>NC_000002.12:207489618-212489618 GCF_000001405.40 Homo sapiens
TTCAGTCATTTAACTAATCCTGGCTGATATTTATTGAAAGTCTACCATGTGCACTCTTCTAGGCACTAGGGAGGTAGTGATAAATAAGATCCGAAGACTGCCTAGGAGTCAACCAGGTGAAACAGGATGAGGGAAAATGTGCTCTAGGCAGAAAGAACAGTATAGACCCAGAGAGGGAAGAGAGCAGCTCCCTCCAGAACATGGGGTTCAGCCTGTCTATTAAGCATTGGCTATCCCTGGCTGCTTATTAGGAACTGCTGGGGAGATTCTTTACCAAAGCTTCCTCTGCCCCCGTCCCTGTCCCCAAGTTCTGACATCAGAGATGGGACCTGGGCATCTATCTGGTATTCTAACATGCAGCCAGGAGAAAAATCATTGGTCAGCAGAGTGGCATGAAAGGACACAGGTGCCTAAGGCTGGGCATGGTGGCTCACACTTGTAATCCCAGCACTTTGGGAGGCCAAGAAGGGCAGATCACTTGAGGCCAGGAGTTCAAGACCAGCCTGGGCAACACAGCGAAACCCCGTCTCTACTAAAAATACAAAAATTAGCCAGGCATGGTGCCGCATACCTGCAGTCCCAGCTACTCAGGAGGTTGAGGCACGAAAATCGCTTGAACCTCAGGAGGCGCAGGTTGCAGTGAGCCGAGCACTCCAGCCTGAGCAACAGAGTGAGACTCTGTCTCAAGGACACTGATGCCTAGTCATGGGGCTGGAGAGAAAAGCAAGAACCAGCTCATGAAAAATCTTGTAACCCAAGAGTATGGATCTTACACGAAGGGTTTAATCAAGGGGGCAACATAATCAGGTTTGTTCTCTACAAATGCCCTCTTACTGCACATTGTGAAGGGAGTGGAGAGGGGCAAGGGAAGAATTAGAAGATGGTGGAGACTGGATTTAGCATAGGTATAGTGGGAATGGATGAAATCCATTCCATTTGCAGGAAGCAAAGATACGAATGGTTTCTGGAATGCCTATAATTATTGCTACAGCCTCCTAACTGGATTTCCCAACCCCACACTTTTTCCCTTCTCATCAACCCTGTGAATCACCACCAGATTTACCCATCCTTAAATACCACTTATTGTGTTAAGGAATACTAGGCAGCCTAATAATTAAGTGTATTTGCTCTTGGACCGAACAGACTGGGTTCAAATCCTATCTCTGCCACTTTACGGTGCCCCATTTCCTCATCTATAACATGTGATACTAAAAATAGTGTTTACATCAGAGGGTTGCTTTGAGTCAATGTAGGAGAACTTCTATAATTACCTGTGTATGGTAATCATTCCAAAAAAAAATCATTATTCAAACACCTTCAATATAAAACCTTCTGTTTTCCATTTGTCGGAATGCCAAGGTCTGCCTGTCCAGATCCTTCACCTTTTGGGTCCACCCTGCTACTCAGCCTCGTTGAATTCTGTCCCCAAAATATGTCACATGAACACTCCAGATACAGCACCTTTGTGCCTGGGTCATGCTGCTTTCCTCATTTTGAATGCCTTTATTTTTCCCTGCTACCCTCCCCAGTCCTTCTGTCCCTTAAATGCTTATCATTACTTCTAAAAAAGTGACTCCCAATGCCGTGACTGGTGACCATATGACCATACCCAGTATAATCATCTTTCCCAAGGGAGGACTGCCTGTCATTCCTACCAGGAGGCTATCATTCCAAATAACTCACAAAGCCACTCATGCTCGTAACTGTCACTGCTATCTAAATGCTAAGCACTCACAGAAGGCCCAGAGCATAAACTTGTCTTTCCCATGCTTTGTGGAGCACCATGGATGCCCCTAGAAGCCCATAAATAAAAAACAACTTTGCTATGAGTTAAGTTTTCATCAGGACTGTCAGCTGTGAAATATTCAGAGGCTTTCTTGAGTTATTAACCCAAACCAATGTTGCATATTACAAAGAGACAGGACCCAAAATATGTGAATTAATTGACCAAACTATATTTTAGCAGTTGTCCTTAAAGGAGAAGCGAAGTCCTACCCCAAGCAGGACTTCACAAAGCATGTGTGTCCTTCTTTGCCTCGTGTCCTTTCATTTTTACAGATTTATTGAGGCATGAATGACAAACAATAGACGATGCAATATTAAATTGCACAATTTGATAAATCTCATGTCCTTTTAACCACAAAGCTTTATAATAATAATCATTTTTATTAGACTACTTAAAATTCTCTTCTATTTTCAAACATGATAGTGTAATATTAAAATCCAAGTTTGCCTACAATAAGGCTTCCACACCTATAAGTTACTAAAAATTTCCCTTGGCTGGGAAAATGTGATCCAGAATTTGAAATTACAAAACCAAAAGGATTTTTCTTGTCAATGAAAAATGATTGGCACAGTGGCTCACATTTGTAATCCCAACACTTTGGGAGGCCAAGGCAGGAGGATTGCTTGATGCCATAAGTTCAAGACTAGCCTGGGCAACATAGCAAGATTCCCATCTCTACAAAAAAAAATTTAAGAAAAGTGACACGTGCCTGTAGTCCTAGCTACTTGAGAGGCTAAAATGGGAGGATCCTTGAACCCAGGAGCTTGAAGCAGCAGCGAGTATGGAGTATGATTGCATCACTGCACTCCAGCCTGGGTGACACAGCAAGACCTGTCTCAAAAAGGAAACAAAAGAAAAATGATCGCGTTGGATTTTAAACCAAGACGTTATAGGCACTCAACTTGCTTTTGGCTGGAAATAAAATATTTTCTATAAATTTATTTATTCTTATTTACTATTATTGAATAATGTTAATACAACCATAACATTACTAAACATTTACTGAGTTTATCATGTGCCTGGAGCTGTGCTAAATGCTTTCCATACATTCTGTCACTCAGTCCTCACAACAGCCCTGGAGGAGGAAAGGGCTGTCCCTTTTTAACAGATGAAGGAACCAAAGTGTGGCGAAGTTAAGTTATTTATACAAGCTCAAGCAACCAGTAAATGATAGAGCTGGCTTTTCAAGTCAGCTATGTCTGCCTCCAGGGCCTGTTCTCTTAACCATTATGTCATCTTGCCACCCTCAAAATGAATATGCAAAACTGTGCCCCTACTCCACAGAAGAGTCAAGGAGGTTGACCACAAATCTATCAAGTTCATGGTACTCCCTTCTCCCACACTTCCTCATCCAAGAGCCTTGCCAAGCATACCTGGAGAGGTGATTCTCTTCCTAAACTCCCCAAACCTCACAATTACCCTCCTCTCTTCAGAGAAGAGATAAGTTCCACACAATCACTGTTAATATTCATTGGTACTTTTTCTTCTTTAGAAATAAAATATGAATAATATACTCAAGTCCTAAAACAGTCTATGTGCTTTAACATTTTCAGAAAGTAAGAATCCTCTTTATTGAAGACAATCTAGATAATTCCATTTCCCCTGCAGCTTGGTGCCAAACAAACAAATGAATATAGCCCTAGAATTCAAGGAAGAAATGGTTTGCTTTCCCTGCAATAACTTTATATTCTTGTGGTATTTTTGCCAGGTTACATCGAATTTTAATTGTTTGGCATTCTCTTTAAGGACTTCGAATTAGTAATCAATAGAAAATCTGGAGATAATAAGTTTACAGTAGCATTTAAGAAAGAAGCATGAGTTTAAAATGATCAAATGATTGCAACCTGAAATTAATATTCAGTACATTTGGAGAATGTGAAGTTTAGGCAAAAATGAGAATGAAAGCAATAATGGAACAATGGTAGCCTCTGTGTGGCAGAGTAGATAGACAATCACTTAGATGGGCATTTGGAAGCCAAAACAAGGTGCTACGTTCTCAAAGCTGCTCTTCCACAAAACAGACCTAGTCCTTTATGCCATGGAGAGTTTCCTGGAGCACAGTTTGGAGATATACCTAACTATAAAGAAGGAAGAGATGAAGGAAGCAAGGGGAGGAGGAAGAAAAGAGGAAGAAGAAAAAGCAAACATGCAGACGCTGAGTTAAATCCAACATGGGCAAGTAAAATCTGTATAACAACAACAAAAAGATTTTCAAGTTTCTAGATTGAAACCTCATGAAATCTAGGCATTAAAAACACAAACACAAAAGAATATTGGGTAATATATTAGAATTCTTGGTATTAGAATTCGACCTGTAGTTCAGGAGATAATAATAGCAATATTGAAGGCACAGGAAGAAGTGGAAGAGCATGATAACAGAGAATATTATTTTGGATACTTGTGCTATATAGGTAAACTAAATAGTAGTTTTCCAATGTTCAGTTTTCATAATAATTGTTTTTATTAAGTGCTTTGTATACTCATTTCTGCACTACCACTATTTGTAATATTCTAATCTCTCTGGAAGTCTATCAGATAATTATAATTATCTGCATTTGTACACAAGAAAACTGAAGATGAGTGAGAGTAAGTTGCTCAAAGACACACAGATAGTTAGAGGCAAAGCTGCTCACCAGTGACAGCTCTGGGGCCACTCTCAAACCTGTTTAATCTTGAACATCATCATCATCACCAACAACAGCCACAACAATGTTAATTGGGCAGTTTACATACAGTAACACTTGTAGTCCCCATCATAACCTCTTGAGGTAGTTACTATTGTTATTCCAATTTTACATAAGAGAAAACTGAGGCTCAAGTAGGTTAAATCGTAGCTAGTCACCTAGCTGTTAAGGTGATAGAGTTGGGATATGAACTCAGGCAAGCTGACTCTATGCATTTAACCACTGCATGCTTAATGTTTTGTAAATTTTAGAAATATGACTAACACTTTAAACCACTCCTGTGTGAATATCATATAACTAGCATTTCAATAAATGTTAATAAATGGCTTGCTCTACTGCATTCTTAATATGAGAATTAGCATCAGAATCAGGTCAAATTCAGTTACAGGTAATTTGATGCACAGACATTGGTTTTGTTTTATTTTCATTCTCTTATTTTGATGGAAATATGCTGTAATGAGTGAATTGTGATAAAGCACAATGATAGTTTATTGAAGTAAGAGATTAGAAAGAGCTGATGCTTTCGTCTTACTATCTTTCTAAAGTGACAGTGAATTAACAAATTAAGAAAAATGTTTTAAACAGAAAACAATACAAGAGGTGGCTGGAAACTCTTTTTTTTCTACAGACTTGCAGGTATATATGTATTTGTGGATGCGCATAATGTGGCCTATTAGGTCTTTGTAACTGATTGGGACTTCAGTACGTTTGCCTGTCAACAAACAGGAAAAATAATGAACTTTGAAGAGCTCGGCTTATCTTTCCTTTTCTACTCTCTTCCTACATTTTAACTTTAAAATTAAATTGTTAAGTTATAGGTATTTATCTAATAACTGAGAGGTACTCTCGAAAGAACACATTTTACAAAATATGAATTAATCAGGATAAGAGAGGCTATGCTACATTAAAACATGGGCCAGTGAGGGCCAGTGGGGGGTCTCATGCCTATAATCTCAGCACTTCAGGAGGCAAAGGCGTCCCAAAGTGGATCACTTGAGGCCAGGAGTTTGAGACCAGCCTGGCAACATAGTGAAACCCCAACTCTACTAAAAATACAAAAATTAGCCGGCCATGGTGGCACATGCCTGTAGTCCCAGTTCCTCAGGAGGCTGAGGCAGGAGAATCGCTTGAACCTGGGAGGCAGATGTTGCAGTGAGCCGAGATCGTGCCACTGCACTCCAGCCTGGGCGACAAAGCAAGACTCCATCTCACAAAAAAAAAAAGCCAGTGACTTAACAAAGTTGAATTTCTTGCTCACACAGAGTGCTATGGCAATTGGGCACTCCCTAGCATCTGTCCTCTCTTTGGGAACTCAATAAACCAGGAGGCATCCATCCAATGGTTTCACTGTCTCAGCACATGGCTTTCCAAATCATAGCTGCAGAGAAAGACAGGAGCTGAAGGATTGCACACAGGCTTGTAAATGGTTTGGTTCAGATATGGCACGTGTCACTCCTCTTGTAGCTCAATCACCAGCATCGAACTCAACCAAGAATGACTGGAAAGGTATGGATGCACACACATCTCTGGTGGGTAAAGAATGTCTCTGACACAGAGCATTATATACATGCTTCCTTACTGCTACTACCACTAATGCTAATACTGTATGTTTATCACAACCAAAGTTTGTTTGCTTTTTTCATCTTTTTCAAGAAACAAACTTTTGGTTTTATTAACCAATTCTATGAAGGTTGTTTTGCTTCATTAATTTTGCTTTTATCTTTAATCTGCTGTAAATTCATTTACTCTTTGGGATTTATTTTTGTTGTTCCTTTTCTATCTTGAGTTGAGTACTTTATTTTGAATCTTTCTCATTTTCTAATAAAAAATCAAGCCTACAAATTTCCTTCTGGATACCTCTTTGGCTGCTTTCCGCAGTTTTGATATATACTACTTTCATTGTGGTTTCATTCTGAACATTTCACAATTTTATTTTGACTGTCTCTTTATCCAGAGAATTACATAGGGATGTGCTTTGTTAGTCTCCAAATGTACAGATATGGAGCCACTCTCTTTTGTTGTTAATTTATTATTGTATTACATCATAATCAAACAACATATCACCTATATGAAATCAAACATTTTTTAACTTGTTGAGTTTTTTTTCTGGCAGACTACTGCTATAGATCTTTTTGTAAAAGCTCCTTATATAATTCTTTACCTTGCTTTAGAGAGTGAGAAAATTTTAGAAAAAAACAAGCCACAAAAGAAATCTCAGCAAGTTAAAAAATGTTTGATTTCATATGGGTGATACCATGTTGTTTGATTATGATATGATACAATAATAAATTAACAACAAAAGAGAGTGGCTCCATATTTATTCAGATACCACTTTGGCTGCTTTCCACAGTTTTAATATATACTACTTTCATTGTGATTTCTTTCTGAACATTTCACAATTTTACTATGACAGATCCAGGTATTGTATTTTTATCTGCCACATAATGCCCACCACAGCAATGACGCTCACAGACACCACTGGTTGAAAACCTCAGCTCTATTTTGTAGATTTGGAGTTTAAGGAATTGGGTGATTGGGAGAAGACTGCAGGAAAAGCTGACTGGGTGGTAGTGGACATGAAGAATTTTCTTGGTTTATATTAAGTAACCATATCTTGTTCATCATTATATCTTGCTTATCTTTGTATGCACAATGCCTGGCACAGAGAAGGCAATCAATAAATGTAGATGACTAGATGAATTAGTATTTACCTAGGCAACTATGAGCATCACATGATAGCTAATGGCATGTAACAGAAATAAAATCCTATTTCATCTTCTGAAATATCAACAGCTTGTGAGAAGGTGTCACAACATTTACGTTACTTTTGTATCTTCCCCCATGCACAATGTTAAGCACAAAGTAAATACTTTTTTTTTTTTTTGAAATAGAGACTCACTCTGTTGACCAGCCTGGAGTGCAGTGGCACGATCTCAGCTCAATGCAACCTTCACCTCCTGGGTTCAAACAGATTCTCATGTCTCAGCCTCCCGAGTAGCTGGGAGTACAGGCATGTGCCACCACGTCCGGCTAATTATTACGTAATTTTTAGTAGAGACGGGGGTTTCCCCATGTTGGCCAGGCTGGTCTCGAACTCCTGGCCTCAAGTGATCCACCAGCCTCGGCCTCCCAAAGTGCTGTGATTACAGACATCAGCCACCACATCTGGCGGCAAATACTTCTTTTTTTTTTTTTTTCTTCTGAGACAGAGTCACTGTCGCCCCGGCTAGAGTGCAGTGGCGTGATCTCAGCTCACTGCAACCTCCATCTCCCGGGTTCAAGTGATTCTCCTGCTTCAGCCTCCCAAGTAGCTGGGATTACAGGTGCCCACCACCACACCCAGCTAATTTTTGTATTTTTAGTAGAGACGGGGTTTCACCATGTTGGCCAGGCTAGTCTCGAACTCCTGACCTCAGGTGATCCACCCGCCTTAACCTCCCAAAGTGCTGGGATTATAGGCGTGAGCCACTGCACCCAGCTGGAAAATACTTCTTAAATGCAATTTATAAGCATGTGTATTAGTTTCCTATTGCTGGTATAACAAATTACTACAAACTTAGTGGCTTAAAACAACACAGATGTGTTGTCTTACAGTTCTAGAGGTTAGTTCTAAATAGGTCTCACTGAGCTAAATCCACGGTGTCAGCAGAGCTGTGTTCTTTCCTAGAGCTTCTAGGGGAGAATCTGTTTTCCTGCCTTTTCCAGCATCTAGCAGCTGCCACATTCCTTGGCTTGGGACCTTGTTCCATCTTCAAATTCATCAGTAGCAGTTCTTTCTCACAATGCTATTTCTCTGTTTCTAACTCTTTTGCCTCTACTTTATCCACTTAAGGACTCAGGATAATCTTCTTATTTTAAGGCCAGCTGATAAACAATTTTAAGTATATCTGCAACCTTAATTCCCCTTGCCATGTAACATAACATTTACAGGCTCTGGTTGTGAGGACATGGACACCTTTTGGGGGTCATTATTGTGTCTATCATAGCACGTAAAACAAAGAAAAAGGACAAATAGAAGAAGAAAAGACAGTGAATGGACACAATGGAGTGACAGAGTTAATAACAGTAATAACACTAGAGATATAAGGATTGGTGCATGGACTACAAGATTCTCGAACAAGGCCAAAAAAAGGATCTGTCCCACACTATTAGCTAAATTCAAGCACTTGCACACACGTGAGTGCACAAACACACACACACAAAGTAATATTCTGGTTAGCTGATGTCACTGCTGGGATATTACTGTTTACTAATAATAAAACAAACTACACAAGGCATGAATGGCACGTGTGTTATTTATAGTTTTTGTAGAAGAAGTTCTCAAATTCCTTTCTTCCTGAAAAAGGATTATTTTCTTACCCTTTGCATTCTAGCTCACCTCTAACATGTCCAGAAATTTCTAGGAAGGCAGAGGAAAGACTCTACATTTGCCTCCCCAATTGAAGCCATCACCACGCAAGGGCTGAAGGTGATTGTCAAAGTGCCCTCCTGAGACTGGACACCGCTGGCCTAAATTAGAGGAGGAGGCTGGTAGACACCGCCCCCTCGTGCAGAGGGGCAGAGAAGCCATTCCCCATGGCTCCCCACCTGTCTTGCTGGAGGAAATTTCTTGGCTAAAAGTCCATGGAAAATGGTTGTTTGGAAAGTGAAGTTCCCTAGAGCTTTGAGAATCAACTTTTTTTTTTTTTTTTTTTTGAGATGGAGTTTCACTCTTGTTGCCCAGGCTGGAGTGCAATGGAGCAATCTCGGCTCAGTGCAACCTCCGCCTCCTGGGTTCAAGCGAGAATCAACTTTTTTCATCATTTTAAACCTACTTATTGGGAAATCTCTCTAAAATATATTACAGAAAAAGAATAATCATACCGAGTCAATACTGCATGAAAAGATATAATAGCATGGAATAAATTATTCATTTCCTTGCCTCTTAGAGAGTACTCTGAGTGCAATTTTAACCATTCTTTCTGGCTGTGAACCTCAGAGTTTTTTACAGTTCTGTAGAGCAGATAGAATGCCAATCTTCTTTGCATATTTATGTCATTTTTAAAAGGTTTTTGTTGCTGTTGTTTTATTTTGTTTTGTTTTTCCCTCCTCTGTGGTTGTCAGTGGTCACTTTTTAAATTTTGGTTTTGTCAGTGTGACTTCCTTTAACAACTTCCTTCCTCTTCTCCTTTGCTATGGAAAATAGTAACTAGGATACCAATCTAGTTAAACTTGTAAGTAAAATGAGGTAAAGTGAGATCCTAATAAAGATACAAGATACTTACAAGTGAAGTGTATGAGATTTAAGACAAAACCAGAGTGACGCTGCAGGCAGGACTGCCCATTCCATCTGGAATGCATGACTGTCTGTCATCTATTTGGCTACTTAGAAACTATTTTTACCTCTTCTCTATTTTTGTTCTGAATAGGTTAGTGTGAAATAATTGTTTTAGCAAGATGAAATATTGCTATATTTTTTAATGTGCCAAAGTCTTCTTTTTTTTTTTTTTTTTTTTTTGAGATGGTGGTCTCACTCTGTTGCCCAGGCTGGAGTCCAGTGGCACAATTTCGGCTGACTGCAGCCTCGACTTCTCAGGCTCAAGCAGCCTTCCAGTTCAGCCTCCCAAGTAGCTGAGACCACAGGTGCACACCACCATGCCCAGCTAAGTTTTAAATAATTTCTAGAGACAAGAGCTTGCTATGTTGCCTAGGCTGGTCTTGAACTCCTGGACTCAAGTGATCCTTCCACCTCGGCCTCCCAAAATGCTGGGATTATAGGAATTAGCCACCTCACCCAGCCAAAGTCTTGAAATGGGATAAAACAGGAGTCCTCAGTCCTGGTATTGACCCCCTCACCAAAGTCACGCCCCTTTCGATGTTTATAGCAACTTGATAAAAACCAGGGCTGTGAATTAAATGTCCATTAACAAAAGAATAGGCTCACTTTTATAACAAAATACTATGCAGCTATGAACTATGTATACTACATATTTATAAACACTAAGTGGAAATTATGTTCCTTCTTATATTGTTTAGTTAGAGGAGTGAGTATTGACAGAAAAATGCTTCCCTCTTTGATCCCCCAGGTTGACAGTTCTGAGATGCATTGCACAAGGCCCCCCAGGAGGTCCCAGCAAAATCTAGCACCAGTTACTCACGGCACTGTCCAGCTCAGTAATGAACCTTTCTATTAGCCGCCCCTCTTTCCCTGCTTCCCCCACTCCCCGCCCTGATCCCTGCCCCTACGCCCTGCAGTCACCTCCCCAAGTCAGTGCATACAAGCTTTTGTCTCAGAATTTGCTTTTGAGAGAAGCCACATTAAGAAAGACATTGCTGGCCAGGCCTGGTGGCTCATGCCTGTAATCCCAGCACTTTGGGAGGATCACTTTAACTCAGGAGTTCAAGACCAGCCTGGGCAACATAGCAAGACCTTGTCTCTACTAAAAAAATGTTTTTAATTACCTGGGCATGGTGGTGTGCACTTATAGTCCCAGCAACTAGGGAGGCCAAGACAGGAAGATCACTTGATCCAGGAAGCTGAGGCTGCAGTGAACTGTGATTGCATCACTGCACTCCAGCCTGAACAACAGAGCGAGACCCTGTCTCAGAAAACAAAACAAAAAAAGAAAAAAAGAAAGACATTGTCAAGTGAGGACATGGTGTTTAGAGCTGCCTTATCCATGTGGCAACCAGGGGGCAAGACCTAGAGAGCTTCAGAGAAGCTGACCCAGAATGCAGGCACAACTGAGCCACATAATGACCAACTACCTCTAGATATCTTGTTCTGTGAAAAGAATAAGCCCCTATTGTTTAAGTCACTCTTAATTGGGTTTTCTGTTACTTGCAGCAAAGGTACTTTTTTTTTTTCTTTGAGATGGAGTTTCACTCTTGTTGCCCAGGCTGGAGTGCAATGGCACGATCTCAGCTTACCACAACCTTCGCGCCCTGGATTCAAGCAATTCTCCTGCCTCAGCCTCCTGAGTATCTGGGATTACAGGCATGTGCCACCACGTCCAGCTAATTTTTTATATTTTTAGTAGAGATGGGGTTTCACCATGTTAGCCAGGATGGTCTCGATCTCCCGACCTCAGGTGATCTGCCGCCCGCCTCGGCCTCCCAAAGTGCTGGGATTACAGGCATGAGCCACTGCACCCAGCCCATGATACATGAGGCCAATTGAAGACCTCCTTGGGAATATTTTATGTAGAAAAGAAGGCAGAGGAACAAGCTCTCCGTATGGGGAAGCCTGAGGGTGTCAGCTAGGCAGCTCCTGGTGACCACAGTTCTAGCTTGTGGACAGTGCTGATCTGACAGAAGCAGAGAAAAAAAGAGAGAGAGAGTCCTGTGATTTAAATTCTTCTGGCAGTGAATTCCTCTTTTTGCCTAAGATATTTCACACAGCATTTCTATCACTTGCAAACAAGAGTCCTGCCTAATTTAAGTAAGAGCCATTCTTGTTTTGTTTTGTTTTGTTTTAAAAAAAAAAGTGGGGAAAAAAGTGGGTGCATGAGTGTGAATGTGTCTTCATCTAAGCATAGAAAAAATCGGAATGGATACACTTAACAGTTGACAGTAGTTATTTCTGGGGAGAGTCAGAATAGAGGGGAGTAAGGAGGACATATGTATCATTTGTACTTTGTAAACTTCTCAATGTTTAAACTTGTTATAATGAGCTTGTATCATTTTGCAATTTTAAAAGTCTAAAAACTACAGAAACTCTGAGATAATAAATGTGTGTTATTTGATGCTGTTAAGTTTGAGGTATACAGCAACGGAAAATACACATAGGGAATCACTGAAAACTTGACAACCACTGCTTGCAAACCACCCAACAAACCTCAGATAGACAACCACAGGTCCCAATGCCCACATAAAACCAGTAACAATTTGCTGAGTGAAGGACTGATGCTGGGAAGTTGTATCCAACTGGCCTGTGACCACGGCCCCACGTGCACAGATAATTTCCCCTAAAATCCAACCCAAGTAAGCCTATGACGTAAATTTAAAAACAAAACCTAAACCAGCAATCTTGCTCTGCAACTGCAGCTTCAAAACAAGCTTATCCACTTGCCCCTTTCCAACCCAATACATTTCTAGAGAGAAAAATCTAGAGTTGCCACAGGTCAATGAGTCTGTATAAAAAGCCTAAATGCTAAAGGAAGCAGGAAATATGGGGTACCATTCTACGCACACAAGCTGATGGGATGGAACCAGGACCAGAGAGAATGGGGTTATGGGAAATGGATACAGAGGCTGGCTCAGCCATGAGCCACTTGGTAGATAGGTCAAAGCACATAATCATAAGGACATGACAATCTCAGGGTGGAGATGACGTTGGCAAGTGGAGTGCAAACAGCTAAAAGGAAAGCAGGTGACAGTTCTGAGTGGTGCTAGCAGAACCCGAAATGAAAGGTGGAGTGTGCCAGGAACAGCAAGAGAGGGGACTGGCAAAATCCTGTGTGGGGCTAGAGAATTGGGAGGCAGCATCCATTTACAGGGAAGACCCAGATTCTGGGCAGGGATACTGAGGCAAAAATTCAGGCTTATGAATAGTAAAAGCTACATGGCATACTTACTACATGTCTACATGCCAAGTGCTTTAAACTATATTTCACTGAATTCTGCCAAAAACCCCATGAGGAGGGAACTTTTATCATCTCCATTTTTCAGATGAAGAAACTAAGGCAGACAGAATATATGTGTTTTGCTCACAGTCACATAGCTCATATATCAGTCAGCTCCAGATGCCATAACAGAATACACAGACCGGGTGGCTTAAACAACAGAAATAGATTTTCTTGACATTCTGGAGGTTCAAAATCTAAGATCGAGGTGCTGGCAGGGTTAGTTCCTGGCGAGGCCTCTATTCTCAGCTTGCAGATGGCCACCTTCTTCTATGTCCTCACATGGCCTCTTCTCTGTGCACTCGTGGAAAGAGATCACTGGTTTCTCTTCCTCTTCTTACAAAAACACCAGCCCTGTCAGATTAGGGTCCCACCCTTAGGAACCCCATTTAACTGTAATTACCTCCTTAAAGGCCCTATCTTTAAATATAGTCATATTGTGGGCTGAGGCTTCAACAACACATGAATTTGAGGAAGACACAGTCCAGTTCATAATAGCTCATAAGGAGCAAACATAGACAGTGTGACTCCAGAGCCTGATGCTTTTCGTGTGTGTTAATACATATTTTATCAAGGTATAATTTAAATATTATAGCTCACTTAGTTTTGAATAAATGCTTATGTCCATGGGACCCACATGTCTATCAAGAACGATACAGTTCTCTCAGCCACCACACCCTACCAGACCTCGTGATGACAGAAGGTGCTGCCACTGGTAGATTTCACAGCAGGCAGTAGTCATCCCTAGAACTGTGGACACAAGGTCCACCCCCAGCCAAGACTCGATTCTGAGCTCCCTCCCTCCCATGCACACACTGCATGGGGCTTCCTGCCTGGGCCAGTCCTCACGCTCTGCTGCTGTTCTCTGGGTCCCAGGAGACTGACCACTGCAAGCTGTATTTCCCAGGATATTTTTCCTCCTCCCTCTCTGCCTTGGGCAGTATCTCAGCATCTCTTCTCTGGCTCCAGCTCCCAACAGATGACCCTAGTGCCTCCTCTTCGGTTTAAAAAAAAAAAAATACGACCTCCTCCCTGTTGACCTCCAGTTTAGAAGTGGTACTGGTTTTCTGCTATCACAATTCTTTGGATTATCTCACCATCCATTGTTTGGCTTCTCAGCTCTTTTGTCTCCTGTATAACCAGTTCCCTGCATATTCCCTCTGTTTCAAATGCTCAGCAGGGTTTCTCTTTTCTGGATTATACTTTTCTGGTATACTGACATATTCCCTATTTGTCATAACTGGCTCAGTAACTGGGATGAGTCTAGATATATAGATGGAGCCCAGGCACAGAGGCTGAAAGCTAGAGGACTCATAAGCAGAGGTTTCTCCAAGAGAATACCAGGAATTGTATTACATTTGTTCTCCACTTATTGACAACTTATTGGTCCATCTTGTTATCAAATTTGCACTTGTTTGATTTATTCACTGTCTATGGCTCACCTATTTTTCAGGTAGACCTCTAACTGACATCAAGACAAAACATGCCTTTATCACCAGCTTCTTCAGCTGTTGTCATAACTGTAAGCTACTATTGGATTCGTCACACTGCAAATACCTCATGTTCTCACTTATAAGTGGAAGCTAAATGATGAGAACACACGGACACACAGAGGGGAATAACACACACTGGGGCCTATTGGAGGGTGGAGGGTGGGAGGAGGGAGAGGATCAGGAAAAATACCTAATAGGATTAATACCTGGGTGATGAAATGAGACAAGTTTACTTGTGTAACAAACCTGCAGCTTACCTACGTAACCTATTACCCCTGAACTTAAAAGTTTAAAAAAAAATGTGCTTGCTAATATGAAATGGTTGGGGAGAAAAGAGGGACTAAGGAAGACAGGATGGGACACTAACACCGAGGAGCCTTCAACAGCCTGTGGATATTCCTGGGGATCCTATCAGCCAGCTGGGGGTGGAGGAGGAGCCACAGGCAGAGCCTTTCAAGAGGCAAATGCCCGTCCAGCTCTGGCCCCAGTTTTCCTTACGGCAGCCTCTGCTTAACTATAAAATCTATACTGAGTAGATTACCATGACTACCGCAGAAAGACCTCCACCTCTAGTTTGGCTGCAAAACTAAGTCTTTTCTTCCAAGAGCCTTTGGCTTTAGGAGGGAGCACCAGGAGGCAGACTGCAGCCACTGGCTCACTGCCCTACATGCCAGGGCCTTCTGCAGAACCGCAATAGTTACAAGTCAAGCTTCCTTTCCTCAGCCCATACCACCAAAGCAATGGGCTGTTGGCGTGCCCTGACAGCAGGAGGAGAAGCCCCACTGTCAGGGGGTAAAAAGAAACGACACAGTTCCCACTTCTTCACTCTACGTGATAAATCACTTCAGCTGGGAGAACTGTCATGAAACGACCTGGCAGCTAATGAGAGAAATGGAACCCAAAAAAAGAAAGAAAGGAAGAAAGAATCCTGTTAGTCACAGAGCTTTTCATCTGAACCGCAGAACAGGCTCGTGCTTTTTGCTTTCTGTGGGAATAATAAAATCACAGTCCTGTAACTATATTAGCTCCTCAAACAAAAGTAACTCCCTAGAATAAAATTATGAGGGGTTTCTGAGTTGGATTTAGTTTTCACTGGGTAAAGGCATAAATTAAAAGGAGGAACCGGGTACCCTTAAGAAAGTCAATGAAGTAACTAAGCTTGCTATTCAAACCAGGAAAACACAGGCTGTGAGGCAGCTTCACTCTGCAGTCTATTCAACACCTGGCGAACAAAACAACACTGACTCTGCCCAAGCCGGGATTTTCCCACAGTGGACCAGCAATTTCAGAGGCCCCTAGAATGCCAGGACTGTGTCTTAGACCTTGGAAAATAGGATGAAAAGGACAGGCTCAAAGGGATATTTAGTTCCAAAGGAAAATCACAAAAGCTAAAAGTTATTATAAGAGAAAGGCCCTAAAGCACATTACTGGAGATAAAATTTTAAGGGTAAATAAATACCCTTTGTGGAAAAGTGTTTAGGAAAAAACACAAAGAGAGCATGAATACCATATTATAGGTACAATATGTTCTATCCAAAATAAAAAGTAGGTTCAGAATCACATCAGCCTAATCATGCCTCCTAAGCAGCAGGCTATGTGAGGTAGAGAAATGTGGGCTCAGTACCTCTATCCCACATTCTTCATCCTCCCCTGCTCCACCACACCCACCTCCTGCCTTTCAGAACCGCCTTCCTCCAAAGACACCCAGGAACCTCAGAAAGAATGCTTCTCTAAATTATTCATACCACAGTGCTACTTCCTGTCCTTTCCTTCCAAGAAATATTTGCTATGTTAAAACCCAGTGAAAGTGAGCAATGCTTGAAACAAATAGTGAATCACTCCTGGTAATATTTCAGGCACTGGTAAAAATTTCATTGGATGGGGGAGGGAAAGAGGAGTCTCTTTCTCATACTCTAAATTATACCACATATAAAAACAGACTATAAACATGACCTCTTTTATGTGGAAATTCACATTGCATAGGTAGAACATTATTTTTTTAAATGCTGACTTTCAAAAGTTGACATCAACTTTCAATCAAAATACTCATGTATTTAAAGAAGACCAGCAGAAAAATATTTATGAACTTATTTTCAACTTGTCCCCATTTTTGAACTTTTTTATCAGTGAAGAAATGGAAACATTTTTTCAATAACCAACAAACCTTTCTAAAACCCTGTTTGATCTTGCCACACTTCTATTAGTAAACCAAAATATTTTGGAAGTGTTTTATCCAAATTACACTTTGGTCCTGATAGGGATAAAATCCAATAAATGATAGGTCTATGTCCACATGACAATTATATGAGGTTCCTACTGTAATACTGGCATTCTCATTTCTGACTGTGGCAGTCTGTTGCAGAGATAGCTATAATAATCCCTCCCCACTGCATGCTCTTTTTTGCTGTGACTTTGCCACTCCTCCCATCAATAGATGAAGTCTGCTTCCTCTCCTCTTGAATCTGGGCTGGTTTCATTATTTGTTTCGACCAAGAGATTCTAGCAGAAAGGACTCAGTTTAATTGCTAGGCTTAGGCTTTCTAAAGAAGCTTTAGAACCTCTATCTTGCCCCCTTGGAGCTCCAAGCCTCCATGTAAGAAAGTCCAGGGTATACTGCTGTACTGCTAGAGAGTCACCTAGAAGAACACCGAGGTGCCCCAGTTGACAGCCAGTTCCAGACATGTGAGGAAGGCCATATTGGATCCTTCTATCCAGTCAAGGCCAGCCACCACATGAAGAGCAGAGGCCAGACTTCTCCACTGAGTCCTGCTCAAATTGCAGATCCACAGAATCATAAGCAAATGACTGCTTTAAGCTACTTTGTTTGAGGTGGTTTGTTACATAGCAGTAAGATAACGAAAACACAGACCTTATACAAAAATGACTAAATTGTGTAAAGCTACCCAGAACAGACATCTCAAAGACCAGATACCTGATCTAAGAAAGCACAGTCTGTCTCGCCGGGCATGGTGGCTCATGCCTGTACTCCCAGCATGAGCTCCACTGAGTCCTGCTCAAATTGCAGATCCACAGTCATAAGCAAATGACTGTTTTAAGCTACTTTGCTTTGAGGTGGTTTGTTACATAGCAGTAAGATAACGAAAACAGACCTTATACAAAACTGACTAAATTGCATAAAGCTACCCAGAACAGACATCTCAAAGACCAGATACCTGATCTAAGAAAGCACAGTCTGTCTTGCCGTGCGCGGTGGCTCATGTCTGTACTCCCGGCACTTTGGGAAGCCGAGGCGGTGGATCACGAGGTCACCAGTTCGAGACCAGCCTGGCCAACATGGTGAAACCCCATCTCTACTTAAAAAAAATAATAATAATACAAAAATTAGCCGAGTATGGTGGCGGGTGCCTGTAATCCCAGCTACTCGAGAGGCTGAGACATGACAGTCGCTTGAACCCAGGGGACGGAGGTTGCAATGAGCCAAGATTGCACCACTGCACTCCAGCCTGGGCAGCAAGAGTGAAACTCCATCTAAAAAATAAAAAAAGAAAAAAAAAGAAAGCATAGTCTGTCTCAGTACAAAAAATGTAAATGATCAAAGTCCATATCATGGTCCAAATCAGAGAGTGTTCCCTCAATATCCATGCTTGCTTTTTTTTTTTTTTCCTTTCTTTCATTTTTTTTTTAACAGGGTCTTACTCTGTCACCTGAGGGTCTTACTCTGTCACTGGAGTGTGGCAGTGCAATCAAGCCTTACTGCAGCCTCAGCCTCCTGAGCTCAGGTGATCTTCCTGCCTCAGCCTCCTGAGTAGCTGGGACCACAGACGCATGATAATTTTTTAAAATTATTATTTGTAGAGATGGGGGTCTTGCTATGTTGCCTAGGCTGGTCTCAAACTCCTGGGCTCAAGTCATCCTCCTACCTCAGCCTCCCAAAGTGCCGGGATTACAGGTGTGAGCCACTGTATCTGGCCATGCTCCCTTTTTACAGCAATGGGTCTCAAAATGTGGTCCTGGACCAGCATTATCAGCATCACATAGATACTTGTCAGAAATGCAAATTCTTATTCTCCTACTGAATGAAAAACTGGGGATGAGGGCCAGTCATCTGTATTTCAACAAGTCTTGCCGGTGATTCCGATGCACGCCATAGCGTGAGAACCAGTATAGCAATAAAACCTCTGATGTTTAGCTGGTAAACATGGCCACCTGGACAAAGAGACTAGGTAAGGTGGCTGCATAAGGCCCCTTGACTAAGTTCTGTCAAAACAGAAACAACAAAAAGTAAAATAAAAAGTTCTGTCAAAACAGCAAAAAGTAAACAGAAATGTGAAAAGGGGAGTTATCTTCTCTGACTCCTCCTGCTTCATGATGGCTGGAATTCAGATGTGATAGCTGGATCCCCAGAAATAGTCTTAGACAAGAGATGATGCTGAGAAATTAATCCACGCACAGCAGAGCAACAAAGTGGAAGGGGTATGGGACCCTGGCACTGTGGAGCTGCCATATTAGCTCTGAACTGACTCCCTGATTTCCTGAACAGAAAATTTCTACCTTGTTTAAGCCTGTTATTCTGTTTTCTATCTCTATAATATCCTAATGCATGATCTTAATAAAGTTAGTCCCCTTTCCCCTCACCTACTAAGATGTTCTTTAATATAAGAATATTTTCTTTATTGTCACAAGTTATCTTGCAGATTATTTCTTTAGTTGTTTGACTCTCTTCCTATTGGTCTGGAAGCTCTATGAAAGCAGTTACATTTTCTTTATTATTGAATCCCCAGCATCTAATACACACTATCCTCACAATATTTACTGAATGGAAGATGGAAGGATGGATGTAGGCAAACCAAATTTTGTCCGTTTTTGGCACTGATAAATTGACTATGCTTCAAAATAAATCTTTTAAATACTAAATTTTCAACAAAACTATCCCCTGCCCATATCCTAGCTTTGTTCCACATTTAATCTGAATATGAAGCAATAATATCAGTAACAAACACTTTTAGAAGCTTTAAAATGTGCCAAAGACAAATTCCAATACAGGAGCAACCTACAATATACCTGACCAGTCCTCCTCAAACTGTCAAGGTCATCAGAAATAGGAAAGTCTGAGAAACTGACACAGCCAAGGGAGCCTAAGGAGACATGACAACTAAATATAACACAGTATCCTGGGATGGATTCTGGAACAGAAAAGGACACTAGGCAAAAACTAAGAAACTCTCAATAAACTATGGACTTTAGTTCAAAACAATACTCTATCAATATTGCTTCATTAATTATAACAAATGTACCATACTAATGTCAGATGTCAGCAATAGAGGAAACTTTGGGTAGGGTGGGGTGGGGAGGTTACATGGGAACTCTCTATATTATCTGCTTGCTTTTTCTGCAAGTCCAAAACTTTCCTTAGGGCTGGGTGCGGTGGCTCACACCTGTAATCCCAGCACTTTGGGAGGCCAGGGTGGGTGGATCACTGGAGGTCAGGAGTTCAAGACCAGCCTGGGCAACATGGTGAAAGCCTGTCTCTACTAAAAATACAAAAATTAGCCAGGCGTGGTGGCAGGTGCCTATAATCCCAGCTACTCAGGAGGCTAAGGCAGGAGAATCACTTGAACCTGGGAGGTGGAGATTGCAGTGAGCTGAGATCTTGCCACTGCTCCAGCCGGGATGACAGAGTGAGACTCCATCTCAAAAAAAAGAAAAAAAAAACTTTCCTTAAAAATAAAGTCTATTAATAAAAGACGTGTGCCAAAGACTGTTACATATATCAACTCATATTGCCTGTATTAATTCTCATAGAGACTGAGATAGATAACTATGATGAGCCCTATTTTACAAATCCAAAATGTACATTAAGTTATGTTCCCTAAAGTCCTTTAGGCTTATGCTATATGTTTCTTCTGGATCAAAATCTATTTGATTCAATTATTTAACATAATGTGTATTGCTTATTGTGTGCCAGTAAGGGACTGAGTTTAGGCAATTCTATGAGCAGAGTTAAAATTGGGAGAGCAAGGAGGCTTTGTATCAGCCCACTAAAATTTAAAGGGCACAAGCAAACATTTTCAAGAATTTTCTGTTCTGAAATGTGTTATATTTACATGTTGACAACACATATATTTCTCTAACAGGTAGAAACAACTAAGCTTGATATCTAATTATCAAGAAAAATTACTTAAATATGAAGCCACCAGATGGCACAAAGTGTTAAGAACACATAAATCATACATCATATGTTACAAAGCTGATTTAAGAGTGGGTTTGTGTCTTGTACTTATAGTGAAGGCTCTATCTCCGAATATATCCCTGGTAAAAGAACATCTCAAATGAGAAAAATCTCTAAGTCATTGCATTACTTTCCAAAGATATTCACTGTAAACCTTAACTATGATTTTGGCTTAGTGTTTTTATTATTGGCTACCCTGTTGACCAAAACAAAGATTTGGCACCTTGGCTGTTCAGACTGAAACTCCCGGCCAATGCAATTTGACCATGAAATGTTATGAGTGCTCACTATGATAACATGGTACAATTCAGGCAGATATAAGCTTTGCTGAAGAAGTATTCTACAAAGTGCATTACCCATGAGGTTTGATTTCTATACTCTGAATTGGAATCAATTGGTAATATTCAATCCAAATAGCCACCTGAAACAATACCCAAGTGCAATGGACCAAATGTTTGTGATCTCACAAAATTCATATATTGAAATCCTCATCCACAATATGATGATATTAGGAGGTGGGGCTTTGGGAGGTGATTAAATCAGGAGGGTAGAGCTTTCATGAATGGGTTAGTGCTCTTATAAGAGATCCCAGAGATGTCTCTAGGTCTCTCTTCACCATGTGAGGACATGACAAGAAGATGAGAAGATGGCCATCTGCAAGCCAGGAAGTGGGTGTTCACCCACAGAGAGAGATGCCTTGATCTTGGACTTCCCAGCTTCCAGAACTATGAGAAATAAATGTTTGTCATTTAAACCACCCAGTCTATGGTATTTTGTCATAACAGTTCAAGCCGACTAAGACACCAATGGAGCACTTTGCATCTATGATTTCATTGCTTCTCGTGGTTCCTTCATCTGCCTCACTCTATTTATCTTTAAAAGTTCTGCAGAGAGGCTGGGTGCGGTGGCTCACACCTGTAATCCCAGCACTTTGGGAGGCTGAGGCAGGCAGATCACGAGGTCAGGAGATGGAGACCATCCTGGCTAACACAGTGAAACCCCGTCTCTACTAAAAATACAAAAAATTAGCCGGGCATGGTGGCAGGCATCTGTAGTCCCAGTTACTCAGGAGGCTGAGGCAGGAGAATGGCGTGACCCCAGGAGGCAGAGCTTGCAGAGAGCCGAGATCGCACGACTGCATTCCAGCCTGGGCGACAGAGCGAGACTCCAACTCAAAAAAAAAAAAAAAAGTTCTGCTGAGAGCTGAGGTGCGCCTGTAGTCTCACCTACTTGGGAGGCTAAGGTGGGGAGGATTGCTTGAGGCCAGGAGTTCAAGGCTGTTGTATGCTATGATCACACATGTGAACAGACACTGTACCCCAGCCTGGGCAACATAGCAAGACTTCATCTCCAAAAAAGTAAAGTTCAGGGGAGGCCTCAACTCCTTCACAGTCTTTCTTAACCTGATCTGTGTGGGGTCATTTCTATATACTCCCATAGCACCTTGTGCTGACATTGCTCATAGGATTTATCACAATTCAGTACAACTCAACAAGTATTGAATGAATGCCAATGAGACATGGTTCTAGGCACTTAGGAATCATTACTGAACAAATCAAAGATGCCTACCCTTCTAAGGAAAGATAGATAATAAACTACAATACATAAATAAATGTTGTAGTATGTTATACTGATAAGTGCTATGGGAAAAAGAAACCGTGGAGTGGATTACAGGGAATGGGATGGAAGGGAGCACAGAAGAGATTCAGGTTGCAGTCTAAAATAGGGTGGCCATGGTAGGCTTCAGTGAGAACATGAGATTTCATCAAAATCTTGATGGACGTGAGGAAGTTAACTCTGTAGATCCTGGAGGAGGAGGATTCCAGGCAAAGGGAAGAGCTAAAGCAAAGATCCCTCCAGCAGGAGCATGATGATGAGATTGAGAAACTGCGAGACCAGTGAGTCTTGAGCAAAGTGCACCAGAAGCAAGGAAGAGAGGGAGAGAGGTGAAGCAGGGAGCACTAATTTTGTCAGACCTGTAGCCATTACAAAGACTTTGGCTTTTACTCTGAGCGAAATGGGGAGCTGGGAGAGCTGAGTTTTGGGTAGAGGAGAGACATTATCTGACTTAGTTTTGTAAGATTTGCTCTGGCCACTACGTTGAGAATAGAATTGTAGTGGGGCCAAGACAGAAGCAGAAAAACCTGTTAAGAGGTAATTATAGGTGAGAGATGATGATGCCTCAGGCCAGAACAGTAGCAGTAAAGGAGGGCAAATTCTCTATATAGAAACTTGGTAGATTAGATGTGGTATGTAAGAGACAGACAGAACCCAAGGATGACTCCTGGGATTTCGATCTAAGCAACTACTGCAATGGAGTTATCATGAACAAAGCAGGGAGACTATGAAAGAAACAAGTTAGGATCCAAAGAGCAGGAATTCAGAAAAGAATATAAACCTGGTCATTTTCTAAAAACCTTCCATTGACACGTTCTAGTAAGATGGAGCAAACAGAAGGAGAGTGGGCATAGTAGTTTGAAAGAAAATCTGGGATTCTGCAGAGAGGAACATTTTAGAAATGTTGCATTTCTCACTTTCAATACTTGATATCACAGACAATATTTTGAGAAAAAAAACACAGAAATCAATGTCTCTGAGTTGAAAACTGATCCTGAAGAATTAGACTCTGATCATGAAAAAATCCTAGAAATACTTGAAATGTTATGTTTACAGATTTGTTTACATTTGCCTTTATATCTATGGCACAATAATACGATTTTAAAAACCTGTCTAAATAAGTCTAATATTTTTTCATAAATGTAAAATAATTTGGTGATAAATCATTGCATCAGTTTAATTGGAAATTAATTTTTATTGGTGATACAAAAATGACATTTTAATCAGATGCAATGAAATATGATAGTAATATCCAATATTAATCATTTTCAATGTGCCAGGGACAGTGCAAAGTGATATGTTTGGATCTTTTCACTTCATCCTCACAACAATCCTATGAAGTAGTTGCCATTATTTTCCTCTTCAGCAAAAGCTCAAAATAGCAAAGTAAATTTATACTTTCTGTATGTCCCATAAGATTTTCATACTTTGCAATGTTTTTTCTTGGAAAAAGGTCATCAGCCTCTTATTTAATAATTCCTCACCTTTAAGAATTTTAAGAACAAAATCTTTAGCACAGGCCTTTCATACCTGCTCCATATGTTATCCCAAGTGTGGCCTATATCTCTGTTCCATGTAGACCTCGAATTCTAGTTTCCTCTGTCTTGTGTTTAGAATGCTAAATTTGGTTCTCTCTGTTAAGGTCAAAACTCAGGCATAGAAAGAGAAGTTGGGGTTAAGAGGATTGGGACACTTAAAGTCTAATGGCTTAGACAAATATCTGAATGCGTAATATAATTCATAACACATGACAGGTGCTCGGCCTCTGTGTGTGTAGCAAGCTCTGACAAGGAAGGGACAACTTAGGACAAGCCCTAAGGAAAAGAAGAGAGGGCGTTTTTTAAACTCCTTTGGCTATATCACATATTGTGGATAATTCCAGTAAGCATTCCTGGGCTTCAGCAAGCTACTTAGGGGTGTTTGGTTATAACCCTTTCGCATCTTGTATCACTTAGGCCACAAGAGCATGCAGTATCTGCTTAATCTTGGACTACACATAATAGACTAGGTTATATAAAAGTCCTGAAAATGATTCAGTTGCAGCTTCCTGGAAAATGTGCAAGAAACTCTGACACATAATGACAAAAGCATAGGCTCAAAACCACAGTTACGAAAACTATTTAGGACTGTGCCATGGAAAGATATTAGTAACACTTACAGAGTATCAGACAGTAACATATTAGACAATAACATCTGCAGACTCGGTCCATGAATTTGCACTGGGTAATTGTACTGGGGGAAGAGAGGGACAAAAAGAATGTAGTTCGTCCTGGAAGAAGCCTAGTTAAGGAGATTGTGGACTTTGATTAAGAAATTATACTGGCAAGAGCCAGGACTGTGAGCACAACAAATTCTAGCTAATTCAACTCCATTTCACTCTTTATAACTCTCATTCATAGTTTGAGAATATAGGTACTAAGGGGCCTCTAATCTTAAAAGGATCTCAGAACTGTAAATGTATCTGCTCCAACTCATGGATTACGATAGAATAGACATGTTTCCTGATCTATAAATGTAAAACCCTAATGATATGAAAATCTAATTGTGCAGGGGAGGCACAGGCATATGTGCCTTCCTCTAAGTTCTGTTAGCAAGAAGATATTCCTGGAAGAAAAACAAACATGTACAATAAATCATTGTCATTTTTGACAGGACTTTTTTAAAAAGTATGTCAAATAGTTAAGAATTTAGTTAATAGGAAGAGATTCCTTGCTAAGAAAAGTTTACACAGAAAAATAACACTAGCAATCATGACATTGAATTTTTTAAGGGTTCGTATTCTCATTTGCTGCCCAGGGATGTACACAGACTAAAAGATTTATTCTCAGTTCTGGAGACCTATGATACAGCATGGTGACTAAAGTTAAGAATAATGTATTATGTACTTGAAAATTGCTAAGAGAGTAGATCTTAAATGTTCTCACCACAAAAAAGAATAAGTATATGAGGTGATAGATATGTTAATTAGCTTGATTTAATCATTCCATAATGTTTACATATATTAAAACATCACATTGTATGTACTATAAATACATACAATTTTTTTTAGTAATTTTTTTTGTCTTTTTAGAGACAAAGCCTGGATCTGTCACTCAGGCTGGAGTACAGTGGCATGATCATAGCTCACGGCAGCCTCCAACTCCTGGGCTCAAGTGATCCTTCCACTTCAGCCTCCTGAGTAGTTGGGACTATAGGCACATGCCACCATGCCTAGTTAAAGTAATTTTATTTTTTGTAGCGACAGGGTCTCATTATGTTGCCCAGGCTGGTCTCGAGCTCCTGGGCTCAAGTGATCCTCCTGCTTCGAGCTCCCAAAGTGCTGGGATTACAGGCATGAGCCACCATGCCCTGACACATACACAATTTTTATTTGTCAACTATACTTTAATAAATTTGGGGGGAAATCCTGAAAAGAGACATAATTCTTCACAGCCTTATTGTCAAAGGAAACAAACTTAAAGTTGCAAATAAACAAACGAAAACAACAACAACAAAAAAAGATTCATTCTCCCCTTCCCCATCATATGTACACACCCAGACAAGAAACCTGTTTCTAAATCGTCGCAGAAGTGGGGAGGGTGGAGAGAGAATAAAAGTCTTGCTGGGAGGAGCTTTTGAAAATAGACCCAGCCCTTCTTTGGATGTTATTAATGTAAATGTGTTGTGTGTGTGTGTTTGATTGGTGGGGGGGTTGGGAAGACAACCACTGATTAAGCATCTGAACACACAAGTCAGATACTCTGATAAGGTTAGTTTTAGAAACACTGTAACTCCTAACCATGTTATGACAACCTTTTACTATGCAGAGATGGGACGCTCCTTGGGCATGAACCACTGTATCCTGTAACTGAGTTTAGGTAGTAATGATTCCTGTTAGGGCATGAGTCTTCTGTGTTCTGTTTTCCAGTATTACCAAGACAACACTCATGACTGAACCACAACTAACACAGAGAACAGAAGCGCTTTATCAAGATGCACGTGAACTTCAGCTTTAGGATGGGTAGAATTACTGATATCTTTTTTACTTATATATTGAAAGAAATGTCACTATTCTTAACAAGAACTGTTTGCTTGTGCTCCTAAAAATACATCCTATGATAAATTTTACTTTATCCCAGTAAAGCATCAGTTTTTAAGCCCCAAAAGACATTTGCTGTGGACATTTTCTTTGCTTTCTTTTAGCATCAGGTAGCATGGGCATAAAGTCTGAAGGGAAAGAAGCAAGAACCCAATGAATCAGTTAAAAAGGCATGAGAATCCCTATCACTTTGCATTATTACTATGAATGCTTTAGATATTTGACTATTAACACTCACTGGTATGAAAGTAGTACAGTCAAAAATGCAGTATTTGGACAGAAGTATAAAAAAGTGATCTTGTTGTTCTCACAAAGTTAAGTGTCTCCACCTTCTCAGGGTTGCTAATGCTGTTTTCCCATGGCCTGTTGGAAAATATCACTATTTTCTTTGGGTTATTTCCAGGTGCTTTATTGAGAGGGCAAGATGGAGGAAGAGAAGGCTGTTGTGAATCACTTAATTATGGAAAGACAGGGAGTGCTGACTTCAATACGCTTCTGTTTCTTCTACATAAACTCTCATAATCATGGAGGAGGAAGGATGGTCAGAAAATGTAGCATTAGTGATTTGCTGATTGTTCTAGCATAACAATTCTCAAATATTTTTATCCTATAATCTTACCTTTGTACCTTAAACCAGTGTTTCTAAACTGTGTAAAGATGGACCAATTTTTTTAAATTTCCAATCCATTGCAGACCAATGCCTTTGTAAAATACAGTTAAAATGAATTACTAGAAAAGCAAAATGTTTAAAGCCAAGAATACAAAATATAAGCCCAAAAAATTTACATTGATTTTAATAGACATAAAATATTCTGTCAAATTACTATTCAAGTTTATAAATGCTTACTCTCAATGCCTGCACTTATCTTGCTGCAGACAGTAACAAACTATCCCTAACTATAGTTTGACAATTAGTCACACATATATACACAAACACAGAACATATACACAGCACAGATGCACACACACACTGACATATCAGAGAAAGTAAATTTCTATCCACTTAAAAAATAGCTTAAACGTATATTATTACATTGCATAGTTTTTAAAAACACTTCATACAAAAAAAAGCTGATGAGAAAACAGCAGTCTCTTACCCCATCTCTCCCTATCTTCTAGTGCCCACCCAGAGAGGCAGCTATCTAATAACTAAACCTGTCAGAAAAGCAACAGATGTCACCCACCCACCTTCCA
Organism: Homo sapiens; assembly: GCF_000001405.40. NCBI lineage: Eukaryota > Metazoa > Chordata > Mammalia > Primates > Hominidae > Homo > Homo sapiens. The sequence continues at coordinate 207,517,264 of NC_000002.12, forward strand.
ACCTGACCTTCCTCTTGGGGCTCTCTTACCTATCCTTCTCAATCCCAAGTTGTTGCTTCTGAGACCGTTGCACACATACTGTCCTGAGCATTCTTTCTGCTCCCTTCTATAAGAAGGTTCCTTTTGAAATAGGTTGTATTATTGTTCAAAATATTTGCTATTCCTGCATTGGGGTGGATTCTACTTCTTCATCCCATTGATATGAGTCTTGGCCATGATTTGTGATGTCAGCCTTATAGACATGCTGTAATAGAAGGATTTCAGATCCTTGCCCTGTTAAACTCAGAAGTGACCAGGTGATTTGGATTAGCCAGTGATACATCAATTCCAGGTGAAAGCTTAAAAGGCAGACTTACCATCGCTGTCTTCTCCCTCTGTCATAAGACTAGCAATGTCCCAGATAGAGCATGCTCCATTATCCTGCATCCCATAAACCTATGATGTAAACCATGGAGAGTTTGGTGTTATTTGTTACTGCATCATAGCCTAAGCTGACAAATATATCCTTGTTCCTGGCTCCTTTTTTGGATTACTCCCTCATTTGGTATTCTAGTAGCTTCCTGAGAAAGTATTCATAACAGGCAAAGACTTAGTAGTCTGAAAACAACAGAATAATGGATTTGGTATAATTTTCTCTCAGAATTAGAAAGCATTGATACGTTATTTTCTAGCTTCAATGATGCTGTTGAGAAGTCCAAGGCCAATCTCACTCCTAATCCTTTGTATGTAACCCTTAATCCCCACCTACAAGGTTGTATGTGTTTTTAAAAAAATAACTGTTATTCCAAAATGTCATGGTCACAGGTCCTTTTCAAGAGATTTAAATACCTCTTTCAATCTTAATGTTCATGTGTTTCTAATCTAGGAGAATATCTCCTATCATTTTTCTCTTTAAGATCATCTTTTAGTCCTTTTTTTAAAAAAAATAATTTAGCCTTTTCAAAGTTATATATGTTCACAGTTTGAAGAGTCAAAAGCCCTCTCACTGAATATTTACCCTTCCCCAAAGACAGCCACTGTAAATGCTTTTAGCTGATTCTTTGGAATTGACTACCATATCTCTAAATAAAATGTTTTAATTGTGGCAATGTGATATTTCTGCTTTAGACATTATTTATTGACTTCATTATGGAAATAAGAGGTCTCCTCCCTCTCTGCATGCCCACCACATACATTCACCTTTCACCGTGTATCATTATTTTAGTTAGATTAATAATCAGTATTTCTATTATTAGAACCTTGTATTTTAGTCAGATTTGAGCCAAATATAAACTATGATTACTTTTCTTCTCCTACCCAACTCTTTGTTTTCCCTGGAGTTAATAAGTGTATTGTTCTTTTCATTAGTTTTCTAAGAAGATATCACTAATTCAGAACTATCTACCACTTGTTCAAATCTCGTCTCAATACATTCAAACACATCAGATTTTCTGTTTGTTTGGTCAGTTGGTTAGATGGTTTGCTGACTTATCTCTTTCATGCTGAACACTTTCTTTAAGCGTATGCTAATCCCTGATTTTCCAGTCATATTTAAGAACGCACTAAGATGATGAAGGAAAGCTCTGTGTGCATAACAGAACTTGGATATATTTTAGTGAGCAATTTTTTAGCAGCCTATATATCTTTTAAACGTTTAGCTAAAATGTTCTGTAGGCCCCCCTTTGTACTTTTTTCCTAGCTTCTGCAAATGGAATGAAAAAGTACAGCCTCCAATTCCTTCTGCAGGCACTTAGGTATCAGCTCCCTCTACTCTGCCAAGTCAGTTACCTTTCTTCCACCCACTTTTCATCTTCCAAACATATGTTGAGTTCTCTCAATTTCTGTTACCTCCTTTCCTGCCCTTTTTGTCCTCAGAAGGTTATATTAATTTCTTATTGCTGCTGTAACAAATTACCACAAACTTAATGGCTTAAAACAACACAAATTTATTATCTTACAGTTATGGAGGGCTGAAGTACAAAATCAGTCTCAGTGGGCTAAAATCAAGGTGTCAGCAGGGCTGCATTCCTCCTGAAAACTCTAGGGGAGAATCTGTTTCTTTGACTTTTCTAGCTCCCAGAGGTTGTTTGCATTCCTTGGCTCATGGCCTCATCTTCCTTCTTCAAAGCCAGCAGTGGAGCAAATCCTAACTCTCCTTCCTCCCTCTTTCCCCATAAGGATATTTGTAATCACATTAGGCCCACCCAAAACCTCCAAATTAATCTCCTCATCTCAAACTCCTTCACTTAATCAAATTTGCAAAGTCCCTTTTGCCATGAGAGAAAACATATTCATAGGTTCCAAGAATCAGGACATGGACATCTTGGGGGAGAGAGCATTGTTCTACATAAGGTTTTATACTTTGATTTTTCTTTTTTTTTTTTTTTTTTTGAGACAGAGCCTTGCTCTGTCAACAACCAGGCTGGAGTGCAGTGGCACAATCTCAGCTCACTGTAACCTCCGCCTCCTAGGTTCAAGTGATTCTCCTGCCTCAGCCTCACAAGTAGCTGCGATTACAGGCATGTACCACCACATCTGGCTAATTTTTGTATTTTTAGTAGAGATGGGGTTTCAGCATGTTGCCCAGACTGGTCTCGAACTCCTGACCTCAGGTGATCCACCCACCTTGGCCTCCCAAAGTGCTGGGATTACAAGTGTTAGCCACTGCGCTGGCCGGTTTTATACTTTTCTTATTCTTTACTGTGGGGTATCAGGAAAGAAAAGAGTAAAAAGCATTGTTCAATCATCTTGTTTAATCAGGAACCCAAATAGTATGTGCCCTGCGTTCCAATCTTTGAGACTCTTCTCACATCTACTTCTGATATAGATATAATAACAGCACAGAAATAATCAAATCTCACTAAAGTCCTCAATCCACATATGAAACTAGAACAGGGCCAGGCATGGTGGCTCAAGCCTGTAATCCCAGCACTTTGGAAGGCCGAGGCAGGCAGATCACCTGAAGTCAGGAGTTCAAGACCAGCCTGGCCAACATGGCAAAACCCCATCTCTATTAAAAATGCAAAAATTAGCTGGGTGTGGTGGTGCATGCCTGTAGTCCCAGCTACTCTGGAGGCTGAGGCAGGAGAATTATTTGAATCTGGCGGGTAGAGGTTACAGTGAGCAGAGATCACGCTACGGCACTCCAGCCTGGGCAACAGCGAGACTCCATCTCAAAAAAAAAAAAAAAAAAGAAAAAAGAAAAGAAGCTAGAACAGGCCTCAGAAATGTTTTCATAAACTCTGTCACTGTTTTGGAAAGCAGGCAGAATAGGAATGGGAAGAAAATAAAAGTAGAAAAAAGAAAAAAAATGAGAGGGGGGAAAGTTTTTTTTAAAGGAAATGCATATGACAAGATTATGAAATGTGCAGGTTACTTAGTAATCTGGTGCTACCTGTGGACTAGCAGAGAAGAATCAATAGGATTCTTGGGAACAGGAAGGCAACATCATATATGAACAAAAAAGCTAAAGTTAGAATTGGAAGTTCTAAATTCAGACCCCAATTCTCAAACTTACAAGTTTGATCTTGTGGAAGTCAGTTAGGTAACTTGGTTCTATAGCTGAGGAACCTGAAACCCAGAGAAGTTATCTGAATTTAAATTAGCACATATATGTAAAAGACCCTAGGAAAACATCCATCACACAGCAGTTGAATGTCAGCTGTATCTGAAGCAGACAGTGGCACTAATTGAAAACTTAGCATTTTGGCACTGGCAGTGATTCCATAACACGAAAACCCAACAGCTAGAAGGCAGATTGAAAGAAAACCATCTCTTCCATTTCTAAAAAGGTAGGCTAGCCTAGCCACAAGAAAATTCACCTTAATACCTGGATATAATTGCAGATAGGCTATAGAAATATCACTTAAATTCATTCAGATTTTTTTTTTACCAAGTCTGGATGGAACATTCAAAAAAATTTTATCAAACTCCTCCAACATGCCAAACACCATGATAGGTATTAAGGGTACAGCAATGAATAAGACAGACACAATCTCTGTCTTCACAGAGATTAGTCCAGCAGGGAAACAGACAATTCACCAAACAATGACAATTATGATAGGTGCTTTGATGGAAATAAAAACGTAGAGTCCAGGGACCTAAACCAGACTAGGGTGTTGGTGTTGGGGAGTTATGTGTGGCTCTCAACAGTTAATGACACACCCTTAAGAGCACAGCTAAAGAGCAGGAGCTAGTGAAGCAAAGATACAGGGGAAAGGTTTGGCAGAGTGTTTCAAGGAGCCCACTCCTTTGACTAGAAAGAGTGACAAAGTACCTTGGAGGCCAGTCAGCCTAAATCTTGTATTATGCATGAAACAGCAACAGGGTTGATGCCAGAAGAAAGTGCTTGGTTACGAAGGTGCTTTTAGAATGGCAGAATTACCGTGATGGAGTCATAGTTATTTTGCTTTCTTTTCAAGGTAAAGTTCTTCTCCCCTTTTCATTCTGTAAGCAGGCAGTGGAACACAATGGTTAAGAGTTCAGGCTCTAAAGCCTGTCAGAATGTGCCTGGGTTCACATTCTGACTCTGACACTCACTGGCTCTAAGACCACAGACACGTTTCTTCTCTGGTTTCAGTTTACTCATCTGTAAAATGTTCCTAATATTAATATTTCCCTCACTGGGTTGTTGTGAGGATTAAATTAGGTAATATATCAAAAGGTGTTTAGAACAGTGCCAGCACAAAGCAAGCACTCAATACATCTTTTTTTTTTTTTTTTTCCTGAGACAGAGTCTCACTCTGTCGCCCAGGCTGGAGTGCAAGTGGTACGATCTCGGCTCAGTGCAACCTTCGCCTCCCGGGTGAAGTGATCCTCCTGCCTCAGCCTTCCAAGTAGCTGCGGACTGCAAGCACGTGCCACCACGCCCAGCTAATTTTTGTATTTTCAGTAGAGACGGGGTTTCACCATGTTGGCCAGGCTGGTCTCGAACTCTTGACCTCATGATCTGGCCGCCTCAGCCTCCCAAAGTGCTGAGATTACAGGCTTGAGCCACCATACCCAGCCAATAAATCTTTGCTTGTTACTGTTCCTGGTTTTAGTGCCAGCCACTGGACTTTTTGCAATTTCTAAGATAATAAGAGACCACCTGACATGTTTACATGGTATTGCTTTCAGTTGCAGAGAAGATGGAGCATGCAGCAGCACTAGTATCCTACCATTTGGCCCTTGAAATGCTAATTACAAGCTACCAGAATCTTGCTGATCAGTTCTCCAGTTCCGACTCTGTGACATGGGAAGACCAGAAAGCTTCAAAGAGGTCTTCGTCTCTTTAAGGTTATAAGGAACCCAGACAGAAATGGCAGAGTGTAGCCACATAGAAATTGGGCACCACAAGAAGCTGTTAGCTTGGTGGAGCCACCATGATTCAGGCTGTAATACAGAAGCTCAATATTTATAGATGCACCTACAGGTGATCAGTCTAAGAAAGACCTGCTTATGCTAATCCAGGAGATTACATCCAAAATTTCAATTGCATTCATTCAACAAATATTTGAGTCCCAGCTGTGTACCAGGTACTCTTCTAGATGTTAAGGATACAGCAGCGAAAAAAAAAGGGACAAAAGTCCCTGCCCTAGAGGGGGCAGACAATAAACACAATAAATAAGTTAATATATAGCACAGAGAAAGTGATATGTGCAATGGAGAAAAATAAGTAGTAAAGGAAAATAGGGAGAGCAAAAGAGCAAAGAGGTGGTTGTTCGGTGATCAATTTCCACCAGAGTAGTAAGGAAAGGCCTCACAGAAACAGGAGCATTTGAGCAAAGACATGAGGAGTCAAGGAAGACATGGATATCTGGGAGAAGCATTCAGAGCAGAGGAAATAGCAAGGGCAAAGTCTCTTGGGAGAAAGTGTGTTCAAAGTGTTTGAGAAACAGCAAGGAGGCCGCCAATGTGACTGAACAGAGAATGGAGGGGAATAACAGAAGGAACTAAGACCAGAGAGGTAAGGGGGTGTACAGGGACTAATTGTAAAAATAAGTGCTTTTACTCTGAGTGAGATAGGAAGCTTTTAGAAAGTTTTGAACAGTCTTAATATGGTCTGCTCTATATTTTAAAGGTATCACTCTGGCTGCTGTGTTGAGAATAGAATGAATGTTAAGGGTAGCTAATACAAAATTCTAGTCAATGATGACAGTAGTTTGGACCAAGCTGCTATCAGTGGAGTTGGGGAGAGTGGTCATATATTTTGAAGAGAGAGCAATAGGCTTTGATGACAAACTGAATGTGGGATATAAAAGAGTTGCTGAGTTGGCCTCAGCAATCAAATGATGGAGTTGCCAATAACTGAGATAAAGAAGGTTGTAGGTAGAGAAAGTTTTTGAGGGGAAGGGGTATGCTGAGTTTTGTTTTGGATATGATCAAATGAAGAGGTCTATTAAATATACAAGTAAAGATGCTGAGGTACTTGGAATACAAGTTTGGGTTTAAGACTTGGGAGTTGTGAGCATATTTACATGTAAAGACAGAAGACTGAATGAGAGCACTATAGGAAAGGGGGTAGGAACAGAAGAAAAAAATTCCAAGGCAGAGGCCTGGGACACTCCAATATTAAGAGGTCATGAGCAGGAGTTTGAGAACAGTGACTAGTAGTGTAGGACTAAAACCAGGAGACTGAAGTATCCTATAAACTAAGTGGAGAAAGTGTTAAAGGGAGGAGGGAGTAATCAACTATGGCAAATGCTGATAGGTCAAGGATAGAGACAAAGAACTGGCTATTGGATTAACTAACAAAATAACAAAGTAATTGGAGAGTAATTTCAGTGGAATGCTGGGGGCAAGAGGTAGTTAAAATAGTTTTAATAGAAAACAGGAGAAAAGGAATTGGGGCAGTGAATATAGAACTCTTTCAAGGATTTTATAGTAAAGGAGAACAAAAACAAATGGGACAGTAGCTGGAAGGGGAAGTAAAAGCCAAAATTTTTTTTGTTTTGTTTTTCTGGTTTTTAAAATCAGTTTTAAGATACAATACATTAATTTGCATGGGGGAAATGTAACTGGTAAACAGACCAGAAATAGTTGTGAAGAGATTAGTGCTTTCTTTTCTATCTGGAAAGTCAAATTAAAATCACAGCTGGGTGTGGTAAGCTCATGCCTGTAATCATAGCACTTTGGGAGGCTGAGGTGGGAGGACTGCTTGAGCCCAGGAGTTTGAGACGAGCCTAAGCAACACAGGGAGACCCGTCTCTACAAAAAATAAATTTAAAAATATTAGCTGGACATGATGGTGTGTGCCTGTCATCCCAGCTACTCAGGAGGCTGAGGTGGGAGGATTGCTTCAGCCAGGAGATAGAGGCTGCAGTGAGCCATGATCGCACCAGTGCACTCCAGCCTGAGCAACAGAGTGAGATCTTGTCTCAAAAATACTAAACAAATAAATAATAAATAATAAAATAAAACCACAGGATTACTTAGTGAGCATTGATAACAGCTCCTTTCACATTGATTTCAACTGTGAAGAGTCTCAGCATCCCCTTCTTCTCAGCAGGGGAAGAATTTCTGAGTAGATCTGATGCTTGAATCAGCAGGGTAGAGCACACTCCCTTGGCCAGTGCTGGAGAAACTGTTACCATTCATTCACTCTTTCATTCAACAGACACTGCTGAGCACCTACTATTACATGACAGTTACTAGGATACAAGTTCAACAAAACACAACTTTGCCTTTAGAGAGTTCATGGTTCAATAAAGAATATATGTAAGTATACATGAAATGAATAAGTATAGTTATAAGAGTTAAGAGTGGTACATGTATATAAAAGAGACAAAAACAAATTAAGTGGTTATCTATTCAGTAATGGGGACATTTGGGTCATTCACATTTTTTTAGCCATTATAAATAGAGGGATACTGAGGATTTCAATTAATTCCTCACCCAGAAGTATTTATTTATTGCTATCTATTATATTAAGACTATAGGAAATCTTACCAAATAAGAAAGAAACCCATAATATATCCCCCTCCTTGCTTTAAGGCACTAATCCCATTCACAAGGGGTTTACCTCCCAAGTAGAGAAGTTGAAAATGTTAGGACATTTGAGAGGAAAGACAATCTGTTTTATTCATAATTTCCCCAGTCTCTAGAAGAATGCCTGGCACAAAGGAGGTGCTCCACAGATATTTTTAGAATAAATGAAATAGGTCACCATGGTCTTGGGGTTAGGTAGGAAAGCAAATCACAGGAGGTGATGAACTAGGGCAGGCAGGGTTCATGGAACTTGAGCTCACAGTGAGGGTGAAAATTATATTCGACAGCAGAAATGAGCAAAAAATAACAGGAAGAGGAAGTTGTGATTATAGAAAAGCTCTCAAATACTACTTTCTCTTTGAAGCCTTTTATAATCATCTTATGGGACCTTCCCCCTATTCTGGACCTCTTTCAAGATACTTTTCTTATACTCTATCAAGTTACATCCATGTGTGCTCCTCTTTCATCTCCCTGATATTGACCACATTTTGCAATTGGAAAACTGAGTCAAAAATGGGGGATCACCTGTAGTCCCAGCTACTCAGGAGGCTGAGGGCAAGAGAGTCACTTGAGCCCAGGGGTGTGGGGCTGTCACATGCGATGACCGCTCCTGTGTACAGCCACTGCACTTCAGCCTGAGCAACACAGCGAGAGACTGATCCTGGAAAAAATTTCTTTTAAAATGCAGGTGGCTTCCAAATCCCAGAGACAAAACTTGGATGCTGAAAGGAGAAATGTCAGATAGTGAGATTGAAAATGCTAGAGTATATCCGAAGAGAGAATATCCAAGAGAGAAATGTCAAAGTAGAGAGGCTGAAAATCTAGAGTATACCCAAAATGTTAGTAGTAAAATAACTTGCATTGGAATGAATGGATGATTGAATAAATGAATGAACAAAGTTAGGTGGGAACGGAGGTCATTTGAGCAGAAGTCAAGAAGAATATATGTTTTAATAATTGTTTGAGGCCCACTGGTCTGACAGTAAGGGCCCAAATGAATAGGGAAAGCTAGCCTCCAGTTAGAAGACACCTAGGAAGTTAGCAAAATAATCAATGATAATAGAGTCTAAATGAAGGTTAGTGTATATAAAAAGGAAGAATGAATATGAGGACATTTTTAAATAAAAACTCACCATATTTGGTGGGTGATAATTATAGGTTATGAGTAAATAATTCCAAAGTTTTTTGATATCATGTATAGAGCCACGGTAAGAAGAGCAGGAAGATGAACTCAATTTTGAAAACGTATTTGACACGAGGATAAGCTATCCAAGTAAAAGCTAGTAATAGGCAACATTTTTCCTAACATTGTTCCAAGTATACTTCACATGTATTATGTCACGTAATCATTACAATAACACTATGAGGTGCTATTATCATCTTTATTTTACAGATGGGAAAACTGAGGCACAAGAGTGAACAATTTGCCCAAAGTCATTAGCTAATAAGTGGCTGAGCCAGTGCAATGAATTCACCCCCACCCCTGTCTCCTGCAAATTCGTATTTTTGAAATCTTCACCCTCAATGTGATGGTATTAGGAGATGAGGCCTTTGGGAGGTAAACCCCTTGTGAATGGGATTAGTGCCTTATAAAAGCAACCCGAGAGCTCTTGCTCTCTTTCTGCATTGTGAGGTAAAGGGAAAAAACAGCCATCTACAACCCTGAAGAGGGCCTTCACCAGAACCTGACCATGTTGGCAGCCTGATTTCAGATATCCAGCCTCCAGAGCTATGAGAAATACATTTCTGTTGTTTATAAGCCACCAGTCTATATGGTACTTTACTACGGCAACCTGAACTCACTGAGAGCCAGGATTTGAATTCAAATGTTGAGAAAACTTTGCCCGGGACCACTCAGAAATTCACTATTTATTCGATAAATACCTAACAAGTACCACTATATTCTAGACATTGTGCTGTTGCTAGGGAGAGGAAAAGCTGGTAGTGAACAAGACAGACGTGGTCCTTACCTGCACAATTACATGGACACTAAACAAATAATGAGAAGTAGGAATTGGAAAAGAAAGTGATAAGTTACAGTTAAGTAGGAGGAATGGGTGACAGAAAAAAATTCCAGGGGAAGGGAAGGGCATGTGTAAATGCCCTGAAGTGAGAGCCTACAGTAGGGAATAAAAAGAGGAGAGCCTGGAAAAAATTAAAATACTATGGCAGGAGTGCAGGCAGCTAGGGGGACAGATGGAGAGGCTGGAGAGAAAGACAAGTACAGATAATGGAGCTTAGACAATGTGTGGTAAGCAAAGGGAGACCACTGGAGGAATTTAAGCAGGTCAATGATCAGATTTATATTTAAAAAATTACTCTGGCAGCAGTATGGCAAATGTATTGGAACGAGGCAAGAGCAGTTTTGGAGGACCTGAATGGGTTACTGTGGGACTTCAAGCAAGAGGCAACAGTGGTTTAGACTAGAATGGGAATGAAAAAATGGTCATGGGAACAGAGAGAGGTCACAAATCCAATTTTCCAGGGAGCAGACAGATGTAGGTGATTCTGCTGTGTGTTGGAGGTGTGCTAGGTTTCTGGCATGAACTGGGTAGATGTTAAGATACCCTTTACTGAACCAGGGACTATGGGAGGAGCGTTTTGAAGGAATTATGATATACGGGTTGAGTTTGAAATGCCCTAAGTCATCCAAATGAAAGTGTACCAAAGGCAGTATGCTGGGAACTATGAATGTAGGATTCCAGAGCAAGATCTAGGCTTGAGTTATGGATTGAAGAGTCTTTGACAGAGGGTATTTGATGCTGCTGGGAGAGCATAAGACCACCTAGGAAAGTGTATGGGGAGACTCAGTAAGAGGGCCAGGGTTCAGCTCAGCATGATTCCAATGTGTAAGAGGTAGATCAAGGAGGAGCTGGTTGTTAAAGAGCAAACTCAGGTAGGGAGGAAACCTGGGACATAAGACCAGAGGGAAGAGGGTATTTGGAAGCAACTGTGGTCAATCGCGTCAAATACTGGGATGAGGGCTTGTAAAATGAGGACTGAAAATGATCCGCTGCATTTACAGTCATGAAGCTTGTCTGTGGACAATTCAGAGCCACTTCAGGTGAGCGGTGGGGACACTGGAGAGGGCTGGGAGGTGGGACATGAAAGACTGTCCATGGGGTAAGAGACAGCTGCAGTTGTTGGAGAGCAATTTAGGGAGAAGAGAAATCTTTTTAAAGAATTGAAAGACTTAAGCATGTTTAAATACCAGTAAGAAAGAGCCGGTAGAGAAGGAAAGGTTGAGAGTAACAGAAGGAAAGGAGACTCGTTAAGGGCAAAGTCCATAAGAAAACAGTAGGGTACCTGGAGTACCAGGAAGGACAACTCTTTCTTTACAAGAGAAGTGAGTCATGGGCGGAGTCCAGAATCGAACCCTCTCTGCTTCCTAAAGACACGTCTCCTTTAAAGGACAGAAAAAGAATGATTAAGACTTGAGGCCGGGCGCGGTGGCTCATACGTGTAACCCCACCACTTTAGGAGGCCGAGGCGGGTGGATTACCTGAGGTCAGGAGTTCCATACCAGCCTGGCCAACATGGTGAAACCCCGTCTCTACTAACAACACAAAAATTAGCCAGGTGTGGTGGCAGGTGCCTGTAATCCCAGCTACTAGGGAGGCTGAGGCAGGAGAATCGCTCGAAACCGGGAGGCGGAGGTTGCAGTGAGCCGAGATCGTGCCACTGCACTCCAGCCTGGGCGACAAGGGCTAGACTCCGTCTCATTAAAAAAAAAAAAAAAAAAAAAAAGACTTGAAACCCCAAGGAGAGGGCTGCAGAGTTCACTATCAAGGAGAATGGGGACCTAGTGGTGCCGTCCTGAGAGACCTCTGAAAGAACAATTCAGTAGTTTCCAGCCACGGAAGTCCCCCTGCTGGGTTTAGGGTGCAGTGGGTGCGAATCCCTGCTGTAGAAAACAGGCTGAGGAAAGAAAGCGACACAGGATGTTGTCTGGAGAAAGGCGGGGAGGTAGGATGGGGCATATTTCCAGGGGTCCGGGCAGGTTGTGTGGCTTGGAGGCCTCCGAGGGCCGTCGACGTCAGCCATGGTCCGGGCAGAGCCCCGCAAGGTGCCACAGTATCGGGGCCAGCGCCCCCCGGAAAAGCATGCTCCGCTGGCGGCCGCCAGGTTTCTCCGCGGAGTCTCGGAAAGGAAAACCCGTCCCCACGGGGGTCCCACGACGCCCCCGGGTCCCAGGCCCCGGGACGTTGGCAGAGGCGCAGCAGACCTTCTTCCCCAGCCCGCACGGCTCCAGCGGTCCGGCCGCGTCCCAGCCCGGGCTGCCCGTCCCCCGTCTCCCGGCGGCGTCGGAAAGTTCCCGGGGCTGGCGGCGGTCAAGAGCAGAGCCAGGGCAGCCGCAGCCGCCTTCTAGCCCGCCGCTCACCGCCGCAGGGGCAGGCCTGAGCGGGGGTTTCCACCAAGTCGCCGACACCCCTCGGGAATTCCCCCACTGGGCCACACACAAACCCCGCTTCCTCCTTCAAATTTCCGCTGCCGGCTTTACCGATGCGAAAGCCGCGGTGGAGTTTAGACCACTCCTCCCGGCGCCGGGCTCAGCCCGCCTTCGCCTTCCCTCTCCCCGCGGAACCCCTTCTCGTCGCCCGAAGAAACCCGAAGGTCTTCGGCAAGTTCCGTCCCCAGCGCGGGGGCGGGGCCGCTCGAGCTGCTCCGGGCCTAGCTCGGCTGTTTCCGTGCGCGGCCGCTGCGCACTCGGCACTGGGCGGCGCTGGCTGGCTCCCTGGCTGCGGCTCCTCAGTCGGCGGCGGCTGCTGCTGCCTGTGGCCCGGGCGGCTGGGAGAAGCGGAGTGTTGGTGAGTGACGCGGCGGAGGTGTAGTTTGACGCGGTGTGTTACGTGGGGGAGAGAATAAAACTCCAGCGAGATCCGGGCCGTGAACGAAAGCAGTGACGGAGGAGCTTGTACCACCGGTAAGAGGAGCAGGAGGAGGAGGCAGGAGCCAGAGAGAGCCGGGGGGACGGAGGGGGGACGGGGAGGCGCCGGACACCCGCGCTTGGGGCCTTCCCCTCGCAGGAGGGGCCGCGGTAAAGATGGAGCCTCCGCCCGAGCCCCACAACATCGCCGCCGCTCGCAGCGAACAAAGAATAATGGCGGCGGACTGGAGCCAGCGGCGGCCGGGGCGGCAGCGACTCTGCCTGCAGCCAGCGGCGGCGCTCATGGCGGGGGGCGGCGGGCGGCGGGCGGCGGGCGGGGTGGGAGCCGGCGGCCGGGGGTGTGTGCGGGCGGCCGGCCGCGGCGAGCTGGCGCCCGCGTTCCCGCCGCCGCCGCCGGGCCGGGCGCGGAGCCGGGAACCCGGAGCCGCCCCGGGGGAGGCCGCCCGCTCGGCCCGGCGCTGCCCCCCGCGCCGCTCGCTCGTCCGGCCCCCGCCGCCCGCCTCGCCCCCGGCCCGACCCGGCCGGGCCTCCGGGGCAGCCGCCGCCTAGGTGCCGGTGGGGGATGGAGGAGGAAGAAGGCGACAGTTGAGGGCAGAGGAGGTGAAGGTGCCTGCTGCCTTCCCGGTGGCTTCGGTGCCTGCCATGCCCGCTTCGCAAGGGGAAGAGCTGCAACGTCTGACCTACTCTTCTCTCCACTCTTTGTGCAATAAAGTTCGAAACCCAAGGTTTCCTCTCGTGCTGTATTTTATTCGTGCCCTTTCCCCCCCGCTCCTACACCGTTGAGGAAATGCTGCTTTCTGCCCTGTGTTGCTTAGTTGAGAGATGAGAGCTTGTGCTTTTGGGGGGAATTTTTGACTCCCTCACCCCTTTGCTTTTTTTTTTTTTTTAAAGTCAGTCATGGAAATGCATGCTTTTTGGGAGAAAGGGTGCTAAGAAAAACATTTATAATAACTTTTTAAACTGTTGGGATCTTATAAAAGGGAAGCTGGTGTTTGAAAACAGTTTCGGTTTTAACCCTTTTTAATAAGGTAATCATCACTTGAGATCTATCATTCTGAAACACTTCGTTGGAACGAGTATCAGCCGATGTACTCTTGTTTTACATCATTTCGCGGGGTGCAACCTTGCCAACCGCGTTTGGGTCATCTGGATCTCCCCTCACCCTCCGTCCCACTCCCCCTACCATATTTCCCACGAATTTCTGTGTGAACTTTAATGAGAGATTGATTTAATACTACTACTAAAAATAGACATTAAAGTATCCATTATTTGTCTCATGCAGTAGGTAACCCCCGTCTTGAGATTGACAATTTAAGCCACAAGCTGTATTTTTTCTTCGCCTGTTGGGAAAAGAGGACAGCAGAAAAGTCATTGACACATTAAAAATTAAAAGACAGTTTTTGAAGGACGTGCGGTATGACCTATTTAAGTTTGTAATACCATCTCAAGTTATAATTCTAACCTCAGCTGGCGTCTAACTTCTGAAGGTTTAGTAGAAGATACTTTTGATTGCTGCCTATTGAAATCTTTTACATTTATGGCTCATTTCGTGATTTAAAAGTAAAGCCCCGAACAGTTATTTTAGGTGGTGCAAAAGACGAACAAGTTTGTTTTAAAAATACTTGTCTGTCACTGTATGATTGCATTGTGATTGATACGTACAAACCTTCTGGTTAAGAACAAATATTGATTGGCAGCAGAAGCACTGTCTTATTTTTCTGTATTCTAGTCACTTTTCCAAAACGTGCTTTGCTGTATTGCTTCTCTTTAAAAGACCACATTGGCAATTTGTCATTTCCAAGAAAATTAAGAAGAGGCAATAAAGGCAGGTTTTCTATAAAGATTGGGGAAATGATTTTATTTCCGAGCACTGAAAAAATTATAGTATTGATAATGGTAGCTTACCATTTTTCCTTTATGTTGTTCCGCAAGCCACTATCAGTAGAGTAGAATTTTTTTTCTTGTTAAGAATATAAGTCGGGCGCGGTGGCTGAGGCCTGTAATCCCAGCACTTGGGGGGTCGAGGCGGGCGGATCACTTGAGGTCAGGAGTGCAAGACCAGCCTGGCCAACATGATGAAACCCCATCTCTACTAAAAATACAAAAATTAGCCGGGTGTGGTGGCACGCGCCTGTAATCCCAGCTACTCGGGGGGCTGGGGTTGCAGTGAATTGAGATCGTGCCATGCACTTCAGCCTGGGCGACACAGCAAGACTCCGTCTCAAAGAAAAAAAAAAAAAAGAAAGAATATATGACTCTTCATTTGTGAGATTTTTAAAAAATTGTTCACTGATGGCCGAGTGCGGTGGCTCACATCTGTAATCCCAGCACTTTGGGAAGCCGAGGCAGGCGGCTCACGAGGTCAAGAGATCGAGACCATCCTGGCTAACATGGTGAAACCCCGTCTCTACTAAAAATACAAAAATTAGCTGGGTGTCGTGGCGCGTGCTTGTAATCCCAGCTACTAGGGTAGCTGAGGCAGGAGAATCTCTTGAGCCCAGGAGGTGGAGATTGCAGTGAGCCGAGATCGCGCCACTGCCCTCCAGCCTGGTGACAGCGAGACCCCATCTCAAAAAAAAAAAAGTTTACTGATAAGTTCTTTCTTTAGTCTTGCCCGAGAGATATTTTAAATTGTATTTTTTATTTTTATTTTTATTTATTTGTTTTTTTGAGACGGAGTTTGGCCCTTATTGCCCAGGCTGGAGTGCAGTGGGCTGGTCTCGGCTCACTCACTGCAAGCTCCGCCTCCCGGGTTCAAGCAATTCTCCTGCCCCAGCCCCCCGAGTAGCTGGGATTACAGGTGTGAGCCACCGCGCCCGGCCTGTTTTATTATTTATACATTCATAATTTGTGATTCTTAGCAATTCCAGGTGAAACTTCAAACTTGTATTCATTAATACTTGAACATTCACCTGGAACATGTTACTAAATTGTACTTCTGCACTGTTCCAGCCATGGATAAAAATTACAGCTGGATCTGCTTGAATCTTTTTTTTTTTTTCATGAACACCTACATTTAGAAAGCTAATAAATTACTTGACAGAGTTTGCTTGAAGAATGTTAAAAGAACACTTCTTTGGGAATTTAAAACTTAAGTGTTACCTGTTTTGAATGATTTTTTTTTTGTTTACATAAAGAGCCTGAAGAAACTTAGACACCTGATCCATAAAAATGGCACCTTTTTCTACTTTCTGAAACTCATATTCTTGATTAGGTCTCATTATTAGAAATTTTGGGTTCTTCATAGAGAAGTAGCTTTATTTCTCTCTCATTCTAAGACATTTGGTTTTGTTTGTTTGGATACAGTATGGTTATGGGGTTATAGTAAAACCAAGTATGTCTTCCTCACGTGTTTTTAAATTCTACTTTTTATAACAGAAAATTATTTTTAACCTAATGCTTACAATATATTACCGAAATTTATAATTTCATTTATTCCATAAATAGCTTATCAGATATGAGTTACATAAACTTGTTTACAGCCAGCTTGTGACATAGTTTTGCAAATATCTTGATATATGGTGTAACTTTGATGGCTTCTTTATTGAATAGAGCTCAAATCTAAATTTAAGAATGTAATGAGATGTCAAGATGGAAAAATGCAGGATTTTTTTTTTTCTTACCCATGTGTAAACTCATCTGTACTGCAGTATCACTTGAGACAGCAGTTTATGGTAATTCAAATATTTATTTGGCACTCACTGTGACAGAGAATGTAGTTGAAAGAGCATGAGGTTTGGAATCATAGGCCTAGGTCTGAATCCAAGCATTGCCACTGCTATCCTGTACCCACCCTAAAGGAATTTTGTGTCCTGAAGGAAGTTTCTTAATCTTTCTCAGCCTCAGTTTCCTTATATGTAAAATTAGAATACTACTACTTATTTCATAAGATTGCGAGATAAACATAAAGTACCTTAGGGCTACAACTAATGATAGCTAGTCCCTTAAGCTTTATTTTAACTTCCTACCTGTGGGCCCTTAGGCAAGTTATCTTAACTTCTTAATACCTCACTTTCCTTTCTGATCAGTGTAGAACAACTACCTCAGAATTGTGGGGGTTAACTATAAAGTAATACATACTAAGTCCCAGGCATTGTGCAAGTGTCAAGTGCTCAAGTGTTGACAAGGCTTTTTTCTTTTGTTTTAATTTTTTTTTGAGACGGAGTCTTGCTCTGTTGCCCAGGATGGTGTGCAGTGATGCAGTCTCAGCTCACGGCAACCTCTGCTTCCTGGATTCAAGTGATTCTCCTGCCTCAGCCTCCCTAGTAGCTGGAACTACAGGCATGCACCACCACGCCCGGCTAATTTTTGTGTTTTTAGTAGAGACAGGGTTTCACCATGTTGGTCAGGCTGGTCTTGAATGCCTGGGATTATAGGCGTGAGCCACCACGCCCAGCTGGTCTGTTACTTTTTAAATTATTTATTATTACTATATGTAATACAGTGGGTCAGAAGCTACAACAAATCCAAAGATGAATTACGCTGTCTTATCTCTACCCTCAGGAACTGTTGGGGACACAGTGACTAAGGCAAAATATGTGTCAAAAGAAAGCAGTCAAAGGAAAAAGGGATCACCTTTGGTGAAGTGAGGAGTATATTTTTTATATTTCTAATTTGGTTTTTTGAATAAGTAATTCATTCACATGATCTATAATTCAAAACATAATAACAGCAAAATGCCCTACATTCTCTTGCCCTATTACCTAAGTGTTAGCAATTTTTTATTTGTCCTTTAAGAGGTGTTTTATGCAAACACGAGCAAATATGTATGTACAGTCTCCCCCTTTTTGTACAAATGGTAGCATACTAGGTATACGCTCTCCTATATCATGCTTTACCCCCACCACTTAATATGGCTTAGCAATTTTGTATCAGCACATAAAGAGCTTCTTCATTTTTTAACATACAATTGGAAGCATTTTATTATGTAAGTAGACTGTATTAACCAGTTAGTGAGCTGCTTTTATTCTTAGGTCTTATATTACCTTTTAAACTAAGGGAAACTGCCATCTTGCCTTTATTTCTTTAAATGAAAAACTTTCTATTTGAATGAAAAATAAATAGTTTGTGACAGGAAATTGTTATTTAAAGTCCCTCATTTCCTGTTTAACTCCAGTTTTTAAAAGTTTTAGTAAAATGATCAAAATGTACATGAGGAGGCAAGCAAGCCAGGTTAAGAGTTAACTCACAAGGTGAATTTAACTCTTTTGTTGAGGTTCTTACAGTTCTGAACAGACTACTTCTTTCAATTATTATTTTGGCCCAAAAGGTTTTTATAGCTTTCTTTCTTAATGAGAAAGAACATTTCATATAGTCCGGTGTTTTTTTGGGTTTTTTTTAACAGACAGCTCATGGGATATTATTACCCAGTAAGGCTGATTACTATACTAGATTTCTCCCTGCATTCATTTATTTTTTACATACTTGTTAACTTACCTTGACGATTTTCTAGTATTTCTTAATGTAATTATGTGAGTTTTATATTTTGTACCTAAATTTAAAAATAGTGAGATTCACCTATATGATTGCTGAGATGATAAACTTTACTGCATAGATGATTTTTTTACCCCCGTGGGGAAACCTTTGGTCAACCAGTTGGACCAAGTAATACGTATTTCAGCCAAAGCACAAAATGCGTTTCACTACCTTTTTTTTTTCCTCTAGCTTTTCGAAACAGCATTGAGCTACAATACTTTTTTATTTATTTATTTATTTATTTATTTTTATTTATTTATTTTTTTGAGGCAAGGTTTGGCTCTATCACCCAGGCTGGAGTGCAGTGGCACACACTTGGCTCACTGCAACCTCTGTTTCCTGGCTCAAGCCATCCTCCCATTTCAGCTTCCTGAGTGAGTGGGACAACAGGCGCGCACCACCAGGCCCGGCTAATTTTTTGTAGAGACAGAGTTTCGCCATGTTGCCCAGGCTGGTCTCAAACTCATGAGCTCAAGCCATCCACCTGCCTCAGCCTCCCAAAGAGTTGGGATTACAAGCGTGAGCCACCATGCCCGAATGCTGTAGTACATTTTAAATATACATGCTGTTTGTATTTATCTTTAAAATGTACACACTATGACTTTTTTGAGTTGATTAAACTCAGAAAGTGATTAATAATATAGCAGCAAGGGCACAAATCTCTTTCCAGAAAACATCATTAAGTAAAGCTGTCATGGGCCAGTCGCGGTGGCTGACGCCTGTGTGATCCCAGCACTTTGGGAGGCTGAGGTAGGTGGATCACCTGAGGTCAGGAGTTCGAGACCAGCCTGGCCAACATGGTGAAACCCCGTCTCTACTAAAAATACAAAAATTAGCTGGGCATGGGGGCAGGCGCCTGCAATCCCAGCTACTCAGGAGGCTGAGGCAGGATAATCACTTGGACCTGGAAGGCAGAGGTTGCAGTGAGCTGAGATTGCACCATTGCACGCCAGGCTGGGCGACAAGAGCGAAACTCTGTCTTAAGAAAAAAACAAAAGCTGTCATGGTATATTTCGTTTTTTGTATTCCCAAGTTGGTGTTTATGCGTTGATCATATATACAAAGTTTTTAATGTAAGAATATTGTTTTGAGGTTTTACTAATATTTGATTTAAAATATTACTATGTGCTATTTGGCCAGGCGTGGTGGCTCACGTCTGTAATCCCGGCACTTTGGGAGGTCGAGGCGGGCGGATCACTTGAGGCCAGGAGTTTGAGACCAGCCTGGCCAAGATGGTGAAACCCCATCTCTACTAAAAATAGAAGAATTATCTGGGTATAGTTGTATACGCCTGTAGTCCCAGCTGCTTGGGAGGCTGAGGCAGGAGAATTGCTTGAGCCCTGGAAGTGGAGGTTGCAGTGAGCCAGTATCACCCCACTGAACTCCACTCTGGGTGACAGAGCAAGATGCCATCTCATAAATAAAATATTACTGTGTGCTATTTGTACCTGCTAAATGATTAAAATGTTTACAAAGTGCTTTGTTGTTGTTGTTGTTGTTGAGACGGAGTCTTTCTCTGTTGCCAGGCTGGAGTGCAGTGGTGCGATCTCAGCTCACTGCAACCTCCGCCTCCTGGGTTAAAGCGATTCCCCTGCCTCAGCCTCCCAAGTAGCTGGGATTACAGGCGCCTGCCACCATGCCCAGCTAAAGAGACAGGGTTTCACCATGTTGGCCAGGATGGTCTCGATCTCCTTGACCTCGTGATCCACCCACCTCTGCCTCCCAAAGTGGTGGGATTACAGGCGTGAGCCACTGCGCCTGGCCTACAAAGTGCTTGTCTTTACATATTTGGGGATGGGGGTGGGGTAGATCATTGAAATCTGTAAAGGCAGAACGTTTTTTATCTGGAACATATCTGTAGACTAACAGAGTTAAATGATTTCCCACAGTGTCATGGAATCATCAGTGGATTGCCTCTTGGGGTGGAGGCAAAGATCATTAAAGCAGCAAACTGATAATGTGAACGTGGTTGTTTTTTCTCTGCCAATTAAATATATGCTAGTTTAGTCATTATAGAAGAGCCAGATGCTGGTCAGCTTGTTGAAGTTGTAAGTAGAAGGTGTGGTTTTATCACATCTGTAAATGTAGGTTTTTGAGACAAAACTTAAATAAGAATAGACGTTAGTTTTTATTCACATTCAGAATGTCTGACTCCCCTTAATATATACACACTCTTGTCTTATCTACTGGGTTTTTTTGTTGTTGTTTTTTGTTTTGCCTTTTCTCTCTCTCTTTTTAAGCTCTGCCAGACAAGGCCCTATGAAGATAGGTTTTACAGGTTGAGAATCTTTTATCTGAAATTCTTGGGACCAGAAGTATTTCCAGTTTTGGGTTTTTTCAGATTTTAGAATATTTGCATATACATACATAATGAGCTATCTTGGGGATGGGACCCAAGTCTAAACATGAAATTTGTTTCATATACACATTATACACATAGCCTGAAGGTAATTTTATACAAAATTTTTAATAATTTTGTGCATGAAACAGTTTTGACTGTGAACTGTTACATGAGGTCAGGTGTGGGAATTTTTCATGGCATCATGTCAGTGCTCAAAAAGTTTGAGATTTTGGATGTTTTATTAGGGATGCTTACCCTGTATTATATTTTGCCCAGATGTTTCCTCATTTGTCTTCTAGGCTACCAGAAAGATGTTAGCTTAGAAAAACGTATTCTGGCGTTTATTCCAACAGATGAGAAGGCAGTTTCTCCAGTGATGAATAATTACCTATAATTTAATACGTGCATTATACATCTCCAGTGATGAAAAATCACTGTGTATTAAAAAATTCTTGAAGCTAGGTACATAATCTCAACTCCTAAAAAAGAAAATAAACAGTAGTACTCCTTGATGAACTTACAGATGCTAAGTTGCCTTTTCTTAGAGTTGAAATAAGGTGATAAAGGAGTTTACCGTGAGACTAGCTGTGTGAACAAAGATGAAAAACACCCTTTCAGTTTTCTTCCTCTTGGATGATTCTAGGATCTCTAAAAAATAATCTTAAAAGGGGCGAGGTTTTGAGAGGATGAGGTCTAAGGAATTGATGGTGAGTTTTTTCTGAAAGAAGAGAAGTGACATTTGATTAGATAAGAAAGGGTTAAAAGGGAAGTTATTAATAAAATAGTTTAGGAGTAGAGTGGATCTGAAAGTTGACTTATACCAATGATGATAGAATGTGTCTTTTCCCAAAGGTTAGTGCATCTTCTCTGAAATGAAGACGTTTCTTTCATCAATTTTAAGTGAATTTCTAAGGATCTGGTTATCTACTTGTGAGTTTTTGGTTGTAACTGTATGACAGTACAGATGTAACTAAAAATGTTTGTAATTTACCCAAGGTTAAATAACCATTATTTTTGAGGGCTGTTATCCCTGTTGGTATAAGTAAGTAGTTGGCAGTAGGGGACACAGAAATACCTTGTTTTTCACCACTGAAGTGAAAATTACAGATTATTCTGAATTATTTGTACTCTTTTTTTTTTTTTTTGAGAGGAATCTCGCTCTGTCTCCCAGCCTGGAATGCAGTGGTGTGATCTCGGCTCACTGCAACCTCCGCCTCCTGGGTTCCAGCGATTCTGCTGCCCCAGCCTCCCAAGTAGCTGGGATTACAAGCATGTGCCACCATACCTGGCTAATTTTTTTTTTTTTTTTTTGTATTTTTAGTAGAGACAGGATTTCACCATGTTGGCCAAGCTGGTCTCGAACTCCTGACCTTATGTGATCTGCCTGCCTCAGCCTCCGATTACAGGCATGAACCACCGCCCCCAGCCCTATTTGTACTCTTAAAGGGGAGTCATTTTCTTATAATAAGTATCAGTAGTAGCTCTATTGTTTGCTGTGATCAATGGTGACACCTTGACTTTATGTATTGCCATTTATCAATCATTTATTCAGTGAAGATTTATTGACCATTGACTTTATTATGGTTGGTGAAATAATCGCAAGAAAATTTATTCAGTTAGGTATTTATAAAAATACCTAGGTATTAAATGAAGATTGTTCTAGTTGATATAAGCAATAAAGCCTGACTATATGGCTCCTACCCTCAAGAATCTTACGGTATAGTAGGGATGATGAAATAGTGTAAGAATGATTTATATGTGCCAGAGTACATGACAGAGTTTTTACTGTCTTGAAGAGCTACAGAGTTCAGAAGAGAAGGGGCTTAGTGAGGAAAAGTTTTGTGGGAGAAGTAGAATTCAAGTTGAATACTAAAGAACTTCAGTAAGTACAGATAAAATGGAGTGTATTCTAGGCAGTGGAATGGACAAAAAAATGAAAACATGGACATATAATGAACTTGACATACTCATAAATTGGTGAAGAAAGTATTAGATTATAGATCTACATTTTGAGGAATGCTGAGTATGAGGCAGGGAGCTTTGAGTTTCATGTAAGAGAAGGTAAGATATAAACAGGAATACAATGATAAAT
This sequence comes from Homo sapiens, assembly GCF_000001405.40. NCBI lineage: Eukaryota > Metazoa > Chordata > Mammalia > Primates > Hominidae > Homo > Homo sapiens. The sequence continues at coordinate 207,540,007 of NC_000002.12, forward strand.
TGGGCTGAAATGTAGATTTCCTGACTCCCAATTCTTCTCCTTAGTGTAGACAGAGATATACAGTCATGCACTGTATAAGAACGTTTTGGTGAATGACAGATTGCATATACAACAGTGGTCCTGTGCTAGTGTAAGCAAACCTATTAAGAACTTCAGATAGGTCCTTCAGGAGGTATTCCAGAAGAAGGCATTGTTACCATAGGAGATGACAGCTCCATGCATGTGATTGCCCCTTGAAGACATTCCAGTGGGACACGTTGTGGAGGTGGAAGGCTGTGATGTTGACAATCTTGACCCTGTGTAGGCCTAGGCTAACGTGTGAATGTCTTTTTAACAAAAAATTTTAAAAAGTGGCCGGGAATGGTGGCTCACGCCTGTAATCCTAGCACTTGGGGAGGCTGAGTCAGGCGGGTTGCTTGAGCCCAGGAGTTTCAAGCAGCCTGGGCAAAATGGCGAAATCCTGTCTCTACAGAGAATACAAAAATTAATTAACTGGGCTTGGTGGTGCATGCCTGTAATCCCTGCTACTCACGAGGCCAAGGCAGGAGAACCCAAGAGGCAGAGATTGCAGTGAGCTGATACTGTGCCACTGCACTCCAGCCTGGGTGACATAGTGAGACCCTGTGTCAAAAAAATAAAGTTTAACAAAAAAGTTTAAAAAGTAAAAAAAAAAAAAAAAAAAAAAAAAAAAGGAAAAAACCTTAGATTCTTTTATTGCTTTACTTTATTACTAAATTTGCTTTCACTTAAAAACCCTTTAGAGAAAAAATATTTTTATACAGCTGTACAATTTATTTGTGTTTTAAGCTATGTGTTATTACAAAAGAGTTGACAAGTTAAAAAAACTAAAAAGCATATGAAGTTACAGTAAGCTACGGTTAATGTATTACTGATGAAAGAAAATTTTGTTTATATAAATTTAGTGTAGCCTGGATGGGCACAGTGGCTCACACCTGTAATCCCAGCACTTTGGGAGGCCAAGGCAGGTGGATTACCTGAGGTTAGAAGTTCGAGACCAGCCTGGCCAACATGGTGAAACCCTGTTCCTACTAAAAGTGCAAAAATTAGCCAGGTGTGGTGGCAGGCGCCCGTAATCCCAGCTACTCAGGAGGCTGAGGCAGGAGAATAGCTTGAACCCACAGGTGGAGCATGCAGTGAGCCGAGATCGTGCCACTGCACTCCAGCCTGGGTGACAAGAGCAAGACTCCATCTCAAAAAAAAAAAAATTAGCCTAAGTATACAGTGCCTTTGAAGTCTACAATAGTGTACAGTAATGTTGTAGGCCTTCACATTTCTCACACTGATTCACCCAGACCAACTTCTAGTCCTGCAAGCTCCGTTTGTGATAAGCACCCTGTACAGATGTACCATTTTTTATCTTTTATATTTTATATCTTTTATTTTTACTGTACCTTTTCTATGTTTGGATATGTTTCGATAACAAATACTTACCGTTGTGTTACATTTCCCCACAGTGTTCAGTACAATACCATGCTGTATGGGTTTGTAGCCTATACTATGTAGCCTTGGTACATAGTAGGCTATACCATCTAGGTTTTGTTTTCTAACCTAATTAACTAATGATGCATTTCTCAGAACATATTACCATCAAGTGACACATGACTGTATATGTATTACAGTTAAAAATTGGACATCATAGATTCTTTTTTAAACAGCTTTATTGAAATATAATTCACATACTCTACAATACACCCATTTGGTGTGTACAGTTCAGTGGTTTTCAGTATATTCACAAAGTTGTGCATCTATTACCACCATCAGTTTAGGACATTTTCATTATCCCTAAAAGAAATCTACACATCTCCTCTCAGCCATCACCTCTTAATCTCCCCATACCTGCAGCCCTAGGCAACCACCTATCACCTTTGTGTCTCTATAGGTTTGCTTATTCTGGGACATTGTGTATAAGTGGAATCATATAGCATAATGTCCATTGTGATGAGCTGCCTTTAGCATAATGTTTTCAAGGTTTATTCATGTTGTAGTATGTATCAGTATTCATTTTTATTGCCATAATAGTCCATTTTATGGATATAGAACATTTTATTTGTGAGTTCACGGACATTGGACTTTTTGATTATTATGAAAATGCTGCCATAAACATTCATTTATGTTGACTTGCCTTCATTTCTCTGAGTATATACTCAGGAATGGAATTTTATGGTAACTGTGTTTAACCATTTAAGGAACTGCCGGGCTGTTTTCCAATCTGCTGCACCACCAGCAGTGTATTAGGGTTCAAATTTTCCCCCATCTTCACTAACACTTGTTATCATCTGTTTTTTGGGGTTTTGGGTTTTTGTTTTTGTTTTTTTGTTTATTTCAATTATAGCCATTCTACTGAGTGCAAAGAGGTAGCTCAGTTTGGTTTTGATTTGTATTTCCCTCACGACTAATGATATCAAGCTGCTTTTCATGTGCTGATTTGGCCATTTGTATATCTTCTTTGGGAAAATTTCTGTTCAGATCTTTTGCACATTTTAAAATTCGGTTGGCTTTTTGTTGTAATAGTTGTTTATTATTCTAGATACAAATCTCTTGTCAGATACATGATTTACAAAAATTTTCTCCTGTGGGTTGTCTTCACTTTCTTGATGGTGTCTCTTGAAGCACAAAAGTTTTTAATTTTTATGATTTCCGGTTCATCTAATTTTTCTTTTCTTGTTTGTGTTTTGGTGTTATATTGTGTATATCATAAATTCTTGTTTATTATAAACATTTAAAAAATATCTCTGATCTCTGTGAAGGCCCAGGCAAACAAGATACCATTATTTAATGAAAAATAACTGAAGCTACTAATGTGTATTTGGAGTTATAATCCACCTACCTCAGGCCTTCCCTTTATTCTGTGTCCATATCCTTCAGTTTGTAGTGACAGATGAAAGAAGCAAAGATGAAAATCGAGAAATAATTTTGAGTGAAACATTTTAATTTGAAGCACAGTTGTCCCTTGGTATCGATGGGGAATTGGTTCCAGGACCCCTTCAGGTACCAAATCCACGGATGCTTGAGTCCCTTATATAAAGTGGTATAGTATTTGCATGTAATCGACAAATATCCTCCCATATACTTTAAATCATCTCTAGATTACTTATAATACCTTATACAGTGCCTGCCCATCACTTGACTCTTATGGGTTCAGCATAGGAGTCAGCATGCAGCAAATTCAAGCTTTACTTCTGGGACTTGGGGATTTTTTTCCCCCAAATATCTTTGATCTGCAGTTGGTTGAATCCACAGATGCTGAATCTTTGGATACAGAGGCCCAGTTGTAACTATGATCCAAGAATTTGTTATTTATTATGAGAGAATTTATTATAATGACTGCGATGGTAGTTTATAACTTATAAACTCTACCATATTTGGGAAATTCACAGTTACAAACATTTACCTATGAAGGGGGAGTGAGTAGTCATTCCTTCATTTTTTACAAATAAGCTGAGTCGTGGAGAATTTAAGTGATGTGTGTAGAAACTCACAGTAAGTAAGGCGTAGTCTTCATCACTCTTGTAGTACTGCATTATCTCTTTGTAAAGTTTTCAGGGTTTCTGTTTTATTAATGGTTATTAATTTTATTTATTTATTTATTTATTTATTTTTGAGATGGAGTCTGTCACCAGGCTGAAGTGCAGTGGTGCTATCTTGGCTCACTGCAGCCTCTGCCTCCTGGGTTCAAGTGATTCTCCTGCCTCAGCCTACCGAGTAACTGGGACTACAGGTGCATGCCACCACACCCAGCTAATTTTTTTGTATTTTTAGTAGAGACAGGGTTTCACCATGTTGGTCAGGATGGTATCGATTTCTTGACCTTGTGATCTGCCCACCTCAGCCTCCCAGAGTGCTGGGGATTACAGGCGTGAGCCACGGCGCCCAGCCAAAATTTGTTTTTTTGTTTGTTTGTTTGTTTTTTGAGACGAGGTCTCGCTGTGTTGTGCAGGCTGGAGTGCAGTGGCACCATCTCAGCTCACTGCAAGCTCTGCCTCCTGGGTTCATGCCATTCTCCTGCTTCAGCCTCCTGAGTAGCTGGGACTACAGGGGCCCGCCACCACGCCTGGCTAATTTTTTGTATTTTTAGTAGAGACAGAGTTTCACTGTGGTCTCGATCTTCTGACCTCATGATCTGCCCGCCTTGGCCTCCCAAAGTGCTGGGATTACAGGCGTGAGCCACTGCCCGGCCAAAATTTTTCTTTTTAAGCAATATTAGTTTAGGCTTGTAAGTAGCTCACTTAGGGTAAATATTCTAGCCAAGATCATGAAAAAATACATTGATTTCATTATGTTCTTAATCAGATCTGCATCAGATTACCATAAATAGGCAGCTATTCTTTCTTTTTTTCCACAGTTCATTGTATTCCTACCATTTCCAAATAGAAGTTTATGGTTTTAAATTACTGATGTTAAGTACTTGTTTGGAAGGAATTTATAGTTAAACTAGTTATAATAATTTATACCTGTCAAGCTCTTTCATATATAGTACATATTTTATCTCTCATTAGTTTCTGTAAGCTCTTGAGAGAAAGGTTCTTTTTTATTTCCACCTTTTAAGTTCAGGGGTACATGTGCAGGATGTGCAGGTTTGTTACATAGGTAATCGTGTGCCATGGTGGTTTGCTGCACACATCATCCCATCACCCAGGTATTAAGCCCAGCATTCACCAGCTGTTCTTCCTGATGCTCTTCCTCCTCCCACCCCCAACCCTCTGACAGGCCCCAGTGTGTGTTGTCCCCCCAACCACCGATGTGTCCATGTGTTCTCATCATGTACCTCCCACTTACAAATGAGAACATGCGGTATTTGGTTTTCTGTTCCTGTATTAGTTTGCTGAGGATAAAGGCCTCCAGCTCCATCTATGTTCATGCAAAGGACATGATCTTGTTCTTTATGGCTGCATAGTATTTCATGGTGTGTATGTACCACATTTTCTTTAGTCTGTCATTGATGGGCATTTAGGTTGATTGCATGTCTTCGCTATTGTGAATAGTGCTGCAGTTAACATATGCGTGCATGTATTGTTATAATAGAATGATTTATATTCCTTTGGGTATATATCCAGTAAGGGGATTGCTGGGTCAAATGGTATTTCTGCCTCTAGGTTTTTGAGGTATTGCCACACTGTCTTCCACAATGGTTGAACTAACACCACCAACAATGTAGAAGCATTCCAGAGAAAGGTTCTTTTATTTTTGTTTTGTTTTGTTCGAGACAGTCTCACTCTGTTGCCCAGACTGGAGTGCAGTGGCATGATCTCGGCTCACTGCAACCTCTGTCTCCTGGGTTCAAGTGATTCTCCTGCCTCAGCCTCCTGAGTAGCTGGGACTCCAGTCATGTGCCACCATGCCCGGCTAATTTTTGTATTTTTAGTAGAGATGAGGTTTCACTATGTTGGCCAGCTGGTCACGAACTTCTCACCTCAAGTGATCCACCCGCCTTGGCCTCCCAAAGTGCTGGGATTACAGACGTGAGCCACTCCGCCTGGCCTAATTCCAGAGAAAGGTTCTTATATGTTTTATGCTATAGTCCCATAGTATGGGACTACTACTATGTAGTAATTTTCAGTTCTGCTGAAAATGCTGTAGTCGTTACTACGTAGTAGGCGCAGAATATTTGTTTAATGAGTGATTCTCTATTAAAGGGTCATAAATTTGAAAGGTAAAGGTTAAGAACAATTTCTCTTTAGAGTTGTACAGATTAAAGGAAGTGAACTTTTTTTTTTTTTTTTTGTGAGATGGAGTTTCGCTCTTTCTGCCCAGGCTAGAGTGCAATGGCGCAATCTCGGCTCACTGCAACCTCTGCCTCCTAGGTTCAAGCGATTCTCCTGCCTCAGCCTCCCGAGTAGCTGGGATTACAGGCGTGCGCCACCACGCCTGGCTAATTTTGTATTTTTTTAGTAGAGACAAGGTTTCTCCATGTTGGCCAGGCTGGTCTTGAACTCCCGACCTCAGGTGATCTGCCCGCCTTGGCCTCCCAAAGTCTTGGGATTACAGGCATGAGCCACCGCACCTGGCCAAACATATTTTTCTTTAACTGAGGAAATTAGATTCATTGTCCAAAGCTTAAAAGGAAGATTTTCTACTTTGAGTTTTTATTAACTCTGATACTTTACTATGACAGTACTTCCAGCCTCTGAGACATGAGAAATAGCGTGAGATTGTAGTAATCAAAATGACCTTACCAGAAATCACCACCAGGTTGGTGAAAAACAGTACATCTACACAGAAGGATGGACTTGATGTTGATTCTTTCAAGATTAAAGATGAAGATGCCCGAACTTGAAGCAAGTCTTTTATCAAAACCGTACATAAAGCAAAACACACTGTATGATACTGTAATGGTGGACACATATCATTACGCATTTATCTGTAGAATGTGCAACACCAAGAGTGAACCGTAAGATTAAAAAAGAAACAACAACAATAGGCTGGGCGCAGTGGCTCATGCTGGTAATCCCAACACTTTGAGAGGCTGAGGTGGGCGGATCACCTGAGGTCAGGAGTTTGAGACCAGCCTGGCCAACGTTGTGAAACCCCATCTCTACTAAAAATAAAAAAATTAGCTGGCTGTGGTGGCGGGTGCCTGTAATCCCAGCTACTTGGGAGACTGAGGCAAGAGAACCGCTTGAACCTGGGAAGCGGAGGTTGCAGTGAGCTGAGATCATGCCACTCACTGCATTCCAGCTTGGGGGACAGTGAGACCCTATATCAAAAAAAAAACAAAAAACAACAAAAACAAATCAAAGCCTGTACATAAAGTATGTACTGTTGCCTGCATGCCATTTGTCAGTTTTAAAGATTAACCATGGTCAGTTTTTAAATGTAGTCCAGTATATCCTTGGTACCTTTGAGTTCTTGGGCTTTTTCCTTTGCTGTTTGACTAGTAAGCAAAATGTAATAAAAGTAATTAGCATATTGCATAATAGTCCACATAGTTCCATTCCCAAATATTACAGAGAACTCCTCATTTTTTGTAATATTGGAGGCTGTTATAACCCTGAAGTCTTGAACATTCCTTACAAATCTCTTGACATCTTTTGTTCTCCATCTGTGAAGTTAGCTAACACCAGAATTCCTGTATTATGACTCCTCCCATAACATGTGCTGTCTCACCTCAAGAAAACTGAATTTTCACTCTTCCATGTCCAATTTGTAAATAATTCACCAAGAATAACATTTCAAAATTTAGTTCAAAATAACAGATGTTACTTCATAAACTTATTTAAAAAACACTTGGACATTCATCTCCCATTTGGATGTAGTGATTTTGACGTAATCACTTTGATTTTCTTAAGTAAATGTAAGTAGGCTATACATATTTAACTTCGGGGCATAGTAACTTTTGGGTACTTACAGTTTCAGCATTGAGCTAGTTTACGAAGCAGAACTAACATTTGAAGACAGCTTCATTCTTTAGTCAACATAAAAATTGTTTTTGTCAAAGTAACTGTATGTAGGAAGTATGTGATCCTTTTTTTCTTAAAAAAATGAGCTCCAAATAGCCATTTAGTAACACTTCATGTATAGAGGTTTCTGTGAGATCAATTCTTCCAAGTGTTCAAAGTGTAAAAAGCTGTGAAACACCCATTAAGTGGGTGTTTGGAATGAAAGGGGAATGGAAAGAGATGAGATAAAAATATTATCTAAAATATTGCATAGTCGTGGCTGCTGCTTTGCTAAGCAACACTGTCTCTTGGTGGTCACATACATGAAGACTTGTTTCAAATTCATGAGTATAGTCTTACCTGAAGGAAAACAAGGCAAGTAAACTTTGCAAATACTTAATTTCAAACAAACAAACAAAAAACTTTAAGAAAGCACTACAGCTTTCTTGTTGAAAGGCGCTATAGAGTTAGTCACATATTCTGAGATGGCTGTCAAACCATGCAATATGTTTCTATATATCAGATGATTTTTTTTTTTTTAAATTGAGATGGAGTCTCATTCACCGTGTCACCCAGGAAGGAGTGCAGTGGTGCAATCTCGACTCACTACAACCCCCACCTCCCGGGTACAGCATTCTTGTGCTTCAGCCTCCTGAGTAGCTGGGATTACAGGTGCACACCACCACGCCCAGCTAATTTTTGTATTTTTAGTAGAGACGGGGTTTCACAATGTTGGCCAGGCAGATCGCAAACTGCCTCAAGTAATCTGCCCGCCTAGGCCTCCCAAAGCGCAGGGATTACAGGTGTGAGCCACTGCATCTGGCTGGCATTATTTCTAACACACTTCTGTTAAATACTTCCTTCAAGAACAATATCTTTGTCATAGAATATGCTACATTTTTTAAAAACAAATTTATTTATCAAGGATGGCATTCAAATACCCTGGTAATTACAAAACTGCAATGATAAAATACAAAATATTGAACTTAAACAGTTTCTCTGAGCTAAATCCAATAAATAAATCAGGGAATTTGTTTTCTTAAATAATATTGAAAAGATTCCTGGGGCCAGGCCCGGTGGCTCACACCTGTAATCCCAGCACTTTGGGAGGCTGATGCGGGTAGATCACCTAAGGTCAGGAGTTTGAGACCAGCGTGGCCAACATGGTGAAACCCTGTCTCTACTAAAAATACAAAAATTAGCCAGGTGTGGTGGTGCACATCTGTAATCCCAGCTACTTGAGAGGCTGAGGCAGGAGAATCACTTGAACCGGGGAGGCAGATGTTGCAGTGAGCCGAGATCACTCCATTGCACTCCAGCCTGGGCAATGAGCAAAACTCTGTCCCCGCCTGCCTCCCCCGCTCCCCCCCAAAAAGATTCCTTTTTGCTATTTATTGCCCTGTTTTTGATGACTATGGTGGTGGTTGGGTTATTTTGGTATTTACTATTAATACAGTTTATAAAAGTAAACAAATTTTCAAGCTTGCTTTTATTTTTGTCATATAAGTAATTTAAATCTTATCAAATTCAGATCACAGAGTTAACTTCATGTATAACTTTTCTTGCTTTGTAATATCTAGATTGGAGGCTGAAATAAGGATTTGTTCTCTGTTAAAAGCAGAAAGACCTTGGTAGGAGCACAGGGAAAACTCAGCTTGATAAAGATACCAATTTATTTTCATTTATCACATTGTCTGCTCTGACTTGTTCCCTTAAAATATTTATAACCTTTGTTACAGTGTGATCAGTCTAATCTAAAGTTTATTCAGTTGAGGTTGATCTATGTTGAGGAGTGTGTGTACATATATACATACATGTATATGCATATGACATTTGAATATGCTTTTTTGCCTGTCTGGTTTCAATGAAAGTGTGCTATATTTAACACCAATAGACTATTATTAGCATCAGAAACCTGGAGCATTGCTAAGTTTCCAGTATTGATTAGATAACAGCTCAGTTCTGCCAGGTTGGACATATGGTAAAGATAAATGACAAGTATTTTAAGGTTAACCCTCCCCCGCTTAAAAAAAAAAGGTGCAGGAAAAAAAGTAGGGGAAAACAGTAGACAGTGCACCCTAGTTATTGATTCTTGGAAAGCTAAAATCTATCGTGTAGCACCTGAACATTATAACACTTTAGAAAATTAAGACATTTGAAGGATGTAAGAATGTATCAGCAAGGCTTTGGCTGGGGTGCAGTGGCTCACGCCTGTAGTCCCAACACTTTAGGAGCCCAAAGCAGGCAGATCACAAGGTCAGGAAATCGAGACCGTCCTGGCTAACACGATGAAACACAAAAAAATTAGACGAGCTCACACCTGTAGTCCCAACACTTTGGGAGCCGAGGTGGGCAGATCACAAGGTCAGGAGATCGAGACCATCCTGGCTAACATGGTGAAACCCCATCTCTACTAAAAATACAAAAAAATTGGCACACACCTGTAGTCCCAGCTACTCGGGAGGCTGAGGCAGGAGAACTGCTTGAACCCAAGGGGCGGGGGTTGCAGTGAGCTGAGATTGTGCCACCACACTCCAGCCTGGGCGAAAGAGCGAGACTCCATCTCAAAAAAAAAAAAAAGAGAGAAAAGAATGTATTAGCAAGGCTTTCAAACAGTTACCCTAAAAACTAAATACAGGCACAACATAACTGTGTAGACATAATTATGTATCACATGTAGGTACTTATAGATATATTTATGCAGAGTATTTTTAGTTAACATATCTGACTGTGACAACAAAATAGTCATTTAGTTTGAAAATCATGTGCCCAAATATGTGTTTTGCTGTGGTTACCCTGGAGACTTTGGAGTTCTGCCATGTGATTTCCTTAAATCCCTGGAATTTTTGATTGCTGAGAATTCAGGAGGAGTTGCCCACTTGTTAGTGTGCAGGGAAATGTGTTTTTCTCATTTCTAGTTGAGGTCATTCTTTTTTTTTTTTTTTTTTTAAACCATAGCATGTGTTCCATTAGTTATGAATGTATTATTTCTTTAGAGTCAAAATTCACAACTCATTTCTTTGAATATTATCTCTGATCCTAGATGGGATCAAAATTGCCCTAGATTTAGGAGTTTTAAAAGTTTACTAGGTTGTGGGGAAGATGGGTTTATTTTTCATAAACTTGAACTAGAATGTTGACGATTATAAGGACTGGGACACTTCCTAAAGGTCAAAATATTTTAAGGCGAAAGTATGTATTCTTTCCTTTTGCCTAATGATTGAAAGAAAAAGTGGTAATATGCGCTTGCTTTCTATTATGAGCTTTAATTTGTAATTTGATGAAGATTTTTGTTAACTTGCTATAGGTAGTCAGGTAAGGAAACAGTGGTGCCAGAATTTGTCCCTGATTCAGTATAGTTCTGTGCAGGTCTTGAGTAGATGAATTTAAATGCTACTTTATTAGTAAGAGTTAGATGGTCAGCCTTGTACTGAGAACCTCCAACCTTCTTCCCAGCTTTATTTTTCTACACGCTTCCCATCATCTGACTTACGTGTTTTACTTGTTTACTAGAATGTAAGCTACATACAAGCAGAGTTTTTAAAATTTTTATTCTGTTCATTGCTTTATTCTGAGTGGCTATTATCGTTTACCTTTTTTCCTTGTTTTCTATGCAAAGTCTCTTATCAGCCACTACTTGCTCATTTCCATACAGGGCTATAGTTCAACCCTTTGCTGATACCATTTTTCTTATAGAAAAAGTTCTTCCAAAACTTATCAATACTGTATTCATCATTAATGCCTCTTTGGAATTCTCTCATTCTCCTGACTATTGCTGAACATAGTCTCTTCTTTTAAATGCTGAGGAAGCACTCATTTGACACTTTGCTGAGATGTTTACCTAAACTACATTTTAAACTTTTTAATTACTACTGTTTTTACTGTGGAAAGGGGTGTGAAAGTGTTACAGCCCTTTACTATTGGGAAATCTAATCAGATAAATTTCGTGAGGCTAGGATGGAAAGGAAAAACTTTACAAGTTAAGCAAAGGGACTGTTAATTAACTGTTTAATAACTCTAACGACAGTTATGACCAGAGCAACATAATAGATAAAAGACAATCTCCACTAAGAGCCTTCATTGGGTAATAGTATGACTTGTAGTTTTTTTAAAAAATGCTAATAATCTCAGGTTGTATTACAGTCTCATGGTTATACAGATGGATGGGAATATCTCTATTTGCCTAGGATCAAGAGGCTAGGTGACCTCTTACTCAATGGGTCGTTCTTTGTTATATGTATTAGTATATAGTAAAAGGAAATACTTCCTTTACCATAAATGTTATTTTATTACGTGGCCATGTAATTATGGTCTCAGCTCCTAGGATCAGAGGATTTAAACTTAGAAGACATTTTTCGGCTGGGCACAGTGACTCAACACCTGCAATCCCAGCACTTTGGGAGGCTGAGGTGGGCGGATCAGGAGGTCAGGAGATCGAGACCATCCTGGCTGACACAGTGAAGCCCCATCTCTACTAAAAATATAAAAAATTAGCTGGCATGGTGGCGGGTGCCTGTAGTCCCAGCTACTCAGGAGGCTGAGGCAAGAGGATTGCTTGAACCTGGGAGGCGGAGGTTGCAGTGAGCCGAGATCGAGCCATTGCACTCCAGCCTGGGCAACAAGAGCGAAACTCCGTCTCAAAAAAAAAAAAAAAAAAAAAAAAATTAAGAAGGCTATCCTCTACCCTAAAAAGGATTGGTAGGCTGCTTGAATGAAATGATAATAAAACACCAGTTGTTTAAATGGGGCTCCTATACACACTTTGTTTTAAAAAGAAATATCGAGTTGTGGAGGGAAGAGGATGAAAAACATTTTGAGTATGTCTTTGTAACTAAAATTTACTTGGATTCACTAATGGCTTTGTTCCTTTATTGTAATGGAGTAATATTTTCTAAAACAAAAAGTTGTAATGGTGTTCTATACCTTAAATGTCAAAAAAGATTAAGTAGTCTCAATGTGTTGTAAATAAAAATGAAAGAAATGGTCAATCTGTGCATTAGATTGTGTTTAATCAAATGGTAGGGTAAAACTACGCATACCAGATGACAGCATAGCTTTAAAAATGTGGCTTGGAATAAAGTCTTTCAAAAATGGTTGTGTATACCCTGTCTACAAAGGAGGTATGATACATTTGTATTTATCTTTATTCTAGATAAAATGATGGTTTACAGGGGGAGAAAATGAAGAAAAAATTGTGAATGTCTTTTTTTTTTTTTTTTGGTAAGACAGTCTTGCTCTGTCACCCAGGCTGCAGTGCAGTGGCGCGATCTCGGCTTACTACAACCTCCGCCTCCCGGGTTCAAGCAATTCTCCTGCCTCAGCCTCCCAAATATCCCAAGTAGCTGGGATTACAGGCACCTGCCACCACGCCCAGCTAATTTTTTGTATTTTTAGTAGAGACCGGGTTTCACCGTGTTGGCCAAGCTGATCTCGAACTCCTGATCTCAGGTGATCCACCCGCCTCGGCCTCCCCAAGTGCTGGGATTACAGGCATGAGCCACCGCGCCCGGCTGTGAATGTCTGCTCTTAATACTTTGACTCATTACTGTCATTGAGTGTATTCATTTGTTTATTTTATTTTATTGTTATTGAAACTAGTTTTTTGTTTTTATATGCCATTTTCTTCAAGATGAAAATTACGGATAACTTACAGGTAGACTTTTTTTTTTTTTTTTTTTTTTTTGAGATGGAGTGTCACTCTGACACCGAGGCTGGAGTGCAGTGGCACCATGTTGGCTCACTGCAACTTCTGTCTCCTGGGTTCAAGCAATTCTCCTGCCTCAGCCTCCCGAGTATCTGGGATTACAGGTGCCCACTGCCACACCCGGCTAGTTTTTATGTTTTTAGTAGAGATGAGGTTTCACCATGTTGACCAGGCTGGTCTTGAACTCCTGACCTCAGGCGATCCACCCGCTTTGGCCTCCTAAAGTGCTGGGATTACAGGCGTGAGCCATCGCGCCGGGCCCAGGTAAACTTTTGTTGTTGTTGTTTGTTACATTTGATGTCTTTCTTATTTTGAGTTTAAAAGACCACAGTTTGCAAAATATAACTCAGTGAATTAATCAGTTATTATTTGATAATTTGATTATTTGATAATAACCAGAGTTATTTGATAATTTTTAAGTTTTCTTATAATTTAGAAATACAGGGTGAATAGGCAAAATGTAAACAAAAATGGTAATTTCATATAAAAAAGTATCTGGTGTTTAAAAAACTTTGTATGCATCTCAAAATCATGATTAAAGTATAGTTTTGGCTTATTAAAGTGTTATATATGTCTTCTGATATTAAAATTTGTTTTAATTATCCAAGTAATCCTGAATCCATTCTCATGGGAAGAAAGATACTTAAGTCAATATTAAAATACTGAAATATGTGAAGAGTTAAAGGTGAAAGTCATTCTGTACAGTTCTACAAAATTCTGTTTCTCTGTTCAGAGCTACTGCTTATAGTTTAGTGTTTAATCTTGCACACCTTTTGCATGCATAAACCTTTACAACAATTTGTTTTACTTTTTTAAAAAAATAAATGGGGCTCTATTTTACAATGTGTCAATATATTAATTTTTTTTCATGGTTACAATTTTGTAATGGTTCTCTTAATGATGGATAATTGTTTTCAGGGGTTTTTTTGCTATGATTTAAAAAATTTTACAGTGAATACTGTTGAGCTACATCTCTGGATATTACTATCGATTATATGGTCAGTGCACTTGTGGCTTTATGAATATTTTAAATAATGTAGTCAAGTCTGTTGATCTTTTTCCTTGTCATCTGTGTTTTGTGGATTTTGGTATTTCCAAACTATATTCATTTCTACAGAGTTATTTTCATTTCCATTTTTTGAACTGTCACTTGTAAAACACTTTCTTTTTATAGAACCTTATGAGTGATAGCAAGATGTATTAGTATGTAATACATTGTGATGGAGTGTAATGATCACAAGGATCAGTGACAGTTTTGATGACCAATTTCAGAGTTATAAAATAAATGAAATATATTCTGGAAAAGTCATGGGCTTTTTGTGTTGTTTGTGGAATCACTAAAGGTAGTCCCTCACTATTAACAAATTTGTTTTGACACATAATATGTGAGGCACTGAATTATAATAGGCACTAGAAACATTGCCTATTTTCCTGAATCCTTTAGACAGGATTGCTTCCCCAGTTACCAGAGATTTCTCTAACCTTGATTTACAGTAGCTACTGCTGGTAGGAATTGCTCTCCACTCCACTTTTGCTGCCATCCAGTGTTACATTACCCTACAAATATACTAAGTGCTTAGCAAAGCAGAGTCCAAATGTAAGATCAATTTTTGTCTTACCCAGAATTTTACAATTAAAATATATAAATAAAAGATTTCTCTGTGTGTGGATGTATGTGTACAGTATAGTGTTGCATGCTATACATGGGGTGAGGTATCAGAATGCTTTTTCAGTGTTTGGCACCTCTAATTTGGCTCTGTGGCCATTTATTCCACCTTTCTACCTTGAAATTCCACAACTTGGGCTCTTGAAATTACCTGGTATGGTGCAATGCACGTGTATTCTCAGCTACTCCAGAGGCTGAGGCGGGAGGATCACTTGAGCCCAGGAGTTTGAGGTTGAGATTGAGATGAACTGTGAGAACATGCTACTGCACTCCAGTCTGGGCAACAGAGCAAGACCTCATCTCTAAAAAATTTTGGGCTTGAAACGGGCTGATTTTGTCCTACCACTAGTAATCACTTTTAG
Source organism: Homo sapiens (assembly GCF_000001405.40). Lineage (NCBI taxonomy): Eukaryota > Metazoa > Chordata > Mammalia > Primates > Hominidae > Homo > Homo sapiens. The sequence continues at coordinate 207,555,136 of NC_000002.12, forward strand.
AAGTAGCTTACAATTGCTGTTTCTTCCTTCTTATGGGGGGAAATACCCTTATAGGAGGTATTATGAAGCCAATATCTAATAAACTCTGTCATCATTAGCTCACTTCCACTCTTCTGCCATCTCTCTGTACCTGATTAGTATAGTTTTGAAAAATTATAATTTTGCTACCACTGCACCTCTCCTTGTTAGTAGGGGAGATTTATGTAAGAGAAGAATCTTTTATTTCTAGACAAGGTAATATCCCATTGGGAAGAAACAGCCAAGGGAGAAGAAATGTTTTTTTCTTCTTTGAAGGGACTAGAACTTTTATAGCTCAGCAAATTTGAATAAGTTTGATGGTAATTCAGCTACATTATATTTTAGCTAGATTTCTGAGTTCATTTGGTAACCTAACCACCACATATATACCTATTTATAACTTGAAATTTGCCTTTAAAGTCACGAAAGCACAAAGCACTGTGGTGCTTGTAACACTCTTCCATATTATTATAGGTAACTAAATGACCATGGAATCTGGAGCCGAGAACCAGCAGAGTGGAGATGCAGCTGTAACAGAAGCTGAAAACCAACAAATGACAGTTCAAGCCCAGCCACAGATTGCCACATTAGCCCAGGTATAAAATACATGGAGAGATTCCAGTTTGTGTCTCTTCCTAGAGGAATACGTTTCCAAGAGAATTTAGTTGTTATTACATAGATATACATAGAATGAGCAGAGATACTCTTACAATATCAAAATTCCTATTTACTTAGTATTAGAGTATATTTAGAAATGATAGTATTAATTCAATAACAGTAAAATGTATTATTAAACAATAATACAGTATTTTTAGTGAAATGATCCAGAAATAATTACATTTTAAACTTATGGGTAAATGGTGCTCTCAGATAAGGGAAGAAAACCTTGGCTATGTATGACAACTGCTTTTTTTATTTTTTTAATATGACACAGATTTATTTTTTAACAGTGGGAATGCAGATAATATGAAAGCCTAAGTTTATATAACTAAACTAAAAATTAGGATAAGCAAATAAATTGACATGTAAGGAAATTTTAAGGATGATAGCAGTTTTTGTTTCCTGTATATTTTAAATATAATTTCTGATTCTTTCATTTCATCTTTCTCTTTAACATCCTATCTTTAAGAATATTTTCTCTCATTCTTATGTTTTTGTTTGCATGCATTCTCCTCAACTATTTTATTAACAGCTGTTTACATAGATAGGAATGAGAAAGGTGGTTAACTTAAAAAACAAATAGCAGATACAGACCTGCTAGGTAATAGTGTGATACCGTCTCTTTCAGATGAAGGTTCCCAGGAGAATATAATCCTAGCAGAAGCTCTGATATATGTAGCTTCAGTTTCTCCAAGAGTTTAAAAGTTCCTAGAGAAGTCACCTAGCAAGAATGAATCATGGGAAATAGAGGACTCACCACACTTGGGTGTCTGGCTGAGGTAGTGTGAGCCAGATACTGGATTTCCAGCAAGAATATAGTCAGAAGGAGTGAGCTGTTCTGTGTTTTCTCCTAAGACCACCAGGGTTTACCTCCAGCCTTCAGGAATAAGACAAAGCCAAATACATCTAATGTACTCATACGAGGCAGGCTGCAGGATTGAAGGGGAGAGAGCCAGGACTTCCATCAATATAGGGTCAACAGATAAGAATCTGGGCTCATCTGTATATTTTGCCCTTTAGAAAGAGGAAGACACAATGCTAGGCCGGGCGCTGTGGCTCACGCCTATAATCCAAACACTTTAGGAGGCTGAGGCGAGCGAATCACTTGAGGTCAGGAGTTCAAGACGAGCCTGGCCAACATGGTGAAACCCCATCTCTACTAAAAATACAAAAATTAACCAGGCGTGGTAGCACACACCTGTAAATCCAGCGACCTTAGAAGGCTGAGGGAGGAGAATTGCTTAAGTCCGGGAGGCAGAGGTTGCAGTGAACTGAGATTGCGCCACTGCATTCCAGCCGGGGTGACAGAACAAGATTCCCTCTCAAAAAAAAAAAGAAGATGCAATGCCAGCAGGCTTCTTTATGATGATAGCCCTTAACACATCTTATCTCTGGAGTCACACTATTTTGTCCAGTCTGGTTGTCCCCAGAGTAGGCTGTATTGTGTCATCCTGGGAATTCCTTTCTCCCTACTTCCATTTTCTCACAGTTTGTGTTTTTGATATGGTAAAGCATGTTTTTCAGTGGTTTTATGAGAAAGAAAGGTTGGCTGAGTAAAGATAGCATGTTATAAAAATTGAATGTATGGGCCGGGTGTGATGGCTCACACCTATAATCCCCACACTTTGGGAGGCCGAGGCAGGCGGATCACGAGGTTAGGAGATTGAGACCATCCTGGCTAACACAGTGAAGCCCGTCTCTACTAAAAATACAAAAAAATTAGCTGGGTGTGGTTATGGGCTCCTGTAGTCCCAGCTACTCGGGAGGCTGAGGCAGGAGAATGTCATGAACCCGAGACCGCACCACTGCACTCCAGCCTGGGTGACAGAGCGAGACTCCATCTCAAAAAGTAAATAAATACAAATAAAAATTGAATGTACATGTGCCTTAACATCTAGAAGATGTACAACAAAAATATTAAAAGTGATTAGCTATGGGTGATAGGAATATAAAGGGTTTTTATTTTATTTTTTATATCTGTATTTTATAAATTTATAATGAGAGGAGCCATTATATAAAATTATTAGTGTAGAAAAGGGATTATTCATTGAGTTAGCTAGGTATATTTTCCCTAGAGAAGACTCAGGAAAGAGAACATAGTAATTGCTTCAAATATTACAAGAGCATTTATATGGAATTGAGATGAGATACTCTGAATAAGGTTATGGTTCTCAAACTTCAGTGTACGGGAAAGTATGATTGGGTTCCTGTTAGAGTTGACTTTACAGAGTATCCTGTGTGACTCTAATGAAGCTATTCCATGGACCACATTTTGAGAATCAAATAAAACTAAGCAAGATTTATAGTGGCCAGAGAGAAAGTGATTAATAAGTAAGGACTTTATTACTATCCAGAGATGGAAGCTTCTGGTTTTACCCTATATGCCAAAGACACTGTCTTTATAGGGATCTTCCCCCCAGGCTTCACAGTCACATATTTCGCTGCCTGCTAAAATAAACATCTCTACAAATTCAGATGTCAGAGTAGTTTCATCATCTTCCATTACAACCCCAGTCACCCAAAAGCCTATCCTTACTTCTTGCATTCTCTTTTTCAATTAAGGACAGTCTGCCAATTCTCTTTCAGACATGAAACATTGGGTCATCTGCAGTTCCTCTCTCACCTCTTTTAACTATTCATAAAGCCCTTTCTGGACTGCTTCCAAATTTTCATAAAATCACTTCCCTCGTTCCCATCTCTACTACTACTAACTGCCCTCTTTTTGGCCTTCATCATCTTTCCTTAACTACTTCATGGGCTTTCTTCGTTGGTCTCCCCACCACCAGTTTTCCCCCTGAAATATATATCTTTCACACTGCCACTAAAGTGATTTTTTTTTTTTTTTTTTGAGATGGAGTTTTGTTCTTATTGCCCAGGCTGGAGTGCAATGGCGCGATCTCGGCTCACTGCAACCTCTGCCCCCTGGGTTTAAGCAGTTCTGCTTCAGCCTCCCAAGTAGCTGGGATTACAGGCACCTGCCACCATACCTGGCTAATTTTTTGTATTTTTAGTAGAGATGGGGTTTCACCATGTTGGCCAGGCTGGTCTCGAACTCTAGACCTCAGATGATCCACCCGCCTCGGCCTCCCAAAGTGCTGGGATTACAGGCGTGAGCCACATTGCCCGGCCTAAAGTGATCTATCTAAAAGCAAACATCACCATGGTATTCAGGAGTTCAAAAGCCCTTCAGTGGCTTCTGCAATACCCTCAGGATAAAATGCAGTTTCTCTGAGGTGACATAATACAGGCTTTTTGTGACTAGCACATCTAGCCCCACCTGCCTCTGTTGTTTTCTCTCTCCCTACTTCATACATCATACAGTAACACACTTATGTGCACCATTGGTGCTGAGCTGCTGGTTATCCCACTCTGCCATGTGTGCTGTTTCTCTTTGCTTTTGCCACTACTCCACTCTGTGCTTGAAATTCTGTGACTCTTCCCTGTAAGTAATAATAACAAGTCTAACTTTTTTCTTTTGTTTTAAATTCACATTCTTCCCTGATAGCCTCCCCTTCTCTTAGGTTGGGTAGAGTAATTCTCAGTGTGTCCATTTTTCTTTTAGCAAACCTCATTACTAAACTGAATTGTATTGTGTCTCTTTTCCCCATTCCTTCGCATACATACCCCCAATAATTTATTTGAGGTCAGAGACCCCTATCTTTCTCACTTTTGTAGTTTCAGTTCTAACATTATTCCTGGAACATAGGTCCCCAATAACTGTTTCCTGATTTAGCAAATAAAATTCCTATCCTTGAATGTGTTCAAGCATAGGAGCAATAAATAACATCTGATAGACATGTATGATTTAAGGACCCTTTTAACCTGGGTATTGACTCATTAAAACTGCCTTAGTTCTAGACTTAGTAGGTCAGGTTTGCTTATGCTTGAGAGCAGTTAGATTTTAGAACGTGACTTATTTAACATGATATTCTTTAGAATTTTATGTTTCTTCAAGGATAGTATATCTGTTGACCTTGGGTGAACACTTAATCTCATTGAGCAGTTATTTGTGTTTTTAAAAATGGAGATCCTTATCACCCAGTCTTCAGTTTCTTCAAATAGCAAAATCAGAAATTGGAAATGAAAGCAGGTGGGAAAATGTAAAGTGCCATACAAATAAAGTGATATCTCATGTTCAGAGAGTCTGTATTACATATTTGGTATAACATGGGAATAGTTTTTAATTTTTTGTCACTTGGGAAGAGCTGAAAAGGATAGGGGTATAGTTTTTGGTGTTTTTTATAGTGTTTTTTCTTAAAGAATATTAAATTTAGTCATTACTTTCATATCAGTGAAATACATATCTAGCAAAAAGGTCACGTTTTTGCTTCTAAAAAGTTATTTCATATTGAACATGAGTACTGCCAAAGAGTGTCTGGGATGATAATTCTTTTCTGTGTTCAACACCATAGGTATCTATGCCAGCAGCTCATGCAACATCATCTGCTCCCACCGTAACTCTAGTACAGCTGCCCAATGGGCAGACAGTTCAAGTCCATGGAGTCATTCAGGCGGCCCAGCCATCAGTTATTCAGTCTCCACAAGTCCAAACAGTTCAGGTATGTGTATAAAAAGTTCTGCATCTATTTTAATAACTTTTGTTTATAGCCATATCTCTCTCCTTTCACTAGTTATGAAAATAAGGACACATCTAGTTCAGTTTATTTTATTCACAGTATAGGAATATGCTGCATCTGTATAGTCACCTTATGTATAGGAACATATATACAGAAGAACAAACATAAAAGAAAATGACTAATTTCTTAAGCTGCAGAGGAAAAAGAATTGATTGGGGAAAATAATGAAGTACATGAGATAAAGTGGAAGTGTTTGGGAGAAACTGTAGGACTGAAGTACCTCAGTCGAGGAAAATTGAGATGCAAAAATAGTAACTAATTTTCTAAATCTGCAATTGGAGAAAAATATACCCTTGATCAAAAATTAATAACCTTACCTAAGATATTATTTGACCTTAGAGATTACATAAAGCATTTGTAAAATCAGCTGTGCTTAGGGTTTTCAGTTACAGTGTGTAACTTTGAAATAATATATTCAGAGGTTACATCTTAAGGGTCAGGAATTATACTATGCATGTTATCTAATTCTTTGGAGAGATCTTTCCTTTGGGTTTGATCCACAGGTAATAAAGGCACTGTAGACCTTTGAAGGTGACTACTCTGTTTAACTGTAGGGAACCGAGAGCAGTATAGATCATTGCAATTGAGCTTATTGAAAAAAAAGACTTGAACGTTCATTCAAGTAGGCCATAACCCCAGCCTCCCATTTCATATTTTTTGCTTCACAGTCTTCCTGTAAGGACTTAAAAAGACTTTTCTCCGGAACACAGGTGAGTCCTAGGTCCTAGATTTGGAGAGAACTATTATTAGAAAGGAAGGTGAGAAATTATTCTTTATGTCTTTGTCCTTTTCCTCTATAAACATGGAATTTCAACACTTGAACAAAAACCTCAGAGATCTTCTGGGTCTAGGCCATACTTGTTACCTCCCCAGCCCTTAGTCTGTTGCTTAATTCTGTTTAACATTTCTCCCCTCTTCCTAATGGTAGTCCAGCATTTACTTGAACACTTTCAGAGAAAGGAAGCTCAATCTCCTGAGGTAACCTGTTTACAATTAGGAGTGATTGCTAAAATATTCTTCTCTGTGATGATCCAAAATATATCTTCCTAAAACTTTTACCTAGTGATCCCGGGTAAACACAGGTTCTATTCTCGGAAACTAGATTAGCAAGTCTAATTCCTGTTCTATTGGACTGCTTCCTCTTCCCCATCCCCCGCACCCTTCCTATTTTTAAGAAAATTTCCAGACTAAACAAACTATTTTTCTTTAGCCATTTATTAGATGGTATAACTCTGTTTCCTCTTCACCATCCTGGTTGTTTTCTTCTGGGTGAGCGCTGTTATGTTTTCTTTACATATAGTAACCAGAACTGATTAATATTTGTAGAGGGGAGAAGTGCTGTCTTTGTCCTGGAAGCATTCTATTAATGTCCTCAGTAGAATTTGTCAGCCATTTTATACTATTGAGTCATCGAACTTCTATTAACCACCTCTACTTCATTCTGTCTTTGTGCTTTTGGTTCACTTTGACACTTAAGTGGGAGCGTGGGGGAGGAGAAGTAATGTTTTTGTGTGAAATCATCAGTTGGATCAATTTCCATAAGACACTGGGAATGGCATTTGTTAACAAGTAAAAGATAGTGTTGTGCATGTAAAGATCTAAGAACTTGATATTTCTATGAAATCACAATGACTGAGCAATAGTCCTTTGCCTTAGTTTTTATTCCATTGAGTGCTACCTTACCATTGTCCATACTGTGCCATTACTAATTCCCTAACCATATGCTCCTCTTAGTAATAGTGAGAAAACTTGATTTGCTAGTGAGGAGACCTAGATTCCAGACCCAGTTTGGACATTAATAAGTCAAATGGCCTTGGGCACATCTACCTTTCTCTTTTTCACTTATAGAAGATCTTTCTATAAAGAACACAAAAATTACTTAAGTTACAGCCACAAAATTTGCTAAGATTACTGTTTTTTATTGTAATATGTGTTATTGTTGATTGTATTCTTGATTTTAATCTTTATTCTGGGGCAACATAATTTGGACATGAAGATTTTATGGCCATTAAGTATAGAAATATTCTCTTTTTTTTATTTGCTTGTATTCATCTTTAAGGAACACATTTGTCCATTAAGGTCCATTAAGGTGAGCTGTACTTCTAATTTAAGAGTGTGTATTTATAAAAGAAAAGTTGGACTTATTGAACCCTGGATTCTACAAATAGAGATACAAATATAATATTTTTTTCTTTAAAAGGCCTAAACTATAGAATATCTATTTTAATAGTTATCTTAGCCAGTTAATGGTGATTAGTGTTAACAACTAGGAAATAGTTTTTATCAAAAGAGATGATCAAACAAGGAGAGGATCTTCTAGATGGGAGACCTCATTAATATTCCAGAATAAAGTTTCCAAAATATACAAGGTACAGTTCTCTTGTTGTGAGAATAGATTATTACTTTAAATTATCATTCATTCCTACAACAAATGTTTATTGGTGACATGCTATGTCACTGTTCTGCTTGCTATAAAAGACAGCAATGAGCAAATAATACTTCTCTGTTCTCAAGAAGATCACATTTTAATGAAAAGAGACAGACTATGAAAAAATAAATTGTGTCAGGTTAGGAGAATTAACGAGAGAGATGAATAAAGCCAGGGGAAAGGGATGGAGAATGATGTGGAGGGAAGGGTGTTCTACTTTATGTAATGTGCTCAGGGAACACAGCACAGACCAGAAGGCAATGAAGGAGGCTAAGGCATGCAGATCGAAAGGTTTGGAAGTGAGGGTATACTTGGGATATCAAGGAATAACAGAAAGGTATGGCTGGAATAGAGTAAGTGAGGAGGGAAGTGATTGGAGATGCAATTTACAACGTAAGTTTGTCTCCTTTAAAATGTCAAATCTACGTATTTTAAAACCCTAGGAATAGAACTTTGTAAATTGTTCAGGAGTCTTCCGGAGTTTCAGCAGGTATTGAACTTATTTCTTAAAAATACAAAATTGTAACCCCTTCCTATTAACATGGAATAAACTGACTTAGAGCCAGGGAGATGAAAATAATAAACTAGATAAATCTCATTGAAAGCTTGCATAATTGGTAGATGCAAATGAAAATGATTATTTAGTAAGCATACCTCAAATGCACCTAGTTTTGTTATCTACATGAAGTTTTCTTTTTCAATGCCAGCAGTTGTTAAATCACATTTCAGAAAACCCAAGCTTAGAATCTGACTTCTAAATGACTGTTATAAAGTGTTAAATGAGGTCAGACTCCGTGGCTCATTCCTGTAATCCCAGCACTTTGGGAGGCTGAGGCGGGCGGATCACTTGAGCTCAGGAGTTCGAGATCAGCCTGGCCAACATGGCAAAACGCCATCTCTACTAAAAATGCAAAAATTAGCCAGGCGTGGTGGTAGGCACCTATAGTCCCAGCTACTCGGGAGGCTAAGGCACGAGAATCACTTGAACCCTGGAGACGGAGGTTGCGGTGAACCAAAATCATGCTGCTGTACTCCAGCCTGAGTGACAGAGTGAGACTCTGTCTCAAAAAATAAAAGTGTTAAATGATTTTTAATGAAGCATATTATGTCATTCTCACTATCCTGAAAAATAATATTATTTATCTTTAAGAAATATATAAATTTTTAATATTTATGCTTATCATATCTCTTTAAGAACTCTTGTTTTATAATACGAATACTTAAAATTTAGAAATAAGAAAAATGTATGCCTGTGTAAAATTTTTCTTATTTATAAGAGATACATGCAGATCAAAAGAGTTGGAAGATCATTGATCTAGACTTTCAGTAAGCTTCTTGATCCAATGAGTAAAACACTGTATCTAAGGCCAGGTGCAGTGGCCTATAATCCCAGCCCAGGCAGGAGGATTGCTTAAAGCCAGGAGTTCAAGACCAGCCTGGGCAACATAGCAAGACCCTGTCTCTACAAAAAAATTAAAAATTAGCTGGGAGTGGTAGTGCATGCCTGCAATCCCAGCTAACTCAGGAGGTTGAGTCTGGAGGATCCCTTGAGCCCATGAGTTTGAGGCTGCAGTGGGCTGTGATCGCACCACTGCACTCCAGCCTCGGTGAGTGAGTGAGATCCTGTCTCTTAAAAAAAAAAAATCTTAAAAAAAAAATATATATCCAAACCATGAGTCTCAACTCTACCGAGGGATAGTACTTAAGTTTCCAAAGGACCATATATAGGTTTAGGAAACATCGAATATTACCATTGTTTTGATTGGTTCTAGTTACTTTATAGTTTATTTTAAAATTTCAAATAATCGAAACGGGGTCCTCCACCTTTCCAATATAAACAGGTAGTATGGGTTTTAAATAAACCAAAGTTGAGAAATACAGACCTAAAACTTTATATCTACAAGTGGTAGTTTAGCTTTTTGAAAATTTCTTGACTTACAAGTGGCCAAAATTAAAGACCTATTTAAGGAATTCAGAAAGAAGTTAATAAGTGATAGGAGATGAGAATAAAAGGAAGGGGTTCCATCATTGGAATGTGATGATGATACGTGATGTTTATAATTGGGATATAATTTTTCATATGATGTTTTTATTCTGTTATTTATAAAAATAGATTTTTGACATGATTTTTATTGATCTCAGTTATGTGGGTCCAGTATGTTTTTTTTTTTTTAACATCAGTTTTAGGTTCACAGCAAAATTGAGAGGAAGCTACAGAGATTACCTGTATACTCCCTCCCCAACTCCATGGATAGCTTCCCCTGTTCTTAACATCCTCCCCCAGAACGGTACATTTATGTTATAATTTGATGACCCTACATTAACACATCATAATTACCCAGAGTCCATAGTTTACATTAAACTTCATTCTTGGCTTGGTATATTCTGTGGCAGTATTTTTATTATTGATTAAGTGATAGATCAGGGACTCCATAGGAATTAGCTTCATGGCTTACTTCTCTTCAGATGGTATTCCCAAAGAGGAAGTGTTGTGTTTATTTCAGTGGTCTGAATTCTCTTTACATTTACAAAGTTGCAAGCACTAAATAGTGATAAGTTAATTCCTTCTGTGTGAATTGACAAAATCTTACAGGTCAGAGAAAGGCAACCTTTTTTTTTTTTTTCATTAAGGGCCATAGATCCAGAGTTAGAAAAAAAAAGGACACAGATTAAAAAACAACATTAATTTGTTTCATTTCAAAACTATCCTGTGGGTAGTTTATATGGCATGTTTTAATGTTGTTGTTTTAGTGAGTTCCAACTTGGAAGGGGGGTGTTCCCTAATCACTATATGTCCTTAAGAGAAGCATGTAAGGATGGGGCATATGAGAGTCAAGCAGTGGACACAGAAAGAGCCACAGAGGAGCTAAGTGAATTCTGAGTGGCGTATTAATGAAGGGAAACAACACTTGTCACAGTACTATCAACTTTGAGTTCAGTCTTGTTATTCCTTGAATTTCTGATCCTTTCCTCAGGCCTTTTCATAGCTCCTGATCTTCTGTATGTGAGAAAGTTTGTGCAGAGACTCTTGTGTGTGGGCTAGTTACAGCAGCTACTGATTAACGTGAAACTTTTCTGTGTGCTTCTTTGGCAGTAATTACAGCATTATTATTCTGCTGAGAATCACAGACTAAATTCAGCATTACTCATCTTTTTATCTGTCATTTGTGAATTCATTATATGTTGCCTATTGATTTTTAGGTCTTTCAGATTGTACTTAGACTTTAAAGTGTTTGGATGGGGCAAATTACTTCATTATAAATATATTTTACTACAAGTTACTAACTTTACCTGGTTTCATTTTAAATGAGCATGCATATCACAAAGCCCTGTAAAATGAATGCCCACTTGGGAGAACTGTTAGGCTCAGACCACACATAGAGTACGCTTGGAATTTCTCAAGTACTTCTGAATATGTTTTCTTACTGCCATTGCCATACGTTTTGACGTGGAGCTGACCTACATAGACCCTTTTGTCTTGGTTAAGTATAATTCTTACTCTGACCGCATAATGTGCCCCTAGTTCAGGAAAGAGCATAACGTTTCTGCTGATTAGAGAAACTTGGGCAGTGTAAATTTGACAATCAAGCATACTTAGGTAAGTGAACTCTTCTAGTCTAGAAAAGGTGTGAAAATGCCACTGGTTGCTGCTTCTGACAAACCTGGTTTGAGACTATAACAGTCTGGTTTGAGACTGGAACCACCAGGATTTTGATGCTGGTAAGGATGTCTAAAATGGAGGTTAATGACAGTGGCTCCACTACTTCCTAGCTTTGTGACTCGGGTGAGTTACTTCTTTGTGCCTTAGTTCTTCCATCTATGGAATGGATATAATAGTATAGTACCCATCTGGCGCCTACATTACTGTGAGTATTAAGTAATGTAGTATATGTAAATGCATTAGCATAACACCTGGCACATAGGCATCTGTAAATTCTAGTTTCTATCATTAATATCCCATGTAAATTTTTTATTCACTTATCTTCATTACTTTTCAGTCTAGGTATTCTTATCAGAAAAGCATAGTTCTTTACCTTGAATTTTTACTTAAAAGTGATTATAGAATGCTAACTTTGAAACATGTTAGGAGTTTTTCCTAACTTGCTAGGAACAACTGTCAGGGATGTCATGATGGATCGCCAGTCTTACTGTACAACTGTAAATATATTCATAAGTGTTTATACAGTTAAATAATAATATTTGTATAGTCACTATATAGACTTAGGACCAAATATTTAGCCATCCATTTTATCCTTTATATCAGAAACCTTATTTTAGTTGGTAGTTTTGTTCCAACAGATGTAAGAAAAAACTGATAAGTAATACTGATGCATTCAGGATTGATTACATGGAGTCCTGAAAAAAAAATTAAACTGCAGCTATTTTAGGTTCTCTAACTTCATCGTAGTTTATAGGGTAAGTAAAGGGAAGGGGAAAGTGATTGGTGTGGTTGTCTCCCATAAGAACTGATTTTTTTCTACTGAAGCATGTATAAAGTTTATATATGACTTTTTATATTTGTTTAATAAAAATTTTACAGGAACTAAATTTGATTATCAATATGAAGTTTTTCTTTAATTTCAGATTTCAACTATTGCAGAAAGTGAAGATTCACAGGAGTCAGTGGATAGTGTAACTGATTCCCAAAAGCGAAGGGAAATTCTTTCAAGGAGGCCTTCCTACAGGTATGGAATTTAATAGTTAGAATCAAAGATGTGGAGGAAGTCTTAGGTAGTTGCAGATAAAGAGATGTCAGAAGACCAGTTAGTTGTTCACGTCAGTTCCTTATAGATTACTTTTCTTCATCTTGAGTTATTTGTCTCAAATAAAGTGGAAGCTTATCCTACAGAATAAGAAGAGCACTTGTTACTCTCACCAGTCCTAATTTTTTTTTTTTCTGTTTCTGTTTCTGTAGACTGTGCTGGCTGTCTTTCTGTTAAAAGTTTGGAATACAGTTGATAAGGTTATAGCATTTTTTAGTTATAAGCCAACTCTGAGGCTCTGTTATTTATCTACTTAGTAACACATTGCAAACCATTTTTTATGCCATGGTACTTAACAGATAGCTATTAATTTAATAATTGTCTCAGGGAGATGCTTTACTAACATCCCCTAATTTTAGCAGTAGCTTACTGTAATTTTTGTGTTCAGTTATAGATGTTGCCTAGTCCATGCCTTGCCTCCAAGGTGAACCAAAACCATTTTTTAATGTAAAAATTAGCTCCACATTAAATATCTTCAGGAAGGGCAGTTCCATAAATCTTGATAAGTTTACTTCAGCATTGAAGAAACTTCAGACTCATAATTATCTTCCTTGTTAGTGTAAATTATTTTTTATATATTCCTATTTTTCAAAGGGATGGTTTTTTCCCCCCGCTTGGCTATTAAACTAACCCTTTTCTCTGTCCTTACAATTAAATTAAGAATCCTAAGTGACTAGCAATAAATAGATTTTGAGGTCTAAGAAATTTTATATTACCAGTTTATGTTATATGTATTTATATTCATAATTTATTTTAAGTATAGCTAGTGTTAGATTTTAACTTTGAAGTATATCTCCTGTTAGTATATAACACATTTGATCCTGAAGCAAATCCAACCAAATACTACTAGTAAAGTAATTACACAGGTAAATATAAAAGCCAGGATTATTATAGTTTTGGTTTGTAACTCCTTTTTTTCCTATGTGATTGGAAAGACAAAGGCATAGAACAATAACTATAAATTTATGTGACTAAGCACATGATATATGAAGATGTCATTTTTGACAATAGCATAAAGGGACAGAGTTTATAACTAGTTTGTTACAAATTTAAGATATCAAAAATTACTTGGGTTAGGGTTTTTAGGGGTTTTTTCCCACCTTTCAGTGTGATTATGTTATTCATTTGAAATATGGTATGGTTCCTTTGTTTTTGGGTTCCATTTTAGAGTTTCTCCACCCATCCTTGTTGATCTTTATTTTTTTTTCTAGTAAGTGAAACATTTAACACTGTACCAAAAGTCAGAATTGCACAAAAAAAGTATACTCAGTAGTGCCTCCCCATTCCTTCTGTCGTTTTCATTTCTTTCCTACCCATCCCCAGTAAATAGCTAAAACCATTACTCTCTCGTTTATCCATCCTGATTTTTTTCCTTGAACAAATGAGCAGATACATGTCTGTTTTCATATTTCCCTTTTTTCCTTACACAAAAGATATGCTGTATCCATTATTTGGATGTACCATAGTTGATTCAACCACTTGCCTTTATATGGGCATATAGATTGTTTCCAGTATTTTTTTTCCTTTTTATTTGTTTTTCTATTTTAGACCTTGGATATATGGCTCCAGTATTTTGCAGTTACAAACAGTGCCAATGGGAATAATCTTAAGCGAGTTTATTTTAATATTGTTGGAATTGGGGTGAATTCCTGGAAATGGGATTGAGGCACGAACACCCATATTTCCTTAAATATCAACAATTCCTTATATCGGGATTGTGCCAGTTTTATACTCCCAGCAGCAATGTATGAGAGTGTGGTGTTTTTTGTTTTTGTTTTTGTTTTTTTTGTAGCTTTGCTAACAGATTTTGTTAACACTTTTTTGTTTCCCAATCTGAGAAGTGAGAATTTAAAAATCAGGTTTTGATCTTTTTTCCCTTTAGTTGATTGTTGACTTTTTACTTTCCGACTTTGTGTATGTGTTCTTTGAGATGCAAAAGATTTTTTTTAATGTAGTCAGTCTTATTATTACCCTTAATTGCACCCTTCCTTACATTGAGGTTAAAGATAATACATCTTTTTTTTTGTTTTTGTACATATTTGGGTTCCTTTTGACATCTAGATCAATCCCTGACCCATGAAGAGTTTATTCATGTAATTTATATATTTTAAACTTCTGCTGGCTGGGTGCAGTGGCTCACACCTGTAATCCCAGCACTTCGGGAGGCCAAGGCGGGTGGATCACATGAGGTCAGGAGTTCGAGACCATCCTGGCCAACATGGTGAAACCCCATCTACTAAAAATACCAAAAAAATTAGCCAGGCGTGGTGGCAGGCGCCCGTAGTCCCACCTACTCTGGAGGCTGTTGCAGAATTGCTTGAACCCGGGAGGCGGAGGTTGCAGTGAACCAAGATCGCGCCACTGCACTCCAGCCTGGCGACAGAGCAAGACTCCATCTCAAAAAAAAAAAAAAAAAAAAAACCTTCTGTCCTAAGCACTAGCAGCTTTCTGTGAGTTTTCTCATCTTTAACTATATTTGTATTTAGCCAGTAAATTGTACTTATATTTTTAATTATTCTAGTTTTCTAATTTTGTAGGAAAATTTTGAATGACTTATCTTCTGATGCACCAGGAGTGCCAAGGATTGAAGAAGAGAAGTCTGAAGAGGAGACTTCAGCACCTGCCATCACCACTGTAACGGTGCCAACTCCAATTTACCAAACTAGCAGTGGACAGTATAGTGAGTAATAGACAATTTCTGTTTCTATTGTGAGGAGAAAAAAGTGAGGAGAAAAAGCTAATAGTTGCATTCTCTTCAGAGAAACCAATACAAGTGCCAAGTCTTCTCAGTTTTGCTGCCATTATTATATTTCCTTTACTCTTCACTATGCAAAGGTCTGTAATGGTAGTATTTTCTTTTCTTCAGAGAGTTTTAGTTAGGATTAGTCAAGTGTATAAACCTTTTAGATGTCCTTTTGTTTTTGTGCAGATGCATGGAAAGTCTGAAGTTTTTGAACCACTAATTGAGACCCTAGGTTTGAGGCCTCATGTGTTGAGAGAACATAAGTTTTTTAGATTAAAAAAAATCATTCCTTGAATATATCTCGGTATTCATTTTAATAGTTTGTCTTGCCTTCTGAAAGTAGCATTTTAATGTCTTCGTATTTAATAATGTTTCAAGTGGGGATAAGCATGGCTTGGTTGAGTCAGCACATTCAATTATTCCTTTTCATATGAAAGATAGTAATATACTTTTTGGCCCACATAAAGCAAAAATTGCTCTTACAAAATTATTTAAAAGTTTTCATTTCTATGATGTCTCTGTCTGGCACTTAGGTCTGTCTTCTTATCTTTCACCAAAATCTGTTATAAGACACTTTTGAATTTTATTTTGTTTGATCAAAAGCATTTGTGTGAATGGTACTTTTTTCTCTTTTTCCCTTTTTTTTTTTTGCCTCTCAAAGTGCTTTATTCATTCAGTGATTTTTTTCATTTGTATTTGTTTATTAAACCTGGTGCTGCCCATTTATACCCTTTTCCCCACCCACCTTAGTTTCAAATTAAATGTACACATTGAAACTTCTTTACTGAGATAGTTTCCTAATCCCTGAGGGAATCTGTATCAGAAATATGCATAAAAGTTTGAGGCCAGGCACAGTGGCTCATGCCTGTATTCCCAGCACTTTGGGAAGCCAAAGTGGAAGGATCACTTGAGCCATCCAGGAGTTTAAGACCCCATCCCTATTTATAAAAATAATTTAAAAATTAAGAAATATGCATGAAAGTTTGACCCCCATGTTATTTTTTAGTTCCAGTTCAACTTTGTTTTGCGTAACTCTAATTTGCATTCCCATCTGTATTAAAGACAAGTTCTCAAGTAGCAAACTTTTTAACTCTGCCAAGGCTGAAACTTTTGAGACTAAGTAGAAGGAAGGCATTTTTGACTAAGGTTTTTATCCACTGTGCTCAATTAGCTTAGTCATCTTTTTTCTTCTTAAGATCTTTGTGGCAGATATAAAGTACAACTCTTTACCTACAATTCTGTACGTGTATGTGTATTATCAGTTGAAGCCTCATACCAGATGCTTTTAGTTATTCAAGATATGTGTTCGAAGACATTGATACATGATGTTTATTTTTCTTCTACTTCAGCATACCTGAGGGATACAACATACTCCTGTCAGTAACAGATTCACTGTTACAGAGATTCTCACTTGAACTAGGAAGCATGCTCTTTAGGAAAGAGGCCTATCAGAATCTAAAAAGGGGAAATGAAGGTTAGAAAAGTACCAGCACCCCCATAGATGTTTAATTTGGTACACTCGTCTCCTCCAGCAGCTGAAAATTGCTAGTTTTAAGAGATTGAGCCAGGCGCCGTGGCTCTCGCCTGTAATCCCAGCACGCTGGGAGGCCAAGGTGGTGGATCATGAGGTCAGGAGTTCAAGACCAGCCTGCCCAACATGGTGAAACCCTGCCTCCACTAAAAATACAAAAATTAGCCGGGCATAGTGGCGGACGCCTGTAATCCCAGCTACTCGGGAGGCTGAGACAGGAGAATTGCTTGAACCCAGGAGGCGGAGCTGGCAGTGAGCTGAGATCACACCACTGCACTCCAGCCTGGGTGGCAGAGCAAGATTCCGTCTCAAAAAAAAAAAAAAAAAAGAGAGATTAATACTTTGAAATTTTTAAAGCTTTGTTCATTATTTTTATCCTGTGTCCTCTCTGTATATGTACACATGGCTTTGGCTTTGATGGAACTGATTTAACATTATATTCTTGATTTTCATTAAGAGCAATATAATAAATACATATACAGCAACATTTATATTTCTTAACTTATAAAATGAACATATGGTTGTCAGAATTCACCATAGATATATAAACACACATAGTTATATATTTTGTTTAATAGCTGCATTGTGTTTCACTGTGTAAATACAGCACTTATTTAAACATTCTCCTGCTGATGAACATTTAGGACATTTCTATTGTTTCAAACAGTGCTACATAAATATCCTAAGAGTGGAATTATCGACCATCCTGGCTAACACGGTGAAAACCCGTCTCTACTAAAAATACAAAAAATTAGCCGAGCGAGGTGGCGGGCACCTGTAGTCCCAGCTACTCGGGAGGCTGAGGCAGGAGAATGGTGTGAACCCAGAGGGCGGAGCCTGCAGTGAGCCGAGATAGCGCCACTGCATTCCAGCCTGGGCAACAGCGAGACTCCATCTCAAAAAAAAAAAAAAGAGTGGAATTATCAAATTAAAGCATATCCTCCGCAAGTACCCTTCCAGGTGGAGGCATGAATTTCCACTCCTTCCTTAAATTGGTTATTTTATTAAATTCATGCTGTTACTAGATTTATCTGTTACTTATTAGTTCAGTGTCCCAGATAGTAAAATCTTATTAGTGATTCTGCTCTTAGATAGAAAATGTGTATCTGTCATTTTGAACTTGAATTTTTTTGTTTCAGTAAATAAAACTATGACTCATGATGTTTCCCTCTTTATTCTGGCAACTCAGATTCTTAGCTAACTTTCTGTTTAATTGTATTCTTTTCTTAGTCTAGATTTTCTTCTACAATTGTTTTATATAACTAAGGATACATCCGTTACTTGACTTCTGTCTTTTTATTTTTGTTTTAATGAATTGTGTTTTATTGAAAGCTATCTCAAATCTTTTTGGAATAATAAAGTGTATACATAAACATTATAGAGAAAAACTGTGTTCAGTAGGATTAGACTTCAGTTTCCAAAGTATTTTCATATACATGACCTCATTTGATATTTACAACAATTGTACTTAGTGGCTAGAACCCAGATGCTTTTGTTTTTAGAGAAGAGAGAACAGAATCAAATAACAGTTTAGTGATGGCTGGGCACAGTGGCTCACGTCTGTGATCCCAACACTTGGGGAGGCCAAAGTGGGAGGACTGCTTGAGGCCAGGAGTTCAAGATCAGCCTGGGCAACATAGCAAAACCCTGTCTCTACAAAAAAATGTCTTTAGAAAATTAGTAGGGCCTGATGTCCTGTGCTAGCTACTTGGGAGGCTGAGGCAGGAGGATCACTTGAGCCCACCAGTTGGAGGCTACAGTGAGCTGTGATCTTGCCACTGCACTCCAGCCTGGAAGACAGAACAAGACCCTGTCTCAAAAGAAAAAAATTAAAACAAAAAACTGTTCAGTGATGGAACTCAAACTACAACCCAGTCTTGTCATATATGGTTTACTATTTCTTTCTTCTTCCCACCTTGAATTCACTGCTCTGTAGCCAAGAAGAAAGTGGTATGTTAAATACAGTAGGATTCACTCATTAACTCTAAATGAGAAATTGTGATTTGTTTCTGTTAACCTTCTGATTCTTTCAAGTAATCATGCAAAATTAATCTTAGAATAGTTCTTACTCATTTTTCTCCCTGCCTAAGATAAGTAAAACTTCTGGGATTAGCTAAACTAGATCCAGTGTATATGCCAGCATTTTAATTTTCACAAGTGTCATTTTGCTAAACTAATCACACTGTAGCCATTAACTCTTCTTACTTCTTGATGAGGCAGTAATCAATTTTCCATGTACAGATGTCTCAGGATGTTATTTCCCATAGCTGGTGGATAACTGATCCCAAACTAATTCCCTTCTAATGGACAGTAACATGCTTAATCAGACATGTTGACTTTCCTGCATTGTTTACTTTTTTCTTACTCAGTTAAAATCAGTTTTGTAGTTTTATATGTGATATTGTGATTTTTGGTCCTTCTCTTTCTGAAAAGCTTGACCCCTACAGGGAGAATTGTCTAGAGAGGATATTGCCACCTATCTAAAAATGCTTCTTCCAAATAAATCATCTAATTTTTAAATTAAATTTTTCTATGTACTGTAGCATAAAGGTGATTTAGTTTTTCATAAAGTGAAATATCTACTAGTATGAGCAAAAGTTGACTGATTTATTGTTTAACAAATGAATGACAGGTGTGGCTAATTAGGGCATAAACAACAAAGGGTTCTATATGAGAATGCTTGGATATGTATTAAATAATTTAGAAATGACAGTTAAAGTTTTTTTTCTAAATGATGATCTTGAGCTCTGATTTTAAAATTCCATGAGAGACTGTTGATAATTAAGTTCCATAGGATATTTCAGTTGTTTCATTGAGTGGATTAGATACCATTAAAGAATTTCTACAAGAGTTAGGGAATACAATGCACTGATGAACTGCTTTATTAGTTATATGTTAAAACAACCATTTATTGGGTGCCTATTTCATGGCTGCCACTGTGCTAAGTGTATGAAAGTATATAAGAAAATTCCTACTCTCCAGAAATTTATTTACTAGTGGGACAAGTATTAATACATTATGCAGTTAATGCTAAAATAAAAGAAAGGATCACAGAGTGGAACCTCTTCAGAACCAAATAACTTCAGAAGGAATTTAACATTTTTCCACTTAAAAAAATTGTTAACAGGCATTATTATTATAAATTAGAATGCAGTTCATAGAGTGCATTTCTATTGTAGAAGTTGAATATGGGTTTCCTGAGGAGCAAGTTACTTGAATATATTAGACCCTTCTTGGTGATGTTATTTGCTGTAACTTCTCCTAGATTATTTTACAAATTATTCTACATTGGATGTAATGTTTTAAAAGTCTTATATGGTATTAAACTTGTAACAATAAAATCCATTGGCTTTTAGTTGCCATTACCCAGGGAGGAGCAATACAGCTGGCTAACAATGGTACCGATGGGGTACAGGGCCTGCAAACATTAACCATGACCAATGCAGCAGCCACTCAGCCGGGTACTACCATTCTACAGTATGCACAGACCACTGATGGACAGCAGATCTTAGTGCCCAGCAACCAAGTTGTTGTTCAAGGTAAGGGAATTCAGAATTCACAGGTGTGGTAAATTCTTCAAAATACTAAAATTTTATAAACTCACAGAAAAAGTAAGTATCATATTGCAAACCACCATTCAAATGTAGTTAACATTTCTTCAATATTGATAGTATTTTTCATGAACTCTTCCATTATTCCAATTGGACCAAAATGTCATGGCATAAAAACAACTATTTTCAGTTTTTAAAATATTGCATCTACCTTTAACATCTTTTGGGGTAGAAGAAACAGGATAGGTTAGAAGGAAAGACCAGGAAATCAGGAGTTAGAAAAGATGGATTCTGTATCTAACTGCATGGATCTGCTATGAGGCCTTGAGTAAAAGTCAGCTGCTCTGAGCCTCAGGAAAGTGTTTTGTTTTTTGTTGTTGTTGTTTTTGTTTTTTCATCTGTAAAATAAGAGTTGCACTGAATCTCTGGAAACAATCTTCAGAAGTTCAGGATTCTGTTTCTCTGCTTCCCCCCCCCCCCCCAAAAGAAATTTAAATCTTCTGAGATCATCAGTTTTTATTATTATTATTATTATTTTTTTCTAGAGACATGGTCTCACTGTGTTGCCCAGGCTAGTCTTGAACTCCGGGCCTCAAGCAATCCTCCTTTCTCAGGCTCCCAAAGTGTTGGGATGCCTCTGCACTTGACTCAGTTTTTGTTTCAAATGAAAACATTATATTCCACAGGATCTTATACCAATATGCAAATCTGCTGCTCTTTAGAGAAAAAGTAGTTGTTAAATTCTCGACAAATTATAGAAGTTGCTTTTTTTGGCTTTTTTTTTTTTTTTTTTAGTTTTTTTTTTCTGTTTATTTCAGGAATCTTTATGGATAGCAGTTAACCATTTTTCTTTGGATTTGTTTGAATATTTCAAGAATATAGTTAATGCCAGGTTAGAAATTTGCTGATTGAGGAAATAATAATAAATTTGTTTCTGAAAATATTTTTATAAATAATAATGCATTTTGCCTGTGTTAGGTAATGACAGTTGTATCCTTTCACCATGGATAATTGAATAATCCTGAAACACCAACTGGAGAGAGTCATAACTTATTTAAAGAGCCCTAATGTTTACAGAATATATTCTGTTATTAAACGAGTATTTGAAAAAGATACTATTTTGCTTATTGATGAGAGTAAAACACCTTTTCACTTTACATGCAGGTACTCAAAAATTGTAAAGCAGGATGTCAGTGAATTTGAATTCTGAACGTCAGTTTGAAGATGGTAACATGTTTAGTATATAAATCTTTTCCACTCAAACCATACATTTTAATTGATATTAATAATTAATATGAATAATTTTATAAAGACCTTCAAATTTTTTTAAGTAACATTAGGTTCCTTATTAGGAGAGCATATTATTACGCTGTTTTTAGAAGCAGTTTGACAAATAGTGATTGTGTTTGTTTTTACAAATGGTGAATCAGTTAGAAAAATAAAACTTCAGTTTATTTAGCCATTATCATTTACATTAAAACAATATGTTTTTCAAATAATATAATTGGCATCAAGTGATACACTTTTTCATACTTTTAGTTTTGTTTTAATTCAAAATTTATAATAGTTGACCATAATGCTTTATCTTCTTTTTCATTTTGCTATTTTATGAAAAATCATGGTCGTTTTTATGTCGTGGCAAGAGTCTACTTGAAATTTTTTAATATGAATTTACCAATATCAAAGGAAGACACTGAGGACTATACTCTATCTAGGAAGATCATCCAAGCTGTGCCCCACTTACCTTTTAGACTTAAGGTTGGTAAGCATGTTAACAACAGAATAGAACTGCATTCAAATGAAAAATAAAATGTAAGATCCAGCGGACATAGGTTACTGTAATAAATACATTACATTGGGAATTATTTCTTAGTAGTGGCGCGAAGAGTGCTGATTCTTTCAACGCTTTAGCCAGAATCATCTTTTCTTTTTTGTTTCCCTTTTAGTCCAAAATACATGCTTAGATTGATGATTGATACACATAATTGAATCAAGTTGCAATGTTTCTGTCTTACACCATGCTCACTGTTTTTTTCAGCTGCCTCTGGAGACGTACAAACATACCAGATTCGCACAGCACCCACTAGCACTATTGCCCCTGGAGTTGTTATGGCATCCTCCCCAGCACTTCCTACACAGCCTGCTGAAGAAGCAGCACGAAAGAGAGAGGTCCGTCTAATGAAGAACAGGTACAAATACTGCATTTACTTAGATTGTTATGTGTTAAGTGTGTCTTCACATTCTGCTGGATGTGTATCTTTACATCTACTGGTAATAGGATCTTTGCATTGAATTTTTTTTTTCCAGCAGAATTAATGGATCTTGCTAAATTTTCTTTATTTAATAAGCTGCACTTATAAGATAGCTGTATGATTATGGGTCAATCTTTGATCGTGGAGTAGTTTTCTTTCATGCAGTTTCCCCACAGGAGATTTAATGCACAACTTCCCTATGTCTGCACTCCAACCAGTTAGCCAGGTTATTTAAAAATGGTTTCTTTTCATGTATAGTATTGTTCAAGAAGATCAAGAGTTTCATATATGTATATTAACTGTGTGTTAAATTTTATCTATATTAAATTTACTTGATATAAAGTAAATGTATGGTGGCCAGTTCATGTTTTAATGAATAATATCTTTACTCAAAATAATAACATTTTAACACCTAAAGATTCTTCAAAAATATGTTAATTCTAAGAATACCATGTTACGGACAAAAATCTTAAAATATAGTCTTCAAAAAAATACTACATTCAAAATCTGTGAAATGTTGGTAAAGCAATTCTCAGAAAGTAACTTTATTGCTGTAAATGATTTTGCCGTCAAAAACAATAAAAATAAGTTACTAAATATTGGTTTAGAACTTTCATATAGAAGTGACCGAGACAAACAAAAGAAAATGAAAATAAGGTTATGTAAAGGTTTAAAAAGTTTGAAATTAGTGAAAGTATCTCACTGTTCATCCCAGGATACTTCAAACACTGATAAAGTGAAAGAAGCAGGGCTTCCAAGTCCTAGCCCTATCCCTCCATTTTGGGAGAAGGTATTAACCTTCTGTACCTCAGTTTTGTAAAATGGGATTCCAGCACACACCCAAAGTATTGTTGTAAGAGTCAAGTAAGAGAATCCTTTGAAAGCACTTTGTAACTGTAGTGCTCTGTTGAAATGGGTTTGTGTGTGTGTGTGCAATTTCACAGCTCAGATCAGCTTTTTTGTTCCTAAAATATTCTTAGCTGTCACAATGTTAGTAAATTATATCTAAACTCTGAGAAATGGCAGAGATTTTTCTGGGATATTAGAAAAAGAGTTGGAAACAAGCCAAGTGACTTTTTTTTTTTCTCCCGAGATGAAGTCTTGCTCTGTCACCCAGGCAGGAGTGCAATGGTGCAATCTCAGCTCACTGCAGCCTCCACCTCCTGGGTTCAAGCAATTCTCCTGCCTCAACCTCCCGAGTAGCTGGGATTACAGGTGCCCACCACCACGCCTGGCTAATTTTTGTATTAGTAGAGACATGATTTCACTATTTTGGCCAGGCTGGTCTCGAACTCTTGACCTTGTGATCCACCCTCCTCGGACTTCCAAAGTGCTGGGATTACAGGTATGAGCCATGGTGCCCAGCCCTCAAGTGACTTTTATTTGTGCTCCATCCATCTGTGATTTTGAGTATTTAAGTTTTACTAAAGAGAAGCATAAAAGCTGCATTCATAATTCAAATATATTTTAAAATATAAATTAAAATCTGTAAATAAAAATTAAAATATTTTCAGTTTTTAAAAATGTTTATAAGGAAACCTTTAACTTAAAATTAGAAGCAAGTCTGATCAAGAAGTCTCAAGCACAGGCTGAGTAGTAATATTTAAGACAACACTGCTTACTAAAGAAAAGAGTTCAAAGCAAACATAGGAGCAGAATCAAAAAATAAATCCTTTTGATTATAAAAAACAACAGAAGGACTTCTGTTTATGTCTATGTAGTTTGGCTGTGTGGAACAAAATGTTTACCCCCGTTGACTGGCAGACCAAATTTCCTTTTTGTTCTATTTATTTTTCTTTCAGATTTATGACCACTGCCACCAACAAGTTAGGAACAGGGCACACATAACTACAGTTCCTACCAGGCTTTGCTTGCCTGAGATCTTCAGGGAAACTACCCGACTTACCATGGACTCTTTCATAACATTACTTTGCTTAGATATAGTTACCCTACTCTTTAAAAAGGAAACTTCTCATTGATTCTGCCATAGTTCCTTTTCCCCTTTGTTACCAGATTACTGCTGCTTTTACTTTTTCAGCCTCCATTCACTGGAATCTGGCTTCTATGACTAGCATACCGCTCATATGTCTATAAAAAGGTACAAATTCCCTCCCACTTGGCAAATCTAGTATTTTCTTTCATTTAATTTTAACTCTATGGAGTATTTGACACTTTCGACTTCTCATTACTCTAAACTCTTCCTTGGCTTACTTCACCTGGTTTTCTGGCTACTTTTCAAATTTTTCCTTTGAACCTTCATCCATACCCATGTATTTCAGGCATTACTTTATATGCTGATACTTCTTAATTCTGTATATTCTGGCTTTGACCTTTCTGCCGAGTGCTATTTATTAAGCTCCAGTATATATTATTTTATTAATTCTACCTACAGTGAGGTAGAAGCTTATCCCCACTTTAGAGGAGGAGAAGGTAAATATCAGAAAATTCAAATATTTTGCCAAAGGTCACACACTTTATGAGATTAGTAGAACTGAAATTTGAACCCATATCTGGCACCAAAACCTGTAAACATGCTACTTCACTGATTCCAGTATGCAGCCATCTTCTGCTGTGCCTCTCAAACCAGAGCACATGGCAGTATGCTAGGGATGTGTAGCCTAAGGAGGTGAACGTGGAGTGCTTTCCTTGAATGTTCATTTTGCTAAAATATTTGAGAGAAATAAACCTTATTTTTAAGGTAAAATAAGAGTTTTAAAAGAAATTTATACCAGCAGTGGTTTTGCTGCACCCCCAGAGTCTCCATATTTGGTTTCCTCTTCTAGTGTGGCTATTTCAGTGGAAAAGTTAAGAGAAGCACACTCCTAAGCATGCTCACTAGGATGAATTTCCCTTATGCACATCAAACACAGCCTATCTTAAAGTTTGATAGGAAAAGATTGTAATCCAAAAAATTCATCACTATCCAAATTGCCATTTATTTCAAGATGAAGGTAAGTGGTAAACATTCTAAAAGAAAGTGTAGACAGCTCTTCTGTTAATTTGTGTTGCTACAGTAACAACCACGAATCTCAGTGTCTTAAAATTTCTTCCTCACTTCTGTTACATTTTGGCAGCTGCAGGTCAGTTGCTGTGGCTCTCCTTCATGTGCCCATCTGGGTCTAGGATCCTGGGCTAGATAGAGCAGCACGTCTTTGAGAAAAGGGCAATGCTTTTGAAAGCATTTGCTTGATTTTGGTGAACGTTACATCTACTCGTGATCTGTTAGCCACAGCACAGGCAAGGACAAGCCCAAAGTCAGTGGAGTGGGAATGAACTCTTCCTACAGGAAGTGGAGAGTGAAAAATTGTGAAAGTAATACAATCTATCACCTTTGCCTTTATGTAACTTTACATTGTAGGGGGATTTTAAAAGCAGATTCCCTAAAGGCAGAAGTAACAAAGGAAAAGGTTAAATGGATTTGACCATATAAAACTATAAACCCCCTATTTAGGAAAGTAAAAGATAAAGTAGCAAACATTTTAACAAATAATGTCAGAAGACTAATGAGTTGAGGGATATAAATAGGCAGATTCTTAGAAAATGGATAGGGTAAAAAATTTGAAAAATTCTAAAAAAATTAAAATGTATTTGATATGAATTAAAATATATCCATTCAACTATATACAACTAGCCATTAAGAGTAAATAAAGGTGTATTTTTATTAAGATGGGAAGATGTTCTCGGACAAAAGCAGGTTACCAAAGAGTATTTACATTACTATCAGGTTTTTTAAATTTATTATTACACAAGTAAAACATGTTCATTATAAGTAAATTAAGAAACATTACCTAAAAATTGAATTACTTCTAATTTCACCATCTAAAATGTTAACATTCTAAAGTCAGTTTTTTTACTCAAACCAGTACAAAGGTAAATATACATTTTTAATATATTTTTAAGTAATTTTAAACTTACAAAGGAGTTTTAAAAATACAGAGTTCCGGATACCCTTCATCCAGCTTTCTCTAATCTTAGTATATTACATAACCAGGGTACATTTATCAAAAATAAAAGTACATTGGTATAATACCATTAACTGAATTATACATTTTATTTCCCCAGTTTTTTTACTTACATAATCCAGTTTGGGTACCATATCGCATTTAATTATAGTCTCCTTCAGTCTGTGAAAGTTTGTTTCCTTGTCTTTGATGGCCTTGTAACTTTTGAAGAGTAGTGATCTGTTTTCTTTTAGAATATCCCTCAGTTTGCATTTGTCCAGTGTTTTCTATGGATAGATTGAGATAATAGGTTTTGGGGAGGAATTCCACAGAGGTATAGTGTGCCTTTCTCATAACATCACATCCGGGAGCACATACATAATTGGCGATATTAACTTTGATCACTTGGTTAAAGTGCTGTCCAGGTGTCTCCACTGTTGAGCTACCATTTTTCTCTTTGTCCAGCCCATATTCAAGGGGAGGAGAATTAAATTCCACCTCCTAAAAGGGAGAATATGAAAGAAATTTGTGGTCATATGTTAAAACCACCACAGTAATTAGGTGTATTTTAGAAGAAGTACTTGGAGGCTATGCAGATATATTCTTTTCTCTTTAAAGTTTTGCCCACCAGTTTTAGAATTCATCAGTAAATCTTGTCTACAGTAATTATTACTATTTGCTATTCTAATGGGAATTTTGTATATCTCCATCCCTTCTAATATATTTAACAACTGAATTCTATAAACAAGATTTGTTTCTTCTCCACATTATTTATTTTATCAATACAGACACATACTTTGGGAGTTATAATCCAATACTATTGTTATTTATTATGTTGTTCATATTGTTCTAGCTTTGGCTACTGGGATCTTTTATAAGTGTCTTCTGTGTCCTTTTGACATGCCCCATTTTTTTCTTTTTAAGCACATCTTTACTTTCTGAGACTACAAGATTGTCCAGGTTCTCATCTTGTGTTTTCCCTTCCCTAGCCTTGGAATGAGCTGTTTTTCCAATGATCTCTAGTTCCTTTATTAGAAAATGGTGGCCAATATGGTGAAACCCTCTCTCTACTAAAAAGAGAAAATTTAGCCGGGGTGGTGGTGCACGCTTGTAATCCCAGCTACTCAGGCGGCTGAGGCAGAAGAATTGTGCGAACCTGGGAGGTGGAAGTTGCAGTGAGCTGAGATGGCACTACTACTCCAGCCTGAGTGACAGAGTGAGACTCTGTCTCAAAAAAACAAACAAACAAACAAAAAAAAATATATATATATACATACACACACACATACACCTTCATATATGCACACATTCTTATTTCTGTATCTTTATATATAGTTGGCTCTGTTTTCCATAGCCCACATTCAAGAAAAAAAGTAACAATATAACAATTTTTTAAATAATACAAATAAAAAAGTAACCTAGTATAACAACTATTTACATAGTATTTACATTGTATTAAATATTATAAGTAATCTAGAGGTGATTTTAAGTATATAGGGGGATTCATATAGGTTATATGCAAATATAATGCCATTTTATATAAGGGACTTGAGCATCTGTGGATTTTGATACTCATGAGAGTTCCTGGGACCAATCCCCCACAGATACTGAGGGACAACTATATACTTAAATAGGAATACACACTAACATATCTGACTCTAAGCTTTAACCACGTGGCTCATTTTAGACTTCTCTTTGCCTGTTTGTAACTTCTTTCTCCGACAGAAACTTGGCTTATATGTTTGTTTAAATCTACTATACATACAGAAAACTTGTAAGAATTGATAATATGTACCATTGTGAGAAACAGGATTACCAGTTACAGTGCAGTATTTATATACACTTCTTTTTGTTTTTGGCCTAATAGTATTTAGCAAAAGTGCTGTTTTCTAAAGTTACTTCACTCTGCTCCTTTCTCCACCCCTTTCAATGAGGTTATATCATATGATTGTAGTACAGTTAGATTTGTCACAATCTTCAGTCTGGGATTTTCTGACATCCCTAAGTTTTTATCCTTAAATTTGCATATACATAAGTTCACTCTTTGTGCTGTATAGTTTTATGGGTTTTGATAGATGCAGTGTCATGTATCTGTCACCACAATGCCATATGGAACAATTATACTAGTTAACTAACAGTTATATAATACTAAGTATTCTCTTATATCCCTTTGAAGTCAGCTTCCCCCACGCCCTGAAAACCAATGAACTGTTTTCTACCCTTATAGTTCTGCCTATTCCATAATCTCTTATAAATGGTATCTTAAATTATAATTTGTAGCCTTTTAGATCTGGTTCCTTCATCTAGCAAAATGCATTTAAGATTTATTGATTTTGTTGCATGAATCAGTAGTTGGGACTTATCCCAGATAATTCCATTTTATAGATATACTGTGCTTTGTTTATTCACTTTGAATTTCATCCCAGTTATTTCCAGTTTTAGAGAAATAAAGTTACTATCAACACATAAAGGTTTTTATATGAACTTTCCATTAACATGAGTAAATATCTAGGAGTAGGCTGGTTGCATGAAATGTAACTAACTGTATATTTAACTTTTTAAATAAACTGTCCAATTGTTTTCCAAAATGGCTGTACCATTTTATATTCCCACCAGGAATGTATGAGAGTTCAGTTGCTTTGTATCCTTGCCAAAACTTGACATTGTCAGGTTTATTGTTTGTCCCCCAGCTCTAGAACTGGTATAATGGATATCTTATGGTTTTAACTTGCACTTCACTAGTGACTTTTTTTTTTTGAGACGGAGTCTCCCTCTGTCATGTCACCCAGGCTGGAGTGCAGTGGCACCATGTCGGCTCACTGTAACCTCTGCCTCCTGGGTTCAAGAGATTCTCGTGCCTCAGCCTCCCTGAGTAGTCAGGATTACAGGCACCTGCCACCACGTCTGATTTTTTGTATTTTTAGTAGAGACAGGGTTTCGCCATGTTGGCCAGGCTGGTTTTGAACTCCTGACCTCAGATGATCCACCCACCTCGGCCTCCCAAAATGCTGGGATTACAGGTGTGAGCTACTGTGCCCAGCCTTCATTAGTGACTTTTATGTGATTTGCTATCTATATGTTTTCTTTGATGAAATGTCTATTTAGATCTTTTAGTCATTTCTATTGTTTGTTTTCTTTTGTTTTCAGAGACCTTTTTTCCAAATCCTTTGTCAGAGCAAGTATTTTCTTTCAGTCTGCAGCTTTTTCTTTAATTTTCTTAACATTATCTATCTTTTGCAGAGCAAAAGGTTGCCATTTTGATGAGGCCCATTTTATCAGTTGTGTCCTTTTGTACATCATGCTTGTGGTATTTATGAATTTTCTGCCTGGATAGGCCCAGCCCACTTACACACGTCTAGGAGCCTATGGACAGGCCCATTGGTGTCCACATACATCATCTAGGGTGCCTGAGGATTGGTTGGTCCTGCCCACCAGCACCCACTGTCTGGAATCATGAAGGCCAGCTCGCTCTCACTATCACATTGGCCACCCAGAGGCCTGCAGATAGGCCTGCCTGGCCTGCTGCCACCGTAAAGGCCTTTGTGTCCACATACCAGCCAACCTGATGTCCCCATCCTCAGCAAAGCTTTATCACAGCCTCCACTGACAACCGAAGCCTAAGCCACTGAAGAAATCATAGATGCCATGAGAGAATCATAGATACCACCATTGATGACAGTAAAAGAAATCATACAGAGACAACACATCTGAACCCACCTAGAATCAAATCCAGAGCACCCTACCCAGCTAACACTACAGCTACATCTACAGTAAAAGTCTTTCTCTACAAAAGCCAGTCCATAAAATTGGATAAAGCAGCAGTTGCACAGATATCAAGATAAGGACACAAGAAACATAAAATACTGAGGAAACACGATACCTCCAAAGGAACACAATAATTTTCCACTAACAGATCTCAAAGAACCAGGTAATCAATAAAATGCCTGAAAAGGAATTGAAAATAATGATCTTAAGAAAACTCAGCAAGAAACAACAGAACACAGATAGACAATACAAATAAATCAGGAAAACAATTCATGATCTGAATGAGAAATTAAAGAGGTAAATAGTTAAAGAAACAAATTCTGGAACTGAAGAATTTAATAAATAAAAAACAGTCGAGCAGAAAGAATTTCTGAACTTTAAGAGAGAGGTCTTTTAAAATAACCCAGTCAAACACACACTAAAAAGGATGAAGAAAGCCTACATAGGACATCATAAAGCAAACAAATATTTCAATTTTGGGAGTGCCACAAGGAGAAAATATAGGAAAAGGCATAGAAAACCTATTTAACAAAATAATCACTGAAGACCTCCCATGTCTTGAGAGAGAGATATATATCCAGATACAGGAAGGTCATATGTACTAAAACAGTTTATCCAAAAAGGCCTTTCTAAGACACACTATTTTCAAACTCAAAAGTCAAAAACAAAGAAAAAATTCTTATGGAACCAAAAACAGCCCAAATAGCCAAAGCATTCCTGAACTAAAAGAACAACATGGAAGGCATCACACTACCTGACTTCAAAATATACTACAAAGCTATAGTAACCAAAACATAGTATTGATATAAAAACACATAGACCAGTGGAACAGAATAAAGAACACAGAATAAATCTACTTATTTACAGCAAATGTGCCAAGAACATACATTGGGGAAAGGACACTCTCTTCAATCAATGGTATTGGGAAACCTGGATATCTGTGTGCAGAGAATGAAACTAGATACCTATCACCATACCCAAAAATCCACTCCAAGTGGATTAAATACTTAAACATAAGACCCCAAACTCTTAGACTACTAGAAGAAAACATGGGGGAAATGCTTCCTGACATTAGACTTGGCAAAAACTTCATGGCTAAGACTCCAAAAGCACAAGCAACAAAAAGAAAAATAGTTAAGTGGAAATATTAAACTAAAAAGCTTCTGAACAGCAAAGGAAACAGAGTGAAGAGACAACCTGCAGAATGGGAGGAATATTTACAAACTGTTCATCTGACAAGGGACTGATAACCAGGATATATAAGGAACTCAACCGAACAGGAAAACAAACAAAAATCCTATTAAAAAGTGGACAAAAGGTCTGAATAGACATTTCTCAAAAGAAGACATACAAATGGCCAAGAAATATATTTGAAAAGCTCAACATTACTAATTGTCAGATTAAAACCACAATGAAGTATCATTAGATAGAATGGTTATTATCAAAAAGACAAGAAGTAACAAACTGATGAGGATGCAGAGAAAGGTGAACTCTTCCTCTTTGTGTTAGGAAGTATCATTAGTTAGAATGGCTATAATCAAAAAGACAAGAAGTAAACACTGATGATGCAGAGAAAGGTGAACTCTTTCTAACTCTTTGTGTTAGAATTGTCTCAGTGTTGATGAGAATGTACATTAATGCAGCCATTACGGAAAACGGTGTGGAGGTTTCTCAAAAAAACTAAAAGGGCCAGGCGTGGTGGCTCACGCCTGTAATCCCAGCACTTTGGGAGGCCAAGGCGGGTGGATCACAAGGTCAGGAGATCGAGACCATCCTGGCTAACACGGTGAAACTCCTTCTTTACTAAAAATCCAAAAATTCAGCCAGGCATGGTGGCGGGTGCCTGTAGTCCCAGCTACTCGGGAGGCTGAGGCAGGAGAATGGCGTGAACCCGGAAGGCAGAGCTTGCAGTGAGCCGAGATCGCACCACCGCACTACAGCCTGGGTGACGGAACGAGACTCCATCTCAAAAAAAAAAAAAAGGAAAAAGAAAAAAACACACAAAAAATAAAAGAACCACTATATGATCTAGCAATCCTACTACTGGGTATCTATTCAAAAGAAAGGAAACCAGTATTGCATCACTTCACAGTAGCTAAGATAGGGAATCAACCTAAATATCCATCAACATATGAATGGATAAAGAAAATTGCAGTATATATACACAGTGGTATACTGTCAAGCCACTAAAAAGAATGAAAATACATCATTTGTGGCCATGTGGATGAACTTGGGGGACATTATGGGTTATGCAAAATAACTCAAACATGGAAAGATAAATACCACATGTTCTCACTCATGTGGGAGCTAAAAATTTTTTGAGCTTATGGAAGTAGAGAGTAAAATTGTGGGTATTAGAGCCTGGGAAGGGAAGGTGAGATAGGGAGCATGGGGAGAGGTTGGTTAATGGACACAAACTTACATCTAGGTTGGTAGAATGATTTCTGGTGTTCTGTAGCACCATAGGGTGAATATGGTTAAATACAACTTGTGTATTTTCACAAAGCTAGAAGTGAGGATTTTGAATGTTCACAACCCAACAAAATGATAAGTTTGAGGTGATGGATATGCTAGTTACCATAATTTGATCATTACATACTGTATACACATATTAGAATATTACTGCATCTCATAAATGTCTACAGTTATTTTATGTCAACTAAAAATAAAAAGGAAAAAAGAATTCTTTGCCTAAATCAATATCACACAGACTTCGTTTTCCTCTAAAAGTGTTATGTTTTATGTTAGAGTTTTATATTTAGATCTATAATTCCCTC
The DNA here is from genome assembly GCF_000001405.40 of Homo sapiens. Taxonomy (NCBI): domain Eukaryota; kingdom Metazoa; phylum Chordata; class Mammalia; order Primates; family Hominidae; genus Homo; species Homo sapiens. The sequence continues at coordinate 207,588,202 of NC_000002.12, forward strand.
CTGAGTTTACTTTTGTATAAGGTGTGAGGATGTGTCGAGATCCATTTTTTTATATAGGAACATCCATTTGTTCCAGACCATTTGTTGAAAAGACTATTCTTTCTCTATTGAATTGCCCTTGCTCTTTTTTTCAAAAATTAATTGACCATATTTGTGTGAGTCTGTTTCTTGGATATCTTTCCATTGATCTTTGTGTCTGTCCTTTAGCCAATACCATGTTGCCTTGAGTTCTGTATAATAAGTCTTGAATTTGATAATGTGAGTCCTCCAACTTTGTTCTTAAAATTGTTTGGCTATTCTGGTTCCTTTGCACTTTAATGTATATTTTATAATCCGCTTGTTGATGTCTACGGAAAGTGTGCTAGAATTTTAGTTAGGATTGTGTTGTGTCTATAGATCAAATTGTGAAGAAGTCACATCTTAGCAATACTTAGTTTTTGATTCCATGAACACAATATAATCTAATCAGCACATAGATCCTGTACATATCTTACTGGATTTATACCCAAGTATGAACTGTTTTCTGGTTTTTTTTTTTTTTGTGTGTGGGGGTGGGGGGACATGTGCTATTTGAAATGGTATATTCAATTGTTCATTGCTGGTATATGGAAATAAAATTGGCTTCTGTATATTTACCTTTTATCCTATGACCATTCTAAATTTACTTATTAGTTCTAGGAGCTTTGTCGGGGGGGGTGTAGATTCTTTGGGATTCTCTACACAAATTATCATGTCACCTACAAATATGGACAGTTTTAATTATTTCTAATCTGCATGCCTTTTAATTTTTTTTCCTTATTGCAATGTCTAGGACTTGTGCTATGATGTTGAATAGGAGTGGTGAGAGAGGACATCTTTGCCCTATTCTTGATCTTAGGGGGTGTATTAGTTTTCTATTGCTGCATGTCACAAACTGCCACAAACTTACTGGCTTAAACAACACAAATGTATTGTTTTCCAGTTCTATAAGATCAGAGGCCTTCATTGGATCTCACTGGGCTAAAATGAAGGTGTCAGCAGGACTGCATTCCTTCCTGGAGGTTCTAGGTGAAAATGTGTTTCTTTGCCATTTCTAGCTTCTAGAGGCCACCCACATTTTTTGCCTCATGGCCCCCTTTCTCCATCTTCAACATAGTGTTATCTCTGTTCCCCTTCTGCAGTCACATTTTCTTCTGCTTTCCTGTTCTACTTTTAAGAATGCTTGTGGTTTAACTGGGCCCACTCAAGTAACCCAAGATAATTTTCCTATTTTAAGGTCAGCTAATTAACAACCTTAATTCCATCTGCAACCTAATTCCCCTTTGCCATATAAGGTAACATACTCACACACTGCAGAGATTAGTACATGGACACCTTTGGGGGACCTTAAGTAATGTAATAGCTGTAGGGTCTCTGTAAAAAGCTCTTCATTACATTTTTTTAAAAACTCTCTTTGATTTTTAGTTTCTGAGAGTTTTCATCATAAATTGTTGTTTAATCTTGTCAAATGCTTTTCCAGAATCTACTGAGGTGATCGTGTTGTTTCTCTTATTTGGTCTGTTATTAGAGTGAATTACATTCATACTCCAATTTTGAGATATGCATGCATTCCTGGGATGAACCCCCAATTGGTCATGAAGTATCATTTATACATTGCTGGATTCAATTTGCTAATATTTTGTTGAGGATTTTTATGTCTACGTTTATGGCTAATATGGGATTTTAGTTTCTTTGCCGTGAGTTTGTTATTAGGGTAATGCTGACCTTATAAATGAGGTGGAAGTCTTCCCTTCCCTTCTCTTTTTCTGGAAGAGATTATAATATTTGTATTATTTAAGCCTTATATGGTTGGTAGAATTTGCCAGTGAACCCACATAGGCCTGGAGTTTTCTATTTTGAGAAGTTTTTTTTTTTTTTTTTTTTTTTTAATAGATACGGGATCATTCAGACTATTTCTTCTTCAGTGAGTTTTGGAAGTTTGTGTTTTTAAGACATTGGTCCATTTCTTCAAAGTTATCAAATTCATGACCATAGAGTTGTTTGTAGTGTTAGTTTATTATTCTTTTACTGTATGGGATGTCAGTAGGGATGTCCCCCCGCTTCATTCCTAATATTGTTAATTTTTGTCTTTCCTCTCTCTCTGTATTCGCCACCCCTACCCCAGCCACCCTCCTTTTTTTTTAAGTCTGGCTAAAGGTTTATCAATTTTGTTGATTGTTTTTAAGCAACCAAAATTCTTAGTTTCATTAGTTTTCTCCTTAGAATTGTATTGATTTGTACTCTGATCTTTGTTATTTTCTCCTGCTTGCTTTGGTTTTTTTAGTTGTTCTCTTTCTAGTTTCTTTTTTCATTAACTGTAAATTTTTTCCTATTAATATATACCTTTGTCTTATTTCAGTTTCTAAGAAAACTTCTGCAGGTATCTAGTTTCTTAAGACAATAGTTGGATCAGTTTGGCAAATCTTTTGTAAAGGGCCAGATAGTAAATATTTCAGGCTTTGCAGACCAAATGATCTGTCACAACTACTCAACTCTGCCGTTGTAATACCAAAGCAGCGATGGATAATACTGACTGTGTTCCAGTAAAACTTTATTTACAAAAACAAGCAGGGAAGCAAAGTTTGGCAACCCTTGATATAAATAATTGATTTAAGCCCTTTTTTTCTAACATAAGTATTTAAGGCTGTAAATTTCCATTTTAGCATTGGTTTAGCTGTGTCCCACAAATTTTGGGTTGTCATTTTTATTTGCATTCAGTTTAAAAATTTTTTTATTTCCTTTGAGACTTCTTTTTTGACCTATAGACTTAGAAATGTTTAATATTCAATTTCCAAATAATCGAGGATCTTCCCAGGTGTTTTATGGCCCAAGAACATACTTTGTATTATTTTTATTCTCTTAAATTATCAAGTATCATATCAATGTCAGATAGGTGTAGTTGATTATGTCATTCAGGTGTACTGTATCATTTTTAATTTTCTACTTATTCTGTCATCTCTGAGACTCTACTTAGTCTATCATCACTGACAGGAGAGTGTATTAAGGCATTCATCCCTTTGTTCATTTCTCCTTTCAGTTCTATTAGCTTTTGCCTCATACAGGAGAATTACATCTTCCATTTAGAATTATGTCTTCTTAGAGGATAGACCTCTTTATTATTATATAATGTCTTTCTTTATCCCTGACAATATTCCTTCTTCAGAAGAATGCTTTGTCTGATACTAATAAAACTACCCCAGTTGGTTTGTTTTGTTTTTGTTTGTTGAGACAGAATCTTGCTCTGTTGCCCAGGCTGGAGTGCAATGGCAGTGGCACAATCTTGGCTCACTGCAACCTCCACCTCCCTGATTCAAGTGATTCTCGTGCCTCAGCTTCCAAAATAGCTAGGATTACAGGTGTGCGCCACCACACCCAGCTAATTTTTGTATTTTTAGTAGAGACGGGGTTTCGCCATGTTGGCCAGGCTGGTCTCAAACTCCTGACCTCAAGTTATCCGCTCACCTCAGCCTCCCAAAGTGCTGGGATTACAGGCGTGAACCACCATTCCCAGCCTCCTTTTGATTAGTATTTGCATAATATATATCCTTCTCCATCCTTTTTCTTCTCTGTTTATATTTGAAGTGGGATTCTTGTAGATGGCATATACTTAGGTCTTCCTTTTTTACTGAGCTACATGCCTTTTAAATGGTTTAGATCAGGGATTGGCAAACTATGGCACAAGTAGAAATTTTTAATTTTACATTTATATATTTAATTTTCAATTGTCTTCATTTCCTTATATAAATCCATGTTTTAATCTATTATATTTCTGCCTCAAAAACTCTTTTTTACATTTCTTAGAAAATAGATCTTCTGGCAATGAATTCCCTCTAGTTTTGTTTGAAAAAGTTTATTTCATCATCATATTTGAAAGATATTTTTGCTGGGTATAGAATTCTGGGTTTATCATTTTTTTCTTTGAAGTGACAGACTTTAAAGATGTCACTTAAGGCTGAGGTAGGCGGATCACAAGGTCTGGAGTTTGAGACCATCCTGGCCAACATGGTGAAACCCTCTCTCTACTAAAAATACAAAAAATGAGCTGGGCGTGGTGGCACACGCCTGTAGTCCCAGCTACTCGGGAGGCTGAGGCAGGAAAATCACTTAAACCCGGGAGGCAGAGGTTGCAGTAGCCCAGATCACGCCACTGCACTCCAGCCTGGCAACAGAGCAAGACTCCATCTCAAAAAATAAAAAAAGATGTCACTTTTTTTCTTATGATTTAAATGGTTTCTGACAAGAAATCTGTGTGTATATAATGCTCCTTTTCTTCCTCTGCCTCTGATTTGCAGCAATTCAAATATAATATGCCTAGGGATTTTCCCTCTCTTCCCTCCTTCCTCCCCCATCCCCACCATATTTATCTTATTCTTCTTGTGTCTGTGGCTTGGTGTCTGTCATTAATTTTAGAAAATTCTTGGCCAGGTGCAGTGGCTCACGCATGTAATCCCAGCACTTTGGGAGACCAAGGCAGGCGGATCACGAGGTCAGGAGATTGAGAACATCCTGGCCAACATGGTGAAACCCCGTCTCTACTAAAATACAAAAAATTAGCTGGCCATGGTGGCGCATGCCTGTAGTCCCAGCTGAGGCTGAGGCAAGGGAATTGCTTGAACCTGGGAGGTGGAGGTTGCAGTGAGTCCAGATTGCACCACTGCACTCCAGCCTGGCGACAGAGCAAGACTCCATCTCAAAAAAGAAAAGAAAATTCTCAGATATACTTTCTTCAAATATTTTTCCGTCCTGTCCTCCCTCTTCTTCTGAGATTACAGTTATAAATATGTTAGGATGTTGGAGACGGTCACACAGCTTTTTGTTGTTCTGTCTTCAAGTTCACTGATTGTTTCCTCAGCTGTGTCAGTTTTACTTACCAGAACATCAAACATATTCTTTATCTCCATTTCCATTTGATTCCTTTTCATAATTTCCATGCCACTGCTGAAATAACCCATCTGATCTTACATGTTATCCACCATTCCTATTAGAGCCTTTAACATGTTAGTCATACTTAAAATTTGTATCAAGGCTGGGTGCGGTGGCTCATGCCTGTAATCCCAGCACTTTGGGAGGCTGAGGCAGGAGGATAGCTTGAGCCCAGGAATTCAAGACCTGTTTGGAAAACATAGGAAGACACTGTCTCTACAAAAAATAATAAAATAAATTAGCTGGGCATGGTGGTGCATGCCTATGGTCCCAGCTGCTGGGGAGGTTGAGGCAGGAAGATCACTTGAGCCTGGGAGGTCAAGGCTGCAGTGAGCCCTCATTGTGCCACTGCACTCCAGCCTGGGCAGCAGAGCAAGACCCCATCTCAAAAATGAAAAATAGAAGCAAATGCTACTTTTTTCTGAATTGATAGTTACATGAGGATGAAGACATCAATGGAATTACAATGTACTGCCATTTGGAGTTACCTAAAAATAATAATAGCTAACACATCTTCAACATGCTAGGCACTATATTGTGTGCTTTACATATATTAACTCATTTGATCCTCACAAACTTTTTTTTTTTTTTTTTTTTGAGACGGAAACACCTATCACCCAGGCTGGAGTGCAGTGGCGCTATCTTGGCTCACTGCAATCTCTGCCTCCTGGGTTCAAGCGATTTTCCTACCTCAGCCTCCCAAGTAGCTGGGATTACAGGCACCTGCCACCATCCCCAGCTAATTTTTGTATTTTTAGTAGAGACAGAGTTTCGCCATGTTGGCCAGGCTGGTCTCAAACTCCTGGCCTCAAGTGATCTGCCTGCCTCAGCCTCCCAAAGCGCTGGGACCTGGGATTACAGGGGTGAGCCACCACACCAGCCCTCACAAACCTTTTGAGGTAGAAAATATTACCATGTCCTTTTTTACAGTCAGGAAATTAAGGTTAAGTAATAAGATTGTGGCCCTTGACCACACAGAGCTAAAAAAGAATTTACTGGTTTAGATTGAGCAGCTTGCTAAAGAATAATTTTTAATTATTTTTAATCTGTGTTAGATTTTTTTAAATAATTTCATTTTTAATTGTGGTAAAAAATATAACAAAATTGACCATCTTAATGAGTTTTAAGTATTCAGTTCAGTCATGTTAAGTACATTCATATTGTGGTGCAGTAGATTTCCAGAACTTGTTCATCTTGCAAAATTGAAACTCTGTACCCGGTAAACAACAACTCCCCATTTCCTCGTTCCCCCAGCCCCTGGCAGCCACTAATGTAAGTCCTGTTTCTATGAATTTGATTGACTTTAGATGCCTCATAAGAGAAATTACACAATATTTGTCTTTTTGAGACTAGCTTGTGTCAGCATAATGCCCTCAAGGTTCATCTACGTTTTGGCATGCAGAGGGCCTTCCTAAGGCTGAATAATATTAATATTACATTGTATGTATATACCACATTTTGCTTACCACTCATCTGCTGATGGACATTTGGGCTGCTTCCACCTCTTGGCTATTGTGAATAATGCTGCAATGAACATGAGTGTTCAGATATCTCTTCAATACCCTGATTTCAGTTCTTTTGGATCTGTAGCAAAAAGTGGGATTGCTGGATCATATGGTAAATTTTGTTCTTAATTTTTTGAGGAACCTCCATTCCATTTTCCATAGCAGCTGCACCATTTTACATTCCTACCAACAGTACACAAGAGTTCCAGTTTCCTCACATCCTCATCAACAATGGGTATTTTCTGCTGGTGGTGGTTTTTTGATAGTAGCCATCCTAATGGTTGTGAGGTGATACCTAGTGGTTTTGATTTGCATTTCCCTAGTGATTAGTGATGTTGAGCATCTTTTTTTTTTTTTTTTTTTTTCTGAGATGGAGGCTCGCTCTGTTGCCTAGGTAGAGTGCCGTGGTGCAATCTCGGCTTACTGCAACCTCTGCCTCCCGGGTTTAAGTGATTCTCCTGCCTCAGCCTCCTGAGTAGCTGGGACTACAGGCACCCACCACCATACCTGGCTAATTTTTGTATTTTTAATAGAGATGGAGTTTCACCATGTTGGCCAGGCTGGTCTTGAACTCCTGACCTCATGATCCACCCGCCTCTGCCTCCCAAAGTGCTGGGATTACAGGCATGAGCCACCGCACCCAGCCTATATTGAGCATCTTTTTATAGGCCATTTATATATCTCTGGAGAAATCTCTGTTCAAGTCCCTATGCCCATTTTTTAAATTGGGTTATTTTGCTGTTGAGTTCAAAAGTTCTTTATATATTCTAGATTTTTTTTTTCCCTTTCTTTTGAGACAGCATCTTGCTGTCTCCCAAGCTGTGGTATAGTGGCATGATCATGGCTCACTGCAGCCTCGACCTCCCGGCCTCCAACCTCAGCTTCCTGAGTAGCTGAGACTACACGCACACACCACCTAACTAATTTTTAATTGAGACAGGTTCTTGGTTTGTCACCCAGGTTGGAATGCAGGTGGCAGGATCACGGCTCACTGCAACCTAAGACCTCCTGGGCTTAAGCAGTCCTCCCACCTCAGCTTCCTGAGCAGCTGGGACTACAGGCATGTGCCACCACACTTGGCTAAATTTTTAAAAATTTTTTTTTAGAGACAGGGTCTTAATATATTGCCCAGGCTGTTCTTGAACACATGGGTTCAAGAGATTCTCCCACCTCAGCCTCCCAAAGTGCTGGGATTATAGGCGTGAGCCATACACCTTGCCTATTCTAGATCTTAACCCCTTAGCAGATATATGATTTGCAGATATTTCTTCTCATTCTGTAGGTTGCCTTTTCACTATTTATTGTCTTTCGATGTGCAGAAGTTTTTTAGTTGGATATAGTCCTATTTGTCTATTTTTGCTTTTGTTACCTCTGCTTTTGGTGTTGTATTTAAGATATTACTGCCAAATCCAATGTCAGAGAGTGTTTTCTTCTAGAAGTTTTATAGTTTTAGGTCTTACGGTTAGGTCTTTGATCTATTTTGAGTTAATATTTGTGTACAACATAAGGTGCGGCCCAACCTCACTCTTTTGCATGTGGATATCCAGGTTTCCCAGCACCATTTGTTGAAGAGACTGTTAGATTTTTTTAAATGCCCTGAAATGATTAGTTTGTAAGATTTTCTATTTAAAGGATTGTTACACATTGAAATTTAGCTTTAATGTTTTCTTAGTTATTGATATGGATAGAATTTCAAGTTTTGCAGGAATTATGCAGAATATTTTAATTAATAGTAAGATGTAATTTTTAAGTGGTCATTTAGGTCTTGTTTGTTTATGGAGTTGTTTTTTTGTTTGTTTCTTTGAGACGGAGTCTCACTCTTGTCACTCAGGCTGGAGTGCAGTGGCGCAATCTCAGCTTACTGCAGCCTCTGCCTCCCAGGTTCAAGCGATGCCCATGGCTCAGCCTTCCAAGTAGCTGGGACTACAGGCATGTGCCGCCACACCCCGCTAATTTTTGTGTTTATAGTAGAGAGGGGTTTCATCATGTTGGCCAGGCTGATCTTGGACTCCTGACCTCAGGTGATCTCCCTGCCTTGGCCCCCGAAAGTGCTGGGATTACAGGCGTGAGCCGCCACGCCTGGCCAGATTAAAATTTTAATATAAGGTAATTTCCAAGTAATTCTGTATATCTTTTCCAATGCTTAATATATACTAAAATGTTGGTTGCTGTGAGCTATTTCTTTAAAAAAGAAAAAAAAAAGGTAATCCAAAATAAATATGTGGAAATCATTTGCATAATTTTTCCCGTCCTCTTTTGCTTGTAGGGAAGCAGCTCGAGAGTGTCGTAGAAAGAAGAAAGAATATGTGAAATGTTTAGAAAACAGAGTGGCAGTGCTTGAAAATCAAAACAAGACATTGATTGAGGAGCTAAAAGCACTTAAGGACCTTTACTGCCACAAATCAGATTAATTTGGGATTTAAATTTTCACCTGTTAAGGTGGAAAATGGACTGGCTTGGCCACAACCTGAAAGACAAAATAAACATTTTATTTTCTAAACATTTCTTTTTTTCTATGCGCAAAACTGCCTGAAAGCAACTACAGAATTTCATTCATTTGTGCTTTTGCATTAAACTGTGAATGTTCCAACACCTGCCTCCACTTCTCCCCTCAAGAAATTTTCAACGCCAGGAATCATGAAGAGACTTCTGCTTTTCAACCCCCACCCTCCTCAAGAAGTAATAATTTGTTTACTTGTAAATTGATGGGAGAAATGAGGAAAAGAAAATCTTTTTAAAAATGATTTCAAGGTTTGTGCTGAGCTCCTTGATTGCCTTAGGGACAGAATTACCCCAGCCTCTTGAGCTGAAGTAATGTGTGGGCCGCATGCATAAAGTAAGTAAGGTGCAATGAAGAAGTGTTGATTGCCAAATTGACATGTTGTCACATTCTCATTGTGAATTATGTAAAGTTGTTAAGAGACATACCCTCTAAAAAAGAACTTTAGCATGGTATTGAAGGAATTAGAAATGAATTTGGAGTGCTTTTTATGTATGTTGTCTTCTTCAATACTGAAAATTTGTCCTTGGTTCTTAAAAGCATTCTGTACTAATACAGCTCTTCCATAGGGCAGTTGTTGCTTCTTAATTCAGTTCTGTATGTGTTCAACATTTTTGAATACATTAAAAGAAGTAACCAACTGAACGACAAAGCATGGTATTTGAATTTTAAATTAAAGCAAAGTAAATAAAAGTACAAAGCATATTTTAGTTAGTACTAAATTCTTAGTAAAATGCTGATCAGTAAACCAATCCCTTGAGTTATATAACAAGATTTTTAAATAAATGTTATTGTCCTCACCTTCAAAAATATTTATATTGTCACTCATTTACGTAAAAAGATATTTCTAATTTACTGTTGCCCATTGCACTTACATACCACCACCAAGAAAGCCTTCAAGATGTCAAATAAAGCAAAGTGATATATATTTGTTTATGAAATGTTACATGTAGAAAAATACTGATTTTAAATATTTTCCATATTAACAATTTAACAGAGAATCTCTAGTGAATTTTTTAAATGAAAGAAGTTGTAAGGATATAAAAAGTACAGTGTTAGATGTGCACAAGGAAAGTTATTTTCAGACATATTTGAATGACTGCTGTACTGCAATATTTGGATTGTCATTCTTACAAAACATTTTTTTGTTCTCTTGTAAAAAGAGTAGTTATTAGTTCTGCTTTAGCTTTCCAATATGCTGTATAGCCTTTGTCATTTTATAATTTTAATTCCTGATTAAAACAGTCTGTATTTGTGTATATCATACATTGTTTTCAATACCACTTTTAATTGTTACTCATTTTATTCACTAAGCTCGATAAATCTAACAGTTACTCTTAAAAAAAAAAAAAAAAGACTAAGGTGGATTTTAAAAATTGGAAACTGACATAATGTTAGGTTATAATTTCTCATTTGGAGCCGGGCGCAGTGGCTCACGCCTGTAATCCCAGCACTTTGGGAGGCCAAGGTGGGTGGATCACCTGTGGTCAAGAGTTCAAGACCAGCCTGGCCATCATGGTGAAACCCCATCTCTACTAAAAATACAAAAATTAGCCAGGCGTGGTGGCTGGCGCCTGTAATCCCAGCTACTCAGGAGGTTGAGGCAGCAGAATTGCTTGAACCCAGGAGGCAGAGGGTTGCAGTGAGCCGAGATAGCACCATTGCACTCCAGCCTGGGCGACTCCATCTCAAAAAATAAAAATAAAAAAAATGTCTCATTTGGGAAGGAAATTCCTTTTAAAAAAGAGTTGAGACACTTAGAAAACTAATGTTTTATATTTAGTCAAGAGTTATTTAAGAAAGTCAAGCTTGTTTAACAACAAAATATGAAGATTTAAGTGTTAATTGCTGGATCCATTTTAAAATAAGATTTTAATTAACATTTGTAAATGGTATATTTTCGTTTGTAACAAACCATTGTCTTTTTTCAAGGATGAACAGAGTTTATGAAGGAGCATCATTCTAAGAATTAAGTGATGTAGTCTTTATGTTTGGACAGTTCACCAGATTCTCAAGAAGGCTTTCAAACAACTATAAAGTTTGATGTTTGTCCTGCTGAGCTAATGGGGAAAGTTATAGCATAAAAATTGTGTAACCGCATAGATATGTCATTTTTAAAAACTGGTTTAACAGAAATCAAGCAAAGTCACAAATATGTTCACAAGTTGGAATTATTTATTGAGTCAAAATGTCGAATCGAACATTTTGAATGAAGTAAGTGTTATAAATGAAAAATTGCCTGATGTTTAGCAGTTTGTATTCTCTAAAGCTTTTTTTCAAAAGTTCAGGCTTTCTACTTACTGGGAAGTTGGTGGTCCTCTTAGTCCCTGATAAATCAAGGCAATCACATTCATGTGAGCTGGATGAATTTATAAGTTATAAAGACCTTATCCTTCATACCTTGAGGATGATTGCACTGGTTTTGAAGTCAGTTGCTTAATGATGAGGTGAGAAATGTATCCTGTTGCTAAATCTGTCTTAGACCCTTGGTGAAACTTGAAGATTTCAGTTTATAAAGATAAAATCAAGCATCTTTTGTGCAGTTTTCTTTTTTTAATGCAAGAATGGTGGGGAGGTTTGTTTGTAAGCATGAAACTTTGAGAATCTTTATTAAGAAAATGACATAATTTTTAAAAACCTTGTAGCCAAGAACATATGTGGCCACATTACCAGTAATAAATGTTTTTCTCTTTATATTGGCCAAAAGGGAATAAAAATGTCATCATAGGAATTTGTACATATGCTACTGATTTGCCTAGAAAATAGCAAGTTTGATATTGCTCACTTTGCAAATATAGGGCCATGTGGCACTTTTATCTATAGGACAGATTAATAAAAATGAAGTGGGGAGGGGTTTATTTTTGATATATTACTCTTATGAGTTTTCAAGCTTTGATAATGTTTAACTGAAAAGTGGCTTAGAAAGGGCTAGATCCAATGTGTTCATTATTAAATAATTGCTATCAGATACAATTTTAAGTTCATTCTTTTTCAAACTCAAGTACCATATTGGCAACCATAATATTGTCATAGGTGCTCTCTTCATTTAGATATTCTTGGGGGGGGTGGCATTTGTATAATATATGTGTACATATATATATATATATATATATATACATACAGTATATAATCTAAAGCTCTGAGAGCTCTTAAGTCAGGAATGCTGAGTATTATAGTATATTGAGGTCAGATGAAATTTTACATTTTTGTGTGTTCTGTTGCATTCCTTCTGGTAGTTTCTATGACTGCATTACTCCAGCACTCATGATTGATTTTATCTTCTAATTTTCTTCCAAGTATTTTATTTTTTATTAGTTTTCTTTGGCTTGATACTTTTAAATATGTTACTAGTCACTTGAAAGCCTCTCCCCCAAAAGTATTTGGTTTGTATGCTTTGTCTGTGGCAGCTATAACAGTGGTAAGAACATTTTGAAGATAGCTTTTTAAAGGAACCACTGATTTTTTCAAAAATCATCCTGGGGGAGGAATTTTGGCATTTCATTTGAGCAGGGATTTTGTCAGAAAATGTGTTTTGATGGTAGGTCAGCAGCAGTGCTAGTCTCTGAAAGCACAATACCAGTCAGGCAGCCTATCCCATCAGATGTCATCTGGCTGAAGTTTATCTCTGTCTCTCAGGATAAATCCCTGTAGGACAAATCCCTACTATCATTTCTACCTTTTGGGGTGACATGTGGAATCATACAAAGGCTTAGGAAGAAATACGTTTGTTTAAACCAGGATGCTTTACTTACTTGAAGTGACTTCAATCTAGATTTCTTTTAATATTTAACAAATTTTTAATTCTATGATCAGCCACAGTCAGCTATTACCATAAATTGGTCTCTGTTTATTTTGAAGATCACGGCTGCTTCATTTTGCAGGATTAAGTAGGGCTAATGTATCTTAAAGTTAAGATCTTGAATTAAAGTGAGTTTTAGAAATAGTGTTACATACCTTTTCAGTTGTTTTCAAGAGGCTTTATTTTTGTTGCCTTTGTAGCCCTGAAAGCTGTTGGTATATTTTTTCCCTCATGGACCCAATAGAAAAGTTGTATATTTATTTGGATTATATTTACATTCTGTCCTTTGTAAATGTTTGGTGTAACTTGCACTTTTTTAAATGACCCAGTTTGGGTATTAGCAACTTAAGAAATTCCCTCATCAAGTAATTCTCAACTTTTTAGTCTTTCTCCTCTCTTCAAATCATGTGACTTTTTAAATGGAAGTTTTTCATTGATTAAAATATTTTAGCACCTAAAAGCTAGCCTTAAAAACAGCTGTAAAAGAAAAACATCAGGAAATTAGATATGACTAGCCCAGTTAATTAAAAGACGGGCTCAAACCTTGTTTTATTCTTTTTCATCTTGGATGAAGATTGAAGGGAAAATAACTCAAGTGCATAATATTTATTTTCAATTTTTAATGAGACTTTATCCTCATCACAACATTAATACTGTACATAGTATGCCAAAATATCCATTAATTTGTCTAGAATAGTACAAGACTTTTTAAAGCAATTGTCCTCACAGAGACCACATGTAATATACTGAAATATGTTCATTTTTAATGGCTTTGTTAACATCAAAGAAATGCTGCCTAAATTTGATTTCAGATGAGGAAGGAGAAAGTAAAGTGTGCATAGTAAGGCTGTAGGTGAAGAGTTGTGAGATAAATAGTTCACTCAGTTGTACAAAGCACAACTAGAACTTTTTGTTGGGAGGCTTACATACATCTTGAATATTCTTAATGTAATAATGTTGACTATTAAGTTGGCTACACAGTCACTGTATGTACTAGGAACTGGTTTCCTTGACATTCTAGAATCAATGGCTAGGAGAGGCATTAATCTTTGAGGGGCTGAACATATCATGAAGCTGAGTCAGTATGGAAAATTTTCAAATAAACAGGGTGCTGAAGTTCCATCTGTCTCATCTGCTTATGATAAGTTCTTATTGATTAGTGAATGTAGCTTAAGCCTTTGTATGTGTCCTCAGGGGGCAGACCGACTTTAAGAGGGACCAGATAACGTTTGAATGGAGGGATTATATTTCAGGTGTTTTAGCTTGAAATTTATTTTTTAAAAAAAGAAAAATTTAAAAAATATATAAATAAAATAGAACAAAGCCGGTGATGCAAGTTGATATTATAAACAGGCAGTTTTAGCACAGAAAGAAAATACTGACCTGTCTGCATTCTGGTACGGTGGGTGCAGGTCCCAGCTGGGTATGACATGATACATTTTTAATTATTCTCACCAGCAAGTAAAAGGAAAATGAACAATCTTTTGGAATTGTCTTTGAAAAGGATCAAAGAGTAGGAAATTCACATTTGACCTAACATTACTTGCCTATAGAAGTATGGCATTTCCAAGCTTTTGTCTGAGGAGCATCTCAGAGAAGTGAGAGTAAATCTGAGTTAGCTTAAAAATTGGTAGGGAGGAAGAAAATCTCTGCAAATAATGATTTTATGTTTGTTGGCCAAGTGAAATGATCTATCATTGTGTTTGGGAGGTTTTATTTTCTTATGTTTTTAAAATTGGTAAATGCTTTATAGATGTATTTTTATCCAAGTGCCACTCCAATTTGTGTATGTAATAAAATTATTTATATTAAAAGTGGGAAATAATTGTCAACATTTTTTTTGAGTATAGATTTATTAGGGGTGGCAAAGAAGAGTGCTAGTTAGCAGTTTTCCATGTAAAGTTGTCCTTGACTGATTTGTCCACATGTCAGTTGTAACTCCCCCACTCCCTGCAAAAGGAATTATTTCTAACCCAGATGTATCACTTGAAACTTTTTAGAAGCAAAATAATCAGGGAAGTTCCTAGAAAGGTGTTTGGCTTTTTGGTTTTTGAGGGTTGGGGTAAAGAAGACTTCCCCCACAACTGTCAGCACAAAACAGGGTATTGATTTTTAACTCTGATGTTTCTATTGGAGTTGAATACTAAATAAATAACTATAATGAGGGAAATACATTTCTAATAAAATTCCCTACATTCTAGAAACATCCCTGTTTTAATTTTTTTATCTAAATCTTTTTGTGCTTTATGTGTAAAGAAAAAAATGTACTGAGTTACAATGCATTTTATTAACACTATGTACATAATAGCTGCTTTGTGTTCAGAATAGTAGCAGTTGCTTTGTATATTAAAGTGATCCTTGTGAATTTGTGAAATATTGTCATAAAGTGCTTTTTCTTACTGTAATCTTTGTGGTATCAACTGTCATAATGCTCTTTTTACACAAACATTTATGTGCAGTCACATAAACATGCTTTTAAAAACTCTGTAAGTCTCTTTTTTGGGGATGGGATCTCTATATTTTGTTGGGTTTTTTTTGCTAGTAGTGTGAAGCCATGTTTTATTGGACTTAAAGTTACAATATATTACAAGCTTGTGTTGGAAGGCAGCAAAACTAATTCAGACAACAACATGTCTTCAGTTACTGGATCCCTAATTTTCAGGACAAAACCTGTTTTTCAATAAGATTGAACAGTGCCTATTTGTGGATTTGGAGATGTTACTGTCAAGATGACTAATGGAGACATACGACCAGCTGTGTCTGATGTCATAAAACACGTGTTCACTGAAAGGACAATAAGACTATATACCTTCTCAGGTCCCCTTGCAATTCTAAAACTCTGTGATCATATAAATTGGAAGGAAAGGGGAGGGGATATGGTTAATCTTTGCTTAAGCTGTAAGAATAAAAAAGTTATCTCCTATACTATTAACTTCTGAAATAAGTTCTGAGACGAGACATCTGAAAATAAGCAGCTGCATTATTTGTATGTTTCTTCACTGCCAAGATGTGTTCAAGCCTGCTATACCTGCCATTGTATTGGAAGGCTTAATGAATTTCATTTATTTTCTGCAACAACGATTACAGAATTTATTGCACAAAATGAGACATTTTGAGAGTGATATTAATTACATGAGGGACAATAGGCATGAACTAGGATTGTTCTAAGCAAATCGGAATCGGGTCACCCTGCCACGTTCAGGTGCTTGGACCTTCAGGAAAAGATTGCCCATCTTGTCATTTGACCAGGCACTGAAGTGACAAGACCATCCTTGAGAAGTCACATCCAAAGATAAAATTCTGATCCATTTCTAGTTTTAGTGTTTCGCCACTGAAGACTTAACATATGTCTTTTACACTCAGGTTGCAAAACACAGGCCCAAGACAAACTTAACTTCTCCCCCAAATCTTCCTTCCGCTGGTTTTTCCATCTCGTAAGTGGTGCCACTATCCATCTGTTAAATTGTTTAGGGGAAACCTAGAAAAGCACTACCTTAATCAGTGTTATCCTTCTTCTTAACTGTGCGTCCTAATTTCTCCACATCTTTCTTAAGTGCAGTGACCAAACCGGATGAGAATTCTAACACGGGCCTGACATCAAATGGAAAGGAAGGATAATGTCCAGGAGTTGGAATGTTATCCTTGTTTTTAATTAAGATGCAATTCACATAAATTAACTTTTTAAGTGAACAATTAAGTGGTAGTACATCCACAATGGTGTACAACCACCACTTCTATCTAGCTCCAAAACATTCTCATCACTCCAAAAGTAAAGTCCCGTTACTCTCCATTTTCTCCTCCCACCGCCCTTGTCCCTGGCAACCACCAATCTGCTTCCTGTTTCTTTGGATTTACATCCGGGTATTTCATGTGAGACTCATACACTGTGTATTACTTCTTTCGTCTAGCTTTAATGTGTTGTTGAGGTTGATCCATTGTAACATGTTATCACTACTTCATTCCTTTTTATAGCTAAGTATACTTTTTATAGTAAGTATGCCATTGTAGATATATACCACAAGTTTATCGATTCATCCAGTTGAGTTGTTTCTACTGTTTGGCTAATGTTCATAGTGCTGTTATGAATGTTCGTGTACAAGTATTTGAGTCCGTGTTTTCAATTATTTGGGGTATATGCCTGGGAGTGGAGTTGCTGGGTCATGTTGAAATCGCACATTTAACTTTTTGAGGAACTGTCAAACTTTCCCTCAGCAGCTGTACCGTTTTACCTTCCACCATTGATGTATGAGGGTTCCAATTTCTCCACACCTTCACCAACACTTATTTTGCCATTTTAAAAATTATAGCCATCCTCATGGGTGTGGTCTCTCATTGTGGTTTTGATTTGCATTTCCCTGATTACTAATGATGTGGAGCATCTTTTGTTGTCTTTGGCCATCTGCGTATCTTCTTTGAAGAAATGTCTGTTGAGGTCCTTTGTTCATTGAAATTTTGTTGTTGGGTTCTGAGTTCCTTATATATTCTGGGTACTAGGCCCTTATAATATTTTCGCCTATAAGTTTTTGCTTTATAATGTCCTCATTGTTTTCAAACTTACTTTATGTAATATGTACACTTCTAAAAAAAAGAAACATGGAAAAGGGCAAACTGTAAGAAGTTTTTTGTGTTATGTTTTTTGTGACAGTCTGTGCATATATACACAAATATAATGTATGTTCTCTCCTCCTCCCTCTCCCTTTTTTTACACAAAAGGTAGGTACAAACAGTGGTTTATAAACTGCTGCCATTGTACAGATACAGTTTAACCAGTCCTCTTCTGGGGACATTTGGCTGTTTGAAATTTTTTACTGTTACAGATATACAGAGGTTGGTAACTAGGTCTACACAAGTTGTATCTCCAGGATACTGAGAAGTAAAAGTTATTTCTGAATTATGGTTTTCTTCATATTTGGATATTGTTTCCTAATGATTATTAGGTATCTGCTAAGCAATTTTTATTAACTTATGTTGATTACTATTTTTATGTCAAACTTTACAGTCTAGGCATTTTTTTCTGGAATTAAAATTAGAAGTGGCACAGACTTTCATAAGGCTTTCCTTTTCTCATCTCTGTTAATACTGTTTTCTTTCTAATATCCTCAGAAATAACTGTTCTTAGCAAAGAAACAAGTTTTCAATATGCCATCTTTTCTAGTGTTACTAAATTTTTAACCCCTCTGGTTGTAGAAGGAAAGGTGTAACATGATTTTAGAGCAGAAAGCTAACAATTAAATCTTCAAGTTGGGCCGGGGTGCGGGTGGCTCACGCCTGTAATCCCATCACTTTGGGAGGCCGAGGCAGAGGAGGGCAGATCACCTGAGGTCAGGAGTTCGAGACCAGCCTGACCAACATGGTGAAACCTCATCTCTACTAAAAAATACAAAAATTAGCCAGGCATGGTGGCAGGCGCCTGTAATCCCAGCTACTCGGGAGGCTGAGGCAGGAGAATCACTTGAACCCAGGAGGCGGAGGTTGCAGTGAGCCGAGATTGCGCCATTGCACTCCAGCCTGGGCGACAGAGCAAGGCTCCCGTCTCAAAAAAAACTTCAAGTTTTAAGGTAAAACAGAGCTAAGGACTGTCCGGTGTCATGCTGTTTATGTCAGTGCTAAGATAGTACAAGTTTCCAGCTTCCCAGAGGAGGGTTCTCTATACTCACTGTACTTACCAATTCATGTTAAAGACCTTGAGAAAGCTACTTCTCTCTAGGTAGAGGTTCTGGGGAGCAGTGAGGTTGTGACTTCGTCTAACACTAACACAAATTACAAGTCTGTTTTACCAACTATTAAGTGAAGTCCTATATCTAGGGCCACTTAACAGTACTGGGGTACATTATATAGTGATTTTTTAAAGTACTTTAAAATTTTATTTTTGTTCATTTTTAAAGAATTGGCAGTAAATGCTTCCCATAAATAGCAATTAAATGGTATTATTATTGGAGGTGAATCTTTTGCATT
Organism: Homo sapiens; assembly: GCF_000001405.40. Lineage (NCBI taxonomy): Eukaryota > Metazoa > Chordata > Mammalia > Primates > Hominidae > Homo > Homo sapiens. Next base: position 207,606,902 of record NC_000002.12, read on the forward strand.
ATGGTAATTTTGTTATTCAGCATATGCCTTGATACTTTAATATCCCTGAGAATTTATTTCTCCCATACCTTCGGCAAGGAGAAATAAAGCACATAAATTAGGCATATGGTAACTCATCTGTAAAGGAATGTGTATTTTTCATGAGTCAGTGTGAACTCCCTTTTTGAACAGGGTACCATGTTACCACTTGAAATACAGAATATAAGGTCGGGCCTGGTGGCTCACACCTGTAATCCCTGCACTTTGGGAGGGCGAGGCAGGTCGATCACGAGGTCAAGAGTTCAAGACCAGCCTGGCCAATATAATTAAAACCCCATCTCTACTAAAAATACAAAAAATTAGCTGGGCATGGTGGCAGATGCCTGTAATCCCAGCTACTCAGGAGGCTGAGACAGAAGAATCGCCTGAACCCAGGCAGAGGCTGCAGTGTGCCAAGATCACACCACTGCACTCCACTCCACCCTGGGTAACAAGCAAAATTCCATCTCAAAAAAAAGAAAGAAAGAAAGAAAGAAAGAAAACGATATATGGATATATGCTATCATCCTTGCCTTCTAGGAGCATAAATTGTATTTGCTAAGATAAAACATTCCAAATAATGTTATTCTGCCCTGAGTTTGCAATCTAGTGTTCAGTTAACAGATAAAAGCATTTTGATCAACTACTATTTGAAGATGGTATCCAGGCCATCTACCATGAACTAAAGCAAGCTACCCTTTAAGTGATAATCTACTTCAAAAACAGCATTCTTTACAGTGGGGTTCCAAGAACCTGGTATCATACATACATTTTAACATAGCATCTTGGCAGCAGTATTTGGTATTAATTGGGGGAAAAATTAGTGATACCACTGGATTATTTAACTGCATAACTTTAAAGAAATTGGGCAATGTGAGTGAGAATCAAGACTTAGTAAAATAGGTTTGGATTAGGTTTCTATCTTTGAAAACAAAACAAGCACACTTAAAATGTACATTTATGTGATAAAATATGTAAGTAAAAAATAAGTCCCAACTTCACTGACATTGGTAGTGGACACTGTGGTGTGCTGCCCAGATACGCGCGCTCGCTCTCCTCTCACACACACCCCACACCTGAAACACTCATTTCCCCAGCTTCCAGGAATGTTGGTGGCTGATGGCTCCCAACTGACTCCCTCTCCAATATTGTCTTCAGCCTCAGGTTATAAACCTTGTATCCACTAGTCCATGCAGGGTCATAAAGGACCATCACCCTGCCTCAATATGGCCTAACTGCAGGACCATCTCAGCTCTAAAGAATTAGCTGAGGACTTCCCCGACTACATCCCAGCCCAATTTCTTCCTCTTTCCCAGTCTGTCTTCTTTCCAAGATCAGAATATTGATCTTGGAAAAAGCATTCCCATATGAACTTTTCACACCCTAATCTCAATCTTTGAGTCTATTTCCCCAAGGAACCTGACCTGCAACAACATTCTAAGTCCAAAGCCAAGAAAATCACTTGATTTTCACTTGGACAACCCAACTATTTCTGATGATTTTTTTTTTTCTTGCCTGTGCTTCTAATTTGTAGGGCAAGGGAAAAAAGCTGCCTTCAAATTTTTCTGATTCTTAATGTTTTATGAAAACAGAAAACAACCCAATAACAGCTTACCTCATTTGGTAGATCACCCAGGGATATTATTGAAGCTCCCCACCTCTAACCCACCCTGCCCCATCCACGTTAACTTCCATCTCCAAAGTTAATGAATCTTAAAGAAACTGAACTCTGCCGGGCGCGGTGGCTCACGCCTGTAATCCCAGCACATTGGGAGGCTGAGACAGGTGGATCATGAAGAGATCGAGACCACCCTGGCTAACACGGTGAAACCCCATCTCTATTAAAAATACAAAAAATTAGCCGGACCGTGGTGGCAGGCACCTGTAGTCCCAGCTACTCGGGAGGCTGAGCCAGGAGAATGGCGTGAATACGGGAGGCGGAGCTTGCAGTGAGCTGAGATCGTGCCCCGCACTCCAGCCTGGGTGACAGAGCGAATATGCATTCCCAATAACATACCTAAGTGGGACTGGCTTGTCATTATGGTGTTGGTGATACTGCCAGGCTTTATTTTGTTTTAAACAATCTTTCATATTCATGGTGCAGTACTGACATTTTATGGATTCAGTAAGCTATGGACATTTCCATTTCATGTGTATTAGAATTGTGTTGAACTGGTATATCACAGAATGCTCACAACTTTTAATCCATCTTTATTAAAGTGAAACTACTACTTCAATATATGCAGAAAACAACATATTGGATATTTTCACCTCTGGGATAAAGGTTCAAAAGGAAGAGAACGTCCTGTTTTTAAGATTTTATAAAAGAAATCTATCTCTAGTACCAAATACCATATTGAGATTATAATATTCTTGCAGTCTAAATTTAAGCTATTGTTTAAACTTTTGCATTGTAAAAAGAAAAGTTCATGTGTGTGTGTGAGATGTCAAAGTGTATCATAGATAATCCTAAAACAATATAACAATCATTTAACCCAAAGTCAATGCCCTTTAAATGGAATGTATCTTTTTCATTATTTGGTTATGAAATATACAGAAGGTACTGGGGAAGCAACAATGGAAGAGGCAGAAGCATTCTTGGCCCTCAAGGAGCTTACACTCTACAGGGCAATACTACCACTGAATGAGCAATTACAAGTCCAATACAAAAGGAGCTTATATGTAGGAAGCTAACCTCTCAGGCAGGGATGAGATTTAAAACTTTTAATGTCATCCTATGCGTTGTTAAGGAAGCAGGGAAAGCTTGGGAAAGAACTGCATTAAGACATTTGAGCAAGGGTAAAACAGAAGGGGAAAACCTCAGCTCTTGACTTGAAATAGAAAACCTATTCCCTCCCTCTCCCTCTCCCTCCCCCTCCCTCTCCCTCTCCCTCTCCCTCTCCCTCCACGGTCTCCCTCTGATGCCGAGCCAAGGCTGGACGGTACTGCTGCCATCTCGGCTCACTGCAACCTCCCTGCCTGATTCTCCTGCCTCAGCCTGCCGAGTGCCTGCGATTGCAGGCGCGCACCGCCACGCCTGACTGGTTTTCGGTTTTTTTTGGTGGAGACGGGGTTTCGCTGTGTTGGCCGGGCTGGTCTCCAGCTCCTAGCCGCGAGTGATCCGCCAGCCTCGGCCTCCCGAGGTGCCGGGATTGCAGATGGAGTCTCGTTCACTCAGTGCTCAATGGTGCCCAGGCTGGAGTGCAGTGGCGTGATCTCGGCTCGCTGCAACCACCTCCCAGCCGCCTGCCTTGGCCTCCCGGAGAGCCGAGATTGCAGCCTCTGCCTGGCCGCCACCCCGTCTGGGAAGTGAGGAGCGTCTCTGCTTGGCCACCCATCGTCTGGGATGTGAGGAGCCCCTCTGCCTGGCTGCCCAGTCTGGAAAGTGAGGAGCGTCTCTGCCCGGCCGCCATCCCATCTGGGAAGCGAGGAGCGCCTCTTCCCCGCCGCCATCCCATCTAGGAAGTGAGGAGCGTCTCTGCCCGGCCGCCCATCGTCTGAGATGTGGGGAGCACCTCTGCCCCGCCGCCCTGTCTGGGATGTGAGGAGCGCCTCTGCTGGGCCGCAGCCCTGTCTGGGAGGTGGGGAGCGTCTCTGCCCGGCCGCTCCGTCTGAGAAGTGAGGAAACCCTCTGCCTGGCAACCGCCCCGTCTGAGAAGTGAGGAGCCCCTCCGTCCGGCAACCACCCCGTCTGGGAAGTGAGGAGCGTCTCCGCCCAGCAGCCACCCCGTCCGGGAGGGAGGTGGGGGGGGTCAGCCCCCCGCCCGGCCAGCCGCCCCGTCCGGGAGGTGAGGGGCTCCTCTGCCCGGCCGCCCCTACTGGGAAGTGAGGAGCCCCTCTGCCTGGCCAGCCGCCCCGTCCGGGAGGGAGGTGGGGGGATCAGCCCCCCGCCTGGCCAGCCGCCCCATCCGGGAGGTGAGGGGCGCCTCTGCCCGGCCGCCCCTACTGGGAAGTGAGGAGCCCCTCTGCCCGGCCAGCCGCCCCGCCCGGGAGGGAGGTGGGGGGGTCATCCTCCCACCTGGCCAGCTGCCCCATCCGGGAGGGAGGTGGGGGGGTCAGCCCCCCGCCTGGCCAGTCGCCCCGTCCGGGAGGTGAGGGGCGCCTCTGCCCGGCCGCCCCTACTGGAAAGTGAGGAGCCCCTCTGCCCGGCCAGCCGCCCCGTCCGGGAGGGAGGCGGGGGGGGGGGGGGGGGTCGGCCAGCCGCCCGGTCCGGGAGGGAGGTGGGGGGGGTCAGCCCCCCTTCCGGCCGGCCGCCCCGTCCGGGAGGTGAGGGGCGCCTCTGCCCGGCCGCCCCTACTGGGAAGTGAGGACCCCTCTGCCCGGCCAGCCGCCCCGTCCGGGAGGGAGGTGGGGGGGACAGCCCCCCGCCCAGCCAGCCGCCCTATCCAGGAGGTGAGGGGCGCGTCTGCCCGGCCGTCCCTACTGGGAAGTGAGGAGCCCCTCTGCCTGGCCAGCCGCCCCGTCCGGGAGGGTGGTGGGGGGGTCAGCCCCCCGCCCGGCCAGCCGCCCCATCCGGGAGGTGAGGGGCGCTTCTGCCCGGCCGCCCCTACTGGGAAGTGAGGAGCCCCTCTGCCCGGCCACGACCCCGTCTGGGAGGTGTGCCCAGCGGCTCATTGGGGATGGGCCACGATGACAATGGCGGTTTTGTGGAATAGAAAGGCGGGAAGGGTGGGGAAAAAATTGAGAAATCGGATGGTTGCCGGGTCTGTGTGGATAGAAGTAGACATGGGAGACTTTTCATTTTGTTCTGTACTAAGAAAAATTCTTCTGCCTTGGGATCCTGTTGATCTGTGACCTTATCCCCAACCCTGTGCTCTCTGAAACATGTGCTGTGTCCACTCAGGGTTAAATGGATTAAGGGCGGTGCAAGATGTGCTTTGTTAAACAGATGCTTGAAGGCAGCATGCTCGTTAAGAGTCATCACCACTCCCTAATCTTAAGTACCCAGGGACACAAACACTGCGGAAGGCCAAGGCCGCAGGGTCCTCTGCCTAGGAAAACCAGAGACCTTTGTTCACTTGTTTATCTGCTGACCTTCCCTCCACTATTGTCCTATGACCCTGCCAAATCCCCCTCTGCGAGAAACACCCAAGAATGATCAATAAAAAAAAAATAAATTAATTAAAAAAAAAAAAAAAAAAAGAAAACCTATTCAAGATTTCAGGTGCTTTTTTTTTTTTTTTTTTTTTTTTTTTTTGAGATGGAGTCTCGCTCTTGTCCCCCAGGCTGGAGTACAATGGTGCAATCTCAGCTCACTGCAACCTCTGCCTCCCAGGTTCAAGCGATTCTCCTGCCTCAGCCTCCTGAGTAGCTGGGATTACAGGCGCCTGACACCACGCCCGGCTAATTTTTGTATTTTTAGTAGAGATGGGGTTTCACCATGTTGGCCAGGCTGGTCTTGAACTCCTGACCTCAGGTGATCTGCCCGCCTCGGCCTCCCAAAGTGGTGGGATTACAGGCATGAGCCACCGCATCCGGCCAGATTTCAGGTGCTTTTAAAAAGTAACTGAAATTTTATTTTTACTTAATTCCTTTATTTATATATATATATATACCTGAAATTAAGGCAAAAAGCATGATATGAGACCCAAAAAAGCTCATATCCTACTCAACTAAAAGTGTTTAGGACCTAAACAGGGCAAAAGATTTAAATAGCACTAACAGCTCAAGGAATGTATAGGTTAAACCTTTTGTTTTACATCCAGAAAATTAGAAAACTCAGCTAAACATTGTATATATCACAAGGTTTTAAAAATAATTTGTAAGATTTAATCTTACCAAGAAAGCTTACTCATTTAAAGACTTCTTTATACCGGCCCTTCATATCATCAGTGGAAACTGTTTATTAAAAGGGAGGAGTATGGGATACACAAATAGCATAAATCGAAATCTCACACTTAATCCTTTAATGTTAATTGCATTTCAGACTGAGTAAAGTCTGACTAAAAATCACAGCAATGGGACAAAGCACTGCTTTGTTTTAAAACTGCACATGTGCTTTCTCCCCTGAGAACCTTTGGCTTAGACTTTTTGTACAGTAAGACATTTCATTAAATATGGTTAGATTTGCAGTCTAAGACCTTAAGTGACACACTCAATGACAACATTCTTATAAATTATAGCCAATTATAAGTCCTCCTTCTGGTTTCTCTTCTGTGCTTCGTAAATATGTACATCTTTTTCAGGATCGTAGTGAACCTTTCTCACAGTAAATTGCCTCTCCAGCATTGCTAAGAAGTTGTTATCCCGTTCATAGCGAATTCGGCATGCTAAAAGAATCACAGAGTGATTGCTACAGAGATGTTCCAGTGTCTGAAGAAGATCTGTGAATGTTTCTTCTAAATATATGATATCAGCACCAAGTATCAGGTCAAATTCTCCAGGAGAAAAACTCCCCAAATTTTGTCCCCAAGTCAGCTCCTTAACAACAGTTTTAGTTTGGATATGAGGAGGTAAGTTGGCTTGAACGTTTGATTTAAGAAATTCTAATGCTACTTTTCGATCCGTGATAGTCACATGAGCACCTACAATGTGGAACAAAGAAAAAGTGATGTGTACATCAGTACAATTCTGTTAGGTAGAGAGGGGGTCAAGTTAAATGTAGAGTGTCTCTTAAATATTGCATCTGATATGCATAATATCAATCACACCTTTCATGGACAGCTGCAATAGAAAAATGACTCACAGCTCCTTTTGCATTAACTACTGGTAGAAGTGACTCTTGATTTGCCTCTATGACATACCTGCTATTTGCTAAAATTGTGCCTATAAATTGCAGAATTGGCTGGGTGTGGTGGCTCATGCCTTTAATCCCAGCACTTTGGGAGGCCAAAGCGGGTGGATCACCTGAGGTCAGGAGTTGGAGACCAGCCTGGCCAACATGGCCAACTAAAAATACAAAATTAGCCAGGCATGGTGGCGGGCACCTGTAATCCCAGCTACTCGGGAGGCTGAGGCAGGGGAATCACTTAAACCTGGGAGGCAGAGGTTGCAGTGAGCTGAGATCTCGCCACTGCACTCCAGCCTGGGTGACAAGAGCAAAACTCCATCTCAAAAAAAAGTAGAATTAACCAGTGACACGGCTGATGCTTCTGAATTCTGCCAACAGAGCTGGCCCATACTTTATTCATTGGGTCATTATCTTTAAGTCAGTTGGCCGCAGGCTAAAATGGAATCCAAGAATGAAATATCTGGGAGCAGGCCAGGTACAGTGGCTCATGCCTGTAATCCCAGCACTTAGGGAGGCTGAGGTGGGAGAAGCCCTTGAGCCCAGGAGTTCAAGACCAGCCTGGGTAACACAGGGAGACTCCATCTCTACAAATAATTTTTTTTAATTAAGCACAGTGCACACCTGTGGTCTTAACTACTCAGGAGGCGGAGGTGGGATATCATGTGAGTATGGGAGATCGAGGCTGCAGTGAACTGTTATTGTGCCTGGGCAACAGAGCAACACCCAGTCTCAAAAAAAAAAAAAATATCTGGGAGCAGACTATTATTGCAAAGATGACAAGATACCAAAAACAGAGAAAGGCTGTTTTGTAAGGTTACAGTTTAAAAAAGAATCATGGAAGAAATAAATTGGCTACTAAGAAATCCCAGTCCACTTCTCCTTAGGCTGTTATGAAGCAGCCAACTTACATGTTTTACGTATTTCTTGAAAAATTGTAAGCTTAAAAATTACTTAATTTTATTAATGTAGGTTAAAATGCTTGTTCTTAATGCTAAGTTTCTACACACAGTGTAGAAAAACTAAACTGTTTCTTATGGGTTGTTGACAAAAAGATCCTTTTTTTTGAACCAATGTGGGTAAGAGAAGACCTTAAGGTGGAGCAAGCACATAAGGTCAGGTCGGATCCACCTCATCTACGTTGTAGGAAAGATATAATATGTGTAGTACTCTTTACTTCTGACCCCAGAAATTCTGAAATTTAAAATTATGTTTCAATCTTTCATAAAATTCTTTCCATTTGCATCCTTCTTCAGTTTGTAATCTTCATAGGTAATCTTCCCACAGGATTCCAGACTAGTTGCAATAAGCACTATTTCAGTGGCAGCTGATACTCAGTGTTTCTTATCTTGACACATAAGTTAGGGCAGTAATTCAATTTGACATTTACAGTCCTACTATGAGATACTGATGAAAATGCTCAAGTTGTTAGATTTTACAAGCCTGAACCTACCACTTTGACCATTCGTTGCTAGACAGTGTGTTGCCCAATGGATAGATTTCAATGACAGTTTTCATCTTTTCTGAAAATAAAAATTGCAGACAGCCAGGCCGAGTAGCTCAACCTGTAATCCAAGCACTTTGGGAGGTCGAGGCAGGAGCATCACTTGAGCCCAGAAGTTCAAGACCAGCCCTGACAACATAGAGAGATCCCATCTCCACAAAAAAATAAAAAAATTAGCCAGGCGTGGTGGCACTATTCAGGAGGCTGAGGTGGGAGGATCACTGGAGCCCAGGAGGTCAAGGCTGCACTTAAAAGAACAACTTTAGGCCAGGCGTGGTGGCTCACGCCTGTAATCCCAGCACTTTGGGAGGCCGAGGCAGGTGGATCATAAGGTCAAGAGATCGAGACTATCCTGGCCAACATGGTGAAACCCCGTCTCTACTAAAACTACAAAAATTAGCTGGGCATGGTGGCGCGTGCCTGTAGTCCCAGCTACTCAGGAGGCTGAGGCAGGAAAATTGCTTGAACCTAGGAGGTGGAGGTTGCAGTGAGCCGAGATCATACCACTGCACTCCAGCCTGGCAACAGAGTGAGACTCCGTCTAAAAAAAAAAAAAAAAGAAAAGAAAAGAAAAGAAAAGAACAACTTTAACTTACCACTTAAAGAACAAGTATTTTCACTTACATTACTGTCATACAATTCAGTAATTTTTCAGTGATTATATATGTATTACATAAACACATATAGATTGGCTGCTTCATAACAGCCTAAGGAGAGGTGGACTGGGATTTCTTAATAGCCAATGTCTCTCTTCTATGATTGTTTTTTTTTTCCCAAACATACAGAGAGGGTTTTGCCATGTTGTCCAGGCTGGCCTCCAACCCCTGGGCTCAAGCAATCCACCCGTCTTGGCCTCCCAAAGTGCTGGGATTACAGGCGTGAGCTACTGTACTCAGCCCTATTATTCTTTTTTAAAATTTTAACCTCACGATACAGGCTTTCCCTATTTTTGGTATTTTGTCATGTGAGCAATGAGCCATGGTCATGCCACTGCACTCCAGCCTGGGCAACAGAGCGAGACCCTATCTCTTTTAAAAAAAAAAAAATGCAGACAGCCTTTTCCAAGGTTTGAGTTAGAACTGTATCTCTGAATTTCTTAACAGTACACAGAGCACTCTGCAGGCAATATTGGAGTGACTGAGTCATCTGCACATCACCTCAGTATTCATTTTACCAGCTCATAGATAAAGGCCTTCTCTAATGCCTGTCCCAGGCATTTCAAAGGCTACTTCTAACCTGGTAGGTATTCCAGAAGTCTGAATAGGATCTTAATGTCAGTTGACCACCCCCTGTAATTCCACACATATCTGAATGACTACCATCAGCCATGGAACAGAAACCTCTCCCCTCATACAACTTACATTCAAGTGAGAGATAGGCAGTAAGACGTTTTTTAAAAAAACAGAATATCCGGCTGGGTGCGGTGACTCACGCCTGTAATCTCAGCACTTTGGGAGGCCAAGGCGGGTGGATCACCTGAGGTCAGGAGTTCGAGACCAGCCTGGCCAACATGATGAAACCCTGTCTCTACTAAAATTACAAAAAATTAGCCAGGCGTGGTGGCAGGCGCCTGTAATCCCAGCTACTCAAGAGGCTGAGGCAGGAGAATCGCTTGAACCCGGGAGGCAGAGGTTGCAGTGAAGATCGCCCTACTGCACTCCAGCCTGGGCGACAAGAGCGAAACTCCCATCTCAAAAGAAAAAATAGAGTGAAATCCAGCAGCAGCATTTCCTTCAGCCCCACTCAGCCACAGAGGCACAGACCAGGGACAGTGGAAGGCTGCAGTTAACCTGGCTTGTTTTGAAGCAAGGAAAGGCAGGGAGTCGGTGTCAACCGTACATGAAGATGGTGATAAAATGACTGCCTGTGAGATTTATGCTGGGTAAGGAGGGTGAGACAGTATTTAGTTCAGAAAAGACTAGTGGAGACTGACCCAATAGGACAACACAGTATGCTGTCCATTAGTAATGGGAAAAGAATGTATAAACATGTGTCATCAGTTTTCGTTTTAGTTTTATAACACCTTATTTATGCAAACATTCGAGCACATACTATGTGCTAGAGATACAAAGATGAGGAAGAAAGTCCTTACCCACAGCTCAAAAGTCTCATGTGGGAGAGACACATAAACACAGTTGTGATGCAGTGTGGGAAGAAAAATAATAGAAACATGAGTGTGCGCAGGAAATCATGAGGTCACAAAGGAGAAATTCTTCAAGAGGAGCAGAGGTCAAAGAAAAAATCCCAAAGGAAGGGAAATCTGAGCTTACGCTTAAAAGATGAGGCATGAACCAAGGAAAAGGTGTGAAGAAAGGGCATCCAAGGCAGATGGGACAGGCCAGAGCAGGATGTGTGTCCCAGGAACTTCATGCACTCCAATCTTGCTGAGAAAAAGTGAGGCTGAAGAGTCAGGCAGGATGCGATAACAAAGCCTTACTAAGACGCCTGGGATTTAGCCTGCAGGCAGGCAGTGGGAAGGCAAACAAGTGTTCAAGCACAGGTCATGCCATCAATTTTGCATTTCAGATGGGCCACTCTGACAGCTATTGAGAAAATAGGTTTAAAAAGACGAAACAGAGGCAGACAGGCCAGGTGGAAGAGTGATGTGATCATGCAGGCAGGTGACAGATGATGAGAGCTCAAGCCAGGCAGTGGGAGTGGACAGAGAGAGACAGATCCAGGAAATAGTTAAAAGACGGAATCAGTGGGACTCCAAGGGGTAGGGGAGGTAGACGGGGAGTCAAGGAGTTGGGTGGGGGCGGTGACTACTTAGAAGGTGATGCCAACTCAGAATAAAGGAGGAAGAACAAGTTTAGAAAGAAAAGAGTTTGGCTTTAAACAGATACCATTTGAGGTGCTGGGAAATAGCCAGGTATAGATATCCAGCTTTCAGTTAAACACACAAGCCATAAGTTCAGCTGAGATTTGCACTCGAATTACAGGAAAATCAAAGACAGTATCTTCCTCAGCATTATATTTCAAGACAGTGGTCCCCAGCCTTGGCTGGGCATCAAATCACATGGGAAACTTTTAAAATTCAGATTCCCTGACCCCATCCCAATTTACAGAATCCTCCTATCTTCAAGATGGGGTGTTTTTATTCTATGGATACAGCAGTTCCCTCTTATCTGCAAGGGATATGTTCCAAGACCCCCAGTGGATGCCTGAAACCACAGATAGTAACAAACCCTGTATATAAGATGCTTTTTCCAATATGTATATACCTATGGTAAAGTTTAATTTCTACATTATACACAGTAAGAGATAAACAATAAATAATAAAACAAGATAATTATAACAATATACCATAATAAAAGTTATGGGTGGATCACAAGGTCAGGAGTTCAAGACCAGCCTGGCCAAAATGGTGAAACCCCATCTCTATTAAAAATACAAAAAAAAATTAGCCTGGTGCAGAGGCAGGTGCCTGTAATCCCAGCTACTCAATGGGCTGAGGCAGGAGAATCGCTAGAACCCGGAGGCGGGGGCAGAGATTGAAGTGAGCCGAGATCGCACCACTGCACTCCAGCCTGGGTGACAGAGTGAGACTCCATCTCAAAAACAACAACAACAACAAAAGGTATGTGAATGTGGTCTCTCTCTCTCTCTAAAAAATATCTTATCATACTCTAGTCACCTGTTTTCAGACCAAGGCTGACAGTGGGTAACTGAAGCCAGGGAAAGTGATCACAGGTGAGGGGGGACTGCTACAGTTCCAAGTACCATAAGACCAGGGAGATTTTCAAACTAAGAACGAGGATTTGAGAGTCAGATTGGATTCAAATTCTAAGCACAATCCATTAGCTTTGTGACCTCAGGCAAGTTACTTACCCTCCAAGAAGCCTCCCTTTCACCACTGGAAGGGCGCTATAAGTAGGTAAGGCCTACTTACCATGCAGGGTGACTGTGAGAATGAAAGGGTGTAATGCACAGTCCTCAGAACACAGGAACTACTCAGGAATTAGCAGCTGGTTTTTAACAGGAAAGTCTCATCACCCTATATTAATATCTACATAGCACCGCTTTTTTTTTTTTTTTTTAATCTTCTTTCTTTACCTCTACCCACTAAACTCAGAACGTAAGCTTCCGGAGACACCTGCCAGCCTGTTTATTGCCCCATCCACAGTGGACCGCCAGGCTTCTGGTGGGTTCTCCCCAAATTCAGGAATAAATGACTAAGGTTACAAAAAGAGAATATACTTTAAAAAGAATAATAATTAATCTCTTCCTGACATTTCAAAATCACTACCTATTCTAGTACTCACTGATTCTATTTTGAAGAGACTAACATTTTCTTACCCTCAGGCTCCAACAGCAAAACTTCTCCAACCTAACACTTTGTAGTGACTACAAATAGTGAGTATGAAAATCATACAGTAGCAGAGAAATGCTTATGACATAATGTGAAAACATCATTTGTATAGGTGTGTGTATACGGATACACAAAACACACATACGCAGACATATATATTTACATATATATAATCATAATTACAACTATGATTAAAAATACAGATGGAGAGAAACAAAACATACCAAAATGCTAATGGTAACTCTGGTGGTATCTGAAATATCTTATTCTGACTTTCCCAACCCCAGAGAACCAGATTGCTAGATCAGAAAAAGCAGTTACTCAGAGAGTAATCAACACTCGTGGAGCACTTCCTTTGTGTCACTCAGTGAGCCAGCAGATGTTATACACGCAATCTCATTGGTTCCTCACTGTGGAGTAAATATTACTATTATGCACAATGTACAGATGGGGTAATCAATGTTTAAAGGTTAAGCAACTTGCCCAAGGTCACACGACTAGTAAGAATGAAAAGAAATGTCAAAACCAAGTATAACTAAGCCTATGCACTTTGCTACACTAACATGTCTATACACCAGCCAAGAAAGTTTTGCATGAAGCCCTGGTTCTCAGGAGGAAACAGAAGAAACCTCATTTCCCCTTATAGTAACTCTTATATCAGCAGAGAGAGAAGTTGGTGTTACAGAAAAAAATAAAACAGGCCAGGCACGGTGGCTCACTCCTGTAATCCCAGCACTTTGGGAGGCCAAGGTGGGCAGATCACCTGAGGTCAGGAGTTCGAGACCAGCCTGGCCAACATGGTAAAACCCCATCTCTACCAAAAATAAAAAATTAGCTGGGCGTGGTGGCACATGCCTGTAGTCCCAGCTACTAGGGAAACTAAGGCAGGAGAATTGCTTGAACCCGGGAGGCGGAGGTTGCAGTGAGCCGAGATCATGCCACTGCACTCCAGCCTGGGCAACAGAGTGAGACTCCATCTCAAAAAATAAATAAATAAAATAAAATAAAATAAAATAAAATAAAACAACTAACTGTGTCTAACAAGCCTGGTTTTGAGTCCCAGATCTCCAGTGATCAGGACTTCAGAAAGTAGCTTCATCTCCCAGAATCCCAGCTTTGTTTGAAAAATGAAAATTAAAAATAATACCTAACATACACGGGAATGTTCTAAGGCTCACCTGAAAAGAATAAAAGGCAGTGTACCAGCAAGGGCTTCATCGATGACTTAAGTGCTGTGGTTGAAGACGGACGGAAACCTCTGTCAATTTACACAGACTTTCAACCACCACCCCTGCCCATGCTCCCTGTCGAATTTTGGAAAGCAGCAGCTAAGCAGAAAAAGAAATAGTGAAAAAGTATTGGGTTTCTGGAAAACAGGCAGGACAAAAGAGGGGCTTTAGCTGGTCCTCAAATATCTGTAGACAATGCGATGGGTTTAGAATACTCTGGAATCCTGGATCCTTCCTACCCAAGTGTAGTCTGAGAACCAGCAGTGTCGGCATCACTACTGACATTTCTACTGCTTGTTAGAAATGCAGGTTCCCAGGCCCTGGTCCAGCCCTGCCAAATCAGAATCTGCATTTTAACAAGAGCACCAGGTGACAATATGGAAGTGATAAACATTATACATTGTATCTTGAAAGCTGGTCTACCCTTATGATTAGATAGCTTGAACTATATATGTCAGAAGTTATAGAAATGAGTCAATAGTCAATAATAAAAATAACAATGAAGCCTAAAAATGCTCTAGCTCCAAGCCTCAATTAATGTGTGTATACCAAATTTTAAAATGACAAACTTTGATATCAAGTCAGAACTGTATACTGTTCATACAATTTTAAAAATAAGAAGTCAGTACAAACTATAGTGGGGGCTAGCCCTCCCTACAAGAGAAAAACCAGCAAAGTTTCCTCAGCAATGAAGAAAAGACTATCTGCTCTATCTCCCTCACAGGGTTAAATCAGATAGTGTATGGGAAAGAAAGCCCCTGAATGTGAAAAAAACTCTATACATGGGTAAGATTATTCTCCTTGAATCAACTCACTTTAAGATCGTATTATTGGCATCACAGAATTGAAGGGGGCAGAGCAATCTCCCATGGGAAGTATAAATAACAGAGTGTGTGTGTGTGTGAGAGAGAGAGACAGAAATTAGAGAGAGAGAAATTAGCCCGTTAGCCTCACTGGAGTTAAGAACCCCAGCAGTTGGCCCACAACTCATAAGTATAAGCAAAAGATAATAACCCAGTAAGGGGAAAACCCACGAAGGGTTTTGCGCTAAGAAAACAGCAAATGCACCTCTCAATGAGTTCTGCTCACTAAGGAGTCAATGCATGACACTCACCCAGCAGGGCAGCCACTATGCCCACCAGCCCCGTGCCAGCACCCAGCTCCACGGCAGAGCGGCCCCTGAGCTCCACAGCTCCCATCTCCAGGTATGTGGAAAGAACGATGGCCTGAATGAAAACACAGTGTGATGACGATTAAGGTCAACATGTGCTTGAGTAGCTGCAGGGTTTCAGGTCAGCTACACCCACCCCTCTCCCACTTCGAGGTTCAATTCCCAGCTTAACAACACACACAGGAACTTAGCTGGTGCAGCAAGGTAACCTCCCCCTTAGAGCAAGCACAGGGTCCCACAGCAGTGCCCAGAGATGATGCCCACACTAAATGGGGTCCTGCTGGATCTGGAAAGCTTAATTTTTTTTTTTTTTTTTTTTTGAGATGGAGTCTCAGTCCATCTGTCACCCAGGCTGGAGTGCAGTGGCACAATCTCAGCTCACTGCAACCTCCACCTCCCAAGCTCAAGCGATTCTCCCACCTCAGCACCCCCAGTAACTGGGACACAGGCGTGCACCACCACACCCAGCTAATTTTTGTAGTTTTTTTGGTAGAGATGGGGTTTTGCCATGTTGGCCAAGCTGGTCTTGAACTCCTGAGCTCCTGCGTCAGCTTCCCAAAGTGCTAGGATTATAGGCGTGAGCTATCACACCCAGCCTGGAAAGCTTAACTTTTTACTGTGTCACAGCACTTTTATGCTTGAAGTTTACACAACTATTCTGCAAGAACTGACATGAACAATTTCTATGATTTTGTTTAAGGGAATGCCCAGTTCCTAAACCAAACTCAGGTCAGCAAAGCCACAACTTCACCCATAGGGAAAAAGCAACACATTGCCCAAGGGTCTCTGAACTGCGTCACTGATGGTCATCGCCCCACAGGGGCCCTCACCATACGTTTTGGGCATCAGAAGGTAAGTTTTGGCCAAAGTTTTGGATACTTGATGTGTGGTTTCAACATTTGTTTATGACCCTACAGAAAGAAGTGTATAAAGCTAACATAACTTGTTACTATAATTTATTTCTCACAGCCGCATACTGTGAGTATAATTGGCAATTCCTCTTCTTGGTGAGCATTTACGAGTCTTCCCATTCCTCGTTATTATTTATCTTTTTTTTTTTTTTGAGATGTAGTCTCACTCTGTCACCCAGGATGTAGTGCAGTGGTGCAATCCCAGCTCCCTGCAACCTCTGCCTCCCAGGTTCAAGCGATTCTCCTGCCTCAGCCTTCCGAGTAGCTAGGACTACAGGTGTGCGCCACCACGGCTAATTTTTGTATTTTCAGTAGAGATGGAGTTTCGCCATGTTGGCTAGGCTGGTTTCGAACTCTTGACTTCAAGTGATCTGCCCACCTCGGCCTCCCAAACTGCTGGGATTACAGGTGTGAGCCACCACACCAGGCCTATATCTTTATTATTACCAGAGTAACTTCCATGTAGTTACCTGGACTGGATTCCTAGAAGTGGTATTACTACATTAGAATATATTGAGATTTTTATTCCTACGTGTTTAACATCCCTAACAATGTTAAAACTGTCAAACTGTATTTATGCCAATCATGCATTCAACATTAATTGAGTTCCCACTGAGTCCTAGGTGTGGGGCTAGATGCTGAGGGCTCAAGTCAGAACAGGGCAGGGAGAGGAAGAAGTTAAAAAGCAGTTACAATTTTTTAACAATTACAACTATGGAAAACTTAAAGAAAACACATAATCTCCATTTTGGGCTCTGCCACTTTACAATACTCTGTGAAATAAAGAGACTAACTCGGCTGGGCGCTGTGGCTCACGCCTGTAATCCCAGCACTTTGGGAGGCTGAGGCAGGTGGATCACTTGAGGTCAGGAGTTCCAGATCAGCCTGGCCAACATGTCGAAACCCCATCTCTACCAAAAAATACAAAAATTAACCAGGTGTGGTGGCGTGCACCTGTAGCCCCAGTTACTCCAGAGGCTGAGGTGGGAGAATCACTTGAACCCAGGAAGCGGAGGCTGCATTGAGCCAGGATCGCACCACTGCACTCCAGCCTGGGCAACAGAACGAGACTATGTCTCAAAAGAAAAAAAGACTAACTCGTGTCCAAAGCAGTTGGGGGCTTTCCTTCCTATCCTCTCCGACAAGTCATTAACTTTCCTCAGCTTTCATTTACACCTTTAAAATGTAATCTATGTGGAGGGACAAGAGGAGTGACTAAGGGATACGGGTTTGAGAGTGGCAGTGATAGTAAAACTTTTAAAATTGAAGCGGTAATAGTTGCACTACTCTGTGAATATACTGTATTTTTAAAACCGCACTGAATTGTGCACTTTAAATAGGTAAAGTGTATGCTATGTGAATTATATCTCAATAAAGCTGTTCTAAAAAAAATAAAAAATAAAAGCCAGTCTTGCAAGTGTGAACGTTTTCAGAGGTCCCCCAGGGCTTACTTACCGCATCCCAAACCACCGCTGCGACTCCCAGGTGTCTCCAGTCCTGCCGGATCTGGATCGTGTGGTTTGCAAAGGAAAAAGTTGCAAGAGGCTTGTGGAATTTCTGCAACCCAAATTCCGTGGTCTCCTCATAGGGCACGAGGGCCATTCCGCCTGCACCCCGCCCTCTGCTCAGACCTGCCGTGCAAAAGAATCCTGGGTGACGCTCTGGCCAAAAGATACATTATCTGTTCTTAACTAACTCCAAATGCTTTTAAGGTCGTTTACAAGTTCAAAAGAAAAAAAGAAACAGGTGGAGGAAGCCTTTGTCCAATTTCTTTTGCATGGCTCTTCCGAATCTGAGTGAGATTTGGCTCGGAATTTGTGTCAACGGATGTGTTTGGGGAAGAAGAAAAAAAAAGCCCAGAACATTCCAACTTCCGCAGAATACCCTATACACTGCACTGCTACCACTCCGTGAATTCAGAACTACACAAGCGGCGGAAGCGGCGGTGATCGCCCAGGGCCCCAGAGCAGCGCGGAAAGCAGCGCTTCCAACCCAGACCCGGGCGCCCGGACTGCAGCTGCAGCCAGCCGGGCGGCCCGGGTTCTTTCGCTACGGTTTCGCTACCCACCTCCCCTCCTCCATCGGCTGCTTCGATAGTGATAACAATGGGACAGAACCTGCCCTTAGACTGGGTGTTAGCGGTTTGATAAACCAGAAATACATGGTCGCCGCAGTTCCGTCTCCCCGACCCTGGAAGTGAGCGACACTGGGGGCCTCCAAGCGGCTCGCGGGGACAGCGGGGACTCGGAGGCCTCCCCGAACTCCCCCTATAGCTGCCCCCCACTCACCCCTCTCCCGGGACGACCAGTGCGCCCTTCCTGCCCGGGGGCCCCGGAGCTGCGGCAACCCTCCAGGGGTGAGAGGGAGACCAGGCGAGGGGGGTCACAGGGCCTCTTAGGATCCCCAGGCCATACGGGGCGCCGTGAGCTGCCCGGCGGAGCACCCAGGGCTCGCCCAGGCCGGGCTGAGGCGCCGCCACGCCGGTACTTACGGCCCGGGAGGCGGTCCCGCGTGGAGCGCGCGCTCCGCTTTCCCCGCCCCGGGCTGGCTGCGAAAACCGCCGGCCTTAAAGAGCCCGCGACGCGGGGGCGGGCGGCCCCGGCCCGGAGCCACGCATTTCCGGTCTCCCGGCACCCAGCCTCCGGCAGGTGCCCCCGGAGCTCACGGCGAGGGCGGGGCCGGGCCGTGGCGCGGTGGAGGAGTGACGTTGCGGGAGGGGGGACCGGGGCTTTCCCTCGTGCGTCCCCAGGGTACACGGACGACTTAATCCGTTTCCCCCGCCGCCGAGGGAGGCGCTGTGGGGGCGGGAGCAAGAGTGAGATCGGGGTGCCGAACTGCCGCGGGTGCACAGGGAGAGCATGGGGTGCCCTGGGCTCTCCTAGCGGGAGAGAAAAGCCACCCACCTGGCGCTGAATGTGCCTCTCGACCTTTTCTATCATGTGCTCCGCCGCTCTCTGCCTCTGACTTTGTCGCTTGCGCGTTGTGCCTGTTTTTTAAAGGTGGCGCGTTAGCGGATGATGGAGACAGCTCGCTCCGAAGAAGGCATGGTCACTCTAGTCCCCGCGTCTCCACGGTGGGGTCAGAAGCGGCGTAATAGCCCGCTTGGCGGCAATCGAGTGGAAAAGTCACAAAACCCTTTTCAACTAAAGCACAGTGGGGGAAGTGAACACGTGGCGCCCGAGTCCAAGTTTTTAAAGTGGGGCGGGGGTCGGCGGGCTCTGGCTGCAGTCGGAAGCGCGGAGCTCTGGGCGTGCGCTCGGCTCCAGCCCCGGCCCCAGGCGGCGCTGCAGACTCCAGTGCCCCAGTCTCCCTCCTCCCGATGCCAAGACGCACCTGCCCGTGAGGACCCACGCTGGACGTGGAAGGTGCCGAGGGCCTGGTACCCTGGCCGCAGGCCCTGGCAGAGCGCGCGGCTGGAGTGGGTCCATTGAGTGGGACCGTGCGGGGACCGGCATCCTCCCGGGGCAGGCTTCTTTTTCCTCCTGGGGCCCCTCGCCCCACACCGCCCGCTGCGCTCTCAGCGCGGCTGCACGTTAGAACCAGCTGGGGTAAACCTCCCTTACCAGTCCCCCGCCCCAAGAGCTGGCCATGGGAGGGGGCCCGAGCGCTGATTTTTTTGTTTGGTTTTTTGCTTTTGTTTTTGTTTTTGTTTTTGTTTTGAGACGGAGTCTCTCTCTGTCGCCCAGGCTGGAGTGCAAGGGCGCGAACTCGGCTCACTGCAGTCTCCGCCTTCCGGGTTCAAGCGATTCTCCTGCCTCATTCTCCCGTGTAGCTAGGATTACAGGCCTGCGCCAGCACGCCAGCTAATTTTTGTGGGATTTTGTTTGTTTGTTTGAGACGGAGTCTTGCTCTGTCGCCAGGCTGGAGTGCAGTGGCGCGATCTCGGCTCACTGCAGCCTCCACCTCCCGGGTTCAAGCAGTTCTCCTGCCTCAGCCTCCAAAGTAGCTGGAATTACAGGCGCCCGCCGCCACACCCGGCTTTTTTTGTGTTTTTAGTAGAGACGGGGCTTCACCATGTTGGCCAGGCTGGCCTTGAACTCCTGATCTCCGGTGATCCGCTCATCTCAGCCTCCCAAAATGCGGGATTACAGGTGTGAACCACTGCCACCTCCCCCACCCCTACCGCCCGAGCGCTGATTTTTTTTTTTTATTATTATTATTCAGAGTTTCGCTCTTGTCACCCAGGGTGGAGTGCAATGGCATGATCTCGGCTCACTGCAACCTCCGCCTCCCAGGTTCAAGGGATTCTCCTGCCTCAGCCTCCAAGTAGCTTAGATTAAGGGGCCCACCACCACGACTGGCTAATTTTTGTATTTTTAGTAGAGACGGGGGTTTCACCACGTTGGCCAGACTGGTCTCGAACTCATGACTAAAGGTGATCCACCCGCCTCGGCCTCGCAAAGTGCTGGGATCACAGGCATGAGCCACCGCGCCCGGCAAGCGCTGATATTTTTAAGAGCTCCCGGGGCCGCCCCCGGGAGCCTGCTTCCCGCGGTGGGAGCCTGGCGGGGGCCTGAACCTCTCTCTCCTGGCCTCTTCCGTCCTGTAGGCGGCGTCCCCGGCCTCCAGATTAATCTTCCATCGGAAGGTGGGGCCTGTGGCTTCGAGGGTAACCTCAGGGAACTTGGAAGACCACCAGTGAGGGACTTTTACCTCCTTTTTCGTTTTCTTTTTTGGTCCTCTCGCTTTCTCTCTTAGTATTTCCTTTCTCTCTTACCTCCTGCACTTGGTGTTTCTGCCTCTCAGCTTTCCCTTTATCGAAGACCTCCCTTTCTTGCCTTTATTTTCTCTCTGTCCCTTTTTGCAGGGAGAACCAGCAATGGGCACAAGAAAGAACATGTATGGGCTTTGGGGCCAGACAAATATGGAAAATTTAAATTATTCCTCTGACTCTTTAAATGGGATGACTTTGGGAAATTACTAAACCTCGCTAGATCCCAGGCTGCTCATCCCTGAAGCCTGGCATGGAGCCTTGGGCCCCTTCTGTTTTTTCTCCCTATTCTCCATCCTTTCTGCTGAAATCAAGCATATGACCTCAAAAAACAAAGCAAAACCTTCCCCACCTCTCCAGCACTCTAACATGGAACATGTGCCTCATTATATTATGAGTTTTCTAGGAAGGTGTCATTTACTTTTTCTCAACCGTCTTGTCCTCCCAATGTTCTAAGCTGTATCAGATGGCTCAGGAAGCACCAAAAGGAATATTGAGGAACATATGCAACTCGTATAGCAGTGTAGCCATTAAGCAGAGCTCTGTTTTTATCAAAATAAGCCAGTGGTCCACTGAATATTTGAAAATACATTTTTAATCCTAAAAACAAGTTGGTGTGTGGCAGACTACATATTGTTTGGAGTAGTCGGCCAAGTGTGGTGGCTCACGCCTGTAATCCTAACACTTTGGGAGGCCAGGGTGGGAGGATCACTTGAGCCCAGGAGTTCAAGATCAGCCTGGCCAACATAGTAAGACCCCATGTCTAAAAAAATTTTTTTAAAGGCCAGGTGCAGTGGCTCACACCTGTAATCCCAGCACTTTGGGAGGCTGAGGCGGGTGGATTACAAGGTCAGAAGATCGAGACCATCCTGGCTAACACGGTGAAACCCCATGTCTACTAAAAATACTAAAAATTAGCCGGGCATGGTGGTGGACACCTGTAGTCCCAGCTACTCAGGAGGCTGAGGCAGAAGAATGGCGTGAACCCAGGAGGCAGAGCTTGCAGTGAGCTGAGATTGCACCACTGCACTCCAGCCTGGGTGACAGAGCGAGACTCTGTCTCAAAAAAAAAAAAATTTAAAAAAAAAAATAGCCGAGCATGGTGGTGCACACCTATAGTCCCAGCTACGTGGGAGGTTGAGGTGGGAGGATCATGTGAGCCCAGAGGTGGAGGCTTCAGTGAGTCCTGAAGTCACACCACTGCACTGTATCCTGGGTGACACAGCAAGACCCTGTCTCAAAAAAAAAAAAAAAGAAATTCTGACAGTCTTTTTTTTTTTTTTTTTTTTTGACACAGAGTCTTCTCACTCTGTCACCCAGGCTGGAGTGCAGTGGTGCAATCATGGCTCACTGCAGCCTGGACCTCTTGGGTTCAGGCATCCTCCCACCTCAGCCTCCTAAGTAGCTGGGACTACAGGTGTGTGCCACCACACCCAGCTAATTTTATTTTTTGTATAGAGAGAGTCTTGACATAGAGTCTTGACATGATGCCCAGGCTGGACTTGAACTCCTAGCCTCAAGTGATCCCCCCACCTCCTTCTTCAGCCTCCCAAAGTGCTGGGATTACAGGCGGGAGCCACTGAGCCTGGCCTCTCCTGACAGTCTTGTTAGGAATATGCAAAAAGATAGATTTACTTCCCGCATTGTTTGTAATTCCGAAGTGCAGTTTAATCGTAGTGTTAACAGTGTATAAAATAGTGCTTTAGCTGGGCGAGGTGGCTCACGCCTGTAATCCTAGCACTTTAGGAGGCCGAGGCGGACGGATCACCTGAGGTCAGGAGTTCGAGACCAGCCTGACCAACATGGAGAAACCCCATCTCTACCAAAAATACAAAATTAGTCTGGCATGATGGCGCATGCCTGTAATCCCAGCTACTCGGGAGGCTGAGGCAGGAGAATCTCTTGAACCCAGTAGGCAGAGGTTGCAGTGAGCCAAGATCACGCCATTGCACTCCAGCCTGGGCAACGAGTGAAACTCTGTCTCAAAAAAAAAAAAAATAGTGCTTTTTACTTTTATCTGAATGATTGAAATGTCCTTTTCCCAATCCTATGATGCCTGACTGCAAAATAATGGTAGAAGGACACTTAGGCCTTTGTCCCTCCTGTCTCCTGGAACTAGTCCATGTCCAAGGTCATAGTAGAAGCAGTCACCTTGCTACTACCTTGGCACAGCTTGATCCCTATGTTCCCCCAGGCATGTTCCCTTTTTAGGCCAGGGTGGATACCCAACCCCACGCTGGGTACATAATTCTCTCTGCAGAAAGAATGCAGAGTGACTATCAGACATCTGTTGTTACTGCCTGCCCAACATCTATTTCTCATTTTCCTGGTAGCAGCAGTTCTCTTCTGCTGATGGTCAGGAGCCCAGCTTCTGGAGTGCAAGTTCTGCACCAACTCAGCTCTGCAATTTATTAGCTGTGAGGGCTTGGGTGAAATGCATTAACCTGTGTCTCAATGTCCTCATCTATAAAATAGGGATAATGTGATTATTGTATGAGTAAACAACAAAGATAACCTGAGATTAAAATGAGTTAACTTATCTACTTAGAATTGCGCCCAACAAACACATTTTATAGAGCATTTGCTTATACTGTTATGTGTTTGGACTGGTCTATCCTCAGCCCTTACTACATGATCAGGCACATGCCCCAGGCCTGGCCAATATGAACACAGTCCTTCCACCTGGCCACAGGTAGGTGAGATGTGAACATGTAACCAAAGCTGGGCCTAACCAGAACCCATTCTGAGACTTGAGACTCTCAGAGAACCAGCCTGTTGGGGAAGGATAGAAATTTAGAGGTCCTATTGGCCATCTGGTCCCAAGAGAACAAAACTAGCAGCAAATGTGGCCAGTGAAGGCGCTGGTGGAGAGAGAGGCTGCCTCCTGTTGATGTTTGAC
The DNA here is from genome assembly GCF_000001405.40 of Homo sapiens. Classification (NCBI taxonomy): domain Eukaryota; kingdom Metazoa; phylum Chordata; class Mammalia; order Primates; family Hominidae; genus Homo; species Homo sapiens. Next base: position 207,630,384 of record NC_000002.12, read on the forward strand.
CACCTGGATCCAGCTGTCCTGGAATTTTCAGTTATTTGAGCCATTAAATTCCCTAATTAGCTTAAGCTGTCATTTGAGCAGCTTTTTTTTTTTTTTTCCATATCCTGAAGAAGAAAAACAATCCTAATACATTCAGTCTGGGCCGGTCCCTTGAGCAAAGGAGAGATATAAAGCCATGCCTGTATGGGGCCATCTTCACTGTGCGGTATAGATGGAGAAACCATTCTACAGAGAGCAGTCACCAGCAGAAACTTGGGGCTGAGCTGCCAGCTGCCGTTTTCCTGATGCCTCTCTTGTCCTGAGCCCTTCCTGGCTGCACCTGGGTTCTCAGGTCCCATGGGAACCCAGGGTAACCAGACAAGACATTTTCCTTTCTTGATTAAGCTCGCTGGAGTGCCTGTGACATACATACAGCCAGAGTCCCAGTGAAAAGGATGTTTTTTGTTTTTAGGAAGTGATGTAGACAGAATATAAACATTCTGTAAGTTCCTCAGACCTATTCAATGTTATAATATAGGTAGTATTAAAAGTGTTCTTCAAAAAATTTAAAGAAATTGAGGCCAGGCGCGGTGGCTCACGCCTGTAATCCCAGCACTTTGGGAGGCTGAGGCGGGCGGATCACGAGGTCAGGAGATCGAGACCATCCTGGCTAAAACGGTGAAACCCCATCTCTACTAAAAATACAAAAAATTAGCCGGGCATGGTGGCGGGCGCCTGTGGTTCCAGCTAGTCGGGAGTATGGGGCAGGAGAATGGCATGAACCCGGGAGGCAGAGCTTGCAGTGAGCCGAGATCGCGCCACTGCACACCAGCCTGGGCGACAGAGTGAGACTCCGTCTCAAAAAAAAAAAAAAAAAGGGAAAAAGAAATTGAAGACCAGGCACTATGACTCACGTCTGTAATCCCAGCACTTTGGGAGGCTGAGGCAGGTGGATCACCTGAGGTCAGGAGTTCGAGACCAGCCTGGCCAACATGGTGAAACCCCATCTCTACTGAAAATGCAAAGAATAACCGGTCGTGGTGGTGCACCACTGTAATCCCAGCTACTCAGGATGCTGAGGTAGAAGAATTGCTTCAACCCGGGAGGCGGAGAATGCAGTGAGCCGAGATTGCACCCTCGCACGCCATCTTGGGCAGCAGAGCAAGACCTCATCTCAAAAAAAAAAAAAAAAAAGAAATTGAGACAGAATTTTTAAAGATTTTTTTTTCTTTTTAGAGATGGTGTCTCACTGTGTTGCCCAGGCTGGTCTTGAATTCCTACACTCAAGTGATCCACCCACCTCAGCCTCCCAAAGCACAAGCACGAGCCACCGTGCCTAGCCTAAAATATTTTTTTTTTTTAACTGAGATCCTTAATTGCTGTACACTAGAGATTAAACTGATAGCAGAAAACACATTTCCTTGCACTGTCTAACCCAGCAGCAGTTCTCACATTTTTTGGTCTCAGGATCTATTACACTCCTTAAAATTATTAAGGACTCCCAAGAACCATTCATATTTATTGTGTTAGAAATGTTAAGTTTTAAGAAGTTAAAACTTAAAATAATAAACTATTTGTTATTTTATGTAAAGGTAGCAGCCATACCTCCATTATGGATTAACATCACAGCAGTGACATCCTCACATATCAGGGAACCCCTGGAAAACTTCACAGTATACTCATGGGAGAATGAGAACGAAAAGGGCAAATAACATCTTAGTATTATTACGAAAATAGTTGCAATCTCATAGATGCTGTAGAGAGGTGTTAGAGTTTCCCAGAAACTGCAGACCATATTTTGAGAACCACTAGTCTACACTGCTTCTTAGCCTTCTTGGCAAAACTATCTTTTGTCTGAGTTACTGTTGTTCAAGGACTAAATAATAAGAATACTTATAACACTGACTTCCTATCACTGACTGTAAATATACAACTGATACATTATCAGTTTTCTTGTTATCTTTAACGTGAAAGCAGTATAGAGAGAGTGTGTTCAAAGTGGGCTTTGGAGGCTGGTGTCCTGGATTCTAACCTCAGTGCTTAGCTGGGTGACCGTGGGTGAGTCACCTAGCCTTTCTGAGCCTCAATGTCCTATCTGTAAAATGATCATTATATTACTATTTATCTTTGCTGTGAAAATTAAGTGAATTCATCTGTTCTTCAAAAGTGGAGAAAGAAAATAAAGTAAAATTTTTATTAGAAAAAAAAAACAAAAACTGGCTGGACGCGGTGGCTCACGCCTTTAATCCCAGCAATTTGGAAGGTCAAGGTAGCCGGATCACTTGAGCCTAGGAATTCGAGGCTGCAGTGAGCTATGATCGCACCACTGCACTCTAGCCTGGGTGACAGAGTGAGGCCCTATCTCAAAAAAAAAAAAAATCAATGTAGAAGAAAACTAGTTTTTCACCCCTCCTTCGAAATAACTTGAGGCCATTTGCTCATATGCCTGGGTCCTGGCCAGTATGATGTGGGCCGTAATGTCCCTGCCTAAAAGCCCTTTCTTCCCCATCTGCACACCCTCAGAGGTGGGCAAACTGGAGAAGCTGGATCCCTGAGTCATTGCTTAGAGGAGAGTTGCTCAACTCACAGTGGATTGTGACATGAGCAAGAAATCAATCTTTGTCATGTTAACCACTGACATTTGGAATTTATTCACTATTGTAGCATATAGCCTATCTCCATTAATACACAAGGGCAGGCCATTTGAGCTGGGGAAAGGAGAGGGCTCTGAAGAGGTGACATTTAAATGGAAATTTAAAAGAGTAGAAGAAAACAGCCACTTGAAGAGCCAAGGGAATGGCATTTCAAGCAAGGGAACAGAAACTGCAAAAGCCCCCAGGCAGAAGAAACTGTCAACTGACCAGCCAGGAGCAAGGGGTAAGTGGCACAAGATAACTCTTAAGATTAAGTCAAACAGAAGAATGAAAGCTTTGAACTACCCAAACTCCACTAACAACTTACACCCTGCAGGAGAGGTATTTTTGCATCATCACTACACAACTCTCTGTGTGAGTCACAGACCCTGGGTGCCCTCAAGGGTGAGGCTGGCTGCCCTGAAGACACTACCATACAGCTAAGGAGTTGGCTTAAGGATATTCAAAAAGCCTTAAGGAATAAAGCTCCAGCTGGTGCTAAAGAAAGACAACCATAGACAGAGTCTTGGTATAACTGTGTTCACCACTGTCTTTTTTAAGTTCTTGTCTAGCTTCTCAGTATTTCCGTAAGACCTGACTGCAGAGAGAAAAAACAAGACAACTGCTCAGCGCTACCTTGAGGGAATATGCAGCATAAATAGCTACATTTGGATTTTTCATTTTGCTGATGAAATCGCATTTTTGATCACAGCTCCTGGACAACTGCAGCCATGCCTGATGCTCTTGTTCTACAACAAAATAGAAGCAGCAGCTAGGGGAGAAGTTTCCAGACTTGTGTTCTGTTGGGTTTTAGAGTCACATCTGTGGCTTTCAGCTGGAAACGGCTGGACAACTATTTGTTGAATGAATGAATGAATGAATGAATGAATGAATGTTACAATACATCACATCAAATTATTGCCCACCTCACTCCAAAAGTGTTTAAATGCGAATTCAACTTATTAGATACCTTTGAGTTAATGATGCTGAAGAATTTGTAGTTACTTTCATTATTTGTGTTTCATTAACCTAGGGTTCAATAATATTCCCAGGTATAGTACATGTTTGGGTAAGAAGCTATTGACTGTCTTATCTTTTGATGATTCCAAGAAAAGGTATGAAGCCATTTGCCTTTTCATAATTTATAGGTTAATTTGTGTGTAATTAGAAAAGCAGGTACATTTTAAGTAAGTCAAACCAAAAGACAACATCAAGAAGAGAATAGTAAATAGTCAAGTGAAAGTGCTAGCTTGTAATTCCAAGAGCTCATGTATTTGAGCAGTGCCTCTTCCCAGGTGACACAGGGCATTTTGAGTTCAGGTTTTCCTGGTGGTATGTACAGGAGTGGGAGCGGAGTTACATGCTAATGTGACCAGAGAGGATGCAGTGCTGAGGATCCAGGGCAGGATGGAGGCAGTGTCCCCGACTGGCAGCCTCCAAAAAGCCTTGACCTACAGATGTGTTTTGTGTGTCCCATGCAGACTTGGCTCTCATGGTGTTTTGTTTTTTAGTTTAGTGTCAATATTTGAAAGTAAGGAGATGTATCTTAGTCCATTTTGTGCTGCTATAGAAGAATTACCGGCTGGGCGAGGTGGCTCACGCCTGTAATCCCAACACTTTGGGAGGCCAAGGCGGGCAGATCACGAGGTCAAGAGTTTGAGACCAGCCTGACCAACATAGTGAAACCCTGTCTCTACTAAAAATACAAAAATTAGCTGGGCATAGTGGCGTGCACCTGTAATCCCAGCTACTTCGGAGGCTGGGGCAGGAGAATCACTTGAACTCAGGAGGTGGAGGTTGCAGTGAGCCAAGATCGCACCACTGTATTCCAGCCTGGGTGACAGGGCGAGACTCCATCTCAAAAAAAAAAAAAGAATTATCTAAGACTGAGTAATTTATAATGAGCAGAAATTTATTGACTTCTGGTTCTGGAGGCTAGAACGTCCAAGATCAAGGGGCTGGCATCTGGGGAGAACCTTCTTGCTGTGCTATCCCATGAAGGAAACACAAAGAAGGAGTGAGAGAGAGCAAGAGTTCAAACTTGCACCCTCAAGCCCTTTTATAATCATTATTAATCCATTCATGAGGGTGGAGCCTTATGACCTAAATACCTCCATTAGGCCCCACCTCCCAACACTGATTAAGTTTCCAATGCATGCCTTTTGGGGGAACACATTCAAACCATAGCAAGATGTCAGATAAAAATCAAGATAGTAAAATTAAGATAATTATTTGAAATGGCTTTCTTTGAAAATTTTGAAATATCTGGCAAACATGGGTCCAAATGCCCACAAGATGGCAATGAGCTAGAGCCAAGCTGGCTCTTCCTTTGGACATTATGGTCTCCCCTCAGTGTGCCGCGGTCCCCTCCCCTGCTTGTTGTCTTGTCCCCACAAGCTTCATTCATTTACTTACGATACTGTCAGGGTCTGTGACGGAGCACCAGTAAACAGCCTCTCACTTTATTTTCTCTGGGTTCTAAACAAGCTGAGAAATAAAACAACGACTAAAGCTGAAGGCAAAAACATCCCCTCTATTTACTGAGACAGAAGAAGTTGGAGGGCGAGGCTTATATCTGCAGGCAGATGGACCTACGAAGAACGAAGAACGCTAAGGTGACTCATCCAGCACTGGATGGGGCAGGCCTCGCATGTAATTCCTATAGCATGAAGGAGCAGAGGAGAGTGCAGGTTCTGCCCACAGGCCTGCTCCTAGAGGCAGAAAGATCTGGACTGAGCCGCACATAGGGAATTTATTGCCAATGCATGCTCCAGGGCAGAGAGGCCTGGAGTGGCATTCACAGAGCTCCCGTTGAGGAGAAGTAGCACTCCTCAACTCACCGGGGCCTCACAGGTCTGGAGTTGATGAAGGCTACGGAAGATTTCTTTAACATCCCAAGCAAAGAATACCTGATGTCCTCTCCATGGTCATGCTGATTTTTTTTTTTCAAGGGGTTTTTAGCTCAAGTAAATATGGTAACATTCAGCTACCATGGAAACACAAAAGTTTCTAGGAAGAAAAAAGCAGAACTCACCATCTACTGGGGCAAATCAACTAGAATAAAAAGCAAAGGCAAGAGAATAAAAAAAAAACGAATCAAAAGGGAGTCCAAGATGTGCTGTTAAGATAGATGCTAAATTGAGGAAAACAAGAAAGGGCCCAGGCACAGACAGGTGGCCAAGTGGGGTCCAGGGGCCAGTGAGTGAGGTATAACCACCATATTCACTGAGCACTAGCTGGTGCCATGCACATTTGTGACGATGCAAAGTAGGTCATGTGAACCCCACTTTAGAGATGAGGAAATTGAAGCAGAGAGTGATTCCAAAAGGCCAGTGGAGAGATTCCACAGGCAGCGCCACTGACTCCGAAAGGAACCTTTCCCCTCTCCTTGCCTGCTGTTTCAGCCAAATGAATGGGGCTTCATAGACAGCAGGAGCAGCCTGAGGCCTCTGGGATGGCTGGAATTGGCTCCTTTAAAGAAGGGCAGGGCAGGTGCAGTGGCTCACACCTGTAATCCCAGCACTTTGGTAGGCAGAGCGGGGAGGATTCTTTGAGCTCAGGAGTTTGAGACCAGCCTGGGCAACACAGAGAGACACTGTCTCTACAAAATATAAACAAAATTAGCCAAGCATTGTGGCACACGCCTGTAGTCCCAGCTACTCAGGAGGCTGAGGTGGGAGGATCCCTTGAGCCTAGGAGGTCGAGGCTGCAGTGAGCTATGATCATGCCACTGCACTCCAGCCTGGGCAACAGAGCAGGACCTTGTTTCAAAAAAATAAACAAAATAAAATAAAAAGAAGGGCAGGTCTGGAGCCAAGGCCCTCAGCTGGGGCTGGAAACTCAAGGCTCACCCTACCCAGAGAGTCCAAGCATTGGCGCATCTTCCTGCTAACAAGCACTCATTTTCGTCTTCCTGTTCATCCTCTTCCCTGTGGTGCTGTGACCTGACCAACCCCTCCTCTGGCTGTCCAGTCCCCACTCCACACCACAGAGCAACACCTAGCCAAAGAAGGTAGGTAAGAAAAGCTAAACACCCAGGGATATGAAACCAGCCTTCACAGACACTGTTTTTGACCCTCTCCAGTCATCAGCAACAAGGTTTCCAGAAAAGCTGGGGAGCTGTGTGGCAGGAGAACCTTCTTCCAGGGACTTCCTTGACTCCTGATTCAGTAGTCACGATGCCACCAGCAGACAAACCTAACACATACCTGTATAGAGTCACGTTCACTCAGCAGTTCTCTAAGAGAACAACTGTGTAAATTTCCTTAATAGGAAATGTTTTTAGAAGGAACATATGGAGAGTCAAAAAGTGGCTAAATATAAATCTATATTTACAGAACTGAATCAGGAGCAAAGAAAATTTGAACAGAAAGAGCTGGATGGATAAGCTTTCTCTCAAGACAGGTTTTTCTGTGTGTATGTTCAGTGTATGTGAATTTTTACCTACAGTTAAAAAAAGAAAAGAAAAAATCATGATACCAAAAATGGTTTTGATGCCAGTCACATTACAGAAGTACCCAAGGCTCTATCCCTCTATCCACTAACTTTCTTTGTTTTTTTTTGTTGTTGTTTTTTTTTTTGTGTGTGTGTGTGACAAAGTTTCGCCCTGTCGCCCAGGCTGGAGTGCAGTGGCACTATCTCGGCTCACTGCAACTTCCCCCTCCTGGGTTCAAGCCATTCTCCTGCCTCAGCCTTCCAAGTAGCTGTGACTTACAAGCGCCTGCCACCATGCCCAGCTAATTTTTTGTATTTTAGTAGAGATGGGATTTCACCCTGTTGCCCAGGCTGGTCTCGAACTCCTGAGCTCAGGCAATCCGCCTGCCTCGGCCTCCCAAAGTGCTGGGATTACAGGCGTGAGCCACCATGCCCGGCCTCTATCCACTAACTTCCATCAGCAGTAAACCCATTTGGTTGCACGATAGACGTGGAGATGATCAAATAGAGCATAGATTTTTCTTTTTTTTTGAGACGGAGTCTCGGTCTGTCGCCCGGGCTGGAGTGCAGTGGCGTGGTCTCGGCTCACTGCAACCTCTGCCTCCCGGGTTCACGCCATTCTCCTGCCTCAGACTCCGGAGTAGCTGGGACTACAGGCGCCCGCCACCACGCCCGGCTACTTTTTTGTATTTTTAGTAGAGACGCGGTTTCACCATATTAGCCAGGATGGTCTCGATCTCCCGACCTTGTGATCCGCCCACCTCAGCCTCCCAAAGTGCTGGGATTACAGGCATGAGCCACCACGCCTAGCCAAGCACAGATTTTTCTAATAGAAGTTTCAAGCTTAAGAATTTTTTTTAGCTAGTTAAAGTAACCCTAGGAGAAATGTTTTACATTATCGATGCTGAAAGAAAAGAGGCAAACTTTGGGCCAGGCTTGGCGGCTCACACCTGTAATCCCAGCACTTTGGGAGGCTGAGGCGGGTGGATCACTTTAGGTCAGGAGTTCAAGACCAGCCTGGCCAACATGGTGAAACTCCATCTCTACCAAAAACACACAAAAAATTAGCTGGACATGGTGCCAGGCGCCAGTAGTCCCAGCTACTCTGGAGGCTTACGCACGAAAACCACTTGAACCTGGGAGGCAGAGGTTGCAGTGTGCAGAGATCACGCCACTGCACTCCAGCCTGGGCAACAGAGCGAGACTCCATCTCAAAAAAAAAAAAAAAAAAAAAGAGTGGCAAAGTTAGCAGGAATTAAGGAAATTCCCATGGCTTAAAAAAGAAAAAAAAAGTGAGAAAGGAATGAACATTTATTGAGCAACTACCACATGCAAGATGGTTGGTGGGCATTCTCTCCATTGAGTTTCATAATATAACTTGTATTAGTCTATTCCTGCATTGCTACAAGGAAATACCTGAGACTGGATAATTTTTTTTTTTTTTTTTGAGACTGAGTCTCACTCTGTTGCCCAGGCTGGAGTGCAGGGGCACGATCTCGGCTCACTGCAACCTCCTCCTCCCAGGTTCAAGCAATTCTTCTGCCTCAGCCTCCTGAGTAGCTGGGATTACAGGCGCATGCCACCACGCCCAGCTAATTTTTGTATTTTTAATAGAGATGGGGTTTCACCATGTTGGCCAGGATGGTCTCGATCTCCTGACCTCGTGATCCGCCCGCCTCAGCCTCCCAAAGTGCTGGGATTACAGGCGTGAGCCACTGCACCTGGCCTCTTTCTTTTTTTTTGTAAGACATGGGGTCTTGCTATGTGATTCAAGCTGGTCTCAAACTCCTTGCCTCGAGCAGTTTCCCACCATGGTCTCCCAGAGTGCTGGGATTACAGGGATGAGGCACTGCACCCAGCTGATTTTCCTTCTTTCTTCAGGGAAAACTACTTCCATGAAAACATTTGATAGTAAATTTTTCTGTGAAGAAATTCTGGGCCAAGTGCAGTGGCCCATGCCTGTAATCCCAAAACTTTGGGAGGGCGAAAAATTCCCTCATAACTTTTATTTGTATGTTGTTACTTTTACTATGATTATTTTATTTATTTATTTATTTATTTATTTATTTATTTATTTTGAGCCTGGCTCTCACTCTCTCGCCCAGGCTGGAGTGCAGTGGCACCATCTCGGCTCACAGCAACTTCCACCTCCCAAGTTCAAGTGATTCTCCTGCCTCAGCCTCCCAAATAGCTGGGATTACAGGTACCTGCCACCATGCCTGGCTAATTTTTGTATTTTTAGTAGAGAGAGGGCTTCACCATGTTGGCCAGGCTGGTCTCGAACTCCTGACCTCAAGTAATCCACCCACCTCAGCCTCCCAAAGTGCAGAGATTATAGGCGTGAGCCACCGCACCTGGCCATATTACTATTATTATTTTAGAGCTTTATTGGCCACATCAATTTCCAAGTCGTGAAGAGGAAGTCCCCAGTGTCAAATAAAGGTGCTCCCTCTTGAAAGGACAGGTTAGGTTTTATGACTCACAGGGCCAGTATCATACATATTGACCAAGTTTGAGTGAAAAGCTATACATATTTATGAGAGGAGCCTGGCACACATGCAGTGGGTAATTTTTGTATTTTTAGTAGAAACGAGGTTTCACCATTTAGCCAGGCTGGTCTTGAACTCCTGACCTCAGGTGATCCTCCTGCCTCGACGTCCCAAAGTGCTGGGATTACAGGTGTGAGCCAGGATTACAGGTGTGAGCCACCACGCCCGGCCCATAAGGGTGGATTTCTAATGAATAGCTAAGCACTATCCCTTTGGTGCTGTCCTTTCAATAGTGAGTTATTGCAAGAACTGGTTGTTTTAAAGTGTGGCAACTGCCTGCCCCCCTCTCTTGTTCCTGCTTTTGCAATGTGAAATGCCTGTTCCCACTTCACCTTCTGCTATGAATAAAAGCTCCCTGAGGCCTCTTCAGAAGCCAAGCAATGTCTGTGCCATGCTTATACAGCCTGCAGAACCATGAGCCAGTTAAACCTGTTTTCTCTGTAAATTACCCAGTCTCAGGTATTTCTTGTTAGCAATGCAAGAATGGTCTAATACATATAGAGACCTTACATGTTTACACAGTATATTAGTCCAGTCTCACACTGCTATAAACTGCCCAAGACTGGGTAATTTATAAAAGAAAGAGGTTTAATTGACTCACAGTTCCACAGGGCTGGAGAGACATTAGGAAACTTACAATCATAGCACAAGGGGAAGCAAACATGTCCTTCTTCACATGGCAGCAGGAAGGAGAAGTGCCAAGCAAAAGCAGGAAAAGCCCCTTATAAAACCATCAGATCTCGTGAGAACTCACTCACTATCATGAAAACAGTATGGAGGTAATCACCCCCATGATTTAATTACCCCCCACTGTGGGATTATGGGAACTACAAGTCAAGATGAGATTTGGTTGGGGACACAGCCAAACCATATCACACAGTTTGATGTAATATAATACTTTACTCAATTGGATAATTGGAAACAAACTGTAACAGCATAGGGTAGGTCCTGCCAAGCCTCCTGCTGTTGCTTCCTTTACTCAAATGTCAATGGCAATTTAAAAAAAATAGAGACAGAGTCTCACTATGTTGCCCAGGCTAATCTCAAACTCCTGGCCTCAAGCAATCCTCCTGCTGGGGCCTCCCAAAGATCTGGAGTTGCAAGCATGAGCACTATGTCTTTCCAGTGGCAATTTTTGAATAAAAAGATTAACTACTAATTCTGAGGCAGTGGAGATTGAGGAGAATAAGAAAGATGGCCAGCACTGCTTGCTTCTCTGGCTGTCCATTGTATACATTTTGCCTTAAAGGACATTGGGCTCAGTTTACTGATCAGTAGTTTAAAGTGCCCTTCTTTCAACCCCATAGAAAGTGCTGGTTTACACAGCCAGCTGATCAGTATCTGAGAAAGTCTAGCACCCTAAGAAATATTTAAACGACTCACAAGCTCAGACAGGAGACAACCCACTTTTCTGCAAATACACGAGAGCAGTGGACTCAAAAGTGAGGTGCTCAGAAGGAAATATCACTGACCAAGAAGGAATGTTGGTACTACCATGTTTGTATATCTTTTTCATCTCACCCTTTAAAATGTAGAGCTTTGTGTGATAGGTTTATATGTATTTGATATACTAGATGTAGAGTTTTGTGTGATAGGTTTATATGTATTTGATACGCTAGTACTATGTAATACATGTATTAGACTTTATTCATTAATAGACATATATTTGAAAGGCATGCTTGGAAATTGTTTATTAATGTGTGTGCAAAACTAAAAAAGCTTGGAGTCTACCTACCTAGAGGAAGGTCAACATTAATGAAGATGCTGATCACAAAAGCCCACACTTGAATTCCTATGATCCAAAAGATAAACTGAATTGCCTGGGTCATGGTACAGGGAAAGGAGAACCTACCAGAAGCAAGGTACAATTAAACCTCTCCTGCTTTTCTTGTTACCAGTGAGGATGACATCTTGTGAGACTGCCTCAGAAACAAGTGGATTGTCACAAGCCCTAAACAGCCCTCTCATTTCCTGAGCAGCCCCAGGCTGTGGCCCCTGGGATTCAGAGAGACCAGCTCTCCTTCCCAAAGTGATGTGCTTTTGCTGATCAAGAGAGCAAAATGGCAAAAGACAATAGAAAGTCCAACATGCCTGCATGGGTTGCAAGAAAAAAAAAGTTCAACATCATTTGTCCTACAAGAAATCTGCATTAAAACTGTAATGCCCTATTCTTCAACCAGCAATTACATAGATTTAAACGAATCAGTAGTTGGTCAGGGTAGAAAAACAGATATTCCTGGTAGAGTGGAAAATGGCCAAACCTTTCTGCAGGCAATTTGAAAATACCAACCAAGGGTTCAAAAAATAAACAGATCCACCTACTTAGCAATTTCTCCTCCGAGGATTTTTCAAAAGGAAATAATTGAATTTGTGAATAAAGATTTAAATACATAAAAGCTTGTTATTCGGCCAGGCACAGTGGCTCACACCTGTAATCCCAGCACTTTGGGAGGCCGAGGCGGGTGGATCACGAGGTCAGGAGATCAAGAGCATCCTGGCAAACACAGTGAAACCCCATCTCTACTAAAAATACAAAAAAATTAACCAGGGGTGGTGGCAGGCACCTGTAGTCCTAGCTACTCAGGAGGCTGAAGCAGGAGAATCGCACAAACCTGGGAGGCGGAGCTTGCAGTGAGCCGAGTTAGCACCACTGCACTCCAGCCTGGGTGACAGAGTGAGACCCCTTCTCAAAAAAAAAAAAAAAATGCTTGTTATTCAAACACAGTTTTTTTTTTTTTGAGATGGAGTTTCACTCTGTCACCCAGGCTGGAGTGCAGTGGTGCGATCTCAGCTCACTGCAACTTCTACCTCCTGGGTTCAAGCAATTCTCCTGCCTCAACCTCCTGAGTAGCTAGGACTACAGGCGTGAGCCACTATACCTGACTAATTTTTGTATTTTTAGTAGAGATGGGGTTTCACTATGTTGGGCAGGCTGGTCTCGAACTCCTGACCTCAAGCAATCTGCCCGCCTTGGCCTCCCAAAGTGCTGGGATTATAGGCGTGAGTCACCATGCCCGGCCTCAAACACATTTTTTCTATCCATATTTACTGGGTGTCTTTTATCAAGCAGATTCTGTGTTAGATGCTGAAACACAAAAAAAGAACGAAACAGAACAGATCAGACAAAAAAGTATTGGGAAACATACCCATCATTTCTTCCTCCTTCATGAATGTTTTTCAAGGATGATTCTAGAAGGAACTAGAGGAGTAGGTAACAGCAGCATTGATGGAAGATTCTGAGAGGCAGTAAGTCACATCTAAGGAACTCTAGCCAACTGAAAATAAGTTATTTATCTAGTATTAAAAAGCATCTTCAGTGTAATCAATTAAAAATTTCCTAAGAAAAATGGGCTTGCTCATACATTGTTGGTATGAGGATATATTGTTATAAACGTTTGAGAAGGCAATTGACAATAGGTATCAAAATTCTTTTTTTTTTTTTTTGAGACAGAGTCTCACTCTGTAACACAGGCTGGAGCGCAGTGGTGCCATCTCAGCTCACTGCAACCTCTGCCTCTCAGGTTCAAGCAATTCTTATGCCTCAGCTTCCCTAGTACCTGGGATTACAGGCATGCCTGGCTAATTTTTGTATTTCTGGTAGAGATTGGGTTTTGCCATGTTGGCCAGGCTGTTCTCAAACTCCTGACCTCAAGTGATCCACCTGACTCGGCCTCCCAACATGCTGGGATGACTGACATGAGCCACCACACCCAGCCTTATCAAAATTCTTAATGTCACTGCCATAACCTAGCAGTTCCACTTAAAGAGTACACCTATAGGAGTACTTATGCCTGTAATAAAAATTTTGAATAAGGCAATCAAATTAACCACATATGCATAATGGGAATCCCACAGAGGGAGGAGAAAAAAAAGAGGCAAAAATAATATTTGAAGAAACAATTGCCAAAACCTTTCCAAATTTAACGGAAAATATTAATTTACACATCCTAGAAACCCAATAAACTCCAAGTGGGATAAACTCAAAGATATCCACACTGAAACACATTATAGTAAAGTTAGCAAATTATCTCAAGACAATGAGAGAATCTTGAGAACAGCAAGAGAAAAATGACATATAATGTACAAGGGATCCTCAAATAGATTAACAGCTTACTTTTCATCTGAAACTGTAGGGGCCAAAAGTCAGTAGAATGACATATTCAAAGTGCTGAAACAAAGACCATCACACAAGAATTCTACATCCAGCAAAATATCCTTCAAAAATTGAGACATTAAGACATTCAAATAAACAAAGATACACAAAAACTGAAAAAATTCATCTCTAGTAGACCTGCCCTGTAAGAAATACTAAAGGGAATCCTTTAGCTACCTGAAAGAACACTAGACAGTAATTGAATCCAAGAAATAAAGAGCACCAGTAAAGGTAAAAATAAAACTGCAAAGGTAAATATAAATAACATTATAAATGGGTTTCTGTTTGTGTCTGTAACTCTTTTCCTACCTAATTTAAAAGACAAGGGCAGCCAGGCATGGTGGCTCACACCTGTAATCCCAGTACTTTGGGAGGCTAAGGCGGGCAGATCACCTGAGGTCAGGAGTTTGAGACAAGCCTGGCCAACATGGTGAAACCCCGTCTCTACTAAAAATATAAAAATTAGCTGGGCGTGGTGGTGGGCGCCTGTAATCCCAGGTACTCAGGAGGCTGAGGCAGAAAAATTGCTTGAACCTGGGAAGTGGAGGTTGCAATGAGCGGAGATCACACCATTGCACTCCAGCCTGGGCAACAAGAGCAAAACTCCATCTCAAAGAAAAAAAAAAGACAAGGGCATAAAGTAGCACCTGTAAAACTGTGTTCATGCATATATAAATCATAAAGATGTCATTTGTATGGCACTATAATACAAAGAACAAATGAGGATGGGGGAAACAGATATATTGTTACAAAGTTTCTGTATACCATAGAAATGAAGCTAATATTAATCCAAACTAGATTGTTTTAAGATGCTAATTGTAATCCCCAGAGCAATCACTAAAAAAAGAAATAACTAAAACATACATAGTAAAAGGCCGAGAGCAGTGGCTCATGCCTGTAATCCCAGCACTTTGGGAGGCTGAGGTGGGTGGATCACCTCAGGTCAGGAGTTTGAGACCAACCTGGCCAACATGACGAAACCCCATCTCTACTAAAAATACAAAAATTAGCCGGGCATGGTGGCAGGAGCCTGTAATCCCAGCTACTTGGGAGGCTGAGGCAGGAGAAGCACTTGAACCTGGGAGGCAGAAGTTGCCGTGAGTTGAGATCATGCCATTGTACTCTAGCCTGGCAAAAAGAGTGAAACTCTGTCTCAATTTAAAAAAAAAAATATATATATATATATATATATATATTCCCATATATATATGTTCCCATATATATATGTTCCCATATATACATATATTCCCATATATATATATTAGAATATATATATGGGAATATATATATGGGAACATATATATATGGGAATATATATATATGGGAACATATATATATGGGAACATATATATATGGGAACATATATATATGGGAACATATATGGGAACATATATATATGAGAACATATATGGGAACATATATATATGGGAAAATATATATATGGGAACATATATATGAGAACATATATGGGAACATATATACACGGGTACATATATACATGGGAACATATATATATGGGAACATTATCTATATCTATATATCTATATATATATATATAGATATGTGGGAATAAAAATAAAACACCAGAAAATATCTATTCAACACAATGGCAGTAATTAAAGAATAGAGAAACAAACAAAAAAGACGTAAGACATATGAAAAACAAATAGCAGGCCAGGCACAGTGGCTCACACCTGTAATCCCAGCACTTTGGGAGGCCAAGATGGGTGGATCACCTGAAGTTGGGAGTTTGAGACCAGCCTGACCAACATGGAGAAACCCTGTCTCTACTAAAAATACAAAAATTAGCCGGGCGTGGTGGCACATGCCTGTAATCCCAGCTACTAGGGAGGCTGAGGCAGGAGAATCACTTGAACCTGGGAGATGGAAGTTGCGGCGAGCCGAGATTGCATCATTGCACTCCAGGCTGGGCAACAAGAGCAAAACTCTGTCTCAAAAAAAAAAAAAAAAAAAGGAAAGAAAAGAAAAAACAAAGAAAAGAAAAAAGAAAAACAAATAGCAAACTTAGAAAAAAAAGATAACAAACATAGAAAAAATAAATGAAACAGAATAGAAAACCAACAGAGAAAATCAATGAAGCGAGAAATTGCTCTTTGAAAAGATCAACAAAATTAACAAACAGTTGGCTAGACTGACCAAGAAAAAAAGAAAGAAGACCCAAATGAAAAAGGGAATATCACCACCAACCTTACAGAAATAAAAATAATTACAAGGGTCCACAAACAGATCTTGAAAGAAAATGATAATAATTACAGGGGAATACTATGAGCAACTGTATGCCAACAAACTTGATAACTTAGATAAAATGAACAAATTCCTAGAAAGACACAAACTACTGGCTTAAGAAATAGGAAATCTGAATAGGCCTATGGTAAGTAAATAGATTGCCGGGCATGGTGGCTTACGCCTGTAATCCTAGCACTTTGGGAAGCCAAGGCGGGCGGATCACTTGAGGTCAGGAGTTTGAGACCAGCCTGGCCAACATGGTGAAACACTGTCTGTACTAAAAATACAAAAATTAGCTGGAAATCGCTTGAACCCGGGAGGTGGAGGTTGCAGTGAGCCGATATTGTGTCACTGCACTCCAATCTGGGCAACAGAGTGAGACTCCGTCTCACACACACACACAAAAAAGTAAACAGATTGAATCAGCAATTTTAAAACTTTTCACAAAGAAAAGCCTAGGCCCAGATGACTTCACTGGTGAATTCCACCAAAATTCTTCTTTAAAGAAGAATTAATACCAACGATTCACAAACTTCCAAAAACTAGAACAGGAGGAAATGCTTCCCAATTCATTTTGTGAGGCCAGTATTGCCCTAATACCAAAACCAGACAAAGACATTTTAAGGATTATACACCATGATGAAGTGGGATTTATCACAGGAATGCGCGGTTGATTTAACATCCAAAAATCAATCGAAATAGTATGCCATATTAATAGAATAAAGGACTGAAACCACATAATTCTCTCAACACACGTAGAAAAAGCATTTGACAAAATGCAACACCCTTCTGTGATTAAAAAAAATACACAACAAACTAGAAGCAGAAGTGAATTTCTTCACCTGATATGGGGCAGCTATGAAACACCCACAGCTAACACTATACTTAATAGTCAAAGACTGAATGCATTCCTCCTTAGAGTGAAAGGATGTTTGATCTCACTACTTCTGTTTCATATTGTAGTAAAGTTTCCAGTCAGAGCAAGAAAAAGAAATAAAAGGCATCCAAATTCAGGAAGAAAAAGTAAAGCTATCTCTATTTTCCGATGACATGTTCTTGTACATAGAATATCCTTAGAAATCCACACCAAACAAAATAAGACAAAAGCTATTAGAACTAATGACAAGTTTAGCAAGGCTGCAGGATAGTAGGTCAATATACAAAAGTCAATTATATTTTTATATACTAGTGACGTACAATCCAAAATGAAATTAAGAAAACAATTCTAGTTACAATTGCATCAAAAAGAATAAAACACTTCTGGATAAATTTAATAAAAGTGCAAAATTTGTACACTGAAAGCTAACAAGTATTGTTGAAAGGGATTAAAGACCTAATAAATGGAAAGCTATTCCATGTTTGTGGATCACAATACACTATTATTAAGATGATAATACCCTCAAATTGATCTACAGATTCAGTGCAATACCTATCAAAAATTCCAGCTAGACTTTTTGGAGAAATTGGCAAGTTAATTCTAAAATTCAGAAGAAAATGCAAGAGACCTAGAATAGCCAAACCAATCTTGAAAAAGAAAGTTGGAGGATTCACACTTCTCAATATCAAAACTTACTACAAAGCTCTAGTAACCGAGGCTGTGTGGAACTGACATAAAGAGAGACATGTAGACCAACAGAATAGAATTGGAAGTCCAGAAATAAACCTTTACATTTATGGTAAACTGAGCATCAGCAAGGGTGCTGATATGGTTTGTATCTGTGTCCCCACCAAATCTCATGTTGAAATGGAATCCCCAGGGTTGTGGGTGGGGCCTGGTGGGAGATGATTGGATCATGGAAGGAGATTTTTCATGAATGGTTTAGTGCCATTCCCTTGGAGATGAATAAGTTCACGTGAGATCAGATTGTTTAAAAGTGTGGCATTTCCCATTCTCTCTCTTGCTCCTGCTCTCACCATGTGATGTGCCTGCTCCCCCTTCACCTTCCACCATGATTGTAAGGCTCCTGAAGCCCTCACCAGAAGTTGAGCAGATGCTGGTGCCCTGCTTGTACAGCCTGCAGAATTGTGTGCCAATGAAACCTCTTCCTTTTGTAAATTACCTAGTCTCAAGCATTTCTTTATAGCAACTCAAAAAGGGCCTAACACAGGTGCCAAGAGAATTCAATGGGGAAATAACAGTCTTTTTAGAAAATAGGGATGAGACAACTGGTATCCACATGCAAAAGAATGAAGTCAGACCCTTACCTCTCACACCATACAAAAAGATTGACTCAAAATGGATCAAAGACCAAAACATAAGAGCTAAAATTATAAAATTCTTTGAAGGAAACACAAGAGTAAATCTTCATGGCCTTGGACTAGGCAATGCCTTTTAAGATGTAACACCCAAAGCACAAGTGACAAAAGAAAACATGGAAAATTGGACTTCATCAAAATTAAAATATTTGTGCTTCAAAGGAAAGCATCAAGCAAGTTAAAAGACAATCAGAAGGAGGAAATATTTACAAGTCATTTGTCTGATAAGGGAATTGCACCCAGAATACATAAAGAACACTTACAGCTCAAAACACTTAAAAATGGGACAAGGATTTAAATAGACATTTCTCCAAAGATATACAAAAAGCCAATAAGCATATGAAACAATGCTCAACTGTAGTTTTTTTGTTTGTTTATTTTTATTTTATTTATTTATTTTTGAGACGGAGTCTCACTCTGTCGCCCAGGCTGGAGTGCAGTGGCTTGATCTCAGCTCACTGCAACCTCTGCCACCCTGGTTCAAGCAGTTCTCCTGCCTCAGCCTCCCGAGTAGCTGGGATTACAGGCTCCTGCCACCATGCTTGGCTAATTTTTATATTTTTATAGAGATGGGGTTTCACCATGTTGGGCAGTCTTGAACTCCTGACCTCGTGATCCACCCACCTCAGCCTCCCAAAGTTCTGGGATTACAGGCATGAGCCACCATGCCCAGTCAATGCTCAATATTATTAATTCACAGAGATTGCAAATCAAAAACATAATATGATGCCACTTCATACCTGCTAGGATGGCTATAATCAAAAAGACAGATAATAATAAGTGTTGGAGAGGATGTAGAGAAACTGGAATCCTAATAAGTTGCTAATGGGAATGTAAATGGTGCAGCCACATTGGAAAATAGTTTGGCAGTTCCTCAAAATGTTATAGATAGAGTTATGATATGACCTACTATTCTATGCCTAGATATATTACCAAGAGAAATGAAAATATATGTCCACACAAAACCACATACACAAATTTCATGGTACCATTAACAATAGTAACAAAAGGTAGAAACAACCCAAATGTCCATCAAATGGTGAATGGATAAACAAAATATGGTATATCCATATAATGAACTATTATTCAGCAATAAAAAGAATGAAGTACTGTATTTGTTACACCATGGATAAACCTTGAAAACATTATGCTCAGTGAAAGAAGTCAGTCACAAAAGACCATATTTATGTATGTATGTGTGGCTACATGTATTGTATGATGATATTTATGTGAAATATCGAGAAGAAGCAAATCTATAGAGACAGAAAAAATAATGGTGGTTAATTAGGGTTGTGGGGTGGAGAATGGAGATTCATCGCTAATGGGTACAGGATTTCTTTTTTGGTTGATGATGTTGTACAACTCTAAGCATACTAAAAGTACTCTTTTGTACACTTTAACTGGGTGAATGCTACAGTATGTGAATTACATCTCTATAAAGCTGTTTTTTTGTTTGTTTGTTTTTGAGACAGAGTCTGGCTCTGTCGCCCAGGCTGGAGTGCAGTGGCACCACATTGGTTCACTGCAATCTCTGCCTCCTGGGCTCAAGCGATTCTCAAGCCTCAGCCTCCCAAGTAGCTGGGATTACAGGCACCTGCCACTGCGCCCAGTTAATTTTTATATTTTTAGTAGAGACAGGGTTTCACCATATTAGTCAGGCTGGTCTCGACCTCCAGACCTCCTATTTATGTTACTTATATAAATACCTATTTATGTTACATAAACACCTATTTATGTTACTTATATGTTGTTATGTACTATGAGGCAAAAGGAAATTTTTTTCTTTTCTTTTTTTTCTTTGAGATGGAGTCTCACTCTTGTTGCCCAGGCTGGAGTGCTATGGCATGATCTTGGCTCACCACAACCTCTGCCTCGCCCATTCAAGCGATTCTCCTGCCTCAGCCTCCTGAGCAGCTGGGATTATAGGCATGCACCACCACACCCGGCTAATTTGGCATTTTTAGTAGAGACGGAATTTCACCATGTTGGGAAGGCTAGTCTTGAACTCCTGACCTCAAGTGATCCACCCACCTCGGCCTCCCAAAGTGCTGGGATTACAGGTGTGAGCCACCACACCCGGCCTCAGTAAGTTGATTTTTATGACTATGAATGGGTCCCCCAAAACAGGTCTAAATCATAATTAGTCTACTTGCTATGAGAAATTATGTGTTTGGCTTTTTGTTTAAGGAAAAAGCAAAAAAAAAAAATTGGAAAAATTCTCAAAAATGAATGTTCATCAGCATTTTTATGGGAAACAATCTGATGGAACAGGAGGCCAGCCAGGTAAATCATACAATCCAAGCAGAAAGAAATCATGGGAACATGTCTCTGAATGGAGAGAGAAAAGTGGCTCCACAGGGAGCTTGCTTATTGAGATGTAGGACAAATAAAGTGGGTGAAAGAGGTTAAAAAAAAGAAGCACTCTGAGAGGAGATTGAAGTGTAACTTTAATACACAAAAGAAAAGCTGTATTCCACACTTCTGATCACCTCCCCTTTCTTACTCTTCAGGCTTTAAATTCTGACTTTCTAATACCTCATTCGATCATATTGAATTAGCCTGAAGTTTGATTTGGAGGGCTGGTGACCCAGTCTCATTTTGGCCTGATGACATTTTGGGCTTGGGACTATCTCCCTTTTTTAGTACTTAGCTCAACTGCAGAAATAATACCAGCAATAATAATATCATCCCCTTACCATGCAACTCTAATTGAAATGTGAATGGATGTGCTATTGGCCAAGGGCCCCTGTCCACTAATTATGTATCATCTGAAAATCTGACCCAAGTATCTGGCAATCAAAGAGGGATAGCTTTCATCCTGCTGTTACCTGTTCACAGTTATGCCATCTGGCTCTTATACCCAGAAGAAAACTTGGCATCCGTATTCAACCAGAATGACCGTCAATTCTCAAAACATCTTATTTTCTCTTTGCCAAGAACCAAGTGACAACTGATCTCAAAGTGTAAGCACTTAACCTATAAAACAAATGACTTGGGGGAAGAGGCATTTTTCTCAATGAAAAATAGGGTTGAGAGAGTATTTTTGTGTCATCAGACATCTCAAACTATGTTTTAATAGTATAACCTAATTTATATTTCCTTTGTGTTTGTCTCTGATTTTTCAGTTCATTTTAATAAATACTTTTTGAGCACCTGCCATATGAAATGAAATGAGCCAAGCACTAAAAGGATACCAAGTTGTAATAGTCAAGGAAATGGCTCTAGCTCTGTAGGAATAAAACATCAGATTTCAGGCCGGGCACGGTGGCTCATGCCTGTAATCCCAGCACTCTGGGAGGCCGAGGAGGGCAGATCACCTGAGGTCGGGAGTTCGAGATCAGCCTGACCAACATGGAGAAACCCTGTCTCTATTAAAAATACAAAATTAGGCCGGGCACGGTGGCTCACGCCTGTAATCCCAGCACTTTGGGAGGCCGAGGTGGGCAGATCACGAGTTCAGGAGATTGAGACCATCCTGGCTAACACGGTGAAACCCCGTCTCTACTAAAAATACAAAAAAAAAAAAAATTAGCAGGGCATGGTGGCAGGCACCTGTAGTCCCAGCTACTCAGGAGGCTGAGGCAGGAGAATGGCGTGAACCCAGGAGGCGGAGCTTGCAGTGAGCCGAGATAGCGCCACTGCACCCCAGCCTGGGCGACAAAGCAAGACTCCAACTCCAAAAACAAACAAACAAACTCCTAGAAGAAAATATAGGAGAAAAACCTAGATACGCTCAGGTATGGTGATGACTTTTTAAATACAACATCAAAGGCATGATCCATGAAAGAAATAATAAATAAGCTGGACTTCATTCAAATTAAAAACTTCTGCTCTGTGAAAGAATATGTCAAGAGAATGAGAAGGTAAGCCACAGACTAGGACAAAATATCTTCAAAAGATATATTAAGATTATTACCTAAGATACAAAGAATTTTTTTTTTTTGAGACGGAGTCCTGCTCTGTTGCCAAACTGGTATGTAGTGGCACGATCTCGGCTCACTGCAACCTCTGCCTCCTGGGTTCAGGTGATTCTCCTGCCTCAGCCTCCCGAGTAACTGAGATTACAGGCACACGTCACCACGCCTGGATAATTTTTGTATTTTTAGTAGAGATGGGGTTTCGCCATGTTGGCCAGGCTGGTCTTGAACTCTTGATGTCAGGTGATCCACCCACCTCGGCCTCCCAAAGTGCTGGGATTACAGGCATGAGTCACTGCACCGAGACCAAAGAATTCTTAAAACTCAACAATAAGAAAAAAAACAACTTGATTTAAAAATTGGCCAAACACCTTAACAGACGCCTCACCAAACAGGTTGTAGATGGCAAATAAGCATATGACGAAATACTCCACATCATATGTCATCAAGGGAAAGCAAATTCAAACAGACACCACCTCACACCTATTAGAGTGACCAGAATTCAGAACACTGACAACAAATGCTGGTGAGGACATAGAGCAACAGGAGCTGTTGCTGGTGGGAATGCAAAAATGGTGCAACTAGTTTGGAAGACCATTTGGGAGTTTCTTACAAAACTAAACATACTTTTACCACATGATCCAGCAATCATGCTCCTTGGTGTCTACCCAAAGGAGTTAAAAACTTATGTCCAGGGTGGGGAATGGTGGCTCACACCTGTAATCCTGGCACTTTCGGAGGCTGAGGTGGGACAATCACTTGAGCTCAGGAGTTTAAGACTAGTCTGGGCAACATAGTGAGACCTCGTCTCTACAAAAAATTTAAAAATTAGCTAGGCATGGTGGTGCATGCCTGTAGTCTCAGCTACTTGGGAGGCTGAGATGGGAGGATAACTTGACTCCGGGAAGTTGAGGCTGCAGTGAGCCATGACCACACCACTGCACTCCAGCCTGGGTGACAGAGCAAGACCCTGCCTCAAAAAACAAGAAAAGAAGGAGGAAAGGGAAGAGAATGGGAGGGGAGGGGAGGGGAGGGGAGGAGAGAGGGAGGATGGAGGCAGAGAGGAGCTGGGAAAGGAGGCAGAGAGGGAGGGAGAGGGGAGGCAGGGAGGGAAGGGAAGGAAAAGAAAAAAAAAAAAAGAGCTCTCAAGCCATAAAAAGTTATGAAGCGGCCAGGAACAGTGGCTCACGCTTGTAACCTCAACACTTTGGGAGGCCGAGGCGGGTGGATCACTTGAGGCCAGAAATTGGAGACCAGCCTGGGCAACATGGTGAAACTCTATCTCTACTAAAAATACAAAAATTAGCCAGGTTTGGTGGCATATGCTTGTAAACCCAGCTACTCAAGCGGCTGAGGCAAAGAATCGCTGAAAAACAGGAGGCGGAGGTTGCAGTGAGCCGAGATCGCATCACTGCATTGCAGTCTGGGCAGCAAAGTGAGGCTGTCTCAAAAAAAAAGTTACGAAGAAAACTTAAATGCATATTACTAAGCGAAAGAATCCAATCCAAAAAAGGCTGCTTACTGCATGACATTTTGGAAAAGGCAAAACTATGGAGACAGTAAAAATATCGGTGGTTGCTAAGGGTTGGAGCCTGGGGTTAGTGCAGTGAAAATACTCTGCATGATACTGTCATGGTGGATACATTTCACTATACATTTGTGCAAACCCGTAGGATGAATAACACCGAGAGCACTAATATAAACTATGGGCTTTGGGGGATATGATGTGTCAGTATGGCGTCATCAGTTGTAACGAGTGCACCCCTCTGGTGCAGGATGTTGATAATGGTAAAGGTTATGCATCTGTGGGGACAAGTATATGAGGTATCTGTTTACCTTCCTCTCCATGTTGCTGTGAACCTAAAACTGATCTTGAAAAAAAAAATCTTGGCCAGGCGCAGTGGCTCACGCCTGTAATCCTAGCACTTTGGGAGGCCAAGGTGAGCTGATCACCTGAGGTTGGGAGTTCGAGACCAGCCTGACCAACAATGGAGAAACCCTGTCTCAACTAAAAATACAAAATTAGCCAGGTGTGGTGGCACATGCCTGTAATCCCAGCTACTCGGGAGGCTGAGGCAGGAGAATGGCTTGAACCCGGGAGGCAGAGGTTATGGTGAGCCAAAATCGTGCTACTGCACTCCAGCCTGGGCGACAAGAGCGAAACTCTGCCTCAAAAAAAAAAAAAATTTTTTTTTTTTACTTTTACCATGTTAAACTCCTGAGAGCAAGATGGGTCACCAAGAACTGTACTGGAGCCACCCGCGAAAATTTGGCCGCGGTTCTCGCTCTTGTCGCGTCTGCTCAAACCAGCACGGTCTGATCCGGAAATACGGCCTCAATAAGTGCAGCCAGTGTTTCCGTCAGTATGTGAAGGATATCGGTTTCATTAAGTTGAACTAAATGATCTTCCTTCAAAGGATAATCCAAGGCATCTACCCAATGAAAAACCATGATGCTTTTTTGTACATAAAATAAACATTTATTTTTAAAAAATCTTTAATTAAAAAAAAAGAGAAAAGAAACTTCATCAGAGTAGAAAAGAGTTCATAGAAGAGGTGTATCATGGAGGAAGTAGCATTTGAAATGATCCTTGACAGAACTGCCAGACAGCCTTAGTAAGAGCAGCATTCCAGAAGGAGCAATGAGCACTAATAAAGCAATAGTGGTGGAGAGAGAATGTTGAGTAACTAGTTTTCCTCACAAAGTTTTGCATAGGGGAGAGATTAAGCTTTAAACGTGGGTTAGATCCCTGCTGTCTAAGGCCTTCGATGTCAGGGAGAGGTTTTTTTGTTTTGTTTTGTTTTTTGTTTTGTTTTTTTTGACACGGAGTCTTGCTCTGTCGCCCAGGCTGGAGTGCAGTGGTGCGATCTCGGCTCACTGCAAGCTCCGCCTCCTGGGTTCACGCCATTCTCCTGCCTCAGCCTCCTGAGTAGCTGGGACTACACAGGGAAAGAGTTTTAATTCCATTCCTCCATTATCATAATCATCATGCTTTTTCCTTTTTTTGGAGACGGAGTCTCACTCTGTCACCCAGGTTGGAGTGCAGTGGCACGATCTCGGCTCACTGAACCTCCGCCTTTTGGGTTCAAGCAATTCTCCTGCCTCAGCCTCCCGAGTAGCTGGGACTACAGGCGCATGCCACCATACCCAGCTAATTTTTTATTTTTAGTAGAGACAAGGTTTCACCGTGTTGGCCAGGCTGGGCCTGGAGTTCTCGAACTCCTGACCTCAGGTGATTCACCTGCCTCGGCCTCCCAAAGTGCTGGGATTACAGGTGTGAGCCACCATGTCCAGCCAGATCATCATGCATTTTTAACGTAAAGGCCCAAGAACAATTACACCATTAATTGTTGACAAGTAATGGCCCCAGACCAGAAAATACATTCAGTCAGAAAAGACTTCATTTTGCAGAGGGCAACACTAATGACAGCATCAAATTGCATTCATGGGCTATAACAGAGTCCAGAATTTTGCATTTGTTCCCATGTGTCTTAATGTTTATTAAATCCAATCCAAACATTTCCACTACACTCTTGCTCTACTTCTCCCCAGATTGTCTCATGTATTTATCTAGAGATCCCAGCGGTAGCCTTACACACCAACATCACAAACCATCTGTGCCTCCTCTCAGGTATGGAAAGGGAATCCTATCAGGCCTGGGAACTCTAAATACCAAAACCAAACACTGTATATTCCACAAATATGATTTCCTTTTCCTTCAGCAGACAGTGCAGTCACAGTATGAAGGTCAACAGTGGTGTACGATCCATACTAGGAATTTTACAGGCATAAATATTTATTTTTAAAATTTTAGGTGCAAAGTAACAGGAGGAGTACATACAGCAGCATTGGGACACCTTAGGAAGGTAGTAATTAAACTTTTTCTGAAGTTGCTCTGTAATTCTAGCATTCTGGGAATTATGCCTTTCATGTGTATTCCTCCAAATCAGTTGAGGTTCCAAAATATACCCAAGTAGAGTATTTGAGAAATTCTAGTTGCAGGTGGGATCTGACTGCTTTGCATTGTGCTATATACATCAATCTATTAATATTAGTTGTTCCCTTTTTGGAACACAGTAGGAAATAAACAGACAAATTAGCAAATAGCTTACAAGAGAGATGGTGGCTTCATGTCTTCTACAGAAGTCTTACTTGAGGCTCTACAACTTGCCTTTACTTATTCTTATTCTTTTGATTCTATTTAATATAATTCAGTCTTACAAAACTGTTTTTAAGCCATGCATGATATAAACTAGAACTTAGATATCTCGACTTCTTAATATTATATGCTTAATTTTATGTGCTCCATAAAATAATTATAAGGAAGCAATAATTTTCTTTCTTTCTTTTTTTTTTTTTTGAGCTGGAGTCTCACTGTGTCACCAGGCTGGAGTGCAGTGGCACAATCTCAGCTCACTGCAAGCTCCACCTCCCGGGTTCACGCCATTCTCCTGCTTTAGCCTCCTGAGTAGCTGGGACTACAGGCGCCTGCCACCACCCCCGGCTAATTTTTTGTATTTTTAGTAGAGACAGGGTTTCACCATGTTAGCCAGGATGGTCTTGATCTCCTGACCTCGTGATTGAGGCCTCGGCCTCCCAAAGTGCTGGGATTACAGGCGTGAGCCACCGCGCCCAGCAGGAAGCAATAATTTTCATAACAACTGATATTTATTTTTTATAAGTTCACATTCACAACCATTTTCCCACTATCGAATTAGCAAAAATTTAAAAAACATTGTTGGTGAGACTATCATGAGATAAACATTTTCATTCACTGATGCTGTGAATTTAAATCAGAACAAACTTTCTCAAAAACAATTTGGCAAAAATGTATCAAGAATTTAAAACATCTATTCCATTTGTCTCAATTATATACATATGCACAAACAGAGCTAAAAGAAATGCCCCACCCCTTGCCAAGTCAAGGTGTTAATGATAGTTATTTCTTGGTGATGGGATAATAGGTAGTTTTTATTTTGGAATTATATTTAAAAATTTTATAACCAGTGAGAAAGTATTACTCACTGATTATAGCTATTTTAATCACTGAAGAATATTTATACAGGCCGGGCACAGTGGCTCATGCCTGTAATCCCAGCACTTTGGGAAGCCAAGGTGGAGGGATCACTTAAGGTCAGGAGTTCGAGACCAGACTGGCCAACATGGTGAAAACCCGTCTCTACTAAAAATACAAAAATTAGTCAGGCGTGGTAGCGTGGGCCTGTAGTCTCAGCTAACAAGGAGGCCAAGGCAGGAGAATCGCTTGAACCCAGGAGGCGGAGGTTGCAGTGAGCCGAGATCACACCACTGCATTCCAGCCTGGGAGACACAGTGAAGCGCCGTCTCAAAAAAAAAATACAAAAAAAAAAGAATATTTATGGAGAATTTTAATAAAACAAAATATTCACAATATGTAGTAAAAAACACTATATTTTATAAAGAATATAATAGCAACTAATTTTGTATGTATATAACTGTGTATATGTATAAATATATGATCATTCACCTAATAAATACATCTGCTTAGCAAGGCCTAAAATGAGGAACAAGCAAATCAAATCTAAAACCAAGTTAGCATTTTTGGAATATGTATTATGTGTTATTTTTAATTTCTGGTTTTATTTAGTTTTTCATTTTTTTAACACTGAGCTTGTATTGCTTTAATATTTAAAAAAATACTATTACACAATCAATTAGAAAAAAATCTCTGCCGAGCATGATTATATCATACATGTGTTCACTGCACTGTTGCAGATCCCTCACTGCACTGTTACAGATCCCATCAAGTTGTCAGCTTCCTCATTATAAAGTAAGGGGATTTGGCCAGGTGCAGTGGCTCACGCCTGTAATCCCAGACTTTGGGAGGCTGAGGTGGATCGCCTGAGGTCAGGAGTTTGAGACCAGCCTGGCCAACATAGTGAACACCACCCCCGCCCCACAGCCTGTCTCTACTAAAAATACAAAAGTTAGTGTAGTGGCAGGTGCCTGTCTCTACTAAAATTAGTGTAGTAGCAGGTGCCCCATCTCTACTAAAAATTCAAAAATTAGTGTAGTGGCAGGTGCCTGCAATCCCAGCTACTCAGAAGGCTGAGGAGAATTGCTTGAACCCTGGAGGCGGAGGTTGCAGTGAGCTGAGATCGCACCATTGCACCAGCCTGGGTGACAAGAATGAAACTTTGTCTAGTCCCAGCTACTCAGAAGGCTGAGGCATGAGAATTGCTTGAACCCAGGAGGTGGAGGTTGCAGTGAGCCGAGATCGCATCACTGGACTCCAGCCTGGGCGACAGAGTGAGACTCTGTCTCAAAAATAAATAAATAAATAAAAATAATATTATATAATATAATAAGGGGATTATATTTGGTGTTCTCTAAGACACCTTCCAGCTCTAAAATCCTCTAAGTCCATGAACCATACAGCAGACATCTAGTAAATAGTTATTAAAATAATGGACCAGGCTGGGCACGGTGGCTCACACCTGTAATGCCAGCCCTTTGGGAGGCTGAGGCAGGTGGATCACTTGAGGTCAGGAGTTCGAAACTAGCCTGACCAACATGGTGAAATCCTGTCTCTACTAAAAATACAGAATTAGCCAGGCATGGTGGTGCATGCCTGTAATCCCAGCTACTTGGGAGGCTGAGGCAGGAGAATCGCTTGAACCCAGGAGGCAGAGGTTGCAGTGAGCTGAGATCACACCACTGTACTCCAGGCTGGGCAATGAGAACAAAACTCCGTCTCAAAAAAAAAAAGGAGCATTCTATTGTAAGTCTCAGAAGACTCCAACCTTGAGGTGTCAAGGTGTGGTAATCAGAGAATGGCCTTGGCATTAAGGAAACAGCTGGAATCCTGGCTGTGTCTCACTTTCCTCATTTGAGCAGTGGGGATAATAACACCTCTCTCAAAAGACTGAAAAGGAACTGAAATGTAATCAGTCTGCAGGCCTTGTGTGTTGGCTTGCATGGAGTAGATGCTTCATACATGATAGTTTTCTCCTCAATAATCCAAGGCTTGATCTGTCAGATTGCACTGAACCATCAGTTTGCAATCCCTGGATCTAAGCTCCCCTTTTGGCCCCCCACATCTGGAAGTGGAAGGGTCCCATTTGTGAGGACTAAGTGATATTTAGCTTTGGGATGTTGAGACGGGGTTCCGGAGAGATGTGCGTGCAGCAGCCAGAGCAGCCAGGGCAAGTCCTCTGATCCCGAGCACAGAGAACAAGGCAGCAGGGTCAGCCGGGGCAGGGGTGGAGGAGAAGCTTGGTCCTGTGTCTTCCTTCGCGCCTGCTTGTCCACCCACCCACCAAACTTTCTTCATCCTCCCCTCCCTTCCTTCAGAAGACATCAACGATGCAGATTACCTGGCAGTCCCCGTGCTGGGTAACAGAGTTTGAAAACTGAATACGATATTGGCTCTGGGCCGGGCACAGTGGCGCGTATCTGTAATCCCAGCACTTTGGGAAGCTGAGGCAGGAGGATCGCTTGAGCTGAGGAGTTCAAGACAAACCTGGGCAACATATCGAGAACTCCTCGCTACTAAAAAAAAATCAAAGTAATTAGCTGGGTGTGGTGGTGGACACCTGTGGTCCCAGCTACTTAGGTAGCTGAGGTGGGAGGATCACCTGAGCCTAGGAGGTCGAGGCTGCAGTGAGCCTCACTGTACTGCAGCCTAAGCAAGTAACAGAGTGAGACCCTGTCTCAAAAAAAGATATTGGCTCTGCTTTTAAGGATCTCTGGTCTTCTAGGGGAGGCAGATAATAAATAAAAATCACACCGGGCATGGTGGCTCACTCCTGTAATCCCAGCACTTTGGGAGGCCAAGGCGGGTGGATCACGAGGTCAGGTGTTCAAGACCAGCCTGGACAACATGGTGAAACCCCATCTCTACTAAAAATATTAAAAAAAATTAGTTGGGCATGATGGTGGGTGCCTGTAATCCCAGCTACTCGAAAGGCTGAGCCAGGAGAATCGCTTGAACCCCAGAGGCGGAGGTTGCAGTAAGCCGAGATCGCGACATTGCACTCCAGCCTGGGCAACAAGAGTGAAACTCCATCTCAAAAATAAATAAATTAAATAAATAAATAAATATCACAAGCCTGCCCACATGATCAGCCCTGCACACCAGTGAGGTCCACAGGAAGGAGGACTCAGATCTGTTGGAGGGGGCTGGTGGGCTATGGGACATGGTGAGAGACGGCTTCCCAAAGGCGATCCCCTCAATGTCATTTTTCTTTCTAACGGAAGTGGATTTTGCCCTAGGGATCAAGATGTGCTTGAGGTGGGGAGGGGAACACCCCATCAGGAACTCCCAGTGGAGATGTGAATAGTCCGGCTCCTCCATGACGGAACCTTGGGGAACTCCTCTCACCAGAGAGAAGGGTGTGACGAAAGGGGGTTTAAGACCATATCCCGAGGAGCGTGAATCACAGTTACAAAGTAGAAACAGTCTGGTGAAGGCAATGGGCCATTCCCTGAAGTAGTTTAAAGTTCGGAGGGACACAAACACACCTGTATTTTACGGAGCAAACTCAGAGGAAGGTGCTTCACAGTTTGGCGGTGGGACAGACTGGAGCCTAGGAGGCCAGCTGCAGGGCCAGGCATCCAGCATGGGGTGATGAGGTGGGTCAGGCTCAGGGAGAAGCAGGAAGGAGAAGCGACAGCACGCAGGAATGCAGGGGTGGCTGGGAGCTGCTGTCGCCATTCCTGAGGTGTGTAGCCGTGGACATTGCCTGGCTGAGTAACTCTGGGCATTGTTTAGCTTAGTTTGTTGCTGATACTGCCTGGAGAGATCATATGGTCACTAGCTTGTTTCCCATTGTTGTGTGTGACTCTGGGAAAGGGTCTTCTGCCTCTTTCTTTCTTTCTTTCTTTTATTTCTCTTGAATATTGCCATTTGTATTCAAAGTTGCAATTCTCCTAAACCAATTAGAGAGAGTTCTGATCTGGAGACTAGCTCCAGAAATTCACTAACTTCCTATTTATCTTTCTTTTATCTCCATTCTATGAAATTTTCCAGCAATAATACTATTCTCCAGAAACGCATTCTAGGTGAGACCTTTTTTTTTTTTTGAGACAGAGCTTCGCTCTGTCACCCAGTATGGAGTGCAGTGGGACGATCTCGGCTCACTGCAACCTCCGCCTCCCGGGTTCAAGTGATTCTCCTGCGTCAGCCTCCCAAAGTGCTGGGATGATTACAGGCATGAGCCACCGCGCCAGGCCTAAGTGAGACCTTTTTTAGTCTCCATATTTGAGAAAAAACATAGTAATAAATGCTTTTTTTGTCCAAACACACTAACGTGTGACTTCTGGAGAGTGACTGAAATTCAGATACTGGAAGTCTACTATGGTTTGAAGGTTTGTGTTCCCTCTAAATCTCATGTTTTGAAACATAATCACCAATGTCACAGTGTTAAGAAGTGGGGCTGGCTGGGCAGAGTGGCTCATGCCGATAATCCCAGCACTTTGGGAGGCCGAGGCCGGCAGATCACAAGGTCAGGAGATGGAGACCATCCTGGCCAACATGGTGAAACCCCATCTCTACTAAAATACAAAAATTACCTGGGCATGGTGTCATGCACCTGTAGTCCTGGCTACTCGGGAGGCTGAGGCAGGAGAATCGCTTGAACCTGGGAGGCAGAGGTTGCAGTGAGCCAAGATGGTGTCACTGCACTCCAGCCTGGGTGACAAGAGTGAAACTCCATCTCAAAAAAAAAAAAAAAAAAAAAAGAAGAAGTGGGGCTTTCCAGAGGTGATTAAGTCATGAGAGTGGAGCCCTCGTGAGTGGCATTAGGCTTGACTGACTTACAAAAAATCTTAACCAACTGTGTTCAGCCCTTTTCCCTTTCTGCCCTCTGCCATGTGAGGTCACAGTGTTCCTCCCTCCTGAGGATGCAGTGTTCATGAAAGCAAACACTGGGCCCTCACCAGGCAACAAACCTGCTGGTGCCTTCATCTTGGACTTCCCAGCCTTCGGAACTGTAAGAAATAGATTTCTGGGGTTTTTAAAAATAAATTGCTCAGTCTGTGGTATTTTGTTATAGCAGCAGAAACAGACTAAGATGGGGGGTCAGATAGGATACTTTTTTTTTGAGACAGAGTCTCACTATGTCACCCAGGGTAGAGTACAGTGGGGTGATCTTGGCTCACTGCAACCTCCACCTCCCAGGTTCAAGCGATTCTCCTGCCTCAGCCTCCCAAGTATCTGAGATTACAGATGTGCACCACCATGCCCGGCTAATTTTTGTATTTTTAGTAGAGGTGGGGTTTCACCATGTTGGCCAGGCTGGTCTTGAACTCCTGACCTCAGGTGATCTATCCATCTCAGCCTCCCAGTGTGCCGGGATTGCAGGTGTGAGCCATTGCACTCGGCCTACTTTTTATTGAGAGACTAAGGGATACTATGCCTTCCACAGAATTCAAACTTTGACACTCAACAACAAAAGCAAAAAATTTTGTGTCTCATTCGCTTTTGAGATTATTTGTAAAATGTAGACATCACTGAATGCCAAATGCCAAGAATAAAATTTCTTCTAAATTCATCATGAGTGGCTTCTGGTAAAATAATATGGCCTGCCAAAATCGCCTTTAATATTACAATTCACAAATTATCAAATCTCTTGTTTTTGTCTTTTGATATTTCATTTACTGTTTCCAAGCTTTTAGATAAGTTATAATTCTTCTGAAGATATCATAACTGCTTGTTTCTGTTTTCACTACTTTGTTATGACTTGATTTATATGTTTAACTGTTAAATCTCAAGTTTTTGGGGGGCCAGGTGCTG
Source organism: Homo sapiens (assembly GCF_000001405.40). Taxonomy (NCBI): domain Eukaryota; kingdom Metazoa; phylum Chordata; class Mammalia; order Primates; family Hominidae; genus Homo; species Homo sapiens. The sequence goes on from NC_000002.12 coordinate 207,663,326, forward strand.
TGGCTCACACCTGTAATTCCAGCACTTTGGGAGGCCGAGGTAGGTGGATCACCTGAGGTTAGAAGTTTGAGACCAGCCTGGCCAACATGGTGAAACCCTGTCTCTATTAAAAATATGAAAACTAGCCAGGCATGGTGACAATGCCTGTAATCCCAGCTACTTGGGAGGCTGAGGGAGGAGAATCACTTGAACCCAGGAGGCGGAGGTTGCAGTGAGCCGAGATCATGCCACTGCACCCCAACCTGGGCAACAGAGCAAAACTCCATCTCAAATTAATTAATTAATTAATTAATAAGAATAAGATTTGTTTGGCATAGTGTAAGTTAAATTGTTTTTGATATTGCTAGCATGAAAAAATAAATTTACAAGGGGTTTTACTTCTCTGCAAAGCAGATAATTTGCATGTTTTGTAAACTGCTTAGCATGGTATAATGTGAGATAATTTAAGCCAGAGGAAAAAGATTTTTCTCACTCCACCACTCCCTTGGAAAATATTTAAAATACGGTGGTCATATTTCTAATTTCCCTTTGAAGGTACTTTTGGATAGATTCCAGGAAAACGACCCTTTGTAAAACAGATGAATGTTTCATCTAAAAATTTGGTCTGCTTATAAAAAGTTAACTACCAAACATGTTTAAGTGTCCATGTTAGTTACTGTGGTACAAATTATATTCAGTAGAAGTTTCACGCTGAGAAAAACCAGGAAGTGCATAAGATGAATACATTCATGGTGATTATGCTCTTCAGGAGCTAGAAAGTAACTACTTAAGAAGATTATGCATGAGAGTAATTGCTGTTTAATGGAGAAAAACTGGGGAAAATAATTATAAGAGTAAAGAAGACCTTTCCTAACCATCTGTCATTTAAAAATCAGAAACGAAAAAAGGAAACATAGCATGTTTTTCGGAAAGACTTGGAAATGATGCCAAAAGGCAATACTCTGGTGGTGCACACACAAAAGCTCTCAGAAGAGTCTCAGATTACTATATAAAAACAGTCTAAACACCCAAGGTGTATTTACTATTACAGTTAGTCACCTTTATTTGACATTTCTGTGTAGCCAAGAGGAGGGAACAAACCCAACTGAGATATCCATCACTGGAACCAGGAAACACCAATAAGAAGACATTTTCTCCCACTAGAATTAAAAAAAAGGTGACTATAGGGAAAAACAGTCTTTTTTTTTTTTTTTTTTTTTTGAGATGGAGTTTTGCTCTCGTTGCCCAGGCTGGAGTGCAATGGCACGATCTCGGCTCACTGCAACCTCTGCCTCCCAGGTTCAAGCAATTCTCCTGTCTCAGCCTCCCCAGTAGCTGGGATTACAGGCATGCGCCACCACACCCGGCTAATTTTGCATTTTTAGTAGAGACAGGGTTTCTTCATGTTGGTCAGGCTGGTCTCGACCTCCCGATCTCAGGTGATCCGCTCGCCTCGGCCTCCCAAAGTGCTAGGATTACAGGTGTGAGCCACCGCAGCCAGCCGAAAAGCAGTCTTCTATTTATCACTTTGAATTTCCTATTTTGTTGAATGCATTGAAGAAATATTAGTAAGCTAATAAAGGACTATATTGTTACAGGCTTTATTCCCATAACATTTTATTGGTGGTCTCTTCTGCTGAAGCAGGTATTCTTAAGGCTATAGATAGGCTGGGCGCTGGGGCTCACACCTATAATCCCAGCACTGTGGGAGGCTGAGGTAGGTGGATCACTTGAGGTCAGGAGTTCAAGACAAGCCTGGCCAATATGGTGAAACCCCATCTCTACTAAAAATACAAAAATTAGTCAGGCAAGATGGTGCATGCCTATAATTCCAGCTACTCAGGAGACTGAGCCAGGAGAATTGCTTGAACCCAGGAGGTGGAGGTTGCAGTGAGTCGAGATTGCACCACTGCATTCCAGCCTGGGTGACAGAGCGAGACTCCATCTAAAAAAAAAAAAAAAAAAAAAAAAAAGAGGGGGCCTATAGATATTAGCCTCTGAAATGTGCCTATCAGAGTCTCCAATCCTGACTTGGAGGAGCTGATGATCTGGATGTGGAGGAAGAAGCAACACCATTAATTATTCAGTGTGACTGGTTTGCTGTTGTTTAATGATACAGGAATTAATAACCAGACAAGACAATAATACAAGAGATGTGAGGCAGTATGTGATTAAGGGTGCAGCTGGAAGTAATCTCTCTTCTCTAAATTTCTGCAACACTTTAGCTGTGTTCCTTATGACACTTTCCCCTTTCTCTCTCTTGCTACTGTTATTTCTTGTCTTTTTCTCCTGACAACAGCGAACTACTGCAGGGCAATTCTATGTCTGATTCGTCCTTGATTCCCCACACAGAGCCTAGCCTAGGCCTGCAGAGCACTGCTGCCAGGAATTATTTATTTCAATAAAATGAGGGACATAGGGGATAAGTTTTGGGTGTGAAGAGGGGGAGGGGAAGGGTGTTGCTTGCTGTGCAGATTCTCACTTTGGGCAAAACTAGATTCTTTTTTTTTTGAAACAGGGTCTTACTCTGTTGCCCAGCCTCCCGAGTAGCTGGGACGCACCACCATGCCCAGCTAATTTGTGTGCGTGCGTGTGTGTGTGTGTGTGTGTATTTTTTATAGAGACAATGTCTCACCATGTTGCCCAGGCTGGTCTCAAACTCCTGAGCTCAAGCAATCTGCCCACCTTGGCCTCCCAGAGTGCTAAGATTACAGGCCTGAGCCACTGAGCCCAGCCTTTATGTATGTGTGTCTGTGTGTATATAAAAAATTATCTGGAAAGCTTTAAAAAAGATACAGAAATATCCAGGCAGAGAGACACTCACTGCAAGCTCTGCCTCCCGGGTTCACGTCATTCTCGTGCCTCAGCCTCCCAAGTAGCTGGGACTACAGGCACCCACCACCACGCCAGGCTAATTTTTTGTATTTTTAGTAGAGACGGGGTTTCACTGTATTAGCCAGGATGGTCTCGATCTCAGCCTCCCAAAGTGCTGGGATTACAGGCGTGAGCCACCACACCCGGCCATGAATTAATATTTATGAAGTATTTGAAACACTGTCTAGCACAAAGTAAGGACTCAACGAGTTCAGCTTTTATTATTTTTTAAAAAGTATTTTCTGTATTGTAGCCCCTTGATCTAGATGAGAAAGTTGAGCTTAAACAGGTTAAGTCAAAGACTGCAATCTGGTCACTCACTGTTGGCTTGCCTGGTTTAAACAAATGTTTAAATGGATTGCAACCATTTGGAACCTGAGAGGTTTCATATGAATATGAAGAATTCTGGCTTATTTGAGTAACAGGATAATCTCTTAGCACTGGGCCAGCATTCCTGCAAGGCACCCATTGGCTCTTGCTGACCAGTGGCTTCTCGTTGCAGATGGAGCCCGCACTCTCCAGTTCATCACCACCCCAGCATCCCTACTCTTGCATCTAACAGTTTCCGCTATTTTGCACCACCTGCCTGGCCCTTATGGGCAACTCAAGGAAGAAAGGAAAGAAGAGATAGAGGAAAAATGGATTCAACAAATGAAAGTGTTCTTTCTGACTACTGCTGTGTTTACAAACATTTTAATCATCAAAACATGCTTTATTTGATAGAAAGATCAAATCTGCCTTTGTAAAACAAGAGACTATTTTAATCATTAAGACAACACACATGTTTGATTTGGAGGCGTGTTCTCATTCAAAACCTTGCAAAATATAATTTCTTCTTGTCTGGGAGATGGTGTCTTTCTTCGGGGAGAACCTTGAGAGAAATGTCTATGAATGTGTCTGTAGATTGAGGATAGGCCAACAAACATATTTTGAAATATTTTTTCTTTCTTTTAAAAAAATAGATACTTTTAAAAGAAAATGCTTATTTAAATTACATAGCTCTTTTTTTCACTCTCAGTCATCATTTGTGGTTTCAGTCAGTACTACATTTATTCCCCAGAGCTAGGATTGCTGTGTTTTTAGAAAGGGAGCCTGTTTGAAGGGACTCTATACTCTTGCAGTAATTAAAATCCTTTTAGGAGTCTTTGACTTTGACTTACTGCTTTGTTTTAAATTATTGAAATTATTCAACTTCCCCATTCTAACCCACGGAAGGCTGTTGTTGTTCTCATTTATAATGGCACAATATAAGTTTAAAGATAGCTGTCTCCACATGAATGCATCTGCAAATCCATCTCTCTTCTCTCTTCTGCCATCCAGGTTAAGAAGCTCCACTGCGCTTTGTCCATTGCAAGTTGAGAAGTGAGGCCCCAGCTGTCACATACAGTGAGTGAAGAAGCTGAGCTTCCCTCAACGCCTGGGCCTGTATGAATTTTTTTTTTTTTTTTTTTTTTGGAGACGGAGTCTCACTTTGTTGCCCAGGCTGGAGTGCAATGGCACTATCTCAGGCCACTGCAACCTCTGCCTCCCAGGTTCAAGCGATTCTTCTGCCTCAGCCTCCTGAGTAGCTGGGATTACAGAAGTGCACCATTACAGCTTGCTAATTTTTGTATTTTTAGTAGAGAAGGGTTTTCACCATGTTGGCCAGGTTGGTCTCGAACTCTTGGCCTCAGGTGATCCGCCCGCACAGCCTCCCAAAGTGTTGGGATTACAGGCGTGAGCCACTGCGCCCGGCCTTAGGTAAGTTCCTTTTTTTTTTTTTTTGAGACGGAGTTTCACTCTGTTGCCCAGGCTGGGGTGCAATGGCATGATCTCGGCTCACCGCAACCTCTGCCTCCTGGGTTCAAGCAATTCTCCTGCCTCAGCCTCCTGAGGAGCTGGGATTACAGGCATGCACCATCATGCCCGGCTAATTTTGTATTTTTAGTAGAGACGGGGTTTCTCCATGTTGAGGCTGGTCTCAAACTCCTGACCTCAGGTGATTCACCCGCCTCGGCCTCCCAAACTGCTGGGATTATAGGCATAAGCCACCGCGCCCGGCCTTAGGTAAGTTTCTTAAAGGAAATGCAGACTTCAATTACTTTCACCTTGGCTGTATATAAAAAATTATCTGGGAAGCTTTAAAAAAGATCCAGAAATACCCAGGCAGAGAACAAAGGGAATTTGCTCCCTGCTCCCTTAGAGACATTAAATTGAAATTGCTTGGATCAGCCAGGCACGGCGGCTCATGCCTGTAATCCCAGCACTTTGGGAGGCTGAGGCGGGCACATCATGAGGTCAGGCGTTCGAGACCAGCCTGTCCAACACGGTGAAACCTGTCTGTACTGAAAATACAAAAATTAGCCAGGCCTGGTGGCACATGCCTGTAGTCCCAGCTACTTGGGAGGCTGAGGCAGGAGAATCCCTTGAACCCAAGAGGTAGAGGTTGCAGTGAGCCAAGATCGTGCCACTGTACTCCATCCTAGGCAACAGAGCAAGACTGCATCTCAAGAAAAAAAAAAAGAAATTACTTGGATCCTAAGAATGGGTATTTTTTTTAATTGTGGTAGAACAAACAACAGCAACAACAAAAAAACGCACAACGTAAAATTTGCCATCTTAATCATTTTTAAGTGTACAGTTTAGTAGTGTTAAGTAAATTTACATTGTGATGCAACAGATTTCCAGAAGCTTTTCATCTTGCAAAGCTGAATCCCTACACCTTTTTTTTTTTTTTTTTTTGAGACAGAGTCTTGCTCTGTTGCCCAGGCTGGAGTGCAGTGGCATGATCTTGGCTCACTGCAACCTCCACCTCCTGGGTTCAAGCGATTCTCCTGCCTCAACCTCCCAAGTAGCTGAGAGTAAGGCGCTCACCACCATGCCCGGCTAATTTTTGTATTTTTAGTAGAGATGGGGTTTCACCATATTGGCCAGGCTGGTCTCAAACACCTGACCTCGTGATCTACCCGCCTCGGCCTCCCAAAGTGCTGAGATTACAGGCATAAGCCACTGCGCCCGGCCATCTACACCCATTAAACAACTCCCCACTTCCCCTTCTCATCAGGTGCTGGCAACCACCATTCTACTTTTTGTTTCTATGAGTTTGACTACTTTAGATGCCTCATATAAGTGAAATCATACAGTATTTGTCTTTTGTGGCTTATGTCACATAGCATAATGTCCTCAAGGCTCATCTATGTTGTAGCATGTGTCAGCATTTCCTTCCTTTTTAAGGCTGAATAATATTTCATGGTACGTACATAACACATTTTCTTTTTTCTTTTTTTTTTTGAGATGGAGTCTTGCTGTGTCGCCCAGGCTGGAGTGCAGTGGCGTGATCTCGGCTCACTGCAAGCTCCGCCTCCTGGGTTCTTGCCATTCTCCTGCCTCAGCCTCCCAAGTAGCTGGGACTACAGGCGCTCGCCACCATGCCCGGCTATTTTTTTGTATTTTTAGTAGAGACGGAGTTTCACCGTGTTAGCCAGGATGGTCTCCAACTCCTGACCTCGTGATCCACCAACCTCGGCTGGGATTACAGGCCTGAGCCACCACGCCGGCCCATAACACATTTTCTTTATCGATTCATCTATCGATGGGCATTTAGATTGTTTCCACATCTTGGCTATTGTGAATAATGCCGGGGTGAACATGGGTGTGCAAATACTATATATCTTTCCTTTTTAAGGCTGAATAATATTTCTTGGTATGTACATAACACATTTTCTTTATCCATTCATCTATCGATGGGCATTTAGGTTGTTTCCACATCTTGGCTATTGTGAATAACGCCGCTGTGAACACGGGTGTGCAAATACTATATCTCTTTGAAATCCTGCTTTCAATTCTTTTGGATATGTAGCTAGAAGTAGAATTGCTGGATCATATGTTAAGTATATTTTTAATTTTTTGAGGAACTTCCATTCTGTTTTCCATAGCAGCTGCATCATTTTACATTCCCACGAACTGCACAAGTGTTCCAAAGAGCATGGGTATTTTTAAAAGCTCTTTCAGTAGAAGCTTTCTGTTTATTATCTTTTGCTTTCCTTTTTTCTTCTCCACCATTACCTTAACACAACCTATCTCGTTTACCTGGACTAACTGATTGGTTTGATAAATTTTCCTATATTTTCTTTCTTTTTCTTATTGGAGGCGATACAATTCAATTCTTTTACAATAGACTTTAAATTTTTTTACACGTATATTATTTAATAAATACTTTTTTCTCTTTTTTTTTTTTTTTTTGGAGACAGGGTCTCTCTCTGTCACCCAGGCTGGAGTGCAGTGGCATGATCTCAGCCCACTGCAACCTCAGCCACCTGGGTTCAAGCAATTATCATGCCTCAACCTCTGGAATAGCTGGGATTACAGGGGCGCACCATCACCCCCGGCTAATTTTTATATTCTAACAGAGACAGGGTTTCACCATGTTGGCCAGGCTGGTCTCAAACTCCTGACCTCAGGTGATCCACCCACCTTGGCCTTCCAAAATGCTGGGATTACAGGCCTGAGCCACCGTGCCCGGCCATAAAATACTTTTTTCTAACAAAATCGAAAGTTTTTACTGTTTTTTCTTTTCTTAAACACATTGTGACGTATTAAAGTATGCTTGAATAATTTATTGTATAACTTTACCTCCCACCCCATCATAATAGTGTTCTCTGGAGGTTTAACATTCTTTTAAGCACCCTCACCCCATAACTGTTTTTCACAATTGTTAAATAAATTTTCTAACATAATTTGTCAATTTGTGTGCTAAAATCTGTTTTCCGTGTACAAATGTATCTGAGTCACTTTTCTTCTTGCCACTTTCAAGAAGACCTGCTACAATACAAGGTATTTTTCAAAATATGTAACAGCCAGGGCCCTGGAATCAAACTGAGCTGACCAATCAGCAGGCTCTCTTCCTGCGGGGGCGGGGAGCGGTTGAAGAAGGATGGGAGGATTGTGGTGAGGGGGAGCCGTGGAGAGACAGGCACTCACAAGCCAGAACAGGGCACTGACCCATCAGAATGGGCACTGACTTTAAGCAGCCTCTTTGTTCACACCAGTGCTGCCGTCCTTGGTGACCATCAGCCCCAGCCTTCAGAGAGAGAAAGAGAGACAGAGACAGAGACTATATGCAGTATTTTTTTTTTCTTTTTCCTGAGATGGAGTCTCACTGTGTCACCGAGGATGGAGTGCAGTGTCGCAATCTTGGCTCACTGCAACCTCAGCCTCCCGGGTTCAAGCGATTCTTCTGCCTCAGCCTCCTGAGTAGCTGAGATTACAGGTGCATGCCACCATGCCCGGCTAATTTTTGTATTTTTAGTAGAGACGGGGTTTCACCATGTTGGCCAGGCTGGTCTCGAACTCCTGACCTTGTGATCCACCTGCCTCAGCCTCCCAAAGTGCTGGGGTTACAGGCATGAGCCACCGTGCCTGACCTTTTTTTTTTTTTTTAAAGATATTTACTGTTCTAGTGTGGAATATTGCCTGGAATGGAATGGTTTAAATATTACCATAGTGTAGTTTAAAATATAAAATAGGATTTGGAATCTTATTGTGATAAATTTCTGTATATGATGTATGTGGTTGTCTCCCTCCGCCAAAGTAAGGAACCCTTTTACAGCATGTTGAGAAGGTATTTTTTGGTATGAAAGGGGGACAGGCCTTTACATCTTTCAGGGATACACATAAGCATAAGGATTCAGCCTCTATGGGGAAGGTGTGTGCAGCACTCAAAGTTGCTAACATCAACTTCCTAACTTTCAGCCAGGGTTCTTACTGCATTTGGCATGGCTCTGATGAGAGAGTGGAGAATTTCTGACAGCATAGCACACTAGCTTCTGACAGATGGGGTTAAGTTGCCAAAAATGACAATCAGGGATTCAATAAGAAATTTTGGTCATTAAATCGATTTTATATTATTGCTTTTTTTTTTTTTTTTTTGAGACGGAGTCTCCCTGTGTCGCCCAGGCTGAAGTGCAGTGGTGCAGTCTCACTCACTGCAAGCTCCGCCTCCCGGGTTCATGCCATTCTCCTGCCTCAGCCTCCTGAGTAGCTGGGACTACAGGGGCCTGCCACCATGCCCAGCTAATTTTTTTTGTATTTTTAGTAGAGATAGGGTTTCACCGTGTTAGCCAGGATGGTCTCGATCTCCTGACTTCGTGATCCACCTGCCTCGGCCTCCCAAAGTGCTGGGATTACAAGTGTGAGCCACCGCGCTCGGCCTATATTATTACTTTTTATTAGGTTGGTGCAAAAGTAAATGTGGTTTTTGCCATTACTTTTAATGGGAAAAACCGCAATTACTAATCTTCCGTTTGTCATAGGACTTTAAAACCATATATTTCCCCTCAATTTTATTCTCCTTTTGGTTTAATAGTTGTTAAGACATTTTTTCATAATTAGCACAGTATGTTTGACTGCAGACCCTTTTTTTTTTTTTTTTTTGAGACGGAGTCTCACTCTGTCACCCAGGTTGGAGTGCAGTGGTGTGATCTCGGCTCACTGCAACCTCTGCCTCCTGGGTTCAAGCAATTCTCTGCCTCAGCCTCCCAAGTAGCTGGGATTACAGGCGTCCGCCACCATACCCGGCTAATTTTTGTATTTTTAGTAGAGATGGGGTTTCACCATATTGGCCAGGCTGGTCTTGAACTCCTGACCTCATGATGCATCCACCTCGGCCTCCCAGAGTGTTGGGATTACAGGCGTGAGCCACTGCACCCGGCCAACTGCAGACAAAGTTATGATACTTCTAGGCTATAAATCTTTAGAATTCTGTGAATTTCAATATTATTTGAAGTAGTTCTTCAGTTATATTTACATATGTTGTAAATATATATATATATATATATATATATATATATATTTTTTTTTTTTTTTTTTTTGAGACGGAGTCTCGTTCTGTCACCCAGGCTGGAGGGCAGTGGCACGATCTCAGCTCACTGTAACCTCCACCTCCCAGGTTCAAGCGATTCTCCTGCCTCAGCCTCCCGAGTAGCTGGGACTACAGGCGCCACCATGCCCGGCTAATTTTTTGTATTTTTAGTACAGTCAGGGTTTCACCATATTGGCCAGGCTGGTCTTGAAATCCTGACCTTGTGATCTGCCCTCCTCGGCCTCCCAAAGTGCTGGGATTACAGGCGTGAGCCACCGTGGCCAGCCTTGAATATATTTTTAGTTTAGGGAATCTTCCAAAATACAAAGCACTCCTAGTTAGGTATCAGTGAGTTTGAATTATTGGTAAGAGTTTGAATTATTGACAAAATGCCAAAAATATTGTTTGATTTCACATAACAAGCTTGTTAGATATATTTTTGTGGAAAAGAATGAAAAATGGTTTTATTTTGCACCCACATTGCAGTAGTTCAGCAGTGTAGATACTGTTTTCCCTCAGCACCTTGAAGATACTACTTCACTGGCTTCTTTGTGGCATTTAATCTCTCAATTGAGAAGACAGTTGACTAATTGTCATTCCTAATTGTCATTCCTTTGCTCCTAATCTGTCTTTTATCTCTGATAGCCCTTAAGATTTTCTTGTTGTTCTTGATGTTTTAAAATTGTTCTGTAATGATTTGGCTTCTTTATCCTTTTGGTATGTAACACGCTTTTGTAAAAATTAACTTTCCCTTCATTTTCTCCTGGAATCCTCACAGTCTAACGTCAATACTCCTTCATGGTTCTCTCATGTTATTCTTGTCTTTGACCATGATTGTGTGAAGTCCTCCCCTCCAATTCAGTAATCCCCTTTTCAAAGGTATCCAGCCTAGAGTTCATTTTTTCAATTGATTTTTTAATTTTAATGTCTATTTTTAAATTTCTACTTGTTTCTCTTTCAGATCTACCTATTTCTTGTTGCATAATAGATTTTTTTTTGCTTCCTATTTGCTTGTTCTTTTTTAATGGAGGAAATATCTCTATCTCTTTAAGTATCCTAAGCACATTTATTTTCAATTCCTTATCAAGCAGTTCCACAAAATTATTATAATTATTATTTTATTTATTTATTTATTTGAGACAGTCTGGCTTTGCAGCCCAGGCTGGAGTGCGATGGCATAATCATGGCTCACTGCAGCCTCAATCTCCCGGGCTCAAGGCATCCTCCCGCCTCAGCCTCCTGAGTAGCTGGAACTGCAGAAGTGAGCCACTGTGCATGGCTAATTTTTTTATTTTTAGGTTAAGGTCAAGGTCATGCTGTGTTGCTGAGGCTGGTCTCAAACCCTTGACCTCTCAAAATGCTGAGATTACAGAGAAGAGCCACCATGCCAGGCCTAATTTTAACTAGAGTGAATTCATACTCTTAACTGGGGAGGTGGAATTCATATTCTTTCTTATGTAAAATATTTTAATGTGGTTTTGAATTTTACTTTGCAGGAGGCTATTCTGAGCAGAAAGAGCTGTAGTCTTTTATTTTCTGTTTCCTGTTCCCTCCATGCTCACTTTTTCCTACCTGACAGTATTGCCTTTACCTCCACATGGCAGCCTGGGACCTCAGTTCAGAGCAGAAACACAGCATTTTTTCTTGGTATTCCTGCCTTAGTTTGATATTGTAAATATCACAATATCACAATTGTCACAACATTTACAATATCAAAATAAGCCAGGAATACCAAAAAATTAAACCCACATGTCAATTTGAGAAAAATTTATAGGACTATGACATGCATTAATTTGTCTTCTAAAAAATCTTCCATTAAAGTGTTGTATTTTTTTCTTTTGATTCCTTCATTACATCAGGCTCTGTCCTTGAATTCCTTTCCCATCTTCTGCTTCCATACCTTTAAGCCATGGGGTATCCAACTTTTTTTCAGGCTCCATCACAAGAGGGAGCCCCATTGCTAGTCCCCATCCTCAAAGCCTCTGCGTGATGTTGTCTACTGTTACTCTTCACTACCCTGTGGGAGCCAAAGCCCTGGACATAAGAACAGAAGGCAAGTAGGTATACAGCTGCAATTCAGCTCTCTTCACTGTGTAATTTTTGTTTGTTTCTGTGCCACAGAGGTATGTACGTTTTTGCATTCTGAACTAACTACATCATTTTTATTTCCCCTTTTTTATAAACTTTTTATTGCTACATGTTTGGAATGAGGGTAGGGGCTGAAGGTGGGAGAGGGGGAGAAATTGACCAAAGAATGAGGCTGACACACCTCTTAGGCAGATATCAATTGTGTCCTTCTGCTTATATTCAAGGTGCAAAAGTTTAGGCTGGGCGCAGTGGCTCACACCTGTAATCCCAGCACTTTGGGAGGCCGAGGCCGGTGGATCACCTGAGGTCAGGAGTTCAAGACCAGCCTGGCCAATATGGCGAAACCTGTCTCTACTAAAACTACAAAAATTAGCTGGGCATGGCGGCACGTGCCTATAACCCCAGCTACTGGGCTGAAGTAGGAGAATCACTTGACCCTGGGAGGCGGAGGTTGCAGTGAGCAAAGATCGAATCGGCTTCAAAAAAAAAAAAAAGTTATGTTCATTTTTTATTTGACAAGCTATTTTATACATTTTAGTTTTTATTTCTTTTTTAAATTTACCAATAAAGCAAAGGCAAACCATTTAGTTTTTATTTCTGATTACAAAAGCAATAACTTTTTTTTTTTTTTTTCTTTTTTTTTTTTTTTGAGATGGAGTTTCACTCTGTTGCCCAGATTGGAGAACAGTGGCCGATCTCAGGTCAATGCAACCTCTGCCTTCCAGGCTCAAGCAGTTCTCCTGCCTCAGCCTCCCGAGTAGCTGGGACTACAAGTGCACATCACCACGCCTGGCTAATTTTTGTATTTTTAGTAGAGACAGTGTTTCACCATGTTGGCCAGGCTGGTCTCAAACTCCTGATCTCATGTGATGTACCCACCTCAGCCTCCCAAAGTGTTAGATTACAGGCATGAGCTACTGCTCCAGCCACAATAACTCTTAATTATAGAAAATTATTAAAATTCAGGAAAGGAGAAATACTAGTTTAGAGAATGGTGAGTGGGATGCTTTATGGATGCCTCCTCTTTGAAGATGTGCCTTGAAAGAGGAGGATTTTAGCAGTAGGATTGTGAAGAAAGAAAAGAAAAAGGGTATTTTAAAGGGGGGGATGGAATCCAGATATGGAAATAAAAATATTCCACATGCTTCACAGGATGTTGCTGGGTACATGGAGTAAGGGTGGATATATAGATAAAGCTGGAAATGATTCGGGATGAGATTTTGCAGATATTGAATGTAAAGGAGTTTGGCATTTATTCTTCAGGAAATGAAAATTCAAGTTCTTAGCCGGGTGCGGTGGCTCGCACCTGTAATCCCAACACTTTGGGAGGCCGAGGTGGGTGGATCACATGAGGTCAGGAGTTCAAGACCAGCCTGGCCAATATGGCGAAACCCTATCTCTACTAAAAATACAAAAATTAGCCAGGTGTGGTGGCAGGCGCCTGTAACCCCAGCTACTTGGAAGGCTGAGACAGGAGAATTGCATGAACCCTGGAGTCGGAGGTTGCAGTGAGCCGAGATCGCTCCACAACACTCCAGCCTCAGGGACAGAGTAAGATTCTGTCTCAAAAAAAAAAAAAAAAAAAAAAAAAAGAAAAGAGAAAAGAAAAGAGAAGAAAAGAAAATCCAAGTTCCATATTTGTCCTTAAAAAAATTCCTGTAAAGCTCTTTTTGTACCACAGCACAGAGAAGCACAATGTTACATTTGAGAATCACTATTTTGTTCATTTCCTGTGAGACAAGTTTGAATGTAAAATGGGAGGAAAAGCCTTGTATTTTAGTTCCTTCCTGATTCCCCCTGGCCCCCCTGAAGGTAGGCAGGGGCTGGGGAGGAGAGGAGTTATGTATTCACTCTCCGCAATTAAACACAAGTAAAAATCCATATCTATCCCCAACGGTAAAACAGTCACATAACCAGCACTTTAACTATAATCACAGAAAACGTTTTACATTGCTACAAGAGCAAATGTATAATCAAGAAAGATTCTTTGTAATGTTATCTAAAACCTGAAAAGTCTGTAGTTTTGGTTGATTGCCCAGTACATTGAAAGGACTTTTTTTTTTTAATCTTGGGTTTCGTTTTTCTTGGTCTAAGGCCCAATCTATTGCCAGTGGTGAGTCAGAAGGGATGCCTGAAATAGTTCTTGTGAAGTTATCTGTGTTCCTGTCTTATCATCCACGGATGGCCAAGACTTTCTCATTCATCTATATATTTCACAAAAGCCTAGCACAGTGTTCCCATGTTAAATGTTTGCTGAATTATAAAAAAGCATTTCAACTAATCTGTCAAATATGTGAGACAACAAATAGCATTTTGTGATGTGTTCACGGATATGTAGTTAGAATCGTAAGGCCAAAAGTAACCCAGAAGTTTCCTTTTCCCTTTTCCTTGACCAGGAAGAACTGTCCAATGAACGCTATTCACTGATGAGGGAAAAGTTCTGGTAAAGATATTTTTTCAAAGTATTAAGATAAAACTAAAAGCACTTATTTTCAGAAAGTGATTATCATTAGCTAGAAAAATCTAATCACAAGGCCAGACATGGTGGCTCATGCCTGTAATCCCAGCACTCTGGGAGGCCGAGGCGAGCGGATCATGAGGTCAGGAATTCCAGACCAGCCCGGTCAACATGGTGAAACCCTGTCTTTATTAAAAATACAAAAATTAGCTGGGTGTGGTGGCAGGTGCCTGTAGTCCCAGCTACTTGGGAGGCTGAGGCAGGAGAATCGCTTGAACCTGGCAGGCGGAGGTTGCAGTGAGCTGAGATCGCATCACTGCACTCCAGCCTGAGCGACAGAGCAAGACGCCATCTCAAAATAAATAAATAAATAAATAAAAATAGAATTACACATAAAATAGTGGTATCCAGCTTACGGGACGAAAGAGTAATAGAAGCTGGATCCCTCCAGAAACCTAAAAAAAATGAAGAAAAAAAGGCCGGGCGTGGTGGCTCACACCTGTAATCCCAGCACTTTAGGAGGCCAAGGCGGGTGGATCACAAGGTCTAGAGATCGAGACCATCCTGGCCAATATGGTGAAACCCCGTCTCTACTAAAAATACAAAAATTAGCCAGGTGTGGTGGCATGTGCCTGTAATCTCAGCTATTCAGGAGGCTGAGGCAGGAGAATCACTTGAACCCAGGAGGCGGAGGCTGCAGTAAGCCAGGATTATGCCACTGCACTCCAGCCTGGCAACAGAGCGAGACTCCTTCTCAAAAAAAAAAAAGAACAAAAAATAGATTGGTGAATATACTATATCATACTATGCTACACTACACTATACTATATTGTGCTGTATTATAACATACCATATTATAATATACTAGTGATGCTAAAACTAAAGGAGCCCACAGATTTTGAAGAATATCATCATGAGGTAGAGTGAGAGAAGGTATGAGGGGTCTTCTCACTTGTTACTTCTGTCCCTCTCTCCACAGGCAGTGGTGGCTGAGAGGAAGAACTGACACCTTTGTGCTATCAGAGCACTTTGCAGAGGAGCTGTTAGTGGCCCTGTAGGAGTCTGCTGGCCATACATCTGGGTGTCAAATCAAGAGAGCATGAGAAGTTGGACAGGAAAGGTCCAAGGCAAAATGGTTACTAAAGGCCATCCCTGATCCTGACCCTAAAAGAAGAAAAGGCCCTTTGCTCTTGGCATGCTTTTGCAGGAGTGTCTCAGTCTGTTTGGGCTGCTATAACATTGACTGGGTGATCTGCCTGCCTGGCCTCCCAAAGTGCTGGGGTTACAGGTGTGAGCCGCTGCACCAGGCCTTGAGGTCAGGAGTTCGAGACCAGCCTGGCCAACATGGTGAAACCTGTCTTTACTAAAAATACAGAAATTAGCCAGGCATGGAGGCGCATGCCTGTAATCCCAGCTACTGGGGAGGCTGAGGCAGGAGAATCGCTTGAACCCAGAAGGTGGAGGTTGCGGTGAGCCCAGATAGTGCCATTGCACTCTAGCCTGGCCAACAAGAGTGAAACTCTGTCTCAAAAAATAAATAAACAAACAAACAAACAACAACGATGTGTTTCTTCATGGTTCTGGAGGCTGGGAAGTCTTTGATCAAGACGCCAGCAGATGTGGTGTCTATGGAGAGCCTGTGTTCTGGTTAGTGAGCAATACCTTCTCTCCGTGTTCTCACGTGGTAGAAGGGGAGAGGCAGCCCTCTGGGGCCTCTTTCATGAGGGCACTAATTCCATTCATGAGGGCTCCCCTCTCATGACCTAATCACTTCCCAATGGGCCCACCTGCTAATACCATCCATCGCCTTGAGGATTAGGTTTTTAATATATGAATTCTGGGGGACAAAAACATTTTGATCATAGCCAGAAGGTAAATCGGTGTTGCTCTAAACTAAGGAAACAGAGAGGACTCTGGGAAATGCTCCTCCCTCCCTGGGGCTCCTAAGCTTCTCAAATATTTTCATCATTGCCATATATCTCTCCTCAACCACGCTACAGCCCTGGATTAGAACATAGCATAGGCCACGACTTTCAATTTGCTTATAATCTGGTGTAGAGATTCATTCATTCACTTAATATACATGCAGCACCTACAATGTGCCATATATATATGCCAGAAAGGCAGAATATTTGCCAAACAAAAGGTGCAACTACTACATGCAATGAGATTTGGGAAGCTGTCTCTGAGGGCTGGATAGCCTGGGAAGGCTTTATCAAAAACTCGTGATTTGAAGTGGGACTTGTAAAATGGGTGGGATTTAGACTGGAGGAGAAGGAGGAGGTAATGCTGGAAATACAGAGGTGTGAGTAGGAGACATGAGGGAATTCAAACTGGA
This sequence comes from Homo sapiens, assembly GCF_000001405.40. Taxonomy (NCBI): domain Eukaryota; kingdom Metazoa; phylum Chordata; class Mammalia; order Primates; family Hominidae; genus Homo; species Homo sapiens. Next base: position 207,679,901 of record NC_000002.12, read on the forward strand.
AAGGGAGGTTCCAGGCCAAGCGTGGTGGCTCACGCCTGTAATCCCAGCACTTTGGGAGGCCGAGGCGGGCAGATCACTTGAGGTCAGGAGTTCAAGACCAGCCTCGCCAACATGGTGAAACACTGTCTCTACTAAAAATACAAAAATTAGCCGGGCATGGTTGCAGGCACCTGTAATCCCAGCTACTCGGGAGGCTGAGGCAGGAGAATCACTTGAACTGGGGAGGTGGAGGTTGCAGTGAGCCAAGATCATGCCACTGCACTCCAGCCTGGGTGACAGAGCAAGATTCTGCCTCAAACAAACAAACAACAAACAACAACAACAAAAATTTATACTTTAAAAGAGTGAATGCTGCTATGTAAATTCTATCTCGATTTTTTTAAAAAAATTAGACTATTTATTTATGATCCCTGAATGGAATTAAACTAAATGATAAAAATTTTCTTAAAATCAAGGTAGGAGTCACTTTTTAACCAAAGATTATATTCTTTTTTTTTCTCTTTTTTAACTTTTGTTTTAGGTTCAGGGGCTCATTATGCGGTTTTGTTATATAGGTAAACTCATGTCACGAGAATTTGGTGTACGAATATTTCATTACCCAGGTACTAAGTGTAGTACCTGATAGGTATTTTTAAAATATGGAACACTTCATGAATTTGCATGTCATCCTTATGCAGGGGACATGCTAATCTTCTCTGCATCATTCCAATTTTAGTATATGTGCTGCTGAAACTAGCACCAAAAGTTATATTCTACAGTGTAGGTCAAATGAAAATTGCATCTGATCTATGAATATTACTCTGGAAAAATCCCTTGAATTGTCCAGGGTATAGTAATAGTCAGGATTAATATATTCTTTACTGTATCTTAATAAACGCAGTGCAGCCAGTTTTTCCTCCAGCGTTGGAGTCCATCACTGTTGCTGTGGATCGGCAACAAATGAAGTCATTGGTTTGCATTTCAGGCCTCTACTGTATGAAAAATACAGGTTGTGTGAACATAGTTGACTTGTGAGAAATTAAAGACATAGATAATCCAATTTCCCTGAATTCTGTTTTTTGAGACTGAGTCTTGCTCTGTTGCCCAGGCTGGAGTGCAGTGGTATGAACTCCATACACTGCAACCTCCACCTCCTGGGCTCAAGTGATTCTCCTGCCTCAGCCTCTCGAGTAGCTGGGACTACAGGCATGCGCCACCACGCCTGATTTATTTTTATTTTTATTAGAGACAGTGTTTCTCCATGTTGGTCAGCCTGGTCTCGAACTCCTGACCTCAAATGATCCACCCGCCTCAGCCTACCAAAGTGCTGGGATTACAGGCGTGAGCCACCGCACCCAGGCTTGAATTCTTAAATTCTATTTCCTTCATACTATTTCATCTAATTCCTTTCCTCACTTGTATTTATCTTATGATTAAGTTATCCTATCTGGTCCTAGGGAACCTTAACATTCTTTAGGGCGGCCGCGGGGGACAAAGGGCGGGCGGATCCGCGGGGAGGGGGCGGGGCGCGGCCAGGCCAGGCCCGGGGTCTCCGCATGCTGCAGCTGCTCCCGGGTGCCCCCGCCGCCGCCCTCGCCGCGGAGCCGCGCGGAGCGGAGCCGGCGAGCTAACCCGAGCCAGCCGGCGGGCGTCCCGGAGGCGGCGGCGCAGGGAGGAGCCCGACGCGCTCACGTGGCCCCGACGGCCGCCATGGCGGACAGCTGCACCGCGAGGGGCGTGGCGTTGGCTGCCCCGGACCCCGGGCAGGGCAGTGGCGGCCCAGGACAACGCGTCTACTTTCAGAGCCCCCCTGGGCCGCAGGAGAGGGCCCGGGCGGCGCGGACGATGAGGGCCCAGTGAGGCGCCAAGTGAAGGTCACCGTCAAGTATGACCGCAAGGAGCTACGGAAGCGCCTTAACCTAGAGGAGTGGATCCTGGAGCAGCTCACGCGCCTCTACGACTGCCAGGAAGAGGAGATCCCAGAACTGGAAATTGACGTGGATGAGCTCCTGGACATGGAGAGTGACGATGCCCGTACTGCCAGGGTCAAGGAGCTGCTGGTTGACTTGTTACAAACCCACAGAGACCTTCATCTCTGGCCTGCTGGACAAGATCCGGGGCATGCAGAAGCTGAGCACACCCCAGAAGAAGTGAGGGTCCCCGACCCAGGCGAACGGTGGCTCCCACAGGACAATTGCTGCCCCTCGACCTCGTAGCAACAGCAATACCGGGGGGCCCTGCGGCCAGGCCTGGTGCCATGAGCCGGTCTCCTCTTGCCCCTGGCCCAGGGGTCTCTTCCCCTGCCCCCTCAGTCTTCCACTTTTGGGGTTTTTTATTGTGATTAAACTGATGGGACTTTAAAAAAAAATTCTTTCTATATATAATACATTCTCCTGAAAAAACATAGTCTTCCCCAAGTAGATACAATTTTTATATTTTTATATTTTTAAATCTTTTTTTCTTTATTTTAAAACACAGTTGAGATATTCTGTACATACAATGTAACAGTATCTTGCTTTTTAGGGTTTTTTTGTTAAGGTTTATTATACGTTCTTAAACACCGTATCTTTCATCAAGTGAAGATATTTAGCCATACGAATGGTTACGTATTTTTAGTGTTTTTAGTTTTCTGATATTATAAATAATGTTGCAATGGACATATATGAACATAAATCTTAGTCCTTTGACTGTACTTTTCCGTATTTTAAAATATGTATTTATTTATTTATTTATTTTGAGATAGGATCTCATTCTGTCGCTCCAGCTGGAGTACAATGGTGCAACTCACTGCAGCCTTAACATCCCTGGGCTAAAGCAATTCTCCCATCTCAGCCTCCCAAAGTCTCAAAGTGCTGGGACTACAGCTGTGAGCCACATGCCAGCCTGACTGTACTTTCGGTTTTTTTTTGGTTTTTTTTTTTTTGAGACCGAGTTTCACTCTTACCGTCCAGGCTGGAGTGCAGTGGCCTGATCTTGGCTCACCGCAACCTCTGCCTTCCGGGTTCAAGCAATTCTCCTGTCTCAGCCTCCCAAGTAGCTGGGATTACAGGCGGCCGCCACCAAGCCCAGCTAATTTTTGTCTTTTTTGTAGAGACGGGGTTTCACCATGTTGGCCAGGCATGTCTCGAACTCCTCACCTCAGGTGATCTGCCCGCCTCAGCCTCCGAAAGTGCTGGGATTACAGGCGTAAACCACCCCGCCCAGCCAATCTACTCAGGATTTTTTATGGGATTCTTAAATAAGAACCTATAAGTGCCAAACCTCAAAATTTTCCCCTTTTCTCACAACAGCAGTTGTCCTGGCCTCACCCAATCCTTTTGATTTCTTTTTTTAAAAAGCCAAAAATCAAACAAGAGTGTTGGGATTTAAAATCAGTTTTAATATATCTGCTAAGTATTAAAGGTGCTACTAGTAGGTACAGTACTACTAGGTACTAAGTCAATAATTCCACTCATAGTTTTTTTTTTGTTTTTTTTTTTTGCCAAGTTCTGTTGCTCTCCTCTTTAATGTATCCCAGACCATTCCTACCAACATTATATGCCAATCTTTCTTGATGCAAGTTTCCTTTTACAGTCATGATCTTTCTTTTTAGAGATGGGGTCTTTCTATGTTGCCCTGGTCTCAAACTCTTGGCTTCAAAATAGGAAGATCTGTTTCTCTCGTGTTCGCTTTGAATGGCTGCTGGACCACTGTTTCCGTGCACAGGCAAAGGGGCAGAGCTGAGGAACAGTCATCCCTCCTCGCTGTCCATTATCTGTTGCCAACATGGTTATTCTCATCTTTGTGCCAAAGTCTCACTGCTCACAGCATTTTCCCTCTCGTGTACCTGCTGCCTCCTGATTCTCACACATATGAGTGTGACCCTGGGCAGGTCCTTCTGTTAAGAGCTGAAGCAATATGAAGAGAGTTTGTGGCCTTTTAACTACTTATTTAGATCTTTTGACTTATCTGCATAACTTTTGTAAAGTTGCAAAACTTAAGTAGAGTTTTGGCCCACATTAAATAACCACCTTAGAAACTCTAATCAAGGTAAGTAGACCAATTTCCTAAGTGCTCTCTAATTATGTTTTTAAATTTATTGTCAAACCAACTATGACCATAAGTTGAAGTGCTGTGGTTAGAGGGCACATTTCTGGTCAAATGAATCACAAACTCATGTCAGCTGGTCAAGGAATAATATGCTATTTTCAGTTTTTATAGTACTAGGAAGCAATAAATGACAAGGACTCACATGCAATAAAGCTGTTATCAGTCTGTGAGAAAAATCTCATATATTAGTAGTTATGTTATAGCTATACCAACCTAATAAATTCAGATGTCTTTTGCATATTAGATTACTTTCCCACCACAAGTGAGCTACAAATAATGTTTGTCTTTCTGAAGACAAACATTTGTCACAGTCATTCCTACCATTCTTGCATGAATCACACTGGTTCATCTGCTGTGACTTAGAAGGTTACGGCCAATGTTCAACACAAGCCAAAGTGATAAATGTGCACTTAGCTCATGTGAAAGCCCATGTAGACCCATTTCTGGAACAACGGGAGGAAGATTTATGGCAGTAAGGCAGTGGCATGTGTGAGAATTTCCTCAGTGGTGGAGCAGAGACATGGATGGAATTGGGGTGAGAGGTTAGACCCATCAAGTTTAGAGAGAACTGCTGAGTCAAACTCATGGCAGCAAGCCAGGTGCAGTAGCTCGCACCTGTAATCCCAGCTTCTTGGGAAGCTGAGGCAGGAGGATTTCTTGAAGCCAGGAGTTTGTGATCAGCCTGGGTAACACAGCAAAACCCCATCTCTAAAAAAAAGTTAAGAAAAAAAAGAGGCCAGGCGCGGTGGTTCACGCTTGTAATCCCAGCACTTTGGGAGGACGAGGCGGGCGGACTACCTGAGGTCAGGAGATCGAGACCATTCTGGCTAACACAGTGAAGCCCCATCTCTACTAAAAATACAAAAAAAAAAAAAAAATTAGCTGGGCCTGATGGCATGCGCCTGCAGTCCCAGCTACTTGGGAGGCTGAGGCAGGAGAATCACTTGAACCCAGGAGGTGGAGGTTGCAGTGAGCCGAGATTGCGCCATTGCACTCCAGCCTGGGCAACAAGAGCGAAACTCCCATCTCAGATAAAAAGAAAGAGACAGAGTCAAAGAAGGTTTCAGATCGATGCTAACCTAGATCCCCAGATTCACCCAGTGGACATACTGTAGGTTCTATGGCACATGAGGGCCCCAGGCCCTGGTTTCGGCACTGGGCAGCTCTGCTGTTAAATGAGTGGAGTCATAATTTTATCTCCTTTCCTCAGAGGACTCTCGAAGTCAGTGAGGTGACAGGTGACAACAAGAGTTTATAAAAATCTTGATGTCCTATACAGCAAGGAACACATTTTATGTTTTTTTCAAAAAGATAGTTATCGTTAGTAAGAATGGTAAAGACTTCTTACCGTTACTCTCTTTTTTTTTTTTTTTTTGAGACAGAATCTCGCTCTGTCACCCAGGCTGGAGTGCAGTGGCGAGATCTCAGCTCACTGCAATCTCTGCCTCCTGGGTTCAAGCAATTCTCCTGCCTCAGCCTCCTGAGTAGCTGGGATTATAGGCATGTGCCACCACACCCAGCTAATTTTTGTATTTTTAGTAGAGATGGGTATCATCATGATGGCCAGGCTGGTCTCGAACTCCTGACCTCAGGTGATCCGCCATCCTTGGCCTCCCAAAGTGCTAAGATTACAGGCGTGAGCCACCGCACCTGGCCCATTACTCTCTTTGAGTTGTCATGTAATTGAAGAAAATGCATTTTCGTGAAGTAGATAAAAATCAGACCCTACCAAACAATTGCCCGAGTTATTCTTATTTGTATCCAGCCCCCTCTTAAATTTTTTCACCACCAGTAAGGACAAAGCGGCTACAAATACCAGAGATCTCAGTAGCAAGAGTGGCCCCTGGCATGGAGTAGAGGCACAAGGTTAGGGATGTCCCATTGAGGTAGGTTTGATTTTTTTATAGGCTTGGGACAGGACTTGTGGTGAGGGAAGAAGTTCAGTTCAGGCCGGGCGCGGTGGCTCACGCCTGTAATCCCAGCACTTTGGGAGGCCGAGGCGGGCAAATCACGAGGTCAGGAGATCAAGACCATCCTGGCTAATGCGGTGAAACCCCATCTCTACTAAAAATATAAAAAATTAGCCGGGCGTGGTGGCGGGCGCCTGTAGTCCCAGCTACTCGGGAGGCTGCCACTGCGCCACTGCACTCCAGCCTGGGTGACAGAGCGAGACTCCATCTCAAAAAAAAAGTTCAGTTCAGTTTCCTATTATGGTAACTGGCCAATTATAGCACACACTTTACAAATTATATTTCATTTTGGTGAAAATGCACTTTGGAATTAATCATAAGAAGAATCTTGAGAAAGATGCAGAAGTAAATCTACTTTTCTGCTTATGATTATGAAGCATAATATTTACTTTTTTTTTTTTTTTTTTTGAGACAGAGTCTCTCTCTGTTGGCTAGGCTGGAGTGCAGTGGCACGATCTTGGCTCACTGCAACCTCTGCCCCCGGGCTCAAGCAATTTTCCTGCCTCAGCCTCCCGAGTAGCTGGGATTACAGGCGTGTGCCACCACGCCCAGCTAATTTTTATATTTTTAGTAGAGACGGCGTTTCACCATGTTGACCAGGCTGGTCTCGAACTCCTGACCTCAGGTAATTCGCCCGCCTTGGCCTCCCAAAGTGCTGGGATTACAGGTGTGAGCCACCGTGCCGGGCCCAATGTTTACTTTTTAAGAATTAATTTGATAGAGGTTTGAGGTTGATAGTGTCTTCAGATGGCACTAACAGAGTCATGAATACAGTCTAGAGTAACCTCTTAGCTTTCTTGTCTGCCTCAACATGAAAGATAACATTTGGCTGGGCACGGTGCAGCCTCGGTGACAGAGTGAGACCTTGTCTGAAGTAAAGAGAAAAAGAAAGGGAAGGGGAGGGGAGGGGAGGGGAGGGAAGGGGAAGGGTGGGAAGGGGAAGGAAAAGAAAGAGAAAGAAGGGAGGGAAGGAGGGAGAGAGGGAGGGAGGGAGGTTGGAAGGGAGAAAGGAAGGAAGGAAGGGAAAGAAGGAAGGAAGGAAAGAAAGGAAGGAAGGAAGGAAGGAAGAAAAAGGAAGAAAGGAAGAAAGAAAGACAAAGAAAGAAAGAAAAAGAAAGACGGAAGGAAAGAAAGAGAGAAGGAAAGAGAAAGGGCTGGGCGTGGTGGCTCACATCTGTAACCCCAGCACTTTGGGAGGCAGAGGTGGGAGGATTGCTTGAGTTTAGGAGTTTGAGATCAGCCTGGGCAACACACAAGACTCTGTCTCTATAAAAACTTTTAAAAACAAGCTGGGTGTGGTGGTGTGGGCCTATAGTCACAGCTACTCAGAAAGGCTGAGGCAGGAGAATCCCTTGAGCTCAGGAATTCAAGGCAGCAGTGAGCTATGATCAGGCCATTGCATCCCAGCCTGAGCGACAGAGTGACACCCTATCTCAAAAAAAAAAGAAAGAAAGAAAGAAAATAATTCAAGGAAACAAGGATCACATTATCATACAGGAAGAGCCTTAAATTTATTTGAAAAGGTGAAAAATTGGAGAATTTAGATGTTCTAACTATTGTTAATCTCTTGTGGCTCTTCAGATGGATAGCAAGACGCAGGTTGCTATCACACACAGGTGTGTTGCCATAGCCTGAGATGCTCTGATCTAGAAAACTTCTAGAGGACTTGAAATACAGCTGAATTAACTCTTTCCTCTCCAAAGTTACAAGAGTTCCACAGAACTCCTCCTACCCCAAACAATAAGATTCCTGTATCAAATGCAATAACAGTTTAAAATATAGGCTGGTCGGGCTGGTTGCGGTGGCTCATGCCTGTAATCCCAGCCCTTTGGGAGGCTGAGGTGGGCAGACCACCTGAGGTCAGGAGTTCGAGACCAGCCTGGTCAACATGGTGAAACCTCAGTTTCTACTAAAATTACGGCGGTGGGCACCTGTAATCCCAGCTACTCGGGAGGCTGAGGCAGGAGAATCTCGCCATAGAGCGACACTCTATCTCAAAATAAATAAATAAATAAAATATAGGCTAGTCTGTGTGCAGTTGTGTTTACAACTATGATCACCACGAGTTACAGATTTCTTTGTTCCCTCTCCATTCCCACTGCTTCACTTGACTAGCCTAATCCTTCCAAAGGAAATATCTAGGCACCAGAACAAAAGATAGAACTCAAAACTAGAGTGTGACATGATGTCAAAGAAGCCTATGGGGGCATTGTGCCCAGATACAAGTTCTAATGGCCATGGACTGGCATTTTATTTTTTTTGAGACAGAGTCTTGCTCTGTCGCCCAGGCTGGAGTGCAGTGGCCCGATCTCGGCTCACTGCAACCTCCGCCTCCCGGGCTCAAGCGATTCTCGTGCCTCAGCAACCCAAGTAGCTGGGATCACCTCAAGTGATCCGCCCATCTCAGCCTCCCAAAGTGCTAGGATTATAGGTGTGAGCCACCGTGCCCGGTCCAAGCCCAGAAATTTGTATAAAAGTGGGCCCTGAATAGGATGATATCAGCGAAAGCCCTGACAGAAGTTAACACAAAATCTCTTTTTGGAGACACTTTTATAATTCAAGGCACATGGAATGTCTAACGAGCAGTTGCACTTTGCTAAAAATGTGCTCACAATGAAAAATTACAGAGCATGTTGAGGAAGCGATCTACAGGGGAGTCAGGAAGCAAAATGGGAGAATTAGCACCCCAAGAAACTGAGACAGTAAATGATAAAATAAGAAACAGCAAAAGAAAACAAAGAGGCAATCAATCAAACAACACAAAAAGGAAAAGATGAAAAGTAACATGCTATTTAGTAAAAGAGATGTTAGAATATGACCTAAGTGTACATACTCCTACAAACTCACTGATTCACAATGGATTCAAATTGAAACTAGAGAATTGAAAGTAAGCTTGAAAATGTTTGGTTATACTTTAGAATAAATTACCTGCAAGAATTATGAATTATGTGACTCTCATTGGATTTTATTACCTCATTGGATTTTATTATCTCATTGGATTATGTGACTCTGGTTGGATTATATCAAAAGCCATGTGACAGGTTTAGCTTAGATGATAAATGCATACATTTTTCATTGATTTTGAGTTGCTATACCAGTAAATTTTTTTCATAGAAATGTTTTCTGGGCTGGGCGTGGTGGCTCACGCCTGTAATCCCAGCACTTTGGGAGGCCGAGGCGGGTGGATCACCTGAGGTCAGGAGTTCAAGACCAGCCTGGCCAACATGGTGAAACCCCGTCTCTACTAAAAATACAAAAAAAAATTAGCCCGACTTGATGACAGGCGCCTGTACTCCCAGCTACTTGAGAGGCTGAGGCAGGAGAATCGCTTGAACCCAGGAGGTGGAGGTTGTGGTGAGCCAAGACCATGCCATTTTACTCCAGCCTGGGGACAAGAGCAAGACTTCGTCTCAAAAAAAAAAAGTGTTTTTAATTTTTAACGTCTTTAAATTACCAAAATAACACAATTTTTTTATTTCAGATAAATTCTGAAATATAGAAGAGACCAAAAGAAACCCCCCCAAAAAACAAAAACAAAAAAACCCAATAGTCTCACTACCCAGAAACACTACTGATATTCTTTTTTTTTTTTTTGAGACAGAGTCTTGCTCTGTCACCCAGGCTGGAGTGCAGTGGTGAGATCTCAGCTCACTGCAAGCTCCACCTCCCAGGTTCACACCATTCTCCTGCCTCAGCCTCCCGAGTAGCTGGGACTACAGGCACCTGCCACCGTGCCTGGCTAATTTTTTACATTTTTAGTAGAGACAGGGTTTCACCATGTTAGCCAGGATGGTCTCAATCTCCTGACCTCATGATCCGCTCGCCTCGGCCTCCCAAAGTGCTGGATTACAGGCGTGAGGCACTGCGCCCGGCCACACTATTGATATTCTAGCAGTCTCTTCTGGGTTTTTTTCCTGAACAATGTTTTCTTTTTTTTTTTTTTCTTTTTTTGAGACAGAGTCTCGCTTTGTTGCCAGGCTGGAGTGCAGTGGCATGATCTTGGCTCATCGCAACCTCCGCCTCCTGGGTTCAAGCGATTCTCCTGCCTCAGCCTTCTGAGTAGCTGGGATTATAGGCATGTGCCACCACGCCTGGCTAATTTTGTATTTTTAGTAGAGACGGGGTTTCTCCATGTTGGTAAGGCTGGTCTCGAACTCCTGACCTTCGGTAATCCGCCCGCCTTGGCCTCCCAAAGTGCTGGGATTATAGGCGTGAGCCACCGCGCCCAGCCCTGAACAATGTTTTCTAACAAAGCTGAACTTACACTGAAATATTGTTTAGTATACCCTTTGTTTTATAAATTTAACCTACATCATACACATTTTCCCACGTCCTTAGAACTTGCTATAAGTATAGTTTAAATGGACGTATAGTATTTCTTCATGGATACACCATTTATTTAATAATTCTCATTATTGCATATTTAAATTGCTTCCTTTCTTTCATTGTTATAACTCTTCAATAAATATTTGTGCATTAGTCTTTGTTTACGGGTTTAACTATGTCCTTAGGCTACATCTATAATTTTTAAAATCAAGGGACAAGTCTTGATCTTTACAATTCATGTATTCAAATGTATTTTATTTCAATTCAACAAAATTCACTGAGCATTCACTAATTGCCACATAACTTTTCCCTAGACACTTATTGTCTTTGTTTTGTTTTTCTGATTGTCAAGGTCATCACATACATAATTTGGAATTTATATGTGTGTTTTTCGAAAATGAAAAGCCAGGAAAGGGGAAGCATCAGTGAATTCACCTCTTTTCTGTGTTCAGTTTGTAGGATCTAAGCCAGCAAAAAGAAAACTCCAAATTGAAGAATTTCTGCTGGGCATTTTAAAATCTGCAAAGTGCCGGGCATGGTGGCTCACACATATAATCCCAGCATGTTGAGAGGCCAAGGCAGGTGTATCACTTGAGGTCAGGAGTTCGAGACCAGCCTGGCCAACGTGGTGAAACCCCGTCTGTACTAAAAATACAAAAATTAGCTGAATGTGGTGACGCGTGCCTGTAATCCCAGCTACTCTGGAAGCTGAGGCATGAGAATCGCTTGAATTTAGGAGGCAGAGGTTGCAGTGAGCTGAGATTGCGCCACTGCACTACAGCCTCCGTGACAGAGTGGGACTCTGTCTCAGCAAAACAAATAAAAAATTTTAAAAAGCAGACAAGGCATGGAGGCTCATGCCTGTAATCCCAGCACTTTGGGAGGCTTAGGCTGGTGGATCGCCTGAGGTCAGGATTTCGAGACCAGCCTGGCCAACATAGTGAAACCCCGTCTCTACTAAAAGTACAAAAAATTAGTTGGACATGATGGCGGGCGCCCTTAATCCCAGCTACTCTGGAGGCTGAGGCAGGAGAATTGTTTGAGCCTGCAAGGCAGAGGTTGCAGTGAGCCAAGATTGCGCCATTGCACTCCAGCCTGGGCAACAAAAGCGAAACTTCGTCTCAAAAAAAAAAAAAAAAAAAGAAGAAGAAGAAGAAGAAGTAAAAATCTGCAAAGCAAGTTTGCTGGATTGGTACAAAGGTGATGGAGTGTTGGTTTATTTCACTTGATCTTTAGAATATGTCTGCACCAAATCAGTAAGGTGAGTCAAATTACCCCTTCCTAGACTTTCTTCCTGTTATAATTCTGTATTTGGTGGCTATTTTTGTAATGACATTAAAAAACTATATTGGTTTACCAAAATGTCTAATCAACCACAGCATACACGTTTCAGAGCTATGTTTACAAACTCCAGCTCTTCATTACTTACTTCAACTAAAAGAAACACTAACCCTCTGATCAACTAAACCAAATTTACTCACAGCAACAATTTCCTGGAGAACTTATATTTAAAAAACAATTAAGTTGAACTTATTTCAAACAGGCCAGTTGATTTCCATTCTGTCTTAGACACAGAGGTAGATAGACTATTTTACGTCTGTTTAGATTCTGCCATAGCAGAGAAAATTATTTAAAAGTCATAGTGCTGGCTGGGCGTGGTGGCTCATGCTTGTAATCCCAGCACTTTGGGAGGCCAAGGCTGAGGCGGGCGGATCACGAGGTCAGGAGTTCGAGACCAGCCCAGCCAACATGGTGAAACCCCATCTCTACTAAAAATACAAAATTAGCCATGCGTAGTGGCATGCTCCTGTAATCCCAGCTACTTGGGAGACTGAGGCAGGAGAATCACTTGAACCCGGGAGGCGAAGGTTGCAGTGAGCCAAGATCACGCCATTGCACTCCAGCCTGGGCAACAAGAGCGAAACTCCATCTCAAAACCAAAAATAATAAGTAAATAAATACATGTCGTAGTGCTAAAACTAGAAATAAGGCAAAAGGTTACAGATAGAGCAGGAGTGATAAATCAAAGGACAATAGTTCCTGTTATTAAGTTCTCTGCTCCAGTGCTCAGTTCTCCTAGCATACAGCTCTGACCTCAGGGCCACTGCTTATCGTTGTTTGTGCCCTGAATAATCCCAGGGGGCGCCATTCACAGCAAGCCCTGGCAGAGGACTCAAGCATCGCAATTGAATAATGCAACAGACTAAGATGACTTCAGAAAGAAGAAATGACAATAGTTTATTGTATGGAGGGATATATTTCTGAAGAAACAAAGAAAAGTGACAATTGTGTATACAGTTCAGAAAAATGAAACACCTTTTTTGCAGGGGAAATGTCTTTTGCCTTGTGCACCAGGCTAGGCTGGAACCATCTCCAGATTTTTGAAAGTACACTGCAAAAAGCTGAGGCTGTGTCCTTCAAAAAGTAATGTGGGGAAATAGAAATCTAAGAAATTTAAGAAAATAGAAATTACTTCAACTTAGTGCCTAAATAATGCCTTAAACAATGTTCAATGGTGAGGAAGAGGAAACGCAAAATGAATAACAGGAAAAACTACAAGCTGGTCTTCACTTTGCAAGAATAGTTTCTCTTGTGCTTCCACTGCTCGCCTGCCACTTGAGCCTTTTCACACCACTGGCCTAAATAAATAACTAAAACGATGTTTTTACATTTTTTTTAGAGACAAGGTCTTGTTATGTTGCCTAGGCTGGATTCTAACTCCTGGGCTCAAGGGATCCTTCTGCCTCAGCCTCCTAAGTAGCTGGCCCTGTAAGTATGGCCCACTACTCCCAGGTAATAATTTTAAAATATGAGAAACCATGAGGATAGATTCTGACCCTGTGTCTTCCAGCCTGGGCAAGCCCAATAAAGAGTCGGGTTGGATGCAACCAGGACTCATGGATGTCTTCCAAGTCTGGTTTGCTGAAGATGGCAGCTTCCCCCGTCCTTTTTTGAGATGGAGTCTCGCTCTGTGGCCCAGGCTGGAGTGCAGTGGCGCGATCTCGGCTCACTGCAAGCCCTGCCTCCCAGGTTCACGCCATTCTCCTGCCTCAGCCTCCCCAGTAGCTGCGACTACAGGCTTCTGCCACCTCGCCCCGCTAATTTTTTGTATTTTTAGTAGAGATGGAGTTTCACCGTGTTAGCCAGGATTGTCTCCATCTCCTGACCTTGTGATCCGCCCGCCTCGGCCTCCCAAAGTGCTGAGATTACAGGCATGAGCCACTGCGCCCAGCCTCCCCTGCCCATTTTTAATCTTTTTCTAGGGCCAGAACCCTGGAAGATGCAAGGAGACAAAGGAAGGGTGTCATCTAGCTCTGCACTCCCGTGTGTGTGTCTAACATGTGGCACACTGTGTTTGCGGGGCATTTCTTCTATTTCATGACCTGATTAATCAAATTTTCACTATGCATATACTTTTCCTTTGGAGTCACGATGCATCTTTAGAAGCCATACCAACTTTTCCTGTGCAGTAAGGTGGAAACAGTAAGAGCCTGGGAATCAGGCAAAACCAGATTTTGAATCCTAGCTCTAAACTCTGAGCAAGTGACCTGTACCTTACTTTCTTCATCTGAGTAATGGGAAAAACAATGAGCTCCTCATGGAGAAATAATTTAATAGCTGAAGATCGTTTGAGACAGTTCCTGGCATGCAAAAGTCTTAAAGATAATGTAACTAGTGTTGACTAGCCATTTAGAGAGGAAAAGATTGGGCTTAGAGCCAGATTGCTAGAGCCTGAGCATGTTGGCTTGTCACTTACAGCTATGAGACCTTGGGCGGGTCACTTCAGCTCTGTTTCCTTATTCCCTAAGATGGGAATAATGAGAGTGCTGCTTTGTGGGTAGTCGTGAGGAATGAATGAGTTAATCCACATACAGGACCTAGAACAGCACCTGTCACATAGTAAATTCTCAATAAAAATCTTAGCCATTATGATCCCTAGGCTCTGAAGTAAAAAATTATTTCCCCTATCTCATAAGGTTGTTGGGAGGTTTATATGAGACAACCTATAAAAGTACTTACGGCCAGGTGGGGTGGCTCATGCCTGTAATTCCAACACCCTGGGAGACAGAGGTGGGCAGATTGCTTGAACCCAGGAGTTTGAGACCAGCCTGGCCAACAAAGTGAGACCCTATCTCCACAAAAAAAAAAAAAAAAAAAAAATTAAAAATTAAAAAAGTGCTTAGCAGAGCTCTCAGCTCATCTTAAGTCCTCAAAATTAGGTATTAACTTGATGATTATTATTACTATGATTATTAGTTCACTATATTGAAAAGTTCTGTAGTAAAAGACAGCTTTCTATGTTTCTAACAATAATTATTTAGTATTAGTAATTAATTAAATACTATCACTAGTTAGCAAAATCAGCATTTTCACATATGGCTGCTAAAAAAGTGAATTGAAAAGGGCTACACTAATATAATTAAAGCATAAAACTTATTAGCCTTTTTGGAAATTTCCTACTTTACTACTTTCTAACTCTTTATAATACAAATTTTCTGAGTTTTCTACAGTTTGTCATATGAGTTCGGTAAAGATATATTTATTTCCTTCAAAGTAATTTGAGTCAGTCCCTTGGTATTCAGCTAAGTTGAACTCCGGTATTTTGGAACAGTATCTGTTGACACAAATATATTTGGCATCACTGGGGAATTTAAAACTACATACAGACAGTGTCATGATCCCTCAAACTCAAGGGGACAGTACTATTACAGAGGACAAGAGTTGTTAAAAAGCTTTATGTTGTCATTTCTATACTGAACATATGGCATTCTAGTTTCTGGTAGGAAGTGGCAGTTACAAAGACTAAACTATAGTTTTGCAAACATTCTAAACAAGGTATTTAGGATTGCTCAAGAAAATAAGCATGAGGATCTGGTAAGATACACATCGAGACACGTGCAACCTCTCATTCACCTTCTATCTGATCCTGAGGTGACTGCATGGGGTAAAAATCAGTTCCCTCGCTCACTTTAGCCCAGACACATATCTGATTCTCACCAACCTTGAAGATATGGGCTCGTGCTCGAGATTTTGTTTGGGTTCTGCCTAGGTATTTCTAGTCTCAGAAATTCCCTGATGGCTAAATTAAATGAAAAATCTAAGAATTCAGAAACTGACAGGCCCGGGAAGAATATTTGTGACTCTGAATCTTTTGCAACAACATTTTGTTTTTCTAAGTAAAGAAGTAATCTGAGGCGGCCCTTAGTGCTGAATGACCAGACTTTGTCACCTTGCCTCGGTTTCAGGTTTTCATAGGGCCTTCCAGAGGTCAAGAGAGGCACTGTCCACTTCCATATTAAACAAAAACCAAAAAGAAGAAGAAAAAGATATGCCAAAATAGGGTTACAAGATTTGTCGTGTATTTTAAACATCAGTATTTAACAAGTAAGCAATTCCAACATCCACATGCACACACACATTCAGTTCAGTGTAATTATTATATTCCCAAAGTGACTGGGGGGTTATTAGGGGGTTTATTTAAAATATTGGTTCATAGTTCATGAGAGGTGAGACAGTAATGAGACAGAGAGCTGAAGTTGGTCGATGCCATCTTCTTTCTTCAAACCTGCCAGTGCTTCTATTTAACTGTGGGTGTGACCTGGTGGCACTGAGGCCCTTGGTGATAGTGAGGCCCAGAGCTAGTGGCCTCCTGATGTCCCCTTTTCAGTCTCAAGATGTTTGCTCCTGGAAATGTCCAGCTTAATTAGATAGGCACCACTGCCTATCATTTCTTTTTTTAGATAGAGTCTTGCTCTATCGCCCAGGCTGGAGTGCAGTGGCACGATAATTGCTTACTGCAGCCTTGACCTCCAGGGCTCAAGCTATCCTCCACCTCAGCCTCTCCAAGTGCTGGCATTACAGGTGTGGGCCACCGTGCCCAGCCCTACCTATCTTTTTTTTTTGAGACAGAGTCTTGTTCTGTCGCCAGGCTGGAGTGCAGTGGTGCAATCTCGGCTCACTGCAACCTCTGCCTCCCAGGTTCGAGCAATTCCCCTGCCTCAGCCTCCCGAGTAGCTGGGACTACAGGCACGCACCACCATGCCTGGCTTAATTTTTTATATTTTAGTGGAGACAGGGTTTCACCATGTTGGCCAGGATGGTCTCGATCTCCTGACCTCATGATTCGCCCACCTCGGCCTCCCGAAGTGCTGGGATTACGGGCATGAGTGCTAGGATTACAGGTGTGAGTCACCGCATCCAGCCCCTACCTGTCTTTTTAGTGTCACCTTTCTTCTGTGGTCAAGTGAGCAGATGGGCCCAAGAACCTGGGCTCTTACTAATGGCATTTTTTGTTTTTTATTGTTATTTTTTCCAATTCACGTGCCCTGAGTTTGATCCCTTGTTTTTGTTGAATAACTGTCAAAAGCAGCCTGGAGTGGAAGGACAAGTGTATGTAGATGGAGTTGATTGGCCTTGGGGTGGGCAGTTTGGGGGAGGATGTGGAGAGACTTTGAGCAGAAGGAAGCAAAAAAAGTACATACACCCTGTATTAGTCAGGGTTCTCTAAAGGGACACGACTAATAGGATAAATGAATATGTGAAGGGGAGTTTATTAGGAGAATTGACTCACATGATCACAAGGTGAAGTCCCATAATTGGCTGTCTGCAAGCTGAGGAGCCAGGAAGCCACTCCAAGTCCCAAAACCTCAAAAGTAGGGAAGCCAATAATGCAGCCTTCAGTCTGTAGCCGAAAGCCCGAGAGCCCCTGGCAAACCACTGGTGTAAGTCCAAGAGTCCAAAAGCTGAAGGACTCAGAGTCTGATATTCAAAGGCAAGAAGCATCCAGCACGGGAGAAAGATGGAAGCTAAAAGACTCAGCCAGTCTGCTCTTTCCGTGCCTGCTTTTATGCTGGCAGCTGATTAGATGGTGCCCACACAAATTGAGGGTTTGTCTGCCTCTCCCAGCCCACTGACTCAAACGTTAATCTCCTTTGGCAACACCCTCACAGACACACCCAGGAACAATACTTTGCATCCTCCAATCCAATCAAGTTGACACTCAATATTAACCATCACACATCCTTAAAGGAAGCTATTGATGCAGGCTCCTTCCGTAAGAGAAGACCCCTGAGTATCATAAAAGGGGTCTTGAGACTTATCTCAAAGTCTCCCAAGAGGAGCATGCTGGTCAAAGTTTGGTCCAACTCTGAGCTGTGTTATTTCCCACAAAGCCATTACCACTGAGTTGATGGACATTTCCAAACTGGGCAGAGCACTCATGACTTTTCTCCCAAACCTGACTGGCAAAAATTGTCCACTTCCCTGAAATTTTGTTTGCAGATATCAGAGGAGGGTTACATTTCTGCATTCCCTAAGGGGAAGCCAGGAATGTGGGAGTTGGGGTTGGGGAGGGGAGAGTGAATGAGCGCTGGAATCCTGGCAGATGGCAGTTGCTAACCAGGGAGCCAGAAAGGCTTGAGGATGAGGAGCCTGGTGTGCAACACAGGGACAGGGAACAGAAGTAGGAAGGGAAAGGAAGAGCAACCAGTTGACTTTAAAGAGGGGAAGAGAGGTCCCATTGAATCACCCTGCAGAGAGGACTCATGAAAAAATCAGGCTGGTTTCAAATGATGGCTTATCCAGTTTATCAGATTGGGAAGTAGGATGGCCAAGTGGGATAGCAGGGGTACAAAGAGGGATTTGGACTTGGGGTCAATGCCTTAGAAGCGCTTCTTTCTGTCTTGCCCCAAACCTTCAAACTGTGCTACTAAATAATTAATATGAAGGTTACAAACTTTTTGATATACGTAGTCTGGGCTTCATGCAGGAGCCAAGGAGCCCCTATAAAATACGTCAGGTTCAGTGGCTCTCCAGTGGCTTCCCATTTCCCCCAGAATACACTCTAAAGTCCTTTCTAAAGCCTGCAGGCACTTTAGGACCTAGTGGTACCTTGCTGCCTCTTCTAACCACATCTTCCATTCTCCTCCAACCCCTCTTCCAGGCACCTGGGCCCTTGGCTTTCCTCTAGGGCTCCACTTTTGGGCTGTTCCCCAGATACCCATAGAGCTTGTACCCTCTCACTTCATCCAGGCTGCTTTCTATGCCCCTTGTTAGTCTGCTTGGGCTGCCATAACAGAGTACCACAGATGGGTGACTTAAAAAACAAATTTATTTTCTCACAGTTCTGGAAGCTAGAAGTCTGCCATCAAGGTGCTGGCAGGATTGGGTTCTTCTGAGGGCCGTGAGGAAGGGATCTGTTCCGGGCCTCTCTCCTTGGCTTGTAGATGACCATTCCCTCCCTGTGTCTTCACACTGCCTTCCCTCCATATGACTATGTCCAAACTTCCTCTTCTTCTTCTTCTTTTTTTCTTTTTTTTTTTTTTTGAGAGAGAGTCTTGCACTGTCACCCAGGCTGGAGTGCAATGGTGCGATCTCGGCTCACTGCAACCTGTGCCTCCTGGGTTCAAGCGATTCTCCTCCCTCACCCTCCCAAGTAGCTGGGATTAGATGCACCTGCCACCACACCCAGCTAATTTTTTGTATTTTTAGCAGAGACAGGTTTTCACCATGTTGGCCAGGCTGGTCTCAAACTCCTGACCTTGTGATTCTCCCGCCTAGGCCTCCCAAAGTGCTGGGATTACAGGCATGAGCCACCAAGCCTGGCACAAACTTCCTCTTCTTTTTTTTTTTTTCTTTGAGACAGAGTTTCACTCTGTCACCCAGGCTACAGCGCAGTGGCACGATCTCGGCTCACTGCAAGCTCCACCTCCTGGGTTCATGCCATTCTCCTGCCTCAGCCTCCCGAGTAGCTGGGACTACAAGCGCCCGCCACTGCGCCCGGCTAATTTTTTGTGCTTTTAATAGAGACGAGGTTTCACCGTGTTAGCCAGGATGGTCTCGATCTCCTGACCTCGTGATTCACCCACCTCGGCCTCCCAAAGTGTTGGGATTACAGGCATGAGCCACCGCACCCAGCCACCTTCCTCTTCTTATAGGGACACCACACACCATTACTGAATTAGGAACTGCCCTAATGATACCATTTTAACTGTATTACCTCTGAAAAATCCTGTCTCCAAATATGGTCACGTTCTGAGGTACTGGGAGTTAGGACTTCAACATGTAAATTTTGGGGGGTAGAGGGGGAGGCAAAATTCAGATTATAACAGCCCCTTATTGATTGGAGAAGACTCCCCAACCATTCTTTATAAAATAGTGCCCTTATTAACCGAATATATTTATTCATTCAGTTTTTCTTTTCTTTTTTTTCTTTTTTTTTTTTTTTTTTGAGATAGAGTTGCACTCTTGTTGCCCAGGCTTGAGTGCAATGGGCAATGGTGCAATCTTGGCTCACTGAACCTCCGCCTCCCGGGTTCAAGGGATTCTCCTGCCTCAGCCTTCCAAGTAGCTGGGATTACAGGTATGCTCCACCATGCCCGGCTAATTTTGTTTTTGTTTTTGGGTTGTTTTTTTTTTTTTTTTGAGACAGAGTTTTGCTCTTGTTGCCCAGGCTGAAGTGCAATGGTGTGATCTCTGCTCACAGCAACCTTCGCCTCCCGGGTTCAAGCGATTCTCTTGCCTCAGCCTCCCGAGTAGCTGGGATTACAGGCATGTGCCACCACACCCAGCTAATTTTGTATTTTTAGTAGAAACGGGGTTTCTCCATGTTGGTCAGGCTGGTCTTGAACTCCCGACCTCAAGTGATCCACCCACCTCGGGCTCGCGAAGTGCTGGGATTACAGGCATGAGCCACCGCACCCGGCCTCATTTAGTTTTTTTGAAGGTCTCCTTCTACTTAAATGTCAACCCCAGAGTGCCAACTTCTTTATGAACTGATGTATCTCCAGTACCTAGCTCCCTGCCTGGACAGTAACAGGCCCTCGATAAATGTTCAGGAATGGATGAACACATAGGAAGCCATTACAAATCACTCCACAAAAAAGTAATGACAGAGAAAGATGTTCAAGGTATATTGTCAAGTGAAGAAAGCAAATTACAAAAGCCTCCTGGGTAGCGTTGTTTCACTTTAAAATCATGTACATATTATTTATTTGTATTCAAATAAAGCTTAGAGGCTGGGCACGGTGGCTCATGCCTGATATTCCAGCACTTTGGGATGCTGAGGTGGGCGGATCACCTGAGGTCAGGAGTTCAAGACCAGCATGACCAACATGGTGAAACCCCATCTCTACTAAAAATACAAAATTAGCTGGGTGTGGTGCTGCATGCCTGTAATCCCAGCCACTTGGGAGGCTGAGGCAGGAGAATCACTTGAACCTGGGAGGCGGAGGTTGTAGTGAGCCAAGATTGCGCCATGGCACTCCAGCCTGGGCAACAAGAGCGAAACTCCATCTCAACAACAAAAACAAAAAACTGGCTGGGTGCAGTGGCTCACACCTGTAATCCCAGTGCTTTGAGAGGCTGAGGCGGGCAGATCACAAGGTCAGGAGTTCGATCAAGATGAGCCTGGCCAACATGGTGAAACCCCATCTCTGCTAAAAATACAAAAAAATTAGCCAGATGTGGTGGCGGGCGCCTGTAATCCCAGCTACTCGGGAGGCTGAGGCAGGAGAATCGCTTGAACCCAGGAGGTGGAGGTTGCAGTGAGCCAAGATCGCGCCACTGCACTCCAGTCTGGGTGATAGAGGAAGACTATCTCAGAAAAAAAAGAAAAAACCAAATAAACAAATAAAGCTTAGTGAAATATGCCACAAATTAGTAATAGCAGGTGGCTCTTTTTTTTTTTTTTCTTTGAGACAGAGTCTCGCTCTGTCACACAGGCTGGAGTGCAGTGGCAAAATCTCAGCTCACTGCAACCTCTGCATCCTGGCTTCAAGCAATTCTCCTGCATCAGCTTCCCAAGTGGCTGGGATTACAGGCACTCGCTACCAGGTCCGGCTAATTTTTGTGTTTTTAGTACAGACAGAGTTTCATCGTGTTGGCGAGGCTGGTCTCGAACTCCTGACCTTAGGTGATCTGCCTGCCTTGGCCTCCCAAAGTGCTGGGATTACAGGTGTGAACCACTGCACCTGGCTGGCTCTTGAGATTTTGATTTATTTTTCTCTTATTGATGTGTATTTTCTAATTTCTCTGTAGCAAATATAAATTCTGTAAGAGAAAAAACAATAGAAGTTATGAACGGTTAATAGAAGATATGTTGTCATACTTTTAACTGGCTGTTAGGTTAAGAAAGAAAAAAGACGCTCATTTTCTTTTCAGTGGGAATGGTGGGAAGCACAGCGAGTGGATGTCACAGCTCGGATGTCTCCGAGCCCAGCAGCTGGGGACATAACCTGTGCAATCCATCCCATCTGGATTCATGCCCTCACTTGCCACTTTCTAGATCTGTCATCTCGGACATGTCTGTCATTCATATTGTCCTGGTTCTTCAACTGTAAAATGGGGTAATATTGTACTTACAGGACATATTGCCTCTAGTCTCTGGCCTAGGCTGGAATTTTATTCTTTTGATCTCAGCGATTTGGAAATATCAAGACACCAAGGGTCAGAGACTAGTCCAAGGGTTTGGTTCTCCTTTTATTCCCCTCCAAGGGCAAGCCAAGCATTATCCAGATACTGCTCACATTGCTTCTGAGTACAGGCCTGAACTAGGGTGAAGTAGTAAGGTGCTTGCCACAGGCACCAAACCTAAGGGGCACCAAAACCATAACCATTGGTACTCATCATAAATAATATGCTAATGCAATATTTTAAAACATAAAATTATATACAAATTTACAATGAACAAGATAGCAATAATTTTGATAAAGACACAGTAAGTATTTGTAATTTTTCCTTTGCCTCGGGCTCCATTATGGATGAGTTAAGCACTGCTTCCAGCCCACAGCCTGAAGGGAGCAGACCATCAATTATCCAAATCATTATTAACTATTTCTTAATTATAATTAATTATCCAAATTGTCTTGAGCCTCAGAAGCTGCATTGCTCATTCTGTGTTTGTTTTGCTTTCAGTCAAGGCCTTGTTAGGATATCAATAGGGAATATTTATTTTTCTGACCCTGTTTGTTCCTTTCCTCTATATAGATACCTAATCATAATTGCTACCTAATTGTGGCCCTTCTACCTCACTGAGAACTCTGAGGGGCAGGTTTCTCCCTATTCTTTTATAGAAACATAAAATGCCAGAAGAGTATGATTTCTACCCAAAAGAGGACTAAGCAGAGTTTACAGATGTTGCAGACTCCTCCCCTGATACTTCTGGGGAAGGGCACCCAGACCTGGGCATACCTTGCTTCAAAAACAGGCCATAGCACACAGTCTGCTCATTCCATCCATTTTTTTTTTTTTTTTTTTTTTTGAGACGGAGTCTCGCTCTGTCGCCCAGGCTGGAGTGCAGTGGCGGGATCTCGGCTCACTGCAAGCTCCGCCTCCCGGGTTCACGCCATTCTCCTGCCTCAGCCTCCCAAGTAGCTGGGACTACAGGCGCCCGCCACTACGCCCGGCTAATTTTTTTGTATTTTTAGTAGAGACGGGGTTTCACCGTTTTAGCCGGGATGGTCTCGATCTCCTGACCTCGTGATCCGCCCGCCTCGGCCTCCCAAAGTGCTGGGATTACAGGCGTGAGCCACCGCGCCCGGCCGAAGGGAAATTCTTATGTGATGGAGTTAGGCAGGTCTTTGGTCTTGGTGGAGGGTTTCCTGAGGGACTTTCATATTACATATCCTGGGATTTTTGTGGGTATTAGTTAATCATGTAAAGCAATACCCAGTACACATTCACATGGTAATTGCTAGTTAAATGTAGCAATGATAGGCCCGTGCCGTGGCTCATTCCTGTAATCCCAGCACTTTGGGAGGCCAAGGCGGGCAGATCACCTGAGGTCAGGAGTACAAGACCAGCCTGACCAATATGGTGAAACCCTGTCTCTACAAAAAAATACCAAAAAATTAGCCTGGCGTGGTGTCACATGCCTGTTGTCCCAGCTACTTGGGAAGCTGAGGCAGGAGAATCGCTTGAACCCAGGAGGTAGAGGTTGCAGTGAGCTGAGATTGTGCCACTGCACTCCAGCCTGGGTGACACAGCGAGACTCTTAAAAAAAAAAAAGTAGCAATAATAATCACATTTAAAATCTTGTTTTATGGCCGGGTGCAGTGACTCACACCTGTAATCCCAGCACTTTGGGAGGCCGAGGAGGGCAGATCACGAGGTCAGGAGATGCAGACCATCCTGGCTAACATGGTGAAACCCTGTCTCAAATACAAAAAATTAGCCAGACGTGGTGGCACGTGCCTGTAGTCCCAGCTACGTAGTCGGGAGGCTGAGGCAGGAGAATCGCTTGAACCTGGAAGGCAAAGGTTGCAGTGAGCCAGGATTGTGCCACTGCACTCCAGCCTGGGTGACAGAGCAAGACTCCATTTCAAAAAAAAAAAAAAAAGTAGCCAGGCATGGTTGCAGGTGCCTGTAATCCCTGCTACTTGAGAGGCTGAGATGGAAGAATCGCTTGAACCTGGGAGATGGTGGTTGCAGTGAGCCAAGATCGTGCCACTGCACTCTAGCCTGGGCTGGTGAGTGAGACTCCGTCTCAAAAAAACAAAAAAAAGAAAAATATGATGTTCTTAATGTGTAAATTTTAGGAAATTTCCCCTATTACTCTTTTTAGTTTGATTTAATGTGTGTGTGTGTGTTGTTTTCAAAAAAATGTAAGTTGAATATATATTGAAAATATAAGTTGATGCGACAAAATAGACTTACAGCAAAATAGACTTATGCAGGTGAAAGCACCTGCAGAAAGCTGCGTTCTTTTTAACTCCTAAAAAACTCAGAGGCAAGGAGAAAAATGGGCTTCTCTGGATGCCAGATAGTGCATAAGACTTAGATTTGGTTACAGTAATTTTAGCATAATCCATTGTAAGCTGATGATCTGGATGAACTTCACAATAGTGAAGAAACTGGTTTTGAGATTTGGAGATTTTTTTCCCCTTCACTTGAAGGAATGTTGCTCACCACACCTCTTCTACTTGCCCCATGTTTTTAGATTAATGTTTCCTGGAGAAGTGAAACACACTGAGATTAGATAGCTGCATTCTGTAAGAAGTCTGACTATTGTGAGATTACCATGCTATAGGGAATGTGCAACCAGTCCCACATGTGCCAGCCTTCACGGGCTAGTCACTTGATTTGCAAGTCATCATAAACTTTCAGTCTTGGGGATGTGATTTGGAGAAGAGTGGAAGAACCCCACTGACAGCTAGAGCTAACACTCCAGACATATGGCCCCAGGTGAGCAGTCTCAGCCAGGTCCAATCGTTACGTCCACTCCAGATGAGGCCCCAGTCATCCTGGAGCAGGCATGAACAGTCCCTATAGTGGCCTGCCTAATTTCCTGACCCGAACTCATGAGCTTTATACAATGGTTGTTGTTTTTTAAAATGCTACAGGAGAACAGAAACTAGAAGCAGAGGCATAAAACAGAATAGGAAATACTGAACAAAATAAGGAATCATTGCACACAATTCTCAAATTGTGATTGTTAGTACTGTCAATTCAACTTTTTCATCTATTTATCCATTCATTCAGGAAAAATTTGTTGAGAGTGCTACAAGCTAGTTAGTGTGGGAGATATTGAAAAATGACTAAATTAGCTCTGATCTCAGCAAGTTCCTAGTTTAATGGGGGTGTCAGACAAGTAAACAATTAGCACACACTGTAATACAATGTTGCTCTATAGTAAGGGTTTGGAGAAGGAACTGATTGCTTTGAAGATGCAGAATCTCACAGCCTTGAGGGAATCAAAGAAATTCATAGGCACTCTGAGGCTCAAAGACTGAATAGAGGTTTATCAGATGGCCAGAGCAGGGCAGCTACTGAGTTCCCAACTCTTTAGATCTTGAAGCTAACACTATGGCTGCAAAGAACAGGACAGGTCCAGTTTGGACACTCTAGCTTCAATTGCTCCTGTGAGCTCAGAGTTTTTCTTTTTCTTTCCTGAGCAAAGCATTGATTACATAACCAGAATTTTTTTTTTTTTTTTTTTTTTTGAGACAGAGTCTCGCTCTGTCACCCAGGCTGGAGTGCAGTGGCGCGATCTTGGCTCACTGCAAGCTCCGCCTCCCAGGTTCACGCCATTCTCCTGCCTCAGCCTCCCGAGTAGCTGGGACTACAGGCGCCCACCACTGCGCCCAGCTAATTTTTTGTACTTTTTAGTAGAGACGGGGTTTCACCGTGTTAGCCAGGATGGTCTCGATCTCCTGACCTTGTGATCCGCCCGCCTCGGCCTCCCAAAGTGCTGGGCAGAATTTTTTTTTAATAAGAGCATTCATGGCCGGGTGCGGTGGCTCATGCCTGTAATTCCAGCACTTTGGGAGGCAGAGGTGCGTGGATCAATTGAGGTCAGGAGTTCGAGACGAGCCTGACCAATATGGTGAAACCCCATCTCTACTAAAAAGTACAAAAAAGTTAGCTGGGCGTGGTGGCACACACCTGTAGTCCCAGCTACTCGGGAGGCTGAGGCAAGAGAATTGCTTGAACCCAGGAGGCGGAGGTTGCAATGAGCCAAGATTGTGCCATTGTACTCCAGCCTGGGCGACAGAGTGAGACTCCATCCAAAAAAAAAAATGTATTCTATTTCATCTGTGTGTTGAAAAGAAACAGCTCATGGAGTGTGTGGCATTATTCAATGTAGACTCATCAAACAAGCACCCTATAGAAGCAAGGTCTGCTCAGCACAGGAGACAAGGACCTATTCCCAATAAAATTCAATCTAAGTAGGTATTTTGTTTGTTCATTTGTTTTAATGTGCTTTCTATACAAACATATCGCTTAAGACTAGTTTCCTGGGCCCTATATCCATCCAGATTGCTGTCCTAATCCCTTCTGATAGAAAATTTCTAGAGGTACTTAAGGGTAGACTGCATGCTGTGAGGATAAAAATAGAGTTGTCTTAACAATAGGGCAATAGAGCCATCATGAGAAAAAGATGACGTCCTAAAATCTATGAGCTTTGTTTCTAGGGGACAAATCTGGTTCAAAAGACTTCCTCAAACTTTTCCCTGCTGTCAAGTTTAATGCAATTCCTCCTCCTCCTCCAGTTTTGTCTTTCTAATGTCAGCTTGATTTGAGAAGGTACCTGTCAAAAAGGCTACTAGAATAACCTGGTGGGAATGTGTTAAGCCATTGCAAGAAAATGGTTCCAGCTGGCCGGGTGTAGTGGCTCACGCCTATAATCCCAGCACTTTGGGAGGCTGAGGTGGGTGGATCACCTGAGGTCAGGGGTTCGAGACCAGCCTGGCCAACATGGTGAAACCCCGTCTCTACTAAAAAAATACAAAAAATTAGCCGGGTATGGTGGCACATGCCTGTAATCCCAGCTACTCAGGAGGCTGAGGCAGGAGAATCGCTTGAACCTGGGAGGCGGAGGTTGCAGTGAGCCGAGATCGTGCCATTGCACTCCAGTCTGGGCAACAAGAGCAAAACCCTGTCTCAAAAAAAAAAAATTTTTGCTCTGTCCCCCAGGCTAAAGTGCAGTGGCGCTATCTTGGCTCACTTGAACTCCGCCTCCCGAGTTCAAGAGATTCTCCTGCCTCAGCTGGAATTACAGGCGTCTACCACCATGTCCAGGTAATTTCTGTATTTTTAGTAGAGATGGGGTTTCTCCATGATGGCCAGGCTGGTCTCAAACTCCTGACCTCAGGTGGTCCGCCGCCTCGGCCTCTCAAAGTGCTGGGATTACAGGCATGAGCCACCAGACCTGGCTAGTTTATTTATTTATACTTGTGTTGTTCCCAGATTAATTTTGTAGTAAGTTTATTTCCTGAGCAAGTGTAGATGGCAGCTCTCTTATAAAACTAAGTAACTGCAAACAACATGTTGTTATAGTCATTGGAACTGGGAGTGGAGCAGGCATTTGCTTAGAAAACCAGGAGCCTGAACAGACACTTCCGGAAAAAAAAAAAAAAAGGATCTTCCACCCCCACTAGGAGGTGATCTGAGGAAGTCTAGCAGTGGGCTGAAAAGGCTGGGTAAGATTTTAGACCTTTTGCAGCACCTAGGCAAATGAAACTGGAAGCAAATACACCAGTTTATAAGGAGGAGAAAAGAGCCCAGGAAGGCAAAAGGAAGCTCCTAGTCTCTCTTAAAACTGCAAGCCCTTCCTAGAATTTGTCTCATAAAATACCCTGATGTTTGGAACTGTAATCACAGTGAAAATTTGGGGCAAGAACTGACCTGTCCAATGAGCATTATCTGCCCTGGTGATATGGCAAACTAACACCCTTCTCGTTTTTTTTTTCAGAGCATCATTTCTCATAAATTAGCTTTCTCATCTCAACTGACTCACTTGGCAGAAACAAATCTACATGGTGTAGAAGAGAGAAGGCAGGGGAATAGTTCAGAAGGAGTGAAAAGAGATAAGTGAAGAGATAAGTGGAAGAAGGGCAGTTTACTAAATTAGAGGTACCAGCACCATCGTATGACGAATTTACTGAAAAATCCAGATTGGAATTTTTTGAAATCAGGAATGAGAGAAGTTGAGCTGTTCCACATCATATTAGGCATAACAGTAATTCTTAAAATTTTTGCCAAGAGCTACCTTTGAGGGTATGATGAAAACTATAGACCCTCTGCTGAGAAAAAAAATGTATATATGACTTACACACAAAATCCTATTATATTAGAACAACTAGTTATGATACCTGAGATGGAACCAATTAGTCACAACACACACACAATAAACTGTATATTCCTGATCTCTTGACTGTCATAAAATTGTTCTTGCATCTAACCTAAAGTCTCATTCTATAGTTTAATCCTCTCTGTACTTTTTCTGTCTTCTTAGCTTAAGAAAAGATCATTACAAATTCCTTGTTTTTCACATACTCTTGCAAAGGGCTATGAAATTTTATTGCTATTATTCTTTCTCGCTTTTTTTTTTTTTTTTTTTTTTTTTTGAGACGGAGTCTCTCTCTGTTGCCCAGGCTGGAGTGCAATGGTGTGATCTTGGCTTATTGCAACCTCCGCCTCCTGGGCTCAAGCAATTCTCCTGCCTCAGCCTCCCAAGTAGCTGGGACTACAGGCACGTGCCACCATGCTCAGCTAATTTTTTTGTATTTTTAATAGAGACGGGATATCACCATGCTGGCCAAGCTGGTCTCAAACTCTTGACCTTGTGATCCACCCGCCTTGGCCTCCCAAAGAGCTGGGATTACAGGCATGAGCCACCATGCCAGGCCTGTTGTTATTCTGGTTTTAAACAGAAACTTCCTTAATTTTTCCTTACAGAATGTGGCAGAGAGTGCTAGTTGCCTTCCAATATCCGTTTCTTCCTTTTGTATTAGTCACCCTAGCTATATGACTATTGTTTTTTTTTTTTGAGCCTTCCCTGCAGCTAGGTATGGCTATGTGACTAAGCTTTAAGCCAATGATTTGTAAGCACTGTGCTATATGGGCCTTCCAAAATTTTTTCTTTCTTTTCTCTTTTTTTTTTTTTTTTTTGAGACAGAGTCTCACTCTGTCACCCAGGCTGGAGTGCAGTGGCACCATCTTGGCTTGCTGCAACTTCCACCTCCTGGGTTCAAGTGATTCTCCTGCCTCAGCCTCCCGAGTAGCTGGGACTACAGCTGCCACCATGTCCGGCTAATTTTTTTGCATTTTTTTTGGAGACGGAGTTTTGCTATGCAGCCCAGGCTAGAGTGCAGAGGTGTGATCTTGGCTCACTGCATCCTCCGCCTCCATGGTCCTGGTTCAAGCAATTCTCCTGCCTCAGCCTCCTGAGTAGCTGGAATTATAGGCAGGCACCACCATGCCCAGCTAATTTTTGTATTTTTAGTACAGACAAGGTTTGATCATGTTTGCCAGGCTGGTCTTGAACTCCTGACCTCATGATCCGCTTGCCTCGGACCTCCCAAAATGCTGGGATTACAGGTGTGAGCCACCGTGCCCAGCCTTTTTTTTTGTGTTTTTAATGGAGACAGGGTTTTGCCACGTTGGCCAGGCTGGTCTCGATCTCCTGACCTCAGGTGATCCACCCCCCGCTCAACCTCCCAAAGTGCTGGGATTACAGGTGTGAGCCACCATGCCCGGCCCCCAAATTTTTTCTTTCTTTTTCCTTCCTCCACCCTGCTGTCTGGAATGAAGACCCAATAGCTGGAGATCAATAGCCATCCTAGGCCATGAAGGTGGAGGTGATGGCCAATGTTGTCTGTTGACTCCCTTACTGGAAGTTTTGCAGGAACAGGAGCCTTTTTTTATCTTGGTGAAAGCAACATCCCCAGCACTTAAAAAGTATGTGACATGTGCTAAGAGCTCAGGTATTGAATGGATAGTGAACGTATGAGTTAACTCTGGACCTATATAAAGTCTCAGCTTCTTTCACAGAATCAAACTCTTGCTTAATTCAAAGCACATTCCTCCTACTTGCTTCCCTTTGCTCTCCCAGGCTTGCCACTGTTACAGAATTTTTTTTTCTTAATTCTCTCTAATATTCCCTTCATTCAAAATGTTTTAAAATCTATTTCCGTAACAATGCTTCCCAATATCTTCCTGGTTAGCAAGTTTTAAATTCTTCAGTTTTCAAGGTCGTAGATATCTATTTTTGTGTATGTCTGTTGTTAAATGCAGGCATTATTTTGTACCTTAAAATAGGCATCGTCTCAAGTCTACAAGAATCATCCAAAATGGTATCTAATGACATTCCTAGGGTTTCAGACAATTTTTTTTTTCTTTGAGACGGAGTCTTGCTCTGTCGCCCAGGCTGGAGTGCAGTGGACTGATCTTGGCTCACTGCAATCTCTGCCTCCCAGGTTCAGGAGATTCTCCTGCCTCAGCCTCCCTAGTAGCTGGGACTATGGGTGGACGCCACCATGCCTGGCTAATTTTTGTGTTTTTAGTAGAGACGGGGTTTCTCCATGTTGGTCAGGCTGGTCTTGAACTCCTGACCTCAAGCAATTCACCCGCCTCTGCCTCTCTAAGTGCTGGGATTACAGACGTGAGCCACCGCGCCCAACAAGAGCAAAACTCCGTCTCAAAAAAAAAAAAACAAAAAAAAAACAATCCCATTTTGCAGGTTTTATAGAAGAAATTGGGACGCAGAAGTTAAGTTACTTCCGCAAGCTTACATGACTGCTCAGGGTGAGGGTCCCTGATCATGATGATCAGAAAATAAAGGTAGAAATCAAGCTTAGGGAGGAAGTGACATTGTGTGTATATATATATATTTGTTTATTTATTTTTATTTTTATGTTTTATTTTTTTGAAACGGAGCCTAGGTCGCCCAGGCTGGAGTGCAATGGCGCGATCTCGGCTTACGGCAACCTCTGCCTCCCGGGTTCAAGTGATTCTCCTGCCTCAGCCTCCCGAGTAGCTGGGAATACGGGCGCGTGCCACCATGCCCGGCTAATTTTTTGTATTTTTAGTAGAGACGGGATTTCACCGTGTTAGCCAGGATGGTCTGGATCTCCTGACCTGGTGATCCGCCCGCCTCGGCCTCCCAAAGTGTTGGGATTACAGGCATGAGCCACCGCGCCCGGCCGGGATTGTTTTTAAGGGTTAAATAAATATACCACAGTTGGAACACTGTCTGGCACATAGTGCTTGCCAAATGGTAACTATTCATCTTCATGGAATCAAGACTGTGGTGCCCCACTGCATGGTTCTCAGTTTTGCGTGAGAAAATCGTGCTTTCTGTGCTGTTTTTAGTACAAGAAGAGAAACCTGGAAGTCCCTGCCTAGAGGAGAGAAACAGGCAAGAAAAGGGAGTTGGCGAGTCCCAGCATTTCAGAGTTGGCAGGGACGAGTTAGGTCCCTATTTTATGGATGAGGAAGTGGAAGGGTGACGTGTCCTCGAGTCTCATTCAAGACCCACAGCCACAACTCTTTATGGAGAGTAGGACCAGGGCCCCAGGGTTGCTATGATCACGTTGCAGGTGAAAACTAACGCTCATTGGAAGACAGGAGCGGAGCACTGAGTTACAAAAACAGTTAACAATTTGGGTGTAACCAAGTTTAGTGAGCAAACGAAAGCTGTCAGACTCGGAAGAAGAGTTGCTAATGGAGCGAACTCTTTACTAATAACGGCTTTCTACAGAGATCATTGACACAGCTTCCAGTTACAAATGCCCGTGCGCTTCCAGTAGGACCGGAAAGCTCCCAGCAGCCAGCGATGAATGAAAACCCGAGTCTGGGATAGCGGCGTGAGGGGCTGGGCAGCTGCCAGGCGGGGGCGGGGCAGCAGGTCACGTGCCTGGCTTCGAGGCGGGCGCCGGAGGGGGAACTCTGACCATGATTGGTTCCTCCTAACCAGGTGACCGCAGGTCGCGTTCCGGTTGGCAGGCACCGGCCAGGGCCAGCGGCCTTCAGTCGGTAGGCGGCGGCGGAAGGAGGAGGAGCTCCAGCCGCGCTCTCTCCCGGCAGTGGCTGTGCTTCACAGCGCTTGTTGGGTTCCCCACCCCTTTTAAATAAGCCGGGCTGGTCACCGCCCTCGCAGACGAGTCAGCTTAAGGGAGGCGGCGGCAGCGCGGCGGTGGGGGTGCGGCCGAGGCCCGAGCCCTGCCCGGGGCCGGGCCGCGGGGCGGGCGGGCGAACCGCGGGCGAGGCGGCGTCTGCTTGCGCGGTGCAGCCCCAGCGTAGCCCGGGGCTGCCGGTGCCGGCCGCGCCATTGTTGGGGGAGGGGGCGGCTGTTGAGGGCGGCGGAGTAGGGGGCGAGCGAAGGCGGTGGCAGAGAGGAGCGGAGGCTTCCCATGGGGAACACGCTGACCTGTTGCGTGTCCCCCAATGCCAGCCCCAAGCTGGGCCGGCGCGCGGGGTCGGCGGAGCTGTACTGCGCGTCCGACATCTACGAGGCGGTGTCCGGGGACGCGGTGGCGGTAGCGCCCGCTGTGGTGGAGCCTGCCGAGTTGGATTTCGGAGAGGGCGAGGGCCACCACCTGCAGCACATCAGCGACCGCGAGATGCCCGAAGGTAAGGAGGCGGCGGATGCCATCCGCCCTCGGGCTCACCTCTGCCCGCCTCCTCCCCCAGAGTCCCCCGGGAGGCATCCGCCGCCTCGGGCTCCTTCCTGCCGGTAGCCGGCCCCGGGACGAAGGCTGGTTCTGCCTCGCGTCCCCACCCCTTATTCTTGCCCTGCTGCGTCTGGCCAGTTTCTTTTCCTCCTCCTTACCGTAACGCCCAGTTCTTGCTCCCGCTTCCCATTCTCCCAAGCCGGCGTGGGACCCTCTAGTCCGCCGCCCTTCTTGTTTGTAGCTCTGTTCATTGTCTGGTGGGACTTTGCTAAGACTTTTGGGGTATATTGTTTTCCTTTTCTCAATGGAAACTCAAATACCTCAACTTCGGAGTACTCATCCCATTCCCTCCCTTAACCCATCCAGATGGTACCTAAGTGAAGGAACCAGGTAAGGGTCTGATTGTTCCTTCCTCCCATCCGTGAAGATAGCTGATGCCCGCGACAGTTTAGACCCAGATGTTTGAGGATTTCTTATCTAGACTCAAAATAGAGGTTGCCATAGGAGACACTATATGGTATTCCTAATAGGTTAAGTCGGCGTGAAAGAAGCTGCTTTATTCCTTCCAACTATAATTTGAACACAGAAAGAAAGAAAATGGGGGGAGGGGCGTAAAATGACTGTGAAGGGTGTGAGAGGTTATTACCAGGGGTGCAGACAAGTTGTTTTTTTGAGACGGAATCTCGTTTTGTCGCCCGCCCAGGCTGGAGTGCAGTGGCGCGATCTCGGCTCGCTGCAACCTCCGCCTCTCGGTTTCAAGCGATTCCTCTGCCTCAGCCTCCCGAGTAGCTGGGATTACAGGCGTGCGCCACCACGCCCAGCTAATTTTTGAATTTTTAGTAGAGACGGGGTTTCACCATGTTGGTCAGGCTGGTCTCTAACTCCAGAGTTCTTGATCCGCCCGCCTCGGCCTCCCAAAGTGCTGGGATTACAGGCGTGAGCCACCGCGCCCAGAGGTTGTTAACTCAAAGGAGTTTAGCCACGGAGTTCTGATTACTTTAAAATTCCCACGGTGGCAAATACATCTCCAGCCATTCTCCGGTGACTTAACAGACTTCAATACCTCCTTGTTCTAAAAGAGAGGTGGGGTGGTTCATGGTTAGAAGTTTCAAAAGAGACAAAGTATAAATTTAGACTTAATTTATAATGTAATGGTTTGGAAGTTAAAATGCTAGACCCTGCCTGCTCAAGAGTATTTGTTTCCGTGGTTCCCCTTCCTTCCTCCCAATCCTGCCAATAGAATCCTGGTCAAAGATGAGAATGTTGGGGTTCGTCAGACTCTAAACCGTTGAGGTAGGGGTGAGGGGAGAGGAAACGTTTAGTTTTTTGCCTTTAGAATTTTGGAAAGAGATAAGTCTAGGTAAAAATAATTCTGGGTAGCAGCGTGATTCTTGAATAAAAACTAATTCTTTTGAAGTAGAAAAACATTGTATCATAAAGATGTTTAAATCCAGTGGGCTCATTTGTTTCGTATAAATGCCAGAGATTTCATTACTATAGAAGAAATGTGTTAGAACTCTTATATTTAAACTTTGCTTGGACTCTTAATTTCTTTAAAATAATAATTAAGCTTCATGATGGACATGCCTTTGTAACTAGGAACTACTTTACTTACCTTTCGGAATATTCAGACATTGTGAAAGAATGAACAAATATATTATGTGAGTTAATTGATTGTACCTTTATACACAAAGCATGTAAGTGCTTGTGAAAACTTAATGCTCTCTTAGTGGTGTCAGGTAAGCCTCTGAGTGATTTTACACACCAGTTAGTAGATGGGTGGGTGGTGTTGGGTGAGAGCCCCAAATAAGGCTCCCACCCAGTGTACATGAAAATACATACTTTCATGTACATGTAATTTAGCCCTTCCAAAATAAGGCCTGTTTATATTCCCCGTGTTGCTAATGAAGAAATAAAGAGTTAGGTATGTAGAATGACTATGTAAGACAGCCACTGAGCAGAACTAAGGTTCTCAGTTCTCAGACTGACATGGAGGTGAGATATACCAAGTTCAGTTCTTAAAAAACTTTTAAAAATCCAGAATGCATCATGTATTTTACCCATAAAATAGTCCTGTTTTTGAGAACTTACTTCGGTCTTGATTAGTTCCTTTCAAAGTTTATTTTACACGATTCAGAGGCAACACTTACATCTCTTTTTTTTTTTTTTTTTTTTTTTTTTAAGAGAA
The DNA here is from genome assembly GCF_000001405.40 of Homo sapiens. Lineage (NCBI taxonomy): Eukaryota > Metazoa > Chordata > Mammalia > Primates > Hominidae > Homo > Homo sapiens. The sequence goes on from NC_000002.12 coordinate 207,714,346, forward strand.
AGAGTCTCACTGTGTTGACCAGGCTGGCCTCGAACTCCTGGCCTGGGCTCAAGCAGTCCTCCCACCTCAGCCTCCTGAATAGCTGGGACCACGGGCGTGTGCCATCTTGCCTGGCTCCATCTTATGTCTATACATTCATTTCAGTGGATAAGAATAAAAGTAGAGGTAACAAAATGGCCTAAATATACCCATCAAATAAACAGGTTGATAAATTTTAAAGAGTTTGTTCTGGTAACTGTGAATTGAAGCTGAGAATGCACTGGACAGAGGAATATTAGAAGCTGGCAAGAGGGAAGGTAAGGTACCAGGCATTAAGCATGGGATGATGATAAAGAGTGCTAAATCAGAAAAGTTGGAAAAAGAGAATTTGTAAGCACAGAATTTACCATTGTATGTTAGTATGACAGTTACATTTTTATTTCAATTTGTCTCAAAATTTATTTTTGTGGCATTCAATAAAGTGATAATAGAAATCTCCATTTCGGCATTTGCCTATTATTCATAAGTTTCCATAGAAACATGGCCAGAACACCAAATATAAAGTATAGACACATTGAAAGTTTGCTTTTAATATCTTTATTTCAGACAATTTTATATCAGTCTCCCTGGAAACAGAAATTCTTACTGAGATGTAAAACATTTGGCTGGGCATGGTGGCTCACGCCTGTAATCCCAGCACTTCGGGAGGCTGAGGTGGGCGGATCACGAGGTCAGGAGTTCGAGAGCAGCCTGGCCAACATGGTGAAACCCCGTCTCTACTAAAAATACAAAAATTAGCTGGGTGTGGTGGCGGGCATCTGTAATCCCAGCTACTCAGGAGGCTAAGGCAGGAGAATCACTTGAACCCAGGAGGCAGAGGTTGCAGTGAGCTGAGATCGTGCCACTGCACTCTAGCCTGGACAGTGGAGCAAGACTCTGTCTCAAAACAAACAAACAAACAAAAAATTTAGCTTTTCTACAATGAAGAATTATTTTTGTTACTTAGACAAAAATCATACATAAATGACGCTCGGCTTTGTTCTTCAAGCTATTTCTTTTTTTTTTTTTTTTTTTTTTGACAGAGCTTCACTCTTGCCTAGGCTGGAGTGCAATGGCACAAACTTGGTTCAGTGCAACCTCTTCCTCCCGTGTTCAAGTGATTCTCCTGCCTCAGCCTCCCAAGTAGTTGGGATTACAGGCATATGCCACCATGCCCAGCTAATTTTTGTATTTTTAGTAGAGACAGGGTTTCAGTATGTTGGCCAGGCTGGTCTCGAACTCCTGACCTCAAGCGATCCAGCTGCCTTGGCCTCCCAAAGTGCTGGGATCATAGGTGTGAGCCACCGCGCCTGGCCTTTTTTTTTTTTTTGAGATGGAGTTTCGCTCTTGTTGCTCAGGCTGGAGTGGAATGGCGCGATCTCGGCTCACTGTAACCTCTGCGCCCAGAGTTCAAGCAGTTCTCCTGCTTCAGCCTCCTGAGTAGCTGGGATTACAGGTGTGTGCCACCACGCCCAGCTAATTTTTTGTGTTTTTAGTAGAGATGGTTTCACCATGTTGGCCAGGCTGGTCTGGAACTCCTGACCTCAGGTGATCCACCTGTCTCAACCTCCCAAAGTGCTGGGATTACAGGTGTGAGCCACCACGCCTGGTCTCGTCAAGCTAAGAGATGCTCCTAAGAACCTAGTAAACATTTCAGATAGACTCAAAGTATTTTCTACTACCTTGCCTTTATTTAACGGTATGTCTAACATAACTGACGGTAGTATCAGTAACACAAAATAAGATACTAAGATCTTATTGTCCGATTTTATTAGTACTCTTGACTTTTCATGGAGCATTTTATGTTCTGACGTTAGGAGCTTTGCTAATTTGCTGGCTAAAGGCGCTCTCTGAAGTGACTCTTTCTATTCTTTTCCACTGATGGGTGAAGGTAGGGAAAGAATTGGCAATGTAATGTGGAAAAACCTCTGAGCAACAGATCTTTCCTCTTTCCAGTAGCTATTTTAAGCCCTCTCTTTTTTTTTTTTTTTTGCTTTTTTGAATAATATGTTTGATGTAAAAGACATAGAGAATACAGAAAAGTCATTGATTATGGTATGCATATGAATATAACATTTTATTTTAGAAAAATGAGATCATTCTATATGAGCTGCTTCATAACTTACAGCAGTGAAATAATGTCATAAATTCCTGAATCACTGCTTGACATCCAGAGAGTGCTCCAAGATATCTTTCCATGCCAGGACACCCTGCTCTATCGCATGCCTTCTAGTAACTGCTTAATGTACCATCAGATGGTTGGAGTATCATTTATTTACCTATCCTTTATGATTGGGCATCTTTTCTAGTAACATCATACACAGTCTCATTACATTTGATTTCAAGGGTACCGATAAAAACATATTTTGATGACTGATGCCTTGTACCTCCCTGTAGAATTCAGTTAAATCTATGGGTTGAGTCATTTTGTAGTTAAGATATTTTAGTATTAAATGTTCTTATGGGCCAGGTGTGGTGGCTCACGCCTGTAATCCCAGCACTTTGGGAGGCCGAGGCGGGTGGATCACGAGGTCAGGAGATCGAGACCATCCTGGCTAACACGGTGAAACCCCGTCTCTACGAAAAATACAAAAAATTAGCCGGGCGTGGTGGCGGGCGCCTGTAGTCCCAGCTACTCGGGAGGCTGAGGCAGGAGAATGGTGTGAACCCAGGAGGCAGAGATTGCAGTGAGCCGAGATCACGCCACTGCACTCCAGCCTGGGTGACGGAGCGAGACTCCATCTCAAAAAAAAAAAAAAAAAAAGTTCTTATGTCAAATTGGAGTTAGCATTGACTTTTCCCTGGACTTTAGAATTCATCATTTAATATTTTTTGTTTCTTGGTAGCCTATCTTGCATCTTTAATTCTGAATAGCTACCACTTTAAAAGATTTGATGCTTACCACTTTAAAAGATTTGATTAGATGACAAATCAAGAGAGAATGTTAGAAGAAATATTAAAAGATGTGGGAAAACTGGGAGAAACTTGACTAGTTTTGGGTGTGCTGAAACAGATGTTTATTGAGTACCTTTAGGTGGCCAGGCTGTGTTCCAGATTTAGGGCAGACAGTGGTATACAAGACAGAACCTCATCCTAACTCTGATCCTTACATTCTGGAGGGAGCTAGGGATAGATAATACATGAATAATCAAGAATGTTAGGTGGTGAGGTGCTAGGGAGAAAAGTAAAATAGGGTCATGGATTGGGGAGGAGGACAGTTACATGGGGGTTGTGGGGATGAAAGATGGCTGCTCTCCTTACGTGACCTGTGAGCAGTCCTAAAGTGAGAAGGGAGCCTTGTGAGGATGGTTGGTGAGAGCCAGGGGTCCACACAGACAGTTACTTTGGAGTTCCTTGAATGGGAGCAAACTTGTTTTTGGCCAAGGACAGAAAGACACAGGGTGGCTGCGGAAGAGTGAAAAGGATGCCAGGACTATGGTGGGTTAAGGCCATGTGTGTATAGTGGGCCTTGGCAAAGAATATAGACTTTAGTTGTGATAGGAAACCATTGGAGGATTATAGCCTGGGAAATATTTTTAATTCTTTTTTTTTTTTTTTGAGATGGAATCTTCACTGTGTCGCCCAGGTTGAAGTACAGTGGCTCAATCTTGGCTCACTGCAACCTCCGCCTCCTGGGTTCAAGCGATTCTCCTGCCTCAGCCTCCCGAGTAGCTGGGGCTACAAGCACGTGCCACCACACCCGGCTCATTTTTTGTATTTTTAATAGAGATGGGGTTTCTCCGTGTTAGCCAGGATGGTCTCGATCTCCCAACCTCGTGATCCACCCACCCTGGCCTCCCAAGGTGCTGGGATTACAGGTGTGAGCCACCATGCCCGGCCAATATTTTTAATTGTTTAAGAAAAAGATCAGACGGTGGCTCATGCCTATAATCCCAGCAGTTTGGGAAGCAGAGGCAGGAGGATTGCTTGAGCCCAGGAGTGGGCTGGGACTAGCCTGGACAACGTGCTGAGACCCTGCCTCTACAAAAAGTAAATTAGCCAGGTGTGGTGGCACACACCCATAGTCCCAGCTACTCAAGAAGCTGAGGCAGGAGAATCTCCTGAGCCCAGGAAGTCAAGGCTGCATTGAGCTGTGATTGCTCCACTGCCCTCCAGCCTGGGTGACAGTGAGACTGTCTCAAAAAAAAAAAAAGATCAGACTAGCTGTAAAAGTAGGTAGCAAAGTGATGAATAGACAAGTCACAGAAAAATAAATGCAGATGATCCTTAAACACAGCTTCACACTTAAGAGAAATACAAACGAAAACTGTGCTGTGATTTCTCTTCTGTTGGGAGAAGATCCAAAAACTTGACAATACATTCTTTGGTGTGGCTGCGAAGAGTTGCATTCGTGTATTGCTGGTTAAAATGTAAGGTGGTTTGACTCCCTGAAGAGGAATTTGGCATAATCTCAAACATTGCAAATGCATTTAATCCAGAAATCCTACTTCAAGGAATTTATCCTGAAGGCATACCCCATAAATATGAAATAACATGTGCATAAGGTTTTGTTGCATTATTTTCAATAGCTAAATATTGGAAATAATATGTCTAGTAAGAAATTGGTAAAATAAACTGTTATATCCACACAGAGGAGAATTATGGAGCTGTTAAAAAAAAAAAAAACTCTCTTTACTGCTATGGAGTGATACCCAGATATCCAGGATATGTTACATGAAAAAAAACAAGGAGGAGAATGTACAGTAATGTATGAAATAATATGTATTTGCTTATTTAAAACAACAACACTGAAAGGAATTCTTGGTGGTGGTGTGTGACTGTTTTTCCCTTAATTTCAGAGGTAGCCAAAGTGCATATTTGCTGAAGATGTTATTTTGGTATGGGCTTTCCAATAAATGCTAACTGTTCACTTTTGCTTTTAATTTGTGAAAACTTTGTTTTATAATTTATTGTGCATTATGTGGTATATAGCAATTGCTTTTTTTTTTTTTTTTGAGATGGAGTCTAGTTCTGTTGCCCAGGCTGGAGTACAGTGGCACGAGCTCAGCTCACTGCAACCTCCACCTCCTGGGTTCCAGCAGTTCTAATGCCTCAGCCTCCTGAGTAGCTGGGACTACAGGCATGTGCCACCACGCCCAGCTAATTTTTATATTTTTAGTAGAGAAGGGGTTTCGCCATCTTGGCCAGGCTGGTCTTGAATTCCTGACCTCAGGTGATCTGCCCACCTCAGCCTCCCAAAATGCTGGGATTACAGGTGTGAGCTACTGCGCCCGGCTTATAGCAATTGCTCTTGCATTTCATTTTATTCTCACTATATTTTGAGTTAGGTAGTATAAGAATTATACTTGTTTTACATATGAGAAGACAGGCTTTGAGAGGTGTAAATTGAGTTTGCCAAGGTTTTTTAATTTGTTTTTTGTTTTTGAGATGGTCTTTCTCTGTTGCCGAGGCTGGAGTGCAGTGGTGTGATCATAGCTCACTGCAGCCTCCACTTCCTGGGCTCAAGTGATCCTCTTGCCTCAGCCTCCCAAGTAGCTGGGACTAAGAGTTTTCCAAGGTTTAAAAAGATAAGACTTGGTATGGTCAGGTGTGGTGGTGGCTCATGCCTGTACTACAGCACTTTGGGAGGCTGAGGTGGGTGGATCACGAGGTCAGGAGATGGAGACCATCCTGGCCAACATGGTGAAACCCCATCTCTAATAAAAATACAAAAATTAGTTGGGTGTGGTGGCACATGCCTGTAGTCCCAGCTGCCTGGGAGGCTGAAGCAGAAAAATCGCTTCAACTCAGGAGGCAGAGGTTGCAGTGAGCCGAGATCATGCCACTGCACTCCAGCCTGGGTGGTAGAGTGAGACTCCGTCTCAAAAAAAAAAAAAAAAAAAAAAGGCTTGGTAGATCAAGAATGTAAATTTCAGATATATGGCATATAGGATTAGAATTTATAGAATGACTCATGGGCTTCTTTGGATACTGCCTTTTTTCCACCTTTTTTTCAGTTAATTAAGCTTTAGAGTTAAAATAATAACATTGGATAATGAAAAATGAAATGGAGGTACTTGTAACCCAGACTTTTTTTTTTTTTTTCTTTTCTCTGTATGAGACAGGGTCACAACTCTGCCTGTCGCCCAGGCTGGAGCACAGTAGTGCCATTAGAGCTCACTGTAACCTCAAATCCCTGGGCTCAAGTTATCCTGCCACTTCAGCCTCCCAAATAGCTGGAACTACAGGCATGTGCCTCCACACCCAACTAATCTTTTAAAAAATTTTTGTAGAGATGGGGGTCTCACTATGTTATGTTGCCCAGGCTGGTCTTGAACTGTTCTCAAGTGATCCTTCTGCCTCAGCCTCCCAGAGTGCTGGGATTACAGGTGTGAGTCACTGCACTCCACCCAGAAATACTCTTAAAAGTCTAAAAAAGGAGTTAAGTGCTATTAAGAAATACACAAAGGGAGAAAGGTATACTATAGCATATGAAATGTCACAGCTCAGTCACGATCACTAAAACATAGATTGAGGCGTGAAGGTAAGTTAAAGCAAGACTGAACACTGACATAGAAGGAGGTAGAGCAGTGTTTCGGAAACCAGATTTAGGATTGTCAGAAGCTAGGAAAGCAAAAGCAAGGCATGAGTGAGCATGAGACTGGAGCTTGGCTGGTACTGTGTGACCTCAGATGAGGCAGGGCAGCTCAAGACCCATCAGGTAAGACTTACCTGATGGGTGGAACGTGTGAACTTAGATAAAATCTCAGCGTTTACATCATAGTTGAGAGGTTTGAAATGTTTGTGTTATGGACCGTAAGACTAATACAGTGTGCAGTATGGTAGAGCAGGTCAGTAAATGCAGTAAGCCTTTAAATAAACAGATGCCCAGCAGTTGGCCCAGAAACTGCCAATGTCTCCTGTTTAATTGGGATATATTGAAATCAATATGTTGAACTCAATCTCTTTCTCTGAAATATGCTGCTTCTGTCAGTTACTTTCTTGGTTGCTGCCCTCTCCCTTTAATATTTTGACAAGAAAAATAATTTCTTTACAGTTTACAATTGCATAATTTTAACACTTTTAGCCTTTAGTAATAATGCATTTCATTTATTCTAAGTTCCATATTTTTACATTTTTAATTAACATCTGTGAAATTGAGATGGCTGATAGATTCAAGGAGAAGCAGTGTTCAATGTCAGTGGATCTTACAGATTTCTTCCCCTGAGGGGGGTGTTTATATTAAGACCTGAGTTTAATTTTTTTTTGTCTTACTTGCCCCCCATCATACTATCATGCTTTCGAATTAAGTTGCAATTTAAATTGATAATACAAAACTGGTGGGTCTTAAAATACAATTTTATACATAACCCCTAACCATGATATCAAAAACTATTTCTTCTAGTTTCAAACATTCTTAGGAGTTTTTTGTTTTTTTTTTTTTTGTTTTGAGACAGAGTCTTGCTCTGTTGCCAGGCTGGAGTGCAGTGGCGCCATCTCGGCTCACTGCAACCTCTGCCTCCTGAGCTCAAGCAATTCTCCTGCCTCAGCCTCGGTGGCAGCTCCTGGCTGGCTAGCAGTGCTAGAGTACAGCCCTGCCTTTCTCCTTTGGTTCTTGGGAAGTCCCAAGAGAAATGTAATTGATTGGCCAGCTGTAAGTCACATGCCCACCCTAAAACCCCTGAGTTGAGGGAGTGCCAGCTTGTTACTTGGGCTTATTTGGCTTTTTTCTCTATATCTTATCATTTCTGTTATCCTAGTTGCCTTGGATTTTTTTTTTTTTTTTTGAGATGTAGTCTTGCTCTGTTGACCAGGCTGGGGGGCAGTGGTGTGATCTTGGTTCACTGCAACCTCTGCCTCCTGGGTTCAAGCGATTCTTCTGCTTCAGCCTCCCGAGTAGCTGGGACTAGAGGTGCACGCCATCACGCCTGGCTGATTTTTTTGTATTTTTAGTAGAGATGGGGTTTCACTGGGTTGGTCAGGCTGGTCTCGAACTCCTGACCTCATGATCTGCCAGCCTCAGCCTCCCAAAGTATTGGGATTACAGGCATGAGCCACCATGCCCAGCCGCCTTGGATATTTCTTATATTTACACAGTAGCACATCTTGGTTTTCTTATATTTAAATACATAGTAGCACATCTTGATTTGGGGCGGGGGAGGTGTGTGTGTGAAGCCTGCTCCTCTTTGATTTTGGTACTTAATTTTCCTGGACTTCATTGAAAATTCCTAATTAAACTTTATCATGACATAGGTACTGATTCATAATATGGCTTCTTCTGTAAACATTAGTTATTTTTTAGATTCAAATGGTAGTATATTTGCTTTCTTTTTGAAAGGAAGTAGTCATGAATCCTTTTAGAAGCTTTAGGTAGAGGCTGGGTGTGGTGGCTCACGCCTGTAATCCCAGAACTTTGGGAGGCCGAGGGGGGCAGATCACAAGGTCAGGAGTTTGAGACCAGCCTGGCCAGCATGGTGAAACCCAGTCCCTACTAAAAATACAAAAATTAGCCGGGCATGGTGATGCGTGCCTGTAGTCCCAGCTAGTTGGGAGGCTGAGGCAGGAGAATCACTTGAACCCGGGAGGTGGAGGTTGCAGTGAGCCAAGATTGCACCACAGCACTCCAGCCTGGGCGAAAGAGTGAGACTCTTCTCTCGGAAAAAAAAAAAAAGGAGCTTTAGGTAGAGGCAGCTGTGAAAGTCTCTGCCTGTCATTTTGTGCACAAATGATTTTATTTTTCCAAATAGCTTAAAATTGTCACGTCATCTTTTCAAGATGTGGAAAAACTTCAAACATAATTTTTGTGTGGGTCTTTTACATAAGAATAGTTTCCTCTAAAAGCAGTTTAAAAAAGTTGAGTGAAGGACTTTCCATGGAGAACAAAGCAGTTGGTTTAGGTATGTAAGTTTTTAGTGATCTGGCAGTACTATTAAAATGGATGATTCATAATTCATTTTAACCAGGAAGTCCCAAAATTATGTTCATATAAGATTCTAACCAAATTACTTGGAAGAGAGAAAAGGATTCTAGGTAGATAAATTTGTGAAATGCTGAGTTAGACAGTAATCACTACTAGACTGATTAGTTTTTAGTATATCAATGTGCGTTTTGATTTTGTAAGAGCCAGGGATAGAGTATATTGTCATTTGACCACTAAATCGCTTTTTTAAAAGTAGAGCAATTATATTAATATGTAGTTTTGGGAAATATCGCCTTAACTGTTACTCTGGATCTTGGCCCAGTTTCTTACAAGATTGGTTAAGATAAGTGGCTTGAAATGGACCTTGCTGGGCTGGGCGCGGTGACTCACCTCTATAATCCCAGCACCTTGGGAGGCTGAGGTGGGTGGATCACCTGGGGTCAGGAGTTTGAGACGAGCCTGGCCAACATGGTAAAACCCCGTCTCTACTAAAAATACAAAAATTAGCCGGCGTGGTGGCAGGCACCTGTAATCCCAGCTATTTGGGATACTGAGGCAGGAGAATTGCTTGAATCCTGGAGGCAGAGGTTGCAGTGAGCTGAGACCGTGCCACTGCACTCCAGCCTGGGCAATAGAGTGAGACTCCATCTCAAAAAAAAAAAAAAAAAAAAAGACCTTGCTGAAGAATATCATAGATTTTTATTTTTTCCCCTCGTGACAATTTTTATTATCCCATATTATGGCAAAGTTTGTTTCATGAAAATTCAAGAGTCTGTTTTGTAGTCTTGCCTAAATATATTATCCAACTTTGGTGCAAGGTGGACTACAGGCAGGTTTATCTTGACATAGATAGGGGCAAAATTTTTTAGAAACAGCCCTAAGATCTGCTTTAAAACGTACTCTTGATGAAACACCAAATTAACCATGCTGTTAGAAGGAAGAAGTGAGAAATTGAGGGCAAACGTTAATCATTTTCTAACATGTTTCTGTATGTTAGAACACAGAACTTCCATTCAGTCCTCTTAAATCTGCCATGATGAATGGCCCCCCAAAAAACCACAGCTAACTAAATTAGTTTACTTGTTGAATGGAGTTAGAATTAGCCGTTTAATTGTCTAAAGAACATTTGCCAAAAACAACTCTTTGTTTTACCATATTTGATGTATTGAGCTGGTGCCTGACAGTAACTGGCCACAGCATCACTTGCTACTTGAGATTGTTCTTGAAATGTGCTAGTAATAGCAGTAGAGAGGAGAGTGTGGTTATATTTCTATTTGATAAGTTGAAGGAGGAGGACATGCGTATGATTCATCTAACATTTGTACCAGATTATTTAGGCACAGATTTTTTATTAAAAGTCTCTGACACAGCCTGGTTTTTGTTCCACGTGTGTGGAGAGATTCTACAATTTTGCATTCCCCAGGAGTATTTTTGTATTGTCTTTATTTCCTTTATATTTATTACTAAAAACTTCTCTGAAGACTGTTAAAAGTGATTAAAATGGATGTGTATCTATTTCAGAAATCATCTTTTCTACTCACCTAAAGTGTCACGTCTTTTTCCTCCTCTTCTATAGATTTAGCTTTGGAGTCAAACCCTTCTGACCATCCAAGGGCAAGCACAATTTTCCTGAGCAAATCTCAAACGGATGGTAAGACAATACTGTTTTTTCCTTCCAAGGAAAAGACTGAAAACTGTTTCTATTTTATTGGATGTATTATAGAAGGTATTTAGAAGAACTGATGTATTAGTTTAAAATTTTCTTTTCATATGTTCACTGATTTTAATATGTGATATACTTTCCTTTAGTTGTGATTGTTTAGTAATAACATGTAGACCTATTTACAGGTTTTGCCACCTTTTTATAACACAATTAATTGGCCACATGATTTAGTAACATGGATTTTTTTTTTTTTTTTTGAGAGGCTGGAGTGCCTTTATTGCCCATGCTGGAGTGCAATGATGTGGCCTCAGCTCACTGCAGCCTCCATCTCCCACGTTCAAGCAATTCTCCTGCCTCAGCCTCCCAAGTAGCTAGGACTACAGGCATGAGCCACCATGTCCGGCTAATTTTTGTATTTTTAGTAGAGATGGGGTTTCACCATGTTGGCCAGGCTGGTCTCAAACTCCTGACCTCGTGATCTGCCCTCCTCAGCCTCCCAAAGTGCTGGGATTACAGGCGTGAGCCATCTGGCCAGTATCATGGATTTATGCATATTTCTCCATACTTCTTTGACCTCTTTCCCTTGCTCCAAAAGAGTACATTTTAAAGATGAATGATAGGATTTAAGCTGCAGCTTGGTTTCATTTGAACAACAACAAAAAATCAGTTCGTATACAGGGATTGAATCTGTGATTTTGGCTTCCTTTTATACAATGCTCTAACCACATGAGCCTATCACATTCAAATTTATGCTACTCAGAACTTTTAAGCTATTAACTTTTCCATCCTAATGTAGTGTAAATATAAACATGCCCCATGGTGTTTCCCAGAAGGTTAGCCTCAGCAAGTGAAACTTACGTACATTTTCCTTGTCCTGCTTGTTTTAGGATGAGAATCAGAACTGTTGTATTTTTCTGTACTCCTGTTTATCTTCCTTATAATTATGTTAAATCCTAATTTATTTGCTAAAAAGCTATATACAACCAGGTTTTTCATTTGATTTCAACAGCAAGAATACAAGAAGTGGGGGTTCTATAATACTTGAAGTAATGGAGCACAACACAAAGCAGGGGAGTTGTAAGCAGCATTTTCGAAGCTCGTGTGGACTTTGTCTTGAGCTGGTCATTTCTGGTTAGGATAGTTGTATTTCTCAGTTTCTTTCAGAGCCATAGGCTTCTCACACAGACAGAGTGTGGAAGCAGTAAAAGAAGAGCTATCCCATGCTCCTCTTTCTTCAGTGGTAAGGAGTGTGTGCTTGTGATACTTGTCTAGCATCAAAGGAAGAGGCAGTATAGGAAACAAAGCGTGGTCCAAGTCCCTCTTGGAGCTTTTATTCTTCTGGCCTTTGTTAAAATGATTTTATGTGCTGAATATACCATGTTCAATTAGGTTAACATTCATTTTAACATTTAAATTTAAGGAAGTTTACTTTCCACTTGTGTAAAGACCCGTTTATTTTTTCAGTAACATACTAGTAGATGACCAGTAAGTGGTTCAGGATGTTTGCAGTGATTGTGGTGCAGCTAGAGATTGGCACCTAGCCAGAAACTGGTTCTTAGAGCTGTCAGGTGTTAGATCTTGGTAATTAAAGTAAGCTACCTGTAAATGTAGAATTAAAAAATACTGCTGGATGATGGTTCAGATATGCAACAGGGAAACCTATTAGCTAAATTTCTCATTTAGCATAATTTGTTTTGCCCCTTTCTTTTTTATGTAGGGATTCTTTCATTTCCATGTAATAGAATATCTGTCAGTTCAAAAAGTAAAACTAAGTTTTTAGATTTTATTTTATGGGATTCATCTTGCCAGATGATTTAAATGATGAATTTTGTTGGAAATTATTTTTTAAATGGAATTTTATCTCATTTTGTATATTGTTAATCAGATGATTAGCAACTACTTTTATACTGTGGCATTTGTATCAGAATTGATCAGCTAATTTTTTTTATTCTTAGTGCGAGAAAAGAGGAAGAGCAACCATTTGAACCATGTAAGTAAACAGTTGGAAAGCTAAGAAATTAACAGTTGAATTAAAAGTATGTCTGTCATGATTCCATAAAAATATAATGGGGACCCAATACTGTTAGTATGAGCCTCTTTTTGTGGATTTTCTAAATCATTTCTATTTTGCTGAGAATCAGATTTATGCAGGAAAGTCTTTGACTTAGTGTACCCAATTGTTAAGGGTTTCTGACATTTAAGTTAAATTTCAATAGTTTGGTTGTGGTATAAATATCTGCCTTAAATATTTTTGCCTAAAGTTTTTAATCTTTTTAAAAATCAAGTAACAAAATTATAATAGCTAAGTTCATTTTTAGCACTATATGTTGACTTCCTGTCATAACAAGTGAAAACTTAGCTTCCTCACTCCACCGTGACCTTATTTTCTTCCCTCTATTTCTCCCATATATATCACATTTTTAATTAAATCAGTAATTGATGTTTACATTGTTATGATTATACAGATATTATTCACTGCTGAGTCATATATTATTCTCACTGTCTTCTCCTTGTACATCCTTTGTTTCTCTTAAATATTTCTGAAATCTGGGCGTGTCTGCACGTCTCTTCCTAGCCTCCACTAGCTCACACAGCCAAATGCAGTAGTAACCCTTGGCTGGTCTCCTTGCTTTCATGTCTTTTTTTTTGTGTGTGTGGAATTAATTTCCTGACTATATTCATTTGGCTGTTTTCTAACAGCTATTTTTCCCCCCAAATGTTGTAGCATTTGCCACATGCCTATCAAAAATGTTTTCCATCTACTAAAACACATCTGTTCCATTTTTCTCTTGGAGACAGCTTTCCTCAGCCTTTTGTCATCCTCTTCAAATATAGACGGGTTTTTCCTAAGACTGTTCTGTGCCTGTTTTCCTGGGATATCTCTCTGAAGTCATCTGGGATCTCACATAACTGTCCTTTTGTGTTGGGTCCCCTAAATCCTAGATTCTGTGTTTCCCTCTATCTTGTTATCCTTCCTAGTTTTACCGGAGTACATTTTCCTGGGAAAGGGCCCATAGACAGACATATTTAGAGATCTAGCCTGTCTGAAAACCTCCCCTATTTCTTTCTCTCTCTCTCTTTTTTTTTTTTTTTTGAGACAAAGTCTTGCTCTTGTCCCCCAGGCTGGAGTGCAGTGGTGCGATCTCAGCTCACTGCAACCTCTGCCTCCCGGGTTCAAGCGATTCTCCTGTGTCAGCCTCCCAAGTAGCTGGTATTACAGGCGCCTGCCACCACGCCCAGCTAATTTTTGTATTTTTAATAGAGACGGGGTTTCACCATGTTGGCCAGGCTGGTCTCGAACTCCTGACCTCAGGTGATCTGCCCGCCTTGGCCTCCCAAAGTGGGGATTACAGGCATGAGCCACTGCACCTGGCCTTTTTTTTTTTTTTTCTTTTTTTCTCTTTTTTGAGACAGGGTCTCACTCTGTTGCCCAAGCTGGAGGGCAGTGGTGTGGTCTTGGCTTACTGCATCCTTAACCTACTGGGCTCAAGTGATCCTCCCATCTCAGCCTTCCGAGTAACTGGGACTACAGGCATGTGCCACTATGTCCAGCTAATTTTTGTATTTTTCATAGAGATGGGGTTTTGCCCTGTTGCTCAGGCTGGTCTCAAACTCCTGGCCTCAAGCCATCCACCTGCATCAGCCTTTCAAAGTGTTGGGGTTACAGGTGTGAGCCACTGCACCTAGCCAAAGCTTCCTATTTCATAAGAGTATAAAATGCTAGGTTCACTCTAAATTTCATAGTTCTGAAGACATTTCTCTATTATGTTCTCATTATAGTATTCTTGAATCTGTTGCCATTGTGTGATACAGTTCATGTAACCAGTTTTTACATGTCTCCGGAAGCTTTTTAGTGCCTTCTGTATCCCTGAGATCCTGAAATTGCTTAATATGGCTTGCTATGGACCTTTTCTTTTTTCCTTTTTTTTGAGACGGAGTCTTGCTCTGTTGCCAGGCTTGAGTGCAGTGGCGTGATCTCAGCTCACTGCAATCCCCACCTCCCAAGTTCAAGCAATTCTCCTGCCTTAGCCTCCCAAGTAGCTGGGACTACAGGGGCGTGCCACCAAGCCTGACTAATTTTTTTGTATTTTTAGTAAAGAAGGGATTTTACCATGTTGGCCAGGATGGTCTTGATCTCCTGACCTTGTGATCTGCCCGCCTCGGCGTCCCAAAGTGTTGGGATTACAGGCATGAGCCACCGCACCCGGCCTAGACCTTTTCTTTTTATTGGGACCAATAAGTCTGTAGACTATGTCTTCTAGAGAATTTTGTTTTCTTTGTTCCTTCTTTTTCCTGATATTCTTACTATTCAGATGCTGAGCTTATTAGACCAGTGTTTCTGCATTGATCTTTACTTGTCTCCGCCCCCCCCCGCCCCCACCCCACCCCCCCCACCCCCCCGCACTCTCCCATTTTCTAGTTAGTCTTTTGTTCTACTTCTTGGGCATTCTTTTACTTTATGCTCTAACCATTCTATTGAATCTTTCATCTTTTTGAAGGTATTTTAAGAATTTTTTTAAGTTTTCATTTGCTCCTGAATTTTCACCACTCCCATGCATTCCTTTTTCCTATTGTTTTGCTCTCTCTTGTTGGAGGCTTCCCTCACGTGTGATAGTCTCTGGCTTTCTCTAATTGGAAGCAGGACTTTTGTTAACTGATGATTCTTACTGCAAGGACATTGGAGGCCAAGCTAGCCTTTAATTTAGAAGACCTCAGTCTGTTATCTGGTGGGTCTTGTCTTGTCTTTTCTCTCTTCTTTTTTATCTCCTTTCCTTTCCTTTCCTCCTTCCTTTCCCCTTTCCTTTCTCCTGTCCTATCCTTTCCTTTGCTTTTCTTTCTGAGAGAGTCTCATTCTGTCATCCATACTGGAGTGCAGTGGCGTGATCTCAGCGCCCTCTGCCAAGATGCAACCTCTTCCTCCCGAGTTCAAGTGATTCTTGTGCCTCGGTCTCTTGAGTGGCTGAGATTACAGGTGTGTGCCACCACGCCTGGCTAATTTTTTTTTTTTTAGTAGAGACAGGGTTTTGCCGTATTAGCCAAGCTGGTCTCGAGCTCCTGGCCTCAAGTTCACCCACCTCAGCCTCCCAAAGTGCTGGGATTACAGGTGTGAGTCACTGTGCCCTGCTGGATGCGTCTTTTCTGAGACTGTTCAGTTTCTTCAGAGAAGAATCTCCCAATTTTCTACCTGGGGAGTACAAGCATGGCTGCTCATTTTCCAGAAGCAGAGTTGGAAAAGGGAGGTGGAGTTCCACTTCTCAGTGTGTAGTTTTTTTTCCCATTTCCCAGATTTCAGTCCTACTATTTCTGAGCCCAGAACCTTCTATATTCCTTATAAGATGGGAGGACAGGTGGACCTGGGACTCCAACTACATATTTTCAGCCGACCTTGCTGGCTTTTGTTTTGTGTTTCACTCTACCTTCCAAGGTGCCATGTGCCTCTGAGTTTGAAGTCTGCCTTGGGTTCTGTAAGACAAACTAACTTGATCCTGTTCCAGTCACTCTCTGTAGGCACTAAAGTTGTGCTTCCATATCAGTTACCACTCCTTTGTCTTTTTCATCTTTCAAGATTTATTAAAAGTCATCTGCTGTGGCCGGGTGCGGTGGCTCACGCCTGTAATCTCAGCACTTTGGGAGGCTGAGGCGGGAGGATCACTTGAGGTCAGGAGTTCCAGACCAGCCTTGCCAACATGTTGAAACTCCGTTTCTACTAAAAATATAAAAATTAGCCGGGTGTGGTGGTGCACACCTGTAATCCCAGCTGCTCGGGAGGCTGAGGCAGGAGAATTGCTTGAACCTGGGAGGTGGAAGCTGCAGTGAGCCAAGATTGCACCACTGCACTCCAGCCTGGGCAACAGAGCAAGACTCTGTTTAAAAAATAAATAAATAAATTTATAAACTCTGTCTCAAAAATAAAATAAAACAAATGGAAATATTATCTGCTGTCAATCCTGTTGCCTGCTCCTGTGTATAACCTTTATTTTATGTCTTTAATTCTAATGAAATTTCAGGAGGGCAAGGAAATAAATTTATGGTCAATCTGCCATGTTTAACCCAAATTTAGAACCTTTATTTAAAGTGTAAATCTAAGTTTAAATTCAACATAATGATACTAATCCAGACATTTTTTAGTTATAATAAGCATATTATACTCTTCTAGTAAGGCCTTAGGAATTGTATTCAAACTCTGCATCCTGCTATATTGCCCCATTACTGTGCAACATAGATGGAGGTGTTTCATTAATGCACAAAATGTCAGAAATTTTTAAGTTAATTAAAAGTCATTAATTCTTTTTTTTTTTTGAGACGGATTCTGTAGTAGCATTTACCTCTTATTTTAAATGGGTTAAAATTAGAGGCAGTAGGCACAATGGGAAAAGTCAGTGGATAGGCATAGGAGTTCAACAGGTACTTTACCTTTAAGGTTTCAGTTGTGACTCAGTAGATTACTAAGTATGATTATTTTCTATCTTTGCTATTCTCCCTTAAGTCTACTCAGTACCCCTTCCCTTTCTTGTTAAAGATTGTCATTTGTGCAGACTAAATGAAGATGAATGATATATTCTTTGTCCCTATTTTGTGACTACCTGAAATGACATCTGTGAACTTTCAGTAGTGTTTTGTTGTTTGGATTTTTTTTAAGTATTTATATTTTATATTATTATGTTTGTCAATAGAGTTTGTTGAGGTTGTAAGTCAGCTTTGGTAAGGCTTTAGCCTAAAATAAAGGAAATTGTTGAGTTTTCCAGCAACATGATGGGGGAATTACCTGTTGCCAGCTATAATTGCTTTGCTCAGAAGCTTAATTCTGCCACCCCCTAGTCTCAAGAGATATAGTGATACTCTTGATAACAAAAAATTTGGATAGTTGAAAGTTAGTGGTGTGTCTCATGCTATATATTGATTAGCAGAGAGGTTTCTTCTTTTTTTTTTTTTTTTTTTTTGAGACCAAGTCTCGCTCTGTCACCCAGGCTGGAGTGCAGTGGTGCAATCTTGGCTCACTACAACCTCCGCCTCCCAGGTTCAAGTGATTCTCTTGCCTCGGCCTCCCGAGTAGTTGGGATTATGGGAGCCCACCACCACGCTTGGCTAATTTTTGTATTTTTAGTAGAGATAGGGTTTCTCCATGTTGGCCTGGCTGGTCTCGAACTCCTGACCTCAGGTGATCCACCCGCCTTGGCCTTCCAAAGTGCTGGAATTACAGGTGTGAGCCACCGTGCCCAGCCCCACCTTCCACTTTGAATGAATGTATTTGAATGAGTCAGTTTTTATTTTTTATACTGTATGTGTTTCTTGAGACAATAAAAGTATATACATTAGCACACATACACAGTTAATGTAAACTATATACATTAAATATAATAGCTTAAGAAACATGAGTTTAGATATAGTTGAAAACATTTCTAGGTTGAAGGAGAATTTGGTCCTTCAAATAGTAATACTTTTTAAAAATAGAATATCTGGGACTTTTTGTTAGTAAGAATTAAGTGACTGCAGTAAAAACATCTGAAACAAAATGCTGTTACACTGTATGGATATTTCTGATTATTGGCTACTGGCGATTTTTTAATGCATGCATTTTTAAAAGCAATGACTAGACCTTCTCCCTGCCCTGTCTTTCATGTATATGTGTGGGATACTGATGGGAGAGTGTGACAACATGGTAAAAACTATCATATTAATAGGAAGAAGGAAGGCTCATCTGAATTAGTTTTTTTTTTAAGTGTTAAAATTATTAGTATTCTGTGGTTTTAAAAAAAAATGCTACTGTTACTTTCAGCTATTCAATGACTGGGATTTGGTTACTGACCTTCTTAACATAGTTCAGGCTGTTTCAGTATTTGACTGTTGCACTCTTCCCAAATAAATGGATACTTCTAAAGTGTTTTAAAGATGGTTTATTTTCTAGAGGGCTCAAAAAGTTCATAGTCACCTCCTTGATACAAATGCAGATAAATTCTGCTAATTTGTGTGTAGTAGCATTTACCTTCCAAATTGTAACTGATTTAAATAATTTGTCAAACACTTGTTGAACTCCTTAATTTGTCCCCAATTCTGTGCTCAGCAGCCAGAGGTATGAGGAGGAAGAGTCCTTCCTTCCCTGGAGAAGCTTACTTTCTTGTGAGGGGTTACTCCACAAGCAGTTGGTATCATGTAACAAGTGGTGAATTAGATGGATGAATGTACCAAAAGGGAAATGTTTTTTGGTGTGGCTGCGGGCAAAGGGATCCCAGAAGGCAGATGGGGTCAGGCTTATCGGGATAAGGAGGAAGAACAAGGTATTCCAGGCAGAGCAGCATGAGTGAGTCAGGCAAGTGCCATGATGCCTGTCAAATAACTTATAGAATAAAATTAATAACATTTTGAAATGGAGAGTGTTCTCTGAGGTTCTCATTTGAATAATGTAATGGCAGTTTTATTTAAATATGAAGTGCAAGTTAAATTCCTAAAGTTGTTTTTGTCATCTTTTTTGTTTGGAATATTAAAGTGATACTTTTTCTTCTCCACATAAGAAAACAGGCCCTTTCACTGAGGGTGATGGAGCAGCCCTGGCAGACGAAGCCTCTGACTGTGAAACACTTGTTTCTCATACTGTCTCCTGAACTAATACGTTTAATATTAGTAACTTAGTAAATGTAGTATTAGGCTTTCATTTACTTCAATAAAATGCTCTTATGCAAATATGATTTAAGGCATTACATTTTACTGTAGTGAAGGAATAATAGAAAATCTCAGCTGCTTTTTATTGCTTAAGAAAAAACACTGAAATCTTATTGTAAACTTTTCCCATTAATTTATACAGGGAATGCATAACAGATGCTTGCCAGGTTTGATTATAGGTACCACAAGAGCAGCATTTCATAACCCATTCCTCAAACACTGTCTGTGGGAGAGCCTCCACTGGGTTTCCCATAGAGCTGCACATGATACTACACTCAGGCAGTTCATGGAGTGTAAGAAATATCTTAATGCTTTATCATTTGACATTTTAACCAAGGAAAAACCACACTTTTATAGGTTTAACTTACTGTGACATTTTCTTCTATTTCCCTTCCCCTTCAGGTATCTCCAGGGCAGCTTACTAAAAAGTATAGCTCATGCTCAACAATATTTCTAGATGACAGCACAGTCAGCCAGCCTAATCTTAGAACCACAGTAAAATGGTGAGTACAACTAGGCTGCCAAGGGCTGAGTGACAGACCCCCTTATGCTAAAAGCATCCTAGCCATCCTCGGTAATTTCAGCCATTTGATTGTCCTTTTCAGCAATGAGTTTAAGAAATCGGTGTCAACTATATATTGATTTCAAGGATCTAAATATGAATTTTAATTTCCTGTTTTAATCTTAGGCTGCATGGTGGAAGGGAAAGCCAGTTAGTGAAGAAGCAATCCCAGAAAAGTGTAGCTATTTATTTAATGCATTTATGTTAAGACAGTGTCGAACATAATGTGAGAAGGAGAGGTGCTTTTTATTGGATGTTTCTGGAAAAACGTTAGTTTGTTATGAGTTACAGGTCTCAAACAATGTGTACTGCTTTGCAAACTACTCTTGGAAGAAGGAACAGCTTGTCCTCTACTGGCACCATAGTGTATCTGCATTTACATTTTCCCTGTCGTGCATGAGCACCTCTTGGGCACAATCTGAGATGCACTTTCAGAACACCCTAAGATGAACTTTTCAAGTTTATTTAAAAACCAACAACAACAGCAAACAACTCCATTGGGGTTGTCAGGAAACTATTAACATCTCCTTGGATTATGAGCGTTGATTTTCAGAACACCGTTGGGAAGTGCTACACTAGAATATTAATGTCCTTATCCCTAATTTTACTTTTTAGTCTAAAAACATAACTAGCTTATAAACTTAATTTTGTTTCTAATGTACTAGCTTTTTTTTTTAGTTAATTCAATTGTCAGTAACTTCTACTTTAAAAGCAGCAAATTTACACTCATAATAATGTCACTTTCCTCTCTCACTTAAAACAATAGTTGAAATCAAATTGTGTTTCAGCACAAACTGGACTCTGACTCTGTCTAAAGTCCTGAGCTTTGGCACCTACTGAGTAATCATTCAATGTTTGTATTCAGCCAAGGTCCTAAATCCTTGAGTTAAAAAACCACTCCACTTTGGCTAGAGTCCCTGGCTTCTTTTGAATTCAAAAGATTCTGATGTTTCTATAAGATTCAAAGTAGTTTTAAAGATTAACCTTGCTCAAACAAGTATAATAGATTTCATGCTTTTTTCCCCCCATTTTAGTCTTAATTTTTAGATGTCTACTTTTGGAAGTACAGTAAGTTTTAATTTGTTCTCAGTAAGTTTTAGAAATGATCATTTGGTATATTTCACTACTGGTTAAATAAAGGTTTCACAAGTATGGCAAATTGACTTTTAGGAAAGATTTTGAAAAATGTTTATCATGGCTTACTAGTGCGTTATTCTCATAGGTTGGGTGAGCCATATCAGAATCACTTACGCAACTTTTTTCAAAATATATGTCCACAAACAAATTCATCTCACCTCCACCTTCCCTTGATCTCTAGGCAGTCACAAGCCTTTTAGGAAAATGGAGAAGGCATGTGAGGCATAATTACACAGACAAGCACATCCCAGATGATTCTGGTCTTAACCCTAACTCAGTCATTCCCAAAATTTGCAGCACATTGGAATCATCACCAGGGGAACTTTAAAAACAACCCTCAGGCTGGGCGTGGTGACTGACACCTGTAATCCTAGCACTTTGGGAGGCCAAGGCGGGTAGATTGCCTGAGCTCAGGAGTTTGAGACCAGCCTGGGCAACACGGTGAAACCCCATTTCTAGTAAAATACAAAAAAATTAGCCAAGCGTGGTGGCGTGCACCTGTAATCCCAGCTACTTGGGAGGCTGAGACAGAATAGCTTGAATCCGGGAAGCGGAGGTTGCAGTGAGCCGAGATTGTGCCATTTTACTCCAGCCTGGGCGACAGAGCAAGACTCTGTCTCAAAAAAAAAACAAAACAAAACACACAAAAAGACAACAAAAAACACTCCTCATGCCCCAAGTCATACCCGATGCCAATTAAATCAGAATGTCTCAAGTTGGAAGTTAGGCAGTTTTTAAAGCTCCTCAGGTGATTGCAGTGTGCAGAAAGTTTGAGAACCACTGCTTAATTGAATGTAGGAGGATGAACTGCTTCTATTTGGTGGGACCTTGGGCAAGTCAGTTTTAAGCCTTGGTTCCCATATCTGTAAACTGGGTGTTGGATTAAATGTCATGTAAGGTTCCGTGGTCCTTTTCAGCATATAACTTCAAATTCTGTAATGTTAAAATCAATTTGGACATGAAAATGTTTGAAGCACTATAGAAGTATCCATCTTAGATGCTAATGTTACAGACTTTTTAAAAAAGTGCTAACATTGTATGGACTTAAAATTCAGATTTGCCTTCCCTCAATTATTTTGAGCCTCAGTTTAGAGACTGAGGGCAAATGGAAGCATATAACTTACCTAAGACAACTCCTTGTTTCCTGATACACAACATCTGTGGGTAATTTAGGAATACAGTAACATATATCTGAAAAGTCGTGTCTGTTCACTAATATTTTACTTAAACCAATGTGGAAATACTTGCCATTAATATTACACTTTGTAGTTTTATGCTGCATTGTTAGCACTGCTTATTTCAGGATAGCTACACCTATCATTGGTTTTGTGTGCACTTATTTACTAATAAATTTTCTACTAATGATGCAAAATTGATCATAAATGATTTTATTTGGTATAAAACACTTTTATTTACTTTAAGGGGAAATAATGAAAGATGGGTGGGTAGGTGATAGTTAATTAAATCAACTGAAATGCAGAGCCTAACAGCTTAAAAAGCAAAAAATAAAAATAACCAAAAAACCAAATAGTTTAAATTTAAGCATGTATACAAATAGGTAGAACTTGTATAAAATGAAAGGTTCTATGGGCAGAAGAGCAAATGGGGATATATGTAATTATTTATATATTATAATAGTCCACAGAAACATGTATTTTAACAGCATATTACTGGGTTTTTTTTTTTTTTTGAGACGGAGTCTCGCTCTGTCGCCCAGGCTGGAGTGCAGTGGCACGATCTCGGCTCACTGCAAGCTCTGCCTCCCGGGTTCACGCCATTCTCTTGCCTCAGCCTCCTGAGTAGCTGGGAATACAGGCGCCTGCTACCACGCCCGGCTAATTTTTTGTATTTTTAGTAGAGACGGGGTTTCACCGTGTTAGCCAGGATGGTCTCGATCTCCTGACCTCGTGATCCACCTGCCTCGGCCTCCCAAAGTGCTGGGATTACAGGCGTGAGCCACTGCGCCCGGCCTTACTTAGCATTTTGGTTCGTGTATTTTTGCTGAAAGGAACTAAAACAAGGGGAAAGTACCCATATGGTACTGTTCTGAACTAGAGGATTTCAGGGCCGCTAGGAGGGTTCCTCCCTTCCCTCATTTAAAAAATGTCTTCAGGCCTAACAAATGTTTAAATCAGTTGTTAAAAATAATTTTTTTTTCCCTTCACAGTGTGACCTTAGCAATATATTACCACATAAAGAACAGGTGAGCTCCTTTAAAACCTGTCTTGTTATTCCAGCTAATTACTTTGCATGATATCAAGTTCAGTATTAGGTCATAACTATAGACATCATAAGCTATAGATTGCTATTACAGTATTGAACTGAATCATTTGTGGTTTTTCTGGTCCCCAAGATGGTTTCAATTATTAAATTACTGAGGATCCCAAAGAGTATTTGTTTATGTTGGTTATATTGATATTTATTGCATTAGAAATTGAAGTTGAGAATTTAAAAAAAAAAACCCTATATTTAGTTTCAGTTTCTCAACGTTGGCACTGTTGATATTTTGAGCTACATAAGTCTTTGTTGTGGGGACTGTCCTGTGTATTGTAGGATATTTAACAGCTGTCCCAGGTTGTGACAACAAAAATATAACCCCTGACTGAGAATCATATTGTTAACATAAATAATATTTTTTCATGAAAAATAACTCTCTTCTACAACAACGAAGTTGAGTAAAATGTGTCATGTATTTATATATATACAACTCTCTAGTGTCCAGCTTAACAGAAAACAGCTGGATTCTCATCTCTGTCTTTGCAATTAGTTTTTTTTTTTAATTTCAACTTTTATTTTAGATACAGTGAGTACATGTGTAGGTGTATTACGTGGCTAATAGTGCACCCTGGTAGTGAGCTGTAATTTGTTTTGAAGAAGTGATAAGAAGATGACCTAGCCTCACGCAAATATATAGTTGGTAAAAGGTATATTTTTAAAGCTTTCAGATGGTTGTGGGTATTCTTTATTTTTTAGTTTATTTTTATTTGGTTTTTTTTGAGACGGAGTCTTGTCTGTTGCCCAGGCTGGAGTGCAGTGGCACGATCTCGGCTCACTGCAACCTCCACTTCCCAAGTTCAAGCGATTCTCCTGCCTCGGGCTCCCGAGTAGGTGGGGTTACAGGCGCATGCCACCACGCCTGGCTAATTTTTGTATTTTTAGTAGAGATGGAGTTTTGCCATGTTGACCAGGCTGGTCTTGAACTCCCGACCTCAGGTGATCCACCCGCCTCAGCCTCCCAAAGTGCTGGGATTACAGGCATGAGCCACCATACCCGGCCAGTATTCTTTAATACTACCCAACACTCCACAAGTGCTAGTTTCTTAAAATGGTTACAGTGGAATTTTGTGTTATCAATGAATTTTTTATTAGTACTCACCCATCTGTCTTGTACAATATATGTATCATTTCCCCTTACTTGGTTTTCTAATATTATGCATTGGTTATATGGAAAATATTGGTTCACATCTCTTCTTTCTTTTTTTTTTCTTTTTTTTGAGACAGAGTCTCATTCCATCACCCAGGCTGGAGTGCAGTGGTGCAGTCTCAGCTCACTGCAACCTCCGCCTCCCGGGTTCAAGCGATT
The DNA here is from genome assembly GCF_000001405.40 of Homo sapiens. Taxonomy (NCBI): domain Eukaryota; kingdom Metazoa; phylum Chordata; class Mammalia; order Primates; family Hominidae; genus Homo; species Homo sapiens. The sequence goes on from NC_000002.12 coordinate 207,738,827, forward strand.
CTCCTGTCTCAACCTCCCAAGTAGCTGAGATTACAAATACATACCACCATACCAGCTAATTTTTTGTATTTTTAGTAGAGACAGTGTTTCACCATGTTGCCCAGGCTGGTCTTGAATTCCTGAGCTCAAGCAATCCGCACACCTCAGCCTCCCAAAGTGCTAGGATTACAGGCGTGAGCCACCATACCCAGCCTGGTTCACATTTCTTGACAGTGGCAAAGCTCACTTTTGTTAGTATCACCACCAATTGTATTAAAAAATCTTTAAGTATTGAGAAGCTGTTAAACTCACATAATAAGGTACAAGTTTCTCCAAATCCTGATTTTTAGTTTGAAAGCTTGAATTTTATCATTGCAACAAATAGTGTTATTTTCTTGAAGTGACAGGCTTCATTTTTTTAAAACTTTTTATTTATTTATCTTTTGAGACTGAGTCTCACTCTGTTGCCCAGGCTGGAGGGCACTGGTGCCATCTTCGCTCACTGTAACCTCTGCCTTCCGGGTTCAAGTGATTCTCCTGCCTCAGCCTCCTGAGTAGCCGGGACTGCGGGCGCCTGTCACCATGCCTGGCTAATTTTTGTATTAGTAGAGATGGGGTTTCACCCTGTTGGCCAGGCTGGTCTCGAACTCCTGACCTCAAGTGATCCACCCGCCTCAGCCTCCCAAGGTGCTGGGATTATAGGCATGAGCCACCACACCTGGCCACTTCTTTCATTTTTGAGAATGACATTTGTACTTTCAAGTAAAAATGATATTCTGTGAAAAAAAAATGGCTTGTTTAGCTCACAATTAAATCACAAGTGCTTTTCCTTAACACAACTCTACCTCGGTATGCAGAATTACTTTATGTGAACTTTCTGCTTACTCCAGAATAGTGAAAAGAAAGGTCAAGATTTAATAATACCATTAATTTTTACTGCTTCAGCAAGGATATTCATGAGTGAAGCAGGTGTTTTTCTTAAACTGCAAGAGGCAGTAAAGAGTAGCATAACTTCTAGTATAATTTGGTAGCACTGCCTTGATTCATGCTGAGAAGCCAGCAGTTTGCCCACTTTTGCTGTTATACACTCATTACAAATGTCATACAGTCAAAAAGCAAGCAATACCTTAGTATTCTTTTTTTTTAAATTATTTTTATTTCTAAATTTTCAATCAGCTTTCTCAGGTTGAATAAGTATTCTTAAAAGAACAGTTTTGACCTCAAGGACCTCTTGGAAAAGGATCTAGAGGGTCTCCAGAAGTCCACAGACCACACTTGGAGAACCACTGGTTTTATTAAATGAGCACAATGTATTAGTTTTATAAACTTGTAAAGATTATCAAAGCCTTGTCTCTTTTAAAATAAAAAGACAATAAGGTTTTTAACTCATCAAACTACTTAAACAAATACATGTCAAGAATGTAATACGGAGAACTAGAAAGGAAAAGCCTGGGAAATCTGAATTTCATTCACAGTCATTAAAGTTCTAAAGAGTTTATTGCCCACCACTACTGCTGTGTAAAACGTTCTTGAGTTCCAATGAGGGGTTAGAAGAGTGAAAATATACTTTATTACCATTGCCTGTTAGGGAGGGCCAATACTTAAAGGCAATTCTGAATCGTCATTGTAGAAAAGACCTCACAGTACAGAACCTCATATGCTGAGTAAAAAGAGGTCAGGAAATCCTCTGAAGGCTGGCATCCCGGAGAAGAATTTGTACAACTCTTTGCTTTGGTGAAGCAAACACCAAAGCAAACAGGAGGCATCTCCCGCCACCCCCAGCAGACATTTTACTCAGATATTAACAATTCCTGAATTAACTTCTTCAATGCATATTCTTATTTTATAGAGATGCAAATAGATCCCTGGATATTTTTGATGAGAGATCACATCCACTTACAGTAAGTGTCACTTTTTTTGAGGTAGTATTTTTCTCTCATAGAGTTGTGTTTATTTCATGCTGATATTTATAAATAGTCCTAACAAATATACATGATCTCTATGAAGATAATTAGAAAACAATTTAAATTTAAATCAATTAAAATGGTGTAAACATTTAAAAATTCACTTCCTCAGGTATATGATAGCCGCTCGTGGCTAATGACTATTGTCTTGGACAGTGAAGCCTTTGAGCCTTATGGTTACAGGAAACTAAAGATATTTTTTCAGGCCGGGCACGGTGGCTCATGCCTGTAATCTCAGCACTTTGGGAGGCCGAGGCAGGCGGATCACGAGGTCAGGAGATCAAGACCATCCTGGCTAACACAGTGAAACCCCGTCTCTACTAAAAATACAAAAAATTAGCCGGGCACGGTGGCAGGCGCCTGTAGTCCCAGCTACTTGGGAGGCTGAGGCAGGAGAATGGCGTGAACGTGGAAGGCGGAGCTTGCAGTGAGCCAAGATCGCTCCACTGCACTCCAGCCTGGGCGACAGTGAGACTCCATCTCAAAAAAAAAAAATTTTTCAAAGTGTATTTAAGAGAATCCTAACATATGATTAGTAAGACTTTCGAGCCTACAAGTAGTTTACATTTTGATAGAATTCTGTGGATAGAAAGTGGAAAGGAACATAAAAATTTTCTGAGTTGTGCCTGTATTTTTCCTTAATGATAAATGGTGATGAGTATTGAATCACTATGATATTTTAAGATCCAATTGTTTATATTTTAAAAACTAAAAGTCATGTCACTCAACCAGAATTATTTTAAGGGGTACATGGGCTCAAACGTCAACACTGCTGGTCTTAGGAGTACTTAGGCCAGCTGGGCATGGTGGCTCACCCCTGTAATCCCAGCTCTTTGGGAGGCCGAGGTGGGCAGATCATGAGGTCAGGAGTTTGAGACCAGCCTGGCCAGCATGGTGAAACCCTGCCTCTGTTAAAAATACAAAAAATTAGCCGGACATGTTGGTGCACGCCTGTAATCCCAGCTACTCAGGAGGCTGAGGCAGGAGAATCACTTGAACCTGGGAGGTGGAGGTTGCAGTGAGCCGAGATTGTGCCACTGCATTCCAGCCTGGGCGACAGAGCAAGACTGGGTCTCAAAAAAAAAAAAAAAAGTACTTAGGCCGGGCGTGGTGTCTCACGCGTGTAATCCCAGCACTTTGGGAGGCCAAGGCAGGTGGATTGCCTGAGGTCAGGAGTTTGAGACCAGCCTGACCAACATGTTGAAACCCCGTCTCTACTAAAAATACAAAAACTAGCTGGGCGTGGTGGCGGGTGCCTGTAATCCTAGCTACTCAGGAGGCTGAGGCAGGAGAATCACTTAAACCCGGGGGGTAGAGGTTGCAGTGAGCCAAGATCATGCCATTGCACTCCAGCCTGGGCAGTAAGAGTGAAACTCAGTCTCAAAAAAAAAAAAAAAAAGCTTAAAATTTTTTTCTTCAGTGGATACTAACATTGCATCTTTTCTTCTTTCAGCGAGAAAAAGTTCCAGAGGAATACTTTAAGCATGATCCTGAGCACAAATTTATTTACAGATTTGTTCGTACTCTTTTTAGTGCTGCACAGCTAACAGCTGAATGTGCAATAGTAACTTTGGTAAGATATTTCTCATTTATAAAGTGTCTTTAGAAATTAGTCTTGTACACAGGGTATGGTCCTATTTTTCAAATAAAAATAGGTTCCTGAAATTATCATCAGAACTTTAAGAGAAACCTATGAAAGGAACATAAATACGTACATTCGCGTTTAATCATCATTATGGTTGAACATGTTTCCATTGCTTTTCTCATCACAGAACAGTTGCTACAAAAGGCAGCCGGGGAGATTTCTGGTTTCTCCCCCTACCCATCAATGCACATGTACACATTCAGTGTGTACACATACAAGGCATGGTGGCAGGGCTGGGGGTGATGGGGAGTGGTAACAAAACCATGTGGTTCAGAGCCAGATACTGATTCCAGTGTAGGTCTAAGCCAAGTCCCAGGCTCTATTCCCCAGGTATTTCCGATATGTGTGGTGATTGAGAACTATTGCCCTAAATTCTTTGTTCCTTGGATGATGGGTTTTAATCATCTCTGCCTACCTCTTGTGCCTGCTCGTGATGTTGCCCAGCAATGTGGTACCAGCAATACTTGGACAAAGGCTTTGCTGATTAGCTTACTAAGCTATAGCTGTGTCCTTAACTTTATGTCCTCCATACAGAATTCCTATGGTAAGATTTTATCATTGAATAATAAATCCTATTCAAGTGGTTAGGATTGTTTTACTCCTCCCCACAGCAAACCTATAGAGGAAGGTCAACTGCATGGCCTGGAGGGAAAGAATACTTAGGTCAGTACCTACTCCTTTAGCATCCAATTGGAATTTAGGAGAGAAGGCTTCTGTGCACTTGAATAGAAGCCCCTCAGTGGGTACTGGATCAGACTTAGGCCTTTTCATGGAGCTGTAAGCCATTTGGAACACTTAGCACATACTGTAGAGAAGCAGGAGTGGTGCTTCCAGATGTAGAGAGACAGGTGATACAGGAGAGGAAGCTGTACAGGAAGAGGGGAGTTCATTTTAGATGGTTTAAGCTCTATGTGCCTGTGAGGTAGCAGTGACAGTGTCCAATAATCATTTGAATGTACCGGACTGGAGCATGAATCTGAGCTTAGAGGTAAGGAATGAAGAGTTATAGTAGCTGTTCAAATACAGAGAAAGGTTGCAGAATGAAAGTGGAGAAGCTAGGCATGGTAGTGCACACCTGTAGTCCCTGTTGCTGGGGAGGCTGAGGTGGGAGGATCACTTGAGTGCAGTAGTTTGAGTCCAGCTTGGGCAACATAGCAAGACCCCCATCTCTAAAAAAAGAAAAGAAAGTGGATAGAAGATAGATCTCTAAAGACTGTTAGCATTTTTGAGGGACAAGCTCCCAGATGGAGTGGAAGGAGGAAACCCAGGAGAAGGTAATAAAAGAACAGAGATCAAGATAAGAGAGGCTATGGTCCCAGTGTTAAATGCTGCCAAGAAGTTTCTGATTCTGTAAATATTCACTGGGTGCCTACTCTGTGCCACTATTCTTGTTTTTTGTTTTTGTTTTTGTTTTTGTTTTGTTTTGTTTTAATTTTTTAGTAGAACTAGAGTCTAGCTATGTTGCCCAGGCTGGTCTCAGAACTGACCTCAGGTGATCCTGCCAGAGTGTTGGGATTACAGACGTGAGCTACCAAGTGCTAGAGTAGAGGAGAGGCAGATTGAACAAAGTTCTTGCCTTTATGAGCTTATGTTCTAGTGAGGAAGACATTTTTTCAGGTAGTGGTAAGTAGCAAGAAGATGAAGCAGCATAAAGGGATACAGAGTGACAGGAGGGGCTCACTATTTTAGATAGAATGATCAGGAAGAACCTCTCTAGAGGTGACATTTGAGCAGTGACCTGATCAAAGCAAGAAGGTAAAGAGTGCTGGCATTACAGGCAGCCAGACAAGTGCCAAGACTAGACAGGAACATTTTGTGTGTGTGTGTGTGTGTGTTCAAGGAACAAACAGCAAGGTGTCCCGTGTGGTTGGAGTGAGTTGGAAAGAGTGGAGGAGGTTGAGGTCACATAGGGCCTTTTGGCTTGCAGGCCACAGGAAGGTTTTTTTTGTTTTGTTTTGTTTTGTTTTTGAGATGCGGAGTCTTGCTATGTCACCCAGGCTGTAGTGCAGTGGCTCAATCTTGGCTCACTGCAACCTCCACCTCCCAGGTTCAAGCAATTCTCCCTGCCTCAGCCTCCCGAGTACCTGGGCTTACCAGTGCCCGTCACCACGCCTAATTTTTTTTTTTTTTTTTTAAGTAGAGACCGGGCTTCGCCATGTTGGTCAGGCTAGTCTTGAACTCCCGACCTCAGGTGATCCGCCTACTTCGGCATCCCGAAGTACTGGGATTACAAGTGTGAGCCACTGCGCCTGGCCAGGAAGAAGTTTTTATTCCAGTTTGATGGGTACTTTAGGTAGATTTTGAGCAGGGGAGTGAAGTGCTCTTAAGAAGTTATGCTGATGGCTTGAAGAGAGTAGGCCATAATTGGCAGAATAGAGGCAGAGAAGAGAGTTAAGAAGCAACGAGGGTGATACAGGTGAGCAGTGACAAATGGCAGCTCAGAATCAAAAGCGAGCAGCCTACCAATGAAGGTGGACATAGCAGGAATTGTGCACAGTCTGGTGTGGGATAACTTGAATGTAGGTATTTGGTCTCAGCAACTAGGTGAATGGAAATGCCCTGTACAATATTAGGGAAGACTTGGGGAGTGGAGCAGTGGGATGAAGAGCTCTGGCTTGTAAGTGTGAAGACTCTGGGGACCTTGGCAAGAGGAGTCTCAGGAGAGTGACAGCAGCAAGGGACAAACAGGAGTGGGTTAAGGAGAGATGGGAGATGAGAAGCTGACACCAGGACATGATGCTTTGAGCAAATGAGAGGACACATCCGGGGAGTTGTGGGGAGGGGGATGGGAACAAAGGAAACACGTTGGGGAAAATCTCTGGCAGAGAAGGAGAAAGCCTTCAAAAAGACGCAGTTGCGGGGACAGTGTTCTGCACAAGTGGGAGGGGATCAACTGCACTGATGGAGTTGGCTTTAGTGGGAAGAAAAGAACTCTCACACTGACACAGGAGGGCAAGTGGTATCAGTGAGCATCAGCACATCACCAGCTTACCCGTAAAGGCAACAGGAAGTTGAGGGATTGTCTATGTTGTTTCCCTGTGGTCTAATTATTCCCATTGAGATTTGAACCCTGTTAGGATACTGAGAGTGCAGAATTTGGGGGAAAGGGAACAGAATCTCTCTTAAGAACATGTCATGTTCAATATCCATTTTTGAAAACACAGTCCAGTTTGGAGAACACTGCCAGATCTGATCTGCCTATCTGATAACCTTCAGACAGTAAATAAGCTCTGTTAAAATGAACTTTTTTCAGGCTTGGCACAGTGGCTCACGCCTGTAATCCCAGCACTTTGGGAGGCTGAGGTGGGCAGATCACTTGAGGCCAGGAGTTTGAGACCAGCCTGGCCAACATGGTGAAACCCCGTCTCTACTAAAAATACAAAAATTAGCCAGGCGTGCTGGCGGGTGCTCAGCTACTTGGGAGGCTGAGGCAGGAGAATCGCTTGAACCCAGGGGGCAGAGGTTGCAATGAGCCAAGATTGCATCACTGCACTCCAGCCTAAAAAGATTTCTTTTTGTCTTGATACAGAGTTCAAACAGCATATAGACATACTCTTCCACAGAGAACCCTTTGAGGTAACAGCAAATTACAGCTTACCTCTGAAATCTTTACTCAGCTGTTCACTTTGCTCAGTTCTTTGAAGGATGTTTGGTAGATGTAAAATAATTCATGAAATTGTCTCATAAACTGCTTGGCAGGTTTAGAGGAATACCAGGGGTCCAGAGACATCCTTTTGTCCATCTGTGTTCCTTGTGGAGGCACTGAATACGGGGAATATTTTACAGCCTAAAGACCTGTCATGCTGCTCTGCACAGCAGCCACTGGGTGGCTCTCTTGACCAGCAGTTCTTCAAGCTAGTGCCACAAAAGGGTTAGTTACTGTGAAAAGGAGAAGGTAAAAATGTGCTCAGTATTACTTGGGTTTTACATATTTGAGCATAATATAGCTACCTGTAAAATTACTATCTACCATGCAAGTATGATACATTGTACCTGGTAGGCACTCATTATTTATTGAACAACTCTATTATGGGTGTGGAGGTGATAAGAGTGCCTCTCTTGATGATGCTGTTTGCTGAGATGTCCAGTCATTCCTGTGACTGGGTGGGAAATGTATATGGGCAGAATAGGCAGCAGAGATATCTGACCTACAACTGTGATTTAGTGTCTTGCTTTGGCTGAGTAAGCAAAGTCTCTGTAGAACATAAGAATAAAAGGCACTTATTTTCTGGTCAAAAACAAAAGAAATTTGTCAGTCATGAATTCTTATCAAAGCATTTCGGGGCCGGGCGCGGTGGCTTACGCCTGTAATCCCAACATTTTGGGAGGATCTGGTGGATCACCTGAGATCAGGAGTTCGAGACCAACCTGACCAAAATGGAGAAACCCCGTCTCTACTGAAAATACAAAAATTAGCTGGGCATGGTGGCGCATGCCTGTAATCCCACCTAGTCGGGAGGCCGAGGCAGGAGAATCACTTGAACCTGGGAGGCGGAGGTTCTGTGAGCCGAGATCGCACCATTGCACTACAGCCTGGGCAACAAGAGTGAAACTCCGTCTCAAAAAAAAAAAAAAAGCTTATCAAAGCATTTAAACTGAACTAAAATCAAAGACCAGTGCTCTATTTTACAGGTTTACTTAGAAAGGCTTTTAACTTATGCTGAAATCGACATTTGTCCCACCAACTGGAAAAGGATTGTTCTGGGAGCCATTCTTCTTGCCTCCAAGGTTTGGGACGATCAGGCTGTATGGAATGTGGACTACTGCCAGATCCTCAAGGACATTACAGTTGAGGACATGTGAGTTTGTAAGGTTTTGGTGAACTTTCTAACCATTTTCCAGTATCTTATTCCTATAAAGTTAACAATTTAAGGAATATTTTTAAAGGTTACATTATGCAGATAATGGAAATAGGCATAAGACTATATCTGTCTATCTTTAGTATAACAGTTCACAATAGAGCAAGACTGTCTCAAAAAAAAAAAAACTAACTTCATATTTTCCATCATTACTTGGTAGGTTTTGATGTGTAATAATCTGCTTGATAAATTGAAAAATATTTTTTGGGTGGTTTTTGGCAAAAATCTTACAAGTATACTACCAGAACAACATAGCACAGTAAATATCTTTATTTTATTTTATTTTTTGTTTTGAGACGGAGTCTTGCTCGGTTGCCTAGGCTGGAGTGCAGTGATGCAGTCTCGGCTCACTGCAAGCTCCACCTCCCAGGTTCAAGCGATTCTCCTGCCTCAGCTTCCTGAGTAGCTGGGATTACAGTGGGATTACAGGCATGCGCCACCATGCCTGGCTAATTTTTGTATTTTTAGTAGAGACGAGGTTTCACTGTGTTGGTCAGGCTGGTCTTGAACTCCTGACCTTGTGATTCGCCCGCCTCCGTCTCCCAAAGAGCTGGGATTACAGGCATGAACCACTACGCCTGGCCTCTTTATGGCTTTTAAAAAGTTATCTGCCAGTTCAAGCTCCTTTCTCTTTTTCATTCATTCATTCATTCATTCATTTATATCTTTTCATGTGACCAGTAGGGTATAAACAGCCCTTAAAGGGCATATGTCTGGCCTTTGAAATAATTGTTTGGCCACTATTAGGTCTTAGGGCCTCTGGACTATTGAGAAGTTACGTAGCTTCAACCTGAGTCACACATTGTATATTTGCTTTTGCTAGTCTTTCCACATTTTATCTGAAGGTCTGTTTTTACAGAAGCCTTGAGATATGAAGATCCCTGTGCCCCTGACCCCTCCCCATTAGGAGTGTTTTTTGTATTTAGAAATTGGTCTCCTGAGTTAGGAAGCTCCAGCGTTCCCCTCAGGCGGTCTGAGAAGCACTGCTGGGGCATCATCCAACGCTCACCACACTCGAGAGGCTCCCTGGGCACTCGGACAACCACAGCACCACTTTGGGGGCCTTGAGTTACCTATGAGAGTGCAAGGATCCTTGCTGAGTCATGGAGTTCCTCACAGATGGCACCAATATGACCCTGAAACAGCAGCTTCATCAGGGTTCCTTCCAGGCTGGCCTCGTGTCGGCCGTGAAGGGAAGGGCCTTGGAGCTTGGTAGGCAGGCTGAGCCAGGGAGGCATTTCCAGCAAAGGCTCTCAGGGTGCCCACCAGACAGTGAGAATGGCTTTGTGGGTGGCATTTAGAAAAATATGAAGGAGCACCTCTTGATGATGTTGAGCAGCAGAGGAAGATCAAGGTCATGACAGGCAGTGGCAAGAGTTTGTTTTTATTGCCTTTGCCCATTACTCCATATGACTGTCATTCAGAATTACCATACCATATATTCACAACTGAAGTGAGGATACTTGTGACTAAAAAGGAACCAGTAATTGTGGTAGCTGTTGAAGTGGCTTCTGGTGAAGTTGACCACTTTACTGTTTACCGAACAGCCCTAGTGATATTGCTGGTAGCCGTTTTAGCAAAGGGTGTGACAGCAAATGAATTTGAAACAAATGGAAGTACTTTTGGAAATTGCAGAAACTAAAGTGACTTTGATCACTGCTGTCATCCGTCTGCAAACTGGTTTCTTGAAGGAAGCAAAATTTATTATTATGAACACTTAGCCCTACCATGATGGCAGCTAAAATGTTCTCAAAACCTGCAACTGAACTGACTGGTGCTCTAGTTCAAGATACAGTATCAGAGAACCTGCAGGGAAATGTGCAGGTTTCTACAGATGTAAGCTTCAGGAGCAGTGGTGGCAGGGGCCAGCTCCAAGAAGACCAGTTCTAAATAGTGCTGTTTGTGTATGCCCAGGGAAGCACCAGGAGCTATGCTACAAACAGGCTGCTTTTGTTTATGATCTTTGGAAAGCATTTCAACAAACTGTTTAATATACATTTGTCTCATCCCCCTGCTGTTGACTATTTGTAGTGGTCTCATTTTGAGTCTAAATTGAAACAATTTTAAATTGGTGTCTATCAGGTTTTTCTTAAAAATTTTCAACAGCTACATGTCCTGTTAGAATATATTTCCCTTTAAAAGAATAAGTTAAACTGAGCAGCTGCTATTCAGACGGTTTGCTGTGCCTGTAAAGGGTATGCTATTCAGCCACCTAGCCATTTAAAAAAAAACAAAAAACCTAGAAGATGCATATTCTGTAAGCATAATGCTTTTCTTCAGTGATTAAACCTCTATTAATATGTGTGTTAATCCTATGAAGTACTATATTTCTACACAGTTAAAATGTATTAGTGGAAAAAATATAAAAGGGATTGTGAAGTGCATTTATTGCTGTAGTAAATTAAGTCCTGGTTAGCTGATTATCAAAACATTATCTGATTTACATTTCTATAGGCTTATGGACATATGAACAGGAAATTAATTTTGGAAGTAGGTTCAGTTGGGTTTTTAAGCTCAGCAAATGAGAAAACCACATCTCTGCTCATATTAACTGCTCTCCATACAGGAGATCATCAAGCATTTGTTGACTTACCCAGTGGATAAAATATTAAAACTTTGAAACCAAGAAACCAAATATGTTGTTTAGGTATTTATCATTTTTATACAGTTAACTCCTTATAGGGATTACTGTGAAAGTGGTTAAGATTTTCTCTAGTTTTATGTTTATTTGCTTAAGCATTTGGCAAGGGCAGCTGTGTGGTCATGTAGCCGACTACTACTCCCAGCCCTTTCCTCTCCCATTGCATTCAGCTCACTCCTACATTCTGTTCTGACCAGGACGGTAGATACTGAGCACCTCAGGGTTTCATTCCCAACTCAGAAGAAACACTGAGTTTTTAAGTCCAGTGACCTACCATAAGTCATATCATAAAATGGGTTTAGTCTAGCCAAGACATCCACCTTTGATCTTTCTGCCTTCCAAAGTTTAAAGAGTATCCTCACCCTGTCATAGTGACAATTTCTCACCTTCATAATATTAAAGTGAGCAGAAACTTGCATTATGCCCTTTGACATAGCCTCATGCGCCGGGACAGGGGGAGGGGATTCCCTTCCCCTGTAATGTAGCTTGCTTATTTATTTATTTGAGATGAATCCTTGTTGCCTCAAGAGTTTTTCCCCCTCAGAGATAATAGCAGTGGCTCTTGATGGATCCATTTGTTGCCGTGGTGATATGCCTACTCCTTTTGTTGGTGCTTCTCTACTTCAATAAGCCCCTTCCTGTTATCAGCCTGGTGAAAATGTCTGCAAGTTCTTCAGAGCTAATAAACAGCATACATCATTCCTTTCATCTGATCACTATAGTGGGGCCTTGTGAGTGAGCGTGAAGTATGAATTGTACAGCTGCACTAATGGAACTCTGAAGAATGAGGCCCGAGTCAGCAGCACAAGTGCATCGGAGGCCGTAACCTTCAACCTTCATCCCAGTTCCAGAGTGCTGGGATGCAGAAGGGACCACAAGTAACTGTACCTTATGTGAACATTAGTATGTTAATACAACTGGGTAGCCTATATTTTAAAATAGAGTTTAGAGCCATTCTAGTCTCTTAGAATGATATTTTTGAAGATAGCCCAGTTGACTGACATTGTCCTGTGCTGGTTCTGTTGTGTTCTTCCTCCTCCAGGAATGAAATGGAAAGGCATTTTCTGGAGCTTCTTCAGTTTAATATTAATGTTCCTGCCAGTGTTTATGCCAAATACTACTTTGACCTTCGCTCCTTAGCAGATGACAACAACCTGAATTTTCTATTTGCTCCTCTTAGCAAAGAAAGAGCACAGAACCTAGAGGTAAGGCTATGAAGTCACTAAGTGAGGTTTTCCATCAGCCACCAAAGCCAACATCTGTGACTAAATCATATTAAGTAGTGATTAGGAAAATGGAAAGCTTTAAAATTAACTAACACTGAAGAGCTTATTAGCCCTTTGGCGTCAGATTTCCTGTGTCTTGTATGGTTTATACAAGGATCAACATTATTTAAAAATTATACATATTAACTCTTCTGTGACCATAATTCAGAATATTTTAAATCAAATTTAATCTGTTGTTAATGAGGTTTCCTTTTGAACTTCTACCCTTTCACATAACCATACATGAATAATTTTTTTAGCTGGGCACTGTGGCTCATGTCTGTAATCCCAGCACTTTGGGAGGCTGAGGTGGGCAGATCACTTGAGGTCAGGAGTTCAAGACCAGCCTGGCGAACATGGTGAAACCCTGTCCCTACTAAAAATACACACACAGGCCGGGCGCGGTGGCTTACGCCTGTAAGCCCAGCACTTTGGGAGGCCGAGGAGGGCAGATCACCTGAGGTTGGGAGTTCAAGACCAGCCTGACCAACATGGAGAAACCCCGTCTCTACTAAAAATACAAAATTAGCCGGCCGTGGTGGCGCATGCCTGTAATCCCAGCTACTCGGGAGGCTGAGGCAGGAGAATCGCTTGAACCCGGGAGGCGGAGGTTGTGGTGAGCTGAAATCGTGCCATTGCACTCCAGCCTGGGCAACAAGAGCGAAACTCCATCTCAAAAAAAAAAAAAAAAAGTACACACACACAAAAATACAGGCATGGGGGTGCATGCCTGTAATCCCAGCTACTTGGGAGGCTGAGGCATGAGCATCGCTTGAACCTGGGAGGCGGAGGTTGCAGTGAGCCAAGATTGCACCGCTGCACTCTAGCCTAGGTGACGGAGTGAGATTGTGTCTCCAAAAAAAAAAAATTTTTTCTTTGCGACTGTATTCCTAATTTTATCTACATACATAATTCACTTGCCACTCTTGACTGTCTTACTTACTGTTTGCAAATTCATGTCATGGTTTATGTATCACAGTGCAGTCCCATGAGTTTTTTAGACAAAGGATTAGTGGATAAGCCAAGAGACCTATACCCTTCACTGTATAGGATGCAGGTGTTTCAAATGCTGGATGTAAGTGGTAGGCATGGTGGCTCACACCTGTAATTCCAGCATTTTGGGAGGCCGAGGCAGGTGGATCACTTGAGATCAGGACTTCAAGACCAGCCTTACCAACACAGAGAAACCCGGTCTCTACTAAAAATTCAAAAATTAGCCGGGCGTGGTGGCAGACGCCCAGTTACTCAGGAGGCTGAGGCATGAGAATTGCTTGAACCCGGGAGGCGGAGGCTGCAGTGAGCCGAGATCATGCCACTGCACTCCAGCCTGGGCGATAGAGCAAGACCCTTGTCTCAAAAAAAAAAAAATAATAATGTAGGAAGTACATGGGTTTTTAATAGAAATGGTAACTTTATGGGGCAAAGTAATATTTATGGCTTATGACTCTTGGTGAGTATACAGCAGAATTACAACTGAAATGGACACATATTTTAAACTAACACTTTCTGTGGTACCTTGGTGGTACTTTAGAATAATATGTATTTCTAGGCTGGGCTCAGTGGCACATGCCTGAGAGTGGCTCATGCCTCAGAGGCTCATTCCTCCCAGCACTTTGGGAGGCCGAGGCAGGCGGGATCACCTGAGGTCAGGAGTTTGAGACCAGCCTGGCCAACATGGTGAAACCCTGTCTCTACTAAAAATACAAAAAATTAGCTGGGTATGGTGGCACATGCCTGTAATCCTAGCTACTTGGGAGGCTGAGGCAGGAGAATCGCTTGAACCTGGGAGATAGAGGTTGCAATGAGCTGAGATCACTCCAGCCTGGGCAACGAGCGAAACTCTGCCTCAAAAAAAAAAAAGAAAAAAATAATAATATGTATTTCTACCATAATTAACGTGCATGTGAAGTAATACCTTTTGGCGCGTCAGTCATCAGACCGCTCATATGTTCCAGTATAGTCCAGCACACACCTGCCTCATTAAAATGTGCTTTGAGTATATAATAGCTAATAAGGATTGGGTAGAATTTGAATAGCTGAATAAACATTTTTTTGCACAAGTGTACGTTTGTTATATTTAAGGAATAAGTTAACAGATAACAGATGCTATTGCTGTTAGGAGCCCTATCACAATACCTTTGATATCTTTGGGAATCCAGTTTTTTAATAATATAATAAATTCCCCTTTGTTCTCTGGGAATCTAACCATAGCCCTTAAAGGATATTACCTTGGTGAACTGTCAGGAAGTAGTGTCCCCACAACCTGGCAGTGTAAAACTCAGCCAAAGTAGCTGTAACTGTGAACTATCTAAAGGAGTCCACATGTGTGGCTTTCACAATGGTGCTCTTTCAAAGGCGGGAACCCTTTTTAAAATTGTACCTGTTTTCTATTTGATTGACTTTCCTAGGCTATTTCTAGATTGTGTGAAGACAAAGACTTGTGTAGAGCCGCTATGAGAAGGTCTTTCAGTGCTGATAACTTCATTGGTATTCAGCGCTCTAAAGCCATCCTCTCTTAAAAGGAGAAATGAGGGGTTATAACGTCATGGGACCTTCATCTACAAAGACTGGAGAAATACCACCTTTCCTGCTCAAAAACCAGCAAAATTAGTGTTTTCATCAAAAGGAAAGATCTCAAATTCAAGAGACTCATGGACAACAAGGATTATACTCCACAGGAAAGAATGGGACCTTGTCAATGCAACAAAACACTCTTCTGTCCTTTTTAATGTAAACAGAGTTACAAAAACCACTCCAAAGTGAAGGCTCCCATCCTACACACAGATATTTGCTTACTGTGTGGGCCGATAGCTGTGAACTATGTAAGGTTTTTTAAACAATAGTTTAAATTTTTAGACTTTAAAGACACTAACCATATAACTTTTATGTTTCTTCCAGTTTCTCTCCCTCCCCCCGCATTTTGCTGCATATGCCTTTAAAATCAATGCAGTATTACCATTAAAACATGGGACTCTAACTAAAGCCACTTAGGAGCAGACAGCAGCGTTGTTAGGTACTGAAGGGTTCTTCCTCCCTACTGTTACCATTGAAGCTGCTAGTCATTGGCAATCATTTTAAACCAAAAAGCTGCTGGATAACATTTGTCATTCATATTCTTTGCAAGCATTACTTTAGCATTTTAGCATGTTTGGGGTCATAAACAGAGGAAGTATCAGTTATTGATATCTACTTCTATTGGAGTCCATGTTGCATTTCTTGTGAACTATAAATGGTGCTTCTCATTTTCTGATAATTTTTCTCTTGCTAAATAAATGTATTAAAAGATATTTTCATAATGCCAACCAACATGGTGGTTCAGTGACGATGAGAAAAAGTGAAGCAGTTTTAAGCTTGAATATAGTTTGGGCCCTCCAAGGCACTGCAGCATGAGTATAAATGCTATAAACCTTTAAAAAACATGATTTGAAAGTTTTTTGTTTTGTTTTGTTTGTTTTTAAAGAGATGGGGGTCTTACTGCGTTGTCCAGGCTGGAGTGCAGTGGCTTTTCACAGGTGCAATCATTGTGCACTCACTGCAGCCTAGAACTTCCTGGTCTCAAGCCATCCTCTAGCCTCAGCCACACAAGTAGCTGGGACTACAAGTGCAACTGGCACCTGTCTCCTGAATATTAAGCTTTTAATTTTTTGTTTCGGTCACTCTTGATAGCAGACATTGACTGAAACAAAAAATTAAAAGCTTTATATTCAAAATTTGCAAAATGAAGCTGGGTGTGGTGGTGCACGCCTATAGTCCCAGCTACTTGGGAGGCTGAGGCTGGAGGATTGCTTGAGGTCAAGTATTGGAGGCTGCAGTGTACCATGATGGTGCCTATAGGAATAGCTACTACACTCCAACCTGGACAACGTTATCAAGACCCCATCTCTTAGAAAAATGCAAAATTAAATGCAAAAGAAATGGGCTGGGCATAGTGATTCATGCCTGTAATCTCAGTACCCTGGGAGGCTGAGGTGGAAGGATTGCTTGAGTGCAGGAGTTCAAGACCAGTCTAGGCAACATAGTGAGACCCTGCCTGTAAAAAAAAATAATAAAAATAGTTGGATATGGTGGCATGTGTCTGTAGTCCCAGCCACTCTGGAGGCTAAGGTGGGAGGATCAGTAGAGCCCAGGAGGTCAAGGCTGCAGTGGGCCATGATCATGTCACTGCTCTCCAACCTGGGCGACATCCAGACCCTGTCTCAAAGAAAAAAGCAGAAGAAAAATGTTCAGACAAGGTTTTGTAAAGGTTTGTAGCATTTATATTTCTACAAGTATCAAAGCTTAAAATTACACTGAACTTTTGGAATACCTTGTATCTCCATAAAATGCCCTCTTTTTAAAAGTAGTTACCCGCAGAGCTGTGCTCTATATGCTTTGATTACCGCAGTTTCTTTAAAGGAAGATTTTGAAGAGCAGTGTTAATTAACATGTAATAAAAGGAATTGGACCCTAATTATAGAAGGTGATATGAACAGCTGTTTTATCATCCTACATGCTACCAAGCTGTAGGTGTCCCATTAAGTCCTGCTATTTAAGAAATACTTACATAACCCTTAGGAACTCTTCAGGCTTTAAAAGGCAAGGAGCAAATAATTTTAGGAGACCGATAATGTCACCTAAATTTGAAATACTAAGAAGAGGTTAGTGTTCTCAACTATGTGAAATCTGTTTCTCCTACTTTCTCAAATCTAATCCTAGGAATCTTGCTTATAAACAAAGCATTTCTGGGACAGGAGTACTTCCTCTATTATAGCAATGCTTCACATCATATTGTGCTGCAGTTTCCATCATTTTTAAAGGACAGAGACATAAATGATAAATAATGGTATACAAATATTACAATCTACCACCTCAAAAAAACAAATATTGTTTATGGAATTCAGAGTTTGGAGATTCAAGTATTGATTGCAGTTTTATTTTGAAAAGAATGCTACAATTTATGTGGTTTTTATTTCTCATGTTTATATTAAAAGCTAATAAACTCTATTTTAATTAAAATATGGCTAGTGTGTTTGTAACACTTCTATCCACATAGTGTTACATCTCTGCCCAGCCTAGTTTTAAGTCAATCCTGATATGTCTTAAAGCATTTTCAAACCAACCATAAGTTGATTTGATCCATGCCTCTAGTTAAGATGTAGTGATCCATTTCTTTTGCATATGCTCTTTTCAACCTGAAGATAATTTATTACACTTAAAATCACTGACCACAATACTTAATGGCATAGTGCATTAGATGGCATCTTGAATAGTTGGTTATCGTGTCTGAGAGGGAAAAGCACATTAGAATATAAAATTAAGCAAAATGTATCAAAGAGAAAGGAATTAAAGGAATAGCGTAGAATTAGAACAAGAGGTATTTGAGGTTTTCAGACAAACAGGAAAGAGAATGGAAAGACAGGAACTAGAATTTGTGTTGCTGTTGAGAGGATGTCTTAAGCCACATAATTTGACTTTAATGTGCTATTTTCAAGCTTACATTTCAGTTAAAAATATACCAAGTCACTATTAGGTTTCTTTAGAACTAAGAGTCTAGCCACTCAGCTTTAGCAATTCTCAATAAATCCTGATAGCATTGCAATATTTTCATCCACTTTAATTCTTCATTACCTAAAGTCAAATATTTAAGTAAATGATCACAGTCAGGCACGGTGGCTCACGCCCGTAATCCCAGCACTTTGGGAGCCCAAGGTGGGTCGATCACTTGAGGCCAAGAGTTTGAGACCATCCTGGCCAACATGGTGAAACCTCGTCTTTATTGAAATTACAAAAAAAGACGGTGCAGTGGCTCACGCCTGTAATCACAACACATGAGGTCGGGAGTCTGGCCAACATGGTAAACCTCGTCTCTATTTAAAAAAAAAAAAAAAAAAAAAGCCAGGTGTGATGATGCACGCCTGTAATCCCAGCTACTCGGGAGGCTGAGGCAGGCGAATCCCTTAACTCTGGAGGCGGAAGTTGCAGTGAGCCAAGATGACGTCACTGCACTCCAGCCTGGGCGACACTGCAACTCCGGCTCAAAAGAAATAAAATTAGAAAAACGTTAGTGGGACGTGGTGGCACACGCCTGTAATCCTAGCTACTCAGGAGGCTGAGGCACAAGAATCGCTTGAACCCAGGAGGCAGAGTGCAGTGAGCCGCGATTGCGCACCACTGTACTCCAGCCTGAGCGACAGCATGAGACTGTGTCTCAAAAAAACAAAAACTAACTGATCACTGTGTCTTGATAAGTTGCCGACTAGGATAAAAGATCTAACTTAGGAAAAAAATCTATCATACGTCACTTTATAAGATGGTTTGCACCCTGTGATATGCCAGTTATAAGCAGAAATGCTGACACATTTGGCCAAAGGTTTAAAAGTTGGGAGAGGGACATTGGACATGAATCTGTGACTTGAAGAACAAGTTGGTAAAATAAGTATCACTAAGCTGCTCTCTTCCTTTGACTTTTAATTCTAGAAGGCAATACAGCGACTTTGATAAATGGGAAATTGGGTCAGTTGAGGAAAAGAGTATAAATGTCACTGAAAAGCAGGTAGGTTCTCTGACAAATGGGGCATGGAAACCAAGTTGCTAGTGGGGTGGTAACTATGGCATTTTTCTCAAGAGTTCTATACCTAGGGAAGATTCGTTCCCTAACATGAGACTTTAAAAAAGGGCTGATTACCTGGACTCAAATTTATTTTCATTTGTAGGTTTTTTTTAACTACTATAATACAGACCCCAATAGAATATTAACTTTGGTATATTGTGAATTGAACTTTCACATTTTCATTACAAGACAGAATACCTGAAACATATTTGATAGGAGTCTGGGGGTGAAGAGTTAAGAAAATGAAAGATATATTTGAACCAAATTGCCATTTTTATAGGCCTTTTGGTTGCCTTTTGGCAATTTCATATGTTTCATCCTAAAATGACCACTTAGGGCTCAGTGTTTCTGGTTAAAGAGAAATTTTATCCTGGCCCTTTATTTTACATTTCCTCTTTATGTAATCCATATGTCTATACATGATTGAAATCCAACAGCACTAAATCCTGGCTTTACAACAGCTCAAGGTTCATTTCTTGGTCTAGTTTTCCTGCATTTCTAAGTATACCTTGATTTTTTTTAAGCCAAAGCCAATTTTAACCAGAAAACAAAATCAGTCTTGATTCTGTGTTCAGGCTCTGCAGTATTTCTGGGAACTAGTTTAGCTACAGTATGCAGGTTAACTAGAATCTTTCATCACCCAGCCTTTCTCCCTAACTACGTTTAAGATAGCTATGACAGACTCTCAAGCAGGCTTTTTTCTTTTCTCTTTTCTTTTTCTTTTTCTTTTTTTTTTTTTTTTTTGAGACGGAGTCTTGCTCTGTCACCCAGGCTGGAAAGCAGTGGCATGATCTCGGCTGACTACAACCTCCACCTCCCGGGTTCAAACGATTCTCCTGCCTCAGCCTCCTGAGTAGCTGGGATTACAGGCATGTGCCACCCTGCCCGGCTAATTTTTGGAGTTTTTTGGGGCTTTTTTTTAGATGGAGTCTCACTCTGTCACCAGGCTGGAGTGCAGTGGCGCGATCTTGGCTCACTGCAACCTCAGTCTCCCAGGTTCAAGCGATTCTCCTGCCTCAGCCTCCCAAGTAGCTGGGATTACAGTCTTGTGCCACCACACCCAGCTAATTTTTGTATTTTTAATAGAGACGGGGTTTCACCATGTTGGCCAGGATGGTCTCAATCTCTTGACCTGGTGATCTGCCCGCCTCAGCCTCCCAAAGTGCTGGGATTACAGGCATGAGCCACCACACCAGCCTCAAGCAGGCTTACTGAGTATAGTACTACTTGGAAAAGCACTTGACAGCTGGCAGAGAAATCTCCCAGATAAGTGCTAGTTTCTATGCAGAAACTGTAGATTACACCCAGCATCTCTCAACAGATTAAGGATTGTATTACCTTAAAGTCTAATTTCTGCCTACTTACCCATCTGGTGGACCTGGCTGGGGCTGACTGACATTGTGCCAGCAAGCAATACCTAGCAGCCCTTCTTCAGTGAAGCCTGCTCCCCTAGTATACAGGAGCAATCTGTTTGGTTTCTAAGGCAATTTCCATCTAAACTATTTGGCAAGTGGGAGAACGTGCACTTAAATGTGAAATTTTAAGAGTGTTAGTTTGTGGTTTAGGATATCTAGGGTGCAGGAAGAACAACTAACTATGAAAGTGAAATGGTATAGAAATTAAGAGGAATCCCGAGTCCAGTGAAAAAAGGTTAACAGTCTTTAAAAACGGACAGGTTTAGCCAGGCGCCGTGGCTCACGCCTGTAATCCTAGCACTTTGGGAGGCTGAGGCGGGTGGATCACCTAAGGTCAAGAGTTCGGGACCAGCCTGGCCAACATGGTGAAACCCCGTCTCTACTAAAAATACAAAAATTAGCCTGACATGGTGGCACGTGCCTGTAATCTCAGCTACGCAAGAGGCTGAGGCAAGAGCGAAACTCCATCTCAAAAAAAAAAAAAAAAAAAAGGGACAGGTTTGGTGATTATTATAACTGCTGTAAGGGAGCAAAGCAATTGGAATGTGATTAGGAAAATTCAGTAATGGTCCCAGAACCTAAGGTCTTCAATGAGCTATCAGTAGTATCTACTTCAAAAGACCTCAAAAGATTCCCAAATTAGACTGTTAGCTTTACGGAAAAAAAGAAAATCTGTTGCTTTGTCTTCTTAACCTCAATTCTACAAATGTTTACCTGCCACCCCCTAGCTGGTGGCTCCTGTGTCTCCTCGGCATGAGAACTGCCTCTGACAAAGGAGGAGCTTCAAGTGTTTTACACACCTGGTCTTCCACCTGCTCCTTCACTCTTAGGTGAAGATCCTTAGGACCCTCCCTCAACAAAATCATCCCAGCCTCACCCTGACCCAATGTGGCAATGCTTGATGTTGGTCACTGTGACCCACTGCCAAAGCATTAGCATCAGGTTCCAGGACATGCAGGTGTCATGAGGCTCACAGGCTAACAGGCCTCTTGTAATTCCCCTTCATCACCTATTTGAGCCCACCTGTGTTCCCCAAAGCAGCTGTTCCCAACTTACTGCACTTACCCGATCTCCTGACCTGCTCACAACCCTAGTCATGTATCCTCAATCTAGGCTGTGGACTAAGTGGCAACTGCACCTTCCAAAATCTACTATTTCCTCTGGCATTAGATGCCTTCTTTAAAGTAACCCTCCTCATCTAGTGGAGGGGATTCTATCTCTAACTCTAAAATCAACCTTCTATATCCACCCTCCACTACTTTATTCCCTTCTGCTTTAAAATTGCATTCATCTCCCCAGTTTGGGGATGCAGCAATTTTTGTCCAGTTCTTTAAATGTCCCAGTGATTCTCACAATGTGGTCCCCAACCCACCTGCCTCTCATCAGCTGAAAGTGCCTGTGAAAAACAAAGCTTCTCTAAAGGCAGTGTGGTGTCCTGCACTGGATCCTGGAACAGATAAAGAACATTAGTGGAAAATCTGATGAAGTCTGCAGTTGATAGTAATGTGCCAACATTGACTGCTTAGTTTTAACAAATGTTAACGTTGGGAAATGAGTAAGGGGCATACAGAAACTGATTTTGGCAACTTTTGGTAAATCTAAAATTATTCCAAAATTAAAAGCTTATTTTTTTTAAAAAAAAATAGCTTACTGCGCCCCAGAGCTACTGAATCTCAATTCCTGGGGCTGAGATCTGGGAATTGACATTTTTAACATGAATCTCAAATGATTCTTACGCAAATACAAATTTGAAAACCTAATCTCTCCATCTCCTTTCATTCCATGTCTGAACAGCGGCTTCCCCCATTGTTTTACTTACCTTAACTTTGCCTTAATCTGAGTCAATCCTTTAAATCTTTTTAACCCTAAAATATAAGTCTCCCTTTTCACAAATGAGAAAACTGAAATACCCAGAGGTTGTGTCCAGGATCACATGGCACATAAGTGGTGGAGCTGGGATTTTAATTCCTATTAAGTCTGGCTCCCAAATCCATGCTCATAACCACTCTGCCTCTCAACCCTGTTACCATCCATAGACAAGCTAACGAGCTGTGTAACTAAATCACTAAAAGAACCATTGTTACCAGTATTACCCTGGGCCCACCTATTTCTGCAACTTTTTTTTTTTTTTTTGAGACGGAGTTTCACTCTTATTGACCAGGTTGGAGTGCAATGGTGTGATCTTGGCTCACCACAACCTCCGACTCCCAGGTTCAAGTGATTCTCCTGCCTCAGCCTCCCGAGTACCTGGGATTACAGGCATGTGCCACCAGGCCTGGCTAATTTTAGTAGAGACAGGATTTCTCCATGTTGGTCAGGTTGGTCTCAAACTCCCAACTTCAGGTGATCTGCCTGCCTTGGCCTCCCAGAGTGCTAGGATTACAGGCGTGAGCCACCGCACCCAGCCTATTTCTGCAACCTTCTAAGCCCAACAGTCCCTCTCTCTGTTCCAGCTTGTGACTTTGCCCTTTGCCCCCTTTTCCAATGGGGAAAAATGAGTGACAAGAAAGCATGGGGAAGATGTGCTAACTACTGTGTCCCGGACATGTAAGGTACAGTTGCTCTTCTCTTAGGATTCAACTCAACTATATTTTCTAGTCTGCCTCTCCTAACTACCTTATGCATCAATGTAATAAACTTCCTAGTGTTCACCTTGACATTGAATTACACACTCTCATAATGCTAACTTCTTACTGGATTTATGTTGTCTCCTACAAATATTTTAAGCTAATTACCCATGTTCTCCCACATACTTATGTCTCAGAGCGTTGGTGGAGAACACTGACATCCCAGGCATTAAAATGAGGTGGTGTTTGGTAGATGGTGGCTAATCTGCATTTTGCCAAAGCAGCATCAGTAGGTGGTCCAACAATAGTATCTCAGGCTTACTAAGCATCTGTCCAGATAACAGGGAAGAGCCAGCTCAGTCAGTGTTACTGTCTCTTCTGGGCTCCCTGACTTGTATTTAGAGCGCAATACCAAGTTGCAGATCCAACTGCTGGATGACAAAGTTTTGGGAGTTCCTGCCCTCCAACCGGACGCACAAAACAGCATCATCTCTAATCAAATTGGTTCAGTGTAAATGGAGGGTTTATAAAATAGAACGCAATCTCAGGCAAAGTCTCTGTTCTTCCACGTATCTGCCTTCATCAAGTGACTCATGAGACAATCACAGGATCGGCAGGAGTGAGACCTAGGAAAGATATTCAAGTAAAACATGTTTCTTAACTAGTTCTGTTTCTGGTGATTGGAATTTGCTTGATTTTACTTACTAATAAAATTTTTGCTGCTTATATTTTAAGTACATCTGAAAAACCTGATTATGAAGTTAGAATCCGTATTATCTCCTCGAATACTCTTAGAAAGCAATGTCTCTCTATAAAAACATGAGGAGAAAAAGACTTCTACAGCATCTTTTTATTGTCTTTACCATTACTTTAATGCATTTTAAAATTTATCTACATTAATTGGGAACAAAGAAAAATAGACATTTCTTTGTTTTTCATAAATAACTAATCTTCATATTTGATAAAAATCTCAAATGATTATTTTACCTTCCCACAAATATAATACATACAAAATTTTTCTGAAGTAAGGTCAACAAATTAAGTATCTTGAGACTAACATAACCACATACAACTGCTGTTTCTACTGACTCCCAGGAACGAAGCAGAAACAAAAACTCATCAAGCTGCTCTGGGTTTCCTTTTGTAAGTGTTACAGATTCAGAACTGTAATCATGTATCATCTGCCAGTAATAACATATGGATTCAAATTGATTGTCTACAAATAAAGTATCGCTGGCTCTAGTGTAACTTCTGGATTTAACATAACAGTGACTACAGCATGGGATAGGCACTATACATATATGGAAATCATAAACAGTATCGAATGCCCTGGACTTCAACTACTGACTCGGTATGTGCCTCATTTGGCTCAGTAATAAATTCACCTGCACCAAACCCGTATCAAAAGTCACCAAATCTCTCATATATATATATAATATATATTATGTATATATACAACCCACAAAACATACATACTATACATAGTTTGTAACAACATGAAGTCATACTGTCTTAAAATGATGCACTCACAGACAGACACTATCCTGGCTGAAATAAATCCTATTGTCATCAGGCTGCTAGCTTTTGAGAGTCTTGACTCAGGTTAGCTACTTATATTCTGCCTACTCTTCACCCTTCTTTAACGTCTTGGCAGTTCTTTCAGAACCACCCTCCGCAATCCAGACAGATTTGTTTCCCAGGATCACTTGATTGGACTTTGGAAACAAGAAAGAGCATGCAGAGGGAGCAGGCAATTCTTAGCCACTGTCCCTCACACCTGCCTATACGTGTGATGTGCTCTGTCCTGTTGGCCACATTTAGTGTTAGAAAGCAGTTATTCAAAGCTCTGTCCCTCCTACCCCCCTTGGGCTTTCTGTAGAGCACAAAAGTGAAAGAAGCTTCTTTGGCTGGGGTAGCAGTTCATTAAAATATACAACTACATTTCCTAGCTCTGGGGTTCCCATTCTGTACTGGAGAGTGCAGGTCACGGATGCTGTTATTAAGGTTTGGTGTGTGATCCATGAGGTTTTCTCCTGGCAGCCGGTGTCAGGATTAGCGCAGCTCCAGCCCAGGAGGCAACAGCCTAATGAATACCAACTTTGAAACAGTGCTGTCGGCACGTTATTTAAGCTTGTACATGCCCACAATTACACACAACACACACATGGGCCTTGGTCACTGGCAATGGTCATGAGAAAATATGAGAAAGGTTTGCAAGGAAAACCAATAAGGCACCAAGAAAAATTATTTCCAGTCAATTTTACCATTTCAAAATGTGAGAAGGAAAATCATAGAAATTAAAAAGATTTCCTAAAATCTGGTCAGCTAATTCACTGAGAGGTCCCATTAGTTCCTTTAGACAACCTACCTGAATGGAATCCTTACCCCCTAAGCTATGAAGTGAGGCATTGCTTAAAATCAAACTGAAAGGGACAGCCCTGAAGCTGTACACATAAGAGACTCCAATGGGCCCTAAGTCCTCCCCAGCTCCACAAAGCTGGCTGTGAAGAAGTTGCTGAACTACTCCATAACCTTTTATTTTACAGTTGCTTTCATGAGCATGACTTGTTTCCATAATCACATGCAAATTGGGGGAAGTAACTATATGGATGGAAACAGGGGGTGGCTGTAAGTAGATCCAGTTTCTCTCCCCTGGGGTGGCTGATCTCAGTAAGACTTAGGGATGCAGGTGGGCTTTTATCTTTGTCTCTCTTAGGGGATGAGGGAAGAGAGGGACAGCAGAGGTGAGAACAGAGACAAAGAAGTGCTTCTGAAAGTTGGTCTGGAATTAGACCCCAAAGATCCTGACTAATATTGCCCCCCACTTGGGCTTAGCGTCCTTTGTTTTAACTGGCTTATTTTTAAAGTAAATTAGTTGTTCAGCATGTTGCTAAAACAAAACAAAAAAAAATTCTAAAAATGAATTAAATCACTTTCATCCACTTCATCCCACAACTTTTGGATACACTGTGCATCATTTCCAGATTTCTCCACAAAGAAGGAGGGACAACCCAAATGAGGCACAATGACTGAAGGCAGCAGAGCAGTCTGTCTACTTTCTGGGAAGACATATGAAATGAGGGAAAAGGTCAAGGTGATCAGAAAAGGTTCTCTCATTTGAAAAACAGGAGAGGAATTGGCATTCAGTCAAGGGATCTATTTCAAGATTCTAGGAAGAGGCTTCTTCCTAGAAGAATAAATAGAGGAATAAAATAGGCACAAAGTTCTGTAGCTATTTGTACGAGGTTTTGTAGAATCCACTGAAATTTTAATTCAGAGGATAAATTGGGTAAGAGCAGTGCATTTTAATAAATGTGAAGTTTTTGAGAGTCCTTACAACTTTAATACTAGGTTTCTTCCCACCAGTAAAGTGTTTAAATTCCCCCTGGGAACTATGCATTTGTCTATTTAACATCCATGAAGTAAAAATTGTCCTAGGCTTAAATTTTACTTTTCCAACTTTGGTATAAGTGAATTACAAATGCCTACACTCAAGTTGTTTTCCTAGACAGGATTTTCTCAAATGTTAATTGCTCTGGCCATTTTAGCTTCCTAAATTTAGTCCCCAATCCTGGTCATTGGTATTTTGCTGGCTGAGGCACTGTCACCCCCCTTCCCCAGTAATGGCCCCACACTCTTCATGAATGAATGCTTAAACAGATTAGGAAAGCAAACAGAATTTTCTAATAGCAAAGAAACCTCTGTGTGTATGTTCATCAATATAAGCGTTCATAATGAATGAAGGAATAGTTAAACAGATTAGTAAAGCAAACCAAATTCTCTAATTGCAAAGTGTGTGTGTGTGTGATCATCAATATACAGGCTTTCTCAGAAGAGGAAGAAAACTATAGAGGTAGCACTATACTGATCTATATTTTAAAAGGTTGTGCAAGCATGTTATGCATCTCTTTTGTTTTCAGAGACGGCAGAGAGCAACGTCTTGCTGCTCTTGGAATATCTGGCTATAAACTAGTCCAAAGTCCAGGAACACTTATTTTCCCTTATTTGGGCCAATGTTTGTTCACAGGTAGCCAGCCTCCCTCCCCCAGTTCAAGCACTTCATTCAAGGGTGGGTGTGGTTTCTAATCACAGCTCTCCAGGAGAGGAGGAATAAGAAAAGCAAAAAGGCTGTTTAACATGATAAAGGGGGAGGGGGGAGGGGGGAGGGGGTGGAGCAAATAAGTGTTGGAAATTTACTTATTAGAAGTATATCCATTTCAGTCCTTACATTTAAAAAGGAGCCCCCTTTAGCAACTGTCGCTAAGTATTGTCCAGAGGGAGTGGGTTTATACTTTTACCAAAATTATAACACAAGTTCCTTAAAAAAAAAAAAAAAAAAAAAAAAAGGGGATCACTGAAGCTTAAGAACCACCCACTACCTCTCAGGCACAAAGCTGCCATCTCACCAGCCTAAAATTCAAGCTCCACCAATCACCATCGCTTAGGCTCTCACTACTGCAAATATTTATGCCAGATCCTCTATAATGCTACCTCTAACTTATTCAAGACACAACGATGGTGCTGTTAGGAGTGAGAATTATTACAAGCACTACAGAAAAGAAACTGAACCTCCCTCTATAAACAAAGCTAAGGCTGAACACAAAACCGCTAAGCACTCCCTAACCTTGTCACTTTGGGGAGGCCCTGAGCTCATTATGCTCCCCTCCTAGGTATGACCTGGGGCTATAAACTGCAGCTCACCTTAAAGAATCATGGACACTTTAAGCAGTGGAAGGAGAAGCTGGCTGAAAAAGCACACCCAACAACTTCCCAGTCACAGCAACCGAAACGTTCACTGTTCACATTTTTTTTTAAAGACACACGTATAGGAAATATATTTTCCCAATTGAGACCACACAGTTCAAAGAAACCTGAACCAAGTGGAACTTCATTACAACGCCAACCTTAGGATTGTAAAGCCCCCAAAGCAAAGGTAAATTGTTGCCAAAATGCAACAAAGTTACAAATTAAGAAAAATACATATAAATTAAAAAGAGGGTTCCCATAAAGAAGGCAGTAAGAAACGCAAAATAGAATACACGTGAGCTGGGCCCCTTGGAGAAGACCTGGGACAGGTTCTTCCTCGAAAACGCCCCTCTTCCCTCTCTCCAAGTCGCCGCGGGAGGGGGCAACAGCACCATGAAGGTAAACGGAAGTGACCTTGGCAAAACTACCAAACAAAACGCCCCCCTCCCCTCAGCTCTCCGGCCGAGTCCCTCGGCGGCAGCCTCCTACACGTGCGACAGGGACACCTGCTTGTGGTAGGTGGCGGCGGGGCCCGGCGGCCCGGTCCTGCCTGTGAGCGCGGCGCTCGCCTCGGGGTAGTCCCCTGCGGCCATGGCGCCCCCGCTCTTGTGGCCGCGCCGCGGGCGGCAGCAGCAGCGGCTGGTGAAACGCCGCCACGACTCCACCGTCTTGCCCGACCAGATCCAGACGCCCGACGTGATGCCCACCACCAGGCACATGAAGTACTTGAGCATGAGCACCCAGTACTCGGGCTTGGCGCGCGGCTGGCCGGTGTCGTGGCCCGGGCAGGCGCAGGTGAGCGCCGCCTCCCAGCTCTCGCGGTAGTGCTGCTCGTACAGGTAGCAGGCCACCACAATGCTGGCGGGGACCGTGTAGAGCAGCGTGAAGATGCCGATGCGGATCATGAGCTTCTCCAGCTTGTCCGTCTTGGTGCCGCCCTGCTTGATGACGCTGCGGATGCGGAAGAGCGACACGAAGCCCGCCAGCAGGAAGAGCGTGCCCACCAGCAGGTAGAGCACCAGCGGGCCCAGCACGAAGCCGCGCAGCGAGTTCAGGTTCTGGTTGCCCACGTAGCAGATGCCGGCCACTGGGTCCCCGTCCACGGAGCTCAGCGCCAGTGCCGTGATGGACTTGACGCTGGGGATGAGCCACGCAGCCAGGTGGAAGTACTGCGCGTAGCCCGCGATGGCCTCGTTGCCCCACTTCATGCCGGCGGCCAGGAACCAGGTGAGCGACAGGATGACCCACCAGATGGAGCTGGCCATGCCGAAGAAGTAGACCAGGAGGAAGACGATGGTGCACAGTGCAGGGCCCGTGGTCTCGTAGTGGATGTGGTTGTGCTCGCGGCTGCAGGCCACGCTGGCATGGCCCACGACCAGACGCACCAGGAAGCCCAGCGACACGCACAGGTAGCAGGCTGACAGGAAGATGATGGGGCGCTCAGGATAGCGGAAGCGTTCCATGTCGATGAGGAAGGTGGCCACTGTGGTGGACGTGGAGATGAAGCACAGCACCGACCACAGGCCTATCCAGAAGGTGGCGAACGTGCGCTCGTCGGCACTGAAGGACGGCTGGTAGCAGGGTACCGCGCAGTTGGGCACCTGGCCCGTCCGCACCTTGTTGTAGAGCGGGTGTGACTCCTTCAGAATGGGCACGAAGGGCTCGCGACACTTGCACACGAACGGGCCCCCAGCGGGGCATTCGCCCCCCGAGGCCGGCGCCCCTGGCGGGCCTGGAAGGGTGGGCTTGGCTGGGAAAGGCCTGGGGGGCGCCGTGGTGGCCTCGCTGCGGTTGTAATCCATGCAGAGGACCTCGGCGTCGCGGCCCAGCACCGGGAGGCGGTCGCAGCTCATGCGCTCGGGCCAGGCGAAGCCGTACTGGCGCATCAGCGGCGAGCAGCCGGCCTTGGCGCGCTCGCACACCGAGCGGCAGGGCGGCAGCGGCTTGTGGTAGTCGGGCAGACAGATGGGCGTGTACATAGAGCATAGGAAGAAGCGCAGGTCCGGCGAGCATTGGATCTCCACCAGCGGCCAGAACTGGTGCACCTCCAGGCCCGCCTCGTCCTGCGTGTCGTGGTTGAACTGGTTGGGCATGTGCGTCAGGTTGTAGCCGATGCCGCGGCACATGGGCACCGTGATTTCCTGGCACACCGGGGCCTTGGACGCGGCGGCCGCCCGGCCCACCAGCTGCGCTAGGAGCAGCAGCAACAGCGAGGGCGGCGCGGATGGGTCAGGCCGAGCCATCGCCCCCTCCCTCCCCTCGCCTCCAGCAGCCCGCGAGGGACGCACACAGGCAGAGGAATCCGGGCCGGGGCTTCTCCCTCCGGCGTCTCGTGTGTGGCGCCGGGGCTGGCAACCTGTTGGTTGCTTTTTCCTTTAAAGAAAACCGTCCAAAGATAAACTGCTTCGGGAAGGCGCTGCCTCCGCTGGCAGCGCTCCGCTCCTCGCCGGATAGGGCTGGGGAGAGACGGTTAGGGCTCGGATTCCAGGGAAAGGACTCTTTAAAAAAGAAGGGGGAGAAGAAAGATTGCAACCACTCCCTGTTGGAGAGGCGTCAACAGTTCGGTCCCCGCGAGCTGTCTCCAAATCTCTTAAGTTAACCCCTTTCCTTTCCTCCCCGCTCCGCCTCCTGTAACCAAACTACCGACTCCCCCACCCTCTCTTTCCAAGCTGGGCCCTTCAGGCAGTGCCCGGAGACCAGAACCCTCAGCTTCCCGGAAAAGGGCACAGGAAACGGGAGAAGAACAGGGAGAAAGGGAAGGTTCTCACCTCCACGGATCCCGCCGAGAAGAGCAGACAGTCCCCAGCCAGCCTGGGTCCTCCGTCCCTGGGTCACTCCGCTGAGAAGCGCGACTCAGAGCCGGGCTGGCGCCCGGAAAGTTTAGCGACAGGCTGGGTACCCGTGGCAGCGGCACATGGCAGCAGGTGGGGGCGACTCAGAGTGGGGGGCGCCCCCAGAACAGGGGCGGCGCAGGCCGGTCACTCGCCCTCTCCTCCTCGGGAGCCCCCCGCATGATCCAGACGGAGCCGGGCAGGGGCAGGCCGTGCGTTCTCCCCGGGGCCGGGAGCCGGACGGAGGGCGAGCGCGCCTGGCAGCACCTGGGCGGGAGGAAGGCGGGAGGCGGGGGCCGTGGGACCCCGCCGCCTCACAGCACCGCGAGCAGCCGGCGCTGGCCAGGCCGGGACTGCATGGTGAGCGCCGGCCGCCGCGTCCCGCCCGCCGCTCGCCTCCTCCCCTGCAGGGGGCTCCGCGCTCCAGTGGACTCCTGGGGGCGGTGGCGACGCTCTCGGGACGTGCCCTGCTCGGCTCCTCCCCCGCGCTCTCGCACCCTTTCGCCCACCTCTGGCGAGCACGGAACCGCGCGCGGCGGCGACCACAGCGGACTCACGGCCGCAGGCTGGCTGCCCTCTCCCGCCCCGCCCGGGTCACCTGCTTCTAATGCCCGCCGGGAAGCCCCGCCCCGGCTCCGCCCCCTCAGGCCCGGGCGCGGTTGGTGGGCCGCCTCGCCAAGCTCTCCGCGCGTCCCCGCCCACTGCCCCGCGGGCTCGGCCTTTCCCCCGGCGCCCTCTGGCCCCGCCAGGAGCGGGCAGCCAAGGAGCGCTGACCAATCGCGGGCCTGGAGGAGATGGGGGCGGGGCGAATGCTAATCATGCCGCTCTGGGCACCCGGGCGGGAAGCCCTTGCCAGAAGTCCCTCCGGAGTTCTCTGCCCGCGCCCTGGGTGCAGGACTCGCTCCTGTAACTTCCTGGCTTATGCACCTTTGCTCCCAGGGCCCCTGCCCTTTCTGCCTGCAGCTAAGCGTCCTTACAGAGTTCAGTGCTTCTTTGAAAGAACTGCTCAAGGAATCACTCTTAGGCGTGGCTGTCTCCCTTCCGAGCTGTCTTGGAACTGTGTGAAAGAAGAGAGGATACTTACTGAGCCCTTTACTGTGTGCCCAACAAAGTGTTAATCGGTTACATCCTTTTTTTTTTTTTTTTTTTTTGAGACGAGTTGTTCTGTCTCCCAGGCTGGAGTGCAGTGGCGCGATCTCGGCTCACTGCAACCTCTGTCTCCCGGGTTCAAGCGATTATCCTGCCTCAGCCTCCTGCGTAGCTGGGATTACTGGCGCCCGCCACCACGCCCAGCTAATTTTTGTATTTTTGGTAGAGACGGGCTTTCACCATGTAAGGCTGTTCTCGAACTCCTGACACCGTGATCTGCCCGCCTCGGCCTCCCAAAATGCTGGGATTACAGGTGTGAGCCACCGCGCCCGGCCCGTTTACATCTTAAGACAAGATCTCACTCCTTACAACAATTCTGAGGCAGGTACTTCCTACAGGTGAAGAAACCGAGACTGAGACTTGGCCAAGGCAACCGAGCTAATCATAGTTCCCCCAAGAAAGGGCGACCTCGGCAAGCAAGTTCACCTCCGTATTCCGATCACCTGGCACATAGTAGCCGCCCAAATGGCAACCCTGGGATTCGAACCCAGGTAGTTGGTCAGCGGCACTCACCATCGTAGCCGCCCCTCCCCCCATACTATCGCAGCCTCCCTGGCTTCGACCTTTACTTTTGCATCTCTTAACAAAATCTTGTTGTGACAAGAAAATGGATTTCTTTCTGCCTTTAGAAGACCCAGAAAGATGTGAGTCCTTTATTGGTCGAGGTTTATAATCCCAGGCAGTTCCGAAGTCGCCCGCAGAGAGAAGCGATACCGACCCAGGGTTCTGTGCTGGGCAGGGCGCCGGCCTCCCCGTGCCCTTCCGTCCCCGGCTGCCTGCTGCTAAGCCGCGCACTTGCGCGCCGCGGGGGGTCGGAGGGCGCACCGATGGCGGGGACACGGCGGCGCTCTTCAGTTGCGCAATTATGCTACAAGTTTTAAATGTCCTAAAAATGCCTCTTTTCTATGTGTTGTAATTAGATTGGAAGACTGAGGTATTTAGCATACTTGAAATACATTCACACGCCTAGGAAGAGGGTTTAAATTTTTTCCTTCTCCCCAAACTTTTCCTTCCACTGGGCAAAGGGCGAAAATAGGCAAGAGGGCCTGGGGACACTTGAAGGGATAGGGACTGGACTAACTGGACTAGATCCAGATCAACCGCGGGTTACTGTCCATCTCCTGTGCTGGATCCCATTGGCACAGGTTGGAAGAATAAATTGCGGAAGTGCCACTCCCCTCCTGCGTATCAACAACGCTTTGTGGGCAATAATGAAGAACACGTGTGTTAATCCCAGCCTCCAAGTTAAAAAGGAACAAATATCAATCACTTCGCGGATATCAAAACTATTAATAAACGTTTAAAAGGCCGGGCGCCATAGCTCACGCCTGTAATCCTAACACTTTGGGAGGCTGAGGTGGGAGGATGGCTTGAACCCAGGAGTTTGCAGACCAGCCTGAGCAACATAGCAAGACCCCCAACTCTAAAATACATAATTAAATAAATGAATAAATATACCTTACATCTTTCTTTCTCTGGAATTCTACAGGTGTTCATATTTTATCTCTTGTGTTTTGGAATTACTTGCCACTCTGGGTCAGGAAGCATCCCAGGGTTGAAAATAGTGGGAGTTGAAAAGCTGTGGGCATAGCAGTGAGCAAGAAAGGGAAGCCCTCAGTGGAAAGTATGTGCAGACTATGAACATGCCAAGGGAGGCCCATCTCATTCTGTGCTCTTTATGCAACGTGTGTATTACTGGGGATGGACAAGTGTTGGCTAATAATAAAAATTATTTGAAGTTGGAGAATGTTAATCACTCACACTGGAATTTAGCCAGAATATTTGTGTTATTTCACACGGTTCTGTCAGAGGCATTTGAACCAGAGCGACTCCATCTTGGATAGGGACTGGGTAAAATAAGGCTGAGACCTACTGGGCTGCATTCCCAGGAGGTGAAGACATTCTAAGTCAACAGGGTGAGATAGGAGGTCAGCACAAGATACAGGCCATAAAGACCTTGCTGATAAAACAGGGCGCAGTAAAGAAGCCGGCAAAAACCCAGCAAAACCAAGATGGCCAGGAGAGTGACCTCTGGTCGTCCTCACTGCTTATTGTAACTTAATTATAATACATTAGCATGCTAAAAGACACTCCCACCAATGCCAAAGCAGTTTACATTTTACAGATGCCATGGCAACCGTCAGGAAGTTACCCTGTATGGTCTAAGAGGGGGAGGAACCCTCAGTTCCGGGAATTGCCCGCCCCTTTCCCGGAAACTCATGAATAATCCACCCTTTGTTTAGCATATGATCAAGAAATAACCATAAAAATGGGCAACCGGCGGCCCATGCCGCTGCTCTGTCTATGGAGTAGCCATTCTTTATTCCTTTCCTTCTTTTTTTTTTTTTTTTTTTTTTTTTTTGACAGTCTTGCTCTGACGCCCAGGCTGGAGTGCAGTGGGGGTGCAAGCTCGTCTCACTGCAACCTCTGCCTCCTAGGTTCAAGCAATTCTTGTGCCTCAGCCTCCCAGGAAGCTGGGATTACAGGCCTACGCCACAACACCCTGCTATTTTTTGCATTTTTAGTAGAGTCGGGGTTTCGCCATGTTCACCAGGCTGGTCTGGAACTCCTGGCCTCAAGTGATCCGCCCGCCTCGGTCGGACTCTCAAGGTGCTGGATTACAAGCATGAACCACCTCGCTCGGCCCTTTCTTACCAAACTTGCTTTCACTTTACTCTATGGATTCGCCCGGAATTCTTTCTTGCATGAGATCCAAAAACCCTCTCTTGGGGTCTGAATCAGGACCCTTTTCCAGTAAAGGTTCTGAAGAAAACAATGTTATCTACTGGTTTGTAAACCTTTTCTTCATCAACAGCAAAATCTTAATTTTACTTGGAGATCTCTAATAATAATAGTGATAGCAGAGAACTTTATGGAAAGAAACTTATTTCAGCTGGGCAAGGTGGCTCATGCCAGTAATTTCAACGCTTTGGGAAGCTGAGGCAGGAAGATCACTAGGGCCCAGGAGTTCAAGACGAGCCTTGGCAATATAGTGAGACCTCATCTCTAAAAAAAAAAAAAAAAAAAAAAAAAAGGAGAGAGCAAGACATTTTATATCGTATATGTTTTTGTATTGTATTGTGTTGCTTTTTGTCTATATTTTGAAGGCACTTTAAAATATGCTGGCTGTTTAACATGTATTAGGCAGGGTGCTAGACGTCGTTTAATCCTCAGATGAAGAAACTGGTGCTATAATGACTTTGATGACTTGCTTGAAGTTATTTATTTAGTCTATGGAGTCAAAAACTTTCACACACCGTGATGATGACAGTTCAGTAACAACATACTGTAAATGAAAATTGCTAAGAGAGTAGATTTTAAGTGTTCTCACCACACAAAAATAATGAAAAATATGTAGAGGTAATGCATATGTTAATTAGCTCAATTTACCCATTCTAGAATGTATACATATGTCAGAACATCATGTGGTACATCATAAATATATACAATTGTTATTTGTCAATTAAAAAATAAAATATCTCACAATTTTCACCTGAGTCATACTTTATTACCCAACAAACTAGAAAACACTGAATTTTTTTTTTTTTTTTTTGGTTGGGGGGACAGGGTCGTGCTCTGTCACCCAGGCTAGAATGCAGTGGCACGATCTTGGCTCACTGCAACCTCTGCCTCCTTGGCTCAAGTGATCCACCTCAGCCTTCTGAGTAGCTGGGACTACAGGCATGCATCACCATGCTCAGCTAATTTTTTAAAAACTTTTTGTAGAGACCAGGTCTCACTATGTTGCTGAAGCTGGTCTTGAACTCCTGGACTCAGGCAATCCTCCCACCTCAGCTTCCAGAAGTGCTAGGATTACATGTGTGAGCCACTGTGCCTGGCCAAATTTTTTTAAAGATGCAATGTTTAAGCATTTAGAACATTGTTAAGCATCCTTGTCTATTTATTCACTCATGTATCTGTCCATCTATCGATTAATCCATCCATTCGCCAAATGTCAAATTTCTGAGTTGAAGACACTACTGCCATACAAAACATAATTTGATGAAGCCAAACTCATGAAATTCAACTGGAATTATTGTCCAAATTGTGTTTATTAATTGATGAAAATACAAAGGATAATGCTAAATATTCCATCTAATAGGCGTGTGACATTCCATAAGTTTTGAAGTATTGGTTTTGGATTTTTGCCATCAGGGAACAGTTACATCATTTTAAAACTTTCTAGATTTGGCTGGGCACAATGGCTCATGCTTGTAATCCTAGCCCTTTGGGAGGCTGAGGCGGGCAGATTGCCTGAGCTCAGGAGTTCGAGACCAGCCTGGGCAACGTGGTGAAACTCTGTCTCTACTAAAATACAAAAAAGTAGCCAGGCATGGTGGCGGGCGCCTGTAGTACCAGCTACTCAGGAGGCTGAAGCAGGAGAATTTCTTGAACCCAGGAGGCAGAGGTTGCAGTGAGCCAAGATTGCGCCACTGCACTCCAGCCTGGGCGACAGAGCAAGATTCTGTCTTCAAAAAAAAAAAAAAACTTTCTACATTTATGTTGTTTATACATGCATTATTTTGTTGAGATTCTTGAGAGTTCAATGCTGTAGGAATGAATGAACAGGTATCCTTTGTATGTATACTATTCAATATCTTGATAATCAAGCCTGGAATATTATGTTACATCTAGACACCTTCAATAAATATTTGTGAAATAAATAAATGAGTGAATGACAACTGATACTAACTTTTTCAATTTTAGCAACTGGCATTCAGTCCTTGAATTCAGATGAACTCTCCCTCTGAGGTTGACCAGGTCCTGTTAAATGAAGCCTAAGTCCAAATTTTGGCTCTGCCTTTACAAGCTAGGCAACCTCGGGCAAGTCACCTAACAGCTCCAGGCCCCCTTACTTCTCTGTAAAATAGAGTTAGAAATAGTTATCTACCTCCCAGAGCTATAGTGAGGAGTAAGTATATTTATATGGTAAAGAGCTTAGAACCATGTCTAGCCCCTGAGTCTCTATAGGTCTTGGCTATTATTATTAGTTTCTTCTAAGGTTCATTCTGTTTTTCCAGTTTTCTGTATTTTCTTTTGTATATTACTTTAACAAGGGAAAAAATAACTATTTTTTTCCAGGTGTACTTTATTTCTGAGAACACTGCAGGCTCTCACCAGCTATCTCTGGCACTTAGATATTGGTAAATTTAGTGCCAAAGCAGGGATCGTGTCACTTGCCCAGGATCAAAGTGCACACTCCTGATTATCAGTAACCATGTATGTGCACACTTGCTGGCTCAGGATAGAGGCCACCAGCCAACCCAAGTTCCTCACAGGTATTTCCAGACTAGCTCCCAACATGTCCTACAGCATCTCTGATCACTGCTCTTCCCATCGTATCAGATACCTCGAGACACAAACCAGAGGATTAAAACAATGAGCCATTTTTCCTGGGTTCATAATGAGAGTATCTTTTGTAAGTGGAATAATTCAACAGTAATCTTCAGTCCTCTCTTCTCCTACAATGTGGTGGAGATTATAGAAGAGTAAAAGCAGCTTTCTTTTTCTCCTCGGGGTAATGGAAGTACTGGGCTAATCTTTGCCACGCTGATCAGTGGCCCTCAGCTGCGCATTGCAATCACCGGGGAGCTTTTAGAAATACTGAAGCTTGGGCCCTGTTTAATCGGAGTCTCTGGTTGAGGGACAGGAAATGTGTTTTGGTTTATTTGTTTGTTTTGGTGGTGGTTTTGTTTTTAAGTCTTAACCCTGTTTTTGGCTAGGGTGGAGAACCACTGGCATAGATGGTTTTGGTGTTTCCTCAGTACAGCCCCAGACTTGGGCCTAGCTGAGTCTTTTGCAAGGAGGGTTATTCACATCAGTGTGTAAAATGGAACACTGGGAATAGGTATAAAGAACTGCATTCTAGGCTAATCGCATCCGAGTCTGTTTAGGCTGAAGGAAAAATTATATAAAGCAACAGAATTGTGATGAAGTGACAACAATGATGACCATTACAAGAGCTACTGATAAGTATGGAGCACTTCATAAGTACATGCACTGTACTAAGCATTTGACATTTTATGCATACCTTTTTATGCCTAAGAATCCTGTAAGATTGATTTTATCATTCCCATGTTATAGATGAAAAATCATGGCTGGGTGAGTGGCTCATGCCTGTAATCCCAGCACTTTAGGAGGCTGAGGTGGGAGGGTCTCTTGAGCTCAAGAGTTCGAGACCAGCCTGGGCAACATAGGGAGACTTCCAGCTCTACAAAAAAAAAGGTTTTATTTTTATATTAGTGGGGCGTGGTGGCAGGCACCTGTGGTTCCAGCTGCTCAGGAGGCTGAGATGGGAGGATCGCTTGAGCCCCAGAGGTTGAGGCTGCAGTGAGCCATGGTCACACCACTGCACTGCACTCCAGCCTGGGCGACAGAGTGAGACCCTGTCTCGAAAACAAACAAAAACCTGAGGTTCAAACAAGCTGAGTGACTTGCTGAAGCTTGCACACCTTCCAACTTGGAGGGTTTCCCTGGCCTCAAAGCCGATGCTCTCATTCACTGCAGCCTTCACTGCAGCCTAGCAGCAACCATTCATCAAGTACAGGGCCCTAAGAACAACCAGATGGTAAATCTTGAGATAAGCAATTTTTCTTGCTCCTTAGCACCTTTTTCCTGGGACCAGGTCAACTCTCCAATTCTGGTGTGGCCTCTTGTGGCGGGGTGGTTCAAGCGTGGAAAAGTCGAGGACCTGGGATTCATCTTGAATCCAGTAAGCGTCCAGAGGCAACATGTTCTTTGGGCTTTGCAGAGCAAGCAGGAGGTGGAGTGCCCCTTAAGCTAGATTATAGAACCTCCCAGTATCTTGGCAGAGGGAGCTTCAGTTCATTAAACACTGACTCTGCACCTGCTGTGAGCCAAGCACTGGTGCCAGGGTCACAAGATGAAAAGGCAGGAACTTACAATGTGGGGCATAGTGGGAGCTCACACGAGGCACTTAGCACAACCTGGTGGTTCAGGGAAGACCCAGGCTGGCCTATGGGTTAGACGGTCCATCAGGGTTTAGTATAGGAAGTAGAAACCTCTGTAGGTATTTATTTTTTTGTTGTTTGTTTTTGTTTTTTTGAGACAGGGTCTTGCTCTGTCACCCAGGCTGGAGTGCAGTGGTGCAATCAAGGCTCACTGCAGCCTTGACCCCCTGGGCTCAAGCGATCCTCCCACCTCAGCCTCCTAGGTAGTTGGGACTATAGGCCTGTGTCACCATGCCCAGCTGATTTTTGATTTTTTGTATAGATGGGGTTTTGCCACATTGCTCAGGCTGGTCTCAAACTCCTAGGCTCAAGCTGTCAGCCTGCCTTGGCCTCCCAAAGTGCTGGGATTACAGGCATGAGCCACTACGCCTGGCCTCTCTAGGTATTTCAAGCAAAGAAAAATTTAATACTGAGAATCAAGCAGACATTACACAATTTTCGAGAGGGCTGGAGGGATACATGCCAGGGGGGTACCCCTGGAGTATTGAGTTCAAGGGCCCACCACAGTAGCCATGCTCCAGAAATCAGGATGGTGGTGGTGCTGCTGCAACTGCCTGTGACAAGGCAACTGCCACACGAAGCTGGCGACCAGATGGTCAGAAGGGACTCTGAGTCCAGCAGCATTCAGTGCCTTCACCCTGCTTGCTTTACGCAGCCGCTACCGCAGCAACAGTGGAATAGTAGCTTCTGCTTTGCCCGCCAAATCTCACACGAGAACTTATTTCAGATCCACACCGGAGCTGTAAGGGAGTCTGGGAAATGTAATTTTTTTTTAAAGATGGGGTCTCTCTATGTTGCCCAGGCTGAGTCTTGAACTGGGCTCAAGTAAGCCTCTTGCTTCAGCTTCCTGAGTAGCTGAAACTCTAGGCACGCACTGCCACACCTGGCTCTTGGAAATGTAGTTTCGAGGTTTCCAGTCTCTCCAACTAGACTACTAGAAGGATAGAAAGGAGGCCAGGAGAGTGAAGCCTCAGTGTCTACTATGTGTGCAAAAAGAAAGTGAGAAGGACTTCCTGGATGGAGGAATCAGCCCAGGCAAAGGGCATAGAGCCAGGAGTGAGGCTGGCACAAGTGGTGAACAGCTGGGGATTACCAGGTTATCAAGAAGTAGCAGAAGCAACTGAGTCAAGGTTTGTACCTGAAAGTCAAACTTGTACCTGATTAGTCACTCATGTCTAATCAAAGTATTCTTTTTGTCTTTTTTTTCCCCCTTTTTGTGGAGAAGAGGGTCTCACTACATTGCCCAGGCAGGTCTCAAATTTCTGGGCTCAAGCTGTCCTCCCAACCTCTGCCTCCCTGAGTGCTGGGATTACAGGGTGTAAGCCACCACGTCCGGCCAAAGTATTTTTTAATGAGTTAAATTCATATACACACTCTACCTAAAACACTTATTTATTGATACAGTGTTTGATTTATCCAACTCATTACTAATGCAAAAGGACAGAGGAAAGGAGCAAAGAGCACAAGAGAGAAAAAACAAGAGTGTTGGGTGATACCCACAAAGAAAACAGAGCCTTAACCTTCCCCAGGCTTCATGCTACAAACACTGTTGATTACTGCCCGAGTCATCTCTCCTTTCAGTTTCCTAACAGAACCCCAGTTGGTTTTTTTGTGTTTTGATTTGTAGGCATCTACCCTTCTTTTCACCGCCATGTGCTTCAGTGGAGGCAGGAACTCCAGTCCAAGCCCAAAGACATAATACACAGTTGGTCCAGTTGACCATGTTGCTCCCTCCTGCCCCTCTTTTTTTTCCATTTCTTTTTCTTTTTCTTTTTCTTTTTTTGAGACGGAGTCTCGCTCTGTCCCCAGGCTGGAGTGCAGTGGCATGACCTCAGCTCACTGCAAGCTCCGCCTCCCGGGTTCACACCATTCTCCCGCCTCAGCCTCCTGAGTAGCTGGGACTACAGGCCACCACGCCAGGCTAATTTTTTGTATTTTTAGTAGAGACAGGGTTTCACCGTGTTAGCCAGAATGGTCTCGATCTCCTGATCTCGTGATCCACCTGCCTCAGCCTCCCAAAGTGCTGGGATTACAGGCGTGAGCCACCATGCCCGGCCTTTTTTTTTTTTTTTTTTTTTTCCATTTTTTCTTTTTCTTTTTTTCTTTGCGACGGGGTCTCAATCTGTCTCTCAGGCTGGAGTGCAGTGGCACGACCACGGCTCACTGTAGCCTCAACCTCCCAGGCTCAAGCAATCCTCCCACCCCAGCCTCCTGAGTAGATGGAACTACAGGCATGCGCCACCACGCCCGGCTAATGTTTGTTTTCTTTGTAGAGACGGGGTCATCCCAGGCCAGGTGTCAGGCACATGACTAAAGAAGCTCCCTGATGATTCTACCCCCAGCCTCAAGCCACTCCCTGTCGTTCAAGTCTTCCCATCTGAGGCCCCAGATAGCATGGGGCAGAGACTAGCCATCCCCACTGTGCCCTCTCCCGCTTCCTGATTTGCAGCATCCGTGAGCATAATTAAATGGCTCTTGTTTTACACCACTAATTTGGAGTGGTTTGTTACACAGTAGTGGTAACTGGAATGCCCAAATACCCCCAAACCCACCGTCCCTTGACATCTTAGATAATCAGGTAGACAACTTTTTTCTTTTTGCCTGACCCAGTTGGTGATCAACTTATACACTGAAGCTTGAGAACTTTCATCCGCTGTACTTTTATCCTATTGAGCCTCACTGTTGATGATATGCATGTGAAATGTCTAATCCTTTAAAACACAAATC
Organism: Homo sapiens; assembly: GCF_000001405.40. Taxonomy (NCBI): domain Eukaryota; kingdom Metazoa; phylum Chordata; class Mammalia; order Primates; family Hominidae; genus Homo; species Homo sapiens. Next base: position 207,780,175 of record NC_000002.12, read on the forward strand.
TTCACCATTGATCTTAATATCCTGCTGCAGTGAGTTCCCCAGGTCAATTGTGTGTAGTGGGGGAAAAAAGTACCTTCTTTTATCCATTTAAACATGCTTCCTTTTTATCTCATCTTGTCCTCTTGTTCTTCCCCAAGTAAAGCGATTTCCATTCTGTGGGTACCTACACACAGAGACCTAAGTTGAGACAATAATTTTCCTTTGAGCTGGTCACCCAGAAGGCCTCGTGCGCACCGGGACATGGAGCAGTGGATTTTAGTTGGTGACTTAAAGGTGGTGGAACACTCCATTCTAATTAGTCACAGATTTAGTTCCAAGCTTTAAAAAAAAAATAGTCTCTGCAAGAGACTAATTCTGCAAGAGGCAGGCCAGGCATGGTGGCTCATGCCTGTAATCTCAGCATTTTGGGAGGCCAAGGCGGATGGATCACCTGAGGTCGGGAGTTCGAGACCAGGGAACTTCTTTTGAGACAGGGTCTCACTCTGTCACCCAGGCTGGAGTGCAGTGGCGCATTCTCTGCTCACTGACACCTCCACTTCTCAGGTTTAAGCAATTCTCCTGCCTCAGCCTCCTAAGTAGCTAGGATTACAGGTGCCTGCCACCACACCCAGCTAATTTCTGGTACTATGTTCACTCTCTGCATGATGGGATAATTCATACACCAAACCTCAGTGACACACAATTTACCCATGTAACAAACCTGCACACATACCCCACGAACCTAAAAGTTTTTTTAAAAACCCCAAAGCCCACACACCAACATATTTAAAATACAACAACTTTTCTCAGATTCACCTCTTAGTGAAAGAAAATCTGCCATCCTGAGGGTTGCCAAAATCATATTTGCAGATGGCAATAAAAGATTTATGGAGTGCTTTCTATGTACCAAGCCCCTAGCTAAATGCTTCATGCATTATCTCATTCAATCCTCACAACACCCAGTAATAATAGGTTATTTTATTTTCCCGATTTTACAGATGAGGAAACCTAGGCATAAAGAGATTGAGTAGCTCGCCTAGGGCCACTCAGTGTGTAATTGGCAATGCTTCACTTGCAGGGATTCCTCTTGCTGTAACTCTATTGTGGTTTTATTTTAAATATCTGTGCCATCTTACCTCTGCTATTAAATACTTGGGCAAAGATTAATGCCACATCGATTTCATTCTTTCGATATACAGTGTAATGAGCGGGGATAATGGTGGGAAAAATCACAGTCACCTATGTATGCTGGAATGGATCTTGATGATCCTGTGGTTTTTACCTCCTCATTTTACAGATGAAGAAATGGGTCAAAGAAGATTTTGGATAAACTTAAACTGAATGAGAGAAAATTAGAGAGTCCAAATACTCCTGGGGAAACTCCAGGTAACGCTTCCCTGGGCAAGTAGGGGCTTTGACTTATCTGTTCTCGCCCTCAGATGTGCAAGTCTGCAGCCTTTGTAAATATAACTTTGTGGCCAGTAATGTTACTACTATTATTTGGTTTAACATTCGTCACAAGTGAATATTATTATTTATAGAATTGTAAGTCTCTGTATAGTGAGCTTATAATCTAAACCAGAGAGAGAGCTGATGATCACAGTTATCTGAGTTGAAAAGTGGGTTCTCTCAGGTTTCTCTGAATGTGTTCAGTCTGTTTGGATTTCATGTCATATGTGACTGGCCTCCTAGCATATTTATTCTGGCAGTGAAAGGGGTAGGGTGTGTGAAAGAAATCTCTTGGAGAAGTTTTCACTGAAAACTTGGTGTTACACATCTAAGTCTCTTCTTGAGCCCTTCCAGGAAGGAAAACAAATCTCAGAAAATGTGAGGCTTGTTGCTTGTCCATATTTCTCCTCTAAGATGATTTCAGAGTTTCTCAGAATTGTTAAAAAATGTTTTCTTCTGTTTTAGATCTCTCTCCCACCCCTCATATCCGCAGGTTTATATCTACTCTTCCAGTTACCCACAACCCTTATCCTGCTTTGTTCAGTCTTTCCTAGACTTTTTGGTATTAAACTCCCTTTGAGACAAAGTGTCTGGACTGTTGCTCACTAATTTTTTTTTCAGAGCAATTTTCTCAATATAAATTACACTCTCAATTACTTTTATCTTCCTAGAGCAGTGAATCACATTCTAAAAAGCCATTAGGGTGGGGGCAGCTGGATGCAGAGCTGAGAGGTTCGAGCCAGTGCCAGCTTGTCAACCTCACTCTTTGTTTACCCTGCTGCAGCAGGCCAAAGTGCAACCTTTGTGCTGAAGTCACCAGCCAAAGAAGTACCTTCAGTGCCCATTTCTGCTACACTTGTGTGCTTGGGGTACCTATGTGATGGGGAGGCCATGTTTTAGAGAATGGGCTTGTGCTTGGAGGCAAGAAAAAAAAATAGCTGAATGCAGGATGGCTTGATATTTGAAGGCTGTGGGAGTTCGCTTTAGCGCCTCCACTCTTCATCCCTCCTGATATCCATACCCTCTGCCATGGGACTTTGCAGTTCCTTCCATCAAGAGATGGGTATATTCCCTACACGTCGATTCTGACCATGACAGCTGCTTTGGCCAATAGGATGTTACAGATGTGACACAAGCAGAGACTTGAAAATGTTCTTGTGTGATTGGACTCGCTCCCTCGCCTCTCTGCTATTTCCATGAGAAGAGTAGGCCAGGGTGCCAGGGCTAGCCCGCTGGTCCCAGCAGGAGGATGAGAGATATGTCGGGCAGAGCTGCTCCAAGGAAGCTGCCCCAGGCTCAGCTCTGCCTGGAACAGAGCAGCCCAGCTGACCCAGAGGTACATAAGCAAACCCAGCCAGGATTTGCAGGTCTGCGTAGCAAGGCTTCCAATGAACAGCAGATGCAGGAGCTGGAGTAGGAAGTGATTGTTGTTTTAAGTCTCTCAATTTTTAGGTGGTTTGCTATCCAGCAATAGCAATGAGGTCATGCTCTCTGAGACTTACGATGATTACCTGAGCAACTAGAAACAAAAGCACTTTGCAAATGTACAGCCATGGGAACTTGGAGAGTGGACTGAACAGGCTCTGGAGTCTGAAAACCTGAGTTACAATTCACCCTCACTCTCAGCTCACTCTAGACTTGGGCAAATAATTTCACTTTCCTGGGTCTTACTATAAAGTTACAGAGCTGACTTGCGGATTCAAAACATAAGAGCTTCAGAGGATGCCAAAAAATTAATATGAGTCCTAGAACTTCATTGGCAGAGGTGAGGAAGGGATGAGGAAGGTAGGAGGGAGTTTAGAGGGAATTTTGAGTATAAAATATTATAGCCTGTAGTCCCAGCTACTTGGGGGGCTGAGGTGGGAGAATTGCCTGAGCTCAGGAGGCTGAGGCTGCAGGGAGCCAAGATCGTGCCACTGCACTGCAGCCTGAGTGACAAAGTGAGACCCTGTCTCAAAAATAAATAAAATAAAATACTATACTCAAATAAAAGGGGCAGATCTGTTGAGTCGTGAATTGAAGAATTTTGAAGAAAATGTTTGATTAAAGCTGAAAGGTAGTCTTGAAGCCCAGATATAAAATAGTCTCACTTCCCCAGAGATCAAAGACATTGCCCTGAAAGTGTGGGCTACATGAATGAGTACGAGAGAGAAGAGTGACCCTGAAAATGGCTTCTAGAAGGCACCTTCCTGACAGCTCTTCCCTTCCCATGGAATAAAGCAAAGCTGGGGACAGTGATGAAGTGTTTGGTCAGGTGGGGAGATAATAGGCCCAACTAGCAGTCAGATGCCTGTCTGAGCTCCCTCCTTAGTTACCTTTAGCTTGTCTTGGTCACTCAATATCTGACCTTGGACGAATCACCTATCTTATGGACAAGTGGATGAAATAGGATTCATTTATTCATTCCATTCTGATTACATGATCCCCTCCAGAAACTATTCCGGACTCTGGGGATGAGATGGTGAACACGTGGTTCCTGAGCTGGCTACCAACTCAGGCTAGACAGACTTCTCACATATTGTCATTCATATCAAAATATATAATACTAGGCCAGGCGTGGTGGCTCACGCCTGTAATCCCCCAACTTAGAGAGGCTGAGGTGAGAGGATTGCTTGAGCCCAGGAGTTTGAGATCAGCCCCTGGGCAACACTGGGAGATCCTGTCTCTACAAAAACTTAGCCAGGCATGGTAGCATGCACATGCAGTCCCAGGTACTTAGGAGGCTGAGGTGGGAGGATTGCTTGAGCCCAGGAGCTATGATTGTTCAACTACACTCCAGCCTGGGCAAACAAACAAACACACACACACACACACACACACACACCCATATATACATACATATATATATATATACACACACACACACACACACCCTCATATATACATACATATATATATATATATACACACACACACACACACACACACACACACATATGACTAGATCCTTTTTCAGAGGGGAAAATTATAGCTCAGAGAGATTAAGTGGCTTGTCCAAAGTCACATGCTTTATACGAGAAAGATAAAAAATTAAGTTTTTTTACCCTAAAATTTATGTCGTTTCTATTGAACTATGTCAGAGGCAGAGCCTGGAATGAGCAAGGCGGGTTGGGGGCAAAGAGGTCCACTTTGGTGGGACCAAGGAGACAGATGTAGAGAGTGACTCAGTGATAAGATTAAAAGGGTAGATGGGGCAACACTAGAGAGGGCTTTGGATGCCAAGATAATGATCTGGAATTTTGTTTAAGTGTTTGAGTGAGAGGCAGCATGCACAAAACTTTGTGTTGGGAGTGTAATCTAGCCATCCTAGGCTAAGCGGATTGTTGCAGAGGAGGTCTTCAGTTTAGGAGATTCCTGGAAACCATGATAGAAGCCCAGGAATGAAGTGAAGAGGCCCAAGCTAGGCTGGTGGGTGCAAAGGTAGAGAAAGACAGGCAGACATGAAGCCATCATTCCTCAGCCTACTCTGCCTGGACACGACTTTGACATTCCATAACACGCCTCCCTCCCTGGCAAGTCATAATTATCGTGACAGTTATCATCTCCAGTTTTGCAGGTGCATAATGCTGTGATTGTGCAAGATCTTGAGGGTCAAAGATCATCAGGTTCTACTTCCGTCTCTGGTTCTCTGTTCCCAGATTGTCACAGATTGAAAACTGATGGGGGCCATGTCTTCCAACAGAGATTCAGAACTGCACCCAGCCTGCTGGCTGTGTCCACCGAGAAATCAGAAACATAAATCCACTTCCTGAAAGCAAAGACTAAAGGGTAAAAGCAGTTCTTAAAAGTTATTTTTCTAGTATTCAAAATTCCAGAATTTTGATTGATTCTTTCATTAAAAGGGGGATAATTGGCCAGACGCGGTGGCTCAAGCCTGTAATCCCAGCACTTTGGAAGGCCAAGGCAGGTGGATCACGACGCCAGGAGTTCTAGACCAGCCTGGCCAATATGGTGAAGCCCCGTCTATACTAAAAATACAAAAATTAGCCGGGCGTGGTGGCACGCTCCTAGTCCCAGCTACTTGGGAGGCTGAGGCAGAAGAATCACTTGAACCTGGGAGACAGAGGTTGCAGTGAGCTGAGGTCGCACCACTGTACTCCAGCCTGGGCAACAGAGCAAGACTCCGTCTCAAAAAAAAAAGGGGGGGGGATTATTAAACTAATATGCAACTGTTAAAAAAATTGAGTATGAATGCTATTATGTAAAAAGGCCTATCCTCTATTGTTACGTGATAAAAGCAAGTAAAAACAATGTCATGTGCACTGCTTCTGCTAAAAGCATTATTTAACATCGTTTAAATATGAAGCCTGGGAGGCCATTCTCCAGGTCTGGGACAGGGTCGTGGAGAAGGGGACAGAATGGAAAAGCCAGTTTTTGCTTCTGCATTGTTATAGTAGTTTATAAGCAGGTTACGTTCCTAATGGAAAGGTTTTTTTAAAGCATTCAGAACATCCCAGAGCAGGTAACCCTCATACTGCCTTTCTCAAGCTCAAGACTACTTTAGGAAAATAGACAGAAATGCTGCTTAGGAAAATGCAGGCAGGGAGAGCAATAGTAAAGCCCTTCCTTGATTCTATGGACTTCTCCGGGCTAACTCCCCAACATACTGTAGTGTGGTTAAGAGCATGGACTTGTAAATTAGCTGGTCATGGTGGTGAGTACCTGTAATCCCAACTACTTGGGAGGCTGAGGCAGGAGAATCACTCTTGAACCCGGAAGTTGGAGACTGTAGTGAGCCGAGATCATGCCACTGCACACCAGCCTGGGTGATAGAGCAAGACTCTGCCCTCAGAAAAAAAAAAAGGAGCATGGACTTGTTTGGTTGAGCAAGTTACTTAATGTCTCTGGGCTTCAATTTCCTCAACCGTAAAATGGGCATGTTGTGATTAAGAGAGGTAAGATTAAATTAAATTAAATTAAATTAAATTACAATAAACATTAAGTTTGACATACTCATACAAGGATGTAATCTGTAGCCACAGAGTGATATTCACTAGCATGGAAAGATGTACAAAATACATTGTTGGTGAAAACAGCAAGTTATCAAACAGTATTTATAGACTAATCTCATTAAAATTATACACGGAATTCATTTTAAAAAATATTTTCTGAATTTTTGCAATGAGCATGTGTTACATTTAAAATCATAAAAGCCAATAAAGCTATTTTGATCTCGAAGAAAAAGATAAATATTTAAAATGTCACTTTGCGCACAGTGTCCAACACCCAGTTAAGCTTTCAATAATTACTGGCTATTACCGTTATTATCTACTTAACATATCAAACGCCTAAGTGACCTTCTACTTTCCCTTGACTCTTTAGATTTTTATTTACTTACCCATCTGTTAGAATGTGCACCCTATGAGGGCAGATTTTTTCAAGTTCTTTTAATTGTTTTTCTCCCCTGTTGACAAAAAGAATACATTCTTTCGGGAAAAAAGAAAAAAAAAAGAAATGTAAGAATCTGCCCTAATCTCAATCTCCAAAGATAATCATTGTAGATTATCTAAACACTGTTGGGCAACACTGAGAGCTTTTTCCTGTAAAGGGCTAGATAGTTAATATTTTTGGCTTTGTGGCCACACCATCTCTGTTGCAACCACTCAATTTTGCCCTTACAGCAGAAAAGCAATGTTAAGGAAAAATTATTCATGACTTTTTTTTTTTTTTTTGAGACAGAGTCTTCCTCTGTCACCCAGGCTGGAGTGCAGTGGCATGACCACGGCTCACTGCAGCCCCAACCTCCTGACTCAAGCAATCCTTCCACCTCGGCCTCCATCATAGTTGAGACTACAGTCTTGCACTACCATGGCCTGATAATTTTTTAATTTTTTGTAGAGACAGGTTCTCATTATATTGCTCAGGCTGGTTTTGAACTCCTGGGCTCAAATGAGCCTCCCTCCTTGACCTCCCAAAGTACTGGGATTACAGGTGTGAGCCACCAGACCTGGCTCACAACACTTGTTAAATATGGGAAGGGAGACTTTACTTAGGAGGCAACTATCACTGTAGGAATAGGGACCACCACAGTGGGGTCTTGCAGTGGGCTCAACTCCCGCAAGGGTAAGTGGAGATTTACAGCCAAGGAGCAGGCTTGGTGGCAGTGGATGGAAAATTACTCAGACGAAACATCAGGTGTAAGGGGGCTTCTTGCTAGACAAATTCAGTAGAATTCTTGTTGAAGGGAGACCAGGGTGATAAAGATATTGAGGGTGGGGGATGTTCACTAAACTAACGTAGTGGGATCTTGCTCCAAGTAGATTCTACAAGGACAGGGAGGGAAGCCCAAGGTCAGCTCAGTCAAGCAGAGGACTCAGGGGAGCCTGATTCAAGTTTGGTCAAAGGAGAGCGTCTCTGTGAGCAGCCAGACAACACCTAAACGAATAGGTGTGGCTGTGTTCCAGTAACACTTTATTTACAAAAACAGGATTCAGCCTGACTTGGCCCTGCAACCACAGTGTGCCACCCCTGCCGTAGAACCATGTGGTCCAACAGAAACATGATGGGAACCACATATGTAATTTTCCATTTCCTTGTAGTTTAAATAAAGGTGAGATGAGATCAATTTCTTTCTTTCTTTCTTTTTTTTTTTGAGATGGAGTTTTGCTCTTGTTGACCAGGATGGAGTGCAATGGCACGATCTCAGTTCACTGCAACCTCTGCCTCCCGGGGTTCAAGTGATTCTCCTGCCTCAGCCTCCCGAGTAGCTGGGACTGCAGGCATATGTCACCATGCCCGGCTAATTTTTTTGTATTTTTAGTAGAGACGGGGTTTCACCATGTTGGCCAGGATGGTCTCAAACTCCTGACATCAGGTTATCCAACCACCTCAGCCTCCCAAAGTGCTGGGATTACAGGTGTGAGCCACTGCACCAGGCTGAGATCAATTTCAATGTTATGTTTAATGTTCAACGTTATGTTTAATTTAACCCAATATACCCAAAATATTATTTCCTCACAAAATCAAAACATAATCAAATAATTACTAAAATATTTTACATTCTTGTATTTTACTAAATCTTCAAAATCTGCTGTGTATTTTATACACACGGCACATTTCAATTCAGACCAGCCACATCTCACATGTTCAATAGGCACCTGTTGGACAGCTGAGCTGTAGAATCTAGATTGTCAGCGGGTACAGTGGCTCATGCCTGTAATCCCAGCACTTTGGGAGGCCAAGGCAGGTGGATCACGTGAGGTCGAGAGTTCGAGGCCAGCCTGACCAACATGGAGAAACCCTGTCTCTACTAAAAATACAAAATTAGCCAGGAGTGGTGGCACATGCCTGTAATCCCAGCTACTCGGGAGGCTGAGGCAGGAGAATCGCTTGAACCTGGGAGGCAGAGGTTGCCGTGAGCCGAGATAGCACCATTGCACCCCAGCCTGGGCAACAGAGTGAAACTCTGTCTCCAAAAAAAAAAAGAAACTAGATTGTCTTTGTAAGCATATAATTACACACACACACACACACACACACACACACACACACACACACATTTGTTGTTGTTGTTGTTGCTGTTGTTGAGACCTAGTTTCACTTGTCAGCCAGGCTGGAATGCAATGGTGCAATCTCAGCTCACTGCAACCTCCGCTTCCTTGGGTTCAAGAGATTCTCCTGCCTCAGCCTCCTGAGTAGCTGGGACAACAGGTGTGCACCACCACACCCAGCTAATTTTTGTATTTTTAGTAGAGACGGGGTTTCTCTATGTTGGCCAGGCTGGTCTCGAACTCCTGACCTCGGGTGATCCACCCACCTCGGCCTCCCAAAGTGCTGGGATTACAGGCGTGAGCCACCATGCCTGGCCAATTACATATATTTTTAAAAACAAAAGTAGTATAATAACTTTTTACTAAATAATCTTTCTTAGAGATCTTTCCCTACCATTCTACAAAGATCAATTTGTATTTATTGGGCCAATTATAACATTCCATTGTTTAGATTTATCATATGCTATTTTGTCAGTTCCCTACTGATGGACATCTGCATTGTTCCTAATTTTGGATTGTTATTCAAAATAGTGCAGGGATTGTCCTTTTACATGTAAGTTTTGGCACTAGGCTGGGCGCAGTGGCTTACACCTGTAATCCCAGCACTTGGGAGGCTGAGGAAGGTGGATCACTTGAGCTCAAGAGTTCAAGACCAGCCTGGGCAACATGGTGAAATTCTGTCTCTACCAAAAATACAAAAAAATTAGCCAAGTGTGGTGGTGTGCCCCTGTGGTCCCAGCTACTCAGGAGGCTGAGGTGGGAAGATTGCCTGACCCCTGGGGTTGGGGGGCAGAGGTTGCAGTGAGCCGAGATCTCACCACTGTACTCCAGCCTGGGCAACAGGGCGAGACCCCATCTCAAAAAAAAAACACAAAAAACCAAAACTTTGGAACCTATGGGAGTATATCTTTAAAATAAATTTTTTGTAAATTGAATGCTGGGTCAAATCTATAATGACATTTAACTATTTACTAGCAATTGCCAATCTGGAGGGCTGAAATTCTACCTTGTTTTCCTTTTTTTTTGAGACGGCGTCTTGCTCTGTTGCCCAGGCTGGAGTGCAGTGGCAGATCTTGGCTCACTGTAACCTCTGCCTCCCAGGTTCAAGCAATTCTCCTGCCAGCCTCCCAACAGCTGGGATTACAGGCACGCACCAACATGCCCGACTAACTTTTGTATTTTTAATAGAGACGGGGTTTCGCCATGTTGGCCAGGCTGGTCTCGAACTCCTGACCTCAAGTGATCCTTCTGTCTCAGCCTCCCAAAGTGTTGGGATTACAGGCATGAGCCACCGCTCCGGCCTCTTGTTTTCCTTTGTATCTCCAGCATGTTGGCACTCCATGAATAATTGTTAAGTGAATAGATGGCTGAAAACCTCCCAACAGAGGTGTAGGGGATGAGGAAAGAAATAAGTAAATACAATGGAATACATGGAACAGTTAATGGCATATTAAGGAGACACAAATTGAAACCCCGGAGGTCATGTAGTGAAAGATGCTTGTTTAATATTTCAACAAGCTCCTCTGAGCTCAGCCCAGTTCCTACCCTCTTCAGAAAGCCTCTAGGCCTTGGGCCTCAGGCTATGGCATTTGGGGTTTCCCTGGAAAAGTGCTCTCTATCAGTGTGAATATCAGTCTACCCTGTTGTGAGCAGGACAGAGTGGAGCAGGGAGAGGGGCAGTTGAAGTTTCTACCATATCCCAGGAACATCAGGAAACCCCCTGCTCTGCAGAATCAGATGGACTCCCAGAAGGTTGGGAGTCCCATCTGTGGAGGTCTTTCACACCAGCCCACTGCCCTTCTGGAATAGGGGAGGCTTTCTCCCCAAGACACAACAACTTGTCACCACCATGGCAAGGAAGGTTCTACTCTCCAGTGGCCAAGCACATGGCTAGAAAATCTGTCTACAAAAACCTGAACTTGTCTTGAGGTCTCCCTTCCTCCACCAGTTGAGAACTCTCCCCTGGTACTATCTCTCAAACCAGTGCCTCTGGCCACATTCCCAGCCTTGCCTGGTCCTGTCCAGCCACAGCTAGAGCCTCCCGGCTAGCCTCCCACCCATCAGTGTCCCTTGTGCTCCAGTTTTTCCACTCCCCAGCCAAATCCTCATCCCTAACATCATGAAACCTGGCTTTTATGCAGCACCCCTAAGAAGGCAGGGTCTGGCTTCTGTGCCTTTCTCAGAGCCTGCCCTGGAGATTAGCATGTAATCACTGTTAAATAAAAGGACAAAACAATCACTGGATTTGCAAATTGAACAATTTGCTATCCAAGGTCTTCCTTATGGAATAATTCATTGGACAAGTACTATCAAGTGCCAGTGATATGCCACGCACTGTGCCAGATAAACCTGAAGGACAGGGTCCCTTAAATTCATGGAGCTCATGATCTCTGATCCATATCTAACACTTCCCTAAACAAATTATTTTCACAGCTCCCCAAAAACATCCATGGATCGTTCTTTACTTTTATTCAGTGCAAATGTTTATTTCAGCACCTATGATGTACTAGCATGATGCTAAACTATAGCTTTTAATTTAGTCCTCAAAAGACTCCTCCAAGGAAGGTAGCACTGGCTCCACTTTGTACCTGGGGAAAATGAGATGAGGTAACTCCCAGTTCCACATCTGCCCACTAGCAAGTGGAGTCAGCATTCCAGCCCAGGCCTGCCTCTCTTAGCGTCCAACCCTGTCCTCCTGGAGCTCTATTACCTGGCAAGAAGTATTTGACCCTCCAGGGATGGGGGCATTCCAGTCCAGATAAACACCTGGAGCCTAGCAGGCATTCACTGGTGTGGGGGGTGGGGGGCGGGGGGGCAAGAGGGGTTGGGCGCGGTGGGGGTGGCTGGGGGAGCTGTTGCATTTGACTGGGGAACTGGAAATAAAGATATTGAGAGAGAAAACCGGGAGAGATGGGAAGTTGCTGTTTGCAGAGTTTCATGAATTGCTTATCTCTACATCCCCAAACCTTAGTCCTCAGCATTTCTCATTGTCACTTCTAATAACACATTTCCTTATTTTATTATGGGACTGCTTTATACATGTTGCTGAATGGAAGCTCCCTGAAGTGCCTGGATGTTAGGTGGCTTGTCCAAGCTCCCTTGGTTAGTAGTGGGCCGGGACTAGAATCCAAGCTTACTTTCCAGATTACATAGAAGGAGGTGCAGAAGACCGGAATCTCCTCCCCCTTCCCCCCCTCCCCCCACCCCCCCCCACCCCGCCACAGCTCAACTGTGAGCTGGAGGCTGAACAAAGACAGAACTTCCTGGATCTAGATGAGTCACTGGTTTGTTCTTCCCTAGCCACCTCCAGAAAGCCATGCTGAACATGCCATTTTCCTCACTTGGACTCAGTGGTGGGGAGCCTGACCACGTCTTCTCACCTCCAAGACGGGGCAAGGAGTTGGCTAATGGCCCAGCTTCATTCCTGGGGCATCTACCTTTGAAAATGTGTGCTCCTACTTGGAGCTCTTTAGCATGACTGCTCTCTTTACACATGAGGGGACTGGGGTCCTGAATGATTGACTCACCAAAGACAAAGTCAGTCCCAGGAGAAGCGAGAGCTGGCTGAGGTCTTACAAATCCAAGTTCCTGGTATCTCCTACTCTAAAATGCTGCCGCCTCCCATTCCAGCTTATATTTTCCCCCAAACTCTCTTTGCCTCCATTTTGTCCAGGCAGTGAATCTTGAGGTACTGAGTGACAGGAAGAATGTGGAAAACAGTCAGCTTTAATCCAGCCATTCTGCTCCTAGACATTCACCCAAGAGAGGAAAAACACCTATCTTCAAAAAGACTTAGACATGTTTTTTTTTTTTGTTTTTTTTTTTTTTTTTTTTTTTGCTGTGTTTGTTTTTTAGAGACAGAGTCTTGCTCTGTCGCTCAGGCTGGAGTGTGCAGTGGTGCGATCTCAGCTCACGGCAACCTCTGCCTCCTGGGTTCAAGCAATTCTTCTGTTTCAGCCTCCTGAGTAGCTGGGATTACAAGCGTGTGCCACCATGCCCGGCAAATTTTTGTATTTTTAGTAGAGATAGGGTTTTGCCGTGTTGGCCAGGCTGGTCTTGAACTCCTGACCTCAGGTGATCTGCCTGCCTCACCCTCCCAAAGTGCTGGGATTACAGGCATGAGCCACCGCACCCGGCCTTTCTCTGTATTTTTATTTGTAATAATCAAAAACTGAAAACAGTCCAGGTGTCAACTGACAGATGAATACGCAAATTGTGGTAGATCCATGCAACAGGTTATTACTCATCAATAAAAAAGAACAAACTAGCCGGGCGCAGTGGCTCGTGCCTGTAATCCCAGCACTTTGGGAGGCTGAGGCAGGCAGATCATGAGGTCAGGGGTTCGAGACCAGCCTGACCAACATGGTGAAACGCCATCTCTACTAAAAATACAAAAATTAGCTGGACGTGGTGGCCCACACCTATAATCCCAGCTACTCGGGAGGCTGAGGCAGGAGGATCGCTTGAACCTGGGAGGCGGAGTTTCCAGTGAGCCGAGATCGCGCCACTGCACTCCAGCCTGGGCGACAAAACAAGACTCTGTCTCAAAAAAAAAAAAAAAAAAAGGAACAAACTACCGATCCATATGACCGCATGAATGAAGCTTAAGAAATTATGTTGAGTGAAAGAAGCTAGAGACAAGAGTACATGCCATATGACTCTGCTTACACGATGTTCTAGATCATGCAAAACTAGAAATCAGGTCCATGTTTGCTTGCAGGGGCTGGAAGGATAGGAAGATGCACAGAGGACAGAAGGAGAAGACGATTACTTGGAAAGGGGCATGAGGAAAGTTTTTTGGGTTCATCTTAAAAATGTTCCATATCCTGCTTTTTGGGTTTTGTTTTGTTTTGTTTTTTTGAGACAGAGTCTCTCTCTGTCGCCCAAGCTGGAGTGCAGTGACAGGATCTCGGCTTACTGCAACCTCTGCCTCCTGGGTTCAAGCAATTCTCCTGCCTCAGCCTCCTGAGTAGCTGGGATTACAGGCTCCCACCACCATGAACAGCTAATTTTTTGTATTTTTAGTAGAGACGGGGTTTCACCATGTTGGCCAGGCTGGTTTTGAACTCCTAACCTCAGGTGATCTGTCTGCCTCAGCCTCTCAAAGCACTGGGATTACAGGTGTGAGCCACTGTGCCCAGCGAAAAATGTTCCATATCTTGATAGGTGTGTAGGTTACACAGATGTAAGCATTTGTTAGAACTGACCAAATTGTACACAAGATCTGTGCACTTGGATATCATAAGTTCTAACTACATTTGAAAGATGGGGGAAAAGGTAGTACATGACTGTTGCAAAACTATATAGAAGTAAAGAAGTAAGCAAAAATTATTCCTTTTTGGGGGGCGGGGACGGAGTTTCACTCTTGTTGCCCAGGCTGGAGTGCAATGGCACAATCTCAGCTCACCACAAACTCCGCCTCCTGAGTTCCAGCAATTCTCCTGCCTCAGCCTCTGGAGTAGCTGGGATTACAGGCATGCGCCACCACGCCCGGCTAATTTTCTATTTTTAGTAGAAATGGGGTTTCTCCGTGTTGGTCATGCTGGTTTCTAACTCCAGACCTCAAGTGATCCGCCCACCTTGGCCTCCCAAAGTGCTGGGATTACAGGCGTGAGCCACCGCACCCGGCCAGCAAAAATTATTCTTATTTCCCCATATTCAAATTTCACATCTCTGAGTTAACTGCTATTCATTCTTTCATGCAATAACCTTCCAGAGACCTTTTCTGGGCATATATGAATGTAATTCTGTGTAATGGGCTCACCCTGTACCTCACACTGTAACTGGCAATGGGAGAGGAAGAAGCTACAAAATTGAAAACAGCCGTTTCTGAATCTCAACAATTTCCTGTTCTTCTGTTTTAATATTAACTATTTTTCCATGTTAGAGCCCTCAGAAAGATTTTGTGGATGCCACTAATGGGTAAAAGAACATTTTGAAGATACTGTTTTTTTCTGAATTGTTTTTCTTTTGAAGAGCCACACCCTTCCATCCCACCTCATCCCAGGCTCCCATCTCCTCAGCCCCCTCTTCTTTCTTTCTTTCTTTTTTTTTTTTAGACGGAGTCTTGCTCTGTCACCCAGGCTGGAGTGCACTGGCTCGATCTAGGCTCACTGCAATATCCACCTCCCAGGTTCAAGTGATTCTCCTGCCTCAGCCTCCCAAGTAGCTGGGTCTACAGGCATGTGCCACCGTGCCCGGCTAATTTTGTATTTTTAGTACAGATGGGGTTTCTCCATGTTGGTCAGGGTGGTCTTGAACTCCTGACCTGAGGTGATCCATCTGCCTCGCCCTCCCGAAGTGCTGGGATTACAGGCATGAGCCACCATGCCTGGCCTCCCTCTTCCTTCTTGACATCTAAGGTGACACTGTCTAATCCCCATTGCCTATTTTTCCATTTCTTTTTCTTTTTTTTGAGACAGAGTCTTGCTCTGTTGCCTAGGCTGGAGTGCAGTGGCACAATCGTGGCTCACTGCAACCTCCGCTTCCTGAGTTCAAGCAATTCTCTTGCCTCAGCCTCCCGAGCAGCTGGGACTACAGGCGCCTGCCATCGTGCCCAGCTAATTTTTGTATTTTTAGTAGAGATGGGGTTTCACCATGTTGGCCAGGCTGGTCTCAAACTCCTGACCTCGGGTGATCCACCCACCTCAACCTCCCAAAGTGCTGGGATTACAAGCATGAGCCACCGTGCCTGGCCTTTTTTTCCCATTTCAACTGTGCAAAATCCTGTCATCTTTCATGGGCCTGAGCCCTCTTGAGGTACATGGAGACAGTGCTGATCTCTCATAGGCTAGATCAGTGGTTTCCCAAGAATGAGGACTGTTTTTAAAAGTCTAAACACCCCAAAGATGGCCCTTTATGACACTTTTTATATCTACTGAATGGGAAAATACAGAAAAGAAAAGCATATTAATTAAATGCAATGCTTCTAAATGGATTTGCATTTTATTAACTATAAGAATATCTACATGCGGCCGGGTGTGGTGGCTCACGCCTGTAATCCCAGCACTTTGGGAGGCCAAGGCGAGTGGATCATCTGAGGTCAGGAGTTCGAGACCAGCCTTGCCTACATGCTGAAACCCTGTCTCTACTAAAAATACAAAAAATTAGCCCGGCATGGTGGCACATGCCTGTAATCCCAGCTACTTGGGAGGCTGAGGCAGGAGAATCACTTGAACCCAGGAGGTGGAGGTTGCAGTGAGCTGAGATCGTGCCATTGCACTCCAGGCTGGGCGACAGAGCAAGACTCTCTCTCGAGGAAACAACAAAAAAAGAATATCTACACGCATTAAAATATTACTAAAATAATAGTAATAGCAGTTACTATTTATTGTGTACTTGTTATGTGCCAGGTATTTTGCTAAGTGCTCTCCATGCATTTGCCTATAATTTGGCCCATAACTCCTCAGGGTGGATACCATTTTATCCTCATTATACATTATGAGGAAACTGAGGCACAGAGAACATTAGTAACTTGCCCAAGCTCCCACTGATGGGCAGTGGGGGCCTAGAATTCAGAGTCTGACAGGCACAAAGGATGTAGTGCCACTTGATCCTGCCTCTTTTATTTACTTGCTCTGCAGACAAGATTTGGCTTGTCTCCAAAGCCAAATGAGTTCTCCAGTCCCTGGCTTAAACTCCCAGGAATGAGACTGCCAGGAGGGAGTCACAGGCTATTTGGGGAAGATGGGTGCCGAGCGCTCAGCCTCAACCTGTTGGCTGGCCTGGGACCCCACTAACTCCGGCCCCGTTCTTGGGACATATTTCAGTCCTCTGAGCTCAGGGGGCTTGAGTAGCTCTGCCCAGGCAGGGCTTGTCCAAGTGTCCCCAGATGCTGGAGGGGTTAACAGTTGAGAAGCTGTTTGCAGACCATTAGAAACAATAATCACCTTACCTGTAACCTGATCTACCTCAAAAGAAGGGTCTTGATTTTAGCAAACAGTGTAAGTGGCCTCTGTGTAAAGTGGAGGGGTGGAGCCGGCTGCCTGACTGCTTAGCTCTTGTTTCTCAAGCCAGGCCCAAGGGTCAATTCCTGGGCCTACAGGGTGAGCTCACACCCTTTTCTGGCTGCTTTCTCCCCTTGGAATTCTGAAAACGGCTGCCCTGTGTGCAGTGAGTTGCTACAAGCCCCACATGGCTGCTCTCCTGGCCCAGCCAGGGGGAGCAAGTAACTTTCTGTTTGAGGTCCTCTTGACCAAGAACAGTCACGAACTCTTTCCTGTGCACTCAAGGGCACACTCTTCTTTAATCCTCGCCTCTAAGCATGATTGCTTGCTGTGCTTTCCAATTCACAGGTGAGAAAGAACAGACTTAGAGACAGCAGTGTGAGGAAGCCAGAGCTGGTTGTTAAACTTCAAGAATTTAGTGGCCGGGCATGGTGGCTGAAGCCTGTAATCCCAGCACTTTGGGGGGCCGAGGCGGGCAGATCACGAGGTCGGGAGATCGAGACCATCCTGGCTAACACGGTGACACCCTGTCTCTACTAAAAATACAAAAAATTAGCTGGGCATGGTGGCGGGAGCCTGTAGTCCCAGCCTCAGCTACTCGGGAGGCTGAGGCAGGAGAATGGCGTGAACCCGGGAGGCGGAGCTTGCAGTGAGCCAAGATCGTGCCACTGCACTCCAGCCTTGATGACACAGCGAGACTCCGTCTCAAAAAAAAAAAAAAAAAAAAGAATTTAGTAAGCGAATGGTTAAACATAGCCATTGGTAAGCCTGAGGTGGGAGGACTGATTGAGCCCAGAAGTTTGAAATCAGCCCGGGGAACACAATGAGACCTCGTTTCAAAAAATAAATAAATAGGCTGGGCGCGGTGGCTCACACCTGTAATCCCAGCACTTTGGGAGGCCGAGGTGGGTGGATCACTTGAGGTCGGGAGTTCGAGACTAGCCTGACCAACATAGTGAAACCGCGTCTCCACTAGAAATACAAAAATTAGCCGGATGTGGTGGCACATGCCTGTAATCCCAGCTACTCGGGAGGCTGAGGAAGGAGAATCTCTTGAACCCAGGAGGCGGAGGTTGCAGTGAGCTGAGATAGCGCCATTGCACTCCAGCCTGGGCAACAGAGTGAGAGTGCCTAAAAAAAAAAATAAATAAAAAGTTTATTACATAAACTTATAATTAAGTAAATTATGTTTAGAACAAAGGTAATAAATACACAGAACTCATCACTTACTAATTATTTGACTGTGTTTGTATCTGTGCTTTGGAGGTTACGTCTGTTGTATCTGTATGGTAGAAGTTCTGTGGAATATAGTGTGCTAGTCTACTGCTTTTCCCAACTCTCCATTTAGCGACATCATGCTGGTAACTTGAAACTGGTCATGGTGGTGTCAGAAGCGTTTGAACCAGAGCGACTCCATCTTGGACAGGGACTGGGTAAAATAAGGCTGAGACCTACTGGGCTGCATTCCCAGGAGGTGAAGACATTCTAAGTCACAGTGTGAGATAGGAGGTCAGCACAAGATACAGGCCATAAAGACCTTGCTGATAAAACAGGTTGCAGTAAAGAAGCCGGCAAAAACCCAGCAAAACCAAGATGGCCAGGAGAGTGACCTCTTGTCGTCCACACTGCTCATTATACGCTAATTATAATATATTAGCATGCTAAAAGACACTCCCACCAACCCCATGACAGTTCACAAATGCCGTGGCAATGTCAGGAAGTTACCCTATATGGTCTAAAAAGGGGAGGAACCCTCAGTTCCAGGAATTGCCCACCCCTTTCCTGGAAACCTCATGAATAATCTACCCCTTGTTTAGCATATGATCAAGAAATAACCATAAAAATGGGCAACCAGCAGCCCTTGGGGCTGCTCTGCCTAGTCATTCTATAGTCCTTTACTTTCTTAATAAACTGGCTTTCACTCTTATGAATTTGCCTCAAATTCTTGTGCAAGATCTAAGAACCCTCTCGGGGTCTGCATTGGGGCCCTTTCCGGTAACCGTGTGGGTATTTACACCACAAGAATTGACGGGGCCGGGCGCGGTGGCTCACGCCTGTAATCCCAGCACTTTGGGAGGCCGAGGCGGGTGGATCACGAGGTCAGGAGATCAAGACCATCCTGGCTAACACGGTGAAACCCCGTCTCTACTAAAAATACAAAAAATCAGCCGGGCATGGTGGCGGGCGCCTGTAGTCCCAGCTACTGGGGAGGCTGAGGCAGGAGAATGGCGTGAACCTGGGAGGCGGAGCTTGCAGTGAGCCGAGATCGCGCCACTGCACTCCAGCCTGGGCGACACAGCGAGACTCCGTCTCAAAAAAAAAAAAAAAAAAAAGAATTGACAAATGTACAGATCAGGGCTTGCATTTCTTTCCAAGCTCCTACTGATGGGCAGAGTGCTGGTTGTTAAACATTGACCAGTACCCTAGTGCTTAGAGAGGTCAACTAACTTGACAAGGTCACAGGGCTCATGGTGGAGCCAAGCAGACAGCTGGACTCCAGAACACTTATTGCTGTGCTATTGTATCTCTTCAAAAATAATAAAGAATAACTTCGGGCCGGGCGTGGGGGATCATGCCTGTAATCCCAGCACTTTGGGAGGCTGAGGCGGGCAGATCGCCTGAGGTCAGGAGTTACAGACCAGCATGGCCAACATAGTGAAACTCCATCTCTACTAAAAATACAAAAATTACCTGGGGGTGGCGGCAGCACCTGTAATCCCAGGTACTCGGAGGCTGAGGCAGGAGAATCGCTTGAACCCGGGAGGCGGAGGTTGCAATGAGCCGAGATCGCACCATTGCACTCTAGCCTGGGCGACAACAGTGAGACTTCGTCTCAAAAAAAAAAAAAAAAAAAAAAAAAGAATATCTTCAAAAATCAATTTCTAGGAAATAGTAGACTTGAAGGAGGGCTAATGGTTAAATAATGGTTAAAGATTAAGAGACTTAAAGGCATACCATTCCATCACAGTAGTCGTACTTTCTTCTGATTAAAATAAAGTGTAAAAAAATTATGTAATTGATGAAGCATTTGCAAATGTGAGCACTCATTAGATGATTATTGGTATGAATGAATTATTATTTTTCAGTGTATTATCTTTTTTTGTTCATATTAATGTATCCAACTGAGTAAGTATATTATGTTTTACAGCACTGAATATTTAAGAAGAAATGATGTAATGTCTGGGATTGGCTTTGAGAAAAATAATACCAGAAAGGAAAAGTGACTAGGCATACAGATCAGTGGTTCTCAAAGTGGTTGCCAAAGGGCAGCATCAGCATCACCTGGGAACTTGTCTGAAATGCAAGTTCTCAGGTCCCACCTCAGACCTAGTGGATCAGAAATCCTGAGAAGGGGCTAAGCACAGTGGCTCACACCTGTAATCCCGATACTCTGGGAAGCCGAGGCGGGCAGATCATCTGAGGTCAGGAGTTCTAGACCAGCCTGACCAACATGGCGAAACCCCGTCTCTACTAAAAGTACAAAATTAGCTGGGCGTGGTGGTGCATGCCTGTAGTCCCAGCTACTAGGGAGGCTGAGGCAGGAGAATCACTTGAACCCAGGAGGCAGAGGTTGCAGTGAGCCGAGATTGTGCCACTACACTCCAGCCTGGTGACAGAGAGAGACCCTGTCTCAAAAAAAAAAAAAAAAAAAAAAATATTACCGGGCGTGGTGGCACGTGCCTGTAAATCCCAGCTACTGGGGAGGCTGAGGCAGGATAATCGCTTGAACCTGGGAGGTAGAGGTTGCAGTGAGCCAAGATCATGCCATTGCACTCCAGCCTGGGTGACGGAGCAAGACTCTTATCTCAAAAAAAAAAAAAAAAAAAAATCTGAGATGGGGTCCAGCGATCTGTGTTTCAACAAGCTCCCCCCAGCTGATTCTGATACACACTCAAGCTTGAGAAACACTGGTTTAGATGAAACAAGATTCACCATGAGTTGATAGTTGTTGAGGCTGGTGACAGGTACATGGGGTGGGGAGTTCACATGTGTTTTTGAAATTTTCTATAATAAAAAGTTAAAAGAAATGATTAAGCACATTGGAAGGGAGGAGTGTACATATAATGGGGGAAGGGTCATTGCTGGAGGACCTCTGGATATAGAGTGAGACAAAACAGATTCTTGTGCATGCATCTGTGTTGCCTTTTGAATTAAACATCCAGGATAATGGTTGCATTAGCTCCTGCCTTTAACAGGAAGCTCTGCTCCCCCACCCCGCCCCCCACCAACCCCAGTTCCTCAGGTTTCTCTTCATTTGGAGCCTAAGTTTTAACAGGATTAGATCCTGGAGCCTCAAATCTCTTAGAGAAGCAGCGATTTGAATTTTCAGCTTCCACCTGAAACTGTGTCACTGTAAAATATGCCACCCACTAGACCTGCTTTATCAGCTGCAGACATGATGCAATTAACTAATTTTCTGCAACCTCTCACCACACAAGCCGTGGAACTTCTAGTCCATTGTGTGGCTCGTTTACTTAGCAGATAGGGTCTAAGAGCCTGTAACTATTTACCTCCCTCTAGAGGGGCTGTCCCAGACAGGTGAATTCATTAGTTGGTGTTTGTAAAGCAGCAGGAAAACCAAAAAAGCATTAGGCAAGTTTTTATTTTTATTTCTTTATTTGGCCTGAACGCCACTCAAGCGATGTCCTGTCCTGTCCTGCGTTGTCAGTTTGCCTCCCTTCATATCCACCCCCTCTTCTCTCTAGCCCATTTTTCTCTTATTCAGAAATGAGAGATGCCCACAACTGGAAAACTCTTCCCATTTTGTCCCAGAGGATGCAAAGTTCTGCCTGCCCATCACATGGGATCAGCGATCTTTAGGTTTTTTCATTTAAATGCCAAGGCATCTCTGCTTCCTGTTTCAGGTGTCCTTCTGCCCCATCTTTGAGCAGTGGTCTTTTCTTTCTTTTCTTCTTTCCCCACTTCCATTTTCTCTCCTCTCTCTTTTTTTTTTGAGACAAAGTCTCGCTCTGTTGCCCAGGATGGAGTGCAATGGCACCATCTCGGCTCATTGCAACCTCCACCTCCTGGGTTCAAGTGATTCTCCTGCCTCAGCCTCCTGAGTAACTGGGGTTACAGGCAGGCACCAAAACGCTAGGCTAATTTTTGTATTTTTAGTAGAGACAGGGCTTCACCATGTTGGCCAGGCTGGTCTCGAGCCCCCCGACCTCAGATGATCCACCTGCCTCAGCCTCCCAAAGTGTTGGGATTACAGGTGTGAGTCACCACGCCCGGCCTCACTTGGTTGTTTTTTTTTTTTTTTTTGAGACGGAGCTTCACTCTTGTTGCCCAGGCTGGAGTTCAATGGCGCAATCTCGTCTCACTGCAACCTCCACCTTCCAGGTTCAAGCAATTCTCCTGCCTCAGCCTCCCAAGTAGCTGGGATTACAGGCATGTACCACACCCCTGGCTAATTTTTTGTATTTTTAGTAGAGACAGTGTTTCACCATTTTGGCCAGGCTGGTTTCGAACTCTTGACCTCAGGTGACCCACCCGCCTCAGCCTCCCAAAGTGCTGAGATTACAGGCATGAGCCACTGAGCCCCAGCTCCCTTGTATTTTTCATAGAAAAGGCACAAGGAAGAAGTTCAATGATGAGAAGGAAGAAAGAATATTCCTCAAGTGTAATTAAAGGTAGGAAAAATGACAGTTCTTTTGGAATCCAAGTTTGAAAATATTTCTTTTTAATGTGGTAGGATAAAACAAAGCATAACAGTAAATTGACCGTTTAACCATTGTTAGGTGATAGTTCAGTGGCTAAGTACATTCACACTGCTGTGCAACCGTCGTCATCAGCACTTCCAGAACGTTTTCGTCATCCCATACTGAACTCTGTACTCATTAAACGTGGAATCCCCATTTCCCCTCCCCACCCCTGGCAATCACCACTCACTTTCTATTACATCTCTGTGAATTTGACTACTCTAGGTACCTCATATAACTGGAAACCTACAGTATTTGTTTTTTTGTGTCTAGCTTAGTTTAGCATAATGTCTTCAAGGTTCATTCCTATTGTAGCATATGTCCAAATTTCATTCCTTTTTAAGGCTGAATAATATATATATATTATAATTATATATGATGTATAATGTATACACATCATACATATATGTATGCATAATATATACACAACATACATATATGTATGCATAATATATACACAACATACATATATGCATACATAATATATATACACCATATTTTGTTTATCCATTCATCTGTTGATGAACATTTGGGTTATTTCTTTTTTTTTTTTGAGACAGAGTTTTGTGCTCTTGTTGCCCAGGTTGGACTGCAATGGCACGATCTCGGCTCACCGCAACCTCTGCCTCGTGGGTTCAAGCGATTCTCCTGCCTCAGCCTCCCCAGTAGCTGGAATTACAGGCATGTGCCACCACGCCTGGCTAATTTTTTTGTATTTTTAGTAGAGACGGGTTTCTCCATGTTGGTCAGGGTGATCTCGAACTCCCGACCTCTGGTGATCCGCCTGCCTCGGCCTCCCAAAGTGCTGGGATTACGGGCGTGAGCCACCGCGCCCAGCCCATTTGGGTTATTTCTGTCTTTTGGCTAGCGCGAGTAATGCTGCTATAAGCATTGGTGTGCAAATAACTGAGTCCCTGCTTTTAATTCTTTAGGGTATATACTCAGAAGTGGAATTGCTGGATCATGTGGTAATTCTATGTTAACTTTTTAACTATGTACTGCAAAATATTCCATTGTATTTTTCACATATTTTTGGCAATTTAAGTTCTGTTTTCTTTTTTTTGTTTTTGTTTTTTGTTTTTTGAGACTGAGTCTCGCTCTGTCCCCCAGGCTGGAGTGCAGTGGCGGGATCTTGGCTCACTGCAAGCTCTGCCTCCCGGGTTCACGCCATTCTCCCGCCTCAGCCTCCCGAGCAGCTGGGACTACAGGCACTCGCCACTATGCCTGGCTAATTTTTTGTATTAGTAGAGACGGGGTTTCACCGTGTTAGCCAGGATGGTCTCGATCTCCTGACCTCGTGATCCGCCCGTCTCGGCCTCCCACAGTGCTGGGATTACAGGCGTGAGCCACCGCGCCCGGCCCACTAAGGAGCTATTATTTAATATCTGATTTAGTCTTCATAATAATCCTGCAAGTGAAGTATCATCATCCCCATTTCACAGTGTGGAGGGCTCAGGACAGCTGAGTCCCACACTGAAGGTCACCGTTGTGATAGAGAGTGAGCTGGGAATTCATCCCTGTCCCTTTGGTGGAGCCACCATTATCCTGATCTGTGCTCATGGAATCCCTGACACTGGATCTGGGGTATAACAAGAACCGTGGCCAGGAATGGATGACTTTGCAAGCATGTGTGTGTGCAGAAGGAGACAGGAAGGGGCTCCCGTGGTTTTGCTTGGGGCCCTGTGGTTGGATGTGGGAGCCCAGGTTGGGTGGCTGTGTGTCCATGAGCCCCTAAAGTCCACAGCCTCACTGGCAGAGCACCTCCTACTTCTGGGACTGCCTTGGGGCTGGAGGAGCCTCTGTGACTGCACCATGTCTCCAGGTTGTCATCCCTTGGGAATGGTCCTGCTTATCGCCTCTGTGAAGCTGCCTCCTAACTGTAGCCCATTGAGATCTTTGCCTTTTCCAACTCTAACCACACCAGTTTGTAACCCATACTTAACCCTTTTCCCGCTTGCCCCGAGAATACTCACAGGCAGCACTTGTGCAGCATTTACCCCCAAGATAACTTTGCCACAAGTATCTCGCTTTTATTATTATTTTTGCATCACTCTAATATATTGAATTTGGAAACAAAAGACATCATTCTATTTTTAACATTCTGTTTTTAGAAACAGTATTTCCATTTACAAAATATAGTAATTCTCAATCACTGAAAATGTCCAATCCTAGAAAACATAGCATTCCTATGCATGATGTTAACATCATTCTGGAATGGTTGTTGGCCGGATTCTTTTGATGAATCTGATTTTTCTGAAATAGATAATTCTGATGATTCAGACAATTCTGATGTTAGTTCTATTTAGAAATAACTCTGAGAACAGTTCTTTTTTTTTTTTTCTTTTGAGACAGAGTCTGACTCTGTACCCCAGGCTGGAGTGCAGTGACGTGATCTCGGCTCACTGCAGCCTCTGCTTCCTGGATTCAAGCTATTCTCCTGCCTCAGCCTCCCAAGTAGCTGGGATTACAGATGTGCACCAAGAGGACCGGCTATTTTTTTTTTTAATTTTTTTTTAATTTTTTTTTTTAGTAGAGATGGGGTTTCGCCATGTTGGCAAGGCTGGTCCCGAGCTCCTGACCTCAAGTGATCCATCCTCCTCGGCCTCCCAAAGTGCTGGGATTACAGGCATGAGCCACTGCACTGGCCTGAGAACAGTTTTTATATTTTATTTTTACATTGAAGTCAGTCAGATTTGCTTCAGCCTCAAATATTGTGTTTATGTGAAATTAAATGAGTGCTGGCAGTGAGCTGCACTTTTTTTTTCTAAATGGGAAAAGGGTTAATAAGGGCTTATGTTCATTCTTGTATTGCTCTCTAAACTTTGTTCCTTGTCACAGAAGAAAAATAGTCACCCCTTTTGAGGCCAGAGACCTGGGTTACACTTTTTTTGTACACAACCCTTCCTAAATAGAGCACTAGATTCAACTATTGACTGACAAAGTACATTTTTAGTGGACACTCAGAGCTTCTGTAAGAGTCAGCTAAGAATAATTGGTATGAACAGCTGTTCTCATAGAAGAGGAAAAAGAGAAGGACAAACCCCTCAAACTCAGTTTTATGATTCCGGAACGAATGAAAGTGTGCTGTGTATCCGTTTTTATTTATTTATTTATTTACTTACTTATTTATGAGACTGGGGTCAAGGTCCCACCAGCACTCAGGCTGGAGGGCAGTGGCATGATCACAGCTAACTGCAGCCTCAACTTATTGGGCTCCAGTGATCTTCCTGTCTCAACCTCCCGGCTAGCTGGGACTACAGGTGCATGCCACAATGCATGACTCATTTTAAAATTTTTATTATGTAGAGTCAGAGGTCTTGCTTTCTTGCCCAGGCTAGTCTGGAACTCCTGGCCTCAAGAGACTCTTCTGTCTTGGCCTCTCAAAGTTCTGGGATTATAGGCAAGAGCCACCATGCCTGGCCTGTATCTGTTTTTAAATGCAGCCAGCAGAGCTTTAAGGGGAACCCTACCCCGCTTTGCCCAACACACACTTTCAGCTATCATTTCTGTCATTCTCATCCTAACTTCTGGGGTGTAGCTAGTTTTCTAGCACCTCCTTTGAAAACTGGGGGTGCCTTAGGGAATCTGGAGGCCATGGTGGTGGGAGTGGTGGCAGGAAGATGAGGGGAAGGACCAACATTTTCCTTGGAGGCCTGAAAATTGTTTTATGCATTTTTTTTTTTTTTTGAGAGGGAGGCTTGCTCTGTCACCCAGGCTAGAGTGCAGTGGCACAATCTCGGCTCATTACAACCTCTGCCTCTTGGATTCGAGCGATTCTTCTGCCTCAGCCTCCCAAGTAGCTGGGACTACATGCATGCACCACCATGCCTGGCTAAGTTTTTTTTTTCAGTAGAGACTGGGTTTCGCCATGTTGGCCAGGCTGGTCTAGAACTCCTGAGCTCACGTGATCCACCCGCCTAGGCCTCCCAAAGCGCTGGGATTACAGGCATGAGCCACCCTGTGCCCAGCCTATTTTATCCTTTTAATGATCATAATTTAAAATAGCATATAGAATTATAATTCAAATCCTGTAGGGGTTTTCTCTTTTTTCAACTTTGTGAATCATTTTGTTTTATTTTCTTTTTCTGACCACATTTTCTTTTTTGTGTGAGTGATTAAAAAAAATTTTTTTTATTTCCATAGGTTTTTAGGGAACAGGTGGTATTTTGTTACATAAGTAAGTTCTTTAGTGGTGATTTGTGAGATTTTGGTGCACCCATCACCAGAGCAGTATACACTGAACCCAATTTGTGGTCTTTTATCCCTCCCTTCCCACCTGCTTCCCACCCTTTCACCCCAAGTCCCCAAAGTCCATTGTGAGGCTGATGGGGGACTTGCTTTCTGTGATTTGCTTGCAGATTTTTGGCCATAGAGATTTGTTGTGATTTCTAAGCCAGCTGCTCTCATCTGTGAAATTGTCCCCAGGCAATCTTCTGTTACCTGTGTAAGTTACAGAAGTCCTCATTGAAAGAAGCAATGCACCTTGAAAATGGAATCCTTGCCAGGTGCGGTGGCTCATGCCTGTAATCCCAGCACTTTGGGAGGCTGAGGTGGGCGGATCACCTGAGGTCAGGAGTTCGAGACCAGCCTGACCAACATGGTGGAACCCTGTCTCTACTAAAAACACAAAATTAGCCAGGCATGGTGGCACATGCCTGTAATCCCAGCTACTTAGGAGGCTGAGGTAGGAGAATCGCTTGAATCCGGGAGGCGGAGATTGCAGTGAGCCGAGATGGCACCACTGCACTCCAGCCTGGGCAACAAGAGTGAAACTCCGTCTCGAAAAAAAAAAAAAAAGAAATACCTGGCCCCAACATGTATTTCCCTCCCAGGTGTGGAAGGCTTTTCCCCTCATTGCACAGATAATAAGGCCAAGTATATCTGATACTGGTGGGCTGGGGGAGGTCCCCAAATGCCGGTGGTGTCCAGGCTCTTGACATCATGGTGTGAAGGAATTCAAGGATGAGTCAGAAAACAGTGAAAGTACAGAGATTTGTCACAAAGTGAAAAGGACACACTCAGGAAAGGGAGGGCGGTGGACTCAAGAAAGTCTCACAGTGAGGTTTAAGGTTTCTATTTTTATGGGGTTCTTTAACCAAGGGATGGGTTTTTCATGAAGATTTCTGGAAAAAGGTGGAGATTTCGTGGAACTGTGGGGCCACCTTTTTTTTTTTTTATGAGGCAGAGTCTCACTCTGTCGCCCAGGCTCGAGTGTAATGGCGTGATCACAGCTCACTGCAACCTCTGCCTCCTGGGTTCAAGCAATTTTCCTTCTCAGCCTCCCCAGTAGCTGGGATTACAGGCACCTGCCACCACGCCTGGCTATTTTTTAAAAATTTTAGTAGAGGTAGGGTTTCACCATGTTGGCCAAGCTGGTCTTGAACTCCTAACCTCAAATGAACTGCCCACCTCTGCCTCCCAAAGTGCTGCAATTATAGACCTGAGCCATCGTGCCCAGTCTGGGGCCACCCATTTTTACATCAAATATGGGTGTTCCCGGAGCCGTGCTGGTGCTGGTGGTGGGTGTGCATTTAGTATGCTAATGAGCACATAATGAGGTCCTAAGAGAAACTGAGGTCAAACCCAGTGCCATGTTAGTCGGTCTTAGCCAGTATGGTCCACACCCTGGTTACTCAGGGGCTTAGCTGTCCCTACCTTCGGCAGCTATTTCAACAGTTTCCTCTTGCTAGTAATGTGAAATTGTTGCCTAGAATTTTCTATTCTCCTGCAACCACCCTGTCCTGTTTCATATTTACGCCATATTTACCCAGACTGTGGTCCGCAAGCAGAATGTGTGTGGAGAGAGGTTGCCGGGATCACTCAAGGAAAATGGAAAAGACTGTTTTTCTTTTCATTGAAAATCCTCCTCAGGAGGTACTCAAAGGCTGGTAACTTGCAAAGAAGTCTTTCTGAAGCAACAAGATTTCTGAGCTGACTTGTTCCCTGGCTCACGGCAAGGATCAGTCATGTCATGGAAGATGGTACCTCCAATGTGAGAACCACTAGCCACAGGAGGCTACTGAAATTTAAATCAATTAAAGTGAAGTCAAATCAAATATTCATTTCTTCAGTTGCATTAGCTACATTTCAAGTGCTCAATAGCACATGTGACTAGTGACTGCTATGCTGGATGAGCTGCTATAGGGCACTTCCATCATCCCAGAATGTTCTACTGGACAGTGTTATTCTAAGGCAAACCACTCAGCAGAGGCTGCCTAACTGGTCCCAGCAGTGGTGAGCTGCACTGTGGCTCCAGGACCCCTAGTGAGGCTAGAGTGAGTATACATGAATAATGCTACATGTATAGTGCAGGTTTGGCCATTGGAATGAACACTTAATGACACTTTCAACTAACACTTATTTCTTAAACATAGCACTTAGTTATATGTTATTCCAACAAGCATCAGAAACCCCAGTACTGTGCAAGACACAATTTCTGTCCCTTGGAGTTCATAACCTTCAAGTTGAGGTAGGAAATAAATAATAATAAGCTGTGATAAGCTGAAAAGTGGGCATTTGCCAAGGGGCAATAGATATTTTGGAGAAAGGGATCAAGGAAGATTCTCAAAGAAAGGGATATGTGGGCAGTTTAAAAGAGTGGCTAGAAATTTGTTAATATGTGGGGCCTGGATGCGGTGGTTCACACCTGTAATCCCAGCACTTTGGGAGGCCAAGGCGGGTGGATCATGAGGTCAAGAGATCGAGACCATCCTGGCCAACGTGGTGAAACCCCATCTCTATTATAAATACAAAAATTAGCTGGGCATGGTGGCACATGCCTGTAGTCCTAGCTACTTGGGAGGCTGAGGCAGGAGAATCACTTGAACCCAGGAGGCGGAGGTTGCAGTGAGCCGAGATTGCGCCACTGCACTCCAGCCTGGCAACAGAGCGAGACTCCATCTCAAAAAAAAAAAAAAAAGAAAAAGAAATTTATTAATAGGCTGGGGGAAATGTCCAAAATAGAAGAAACTGCAGAACACTTTGGAGAACAGTAATATGTTTGGTGTGGCCGGGCGGGGTGGCTCACGCCTGTAATCCCAGCACTTTGGGCGGATCACGAGGTCAGGAGAACGAGACCATCCTGGCCAACATGGTAAAGCCCCGTCTCTACTAAAAAAAATACAAAAATTAGCTGGGTGTTGTGGCACGTGCCTGTAATCCCAGCTACTCGGGAGGCTGGGGCAGGAGAATTGCTTGAATCAGGGAGTCGGAGGTTGCAGTGAGCCGAGATCGTGCCACTGTACTACAGCCTGGCGACAAAGCAAGACTCCATCTCAAAAAAAAAAAAAAAAGTTTGGTGTTAGAGGAATGTGGAGCAGGAATGAGAATGGCAAGACCAGCCACCACATTTGCAGGGCCTGTGCAAAATGCAAACGTGGAGACCCTTTTGCTCAAAAATTATTCAGAATTTCAAGATGGAGACAGGTGAGCATTAAATCCAGTGAGCACACAGGTTGTGTGCTCATGAACCAAGCTATCCTGGTGGCAGGAGATGAAGTTAAAGAGAAAGGTAGGCCCATATTATCAAAGGCTTTCCCATTCATGCTCTGGAGCTTGGGCTGTGTCCTGAAGGTGGCAGAGCCATAAGAGATTCTTAACCTGGGGTAAGGCAAGATCGGGCTTGCATTTTTACAAAGACTGTGTTGGGGGCAGCACGGAAGAAGCTGGCAGGAAGGCTGGCTCAGAAGTGATTGGAATGGTCTGGAGAGAGAGGATGAGAACAGGAGGATGTCCCACTCTCCATGGGACAGAGAGGCGCTGGGGCTCTGAGAGCTATGTAGGTGGTGAACTTGATGCCAGGCCCCAGCTTGGAGAGTGTACGTGCAGCCAGCTGCCTCCTGTTGAGATTTCTTGTGCCTCCTTTGCAAGCTCTGGAGTCTTTGGGTTCCCATTACCCACACAGGACAAAGGCCAATGGTGCAGGGACAGTGGGAAGGGCTGATGCCACACTTGCCACAAACCCCTTGCCAGGAACTCTTTCAGGAATCCCCTTATTCTGTTTTCCAAGACCCTTTGGACTTTCCAAAACTCTTTGGAAAACAGAGTAAATCTAAGGAGAGCCAAAGAATGCCCCCTCTCCTCTCCAGCCCTGGAAATACAGCATTTAGAGGAAGCTAAATCATTGTCGCTTCAATAACCCCTCCCCTGGATTTGCATTTCCTGACTTGGATATTTGTGACATTCCAGGGGTCATTATCAGAAGGTTTCACTTTTCATTTCCTGGTGGAATCAGGACGTGCCCCTTTTGCGGGGAGTGGTGGTGGTGAGGGAGCCGGTGTGCAATGAGGTGTCTGCCAAGAGCACAGGGCAATTCCACAACACAGCAGAGAGGGGTGAAAAGGAAGTGAACGTGCCCTCCTCCACTACCAGACAAAAAGGGAAACCGGTGTGTATTCAGTGCCAGGACTCCTCCCTTTTGATAAAATCTCTCTCCTAATCCTCATTACAATGCCTGAAGGTGTGCATAACGAGCCTTTTACACATGAACGCACTCAGGCTCTCCCAGGACTGGAGCTACCTGCCCATTGTCACTTGTTGACGGGATGTGGATTAGAACTCTGGTCTTCTCATTTCCGGATGGCTGCCCCATCCCCAGCTGCCCCTCCCAGCTGGAGTCAGTGCCTAGGAACAACCATGGGTCATCCTGGGTACAAAATTAGCCAGGCGTGGTGGCACATGCCTGTAATCTCAGCTACTCGGGAGGCTGAGGCAGGAGAATTGCTTGAAACCGGGAGGCGGAGTTTGCGGTGAGCCGAGATCTCACCATTGCACTCCAGTCTGGGCAACAAGAGCAAAACTCTGTCTCAAAAAAAAAGGAAGAGGTGCAATAGTGAGACAGACCATCTTGGGTAAATTCCGACTGTCTTGTTTCTAAGATGAGGGAGACTTTATTTGAACCTTGCAAGGAGCGGACGTCTCCATTAGCTTATTTGTTTTGTTTTGTTTTTTGAGATGGAGTCTCACTTTGTTGCCCAGGCTGGAGTGCAGTGGCGTGAGTGGCAGTGGAGTGCAGTGGTGGCTCGCTGCAACCTCCGCCTCCTGGGTTCAAGCAATTCTCCTGCCTTAGCCTACTGAGTAGCTGGGATTACAGGCACGCGCCACCACGCCCAGCTAATTTTTAACTTCTTAGTAGAGTCGGGGTTTCACCATGTTGGCCGGGCTGCTCTTGAACTCCTGACCTCAGGTGATCTGCCTGCCTCGGCCTCCCAAAGTGCTGGGATTACAAGTGTGAGTCACCGTGCCCAGCTCCATTAGCTTATTTGTAAAAAAGAAATGAAGAAGTAAAAGCTAGGAGTCTGGTCTGACCCAGAGAGAGGGAAAGGGGAGGCATAGTTAACGCATTTGAGGGAAAATAAGAAACACAAGCAACAGAGTGAAGCAGGTATAAGTTGTGAATGGGCTGCACTGGGCTAGGTTGTTGGAAGAAATTTTTAAAGAAAAATGTATGAATATGCTTGTAAGTCTGAGTTGGTGAGGTAATTCTGGACTTTCTAGAAATGTGGGGATATGGTGGGGGCAAGTGGGAGAGGGAGAATGAACTTGGCCATTTATGAGATCAGCCTGACTTCAGGGTGGCTCCCTTGCCCACAGATCGTTCCCTGTACCTTGAGCTCTAACAAGCAGGGGCCACATCTGATTGTTGTAGGGATCTTGGGGGAGGAAGAGAGAGGGGAGAACATTGGGAGAGAAGTCGTGTTTTCCAGCAGAAGGGATATCTGTGCAGATGCTCGGAGGAGAAGGCTGCTTTCTCAGGTCAATCGCTCATTTAAACTGGGATCTTAATTTTACGGATAGGAAAAGATCTCCTAGACATAAAAGTTTTGCTGACAGAAAAAGTCTACTACCCATGGGCTCTGGATGAAAGGCCTGGGCCTCTGCGGGTATCTTCCGGGCTGCAAAAAGGGCTAGGCTGCTCGAAAAGTACTTGAAACAAATAAAACAGTGACTCTAAAACACACCCATATGTCACATTCTTAGAGAAAAGACCTTCTGTAATTAGTTACAAGCTTTAGAGAATAAAATCCAATTTACCTGTCAAAGAGAAAGGCTGAATTGCACCCCTCCCACACTGATTGTTGGGGTGGGGGGGGATATAGCTTGTAGGCCCCTCCCTCCCTATCCCCTACCTTTCTCCTCCCATCTCCTTTATTGAAGAAGACTGAAAAAAAAGTTGGAAAAATCCTCTAAAGACACACAGTGTTCCAAGCACAATCAGACCACTAATTACTGTTAAGCTTGAGCCCCTTTTTGTGCTCTGAGGGGGACTTCGGTGTGCAGCAACCACTCGGGTCTTTTCTTGAGTCCGGGCTAACTCCTGAATAGCAGATTTTTCTTTTCTTCCCCTTTCAACGTTTGCTTGCCAGTGCCTTTCTTTTCCTTCATCTTCATCTTCACCTTCTCCTTTTTCCTTTTCTTTTTTTTTTTTTTTGTGCTTTTTTCCCCCTTCTCCCCCCACCCCCACCCCCGCCCTGCCCTGCCACCCCGTTTTTTTGTGTTTTTTTTTTTTGTTTTTTTTTTGCTTTTGGCTTTTCTGATAGCATTTTTCTTCTGGCGTTGTGTTTTAAATCTCTAAATGAAACTTGACTGTCCCCACGGCCGGTTGGAGAAGCACAAAGGCCTCCCATTCCACTGGCTACAGTAACGCCATTGTGTATCCTAACAATGCACTAATTGGCGGTGACAATTGTGGAGCTGGGGAGGAAGAAGGGGGCCGCCTTTTCCAATCAGGGAGCCACCGAAATAAAAGGAGAGGAGGAGAAGGAGGAGGAGGACGGGAGGCCCAGGTTCCTGATAGAGAGGGGGAATAGACCCACAGAGGGGGTGCAGGGCTCTGGTTTGTACTGGGCTTTCTAAATGAATAATAAAAACAAAGGAGAAAATCTTTATTTTGGAAAAAAAAATATAGATTTTTGCCACAGTCAGCTTTAGACCCCTGGTGGCGGGGATGGGTGAACACCCCTCCAGGACAAGTCTGTGGGAAGGGGGGCCTGAACAGAGCTGACTTCCACAGCCAGCGCTCCTGGGTCTCTGCAAGCTGACGGAAAAGTGGGAGAGGCTGGTGAGAAAAGGCTCCAGGGAAAGTTCTCGGCAGGATGGTTGAAGGTCAGGATGTTGAGAGGCGTGGGGAAGTCCCCATTTCAACCACATTTCCGAATGGGGGGCAAGGCAGACAGGGTAAGGGTTTTGTCATTTATTTTATGGTATATTAGACTCCCAGGAAGTCCAGGAGATGTGAGAGGCTAATCTGACCTTTAAAATGACCCTAAAGAGGAGTGGGGTTGGATGGTAGATAAGAACAAATTGGTGGCCAGATCATGCTGCTGGGGCTCAGGGCCTGCTGGAGAATGCCTGAGAAGCCCTGCAAGGTCACCTGGAGTCTCAGAGCTTTCTAGTTCCAGCCTATGCCCTCCTTCACACACAGTGACTCCCCTTCCCAGACCAGCCTCAAGTGTGCCCTCTCCCGGGGTAGCCGTGAGTACCCGGCCTAAAAATATTTTTTTTTTGTAGAGACAGGGTTTCATCACATTGCCCAGGCTGGTCTTGAACTCCTGAGCTCGGGCGATCTGTCCCCCTTGGCCTCCCGAAGTGTTAGGATTCCAGGCATGATCCACCACACCCAGCCTGTGCCTTTAAATTTCATTTCATGAATATTTAATACTCTAAACTCAAATACTCATCCAATAGAAGAGCTAAATAAAGAGCACTTGAATCCTAAAATTGTTTGGTGGGGGCAGCACTGGAGACAGGTCAGGAATTGGCTCAGGATGCCTTGGGTCTCAATGTGGTGCCAGGGAACAGAGAGGCACTTTTGCACCCTGAGGTTCTCTTTCCACTCAGCTCTGTAGGAACCGACCCTACTTCTTGAGTAGATCCTTTCAATTAGTCAAGTTATTCAACACCCTTGCTAAGTCCCTGTTACTGTGTCAGCAATGCAGCAAGCTCCTGAAGGAGGATGTCATCTCCATTAAAGAAAAAAAAAAAAAAGAAAGCTTTCCTGGCCCTGTTTGAGCTTTGTGAATACAGAGGCCAGGAATGGTGCACCCTCGCAGGGTTCACTCTTTTTTTTTTTTTTTTTTGAGACGGAGTCTCGCTCTGTAGTCCAGGCTGGAGTGCAGTGGTGTGATCGCTGCTCACTGCAAGCTCCGCCTCCCTAGTTCAGGCCATTCTCCTGCCTCAGTCTCCCAAGTAGCTGGGACTACAGGCACCCACCACCGTGCCCGGCTAATTTTTTTGTATTTTTAGTAGAGACGGGGTTTCACCATGTTAGCCAAGATGGTCTTGATCTCCTGACCTCGTGGTCTTCCCACCTCGGCCTCCCAAAGTGCTGGGATTACAGGCGTGAGCCACCACGCCCGGCCTAGGGTTCACTCTTGTTTTTTGTTCTTTGTTTTTTTCTGAGACGGAGTTTTGCTCTTGTTGCTCAGGCTGGAGTGCAACGGCGCGATCTTGGCTCACTGCAAACTCTGCCTCCCAGGTTCAAGTGATTCTCCTGCCTTAGCATCCCGAGTAGCTGGGATTACAGGTATGGGCCACCATGACTGACTAATTTTGTATTTTTAGTAGAGACGAGGTTTCTCCATGTTGGTCAGGCTGGTTTTGAACTCCTCACCTCAGGTGATCTGCCTGCCACAGCCTCCCAAAGTGCTGGGATTAAAGGTGTGAGCCACTGTGCCCGGCTCACTCTTGTTGAATGTTCATGCTGCTGTGTCTATTGAGTGCATAGGCCAGGTGAGATTGCAAAAACATAGAGCCAGGAAGGAAATCGTAGTGAGAAATTGTGCAAGAAAGCCATTGGGTCAGAAACCATGTCTGGCTAACTTAAAGAGAGAACTATTTGTTGCACAGTTCATACAATTTAAGGAATAAAAAAATCAGGTCTTTGGAAGAAGAGAATTCAGGCAGTTTCAATGGAGCAGAAACCAACGGACAACCTCTTCAGAGGCTGTAGTCAATGCATGTGCTTAGCGCTCACAAGATTCAAATTCCTGCTGGCCAAGCTTGAGCTATGGGTCCCCCCCCGAAGGACTTAACTTTGCTGACAGGCCACCAGGACTACGTGGTGGAATAAGGGTGGGATGGCTACTGCCTTCCGAGGGAAAAGTGAGGTGCCATTACCTTCAAGAAGGGGGCAGGGTGCTGGGGAGACTCCACAGCCTTTTACATTTTATCAAGCCTTCAGGAGGGGTACTCACTTTCCTACATTTATGTATGTATGTATGTATGTATGTATGTATGTATGTATGTATGTATGTATGTTTGAGACAGAGTCTCACTCTGTCGCCCAGACTGGAG
This sequence comes from Homo sapiens, assembly GCF_000001405.40. Taxonomy (NCBI): domain Eukaryota; kingdom Metazoa; phylum Chordata; class Mammalia; order Primates; family Hominidae; genus Homo; species Homo sapiens. The sequence continues at coordinate 207,816,034 of NC_000002.12, forward strand.
TGCAGTGGCACAATCTTGGCTCACTGCAGCCTCCACCTCCTGGGTTCAAGTGATTCTCCTGTCTCAGCCTCCCAAGTAGCTGGGATTTCAGGTGCGCACCACCACGCCCGGCTAATTTTTGTATTTTTAGTACAGACAGGGTTTCGCCATGTTGACCAGGCTGGTCTCGATCTCCTGAACTTAGGTGATCCGCCCACCTCAGCCTCCCAAAGGGCTGGGATTACAGGCATGAGCCACCTGTGCTGGCCTAGGAAAGACAATTTTTGACACAATTAGATACATTTGATTTGGAACTGAGATGATAGAAGGAATTATTATCCATTTGTTGAGGTGTGTAATGGCATTGTGACTGCACAGGAGAAAAAAACATTTTTTAGATGCATACTGAGGGATGTGGGGATAAAATGTCATTATATCTGGGATTTGCTTTGTAATATTTCCTCAGAGAAGTAGGAAAAAAAAAACAAGAGTAGATAAAACAAGGTGAAAAACTGAATAAACCTTATTTTTGAAAATATCCACTGAAAACATCTTGTGTGGACTACATTTGAGCTGTTTCGCTGCCTGGGGGACTGGTTTTTGGCAATTTTGGTAGCACTAGTTTCTGGGGTTTGTCCACACACACTGACCACAGCATTGGCATTTGGCACAGTCTGTCAGCTGGTGTCTGGCCTCTGATTTCCCCTTGTCGTGGAATTAAACACACGTGAGCAGGAGCTACTCCCTGAGGCATCGGCTGTCAGGCATCTCTTCCGAGCACTATGGCTGCCCACAGCTGCTTCCTAGGTTGCCTCACTCATGGGCAGCAGTGAGAAAGCCATTTGGGACAGTTGACCCAGTTTAGAATTCAAATTCACTCCCTGTCTATGCAATTGGAATTTATTTCCTCTGCAAAAGGCTTGAATCTCAGAGCAAAATACCTGTAGCTGGGCTTGGGTGTGCATGTGGTGATCCTAATGGAGAAAAACCCTGGTTTATCTTCCTAACAACGTGTACCTTGCAGTATGCTCAGAGCCTGACATTATTAAGAGTGTGTTATTACAATACAGCACAGAATCTCAGGCAATTTGGATGTCCTTGGGCCTAGAATTAATATGTGCTTTGTATAGTCTTATAATTTGGGAGGCAATTTTCCCTAACACAGTGAGAGATGTTCCTTTATACATTTGAGATAATTTAGCTCAGTGTTCATTTGGAAAAATTACTGTGCTAATAGCAGCTCTTCAGCCTCCGAACAACAGACCATGTTGGGAGAGTCTGGACAAAAGCTGGAGGAATTTCCCCCAGACCAACAGCTGCCTGAGGTTGTATGGCAGGATCTGAAATACTGTATGAACTCATGAACACTAGCTGATTTGCTTAAAATCAATACCCCTTAATGGAGGAATATGAAATAAAGGTGGAGAAATAATGAATTTCCACATTGTCCAGGTAAATTGGATGTCAGTGCACATAAATCAGAATCTCTACATGTTCAGCTATGGGAACGATCTGTTCTTCCTGCTAGACTTCTCTGCCCAAGCTACAAGAGAATATATGCAAATGAGGGAGAATAAACTATATCTTTCTCTTAGGTGTGTTTTGTCTCAGGCTTCCTAAGTATTGTGTACCAGGGACCTTTGTTATCGTGGGGGAGGAATCTTCTACCCCAGTCATAATCCAATATAATAATGTAATAAATGCAAAACACTTTTTTCTCAATGAGGAATGTGGTTTCCAACGATGCTACTTTGGAACAAGTCCCAGGTAAAGCCCCAGTAGACCCAAGTTCATTTCTAGTTGCATCCTTGCCCTTTGGCACTTGCTTCCTACACAGACTGATAATCCAGTTATTGCCGCTGTGGCTGCACCTGATGTGCTCAGCATTGTGGGAATGGAGATAGAATAGCATCTTTGGTAGGAGACTCTGAACTCTTTGGCGAAGTAGTCCATCCATGAGGAATATTTGTCATTAGTTATTGACCTCATAAAGGGAGGAAAGGGGAAGAATGCCTTTCTAAGTATCTGTTCACCTGTAGCTGGCAGTTGAAGTTGAAAATCAACAGTTCAACAGATGCCTGGATGTGAATGAACTCTGGTTCATTTTAAAGCCTAGTTCTGGCTGGGCGTAGTGGCTCACGCCTGTAATCTCAGCACTTCAGGAGGCTGAGGTGGGTGGATCACCTGAGGTCAGGAGTTTGAGACCAGCCTGGCCAACATGGTGAAACCTCCGTCTCTACTAAAAATACAAAAATTAGCCGGCCTGGCCAGGCGCGGTGGCTCACGCCTGTAATCCCAGCACTTTGGGAGGCCAAGGCGAGCGGATCACCTGATGTTGGGAGGTTGAGACCACCCTGACAAACATGGAGAAACCCCATCTCTACTAAAAATACAAAATTAGCCGGGTGTGGTGGCATATGCCTGTAATCCCAGCTACTCGGGAGGCTGAGGCAGGAGGATCGCTTGAGCCTGGGAGGCGGAGGTTGAGGTGAGCTGGAGATCGTGCCCTTGCATTCCAGCCTGGACAGCAAGAGTAAAACTCCGTCTCAAAAAAAAAAAAAAAAAAAAAAAAAAAATTAGCCAGGCGTGGTGGCTCATGCCTGTAATCCCAGCTACTCAGGAGGCCGAGGCAGGAGAATCGTCTGAACCTGGGAGGTGGAGGTTGCAGTGAGCCAAGATCGTGTCATTGCACTCCAGCCTGGGAGACAGAGCTTAAAAAAAAAAAAAAAAGAAAAGAAACAAAAAAAACCTCCCCAAAACCTTAGTTCTTCTATGGAAGCAAGATGAATCTGGACATAGCCCAAGATTTCCTGAATTTCCTAAGCCTTTCTGGGCAAGAAGCACCTAGTGATTTTCTATTTTGTTTAATTAAAGTAATTAATTTTTTTGAGATGGAGTTTCGTTCTTGTTGCCCAGGCTGGAGTTCAGTGGCACGATCTCACCTCACTGCAACCTCTGCCTCCCGAGTTCAAGTGATTCTTCTGCCTCAGCCTCCTGAGTAGCTGGGATTACAGGCACACACCACCAAGCCCGGCTAATTTTTGTATTTTTGGTAGAGACAGGGTGTCACCATGTTGGCCAGGCTGGTCTTCAACTCCTGACCTCAGGTGATCCACCTGCCTTGGCCTCCCAAAGTGCTAGGATTACAGGCATGAGCCACCTCGCCTGGTGTGATTTTCTGTTTTAAAAACCACCATCCAGAGTGTGAGGTTCACATTCATTGGATTGGCCTCAACTGGGAGCGGACTCTCACATGCATTTGAGGACCAATCACAGGATAACTGGGAGGAATGAAAAAATGAATGGGAGCATACAGAGCTCTCCTTTTAGGCCAGCTTAGTTGCCTGCAGCTGCGACCTGGACACTTCTATTCACTAATGCTCTCTGGCAATGAGATATACTGATAAATACATGCTAATCACACCCTGGAAGAAAATAAAAGGGGTGTAAAGGTAAGGCTTTATGCAAACAATTGCAGTCCATGAGCAGCAAGTTCCAAAGTGCTGTGACTTTTAGGAAGAAGAGAAGCAACAGCTGTTAACTGCAGGGCAGCTACCGCGGTTCTTCCTTCCAATTCCTCTTGGCACTGTTCCCACTGTGGACCATCAATACAGCAAACAAATGTTTATTTCAAGGCAACTTGCTTCGTTTAAGCTAGTGGTTCTTCACCTCCAGAATGCATCGGGTCACCCAGGGAGCTTTTAAAAAATACAAATACTCAAGCCCCATCCGGAGAGATTCTGAGTCAATTGTCTGTGATGAGGCCCGGAGATTTTGCTTTTATTTCTGTGTTTCGAATGCAGGAACCATGGATTTAAACCATCATGTTGAGCCGTCATCAAAGAACAGGACATGGGAAACAATTAAGGGAGATTCAATCATCCTCATCTCCTGAGGATAAGAGATGAACAAAATAGTGTCTCTTTCCACGGTTCTGACACATTTTTGCCTATCTTCTCTTTGATGTCAGAACTTCCTGGAGTTATCCAGCCTTGCCAGTTTCCTACAACTGGGGGAAAGCTAACCTGTCCTGTGTGATTCATCTGATTATGAATCCAGGCTCTGACTACATCGTATGTCTAGTTTGGTTCAGTGAAACATTAACCCGTTTCTCTTTATCGTGGATTGTGGCAGGTTTCGTGTGACGACGAAGTCCAGTTATTTCTTGGACAGAGTGGGTGTGAGCCCAGGCCGATTTCCTGAGGGTGGAGTGGGAGGGGCCAGGCATAAACTTGTTTAGGTGTGTCTTAGGGTGTAAGGCTCAGGGTTCATCTTGGTAAATGTTTTACCAGAAGAACCTTTTCTAGTCTCTTTTCCATGTCTTCCTTTGGGAAAGTGAGTTTAAATCGAGCCTTCTAAAGGTTCCAAGTGGATAGTTGTTGTACCCCTGGCCTTTTGAGTGGGTGAGGGTCAGCCCAGGCATGAGGCCCTGCAGATATTTCTGATCATTTCTCAACTCCCAGAGAGCTGCCGTTTTGAGGAGGAAGTTTTTCTTTACTCTCCACTCTTTGCTCCTTCTTTGCTCCCAAAATATGGTCCCTGAAGGAAGGACCAACACTTTTGCCTAGCTGGCCACCTGGCACTTGGCCATCTAATTTGGAGAGTGCAGGAATGGTGAAATGGAATCAGGGCCAGAAGGCTTGGGGAAAAGCTTTGGTGGGAGAACATCCATGCATGAGCTTTGGCAGCTTTGTCTTGGAACTGAAAGCAATCATGCTTAGATTCAGCAAATAAGGCCCATGACACTACACCTGCATCTTTTTAAAAGTTACACTACATTTTTCATGAGCATGGAAAGGGCTGATGAGAATATTGTAGGTTGATGAATTGTTTTAAAAGTCTATCTGTAAGATACTTGAGATAATTTAAAAGTGGTTCTTTTTTTTTTTTTTTTTTTTTTTTGAGACAGAGTCGTGCTCTGTCGCCCAGGCTGGAGTGCAGTGGCACGATCTCAGCTCACTGCAGCCTCCGCCTCCAAGGTTCAAGCAATTCTCCCTGCCTCAGCCTCCCCTGAGTAGCTGGGATTACAGGTGCCCACCATCATGCCTGGCTAATTTGTGTATTTTTAGTAGAGAGGGGGTTTTGCCATGTTGGCCAGGCTGGTCTCGAACTCTCGACTTTAGGTGATCTGCCTGCCTTGGGCTCCGCACCTGGCTGTGGCTCATTTTCAATAAAGCTCAAATCTTGACTTTGAATTAATATATAGGGCTCACCTTGGGCTTTCACCACCCCCTCAAGAGCAGTATTTTAATCAAGTTGTTATGAGAAAGGAAAGTATTTTCTGCATTGTTTATTGAGAGAGAGAGAGAGAGAACTTTATACATTAGGAACTGGTGCACTTAAATTATGTGACAGATGACCTTAAAAACTAGAGGTATTGTCAACAATACAACTTCAATTTTATATTATTACAGTTACTGATATTTTTAAAATAATGTAAACAAAAATATAGATAAGTTATGCCAAAACAAAAGGTAAAATCCAAAAAACAGAAAGAACACATATATAAGTTAGCACATTAGCTACTACAAATAACTTAACACAAAGTGATATAACAGCCCAGACCCAAAATTTTAGTCATTTCTGTACTGTGTGAGCAGATATAAGAAAAAATGGCATAGACCTGACCCAGGAGCTACAGAACAAGTTTTGCAGAAGTTTTTTACATCACCACGTTCAATACTCTCCATTTGCAACCTAAGCATTTTCTCTCCTTTAAAAAAAAAAGTATATATATATATTTTTCAAAGAGATGAGGGTCTCGCTATCTTGCCCAGACTTGTCTTGAACTCCTGGGCTCCAGTGATCCTCCCACCCCAGCCTCCCAAAGAGCTGGGATTACAGGTGTGAGCCGCTGCGGCCAACCACTTTCCCTCCTTTGGCCATTCCTTCTTTTAGCTACTATTCCTAAGAAACAGATTTAAAATATATATCTTCTAGGGTAGGCTAGTAGCTATTCACAGTAAGATTCTACTTCTTTTTTTGTTTGTTTTTTGAGATGGGTCTCACCATATTGCACAGGCTCCTGGGCTCAAGCAATCTACCCACTTCAGCCTCCCAAATAGCTGGGACTGTAGGCACATGCCACCATGCCCAGCGTAACAGTAAGATTCTGATAGGTGACCAAAGCTAGAACCTAGGCCTCCAGCAGCCAAAGCCTAATTTGATGGCTCAGTGGACACACAAAGCTAATTTGATAGCTCACGCCAAACAAAGAGACATTTTTATCACAATTTATCTAAGAGGCTTCCCACTTCTTATTTGGAAAACAGGTGGCAAAATAAAAAGAAAACCTTTGAAAGGTGAAAGATAAGAAAATCCTTGTGTTTGTGTAATTTTGAACCTGAAAAGGCTAAGTTCACTGACTTTACAGATTCAATTATGGATGGCTGGTTTTTATTTCTCTACCCATTGGCCTTGGTGACATCATGACATTCCCCTGAGTTTGGTTAATGAAAGCAAACAAACAAATAAACAAAAAGAGCGATTGAAGAACAGCATAAAACAAAGTGAAAACATTATGTGGTTGCATCTTTTGCATTTCCTGGTAAAAGTGCTAATGGCACTAAGAAGCCAATGTTTGTACCATTCTACTTTAACGACGTGTTTCCGACATGATTCCCTTTACTCCTGAGGTTAAGGCACACCAGGCTGAACAAGGTGAGAGTTCTGACATGCATCATGGAATGCACAGGCTCCAAGAGCATCTATATGAAGAGTAGCCAGCAGGGAAGAAGCAAAGGGATCCAGATTTAGTTGAAGGGTCCTGCAGGCTTCAAGTGGTTCAGACTAGACTAGAAGCACGAGACAGTACTATAAGGCACTCCTACAGGGACAAGAGACACAAGGGAAGGCCAACATGGAGAAGGAGCCACAGGCCCCAGCTGTCCTCTAGCTGGTTTATTAGCCATGAGGCCTGCCTCTGGGCTGGGGCTCAGAACTAGGGGCAAGGAAGATCCAGGGAAAAGAGAGAGGCTGGTTTGCAGCTTCACGGCCAATAGGAGGGAGCCCTCCTAAGAGTTAGGAGTTGCTGTGAGTTGCTGTAGGTGCCTGAATCTTCTACTCTGGGCAACAACCAGCTTCATTCAAAGTCTGGAACTTCATTCAAAGTCTGGAACTTCATTCAAAGTCTTGTCTTTCTAACAAGACGAACAGGCAGTGGCTTCTCTTTTCACAGGGAAAATCCAAAGCAAAACAGCAGTTGTCTCACTTGAGTTTAGCAATGCTTTCCATCACACCAGCGGCCACTTTACGAAGACAGTGCCACAAAACATGATCATTTGGAACTTACTTTTTTTTTTTTTTTTGAGACGGAGTCTTGCTCTGTCGCCCAGGCTGGAGTGCAGTGGCGCAATCTCGGCTCACTGCAACCTCTGCCTCCCAGGTTCAAGCAATTCTCCTGCCTCAGTCTCCCAAGTAGCTGGGATTATAGGCATCCACCAAAACACTCAGCTAATTTTTGTATTTTTAGTAAAGAGGGGGGTTTCACCATGTTGGCCAGGCTGGCCTCAAACTCCTGACCTCAAGTGATTCACCCACCTCGGCCTTCAAAGTGTTGGGATTACAGGCATGAGCCACTACGTTCAGCCTAATTTTTTTATTTTTAGTATAGACCTGATTTCACCATTTTTGGCCCGGCTGGTCTCAAACTCCTGACCTCAAGTGATCTGCCTGCCTTGGCCTCCCAAAGGGCTGGGATTACAGGCGTGAGCCACCAATCCTGGCCAAGTGGAACCCACTTTAAATAAAACTGACAACTACCGGTATGGTTAGGAGGGTATCCCATACTCTTGTCTTTTACCTAGAGTTTAACAATGACTTGGATTTTCCCTCAGCCATGCACCCATTAAAACGCACTAAGGAAAGACCCTTGAGTCAGAGATTTTTGAATCCAATGAAATTAGAATCGTCTACCAATAAGGAGACTACTGGGTGCTAGACTTAACTGTCGAAACACCGTTCCACATGACAGAAATCAACACTTGTCTGTTTACATTAACCGAGCAGAGCTTAGTCACCCATCACTGGATTCGACCTCGAGCAGACAGCTCTACCTGACTCAGGGTCGGAAGAGTGATACAAGGTGTGCAACATATGAAGCTCCTAATGCCCATCACTAACAAGTGACACGGAGGCAGGGGAAACAGAGAGTGCCGCTACCGATTCAGGTCACGCAAAGGAGGGAGGCTCTTTCAAGGTCTTGCTCCAACTTCACGTTTTCACATTATTTCAGAGTAAGAAAAGAAGTGGTGCAGACAACTCAAGAAATAAAATGGGCAAAAATTATACACATCTCTATTTACTAGGAGAAGTAAAAAAATAAAACAACCCCTGTGTTGAAACCAGGCAGTATTGGAATCAGGAGGTGAAGATCTGTTTCATAATCTAGTGATTTCAAGAGAGTGTGTCAGATCAACGGAGATGAATAATTGTGCACAAATACACGAGCAACAGCATTGGCTTGACTCTAAAGGAGGACCAGAATGTGTCTCTACTTCCACTGCTAACGCCCCTCTGCAGAAAATGTTCAGTGTGCGTGGCATCGTGCTAGTCCCACCTGGATATACTAATTTATGGACGGCCTTTTCTAGCCAATGGGTAGAGAACAAACTCCCAGGTTTGGAAGCCAAGCCTCTCTGAGGAGGCACAGAAAAGAACTATCCGATGTCCACGTTCAGTGTGTACACACAACACACAGAGACAAAAACAGAGGCCAGGCTCCGTCAGAGGACACACTCTAGCTGAGCAAAGGCTGCATTCGGCAACTAGGGTGGTGTAAACACCTCGGATCTCACTGCAGCCGGAAGGAAGTCACGGCATAGTCCCTTTTCAGGAGTCTGAGGGATACCACTTGTGTTGCAAACCACAGATCCCAAGTATTAGACGTATTCCCTTCTTGGTGGAGGCCTACTCTAGAAGAATCAAAAACCGATGACCCTCTCAGCGAATCCGATGTTAAAGCTCCTAACTAGGTGACCCTTTAGCACTACAGACGTAAAAATGACTCTAATGCACTCCCTAGAAAAGGCAGTGAAGCAAAGGGGGCTGCTGAGAGTTTACATGGTTTTCATATAAAGAGGCTTTTAACTTTGGAAAAAGCGGGCCTGGAAAGAACACTACCCCCATTCCAGTTGACGGCTTTTTAAGTACTTTGTGGCCTTCCTGCCGCGGTGCAAAATGAGGTCTATTTTAGGAACTGGCTTCTTTACTGCGGGGTTAGATGCCAACATTTCACCAGGGTTGGACGATCTCACACATGAGTTTCTGGCACTTTTAGGAGGGATTTCCTCAAGTGATACACTAGGGAATGAGCCTTTCAGCAAAAAGCGGTTCCCCGGAGTCAGTTGCCAGCTCCAGGAGATTAATTGGCCATTTTTTCATATGTTTTATGTGCAAGATATTTAATATGGGATGAAAAATGGAACACGAGGAAAAGCAGGTATTAGTTTGGTCTGAAAGAGGTGGTAATCCACAGATTTGCTTTTGTTTCGACAGTTTCTAAGCAGTGGAACAATTACCTAACAGTGCACCAAGTAATTTGTTAAAGTTGAAAACAGTAAGGGCGTTCATGTGCGCCAAGGTATTCTGGGCTGAAAACAGCAATTTTGAATTTTCATGGCAGACCCAACTCCTAAGCTGGCTCCACTCTGTCCTATCAGATTTTGGTGGTGGTGGCAGAGAATGTCATAGGCCTGTGGCTGGCACCGACCAAGCTGTCAGGGTGGTACGAAAAGGAGAGGAAACAGGAGTGCTGGACATGGACCCAGCTCTGGGTAGCTGATGGTGATAACACATCGATTTTTTGTTTCCCTTTTGAAAATAAGCAGAAAATGATGTGGGTGGAAAGTCCTCCTTAGGAGTTCACAGGGACTGCTCGTATTTAGCAGGGCCCTCTAAATGGGGACTGGTGAAAACAAAGATGTTTTGAACGGGGATCCAGAATTTCGCCCTTGACTCTCGGCAGGTATGACCCTGGGTGCCTGTGAGCTAGGAGAGGAAATTCTGTATGCAGGGCAAACATGTTACAAGGGGAGGAGATGGCACTGCACTTCAGGTCTCCAAATGCAGTGTGCTAGGAATGGCCTCGCTGACAGTTGGAATCACGGATACATTAATTACAGCGAAGGCAAAAGTAAGCTACAGTGACAGGGAGCTGGGGGCGGAGGGAGAAGGCACTTTGCCATGGGAGCACATCTGTTTTATAATAAGCAGGTCTATAATTCTCTTGTGAAAGATCATGTTCTGCTATCTTCTCTGAGGCTGGAAAATATAAATACTGTATTTTACCAAGAGGAGGAGGAAAGGAGATGATCAAATTTGTTTGCCTGTTGCCAAGTGTTTGAGATTTTCCACCCTTTTTCTTTTGTGTGCAACATTCTCTTTAACTAGAGTGGGGGAAAAGTCAACCTGCTTTTCTAAGGGTAAAAGGCACCGTCAGGCGTCTCATGAATAGGGCCCTGGCCTTTTAACAAGTTTTCAAGCCTTGGTTGCGGCTACTGTATAGTCAGAAAATAAATGCATGTATGGTGTTGAGCTATTAAGGTGAAATGTGTGGCCTGGGGCCAAAGGAACTGGTGTGGGTTGAGAGGTAAAATGCTTACATCTAACTGCACAAAAGTCAGTCTGAAATGTCACATCTCTAGATGGATGGAAGTATCATGAGTTGGGGTCTTGGGGAAGCGGCGTGTGGGGGAAAGGAGCAATGGGGTTGAATGTACCAAGTATGTTGTGAGCCACTGATCCTAATAGCAGCAAAACTACTAAACCATGAAGACATAGAAGGCATCTGCTCAGCGCGAAAGCTACAGAATCTTCTCATAAAGTCTACTGAGAACTGTTCCATTATAAACATATTTTTCTTGCTCTAGGGAGAGTTAAGGGGAAGGAATGGGAGCTGTCAGGGTCCCAGGGCTGTCCTACCTGCCGTTTTGGTCACAGTGACTGCCACGTGCTCTTCCAAGGGCACTGCAGCTGGAGAACACTACCTGCCAAATAGCAAAGCAGATCTCTTTCTTACTCCTATTATTTATTTTAGCACTCTTTGTTTTACTTCAAGGTGGCAATTATATATGTGTGTGTATATATATATATTTATTTAAATAATATTAGATCTAATTCATTAATTATACTTGTAAGTTTGTATTTTCTTAATAGTCCAAAGTTGGTATTTTGAAGTTCCACATTACTCTGATTTTTTAAACAAAAAAATGAGAAAGCAAGAATGGTCACATTGACAAAGGTCGAAATGAAAGTGCAGGAAGAACAACGAGAAATAAAGCACTTAAAATGAATAGGTAGGAACTGCCTCCACAGGATTCTGAGAAAAGAAACTAAAACGACCCTCTTTGGGAATATACTTACTAGATAGCCTTATCTACCAGTCTACACGACGATGTCTTTAACAACCACCCCAGGACATTTCCTCCGGCCAGCATCATGAAAAAAATCATAAATATCAACCATGGGCACCCGTTGAAAACTGTTAAGAAAGCCATGTGTACAGCCTGGAAAACACGGTGGAGCGTCACATCATTAGGTGGGTGATGGGATTAGTACCGAAAAACAGACCGACAACACGCAGTTATTGGTCGCAGAGGTTTCTTCTCTTCTCAGGAAAAAAACTTCTGAGATTAACTTCAAAACCAGAACCAGCCCTCCTCATAAATGAGGGGTGTATGCTTTCTGTCAGAGGGGGCTTGGCTCCTGTTTCCAGCCATCGGCTCTGCTTACGTGATTCCCCGCCTCCACAGGAGGAACTGAGGCGGGAGCGCCACGGACACCAGGTCCTGGAAGGACCCAGCAGTCTCTTGTGTTTTGAAGGTTTTCTTATGAAACAGATGATGATGGGTGCCTGCCTCAGTTACCTCAGCCTCTGTGAAGGCTAAAAATAAATAACACAAAAATAACCTAAAGCACTGTTTTGTGCAGGAAATGCTTCCTTTTGTGTCTTGGGTAATAAAATGTACCGAGAGACAGAGAGAAAAAAAAAGTCTGAACTATAAAGCATTGTGTATACCACGTTTTGTCTGGGAGCAAGCAGCTGAAATTCTTGGCTAAGTGTAATCCAGCTATTGGTAGTTTCTCGAGCCACAGAGGTTCTGTGGATCGTCTGGACAATGATGTACACAGAGCATACGTACAGGACGTATAGGTATTTGCGTATATATAAATAAATATATATATCTATATCTAGTTGAAGAGGATACATACTCTTCTTCCAAAGGGGTCTAACTGGCTAGTTAGGAGGCCGCTCTGGGGCTGATGGATTGTTGATTGGTGAATCCCTGGCCTTCGGGTCGGCTGGAGTCAGGTGTTCTGGTAGGACAGCTCGAACATGGTGCAAGCCTCCTCTAGACTCTCGTCCATGTTCAGTCTCTGCCAGAAAGACTTCTGCTTCTTCTGCAGCTCTCGGCGAACACACCTCGGGCAGGGGACAGACTTTTCTTTGCATTCAGAATGGAAAACGGCTCCACAGCTTTCACACCTGCAAAAGTCAACCATGGATATGATGAGCAAGACTGAAGCCAGCAAGACACAAATGGGAAGCCCTGTGGCCTCAGGTGCAGCTGGTGGCACAATCTACTGTTCTGGACAACCCTGCCAATGGGAAGGGAGATGACTCACTGAAATGAACTGTTTGTTTTTCCAAAATGCTCAAGGTTGAATTTCACTTGAAAAACATTTTTGCTTTTCTGATCTGAACTAGGGCTTATGAGTGGGGGGGAGTCCGCAGTCACCCAGCAATTCTGGTTATAGTGACAATGGACAGAACACCAGAAGCTCTCCATTGAGAAGGGAATTGGCAGTGACTCTAGAGTGAAATGACAGAAAATGAGAGGGGAGTGCCTCGTGAAAACGCTCGGCACACCAGTGACAGCCACAGCGTTACATCCATGGCGAGGCAGCTTTCTACATCAGTTAACACGAGCTAAGTGGTTCTCTGTTAACTAGCTGCCTTTATTTGACAGTTTGAAAAGATAAAATGACACATTTTCATTTTCTGAATGACATCCTGTGGTCTATGAAATCTTGTGAGTTTTTTAAAAATTAGGAAAAAACTCCTACCTTTGTAAGTCTACCTTTATAACATGAGCGTGAACATTAAAGCAGGAGACAGTGGGGAAGAAAACATTTTTCAAACAATATGACAGATATTGTAATATGTAGAGAGCAAACATTCCAGGTGGATGACTCATTTGTTGTTTGGCTTGGTGGAAGCCTGCACGGGAGTCTAAATAACTTGTTTTTACAGCGAAGTTTTTATTTATTTATTTTTTTGGAGATAGGGTCTCACTCTGTCACCCAGGCTGAAGTGCAGTGGTGTGACCTCGGCTCACTGCACCCTCTGCCTCCTCCTGGGCTCAAGTGATCCTCCCACCTCAGCCTCCCGAGTAGTTGGGACTACAGGCACCCACCACCACACCTGGCTAATTTTTGTATTTTTAGTAGAGACGGGGTTTTGCCATGTTGGCCAGGCAGGTCTGGAACTCTTGACCTCAGGTGATCCACCCGCCTCGGCTTCCCAAAGTGCTAGGATTACAGGTGTGAGCCACTGCATTTGGTCTGCAAAGCTTTTAATAATGAGTAACTGACAAGCTCAAATACAGCTGCTCCAGTGAGTGGTTTGCCGATATGGACTGAGTTTTCATCCTTCCACGAGGGTAACAGGCAACTTTTACCAAGTCCTAGGAGCCCAGGGAATTGCACCTGTGTAATTTTGTTCAGCCTGCAGCATTCAGGGAGGGTCCAGAACTGACTGGGTTCGAAGAGGGTTGCGAAGGAACCAGTCCCGAGGGCTCAGCCTCAGGCTTCTTTTGCTTTTTCACAGCGTCTTGAGTTTCAGTGCCAGGTGCAGGATGGTCTTGGGGGCATTATCTCCTAGTCTGCCACTGACTTACCCCACCACCATTCAGGACCCAGAGGGCTTAGTGAAAGGAAGATCTTCCTACCCACCCTCATACCTTGGAGAGGAGGCAGTGACTTGGATGGAGACACACTGTTGCGGGGTGGGGGGTTGGAAGGGGGAGAAAGAGAAAGTGTGTGTGTATGTGGGTGTGTGCGTGCACACCTATTCCAGCAGAGGCACAGGAAGACAAGACTTCCTGCACCCAGCAGCTCTACCCCCAGCTTGGCTCTCTGGGTCAAGTGAAACATACAGGTGGTGAGGCCAGCCAGCAAGGAGCTTCACATCAATTCCTGGCTGTGTGACTGCTATGAACTGAACTGTGTCCCCGTTAGTCATATGTTAAACCCCTTACCCACAATGTGACTATATTTGGAGATACCATGCTTAGGAGGTAATCAAGATTAAATGAGGTAGGCCGGGCATGGTGGCTCATGCCTGTAATCTCAGCACTTTGGGAGGCCGAGGTGAGCGGATCACCCGAGGTCAGGAGATCAAGACCAGCCTGGCCAACATGGTGAAACCCCGACTCTACTGAAAATACAAAATTAGCCGGGCGTGGTGACGCATGCCTGTAATCCCAGCTACTCGGGAGGCTGAGGCAGGAGAATTGCTTGAACCCGGGAGGTGGAGGTTTGCAGTGATCACACCACTGCACTCTAGCCTGGGTGACAAGAGCAAAACTCTGTCTCAAAAAAAAAAAAAAAGATTAAATGAGGTCATGAGGGTGAGACCCTGATCCAAGCTCATAAGTGTCCTTAGAAGAAGGACACTTCTTCTAAGTGTCCTTAGAAGTGTCCTTAGAAGTGTCCTAAGTTGGGGAGCTTGCTCTCCCCAACTCCGCATGCCTCAGAGGCAGCGCCCTGTGGGGACATACACACTCCTGCAAGCCAGGAGGAGAGGCCTCTCCAGAAACCAACCCTGTTGGGACCTTGATCTGAAATTTCCAGCCTCCAGAACTGGGGGCAACACATTTCTGTTGTCTAAGCCACCCAGTCTGTGGTCTTCCGTGTGACAGTCTGAGCAGACTAATGACCTTACGCAAGTCACGTCGCCTTTCTGAGCTTCCTGCACTTCAGTGTCCTTATCAGCTAAATGGAGACTACATAGCACCCACCTCCTGGGGTGCTGCGGGGCTCAGGTAACATCATGGATGCAGTGTATTCCCAGTTCCTGGCCGTGGTGGGAAGTGCTTAGTGAACAGCAAGGACTGCTCCGGCCAGGGTGCCCCCCAGGCTGCCTGCTGCCTTCTGTGCAGCTGCATTGCAGCCTGACTTCACCCATGTCACTATGGAGACCTGAGGACATCTCAGTCAACCCCCTCCTTGCCTAGATGAGAAAAGAGACTCCAAGAGGGCTAGGGATTGCCTACCGGGGACGCAGTGAGTTGGAGACAGAGTTGTGACTGGAACCCAGGGCTCCTGGCAGCCCAGCCAAGGCTCTTACCGAGCACCACGCTGCCGGCTGAGGCCTGGCCATCCCAGCGAGAGCATGGAGCCATCGCATAGGGAAACGTAGGGCTTCCAATCAGAACACCTGTGTCAAACCACAAATCCTTTGTAGCTGAGTGACAGTGGGCAAGTTACTACTTAAGTTCTTGGTGCTTTGGTTTTCTCATTTGTAAAATGCTGCTCACGGTGAACCCCTTCCTATTCACTGGGTTGCTGTGAGACTAAAATGAGAAATATACTTTTAAGTGGAAGGACTACGCAAAGGCTGCGACGCCGCCCCTCACAGGTGACTCTAGTACCCGTCTCCTTGACACAGGCGCTATCCTGGACATGGCAGGGTCACCTCTAGCATCTTCCTCTTCCCAGCCCCCTCCTCCTTCCAGTGAGGATAAAGGTCAGACCCATGTCTTCTAGAGCCTCTCTCATCTGGGCCAGCTCCTTCCTAGTGGCAATGGCTTTGTCCCCACTGGTCACACCTCTGTAACCTTCTATCACTAAAGTGACACTAATGATAGCTTTATCATATAAATTTCCTCCTTCCAGCCCCCTTTCCCCTGCTGGGTTAGTCAGTGATTTATACACCTAGGGATGTTGCCCCAGGGCAGTGATTGATAAGGAGGAAAAACCCTGGGTTCCTTCAGTACCACTCCCTTATCTCTGCTGATACCAGGCTGCAGTGAGTGAAGAGATTGGGTCTTATCGGATATTTCTGGTGCAGCAAACACCCATGGGGTGATGGAAGAGCTGAGCGCACCTGCTCTTTCTAACCAAAGGTCAGTAACTGAACAAAAAGCATGAGATAAAAAAAAATTAATGATTTCAAAATAGAACTAAGTCCTATTTTCTAACAATTTGTAACCCAGCAGGTATCTTTTAAACTGTAGTATGGATAGATTGATCAATGACTTTCCAAATTCCAAGAATCTATAGTTAATCCCTCCCCCAACCCTTTTCTCTTTAAAGGAAAAGAATAAGGGGAGGAAAAGGAAGGAGAAAGGGAAATTGTTCTCTTACATAAGATTTATGGAGCCCTGTAATAAAAATGTAAAGTTCAGGATAAATATTTACATTAAAAAATGTAATATATGGGTGTGTTCCTCTTTGAGAATAGGATTTTATTTTTTCACTTTAAAAAAATTCATTGGCCGGGTGCAGTGGCTCATGCCTGTAATCCCAGCACTTTGGGAGGCTGAGGCAGGTGGATCACCTGAGGTCAGGAGTTCGAGACCATCCTGGTCAAAATGGTGAAACCCCGTCTCTACTAAAAATACAAAAATTAGCTGGGTGTGGTGGTGTGTGCCTGTAATCCCAGCTACTCGGGAGGCTAGGCAGGAGAATCGCTTGAACCCGGGAGTCAGAGTTTGCAGAGAGCCGAGAAATTGCACCACTGCACTCCAGCCTGGCAACAGAGCGAGACTCCCTCCCCCTGCACCTCCCCCACACCAGAAAAAAAAGATTCATTGGGCTGGGTGCGGTGGCTCATGCCTGTAATCCCAGCACTTTGGGAGGCTGAGGTGGGTGGATCACCTGAGGTCAGGAGATCAAGACCAGCCTGGCCAACATGGTGAAACCCTGTCTCTACTAAAAACACAAAAATTAGCCAGGCGTGGTGGCGTGTGCCTGTAATCCCAGCTACCTGTGAGGCTAAGGCACGAGAATCGCTGAAACCCAGGAGACAGAGGCTGCAGTCAGCTGATATTGTACCATTGCACTCCAGCCTGGGTGACAGAGCAAGACACCATCTCAAAAAAAAAAAAAAAAAAAAAAGATTCATTGGCCCCCCTGAGTACTCACTGAGTTTCTTGACTGTATTTAAAATATGATTTAGCACATACAACTTTTCAGGAACACATCTTTCTTATAAGGCAAATCTACCAATGTAATCATCTCTGCTGAAAATTGCAACAGGTAATGAAAGAGAAATGTCCCTTTGGTGTTCCTGTGTGATACATGAAATGAAAGCTGGTGTCTTCATTCTGAGTCATCCAGTCCAGTGATAAGCAGTTTCACTGCTTGTTGGATGTTGCTGTACATCACAGAAAACAAAGACTAACGTCCTCCCTTTGCAGTGTCTGCAACTGCAGGGAGACATTTGCTACTGACCAAAGTCATCCAATGGGTTTTTCTGTTTTTTTTTTTCTTGAAAACATTCATTGCTTCATGTTTTCTCATACCTAGGGATCTCAACCTTGGCCCTACTGACATTTTGAGTTATAATCCTTTGATGTGAGGGGGTGTCCTGTGCATCATAGGATGTGTAGCAGCATCCCTGGCCTCTCTCGGCTAGATGCCAATAGCCATGTCACCCCCTCCTCCCAGTTGTGACAACCAGCAATATCTCCAAACACTGCCAAATGCCTCTGCGGGCAAAACCATCCCTGTTGAGAACCACTGACCTAATCTAGTGGAAAATGCATCACAGAGGGAGTACCCAGGGATACTTACACAGGACTCCCACACTGAATTTGCAAGTGTCACCTGCTGGCTTACGTTCTTACCAACCAATAAGGTCCAGTGTAGTGTACTTATTCATTTAACTTTCACAAGTACGTATTTTAAACACATCATTTGATTAAAATAGTTGAAACCACTAATATTAATATTAACCAGTGATTTCTGTTACTTCTAATGGCAAAAATCGCACTTGCTTTTGCACCAACCTAAATGGAAATCATTTAGAATATCATTTAAGAAGTCAATATCAGTGACGCAATGCTGTGCATCACTGTCACTCCCTATCAACTCACTCTGATTTTTCTCTTTCTTTTTTTTTTTTTTTGAGACAGAGTTTTTGCTCTTGTTGGCCAGGCTGGAGTGCAATGGCACGATCTCAGCTCACCACAATCTCCACCTCCCAGGTTCAAGTGATTCTCCTGCCTCAGCCTTCCCAAGTAGCTGGGATTACAGGCATGCACCACTAAGCCTGGCTAATTTTGTATTTTTAGTAGAGATAGGGTTTCTCCATGTGGGTCAGGTTGGTCTCAAACTCCCGACCTCAGGTGATCCGCCCACCTCGGCCTCCCAAAGTGCTGGGATTGCAGGAGTGAGCCACCGCGCCCAGCCTCTTCTTTTTTTTTTTTTTGAGATGGAGTTTTGCTCTTGAGGCTG
Source organism: Homo sapiens (assembly GCF_000001405.40). Classification (NCBI taxonomy): domain Eukaryota; kingdom Metazoa; phylum Chordata; class Mammalia; order Primates; family Hominidae; genus Homo; species Homo sapiens. Next base: position 207,834,475 of record NC_000002.12, read on the forward strand.
GAGTACAATGGCGCAATCTCGGCTCACCGCAACCTCCACCTCCTGGGTTCAAGCAATTCTCCTGCCTCAGCCTCCCAACTAGCTGGGATTACAGGCATGTGCCACCACGCCTGGCTAATTTTGTATTTTTAGTAGAGATGAGGTTTCTCCATGTTGGCCAGGCTGGTCTTGAACTCCTGACCTCAGGTGATCCACCTGCCTCGGCCTCCCAAAGTGCTGGGATTACAGGCGTGAGCCACCGTGCCCGGCCTGACTTTTCAATTCTACCTAAAAGCCGTCTTGGTGGTGCGTCTTAGTCCCATTTATTTGCTCTTTGGCCAAGAACCTCTGGGCTGTTTCTCTGTGGTATTTTCTGCTTCTTTATGTCCTACCTGGGCCATCTAACAAAGCAAAGCTAAAAGTTTTACATCTACTTCATAAAATAAATTGCTTTTATGCAACTGTGAAGCAGTTAGGTTTCAACAACTTGTTTTTTTTTTTTTTGAGACGGAGTTTCACTCTTGTTGCCCAGGCTGGAGTGCAGTGGCATGATCCCAGCTCACTGCAACCTCTGCCTTCCGGTTTCGAGTGATTCTCTTGCCTCAGCCTCCGAAGTAGCTGGGATTACAGGCACCCGTCACCATGCCCAGCTAATTTTTTTTTGTATTTTTAGTAGAGACGGGGTTTCACCACGTTGGCCAGGCTAGTCTCGAACTCCTGACCTTGTGATCCGCCCGCCTTGGCCTCCCAAAGTGCTGGGATTACAGGTGTGAGCCACCGTACCCTGCCGGTTTCAACAACTTCTGCAATAAAAAGGAGACCAATACTACTTCAATGGGGTACTTACTACAGAGAGTAGACCTCAGCTTGAGTGAGGAGCCCCGAGTCCTTGGCGCAGGTTGGCCTTGGTGTCACAGGGGTCTTGGGTAAGTTACTTTATCTCTAAATCTCACTCTCCACAGAAGTAAAAGAGAAGCTTGGGTTAATCTAAAGTTTCTTCCAACTTGCAGATTTTGTGCAGGATTTGGGGGCCGGGGGAGCTACTCTGGGTTGTACTCTCCTCTCTCCAAATTGTCTTGCTCCAAGGTCTGTGAGTTAATGAGTAGGAACGTAGTTTTGGTACCTCCCCAGAGAGTCTCAAACTCATAAGCTGGGACTGCATGAGATGAACCTTAAGATGTAAAGCATTACTTTTTATTTCATTTATTTGCATTGATTAATCAAGCTATGAAATAGCTTATATGAACTAGTATATATAGCTCTGACTCAGGAATTTGGCCAAAAGGAGCTGAGTTTGCCCCTATTTAATAAAATTTCAATTAAAAATTAAGGGTTCCTTTTTTAGCCTTCTCCCAATCCTTATCAGTGCCTCTTCTTCCCAAGGGAAAAAAACATAATTGTTAAATGTTGTCAAGTTTTTTGGGGGGATGGGGATGAGGAGGGCCAGCTAGAGATGACAGCCATTTACCAGCCTATGTGGAAATATGTTTGTGTTTTAACTGTTGGGACAGCTGCACCAGAGTTAACTGGGTGCATGTCAACACTGGATACACCACAAGACATGGGACCAGGAAGGGAGGACCAGAGTTCAACTTCTGTGGATGCTCTTGTGAGCACTCCTAATTATCTGTGTGTGCCCTGACGAACTGGTCCCCTTCTTTGGGATAGGAGCAGGGGAACATCTCCCCCATTTTGGGGCAGCATAAATCTCACTTTGAATTTCAATAAATGCATCATATGCATGCCTGTAATCCCAGCTACTTAGAAGGCTGAGGCAGGAGAATCACTTGAACCCAGGAGGCAGAGGTTGCAGTGAGCCGAGATCATGCCACTGCACTCCAGCCTGGGCGACAGAGAGAGAGTCTAAAAAAAAAAAAAAAAAAGCACCATGGAATGAGACTATATATTTTATGAACAGTCTTTGACCCAAACATTAGCTTATTGACCCATAGCAAGTGAGGAAGAAGTTCATACCCTAGAAATCTAATAGTCCATCACCAAGAGATAGGCCAGACACGATGCTCTTATTGTAGTTATTGAAACTAGGAAAATGAACCTGCTGCAAACTAGCAGAACTAAGTATGTGCAGGGGGAAAAGGTTTGCTTCTCAAATATTATGGCAAAGAGGCAAGAATTCCTGGCTGCAGAGTTTCCTGTTCTGGAATGCTGATGATGTGAGACCAATTAGAGACAGGCCCAATGGCTTTGTCTGCACCCTTCCAGATTCTAGCTGCACACAGGGAGGTCACAGGAAACTGCTAAAGGCCGCTGCCCCGAGTTGAGGTCACTGAAATGCTTCTGCTGTGTTCATGTTGGGTTCTTCTCCTGCTGCATTTTTATTTTTGGCTCAGGCAATGGCCTCAGATATTTCACTTGGATTGAAATTCAGGCTTCAGTTTGGTTGCATCTCTGACAAGCAAAAGGACAGGCCTGCAGAGCAGGGCAGAGCCTTGGCTGGTTTCCACTCTGCAGAGCCCACAACGAATGGGGTGGGGCTCAGAAATAAGTGCACGTTATCAGGCATGTGAGTGCGGCTTTGCGTATGGCTACTATGCAACGCCCCCCATACAGCCACTAGCTATTACTGGTTTTTCCAAAAAACCAAGATTACTTAAATCTCTTAGCTAAGGAGGGTAGTTACTGGATCCTGGTTATTTAAATGTTTTGGGTTGGTGTTTTATTTGTTATTGTGTAAGTAAACATAAGCAAACAATTTGTAATTTGCTTGAATAGGAAATCAGCCAATATCATGTATAGTTTATGCTTCCATGTGAGCCTATATGCTATGCATGTACTTATAGACATACACAGGATACTAGACATTCTAAGGTAAAATGAATTAAATATGATTAATAGGATTAATTTAGCTGTGCCCAGCTAAATTAAGCCATAATTCCAGCACTTTGGGAGGCTGAAGCAGGCAGATTGCCTAAGGTCAGGAGTTTGAGACCAGCCTGGCCAACACGGTGAAACCCCGTGTCTACTAAAAATACAAAAATTAGCTGGCATGGTGGCTAATGCCTGTAGTCCCGGCTACTTGGGAGCCTGAGGCAGGAGAATTGCTTGAACCTGGGAGGCAGAGGTGGCAGTGAGCTGAGATCGCACCACTGCACTCCAGCCTGGGCGACAGAGCGACACTTCATCTCAATAAAATAAAATAAAATTACAATAGTTCTCCCTTTTTTTTTTTTTTTTTTTGAGATGGAGTCAGGCTGGTCTTGTTCTCCTGACCTCGTGATCTGCCCACCTCGGCCTCCCAAAGTGCTGGGATTACAGCTGTGAGCCACGGCGCCTGGCCGGTTCTTCCATTTTTTTTTTTTTTTTTTTTTTTTTTTGAGATTAAGTCTTGCTCTGTTGCCCAGGCTGGAGGGCAGTGGTGCGATCTCAGCTCACTGCAACCTCCATATCCCGGGTTCAAGCGATTCTCCTGCCTCAGCCTCCCGAGTAGCTGGGATTACAGGCACCCACCACCACGCCCGGCTAATTTTTTGTATTTTTAGTAGAGATGGGGTTTCTCCATGTTGGTCAGACTGGTCTCAACCTCCCAACATCAGGTGATCCGCCCGCCTCGGCCTCCCAAAGTGCTGGGATTACAGGCGTGAGCCACCGCGCCCGGCCTCGAGTTCTCCCATTTTTATTAAGTCAGTCAGTAAGAAAATAATAGATATAATATAATATAATAACTGGAGGTTTATCTGGTTCCAGAGCTAGTAAGCCTATTTGATTCCAGGGTTCTCATGTGAATGTGGCCCCTTTTCTATTACTAGCAACTTGGTCCTTTAAGTTAACACATGCCCAGATACCTGCTAAGACCCAAATCTGGGAAGAACAATTGGTATGTCCTGCAATGCTCTTTTTATCTACACTTTAAGCCCCAGAGTTAATTAAGGAGAGGTTTTCCCTGATGGCAGCCCACAAAGCATTTGCACTTTTAGTTTGTAAACCAAGTTCAGCTAAATACCTTTGACAAAAGCTTTACTTAAATCTTGGCTTTAAAATAGAATGTAAATAAGGGTTAATTAATTCATTTGTTAATTTTGCTACCCTACTGGGGACATTAACTCACTGCCATCTTTTGTGCAAACACTTAATCAGTGCTTCTTGCTAACTTGTGGATGGTGACTGAACTTCTCAGTTATATTCTAAGTATGTGTATAAAATTATAATAGATTTGACCTTGATGAAACAGTTTTCTTGGGATAGGGAAAATGGATATTTCTGATGCTTCTAAGTTTTTATTTTAAGGTTCATCTGGTAATTAATATAATTCTCGAGAAACAAATACCCACCTTGGTATTTAGGAAAAATCTGTTTAATATTAGACAAAGTAAAGGAACTGACGGAGGATTTAAACATTTCTACCATTTCTGGGAAAAAGCTACACTGTATTATAATTGTAGCCATAGAGAACTATAAACAAGATAAATGGTTTTCTGTAGAAATTCCTAAAGTAGTTTAAAATGCCTAAGAGCCAAAGGGGTGTTTAGAATTATCTTGCTACATCTAAGATGAAGGGAGTGAATACGAGATTATTAGGCGAATGCAGATTCAAACAAATGATCTTGGTTTATATATGAACTTCTCATGATTTACCAGTCTACCTTCTTAATGTAAAATTGAAACATTTACCTGCCAAGTTTTTGAAGTAAGCCTTTTAAAAAGAAATAATAATGTAACAGGAAGATACGCACCTAAGACTCTGAATGGGACTCACTTGTATTTAACACATGACATTTCAGTTCCTCAAAGGACTAAGACACTAAGTACAACCAAAATGAAAAAAAGGTCAAGCATGGGTACATTAGAAAATGCACATTAATGTACATGAATCTAATGTACATTAGAAAATGCACATTAATGTACATTAACCTAATGTACATTAGAAAATGCAAAAAGTCTAGAAGATAAGCCCTATCTAACTTTATGAGCAGTGTGATTAGTTGCTTATGAATAAGTTACTGGTTATTGATGTAAATTTAGGAGAAAGGCATTTAAATAAAAGACCTAAAGTGTTTTGCCATTACTTTAGATTATTCTCCTATTTGTCTCTCTAAGACAATGCTCTTCAAAGATGGTAACCATAATTTTCCAATACTCAATTTATTCTAGGCTGGTGGTGCTCAAAGTGTGGTCCCTGGACCAAATGTGATGCAGCCAAGCCAGCATCACTAGAGAATTTGTTAGAAAGGCTAATTAGTGGCCAGCACAGTGCCTCACACCTGTAATTCCAGCACTTTTGAGAGGCTGAGGCAGGATGATCCTGCCCAGGAGTTCAGGACCTGGGCAACATAGGGAGATCCCATCTCTACAAAAACAGAAAAAAATTAGCTGGGTATGGTAGTACACACCTACGGTCCCAGCTACTGGGGAGGCTGAAGTAGGAAGATTGCTTGAGACTGGGAGGTCAAGGCTGCCGTGAGCCGTGATGGTGCCACTACATTTCAGCCTGGGCAACAGAGTGAGACCCTGTCTCTAAATAAATAAATAAATAAAATAAAGGCTAATTATTGGGTCTCCCTCTAGACTTAGTGAATCATAAACTCTGGGCTGGGGCCCAGCAATCTGTGTTTTAACAAGTCCTCCTGGGAATTCTGATGAACACAGAAGTTTGAGAACTATACTTCTAAGTCAATCATTGCTAAAGACAGCAGGGCTCTTATTTTTCATATAATATATTTAAAACAAAAATATGGACTTTGCAAAACGAAAATAGGAGGTGATATTAACTAATGTGGGTTTTGTTTTTTGTTTTAGAGACAGGGTCTTGCTGTTGCCCAGGCTGGAGTGCAAGTGTGATCATAGTTCACTGCAGCCTCAAACTGCTGGACTCAAGGGATCCTCCCACCTCAGCCTCCCAAGTATTAACAGCTAGGACTACAAGTGTGTGCCACCATGACTGGCTAATTAAAAAAACCATTGTTTTTGCAGAGACAAGTTTCTGCTATGTTGCCCAGGCTGGTCTCAAACTCCTGGCCTCAATGGATCTCCTGCCTTGGCCTCCCCATGTGTTGTGATAACAGGTGTGAGCCACCATGCCCAGCCAACTAGTGTTTTTATATAGGGCTTTTCACATCTATTAATATCTTCTCATAACTAATAGGTTAAAATCTAATTTTGCTTTAATTGTAATATGGAGTTGTTCATGTAGTTTTTGGCCATTTGCATATTCTTTCAGTAAATTGGTTCATGTCCTCTGCCCATTTTCTACTGATATTTTACTAATTTTTAAATATATCTTTCATATTAAGGAAATCAATACTTCGTCATGTGTTGAAATTATTTCTCCAAGTTTCCTGTTTATGTTTATCTTTACCTATAGAATTTTAAGCATTTAACACTTTTTATGTTTTTTTTTTTTTTTTTTTTTTTGAGACAGAGTCTCTGTCACCCAGGCTGGAGTGCAGTAGTGTGATCTCGGCTCACTGCCACCTCCGCCTCCTGGGTTCAAGTGATTCTCATGCCTTAGCCTCTCAGGTGGCTGGGATTACACGTGTGTGCCACCATGCTTGGCTAATTTTTATATTTTTAATTTTTAATTTTTATATTTTAAAGACAGGGTTTCACCATGTTGGCCAGGCAGGTCTCAAACTCCTGACCTCAAGTGATCCACCTGCTTTGGCTTCCCAAAGTGCTGGGATTACAGACGCCCGGACAACTCTTTACGTATTTAAAAGCATTTTGCTTCCATGGCTTAGAAAGTCCTTTCACACTTTAATATGATAAAAATAATAGACTGGGCGCGGTGGCTCACGCCTGTAATCCCAGCCCTTTGGGAGGCCGAGGTGGGCAGATCACGAGGTCAGGGGTTCAAGACCAGCCTGACCAACATGGTGAAACCCCATCTCTACTAAAAATACAAAAATCAGCCGGGCTTGGTGATGTTCACTTGTGATCCCAGCTATTTGGGAGGCTGAGGCGCGATAATCGCTTCAACCTGGGAGGCCGAGATCACGCCATTGCACTCCAGCCCGGGTGACACAGCGAGACTCCATCTCAAAAAAAAAAAAAAAAAAAAAAAAAAAAAAAAATATATATATATATATATATATATATATTCACCACCATTTCTTTCTAGTACATTTCTAGTACTCTGTGGGCTTTATTTATTTTACATTAAAATATTTGATCCACTTAGAATTTATCTTGATGTAAGGTGTATGGGCAGCATTATTTTTCTTTTTCCAAATGGCTAATTAGTTCCCAATTCCTAATATGGAATAATACTTTTTTTGTTCCACCAATTTGCTATGCCACCTTTACCATGTATTAAATTCCCATATTACTTGGGTCTATTTCCATACTTTCTGAATCTTTTTGACTCTTGTTCTAGTGATCTTTGTATCCTTATTCCCATTATATTGTTTTACAATACATTTTTATATCTGATAGAAACAGTCTCCCTTCATGTACATAAAACTTTGAGAAGTTAAATTCTATATAATTCTATATTAAATATACTAGGGAAGTTTACTGCCCCGATCTTTATTTTTATTTTTATTTTTGAGACGGAGTCTCTCTCTGTCACCCAGGCTGGAGTCCAGTGGTGTGATCACAGCTCACTGCAAGCTCCGCCTCCCGGGTTCAGGCCATTTTCCTGCCTCAGCCTCCCCAGTAGCTGGGACTATAGGCGCACGCCACCACGCCCAGCTAATTTTTTGTATTTTTAGTAGAGACGGGGTTTCACCGTGTTAGCCAGGATGGCCTCGATCTGACCTCGTGATCCGCCTGCCTCTGCCTCCCAAAGTGCTGGGATTACAGGCATGAGCCACCGCGCCTGGCCCCCATCTTTTTATTATAGTTTTATTTATAAGGTTTATTTAAAATGAGATGCACCTGTATAATAAACACCTCAGGTAGTTAAGAACTAATCCTGGCTTTAGATATTGGACGTTCTGAACATCTCAGATGCTTTTCATTTTTATATAAGGATAAAGGCATTGTACAAGTTTGGTGGGTTAAACTAATTAGACTGATTGTTTACATGTTTATAAAATTAGCAAACATGGTTCAATTGTTTAATAATGTATAAACTTTTAATAATTAAAATTACTCTACTTTGCATGAACCAAAGATGTATTACCTTGGAAAAATACTGCAATAATGCTTTCAGCCTGATATATATTAACATTGAAGGAGGGAAGAAGGAGGGAAGGCCTGAACAGCAAAGCATGTTTTAGCAGTCCCTTTCATTCAGTGAGAACATTCGTTGGAACTTCTGTTTCCATTCTGCGTATTGGTAAATGTTGGATGGAACCGATAGTCACAATAATAAGAATAGTTCTGCTGCGTACACAAGCCATAAGCTGATATGTAAGAAGTCACTGAAAACCTTATTTTTTTCAACACCACACATACTCATAAGACAGAAATATGATAGAGAAGGCTAAATAGTAGTATTTCAGCAAAGGAATCTCTCAAAGGGAGCAACAGTCACATTGGGAGCCAATGTGAGCTTCTTAGGCGGAAGCATCGAGCTGTGCTAAGTAAGAACTAAGCTTTTTCTGTTTTATTGAGACAGGGTCTCATTCCATCACCCAGGCTGGAGTGCAGTGGTGTGATCACGGCTCACTGCAACCTCCGCCTCCTAGGCTCAAGCGATCTTCCCTCCCACCACAGCTACCAGTGTAGCTAAAGCTACGGGTGCACACCACCATAGCTGGCTCATTTTGTATTTTTTGGAGAGATGGGGTCTCGCCATGTTGCCCAGGCTGGTCTCAAACTCCTAGGCTCAAGTGATCTGCCTGTCTCAGCCTCCCAAAGTGTTGGCCTCCTTTGGCCTCCCAAAGTGTTGAGCCACCGCACCAGGGGCTTTTCCTTTTCATTGTCTTTGGGTAGCAGCCTGCCTGAGCCACCTCCCCAGACCCCTCTCTGAGAAAAAGTGAGGTAACAAACTAATGGGAGGGTTAGCCTGGGAGAAGGAGACTTGAGTACTGCTTGTAGGTACTTTGGAAGTATTAAAGTCCCCCTAACTAGATCTCTCACTTTTAAACAGTATATCTTAAATGTGCTTTCAGGGAAGCCAGAGGAAGGGAAAAGTCATTTTGCTTGCTGCTTTGACATTCACATCATTTCTGTCCCTAAGCCCCTGAGCTGGTGCTTATTTCAAGCACTGCAGGAAAACCACGCTCCACCGAAGAGGTTGTTACCTCAGGCCTCTGAGCTCATTCCACGCTGCCTCCCTCTCTGACTCCTGTGTCTTCTGCTACCAAGGGAAATTTGCTTGTCTCTTTGCAATCTAGAATTTGAAGATTTTCTTTCCAATCATTGATATAAATTGCTTTTCCCCCAGTCTTTTCATTTAAATTTCCTTTCCACCATCACAGATTCGCTTTCTGGAAAAAAACGTGGAATTTGGGGCGGGAGTGGTGGCTCATGCCTGTAATCCCAGCAATTTGGGAGGCCAGGGCAGGAGGATTGCTTGAGCCCAGGAGCTGGAGACCAGTCTGAGCAACATATTGAGATCTTGTCTCCACAGATAAATTAACCAAGCATGGTGGCGTGCATCTGTAGTCCCAGTTACCTGGGAGGCTGAGGCTGGAGGGTCACCTAAGCCTGGGAGGTGGAGGCTGCAGTGAGCCCTGATAGTGCCACTGCACTCAAGCATGGGCAGCAGAGTAAAACCCTGTCTCGAAAAAAAAAAAGTAGGACTTAACTCCATTCTCAAAGAACGGTCTTAAGATACTTCAACCTCCCAACTCTCAGAGCCACACTAGATCTTTCAGTCTAAGTTAAATCAGTTCAAGTTAGTGGCTTCCAATATTTCCAAGGCAGTCTTTGAATCAGGTTCATTATTTGTGTACTCTATTATGCTATTGGTTTTATAAAATAACAATTCATACATTTATTTTTCTTTTTTTTTTTTTTTTTGAGACGGAGTCTCGCTCTGTTGCCCAGGCTGGAGTGCAGTGGCGCGATCTCGGCTCACTGCAAGCTCCGCCTCCCGGGCTCACGCCATTCTCCTGCCTCAGCCTCCGGAGTAGCTGGGACTACAGGCGCCCACCACCACGCCCGGAGAATTTTTTTTTTTTTTTTTTAGTGGAGACGGGGTTTCACCGTGTTAGCCAGGATGGTCTCGATCTCCTGACCTCGTGATCCACCCGCCTAGGCCTCCCAAAGTGCTGGGATTACAGGCGTGAGCCACTGCGCCCGGCCTATTTTTCATATGAATTACTTTTTAATGCTACCTTCCCTTGTTTTCTCATCAAAAGGCTACAAAATTCTTCCCATTAAATGTGGTGGTGATGATCCCAACTACACATCAACCACCACAAGTGAGACTAGTTAAAGGTAGGTGGCAGAGTCCTTTGCCCCCCAGGTTGGTTTGTGGGTTCCCCAGATTTCAGGGCTACTGCTGTGACAACAGGGTAGGGCAGAAAGGGTACTGCTCTGGGATTCAGCAGCCTGGATCTTCCAGTAGCTCCAGGTGTGGTTTGGAGGGGGATTCCGGCCTTCAAGGAGGTGGGAGACATGGGCAGACTATTGCTAAGCTCCCCCTAGCTCTACAAAGGTTCGATGCTCTAGTATAATTTTGTACAGAGGGTTAACATGGGCTGCACCTTTCTCTCTATTTTAAGTGCTCTGAAAGCATCAGGAGCTGAAATGATAATTATTAATGGTAGCTGTAGATAGTTGTGAAGATGTTTCCTGAGGTAGCATTGTTAAGTGGTTTAAATATTCAGAATTCTGCAGGGGCTTAGTAAAAGTGTGATAATATACATTAGATACTTAAAAAAGATTTTTTAAAAGACAAATTTAATGAGGTATTACTATCTGTACTCCTATAATTAGTTGTATGAAAGAAGTCTTAAAAATAACAAACATGTATTGACAAAACCAAGATACTATTGTACCCTTTGTAATTCTAAAGCATAAAACAGTTCATTTCAGAACATACTGCTCAGTCTGAAAAGTCAACACATTTTGTTTGGAAAGGTAAATACTCCTTCTCTTCCCTATTGTGTGTTCAGGTTACTTATTTACAGTCCCATGGGGAAGAAAAAGCACATGCTAAAAACCGACCTAAAAGATGTTTTGAAAATGAAATTACCTGAGTAGCTTAGCAAAGCTCACATTTTTTACATCATCTCTCTCCTGACATTAAAGTCTCCACTGACCCAGTAAAACACATCCATCTCCAACATATGATAAGGATGTAAGCCATCACTCAATAAAGTCACATATCTCGGTAATGCCTACTTAAATAATGAATTTCCTGAAATCACTTTAAAAGCCATTTAAAAGAAAATATGTTAATAACTACAGATTATAGTTGAAATTACAGAATAAAGCAAACTCTCTATTCATTCATGAATTATTTATGGAGCAGTTACTAAGTGTTGTCTTAGATGGAGCAGTGAGCAAAATATAAAAAGTCTATTCCCTCATGGAGCTTACATTATTTCAAAACGGTGGACTGAACTGCAATTTGGATTTGTATCTAAATCCCTTTGGGTAAACAGAATAAAAATCAGCCAACTTTACGGAAAACATCATGACAAACTATCAAACACAAATACAAAATGCTGAGCAATGGAGCAGAAGCAAAGATCTTACTCCTTTTGTCAATAAAAGCTTAAAACAGTGCCATATGCCTGGTATGAAGGTCCAGCAGAGTGGTGGCTTGTCAAAGGTCACACAAATTAGTAGCTAGGAACGACATCGAGACTTCTTTGTTCCTAGTCCAGTGATCTTTTTGTTTTTTGTTTTTGAGATGGGGTCTTGCTCTGTCGCCCAGGCTGGAGTGCAGTGGTGCAATCTCAGCTCACTGCAACTTCCGCCTCCTGGGTTTAAGCAGTTCTCTGCCTCAGCCTCTCAAGTAGCTGGGATTACAGGCGCCCGCCACCACACCCGGCTAATTTTTGTATTTTTAGTAGAGATGGGGTTTCACCATATTGGCCAGGCTGGTCTTGAACTCCTGACCTCATGATCCACCAGGCTTGGCCTCCCAAAGTGCTGGGATTACAGGCGTGAACCACTGCGCCTGGCCCAGTGATCTTTTTATGGACTGGCCTGCCTGTGTTTATTCGATGGATCTTAATGATTTTAGAGCCAATTAAAATTTTTTTCCTCCAGCCTGGGCAACATGGTGAAACCCCATCTCTACAAAAAAAAATACAAAAATTATCTGGGCGTGGTGGAGAGCACCTGTAGTCCCAGCTACTCGGCAGGCTGAGGTGAGAGGATCGTTTGAGCCTGGGAGGCAGAGGTTGCAGAAAGCCAAGATGGTGCCACTGCACTCCAGCCTGGATGACAGAGCCAGATCCTGTCTCAAAAAAAAAAAAATTTTTTTTTTCTTTAAAAGTACCCATTAATATAAGTTTATAGATTAAATGTGACTATTTTTCTGGTTCTGATACAATGTGATAAAAAATGCTGGATATAAAATTATATATTCAATATGATTCTAACTATTTAAAAATACATATGTGTAGAAAAATGGAGAAATAATGGAGAATATTTTCTTTAATTTTCTGTACTTTTCAAATTTTCTATAATAAATATCAATTAGTTTTATAGTTAGAAAGTTAAAATGAGTTAAACGATGAACAATTCCTCTTTAAACAGCAAAAAATTAAGCTGTCTGAAATGCTTAAAGCTAAGATGATCAATACAATATTAACCAGATACCTAACTAGAAGCTTGGTAAGAAATGTGTCTAGGTGACAGCCATCTATTCAAGTGACCAAATGGCCTCAAAACACAATGGTGGCTTCAGCAGCTAGGACTGTGTTTATAAATGCACCATATTTATCAAGTGGCTTAATGGCATAAAGGGTCAGGTCAGCCCTGAGGTTTTCACAGAAGTCTCAGTTATGTTAGCAGACATTCTGAAACATTTTGACATGTGAATACAGAAGCCACCAGGCCAAGGTGAAATGTTATTTACCAAGTTACTCTTTGACTAAAGTTTAAAATCCAGAAAAACTAGCATTGTGCTGAAGAGTTTTCATTAAAGAAAACTGTCATTGACACAATAAACACATTTAAGAGTGGGCAGTCAGAGCTGAAGAAGGGTCAAATTCCATCTGGGGAGTCATCACCCTGCCTCTGCCATGCACACGACATGTGAGCTGTCTGGGCTTCAAGTTTCCCACCCCCAAAATGTCTAAAGGGTCCCCACAGTCCCTTCTATCTCTATTAGTTTATAATTCTAAAACACAAGCGAGAGTCTGGTCCTCCACCATTGGTATTAGAGAACCACTGAGAAAGTTCCTCAAAATGTTCCTCTTCAACACCAGAGAAAGAAAAGAACGATTAGAAACAAACAGCTCCTCTGAAAAGGTACTCTACAGAGGAGCAGAAGTTTCCTTTAGCTGCTTCTAGGATCCCACACCTCACTGCAATACTCACTGAGTGGCTGCTTCCCAAGAAAAGCCACAGAAAGGAAATATCATTAAAAAATGGCATATACATTGGGGGAAGCTACTCCCTCCCTGAAGACCGGCCTAGCCAAGGCTGTTGTTCTCTATTGTTGAACAGGATGTAACAAGACTGCCAAGCGCAGCCCACAAACCTGCTAATTAGGTGCCCTGACAGTGTTTGTTTTGGAACCATTTACCAACAAAGGAATGTGTCAGGCTGATTAGGGAGAAAAGGGTATGTAATGTATGTGTATTTGAGTCCAGATGAGGGCATAATCCAGGTATTTAGTCTGTTTGTGCAAGGACTCACAAAAACAAAGGCCGAGCAAATAGGAAGCCACGGGGAAAGCCCAGCTTCTGGGCAGTGCTTCTCTCCCCTTCTCCTCTGGAGTTTTGTTCCACCTGCCTCCATCCCCACCCCTTCCCCACCAAAAAATTTTGCCTAAACACTTAACATGAAAGTCTCTTTCAAAAAGTGACAAACTACAGCTGGTTCCTCAGAAAAATGAAAGAGTCTTTGTAAGGTTACTGACACATCTGGGGCTTGATGGTTTTTTTGGCAGGTAAGTAAGTGACAACTTTAGGCAAAATCATCTCCACATTCAGCCTCCATGGAGCCTTCTCCATGCACTGTGCCCAGGGGCAAATCTAAGGGCAACAGGGCAACAGAAAACACAGCTCTTGATGGACTGATTGTTCAAGCTGTGCTGAGAACAATTAGGCATCTCAGCACCATCTATGGGAAGAAGTAGTTCCACATTTTATAATAAAGCAGGTTCCTTCTTTTTAAACAAGCCTTTATATGGTTTGAGTACAATTAGGCATTTGAAGCTTCATGTGTACATGAGGCTTAAAGAAGGGAAGAAAGTGCCAAGGCAAAGAACAAAGTCCATGCCCCAACAAGTTTAGGTCCTCAGGAGCAGGGTGGTATGGATTGCAGTGAAACGCAAAATGACAAAGACCAATTCAAAACGTTGAGCGTGTTGGGAGGAGTCTCCATGTTCTTCAGGACAAGCTGGACATTTCTGAAGTCCGGCCAGATGGATGAAAGCAATGGGGCTTGGACTAAGTTTCATGGGAGGCTGCCTTTTTTGGTAAGATTACCTGACAAAATAGATTTTAAAAATGAAAAAGCGGATAAACCCTGTTAGAAGCTCATCTGCTATGCACTTTTCCATGAGGCTGATGTTTGTTCTCAAGACTGATGTAGAAAATATTCTTTAAATGTGTGCAGACTGGCTGGGCGTGGTGGCTCATGCCTGTAATCTTGGCACTTTTGGAGGCCGAGGCGGGCGGATCACTGGAGGCCAGGAGTTCGAGACCAGCCTGGCCAACATGGCGAAACCCCATCTGTACTAAAAATACAAAAACTAGCCGGGCATGGTGGTGCACACTTGTAATCCCAGCTACTCAGGGGGCTAAAGCTGGAGAATCGCTTGAACCCGGGAGGTGGAGGTTGCAGTGAGCCGAGATCCTGCCACTGCACTCCAGCCTGGGCCACAGAGCGAGACTGTCTCAAAAAAAAAAAGTGTACAGACTAGATGTAGTAGCAGAGTATGCTAACTCAAGTGGTAAGCAGGTAAGATTTTGGTGTTAATAAGTTCAATGCCCTGTGTGCCACCATTATTTCTTAGAAGAGGGGATGGAGTGGTCAACTACTTGTGCACAAAGAAAAACTGGCAAGCAATGTCCAGCCTACACCTCTGAATTCCAGTGCTTTAAAAAACAACCCTTTTTAGAAGAGTAACCACAGAGCTGCCGATGCCCTACTAACAAAGGAAGAACACCTCCTCTGATGCCTTCCCTGGTGTTAGTGAATGTTGCTGACCAGGGCAGGCTTATGCTGTCATCAGTGAAACACCTTAAATGGTATGTCAATTGCTTCAACCTTATATAGAAAGCTTTAGTGTTACCTCAGACTTGTGTTATGCTCCTCTATCTTTGGAGGTGTTTTATATTCCCTTAACTAATTAGTTTATTTAAAAAATGTTGTCAGTGTTCTTATGAATGCATATATACTTAGGCAAGCTTAAACCAAACAGTAAGTATTTATGTAACGCTTAGTCCATTTCGTGTTGGTAAAACAGAATACCTGAGACAGGGAAACATTTTTTTAAAAGTTTATTTGGCTCCTGATTCTGGAGGCTGGGAGGTCTAGGAAACATGGCACTGGCATCTGCTCAGCTTTTGGTGATGCCTCGAGCTGCGTCACAAATGGCAGGGAAGTGGAAGGGGAAGCAAGCATGTGGAAAAGGACCAAACACAGGAGGCAACTCGCTTTCTAGCAACCCCCTATCACCAAACTAACCCAATCCCTCCAGAACTCATCCATTCCTGTCAGAAGGAGATTAATCCATTTTAACGACCTCATCACCTCTTAAAGGCACCACCTCCCTACACCTCTACGCTGGGGACCAAGCTTCAGCAAGATTTTCTGGGGACACACCATATTCAAACCATAGCAAATGCCTACCAGATGGAGGATACCAACACCAGTTTTCAGTAGAATCTTCTCATAGAATACTCACATTTAAATACAGTGCCAAGTGGCATAAAGGTCACAAAGTCTTTAAGTACAATGTTCTTCATAGTGAAAAACCTAGGAGGATGACTTACATGTCACATGAAAAACTCACGAAAGCCAAATGGACAGGACAGAAATGATGGAACTGATTTATCACAGTTGGTTTATTTTCTAAGTCCCATGTTAAAAATGCATGCTGAGGGTTTTTAAGATGAAGTGTTTATGTACTTGTAATCTCGAAGCATTTCAAGGTTCAGAAATAGCATCTCTGCAGAAATGTAGAAAGCAGGATTGTCTCCTTAGCAGCATTAGGAAAGGGATCTTAATAACGAGAGAAGATTAGGGATGTGTAAAAATGTCAGAAAGAAAGCTGCATAGGAGGCAATTTAAGGATTAAAAAAAAATCTAAGTCCTGGGTCATTTTGTGGATTTATGTGACTTTTTTGCTTTTATATTCATTGTTTTCCCTTAAATCATAGAGCAGTGTCAGCCTAATCTTCTGATTTGTAATTCTTAAAAGTTAGAGCCCTTCCTGGCCAGGCACAGTGGCTCACGCCTGTAATCCCAGCACTTTGGGAGGCCAAGGCGGGTGGACCACGAGGTCACAAGATTGAGACCAGCCTGACCAACACGATGAAACCCCATCTCTACTAAAAATACAAAAATTAGCTGGGCGTCGTGGCACGCACCTGTAATCCCAGCTACTAGGGAGGCTGAGGCAGGATAATTGTTTGAACCTGGGAAGCGGAGGTTGCAGTGAGCCGACATCGCGCCACTGCACTCCAGCCTGGTGACGGAGAGAGAGACTCCGTCTCAAAAAAAAAAAAAAAAAAAAAGGTTAGAGCCCTTCCTTCTTATTCTCAATCAAGGAGGGCATGTTTCGTCATTTCTGTTTTTTTAGGATGTGGAATTTTATCATTGTTTTGTCAAAATGTTTATCTCTCCCAAGGCTGTGCTTTCCTTGTAGTCCTCTAGGAGGATAAATCCTGGATTAGGCTTTAGCAAAGCAGTTTTATAATTCAGGATATTCTTATTGTATTTAAAAATCTTGCAATCTGGGCTTTACGGTTTTTCTATTTAGGTTAAAGAGAGGTATGTATTTAATTTGTGTTTGAGGCTGGGTGCAGTGGCTCACGCCTGTAATCCCAGCACTCTGGGAGGCCGAGGCGGGGGAGGATCACCTGAGGTTAGGAGTTTGACACCAGCCTGGCCAACATGATGAAACCCAGTCTCTACTAAAAACACAAAAAAACTAGTGGGGCATGGTGGTGGGTGCCTGTAATCCCAGATACACCGGAGGCTGAGACAGGAGAATCGCTTGAACCCAGGAGGCAGAGGTTGCAGTGAGCTGAGGTCGCGCCATTGCACCCCAGCCTGGCCAACAAGAGTGAAACTCCATCTCAAAAAAAAAAAAAAAAAAAAAAAAGGTGTTTGAGAAGAAAGAATATCTCAGGGTAAAACTGTCAGCATTATCTTCTGAATGGAGGGGAGGTTGCTTTGGTGCAACAAACAGGGGTTTGCCTATGGAAGTCTAATTTAGGCACATCCTCAGCTTCACAGGTACCCCTTGCTGAACCTGACCCGCCAAGGGATGCACAGGAGGTGGAAGCTCTGTTGTTGTCTCCACAACAGTACTTTGGCCATTTTACAGAAGAAAGGCATATCTTTCCCCCAAACCAATCTAGTCATGGCTTATTGCTCCGAGTGTAAAGACTCCCAAGGCAGCAAATAAAATGACATTTCAAAATAGCAGTTTTGGAGAAGACTTAATGACAGAGGTACACAATTTTTTCAAATTGATTTTAGGGGGTATATGGCAAAATGTTTTGAAGACTACAGGTGCAGAAGTAGCAGTAAGATATAATGGAAAAAACATGGATTTTGGAGTCAGATGTATTTGGATTCAGGTTTTGGCCTTATCTCTAGGGCCACGTTAATTGCCTTCTCTGAACCTAGGTTTCTTCATTATTAAAATGGAAGTTACACTATTTCCTCAGAGGACTGGCAGAAAAATTAGATAAGATATGTAAGTTGCTGGCACTAGTACTAATAAATGTTAGTGCCATTCCCTTTCAATCCCAGCACCTTCTCTATATCTGTCAGAGGTGGGATCCTAAAAATTAATACTAGGGGTATATTTTCAAATTACATAGTCATGAAACTTCCTCCTGCATAATGATTAATTTAATGAGGAAAAGAAAGCCTGAAGGAGTTGATGAATGTTTGCTATATAGTCATAATCAAATGAAAACGTTAAAACTGAGTATATTCTAGTACTGAAGAACATAAATCAGTGACTCAAGTTCAACACAGAGTTCCCTCATACAGAGGGAACAACAGACACTGGGTACTCAAAAGAGGGGAGGGAGGCAGGGAAAGGCTGAAAAACTTCCTTTGGGTACCCTGTTCACTATATAGGTGATGGGATCAATGAAAACCCAAACCTCAGCATCAGGCCACATATCCTTGTAATAAATCTGCATATGGGTCTCCGAATCTAAAATTTAAAAAGAAAAAAAGAAAAAAAAAACCCCAAACCTAAAAAACACAGAGCTCCCTAATACTTTTAGAAACTGTGGAACTTCTTTCTCACTCAACATGCACATCACTTCTGTGGATGATGGAGCCCTTCTGGGAGCTCCAGGTCCACCCCGCTACTGTGCTCCTCCCACGCTTTCATAGAACTGCCTACTGGCCTGTCTGTCCCTAATAAACTCAACTATTTGTGAGCAAGTAGCATGCTGTGTTCACTGTTGTCTCCAGAACCTAGCCCAATGCACACACATGGTATGCTCAATAGATTATTTATTAGGGTCAGGATCATGTTTGTAATCCTAGCACTTTGGGAGGCCAAGGCGGGTGGATCACCAGGAGTTCAAGACCAGCCTGACCAACATGGTGAAACCCCGTCTCTACTAAAAATACAAAATTAGCCGAGTGTCTTGGCACATGCTTGTAATCCCAGCTACTTGGGAGGCTGAGGCAGGAGAATCGCTTGAACCTGGGAGGCAGAGGTTGCAGTGAGCTGAGATCACGCCATTGCACTCCAGCCTGGGCAACAAGAGTGAAACTTCGTCTCAAAAAAAAAAAAAAATCATTTATTAAAAGTACAGGGCCCGGTGTGGTGGCTCACACCTATAATCCCAGCACTTTGGGAGGCTGAGGTGGGTGGATCACCAAAGGTTAGGAGTTCCAGACCAGCCTGGCCAACATGGTGAAACTCTGTCTCTACTAAAAATACAAAAATTAGCCAGGTGTGGTGGCGGGTGCCTGTAATCCCAGCTACTCAGGAGGCTGAGGCAGGAGAATCACTTGAACCCAGGAGGTGGAGGTTGCAGTGAGCCGAGATCATGCCACTGCACTCCAGCCTTGGCGACCTAGCAAGTCGCCAAACAAACAAACAAACAAGTACAAATTGTTCTCATGCTTGCTATTATTATTATTTTTTTTTTGACAAAGTCTTACTCTGTTGCCCAGGCTGGAGTGCAGTGGCACGATCTTGGTTCACTGCAGCCTCCGCCTGCTGAGTTTGAGCGATTCTCATGGCTCAGCCTTCTGAGTAGCTGGGATTACAGGTGTGTGCCACCATGCCCAGCTAATTTTTGTATTTTTATTAGAGACGGGGTTTCACCATGTTGGCCAGGTTGGTCTCAAACTCCTGACCTCAAGTGATCCAAGTGATCCTGCCTAGGCCTCCCGAAGTGCTGGGATTACAGGCATGAGCCACCACGCCCAGCCCTGAATTTTTTTTTTAACTGAACTGTAATTATGCTATTCAAGTGATACTTGGACCTGAAAGGATATTAGGTATATTTCTGAGGACATAAAAATGCCAAATTTAGCAGAATGGTCAAGGGTATGTGGTAACAAATTCACTAAATACCTTATTTCTAAAATTTTTACATACAGGTTTTATTTCAAACATATGCAAAAGTAGAGAGAATATATAACAAATCCCTGTGTACCTATCACCTAGCTGCCACAATTATTAATACATGGAAATTTCTTTCATCTGTATCATCCCCCTACCCCATCATCAGATTATCCTGAAGCAAATCCCAGACATTGTATTACTTAATCCATAAAGATTTCAGTTACACTGAGATTTTAAACTTTACTTTACTATTCAAATTTATTTTTATTTATCACATTTATTTATTTAAAACATTTTTATAGACATGTTTTGAATCAGCAACTCTGTATTTCTGACTAAAATTTTCCTTTAATAAATTTTTTATTAGTGTTTCTCTTTGCCTTTTCACAGGGTTGTATAAACCACTCTTGGTGTTTAACTGGAAACTGAACACCAAGAGAAAGCTCAACAGGTTTCTGAAAAGTGTTAACCTGGAATTCCAGGAAAGCTGGTCAATATTCCTTCTGACTCAGACATTTGTACAAGCTTAGAGAACTGCATCTGATCAAGGAAGAAGGAGGATTCTCCACAGTTTTTACTACTGAGTAAAGACCCCTATGAACTCAGAGATATGCTAATGTGGTTATTTTGGTGAGAATCCAGCATCTTAACTATGACCACAGCTACCTTAGAGGAGTGATTCTTTTTTCTGGGGTGATTCATAATCATATGGAGTCCTTGAAGATACAGATTCTGGAGTTTTAAAAGCCAAGTCTCACAAAAGATTCTGATATACAGTCAGAGGGCAGCACTCTGCCCCAGTCAAGGCACAAGTCCAGGAACGGAGGGCTTTAAAAATGTATGCAAAACCCAGTGCCTAGATCTCAGTTTCTAATGTTATTCTTTAACAAAAGAAACCAAGGCTCCCTGGACACATGTCTGTTCCTAGGATTAGGGCAGGAAATAAGTAAGACGATCCTGGTGCATCTGGTAGTGCTGGAAAGTAAGGAAATGCTGAAAACCAAACCAAACCAAACCAAAAACAACTCCCCCCAGCAAAAATCCCATAATGGGTGGGGTATGTCAAGGGAACAAAGGAGCCTACTGAGAGCTTGAATGGCCAAAGCTGGGACAGTCTGAACAATAAAATATAGTACTGGGCTGTAACCCAAAGTACAAATGAACTATGCACAAGTCCATACTGATATAAATAAACAACTAAAAAAAATAAGTGAGGAAGAGACAGATCTCCCATGTGGAAGGATTCTAAATAACTGTATCCATACTTGGCTCCCAAGAGGGTGGAACATAGCTCCCCACTCCTTAAGTGTGGGCTACACATAGTGACTTCCTTCCAAAAGGAACAGCATGGAAAGAGGGGGAGGAAGAGGAATTTCATGGTGGAGCAACCTGACACAAACACTACAGTGATGTCATGTTGATCGTATGTTCCCTTGATATGATGTGATGAAAATGGCACTACCTCTATGGCCTTCCTCCCCAAACCCATAAAACCGACTCCACACATAAGAAAAACATCAGGCCTATCCAACAGAGATATTCTATAAAATACTGACCAGTACTTCTCAAAACTGTCAAGGTCATCAAAAACAAGGTCTGAGAAACTGTCACACCCAAGAGGAGCCTAGGGAGGTGTGACAACTAAATATAATATGGTATCCGGGAACAGAAGAAGGATATTAGGTGAAAACTAAGGAAATCTGAAAAAACTGTGGACTTTAGTTACTAATAATATATCAATATTGGTTCATTAATTGTAACAAATGTACTATACTAACGTAAAATATTAATAGGGGAAACTGAGTGTGTGGTATATGGGAACTCTGTACTATTTCTGTGATTTCTCTGTTAATCTAAAATTGTTCCAGTAAGGTTTATAAAAATTGTTCATCTTTGATCTTAGAGTCAACTGTTCAGTTGAACAATTTTTAAATTTTTATTAATAATAGACTATTTTTTAGAATAGTTTTAGATTAAGAGAAAAATTGGGCAGAGAGTTCCCATATTCCACCCCACCACCACCTGTTGTGTTTTCTTTATTAACAATATTTTGCAATCCTGTGATACATTTGTTACAAAATTAGTGAACCAATATCGATATATCATTATTAACTAAAGTCCTCCATTTGAGTTAAGGCTCACTCTGTGATGTATGAAACCATAGATTCTGACAAATGTATAATGTCATGTATACACCACTGAAGCATCATACAGAATAGTTTCACTGTCCTACAAATCTCCTGTGCTTCACCTAGGCATCCCTTCCCAGCCACCAAATCCCTGTAACTCATCTTTTTACTGTCTGTATAGTTTTGCCTTTTCCGAAATGTCATATAGTTGGAATCGTATAGTACGTAGCCTTCTCAGAATGGCTTTGCTCACTTGTGATACACGTTTAGGTTTCCTCCATGTCTCTTTGTGGCCTGACAGCTCACTTCTTTTGTGGCTGAATAATATTCCGTTGTATGGATATGCCACAGTTTATGCCTTCAGGTACTGAAGGACATCTTGGCTGCTTCCAGTTTTTAGTGATTATGAATAAAGCTGCCATAAACATCCATATGCGTGCTTTTGTGTGGATATGTTATCAACTTGTGTTATTTCAAGGTATTTTGTTTAATGTCCAAATATTTTGGGATTTTCCAGGTATCTTTGTTATTGATTTCTAGTTTAATTTCATTATGGTTTGAGAATCATACTTTGCATGATTTCTACTCTTTTAAATTTGTTCAGATTTTTTTTAATGGCCCAGAATGTGGTCTCTTTTGGTAACTGTTCCATGCGACCTTGAGAAGAATGTATATTTTGTTGTTGTTTAATGAAGTATTCTAGAGATGTCAATTAGATCCAGTTAATTGACAGTGCTGTTGAGTTTAACTATATGCTTAGGGATTTTCTGTCTGTTGGACCTGTCAGTTATGGACAGAGAAGTGTTGAAGGCTCTAACTATAACAGTAAACTTATCTCTCTCTTCTTTCAGTTCCATCAGTTTTTGTCTTACATATTTTGACTCTATTCATACATTAAGGATTGTTACATCTTTTTGGAGAACTGACCCACCCTTATCCTTGCAGATTCTTTCTCTACAATCTTCATTCTAAAAATGAATCTGGACACTCTTTGTTATCTGATACAGTGGAGTTTGGCAATTTTTTTTTTGCAACTCTAGTATCTCATTATGAATATCTCACTCTGGATATCTCATTCTGGAGATAAAGGTAGTGAGTGAAAGTTTGGTATTATTCCTTTCAATATTCCATAGCATTCACTGGTGAAGCCATCTGGCCTCTCTGTGGGAAGATTTCAAAATTACTAATTCAATTTCTTTACTTGTTTTAGGTCTATTCATATTTCTACTTCTCGTTGAGTCAGTTTTGGTAATTTGTCTTTCTAGTCATTTGTCCATTTCATCTAAATTTGTCTAATTTGTTGGTATAACATTGTTTATAATACTCTTTTATAATTCTTTTAATTTCTGTACCTCTTTTCATTCCTGATTTTGGCAATTTGTATCTTCTCTTTTAATTTCTTGATCAGGGTAGCTAAAAGGTTGTTAACTTTGTTGATCTCTCAAAGACTCAACTTGTGATTTTTCTGTTTACTATTTCATTGATATCGGCTCTAATCTTTATTCTTTCCTTCCTTCTGCTTGCTTTGGATTTAGTTTGCTCTTTTTTTTATCTAGTTTCTTAAGGTGAAATTTTAGGATATTGATTTGAGAGCTTTCTTCTTTTCTGATACAGGTATTTATAGTCATAAATTTCATTCTAACTGCTACTTTAGCTGTTTTTTTATATATTTTATATTTCATTTTCATTCATTTCAAAATATTTTAAAATTGCCCTTGTGCATCCTTCTTTGACCCATGAGTTGCTTAGAAATATATTGTCTAATTTCCAAATATTTTGGGGTTTCATATAGATATGTGTGTGTGTGTGTGTGTGTGTGTGTGTGTGTGTGTGTATATATTTTTTTTTTTGAGATGAAGTCTCACTCTGTTGCCCAGGCTGGAGTGCAGTGGTGTGATCTTGGCTCACTGCAATCTCTGCCTCCTGGGTTTAAGTGATTCTCCTGCTTCAGCCTTCCAAGTAGCTGGGATTACAGGTGCATGCCACCACACCTAACTAATCATATTTTTTTCTACTGTGAATCTTTAATTCCATGTGCCAGAGAACACGCTTGGTATAGTCTCAAAATTAATTGAGACTTGTTTTGTGGCCCAGCATATGATTTATTCAGTTAGAAGCATTTAGAAATTCTTTACTAAACATGATTTTTTTTTTTTTTGAGACAGTTTTGCTGTTGCCCAGCCTGGAGTGCAGTGAGTGGCATGATCTCTGCTCACTGCGACCTTGGCTTCCGGGTTCAAGCGATTCCTGTGCCTCAGCCTCCTGAGTAGCTGGGATTACAGGAATTTGCCACCACGTCCAGCTAATTTTTATATTTTTAGTAGAGACGAGGTTTTGCCATGTTGGTCAGGCTGGTCTCAAACTCTTGTCCTCAAGTGATCCACCCACCTGCGCCTCCCAAAGCACTGGGATTATAGATGTGAGCCACCGTGCCTAGCCATTAAACTATTTTATTGCAATATAATTCACGTACCATAAAACTCACCCCTTTAAAGTATATACAATTCACTAATTTTTAGTGTAGTCATAAGACCATGCAACCATTACCACAATCTAATTCCAGAACATTTTCATCACCCCAAAAAGAAACCTATACCCATGAGTAGTAACTCCCTTTCCTCCTTCCCCCAAGCCCTAGACAACCGCTAATCTATTCTCTTTATGGATTTGCCTATTTTGGACATTTTATATAAATAGAATCATGTAATATGTGCTTTGTGTCTGGCTTCTTTCCGTTAGCATGTTTTCAATGTTAATACATGTTGCAGCATGTATCAGTACGTTTTTTCTTTTTCTTTTTTTTTTTTTTTTTTGAGATGGAGTTTCACTTTTGTTGCCCAGGCTGGAGGGCAATGGCGCAATCTCTGGCTCACCGCAACCTCCGCCTCCCTGGTTCAAGCAATTCTCCTGTCTCAGCCTCCCGAGCAGCTGGGATTACAGGCATGTACCACTATACCCGGCTAATTTTGTATTTTTAGTAGAGACGGGGTTTCTCCATGTTGGTCAGGGTGGTCTCGAACTCCCAATCTCAGGTGATCTGCCTGCCTTGGCCTCCCAAAGTGCTGGGATTACAGGTGTGAGCCACCACGCCCGGCTACTTTTTTTCTTTTTATAGCTGAATAATTTTCCATTTATCTGGATATACTACATTTTGTTTATCCATTCATCAGTTGATAGACAATTAAGTTGTTTCTACTTTTTAGCTATTACGAATGCTGCTGCTATGAACATTTGTGTACAAGTTTTATGTGGTGTGCATTTTGTTTTTTTTTTTTAGACAGAGTCTTGCTGTGTTGCCCAGGCTGGAGTGCAGTGGCGTAATCTCAGCTTACTATAGCCTCCACCGCCTGGGTTCAAGTGATTCTCCTGCCTCAACCTCCTGAGTAGCTGGGGTTACAGGTGCCTGCTACCATGCCCGGCTAATTTTTGTATCTTTAGTAGAGACGGGGTTTCACCATGTTGGCCAGGCTGGTCTTGAACCCCTGACCTCAGTGATCCACCTGCCTCGGCCTCCCAAAGTGCTGGGATTACAGGCGTGAGCCACCGCACCCAGCCTGGTGTACATTTTTTAGAGGTAACTAATCTCTAGGCTATGGGCTAAGTTACTGTTCAGCAGTGTCTTCTAATTTTACTCCCAGTGGTTCGTCCAGTTTGGGCCTTCCTCTGAGACTGCAATTTCCCACTGCCTCTCACTTGGCCATAAAAAGGCTGTGAGGAGTTTCCTCCCTTTAAGAGGTAGCTAATCTCTGGGCTATATAAGCTCTATAAGCTAAGTACCTGCTCAGGAAACTGGAGGCTGAACTCTGCCTCTGTGTGTGTGTGTGTGTGTGTGTGTGTGTGTGTGTGTGTGTGTGTGTGTGTGTGTATCTGCATGTCTATGTGTTTATGTGTCTGTTTTTCTGTGTGTGGGCCAACCCAAATTCCCGCATGTTTACAAATAGTCTTTAGGTTTTAGGAGAGGCTAAAAGGGCTGAGTCAACTCTCAATATCTTAGCTCTACCCTACATGCTTCAACTCTCCCTGGCTGTATGCCTTACCTTCTGTTCTGAACCACAGTATAAGTGAGCCCTGCAGGGTGGGAAATGAGCCATGACATTCATGCCCAAAGAGGCCAGTGCACACACATACCGTGTAGATTTCTATTACGCTTTTGGGATGAAAGGAAAAGTAATATGTATCATTTTGTGAATCATCCATCAATCCATGGATGTGATGATGCCCAAATATTACTTTGGTTAGAAAAATCATCCCACATAAACTCCCATTTTTCTCTCCTTTGGATCCTAAAACTTTCATCGCTCCACTGCAGTGCATGCATCTGCGGAGAAAAGCACATGGCCAGGCAGCAGCTGCTCACCAGTGTCCTCTAGTTTTACCCCTGGCGGTCGGTCCAGTTTGGGCCTTCCTCTGAGACTGCAGTTTCCCATTGCCTATCATTTGGCTCTGAAAAAATTATTAAGATGCTTCCTCCCCAGTCTTCATTCTAAAATTGAACCTGAACACTCTCTGTTACCTAATAAGGCAGAGTTAGGCAATGTTTCTTTGCAGCTCTGTTATCTCATTCTGGATAAAGGTAGCGAGGTAAGGGGTGGAAATAAATACAGGAAACCAAAGGGGGAAACATGTTCTCCAAGAACAAGGAAAACCTGATCCAGGGTAAGAGACAGAGATACACTACTTGACTAAAAGTTGGCCTGATTTGGCCAAAGAAAATGGCATATTACACATTTGGGTGTTCTTTTATGAAATAAGATATTCTGTACCTGCTTGTTGAAATATCCTCAAAAGGGTAGAGGATCTCTCCATTGTTACAGATTTCACAGATGAACCCCTTCTGGCTACAAAGACTGCAGCTGTACACGTGTGAGGTGGCAAATTTAATGACCTTGCCCAAGAATGGAGCCAGCTTTCCCTCTATTACCTGCAGAAAGAGAAATGGGACAGGGAAGCACATTTATTGAGAACAGAAGTCTTGTACACACAGGAAAGGAAAGGAATTCCTTTCCTTTACACAACAGGAAAACCTCTAATTATAATTTCTCAGCAACTCTGAGGAAGAAAAGACATAGTAGTTTTGCTCCAAAAGAACTTTCTGGTTTAAACCACTGGAGGTTGTAAATTAAGATGCTGAAACTTCTTTTGTATTCCTCTTGCTTTGTAGTATAGTGTAGAAGACTGAGGCCCAACAAATGGGGAACCCTGCTTGGATAGACCAACTTCACAGTTAGGGTGTGGTATAAGAGGAGTGTGGTAGGTTTCCCAGAGTAAACTGAAAACATACAGAGTAAATCTGAATGCATTAAGTTTATGTTGTAAATGCAATAATACCTTTTCTCTGATGAATTAATGGGATAGTTTTTTCACCATCTTCCCCAAGAACATAGAGTAAATGGGGAAAAATAGGTTTCTTTTGCTGCTGGTAAGTATAGTAAAAAAAAGCTTGCAATTTGGCAGCCTGATGGCCATTTTCAGCCTGTAGGTTTTTTTCTTTTAACTTGTGATTTTTAAAATGAAGTAATTTAAAAATTGGGAAATTTCACATAAAAACCCAGATTTTTGGAAAAATCAGATGATCTAGCACAACTATGCTTGGATTCAACGTGATGATGATCCTGGCCACGCGAGGGGGCTGCCTGTTTCCACTGAGATATCTGCTCTCTGCCTGACAGCTGTTCCCATCAGGCCCCACAGTCTTGCATCTGCCTGCCTTCCACAGTGGCCTCACCTGTGGGCTTGCATACATCCCTGAGTTTGGAACTCATGTTCTGTTGATCATTTCTCACTTAACTAATACCCATGGGCTTCAAAGACTTCAGCATTTCACACGCCAGCTAGATAAAATCTGCCTTTGCTTCTCTCTAATTAATGCAGACACAAATACATGCTGGTTTTGACATAAGAAAACAATTGAAGATTACATTTAATTTGGAAATAGCTAGAAATAGCTGAAAATAGTTTCTTTCAAATGAATATAGTTACATTATAATTTTACATACAAATAATATCTGAGGGAGGCTGGGTGCTATGGCTCACGCTTGCAATCCCAGCACTTTGGGAGGCTGAGGCAGACAGATTGCCTGAGGTTAGAAGTTCGAGACTAGCCTGGCCAACATAGCAAAACCCTGTCTCTACTAAAAATACAAAAAATTAGCCGGGCGTGGTGGCAGGTGCCTGTAATTCCAGCTACTCAGGAGGCTGAGGCAGGAGAATCACTTGAACCTGGGAGGCAGAGGTTGCAGTGAGCCAAGGTCACACCATTGCACTCCAGCCTGGGCAACAAGAGTGAAACTCCCGTCTCAAAAAAGAAAAGAAAAAGAAAAAAATAGTATCTGAGGGAAATGTAGTATAAATCATACCTAAAGAGAAATTACAATGTCCAGGTGAGTAGGTAGTAGTGACTGGTAATACAAAAACAAGACTACAAAAAATGTAATCATGCCTTTTGTAAAAAATGAAGCTATACATAATACCAGAGATAAAAACTGAAGTGGTTTTTAAACATCATGGAATGATCCATGTTTTAGAAATAAATATAATGGTGGTTCCATTCAATTGCCAGACAGGGTACCCTCCCATGTGTGGAAATGTCTGCTCCAAGCCAAGGCTAGGCTTTGGGTCCCACAAAGATGATTTCTCTGGAAGACTGTGGTGAGGTTGCACCAGGAGGTACCTTTGCCTCTTGCCTCCCACCCCGGTCATTTGCAAGGGAAAGGAGCTGGAGGTACGGGGAGAAAGATCTCCTTCAATTGAAAGTCCCTCCCCTTCAACACTAGAGAACTGAGCCATGCATTTCTTCGAGGTCCAAGGCCATGCTTGGTGCATAGGCAAGACTTGCTTCGGCCCCAGGTGTGGTGACTTAGACTTAGGAAACCAATTATGAGTGGAAAATGAACCTCTAGTTAAACTGTGCCAGATGAAGCAGCCCCCCAGTGCCTACCCTGCCTTGCCCCTCCCCATCATGAACCATGAAAACCCCTCTGATGGCCTCAAGGCAGTGCCTGCAGGCCGAGGCCCTTCTGGGGGTTTCCATCTTTCTTCCACCAGACTCCAAGCCCACTCTCCTCCAAGACAGTGTTGTCTTTTCTCACCCAGAGTATTAACACTACTAAGTCTTTCACCTTAATTTATGACTCAGGATTTATTCACGTCCTGCCCACTCTAGGCTCACAGAAATAAAATCAAGTGCTAGACACACTGGCTGCCACTAAGGCACTAGCTTCGGAAGCTGGTGGTGGCAGCGGGGGTTGCCACCCGGCGTGCTGGGCCCTGGCAGTGCCTCTGCTGATTGAGCCCTTTCTCAGTTAATGGGTGTCGAGTTGGGTCATTTGTCCACCGACCCGGTCTTTATGTAAGCAGCCGTGGGCTGTGGGCAGATAGGACCTCAGAGATGCAGCATGAGGCTCTTAAAAAAAACCTGGCCATTCACTGCCTCTAATTCCCTACTGCTTTGGCATATTGGGCAATGTATTACCTCCTTAAAATAATAAAAGAATAACTTTTCTATGAAAAAGAGATAAATAAATATAATGGTGGTTAACTCTAGGGAGGGCAATAAGTCAGAAAAGCAAAAAAAATATATATATATATTAGAAAAGCAAAAACACAACTATATACAAAGTTTATATATATATATATAAGCTCTCCAAACTCATTTTCTATTTCTTATTATGTATCTCCTGGTGCAAGCAAATTGTCACTTTGTATATAGCTGTGTTTTTGCATTTGAAAAAACAATGTATAATAATTTTGCATTAAACTGAAGAAGGCTTTGTAAGAGTAGAATTTATTTTCTTAGTAAAGGGGGTAGAAATTATCCTGGCTGTTTTGAGTCAAGCATACATTTCCCACCATTCTTCAACTTACTTTTCTCTCCATTACCTTTAGGAAGCCATAGATAGACCTTCTTTTATTTATGTTCTCTGAGGAACCATTAACTCCAATAAACCCCAGTAAGGCATGCTCCTAATACCAACACATGAGATATACTTTCTAAGAAACAG
This sequence comes from Homo sapiens, assembly GCF_000001405.40. Classification (NCBI taxonomy): domain Eukaryota; kingdom Metazoa; phylum Chordata; class Mammalia; order Primates; family Hominidae; genus Homo; species Homo sapiens. Next base: position 207,864,342 of record NC_000002.12, read on the forward strand.
CCACTACCAAATCATATATGCAACCACCAGTAAACACTTTTTAATGCGTGATGGGGTTATTTCTAAATTGTGATGGTAGCACTTCAGTTGAGTTTGGTTTTCTCATTTTACTCTTCTCTAAACAACCAAACTTAATGAGGCATTTAAAGAGAGGCACTAACAAACTATAGTCCATTTAGGGGGAAACAACCAGGATAGAGAACAGTCTGGAAACCAGGTGAGTAAAGGTTGATGAAACTGGGAAGAGAAGACCTTGAGGAAGACATGAGAGTTATTATCTAGGCTCTAAAGGAGAAGTTTGAGCATCTTGTGCATAAAGTTTTTTCTCTATTTAGTCCTTGGAGAAAGGGTGTGAACATTTTGAAGGCTCTTGAAATATTTCACCAAATTTACACTGTTAGCAATGTATATTTATTCTTAAATAGGGACCTTAATAAGCTCTGGGGATTGGTATCTGTATAATATTCAGTCTTCCTTTAAAACAATGTGATACATATCTCCATTTTATTAAATCTTCACTTATTATTGCTTAATACAAATTTATTTCCTTGTACAAGCTACTCACATTTATTATTTAGTTTAAGGTTAAACTTTTGTATATTTTTCTTATTAGCTATTGCTGGTATATTAGAATATATTGACATTTGTGTGCATTTACTATATGACAATAATTACTGAATTTCCATTGATGCTAATTACTTCTAGGTGATTCTTTTGGTTTTTCTAGTATTATATCTCTTGTTTATGTTTCATTTCTTGTTGCATCACCCAGGGCTCCTAAAACAGTATTAATAATGGTACTAGTGGTTATTTTTATTATTTCAGTAAGAATCAAACTGGAACTTATGGAGTTTATAGTGAATGACTCATTTTCTCCATTAAATACGTATATCCCGTCATTCACCACATTTCATTTATTCCCCCTCTTTTAAAATAACTGCTATACTGAGATATAATTCACATACCATGTGATTCACCTATTTAAAGTCTACAATTCAATGGTTCTTAGTTTATTCAGAGTTGTGAAACATCACCACAATCGATTTTAGGGCATTCCACTAACCCTCTGAAAAAACTCTATATCCATTAGTAGTCACTTCTGTTTTCCCTCTGCCATGCCCCTGCAAGCCCAAGGAACCAATAATTTACTTTCTGTCCAGATGCAGTGGCTCATGCCTGTAATCCCAGCACTTTGGGAGGTCGAAGCGGGCAGATCACCTGAGGTCAGGAGTTCATGACCAGCCTGGCCAACATGGTGAAACCCCATCTCTACTAAAAATACAAAAAAATTAGCCGGGCATGGTGGTGTATGCCTGTAATCGCAGCTACTCGGGAAGCTAAGGAAGGAGAATTGCTTGAACCCAGGAGGCAGAGGTTGCAGTGAGCTGAGATGGTGCCACTGCACTCCAGCCTGGGCAACAAGAACAAAAACTCCGACTCAAAAAAAAAAAAAAAAAAAAAGATATATATATATATATATATATATATATATATATACTTTCTGTCTTTATAGATTTGCCTATTCTGGAGCTTTCATGTAAATATGATCATATAATATGTAGTCTTTTATGACTGGCTTCTTTCACTTAGCATAAAGTGTTCAAGGTTCATGCTGATTTTCTTTTAAATGCCTTCACTGTAAGTCTCTTTTTTCCACCCTGCCCTAGACTTTTATCTCTCCTCTCTAGATTAATAAACTAATCTCCTAGTTTTATTTCTAGATGTCAGTCTTTTTTCTTAGATCCATCATGCATACATATTAATCAGTTTTAGACATCACTTTCATCACATACCATCTCTTCCCTCAAACCTTTAGTGAATTCTTCATTTTTGAGATGGAGTCTTGCTCTGTCACCCAGGCTGGAGTGCAGTGGTGTGATCTAGGCTCACTGCAACCTCTGCCTCCCAGCTTCAAGCGATTCTCCTGCCTCAGCCTCCCAAGTGGCTGGGATTACAGGCATGAGCCACCATGCCCAGCTAATTTTTTGTATTTTTAGTAGAGGTGGGGTTTCACCATGTTGGCCAGGCTGGTCTCAAACTCCTGAGCTTGTGTGATCTGCCTGCCTCGGCCTCCCAAAGTGCTGAGATGATAGGTGTGAGCCACTGGGCCTGGCGAATTCTTAAGTGTATCATTAATCAAAACTCTTCACTCTTTCATTTCATAAAATTATATTGAGTTACTATGTCCCAGACACTCAATGTAGAGTGAACTGGACAAAACTGGAGCTTATATTTTGCCTGGTATGCAAGTGGATTCCATATTAGCCATCCAAACTCATTTCGTATTTCTTAACATGTACCTCCTGTTGTGAGCAAATTTTCCCCTATGTAGAACATGCTTGCTCTTGCTCCTGTGCCTTCATCCATGCCATTCCTCTATCTGGAGTTTCACTTTTCTTAACCCTTACTTAAATTTCATGTAGGCTTCACAGCTCAGATCTACCCTGTCTTGATCTAGAAAGCCATCTTTGGCTACTTCAGACACCATAAATCTCTTGTGTTTCTCCCTAGAAATTAACTTTTACATCATATAATACAGAACTTGATGCTGTTTTGTACTCTTTGCTTTTAACATACGATTGTTTTGCTTATCCAATTGTAGACTGAACATTTAAAAATGATGATATTTGACAATTTTTACCCATACAAATGGCAATTTTATATGGAGAAATCTAAGAGAATATAAATTGCTTGAGGGCAAAGACAGTCTCATACTTGTTTGAAATATCCCGTCTTCCAGGCACCCAAGTTCTTGTTGACTAACCAAGGACACTTTTCTGTCTTTACCCCTGGCTGTCAGCAGTCATATCTTAGGTTGTCTTGTGTCGCAAACATTTTCAATCGTTCTGCTGTGTGATTCAAGGAGGAGGATAAAGAGTGCATGGCCTCTGTGGCAGCTCAGCTATTCAGGGATCCTTTTGCTTCTTTATACTTGATTTACTTGATTAATTGCTCTTCCCATTTGTCAGCTTACATTCATGGCCATGTTCCAAATGGCTGAAGCTGCTGGAATTTTTTTATCCAGAAAAGTGAGGTAATAGTATGAAGTTTATTTTAGAATTTACAAACATTCCTTTAATATTGTAGAAGGAAAACCTTACATTTATAATTTTCCAGGGGTAAAGATATATTCAGAAGGGTTAATCTTGTCTTTGAATACAACTATTAGAAGCACTAGGAACAGAATCCGGCCATCCTAGCATCTGGTCCAGAGGTTTCATCACTATGAAGAAGTGGGCTCCAGGTGTGATTTCTCCTAGGGTTCTTTTTGAAAAAGCATACATACATAGACACACACACACACAAAATTATATAAATCATTTTATATATAATACATACATAAATGCATACATACACACATAGACATATACATTTATGTTTATAAATATATTATTTATTTATTTTGGATACGTGCTCAAAAATAAATCAATTGTCTTTCCTCCCACCATCCCAAGAGCCTTAACTTTCACTCCCACTTCCTAGCCATCTCGGTAGGGGCTTAAGGGGCCATATTATACAAATACTAGGAAGGCAGAGTGGCCTCAAATATTAGACCAAAGCCAGAGGAGCATACTACCTTCAGGTTCCAACCAAGAATGAAGAATAGAAAAGAGCTGCCAGAATGCCACTGGGCCATTGGATCTGAAAATGACTATGGGTGAGACAAAGTCAAATGAGGCATCCTGGCCAACAAGTACACAACAGTGAGAAAAGTCAGACATTTGAACTCTGCTATGTCAACCCTAAACTGCTGTGACTTGCTAGAGTGACCACAGTCCTCAACAGGGCTCAGCGTGGGGAAAAGTCCTAGAAACAGTGTGCTCTGGCTAGAGTTGATGCAGGGGAATCTACTATCACTGAGATCAAGCCAGGACCAACTAGGACAAAATAAACTTCAAAATGACTTCCTTAACTGGTCAAAGCTTATTATTATTTTTTTTTTTTAAATCTAAACATGGTAGAGTTTTTGCTTCTCAGAAACTGGGGTATTTTCCAATGGATAGTGGTGGACTCATTAGGGAGTCTCCCAGAGGGGCTGGCCTTCGGGAGCTTTCCATACCCCATCATAACTCAGTTGTCTCTGGGTATTGGGAAGTAGTGGGGTAGAGTGGAAAAAGCAAGGCTGATCTGAGGACAAATTCTAGCTCATCTACTTTCCAGCTGTGAGACTTTGGCAAGCTACTTAACCTCTTTGAGTCTCAGTTTCCTTAACTGAAAAATTAGGACAGTATCCACTTTGCAGGGTTGAGAGAAGGATCAGATTTAATACATTGAAAGCATCGAATATAGTTTCTGACTTACAGCAAGGGATCAATAAATAATAGCTAATTAGCTTATCCCAATCTAAATAGAGATTTTCTATGATTTAGACTCATTCCTCCTTTTAAACACTTGAGATTTACATCAAGGGGAAGGAAAAAAGCTATGAAGGCCACATGTCATTTTTTTTTTAAAGGAAGACATCAAGTTGTTCATCTGTTTGGATGGGATCAGTAGAAATTAATGTAAAGCAGTCACATCCATTTCTTCTGATATTATCTGTTTGGATGGGATCAGTAGAAATTAATGTAAAGCAGTCACATCCATTTCTTCTGGTATTGCTGTAAATAAGAAAACAGGGCTTGTACAAGCATACGTAATTTTGCCAAGGCCAAAATGCTAGGGGGAAGACATTTAACATGCCTCAAACTTAATCTGAATCACTTACGTAAGATAACATCTTAGCAACACCTGGAAATTGTGTCTTACTCCTTTCCTACTTGTACTTAAATTAGTCATAGGCTAATATAACTTTATAACAACCCCTCAAAAAGTCAAAAGGACACTTCATCTTTAGCATTAGAAGGCTGGTAGTTTTTAGTTAAACCAGGCGGTCATTTGGTAATATGACTAGTGATAGTGAAACAGACCTGAGATGAGGTTTAGTTATCTCTATTTATTCCCTCAAAGGGCATGTCTACGTGAACAAAATCATGACAGTGTAATTAGAAGGAAACGTGTAGCTCTTCCCCCATTTCCTTGCTTCCCTGCACTCAACCTCCTTTCCCTTTCTCCATATACCAAATTGCCCTATCTCCTTGAGAAAAGGCAGATGTCCAAAATAGGGTGAAAGTTTGTTTCTGTTTTCCATTAAACTTAATGTCTTGTACTAAGGAAGGTACTAGTCTGATTTATTTACTTGGGGAGTGTGTATATATGACTATTTCAGAGGTGTTATACTAACTGGGTATTCAAAGAATACACATTTTCATTTGTAACAAAATTAGGTCACTTTATTGCCCTGTAACACAAAGACAAAATGTAGCATCAAGCTTGTATCGGCTTCCAGATTTTGCTATTTTTCCACCTTTGCAGTCTGTCTATAAATTCTTTTCACCATCATTTTAGGTACTTCTAGAACTCAAGGAACTGCCAAATATCACTTTCCACCATCCAGTCCCTGACAAATATGTCAAATATGCTTACCCTTCTTGTGTGAAAGAAGCCCATGAAATCTGCCTGGTTGAACTTCCAGCTCAGGGATACACACATTTTGCCTCCCTCTTCTATTCTGGTCAAGATGGTCAGCATTGGAATTTGAGGCCTATGGCTTTCTTGCAGACTAAGACAACAGACTTTATTTGATTTACTTTCTTGCAGACCAATCAAAAATTACAATTAAGTTAAAAAATAACCTAGTGCTGCCTTCCCCAAACCACAGTTTCAGAAACAGCTGCTTATTACTCATGTGTGGCACCAGGAAATTGCAGTGTCATGTTCAAGGTCTGCAGCCAATAGAGATCTGTGGGATTGGGAAAAGGGCACAAATGATTCTTTTATGTTGGTTACCTTCACTCCCTCAGCACCACCACAAAATTCAAAATTTATGGGGGGCGGAGAAGACAGAGAACTAGTAACCTGGGCAAGAAAAAAGAGAGGAAAAAGCTCTTTCTCATCAAATTTCCTTATGCATTGGCTAATTCCTTCCCTCTGATTTGTCAATTTACCTTCCATTTCAAAACAAGCTTCCTTAGCCATTGTGTAACATCTAGATTTGGAGCGACTGTCGGGAATGCTTTGGTGAAGAGGGCTGCTGCACTTGACAAACAACTCCGTCTCTGAAAGTCTAACCAAAAGACCCAATTCACAGTGAACGGTCACCTGCCACTCACTAGGAACAGGCTGGCTTGACGAAATGGAAGAATCAACATTGTCACACATTGTGAAATAATTTCCCATATAGTTCAGTTGCATTTGCCTGGCCAGACAACCATGAAAGGTTGCATTTTGTTTCTAGGGTCATTTCTCAGTTCATTTAATAGGTGGGTAGAGTGAAGTCTAGTGGCCTTGGCCAGGTGAGTTCATGGGAAGTTAGGAAAAAACAGCCTGTGGATTCTGCTCAAGCTTGAAAATCCTAACACACCTCACGAGACTATTCTGAATCCTCAATTTTAAATTTTACTTCTCTTACTCATCAATCCTTAAAAATAGAAAATGAAAAGTAAGCTGGATGTGGGGGCTGATGCCTGTAATCCCAGCACTTTCGGAGGCCAAGGTGGGAGGATCACTTGAGCCTAGGAGTTCCAGACCAGCCTGGCAATGAAGTGAGATCCCTATCTCTGTAAAAAATTAAAAAATTAGCCGATTGCAGTGGTATGCACCTGTAGTCCAAGCTACTTAGGAGGCTGAGGTGGGAGGATCCCTTGAGCCCAGGAATTTGAGGCTGCAGTGAACTACGAGCTATGATTGGGCCACTGTGCTCTAGCCTGGGTGACAGGGCGAGACCCCATCTCAAAATAAATAAATATCACCAAAGTATATGGGATATTCCTATTTCAAAAAGTTGTTCAAAACTCCATTTTCCCATAATTAACCTTTGAGCTCCTTATCATGGCTCAATGCTGGGATGTTTGTACATAAACATAGAAGTGTCTCTTTTCTAATTAGCTGCTCCTCACCCTCCCCAATCCATTATGGGACTACTCTAACAAGACTTAAATTTTGGCTAATCAAGCACTTTACTGAGGGTGGATTGTGATGCCACCAATTAGCTCTTATCTGATCCTCTCCCAAAGGTGATAATTTCTGCTTAGAGCTGGGAAACTATGTGATAGTTTAATCTGGTTTAATGCAATTGGGTAGATTTATGAGTGGCCACCATCACTCCTATCAAATTACATTTTGCTCTCTGCTGGAAACTAGGTCTTAGGGAATAAAAGATTTAAAAAATTTCAATTTCATTTTTCTCAGTGGCTAGAATGGCAAAGATGAAACCGAGAAGGCACATTTCTTATCCAGAAAAATATATGGGATGGGGTCTACTTCAGACAGCTTTTCTGCACTAAGTGCCTCAAGGGTTGTGGTTTAGTTAAACCACAACTCCATGGAACTTAATGAAGCATTTGCAAAGAGTAAGTACAAGAATGTGGTCCAAATATTCTGAGCTCAAAACAGGTTATATGATCTGATATAGGTACATGTGTTTTATTTATGAGGAAAATAAACTACAGTATTTTAAATTGAGACAATTCCAGAAAATTCTCATAGATGGTCAGCAGAATTGTGCTTCTCTGTTGAGTTAGTTACATGTTTGAAATAAATCTGATTTAGGTCTCTACTATTCCTTTTAGCCCGAGTTCTGACATTACTGACTCATTGAGCAGTAAATGAGGAAAAGTTCTAAGCAGACTTTTTAACTCACCTTCGTTACTTAATATATGAGAAAACTGAGCCCAGAGAGGTGATGAGCTCTACCTAAGATCACCCAGCTAATTAGTGACAACTTCTGACTCACTTTCTTAAGCACCCCTTGCTACTCCAAGGAAGGGGCCTTTCTGAGGGCATCTGAGGTCAGAGTGTAGCCCCAGGATTTGGTTCAGCTCAGGAATTCTGAGGTCACTGGATGCCTACTGACCCACCTTGTAGAAATGTAAGATTTCTAAAACTGAGTTCCTGCACAGAAGCAGGATTGTGCAGACTAAATTAGCCCAGGTTTAGATCCACAGTTTTGATCTGAACTGGATCTGCCTTTGGCTTATTGAAAAATAATACCTCTAGTCCTTATATGAAGTTCTTGTATAAAAATTCTTTTAATGGTCACATCTCATGCAATTTTCTGAATATGAAGATGATCTTTAACAGCATCTTATTGGCTCAACTAGGGGAAACTCATAAATTAAAGTTACACAAAATTCTGTGACAGAAATGGATTTATCATCAACTTAAACCCGAGGCGGCCGGGCGCAGTGGCTCATGCCTGTAATCCCAGCACTTTGGGAGGCTGAGGGGGATGGATCACCTGAGGTCAGGAGTTTGAGACCAGCCTGGCCAACATGGCGAAACCCCGTCTCTACTAAAATTACAAAAAAATTAGCCGAGGGTGGTGCTGCATGCTTGTAATCCCAGCTACTCAGGAGAATCACTTGAACCCGGGAGGCGGAGGTTGCAGTGAGCCAAGATCGCGCCAGTGTACTCCAGCTTGGGCAACAGAGTGAGACTCCGTCTCAAACAAACAAACAAACAAACAAACACCTTAGGCTATTTGCCAAAACTAGAGAAGTAACTTTATTAAAAGGAGAAGCAACTACAGCTGAGGAAAAACAGAAAGCAAAACAAAGCAACTCCCTGTATGTACGTATGTGGGAGAAACTAAAGAAATATGGCTTTTCAGAAACAGAGGAAAAACAAAAGTAGCATTACCTGATCATGTAGGGGAATGAACCATAAGAGTTAGGAGAGACATGAAAGGCTGAGAGCAAAGAAGGGAAGAAGTAGGGAAGGATGAAAGCAATAATAATAATAATAACAATGATAGTGATATTTAAAAAAAGAAGAAATTGGGCTTGATGGTTCTGTGGCAATTTTTTTTTAAGTTTAAAAAATAGAGAACACAGGCTTATAAAGAGGGAAGAAAGTTTCATTGCTCAATGAAGCTGATTGAGATCTGAAATGGGAGTTGGAAATCTTGGTTTCTATTCCCAGCTATGTCCCCAGTAAGCTCTATGACCTTTTCTGTTAATCACTTAACTTCTCCATGCCTCAGTTTCCTCATCTACAAAATAAAGTGATTCTATTCAGTCATTCAAAACTAGATGATCAATAGGGATCTCTTTCAATTTGAAGATTGTACGATTTTATAATTAACCAACAAGGAAGACATCAAAAGAAACTTGTTGAATAGCTCCAAGAATGTTGCAAGGGAATATCTGCGGAGCTAGATAAAAGGTGAGTTTAACCAGACTAATTAGAAGATACTCCAGGAAATTCTCAACAAAAGTGAAATAATGTCACCAGCTTTTTGTTCCCCTGCCTGCTGAGCTCCATTCAAAGAGGGAAGTAAGGCCTTTTAAGAATCATCCCCTCACAGGTATGCAACCAGTTATCAGTTTTCCTGAAAACCTCTACAAATCCCTTCCTTTCATCAATGCATTTAATTAGTTAATGTTTAGATAGCACTTTCGGGATGTAAAGTACAATATAAGGGCTCAACATTATTATTACTTAACAGCTTTTATGGGACCAGCCATTCCTGAGATTAAATGAGAAACTAAAGTGAGTCCCTGGTTAGAAGGTTGTGATCTAATACATTGCTGGCTCACTGATGAGGAAAAACAAGCCCTGCATGTACATTGAAATAGGTGCTTTTATTAGCCTGTATATCATTGTCTAAGATGGTTGGGGATTTTTACTCTTTGCTTCAAGGTCCACAAGTAGAAGCCACAACTTTCAATACAGTAGTGATTACAATTTCACATGTCCTATATTTCTAGAATATTATCTGTTGTGTCTGCAGTGTCTGTATGCCTGGGCACCTGTACATCCGGAATATGGATTCAAATACATGGGAATTTGCTATACAATAAAGGTGGGGAAGATGAATTTTTAAATAAATGATGTTGGGGCAAGTTGTTAGCCATCAGGGAAAGCAAATAAGCTGGATCCCTAACTCATCTCATAAAAACTGTATTTTCAGGCCGGGCATGGTGGCTCACACCTGTAATCCCAGCACCTTGGGAGGCCGAGGTGGGCGGATCACCTGAGGTTGGGAGTTCGAGACAAGCCTGACCAAAATGGACAAACCCTGTCTTTACTGAAAATACAAAAGTAGCCAGGCGTGATGGCACACGCCTGTAATCCCAACTACTTGGGAGGCTGAGGCAGGAGAATTGCTTGAACCTGGGAGGCGGAGGTTGCGGTGAGCCGAGATCGTGCCTTTGCACTCCAGCCTGGGCAACAAGAATGAAACTCCGTCTCAAAAACAAACAAAAAAACTGTATTTTCTTTTTTTTGAGATGGAATCTTGCTCTGTCGCCCAGGCTGGAGTGCAGTGGCACGATCTTGGCTCACCGCAACCTCTGCTTCCTGGGTTCAAGTGATTCTTCTGCCTCAGCCTTCTGAGTAGCTGGGACTACAGGTGCACACCACCATGCTCGGCTAATTTTTGTATTTTTAGTAGAGATGGGGTTTCACCATATTGGCCAGGCTGGTCTTGAACTCCTGACCTCATGATCCGCCCGCCTTGGCCTCCCAAAGTGATGAGATTACAGGTATGAGCCACCATGTCTGGCCTTTAAAAACTATATTTTCTGATAAACTGAAGACTTAAATATAAAAAGAAAACCATAAAATATTTTTAAAACTATAACATTAGGGAAAAATATTAGAAATTTAGAATATTAGAAAAATAGAATTTACCCCATTTATGTGGGGTAAATATTTTGTAATCTTAGATGCTATAAAAAAGTAATAAATCTAAATATATAAAGTAAACAATTAGTTCAATATAAAATATCATTTAAAAGTCAAATGACAGAAACAAAAAAAAATTTCCTATTTATATGAAAAAAGTGTCAATTTCCTTAGTATACACAAAGCTCTCTTAAATTAATAAGGAAAAGACCAATGTTATAACTTAAACACATGTTAATAAAAAGGCAATTCAGAAAAACTACAAATGGCCAATAATGATATTAAAAAGATGCTCAACTTTACTTCTCATGGAAAAAACACAAATTAAAACAACACTGTGAAGTTAATTTTTATTTATCAGATTGGCCAGGATTAAAAATATTGTTAATATAGAAAATTAATGTGTGTTCAGGAAAACAGGCACTCTCAAGACAGTGAATGGAAGTATTAAATTGGTTCTACCTTTTCAGAAGGCAACTGGACTGGCAATATTTATTGAACTGCGAAGCATGCATACCCTTTGACCTAGCAGTCTTACTTTAATGAATTTACACTACAGAGATATTCACACAAGTGTACAGGGAAATGTGGAGGGTGTTCACTGCAGTATAGGTCCTCAAAGAGAAACACTGGCCAGATTGAAAACACACACAAACACACAACTTAGGTTTAGCTGGGCGTGGTAGTGTGGGTAGTGTGCACCTTGTAGTCTCAGCTACTTAGGAGGCTGAAGTGGGAGTATCCTTTGACTCTAAGATTCTGAGGCCAGCTGGGCAACACAGTGAGGCCCTGTCTCTTAAAAAAAGCAAACAACAACAACAACAACAACAACAAAACAGGTTTAAGTTACCTTGCTTAACTTACCTAGCTTACACCTCAGTTACTTTAGGTATAAGATAACTCTGTTATGCAGCCAGTAAAAAGAATGAGGTAAATCTTCATGTGTACTAAATGTGTATACATGCCCAAATATCCACAGTATAATGTGAACTGGAAAAGACAAAGCACAGAAAGGTGGCATAGTCTGATCCCATTACAAATATTTAACATTTGTAATTGTGTACAATTGTCTGGAAGGACACAGACTGGCTACAGTGAACAAAAGCTACCACTGTAGTGGGATGTAGGGGAGAAAAGGGCTGACTTGAAAAGCTCAGGCGATCCTCTGCCTTAGCCTCTTGGGCAGCTAGGACTACAGGTGTGAGCCATTGCACCTGGCTGATTTTTAAATAATGAATATGAATTGTCACTTTTATAACAAATATTTAAATTGTTAAAAAAAAAACCAATGACAGCTCTACAAAGCATGGCTTTAGAAGTAAACAAACATAATCTGCATATGCATATACATAAACATTATAAAAATGTAGAAAGTCTCTATTTTTTTGGTTTTAGATGACCTGTGTTTTCACTTGTCCCTAATAATATGTTTATTTTCACAAAAGTTCTTGAAAATTGCCTATCAATGAATCTGTCATGACTATATCAGGCTTGTTTGCTTCCCATGAGACTTGTCTGCCTAATCAGAATGTTCCCTTACTTATGGGTCTCTTAGGCTTCAGCCCATTCAATTAGAATGACTTATGCAGTGTCAATAGCCATATCTAATACCAGGCGATTTAAGGATGGTTTTTGTTTACATGATTAACACTGAATTCTAGACACTTAAACTTATCTCTTTAAATACTTGACTGGGACTTAAGTAACCAATCAGTTAGGACGCATATTGCCGTTTTCTATTAGGAATTCACTCACATGTTTTAAATGCCCTCTTCCAACCAAGATTCAGGTCTGCTCCGCCAGGGCTTTTTCCCTCCTGCCCTAACAGAGATGACCCACTCTTACTGGTTCCATCCCTTCAGGCACATTTGTAATGAACAGTAAAAGGAGGAGAAACAGTATTGGTATCAGATTTTTTTAGTCCATTCCTCATCTATTCAGAGGTCACAATAATTTCATACCACTCAAAGTACTGTGCCAAGGAAGTATATTACCCAATCTGAAGATTTTTTACCACTTAGTTTGAGGTCATTCCAAGGAAAAGTCAATGTACTGACCGACCTGCCTTAGACTTGGCCCGAAGAAGGAAATGAAAACCATGGTTTTGCAATAGGAGGGCATTCAAAGATAAGATTAGTTTCAAAAAGAAAAGCATTTTGAATAGCATGCCCACCTGAGACATGTTCAGAGGTTCAGTAAAATCTAAATAGAAAAGAGTCCTAAAAAAGGAAACAGCCAATTTTCCTGAGGGTTGAGGGCAGACAGTCTGTGATCTGGCTCAGCCCCTAATGTCCTTCTCTGCACCACCTTGATCAGCTGCCTTTCCCATGCTAGCTTCTCTGAAACACCAGGCCAGAGGAAGGGAGAGCTGACGCCTATCTAGATTCATTTGCTCCTGCTAGCAGCTCTAGCAGAGGGAAACCATCCACCGGGGCAGAATTTTGTAGGAGTTGTAGAGGTTTCAGTTTTCCTTGGGCTCCCTGTCCTTCATGAATGTGACTAATTGAAGAAAAAGGATTTTACTTCGTTCCTCACAGTCCGTTTTCTTAAGTGAAGATAACTCAGCTAATTGAAACTCCAAGCAGCTGTAGACTAGCTTATGTAAACTGAGAGAAGAGGTTTTGTTGGTTATCTCTTTTTAAAAAATTACATTAAAAAACTGAAGTATAACACATATAAGGTAAAGTGCATAAATGTTAAATATATTACTCAATGAATTTTTAAACATGTATGTGAAGCTACTACTGTCTTATCTTCTCTCCTGTCCTCTAGTTTCAACCATTCCAAACCATTCTCTATGCCATCACCAGAAAGATCTTATTAAAATATAGATCTGACCAAAGAATACTAATAATGACATCAACAACAACCACCACCATTCCCATAGCACTGACTGACTGTTTGATATGTGCCGTCACTGCTCTAGGCTTTTATTTATTTATTTGAGACAGGGACTCCCTCTGTCATCCAGGCTGGAGTGCAGTGGCGTAATCTTGTCTTACCGCAACCATCTCTGCCTCCTGGGCTCAAACGATCTTCCCACCTCAGCCTCCCTAGTAGCTGGGAATACAAGTACATGCCACCATGCTCGACTAATTTTAAAAATTTTTTGGAGATAAGGTCTCCCTATATTGCCCAGGCTGGTCTCGAACTCATGGGATCAAGTGATCCTCCTGCCTTGGCCTCCTAAAGTGTTAGGACTGCGCCCAGCCTTGCCCTAGGCTTTTAATTCATTGCCTCACTTATGATAATACATGCAAAGCACTTAGAACACTGGAAGGCACACAGTGAGCATTAAAAAAAAAACTATTATTTCTGGCCAGGTGCAGTGGTTCACGCCTGTAATCTCACCACTTTGGGAGGCAGAGGCGGGCGAATCACCTGAGGTCAGGAGTTTGAGACCAGCCTGACCAACATGGAGAAATCCCGTCTCTACTAAAAATACAAAATTAGCCAGGCATAGTGGTGCATGCCTGTAATCCCAGCTACTGGGGAGGCTGAGGCAGCAGAATCGCTTGAACCCAGGAGGTGGAGGTTGCGGTGAGCTGAGATCGCGCCACTGCACTCTAGCCTGGGCAACAAGAGTGAAACTGTCTCAAAAACAAACAAACAAAACTATTATTTCTGTTATTCACAATGGTTCCAAGAGGTCAATATTTTTGTCATTACCAATTCATAGGGGATAAAACTGAGGCTTAGAAGGCTTAAGTCATGTGCCCGGGGTTGCCCAGCTTGGAAGTACAGAGTAGGGAGCTGGACTCTCAGAGCTTAAGCCCTAAGCACTAAGCTTTAGTGTCTTGCTAGAGCTGGGTTTTTTTTATTTTTATTTTTTTTATTTTTTTATTTTTTATTGAAAAGCCCCGGAAGCCTCTTCTGCCCCTGGAGGATGAGGTTTAACTCCTCAGCATGCCCTATAAAGTCTTCCCTAAGCTAGGGACAGCCTCTTTTTCCTCACTTGCTTCTAGTCTTTATCTACCATGTACTCATATTCTGCTCTTGTGTTGCCTGCCTATTCCCTGAAACATCTATTATGGTAATAAGTACCATTTATTGCTATTACCATGTATGAGTTCTGGGTGCTTTCTGTATTTCATTCCAATTCTCTCTGTAACTTCCCCAAATGAGTATTATAATCATTTTGCAGATAAGTAAACTGAGACATAGAAAGATTAAAGAACTTGTTTATGGTCAGAGAGCTAATATGCATCAAAACTGGAATTTGATCTCAGGCCTGTCTGATTTTAATGCTAGATTCTTTCTCCTCTATGCGAATTCCTCTCAAGTCACACTCTTTCACATCTGGCTCAAATGTCACCTAGTTTCTAAGGCATTTGTGACTTTGTTCACCAGTTTGCGTCCTCTTGCTCTACTGCCATCCATAGTTATGAACAGATCACTTGTTAAGAAAGAAGTGCTCTTGCTTAATTTCTATTCTAGGCCTTTCCAAGTGCATTCAACCTTTGCATTCAAAAAGCTAAACTAAGTATTTCTGGAACATTCCTACTGCAAGCTCTGGATCCAAACATTTAAATTGCAACTTTGTCCAAACAAAATGGCAAGTCTTTGACCAGACCGGGTTATGGCCTAATGGCAGGAACACAGAGGGCAAATGGAGAAGTTGCTGCCACTAGAGCACCACATGGACTTCAGAATAACCTCTAGGGGATGTGTGATTCCTGAGCTCCTGGGACATGGGTCATTCCTGAGGAATGAGCTAGCCAGCTCTCTAAACAAGAGGACAACGGAGGGTGGATTCTGTGGGCTGCCAGAAAGGCCAAAATGGGCAATTTTTAAATTGATTGTGAAAAGCATTTTATTATTGGAATAGCTGACATTCTTGTTGATTATGCAGGGTAAAAAAAAATACCCTAACATTTGAACATTTGGTACATGTTCAGCTCCTTCTGTACATCAAAAGTGAATATTAATGTACAATCTACACAAGTCTCTCAACTTGTCAGGAAGTGGCTCTGTAATTGCTTCCTGACAAGTTCTGGCAGCATTTGGTTGTCATCACTCAATCTTACTTGTATTTAAGATTATAACATAAGTTAATTGTTTAACTAAAAAATTAGCCTGCTCCCAAATGGACAAAAGATATAATCAAACAATTCAGGCCGGGCATGGTGGCTCACACCTGCAATCTCAGCACTTAGGGAGGCCAAGGTGGGAGGATCACTTGAGGCCAGGAGTTCGAGACCAGCCTGGCCAACATGGCAAAACCCCATCTCTACTAAAAACACAAAAATTAGCTGGGCGTGGTGGCATGTGCCTATAATCCCAGCTACTGGGGAGGCTGAGGCACAGGAATCACTTGAACCCAGGGGGCGAAGGTTGCAGTGAGCTGAGATCGTGCCACTGCACTCTAGCCTGGGCGACAGAGTGAGACTCTGTCTAAAAGAAAAAAAAAAAAACGCAAATTGATGTAGTAATAAACATACAAAAAGTTTAGCTTCACAAATAAAAAATAGAGGCCGGGCGCGGTGGCTCACGCCTGTAATCCTAGCACTTTGGGAGGCCGAGACGGGCGGATCACGAGGTCAGGAGATCGAGACCATCTTGGCTAACACGGTGAAACCCCGTTTCTACTAAAAATACAAAAAATTAGCCGGGCGTGTTGGCGGGCGCCTGTAGTCCCAGCTACTTGGGAGGCTGAGGCAGGAGAATGGCGTGAACCCGGGAGGCGGAGCCTGCAGTGAGCCGAGATCGTGCCACTGCACTCCAGCCTGGGAGACACAGCGAGACTCTGTCTCAAAAAAAAAAAAAAAAAAAAAAAAAACCAAAAAAACAAACAAACAAAAAAAAACAAAAAAACAAATAAAAAATAGATATGCAAAGTCAAATAATCATAAGAAGTCTTTTTTTTTACCTCTAAAATGACCAAAGATTTGTGTTTTTTAATGACAATGGTTATGCTCCAGTGATATGGAGAACTTGCTTATACTGTTGATGGGTATAGGTAATTGTATCCAGAACTTTGAAAAGGTTCAGAATATAGTAGTTCTGAATATAGAAACACTCTGAATATAGTAGATCCTCTTCTGAATTTCTGAATTTATCTTAAATAGTCAGAAGATAAATGGTTTTGCACAAAGATATACATAATAGTATTATTTATAATAATACAAAATTGGAAACCTAAATACCCAATACAAACAAGAAGGTTAAACTAATTATGGCAATGGAATCTTATACAGGCATTCAAACTAGCTAATTCTTCTGAAGATTATTTAGTAAGTTTTTAAAAAGGCAGGATAAAAACTGATGTGCTATAAAGAATGAGCCATACTTTAAACCTATACATTCACAGAAAAGAATAAGCTGGATGTGTAACATTAGATAATGTTAACCTTGGTGCCATCATAATGATTATAACACTGGCAGCTAGCCTCCGCAAGGTATTGATCCCATTGAATCCTCACCACATCATTATGGGGGTCTTACTACTCCTGTTTTATAGATGAGGATACTGAACGGAGGAGCTGGGACTCAAACTCAGGTCTACCAAAGGCTAAGGTCTGAATCTCTGCCATGCTGCCTGGAGCGTTATTTTCTATTCAGTAACTATGTGTGCTTCCCAAATTCTCTGTAATCAGCATACTTTTATAATCAAGAAAAAACAATTTTAAAAATGGGAATTGGGGCCAAGAAGGCCCTTTGAAGTTCCGTGTTCTGTCCCGTGACAGCCTGCGGTATGGTTGACAGTCAACCACTGGGTCTTCTTACTCTTCTCCTTGGCTCTGGGCTCCCTTCCTTCAATTTCCCTTCCCTTTCTCCTACTCTTTCCAGTGAAAATCATGGAGCTACTGGGCCTAGTGAGGGAGGGAAGCCCTTGCTGCTTGGAGGCACCATCCTGGGGTCAGTCTGGCCTACTGGATTTCTTCCCTCTGCCTCCCTCTTTTGCCTCCCTCCTGCCTGCCCTTAGGCTTTCCACCACCTCTTGGGAATAAGCCTGGTTCAAGGTCCTGGTTTAACAAAACAACACAGGGCATCCTGGGGTTAACTCTGGGCTTGGCCTTTCACAGTTCTATGATTAAATCACATTTTTCAGTGGTTCTGCCTTTAAACTCAAACCCCTTTAAAGAGAAATTTAAGGAGAGCAAAACATAGGAAACAGTGCCAAATGCCAGTAACATATTTTAGTCATTTGGGGAATGGGCAGCTTTAGAAACCACAAATTCCCACTTATGCAAGGGCTACTTGAGCTTTTTTTCTTTATTGCTTAGTGACAGAAACCTGGCTCTTAGACCATGGTCAGAGTTGTTCTTTCTTGTTTTCTCTTCTCTCTCTCTCTGAAAACAGTTATAAAAGGCCTGGGTTGGCCGGATGCGGTGGCTGACGCCTGTAATCATAGCACTTTGGGAGGCTGAGGCAGGTGGATCACCTGAGGTCAGGAGTTCGAGACCAGCCTCACCAACATGGTGAAACCCCATCTCTACTAAAAATACAAAAATTAGCCGGGCATGGTCATGGGTGCCTGTAATCGCAGTTACCCGGGAGGCTGAGGCAGGAGAATCACTTGAACCCGGGAGGCAGAGGTTGCAGTGAGCCCAGATCGCGTCATTGCACTCCAGCCTGGGCGACAAGAGCAAAACTCCATCTCAAAAAAAAAAAAAAAAAAAGGCCTGGGTTTTCACAATGGGAGTTGGTTAATCCTACAGTCTAATCAAATAATAAAAGTCATTGTCTACTGATGATGTTGTTTATTCAGACTAAAAGGCAGACTACATATATGTCTAAGTACCTGTTATACAAGCTCGATAAGCTCAGTCATACTGAACTACACATTCTCAGCCAGTAATTACAGTTTTTAAAAGTTTTTTTTTTAATTTTTTTTCCCGAGATTCTCGTGCCTCAGCCTCCCAAGTAGTTGGGATTACAGGTGCCCGCCACCATGCCCAGCTAATTTTTGTATTTTAGTAGAGACAGGGTTTCACCATGTTGCCCAGGCTGGTCTCGAACTCCTGACCTGAAGTGATCCACCCACCTTGGCCTCCCATAGTGCTGGGATTACAGGCATGAGCTACCGCGCCTGGCTGAACTACACATACTCAACTTAGGATGCTCCACACCTGTGACGTTACCATTGGTTGACAAGGCTTTGGTACCATGTGCTCAGCTGAGTGTTCTGTCTCCTTCCCCCTAAAGGAAGTGGCTGAAAGGGGAAGATGAGATGAGAATATTGCTTTGTGACTGTACTTTCCAAAACCATGGCTGGTGCAATATAAAACTGAAAGAATTTCAGATAGCTCTTTTCTGTGGCCTTAGATCTGTTTTGACTACCAGAGACTAGGCATCAAAACATCAGAGTCCAATGGTGAGGTTCTTCTTCTCAAGCCCCTGCCATTAGAGTTAGATTAAGGTATAGCTCAGGCAGCCCCAGCACACAAACTGGTAAACTGCATTAAATCACCACCAAATAATTGGAAATAAGGTGCTAGTGAGCTCAGGTTTTCACATACATTTCTTAAATTACTGGCAAAAGTGAACGAGTCTCACTTGAGAATAAGAAGATAGCACTGAAAGTGTTTAAACATTTCTTTATATAGTGAGCATTGAGCATTTTGGTGGTGAGCATGTGTAAGGTGTAGCGTGCAAGTATAAGCCAGAGAAGCAGCCCTGGAGTGAGGCAGCTGACCGTCATCTGAGTCAGCACTCAACTAACATGGGTCCAGGTGACTGGTTTTATTACATAAATGTTAAAATGGACTGATTCAGTAAAAATTATGAACAAAAAACTAGAGAAAATAACTATATAAAAAATGGAAAAATATACAAATACCCTCAACAAAATACTATTAAACTAAATGAATCCACATATAAAAAGAATTATACACTATGACCAACTGGGATTTCTCCTGGTAAAGCAAGGTTAGTTTAACATCTGAAAATCAAACAATGTAACAGACCATATTAATAAAGAACAAAAGCCATATGATCATCTCAATAGACATAGAAAAAGCATTTGACAAAATCTAATACCCTTCTTTGATAAAAACACTCAACAGGCCAGGCATGGTGGCTCACGCCTGTAATCGCAGCACTTTGGGAGGCCGAGGTGGGAGGACTGCTTGAGCTCAGGAGTTCGAGACCACTCTGGGCAACATAGCGAGACCCCCGTCCCCACCCCCACCCCCCAAAAAAAACCACTCAACAAACTAGGAATAGAAATGAACTTCCTTATCTGATACAGGACATCTGAAAAACTCACAGTTAACATCACACTTAATGGTGAAAGACTCAATTTTTTTCCTAGGAAGATCAGGAACTAGATACGATGTCTGCTCTCACCACATCTATTCAGTATTTTACTGGAAGTTCTAGCCAGGGCAATCATGCAAGAAACAGAAATGAAAAAAACTACAGAATGGAAAGGAAGAAGTAAAACTATCTCTAGTCTCAGATGACAAGATCTGGTATACAGGAAAGTTGGAAACATTTTGATGACACAAAAGTTAGAAAAAAATTAACTTTTAAATATATTTTGAACAAGACTTTGTAACTATATCCATGTATATTGCTTCTACTCTTGAAGAGACTAAATGGCTAACCCTGTCCAGCTCAGAGTTATGGAAAAGCTTATTAAGGAATCTCATTCCAAATAAGTAAAAAAGGTAGTGTTACTATCAAAGCATGTAATACATTCTTCATTTTCAACATAAAGATGATGTATCTATATTTTATTAATAGAAAATCAGTTTCTCTTCTCCTACTAAATATATTGAATACTATTTAAATATGTATTGAAAATATGTTTAAAGAGTGTCAAAGTGCAGGATGTCAAATGACCAGCCTTCCTGGGCGCCCACATAGTTCAATCTGGCCCTGCCTACTCCCAAGGGAACAGATGATATTAGTCTGATAGGCCTGCTCCAGGTCCCTTTGGAGTGGATCATGAAAGACTCCATATGAACACGGGGCCTAGAGTAAGATCAGAAACAAGCCATCATCATGTGCTGCTGAAACTGAGTTCGTTGGGTAGACGAAGCTGAGAACCTGCATGTCTCTCTATGAAGATCCTTTAAGGCACAAGGAAAGCCATGTAAGGGACAGGGCCACTCAGACACTGCAGAGTTAGTAAAATAAAAGCTCCACACCAGCTAGTCATATCCACTGAATCTACGGAGCGATCCGGTGGCGTGGGAATGTTTTGGTCTGAAAGCTCTGACTAGTTTCTACTCTCTTCCTTAGAGCAGTGACTACGGCAGTGATCCTGTTGCTCTGGGTTTATTGGCGTATGTTGGCCTTGAATTTAACAGATCTTCCCTGACTAACTCAGACAATTATATATCCTGACAAACTGCCTTGAAGCTTCCTGGAGTTCTTGAACTTTGCTTCTTGTTTGTGCTTCAGCCCTGCTCTTCTAACTCTAGCTTGCTTGACATGGGGCATTTTGGGCCTTTTGCAAATCTATCAGCACCTCCAAATGATGTCTTTCTAGACCAATTCTGAAATCCGATGTAAAATACTGTGTTCATCAAAGCAGGAAATAAAGAAGCAGATGGAGAAATGATGGCCTTTTAAAATTTTCTTAAATATGTGCAAGATTTTGTAGCTTCTCTACTCCCCTGAATCCCAGTAACATTAAAGAAAAATAAAAACAAAAACCAATGACTGTTTAGGTTTTTCTCAACTGTGCTATGAACTTTCCATTTTGGAAGGGTATATGAAATAGACACATCTTAGTAAGTACTGTGTAAGTATTCCAGTTGATTGATTGCTCACAATAATTAGTTATCTCAGATACTTAAAAATGATTTTATTAATAATTAGGATTGCAGTTCTGATAGGAAAACGATAAACCTAGGGGAATAGACATAAGAGAGTTTCATAAGCAGGAACTTTTTAACAATTTCCCTGAAGAAAATGCTTGAGTACACTTTAGAAAGAAAGATTAGCATGAGTCCATACACCGTTCCTGAAACATTCAAGAATGCTTAGGCAACTGGGAAGAATCATATCTGAGCAGAGAGTGACTGAACAGTGGCACCCCAATATTTTGTCTTCTAGATCAGTATAATTTTTTTCAAGTTTCCAATTTTAAATTAGCCAAGTAAAGATGCTAAAAACAAAACAAAAGCTACCATCTATTTTCACCAATATTTCACAAAAAAAGGGGATTTTAACACCAAAAAAGTGGAAAAGTATAATTTTTAAAAACAGGAATATTTTAAACTAAATATATGTGATATTATTAAAATCTGGTGAAAACTCCATCCCAGATGAGCCCCAAGCCCACGGAGGGAAATGGGGAATCTTTGTAATATGAGCCCAGGGGATTCCAACAAGAAGGAGAAAGAAATAACCTATAGATTAAAAGCAATTAAAAGTAACTGAAAGCCAAAGTCATTGCATATAAGTGAATTTCAAAACAGAAGAATCAGGACAGTGTTTTCAACACTGTCAAGGTGAAAACACCTTTCCAGGTATTGTCATAGCTGCATTCCACCTGTGTTATTTATTTAATGCTTTATTTAAATCGAGTCATTTACGTTTAAAAGTTTATTTAAAATGAAAGCCTTATAGAAATACCATAAATGGGAAGCCAGTATCCCTTGCCATAAAATGAAGCTAACACAGATGCTGCAAGGCCCTGAGCCTGCAGCCAACTCTCTGTTGAAAAGGGAGATCAGCAGGTGTTAGGGGTTCCAGTCATACCAGCACCGGAATGAAACTTTCTGTTTGATTTAACCTGAAGGACAGAAAGAGAATTGAAGGGAATAATTTTCTCATTATGTAATTCAATGTCATTTTAAGCCACATCTATGTAACTGCCTAAAATAATTATCTGTACCAACTAATATTGTCTTGGTAGACAATCCATGGAATCAGAGGAATCCTCATATAATAATTAAGAGCACTGGCCAAAACAGCCTTCCTGAATTCAAATTCTGACCTTGCCATGTACCAGCTCATGACCCTGAGTAATTTACCTTCTGTGCCTAAGGTTTTCATCTACGAAATGGGGAAAATAATACCCACTTCACAGGCTCATTGTGAAGATCAAACGAGTACAGTATATACATGTAAAACCCTTAGAACAGTAAACAGCATATATTAAGAGCTGAAAAATGTTAGTTATTATTCTTACTATCCACACTTTGGGAAACACCAAATTAGGATATTGGTCTAGGCCTATGTTAGACTGTATCAGGCATACAGTAATATAGCAACACATTTCTGGAAAGAACATATGGCTAGAGAATAAGAATGACAATTCTTTTGCTGATGTAAATTTAAATAAATAACTTACTACAAATGCATCTAAGGCAATTTACTGTTCATTTTGCTCATGTTTCCTTCCATGCCTCATTTACTTGACCAACAGCAAGTCTGAATGATATATTATTGCCTTTAGGGCATAGTACACAATGCATTTGACACAAAAATATCACACCACAGAGAAAGGATTTTAGGATCTTAACTGTAAGTCACTATTTAGGTAAACAAGGCTGCCCAAATGTATTAGCTGTTAAATTATGAAATCAGTGTCTCATCTATTTGGAGTAAACAACAGAATTAACATAGGATTTAATTGTCAGAGTGGCAACACATGTTATAATTTAATTCATGTTATGAAATACAGTAAGGGAGGACTTACTCATCAGTAAACAATCAAATAAATATGCTAACATCAGAAAGCAGTAGTTCTAGGGGACTCCTAAGATGGATTAGTTGGTCCTGAACAAAAAAGACATATATTAACATATCTAAGCTTGTTGCCTTTCATGTGTCTCATCCCTTTTGTCCCTGGAACTATATTTAGTACACAGAGAACAACAGCACTGCCAGGGCAGTCAAGTAGAAAGAGAGGGCATTAATTTAGTAGAAGTTGGTCAAGGTTAGGGCAGGAGATAGTGGACAAGTACGTATTTGGCTAATTGAACTACAAGATAAGGTTATATTGGAAATTTATGGCAATCTCTAGACCCTATACTGGGCCTATGTTGATGGTGGTCTCATTCAGAAAGATCTGCATTATAAAAATATCTGTCTTTCTCAGTCCCTGTCCATTCAATGTAGGACAGTTTCTTCCATCTCTGCAACAGGCTTCTCGGTGACATCTTTACCACCTCCCTTTCCTCTCCACCCAGTTCTGGCTCTTCCTTCCTCCAGCATCTCAAGGTGTTCCTTTTCCTGCTGTTCCTTTTTGATGTCACAATCCTCCATTTTTCTCCACAGACCTTTTCATTGCTAGGCTGCTTCTCCTCTGAGTGGGTGAAGTTACCATCCTTGCTTGCTCTGCTCTTTCAGGCAGGACCTCAGCTTTGCTATTGAATTGTGCATCAAACACAAACTATTCTTTCTTGATGAATGTTGTCTGCCTTATCCTGCTTTTCTTCATACACACACACACACACACACACACTTGGATAATTCCTTTACTCTAGTTCTTTTTTTCTTTGAGACAGAATCTCGCTTTGTCACCCAGGCTGGAGTGCAGTGGCATGATCTCAGCTCACTGCAACCTCTGCCTCCTGGGTTCAAGTGATTCTCCCACCTCAGCCTCCCGAGTAGCTGGGATTACAGGCGCCCGCCACCAAACCAGGTAATTTTTGTATTTTTAGTAGAGACGGGGTTTCACCATGTTGGTCAGGTTGGTCTCGAACTCCTGACCTCGTGATCTGCCCACCTCGGCCTCCCAAAGTGCTGGGATTACAGGCGTAAGCCACCATGCCAGCCCCTTCACTCTACTTCTATTATGTCTATAAGCAATAAAATGTTCCAGACTCTGACATGAATTATAGTCTACTCCCCTTACTTGGTAGGCCACATTATACCTGTTCCCTAGGACCTATTTCTCTTAGAGGCTTTAATACTTTAGGATACCAAAAAGAGCAGAATAAACTCAGGGGCAATGCTATAAACTCTTTTTCCCTGTCTGTTATTGTGTTTGCAGTGGTCTGGGTACGAAATCAAAATGAGTACCCAGGAGTGGAGCTTTCTAAACTTAACTAGTATTAGCAGTGGCTCCAGTTTTTAGTGAGTTCCACACTCTACCTATAAATGGCCTCTATGTTCTGGGGTAAATCAACTTTTTTGGATCTGTCCAATTACTTTGTGGTGATCTGAATGGGTCATTTATGAAAGTAAAAAGTATCCTAGAAATGTCACTTTGTCACCAAAATAGGGAGAAAAATCTCCCCATACATTCAGGAGGAGCTTGCAGTATGCTTGGCACTGTTGCACATGCTGGGGATGCAGGTGAACAACCCAGACAAGGCCCTGCTATGGTGGGGCCGTGACTTCCTATTGAAAGGCCAAGGAAAATGATTGCAGTCAACCCTGGTCAAGGAAATCAGGTTAAAACCACCTTAGTGAGGAGGAGAGGACCACTTCTTTGGTAGATAGGCCACTATGTTAACAAAGCTCCACCTCCCTCAACTAGAATACACATTTAAGAGCAGACAGGAGGTTTTTTTCAACACACACACACACACACACACACACACACACACACACACACACACACACGGCCCTAACCAAACCCAAAAGATAATGGGAATCATCTGTTCTGCTCTCATGTGCAAACCTATAATTTATGGAAAGATGGGAAAGAGAAAGTCCCTTAGGAGGCCTAGCCAAGTTCTGTGGTGAAAATTCAAGCGTACTCAAAGCTCAAAGCTCAGACTGGAAGAGGTGGGGGTGGAAAGGAGCAAGAAGCCACAGCAAAAATAACATGTCTTGGGGGCAGTCAGCTCTCTCCTTTCTCCCCATTTCCAATGCCATTCCTGGGCCAAGTTGCCTTCCTCCCTTCCTCCTGCCACCCCCAGCCCTTCTACATTCACACATTTTCCCTCTTATTTTTTTTGAGACAGAGTCTCGCTCTGTCGCCCAGGCTTGAGTGCAGTGGCTTGATCTCGGCTCACCGCAACCTCTGTCTCCCGGGTTCAAGTGATTCTCCTGCCTCA
The DNA here is from genome assembly GCF_000001405.40 of Homo sapiens. Classification (NCBI taxonomy): domain Eukaryota; kingdom Metazoa; phylum Chordata; class Mammalia; order Primates; family Hominidae; genus Homo; species Homo sapiens. Next base: position 207,889,922 of record NC_000002.12, read on the forward strand.
GCCTCCCAAGTAGCTGGGACTACAGTGGCCTACCACCACACCTGGCTAATTTTTTGTATTTTTAGTAGAGACGGGGTTTCACCATGTTGCCCAGGCTGGTTTACAACTCCCAAGCTCAGGCAATCTGCCCGCCTTGGCCTCCCAAAGTGCTGGGATTACAGGTGTGAGCCACCGTCCCCTGCCTATTCGTTCATTTTTTAAAAATTGCAAATTGGCTTTAGTGCTCATAATTCTTGTCACGAGGTGACATCAGGAGTATAAATTATAGAGCATCCTAGAAAACAGGTAGTTAACATCAAATGAGAATGTGTGTTAATAAAACAAAATAGAGTTACCAGAAATCTTCAAATTATGGGAAGGAGATGGTTTCCTTAAATACATGACTGTGAATAATATATATTAATAACTTACTACTAAAGAATAGAGCTGGGCATGGTAGCTCACGCCTGTAATCCCAGCACTTTGGAAGGCCGAGGTGGGTGGATCACTTGAGGTCAGGAGTTCGAGACCAGCCTGGCCAACATGGTGAAACCCCATCTCTACAAAAAATACAGAAATTAGCTGGATGTGGTGGCGTGCACCTGTAGTCCTAGCTACTTGGGAGGCTGAGGCACGAGAATTGTTTGAATCCGGATGGTGGAGGTTGCAGTGAGCCAAGATCGTACCACTGCCCTCCAGCCTGGGTGACAGAGAGAAATTTGCTCTCAAAATATAAAAAAACAAAAAAGCAAGAATATACTGTAAGACCTGACAATAGAAAAGGCCATCATTTAAGGGCTCAGTTGCTAGCAACATCATCTACCAAACTCTGAGTTTGAATTTCAGACTATATCATGATGGCTACATATTGTTATTTTTGCTTCTTCTATTAGGCCATTGTCACTTAGCTTTATAGTATTGCTTTTGGAGGATATGATTACCAAAGCAAATCAACTACTATTTTCACTGTATTTTTTAAAAATGCCAGCATCAGTAATTCTTGCTGGGCCATTTGAAAAAGCACTTTTATTACACTTTATCATTGGCTAACAAACTTCAATAAAATTTTAATAAATATTTTATTAGTTTTCTTATCAGTAATGTGAAATAAATTGTTATCCATGTCAGAGATGGAAAAATTGAGGCTACTTAAACTAAAAAAGATTAGTAGTGGTGGTGGATGTGAAATAAATGTCAAATTGTTCATGTAGGAAACACCCTTTGTAACATTTCAGATAGTTTCTAACATCACTCAAGGTGTTCTTGCTATCCAGGGATAGTTTTAACTGCTGGTCAGAATAAAAAACGGAGACAAAGAATCTGTGGTCATGGGGGTGGGATAAAGCCTCATTACAGTTGTAAATCAAGTGACTCTTGTTAAGGGATTTTGAATTGCAGCCCTCATGGGGCATTCACTATATGCCAAACTCTTCTAAGCATTGTACATATTTGTAACTCACTTAACCTCACAACCTTGTGAGGCAGGGAGTTTAATTGTCCTCATTTTGCAGAAAAGGAAACTGAGGCATAAGTTTAAATAAATTTCTTAAGGTCACACAGCAGGTAAGGGGTGCCGGCAAGATACAAACTCAAGCTGTCTGGCTCCAGACTCTCTGCCCACAACTATTATGCTAAACTGCTTTTCAGAGGCCATGCTGAAGTTAACCAATAGACCAGGGTTATTTAAAGATTTACTTGAAAGTCAATTGTTTACTTGAACTCGGGACCGAGCAGTCCTAAAGAAAAAAACCAAAGAGGTTTTCAGTTCACAAATGCTCACTTATGCAATAACATAGTTTGAATGAACAGATAGCCCCCTTTTAGTTCATTCTTACCCTCACCACCTCTTCCTATAACTGATTCATTCATTCACCCCATATTTATGAGGCACTTTTTCTTGCCCAGGCACTGCTCCTAGGATTGGGGTCCAGGATGGATAAGATCAAGACTTGCTTTCAAGGCTGAATCTTTCACTTATGGATTATTTTTAAAGGCTCTTGCAAGCACGCCTGAGAACTAAGTAACTCAGGTGACATTTTATTTGGGGAAGGCATAACACAGTCCTGGCAAGAAACATAAAATGGTACCCTCTTGGGCTCCCTGGCCTCGAAACTGAGGACACCCTTCAAGGTGAGCCCTTCTAGAGCCTGGGTATGAGGGGCTGGTGATTTCCTCCTAACTGTATTCCTCTCCTCTCAGTTCAGAGGACTGTCAGCACACTCCCACCTAGAATGTGTGTCTTGTCTTATACTTTTCTTCAAACTCACTGCATCACAGTACATTGAACCTAGCACTGAACAGATCCTGGAAAGGCTGTAAAATAGACTCCGTAAGTCATGCAGTGCCAGTACTTTCCTGCGGTGCTCATCATCATTTTTGTAAAGGGGATGATATTCTTTTTCTTATTGTGGTAAATGTACACAGCATACCATTTACCATACACATCCATACCAATGCATCATAATCATTTTTGATTGGTTACATTTCGCAGATTGCATTTTAAAATACTATAGCTTCTCCTCCACTGTTAACCATTTCATGGGTAATAAAATTGCAGTTGAGACAATAAGCTGGTTTTCCTAACTAGCACGGCTGGCCATATCAGTTTCTCAGAAAGACTTCAACTTCTCTCCTACGCTGAGATGGTTTCAATCCCGTGGAACCCTTCCCTCTCCACCCTTGACAGATTCAGAAGCTAAATCCAAGGTCTGAAGATTGCCTCCCTCATCCTAAGCAGCTGAATCAACTTCTCTCGCCACCCCTTTCATTATCCCATTCCATCCACCCCATTGCCATTGGTGGGGTGGAGACTCATTGCTTAAAGTGTGCTGAAGAAAAACCCAGAAGCAAGAAACTAGAATAACTTGCTCCTGTTAACAAAACAAACCAGAAAACACAGTAGGGGCCAAGACCTCACAGTCGCCGAGTTCCAAATCCTTCCTTATCCCAAGGAGACAGACTGCCTGCCTCGCTATTCTAAGCTCAGGCGATGTGGCTTAAGCAAACTCATAGAAGGAATTCAAGCCTCAAGATCCATTTTCAGCTTCCCCCAGCTACCCATGTGCCTTTTTATCCTTACTCCATCTTGCCCAGACAAACGTGAAAGCCTGTGTAAAGACCACTGCATGTCTCACTTTGAAAGGACTTGAATACCCTCATGAACTAACTCCTGGCTCCAATCTTTGGTCTCATGGAGACAGAGAAAGCAGCAGCCAGTTGGAAAACAAAAAAAGCGTTGTTATCTCTATGTTAAATTAAACTCAGATTTACTTAATATCCCAGCCAACTTATGCCACAACTATTTTGGCCCTTTCTGCCACCCCAAAGCCTTTTGTGGCCAAAATGTACCATTGTGCTGCTGTTTGACACTGCGTGCCAGCAGGCCTCTGGGCCAAAGCCAAGGAACACCCTTCCTTCTTTGGGTTTTGGGGGAGCAGGGGAGGGCTGCTAATTCCTTTTGTGACCACTGACTAAAAGCTGAGTGGTCAACAATTTGTTAAATTATACACACACCTAAAATGTCAGCTGCATCAGAGATTTTTGCTATCTTTTGCGTGGCTGAAGGGAACCTTTAGGCTGATGGCAATTTTAGAAGTTGGGTTTTTTAACCATAAACTAGGGGATGGATGCTAGCAGAACTCCAGACATGCGGGATCCTGGGTAGCAAAGACTCATCTTTGACAAGTGTATATGTCAATAATTCAAACCAATGGAAGGGGATAGGAATTAAAATTAGTCACAGTTATAAATACACACACATATATATGCATGACAGAGAGAGAGAGAAAGAGAGAAGCTCTCTCTCAAAAGTCCTTTTTGGAATCAGGCCAGCTATAAATACAAAACCACACACTGACACAGGTCAGTCATAGCTACAGATACAGAGTGTGCTAACCTGAAAATTTTGAAAAACAAAACAAAAACAAAAAGCAAGGCCAGGTGCAGTGGCTCACACCTGTAATCCCAGCACTTTGGGAGGCCGAGGTGGGAGGATCACTTGAGCTCAGGAGTTCGAGACCAGCCTGCGAAACACAGCGAGACCTTGTCTCTACTAAAAATAAAAAAAATTAGCTGGGTGTGGTGGCGCACACCTGTAGTTTCAGCTACATGAGAGACTGAGGTGGGAGCACTGCTTGAGCCTGGGAAGTCGAGGCTGCAGTGAGCTGGGATCATGCACTACATTCCAGCCTGGGTGACAGAGAGAGTCCTGGTCTTAAAAATAAATAATCAAAAAAGCAAAAAGGAAATTCACAGCATCATAAATCCATATCTAATTAGGCTGCATTCCCTTTTGGACTGCAATATATTCTGTGGATTATCCAGTTCCTTTGTTCTAGCATCTTGCTGTTTTTGATGACTACAGGTCATTGGTGTAGACAGAATAAAATATTTTGACCACCGTGGCACCAGTTGAAACTGACCTGTAAATAATTTTAGGGGTTACAGCCTATCTGGGGGAAACTGGGCAGGAAGCTGGGCCTGACCAATATAGTCCCAATATCTACAGAGTCTTTCCAAGCACTGGGTTTTTTTGCCATGCATGGTGCTGGCACTCCAGGGCTAATGATGGGTGCATTTGCCCTTTTCTTTCCCCACCTTTGCCCTATTATTCCTGCCTTCCAACCAGTGGAAAGACATGGTAGAGTTTCAGAAATGGTGGTGGTTGGGGTGGGGGGGTGGGGTTTGTTTTGCTGCCAGGTGGATTTGATAGCAATTTGCCTCTAGAAATAGAGAATGTGAGTGCTGGGAGAAAACAGTCCAATTTAGTGGTTCAGAGTGTGTGCCCATTTCTCTAAAGAAGGGAGTCCTTCCACTGCAGAAGCAATCATGCAGCTGGCAGTATTCATTCTTCTTTCTTTTAATACGTTTGAAACATTTCACACAAAATTGAAAAAACATAACAAAACAGGATGTGTACTAGAACAGGACAGCTTGGGTTTGAATCCCAGCTCCTCCACTTTAGCTGGACGACTTTGTGCCAGTAAATCTCATTGGTGAAATGTGGATAATAATAGTACCTATTATTATAGGTCATTATATAGGGCTATTGTGTGGATTAAATGAGATAATCCACGTAGATTTAGGACAGGGTCTGGCCTAAAGTAAGCACTCAATAATAAAAGTGAGTAACATTTTTTGAGCATATACTAAAAGGGAGCTATTATTAATCTAATTATTTAGTACAACCTTCTCATTTTACAAAGAAAGATTTTAAGCAGCAGAGGTATTTTGTGACTTGCTAAAGGATAAACTGTTGCTGTCATCCTGGGTCGTGAGTTTTCTGGCCATCCCTCCCTCTCTCCTCTTGGCTAAGTGCTGTAAAATGAGAGTGAACCAGGCAGGCCCCTTGCCTTCAGTGAGACTGCACCATACCAAGTCAGGGATGGAGCAAACAGGCTGAGGATCCTGGCCCTGTCAGCATATCTGCCTGTCTGCCAGATGATCAGTCCCTGTCCCCAGCAGGCAGGAGGCAGAGAAAAGAGAAAAAGGTGAAACTCAAATCCGTAGTTTTATTACCCAAACTCAAATCCGTAGTTTTATTACCCGTGATTGCCTAGCCTACTTTCTCTCTGTGCCCTTGACCTGTGCTCTAGCCAAGAATCCTTTCACAGTCTCCTTCCCCTGATTTCCTTTGTTGTTCAGCTCTAAAGCTTCCCTTATGGTGCCCCATTCCCTTAATGTCCCTTATAGCCCAAGTTCTTAAATAGTTCCACCTCTTGGAAACCTCAGCTGCAATGGGCTCTCTGTTGTTAGCCCAAACACAAATGCCAACTCACAGTTCACCAGATAACCTGACTGGTGCTGCCCGTTTTAGGAGGAAACCCGCTAGGTGGCATATTACCTTCTGCATGTTCTTACTGGCCAACTTTTGTTTACTGGGCATTATTTTAACTGCCACTGAATTGTAAGGTATTAAGACAACAATTTGTCTTTAAGGAAAATATAAAATCAGTATATTTAACTTGTTTTAATAAGCTGTCCTTCAGATCATATTTGTCAAAATGCTTAAAGCTGTTATTTCCTGACAAAAAGTTGAAATAGTTGACCTTTGGCAAATGGAAATCCAGCCATTTGTCAGTTAGAACTGAAGGTGCTGAGCCTACACTCAGCGACCTGGCTCTCATTCCAGGTTCCTTGCTGCACCCAGAAGCCTGGATACTTCGTGCAAACTGGCTGGGAGCCCCCAGAAAGCAGATACACGCAGAAAGACTTCCACAATTTCATCACTTCTCGAGCTCTATAAAATCACAGAATGAGGGCCCTAGAGCTGGAAGGGGCTGTAAAGATTGTTTAATCCAATCCTCTCACTTCACGAATGAAGAAACTGGGATTCGAGAAGTAAAGTAATACAGTTTCCATCCAAATACATGCCTGTGGTCCTCTTCCTGGGAACTGATATAGTTGCAAGGCCATAGCCAGAATAAAAAGTGACCTAAATGGGCTGTACTGTATGAAATTGTCATCTAAAGATGCCATACATCTTTAACAGAGGTTAACAGGATGGAAAATAATCCCTACCCGGGTTAAGTTAAAAATCCATTTTTTAAAAAGAAAGAAACTCAGCTTTTACAAAGTGATGAGAAATGATAGGGATTGGAATATTTTCAGAGGTAAGCTGTGCCTCCACTTCTGACTAAGACTTAATGGAACAAATGCATTCAGGGAGATGCATGGAATTTAAACACAATTCAACATCAGTTAATTCTAAGAGTAAAGGCCCTTCGGTCCAGTTCCCTTCCACCTCAATGTTAAAGGAAGCTAGAAAGCCAATTACATTCACAGCAGGGCCTCTCCCCTACTGCAAGGGAAGAATGTACTGCAAATTCTATGTGTGCTTTACAAGCTAGTAAAACTATAATTGCAGGTGGGAAGGAACATGGCGTCTCTTTGTTTCTGCCAACATTTCAGTCTGGTAAGCTTCTCTCCGCAGCTGTAGAAAGAGTGTGGACTCCATGGTTTTCTTTAAGCACAAAAATGTGTACTCCAGGATTCTACAAAATTTACAGAAAGACTGCTTTTTGTTAAAATTGAAAAGACGTCTGTGCATAGCCCACCAAAAGGTCATGCATTCTTGCAAGAAACAAGTGGCAAGATTCAGAGGGTAGGTAGTACCACTCACTCAAGCGCAGGCCTAGGGAGAGTTCCTTGGCTCAAGAGGGTGGGGGCTCTCCAGGTGCAATTCCCCTATGGAGCCACTGGGGAGGTCTGGTCTAGGATCATCCTGGAGGCAAAAGGAAATGAAGCTATTCTGCATTCCCTACCAAGGTGCTGCTCCATATGGTGACTATATAGCTGCAGCTATAGCAGGTTTCTATGGCCTAGATTCCCCTACGGAACATGAGGGGGAAAACTGAGACATAGCAAGCATTGCTTTTGTGGCAATGGTTGTGGTTTAGTGTCCACAGATGCAGTGTCTTGATGACGCTGAAGAAAACTCCCAGGAGCCGTTTATACAAGGTCCACACCTCACAGCAACACTAATAGCAATACTCTACCCCTAGTAAAGTGCCTATCTCCTAAGCCCTTAAGTGTCAGGCAAAGTTCTAAGTGCTTTATGCATACTAACTCTAAGGCCTCACAACAACCTTCGGGGGCAGGTACTATTATTCTCACTTCAGAGATGAAGTGCTTAAGGCACAAAGAGAAGTGACTTGCCCAAGGTCACCTAATATTTCTGGGGTGAGTCGGCATTTGAACATAGACAGGCAGCCTCCAAAGCTGCAGTGTGTGACCGCTGCAGCGGCCAGCACCTCTGCAATGCCCAATGTTGGATATCATCATCCCTTAGGAGACCTTTGCTCCAGGCAGAAACTCCATCCCATGTTCACCTCACACTGGCGTGCTGGCCTCCTAAAAGCTCCTGACAGCCATCTTAATTTTGATTTCTATTTAATTTTCTACCTCACAAAGCAATGTCAGGGTGAGGGAGTCTGGTGATACCTTTAGAATATGATTTATCAACCAACAGCTTAAGGGAATGTAGGGCTTCCTTGCTGCCACCTGACCTTTGTCTTCAGCCTTCCTAATGTTTGCATTGCTGCCCTGACCTTGCAAAGTGACCTGGAATAGCTTGGCTGTTTCCTTGTGTGTGTCCACTTTCAGAGTCCAGCTGTCAGCCTGTGCAAGTCTGCCAATTAGTATCTCAAGGGTTTGGGATGGGGTCTGCCGCCTTTTGAGGAGCACAATCTAACACTAACCTCCAAATTCCTTCTCGTAATTCAGCATTCATTAGTTTGACGGAACAAAAGCAGGCATTCTCTATTATAAAGCAGAGGTCAAAACTGGTGGCTGTGTTTTGTTTGGCCTGCAGAGTGTTTAAATATTGAGAAATTTCACATAAAAATACAGATTTCCGGCTTCTCTTGGAAAACGGGAAGAGCAGACAACTCTGGGGCTACTGAGTAACAGCTGCCCCTTTCAGATATGGAAGCTCTCTCTGGTTCATCTGCACAACCTGTCTCCCCTTGGGCCTGCTTCAGGGACAGATGCCATTTGCCTGGTCTCTGCAGGAATACCAATCAACATAGCTCTATTCTAGAGCCAGAATTCCCTCCTTTAAAACGTGAAATGGACCAGGCGTGCTGGCTCACGCCTGTAATCCCAGCACTTTGGAAGGCTGAGGCGGGCAAATCACTTGACCCCAGGAGTTCGAGATCAGCCCGGGCGACATGGCGAAAACACATCTCTACCAAAAAACCCCACAAAAATTAGCTGGGCATGGTGGTGCAAGCCTGTAGTCCCAGCTACACAGGGGGCTGAGGTGGGAGGATTGCTTGAGTCCAGGAATTCAAGGCCAGCCTGAGCAACATAGGGAGACTCCTACCTCTATAAAACATTTTAAAAATCAGCCGTAGCGTGGTGGCGCGTGCCTATGGTTTCAGCTACCTGGGAGGCTGAGATGGGAGGATTGCTCGGGCTCAGGAGGTCAAAGCTGCAGCCAGCCATGATCATGCCCCTGCACTCCAGCCTGGCCAGCAGAGTAAGAACCTGTCTCAAAAAAATAAATAAATAAAATAAAATAAAATAAAATTCCAGGAGCAAATGTGTTGATGGTTCACTAGGCTTTAGCCGGAAGTTCAAATAAAAGCCAAACAACAATATGAAAAGCTGCCTCCATCAGCCTTCTAATGTTTCCTCACAAAGATGGGTGTAATATTGTTGAAAAGCTGCAAGTTCCAAATATGGAGGGAATCGCAGGCCACTATCACATGGAGACAATGATGTCCGCTAAGACACATGTGGCAATGCTGTCTTCTGAGGTTGCCATGCATCCTGGTTACATTTCTGAATTGGGTGAAGTGCTGGAAACCTCCTCAGCCCTCAAACATCTGAATAGATAGTGCCTTCTGGTTATCCTTCTAGTCCCTTGAAGACCAACTGTGGGTGTGGTGGGATGGCTAGTCCAAGGCATCAAGGGATGAAATTCTACTGGACATCACCAAGTGGAACAGAATCATGAGCAGCTTTGACTACAAGTTCCTGGCACACAGACAGAGTGCAAGAGTTTGACCATAATCAGTAAGAATCTAGTCCGTTTCTGAGAAAATGTGCCCTTTCAATTTCAGGGGTAACATGGCTCCTGATACATAGTACATGCTTAATAAATATTTGCTGAATGAATAAATGAATAGGGAGAAAACACCCAGCGAGGGGCTTGGTGACAGAGTTGGGCTCACATTTCAGGTGCACAGGTGGGATGGAAAGATTTAAAACTCAATTCCTCGTTCTTGCACCTCAAGGCACATCCCAGAATCTTTCATTTCTGAGGGAAGTGAAGCGATACCGTTTTACTCATTCTACGAATGTTTTGTTGAGACAATTTATCAGAATAATCCTGAAGCATGCAGACAGTGTTAAGAAATGTCACAGTTGGTAGTGAAAATTTTCTTTAGCTTGCCCCCATGGAAGAAACACTGTAGATCAGATCATTAGAGTGGTTTAAGGTTACCATGGCCTCAAAGTTCTCTTCCTAGTCCTCTCTCTCTGGCTCATGATTATGGGCCAAAATTTTAACTTACAGTCATAGCCTCTAGGAAGCCTTCCCTGATGGCCAAGTTACTGGGTGTTCTGGTTACTATTACTGCAAAACAAATTACCCCAAAACTTAGTGGTGAAAAAAAACCAACGAACAAAAACCTAGTGGTGCAAAACAACCATTTTATTATGGGCTCACACATTTTGTCGGTCGGTCAGGACTCCAGGAAGGACACTGTGGAGATGGTTTGTTTCTGCTCCATAATATCTGCAGCCTCATCTCTAGCCTAGGTGAGAAGACTTGAAGGCTAGCAGCTGGAATCATGTGGGGCTGTCTTCACTCATCTCTCTGGTGGCTGATGATCGCTGCCAGCTAGAACAACTACCATATGAGGCCTGTTCATGTGGTTGTTCTATGAGGGCTAATCTGGACTTCCTTACAACATGGCCACTGGGTTGCCATGAGTGAGCATCTCCAGACAGCACCAGGTTGGAGCTATATCACCTTTTATGACTTGGCTTTGGAAATCACATGGCATCACTTCCATAGTCACAGACCTGCCCAAATTCGGGGAGAAGGAACACAGATCTCACTACTGAATAGGAGGAGCATCAAAGTCACAGTGTAAGAAAGACATGTGGGATGGAAGATACTGTTGCAGCTATTTTTGCAAAATACAATCTGCCACACACTTGGTCAGATGTATTCCCCAAGTACCCTAGGTTCAACTCCGCTGACTTCAACAATGCCTATCTGCCTCTCTCATCAGACTGTGAGCTCAGTGAGGGAAGGAATTGTGGCTTAATCACCTTTGCCTCCTCTGTGGCTAGCTCAATGATTGGCACACAGAAAGCATTCAATCAATACACACTTGTTGAATCAAACTGAATAGAAATGAAGAACCAGAAAGACTCCTGGGGCCCTTTCATGATGGCTGTTGGTGGCATAGGTTTCTACCACTGGCAAGACCGATGCTAACCTTACTCTATATCTTTAAGTAAATGTTCTTTGAAAACAGGCCCTCACTTCGTCAGTATTATGATTACTCTTTTAAAATAGGAAACAACAAAAACCCAACAACAACAACAGCACTCAGATGACTGCATGCCAAGGGACTCCCAGGAAAGTGATTTCAGCACTGACTAAACACCATCCAACTCCACAGCTGCAGCCTCAACCGGTATTGTTGTCTCTACCTGAGGGGCTCGAGTTGGCTCCTGGAATCCTTATCTCAACTGAGCTCCTTCTCACCTGGGCAACAGGGCTCTCTATCCACCACTCACAACACACAGTCATCTTTCTGATCTGGCTTCCACAAAAGGCAGTGACTTTGTCCTTAGTGCCGCACATTTGCTGCCACATCCCGTGCCGAGCTCCCCCGATCCTTCAATCATCTGTGGATCAGGTTAGATTTGGCTGTAGTGCCTGGGTCTGCAGAACAGAAAAGTCAGCTTGCATAAAGAACAATCTGCACCAGCACCTTGCTAATCACCTGCTTTAACCCACTCAGCTAACTGGCCCCATCACCAAAACACCAGAAAACTAGTAGTTATGCTCAGCAGGTAGTAAGGACATCAAGACTGAAAGTGAGAAGTCAGAAGACCCAGCTCCAGTCCTGGCACCTAGCAGCAGTTGTCACTCTTCCCGTTCCCCTCCCTGTACGATGTGAAACACACTGGGAGACCGAGCATGAGGCATGAACTGTTCGGCACCCACTCAAGATACACCTGCTCTCTTGAGAAACAGCACTTTTCCATTTGCTCTGCTGCCTGTCTATCAAAACTTCAAAGGATAACACTCAATCCCTTCCTCCTCCCCAGCAAGATCTTAGCCTGTGCATTCATTTTTTGAAAACCCACTTGCTTAAAAGGCATAATTTGTTCCCCAAATAACTTATAGTCCTCTTTCCTAGCTCATTAATTGGTTGGAAGAGCCGTGGCTAAAATAGTTAACAGAGATTTAGTGATGTTTTAATGGAGGCCTCGTTCCTGTCTCGCCCCAGATTATGTTCAGTGGTTTCTGAAGGCAGTGCCGGCTGCAGCGGACACAGGCACTTGCCATGGAACAACACAGGCGAGCTGTCACGCTTTGTTTTTCTGCTTGTTAAATCCGAATGCTCCTAATTAGTTATCCTCACCACTAATGCCTGGGTGGACAATGGTGTAGGGATCAGGGCTGCTGAGAAGCTATGAATACAAGTTCCTTGGGCTCCTGAGGCTTGGGACTGGTGACTCGGTTGTGGGCACTGAGGCGCTGTGTTCCTGTGAGCTGTGGATTCAAAGATGTCAACCCCTGTGTGAATAAAGGTCATCACCTGTTACTTCTTTGGTGAAAGGGCAGCTGTGCTGGGTGCCCACTTAGGCTCGGCCTTTGTCTGCTGACTCTGTGAGAGCGTCCATAGAGAAAAACGTTCTCTGATAATGGGTTTGTTTGGTGGGGCAGGGCCGTGCAAAATAACTCACATCACTTCCTTGAAGAAGAATTCAGTAAAGTATGTTGTTTAAAAGTGGCCTTGAAATACCTTAAACATTGCCTTTTCGTGATCTTACCAGTTAGAAAACAGTTGAGGTAAGACCACTGTTTGAATTACTTCTTTAGGGGCCAATTCCAACAAATGCTGAGGTCACACGGATGACAATTCCTAAGCTCTGTGGGTATGCTGGACTAGCAAAAAAGTTAACTGAAGAGTTAACTGTTCAGGATATGGAGTGTTCGGGAAGTTTACAACACTAAACAACTCCCCATTATTCTGACATAAGCAGAGATTTTTATTTGGTTTTAGAATTCTGTGCATTGTTATTTCATCGCCAGCTTTTCTAATTTTGTTTTGTTTAGCGGCTAATGTTAATCAGTTTGCTTTGCTTTTCAAGGGAGAGAGAACCAGTGAGTTCACGATAGTATATGTATGAACATATGTACATATACACCCTGTCACCCATCCACCCACCCACCCATCCACCCACCCACCCATCCACCCACCCATCCATCCATCCACTGAACATTTCTATGTTGCATAAGTTACATTAGTTGCTTAGTGTAAGTGTGTATTGCTTTAGTATAAAACAAACGGTTTAGGCAGTGCTAGGCAATTCCAGAAAGGTAGTGTACATCTGGTCACTCCTCTCTCTTTTCATGGCTCTTGAGTGCTGTGGGTCCTCCCACCTGGCATCCTTCCCACTTCACAACTCTTTAGTAAGTACTCCAAATTCCAGACTTTCCTGTCCTTTTTCTTTCATTAAAACTTATCTGTGGAAATGTCTCCCCGCCCCCAATACCATGCCATGTTTTCAAATGAATTTCTGCCAAAATAATAATTTATTTTTCTTGGGTAATATATTTCCTATAAACTAGAATCTAAACTGCCCTCACCTAAAGGTAGGGTCTCATTTGGAAATTTAGGGCCCAGGGAAGGAAAATAATGAGAAAATTAGCTCCTTAGATTGTCTCACAAGAGGGGTGTGTGTGTGCGGGGGTGAGGTGGTGGGCAGTGGAGGGAGTAGCGGGGAGGGCCTACTCTAACCAGCCACCTCACCCATGGGATCATCCAGTATCCTTTCTCATGAATCGCCACAAATAGAATCATTCAATGCTTAACTTACATATGCCCCCAAAGGTGAGTAATACCAGAAGAGTTAGTCATTAATATACATTTTAGGTTTTGTCACAAGAGCACAGGTAGCCAAAATTTAAAAGTAAAATCTGACCTTTTCTTTCAGCAAGTAGAAGGAACTTTAGAAGAATTCTCCTATCATTTACACAGTCCAAAGACTGACATATTAAACCAGAGTTCTGATTTGCTCCTTAAGAACAACTAAGAACTCTTGACCATTTATTTATATGTACTAATGTATTCTACTGGTAAAATCTGGAACCTTTTCATTAGTGTTAAAAGTGCCAAGGGGATGTGAGTAAGGAGATGGTTTGTCACATACTTAACAGGGAAAGCAGATAGCTGACGCCAAAAGTTAAGGCATTGAGAGTTACGGTACAAGTCTTGCCATCTCAGGTGAGCATATATTTTTATTGCATTCCTGTCTTAAAGCCTTCTCATGGATTTGTGATAATGCTGGATAGACTGAAAATAACAAAACACAAATTCTATTCTATTTATCCTTCTCAAAGTAGCTAACCAAGGAAAAGCTCTTAAAAAGCAGTGCCTCAGTTTCCCCATTCAAAACGTGCACCAATACTAGTCCATGCATCCACACACGCTGAGTTGTTGCCTGCTACTTCCTTTATAAGGAAGTACTTGGTCACTTCAAAAGCCACCATGCATTCATACCTCCTCAAAGAAAGTTTGTAAGATTTTATTTTTTTAAAAATGAGCAGTACCTTCTGTTAAAGTTATATTCAAAGAGTTTGGATTGAATATGTTTTTCTAACAATATCTAGTTTGCAGAACAGAAATTCACCTGGAATTCTAAACACAAGAAATGAGTAAAGGAAGGCCATGCTCCCTGGAGCTCCTAGGATCTGGAGAGCCTCTGCCTGTGTCTTATGCTTCTTCCTTGGCCCTGCTACTAGGCCAGGTTTACTTGGCTCCATTTTACACGTTATGGCTAAACGCTACCAACTGACTGTATGTAGTCAGATAATGACTATATTCAACTACTACTTTTTCAATGTGCAAGTCATACCAGTGAGCAATTCAATCACTGGTCAAACAAACAGACAATTAGGGACTCAGTCTGAGTATTAATTTTGCCAATAACTGGTACTCAGTGAACAGTGAGCAGGAGACAGTCGTTCCCAGAACAACTGGAGGGAATCTCCTTTGTAAAGCAATTGTCAATCCTTGCTATTTCTTTCCTCACATCTAAATGTAAGGGAAAATGCATGCAAAGAGGACAGTAATTCAAATAATGAGAAGGGGGAAAACTGTCTTGAATGTAACAAAAGCAGCGGTAAGGTAGCTTGAAATCTTCAGCCAAATTGTTAAATTGAGTCTATCTGCTAAAATTTTAGGCATTGTTACTTATAAACATAAAACCAGACAGAGGACAATAAGATTGCAATTTTTTTGGTACCAGAATTCTTTCAGCATTTTTAAGTATTATTAGTGCTTTGTGTACTATATTATTTTAAAATTGTCTCTAAATTATAAATCTCCTTTCACCATGTTTATTAAATTCTTACCTATTTTTTTTCTTTTTGAAGAGGAAAATGTCTGTTTTGCTTTTTAAATAAGAGCTAATGGGAAAAATCAAATTAACTTAAGAGAAATGTGTAGACAGGAACCTGTGCATTTAAGAAGAATATCTGCATTATTGTTTTTTCTGATTTATAACTCTTGAGTCACTTGCTTTAGTTTATTTTCCTTTCCCCTGCAAAATCTGAACATTAAAAGCCCCTTTTCTCTAGTTACTCGATATGACAGACAGGTCTGCTTTTACAGAAACCTTTAGCAGTGAGGAGAAAAATCAAACAGGGAAAATAATTTACTCTAAAACGCCTGAAACTGACAAGAAGCAGGATGATGAAGCAGTCCAGAAGAGGCCAAAAAGGCCCAGGACGCCATAAGGCTGGTGGTTGGGTCAGTTAGGTAGGGTTTCCCGATACCACCACATGCCCTTTCACAAAGCAATGCTATTTTTTGTTCTTTCTCCTTGTGTCCTTTCCATTACATATTTGCAAGAACAATTCAGATCTAGAAAACATGCTTGTTATTTACTTAGAAACCAAGGAAAGATGAAGCTGGGGATGCCCTTCAGTGCTGATAGCCAAGATGCAGACAGATCAAAAGCTAAATCCAATTTAACCCACCTCAGGCAGAAAAAGTAATCGAATTAAACTTCCTTTAAATATGATAAGTTTGGGGCTCTTAAAGCCAGGCACAAAGAACCAGGTTAGAGTGAGCTGTTAAGTGAATGGATGCATTGAGCTCTAGCTGCCCCACCCACAGGGTGTTTGATAAGCTGTTGATTGCCTCCATCACTGAAAACTGATTAAGCTGCTTATGGGGCTCCAGGGGCTAATGGCCTGGCCACCAAGAATACCCCTGCCACTGATTTAAGTAAGCTGCTTGGCATGTATGGTTTGATTATTAAAGGAGGAAAAAAAGAAAAGGGGGTGGAGAGAAAGACAGCAGGGTATAGGAAAGCCTTAAAAAGCAGGCTGTATGATTCCAAATGGATACATTACTTTGACACCCTAAAATGAATATGGAATTACTCTGATTCTTTCTCTTCATCAGATATCAAAACTCACGTTTGAAAGGCTCCCTCAAAGAGTACTCACTTTGGAGCCCACCCATTGTACTTTAAACCATCTTTACAAGAATGTTCAGTGCCTTTAAACATACTTCTCAAATGATAGAGTCTGTGTCCTCAGGCACTACGATCAGGTAGACTTCAGAAAATAGATAAATGTATAACAAGTGTTTTAACCAATTCCTCCCCTTGAACAACAATTTTAAGTAAAAATATACCCCTTTCCACCCTAGCCAGCAGACCACTGCTGCTTGACTATGTAGTAAAGGTCAGGCAGGACCAAAGGAGTTGGGAGAGCTGATATGTGCAAATAGGTTTCAACTTGACACATAAATGGAAATGAAAACCTTAGTCTTTTCTTAGACTTCTCCAACTAAATGCTCTAACATCATGTCTGCCATTTAATTTAAAATAACTTTCTGGCAGGGAGCAGAGGCTCACACCTGTAATCCCAGCTCTTTGGGAGGCTGAGGCAGGCGGATCACTTGAGGTCAGAAGTTTGAAACCAGCCTGGCCAACACGGTGAAACCCCGTCTCTAGTAAAAATGCAAAAATTAGACAGGGCTGGTGGTACATGCTTGTCATCCCAGCTACACGGGAGGCTGAGGCATGAGAATTGCTTGAACTCAGGAGGCTGAGGTTGCAGTGAGCCAAGATCACACCCCTGTACTACTGCCTGGGCAACAGAGCGAGACTGTCAAATAAATAAATAAATAAATAAATAACTTTCCTAGCTCTGGGGGGACAAAAAGAACACAAAAGTCTTAAGTTATTAAACTAAAAGACACAAAAAATCCTTGAAAAGTAATTTAAAGTCAGAAAAATGACTGAAGGATATGAGCATGGTTTTTAAGTTGACCTAAATTCTTCTGGATAAAACAACCAGAGAGGAAAACAACAACGAAAGAACAGAATCACAGCAGTTTGAGATACTCTGAAAGTTGTCACAATTATTATTATTATTTAATGAACTCTTGAAAGAATCATTATCTAGTGTCCAACAGCTTCTCAGGAGTGAGTTGTTGATTTAAATGATTAACCAAAGCTTAACATATTTAGAATTTAGGGCTGAATACACAAAAGGCCAGTTTCTTCCTAGCTGCTAATCTGGTTAATCATTAAAAGTACAAGTGTGGCCAGGCGTGGTAGCTCACGTCTGTAATACCAGCACTTTAGGAGGCCAAGGTGGGCGGATCACTTGAGGTCAGGAGTTCGAGACCAGCCTGGCCAACATGGTGAAACCCCATCTCTACTAAAAATACAAAAATTAGCTGGGCATGGTGGCACATGCCTGTAATCCCAGCTACTCGGGAGGCTGAGGCAGGAGAATCGCTTGAACCCGGGAGGCAGAGGGTGCAGCGAGCCAAGACCATGCCACTGCACTCCAGCCTGGGCGACAGAGCAAGACTCTGTCTCACAAACGAAAGGAAAAAAAAAAGTACATGTTCTAATAAAAGTATAAAAGGATGATTTCAACTCTTACATGCTCTGTTATGTTTTACTAAACTTTAAAAGCCATTCAACTTTCTGGCTTGAGCACAAGTCAAGGGCTTAACACATTCAATGCCTTTTACATCTTTTCATACAAATTTTTAATTGGGAAAATTCACACACCATAAAATTTACTCTTTTAAAGTAAACAATTTAGTGGTTTTCAGAATATTCACAAGACTGTATAACCATCACTGCTGTTTAATTCCAGAACACTTTCATTAAGCCTCCAAAGAAACTCTTTATCCATGAGCAGGCACTCCTCATTTCTTCGCTCTCCCCAGGCCCTGGCAATCACTAACGTACTTTCTGTCACGATGGATTTGCCTATTCTAAACATTTCATGTAAATAGAAGCATACAGTATGTATTCTTTTCTGTTTGGCTTCTTTTACTTAGCATAGTGTTTTCAAGATTTATCCATATTGTAGCATGCATCAGTACTTCACTTCTTTCTATGGCAGAATAATATTTTATTATATGGCTACAACACATTTTGTTCATCCATTCATTAGCTGATGAACATTTGGGTTGTTTCCACTTTTTTGCTATTATGAATAATGCTGCTCTGAACATTTGTGTACAGGTTTTTCTATGGACATATGTTTTCAACTCTCTTGGGTATATACCTAGGAGTAAAATTGTTGGGTCATATGGTAACTCTATGTTTAACTTTTTAACTGTTCCAAAGTGGCTAACGTACTTTGCATCCCATCAGCAATGTATAAGAGCCCCAGTTTCTCTGCATCCTTGCCAACATTTGTTATTGTCCCATATATCTTTTTATACTAAGTTTTCCCCCCATTCTGAAAAAGAATTATCAGGGTTTCTGATGAAAACTACCCCAATGATGGCAGAATACGGTGCAAAGACCAAAGTCAACAAAGAGACTTCTCCAGGAAAGCAACAAAAATGAAACAGCCCCTCTGAGCACTTACCTGCTGCAGGTCGGCAAGTGAATACAGGTGGATCTGTTGAAGGAGGTATTCTCTGGGGAAAATTCTGAAAACAAGGGCAGATAGACAAGTGAACTGTGGTGCTGCCATAACACACATTTTTCTGATAAGTTTCAGTCTCATTCAAGAATTCCTTTCCTCTGCCCTGTCCACTTTCCACCTATACTTCTCCTAAGCCCTCTGAGGAACCTGTAATATCTTTTTCTCAGATATTTTTCTTCCCAACACAGACACCAGAATGGAGGTAAAAGTTTGATCTTTGACTTCTAATGTAATCTTAAGTGCTATAAGCACTGCGTGGTGGCCCAGGTCTGAGGACCAGAACATCAGTTTTCTTGTACCAGCTGTGTCCGTAATAAGCTGTGTGATCTCTGGCAAGTCCCCACATGCCCACCTGGCTTCAGCTTCTTCACAGCAGAATGAGGGTGGTTTAATGTGATGTCTCCAAATATCTTTCTAGCTGTATTTTTCTATATCTAAATATATTGATCTTGGATTTCAGAAAAACTGGAGTGGCCACTCGTGTCTAGAGGCTTCTACGGCTTTCATTAATGAGGAGGAGTGATACTGAATATCATATTAATGAACTATCCTCTCATATGTACAGTGATGGCAATTTTAGAACCTCTGTACAAATGAGAATAATGGGACAAGATATTTTAAATTAGGACTCTTCAACAAAGTCCAGTATCTTTAGCTGCTGTCCGTTCACAGCATCTGGATAGATGACAATGAATGAACAGACAAAAATAATCCGTTATGGGTAAGCAAACAGGTTACCAAAGTGTAGATGACTGGAAAACAACACACACACAAACTAAACCCAAAACAAAATCCATGATACTAACATTTTTCTCTTTGTCTTATTTGGTACTATGCAATTTTCTTGTGTCTTAAATGAAAGAAACCACCAATTTATCCAATTCACATTTATGACTATTCATTATATGCCAAGCACTATGCCAGGCACTAGGAAGACAGCCCAAGTATGAGGCCAAGGAGCATAAAGTCAAGTGAGGGAAAGACACATAAGCTGATAAATACAATACAATGTGGTAATTGAAAATGATAAAGAGTTATGCATGGGGTCCATATTTTTTGAGTAGTCTAACATGGTGGATTCCAACCCTGGCTGTCTATTAGAATCACTTGGAGAGCTTTTAGAAAACCACAGGGTATATGCCTGGGTAGAGCCCATAAATCAGTATTAAAGAAAACAAAACAAAAACTCTCTTGGTGATTAGCACAGCCAAGGTTTAGAACCACTGGCCTAATAATCTTGCTCACTGGGAAAATCATTATTCAGTCTTTCAATTAAGTATGCATTAGTTGCCAAATCCTAGATATTAAATCATTCATCCTTCCATCCATCCAATATTGATTAAGCACACATTGCATATCAGACACTATTAGACTACTGAAAATGGAGCACTGAATCAATTAAATGAAGTCCTGACCAGATGGAGGACTGGAGTAGGTGTATTCTAGTAAGGACCTCTCCCGGAAAGTAGGAAAGTCGCTGAAGAATTCTGCTGGAAAGCACTGTTTCACCCACAGGAATGAGATGAGTGACAAGGGCATTATATTCTGGGAAACTGAATGCAGTTCCTACAGCTGGGCTCCCTTCAACTCTAATGGTTCAGGGCTGCACTTGCGACAGGAAGCAGAGCACAGGTCCAGCACAGCTGGGCAGGGCATAGGAAAAGTACTCAATTCCTCCATGTAGGATTAGCTTCTCTACAGGAAGGCCCCTGTCGTGGAAGGTAGACCATGGTCCCTGGAGGGACCATGAGATGTAATCAACCTCCATTTTCAATAACACAAGCACATGACACAAATGATCAAGGGACCTCTTCCTCAAGGCAGCCTACAGGAGGTCACTGAGCTTGGCACTGGAGATACATCATTTTATCTAATCCTCACAATAGCCCTGGATGGTAAACACAAACTTCATTTTACATAAGAGGAAACTGAGGCACAGAGGCAAAGACCAATTTGCCCAAGGTCACAGAGCTGAGTTTCAAGGCCAGGACTTTCTGACTCCAAAGGCCTATGCTCCTTCTAATTTCTTGGGGCTGGGGGTAGGGAAAGGAGGGAGGTAGGTTTGAGCTGATCATCTAATTTAGTAATATCATGCATGTCTCTTCTGGATGGATGTTTATTACTGTAGTTTAGGCCGGTAGCAGTATAGAGCCACTGATGCTTTTTGAAGCAGGAACGCCACACTGATGTGCCTCTGAAGGCAGCAGGGAGGGTGGAGAGACTACAGACAGGTGACAAGGCATGTGAGAGTCTGTTCTAGGGCAGACAAGCGGACAGTGAAAGGAATGAGTGGGTAGATACCAGAGACTTTTTGGAAGAATTGAGAACATTGGGAATAAGTGAAAAAGGAGAAGGGACTCTAAGATGACCCTGAAGTATAGAGCCTGGGGATGAGAATGGTGATGCCATTGGCCAACTGAGGGCAGGCTTCCAGGGGAGGGAATAAAAAATTGAGCTTCCTATGTGCTGAATATCCAGTGCCTGTGTGGGGAACAGCAAGCATGGACCTGGGCCTGAGATGTAGAAGACCCAGGGCACTTCTGATGGGAGCACAGAGCAGACAGCTGAAGCCATGGGAATGGAGGGAATGGAGTGAGGAAAAACCTGAATGGGAAGGGGGCTGAACCCAGATGAGGGTTGTTTGTTTTTACTTTGTTTACCTACAATCTAGAACTATCTAAAAGTGTACTTTGGTAGTCTGCAATTTTCTCATTATATTTTGAAAACTATGTTTTTGAAAATAACCAGAATGTTCACATGTACTTCCACAGTTCCTAACATTTCTCTGTATTTGTAAAATGTCCTTACCTTCATACCCTTTATCCAGCTTCCCCTAATGCTTACATCTTACATAACCATGGCATATTGATCAAAAATAAGAAATCGACATTATGCAAATTATAGACTTTATTCAGGTTTCACCAGTGGTTTCACTAATGTCCTTTTGCTGTTCCAAGATCCAAGGGCCCAAACTTATCTGCAGGAAAGGAAAACTAGGGCAGTCTTTCAGTGGGACTTAAAGGGAGCAGTGTATGATAATATGAGAGACAGAGGATGTTTAGGGGTGACTAAACTGAAGGAATAATCTTACTGAAAGGTAAATGCTTAATAATGAAATCCCTTAAATAAAGTAAAATGAAAGCAATGTGGCAGCAGTGCTAAGAAATGGAGTCCAGTAAGCGGGCTGCAAAATCATTTCAAGACTAGCTCCTGCCTCTTCTGCTGGTTTGTAGAAACATAGGTCAGCTGGAGAAAGAGTTAAAAGGAAGATGAAATGATTTACGGCAGGGACAAATGCAGGAGAGCATATCTGTAATGTTTTGCTACTTAAAAGTCCTTTCTGCTTTAAAATTCTAAAACTTTTATGATTAGGGATATACAGGATATCAGACTTATTTACAAATTTACAAACCAAATCACACTGGCATACTCTTCCTGGAGTACTATAACCAGTCAGTTATCACATAGTCAACAAGCACTTACTGAGTGTCTAAAATAAGGCATCGTGCTACGTGCTGGAGATAGATACTTCAATGAATACAACTGATGAGCAACAAAGAGAATTTCCAATTTCTCCTTACTAGGCAGGGTCCTTCTTGCTTCCAAACACTATTCATTATTCTTCTCACAAAAATTAACCAACTTTGGTCACAATCATCTCTAATATTCCTTCAACATTATTTGTACAGCACAGCTAAAGTGGCTATGTATTTATTTAATGTTTCTATGTGTATATATATTTCACATATGTTTATTTTCTCTCTCCTTTTATATGAGATTCTAAGCCCCTCCAGAAGCACTTCCTCTACTGTCTTCTCCATCACACTTCAGTGTCTAATACTATAATTTACATGAGGTCAGTCATAACAGACACAAAGAACTGGAAAATGCAATATATGCGGGAAAGATGAAGGAACCCAGCTTATTGTGTCTGGAGAACTGGAGAAGATGTTGTGTCCAAGAGATTTAGTGGTGGCCATTACAAATAAAGACTTTTAAGAGAGATAATGCCAATCACCTTTTTTTCTCCCTGGAGGATGGGAGTTGTAGTATGAAAGCACTGAAGTCAAATATGGGAATAAATTTCCTGAGAGGGAAGACTGGTAGGTATTAAAATGTATCTCTTATAGTAATGCTTTTTAATGTAAATAAAATAAGAAAAAGATTTTTTTGCAGCTATTTAGAAATAGGGACTCACTCTTCTGCTTAGAGGTAAGGGTTTCCAAGGCAGGGCCAGATAACTTACGCACACTGCCATTTATTCCTCTTTCCCCTAAGGCAGACTGAATTTGCAAGACATTCTCTAAATATTTTCTTTAGGAAGACCAAACACAGGGAAACTCAGGGTAAATATGGACCTAAAAGCCAAGCTCAGGAAAGTGTGGGCCCCGGCAGCTTCCCATCTGGGTGATTCCAAGGGCTTTCCTCTGCTGTGGCTGAGGTCCTACAAGTGGGCCTGACAGGAGTCCTTTAGGAAATGAATGGGAAAAGTAAAGATTCCCAGGAGCCAGTTTGCCTTAAACTCTGATTAGTACAAAGGGGTCTGAAAAACAGGACTAAGGAAGAGGAGTTGTCTTGGTGGGGGAAAGGGTAGCTCAGATGTTGGGGCAGACGGTTGGAACTGTCTTTGGAATGCTCAAGTGGAGTCACCTGTGAGTCCAAGTGGGCGATTTGTGGGCCCCCAGCTTACAGGTTTTAGATGAAGCCATGAGAAAAAGTGATAGTCCAGGGGGGCACATGCTGGGAAATGAGAAAAGATTGCTTCCTGGTGAAACAGTACTATTAATATTTAGGAGTAGATAAACAGAAAGAGGACTGGGAAGGAGTAGGTTGACAGGGAGGAGAAAAAGCAGAAGAGCCAGCACCAGGGAAGCCAAGGAAGGAGAGAATTTCATGAAGGAAGAAGGTGGTCAATGGCATCAAAGGTAGTGGAGAGGTCAAATAACGTAAGGAAGACTCTCATGAGGCCTGGAAAGTGCCTGCTGGCAAACAGGAATCCATCAGTGACCTCAGACTGGGTGGTTTCAGGGGAGGAGGAGGAAAGACTGGAGAGGGGTGAGGATTGTGGGTTACTCTTTTACGAAGTCAACTTTAAAGAAAAGGAGGGAAATTGGGCCACAGCTAAAGAAGGATGTAGGACTAAGAAAGGATTTTTTTTTTTCTAAAAACATAAGAGAAACTTGGGCATACTTAAATGCTAACATTAAGAAGCTACTATAGAAACAAAAGCTGAAGACACAAAAGTAGAGATAACTGATGAAGCCTGGCCTTCAAAAGGCCTAAAGGAAATGGGATGTGGACCCAGCTGGAAGCTCTTTCAAATACACACATTTGCACATGTGTATGTGCGTGCATGAAAACACACACACACACACTCCCCTGACCGCGCGTGTGCGTGCGCACACGCGCACACACACACCCCACACACAGTATTTTCCTAATTGAAACAGTTCAAGTTTTTACTAAAGTGTTATATAAAAAAGATTAATAATTACTCAACAGGGCGCAGTGGCTCACACCTGTAATCCCAGCACTTTGGGAGGGTGAGGTGGGAGGATCACTTGAGCTCAGGAGTTTGGGACCAGACTGGGCAACATAGCAAGACCCTATCTCTAAAAAAAATACAAAAATTAGCTGGGGGGCCGGGTGCCGTGGCTCACGCCTGTAATCCCAGCACTTCGGGAGGCCAAGTCGGGCTGATCACCAGAGGGTAGGAGTTTGAGACCAGCCTGACCAACATGAAGAAACCCCATCTCTACTAAAAATATAAAAAAATTAGCTGGGCATGGTGGCGCATGCCCGTGATCCCAGCTACTCAGGAGGCTGAGGCAGGAGAATTGATTGAACCCAGGAGCTGGAGGTTGCAGTGAGCCAACATCGCGCCATTGCACTCCAGCCTGGGCAATAAGAATGAAACTCCGTCTCAAAAAAAAAAACAAAAAACAAAATATAAAATAAATTAGCTGGGGGTGGTGGTGAATGCCTGTGGTCCCAATTACTCAAGAGGCTGCAGCAGGAGGATCAATTGAGCCCAGGAGGTTGAGGCTGCAGTGAGCCATGATCATGCCACTGTAGTCCAGCCTGGGTGATAAAGCAAGACCCTGTGTCAAAAAAAAAAAAAAAAAAGTAATTACTAATTTATTAAATTTAACCCCTAAACTTCATTATATTAAGAACCAAAAGCCACAAACTAACTGAAGGTTATCTGGCTTAGCAGTCCTTTGGTAAACAGGATCCTTGTTGCAGAAGAGGCTGCTGTGTTTAGGGCCTTCTGTGCATTAACTGACGTCACTGTATTGCAGGGGCTATTAATCATCATGTCTGGCAGCATTTCTGCAGTGGGCAGCCCTGCTTATGCCAATGCAAGCCCTGACACCAGAGCCAAAGAATAAATGAGATAAGAAGAGTCAACTCCACACTTCACTCGCCCATCAAAGGAAACGATATCACTAGCAGGTAGCACTACCGAGTTTCCTGGTAGCAAAGAACATTGAAGAAACGTGCTAGAAGATCATGAAAACCAACTAGCACAATCGCTTCTAGTGCTAACATTTTCTATTTTATCATCTTTAGAATTGCCTGACACACTGGGAAGGTAACTTAGGCTTCATTTATAGATTGCTCTAATGAGAAAGGTGAGAAAAGATGAAAATTAAAAAGGAAAAAGGTCATATATGATTCAGAGCCCTTATATTATGTAGCTGGTACTTGGGGTTAAAAATGCAGAGATAATTGCCTATGAAATCAAAGGCAGTAGTCTTAACAAAAAGGTAGAAGGGCCTCATTCCATTTTGTTCCATGACATTAGGTCAAATAAATCAAGACTTATTTAACTTGACTAATTCCTGAGAAGTTCAACTCAGCTCCCACCAAGCCCCAGTGCTCACGAGAAAAAAGGGATTGGGGTCAGGCTCTAAAGTAGGCAGACCCTTTGCAAGGTTCTGATAGATTTGATAATATTACCATTTTCCTGAAGCTCAGTTCTTAGAGATGCACAA
Organism: Homo sapiens; assembly: GCF_000001405.40. Classification (NCBI taxonomy): domain Eukaryota; kingdom Metazoa; phylum Chordata; class Mammalia; order Primates; family Hominidae; genus Homo; species Homo sapiens. The sequence continues at coordinate 207,915,572 of NC_000002.12, forward strand.
CCGGCATTTAAAGACTCAATGATTAAAATGAGGGAAAAACTTGCAATGGAAATATCTCATCTTAGGCTTTAAAGAAAAGACCCACAACATACACACATGTAAAATTAAAATGATAGCACAACACCAAAAGCAAACTCCACAATTTGATTCTAAATGATAAGGGTCTAAATAAAGAATACGGATAAAGATGCATAAGGAATAATTTTGAAAGGAAAACCATTTATTCACGTAGTTTTACTGTCTTCCAAGAATATGTGCTCCAGGGTAGGTAATTTATATTAAGTTGAGATGGCCAGTGTCTTTCCTTTGGAGAGCACATATACCCACACTGAAATCAGCAAAAAGCACTATGAAGCATCCCCAGGGAGATGCAATTTGATGTTCTTGATATGAGCTGCAAACTCTTCCTGAAATAGTTACATTAGGCTGGACGTGGACAGGATTCGTATGTCCAGCCATACTCTGAGCTAATGGAAAAACAATTTTAAATCAAAGGCACATATTTCGATAGCAGCCCATGTGGAAGAAACAAGCTTCAATCACTTCTCTAGGTACCTCATTTTGCAAATCTCATTGGCTGAAAAAATGGCAAGATTGCATCAGATATTATATCTTGGCAGGTAGTTACAGGAAATAAGGGTCCTTTTACCTGCTTATTCAGAAATTGTACTTAAGTTTCTTAGCCACAATCTAAAGCCTCAAGTAGAAATATCTGGGATGTAATTTTAATTGTGAGTATTGTGGCATCTGATTATAAAAATGATAGATTATATCATAGCTGTTATATACCTAGCTCAAATTCTTAAGGTGTTTAACAGTCGCAAGAATATAACACTTCCCCCGCAATGAGTTTTATTTTTGTTTTCTCTTAGAAAATGATTTTAGAGGCCGGGCACGGTGGCTCACATCTGTAATCCCAGCACTTTGGGAGGCCGAGGTAGATAGATCACCTGAGGTCAGGAGTTCGAGACCACTCTGGCCAACATGGTTGAAACTCCATCTCTTCTAAAAATACAAAAGAAAAAAATTAGCTGGGTATGGTGGCTCACACCTGTAATCCCAGCTGCTAGGAATGCTGAAACAGGAAAATCACTTGAACCCAGGAGGCGGAGGTTGCAGTGAGCCAAGACTGCACCACTGCACTCCAGCCCAGGTGACAGAGTGAGACTTCATCTCAAAAAAAGAAAAAAAAAGAAAATGATTTTAGAGAATTTATATATTTCATTTCATCTCAGAATAAGAGAAAACATCCTGGCTTTTTGAAAGATCTCTGAGTAAATAAAGAGCTATGTATGTATGTAGTTTAGTAAAATTAATATATAACTTCCCAGAATTCCTTTTGAAACTTTTCAAATCTGTTTAGTCATGAATGACACTGCAGACAGTCTGTAGCACCCTTTTACAGTGCTGATATTGGTATATACATAATTTGCTGAATTAGATCTCTGGAGAAAAAGAAGGGAGAGGGAAGAGCTATTAGGATATCAGGAAGATAGATGACTCAAAAACCACACTTTTAGAAGTCATCTAATGGAAAAGAATTCTTGAAGTAGAATGAGGAGAATGGTTGCTATCAAAACTACCAAAATGACATCCTTTATTTCTGAGTCCTGATAGATTCTGCAGCTAATCTGTTAAGGCTAAAGCCCCAGCTGCAGCTGATGAAATTTTTAATTAGCTAACTGGAAAAGTAGCCACAAAATTCGGGTAACCTTAAATATTACAGAGAACATAAAGAGTTGTTTTCACTTAGTGAGCTTAAAGAAGTGTTATCCACAAGTTTGAAGAGCTAATACTTACTGGTCTTTAATGAGACTAATTTAGTGCTAATATTTTTGCTAAAATAGACTTATTCTTCTAAAATTCAGTATTAACCAGACCTTGCACACTTCAGTCTCAGATTTTGGTTGTAAGATATTCCTCATATGCAGTTCAGAGACATTGCAACTCCAGTCTGTGTAGATTGTGCTTTAAGAGTTAGGCTGCCCTGGCCAGGCAGGGTGGCTCACGCTTGTAATCCCAGCACTTTGGGAGGCTGAGGTAGAGGATCCCTTAAACCCAGGAGTTTGAGAGGAGCCCTAGCAACATAGTGAGACTCTGTCTCTACAAAAACAAAAAATAAAAAAATTAAGTGGGCATGATGGCATGCAGCTGTAGTCCCAGCTACTCAGGAGGCTGAAGTAGGATTGTTTGAGCTTGGGAGGTCGAGGCTGCAGTGAGCTGTGGTCATGTCATGGCACTGAGCAACAGTGATACCTTGTCTCAAAAAGAAAAAAAAATTCTGCCCTAAGAGACATGTTCTTAATAAACTGCCCTCCTAGAGCAAGTGTATTTGATTTACAATAGCATGCAATCTTTTCTCTCTGTATTAGATAATCCTTCTACCTAATATACTTGATTTTTTAGGGGGTGAGGGGAGAAGAGGGAGTGTTGATATGAAGTGATTCTACCAGCTCATTTAGTATTAGATTGCTCATGCAATCTTTTGAGTACACTGAATAATAATCCCCATTTACTTCTTCCAAGATCAATAACATGTAGGTATGCCCACACATTAAAACACCATTTTCACTCATTTCATTATGTTTAGACAAATATTTACCAGCATAAAAAAGATGTTCACAATATACTAAGTGAAATGGTTAAGGATAATATAAAACCACTTTCAGTGCCGGGCGTGGTGGCTCACACCTGTAATCCCAGCACTTTGGGAGGCTGAGGTGGGTGGATCACGAGGTCAGGAGATCAAGACCTTCCTGGCTAACACGGTGAAACCCCGTCTCTACTAAAAATACAAAAAATTAGCTGGACGTGGTGGTGGGCGCCTGTAGTCCCAGTTACTCAGGAGGCTGAGGCAGGAGAATGGCATGAACCTGGGAGGCGGAGCTTGCAGTGAGCCGAGATTGCGCCACTGTGCTGCAGCCTGGGTGGCAAAGCAAGACTCTGTCTCAACAAACAAACAAACAAACAAAAAACAAACAAACAAACAAACAAACAAAAAACCACTCTCATGGGGAAAGATCATCTGCAGAGGAAAAGGTCTGGGAGGATATGCATCAAAGTGGTAGGATATGGGTGGCTTTCTTATTTTTGTTTTCTATGATGAACAGTATTCTTTTGTAATAAGAGAAAAAATAAGTTTGGCCAAATTGGGCAGAATCTTCATTCATTTAATTAATTTATTCAACAAGTATTTATTAGCCCCCACTATATGTATAGCTCTAAGCAGTGAATATAACAGATAAAAAGTCATGACATTTTGTAGCTTACATCTAGCAGAAAGGGCAGCGCCAGTGCATGTGGCTGCATAGGTTGAACAAAGCAAAACGTCTACATTCACACCTGATGGCCTAAGAGATGGAAACAGACAAAATAAAATACCATGTTTAATGGTAATAAGTAAGCAGAGAAAGAAGACAGGAGGCGTGTGTGGTGGGCAGTGGGGTACAAACAGACACTGTGTTGCCATTTAAAACACAGTGGTAAAGGATGCTTCATTAAGTGATGGCTGCTCAAAGACCTAATGGAGTTACGAAGCAAGCTTGGTTTCACACTGAGAAACAAAACGATAAAAAAAAGAAAAAAAGAGAAAAAAGGAAGCAATCTCAGCAGTTACAGAGGGAAAGGAAAAGCAAGTATAGAAACTAAGGTAGCAGCCAGCTTGGTATGACCAAGGACCAACAAAAAGGCCAGTGTGACTGGAACAGAGTGAATGAGGGGGAAAGTAGTGGGCGATGAGGCAGAGAGGTAATGGGAGATGAGACCACGTATGCCCTGGGCTTTTACTTGGAGCGAGAGGTGAAACTATCCGTTTGGGCCAGGAGTGACATCATCTAATTTATACATTAGCTATAGTCTTAAGAACAGACTGAAGGGGGATAAGGGTGGTGCAGGAGACCAGTTACTGGAATAATCCAGGCGAAAGGTGATGGTGGACCCAACCTCCAGCAGTGAAAGTGGTGAAAAGTGGATAGATTTTGAAGCTGAAGCTGACAGGTTTGCCGACTGGATGTAGAATATGAGAGAAAGGTGTTTGGCTTGCATCACTGTATGGACAGAGATGCCATGAAGCAAGATGGGAAATACTGTAGGAGGAGTGGTTTGCAATGTGAGTGGGCGTGGGTGGGAATACTAGGAGCTAAGTTTTGGACATATTAAGGTTAAGACGTTATTAGACAGCCAAAGAACATTTCAACCTTTGGACTCAGCCTCAGCTACAGTGAACTCACTAGAAAGATAGTTATTTTCTGGCATAACAAGGGAAGGAGGGGGAAGGCAGTCTTGTTAAATCAAGTGACATTGATGGGGACTGGTCTAAGAGCAGAGTAAGCTGCTAAATTTTGCTTGAAGGAAGGGGAAGCAATGAGAGTCTGTCAGGACAGACACACACACACACGCACACACACATTTTTTTCTGGTATTCACCAGGACAGTTTTAATAAAAGTGGCAATCTTTATAATAGAAATTTCTCACCATTCGGTAAAACTGATATTTCAGTGGGAACTCCTGCTGGATATAATCATAATTTGAAATAAAATGTGACACCAAAGATAGGAAGAGATGGCTTAGAAGGTAGAAGAATCACTTTGGGTATTCTCTTGAGCCTCTCAAGCCAAGCCATTAAATTGCTTCGGAATGGTCTAAGTCAAGGACTAAACCTGACAAACATGTAGGAGCAAATGCTCCCTGAGAACACAATTCTGTTCTAAGCAACCAGGGAAAGAGGCCTAATATTGCCTACTGCCCTTGACTAGTGCTGGAGAGAGACGAGTTTTACATTTATACCGTAATGGGCTATGGATTTGCCAGGCACCCCAAGCCCCCAAATCACATTTTTGATGATTGAGAATGGGAAATACTGAAGCATCCACAGAAATTTCCCAGGAGTGGATTTCACTTCAGCACTCAGAAGAGAAAATATGACTTGAACTGGGATTTCTGAAAAGCTAGTCCAAACAGCTGGTGTCAGTCTGCTGATGTTTTTAGCAGTCCAAAGTAAAATGAGAGAAAAAAAAATGTAGAATGATTTCTAAATCTACTTGATTTTAAAAAGCTGTTTGATTTCTAAAGCAGTTTGCCTATTTTTTTTTTTTTTTTAGTATTACTATGTTCTTACGTGAAATGATGGTGAGAAATAGAGGGTAATGTTTTTATTTCTGTTTTGGCTAAAGATATTTACAAGGCAACCCTATAGTTAACTTCGTATTTTTGTTTTAAGTTTACAGGTCTGGGACATAGGAGGGTCTGGCAAATGCTGACCTGGAGTAAATGCATTTGCTAGCACTAACCCAATTGTCATGCCTGGTTCTCCACGGCTGATCAAGCTTGCCAACGAGCACAGGAGTGCCCGTCTCAGCAATCCGCCTCCCTGTTCAAGGGACACCACTGTCTGCCACCTCCCTGCCTTCCTTTACACTCTCAGAGTGTAGCATCTTAGAGTCATAGTTCCATTCCTTCCCTCCCTCCCTCCTTCCCTCCCTTCCTTCCTACTTTTTTTGATGTTGTCTCGCTCTGTTGCCAGGCTGGAGTGCAGTGGCACTATCTTGGCTCACTGCAAGTTCCGCCTCCTGGGTTCAAGTGATTCTCCTGCCTCAGCCTCTTGAGTAGCTGGGACTACAGGTGCACGCTACCACACCCAGCTAATTTTTGTATTTTTCGCAGAGACGGGGTTTCACCATGTTGGCCAGGATGTTCTCAATCTCTTGACCTCGCAATCTGCCTGCCTCAGCCTCCCAAAGTGCTGGGATTACAGGCGTGAGCCACTGCACCTGGCCTCTCTTCTTTTAAAAAAATTATTATTAAATATTTTTAATGGACATATAATGATATGTATTGATAGAGTACAATGTACTAGTTCAGTACATTATACAATGTATAATAATCAAATCAGGGTAATTAGCACATCTATCATCTCAAACATTTATCATTTCTTTATGGTGGGAACATTCAAAATGCACTTTTCTAGCTATCTGAAAATATACAACAAATTATTATTAACTATATTCACCCTACAGTGCTATAGAATGCCAGAACCTATTTCTCTAACTGTAATTTGTATTTGTTAACCCAACCTCTCCCTAACCCTCTCATCCCTCTACCCTTCCCCACCTCTAGTGACCATTGTTCTACTCTCTACTTCTATGTGATCCACTTTTTCAGTTCCTGCATATGAATGAGAACATGGAGTATTTGTCTCTCTGTGCTTGGCTTATTCACTTAACATAACATTGTATAGGCTCATCCATATTGCTGTGAATGACAGGATTTCACTCTTTTTTATGGCTGAATGGTACTTCATTGTGTATATTTACCACATTTTCTTTGTCCATTTGATGGACACTTCCACAGTGACTAGTGGGATCTCCATAAATAAGGGGAGCAGATATCCATTTGACATAATGATTTCCTTTCTTTTGGCTATACACCCAGTAGTAGGATTGCTGGATCATATGGTAGCTCTATTTTTAGTTTTTTGAGGAAGCTCCATGCTCTTTTCCATAGAGTCTGTACTAATTTACATTCCCACCAACAGTTTATAAGAGTTCTCTTTTCTCCACATCCTTGCTGGTGGTTGTTATTTTCTATCTTTTTGATAATAGCCATTCTAACTGGGGTGAGATGATATCTCCTTGTGGTTTTGATTTGCATTTCCCTGATGTTTAGTGATGCTTTCTCTTCTTTCTAAATACCATCTGCCCTACCTATCTAAAAGGGCTGCTGTAAAGAACAAATAATATATTTAAGGGGAAGTACTTTGTGACTAATGAAATCATAATTATCTTTATATACAGTAAACTATTCTACACATAATTACTATTATTAACAAGCTTTTATTGCACCACTAGCATGTGTGGTCTTCTATTTTAGGTTTTGAGGACAATCATGGCCTTTAAGGGCCTTCTGATCTAGCCAGCAAGAGAGGATATATACATAAGGAGATGAAAACCATCCAAGCCCTGGCCAGGCGCGGTGGCTCACGCCTGTAATCCCAGCACTTTGGGAGGCCGAGGCGGGCGGATCACGAGGTCAGGAGATCGAGACCATCCTGGCTAACACGGTGAAAACCTGTCTCTACTAAAAATACAAAAAATTAGCTGGGCGTGGTGGCGGGCGCCTGTAGTCCCAGTTACTCGGGAGGCTGAGGCAGGAGAATGGTGTGAACCCGGGAGGCAGAACTCGCAGTGAGCAGAGATCGTGCCACTGCACTCCAGCCTGGGCAACAGAGAGAGACTCCGTCTCAAAAAAAAAAAAAGAAGACCATCCAAGCCCTTAAGTGCCAAATGCGTGGTCCAGATGATCACTGCTGGAAGAAACCAGAGAAGGGATCAGCTACTGAGGACAGGTGGGAAGAGGCAGCACTTGAGTTGGCTTTAAAGTAAGAGAAGCCAAGTCAAGTCGAGTCAAGAGGACTGGGAGGCAGCTGGTGTCAAGGAAATGAGTATGTCATTTTGGCTGGGCTGGGGTGGCTGTGGTCCATCAGGAACACAGTGGAAGATTCTGGCTCGTGGTGTGGTCCACACAGGAACCATGTGGAAGTTAAAGTTGTGCATGTAGGTCAGGGTCAGATGACAGAGAACCTTGAAAACCCATCCAAGGGTGTTGCGTTATCCTGTAGGTAGCCGAACTACTCACTGTCTAATAAGACCATTTTACAGTAGTACATATGTTAGAGGGACTGAGGAGGGGTGCCATGGGGAGGTAGGATCCCCAGCTAGAAAAGTATTAAAATGAAAAAAAAGAAAATTATTAAAATAGCTAGGTGCGGTGGCTCATGCCTGTAATCCCAGTACTTTGGGAGGCGGAGGCAGGAGGATCACCTGAGGTCGGGAGTTCAAGACCAGCCTGACAAACATGGAGAAACCCTGTCTCTACAAAAAACACAAAATTAGCTGGGCATGGTGGCACATGCCTGTAACCCCAGCTACTCGGGAGGCTGAGGCAGGAGGATCGCTTGAACCAGGGAGGTGGAGGTTGCGGTGAGCCGAGATGGCACCATTGCACTCCAGCCTGGGTGACAAGAGCGAAACTCTGTCTCACACACACACACGCTCATAAAAGAAAAGAAAATTATTGAAATAAGGTGATGAGAGTAGAGACAAGGGGGATGGCAATGGGAATGAAAAATAAGGGAAGAATTTGGCTCTTAGAGAACCTTAAAGCAAAACTTTTGGACTATGTCAAGGTTCAAACTAGGGGAAAATAAGGGAATAATGTCATGATTAACTGAAACATACCTGACCACATGGATATATATACATACATATACATACATACACACGCACGCACACACACACACACACACACACACATATATATATATATATATATATATATTTTTTTTTTTTTTTTTTTCTGAGGCGGAGTCTTGCTCTGCCTCCCAGGCTGGAGTGCAGTGGCGCAATCTGAGCTCATTGCAACCTCCGCCTCCCAGGTTCGAGCGATTCTGCCTCAGCCTTCCGAGTAGCTAGGACTACAGGTGCATGCCACCATGCCCTGCTAATTTTTGTATTTTTAGTAGAGACAGGTTTCACCATGTTGGCGAGGCTGGTCTTGAACTCCTGGCCTCAGGTGATCTGCCCACCTCGGCCTCCCAAAGTGCTGGGATTACAAGTGTGAGCTGCTGCGCCTGGCCCACATGGATATATTTTTCAGGGAAAAAATAATTTCAATTTGAAGTGGGGATGTCCAGTACGCAGCTGGACATAACAAACTAGTGAGTGATCTCCTCAAGGAAGAGTGCTGGGCCAAACGTTGTCACCTTATAGTCAGTGTCGATTTACAGAGGGACCATGACTCTCTCCCTGCAGATGACAACAAAGTGCCCTGATAAGGCCAGGTGTGGCAGCTCATGCCTGTAATCCCAGCACTTGGGGACGCCGAGGCAGGTGGATCACTTGAGGTCAGGAGTTCAAGACCAGCCTGGCCAACATGGTGAAACCTGTCTCTACTAAAAATACAAAAATTAGCCAGGTGTGGTGGCACATGCCTGTAATTCCCAGCTATTCAGGAGGCTGAGGCAGGAGAATTGCTTGAACCTGGGAGGTGGAGGTTGCAGTGAGCTGAGATCGCGCCACTGCACTCCAACCTGGGTGACAGAGAGAGACTCTGTCTCAAAACCAAACCAAAACAAACAAACAAAACAACAACAACAACAAAACCAAGTGCCCTGAGAAAGGGGCACCTTCTGCTAGCTCACATAAAGTTGCCCCATTGGCTCCTGTGAAGGCTGGAGGATTATGCAGAAGGGCAGCCGAGGTGTTGGGTATTCCTAGCATTAGGGAGCTGGAGGATGTGGAGGCATTGAGGGCAAGGAGAAGGGGGAGACTCGGACAGGACAGAGTGCAGAGAAGGACAGGGAGAAGGAGGTCTAGGAGAAATGGTGACCAACAATGCCCAGGAGGCCAAAGAAACAAGGGCCTCAGGAAGTCAAGGTGTCAGAGGAGAGTGCAATCCACAGCCAGCCTGCAAGGGGCCACGTCAGAAGTGAGTGGGCAAAAGGGAAATGGAGACAGTTCTGAGTGCTTAAGATGGGATCTTAGGTGGTAGTATGAACAGGGTTGTTTTTTTGTTTTTTGTTTTTTTTTTTTAGTGAGAGGGCAGGTAAAAAAATTAGAGAGTATGACATTAATTAAATATGCTAGAAGCAGGGAGGGAGGATTAAGGGGCATGGTCCCTGAGGGATCCGGGTAGATCGCTACTGATGGGCCAGAGTCCGCATCTCATAACTTCTACTGATCCTGTGTGCTCTGCACAGAAAGGTGTGGCAATTCCCTGAATCCCAGGCTCTTGGATGCCTCCAGGCTCATCTTCCTTTTGCCTCTTCTCCCCTGTTCACCTCCTGGCTCCTCCTGAATTATGATCTGCTTAAAATAAAAGTTATAGCAGCTAATATTTCCTGAGAGCTTGCTCTGTTCTGGGCATTAAATCCCTGAATCCTCGCACTTTCCTTATGAGGTGGTATTGTCTCCAGGTGAGAAAACTGGCTCTGAAAGCTAACAGAGACAGAAATGAGCTCTGAGCTCAGGCCGTCCAACTTAACGCAGAGTTTATAATAAACCACCTCCATTTGTGTCCTCACTTTTTTCTTTTTTCTCAGTTTGCCCCACCTGGGCTTGGTAACCCAGCTCTAATCTTCAGCTTTGTGGTGAGGCTGCTGCTCCAGGTAATGGTCCCTCCCTCAAATCACTGTACCGCAACTGCCTGAGGGGCGCATTGTAATGGCCTAGCCCAAGCCTTAGGACACCCCAACACATCTTCTGAGGAACTTTGAAGTCGACCTGGTGTTATTTCCTCTAGTTCTACAGGACTCTTCATGTCTGTCTTTTGAGAGAACCACATCTAGACATTCGGCATCCTTTGAGATGAACTTCCTGACCGAGTTACGGATCTAGTATCTGAGACATCGACAAACTCTGTTCTTAATATTTAATTACATGGCCTTGGGGTTAAAACCTCGAATGCCTAGGCCCAGGGAACCACCATAAACGAATTAAATGGGCTGGAGATGAGAAAAACAGGGCAGCAATGTGTTATATGCCAAGTGGCACTGGGTTTGGGGAGACAAACTAGAGCAGAAGAAGTTATGGCAAAGTGGCAAGTCAAGTGTCTAAAGCTGATCTCTGCTACACAGAATGAGGGAAGTTCTGTGTAATCAGAACTCATTTCCCAAGAGAAACCAGAAAGCTTCACTTTGTGTGTGCATGAAAACTCCTGATTTTTTTAAAGTTGGCAACTATTTCACAATTTCAAAACTTTGTGGGGCCATCCCTGTGAGGCCAAACAAAACATGTCTGCTGGCCAAATCTGGCCTTGAGGTGACACATTCTACCGTGCCTGTGTGTGACACATCCTGCTGTTCCTGTGTTCAGCAAGAGCTGAGGCTCTTCCTAGCAGTTCTTAACGTCCCTCCCAGAAATTTCCCTAACAGCTGCTGATCCGGATGTGTCCTGACATTGCCATGTATGCCCAGATTTTCCACAGAGTTCTTCATGCACCTTCATGTGTGGACACTGTAAATAATTCTTCTCATGAAAAGTTAACTAGACCTTGAACTAATTCAGCAGGACCGCCATCTGGGAGTCCTCAGAAACAGTGAATTGTCAGCACTGTAAACATTTTAAGCTTCGGGGAGGACACTGACTTTTTCTAAACTAATCACCCCTGCCAGTCAAGATGTGCAGTGTGGGTTCAAGAACAAGGCGTTCATTTAACAACAATAACAAAAACAGTGAGGATGAATACCGGACAGCCATCATAATGAAAGGCCTAAAAGCAAACTATGACTTCCCTAATAAGGCGACGGCCAAAGCTGGCTCCCTGGCGGTCGAGCGCTAATACAATTAATCAGTCTGTTTTCAGTTTTCTCACGACAGCAATATTAACAGTTTGCTTTATTCTGTTTATATGGTGCTGACAGGTCTTCGGCATGTTGCGCCTACTTGCTGGAGATTAATGGCCACTCTCATATTGAGGTAAAAACCAGGCAGGAAGAGAATGCCTTTTACGACTAGATAAGAACTGGATTCTCTTGCTTTTTTTTGTTCCCCATCAACTCCTCCCTCTTTCAGTTTCTATCAGGGATATATGAGATTAGTTAAGTCCAGCAAGTTCACCTCACTGTTTAAACTCCCCCACTTTAGATGTCGTATCCTCAGGTAAAACAAAGGGAGCCTTAAATATTGATTTTGGATAAACTCATTACATATAAAGGTATTGGTGACTAACTTTGTTTTTAAGAAGTCAGATTCAGCCTGGGCAACATGGTGAAAGCCCGTCTCTACTAAAAATACAAAAATTAGCCAGGTGTGGTGGCATAGGCCTGTAATCCCAGCCACTCAGGAGGCTGAGGCAGGAGAATCGCTTGAACCCAGGAGGCAGAGGCTGCAGTGAGCCGAGATCATGCCACTGCACTCCAGCCTGGGCGATAGAGTGAGACTCTGTCTCAAAAAAAAAAAAAAAAAAAAAGAAGTGTGGCTGGCTGGGTGTGGTGGCTCACACCTATAATCCCAGCACTTTGGGAGGCTGAGGCAGGCGGATCACCTGAGGTCAGGAGTTCGAGACCAGCCTGGCCAACATGGTGAAACCCCGTCTCTACTAAAAATACAAAAATTAGCCAGGCGTGGTGGCACATGCCTGTAATCCCAGCTACCCAGGAGGCTGAGGCAGGAGAATTGCTGGAACCTGGGAGGCAGAGGTTGCAGTGAGCCAAGATCGTGCCACTGCACTCCAGCCTGGGTGACAGAGCAAAACTCCGTCTCAAAAAGAAAAGAAAGTGTGGCCTGGCTGCAGGAAGTATGGACACCCTGGCAAAACTCTTGGAGATTATTTCACTAAATAGTCGTATTTCAGAATAAATCATCCCTGGTTGTTTAGTGGCTAGAAAAACAATTTTTTAATAATTACATTTTAATTAAATTTTTTAATAAAAAAGATTTAAAAAAAATTCAATAACATCCCCCCTCAACTTACCCCTTCCCTCAAAAGCCGTAAAAGTACTATTTGTTACTAGCACACTTTTCTCTGCCTCAGGTTTGAGAGAAATGGTAACCCTAAACAATATTTTAACAACATGTAAGTATAGGAAATCTAAAATAACAAAATTTAAAATAAAGCAGTGCTTCCTCAGTTTCTGTAGGAATCAATGTCTCATTGTTGGCTTGTAGGCAGACTGCTCCACCCATTTTATGAAACAGTCACATGGAGAAGCAAGCACTGTATAAGCAGAAACTACAGGCCTGGGCCCAGCTAGCTTTCCATCCACTCTCCCTTGCTCACTCCTTTCTTGACATAGCAGCAGGAAAAGAGGATTAATTCTAGTAGAGAAAATAACAGGTGGTGGCTTTTAAGTGGAATATTTTATCAAATATTTTTAAAGCCAGATATAAGAACAGTCTAGGATAAGAAAGTGATATTAATAACAATAATAGTATTTACTGTATGCTTAGTATGTCCAAGCACTGTTTTAAGCACTTCAGTTGTGTGAACTCATTTAATTCCCACAAGGGAATGCCTTGAGAGCAAAGTAATAATTTTTGCCGGAAGGGCAGGGTATTTGAGAGTAGAACAATATACTGGGTTAGACTTGGGCAGATCTTGAATTCTATACTTCTATTTTAAATAATTTATCTAATGCAAAGGTTGGATTGAAGAGGGAAGAAATGTTAGGCTAGTTAGAAGGACACGGCAATAGCCTTGAGATTCTCAACCAGGGTAGTGTATTAGAAGTAAAAAGGAGAGGAAAGATTTGAGAGTTATCTCAGAAACAGAACCATCTAAATTTTTTGGACTGATTTGACTGCTCTTTCACTCATTTTCTTATTCACTCAACAACTATTTTTGAGTGTTTTGGATGGGTCAGACATTGCGCTAAGTGAAAAATAGGAAGGTAAGAAAAAGAAGACTCTGAAGATGATTCCCTCCCCAAAACTGAGCTACTAGCTATTACTCAGTGGTCTGAAGTGACACTTAATATACATCCATCCCTCCTTCCATCTATCCATTCAGTACTTACTGAACACCTACCTTGTGCCAGGCATTGCATTATATAATGGTTATGAACAAGTCCAGGAAAGAAAAATATAGGGAAAAGGGAAAATGAAGGGGAAAAATGCTGTCTTCATTCTCATAGCTTTGGGAGTGCCTTGTTTCTAGAACTCCCATTTCTTTCCTGGTGGTCTGGCCATAAGGCACAGTACATGGTGGTAAACCACCAGACTGCTGGAATTGAGTAGAGATTCTTAGTCATCCATATGAGGAGAGGACCTTCTATTTAACTTCTAAATGTGTGCCCTGATTTGGCATATTTTAAGCAGAGCAAAACATTATACCATAAAGGTATCTAACATGATTCCTATGTAGAGATTTTAATATTGTCTAGAAATACAGGCACAAGAAAAATAAGCTCTGAGCAAAGCCAAAAGGTACTGAAAATAATAGAACATACTTTGAACATTAAAAATCTTGTATCTGGTTTAGTTGGTAAATTAGTTTGAGACATATAATTCTATTGCCTTCCAAGGAAAGCCCTGATCTTTTAAAATTAAGATCTGCCTAGACTTTATAAGAATAAATCCTGACCACTTTCTGTGCTTTCTGAAAAACAACTAGGTAATAGAATGACTACCACTGAGAAGTATTTTGCTTTATGGCAGCTGTCTTTTCATTATTATTTTATGAGAGCTTGTCTAGATATTATATATCCTTTACTATCTACATTTAGTTCTTTTTTAGATGCCCGGGGTTATGTCAGTTTCTTTGGATCTAATTGGATCTCAAAACTCCATCACTTCAATACTTTCCAAAAGTTCTTAGGCAGGTAGGCTTACCTCCAAAAACATTTAACATGACTAATGCATGCTGCTGGTCATTTCTATTAAAACAAAAAAATTAAAAGGTATTTTTAGAGACTTATGAACGCCATCAACAATTATTTCAAGTATAAGCTAGTTTGTATATGCCAAGGGTGAGACTTTAAATGCCTATAAAATCTGTCTGTAAAAAAGGAATTTTATGAGAGCAGGCACATTTTACTTTCAACTTTAAGGATCTGAGCCTGCTTTGGACTTGGTGTTCTATGAACTATGAGCTAACTAAGTTACGGGAAAGCAGCCTGCACCCACGGTAAGATGAAAAGGCAGAATCCTGGGCCTGTGCATTTTAATTATAGCTCTACTGCCTGCATCATTGACCAAGTTTGGGTATTTGTTTCTGTACAGAAAATAAGATTTGAGGCCCACACAGTGGCTCACACCTGTAATCCCAACACTTTGGGAGGCTGAGGCAGGAGGATCGCTTGAGTCCAGGATTTTTAAGACCAGCCTGGGCAACAGAATGAGTCTCTGTCTCTATTCTTTAAAAATAAAAATAAAAAAATAATAAATATATAAAATAAAATAAAATTTGAATAACCATTTACTTATTTCCCATTGAAAATGCTTTTTAGTTATGAACTATTTTAAACATGCTTATTTTTTGCTGATGAGAAACAGGAATTGAAATTGGGAAAAGTATAAAATACTACATAAGTGACCAATATAGATATTTCCATGATTATTATCTCAAATTAACATATTGGTAAGAGAAGCCTTCACCGTCCTGGGCACTCGATCCATGGGTGAAAGCCTTCAGTAACGGTGAATGTTATTTTCATTTTGCTTGGCTTAACCAAATGGGGACCTTGGAGTAAAAAAAGTAAAAAGATGAGCCCAGAGAGAGGCTGGCAGTGGAGAGGCGGAGGGCGAGCCACAAAATTAGAGGCGGTCCGTGCTGGAAAGGCCCTTTGGAGATAATCTCACCACCCTCCGTGGGCGGGAAAGAAAAACAAACGGGAGCCGTCTGAGATTTATGACTCTTACCTGCGGCGGAGATCCTCTGCCACCGCTGCCCGGCAGCTGAACAAATAGGCTCGGAGCGACTTCAGCCGCTGCCGCAGCCGCAGCACGGCGGCCAGCGGCTCTGCGTGGTGGTACAGCATGGCGTTCTCCTGCTGGATGTCGATGAGCGGCTCTTCGTACACGTACTCCAGAAACTCCTTGGCCTGCTTCGACACCTACAAAACAAGCGTCGTCAGTCAGTCCTGGAGAAGCACCTGGCTCTCCACACCTGCTCAAACTAGGAACCATAGCTGAAATATCAAAGGAACACGATTATTTTCTCAATACAGACAAATGAAAAAGTCTGTAGTTGAATTAAATGTAAATTTTGACTTCTCTCTCTTCCAGACATTCAACTGTAAGCTAGGAAGGAATTTATTAATTCTGTATCTTGACTGCAGTGGTGATTACAGGAACCTACACATGTGACAGAACGGCACAGTATGGTGCCGTTATACTGACTTATTATACCAATGTCAACTTGCTGTTTTTGTTTTTGATATTGGACCTTAGTTGCCTAAGATGTAGCCAAGGGAGGAAACTGTGAAAGGTACACAGAACCTCTCTGAATTGTCTATGCAATTTCCTGTGAATCCACAATTATTTCAAAATAAAAAAGGAATTAAGAAGACTGTTTTAACACAAATGCTGATTTTTAAAAACGTCATAAATTTATATGTGCATATATATGTATGAATATTCCATAACACTTTTGAAAAGTAGCCACTTAAAAAATAGGTAAATCAAGGCCGGGTGTGGTGGCTCATGCCTGTAATCACAGCACTTTGGGAGGCTGAGGCGGGCAGATCACTTGAGGTCAGGAATTTGAGACCAGCCTGGCCGACATGGCGAAACCCCGTCTCTACTAAAAATACAGAAATTAGCCAGGCGTGGTGGCACATGCCTGTAATCCCAGCTACTTGGGAGGTTAAGGCGGGAGAATTGCTTGAACTCAGAAGGCGGGGGTTGCAGTGTGCCCAGATCATGCCACTGCACTCCAGCCTGGGCAACAGAGCGAGACTCCATCTAACAAACAAACAAACAAATAAAAAGACTAAATCATGTACATATTACAACATTCAAAAAGGATAAAAGGATATTATTTGCAGAATAATCTGACTGACTAGCAAACAAGCTCAAATATACTGCTTCAGTGACCAGAAAGGAGTTGCTCTTATTACAACTTTGAACTTCAGCTAACTCCAGCCAATATATCCATCCAATTCTGTATTCACCTTGAGTGGTAATCCACGGTAATCCACAAGACTATGAAAGTTCATTTTATAATGTCATTGTCATCAGTAGAAACAAATAGTACATGGAAACACAATGTCTCAGAGATACAGAGGGAGTGGCTTAAATAATGCATAACATGAGGGTAATTTTTCAGAATCTCTACATACCAATCACTGACAGTGAGATGTAGATTGGCTACTAATACATAGAAAGTTGGCTCAGTTTCTATTTATGGAAGATAAAACCTCTCTAAAAACTTTCCATTAAAATCTCTCTAGGAGCAAGGTTAGAATTCAACATTAAAATAAACAAAAAACTTTGCTTATTAAAAAGAAAAAAAAATCTATGTTTCATATGGTAGGCTAGAAGTATATTAATAAAGATATATAGGATACAGTTCCTTCCCTCAAGTGGCTCACTGTGTAGTATGAGACAAGTATTTAAAACAAAACCACATGTAACATGCAGCATGTACCCTGTCATCTGCTACAAAAGAGGTATGGATGGGGCCCACTGGTAGCTTAGAGGAAGGAGAAATCAACTCTCCTGGTGGGGAGAGGGTTGGCAAAGCAGGTGGCACTTGGATCTGGGTGTAGAAGATAAACAGAAATTCACTTGGTGAACAAATGTGGGACAGAATAGAGTACAACAGGCAGAAACAAACATAAAAACCCCTCTGTATGTATATGTCATAATTAAATGTATGGCTATTATATGTTGATTATAAATTTCTCGTACATAAACATAAAATTCAATATGATCATTTTCTTATATTGCAAAGCTTATACCAAAGTTTATGTTCTTTATAGGAATGCAAAAAAATACATCATTTAAAAAATAAACTTCTAATTTTTTTCCTTATAAGCAATTATTTTTGAGGTACCTGTTGTGTTGTGTGATCCTATAGCATCCTGCAGAGTTAGAGTTACAGAATTAGAGAAGTTTACAGTCTCTGAAAATCACAAAAAGGCACCTAGAATTAGCCAAAATCTTCAACTATCTAACCAGATTGGAAATAACAGTTATTCCTCACTTTTATTTTTGAGGCATCTATTAATAGACACAGGTACATGCCAGATACTGTAGCAGGCATTAGGCATTCAGTGGAGAATAAAACAAACATGGCCCTGTCTTTAGGTATAATAGCCCACAGTTCAGTGGGAAAGAAAGACTTGGGTTTAAATATTTTATTTATCATGATTAAATATTTGTGATATTTAAATATCTTAAAATGAGGAAAAGACTGATGGTGTTTTGGGAAATGAAGTACAACCCACTTGAAACTGTTGCTGAAAAATGATGTATTGTACAATTCAATTAGTCTTTCTGGCTCTGTTGAGCAGTGTTTATATGGAGTCAGGGCCCTGCTGAATTAGGTTAACAATGCTACCTTTTAGTAGGTGAACAGAGCGACAGAGGGCACTGGCCAGTCTCCCAGGCCTTAAAAGGCTTCTCTCTTCAGGTGGTACTTAAGCCCGAAAGGAAGAAAAAAATCTTTTACAGAGAAAGTAAAAGCAGTGAGACAAATGGAACAGCAGCCACTGACATCAGTATTCATAAACTGAAATTACAAAAAACAAAAACAGAGCTCGTTTCAACCATGTCGGAGGCGCTGCCTTCACCAGTTGTTACTAGCAGTAGGCATATGGTGCACATCGCTACCGCTGCTGCCTGAGTACATGAACAAATCCCCACCACGTTCAGCCATTTTTGGCAGCAAGGCTGAGCACATGCACTCATTTTTGAGAATCAGCCACTAATAATCGGTGAGGGAATTTTTGAGAGAACTCAAAATCTGGCATGGCCTACTATTTTTGCAAAATAGAGCATTGTATCCCCACTGATTTCCTAAGTTCTAAATGACCCTCCACACTGGCATGAGGATTGTACTCTCAAACTCAACTCGAATTAAAAATGTTAAAAAAAAAGTTACTTAGGAACAAAAGCCAAAGATATTCTTAGGTGATAAAGTTTATGTGAGAAAAAGTTTTTTTGTTAATATAAATATTTCATGAATTATATGTGAACACTGACTATGTTCCAACTAAGAGCTAAGAGCTACTGTCCTACTTCTTGCCAACCAAACTATGAAAAACCTAAAAAGCCTGCTGCCATTTCTGATGTAAAGAAAAATTCAGCTGATAGTCAGGTGCAGATGAATGAGCTCAAATGAATGGTTTCGGCTGGCACTCTTTTCCATGATACCACTCCATTCACATTAGTATTAGTATTGACCTATTAGTATTTTACCAAATAATATTTAATATTTATTAATTATATTCCTTCTATTCATATGAACGAATTTCTTTCCATAGCTTTTGTAGCTTATAAACAGAACAGTTTAAGCTATAAGAACTCAACTCTGTGACAGTGATTGTGCTGCAGTTTGTGAACTGATTCTTTCTTCACAACCCTGCCATCTACATGATTCAAGAGAGATGAGAAGGAGGAATCCAAGAGGAAAGAGGCCTCCTCCCCTACCTCACATTCAGGAGGAGGTGGAGAAAATGGTAAAATCACATTATGATTAGCTACAAACTAACAATGATCAGATCTGCTATTTACACATATACATTTATAAGTAAACACATGTCACTTGATTTGAACATTATTAAGTGTCATCAGTATAGATTCGAACATAATACGACTTTTGTTACGCTAGTGACAGCCACTTCTTAAAAACAAAGTTCTTGAATGTTGTTCAGGTTTGCGTAATCCTGAGGGAGAGTGTTCTGGTATGCTCCCCCACAAAAATAGCCCCTGGTGATAACGTAATGGGGCAAAGGGAATGTTTAACCATAGATAGCAATTTGGAGACGACATGGTATTATGGTGGTGGTAGTGTGGACTTTGTTTTTATTAAAGGAGGAAAATGTATCAGAATAAAACACGAATAAGAAGGACTTGTAGAATAACAAAGACTAGTAAAGATAATCTAATTCAATTTTTCTCAGCTTGTGTTCCAAGGAACACTAGTCCCACAAAAAAAGACGTTTTAAGGTCCAATAAGATGTATGCCACACACCACTTTGTTTCCTTGGAGATTCAAAGTACAGCATGTTTGCATATTAAAACTGAGACATCTTGTACCGAAGAAAACCTGCTTAACCCAGCCACTTCTCAAAGCTATTTTACTACAGACAGGGCAGCTGTTGAGTGCTGCACATGATGCATGGGCGGTGGGAGTGTGGGAGATAAGATCCAGCCCGGACCCCCACTCACCAACCAGAAGAAAGGGCGTCTTTCTCTACCTTGCTGCATCCTCTTGCTAAGCTGTGAGTTTGCTGAGCTGTGTTCTGGAGGGGCTCTTTTCCAATTCCCATAAAGCTGGCCTAGCTGTGGCCCTCCTTTTTGCGTAACACCTACTAACACGAAAGAATTTGGTAATGCTCCATGGAATACACTTTGAGAAACACTGAACTAATCCACTGCCTGTATTTAATAGAAGAGAAAATTGAGTACAAAGAGCATAAGTAACTTATTTGTGGTCATGTCATGGTAGAATTAGAGCCACAACTCAGATCCCTGGAGACTCTGCTCTGTGCTTTTTAGCATTGTTTATATTCACAATTCTTATTTTTTAATAATGTTACCATACTCTATCAGCTTATCACTTCATAAAAGAGTTTTCCTGTCCCTTCTCCATCTTACAGCAAGTAGGCTACAAATGAAGACTAATCTATAATGTAATTAAGCAGGACACTGACATGTAGGATCCCATTTGATTTTAACTTTAAAATAAAACTGAAGTTCAATAACATTTCATTTATACAAAAGTTACTTATTTGTGCAATTTATTTTATTTTATTCTATTTTAGAGACAAGGTTTTGCTCTGTTACCCAGGCTGGCTGGAATGCAGTGGCATGATCATAGTTCACTGTAACTTCGAACTTCTGAGCTCAAGGGATCCTCCCACCTCAGCCTCTGGAGTAGCTAGGTAGGACTACGTGTGCATGACACAAGGCCTGGTTAATTTTTAAATTTTTTGTAGAGATAGGGTCTTGCTGCTGCCCAAGCTGGTCTCAAGCAAATCCTTCTGCTTCAGCCTCCAAAAGCACTAGGATTATAGGCACGAGCCACTGCGCCCAGTCTATTTGTGTATTTTTTTTACTGTCTTTCTCCTTTCACTGGAATAAGAGCATCCATAAGGGCAGAAACTATATCCCCAGTGCCTAGAACAGTGAGCACAATAAATATCCAATAAATACTTGTTGAACAAATGAATGAATAATTTACAATGCTCTGGCCACAACTTTGAAGCATACACTCTTGCTTTAGACATAGTTCCTACAGCTTGGTTATTTGTTTCTAAGTTCATAACATATTTAGAGTCCATAAAGAAGAAAAGATAGCTAGAGGCAGCATGGATACAACATAAATGACAGCTGACATCCTAGCACCAGGGGAAGAGAGGCACCTACAGGAAGCTACAAGGTGAAAACAAAGAGCATACGACCCTAATTGAGGGCAACTTGGCACTATCCATCAAACTCACAAATTGTACATGCCTATATCTAGGAAGTTATCTACAGATAGTTTTGCTTATCAATGAAAAAAAATTATATTCAATATTATGTAAAAAGTTATTCATTGAATTACTGTCTATAATAGCAAAAGACTGGAAAAATCTAAATGTCCACCAAAAAAGAACTGGTTAGATAAATTAGTGTGTGTGTGTGTGTGTGTGTGTGTGTGTGTGTGTAAATATGCATGTAAAATTCATGAAATATTTTAAAAAATGCAAGGAAGAGTTTTATTATCTAAATGGAAAGCTCTCTAAGCACAGGGTATATACTATATTGTCATTTTTGTATGAAAAAATACATGTACATAAAATATCTCTGGAAGGATACACGAGAAAGGAGTGTTTTGGTTGCCTCTGAGAAGAATGGGGTGAGTAAAAAGGAGATTATTTATGTATGTACGCACGCCCCCTTTTACTTTTTGAACCTTGAACTTTCTGAAAGTATACTGTATTCAAAAAAGAAGAATGAATAAAATATAGCAGTGCAAGGCATTTAGGGAAAAACAGCCTCACTTATCCCATTAAACTCTCAAGTTATCTATCACAGGACAGAACAATCATTTACATTTATAATTCTGGTCCAGGCACAGTGGCTCACGCCTATAATCCCAACACTTTGGGAGGCTGAGGCAGCAGGATTGCTTTAGGCCAGGAGTTTGAGACCAGCCTGGGCAACATAGCAAGACTTTGTCTCTACCAAAAACTAATTTAAAAATTAGCCAGGTGTAGTGGCGTGCGCCTGTAGTCCCAACTACTCAGGAGGCTGGGGTGGGAGGAATGCTTGAGTGCCAGAGTTCAAGGCTGCAGTGAGTTACAGTCATGCCACTGCACTCCAGCCTGGGTAACAGAGCACGACACTGTCTCTAAAAAAAAAAAAAAAAATTCCAAGGCATTAAAAAAGTTAACTTTTAATATACATTTTCTTAAATAAAATATGACAGTTAAAATTTATAAAATTATAAAAGTAATATAATCCCATTACTGAAAATTTGGAGAATAAAGATCAACAGAGGAAAAAATATCTATAATCTTACCACCGTAAAATAACCTTATTGCTTTGGTAAAACATTTCCTTCCTGTGTTTATTCCCATCTCTATCATAAAAATTCATAGCCAAAATCATAATAAAATCAATTCTAACGGTAATACTTCTTAGTCCTGTTAAAACAGTCAGTGGGCTAATGGAGGAGAAATTAGGAAACCTTCAGTTTAATTACAATTTGTTCTCAGAATCTCCAAATGACTCTGATCAAGAGGTTTTTCCCATCAGTGAGCTTTTCCTCAGCTCCACAAGGGCAGTAGAGCTTGCCTTGAATACCTCTCAAGATGTAGAAATAGGAAATGGTTTATGTAACATGGAAAACCCCTAGCTAAATGGAATGTGAATATTCAAGCTAGGATACAAATAAATTTTTTTAAAACAAAACTAAGGGGAACTATTTGGAAGAGTTAGGGTTGTTTGATTTCCTTAACATCTCTTTGCTACGCTTGATATTTTTGATTAGGGGGATAGGGAAAGTTATCTTCAAAGAGATTTTATTAGAAAATGGCTATAGAAATTGAGGATAGGGTTTAGCGCTTCCTAATCTTGGAGCTCAATTCAATCTTCAGTATAACACCAGAAAATAGACGAAATCCTGCTTTAAAAATAATTAGGATTATTAATACTCCAGAGGGCAGGCCAGGAAATGCTTAAGATGACAGATTTCATTCTGTTCTGCAAAACCATTTTTTTACTCTTTTAAATGGCTATTCAAGCCAGTCACGTACTTGCTATTAAGGACAGCAGGCAGATCTAACAGAACGATGTCTGGTCTTGGAAACTGATAGGTCTGAATTGATCCTCACAATTAGGAGAATTAAGTTAAATCCTGATATCTGAGAAAAGACAGCCAGACACTGGACTAAATGGAATATAGTTACTTAATGCCAATGAGAGATGATCCAGATAAAATCCACCAGGTCCACTTTTGCTTTAAAATCTTCCTTGGTCCACTAAGAACTTGGGAAGGAGTGGTCTGACAAAGGAGATTTTCCTCATGTGCAACACGGATGAAGCGAGTGTACCTAATATCTTCAATTGCCTAGCTATCCTCTCAAAATCAAATCTAATTACTTGAATGACCACCAAAACAAAACATCCTGCTTTACAGAGAGATTTTAAGTGTCAATGATGGCTAAATTGGTGATTTCTGTGACCTTCAGAGCTCACTGCAAACAGACTCGGATCTCCTCCTCCATTTCATGCCATCATCAACCATGCTTGCCTTTTCATTTTTCTTATTCAGTGCCACCTTTTCTGCTTTTGCTTTACTAATTGGTGTGTATTCTGGTGGCAAGTGCCACACGCCTAAGCTCTCAATGGATCACAGGGCTCGGATTGCCTCACTCACTTGCTCTCTATACACCTCTCATAGCTGTCAAAGCCCCGCTCCAAGCAGATTAATCCAAAACTTCTAAACCAAGCTCAACTATCATTCTTTCCCTCTAAATAAGTTTTTATCTAATACACACATGGCAAATATATTTATAGCCTATATTCAAAGTGTCAAGTACAAGAAGCAGAGGATAGAATGATAATTTTGTCTGGTAGAGAGGAAAGAAACAATCAGGAGAGGAAAAGAGGTTTTAAGCTGAGTTTTAGGATTTGCTGTTGTGGGTGAGGGCAAGAGGAAGACAAGAGGTGTGAAACAGCACGGTATGACAGGGAAATAGACGGATGGCTGTACTATTAATGAAGAGATTGGTGCTGGGAAACGGTTATGGATGAAGGAGCTAGGAAGGCAGGCAGGGACTAAGGATCACGAAGGCTAAGAGAATTGTATTTGTCCTGTATACAATTGTAGTCAAAGCTAACCATAACTGAGGGCTTATGATGCGCCACACCCTGTGCCAGGTGCTTTCTGTGAATCATTTAAGCAAACAGCAACCTTATGAACTGGGTTCTATTATTATTTCCATTCTAAAGGTGAAGAAACTAAGACTGAGAGAGAGTAAGAAACTTACTTAAGGTAAGATTAGGACTTTTCTTTTGAAATATACCAGCCAGAGAGTGATGCTTAAAGGCAGGAAGCGCAAATAGGAGGCTTCTGTCTTCCTTCATGTAAGTGATACTGAGGGTTTGAGTTAGTGTGGTGGGACTGGAGTACAGTGGAGAGCATGGCCTCAGGAGCTAAAATAAAGGCTTGGTTTTGCTAATTGCTTAGGCAGCGTAGGTGTGGCAGACGGAGGAGTCCAGGATGTCTCCCATATCTGGCAGTGGTGACTGTGGGGCATTCACTAAGACAGGTAATGTGCACTTGGGGGAACATCTGGTGAGTGTGATGTGATAAGGCCAATTTGGGAACTGTTGAGTTTGATGTTCCCAGGGGACAGGCTTCATTCTTTCATTCATTTAATATACATTCCTGCTTGTCTACTATGTGCCAGAACTGTGCTAAAACACATTCCGTGTGCCCAGAGAGCTCACCTTTATAGAGAAAATAGACAAGCAACTAGCTGTTATATAGATGTTATGATAATGAAAATAGTAACAGCTTCCATTAATTAAGTGCTTATCACAGTCATTTGCTAAGTGCTTTTCTTATATTACCCCAATTCACACAACTCTTTTAGGTAAATATGTGAAATTATGATGAGAACAAATTTGGTACACACTATGTGCTAGGCACTGTTCTAATCATGACACATGCATTAACCCATTTACCCAGCAGTAACTCTGTAAGGCATTAATATCCTCATTTTACATATGAGGAAACTGACACCAAGAGTCTAAATAACTTGCCTAGGTTAAACAGCTAACTAACAAGTCACAATGCTAAGACTTGAGCTCTGGCAGTCTGGGCTCGTTTTACAGATTACAAAACTGAGGCTCTAGGAAATTCAAGCAACTTGCCCCAACAAATCAAGCACCTGATAACAGGTAGAGGTTTTAACTCCAAGCTCCTGCTATTAATCCCTTAATAAGTGCAATCCTCAAGGGCCACATGACACGATGGTGGCACGAAGGAGAGAGCCAGCAATGCAGTCAATGGGGAATGGTGAGGAGCAACAAAAAAGCTGTCACCACGGAGGACATGCCTTCTTTAGCTCTCAAAGAATAAGCAAGGATTCCCTAGATGGATAAAAATATCTGGAGCACAGGTGGAAAGATGGTCACTAAACAAGAGAAGGGGTTCTTCTTTCTCTCAAGTTAGGAGGGAAAATAGGATAGGTACAAATATAGATAGATTTGTAGATATTCATATTCATATTTCATAACTTCATTTTTCTCCTTGAAGTAGGAGACAAGGTCATATGCTGAGAATACTTAGGAAGAGGCATCTTGAAAACAGTGAAGATTTGGATGATTATTGGGTAGAACTGGACACAGAGTTGCCCAGGGATATATTAGAAAAGGACATAAGCCAATTGACCACTCACAATTTTCATGTTTATTTTATTAGACACCAACGATTCCAGGTAGGTGACAGCTCTAGGGCCCTTTCCCACCTACTTGCTCCCAGGTAACACACTTACAATGAAAGTAAGTCTCAGACATCTGTTAGCAAGGTGGCATCAAAACAGACATACACACATAGACCAATGGAACAGAACAAGAACCCAGAAATAAATCCATGCATTTACAACCAACTCATTTTCAACAAAGCTGCCAAGGACCTACACTGGGGAAAGGACAGTCTCTTCAGTAAATGGTGCTGGGAAAACTGGATATTCATATGCAGAAGAATGAAACTAGACCCCCTCAGGATATACAAAAATCAAATAAAAATGTATTACAGACTGAAATGTAAGACCTGACAAATAAAATGACCAGAAGGAAGCATTGAAAAAATGCTTCAGAACATTGGCCTGGGCAAAGATTATTTGGGTAAGACCTCAAAAGCACAGGCAACAAGAGCAAAAATAGATAGGTAGGATTACATCAAGCTAGAAAGCTTCTGCATAGCAAAAGAAACAACCAATAAAGTGAAGAGACAATGTACAAAATGGAAGAAAATATGTGCAAGCCATTAATCTGACAAGGGATTAATAACCAGAATACATAAGCAACTCAACCCAGTAGCAACAAAAATAAATCTTATTTTAAAACGAGCAAAAGATCTGAATAGACAATTCTCAATAAACACATACAAATAGCCAACAGGTATGTTAAAAAATGCTCAACATCACTAATCATCAGGGAAATGCAAATCAAAACCACAATGAGATATCATCTTACTCCAGTTAAAATGGCTATTACTCAAAAGACAGAAAATAACAGATGCTGGTGAGGATGTGGAGAAAAGGGAATGAATGCTCAGACACTATTAGTGGGAATGTAAATTAGTACAGCCACTGTGGAAAACAGTATGGGAGTTCTTCAATAAACTAAAAATAGAACTAACATATGACCCAGCAATCTCACTGCTAGATATATAACCAAAAGGTGGTAGATATGGAATCAACTTAAGTGCCCATCAATGGACAAATGGATAATGTGGTATATATGCACAATGGGATATTATTCAGCCATAAAAAAGAATGAAATTCTTGTCCAGGTGTGGTGGCTCATGCCTGTGGGAGGCCGAGGTGGGAAGATTGCTTGAGCTCAGGAGTTCGAGGCCAGCCTGGGCAACATGGTGAAACCCTGACTCTTTTACAAAAAAATACAAAAATTAGTCGGATGTAGTGATGTGCACCTATGGTCCCAGCTAGTTGGGAGGCTGAGGTGGGAGGACTGCTTGAGCCCAGGAGGTCAAGGCTGCAGTGAGCCATGACCGTGCTACTGCACTCCACACCTTGAAAAAAGAATAAAATTCTGTCATTTGCAGCAACATGGATTCTGTCAAATGCAGCAAATTCTGTCAAATGCAGCAAATTCTGTCATTTGCAGCAACATGGATAGAACTGGAAATTAAAGTGAAATAAGCCAGCTCGGCCCGGTGGCTCACTCCTGTAATGCCAGCACTTTGGGAGGCCGAGGAGGGTGGATCACAAGGTCAAGAGATCGAGATCATCCTGGCCAACATGGTGAAACCCCGTCTCTACTAAAAAATACAAAAACTAGCTGGGTGTGGTGGCATGTGCCTGTAGTTCCAGTTACTCAGGAGGCTGAGGCATGAGAATCACTTGAACCTGGGAGGCGGAGGTTGCAGTGAGCCGAGATTGCACCACTGAACTCCAACCTGGCAACAGAGCAAGACTCCATCTCAAAAAAAATAAAGAAATAAAGAAGGCAGGCAGGCACAGACAAGACAAATATCACATATTTTCACTCATATGTAGGAGCAAAAAAATTGATCTCATGGAGGTAGTGAGTAGAATGGTGGTTACCAGAGGCTAAGAAAAGTAGGGGGAAGAGGGGAATGAAGAAAGGTTGGTTAATGGGTATAAAAATATAGTGGGAAAGAGAAGTTCTAGTATTTGATAGCATAGTAGGGCAATTATAGTTCATAACAATTTATTGTATATTTCAAAAATAGCTAGAAGAGAACATTTTGAATGTTCCCAACCCAGAGAAATGATAAATATTTGAGGTGATGGATATCCTGATTTAATTATTACACATAGTATGTATGTATCAAAATATTACATATACCCCATAAACATGTACAATTATTATGGATCAATTTTAAAAGCAGTCATACAGCCTGTTTCCATATGAAGCCCCTTGCACAGAAGGTACATTCAAGGCAGATGTCACAACATTCTGGCAGAAGGATCAGAAAAGCTTCTGGTCATATCAGGTAATTGAAGTATGTTATCTATTATGTGTGTAAGATGCAGGATCATAACAGAATCCTAAGCCTAGAGTGCTACTCCAGTAGGGAGTTAGATTCCTGGACTTGCCAAATTCTACTACCTTTTTTAATGCAAGGATAGAAATGCTGTACCATATAGGCCGGGCGCGGTGGCTCACGCCTGTAATCCCAGCACTTTGGGAGGCCGAGGCGGGCGGATCACGAGGTCAGGAGATCGAGACCATCCCGGCTAGAACGGTGAAACCCCGTCTCTACTAAAAATACAAAAAATTAGCCGGGCGTAGTGGCGGGCGCCTGTAGTCCCAGCTACTTGGGAGGCTGAGGCAGGAGAATGGCGTGAACCCGGGAGGCGCAGCTTGCAGTGAGCCGAGATCCCGCCACTGCACTCCAGCCTGGGCGACAGAGCGAGACTCCGTCTCAAAAAAAAAAAAAAAAAAAAAAAAGAAATGCTGTACCATATAGCTAACCAATTTATATATTTTGAAGACTACTAGGTTGAAAATAAAGTCGAGATGTCCAATAGGCAATTAAAGCCACAGATTTCAATTTTAGTAGCAAAACTGGAGCTGCAGATAAAAGTAGGAATTATCAGCATAAGAATCCTGGTAGTTAAAATGATGTAAGTGAGGGAGATGCCCAATAGAAAGACAAGAAAGTGGGAAACAAAATAATGAATCTTAAGGAAGCCCACTATTAAAGGTTTAGGCAGAGGACAAGAAATTAGAGAAGGTGATTGAAAAAGAAGAGTTAGAGGGAGGAGAACCAGGGGTGTGTTGTCAAAACCAAGGCAGGAGAATTCAAAAGGAGTATGGTCCATCTGGTCAAATAGTGTATCCTAGAGAAGTCCAGTAGAATAAGAAACTGCCAAGGGTCAACAGATTTGGCAAAATTGTGTTGGAGAAGAGACGAGATTTGGCAAAACTGTGATGGAGACGAGAGGAGAAGACCATGAATACAGGCAGAAGGGATAAACTTTCATATGACAAGTAATGTTTCTTTGGTGGCTGGAAGGAGGACAATGAGGATAGATGCGGATGTAGGCACGTTTATAGGTCAGTTGACAGGATTATTGCATAATCACCCCTATTTTCTCTACGAAGTAGAAGATAATGGCACTTCACAGGGTAACTTGGACTGGGTATTTCATCTCTTTAAGATCACAGATGCTGAAATAAAAGAATCTGATGAAAGCTACTGATATAAATGGAATACAACTTCAACAAGCTTCCAACATCACATCGAAGTACCTACTGGCCCCTATGGCTGCAGACAGCTTTTTTCTCTTATTCCATGCTCCAAGCAATAGCCAGACCCTCCTATTGTTCACGCAATTCCATCATTCTTACTGATTCAACCATATCATTCTAGCAATTCTCTCTCTTCTGGATAGTTTACACCAGCATAGAAAACATACGGTTATTTTTTCCATTAAAACAACAACAACAAAATCAAACCTAACTTGACCCCACTTCCCTTCAAGTTACTCCTGACTTCTCTTCTTCCTTTTATAGCAAAACTTCTCAAAAGAGTTGTCTATTCTTGTTTCTTGTTTCTCTCTCTCTATTCTATGTTGAACCCACTTCAATCAGACCTTTGCTCCCACCACTCCATTCAAACTGCTTTCATTAAGGTCACTAATTACCTTCACATTACTAAAGCAAATCGTCAGTTCTCAGTGCTCATCTTATTTGAGCTATCAGCATCTGTCACAATTCATCTGGAAACACTTTCTTCACGTGGCTTGTCAGACACCCTGGGATCCTTCTACCTCACTGCTCACTCCTTCTTGGCCTCCTTTGCTGGTCCCTCCTCTTGTCTCTAGGCTCCTAAGTTGGAGGGTCCCCGTGCTCACTTTTCTCCTCTATTGACCTGCATTTTGATAGCCACTAAGCCTGCTATTTATACTTCCTGAAGAGCCTCCTTGGCTGTTAGCAGTTACTTTGCAAAGCTATTAGCATATACCTGTGATTCTCACTTGCTCTCCTTTTTAAAAAACAGCAGTGCTGACAAAGGCCTGAGGATGGCTCAGTGTACTGTTCCTTACTGTTGGCCCCTAGTCAGAAGTCTTCACAGCTTCTCTCAAGGTTCTGGTTCTAGTTCCAAAGGCCTGGATTTGCTAGAAGACTGACCTTCACATGAGTAGGAGCGCTACTCTACTATAAGAAATATCTCGGACCACACAGTGGCTCATGCCTGTAATCTCAGCATATTGGGAGGCCAGGGCAGGCAGATCATTTGAGGTCACGAGTTTGAGACCAGCCTGGGGAACATGGTGAAACCCGTCTCTACTAAAAATACAAAAATTAGCTGGGCGTGGTGGCATATGTGTGTAATTCCAGCTACTTGGGAGGTTGAGGCACAAGAATCACTTGAACCCAGGAAGTGGAGGTTGCAGTGAGCAAAGATCATGCCACTGCACTCCAGCCTGGGTGATGGAGTGAGACAATGTCTAAAAAAAAAAAAGCCGACACAAACAAATGAACAAAAACAAAACAAAACAACAAAACAAACAAACAAAAGAAATATCTTGGATTATATAAGGCCTTGCCTAGAAAGATCACTAGCATGTTCATGCATGTATTATTTTCCCATTTTTATCTTCCCATAGTGTTGTAATGTTGAAGATAAGATCAAATAAAAAATAATAAAAGAGGCTCCTCTCTCTCAGAATTCTCTCTAGCACCAGAAGTAAAAACTGCTCTATATGTCTTTTTAAATGAGGAAACTAATAAGAGTCATAGTTAAGAAGCCTTTCAACTGTGAGATATATAAGAAGCATTAGGTAAGGTCTTGCAGCTTTTATGAGACTACCTAATCATATCTGCTTCAAATTGTTTGATCACCATCTTTATAATCCACCTGAGAACATATGAACACCTGAATTATTATTATTAAGTGAACTGAGTTTTTGTACCTACCTTATACTTTGAAGTATCCCAGTTGTGGACTATGCGTGCTGGAATGAGAAAGCTGTCATCCACGTGGCAGCTACTGCAGTAATACCACCCACTGTAGTTGCACACCTTGGCTTTCCCATTGGAAAGACCTATGGATCGCTGGCAGCCTGTTCAAGGAAAAAGGAAGAGTCTATGATTGCTGTTGTACTTTTAACACTACAGAACAAGGTTATAGAGCTCTAACATCACAGAACAAGGTTATATTTCATTTACCTAGTCTGCAACAAAAAAGAAGTTACAGATAATAGAGTTGTACAGTTGTGTCCTCTTCTTCCTAGTCTGACAGCCTGTCCCTTCACCTCCTAGGGTATTGCTGTAAGGGTCATCAACTGGTCCCCTGTCTCTGGTTTCTTCTGATTCCATCTCTTCTGCATACAGCTGCCAGAGATCAGTCTCTCTACAACCTCGCCTTTATCTCCTCACTGCCCTGCTCAGAACTCCATTTCCACCAGGCACTTTGCTGAAGGCATCTCATACAGAATCTTGTTTAACCAGCACCACTTCTCTATGAGGAAGATATTATTAATTCTATTTTATAGATGAAGAATCTAAGATTTTTATGAGGTTAAGTATCTTGTCTGAGTTCACCCAGTCAAAAAAAGCCAGAGTTTGGATTTGGCTCTAAATTGGATGCTAAAATAATCCCCAAAACTGTTATGTAGCCTTCCTTTGCTTACCAAATCATTGTAAGGAATTTGGCCTCTGATTGGCTCCATCTCACTTTTCTAACTTTCCCTCCCACTACTGTCCAATGGGAACGTAATCACTTTATTCCAGTCAGAGAACTCTCCTCATTGTTCCCCAAATAAACACAGCATGCTTACTCCACCCTCCATATATTCACATGTATTACCTCTCCTTACACAGCACCCTCTTCTCTGCTCTTTACTTCAACAAATCTTGCCCAAGATTACTGGTTGCCTACAATGCCCTTTTCAGATCTAAGAAAGTCCATGACTCTGTGAGCGCTGTCTTGGTACTGTCAGCGAACCTGGTAATAATCATAGCCCTTCCATAGGGAAGCCATTCGTTTTCTTTAGATAGGAAGAACTACCTTCTACTGAGTATGTAAATTCCATCACAATCATCCCCAAGGACAAAATCCTGGCAGATCCAGAACAGGTCATCAAGAATACACAAACAGCATCATTAATCTGACATTTCTGGTCTACAGCTTTCATTTTAGAAATCCTTCCATGTGGCCCATTTTATGGTTGGGTGCCAAGAACTATATGGATCAAAGAGATCTCGCACTAAGCCTATTTCATGAAGTGGGGCAAAAATGAATTACTCTTTCAGTACTACTACAATTACTACTACAACTACGACAACTACTACTAGTACTAATAATATAATGATCAGTGTTGTAACCCTTTCCATTACAAGGAGGTCAAATACATTTACTTAACGAACTACCAACCTAAGAAGATTCTGATTCACATGAACTCCATGAATGAAAGTATCACAAGACTCAACAGAACTTTCATTTTCATCACAAATACAATGGCATCAGTAATTAAGCAGTTTCCCAGTGCATCCTCTAGAAAGAGAATTAGATCTCATTGTTTTTAAATACATGAGAAATGGGAAGAAGATAAGTAAATATATTAGTATTAGGCTTCCAGAGCTTGATCCAGTTCCTTTCTAGAATGGCTATTTCTTTACTATTGAGCAGCAAAAAAAAAATCATAACAAGCTCCTGTTCTTCAGACTGGCTAAGGAATGAGAAATGTGTGAAAGATGAGTTAGAACCAACACACATGTAGCTCCTGATTGACAAAGGACATCTTGCCACAGTCACAGGGCTGTCTGCGAATGTTGGAATGCTGTTCACTGCACTCACTGACTGCATTACTCATTTGGCATTTAGCGCGTGCCTCTTTAAATTATCATGCCTTTTTATGGGCTTGTCCAACCAGGACCACACTAGAAACTCCTCAGATCTTTTTTTTTTTTTTTTTTTTTTTTGAGACAGAGTCTCACTCTGTTGTCCAAGCTGGAGTGCAGTGGCACCATCTCAGCTCACTGCAAACTCCACCTTCCGGGTTCAAGCGATTCTCCTGCCTCAGCCTCCCGAGTAGCTGGGACTACAGGCACGTGCCACCATGCCCAGCTAATTGTTGTATTTTCTATTTTTTTTGTTTTTTTTTTTTTTTGAGATGGAGTCTTGCTCTGTCACCCAGGCTGGAGTGCGGTGGCGCGATTTCGGCTCGCTGCAACCTCCGCGTCCCGCGCTCATGCCATTCTCCTGCCTCAGCCTCCCGAGGAGCTGGGACTACAGACGCCCGCCACCACGCCCGGCTAATTTTTTGTATTTTTAGTAGAGACGGGGTTTCACCACGTTAGCCAGGATGGTCTCGATCTCCTGACCTCGTGATCCGCCCGCCTCGGCCTCCCAAAGTGCTGGGATAACAGGCGTGAGCCACCGCGCCTGGCCAAATTTTTGTATTTTCAGTAGAGACGGGGCTTCGCTATGTTGGCCAGGCTGGTTTTGAACTCCTGACCTCGTGATCCGCCTGCCTTGGACTCCCAAAGTGCTAGGATTACAGGTGTGAGCCACCATGCCCGGTCCAGATCTTTTTTTTATCCTCAGCACTTAATACAGAGCTTTACAAATAGCAGACAATCAATAAATATTTATGTTAAAGGGATGATAAACTGAGTACTATCTGGCACATGTACACTCACATAAACTGTATATATATACAGAAATTTTAATTTTCCGTAGTGATTCCAAAACTGATCCTCTTAACCTGATCACCTGCTTCTGAAAACAGCCTTTCATTAATATCGCTGTTAAAATATGTTGCCCATTCTAAGAACTATATATTACCCATGTTCACATAGGAACCATGGAACTGGCTAGGCATAGTAGCTCACACTTGTAATCCTAGCACTTTGGGAGGCCAAGGCCGGTGGATTGCTTGAGCCCAGGAGTTTGAGACCAGCCTGAGCAACATGGTGAAACCCCATCTCTACAAAAAAATTAGTGAGGTGTGGTGGCATGGGCCTGTAATCCCAGCTACTGGAAGGCTGAGGTGGGAGGAGCACTTGAACCTAGGAGGTCAAGGCTGCAGTGAGCTGTGATCATGCCACTGCACTCCAGCCTGAGTGATAGAGGAAGGCTCTGTCTCAAAAGAAAAAAATTTTTTAAAAAGAAAGAAAGAATGAACTGTGGAACAGAGTTCAGTGGAACTTAATATATCCTAGACAGTGGGATACTGCTATTTCCAAAAATTAGTAGACAAATTGACTGAACACTAAAATGACACTGAGTAGAATCCAATCCTTCCTAATGACTTAAAAGGTGACCATGATATTGCAGAAATTCAGGATCATCATTATAGTTTAAATTCTCACCAAAGAACACTAAAAAAAATTTTTTTTGATATAACAGACATCAGTAAGCATTTGCTGGATATTTATATATTCCCTAGTAGGCACTACTGGATTTATCTGTCTATAATTTTAATGAGC
Source organism: Homo sapiens (assembly GCF_000001405.40). Classification (NCBI taxonomy): domain Eukaryota; kingdom Metazoa; phylum Chordata; class Mammalia; order Primates; family Hominidae; genus Homo; species Homo sapiens. The sequence continues at coordinate 207,949,883 of NC_000002.12, forward strand.
TTATTCTAATTTTCTGGATGCAACACACATAGGCAATATTAACATACACAAACATGCATTTTAAGAAAGCCTATAGCCTAAGAATGTTCACATCAACCGGGCACACAGATCCAAAGCTCACCATGCTGGGGGATCAACTCAGTTAACTAACTGAGTTAAACATCCTCGCAACTATGTACAGGTCTCCAGGCTCATAAAAGACAGAGATGAGAGAACATGGATAGGGTCCATTCAGGTTTTAGTTTGGACAAAAGCAGCAGCACATAAACACCTACCTTTAGTCCTTGGGTGTCTTTACTTTCATACTTTATTTAGAACCAGGCTATCCTACTCCTGGTGCTGAAATCACCCTAATGACCCAGAAGTAGGTTTGAACCTGTCTGCATGCTCAGAACTACTTTAGGCACATGGTATACAGACCGTCACTAGTCTAAAGGCAGGAAGCCTGAGTCTGTTCTTGCCTAGGCACCACTGTGACCCTGACCATCAAATTATCTAGGCCTTGCTTCCTCACCACAAAATAAACGTGTTAGCTTTAATTGGTGAATTGCCAAATTTGAGTGAGCAATGGAATTTTCTGCAGACGTTTGTGAGAAATATGGACCCTTCTTCCCACTGAGATGATTTTGACTCTGTAGATCTTGGGTAGGGACCAGAAATCTGCATTTCTAATGAAATGAGCATCCTCCCCCTCCCATCCTATCCCCAACCCACACGCGGGACGTTGACGGGTAAAAGCTGAGGATTGCTCCCTGATTTCTAGGTGACCTCCAAGGTCCCTCGAGCTCTAAAATTCTGCTTCTATTCAACAAAAGTGCAGAGGGGGTGCAGACTGCTCAGTGAAAAGCTCAGAATTTGTCACACAGTTTACCCTCTAGGCTTCAAAAAAATCAATATTTTAGGTACTTAGTCAATTTCTAAAAAACTGGCTATGTAGAAACAACCTGACTTCATTTTACCAGTGTTTTTCCAGAGCATTCTTGTCTCCACTGGGAGTATCCTATTCACTTTAAAAAGAATGAAAACGTTTAACCCCCAAATCCAAAGTATTTGTATTTGAAAGAACACAGAATGGTTGGAAAAGAAGATTAGAGGCTAGTTAGTGGCCTGATGTAGATTCATTTTCTAAAAAACAACACATGCCATTTATTTGAAGAAGGAAACACGAGTTTTTTCAATTAACTGCAAGATTTCCTTTACTATCAGAGTAGCAAATCATGGACTAAAAATGTCTGAAACAATTCCCCATAAAAATACACAATCTGGGATTTTACTTTATCATTGTGGGGTTTTTAACAGGGAAAATTTTTTCTTAATAATCACTGTTACAAAAAACCATTTTTTTAGAGAGTGTCAAAGCTGGACTCTGAAAAGCGACATTATGGGAAGAAAAATAGAGCTGTAAAGTAGAGACAAAAAATAATTAATTGAAATAACTAATTAGGGCTTATTTACATATTATATTTTTATGTACTTTCAAACAGACTTTTCAGCAATGTTTCTAAATTAAAGGGCATTTGTAGTAAAGAACACTCCACATGTTGGATCAAAGCAAATACATTCTTCCCAGACTCTTTTTGAAACTTTTCAGAGTGTATTCAATTCATAGGAACAAAAAACTATCTCACCAGAGAACCCACTGGCCTTTTTTTTATTATTGCTTCCCACTCCACTTCAAATCTTTAATGAACACATGCTCTGAAGAGCTTAGCCTCCCCTCTGATACACTCTTGGAAACAAATGTCACCATTTAACCAAAATCCTATTTGCTGCACGTACAGTCCATTTCCCAAATGGCCTTTCACTAAATACACCCAAAAGAATCTGTTGCTGGGGGTTGTGCAGAATTTTGGCATACTTCTCCACAAAAGCACCATCTTTCTTCTAACAAGTGTACCTAGTTAACTCAACTGGCTGCAGTTGTTGTTACTGAAGCTGCGATCTTGAGGAAGAGCCAGCCACTTTCTCTCTACTTTACGACTATTACCTTCAGTTCTCCTTTCCCTGACCAGCAGTTGGAAAACTCATGGGCTAAGAGGGAAGAATGAGAAAGCTGTGGCTGGATCCAACTGAATCTCTCTCACTAAGGAAGGACCTCATACAGTGCTAAGTGTGGTCAGTTATGCCACCCACTTTCCATCTCTTAAAGTAAGCTTTTACCTAATTCAGTAAGGTAAATCCAGTCTTTTGCATTTAGAAGGTAGAAACGCTCTAGGAAAAGAACAAGGGCAAATAAAAAAGAAAAGAAGGTGCCTTTGTAAAAGGAAGGAAAAGAGATAAAGAGGGTGAGAAGACACATTGTCGTTTTCTCTGTAAAAATAGAAAAAAATATCTGGCGAGTTTCACATCCTCTTTTATTTTATGCACTAAGTAGGGAGAGATGTCCACAGGAATGAGCAAGGGGACTTCCCTGTCCCTCCTTCCATCCCTCCATTTTCCTGGCTGGGGACAGTGAGCTGCAGTAAGCACTGTGTAAAATGTTGCTTGAAGGCCTAGACTTTGATCATATGCTCTTCAGACCAGATTTCCCAAAATGAAGAAAAATAGACATGCAGGTTCAAGGACTTGCTATTTTACAAGGATTAGGGGTTAAAGTCATAAATAACTTAGCTTTCCTAGCTTATAGTCTCTAACCATTGGCTCATTAAGTAGTGAAATTTTGAACCTGTACTTTAAAAAATAAGGTATTACATTTGGTATACAATTCAAAGTCCTCCCTGGGATTAGCACAAAGTTGGGCACAGTGTTTAAAGAAAGGATTATTTGACACAGGGCACAAGCAATTTTTGCAATGTAGCTTTGAGGTCCATTAAAGGAAGTAGAGGCAAAGCAAACCTGGGCCCCATATTTGCATCCTCCACTGTCAGAGGGAACAGAGCTGAAATTTGAGACTGACCACACATATGTAGTCTGAAGTTAACATGGTGAAACTGAAGCTATAGAATTCTACATAACTGTAAAGTAGAAAGGGGGTAAAGAGTGAGGGACACTGAGAAACATCTACTCAAAAATCAGTGATCCAATACTTTTTGCATCCCAAGCATCCAAGTTATTCTGTCTTTGGGACAAGGTGGTGACCCATAAAGTAGGAGCTATCTGTTTAGCCATAAATCAATTAAGACATTAAACATTTGGATGGAGAATCAGGCACATGCCATTAAGTATACGTTCTGTCGGTTACAAAGCAAATAGTATCCACAGCATCTCAAATAAAACTAAAGGAACAATAGGGGAAATCCGGAAAAAATCAATTGCGTGCCACGTGTAATTGCTAATGCGGATAGTATGGCATGCAGCTGATAGTCTTTGGGTTGAGTTCATGGACTTTAGACTGCAACACTTCAAAATTATTTTCTCCATAAGCCTTTAAGTCCCTTCATAGTGAATTCTCTTCCCAGGAGTTGAAAACTTCACAGTTGGGAGGAAATACACATGCTCAAATACAATCCTGAAATGTACTGATGGTTGTTTCCAAAGCTACACAAAAATTCATTTCTGTTCATCAGAATTTTTTTTTTCTGATGGGCTTCGTTTTATGTTCATCTACAAATTTTATAGCAGTGAGAGATTATATATGAGAAATTGTCATTCCTTGTTGGCTGAAACTGACTCATAAATTTCCGCTGCACAAGCCGGGTGTGGTGGCTCATGCCTATAATCCTTTGGGAGGCTGAGGTGGACAGATCTCTTGGGGTCAGGAGTTTGAGACCAGCCTAGCCAACATGGTGAAACCTCTACTAAAAACAGCATGGTGAAACCCCTACTAAAAACACAAAAATTAGCTGGGTGTGATGGCACATGCCTGTAATCCCAGCTACATGCCTGTAATCCCTGCTTTTCCTGGGGCAGGAGAATTGCTGGAACCTGGGAGGCAGAGGCTGCAGTGAGCTGAGATTGTGCCACTGTACTCCAGCCTGGGCCACAAAGCAAGACTCTGTCTACAAAAAAAAAAAAAAAAGAATAAAGTTCCACTGCACAGAGAGCTGACATGTTAAAAACCATGTTCCTACCATGGGTGACACACATTTAGGTTAACTTCAGCTGGCACTTGTAGAATGGACTACTGCTATAGCTAGGACAGCTCTGTCCTTAAGAATCTCATAGAAGTAAGTAACTCCTCCTAGACACACTGAATGTACCTAACCAAAGAATTTCCAGCCAGGCACTGGTGGCTCACACCTGTAATCCCAGTACTTTTGGAGACCAAGATGGGAGGATTGCTTGTGGCCAGGAGTTCGAGGTTATAGAGAGCTATGATCGCACCATGGCACTCCAGCTTGGGCAATAGAGTGAGGCCCCATTTTTTCCAAAAATTTCTAAAAAATTAGCCAGGTGTGGTGGTCTGCACCTGCAATCCCAGCTACTTTGGAGGCTGAGGCAGGAGAATACCTTGAGCCCAGGAGTTCGAGGGTTCAATGAGCTATTATTGTACCACTGCACACCAACCTAAGTGACAGAACGAGACCCTGTCTCTAAAAACCCTGTCAACACAACAATATGGCAAATATTATGTTTGTAAAGTATTAGTACTGTGCTGAGACACAGTGAATGTTCAATACACATTATATCTAGAGAGAGAGACAAGAACAGACAGATGCATGAAACAGAGATCAAAACCAACAGACATAAACTGTCCAAGACAGAGGCCATCTATGACGTATAATCATGTATTAGTAGATTATACTTGCAGAACTAAGGCAACCAAAAAAATAAAATCAATTCAGATTAGAAACTCCAATCTGAATACTAATTGGTTTAAAATGTAAAGCAATTCTATAAGCTATTAAGAGTTATTTGGGTTTTCCCCCTCTGAATATTTAAATAGCTAAGTCAGCTTTGACATGTAGGACCTACGTTGTGTTAACAGTGCTAGAGGTACTATATTTAAATAAGAAATGAAGTGAAAATCACATGTCAAGTAATTACTGCTGACTGAAAATATAAACTTGCTAAACTCTACAATGTTTATTTAATCTCATGGAATGTTGTTATTAAGATTATAAATCGTGTGAAATAAATTAATAAATACCAAGTAGATTCCAACTCAAGTTGAGAAGTGTCAAGATTTATTGGTCTTTCAGGTAAACAATGATTGAGAACCTAAAGTCAATATTTAGTCAAAATTTATCTTGAAAGGCAATAAATCTTGATTTTTGCTAAAGCACGTAAGTAAATATGTACACCATTTTAGAGAATCTGACTGCTTTCTATGAAATATCTACCCCAAAAGTTGTAAGTATAATGATCTGTAATACAGATTTTCACTTCCGAAGACATGACTTGAGTTGTTGAGTTACTTTTAATTTTTCTTAGGATAAGATGCTTCAATAGTGCTTTTATTGGTGTAAGATAAGTTTAATATTAATAATAAAATCTTACAAATTCAGCTTCTAGTATATTGAAATCAGTCTAAACTTAGTATTTTTTTCATCCTGTTTTTTTCCTAACAGTCTATGACTAGACTTTCTCATTTACTTCTATGTTCTTTCCCCAAAGTCTTTCAAGAAAATGGTAAGCAATTTAAAAATAAAAATAAATAAATAAGAACTAAGCAAATGGATAAACACATTATAAGCAAACACCTTATGTAAGACAGGCTTACTATAAGCCAGGCACTGTCATAACTACTTTACATACACACAAACGAACATATGTAAATACATGTGTATGTCTCTGTTCATTTAATCCTCATACCAATTCTATGAGGTAGGTATTATGCCCATTTTACAGAATAAGAAACTGAGGCAGAAGATGAAAAAGTAATTCTGTCCACTGTTGTACAGCTGCTTAAAAGGCAGAGCCTAATAAAAGTGGCAATGTGGCATTTTCAGGTAGTTATCTCCTTTTGTAAGACATTAGAAAAACTGTCCCCTGCAGATGACAAAACAAGGACAAAAACTATGAATCAATTTACATAAAAGAACATAATTTAGCTCATCAATGAATATAGCCTGGGACATCACAGGCATTAGCATCACCTCTGAAGATGAAGGGTGAGGGGAAGAAGAATACAAATCTATAAAGTAAACAGCAGAAGATAAGAGATGAGGAAAGGAGGAAGCAATCACTATTGTGGAGATCGAGGAAGGCTGTGTCGACACAGGGGCATTTGAGCTGGGTCTTGAAGAAGAGAAGAGATTTTGGAAAAGGAACGTTCATTCATAAAGGCTCAAGTCAGAAAAATGGAAGCACCTTTGGAAACACTGGATATTCTAGTTGTCTGAGGCTCATTGTAAATAGAGGAGTATGAAGAAAAGAGCTTGGAATGATAAAGTGAAGCTAGAACATAAGAATCCTGAGTGCTCAGAGTGAGAAGTCCTAATTAATAAGATATAGCACTTTGGGAGGCTAAGGCAGGCAGATCACGAGGTCAGGAGTTTGAGACCAGCCTGGCCAACATGGTGAAACCCCATCTATACTACAAATACACACAAAAAAAAATTAGCCGGGCGTGGTGGTGGGTGCCTGTAGTCCCAGCTGCTTGGGAGGCTGAGGCAGGAGAATCACCTGAACCCAGGAGGCGGAGGTTGCAGTGAGCCAAGATTGAACCATTGCACTCCAGCTTGGGCAACGGTATGAGACTCCATCTCAAAAAAAATAAAAAAAGATATAGGAACAACCAGAGTTTGAAGCAGAGTAGCAAAGTAAACTTAAAAAAAAAATTTTTTTTTTTAAATTTTGGAGACAAGGTTTTACTCTGTCACCCAGCCTGGAGTACAGTAGTACAATCATGGCTCATTGCAGCCTCAACCCCCTGGGCTCAAGTGATCCTCCCACCTCAGCCTCCTGGGTATCAAAGGTTACAGGTGCATGCCACCACACCTGGCTGATTAAAATTTTTTTTTTTTTTTTTTTTTTTTTTTTGCAGAGACCCAGGGGTCTTGCTATGTTGTGCAAGGCTGGTGTTGAACTCCTTTCCTTAAGCTATCCTCCCGCCCTGGCCTCCCAAAGTGCTGGAATTACAGGCATGAGCTACCATGCCCAGCTGCAATGTACGCTTTGAAAAGATTAATTAGCAAGAAAAGCTGGAAGGGGAGGGAACTAGTTGATAAGTTACTGCACCAGTTTGACTTGATTAGGTGGTGGTCTTGGAAACAGGAAGAAAGAAAGAGAAGGAGATAGCATGGGGACAAAATGCAGATGATCTGGCAACTGACAGACGTTGGGGGCATGCAAAGGGACTGTTAAAGATGCTCATGATGTTTCAAGCCTGTGACTCATGTGAGAAATCCATCAATTAGAAGGAGCAGGTGGTTTGGGGGAGAAAATGCTATTTGAAGCATTTAATCCAAAAAACATAGTTCAAAAAATTTGAGCTACCAGATCTACTGATGCTTAAAGCTCAGGTGATTAAGAATAATCCCCCTTATTGTAAAAATCAGTTTGAATTGTATATTCTGTTAGTTGCTACTGAAAGCATTTGATATACTTGATATCAAATGATGGTTGGTGAAGGTCCTATTTTTATAACCTACTACTTTCACTTAAATTTACGTAAGATGCAGAGGTCTTAGATTATAAAACATTATGTGGTGGCTGGGCGCGGTGGCTCACGCCTGTAATCCCAGCACTTTGGGAGGCCGAGGCGGGTGGATCATTAGATCAGGAGTTCAAGACCAGCCTGGCCAACATGGCAAAACTTTGTCTCTACTAAAAATACTAAAAATTAGTTGGGTGTGGTGGCAGGAGCCTGTAATCTCAGCTGTTTGGGAGGCTGAGGCAGGAGAATTGCTTGAACCCAGGAGACGGAGGTTGCAGTGAGCCAAGAATGTGCCATTGCACTCCAGCCTAGGTGACAGAGCGAGACTCTGTCTCAAAAAACAAAACAAAAAAAAAGTATGTGGTATGAAATAATCAACATCTATTTCAGCAGAAGACATTAATTAATTTATAAAGAAGTGAGAAAAAGCTAGATGAAGAAAAGAAGACATCATTGTAGGCCTTGACCTTTGGTAGCACAGCGATTCTCAACCAAGGGAGATTGTTGTCCCAACAGGGGATATTTGTAATGTCTGCAGACATTTTTGGTAGGATGGGTGGGTAAGCTACTGATATCTTAAGGATGAAGGCAAGGAACATTGCTAACCATCCTACAATGCACAAGACATCCCTCCACAACAAAGAGGTATCTGGCCTAATATGTCAATAACGCCACTGTTGGAAAAACCCTATGACAACAGAAAGACAGGAGGGCAAAATAAGAGATGAATATGCTGATCTTACTTAATCACTTTTCTCTGCTAGCAATGGATATACCATCTATTACGGGAAGGAGGAAAAGCCCTTTCACCAGTTCTACTTTCTTACCTTAAAAAATTATTTATGCTGGTAGGTTAAATTAGTGTCATGAAAAAGAGGCACCATCATCTACTAGACTACCTGCTAGTAACATCTGCTCCAAGCTTGGCTCTTTTCTTCACAAATTAATCTTGGTGAAACACTGCTCACCAAGAACTCTTACTTGAAAAACAAGTGCATAAACAGGGCTCAGCTGAGCTGATGATTTCAGACATGAAAGCTGGTAGTGGTGGATGGAAAGAATGCTTCTTGTCATAGTTGACCTCCCTCTTTCTCTATCAGTTCTATTTTCAACATGGGGCTACCAGGATTCTCTATATATTCTCCTGCAATCTCAGACAGGAAAGGAAGGTCAATCTCACCATCCTTGAAACAAGACAAATGCTGGGCTGGGCTACTTGAAGCACTGAGAGCTTCAGGGGAAGATGTCTAATTAAATAAACTCTTGACTGGATGTGGTGGCTCACGCCTATAATCCCAGCACTTTGGGAGGCCGAGGTGGGCGGACCACCTAAGGTCCGGAGTTCGACAGCAGCCTGACCAACATGATGAAATCCCGTCTCTACTAAAAATACAAAAATTAGCCAGGCATGGTGGCACACGCCTATAATCCCAGCCACTTGGGAGGCTGAGGCAGGAAAATCGTTTGAGCCCATGAGGCAGAGGCTGCAGTGAGCTGAGATTGCACCACTGCACTTCAGCCTGGGCAACAGAGTGAGTGAGACTCCATCTCAAAAATAATAATAATAATAATAAAATAAAATAAACTATCTTACTGGAATGTTTCTCTGAACCAGTGCCAAGCCATATTAGAACCCGAGACAAAAGGAGAAATCAGGAATTCTAATCCTGTCTCTAGTTAAGCTTTTATATTTTGTTCATCATGGACTTTTTACATTAATTTTGATTTTTAAAGAATATCATATTAACATATTTTTAAAATCTTTATTACAAAGGGTTTTTCAGCACTTCCTTAAATTCTGTACCCAAAGCACATGCCTCTCTCACCTTACCCTAGTCCCAGTCCTGTTCTGAACACTTTTGCCTCACAGAGAATCCAATGTATGCTGCACTTAACATTTTCTACAGTGATTTCCCCTGGTATTTAGCATTATATTAAACCACTACTAACTCTCTTTTTGTGATTCCCCAGTTACATCTCTCTTTTATGATTGCTTCAAAAGGCCAAGAACCTCCTATTGGCTTAGAGGTTCAGATTATTTTGGGGGGTTACCTGAAAAGCAACCTGTCTTTTCTTACTGTTTCTGGAACTAACATTTTCTCCCAGCTTGGATTTATTTAGAAGTCGCTTCTTACATCAGTCTCCTCCACTCTGTAGCTTCTATCACATACAGTGTCCTACCAGGGTCCCCTCTGACTTCTCTTTCATGCCACTCCCCATTCCTAATGCCTGCTTCTCTTTCCTCATATTTTAGGAGAGTCTCATCTCTTTGAACTTTACAGTATCCTGAAAACAAAACCTGTCCTCTCCTTTGCTAAAACCTCCTAAAAAACCCTGACAGCATTTCTTAGAGTAATTCTACTTGAGCCATTTTGGTAATGATAACAATTTGATAAAATTAAAGTCATAAGAGTGGATCCGAGTAGTGCTAGGAACAGTCTCAAAGTGAAAAAGATTACTTTCATCAGCTTCCTTTAAATCCATGCTTGAATTTCTTCGTTTTCACCCCAACCAAATTATTTATGTTGTACAAGATTTAGGGACTGTCTTGGTGTATTTTCTCTTCCTTTATTCTTTTCCCTTTCACCTTCTTTCCAGGCTTTTCTATCTTTTTAGAAGCACATGTTTGTGACTACCTCCAAAGCTAATCTTTTAACTATACATTTAGTATTTGCAATAAGCTATTTGTATCAGGTTATTTAGACTTACTAGGTAAGACACAAGTGGAAAACTCCTATTATCTGGAACTCCTGCTTCTGGGGAATTCCCTAGAGTGATATTCCTAGCTTCTCTCCCCATCCCTTATCCAGCCCTCCTCACAGATGGGGGAAATTAGGTATCTGACTGCTGAGTTAAGAAGAAGGACCCGGGCATGCTCAGCTTGGCCTTCAGGAAGCAGGTTTCTGTCTGCTATGATAAGAGGACATGATGGCCTTCAGGAAGCAGATTTCTGTCTGCTGTGGTAAGAGGACATCATGGCCTTCAGGAAGCAGGTTTCTGTCTGCTGTGATAAGAGGACATCACAGCCTTCAGGAAGCAGGTTTCTGTCTGCTGTGGTAAGAGGACATCATGCCCTTCAGGACTCCAGCTGTGGCCAGGTGAGTAAGTCCATCTAATTTAGGGGTCCACTCTATAATAATAAATGTGATCTGGAAGCAATATATGTGATATTTTAATCCCCATCTTCCTGCCTCTTGGCATAAGAAAGAAGAGGTATTATTCATTTATTAACCCTGTAAAACTCCTGCAAGGATGGTGGCCCACACAGACAGCATCTAATAATGGGAGTGGAGAGGAAAGGGAAAGGCACTCAGATGCATGTTGGTGGGTGACATTATTGAGAGATGAAGATCACACAGGAGAGTCGGGCTAAAGGGGCTGCCTGGAAACCTTTAGCATTATCAGGAAACTTTTACTCAAGTTAAAACTCCCTAGCCTAACAATGGATGAGAAACATCATTTTCCCAAAGGTTTTCCATCCATTATGAGGCCATAAGACGACTTCTCTTTATCTAAGAGATCATTTGGGGAGCCTCCCTGTAGTTTCTGGGGGAAAAAATTGCAGTGATGTACTAATTACTGAATTAGGATATGTCACTTTTGGTTCAACTGATATTTTCTAACATTTGAATTGTACATAGTCAAGACAGTTTAATCTTCCCTCAAAATAGTGTTGAAGAGGCTGACCCACAAGACTGTGAAAAGGCTGGCTCGGGGCCATATAATAAATCAGTGGCAGGACTATAAACAGAAGACCAAGCTCTTGTGCTCCTAATTTATTACTTATCCCACTGAGTGTGGATGCCTCCCAGCCACCACATCATGTGTGTCTATTATTTTGTCTGGTCTGGGGCTCAAGAAAAACATCTTTATTGATGAAGATGGAGAAGGAGACCAAGACTCAAACTAAGTCAATCCTCTGTGTCAGAGGTACAAGTCTGCTGATTTAAAAGAGAAGCAATTTTCAGCAAAGTTTTTGGTTCAGCCCTACATGATTTACTTCCTTTATAGAAAAAATATGGGTAAGGCACAGTCCTTGGTACACTGATATATACCTAGTTAGAATGTGATTTTTCAATCTTTTGGAAATTGATACAAACCCATATGTCTTAGGTTTTAGAATCCTAGTTTCCTTCTGGAAGTGGTATATGGTAAGTACGACATTTTTTTTCAGTTAAAGGTAATAAATAAAATCAATTCTGTGGTTGCTTTTATATCCATTTAAGAAAGAAACACCTTCTATTTTTAGCCAAGATTTAAGAAGGATATCTGGGTTAGATAGTGGAGATCACAGAGTCACTGAGTGTGCTTGCCCATCGTCCCACCACTCTGAGTTGCGGCTCTGAGAGGGCTGCAGACAAGCTGAGCAGTCCAGAGCTGGTCAGTTTCTCGTCTGCTTGGTCCCAGAAGCACCCAAAAAGATATCACCAGAAATCTCCCTTCCCCAGGTGGATGCTGTCAGTGTTGGAAGTAGCTGACTGGAAATGAGGGAACAGGGCAAGTAGGCCAAAGCTTCCTCATTCTGTGGGGGGAAATTACACACATCATTCATCCTCCTTTCATCCAGGTTCCATTTTTGCTGTGGAAATGTCCATTCAATGTCCTGGGCTACTGTATAACAATTTGTCTAGTCTTTGTCCCTGATCTCTGGCAGGGAGCTTCTAAAACCCTTGGAATTTCCCCAAGTGATATGAATATCTTTGTTATTCACGAGCCCCTAAGATCACACCTGAGTTTATGCTAATGGTGAGTCATAGTGGGCCACTAAATAGCCTCAGAATGGGGGGTGGTCAACAGAAAGACCAACCACATGATTAGAGGGTTGGGACTTTGAGCCAGCCTGACCTCCAGGAAGGGGAAGGAGGCTGGATATTAAGTTCAGTTGCATGGCCAATGATTCAATCCATCATACCTACATAATGAAGCCCCAGTAAAAACTCAGGACACTGAAGCTCAGAGGAGCTTCCTCATTGATGATCATAACAATTTGATGGGAAGGTGATGCAGCCTGATTCCACAGACAGAGGGCACAGAAGTGCTGCATTTATGGCCCTCCCACACCTTACCTTCTAGTCTCTTCATTTGGCTGTTCCTGGTTTTTATCGTTTATAATAAAACTGCAATTGTATGTATAGCATTTTCCTGAGTTCTATGAGTTGTTCTAACAAATTATCAAACCTGAGGCGGGGTAGGAACCCTCAAATTTGTAGCCAGTCAGTCACTGTGCAGGTGGCCTGGGAACCCCCTGAACTTGCACTGGCATCTGAAGTGGGAGCAGTCTTGTAGAGGGCTGAGCCTTTAATTTGTGAGGTCTGTGCTAATTCCGGGTGGTCAGTGACAGAACTGTATTGCAGTATCTAATTGGAGTTGAAACAGATTATGTGCAAATAAACCGTGCAAATAAACTGACAGTGCAGTGCCCAGAGCAGGGGATTGTACCTTATATCTGAGGAACCCAGTCCTGCAGAGAGGGTATTATGGTTAAGTAAGTTAGGAAATGTTGTATACTTTTCTCTCACATTAGTAGAATAAAGGCTCTAAGAGGTCCTATAGTCAAAAATTAAAAAAAAAAAAAAAAAGACGTGCCCGGAAACTTGCAAGATTATAATTGGTTTGCTAAATAGGGAACATGTTAACTGTATCTACAGATGACTCCAACCTTGGATTCCTAGAAAAGATGGTGAAAGTAGGAAACCTAATGGTGGGTGTTGGGATGGCAGTTCAAGCATTACAGTGGAGAGAATCTGATAGGTCCTAAGTCAGTGTGCCGGGATGGAGAGGGTGTTTTTGAGAAAGTAACATTTACGTTAGTGGCCTGAAGAATGAGCTGGGGGTCGTGCTGGGGATGGCAATACTCTGAGGAAGCAACTGCATATGCAAAGGCTCTAAGGTGGGTGAGCAGAAAGTGGTGCATCTGAGGAACAGAAGAAAGCCAGTGTGGCTGGAACAGTGTGTAAGGGAGAAAGTGGCAAGAAGGCCAGAGTTGAAACTGAGGAGGTGGGCAGGGTCATTAAGGATGCTGGTCTTCATTCCAAAAGAAGTGGGAAGACACTGAAGAATTGTAAAGAGAAGACTATCAGGGGTCAATCTGAATTTTAATAAGATCACGCTTGCTGCAGTTGAGACAAGATTTAGAAAAAGTCAGAATGAAAGCAGGAAAACTGGTTAGAAGGTCACTATAGTCATCTTGGTGAAAGATGACCCAGCAGCAAATAAAGTGAGGGAGGTAAAGGAGATCTCAAAACTCAAACACCAACTATGTTTACCAAGTATAAAATAAAAATTAGGCATGATATTAGGATGTATTAAAAAGGAAGCTGGAATGTAGGTAAAGAATTCGGGCTAACTCCTTCCTTTCTTTATACTAGCCACCAGGTAGACCCTGTTAGAACATCATTGACATTTCCAGAATGTAAAGAAAACATGGAAACCTGGAGATGTTTCAGCAGATTGATACCCCAATGGCTAACATATTGAACATATATAGAAGAAATAGTTAAAGGAAATGTGCCTATATAAACTAGAGAAAACTCAAGTATGGGTTGACTCATTCACTAAGAACATCCTGGCTGGGCATGGTGGCTCACGCCTATAATCCCAGCAGTTTGGGAGGCTGAGGCCGGCAGATCACCTGAGGTCCGGAGTTTGAGACCAGCCTGGCCAATATGGTGAAACCCCGTCTCTACTAAAAATACAAAAATTAGCCAGGCGTGGTGGCACATGCCTGTAGTCCCAGCTACTCAGGAGGCTGAGGCAGGAGAATCACTTGAACCCAGGAGGCGGAGGTTGCAGTGAGCTGAGATCACGCCACTGCACTCCAGCCTGGGTGACAGAGTGAGACTCCGTCTCAAAAAAAAAAAAAGAACCTCCTATGGGCTAAACCATTGTTTCTCAAACTTCGTATGCACTCAAATCAATAGGAAAGCTTGTTTAAAAATCCCAGAGATTCTGATTTCAACAGGTCTGGGGAAGGGTCCAGTCATCCCTACCCAAATCATACTCATGATTCTAATGCAAATGATACTCAAATCACACTTTGAGAGATCCTGGGGTAGACACACTGGTGCTGGGGCCCTGCCCTCACAAAAGTAAAACGCAAAGTCATAGGCCCATGACAGGATTCCATGAGAGTGGAGGGAGGGAGGCTGCAAAGGAGAAATGTTCGATTATATCTGGAGCATTAGAATTAGGGGTGGAGGGGAAGGCGGTCAATAAAGTCTTGCAAAAAAAGTCTTTAGGGGTGTAAAAGATTTTTCACACCCAGAAGTCTTCAACAAAGTACAATGCAGAACCATAACGAACATGGTCAAACATCAGCTGTCCTCCTGATCTCACTGCTTTTCAGGCTTGCTCCATTTTTCACCTGAAAAAAGGGAGGGAGTTTCACGCTCTTTGGGTTTTTATTACTGTAATTTAATTAAAACTTTTTTATGTTAACATATTTCAAGGTATAAAGATGGATAGCCATACATACAGGCATTTATCCTACTGCAAAATTAACCTGTACTTTACCCCCACACCTCAATTTCTGGGACTGTGTGTGGTCCAAGTTTGCTGAATGTACAAATGATTAGATGAAAATATTAATGCAAGAAATAAGTTGGTACTGCTATATTACTAGATTTCCTTACCTAGTGGATATATTTTAAAATGGCAAGTTTTTCACTTAAGTATGTTTCTGTCTTCAGGGAGTATAATAGATTTTAGAAACTCTCAAGTAGCTTTTATTCTTAGGTCCATGAAAAGCTTAGTTTTTCAAGGAACTTAGCTAGAAATTAAGGAGAATCTTAACCTGCCCAAGTTTATCTTAAAACTGTACCTACACCAGTTTCTCTCCCAGTGAAAGGTCAGTAAATAAAAACTTTGAAGTCAATGTGGAATCCAATGGTACATTAACACTCTCTTTAGAAGTTACGCCGGAAATGAACACATGATGAGAACAATGTTAACCAAAAAGGAAGCTACAAAAAGGGACAAGAACTTTCCAGACCAAAGTATAGCAACAAAGACTAGGAGAAATGAACGGCTTAAAAAAAAAAAAACGACAGCACAGCTATGGCCTATGAAGTTCAGGAAGGTCCATCAAAAGATCTATATCTTCTGAAATTCAAAATGATTTTATTCTTCTGAAACATATCAAAGACCAACATGTGACTTCTATGATGAGAATACCAGGAATAAATCAAAAAAGCAAATTTATATCCTATAAAATCAAAGGGCCTACTTATATAAAGTGATCAAATCTCTTTGAATTTTAGGATATGAAATAGTTTAAAACACAAATTATATAACATTCTTCTTCCATAGACTCGCATTACTGCTTTAGTATGTATTCATATTCTTCTTATACATTTATTTTTATTTAAAATTATTTCCTGGCCTAGAAACTTAAGACTGCAAAAAGTAAAGTAATTTATTTAATGATAGACATCAGAGCCAGGAAAAGAATTTCCATGTCCTGTCTCCTTAGTCAATTGATATTTCTACTAGTTTAAGTTCTCTTCCCCAAAGGAAAAACGTATTACTTATTAAATAAAGTTTAAATGAAGGACCACATTAATCTCATTTTCTCTAACCCTCTATAGACATTCAAAGGATCACAAAATGAGAGATAAAAGGAACCACACAGAGCAAAGTCAGTCCCTCTAAAATATGCCAGACAGAGGTGGAAGAGTTGGAAGGAAAGTCTAAGACCTTTGAGTTCAACTGTGTGTTATAATTACTTATTTATTTGTCTGGCTTCCAGTTTTCAAATTCTGTAAGGACACAAAATGAGACTGATTGCCTTGTTCACTCTGCAGAAAGCATAGTGCTTAGCACATAGTAAGGCTTCCATAAACATTTGCAGAAAGGCTGAATGAATAAATCTCTATCCTGCAGATGAGAAAATTCTAAATCAGACAAGTTAAATGACTTGTCTTAAGGTCAAAATTCCAGGCCTCTTGCCATTCTACTCATTTTCACCCATGGCCATCAAGTTTTCTTAAATAAGAAAAAATACAATCCACTCTGCATATTTTTGTTACCTTGGCCCAACAGGATTACACATAGTAACCCTCTTTTCTCCTCTAAGTGACAGCCTTCAAACATGAGGGGATAATACTTGTGTCTTCCCTATTCTAGGTTACATTGATTTGCATGCTACGGTTTTTAGCTCCTTCACTATCACACATCAATAGATGTGGATGAGTATTTTTTCTTTTTTTTTGAGACGGAGTCTCCCTCTGTCGCCCAGGCTGGAGTACAGTGGCTCAATCTTGGCTCGCTGCAACCTCCACCTCCCGGGTTCAAGAGGTTCTCCTACCTCAGCCTCCCGAGTAGCTGGGACTACAGGTGCCTGCCACCATGCCCGGCTAATTTTTTTTTATGTCTAGTAGAGATGGGGTTTCACCATGTTGGCCGGGCTGGTCTCGATCTCCTGACCTCGTGATCCACCCACCTCGGCCTCCCAAAGTGCTGGGATTACAGGCGTGAGCCACCCCGCACCCAGCCTAGGATGTGTATTCTTAAAGAACAGCATACATAACTGAAGTTTCCAGATATGGTCTGGCCAGGGCAGAGTGCAGCAAGAATATTACCTCTTCTTTATGGATCTGTTTTGTAAAAGCTTTCCTTTTCTTTCTTTTATTTTTATTTTTTTAGACAGGATCTCACTCTGTCACCCAGGCTGAAGTGCAGTGTCATGATTATAGCTCACCGCAGCCTGGAACTCCTGGGCTCAAATAATCCTTTTACCTCAGTCTCCTGCACAGCTGGGACTACTACAGGCATCAGCCACCAGGCTGGGCTATTTTTTTTATTTTTTATTTTTTGGTGGAGACAGGGTCTTGCTATGTTGCTCAGGCTGGTCTCAAACTCCTGGCCTCAGGCAATCCTCCCACTTCAGCCTCCCAAAATGCTGAGATTATTGACATGAGCTACTGCACCAATCTTGTAAATGGTTTTCATGTAGCCATAGCAACACAAATGCTGGCTTCACGGCTGCCTCATTTGTATGCCCACATGGGCTGCTGTTAGCTCAGGTTTTCTCTACCTTCTATCTTTGTGGTTAATTTTCTGAATATAAATAGAGGACTATTTCTCCCTACTAAATCTCATCTTGTTTGTTTTGATCCATCCTCTAGCTTAACGTTTCAGAATCTCAATTCTGTCATTCCGCATATTAGCTCTCCAAACTAGTTTTGTGATAGCTGCAAATTTGATAAGTATGCCTATAGTATCTTTATCCAGGTAATTATAGTTGTAAGTGAGCAAATACCATTAGGTTGGTGCAAAAGTTATAGCGGCTTTTGCCATTAAAAGTAAGGGCAAGAACCGCAAATTACTTTTGCACAAACCTAATAATAACAGCTAGCCTCATATGACATTTACTATGTGCCAGGCAGCATTCTAAGTCCTTTAACTCAATTTATTCTCACTACAAACTAATAAGGCAGATGTGATTATTTTCTTACATCTGATCAAACAGTGGAGGTACGGAGAGGTTAAGTAGTTTACCTAGGGTCGCACAGCTGGTGAGTAGAACCAGAAACCCAAGCAGTCTGGCTCCAGAATCCTTGCTCTTAATTACTAAATTATTCTGCTTCTCATTATTATTGTGTACCTTTACTGACAAACTTCTAGACTGAGAGGGAACCATTAGACAACAATCCTTGAGTAAAACTGCAAATTATTCACAAAACAATGCACATACTACAATCTCTGATAACCCAAGTTAACAGAGATTGTAGTATGTGCATTGTTTTGAGGGCTTTGCCAAATGCTTTCCTGAACACTAAGTGCTATATAGCACAGACCTGACCTACTTCTCTAGTATTCCTCAATTTCTTTTGTGTGCCCTCAGACTATAAAGTCCTGGGAGTTACAGACCACAACTACACTTCCTCTTGTATCTCCCAGAGCACCTACTACAGCATGAACACACAACAGAAAGTTTTATCTTTGATAGATGGTAGCAAAAGCCAAGGAGATTTTCCCTGAGTTAAATTCTGTGGGAACTAACGACAAAGTTTAAAGTGGGGTTGGGGGTGGGGGGCCACTTTAGCTCTTTAGCTTTCAAATTCTCTAGTACAGATTCTCTGACATGAGCAGAGACAGGGATGTTAATGGTCTCCAAGCCACTGGCCATGATGGCTTGACCCTTGGTCACCCCATCCCATTCTTCAGCTCATTCCCTTCAAGCCCTCCATAGCCTTGGGAGGCTGGGTGTTTCTATAAGTATTTGAAGAGCACAACCTGCACCTCATTCTTATTTGCATATCCCAAGGTGCCTGTCAGAGTGGGTGTAGCACACAAAGAGGGGTTTGAAAACTCCCAACTAAAACTTCACCTAAGGACTCTACTATAAGCAAGCCCTCCACAGTTATATTCAAAGTTGGAAAAATAAAATTTAGCCCTTTATCGCACACAAATACCTAGGGATTTCTCCTCTGGGAGACAACAATCCAAAACACTCAATAAGAAAATGACTTAGACAATACAACATAAGAAGGCAACAATACGCTAAACATTTCTCATGTATCCAAGTTGTTTATATGTTTGGGGAAGGGTCATATCTGAGTTTTCCTTCATTGTCTTTTCCTCCCCCAATTAGCTACATACCTATTCCCTAACTCTAATAAATCTTCACCTTATTACTTCTAAGTGGGAGACAAATTTGAAAATAGTAGTAAAGATGATAATTGGAGATATCAAGGAAAGTCAATTTCCTTATTTCCACCTCTCAGTTCCTTAGAAGATCTGGCTCTTTGGCTACTAAAGGACCCCCCAATTTTTCACATGGGAATGAAAACAGATTTTGGCTACCTTAGAACTTCTTGTTTTTCAAGAGCGTAATACACAATGACCCTTCTGGGCACTTAGAGACCAACAGATCTTTCTTTACCTAGACTCACATTCATAAGAAGTTCCCAAATTCGATTTCCCTTTTTCTTAAGAATTGCTATTCTACATGATTTACCCAGAAGCCAATAAGTAACTAACTAGGTCCAACCCAGAAATACTGCTTACTTCCAGACTGGCAGCCATTTAATGAGTAATTAACCACCCCATACTTTCTATCAAGGATGCTTGTATTGCTAGGGTAAAGGTATCCTTTATGTCTAAATGATGCCATAAAACAGGCCTTTGCCAGAAATACGTCCTCATTTATCATATGAAATGCCATGTGGTATTAGCAAGGTCAATAATGTTTGTTTAATATATTTTGCTTTCATAGGAGCTTGAAATGATTTGTTTTTGCAGCTGTAACAGAGTTAAATTAGGGATTTAGCTTCAGCTTAGCTAGTTGAGCATATATAACTAGGAGCTATTAATTATCTGCCTAGAATCCTTTGGTCATCTTCCCACAACTTACAGCATCCTTGGAGGACTAAGTTACACCAAAAGCAGCCAGATTTTATCCTCGGGTAATTAATCTTGGCTTCTTGGTTACTAAGGGGAGGCTAAAAATTTGAGTTTTTATTTCTTATTCCACAACTCCCCCCACTAAGCATATAAATGTTATTAGTACATAGATTTTTTTCTAAAGTTGAGCAAGGAATTTAAGATAAAATCTTAGTGCAAAGGCTAGTTTCAGACATCCATTCCCACAAATAAAGAACTAAAAAGCACAACTTTTCTGCCCTTAAAGCACCAATAATCAGCCCCCTTCTCTTTTTCTTTCTTCTCATACTGCTGTTCAGGCTTAAACAGAGTACGGGGAGAGGAAGTTAGCTACAAAGATAAACTCATCAAAAGCCTGTCCTACAATTCTAATTGCCCTCTACCTGTTTGTGAATGATAGCTGGGAGCAACCGCTGAAAAGCTTTGGGGGAAAAAATGCAGGGAGGAAAATAAGGCAGGGGAGAGGAGAGAGAGGAGAGGAAAGAGGAGGTAGGGTGGGGCAAAGAAAAACTAGAGTGCAATTCAAACAAAAATGAAACTCTCTCTCTCTCAAACACACAAAGAGGAGGAAAATGCCCCCCCACCCCCCACCCCAGGTCCTAACAACATACTTCTTTATCAGAGGTTCATTGTCAATCAATTAGCCCAGGCAGCAGGGGTCTGTGATGGTGGGGGGCACCCAGGGAAACAATGGACAGCCCTGTTGTATTACTATTTAATCACTTTTGCTAAATAAATAGAGCAGCCCCGAGGTGCTGTCATGTCAAGGGAATTTATAACAAAAAAAACTTCATTTTTCATTGGTCATTACTTTTTTCCCTCCAGGACAAGAGAGGGTTATTACTGTAGCCTTAAGTTCCATCTTTGTGTTTCTTGCCTTTGATTCCCACTCAGACCCTGCCACTTTCTGGCACTAATTTGTCAGGCTGAACAAAGAGGGGATTTGTACCTCCTGTAAGGTCTCAATTAGGAATGGCTTCTGCTGTATTATGTGCCATTCAGAGAAGACACAATGCCGGTAATTACAGGAATTTGCACTAAATGGCTGAAGAATTCACAGCAAAACTTCTCCCCACCACCTCTTGGGTTTACCCCTCCCAAGGGTTGGAGGGAAAAAAAGAAAAGCAAAAAAGCTCTTAATGCCAGAGAGATGTAATTACCAACAGCAGTCCCAAGAGGTTAAACAGCAGCCAAGGAGTAAAACCATAAAATCTGACACAGTGAAAATGGTGTAGGGGATCCCCCAGGCTCACTGTTTTTCTTGCTGTCTTTGCTGTTAACATGTTCAAATTCAGTTCAGAATTGGGAACACTGCCCTACAGTGGGCCATCCAATTTCATCTCCAGATTACAAAACAGTCATACAAGGAACACTTCCAAAGGTGAGCTTTGCATCTCTTGTCACACTCAGAAACAAGTCCTTGGGCCCTTTTATTATAGTACTCAATTGCAAGGTTTCTTGATTGCTAGGAAATTATAGGAAAAATATCTGTGTGTGCTAGTGCCAAGAAAACTATGTATCTATTAAGTGCAAATAGGTAGGTACAAATGTCAAATTCCTAAAGAAAACAGAGCTGCTTAGATAGGAGGAATAAGTTCTAGTGTTCAATAGCACTATAGGATGACTATAGTTAACAATAATACGTAGTTTCAAATACCTAGAAGGGAGATACTGAATGTTCCCAACACAAAGAAATGATAAATGTTTGAGATAATGGATATGCTAATTACCCTGATCTGATCACTATACATATGTATTGCAATATCACTATGTACCCCATAAAGATGTATATTGTGTCAATTAAAACTTTTTTTAACTAAAAAAAAAAAAAGAGCTATTGCCTTAATCTAATTTATATGGCATTTTGTGAATAACCTAATATAGAATCACATACAGGTACACACTTCATAAATATTTTAATAAGCTGTATAGTCATTTGTTTTAGCATTAATACTATAGCACCACAGATTCCCCATTGCCAAACACAATTTTAAACCTCAACCAGTAATTTCACCGAAGAAGCATGCCTCATTTGCTGCTACAGGTGTCCCCGAAAAGCTGTACCACCAAATTAACTGTTCCTACATACCATTCCCATCATGTGCTTCTCTGCTCAAGAACCTTCTGTGACTTCAGGGTCAAACATAAAATGTAATCTGAACTGTCTTTACTTTTATAGGTCAAAAATGACTGAAAAATCTGCAATTTCACATAGTTCTACCTGGCACCATCTCTGAGAGTTCTCTAACCCAATGCATGGGCGTCACATCTGTAGCAATTGTCACAGCTGCCTTTTGACATTCACTGATGTGATTATTTGATTCATGTCTTCCCTAGTGGACTGCAAATTTCATGAAGGCAAGGACCATGTCTGCTTTCCTCCAGCACTGACCCATCTAGGTGCATCCAAGTTTCTGGGCACACAATAAATGACAGAATGAATGAAACAACTAAGTTTTCAAATTTCAAGAAGTAGAACTAGCAAGTGTAAGGGTCCTAGAGGTAGGCATGATAATAGTAGGTTCCAGGAACAGCAAGAAGACCACTATAAGGCTGGGCACAGTGGCTTACGCCTGTCATCCCAGCACTTTGGGAGGCCGGGGGGCGGGGGGGCGGTGGATCATGAGGTCAGGAGTTCGAGACCAGCTTGACCAACATGGCAAAACCCCGTCTCTACTAAAAATACAAAAATTAGCCGGGCCTGGTGGCACACGCCTGTAATCCCAGCTACAAGGAAGGATGAGGCAAGAGAATCACTTGAACCCAGGAGGCGGAGGTTGCAGTGAGCCGAGATCATAACACTGCACTCCAGCCTGGGCAACAGGGCGAGACTCCGTCTCAAAAAAAAAAAAAAAAAAAGAAGACCACTATGGCTGGGGCTTCCTAAGCTCAGTGCAACCCTGGAGCTGCAGAAGAAGCCACGGAACAGTCACACATAATCAGATACAACTATCAAAAATCAAGTACACATTTAAGAAATATACCGTTATGTATCAGCATATATTTTTAAAACCATAACCTCAGGCATTTTTGCATAACCATGGTCCATTTTTTTCTGCAGGGCTGTTTAAATTTTAAAGAAGGATATAGAAAATTCTTCACTTACAGAAATAATTTAATGAAATAAGGCCAATTGCACTATTTTGTAGATTTAAAAGCCAACATTTGTGGCTCCCCTGAATAGCAAGTAAATGACATCATAACAAAGAGCTACTCCATACAATCTTCCACTTCTAAAGTTTATTCATCCAAACTATTTAAAGGGGGAAGAACTAAGTAGACATAAAAACTTATAAAGGGGCACACTAAAACCATGAAATACAGTGAATTAGCCTCTCCTTAAAATAATACGTAAAGCCAAAACTCATCAAAAACAATGTGCTGAAGTTTTTGGCATTTTGGAAGATCAACATGCTATGCCACCAGCTTTTTCACTGAAGGTGTGTTTTTATGAGGATGCAAAGTTAGAAGACATAGGTACAAAAGGAAGAAGCAGCTGGTTTAGATTAACTGTGTTTGTGAGAAACACAGATCAATTTTTAACGTTCCATCTGCTATAATAATCTCTGATATAATGAACAGTCTCCCAGGTAATTTAAAAAACATTCAGAAGTTTGCTTAACAGGTTTTGGCCTTTTTCTTTTGAGACTCTGCCCCCTACAGGAGATCAGGAAATAAAGTATTCTTACCTAGAAAACCAGAGTTCAGCCTGGCACAGGCGGTGGCTTACGCCTGTAATCCCAGCACTTTGGGAGGCTGAGGCAAGCGGATCACCTGAGGTCGGGAGTTTGAGACCAGCCTGACCAACATGGAGAAACCCTCATCTCTACTAAAAGTACAAAATTAGCCAGGCGTGGTGGCGCATGCCTGTAATCCCAGCTACTCAGGAGGCTGAGGCAGGAGAATCACTTGAACCCAGGAGGCGGAGGTTGCAGTGAGCCGAGATCATGCCATTGCACTCCAACCTGGGCAACGAGAGCGAAACTCCATCTCAAAAAAAAAGAAAAAAAAGAAAGAAAACCAGAGTTCAAGTGCTGGTATGAAAAACAACCTGGTAAACCACAAGTATCACAAAGCAACTGAATGCAGCACTTTCTGAGGGAAGAAAGGGCATATAAATGGAACAGCTTTTCTTTCTTTTCTTTTTTTTTGGAATGTGCCACACTATACAAAATAAGACTGACTTCTCCCTGTCCCAAATTAGAAACCTGTCTCTCTCTGCCCCGTTCGTTAAAACTCCGAACCAAAGCACAAAGTTAAAAGTCAAGCAGTGCAAATAAATTTTAGACTGCCTTCCTCCCCTGATTCCGTACTACTACCCTTACCCAACCTATCCTCCACAAGCCAAATTTCGTGAGCACAAAATTTAGACAGCAAAGGGAAGCATCCTATCATATGGAACCTAACTAAGGCAGCTGCCAGAAATTTCTATTCCTGCCCATTATATTATAATAATACGTTTCCTGTTCTTTTCTACTCAGCTTCCTTCTCCTTCTTTTGCTCACTTTTCTTTTTTTCCTGATTTCATTTCTCCAGCTGCCGGATGCGAATGAGCTTGCTGAATGGCACCTTCTTACCTACATTTCTCCTTCCTCTTGAGTGTCAGGAATGCTACGAATGCAGTGCAGAGCATGGGCAGTGCACACTCCATCAGAAGGCACACTTCTGAGAGGGAGGTGAATTAGGCAATACCTCTTGTGAAATACCTGAGGCTTTTCTTCCCTCTTTTACTAGAAAGTTTCTTGATTCAGCTACTCCAATCTCCACATCTTGAGAACTAAGCTGAGCTGTTCTTCCTTACTCCAATAACACAACAGATTTGCTGACCACGTCTGTAATCTAAAGCCACGGAAGTGTACCATAATTCCAGGATGTCCAGAGTAAGCACTTAGTAAATTATTATTGAATGTCTGAACTTAAAAATATATGTACTAGTATAAGACACTGAAATGTCAGTAATTTCTATTTTTTTAAAAAACTGCTAAAACTAGTATCTCATCATTTCAAAACCATTTTCCAAAAGTATCTGGGTGACTTAACACAGGTCTTTCATACCTACAGATACATATATATAAACTAGTAGAGCTTCTTTTTTTTTTTTTTGAGATGGAGTCTCACTCTGTCAACCAGGCTGGAGTGCAGTGGTGCAATCTCAGCTCACTGAAACCTCCGCCTCCCAGGTTCAAGCGATTCTCCTGCTCAGCCTCCCGAGTAGCTGGGATTACAGGCGCCCACCACCACACCCGGCTAATTTTGTATTTTTAGTAGAGACGGGGTTTCACCATATTGGCCAGGCTGGTCTCGAACTCCTGACCTTGTGATCCGCCCGCCTCGGCCTCCCAAAGTGCTGGGATTACAGGTGTGAGCCACCGCGCCCAGTCTAGTAGAGCTTCTTAACTGGCTCAGTGTTTCTGGTCTCTCTGATCCCACTCTGCAAGTTTCTGGTCCACAATCACTGAGGCCCTTGAGTCAAAGCAAGGATGATTCACTCAGTCCTCACTCTGGGTAATTTATTTTCCATAGAAAAGACTAGCATCATAACTAACCTAAGTTCAAAACGTGGGTTTTCAATGGCCACCTTTATTTGGCTTTTTTCAATGCAGGAGCAAGGACAAAATTTTAAATGTGGTTTTGGCTGGTGGTGAGCTTCTTGATGATTTTTAAACAACATGTTAAACCTAATAGACTTGAATTAAAACCTTCCAAATCAGATTTCCATTTAAAGCCATTCTCATGGTAAATTTAATGTCACAAACTGTGGGGTTTAATGGAAGGAAAATAATTTTATTTAGTTTATAACAGATATCTAGATCGGGTTCAGTGAGGTTTTAAAAGCTTTTTTTTTTTTTTTTTTTTTTTTTTGAGATGGAGTGTCGCTCTGTCGCCCAGGCTGGAGTACAGTGGTGCAGTCTCAATCTTGGCTCACTGCAACCTCTGCCTCCTGGGTTCAAGTGATTCTCCTGCCTCAGCCTCCTGAGTAGCTGGGATTACAAGCACCCACCACCAAGCCTGACGAATTTTTGCACTTTTAGTAGAGATGGGGTTTCACTATGTTGGCCAGGCTGGTCTTGAACTCCTGACCTCAAGTAATCCACCTGCCTTGGCCTCCCGAAGTGCTGGGATTTCAGGTGTGAGCCACTGCACCTGGCACAATTTTTTTTTTTTTTTTTGGTAATTTTACTGTTTCAGGAAAGGTGGAAAGAATGGGGAGTAGAGGAAAGATGAAGTAACAAGCTTTTACAAAATAAGATTGTTGACCTCAAACTCCACTTTGCATCTCATCCTTACATAGCAGTTCCAGAAGGCCTGGGCTTCCCCATGATGGGCATAAGCCCATAGTGACTCAGTGGTCATCTGCTGAATCATCATTTACTCCGCTTTTAGCCACCCCCACATTTTCTGTCAAGACTGATTTTCTAGATTTCACCTTAAGACGATTTGACAAGGTCAAGATCAATGACAGTTACTGACTGTGGCCATTTTCCTTGCCTAAGGAGTTTTAGTAGTCAGCTTTGGACTTGAATGTTTCTTATGAGACAATTTGTGACATCCATATTCACAGTGACCTTTATTCAAGAAAGCAGAGGGAATGGAATCACAGCCGACTCAGGAAACCTAAATTCTAGTCTGGTTAAGCTTTAGCCAAATCATTTTGATTCAACAGGATATATCATAGCTGCTTCTATTTACTTCAACAGCATGGGATAAAGATGGTTGTCCTTATGTTTTAATATAGTAATTTAATATAGGATGTTTTAATACAGTAAGCTTCTCGAGGAGAGATACTTTTTATAAACAGGAGATAGCTGTGACTAGCCTATTAAGGGGATTTTTAAAGTGAATTCCAATTGTGGGGTTCAGGATTGTTCTTTAATGAGCTATAGGCTGAAAATCTGCTTCATACCTGCACATTTGAAACTCTGAGCAGTGAGTCCTCGTTCCAAAGACAAAGTCGTCAAAATGCTCAGGAAGCTGGTAGTCACAGATTGGCGTTTGTTCTTCCTGAGTTCATGCCCACCCATTTGATCCTTGGGTTTGTTCCTCAGTGTGACTTGCAGGTTTTGCTCTGAACTCCTCGCCACATTGGCAGCTATCTTCAGAGCCTCCATCCATTCCTGAGCCCTCTGTCGGGTCTCAGCTCGGAGGCGAAGGACATCCTGGGGGAAAATGACTTGAAAGCAAGAGTCGCAGCCATCCAGGTTGTCCATCTGGACAGCCAGACACACGTCCACGTTGTAGCTCAACAGTGGATCCTCGTCTAGCTTGCCAGGCTGAAAAGCCATAAGGTAAGCCCTGCTCAGCACAAATGTAAATGCCTTCCAGTTGTTTTGGACAGTCAGCCTGTAGAGAGTCCCTGATTTGAGGATGTTTTGGTACTGTTTGGAGCTGTCCAGGACAGGGGACGGTGGCAGCAGCCCACTGGTTTTCTTCTGGAAACTATGATTCTGTGTATAGTCATCATGATGGCCAAGCCCTGGTGAGATTGTCAGCTCATTCTGCCGCCCCATGTAACCGGGCACAGCAGCATGCACTACTTCCCAAAGCTTCTGTCCCCAGTCCAAAGCCTCCCATGGTGACTCTGCCTTTAGCTGTAGCTGAGTGTTGTCATACAAAACAGTATCCACCATCCTGGCCTCCAGGTTGCCTAAAACAGATATGCTCTGGAAGTGTGAAAGCTGGTACGTGGCATAAAGGTTTTGATTCCCACTGCTGTCGAGGCTGTAGAAGTATAAGTTGTAAGGTGAAAGTTCTGCATAACAGCTTTGCCAGTAACTGTCATGGTCCTTTCTAATCTCCAGGTAACCCTTCTTTAGAATGTTTGGGAATGTCTGCTTGTGTTCTAGAAAGGAAAAGAGAGGCAAAGTATTGATTAGAATTAGTTATAAGAAGGCAGGCACAAGAAACCACACAGATCAGGGCACAAGAAACCACACAGATCAGGGACTGACAGTCTTCTGGTTCAAATTAAACAAAATAAAAGTAGTAGAATCCCACGATGGTACCTAACTGGCAAGAAATAGCCGGGGAAATCTCGAGTCTAAAAACTGTAACTAGGAGGCTGGGTGCGGTGGCACACACTTCTAATCCCAGCATTTTGGGAGGCCAAGGTGGGAGGGATTGCTTGAGCCCAGGAGTTCAAGACCAACCTAGGCAACATAGTGAGAGCCCGTCTCTATAAAAAATTAAAAAATTAGCTGGGCATGGTGGCACATGCCTGTAGCCCTAGCTACTCAGGAGGCTGAGGTAGGAGGATCACTTCAGCCTGGAGGTTGGAGCTGCAGTGAGCCATAATCATGCCACTGTACTCCAGCCTGAGTGACACAGCAAGACTCTGTCTTAAAAGTAAAATAAAAATAAAAACTAGAACTAGGGTGGAATCACATGTACAAGAATAAGTATGGGGCATGGAACGTGCAACATCAACGGAGCGTGCAACATCAACGTGAGATGCAGAGGTCTGTGTAGAAAACAGAAATACTGGAACAACTGTGACTAGTTATGCCTTGTGAATCTAGGAACCAATCACGCTTTGCCAGGGTTCCATGTTTTCTAGGTAACAGTCTATTAGGGTGGTGCAAAAGTAATTGCGGTTTTTACCATTACTTTTAACGGTAAAAACCGCAATTACTTTTGCACCAACCTAACAGTACCAAATACACAAGAGAGAACGTGCCTTCCGCCACTGGACCTAACTCCCTGCTAATACTTTTATCTTCCCTCAGGTTGGTAAAGCGAGGAAGGGTCAATGAATAGGAGCGAGCATAAAATGTGCTGCTCACAAACTCTCATTTCTCAGAAACCTTCAGCAGCCCTCCAGGCCAGTTCATGGGCCTTCTGTCTAGTAATCAGAGATCCAAGCTTGACTCGACTAGTTCACTTTTTAGGTCTCTGCTTAGATGGCCGTTTTCTCTCTGAGCCTGACTGTGCTTATGCTGTCCCCTGAGCTTGCAATGCTCCTTCCACAGGCTTCAATCAGCAACTGCACACTTACCCTCTTTCAGAGAGTCTGTCCTGATTCCCCAACCTCGCCTACACACATGCATGCATGCCTGAGTCAGTATCAGGTATCACTACTAAATTATTCTTCTATCATGGGCTCTTAGTTCAGGCTATATTATAATAGCTTATTTACATGTCTGAACAAATAAAATAAGTCTTAAATTTTTTTTAAGGCTGTCTTTCCTGCTGGACAATCAGTTCCACTAAGGGCAAGGGTAAGATCTGTCTTTTCATTCTTAGACCACAGAACATTGAACATTGCCTTGTACATAGTAGGTACTTAATAAGTACTTGTTGAATTAGAAATAAGGTACCTAGCACAATGCTCAGCACATAGTAGGTATAATTCCCCTCCTATCTTCTTTTCTCCCTTCCCCTCTGTTTTACAAGTCATGCCATCCGTAATCAATGATTAGCTGCAATATATACTAGTTTAGTACTTAATAAAAGGGGATTATCACTTGAGAGATTTCCTGACATTCTTATCAGACATGAAAATGACATCCAGTCAGGCGCAGTGGCTCACGCCTGTAATCCCAGCACTTTGGGAAGCCGAGGAGGGTGGATCACCTGAGGTCAGGAGTTCGAGACCAGCCTGGCCAACATGGCGAAACCCATCTCTACTAAAAATACAAAAATTAGCTGGGTGTGGTGGCATGCGCCTGTAATCCCAGCTACTTGGGAGGCTGAGGCAGGAGAATCACTTGAACCCAGGAGGCGGAAGTTGCAGTGAGCTGAGATCATGCCATTGCACTCCAGCCTGGGTAACAAGAGTGAAACGCCGTCTCAGAAAAAAAAAAAAAAAGAAAGAAAGAAAATGACATCCATGTGAAGGATGTCAATCATCTCCTCCCTGGTAGAGACTTTAATTTCTGAAATGTTTCTCAATCTCTTTGCCAACACACATTGGAGACAGTCATAAACTAATTGAGACATTCCCTAAAAAAGATAAATCATACTGCCAAAGGGTATGATTTCTGCTTTTGGCTAAAGATTTCTGCTTTTGACTAAAGAAAAAAAGAGTAATACAGGTCTAGATCTTAAAATAGCAAACCAAAAGAGAAAAGGAGAGAAATGAGGCTGAGAAAAGCCAGTTTTACCTGCTTTACATCTCTGGTCCTGACATTCATTAGTATTTCTGTGGTAACTCAAAAGCCATTAATTTCTTGCAACCCACACTAATCCCTTTGTAGAAAGAGATAATGGATGCCTATTTGCAGGTTATCTTTCTCTTCTGATAATGCAATAAGGGAGGCAGTGCTGTTAGCGACACTGCTGCCACCTCTCCTGATCTCATTTCCATCAAGCACTGATGATAGTTCAATCTTTTCCACAATAAGACTTAAAACTATGTGTCCCTCTATCCCCATCCCTACTGTGACCCAAAGGCTCAGCTGAGTC
This sequence comes from Homo sapiens, assembly GCF_000001405.40. Lineage (NCBI taxonomy): Eukaryota > Metazoa > Chordata > Mammalia > Primates > Hominidae > Homo > Homo sapiens. The sequence continues at coordinate 207,980,148 of NC_000002.12, forward strand.
TGCTGAGTAAAATAAAAACCACCTCTCCTGCTTTTAGCTAGGAATTTTCCTCCCCTCTTCTTATCTCCCTGTGAGCTTTTAATAACAGCTCCCAGGAATTAAAAATTCTACTTTAATTGGGCCCAAACCAGCAGCAAGCCTGGCTAAAACCTCACTTCTTTCTAACTATATGAGCTAGGGTGGCAGGTGCCAGCTTGGGTGGACTGAATGAGAAGACCGGCGAGGGAATCTTCAAGGTTCCCTCACCTTCTAGATGCAGAAGAAGAAAAAATGCACTGGGTACCAACATTTTTTCCCCACTCACTAAGCAACATTTCCTATCTCTGTTCTCCCAACTCAGCTTCAGCCCTCTTTAAGTGGTACATTAAATTGAAACAGAAAATAAAAACTGTGAATCCTAGAATCCTAGGAAATGGCCTTTTATTTATTTTTATTTTTTGAAACAAGGTTTTACTCTGTCACCCAGACTGGAGTGCAATGGCGTTATCATGACTCACTGCAGCCTTGACCTCCCAGGCTCAAGCAATCCTCTCACCTCAGCCTCCCAGCCAGCTGAGAATACAGGTACATGCCACCACACCTGGCTAATTTTTGTATATTTTTAATAGAGACAGGGTTTCACCATATTGCCAAGGCTGGGGAAATGGTGTATTCTTACAGGCTGCTGTTTGTCATGTAATTTTTTGAAAAATAAGAATCGGCCGGGCACGGTGGCTTACACCTGTAATCCCAGCACTTTGGGAGGCTCAGGCGGGTGGATCACCTGAGGTCGAGTTTGAGACCAGCCTCGTCCAACATGGAGAAACCCCATCTCTACTAAAAATACAAAAATTAGTCGGGTGTGGTGGTGTGTGCCTGTAATCCCAGCTACTCGGGAGGCTAAGGCAGGAGAATCACTTGAACCCAGGAGGCAGAGGTTACAGTGAGCCGAGATTACGCCACTGCACTACAGCCTGGGCAACAGAGAGAGACTCCATCTCAAAAAAAAAAAAAAGAAAAAAAGAAAAGAAAAACAAGAAGAAAAATAGCAAAGGTGATCAGGAAGCTATTTTCTGGAGTATCCATTCCTCTCTGGAGGATCTGTCTATATCATACCTTATTAATATATTGTGTATGATATAAAAGTTATATATCTGATCATAAAGGGCTAGAGAACTACCATCTCTCTTTAATCTCTAACAATTCTTTCTACTGGATCTGAAGTTTATTTATTTGAGACAGGGTCTTGCACTGTCACCAAGGCTGGAGTACAGTGGCACAATCATAGCTCACTGCAGCCTTGAACTCCTAGAGGTTCAAACAATTCTCCTGCCTCAGCCTCCTAAGTAGCTGGGAGTACAGGCGCACATCATGATACCTGGCTTATTTTTTTATTTCTTTGTAGAGAAGGAATCTTACTCTGTTGCCCCAGCTGGTCTTGAACTCCTGGCTTCAAACAGTCCTCCCACTTTGGCCTCCCAAAGTGCTTGGATTATAGGTGTGAGCCACTGCACCCAGACTGAAGTTTATTTTTAATATTTTTGCTACTGACAAATCAGAAGCTATGTATTTAAATCTAAATTTTCATTAATTTACCATAGTTCACTTTTTGTTTCTCTGGGCCATATCATATCAACTCATTTAATTAACCCCACACATATTCTTTTAAAGTATTCAATTTCATAAATAATAAAATCTCACAATGACTAATTTGATAAATGAATAATATCATATAATAATGAAGTGAAAGTGTTTGACTTCATAAATGAATATCATCACAGATGAATACAGTTGACTCTTGAAAAGCATGGGTTTGAACAGTGCAGGTCCACTTATACCTGGATTTTCTTCTACCTCTGCCACGCCTGAGATAGGAAGACCAGCCCCTTCTCTTCCTCCTCAGCCTATTGAGCATGAAGATGAAGAAAATGAAGACTTTTATAACCTACTTCCACTTAATGAATAGTAAATATATTTTCTCATCCTTCTGATTATTTACTTATTTTATGGAGATGGCTATGGCCACCATGGTGCACCTGTCAGCCTGTTTGTGATTTATTTATTTCCTTCCTTCCTTCCTTCGTTCCTCCCTCCCTCCCTCCCTCACTCCCCCCCTCGCTCCCCCCCTCCCTCGCTCCCTCCTTCCTTTTCTTTCTTTCTCAAGACGGGGTCTCACTCTGTCACCCAGGCTGGACAGCAGTGGTACAAACATAGCTCACTGCAGCTTTGAACTCTTGAGCTCAAGCAATCCTCCAAGATCAGTCTCCAGAGTGGCTGGGACTACAGGTATGCACTACCACACCTGGTTCATTTTTTAATTTTTTATAGAGACAGAGTCTTGCTATGTTGCCCAGGCTGGTCTCAAACTCCTGGCTTCAAGCAACCCTCTCACCTTGGCCTGCCAAAGTGCTGGGATCATAGGTGTGAGCCACTGTGTCCAGCATTGATTTTCTTTTTTTTTTTTTTTTTGAGACGAAGTCTTGCTCTTGTCCCACAGGCTGAAGTGTAATGGCACGATCTTGGCTCACTGCAACCTCCGCCTCCCAGGTTCAGGCAATTCTCCTGCCTCAGCCTCCTGAGTAGCTGGGATTAGAGGTGCCTGCCACCATGCCCGGCTTATTTTTGTATTTTTAGTAGAGACAGGGTTTCACCATGTTGGCCAGGCTGGTGTCAAAACTCCTGACCTCGTGATCTGCTTGCCTCGGCCTCCCAAAGTGCTGGGATTACAGGCATGAGCCACCGCGCCCGGCCTGATTTTCTTAATAACGTTTTCTTTTCTCTGCCTTACTCTATTGTAAGAATACAGTATATAATACATATAACATACAAAATATGTGTTAATTGACTGTTCATGTTATCAGTAAGGTTTCTGGTCAACAGTAGGCTATTAATAAAGTTTTGGGGGAGTCAAATATTAAACATGGATTTTTTTTTTTTTTTTTTGAGACGGAGTCTCGCTCTGTCGCCCAGGCTGGAGTGCAGTGGCATGATCTCGGCTTACTGCCAGCTCCGCCTCCCAAGTTCATGCCATTCTCCTGCCTCAGCCTCCCAAGTAGCTGGGACTACAGGCACCAGCCACCACGCCCAGCTAATTTTTTGTATTTTTAGTACAGACGGGGTTTCGCCATGTTAACCAGGATGGTCTCAATCTCCTGACCTTGTGATCCGCCCGCCTCGGCCTCCCAAAGTGCTGGGATTACAGGCGTGAGCCACCACGCCTGGCCTAAACATGGATTTTTTATGGCATGGGGGATTAGCACACCTAACCCAAGTTATTCAAGAGTCAACTGTAATATAATTTATTTTGCAAATGAGTAAATTATCTAATATCACAAATGATCCAGATAGGATCACGGACAGAGTATCACCATTTCCCCAAAGAAAACAGAGAAAGGTGAGCAAAACAAATCACTGTACCCATGAATTTCATACTGAAACCACAAGACAAATTCCCCATGAAAAAGAAAAAAAAAAAAACAGAACTATTTCTCCATTGCTTTCTACTGTGGCTAATACAAAGACTTGGTTCTGTTCCTCCTCAGTGAAGATCCCCTTTTCCTTCTCCTCCTCGTCTTTACAGTATCCAGTGCAGTGGTTTCAGGACAATAAATGCTACTTACTGAAGAGGAAGAAGGGAATTTTCCCTGTCATGCACCTGATTCACTTCTCTACTGCCAACACACCAAAGAGTTCCTCTTTTGCCACTATTTCCTCTATCTGTTCTCAAAAAAGTTTCCATCCTCATGGCCACCTTCATCAAGGTTGAGTCCTCCTCCTTCCTGGCCACTTCACCCACTGTTGCCAGGCTAAACTCTCTGGGTATCTCACAGTCCCTCTCACGTCCCTCCTCAGGCTAACACTCTTCACAGGTTTCTGGGTGCCAAACAGTAAAGTCCATACTCCTTAGCTTGGCCTTCAACATTTCATTACAGAAAGTTTCAAACACACTTGAAAAGCATGTAGAAGAGTAAGATGAATGCCAGGTACTCATTGTTCAGTTTTAAAAATCGCAAATTTCTGCCATTCTTCTTTCATCCCTCTTACCCCTCTCCAACTCTTGTTTTTTATTTGTTTTTCTTGCTGGTATGTTTGAAAGCAAATCACAGACATTTGTTTTATTTCACCTGTAAATACTTCAGGGTATATTTCTAGTCTAACAGATAAGATCTTTAAAATATATACGATACTTTTTTCACACCCAACAAAATTAATAATTCCTTATCTAATACCCAGTCTGTGTCTAATTTTCCCAGGTTGTCTCAAATATTTCTTTTTTTTTTTTGAGACGGAGTCTTGCTCTGTTGCCCAGGCTTGAGTGATCTCGGCTCACTGCAACCTCCACCTCCCAGGTTCAAGCAATTCTCCTGTCTCAGCCTCCCGAGTAGCTGGGATTACAGGCGTGTGCCACCACACCCAGCTGGTTTTTGTATTTTTAGTAGAGACAGAGTTTCACCATGTTGGTCAGGCTGGTCTCAAATTCCTGACCTCAGGTGACCCACCCACCTCGGCCTCCCAAAGTGCTGGGGTAACAGGCATGAGCCACTGCGCCTGGGCACATTTCTTTAATATACATAGTTTGTTTGAATGAGTTCATATGTTGATTTTGTTGACATGTCTTTTAAGTCTTTTTAAATCTATAACAGTTCTCTCTTCCTCCTTTTTTTCATGCCATGTATTTCTTGAAGAAGCTGGTTCATTTATCCTGTAGAATTTCCCACATTCTGGATTTGGCTGAGTGTATCTTCACAGAATTACTTCAATGTTCCTGTTTCCCATGTTTTCTGTCAACTGCTACTTGGACCTCAAGGTTCAGTGAGGTTTTTTGTGTTTTGGTTCTTGGTGGCTTTTTGGTTTTGTTTCTGTTTTGTTTTTGTAAGAATATGTCACAGGTGGTTGTCCCACTTCTACGGATGTTAAGATAATTAGGGGGTTCAGAGTATATTAGCCTGACCCCTCCATCATAAATTTCCTCAGGAACCCCTCACACAGTGCTGCCACTCTTAACTCCACCATCTTTCCATCAGCTGACCAAATCACCATGTCCATGGCTCACCCACTCCTGACCTTCATGCATTTTTCTCCACAGTCCCCCACCTAGATCTTCCTTCGTCTCTGCTTGTCCAAGTTCTCCTCATACTTGAGGGCTAGGATAAAATCTCATCCATTCCTGAAGGCTTTCTTCATCCCTTCTAGTTGAAAACAACTGTCCTCCTCTGAACCCTCATGGCTCTATGTCTATACCCTTATGACGACTCAGAGTCATTTTTGCCTTATATTTCAAATACTATTTCATGCTCATCAAATACTTATTAAATTTTATAATAAAAATTATTCCCCAAATCAGTAAGAAATGTAAAAGGAAAAAAATTTCCACTTCTGCACCCTAGCACCCACAAAATTCTCCTGCCCAGACTGTATACTGTTTGCTATGAACCCTTTAGATATTTTAATAAATACATTCAGATAAAGTAATTAGGTATGTTCACATATGTTAGCATATATAATTATTGACTATTAATGTGCTTTCATTTTGGTTACTTTATAAAATTTTGCCTTTTTAAAAAATACCATGTTCTGGCCGGGTGCGGTGTGGCTCATGCCTGTAATCCCACCACTTTGGGAGGCTGAGGTGGGCGGATCACAAGGTCAGGAGATCGAGACCATCCTGGCTAACACAGTGAAACCCCGTCTCTACTAAAAATACCAAAAAAATTAGCCGGGTGTGGTGGCAGGCACCTGTAGTCCCAGCTACTCGGGAAGCTGAGGCAGGAGAATGGCGTGAACCTGGGAGGTGGAGCTTGCAGTGAGCCGAGATTGGGCCACTGCACTCCAGCCTGGGCAACAGAGCGAGACTCCGTCTCAAAAAAAAAAAAAAAAAATACCATGTTCCAGATCACAATAAATGAAATGTTTAGGTAACCCACTTTACCTTTCAGTCTGGGCTGCCCGGGTCAGAATAATGAATGAACCCACAGGAATAGGATTCTGAAGATCAGGCAATAGTTGGAATGAAAGACAAAGTGCAACATTTTAATGTTTTCAAAGAACTCAAAAGCCATGTGGTGCCAATATTCCATATCAAAATTATCTAGGAAAATTTAAATGAAACACTTATTATAATAAGATTAATCAATGTGAAAAGAAGCCAGAGCAGAAAGTGGATGGAGTACTCGTAAGACTGCAGTATAACACTCTGTCCTAGACAGGCTCACCCGGACTGCTTCTCTGTCAAAGTTTAGCAGATCTATGACATTTCTTTCACTGGATCATCTTTCTTTTCAGTTTCTCTACAGGCTATCCAGGCTATAGTAAGCTGAAAGGATAAATGATATTATCTGGAAGTCAGGAAACAGGGTTTACAACTGTTATATAGGCTCAAAGACAAGGAAGCAAAGCAATTTGACCCACATTTATGGAGCACCAACTACGTGCAAAGCAGGGCACTAAGCTTTGTTGCAGACATGAAGGTACAGAAGTTCTTAAGGTCCTTACAATTTGATTGTGGTAAATTACTTGAATATAGACTTCTCCATCATTACAAATTTTTTTGTTTTTTTTTTTTCAGACAGGGTCTTGCTCTGTTGACCAAGCTGAAGTGCAGTGGCATGATCATGGCTCACGGCAGCATCAACCTCCCAGGCTCAAGGGATCCTTCCACCTCAGCTTCCTGAGTAGCTGGGACTACAGGCGTGTGCCAACCATGCCCAGCTAATTTTTTTTTTTTTTTTTTTTTTGTAGAGACAGGGCCTCGCTATGTTGCCCAGACTGGTCTCAAACTCCTGGGCTCAAGCAATCCTATTGCCTTGGCCTTCCAAAGTGCTGGAATTACAGGTGTGAGCCACTACACTCGCCCTCCATCAATATAATTGATTAGCTCAAGATAAAAGAAAAGAAGTATCACTTCAGAACAAAGATATTCCTTTGATTTGGCTTGTCTTCACTTATGGCCAATACAAATAATCTGTATTCAACTGCTACTTTCTCTTGTCTTTTAGGCCCCATTTCCAGCTTTCCAGACAGCATGCTACTTGGTTCAACCTCACCTAATGGCTCTGGCCCAGGTGCTGCCAGCACTGCACTGACAGCCTAGAGCATGAGAGAATGTGGTTAGACTTCCTGAGAACCATTCAAACACCTACCAGCCCTACTCCCTCCTCTAAGGCTGCACACTTCTCCAAGGTTAGTTACAACCTCTAGGTTTCAAGATTCCACTCTAGCCACCGACTCTAATTCCAGGGGGACTACTAAACTTCACCTGTTATACACTGCCCTACTGTCAGCTCCACCCACCCTTGGTCTCGAGTAACAACCCCTTGTGGCACTGTCTAAAGCAAAGACAAAAATCAATTTTCATTGACTGCTATTGACTTCCTGGAACTCTGCACTGAGAAAGATGCTGAGACACATGCGGACTCAGCGGGAAAGAACACTGGGGTGTTGCTGTGGTAGGTAATAATATGAGTTATGCATTTGCCCTCTGGTTTTAGCATCCTGACAACACAGTTCCTTACCCTCTTTGACTCTAGAGACAAATTCTGTCTTCCACAACAGTAATATCCTAGACCTTTTAGAACTCTCCATAATAAAGTTCTTATCAATTCCAACCTGGTCCTCCTTCATTCTTTACACAGGCATTTTTCTCAGTCCACCTCACCTGCCTTCCACTCCATCTTCATGAGGGCCTTCAATCACAAAACTCTTCCACCTTACCCCTTACAACCTCTTCCCTGTTTCACTGGACTCCTAGCTTCTCAAGATCCTGTGGTCAGTAGCTAAAACTCATTTTCTCTTACTTCTCCGATTTAATCACCAATTCTGGATCACACCATCATCTATATTCTCTATTTAAATCTAGCTTTCTTGAGCAAGAGATAGAAATGCTAACCCCAGCAAATACAAATTCATATTGCTCACCTTCTATCATATCTTTAATCCTGATAATCTATTCTTTTATTCACTTCAGTGGGTCTGAAACACAATCCCCAGAACAGTATTTCCATACCATCTTCACTTTCCTCAAACACCTAATTCCACGGTCTCTTTCTCTGTGCACTGTAGGGAGCTCTTGTATATATAAGATGCTTGGCTTCACTTCAACATCATACTAACCCATGTCCTGTAGAAGTGCCACAGAGCCCAGTGGTTAAGGCCACAGTTGCTGGAGCAACCAGCCTAGGTTCAACTCCCAATTCTGCCCTTACTGCCTACGTGACCGCTGACAAATTATTTAACCTGAGTCTCAGTTTCCTCATCTTTAAAGTGGGGCTATCATAGTAGTATGTACCTCACTGTACTGTTGTGAGGAAGAAATAAGTAGCTCTTAGGACAATGCCTGACACTATGTAAGTGTTCAACAGATGTTTTCTGTTTCAGCCTTTTAGTATCAAAAGAAGAAACATTTTGCTTCCTTGCTATAGCAGACCCTTCCACCTCTACTCTGTTAACAAATTCCTTCCTACTTCTCTAGAATCCATTCCTCTATAATATGTTGCAATTCTCTCTCTACTAACCTCCTTTTCTCCATCTTCCAATATCCCAAGGTTTACTGTGTCTATTAAAAAATTATTTGCTTGACCTACCCCCTTATGGCTGAACCCGTCTTCTTCCTTCAGATTCCATGTGCTTACAACGCCTCTTCTTCCTGGTCCACATGACCTGGCCTCTGGCTATTGCTCTGGCCTCATCTCATATCATCTTATAACCCTTGTCTCGCTCCAGCCACAATCCTCTCTTATGTTCCTTGAACAAGCCAAGCACATTCTAGCTCCGAGGCCTCTGAGTTGCCATGTTCTCTGTCTGGGGCTTCTCTCCCCAGCTCCAATACCTTATTTGCCTCTCTCAATTTTTCACCTCAAAAGTGCTGTCCTCAGTGAAGCCATCCCTTAAACACTCAGGTTAAAGAGCCCCTCAATCGTTCTCCATCACACCTCTTGCTTTATTTCCTTCAAAGAACTCTCTCCTCCTGAGAACAGGAACCTTGATATCTCTCTCCTTCCTGAATACCAGAGGCTAGCTCCATAAATATTGTTGACTGTATCAGCAAAGGACTTTGCTACAATCTGTGGAGATACCAAACCAATCAGACACAGATCGTGTCAACAGAGTTTATAGCCCATAGTGGAGAAAAGATGGGCCCCAAAGTATCTGCAATATGCAGCATAAAGTACTCAGAGCCTTCTAACACGCAAGAGAAGAAAGAGAGGGCTTTTGCCTGGGAAGTTCTTAAAAGTCTTGAGAAGGAGGTGGTATCTGAGGTAGACTTTGAAGACAGGATAGAATTGATATTCAGAGACGGCAGGAAGGGGTAAAGAGCATTCCAGATGGTGGGCCTTCACTTAGATTTTCCCTTTCCTTCATCCATTATCCTCCATCTATCCCCAATTACAGCCTTTCTTTTCCTTTTCACAAGTCCCACTTTCTCTTTATTGCCACTATCACACTAATCTGAGTCCTCAACACTAATCTGAGTCCTCATCACACATCATGACGCCTGGCAGACCTTCTGATTGGTTTCCATCCCTTAGTTCTTTCCACCTACCAATCATTCCATGCACTGTTGGGGCCTGAGGAGACCCACTGAAGAGCCTTCCTTTTCCTCACCCAACTTTTGAACCAATTGAGATAGACAGAGGGTGGTCAGATACATGGGGATCAAAACATCAGACAGTTGGAGGATGCAACTTAGTTGCGTAGCAGCAAATTGAACCCCAGGATTTCAGAGACTTACCTCTGAGTCACAAGCATCACTGGATAGCCAGAGGCCTCCCCTCCTGGGAAACTGCCCATGAAGGGCTGATGGCATGGAGGAGCAGATCTGGGGGAGCGGACCAGAATTAGTGCTCTTAGGACAGCAGCTGAATTACCTGGTTCCTCTCCTAAACTTGCCAATAAGTCACTCCTCCTTCTCATGGGTGGGGTGTGCAAAGGGATGGACGGAGGCCAAGAGTGCTATTCCAGCTGACGTCCCTTTACATGGACACATAAAGCCACTGAAAAGGAGGGTCCCTGCTACCCTATCACCACTTTCACCCCACCAACTTCCATATTTCTTATTAAATACCCTTTTAATCTTGAGTCTCAAGACATGTGTGGTTGCTTCTTGCCAAATATATCACAGTAAGTCTATTCATATGGCTTTGAAGGTCCTCCAAAGTCTCAGCTCACTACTCCAAAATGTACCCCTGTTCTAGGTTAGCCTCCTGACCATCTCATACATACGCTGTGTTCTTTCCACCTTGACTTTGTGCTCAATCCTCAAAGCTCAGCTGAAATAGCCTTTCCTCAATGAAGACTCCTCTGGCATTCTGAGTCACAATCATCACTCTTTTCTTTGCATTCCTGGTTAATAAAATACAGTTTTCCAAGTCAATTTGTTTCATATTATAGTACTCGACTATGTTCAAGCCAGAAACAAACGGAAAAAATGAACTAATTTTAGGTCTTTGTTCTCCTCATTACAGGCACATCGGGGCACACTAATCATGACACTGCCACACATGTCCATAGCAAAGAACATGAAGAGAGTGATACTACAGGAATCAAAGCTGGACTGTGTCTTGCACATATTTAATATGCTCCACAGGCCCTCGTACAGTGTTGGCCAGTGGAGTACACAGATGGTATTCCACAGATATTTTTATTAACAAATTTGTTCTGGTAGAAATGAACTAGTCTTTTCTATGGCTACTTTGGAGACTTTCTTTTTGGGTAAAAAGAGGATATTCCATTCATTTTCCCTTCATAAACCTAGGAAAAAGATTACCTATGTCAGCTCTAGTGGAAACAGACCTGTAACATATCTGGCTACATATTAACATTAACTAGATATACCAGTTTAGGGATCTCTTCCATCCAGTTCTTTGCTATGGGCAACAGTGATAGAGCATAAGTCAATACATTCCTGGCCAATTTTTCTCAAGTGTGAACCTGACTAGGAGATCACAGATCCAACTTTTTAAAAGCAGAGATTTTCTGTCTTCTGTGATGAGGGCAAGCCTTAGCCTCTGTTGAGGTTTTGGACCCAGGAAACAATTCCAAACATCACCTTTCAAACCATGCTTATTCTTTGCCATGGTGAGCTTTTGGCTCTATATATCTAATCTATAGGAATTAAATATAAAAGACCCTCCCATACTTAGGCTGCTGGATTTTAGGCATAAATGGCATTCCATTACAATTTCTTGATGCAGCCTACAGAATTATAGAGACTTAGAGCTGGAAGAGATCCTAGAAATCCCACTAGCACATCCACATGTAAGGCAAAACCTATCAGCTGCCTTCATTAACAGAACCCTAATTTTGTTCAGGTATGGGGGCAATATGCTCAGGAAAGATGGCCTCTCCCCTGCCCTGTAAAAAGAATAATAATTTGTTTAATCCAATCACAGTAATCCTATTTTCCTTTGCCAGAGATTGCCTTAGGGGTGGACATGTGACCCAGTTCTGGCCAAGGAGCGGGTGCTATTGGGAGCCTCTGGAAAAAAAGACCCAGAAGAGATGCCCTGCTCTCTCTCTTCCTGGTTTTTACTGTTGGTATTTAAGAAAATGATCCTAACACATTTGGGAAGTTAGGAAAATGTTTTTTAAAATGATCCTTGGGGCAGCTGTAGCCACTTTGTACCAATGATGGGAGAGAAGAGAAATCACCAATATACCAAGGAAAACAAAGCAAAAAGATGGAAAGCCTGTAGGTCCTGGATGACCCCAAGACCACCTACCCCTGGGTATCCTGTGAAGTGTTTATTGCATAAGTCCTCGACATTCACTAAGTGCTCAATAGTTATCTGTCAGATAAAAGAAAAATTACAGTGATATTTTGGCCTTACTATTTGTGCCACTTTTGGTTGAGTATTTTGTTACTTGCTTCTGAAAGCATTCTGACTGACTGAACACATTTGGAAAGAGGTTCCAGGAAGCAAAATGACTTGGCCAAGGTTATACCACAAAGTGGGCAAGTTGAGAGTGGAACTCCAACCTCCAGACTTTAAATCTAGATCACACTGTGTTTTATTTGTGGTGGAGGGAATGAGTCCTAGCCTTCCTCAGGCTGGAGAAGCGGTTTAACACAGTGGTTATGTGCAGTCTTGGAGTTAGACTTGGCTTAGAATCCTAGCCCTGCCACATACTAGCTGCATAGGCTTGGATGAGGTCATCTTCTCTAAGCCTCAGTTTCCTCATTTGTAGAATCAGGATAATATCATCTATTATGTTAAACTGTTGTGAGTATTAACTAAGATAATGAACACTTCTTAGCACAGAGCTGGGCATAAAATTATCGCTCATTAAGTGATAGCTCTTACTGACAGTATTAATAATAACAAACTTCATTCAACTTGAATCAAGCTGTAACTAAGGAGAAAGGAAAGAGTAGCCCCTTCCATTCTGAATAAAAAACAAAACATCACTATTCTGTCCTGATTTTTAAGCACCAATACACAGAATTCAACCTTCCATGTGTTCATGCTTGGTACAGTACAGTTTTCTACAATACAGTTGGTATCTTCAAAGGACTTCCAATCTGGTGTGGGAGATGGATGGACAAGCAATTATCTATCGTGCACAGCAGAGTAAAATGTGCCATGGGAACATAAAGTGAAAGGGAAGAAAAAAAAAAGAATTTTAATTGAGAAAAATCTGGAAAGGTCCCAGGGAGGATGTGGGATTTGAATTGGCCCTTGAAAAATAATGGAGGATTTTTGGAAAGTGAAAAGGGCAGGGAAAGTATTCTGGGATGAAGAGACAGCAAAGGCCCAGGAGCTTGAAAGCACATGGCACTTTCAAAAATGGCAAAAAGGTTCAAAAGCAAGAAGGTATGGGTGATAAGGTTGGGAAGATACCTGGATGCTTTATAAAGTTTACACTTGATTTTGTAAGAAATGGGGAACTATGGTTCACTTTTGAGAACAAAGTGACATGAAAAGATTTGTGTTTTAGAAAGAAAACTTTAGCAGTTTATAAAATTAGTAACCATAGTTTTCCTTAGCCAAAAAGAAAAAAAAATTAATAGGACAACCAGGAAAAAATATCAGACATTTTGATTTAAAGGTTCCCATAGAGAAGTGTTATGAATCAGAATGTGGGCTGTCAATGAGGCATATTGGGTTTCCAAATAGCTGCCACAGGCCAACATTCAATAATGTAACCAATGGAAACTATACGACCATATAAAATCAATTTTCTGTGACCTATTTTAGCAACTTCTTTGTACTGACTAATCTTGCTGAAGGGTGAATCATAAATTCAGCAAGAGACCATGTCCTGGTGACCTCACTTGTTCTTAGCCTGCAGGAATATTCCCACCTCTACTGGCTCCAAGGCTTTTGAGAAACATCATAATTGAAAAAGCAGTCATTTTAGTATAAGTCCCAAATTTGGCTTTTTTTTTTTTTTTAAAGTGAAAGATGGGAAAAAGGGAACCGAAACAGAGTAACACAAAACCTGAGATAAAGAAACTATACTGCCATGGTTTTTCTAGCCCTAAAGAAAATCTCTGCTTGAGATCTTCTCCTGAAGTACTTAGAACAAGAAAATACAGGCATAGGAATGGTACCAGGTCACCAGAGAGTGAAACCGACGGAAACAAAAGCCCAGTTGACCACTGCCCTTGCCAAGCAGATGAAAATGTGAACACAGTCAGGAATGGAAAAGTAAGTTAGATTCTGGCAGTTTGTTGAGTTTCAGAGCTCTGTAGCTAATGCAAAGGATTTCTTTAAAAATTTTTTATTTTAAAAATTGCAACAGTGGTTCACCCAGAAGTAGAGTTACAAGACACACAAATCTTTCTGTGTTAAATAATTTCAACCATACCTACGTTTTCATTACAATTTTTTATTATCTGACTACAGTAATTAGCTTCCACACAACCATGAGTCAGGGTCAATTCAAATACATCCTAGAATGATATAATTTTGGAGTTGGGAAGGACAATAGAGATAATTTAACCTGCCTCAGTAGGTTCGTAAACCAAACGCAATAGACAATAAAGTGGTTTTTCCAAACTTACATGGTCAATCAGGAGTAGAGTTTGGATAACCTTTCGGGTCCTAGTTGAGGATTCTTTCCATATAGCCTATGTATCTATACTTTGTTATAAGTGTGCGTGTGTATAACCTGTATTTCATATATATGTTCACATGACTTTTTATGTTCTTACCTTATGACACATTTATGTTTAGATTGTAATTCTGAGATGTTAAGACCTTGTCTTCTTTATCCTACGGCAAAGTCCTTGGTGCTTATGATTGTGTCATTACTCAATGAACAAGAACAGATGACAGTGATGCAGAGGGAAAAGGGTTTAGTACAGACAGTAGTGAAGAGCATGTCTTTATACAACTAAGAGCAGTGCTAAGACTAGAAATCAGCCATTCTTTTTTTTTTTTCATTTTCTGGAGTTGACTTGTAAGAAATCAGCCATTCTGGTAGTAGGATCAGGGCCCACTCTCAGGGCTAGTTCCCAGTCACACCCTGCTATAGCTACCAAGTGCATAGCAGATGCTGGGATGGCAGTAAGGAGAGGCACTGATCCTGAGAAAGCTTTGGTGTCCACCATCTACCTTGAGGTTCTTCAGAGATAACTGCCTCTGCTGTCACTTTGCCTTAGATCTATTTCTTCCCATCATCACTTCATGATTTAACCCTGAGACAAAACTATTCAATCCTCAGATGATGGAAATGGTGTTAACTATTTAGATAGGAAAAAAGCCACATCCCATCAACTGGTGGCAACCTTCATCCACTAGCACAGCCGACATTCCTTCTTAAGAAGACAGAGCTAGGTCTGTCTCTCCATAAGGCAAGGCAATCTCCCAAGTAAGACAGTTAAAAAATGGGCCAAACACGTGTATACCTATGTAACAAACTGGCACGTTCTGCGCGTGTATCACAGAACTTAAAGCATAATAATTTTTTTTAATGGGGCAAAACCCCAAAGCTCTCCCTTCCATGCTTACAAACCCATCAGGGTCGGTTCACTTCAGCTGTTGGCATGCTAACATTAAAGAGTATGAAAGGCAAAGTGACCATCTTCCTTTTGCAGATTCATTGGTCTCCTAAGAAACTGTGACCGGCTCTGTGTCCGAGTATTTCAGTGAATAAGTTAAATGCAGGAAACAATCCTTGCTTAGCTGGATTGCTTTGGCATGCCTCAGTTTTTCTGAACCCATGATAGAGTTACAAGGCACACATAAATCTTTCTGTGTTAAATAATTTCAACTATACCTATATTGGTTAATTTTAGTTCAGTGAACATTATCGTACTGATCCCCACCAACTACCCCCATAGAGATTTACTGCCAATGAGGCTTTCAAAGTGGAGGGCTGAGGAGACTGAGGACCACTAGCTTCCAAAGTAAGGGCACAGCCCCAGCTTAGTGGTTAAGAGCCTGGACTCGGAGGAAGACTGCCTAGATTCAAATTGAGGCTCCACTCCTCCCTCACTGTGGGAATTTGAACAAGTTACTTATGCTCCCTGTGCCTCAGTTTCATCATCCTTAAAACGGGACCAATGAAAAACCCATGTCACAGGATAAGCTGCTACCTATAAAGCAGTTAAAATTATCAGTGCACAAAGTGTTAGCTGCCACTGCCATTATTATTATTATTTTTCCCTCTCTTTCCACCTGGGCTCTCTCACTCACCCTGAGAATAAACACACTAGGTGCTCAGATGTTGGCTTTGATAGTAATAAACAAACTGTTAATCTGGTTCATGTATTCTTCTCTCATATATCCCTTCCCCATTCTAGGAAAGCAGTGGCCTCCAAATCCAAAGCAATAATCTTCTATAAAGAAACACAATCAAGGAACAGAGAAAAGTTGAAAACGTTATAAAATTATCTCAAATGATTGCCAACTTCGGACAGACTAAAGGGCAAACCACAGTGATCTCACCAGGCTTTGTGCTCATCAAACAGTCAGATTCCTGTAAGAAGGGAAATCTTAATTGTGCCTATGCAACTCAGGAGTCTGAAATGGTATCTAAATAGCTCTCCAAGACCAGAGTAACATTCTTCCAACGTTAGGGGCACTTTATAAGCCACACACAGTCAGGGAGGGGAAAGTGAACACAGTCAGGGAGAGAAAATCAAAAGTGTTTGATTTTCTCTTATCAGGGCAGCTTTTGAGACAAAAGCCTATGTTCATTTTTCAGTATTTACTGCTGCTACAGAGCTTCACAGAGAGGATGTGCAAATGCCAAATGGTGATGTGAAGGTGGAGAAAGGGAGGATGTCAGAAAAGAGGGTGGAGTCATTTTTTCTAGAAAGACACAAACCAGCTAAAGAAGTTAATATCTTTAATTTATCAGCTTAGTTCTTGCCAGAATTCATTCATTTTACATTTTAAAAATGTTTGAGCACATATTTTTGAGCACATGTTCAAAGCACTAAGTTAGATACTGAAGATAAAACAATGGGTAAAATTCTCAGGTGAAAAGTAACTTAAAAAGAAAAGAAAAACAAATAGGTAAGAAACAATCGCTTCCATCAGTGACTATAAACTCTGGTGTGAATGACAATTAAATAGCTGATCACAAATCAGTATGAGAGAGGGAAAGAATGGTCTATTTCCCATTAACAAACCAGTTAATAACTATGAGAAAGTGTACCACAGGAAGGCCAATTCATTTCAAGAAATATTTATTATGAGGCCCATTTTATAACAAAAAAAAACTTGAAATGCTTGTTAGTGTCACTTTGATTCTCACTGATGGGTTTCAAATTCAATTCATAATAATAACAATTATATCATTAA
Source organism: Homo sapiens (assembly GCF_000001405.40). Taxonomy (NCBI): domain Eukaryota; kingdom Metazoa; phylum Chordata; class Mammalia; order Primates; family Hominidae; genus Homo; species Homo sapiens. Next base: position 207,996,878 of record NC_000002.12, read on the forward strand.
ATGTTTAAAACTTTTATTAAGTGTTCAAGTGTACTGAACATGGTTCTAAGAAGCACTTTAGATGTTTTAACCCATTTAATGCTCACAAGAAATTGAGGTCAGTACTACCATTACCTCATACTTTATGTCCAAAAAAAAAAAAAATTACAATGCGGGTACAGAGTGATTAAGAAACCTGCCTTATATTACACAACTAGTAAGTACTAGAGCAAAGTTGGAAACCCTGGCAGTCTAGGTTTAGAGTCAGTGTTTCTAACAAATATGCTACTTTGTTTGACCAGAAGGCCTCCTTCAGACCAGGCTTCCCTATTAGCAAAATAGCTGCTACACCCTAGCTACCCACAGCCCTCATTATACCGGAGCCCAATTTTGCTTTATGCACCCAAAGCAGCACTTATCCTCAGAAAGGCTCAAGAGCCTGGTTATTCATCACCAATTGAGACAGAAGACGCAGAGGCCCTACCTGATGAAGAAGACCCTTGGACTTACTACAGGAGGAAGGAAAGAGATGGAGGAGGGTAGGAGGAAGGAGCAGACGAGGGAAGAAGCACTTCCAATAAGGCTTTAAGCTATTCAAGGTGAGTTCAGAAAAAGAGCCAGGTAAAAAAATGAACATTAACTGGAGAAAACATAACCATGCAGTAATAACACCAGCAAGTAAGAGAATGACAGGACCAGACACAAAACCTGTTGACCTCATCGAAAGAAATCCACTGAGGAAATTTTATTTCTTCTGAGGAGCCCCCAGCCTCTCATTAACCCTTGTTAACTTAGAACAGCAGGAATGGGAGAAGGGAGGATTATGGGTCATTTGAGACACTTTGAATTTGAGGTGCCTTTGGTACATTTCAACAAAAATGCTCACCAGGCAGTTGGAGATGCGAGTCTGCAGCTCAAGGAAGAGGTCTTGCCTGACCCCAGATCTCCTGGGTCCTCATCTCCAGCTCTAGCCAAGGTACTACACTGCCTCCCTCTGCTTTTGGCATATTCCTCAGGAGAAACAACGAGTCTTTCTTCAGTTTGGATTACTAACTTCAAAGGTTTTAAAATAAATTTTACTCAGAGATCTTGGCTGATTTTGACTAGTTGGCACCTGGATATTGGCACACCCCTCCACAAATGCTTATGAGAATACCGGCCTCAGAATAGGTGATCAGCCATGCAATCTAGAACTCCAGCCTGAGAATGGGTGGCCACTGCTTGCCCCTGCCCTTCAACTGATGGGCAATAGGAATATGATTTATCTTGCCTGCTCTCCAGAGAATGCCGAAAGAAAAGGTGTCAAAAACTTGGCATGCCATTTACTCACATTCGCTATCTCCTGGATGACTAAAAGGTGGCAGTGGCTGGGAGCAGTGGCTCACGCCTGTAACCCCAACAGTTTGAGAGGCCTAGGTGGGAGGATTGCTTGAGCCCAGGAGTTTGAGACCAGCCTGGGCAACATAGCAAGACCTCGTCTCTACTAAAAATAATAACAATAAAAAATTAGCCAGGCATGGTGGTACATGCCTGTAGTCCCAGCTATTTGGAAGGGTGAGGTGGAAGGATCGCATGAGCGTGGGAGACTGAGGCTGCAGTGAGCTATGATTTACACCACTGCACTCCAACCTGGGCAACTAAGTGAGACCCTGTTGGAAAAAAATTTAAAAATAAATAAATAAATGGTGGTCAGAATATATTATAGCGATACTTGCAAATGCCATTTGTTACAGCTGACTTTTCAAACTACCACTCAGTTCTCATATTTCAACATAATTTAATATCAAACTTTTTTAAAACATGAGAATTAAAAAATAATTATCATGGTCTGTTGAGCACTCAAAGGAGTAGTTCAGGTCTTTACAGAGCCTAATGAAGGCTGAATTCCTATATTTACAATCAAAACAAGATAGGAAAAATAAAATTGCAAATAGGACACCCTCTTGACTCGTGCTACACCAGGGATTTAGAATGGTTAAGGAGGTTGTAATAAAAACCTAAATGAATGCCAAGAAACCAAAAAGCTACTGAGGTTATTTACTAATCAGAAGGTGCAACTGCTTGTACATGAGCTCAAAGCAAAGCTATGATTCTGCTAGGCACTGGGCTTACAGCAACTTGTATGTCCTTTAATATCTTTTTTTTTTTTGAGACAGAGTCTCCCTCTGTCACCCAGGCTGGAATGCAGTGGCACAGTCTCACTGCAATCTCCGCCTCCCAGGTTCAATCGATTTTCATGCCTCAGCCTCCCAAGTAGCCGGGACTACAGGCACGTGCCACCAAGCCCAGCTAATTTTTGTGTTTTTAGTAGAGACAGGGTTTTGCCATGTTGTCCAGACTGGTCTCTGACCTCAAATGATCCGCCTGCCTCAGCCTCCCAAAGTGCTGGGATTACAGGCATGAGCCACCATGCCCAGCCATGTCCCTTAATATCTAATCAGTCATCAAGTCCTGTGCTTTAAAATATCCTTTTCTTAGCCAGGCATGGTGGCTCATGCCTGTAATCCCAGCTACTTGGGTGGCTGAAATGGAAGGATTGCTTGAGCACAGGAACTCAAGACCAGCCATAGCAACATAGCAAGACCCCATCTCTAAAAAAAACTGAAAAAATTAGCCGGGCCTGCCTGTAGTCCCAGCTACTTGAGAGGCTGATGTGGGAGGATCCCATGAGCCAAGAGTTTGAGGCTGCAATGAGCTACAATTACATCATCATATTCCAGCCTGGGAGACAACAAGACCTTGTCCCTAAAAAAACAGATTTTAAAAGAAGAAAAAATACATGGAATGTCCTTTTCTTTTTACTCCCATGGTCACTACCCTTGGCTAGATGTAAGACTGGTGAGAGCCTACGAGAGAAGACAAGGAATTACAAGTCATGAATTAGAGTGGAAAAGATTTGAAAAAGATGAATTTCAGGAACACTGCATTTGCTTAACAGACATATTAAACTATATCCTTGCCTCGGGTTACACTTATAAGCTAATTTTTATAATTAGAATGTTGAATGCATCAATAGAATACCATGCAATGATAGAAACTGAAGTAATACTAAAATAGCAGTGAAGTACCAAAAATGTCTCCTAGTTAATTGAGTAGAAGCCATCTACATTAAAGGATGAGTAGGGTGATTGAGAGTCATTAGCAATAAAAATTGATAGCCTGTATAAATGAGCTTATCTCAAAGGAAATTCTGGGGAAAATGGTGAGAGAGTTTGTTGTGTCTCACAGAAGAGCAAGTTCATGAGTACATATTCATGTGCACACATATGTGTATAAAGTATGAGGAGAAAGGAAATTCAAGACCCTCCGCCATGAGGGAGGACCTAACCACCCTCCCCAGCCATTTCCTTGTTACTGCTGGCTATGGGGTCCTTTGCTCTACTTGCCAGGGTCTGCTTGCTCTCTTCTGCACGCCCTTCTCCCCACCTTTGTTTACACCATAATCCTGACGAAGTGTCATGTCCTGTGACTCTATGTCTGCATCTTAGTGTCCTTCCAGATGTAGTTCAAGTTCCATGTCCCCTTGCAAGCCAAGCCCTTCCTGAGAAGCCCAACCCACAGTGTCTTCTCCTTCTTCTGTCCTTTTACGGTCACTGCCATTCACTCTTATATGGACAGAGTAAAATGAAAGCCCCTCCCACAATTTCAATGGCCCATCTATTGTCTCTCATTACCGAGTACCTTCTTGAGTCTTTGCTGGTGTTGGATCCCCTCAGCTAGATGAAAAGTTCTTTAGGGCAGGGATTGTGTCTTCACACATCTTTAAATCCTTCCTAGCATAGGCTCAGCCCAACGTACGATCTACTATAAGAACAGGCAGTATCATACAATGTGCACAGAAAAATACTATTAATACATTAAGTATGAGAGTATTCCGATTCTAACATACAAGATTAGAAAGGGAGAATTTACCGTAATTGTCTTTTCACTAAATACCTCTTAGGAAGATAATAAGACTGTAAAGTACACAAGAAAATGGAAGAGAGAGCTTAAATATGCAAGGCAGATGTGGATGCTGGAGCATAAGATTCTCATGAGCCAGATTAAGAGAGACAAAGGAAAAACCAACAATGATTCAGTAGAAGTCAGATATAAAAACATACAAGCTTATCTGAGTCACAGCCCCAAAAAGAAAAAAAAAAAAAAGGAAATAAATAAAATTTAAAAACATACCAGTATTTCCTTGAGCATCTTCTATCTTATTTGGTGAGGGCAACAGAAAAGATGGCCTGGTGACATGCGGGCCTTGAAGCAATGGCTGCTGCTGTTGCTGCTGCTGCAAAGGCGTGGTTTTGAGGACTACCCTCCAGTCCACTTGGGTAATATCTGATCGTGATCGAGCATGCCCTGGCTTGAAAGTTGAGGTCTCATCCAGTAAGTCATTTACAGAACGAGGCCGGTCCCTCCGACGCTGACAGATATTGAAGAAATTAAAGGTTGATGCTTCCTTTTGTTCCATCCAGGAAAGATTATCTGGGGTTGTCCCTCTCTGGACCATAAACTGTTCTTTGGCAGGGAAGACATTTTGAGCTTTGGTTTCTAAGAGCCTGCTCTTACAGTGGTCCCAAATCATGCCCCCCTTGCCCAGGGAGGTGACATTTCTCATAGCACCATTGTCTGTTATGTTACTGAGTACCTCATGCCCCACCAGTTCAGGGACTTCCTGGATCCCATAAACCTCTGCCTGCTGCACAGCCTTTTCTAGATTACTATCCAAAGTACTAAAGAATTCCTCCGTAACTTCTAAGGCTGGGCTGATATCATCCACTTCCAAAGCTTCCATGTCACAGGCTCCAGGAGGCCTTAGCCTCCTAAGCTGGTTCCAGAAATGGCTTCATGAACATTCACCCAACCAAGAGGGGTGCTTCAGCAATAGAGCTATGGAAACAACTGGAAGAAACCTTCATTGGGCTCCCTGGAGCAGGCCAAACCCAAAGTGGTTGATGTTTTCCTGGTAATTAAAAGCATTTGCTAGTGGCTAATGGGCATTAACAGATGTATAGGGAGACCAAATGTTCCTTTGAGATTATTCTTCAGTGAGACCTCTGTGAAGACAACAGCAAGTACTTGTCAAAGCAATGCCACGCCAATCCTTGATTTCCTGGAAGAAAATAAACAGGATAACATTGGCACATGGTTCATTGTATTCTACAGTACACAAGTCTGCCGAATTGCTTTCCCACCTCTATGCCCGTTCTATGGTACTCAAGCACAAAGGCAGACAACACCTACACAGAAGTGCCATTGTCAGGAATACATATCACTACCCGCTTTGGATAAAAACTTACACGGAGCAGGGAGGAACACTTGATAAGAGGAATTAAAGTCAATAGCTTTTACTCACACAGAGAAAATGCTTTGAGAGCATTTGTGAAAAGACTGCCCTGGCAAATCTCTGATATGCTGACCTAAAATAGTAAGCAAAAGAGACTAGGAATTCTGTGACTGGGCCTGTATCATAATCAGTCTAAAAGTCATAAATGCTTGAGTCCTTTCACAAACTTTGAAGGCACTGATGATTTGTTGGGTTTAAAGGTACCACAGGGAAGCAGAGAAGGAGGTTCTGCCCTTTTTTTAAATCCAAATGTGACTGTGCTTGTGCTTCTTAGACTTAGATTATATAATGCTTGATGATGACTCTGGACTTCAGAATTGCTCTGGCATTCTTACGGTTTCAGGCTCCAAACTCCCCAAGACTTCCAGGATTGGCCTCAGAGTATGGGTCCAGTCTGCAGGGTGTCTAAGAGCTTAAGGTGAAGTCATGGCCTGAATGGCAGGCTTGAGTTCATCCTTTTCTGTCTACAGAACTCAAGTTCCAAACCTTACATCTCTACCTGGGCAGAAAGAATCCTACATAAGCAGTAACCCATGCTTTCAAACACTAGATTACCAAGACCAGGCCAAATTAGAGCAGACCTTGACAATGATGCTGTCCAGTACAGTAGATAGTAGCCATTATGACCATTCAAACTTAAATTTAGTAAAGTCAAAGTTCCTCAGTCACACTAGTCACATTTCAAGTGCCCAACTGTCACATATACCTTTTACCAGGAAAAAAAAAAAAACAAATAAAACAACTAGGCAAGGGCTTTTTTAATCCTTAACTACTTATAAGTAGGCAAAACTAGGCAACTAGCAACACCATTATATATTGACATGGTTTGGTTGTGTCCCAACCCAAACCTCATCTTGAATTCCCATGTGTTGTGGGAGGGACCCAGTGGGAGGTAATCGAATCGTGGGGGCAGGTCTTTCCTGTGCTGTTATTGTGATAGTGAATAAGCCTCATGAGATCTGATAGTTTAAAAAGAGGAGTTTCCCTGCACAAGTTCTTCTCTTGTCTGCTGCCATGTGACACGTGCCTTTCACCTTCCACCATGATTCCAGCCATGTGGAATTGTAAGTCCAATAAAACACTTTCTTTTGTAAATTGCCCAGTCTTGGGGTATATCTTTATCAGCAGTGTGAAAACGGACTAATACATATATGTTATCGCAAAGGTAGATAGATGTGCTTTCTTTGTAAAAACTTCACAATTTTTATGGTTAAATTCATTTTTACCTCTTAGGTCATTAAACCACTACATTTATATCAACAGCACCAATCTACTTTGCTTAACCTATGTAAATTAAACTCATATATACAGACCTTTATTTTAGATCAAGGAGGTTTGCAGTTCATAGCACCTCTATAGAACCTCTTGCAAAGTGATAATGATTATGAATTTGTCTACTTTTATATATTTTGATATTTATTATGTTAGTACTTCATGAAGCAAGGCACAGATTTATTTTTAGAGATATACATTAGTTATAAAACATTTCTAGCTGTAAACAGGGTTTTTTTCTGAGTCTAAAGTTAAACCTTCAGTCTCTCCAACTATGTAACAGGGTTTTAGTGCTTCTGTAATTTTGAAACTTGGGATATTTTTCAATTTCATCTTGTATACCAGAGACGGAAATATACATAAATATAATAAATCTTAAAACGTTTTGTTCTTTCCTTACTAAAAACTGAAATGAACATAAACAAAGTACAAGTTTCCCATTTTATAAAGAAGGCACCAAGGTTCAGAGCATTAAGTTGTTAATTGAAGATTACTGATATTCCTTTTCTCATCCAGTGTTTCAAATTTAGTCTTTACTCATGATAAGGTGCAAATAACCTTCAAAAAATTATTTGTTTCTTTCTCTTTTTTTTTTGATTTATCAAACTATCTAGATATATTATTTTTTATGCTTCTGGCTTGGTATTTGCAGGATGGTTAGAAGTATATAACAGGCCAGGTGCAGTGGCTCATGCCTGTAATCCCAGCACTGTGGGAGGCAGGCAGATCACTTGATCCACCAAGAGTTTGAGACCAGCCTGGCCAACATGGTGAAACCTCATCTCTGCTAAAAATACAAAAATGAGCCAGTCATGATGGTGTGCACCTGTAGTCCCAGCTACTCGGGAGGCTGAGGTGGGAGGAGGATCATTTGAACCAGAGAGTCGGAGGTTGCAGTGAGCTGAGATCACGCCACTGCACTCCAGCCTGGGCAACAGAGCAATGCCCTGTCTCAAAAAAAAAAAAAAATGTATATCACCATTGTTGGCCATGCTGGTTGGTGGAATACTTCTAACCCACATGGTCTAAAGCCATAGACTGTTAGACAAGGAAATTGGCCTTTGGGATTATGTTTTCAACCTTAGTATTTCATAGAAGAAGCCACTGAGGCCCAAAGAAGGTAAGAGGCCCCACGAGCACTTTCATGCTCTTAAACTTGCAGACAAGTTTTCACCTCAGGGCCTTTGCATTTGCTCTTCCCCCAGATACCCCAACATGGACAACTCTCTCCTTAGGTAATTGTTCATATGACCCTCCCTGACCACCCTCTTTAAAATTATAATGCAGTTCTCTGCCCTAGACTCTTGATCTCCCTTACTCTGCTTCTGTTTAAATAAACTTTTCATTTTAAAACAGTTTTTTGTTTGTTTGTTTTTTTCAAGACGGAGTTTTGCTCTTTCGCCCAGGCTAGAGTGAAGTGGCACGATTTCAGCTCACTGCAACCTCTACCCCACGGCGTTCAAGCGATTCTCCTGCCTCAACCTCCTGAGTAGTGGGGATTAAAGGCGCCCGCCACCACGCCTGGCTAATTTTTGTATTTTTAGTAGAGACGGTGTTTCACCATGTTGCCAGGCTGGTCTTGAACTCTTGAACTCTGGTGATCCGCCCACCTTGGCCTCCCAAAGTGCTAGGATTACAGGCGTGAGGCACCACTCCTGGCCAACAGTTTTATATCTATAAAATTATTACAAAGATAATACACTCAGTTCCTATATACCCCATGCTCAGTTTCCTCTATGTAACATCTCACATTAGTATGATGCATTTGTCACAATTAATGAACCAATATTGTTACATTATTATTAACTTAAGTCTATACTTTTTTCAGAATTCTTCATATTTCCCTAATGTCCTCTATCTATTCCAGGATCCTATACAGGATACCACATGACATTTAGTTGTCATGTTTCTTGGGCCTTGTGTTGGCTATGACAATGTCTCAGACTTTACCTGTTTTTGATGTCTTTGACAGTTTTGAGGAGTAATAGTCAGGTATTTCATAGAATGTCCCTCATTTTGGACATGTCTGATGTTTTTCTCATTATTAAACCAGGGCTATATGTTTTTGAGTGGAAGCCCACGGAGGCAAAGTACCATTCTCATCATATAATATTAAGGTTATATACTATGAACATGACTTACTACTGTTCATGTTAACCTTGATCACCTGGCTTGAGGTACCCTTTTTCCTTAAGCATTTGCCATCTTCTAACATACCATTTAATTGACTTATTTAACATTTAGTGTTTCTCTCTCTCCACTAAAATATAAGCTCTACAAGTCCAGGAATTTGTGTTCATTGTGTTCACTAATGGACCCCAAATACATGGAATAGTGTTTGGCACACACACACACGCATGTGCATGCGTTGAACAAATGCATTGTTGTCGCATTGCATAAGAGATAGCGCCTCATGACCTATCTACTTCTCCAGTTTAAAGTTCTTGACGAACACCCACCCACCTTGTTGTTTTACTCCTCCATGCTTTTGTCCAAATTGGGACAAAAGCATAAGAGCCCTTCCTAGTCGGTCAGGCTCTCATAGCACCTGGGTTTGCCAAATTGTACCAAAATGATCAGCCAGTCTCTCTAGATCCTACTCTAAACTCTGAGCTACTTGACTGCAGACACCGTGACCTTCTTACTTATCTTCCTAAATACTCTGTCTTCATTCTTTTAGGCTCTGTTTTCCAACCTTACTCTTTGGAATTTCATCTTTTTCCTGAGCTCTATAGCCCTCAAATTCACTACAGTACAACAGTCTGATGTCAAGTTTAATTTCTATAATTGAGTACTTCTTACTAGCTTGCCTCATTTAGTTTTGAAATTAATCAAAATATAATAAATATATTCAGATAGGTCAAAATATAAAGGGGACCTTCCTCTGACAAAGTGAAGGGAATAAGATCAGCATGTGGGTGCAGTGTGGCTTGCCTCAGTACAAAACTGGAAATCAGGAGCTAATTAGAACTGTGTTCTAAATCTGGCTCAACCACTCACTTGCTGGGTGGCCTCTGGCAAACCATTTAACCTCTGCATGCCTTACTCAGCTACCTGTATCCCATAGAGTTGCTAACATCGAATTGCTTTGCGTGTGGATCATTCACTAGGTAGCTGCTCCAACATGCCTTTACAAATGTAAACTGCTACATAATTATGGAGCACTCCATTGGACCTCACCCATTCAACAACCAAGTGTTCCTCATCTCTTCCTGGAAAGATCTGTCAGTCCAACAAAGGCAAAGTCAGCAACGAACTATTTATAATACACTGCTTTTCAGCCAAACTCAGTGACCTATAGACATTTTATCTTATATTTGTATAGAATGCCCTTTCTGTAAGAAGGGGTATTTCCCCTATTTAATAGATTGAGAAATTGAGGAAATAAAAGAGCTCAACCCAAAGAATCCTATGCATGCATCAAAACGAATCAGTGTATCGCTATTTCCTAACTAAGAAATCTGTTTTTTACATGCTCGTTAGGCAAGGCTAATTAACAGGATGAATACAGTAGTTCTCCCACACAGAGACAGAAGCACTTATGAGTAATAATTCTACCCTGACTCACACAGAGATGCTGTGTCCTCCTGAGCTGGACGGTAAAAGCGCTGACTTCCTCCCTCTTAGCTAAGTGACTTAGAATATTATGAGTGCTGAAGGTGTCTGGGGCCATATCATTTTAGAAGCAGCTGGACTGGGAAGAAAACTGCAATGGCAAAGACACCTAGGACAACTTATGTCTATCAATTTTCAAAAATAAGAGCCAAGGGTGATTACAAGGATGGTCCACATTGAGGGCGTTCACATCACCTTGGTTGAAGGTTGTGGCCGACTGAGAATTTTCTAAGAGTTACATAATGTGAAGGACACACCACAAGAGGATCTGCCCCTAGTAAAATGGCCTTTCTGGACCACGAGGCTACATGGTGACGTAAGGATGTGGATGGAGCACAGGCATGCCGCAAGCAGCTAGTAAGGAAATGGTGCCAGGGTGGACCTCATAAAAAGAGCTCAGAGGCCTATCAGATGAAACAGACAGCTAGAAACACAGATGGAATCCCATTTTCATAGGTTTGAAGCAAACATTAAATTGCTACATTTTATCTAAGTTTAAATGAAAGAGAAGACTATTGCCACATACATAAAGAGCATACCATTAAAAAAATAATTTGGGCTGGAGGTGGTGGCTCACACCTATAATCCCAGCACTTTGGGAGGCTGAGGCAGGAGGATAACTTGAGGCCAGGAGTTCAAGACCAGCCTAGGCAACATAGTGAGACCCTTTCTCTACAAACAAAAAATTAAAAATAGGCCGGGCGCAGTGGCTCATGCCTGTAATCCCAGCACTTTGGGAGGCCAAGGCGGGTGGATCACAAGGTCAGGAGATGGAGACCATCCTGGCTAACATGGTGAAACCTCATCTACTAAAAATACAAAAAATTAGCTGAGCATGGTGGCGGGTACCTGTAGTCCCAGCTACTCGGGAGGCTGAGGCAGGAGAATGGCGTGAACCCGGGAGGCGGAGCTTGCAGTGAGCCAAGATTGCACCACTGCACTCCAGCCTGGGCGACAGAGTGAGACTGTATCTCAAAAATAAATAAATAAATAAAACTAAAAATAAAAAATTAGTCAGGTGTGGTGGCATGTGCCTGTAGTCCCAGCTATTCAGGGGGCTAAGGCAAGAGGATCCCTTGAGCCCAGGAGTTCAAGGTCGTAGTAAGCTGTGATTGAACTACTGCGCTCCAGCCTGGGGGACAGAGTGAGACCCTGTCTCAAAATAAATAAATAAATAAAAATAATTTATATAATTTTTTTCCAGTTCTAAAAGTAATAAATACTTGTAGAAACTCTGGTAAATAGTGACAGATATGGAAAAGAAAATAAAAATCAGTCATGATCTCATAACTCAGTGAAAATAAATAGGTGTACTTTTATCCAATATTTAATTGGAATCAAAACTATATACACAGTTTGGGCACACTGTTTGTTTAAATGTATGCTCCAAAAAAATCAAATACCAGTAAATACTAACCTTGCCAAAAAAAAAAAAAAAAAAAAAAAACAGACAAAAAAAAATGTCCCAGGGAGTGCTGTGCCTACTTATACCTTACAACCTGACACAAGACCCCACTCAATTGAACTTCTCTTCTATAGCCACCAAGGGACCTCCTTGTTACACAGCCATTAGTGTTTCCCAAAGTCCTTAAATTCCTTGTGCTGTTAACCAGCCCCTCCTTAAAAGTTTCCTCCCAGGGTTTTGTGGGTACCACATTCACTGAAGTTTTCTTCTCATTTCTACCCACTTAGTCTCCATCTTCTTCCTTCCCTTCCTGGTCAAATAGGGGTGTTGTCTGAGCTCTCTTCTCTGGCTAGAGCTACATGATGTTCTCCTTAAATCAAGTTATCCACACGTGCAACTCCAATAACTTCTTCTATATTCACGCTGTTCAAATTTCTACCTTCAGTCTCAATCTCAGAATTGACTTCTGGTCCTATGTTCCCAGCTATTTGTAAGACATTTCTACCTGGCTTACTAAGCTCCATTTGTCTAAAATTACACTCAGTTATTTATTCAGTAAGTATTTGCTGAGTGCCTACTATGGGGGGGACACTGTTCTGGGCACCAGGGAAACCCTTCGACGAAGCTCCCATTGACAACAAGGTTCAACTCTTTAACCTGACATTCTAGGCCTTTCACAATCTTGGGCTAGTTTGCCATTCCAACTTTCTACTTCAATTCACACACTCTTTACCTCCAAACTGAATGCTATTGCTTTTCCAGTTATTTCAGGAAAGGCTTGCAGTTATCTCTGAAATACCCTCTTCCCACCTCAACCTACTGAAATTCTATTCTTCAAGGCCCAGCTCAAATGCCACCTCTTCCGCAAGCTTTTTTGGGTCCCTGATCCTAAAATGGTCTGTTCTTTCTTTAAACTGCCACTGAATATCTTTGGTACCTCCCCCACAACATATACTATATGCTGCATGTTCCTTCTCAAATGACGATGACAATAATTACAGGTTATCAAAAGCCTATTTTGTGCCAGGTATGTCGCTTGGTATTTCATATCTCTAAGCCCCAAAATGTACAATGTGAGTACTATTACCCTCATTTTACGAATGAGGAAGCTCAATGATATCAAGTAACTTACCTGATATCAAGTAACACGCCTACCTACTGGACTTAGAGGAACTTGAAAGCAGCAATTCTGCCCTCTTCCATTTGTGTAACTCTCACTGGGCCTAGAACTGTGGTTAGTACACAGTGGGTACTCAGTAAGCATTTGCCAAATGAATAACTGAATAAACAGTATATTTTCAAGCCACTGACATCTGTAAGTATATATACCACTCTAGTTTCCTGGCAAAATTATATTTGAATTCCTTATAGGCTCATTTCAGTAAAATTTGACATACTTTCCGAAACGTTATGTTGACTCAAGCTTTTACATTTTTTTCTTGGTAGAAAAGTCTTCCTAACTATTAAAACCTGGGTTTAAAAAATAATATGGCAAAGATCAGGTAGCAAAAACCTCACTCAGACCTTTTATAGAAACCAAAGCACCTATGCATTACTTAGGAATTGTCCTGTGAACCACTACACTATCAGCAACTTGGCTGGGTTCATTTTCCAATGACTTAGAGCTCAAGCTCTTTACAACACCAGTAATGAGATGTTCCCTTTGAAGTAGTCCCAACAATCCATTTAAAGCATTTTTCAGTACATCTCTGCACATGTTTATTGTTTGCCACCTGCAAAATCATTGAGACATTTGCTGCCTCAGAAACCTAACTAAATATAAGCATGGCACTTTAAATCTCAGATTGCTTTGCGACTGAAGGCAGCAGTGTTACTGCACCTTTATGTGAAATTGGAAAACCAAAATGGCCCATTTTCATAAAACCACCAGAGATCCAATATGTCTTGCTCTTAGAAACAAAGCAGGAAGACACAAACTTCAGTTACGAAATGTCTAAAAATGCAGACTTGATGTTTTCCATCTCCCTTTGCCTCCATGGCAGAGAACACTGACTAGAAAACAAACAAAAGAACCACTTGAATTAGCTTTATCTTGGGACTGAGAGGAAGAAGGCAAAAACTTCCATGATAAAAACTTTATCAGCCTCCAACTGCAACAGGAGTCACAGGTGAGGTGCAAGTAGGTTCCATCAGGGCCAAGCCAGCTAGTGTGGCTGACTGCAACAGTGAATGTAACAAGGAAGTACAGTGAGACCAAATATGCAAGATACCCAGAAAGGGCTGGGGAAGTAGACTTAAAGATGTCATCAGTTTATATAACTATTTAGAATCTTCTACTTGAGCCTGAGTAATAGAGGCTGTGTTTCTAAATTCAATACAGGACTGTGTTTATCTAATTATCTCACAAAACTAAAACTGAGTTAATCTCAGGAAAAAATCACTTGGTTTTTACAGAAAATAATCATTTTTCACATGCATGGTTTAGAATAAAGTTTAAAGTGCTTGATAACAAATGGCCAATACATATATGAAAAAATGCTCAACATCACTAATGATCAGGGAAATGCAAACCAAAACCACAATGTGATACCACCTTACTCCTGCAAGAATGGCCATAATCAAAAAAAAAAAAAAAAAAACAAAATAGATGTTGGCGTGGATGTGGTGAAAAGGGAACACTTCTACACTGCTGGTGGGAATGTAAGATAGTACAGCCACCATGGAAAATAGTGTGGCGATTCCTTTAAGAACTAAAAGTAGAACTACCATTTGACCCAGCAATCCCACTACTAGGTATCTACCCAAAGGAAAAGAAGTCATTATACGAAAAAGACACTTGCACATGCATGTTTATCGTAGCACAATTTGCAGCTGCGAAAATGTGGAACCAACCCAAATGCTCATCAATCAACGAATAGAAAGAAACTGTGAGATATATATATCTATACATCATATAGATATATATGATGCACTACTACTCAGCCATAAAAAGGAATCAATTAATGGCATTTACAGCAACCTGGATGGGATTGGAGACTACTATTCTAAGTGAAGTAACTCAGGAATGAAAAACCAAACATCGTATGTTCTCACTCACAAATGGGAGCTAAGCTATGAGGATTCAAAGGCATAAGAATGAGAAAATAGACTTTGGGGACTTAGGGGGACAGGGTGGGGAGGGGGTGAGGAATAAAAGACTACAAATCGGGTTCAGTGTATACTGCCTGGGGGATGGTTGCACCAAAATCTCACAAGTCACCACTAAAGAACTTAGTAACTAAATACCTCCTGTTCCCCACAAACCTATGGAATAAAAAAAATTTTTAAGTGCTCTGATAAACTTTTTTTTTTTTTTTTTTTTTTTTTTTTTGAGACGGAGCTTCACTCTTGTTGCCCAGGCTAGAGTGCAATGGTGTGATCTCGGCTCACGGCAACCTCTGCCTCCTAGGTTCAAGTGACTCTCCTGCTCAGCCTCCTGAGTAACTGGGATTACAGGTGTCCGCCACCAGGCCTGGCTAATCTTTTGTATTTTTAGTAGAGATGGGGTTTCATCATATTGGCCAGGCTGGTCTCGAACTCTGATAAACTTCTTTATTTTATTTATTTATTGTTTTTGAGACGGAGTCTCGCTCTGTCGCCCAGGCTGGAGTCCAGTGGCACGATCTCAGCTCACTGCAAACTCTGCCTCCCGGGTTCACACCATTCTCCTGCCTCAGCCTCCCGAGTAGCTGGGACTACAGGTGCCCGCCACCACGCCCGGCTAATTTTTTTGTATTTTTTAGTAGAGACGGGGTTTCACCGTGTTAGCCAGGATGGTTTCCATCTCCTGAGCTCATGATCCGCCTGCCTGATAAACTTCTTAATAAATACTTGTAGTAACCTCAAAAAAGAGAGGTGAGTAAAGTAATGGGACTATTTTAAAGATGATGAAAGAGAACCCATGATTCATTTATTGTCAATTGTAGTTCCCAAAGAAAAGAAAACGAAGTTCCTCAAATCCTTGTCTAATTACTGAGTACTTTGGGCCACCCAAGTTCAATTACCTTTTAAATCACCTTAAATCATACAGGGGCCCTGATGTTAGTAGAAGGACCATAAACAAGGAGTGAGTAGGCTGAATCCAACCCCTCAGCCACTCAGACTAAGTATTGAGTTTGTTCAGTGTGAGAGAAGTGTGGCAATGGGAAGAACATAAATTTATGACACCAGGAAAGGGTCATGTCCCCACACTGCCTTCTGAGCTAACTGACATCCAGCAAGTCAGGCTGACTCAGGGCCTCTGTGCCCTTCTTATCTGCAAATGGAAGTCCTGCCAATGCCTGCTCCCATCTACCTGAGAAAGCAGAGAAGCACAAATGTGGACAAAGTATGTGAAAGTTCTTTACAAACTCTAAAACAATTACTACTTCTATTAGAAGTTAGCTGATTTCTAATCACATAACCATTTATCCTCAACAAGCATTTATAGAGGACGGACCAAGTACCCAAACACTATGTGAGATATTAGACACAAAACACAGCTCCTGCTCTTGAAGAGCTAAATAGCTAGTGGAAAGTAAGACACAAAACCAAATATAAAAAGCACTTCAACAGAAGTATACAAAGGTGTTATACAAGCATAAATAAGGAATCATTACTAATTAAGGGACAATAAAGAATTTTAAGTAACAGAACACAATTAAATGACAATGATAGGTATACAGAGATTACTTCAGTCGAAAGAAATCAAAAACAAAGGAAACAAAAACATACAACAAAACCAATCATTCCTGCTCCAGCAATCATGCTGTGGGCCAGGCATGGTGGCTCATGCCTATAATCCCAGCACTTTGGGAGGTCGAGGCAGGCAGATCACGAGGTCAGGAGTTTGAGATCAGCCTGGCCAACATAGCGAAACCCCATCTCTACTAAAAATATAAAAATTAGCCAGGCATGGTGGCGCGTGCCTGTAGTCCCAGTTACTGAGGAGGCTGAGGCAGGAGAATTGCTTAAACCCAGGAGGCGGAGGTTGTGGTGAGCCGAGATCACACCACTGCACTCCCGCCTGGGCAACAGAGCAAGACTCCATCTCAAAAAGAAAAAAAAAAAAAGAAATCATGCTGCTTCTTGCATGAAGCTGTCAGCCTACAATAACAGCCTCAAAGGTTCCACCAGAGAGTGAGCACTATGTGAACTAACAACCACACATGGAAGGCAAGAATGCAAAGGCCTTCTTCACAAGCTGTTCAAGTCTTTCTGACCCACAGACACATTCCTGTCCAACAGAAGGCCTTTGCTGGGTGGTGAGGATGTCATGGGAAATTAATAATTCCCTCACTTCCTGTTGACTTTAACTCTTTTGGTCATTGCAACTCACCAGCAGAAGGGAGAATACTTAAAACTTTAACCTTCAAAACAACAACCGGCTTATGGCTTAGCACACTCTCACAAACCAGTTTCTATGGGCATTCAGAGTAAATGTATGAGAGAAGTAATTAGTTGATTTATTTTCTGTCTCTGCTGAACTTGAACCTGCTAAAAAGTGAGCCTAGGTCTTTGTTAACTGGCATCCCGAGAGTATGAGACCAGTGATAAGATCTAAGCAAAAAGGTGACTCACCTCTTGTTTGAAAGGGCAGACATACTCAGCAGTGATGGGCTGCATCTATGACCTCTCCCTCCCTTTTGGACTTAATCTGTGACAACAACCTTGGCTACCAATCAGCCTCTTAACCAATTTAGTCAGGAAACAAGCAAGGCTGGCAAAGGCAGACAAAACACTGTCTCTGACCCTCAAAGATAAGCACAAGATAAGGCAAAATAACAGAATGAGTCTTTGTCATTTAACTATACACAAATTGAAGGACAGAAGAATCTCTGCCCATCACACAGGACAGAAGAAAAGCTTATAAGGTATGAAGGATAAGAATAGTAGGAACTGGCCGTGTGCAGTGGCTCATGCCTGTAATCCCAGCACTTTGGAGGCCGAGGCGGGCAGATCACCTGAGGTCAGGAGTTTGGGACCAGCCTGGCCAACATGGTGAAACCCCGTCTCTACTAAAAATACAAAAGTTAGCTGGCCGTGGTGGCAGGCGCCTGTAATCCTAGCTACTCGGGAGGCTGAGGCAGGAGAATCACTTGAACTTGGGAGGCAGAGGTTGCAGTGGGCTAAGATTGCGCCACTGCACTCTGGCCTGGGCCACAGAGTCAGACTCCATCTCAAAAAACAAAAAAGAGTAGTAAGAACTATGTTTTCATCCCCCTAATCTGGGTTTACATTAAAACAGTTTCTGAATTTCTTTTATTATGGACTATTACCATTAGCATGGCATAGATTTTTATCAAACAATGCCTGAACATTCTGGAGTTGAATTCTGGGGCTCTGACTGATCCATACTTCTCGGATTGTTTTGCTCTGACATTAGGATGATAGGCATATGATAGCTGGGACTCAAATAGTTGAATCAGGCACTGCTACGGCTATGCTAATCTCTTTAAACATGTCCTGCAGAGGACACCTTCAATGTGGATGGACACATTTTAAAGGTAGAATGATATATTTGATAAAATGTTTAAAAACAAAATATAGTTCTTATAAGTTCTAATCTAAGACCAAGATTAAAAAGTTATAGCTAATATTTATTGCATACTTACTAAAGTACTTACTACTTAACGTATGTTAAGCCTTTTACTGCATTATGTTGTTAAATCCTCACAACCACCCTATTAGAGAGCTGCTATTATTACTACTTTACAGACAAGGAAACTGAGATTTAAAAAGATGAAGTTACTTATCTAGGGAAATATGGTCAGTGAGTAGAAACAAGACTCTAAGATACACACACAGCCCCATAAGACAATTCAAAGCAAATTAATTACCCTGGGATAATATGGCTAAAATTTTAGTACATGAACATGGTGCTTCAAATTTTAGTGTCAAACACCAGCAACTTTATTATTTATTTCAAAATCTGTTTGTTAATCCCATGACCCAGAGAGTTAATTGCTAAATATCATATTTACACCCAGGGAAGTAGTTTATAGTTAATTTACAAAAAAAAATCACCTCTATAATACTTCTGTGTTATTATTATAAGTTCTCTACGGGAATGGTAGAAGACAGGTTCCTGAACAAACACAGTAAAAAGTTGTTCTCTAACTAAATAGCTAACCTCAATTGTCTTAGTGACCTTGGACACATTACTTGGAATGTTTGCAAGAGTATAATAACTGTGACTTCATTTAGGTGAAACAAGTGCTTCTGCAAATGTTTACATAGTCCTAATTGCCCAAGCCTTTTACTAGTGTTTCCCTGCAACATCATTTTTTATTTAGCCAATAAATAGAAACACTTGTAAAAATGTTTACTTAAAACAACCTGCAAACAAATGTTTCTGTCAAAAGAATTAAAAGAAATATTTCAAATTAGATGTTACAATCGATAATTCAAACATATTTTGATGATTAAGGCATATTGAAATAAATCGCTGGCCAGGCACGGTGGCTCATGCCCGTAATCCCAGCACTTTGGGAGGCCGAGGCAGGTGGATCACCTGAGGTGAGGAGTTCGAGACCAGCCTGGCCAAAATGGAGAAACCCTGTCTCTATTAAAAATACAAAAATTAGCTGGTTGTGGTGGTGGGTGCCTGTAATCGCAGCTACTCGGGAGGCTGAGGCAGGAGAATCTCTTGAAACCAGGAGGCAGAGGTTGCAGTGAGCCGAGATTGCACCATTGCACTCCAGCCTGGGCGACAGAGAGAGACTCCATCTCAAATAAATAAATACATAAATAAATAAAATAAACTGCCTCCTTCTAAAACTAACTTGACTTTTGTTGGGGGGACGGGCAAATATCAATGTATGTAGGGTTCAAACAAAATAACAAAATTGAGCCACAACCTTCAGTCTTGTTTCTATAATCTACTAAAAGATGATATGCTGGCTAGGTGTGGTGGTTCACACCTATAATCCCAGCACTTTGGGGGGAGATGGTGGCAGGTGGATCTCCTGAGCTCAGGAGTTTGAGATCAGCCTGGGGAACAGGGTGAAACCCTGTCTCTACCCAAAATACAAAACACTAGCCAGTCATGGTGGCGCATGGCTGTGGTCCCAGCTACTCAGGAGGCTGAGGTGGGAGAACTGCTGGAGCCTTGGGAGGCAGAGATTGCAGTGAGCCGAGACCGAGCCACTGTACTCCAACCTGGGTGACAGAGTGAGACTTTGTCTCAAAAAAAAAAAAAAAAAAAATACACACACACACACACACACACACACCCTGGTTTCATATTACCATACTACCATGAAAATACAGAGACCATAGCTAACCTTTCAGCGTGAGGCAACCACTTTTGAACCACAATATTTGGAATTAGCCAATCCGGGTCTCAATTTTCTATGTATCATTATGAGAAGTGTGATTTTTGACAAGCAACTTGAATCTGAATTTCAGTTACTCCGTATCCATGGGGGACTGGTTCCAGGATCCCCTCAGATACTAAAATCCACAGATGCTCAAGTCCCTCATATAAAATTATGCAATATTTGCATATAACCTACGCACATCCTCCTGTAAGTCATCTCTAGGTTACTTACAATATCTATTACAGTGCCTACACATCCTCTCATTTGGTGGAGTCAATGTAGTATTCAGCATTTAGCAAACTCAAGTTTTGCCTTTTGGAACTCTGTGGAATTTTTTTTTCCTAATATTTTTGATCCATGGTTGGTTGAATCTGCTGATGTGGATCCCACAGATGTAGAGGGCCAACTGTAATTGTCTGTGATGTGAGGAAAATAAGGATAACTGTCTCACCTTTTTTGGAGTGCAAATCAAATAACATAATGTAGTGTTTTATGAACTCCAAAGCAGTGTACAGGATGCCCACTGGTGTCTGATACCAACAAAAAGGTCACCACATTCTCTTTGATCTCCATTATAAACCAACGAACTGGTGGAGGGAGTGGCGACAGAGTTTAGGAAGCTTTGA
Source organism: Homo sapiens (assembly GCF_000001405.40). NCBI lineage: Eukaryota > Metazoa > Chordata > Mammalia > Primates > Hominidae > Homo > Homo sapiens. Next base: position 208,017,410 of record NC_000002.12, read on the forward strand.
AATAAGGTTTTAATCTACTCAAGGTTCCTCCAGCATTTTCAAGGCAGTAAGAGTTTGCTGTGCATCAGCTTTTCTGGTGGTCTTGGAAAGGAGGGATTCAGTGGCGCAAGTGTTGCATAAAAATTCAAACGGAATATCTCTTCTCAAAAAAGTAAAAAATGAATAAAATCCATCTTTGCCACCCAAGTTCCCCCACAGCTAGGATACTTTCCCCTTCCTCTCTTTTTTCTTGTAAGTTTCTTGAAGAAACTTGTTCTTTATGCTTTCTGACTCCATTTCTCATTGCCCATTCATTCTCCCCTCAAGAAGCAGTCTGATTCTGCCCCAGCTGAAACTTCACAGGAAAAGGTCACCAGTGATTTTCTTTTTGCTAAACCCTAAAGACTTTTCACTCAGCATCTGACCTAACCACACAGCAGTATTTGACCTACTGAACACCCACTCTTTCCACTGCTCTCATGAATTCACAGATGCTCTCTCCTGGTATTTCTCCTTCAACTCTGGAGGCTCCTCCCACTACCCTCTATGGGTTCCCCTTCCTATGCCCATATCGTAAATGTGGGTATTCCTGTTTTGCCCATAACCCTCTTATCTAGTTTCTCTTCTGCCCTCCCCAAGTGATCTTCTCCATCCTGTGGCTTTAGCTGCAATCCACGTGGCAGACAAGAAACATATTACTCTCCGGCTGGGCGCAGTGGTTCACGCCTGTAATCCCAGCACTTTGGGAGGCCAAGGCGGGTGGATCACAAGGTCAAGAGATCGAGACAATCCTGGCCAACATGGTGAAACCCCATCTCTACCAAAAATACAAAAATTAGCTGGGAGTAGTGGCATGTGCCTGTAGTCCCAGCTACTCCAGAGGCTGAGGCAGGAGAATTGTTTGAACCTGGGAGGCGGAAGTTGCAGTGAGCCAAGATCATGCCACTGAACTCTGACCTGGCAACAGAGCAAGACTCTGTCTCAAAAAAAAAAAAAGAAAAGAAAAGAAAAAAAAAAAAAGAAACATACTACTCTCAAGCTCTATATCTGCATATGCGACAGAGAACTCATCTTGCCTCAAACCTGCCCCTCCTCCCAACATTCACCATAGAGTAAAGGACATATCCTCTGTCCCCAAAAAATAAACATCATTCTTGATCCTTCTGGCTCCCTCACCTGCAATCACTCCAAATTAGCCAGTCATATGAATTCTCATCTACAGCATTGGCCACATCTATCCATTTCTCTGTCTCCGTTGCCTTCATGCAATCACCACCATCCAGTCTTCTTCCTTTCAGTCTTACCCTCCTCTAATCCATTCACCACACTGCAACCAAAATGTTCTTTCCAAAATTAAAACCTATTGCCATTTGGATAAACTACACACATCTTAACATTACCTGAAAGAGTTTATGGCCACTTACCTTCTTGGCCTTATCTCTTTAATCTCTCTCTCTACCCCTACCCTCACCCCACACCCACTCCCACCTCAACCCCACTCTATATCTACATATAAAGAATTTATAGAGGCCAGGAGCAGTAGCTGATGCCTGTAATCCCAGCACTTTGAGCTGTGATTGTGCCACTGCATCTCACAAAAAAAAAAAAGAAAGGATTTATAGAAACTGGGACCAGGTGTGGTGGCTCACACCTGTAATCCCAGCACTTTGGGAGGTCAAGATGGGAGGACTGCTGGAGGCTAGGGGTTCAAGACCATCCTGAGCAACATAGTGAGACCCCCATCTCTACAAAAAAAAAAAATTTAAAGTTAACCAGGCATGGGGGCGTGAACCTATAGTCCTAGCTATGCAGTAGGCTGAGGTAGGAGGATCGCTTGGGCTCAGGAGTTTGAGGCTGCAGTGAGCTATGATCACACCACTGCACTCCAGCCTGGGCAACAGAACAAGACCCTGTCTGAAAACAAAACCAAACCTGGAATTTTCCACTTGCTTTCTCACCTATCCTGTTTCCTCTGCCTGGAACACTGTTTTCCACCACCATCACCCTCATCTTCTTTATCAACACTGTCCCCTCCTTACCTCCCACCCACACACACAACCTGGCTAAGTCTAATTCAGCTGTCCAGTCCTTGACGAGGAATCACATCTCTCTTGACCTCCAGGTCCATTTTGAATGGCCTCTTATATGCTCCCATAGCACCCAGATTTCCTCCATTATTATGCATCTCAAGCTATTTTTTTAACTTTATAATTTTTTACCATTTGTATAAACCATATACATCTTAACATTATCTGAAAGAGCTCTTCACAAATTTGCATGTCATCCCTGCACAGAAGCCATGCTAATCTCTGTGTTGTTCCAGTTTTAATGTATGTGCTGCCAAAGTGAGCACGCAAGTTATTTTCAAATGGCCTGTTTACTGTCTGTCTCCCTCACTAGACTGTAAGCTTCATGAAGGCATGGACTGTGCCTGTCTTGTTCATTCCTAGCTCCAAGTACTGTGCCATGGCACAAAACAAGTGCTCAATCCTTACTTGCTGAATTAACAAATTAATGAATCCCTGAACGTGGAAGAGAAGTTGTTCTGGAAATGTTATAGTGCAGGTAAAAGTGGATCAAGAGCATGTAGGAGGAGATCATTCAGCTAATTTCCTGGAGCAAAAAATCTGCTAGTTATATTTCTGATGTTTCTAACCTGCAACACATGTTTTTTGTTCTGTGACTGAAAAATCAACATTTATATAATCACACCTACAGAACACAAGGTGAAGTGGATATTTAACAATTTCCCAGTTACGTAAGTATTCACAGGTAAACTGGCTAATGCGAGACAGAAGAGCTTTAGTTTGTACTGAATTATAAACTGGTTACACTAGTCAGGAGAACTGGATAAGTAAATCTCTACCATGGTCATAAATGTGGCATATAATTGAAGGATTCTATTTGAACCACATAACTCAGATTAACAATTAATGAGTGTACGAAAACAAACAAAATGTTAATGAAAACAGCATGCCTGACATCTTAATGCAATTGCCTCCATATTTTGACTTTGGTTTTTGCTCATAACTCATACTGTCATCAAGATTAATTACTTATGGAACAAATAAAACTTTTACCTTGTCAGCAGGAAGGCAAATTATGCATGTTTTTCAATGTCTGGTATGATCCCACAGTAGCCAATGAAACAGAGCAAACATAATGCATGGAATTTATTGCTGGTGGTCATTTTTATCACGCTCTCACTCAGCACTGAGTTCTCTGAATTAATTGGCTTGCATCAGAAACTCCAAGCTAGGATGTAGTTCAGTTCCTTATGAACCAAATGCCAAATGTACTCTGAAAGGAGAACGCAAGAAGAAAAAAAAACTCCTTGCTAGATATCCCTCCAGACTTTTTATTTTAAGGGGTTAACATTTGCTGAAGCAAATCAGCCTTTGGCCAGCAACCAATGGGGCCACAGACACTCTCTGTACTTTTCTAGGGGTGTTGGAGGAGAGGGTGAGGTGAAATAGGATAGGGTGACAATGGGAAAATAAAAGTAACAGCAGCAGTAGCTTGATGCTGCTGGAAACTGACTAGAGATAAAGAATCCTAAAAAAACTGCCCAGTCTAACCTTCTCCAAGTTCCCATTAAAGTCAGGCCTTTTGAAACTAGTAATTAAATTAGCACCTGTCTATCTGCCTACTTTTTAAATATGTAAATGAATGACTTCAAGTCTTAAGCAAAGGCTATATACAAGATTAAACTGTAATAGAGTATGTCAAGTATCTCATAAATATTCAGTAAATATCAGCCTTGGATGTTTTTTAATGAAGATGTTACTGGGCTAGAACCAGCTTGGTTTTCCTAATCAGGCACCATTTTTTTCTGTAAATGGTTACATATTCTTCACAGTTGTTTTCCACTAGTATAATTAACCTGGGTCCATAGCCCAAAACCTAAATCCATCAATCTATGAGAAAACAAATACTTTTAATGAACATTCAGCCATGTGCCTCCTTTTTCTATTACTTCTATATGACATTCAGCGATCCTTCTACCATGAAGCTTTCACTTATTACCCTACTGAGAAATAAGTTTCCAACTTTATTTTCAATCTTTTCAATTATAATTTGTTTTCTATATCTTGTTTTCTTTAAAAAATCACTTTCTGCCACATAATTACATTATTTATGGATTTTATTATCTCCAGTATTTGACTGTACAATGTTTTATAGTCATTGTATTCCCCACAATGTAGAGACTTAACAGCTTTTAAAATAATGTTTATTGACTTTTGTGATTATAAATAAGTACTACATGTTCATTGCTTGTCATTTTGAAAATACGAAAGAGAATAAAAGGCAAAATAAACAATGCCTATTCACCCTCCACTGGAAAAAAGCACTGCCCCGTTGTGGCCCTTTCAGCCCTTATGTAGATTTTGTTTTTTTAAACATAGTTCAGAGCTTACTATAGATACGCATTTTTCCCCACCTAGCAATCATTGGTAACACCTTTCCACACTGCTAAACTTCTTCATTAAAAAATCCTTTTTAGTGTCTATATAACACTGTATCTATTGATGACACCATAATTTGTTCCCATTTTGGGGCATTTAGGTTATTACATATGTTTTTTCCTAAATAAAGTTATATTGAGCATCTTTGAACATTAACTTTTAAAATATTTCTGATAAATTCCTTTGGATGGACCCTAGAAGTGGAATTAACTGGGTCAAAAGGTAGGAGCATCATTGAGGCTTTTCATACATTCACCAATGAGCTGTTCGGAAAGGTTACAGCAAGTGTGCATCCCTCCTAGCATTTGCAAGTGTCTGCTGCACTGCACACTAACTGTTGAGGAGGATTTTTGAAAATTTATGTTAATTTGAGATTTGGAAAAAATGATACTTTGCTATTGTTTCAATTTTTCTTTCTGTATTAGTTTTCTATGGTTGCATAACAAATTTCTACAAACTTAAGTAGCTTAAAACAACACCTATTCATTTTCTCACAGTTCTGAAGGTCAGAAGACTGGATGGGCTTGGCTGGGTTTTCTGCTCAGAGTCTCTCACACAAGGCTGAAACCAAGGTGGTGGCCAGGCTGGGCTCTTATCTATTAATAGAAACTCAGGTAAAGAATCCAGTTATAAGCTTATTGGGATTGTTGACAGAATCTAGTTCCTTGTGGCTTATGTCAGAGGTCCCCATTTCTTTCTATGCTGGTTGTTAGCTGGGGCCACCCTCAGCAACTCTAGGCCTCCAGCACTCCTCAAGGCTGCCCAAATTCCTTCTCAACAGTTCCTCTCCACCTTCGAAGCCGCAACACAGTATGTTGAGTCCTTCCCCTACTTTAAGTCTCTCCAATTTCCCAGACAGAGAAAGCTCCCAACTTGTATGGGCTCCTGTGATTAGATTAGACCCACCCAGAAAATCTCACCATTTTAAATTAAACTGTGCCACATAACATAATTGAGAAAGTGATATCTTATTATATGCACAGGTTTCACAGATTACAGACAGCAATTTTAGTAGAGAGACATTTTTAGAATTTTGCCTGCCACAGTCTTAGGTGTTGTTTCTTATCATTTGTTTGTGTTCTTTATAATTAAACCTCAATTACACAAATCTACTAAAAAAATGAATCTTACTGTTGACTGCCAGAAGCTGTATTTCCATAATGGCAAAGGCAACTAACTATGAATGGGGCTGCAGCATGCTAATAAAATTTTGAAAACATAACTTTGCTAACACTGGTATTTAAAAGTTTTAAATTGTGGTAAAATATATATAATATGAAATTTACCATATTAACCTTTTTTTTTTTTATGACATGGTCTTGCTCTGTTGCCCAGGCTGGTGTGCGTGGCGTAATCATACCTCACTTAACTTCCAACTCTTGGGTTCAAGCAATGCCCCCGCCTCAGCCTCCCAAAGCACTGGAATTACAGGCCTGAGCCATCATATCCAGCCCCATCTTAACTATTTTTAAGTGTACAGTTCAGTATTGTTAAGTACATTCACATTGTTGTGCAGCCAATCTCCAGAACTCTTTTCATTTTGCAAAACTGAAACTCTATACCCATTAAACCAGGAGTCCCCAACCCCCATGTCTGTAGACTAGTACGGGTCCATGGCCTGTTAGGAACTGGGCCACACAACAGTGAGCGATGGACCAGCCACGCATTGCTGTTTGAGCTCCGCCTCCTGTCAGATCGGCAGCAGCATTAGATTCTCATAGGAGCGCAAACCTTATTGTGAACTGTGCGTGCGAGGGATCTAGGTTGCACGCTCCTTATGAGAATCTAACTAATGCCTAATGATCTGAGGTGGAACAGTTTCATCCCGTAACTATCACCCCCCTACTCCCCGACCCCACACCACCCGCTCTGTGGAAAAATGGTCTTCCGGTCCCTGGTGCCAAAAACCACCAGGGGACCGCAGCATTAAACAACAAATCCCCATTGCCTGCCTCCCTCCAGGCCCTGGTAATCACCATTCCACTTTCAACACTGGCATATTTTTATTTTATATATTTATTAACAAACATGTATATAGCAATTACTATATGCCAGGTACGGTTCTAAGCCTTGAGCTCAGGAGTTCAAGACCAGCCTGGGCAACATGGCGAAACCCTGTCTCTACCAAATGTACAAAAATTAGCCAGGCGTGGTGGCTTGTGCCTATGGTTCCAGCCACAAGGGAGGCTGAGGTGGAAGGATCGCTTGAGTCCAGGAAGTCGAGACTGCAGTGAGCCATGATCACGCCACTGTACTCCAGCCCGAATGACAGAGTAAGACCCTGTCTCAAAATAAAATAAAATAAAATAAAATAAAATAAAATAAAATAACAATAATAAAAACCCTAATGAGGTCAATACTATTATTATTCCCATTCTACAGATTAGGAAACAGAAGCGCTAAGTAAACTGCCCAAGATTACACAACTAGGAAGTGACCAAGCAGGAATTCAAACTGAAGTAGTCTGGCTTTATAGTTTTTGCTATAAACCATGACATTGTAAAAATATTCATTGTAAAGAAAAACTCATCAGGAATTAGTATCATTTCTTCTATGTATATCTATCTATTGTAGGTGCAATTTAACCTAATATTCATCTCCTGTCTAAAAGACTATGTGACCAAGGTTACAAATGTCTACTGATATTTTTAGAGACTAGATATATAGCCCAGCTTTTGTTAAGGCATTTTCTTGAAGTCAGTCAGTCAAAAACTGCCTTGTATTTTAAGTATGCCAATTATAATTTACATGTAGTATTTTATAATAAAATACTTTATAAATACAAATCACAACTCACTACGATTACTTAAAATATAGAGAAAAAAATTCAGCTGTTTCTCTCTGGTCCCTTCCAAGGAAGAAAAAAGAAGAGAGAAATAAACTTCTAAATAAGTTTACAACAGCATGGCTCAATCTCAGTTTAACCTGGTAAATTCAAATTTGTCTTGCTTTGCAAGGTATACATCCAGACCAGTCTCAATTTGTCATCCAAATATATATCTCAGTAGTAATTTATTTTTGTTTAAGGGATGAGTGTGAGATTTTCTTATCTTGATTTTTTAGCTTAATAATTCTTTCCTACAAGACCAAACCATGCTTGTCATCAGTCATGTGGTGTCATTTACTATACATTAAAAACGGACAGAGTCGACAGAAAGAACAATCGTTTTCTGGAAGCCCCAGCCTGATGTAGGTTAAAAGCTCTGCTGGGGTTTGGTTTTATAATCCCCAGGCGGGGATGGCAGGGATACTAATAACGCACTCAACAAGATCACCTACTATTTCAACTACTTTCTCCTCCTATTACATACCTGATTCACAAAAATAAGCAGACAATGCATCATGTAATCTCCCCTCACCCATTAGCCATTGCAGTGTGGTACAATCTCCAGCACGTAATAAAAACCTGAGCATGCAAGAAACAGCAAAATCACTGCTATCCCTGGGAGCTGCTCGGATATTTACAATGCAGTCGTCCCCACCCCATCCCCCAAACTGGCCGGCCAGGCAGCACAGAAGCAGACGGATGCTCACCTGGGCCCCGGCTGCTACTCTCCATTCACCTGCGGGGCCTTCAGTCCGCTCCTGGAGGGGCTTGACTCCCGCAGCCTGCCGCCCGCCTCACGGTGACAGCCCGCCCGGGCGCTGACCATCCCGGCCCGGCTCTGTTTACAAGCGGCTTCTCGCGGTCCCACTCTGAAATGCTTCCGCCGGCGGCCCGGGCAGCCAGAGCCGGACACACAAGGTTCCAGGCCGCGAGGACGAGTCTTTCCTGCCCGAGGGACCCGGCAGCTAGGCAAGGCCTGACCGCACCCGCCAGGCCTCCTTATTTCTTTGCTTTCTTATATACAGTTCCTCTTGTACACATTGTGAAAGCAATGGCGTGTGTCGTGGAGTCTCCTCACTGCTCCACCCAACGCCAAAATGGGTGTTTGCGATTGGAAAATGTCACTTAGAACATGTCAGGATCGGGCTGGTTTTTAGCAGCTCCCTTGTCTAAGGGAATTAATTACTCAAATAAGTTCTTTCCAAAAGTGGGACTATTCTGGAGATTGCTTCTCATTTCCGGTTTTGGGGCTGCAGTGAAAATCCGTTTTCACTGTCCTTTCCTACGCAGGTTGAAAAGGGGTGGTTTTGAGGTGAGGTCTTCACCCCCACTTGCGGATTCCCAGCAAAATAGGGTGTGCGTGTGTGTGCACGCGGGCAGGACTGCCTGGTAAGACCGCCCACATCCCACCTGCAGTGACTGTGGTCGCTTTGCAGGGATATGCTGGTCTGATTGGACAGACCTTCCTTGCAGTTTCCTGTCTGTTTTCCATCATAGCACACTTCTTAGCCATTTTCTCACTTTATAAGTACACACTTATTTATCAGTTTTATTGGTTTTCCCACGCTCACCCATCTCACCTATAAACTCCCTGAGGGCAGGCACTATTTCAGTTTCACTCACCACCATCTAGTAGGCACCTAGCACAGGCCCAATGTATATATATCTGAATAAATGAATGAACAAAGGAATGATAAAAAAAAAAAAAGGTCAAAGGGGTCAGGGATGAAACAGAAATCTAAAACTCTGATTCCTCTTCCCACCTTCCCACCCTCCAGAAGATTAATAAGCAAATCTTTAAGCTTTGAGTTAAGAAAAAATTTCCTTTGGTTGATATTCAAAGTTTAAATAAGCTTTCTTTAAACCCTGCAATTTGAGGTACTTTTTTTTCTGTTTTGCTAGAGACAGGATCTCACTCTGTGCCCCGGCCAGAGTGCAGTCGCACGATCATAGCTCACTGCAGCCCTGAACTCCTGGGTTCAAGGGATCCCCCCAACTCAGCCTCCTGAGTAGCTAGGACTACAGGCACGCATCACCACAACGTGGCTAACTTCTTTTTTCTTTCTTTCTCTTTTTTTTTTTTTTGTAAAGGCAAGGTCTCCCTGTGTTGCCCAGGATGATCCTGAACTCCTGGCCTCAGGCAATCCTTCTTCCTTGCCTTCCAAAGTGCTGGGATTACAGGTGTGAGCCACCTCACCTGGCCAGAGGTACATTTTTTGTTTTGTTTTGTTTTAATTACCAAAAGAGAATATTTGCAGTATTCTCTTTTGCCTCAGGACTTTGTACATGTGATTCCCTCTGATGAGAGTTCTCACTCCTGGCCCATCCTCTTACTTAGGCTGGCTAATTTCTCTTTGCTCTTTAAGAAGCAGGTAACAGGTGCTTGGTCTCTCAAGTCACTTGCTTGGTCTTCTTCCAAGTGTTCTTTTCTTCTTTTCCTTCCCTTCATTACTACTCTAAAGCTTTTTAATAAACTTTCACTCTAAAAAAAAAAAAAAAAAAGGCCGGGTGTGGTAGCTCGTGCCTGTAATCCACGCACTTAGGGAGGCCAAGGCGGGTGGATCGCTGGAGGCCAGCGGTTCGAGACCAGACTGACCAACATGATAAAACCTCATCTCTACTAAAAATACAAAAATTAGCAGAGCATGGCGGTGCACGCCTGTAATCCCAGCACTTTGGGAGGTCGAGGCGGGTGGATTGATTGAGGCCAGCAGTTCGAGACCAGCCTGGGCAACATAGTGAAACCCTGTCTCTACTAAAACGAAAATTAGCCAGGCATGGTGGCACACGACCTGTAATCCCAGCTACTTAGGAGGCTGAGGCACTAGAATCGTTTGGACTCAGGAGACGCAGGTTGCAGTGAGCTGATATTGAGCCAGTGCACTCCAGCCTGTGCAAAAGAGCGAGACGCTGTCTCAAAAAAAAAAAAAAAGCAGATGACATCACACCTCTTCTGGAAACCTTGCCTGATAGGGGAACCTGCTCCTTTTATGCACTCCTAGAGGATCTCATGTGTTCCTTTATAAATGTACCCATTACATTGTGCTACACAGATCAGTCTTCCATTGGATTGGTGGTTCTCAAAATTCACATGGAACAGAATCTTCTAGGATGGTGTTTCTCAAACTTTAACGGGTAAGAATTCTGTCAAAATGCAGAATCTGATACAGTAAGTCTGGGATGGGGCCTCTCCAACAGTCATGATCTCCTAAGTGATGCTGCATTTTGAGTGTCAAGGTTCTTGAATGCTGTTAAAAATGCAGATTCCTAGGCCGGGTGTGGTGGCTCATGCCTGTAATCCCAGTACTTTGGGAGGCTGAGGCGGCCGGATCACCTGAGGTCAGGAGTTTGAGACCAGCCTGGCCAACATGGCGAAACACTGTCTCTACGAAAAATACAAAAAATTACCCGGATGTGGTGGCTGGTGCCTGTAGTCCAAGCTACTTGGGAGGCTGAGGCAGGAGAATTGCTTGAACCCAGGAGGCAAAGGTTGCAGTGAGCCGAGATCATGCCATTGCACTCCAGCCTGGGCGACAGAGTGAGACTCCATCTCAAAAAAAAAAACAAAAACAAAAACAAAAAACAAAAAAACCCCCGCAGATTCCTGGATCACACATTCACAGATTTTTATTCTGAAGATCTACCTACATTAGGGTCCTGAATTCCATAATTTCTACAAGGTCCTCAGTGCTTCCCAAGTTGGTGATCCATGGACCATCCTTTGAGAAAAACTCTTTCAGACTAGTCTTGAAGTCTGATGTCAGGAGTTTGTGATTTGTCATTGTTTTTCATGGATTAAGCATGAAGTCTGGGACATAAAATGCATTTAAAAAACTGCTTTTGGCCTGGCACAGTGGCTTACGCCTGAAATTCCAGCACTTTGGGAGGCCAAGGCAGGCGGATCCCTTGAGGACAGGAGTTCAAGACCAGCCTGGCCAACATGACAAAACTCTGTCTCTACTAAAAAATACAAAAATTAGCCGGGTGTCATGGCACACATCTGTAATCCCAGCTACTCGGAGGCTGAGGCAGAGAATCACTTGAACCTGGGAGGCGGAGGCTGCAGTGAGCTGAGATCATGCCACTGCACTCCAGCCTGGGAGATAGAGCAAGACTCCATCTCAAAAAAAAAAAAAAAACAAAAAAAGCTGTGTTTGCAAAATGACTGATTTTATTCACTCTCACTAATACAGATCCTCAGCACCAGAATTAAGGGGATGATCCCAGAAAAAGGCTGAAAGATTTAGGGCTGAGAATAATCTCAGCTAGGCAGCCACTGGCTCATGGACCTCTGTATGTCAGCTAGGAGCTCTATATGTCAGCTAGGCCTCTGTATGTCAGCTAGGAACATTTTGCCTCTCTAAATGTAAAATATTTAAGTTCATATCTCCATTCAAAAGGTTGTCTGCTAAAAGCAGCTCCATCATCTTCTTTTGCCTTTTTTTTCTTTTTTTGAGATGGAGTCTGGCTCTGTTGCCCAGGCTGGAGTACAGTGGCGCAATCTCGGCTCACTGCAACCTCCGCCTCCTGGGTTCAAGTGATTCTCCTGCCTCAGCCTCCTGAGTAGCTGGGACTACAAGCATTTGCCACCACACCCAGCTAATTTTTGTATTTTTAGTAGAGACGGGGTTTCACTATGTTGGCCAGGATGGTCTCCATCTCTTGACCTTGTGATCTGCCCGCCTTGGTCTCCCATAGTGCTGGAATTACAGGCGTGAGCCACCGCACCCGGCCTTCTTTTGTCTTTTAGAGCAATTTTGGATTCACAGGAAAATTGAGCAGAAAGTACAGACTTCCCATATATCCCCTGCTCCTCAAACCCACAACCTCTCCCACTATCAATCCTGCACCACAGTGGTACACTTATTACAATCAATGAAACTGCACTGACAGACACATCATTACCACCCATGTAATGTAAAGTTCATAGTTTACATTAGGGGAACCATTTTTTTGACTTCTTTATACCCTAACATTCAGGAAGGCCTCTCTTTCCATTATCGGAATGATTTTTAACACAGAATGGAGCGTCATGCTGTAGCTCAGTAATTAAGGTTTGCTGGGGGCAGTGGCTCACACCTGTAATCCCAACACTTTGGGAGACCAAGGCAGGAGGATCACTTGAGCCCAGGAATTAGAGACCAGCCTGAGCAACATAGCGAGACTCCATCTCTACAAAAAATAACAAATTAAAAAATTAGCCAGGTGTGGTGGCACAAGATTCCAGCTACTCAGGAGGCTGATGCAGGAGGATCACTTGAGCCCAGGAGTTGGACACTGCAGTGAGCTATGATCATACCACTGCACTCCAGCCTGAGCAACAGATTGAGATCTTGTCAAACAAACAAAACAAACAAACAAAAAACCCTAAAACTAGAATGAAACAAAACCTAGAAGACGATCTAGTCCAATTGTTAATCCCCAGCTGCTTTCTTACTCCAGCCTGAGCAACAGAGTGAGATCCTGTCTTAAAAAACAAAAACAAAAAAACACCCAAAACTAGAATGAAATGAAACCTAGAAGATTATCTAGTCCAATTATTAATCCACAGCCACTTTCTTACTCCAATACTTTTTTGTTTGTTTGTTTTTTTAGACGGAGTCTAGCCCTGTTGCCCAGGCTAGAGTGCATTCAGTGGCGTGATCTCAGCTCACTGCAACCTCTGCCTCCTGGGTTCAAGCTATTCTCCTGCTTCAGCTTCCCGAGTAGCTGGGATTACAGGCGCCTGCCACCATGCCCAGCTAATTTTTTGTATTTTTAGTAGAGACAGGGTTTCACCGTGTTGGCCAGGCTGGTCTCGAACTCCTGACCTCATGATCTGCCCCCCACTCTGCTTCCCAAAGTGCTGGGATTACAAGCGTGAGCCACCACGCCCGGCCTCCAATACTTTTAACGGCCTCCTATTGCCAGAAGGAGTTCAGACTTCATGGCTTGACCTTGAGGCTCTCTACATTATTGGCTCCCTCCTACATGTGGGGACATCTCTGTTTTTCTGCACTCAGCATTCCTACTTCCTTTGGGAACTTCCCCTACCTGTAAGACACAGGGTAAGTATGTGATCAATGCTAAGCCAGTTCTACTATTCACAGTACCCTAGTCTCTTGGCTATAGCAGTTGAGCCAGGGTGGGCATGTGACCCACCCAATCAGAGTCCTTCCCTGGAATTTTTATCTCTGAAGCTGTGGAAGGAGCCTTGCCTATTGGGATACAGGACTGGAAGGATGTGAATTGGAGGCCCCTGATGGCCATCTTTCCCACCATGTGAGAATGCCTGTCTGCAGAACAAGGGAAGGAGGGTGACAGGAGAGAGGAGAGTAACACCAAGGGAGGGATGAAGATTTTGTGTGAGGGGAGTTGGAAGGTGTGGTGGGAGAGTAAGAGCAAATGACCTTGCTTGAGTCCCAGGATCTCCTCAGGCTTGGAGCTTAACCTCACCTCCTAGACCCTATAGTTCTATTATCAATTAATCCCATGTTATCTCAAGGGAGTTTGTGTTGGTTTCTGACATTTACAACTGCAAGTGTCTTGACTGACACTTCACCTTTCCAGACTTATCTCCCACATACCCCTTTCTTCCCATTTTATAGTTCAGACACCTATTTTTTCCCAAAATCAAAGGTCTTTTATTGCATCATTTAAATATCACAAATAGGTCTTAGGAGTCTTCCAGCATCTTGTTTCTGTAGCTGGACAACTCTTAGATCTTCAGCCTGCTGAACTGTTCCTTTTTCAGAGACATAGGTACCATCCAAAATTTTTCTGATATCCTTGTTTTTAACTGTTGTGGCTTGCTGAATCGAAGCAGCTGAATTTGAAACAAGCTGAATGTTGTTTCCTTCAAGGATTAATTCATCTTTCTGGGCTTGAGATACCAAACAAGCAACACCTGACCTCCTCCAAACCCTGGGGATGTATTTTTCACCGAAGAAATTTCAGATTTCAATAAGAGACCCATTCTCCTGGATAACAACGTTGACGGGGAAGTGAGCAGACACAGACCTCATCTTGTAACAGAAGCCCAGTGTAACATCCTTGATCATGTTCTGTGTGTGACTATAAATAGTCTGAACGGTAGCCAGTTCCTTTTTGTTACCTCACTATTTGTCAACCCGGAGCCTCTTTCTTCCTAAGAAGGCTGAGTTCTACATTGATGTGACTGAAGTCCCTCCACAGGCCTCCTCTGGGGCCCTTCACGATAACTGTGCGTCCCTTCAGAGTGATGTCGACATTTTCTGGAATGTCAACAGTCTGGTTGCTGAGAATGGTCTTCATTCTTGCAGTAGATGTGGCAACAACAACAAGAAAGCCTGTTTTTTTTTTTTTAACCCACTCCTGGAAACTCTTCTTTTCCAACTTTAGGTTCCCCATTTTTAATTAATTAATTGATTTTTTTCCCAGCTTTATTGAGGTTAATTGACAAATACAAAATTTCCCCCATCATATCCCCTTCAGCATCCCTGGCAGGGCAGGCACCCTATCTTGTTCATCTTTGCATTTTCCTCCACAAGTATTATGGTACTTAGAAAATGATCTCAAAAAATGTTAAACATCATATGAGGAAGTGCCATTACTATATACTTTCATTAAGTATTTTCCTTTTAGCCTTCATTTACTAAAGTAATGCTCAAACCAGGATTCAAAAAAACAATGCTGTCTTCCAAGAAACAAAACAAAAACCTCATCAAAAGTGTTTTAAACTTAATCAGAACATTTTTAGTGCTATTTATAGCTTAAAATTTGCAAGCCAAGTATACCTCACCCATCTCCCAAAATAAGCCCAAGTAAAAATGATTAGGATATTTATTAAGACCAACATAGTGTAATTACTGTTCTTTGTCTCTTTAGGTAAATTAAAAGCATAGGGGATGTCAAATATTGAAGTCACAAATAGAGTTATTCCTTGAAAGTATAAATGAACCTGCTGTTCAGCTGGAAGGCACCCACAAGGACATACCTGCTGTTAAAATATTGAAACAGTTCCATATGGGTTGGTAACTAGCTTCAGTCTCTAAGCACTCTAAGTATCTTAAGGTCTCTTTACAAGAAACCTCCCACATCCTAAGATCCAGCACACAAAAGATTAATATCTGACCCTATTTTGCTGAAATGGTGGGTATTTCAGCCCATCTTTCATTAATGTAAGAGCAAAATGGCCCTGCTCTTACATTAGGGCCAAGATTCTTTTTTTTGGGTGGGGGGGAACGGAGTCTCACTCCGTTGCCCAGGCTGGATGCAGTGGCGCAATCTCGGCTCACTGCAACCTCCACCTCCTGGGTTCAAGCGATTCTCCTGCCTCAGCCTCCCAAATAGCTGGGATTAAAGGTGCATACCACCACACCCAGCTCATTTTTGTATTTTTAGTAGAGACGGGGTTTCACTGTGTTGGCCAGGCTGGTCTTGAACTCCTGACCTCAGGGGATCCACCTGCCTCAGCCTCCCAAAGTGCTGGGATTACAGGCGTGAACCACTGTGCGTGGCCTAGGATTCTTTTTGATTAGTTGATGGCCAGGCCATATATGTCTTTAACTCTTTTGACTATCACTTCTACAAATAAGTTAACAGAAAAAAAGCGAAAAGCCATTAGCAAAGCTAACTATTCAATGATTTCCCACCCCACCACCAACTACCAAGGCTTTTTAAACTAGAAAGATCAAGAATAAGTGATAGAATTTACAGAAGACGTTAATAGAGCAATTTGAATGTGGTCATTCAACAAGCATTTACTGGCTGGGTGCAGTGGCTCATGCCTGTAATCCCAGCACTTTGGGAGACTGAGGTGGGCAGATCACGAGGTCAAGAGATCGAGATCATCCTGGCCAACATAGTGGAACCCCATCTCTACTAAAAATACAAAAATTAGCTGGGCGTGGTGGCGCGCACCTGTAGTCCCAGCTGCTCAGGAGGCTGAGGCAGAAGAATCACTTAAACCTGGGAGGCAGGGGTTGCAGTGAGCTGAGATCATGCCACTGCACTCCAGCCTGGCAACAGAGTGAGACTCCATCTGGAAAACAAAACAAAACAAAACAGAAAAAACAAGCATTTACTAAGGAATTCACTGTCCTCTAGGTATGAGGTTCATTGACTCTTGGTGGCTTGTATAATGGTCAGTACTATCCAGAGGCCTCCATTAACAGCTTAAAGATGAGTGAAACTGCCTTTGTGGTTTCAATTATGACAGTAAAAGAAATCTGACATAGTTGACTCCATCCTGCTTCTGACCTTCAAACTATCTTTGGTCATTTCTGGCCATAGGCCAAGATAACCTTGGGAGGGATTTTGTTTATAGTTTAACTTGAAAGCAAGCATGATAATAGTCCCTCCCTAAAACTAGCCCCCTCCTTGCTCAGGGACAGAAACCCGCCTTTGTAAGACTAATGAAAGACCACAGAATAGGATTATGGAAGGGGCTTGAACTCTGGTAAAATGTAGATGTAGTTTCTATAATCCTTTACTGCCAGGAGTAATGTGGCCAGGAGGCCACAAGATCTGTGACTTCCCCACTTGCTCCTATAGATAACACCACTGTTGTAGAAACGAATACTGGGTTTGTAGTTGTTTCAGACTGACCTCACCTGGATTTGTGACTCATAACTCAACTGGTCATATGGCCCCACCTAGAGGCGCACTGAGTGCACCAGGAGCTTTTTCCACACGTTGATGATTTCATCCCCAACCAATCAGCAGCATCCATTCCCTAGCCTCCTGTCCACTAAATTGTCCATAAAAACCTTAGTCTTCCAGCCTTTGGGGAGATTGATTGGAGTGATAACTCCAGTTCCTCTGCATGAGTCAGCCTCATGTCAATTAAACTCTTTCCCTACTGCAATGCCACAGTCTTAGTATATTGATTTTATCTGTGCAGTGGGCAGGAAGAAGCCATTGGGTGATTACAAGAGAATCGTCCAGAAAGTTAAAATATTATAAAAGAAAAACTGTCTCAGTCTTGATGTGGCTTCAGCATAGTTTTTATGTAGAACCAAGAACAGTGGTGTGCTGGTAAACTGACTCTGAAAAAGTAAAAGTTCTGATTTGTTAGAGTTTGCCGATTTTCACAATATAAAAATCCCTACCATGCCTAATTTCAAGCTCTGGATGTATCATCACAGAACACAGAATTGGAAATGCACATATTAAAGCCTTAAGAATCAGTAGAAGCTGGCTCCAGCACACCACTGACCCAGATGGCCAGGATTTTATATTCCCACATCCCTTAGTCATTGGATATGGGCCACTCTAGGGCAAGGTGGCTCTATGAACTTGAGACAGTCCCTAAGAAGAATGGCCACTGATGGTAATCTGCTGACAGCACTCCCGGAAGCTGGAGCAACAAGTCCTTTTTTGATGGGGGATCTGGGCAGTACATCACAGAGTCCACCGTACTTGTTATGGGAAACCAGTCATCTGCCTACTCAACTGTCAATCTAGTCACTTTTCACCTAAAAATGTTTTTCAACCTGGAACATATACTCTGAGACCTTTCACTTTTAGATGGTAGAGCTAATAGATACAAATTTGGAAAGATTTCCAGCAGTCCCAAACAGTAAACATCCAGGGAGGGATGAAGGCAAAGGAACGTCCAGAAGTCCAGAAAATCAGATGGAGCTGCTCAGATAGGCTTCTATAAAGAGGGAGGGTTTGAGCTTGACCTAAAGGATAAGTAGAGGTAGAAAAGCAGAGGAGATTGAATAGAAGCAGCATTGCACTGTGGTTAGAATCTTGTCTCTACCGCTTTTTAATTTTCAGGGATTGCACAAACTACTTTACTTCTCTGTGCCTCAGTTTATCCATAGGTAAAATGGGGATGATGATGACATAATAATAGTAATAATATTATCTACCTCAAAGTGTTGTTGAAATGAGTTAATTCACATTGAGATTTTTTTTTTTTTTTTTTTTTTTTGAGACCGGGTCTCGTTCTGTAACCCAGGTTGGAGTGCAGTGGCGTGATCTCGGCTTACTGCAACCTCCGCCTCCCAGGTTTAAGTGATTCTCCTGCCTCAGCCTCCTGAGTAGCTGGGATTACAGGCACCCACCACCATGCCCGGCTAATTTTTTGTATTTTTAGTAGAGATGGAGTTTCACCATGTTGGCCAGGCTGGTCTCGAATTTGTGACCTCAAGTGATCCGCCCACCTCAGCCTCCCAAAGTGTTGGGACTACAGGTGAGAGCCACCGCAACCAGCCCATATTGAGAGTTAATAACAGTGCTTAGTAATATTTGGCCTCTGACAAACAATCTGTTATTTCATGCAGCAAAATGGAGATATCATATTGCAGAGTAGTGCAAAAAATAAAAATAACAAAAAAGAATATACTGAACTTTAATCAGAAATGATGACCTATTTTCCCTTCTTACAAAATGTCCTACCAAGAGTGAATCTTTGGGTTGAACTTCCCTGGTAGCAGGGCATGGTGGCTCACACCTGTAATCCCAGCACTTAGGATGGCAGAGGCAGGAGGATAGCTTGAGTCTCAGAGTTTGAGATCTACCTGGGAAACATAGTGAGACCCCATTCTCCACAAAAAAATAAAAAAGGAAAAACAAAACAAACAAAAAAACCAAGTTGAACTGCCCTGGCAGCCAGAGTATAACAAAACTTTGACGTGTGCTCAAAACTAAACTGCCAGGAAAAATTCAAAGAGCGAAGTTTCACCTTGCCAGAACAGGTCCTTAATGGCAGGCACACCCCTGATAGTTACAAGGATTGGGGGAAGAAAACAAATGGGTGCCCTCAGATTCCCAGCCTAGGCCCTGTCCTGCACCACAAGGACCCACATGTGTATGCATACACCTCAGCGGCCATGTCCTAACTTCACCGACTGCTTCCCCAGATGAAGTCACTCCTCAGGCCTATGACGACATACTGACAGCTGGGTCAGCTCCCAGGATGACAAACCCTGGGAAAAAGGCCCATGCAGCCCGGAGGCAGGCTCTCAACTTTCAGGGCAGGGAATTCTGAAGCCCCATGTACCTGATCTAGAAGGAGGGGCCTCCAGGTTGCTACCTTCTAGGCCAAAGAGGCCAGAGGGGAGCCAGAGAACAGCTGATTGCCCAGGACTGATGGCAGTGCATGGAGGGTCTACTGGGGATCAACCCTTTTAATGCAATATTTTATCTTTTATATATGTGGGATTTTGATAAGGTACTTATGTCATAAGAGAGGCTTTGTTATACTAGAAAAAGCACTGGATTGAGAATCAGGACATTTGTGACTGGGTACGGTGGCTCATGCCTATAATCTCAACACTTTGGGAGGCCAAGCTAGGAGGATTGCTGAGGCCAGGAGTTCAAGACTGGCCTAGGCAATATAGCAAGACCCCATCTCTTTTTTTTTTTTTTTTTTTTTTTTGAGACCAAGTCTCACTCTGTTGTCCAGGCTGGAGTGCAGTGGTGTGATCTCTGCTCATTGCAACTTCCGCCTCCCGAATTCAAGTGATTCTCCTGCCTCAGCCTCTGGAGTAGATGGGATTACAGGCATATGCCACCAAGCCCAACTAATTTTTTGTATTTTTAGGAGAGACAGGGTTTCACCATGTTGGCCAGGTTGGTCTCGAGCTCCTGACCTCAAGTGATCCACCTGCCTCGGCCTCCCAAAGTGCTGGGATTACAGGCATGAACCACCCCGCCTGGCCCAGCAAGACCCCCATCTCTAAATAAAACATAAATAAATAAAAGAATCAGGACATCTGAATTAGAATCCTAGCCACAAAGTGTAGGATTAGGAATTATATTTACTACTCTTCACAATACCAAGCACAATGATGGTCTATAGGAAGATCTAATGAGCAATTTATATTTGTAATGTTGAAGACAATCAGGATTCAGAATTATACTTGGGTTTCAACAGTGATTTTTAAGGATTTGTTGTTATTTTGTTTTTTTGTTTTTCAGATAAAGGAATACTAGACATCAAAATGTTTATTAGGTGATGGACATATAGTCATCCTTCCAGTTTAAGATCTAAGAGCAATACTCAAACAGAAATCAAATAAATGTCTATGACAATTAAGGCAAACATACTCATTTGTCTACAAGCAAAGAGCATTTTGGAAAGAACACTCCCTTGTTCAAATTTTGGTGAACTGGTTGTGGAGACAAAAGTGACTCCATCTTGGATGCTAATCTGCCATGTTGACTTCTGATTAACCCCAGTCTGGGGAATGCCTCTAAGATTTCTATTTTTATCTATGTATACTGTCTGTAAATCCTGTTCTTAGGCCAAGACACCCTTGATGTTATCAAATCCTGCCCTTAGGCTATGACACACATAGCATTCTTCCCTTTTCCTGAGAGGTGGACTTCAATTGTCCTTATACATTCCTTCTAAAGCACATATACCCTTTCTCTGTGGTATATATCTGGGAGAAAACTGTGGAAATCTACCTGTCTGGCAGCTGCCCAAGACCATCCTTTTGTCCATAAGTTCCCCAGTAAATAACCCTCTACTGACAAACTGGATTTGTCTGCCTTGTTCTTTGGTTTCTTGGTTCCTTCTGCATTTGGGGGTTGGTTTGCGTATATGGCCCTTTCATGAAGCACACATCATGTCTTTTGTTTTTTTATTTTTAAGATACCAGGTCTTGCTCTGTTGCCCAGACTTGAGTGCAGTGGCGCAATCATAGCTCACTGCAGCCTTGAACTCCCACCTCAGCCTCCTGAATAGCTGGGACTACAGGATCAGGCCACTACACCTGGCTAATTTAAATTTGTCTTTCTCTTTTTTTACAAAGATAGGACGTTGCCCAGGCTAGTCTAAAACTCCTGGCCTTAAGTGACCCTCTTGCGTTAGCCTCCCAAAATGTTGGTACTATAGGCACGAGACACTGCACCTGGCCTGTTTTTTTGTTTTTTGTTTTTTTTTTATATCTTACCTAAGGTCCACTCCTATCTCTAACAGCCCCATCTCTTTTCTTTTCTTATGTGATCTAAAAATCTTCCCCCAACACTACACTGAGACCCAAATGAGCTTTTTTTTTTTTTTTGAGATGGAGTTTCACTCTTGTTGCTCAGGCCAAGATCATGCCACTGCACTCCAGCCTGGGTGACAGAGTGAGACCCTGTCTCAACAACAACAACAACAACTGCAGATCAAAGTTAAAGAAAGTAAGAACTAAATGGAGCATCTTTTTAGTTTTACCAAGTAGACTATTTCTTTGTCTAGGATGTCTTTCTAGAACCCAGAAACAGAAAATGGCTCTTTTATCCTGTTGGCTTCAATATAATCATTCTTCCTAGGAGGCATATGATGTGGGTGATGGGTGGGTATGTGGTGGGGAGAGGCCCTGTGATACTTAATGAGCTGCAAATAACTCACTCCCATGTATTTGTGTGAGTGGAGTCACCCTACCTACTTATGCTAGCCTGTTTTCACACTCAGTTGATTCAAAAACTGTTGAATCAGACCACTCTGGAGCTTCTGAAAAAGTCCTCCAGACAACGGTGGGCAAGAGCAGGTTGCAACCAGGTTCCATTTACGGCAGTGTTTCTGAATGTTGTTTTGTACATTTTTATTACAAAACAGTTCACGATCGAACTTATTCACACTTTCATGTTGGAGCACTCGATCCTTCCTAAATAAATTAATGTTGCCCCGTTTCCACATTCTGTGTCTGGGATATAACTTGTCTTCAAATATAAGTAAGCATTCTCATTATCAGAAAAAAGAGTTGCAAGGCATCAGGAGAGAGAGCCACAGAGGAAAATATTCCAAAGATCTTGGCATTCTTCCTATAACTTTTGTACCCTCAATCTTTTTCTTCCACATTTATGAAGCTTTTAAAACATTTTCCACCCTGAATGGCACACATTTACTGGGGTGACTTTACATTGTTTGCATTATTGTGGTTCTGGGACGTGAAGTTCTTAGAGGACAGGGGCATGTTTAGAATCACATCCTACAGAGAAGTGTTTAGTAAGTAGGAATGAGAAACATCGTCCGCAAGCATTTAAGGGAGTCTGTTTCCATTTTCAGTAAGGGCAGGTTGTCACTCAACAGGCAGATGACCCAATAGACACAGTGGTATGTTTGGTTCCTGGGAGGGATGGATGTGTAGAGAAAGGGAGGAAAAGAGGAAGAAAGCAACATTAAGCCTGATCCCTGCCATAAGCTGAGCTCCTCACCACACGCACATGCACGCACAGACACATACACACACACACACTCGCTCCTTGGCACGCAGACACACACAGAGCTTTGCTATTCTTCGGCTAATGGGATTGGCACCGCTTAAAGCAGACTGCTAGGTCATTGTCTGTGACCACAGCAAGAGAAACATTATTTAAAGACCATTCAGACCCTAAAAGAAGCGGCTGAGCAGAGTAATTATCGGAGACTCTCCATTAACTAGGGCATCTTTGCTCTTTGTCTGGGTTGGTTTAACAAGGCCCGCTAATGGGACTGTACAGGAGGGGTACACTAATGGTTCTAAAAAAGCCTCTTTTGGCCCCTTTATTACTGGGGACTGTCTTTAGAGATGCTGACAGTAAAGCAAGAAGTTACCATATTACAAAATGACCTTCCCAAAAATTTGATTTGGACCCTTGCAGCTTAGGACTCAGGTTTCCAAAATTAGAAAACATCTTTGTCTTCTCCACTTTTTAAAACTCTAAGTTGGTTCCCCGCTGCCCCCTGCCAACCCCCCGCTCCCCCGCCACTGTTCCTCTTACCTTACTTGGCCCTTTGGTTTCTTGGGAACTTGTCATTGGAAACAGCAGCACTCAGTGGTGATAAAGCAGAATGGCACTCCTGAGGAATTTCTCCTTGAGCTGGCTTCTCTACTCACTCTCCAGGACTCCACTTCTCTAGAAAAACTGCCTGTCCCATTATCACTTTTAAAATATGAAGCTAGAAGTCAATCACATGCTTACAAACCTAATACGGCCACCTAAATTAAAACTACTGTTCCATAATCAGTTAGCTTTATAACAAAGGCTTCAAATGCTTAGCTCTCCTAGAAGCTTGCATCACATACAGGGAACTCTTCTGTGCAGAGCTGTCTACCTCTCTTCATTTCCCCTCTCCCAACCCTAGACCAAGCTTCCATCTTCTCTCCTCTGGGTGACTGCAATTGTCCTGCAATCACCTCCTAGCAGCACTATTGGCCCTTTCAATCCATTAACTCTGCAACAGCCAACAGCCAGAGTAGCTCTTTCAAAACAGAAACCTGCTTAAGCATTTCAGTAGCTTCCTATTGCTCATAAGAATTCTTACTGTGATTTAAGAGACCCAGACATGGTCTGGTCCTTTTTTCCTCCCTAGCAACATCTTGTACCATGCTCCCCCTAGCGTCTGCTTCAGCCACTGCAGCCTTCTTCAATGCCATGAGCAATTCATGCTCATTCCTGCCACAGGGCCTTTGCATATCATTCTGTCTAGAACACTCTTTACCCGAGTAGTTTCCACTCATCCTTCAGCTCTCAGCTCAGTAGTCAGCCCTTCAGGAAAGTTGTCCCTTAGTGCCCCTTCTAGGTTGACGACGTCTATATCATGCAATTATAGCACCATATGCTCCTCTTCACAGCATTTACAGTAAACGTTTATACTTATCAGAATGCTTTTATGTTAATAATTACCTTGCTGTGAAACTGTAAGCTTCATGAGAATAACCACATGTTCCATAAGCAATAATTCTGCCTATTTTTGTTGTACCATCCTGTCCTCAGTGCCCAGTACAATGTTTGTGACCTGAGTGCTTAATAAATCTTTGTTGCATTGTGTATAGTGATTCAAAATACTGTACCCCGGCTCCTCCATGCCTGTTCGCAATTTTTTTTTTTTTTTAGATGGAGTCTTGCTCTGTCGCTCAAGTGATTCTCCTGCCTCAGCCTCCTGGGTAGCTGGGACTACAGGCACGTGCCACCACGCCTGGCTATTTTTTTTTCATTTTTTTTTTTTTTAGTAGAAATGGGGTTTCACCGTGTTAGCCAGGATGGCCTCAATCTCCTGACCTCATGATCTGCCCGCCTCAGTCTCCCAAAGTGTTGGGATTACAGGCGTGAGCCACTGCGCCTGGCCGCCTGTTTGCAATTTATCAACCAAAGTTTATTCCCTGAGAGGTTCCTATGTCCGGTATATTTGGGAACTACCTATATTCCATATTTTCTCAGATCAGCGTAAGGGGCCAGGTCTCTTTTCCTATGGGATTAAAGACTAATTTTCTAGTTTTAGGGGCAGAACTAGAAGCACATTCTCATTCCCCCTCTGAGAGCATCTTTACACAATAACAGACTCACAAGGCACAAGTAGACATACACAAGCTTTAGCGATGCCTCCTGTCTTCTCAAGACCCTGTGGGAAAGAGAACAGAGGGTCTATCCAAAGAAGAAGTTGAAGAATTAGAGTGTCTCAGCACTCCAGATATGCCAGCACAGAAATAGGTGGGTGGAATTGTTCCAATTATTTATGATCCCCAAGAAAACTGGGGACTTTCTCTACTGTTTAGAGAAGGAAGCATGGGCTTCAGTAGATGCAGAGTAACAGCATGGATTGGGTGTGTATTCTGTTGCCTTTAGCTGCCCTGGAGAGAAGGCCATCAGGCCATATACAGCCAGCTGAATGTACCATGACTCATACTGAATGGGATCAGGCATTCAGTGGGCTGACTGAAGCCGTGTATCCTATCACTCCTTTTAAAAATATAAAGCTATAAGCCCACAAGTTTGAGACCAGCCTGGGCAACATAGTGAGACCTCATCTCTACCAAAAACTTAAAAATTAGCGAGACGTGGTAGTGCACACCTGTATTCTCAGCTACTTGGGAGGCTGAGGTGGGAGGATTGTTTGAGCCCAGAAGGTCGAGGCTGCAAAGAACTGTGATTGCACCACTGCACTCCAGCCTGGGCAACAGGGTGAGACCCTGTCAAAAAAAAAAAAAAAAAGCTAGAAATTGATTGCATACGTGTATTTTATACTTAGTATGGCCACCTAGACCCAGACTGCTGTCTTATAATCAAGTTGCATCACTCAGCCTCAGGATTGCACCAATTTAGGGACAGTCTGGAGACCAAAGAAAAAGTCTTATTATAAAATTGTGTTTTCAGAAAATCTGAGGCCCATAGAGAATTGTCCTCCCAAGACAGGTGAACATAAAGCCACATGGTCACACCTCATGGGTTCCAGATGCATTCAAGTTCAGAGCCAGTGCCAGGAAATTTTCTAGAGCTGGTACTACTGGAAGAGACTGCTGCAAACACATAATCTTTACTGCATCTAAATTATGGAGAAAATGTGCAAACCTCCAAGCCTCAATTAACACGTATCCTATGGGCATCTCTTGGCACTCTTGTACTGCACAGGATAGAGGAGTGTGAAACAAGATTCCTGCCCTAATGAAAGAGATATGTGTTTCATAGAAACACATATCTAATGAACACAGTCTAATGTGTTCTAACACAGTCTAATGAAAGAGATATGTGTTTCATAGAATGAACAAAGCAACAGAATATACGTTCTAAATTATTGAGTTCTGGACCAGTGTCTCTAGAAGTGTGATCCACAACCTGCATGCGGCATCAACATCATTTGGGAATATTGTTTGAAATGCAAATGATTGTTTGAAATGCAAATGTTGGGTCACCCTATTGAATCAGAAGTTCTGGGGGTGGGGAAACAGGAGCATTAACAATCTCTCCAGGGGATTCCTATACACACTAAAGTTTGAAAGGCATTATAAAAATTGAGAAAAGAAGTGGTCGGAGTGGAATGAGAGCTGAAGGAAAAGTTTTTATACATATTTTCCATTTTAAAAAATAGAGATAAGGTCTCGCTATGTTGTCCAGGCTGGCCTTGAACTCCTGGTCTCAAGCAGTCGTCCCACCTCAGCCTCCCAAAGTGCTGAGATTACAGATGTGAGCCACCGTGTCTGGCCTCCCAGAATTATTAAAGCCAGTGGTAGACCAAGGGTAGGGCAGTGGGAACAATAATAAAATCAACTGAAAGTTGGGCCGTGCTGATCACCATGTGCCAGCAAACGTAAACAAGGTCAATGACAAAATATTCCTCCCTGAAAAAAATATTTGGCGTAAATCTGAACAATTGCTGAGGTTACTGAGTTTTAATAATGTGCATGTAAACTTCAACTTAGCACATTTTATTACTCATCCTTCAGCAAACCCAGTGTTCTACATGGAAGTAAATTACAAGAATTTCCAGTTATACATTCAGTTTCCAACACACGGGACTCAGCGATGCTGGCTCCTTATTTATTTATTTATTTATTTATTTATTTATTTATTTATTTATTTATTTATTTATTTTGAGACAGAGTCTTGCTGTCGCCCAGGCTGGAGTGCAGTGGTACAATCTCCGCTCACTGCAAGCTCCGCCTCCCAGGTTCACGCCATTCTCCTGCCTCAGCCTTCCGAGTTGCTGGGACTACAGGCGCCCGCCACTACGCCCGGCTAATTTTTTGTATTTTTAGTAGAGACGGGGTTTCACGGTGTTAGCCAGGATGGTCTCCTGACCTCGTGATCCGCCCGCCTTGGCCTCTCAAAGTGCAGGGATTACAGGCGTGAGCCACTGCGCCCGGCCTGCAGGCTCCTTTAAAAGTACCTTTATAATGGACCAGATGGTTCCAGCTCACTTTGGGGGCCTAGTTGTGATTTCAATCCTAGTGAAATGCCTGTGTTTAAACAGTAGATTTGAAATAATAGTGATTACAAAGAGAAAAAATAAGAATATGAGTTAACTTTAGTTCTGTCCTTTGTGACCTTTTGGGCTATTGATATTTGTAATATGAAACAGTGAAACAATGCAGACTACAAAGTGAATGTATTTGATTGGCAAAAATTTGATTACAAATTTTCATTTTTACGTGAAATATTGTACTGAATTTGAATAAAATCTTTACAATTGGAATTTATTCTTGTTTTTAACATGTTGGTCTTTCATAATTATTATCAAACTGTAATGCTATTATTCATTGCTGCAACCAACCAGTATGTAGGCACAAAGTTACAAGATTTTCCTTTTATGAGAAACAAAAACAAAATACGTCATTGTTATTAAAAAGCATTAATCCATATTTTCCTTTTTTGTAATGTAATAATTTTTACTAGAACAAAGTTTAATAAAATATTTTCACTTTCTGCTTTTCTTTTCTGAAAGATAAACTATTATTATTGTTGTTTTACTTAATGATTTTGTTTCTGAAATTGAGTTTGTTGTATAGAGAATAGGAATCTGCTGTGCCACTGGTTAAAACTATCTCCTTTTTTTTTTCCCTTTTTTTTGAGACAGAGTCTAGCTCTGTCATCTGAGCTGGAGTGCAGTGGCATGTTCTTGGCTCACCTCCCCAGCTCAAGTGATCCTCCCACCTCAGCCTCCCGAGTAGCTGGAGCTACAGATGCACGTCACCATGCTTAGTTAATTTTTGTATTAAAACTATCTCAATTTTAGTTGATAAGTACTGATCACCATGACTTACCAGTTTATTAGTTTGTTAGAGTCCATCTCATGTAATTTTTAATGAAGAGTACAGAGGTGGCTTCTTTCCAAGTGCTTTTGAATTGGAGGAGTCTTTATATTGCCTTTTCCTGAATAAAAATGTGGCTGAGTATTATTTCAACCTCATTTCTCAGCACTCTGTAAACATTGTTTCATTGCGTTCAGGTATTTCATGTGACACAAAAAGAGAAACTTGTGACAATATTAATTTTTTTCTTTGTTTTGGGATTTAATTTTTATAATGAGAAAATATGGTAGCTTTTTTTTTCTTAATTCTGTGGTTCAAAAATTTTGTTCAAATATGTCTAGGTGTACGTTTTTCTTGATTTTTTTTTTTTTTTTTGAGACAGGGTCTCACTCTATCACCTAGGGTGGAGTGCAATGGCATGTTCGTAGCTCACTGCAGCCTCGAATTCCAGGGCTTAAGCAATCCTCCCACCTCAGCCTCTGGAGTAGGATCTATAAGCATATGCCACCACACCTGGCTAATTTCCTTTATTTTTATTTTTATTTTTTTTTTTTGAGACGGAGTCTCGCTCTGTCGCCCAGGCTGGAGTGCAGTGGCAGGATCTCGGCTCACTGCAAGCTCCGCCTCCCGGGTTCACGCCATTCTCCTGCCTCAGCCTCCCAAGTAGCTGGGACTACAGGCGCCCGCCACTACGCCCGGCTAATTTTTTGTATTTTTAGTAGAGACGGGGTTTCACCGTTTTAGCCGGGATGGTCTCGATCTCCTGACCTCGTGATCCGCCCGCCTCGGCCTCCCAAAGTGCTGGGATTACAGGCGTGAGCCACCGCGCCCGGCCATTTCCTTTATTTTTTTGTAGAGATGAGGTCTCACTGTGTTGCCCAGTCTGGTTTTGAAGTCCTGAGATTTATTTCATCTGGAACATGTATTAGCACTTTTGATCTAGTTAAACAACTTCACTCATTCATTCATACGCATTCATTTTCTTATATCAGACTTCTATTTTACAGTGGTTCTGACTTATTTTTTTCCTAACTCAACTGAAGCACACAATACAGCCCAATTAGCAGACACTAATTACTGCAATTTAAAAGTACGCCAGCCCATTGGGGCCATTCTCATCATGTGCCCACCCAGGCTGTTATCACACTCTCTCATCTCCACCCTCCAGTGGAGAATCACTCTCCTCTCATATCCCTGGTGAGTGTGTCTTTCCACTGATTCTGAGTTCTTAAGAAATGTCAGTTGACTCTGTTTTTCGCTCTTTAGCCTTCATTTCTACCATCTTATCTTTATCATTCATTGTCCTTTTTTTCCCTGTATTTTGGGAAAGTTATTTAACTTGTCCTTGTCACTACAGCATCAGTTTTGCTACGCTTCCAACATTGTGGTGTTTTGTTTTGTTTTTGAGTCGGAGTCCCACTGTGTTGCCCAGGCTGGAGTGCAATGGCATGATCTTCGGCTCACTGCAACCTCCACCTCCCGGGTTCAAGCAATTCTCCTGCCTCAGCCTCCTGAATAGCTGGGATTACAGGTGTCCACCACTATGTCCGGCTAATTTTTGTATTTTTAGTAGAGACGGGGTTTCACCATATTGGCCAGGCTGGTCTCTTGGCCAGGCTGGTCTCGAACTCCTGACCTCATGATCCGCCAGCCTCAGCCTCCCAAAGTACTAGGATTATAGGAGTGAGCCACTGTGCCTGGCCTGTTTTTTTTTTTTTTTTTAATTCCAGCACACAAGAATTTCCTTGCAATCTTTCTTCATTACATCATTCTTCCTTTAATAAAAATCTTGTTGTGGCCAGGCATGATGGCTCATGCCTGTACCCAGCATTTTGGAAGGCCGAAGTGGGAAGATCGTTTGAGCTCAGGAGTTCCAGACCAGCCTGAGCAACAGAGTGAGACCCTATTTCTAAATAAAATAAAATAAAATAAGATAAAATATTAGCTGGGTGTGGTGGCTCATGCCTATAGTCCCAGCTACTTGAGAGGCTGAGAAGGGAGTAACGCTTGAGCCCAGGAGTTTGAGGCTGCAGTGAGCCATGATCGTGACGCTGCACTCTGTCTCAAAAAAAAAAAAAAAAAAAAAAAAGATTGTCTATGGTATGGTCTGAATGCTTGCATTCCCCAAAAATTTATATGTTGAAATCCTAACCCTCAAGGTGAAGGTATTAGGAGGTAAAAGGCCTTTGGGAGGTGATTAGGTCATGGGATGGAGTCTTCATGCATTGGATTAGTGTCTTAATAAAAGAGGCCTGAGAGAGGCCCTTCCCTCTGGCTTCTTCAGCCACGTGAGATTACAGTGAGAAGACGGCTGTCTAAAGGGAAGCAAGCAGGCCTTCACCAGACACCGAATCTGCCAGTGCCTTGATCTTGGACTTCCAAGCCTAGAGAACAATCAGAAATAAATTTCTGTTCTTTAAAAGCCACCCAGTCCATGGTGCTTTGTTAGAGTAGCCTCAACAGATGAATACATTGCATTTTTCATTTCATCCTTATGTCTTGATTTTATTCCTTTCTTTTAATAACTCCTGGCCCTTCCCTTAAAAAAAAAATAATCCTTCTTATACCTTTGGAGACTTCCAGTTCCCTGAAGTTTCCTTCTGTATTCTACAGTAGATCAATTCCTGGGGCAAGCTCTACCCTGGAACCTTCTGGAAGTTGTTTCCTTTTTCCTATTCTGCAAGTGTCTCCAAGGCTGCAGTGTTTTGCCCTCTTTACTCATCCTTGAATAAGGTAAGCTACGTCTAGACTGAAGGTTTATTATCAAACAAGCTCTTGAATCCATTCTCTGTCAAGTGGAATAATGCTGGAGCCCTCTTCTCAGACACATCCGGAGAAGAGGTCACCTCTGTAGCTGTCAGGTCAGTTTCCAGGTTTCAGTCAGCTTTCCCCTACCTGCTCTCTGGCAGCAGATTTCACTGGTGCTCACTCCTCGATTATGCCTTGACCTAGCCCCTCCCTTTCTTCCCCTCAGAGCTAACACTATGCCAGTGTTTGTCATAATCCTCTCTTTGCTTTTATTTCCTTTCTTTCTCCCTTCCCTCCCCTCCCCTCCCCTCCCATCCCGTTCCCTTCCCTGCCCTGCCCTGCCCTGCCCTGCCCTGCCCTGCCCTTCTTTCTTCTTTTTTTTTCTTTTTGAAACAGAGTTTCATTCTTGTTGCCCAGGCTGGAGTGCAGTGGTACATCTTGGCTCACTGCAACCTCCGCCTCCCCGGTTCAAGCGATTCTCTTGCCTCAGCCTCCCGAGTAGCTGGAACTACACGTGTGCACCACCACGCCCGGCTAATTTTGTATTTTTAGTAGAGACAGGGTTTTACCATGTTGGCCAGGCTGGTCTCCTGACCTCAGGTGATCCGCCTGCCTCGGCCTCCCAAAGTGCTGGGAATACAGGCTTGAGCCACGGCGCCTGGCCTCTTTGCTTTTATTTCTATAGTTGTATCATTTATACAGCTATAGTTGTATAGTTGTATCACATCACTTAGGATGTGATAAGCATCCCTAAATAATGTAATTAGTATTTCAAGAAATTTGAATGCAAGTTTATATTTTGCTTTTTTTCTTCTTATTATTATTGTTATTTTTCTCATCATTCCTATTCAAGGAAGTTTTTATCTTGGGAGGACTTGCTTCTTTCAATTTAATGTGCCAATGCCCTGCAGTCCAACAGGAAAACTCCTGCAGTTGAAGAAATTGAGTTCGTTACTCATTATAGTGAGGGGGAAGCACAGCATGGGGAAGGAGGGGGCATCTCAGTAAGAGAGTGTCAGGATATCTCAGTAAGAGGGTGTCAGGACATCCTAGTAAGAGGGTGTCAGGACTCATTGTAGGATTTGGGCTTCTGTTAGGTAATTTTGGGGAGAGTTTAAGGAACAAGGACTTTGCTCTGGATTAGATACTGTCAGGAGCACTGAGTATCGCACTAAATCTTATCTAGAAGGAGGGAAGGCTAGACCAAGGCTAATGCTGTAATTGGGAAAAAAGCAGCAGTCCCTCATATTAGCTAGAATAAGAGGGTACTTAGTCATTTTTGTGGTCTGGGCAATATCCATGTTTTGTCTGTGGTCAGATGTGATTACAGAGTAATCTTGTTTTTGTCTTTATCATGGTCACAGTGTGGCCTTATCTGGTGTTATGTTACATGAAATTACTTACTTTCAACAGGTGAACACCAATGTTTAGTTGTGAGCGGCCATCTGATAGCACGAGCACAGCTGCTGGATATTAGGGGTTGCTTTTCCTTTTTTTTTCTCAAATGTTGATGGGATTCATCCATGTCGTTACATGTAGCTATGGTTTATTCATTTTCACCACTCAGTAGTATTCTCTTGTATAGAATACTATTAAGCATTCCATATACAGTATAATACATTTGTGTGTATTACAATACAACCATTTTTATTTATTTGCTCTACTCTTGATGGACATTTGAATTGTTTGCAGTTTTGGACTATGACAAGTATGCTGCTATGAATATTCTTGTACATGTCTCGTGGTGCACATGCTCAAGGAATTCTATAGAGTATATATTTAGGAATGGAATTGCTTGGTCATAAGGATGTTACAACAGTCCCCCCAACATGTGGTTTTGCTTTCTGTGGTTTCAGTTACCCATAGTCAACGTCTGAAAATAGGTGAGTACAGTACAATCAGATATTTTGAAAGAGACCAAATTCATATAACTTTTATTACAGTATATTGGTATTATTGTTCTATTTTGTTAATTGTTGTTAATCTCTTACTGTGGCTAATTTATTATTCATAGGTATGTATGTATAAGGAAAAACATAGTATACATAGGGTTCAGTACTATCCGCAGTTTCAAGCATCCACTGGGGATCTTGGAACATATCGCCTGCAGGTAAGGCCCCAGGGAACACTTTAATCTTCAACTCTTTACTGTCAAACTGTTTTTCCAAAATACTTGTTACAGTTTACCTCCCTCTCCCCATCTGCCCACTGCTTAATTGTCTGATACTTGGAGCTTAACGCAGTGCACGGAAAATTGCGAGCCCCGGAATTCACTGCTGCAGTATTCTGGGGCTTGCAATTCAGTATTCTCAGCGCTTTACTTAGGGGGACCAGAACTTTCCCTGCCACATACTTTCTGCTTCATTTAAAATTGGAGACTCTTGAAAAGTTTTAAATGGAGATGGGAAGGAGCCAGTAAAGAAAGAGAGATTGAGGATACAGGGGAGAGAGACAGTAATCTGCAGAGAGAGGATCTTGGTCAGGTGAGAGAGGACAAAATGGAGGCACTGGCATTTCTTCCATTGCAAAGTAAACCATAAATAATGCCTGGATGAGCTTACAAGGAAGTCGCCATAACTGTGATTACTCTTACTAGACTTGGGATGGTCAGGGAAGGCTCTAGATAAAATGTTGTATTGAAGTTGGACTTCGAAGTCAGGCTATAATGGATATGGGCAGAAAGAAAGGGACGGGCTGATTTAGGGATAAAGCAAAAATCTCATAAAGCAAATGCTGGTGTGGAGGGTAAAGTTGTGGGAAATAATACTGGAAAGATACTTTTTTTTTTTTTTTTTTTTTTTTTTAAATAGAGATGGAGTCTTGCCATCTTGCCCAGGCTGATCTTGAACTCCTGGACTTGAGCGATCTTCCCACCTTGGCCTCCCAAAGTGCTGAGATTACAGGTGTGACCAACCATGCCCTGCCTGGAAAGAAAGATTTGAACAGACCAAGGAAGGTGTGAAACCTGGGCTGAGGATGAAACCATTACCTGAGGGGAATGATATGGTTTGGCTCTGTGTCCCCACCCAAATCTACCTTGAGTTGTAATAATCTCCATGTGTCAAGGGTGGGACCAGGTGGAGGTAACTGGATCATGGGATTGGTTCCCCCATGCTGTTCTCGTAATAATGAGTAAGTCTCAGGAGATCTGATGGTTTTATAAGCATCTGGCATTTCCTCTGCTTGCACTTGCTCCATTCTACCACGCTGTAAAGAAGGTGCCTGCTCATCCTTTGCCTTCTGCCATGATTATAAGTTTCCTGAGGCCTCCCTAGCAATGTGGAACTGTGAGTCAATTAAACCTCTTTCCTTTATAAATTACCCAGTCTCGGGTATTTCTTTATAGCAGAGTGAGAACAGACTAATACTGGGAGTTTGAAGGCTTTTGTGCAAGAAAGTAATGGGATAAAACCAATGTTGAATGCTAGATTGGAGTAGTCTAGACATAATGTAGTTATACTGAAAAAGAAGGGTCAGGTCTTAGACACCCTAAGAAGGGAGAATTAACATCTTAAGAAGGGAAAATTAGGTCTGTAAACTGGTTGTTTCATTTAAGTAAAAGATCAGAAGGACAATTAGTCATTCAGTTTTAGATATGTTAGGTTGACCTTTGATTTTCATATCTAAAAATGTCAGGCAAATCAAATTATGGGTTCAGCAATCTGCTTCCAGTCAGTAACAGAGACATTAGACCATGAAACATACAAAGTAAACACTAACAACTCCCTCCACTCCCATCCCTCCATTAAAAAACAAACAAACAAACAAAAAAACCCACCTCATTTTGTAGCTTTTGTTGATTTGCCTCCTAGTAACCAATCAGGAGGCAGTTCAGTACCTCTCTCTTCAAACAGTTACTTACGTATGCTCCTAGAAAGAAAAAAATAACTATGAAGCCATATTTATATAGATGTATACTTTTTAAATTTATTCAAGTGGTTTTGAATTCTGTGTCTACCACTAAGTTACCATGCAATCTCTGGCAGGTCGCTTAAACCTATTTGTGCCTCTCAGTGTCACCATCTAGAAAATGAGGGTGATGATATAAAAATATAGGGTTCCAAAGAAGATTAAGTGAGTTATTGAATGTAAAGGACTTAGAAGAGTGCCTGTCACATAGCAAAAGCTCAGTAAATATTTGTTATTTTTATTGTTTTCTTGGAGATCCTTTCATATCAGCCCATATAACTATAATATTTTTAAAAGGCTGTATAAAGCCGGGCATGTGGCTCATGCCTGTAATCCCAGCACTCTGGCAGGCTGAGGCGGGTGTATCATTTGAGGTCAGGAGTTTGAGACCAGTCTAGCCAACGTGGTGAAACCTCGTCTCTACTAAAAATATAAAAATTAGCTGGGTGTGGTGGCATGTGCCTATAATCCCAGCTACTCAGGAGGCTGAGAGAGGAGAATCGCTTGAACTCAGGAGGCGAAGTTTGCAGTGAGCCAGGATTGCGCCATTGCACTCCAGCCTGGGTGACAGAGTGAGACTCTGTCTCAAAAAAAAAAAAAAGAGAAAAGAAATAAAATAAAAAATAAAAGGCTGCATAATAGTCCCCAGAATGGCTAGCTCCAGATTTTCAGATTTTTCTATTATAAACGATATACTTGTACATCTATATTGGCAAGTTTTTGCAAGTATATCCATATGGTAATTTTTTGAATTGCAGAATTAAAGGATGTGGTGTATTTAAATTTTGAAGGATATTGCTAAATTGTCCTCAAAAAAGTGTACCAATTTGCACTCCTACCAATACAGCATGAGAATGACTGTGTCTGTATTCTTAACAACATTTATTATTATCTAGCTTTGTAATATGATAAACAAATTCAAATCGCTCATTGGTTTTTTTTTTACATAAGCTTTTAAAAAATAACAGCTTTATTAAGATATAATTCATATGCCAGGCAGTTTACCCATTTGAAGTGCACAATTCAATGGTTTTAGTATTTCACAGAGTTGTGCAAGCATCACCACAATCAATTTTCATGACCTCCCCCCAAAACTGTATCTATTAGCAGTCACTCACCATTTTCCCTCTAGTCCCACCCCCTCACGCCTTAGGCGACCATGAACCCACTTTCTGTCTCTCTGGATTTACGTATTCTGAGCATTTTATGTCATTGGAATCATAAAACATATGCTCTCGTGTGTGGCATTTTTCACTTAGCATAACGTCTTCAAGGCTCATCCATGTTGTAGCACGTGTCAGTTTTTCATTCCTTTTTATGGCTGAATAACAGTCTTTTGTATAGATACAGCACATTTTGTTTATCCATTCATCAGTTGATGAGAATTTGGGTTATTTATACTTTTTGGCAGTTATTTAATAATTCTGCTTTTTATTGCCAGATAATATTTCATTATATGGATATACTCATTATTTTTATATGCAGTTATTTAATTGTGAATGAGACAAAGATTTTAATAGATTTGACCATTTTCTTTTTGATTTGTTTTTACTTACTGAGTTGTACAAGAAGTTGTATATTAATGATTTTCTTTGCTTGCCAAATGTTGCAATATTTTTTCCACTTTGTATATATTCACATTTTTCTCTTCCTTTAAGACTTTAGAATTGTGTGTCTTGCCTAGAAAGTCTTTTTATATTACATCTGTGTAGTGTGGGTATAAAAAATAAAACAAAAAAAATGAAGAAAAAATCTTATTATTTTATTTTACGTTTTCTTTTCTTTTTTTCTTTTTTGAGACAGGGTCTCACTCTGTTGCCCAGGCTGGAGTGCAGTGGCACAATTATAGCTCATTACAGCCTCAACTTCCTGTGTTTAAGCCATCCTCCCACCTCAGCCTCCCAAGTAGCTTGGACTATAGGTGTGCACCACCATGCCTGGCTGGTCTGCAACTCCTGAGCTCTAGCAGTCCTCCCACCTTGACCTCCCAAAGTGCTGGGATTACAGGTGTGGGCCACAGCACCCAGCCTAGAAATTATTTTTAAACTCCTGGATTATATATAAATAAACTCACCAATAAATGAATAAATTTATTTATTTATATATTTATTATATATAAATAAATTCACTCAAAACTCCTAATTATATATAAATTCACCAGTTTTTTAAAAACTCCTAGATTATATACAACTCCTAGATTAACATATATTTCATACTCCAGATTATATATAAATTCACCAACTATATAATCTAATATATATAATAGTAGTTCAAAACCAGTATATGTAACAAGTATAATATATACATATAAGTATATGTGTGTGTATATATATACTTATGCATGTGTATGTGTGTGTGTGTATATATACATATATATACACATATATACACTTACTTGTTTATATTACATTTCTCTCATCCAAGTATTAAGCAGGCCCCCAGACCTAACCCTGCTTAGCTTCTGAGATCAGATAAGATTGGGGGCATTCAGAGTGGTATGGCCATAGAGTATGTATTATATTGCTATCTTTGAATCCTCTGGAAATTTGGGAATATAAAGAGCATGGTAAAGAATCCATTTTATTTTATTTTCCATTCCTAGCCAGTTTTCTCATCACTGTCTATTGATTAATACATCTTCCCTTCTCCCATCCCTCCCCTATAAATTCGACTCATCTACCTTTTTCACACATTAAATCTGTATACGTATTTGGGTTTATTTCTGTTGATTCTCTTCTATTCCATTCTATTCTATTTAGCTATTCTATTTCTTCTCTAGAATAAGATATTTTAATTATTATAACTCCATGATACATTTTAATGTATAGTTGTATTAATTACCCTCTCACTACTCTTGTTTTTCAGAGTTTTTCTAATTGCCCATTTATATGTCTTGAAGAACTTTAGTGTTATTTTTGTCAGGTTGAAAAAAATCACCTTGGTGTTTTATTTGGCATATACATTGAATTTACAGATCATTTAAGGAAATCAATGTCTTTATAATGTGAATAGTCTCTCTTAATGTTGTAGGCAAAGAGGGAAAATCTGAAGAGGAAAAGGAAGAGGAGGAGGAGAAGGAGGTAGAGGAGGGGGAAGAGGGGAATAAGGAAGAAAAAGAGACAATTTCCTTCATAATTCACATTCTAAAATATGACGTAAATTGCATTTCCCTCTGAATAGCACAAAACACTTTTAAAACACCATCTCAGTCTCTAAAACATCTCAGCAGTATGCAATTACTATTGCTAATTGATAGACTAAAAGTTCAAGGCACAAACTTGGCCATGTTCTTTAACTTATATAATCATTCTAAAGTGATTTCTTTTCTTTTGGGTACTTATGAAGAACTGAGTGTAAATCTTTCCTGCCTACAGGTTTTTGGCAGCCCCTGCTGGAGTAAGATTATGTAATGGATAGGGGTAACAGCTCGCATATCTATATGCAAGCAATCTAATTGACAGCGACTTTATTCTGATGTAAGCTACTTTGCGAAAATTTGGACTCTTACCCCAACTTCAACTTTTATCCCACTGTCAAAATTATTTCCAGATTATCCAAAGTGATAGGTAATAAACAGAAAAATAGATTAACACTCATTCTTAGCTTCTTAGACCTCTTAATTTTGAACAGTTTCCTTTGGAGAATTGTAAAATTAAAGGTTATTTTCCCACAATTTTTCTCCTTCTAAATATTTGGATAACACACTAGGGTGACTAAATGGATACTTCGAGCCTACCACGAAGACGGCCAATCTGCAAAGCAAAGCTAAGAGAACAGGGAGTCCAAATGCACTTGGAGTACCTGGAAATTATACCTGGCAGCCAGCAACCTTTTGTGCTTCTTTGTTGTACTGTATTTTCTGGCAGCAGGCTTTCAAGGGTATCTTTATTTCACTGATTACTAAATTGTGTTGGATTTAATGAGAGAGATCTGTCCTTTTATTTGTGCCTTTTTCCCTTCTTCTTCTTACTTAAAAAAAAAAAAGGATCAGCATCACAAAAGCTTTGTACATTTCTAGTTTGCTTTTGATGATGTGACCGTTTGCTCCCATCTATCTCCATGGTAATAAGCTGTCTCTACCCCCACTTTTCGAAGCCTCAGATACTTAGGAAGCTTCAGGACTGGAGAAGAGTTGCATGTTAAAATAATGCAGAGAAATAAATTGGTCTCTGTAAATAGGCCCCATCTTCAAA
Source organism: Homo sapiens (assembly GCF_000001405.40). Lineage (NCBI taxonomy): Eukaryota > Metazoa > Chordata > Mammalia > Primates > Hominidae > Homo > Homo sapiens. The sequence goes on from NC_000002.12 coordinate 208,055,943, forward strand.
GCCTTCGAATTTTCTTCAAAATGTGATCCATTTTTCTTAGCTTGAAAACAGGTGCATTTTAGATAAAATATTTGAAAGTAAATTTGCATCTCAGCAAATGCATCTCAGTAAGTGCCCCTATTCTAAAATAAGACTTGGGTAGGATTTTAAAACTGGAAGAGGCCTCAGGCTTCATTTAGTCCAAGATGCTTATTATATACTTGAGGAAACTCAGGCTCAAAGTATTTCACGGCTTTGTATCTAATCGTAACTTTGAACTGGGACTTATGCCTCCCAGCAAGGTATTCTTTCTTCTGTTACTAATATGTCAATAATAATTATTATTATGTTAATAACAATAGCTATTTTTAGTAATAAAAGAGAGAATTCACATAAGATGCTATAAAATGCCAGTAATTGTTATTATATCTGGCTAGGCAACTTTCCCAATAACAAAGGTTTTCAAAAGTTGATCTTTTAGTTTTCAAATTATGTTCTCTTAAAGAATACACTCATAGAAGTCGATATTTCTAAAAGATGATTATATATAAATATACATACACATACACATATATATTTGTAGTATATAAATAAAATATTAATAGTGATTATCTCAGTAGTGGTTAAAATTAATTTAAATGTCATTTAAAAAATAATATTCTGGTTGGGCATGGTGGCTCATGCCTGTAATCCCAGCAGTTTGGGAGGCTGAGGCGGGCGGATCACTTGAGGCCAGGAGTTGGAGACCAGTCTGGCCTACATGGTGAAACCCCATCTCTACTAAAAATACAAAAATTAGCCAGGCATGGTGGTGGGCACTTGTAATCCCAGCTACCCGTGAGGCTGAAGCAGGAGAATCGCTTGAACCTGGGAGGAAGAGGTTGCAGTGAGCCGAAATCGCGCCACTACGCTCCAGCCTGGACGACAAAGTAAGACTGTCTCAAAAAAAAAAAAAAATAGTCTGTATTTTTAAATTTTCTATGTAAAACTTGTATTACTTTTCTTATAATAAAAGAAGACTATATTTTTGGAAAAAAATATTCACACATTTGATGCTTAAAATGTAAATCATTCCTTCCTGGCCCAATCCCACTGTTCTTTTCCCACAAAATTCAAAATAATTTCATTCACAGTAGCTACAGATATTCTGCCCTGCTCTATGTACTATGACTTAGTGCTGGGGACTGGAATGACTGTGTCCCATCATTCACAAAATATCAGGGATTTTCACTTAGGCAGGGAGAATTGACTGCAGAACGCAAGGTGGTGTTTTTTTTTTTCCAGTTGTCAAATGATCCTTTATTGAAATATTTTCCTTTGTGCTTCTTAACTAGTTGGGCATTCCACAACAACACTGTTGATGTCATCTATGATGTCATGAGGTTGGTGGCCATCAACATTATGGCTCACAGACTGGGCAGTCTCCAGGATCTCCTTAATGGTTCCAGAGAGTTCTCTGGGTAAAGATGGGTGCTGCATCTGTCAAGCAATGTTGATGATCTCATCAAAAGTGATATTCCCACTGTGTTTAATGTTTTTCTGTTTCTTTCTGTCTCTTGGTGGTTCCTTGAGGGCTTTGATGATCAGGGCAGAGGCAGAAGGCACTACCTCAATCTGGGCCTGTCTGTTCTGAATGGTCAGTTTCACTGTAATTCTCAGGCCCTTCCAGTCACCCATTGCCTTGGCAATGTCATCACCAATCTTTTTTGGAGACAGACCCAGTGGGCCGATCTTGGGGTCCAGCGCAGACGTGGCACTGACTTCACCCCCAGTGCACCTCAGGTATACGACTTTGATCCCGTTGGGGTCGAACTTCTGCAGCATGGTGGAGGTGGCTGGTGATGGATGAACCCGGATTCAGGATGACGGAAGAAAGTTGCACCTTGGCCTCCTCCAAGCCAAGAGCCGAAAGAACCCAAGGTCTTTATAAGGTATATCCCTCTCACAGCTTTTTGTGGACTCATGTTTTACTTATTGTTTTGTTAAAAGCAATGGCAACAAAAGCCAAAATAGACAAATGGGATCTAATTAAACTAAAGAGCTTCTGTACAGCAAAAGAAACTACCATCAGAGTAAACAGGCAACCTACAGAATGGGAGAAAATTTCTGCAATCTACCCATCTGACAAAGGACTAATATCCAGAATCTTCAAAGAACTTAAACAAATTTACAGGAAAAAATCAAACAACCCCATCAAAAAGTGGGCAAAGGATATGAACAGACAGTTTTCAAAAGAAGACATTTATGCAGCCAACAGACACATGAAAAAATGCTCATCATCACTGGTCATCAGAGAAATGCAAATCAAAACCACAATGATTAGAATGGTGATCATTAAAGTCAGGAAACAACAGATGCTGGAGAGGATGTGGAGAAATAAGAATGCTTTTACACTGTTGGTGGGAGTATAAACTAGTTCAACCACTGTGGAAGACAGTATGGCGATTTCTCAAGGATCTAGAACTAGAAATACCATTTGACCCAGTGATTCCATTACTGGGTATAAACCCAAAGGATTTTAAATCATGCTGCTATAAAGACACATGCACAAGTATGTTTATTGTGGCACTATTCACAATAGCAAAGACTTGGAACCAACACACATGTCCATCAGTGATAGACTGGATTAAGAAAATGTGGCACATTACTATGCAGCCATAAAAAATGATGAGTTCACGTCCTTTGTAGGGACATGGATGAAGCTGGAAACCATCATTCTCAGCAAACTATCCCAAGGACAAAAAACCAAACACCGCATGTTCTCACTCACAGGTGGGAATTGAACAATGAGAACACTTGGACACAGGAAGGGGAACATCACACACCCCGGACTGTTTTGGGGTGTGGGGAGGGGGGAGGGGGGAGGGATAGCATTAGGAGATATACCTAATGTAAATGACGAGTTAATGGGTGCAGCACACCAACATGGCACATATATACATATGTAACAAACCTGCATGTTGTGCACATGTACCCTAGAACTTAAAATATAATAAAAAATATATATATATTAAAAAAAAGAAAATGTGGCACATATACACCATGGAATACTATGCAGCCATAAAAATGGATGAGTTCATGTCCTTTGTAGCGACATGGATGAAGCTGGAAAGCATCATTCTGAGCAAGCTATCGCAAGGACAGAAAATCAAACACCACATGTTCTCACTCATAGGTGGGAATTGAACAATGAGAACACTTGGACACAGGGCAGGGAACATCACATACCCCGGCCTGTCGTGGGGTGGGGGGATAGGGGAGAGATAGCATTAGGAGAAATACCTAATGTAAATGACAAGTTAATGGGTGCAGCAATCAAACACGGCACATGTATACATATGTAACAAACCTGCACGTTGTGCACGTGTACCCTAGAACTTAAAGTATATATATAAAAAAAGAGCTACTTTTAACTAAAAGAATAATAATTAATACTACTGAGAGCTTTTCACCTGAACACCTCAAAGCACTGCACATGCCTTAACCCCTTTATGGTCTCATTGAGGTATGTGTTTGCTCTTAAAGACTTTTCACAATTTCACAAGCAAAACTCAAATGATCCATTATATCTAAGAAGTCAAGGCAAACCCTCTGGGAATAAAGAGCTGCCTAGGAATAATAGTAGGGCTACCTTATGAGACATGGTGAAAGTCCTGGGCACAGTGTCTTGTGGATGGCAGATGCTGAAAAAAGGTCCCATGTTTCCAATGCAGAGATCACAATAGGGCCTGGTTATGCCTTTGAGGCCTCAGCCCATGAGGCCCACCAGGTAACCAAAGCACTGTGATCGTGCACCATCAGCCTGAATAGAGCCACTTGCAAGTTATAACTTTATCTCTGCTCCTGATTATGTGAAAAACGGCAAACAACTTTGTTTAACCTCCACTTACTTTTTTCCCCTCCTTGACTATAGTTGAAATCAGCTGTATTAGGCCATTCTTGCATTGCTATAAAGAAATACCTGAGACTGGGTAATTTATAAAGGAAAGAGATTTAATTGGCTCATATTCCTGCAGGCTATACAGGAGGCATGGTGCTGGCATCTGCTTGGCTTCTGGTGAATCCTCAGGGAGCTTTTATTCATGGTGGAAGGTGAAGTGGGAGCTGGCACTTCACACGGCAAAAGCAAGAGCAAGAGAGAGAGAGTGAAGGTGGGGGTACCACACACTTTTAAATTACCAGATCTCATGAGAACTCACTCACTATCTCCAGGACAGGTCCAAGCCATGAGAAATCTGCCCCCATGACCTTAACACCTCCCATCAGGACCCATCTCCAACACTGGGGATTACATTTCAACATGAGGTTTGGGCAAGGACATGTATCTAGATTATATCATCAACTAGATCCAAACAGCTTTTGCTATCAATGACAATATTTATTTAATCCCTCCCCCCTTTTTCTTTTGAGACAGGGTCTCGCTCTGTCATCCAGGCTGGAGTGCAGTGGCGTGATCACAGCTCACTGCAACCTTTGCTTCCCAGACTCAAGCAATTCTCTAGCCTCAGCCTCCCAAGTAGCTGGGACTACAGGTGTGAGCCACCATGCTTGGCTGATTTGTGTGTTTGTCTGTGTGTGTGTAAATGGGGTTTCACTATGTTGACCAGGCTCGAACTCCTGAACTCAAAGCAATCTGCCTACTTTGGCCTCCCAAAGTGCTGGGATTACAGGCGTGAGCCACTCCACCCAGACTATTTAATCCTTTTTGTTTGTTTGTTTGAGACAGAGTTTCGCTCTTGTTGCCCAGGCTGGAGTGCAATGGCATGGTCTCGACTCACTGCAACCTCCGCCTCCCGGGTTCAAGCGATTCTCCTGCCTCGGCCTCCCGAGTAGCTTACAGGCGTGCATCACCATGCCTGGCTAATTTTGTATTTTTAGTAGAGTCGGGGTTTCTCCATGTTGGTCAAGCTGGTCTCAAACTCCCAACCTCAGGTGATCTGCCCGCCTTGGCCTCCCAAAGTGCTGGGATTACAGGCGTGAGACACCTCACCCGGCCTTATTTAATCCTTTTTATAGAAGGATAATGCTTGAGACCTTCAGAAATGATCAAATGATGATTTGCCATATCTTCTTTCACATTTAGGTTAAACACTGTCCTGGGAACAACTCTAATTGGGGATGAAAGAAGAATAGAAAAGGACAATATAACTTATGCTAGGTTATTAAAACTTAGTGGGAAGTAACCAAGTATCTTGAATAATGTGTCTAAAATAGATCTCTATGGTTTTGCCCCAAACCTGCTCCTTCTCCAATAGTCACCTCTTTTTAATACATGGTACTGGTATTCGCCCAGTTACTCAAACCAAAAACTAGAGAGCCACCCTGGGCTCTTCCTCTCCCTCCACTCCCAAATTCAGTCCATCTGTAAGTCCTGTTAGTTTGTCTTCCAAAAAAATTCCCACATTCTTCCACTTTGCTTCTTTTTTTGTCCTCTGTGGTCCCCTGGTCCAAGCCCCTGTCATCTGTCACATGATCAGCACAGTGACTTCTGACCAGCCTCCCCCTTTCCCCCTCACTACAGTCCATTTTCTCCATGGCAGCCAAATTTAAAGATCACACGTGTCATACCCCTGCAAAAAAGCATCCTTTCTCGCAGAACAAAATCCAAACTCCTTTTGGGGAACCTGGAGTACCTACTTGCTCTAGGCACTGTGCACCTGAAGCCCTTTTTCTCCCTGTCTCTCCCTTGCTTTCTCTTCTGGCTGTGTGGCCCCCGGGCTCTGCAGATGCTCCTTGTGCATGGCAGGGTCTTCTCCAAGGACCTTCATGTGATTCCCCCATTCACATCATTCAAGTCTGCCCGAATTCTTTCTCCCCAGCAAGGCTTTCCCTCACTGTCCTATCCAAAAGGGCACCTTGCCCTTCATCTCCTTTCCCTGCCTTCTTCTTCCATACAGACCTCCTCACCCTGCAATTATGTTGTATCGTTCAACTTGTTTGTTTCTGCCTGAACTGTCTCTGTCTCTAGAATGGAATCTCCTCAAGCAGGGATGTGGTCTTTCTTGTAATCCACTAAGAGTTCAGCTCCAAGAGCAATTCTTCACATACGGAAGGTACTCAAGGAATATTTATAGAATAAATGAATGGTCTCATCTTAATCTTTTCTTCTCCTATGAGAGAGAACATTTTGGGAGTGAGGATCAATGTTAGACGTGATTAAGAGCCCTAGAGAATAAGAAGTTATAATAACATGCAGCAGATGCAAGAAAAAGCAAATTGCATTTTTGCCATGGATTGCTGTGGATATATCCAAGTGCTGCACATAGATATTTGGGCTGTAGATTTATGTGGCGTAGAGAGATGCTCACCCCAAAAGACACTGCACTAAATGCTGTGCAGGCTCACTATAATCAGTAAGTGCTTATCGCCCCCTTCAGGTGCTTATCTTCTTGAGAACAGAGACAGTGACTCATGTTATATTTTATTATAGTAATTTGCAAATAGCAGGTAATACATAAATATTTGCTAAATTGAATGACATTGATCCTTTCCACATCTGGAATGAATTTTTAGGTTCTGGTGTGCGTGTGTGTGTGTGTGCGTGTGTGTGTGTGTGTTTACATTCAAAATATCTATTTTGAAGTGATCAGATCTGGGGGCCTTGTTACTTCTTCCTAAGTCGATTTATCACAATTCCAATGAAAATACCACCAAACTTTCCTATGGAGCCAAACAAATTAATACTAAAGTTTATATTTTAAAAATAAGCAAGAATAGTCGAGAAACCAATAAAAAAGAAAAACTTTTAGCAGGGAGTAGCCTGCCACATATTAAAATATTCTATAAAGCCCCTAATAATTAAAACATTTCCTGTTCTTGGATAGGATGACTAAGCAGCACAAAGATGTCAGTTGTCCAAGTCAATTTATTAACGATCATAATCCCAATAAAAATAGCAGCTAGCTTTTTAAATGAAGCCATACAAGTTGATACTAAAGTTTATATGGAGAAACATGTAAAAATAGCCAGGGAAACATTTAAAAACACACAAAACTTTGAAGTAGACTAACAGATATTAAAACACACTATAAAGCCTTTTATAATTAACACACAGTGGTACTGTCCCATGACTAGACAAGTAGACTAATGCAGCAGAATAAAAAGTCCAGAAATAGAAAGAAACACATATGGTAATTGACTATATGAAGAACTGGCATCTCAAACCATTGGGTCAAAGATAAACTTTTGTTATTATTTTTTAAAATCTACCAGTTATCCTCAAGTTCTACAAAGATAAGCTTTTAAATAAACGGTTCTGGGACAGATGGTACATTTGGAAAAAGATAAAATTAAATTCATACGTCACACCATATTGAAGAATAAATTCAAAGTAGGAATCTAAATGTAAAATACAAAATCACACAAGTGCTAGAAGAAAACATGGGTGAATTCTTCTTTAACCTTGATATAGAGAAAGCCTCAAAATCTAGAGGCAATAAAAGAAAATGTTAATAAATTTGACTACATTAAAAATAAAAATAATTTTTTGGGGGCATGGCTAAATACCCCACTGTAAACAAAGTCAAAAAACAATGAGCACAAGCCAGGCATGGTGGCTCATGCCTGTAACCCCAGCACTTTGGGAGGCCAAGGCAGGCAGATCACTTGAGGTCAGGAGTTCGAGACCAGCCTGGCCAACATGGTGAAACCTCATCTCTACTAAAAATACAAAACATTAGCTGGGCGTTGTGGCAGGTGCCTGTAATCCCAGCTACTGTAATCCCAGCTGAGGCAGGAGAATTGCTTGAATCCGGGAGGCGGAGGTTGCAGTGAACCGAGATCTCACCACTGCACTCCAGCCTGGGTGACAGAGTAAGACTCTATCTCAAAATTTAAAAATGAAAAAAAATCAGCTGGGCATGGCAGTGCGTGCCTTTAGTCCCAGCTACTGGGGTGGCTGAGGTGGGAGGATTGCTTGAGCCCAGGAGGTTGAGTTTGCAGTGAACTGTGATTGTGCCACTGCACTCCAGTCTGGACAACAGAATGAGACCCTGTTTCCCACAAAAAGAAAAATAAAACACAATAAGCAGTGAGCTGTATTACAGATAAAAGTATAATATTCTTAATATGTAAAGAACTCTAAATAAATGGAAGGACAAAGGATCAAAAGCCTGATTTAAAAAATGGGAAAACTACATTAATACACAATTCTGATAAGAAAAAGGCTGATTATGCCTGTAATCTCAGCACTTTGGGAGGCCGAGGTGGGTGGATCACTTGAGCTCAGGAGTCTGAGACCAACCTAGGCAATATGGCGATAACCCCATCTCTACAAAAAATACAAAAATTAGCCTGATGTGGTGGCACACACCTGTGGTCCCAGCTACTCAGGAGGCTGTGGTGGGAGAATCGCTTGAACCAGGGAGGCAGAAGCTGCAGTGAGCTGAGATTGCACCATTGCACTCCAGCCTGGGCAACACAACCAGACCCTGACTTAAAAAAAAAAAAAAAAAAAAAAAAAGTAGGGAGAGTTTTAAAGTGTTAGTTATATCAGAAGTAGACCGTCTGTATCCGTCTCTGTCGGTGAACAGAAGACCCAAATAGAATAATTTAGAGGAATTTAATAAAGAATCAGGTTTAAGGGAACCTCACAAAGAATGGTGCAGTATCCTGAAGTTAGCAAGAACCAGGAAGATATTATTGGTCTAGGCCTGAACTAATTGACAGAGAATATGGTGTAGCTAAATGGAGAATGCTGCCTGGAGAGCCAGAAAGCCAAACCACAATGACTCAGCTGGGATGAAGCTGGGGAATAAAACCAGCACTCTCACGCTCCCTTACCTCCTCCATGGAACTTCTGTTGTCATCCAGTGGCTGAAATCAACTGGAAGCCTACAGGGAAAGACCTGCCTCCTGGGACACAGAGCAGGTGAGGAAGGGACAAAGCATTACCCTAGAGAGATGAATGAAAACTATTCTGCACACCAACTCTTTCAAACGGTGTGCTTCATATGCGGAACTGAGAGTCTCAGAATGATCACAAGACACCACCGTGTAGAAGATAGGAACTTGAGGATGCCCCCTTTTAAGAGTGGGTTTGGGCAGGAGTTAAATAATATCTGAATTGGCCAGGCACAGTGGCTCATGCCTGTAATCCCAGCACTTAGGGAACCCAAGGCTGGAGGATCGCTTGAGGCCAGGAGTTCAAGATCAGCCTGGGCAACATAGCAAGACCCTCTCTCAATAATAATAATAATAATAATAATAATAATAATAATAATGTTTTGGCTAGGCATGGTGGCTCACCTCTGTAATCCCAGCACTTTGGGAGGCTGAGGCGGGTGGATCACAAGGTCAGAAATTCAAAACCAGCCTGGCCAAGATGGTGAAACCCCGTCTCTACTAAAACTACAATAATTAGTCAGGCACAGTGGCAGGTGCCTGTAATCCCAGCTACTTGGGAGGCTGAGGCAGGAGAATCGCTTGAACCTGGGTAGCAGAGGTTGCAGTGAGCTGAGATCGTGCCACTGCACTCCACCCTGGGCAACAAAGTGAGACTCCCTCTCAGTAATAATAATAATAATAATAATAATAATAATAATAATAATAAAGTTTTATAATCTTTGTTATCACAAAGCTTTACCATATTATTTTACCATATTATTATAACCATAGTAAAATAGGTGAATAATAATAGGTGAAAGACAACTATACCTTCTTTGACACTGCTCCCATTGAGAAATGGGACCTATGTCTCCTCCCCTCGAGTCTGACTGCTTTGACCAGTAGAATATCCGGGGAGTGGCACTGTACTGGTTTCCAAGCTTGGCTTTAAGAGACTGGCAGCTTCCATTTCCTGTCTCTTAGGACATTGATTGGAGCCCCGAGCTTCCCTGTGAGAGTCTGACTACCCAGAGGCTGCCATCGAATAAGGAAGCCTAAGGTGGCTGCAGGAAGAAACTGTGGAAAGGCGGGTGGGGAGGGACAGACAGACAGAGGGAGAAAGAGAAACAGATGCCCAGCCAACCCCTGGTTGTTCTGGTCCCCCCGCTATTCCAGTCTTGCAGCTGAGGCCTCAGGCATTCTGGAGCAGAAATGAGCTGTCCCTTGCTGTGCCCTGTTTGAAGATAGTCATGATAAATGGTTGTTTCAAGCCACTACAGTATTGTGCAGTAATAATAGATACTTGGGCAGAATTTGGTACTTGGAAGTGGGGTGCTATCATAACGAATACCCAAACCATATGGCACTGGCTTTGGGACAGAGTGTCAGGGAGAAGCAGAAAAAGCCAGGAGGAGACTATGGGTGAGGGTGTGAAAGACTGAGCAAAGTATTTATAGGGGCTGGAAAACAGAGGACTCTTTATGTAGCGACAGAAAGTGTGAGGACACTGTCGCCTATGGGAACGTGGAAAACAGAAAGAGTGCTTAACAGCTTGTGGGGTTGGCTAGAGAGATGTCCAAGCAGAATGTAGAAGGTGCCAACTGGCTTTTTTCAGTTGCCTATGACAAAATATGAGACAGGAGAGATGATCTAAAGAAAAATTGTGGGCTCGGTGCAGTGGCTCATGCCTCTAATCCCAGCACTTTGGGAGGCCGAGGCAGGAGGATCACGAGATCAGGAGTTCAAGACCAGCCTGGCCAATGTGGTGAAACCCTGTCTCTACTAAAAATATAAAAAATTAGCAGGGTGTGGTGGTGCACGCCTGTAAATCCAGCTACTTGGGAGGCTGAGGCAGTAGAATCACTTGAACCCGGGAGGCGGAGGTTGCAGTGAACTGAGATCACGCCACTGCACTCCAGCCTGGGCGACAGGGTGAGACTCTGTCTCAAAAAAAAAAAAAAAAAAGAAAAAAAGAAAGAAAAAAGAAAAATTGTTCAAGTTCTTAGCAAAAATGGAAAAGTACAAATATTGGGTTATAAAATAAAACTGTTGCTTATCCCTGGTCTTTTCCATTAAAAGATTCCCAAATAATAAATATCTCTAGGGCCTAAGATCAAATCCAGAATAAGATGCTTTGTCAGAAAAATTTAAGGGCAGGCCTAGTAGTATGTCTAAGAATCTCAAGGATGTGCCTCATAGACCATCTCAGTAAACAATAGAACTTTTAAGACTCCTAAAGGTGTTGTCTCACAGGAACCTCAAAGGAGATCCAGGTATTTCTAATGAGTAAAATGGGCACATTTGCATCTTCTTGACAGGATTGCTGTGACTATTAAACAAAATAATACCCATTCATTCTAAATATATGCTGATGTCTACTCTATCCCAGGCACTGTACTAGTGTTTGATAATTTCTAAGAGTTATTAATCTGCAGGATTCTGGAACAAAAAACTAGAATTCTTGAGAATTCTTGGTGATCCTCAAAATCATAAGTTATCTACATTTCCCCATAACATCTTCTTGGTATGTTTTTAAAAACAATGACTGACTACACTAGTAAATAGCGGACCATTTTTCTGTGATGGGATTATACAAAAAGTTTCTAAAGCTTTCTGCAACCAAAACAAACAAGAAATCCCCCCAGACAGTGATAATAAATGCATGGGTTATATGGTTTATTATTATTATGGACATATATATTGAGACAAGATTACACTACATTTCAATGACCCATAAAAATAATTTCTACCTGAGTTAGACAATAGAATATATTAAAAGAAGGGAACATTAACACACAATAATGCCAAATAAAATGATTCAAACAATTGAAAGATAATACTGCAAACATTTACATTTTAAAAGTTATTCTTTTTTGGAGACGGAGTCTTGCTCTGTCACCCAGGTTGGAGTGCAGTGGTGCAATCTCGGCTTACTGCAACCTCCGCCTCCCAGGTTCAAGCAATTCTCCTACCTCAGCCTCCCGAATAGCTGAGATTACAGGCTCATGCCACTGCGCCCGGCTAATTTTTGTATTTTTAGTAGAGACAGGGTTTCACCATGCTGCCCAGGCTGGTCTCAAACTCCTGAACTCATGATCTGCCCGCCTTGGCTTCTCAAAGAGCTGGGATTACAGGCGTGGGCCATTGCGCCCGGCCAAAAGTTATTCTTAAAATGAAATTGAAAAACACATAAAGCATGAATTGCCCTGAATGTCTTGGTCCTTGTTTCCTGACAAATATTCCAGGTGTAGAATGTTTTTTCATCCTCTGTTAATGTTAATTTATTATTACTAAGAATGTGTCTACAAGCTTCTTCGAATTGAGCATTAGGGTACGTGTTGGTTATTATAAACTCATTCACTTTTCTTAATGATGAAAATAATTGTCTTCTTTCACTGGTTTTGATTTTTTTCCTTGAAGTCTATGTTATTTTCGCTAATTCAGATTTTAGATGTTTCTGACTTCGTGATGGAATAGTTCCCAACAATATTCACTCTTCTTTGCATTGCTTCTGATAAAGCATATTTTCCTCCACAAAAGTCTTTCCTTAATGATTTTGCTAATTGAGCCATTTCATTTTTGTTTGCTGAAGCAAAAAGAGTTGTCAACCTCATATAAACTAACTGCTGAAATATTTTAATGAGAAATATGAGATCTTTTTTCTGCATTAAATAATTCAATTCTAACTTCTTTTAAAAGCATACTACTCAAAGCACAAGTCTGTTTTCGATTAGAAGATTTGCATCATGATTACTTAATGCTTCAACTACTAATCAAACAAGTTTTAAGCAAGTTATTGTCTCTCTCACAATTTGACAATATTCCATTTTCTCTCTCCTTTCTTCCTGCCCCCCCTACTTCCTCCCTTCCTTTTTTTTTTTTTTTAGACAGAGTCTCACTCTTGTCGCCCAGGCTGGAGTGCAATGGCGTGATCTCAGCTCATTGCAAACTCCGCCTCCTGGGCTCAAGCAATTCTCCTGCCTCAGCCTCCCAAGTAGCTGGGATTACAGGCATCCACCACCATGCCCAGCTAATTTTTGTATTTTTAGTAAAGACAGGGTTTCACCATGTTGGTCAGGCTGATCTCGAACTCCTGACCTCAGGTAATCTGCCCGCCTTGGCCTCCCAAAGTGCTGGGATTACAGGCATGAGCCACCGTGCCTGGCCCCCTTTCTTCTTTTTTTAAGACAAGGTCTTACTGTGTTACCCAGGCTGGAGTGCAGTGGCACGATCATAGCTCACTGCAAGCCTTAACACCTGGGCTCAAGTGATCCTTCTGGCTCAGCCTCTTGAGTAGCTGGGACTACAGGTGTGCACCACTACACTCAGCTATTTTTTTATTTTTAGCAGAGACAGGGGCTCGCTATGCTGCCCAGGCTGGTCTCAAATTTCTGAGCTCAAGTTATCCTTCCATCTTGGCCTCCCAAAGTGCTGGGATTACAGGTGTGAGCTGCTGTGCCCGGCCTGTGTTTTTTTTCTTTCTTTATGCAAGAGAGAATTTCTTATTGGAGAAAATGTAAACAGTTTTACAACTTTCCTTTTTCTAAAAATTGCCAGAAAGACACGACCTTGTGGATTATACTGACTGGCTCCAGCCACATCATCTGAATCAGAGTAATTGCTTTCATCTGTGTCATAGACAGACTACACTGTGTTCACCTCCTCTGCCAGTTGTTTCTGATGCTGTAACCTCCAGTTTTTGAGTAAAACACTTTTGTTACAGCAAGAAGGAACACATTTGCTGAAAACTTTCCAAATTTTTTCGTTACTGCTGCACCATCACTAGCTGTTGATATCGATGGAATTCCTGACCAGTAACATTTCCATGAAGATCATTACAATTTATTTCTTGAAATTCTGGGAAGGCATGGAAACATCACATTGCAGCAGATGCTGGGGATGCAGCAATGAACAAGACAGGCCAGATCCCTACTCTCAGATAAACACAATGATCCAGGTATTTCCAATAATGAAATGACACTGAAGAAATAAGGTGATGTGTCTGGGGATGGCTGTGATATTTTTAGTTAGTATTGAGGTTTAGCGGCATGTAACAGTCAAGCTGCAAATAACAGTGTATTAAATTAGATAGAAACTTTTTTTTTTTTCACGTCAAAGTTATCTAGAGGCTGGTATTGCACACTCCACCCCTATCCCACAGTGCCATTAGCCAGGCCCCTACCTGCTCTTCCTCCCATCCTCACTGCCATCTCAGCATCCAAGGTGTTTTCAGGAGCTCCAGTGATCACATCTGCATTCCAGATAGCAGGAGAGGGGAAAATAGGAAGAAGAGCTGTTTGCTTCCCCCTTTTTTCTCTCCACTTTTTTTTTTTTTGAGATGAGTTCTCACTCTGTTGCCCAGGCTGGAGTGCAGTGAGGCAATCATAGCTCACTCACTGTATCCTTGAACTCCTGGGCTCAAGCCATCCTCCAACCTCGGCCTCCCGAGTAGCTGGGACTACAGGCATGAACCACTACACTTGGCTAATAAGAAAAAAAAAACAAAAAACGAAAACAGGCTGGGCGCGGTGGCTCACGCTTATAATCCCAGCACTTTGAGAGACCAAGGCGGGTGGATCACGAGGTCAGGAGATTGAGACCATCCTGGCTAACACGGTGAAACCCCGTCTCTACTAAAAATACAAAAAAAATTAGCTGGGCATGGTGGTGCACACCTATAATCCCAGCAACTCAGGAGGCTCAGGCAGGGGAATGGCGTGAACCCGGGAGGTGGGGCTTGCAGTGAGCTGAGATCGTGCCACTGCACTCCAGCCTGGGCGACAGAACGAGACTTCATCTCAAAAAAAAAAAAAGAAAAAATTTATATTTTGTAAAGATGGTGTCTTACTATGTTGCCCAGGCTGGTCTCAAACTCCTGGCCTCAAGTGATCCTCCCAGCTCAGCCTCCCAAAGTGCTGGGATTCTAGTCATGAGGCACCTCCTCTGGCCTGTCTGCTTCCCTTTAAGGAAGCTTCTAGGAAGTCCCACTGAACATATCCGTTTACATCCCATTAGCCAGAAACATGGCCACATCCTGCTGCTAGTGAGGCTGAGAAATATGACTGATATACTGGGCAGGAAAGTTTCCAGCTAGGCCGCGCGCAGTGGCTCACACCTGTAATCCCAGCACTTTAGAAGGCCAAGGCAGGTGGATCACCTGAGACCACGAGTTCGAGATCACCCTGGCCAACATGGTGAAGCCCCGTTTCTACAAAAAATACAAAAATTAGCTGGGTATGGTGGCGCATGCCTGTAATCCCAGCTACTCGGGAGGTTGAGGCATGAAAATTGCTTGAACCCGGAAGGCGTAGGTTGCAGTGAGCTGAGATCATGCCACTGCACTCCAGCCTGGGCGACAGAGAGAGACTCTGTCTCCATCAAACAAACAAACAAACAAACAAACAAACAAAACCCAAAACATTTCCAGCCAAAGATCAGGGTTCTGTTTTGCATGTTGGGAAGGGCAGACAGGAATGAGTGGTCAAAGAGGTCTTTTCCTAGGAAGCAACAATTTGGAACTTGAATGATAAGAAGCCTCCAGTTAGATGATGGAAGCAGAATGTTTCAGGCAAGGGAAACAGCAAATGGAAAATGGCAATTTCATGGAAACAAGAAAGTCTGAAACATAATGAGAAGGAAAGGAGATTAGTCTGGGATAATAGATAATGGCTAGACCACACAGGCCTTTACCTGTCAGAGAATTGCTTTCATTTTTTAAAAAACTGAAAATTTTTAATTGCATTGGGATTTTTTTCTTTTTTTTGACTGAGTCTCACTCTATCACCCAGGGTGGAGTGCAGTGGCATGATCTCAGCTCACTGCAACTTCTGCCTCTTGGGTTCAAGTGATTCTCATGCCTCAGCCTCCTGCATAGTTGGGATTACAGGCGTGTGCCACCATGCCTGGCTAATTTTTGTAGTTGTAGTATAGATGAGGTTTCATCATAATGGCCAGGCTGGTCTCAAACTCCTGACCTCAGGTGATCTACCCACCTTGGCCTCCCAAAGTGCTGGGATTACAGGTATGAGCCACTGTACCCAGCCTGCAGTGGGAATTAATTTTAAAGGAAGGAAGTGACATGACTTAGAGTCTCGCTAGTGCTGATATATAGTAGATGTTAAAGAAATCTATCCTTAAGTACGCTGGAAATATCTTGGTTTTTAATCCTGATTACATCCCTAATCATTTAATGGGATGTGGGAAATTATTGATTGTTTTGCCTTATGTCTATAGGCAACATATAAAATTATATTTGTTCATCAGCTGCCTGAATAAAACCAATAATCCATGAGGTAGATCCACAGTAGCATGCTTTCCGTAGAGGATGTGGGGTACAGCAGATATGAGGCACTTGTGTGTTTGTGTGGAGGGGAGTACTAATAAATAAGAAAACGTCACATGTGTATGTATCTGTGCTTGAGGCAGCTCTTTGAGGATGTGTGCAAATCAAGAAAAGGGCTTTTATTTTGATTCCTTTAATTGTGCCTTATTAACTTTTTTTCTTTTTTCTTTATTAAGGTCAGTAGGCATTTGGTAGGAATCTGCATCAAACTGTTGGGCAATGGTAGACAGCAACATTGACGTCTGTAAATTTACACTTGGATTCTTAGTTTCTGGTGAGTAGTTTGTGCTCCTTCAACACTCAGTGAGAGATGATGATAAGCAAACCTTCAGCCTTCAGCTTTCCTGATGCAGTAGGAATTGCCACAAATGCCTGGCTGTGGTCGCCCTCTACTGGACGAATTAAGCCTAACGTTTAAAAGCCACCAGACCACTGTTCCCTTTATAATATCCTCTTCTGCCAAAGCCTACTCACCCTTTAGGTCTGAGAGAGGCCTCTCAGCATCCCCCCTTTCTCTCACCATCTCTGATATGTGTGTTCGTATGACTATTTGATTGACGTCTGTCTCCTCCCTTTCTGCATAGGCTGTAGTCTGCATGAGGGCAGGGACTCTGTTTGCCTCCGAGTGCCTGACACCATTCTTCAATAAATATGTGTTAAATGGATGAATAAAGGAGGAATGAAGGGCCCAAATGTCAAGAGTGAGCCTTTCACACTTCACTCTAGCTGACTGCAGCACGTAGGAGAAAATATAAATTCAAGGCATCTATCCTGCAAATTTTTTTCAAGCAACTTACGCTACTCTTAAAAACCCTGTTTATTAAAGTATTACATATATACAGAAAAGTGCACACATTGTAAGTGTCTAGTTCAATGAATTTTCAAAAACTGGTCACACCCCTGTAACCAGTACACAGATCAAGAAACAGAATGTCACCAGAAACCCAGAAACCCACCCGTGCCCTTGTGATTTTAACAGTATAGAGTTCTTTTGCATGTTTTTATATTTTATAAAAATGAAATCATACAATATGTACTTTTTTGCATCTGGCTTCTTTTCTTCTTTTTTTATTTTTTGTTTTTTTGTTTGTTTGTTTTGTTGTTTTTTTTTTTTTGAGACAGAGTCTCATTCTTGTCGCTGGAGTACAGTGGCATGATCTTGCTCACTGCACCCCCTGGGTTCAAGTGATTCTCATGCCTCAGCCTTCTGAATAGCTGGGACCACAGGCATGCATCACCACACCTGGCTAATTTTTGCATTTTTCTGTAGAGATGGGATTTCGCCATGTTTCCCAGGCTGGTCTTGAACTCATGAGCTCAAGTAATCGGCCTGCCTCAGCCTCCCAAAGTGCTGGGATTACAGGTGGGAGACACCACACCCAGCCTTGAAAACACATTTCAATATTTTGTTAAAGATGAGCAGAAAAGGGCCAGGAGCGGTGGCTCACACCTATAATCCCAGCACTTTGGGAGGCCAAGGTGGGCAGATCACGAGGTCAAGAGTTCAAGACCAGCCTGGTCAACATGGTGAAACCCCGTCTCTACTAAGAATACAAACATTAGCCAGGCATGGTAGCGTGTGCCTGTAATCCCAGCTGCTAGGGAGGCTGAGGCAGGAGAATCACTCGAACCCAGGAGGCGGAGGTTGCAGTGAGCTGAGATCGCGCCACTGCACTCAAGCCTGGGCAACAGAGCAAGACTCCGTCTCGAAAAAAAAAAGAAAAAAAGGTGAGCAGAAAAAGTTAATAGTGATTTTCCTTGGTAAAGCCTTAAGGTTTATACCAAAATCATAATCATAGAGCAGATGGCTGGAATAATACAAGATAAAGTTCACTCAACTTTAACAGTGCCTTCCCAGTATGGAAGGAATACAGAAGCTTCTTTCTCATGGGGAGGTGGTTGTGTTGAGGTGGCAAGGGCACTAAACTTATGATCAGAAGAACTAGGACTGAGTTTTGTTGTTGTTGTTGTTCAGGTTGGATGGGTAATGTGCCAGCGCTGTAACAAGGTTCAGAGGGAGGCACATATCACACTTAGGCACAAACACCAAATCATGCTCCTGAACTACAAAAGGAGTGAGTTTTACTTGGCCAGTTACCATTTCTGAGCTTCGGGTAGGTCATTCACTCTCTGAGTTTCATCTGTTAAAATGGACATGCCAATATCTGTCCCATAGAATTGTGTAGGGGAGGAAAAAAATATTTTTTCCTCTACTCTTTCTGATTCTTAGCACAAAAGATAGATTAACAAACTTATTTAAGTTTTACATGACATGGGAAGCTTCATAAGGAAATGAAGACCCAAAGAAGCAGTTAAATGTGAGCGTTGTTTATTGTAGGTTTAGTGAAGAGTGGACCACTGTGGAGAAATGTGGTAGGGCAAAAAGGGTATGATCTAATGGTAAGAAACGGGGAAACGCAGCAAGGCCTGTTTGTTCACTTTAAAATTTTTTTTTTTTTAAATAGAGAGAGGGTCTTGCTATGTTGTTCAGGCTGGTCTCAAGCTCCTGGGCTCAAGCCATCCCTCTGCCTCAACCTCCCAAATTGCTGGGATTACAGGCATGGGCAACTGCACCTGGCCCTCTGTTTTCTTTAAGACCAAGAAGTAAGACCTAGAGTGTTGAAAAACGGATAGTACTGATAGGGTAAGTGGTTACATAAAACTACATTACATAAATTACATAAATATTTCCTGGAAGCTCTGAGCCTGTCAACTGCCCAGCGTGATTCCTCACCCTGCCCTGTTCTGCACTGTGGGAACCTTTAGTCTGCAGGCTTCCTTGCTCCGTGAGTTTTGTATATTCTGCTGGGGACAGGCATGAGTGGATGGGTATTTCTCCCGCCTCTCTGTGCTTCCTGTGATGTCTTCCACAGCAGCAGAGTCTCTTTCAAGGCTCTAACTCCCTCTGAAAGGCCCTCCCTCCATGGTCCAGACCCCTGCAAGGGAGCCTCTATAATGGTTCTATTTCCAGCCAGACAATTCTAGCTTTTAGGCTGAGAATAGCATCTCTTCCTACTGTCCCTCCAGCCCACGGATGTTAGCTGATTCTTGCTGTCGCTAATCTCCGGGTTACGTCACCACCCCGTTTGGCATCTCAGCTCTTCTATCACTTTTATAATCTATTTCCTGAATTAAATTCCCCTGGATTGAAAGAGTGGCTTCTATTGTCCTGACTTGATACACTCTGATTTCATTCCTCTTCCACAAAAATGCTCAGTTCCTCACATTTATAGGAATATTTTTCTCCTTCACAAATTTTCCTCTTCTTCTCTCTACTGTGGAGGAACTAGCGTGGATTTGGAATCAGGCTGGGTTCAGACTTGGGTTCTGTTATTTCAGAACCATATGACTTGGGGTAAATTGCTAGCTTATAATAAGTGCTGAATAATTGTTTGTTAATGAATGAATGATATTTAACCATTACAATGCCTTCTGAAGATTTAAAAATTTTTTTATTTAAAAATTTATTTTGAAAGGGCAGGGTCTTGCTATGTTGCCTAGGCTGGAGTGTAGTGGCTACTCACAGACACAATTATAGTGTGCTATAGTCTTGAACTCCTGAGCTCAAGAGATCCTCCCACCTCTGCATCCTGAGAAGCTGGGACCAGAGGTCCATGCTGCTGTGCCCAGCAAACATTTTTGAGTGGTATAAATACAAAGCATTAGTAGTATACAGTTGTTCTAGAAGGACTCATTTTTAAATATTTTCTAAAATTATGTATATAAAGAATTTGGTGTAATCCCAGCACTTTGGGAGGCCAAGGCGGGTGGATCACGAGGTCAGGAAATCGAGACCATCCTGGCTAACACGATGAAACCCCGTCTCTACTAAAAATACAAAAAATTAGCCGGGCGTGGTGGCGGGCGCCTGTCCCAGCTACTCGGGAGGCTGAGGCAGGAGAATGGCGTGAACCCGGGAGGCGGAGCTTGCAGTGAGCCGAGATCGCGCCACTGCACTCCAGCCTGGGCGACAGAGCGAGACTCCATCTTAAAAAAAAAAAAAAGGAAGAATTTGGTCTTCAGGAAGACCATACTCAGGAATATGTGGTATTTGTTCAGCATTAGCTTCATCGCATAACAAGCCATGAGGGTTTTTCTCTTTTGCCTTTATAACTCTATAGACTCACATAACTATTAAAATACTATCACCTTGCATTATAATTATCTCATTTACCGTTATTACTGTTCTGCCTCCCTCCCTCTAGACTATAAATCTCACGTAGTACTTGGCACATAGAAAGCTCTCAAGAAACACTTGTTGAGTGAAGAAATATGCTATTTGATGTCTTATGTGCCTGTGTCCTTAAGCCATAGCATGCATGGAGGCCCTGAGCCATAGTAGAATTTGAATAAATGTTTGTTGTGTTATGAATCCAATATTTAAACGAGTCCAAAGGATTTAGCACTAGTTTCAATGATGAAATCAGTCAAGTCAACTTTTATTTTTAAACTGGATGTCAATTACTAATCACTTGCTAATCACTAGTTTCTAAACTAGGAAAGAGAGATGCTTTGGTCCAGAGGTTGTTTGAGTGAAGTAAGCATTTAGGTACTTGTACACTCAGTACTTCTAGACTTCCATCAAAAATTCTTCCCCGCTAAAACATTGCACTTTAGGGGTGTTTGAGTCATCCTTGTGTGGCTGAGAAAAAAAGTCCTAAAAAGTGACAAGCTAGAATGGAGGAGGGATGTCACTCTTTCCAAGATCTAACAGAACAAAGAACAGCATGATTATGGGGGGCTCAACTGCTTTGTTTGCCCGTGGTTTGAGTTTGGCCAAGGGTGAATACCATTAAGGGATCTGAGAGTGGGAGAAGAGTGAGGCCAGGATATTTATTCACCTGTTTCCCTATTGCTGTGTCTCCACAGGTTGGCTGCATCCTTCTTCTGAAGGCCACTGCTCTTTTCAGAAGACCTCCCTAGATGGCTAAGCTCTCTGGGTTGCAACAGTTGCTCTTTTTCCTTGAGCCTTAGGTTAGGGAGTTGGGAGGAAGTAATGGCTTCCCCCACTGCTAGCTCCAGGGTGCTACACTTTCTCTTTTCTAGTTTCCCTAATCTGGCTTACACCATTATAGATAGACCCTTTATTAAAATATCCTCAATTTATCCATATTGAGTGTGCCATCTGCTTCTTTTTCGGATGCTGATGCTTCAGAGTGATATGGGAAAGTATCCCAGGCATTTTTGTCTCATTCATCACACCTAGAAAGATAATTTAGGATTTGATGATGAAATAGCATGGTAGAAAATATAGCATACAAAGTTTTTCCTTGGAAGACAATCACTGGACATTCTCAAGAATGGCAAGAGAAGGCATAATAAAAATAGCTGCCAGATGGGGGACAGGACTGACTTGCAGCTCTCATGCTGACTTGCAGCATGAGGAGACTCACATTGTGAACTTTTGCTCCAAGAACTACTGCAAGAACATACCAGGAAAACCAAAAGAATTCACAGACCCTTTGAAAGAAGAGTTTGCCGCTGCAAACTCCAAGACACAGCTGAAAAACCGTGAGTGCCCAGAGTGTGAGAGGGGGAAAGTCTCTTTCCAAACACACATCCTCACTGGGGAGCCTGAAAATCCATATCATGGGAGAAGGATTTAACCTTACCTAGAGCTGAGGCGAATTTAGAGAGCTGAGCAAAATATAAAAGTAGAAGCAGCAGCAGGAAGAGCCCTGTAGGCACTCCCGGTCCCCAGGGAAGCTCAGAGAACCCATTTCTGACTTTATCTCACAGGGGCCCTTGTGGGGAGCGGGCTGCCAGTGGAATTAGGGAAAGCCCACAGGGAGAAGGAAACTTCCAGCTGAACTTTATAATGATTTCAAGCATGAATTTTCCAGAGCAGAATCTGGGGTCGGGGGCAAACAGGAAGTCCAGATAGGAGCACAGAAGCCGCAGCGAGGAGGGGAAGGCCTGAAAGCCCTGCTTGCTTTATTAGGCGCGAGGCTTGTATGGTGGCGGTGGAGGGAGTTCCCAGTCCTGCTCACTGGCAAATAAACTCACCTAGATATAAACTCGGTGCTGTCGAGGAGCACTGGGAGAGTGAGACTGGCCTTTCAGTCTGCGTGGGAGCTGGGTGAGGCCCGTCACTGCCAGTTTTCCGCAACTTCCCTGGCGACCTGTATGACAGCAGAGGCAGCCATAGTCCTACTGGGAACCTACTCCAATGGCCTGAGAACCACACCCCCTCCCCCAAGGTGGCTGCGGCAAGCCCCGCCCAAGGAGAGTCTGAGCTCAGACCCACCTGACTCTACCCCCACCAGATAGATGGTCTTTCTCCACCTGCCCTGGTAGCCAAAAACAAAAGACGTACAACTCATGGAAGTTCTAGGGCCCCGCCCATCACCTGAGAAACCTGAAGGCTCATCCAGGAGACCCTAGGGCAAGCTTGCGTCCCCCCATACTACCGCAGCTGAAGTTGTCTGAAGTTGTCTTGAAAGCGCCACCTCCTAGCTGGAGGCCAACCAACACAAACTGTTACAGCAACTCATCAAAGAATAACCCTGCCCCAAGAAAGGAGAAAACAATGGTTAACTCCACTGCCTGTAACATCCTGGCTAACCAGAGGTCCTAAGTCTGTCCACATGATAGCTTTACTGTCAGTACAACCAGCATTTGAGAAAACCGGCACGCTAAACAAAACTACAACCAAGTACTCTTACAGAGTCCGCTTCACTCCTCTGCTACCTCCACTGGAGCAGGTGCTGGTATCCACAGCTGAGAGATCTGAAGATGGAGCACATCACAGGACTCTTTGCAGACCCTCCTCAGTACCAGCCCAGAGCCCAGTAGCTCCACTGGGTGGCTAGACCCAGAAGAGAAATAACAATCACTGCAGTCTGGTTCTCAGGAAGTCCTATCTCAAGGGGAAAGGGGAGAGCCCCACAGCAAGGGAGCACCCTATGGGACAAAAGAATCTGAACAGCAGCCCTTGAGCCCCAGATCTTCCCTCTGACATAGTCTACCCAAATGAGAAGGAACCAGAAAAACAATTCTGGTAATATGATAAAACAAGGCACTTTAACACCCCCAAAAGATCACACTAGCTCACCAGCAATGGATCCTGTGAAAGGAAAATATCTTGGGCCCCAAAATCACTAGGAAAAACTAGCTGGAAATTGCTTAGGGCAAATCTGCCTTCCATTCTATTCAAAGTTATCCCTCTGCTCATTGAGATAGATGCATATCTGATTGCCTTCTTTGGAAAGGCTAATCAGAAACTCAAAAGAATGCACTGTTTGTGTTTCACCTAACTGTGACCTGGAAGATCCCTCCCTGCTTTGAATCTTCCTGTCTTTGCTTCAAGTTGTCCCGCCTTTCCAGATAGAACCAATGTACTTCTTACATATATTGATTGTTGTCTTCTGTCTCCCTAAAATGGATAAAACCAAGCTGTGCCCCCGACCACCTTGGGCATGTCATCAGAACTCCCTGAGGCAGTGTCATGGTCCGTCCTCAACCTTGGCAAAATAAACTTTCTAAATTAACTGAGAGCTGTCTCAGGTTTTCTAGGTTCACAATCCAAACCAAGAAGAAATCTCTAAATGGCCAGCAAAAAAATTCAGAAGGTCGATTATTAAGCTACTCAGGGAGGCACCAGAGAAAGGTAAATACCAACTTAAAGACATTTTAAAAATGTTACAGGGTATGGAAGGAAAAATCTCCAGAGAAATAGATAGCATAAATAAGAAACAATCACAACTCCTGGAGATGAAGGACACACTTAGAGAATTGCAAAATACACTGGAAAGTCTCAACAATAGAATAGAACAAGTAGAAGAAAGAACTTAAGAGCTTGAAGACAAGGCTTTCGAATTAGCCCAATCTGAGAAAGACAAAGAAAAACAAATTAAAAAAATGAACGAAGTCTCCAAGAAGTTTGGGATTATGTTAAATGACCAAAACTAAGAATAACTGGCGTTCCTGAGGAAGAAGAGAAATCTAAAAGTCTGGAAAACATTTGAGAGAATAATTGAGGAAAACTTTTCCAGGCTTGCTAGAGATCTAGCCATCCAAATACAAGAAGCTCAAAGAACATCTGGGAAATTCATCGCAAAAAGATCATCCCCTAGGCACATAGTTATCACGTTATCTAAAATCAAGATGAAGGAAAGAAGCTTAAGAGCCATAAGGCAAAAGCTTCAGGTAATGTATAAAAGAATATCTATCAGATTAATAGCAGATTTCTCAGCAGACACCTTGCAACCTAGAAAGGATTGGGGTCCTATCTTTAGCCTCCTTAAACAAAACAATTATCAGCCAAGAAATTTGTATCCAGCAAAACTAAGCTTCATAAATAAAGAAAAGATACAGTCTTTTTCAGGCAAACAAATGCTGAGAGAATTTGCACTACCAAGCCAGCACTACAAGCACCGCTAAAAGGAGTGCTAAATCTTGAAGCAAAGCCTCAAAATACACCAAAATAGGCCGAGCATGGTGGCTCAAGCCTGTAATCCCAGCAGTTTGGGAGACCAAGGTGGGCAGATCACGAGTTCAGGAGATCAAGACCATCCTGGCTAACACAGTGAAACCCTGTCTCTACTAAAACCACAAAAAATTAGCCAGGTGTGGTGGCACACACCTGTAGTCCCAGATACTCTGGAGGCTGAGTCATGAGAATTGCTTGAACCTGGGAGGCAGAAGTTGCAGTGAGCCGAGAGTGCACCACTGCATTCCAGCCTGGGTGACACAGCGAGTCCCCATAACAAAATAAAAAAAGAAAAAAGAAATACACCGAAATAGAACCTTCTTAGAGCATAAATCTCACAGGACCTATAAAACAATAAAATAATTTTAAAAAAACATAAGGTATTCAGGCAACAACTTGCACGATGAAGAGAATGACACCTCACATCTCAATACTAATGCCAAATGTAAATGGCCTAAATACTCCACTTAAAAGCTACAGAATGGCAGAATGAATAAGAATTCACCAACTAAACATCTGCTGGCTTCCAGAGACTCACCTAACACGTAAGGACTCAGATAAACTTACGGTAAAGGGGTGGAAAAAGATATTCCATGGAAATGGACACCAAAAGCAAGCAGGAGTAGCTATTCTTAGACAAAACAGACTTTAAAGCAACACAGTTAAAAAAGAAAGAGGGACATTATATAATGATAAAAAGTCTAATCCAACAGGAAAATATTACACTCATATATATATATATGAGTTTATATGTGATATATGAGTTTCTATGTGATATATATATATATGAGTTTATATATATATGCACCTAACACGGGAGCTCCCAAATTTATAAAACAGTTACTACTAGACCTAAGAAATGAAACAGATAGCAACATAATAATAGTGGGAGACTTCAATACTCCACTGACAGCACTAGACATGTCGTCAAGTTAGAAAGAATCTGAACAGCAGCCCTTGAGCCCTTGTTTCCAACAAGGAAACAATGGACTTAAACTATACCCTAGAAGAAATGGACTTAATGGATATTTATAGAACATTCTACCCAACAATTGCAGAATATACATTCTATTCATCAGCACATGGAACATTCTCCAAGATAGACTATATGATAGGCCACAAAAGTCTCAATAAATTTAAGGAAATTGAAATTATATCAAGTACTCTCTCAGATCACAGTGGAATAAAATTGGAAATTCACTCCAAAAGGAATCCTCAAAACCATGCAAATACATGGAAATTAAATAACCTACTCTTGAATGATCTTTGGCTCAACAATGAAATCAAGAAGGAAATTAAAAAATTCTTTGAACTGAATGATAATAGTGACACAACCTATGAAAGCCTCTGGGGTACAGCAAAAGTGGTACTAAGAGGAAAGTTCATAGAATTAAATGCCTAAATCAAAAAGTCTGAAAGAGCACAAATAGACAATCTAAGGTCACACCTCAAAGAACTAGAGAAACAAGAACAAACCAAACCCAAACTCAGCAGAAGAAAACAAATAGCAAAGATCAGGCCAGCCATGGTGGCTCACACCTGTAATCCCAGCACTTTGGGAGGCCAAAGTGGGTGGATCACTTGAGATCAGTAGTTCAAGACCAGCCTGGCCAAAATGGTGAAACCCTGTCTCTACTAAAAATACAAAAAAAATTAGCTGGGTGTGGTGGTGCATACCTATAATCCCAGCTACTGGGGAGGCTGAGGCACAAGAATCACTTGAACTTGGGAGGTGGAGGTTGCAGTGAGCCGAGGTCATGCCATTGCACTCCAGCCTGGACAACAGAGTGAGACCCCATCTCAAGCCCCTTCCCCACACAAAAAAGAGATAACAAACATAAGAGCAGAACTAAATGAAATTAAAACAAATAAACAAACAAATACAAAAGATAAATGAAACAAAAAACTGATTATTTGAAAAGATAAACAACATTGATAGACCATTAGCAAGATTAACCAAGAAAAGATCCAAATAAGCTCAATTAGAAATAAAATGAGAGATATTACAATTGATACCACAAAAATATAAAAGCTCATTCAAGACTACTATGAACACCTTTACACTCACAAACTAGAGAACCTAGAGAAGATGGATAAATTCCTGGAAATATACAACACTCCTAGATTAAACCAGGAAGAAATAGAAACCCTGAACTGACCAATAACAAGCAGTGAGATTAAAATGGTAATTTAAAAATTGCCAACAGAAAAATGTTCAGGACCAAAAGGATTCACAGCTGACTTCTATCAGACATTCAAAGAAGAATTGGTACCAATCCTGTTGACACTATTCCAAAAGATAGAGAAAGAGGGAATCCTCCCTAAATCATTCTATGAAGCCAGTATTACCCTAATACCAAAACCAGGAAATGACATAACAAGAAAAGAAAACTACAGCCAATATCCCTGATGAATGTAGTAGCAAAAATCCTCAACAAAAATACTAGCTAACTGAATGCAATAGCATATAAAAAAGATAATCCATCCTGATCAAGTGGGTTTCATACCAGGCGTGCAGGGATGGTTTAACATATGCAAGTCAATAAATGTGATACACTACATAAACAGAATTAAAAACAAAAATCACATGATCATGTCAATAAACACACAAAATTTGACAAAATCCAGTATCCCTTTATGATTAAAACCCTCAGCAAAATCAGCAGAGAAGGGACATACCTTAAGGTAATAAAAGCCATTTGTGACAAACCCACAGCCAACATTATACTGAATGGGGAAAAGTTGAAAGCATTTCTTATTTCTGTTCAACATAGTACTGGAAGTTCTAGTCAGAGCAATCAGACAAGGGAAAGAAATAAAGGGCATCCAAATCAGCAAAGAGGAAATCAAACTGTTGCTGTTTGCAGATGATATGATTGTATACCTGGAAAACCCTAAAGACTCAACCAGAAAGCTCCTAGACTTAATAAATAAATTCAGTAAAGTTTCAGGCTACAAAATCAATGTCACAAATTAGTAGCTCTGCTATACACCAACAGCGACCAAGCTGAGAATCAAATCAATAACTCAACCCCTTTTACAATACCTGCAAATTAAATAAACAAATAAAATACCTAGGAATATACCTAGCCAAGGAAGTGAAAGACCTCTGCAAGGAAAACCACAAAACATTGCAGAAAGAAATCATGGATGACACAAAAAATGGAAACATTCCAGTCTTATGGATGGGTAGAATCAATGTTGTGAAAATGACCATACTGCCAAAAGCTATCTACAAATTCAATGCACTTCCCATTAAAATACCATCATCATTCTTCATAGAACTAGAAAAAACAATCCTAAATTCATATGGAACCAAAAAAAGTGCCCACATAGCCAAAGCAAGACTGAGCAAAAAGAACAAATCTGGAGGCATCACATTACTCAACTTATACCCAAGGTTATAGTCACCAAAACAGCATGATACTGGCATAGAAATAGGTACAAACACCAATGGAGCAGAGAACCAGAAATAAAGCCAAATACAGCCAACTGAACTTTGACAAAGCAAACAAAAACATAAAGTGGGGAAAGGAAACCCTACTCAACAAATGGTGCTGGCAAGCCACATGTAGAAGAATGAAACTAGATCCTCATCCCTCACCTTATACAAAAATCAACTCAAGATGGAAAAAGACTTAAATCTAAGACCTGAAACCATAGAAATTCTAGAAGGTAACATCAGAAAAACCCTTCTAGACATTGGCTTAGGCAAAGACTTCGTGACCAAGAACCCAAAAGCAAATGCAACAAAAACAAACAGATGGGACTTAAACTAAAAAGCTTCTGCACAGCAAAAGAAATAATCAACAGAGTAAACAGATAACCCACAGAGTGGGAGAAAATCTTTGCAAGCTATGCATCTGACAAAGGACTAATATCCAGAATCTATAAGGAACTCAAACAAATCAGAAAGAAAAAAACAAACAATCCCATCAAAAAGTGAGCTAAGGACGTGAATAGACAATTCTGAAAAGAAGATATACAAATGGCCAACAAACATATGGAAAAATGCTCATCGTCACTAATTATCAGGGAAATGCAAATCAAAACCACAATGCGACACCACCATGCTCCTGCAAGAATGACCATAGTTAAAAAAATAAAAAAATAACAGATGTTGGCATGGATGTGGTGAAGAGGGAACATTTTTACACTGCTAGTGGGAATGTAAACTAGTACAACCACTATGGAAAACAGTTTGGAGATTCCTTAAAGAACTAAAGGTAGATCTACCATTTGATTCAGCAATCCTACTGCTGGGTATCTACCCAAAGAAAAAGAAGTCATTACACGAAAAAGACACTTGCACGCACATGTTTACAGCACCACGGTTTGTAATTGCAAAAATATGGAACCAGTCCAAATGCCCATCAATCAATGAGTGGATAAAGAAAATGGGATATATATATATATATATACACACACACACACACACACACACACACACACACACACACACACACACACACTGTGGAATACTACTCAGCCATAAAAAGCAATGAAATAATGGCATTTGGAGCGACCTGGATGGAATTGGAGATCATTATTCTAAGTGAAGTAACTCAGGAATGGAAAACCAAATGTTATATATTCTCATTTATAAGTGGGAGCTAAGCTATGAGGATGTAAAGGCATAAGAATGATACAATGGACTTTGAGGACTCAGGGGCAAGTGTGGGAGGGGGATGAGCGATAAAAGACAACACATTGGGTACAGTGTGCACTGCTTGGGTGATGGGTGCACGAAAATCTTAGAAATCACCACTAAAGAACTTATCCACGTAACTAAACATCACCTGTTCCCCCAAAACCTATTGAAATAATTAATAATAATAATAAAACAAAAACCCAATTCTAAAAAAAACCTTGTAAAAAAATAAATTTTATATAAATGGAAAAAAATAGCTGCTACATTCACCTAGTGCTTGCCATGAGTCAGTGTTCCAAGCATTTACAAATATTAACTCCATTAATCGTTATGATAATCCTATGAGGTAAGTATTATTATTATCTTCATTCAACAGAAGAGGCAACTGAGGCACAATTTAAACAACTTGCTCAAGGTCACATAGTGAGTGGGAGATTCAAACCTAGGCAGGCTGAGTTTGTAACAAAATCTGTTCTCTCAAACTTTACACTATCATCATGGCCTTTGACATCCCCTCCCATGGTTCTACTCAACCTCAACCACTCCCCTCTCTCTGTGAAAATTTCAGAAGAGTATTCTCCACTTGCTGTCTTCATATCTCACTGGTACACTTGAAATCATTTTCTGCCTGCACTTTTGCAAAGAAACTGTTTTTGTTAAGGTTAATAAAGACCTCCTATCAACACAATTCATTTGGCATCTTTTAGATCCCAAATGTTGCTTCTCATATCTGTGACTTTGGACACCATTGACTACTCTCTCCTTCATGAAACTCTCTTCTCCTTTAGCTTCTGGTGATATTCTAGAAGTGTCCCAGATGTCATTCCTTTGCTTCGTCCTTTCTTTTTTCTTTTTTTCTTTTTTGCCTTGGTCTCAGCTACTGGCTCTTTCTGCTCCAAAATGTTGGTGTTCCTAAGGTTTCTTCCCCAAGCCCTTTTCTCTCTGCACACTGTAGGTTCCTTTTGAGTCATCTTATCAACCATTGGGGCTCCAGTTGCCATTAATACAAACCTGACTAAAAGGAAAGAAAAAGAATTGAGGAAGTCTAGAAACAGTTTGACTGACCGAGTTTAACATCCTGATCCTGTCTGAATCATCCTTGTGAGGAAATACTGGTGAATCTGGCCAATTTGGTGGAAAGGTGTTGGTCCAAATTGTCCATGGTATTTACCCAACAGGGTAGGAAGAAAATGGACAGCCAATAGAGAACAGAATTGTGTCTGAGGAGGATTGCCAAGGGTCAAACTGAAGAAGCCACTAGATTGAGTGGCTAGTGCAGTTGGAAATAGGAAACTATCCTGAAATGTAATCATCATCTAACTCAAGTCCCTGCCTTCAGGGCTTCCTTGCACCAACACACCTTTCACAAAGCTGCCAGACTTAGGTTTCTACAACTTACCTTCGTAATAGTATTACTCCTCTGCTATTATGTGGTAGTTCCTTATTGTCTGCAGAATAGAGACACTCATGAGGCTTTTCATGAGCTGGTCCCAGCTTGTCTGTTTAGCTTCATGTTTTCCTGATCCCTGTCTTATACCCTGTGTTCCATTGATGCCATGCTTCCTGATGATCCCTGAGCACATCCAGATGATGTACACGCGTTCCTCTGTGAGGACCTCCAAGACCTCCTCATTTCCTCATTCATTCATCAGGACATAGTTCTTGAACACCTGCTGTGGGCCCAGTTCTGAGCTCAGTGCAGATAGCTATGCTGCAAGACAAAAGCATACACAGTCTCCGCTCTATTGGAGACAGATAGTGATCAAAGAGCTTCAGGAAAGGCACCACATTTCACTTATGGTAAGTTTTATGAAGGCAAAGTACATGGTGCTGTAACAGAGTGAAATGGGGGAAATGGCCTAGTTAGAAAAAGTGGAGAGCCAAAGAAAGAGTTAGGAGTTAGCTAAGGGCACAGAGAGCATGTGCAAAGGCCCTGAATAGAAGGAAATTGGCAGGTATGCTGAGAAGGACAAAGAGGGTATGGTAGAGAGAAAGGGTGACAAGTGAGGAGGTAGGGACCTTCTAAAAAGGGAGGTTGGATGGTCCCCTGAGAACCACAGGGAGCCATAAATGCTTGTAAGCAGGGGTTGGGGTGGTATCAACATGATCAGGTTTGCTTTTAAAAAGGTTAGTCTGGCTGCATGTGGAGAATGGATTTAAGGGGAGAAGACTGGAGGTAGGAAAACCAAGAAGGAAGCTGTGGCAATTGTCCCTGTGAGTAATGACAGCCTGAATCCTGCTCTGAGCATCACCATATCTCGCCTGGGCTATTGTAACAGCCTCCTAACCACTGTTGCTCTTGGCCCCTCCTCTAGTGAGTTTAAAGTTCTGTGAAAAGTCTGGACTGGAGAGTTACAGACGAACCTGAAACCTAGGGGACTCTGGGATGTCATTGCACTTTTACTTATTTCTTTTGGAACACTTGTTATATTGCTCTAAATTGACTGATTTACATGCCTGTTTTTCCCAGGCCTCTGCCATCACTTAGACACATGTCTTATTCATCCTGGTCTTCTCAGAGCAAAGCAAAGTCTCTGACATGGTATATGCTCAACGAATGAAAGAATGAGGATCATATTAATAAAAATTATTATGGCCGGGCATAGTGGCACACTCCTGTAATCCCAGCACTTTGGGAAGCCAAGGTGGGTGAATCACCTGAGGTCAGAAGTTTGAGACCAGCCTGGCCAACATGGTGAAACCCCGTCTCTCCTAAAAATACAAAAATTAGCCAGGCGTGATGGCGCGCACCTGTATTCCCAGTTACTCAGGAGGCTGAGGCAGGAGAATTGCTAGAACCCCAGAGGCAGAGGTTGCAGTGAGCTGAGATGGCGCCACTGCATTCCAGCCTGGGTGACACAGTGAGACTCCGTCTAAAAAGAAAAAAATATTATGACTGTTGTACCACAGAATGCAACCATGAATCTGTAATAACTCTAAAATTAATATTTAACACTGTTAGAGGTTCTAGATAATTTTAAAAAGTAGGGACAAGTTCAGATATTCAAAGAACTCCATGTATTAGCAAAAATAAAATAAGCAATAAAAACAGATGGGAACATTAATTTTGTTGTTATGAAGGAATATTGGTCTTTTCTATACTAATATTTATATTAACTTCAAGAACACAAGAACATTACAAATAGAATGCAGTAGCCAAGACATAAAGAAAAAGATTAAAACTAGAAATAGAATTAGCAAAGAATATTTGCCTTGTTCACAATGGTGGATACTGCATTTAAAAAGTTTGTTAGTCTGGGTGTGGTGGCTCATGCCTGTAATCCCAGCACTTTGGGAGGCTGAGGTGGGAGGATCACCTAAAGTCAGGAGTTTGAGACCAGCCTGGCCAACATGGTGAAATCCCGTCTCTACTAAAAATACCAAAAATAAGCTGGGTGTAGTGGTGGGCACCTGTAATTGCAGCTATTCAGGAGGCTGAGACAGAAGAATCACTTGAACCCAGGAGGTGGAGGTTGCAGTGTGCGGAGATCATGCCATTGCACTCCAGCCTGGGCAACAAGAGGGAAACACTGTCTCAAAAAAAACAAAAAACAAAAAAACTTTGTTCAGAAGGTAAATTTCCCCCATGGTTTCCAGCTCTGACTGCACATTAGAATCAGCTGAGGGACTCTACAAAGACCGGGAAGCCTGTGCCCTACCTCTGACTAAGTCCTACTTCTGAG
Source organism: Homo sapiens (assembly GCF_000001405.40). Lineage (NCBI taxonomy): Eukaryota > Metazoa > Chordata > Mammalia > Primates > Hominidae > Homo > Homo sapiens. Next base: position 208,088,852 of record NC_000002.12, read on the forward strand.
TGAGGCCAAACTTTGGGATTTTTTTGAAAAGCTGCCCACACGGTTCAGGTGTGCATGCAGACTGAGAAGCACTGCTTTGCTAGAGTGTCCTGGAGGGACGGGCTGATGAGCGATAGGATGCAACATTGATGTCCCTGCAGAGAGAGCCAACAGAGGAAATAGGGGAAGAGGAAGAATGCTCCTAATCAAGTTGTAGAGAACTTACCAGACACCAAAGTCTGACGTATATCAATTAAAGAATTTGGAAACTCAACGTGGAAAAAATGGCAGCCAGAAATAACATACAGATTTCCTCTGGGCGCGGTGGCTTACGCCTGTAATCCCAGCACTTTGGGAGGCCAAGGTGGGTGGATCACCTGAGGTCAGGAGTTCAAGACCAGCCTCTCTACTAAAAATAGCATCTCTACTAAAAATTAGCAAGTATGAAAATTAGACGGGTGTGGTGGCAGGTGCCTGTAGTCCCAGCTACTTGGGAGGCTGAGGCAGAGTGGCGTGAACCCGGGAGGCGGAGCTTGCAGTGAGCTGAGATTGCGCCACTGCACTCCAGGCTGGGTGACAGAGTGAGACTCTGTCTCAAAAAAAAAACCAAAAAAACAAAAAAATTAGCAAATGTGGTGGCACACACCTGCAATCCCAGCTACTGGGGAGGCTGGGGCACGAGAATCGCTTGAACCTGGAAGGCAGAGGTTACAGTGAGCTGAGATTGCGCTACTGCACTCCAGCCTGGGCAATAAAGTGAGACTTTGTCTCAAAAAAAAAAAAAATACAGATTTCTTTTAAAATCTCATAACACTCTTCCATAATCTGAAGACAAACAGATTTATTACAAAAAAAAAGGAGTTAAAGTCCATGAATTCATAAATATCTTTATTAAAGAAGAAAAGATAGTTTTATTTCTCTAAAAGAAAGGCAGGCTGTCTTAAATTAGCTTCCATCAGCATTTAAAAAAATATTTAAATATTAATAACTGCCCACTTGGAGGAGAGTGAAGGAAACTGGCTTGACATTGAATGACTCTGCAAGTAGTCATTTAATTATAGAGTAGCTCCATGTGTCTACCTTACAAAAAAGTAGAACACTTTCTAGTTTAAATATTGGCTTCCTGAACAATTATCGCATTTGCTTCTTAAAAAATTCTGGCAAGGTAGTAGGGTAGGAATTTCTGTTGGTGTTTGAGAGACAAGGACACTGAGGCTCAGAGCTGCATAAAATCATGCAAATAACAGGAAGCACATTTGAGACTTGGCTTCCAAGCTTGTGATTCCAAATCTAACTTCTCACTGCATCATCCTACTGCTCATTAAAAGTGGGAGCTTTACAAAGCCTTGATTTCAGAGCAGTACAGAACTTTACAGAAGTTCAAAGTCTGGTTTTCAAAATGAGATAATAGATTGAAGGACCACATTAGGTATATAGTAGTGGGTTGCTTAATTTTACGCGTCAACTTGACTGGGCTAAAGGATGCTGAAATATCTGGTAAAACATTTCTGGGTATGTCTGTGAAAGTGTTTTGGGAAGAGATTAACATTTGAATCAGTAGACTCGGTAAAGAAAATTAAGTTCATCAATACAATAATTTTATCATTTTATGGATAATTTTATCCTTTTAGGGCCCAAATAGGTCAAAAAAGTAGAGGAGGGTGAATTCACTCTGTTTGAGCTGGGACATCTGTCTTTCTCTGCCATCAGACATCAGTGCTCTTGGTTTTCAGGCCTTTGGGTCTGAACTGGAGCATACACCATTAGCTCTCCTGTTTCTCAGGCCTTCAGACTTGGACTTCAGAGTTCCAGTGGAATTGCATCACCAGTTTTCTGGTTCTCCAGTTTACAAACAGCAAATTGTGGGACTTCTCAGCCTTCATAATCACATGAGCCAATCCTCACTACAAATCTCCTCTTATATACACATATGTTGTTGGTTCTAGTTCTCTGGAGAACCCTGAAGAGACCTGGCCATTCAAAGGCATGGGATAATTTGTAGATAACTCTAAGGCTTGCCTTTAAGAGATCAGTAAGTTCATTGGCCCTATTTTCTACACAGCTCATGATAGAAAAATCTTAAAACTTTACACAATAATTCCATTCCAGGGTCTACTTACCTTTACCAACAGGAAGTGCTTATCTAACCTGAAATTTTTCAGTACACTTTTTTTTAAACAGTCTAAATTTATTTATTTATTTGTAGATTACTCTAAGGCTTGCCTTTAAGAGATCAGTAAGTTTATTGGCCCTATTTTCTACATAGCTCATGATAGAAAAATCTTAAAACTTTACATAATAATTCCATTCCAGGGTCTACTCACCTTTACCAACAGGAAGTGCTTATCTAACCTGAAATTTTTCAGTCATATTTTTTAAAACAGTCTAAATTTATTTATTTATTTATTTATTTATTTATTTGAGATGGAGTTTTGCTCTTGTCACCCAGGCTGGAGTGCAATGGCACAGTCTTGGCTCACTGCAACCTCCGCCTCCCAGATTCAAGCAACTCTCCTGCCTCAGCCTTCCCAGTAGCTGGGACTACAGGCACCCACCACCATGCCCAGCTGACTTTTGTATTTTTGGTAGAGACAGGGTTTCACTATGTTGGCCAGGCTGGTCTCGAACTCCTGACCTCAGGTGATCCACCCGCCTCGGCCTCCCAAAGTGCTGGGATTACAGGCATGAGCCACCATGCCAGGCTTAAAACAGTCTAAATTTCAAGGAAGAAGAAACATGTTCTACTTCATAAAGCTGCATGTGATAGGGTGCTAACTGGGAAATCGGAGATGCTCTCCATAGACTCCACTGTCAGTGTCTGTGTTCCTAGTGAATGAGGGAGCCAGTGACTAGTTTGCCTGTTTGTTAGCAGGAGTGTCTGCTACATGCTGTGGCATGAAGCAAGTTATCAATTTTCTTTGGACTTTGTAGTGAGCATACTCAGGTGATGAGCACTTGTTTTTTTTTTTCTTTCTTCTTCTTCTTCTTATTATACTTTAAGTTCTAGGGTACACGTGAACAACATGCAGGTTTGTTACATATGTATACATGTGCAATGTTGGTGGAGCACTTGTTTTGTTTTGATTTTTCTTCTTGGAATCCATTCTACCTTCAAGTACTCCTCTTTTCCTTAGAAAACAGACCTCATCTCAATAAAAATATAAATAAAAATTAATTAATTAATTTCAATCAATTAAATTTGTTAATTAAAGAAATTTTTCCAGCTTATATTTTCAAAAGTAATGAAGTTTTGTGAACATTTTCAATAGCCCAACCTAAATTTATAATTGAAGATAAAGTAGACTGCTTCAAGAAGTCTAAATGAACAGAAATCTCTCTTGCTAAAGATAAGTGTTCAATGCTTTGCATTTAATCCCCAAAATACTTTAGATCCAACTTTGCTTAGAGAACACCCAGTAAAAGATAAGCAACAGCTGTTATGTTTGACCTACATGTGACCTCTTCCTCATTCTCATTCCATGTGGCTTAAGTCTCATTGACTCTATCTCCCAACTCCAGGGTTTGCTTCAGCCATTTAGAGTATTCTAAGGCTGAAACAGTTGAGGACCACTGAATTAGTCAGGGTTCTTCAGAGAAACAGAGCCAATGGGATGGATGGATAGAGAGATAGATAGACAGATAGATGAAAGAGGATTTATTATGGGAATTGACTCCTGTGATTATGGAGGCTTAGGAGTCCCCTGACAGGCTACCTGCAAGGTAGAGAACCAGGGAAGCTGGTAGCATGGCTCAGTCCAAGTCCAAAGGTCTGAGAACCAAGAGAGCCATTGGTGTAACTCTGGGTCTGAGACCAAAGTCCAGAGAAACTGAGGGACTGCTGGTGCAAATCCTGGAGTCCAAAGGCCAGAGAACCTGGAGTTCTGATGTCCAAGGGCAGGAGAAGATGGTGTCGCAGTTGCAGAAGAGAGAGCAAATTCAGCTTTCCTCTGCCTTCTGGTTCTGTTTGGACCCTTAACTAATCAGATGGTGCCCACCCACATTGGGTGAGGATGGGTCTTCCTTACTCTACTGATTTAAAAGCCAATTTCTTCTGGAAATACCCTCACAGATATACCAGAAATAATGTATTCCCAGCTATTTGGGTTTCTTAACCCAGACAAGTTGACACCTAAAATTAACTACCACAGCCACCATATGGAAAGAGCCTGCCTGAGAATAAAACCAACATAGAGGAAAGCAGAGTGGAGGAAGGAGAGGGCTACAGAGACCAGCTCCTGACGATCTCACCTGAGCCCCTGCATCCAGCCATGCCTGAAGGCTTTTGATTATGTGGAGCAATACATCCTCTTTTTGTTTAAGCTTGTGTGAGTTAGTTTTAGTCACTTGCAACTGAAAGAGTCCTGCCCAGCATATTATAACAGTGATCTCAGTTCAGTTATTTCTATTCTGATCTCATATAAGCTAATCTTACTTTCCTATTTTGCTAGAAGACAGAAATGAAGGTCAAATGTATGTCAAACATAACAGCTGTTGCTCATCTGCTGGGTGCTCTCAAAGCAAGATTGGATCTAATTTATTTTGAGGATTAAATGTAAAGCTTTGAACCCTTATCTTTAGCAAGGGAGATTTCTGTTCACTTAGACTTCTTGAAACAGTCCACTTTATCTTTAATTATAAATTTAGGTTGGGCTATTGAAAATGTTAAAAAAATTCATTATTTTTGAAAATATAAGGTGGAAAAATTTAATTAACAAATTTAATTGATCGATTTAAATTAATTAATTAATTAAAAATTATTTTTTAGAAGTGAGGTCTCACTTTTTTGACCAGGTTTGTCTCAAATACCCAGGCTCAATCAATCCTCCCACCTTGACCTCCCAATGTGCTGGTATTACAGGCGTGAGCCATCTAAGTTTCTAAGCCTGAAAAATTTCTAAGTTAAAAACTTGCAAGACTTGAAAAGAAGTGAGAGAAAGAATGAGGCTCATTCGAAAATGCAATTAGCAAATATTCTTGGGAGAAGACTCACTGAATTTCCAGTCCATATTTTCTGGCTTGTTTTCCTTAGGCAGGATAAAAATAATGACAGCTAAGTCCCTCCCTCCCTCCCTCCCTTCCTTCCTTCCTTCCTTCCTTCCTTCCTTTCGCAGGGTCTCGCTCTGTCACCCAGACTGGAGTGCAGTGGTTTCATCATAGCTCACTGCAACCTCCACCCCCTGTGCTCAAGTGATCTTCCTGCCTCAGCCTCCTGAGTAGGTGGGATTACAGGCACTCAACACCATGCCCGGTTAACTTTTTTTTTTTTTTTTTTTGAGACAGAGTCTCGCTCTGTCGCCCAGGCTGGAGTGCAGTGGCGCCATCTCAGCTCACTGCAAGCTCCGCCTCCTGAATTCACGCCATTCTCCTGCCTCAGCCTCCCGAGTAGCTGGGACTACAGGTGCCCGCCACCACACCTGGCTAATTTTTTGTATTTTTAGTAGAGACTGGGTTTCCCCGTTTTAGCCAGGATGGTCTTGATCTGCTGACCTCCTGATCTGCCCACCTTGGCCTCCCAAAGTGCTGGGATTACAGGTGTGAGCCACAGGCCTGGCCGCCCAGTTAACTTTTTTTTTTTTTTTTTTTTTTTTTTTTTTTTTTTTTTTTTTTTTTTGAGGCGGAGTCTCGCTCTGTCGCCCAGGCCGGACTGCGGACTGCAGTGGCGCAATCTCGGCTCACTGCAAGCTCTGCTTCCCGGGTTCACGCCATTCTCCTGCCTCAGCCTCCCGAGTAGCTGGGACTACAGGCGCCCGCCACCGCGCCCGGCTAATTTTTTGTATTTTTAGTAGAGACGGGGTTTCACCTTGTTAGCCAGGATGGTCTCGATCTCCTGACCTCGTGATCCACCCGCCTCGGCCTCCCAAAGTGCTGGGATTACAGGCGTGAGCCACCGCGCCCGGCCCAGTTAACTTTTTAAAGATTGTAGAGATAGAGTCTCAACATGTTGCCCAGGCTGGCCTTGAGCTCCTGCCCTCAAGCAATACTCCTGCTTCGGCATTCCAAAGTTCTAGGATTACAGGTGTGAGCCGCTCTACCCAGCCGGTTTTCTCTTGCTTTTCTTACAACTATGGGTATCAAAACCAGGGATATGAATTGTTGTTTTTAAGATTGCAGTGGGTATTTGTGGTGCTTTGAATCTAAATAAAAACTCAATTCTAACTGATGAAAAGGATAATAATATATTAACTAGACAATAATAAAATATACAATGTAGAATACAATACAATAGATATAACAACAGCCACAGAAACACATAGTGAGCACTTAAAAAATGTATATATTTATTTATTTTTGTAGAGGTGAGGTCTTACTATGTTGCCCAGGTTGGTCTTGAACTCCCAGTCTCAAACAATACTCCTACCTTGCCTCCCAAAGTGCTCAGATTACAGGCATCAGCCAGTGCACCCAGTCTATTGAGTATTTATTATATGCTAGGTCCTGTTCTAAATACTTAACATGCATTTCTTATTTGTCTTTCATAGCAACAATGTCAACCATCTTGTGTAATAAGGCTCAAAGAGGCTGTCTCACTAGCCCCTGGCCTCCTGGTTGGTTAGTGAGAAAAAAAGAATTCAAACGCAGGTTGGCCTGACTCTAGGAATCAATTACCAAACCTTATTGTCTAGATTTAATTTTTTTTAATTTTTATTTATTTATTATTTTTTGAGATGGAGTCTCGCTCTGTCACCCAGGCTGGATTCCAGTGGTGTGATCTCAGCTCACTGCAAACTCTGTCTCCTGGGTTCAAGCAATTCTCCTGCCTCAGCCTCCCAAGTAGCTGGGATTACAGGTGCCTGCCACTGCGCCCGGCTAATTTTTTTGTATTTTAGTAGAGATGGGGTTTCATCATGTTGGCCAGGCTGGTTTTGAACTCCTGACCTCAAGTGATCCACCCACCTCGGCCTCCCAAAGTGCTGGGATTACAAGCATGAGCCAGCGCGTCCGGCCCTGTTTGGAATTTAAATCCCTCCTGTATTCCTAATTGTACAGAAATTTAACTGAGGATGTTTTGCTTGTCCTGTGTGGTGATTTAAAGATGTTTAAGCAACATTAAAAATCAGTGTTGGGGTAGGTAATTGCCATTGAATGCACAGTTTTAGGTTTTCGCAAAAAGTGAGAAGATCTGGCTACCCTAAGCTCTTATTTCTCCAAAATGGGAGGCACAGGCTATGTCCAGCTGACCCCTATCAAGGAGCAGATACACTTGGAGTTGGCCCTGCTCTCTGCTAACACTCTTGTGGCTTCCTGGATTTCTTGCTTCCATCCTTCCTCTCATTTGTCAGTTCTTTGTCTTTAAGGAAACAGGCCCGATTGCATCAAGCCTGCTGAAAGGCTTCAGTGGTCCTCTATTACCTGAAAGTACTTAAAACCCTGATCTACCCACTTTCTAGTCTTCGCTGCCCTTCACCTCTATCCGCCCCTTATGTCTTGTACTCTAGCCATGCTGGGCTCCACACTGTCTGCTATGTACCATGCCCCACCATGCCTCCCTATGTTCATGTCTTTTTCATGCTGTTCTGGTGCCAACAATGTCCTCCTACTTTCTCAATTGTTAAATACCTAATCAGAATTTAAAATCCATTTCAAATGTCATCTCCATGGAAGATAGAAAATCCTCTTTTACCTACACAGGGTGAATTCATGTATTTCCTCTTCCATGCTCTGCAGCCCTTCACATCCTGGGCACCTACAAAGCTAACCACATTTTACTTTATGGAGTTAATTGTGGGTCTGGCTCCTCTGGCTAGACTCTAAGCTCTCTAAGGGGAAAGGCTCTGACTTATTCCTCTTTGCATTCCCACAACCAGATACAGTGATTGGCACAGAGTAAAAGCTCAATCAATGCTATTCTTTCTCCCTTTTCCTTAGTGGCAGCGACTTTATCTTATCATCCCTGAAATGTTTCTGCTTAACTCAGCAGCGTTAAGACCTGGGACATAAAAGGCACTCAACCGTTATTAAAGGATGAGTTGAATTCATGTCGTGGCTGTCATGTATCTTTTTTTTTTTTTTTTTTTTTGAGATGGACTCTTGCTCTGTCACCCAGGCTGGAGTGCAGTGGCACGATCTCAGCTCACTGCAACCTCCGACTCCCTGGTTCAAGGGATTCTCCTGCCTCAGCCTCCCAAGTAGTTGGGATTACAGGTACCTGCCACCATGCCCAGCTATTTTTTGTATTTTTAGTATAGACGGGGTTTCACCATGTTGGCCAGGCTGGTCTCAATCTCCAGACCTCGTGATCTGCCTTCCTTGGCCTCCCAAAGTGCTGGCATTACAGGTGTGAGCCACCGCACCCGGCCCATAGCATCTCCTAACCTGTGTCTCACTCCATGTTGAGGTTGGCTGTTCTTGAACCCTTCTTAGTTCCTACCTGCTCAAGTCCACCCAGCTACCAACACCTATTACCTGCAGACTTTACCCTTCTAATCATTAAACCAATGAGAAAATCTGCTAGTCAACCTATTAGAAAACTTGACTATTCAGGTGTTGGGGCTTTTTCTGCCAACATATGTTATAGTCAGTGTTCTTTGAAGTAATAGAGGTGAGCAAAATCACAAAATACTGCCTAGACATTAAGCTACTTCTGCCCACCAGCCAGCCTTCCCTCTAATGGGAATTGCATTTTGCTTCACTGGCTTCAGCTTCTTGCCTGAGGTCCCTACTGGGATGGATGCCCAGAATCGGGCAGTAGCCTGCTAGGTGTGGGTCCCTGGTACCTGGCCAAGCTCCTGATGTCCATATTCATTGCTTTCGCTATCCCTTCTATTGAGTAAATTACTGCTAGAAATGCCACGGCCCAGGAAAAAATATACACATTTTCCTGTAACCACCCCTCACACCCTTCTTCTATGTCCAAGTGTCTCCTTATCCACAGAGAGGCAGTATCACTTAATGGTGAAATGTGGGGACTCTGGAGTCAGAAAACTCTGGCCTCCAATCCTGGTTTTGCAACTTTTATTTGTATGTGGCACTGGACTAATTCTTTAATTTCTGAACATATATCCTTGTTAAATGCAGATACTACTAGTACCTGACTCATATGTTTGTTACGAAAAGATTGAAAAATCAAATGGATGTGAAGTAAATGACACTATGCCCGACACCCTTGAAACAGTCTAGGAATGTTGTTGATTATTATTATTGGCTGCGTGGCAGGAAAAAACACTGTGAAAACAGCAGGGAAGCCTTCCAAAGCTGTGGTCCTTTCAGCAGCTGCTCAACACTTGCTCACTGCTGCATGGGTTATATTATACAGCACCGAGAAGCCAGCTTTACATATCTGGAAATAGATTCCAGATACTTAAAGAATGTGATTTTTGGCTGGGCACGGTAGCTCACACCTGCAATCCTAGCACTCTGGGAAACCAAGGCAGTCTGATTGTTTGAGCCCAGGAGTTAGAGATAAGCCTGGCCAACATGGCAAAACCCAGTCTCTACAAAAAAGTACAAAAATTATCTGGGAGTGGTGGTGTTATGAGATCTTTGGGGTGTCACTTTTCTGGCTGGAAACCTCTGTGGCCAGTGGCACTTTTGCCTGAGTTCTTGTCCTGCGTCCAGAAAGAATGGGGTATGCAGACAAGTGGAGGGTGAACAAGACAAAGAGGCACTTTACTGGGTGTTAGAACAGCTTAGAGGAGACCCATAGTGAGTAGCTCGTCTCTGTTGAGTCTTCAGCTCTCAGCAGAGAGGTGGCTCTGGAATTGGTGGCTCCTCTCTGCAGGCAGGTCAACCTGTCAAGTGTTCAGCTATAGCAGAGAGGAGGCCTAGAGTGGGTTACATGAGATATTTTGATACAGGTATGCAAAGTGTAATAGTCACATCAGGGTAGGTGGGGGTATCCATCCCCTCAAGCATTTATCTTTTGTGTTACAAACAATCCAATTATGTTCTTAGTTATCTTAAAATATACAATTACATTTTTTTTTTACTATACTCACCCTGTTGTGCTATTAATAACTAGGTCCTATTCATTCTTTCTATTTTTGTGTGTGTCCATTAATCATCTCTGTATTAGTCCATTCTCACATTGCTATAAAGAAATACCTGAGGCTGGGTTATTTATTTATTTATTTATTTATTTATTTATTTATTTATTTGGAGATGAAGTCTCACTCTGTTGCCCAGGCTGGAGTGCAATGGTGCAATCTTGGCTCACTGCAGTCTTTGCCTCCTGGATTCAAGCAATTCTCCTGCTTCAGCCTCCCAAGTAGCTGGGATTACAGGTGTGCGCCACCATGCCCAGCTAATTTTTGTACTTTTAGTAGAGGCAGGGTTTCACCATGTTGGCCAGGTTGTTCTTGAACTTCTGACCTCAATGATCTGTCCACCTTGGCCTCCCAAAGTGCTGGGATTACAGGCATGAGCCACTGTGCCCTGCCAAGACTGGGTAATTTATAAAGAAAAGAGGTTTCATTGGCTCACAGTTCCACAGGCTGTACAGGAAGCATGATGCTGATATCTGCTCAGCTTCTTGGGGGCCTCAGGGAACTTACAATCATGGTGAAAGGCAAAGGGATAGCAGCCTGTCACATGGTTGGAGCAGGAGCAAGAGAGCGAGCGAGCAGGGAGATGCTACACACTTTTAAACAACCAGATCTCGTGAGAACTCACTAATTATCACGAGAACAGCACCGAGGGGTGATGCTAAACCATTCACAAGAAATCTGCCCCTGGGATTCAATCACCTCTCACCAGCCCTCACTTCCAACACTGGGGATTACAATTTCACATGAGACTCGGGCAGGTACACAGATCCAAATTATATCAATCCCCACTTCCCTCCTCATCCCCCACTACCCTTCCCAGCCTCTAGTAACCATCCTTCTACTCTCTATCTTTATGAGTGAAATTGTTTTAATTTTTAGCTCCCACAAATACGTGAGAACGTGTGATGTTTGTCTTTCTTATTTCACTTAACATGATGACCTCCAGTTCCATCCATGTTGTTGCGAAGGACAGGATCTCATTCTTTTTTACGGCTGAATAGTATTCCATTGTGTATATGTACCAGGAAAGGGTATGCTTCAAAGCCAGAGTCTGGTGACCGCATAGGGCTTTGGGATCTGGGTTTATTTGCAGTGCTTTCCTTTCATGTGGTACATAAAGCCCCAAAGGTATGAGAACATAAACGGTATTTGTGAGCTATATCAACAGTTCTGAATTCCCATCTTCTATACCAGAGTCAGCTGGGAGTACGCGGGTTCAGACTGTCAACCTAAGTAACAGAGAGGGACTCTCTAAAAGTAAATGATATTTCTTTGGGAATGAAGCATTGCAATGGGAATATGCGTGCCACAGTAAACTATGTGCATATTCAGGGAGGTAAAAGAAGACAAAGGTTTTCAAAGGAAAAAATGAGGAGGATTGCATAATTGTTTTGAAATAATTATCCTTGGCTACAAAGATCGTTAACGAGGGTGACACCCGTCCGAGGTTGGACAGGCAGTTGCTGGGCAGATGTCTTTGCAGAAGTATTTTTTATATAAGGTTGCAATGTTCTGTGTGCAAGGTTGTGGTTTTTGCAGAGTCTTTTGTGATAGTTTTTTGTTATCAAGCATATAAGCACAAGAATGTTCTCTTCATAACCTTCCCTGTCCCTATTTGTCAGGGTTTCATTTTCTTATACTTGGTCACTCTAGTTTGATTCTGACAACTTTCTTTTTCTTTTCTTTTTTTTTTTTTTTTTTTGAGACTGAGTTTTGCTCTTGTCACCCAGGTTGGAGTGCAATAGTGTGATCTCGGCTCACTGCAACCTCTGCCTCCTGGGTTCAAGTGATTCTCCTGTCTCAGCCTCCCGAGTGGCCGGGACTACAGGCATGCACCACCAGGCCCGGCTACATTTTTTTTTGTATTTTTAGTAGAGACGGGGTTTCACCATGTTGGCCAGGCTGGTCTTAAACTCCTGACCTCCCGTGATTCACCCGCCTCAGCCTCCCAAAGTACTGAGACTACAGGTGTGAGCCACTGCATCCGGCTGATTCTGACAACTTTCACAAGGCAGAAAGACAAACATCACTTAAGGGAAATATTCGAAGCAACCTGGAGGTGCATAGCTTGGGTGTTATTTTAATTTTTTTTCTTTGCGGTTTTTTTGCGTTTTTTTTTTTTTTTTTTTTTTTTTTTTTTGGAGAGATGGGGTTTCGCCATGTTGTCCAGGTTGGTCTGGAACTCCTGGGCTCAAGTGATCTGGCTGTCTTGTCCTCCCAAAGTGCTAGGATTACAGGTGTGAGACACTGTGCCCAGCCAGGTGTTATTTTTAGAGTCAAGTTGGTGGCTTTCAAATGCAGAAATGGGCAGTAGAGGAATAACACTGCACACTCTCCATTATCTCTGAATACAATCAGATTGATTTGAGATAGCTTAAGATGAGGGGGATGAGGATAGCTTTATAGGTCTGTAGACACTTAGAGAGAGAAGGAAGAACAGTGGAAGTCAGCCAAACAATGTTTGGAATAGGTATCCATTTTTTTTTTAAATAAAAGAGATTAAGATTTCTGTAAAAGAAAAACTATTCATGAATAATGGTAAGAAAAAAATGTACAGGATATTAAACAGTTCGTTGAGAGAAACCACAGAGATTGAGCTTGAAGATGAAGTGGAGGAAATGTTTGAACACGGATGTGGGGTCTGTTTTATTCATGAACTCAATGTTTCATAAATTACATGTGGGCCTGTCAGACGTTGAGAAATGGAGGAAGAAGACATAGAGATCTTTTATTTTTTTGTTTATTTATTTTTTTGAGATGGAGTCTCACTCTGTCACCCAGGCTGGAGTGCAGTGGAACAATCTCGGCTCACTGCAGCCTCACTTCCCAGTTCAAGCAATTTTCCTGCCTCAGCCTCCAAAGTAGCTGAGACTACAGGCACGAGTCACCATGCCTGGTTAATTTTTTGTATTTTTAGTAGAGACGGGGTTTCGCTATGTTGGTCAGGCTGGTCTAGAACTCCTGACCTCAGGTGATCCTCCCGCCTTGGCGTCCCAAAATGCTGGGATTACAGGTGTGAGCCACTTCTCCCAGCCGACACAGAGCTCTTTTAAAAAGCACAGTGTAGATGCTGGATTGTCCATTCAAAAAGGCCACACCCACTGGGGCTAACTCAAGACCAATTGGCATGCCTCTCTTCACTATCTCTTAGGAAATGCTTAGGATGTGTCACAAAGATCTCAAACAATTTATATTTGCTTAATAACCACTGGCTGAATTATAAGATTAACCTGCATATATACTGCATAGCTGAGCATATTTTAAAAGTGCAGAATAATCTCTATTTGTGAGGCTTTTAAATCATACTTGCCTTCCTTCTGGCCAGCACAGGGTGGAGCTCTTATCCAGACTAAATAAAAGCATTTTCTAAATGGAAGGGATGGAAGCTACTTTAAACAGTTGGCACTTAGGAATTTTTATCCATTTAGTCTCTGTGTGGCACAGAAGGCTTCCAACTCTTTGCTTAAAAAAAGAAAAAGAAATAGTAGAGTCACAAATCAAAAATAAAGGAAGATGTGAGAAGCAGAGTACAAAGAAAAAGGAGATTCACGAATCATGAATGGAAACACTTGTTAATAATAAATTCCACTGATGGTGAATTTAAGCACAGCTGAGTTGTGTAGACCTCATAGTCTCATGATCTTGTTCCTAAGCAAGGTAAATGTCTCCCGGGTGTTTAGATGGTTCAGTGGCCTAATCAACAGAAAGTTCAGTTTGGAATGGGTCATAGCCCCCTCGTTACCATCACTGGGTCTCTGTGGCTCTCTCTGCTGGGGCCATCTGTCCACGCCACGTTCACTGCCTGACTCTGTCACCAGGCCAGGTCCTGGCCCAGGAAAGAATATTTGCAATCCATAGTTGCTCTGCCTGTGGATGGTGGTTAGTTTGATTTGGAAAGAAGCAATAAGTCCCATCTTGGTCCTGGATCCAAATCTTGTTTTCCAATAAAGCTTTATCATTATTAAATATTAGGGATATTTGGATATCCAAAATAAATAAGTAAAATAGTATACCTAAGTAAAATGTAAATCAGAGGAGAGAAATTATTTGAAAATTGTGTAATTATTTTCAGAATTAAGGTCTCGGCCAAGGTGGGCAGATAACGAGGTCAGGAGTTCGAGACCAGCAGCCTGGCCAACATAGTGAAACCTCGTCTCTACTAAAAATACAAAAAATTAGCCAGGCGTGCTGGCAGGTGCCTGTAGTCCCAGCTACTTGGGAGGCTGAGGCAGGAGAATCGCTTGAACCCAGGAGGCGGAGATTGCGGTGAGCCGAGGTCGCACCACTTTACTCCAGCCTGGGCAACAAGAGTGAAACTCCGTCTCAAAAAAAAAAAAAAAAAAGAAAAAAGAAAAAAAAGAATTAATGTCTCAGTGGGGCCCAGGCATCAGCATTTTTAGAAAGCTCCATGGGTGGCTGAGTGTGGTGGTTCATGCCCGTAATCCCAGCACTTTGGGAGGCCGCTGAGTGTGGTGGCTCATGCCCGTAATCCCAGCACTTTGGGAGGCCACGGCAGAGGGATCCCTTAGGCCAAAAGTTCAAGAACAGCCTGAGCAACATAGGGAGATGCCTATCTCCACAAAAAAAATTGTTTAAGTCAGGTGTGGTGATGCACCCCTGTAGGCCCAGCTACTCAGGAGGCTGAAGCAGAAGGCTCGCTTGAGCCCAGGAGTTCGAGGCTGCAGTGAGCTGTGATTGTACCACTGCACTCCAGCCTGGGCAACAGAGTGAAAACCTGTCATAAAATAAAATAAAATATAAAATAAAATAAAATAAAAATCCGAGGCAGCAAGTCTGGAGTGAGGCCTGAGATTCTGCTTTTCTGACAAGTTCCCAGCGCATGCCCTGTGCTACTGGTTTTTGGACCACACTTTGAGAAGAAAGGCTTGTATTCAGTGGGTCCCAAATGTTCCACATCATAACCCTTCCCAGGAGAGCTGGTTAAGCCTCACAGATGCACAGGGCGCTCCTTGAAGGTTGCTGATTCAGGAGGTCTGGGAGTCTGCGTTAAAAGCTGCCCAGCTGATTCTCATGGCTTGCATGCCTGCTGGAGAAAGGCTGCCCTGACTTCCTCTAGGGAGTTGATTGTTTGCCTGGCTTTTGTTGTTTTACTTACTAAAGCTTCAAAATCTTATTCTCTTTCTTAATAATTCTAAATATGGGTGTATAGGCAGCATGATATTTTTTAGTATTCAATTCAGTTTTCAAAAATTTTTTGATTACCTGGTAGGTAGTACTTTCTAGTACAATGGACAAAAAATAAAAAATGATCGAAAACAATACTTTGATTCCATTTAACTAATTGTGTTGGCATTGTTCTTGCTGACCTCTATGTTCTGGGTTCTAAAAAACTGGCTAAGAAGTTATCATCAAGAAAAAACATGAGTTTTTTAAAATTAATTTATTGTTTTAAATGAAAGATATATTTTCATCATGTTAAGCTGCTGAACTTTTTTTTTTTTTTTTTTGAGATGGAGTTTCGCTCTTATCGCCCAGGCTGGAGTGCAATGGCGCGATCTCAGCTCACTGCAACCTCTAAGTCGCTGAACATTTGGCATCATTTGTTGGAGGAGTTAGCCCTTCCTGATGCATACATTCTTCTTTGCTTTGTGCCTTTAAAACTGGGGTGCCCCAGGGACTTCTCCATCTACACCTACACACAGTCCTTTGGTGATCCTATCCAAACTTAGGACTTTAAATACCACCTACTGTCTAATGATTTGGAAACACAGATCTCCAGCCCACGCCTCTTTCTTGAGCAGGCTAGTATAACCAGCTGCCTGGTTAATAACTCCACTTGGATATTCATGGATATTTTCAAACTCTTCTCATCCAAAACGAGATGTCTGATTTTTTCCTAAACCTACTCCGCCTGGTAGTTCTCCCTGTATCGGTTGGAGCAACTCCATTCTTATAGCCGCTCAGCCCAAACCTCTCTCACACCCACATCTAATCCATCCAGAGTTTTTGTCGGCTCTCCCTTCCTAATATATTCAAGATCCGACTGCCTCTCACCTCTGTCAATGCTACAACCTGCCTGAAGCCACCATTCTCTCTTGCCTAAATGACTGCAGCAACTTGCTAGCTCTTGTCTTTTTTCTTCCTCTCCCCTTCCTTTTTCTTTTTATTGTAAAGTTTCTTCAAATAACCTTAGCCATTGGTAGTAACAGGAGCAACCTGTATTGCAAAACATTGTATTTTCAATATTCTAATTTTGCTTTTAGAGGAAAAAAATTGTTGTTTAAAGAAAGCTGGAAGGAACTAGGTGTGGTTAACTGACCTAAAATGTTATTGGAATAGTTCAGATGGATAGAAACAAGAGGAATGACAATAAGAATGCGAGGGTTTTAAATAGCACATGTTCTTTTTTTTTTTTTTTTTTTTGAGATGGGGTCTCACTCTGTTGCCCAGGCTGGAGTGCAGTGGCACGATCTTGGCTCACTGCAAGCTCCACCTCCCGGGTTCACGCCATTCTCCTGCCTCAGCCTCCCGAGTAGCTGGGACTACAGGCGCCTGCCACCAAGCCTGGCTAATTTTTTGTATTTTTAGTAGAGACGGGGTTTCACCATGTTAGCCAGGATGGTCTCAATCTCCTGACCTCGTGATCCGCCTGCTTCAGCCTCCCAAAGTGCTGGGATTACAGGAGTGAGCCACCACGCCTGGGCACGTGTTCTTTCTTATATAACAAGCTTTTCAAATTCACAGGTTCGAGAGTGTGGTTGCTTTGCTTGTGGAGAAAGCAGCTGTGTTCATGTTTTGTATGTACCAGTGTTTCTCCTGTATTGGTTTTTGCTGATATGGATGTGAAATGGTTTTGCTTGTTCCATCGTTTTCCTTCTGTTTGTGTGTGTGTGTGTTTTAAAAAATCGTTTTTGTTGGCCGGGCGCAGTGATTCACACCTGTAATCCCAGCACTTTGGGAGGCCGAGGCGGGCAGTTCACGAGGTCAGGAGTTTGAGACCAGCCTGGCCAACATGGCGAAACTGCGTCTCTACTAAAAATACAAATTAGCAGGGCATGGTGGCGTGCGCCTGTAATCCCAGCTACCTAGGAGGCTGAGGGAGGAGAATCTCTAGAACCCAGGGGACAGAGGCTGCAGTGAGCCAAGATTGCGCCACTGCACTCCAGCCTGCCAGACAGAGCAAGACTCCGTCTCAAAAAAAATCGTTTTTGCTTTGGAGCTCAGGTTCTAGATCCTTCTCTGAGCCTTCTAATGACATCTCTTCTGTCTCAGTTAAGATCTGATCAACAATGAATAATGTCATGTCCCTCTCAAATCTGGCTTTAACCATCTGACTACCATCTCCCTTGCTTCTCCCCTCTGGGCCCCTAAACTTCAGTTAGGGTGAATTATTCAGTGTTTCCCCTATGTGCCATGCTTTCTTCCCTGTGGGACAAGATTAGTTCACGACATTTCCACCACCTTTATACCCATTTCCTCTAAATCCATAGAACCTAATAGTAATAGTCGACACTTGGTGAGCACTTACTCTGCGCCAGGCAGTGTGTTAAGTGTTTATGGTAATTTTATCATTTTAACCCCACACTATATAAGGTAGACCATTTATGATCCCTATTATACTGCCAGGTATGCCCTGCCCAGATCCCCCTGGGTCCTCTTTTCCAGCTCTGCATGCTCAGACCCCTGTGGGCTTGGCTGCAAATGCTTTCTCTGGAAACTTCTGCACATTACCCCTCACTGGGGGGAGAGTGGAAAGGCTCTGGGAGTTTGTGTCCCTCTCCCCCCTTGCCAGTGACAGAAGGAACTGGTGTAGGAACACAAGCACCCAGATCGTTGGCCTCAAGGAGGGAGAGGTTGAAGTGTGAGCCATGCTCCAGGACTCTCCAAGGATCAGCCTGAGCTGGCTTCTTCCCCTTCCCTGGCTTGCTTCCCTACTCCTTCACTTTTCTTCTTGGAAGCACATTCCCCAGTAAATCACCTCCTTTCCAATCCTTGCTCATGACCTGTGTCTGGAGGAACTCAACCTAAGACTCTTGCCTGGCTCATGCAAGGTACAGTTGCTATTCAAACCCGAGCAGTCTAAATCCTACCACAGTTTAGGGTTCAAATCCCTCTGTTATAACGCCTGTCATGTCAGTATGATGACTCTGTTTCAATTTCTTTTTCCTAGAAAATGTTAGAAATTTTACCCGGGGAATCTTGGAGCAGTATCTTTGATGTTTGCTCACAGTTCTGAGTGTGGTACTGGGAGTATTCAAAGTCCTTTCTAGCGATGGGTGAGGTTGCATTTGGAGCATCTCACAATACTCTGATAAATGTCTTGAGCGTCTTCCTCCATGCACCCACAGCCCTGTGGACATGCATCCATCTATTATGCTACTGGGGTCATGATTTCAAAAATTATTTTGGATCTTCTGCTCACGGCCCTAGACTGTGGACTCCTGGGGGCCAGGATACTGGCCTATTCATGGTTGTTTCCCAGTGCAGAGCAAAGCGTCTAAATAGAGGTGTTCATCTTTTTGGATGCAATTCTGTACTACAAGAAAGTGGATTTAGAACTGTGGTTCTCAAGGCCGGGCGTGGTGGCTCACACCTGTAATCCTAGCACTTTGGGAGGTTGAGGCGGGCGAATTGCTTCAGTCCAGGAGTTCGAGACCAGCCTGGGCAACATGGCAAAAAACCCTGTCTCTACAAAAAATACAAAAATTAGCTGGGTGTAGTGGCATGTGCCCGTAGTCCCAGCTACTTGGGAGACTGAGGTGGGAGGATCACCTGAACCTGGGGTGGCTGAGGCTTCAGTGAGCCGTGATCACACCACTGCACTCCAACCTGGGTGACAGAGTGAAATCCTGTCGTTAAAAAAAAAAAAAAAAAAGAACTGTGGTTCTCAAATTTCATTTGCATAAAAATTACTGTGGGGGAGGCAGTGGGCTCAAGGAATCCGCATTTTAAGAAGTATCCCAGGTGATGTTTAACCCATTATAGATACTTTGAGAAACAGTAATTTATAAGGTGCAAATACTGAATAATAATAAACAGTTATGTTACAAATACTTAAACATAGTGGTTACTTCATACTTGGCACTGTTGTTAGAGAACTATAAACTCATTTAATCCACATTTAATCCTCATGAGGTGAAAAGTACTATTAACCCCCATTTTTACATATTAGGAAACTGAGGGACAGAGATGCTAAGTAACTTGCTCCACAACTATAACTAGTAAGTAGAGTTGGGCCCAGCATTCTGGCCCCAGAGGCTGTGCTCTTAACAGCTGCCTCACACCCCCTTTCCACTGATACATGCAAGAAAATCCACATGATTCCCAGCATGATTTTTGCTGAGCCCTTCCAAGGAGGCTGAAAGGAACAGAGGATACATTACTGCATAGAACACACAGGAAATATTTTATTAGTTTCCAGATGAAGCAAGGGATAGAGTACAAACATTTCAGTAGAGCTCCACAGCTCTCCTTAGGGAGCCCACTCTCGCATCCGTGGCCCCCCAGTCCTGACACCACCTGCAGTCCCCCGGCCTCAGCAGGTACTGCCGCCCCTGGTAGTTGGGCAGCTCGTAGAGGACCCAGGAGCCCTCCAGCACGTTGAAGGAGTGGATCTCACTGAGGTGGAAGCGGTCGTGAAGAGAGGAGCAGTCCTCAGTGATCTCCACCATCTGGCCCCTGTAGTCCTCTCGCTCATAGATCCTGAGCCTGTGGGAGCTGGCCTGGGGGTTCAGCAAACAGCAGATGAGGGAACGTCAGAAAACCTGACTTCCTGGGGGATGGACCTAAAAAATTTTTTTTCTAGGCCGGGAGCAGTGGCTCACACCTATAATCCCAGCACTTTGGGAGGCCGAGGCAGGTGGATCACGAGGTCAGGAGATCGAGACCATCCTGGCTAACACAGTGAAACCCTGTCTCTACTAAAAATACAAAAACAAAATTAGCCGGGGGTAGTGGTAGGCGCCTGTAGTCCCAGCTACTTGGGAGGCTGAGGCAGGAGAATGGGATGAACCCAGGAGGCAGAGCTTGCAGTGAGCCAAGATCGCGCCACTGCACTCCAGCCTGGGGGACAGAGTGAGACTCCGTCTCCAAAAAAAAAAAAAAAAAAATTTCCTATATCAAAAGTGACCAAGCTAAAACAAAGACACTGCCAACACCAGGGCTGCTGTGTATAGTTGGGTAGGTTGTACACTGTGAAACTCAAGAGGACACCACTCCCCATTCATTTGGTATGAATGGTGCTCCCTAGGGTTTTCTGTTACAATCTACATGAATAGACACACTTGTCCTGCTCAGGACCACTTTTAAATATTTTTTGTATTTGTTTTGTTTGTTTTGTTCTCTCCTTCATAAATTTGTGGTGGTTTGGGCTCTTGTTGGATGACACATAAAATAATGTTTTTATGTTTTTTTTTTTTTTGAGATGGAGTCTCGCTCTGTCGCCCAGGCTGGAGTACAGTGGTGCGATCTCGGCTCACTGCAAGCTCCGCCTCCCGGGTTCACGCCATTCTCCTGACTCAGCCTCCCGAGTAGCCGGGATTACAGGCGCCCGCCACCGCGCCCGGCTAATTTTTTGTATTTTTAGTAGAGATGGGGTTTCACCATGTTAGCCAGGATGGTCTCGATCTCCTGACCTCGTGATCCGCCTGCCTTGGCCTCCCAAAGTGCTGGAATTACAGACGTGAGCCACCGCGCCTGGCAAATATTAAGATTTTAAAACAAAAAGGCAAATATATTCCTGGCAAAATATATTATTTTGAATCTCAATAGCATTAGGAGAAGCTAGAGGGAGAGCAGGTTGAATTGCTTTTACCCAAATGAGGCTCAGATTGGTGGCAATACAGGAAGAAAGTCCAGCGCAAGCAATCCTTCATCCGTGCTTTTCTGCTTTAAGCCCTGCTACTCAAACATGCTGAAAAGCAAGAGCCGTCACAAAGAGAACTAGGTTTCAGTTCTTAGCTCCAACATGTGCTCTTACAAATCAGTTTTAGGTAATACCGAAAAATGGAAGTTCAAGATCATGAAGGAGCAGCTGGGCAGGGTGGTTCATGCCTGTAATCCCATCACTTTGGAAGGCCAGGGTGGAAGGATTGCTTGAGCCCAGGAGTTCAAGACCAGCATAGACAACACAGTGAGACCCTGTCTCTACCAAAAAAAAAAAAAAAAAGTTTAGCTGGGCATAGTGGTGTGCACCTGTGGTCCCAGCTACTCAGGAGGCTGAGGCGGGAAAATCACTTGAGCTCAGGCTTCAGTGAACTATGATCACACCACTCAAGCCAGTCTGGGTGACAGAGAGAAACCTTGTCTTAAAAAAATATCTTTTTTTTTTTTTTCCCCGAGACGGAGTCTCACTCTATCGCCCAGGCTGGAGTGCAGTGGCGCAGTCTCGGCTCACGGCAAGCTCCGCCTCCCGGGTTCACACCATTCTTCTGCCTGAGCCTCCCGAGTAGCTGGGACTACAGACCCGCCACCACGCCCGGCTATTTTTTTGTATTTTTAGTAGAGACGGGGTTTCACCGTGTTAGCTAGAATGGTCTGAATCTCCTGACCTCGTGATCCACCCGCCTCGGCCTCCCAAAGTGCTGGGATTACAGGCGTGAGCCACCACGCCTGGCCTAAAAAAAGATCGTTAAGGAGGCCTGTACAGGTTCAAGAGTGTGAAACCTTTAGAAAAATGGAAACTTAGGCTGTTTGTCCTGAGCTATTCTTGTCTCTGTCGGTTTTTGTTTGTTTGTTTTGTTTTGTTTTGTTTTGTTTTGTTTTGTTTTGTTTTGAGACGGAGTCTCACTCTGTCACCCAGGCTAGAGTGCAGTGGCACAATCTTGGCTCACTGCAACCTCCACCTCCCAGGTTCAAACAATTCTCCTGCCTCAGCCTCCCGAGTAGCTGGCACTACAGGCGCCTGCCACCACGCCTGGCTAATTATTTTTAGTAGAGACAAGGTTTCACCATGTTGGCCAGGCTGGTCTCGAACTCCTGACCTCAGGTAATCTGCCCGCCTCGGCCTTCCAAAGTGCTGGGATTACAGGTGTAAGCCACCACGCCTGGCCATGTCTCTTGTTTTGAGCACTTGTTCTTCCTTCATTTGTTTGTTCCTTCCCATTGTCTCAACGTTTTTCTTCCTCCACATTAAAATATTCTTTAGGGGCCAGGCACAATGGCTTATGTGCCATGCTGGTGTGCTGCACCCATTAACTCGTCATTTAGCATTAGGTATATCTCCTAAAGCTATCCCTCCCCCCTCCCCAGCCTGACCAATATTGTGAAACCTCGTCTCTACTAAAAATACAAAAATTAGCCAGGTGTGGTGGCGTGTGCCTGTAATCTCAGCTACTCTGGAGGCTGAGAAAGGAGAATTGCCTGAACTCGGGAGGTGGAGGTTGCAGTGAGCCGAGATCACGCCACTGTACTCCAACCTGGACGACAGAGCGAGACTCCATCTCAAAAAAAGAAAAAAAATCTTTTCTGCTTGGAGCTCAGGTTCTAGATCCCCTTCTGAGCCTTCTAATGACATTTTTTCTGTCTCGGTTAAGAGCTGATCAGTAATGTCATTTCCTTCTCAAATCTGACTTTGAGACTTTCTCTCTCTCTCTCTCTCTCTCTATATATATATATACATATATACACACACATATATACATATATATATATGTATGTATCTTCTTTAGGGAAGATTCTCATGAGCAATTCTTTTTGAGGTTTGAGTGACTGCTAGTGAAGTGGATCTTACAGTCTGTAATTAGAAGAGTTGGTACTTGAAATTAGAAATCTAAGTTTTTGGGCTCCAATGCCAGACTGGGTCCTTATCCAGCTATTAAACCCTGTGAGGGGATTTCAGACTTCACAAAAGTGGTTCATTTTCCCGGGACTCTGTCACAGTCAACTTAGGGAATCCCTAACTGTGAAATTTCAGGCTGCTGGGGCTTCATTTAGGTAACAGTGGGCCCTGCAGGAGCTATTGGAATCTCATTGTTGGTTACTGGTTTGCCCAATCAGAAGGCAGGACTTGAGAGACCCTTGATGTTCATAATAATAGTTAATACTCGGGGTTGGGGATTGGCATGTGCCAGGCACCCTCCTTTTACCCTCATTGGAACCCTATAAAGGAACTACTCTCATCAGCCCTTTTTACAGATGACGTAAAAGAAATAGCCACCTAGCCTATGGCCACCTGAGAGCAAGGAATTAATCTGTTGCTGTTTCATCACCTGTGGCATAGACGCTCTGAGCTAATGCCACGCACAACTTATTCCCAGTAGAGGTGAATTTGACTTTAGCAAAATAAAATAAAATGACCAGTTAAAAGCACTGCATCACATACTTTTTCAGTGGGAGGAAACCTTACGCATGTTAATAAAGGAAAAGAGAATATAGTTAGAGCCAGAAAAAAGAAGCCTGCCATCGCATCCCATCGCCTGTCGTGTGAATCATCCACGTGGATCACTGATGCGACTCGAGGGCACGGAAGGGCCCGGGTGGGACTGCACTCACGTGGGGGATGAGGCGGCAGGAGCGGACCGAGTCGCTGAGGCCCATCCACTGCTGGTGGTCGGCATAGTCGCCGCGGCGCAGGAACTACTGGAGGCCCGAGTAGTTGGGCTGCTCATAGAGCACCCAGCAGCCGCTGTCCACGCGCACCGAGTTGCAGCGGCTCAAGTAGGGCTGCAGGTTGGGGTGGTCGCTGCTGCATTCGTAGTGGCGGCCCTGGAAGCCCCGGTCCTCGTAGAGGGTGATCTGCAAGGCAAGGCGAGGCAAGGCGAGGTCTCACAGGCCTGCCCCTGCCCCAGTCTCCGGCCCCCGCCATGCAGGGAGCTACCGGGGGGCACGGGCTGGGCTCACCTTCCCCATGGCTGGCTGGGCGCACGGCGGGGCTGAGCGGGTGGGGCGGCAGCGCGGCGGGGCTATATAGCAGGAGGGCTGCTGTGTTGGCAAGAACCGCACAAAAGGGGCCCCCGGAGGGGAGCAAGGGCATTTTTTTTTCTCTCTCTCTCTGTTCCATATAATGACTGTAGGGGAGGGGGTGGGAGGTTTATTGTATGTTTTCTTTTAGACTCTCTAAAGCTTTCGAATTGATGATCTGGTTAAAACTGTCACTTAGTGCCATTTGGGCCTTTACATAAAGCCTATTTGGGAAATTGGAATTGAGCAAGTGCTTAAGAGTTAGTAATTGTAATTAAATGTTTTATTTACCTTTTAAAAGTTCAGTTTGAGCAACAAAGCAGAATAGCGACCAAGTCTAAGGTCGAAATAGACTACAGCATGAGGCTGTATTGTTTAGATTGGTGTGAAATGTGAAACGTGAGGATGAACTTGCCTTCTCCTCGGGCTGTTTACAGTAGGATGTGATTCTCCTTTAAGAGAACCTCTCTATGATCCTACCTGCTGATAAGCAGGGTATCAGATAACTAATGCAGGAGGTTGGACGCCAGGGGTTGGGCCTGGGGAAGCCCTATTTAGGCACCTGGCCTCAGCTCTGATCCCTGGAGCCTGGGTGGAAGCAGGGAAGTCTTCAGCTTCAGCACCGTGCCTGCCTCAGCACAGGCAATGAAACTCTCAACTGTGGGATTCATGAAGTGACACTTTGGCGGTTATTACACTGGTAACTTTCTATTTAACAACTTTGCTAACTAAAGGCTAAGCTTAGTTGGTTCTAGCTGCTGACAAATGCAAGTTAACATGCAAATATAACACATTGAAGATCCTGCAATCTTGCAAAGATTCTGCCTTCTTCACCCTGGGGCAAAACCCTCGTGGCTCTCTAGTTAAGGCTCTGACTCCAGGGACTGGGGTCTTCCTTCCTTTTGCCGGGACCCTGTCCCTCCTGGTGTTCCACTCTCTTTAGAGCAAGGTTTCTCAACCGCAGCACTCTTTTGACATTTGGGGCCCAAAAAATTATCTGCTGGGTGGGGAGGCTGTCCTGTGCATTGCAGGACATTGAGCAGCATCCTGGCCTCTACCATCTGGGTACCGGTAGCATTACTGTCCGGTCGTGA
The DNA here is from genome assembly GCF_000001405.40 of Homo sapiens. Lineage (NCBI taxonomy): Eukaryota > Metazoa > Chordata > Mammalia > Primates > Hominidae > Homo > Homo sapiens. The sequence goes on from NC_000002.12 coordinate 208,113,768, forward strand.
CAAGCAGAACTGTCTGCAGACATTGCCAAAGGTTCCCTGGAAAGCAAATCCACTCCCCATCCGCACTAAGAACCACTGATTTAGAATAACTTTGGTGCACCCAGTCTCACTCCTTAGTTTGGATTCTTGCTACCTAAGTCTAATACTAAAAAATAGCTTTCTCTGGACAAATTTTATGTGATCCACGTAAGTTTAATAAGCCTCATTTACATATTTCTCTTTTAAAAATTATAACTTTTGTGGAAAATTTAGAAACTATAAAGCAGTAGAAAGGAGAAAAGATTTTAAGCCGTAGTTTTGTATAAAAAGTAGCACTGTTGATGTATATTTAAAAACTCCTAATTCTCACACCTGTGATCTAATATTTCCATCTCTAGGAATTTGTCCAATGGAAAAAATTAAAGATGCATACAAAGATTATGAACAGTGATATTTTATCAGAATGGTGTTTATAATATAGAAAATTAGATACAAATAAAATGTCCAGAATAGGGCATTGTTTAAATAAATCATGGAACACTTGTTTGATGAGATGCTATGCAGCTACCAAAAATCATGTTGTCAAAGAATTTATTTAAGGGTATGGAAAATGCTTACCATATGTCAAGTTAAAAAAAAAAACAAGTATATTATACTCTGAAAATTACAAAATATTGAAAGAAATTAAAGAAGACATAAATAAGTGGAAACACATCCTATGTTAATGGATTGGAAGACAATATTGTTAATACATCAGTACTACTCAAAGCAATCTGCAGATTTAGTGCAATCCCTATCAAATCTCAATGATTTCCTTATGCAGAAAGAGAAAAATCTATCCTAAAATTCATCTGGAATCTCAAGGGACCCCAAATCAACAAATTAGTCTTGCAAAAAACAAAGTTGGAAGTTCCTTATTCCTTATTCCTAATAAGGAATGCTGACACATGGCACATATGGAAGAACCTTGAAAACATGTGAAGGGAAATAAATCAGACACAGAGGAACAAATATTGTATGATTCCGTTTATTTGAGGTACCTAGAATAGTCAGTTTCGTAAAGACAGGAAGTGGAATGGCAGTTACCAGGGATTGGGGGAGGTAGGATTGGGGAGTTATGGTTTAATGAATACAGAGTTTCCCTCAAAACTAAAAGTCTTTTAGCACATGTACCACCCCTAGAATTTCTGGTAAACCAGCACCAGCCTGAAGATCACGTTCTCATCAAAGGGTGAAAAAAAAGGAAACTCGAACCAGCCTACGAAGGACCCTTGTGCTGCTAACCACCGAGACTTCTGTTCGTACAGCGAAAAAAGGATGGACTCATCACAACCGAGTCAAGAAAGTGCCACCCTCTCCAGAGTCGTGGGCCATAGTCCCAGGGGAAAACCCTACCAAACTAAGCTAAGAAAAATTTAACTTTTTCATCTATTCTATTACTCTTTCTTCTTTTCTCGCTCTATTACTGACCATCTAGTTATTACCATAACCAAGTCAATTTCACCTCAAACTATTGCATTTAATGCTTTCCTTGTTATACCCTGTGGGTATACCCTGTGGGGACTTGCCAAGTCAAAGACAGCTCTCTACTTCAGAAAAGTACCTCTGTCCCTCCTGACTCTCCTCAGACTGGGCATTAGTAAATTAGGACCATTTAATCTGGGGAAATTTTGATTAAAGACTCCAGTGTCAACCAGGAGTCTTGCCCCTCAATGTAGAGCTTTTATGCCGCAGTTTGTCCAACATTCTGTGGACCACTAAAGAGCAAGGATGGACTGCCCCGACCGGTTTTTGTAATTTCCTAAAATCATATGTTCATTTTACTAGAGGATCATAAAAGTTAAAGACTTAAAACAAACTTTGTCAATTAAGACAGGATACCAAGATGCAAATACCTGGTTGGAATGGATCAAATATTCCATCAGCACGTTAAACAAAAGCAATTGTTATGCTTGTGCGCAGGGCAGGTCAGAGGCCCAGATTGTCCCCTTTCCACTAAGGTGGTCCTCCAGTCGCCCAGGCGTGGACTGCATGGTAGCTCTTTTCCAGGATTCTACAGCCTGGAGTAATAAGTTGTGCCAAGCTCTCTCTGCTATATCCCAAAGTCCAGCACCCTGCAGGTCAGCCCCCAAGGGCCATCCAGTTTCCGTCTCCCAACACTAAGTTCACTTCATGACTCTCACAACAGGGAGGAAACTTAGAGTTCCTTGGAGACCTGAAGGGATGCAGTGAGCTTAAGAATTTTCAAGAGCTTATCAATCAGTCAGCCCTCGTTCATCCCCGAGCGGATGTGTGGTGGTATTGTGGCCGAATAACTGGAGTGGCACTTGTACTTCAGTCCAATTGGCTTGCCTTTCGCCCTGGGATTTTGTCAACCAGAGGGAGGAAAAATAAGACATTGTAAAGCGAGAAAAGCCCCTTATGGGTCTTTCGACTCTCACGTCTATTTAGAAGCAATTGAAGTCCCACGGGGAATACCAGATCAATTTAAAGCTTAAAATCAAATAGCTGCAGGATTTGAGTCAATATTTTGGTGGGTGACGGTTAATAAAAATGTAGATTGGATAAACTACATCTATTACAACCAACAGCAATGAGCTTTTCATGAGTTAAAAGAAAAAACTCATGTTGGCCCCAGCCCTGGGGCTACCTGAACTGGCAAAACCCTTTACACTCTATGTGACAGAAAGAGAAAAAATGGCAGTTGGAGTTTTAACCCAGACTGTGGGGCCCTGGCCAAGGTCAGTGGCCTATCTCTCAAAACAACTGGACAGGGTTTCCAAAGGCTGGCCCCCATGTCTAAGGGCCCTGGCAGCAACGGCCCTGTTAGCACAAGAAGCAGATAAACTAACTCTTGGGCAAAACCTGAATATAAAGGCCCCTCCATGCTGTGGTAACTTTGATGAATACCAAAGGACATCATTGGCTAGCAAATGCTAGATTAACCAAGTGCCAAAGCTTCCTATGTGAAAATCCCCACATAACCATTGAAGTTTGCAACACCCTAAACCCCACCACCTTGCTCCTGGTATCAGAGAGCCCAGCTGAACATAACTGCTACTTGGGCACAAGACAGCTCGTGGGGATACCAGACCCCCATTTACATGCTCAATTGAATCATACGGTTACAAGCTGTCTTAGAAATAATCATTAATAAGACTGACAGAGCCTTGACTATTGTGGCCTGGCAAGAAACTCGGATGAGAAATGCTGTCTATCAAAATAGATTGGCTCTCGACTACTTGCTAGCAGCTAAAGGAGGGGTCTGTGGGAAATTTACCTTACTAATTGCTGTGTACACACAGATGATCAAGGGAAGGTAGTTGAAGACATAGAGATATGACAAAACTGGCACATGTGCCTGTGCAAGTGTGGCATGGATTTGATCCTGGGGCCATGTTTGAAAAATGGTTCTCGGCACTAGGAGAATTTGAAACTCTTATAATAGGAGTTGTGATAGTAATAGGAACGTGCTTACTGCTCCCTTGTTTGTTACCTGTACTTCTTCAAATGATAAAAAGCTTCATCACTACCTTAGTTCACCAAAATGCTTCAGCACAAGTGTACTATATGAATCACTATCGATCTGTCTTGCAAGAAGACACAGGTAATGAAAATAAAAGTGACACTGCCACTAATGAGTGAGGTTCTCAAAGCGGGGAAATAAGGGACGAGACCACCCCTCATATTGTCCTATGCCCAATTTCTGCCCCCAAAGAAAGAATAAGTAAAAACTAAAAGGCAGAAATGAAATCCACAGGCAGACAGCCCGGCGCCACGCCCTGGGCCTGGTTAAAGATCGACCCCTGACCTAACCGGTTCTGTTATCTATAGATTCCAGACATTGTATGGAAAAACATTGTGAAAATCCCTGTCCTGTTCTGTTCCATTCTGATTACCAGTGCATGCAGCCCCCAGTCATGTACTGCCTGCTTGCTCAATCCATCACGACCCTCTCAAGCAGACCCCCTTAGAGTTTTAAGCCCTTAAATGGGACAGGAGTTGCTCACTCGGGGAGCTCGGTTTTTGGAGACGTGAGTCTTGCTGAAGCTCCTGGCTGAATAAAGCCTTTCCTTCTTTAACTTGGTGTCTGAGGGGTTTTGTCTGTGGCTAGTCCTGCTACAGTTTTATTATAATAAATATTGAGTGAGTAGTTTGTGCATAACACTTTTTTTCATGTTTAGGATTTGTTTCTTAGATAGATTCCTAGAAGTATGCTCAAAAGTTAGTTCATATTTCTCCCTCTGCTATTCTTGTGACATTCAACTCCTCATTATCACAAAGGACTGAAGAAGTGTAAATGTTTGCCAATATTTGGTACCATCTGAATTGCCTCCCAAGACAGGATGAATTCCATGGATTATAAACGAGTTAAAGAGTGTCTAAAACAAAGTTTACTTTAAATTTCTTATAGTCAGCCGGGCACAGTGGCTCACATCTGTAATCCCAGCACTTTGGGAGGCCGAGGCAGGTGGGTCACTTGAGGTCAGGAGTTCGAGACCAGCCTGGTCAACATGGTGAAACCTCATCTCTAACTAAAAATACAAAAATTAGCTGGGCGTGGCAGCATATGCCTGTTATTCCAGCTACTGGGGAGGCTGAGGCAGGAGAATCTTGAACCCAGGAGACGGAGGTTGCGGTGAGCTGAGATTGCACCACTGCACTCCCTACCTGTTGTCCTCTCTATCTCAAAAAAAAAAAAAAAAAAAAAAAATTCTGGCCAGGCGTGGTGGCTCACGCTTGTAATCCCAGCACTTTGGGGGGCCGAGGTGAGCGGATCACGAGGTCAAGAGATCAAGACAAACCTGGCTAACACAGTGAAACCCTGTCTCTACTAAAAATACAAAATAAAATTAGCCGGGCGTGGTGGTCGGTGCCTGTAGTCCCAGCTACTCGGGAGGCTGAGGCAGGAGAATGGCGTGAACCCAGGAGGCGGAGCTTGCAGTGAGCAGAGATTGCGCCACTGCACTCCAGCTTGGGCGGCAGAGCAAGACTCCGTCTCAAAAACAAAAACAAAAACAAAAACAAACCTTACAGTTCTCTTACTTTATAAAGAGAAATAAAAGATTATTGAATATAATTGACATCTTAAACAATTTTTTTCTCTATTTGTACCCTTTCCTCCTTGGACTTCATCCTTCTTTCTCCCTTTATTCAGTTCGTTCTGATTTCCCTATAACACCAAAGGTCACACTCAAGAATGGGATAATATTTTAAGGTTCTCTTCAATCCTGGGAATTTGTGCTCTGGACACAATTGTGTTATAGGCTAAGACTGCTATTGTGTTTCTTCATTCACCCTTTCTTGTCTATTGCCCCAGTTGCAGCTAATAGATTCTATGGTTACCAGGGATACCAGCTTTAGGATGACGCAGATGCTAAATGCCGCGGGAGTCAGAGAAAACCTGGGGTCCTGATGATGTTGTTGAGCTGCTGAATCAACCATCCCTAAACCCTATGCTCCCAAGACTTCTTGTCATGTGAGCTAGTAGATTTCCATCTTGCTTATCTATTTAATATGAAGTTGCTGCTACTTTCAGTCTAAAGCATTAAGTCAGATCCATTTCTGGCTGTGGGATTAGGATGAATTTTGATCTGGTTAAAGGCTGAGTAACTCACCAGGGAGAAGGTGCATAAGAGAAATCCTGGTGAGGAAAAGATATAAGTAAGGGCAAAGAGATGTGAAAGTGTTTGGTGTGCTTGGAGGACTCAGGTGAGATGGGAAGGAAGGACAGCTGAGGTCAGGAAATAGGAGATGAGGTAGATAGGCTGGGGGTCAGGATCCCAGGAATTTGAATGTTTTCCTATGGGAAGTGAAGGAACATCAAAGGTTTTTAATCAGAGAAACGACATGATCAGATTAGCCTCTAAGCACTTACATAGTGACTCCTCCTTTCTAAAATTCTAGCAATGAGAGTACAAATAAGACAGAATAAGAGGTAGGAAAAGAACCAATGTAAGTGAATATATTGTAGGACAGCCTTATACATAGTATATTGACACACACAAACGTACATTGGATGAGGTTATATAAATATATATAACTGTATGTGTGTGCCCATGTGTATTCAGAGAATGCAGCTTTGGATTATTCAATATTTTTAATTCAATTCCTGGTTGGTTGTTTGCAACGACCTCATGGTAAGAATCTATGATTTAGTGTTGTCATTACTTTCACAAAATTTCACAATAGATTTTATAAAATCTTCCTGATTTTTTTTTTTTTTTTGAGACGGGGTCTCGCTCTGTCGCCCAGACTGGAGTGCAGTGGTGTGATCTCAGCTCACTGCAACCTCCACCTCCTGAGCTCAAGCAGTTCTCCTGCCTCAGCCTCCTAAGTAGCTGGGATTACAGGCACCTGCCACCACGCCCAGCTAATTTTTGTATTTTTAGTAGAGACGGGGTTTTACCATGTTGCCCAGGCTGGTCTCAAACTCCTGATCTAAGGTGATCCGCCCACCTCGGCCTCCCAAAGTGCTGGGATTACAGGTGTGAGCCACCACACCTGGCCAAAATCTTCCTGATTTCATAATAGAAAACCAGCAGTTTCTGAGCTGTGATTCTGGCTTCTGATTCCACCTCTGTTATTGGTGTGACCTTGGAATTAGACCTCAGTTTACTGTACATAAAATGAGTTATCTAGGTTAGATGATCTACGGATTTAAAATATATTAACCATCTTATCTTATAACTACAATGTTCTGTAATGGCCCCTCTCTGTGCCTCTCTCTCCCCCTCCTTCCCTTTCTTTCTTTTTCTCTCCTCCCCTTTTTTTTTTTTCAACTTTTATTTTAGGCTCGGGGTACATGTGCATGTTTGCTATGTAGGTAAACTTGTGTCACGGGGGTTTGTTGTACAGGTTATTTCATCACCCAGCTACTAGGCCTAGTATCCAATAGTTATTTCTTCTGATTCTCTCCCTCCTCCCACCCTCCACCCTCCAACAGGTCCAGTGTCTGTTGTTCCCTTCTTTGTGTCCACGTGTGTGTTCTCCCGTCTTTTTTCTTTGTTTTTTTTTTTAATTTTAAAATTAAGAATGTCTCTAAATAAAATTCTATACAGTTACCTAAGGAAAATTCACATATACTCTACATCAGCTAGAAATGTGTGTTGAACTGCAGATAACAGAATACCCAGCTATAGGGGCTTAAACAAAATGTGGTTTATTTGACTGCCATTACAAGAAGTCTGAAGGTAAAAGGTTGTTAGCATGGTCCAGGGGCTCAGCCACATCTAGGCCAACATTTCTGAAATTCTCCTGGCCTTTCTCTCACAGCTGTCATTTCTTGAGTGTAAGAAATAAGAGGGAACTTTGGCATCAGGGTCATCTGCTCTCTTTCATTAGAAAGGCACAAGTTTTTCCAGAACCATCTCTTCTCCCTCCCTATCATCATTTCTCACTTCTGATTCGATGGCCAGAGGAAGGCCACATGACCACCTCTGTAGTAAGGGAGTCGGACAGAGATTTGTGAACTCAACTTTTGCATACAATTTTAGAGAATTCAAAAATGGACGCGCGTTATGGTACCCAGGTTCAGAATCCCTGATTGAAAAAGTGGGTCACACTATCTGAACCTACGTTTTCAGGTCCTCACTCCTCAAAGAAAAACTGAAATCTAAACAGATTTCTGATAATCTGGTTTGAAGCAGCAAGCTGTTTAAAGGCCAGAGAATCAAATGAGATAATGAATTATGAAACTTTTGCAAACTGTTAAGTTCTACTTAATATGAAGACGTCATTCTGTTGTGAGAACTTCCTTTGTTATCTATGTATTACACATCTTGGTTGCCATTTGCCTCGTGTGTGTAAATAAAATAAGATAGAAGTAGGGCAAAGTAAAGAAAGACACAAGCAAATCAGTGCCAGGAACACACAGAAAATATTTTATTAGTTTCCAAATTAAGAAACAACAAAAGAGGACATATTTCAGGAGAAATCTATGACTCTCCTCAGAGAGCCCACTCTGGCATTCGTGGCCCCCCAGTCCTGGTAGCGCCTATAGTCCCCTGGCATCAGCAGGTACTGCCGTCCTCGGTAGTTGGACAGCTCGTAGAGGACCCAGGAGCCCTCCAGCACGTTGAGGGAGTGGATTTCATTGAAGCGGAAGCGGTCCTGAAGACAGGAGCAGTCCTCAGTGAACTCTATCATCTGGCCTCTGTAGTCCTCTCTCTCATAGAGTCTGATCCTGTGAGAGCCAGACTGGCGGACCCAGAAATAAAAAGAGAAGAAAAGCAAGTGTGAAATGATTCCAATGCATTGTTAGGCAGTCCAGCTTGGTGAGGACCCGCTCAAGCCATTTTGAAATACATGGTAAAATTTAATTAATTCTGAATATTTATAAACTCCTCATTACCGAGCACAGAGATTCAGTACCTTTTCAAGATTATGAAGTGTGGTGAAGAAATTGAGAAGGAAATCTCACTCTTTAATATATTCAGCTATTTCTTAGGATGAGCTGCCTCCTAGGCTCAGTATCCTGTACCACATGCAAATCCAAACCTGTAACAGCTTATTACTATTTTATACCATTTTGAAGAAATGTTTTAATATTAAAATAAACATTAAATTATAAAGAAATATATTTAAATAATGTATAATTTTAATATACATATGATATCTAATACATATTTAATTATATACTATATTTAAAATATATTATAAAATGTATAAAATTATATTTTATTTAAAGTTAATCATATTTTATTTTAATAATTATATTCAAATTATATTTTATAAGTATAAATTAAAATTATATTTATTTTACAAATTATATTTTATTTTAAAATAACTTTACTAAAATATAAATAAAATATATTTAAAATACAGAAATATAAGGGGTGGGGCAGTGGCTCATGCCTGTAGTCCCAGCACCCTGGGAAGCCGAGGCAGGTGGATCACTTGAGGTCAGGAGTTCAAGACCAGCCTGACGAATATGGCGAAACCTTGTCTATACTAAAAATACAAAAATTAGCCAGGTGTGGTGGCGGGTGCCTGTAATCCCAGCTACTTGGGAAGAAAATTGCTAGGGCCCAGGAAGCAGAGGTTGCAGTGTGCCGAGATCATGCCACTGCACTCCAGCGTGGGGAACAGAGCAAGACTTCGTCAAAAAAAATAATAATAATAAATAATAAAATAAAATAAAATAAAAATAAAAATACAAAAATTAGCTGGGTGTGGTGGCGTGCTCCTGTAACTCCAGCTACTCAGGAGACTGAGAGACGAGAATCATTTGAATCCAGGAGGCGGAGGTTGCAGTGAGCCGAGATTGCACCACTGCACTCCAGCCTGGGCGTCAGAGTGAGACTCTGTTTCAAAAAACAAAAACAAAACAACAACAACAAAAATATATATATACACACATATAATGTAAATGAAATATATTAAAAATATATTAAAATATATTTAAAATATGTTAAATATATTTAAAATATAATATAATTTATGTAGTTATATAAATATATTAAATACATATTTATTAAATAAATATATTATTAAATACATTATATTCATTAAATATATTTAATGTAAATATATTTAAAATATAAAAATATGTATTTTAAATATAAGTATTTAAAATATATTAAATATATCATTTAATATATTGAATTAAATGATAATGCATCATTTAAATCAATGACATAAATAAAATATGTTAAATATATAAGCCTTCTATTCAAAATATAAGTGTTTTAAATATATTAAAATATAAATATTTAAAATATATTAAAATATAAAATGTTAAATATCTTCATATATTAAAGAACAATTAATTCTAAGTCAATAACTTGTGAATGCAATGAAGAAAAATGGAGGAAGAAACATCAGTAAGTCCAAGGACGAATTTTGCATAAACTTTAGTGTTCTAACACACATATGGGATAAAAGGGACACATGTGTAAAATATGTGTGTTGCTCTCCTTTGAAGGAAAGTCTTACTTATATAGGTTGGGAAAACCCAAAATATGCAAGAGAGGAGCAAAAACGGGAAAAAGTCTCAAAAGAAATTACCCTGTTTGCTCAGTAACTGCTGTACGCTCTAGCATTTATTCTTCTATTGGGTATTAGTGGTTTTTCTACAACTCCATTCTAAATGATTCCAGAATAGGACTTAAGTCTTATACAACCCCTAGGGCAGGAGACACATTCCTACTCAATACATATTTGTGGATTAATTGTGATTAACTGGTGTCTGGGTAATACTTTGCTTATGTGGGGAGCAAACTCTATTGACTTAATCCACTATAGTTCATCTTTTGTCCACTCTCAGTTATTGTGACTGATCACTACTTCTAATGTTTAACTTTTGCTTGAAACCATCCAGTGAGTGTCCTGAGGGCCTGGGTCCTGACTTGAGGATGTACTCACGTGGGGGATGAGGCGGCAGGAGCGGACCGAGTCGCTGAGGCCCATCCACTGCTGGTGGTCGGCATAGTCGCCGCGGCGCAGGAAGTACTGGAGGCCCGAGTAGTTGGGCTGCTCATAGAGCATCCAGCAGCCGCTGTCCACGCGCGCCGAGTTGCAGCGGCTCAAGTAGGGCTGCAGGTTGGGGTGGTCGCTGCTGCATTCATAGTGGCGGCCCTGGAAGCCCCGGTCCTCGTAGAGGGTGATCTGCAAGGCAAGGCGGGACAAGGCGAGGTCTCACAGGCCTGCTCCTGCCCCAGTCTCTGGCCCCCGCGATGGAGGAAGCTCCGGGGTCCCGGGGCGCAGGCTGGGCTCACCTTCCCCATGGCTGGCTGGGCGCACGGCGGTGCTGAGCTGGTGGGGCGGCGGCGCTGAGCGGGTGGGGCTGCGGCGCGGCGGGCTATATAGCAGGAGGGCTGCTGCGTTGGCAAGAACCGCACAAAAGGGGCCCCCGGAGGGGAGCAAGGGCATTTTCGTGTTCTCTTTTTTTCTCTTTGCTGTGCTAGACCACGGGGCTTGTTGTGGGTTTTGGTCGCATTCTCTCTGGAGTATTCGGATTGCTATCACTGGCTGATGCTATTGAGAATGTTTGTAAAACGGCAATTTGGGACATTGTCTATTTATAATGGAAGTGGAGCTTCAGCTATTTCACATATAGTTCACGCTTTTATTCGTATAGATTGGGGAAAAACAAAAAAAATTTAAGTCGGGGAGCAAAAAAAGCAACGACTCTTAATAAGGCAAATATAAATTAATCTGTCAGAACTACAGTATTACTTACGTGCCACAATATTGAATACTGATTGTTAATAGGAAGGAAATGGGCTTAACTGAATGTTGAAAATTTCAAGTTAGTCCTTTAAGAGAACGTCATCATGAAAGGGTGTAAGAAATTGGAACATTTTATTAAGAGAGTTCACAGAATTTCGAACTTTTATTATGGTAAAACACACAGCAAACGTGAATCTTCAATATTGGGTCTGATTTTGTTGCAATTATGCCTGGAAGTAGCTGAGAATTAGATGTTTTTCTCTTAGCTAAAGGTGGTGCCGTGATTCAAAAGAGAGAATAGTTCTAAGATGCTTAATCTCAGAAAGAACTAAAAAGGGAAATATCTAAGTTTGAGGAAATTAGAAAAAGTAATATGTTTGAAACACAAAAACATGATCTCTTAGCTTGTTATAAAATAAAACCAAATTCCTAAGAAACTTATTTCTGGTAGGATCTAGAATACACCTTTGCCCTCTGAACGAGCGAGAGTACACAAGGCCTTTGACTCAGACGAAATTAATTGCATGAACACAAAGGGGAGCTATGGCTGGAATGATGCAGGGAGAGGAAGGAATAAAAATCTAGAAGTTGGACTCGAGGAAGACTTCAGAAAGTACTTATTGGCCTGGAAGAGAGCAGTTTGATGGACTGGGAAGAGTACTGGAGTGGAATATGACCTATGTGTCCAGCTTCTTTCATGTTCAAAGAATTGCTTACAGCCCTGTGTCAACCCATGGAAGTACTTTGTCTTGTCTTTGAGTCATAAATCTTTGTAAGTGGTATTTATGAATTAAACACCAACTATGTGCAATACAAATTATTTTAATTCTTATTTTCTGGCTGCTTTTTTTTTTTTGTATTCTTTCTATATAGAGCTCTACGGTGGTAGGGAAATACCTTTTTCTTTTGTTTTGTTTTGATTGTTTTCTTCATCCCCATTGCTACATATAGCAGGCGTATGGTAGGTGCTCAAAAATTGGTAAGGATCCTAACTCAAGGAAGTTAAGAGTCTCTAGTGGCTAATAATTGGAGGCTATTGAAATGGAAAATAAACTTGTGGCTGGGTGTGGTGGCTCACACCTGTAATCCCAGCACTTTCGGAGGCCAAGGTGGGAGGGTCACTTGAGCCCAGGAGTTCGAGACCAGCCCTGGCAACATAGTGAGACCCCTTCTCTACAAAAAAGTGAAAAAATTAGTCAGGCATGGTGGTGCGCGCCTGTAGCCCCAGCTACTTAGGAGGCTGAGATGGGAGGATCGCTTGAGCCTGTGAGGTCGAGGCTGCAGTGAGCTGGGTTTGTGCCACTGCACTCCATCCTGGACAACAGAGTGTGACCATGTCTCAAAAAATAAATAAATAAAATAAAATAAACTTGCACTATGAGCCGGTAGTCTCACTTCTAGGTCGCTATCTTTTTAAAATTATGGCATGTCAGGATTAGCGTATATGTACAATGTTATTCTTTGCAGCATTGTTGGTAAAAGCAACATTGGAAAAGCCCAGTCACTTAAGTGGACAAATGGTGAAATGGTCTAAGGGACCTCCAAACAATGGGATGCAATTCAACCATCAAACAGAATAAGATACTGACCTAGATATATGTCCATATTATAATACATTTTAAAAGCAAGTTGCAGACTAATATGTATAGCATGATTCCATTTTTGTAAAGAAAAGAAGCATGTGTTTTATAAGAGAGCTATATAAACAAGGAGAAAATCCCAGAAGGGTGCCCACCAACTATAAACAAGAGTTAGCAATGAGGGGCGTCAGAAGGACTCCCCTCAACTTCTTTATAGAATTTGTACAGTAGTAAGATTATGGGAGGCCTTTTACTTTGAAGGGAAATTTTTAAGTTAAAATAAATAAATTCTCTGCTGATGAAAAGACTCGTAATTGCTTTCTTTTTTTTTTTTTATTTTTACTTTTTAGGGCTTTGCTTATGAGCAAGCAGATTTTAGTTTAATAAAAGGCTCCAGAAATTATGGCTTCTTTAAAGCACCTTTAAATTTGAGCCCATTTTGTAATTACAGGACTTACGTATTTGTTTATTTAAACTTTTATTTTAGATTTAGGGGCACGTATCCAGGTTTGTAATACAGGTAAATTGCATGTTGTGAAGGTTTGGTGTACAGATTATTTTATCACCCAGGTGATAAGTATAGTACCTGACAGGTAGTTTTTTGATCCTCTCCAACCGCCCACCCTGCAACCTCAAGCAGGCCCCAGTGTCTCTTGTTTTCTTCTTGTCCACATGTACTCAAAGTTTAGCTCCCACTTAGAAGCGAGAACATGAGGTATTTTGTTTTCTGTTCCTGTGTTAGTTTGCTTAGGATAATGGCCTCCAGCTCCATCTATGTTGCTGCAAAGGACAGGGTCTCATTCTTTTTTATGGCTGCATAGTATTCCATTGTATATATGTACCACTTTGTAAAATCCAGCCTACCATTGATGGGCATTTAGGTTGATTCCATGTCTTTGCTGTCATGAATAGTGCTGTGATAAACATATGCATACATGCGTCCTTATGCCAGAACGATGTTTTTTGTAGTTATTTTTTATGTTTGGGGTACACTATACCATGAAAATCTATTTAAAAGATTGATGTGTATCTCTTAATATTAATTTATTTGCAATAGCTGGTCACCATGAAACTGATGTGCAGTTTCTATAATTGACACAGCATTTGGGCCAGGGGTAGTACCGACCAAGAGCTACACTTCTGGACAGGAGTCATTTTCAAAAGAAGATGAATAGTCTTTAACTTTGTTCAAAGGTACGGCAATGGCTGCGGTGGCCCTGGCATTAGTTATATAATACTGTGTCTGAAAGTAAACAAAACTACAATCCTTTATATAGTCTAATCAGGCTGTTGGCCAAGTTAAGTTTGCCCTCTCCACTCATCTGACTTTGCCTTTTGTCTAACCCATTTTTGGTTAGAAGGAAACTTCCCAACTATTGTTCCTCAAGGTGCTTAGTTGAATGCCTCCCTTCTCACCAGTCAGCCTCTCCCAGGTCTCTGGCATTGCCCTGCGTTTTCTTTCTCGGGCAGGCTACACCCTGCCTCCACCCCAACGTCTGAGGCTTGTTCAAACTCACTCTACCTTGAAGCTCTTCTCCAATAGACCCCGTCCCCCACCCCATTCACTTCTTAACTTTTGACAAGGAGCATTTAAAGGTGAACTGATTTGCACAATGAAAGAATGACAGAAGTCAGCAATTGCCAGCAATGCAGACTAAATATTTATTAGGTTCCAAAATGGGAAATTGGTAGTGTTAAGCTATTTTAATACAAATCCACCACTCTCCGCAAAGAGCCTGCCTTAGCATCCATGGCCCCCCAGTCCTGGCACCGCCTGTACTCTTGGGGCCTCAGCAGGTATTGCCGCCCCCGGTAGTTGGGCAGCTCGTAGAGGACCCAGCAGCCCTCCAGCACGTGGAGGGAACGGATCTCGCTGAGGTGGAAGCGGTCCTGGATGCTGGGGCAGTCTTCACTCAGCTCCATCATGAGGCCTTTGTGGTCTTCCCTCTCGTACAGCCGCAGCCTGTGGGAGACTGTCTACTCGGTCCACAGAAAGAAGGATGGAAAAAAGCAAATGAGTCTCTTCCAGAATTTGTCCAACCAAAGAACAGATGAACTTGGTAGGTTGTGGCATGGAATTGTCATTGTAAAATTTAGACAGTGTAAAATGTAGATTACTGTGGTTGCTGCGCATGGATCTGTCTTCCACTAGCACCTAAATACTGGCACGCTCATTTTCTATTTGACCTGAAATTCATTCTTATTTAGGAGATGGAATTTTTAAGAGGTTCAAACTCTGAGTTAGAATCCATCAAGAACTGAGATATCTTGATTCCTAATTACCTGTGTTAATTCAAACTACATTTGGGGGGAAAAATAGAAATAATTTATTTTCACTAGTATTCTTTTAGTAAGGGTATTATCTCCCAAATTTACAAACATATAAATTTACCACTAAAGTAAGATTTAAAAAATCTTGTACTTCAGTGTAAAGTTAAATAGTCATTTGGAATGAGAATTTAACTGATTTTCCAAATTAAGAAAAATTACCTTTTCCAAAGTTGGACACAACCTTTGAATAGCCTATATTAACAATACAGCTTTGAAGGTTTACTAGTCCATGGTGGAATCTATCTAATTCATTCATTAGAAATTCTTTTACTATAGACAAAATAATTTGTTAAAAATACCGTCTTTTTATGCCCAACCAGCTTCCCATTTGCAAGTTTTGTTTTATATCCCATTATGATATTACATTTGTTACAGACCTCTTTTAATTGACTTATTGGTAGCAAAAATTTCAAGTAAAACGGATTCTTCCTCTAAGTGGGTTCTTCCTTACATTCTCTGCTGTTTTTGTGCATGTTATCTATCTGGCTTATTCAGGTCTCTGATGTCCATCTAACCCTTAGGTGTTTTTAAATGCAAACCTCCCTCCCTGTAACCCACATTGACAATACAGTGGGGACTCTGGCGGCATGATGGAAATCTAGAAAACTCACTTGGGGGATGAGACAACAGGAGCGGATGGAGTCGCTGAGGCCCATCCATTGCTGGTAGTCGGGGTACTCCCCTCGCCGCAGCAAGTATTGTTGACCTTGGTAGTTGGGACGCTCATAGAGCATCCAGCAGCCGCTCTCCACCCGGATGGAGTTGCAGCGGCTGAAATACGGCTGCAGGTTGGGGCAGTCAGTGGTGGTTTCGTAGCTGCGGCCCTGGAAGGCCCTGTCCTCATAGAAGGTGATCTGCAAAGGAAGAATCGTTCCGAATTACATTATTTGCTCCTAACAGGCATTATATAAAGGCAACTTTTTTTTCATTTTATTTAATTTGTGTTCTGCTCACCTTCCCCATGGCTGGTTGACACGGATGATGCGAGTTCAGTGTGATGGGGCCTGCGGCTGCACAGCCAGTCTATATAGCAGGATGGCTGCTGCGTTGGCAAGAACAACACAAAAGGGGCCCTCAGCGGTAAGGGGATTTTATGCATCTCTTTAACATCCTGCATTCACTGGAAATGATTGTAGATTGTGTCCTTGTTCTCTGGTATATTCTAACGCTGTCCTGTACATACTGCTCTGTGTTGCTTTTATTTGGATTGTTAGTGTTTTCTAAATTTATCTGTGCATCAGTCTGAACTTTTGACCTGAAATTCGTGGCTCTGTCTATATGATTGAATTATTCCCTGTGAATTTTCTGGGAAAGATCTATGCCATTATAGAATTGCTCCAGGATTCCAGAGAGGTTGCTGAGGTAGAATGCCACAAGCACTGACTCATTTCCCTGGATGGCAGAGACTGCTCTACCTTACATTTTTGTCTTTACACAATTTTCCAGTCCAGGGCCGGACACAAATCTAGATTCTTATCTTGGCTAGTTTTGACTTCGTTAACCCAATGCTTTAAGACAGCTTTTAACTATGCCTTTCGTGGGCACGTCGTCTAACTAGAGATCAGTCCCTGGTAGTGAACTTACGATAACAAGCAAGGGAAAGGTTTCTATGGTCACTGGGCCCAAGACTGAGAAGTACCGTATACTACTTTATAGATTGCTTTCCCTTTTTCAAGCGTGAGGGAGGCCATAAAGCTTCACGGGCAAGAGTGTGAGCTTTGGACTCAGGCCGCCTGTACTCAGAAGGCCCACTGATTAGCTCCATGGCAAATTATATAACCACTCAGAGCAGGAGTTATCTCATGGACTATAGTCTGATTAATGAGAAAAAAAGTGAGAAAAAAGAGTAGCCTCTGACATTCAGATGCTGGCGTGGCACTCGCAGTGAGGACATGTTACTCCGCTATTAGACATAAACAGTCTCACAGAATAACAACTTCAGACAAGGCTACTCCGAGACCAGGATGAAATGAGATAAAATAAATCCACTTCTTAACTTTGCCTAAGCGCAGACAAAAACAAAGTCAATGCTCCACTCTCAAAATCCCAAGCCCTCACTCTCTCAGCCAAAATGATTAACTGCCACTTCTTTATGGATTACAGGTTTATCCGTGTTCTAGTCTCCCCTCCCTACGGGTAAGATTTCTTGAGATAACTAATCACAAAATTAACCCTGCTTTCTGCTAACATCTAATCTGGAGTGAACTCCAACTTTTTTAGCTCCTTCCCCAAATCGCACAACTGAAGTGCAAATCCTATAACAATTTCTTTCTAAGCTCTCTTACTGAGACACTCCATGCTTCCCCAAGGAGCATGTCCTCCCTTGCTGCAACAAGTAATAAGCTCAACTTGTTTAAAGACAGGTGTGTCCCTGGTGGTCTTTAGCTAAAGGACATTGACATGAATAAGTGGGATTATGTGTATAAGGCATTTGGCACATACTTGGCACAAATGAACACTGAATAAATGTTGTTATTAGTAATAGAGTGACATTGTTAAGGCTGACTTCATCCTGTTTATCCCTCTCAAAGATATTTAATCCTCTCAAAGATTCCTGAAAAAATTTATCCTCTATGAAGCCATTTTGTGATTAAAGAAAAATTAGGCTTGGAAGGGACTTTCGAAACCATCGGGTGGTTTTCAAACTCCAGTGTGCCTAAGAATCACCTTGCTTATTAAAAATGCAAATTACCATCTTGATCTTTTGGCTAAATCCTGCATCATTAGATCAGGAGAAGACCTCAGAACCTACATTTTTATTTTTTATTTTATTTATTTTATTTTATTTTTTGAGATGGAGCCTTGCTCTGTTACCCAGGCTGGAGTGCAGTGGTGCGATCTCAGCTCACTGCAACCTCTGCCTCCCGGGTTCAAGTGATTCTTCTGTCTCAGCTTCCTGAGTAGCTGAGATTATAGGCGCGGGTCACCATGCCCGGCTAATTTTTGTATTTTTATTGGAGACAGGGTTTTGCTATGTTGGCCATGATGGTCTCGAATTTCTGACCTCAGGTGATCCACTCACCTCGGTCTCCCAAAGTGCTGGGATTACAGGCATGAGCCACCACGCCCAGCCCAGAACCTACATTTTTAATAAGCACCAAATAGTTCTTGGGCCAAAACACTGCTGTGGTTTATCCCTTCATGTTTTGACAAGGAAATCATGTATTTTAGCCATCCCTAGGCAATGCCTTATTAGGAATTGTACTAGCATTCTCTTAATTCTATTTATTTATTTTTTGAGATAGAGTTCTGCTCTGTTGTCCAGGCTAGAGTGCAGGGACACAATCTCAGCTCACTGCAGTTTCTGCCTCCCACGCTCAAGCTCAAGCTCCCACCTCAGTCTCTTGAGTAGCTGGGACTGCAGGTGCATGCCACCATGCCCAGCTAATGTTTTGTATTTTCTTTATGTAGAGACAGGGTCTCACTATGTCGCCCAGTCTGGTCTTGATCTCCTCAAGCAATCCATTTTCCTCTGCCTCCCAAAGTGCTGGGATGACAGGCGTGAGTCACTGTGCCCTGCCTAACATTCTCGTTAGACTTAAAGGCAGATGTGCTCTCTGTTTTGTAGCACTCTTTTTTTTTTTTTTTGAGACGGAGTCTCGCTCTGTCGCCCAGGCTGGAGTGCCATGGCGTGATCTCAGCTCACTGCAACCTCCGCCTCCTGGGTTCAAGCAGTTCTCCTGCCTCAGCCTCCTGAGTAGCTGGGACTGCAGGCGCCCACCACCACGCCTGGTTAATTTTTTTTTTTTTTTTGTATTTTTAGTAGGGACAGGGTTTCACCGTGTTAGCCAGGATGGTCTCGATCTCCTGACCTCGTGATCTGCCCACCTCGGCCTCCCAAAGTGCTAGGATTACAGGCATGAGTCACCGCGCCTGGCCAGCACTCTTTCTTGTTCTATAAAGTTTCATATGTACACAGTGAGAGAATCGGAGCAGAGATACCAGCACTTAAATTAGAGCACTGGTAAGAAGACAGGAAAAGCAATAAAGGGGCCAGAAAGTGCATATTACAGAACATCGCTCTTGTTCCATAATGGCGTAGTCTTGTATTTCTCTAACCTTTTTTCAAATCTTTCTCCTTCTCTCCTCTGCCCCAACCACCTCCCACCCCCAAACCCCTGCCATTGTAGCTGCCTTACATAGGGTCTTATCATATCTCAGCTGGACTTTCAACAGCCTCCTGACTCTGCCCAGTGTTGTCTTCCTCCAAGCTGCACTCAGACAGATGCTGGAGTGATGAGAATCAAAACACATCAAATCATGCTGTTCATTTGCTTGAAAAATTTCATGGACTCCCATTGTCTCCAGGATCCAATATTGATCCCTTAGCGCGGCATCCTAGACCTGGCCTCCGCTGTCTGTCCCCACGCTTTCTGATTGATCACGCCGAACCGCTTGTCATTTCCCAAATGCACAATGTTATTTCATGTTGTTCTTGTTTTTCAACATATTGATCCTTCTCAATGAGACACCAGTTTATTTTTCAACCAGAGAAATTTTACCCTTTCTTCAAGTCTCAGCTCAAGCGTCAGTTTGTCTGTAAAAGATTTTCCTGAACCCTTCCTAATCTTCTGGGCTGAATTAAATACTGCCTCCGTGGCTCCTCATGTTCATACCACTATAAGGGTAACTATCACTTATCTAATTATTTTGTTTAGACATCAGTCCCTCAAAATAGATGGGAGAGCCCCATAAAGGCAGAGTCTATTCCATCTTTATTTTTGTGTTCTCACTAATTGGCTTAGAGGACTGGCACATAAAGGTTACTCAATAAATGCCCGGGAGGGGGGATGTGTGAATGTTATTCCTTGTCTGAAATTTATTATTATAATGGTCTATGGAGCCTGTTTCAAATGTTCAATATACACAGGCATAACACACTCACATTGAAGTTCAGGATGTGCAACTTTCGGTGTGTAGGATGACACAGGCACCCTGCACTTGATCGATTTAATGGGGCTTTTTTTTTTTTTTTTGAGGCGGAGTCTCGCTGTGTCGCCCAGGCTGGAGTGCAGTGGCGCAATCTCAGTTCACTGCAAGCTCCGCCTCCAGGGTTCACGCCATTCTCCTGCCTCAGCCTCTCCGAGTAGCTGGGACTACAGGCGCCCGCCACCACGCCCGGCTAATTTTTTGTATTTTTAGTAGAGACGAGGTTTCACCATGGTCTCGATCTCCTGACCTTGTGATCCGCCCGCCTCGGCCTCCCAAAGTGCTGGGATTACAAGAGTGAGCCACTGTGCCAGGCCTTCTTTTTTTTTTTTTGAGATGAAATCTTGCTCTTGTCACCCAGGCTGGAGTGCAGTGGTGCGATCTTGGCTCACTGCAACCTCTGCCTCCTGGGTTCAAGAGATTCTCCTGCCTCAGCCTCCCGAGTAGCTGGGATTACAGGCGCCTGCCACCACGCCCAGCTAATTTTTGTACCTTTAGTAGAGTCAGGGTTTCACCATGTTGGCCAGGCTGGTCTTGAACTCCTGACCTCAGGGGATCTGCCCACCTCGGCCTCCCAAAGTGCTGGAATTACAGGTGTTAGCCACCACACCCAGCCATAATGGGCCTTTATAACAGTGGAGATAATAAGCAAAAGGGAAAAACCAGGAATGCTGTGTTGTGCCCTAAGTCCTCCCACTCCTTAGTAATTCTAATTTTTATTTCTTCTGAGATGAGAAATTAATGTTACAACAGCGGTAGCCAATTCTAGAGTTTTGCTGGTGTCTGAGGTCCAGCCAGCAGTTGATTTTACCACCCACCTTCCTGCTTCTTAGCAATTAATATACGGTGGTATCCTATGCAGTCATGCATCTCTTTTTTATATGATTGCAATTTTAATTTTAAAAAATGGGAAAAAATAGTACCCTTGCAAATAAAAAGGCAATTCTACAAATTAATATAAAATTCACTGGGGAATTCTAAAGCGAAGGCCAAGAGTTCCCTCGAGGACATGGGAAAGGCATCATGCTGGGGTTTTTGTGTGGTGCTTTGCCAGTCGGCACCCCCTCAGCAAGCCCTTCCTGAAGGGCTTATTGCCCTGGTTTTGAGAAGTCTATCTAAATAAAATACAGCAAACTCTGCCCTCACCCCAGGGAACTGGTCCCTTCATGCTTCTAGAAGAATTGAGATTAGCTTGTCCAATCTACTCTCTAGTCATCTTCCTACTTGCAGGCTGCTAGGGGCCACAAGTAGAAAGGGGAGGAACAAGCAAGGGCAGAGACAGGAAGCTGGTTTTCCTTGAGGCCTCATGTGGTCACCTTACAACAAACACTGCAAGGCTTTATGAGCTAAATGTCAACTCACACACAGATCAGGTGCCTGCCCTGAGCTTCTCTGAGCCTTTCTGCCCCGCTCCATCACTCGTCAGTGAGTCTGAGGTTGAATGCAAACACTCATGGAGCAGAGATCAGCTAGAAGCAACGTGAAAACCACGAGGGTTTAAAGTATGGTGTATGCTGGCACCAGCTTAAGGTGGCATTCCCCACCCACGCTTCCCCCTCCACTTCAGAAGGCTGCACCTCCTGTATTACAGGGATTAGGGCTCTTGTAACTCAATCAATAAAGCCTCTGCTCTATGGCCACTGGGGCCATTGTCTTCTGACGTAGCCTGGCCAGGAGCCCCGTTGTCGGCAGAAGGGAGTTCACTCCTCCTCTGCTTTCATACCAGTGTATCCAATTTCCTTGACAAACTCCACTTTATCAGTTATTCTGCCATTTGGAAAGTTTTACACACTTGGAAGATGTTGCCAATGACATCTTCTGGTGAGTAGCCCAGATGCCATAGGTGAGCAGGAATCTTGTAGGTTTCCTTGACATGGGCATTCACACAGTGCTGGATCATCTCCTTCATGAGCAGGGGGTGGGGCTCGTCGCAGACCCTGAACATACTTCTCGCTGTAACTGAAGCCAGATCCTGGGAAGATGGACTGCAAGTTGTTCAGGGCCTGTCTCATGTCTCCCTGACCCATGAGGATGATGGCTTCTAGGCCAAAGTCAGTGTACAGAACTGTACCCTTCTCTCTAGCATTCATTGGCCTCACACTGGTCCGGGCATCGGTCAGCTTTGTGTAGCGGAGGACTATGCACTGGGATCCAGTGGCCTCTGAACAGAGACGGGAAGGCAGTGAGGTTTCCCTCAGAGGCTGGCATCACCCTATTAGTGCTTTGATTACGAGGATGCAGCTGCATAATCCACACAGCCCAGCCATGCTGGTGGTGCGACTCCTCTTTGGCAGCAGGTGCTTAAGAGAAATGCAGTAAAAACAAGGCTAAATGTCAAAGTATTAACCAAAGTATAAAGTATTGCTTTATAAATTGCTTTTCCTTTTCCAAGCATGAGGGAGGCTATAAAGCTTCACGGGCAAGAGTGTGAGCTTTGGACTCAGGCCGCCTACACTCAGAAGGCCCACTGATTAGCTCCATGGCAAATTACATAACCACACAGAGCATGAGTTATCTCTATGGACTGTAGTCTGATTAATGAGAAAAAAAGTGAGAAAAAAGAGCAGGCTCTGACATTCAGATGCTGGCCTGGCACTCACAGTGAGGACATGTTACTCCCCTATTAGACATAAACAATCTCACAGAATAACAACTTCAGACAAGGCTACTCCGAGACCAGGATGAAATGAGATAAAATAAAGCCACTTCTTAACTTTGTCTAAGCGCAGACAAAAACAAAGTCAATGCTCCACTCTCAAAATTCCAAGCCCTCTCTCTCTCAGCCAAAATGATTAACTGCTACTTCTTTATGGATTACAGGTTTATCCGTGTTCTAGTCTCCCCTCCCCATGGGTAAGATTCCTTGAGATAACTAATCACAAAATTAACCCTGCTTTCTGCTAACATCTAATCTAGAGTGAACTCCAGCTTTTTAAGATCCTTCCCCAAATCACCCAATTGAAGTGCAAATCAGACAGAGGCCTCAGCCAGCACTGCCCCAGCAATGGCCTTGGCTGGCCAGGGCTTTCAGATGGAGAAATGATCCTCCAAGGCAGACATCCATGTGCCACAAGCCCTCAGATGAGTCAATTCAGGCCCAGGAAGACTCTGGAATCACAATGTATGCTGGGCGTTGGGCCCTTCTGGGCAGATGACAATTCGGTCTGGCTGGGGGTAGGAACAGGACACTCACAGTTTCTTTAAAGCTCCACTGGAGATGCTGACCTGCAGCTGGAGCTAAGAACCACCAGTCAGACAAATGTAGAATTCTAAAACTCTCCTTTTTCTTCTCCTTAGACTACTACAACAGCTTCTTCATGATGTCCAAACCCCAATTTGGCCTCTCTCTGATCCTTCATCTATGCTGCTGTCACATGGGCCTTCCGGTGATCTTATCTGAAGCATTAAAAGCAAGAACACAGTGAGTCGTTTTAGAGCAGATTTCAATGGTTCCCCTGAAGGCTTGCTGGACTCCATCAGTTATGCTGTCTGCTTCATCCAGGAAGATGATCTTATGTTGACCTTTGGGAAGGATGACTTTTTGTCAAGCAAACATTTTGATTTTATTCCTCGCAACGTCAATGCCCTTGCCATTTGAAGCACTGAGTTCCAGCATGGCATCCTTCAGTGCTGGGCCCAGGATGCTTATAACTTTGTCAGTTCCCAGGGGGCCAGCAAAGATGATGTGAGGCATATTCCCTTCTCTTGCAAAGATCTCCAGCCTGCCCACAGTGTATTCATTCCTGTCATTTTCATTCAGCTTTACTGGCCTATATTTTTCAACCCCACTCTCACATCCAGATGTGCCCATTCCTTATGACCTGGGCCCTCACCATGCAGCTTGCAGTTGTTGGCCCTGCCAGGGGCCTTGCTGAGGGCAGAGGCAGGGTCTTGGGCTGCAAGCTCGCCTGCACCACCGCTACTCACTTGCACCTCCATTCTCTAGCTCTTTTTATTTTTATTTTTTTGAGATAAGGTCTCGCTCTGTTGCCCAGGCTGGAGCACAGTGGCGTGATCTTGGATCACTGCAGCCTCTATCTCTCTGGCTCAGGGGATTCTCCCACTTCAGCTTCCCAAGAATTTGGGACCACAGGTGCCTGCTACCATGCCCGGCTAATTTTGTTTATTTTTTGTAGAGATGAGGTCTCACTATGTTGCCCAGGCTGGTCTCGAGCTCCTGGGCTCAAGCAATCCTCCCACCTCGGGCTCCCAAATTGCTGGGATTACAGGAGTAAGCCACTACGCCCGGCCCATGCCTACATTCTCTAGCCTCCTCTTCCCCCATGCATCTCTTATCAATGGGATACATTTTGAGAAATTTCATTGTTGTGTGAACATCATAGAGTGTACTAACACAAACCTAGATGGATCAGCCTACTACACTAGTATTTGTGTATCTAAACAAATCTAAACATAGAAAAGGTACAGTAGAAATGCGAGACCAGCTCGACTGGGGACAGCCTAACCCAGTGGCACTAGAGGAATTAAAGACACACACACAGAAATATAGAGGTGTAAAGTGGGAAATCAGGGGCCTCACAGCCTTCAGAGCTGAGAGCCCCAAACAGAGATTACCCATGTATTTATTAACAGCAAGCCAGTCATTAGCATTGTTTCTATAGATACTCGATTAACTAAAAGTATCCCTTATGGGAAAAGAAGGGATGGGCCGAAATGAAGGGGTGGGTCTGGCTAGTTATCTGCAGCAGGAACATGCCCTTAAGGCACAGATTGCTCATGCTATTGTTCATGGTTTAAGAACGCCTTTAAGCGGTTTTCCGACCTGGGTGGGCCAGGTGTTCCTTGTCCTCATTCCAGTAAACCCACAACCTTCCAGCGTGGGCGTTATGGCCCTCATGAACATGACACAGTGCTGCAGAGATTTTGTTTATGGCTAGTTTTGGGGCCAGTTTATGGCCAGATTTGGGGGGGCCTGTTCCCAACAAGAAATATGGTATAAATGATTAAAAAACTGTACACCTGGCCAGGCACAGTGGCTGACGCCTGTAATCTCAGCACTTTGGGAGGCCAAGGCAAGGCGGATCACGAGGTCAGGAGATAGAGACCATTCTGGCTAACACGGTGAAACCCCGTCTCTACTAAAAATACAAAAAAATTAGCTGGGCGTGGTGGTGGGTGCCTGTAGTCCCAGCCACTCGGGAGGCTGAGGCAGGAGAATGGCATGAACCCAGGAGGCAGAGCTTGCGGTTAGCCGCGATCACACCACTGCACTCCAGCCTGGGTGACAGAGTGATACTCTGTCTCAAAAAAAAAAAAAAAAAGATTGTACACCTGTATAGGACACTTACCATGAATGGAGCTTGCAGGACTGGAAGTTGCTCTGGGTGAGTCAGTGAGGAGGGTGAATGAATGTGAAGGCCTAGGACATTACTGTACACCACTGTAGACTTTATACACACTGTGCACTTAGGGTACACAACATTTTTTTAAAATGCTTTTCTTTCTTCAATAATAAACTAACATTAGCATACTGTAACTTTGTAACTTTATAAACTTTTTAACATTTTAAGCCTTTTTGACACCTTTGTGGTAGCTTAAAACACAAACATTGTATAGCTGTACAAAAATATTTTCTTTTTATCCTTACTATATAAACTTTTTTCTTTTTTTTTTTTTTAATAGAGATGGCGTTTTGCTATGTTGCCCAGGGTGGTCTCAAACTCCTTGTATGATTCTCCCCAGGGTCTGAAAGCTTAAGGGGATGAGTAACCCCTCCCTTCCCAGGCCCAGTCCCAAGGCGCAAGGTCACTTGTGTCAGCAGTGTGCGCCAGCAGGATAGCAGAAGCAGGAAGAGAGCCGGCTGGAAGACACGTACCCCCGAAGATCGAGAAAGAGGCCATCCGGGTACAACGTAGCAGTTACGTCAGACTAGGACACTTCCTGTTTACAGGAGACTGTAAAACCTTTGCCCCGTCCTCACTTGGTGCTGACGCCATTTTAAGCCTCGGCCTTCCTGCACTCAGGCGCACCCAGGCGCTCCTTAAAACAGCTTATTGCTCCACACCTCCTCGTGTTGTCTGTGGACGCGCTCTTGGGGTTGGAACCGATACAAGAACCTTACACTGCTGGGCTCAAGTGATCTGCCTGCCTCGGCCTCCCAACGTGTTGGGATTACAGGCGTGAGCCACCACGCCTGGCCTATTCTTTTACTTTTTAAAATTTTGTGAAAAACTAAGACACAAACACACACATTAGTTTAGGCCTACACGGGGTCAGGATCATCAATATCACTGTCTACCACTTCCACATGTTGTACCACTGGAAGATCTTCACGGGCAAAAACACACATGGAACTGTCACCTATGATGATGATGCTTCCTTCTGTAGTACCTCCTGAAGGCTCTGCCTGAAGCTGTTTACAGTTAACTTTTTTTTTTAAAAAAAAGTATAAGTAGAAGGAGAATACTCTAAAGTGATGATAAAAAGTATAGTATAGCAAGCTGGGCACGGTGGCTCACACCTATAATCCCAGCACTTTGGGAGGCCGAGGCAGGCGGACCACCTGAGTATTGACTTTCTCTTTATGTTGGATTTAGGAGGAGGACAGGACATCTTTTTCTTTGCCTGTATCCCAGGGATAGGAGCAAAAAATTTCTAAGAATAATGACTTGATCAAAGAGATTCGGGGACTCTAATCCCTTTCAGTTCAGATGTTTTAGAATAATTTTCATGCCTAAAGACGGTGATTTACTTTTATTTTTATTTTTAGAGATAGAGTCTCTCTCTGTTGCCCAGGCTGGAGTGCAGTGACGTGATCTCACCTCACTGCAACCTCCGCCTCCCAGGTTCAAGCGATTCTCGTGCTTCAGCTTCTGTAGTAGCTGGGATTACAGGCATGTGTCACCACGTGCAGCTAATTTTTGTATTTAAATTTAGTAGAGACGGGGTTTCGGCATGTTGGTCAGGCTGGTCTCAAACTCCTGGCCTCAAGTGATCCGCCTGTCTTGGCCTTCCAAAATGTTGGGATTACAGGCGTGAGCCACTGCACCCAGCCAAAATATGTGATTTTATGTCTTCTAGGAAAATAGTGTAAAATTCAGCACGTTAAGAAGCTTTTGGTTTTCTGAATTATGTTTGACATGTTATTGTTGACAAACAGAGGACTCTGATTAATAGCTCCAGGAAGCCATCACTATTGTTGCGAGTTTAAAGGTTAAAGACCCAAGATTTAGGAAGAGTTAACACTAAATAATCCTAGATTCTGACTGTTTTTCAGGAAATAAATCTTTATATGTATTTGTGTTCTCTATATATACACACATACAGTAGGCTAATATACATATACATACAGTAGGCTAAACTTAGGCTACACATTTTTTTAAAATGCTTGCTTTCTTCAATAATAAACTAACATTAGCATACTGTAACTTTGTAACATAAACTTTTTAACATTTTAAACCTTTTTGACACTTTTGTAGTAATATTTAGCACACACACACACACACACACAGTAGGGTAAACTTGCATCCAAGTTTGCCTAGAACAGTCCTGGTTCATGTCTCTTGTCCCAGTGTAATTATTAATAGTATATACTTTCACTCTCAAAAATGACCCAGTGTAGGCCAGGCGTGGTGGCTCACTCCTGTAATCCCAGCACTTTGGGAGGCCGAGGTGGGTGGATCACCTGAGGTCAGGAGTTTGAGACCAGCCTGGCCAACATGGTGAAACTCTGTCTCTACTAAAAATACAAACATTAGCCGGGCGTGGTGGCACACGCCTGTAGTTCTGGCTACTTGGGAGGCTGAAGCAGGAGAACTGCTTGAACTGGGAGGCAGAGGTTGCAGTGAGCTGAGATTGCACCACTGAACTCCCGCCTGGGTGACAGAGTGAGACTCCATCTCAAAAAAAAAAAAAAAAAAAACCCAAAATCAAAACAAATGACCGAGTTTATGACTGGGTGTGGTGGCTCACACCTGTAATTCTGGCACTTTGGGAGGCCCAGACAAGAGGATCGCTTGAGCTCAGGAGTTTGAGACCAGCCTGGGCAACATGGCAAGACCCTGTCTCTACTAGAAATAAAAAAAATTAGCTGAGCATGGTGGTGTGCGCCTGTAATCCCAGCTATTTGGGAGGCTGAGGTGGGAGGATCGCTTGAGCCCTGGAGACGCAGGTTTACAGGGCTGGGATTACAGGTGTGAGCCACCACGCCCGGCCACTTAGTATTATTATGTGTAATCATAATATTTTACTCTCTACTGAAATGACATGAGGCTGAGCTTCCCGTGCGCATGTGGTTTTTGTAAATGTCCTGAAATTATTCCACAAAGCACATATAGCGAAAACACAGTGAATTCTATTTGGACTGGAAATCTCATAGTGGAATGAGATATTGGCAGTGGAAGTGAGAGGAAAGGGATGGTGACTGTTAGGAGGACAGGAGTGCAATAGGTAAGAGTGGACCAGTTCATTTATTTGTTTGTTTATGGAGCTGAGGTAGGAGTCTAGAGGCTGAGAACAACTTTCCTCATCAGCTAAGGCCTGGACTATTAGGGAAGACAATAGGGATAACCTGGAGGGATAACTTGGAGGTGTTTCAAAAAGTACCAATTCACCACCGTAGCTGCAAATCTAGCCTGGTGAGACTAACTACAATTGGCCTGAGTCCAAGTGAACTGAGCTTTTATTTGAGCCTACATGTTTTAGTCATTACAAGAGTGCTGGAAATAATATCTCTGCATTATTCCCCTTATAAAAGATTGCTTCCCATCATGAAAACATGTTATTATGTTTGGCTGAGTGCCATTATCACTTATAAATGCTTAATAGATTGAAAGAAAGACAGGGCTCTACTAGTGCCAGAAACACAAGCTAAATATTTTATTAGATTTTAAAGGAGAAAAGTGGAAAACGTAAATACTTCAGTACAAATCCATGACTCGTCTAAGAGAGCCAACTTTGGCATTTGGAGCCCCCCAATCAAGAAACCTCCTGTACTCCCCCGGCCTCAGCAGATACTGCCTCCCCCTGTAGTTGGGCATCTCATAGAGGATCCAGCTGCCCTCCAGCACATTGAGGGAGTGAATTTCAGTGAGGTGGAAGCGGTCCTGAACAGAGATACAGTCGTCTGTGAGCTCTGACATTTGTCCCCTCAATTCATCTCTGTCGTAGATCTTCATTCTGTAAGCGCCAGAGTGCTGGAGTGGCAGACAGAAAACGCAAGAGTAAACAAACAAAAACAGATGGAAATTAAAGCTCCAGTCCCTACACCTCCCTGGCCACACCTGCCCAGAAGTTCTCCCAGGCCAAGTTTGCTTCTAGAACAACCCTGTTGCAAAGTTAAGGAGCTGTCACACTCCCCAGTCACCCACCGCTGAGTCTAATGATTCATGGGCAGAGCTAGGGCTTTGGGAATTAAGATTTGCTTACAATAAAATATCACATCACTTTAGTGCCTGTTATTTGAGAAAGCCTTTCTCAAAGGAGAAAACTGAGAGTCATTGGAAAGTTA
Source organism: Homo sapiens (assembly GCF_000001405.40). Taxonomy (NCBI): domain Eukaryota; kingdom Metazoa; phylum Chordata; class Mammalia; order Primates; family Hominidae; genus Homo; species Homo sapiens. Next base: position 208,143,228 of record NC_000002.12, read on the forward strand.
AATGTCATATTATGTATATACAGTGAAAGGAAAATAAATCTTGGGACCTCAAAATCACTAAGCTAAAGGGAAAAGTCAAGCCAGGAACTGCTTAGGGCAAACCTGTCTCCCATTCTATTCAAAGTCATCCCTCTGAGGCTCACCTGAGACAAATGCATCTCTGATTGCTTCCTCTCCCCTATTGTTTATGTAAAGATGCAGAGTCATCGAGCCAGACTAAATTGTGTATTCAGTGGAAAGCTGATCAAGGGCTCAAAGAACCTTTTGTCTCTTATCTACTGTTTTTTTTTTTGAGACAGAGTTTCGCTGTTGTTGTCCAGGCTGTAGTACAATGGCGCAATCTCAGCTCACTGCAACCTCCACCTTCTGGGTTCAAGTGATTCTCCTGCCTGAGCCTCCCGGGTAGCGGGATTACAGGCGCCCACCACCACGATTAGCTAATATTTTGTATTTTTAGTAGAGACGGGCTTTGACTATGTTGGCCAGGCTGGTCTTAAACTCCGTCAGGAGTTCAGGCGATCCACCCACCTCAGCCTCCCAAAGTGCTGGGATCACAGGGGTGAGCCACGCGCCCAGCTCTGTTTCTTATCCATGTCTAACCAGGAAGCCCCTACTTCCTGTCTTACCAGACTGAACCAATTTACAACTTATACATATTGATTGATGTCTCATGTCTCCCTAAAATGTATAAAAGCAAACTGTACCCCTGACCACTTTGGGCACATGTCTCAGGACTTTCTGAGGCTGTGTCATGGGTGCATCCTCAACCTTGGCAAAATAAACCTTCTTTCTGGGTTTTTTTTTTTTTTTGAGATGGAGTTTCACTCTTGTTGCCCAGGCTGGAGTGCAATGGCGTGATCTCGGCTCACCACAACCTCTGCCACCCAAGTTCAAGCAATTCTCCTGCCTCAGCCTCCCAAGTAGCTGGGATTACAGGCACGCGCCACCACGCCCAGCTAATTTTGTATTTTTAGTAGAGGTTTCTCCATGTTGGTCAGGCTGGTCTCAAACTCCGGACCTCAGGTGATCTGCCTGCTTTGGCCTCCCAAAAGTGCTGGGATTACAGGCATGAGCCACTGTGCCCAGCCTTGGCAAAATAAACTTTCTAAATTGACTGAGACCTGTCTCAGATATTTGGGGTTCACTATTATATGCGCACGCACACACACACACACATATATGTATTTGTTTCTTGAGACAGGGTCTCCCTCTGTCACCTAGGCTGGAGTGCAATGGCATGATCATGGGTCACAGCCCCCTCAACCTTCTGGGCTCAAGTGACCCTCCCACCTCAGCCTCCTGAGTAGCTGGAACTACAGGCATGCACCACCACATCTGGCTAATTTTCAGTTCAAATTTCTTTTCTTTTTTTTTTTTTTTTGAGACGGAATCTTGCTCTGTCACCCAGACTGGAGTGCAGTGGCATGATCTCAGCTCATTGCAACCTACCCTTCCCGGGTTCAAGCGATTCTCCTGCCTCAGCCTCCCAAGTAGCTGAGACTACAGGCGCGTGCCACCAAGCCCAGCTAATTTTTGTATTTTTAGTAGAGAGGGGGTTTCACCATATTGGCCAGGGTGGTCTTGAACTCCTGACCTCCTGACCTCGGCCTCCCAAAGTGCTGGGATTACAGGCGTGAGCCACCGCACCCAGCCTTCAGTTCAAATTTCAACCTATCTGACTTTTAAGCTTCCTTTCTAGCCTCCTGCTCTCAACTTATTTATTTCCCTCAGCAGCAAGTATCACCTTCATTAACTTCTGTTTTTATGACACTGTATCCCATGCCTCCCACACACCACAATTCTAAGAATTCTGCAGTCACTGCCCAGAAAATATGGAATCTCAAACTTTAGTTTCAGATTTGGCCTTTTCTCTAATTTATACCTCTAAGTGAGCTAATAGGTACTGACCATTAAATTAGAATAGAAATCAGAAGACAGGATCCTATCTTCTCAGGAGGAATAATCAAATAGAAAAGTAAGACAAAGCAAGCAAAAGTTTGTTGTTGTTGTTGTTGTTGTTGTTATTGTCGTTTTGAGATGGAGTCTCACTCTGTCACCAGGCTGGAGTGCAGTGGCACGATCTCGGCTCACTGCAACCTCCATCTCCCGGCTTCAAGCAAGCAATTCTCCTGCCCCAGCCGCCCGAGTAGCTGGGATTTAAGAATAATGTGATTAAATAGGCCGGATGCCGTGGTTCACACCTGTAATCCCAGCACTTTGGGAGGCCGAGGCGGGCGGATCACTTGAGGCCAGGAGTTCGAGATCAGCCTGGGCAACATGGTGCAACCTCGTCTCTACTATGAATACAAAAATTGGCTGGGCATGGTGGTGCATGCCTGTAATCCCAACTACTCAGGAGGCTGAGGCAGGGGAATTGCTTGAACCCGGGAGGCGGAAGTTGCAGTGAGCCGAGATCATGCCACTGCACTCCACCCTGGGGGACAGAGCGAGACTCCGCCTCAAAAAAAAAAAAAAAAAAAAAAAGAATATCATGAAATAGCTTTTATTTCCAAAAAGATGGAAGGCAAAGACAGAGCCACACTCACCGGGGGGATGAGGCAGCAGGAGCGGATGGAGTCGCTGAGGCCCATCCATTGCTGGTAGTCAGGGTACTCCCCACGCCGCAGGAAGTACTGGTGGCCCTGGTAGTTGGGGCGCTCATAGATCATCCAGCAGCCGCTCTCCACCCTGATGGAGTTGCAGCGGCTGAAATAGGGTTGTAGGTTGGGGCAGTCAGTGGTGCATTCGTAGCTGCGGCCCTGGAAGGCCCTGTCCTCGTAGAAGGTGATCTGAAAAATGGAAGATGTGGGAGCATGGAGTGATTGGCCCCCACTGAGGCCACTGCATTAGGGCCAAGGCTGAGCATCCGGTACCCAGGACTTACCTTTCCCATTTTGAAGGAAGTGAGCAGATGTTTTCTGGTTGCTGTGTGGGACTGCGGGAACGTCACTGTATGTATAGCAGCCCTGACTGCTGCCTCCACAGGAAATCACACAAAAGGGCCCATTTTGGTGAGTAAGGGGATTTGCAAGCTCGCTGCTCTCCGTGCCCAGGTCACTGGGGTTGGCTGAATGGTTTACTCTCATTCTTTCTGGTAGGTTCGGGTTGTTCTAATTCACTAAAGCTGTTGTTGCCATCAAAATGAATAGAGTACACTTTTAGTTGAGCAAAAGGATGGGCGAAATTCTGTCTCTGTGCTTTTATTTTATAGTTTACTCTGCTTAATTGACTTCTCAAAAGTCATTAAACTAAGTAATGAATTCTGCTCAGGGACTGGTGGTGTTTTTGTGTGTGTGTGTGTGTGTGTTTTAGTTCTAAAAGCCAGAATTTAAATAGTAAGGAATCTTAAAGAAGAGGGAATCAAGTGAAGTAATCTGTGAAAGTGTGTTAAAACCCATAAAGCTTAGTTCAAATTCAAAATTCTGTGATCAGCCAGGCGAGGTGGTGCACACCTATAATCCCAGGACTTTGGGAGGCTGAGGCAGGTGGATTGCTTGAGCTCAGGAGTTAGAGACCAGCCTAGGTAACATGGTGAGACCCCATCTCTACAACAAATACAAAAATTAGCCCTGCATGGTGGCGCATACCTGTAGTCCCAGCTATTTGGGAGGCTGAGGTGAGAGGATTGCTTAAGCTCAGGAGGTCGAGGTTGCAGTGAGCCATGATTGCACCACTGCACTCCAGCCTGGGCAACAGAGCAAGACCCTGTCGCAAAAAAAAAAAAAAAAAAATTCTGTGATCATCATTGTTGGTGTTTGGGGGCTTGTCTTGAATAAAACTGATACTTGCCTGGAATTTTGTAGGCTTCTGGGGGCTGGGTATTATTTCTTGTTCATGTCTATCCCTGAGCCCTAGAGCAGAGGGTTGGCACATTGCAGGTCCTCAATAATTGGCTCTGACCTGAGCAAAAACAGATAGTTGTGGCTTTCTTCCCCCTTTCAGATCTTCCTAAGGGCCTAAATCCCTCCTTCTGCTGGTGGCTGTCCAGAGTCCTGCCTGCTGTTTGGTGTTCCTGCTCTGCCTCAAATGTTACCACTAAGTGGCTGATTGGTCTTCTCAAGGCATGGGACCAAAAGGGCTCAGAGTTGGTCCCTATTGCTGGCAGATTGGACATTCTACAGTGGAAATAGCTGGATTAGCCTTAATAAGTAGAAGTTAATGCATAGCCTTCATCCATACCACTATGAACGCTCTCTTAGTGAGCTCACTGCCAGCAGTAGGGTGGCTGATGGCAGACGCTGACTGGAATCAAATGACCAAATCATTTTTTCTACTTGGTTGTTTAGTGCCTCTTCAATGGTGGATGCCCTACACTGGGCCTTCACATGGGATACAACTATCTTCGCCCTTTGTGCCCAATCCCATATCTCCCTGCACATTCCTCTACCCCAGACCTTCTTGTCCCTAATCTTCCAATCTTTCTCCTTCCAGGCCCTGGACCAGCCAGCCAAGCCACACATTACTGCTCAATAATTCCATATATGCTTGACCTTGGGCTACTTTTCTTTCTGCACCGAGTGAGCAGCCAGGTGCACTACCTCAAGGTTGCCTTTTGGGAGGATTTCCCTCACTGCTGTCTTTAGGGTGACTCCTGAGTGAGCTATTCTGCAGCAGCATTCTATTTTGGGCTTGTACCCAAATGCCATGCCAATTTATTAGTGTATCAAGCTCAGCCTTCCCCCACTCTATCAGCTGGTCAGAAGGGACCCCTGCAGGCAGTTGTAAGTGTGAGCTGAGAGAGAGCTATTGCAATAATGGTGACTTCATCCCATCCCGCAGGGAAGGCTAGGGCTAGAGTTGTCAGGAACTTAGGCAAGTGGACCGGGAATCTGTGCCTCTGCATTGCCCCGTAATTTGATGTGGGCTGCTGCCATGGAGAAGTGTAACTTTGGGCAAGGCAGCTTCCTCCAGCAGAAGAAAATTCTTGGAGACAAACTCAGCTTTAAGCTGTCAGCATCTGGGAGAAGGAGTGCTTCAGTCCACAGTGGAAGTCCAGGCAGCACCAGAGCGTCCACTACAAGAAGAAAATAAAGCTGAGATAACTGCAGTTAACATTTTGGTGTTTCATCATCCCAGCTTTTTTATATGTCAAACCCATGTGTGGTTGTACAGTGTTATTTATACTGTGTAGCATTCTCTTGTTTTCTTCTAAGTCACCTTTCAAATAAAGTGATTAGTAATACTGATTAAGGTGATCACATTTAGCCTTTTAATACATATATATATATTTTTTTTGTGAAGAGAAACTGAATGAAAAATCGTTCTAGACTCTCTATTGGTTAGCTATACCCATGCTTGAGGTCTAGGCAGTATTCAGGAGAATATCATTCACCCAGTGGACTCACTAAAACAATGTAAACAGTCTTTATGTGCTGAAAGTTCTAACTCTTAAAGAGACTAAATTAACAACCCTGTTTGATGTAAGACCTAACATACTCAGTGTGATGCATAGGTGGGTGTTTGAGGATCATGATGAACTATCATGTAGTGAGCATTGATCTGATTTAAAATTACCCAGATTTTTATCTGCAGGATGATGTTTAAGTGATTGAGGACCCTAGAGTAACTTCCTTTAAGTCATACAAATTCAACCAGTCTCTGGTTCTGATACGTAGAAGAATCAGTAATCCTATGAAAGAAAGATAAACTAAGTATTAGGAACACAAAATCAAAATCTCATTGATTCTAATAGAAGAAATTGAAGGATTAAACATATTTCAGCATCAGTTGTGACTCTTCTTGAAGGGCTCACTTTGACATTTGTCTTCCCCTAGTGGTGAAATTCCTGTTTTCTTTGGAGCCTCAGTAGGAATTTTCTCCCCTACAGTTGGGCATCTCGCAGAAGATTCAGGGTCTTTTATAAGTCTAGGGATTGGGAGAAGATATCCTTGAAAGGAACTAATCATGTATGTGGGAATAGTCTTCAGGGAGCCCCAACATGAGGCCTCCTTACCTGGTACTGGGAGCTGGTCACTTTTGAAAAATAAAAGAGAAGAAAGAAGATGAAAAATAGAAGAAAGAAGAAGAAATTAGTGCATGATCTTGTTATTATGGCTTTATAAGATCTTATATAATGTATAAAAGCCTAACTGAAGATAAAATTTGTTCAGTGCTTAGATTACACAAATCGGAGAGTCTGCCTTTGACTTGGCACGTTAATGAGCATTATAATTCAGGCACATTAATGAGCATTATAATTCAAAGAGCAGAATTACCTGTAATTAACCTGGGTTTTCACCATAGTTTGTACAAGGAGATAGCTACTTTCTCCCTACTTCTCACGAGACTGGTGGCTTCCTCTTCTGGCAGGGGGCAGGGCCCCTAATATCCTATGGGCCCCAAAGATCCCATTTGTCCCAAAGTTTCTAGGTGCAGGGAAGCTGGTGTTCCCAGAGAGCTGTAAATAGCTGATACTGTCAATCCAGGCAGCTTGTGTATTTCTCCCACTGACTTATGCTACACTCCAAAAAGGGAAATCTGTAGGGGGCAGGGGTCCCTCTATTGGAACAGAACCTACACAGTATCCAGTAGATACCCAGGCCCTAGCATGACTCTCCATAGCCAGATAAACAGTATGGAGTGCTTATAGGCTGGCTCAGGCCCATTCCTTAACCTATCTCATGTGACATTGAAGAATTTGTTCCAACCTCTTGCACAACTAGTGACAGCCCTAAACAAGCCTTGAGGCAAATTGTTATATTGAGACTATTGGGGAATCAAATTAAATACTTAGAAAGAAAATATTGGTTCAAGAGGTTGGTGAAAGAGCTTCATCTGCTGTTTCCAAAGTCATGGGAATGTCTGGGCCTTGAATTCAAGTCCTCTCAGTTGCATAGTCAGCTTCTGCTATTGGAGTATCAGGCACCTAGGCTGGTTAGAGTTGTAGGAGGGGAGAGTGATAGTTTCAGGGCCTGCACCATTGCTTGGTGGAGAAACCAACACTTGAAAACAATACCACCTATGACAACCTATCCTGCTTGTCCCATGGTCTGGATTTCACACTGCTTCCTCTAAAAAAATTTTGTTTTTCATCACAATACTAACAACCACTGGGAAATTGTTGACTAGGCACTATTTGTGGAGAATACACTCAGGGGAGCAATAGCTACACACATCTACTAACTTTTACAGTTTCTGTAACTGCTTGTGAAAAGTCATTTAACTTCCCTAAGCCTCAGTTTCCCCATTTATTAAATAGGAATAACAATGAAAACCAGATGAGACAATGGATTTGAAAGCATATGACAAATTGTAAAATATTGCCAATGATTTAGAAAATAGTGTCATATATATTGTTAAAGAAAAAATTATCACACTTGTTAAAGTGGTAAGGAAGACTGTTCAGAGAGGGCCATGGTGATAGGAATAGGGATCATTGCAATGGGGTTTTGCAGTGGGGAAGAGAGATTGTACTCAACTCTGACTCCAAAAAGGATGAATGGGGATTTACAACCTAGGAGTGGGGTCAGGGGCAGTGGATGGAAAATTACTAAGAGGAAACACCAAGGATAAGAGGTTTCTGGCTAAACTGACTTGGTAGAGTTATCGCGGAAGGATGACCAAGGTGTTCAGATACCAAGGGTGGGAGATATTCACTAAAGTGACTCAGGAGGATTCTTGATCAAACTGGATTCTATAAGGACAAAAAGGGAAGCCCGAGGTTGGACCTAGTAAAACAAAAGACTCAGAGAAGACTGACTATAATTTTGGTAAAAGGGGAGAGTGTATTAGTTTGTTCTCACACTGCTATACAGAATTACCTGAGACTGGGTAATTTATGAAGAAAAGAGGTTTAATTGACTCACACTTCCACAGACTGTACAGGAAGCATGGCTAGTAGGTCTCAGGAAACTTACAACCATGGCGGAAGGCAAAGGGGAAGCAAGCACATCTTACCATTGTGGAGCAAGAGAGAGAGTGAAGGGGGAAGTGCCATACACTTTCAAATAACCAGATCTCACTCATTATCCCAAGAACAGTAAGGGGGAAGTTCAACCCCATGATTCCATCACTTCCTACCAGGCCCTTCCCCTGACACATGGGGATTACAATTTGAGATGAGATTTGGATGGGGACACAGAGCCAAACCATATCAGTCTTTGTCAATATTTTAATAAATGCTAAAGATGATAAGATTAATAGCCTTGGTACACCAATTAATAATATGTTTCTAGAATTGAAAGCAAAAATCATATGATCATCTCAATACAGGCAGAAAAAGCTTTTGACAAAATCCAACATCCCTTCATGATAAAAACTCTCAACAGACTGGGCATCAAAGGAACATATGTCAAAATAATAAAAGCTATCTATGACAAACCCATAGCCAATATCATACTGAATGGGCAAAAGCTGGAACTATTCCCCTTGAGAACTGAAACAAGACAAGGATGCTCTCTCTTGCCACTCCTATTCAACATAGTATTGGAAGTCCTAACCAAAGCAATCAGGCAAGATAAAGAAATAAAAGGCATCTGTATTAGTCTGTTCTCATGCTGCTAATAAAGACATACCTGAGCCTGAGTAATTTATAAAGGAAAGACGTTCCTTTATAAAGCCACAGTTCCATATGGCTGGGGAGGCTTCACAATGATGGCTGAAGGCAAATAAGGAGCAAAGTCACATCTTACAGGGCGGCAAGCAAGAGAGAGCTTGTGCAGGGGAACTCCCATTTATAAAACCATCAGATCTCATGAGACTTATTCACTACTATGAGAGCAGTATGGCACAAACTGGCCCCATGATTCAATTATCTCTACCTGGCCCCACCCTTGACACATGGGGATTATTACAACTCAAGGTGAGATTTGAGTGGGGATGCAGCCAAACGATATTAGCATCCAATTAGGAAAAGAAGTCAAACTATTTCTCTTCACTGATGATACAATTCTATACTTACCAAACCCTGAAGACTCCTCCAAAGGCTACTAGAATTGATGCATGATTTCAGCAGGGTTTCAGGATAGAAAATCAATATACAAAAAACAGTAGCATTTCTGTACACCAATAATGTCCAGGCTGAGAGTAAAATCAAGAACATGACCCCATTTACAATAGCCACAAAGAAAATGAAATACCTGTGAATACAGCTAACCAAGGAGGTAAAATATCTTTATAAGGGAAACTACAAAACACTACTGAAAGAAATCAGAGATGACACAAATAAATGGAAAAATATTCTATGATCATGGATTAGAAGAAACAATATTGTTAAAATGGCCATACTGCCCAAAACAATTTACAGATTCAATGCTATTCCTATCAAGCTACCAATGTCATTCTTTACAGAATTAGAAAAAAAGTATTCTAAAATTCATATGGAACCAAAAAAAAAAAAAAAGCCCAAATAGCCAAAGCAATCCTAAGCAAAAAGAACAAAGCCAGAAGCATCACACTACTCAATTTCAAACCATATATACTATTAGGCTACAGTAACCAAAATATCATGGTACAGGTAGGAAAACAGACACATAGACCAGTGGAACAGTACAAAAAACTCAGAAATAAAGTTGCACACCTACAATCATCTGATCTCCAACAAGACTGACAAAAACAAGCAATGGGAAAAGCACTCCCTAGTCAACAAATGGTTCTAGGATAACTGGCTAGCCATATGCAGAAGATTGAAACTGGACCCTTACCTTTTACCATATAAAAAAGTAACTCAAGAAGGATTAAAGATTTAAATGTAAGACCCCAAAATATAAAATTCTAGAAGAAAATCTAGGAAATACCTTTTTCAACATTGGCTTTGGCAAAGAATTTTGGCTAAGTCCCCAAAAGCAATTGCAACAAAAACAAATATTGACAAGTGGGACCTAATTAAACTAAAGAGCTTCTGCACAGCAAAAGCAACTATTAACAAAGTAAACAGAAAACCTACAGAATGGGAGAAATTATTTGCAAATTATGCATCTGACAAATGTCTAATATCCACAATCTATAAGGAACTTAAACAGTTCAACAAGCAGAAAAAAAAATAATCCCATTAAAAAATGGGCAAAGGACATGAACAGACATTTCTCAAAAGAAGACATACAAGTGTCCAACAAATGCTCATTACTACTCTTCAGAAAAATGCAAATCAAAACCACAGTGAGATACAATCTCACACTAGTCAGAATGGCTCTTATCAAAAAGCCAAGAAACAACAGATGCTGGTAAGGCTGTGGAGAAAAGGGAACACTTATATACTGTTGGTGGGATGTAAACTAGCTCAGCCACTGTGGAAAGCAGTTTAGACACTTCTCAAGGAACCTAAAACAGAGCTACCATTCAACCCAGCAATCCCATTACTGGGTATGTTCCCAAAGGAAAATAGACCATCATACCAAAAAGACACACTTGCACAGTCATATGTTCATCACCTTGCTATTCATGATAGCAAAGACATGGAATCAACCTAGGTGCCCATAAATGGTGTATTGGATAAAATATGTGGTACATATACACTATGCAATACTACACAGCCATAAAAAGAATAAAATTCTTTCCATTGCAGCAACATGGATGGGACTGGAGGCCATAATCTCAAGGGAACAGAAAACCATATCCCACATGCTCTTACTTATAAGTGGGAGCTAAACCTTGAGCACACATGGACATAAACATGGGAACAATAGACACTGTGGACTACTAGAGGGGGTAGGGAGGAAGGGGTGCGTGGACTGAAAAACCACCTGTTGGGTATTATGCTCACTACCTGGGTGCAATATACCTATGTAACAAAGCTGTACATATACCCCCTGTATCTAAAATAAAAGTTGAAATTTTAAAAAAATTTTTAAAATATATGTTTCTGTGCATTTTTTTTTTTTTTTTAAGTAGAGACAGTGTCTCTCTGTGTTGGGCTGGGATCAAACTCCTGGCCTTAAGTGACTTACCTGCCTCGGCCTCCCAAAGTGCTAGTATTATAGGCGTGAGCCACTATGGCTGGCCTGTTTCTGGGCTCTGTCATACTGCCTACACTTTTGTTTATGGTATAGAGACTAAATGTGATCAATGGATAATTTTATTTTTTTTTCTTTTGAGAGAGGGTCTCACTCTGTTGTCCATGCTGGAGTGCAGTGGCACAATCAAAGCTCAGCCTTGACCTCCTGAGCTCAAACGGTCCTTCCATCTAGCCTCCCGAGTACCTGGGAATACAGGCATGCACCACCACCACACCCAGCTAATTTTTATTTTTATTTTTTGTTGAGATGGGGTTTTACCATTTGCCTAGGCTGATCTCAAACTCCTGGGTCTCGCCCTCCTTGGCCTCCCAAAGTGTCGAGATTACAGCTGTGAGTCACAACTCCTGGCCGGATAATTTCGTATATTGGAACACTTTTGTTTAATTTAGCAAAGAACTGCTGTTTGGTAATTTTGATATCACAGTCAATGATGACTATGAGGAAGAGTAACCTAAGTGGGGACTGTGCAGTCTGAGCAGATGGAGTTGTTGATGTGCTGGTGGTTGATGTATCCGCTCCAGCAGAGCATCCAGCCCTTGCTGTCCACCTGTATACACCAGGTTGCCGCAGCTGAAGCAGGACTGCAGATCACAGTGGTCACTGTTGCACTCACAGTGGTCATTTGCAATGGAATATGCCAATAGCAGGGAAATCCTCCCCAGAATATGTTACCATGAGTTCATGACAAGCCCCTGTTCTAAACTCATCTCACTGTGGCCAGAGGACTGAGGATGCAAAAGCCAGGGTTGTTCATCAGCTGTAACAGAGACTTGGGAGAGAGAGAGAGAGAGAGACAGAGAGAGAGAGAGCTTGAGCATATTTTAACTTTTATCCTTCATTGTGTTATAGCTGTGTATCCTTTCTATAATAGCGCTTTGGAGGTCTTTGAAGCATTGGAAAAGGAAGGTCAATATATAAAGAAGAAGTTAGAAAAAAATGTCCTCATCCTCACTGTTTTATTGAATTCTTATGGTTAAGTACAGAAGCAGTGAGAGTAGACAAAATTCACTCTGGAAACTGTGGGTATATCGATTTAAATTTTGGCAGCCAAGAAGGGCAAACCAGGGAGAACGTTTTTCTTATTTTGCCTTCTAGATTCAGAGTGTCCATGAAAATTTGGGCCTACGGATGGGAGTTGTTCCCTAAGCCTAGAACACCTTCCCTTCCCCTAAAGCTTGCCAGATCCTGCCCAATATTCAAGGCCGTCCAGGGTCCTCTTCTTAGGAAATCGCTTCTCAGATCCAGCCCTTACTCCTCTCTCCCTTCTCTGAACATCAACATCACCTCATTATTGCTCAGCTTCTTTTAAATATTGTCTTCCTCATGCAGTTTCTCCTTTTCCAGGTTTATTCTCTTCAAAAGGTTTTTAAGCTCAAGGATAAGGATCATGCCACACTTCTCTATTCCCGATAATGACTTATTAATTAATTGGACAGATAAATAGAGCCCTGGTGATTCCTATTCTATTCTGGAAAACAATTACTCTCTCATATGAGGTCACCCCATGTCAAGTTCAAAGACACAGAAGCCACATGTGTTCAGATATAGGCTTTCTCCTGCTCACTCCTCTACCACATCCACTGCTTCTGATACCCTCCCTTCAGTTCTTTCCAGTCTCTGGTGACCTGGGAAGCCTGAAGGTAAATAAAAATGACACAGAAGCCTGGCTAGCTGGTGTAGATAGATCATGGGGCGACGTCCCTGGGAGGTGGAAGGAGGTACCTTGGATGGGTAAGCACACAACCAGGGCCGTCAGAGTAAGGCCTCAGAACTTACCTCGCATGGCTAATGTAGAGGGACAGGAGAGGTGGGCTGACCAAGAGTGTGAAAATGAAAAAGAAAAGGTGATAAGCAGCATTTTTGTGAAGGGAAATGATGAAAGAGATTCCCAGCCACTTCCTTGTATTTTGGAAGATGGATGGGTCCATGGAAAGAGACATTGGGTCTTGAATGCAGCAAAATGTGCTTTGTTGGCTGATAATATCTCTTTGTGTCATCAGAATGGGGAGTGAAGACAATGCCGGAGCCTTTTATCCGAGGATTTGAATACTGAGTTTAACTCTAAAGTTATACACAAGCTTTTTTCCTTTAAAAATAAGTGCAAAACTTTTCCTTAAAAAATACAGGCCTTATTTAAATCAGAAAAATTCACCCATTTAAGGTCCTCTAGAATGGTTAATACAAGCTTGTATATCAAAATATTTGAATGGATCTAACAAAACCCTGACTTTTTCCAAAAACAGTCATTCATTTAGAAGCCATTAAAGTTAACTGAGGTCTTTTAGAGGCCTCAGTGGGAAACTTCATTACCCTCTCTCCCCTCCCCACACACAAATATTATAGCTTATAATCTGATTTTTCCTGTAGCTTTTGCAGACTTCTTTTCCTGGCTCTCTGATAACCAGCTACATGTCTTCCACATGAAGCCTCCTGAGTTCATCAGTACATCATTGCATCATTGACATGACCCTGCTGAACTATGCCACGTCTGCCTTTGCTTAAGTGGGTAGGACTGAACCTGCAGCAAACTTTGGAGCACTCATTTGGGTCACAATGATAAAAATAATAATACTTAATAATAGCCTACTGTGTCATGAGTGTCTAGTATGTTCCAGACGTTGTACCAGGAATCTTATACAAGCTGCAACATGTAGCCAACTCAGTCCAATTAACACCAGGACTACCCCTAATATTTGAAAGATATTATGCCTAGAGCATAAATAGAGCCCCTCCCTACTCCATGAAGTACCCTCCTTTCTCCTCACTCTCTCACATGTCCAAGTTCTATCCATATGACCCCTCCTCAAACAGCAGCCTGTGGCTATCAGCGTGCCCGGGAGGATAGGTCTGGGGAAGACTCCCTCTTAAGTCTTGGAAGTGATCCTGGGTCTAAGTGGAGGGAATTTTGAAGATCCAGGTATAAAGAGTGTGGTCTAGAAGGAGAGGTGTGGGGATGTCCCATGGCCCCACAAATTCCTGCCCCACTGGGAAGAGTTCAGCTACAGGAAACCAGAGGGAAGTTCTCTGAAGCACCCAGTCCAGTCTGGGGGTCCTGGTCCACCAACGCTAATCACAGTACTGATCACTAGGGAGAAAAGAATCCGAAAGTTACACATAGCTAGTGAGTGAAAGAACTGGGAATAGAACTCAAGTCCATCTACCTCAAGGCCTAAGCTAATTGTCTCTTCATACACTGATGGTTTGTTTTAGATGTTATCTCTTCAGGTGTGCATATCTTATATCTTCTCTAAATTATACACTTGTCATAGTAGTTCCTTTGTCATGCTTTTTTTTTTTGAATTTCCACAAAGTCTGCACCCAAATAACCTGTTCAATCCCTATGAATTCTGTGCATCTTGGGCTTTAACAGGAATTCCAATATATTCTAGTGGATTGGCCAATTTATTAATTGGTGGAAGGCTGATTTCTTTTCTCTTCCTTTTCTTTTGTTTTTTGTTTTGTTTTATTTTGTTTTTTGAGACAGGGTCTTGCTCTGTCATTCAGGCTAGAGTATAGTGGCATGACCACAGCTCACTGCAACCTCTACTTCCTGGGCTCAAGCGGTCCTCCCACCACAGCCTCCTGTGTAGCTGGGACTACAGGTGTGTGCCACCACACTCGACTAATTTTTTGTATTTTTTGTTAGAGACAGGGTTTTGCCATGTTCCCCAGGCTGGTCTCAAATTCCTGGGCTCAAGCAATCTACCAGCCTCAGGCTCCCAAAGTGTTAGGATTACAGGCATCAGCCACTGCATCTGGCCCTGAGTTAATTTTTATGTATGGTGTGAGATTGGGGTCCAGCTTCATTTTGCATGTGGATATCCAGTAGTCCCAGCACTGTTTATTAAAAAGATTATTTATTCCCTATTGAATGGTCTTAGCATCTTTGTCAAAGATCAGTTGATAAATCTCCACCCAGGGGTATGTAAAATAAAAAAAAAATCAGTTGAACATAGACATATAGGTTTACTTCTAAATTTGCAATTCTATTCTGTCTATATGTCTGTCCTTATGCTAGCACCCCACTATTGTGATTACCATTGTTTTGTGGTAAATTTTGAAATTCGGAAGTGTGAATGTTCCTGCTTTTTGTTCTTTCTCAAGGCTGTTTTGGCTATTCTGGGTCCCTTGCAACTCCATATGGATTTTAAAATCAGCTTATCAATTTTTACAAAAAAGTCAACTGGGACAGAGCATTATTTTTGCTTATATAAATTTGGGAAAAAAACTAACATTCCGGAATTGCAGCTCAATATTTTTTATTTGAGATAAAATTTACATACCATACAAATCACCAATTAAAAGTGTACAATTTAGTGGCTATTTGTGTATTTACAGAGTTGTTCAACCAATGCCAGAATCAATTTCAGAACATTATCATCACCCCCCAAAAAAAATCCTTTACCCGTTAGCAGTCATTCCCTATTTCTCCCCAGTTACCGCTCCCTTTTTCCACCCTAGCGCTAGGCAACCACTAATCTTCATTGTCTATTTGCTTATTTTGGAAATTTCATAAAAATGGAATTTTAAAACATGCAATCTCCAATGGGTTTTTTTCAGATAGCATGTTTCAAAAGTTCACCATATTGTAACATGAGTTGATACTTAATCCCTTTTTTTTTTTTTGAAACAGAGTCTCACACTGTCTCCTAGGCTGGAGTGCAGTGGCACGATCTTGGCTCACTGCCACCTCCACCTCCCAGGTTCAAGCAACTCTCCTGCCTCAGCTTCCCGAGTAGCTGGGATTACAGGCGCCCGCCACTACGCCCGGCTAATTTTTTGTATTTTTAGTAGAGACGGGGTTTCACCATGTTGGCCATGGCTGGTCTTGAACTCCTGACCTCATGATTCCCCCTCCTCAGCCTCTCAAAGTGTTGGGATTACAGGCATGAGCCACCGCACCGACAGATACTTAATTCCCCCTTTTTTTTTTTTTTTTTTTTTTTTTTGAGATGGAGTCTCGCTCTGTCGCCCAGGCTGGAGTGCAGTGGTGCAATCTTGGCTCACTGCAAGCTCCGCCTCCCGGGTTCAAGCAACTCTCCTGCCTCAGCCTCCTGAGTAGCTGGGACTACAGGCACCCACCACCACGCTCGGCTAATTTTTTTGTATTTTTAGTAGAGACAGGGTTTCACCGTCTTACCCAGGATGGTCTCGATCTTCTGACCTTGCGATCCGCCTGCCTTGGTCTCCCAAAGTGCTGGGATTACAGGCACAAGCCACTGCGCCCAGCTATGTTTAACCTTCTGAGGAACTGCCAGACTATTTTCCAAAGCAGCACATCATTTTACTTTGTTTTTTGTTACATTTTTTCCCACCAACAATGTATGGGACTTTCAATTTTCTCACATCCTCACCAACACATTATTAGCTTTCTTTTTGATTATGGCCATCCTAGTAAATGTGAAGTAGTATCTCATCTTGCTTTTTGTTTCATAAAGAACTCCACTAACGTAAAATTCATATACAAAGAACGTGCAGCTCTATTATAGTGGAAAAAAATCACAGAGATATGTAGGATAGCAAACATTAATCACTCACTCTGCATATAGTTGAGTCCTTTATTTTTATTTTTATTATTATTATTTTTTTAAAAGAGACACGGTCTCACGTTGTCGCCCAGGCTGGTAGTGTTGATCTCCTGGGCTAAAGCAATCCATCCACTGTGGCCTCCCAAAATGCTGGGATTATAGGCGTGAGCCACTGTGCCCAGCCAGAGTCTTCAGTAATTTAGTCTTGATAAAAATTCATATTGGAGTCCAACAGAAGGTGACCACATTGTGATACTGAATTTTAGAAGACACTGTGGATATATTAAATTCTTACATTTGTATAATAATTTAAAGGTAACAAAATTTGCTCACAATCTTTTCCCATCATTTCATTGTGATTATCCTGGGATTTAGTGAAGCAAGAATTTATTATTACTTACAGTTTTCAGTAAGGTAATTTAGGCACAGAGATGGTACAAAGTGACGTGCTCAAAGAGATAAGCTAGGAAGTGGGGTAACCAACCATTTGGGTTCACCTGACACTGAGGGGCTTTCTGGGATAGAAGACTTCAAGTGCTAAAATTGGGAGAGTCCCTGGAAAATTGGGCTGGGTTGGTTACTCTACTAGTAAGTAGCAGAGGTAGGCTGTTTAACTCTTGGTTTAACACTTTTGCTACCAGATTGCCTAGTGAAGCAGGCTTGCCCTTCTCCACGTGGAAGTTCTCTTTAGAGCTCCTCTCTTCAGCTGGGCGCAGTGGCTCACGCCTGTAATCCCAGCACTTTGGGAGGCCGAGGCGGGCGGATCACCTGAGGTCGGGAGTTTGAGACCAGCCCGACCAACACGGTGAAACCCCGTCTCTACTAAAACTACAAACTTAGCCGGGTGTGGTGGTGCATGCCTGTAATCCCAGTTACTTGGGAGGCTGAGGCAGGAGGATTGATTGAACCTGGGAGGCGGAGGTTGCAGTGAGCCGAGATAGCGCCATTGCACTCTGGCCTGGTGACAGAGCAAGACTCCATAACAAAACAAATTATAAAATAAATAAATAAAGATAAACAAGAGCCACTTAGTGCAGGGAACACAACTTGTATATTTATTATGTTTCTATGGGGATCACAACAAGGCAGGCACAGCTTAGTACAAATCGGTGACCCGTCTCAAAGAGCCGACTTTGGCATCTGCACCCCCCCAGTCGTGGTACCTTCTGTAGTCCCCAGGCCTCAGCAGATACTGCCGCCCCCGGTAGTTGGGCATTTCATAGAGGACCCAGCAGCCCTCCAGTACGTGGAGGGAATAGATCTCAGGGAGACGGAACAGTTCTGGAACACAGGCGCAGTCATCAGTGAGCTCAGACATAAGGCCTCGGTAGTCATCTCTCTCGTACAGCCTTAACTTGTGCGAGCTGGTCTGTCATGGCAATAAACAAAAGAACAAAAATAAACAGCATGCATCCTTGGGTGTCAACGAAAGTGACACAATCAGTCTGCATCTTCATGAAGCATGGCTTTTATTTTATTTTTGAGATAAAGGTCTTGCTGTGTTGCCCAGGCTGGAGTACAGTGGCAGGATCACTGCTCACTGCAACTTTCACCTCCTGGGCTTAAGTAATCCTCCCACCTCAGCCCCCCAAGTAGCTGGGATCACAGGTGTGCACTGTGACACCCGGCTAATTTATTTTTAAAAATTTTTTTGTAGAGAGGGAGTCTCACTATATTGCCCAGGCTGGTCTTGAATCCCTGGGTTCAAGTGATTCTCTCACCTTGGCCTCCCAAAATGTTGGGATTACAAATGTTGGGATTGCACCTGGTTTGAAACATGGTTTTTTAAACCAGTTGATAAAGTGTTTCTCCCCTGAACCCACTTTCAATGTTGTTATTCTAACAAATTAGGGAAAATATTAAAACGAATCTGACCTGATCAATGAACTGGAGATGTTGTGGAAGAAACAAACATTAAAATACAGGGAATAAAAGTGTGTTCTTTGTAAGCAATCATCAATACAATTGTAGTCAGTGAGTCTGTAGTGAGGATTTCAACTCTCATTTCCATTTTGACTCCATATAATTGAGTCTTAT
This sequence comes from Homo sapiens, assembly GCF_000001405.40. Classification (NCBI taxonomy): domain Eukaryota; kingdom Metazoa; phylum Chordata; class Mammalia; order Primates; family Hominidae; genus Homo; species Homo sapiens. The sequence goes on from NC_000002.12 coordinate 208,161,745, forward strand.
CAAGCTTGTTTTTGAGTCACTTTTTGCACTTATAATTTACAGTGATTTATATTTACACTGAGTCCACATGTATTTTCAAGTGACATTTTGCCAAGTCACTTGTGCCATTTGGGTTTCTTGCCCCAGAGAAATGCCTATTTTATTTATACCTCTTTGCGCATCTGCAAATTTTTCTGGCCTAAATTTGTTTTTTTATTTTTTTATTTTTTTTTAGACGAAGTCTCGCTCTGTCACCAGGCTGGAGTGCAGTGGCATGATCTCGGCTCACTGCAACCTCCGACTCCTGGGTTCAAGCAATTCTCCTGTCTTAGCCTCCTGCTTAGCTAGGACTACAGGCATGCACCACCATGCCTGGCTAATGTTTTGTATTTTGGTAGAGACAGGGTTTCACCATGTTGGCCAAGCTGGTCTTGAACTCCTGACCTCAAGTGATCTGCCCAGCTCAGCCTCCCAAAGTGCTAGGATTACGGGCGTGAGCCACTGAGCCTGGCCGTGATTTCAATTCTTGAATCTCCTTGTCACACTACATAATTTGGTGCCAACAGAAAGTGTAAATACATGCTGCACGTGATTAAAAAAGATTAAGCAGCATTTTGATGAGGACCATGTTCTATGAAATCCTAATCAATTGTGTGTCTCTGATATTTATAAGAAACTAGTTGATAATGACTCCTGGAAATTATAAATCCACACAAGTTGAAACATATTTTCCTAGGTTCTAGTAAGTCCTAGAATGTAGTGAAAAAAATTTCCAATGCAGTCAGAATACATTATACCTATATTGTTATCTCATAGTCTGTTAACTTTTCATCATTAAAAAATAATTATCATGGCCGGGCGCAGTGGCTCATTCCTATAATCCTAGCACTTTGGGAGGCCGAGGTCGGGAGTTCGAGACCAGCCTGACCAACATGGAGAAACTCTGTCTCTACTAAAAATACAAAATTAGCTGGGCATGGTGGCACATGCCTGTAATCCCAGCTACAAGGGAGGCTGAGGCGGGAGAATCGCTTGAACCTGGGAGGCAGGGGTTGTGGTGAGCTGAGATTGTGCCATTGCACTCCAGCCTAGGCAACAAGAGCGAAAGCGAAGTTCTGTCTCAAAAAAAAAAATTATCTAGATAAACTAGATAGACTTTTCTTTTTTTTCTTTCTTTCTTTTTTTTTTTTTTTACTACTGAATAAGGTGACTTTTATGTAGAAATTAGGGATCACCTAGATGTTACCAAGTTTAATTTAAAGGCTATGTTGTGATTTCCCATGCCCTAAAATGATGTCCTTAAGTAAGAAAAATAGAGATTATTGTTACTTTTTTTTTTTATATATGTTTGAGGGTCAGGCCTTGCTATTCTTACTGTGAACACTCATCCTGTGTTGGAACAAACTGACTTTTATAAACAGGAATTGATGGCCATGGATCATTGATGCTTTCACATCAGTCAAGTTGAAGCAAGACTCACATGAGGAATTATACGGCAGGATTGGACCGAGTCGCTGAGGCCCATCCAGTGCTGATAGTCGGGGTACTTGCCTCGGCGCAGGAAGTACTGGTGGCCCTGGTAATTGGGACGCTCATAGAGCATCCAGCAGCCGCTGTCTACTCGGATGGAGTTGCAGCGGCTGAAGTAGACCCGCAGGTTGGGGCAGTCACTGATGCAATTGTAGCAGCGACCCTGAAAGTCTCGGTCCTCGTAGAAGGTGATCTGAGGTAGAAATAAGGTGACAGTAGACAGTCAGCTGGAAGGAACATCCCCACACACCACAGACCCCCAATAGACATGGCACAGCACCTCCACAGGCTCACCTTCCCCATGGTTGTTGACAGAGGGTGATTAGCATCTAGTATGATAGGGACAAAGGGGCAACTGGTATATATAGCAGGGAAGCTGCTGTGTTGGCAAAAACAACACAAAAGGGACCTGGGGGTGGTGCGTAGGGGGATTTCTGTATTCTCTTTTTTTTTTCATTTGAGATCATGGGGCAGTGGGCTCTCTCTCTTTCTGGCATTTTCGAGTTGTCCTCACTAGCTCCAGTGAAAGGTATTAAAGTCAGCAGAGCCATTATGACCTTGGAGACAAAGGGCACACTTCTCATCCTATGCAGCTCACTAGAAATGCATTACATGCCCAGCATTCTGCAATGTTTGCCTATGGAAACTGCTGAGATGGAGGTTGGTGGTTCCATCTGAGGTCACTTATGAGAACACATGCGTTCCAGAAGGACTTGAAGTGTGAAGAGGCAACAAAAAAAATCCCAGACAGAAAATCCTCTAATTGAAAGACAATTATATTTCTTAAGTGACTTCATCAGTATGATAGGGTTTTGATAAAAATATTTTGCCTATATTTATGTAGGGAAAACATAAGATTAGAAGTGTGTACTATACCAACATATCAATCATGGTAATCAATGAATGGCAAGATTATAGATCTTAGCTTTATGTTGTTATATTTTGTTTTTTGCTGCTGTTTTCTTAATTTTCTATTATATCTGCCATCTTCAGCCAGACAGAAAAAAAAATTCGATTATAAATATAACAATTTCATGAGATGAAAAAATAATAAAATCAATCTTTAAATGTATGACTTTGAGGTGCTGGTGAAAAGCAGTAAATACTGGAAGCAGGTATATTTAATCAAGAGATTAAACACTTCTTGAGCTAAAAATAAAAAGAAACCCTGAGAATCTGTGAGAGGCTCGAAGAGCAGAAAAATACACAGGAACATTTCACTCCCCTCCCCCTGCCACCCTCCTTCTAGCATTGCTTTTATTTTTTAAAATTAGCGTGATGATTTGCCTGTGTTTTTCCTTTCAATAGTATCACTGTTTCATTGAACCCAAGTGACTGCCTAACAGCCTTCTCCATTGCTGCCAACTTATTGATTTAGAAGTACTCCTCAGATGTGCAAGTGTGGAGGAAGACTCCAAACCCCAGACTGTCTTTTGTCATTCCACATGTATGTAGGAAGATGAAATCAAACACCTTTGTGCTTTAGACCCACCGAGGGATTCTAAAAGAGTATTTGACCACAGCTAGCAACACATTCACAATGTCATTTGTGAAAATCCTCAGGCAGCATGTAAGGCAAACGCGCAGGTGGTAAAAGGAGAGACAGCAGTAGCTACCGAGAAAAAAATGTTTCCTCATAACTAGCAGAGCTAGGCAAAAGAAAACTGGGTGAAGTCCTATGAAGCTAAACACCTAGCAGTGCATGCAGGGACCGCAAGTTGCTGATTCCCTCCTTTGCCTCCCCCTAATTAGCTGCAGGCTTACTGGTAAATCTTAGAACCATAATCAAACCCAGTGTGGAAAACGCTGCATTGGTCTCCCAGCCCCACATGAGAATATACCACCATTTTCAGAAAAAGTCTACAATCTCCATCTGTGTTTTTGTACATGCTGATGAAAACTGTTCTGTAGACAGATGGCACACCAAAACCTTAAGAAATGTATTATGTGTACTGACATTCATGTGATCAAGTTGTTATTACATACATTGATAGGCTAAGCCATGTGCCTAATCAGCATTTTGGAAAGGTACTAAAAGACCAGAACATCTTCCCTCCTAGTAGTCATTATAGTCTACTGAGAGAAAGCCTGTATTCATTTTTTTAATGCTTTATTGAAATGATTTAAACATTCTTTTCATATGAGAACACAGTAAAGGCAATCAATGACAGATTAATTTTATTTTGGATTAACTCTTTGGAAATCTGCCTCCCACTCCATCACTGTGCAATATTCAATGCCACACATTTGTAAAATGTGCTACAAAGCCAGCTTGCTCTAACACAGAAATACTATATACTTTCTGAATTCTCCAGCAGTCTTCCAGTCACAATGAAGTAGCATAAGGTCACAGTTTTTTTTTTTAAGAAAATGTAGCCATGCAATATGCTTCTAAAAGAAGAAAGCTCAACATCAAAAATAACACTTCAGTGCAGTTGTACCAAAAACAGTTGTAAAGAAAAATGTACTGGCAAGAGCTGTGGTTTTAAGATGATGCTTCTCGTCTGCTCCCAGAGAATCTATTATGAAGTTCCATGGTACAATTCCAATTTTCTAAGTGACCTGCAGAATAAAAGATGATTTTGGTATCAAGCACATCAATTTAACATGGACACAGACATTACTTTAAGTCTATAGGAAGTTAAGGTCAAATATCAGATACTAACTTACTGACAAAGATAGATTAGATTAATGTAATTACAAAGGAATTTTCATGGAATTATTCTGATATATTTGGAAATTGAGTTATATTTCCCAACTAAATGCAATATGTGATCCCATACTGGATCTTATACAGAAGGAAAAAAATGCTTAAAAAGAACATTATTGGGTCAATTGACAAAATTGGTGTATAGAGAGTACATTAAATAAAAGTACCAATAATAGATATTCTGAAGTTGATAACTATTCTATGGTTATTTAAGAGAATTACTTTGTTCTTAAGAAATACACACAGAGGTACATAGAGTAAAGTGGTAGAGTATATATACATAACTTCTAATGGCTCAGAAAAAAATTATATATCTTTATCTATATACAGAGAGACAAAGACAGAATATAATAAAGCTAACAGAACAAAACATTAACCATTCGTGACTGTATAAAAGGAATACGTGGGTTCTTTGTATATTATTCTTGCAAATTTTCTCTAAGTTTGAAATTATTTTTACATTAAAAAGTTATACTTCTCTTAACCAATCCTACCCAAAGCAAATCAGTTTTTGGCCTTTTAGCAGTTATGTATTATGCTTGTAGGATATTATTTTGAATTTCTGATGTATTGCTTTGGATTTAAATTTAAATTGTCCTCTCTCTATGTCTCATTTCCTTTCATGATAGCATGAATTTCTCATGAGTGGTGATGAAGAGAGCGATTATATTATTGCTTGCCACTGTCCTGACACTTTTTTTTTTTGAGACGGTGTCTCACTCTGTCACCCAGGCTGGAGTGCATGCAGTGGCGGGATCTCGGCTCACTGCAAGCTCCGCCTCCTGGGTTCATGCCATTCTCCTGCCTCAGCCTCCAAGTAGCTGGGACTACAGGCGCCACCACGCCCAACTAATTTTTTCTATTTTTTAGTAGAGATGGGGTTTCACCATGTTAGCCAGGATGGTCTTGATCTCCTGACCTCGTGATCCGCCCGCCTCGGCTTCCCAAAGTGCTGGGATTACAGGCGTGAGCCACCATGCCTGGCCTGTCCTGACACTTTTCTAAGCCTTTACACATATAACTTATTTAATGCTTATAACAACCCTATGAGGTAGGTACTATTATGACTTTTTAAAGAGATGAAAAACTAAAAGCACAGAGAGATTAGGTAACTCACTCAAGTTATTAAGTGGGTAGCCTGGATTCAAGAAGTATGCTGTATTCTAGCTCTTTAGTATGGTCGTGTTCATTCCAAATTTACTTCCTAGTAATGTGCCCACTACTGACGCTTTCCTAGGACAATGCAATTTAAAAAAAAAATCTTTAAAACTGTTTCCTAGCCGGGCGCGGTGGCTCATGCCTGTAATTCCAGCACTTTGGGAGGCTGAGGTGGGTGGATCACGAGGTCAGGAGTTCAAGACCAGGCTGACCAACATGGTGAAACCTCATCTTTACTAAAAATACAAAAATTAGCCAGGTGTGGTGGTGCACACCTGTAATCCCAGCTACTCAGGAGACTGAGACAGGAGAATCGCTTAAACCCGGGAAGCAGAGGTTGCAGTGAGCCGAGATAACACCACTGCACTCCAGCCTGGGCAACAAAGCAAGACTCTGTCTCAAAAAAAACAAAAAACAAACAAACAAAAAACTGTTTCCCAGAACACTGAGGGTTTTGTTTGTTTGTTTGTTCTGAGACAGAGTCTCGCTCTGTTGCCCAGGCTGGAGTGCGCTGGTGCAATCTCGGCTTAGTACAACCTCTGCCTCCTGGGTTCAAGCAATTCTCATGCCTCAGTCTCCCTAGTAGCTGGGATTATAGGCGTGCACCACCACACCCAGCTAATTTTTGTATTTTTAGTAGAGATGGGGTTTGCCATGTTGTTCAGGCTGGTCTTGAATGCCTGACCTCAAGTAATCTGCTCTCCTTGGCCTCCCAAAGTGCTGGAATTATAGGCATGAGCCATCGTGCCTGGCTGTGATTTTTTTTTTTTTAATAATTTCCTCTTTTCTCTTACTCTATGAAGAAATTCGGTGGCTGGAAATAAATAAAAAATTCTGAATAAGGCATTGTTTTATCTTGAGGTTAAAAAAATTGTTCTTCAGCTAAAAGACATATAATATCTGCAAGCCAAAAAGGAAAAACAGTAAGCTCAAATATTTAAAATGAAAATCTTCTTCAAATACCAAGCTGTGAAAGCATGTTTTTCATCCATTTAATAAAATACTTATTCCTTTAATATAGAAAGAATTCTAACAAACCAGTGAGACATACATATATGTATGTTTATATGTATATGTGTAGCAAATAATTAAATACCATAAGAAATATTAACAGTGGTTATTTCTGAAAAGTGGGACAGGGGTGTGAAGAAGAGGGAGTTCTTTTGCTTTTCATTTTATATTTTTTGTCTGGCTTGAAAATTTTACTTATAAGTGTGTACACTATTAAAATTTTTAAAACTAGTTTAAAAGATACATTACCCAAGAGTTGGGCCGGGCGCGGTGGCTCAAGCCTGTAATCCCAGCGCTTTGGGAGGCCAAGGCGGGCAGATCGCGAGGTCAGGAGATCGAGACCACGGTGAAACCCCGTCTCTACTAAAAATACAAAAAATTAGCCGGGCGTGGTGGCGGGCGCCTGTAGTCCCAGCTACTCGGGAGGCTGAGGCAGGAGAATGGCGTGAACCCGGGAGGCGGAGCTTGCAGTGAGCCAAGATTGCGCCACTGCACTCCAGCCTGGGCGACAGAGCAAGACTCCGTCTCAAAAAAAAAAAAAAAAAAGAGTTGGAAAAAATGCCTAAAGTGCACAAATAATAAAGTGTGAAAGAAAAAACACAAACGAGTTTTCTGTCGCTTGATTATTAAGAAAGGGCTTTTCTGGAAGGGATTCATCTCAGGACCTGGGGCCCTACTAAAACATGGGCATTTGTTCTTTCGACACTCCTGGGCTCGCAAGCATCAATCAGCCTATAGAAAGGTCTGGTCCCCAGAACTGAGCCTTTGATCACTATAGACAGGGCACAGAGATTTGAGAACCGTCACCTAAGGACTATTCGCTTACTACCTACTGCCAATTCACTAAATAAAAATTGTTACTGAATCTCTGCTGCCTGCGAAGTACTTTATATACATGTGAGAAATACTAAGGAAATAAAAGATATGCTTCCATCAAGAATCAAAAAATCTTCATTGGTTGTGGAAGAAAATATATATGGAACAAAATTATATTTAAAAATAAGATACCAATGAGTAATCTTTAGAGGTAGGTTTTCCTTACATAGGGTCCATTGATGAGGCTTGCGGGGGGTGTCTATAAACCCCTGTTTCAGAGATCTTTTTGTGTGTGTGTGTGATTAAGTTTAAAGTCTAGATTGTGTGTGTGTGTGTGTGTGTGTGTGATTTTTGGAGTTGTTACTGTTTTTTCATTGTTGTTTTGTTTTGCTCTCTAAAACTTGCTGCTTCCAAACACGTATAAAAAATGACCTCATTTTTCAAATTCTTCAAAAAATTCTTCAGAAACAAAGATATGGTTCTAGAAAGTCTAATACCTTCGGCCGGGCACAGTGGCTCACGCCTGTAATCCCAGCACTTTGGGGGGCTGAGGCAGGAGTTTGAGACCAGCCTGGACAACATGGTGAAACCCCACCTCTACTGAAAATACAAAAATTAGCCGGGTGTGGTGGTGCATACCTGTAATCCCAGCTACTCGGGAGGCTGAGGCAGGAGAATCGCTTGAACTCGGGAAGTGGAGGTTGCAGTAAGCTGAGATTGTGCCATTGCACTCGAGTGTGGGTGACAGAGTGAGACTCTGTCTCAAAAAAAAAAAAAAAAGGAAAAGAAAAAAAGAAAAGAAAATCTAATACCTTCAAATCTTATTATAGCAAATATGTTTGAAGGAAAATTGAATATGGTGATAATTTCCCCAAATAGTGCAGTTGTTCTGTTATCAGAATAACATTTATTAAAACCCTGATATGACCAAAGAATTCAATCAGTTCCTAAAGCAGTTGCTATGATAAGGTTACATTTCTAATTAATCAGATATAAGGGACAGAGAAGACAGTTTGCCTCTGAAATCTGAATAAATCCTAAGCCTCATGTAGTCCAGTCTATTCAGAGATTCAATTTAAAAATGCATGGTACAACAGCCAAACTAAATAAAAATAAAATTTAAATTGTCACTTGTTTCCTGATGCAAACCCAATCATAAGTCAGTATATCAGTTCTCAAAGTTCCCTTCCCCGTTTTCTACCTTACAGCCTTCCAGCATATCTAACATCTCTCATTCAACAAAACTCTAAAATATCCCAGAATCCCAGACACCCACCCTGTACCACTTTTCTGATTCTCTCCCCGCTCAGCTTTTATTCTGTTGATCAGAGAAGTCTCTCTGACTTCTTAAATTTTCTCTTCACTTTGCACATTACAGCTGAGAGCCCAGAGCTGGAAGAACAAAGAGCCCTCCTCCCTTTCTCCTTTCTTTCCAACCCTGTCCATCTCCGACCATTCTCTGAATTCCACCACAAATAAATCAGGAATCAGATGGACAGGGGAGGAGCAGGGGAGACTTTAAGCAGGAAAAAAGAAAATTATTATTGCTGAGAGAGGGATCAAGGATAGAAACATTTGGGATACAGAAATTAATACAAACTTTCTCCTCAACATGCTTATTTGCATCAACAGAGTAACAGCCAATTAACTTGTGGATAGTATTTTTCAAATGCTGAAAAGATAATAATAGCTAGTATTTATTTGGGGTTTACTCCATGCTAAGCACTGTTCTAACCTTTTAACATGAATAATCTCAGTTAATCACCCCAACAAGCTTAAGAGGTAGATATCATTATTCTTCCATTTTGCAGATGAGGAAACTAAGGCACAGAGAGTTTAAGTATCTTGCCTGATGTCCCATAGCTGGTAAGCAGTCGGCTCTAGATTCAAACCCAGAGCACCTGACTCCAAAGGCTAGACTTTTAACCACGGTATCAGGAAAGTACTCCCAAAATAGCTGGTATCAGTTTGGTCCAATTTACAATCTCACACCTACTTTGTGCTTTGGCTGTGTGTCTGAAAACCTTTGTGATGATTTCCATTCTGTGGCATTTGCTTCCTTTGCAGAGATGCTGGTGGCATTTTTATTTGTTGTTACCTTTCTTGACTTGACACCTACAGACAGATGCAGTAACCATATCTGTATATAAAACTTTTTTAAAAATGTGTCCATCCAAAGTTTCATTTAATTTCATTTCACTAATTAATTATTTTTGAGACAGGGTCTCACTTTGTCACTCAGGCTGGAGTGCAGTGGTTCCATCACGGCTCATTGCAGCCTCCACTTCCTGGGCTCTAACAATCCTCCCAACTCAGCCTCCTGAGTAGGTGGGACTAGAGGAGGGTGCCACCATGGCCAGCTATTTTATTTATTTATTTATTTATTTTTGAGATGGAGTTTCACTCTTGTTGCCCAGGCTGGAGTGCAGTGGCGCAATCTCAGCTCACTGCAACCTCTGCCTCCCAGATTCAAGCGATTATCTCGCCTCAGCCTCCTGAGTAGCTGGGATTACAGGCGCCTACCACCACACCCAGCTAATTTTTGTATTTTTAGTAGAGATAGGGTTTCACCGTGTTGGCCAGGCTGGTCTCAAACTCCTGAACTCAGGTGATCTGCCCGCCTCGGCCTCCCAAAGTGCTGGGATTACAGGCATGAGCCACTGTGCCCGGCTTATTTTTGTAGGGATGAAGTTTCACTAAGTTTCCCAGGCTGGTCTCAAACTTCTGGGCACACAAGAGATCCTTCCAGCCCAGCCTCCCAAAGTGCTGGGATTACCAGTGTGAGCCAGCCCACTCACAGTTTTAGATCCTTTGCTTTTGGAGTGCTTTGCTCCCATCACCAAAGCATCTGAGAAACAAGACTTCCTTGATTTCAGTAATGGAGGGAAATCAAGCCCTAAGAGCCCCTGGTTCTTTTAAATTCAACCAGACATAGAAATCTAATTCCCATTACAATTTTGACCTTACCTGGTGAGCCTACTTCCTAATTTCCTAGTTTGACTTACATTCCTCTAAGCAGGTGAAAGTAACCAGGCTTACTCTGTTTGCGGGCGTATGCTGCTGCTTTGGGTGCTGTTAACATGGCAAAGGGGTGCAAGGAGAGGCAGAGAGATGAAACTCGGGGAACCTGAAAGGAAAACAGTCCTACTTTTAAAATCTGTCCATCATCTGCGGCATGAACACCTGCTAGTCACAGCATTTGGCCTATTTAATCAACTCAGAATCCTTGAGTCCAATTGTTGAGTACTGTCCAACGGACACACTGTCCACAGTCCATTGATGGGGCACGTGAAGTATATGAACGTGAACTTGCACACATGGCCTTTTGTTCCTGTACTTGGTTCCCATTTCCTAGAATGCCCTGTCATGCACAGACACTCTTCACATAGTTCCCTTTATAGCCATTTCCTCCTTTTCTGCCTAGAGGCACCTACCTCTCTTTTATCATGTAGCTCAAATATGACCCCTTCCGAGAAATGTATCCTGATGTCCTCCCACACCCACTCTCCCTTGCTGGCACAGTTCCCCCTGCCTACCCAATGCAGAATTGTTGGTTCACTCATCTGGCCCAAAGTCTTTAACAGGCACTTTACAGAGGAAGAAATATATGAATAGTTGTCCATTGGTAATCAGGGGGAATGCAAATTTAAACCACAGTGAAATACCATAATACACTTAACAGACTGACAAAACTGAAAAAGCCAGTATAGATAACCTGCATTGCTGGTAGAAATAGAATTGGTACAACCATTTTGGAAAGCAGTTTAGCTTTATGTAGAGAGTTGAAGATGCTTATACCCATGGCTTAGCAATTTCATTCCTAGGCATATACCATACAGAAACTCTTTTGCCGTGCAATGCTTCTTGCTTTTGCAAGAGATAACTTGGCCAGGCGCAGTGGGTCATGCCTGCAATCCCAGCTCTTTGGGAGGCTGAGGCGGGTGAATCATCTGAGGTCAGGAGTTCAAGACCAGCCTGGCCAACATGGCAAAACCCCGCCTCTACTAAAAATACAAAAAAATTAAGCGAGTGTGGTAGTGGATGCCTGTAATCCCAGCTACTCGGGAGGCTGAGGCAGGGGAATTGCTTGAACCCAGGAGGCAGAGGTTGCAGTGAGCCGAGATTGCGTCACTGCACTCCAGCCTGGGCAACAAGAGTTAAAACCTCATCTCAAAAAAAAAAAAAAAAAAAAAAAACTCAAGTGCCTGAAATGGAAAAATAGATGACAACATTGTGGTATATTCCTAGAGTGGAATACTGTATGTAGTGAAAAGAAACTATAGCTATGTTAGCTATGTGCAGCAGTATTAATAAGTTTCTGAAACATAATGTTGAATGAAAAAAGAAAGACATTAAATGACACATTTGCTAATATCCTATTTATAAAAACTCAAGGCTGGGTGTGGAGGCTCAAGCGTGTAATCTCAGCACTTTGGGAGGCCAAGGCGGGCAGATCACAAGGTCAGGAGATCGAAACTATCCTGGATAACACTGTGAAAACCCGTGTCTACTAAAAATACAAAAAAATTAGCCAGGCGTGGTGGTGGGCACCTGTTGTACCAGCTACTTGGGAGGCTGAGGCAGGAGAATGGTGTGAACCCGGGAGGCGGAGCTTGCCGTGAGCCGAGATCGTGCCACTGCACTCCAGCCTGGGCGAGAGAGCGAGACTCCATCTCAAAAAAACAAAAACAAAAACAAAACACCAAAACTCAAAAAATGTGCAAAATTAAACAATATATAGATTAGAAATGCATATGTGGTAAAACTATAAAGAAGTAAAAGATAGTAATCAACACATAATTCAAACTAGTGGTAACCTAGGGCGAAAGGAAGGGTATGAGACAGGAGAGGGTATGCAGAGAGCTTTAAAGCTGTTAATACTGTTCCATTTTACACACTTGGATTTGTTTGTTTGCTTGGTCTTTGTCTTTTAAATATATATTGGTAAGTGTTCATTTGGACACAATTAATATTGAAAGTGTGTTTTTAATCCCTCATTTACTATTATTATTATTAATTTTTGAGACAGGGCCTCACCCTGTCACCCAGGCTGGAGTGCAGTGGCGAGATCTTGGCTCCCAGCAGCCTCCACCTCCCAGGCTCAAATGATCCTCCCATCTCGACCTCCCAAGAAGCAGGGACTGTAGACACACAACACCATGCCTGGCGAATTTTTGTATTTTTTGGTATAGACAGGTTTTTGCCACGTTGCCTAGGTTGGTCTCGAACTCCTGGGCTCAAGTGATTCTCCTGCCTCAGCCTCTTAAAGGGCTGGGACTACAGATACTGCGCCTGGCCAATTCCTCATGATTAAGATCTGTCAATATTGAACTTTTGTTTAAAACATAGGTCCCTCCCCTTATCATGAAAACATTTTAAAATTTCTGCACAATTCGGTCTGAGTCAGCATCCTCCAAAAAGAGAAGATGCTTGGCAAATTACTGGAGTAAGTGTGAGAGGGTGGAAGCCAGGCCTATCACGAAGGGACCAGGTTGCTATCAGGAGGAAGGAGGGTGGTCATCCCGAGTGGGGGCGAACTTGGAAATAACAGCACTAATATGGAAGGTCCCCTGGTGCCACCATCGTGTGCTCGATACGTGCAGTCTCACTGAGTCCTCAGAGTGATCAGGTGTGTTTGGGTAAGTGTAATCATGCCTGTTTAGACATGCCTATTTACATATGGGGAAATTGGGAATCAGAGAGAAATAACTTATCCGAAGACACACAGCTAGCAAGTGACAAAGCTGGGACTGGACATCAGTCTGTTTGCCTGTGACATGCCCTGGACTTGGATGTCAGTTAGGATGGACTCGAATGATAGCCAGTCAGACGCCGGGGTCCGGCTGCATGAAGAAAGAAGGAAAGCAGAGGTTCTAGTGCTGTCTGACCACCTGCCTTTGTCTCTTTCCTCTTTCTGATGTGCTCATTTCCACTCTCTCTGTCTCCCTCTTTCTCCATCAAATGGAGCTGAAGAATATTTTTATTTTTGTTCGATTTGTTGAAGGAAGATTTATGTTCTCTTTTCTTCAGGTTAAAATCGAATAAGACATGGTCGGGCGCGGTGGCTCAGCCTGTAATCCCAGCTCTTTTGGAGGCCGAGGGGGGTGGGTGGATCAGTTGAGGTCAGGAGTTCAAAACCAGCCCTGCCAACGTGGCAAAACCTCGTCTCTATTAAAAATTCAAAAAAAGTAGCCGTGCGCAGTGGCGCGCACCTGTAATTCCAGCTACTCGGGAGGCTGAGGCGAGAGAATCACTTGAACCCCGGGGGGGGGGGGGGCGGAGGTTGCAGTGAGCCAAGATCACACCACTGCACTCAAGCCTGCGTGACAGAGTGAGACTCTGTCTTAAAAAAAAAATGAGTAAGACATTTTATATTTATCCGGGGCTAGTTGTCAATAACTCTCACTTGCGTAAGGTCTTTAGTTGAATTTTTTCTATGAGTCCAGAATCCTCAGCAGAAAAAAGCTCCCAATCAGCAAAAAGCAGTTCCCTCTCAGGAGGGAGAACCCGAGGCTAACAGAGTAGGTGAGCAATCCCGCGCCTATGACTCCTTTCTACCATCAGGTGGCAGCACATAATCCCGGAGAAAGCCATCCAGCCTAGCACAGTACCCATATTGTGTCATGCGGCCAATTCCAGTTGCAGGAAATTCTTCATAATCTGATTAGTATTCAACAGAGTTTTAAGCTTTTGCTTGGGAAGGATTTTAGCTGTTGCTTAGGAGACATTTTATCGGAAGGAATCATTCAGATATATGTAGCAATTAAAGAAGAATCTCTTGCAATATCGTTTTTTTTTTTAAAAAACTCTAGTTAAAACCATTTTTTGAAATTATGTTAAATTCCAAAAGACTCTTTTAAAATAGGTTTACCGTTCAGTCTTTGAAATGCTACATTGCTATCGAGAGGTCCTGCTAATGCCTAATTCAAAATGTGGCAAAAGTCCCTGTGTGCAGCTGATGTGTAGCTCCAAGAGTAAGGCCTGAACTGGCGTTCTGGAGGCGGGGAGCTTGTGAGGCTCACGGGGCAGATCCTCAGGCTCTTAGACTCTTGTATTGGTAATTCAAATTACGCCCTCTGTGATCACTGGTTGTCCAAAAGAGGCAAAGTTTACATTGTGTTAATAATACACGTGGATGCTTGATTAGCTATTTAATTTTTGAATATTTAGAGCAGTGGTTCTCAATCTCATGTGATTTTGCCTCCCTGGGGACATTTGGCAAAGTCTAGAGACATTTTTTTTTTTGAGACGGAGTCTCCCTCTGTTGCCCAAGCTGGAGTTCAGTGGCACTATCTCCACTCACTGCCACCTCTGCCTCCTGGGTTCCAGCAATTCCCCTGCCTCAGCCTCCTGAGTAGCTGGGATTACAGGAGCCCACCACCACACCCGGCTAATTTTTGTATTTTTAGTAGAGATGGGGTTTCACCATGTTGGCCAGGCTGGCCTCGAACTCCTGACCTCAAGTGATCCGCCCGCCTCGGCCTCCCAAAGTGCTGGGATTACTGGCGTGAGCCACGGCACCTGGCCGACATTTTTGTCACAACTGGCGAGAAGCTCCTTGCATCTAATGGGCAGAGGCCAAGGATGCTGTGAAACATCCCACAATGCACAGGACAGCCCCAGAACTCCATTCCCTGAGTAGCAGAACTTTAATTAAAGCTATTATTTGGAGGTTACCATGGGCCAAACACTAAGGGCTTCACTGATTCTAACTTACTTCATTCCCACGACAACCCCATCTTTGCGTCCCTGTTTTTACAAATGAAATTGAGAATTACAGAGGTTAGAACATTTGCCCAGAATTATTCTGCTTGTAAGTGTGGAGCTGGGATTCAAACCCAGGAGGCCAGGCTTTGGAATCCTAGTGCTTAACATTACACAACCTGCCTCTCAGATAATATATCTATATATATACTATATATACATATGTATACATAGGTGTATATATATACATATCTGTGTATACATATCTGTATACATATGTATACATATCTGTATACATATCTGTATACATATGTATACATATATACAGAAATGTATATGTATACATATATACATATATACAGATACATATATACAGATATAGTACACATATATACTATATACATATGTATACATATACGTATATAGATAATGTATACATATATAGTAGTATAGTAATCAATGGCTCGATTTTATATATATACATACATATATATTATATATAGTGTGTGCATATATATGTGTATATGTAATATACATTATATTATATATTATAATATATATAATCGAGCCATCATTCACATCACATAGCAATAAACAAAATACAAGCGGCCAGACGTGGTGGCTCACGCCTGTAATCCCAGCACTTTGGGAGGCTGAGGTGGGTGGATCACCTGAGATCAGGAGTTCGAGAACAGCCTGACCAACATGGCGAAACCCCATCTCTACTAAAAATACAAAATTAGCCAGGCGTGGTAACGCATGCCTGTAATTCCAGCTACTCAGGAGGCTGAGGCAGGAGAATCACTTGAACCCGGGAGGCGTAGGTTGCAGTGAGCCGAGATTGCACCACTGCACTCCAGCCTGGGCAACAATAGGGAAATTCCATCTCAAGAAAAAAACAAACAAACAAACAAAAACTAAAACACAAAACAAATACAAGCCTTTAAAAAAAAGTCAGCCTCTGTGATAATATTATCTCTTTCTGTTTAGAGCTGGTTATTGTCACTGATTGTGAGAATGGGGACTATGTGTCACTGAACAGAGAAGGTGCTGAACAAAGGCTCTTTAATGAATAAATGAGTGATCAGATGGATAGGTAGAGATTGGTTGGTCCACTTCTACATGGCCTGTCTTCCCCTTCTAGCACCTTTATTTATTTATTTATTTATTTATTTATTTTTTATTTTTTTTGAGACAGAGTTTTGCTCTGTTGCTCAGGCTGGAGTGCAGTGGCACAATCTGGGCTCACTGCAACCTCTGCCTCCCAGGATATCCTGCCTCAGCCTCCCAAGTAGCTGAGATTACAGGCATGCACCACCACGCCCCGCTAATTTTTTGTGTTTTTAGTAGAGATAGGATTTCACCGTGTTGGCCAGGCTGGTCTCAAACTCCTGACCTCAGGTGATCCACCCACCTCTGCCTCCTAAGGTGCTGGTATTACAGGCATGAGCTACCGCGCCCAGCCTTCTAGCAACTTTAAATGAACCTGATTTATCTGAGCTACTCAGACACCCATGTTTGCAAACCTTCTTGACTGATAACCCAGCCAAACCTGGAGGGGTCCACAGTGCCATCCTCTCTAGGATGTGTTTTTCCATATTAGTCTTTTAGCCATGTGAGTTGGGACCAACTAGTCAGATGTGCTGATGCCTTTCTAGACCTCTCCCAGGTACCAGAAGGTGACAGGGAGAAAACAGTGACTGAAACAGAAGGGTTTGGGGCTCAGGCTTGTGTGTATATGTGCTGAGGGGTAGGGGAAAAGGAGAAAGGGCAGCCTAGAAGGGAGAAAGCTGCAGAAAAAGACAAGCAGGAATAAAGCAGTATGATTTGCTTGGCTATCCAAGGAACACAGAGAGCTGAGCTTTCTTTGAAAACCAAGAACAGCTTGATCTCTGAGGAGCGTCAGGCCTGGGGTGGCTTATATCTCAAACAAGGTAAGCTCCAATATAGGATATAAGATCTATAAGAAAAGTAATCTTGGCTGGGTGTGGTGATGCATGCCTGTAATCCCAGCATTAGGGGAGGCCAAGGTGGGAGGATCGCTTGAGCCCAGGAGTTCAAGACCAGCCTGTGGAACATAGGGAGACCCCCATCCCTAAAATTTTTTTTTAATTGTTTTTTGAGATGGAGTTTCTGCTCTTGTTGTCCAGGCTGGAGTGCAGTGGCATGATCTCAGCTCACTGCAACGTCCGTCTTCCGGGTTCAAGAGATTATCCTGCCTCAGCCTCCCTGGTAGTTGGGATTACAGGCGACCGCCACCACACCTGGCAAATTTTTTGTATTTTTAGTAGAGTTGGGGTTTCACCATGTTGGCCAGGCTAGTCTCAAACTCCCGACCTCAGGTGATCCACCCACCTTGGCCTCCCAAAGTTCTGGGATTACAGGCATGAACCACTGCAAACGGCCTGCAAAAAAGTTTTTAAAAAGTTATCTTGTCTGACTTGCTCACCACTGTATCCCCTGCACCTACAATTATACTGAATGAACAGATGAGTGAATGAATGAGTGAGTGAATGAATGAAGTGAGTTGAAACTAGAGGGATCAGAGAGAAAGTTCTGATTTTCACAATGATCAAGGGCATTTGAGTCTCAGGACTACAGTCAGGTTACATATGGATTAAAGTGATAGGAAAGTTGGTTTCAATGTAAACACTTGACTTCTAAGGTGGACCTGGTGGGCTCTTGAACTCTACATGACCCCACTGCTTGCACAATGACCTGCAGTAAAAGAATAAGGGAGGCAGGCATTCCTGTGGCCACAGCCTTGCCCCTGCCCTGCCCTCCCTTCTGAATCCAGGTGGGGGCAGGGAAAGCCACAGTGTGAGCAGAAGACCTGGGCGTGAGGACGTTGGTGCCCCCCTTCCCCCCTCCCACTGCATGGCCCTCGCCACCTCACCTTCCCTTTCCTCTTGCCTCTTCTGGAGGTATCCAAAGGTGAAGGGATCAGTAGTTCACCTCTAAATAGCAGTTCATATTTAAATGTTTACTTAATGTTCATACATTTACAAGTGGCAAAAATGGAAGTGGTCTTAAAAATTATTCAGAACACCCTTTTTTTTTTTTTAAGATCAGTCATATGGAGGCCCGAAAGGGGAAAGGGACGCATCTAGGGTTTCATAGTAGTGGAGTCAGAACTCAAACCCAGGTCTCTGAACTCCCAGGTCATTGCTGCTTCTACTGTTAATGATTTCAAAGTAGTTTCATGGGAGGAGCTGAGAGTGGAGCTCACACCTATAGTCCAGCTACTTAGGAGGCTGAGGCCAGGATTTCGAGGATTACTGGATTACCAGGAATTTGAGACCAGCAGTGAGACCCGTCTTTAAAAAATGTAGTAGTGTTGTGGGAAAGGAAGATGTATCAGCAGTAAACTAGGGAATTTGTCATGAGAATGAGCCTTGTGGATCTTGTCCTAGTTCTAGAAGATATAGTACATCATAGAAGGGAACTGTGTGGACCTACCAGATCTACATTACAAAAAGTGTACGTGAAAAATTACATTTATTAGAAACAGAGCAGAGGTTGGCATGGTGGCTCATACCTGTACTCCAGTATTTTAGGAGGCCAAGGCAAGCAGATCACTTGAGGCCAAGAGTTTGAGACCAGCCTGGTCAACATGGCAAAACCCCATCTCTACCAAAAAATACAAAAATTAGCCGGGTGTGGTGGTGCATGCCTGTAGTCCCAGCTACTCAGGAGGCTGACGCACGAGAATTCCTTGAACCCAGGAGGCAGAAGTGCAGTGAGCCGAGATCGCACCACTATACTCCAGCCAGGGTGACAGAGTGAGACTCTGTCTCAAAAAAAAAAAACAAAACCACAACAGAGTAAAGTTTTGCCCCCAAGCCTGGTACTCATTGCTGCCCCTTCTCAGCCGTACACAAGATACATTTGTTATTACTGCATGGTCTTTTACATATGAAAGGCATTTCACACACGTTATTCAAGTAAGAAATGGTTATGTCTGGTTTTGTACATTTTGATGTAAAACTGTTATTTCATAATTGATGTCTGAAAATACAACATTATACATTTATACACTAAATAAATTATCTCTAAAAATCCCTTCTATTGACAATCCCAGGTCACCCTTACCTTGATGGTACCAGAATCGGCAGAAGAATCAGCCCCATAAATTTTAAAGACTTCCTCAATCGGGATACTGTTCTGTTAAACAACAACAGCAATAACAAAGTATGATCATACCATGGCTTTTCTTTTATTATAAAACAAAGCTAATATAGCTCCAGTATGTCTAAAACTGTGCTTGGGTATCATAAGTATTAAATACAGTAAATAACTTCTGATCAATGGATAAATCAGTTTTCCAGATACCAATTAGTTGTGTCTCTCATTCTTTTCTTTTTTCTTTGCCTCTTAAATAAATGTTTTCACATACAGTGTAGAAGTTAGTCTTTTTATTACTTTAAAAAACGAAACATTTACTATCAATAACTCCTAAACATTTAGAAACATTGGTTGAAAAATAATGTAAATATTCATTACTGTAAAAATGCTCAGAGTAGATATGAAATATTCATATAGGCAGATAGTATTCTTTTCCTTACCATTAAGATTCCAGCATAAGATGATAAAATCATAGCTTCTCGTTCTCTACGATTTGGATATATGGGTCTGCCATGGAGTGGTATTTTCCTAATGGGGAATAGGAAATACAAGTGGAAGATTTATTCTTGTTCTTTTTGATGCCTGCTAAGGTTGTGATGATAATCGATAAGTAATCTGCAATGGCTGTGTGCTATCTGCTTATTTATATTAATAAAATTGGTATGATTGTTCCTCCATCGGTGAAATCCACACTTTGAATTTTTAATCTTCCAATAATGGTGATGAATTTGGCCTCATCTATCCATGTTTTCACAGCAATCAAAGATTGGCAGACTGGCCACTGTGGTGGATGTTGATGGTTTTGCAAACCATTATCCTTTCCCTTTCTTGTGACAATTTGCTTTGGGGGAACTACCTAACCCCACTGTAAGCCTATATGCTTCTAGGGAAGCTGACTACACCCCTAGATTCCAAAGATGAAAAACACACTGTGGACTGAGCTGTCAGCGTATTCCACCTCCCCTGCGCTGCCACTGTCCAACCCTAGACAAGCCAGGTAACAGCCACTGAGACACAATTGGGTGATTAAAAAAAAATATATCCACCCTTCCCCGATAATGAAATGGGCTGAAACTAGGAATGGTGTTCACCCTGAGGAAATGGAGTCAGGAGGTAGATCCAGATGACATTGTTTGAGTTTTGAATTAAACCATGCCTAACACAGTCCTACCCATGGACTTTTCAGATACAAGGGCAATAAAATCTACTCCCCAGCTTTTTTGCTTAAGGCTGTTCAAATTGGATTTTCAATTGGATTTTCAAATTGGTCATTACAGCTAAACCCTAACTGTTACAACTCTCTAGGATCAGGTGTGTAGTCCAGAGCCATTGAGTAGAAAAAAAATAACAGGCCTCCAGAATAAGCTATTTGATCCTGTCCTCATTAGTTCTGTGTTCTTACCAATTGAGTGAGTCTGCCTGAACACTCCCTATACATGACAGAAAATGCTGGTAATCCCAGAAAGAAAATTATTCTGCGCTTCAAACAGCTCAGCTCAGATACATGTCTGCCTAAATGCTTAAGAATTTGTTTGGTAGTCCTTAGGAAAAGGTTACAGTCTTTACCCATAGAACTGACTGTTTTAAATCATGGCATGTACATAGTAAAGCAGTCATGTTTCTAAGACAGAGCATTCTTTATTTTTGAGATGGAGTCTCACTCTGTTGCCCAGGCTGGAGTGAAGTGGCACAATCTTGGCTCACTGCAACCTCTGCCTCCTGGGTTCAAGTGATTCTCCTCTCCTGCCTCAGCCTCCTGAGTACAGGTGTGCGCCACCACGCTAGGCGAATTTTTGTATTTTTAATAGAGGCGAGGTTTTACCATATTGTCCAGGTTGGTCTTGAACTCCTGGCTTCAAGTAATGAGTCTGCCTCAGCCTCCCAGAGTGCTGGGATTACAGGCCTGAGCCACCGCGCCCGGCCCCTTAAGACACAACATTCTGTGCAAGAAAGTCTTTCATCTCACTGAAGTCAATTAGTATAGAGATGCAAAACATGGAAACATGTAACTTCTTCAAGTTGGCAACTGTTCAGGTTCCTCAGGTGTCTCGTTGAAGAGGGATATTCACCCAGTAGTGTTTTCAAATCAAAGTGCCTCATGATGGAAGATGTTAGGGCTGGAACTTCCTCTATCATTAATCATAGGCACAAATTAAAGAGGAAAGCAACAAACCTACTTCAACTTACAGTTCCTCCCACTCCAGCCAAGTTAAGTCTTCTGAGGGATCCAGCCATTGCAAAGCAACACTGATGGCCAAGTCATAGTGTGCCTGGGAGCAGGAAGCACAGAGAGCAAAGAAACAGGCTTAGACATTGGCCGAAGTACTCCCTGGACCCAATGACAATGGGACTGCTAAGCCTATTCTAGTCTGTCATGTCCAAAATGGGAAGGATCATTAGCTTTAATAACCTGATGCTCGGCCAGATTTTTTTTTTTTTTTCTGAGACCTCGCCTCACAGGGATGAATCAGCCAGAAATATTTTGGGATCTTGAGACATTAAATTTATTTCCACTAGAGCAGTTATCTGATTTCTGTGATTTGGAAAAGAAAGGAGAGATCAGTGAAGAATAATAAACTTGGAATCAGAAAATCTGGGCTCAAATCTAGGTATTGCCAACAACTCACGGAATATTCTTAGGTGAGTAACTGATGCTTTCTGGGCCTCAGTTTCCCTAAATTTTAACATAGTAAAAGGTAAGGGTGGGGGAACAGGGCTGCAGGGAACAATTTCTGATTCTGTGAGTAGAATGTCAGAAATGTGCTTCCAGGGGTACAGGGGCAGTGTGGTGGGAATTTGGAGGGATGGGCCGTTTTATGTCTACCTGGGGAGATAGCTAGAATCCCAAGAAGCTTCAGAGAGGGAAGCTGCATTGGAGCTGGGGCTTGTGGGATGAGAATGTCTACAGATGGGGAAGGAAATCACAGGTAGAGGAACTAGCATGAGGCAAGGACGGAGCGGGCGGGGAAGGGGGCAGACCTGAGTAAGTGACTTGCTGAGAGTTTCACACGCACGTATAGTAAAAAGCTGAGAACCAATGCGGAGGCTTATTTTTATCATGGTGACCACCTTTTCCTAGTAATTCCTAAGAGTTCTTGTTCAGTAAGCATATTTACCATTTGTCTATCAAAATATTCCTTCTCTCCTTTCAGTCCCCACACACAGAAAACGGAAGATTGGTTTTGTTTTTAATTTTTGTAGAGGCGTTCTGAAGTTTTAACATTTTTAAACGGTGGAATTATTTCTTCCAGGGACTGAACCAAACTGAACAGTGAACCTAAATGAATAAATAAACAGGAAGAATGGGACCATGACCAAATGTTGCAACCGGATCCAAAGTTTGATGCCTTGGCATCACTTGTTTGGTCATTTGAAATGCAAATTCCTAGGCCGCGGGGGCGCCCCCCTCACCCCCGCCCCCCTTCACCTCCTGAATCAAAACAGCCTTGTAATACGACCTCATTAAAGTTTGAGAAGCACTGCTCTAATCTACTTAATTTCTCTGTTTAATATGTGTACACAGAGAATAAGGCTTAACTATTTCCTTAGCTCCAGGGTAGTTTTGAAAGCCAGTGAGCCTGGCTCTACTTTAGTCGGAGAAGAAGAGGAGAGGGGAGTGGAGGGAGAGAGTCTTTTTTATTAGTGTAAGGATAGTAAATGGGCAGTGAAAAAACTGAGGGTTTGCTAATTTCTTTTGAGTTAGATCTTTATATGGTTTCTTCCTCAATTTCTGTGACGTGAACTTTCAGATCCTGAGTCTGGGCTTCGAAATAAATAACACCAAGGATTTTTAGGGTTACTTAATTTATTTGGTTTTCTCTCACTAATGCAAATGGTAAAGAAATTATTTTGAGAACTACATGATAGCTAATTTTGTCAAACTCTTAACTCCACAGACGTAACATTTTGCCTGGCATTAATTTTGATTTTTAATCTTCTTTCCTAATAGCAAATAACTCTCATGATTTTTATTTTCTCATTCTCTTTGCTTTCTGGTTAGTGGGTTGAAATGACCATATGAACAATCTCAGGGTGAGGGGAAGATGAGGAAGAGGACATTTGGGGGATGGGTGTCAATATTAGCCTTGTTTATTGTATAAATAAGATCCTTTTTCTGTCTCTTTAATACACATATAACACAAATATGACTCGCATCAGCGTGCCTTTCTTTACCATATCATCTAGAAAGGTGAGTTGCCGTCTTCCTTTTGGGTCAAATTCATTTTCCCGAAGTCTGATGCCAATATAATCTCCCCTTAAAAGCAAGAGAGCAGCATTGAACCATTGGAGTGACACGGGCTCAGTCTGCAGAAAAAGGCTTTTTTTTTTCCCATCCCTCCCTCCCCCACCAAAATACAAGAGAATTTGCAGATGCTCTGGTAGCTGAGTTAATATTCGGTTTTGGTTTACACGACAATTCTACAATGCTGCAGTTTAAAATGTCTAACCATAATTAACTGAAATAACATTTATCTAAAAATTAAACTCAATTGGAACAGAATTTACAGGAAAGCAAGGAATATGCTAAATACCCACACACAGAAATGGTTTTACAAGACCAAAAGGATTGAGACACACTGTTTAAAATAATCATTTGCTTCCCGTGTTAAATTCAAGCAGCATGTCCAAAGTTGATACATTCCAGATATATAAAATTCTGTAGGTAAGTATTCTTTTGCCGTAAGGCTTTTTCTCTTTAGAATGCAAATACCCTTAGGAGGAGGAATGCATAAAAACTTATTAGTGATTCCACTTTAGTTTATCCTTAGTGGATCCTTTCCTAACAGTGACTTTTAATAAAAGAAGGTAAAATAAGCACCATGAGGAGAGAAGAGAGAAAGGTGCTACCCCGGGAATGTGACAGAGAAAAAATAGGTGCAGGAAAAGAAGGACTATGGCATCTCCCAGGTTGATTTTGGCACATCTCAATTTTACATAAGGTGGAGAATAAGTTTATTTCTGGCTTCTGAAAGCTTTTCTTCTGAGTCATTAAGCTTAACTAGATTGATAAAAATTCTTAAATTTCTGCCGAAATTTCAGGATACTTTAAAGTAGCCTAAATGTATTCTTTGGATATAAACTTGTATTTATATCACTTTTGAAATTCCAATTATTTGGATGAGATATGTGGAAGAGTTGGCATTCCTGATCATGGTTTGTTCTTTACTATTCTATTGGCCTCTAACATATAACACAAATATGACTCGCATCAGCATGTCTTTCTTTACCATATCATCTAGAAAGGTAAGTTCCCTTCTTCCTTTTGGGTCAAATTCATTTTCCTGAAGTCTGATGCCAATATAATCTCTGCTTAAAAGCAAGAGATGAATATGAATTCACATATATGTGCATACACATATATGTGTACACGTGTACTATATATGAATTCACATATATGTGTATACATGTATATATGTACATATATGTATATTCATAGTTTCTTCTAGTATTTCTTAAAGGCTTGTTAAAATAAAATTATCTTAGGAGGCCGAGAAAAGATATTTGATGGGGATGGTGATAAGCTCTTTGATGAAAAGGCTATTACTGTTTTGTCTATAACACATATGACATAGAACATAATCTTTCTTTTTTCTTTTTATATGGTTTGTGATCTTTCACCAACATTTGTTAAGTACAAGTCAAAGAAACACTGCCATGGGAGGAAAACATTTCTTTCACAGGAAACTTGATGTTTTCTGTGTTCGTTTTAAAAATGTTCAGATGTAAAGAAAAAGGAGATGAATTTCTTAGTTGATAAGGCTGACAATAAAAGAGGCAGAGCAGAGGCTGCAATTTAGATTCTGGGCCCTTTCAGGAATCTCTCTTATACCTTTTACCAGCAGGGCCAGCCCCTTTCAACGGTGTATCTTGCCTACACAGGCTGACTGGGACATAGGCTCAGCTCTCAGGCTCTAGAATGTGGATGCCTCGGATGTGCAGGCTGCCAGCAGAAACATCCTCCCAAGTGTTTCAGCATCCTGCCTCGCACCACAGGTGAGGCCTCCCTGGCAGGAAACCGAGAGAGGCCAGATCATCCTCTGGTTTTCTCCTACCATGCAGAAATAGATTCTTAGATTTTTACCCACTGCCAATACCCAAGCCATCTATGACATGAAATCCACCGAATGCCAAGTGTCATAAATGAAAGTTATTCTCAGTCATACTTACAAGAGCTTTTTCATTTCCTTCTTTATGAGCCTTCTTTCCATGTTAAAGGCTTAGCCAGCTGAGCAGGTATCTGCAGCTAACACTACACTTAGACCCAGCTTCTCTGAGTCTAGAGGCTACAGCAGCAAATCAGAGAGAATATGAGTTAGGGATGCTATCACTCCAAATACCAGTCATGGAGTCCTAGGCTCTGGAAGGGATCTGAGGGAGCACCTCATTCAGGCCTCTTACTCGGCAGGTTCAGGGTCAAAAAGCCACCTGGAGGCTCATGCACTGTACTTTTGTGTTTATTTGACACCTTTTATTCCTTCCAAATTTTTCCAACACTTATTTACTTAATTTACTCTTCCTTGCAATAATCTAGCAAGTAAAACCAAAATGGTTTGTGTAATAGCTGATGAGACTATTCGGGCAGAACCATCCAAACTAGATGGATGTGATCCATCTAGATCTGAATGTGTTTGGGTTTTTCTGTGAGCATTCAACTCCCAGTGAGTTCACCCTGGCTCAGTGGCTCATAATGGAGTTTTCCATAGAATCCATCTACACTCTCCTATTGCCAGGAGATCCTTGAAAGAAAATATGGTTATGGGAAATATGTCTTCAATTCCCACCCCCACATTGAACCAGAAATTGAAGATCAGGTGATGGGGTCAAAAGGAGTCTGAAGTCACCAAAAAGGAGTCTATAGAAAATCATCACTATTGAATGGGGTACACAGGGAGAGGTATAAATAGGGTATCAACTCTATTTGTGATGTTTTATTTATTTTTAAATTTATTTTATGGTTGGGCCTCTATGATCAAATAGTTGTTCAAACTTTATCCCGGATGTTTCTGGTGTTTTTTTTTTAATGAGATTATCATTTAAATCAGTGGACTTTGAAAGCAGATTGCCCTCTATCTGAGTGAGCCTTTTCCAATCAGTCGAAAGCCTTGATAGAACAAAAGACTGACCTCCCCCATGCAAGAAGGAATCTGCCAGTAGGCAGCCTTTGGATTCAAACTGCAACTCTTCCCTGAGTCTGCTGGCAGCTGGCCTCCTCTATCAGATTTTGGACTGGCCAAGACTCCACAATCATGTGAGCCAATTCTGTAAAATCAAAATATTTGAAAGAGATGGTTAAGCCTATACTGCACCGTGTGTGTGTGTGTGTGTGTGTGTGTGTGTGTGTGTGTGTGTATCCACACACATCCTGTCAGTTCAATTTCTCTGAGGAACCCTAATACTCAAATATAACAAAATGTTAATAGTTGTTGACTCTGGAATTCTAAGTCCATGGATGTTCATTATACTACCCTTTGTACTTTTAAAATTGTACGTATATTTAAATCACTACTCTAAAGATGATTGGAAAACAAACTTTAGAAACGGTTTTTTGAAAATGGTACCATATAAACACTAAGCTTCACTTGATTCAGCTCTACCAACAGTAAGCAGAGAGCCAACAGGATGGCGCTGATCTAAATGAATGCTTCCCTAGGCCACCTTCATTATTTTGGATTTTTTTTTTTTTTTTGAGACGGAGTCTCGGTCTGTCACCAGGCTGGAGTGCAGTGGCACAATTTCGGTTCACTGCAACCTCTGCCTCCTGGGTTCAAGTGATTCTCCTGCCTCAGCCTCCCAAGTAGCTGGGACTACAGGTGCACGCCACCAAGCCCAGCTAATTGTTTTGTACTTTTAGTAGAGACCGGGTGGTGTCATCATATTGGCCAGGATGGTCTCCATCTCCTGACCTTGTAATCCACCTGCCTCAGCCTCCCAAAGTGCTGGGATTACAGGCGTGAGCCACCGTGCCCAGCCATTTTGGATCATTCTTGCTGCTGCTACATCTGCTTTAGTTTTTGGGGAGTGGACGGGATGTGGATAAGATGAAAGTGGGGAAGAAAGTAAGAGCATTTCACAGGAAATTGATTAAGTATCAAGACAATAATATTGCTCCCTACAGAGTCAATGGGGAGAGGATGCAGCAAGCCATAGAGGTGGCCCTATTGCCTAGAGAAGAGAGAGCACTGGACCCAGGAAAGCCACACTCATTGATGTGGCTGTGCGTCTTCTGCTTCCCAGCCTCAGGTGTTATCCGAAAAAGATGGGCCTGGTTAACATTGCCAAGAGCACTTCTTACCCTAACATTCTGTAACTCTATAAAGTCTGGCATGCATTAAAATTCTTCTGATTCAATAGTTTGGAAAAACATTTGTTGCTAGACTATTTGGCCTATCTCAATTCCTTGGCAGGGAGTAAGGCACAGTTAGCATGTGCTTTAATCCATTCTTGTCTTGTAATTCTGAGAAAGCCCTTTGAGTTTCAGATTTACAAGTTATAATATTTGCATTGCTTCGTTGTTATGACAGCTTCGTCTTAGATCATCCCTCATCCTCCCCATCCCCTGCCCCCACCACCACCATTCAATATGGTATAATATGCAAAGGTTTCAGTCTTTAAAATATGAGTATGTCCCACTCCCAAACCACTAAACTGTAGGTCAGAAGACCCTGTGAGGCCACCAACTAGCTGTGCACCTTGAACAAATTAATTTGCCTATGTTTTTTCATTTCTTCCTCTGTAAAACAAGCGTTGAATGATTGGAGAGGTCCCTTACAGCTGTGGAAGTCAGTGATTTATATGCATTTAGTAGCTACGCCTGGTCTAAAGAAGGCCATTTGCATGGATTCTAATTCAGCTAGATTTGAATTCTGCCAGTTATCCCTCTTCTCTGTCTATAGAGCTCTAAAGAAAACAAGACCGCTGTGTGTTTTGTGTGTGGCTGAAAGCACACACAAAAGAGGTACTGGAAAGATGTCAGCTGTCTCAGGCTTTAGCTGTTTCATAGAAACAATTCCCTAGAAGTCAGAGCCCCCAAATTCTATAGGAATATCATTTCCTGGAGAATATCTGCACATTCCATGCAGGTTCCCTGCTGCACACCTGCAATCGTGGTACAGGTCTCTCGGGCTGTTCTATTAAGTGCCTGCTCTTAACAAATTCCCCTTTGAGAATCGCTCACCAACCGGAGACCGGTTCCAGTGCTTTTGTTCTTTCTCTGCTTCTGGAGGCATGCTGAAGCATCCGCGCATCTCAGACTGGTGCTCACAGACATCAGGAACACATGCTTTTTCCTGGTTGCTAGGAAACAGTGAATGAATTAAAATCATTTGTTTTAAAAATACACTCCCCTACGCCCACCCCCATTAAGGGTTGAGGGAGGGTGGAAAGTCATATATTTGGGACAGGATTGTGATCCTGGCCTGAAGTTCACGTGTCTTTTTACCTGAGTAGGCTTATGTTTCCCATCTAAATGATTAATTGAAAAACCAAGAGGATGGGAGGAGTTTACCTTCCCCAGAGTTTTTTATAGCATTTGGCTGCAGACATAGGAATCAATTGACTAAGCAAGGATTGCTGGGGAAGCTAGTGAAACTCTGGCTCCTACATAGTTAGGGTGCCCCAAAGTACCCAATGACCCAAAGATCATTCTACTCGATGAATGTCAATACAAAACAGTGGCAATCCTGAAGAAACATCACCTGGGTTCAAGCTAGCACCATCTTTCTAATTATAGATGAGATCCCTTTCATGTGCGTCTGTGTGAAGAGACCACCAAACAGGCTTTGTGTGAGCAACATGGCTGTTTATTTCAACTGGGTGCAGGCGGGCTGAGTCCGAAAAGAGAGTCAGCAAAGGGTGGTGGATTATCATTAGTTCTTATAGGTTTTGGGATAGGCGGTGGAGTTAGGAGCAATGTTTTGTGGGCAGGGGGTGGATCTCACAAACTACATGCTCAAGGGTGGGGAGAATTACAAAGAACCTTCTTAAAGGTGGGGGAGATTACAAAGTACCTGCTTAAGCGGGGGGAGATTACAAAGCACATTGATCAGTTAGGGTGGGGAAGAAACAAATCACAATGGTGGAATGTCATCACTTAAGACTATTTTTACTTCTTTTGTGGATCTTCAGTTACTTTAGGCCATCTGGATGTATATGTGCAAGTCACAGGGGATGTGATGGCTTGGCTTGGGCTCAGAGGCCTGACAATCCCTGCCCACACGCCTGCCTCCTAGTCTTAAACACTTGCTCCCTTGCTTAAAGCTTGTTAATGGTTTCTGTCTGTGTCTCCTCTATACCACTAGACTAGGGGCAGAGTTTGTTCTTCTGGCCCATCTACGGCTGGGTGTCTGTTATTGACACCTCTTAATCTTTATTTCCACTCCTTTCCACTGGCCAAGTAAGTCACTTGATTACCTGAGGTCATATTATGAAAGACACTAACAAAACCCTAGATATAGAATTTTCTAAACTAGTTGTTCACTCCATATTGAGTTTATATTGTACCTAGACACTTCCGGGTTTGGTGAGCCTGAAGTTTATACATTATGGGGACCGTCTTTAATAAAAAGAATGCAGAATTGTAAATATGAAACTAATACAAAATTGTATGTTTATTTAGAACTATTAATTACAAGTTACAAATTTTAAAGAGCTGAAAAATACCACAAACAAAAAATCAGTATTAATATTTTCATGATTACTAACTGCCTAACATACACTAAAATTCCTTTTTTTCTTACATACTCTTTGATTATCTGTTAATAGGACCAAGGTTTCATAGTATTTTCTATAGAGAGAATTAAAAAATAATTCAGTCTCTCCTCTACTATGACTGTTTACTTTTATTTATTTATTTATTTATTCATTTTTTTGAGATGGAGTTTTGCTCTTGTTGCCCAGGCTGGAGTGCAATGGTGTGATCTTGGCTCACCACAACCTCCGCCTCCCGGATTCAAGCGATTCTCCTGCCTCAGCCTCTGGAGTAGCTGGGATTACAGGCATGCGCCACCACGCCCGGCTAACTTTGTATTTTTAGTAGAGACAGGGTTTCTCCATGTTGATGAGGCTGGTCTTGAACTCCCGACCTCAGGTGATCTGCCCGCCTCGGCCTCCCAAAGTGCTGGGATTACAGGCGTGAGCCACCGCACCCAGACAATTTTTTATTTTTTAATTAATTTTTTTTTTTGTAGCAATGAGGTCTCACTATGTTGCCCTGGCTGGTCTCAAACTCCTGGGCTCAAATGATCCATCTGCCTTGGCCTCCCAAAGTGCTGGGATGACAGGCATAAGCCACCACGCCCAGCCATTTTCAATTTATTCTAATATTTTGTTTATAATTAAAACTAAACTGTAGGCTGGGTGTGGTAGCTCATGCCTGTCATCCCAGCACTTTAGGAAGCTGAGGTGGGTAGATTGCCTGAGCCTAAGAGTTCAAGATCAGACTGAGCAACATGGCAAAATCCTGTCTCTACAAAAAATGATAAAAACTAGCTGGGCATTGTGGTGTGTCCCTACAGTCCAAGCTACTCAGCAGGCTGAGGTGGGGGGATTGCTTGAACCCAGGAGGCTGAGGCTGTAGTAAGCTGTGATTACACCCCTCCACTCCAGCCTGGGTGAAAGAGTGAGGCCCTGTCTCAAAAACAAACAAACAAACAAACAAACAAACAAACAAACCAAAAAAACAGAAAATAAACTGAGTTATTTTTCTTTTTGACTCCCTATTGTTGATACCTCATTATAAGGTGTTCCACAATTTCTTGATCAAGAGAGCTTTTCACCCAAAGGCAACCTTGGAGAACTTCAACCTTGACCTTGCTAGGCTTGTTCATCCCTGTTAACTCCCTTACCCCTGCCCCCAGCTGAGGCTGCTGCAGCTGGTCCAACTCAGCCAAGTGTTCATCGATCCCAATAGTCACCTTCCCAGCTTCAGTCCTTGAAGGCAAATAGAAGGTCCACGTGTGCAGTGGTCTATCAGGGGCTGGTCATTGCTAAGACTCACATTGATGGAGGTAGTGATGGCAGTGTGCCTATCCCGATGCCATGCCAGTGAGTCAGGAGTTGGGCAGGACTGGTTTTACAAGGTACAGATCACAAAGACCCGGCTGATAAAATGATATGTAGTAAAGAAGCCAGTCAAAACCCGCCAAAACCAGATGGCGATGAAAATGACCTCTAGTTGTCCTCACTGCTCATTATATGCTCATTATAATATATTAATATGCTAAAAGATACTCCCACCAGCACCGTGAAAGTTTACAAATGTCATGGCAACGCCTGGAAGTTACCCTATATGGTCTGAAAGCAGGAGGAATTCCCTCAGTTCCAGGAATTGCCCACCCCTTTCCCAAAAAACTAATGAATAATCCATCCCTTGTTTAGCATATGATTTTTAAAAAACATAAAAATAAACATAAAAAACCCACAAAAACATAAAACATAAAAAAACATAAAAATAGCCAACCAGCAGCTCTGCCTATGGAGTAGCCACCCTTTTATTCCTTTACTTTCACTTTACTCTGTTGGCTTGCTCTTGAATTCCTTAATGTGCGAAGGCAAATATCACAGGGCCTTTGGTGTTCAGCCTGTGACATCCTTTCTGACAACAAATGAAGGGACAATGGAGACCTCCCCCTGAAACCCAGACTAAAACCAATTGGCACCATTCAGACCTGATGGGTGGGTGAGTCTCCCTTTGTCCAATTTCAACTTGCTACTTTTTTTTCCCCTTTGATTTTGGCTCCTCTGTCCTTTCCTATGTTCGTTATTTTAGACAGGTGGGGAAGTGGCTGTGAGACCTCTGGCTTGGTAGCCTGATTGCAGTCTTCTGTTGTGTGGGTGCCCCAGACATGCAGCATGCCTGGCAAGTCATGTCCTTTGTAACCCACCTTGTCATCCCTTCTCTTGAACCCAAAAGTCAAAGAGATCAGATAATGCAATGCAAAACAGAGCAAAGCCTTAGATTTTGAGAGGAATCTATCTACTTAGAATTCCTGGGGTTCCGGCCCAGCGCCGTGCCTCACGCCTGTAATCCCAGCACTTTGGCGGGCGGATCACGAGGTCAGGAGATCGTGACCATCCTGGCGAACACGGTGAAACCCCGTCTCTACTAAAAATACAAAAAATTAGCCAGGCATGGTGGCGGGTGCCTGTAGTCCCAGCTACTCAGGAGGCTGGGGCAGGAGAATGGCGTGAACCCGGGAGGCGGAGCTTGCAGTGAGCCGAGATTCCGCCAAAATTGTGCCACTGCACTCCAGCCTGGGCGACAGAGCAAGACTCTGTCTCAAGAAAAAAAAAAAAAAAATTCCTGGGGTTCCATGAGGAAAACAGAATTTTTTCCCAAAACGGAGTCTGTGGCATGCTTTCAAATATAAACAGACTGCTTTAAGGAGTCAAAGTTGACTTATAGAGCCAATAAAAGCCCCTTGGGAAAACTGGCCTCACACCTTGTCTATGCAGTCCCTGTACAGGGTTCTTGACTTGTGGTAAGTAAAAATGTCACTTTCTGACAGGCCCAGGAGCCCCAAGTTACCTTGGGACCTCGAGAGGAGAGGAATTCACCCAACTCATAAAGGCGTTTGTTGGCACAGATAAATCTGTGGCTGGGCTCAAGACCTTAAAAAACCTAATCTGAGATTATTTATGTAACAAAGTTCCATCAAAGCCTATTTACAAAGAGCCTATATGGCAGATAATTATTCTTGCTGCCCTTTATGCAAAAATCAGGCAAAATATAATAAGACTAAAACTTATTTTGCAAACAAATTGGTCCTACCACGATTTATCTTTTATAAAAATGAGAGACTTCAGAGAGAAAAAATTATACTACAAAAAACTATAGTACACGTGTTGTTAGATTCTAGTCTTGACCATTGTTTTTTGGGTTTTTATTATTGTTCAAAATTTGGACTGACTCCTAAATTCTTTCTGGGTTACAAGTCCCCAAACTGTTTTCAAATTTTTCTTCCATTTTTCTGAGTAAATTCAAAATCACTACTACCTTCCTCCTGAGGCCCTGCAAGCTAAAGCTTATTCCTTGTGATATAGATGAGAAAAATGTGTGAGGTTGCCGCTGCCTTCCTGCTCTATAACTAAAGATGCTTTGAGTCTAACCCCTGGATAGACTGTGCCCAAAATTAACCTTTGTTTTTCTTCTGTTCTCATAAAAATGCCTCTTACTAAAAATCTGTTTGTTTTTATTTGATTTTTAGAAATAATTATTATTTGTTATATTCAACAGGGGTTCATCCTGTTAAAGTTTATGTCTTCCAAGTTATAACAGTTCCAGACAAAAATAGCTGGCCTGAGGGTTCCAGCCTGTGCCACTGCAGAAAATATTGAGTTCCTATATATCATTAGATCGGATGGTGAGAGCTTTCTATGCCTCCAGAAGGAGGGCAGGTAGGGACGATGGCCCCTGTTCAGCATGAAGCAGTTATGGAAGATGAGACCTTTATCTTCCTGCAACCCTTTAACATTAAAAAGGAGTATAAGATCTCTGAATGGGGGAGGAGATAGGAGTTTGGCAGGACTGGTTTTGCAAAGCACAGGTCACAAAGACTCCACTTATGAAATGAGATGTGGTAAAACCGTACAAAAATTATTAGCCGAGTGTGGTGGCCTGTAGTCCCACCTACTCGGGAGGCTGAGGCAGGAGAATTGCTTGAACCCGGGAGGCAGAGTTTGCAGAGAGCCGACATCATGCCACTGTACTCCAGCCTGGATAACAGAACAAGACTCCATCTCAAAAAAAAAAAAAAAAAAAACAATCAAAACTGCAAAAATGATCTCTGGTCATCCTCACTTCTCCTTATACCCTAATTATAATACATTAGCATGCTAAAAGACACTCCCACCAGTGCCATGACAGTTAACAAATGCCATGGCAACATCTGGAAGTCATCCTATATGGTCTGAACGTGGGAGGAGCCCTCAGTTCCAGAAATTGCTCACCCCATTCCTGGAAAACTCATGAATAATCCATCCCTTGTTTAGCATATGATCAAGAAATAACTATAAAAATAGCCATCAGGGCTGCTCTGCCTATGGAGTAGCCACCCCTTTATTACTTTGCTGTCTTCATAAACTTGCTTTTGTTTTACTCTTCGCTCACTCTTGAATTCCTTCCTATGCAAAACCAAGGACCTACGTGGCCTCACAGGCTGAACCAGGACCACCATCAGGACATGGAGAATGGCCCTCAGGCTGGGGCCATGCTGCTTTCTCTTCGCATTCCCCATGGAGGACACGTCAAGGGTTGGAAGAGCCCAGGAAAACGAGGGCCCTCCAGCTAGGCTGCTTTAGCTTTGGGGGAAATTCACGTCTTCTTATACCTTTTATTCTCAAGACATTAAAATCAAAACAAATAACACAACAGCAAAGAACACTTTTATGCCATAGTTAGGAAATTCTCAGTTCTCATAGCGTATCCTTGAGGCAGATATAAAAATAATATCCATGTTTTATACAGATGGGACAGAGGAGGAATACCTAGCCAGAGAAAGACCATTTCTGCAATTCTGACTTCCCAAGTACTGCATCTTCATCAGACTTCAATGTCCCTTTCAAAGTCTTTAAAATTCTTACAATATTATATCTACATATATATTACCTTGATATTGTGGAAATGTCACAGAACATTGCCACTTCCACAGAATATTGATAGGAATTTTTCTTTTTTTTTTTTTTTTTTTTTTTTTTTTGAGACGGAGTCTCGCTCTGTCGCCCAGGCTGGAGTGCAGTGGCGGGATCTCGGCTCACTGCAAGCTCCGCCTCCCGGGTTCACGCCATTCTCCTGCCTCAGCCTCCCAAGTAGCTGGGACTACAGGCGCCCGCCACTACGCCCGGCTAATTTTTTGTATTTTTAGTAGAGACGGGGTTTCACCGTTTTAGCCGGGATGGTCTCGATCTCCTGACCTCGTGATCCGCCCGCCTCGGCCTCCCAAAGTGCTGGGATTACAGGCGTGAGCCACCGCGCCCGGCCAGGAATTTTTCATCTTCACCAAAATTTATATTTAAATTACTGAAAAGTAGCAGTAGTACATGGTAAGTTAATAGAATGATAACTATGTGATTTTGGGTAAGTTACTTCTGCACTTTATTTCTCTCTTCTGTAAAGTGTTGTTAATGAAAATCTACCTTATGGGTTCTCCTAAATATTAGAAATATCATATATATAATGTTGGCTTGGAACATTATAATAAGTCTTTTGCAAATGGTAGTTATTACTATTATAAAGTAGTGTTTGCCTCTTTCTTCATTGTATTTATCCAGCCCTTTTAAAGTGTTCTACTAGTGAATTTCTTTGGAATCTCCTATTTTGATAGTAAGCTCCTGAAGTATAAACATCATATTTTCTTTTTTTTTATTATTTTAATATTTTTTTTTCTAGAGACAAGGTCCCACTATGTTGTCCAGGCTGGCCTCAAACTTCTGGGCTCAAGTGATGCAACCACCTTGGCCTTCCAAAGTACTGGGATTACAGGTGTGAGCCACTGTGCCTGGCTCAAATTTTCTATTTCTTTGTGACCCCCAAATAAGAAGTATTAAAATGTTTTATACATATCATGCATTCGCTAAACATGATCTGACATGGAAAATTTTTTTATGTCCTGAATGTAATAAGAACTCTGAACACATTGCATACTGTAAAGGAGAAAAAGAAATACTATATTTTCCTCATCCATAGCAAGGCTGATGGCCGAGACCTCTCTAACAATGACATATTAACAACAAAAAAAAGCAAACAAATTTATTTAATATAAGTTTTATGTGACATGGGAGTTTTGATAAATGAAGACCCAAAGAAATGGAAAAAATCTGTGTATTTTTATGGATAGTTGTGCAGAAGTATGATTTGAGGACAAAAGGGTATGATCTAATGGTAAAAAACTGGGGGTACTTTAGGAAAGCCTGTTTGTTCTGATTCTTCTTGGCTTCTTTGTGCCTTTATCCCTTTCCTCCAGGGAGAAGGTCATTGAGTGACCTTCCTAGGTTTCATGACCTGCTTCAGGGGAGAAGGGTAGGAGAAGGCCAGAGAGAACTTCCTGCTTCTGCTGTTTTCTCAGATTCCGTAGTTCCATATTTTGGGTGAGCATGTCATGTCCTGAGCGTCAACAGACAACATTTCTGCCTTCTCATTTGTAGAAACTTTCTAGCCCTTATTGGTTGAATAATTGGAGTCTGCAGGAGTTTATCACAATGGGGTTTAGAATTCTCTACCCCAAAACATGGTACCTTGACATATTGAATATTTTAAGACAAAGGAATTTGAGAAAATAGCGGAAGCAGGAAGGTCACTCTCATCTTCCCGCCATCTCTCCTCCCCTGAAGCAGGTCATAAAACCTAGGAAAGATTTTTCTGACTTACTTCTGAAGCAGGTCAAAAGGCCCTCGAGTGAGAGGTGCCCTCTCTATACACGGAGGAAAGGAACATCCTTTTCTCTGAAGACAATGGGTCACAGAAAAGAATCTGAACAAACAGGCCTTGCTAAATTCCCCCATTTTTTGCCATTAGGTTGTACCCCCTTTGCCCAATTATATTTCTCCATGACTGTCTATTCATCAAACATACCATAAAAATATACAAATTTAACTCTTTTTTGGGGTCTTCATTTCCTTATTAAGACTCCCATGTCACGTAAAACTTGTATTAAATACATTTGAATGCTTTTCTCTTGTTAATCTGCTTTTTGTTAGAGGGGCCTCAGCCATGAACCTATGTTGGGCAAAAGAAAAAAAAAAAGATAGCTCTTCTCTTCTGTAACTGGATGGTAGTATCTTTAGCATTTGCATTTGTTGTGGGGGGATGAAACTTTATGCACATATAGTGTACAGTAAACCGGCATATATAAATATAGCATTTTTGCATGAAAAAAAGATGTGATTTAGTAAATTTCTCTGTGAACACCAGAGACCAGACATTCTAGGGTAATGAGGTTATGGCTGTGCTCAAGCTAGGATTTAAGTATGTCTGGGCACCTTTGGGGAAGTCTGCAGGACCAGGGGTTGTGAGATTATCAGAATTCTATTTGCATCCGTGGTTGTCAACATTGGCTGTACTTTAGAATCACTGGAGAAACGTTAAAAACTCCCTGGAACAATTAACTCAGAATATCTGGAAGCAGGACCCAGGCAGCCATAGCCTTTAAATTTCTCCAGGTGCTCTAATACGCAGATAAGGTTGATAACCACGGACACATGTGAAAAGCTGAAGGCATCCCAGGTGGTGCTCCATTATTGCAGTTGCACTGACCTCTAGCTTGGGGAAAAGTTTTCTTCACTTTTTGTTTTTCTTTGAGTCAGGTCTTGCTCTGTAGCTCAGACTGGAGTGCAGTGGTGCGATCATGGCTCACTGTAGCCTTGACCTCTGGCTCAAGGGATCCTCCCACCTCAGCCTCCTAAGTAGCTGGAACTACAGGTGTGCACCACCATGCCTGGCTAATATTTATATTATTTTTTTGTAAAGACAGGGTCTTGCTATGCTGCCCAGGCTGGTCTTGAATTTCTGGTCTCAAGCAATCCTCCCACCTGGGCTTCCCAAAGTGTGAGCCACAGCACCAGCCCTTTCCTTCCTTCCTCCCTTCCTTCCTTCCCTCCCTTCCTCCTTCCTTTCTTTTGGAATGGAGTCTTGCCCTGTTGCCCAGCCTGGAGTACAATGGCGCGATCTTGGCTCACTGCAACCTCTGCCTCCTGGGTTCTCCTGCCTCAGCCTCCTGAGTAGCTGGGATTACAGGTACGTGCCACCATGCCTGGCTAATTTTTTGTATTTTTAGTAGAGATGGCTGTGGGGAAAAGAAAGAGAGATCCGATTGTTACTGTGTCTGTGTAGAAAGAAGTAGACATAGGAGACTCCATTTTGTTCTGTACTAAGAAAAATTCTTCTGCCTTGAGATGCTGTTAATCTGTAACCTTACCCCCAACTCCATGCTCTCTGAAACATGTGCTGTGTCAACTCAGGGTTAAATGGATTAAGGGCGGTGCAAGATGTGCTTTGTTAAACAGACGCTTGAAGGCAGCATGCTCATTAAGAGTCATCACCATTCCCTAATCTCAAGTACCCAGGGACACAAACACTGCGGAAGACCTCAGGGACCTCTGCCTAGGAAAGCCAGGTATTATCCAAGGTTTCTCCCCATGTGATAGTCTGAAATATGGCCTCGTGGGAAGGGAAAGACCTGACCGTCCCCCAGCCCGACACCACCCGTAAAGGGTCTGTGCTGAGGAGGATTAGTATAAGAGGAAGGAACGCCTCTTTGCAGTTGAGACAAGAGGAAGGCATCTGTCTCCTGCCCGTCCCTGGGCAATGGAATGTCTCGGTATAAAACCCGATTATATGTTCCATCTACTGAGATAGGGGAAAACCACCTTAGGGCTGGAGGTGGGACAGGTAGGCAGCAACCTGTGCCCACCTGTCCATTGGCTGGCCATTGTCACACTAAATATGATGCCCAGCACTGTGATAGCCAACTTATTATCAATCTGAAGATGAAGCTACTATATAGATGAGAGCAGAGTCCAAGGAATTCCAGATATGTGTTTTTTTTTTTTTAGATGGAGTCTCGCTCTTGTCACCCAGGCTGGAGTGCAGTGGCACGATCTCGGCTCACTGCAACCTCTGCCTCCTGGGTTCAAGCAATTCTCCTGTCTCAGCTTCCCGAGTAGCTGGGATTATAGATGCCCACCACCACACCCGGCTAATTTTTGTACTTTTAGTAGAGACGGGGTTTTGCCATGTTGGCCAGCGGTCTCCAACTCCTGACCTCAGGTGATCCTCCTGCCTCAGCCTCCCGAAGTGCTGG
Organism: Homo sapiens; assembly: GCF_000001405.40. NCBI lineage: Eukaryota > Metazoa > Chordata > Mammalia > Primates > Hominidae > Homo > Homo sapiens. The sequence continues at coordinate 208,200,571 of NC_000002.12, forward strand.
GATTACAGGCATGAGCCACCATGCCCAGCTCAGATATGTGTTTTTATAAATTTGATTACTTTAAAATATATATATATATATTTATTTTTAAAGCCAGTTGTAGCTGCAGATGGATGGTAACTTTAGCCAAAGACACCCTAAGTGATACACTCTTCTAAATCCAACCTCAAAACTCATCCCAGGATTCTTGGTAGAAGGAACTGCAATAGAAGAGTGAATAAAAACAAAAAGTAATCACCAAGGGACTCTGGGTGGACAATTTGTCCACAGAGTCTTGCTCTGTCACCCAGGCTGGAGTGCAGTGGAGAGATCTCGGCTCACTGCAAGCTCCACCTCCCGGGTTCATGCTATTCTCCTGCCTCAGCCTCCTGAGTAGCTGGGACTACAGGCACCCGCCACCACACCCGGCTATTTTTTTGTATTTTTAGTAGAGACGGGGTTTCACCGTGTTAGCCAGGATGGTCTCGATCTCCCGACCTCGTGATCCACCCGCCTTGGCCTCCCAAAGTGCTGGGATTACAGGCGTGAGCCACTGTGCCCGGCCTCTGGGTGGACAATTTGGCAGCAGTAGGGGTACCACAGTTTCTGCCATGATGGTAGACAATGCCACCAGCTGTGGAGGCAGAAGAGGAAGGCAGACATCAGCAGCTTGGCACCTGGCATCACCAATAGGTGTTATAACAAGCAGACCCTGAGAGGTGCCAGTAGGAGCTCTCTTTGTGATCTTCTCTTGGTGGATGTCAGTGCCGTCTTCCCTGACTCACCATTTGTGGCTCAGGCTGCAACAAAACACATTATTGTAAGACGCTTGGCAACATGTAACTAGCCATTTGCTAGCCGTGGGGTATCAAAGCAATGTGCTAAACATTTCTAAGGTAATCTACACATTGTGTGTAATATTAATAACAGGTTTGTGAAGGATGCAGATCAACTTAGACAATGGGTAGGAAAGGTAGCCCCGTGCTTGCAACAAAATCTTTATTCAATAACTTTAATTCAGGCAGTTCAGCTAATATTAATGTGTGAAAAGGTGTTTCCTGTGGGAAAGAGCTTCCAGAACAAAGAATGTGTACTGAAGATAAAGATAAAATCTTTAATTTCCTAGAGTGCTCTGATGCAAAGCTTCCAGTATTTGCACTAAGAAGACTCTGCCTCCCTCACTCACAGAGGGTCCTGGTGAGCCATTGGGAAACAGACTGCCATTGAAATATCTTAATTAGGGGTGACTTTCCCCCTCAATGCTTATCCTAAGTTCTTGAAAGCAGGATTGTCCTTTTTAAAAAATTAATTATTATTTATTTATTTATGTATTTTTAGACTGAGTCTCCCTCCGTCGCCCAGGCTGGAGTGTGGTTGTGCAATCTCAGCTTATAGCAACTTCCATCTCCTGGATTTAAGTGATTCTCATGCCTCAGCCTCTCAAGTAGCTGGGATTACAGGTGTATGCCACCACATCCAGCTAATTTTTGTATTTTTAGTAGAGACAGGGTTTTGCCATGTTGGCCAGGCTGGTCTTAAACTCCTGACCTCAAGCGATCCACTTGCCTTGGCCTCCCAAAGTGCTGGGATTATAGGCATGAGGCTCCGTGCCTGGCCTGTCCTTTTATTTTTAAAGTAAAACTTGTTCTTAGACAAAAAAAAAAATGGTAACTTTTGAAGCATGACCTTTTATTCTCTCCAATCGGGTTAGCAAATAATTTTCTTAGTTGTTTTGTTACTATTATCGTTGTTTTTAAGGAAGATATTTCCAAGGGTAGCACTTCAGGATGATTTGTCTCCTTGAGTTTGTTGAGAAATAAAAGGTCTGGGTAAGGCCAATCATGTCATGTTTCCAAAACATCTCTTGGAAAAAAATTAAGGTGGCCATATTAACTGTCTTTTCTTCACTGTGTTCTTCTTGAAGGCAGAGTCTTTGTCCTATTGGTATTTGTCCTTTATGAGGGCAGTGAATAGAAGAGATTCTCCTAGCTTCCTGCCAGCAACGCCTCTCACATTGAGGCTGAGCAGCATTTCTATCTTTATAGAATTGCAGTATAATAGGAAAAATGAAAATAAAAAGTCAAAATTTGTTTGTAAAAACTGTCATATGTTTTAAATGGTGAATTAAATATAAAAATATTTGAATTATAATGTAATATAAATGTGCTGTTTAGAAAATAATCGGAAGAAAAGGATATGAATCCATCGTGATCTAGAAATAAGATATAAGTTTAAAGTTGACCCATGAAGATTTTTGTGTTTGTTTTCTTCAACTCCAAGTGTAGATACAATTAGAGTGATGTCAAGAGTGGGGTGAATATGAGGTGGAGACATAATAGACCCCCTGGCCTGTCACTTCATCCTCATCCACACTCTAAGATAAGTCTACTTATTAGGTCCAGATGTGGTGGCTCATGCCTGTAATCCCAGCACTTTGGGAAGCCAAGTGGGTGAATTGCTTGAGCCCAGGAGTTCCAGACCAGCCTGGGCAACTTGGCCACACCCCGTCTCTACAGAATTTAAAAAAAAAAAAAAAAAAAAAAAAAGCTGGCTATAGTGTCACGTGCCTGTAGTCCAAGCTACTTGGGAAGCTGAGGCAGGAGGATCACCTAAGTCCAGGGAGGTCGAGACTGCAGTGAACCATGGTCACGCCACTGCATTCCAGTCTGGGCAACAGAGTAAGACTGCTTCAAAAAAAAAAAAAGTCTCCTTATTAGATACACAAGCTGTTAAAGATATCTTAAGATAGAAACTGTATGTTACAGAACTTGTATGTTTAAAATATTACCTATTAGGCCAGGCGTGGTGGCTCATGCCTGTAATCCCAGCACTTTAGAAGAACAAGGCAGGCAGATCACTTGAGATCAGGAGTTCGAGACCAGCCTGGCCAACATGGAGAAACCCCATCTCTACTAAGAACACAAAAATTACCCAGGCTTGGTGGTACATGCCTGTAATCCCAGCTACTCGGGTGGCTGAGGCATGAGAATCACCTGAACCTGGGGAGGCTGCAGTGAGCCCAGATTGTGCCAATGCACTCCAGCCTGGGTGAAAGAGAAAGACTCTGTCAAAAAAAAAAAAAAAAGAAAGAACAGAAAAGAAAAAAAGGAAAGTTAACTTGTAAAATTAGACTGATTTTATTACTTCTAACTTAAAACTGTGGCTTTTCTCTGTACCAGCTGGTTTGGATGCAGGCGGGATCGCTGTTTGGATAGATGGTCAAGGGATTTGAGTTGGAAACATGGAATCACAGGCTGTAAGAACTAGAAGGGTAATATTGAGTAAAATTTTCTGCCTCAGAGGACAAGAAATATCCCTAAGGCCACAGATAAGCTGAGGCCAGAAGCCAGGCCTCATAATTGAGAGCCCAAGTGACCTTGTTGTTACAAACACACTTTAGAAGGCTTCAAACATGAAACAGAAGCTTCAGGTTGTTCAAAACAGCGCTCCTTTATCCATCTCCCTCCTTGTTGAAATAAATTATAGTTAGCTTTCCCATTTGTCCTAGGATATTTGATACTGTGATAAGCCATGCCTTGTTGATCCTAAAGTGAAGAAGTGAATTGCCTGTGTTAATCACATGAAACCTTGTTTCATTCCATTCCTTAAATTCTCAAAAGCAAACTTGCCTCAAAAAACTGTGTAAACTATACTCAACTAAAGACTCGTCTCACTAACACAGTAGAATGAAAGAAGGCAGTCGCAGAACACACATGATCTGATTCATGTATATAAAGTACAAAAAATGGTAAAACGACTCTAGGCTTTTGGAAGCCAGGGGAACGGTTACTAAATCTTTGTTGCCAGGATGTGGAAGGGGCACATCTGGGGACTTCCTGTGTTCTCTAACATTCTGGGTCTTGATCTGGGGCTAACAAGGGAATGTTCAACTTGTAAAAATTCACCGAGCTGTATACTCATGATATGTGCTGTTTTCTATATATTTATTGTATTTCAATTAAAAATTCTACAAATGGACAGAAGAATTAGTAATTGTCATGGGTCCATCTTAATGTGCCTGGGATGAGCAAAATTTAGAAACAGAGTTATTTATAATCTGTTCTGTTAGATTAGATCCCATCTCTAGAGCCACATCTAGAAGCATGAAGTTGAATTTTACTGAGCTTTTCTGCAAGAATAAAATAGTTCTTTTTAAATTTGGTGCCAGCTCAGAAAAAGTTATCTTTGTATTGCTGTTAGAGAGAGGTAGTTGTTTGTTTGTTTATTTGTTTTTTTAAGATGGAGTCTCACCCTGTCGCCCAGGCTGGAGTGCAATGGTGCGATCTCAGCTCACTGCAACCTCCGCCTCCCAGGTTCAAACGATTCTCCTGCCTCAGCCTCCTAGGTAGCTGGGATTACAGGTGTGCACCGCCATGTCTGGCTAATTTTTATATTTTTAGTAGAGACAGGGTTTCACCATGTTGGCCAGGCTGGTCTCGAACTTCTGATCTTGTGATCCACCCACCTCGGCCTCCCAAAGTGCTGGGATTACAGGCGTGAGCCACTGTGCCTGGCCGAGAGGTAGTTTTAATTGCCCTTGCTGCCTCCAAAATCCTGTGTTTTGTGAGATATGAACATTCATTTCATCAGTTATTCCATGATAATCTGCAAAAAAGGGTTCATACCAGAAGAGATGAAGACAGCAAGGCTGGATTCTCAGAAACAGTGAGTAAAAATAACTTGCAGAATCTCTATGGTGAAATTCCTTTGTGTCCACTCTACTCTGGGCATAATATACCTAATTGGTATATTCTTTTTTTTTTTTTTTGAGACGGAGTTTTGCTCTTGTCACCCAGGCTGGAGTGCAATGGCGTGATCTCAGCTCACTGCAACCTCTGCCTCCCAGGTTCAAGCAATTCTCCTGCCTCAGCCTCCCAAGTAGCTGGGATGACAGGCGCATGCCACCACGCCCAGCTAATTTTTTTATTTTTAGTAGAGACGGGGTTTCACCATGTTGGTCATGCTGGTCCCAATCTCCTCATCTCAAGTGATCCACCAGCCTCGGCCTCCCAAAGTGTTGGAATTACAGGCATGAGCCACCATGCCAGTCCCCTAATTGCTATATTCTTGATGACAAGTATCAGAAAATTATTTGATTTAAGCTCTTTGATTAAAGCTCATTTAATTTAAGCTCATTTTCTTCTTTCAAAAATTGATTATCATTCAAAGTCATCTTCTTGGGAAACATTACTGTTTTTGGGTTGTAATACAAAATAATTACAATTCTTCTTGGTTGGTTGTCACTCCTATTTCATGTGTTCATCCATACGGCCATTTATTCATTTTTACAGACATCTTTCTATACATATTCATGAAGCTTGGAAGGACACATCCCCTGCTGACTTACCTGGCTCATAAATTTGGAAGTACCTTCAGTTTACTCCTCTGTGACAGGATCAGGCCCTATGGGGGAGGTAGGCCTGTGGTATATAGCAATGCAGTGACTTGAGGGGTGAGACAGCCCCAATAAGGGCATTAGCAGGTATTAATAAGGGAGCTTCGCTAGATCCAAGCCATTCCTTCAATATCAGCTTCATCAGTAATTAAATTGACATTTTCTTTGCCTGGTTTCTGTGTCTAGCTCTCAGTGGCTCCAAATTTGAGCAAAAAGAAAAAGTAGATTTTATCTCTTAGCCCCCTACAATCCCAAATTTATATGGATGGTGGAGAGTAGGGCTTATGGAATCCTGTCTTGGCTACTAATGGCTTTGCGACCCGAGTTGTTTAACCTTTTTGTGCGTCAATTTCCCATTTGCAAAAGGAGAATCTTAATAGTATCAGCCTCATGAAACTGTTACAAAAACTACGTGGGTTTATTCATGTGTACAACTTAAAACAGTACGTAGGTTTGCAGCGGCAGGGTCTGGAAAAGGGGTGGCAGGTGCCACATCCAGCCATGAAGGTGGCAAATGGAAGCCCCTGAAACAGCTCAAGAAGCAGGCCAAGGAGATGGACGAGGAAGATGGGGCTCTCTAGCAGACACACAAGGAGGGCAGCAGAAACTGGAGATGCTGAAAGCGAGGCCGTGGCGAAGGGCCTCTGGACGCAGTGGAGTTAGGAATCCTGACACAAAGCAAGCTGCTCCTTGTGCCTGAGGCAAGGGTGGCCCTTGATCCATTCCTAGTTAAACACTTGGATTCCCTGCCATAGCACATTTTGCCACCTATAGCTGGAATGAGGTGTTGTCTTGAAGCTTGTTGTACATTTAGAAATAATCTTTCATAAAAAACAAAAATAAAAAATACTGTGCCTCATTGGATCTTTGTTTTTCCTCAGCCTTAGCTGTGAATTTAAAGTCAGCCCAGCCCAGCATCCTGCCAGAGCTTGCTCTTTGGTCTTAGTCTGACTGAATTCTGTATCATCTGGAAATAAACTAGCTCATTTGAAAGACCAAAAAAAGGCCGGGCGCGGTGGCTCACGCCTGTAATCCCAGCACTTTGGGAGGCCGAGGTGGCCGGATCACAAGGTCAGGAGATGAGACCATCCTGGCTAACACGGTGAAACCCCGTCTCTACTAAAAATACAAAAAATTAGCCGGGCGTAGCGGCGGGCGCCTGTAGTCCCAGCTACTCGGGAGGCTGAGGCAGAAGAATGGCGTGAACCTGGGAGGCGGAGCTTGCAGTGAGCCGAGATGGCACCACTGCACTCCAGCCTGGGCGACAGAGCCAAACTCCGTCTCAAAACAAACAAACAAGCAAACAAAAAAATACATGGCACATCAAAAGTACTCATTAAATGACTTTTTTTTGAGACACAGCAAGACTCTGTCACCCACGTTGAAGTGCAGTGGTGCAATCTCAGCTCACTGCACCTTCGACTTCCTTGGCTCAAGCGATCCTCTCACCTCAGCCCTCCTGAGTAGCTGGGATTATAGGCAAGTCCCACCACGCCCGGCTAATTTTATTTATTTTTTGTAGAGGCAAGGTCTCACTATGTTGGCCAGGCTGGTCTTGAACTCCTGGACTCAAGCAATCCTCTTGCCTCAGCCTCCCAAAGTGCTGGGATTACAGGCATTAACCACCACACCCGGCCAATGGATGTTATTCATAATATTTTAACCAAAATAATACTATGCTGTTCTGTAGCCCCTTCTCCACCTTTTCTTCAGTCAACCACACATCATGAATATCTTTCCATGTCTGCAAATACACTCCTATCCCATTACAATTAAAGCCTGACAAGCGTTTCACTGTGTAAAGCTTCCACAACGAATCTGCCAATCCCTTATTGCCCCCTCTTTAAACAGATATCTTGGAATTCAGGGAAAGAAGGTGGAATATGTACAAGCTTGTTAACTTCTTCCAAGTATTGATAAAAAAAAAAAAAAAACTAAAAAATAAATAAAAATAGGGTAGGTTTTATGAGCCTTGAAACCAGGAAATAGTGCCAGCCCCGTTTCATAAACTCAGAACAATATTTCCCAATACAGCTTGACTCAAATGAGAGAAAGTGTCCATAATTCCCTTTAACACACTGTTCTCGGTACTTGATAAAAAATAACATAGAAGTTTTTCCATGCTACCTAAGAGGGATCTATATGGTGCTGTTCCTTATTCTCGTCATAACTTAAAGGGAAACTTTCACAATGTCCAGAGCCCTTTATGTCCTGCAAATGAAAGAGAAGGATGTCCTCAAATTTCTTGCAGCAGGAACCCACTAAGGTGGCACCAACCTTGACTTCCAAATGGAACAGTACATTACAAAAGGAAAAGTGACCATCATCAATCTGAAGAGGACCCGGGAGAAGTTTCTGCTGGCAGCTCGTGCCATTGAAAACCCCTCTGAGGTCAATGTCATGTCCTCTAGGAACACTGGCCAGGGGGCTGTGCTGAAGGTTGCTGCTGTCATGGGAGCCACTCTTATTGCTGGTAGCTTCACTCCTAGAACCTTCACTCACCAGATCCGGTCAGCCTTTTGGGAGTGTCTGCTGATGGTTACTGATTCCAGGGCTGACCACCAGCCTCTCGCAAAGGCATCTTGTGTTAACCTGCCCACCATTGCCTTGTGTCCTCTGCACTGTGTGGACATGGCCATCCCATACAACAACAAGAGAGCTTGCTAGTGGTTCCAAAGTGGTGGACGCTGGCCTGGGAATTTCTTTGCACACGTAGCACTTTCTCCCATGAACACCCATAGGAGGTCATGCCTGATCTCTCTTTCTAGAGATCCTGGAGAGATTGAAAAAGAAGAGCAGGCCACAGCTGGAAAAGCTGAGACCCAGGAGGAATTTCAGGGTGAATGGACTGCTCCAACTCCTGAGTTCGCTGCTACTGAGCCTGAGGTTGCAGACTGGCCTGAAGTTGCGCAGGTGCCCTCTGGGCCTATTCAGCAGGTCCCCACTGAAGACTGGAGCACTCAGCCTGCCGCTGAAACTGGTCTGCAGCTCCCGTGCTCAGGCCAGTGAACGGGTAGGAACAACCACTGAGTGATCTTAAACTGTTCTTCCACAGGCTCTTAAGCAACATGGAAATAAGGCTGATGGAAAATAAACATCAATTTCTTAAAAAAAAAAAGTTGAAGAAAGGCTCTAAAAGGATCTGAGCAGTGAAATAAATTAGGTTGACCTCAGTGCTCTCATAACTTTTTATAACATCTTCCATCTTGGTAAACTCAACCATCTTATTTTTAAAAAATATTTACATTATGGAAATAAGGTTTTTACAGTGCTCCCCCAAATAAAATTACAATATAACATAGAATATGTTGTTATCAAACAATACATCTCACCTCTCTTTCACTGCTGCCATGCTCTCTTTACTCTGTACTTTTAGTTGAGAATCACAATCTTTTTTTTTTTTTCGAGATAGTCTCGCTCTGTCGCCAGGCTGGAGTGCAGTCGCGCGATCTTGGCTCACTGCAACCTCCACCTCCCGGGTTCACGCCATTCTCCTGCCTCAGCCTCCCAAGTAGCTGGGACTACAGGTGCCCACCACCATGCCAGGCTAATTTTTGTATTTTTGGTAGAGACACGGTTTCACCATGTTGGCCAGGATGGTCTCTATCTCTTGACCTCGTGATCTGCCCGTCTCTGCTTCCCAAAGTGCTGGGATTACAGGCGTGAGCCACTGCGCCCAGCACAATCTTATTAATAGTTGTGTACGGAGCCCTGCAAGCAGAGCACACACCTCCTTCACCAACTCCATGGAACATTTCATGAAATTAATCTCAGAATCATGGTGTCAGAAAGAAGAGTCTTATTTTGTCACTTCAGTTAGATCATTAGTCACTAGGCACTTCCCTCTCCCCTTCCTGCTCAGGATCTAGTTTAACTGTTAGCTGTAAGTAGACTAGATAGAAGGTTTCAGAAACATACTAAGACTTCTGAGTTAGGCTTCATATTTAAGTGTTACCTCTGCCACAGAAGGCTGGGGACAGAGTTTATAATAGAGTTTCAATAATAATGATGAGCAATATTAATTTTCTGGTTCTTTTTATTAATATGAAATTCTTTATTTGGATCAACAGATAAATGATTATCAACAAAACAGTTTTCATTATGAGTGTAATTTTACTTCGACGAGCACGCTATAGACCTTTGGAACTATTCTAATGTAGAAAATGTATAGGTGTGATATAGAAAATACATTATCTATGTTGGCGTTGAAAAAGGTGGTCTGTTACTTATTCTCATTATGTTTTCCATATGTTCTTTTGCAAGCATAAACATAAAATGTATGTAATTTCAAAATCATTTAAATATGCAATTTTTATTTCTCCATGCAACCTCCAATTTCAGGTGTTGTTTTTCAATTTATTTATTTATTTATTTAGAGACAGAGTCTCACTCTGTCGCCCAGGCTGGAGAGCAATGGTGCGACCTCGGCTCACTGCAACTTCCGCCTCCTGGGTTCAAGCAATTCTCCTGCCTCAGCCTCCCAAGTAGCTGGGATTACAGGCACCCACCACCATGCCCAGCTAATTTTTTGTATTTTTAGTAGAGACAATAGAATCTCATCTTTACCACTTTCCATCTGTGGCAGATTATATTTTCTGAGATGACACAACAGTTCTCCTCAGGCTCTTCTTAAAAAGTGACATTGGCACTACTCTCATCAAGGTTGGGCAGGGGGTTCGTCCCCTCTCCTTGAATCTGGACAAGCCAGTAATTATAGTAGAAGTGAAAGTGTGTGACTTTCCAGGCTAGGTCTTAAAAGGCAATATATAAAATATTAGTCAACAATAAAAGGAACAAACTATTGATACATGTATAGTTGGATGGATCTCAATGTGCTTAGTGAAAAAAGCCAATCTCAAAAGATCGCATACTGTATGGTTTCATTATGTAACATTCTGGAAATGACAAAATGAGACAGATGGTTGCCAGGGGACAGGTGTGAGGGTGGGAAGGAGCGAATGTGACTACAAAGAGAGAGCACTGTGGGCTCCACACATGCACATACAAATGAGTGCGTGTAAAAACTGGCAAAACAGAATAAGTTCTGTAGCCTAGTTAACAGTTTTGTGCAAATGTCCATTTCCTGGTCCTGATACTGTTCTACAGTTATAGAAGATCTCACCATTGGAGGAAGCTGAATAAAACATTCATTAGACTCTCTTACTCTATTTGCAGCTTCCTGTTAGTTTGTAATTAATTCAAAATAAGAAAGTTTTTTTCTTTTTTAACAAAAGGCAATACCACTTTTACCTGAAATGCTTGCTTTTGAAGCCCAGCTTCGATGCTATAGGGAAGTCCAGGTCACATGGAGAGGCCATGTGCAGGACTCTGGATGACAGCGCTATCTGGAGTCCCAGCCAATAGACACATGTGGGAGGAAACATTCAAATGATGCCAGCCACAGCCACCATCCACCATAACTCCGTGGAAGCCCCCAAGTGAGCCTCACTAAGCGAGAATCGCCTAGGTGAGCCCAGTCAGCTTCCAGAACCGTAAGAAGTAACTTAAGCCACTAAGTTTTGAGATAATTTATTATGCTACCAAAGATGACCAGAATACCATCAATGTGACCTGGGCCAGTCTGTGCCTCAGTTTCTTTTTTTATGAAACAGAGTACCTACACCACAAGGTTATTGCAAGCATAGAACAAGTAATCAAGTAAAAAATCTAGGACAGTGCTTATATGAGGTAAACAAATGTTAGCTACAATTATCATTATTGTGCATCCAAACTATAATAAAAGGGCAAAAAAGAGGCTGGGTGCAGTGGCTCACGCCTGTAATCCCAGCACTTTGGGAGGCCTAGGCAGTCAGATCACGAGGTCAGGAGATCCAGACCATCCCGGCTAACATGGTGAAACCCCGTCTCTACTAAAAATACAAAATTTAGCCGGGTGTGGTGGCGGGCACCTGTAGTCCCAGCTACTTGGGAGGCTGAGGCAGGAGAATGGCGTGAACCCAGGAGGCAGAGCTTGCAGTGAGATCTCGCCACTGCACTCTAGCCTAGGCGACAGAGCGAGACTCCGCGTCAAAAAAAAAAAAAAAAAAAAAAAAAAAAGAGAGAAAAAAGATATGAACTAGCGCACATAGATGGGATCGATTCCAAAACGACACTGAATGACTTTTTGCCTCTTATCCCCAGAGACTGAGCCTAAGCCACTGGAACTTGGCAATAGAATGGCTTCTATCTTGGGCACGTCCTGAGATTACTTCTATTCTCTGATTTGCCTGTGGCGTAAACATACATTCTAAATAGAAGTAAGTGATGGTTCTGTTAAGTTGTCCCCCCACTGAAACTTCGACTCCAGAGAAAGTAACTTTTTTCTTCTATATGGATAAAAGCCTTCAGACCCAAAGGTATTTGTGGGTGCTAATCTGCCCCCATGGGTCAAAAAACATTCTTTCATGGAAAATATCTATTGTGTGAACAACACTTGAGCTATTTTGGAAGTACATTATTATAATACACAGCTTTATAAAAGGCCTTGCTGCTTTGTTTTTTTCCAATTTGAGCACAAAGTATGCTAAATCAAAGTATCTTTAAGGACCCCCTTTCACTACATCATTTATTGAAAAAAATTATGTGAAGCAGGTTATAAAAACAATAATTACCCTATACTCTATAATAATAATACCCTATAATTCCCAACGGCCGGGTGCGGTGGCTCACACCTGTAATCCTAGCACTTTGGGAGGCTGAGGCAGGTGGATCACCTGAGGTCGGAGTTCGAGACCAGCCTGACCAATATAGAGAAACCCCATCTCTACTAAAAATACAAAATTAGCTGGGCGTGGTGGTGCATCCCTGTAATCCCAGCTACTCGGGAGGCTGAGGCAGGAGAATCACTTGAACCTGGGAGCCAGAGGTTGTGGTTAGCTGAGATTGCGCCATTGCACTCCAGCTTGGGAAACAAGAGGGAGACTCCATCTCAAAAAAAAAAAAAAAAAAAAAAAAGAGAAAGAAAGAAAAAAGAAAGAAAGAAATTCCCACCATACTCTTGCCTCCTGAAAGCATGGTTACTGTCAATGTCCTAATGGATAAGGGCAGCAGACAATTTGGAAGAAAGATTAGGCAGAAGGGGAGGCAGAATTGATTAGGAGTGCGGGGTTGTGAGACCACCTTCAGGGAGTCTGAATTTTCCTCAAGGGTTAGTGCCTGGCCTGAAACCAAGGGGGGCGGTCAGAAACCAAGTCAGCCCAAAGATGCTGACTGCAGCTGTCTGGCAGGGCAGCAATGCATAGTTGCAACAGAAATCCTTAGGTAGCATCTAGGTACCTAGAACTTCAGACTTTGGAAAATACCAAATCATTAAACCTTAGATTCCAGTCCTTGCCCTGATCTGCTTGTTTTTTGAGGTTACCTTAGAATCTGGATTCACTATAGCTGACTCAGCCTAGTTCATCTTGTCAGTAATATTTAATCCCTGGACAGAAATAAATGAGAGAGGCCGGGCACGGTGGCTCACGCCTGTAATCTCAGCACTTTGGGAGGCCGAGGCAGGCAGATCACTTGAGGTCAGGAGTTCAAGACCAGCCTGACCAACATGGTGAAACTCCGTGTCTGCTAACAATACAAATTAATAAATAAATAAACAAAATGAATGAGAGAGAAAACTGATGTGTTGAATGGGAGGGGAATTAGAGAGGGATGCTGGGGAAAGAAGAGGTCTAGACACACACACACACACACACACACACACACACACAGAGATGATCAAACAGTTTCTTCGTTATCAATTTGAACTCTGTTTATTTATCACAAAAAAATTAAACAATAACCAGGAAGGCTCACCACAACTTCCTGCTGCAGCTGTGACAATGTTGTTGTAGTATATTTCATGATGTATCTGTGATTAATGGCCTTTTTCATTAAGGTTTTCCCATTCAAAGTGACTTGGAATGCAAATGTGCATTTCAGCCAGGAGATTGTGGGGAAAATATTGTAGAAATGCCTGAGAAGTAGGGCAAATGTTCTGGCAGCTACGGAACCAAGAACTCCTGACTTAACAAATAACTGTGTTTTACAAAGAGCCACAGGTGACCTTGCCACTCTCCTGATCCCCCTACTGAAGGTTTGTTTTCTTTCTGTCCCAGCTAAGTTAGTCTCTTTTTACTCTCTTGGTAGTCTCTTTCAGAGTTAACTACTTCCATTATAAGTGATGAAATGTATAAGGCTCCACTTCAGATGCTGGCATTGCTACGAGCATGGTCTTTCCCTTTACTGCAATTCAGAGTTAACACTTTTGATTCTTGGGGGTTTTTAAATTATATATATCTGTTTTTAGAGATGAGGTCTCACTATGTTGCCCAGGTTGGTCTCAAACTCCTAAGCTGAAGCAATCCTCCTGCCTCAGCCTGCCAAAGTGCCAGGATTACAGGCATGAGCCAGCAGGTCCAGCCTGATTCTTGCTTTTTATATTCCAGTCTCAGAAGTAGTTTCCACTGTAGAAGTTATCTGATGACAGTCTTATTCTTTCTAGTAGTGGCTTACAATCAGGCTTAGCTTCTCCAGGAACATTACAAGATGGACTTAGTTTAAATATGTTTTAAACTAAAAGGCATTCTCTCAAATGAGTTTAAATGCATTTAATTTTTAGACAACCTACCTGACATATTTTTCTTAAAGACAATGTCTCCACTCCAAATAAATTATGGTCAAAATAAATGAAGAGCTCAAGATGATATCAATCCCACTTGTGTGAAGTCCTGGTGTTAGGTGGATGACAAGCAGAAGCCAGTTATGACAACAGGTGAGAGATCCAAAGTAATTGCCAAATTTGTTAACATTTTTCCACTTCTAAACCAACCTTAAAAGCAATCACTGGGCACGGTGGCTCACACCTATAATCCCAGCAGACAGGCCAAGGCAGACAGATCGCTTAAGCTCAGGAATTCGAGACCAGTCTGGGTAACACAGCAAAACCTCATCTCCACAAAAAATACAAAAATTAGTCGGGCTTGGTGGCATGTGCCTGTAGTTCCAGCTACTTGGGAGGCTGAGGAAAGAGGATCACTTGAGCCTGGAAGGTGGAGGTTGCAGTGAGCTGAGATTGCCACTGCATTCCAGCCTGGGTGGCAGAGGGAGACCCTGTCTCAAAAAAAATACATAAGTAGACTAAACAAAATAACAATTGAGTCAAAAGGTTTTGAAAAGTATAAAAAAAAAAAAAGAAAGAAAATTATATCTGGGGTCACACTGTTACCAGTGGCAAATCCGAACGTGTTTGCAGCAACCTCAATTCTCGCCTTCTCAGAAGAAAGAATTTGATCAAGGAGGCCGAGGCAAGAGTTAGAGCAGGAGTGAAAGTCTATTAAAAAGCTTTAGAGCAGGAATGAAAGGAAGTAAAGTACACTTGGAAGAGGGCTAAGTGGGCAACTTGAGAGATCAACTGCACTGTTTGACCTTTGACTTGGGGTTTTATATGTTGGCATGCTTCTGGGGTCTTGCATCCCTTCTCCCTGGATTCTTCCCTTGGGTGGGCTGTCCGCATGCACGGTGGCCTGCTGGATCTTGGGAGGGGAGCATGTGTAGTGTGTTTACTGGACTTGTACGCATGCTCACTTGAGGCATTCTTCCCTTACCAGCTGAATCTTCCTAGGTGGTTATATACCAGTTAAATTCCGCCATTTTGCCTCTTAGTGTGCAAGCTTGAACCCACTCACTCAATTCCTGAGATCTTATTGGGAAGCTCCTTATCATCAGTTTCAGGTTTTTTTCTATCTATTGGGAGACTGCCTTTCCCTGGAGCTGGCTGCGACCAATTATTATTATTATTATTATTATTATTATTATTATTATTATTATTATTTTGAGACAGGGTCCCGCTCTGTCTCCCAGGTTGGAGTGTACTGGCGCAATCTAGGCTCACTGCAACTTCCGCCTCCTGGTTTCAAGTGATTCTCTTACCTTAGTTTAAATAACCACAGCTGGTTAATTTTTTTGTATTTTTAGTAGAGACAGGGTTTCACCTTGTAGGCTTTTCATGCGCGTCCGTGTGAAGAGACCACCAAAAAGGCTTTGTGTGAGCAACATGGCTGTTTATTTCACCTGGGTGCAGGAGGGCTGAGTCCAAAAAGAGAGTCAGCGAAGGGAAGGGAGATAAGGGTGGGGCCGTTTTATAGGATTTGGGTAGATAAAGGAAAACTACAGTCAAACGGGGTTGTTCTCTGGCGGGCAGAGTGGGGGTCACAAGGTGCTCAGTAGGAGAGCTTTTGAGCCAGGATGAGCCAGGAGAAGGAATTTCACAAGACAATGTCATCAGTTAAGGCAGGAACAGGCCATTTTCACTTCTTTTATGGTGGAATGTCATCAGTTAAGGCAGGAACTGGCCATCTGGATATGTACGTGGCGGTCACAGGGGATATGATGGCTTAGCTTGGGCTCAGAGGCCTGACATTCCTGTCTTCTTATATTAATAAGAAAAATAAAACGAAATAGTGGTAAAGTGTTGGGATGGTGAAAATTTTGGGGGGTGGTATGGAGAGATAATGGACGATGTTTCTCAGGGCTGCTTCAAGCGGGATTAGGGGCGGCGTGGGAACCTAGAGTGGGACAGATTAAGCTGAAGGAAGATTTTGTGGTAAGGGGTGATATCATGGGACTGTTAGAAGAAACATTTGTCATTTAGAATTATTGGTGATGGCCTGGATACGGTTTTGTATGAATTGAAAAACTAAATGGAATAAGAGAAGGAGAAAAACAGGTATTAAAGGTGTAAGAATTGGGAGGACCTAGGACATCTGATTAGAGTGCCTAAGGAGATTCAGCATAGTCCTGTCAGCAAAGATTATTTATTTACTTCAAGAGTTAAGAGTGGCAGTCTAGGGATAGCACCAGGAGATATCAGCTGTGATGGCTTGGAGAAACAGTGTAAACTGGCAGTGTAAACAAGAGCAGGGCATGTATGAGTAGTTGAGAACGGTGAATAGGAGTATGACTAGACAGAAGATAGTAGGGATGACAAGTTTTTTGGGGCACAGTCTAAGTTGGTCTGGTGTTTAGAATGAGACTGGGGCCTAATAAAAAGGAGCATCTATACAGGAGCTTAAATGGGCTGTACCTTGTAGCATTCCGAGGACAGGCCTGAATTCTGAGAAGCGAAAGTGGTAAAAGTATTGTCCAGTCCTTTTTAAGTTGGTGGCTGAGCTTGATGAGGTGTGTTTTTAATAGACCATTAGTCTGTCACTGAATACTAAGAGCCTGAAAAAATGCTTGGCTGATTTGACCAATAAAGGCTGGTCTGTTATCAGACTGTATAGAGGTGGGAAGGCTAAACTGAGGAATTATATCTGACAGAAGGGAAGAAATGACTGCGGTGGCCTTCTCAGACCCTGTAGGAAAGGCCTCTACTTATCTAGTGAAAGTGTCTACCTAGACTAAGAGGTATTTTAGTTATCCGACTTGGGGCATGTTGAGTAAAGCTAATTTGCCAGTCCTGGGTGGGGGCAAATCCTCGAGCTTGAAGTGTAGGGAAGGGAGGGGGCCTGAATAATCCCTGAGGAATAGTAGAATAGCAGATGGAACACTGAGAAGTTATTTCCTTGAGGATAGATTTCCACGATGGAAAGGAAATGAGAGGTTCTGAGAGGCGGGCTAGTGGCTTGTACTATAGCATAGCCTGCCTTTGCTGGTGTGTGGCGATTAGGTCTGGTGGAACCGCCACCAATAAATCAAGCGTGATCAGGGTGAGGAACAGGAAATAAGGAAATATGGGGAAATGGGGTGAATGTCAGATGGATCAGAGAAAGACAGTCATGGGGGTCAGGTGTGGTATCAGGAATAATGTGGGAGGCTGGATTGAAGTCGGGCCAGGAACGATGGTAATTGTGGGAGACTCAACGAAGAGTGAGTACAGCTGAAGGAGCCGGGGAGCAGAAAGTATATGTGTCAGGTGTGAGGAAGAAAATAAATTTTGGAAATTATAAGAGCTGTAGAGAGTGAGTTGAGCATAGTTTGTGATTTTAAGGGCCTCTAAAAGTATTACGGCGGCAGCAGCCACGGCACAGAGACATAATGGCCAGCTTAAAACAGGAAGGTCAAGTTGTTTGGACAAAAAGGCTACAGGATGCGATCCTGGTCCTTGTGTAAGAATTCTGACTGCACAGCCCTGCACTTCAGCTGTGTGTAATGAAAAGGGTTGGGATGAGTCAGGGAGAGCTAGAGTGGGGGCAGTCTCTAAAGCTGTCTTCAAGGAATGGAAAGAGGAGTGGGGAAAGGATTTAGGATCTATGGGGTCAGCTAGGTTTCCTTTTGTGAGTTTATATAATGGTCTTGTTAGGATGGCAAAACCAGGGATCCAAAGGCGAAAGTATCTAACCACGCCCAGGGAGGAAAGGAGTTATTGTTTTGTAGAAGGGGTTGGGGTTTGAGAGTTTAGTGGGACACGATCGGCAGGGAGACCATGTGTGTTTTTATGAAGAATTATGCCGAGGTAGGTAACAAATGGAGAAGAAATTTGAGCTTTGGAGGGGGAACCCGATATCCTTTGGAGGATAAATGCTGAAGGAGCAGGAGGGTGTGTTGTTGAGAAGATTCAAAGGAGGGGCTACAAAGAAGAAGGTCATTAATATATTGAATAAGGTGAGAAGCGGAGGAGTGGAAAGAAAGTAAATCATGAGAAAGAGCTTGGCTGAAGTAATGAGGGCTGTCCCTGAAACCTTGTGGCAGCACAGCCCAGGTAAGCTGCTGGGACTGATGTGTGTCAGGGTCAGTCCAGGTGAAAGCAAAGAGAGGCTGGGATGAGAGGTGCAGGGGAATAGTGAAAAAAGCATCTTTAAGATCAAGAACGGAACAGTTAGTTGTGGAGGAAGGTATTGAGGACAAAAGAGTGTACGGGTTGGGCACTACAGGGTGGATAGGCAAAACAATTTGGTTGATAAGGTGCAGATCCTGAACTAACTTGTAAGGCTTGTCTGGTTTTAGGACAGGTAAAATGGGGGAATTGTAAGGAGAGTTTATAGGTTTTAGAAGCCCATGCTATAGCAGGTGAGTGATAACAGGCTTCAAGCCTTTTAAATTGTGCTGTGGGATGGGATATTGGCGTTGAGTGGGGTAAGGGTGGTTAGGTTTTAATGGGATGGTAATGGGCATGTGACCGGTTGCCAGGGAAGGAGTAGCGATGTCCCATACTTGTGGGTTAAGGTAGGGGGGTATGAGAGGAAGACGCAAAGGAGGCATTGGGTTGGGGAGAAGGGCAGCAATGAGATGCAGCTGTACTCCAGGAATAGTCAGGGGAGCAGATAATTTGGTTAAAATATCTCGACCTAATAAGGGAACTAGGCAGGTGGGGATAACTAAAAAGGAGTGCTTAAAAGAGTATTGTCTAAGTTGGCACTAGAGTTGGGGAGTTTTAAGAGGTTTAGAAGCCTAGCCCTCAATACACACAGCAGTTATGGAAGCAAGGGAAACAGGCCCTTGAAAATAAGGCAATTGTGGAGTGAGTAGCCTCCATATTGATTAAGAAGGGGATGGACTTACCCTCCGCTGTGAGAGTTACCTAGAGCATCTGTGATGGTCCTGTAGGCTTCTGAGGCTATTGGGCAGTGTCAGTCTTCAGCTGCTAAGCTGAGAAGATCTGGGAAGGAGTCAGTCAGAGAGCCTTGGGCCAGAGTTCTAGGGGCTCTGGAAGTGGCTGCCAGATGAGTTGAACAGTCCAGTTTTCAGTGGGGTCCTGCACAGATGGGACATGGCTTAGGAGGAATCCCGGGCTGTGGGCATTCCTTGGCCCAGGGGCCAGATTTCCGGCACTTGTAGCAAGCTCCTGGGGGAGGAGGTTCTGGAGGAACCCCTGGCAGCTGCGGTTCAGGCGTCTGGAGTTCTTGTGTGCTGGAGATGTGGCTGGGGTTTGTCTCACAGTGGAGGCAAAGAATTGCAACTCAGAAACATGTTGCTACTTGGCTGACTCTAGTGTATTATTGTACACCTTGAAGTTGAGGTTAATTAAGTCCTATTGTGGGGTTTGAGGGCTGGAATTTAATTTTTGGAGATTTATTTAACGTTGGGAGCAGATTGGGTAATAAAATGTATATTGAGAATAAGACGGGCTTTTGACCTTTTAGGGTCTAGGGCTGTAAAGTGTCTCAGGGTTGCTGCCAAATGAGCCATGAACTGGGCTGGGTTTTTCATATTTGGTGAAAGAGCCTAAATGCTCACTGATTTGGGAGAGGTCTGATAAAGAAAAAGAAGCATTAACCTTGACTATGCCTTTAGCTTCAGCTACCTTTTTAAGAGGAAATTGCTGGGCAGGTGGGGGAGGGCTACTCACGGAATGAAACTGTAAACTGGACTGGGTGTGAGGAGGGGAGGTGATAAAAATATTACAGGGTGGAGGAGCAGAGGCTGAGGAAGAATTGGGACCTAGCTTGGCCTGGCGAAGAGCAGCCTGGGGAGGAGGCGGAGAGGACAGATGGGTCTGTAGAAAAGGAAGATTAGAAAGACTCAGCGACACTTGGGGTTGGTACTGAGGGGACAGGTAGGAGGGAAAGAAGGAAGATTTGGGACGAGTTGCATTGGGCACAGAGACTAGGGAGGGACCGATGTGTAAAAGAATGCCTGGACATCAGGCACCTCAGACCACTTACCTATTTTTTGACAAAAATTATTTAGGTCTTATAGGATGGAGAAATCGAAAATGCCGTTTTCTGGCCATTTACAACCACTGTCCGGTTTGTATTGGGGTCAAGCGGCATTGTAGAAGAAAATAAGGCATTTAGGTTTTAGGTCAGGTGAGAGTTGAAGAGGTTTTATGTTCTTAAGAACACAGGCTAAGGGAGAAGGAGGAGGAATGGAGGGTGGAAGTTTGCCTATAGTGAAGGAGGCAAGTTTAAAGAAAAGGGAGAGTAGAGACATGGAGGGAAGCGGTTCAGGGGTTCTTACCCTCCAGAAAAGCAGGAAAGGGGTCGGGGCATGGAAATAAGGGATCAGGGCACAGAGATGTAAGAGGTTGGGGTGTGGAAATAAGGGATTGGGGTGCAGAGATACGAGGTTGGGTACTTGCCCCTCCCCCAGAAAAGCAGGACTTGCTGCTAAGGGTGAAGGAGAAGGGGTTGGGGGTTTCTTGCCCCCCAGAAATGTGGAGAAGGGGTAGAGACACAGAGAGAAGGGGTTGGGGTACTCGCCCCTCCCCTAGAAAAGCGGGACTTGACGCTAGGGGTGAAGGACCATGGCAGGCATCCCTGCGTGGTCTGATACCTCTGAAACGTGGATGAATAATCAGAGAGGAGTCCCTGCAATGATTAAACACCAAGGGAAGGCTGCCTTCCCAGTCCGTGACCGGCGCTGGAGTTTTTGGGTCCATGGATAAAATGTGTCTCCTTTGTCTCTACCAGAAAATGAAAGGAATTGAAATTAAGAGAAGGGAGAGATTGAAGAGTGGAAAGGAGAAAGTGGTTGAGGGATAATGAGAGAGGTTGGAGAAGAGAGTAAGAAGAGGCCGCTTACCCGATTTAAAATTGGTGAGATGTTCCTTGGGCTGGTGGGTCTGAGGACCTGAGGTCGTAGGTGGATCTTTTTCACGGAGCAAAGAGCAGGAGGACAAGGGATTGATCTCTGAAGGGAGGTCCCCCGATCCGAGTCACGGCACCAAATTTCACTTGTGTTGGTGTGAAGAGACCACCAAACAGGCTTTGTGTGAGCAACATGGCTGTTTATTTCACCTGGGTGCAGGCGGGCTGAGTCCAAAAAGAGAGTCAGCGAAGGGAGATAAGGGTGGTGCCGTTTTATAGGATTTGGGTAGATAAAGGAAAATTACAGTCAAAGGGGGTTGTTCTCTGGCAGGCAGAGTGGGGGTCACAACATGCTCAGTAGGGGAGCTTTTGAGCCAGGATGAGCCAGGAGAAGGAATTTCACAAGACAATGTCATCAGTTAAGGCAGGAACAGGCCATTTTCACTTCTTTTATGGTGGAATGTCATCAGTTAAGGCAGGAACCGGCCATCTGGATGTGTACATGCAGGTCACAGGGGATATGATGGCTTAGCTTGGGCTCAGAGGCCTGACAAGGCTGGTCTCAAACTCCTGACCTCAGGTGATCTTCCTGCCTCGGCCTCCCAAAGTGCTGGAATTACAGCCATGAGCCACCACGCCTGGCCATGACCAATTATTATCTTAGAGAGACAGTTAACAACCGCCTGACCATCACCTGATGGTTGCCTGACATTCCTGGTGGGGGTGGGTGGAGCCCTCTTCTTCCCTGCTCATGCCTAACTAGCTACCTCCTGTAGTAACACCAGTCTCATGGTAGTCCAATAGAGCAACCATGCCATCTAGGTTCAGGTTTTCACTAATAAAAACTGGTATTGTTTTTGAAATTAGCAAGGGTGTGCTTGATTTGTTCTGCAGCCTCTGTCGTAACAGGTTTTAGTCTTTCCTGGTCTCTGTTCTTCAAGTTTGCCTTTGATTGATTGCATGTAATCTTGGATGTACTTCTTTATGCTTCCTTTGTAAAGCTGCTTTCTTTCAAGGGATGGTTCTTGACAATCTTAACACCAGTGATTACAGTGCTTTCTGTACATTTGCCCTTTGGGCCTTCAGTGGAGGCATTTCCACCAATGAGGGAGTCATCAATGCTACTCTCTGTCCTAGTGACCATCTTCTCCTCCACCTCCAGGCACAGCCATCTCCTGGATCTTGTAAATGTTGCAGAACATCTCATCGTGGCTGATGAGGTCCTGGTGAATAATCATAATTGCGGCTGAAGGGAGAGGCAGCGGGGCTAGCTTAGCAGGAGCCCTGAGCTTGAGCAGTGCAGTGCTGGGGGTGAGGGGAGCCAGTGGAAAAGCCCTAATAGGAGTTCTGAAAGGCATAACAATGACAGAAAACCCAGTTACTCATTTGAGAGAGTTTGTGGGTTCAGGAGTAGGAGAATGGAAATTGGGAATAACAGCTTGGAATAGTGGACCTCAGAGAAAGTTTCCTGCAAAAATTGCTGAAGCCAGCAAGGGGTAAGAATTAAATAATACACCTTATATACTATCTTAAATTGTACTCGTTAGAGATTACTCGCAATTAATTATCATCATCCTGTTTTTAAAATGGCTGACTAAACCAATGAAAACTTTTTGTAAATTTCTTACATATGGCAACTTTTCCCTAACCTCCTTTCATGGTTCTCAAACTTTGGCATTCATAGAAATCACCTGGAGAGCTTGTAAAATTGGAAATTCCTGGAGTCCTGCCTTCAGAGTCTGATTCAGTAGATGGAGCCCAAGAATCTGCATTTGAATATTCATTTGGGTGTTTCCAAATTAATTATCCATTGTGTGTTTTACCTATCACTGTTGAGTCTCATATAGGTGACCCTTGGTTCACATTTTGAGAAACATTTTGTCTAGATGCACTGAGAAAATGATAGTTTGACCTCTGTTCTGCTACTTACTGGCTGACCCTGAGCAAGTCACTTTTATTCTCTGGGCCTCAGTTTCCTCTTGTGTAAAATGCAGTGGTAGATGATGGTAAGAATGAAATGAAAATACCTATAAGGGACCATATACATAAATGTAAATTCCCTCAACTGTTATTCTAGTTAAATACTGAGGACTTACTAGATTGCTTCCCCAATAAGTTGTGTTCTAACACCAAACTGAATTATCCAAACTTTTGAAATGCAGTCTATTTGTATCCTTGCGTCTTGAACCTGGTATAAGGTTGAACTTATTTACCAAATACCATGTGTCCAGAAAGCAATTTACTTTCATTTTTTTTTGAGATGGAGTCTCGCTCTGTTGCCTAGGCTGGAGTGCAGTGGCGCCATCTCGGCTCACTGCAAGCTCCACCTCCCGGGTTCATGCCATTCTCCTGCCTCAGCCTCCTGAGTAGCTGGGACTACATGCAACCGCCACCACACCCGGCTAATTTTTTGTATTTTTAGTAGAGACAGGGTTTCACCGTGTTAGCCAGGATGGTCTCCATCTCCTGACCTTGTGATCTGCCTGCCTTGGCCTCCCAAAGTGCTGGGATTATAGGTGTGAGCCACCGCGCCAGCCGCAATTTACTTTCTAATGCTACAGACTGTCAGCGTAAATGTTAAGGTCATTAATTTTGCATAGAACTTAGTCTGTACACTGCTTTCCCATAACTCTAGTTTACATGGGATAATTCCCCTTATAAATCCTACACACTGTGACATAGGCCTAAGGTTTGTCATGCTCTTACAATCTCAGGGCTCTGCAGGAATTCATTCTTCTTTTTTCTTTTTTTTTTTTTTTTTTGAGACAGGGTCTCACTTTGTCACCCAGGCTGGAGTGTAGTGGTGCGATCTCAGCTCACTGCAACCTCCGCCTCCCAGGCTTAAGTGATTCTCCTGTCTCAGCCTCCCAAGTAGCTGGCATTACAGGTGTGAACGGCCATCACCTGGCTAATTTTTGTATTTTTAATAGAGATGGTTTCATCATGTTGGCCAAGCTGTCTTCTTTTTTTCCCTTTGTATTGCTTTCCTAGTCTACTCAATCCCCATTAATTTAATAATTTTAATAATTTTAATTTAATAATTTTCCATAAGGTTTATGCACAAAAGATTAAGAAAACAGTGTTTAAGGAATTGATGATTTCATAAGATTTATATAGATTAGATTAAGAAAACAATGTTTAAGACATTGTCCATTGCGACTAAAACTTCAAAAGTGCCTACTTTTGAGTGTTTTGTTTGCTTTTTTTTTTTTTGGAGAGGGCATCTCAGTATGTTGCCCAGGTTGGACTCAAATTCCTGGGCTCAAGTGATACTTCCACCTTAGCCTCCAGAGTAGCTGGAACTCTAGGCATGCGCCACTGCACATACCTTTGCCTACCCACTTTGTATCTGAATAAACAACAAATCTGAATCTTCCATGAGCAATTCACATAATTATTGAAATAATAAATAGATTTACATTTGTTTTCAAAAAGTTGCCTGTGTAATTTGTACACATGGTCCTCAAATACCAATGTAGAACGATGCATAGGTTCCCGTCTCTTTTTGGTAGTATATAAATGGTGTAGTATTAAGTTTCAAGTCTAACTTACCACACTGTGCCCATTGTGTGTGCCCATTGGCCAGGCCAGTCCCTGGCACACAGTGCACCCTCAAAAAAATATTTGTTGAATGAATGCATAGGTTTGGAATTTCAGTGGGAGTTGAATTTCTCTTAGAAGCTTATTCAGTTGTTTATGTGATACTCTATATTTTGTTACCTGTTGATTATTTTACTACCTTTGTTCAAAATGATTCCTGATCAGATGGCAAAGAAAATCAGTTCAGAAGACCAGGTGTGGTGGCTCATGCCTATAATCCCAGCCCTTTCAGTGGACAATGTGGGCAGATCATTTGAGGTCAGGAGCTTGAGACCAGCTTGTTCACCAACATGGTGAAACCCAATCTCTACTAAGTACAAAACGTAGCCGGGTGTATGGCCGGGCACAGTGGCTCACACCTGTAATCCTAGCACTTTGGGAGGCCAAGGTGGGGGGATCACCTGAGGTCAGGAGTTCAAGACCAGGCTGGCCAACATGGTGAAACCCCGTCTCAACTAAAAATACAAAAAAAAAAAATTAGCTGGATGTGGTGGTGGGCACCTTGAATCCCAGCTACTTAGGGAGTTTGAGGCAGGAGAATCACTTGAACCTGGGAGGCGGAGGTTGCAGTGAGCCAAGATGGTGCCACTGCACTCCAGCCTGGATGACAAGAGTGAAACTCTGTCTAAACAAGAAAAAAAAAAAAAATTAGCCGGGTGTGGTGGCACATGCTTGAAATCCCAGCTACTCGGGAGGCTGAGGCAGGAGGGTTGTTTTAACCCAGGAGGCAGAGGTTGCAGTGAGCCGAGATTGCGCCACTACACTCCAACCTGGGTGACAGAGCGAGACCTCATCTTAAAAAAAGAGAAAAAGCTGGCTGGGTGAGGTGGCTCACGCCTCTAATCCCAGCATCTTGGAAGGCCGAGGCGGGTGGATCACAAGGTCAGGAGCTCGAGACCAGCCTGACTAACATGGTGAAACCCTGTCTCTATTAAAAATACAAAAATTAGCTGGGCGTGGTGGTGAGGGTCTGTAATCCCAGCTACTCAGGAGGTGGAGGCAGGACAATCACTTGAACCTGGGAGGCGGAGGTTGCAGTGAGCCGAGATCACACCTCTGCACTCCAGCCTGGGTGACAACAGCAAAACTCCATCTCAAAAAAAAAAAAAAAAAAGAACAATAGCAACAACAAAGAAAATCAGTTCAGAAGATGGGAATGTGATAAACCTCATTTCTTTAAAAATCTTCAGATGCTTTTTAGAGTATGATTCTCCAGAGTTGCTGGTGATAATTTTTCAGTTTGCCTTCATCTTCAGCCTTCTTCTAATATTTGAGCTGGATGTTTACTCTTTCCTACATGAATTGGCTTTCCCTCTGACTTCGTTTGACACTGATCTCCTCTGGTTGTCTTTCGGGTTGTTCTTTCTGTATCCTTCACTGATTCTTTTTATTTAAGTGTAGCCAATCATTGACCATCTGTTGTTCTTGTTTTGCTATTCCTGTCAGAGAGTGTCTATTTTCAAGATTTCAATAGCTGTCTATATACCTGGTCCTGGCTTCACTCCTTCATCTTCAAATACTGCTTGAAATCCTCCAATTTGGGGGTTCTGCCTATTTCACACTCATTGGGTTCATAACTGAGCTCATTGCTTTGGAAGCAGCAATCTTCTTGGAACTTCTGTACTTTTGACAGGGGTCCCTTGATTCATTCATCCAGACTCAAAAAGAGTGATCTTTAAAATGCACTTCCTTCATTTTATTTTGGAGATTATCAGTGAAATCTCTGACCACTGAATGGATAATGTGGACACTAATATACTGTCATTCCAGAGAAGCCATGTGCCTAAAATTCTCCCCTGTGTCAGAGGGAGTTTGTGAGGCAGTCACATCAGGCCTGATACTTTTCCAGTAACTGCCAGAGGAAATGGCATATGCGAGCGATGTGGCAGTCATACTGTGTCCGGAATTGGTGGGTTCTTGGTCTCGCTGACTTCAACAATGAAGCCGCGGACCCTTGCAGTGAGTGCTACAGTTGAAGATGGTGTATCTGGAGTTTGTTCCTTCAGATGTTCAGATGTGTCTGGAGTTTCTTCCTTCTGGTGGGTTCGTGGTCTCGCTGACTTCAGGAGTGAACCTGCAGACCTTCACAGTGAGTGTTACAACTCTTAAAGGCAGCGCATCTGGAGTTGTTCGTTTCTTCCCATGGGTTCATGGTCTCGCTGGCTTCAGGAGTGAAGCTGCAGGCCTTTGCAGTGAGTGTTACAGCTCATAAACGTGGCACAGACCCAAAGAGTGAGCAGCAGAAAAATTTATTGTGAAGAGTTAGAGACAAAGCTTCCACGGCAGGGGAGGGGACCCGAGTGGATTGCTGCTGCTGGCTGGGGCAGTCTGCTTTTATTCCCTTATCTGGCCCCACCCACATCCTGCTGATTGGTCCATTTTACAGAGAGCTGATTGGTCCATTTTGACAGGGTGCTGATTGGTGTGTTTACAATCCCTGAGCTAGACACAGAGTGCTGACTGGTGTATTTACAATCCTCTAGCTAGACATAAAAGTTCTCCAAGTCCCCACTAGATTAATTAGACACAGAGCACTGATTGGTGCATTTAAAAACCTTTTGCTAGACACAGAGTGCTGATTGGTGCATTTACAATCCTCCAGCTTGACATAAAACTTCTTCAAGACCCCACCAACTCAGGAGCCCAGCTGGCTTTGCTTAGTGGATCCAGCCAGCGGGGCAGGGGCAGAGCTGCTGCAAGTCCCACGCCGCATGCCTGCACTCCTCAGCCCTTGGGCAGTCAATGGGACGGCAGGGCGCGGTGCCCCTCAGGGAGGCTCTGCCCGCACGGGAGCTCACATGGCATAGGGGGGAGCTCAGGCATGGTGGGCTGCAGGTCCCGAGCCCTGCCCCAGTGGGAGGCGGCTGAGGCCCGGCGAGAATTTGGGCATGGTGCGGGCGGGCCGGCAGTGCTGGGGCACCCAGCAGCTGCTGGCCTGGGTGCTAAGCCCCTCACTGCCCTCGGCCAGTGGCTCCGGCCGGCTGCTCCAAGTGTAGGGCCCACGGAGCCTGCGCCCACCCGGAACTCGCACTGGCCCATGAGCGCCACACGCAGCCCCGATTCCCGCCAGCGCCTCTCCCTCCACACCTCTCTGCAAGCAGAGGGAGCTGGCTCTGGCCTTGGCCAGCCCAGAGAGGGAGTCCCACAGTGCAGCGGCGGGCTGAAGGGCTCCTCAAGTGCGGCCAGTGGACGCTGAGGCCGAAGAGGCACTGAGAGCAAGCAAGGGCTGCCAGCACGCTGTCACCTTTCAATACCGCTGAACTACATGAGGTAATCACAACTGTGGAAAAGGGCAAGAATTAAAGTACTAATTGTACAGATCAAGATGTTGCTTATCTTGCCATAGCTTTAGGATATTTGAAGAATGTGTTCATAGAAAATGAGACCCAAGTTAACTCCAAATAAGTTCTGAAAAGCATTCCCATTATAATAGTAAAGAATCATACTGAAACACTGTCACAAAACCAGTGACTCAAAACCCAAGCTGTCTGACGCTCAGCAATGGTACAATTGCAGTAGCCTGACCTATAAAAGTACCCTCACCTAGAGGTTGTGGGTCCTATGGGACACTGATTTACCAAGATAGTGTCAGGATTAGCAGACATACTCCAATCTACTTGTTGGATGAATTAGGTTCAAAAATCAAAGAAAGGAAAAAAAACCCTTCTGTAAGGAAGTAGATGCAGATGGAAAGGCCAGATTAAAAACACTGGCTGAGCTCCAAGTTGTAAGTTTTCATGGAATAGAACAAGAGCATGGTAATTAATTTGCAGTAAAAAATAAGTCACCAACAAGCAGGGTATTTCAAACAATAAAAATACAAACATGATCAAAAGAAAAGTAAACTTGCTGAGTAATTCTAACAAAGGGAGTTACTGCAGCCAGGAAATATGGAACATTTTAAATAGGTAAGAATAGCTCTAGAATATTAGAATAATATTTCAGGGTCAAAGTTAAGTTGTTAGCTTTTTGTTTTTTGTTTTTTTTTTTTTTGAGATGGAGTCTCGCTATGTCACCCAGGCTGGAGTGAAGTGGCGTGATCTGGGCTCACTGCAACCTCTGCCTCCCACGTTCAAGCGATTCTTCTGCCTCAGCTTCCCAAGTAGCTGGGACTACAGGTGCCTGCCACCACGCCCAGCTAATTTTTGTATATTTAGTAGGGACGAGGTTTCACCATATTGGCCAGGCTGGTTTTGAACTCCTGACCTTGTGATTCGCCCGCCTTAGCCTCCCAGACTGCTGGGATTATAGGCATGAGCCACCGCGCCCAGCAAGTTGTTAGTTTTTAATCACGTATTTTAAACATTTTGGAGTTTACTCAAAAAATTCAGAGTTAAACCCTGTAGGAAATGACTGAAAAGCTTCTGAAGTGGAAAAAAAAAAAGGAGAAAATTTTGAAATTGGTAAAAATTTAGTGACTAGAACATAGGAAAATGTGATTCAGTTAGACTGTCTTGAACGTTAGTCTCTGAGCATATAAATAATGTGCAAAGCATTATTTTCCAAATAAAACAAAGCAAGACCAACTAGGAAAAGGATAATTCTCATGTAGAAATCAAATGAAAGCTTTAAAACCAAATACTCCTAACAAGAAAGTGTCGTGAAGTCATCCAGGTAAAGGAATGTAGGTCCAAAAAGCCCACTAAAGACCCTCAAATGTCTTTACTCATAATACTTAGTATATAGTCCAGTTAAAATTCCAGGGCAGAGCGCCTTCCTGGAGAGAGGCTTTATAAGCTTATATTTGGAAAGGTTAAAGATGATTTGAAATTGTGTCATCTATCAAAGGCAAACCAAGAGGCTTTGTCAAGAGGGTGAGCCTACACTGCAGAGAAAGTTTTTGAATTTGTTCCAGAAGAATGTTGTCCTATGCAATTAGTCCAAGGGATTAAGAACAGGTTTCCTAATACACTTTTAAAAACTTTTTATTATTAAAAAAGGATGCAGGCTGGGGGCGGTGGCTCACGCCTGTAATCCCAGCACTTTGGGAGGCCGAGGTGGGTGGATCACGAGGTCAGGAGATCGAGACCATCCTGGCTAACACGGTGAAACCCCGTCTCTAGTGAAAATACAAAAAATTAGCTGGGCGAGGTGGCGGGCGCCTGTCGTCCCAGCTACTCGGGAGGCTGAGGCAGGAGAATGGCATGAACCCCGGGGGGCGGAGCTTGCAGTGAGCCAAGATCACGCCACTGCACTCCAGCCTAGGTGAAAGAGCGAGACTCCGTCTCAAAAAAAAAAAAAAAAAAAAAAAAAAAAAGAATGCAGTAAACCACACAAAACAAGTGTATAATGTAGTAAACCATTACAAGGTACTCTTGTAATCATTACCCGTATAAAGAAATGGAACACAGCCAGCTGCCCTAGAAGTCCTCATGTGCCTATCCCAGTCATACTCTGTCCCTGTTCCCATTATTACCTGAAAGTCCATCGTGTGGACTCCATAATTTAGTCTCAATAATAGAATTTGAAAGTCGATATCCCCATCTTTCCAAAAGGTCAGTAACTGGTGACAACCCTAGCACCCTAGTACCTTCCTTTGCTTCTACCCCAGACTTGTTTTTTAAGTTAAGTAAGTCTCCAGTCTCTGGAGATCCATCTTGAAACAGGCGGTCTTTCAACAATACTTTCTGCTGAGACATTGTCTGGTTAGATCTGGAAAGGAACGCGTGGACCAATACATTCTATTGGTAGAAAAGGAGCATCGCACATGAAAGCTCTTCTCGGAGGAAGCCTCACTTAAGAAAAGTGAATCATACTACTAGGTGGCTTAATATACAAGACAGTATACCCAAATTAACTGTTTGCAAAATATGTTACAATCCTGAGACAACCCAGCTTGATAGGATTCCCACTGGCCAAATCTGAGACAATCTAAGCATCAAAATACATGAAGATGGCTGTAAATTACAGTCCATTGAATAAAATAAGAATCTGTGAGTCCAGGCTGGGCACAGTGGCTCACGCCTGTAATCCCAGCACTTTGGGAGGCTGAGGCAGGTGGATCCCTTGAGTCCAGGAGTTCGAGACCAGCATGGACAACGTGGCGAAACCCCATCTCAACAAAAAAACACAAAAATTAGCTGGGCATGGTGGTGCATGCCTGTTGTCCCAGCTACTAGGGAGGCTGAGGAGGGAAGATCACTTGAGCCTGGGAGGTTGAAGCTGTGGTGAGCTGTGAGCATGCCATTGCAGTCAAGCCTGAGTGACAGGGCAAGACCCTGTCTCAAAAAAAAAAAGGGATCTGTGAGTCTATACCAATAATACCAATATAGATGAATGGAAGGAAGAGAAAGCTGTTCTTTATGGTAATATAAATATATACTCTTTTTATGCTAATGTGTGATAATTATAGAAGGTGTGATGGAGTTATAAAATCATCAATGGACGTTGAAACAATGGGTGAAGCTTGATGATGAGCAGTGTGCATACACAGCATCTCCCTACACGTTACTTACATTTACAAAGGAGAGAACAGTAAATTCACAAGGCAGCTACCACCTTCACCAAATAAGCAAAGCTAATTTCACCAACGTGAGGACAAACCAACATTATGCATCCTTCCCCCTCTTCCCGTATTGTCATACACTGAGAAGGATGCTGTATCACTTGACAAAGATACAGTTTTGCTTGGTCGAACTTTAGTCAGGCTTCTGAATCTTCTGCTAGGTCCATCTGTGTATTTTCTCGTAAAATCCAGTTTTAGCAAAGGACCCTGCCAAGTCACTTTAGCAAGGAACCCCCACATTATTGATATCTGATCATCTTCAGTGTGTGATCATATTCCTCATCTTCCACCATCTCCTGGGTGATGTCTGATCATTCTGGTCTCTCTTCAGCAAGAATCCTATTGGTTGCTTTAGCCAGAATCCCCCTCACCCCTGATGTTTACTCTTGGTAATTTTCCATCCATTGACCCCACCCTGCTCCTTGGCTATAAATTCCCACTTGCCCATGCTGTATTCAGAGTTGAACCCAATCTGTCTCACCCACTGATTTGAGATCAGTCTCAAATCCATCTACCTGACTGACTAAAATTAAGAGTTTATAAAGTAGGGAAGGAATGTAACAACATTCAGGGAAACAGGAATTAGGGAGGAGTAAGGAAGAGGAGTTGGTCAACAGGAAGCAGGTAATTGCTTCACAATCATGATGGGTGAGGGGTCTGATGTTTCCTTGTTCAGATGCAGTCATCTGGTAAATTCCAATTCCTTGATGCTATCTGAGAGCCCTGATGGTTTATTTCTTGAGAAAGGAACTCAGATAAGACAAATGTAACTTTTTCGTTTTAAGACTAGGAGGGCCAATTTCTATGTTTATTCAGAAAAACCATAAACATTAGTTCTATGGGACAATTGGGCCAGTTTCATAAACAATGCTACAATATCTGCAAAATTCACCTCCTGCAGAGTCTGAGATATCATTCAAATTCAGAGTTCTTTGAGTTTCTTGTTCCAGAGGAATTTACAGTTTGGAAGCTACATTCTCCCTAATATTAAAAATAGGGGTTGTGAAAATCTCTAATACTAGAGAGGTGAGTGCAAAACTTTTATCAGTATTGATATAAATATTCAAAGTCTTCATTATCATTATTATCATTCTTTATATTAGTTTCTAATTTCCTTCTTAATAAGAAGAGCCAAGACCCTTAATTTGGGGGAAATATTTATTATGTAATATTGAAGTAGATGATGGGTCACTTGTTAATATTGTAGAAGGATTTTATGTATCAAGCAAGAACACAAGGGAGCTGTGATTCTGACTGCTAAGATTAAATTTTAAATATTTTCAGTTAGAAATTCTTCCTAAGAAACAGTACCTACAATTTAGAGTTTTGAAGTCTGGAACTCATATGTTCCCTGTCCCTGGATCCTGCTGCCTTCAATGTTGTGCTAAAGAGCAGTCATTTTCTAGGTCAACAATTCTGACCCTCTAGTTGTTACATAATAAACCATCAGCCTCTGAATGTATTGGTCAGCATCTGTTCATTTGCTAATTATTTTAGAACATTAACTGGTTCTTGGCCAAATGCTGATCCTGATAGACATTAGGCCAAATGTTGATCTGCACTCACCAGATCAACTCTGAGGATGCTTGTGAGTGCTGGAGGAACTATTTAAAATCACCCAGTCCAATGCCATCATTTTGTTGTATGTGATGCTTTCATCTCCTACCCAAACCTGAAATGTGAGTCCCAAGTTCTGGTCCAAAATGGCCACTGATGTATTTTGCAACTTTGGTAAAAGTAGTAGAAACAAAACACTTTTTTTTTTTTTTTTTTGGAGACGGAATCTCACTCTGTTGCCCAGGATGGAGTGCAGTGGTACAATCTCAGCTCACTGCAACCTCCGCCTCCCCGGTTCAAGGGATTCTCCTGCCTCAGCCCCCTGAGTAGCTGGGACTACAGGTGACCACCACCATGCCTGGCTAATTTTTGTATTTTTAGTAGAGACGGGGTTTCGCCATGTTGGCTAGGCTGGTCTTGACCTCAAGAGATCCGCCTGCCTCAGCCTCCCAAAGTGCTGGGATTACAGGTGTGAGCCACCATGCCCGGCCCAAAACTCTTTTAAAATTTATTAAAATCTTGTTAATGAAAGAGGAAATGGATGCTCTAACAGTTATGAAGAGTTTACCAGGCAAAAATCTGAAAAAAGAGTAATAAGTTTATTTTTTAAAATTTTTATTATTTTTTTGAGATGGAGTCTCATTCCGTTGCCCAGGCTGGACTGCGGTGGCATAATCTTGGCTCACTGCAACCTCTGCCTCCCAGGTTCAAGTGTTTCTCTTGCTTCTGCCTCCTGAGTAACTACAACCACCACGCCTGGCTAATTTTTGTATTTTTAGTAGAGATGGGGTTTCACCATGTTGGCCAGGCTGGTCTCGAACTCCTGACCTCAAGCCTCCTAAAATGCTGGGATTACAAGCATGAACCACTGTGCTCAGCTGAGTAATAAGTTTAGATGAGAGGAGGAGAGTGCAAAACACATTTTATTTGACAATTTTTTTTGGATGTAAAGTTTAAAATGTTAAAACAATTTGAATTTTATAAAAAGCCAAATATGTAATAATCTGAAGAACACTACATTTAACCAGTATATTGGACATCAAAGGGCTTTAAATATGTTTTTGGCTGGGTGCGGTGGCTCACGCCTGTAATCCCAGCACCTTGGGAGGCCAAGGTGGAAGGTTGGGAGTTCAAGACCAGCCTGGCCAACATGGTGAAACCCCATCTCTATTAAAAATACAAAAATTAGCCAGGCTTGGTGGCCGGCACCTGTAATCCCAGCTACTTGGGAGGCTGAGGCAGGTGAATTGCTTGGACCCAGGAGGCGGAGGCTGCAGTGAGGCAAGATCACACCGTTGCACTCTAGCCTGGGCAAAAGAGCAAGACTCCATCTCAGAAAAAAAAAAAAAAATCTATTTTCCAAAGAGAGAAAGACCTGTGGCCTTTTGGAAGAAAATATCAGCTCCACCTTTAAGTTAATTATTAATAACATCTCTAATTTTTTGCTTTCTCATAAAAAAATCAGTGCTATAGAGTCAACTTCTTAAGACTTTGGTGAGAATTAAATGAGATAGTATGAAGGCACATAAAAAGAATTTACATTCCTTTTCCTTATAATCCCAATCTATCCTATTAAAAAAACTTACAGGTATTAATGTTAAAATGAGTCATTGGCATGTCGTTATATTGAGGCAAAGACTAGTTGAATTTATCAGCAAAAAGCCACCAGAGAAACAACGATTATGTGTCTTGTATTCTAATTTACGTAGATCTCTATTCTTTTTACAAAACTACAGATAATATAGGTTATAAAATCTTTTACTGAAAAATCTTAAAAATCTTACATGAGATGAAAATATTTATTGCCTCTTTCTTGATGTTAACTAGAAGCAATGCTTTTTTTTTTTTCCTACCACCTGAGTGACCTGACACTGGTTGATCTCATGTGAAAATTGATTTTTATTTCCCTTGCCAGGAGAGCTCATGTGGTTTGGATTCTAACTTCAATTTGGCCAGGAATAAATTGCCCAAGCCACATGGGCCTCCCCTACTTCATGAGAATCTCCTCTCAACAGGGTGTTCTAGGACTGTGGGCTTGGATTTGGATGTATTTTGGGGGTAGCACTGAGGGAAATTGGTCAAAAGCTCATTCTGAATAAGCTCCATGCCATCGGATTCTGAAAGGCTCCATGTTTCATTGGGCCTTCAAGGGGATTTGTGTAGAGCAGTGTCTGGGGCCCAACTCCAAGCTTGCCAGGAAGGTAGACTAGAAATTACCAAGGGTCCCCACCCCAACTCACTGACTTCTGACGTGTGAGAGCGCAAAAGCTCACCAGGGCCTCCCTCCCAGAGATGCTAGGATGTGGAGCAGCCTTTCCCCAGGTGTGAAGCCAGAAAGTGGGAAGCATCTTTGACTTGCTGCTGTCCCTCCATCCCCACATATCCTTGGTCTTGCCAAGACCCATCCATTCAACTTCCTTATCCCAGGGATTATCCCGTTCTCTTCCTGGTGCCACTGTTCCAGTCAGATCTTCATCATTTCCCACTAAAGTATCGCAACAGCCTCCTAACTGGTCCTCCTTCCTCAACTGCACCCAACAGTCTCCTCCCCACCCCAAACCATCCATTCTTTTTTCGTTTTTTTGAGACGGAGTCTCACTTTGTCATCCAGGCTGGAGTGCGGTGGTACGATCTCAGCTCACTACAACCTCCACCTCTCAGGTTCAAGCGATTCTTCTGCCTCAGCCTCCCAAGTAGCTGGGACTACAGGTGTGCGCCACCACACCTGGCTAATTTTTGTATTTTCAGTAGAGATGGGGTTTCACCGTATTGGCCAGGCTGGTCTCGAACTCCTGACCTTGTGATCTGCCTGCCTTGGCCTCTCAAAGCCACTATCCATTTTTTATCAAAGTTTCCCAGAGTGCTATTTTTAAAAATAAAAATATGATCAAGTCCCTTATTTCTTAAAAGTCTTCATTGGCTCCCTAATCATTTATAAGATAATGACTAAACTCCTTAGCATGTGCATAGACATAATCTATTCTCTAATATTCCTTAATTCTTCCTGTAGTTCCCTCTTTGGTCCTCTTTCCTTTCACTGCAGGATCTACATCTTACTATTTACTTATCTATTTCCACCATGGTAAACTTTTTAAGAGCAGAGAATTTTTTCAGATTACACTCCTATGGCTAGGATGTAGCGTGGTGCTTGGCATCCAATAAACAGAAACGCAGAAGAATGGTAATTAGCACTTAATTTTAATTAAAATCAACAGTTCAGGAGAAGATAAGATAGTGTTTAATATCAATTTCTGAGAAATCACATTTATATAAAAGAAATAAAACAGGCCAGCAGAAGTCCAAAAAAGATTCAGCTTACATTATTGCACTTGGATGAAATATGCTATTTAGAGTAGTATAATATTCAGGCCAGGCCAGGAGGAGAAAGAGAAAAATGGAGAGGACAAACCTCCAGGTAGTATTTATTCCGGATTCCAAACTCTCCTGCGGCCTAAACAGTATTTAGTCTATTGGAAACATTCAGCAAGGTCTTTACAAAAATGACTGCAGTATCTTCAACACATTTGAGTTGCACTCCTACTTCGTTCCAGTCATGTGCAAGTTTAATGCACAGCTCTACCTCACAAAACGGGATATCTATGACACCAGAACTTCCCTGTGCCCAAGGTCATGGACAGGAGGGGAAGGCAGTGAATTTCTACTTTATGCATATTTTAGGGAGCAATACTGTGGCTATCATTTACCCTTTTGAGCAATCTTGATTTTGGTCATTTATAATTAGAACATGAGAAAAAGTGACAGTGAATACAAATGAGTACTAACCGAATTCCTAGGCTGGTACTAGAAAATAAAATAAAAATTGTAAAAAAGTCCCTTGCCATGTTCACAAAGGTGGCAATAACTGTATATATAAGAAAAAGGCTGTAAACTTATAGAAAAGATAAACTCTGGCTTCTAAACAAATTACAAAATTGATTTTGCCTTTATCCTTGAGTGTAACACAGAAAAATGTAAACCTGTAGACCTAGTTACCAAAAGACAATTATCCTTCTTAGCTCAGGTATGAACTTAAAGTTTGGCCTGAGCTAGTTTGATCTTCAAGTTTTCTCCAAGTTTATCCATGAACTCAAATGTATTCAAGTAGTCAGAACGTTGCACACTAACGGGAAGGAAAAAAAAAAGAAAATTTAGTTGGTCTCTGATATGGTAGCAGGTAGTGGTAAAGTCCTAGAAATGCTACTTAAAATAGTATTCTATTTGTTTCTGGAAGAAAACGCATTCATGTTAGTAAGCTACAAAATCTATAGACAATGACTATGTTCAGGGTTCCTGGGGCTGACCCAGGCTCAGTACTCAGGCTCTCTAGGCAACCGGCAGTAGAGACAGCCATACATACTCAGTTAGGTTTCTTGCTATGTAGCTTTGGGGGTGAAATTATCATTGAGTTTCGGTTCAGACTAATGCTGCTGAGACCAAAATCATCACACTTCTTCCTCATTCTTAAACATAACAAAACTTATTCAGGGCATAGCCAAACCTTTACCCACCTTCCCACAAACCGTTACATGTCCTTAAAAAAAGTTATAATGTTGTTATTTCTATCAGTGTCTTAAGAAAAACAAAAGACAGGCCGGGCCTGGTGGCTCACGCCTATAATCCCAGCACTTTGGGGGGCCAAGGCGGGTGGATCATGAGGTCAGGAGATGGAGACCATCCTGGCTAACAAAGTGAAACCCCGTCTCTACTAAAAATACAAAAAAAAAAAAAAAAAAATTAGCCGGGTGTTGTGGCACAAGTCCCAGCTACTTGGGAGGCTGAGGCAGAAGAATCACTTGAACCCAGGAGGCGGAGGTTGCAGTGAGCGAAGATCACGCCACTGCACTCCAGCCTGGGCAAAGCGAGACTCTGTCTCAATAAAAAGAAAAAAAAAGAAAAACAAAAGACAGGATAACATAATCCTGCTGACAGGTGCCTGTTAAATAGGCTACAAAGGTATTCCACTGATAAGACCATTTTGAACACTGCAATCTTTTTTTTTTTTTTGAGATGGAGTCTCGCTCTGTCACGCAGGCTGGAGTGCAGTGGCACCATCTCGGCTCACTGCAAGCTCCGCCTCCCAGGTTCACGCCATTCTCCTGCCTCAGCCTCCCGAGTAGCTGGGACTACAGGTGCCCGCCACCACGCCTGGTTAATTTTTTGTATTTTTAGTGGAGATGGGGTTTCACTGTGTTAGCCAGGATGGTCTTGATCTCCTGACCTCGTGATCCACCCACCTCGGCCTCCCAAAGTGCTAGGATTACAGGCATGAGCCACAGCACCCAGCGAACACTGCAATCTTGTTGGAAATTTAAATTAAGAAACATGCAGTGACCAAGTATATCCCCATTATGGGGTATACTGACCCTACCTGGGACCTCTGCAGATGCACTGGTTGAGATATGGAGACAATCCCCCCAGGATACTGGCTACTATGTTCTCAGAAAAATTCTCAGTAAACATATGGGCTGTCAAATATTTGCCCAAATATTGGTTACAGATACTTAAGGGACTGTAATCAATTGCACACCTTAAACTTGTGCTGCTCACTTTTCTCATCAGTAAGTTAAAGAAAATAAAGGAGTAGAATAAAATAGCCTCTGAAGTATCTTTGTTTCTATTTGTCTATAATCTGCTTCTTAAAATTAAATAGAACCTTTTCGTTCAATGATTATCAACTAGATGGGATGTCAGCAAATTACAGCCCAGCACATGAACCAAATCGAGGCTGGTTTTGAACATAAAAGTTTGATTGGTACCAGCCACACCATTTGATTCTGTATTGTCTATGACTGCTTTCCTGCTACAATGGCAGAGGCAAAGTTGAATAGTTGTGTAGTTGCAAAAAGACTATATGTTCCACAAAGCCTAAAATGTTCACTATCTGACAATTTACAGATATCTGCTGACTCCTGAACTAGATGATGAATAACAATTTATATAATTCCAGAAAGCACCGATGCTCTGAGCCCAGTGAGGATAAGTGTTAATTTGACCATAGAAACTAGGGCATCTTATACTTACTTGGGTAAACCTTTAATGCAAGCAGCCAAGTCCTTGGTCATGAAGCCAGCCTCAATTGTCTCAATAGAGACTTCTTCCAAAGCATTTGCAAAGAAGGCAAGCTCTTTATTGTTATCAAGCTTTGCTCTGTGGGCTAACCCTCTGGTCCAGGCAAAAATGGAAGCTAAAAGAGGGGAAAAAAAACACAACACTCCAATCATCCTAGTTATAGAGGTTTCCAAATGTCTCATAGTTCCCCAAAACAGAATAGTTTTTTGTTTAGGTGACAGACTTCTTTAGATACTAACCACATGGGCTAGAAGTTTTAGGAGAGTTAGAAATATTTTACCAAACAGAAACTTTAAAAAAACACATTTTCATGGCATGGTACTAGTGTTTGAAACTTAAGGCATTTTCTAATTTGAAAAAGGTCACAATCTCTTCTATCTCTTGTCTATATTGGTCTCCTTTTTCCAGGCTGTAATCTCTTTTTGAAGTGCTATCTTTGAAACTTGTTAAAAGGATCTATCCATGTGACTTTTAGATTTGTAGCCTTATGTGACATTTCACTGCACCAGAGGTAAAGGAAAATGCTTGTTGATAACATTCCTCTCTGTAACCTATGTTCTCCCACAAAACAGAAAAGCAAATATTGTATATTTTAAGAAGCATATTCAAATAGATCTTACTAGTAGAACAAATCAGCTACTTGGTGATGACTTTGCACACAAAACACTGAGCAGCCAAGGGAACACATCTGGGCTGCTTTGGAGAGCACTCTCTGGTGAGAAATCAATGTAAACACCATCTTACCAATGGGATTGGTGGACGTCTCCTGTCCTTTCTGGTACATGCGGTAGTGACGGGTTACAGTCCCGTGGGCAGCCTCTGCTTCTACTGTCTTGCCATCTGGACAAACCAGCACGCTGGTCATCATGCCGAGAGAGCCATACCCTGTAAGTAGTGGAGCATGAAGCGTTGGGTCCAACTGCATGAAGAGCACTGAGTCTCTCAGAGATGAGAGCATAAATGACTCAATCTTGATAGGTCTTGGTAAGCAAAGTAAACAAGAGCACATGGAATCACCAATAATTCTGCCTTTCAGAAGGCAGGATCCCCGCTCCAGATATCAGAGCCAATGGGTCTGGAAAGGCTGCATTTTCCCCTCACTTATTTCAGGGATACCTACTCCTTGATGGAGGGTTCAGGGTCCAACTGCCTACATTCCACTCTAGTTCTATGACTTCATAGCTACTGCGGCTCAGTTTTCTTATCTGTAAAATGGGAGTAATAACAGCACCTACTTCACTAGGTTGCTGTGGGATTAGATAAATATACATATATTCATAAATATATATGAATATATATTTATATTCCTTAGAATAGTACTGGACACAGAGCTCAATCTATTATTGTTATTCTTATGTGCAATGCTCTGCTGTTCTGGGGAAATAAAGATGGACGAGAGCTGTCTCTTAAGAACCCTCAAGCTGCTCATACACTTGCTGGGACTGGGAAGAGAAGGCAGGTAAACACAGGATCGGTTGGATCTAAGAACATCCCAGTTGCCCTTCCTCGCTCTCTTTCATACCCTCAGTACAACAGTTCTCTTCTGTGGTTTCTTATTGAAAGAACCACATTACAACTCTTATATCTATATAATTGATTTTCTTCTTTTCTCCATTTTTGCTACCTCCCAACATCACCTGTGAAGTTAATAATCAACCACGGAGTCATCACAAAGCAATAACACTCCTTCCTCTGTTGCATTCAGTACAAATGATTGTGAGGATGTAGAGAAACAGAAGGATGGTAAGGAGAGTTGTGTAACTCATTTATCTGGCAAAAAGTTATCTTTAACCAGGTTGATCTACTGATTTTCAAACTGAGAGGAGATGTTTAACACTGATAAGAGACAGAAAAAGTAGTACTTCTTGGGAAAAACAAACATAATTAAAGTTAACAAACATTCATCTGGGGAGATTCAAGTTCATACAGCTACCAAGGGCAACTGAAACTGAAGGGCAACTTGGTGCTGAGGAAACCA
This sequence comes from Homo sapiens, assembly GCF_000001405.40. Lineage (NCBI taxonomy): Eukaryota > Metazoa > Chordata > Mammalia > Primates > Hominidae > Homo > Homo sapiens. Next base: position 208,241,097 of record NC_000002.12, read on the forward strand.
GGCGCTGTGTTTCTGTTGATTTGGCCCTTACCCCATGCATGAAACTTCTCCTGGAATTTCTGTAAACAGCCCCTAGGGTTCTTTGCTCAATTGATTTGTGTGTAAGCTAAGCAGTAAACAAAAACACTTTTTCTTTGTTGTTGTTGAGACAAGAGTCTTGCTCTGTTGCCCAGGCTGGAGTATAGTGGCGTGATCTCAGCTCACTGCAACCTCCGCTTCCCAGGCTCAAGAAATTCTCATGCTTTAGCCTCCTGAGTGCCAGGGACTATAGGCATGCGACCACACCTGGCTAATTTTTTTTTTTTTTTTTTTTTGAAGTAGAGATGGGGTTTTGCTATGTTGGCCAGGCTGGTCTTGAACTCCTGGCCTCAAGTGATCCACTGCCTTGGCCTCTCAAAGTGCTAGGATTACAGGCGTGAGCCACTGTGCCCAGCCAAACACATTTGTTTTATATTCTACCAGAACAGCAGCTGGCAGAGGGACATGAGTAGGTCCTGCTGCCCAATAAATGAGCTTTGCAGGCACCAAAGCTTGGTTATGACATGATCAAGCTCCTCACTTTATCCCTCCTTGCCTGAGTGCCCTGGTTTTTTACATTTTCACCAAAGGACAAGGAGGGCAGGGAAAGGGAGTGATTTTCAGATCAGGTAGGCTTTAAAACTTCAAGGAGTGACACTGGAGCCAGGAGTGTCAATCCACTAATTTACTTCCCATGTGGTCTTGAGTAAATCATTTCTCTAGTCTGAGCTTAATTTCCTTAGCTGTCAGGTAAGACGGTGGACCTGGAGGTTTAACATTCCAAGATTTTACAACAAAGGACTACAAAACTCCCCTTCCCAAATTAGAGAACTACCCTGGAATGACCCTGTTCCTACAGGCCAGGCTCCACCTCTGTACCTTGGGCCACAGAGTCCGACTGCACGTCACCATCATAGTTTTTACAGGCCCAGATGAAGCCTCCCTCTGATTTCATAGCTTGGGCCACCATGTCGTCGATGAGCCTATGCTCATACCAGATCTTTTGAGCTTCAAACTGGGACTTGTACTGCCTGGGAAACAAAAGGTAAAAGAGAATAATAATAAAGAAAATTGATTTTGTTAGGGATATCATCTGCTTGTCCCAAACAGAAGACCGGACACACAAGAAGCAGCATATTTTAGTAGAAGTAGCAGAAACTCAGGAATCTGACAGACATTGGCTCAAATCCTAGCCCAATCATTTTCTAACTGTAAAACTCAATTTGACTATCTGTAGGAACAATTTTACCCACCTTGCAGGGAAGCCGTGAGAATTAAGTGAGACAGTAGAGTATCCCAATGACTACTTCACTTTTCAGTTTTCATTATACTATAGATCAGATTCTTGAGATTCAGCTTATTTTTAAAATACATTTTTGAAAAGACTGTTCTACTTCTTGGTGTCATTCAGGAAACTAAAATATATTCCAGACAGTTTCTGGGCTTGGTATAGATGGGCAGCAGGAGGAGGAATCAAAATGCCTCAGGAACATTTTGGCCTGAACACTTGCACCTAAAGGGAGTTATGCCAATCTTAAATATTAACACATGCTCACCTCCTGTGCTGTGGAAGCCAGTGTTGTTATAAACTTAGACTTAAGTTCAAATGACTCCACTAAAACAGAATTTTAAATTCTTTTTTTTCTTTTCTTTTCTTTTTTTTTTTTTGAGACGGAGTCTCGCTCTGTCGCCCAGGCTGCAGTGCAGTGGCGTGATTTCGGCTCACTGCAACCTCCGCCTCCCGGGTTCACGCCATTCTCCTGCCTCAGCCTCCCCAGTAACTGGGACTAGAGGCGCCCGCCACCACGCCCGGCTAATTTTTGGTATTTTTAGTAGAGTCAGGGTTTCACCGTGTTAGCCAGGATGGTCTCGATCTCCTGACCTCGTGATCCGCCCGCCTCGGCCTCCCAAAGTGCTGGGATTACAGGCATGAGCCACCGTGCCTGGCCAACAGAATTTTAAATTCTAACAATGGGCTTCAGAAAGAATGGAAATGGGTCTGACTTAGAAACTCACACATGAAAAATTAGAACTTATCACTAACAGCGTACGTTTATTTAAACATTAAAGAACCTGGCTCTGAAAACAATTCATGTGGGGACCTTATTTAAGAACATGTTTATCTTATAAAAGCAAGTCAGAGTGGTTTTGTTTCACTCCTGCTAAACCTCAGTTTTGCCCTTATCTTTAAGAGACAGTGATGATTTTCACTCAATTTACCCAGAATCATAGGGATAGGGAGATACATACTCTATATGCAAATGTCAGCTTACTTGAGAATAAAGAAAAAGTTAAAAAAGAACTATAGTTACTTGTCATATATCTCCTGAAAGATGTCTTTAAAACGCCCATCATATTTCTTCAGAATAGTGTTTTTGGTGCTCAGATACAAAGGCCAACCCTTAGACAGAGCCATTTGGAAGGAACTGTGTGCAAAATCTTCAATTGACTTATCTTGATTATACATCCCCATGGCAACACCACCACCTTCTGTAGAGGAGAAGCCAGTGAGAGGAAAAAAGGGAGAAGAATAAATGTAATGTAGTTGTAATAAGGCTAAAATCACCCACCACAACCAAATGACCTACTTCTCAGCTCTCACATCTGAGACTAGATTTCAGAAGTCCCAGACAGGTTTCCAACAAATTTCTGAGGCACATAATGAGAGAAAAGCCAGTTCTAGATAAGGACATTCTAACTTGTTTTGGAAGGACAGCAGAAATGAAAAAACATACAGTCTTTAAAATCCTGAAGATGCAGAAATGCCAAAAACTGATATGAACCAGAAATACATTTAAGAAAAGGCAAATAATTTTGAAACTTCTTTTACATACTGATATGGTTTGGATATTTGTCCCTTCCAAATCTCATGTTGAAATGTGATTCCCAGTGTTGGAGGTGGGGCCCAGTGGGAGGAGATTGGAACATGGGGTTGGATCCCTTATGAATGGCTTAGGACCATCCCCTTTGGTGATTACGTGAGTTCTCGCTCAGTTAATTCACTTGAAATCTGGTTGTTTAAGAGTCTGGGACCTCCCCCTTCTCTTTCTCTTGTTCCCGCTCTTGCCATGTGATACACCTATTGTCTGTTTGCCTTCTGCCAAGATTGGAAGCTTCCTGAGGCCCTCACCAGGAACAGGTGTTGGAGCCAGGCTTGTACAGCCTGCAGAACCATGAGCCAATTAAACCTCTTTTCTTTATAACTTACGCAGCCTCAGGTATTTCTTTATAGCAACGCAAGAATGGACAAACACCCTACCTTTACAATTCCCAACATCTATTTTAAACTTTAGGGGTGTACTCAATCCTCAGTTATTGAGAAAAACTTAAATTTCAAATACTGAATGAAAATTCTTATAATCTCCTGGAGGATACTGAGCACTCCTACTGTAGTTGGTAGAAATAAGTAGAAATAATTATGCTACATGTAATCACTGTGTTTTACAACTATTATTGAACTTTGTTATTACTTAAAGATAGAACTTGAATCCATGCCAATGCTCAGGGTTAACTTGGGTTCAGGGTGAAAGGTGCTGAAGCCTGCAGAACCAGATTCCAACAGATATTATTTGGAAGAGGCAAGAAAAACAAAAGGTAGGTGAGTGTTGGGTATTTTTGTTTGTGTGAGTGCTTTCAACAACTTCAATAGTGAAGGAAAAGGGCCCACTAATTATTTCAACAACTTTTGGGTGGGATTTGCCATCAAAGGTAGCAGGGTAGCTGGGAAAGAAAAGGCAAAAAGCAAATGTTCTACTTTTTCACAGGATAAATACCCAGAAGGGCAAGAAGAAAACTTCAGCAAATATATAAGGAAACCTCTTCCAGATACAAGAGCCCTACCAGAGCAAAGGGCAGGATTATATGCTGGGTGATTTGAGAATATTAATATTTAATGTATATAATTCATGCACAGCAGATTTCTGCCAACCTTCTCTCTGTGCTTTAAGATAAATGCATAATCATCTCCTTGTCTTTGCCTAAAGGCATTTCCAATTAAGTGGGTAACCCTTTTGTGCCTTTATTCATGCCACAGGAAGGTATGGAAGCAAATTACTTCTTTATGTCAAGTTTCGGGTTTTGCAAAAACACTGTAGATTCAGATTATATTTTTAGGCAGTCACATAACTAACAAAAAAAGCAATAAAAATATTATCTAAATCATTTGTTTAAAAAAAAAAGAAGCTTATGCTACAGTCATACATACCTTCAAAGTTATGTACCAGGTATGTCACCTTTTGGGTTCCGTCACTTGGTGTGTAGGTTATCTCTACTTTTCCAGGCCCAGGAACAACAAAATCAGTTGCTCTGTACTGTGTAGAGGGGAAAAAGGTATAAAGAAAAAAAAAATACCCTAGCAGGAATTGTAAGGAGAATATTCATATAATATAGACCTAGAAGACACCTAGACAAATAGGGCAGTATGTCAAACTTCTTTTTTTTTTTTTTTTTTTAGGAGATGGGGATGAAGAGGTCCAGACATTCCCCTAAATCAGTAAATATTTATTAGGTGCCTATACGAGGTATAGGAAAGTTTTCTGAGCACTGATTTGAAGAGGACAGAGAATAACATAAGCCACTTTCCTTTAGGAAGTTTACAACCCTATAAAGACATATATAAGTGAAAAGCAATATAAGAGCTTTCAAATGCCAAAAGAGGGTATTAGACCCCCCCCCCAAAAAAAAAAAAACTATAGGATGACAGAGGAAAAGAGGTGACCATGGAAGGAAGTCAGGGAAGTCTCCCTAGAGGGTGATGATAACAATACTAATTGTAGTACTGAGGTAGCTAATGCTTTGTCCTTACTCTATGCCAGATGCTTTAAATGCTTAACTTGCATAATCTCATTTGATTCTTACATCAGTCTTACAAGGAGGGAACTATGATATAGTAGAAATAATGCATCCAGGGTCAAAGGACTTGAGGTCTCGTCCTTACTTAGGCCATCGGGGCTCGGTCTCTCATGGTATCATTGTTACTAGTGTTATAGGACTTGTTCATATGGAGCAATCAAATCATTCTGGGAGCAGCTACAATGGGATGATGATGATTTTTAGGAAAGGGCTGTTCAAGGACAGGCACCTCCCTCATGGGCCTCAGCTACTCAGTGGAATAATATGCCTGGCATATACTAGACATCCATAAGTCTTTGCTGCATTGTATCTTCTTCAATGAATTGAATCAGATACTTGCAGAGTTAGGTACCAGCAGGTGCCGGCCACATCTATAAGTGTAGAGAAATACTAATAACAACTGGTAAAAGAGCAGTAAGTAACAATAAAGATTAAACACCTACTTTACACAGAACATTTTTGACATATAAAATCCATAAAGTAAATATGGGTGGTAATTTATTACTATTTCTGAAAAGGGAGAAACTGAGGTACCAAAGCACCATAAATGCTTTGTATAGGTTTATGTATATTTAAACAGTCCATGAATCAACCTGAGGTTTGAAATTCTCTTTCTGGACTTTAATAAATAGAATGGCCATTTTTACAAATGACTGATGCCAAAATAATTAAAAAAAAAAAAAAAAAGAGGAAGGCCGGGCATGGTGGCATGCCTGTAATCCCAGCACTTTGGGAGGCGGAGGCGGAGGCGGGCGGATCACAAGGTCAGGAGTTTGAGACCAGCCTGACCAACATGGTGAAACCCCGTCTCTACTAAAAACACAAAAATTAGCCGGGCATGGTAGCATGTGCCTGTAATCCCAGCTACTCAAGAGGCTGAGGCAGGAGAATTGCTTGAACCCGGGAGGCAGAGGTTGCAGTGAGCCAAGATCACACCACTGCACTCCAGCCTGGGCGACAGAGCGAGACTCTGTCTCAAAAACAAAAAACAAAAAGGATATACGCAGAAAAAAGGCACGACTGAACTGGAAAGAATCTAGGGTGATTTTTACAAGATTAGCGAGTTTGCACCACTGCCATCTACCTTCCCTTGCTTGGGCCCCTGGGAGCTATTTCTGAAGGCTTTGGCCAGGATGAAAGGATAGTTTTAGCCACAGAGTGGAACAAAGTTAACTGACCCCTCAAGGACTAAACTGTTTACCCTCAACACACTGTTTTCAATGATGGCTACATTAAAACCTCTGGATTTCAGCATGAGAGATTCCTGTTTTTAAGGTCCTTTTAAGACATAAACTACTTTCTGTGAAAGTCTGAAACCTCAGTTTCAACACTGAACTTTGATTTTGTTTACTTGGCAGTTTTTTTGCTTAATTTGGCAACAAGTGTACTGGTACAGAAGTAAAGAAGCAATACTTTTTTTCCAGGCAGGAAGGAATGCTTTAGTAAGGCTGCTTTCAACTACCGAGTCAGTTTTTTTTTTCTTTTTCTTTTTCGAGACAGGGTCTTGCTCTGTTGCGTAGGCAGTGGTGTGATCATAGCTCATAGCTGTAACCTTGAACTCCTAGGCTTAAGGGATCCTCAGGCCTCAGCCTTCCAAGTAGCTGGGACTATAGGCACATGCCACCCCACTCAGCTTCGCCTACTCACTTTGTATATGAATAAACAAAACTGGCTCTTCCATGAACAATTGACATAATTATTGAAATACTTTTCATTTTTGTAGAGACAGGGTTCTGCTATGTTGTCCAGGCTAGTCTCAAACTCCTGGCCTCAAGCAGTGCTTCCAAATTGGCCTCCAAAGTGCTAGGATTACAGGTGTGAACCATAGTACCCAGCCAGTTTTTTCTTTTATGCATGATGGGATCATGTTTAATACAATCTTTGGTGGTTCTCAAGTTTGCACATTAGATTCACCTGGGGAGCTTTAAAATGCCTGAACCCCATGGAATTCAGATTTTAATTTGTGTAGGGTGGTACTCAAGCATTGAAACTAAAACAAAGAAACAAATCAAGCAAAGCAAAACAAAACCACCAAAAAAACTTGTAAGGGGATCCTATTGTGCAGCCAGTGTTGAAAACCACAGATCTGGTTGAACCATATGAAATTACCAACATAAAAATGGCAATATCATATGGTATAACTGAATAAAAGGATAAAGGAAAAAAAACAGCATGTTTGAAAAAAAATGTGTTGAGATGGACGCCTATTTGTAAGTTTATTTGTATTTGCCTTTAGCTAAATGTGTGTAAATATACAGTTATACATATATGCATTTCTCAATTTCATACCTTGCTTAATGGGTGTAGATACCAAAAGATAAGAATAAAACACATACAAGTTGGAAATTTCTGGGCCATGAAAAAAAAAACATGCAAAATCACATTATTGCCAACATGACTTACTTGATCCCCATAAGCATGACGACCTATGATGATAGGTTTTACCCATCCACTCACAAGCCGGGGGATATTTTTGCAGATAATGGCTTCTCTGAAGACCGTGCCACCCAGAATATTTCGTATGGTGCCATTTGGTGATTTCCACATTTGTTTCAACTTGAACTCCTCAACCCTCTTCTCATCAGGAGTGATAGTGGCACATTTGACGCCAACATTATGCTTCTTTATAGCTTCTGCAGCATCCTTGGTGACTTGGTCGTTGGTGGCATCACGATTCTCTATGCCTAAATCATAGCTTGAAAGAGAAAAATTAGAAGCAAAGTTTTTCAGACAAATGGATAGTTATAACCTACAACTGCAGTGATGGCATATAGAGCTCATTATGCAGAAAGCGAAGGCTCTGAGTACACCAAAATCTGCCAAGTTTTAGCACTGGCACACCCTAAACACAGAAGATGGGTGCCAACTACAAAGAGAACTAAGAGAGGCTAGACTGCTGGGCTGCCCCTCCTCTTGTAATGGGAAGCTGTCTATCAGGAAAATGAATGGAAACCATCAAACTCTGCCCTTTGCCTCCTGTTTTTCACCAGATAGAGGCAATAATGGCCTGGTTTCTCTCCATATAATTAGTATAATAAGTGTAAGTCTAAGGACCACCTTTTTCCCTTAGTAAATATTGCTCTTTAAAAATAAAAGGGGGTGGGAGGGGTTAAAGGATTTTTTGTATTTTGACGTTGAAGTGGTGGGAGGTAAAGATGTGACAGTTGATGCCAAAAATGCGAATGACTACTTCATTAATGCCAGTTAGTCATAAAATGAGCCTTTCCCTTTTTTTTTTTTTTTTAGATGAGTCTCGTTTTGTTGCCCAGGCTGGAGTGCAGTGGCACGATCTTGGCTCACTCAACCTCTGCCTTCCTGGGTTCAAGTGATTCCCCCGCCTCAGCCTCCCCAGTAGCGGGGACTACAGGCATGCACCACCATGCCCAGCTAATTCCTTCTGTAATTCTTGAGCAAGTGTTTGCTCTGGAAACAAGCCTACAATTTATTGGGTAAGTAAAGGAATCCATCAATGGTTTTCTACATACCAGAGAGTAATAGCTTAATATACACCAACACAAAGATTGCAGGTCATTCAGAGCTGAAAGAATGTTAGTTGTCCAGGGAGCATAGAAAATGACTGCAAAGCTTTATTTGAAGCATGCAATAGTTTGTTAAAAAGCAAGAAAACAAAATAATGTTTTGTTTATTCTGTTCTCCAAGGATTTAAAAGGTTTTTCAGCTCTTAAAACCTGCCTCTAGATTTCTTTTTGGTTCCCTTATCTTCCTTTCTTAGATCTCCTACCCAACTCATGATGCAAACAAAGAGATAGTAATCTTGACATATTTCCAAATAAAAATAACTTCCAACTGCTTCGACTTTAGATAATTCATATAAATCTAACAAAGTCATGTCCTTTGTTATCTTCTTGCATAGGAAATGTTGATCCAATCCCAACTCCAACAGGAAGTATGATCAGTAGTTTTCAAGTTCCTAGGAACCATTTCTCATAAGGAGAATCTATCAGCAAATTATTAGATTTTTTGCTTGTCTTCTTAACATTTCTAAGAAGATAAGAAAGGAAGGAACAAATTGCCCAGACCACTGTCCAGCCTACATAAAACAAACTACCTGCTCCATTCTCCTGAAAAAGAACCAGTCAGTGATAATAATAGGAATTTTGGAAAAATTTAAAACTTGTTTGAGCCTCCAAAAATTATCTAGTCTGCAGCCACCAAATTTTTTCCTCCTAGTCATAGTGACTCCCCTTTAAAACTCCTCATGATTCCACACTAAAGAGGCTCAAAGCATCTTTAGTTGCAGCCATTATAAGGAAAAGAACCCTGCCAGTTCACCTACTGTCATGTAAAGTCCTGAAACAGGAGTTCCTAAGATGCTTTTTTTTTTTAACCTAGTTGGAAGATGTTTTTATGCCTAATTTCTTATGTTTGGTTGACTTCTGCAAGTATTTATATCTTATCATGATTTCAATATAGACATCAGCAGCTTAGGTTTAGAACAATTAAAAAGTATGTTTAATGACATTATGTGAATTAAATGTCTCCACTCAAACAGGTCCTTAGGACAAATTTTGATGACTAATTCTGGGCTGAGGCAAACACACTTAGAGTTGCCAATAGTTTGGCTGAAACGTGTTGCTCAATATTTTTCTATGCCAGTCTTCAGCCACTTTACCCTTTTAAAAATTCTATCTCTACCTAAAGGTACAAAGAACAGAAGCAAGTTTATGAAAAACACAGCGAAAAAAATGAGAGAATTACATAGACTTTTGCATCTGTCCCCAGGCACTTTACACACAGGGCAAAGGGACACAGGATTTAAGGGAATTTTGCTGGAAAGGAGGGGTTCAACTAAGAAACATCATGAATTCTTTCTGCACTACAATTGTATGAAAAGGGCAAAAGGTGAGGCATGAAAAGGAAACAGGTCCATTGACTAAGTAAAGTGATAGAAAATTGAGTTTGAAATGACAAAATTGTGTTAACTGCATTTAGTTTACTGTTTCTTACATCCTCTCTTATTTCCCTTTTCTCAATACATTGTACTATTCTTAGCCACTGTTTTATTACAAATAAAACCTTCACAGGAAACAGAAGGTTAGAAGAATCTGAAAATCATTCTTTCCCTTATAATTCTTGACTTTTAGATGATAAATCCAGTTTTTCTAGCAGTATGTTAAAATTAGAAGATTCATCTGAATATATTTAGGCTTAAAACAAACTTTATTCACAAAACACAGCTATATCTATATAAAAAAAGCTAACTTCACCTCAAAATAATTCAGATTATATTCTTTTTTTTTTTCCTGTTTCTCCTTCCCTTTTTTTTCCTTTTTTTTTTAAAGTGATGGGGTCTCACTCTGTTGCCCAGGCTGGACTTGAATTCCTGGTCTTGAGGGATCCTCCTGCCTCTGCCTCCTAAGTAGCTGGGACTTCACGTGTGCACCACCATGCCCAGCCAGATTATCCTTTCTGAGTTTGCTACACGGAGGGGTAACTCATTTACCTATGTAGATCCAATTCCACGTAGGGAAAAATGAGTTTCTCTTTAATCAATTCCCAAATGATTCGTGTCATTTCATCTCCTTGCATCTCTACCACAGAACCGCCACTGATTTTTTTGGACATTTTGACTTCAATAAACCTAAAAAGAAAAAAAAAATACATGCCTTGTCATTTATTTCATTATAAAGTGAAATATATAAACAACGTAGTGTTTATATAAACAACGTAGTGACTACTAAAAGAACAATTCATGCAATTCAATTTATGTGTAGTTGAATAAAAAGCTAGTAACAGCAATTCTATTTACCATTAGAATTGAGTATCTTCTCTGAACAAAGTATTGTGTTATGTTTCACACGCGGTTTCTGAGCTAGCCCTCATAACAATCCAAAAAAATGGCCATCATTTCCCCATTTTACTTTGTTAAAAAAAAAAGAGCTTTCCCAAGGCCACCTAGCTAGAGCGTGGCAGAGCCTGACCCTATAACGTGCCCTTCATAATGCAATCATTATTCTCAACTACTGGTTTGTCTTAAGAAATGAGATTATTTCCACAATCTCATGTTTATTGAACACTTCAGTCCAACTCATCATTTTACTGGGCTCTCAAGATGTCCAGAATGGTGAGTGCTAGCATTTCTCCTCCTTTAAGAGGCTGTTTTTGTTATTTAATAAAAATAACTAGCCATGAGGAGATTCAGCTGGTTCCTGTGACCCATATTCAGGGAAACTTTAAGTCTAAAAGCGAGACGAAGAATTCCTGGTGGAACTGTTTTCCTAGAGATAACACAGACATTGGAGATGTGGGGCTAAATACAACAAAGTGATTTCTCAATTAGAAGAATCTCTATACAGTAGGGCCACTGCCCAGGACCCAAGCATGTCCCTGTCATCTTCTTCTGGCTGTTCACAGGCAAGGGTAAGCTGCTAGTGAGTGGGATAGGACAAACTGTGCATTGTCCTAGGAAGACAGCACTTTAAGGATAGGGTGTGGGGGTAGCATATACAAATCAATCTGATTCTCAGAAAGTGCAAGGTTGGACGCTTTGGAAGAAATGAAACTGTCCCAGCTTGTCCCTAGAGGCAGAAGAAGCTCTGAGCCTGCTAAAAGTTATCTATTCCTTCTAATGATGCTCTAATCGAAACTCTTTTTTAATCCAACAACACAGCTGCAAATTGCTTTTATTCTCTTAAGGACTAAAAAAGTCAAGAGAATTGACTTTAAAGAATTATTAGATAAGAAGCCTAAAATAGTCTTTCTTGAAAAATTGAGCTAAAGTAATTTGGTCTTTAAATAAAAATGTAATGATTAGTAGACAGTAAGCGTCTGTTTCTTGACAAGCCTGGATGTATTTCCAATCCCCAGGCCCATTTTCACTTCCCAAATTCGCAATTCTAGAATTCTTCTTACTAGTGTTTAGGAGATTCCTTTGGGGGAACCTTCTGGAACTGAACTAGACTAAAAGAAATGAACAGAATGGTGTGGATGAGTCAATTACTTCCCATTTGTAATGTCAAGTATAATTTGTAGTACAGCTGAAAGCATATGATTCAGTTCATGTTTGATTCCACTGTCACACCTATCCTTGTTTTAAAACAAAGCAAAAAAGGAGGCAGTGAACTTATCTGGTTCCTGATAATACACTTCCATGGCCATGTCCCTATATAGTATGATGCAACAGTCATGACATGGCAATTTATTCTTGATGGCAAATACAGTTAATAGAGGTCAAATATTGTACCTAAAATGTGAAGACTGATATCTTTTTAGTTCACTATTTCCTTCTCAGTTAAAGCAACTGTACTCTCTGCAGTAATCTTTCTTTATCTCATAATGCATACTTCAGACGCTTCAGGTTTTCCTCACATTACTTAGCCATGAAATTTTTACCATCTTTTAACTAAAACAGTGAAGCTTTATTGTTACTACCATGTGGAACATAATTGTATTTCTTCTGGATCTGATTTCCATGGGATGGGCTTGAGGCCCCACTGGACTGACTTCTCCACCTTTGTTGCCCCTCAGATTTTGTCTCCAACCCAATCCCAACTTCAGAAGGAAGGGCTGTTCCAAGACCAGCAGGCACCAGCTCATATGAAGTAGCTGAATCCTATCTCCTAACATAATTGTGCAATTCCAGAAAATAAACCTGGAATAACAATACAGAGTAGTTTAATGAAAAAAAAGAGCCATTTAATATTATTTTCATCAACCTCAAGTTTTTGGCCAGATTGTTTTTTGCCGAGTTCATGAACTACAATAATTTCTGGGCAAAAAGGATCTCTTGCAGATAAGACACTGTATTAAAAGAAACAAGGAAGCTGTTGGAATTCGTTGTTGGAAATATTCCTCACTCATTCCCTTGCAGTGCCTCGGCCTGCCCCCAAGACCAGTTAAACACTGTACTGCCACATCAAAGAAAGTACAGAAGAAGGGGGAAAATTTGCTAATTCTCACCTTGACAGTGAATAGATTTCTTATCACCCCAGTTCCTCCCAGTCTTGCAGACTCAACTGAATGTAGTTTATCGCCTAAAACAAAACAAGGAATAAAAGTGTTAACATACAGAACACTCACAGGAGAATTTAGCTGTTTTTAGTACCTGCCAGACAGCCCAGTTTATCCGGTTTAAAGTACAGTGCTGAGTGTACTCGGTGGGACAAAGGCCAATTTTAGGCCCGCAGGCACTTTCCAAATAAAGGTCATGGGAGCACAATTTATCTCTGCGTGTGCGAGGGCGTGCCCCCGCTTCGCCGCCCGTTAGCAGGTCTTGGGGTTTGCATGTCCTTGCTCTTGGCCTGCACCCGTCCTTATGGCCGTTGTGCAAGAGGGCTGCAATCAAGGCTGGATCGGTACCTCCTTCCAGGTCTCCACGCCCGCCCCTCCCCTCCCCTCCCCTCGCTGGTGCTGGGACCTTTTAAACTCCAGGCACCCGGAACTGGCGGGGGTGTTTCCCCCAGCCCCCTCTCGCCCCGTGTGGCCTAGCGACCCCTCTGAAGGCCGCTGGAGCTCCGCCCCTCCACGCCCCCTGGCGGACGCGAGGGATCGGCTTCAAGGCTATTCCTCGCCGCCTGAGTTGCCTGCAGACGCCCGTCTGCGGCTTACAGCCTTCTTTGCATCCAGCCCCCAGCTGCTGCACGTTTTCTTCCTCCTACACTCCAGGCTTAGTCTTCTACATGCATTCTTGCAACTTCCACCCCTCGATTTTCCAACCCAAGTGCAGACCTGATTTTCCCCTTGTCGTTGCATCCAACTTCCTCACCGCCCAGTTTCTCCCTCCCAGGCCCAAAAGCAGACCTTCTGCATATCCAAGCATCCAGCATCCCCTCCTTCCCTTTTCTTTTCCCATTCTCAATACCTGGATTTGTTCCCTTCTTTGCACGCAGGCCTTGACTCCCTCCACACCCAAGATCTGCGCTTTTTTCCTTTACCCCATTCCTGCCTTCTGCGGAATTAGAGCCACCCCTCCACAGCCAGGGACCGGGGCCGCCCCTTGGAGCCTGAGGTTACCTGCCGGGATGATATGCTGGCGAAGAGTTGGGGCGCCACAGCCGCTCACAAGCTCAGACTCACAACCACAGCCTGGCAATCCCAAACCGGACTCCCAGTGCCTCCGCTTCTGAAGTAGACTCTGCAGAAACCCGGGACCACAGGGTAGGTCCGAGCTTTTCCTCTTCCCGGCTTTGTCCCCTCCCAGGCCCCGCCTCCTCAGCCCACCTCCCCCAGCCCCGCCCCCGACACGCCTCCAATCGCCACACGCCAATTCCCGTGGGATGGGCGGAGTCAGCGAGAGGGGCGTGGCCACAGTCAAAGATGGAGAATCCATGGTGCCACTTTCCCGGTGATCCCGGTGGGGGAAGGGGTTGCCGCCCGGCAGAGATTCAGTCCCGAATCCCGACAGCGAAGAGACTTGTATGCCACCTGCAGGCCGGGGAGCGGGGCGCGCTGGGGCTGCACCACCCCGAACTTTGTAACAATCTAGAGCACCACAGAGTGTTTCCAGGTCGGCACAAAAGCGAACGGGACAGGGCGCCCTGGGCGGCGGCAGCTTGGCCGGCCCGCTGCCTAGCGCGCCCCCGAGGGGCGGTAATGGAACGTACCTTTGGCTGAAGAAAGAGTGCTCCCGGCCAGCGCGGGGTCGCCTAGGGGGTTCCGCGCTGCCTAATGCAAAGGATGGAAAAGTTACAGAAGCAGGTCCTGACACCACCTATGTCTAGGTCTTTAGAAACTCCATTGATTGTTTGCATTAGAAGATAATGAATGGGATTCTTATTATTTTCTTTTTTAAGACAGGGCCTTGCTCTGTTGCCCTGGCTGGAGTGCAGTGGAGCGATCACCGCTCACTGCAGCCTTGACTTCCTGGGCTCAAGAGATCCTCCCACCTCAGCCTTCCGAGTAGCTGGGATTACAGGTGCACACAATCACACTCAACTAATTTTTCTTTCTTTCTTTTCTTTTCTTTTTCCTTTGGTAGAGATGGGTTTCAGCAGCCCAGGCTGGTCTCGAACTCCTGGACTCAAGTGATTGGCCCTCCTCGGCCTCCCAAAGTCCTGGGATTACAAGCGTGAGCCACCATGCTCAGTTGGCGGGGGATTATCTGTGATCCAATGAAGTTGGACTAGAGATGTGAAGCCTTAGAAAACGGTGGATTGAAAAAAGAATTTTAGTCTCCTCCAGAGATTATATTTTGTGTGTTCATTGCTCTCAAAAACATGAAAATAAAGAGTATTTTATATTGTGATTTGTAGGACAATAGCATGCTTGTATATTGCTGCCCAGAATTTAATGCTCCAATATTTATTTATTTATTTATTTATTTATGAGACAGAGTCTTGCCCTGACAGGCTGGTGCAGTCTCGGCTCACTGCAACTTCCGCCTCCTGGGTTCAAGTGATTCTCCTCTTTCAGCTTCCCAAGTAACTGGGACTACAGGTGTGCCACCATGCTAAGCTAATTTTTGTATTTAGTAGAGACGGTGTTGCACCATGTTGGCCAGGTTGGTCTCGAACTCCTGACCTCAAGTGATCCGCCTGCCTCGGCCTCCCAAAGTGCTGGAATTACAGGCGTGAGCCACCGTGCCCAGCCTCCAAAATTTATTTTAAAAAATTATCTCTAACATTGAATTAGTACATTATTCTTTGAAGATAAACTGATCTACGTGGTACTACTCAAGGTGCACTTTGGACACCAGAGGGCACTGGTATTTTTCCCGAGAGAAAAGAAAAAAGCATACACCTTGTCAACTTGGTTTTTGAGGTGGCTTAAGGGATATTGGCAGCCACCTCCATTTATTCCTGTAGAACTGTTTAGAGAGGTATATGAGCTTTTTGAAGGGGGTCTGACCCTCCACACCTGTGGGTATTTCTCATCAGGTGGAGCCGAGAGACTGAGAAAAGAAATAAGACACAGAGACAAAGTATATAGAAAGAACAGTGGGCCCAGGAGACTGGCGCTCAATGTGCAAGGACCCGCACCAGCGCTGGTCTCTGAGTTCCCTCAGTATTTATTGATCACTATTTTTACTATCTTGGCGAGGGGAGTGTGGCAGGGCAACAGGGTGATGGTGGGGAGAAGGTCAGCAGGAAACATGTGAGCAAAGGAATCTGTATCATGAATAAGTTCAAGGAAAGGTACTACGCCTGGATGTACACATAGGCTAGATTTATGTTTCACTTTACACAAACATCTCAGTGTAGCAAAGAGTAACAGAGCAGTATTGCTGCCAGCATATCTCGCCTCCAGCCACAGGGCGGTTTTCTCCTATCTCAGAATAGAACGAATGGTCAGCTTTACACTGAGACATTCCATTCCCAGGGACGAGCAGGAGACAGAAACCTTCCTCTTAACTGCAAAGAGGCCTCCCTCTTTCACTACTCCTCCTCAGCACAGACCCTTCACGGGTGTCAGGCTGGGGGATGTAAGGCCTTTCCTTTCCCACAAGGCCATATCTCAGGCTGTCTCAGTTGCGGGAAAGCTTGGACAATACCCAGGCTTTCTTGGGCAGAGGTCCCTGCGGCTTTCCACAGTGCATTGTGTCCCTGGTTAACAGAGAATGGAGAATGGTGATGACTTTTACTAGGCATACTGCCTGCAAACATACTGTTAATAAGGCACATCCTGCACAGCCCCAAATCCATTAAACCTTGATTCAATACAGCACATGTTTCTGTGAGCACAGGGTTGGGGCTAAAGTTACAGATTAACAGCATCTCAAAGCAGAATAATTGTTCTTAGTACAGATCACAATGGACTTTCTTATGTCTTCCATTTCTACATAGACACAGTAACAATCTGATCTCCCTTTCTTTTCTCCACTCTTAATTTTCATCTTGAATCTGATGCCCTAAGACACCTGAGACTGTAATTACTTTATATTATATCAGGTTCACATTGCTTATTACCCCTTTCTCCCTACCGAAAGTAAGCATTCATATCCTTTCTTGTTCCCAAAATAATGTAGGGCAGCCATAAAAACACATCAAATATAGCACAATAAAAACATTGACTATAATTGAGAAAAATAAGGTTAAAAAATGAATAGCTATAGGATGTTATATAGAACCAAGGCAAATTCAATCATCAAACATGTTATATCAAATCCTAAACACTTGCTAGAGATGGCTGCAAATTTGGCTTTAAGCCAATGTACTAGTAAAGGTGGCAGTTATTGGAGTCTCAGCATCTAAAACAGTGTTTCCTAAGCCAGTAATGGAGGAGTTGATTTTCCACTGAAAAATCTGGCTGGGTGCAGTGGCTCAAGTCTGTGATCTCAGCACTTCGGGAGGCCAAGGCAGGAGGATTGCTTGAGGCTAGGAGTTTGCAACCAGCCTGGGCAACATAGGGAGACCCTCTTTATACAAAACAAACAAACAAACAAACAAACAAAAATTAGACAGGCAAGCTTGCGCCTATAGTTCTACCTACCTGGGAGGCTTAAGTGGGAGGATCACTTGAGCCCAAGAATTCGAGGCTGCAGGCTCCAGTGAGCTATAATTGCACCACTGCACTCTAACTGGGGCAACCAAGCGAGATCCTATCTCTTAAAAAAATTATTTTTCAGATCCCTAGGATTGACATTAAAATATTGCTATAAATATGCATAAAACTAGATATATGCTCCTTAGGCTGACAGCTCATACAACTGTAAAATAAAAAAATTTATAGATAAAATGACTAGAAAGAAAAGTAGAAAACAATACATCACCATTAATATCACTTAAATACAACAAATAACATTTAGCTGAAATTAAATTACTTCTTGAAATGGGAAGATGAAGTTCACTGGTTATGTGCAGGTTCTTTTTTTTTTTTTTTTTGAGACAGAGTCTCGCTCTGTCACCCAGGCTGGAGTGCAGTGGCGCAATCTCAGCTCACTGCAAGCTCCACCTCTCGGGTTCACGCCATTCTCCCGCCTCAGCCTCCCGAGTAGCTGGGACTACAGGCACCCACCACCACGCCTGGCTAATTTTGTTTTTGTATTTTTAGTAGAGATGGGGTTTCACCATGTGAGCCAGGATGGTCTCGATCTCCTGACCTCGTGATCCACCAGTGTTGGCCTACCAAAGTGCTGGGATTACAGGCGTGAGCCACCGCACCTGGCCATGTGCACGTTCTTTTTTACATAGCCGGCCTATTTTACTGGATGACATATGATGGTTCATTTAGCCCAGCACCCCTCTCTATTTGGTTAATATTTCATGTGTTGACATCATTTGTCTTTCATTTAGCCAGTAAAAGAATCTGAGTATTTTAATAGTCTGGCCCCAAATACTGTTATAAACACAAATGGAAACACAGGCCATGAAATTTCTGTAAGCATTTGGTTTTGACACACTCATCCAGATAATGGGATTCTCATAAATATTCTAATGTGGTTGTATTTTCATTTTGATTATCGAAAAAAAACTGAGGTAGAATGAATAGAGCTTGGTCATTGATTGTCCATGAAGATTATGAGAGAGAGAACGGCAAAAGGGAATTCTGAATTTGGAGTTTGGGAGACAAGGTGCAGTTCAACAAAGAAGGAATATACATAGAGTCACAGATCTGATGGCCAAGATCATGGGTTAAGTTTAAGGTTTCTTAACTTTGCGATGCCATGGGACAGCAAGATGATGTCCAGGAGGCAGTTGGCCTCATCTGCAGTTCAGAAAGGGTGGGCTGGAGAAAGAAATTTGGGAATCTTTAGCATGTCTTGATAACAGTTGAAGACAGAGTATATATTATCTAGGACTTCAAAGTAAGGAGAAAAGTCAATCTCAGTGAGAACTCTGAGGGACACTTACGTCTTAAAGGTCAGGTAGAGGAAAAGGAGCCCCCACAAAGAGAATGAGAAGGAGAGTCTGGGGGTTAACAAAGAATCAGCAGAGCCTGATGTCATAGAAGCCAACAGACAAGAAAGTTTTCAAAAAAGAGGGAGTACTACAGAGAGATTAAAAGAAAAAGACAGGGTCTGAAAATAATTTTGGCAAAAGGAAAACCTCTTGAATGCACTTTTAGTAAAAAGGCTCTATGAGGATGAAGAAGATAGAAGTGGAATGGTTCTACGAGGATCAGAAGATAGAAGCCATACTACAGGGGACTGAAGCATGAATGGGGGGTATGGAAAGGGAGACAAGAAAACCTTTTCAAGAAGGTTGATTGTAAAGTGAAGAAAAACACTTTTTTATTTTTGATACGGAGTCTGGCTCTGTCACCCAGGCTGGAGTGCAGTGGCACGATCTTGGCTTACTGCAACCTCCACCTCTACGGTTCAAGTGATTCTCCTGCCTCAGTCTCCTGAGCAGCTGGGATTACAGGCGCGGGCCACCACGCCTGGCTAATTTTTGTATTTTTAGCAGAGATGGGGTTTCACCATATTGGCCAGGCTGGTCTTGAACTCCTGACCTCAAGTGATCTGCCCGCCTTGGCATCCCCAAGTGTTGGGATTACTGGCGTGAGCCACCACGCCTGGCGGAAAAATGCTTTTAAAAGTCTTAGTCAACATACTATTGATGTCTACATATTTTAAAAAATTATTTGTATTACTTCCATGTTGGTTGTGTTGGTTAGAATGGATTTGATTATATTGCTTTCATGTCATTTGTGTTGGTTTGTATTGGATGTTTCCTTTTTGTTTCTTTAATGTTTAAATGGCTGTGACAAATGTCTTTATCTTCCTTTTTTAAAACACAGATCAATTCTTTGGGCTACATTGCTAGAATGGGAATTATTAGATCATGAAGTATAAATATATTTAAGGTGCTTGTTAAATCCACCAAATCATTTTCTAGGGGGGAATATACCAATTTATATTTTCACATGCAGTGTAAGAGAGTGCTAATTTTATTGCATCCTAGCTGGAACTTAGTTTCATAATTTTTACAAACATGTCTGCATCCCTACTAAAAGGAATTGGTGCTCCTTTGAGAGCTGATTGATTCTAGGCCCGGGGCAGGGAAAGTTCAAGATGAGCCTGCTGGGTCAAAAAGTAAGGAAGTGCTCTCAACAAATTAGGTATAGCAAGAATATGCCTCAACACAATAAAGGTTATATATGACAAACCAACAGTTAACATCATTTCAACAGTAAAAAAGAGCTTTTCCTCTAAGGTCAGGAACACGACCAAGACATGCACTCTTGCCACTTCTATTTAACATAGTACTAGAAGTCCTAGTCAGGGCAATTAGGCAAAAGAATGAAATAAAAGGCATCCAAATTGAAAAGGAAGAAATTAAATTGTACCTGTTTGCAGATGACATGATTTTTTTGTTTTTTTTGGAGACAGAGTGTTACTCTGTCACCCAGGCTGGAGTGCAGCAGTGAGATCTCGGCTCACTGCAACCTCTGCCTCCTGGGTTCAAGAAATTCTCCTGCCTCAGCCTCCTGAGTAGCTGGGACTACAGGCATGCGCCACCATGCCTGGCTAATTTTTCTATTTTTAGTAGAGATGGGGTTTCAGCATGTTGGCCAGGCTGGTCTCGAACTCCTGACCTCATGATCTGCCCACCTCTGCCTCCCAAAGTGCTGGGATTACAGGCGTGAGCCACCACACCTGGCAGGTTACATGATCTTATACATAAAAAACCCTAAAGACTGCACCAAAAAACTATTAGAATAAACAAATTTAGTAATGTTGTAGGATATAAAATCAGTATACAAAAATGAGTACTGTTTCCAAATATTAACAGTGAACTATCTGAAAGAGAAATCAATAAAACAATCCTATTTGCAATAGCTACAAAAATATATTAAAATACTTAGAAATAAATACGGGCCAGGTGTGGTGGCTCACACCTGTAATCCCAGCACTTTGGGAGGCCAAGGCAGGCGAAGCACGAGGTCAGGGGTTTGAGACCAGCCTGGCCAACATGGTGAAACCCCGTCTCTACTAAAAATACAAAAAAATTAGCTGGGCGTAGTGGTGGGCACCTGTAATCCCAGCTACTCAGGAGGCTGAGGCAGGAGAATTGCTTGAACCTGGGAGGCGGAGGTTGCAGTGAGCCGAGATGGCCCCACTGCACTCCAGCCCGGGTGACACAGTGAGACTCCATCTCAAAAAAAAAAAAAAAAAAAAGAAAGAAATTTAACAGAAGTAAAAGACCCGCACACTGAAACCTATAAAACATTGATGAAAGAAACTGAAGAAGACAGAAATAAATAAAAAGACATCTCATGTTTATGGGTTGAAAGAATTAATATTGTTAAAATGTCCAAAGTGATCCACAGATTCAATGCAATCCCTATAAAAATTCCAATGACTTTTTCGCACAGCTAGAAAAAAAAGTCTAAAATTCCTATGGAATGACAAAAGAGGCTGAATAGCTAAAGAATTCTTGAGCAAAAAGAACAAAGCTAGAAGCATCATACTGCTTGATCTCAAAATACACTACAAAGCTACAGTAATCAGAACAGCATGGTACTGGCAGAGAAACAGACAAACCAACTGAACAGAATAAAGAGTCTATCAGTTAATAGGATGCTCATTTTTAAAAAAAAATAAAAAGTGAAAAAAAGAATAAAGAGTCCAGAAGTAAATTTACCCATTTACAGTCAATTGTTCAATAAGGGGACAAGAATACACTATAGGGAAAGGATATTCTCTTCAATAAGTAGTAATGGGTAAATGGGATATCCATATGCAGGAGAATGAAATTAGAGGCTTATCTCATACCATATATAATAATCAACTCAAATAAATTGAAGACGTTATGTGTACCCCCTGAAACTGTAAAAAACGAGAGGGAAAAGCTCCATGACATTGGTCTGAGTAGTGATTTTTTAGATATGACCCCAAAAGCACAGGCTACAAAAGCCAAATAGACAAATGGGATTACATAAAACTGAGAAGTTTCTACAGAGCAAGGGTTACAATAGACAGACTGAAGAGACAACAGAGAACAGGAGCAAATATTTGCCAGCCATACATCTGATAAAGGGATAATATCCAAAATATATAAGGAACTCAAACAACTCAATAGTAAGAAAGCAAATAATCTGATTATAAAATGGGCAAAGGATGTGAATAGACATTTCTCAAAAGAGGACATACAAATGGCCAACAGGTATATGAAAAAAAGTTCAACGTAATTAATCATCAGACAAATGCAAATTAAAACCACAATGAGAGATATCACTTCACACCTATTACAATGGCTATATCAAAAAGACAAAAGATAACAAGATTGGAGAGAAAATAGAGAAAAGGAAACCCTTGCACACTGTTGGTAGGAATGCAAATTAGTACAGCCATTATGGAAAACAGTATGGAAGTTGCCAAAAAATTTAAAAATAAAACTATCATGTGATCCAGCCATCCCACTACAGGGTATATATCCAAAGGAAATAAAATCACTATTTTTTCTTTTATTGAAATTAAAAAAAATCTTTTTATAGAGATGGGGTCTTGCTATGTTGACCAGGCTGGTGTTGAACTCCTGGCTTCAAGCAATCCTTCCATCTTGGCCTCCCAAAGTGCTAGGATTACAGGCGCGAGCCACCGTGTCCAGCCAAAATCACTATTTTTAAGAGGTATCTGCACTCCCATCTTTATTGCAGCATTATTCACAATAGCCAAGATATGAAATCAACCTAAGTGTCCATCAATGAACAACTGAATAAAGAAAATGTGGGGCTGGGCACTGTGGCTCACGCCGGTAATCCCAGCACTTTGGGAGGCTGAGGCAGGTGGATCACGAGGTCAGGGGTTCAAGACCAGCCTGGCCAAGACAGTGAAACCCCGTCTCTACTAAAAATACAAAAATTAGCCAGGTGCAGTGACAGGCGCCTGTAATCCCAGCTACTCGGGAGGCTGAGGCAGGAGAATAGGGGTGGGGTGGAGGTCGGGGGGGTTGGGGCAGAGGGTGGAGATTGCAGTAAGCCCAGATTGCACCACTGTACTCCAGCCTTGGTGACAGACTCCATGTCAAAAAAATAAAATAAAATGTGGTATATATATACGGTGGAACATTATTCAGCCTTAAAAAATAAGGAAATTCTGTCTTTTGTGACAACATGGATGAACCTGGGGACATTATGTTAAGTGAAATAAACCAGACACAGAAATATACCACAAGATCTCATATATATGGAATTTAAAAATGTTGAACTCATAGAAGTAGTGGGTAGAATGGTGGTTGCCAGGGGTAAGGGGTGGCGGAGAGAGAAAAAGAACAAAAAGTAAGATGTGCTCAAAAGGTAATGGAGGCATGTCAAATGGACTCAGGAGTCTGCTGGAAGGGGCTCACACCAGCCAAGGCGGGGACACCTGGAGCACAGAAATGAATAGTGGCAGTAATGAACTATAACATGTTGGAAAAAAATGAGTCCAAAGTCATACTAACCAATATAAAGAAAGAAAGAAAAAGATGGAACGCTATTAGTTGCAGTAAAATTCAACTAATACATACAGAGGAATAGAAGTATAATATCATCGAACAATAATTGATTCAGCAAGAATCCTAAATCTGTGCTTGAATGAAAGTTTTTGAGGAGGATATATACACAGACAAATAATCTCTCTACAGATAAAATTCATCTGGAATTAATTTTGGATGTCTAGTGTGAAGTGAGAATCTAAAATGATTTCTTTTGCAAAAACAGTAGCCCAGTTTTCAATCTCTTTTCCACAGAAATTAAACTGTAAGCTAATATAGATATTAGACGGTAAGCTTCTTGAGGACATGGACTGTGTAATGTTCACATATATTTTTATTTTTTAGGCTAGTCAAGTGAAGCAGTGGGATACGTTCATAATTCTATCCTTAGTGTAGTGCTTCTATAACTAACACACTGCAGGTTAAATTAGGGACTCAAAAATATTTGCGGAGTGCACTTTTTTTTTTTTTTTTTAAACCATAGATGGAGTTTCTACATACACTGCAGTCGTCGTGGCTGGGCAATTTATTCTTTTCATATGATCTCTGTACCTATTTCATACTTTATTGTAGGTTTATGAAATATTAACATAGGGTGATAATTACGAGGGCCTTTTTTGCTTATCTTAAATTTTTAAAAAAAATTTTTTTAAAGGAAGGCAGAGACTTGAGCATCTTTATGGGCTGAGGAGGCAGAGTCATTGGAAAAGGGGAGGTTGCAGATACGGTGCAAGCTCCCAGACAGGAGAGGGTGAATTGGGGGCCAAAAGGATTGAGCTGGGGAAGAAGAGGCCCCTTCCTCAGAGAGATGAGGGAGAAAGGCAGACCAGGGCAGATGTGGATGTAGGTAAATGTTGTGGTGTGTGGGGAATTAGCTTGTTAAGGGTCACGCCCAGATACCTTGGGATTTTTCACGTGGGTATAAAATATGATTCTCTGATGAGAATGATGGTCAAGGTAATGTGGGGGTCGTGGTGGTGGTCTGACGCAGCAGTAATAAGGAATGGGAGAAGCTGACTACAGACTCCCAGAAAGATTGCTGAAGGGCCCAGCTGAGGATGGTGACTGGGATTTGCACTGGACTCAACCTGCAGGTTTCGATGGTGCTTTCCAACTCCAGGAAAACTGGGCTGGGATTTGACAAAACTCTTGAGGAAAAGGACTCACAGAATTTAAAACTGCATTTCCCTTTAGGTTTCGTCTGCTTTCCATCCTCCCCTACCAAGCCCCACAACTGCGGCGAGCATGTTTTCTGCAGTTAACTGCACTGCGCTCTCAGCAGGACAGAAATGACGAATAACTCTAGCCAAGCTGAACAAGATAGGGCTTGGGCTTGGTAACTTTATTTGCATCAGCATTTGCAACACAACACCTAAATGAAAAAATTAACTATAAAGCCGACATCACTTACTCTGGGTCAGGGAACTGTGCCATTCGCTTTAAGTGCATTTACTTAATCTCAAAAAAGTATTAAGAAGTGAGTCCTTTTATTAATCCGACTTTACACACCAGAGGTCTAAGGCCTAAATAAATGAGCAATTTGCTTAAGATCATATGGCTGGTTATTGGTGGAGTCATGCAAGTCTGGAAACAGAGTCATCGCTAACTCCGGTTCAGTGCTACACGAGTGAACTGTCTACAACAAAGCAATAACATATTATGAGTGCCCACAGTATCGAACACATACGGTAACCGCAGTCCAGCCAGCACCCCTGCAGTGCCCAGAGCACCAAGCACCCATCCGTTGACCCCGCATGCGTGACGCTCACGCGCGCAGTCCCCCTGGCTTCTTCCAGGAAGGCTGAAGCGGCCTAATCTCGGCCAAAAGATCAGGACGACTCGATCTGGGCTGGACTCCTTCTGCCTGAGCATCTGATCCGAGCGTCGGCCGGGCTGGGAGGAGCCGGCCCCCGGGAAAGATTTCGGACTGGGGGACAGGAAAACAGAGGGCGGAGTCTTGGGGGGGGGAAGCGAGAAGCCGCATCAACCATGTAAGCAGCTTCGCTTCCTGCCGCAACCGTCCGCGGCCTGAGGAGCCCACCGCCGCTCTCGGGGGCCGACTTCCGGGGGCTGAGCCGTTGAAGCGGAGGCTGGGGCGGGGGGCAGCCGGCGCGGCCGGGGCAGGAGGCGCAGGTAAGGGAGGGGGCCTGGAGCTTGGCCGGCTGGGGCTCAGCATGGGAAGGAGGCCGGTATGGGGAGCTCCAGGGCCAGAGCTGAGGTGAAAGTGAGAACCAGGGCTCCGCAGTCGGGGGCTAGGGCCTGGCTGCCGGCTGAGCAAGGAAGGGCAGAGAATCTGGCTTTAGAATTAGCTTGTCCTCCCTATTCCCCGGCTGCCTTGTCTGGCGAGTGGGGACGGAAGCCGGGTGGGGCCCTTGAGATTTCCTTGGAAACATTTGAAGTTCCTTTGCCTCTCTCTCGACCCTTACGCCTGAACTTAATTAGGAGGGGAAGAGTACAGTTACTTTTCCCTCTGAGTGCATGAGTTCTGAGTTTGTCAGAGGCGCATCCGTAGGCTGGAAAAGAAAGTTCATGAGCTGCAGAAACGATACCAACCGTGGGGGTTCAAATAAGTGTTTGTCTTTTTAAATGCTTGCCTCTGCTATTTGAGACGATTCCATTTCAACTTAGGTTTTGGAGTTTCTTGAGGAGGAGCATTATTTCCCAATTAGTGTTTACCCTTTGCTTAGAATGTTCCCAACAAAAGGATGAGAATGGAATGTGTTGGAAACTTTTAGGACTTAGGGGTTTTCTGCCCAATCAGAGGTTATTCCTAAGACAGTCAAGAAATATAAGAAGTGCTAGAATTCTGTATAAAGCAAGTTATTCGTGTGTATCTGATGTGTATACATGATTCATTATCTACTATTGACGCAGTGCATCCTGTGTTGTAAAATATGTCCAGTGTTGACAATAGAGGTAGTCGCTTGGTATAATGTACTTATTTCTGATTTATTTGAGCCCCTTTTTTGGCACTCCAAAACTCCCACTCTGTCAGTTTTCTTACAAAAAATGTTCTTTCTTTTGTGTTTGTGACAAAGATTGTGTAGGTTAAATCTCTTCTGTGGAGCAAGGCTAATTTCCTGTGTTCTCCCTTTTTCTGCTTTCTGGATCCTGCTCTGGTTTTCCTTTAAGCGTGTTGGTCAAAAATTGAACAAGAAATCTTTGTTGATAGAAGCTAACATTTCCAATATTCAGCTTTCCTAAATTATTACATTGCCAGTTTTTTTTTTTTTTTTTTTTGAGAGACAGAGTCTCGCTCTGTCCCCCAGGTTGGAGTGCAGTGGCGCGATCTCCTCCGACTGCAACCTCCGCCTCCCAGGGTTCAGGCGATTCTCCTGCCTCAGCCTCCTGAGTAGCTAGATTGCAGGCGCGCGACACCACACTCGGCTAATTTTTGTATTTTTAGGGGAGACGGGGTTTCACCATGTTAGCGAAGCTGGTTTTGAATTCCTGACCTCAGGCGATTCACCCGCCTCGGCCTCCCAAGGTGCTGGGATTACAGGCGTGAGCCACCGGGCGGGGGTCTCCCTCCCTCGCCCAGGCTGGAGTGAAGTGGTGTGATCTCGGCTTACTGCAGTCTCCGCCTCCCAGGCTCAAGGGATTCTCCTGCCTCGGCCTCCCAAAGTGCTGGGATCACAGGTGTGAGCAGCCACGTCCGGCCTTTACTGACTGGCTTCTGATAGTTTGTAGTAGGTCTGCATATATTAGTAGCCTTAATTAGAAATGGTGAAGTATTGGTGATATATCAGAAGGCTTTGGGTAGGTAGGTTAATAGGACTGATTACCACTCAGGAAAGAGTCCTAATTTATATTTTAAAGCGTTGTTAAGCTGCTAAAGAGTGAGAGTTATAAGATAATTTTTTCAGGGCCCTAGTGTCATTATGTAATTATTAGGGTTAACTATATGATTGGGTTTATATTTCAGAGACTACACTTGCTAAGTGTTTTCATGGGAATTTTTATCTTCTTATTTCCAAAGCCGAGTATAATTTTTGTGTAGATAACCTTTAGAAGTAATTCTAAGACTCTTTAGGCAGAATGTCATCTCTGCCTCTGACATTACTTGTGTCAAAGTAGAATGTAGGCTGTTTTCCAGGGGTGGTTGTTACGGCCATCACATTATCGTTTCTCTCCAGAGCTCTTTTTTTTTTTTTTTTTTTTTTCCCTAAATAAAATAGAGATGAAGTCTCGCTATGTTGACTAGGCTGGTCTGGAACTCCTGGCCTCAAGCGATCCTCCCGTCTCAGCCTCCTAAAGTGCTGGGATTACAGACATGAGGCCACAGTGCCTGGCCTCTTTTTTTTTTTAATATAAAAAAAACACAAACTTTTTTTTGAGTGTATACTTATTCAGTTATCAGCTTACTTCCCAACACTTTTTGCTGAATTGTCATGACACTTCAGAAGGATTGTTGATGATTATTCTCAGTGGAAGATATTAGAAACCTTCCTTCCCCTTCTTCTTCCTTTTCTCCTTCCTCTTTCCTTCCCCTTCCTCTTCCTCTTTTTCTTCCCCCCCCAATAAACATGTATTGCCAAAATTCTGTTTAAGTCAGTGGTTTCATTTCTGCCTTAATTTATTAATTAAATTATTGATCAGACAAAGCCTTAAGTAGTTAGAGAACGCGGATAGGCTAAAAGGGAAGTGTGAAGAGCTACAAAAGTAATTTTGATTTAGGTAATACTTTTGGGGTGAGACTTGGGGTATAGTGACAGTTCTACTAATGTCTGTGTGACCCCCAAGAAAGTTGTTTTAGGTTCAGAGTACCTTGGTTGCCTCAAAGGTAAAATGTCATAAAGCCAGCTGTGTGTGCCTTCCAGGATTGTAAGAGTAAAATGAGATGGTAGCTATGATTTTGAATGTGAAAAGCATTTTACCGAGACTGTAATGTCCTCTTTGTAAAGTGGAGACTAGATTATAAACTATAGTATATATATTGTTTTCTCCAAGGGAGGAACCTTGTCTTTATTTTGAAACAGTAGGTAGCCTCCTGGTGGCTGGAACATGCTTCTGCCTGCAGGGGGCCCATTGTCTGGGCCCTAGGGATCTACAGAGCTCAGTAGGCTTAGGAAGTGTTTCAGGAAGGCCTCCTAGTTGATGCTGTCCTCATGTCCTGCCAGAACAGTCTCCATCTCCTCCTCAGCCATCTTCCCTCCCAGGGTGGTGAGGACTTGTCTGAGCTCTGCTCCCGTGACTTTGCTGTTCCCCTCCTTGACTAACACATGAAGCCCCTCCAGGTAGTCCTCATATGTGCCTTGGTTCTGCTTCTTGGCTGCTGCCTGGAGCATGGGCAGGAAAGTCTTGAAGTCCACATGCCGGGACTTCAGGTCATCACTCTTGGGGTTCCCCAGGACCTTCATCACCTTGGCACTGGTGAGGTTCTGGTCCAGGGCCCCCATCATGTCCCCAAACTGGCTGTATGGGATCTTGCCATCCCCCACTCAGTTAAACAGCTTGAAGGCCACCTTGAACTCCTCCAGCTGATCCTTGTTAAACTTGATCACCACTTTGGAGAGATCAACTGGGGGCTCCTTGGTTTTCTCAGGGGCCTGGGGGATGGGATAGCTGGCTCAGCTTTGGTCTTGGCTGGAGGGGCCCATGCTGCTGCTGGCTTGGCAGCACCTTTGGAGATGGAGGGCCCTGCTGGTTCCTCCCAGAATATCCTTGGGAGGCATGATGTCTGGTGGCCAAAGGACAGTGTGCGGATGGGGGCACCCATCTCTTGCAGGGTCCGTGTCTGGGCCAGACTACAGTATTTTTTTTTTTTTTTTTTTTTTGTGGATGGAGTTTTGCTCTTATTGCCCAGGCTGGAGTGCAGTGGCGTGATCGGCTCGCTGTAACCTCCGCCTCCTGGGTTCCAGCGATTCTCCTGCCTCAGCCTCCTGAGTAGCTGGGATTACAGGTACCCGCCACCATGTCCAGCTAATTTTTGTATTTTTGGTAGAGATGGGGTTTCACCATGTTGGCCAGGCTGGTCTCGAACTCCTGACTTCAGGTGATCCGTCCACTTCGGCCTCCCAAAGTGCTGGGATTATAGGTGTGAGCCACCGTGCCTGGACCAGTCTACATTATTTTAATGATTAGAGTTATCCATGGTTCTTCTCTTTGAAATATAAATCAATATGGCAGAAAATAGTACTTTTCTGTAACTTCCATCTGGTGATGTGGTTAGCTTTATTGCTTTGGTTGAAATATGATTTTTTGGTTATTTAGAAACAAAGCCCTTTAAGAAGATCTTCATCTTAATGTCTATGAATTGAGGCTTAAAGGGAGGAAAAACCAGGTTCATGTGTTTAGGAGCAAAGATAGTGGGGAACAACTTGTTGATTTGAGTAGTTGTCATAGGTCATGAAGTGTAGCTTGAGGTAATTGTTAAAGTTTTGTAGACATGTCATTAGAGAATGACTTTCATGTCCTCGTCTTAGAAATATAATGATTTTTATATTACTTTTTAAAATATAAAAGTTGAGGCCAGGCATGGTGGCTCATGCCTGTAATCCCAGCACTTTGGGAGGCTGAGGCGGGTGGATTACCTGAAGTCAGGAGTTGGAGACCAGCCTGGCCAACATGGTGAAACCCCATCTCTACTGAAAATACAAAAAATTAACTGGGCGTGGTGACTGCGCACCTATAGTCCCAGCTACTCAGGAGGCTGAGGCAGGAGGATCACTTGAACCTGGGAGGTGGAGGTTGCAGTGAGCCAGGATCACGCCACTGCACTCCAGTCTGGGCGACAGAGCAAGACTCCATCTCCAAAAAAAAAAAAAAAAAGTTGAAATAAGGAAAATAAGACTGAAGAATTTATGTGTGTGTTGTATAACTAGCTTCCCCCCATAACTTTAAAAAGCTGTTGTGTATCCCTTCTTCCGAAACATCTTAAAATGAAAGAGCTAGAAATGATGTGAAAATGCTTATTTTTCTTCTGCCTGCTCACATTAATGCTTTACCTCCAAATTTTTATTAATTTAAATCTTTTCTATAATTTGAATAGTAATGTTTAAAATTGAGTTGGCTATCAGATCATAGTTGTAGATGATTGGGGCTCTTATGATTTAGATAGCAGTGTTTTCAGTCCTTTGGAATATATGAAGCTAGATTTATTTACTGTTTGTTTTCATAGTCTGACTTTTCACAGAATAGGATTTTCTGGATATTTCGATGCTGTTTGGAATCAACTTTTGAGCTTCCTGAGGAATTTAGATTTTTGCTTGTTTCTTTTGTTTTTCAGACTCATGAAATGGCCACAGATGATAAGACGTCCCCAACACTGGACTCTGCTAATGATTTGCCTCGATCTCCTACTAGTCCTTCTCATCTCACACACTTTAAACCTTTGACTCCTGATCAAGATGAGCCCCCTTTTAAATCAGCTTATAGTTCTTTTGTAAATCTCTTTCGTTTTAACAAAGGTAAGACTTATTAAAGATAAGAGGTTTGATTCAGGTCTGATTGTTTGAAATGCTCCTTTGTCTCCAGTGGCTCACCATGATCATATAGTGGTTAGTACTCTGTTCAGCTTTAATGCTGGGTCTGTAAGAAAGTGAAATATTAACAAGCGATAGCTTTAATCGTAGGTCTCCAGGGTTTACTGCTGAAGAGAAAGCTAGAATTTTCACTGTAATATCATTAATTATTGGTAACTAAAGGTCTGGATTAAAAGCTAAATGTTAGGCCAGGCGTGATGCCTCACACCTGTAATCCCAGCACTTTGGGAGGCTGAGGCGGGTGGATCACGAGGTCAGGAGATCAAGACCATCCTGGCTAACACGGTGAAATCCCGTCTCTACTAAAAATACAAAAAAATTAGCCGGGCATGGTGGCAGGCGCCTGTAGTCCCAGCTACTCAGGAGGCTGAGGCAGGAGAATGGCGTGAACCCAGGAGGCGGGGCTTGCAGTGAGCCGAGATTGCGCGACTGTACTCCAGCCTGGGTGACAGAGCGTGACTCCATCTCAAAAAATAAAAATAAAATAAAAAACTAAATGTTAAAAGGAGATTTCTTTTAATAGAGAAAGTAGTCGTCTTTTTTTGTTATTCTTTTTTTCTTAATATGCTTTAAGTTAGTCCATAGAATGGACTTTGTTCTTTTGGGGGTTAATAGCTAAAATATTTAAAGCAATGAAACTGAAAGGAACAGTACATGGGAGGAAAGGTTTATATTTTTCAAAAATTGGAAGCTGTCAGTAGGCTTCTTGTTGACTTAAAACTGTTAGACTAAGGTGTACATGTAATGACATCAAATGGAAAGATATTTTTAAAATGAGCTCTTTTTAAGTAATATGTCTTTTACTTGGGACAAGAATTAAAAAACATGGCCTATATCTTTTGTCTTTTGTTTGTCTGTATTACTTGAAGTATGTTAGAAAGTAATTCTTGTTGTTGTATAGAATTTGGAGAGGTTAATAGTGTTAATTAACTCAGTAGAACCTTTAATAATATTAACTGAATTTTATTTATGATCATGTTTAAAGTGCTATGAAAACCCTTTAGTACATTTTTAAGACAATGATACTTAAAAAAAAAAACTATTTTTTAGAAGAGTTTTAGATTTACAGAAAAATTGGGAAGATAGAATTTCCGTATACTCCCATACCCAGTTTTCCTCATATTAACATTTTACATTAGTCTGGTACATTTGTTACAATTAATGAACTGTTATTGATAGATTATTAACTAAATTACGTATTTTATTTAGATTTCTTGAGTTTTTACCAGTTGTTCTTTTTATATTCTAGGATCCCATTTGTCATACCACATTACACTTAGTTGTCATAAGACAATAAAATTTCTATTTAGCAAATGTTTATTGGGTACCTCCTTTGTACTGGGAACTGTTTTGATAGTGTAAGGGATCTGTCCAGTAAACAGACCCAAAAAATCCCTGCCTTCATATGAAGCTTGCATTTTGTTTCCTTTAGTATGCTCAAGAAATTTCTAATGAAAAGTGAAACAAATAGGAGATCATATATACCAAGGGTGTGATTATTGGCCTGTAATTTTGCCTCCTTCTTTGAATTTTCTTTTTTTAAAATCTAGGCTGGGCACAGTGGCCTGTGCCTGTAATTTCAGCACTTTGGAAGGCTGAGGTGGGAGGATTGCTTGAGGCCAGGAGTTCAGTACCAGCCTGGGCAACATAGGGAGAACCTGCTTGTATTTAAAATTAAATAAATGAAAAAGGAAAAAAAAAATTTTTAGTTACGCATATAATACATGCATACATTGTTGCCTGAAAATTTTCATCTACTTCCTTCTCATTGCTGAACTCTCAGTCTTTAAATAATGCCAAGCGTTCCCTTGCTACAGAGAGAGCAGAAGGAGGCCAGGGAGAACAGCAGCCTTTGAGTGGAAGTTGGACCAGCCCTCAGCTCCCTTCGAGGACACAGTCTGTTAGGTCACCCACACCTTATAAAAAGCAGCTTAATGAGGAACTCCAGCGGCGCTCTTCAGCATTAGGTAAAACAGTGTTCTTATTTCATTCCCTTCTATATGCTAGATTTTTCCACAGTCATTGTGTTTCCTAGGTTGTTTATAGCAGGACTTAACTTTCCTGCTATTTGGAATAGTAAGATACTATTTGAAATAGTCAGGTACTGTTTAGAGTAAATAAAACTCTTACCTCGGTAGTGAAAGAATTTATTGACACCTGAAAAAATTCTTAAACGTCTCATTAAACTTTAATTTAGGCAAGGCACAGATTTCTTGACTATTTTTTGATTAATTACTTGCTTGGGTTTCAGCAGACAACAGTTTGCAACATCCCCAGGAGAACACAGGTTAGTTTCCACTTTGTGAATGAATTCTGCATCTGTTCTTGGGGTGCTAGTGAAATGTGATATGCATGCCTCTGGCTGCAGAACTCTGTCAACTCCATTATTGGGCTGCCACTTGCTCTTGGCCTTCTGTCCTTGTTGGGGTGCAAACTGTCAGTGTGGCTGAATAAGCTGAGCTCCTCTCATCTGTCTGTTTTCCATTCTGGTCTACTACACAGTCATCTCCTTCATTTTCATGCTCTTCTGATGAGTATGGGCTGGGGATTGGTGTCAGAATTGAGAGATTAGAAAAAGAGAGGTGGTTTATGTTTTATTTCTGTCAGATTTTTCAACTTGGAGTGGTTTGCCTAAGTCAAGGTGACAAAGGAAGTGGGAGGTGGCATGATAGAGGGGAAGGGATGCAGCATTGGGAATTAGATGCCCCAGAACACCAGATCTCGTCTGGTGTGGCTGATCTTCCCCCAGATAGTGGTGGTTGGCAGAAGGATATTTTATTGTGAGTTCAGACTTGGTCAGCCAGAACAAAGAGAAACTGAGCAAAAGTAGAGTTTCTACCCGAGGACTGGCACAGAGCTGGCTGCATCACCTGCACAGGTTTTCTAGGGCAGTGAGCCTCAGCCAGGGTTACATCAGCCATTTGGAGGGAAGAATCAGAAGATGGGGAGTGGGAGAGGGAGAAAGAAAGGAGCTCTCCTTTTATTCCAGATAATCTCTATTTTAACTTTTAACCTCAATAAACTCTCCTTAGCTCTTGAATCTGACTCACAACAACACTCTTTTTGTTGAGGGAGCTGTTTTGACTAAATCCCATGCTGAATTGAGTGTAGGATTTTTTTATTTCTAAAATCAAGTTAGACTAAAATGTAATATTTTAGGAGTTACAAATTGGCAGCCTGCCAAACCTTGCCATTGGTATTATGATCAACTTGAACTTTAATATCTCCAGGTGGAGCCTTTACTGTCTAGTTTCCTTACTGTCCTTCTCAAGTCTGCTTGATTATTTGATTCTATCTTGAAGGCATTTGAGCTTCAGAAGCCTGGTGTTATTTGGCCAGTCAAGTTCTTTTCCCTATTAAAAGGGCTGTAATTCTATAATTTACTAGCTTTCCGACCTTAGGAAAGTTATTTAATTTTCTAATGTTCATTTTGCAAGAGAAGCAGCTAAGGCTATTTGCCTAAGGGCATAGAGCTAGACCAGATTTTCTCTCTGGGTTTCTTTCATCTTCAGCCAACATCTGTGATTCTCTTGGTTCCAAGAAGGGTCTCACTCATCCTTTTTCAGCGGATGATGCTATTACTACTTTCTTATATTCCTAATTGGCTAAATGCCAGGGACTTCACAAGTTTTTGCCTGCTGCACGGAAGCACAGCCATTATGTTTCCAGTAGCTTCATCTGTCTTCTTTTTCAATTTGTAGATCATGGGGAGTTGTTTTTTGTTTTGAGACTCAAGTTTAGTTATTCTAATACAGTAGCAACACATCTG
This sequence comes from Homo sapiens, assembly GCF_000001405.40. Taxonomy (NCBI): domain Eukaryota; kingdom Metazoa; phylum Chordata; class Mammalia; order Primates; family Hominidae; genus Homo; species Homo sapiens. Next base: position 208,275,536 of record NC_000002.12, read on the forward strand.
AGGTATGTGCTAAAATTAAGATATAACTTTATAGAAAGATAAAAGTTGCCAAAGTTTTCTAAAATAGGTACAATTTTGGTAGTTACTTCAGTGATTACATTATCTTGGGAAATTCTTTGTAAACTTTAGATCCCAACCTCTCATTTCTTTGTAATTCTTTTTTTTCCCTCCCAGCCAAAACAGCACCTATCTAGCAAATGGTGAGTTTGAGGAAGATTCAGAGTGGGGTATTTTCCAGTTTACTTTGCCATAGGTTATCAGTTTGATGGGTTTAAGCTAATAGGATGTTCATCCTTTTTGTCAAAACGTCTTTGCTTCATGCTTAGGTTTTGTAACTGCCAGAAATAGGCAGAAACTTCAGTTGTAATTTTGGTCTAAATTAAGGAAATAATAAGTGACAACTTTGGTGGGCATACCCTATTTTGGCCATGAGGCTGGAATTTGGGCTTATTAGTGATAGATTTGGCTTCAGTATTGCTATGTCAGGTATAAATGATCCTTTCCTATTTGGAGCTGTGGGGTTGGGGAAGTGACAGGGAAGGATAGGATTGGAGTTTTAGCAATTTTCTGGCAGTTTTAATTTGCTTGGACATAGGTCAGGTTTTACCATGGCAAAATTTGCCATCCTGGATGTTGTGAAGTCTGTCAGAATCTTTGAAGGCTGGGCTATTAAACTTCTTTCTGATCATCTTCTGTATGAGACTTTGGATATATGGTCTACAGATATAGACAGAACTGAACTGTTTGATCCTATTGCTTACCTGTTTGACTTTAGAGACCAAGCTAAGTTAACCCTCCTTGATTGCTTTTTCTTCTGCTAAATTTCTAGCATGCATTTATTATAGGTTGGACCAAAGGGCTTAAGGAGTCATTAATGAATTTTGGACCATTTAAGTGATGTTCCCATTCCAGGCCTGAAAACCATCAATGGTCTCAGACAATGCTTGTCTTAGGCAGCCTTGACTCGCTTGTAAAACAGCATTTTACATGAGAAGAAATACTTTCAGTAGCCTCTTACCCTTATAAAGACTTGTTTTAACTCTCAATTCATATAACCGGGTGGGAGAACATAATTATATGCCAACAATAAGAGGCAGTTTCCATCACATATATACCTTGTTGTATATAGATACTAGGGACTGTTAACAAGGTTGCTTTTTTTTTAATCCAACTCAGACACAAGAAGGAAAGCAGAACCTACCTTTGGAGGTCATGACCCTCGTACAGCTGTTCAGCTTCGAAGCCTCAGCACAGTATTAAAACGCCTCAAGGAAATCATGGAGGGGAAAAGCCAGGTACTGTCTAGAGGCTTTGGAAGATTACTTATTAAGCGCTTATGGGGATCATGCCATACCTAATGAAAATGGCTTAATGCCACTGAAAGAAAGCTTAATTAGCGCTTCCTCCAGCTGTGAGCACCCTATTTTTATACATAAGTTCTTAATTTTATTGTAGTCTAATTTATCAGTTTTTTTCCCGTTATCCTTAGTGCTTTTCGCGTTCTGTTTAAGAAGTGTTTATCTAGTTCAGGGCAGTAGATATTCTCCTATGGTTTCTTCAAGAAGCTTTATTATTTCTGTCAAGTATAGGGGTCAGGCTTCCATTTTTCCTCATGGATGTCCAGTTGGATATAGTACCATTGTTTTTGAAAAGACCATCTTTCACTGATTGCATTATAAATTCCACCGTAAGTCCATATATGTGTGAGGGTGTGTCAGGGCTCTCTTTTTCTGTTCCATACCTTTATTTTTTTCTATCCTTGTACCAGTACCCTGTCTAAAATTATTGTAGCATTAAGAATAAGTCTTGATGGCTGGTAATATTAAGTCCTTCAATTTGTTCTTCTTCAAGATTGTCTTGGTTATTTTGACCTTTCGTATTCCCATATGAATTTTTGAATTAGTTTGTTTTCTGCAAAAGAAACCTTTGAGGATTTCATTTGCCATTGCATATTAATAATCAGTATTTTCAAGAAGCCTTCACACATTTTTATTGTTATAGGATAGTGACCTGAAACAATACTGGATGCCAGATAGCCAATGTAAAGAGTGCTATGACTGTAGTGAGAAATTTACAACCTTTAGGCGCAGACACCATTGCCGACTATGTGGGCAGATTTTCTGCAGTCGTTGCTGTAATCAAGAAATCCCTGGAAAATTTATGGGCTATACAGGTAAATGCATTTTATTGCCAGTTTACAATTTTTAAAGGTCATAACTATAAGACACTTATAATACAGGATAGTGTTAAGCCAATTTTCATTTTGGGTTTTATGTGTAAGACATGGGGACACAAAGGTGAGGGAGACAGCTTTGCTTTTAAGAACTTTCCTATTGAATAATACAGTAGATGGGACTTATCATAAATAACTAGAGTAAAAGTGTATTTATTGTAGATGCTAGCAAAAAACTATAGGAACATTAAAATTTATTAGACAAGATCGTTAGAGTAGATTACTAATTTAAATCACTATGAGAGTTTTCATTTTAAAAGGACAGATCTTCCTTGACGTAATTACATGACACTGTGCTTTGGCAGTGAATTGTGTCTTACTCAGATTCCTCCATAAGGAACATAGTCAAATTTCAGCAGTACAGAAAATTTAAGTTATTTCTTGAAACAGAAAAAACTGAACAATGGTATGTTGATTTATACAGTGATTTGGGAGTAGAAGATAGTCAGAAATTACCTGAAAAACAAAACTCCTAACATCTCTCTCATGTTATTTTTGTTATTGTGAAGATCTTTCTGTCTGCTCATTTTTTTTTCCACCTAAACTACTACAGAGTTCAGAATCCCATTATCTGTCACCCAGAACCCCATTAGCTTTTACAACAGCTTTTTTGTTTGAAAATTACTTGTATTTCTTTTTTTTTTTGGTAATAATTTCAACTTTTATTTTAGATTCATGTTTGTTACAGGGGTATATTTAGTGATGCTGAGATTTTGCATATGACTGATCCTGTCACCCAGGTAGTGAGTATGGTATCCAGTAGTTAGTTTTTCAAACCTTGCTCCTCTTCCTCCCTCCCTGCTCTAGTAGTCCCCTTGTCTATTGTTGCCATCTTTATGTCCTCATGTACTCAGTGTTTAGCTCCCACTTGTAAGTGAGAGCTTGCGGCATTTGGTTTTCTGTTCTGTGTTAATTTACTTAGGATAATGGCCTCCAGCTGCATCCATATTGCTGCAAAGGACATAATTTTGTTCTTTTTTTATGGCTGCATAGTATTCCATGGTGTATATGTACCACATTTTCTTTATCCATTTCACCATTGGTGGCACCCAGGTTGATTCTGTATTTGCTATTATAAAAAGTGTTACAATGAACATACGAGTACATGTGCCTTTTGATAGAATGATTTATTTTCCTTTGGATATATACCCAGTAGTGGGATTCCTGAATCAAATGGTAGCAGTTCTGTTTTAAGCTCTTTGAGAAATCTTCAAACCGTCTTCCACAGTGGCTGAACTAATTTACATTCCCATCAGCAGTGTATAAGCATTCTCTTTTCTCTGCAGCTTTACCAGCATTCGTTTTTTGGCTTTTTAATAACAGCCATTCTGATTGGTGTGAGATGGTATCTTATTGTGGTTTTGATTTGCATTTCACTAATGATCATTGATGTGGAACATTTTTTCATGTTTGTTGGCCACTTGTAGGTCTTTTTTTGAGAAGTGTCTGTTCATGTCTTTTGCCCAATTTTTAATGGGGTCATTTGTTTTTTACTTGTTGAATTACGTTTCTTATATATTGTGGATATTAGATCTTTGTCAGATGCATAGTTTGCAAGTATTTTCTCCTATTCTGTGGCTTGTTTGTTTACTCTGTTGATAGTATCTTTTGCCATGCAGAAGCACTTTAGTTTAATTAGGTCCCACATGTCAATTTTTGTTTTTGTTGCAGTTGCTTTTGAGGACTTAGTCATAAATTGTTTCCCAAGGCTGATGTCCAGAATCATGCTTCATAGGTTTTCTTCTAGGACTTTCATAGTTTGAGGTCTTATATTTAAATCTTTAATCCATCTTGAATTAATTTTCGTATATGATGAAACATAGGGGCCAGTTTTATTCTTTTGCATATGGCTAGCCAGCTATTCCAGTGCCATTTATTGAATAGAGAGTCCTTTCCCTGTTGTTCATTTTTGTTGACTTTGTTGAAGATCAAATGTCTGTAAGTGTGTGATTTTATTTCTGGTTTCTTTGTTCTGTTCCATTGGCTTATGTGCCTGTTTTTGTACCAGTACCACTGCTGTTTTTGTTACTGTAGCCTATTCCTATGAAACTACCAATGTCGTTTTTCATAGAATTAGAAAAAACTATTCAAAAATTCATATAGAACCAAAAAAGAGCCTGAATAGCCAAAACAATCCTAAGCAAAAAGAACAAGGCAGGAGGCATCACATTTCCTGACTTCAAATTGTAATCTAAGGCTACAGTGACAAGATTACAGCTTTTAAAATACATTTTTTTTACCTTTAGTTTCTCCCTACCTCTAATTCATATTTCATATCCTAGTCAGCATTCTTTGTAAAATGATAATTTGATCATGTCAGGGTATTTTCCTGCATAATACTCTTTCAGAGCTCCCATTACCCTCAGGATAAAACCTTTCTTGTTAATATGGTCGGTATGTTAGCTTCCTAGGTCTGCCATAACACAGTACCACAGGCTGTGTGTCTTGGAACAACAGAAATGTATGTCTCATAGTTCTGGAGGCCAGAAGTACCAAAATACAGATCAGGGAACAAATATAGGGATTCTGCTGGTTGTCTATTCTAACTGTATGTTCTAGAACTGGGGAAATAACCATAGAGTGAGTTTGGGGACTCACTAAACTCACAGTGAGATGGACCTGAGCTAAAGCTTCACTGATCACCTGACCTCTGTAAGTCCCTACTCTGACAGGCAGACCAGAGTGATGTTTTGGGTCTCCTGGAATTAGTGTCAGTTGAGAGTAGGTGTCTAATAACCCCTGACAAATATGATCATTTCCTTCTCCTCAGTGTCCAGTCGCCTTGGTAAAAGCATAGGTCTCTTTGGGGATGGCTGGTAGAAAGATTAACGGTGTACATTTCTGGCAGTGTAGTGGGGTTCTTCTTCAGAATGACCAATCCCCTCTTCATTCAAGGAGTTCTGGATCATCTGTAAGTGGCTCAAGTCTGGGAATTGAGTGAAGGATCGTATGACTCTGTTTTCATGATTCAAGTTGGACTTACAGCTACTTGATATGGAGTTGTTTCCCTTATACAAATCAAGTAAGAATTTTGTTGACTGCCCATCTACTTCACTTGTGGAGACATTATGATCAACTAGCCAATGCCATACATCTCTTAGGCTATTCTGATTATTGCTTTGATTCTGATGTCTATTATAGTAACCATGCCCACCTTGTCTTTGGCGACTAAAGTGCTGCCTATTGGCCCCTGCCACCCTGGGATCCAGTGATCCCCATTGCATTTAGGTTTCCTGACCCAGTAGCAGTAGTTCCTGCTGTAATTTCTGATCTACAAAGAAGAGCAACCACAAAGCTCTTTAAGGATTCGGGGCCTCCCCTCACAAATTTATTTCTCATAGTCGTGGTTGAAAGGTTATGTCCTTCTTGGGTGAGTCAGCAAGTCTTACATGGTAAAACTACTTTTAACATTTCAATCTCCCCTAACCTTTGGATGCCTTCTTCTATAATATAATAGGGCATTTCTGATATTTCAACCCCATTTAGTGTAAGCCACCTTTTGGTCTATGTTTCAGCCAGTCATCTAAACAGACTGTTGGAGACCCTTTTAACCCCTTGAGCTGCAACAATAAATATAGAATCTGCTTAGTGGGCCCATGTCAGTAAATTCAGCTTGATCCAACTTTATATTCTTTCCACTATTATCCCATACCTTCATTATCCATTCCCACATGTATTTCCTTGGTTTTTATCTGTATAAATTGGAAAAATCATGTAGTTCTTCTGGAGTGTAGTGCACCTTCTCATGGGTCACAGTTTGTATCTCACCTTTCAGGGCCTACCTGAGCTTGAGTTCCTTTATAGGTCTGGTAGCAAAGAGGAGTAGTAGGAGTAGATCCTGAGTAAAATTAGCAGTGTCTTGCAAGGCAGCTAACTCAGGGGAGGTCATTACAGCCTGTCTGATCAAAGCCAGGTTAATCTCCTCAAATGAGGTGGAAAGACTGCTGCTGCTGGCAAAGAAGACTCAGAATTTTGGTGTTTAACATCCCCAGCTCCATCAGGATCTTCTTACATATTTCCATTCCTTCCCAATCAACACCCTCACTTTAATAGCAGACAAACTTCAAGGTTGGTGATTCAGTTTGTGTTTCAGTTCAGTCACTTGCAGGATGAGAGTGTTGTTCTGATTTTTAACAATCTTAGCACTGAACCTGCAGGAGATAAGGATTTCTTTCAAGGAAGACCTAGAAACTTTCAGATAATTTATACAGTTCTTGAGCTGGGAATTTGAATCCCTAAGGTTATCCATTTCTTTTTTTACTTTTGTCTAATGCAATTAGGAGGAACCAGCCCATGTCATTATAGTTGTTAGCTTGACAAAACCATTCTAAGATATTAAATACTTGGTCACTCAGAACTTTGCCTTTTATAAGTATTAATATTTGATTAGGAGTATCTGTAGGTGATATTTTGCATGTCTTTGTTGCCACATTACACAATGGACTATCAGTGTTCTCTTTACTACTGGAAATAGAGTCATTAGTGCCTTTAAATCTAATCAGCTTAGAGAACCAATTCCAGAAATGTAAGAACCAATTCAGAAAACTTACCCTTAAGATTCTGTTGCTCTAAAGCCATTCTTGGTACCAAAATATGTATTAAGGTTCTCCAGAGAAACAGAACCAGTAGGATACACAAACACACATTTATATAGAGAGAAATTTATGTTTAACAATTGGTCAAGTTATTTTGAGGACTGGCAAGTCTGAAATTCTCAGGGCAGGCCAGTAGGCTGGAAACTCCTACAGGATTTCTGTCTTGCAGTGTTGAGACAGAATTTCTTTTTCTTCAGAAAACTTTAGTCTTTGTCCTTAAGGACTTCAACTGATTAGATGAGACCCACTCACATTCTAGAGGACAATCTGCTTTACTTAAAGTCAGCTGATTGTAAATATTAATCACATCCAAAAAAAATAACCTTCACAGCATCTCAGCTTGACCAAATAACTAATCTAGCCAAGTTGACGCATAAGGTTAATCACAAATGGGATAATATAGTGGTCTCCAACCTTTTTGGCACCAGGGACCGGTTTTGTGGCAGACAGTTTTTCCATGGACTGGTGTGGGGGACGGGGGATGGTTTTAGGACGAAACTATTCCACCTTAGGTAATCAGGCATTAGATTCTCGTAAGGAACGTGCAATCTAGATCCCTCACATGCGCAGTTCACCATAGGGTTCACGCTTCTATAAGAATCTAATGCCACCGCTGATCTGACAGGAGGTGGAGCTCAGGAGGTAATGCCCGTTTGTGTATGGCTTGTGTGCTGCTTGCTCGCCACTCACCTCCTGCTGTGCGGCTCGGTTCCTAACAGGCTACGGACGGGGAGTAGTACATGTCCCTGGGATTGGGGACCCCTGGGGTAATATATGCTAGGCACAGTTATACATTGTGACCCTGAATAAATACAAATAACTAGAAAAATGTCTAGTACATGGAAAGGGATCAATGAACAGTAAACTATTGTTATTGATGGTAATAGCAATAGTATCTGCATCTGTCATGCAGCTTTTTGGTTATATGTGTGTTGCCTCCAGTGGCCTATGAGTTTTTTGATGGCAGGGCTGTATCTCATCAATCTTTGTATTCCCATCACACCATATAGGCATGCGCTTAATAGGCTCTTGCTGATGAACTTTCTTCATGAAATGAAAACTTTTATGATTAGGCTTGGCTCTGTTTATTGATTTTACAATTTTAGTTCTAATAGCTGACTGGTTAGGCGAGATTTCCTTTATAGTGTAAGAAACAAATGAAGTCTTTGTTGTAGTAAATTGAAAGTCTTTCTGCAGGGAGTAATTTCACTTCTTTTGTTTTTTTTTTTGGAGACTGAGTCTTGCTCTGTTGCCCAGGCTGGAGTGCAGTGGCACGACCACAGCTCAGCTCACTGCAGCCTCAGCTTCCTGGGCTCAAGCAATCCTCCTACCTCTCCGCCTCCCAAGTAGCTTGGACTACAGGGTGCATGCCACCATGCCCTGGCTAGTTTTGTATTTTTTATTGATGTGGGGTCTCACCATGTAGCCTAGGCTGGTCTCAAACTCCTGTGCTCAAGCAGTCCGCCTGCCTTGGCCTCCCAAAGTGTTGGGATTACGGGTGTGCACCACCATGCCTGGCCTACATGCATAATTTAATAAAACTGAGTACTGTGTAATAGTAGTCTTAAAATGAAAAAGTAAAAGGCCATTTTGGTAGTGATTATGGTAAAAACATAATACAGTTAACTTTTAGAAGTCTTTTATTTTGTATCACTTCAGTTTTCTAATATTAGTGGGAAAATTTTAGGTGGAATTATTAAACAACATGTTATTAGTAAGGTTTAATTATTTTACCTCCTTTTTTAATACCTAAAATGTTACAGAATCACTCAAAACAATGTTATAGAAAAATAGAGTAGAAATGAAAACTTCTATTTGGACAGGACTGCACCCTCAAAAAATACATATTTAGAAATATTAACCTTGTTTGTCCTCTCAAGAATATTTCATTTCTATCCTTTTTTTTTTTTTTTTCCCAGACAGTTTCGCTTTTATTGCCCAGGCTGGAGTGCAGTGGCACAGTCTTGGCTCACTGCAACCTCTGCCTCCCAGGTTCAAGCGATTCTCCCACCGCAGCCTCCCGAGTAGCTGGGATTACAGGCACCCGCCGCCATGCCTGGCTAATTTTTGTATTTTTAGTAGAGACAGGGTTTCACCATGTTGGCCAGGCTGGTCTTGGACTACTGACCTCAGGTGATTTATCCGTCTCAGTCTCCCAAAGTGCTGGGATTACAGGCGTGAGCCACCGTGCCCGGCCTTAACTTTTTTTTATAATAATTCTTTTATAGTTTTTACTCTCATATATTATACTGCATGTAAGCCCATTTTCTGTTAGTTTGCTTTTGAAATTCTTTGGAGGGTACTCTTCAGGGCTTCACAATAAAGACCTTAATAATATTTTCCTCCTTAATTAATTTGCCTATGGAAAATATGTTGTTTCCATTTGTGTTGGTTTATTTATTCTATTAAAAAATGTTATTCCTTGAAACTCATGTCTCTGTTAGATTTCTTTTTTAAGATTTTATTTTATATATGTTTATATTTGTATAGAGACAGGGTCTCGGTATGTTGGCCAGGTTGTTCTTGAGCTCCTGCCCTCAAACAGTCCTCCCGCCCTCAAGCAGTCCTTCTGCCTTGGCCCCCCAAAGTGCTGGGATTACAGGTGTGAGCCAGTGTGCCTGTCCTAGATCCCTTATTTCACTTTTAAAACCTGGAAAAAAATACTCTTTTAAGCAAAATTTTCTGGTATCATTGGGATATACATTTTGTTTTGTTTTGTTTTGTTTTATTTTATTTATTTATTTATTTTGAGACGGAGTTTCGTTCTTGTTGCCCAGGCTGGAGTGCAATGGCACAGTCTTGGCTCACTGCAACCTCCGCCTCCCGGGTTCAAGCAATTCTCCTGCCTCACCCTCCTGAGTAGCTGGGATTACAGGTATGCGTTACCATGCCCGGCTAATTTTTGTATTTTTAGTAGAGATGGGGTTTCACCATGTTGGCCAGGCTAGTCTTGAACTCCTGACCTCAGGTGATCTGCCGCCTCGGCCTCCCAAAGTGTTGGGATTATAGGCGTGAGCCACCACGTCTGGCCTGGTATGTTACATTTTAAACTCATTATAAATGTTTATGGTAGTTTGGACACCTGGATGAATTTATCATAATGATGGCTCTTTTTTTTTCTTTTAACTTCTAACTTTTGATTTTTAGTGCCAGAATTCAAAATGGCCCTTAAATATATATAATAGAGCTAACAAAATTATTTCACTTTTTAAAATGTCTTTTTTTGAGAGTCTGTACTTGAAGACATTTCCGTTATTAGATGAACTGTTGACCCAAGGAGTTAAAAAAGTTACGTTAAGCAATATGTTACTGCTATCTTTTCCTTCAATTTCCTTGTTTTTGTTTTTGTTTTTTTCTCCTAGGAGACCTCCGAGCTTGCACATATTGTAGAAAAATAGCCTTAAGTTATGCTCATTCCACAGACAGTAATTCTATTGGGGAAGACTTGAATGCTCTTTCAGATTCTGCTTGCTCTGTGTCTGTGCTTGATCCAAGTGAACCCCGAACACCTGTTGGGAGTAGGAAAGCCAGCCGTAACATATTTTTAGAGGATGATTTGGCCTGGCAAAGGTATTGTCCCTTAAATATAATTTTATTTAGAGTTGAAAAATATCGATAGTTGTCTGACCTTTGAGTGCTTTCAGTTAACACTTACCCTCTTAGAATTATTTCCTGTCAGTTCACTGTGTTCTCCTTTTTCTTTGGCTTGCCTCCAGAATGTTTGCAGATGTTTATGGATAGTGATGATATTGGCTAATTAGAATGTAAGCTCCATGAGAGGAGACTTTACATCTTTCTTGTCACTGTTCTACCCCAGGCACCAAGAACAGCGCATGGCATGTATATAATCTTGATAATATTTGTTGAACAGGCAACAAATTGAGATTTTTAATTTAATTAATGAACAGAAGTCATTGAGATTATTAATTTCTAATGTAGCCTTCTGTGAGAAGAAGAATGCCTGTACAATATGTATTCATATTTCCAAGTGAAATTAGATTTTTTTTCCTTCTGAAGGTATATGTCATGTTTTTCTGTAAGTATACTGCACTGCTACTTCATGTTTTTTTGTAAGTATACTGCACTGCTTGGTAGTAGAGGGTGCTAACTCTTGGAAGTTACCTGGAATTGTTTGAATTAGAGTCTTAGTTTCATCAGTTTCTGATTTTTAAAAATTATTAGTTATTATTTTTGAGACGGCCTTGCTCTGTCACCCAGGCTGGAGTGTAGTGGCGTGATCATAGCTCAGGGCAGCCTCGAATCCCCTCTGCCTTAGCCTCCTGAGTAGCTGGGACAACAGGCGCACACCACTGTGCTTGGCTGATTTTTTTTTTTTTTTAAGAGATGGGGTCTTGCCATGTTGACCAGGCTGTCTTGAACTCCTGGCTTCAAGCGATCCTCCCACCTCAGCTTCCCAAAGTGCTGAGATTACAGGCATGAGCCACTCACTGCACCTGGCCTCTGATTATTTTCTTTAGCTGAATTATTTTGTTAAGCATAATACCAAATCTGGCCGTTACAAAGAGCCTATAGTTTTAAGTAACATCTCTCTGATAAGTTAATTTCTCAGTTAACCCTTAAGGAATTGAGAAATTAGTATGTAATGAATTTAAATAGAAGTAAAAAATGAATTAATTACAGCTACATTCAATATGTATGAATCTCAGGGACATAAAGTGGAGTAGAAAAGAAAATCATCTAATCATGTCACCGGGAAAATTTAATTAATATAAAATTTAAAAATTTAAAAATACACAAAACTACTACACTGTCTAGGGACTGAAATGTGGTAACACTTAAAGACGATAGATATGAAAGTTATAACAGTGGTTTCACTGAGGGAAGGGAAGGGATTAGGACTGGGTAGGGGAATTTCACAGTCAGTGGTAGTGTACTTTTTCTTTTTCTTTTTTTTTTTTTTTTGAGACAGAGTTTTTTTTGCTCTTGTTGCCCAGGTTGGAGTGCAATGGCACGATCTCGGCTCACTGCAACCTTCTTTTCCTGGGTTCAAGCGATTCTCCTGCCTCAACCTCCTGAGTAGCTGGACTTACAGGTGCCCACCACCATGCCTGGCTAATTTTTCTGTTTTTAGTAGGGACGGGGTTTCATCATGTTGGCCAGGCTGGTCTTGAACTCCTGACCTCAGGTGATCTACCCGCCTCGGCCTCCCAAAGGGCTGGGATTACAGGTGTGAGCCACCGCGCCTGGCCAGAGTTTCTTTTTCTTACATTAGTTTTTATTTATTTATTTATTTTGAGATGGAGTCTCGCTCTGTCACCCAGGCTGGAGTGCAGTGGCGTGATCTTGACTCACTGCAACCTCCGCCTCCCAGGTTCAAGTGATTCTTGTGTCTTAGCCTCCCAATTAGCTGGGATTACAGGTGTGTGCCACCATGCCCGGCTAAGTTTTGTATTTTCAGTAGAGATGGGTTTTGCCATGTTGGCCAGGCTGGTCTCGAATTCCTAGGCTCCAGTGATTTGCCCGCCTCCCAAAGTGGTGGCATTATAGGCATGAGCCACCATGCCCAGCCTTTTCTTACATTGCTTCATGAATACTTTGGTGTTTATGGCATTATGATTTTTTTATACCTTACATATATTTTATAAATTTTAAAAATTGATTCTATGTTTAATTAAACAATATGAAGTATAGAGTTTTTTTAGTTTTTGCTTACTTTAGTTAGTAATGCTTTTTAGTTGTGACAGGCCCTGTCGTAATGGGCAGATGTGATTTAACAAAACAAATCAGGTAAGAAAGCTCCCTGAGAGATGTACAATAGATGTCAAAGGTAGAATGATTGTTAAATTTTAGGTTCTGTGCTAATTGCTTAATGTTCATTCTCTTTTAGTCAGCATATCTCTGTGGTAGGCACTATTTTCTCCTTTTGACAGATGTGGATGCTGAGGTTTAGCGAGATTAAGTAATGAACCCAAGGTCATGTAGCTAGTAAGAGGTCGAGCCTGCACTTGGACCTAGGTTTGTCTGACTCTATGGTGCTATTCTAGTGGGTTATGGGGACTGAGAATAAAATATTTGAACTCAAGATTTCCCTCCAAAATCAATTTCATCTTGTATTAATAATGTTAGACGTTTCAAAGGCACCCATCCAACTAACTTTATTTACATTCCATATACTTAAAAACTTTTTAAAATTGTCATTTCGGCATTTTATATTCTTAAAAGCCATGCACTGCAAAAACTATCATTCATACCATTTACACCCTAATTAAAGGAAGAACAAAAATGACACATAATCTCATTATTGCAAGGAAAAAGATTAAATCTGCTTTTAATGTTAAAGCGCCTCATTGAAATTCCCTTTTACTGTCCTGAATTATTTCAGTATTTTCCTATTTTCTTTATAGTTTGATTCATCCAGATTCCTCAAATACTCCTCTTTCAACAAGACTTGTATCTGTGCAAGAGGATGCTGGGAAATCTCCTGCTCGAAATAGGTAAACTGACAAATGAAAACACTGTGCTCTCTGATGTTTATTTCTTTTCATGCTAATAAGAAGAACAAACGGATAAAAAGGGTGGGATTGATTGTCATATACTTCCGTAGCTCTAAAAGCTGAATTAAACTATCATTTTCTTTTTGCTATTCAGCCCTTGTTTCCATTCTCTCAGTGACTTTCCAGTATTCTCCAGTGGCTTCCGGGTTTGGAACCTACACCATCCTTTCTCTTCTGGTTAAATAAGACGTGAAGGATGTGAGGGAAGGAGCCATGTGGACATTTTGTGGAGGAGTGTCCCAAGAAAACAGGAATAACAAATTCCTGAGAGGAAATACACTTGGCAAGGAATAACAAGGAATCCTATGATAATGGAGTAGAGCAGTCTTAGAGTTAATTATAAGGACTCTGTCATTTACTCTGAGTGAGATGGGAAGCTGTTGGAGAGTTTTACATTTTTTGTCGTTAATTTTTAATTGCTTTGAAAAAATGTCAAACATGCAGAAAAGTTGCGAGAATAGAAAAATATATCTTCATGTATTTTTCATTAAGATTTACTAATTTATATTTTGTCCCTTTGCTTTCTCATTTTTTCTTTTTTTAATTTTTATTTATCTTATTATTATTTTTGAGACGGAGTCTCACTCTCTCGCCAGGCTGGAGTGCGGTGGTGTGATCTCAGCTCACTGCAAGCTCTGCCTCCTGGGTTCATGCCATTCTCCTGCCTCAGCTTCCTGAGTAGCTGGGACTACAGGCGCCCATCACCATGCCCAGCTAATTTTTTTGTATTTTTAGTAGAGACGGGGTTTCACCGTGTTAGCCAGGATGGTCTTGATCTCCTGACCTCATGATCCACCCACCTCGGCCTCCCAAAGTGTTGGGATTACAGGCATGAGCCACCGAGCCCAGCCTGTTATTTTTTAGTAAAATACAGAGATGGGGTTTCACTTTGTTGTTCAGGATGGTCTTGAACTTCTGACCTCAAGCGATCTTCCCACCTCGGACTCCTAAAGTGCTGAGATTACAGGTGTGAGCCACTGCATCTGGCCATCGTTTTTTATATTGTATATACATGTATGCATATTTTCTGAACCATCTGAGAGTAAGTTGCAGACATCATTATCCTTTATATATTTTTATTAAGTTTATTTTTTATAGCAGTTTTAAGGTTCATACAAAAAATGAGCAGAAAGTACAGAGAGTTCCCCTATAGCCCCTGTCCCCACACATGCACAATCTTCATGACTATCGGTGTCCTGCACTAGAGTGGCATATTGTATTCAGTGGACCTACTTTGACACATGATCATCGTCTAAAAGTTAATAGTTAACATTAGAATTCACTCTTGGTGTTGAATATTCTATGGATTTGGACAAATGTATAATGACGTGCGTCTGTCATTGTTGTATCCTACGGAATAGTTCCTCTGCCCAAAAAGTCTACTGGGCTTCTCCTATTTATCCCTTCCTCTCCCCAACCCATGACAATCATTAATCTTTTTTACTGTCTCCATAGTTTTACTTTTCCCAGAATGCCATATAGTTGGAATTATACAGTGTGTAGACTTTTCGGATAGGCTTCTTTCACCTACTAATACGCATTTAAGTTTTCTCTATGTCTTTCCATAGCTTGATAGCTCATTTCTAAGTGATGAATAATATCCCATTGGCTGGATACACTATAGTTTATCTACTCACCTACTGAAGGACATCTTGATTGCTTCTAAGTTTTATCAGTTACGAGCAAGGCTGTTATAACATCTGAGTATAGGTTTTTTTGTGGGTGTAATTTTCAATTCATATGGATAAATACCAAGGAGCATGATTGCTGAGTCCTATGGTAAGATTATGTTTAATTTTGTGAGGCACTGCTAGACTTTTTTCCAAAGTGGTTTTACCATTTTGCATTCCTACCAGCAATGAATGAGAGTTCCTGTTGTTTCACATCCTCATCACATTTGGTGTTGTCAGTTTTGGATTTTGGCAGTTTTAATGGGTGTGTAGTATTATCTCATGTGATTGACTTTTGTATATTAATCTTGTATCCTGCCACCTTGCTATAATCACTTACTAATTTCAGGAGTTCGTTAGTTCTTTTGGATTTTCTATATAAACAGTCTTGTCATCGAACAAAGTTTTGTTTCTTCCTTCCCAATCAGTGTACTTTTTATTTCCTTTTCCTGTCTTATTTCATTAGCTAAAACTTCTAGTCCAATGTTGAAAAGGAGTAGTGAGAGGGGACATCCTTTCCTTGTTCCTGATCTTAGTGGGAAAGCTTTGAGTTTCTCACCATTAAGTATGATGTTAGCTGTATGTTGTTTTTCGTAGATACTCTTTATCATGTTGGGGAAGTTTCCTCTATTCCTAGTTTACTGAGAGTTTTTATAATGAAGGAGTGTTGGATTTTGTCAAATGCTTTTTCTGTATCAATGACATGATTACATAATTATTCTTCTGTAACTTGATGTGATGGGTTATATTAATTGATTTTTGAATGTTGAACCAGCCTTGCATGCCTGGGATAAATTCCATTTGGTCGTGGTTTATATAGTTTTTTATACATTGTTGGATTGGATTTGTTACTGTTTTGTTGAGGATAATAGTGTATGGTTTCCTTTTCTTGTCATGTCTTTGTCTGGTTTTGGTATTAGGGAAATCCTGGCCTCACAGACTGAGTTAGAAAGTATTTCCTCTGATTCTATCTTCAGGAAAATTTTGTGGAGAATTGACATAATTTATTTCTTAAATGTTTGGTAGAATTCACCAGTGAATGCATCTGGGCCTGGTGCTTTCTGTTTTGGAAAGTTACCAGTTATTGATTCAATTTCTTTAAGAGAAATAGGTCTGTTTCGATTTTCATTTCTGATATTAGTACTTTGTGTTTTCTCCCTTTTTTTTCTCAGCCTGGCTGGATACTTACTGATTTTATTGATCTTTTCAAAGAACCAGCTTTGGCTTTGTTGATTTTCTCTATTGACTTCTTCTCTAATCTTTATTATTATTTTTCCTGTGCTCACTTTGGATTTAATATGCTTTTTGACAAACACTTTGTTCCCTAAGGTGGAAGCTTAGATGATTGATTTTAGATCTTCTTTTTAAATGTATGCGCTTCGTGCTATGAATTTCCTGCTAAGCACTGCTTTCTGTTGCATTCCACGAATTTAGTTAGGTTGTGTTTTCATTTTCATTTAGTTACAAATATTTAAAAATGTTTCTTTATATTCTTCTTTGACTCATGTATTTTTTTTTACAAGTGTGTTGTTTCATCTCCAAGGATTTTGGGATTTTGTAGCTGTCTTTCTGTTAATGATTTCTAGTTTGATTCCATGTTGGTTGTTGAAGGCAGACATTGTATGATTTCTACTCTTAAATTTTTTATGGTGTGTTTTATGGCCCAGAATGTGGTGTGTTTTGGTGAATGTTCCATGTTACTTGAGAGGAATGTGCATTCTGTTGTTGAATTAAACAGTCTATAAGATATTCATTATATCCACCTGATTAATGGTGTTGTTGAGTTCAGCTATGTTGTTATTGATTTTCTCTCTGCTGGATGTATCCATCTCTGATAGAGGGGTTAAAGTCTCCAGCTATAATAATGAATTCGTCCATTTCTCCTGTAGTTCTATCAGTTTTTGCCTCATATATTTTGGTACTCTGTTGTTAGGAGCGAGCATACATATTAAGGATTGTTCTGTCTTTTGGAATATTGATTTCTTTATCATTATGTAATTTCCCTTTTTATCTTTGATTGCTCTGAAGTCTGTTCTGCCTGAAAATTAATATAGTTACTCCTGCTCTTTTTTTTATTAGCGTTAACATGGTTTATCTTTCTCCATCTATTTCCTTTTGTTCATGTATCCTGTTTTGATTTCATTTAAAAATTTAAAAATTAATTTTTAAAATTGACACATAATAATTGTGCATATTTATGGGGTAAATAGTGACATTTTGACCCTTCACTTATTTTTTAATCTGTATGTGTCTTTGTATTTAAATTAGGTTTCTTGTAGACAATGTATTTTTGGGTCTTGGTTTTGATCCATTCTAACCATCTCTGTCTTTTAGTTGGTGTATTTAGACTATTGACATTTAAGGTGATTACTGATGTAGTTAGAGTAATCCCTGCCGTATTTGTTACTGTTTTCTACTTGTTGCCCTTGTTCTTCCTGTTTTTGTCTTCTGTACCTTTTCCACCTTTATGTATTTAATTGAGCATTTTATGTTATTCCATTTTCTCTCCTTTTTAAAGGATACGAGTTACATTCTTTTTTTTTTTTTAATGATTGCCCTAGAGTTTGCAATGTAACTTACAACTAATCCACATTTACTTTCAAATAATACTATACTACTTCACAGGTAATGCAAATACCTTATAACAAAATACTCCCAATTTTTCCCTCCCATCTGTTGTATTACTGGCATTCATTTCACTTACATATAAGCATGCGTACATACATAATTGAATATATTGTTGCTATTATTTTGAAGAAATAGTTATCTGTTACATCAACTAAGAGTAAGAAAAAGAAAAGTTTTTACTTTAACTTATTCCTTCTTTGATGCTTTTCTTTGTGTATTAATAGATGTAAGTTTCTGACCTATATCATATTCCTTCTCTCTGCCTTTTCAGCATTTTTTGCAAGGCAGGTCTACTGGCAAAAAATTCCCTCAGTTTTCATTTGTCTAAGAAAGGCTTTACTTCTCCTTCACTTTTGAAGGGTATCATCAGGGTACAGAATTGTAGGTTGATGGCTTTTTTCTCTCAACATCTTAAATATTTCATTTCATTCTTTTTGCTTGCGTGGCTTCTGAGGAGAAGTCAGATGTATTTATTATCTTTGATACTCTACAGGTAAGGTTTTTTTTTTTTTTTCTTTAAATAGAGATGGGGTCTTGCTGTGTTGCCCAGGCTGGTCTCAAACTCCTGGCCTCAAGCGATCCTCTTGCTTTGGCTTCCCAAAGTGCAGGGATTACAGGTGTGAGCCACCATGCTTGGTCTTTAAGGTGGTCTTTTTCAAGATCTTTTTCTTTATTTTTGACTTTCTGCCATTTGAATACACTTAGTTTTGCCTATGTGTAGTTTTTTTGACATTTATCCACGCTTGTGTTCTCTGAGCTTCCTGGACCTGTGGCTTGGCATCTGACATTAATTTGTGGGAAATTCTCAGTGATTATGGCTTCAAATATTGCTTGTGTTCCTTTCTCTCTTTCTTCTTTTTTCGGTATTCCCATTACATTTATATTATACCTTTTGTAGTTGTCCCACATTTCTTGGATATTGTTTGTTCAGTCTTTTTTCTATTTGCTTTTCAGTTTTGGCAGTTTCCGTTGAGATAGCCTCAAGTTCAAAGATTCTTTCCTTACCTCTGTCTAGTCTACTAAGAGTCCATCAAAGGCACTCTTCTTTAATGTTATGGTGTTTTTGATCTCTTGCATTTCCTTTTTGCTTCTTTCTTAGAATATCCATCTCTCTGCTTATATTATCTGTTCTTGCCTGTTGTTTACTTTTCGCATTAACACCCTTAGCATATTAATTATAGTTTAAAAACAATTCCTAGACTGATAATTCCCACATTCATGTTGAGCCTGTTTCGGATGCTTGTTCAGTGTCTTTGAACTGTGTTTTTTGGCTTTCATTATGCCTTGTGATTTTTTGTTGAAAGGTGGACATGCTGTACTGGGTAAAAGGAACTATGGTAAATAGGCCTTTAGTGATGTAGTGATAGGATGTAGGGGGAGGTTAAGTGGTCTCTAGTCCTGTGAATCACTGTCACAGGTGAGCCTGTGCCCCTGAACTGTAAACTTTATCAGGGCTTTTCGTTTTTTTCCCCTTAGGTGAGACAGAATGGCTGGAGGGGGCTGGAGTTGGGGATTTTTCTTCCCCCATGTGGAAGGCTAGAAGGGGCTGTGGTTGGGGATTTCCTTCTCCCTGGGTAGGTTAAGCTCTGATATAACTCCAGCAGGTTAGGCTCTGGTAAAATAGTTTCTCCTCAGGGCAGGACTTGTTATGAAGAACAGAATGCTCTGACGTATTTTTAAGTTCTTTATTCTCTCCCTCTGCTGGAAGCCAGAAGCCGGAGGGAATTTTTCTGACATTCACTGTGAGGACGTGGTAGATCTGGAAGTGAAACTCCCAAAAGCATCCCCACTACCCCCATGACTGGGTTCACCTAGAATTTGTATCTCTGGTTTGTCTACACTGAGCTTCAAGGAATTTGTCAATTTGATTTTAGGTTTTCCTACCCTATTACTGGTTCCCATGGAGGTTTCTGCTCCAGTGAGTTGTGATCCTCTGTATCTGCTTGTCTGTCTGCAGTATTTGGAGCAGGATTTGGCTTGTGACCTGACTTCTCTGATGGACCTAAGAACAGTTGATGATTTTTCTCTTTGTTCAGGTTTTAGTTGTTGAGATGGAGTGAAGATGCTCACGTGCTAGACCAGAAGTAGAAAGTTCTATTTTTTACTTTTGAATACTTAAGTGTTTTTCCTCAGAACAATCATGTTCTCTTACATAACAAATTTAGGAAATTGTAACAGTGGTACATTTCTATTATGTAATATACTGTAGGTATTCTGATTTTGCCAATTGTCCTAATAATGTTTTTTTGTACTGATTTTCCCCCCAATCTGTGATGCAGTTCAGAATCATATTGAACTTATTTGTCATATGTCTTGGTTTTCTTTACTCTGTAACAGTATCTTAGTCTTTCTTTGTGAAGAGGATAGACCAGTTGTTTAGTAAAATGCCCTTCAATTTAAGTTTATCAAAAGCTTCCTATGATTAGATTTGGGCTGTGGAGTTTTGGGGCAGTAATACTCCATGAGTGCTACATCCTTCTCAATCTGTTATGTTATAAAGGACACAATACAAGTTTATCCCATTGGTGTTGTTGAGTTGATCTCTCACATGTTAGGTTTCTCCACTGTAAAGTTACTATTTTATCCTTTGTAATTGGTAAGTAATATGTGGGGGAGATACTTTGAAACTGCATGAATACCCTATATCTTACTAATCTTTCAGTCAATAGTTTCAGCATTCATTTATGATACTTGTTGAAATGCAATGTTATTATGTTTGCAAAATGGTGATTTTTCTAAGTCTATCATTGCTTTTACACTTATTAGTTGACATTCTACTCTGAAAAGCTTTCCGTTGTTGGAGAGTTTTGGGTGGAGTGTGGAAGGATGACATGACATTTTTTTTTTTTAGACAGTCTCGCTTTGTTGCCCAGGCTGGAGTGCAGTGGCGCAATTTCACCTCATTGCAACCTCTGCCTCCTAGGTTCAAGCAATTCTTGTGCCTCAGTCTCCCGCTAGCCTGGGATTACAGGCACCTGCTAGCATGCCTGGCTAATTTTTGTATTTTTAATAGAGACAGAGTCTCACCATGTTGGCCAGGCTGGTCTCAAACTCCTGACCTCAGGTGATCCACCTGCCTCGGCCTCCCAAAGTGCTGGGATTATAGGTGTGAGCCACCACGCCTGGACGAAACAGACAAATTCTAAATATATTTTGATTGTAGAGCTAATAGGATTTGCTAATCAACTGGATGTAGGCTTCAACAGAAAGACATCAAAGGTGACTCAGGTCTTTGACCTGAGCAGTTGGAGGGGTGGAATTACCAACTGGGAGGAACAGTTTGGTTTTAGATGTGTTGAATTTGAGATATCTTCTAGACATCCAAGTGAGATGTCAAATAGTTGGATATATGAGTCCAGAATTTAGGGGAGGGCTACAGGCTAGAGATGTAAACTTGGATGTTGTCATCATGTGTATGGTATTTATGAACTTGGATGGAGATCATCAAGAGAATGAGTGTGAAAAGGGAGGAAATAAGGACTAAGGACTGAGATTGGAGAAATCAAGAGAAACCAGAAAAGGAGACGGGGAGAGGCCAGTGAGGGGACAGGGAAACCAGGAGGGTATTTATCTTATTAGTCAAGTGGAGAAAGTTTTTCAAGGAAAGGGAGTTATGCTGCTGATATGTTAAGTAAGATGAGGAGTGAAAACTGACTATTGGATTTAACAACAACATTGGTAATCTTGATAGGCAGTCTCAGTGGGTTGTTTGGGGTTTAAGAGATAATGGAAGAATTACTGGAGATGAGAGTTTTGCTGTAAAGTAGAGGGAAATGCAGCCGAGGGATGTGGAGTCAGGAGATGGCTTTTTAAAAAGATGGGGAAAATTACAGTATTCCTGTTGGCATGTGTAGAAGTGTAGGGATACCTGTGCTAATTTACAGTCTATCTCCATGTGTTTTGAATTAATGCTAAGACTGATGTAAGTCTTTAGGAAAGACGTAATTTAGTCAATGAATGCTGTCTCTAAATATAATTTTAATCAGTATTCTTGCTACTAGGCTATTTATTACAGCTTTTGACATTAAAATTGACTAATTTTCTTTTATTCTTGTTGCCACTATATTAGAATATGTGCAAGGATGGTTAAAATGATAGAGAAGTAGAATGTATGGATAATGCACCCATTGGAAAAGAGATTAAATTAAGAAATAATAGCAAGCTTTCACTGAAAGACTATGCCAAGAAATAAATAACCAATTATTTTTAAAAATTGCTTATCGGCTATTTGATATCAGTGATTTCCTGTTAACTGACACTTTGCTAAACCTGTGAATACTTTCTTAAATTATTTAAAAAATATTTTTATCTTTATACTGGGGAAATATTGGTTTTTCAATTGACACCTAATTCTAGGTGGCAGCCCTGATACATATTAGGCGAGCTACTTTAGGCAGATTACTTAATCCCTTATTCTTGATTTCTTTATCTGTAAAATAGAGCTAGTAATACATATTCCATAGGATGCTGTGAAGATTAAATGTGGGAAGATACAGATACTGCCCTAATGAATGAGTTACATATATGTAGTCTAACATATCATAGGTGCTTTTGCCTTTTATCCTTTATGTGGAGGCTAAAATTGGGTTTAATTTTTTTCTAGATAGAAGCCAACTAAATTTCTAGTTACCCTTTCTTTTAAATAAATTAAAGTTTCCTTGATGCTATTGGTATTCCACTTCTAAGTCATTTGTTTGGTAACTTTACCAAGAGTCAAAATTAAGGATATGTATGAATACTGATATTATGAGAAGAAACAAATTTCTTGTAATTTTTCTACTGACAAAATAGCATAATGTAATAATATTTGAGGACAATATTTTAAATATAGGTCTACTAGTGAGAAGAAAGGAATTCTTTTTTTGGTCATAACATTTTGCTTATTTGGGCGTCAAAATTGGTGTTCCCTTCATCAGATTGATTGCATTGCAGATATTTAACTATAAAACCTTCTTAGTTCATGGGCTATACAGAAAGAGGAAGAAGGCTAGATTTGGCCTGTGGGCCATAGTTTCCTGACTCTGATCTGCAAGATTATTTCTGCATTTAATTTCATTCTTTATATTTGTTATTAAAAAAAAAATCCACTAACTTACAGCATTTTAACAAGAAGACTTTGTATCTATTCCCTTTGAAATATTACTGATATATGAACTATGTAATTGTTTTCCTGTAATCTTTCCATAACTACTTTCTTTTAAACTTATTTCCAAGTAATTTTAGACACACATAGAATTGCAAAATATAGACTTACATAGGGTTGCAAATATCGTACAGAGAGTTTCTGGGTATCCTTTACCAAATTTCTCCCAATGATAATATCATGCATAACCATCATAAGTACTTTTAAAAGTACCCTTAACATTGGTAAATAAGCATTTATTTAAAAATGAATTTTCTCTGTAATTCTGTTTATTGAAGAAGAATTTACACCTGTGATTTCACTTCTTGTTTTTATTTCCAGATCAGCCAGCATTACTAACCTGTCACTGGATAGATCTGGTTCTCCTATGGTACCTTCATATGAGACATCTGTCAGTCCCCAGGCTAACCGAACATATGTTAGGACAGAGACCACTGAGGATGAACGCAAAATTCTTCTGGTACTGGTCCAGTATCTTTGACCCATTGCTAGTTTTGAGCATAGAGAATGTTCATGTGACTGAGTCTTTTTTTTTCTTTTTGAGACACGGTCTTGGTGTGCTGCCCAGGCTGGGGTGCAGTGGTGTGATCTTGGCTCCCTGCAACCTCTGCCTCTCAGATTCAAGCGATTCTGGTGCCTTAGTCTCCTGAGTAGCTGGGATTACAGGCGCATGCCACTACACCTAATTTTTTGTATTTTTAGTAGAGACATGGTTTCGCCCTGTTGGCTAGGCTGGTCTCAAACTCCTGACCTCAAGTGATCTGCCCGCCTTGGCTCCCAGAGTGCTGGGATTACAGGTGTGAGCCACTGCACCCAGCCTGTCACTGAGTCTTTTTAATAAGAAATATATAAGTGAAATAGCATATCAGTTAAACAGAAGTGCTTAGCTTCAGTTTTACTAGGATCACCTGAGAGATGGGTCAAGTATTCTATACTCATTGCATTAATATTTTCTTTTCTTTCTTTCTTTATTATTATTATTTTTTTTGGAGATGGAGTCTCGCTCTGTCACCAGGCTGGAGTGCAGTGGCGCAATCTCGGCTCACTGCAACCTCCGCCTCCCAGGTTCCAGCGATTCTCCTGCCTCAGCCTCCTGAGTAGCTGGGACTACAGGCATGTGCCACCACACTGAGCTAATTTTTGTATTTTTAGTAGAGACGGGGTTTCACAGTGTTGGTCAGGATGGTCTCAATCTCCTGACCTCGTGATCTCCCTGCCTTGGCCTCACAAAGTGCTGGGATTACAGGCGTGAGCCACCGCGCCTGGCCAGTATTTTCTTTACCCTTTTATCTGGTAAAATCAGAATTCAGTTACCTATGTAATAAGAGAGCTTAACTCTTAGATCCCATATTGCTATTTAAGCTTTGAAGCATGTTTGTTATACACATGTAACACTTTTCAGACATTTAATACTATATGTTTATATGAAATAATCAGTTGCTTATTGAATTTATCTGTGCATAAAATACTGTGTTCAATTCTAAGAGTGACTCAGAGAAATGGAAGGTATGGCTGTGTCCTCAAGCTTATAATTCAAAAGTAGAAATAAGAGCCAGGTGTGGTGGCATGCACGTGTAGTCCCAGCTACTTGGGAGGCTAGGGTGAGAGGACTCTTGAGGCCAGGGGTTTGAGGCTGTAGGGTGCTGTGATCATGGCTGTGAATAGCCACTGCACTCCAGCCTGGGCAACATAGCAAGACCTTGTCTCTAAGACAACAAACAAACCAGCAAACCCACAAAAGGTAGAAATAAGATCAGTGGGAAGATCCTTAATAGTGGAAGTAGTAATACTTTAATAATAAAAAAGTGTCAAATAAATAAATGACTATATGTCATGTAAGAATTCAAAAAAACAGAAAGCTCATTACTAATGAGGGAATCAGAAAAAGGCTTAAACTGAAGGACTTGAACTGGACCTTGAGAGATGGAATCATTTTGGATAGGCAGTGAGGAAGGTGAATCTTATTTAAAGGTGTGAAGAAAGATACAGAGGTAAGAATAAGCATGACATTTTCCATGGCCAGAAGTAGGATTTTTTAATTGGGAGAGAGTTTAAGTAGGAGTCTGGGGGCAATGAGAAAGGAAAGTTATTTGGGACTACCTGGTGGAAGGCAATGAATTCTGTACTTACAGGTGTAGATTTGAAACTTTAGTTGCTGAGGAACATTCAGAATTTTTTTGAGCAGGGAGTAATTTACTGAAGCTCTTCTTTTTAAAAAACTCATCTGTCAGTTGGGTACACAGTGAGAATCTGGTGGAGTGAAAGCCTCTAGGAACAGTTACCTTAGGTTAGTGTGATTAACTGTTGTCTCCCTCTGCCTTGCCCCATCTCCAAAGAAGAATACATAAATAGGAGATTGATAATATGTGCCATTGACTGAAAAAAGAAGTATTTGGAATAGTTGGTTTTCAAGAGAAAAAGTTATGTTTGGAATTAGATGAGCAGAGTTCAAGCTGTTCCCACGTATATGACATTTGTATTAAATTGTGTGAGTTAGCTACCATAAAGAAATCCAAGTTAGGTTTCCTTTTATGAGTCTAAAAATCACAGGAAAACATCTGAAAAGGTATATAGCATTTTTCTCAAGGGTAACTACTTGCTGTTAATGTGATTGCAGGACAGTGTGCAGTTAAAAGACCTGTGGAAAAAAATCTGCCATCACAGCAGTGGAATGGAGTTTCAGGATCACCGCTACTGGTTGAGAACGCATCCCAACTGCATTGTAGGAAAGGAATTAGTCAACTGGCTAATCCGAAATGGGCATATTGCCACAAGGTATTCTGATCTTAGAAGGTTTCAATATTATTTGTTTATTTTGAATGAGAAAACATATTTGAAGATAGTAAGAGTTACAGATTTCTTTGTAGAGTTAGGGTGCTCTTTGTTTTATGTAATTGATGGTTTAGGGTGCTAATTACTTAACCCTCCTCCAATCTGAGTTTTAACCAGCAGAGAACAGATGCAAGGAGTACAAGGAGCCAAATAGGATCTTAATTTACCTTATTAAAAGCAGAAGAACTCTCTAGCAAAGGAGGATTAGAGAAGGTAGCTGGAACCTAAGGCCAAAGAATTCCCCAGCTACTGTTCACTAATCTAGACAGGTTGTAACCTGTGTTGAGTATTTGATCCATAAGCTATGCCTGTCGGGTCCTAGCTTGCCTCACAAATCATTTATAAAAAAGAGTAACAGACAGGTCCTGCTTTTCAAATACATGTATCCCCTAGCTTTTACTATTTTCTCAGATTAGCTACTCCTCCTCTCATGGGAAGAAAAAGGTACGTAATGAAGTAAAGAGAGAAATAGCTTTAAGCAGTAAAGCCCTGGTTGCAATTTTGGCTGTATATATTTTTTAGCTTTGTGCTTTTAGTCACATTATTCAATCTCTGAGACTTCTTCACCATGAGGAAAATTGTGTGGTCCTGTGAATAAACTGTGGGGGATGAAATAATAGTGGCTGAAGTGCTTTATAAATTGTGAAATGCCATATAATGTATGGTGTCATTAAGTGTCTATTTCATATATATATATACACACACACACATTTTATGGCTGTATCTGTAATATTTGGTATTGTCTTATTAAAACTAAGCTCCTTGAAGGTAGGAGCTTTTCTCAACATTTTAAAATCTGTTAAGTATAGGGTTGTGCGTGCATTGAATACTCAGTCAATGCTTGCTGTTATTAAAATTAGGTTTTGTTGGGACTGCCTTACCAGTAGTTTCTTCTCCTTTACTATAGTACCTGGAAGAATCTTTTAGTTTGCTTTAACTCTCTCGTTTCGTCCTTTACTTATCCAAGGGCCATTTGAAATTCTAACTCTGATTAGAACTGAAAAAAAATATTTTAAGGTTGTGTCTTATCTGGTACTTAACTATTCTGACTGACTTTTAAAACTTTTCATTTTTGTGGGTCTTGATTCAGGGCACAAGCTATAGCAATTGGACAAGCAATGGTTGATGGACGTTGGCTGGATTGTGTTAGTCATCACGACCAGCTTTTCAGAGATGAGTATGCGCTGTATAGACCACTGCAGGTACTTTTCAGTGTTTACTGCCAATTAGAATGTAGCAAGCTTATTTTATAGTCTTTCTTCATCAGTGGGAATAAAAAGTAGTTTATTAGAAGATGATTTTTCTAACATTTTTTCCTGCTGTTTGAGGAAAGTTAAAACTTTTTTTACTTGGTAGGCAGCAGTGATGAAAAAGCTGCCATTAGAATCAAACATTTTATTGTTTACTTTAAATTTGATCAGACAATAAAAAAGGAAAAAGATAATCAAACACTTTTTTCAGTTGGTGTGGTAGTTCTTAAATTTGGGTTTATGGTCTTTATAGTTGCTTATCATTTAACTTTAATGGTTTTTGGTTTTATTAGGCCTATGCTTTTAGAACTGAGAGTATAAATAATAAAATGAAAAATTTTATGGCATCTATTGAAATCATTTTGACTCTAGAACTATTGTATAACTAGTGATGATGGCTGGGTACGGTGGCTCACGCTTGTAATCCCAGCACTTTGGGAGGCTGAGGTGGGTGCATCACCTGAGGTCAGGAGATCGAGACCATCCTGGCTAACATGGTGAAATCCCGTCTCTACTAAAAATACAAAAAAATTAGCCAGGCATGGTGGTGGACACCTGTGGTTCCAGCTACTTGGGAGGCTGAGAC
Organism: Homo sapiens; assembly: GCF_000001405.40. NCBI lineage: Eukaryota > Metazoa > Chordata > Mammalia > Primates > Hominidae > Homo > Homo sapiens. The sequence goes on from NC_000002.12 coordinate 208,302,988, forward strand.
AGGAGAATGACGTGAACCTGGGAGGTGGAGCTTGCAGTGAGCCGAGATTGCGCCACTGCACTCCAGCCTGGGCGACAAAGCAAGGCTCCGTCTCAAAACAAACACAAACAAACGAAAAACAATGGTATACTGATGAATATATGTTTTTTTACTTTAGGGAAGTGGAAATTATTTGAAGATTTAACTTCAAAAAAAGATATACTTTCACTCTTGGTTTATGTAATTTGATACAATATATAGGTTATATATATACACACACACACATATATAAACATATATATACATATACACACACAGGCACACACACACACACATATATATATAGCTGACCGTTAAGAATTAGGGATACTGACCCCCTGTATAGTTGAAAATTCACGGATGTTTGACTTCCCCAAAACTTAACTACTAATAGCTTAGTGTTGACTGGAATCTTTATTGATAACAGACAATTAATACATATTTTGTATGTTGTGTGTATTATATACCATATTCTTACAATAAAGCTAGAGAAACATGAAGAAAATCATAAGGAAGAGAAACTATACTTACTATTCATTAAGTGGAAATGGATCATCACAAACGTCTTCATCCTCGTTTCGTGTTGAGTGGGCTGAGGAAGAGTGAGGAAAAGAAGAGATTGCTTTTGCTGTCTCAGGGGTAGCAGAGGCAGAAGAAAATCCACATATAAGTAGACCAATGCAGTTTAAACCCTTGTTCAAAGGTCAGCTGTGTAATGTTTAGTAACACCTTTGTGAACTAAAATTCGAAAGTCAATGGTTAGAAGAGACAAATGACTCCAAATATTGGTGTGGCATGATTGATTAAAAGTTATTTTGCAAGATGTGTTCTGGAGAGAATTGCCCCAGAGCTAAAATAAATTCTAAGCTATCTTCACTCTCAGGACTAAGGCATGAAATGAAACACTATAAAATCTGTATCAAAAAAATGTTTTGTTCTTAATATACTACTTAAGTCTTCTAGTTAACGAAAATCACAATTTTAAAGAGTGGAATTGTCAGTATGATTCTGGTTTATAACTTGGTTTTTGTTAATTTGTTTATTTTTATAAAATTCAATTGTTAGGTTCATAGAAATATTGGACTACAATTTATTTATAGTGTGACAGCCTCAACATTGTTGCCATTGAAGGCCAATTGCTTGGATCCTGTCTTCATCCTTTCAGAGTACAGAATTTTCTGAGACGCCTTCTCCCGACAGTGACTCAGTGAACTCCGTGGAAGGACACTCTGAGCCATCCTGGTTTAAAGACATAAAGTTTGATGACAGTGACACAGAACAGATAGCTGAAGAAGGTGACGATAATTTGGCTAGTGAGTTTAACTTTCTAACATTTTAGTTTTGATGGGTCATTGCTGTGTATGTATGATAAAATGATTATCTTGTTTGTTGAAATAATTCAGCTTTATAATTTATGGCTCCAACTAAATGGAAACATCTGATAGCAGTCTTTGTCTTAGATACAGTATTTTCTTAAACCAACTTGTTAGGTTGACATTTCTAGATTTTACCATAGTCTATAGTTTGTAGCAGCTTAAAAATAACTGAACTAATAATATGGCAGCAGACAACTTTCTCATCTCTTCACTATAATATCAGACTTTCTCTCTGCAGAACCTCCAATATATTTCTTCATTTTAAAAATTGATTTTATATTTAACTTGTTCAAATTTTATTAAGTCTACACAGAAGTACATGAAAATACTGTATCCATTTTGGTATTGCACATTGGGCTTGTATATTAAAAAAACATTTTTCTCCTTTCCTCCAATACCCTGATAAAACCCATTTTTACTCCCCTCCTCTCCCTATATTTCTTTCCCCTTCCCAACACTAAAAGATTCTGCCAGTCCTAGCAAGCGCACATCAGTCAGCAGTTTCCAGTCCACAGTGGACAGTGACTCAGCCGCTTCTATCAGCCTGAACGTGGAGCTGGACAACGTGAACTTCCATATCAAGAAGCCCTCCAAGTACCCACATGTGCCCCCTCACCCTGCTGACCAAAAAGGTAGGAGGTAGTCACCATCTGGAATCCAAACACAGGCTGGACAGCTGGGCCATAGGATCTCATGCCAGCCTGTCCTTCTGGCTTCCTCTGTCCCACGTGGCTGAGGGTATTTGGTGTGGGTTTTGTTCTACCCTTTCTCATTTCTCCCACACCTCCTCCCCATACCTTTTTTGGTTGATTCCTTTTATTTCTTGTTTTCTCCCTCAGCACCACCATGCCCAGTGTAAAGCTTGTAGTCTTTAAAAGGAACTACATCTGACTGCTCTTCCCATAATGTGCAACTTCCAAGGTGGCATTTCTTTGCATTTATAACATGGATGTTCTGCTCTATTCTTTTCTCTTTCTTCATTTAACATTTTAAAGCCTATTTGCCTTTGCCGTTACCCAGTAACATAATATTTCACTAAACCCATTAAGATGCTTGAACTAGATTGGGGGAAAATCATTCACACATTCCAAAATATCTCCATAATAATTCATAATGCTTATTATGTATATTCTATATTTATTAAAACAATTTCTTCTCTAATGTAAAATGAATTCATTATTTTTAGCTATCTTATTTGATGCTTTAGTCTACTGGCTGAAAAATAATAGTGACCATATTCAAAAGATATTTGGTGTAAAAGGAGAAAGAGGTAAACATTACTAAAATCTAACATAGCAGCACATAAGAAATGCCTGTTTTTAAAATGGATGATGAGGTTTACTTTATTGGGTATAATTAAAAGCCAATTTAAATTATAGTCCTATCATGGGATTGTGTAAAAGTGAATAAATAAAAAATACATGAGTAAATAAATAAATGTGGGATTTTGTTATGTTGTAATAACTGAAAAATCATTATTATAAAGATGAAGCACTTTATTCCATGATTTTACCTGGAGTTTGTATTTTAAACATATAACTGTCTAAAGTGGAATTGTCTCCTTACTTAGATCTGAAATGCTTGCCTAAGTTTTGCGCACTCTATTTCGAGCCTAAGAATATGATCAGAAAACAGAAGCTTTTGAACCAAACATTTATACTAAAATGATTTGATACAAGTTTATATTTCTCCAACAAATTTCTCATAGTTGTCAGTATTAGCTATTATCAAGATGTGGTAAAATGGTACTGAAGAGTTATAGTAATAAAAAGGAATATGTTATTTAAAAATAAGTAGAGAAGGTGTGTTAATGAGACTTGACTAGCATTGAACATGAGTAAGATAGACATCTTTATGGAAATCCTCAAAACAGAAATTGGAAAAATGATGGAGAATATTTGGGTGAGTATGAAAGGAGGGAAAAGCAGATATGACACTTGTGTGAGAATTAACTATAGATGGTGGTCACTTGGAGGATATTATGAAGGTTTTGAATATAAACTTACAGATGTGGGTCAGGGGCACACAGATGATGAACATCTGTTCTCTGGACACATCTGTTGGCAATCACATTTTGCTGTAAGCAGAATGTGAAGTATACTTTTGACTTGGTGATGATTTCATCTCTTGGAATGTTAAAGAAGTTTTGAAAATCTTGAAGAAAGTGACCTGTCATCATAGAATTTGTAATAGGGAAGGATAGACTGCTGAGCACAGTCAGATACTTACTTTTGAAAACCTAACTTGAGAACATTCGGAGTGGAATGGAACAGGAGGCTCCAAAAATGACATTGTTATGGTGCAACCCCAGATTGTATCTCCAAGGAAATTGACAGGAGAAGCACCTGCAGTTGACAAAAATATGACCCCTTTTGAACCTCCCTGATTTCAATCCTTTTTTTTTTTTTTTCTAAGAGACAGGGTCTGACTCTGTTGCCCAGGCTGGAGTGCAGTGGCGCGATCTTGGCTCACTGCAACCTCCGCCTCGTGGGTTCAAGTGATTCTCCCACCTCAGCCTCCTGAGTAGCTGGGATTACCAGTGCGCACCACCATGCCTGGCTAATTTTTTGTATTTTTAGTAAAGGTGGGGTTTTGCCATGTTGGCCAGGCTGGTCTTGAACTCCTGGCCCCAAGTGATTCACCTGCCTTAGCTTTCCTAAGTGCTGGGATTACAGGCATAAGCCACTGTGCCTGGCCCTCAATCCTTTAAAAAGATTATCTATCAAAGTTGTAAGTGGCAACTTTCGTAGGAGAATGAATCTGAAAGAGGGGGCAGCACTTTTAAGAAAAATGACAGTCTAATGGAAGTCCAGCTTGCCCTGAAGGTTGGAGAAAATGCCAAGGATATCTGAGAAAGATTTAAAGTTTGGTAGAAAGAAAAACTAGGCCAGTTATTTGGGAAAGTTTATGTAATATTGATTGATGACTAAAAGAAGGCTTCTTTTTCCTCCCCGCTCTTTAGACTAACTTTATCAGGAAAGAATACACATGGTTAAGAGGAAAGTGAAGTTCAGGATATTGAAGAGATAGAGAATTAATGGTTTTTTAAATAAGTCTGTTGCCAGGTTTAGGCAAACTGTATGCCAGGTTGTTGAAAGACTTTGGATCTGGGATCATGGAGCCAGAGTTTGTTATCTTTGAAGAGTTTCGAAGAGTAGGAGAGAGTCTAGATGACTATAGTGATAGATACATTTTTTTTTTTTTTTTAAAGATGGGTTCTTGATTTGACTTTGGAAGCTGGCAAAATGTAGAGAAGTGTAGTAAGCAGAATGTATTGTGGTATTTAGAAAAGGGATTGGTGGTGACTGGGCCACCAGCATTGGTTAAGCAAACTAAGTCGTTCCAAAACAACCCCATTTCCATTTTTTATGGTGATACAAGATTGATAAATCAGAAGACTATAATAGATACTATCTTTGTTGATGTTAATAAGACATTTAATGATCTCTCAATAATTTTGTAGACAAAGAGGACAATTTCGTACTTGAAATATGTTAAAAGAGGCAAAGGCAATGGTCATACTTGTTTAAAGCACAGGCTTTGGAGTCTGTATGAGCTTTATTTTTAAAATTGTAAATTGACAAATTATAATTGTATGTATTTATGGGATATAAAAAGATGTTACAAAGTATGTATAAAATATGGAATGATTAAGGAATAAGGATTTGAAATGATAGATATGTTTATTAAACCAAACTAATGAACATATTCATCATTTCAAATCCTTTTTGTTGGGGCAGGGTGCAGTGGCTCATGCCTGTAATCCCAGCAAGTTGGGTGGCTGAGGCAGGCGGATTGCTTGAGTCTAGGAGTTCAAGACCAGTTTAGGCAATGTGGCAAAACCCCGTCTCTACAAAAAATACAAAAAAATTAGCCGGGTGTGGTGGTGTGCGCCTGTGGTCCCAGCTATTTGGGAGGCTGAGGTGGGAGGATTGCTTGAGCTTGGCAGGTTGAGGCTGCAGTGAGCGATGATTTTGCCACTGCAGTCCAGCCTCGGTGACAGAGTGAGACTTTATCTAAAAAAAAAAAGAAAAAAAATTCCATATTATTCTTAGTGGTGAGAACCTTTGAAATTTACTCTTAGCAATTTTGAAATATACAATACACTATTATTAACTGTAGTCATCATGCTGTACAGTATATCTCAAAAACTTATTCCTCCTGTCTGAATGAAACTTTTTACCCTTTGACTAGCATCTCCCCATTCCCTTCACTCCCTCAACCTCTGGTAACCACCATTCTACTTAGTATGAGCTTTTAATATGAAAAACACAAAGAGTGTAGTGTATCTGGTGAATGTAAGAGCTTATGATAACACTAGTAGTTGGTTTTTTTTTTTTTTTGAGACGAAATTTTGCTCTTATTGTCCAGGCTGGAGTGCAATGGCCTGGTCTTGGCTCACTGCAACCTCCGCCTTCCGGGTTAAAGTGATTCTCCTGTCTTAGCCTCCCAAGTAGCTGGGATTACAGGCTCCTGCCACCATGCCCGGCTAATTTTTGTATTTTTAGTAGAGACAGGGTTTCACCCTGTTGGTCAGGCTGGTCTCTAACTCCTGATCTCAGGCAGTCCGCCAACCTAGGCCTCCCAAAGTGCTGGGATTACAGGCGTGAGCCACCGCACCCGGCCCACTACTAGTATTAACACGTGGATTTGTAGCTTGTTGTACAAAATATTGAAAGGATAATTAATAATTTGATGTCAACAGGAAGTGGATGCTCCTAGGTTATGTTATAGGGACTTGACTCTATATTTAGAGTTGTTCACTTTTTTTTTTGGTCAGCACTTTTAATGTTTTTTTAGGTCCACAAATAATTAAAATCTGGAAAGAATGGCTAGCGTGTTGGATAGCAGAATTGACATTTAAAGATCTTTATTTTCTCAAGCAATAGATTGAGACTAACAAGATGAAAGTTAACACAGTTAAACATAAAAGAATAAGGCTTAACATGTTTACTATTAGTACTTTGGAGAAAGTCACTCTTAATAATTTGTGTGATAAAGATCTAAGTTTTAGTTATTTGCAAACTTAATAGTGTGATGTGCCAACCCCGCACTCCCTGGCACTCCCTAGGGCAATAATAGATTTCATTAGTGGCCATATAATGTCTAGAATGAGGATCCAATTTACTGTTTTGTGTTCAGTTCTCATTTATGAATAGAACGAGGTTGCCAGGATCCTAAGACATCTGAAAACCATGCTAAGGAAAGCTGGACTATTTAAAATGGAAAAAAGACGTGGTGTTTCCTTTAGGTATCTGAAGAGTACCTGAAAGAAATTATATTTATTTTGCATATGGCTGAAGGAAGAACTAGATTCAGTAGTTGGGAGTAGTGAACTTTTGCCACTGTGCATGGTAAGTGTCCAGGTTGTGTCTGAATGTCCACCTGTCATGGTTATTGAGGACAGATGCCTGCATTGGGTGATGCGTTATATAGACTTGGGGACTTCTAAGTTTTCTTTTAATTCTAAATCTGTGAACTGAAAAATCTAGATCTAGAATTAAAAAGAAATTATAATCCTTTAGCCTACTCAGTGAGAATATTACAGAGGAGGTTCCAGCATTAGGAAGAAGATAATTATTAAATTGACCTCTTAGGTCATTTGCAGTCTTATAATTTGAAGACTTTAAAAGTCTCTTAATAAATATTACTGGCTTTCACAGTTCTCTCTTAGTTTTTAACATACTAACGAGTTATTCTTTTTACATTTTTTCTTGTGAAGTTGAAGCGTAATAGTTTGCTGAGTGTTATAGTCAAGATGAACACTGATTATCAGAAAATAAAGATTTCCAGGGAGACTGGTAGTTACGTGAAAAAATAATAGAATTCTTTTGCCTCTGGTTTTCATTCCCTTTGTATAAATACAAATGGGAATGGTTTTTATCTTTACATTGAAATTAAAGGTAGTACTTATTAAATATTTTCTTATGGATTGTCCTATATTGTTTCAGGCTGAGGAAAATTGGATTTATAAAATTGGTTGAAATATCTGTACTTTAAAAAATACTACTTATGCTTTCTGTCTGAAGTGAGAAAACCCTATTTTCAGAAGCTCGTAAAACTGGCTTAATTTTTCATTATTGGTCTTGGAGAATTGTACAGTTAAAATATATTTTATTATGTATTACAAGCAGGATTCTGAACTATTCTTGGAAAGTTAGCAAGTAAAACCTAGAGAAGAAGGTGAAAATCACGGCTTCCGTAAATCTCTAGATGTAGTTTTCCGTGTATAGGAAAACATGGGATAGAGGAGCAAGTTAAACACACCATGAGAAAACAATGGATTGTACTCCGAATGTGGGACATTGCACAGAACATTTGACCTGGGTTCTTTTAAATTCATGTTATGAAAAGAAAAAAAGACAGGAGATCTGTTCTAGATTAAAAGAGAATGAAGAGATACAGGAACCAAATGCCATGTGTGAACTTGATTGCATCGAGGCTTAAGAAGAAAAACTGTGGATTAAAAACATTTTGGAGACAGTTGGATAAACTTGAGTATGGGCTAATTCTGTGCTATTAAGACATTGTTAATTTTCTCAAATATGTAAATAATTTTGTGGCTATAGAGAAGAATACCTTTATTTTTATGAGAGTTGTGCTGATGTCCTAGTGGTAAAGTGTCATGATGTGTGTAACTTTGAATGATCGGGGGGAAGAAACATACACATATATGGCAAATCCTTAACAATTGTTGAACTCAGGTGGATGGTATACAGCATTTTCTGTAGGTTTGAATTTTTTTCATAACTAAATGGGGAAAATCCACCATTTCTGGAGTCTCATATAGATACAATTAAGCTTTAGTGTGAGAAGGCTGGTAAAGAACAATACATTAATTGAACTAATAGGATTTGGTGTTACTCATTCCTGTGAGGGAAGAGTAGAAATAAAGTGTAACATCTATCTTGCCCACATACTCGATTTTATTGTATTTGGCATAGTGCACTTGAACTTTCTAAATAAAATATTTTCTTTGTTTCCTGGTTGGAAGGATGAGCATATTGGCTTATAAACATAGTAACTTTTAAAGCCCAGTTGTTTATAAATGTACTTGGAGAAAATTTTGTGGAGATCCTTTACCGTAAAGGAGTTTACATGCATCATGTTTTAATTTGCATAGTGGAAAGAACCTCATTTGAGCTATGCTTGGTCACAGACCTAGAGAAAGTTCACGGGGAAGTAAAGAGTAAGTTTCACTTGTAAGAAAAGTATTTAATATATTAAAAGCATTCAGAGTGTGTTCAGTTAATGTCTAGCAAAAATTTGGCAGTGTTTGATATAATTTTTGAAAAACAAAAACACTTATTTGGAACTAATACAAATACTGATGAGTTTTATCTTTATTCCTGCCAATGTCACTTCTGTATTAATTTGTTTTATAGCTTATATTCTGAAATTTGAAAAAAGTTTATATTGTTTTATCAGGTGGGTTCTGTATGAACTGCTTTGTGCATAGGCAAAGTGATTATTTGTTAAATCATCAAGTTACATGTGAAAAGAACTGTAATCTTTTAGGATGGTCGTACAAGTATCTGAAGATTTAATTTTCATAAACCGGTTGGTTTTGGTAAGAGAAAAACATTTCTCTATCTGACATTTGAATTAAGGAGAATTGTTTTCACGGCTCTATTGTGTTATTAATGCAAGTCTGCTTAAGTTTAGTATGAAGTGCATAGAACAAGTATAAAGAGGCATTTTTACCCAAAGCTTTCTTGAATTTGCCGGGCAGTGATGGGTTTAGTATGAGTAATATTTTGTGTGTGGGCGTATTCTCTATATAATTATGCTGACATGTTATAGTCATATGTCTCTACTTTTGTTCCTCCTCTCTGTTGTCTCCCTGGTATGCAGAGTATTTGATTTCTGACACTGGAGGACAACAGCTCTCAATAAGTGACGCTTTCATCAAAGGTAATTTTATAAAAAGCTGTATGTGGAATGGTGTCTCTTTTTTTCATGAGGATATACTTAGGGCTTAGCACATTGATTAGCACAGAGAAGGTGCTGAAAATATATTTGATTATGGTGGTATCATGGGAACACAGTTTTTAATATATATAATGATTTAGAGAATGTTGAGAACCAAGAATGTAAACTTGGACTTGGTTTGCGAGAAGGAGGTCTCTGATGTGAAAAGTAATTGTTTAAAAACTTTTAAGTAGAATTTGAACTTAATTCTTTTAAAGACATAGTTTACACTTAACTGTATTGTGAATATAATATTAAGTATTGATATAAATATCATCAAGGATTGTCAAATTTGTCAAAAAGCCCACAGGCAGATCTCCAGTTAAGGATGCTGCTTGCCCTGTGGAGTGAGGAAGAGAAGCAGGCAGTAGAGGTTAAAGAACTAACTCTGATGATAAATTTCTTTTGGACACAAAAGGAGATTAGCCTTCTCCTATTCCTTCCCTACTTAGCTTAGCTTAGCTTCCTAGAGTAAAGACATTCTTAGTCCATAGTACTCCACTGGTTAGGCCTCAGATAATGGGAGAAAATTTCTCTTCCTTCTTGGCTCCCACGGTTTCAGATCAAAGAGAGAAGGCAAGCGGGTACAAGGAGCCACTGCAGCTTATCTGATAGCTTGGCAGTGCTTCTAAATTCATCTCCAAGCATCTGGTTCGGCTAGAAGTTTACAGAGTGGCCCTTTATGTAATTGAAATGTGCAATTCTTGTACTTCACATGTCATGGACATATACTTTACTGTGTAATCTGCTGGGCTGTTTGGTGGAAGTTTTTTTGTTTGTTTGTTTTGCTTTTAAGAGGGGACAGGTTAGAGAATTTTTGTAAGCATTTCCCACTTCTTTTCTTTCCACTTATTTGGTCAGATTATTCAACAGTTATTTAGTGAACATATTTTTTTGTTAAGCATTTATTATTTATTTTTTGTCTTATCTATTTTCATTCATCCTTTAAAAAATTTAAAGATTTTACACAAATTCTACATAAATGCTATTTATTATGTTTTAATATTTATGTTTTTGAGTCTGTCTTGCTAAAATTTTGTTAAAAAACCCCTGTGCCAATATTGAAAGAGAAACACTATTGAGGATTGTCTGAATAGACTTTCTACACTGTCATCTGTTGTTTTGTGATATCTGAGCTGAGCTTCTTTCTTGAAAATTCATCACTCTCGCTATCATGTGTTCTTTTGCCAGCATTCAGATTTCTGTTGAATGCAGTTTTCAGTTTGTGATTTTTTTTTTTTTTTTTTTGAGATGGAGTCTCGCTCTGTCACTCAGGTTGGAGTGCAGTGGTGCGATCTTGGCTCACTGCAATCTCTGCCTCCTAGGTTCAAGTGATTCTCCTGCCTCAGCCTCCCTTGTAGCTGGGATTACAGGCGTGTGCCAACACGCCCAGCTAATTTTTGTGTTTTTAGCAGAGATGGAGTTTCGCCATGTTGGCCAGGCTGGTCTCGAACTCCTGACCTCAGGTGATCTGCCCACCTCGGCCTCCCAAAGTGTTGGAATTACAGGCGTGAGCTACCACGCGCGGCCCAGTTTGTGATTTTAAAGGGGAAATTAACACCCTCGTTTTTAAAAATTAAAAGGAGAAGCAAAAGTTTCATTTTATTTGCTTTTCAGAAGCTGTGCTTATAATTATTGGCTTGAGAGTCTTAGTTACGTACATTTGATTTTCACAGTTCTGTTTCTGATTTTGGCTGTTGCCAATTACTGCTCTTCTTAATTCTTGCATTTCTGTATTTTTAGTGTATTTTATGTATTTGTAAGTATTTTCTTATGCATTTTATTTATATGTTTATTACATGTTCTTGCCTTTTTACACCAATAATTTATGTTGGCTAACTTAAAACATTTATAAAGACAAAGGGCAATTTCTAAATATATGAGTAGATGGTATAAAACAGGACAATGAAGTAATAACTTCTTATTTTATATTGTACTTAGAATCCTTATTTAATCGCCGAGTAGAGGAAAAATCCAAAGAGCTGCCTTTCACACCTTTGGGCTGGCATCATAACAACCTGGAGCTCCTGAGGGAGGAGAATGGGGAGAAACAAGCCATGGAGAGGTTGCTGTAAGGCAATGAAATTTTTAATTTTAATTTTTCACTTTTATTATCTTCAGTGACTTGATAAGCATATGCATCATTCCTCTTAAAAAGGGAGGTCTTTTTCTTTTTCCTTAGAAAGTAAAAAAATACTAAGGTTACTTAGGAAATACAGTCTATTTTGACTTGTGATTAAATTTCTTATAAAACCAAGAGCCCCGGCTGGGTGCAGTGGCTCACGCCTGTAATCCCAGCACTTTGGGAGGCTGAGGCGGGAGGATCACAAGCTCAGAAGGTTGAGACCAGCCTGGCCAACATGGTAAAACCCCGTCTCTACTAATAATACAAAAATTAGCCAGGCGTGGTGGCGCTGGCCTGTAATCCCAACTACTCAGAGGCTGAGACAGGAGGATTGCTTGAACTCAAGAGGCGGAGGTTGCAGTGAGCTGAGATCGCGCCACTGCACTCCAACCTAGGCAACAGAGCAAGACTTCGTCTCAGAGAAAAAAAACAAAAACAAAAGCCCCAAACTGTGCTTGTCTGTCCCCATTTTACGTGTTAAAATTTCATTTCAGTCAATTGCAGGGGACTTCTTAGTGGAAGATATTCAGATTTCATTTATATGCAAAATCCTTAAGGTACAGATATAATGAAAGAATGATATTGACCTAGAAAATCTTATCTGTGAGCCGTAATTGAAATGTTTATTTCTTTGTAGGCTGTTTGTTTTATCATCAGAATTATTGTCTCTGGCAGTATTAACTATGCAAACTTCTTTCTTATAATATTTTTGTAGTTCAGCTAATCATAACCACATGATGGCACTACTCCAGCAGTTGCTCCATAGTGACTCACTGTCATCATCTTGGAGGGACATCATCGTGTCATTGGTCTGCCAGGTTGTTCAGACAGTCCGACCTGATGTCAAGAACCAGGATGATGACATGGATATCCGTCAGTTTGTCCACATCAAAAAAGTGAGCTCTGCTAATGTTTTACTAATGCTAGGAACTGATGAGGCAGGACTGATTGTAATTTTTGTCTTAATGGTAATCTGAAAAGAGTCATTACCCTGAGGGGTGCTAGGTGAGGAGTAGGAGGTTTTGCTGTCTGCTTTGTTAGCAGCGCACTTAGGAGTCATGGAAGCCACGCATAGGAAGTGAAAGGTCAATGGAAAGGATGAGTTATATCGGAGATGAGTTGGGAACCCAAACAGAGATAGGTTCTTCCTTTCTTGCTTCCTCTTCTTGACAAGTCAGCTATGAGAAAGCCTGTTCTCACAGATTGTGATCACTGTTTGGAGGAAAAGCAGTGGGTAATTTGCTTTATTTAGATCAAGCTTGTCCCACTCGTGGCCTGTGGGCTGCATGCAGCCCAAGACTGCTTTGAATCTGGCCCAACACCAATTCATAAACTTCTTAAAACATTATGACATTTTTTGCGATTTTTTTTTTTAACTTTTTTATGTCTCTTTCTTTTTTTTTAATTATTATTATACTTTAAGTTTTAGGGTACATGTGCACAATGTGCGGGTTAGTTACATATGTATACATGTGCCATGCTGGTGTGCTGCACCCATTAACTCGTCATTTAGCATTAGGTATATCACCTAATGCTATCCCTCACCCCTCCCCCCACCCCACAACAGTCCCCAGAGTGTGATGTTCCCCTTCCTGTGTCCATGTGTTCTCATTGTTCAATTCCCATCTATGAGTGAGAACATGTGGTGTTTGGTTTTTTGTCCTTGCGATAGTTTACTGAGAATGATGATTTCCAATTTCATCCACGTCCCTACAAAGGACATGAACTCACCCTTTTTTATGGTTGCATAGCATTCCATGGTGTGTATGTGTCACATTTTCTTAATCCAGTCTATCATTATTGGACATTTGGGTTGGTTCCAAGTCTTTGCTATTGTGAATAGTGCCGCAATAAACATAATGTGTGCATGTGTCTTTATAGCAGCATGATTTATAGTCCTTTGGGTATATACCCAGTAATGGGATGGCTGGGTCAAATGGTATTTCTAGTTCTAGATCCCTGAGGAATCACCACACTGACTTCCACAATGGTTGAACTAGTTTACAGTCCCACCAACAGTGTAAAAGTGTTCCTATTTCTCCACATCCTCTCCAGCACCTGTTGTTTCCTGACTTTTTAATGATTGCCATTCTAACTGGTGTGAGATGGTATCTCATTGTGGTTTTGATTTGCATTTCTCTGATGAAAAAACCACTTTAAAGTTCGTATGGAACCAAAAAAGAGCCCGCATCGCCAAGTCAATCCTAAGCCAAAAGAACAAAGCTGGAGGCATCACGCTACCTGACTTCAAACTATACTACAAGGCTACAGTAACCAAAACAGCGTGGTACTGGTACCAAAATAGAGATATAGATCAATGGAACAGAACAGAACCCTCAGAAATAACACTGCATATCTACAACTATCCGATCTTTGACAAACCTGAGAAAAACAAGCAATGGGGAAAGGATTCCCTATTTAATAAATGGTGCTGGGAAAACTGCCTAACCATATGTAGAAAGCTGAAACTGGATTCCTTCCTTACATCTTATACAAAAATTAATTCAAGATGGATTAAAGACTTAAACGTTAGACCTAAAACCATAAAAACCCTAGAAGAAAACGTAGGCATTACCATTCAGGACATAGGCATGGGCAAGGACTTCATGTCTAAAACACCAAAAGCAACGGCAACAAAAGCCAAAATTGACAAATGGGATCTAATTAAACTAAAGAGCTTCTGCACAGCAAAAGAAACTACCATCAGAGTGAACAGGCAACCTACAAAATGGGAGAAAATTTTCGCAACCTACTCATCTGACAAAGGGCTAATATCCACAATCTACAATGAACTCAAACAAATTTACAAGAAAAAAACAACCCCATCAAAAAGTGGGCAAAGGATATGAACAGACACTTCTCAAAAGAAGACATTTATGCAGCCAAAAGACACATGAAAAAATGCTCATCATCACTGGCCATCAGAGAAATGCAAATCAAAACCACAATGCGATTTTTTTTTTAAGCTCATCAGCTGTTATTAGTGGATTTTATGTGTGGCCCAATACAATTCTTCTTCCAGTGAGGCCCAGGGAAGTCAAAAGATTGGACACCCCTGATTTAGATAGTAATGGAGTCCTGTGTGTGCTTTTTCCCTATGATATTTAACTTAAACAATAGTGTTAACTGCCACATGGCACTAGTTTATTCAGTCAGTGAGTACTTTAGAGTCCTAGGGTAGTACATTAGAGAACAGGGGATGGGAAAACAGAGTCATGCAGAGATGCCATTGATCGTTGGTTGAAAGGAAGTATTATTTCCTGAAATTTTTTGTTCTTATTTGATTACATAATAGTTTAAAAAAAATGGAAAGAAATAATAGCGTACATCTAACTAGATTCTAAGCATGTTATCATTGAATTTTATTGTTTTCTTAATTGTTCCATTAGATCCCAGGTGGAAAGAAGTTTGATTCTGTGGTTGTCAATGGCTTTGTTTGTACCAAGAACATTGCACATAAAAAGGTAATGTGATTCAGTTCAGCAGTGAAGTTCAGCAAACCATGGCTGTGTGCTTAGGTAACAAGTTGGGGCACCTTAGTTATGGAAGAAATGGACAATGGACAATGAAAGGCAGCTGTGTCTGCCATAGGGGTGAAATTTGGTTGGTTCAGGGAAGATTTCCCAGAGCTGAGGATGAATGGATTGGAATTTGAATAATGGGAATTCACCAGACAGAAGGAGGAAGGGGAGAGGATCAGGCTTCTAGATTAACAGAATGATAAGATACTGGCATTATTTATCTCCTGATCCTGTTACGTCTTAGGGAGACAGGGTTTCTCTAGTAGGCTGGAGTCCTTCCAGAGGCTTAGCATTCTAAAACTGATAGCTCTTCTAGTGCTCGGCTACAGAACTGTCAGTCTTCTTCTGTTATCCTTCTCACCTTATATCTTTGTAGCACTAGCACAAAGGAGTGGAGTGAGATAACCTGGGGTATTAAGGAGACTCTGAGTTCCTAAGGTGTAATATGGGCAATGTAGATGAAGCTGGAGGAAGCAGGCAAGGGCTTTGTATGTCATTAAAGGTCTTGAACTTTATTCTGAAATCTTTTGATTCTCAGTGTAGTGTACATACATTGAGATCACATGTGGACCTTTTAAAAATGTCTGTTCTTAACCTAACCCCTAGAAATTCTCATTCAGTAGGTTAAGGGCAATGGGAGTGTATGGATGTTAGGGAAATGGTGGTACTGTATTTAAAGTAGGCACTAGGCTGAGTGTGTAATACCAGCACTTTGGGAGGCCGAGGCTGGCAGATCACGATGTCAGGATTTTGAGAGCAGCCTGGCCATATGGTGAAACCACATCTGTACTAAAAATACAAAAGTTAGCCGGCGTGGTGGCGTGTGCCTGTAGTCTCAGCTACTCGGGAGGCTGAGGCAGAAGAATCTCTTGAACCTTGGAGGCGAAGGTTGCAGTGAGCTGAGATCACGCCACTGCAGTGCAGTCTGGGCAACAGAGCGAGACTCCGTCTCAAAAAAAAAAAAAAAAAAAAAGTAGGCACTTCAGGTGTTTCCAGTGTCATTTGTTGGTCCTTGCATTTTGAGATACCATTTATCTATAGTAGTGTTCTCAAACCTTGCTGTGCTTCAGAATCACCAGCGGAAACATTCAAAACAGAGATACCCTGGCCCCACTTCTGGGGATACTGATTTTGTTACAGCAAGAGCTGAGGCAGATTTCTAGCCTGAGCAACCAGATGGATGAACTCTAGTCTTGTTTTCACTTTTTTTCTAAGTTGAGCTTAATATAGTTTTTTCTAAGGCATTAAGATTCCTGAAAATTATTAGTGACCATAGATAAATAAAAATATACTTGGCTTGAGTTTTGTACTTATCGCGTATTTTATTGCAATAATTCGACATCAGTCAATATTTCTACACAGAGTCTTACTAAAACCACACATTACCCTTTAAAGGAGAACTTTAAACCAAATTAAATGATATTTGTTGAATTAAGAGGTAAATATGTTGTGCCTTCTCAGAAAGTGAGGAAAATTTGTATGTGGGTGTGGTGGAAACATATGCATGAATGACTGTCTTGCCCCACTGATTAGAGATAGTCCTTGATTTGTAGTTGCTAAAAAGAGTCCTGAATTGAGTTTCCCAGCTGGTGAGTCACTGTTTTCGGAACTGTTTGCCAGTTTGGGGTCCATAAACTTGGTCAGCCTGAAACCTCAATTGCTATTCTGCCTGTGGCTTTAAGCACACGATTAGGGTATATTATTTGGGTCTCTGCTTCTTGAGATGCTTTCAGATTTTCTTTTTGAACTTCATGTTTCCTATTTCAGCTTGCCACCTTAATGATTGTTTGGAAATTTATTCTATTAGCAATATGTTCAGGAGGCATTTTAATTCTTTTCTCCCTCTTCTCCTCTTCAATTTTAGACAGACTAAAATATGCTTTTAAAGTTGCTTATTTCTTGGAGTTTGTGAAGTAACCTGTCATTAAATACTGCTCCCTCCGTGCACACTCAGGGCATGATGTCTCTTCTTACAACATCAGAAATAAAAAAAAAAGTTAAAGAGTATAGAAGATCAAAGTAGTATTAAGAAAGAAAAGCCATTTTTTGAAGAATTTTGCATTGTTCTGAACATATTATTTGCTTTGAAAAAATTTAATACCGTAAAAGAACTAAATGAGAATATATTAATACTAATATGAGATACATTAAGTTAGTAGGAATTATGAACAATATAGATTTAAAGTTATAATTAAAGGAGGGCTGTAAAATGCAAACCTTTAAACACTTTAACAAACTGTTCATTTTTTGTAGATGAGTTCTTGTATTAAAAACCCCAAAATTCTTCTGTTGAAGTGTTCCATTGAGTATCTCTACAGAGAAGAAACTAAGTTTACTTGCATTGATCCTATTGTGCTTCAGGTAAGAATTTACTACTGAAAATAATAATTTAGAGGGATGTTTGTGTACCATGATGCTTATAAACTCTTAATGATTTTGACTTAATTCTAGCTAATTAAATTGGATAGGCAAACTTGATAGCTTACCAAAACCTCTGTCACTCATTATTTTTAAAGTTTCATAGTATTAAAGGTAACATGTGACTGTTCAAGGATATAAGGAAGAAAAAGTGAAAATCCAAATACTAATTTCCCTTTCCCACTTAATCCACTGATTTACTGTGGGAATTTCTCGAACTTACCAGATTTCTAATGGAATCTCTGGTTTGTAATACAGTCTATGCTACTAAAACATATTTCTAGAACATCAATTAGCTTATATGTAGTTGGCAAACAGAATAATGTCAGATGAAAGTTGTGTTGGTTTCTCAGTGGTTTTTCCTAAGCAAGGAGGCCCAGAATAGCTGCATTAGGTTATAACCCTCAGCTGGAAAGGAAAACAGTCTCAGCTCAGCTGCTACACAGGCAGAAACCCTTCCAGCTCTA
This sequence comes from Homo sapiens, assembly GCF_000001405.40. NCBI lineage: Eukaryota > Metazoa > Chordata > Mammalia > Primates > Hominidae > Homo > Homo sapiens. The sequence goes on from NC_000002.12 coordinate 208,320,884, forward strand.
TTTTAAGAAAGTAAAAGTGAGCTTTTGCTTGCAGGGCTCTCTCCCCAGGGAGGCACACCCGCATCTCTGTGTGGTTCTTGGTAGCTTTGCTGCTCAGAGCTCCATTTCTAGTTGTAGCGTTGCAATAGTTTTTGTGCATTTAATTTTACTTGAGGCAGCCTCATGCCATATGAAGCTCTCTGCCTGGGCTCTCCATGATTCCTCTTAAGGTACCAATTATTATTTTTATTAGTGCTGAAGGTATAAAGTTGCATAGGTTTTAAGTTTTCTGCTCCAACTCCTTTTCTCCCATAAATACTGTTAATTTTACTTTGTGGTCATTCAAAGTGGAAGCTTTTAGGGAATGTGTATATTATATTATAGTGGAAACACTTATGCTGGGTTCCAGAAACATTTAGGAAAAGCATTACTTGAAAATTCCTAGGTAAATACATTTTTTTCAAGAGTGGTAGGAGCAATCACTTTTGTACTGATTTCCTAGATAACAATAAGAGAAAATGAGTTGTAGTAAAAGAAACAGTGCTTTATAAAACTCTGCTGTTATTACTTAAGAACTCTGTGACCTGGGGCTGTTTTCTCTTTGGAATTCAGCTGTGCTATCAGTAAAAATGATGGGTTTTGACTAGACATTTTAGTAGAGAACTCTAAAGAAATAAAGGGAAATACTTCTTTTTTCTTTTTCTTTTCTTTTGTTTTTTTTTTTTTTTTTTTGAGACGAAGTCTCGCTCTTGTCCCCCAGGCTGGAGCGCAATGGTGCAATCTTGGCTCACTGAAACCCCTGCCTCCCAGGTTCAAGCTATTCTCCTGCCTCAGCCTCTCGAGTAGCTGGGATTACAGGTGCCTGCCACCATGCCTGGCTAATTTTTGTATTTTTTTAGTAGAGACGGGGTTTCATCATGTTGGCCAGGCTGGTCTTGAGCTCCAGATGTCAGGTGATCCGCCCGAGGCGTCCCAAAATGCTGGGATTACAGGCGTGAGCCACAATATTCATTTCTTTTGAAATTAAGCCTTTGTGATAAAATTCTATTAGCATTATGTTTGAGATCTTTAACTGTAGCTGTTCTAGGTATTATATGATCTGTTGGGAAATTGGAATTAGGAAGTAGCTGAAATAGCATCTGTTAGAGTTATTTATTCAGAGATCCAGAAAAAGGGATAACTCATGTTGGTTTCAGAATGTAGAGGAGAGAATTCATAACCATACTAAAACAACTTAGGGATGGGCATAGTGGCTGACACTTGTGATTACACTTTTGGAGCTGAAGGCAGGAGGATTGCTTGAGGCCAGGAGTTCAAGACCAGCCTGGGTAACATAGTGAGACTCTGTTCCTACAAAAAATAGAAAAAATTAGGCAGGCATGGTGATGTGTGCCTGTAGTCCTAGAAGGGTGAAGCAGGAGGATTGCTTGAGCCCAGGACTTTGAGGTCACAGTGAGCTATGACGGCACCTCTGCACTCCAGCCTGGGTAACAGAATGAGACCCTGTCTCTTAAAAAAAAAAAAAAAAAAAAAAAACTTAGAAATTGCTTTTATTTTGGGAGTTGTGAGGTTAGGTTTTTTTGTTGTTCTTGTTTTTTTTTAACCTCTGAACTAGCTAATTGGATTCTTGGCTTTTAAATTAAGAATTGAAAATCTTTCAAGGAAAGTTAGTTGGAGAATGGAATTTCTCCTGAAACTCTTGTCAGCATAATCAAGTTTAGAATGATGAATGAGATTCTTACTGTGTTTGCATTAATTTGCTTACAGACTTATTTGTGGATGAAGAAAATTTAGTCTAAGATTGATAATAGTCAAGCTATCTTGATATATATATATATATTTTTTTTATTACACTTTAAGTTCTAGGGTACATGTGCACAATGTGCAGGTTTGTTACATATGTATACATATGCCATGTTCATGTGTTGCACCCATTAACTTGTCATTTACATTAGGTATATCTCCTAATGCTATCCCTCCCCCCTCCCCCACCCCATGACAGGCCCCCGTGTATGATGTTCCCCTTCCTGTGTCCAGGTGTTCTCAATGTTGAATTCCCACCTATGAGTGAGAACATGCGGTGTTTGGTTTTTTGTCCTTGTGATAGTTTGCTGAGAATGTTGGTTTCCAGCTTCATCCATGTCCCTACAAAGGACATGAACTCATCCTTTTTTATGGCTGCAGAGTATTCCATGGTGTGTATGTGCCACATTTTCTTTTTTATTTTTATTTTATTTTTTATTTTATTATTATTAGTAGTAGTATACTTTAAGTTTTAGGGTACATGTGCACAATGTGCAGGTTAGTTACATATGTATACATGTGCCGTGCTGGTGTGCTGTACCCATTAACTCGTCATTTAGCATTAGGTATATCTCCTAATGCTATTCCTCCCCCCTCCCCCCACCCCACAACAGTCCCCAGAGTGTGATGTTCCCCTTCCTGTGTCCATGTGTTCTCATTGTTCAATTCCCATGTATGAGTGAGAACATGTGGTGTTTGGTTTTTTGTCCTTGCGATAGTTTACTGAGAATGATGATTTACAATTTCATCCACGTCCCTACAAAGGACATGAACTCATCCTTTTCTCTGGCTGCAGAGTATTCCATGGTGTGTATGTGCCACATTTTCTTAATCCAGTCTATCATTGTTGGACATTTGGGTTGGTTCCAAGTCTTTGCTATTGTGAATAGTGCCGCAATAAACATACTTGTGCATGTGTCTTTATAGCAGCATGATTTATAATCCTTTGGGTATATACCCAGTAATGGGATGGCTGGGTCAAATGGTATTTCTAGTTCTAGATCCCTGAGGAATCACCACACTGTCTTCCACAATGTTGAACTAGTTTACAGTCCCACCAACAGTGTAAAAGTGTTCCTATTTCTCCACATCCTCTCCAGCACATGTTGTTTCCTGACTTTTTAATGATTGCCATTCTATCTGGTGTGAGATGGTATCTCATTGTGGTTTTGATTTGCATTTCTCTGATGGCCAGTGATGATGAGCATTTTTTCATGTGTCTGTTGGGTGCATAAATGTCTTCTTTTGAGAAGTGTCTGTTCATGTGCTTCGCCCACTTTTTGATGGGGTTGTTTGTTTTTTTCTTGTAAATTTGTTTGAGTTTTTTGTAGATTCTGGATATTAGCCCTTTGTCAGATGAGTAGATTGCAAAAATTTTCTCCCATTCTGTAGGTTGCCTGTTCACTCTGATGATATTTTAATATGTCCAGATACTGCATTTTACCAGGTGTAATATTTCTGATTTATCTTACTTAGGAAAGGGAATTCTTGAAGAATTATGTCCAGCGAATAGTTGATGTTCGACCCACCTTGGTTCTTGTTGAGAAAACAGTGTCTCGGATTGCCCAGGACATGTTATTGGAACATGGCATTACTTTGGTCATTAATGTAAAGTCAGTGAGTGTTTTTAATTTTCTATTGTATTTTAAAAAAATCACAGCTTTTAAATTTATATGCACGTATGGTAGGTATACAAGAATCTTTTTTTCTTTGCTGTTCTATTTGTATTGAAAGTGGGACAGAAGATATGGCACCTATTTCATTAAGATTCAGAATTTCAGACTGGAACTGGAAGAAAGTATAATTGATTATGTAATACTTATTGGTGTCTACAAGACCAAAAGTGAAATGGACATTAGTTAATCACTAGGTATTTGTTGATCCTTCATTTTTGTTGGAGAATTGCTCAAGCAGAAGACGTTCTCTCCCTTGAAAAGTTTACCCTGTGCAGAACAGGGGCCAATTCTAGGAAGTTGTTTTTCTCCCCACATTATCTTGTGGTAATCCATGATGCTTAAGTGCATTTTTATAATGTTATTAATATGAGTAAGGTTTCAGTGGGCATATATTGATTACTAAGCAACTAAGTGTAGAAGAATCCAGAATAAAAAAATTCATCATATATTTATTAAAAAGGAAATTTGTGAATGTTATTTTTTAATTTTTCCATTACTTTTCCAGATTAAATTTACAAAGATTTTTATTCTTCTCTAGTTTTGTAATACAATGTTTTTCTGTTTTGTAGCAAGTTTTGGAACGAATCAGTCGAATGACCCAAGGTGATTTAGTGATGTCAATGGACCAGCTGCTTACGAAACCACACCTGGGCACTTGTCACAAATTTTATATGCAGATATTTCAGTTGCCTAATGGTGAGTGATCTTTAGCATAGATTGACCTGAGGAAAAGAGTTAACTTATCACTACTACAATGTTTACTTACTAGGAAATACCTATTAATAGTGGGTAAGTGAGGATAGGCAACTGTGATCTTATTCATGTAAGAGTTTTTCTTTTACAGATATTAAGAGAGTGAATTAATTCTATTTGTACTTCTGGATTGCCACCTCCACCATCTTAACTTTCTGTTTGTTTTTGTTTGTAGAACAAACCAAGACACTGATGTTTTTTGAAGGTTGTCCACAGCACCTAGGCTGTACAATCAAGCTAAGAGGAGGCTCTGATTATGAGCTGGCTCGAGTTAAGGAGATCCTAATATTTATGATCTGTGTTGCTTATCATTCTCAACTAGAAATATCCTTTCTCATGGATGAATTTGCTATGCCTCCCACATTAATGCAAAACCCTTCATTCCATTCCCTGATTGAGGGACGAGGGCATGAGGGGGCTGTCCAAGAGCAGTACGGTGGAGGTTCCATCCCCTGGGATCCTGACATCCCTCCTGAGTCTCTGCCCTGTGATGATAGCAGTTTGCTGGAATTGAGGATTGTGTTTGAGAAGGGTGAGCAGGAAAATAAAAATCTTCCGCAGGCTGTTGCCTCTGTGAAGCATCAAGAACATAGCACAACAGCTTGCCCGGCGGGTCTCCCTTGTGCTTTCTTTGCACCTGTACCGGAATCATTGTTGCCACTCCCTGTGGATGACCAACAAGATGCTTTAGGCAGCGAGCAGCCAGAGACTTTGCAGCAAACAGTTGTGCTGCAGGATCCCAAAAGCCAGATAAGAGCCTTTAGAGACCCTCTACAGGATGACACTGGATTATATGTTACTGAGGAAGTCACCTCCTCTGAAGATAAACGAAAGACTTATTCTTTGGCCTTTAAGCAGGAATTAAAAGATGTGATCCTCTGTATCTCCCCAGTAATCACATTCCGAGAACCCTTTCTTTTAACTGAAAAGGGGATGAGATGCTCTACCCGAGATTATTTTGCAGAGCAGGTTTACTGGTCTCCTCTCCTCAATAAAGAATTCAAAGAAATGGAGAACAGGAGGAAGAAACAGCTGCTCAGGGATCTCTCTGGACTTCAGGGCATGAATGGAAGTATTCAGGCCAAGTCTATTCAAGTCTTACCCTCACATGAGCTAGTGAGCACTAGAATTGCTGAGCATCTGGGCGATAGCCAGAGCTTGGGTAGAATGCTGGCCGATTATCGAGCCAGAGGAGGAAGAATTCAGCCCAAAAATTCAGACCCTTTTGCTCATTCAAAGGATGCATCAAGTACTTCAAGTGGCCAATCAGGAAGCAAAAATGAGGGTGATGAAGAGAGAGGGCTTATTCTGAGTGATGCTGTGTGGTCAACAAAGGTGAGCCAGACCACTTTCTGATGCTCCTGTGCATTTAGGATGTGTTGAATGACTCCTCAAAGGCAGGCTAAAAAAATCAGTTTGGCAGACTGCATGCAGATTTGTGAAATATTTCTTCTCCTATGCTATTTTTGTTTTTGTCTTGAGTCTGCTGGCTTATGTGTTACTTTAATATGTATGAAGCAGAATTGTAATGAAACTGGGTTTCAGGGTTTTAAGGTGAGCTTATAATAAGCTAGGAAGATCCCTGAAGTAAGGGGAAATGTGGAGCTGCTTAAAATTTCTGACAACATGACTTGGATGTGGTATGATAATCCTGGATCCTTGTGTCAGGGAGTGAGAGATGGAAGCTTATTGTAGGAAATAGATGTGTTTTTTTAAAAAAGTTAGCAGCAAATATATTTGTTTTCTCAAAAAAAGTTAGCTCTTTTTTTAACATAAAACATTTTACCTTGTTATTTAACTATGACAGTGATCTTTTTCTTTTTAGGCATAAATTGAGAGCAAATTAAGGAAGGTTTATAGATCCATTATTGATAATGGTAGCAATAAAACTAATTAACAAATCCATTGCTAGATGAGGAAATGCAATTGTTTAATAAAACGAGAAGATGTCCAATTTCGCCAGTAGTCAAGGAAGTGCTAAATAATGTATGTTCAATTTCACTAGTAGTCAAGGAAGTGCTAAATAATAGTGGTGCTAAATAATTTTTTATTTGTCAGATTGACAAAAAGGAAAGTCGTAAAAGACCCATGGTTAATGATGGCATGGAAAAACACCTTTCATAAATTTTATGTAAGTTTATACAAATGTAGGTATATGTACATTTGTATAAATTTATAGAAAGTGATAGGAAAGTCTCCATTAATTTACACATACATGTATATACCTTTGACCCAGGACTCCAACTTTTTATAATCTATCCTGCAGAAATAATTAAGTATGCTTATATAAGGGTGCTTGCATTTTTTAAGAATATATGTACAAAGATGTTTATTGAAACAGTTTAAGGATGAGCAGGATCTCAAGTCATTTAATGACTTGGATAAAGCCCATGATATATTTGAAGTGTTAAAAAGCAAATTATGTTTTAATATGTGTTGCATTATTCCATATTTATAAAAACAAAACCCCCTGTTTGTACTTAGGAAGTGATGTGTGTATGTGGGACAGGTATGTAAACTAGCAAAAAGAATAGATATTTTAAAACCACAGAGTCAAACTCCGCAGCTTAGGAGGTGGAGTAGAATCAGGAGGAGCAGTTTTGTGTATTTTATGAACTTCTTCATATGCTTCTATACTGTTTCAATTTTAACAGAGAGCTGGTTTTACCTTTGTAATGATCAAAAACAGCCATAAGCATAGATAAATAAACACTTTAGAATTTAGATTTCTGGGTGTCTCAGATTGATGTTATATCCCATCAGTTCAGACTGTTAAATATGGGTATATTTAATTAATTTTTTTCCAAAATAATTTAGTGCAGTTGTGTAAAATAAAGAGTAAGTTAAGAAAACAAGCTATCTAGACATTGTTTTGTATTTTTAAGTTTAATTGAAACTTTTTGGGTTGTCTTTTCTCAAAAACCAACTGCCCTTCCTTATATTTAGTTTTCTGTAGTTTTAAATCTTGACCAGAGCCCCCACAGTGATAATTGGAGGCTTTACAAATAGAGTGGAGTGTGTTTGGTGCATTGGGGTTGAATGCGGTTGCAGTCACTTGCTCATCCATTCATTCCTTCTATTTCAGGTGGACTGTCTGAATCCCATTAATCACCAGAGACTTTGTGTGCTCTTCAGCAGCTCTTCTGCCCAGTCCAGCAATGCTCCTAGTGCCTGTGTCAGTCCTTGGTAGGATTCTTTTCCCCCTACACTATTCCACATAAGAACAGAATTCCAGCAATTAAAAAAAAACAAAAACAAAAAAACAGTCATTAGGACCTGTATTTAGGTACACAGCACACTGCTGGTCATATATGAATTGATAGAACTTTTAAACTTGTGAAGTAAATATGAAAATACATGTTTGTTCATGAGTAGAAGTAAATGAGAGTATATTAAGAGTGAAAAAAGTGTGAGGGATAGAAGAGGAATTTGTATTGGTTGACTTTCCCTTATCTGAAATGCTTGGGACCAGAAGTGTTTTGGATTTAATATTTTTTCAAATTTGGAAATACTTGCATATACTTAATGAGTTATCTTGGGGATGGGACCCAAGTCTAAACATGAAATTCATTTGTGTTTCATATACACCTTGTACACGTAGCCTGAAGTTAATTTTATATAAGATTTGTAATAATTTTATGTATAAAACAAAGTTTGTATACATTGAACCACCAGAAAGCAAAGGTTTCAGTTGTGGAATTTCCCTCTTGTGGTACCATATCAGGACTCAAAAGTTTCAGATTTTGGAGCATTTTGGATTTTGGATTTTCAGATTAGGGATGCCCAACCTGTACTTAAAAATGTGAGAAAGTTGACACACAAAAAGCTTGTTTATAAGCATTTTGATGATAGCATGTACAATTTAGGCAGGTTTTCCTTCAGGCATAATTTTTATAAAAGCAGTCAACCTTTTGCTTTATTAATGGGTTTTAGTCTAAAACTTAAGTAGATTGATAGAAACTGAAATACATTTTATGTTTTAAATTATTTTTTTCAAATTATTGTCACAAAAACCTCACACAGACATACATAGCCTTACATTACATGTTCACCTTTAGTTTTAAAAGTACTATGGAACATAACTTCTTGTTTGGGGGCACTGTCTCCATGCCAGAACATATTCTGTGTTTTAATTTTGGATAACTGAAACACTTATTTCCAGCAGTGAGCTCATGGGTTCTTCTAGTAGTATAGCTTCAGCAGGAAGACTTGGGAGTGGCAGAACCCATGGGAATTATCTCTGGGAGTTTATATATAGGTCAAGGCTTGAATAAGATGTGGATTTCAACAGTTATATAGCCAAACTGTCTTGTGAGCATTTATAGGTTAGATAAAAAGTTAGAAACTGGCACTTTAGCAAGAACTGCTGTTTTCCATGCTCAGTAAAGGCATGGACAAGAGAGTAGGAGACCAGAGTCCCACCTTGTGCTGACAGGGCTTAAGCCTTTGTAAAGGAAACCTTTACCTCTTCTTAACTCAGATCAGTTTTACTAAATTAATATTATAGTTTATGCATCCTCATTAGTTTCATAAGACACTAGTGGATTGGGAGTGAAAAAGATGCTTTAGTGTGGCAAGTCTAAACTTGTTTTATTAAAACCTGTTTCATAACAACAAAGAACATTACCTCCTTTCATACTTCATTGTAAGTACCATACATTTAATAGGTAATCATAATTTGTGGTCTCATGAAATGTCTCTGGGGCATGGTAATTCTTATGTTTCTAAGAGGTGGTCTCTTCTTTAGGATTGTAACAATGGAATTTTATGGAAAGAATGATCTTACATTAGGAATATTTTTAGAGAGATACTGTTTCAGGTAAGAACATATTTCTTCCTTCTGTTCCATTACACATTTTTGATGCTCAAAATTTCAAGCTAAAACGTAAACATGAGTCGGATGTTAAGTGACTGTTACATGATCCTCACTTTCATAGTGCATATCAGAGTATATCATTCAAAGAAGTAATAATCTATTTCATATTTAAACTGAGATCTCTTATCCAGAACATCCCTCATATCTCTGCCCATCTAATTACCCTACCATCAACATTTTTCGGATACCTGTTTTTTTACAGTGATTCAAATGAGAGGTAAAATGTTGGAATCATCTAGACCTCAGTTTAAGTCTTAGCATCATCACTCGCCACTTATATGACAAAGCACTTTACTAGTCCCCTTTATAGGGAATAACAATCCCTAGAATTATCAGAAGGTAAAAGGAAATGTTTTAAAATTGTTTGGCAAATAGAAGGTGCTTAACAAATGGAAACTATCACCGTGCTGTAGCTGAAGACGATGTTCAGCTGCAGGCTCAGAGCAGCATGAGTACCTTGTGCAGATTGTTCACTAGTCATGCTGCACTTTGACAGTGGTTCTGATTTCTGTTTCATGCTTAATGTGAGAAGGGCTCTTTTGTTTGTCAAAGGCCTTCTTATCAGTGTCCAAGCATGTTCTGTGATACCCCCATGGTACATCATATTCGGCGCTTTGTTCATGGCCAAGGCTGTGTGCAGATAATCCTGAAGGAGTTGGATTCTCCAGTACCTGGATATCAGCATACAATTCTTACATATTCCTGGTGTAGAATCTGCAAACAGGTAAATAGACCCTATTACTATATTTTGTTTGCCATTTATTTCTTTATTTGTATGTTTTTTTTTTTTCCTGAGGAGGTTTCCTATATGGTACTGGATTCGTTATTTGTTATAGAGCTCTATTTGTCATTGTTATTTTACCTTCCAGTGCTGTATGTTCAATCTAGTATTCGTTTTTTGAAGATCCCATCTTAGGAATGTATCAGTCATTAAATAAAATACAAGTGCCCTATACAGTAAAGTATCTTGAGGTTGTATCATGACATATCTCAATTTTGTTTATTCATTCAACAAACATTTAGCACCATTTATGTGCCAGATACTGTGCTAGGCCCTAGGAATGAAAAAAAGAATAAGGAATGACTTCTGTTCTCTAGGGGAGGAGACAGACTTGTAAAGCAATAACTGCAGTATATTAGGATATTTGTATAATAAATTCGAGCCTATGTGAGCATTTCTATTCACATACAGATGAGACCATGTTGAAATTGATCTCTATTGGTTTTTATGCATGTTCTTGAGAAAAGGACATGTGTTTTGTTTCTTCTTTGTGCCTTTCTTTACTTTTCTAACTCTGGGGCAAAAATTTGGTGCCAATATTGTGTTTTTTTTAAATATATGATTTTTATCCAGACTGCTTGCAATCTGGATAAAATATTCCAAATTTAACTTACTACCTTAATTAGGTTCTTTCTTTCTTTTTTGAGACAGAGTCTTGCTCTATCGCCCGGTCTGGAGTGCAGTCGTGTGATCTCTGCTCACTGCAACCTCTGTCTCCTGAGTTCAAGCTGTTCTCTGCCTCAGCCTCTGGAGTAGCTGGGACTACAGGCATGCGCCACTATGCCCAGCTAATTTTTGTATTTTTAATAGAGACAAGGTTTCACTACGTTAGCCAGGCTGGTCTCAAACTCCTGACCTCGGGTGATCGCCCACCTTGGCCTCCCAAAGTGTTGGGATTACAGGCCTGAGCCACAGCGCCTGGCCTTAATTGGGTTATTTCAAAGTGTGCTTTTGGAAGGCACATATGGGAATTATATATAAAATAATAGCACGACCTACATTAATCAGTGGTAGAGAAGGGCAAAATCAAAGTTGCACCTGCAGCAGCAAACATACAGACATAAAATTATTTCTAGCAATTCTCAGTCTTAGTTTCATAATTGTTCTTACCGACTTTAGTTCCTATTAGTTAGCTGGTAATAGTTTGTTGTAGAATATGTTAACTGGGTAGACTGACCATGGTACTAAATGAATAACTTAAATTTGATCTTTATGACTTACATGCTTTGCTATATGCACTTTATTTTGAAACAAAAACTTCTGCTTTTTTATGCTAGAAAGGAAAAGGTAAGTTTTGTTACACTAAAATGAAAAACTTCCAGTGTCAAGGAAAAATACAACATATATGACTAAACATAAATATATATAATATCAAATTTCTATGAGCCATGATAATAGAAAAATGGGCAGAGGACATGACAATGCAATTTAATGCAAATGGCTACTAAACAAATAAATAAATGTTATTCATTAGTAGTCAGGTAAGCATAAATCAGTAAAATCTCTTTAAAATTTTTTCTTTAGGAGGTTACATTTCAAAAATTTCAATTCTGATTCCTAGGATTGGGTAAGAAAGTGGGGGAAATTGATATTCTTAAATATTGTTGGAGACTGTATACACTGGTGCACTTGTTTTGGAAGATAATGTGGCAAAAATTATCAAAGATCATATAAATGTTTATGCCCTTTGACTTACCAATTCCCACCTTTATTAATTTATCCCACGGGAATAATTGTGGATATTTGTAAATATGTATATACAAGGATGTTCATCAGAACATCATCTCAGTGTGGAAAAACTTGTAATGTCTTAAAGGCACATCAGTAAGGATTGGTTCAATACATGTCCAGATACTCTGAAGCCATTTGAAAAGTTGTGCAAGAATATTTTATGTGGGAAAATATTCACGATATATTGCTAAGTAAAAGATTATGAAACTATAGGAGTTTTTATTTACAAATATACTGGCTGTGTGTGTGTCCATGTATGTATGTATATATGTATATGTGTGTGTGTGTATATATATATATAAATACATCAAAAATAAACATATACTAGTATATTGATGTTGTTGGTGGATTTATTGGTAATGCTGCTCTCCTCCACCACCCCCAAGTCCACCCACCTTTGAACTTTCTCATTCTTTTCCCAGTTTTCTGCAGTCAGTATATATTACGTTTGTATTAGAAAAGAAAATGTTGGCCGGGTGTGGTGGCTCACACCTGTAATCCCAGCACTTTGGGAGGCTGAGGCAGGTGGATCACGAGGTCAGAAGATCGAGACCACCCTGGCTAACATCGTGAAACCCTGTCTCTACTAAAAATACAAAAAATTAGCCGGGCGTGGTGGCGCGTGCCTGTAGTCCCAGCTACTCAGGAGGCTGAGGCAGGAGAATGGCCTGAACCTGAGAGGCGGAGCTTGCAGTGAGCTGAGATCGAGCCACTGCACTCCAGCCTGGGTGACAGAGCGAGACTCCATCTCAAAAAAAAAAAAGAAAATGTTATTTTTTGAAAAAGAGATTCTCAATATGTGATTAGGTAAACTATTTTTGCTGAATTCCAGGTAACACCAGTTGTTGCTCTTTCCAATGAGTCCTGGTCTATGTCATTTGCAAAATACCTTGAACTTAGGTTTTATGGGCACCAGTATACTCGCAGAGCCAACGCTGAGCCCTGTGGTCACTCCATCCATCATGATTATCACCAGTATTTCTCCTATAACCAGATGGTGGCGTCTTTCAGGTAAGAAATCCTAGGAATCTTGTGCATGATCTCAGATCTCATAATCCCTTAAGAATTTTTTTAACATTTTCACCATTACTAGATTGAATTAATTTGTGGGATTCCCCATTTATACCCTTATAAATGCAGAGGACCAGACTGTATTAAGAACTTTCAGTATTATTTTATTTACTCTTTACCCTACAAAATAGTTCTTATTATCCTCACTTACAGAGCTTACGATCATTCACTTACAGAGCTCTCAAGTGGTGGAGTAATGATTTGAACCTTGGTCGATCTACTACCAGCCTCACTCTTTTTTTAAAAAAAGTTTTAATATAGAAATTTTAGAAAAATATGAGACAGGATCTCACTGTTACCCAGGCTGGTCTTGAAGTGTGCTCAAGTGATTCTCCTGCCTCGGCCTTTCAAAGTGTGGGGATTAGAAGTGTGAGCCATCATGTCGGGCCCTGGCCTAACTCTTAACCATTGTTTTGGCATCTGATGGCATCTGAAAGTCTGTCAGAATTTTTGCCAAGATATTAACCATCAGAAGGATAATCACATAATTCTGATAGAGCTAAAAGTCTGTGTTCAAAGAATTGATAGTTGCCATTGTGGTATTAAATAATTTGAGACAGCCTTCAGGTTCTGCCTTCAAAATATATCAAGAGTCTGAGCACTTTTTACCAACTCTACCACTACCACTTTGGGCTGAGCCTCTGTTATCTTTCACCTGGATTATTGTAGTAGCCTTAGCAGTCTCCCTTTGGCCTTGTCCCTTTAGCCTCTTCTCAACACAGCAGTCAGAGTGGTTCTGTTAAGGGGCAATCAGCTAAGGCCACTCCTCTGCTCTAGACACTCCAAAGGGTGTCTGTTTCACCTGGAGTGAAAGCCAAAGTCCATTTACTGGCCTTTAATCTACCTGCACTGGCTGCCCAGGACCTCTCTGCTCTTACCTCCTACTGCTCTCTCTTCACTCATCCTGCTGCTGCCCCACTGGCCTCCTGACTGGGCCTCAGGTATGTCAGGTAGGTTGCTGCCTGGGAGCCTTGTACTTGTTCTTCCCTCTCTGAATTGCTCATTCCCCAGATATCTGCTTGTTGCTTCCTTGTGTCTTACAAGTCTTTGCTCACATTTCACCTGCCCTGACACTCCCCCATCCTAGCACTCTGCTTCTCTTGCTATATTTTTCTCCATAGTACTGAACATCTGATATGTATTTGTTTTGTTTGTTACCTGAATCTTGTTTTTCCTAAATTATGAGAACAGGAATTGTTAGTGTTATATCCTCAGCACCTAAAACAGTGTCTGGCACATAATAGACCCTCAGGGGATATTTGCTAATTAGAGCTTATTTCCTTTTTTAAGCAAGAGTTTTTAACCGTGCATGTAGGGCCTTGCGGGGGAGTTGGGTTGTAGCATTTATTAGTCGATATAAACCCTCAGGTGGAAAGGAAACCAAAGACTCATGAAGAATCTTCAGGAGGTGGAAAGTAATGAATACCTACAATTAGGTGTAGGTATTTTAGTTTCCTTATTAATAGGGATGGTTTATAACAATCGTTTTTGGTTTTACAGCAGGTAAGGATAACTTCAAGGGATAAATGATGGTACTACAGCATAATGAAAGATAAAACAAAATCCCTCCAGAATTGGGGAGGATATTTATTGTAACAGCTAAAAATTATTTTTGTGATTGTTTTAAAATACGATTTTATAGAAACTTTTCCTCTTATGCCTCATAGAATATAGTTGAACATCATGATACAGCTCTATTCAAGATATTAAGCTATTTTTCATTTTCTATTGGTCCTTGTATTTTCTTCTCAGTTATTCTCCCATTCGGCTTCTTGAAGTATGTGTTCCACTCCCCAAAATATTCATTAAGCGTCAGGCCCCATTAAAAGTGTCCCTTCTTCAGGATCTGAAGGACTTCTTTCAAAAGTAAGTTCAGTTTCTTTTATCATCTTTTTTTGTTTATTTACAGCTATTTTAAAGTATCAGATTTATTCATTTTATTTTCTTTGAAAATGTAAATTTTCTAATTGTATGCTATGCATGCTTGGTGTACAAAAAGAAAATTGTAGACGCTATGGAAAGATAATAAAAAAGAAGCCAAACTCTTTTAGACATAACAACTTAAAATTTTGAAGTACATCCTTTTAGGTCTTATTTACTCTGCAAAACTGTATGTAATTCTTAATTAGGTAAAACATAATTTCAATTACATTTTGCATGTAGCTTTTTTTTCTATTTATGTGAGATAGAAAATTTGATTCACCCTTTCTAAAGTGTTTAATGCTCTCGCTATTGTTAGAGTTTCACAGGTATATGTTGCCATTGATGAAAGACTTGCATCTTTGAAAACTGATACATTTAGTAAAACAAGAGAGGAAAAAATGGAAGATATTTTTGCACAGAAAGAGGTAATTTATTTCTTTGGTAGAAAATTCAAAAGTTAATTATTGATTAAAAATTATTGATTAAAAATCAAAAATTAATAATAGCAGTTTCTTTTGGGGTATGTCTGTATAGTGTCTGTCTCCTGAAGTTGTTTCTGTTCCTTGTAGATGGAAGAAGGTGAGTTCAAGAACTGGATTGAGAAGATGCAAGCAAGGCTCATGTCTTCCTCTGTAGATACCCCTCAGCAACTGCAGTCGGTCTTTGAGTCACTCATTGCCAAGAAACAAAGTCTCTGTGAAGTGCTGCAAGCTTGGAATAACAGGTGTGATTTTGCAGTCTGGTTTTCTTTAATATTATTGCCACATTTGTTCTAATGTGATATCTTAAAACTTAAAAATTTTTAATTATGGATGTTTCATTTTGTGCTCAAGTTAAAGAGCCTTTTGTTTCCTGTCACTCTCCTTTCCTCTTTATATTTTAAAATATATGTGGTATATTTTAGGTAGCTTGTGAAGATGTAAAAACCAAAGAGGAGAACAGCCTTTGATGCTGTTTCTAATATAATTTGAAACAATGTTGTTCAGATGTGTGTGCTGTTGAATTGTTTTTAACTGAATTAGTATGCCATAAGTCACTATTGGTTTTTGGCCAGCAATTTCAAATATATTGTATATTGATATGTTTATCTTATGCCTTTATTTAAACATTTATTTTTTAGAAGTATTTTTCTTTATAATAATTTGCTATTTTTTTTTTACAACTATAGTGAGATCAACAAATGCTCCTGGTTAATTAGATATGACAAAAACTTACTCTTATTTATATATAACTTTAAAGACTATGGTAATCCAAATAGGAAAACTTTGTGATTTCAAAGTTGTAAAGAGAAAATTTATAAACAGCACTCAAGGGGCTAGAAACAAACCATATATATATATATTTTTTGCTTTTGGCCACAGGTTGCAGGACCTTTTCCAACAGGAAAAGGGTAGAAAGAGACCTTCAGTTCCTCCAAGTCCTGGAAGACTGAGACAAGGGGAAGAAAGCAAGGTATGAAATGTAGTCTTGTCTTTGGTCCTTAATCAATAGAAATATAGTTAGTTTCATTTATAATACTTAGCAGGGATAGTTTAATATGTACTTTAGTAATGATATCCAGTAGGGTTTTCCATTTTGAATTTGTGAGGTTTCAAGGAACTATGACCTGGATTACTTTTATGTTATAACCTGAAATAAAATGATCACTTATAATTTATTTATTTGAAATGTTTATAAAAGCTACAGTTTGCTGCATCACTGAGGGTAGCATCATGGTGACAGCAAGTGCTACAGAGGAAAGTCAGTGGATGCTCTGAGTATAATAGGGTGCTCATTTATTTTATACTCCGCAGTTTTGGTTGTTTTTAAAATCTCCGTGCTTAAATAAGAGGTTTTTCTTAAGGTATTTGAACTGCGTAAGTTCTTTTTCAACTGTGTTAGTTTTCTCTTGCTCAGTGACAGATTATCCCAAACATAGTGGCCAAAACCACAAATTTATAGATAGATATATCTATATAGATATTTATAGACAGATACATCTATATAGATATATATAGATATAATACTTAGGATTATCCCTTACACCTAATAATCTTGTATAGATCTATATCTATCTATAGATCTATCTAGATATATATCAATCTATCTAGATATATCTATCTGTCTATCGATCTATCTATCTAGATAGATAGATATATCTATACCTAGATGCTTAATTCCAGGAAGCGAGCTACTATTTAGAATGCAATTCTCAAAGTGTGGTTCAAGGACTCCTGATAGTCCAAGACCTTTTCAGGGACTCTGCAAAAATTTTTTTTTTTGAGAGATGGAGTCTCACTCTGTCGTGCATGCTGGAGTGCAGTGGTGCGATCGCGGCTCACTGCAACCTCTGCCTTCCGAGTTCAAGCAATTCTCCTTCCTCAGCCTCTCGAGTAGCTGGGATTACAGGCGTGTGCCACCACACCCAGGTAATTTTTTGTATTTTTAGTAGAGATGGGGTTTCTCCATGTTGGCCAGACTGATCTTAAACTCCTGACCTCAGGTGATCCATCCACCTTGGCCTCCCGAAGTTTTGGGATTACAGGCGTAAGCCACCACACCTGGCTCATTTTTATTTTTTTTTTCGATTGCATATCTGTATGAAGCTAGATTTTCTTCATATACTTCAATCATAATGGTGTATCTCAACAGATTACATGCAGAAGCCAAATATGAATCTAGCTATTTTCTATTTAGCTAGACATTAAAGATATTTTTCAAAATGTAAAGCAGTGCTACTCTTTCACCAATTTTTTTTTTAAATTTTAGAAAATCGGTATGTTACGTGTTTAAATGTTACTTATATTAATGGGTTTATTATTTATAAATGAGTTCATGCACATTTAATAACTTTCTCTGTTTTAATTTCTAATAAGGTAAAAATTTCTAAGGTAAACAAAAGCTAATTAAAAATATTAAGGGGGTTTTTAGTAATTTTTTAACGGTATAAATGGGTCCTGAGACCAAAAAGTTTAAGATTCACTGGATTAAAAAATTTTTTGAATGTGATTTTCATGTTTTCCATAAGAACAAAGTATTTACTTCTCTACAGATAAGTGCGATGGATGCATCTCCACGGAATATTTCTCCAGGACTTCAGAATGGAGAAAAAGGTTGGTTCTTGAGTCTGGTGATCACTTGCCGTAGGATTTAAAGAAATTTCTTATTGTATAAGTTGTTTTAAACTGTTTGAGCAGTTTTTCCGATGCTGTTGTTCATAGACTTCTTTTCCTTCCTGTAGAGCACTTGTAATCCTATCAGATTAAGATTATCATATAGTGTATTGCAATAAGATAAATCAGGTTATAGAAATACATGAAATATAAAGAAGGCTGCTATTAGGGGAAGAAAAAACAGAAAAAAGTAAATTGAATTTTTTTTGCTTATTACAAAGTCAATCCCCAGGTTTCATTGCAAAAATCTTATAAAGTTTAATTTACATTTTTAATGTCACTAAAATATTGTCTAGACCTAAGATGTCTTTCACAGTATTTCATTGAATAACTTGGTGTCATCATAGAAACTTTGTGGGGAAATTTACATAGACTGTAGAACCAGGAGCTCAACTTACAATTCTTGGCATTTTTCTATTATAATTGCTTTTTCTCTCCCAGAATAAGCATGCCGTCTTTCTCAGAGTGTCCTAATTTCATTCTCTATTAAACTAAAAACTAATATTTAGGTAGGCATTGTGGTATAATGGATAGCGTGTTGGATAGGAGTCAGTCTTGGTTGACAGTTGCGGTACTGCTACCAGGATTTGATTGTAGTCAAGTCATATATAATCTTTCTGGATTTTTGTGTCCATTTCTATGACATGAGCTATATGACCTAGATGATTTTTAAAAAGTAAAAATTCTACCTTTTAGGAAGTAGGCATATGAATGAGCATTTAAAAAATATTAGGTAGACATGGACTTAATGTATGTAAATGACTCATTTAAGATTGTGTTTTTCTTTAGAGGATCGCTTCTTAACAACTTTGTCCAGCCAGAGCTCCACCAGTTCTACTCATCTCCAATTGCCTACGCCACCTGAAGTCATGTCTGAACAGTCAGTGGGAGGGCCCCCTGAGCTAGATACAGCCAGCAGTTCCGAAGGTAGAGGTTAAGTCACTTTTACCATATTTCATTGTATCTAAGACTGAAAGATATATCATTGATTTACATGAATTACAGCCATTTCTCTAAGGACAGATATTTGCTTCATAATAACAGATTCATGCCTTGCTTTCTGTTTAGGTGGTAACTACTTAAATTATAGTATAAACTTTGAAATTAACTTTAAAATTGCTATTTAACTCGGGTGTAATAGCCACAGTGCTTCAGAGATGTTTAAAAAAAACAAGTGTCCCTTGGAGTCCATGCTGTGTATGCTTCACTGTTGTTTCCTGTTTTATCCCATAGTGGTCTTTTCCCTTGATCAGAAATTTTAAACTGTTATTGGTATAGTATACATATGTCCATATTCCGAAAGGAAAAGAACCAAAGTCAGCAGTTTATACTTCTTATTCTCTGTGAATATTAATATATAAGTAGACTATTTTTCATTTTAGATGTGTTTGATGGGCATTTGCTGGGATCCACAGACAGCCAAGTGAAGGAAAAGTCAACCATGAAAGCCATCTTTGCAAATTTGCTTCCAGGAAATAGCTATAATCCTATTCCATTTCCTTTGTAAGTATTATTAAAACCAGTGGCTCTTAGCAGGGGGGTTATTTTTCCTTAGTTGCTCGCTTCATATTTAAATATATTTATCTGATGCATGATTTTTCAATCCTAAATTTTATTTCATTTTAGTAAAAGAGATGTCTTTTGATACAATGTAATTTGTAGAATATATAATCATTATGATATAGTAGATGAGTGGATAAAGCACTAGCCAGTGTTACTTATAAATGTTTGAATTACTTGTTCTGGAAACACTTGTTTGTTTATCTTTTTTCAAAGATATGTGGCTATATCCACTGATTTAATAATTATAAAAACATATTGCTGGTTATATATGAGGTTGGTAGTTGATTTGCTGGGACATGGCATTGTCCTAGCACTGATGATGAACTACAGTGACTTGTACAAGTTTTCATGTGATCTTTTTTTTATGGGGTGCACTCAAATTTGGAAAGAATATAGGCTGGCTGTGAAAGTTTATTTTTCTTCCACTGGTTGACCCATGTGGCTATCAAATGCTGCCCTTGTTATGGAACAAGTATATCCAAAAAGTGGACATTTTTGTTAATAAGGCCTTTTATTTTATTAACTGACTTACATATTTATTCAATCAGTATTTAAACTTTTATTTAGTGCCTGTTTAAGTGTCCTGTGATGTAGAATAAGATTTGTAAGGAACTGTCATCACTCTTAGGAGCTCATAATCTTTGGGAAGATACAGTTAGGGCTCACAGTACAGTATGTGATATGTTACATGACAGTAAAATATAAAAGGTCCCTTTTTTCTCTACTTTAGACCTGATTATATCAGTTTCTTGATTGGGCTTGGATCCCTCTTATGTTATGGTCTTTGTTCATGCTCTCACATTTATTTTTATTTTTTTAATTTTTATTATTTTTGAGACAGAGTCTCCCTCTGTCACCCAGGCTGGAATGTAGTGGTGTGATCTTGGCTCATTGCAACCTCTGCCTCCTAGATTCAAGTGATTCTCCTGCCTCAGCTTCCCAAGTAACTGGGACTGCAGGTGTGCGCCACCACACCTGGCTAATTTTCGTATTTTTAGTAGAGACGAGGTTTCACCATATTGGCCAGGCTGCTCTCGAACTCCTGACCTCAGGTGATCTGCCCACCTCTGTCTCCCAAAGTACTGAGCTACTGGACCCGGCCCTTTAAACTTTTTTTTTTAATATAGTTTTTTTCTTTTTGTTTGTTTCTCTTCTCTCTAAACCACTTTTTGTGAAACACAGTCTTTTTTAATCATTCAGTCCTGTTCTTTCTAAGAAGAATTTACTAGACCTTCCCCCTTACCTCCTGCTCCAGTCAGAGTAGGTTTCTATTATATGCTCTTATGATTCCTGTCTTGGTCCGTTCATGCTGCTCTGATGAATTACCATAGACTGAGTTGCTTGTAGACAGCAGAAATTTAATTCTTACAGTCCTGGAGGCTAGAAGTCTGAGATGAGGGTGCCAGCATGGTTGGGTTCTGGCAAGGGTCCTCTTTTGGGTTGTAGATTGCTGTTGTCTCTTTGTATTCTCATGTGGTGGAAGGAGGCTGAGAGAGCTGTGTCCAGTCTTTTTTATGAGGACACTAATCCCATTCAAGAGTATTCCACTCTCATGACCTAAATTACCCCCTAAAGGCCCTACCTCCTTATACCATAACATTGGGGGTTAGGATTTTAACATATGAATTTTGTGGGAGCTGGGAGGGTAAACATTCATTCTGTAGCAATTCCCTCATAGCACTTACCACAGAGATTATATTTATTTATTTATTGGATTATCTGTTTCTTTACCCCCACTACACTATAAACCCTATGGTGCCAATTTTTTTTTTCGCCATTGTATTGTTAACATCTTACACATGTAAGATCCTTAAAAATAGTTTTTCTTCATATTGTATCCTTGGCATGTTTGGTGTTCAGTAAGTAGCACCTAAATTAAAAATGACTGTGCCTAACAGTGCCTAGGTGAGTTAGGGTCGGAGTCAGGGGA
The DNA here is from genome assembly GCF_000001405.40 of Homo sapiens. Lineage (NCBI taxonomy): Eukaryota > Metazoa > Chordata > Mammalia > Primates > Hominidae > Homo > Homo sapiens. The sequence goes on from NC_000002.12 coordinate 208,342,122, forward strand.
GCAAAATTTAAGTTGAAATGGAGCTACACTGGGTTTTTTTGTGTGATAATAGTAAAGTGGTTGTGTTGCATTGTTTATTATTGAACTAGTAGTATGTCTTCTCCACAATTTCTAGAAGACTTTTTCTCTCTAGCTTGTAATGGAACAAAATATTTTAGACTTCTGCTGTTCATTTTAAATTCTTTTTGAGATTAGTGTGGCCAGAGTCTTGGCAGTATGGAAAGGTTTGTTTGGAGTGACTATTGCAGAACTCTCTGATTTGAAACCTAATTAATTCTGATAATTTTCTAATTGCCTTCAAAAACTTTCTCTTGAAATCTTTTTCTTTCCTAATGATTCAGGTTATCATATCTGCATACATTTTGGCTTTCTTAATTATATTCTTAACTCTAGAGTACTTAGTTAACTTATGTATTTTAAAAATTTGCATAGTGATCCAGATAAACACTACTTAATGTATGAACATGAACGAGTGCCCATTGCAGTCTGCGAGAAGGAACCCAGCTCCATCATTGCTTTTGCTCTCAGGTATTATTCATGGGACTTTGACTTATGATGATATCTATGTATTTTATGTATGTCTATTAATCCCTTATTTTTGGAATCTTTCACATAAAGCAAAATGATTAAATATAAGCAAAAATATATGTTCTTTAGTCGTGATAGCTTGTTCTTTTTTTTTTTTTTTTTTGAGACAGAATGTCACTCTGTTGCCCAGGCTGGAGTGCAGTGGTGCAATCTCGGCTCACTGCAACCTCTGCCTCCTGGGTTCAAGCAGTTCTCCTGCCTCAGCCTCCCGAGTAGCTGGGACTACAGACACACACCACCATGCCCAGCTAATTTTTGTATTTTTAGTAGAGATGGGGTTTCACCATAATGGTTGGGCTGGTCTTGAACTCCTGACCTCAGGTGATCCACCCACCTCGGCCTCCCAAAGTGCTGGAATTACAGGCGTGAGCCACCATGCCTGGCAGCTTGTTCTTTTTGTGCATAAAAATCTTCTCTGAACCCAAATAATGAAGTATAGGATGATTCCTAAGTAAGCTCCTAATAACTAAATTGACTTGGCAAGTTATTTACTGAGCCTTGAATCCTCTATCCATTCTGTTAAAATATGTTTTCCCTTGTATCCCTTCTCTCAGTTTACTTGTTGACATAGTACTTGGAGCATCCTGCCTTGTACAATCTGAATATCTTTTTTGTACCATTCACTCATTTTCTACTACCCTACATACGAGGTAAAATTTTTCTACTTAGAAAACAGCAGTCACCTCTTACCCATTGAGGATATGTTCTAAGAACCCCTGTGGATGTCCGAACCTACAGATAGTACTGAACCCTATAAATGCTATGTTTTTTCCTGTACATACATACCTATGATAAAGTTAAATTTATAAATTAGCCTAGCCACAGTAAGAGATGAACAACAACAATAAGATAGGACAGTTTTATAATAATATACTACAACAAAAGTTATGTGAATGTGCTGTCTCTCTTTCTAAATATGTTAATGTTTTTGGACTGCAGTTGACTGTGGGTAATTGAAACCATGGAAAGTGAAACTATGGATGAGGAGGGACTACTGCAATGCTGTTCTTATGCCTTATTCCGTAGACATTTCTGACTTTTTAGTTTATACAGTTATCATATATCTTAAAGCTATATCCACTGTAAAAATATATAGTATGTCTAAAAGGGCAAAGCTTTTAAACTTTTTTTTTTTTTTTTGAGACAGAGTCTTTCTCAGTTGCCCAGGCTGGAGTGCAGTGGTGTGATCTCGGCTCACTGCAAGCTCCGCCTCCGGGTTTCACGCCGTTCTCCTGCCTCAGCCTCCCAAGTAGCCCGCCACCATGCCCGGCTAATTTTTTTTGTATTTTAAGTAGAGACAGGATTTCACCATGTTGGCCGGGATGGTCTCCATCTCCTGACCTCGTGATCCACCCGCCTCGGCCTCCCAAAGTGCCGGGCTTACAGGCGTGAGCCACCGCACCCAGCCTTAAATCTTAAGAACATCTTGGTGGTAGCTGAACTTAGTTTAAATAGAATCTAAGATGTTTAAAGCAATTTTTTCCCACTGGAAGGCATTACAGTTTTTAATTTTTCTTGTTAGATGGTGGTTCCAGGGAGTCCATTTATTCAACAAATATTTGAATGTTTACAAAATGTGATATACTAGATATTGGATGTACAGGAGTAAATAAGATAGATTTACATGCCTCTGCCTTTATGCAGTTTAGAGTTTACTGTGTAGATAATGAGGAATTTTTTTCCTTTATAAGATTCCATATGATAACATTTTTAGCCTTTGCCTTTGGCCTTTGTGAACATAATATAAGCTTCTCACTTTATTTAATAGTCATAATATATTAATAGGTAAGAAAGGTAAGAGAGTCAACCAAATCAAAAGTATTTTTTGTACTATTAGGAAGTAAGGATTCTAGCTGAGATCATCTTTTTTCAATGTCTTAGAAAAACAATACATCCTAACATGCCTCTCTTGTTGCATGACATTTATCTAAAGCAGGGTTCCTAAACTGCTAACCTAAGAGTCAGGTTTTTTTTTTTTCTTTTTGGTTAATAGAACATTAAACATTTTTTTCCCCTTAAAGTTTAGTATGTTAAGTAGAAAAGCACTCTCAAGTTCTTTTTTTCTCTATTGTACTCAACACTGAGGCTTCAAACTTTTACCTGTTCAATCCCTGAAGTCATTTGATCTAAATATTAGTAAGTAGGCTTTTAAAATCTTTGTTGAGGGTATTGATACTGGTTGATGAGTCAGTGGGTCATATTTTGTATTACCTTCTATGAAGACATTGACCTTCCTCATGAAGCTTCTACTTGATTGCTTTTGTCAGTTAACCAAAATTATTTAATTATGGAAACGTATAATGATTGTGCTTCTATAATGCAAAACTTACTCTAAAGCTTATGATTTACTTTTAAAGAAGAAGTTAATGTTTAACGTTTTTCAACCTATTTCTGCCCTAAGTTGTAAAGAATACCGAAATGCCTTAGAGGAATTGTCTAAAGCGACTCAGTGGAACAGTGCCGAAGAAGGGCTTCCAACAAATAGGTGATTCATGATTGAGTAGAAACTATTTTAATTTAGTTATGTTATCATTTTCTATATGCTTGTACTTCAGTTTTATTACAGCATTTATCATCATAAAAATTTCTAGGATTCAGATAGTGGCACTCATATTTCAGCCAATAATTGAGACAACAAAGCTCAAATATAGCAAAAGAACTTAAACAGTCCCTCAGGATGCAGTTTTATGATAATTGCAATAGCAGTTAAATGTATATTGCAGATTTAAGGACATTTTTGAAAAAAATGAAAAGGTGTTTTTATTTAAAAAATAATAACTTGTAAAATTGGTAAGCTCCTGCTTGACTTGGCAATTCAAAGTATCTGTGAATTGTTTATAATAAATAAAGGTCCTAATACTTCAAAAACCAAACCCAAACCAGTTATTTTGGCAAGTTCAGTATTTTAGACTTTTAGACAGAAATTGTCACATGCTCATTATTGTGATTCTTACTGAAATAGAGTTTCCATCTCTACTAACATTATAGTTTTATCTGAATTGTCATTGTGATAACTAGTGTGAGAGAAAGGAATTGATATTTTCTGTAGTTGTTTGATTTATGGGTGCTGATATAGTGTTAATGGACTTGGGAAACATAATGTATTCCTCCATACATTTTTATAGTTACAGCATTTCACTTTAAGTCCAGTAGATATTTCAGACTTTTTTTTCTGTGTTCTAGCCTGTGTTTATGTAAATTATGAATCAGACTTTTGATATTGTAGGTGGGCTTAGGTAGGAAGTAAATCAGTGTACAGCGTAATTAGTGTAGAGTACTTACTATTTTCTGTTTGACTTGTATAAAACTAAATTTTTCTTTTTTTTTCTTTTCATTTTAGTACTTCAGATAGCAGACCAAAGAGTAGCAGCCCTATCAGATTACCTGAAATGAGTGGAGGACAGACAAATCGTACAACAGAAACAGAACCACAACCAAGTAAGATTACACATGGAGGAATATTTATAATTAGATTTACCTATAATTATGGTTTGAAAAAGAAAATACATAAAAACAAATAAGTACTATCTGGCAATGATTTACTACTTATGATCTCTGAAATACAAATTTAGATATTTTTGTATGCCCTCTTTATACGTGTTTTGCTTTTCTTCGTTGATTCTTGTCTCAAGTGTAAGTTCAAGGTATTGAATTAGAAACTTTTAGAAGCTCTTTGGTCTATGCAAAAAGGAGAATCTGCTTCCTAGAAGAGCTTTCAGTTTAAAATATACAACCTAAGATGCAAGATACGTTTTTTTCCTTTCTAGTTTTACAGTATTACTGGCACTATGAAAATAAATTTTCATACATTCCCTCCTTTAATCCCCCTAGTAACCACATAAGAATTATTTGACATATCCTTATTTTTCAAGAAGGAACTTAAAATTTAGATTTAGTAACTTGTTCAAGATTTGACAGTGCTGGAGCTGGGATTTGAATTTGTGTTTCTCTGACTTTGTCAGGAACACATTCAGCTACAAGTAACACAAAATTCAACTGTAAGGATTTAAACAAATGACAGCTTATTTTTCTAAAATAACCAAACCTGGAGGTTGGCAGTTGCTGGCATTTGTTTAGCTGCTCAGCATTGTTATAACATTAGGGGAATAGTTTCTCTATGATTCCTTTACGTTTTCCTCATGGTTAAAAGTGTTTCATTTTTGTTTGCATTTGAGGTAGAAACAAGGGTGTTGCAAGCTGCCGCTGTTCTCTTTCATTAGGAAAGCAGAGGCTCCTCCTTTAGTCAGTCTCATTGGTCAGAACTGAGGCTCATGGCCACTCCTGACTGAAAGAGACAGAGAAAGTAGGGAGCAGCATTGTCCCGGTTGGGTTATACAAATCATGATCCTTTCCTGGTGCTGTACACATAGTTACACACCCCACCCCGCTCCCCTCTTCCCCTAAGTTGGCATTCTGTTGGTGGGGAACCAGGTAGGAGTGGATATTAAAGAGGCAATACTAGTGTCTGTTACCCAAGTAAGCACATTTATGATTGACATTTTCTGTGAGTTTTGTAAATGGTAAATTTGCAAGAATTAGAATCATATTAATAGTATGATGAATGAAGCTCAAAACTAGGAGTAAAAGTATAGAGCAAGCTTTAGTAAATTCTTGGCTGTTTGATGGCCTTTTTTATTTTTTGAAAGATGCTAAAAAGGAAATCTTATATTTTCCTGTGTTAAACTGTAGGAACACAAATGACACAAAGATGTTACCTTTAACTGAATTCTTGTAGCTTGTGAAATTGTTTTGTGTTCATTTAGTTAACTATATTGCAATACTGTAAGAACTCAGCCCTAATATAATCTTGTTGCTTAAGCTGTGACTGCCTTTGAAAGATATTTTTGAAAGGCTTTCTAGATAATTCCCTATATTTTTATATTAATCTAGCTGAGTGTTAACCTTCTATCTTTTTTTATGTTTTTATTAATAGGGGTTTTTGTTAAAAAGGGTGCTTGATTACGCAAAAACAACATGTGAAACAATAAGTAACAACATGAAGGACAATGTGCAAACAAAAGTATTTGCATTACTCAGATTGATTAGCTTCATATAGTGGTTACAACTAACAAAGAAATGAGCTGAAAATTTTTATTTTTCATCTGTAGTGACCTGTACTTAAAATTAATATGTTACTTCTTATTTTTAGCCAAAAAGGCTTCTGGAATGTTGTCCTTCTTCAGAGGGACAGCAGGGAAAAGCCCCGATCTCTCTTCCCAGAAGAGAGAGACCTTACGTGGAGCAGATAGTGCTTACTACCAGGTTGGGCAGACGGGCAAGGAGGGGACCGAGAATCAAGGCGTTGAGCCTCAAGGTGTGTTAAAGAAGAGTAAATGTGCTTATTCTATGCTTTGATTTATTTATTTTAGTTGCATATATTTCTTATAGCCTTAAATAGATAATTCTTAGTGCTGAAACTGGGGCATTCCCTCTGTTCTCACTTGTCAGTGTGGTAGAGTGGAAAAAGCATGGCACTGGGAGAGTCCAACTACTTTCAGATTTCACTGCCATCGTGTACTGTGTGGTAGAATCAGAAATCTTTAGTTTCCATAACGTGTAAAGTGGCAAAAACAATGTCTTCCAAGGTTGATGTGACATTCCACATGTAAAAACATTTGTCTTAATATGTAACTCATATTATATACTCAAATGTTTTCATTCCACTACTCCCTCAAATGTTTTCTTTCTTTTCAAGTCCCTGTAAAGTTGCAGCTATTTATGTCCCCTTTCATTTTGACATTTAAAAATTATGTCTAATGCTGGGTGAGATGGCCCATGTCTATAATCCCATCACTTTGGGAGGCTGAGACGGCAGGATCACTTGAAGCCAGCAGTTTGAGACCAGCCTGGGCAATAAAATGAGACCTCTGTCTCTACCAAAAAAAAAAAAGTGTGTGTGTGTGTGTGTGTGTGTGTGTGTGTGTGTGTATCTACCTCATTGTGTTTGGGTATGGGTTTAGATCAGGAATAGGCAGACTCTGATGACCTGTTTTTGTAAATTAACGTTTATTGGGAAACAGACCCATTCATTTACTTATCATCTGGTTGCTTTCACTTTATATTGGCAAGTTGAGTAGTTGGAACTTTTTCAGAGTGAAATATTTGCTCTGTCTCTATATAGAAATAGTTTGGTGACCTCTGGGTTAGTCCGTGAATTAGTAGTTTTAAAAAATAGCAACTGCTGGGCCCAGTATGGTAATCCCAGCACTTTGGGAGGCTGAGGCGGGCGGATCACTTGAGACTAGGAGTTGGAGATGAGCCTGGCCGACATAGAGAAACCCCATCTCTACTGAAAATAAAAAAATTAGCCGGGCCTGGTGGCGCATGCCTGTAATCTCAACTACTTGGGAGGCTGAGGCACGAGAACTGCATGAACCCAGGAGGTATAGGTTGCAGTGAGCCGAGATTGCGCCATTGCACTCCTGCCTGGGTGACAGCAAGACTCTATCTCAAACAAACAAAAAAACCAACTGCTGTAATAAATTTTGACTAGTAATTAAGATATCTGTTTAGTATTCTATAGGCTGCTTGCTATTGGGCTGTAGCTGTTTATAATGGGATCCTTGGAAGGCATAGATGCTTCAAAAATTATTTTGAAATGTGAAACTTAGGGGACTATTTGTTCTTCTAGATATTAAGATGTATTTTAAATCTCTAATAATTAAACAGAAAGTAGTAGGCTTGCAAAGCAAGTCAGTCACATATAAAAAAATAGCTCTGACATAGATTCTAGTATATTTTATGTATAAAAATATGTTTTAAGTATATTAATATATAATTGTATTATATGTTAATTATGTATGTTATATAATTATATATGTTATAGGCTAATAAAGTTATATATTATGTAACTAGTATATAATTTTATGTTTTAAAATTATGTTTTATAAAATAATATTTTATGCATATTTTATATAGCTTAGTACATGATAAAGCATTGCAAACTATTGGGGAAACATTATTCTACACACATGGGGAAAATAGTCATAATAAAGAAGCCATGGAAGTTCTTGGTATAAGAACTGAGTTACTATATTGCCACTGTAGGAATCATTCAGTTGTAAGAAAAAGTATTCAACCTAAATTCTCTATTTTTCTAATTTAAAAACTGAAATTCCAAAAAACATACATTTTTATTGTGATCATTTAGACAGTTTAATTGTATATCTTATGCTTGCTTGATAGTGACTTGAGTAGGATATTTTTACTTTTAATTTGCTAAGTTTTTTTGTTACATCAAGGAAAAAGGAAAGGACAAAATGAACTGATAATTACTCAAAACCTTGGCTTTACTAATGATATTAAACCTTTTAGATGAAGTAGATGGAGGAGATACACAAAAGAAGCAACTCATAAATCCTCATGTGGAACTTCGTAAGTATGAGATATTATATCATTGGTTTGGGGAGAGGGACTACAGTTGAGCCATCTCTATTATTTGAGAATTCTAGCTTCATACTAAATAAATGTCCCAGTTCTTGAAATGAATATTAAGTCTTTATGCTGACATGAGGTATATTTAATCAACAGTTTATAAAATATAAATTTAATTTATAAAGAAATTTAATCAAAAGTATAATTTATTTGTAAATTATGCTCTTATTTCTAATAGTTAAACATTTACTTATTATGTAATCTAGAGCCACAGAATTTTGACAGTTGCATTTAGAATTGTGTATATGTGTGCCAGAAACGTATTATCCAGAATAATATGTACAGTACATTTTAAGATATTTATTAAGAATTACTATAAAAGTACAATGATGTTAATATGGTAGGTAACAAGTGTAAAATTAGAACTGAGTCTTTTTTTTATGTGATTTTTATTTTTTTCTCTTTTTTTGGAAAGTATGTAAGGATGGTCATACGATGTTCTTTAATTCCCCCTGAAGATCAGTTTAACAAAATTGTGATAAATAGGGATTTGGATCTAACATGCAAAATGCCATCATGAAGAAACTTAAGTGGTTGCATTTGGCCAGGGTAGGGAGTGAGGGAGCGGAGGAGGAAAGATATTTTCTGAGTCATAAAGCTTTTTAAAAAAACTTCTGTTGTTTATAGAATTTTCAGATGCTAATGCCAAGTTTTACTGTCGGCTCTACTATGCGGGAGAGTTTCATAAGATGCGTGAAGTGATTCTGGACAGCAGTGAAGAAGATTTCATTCGTTCCCTCTCCCACTCATCACCCTGGCAGGCCCGGGGAGGCAAATCAGGAGCTGCCTTCTATGCAACTGAGGGTGAGCCTTTCTCATCGTTTATTGATTGGTTCAGTAGTCTTCATCTCTTTACCTCAGAAAATGCAGCAGGAAGGATATTGCTTAATAAGAACTTTCATAACTATGACTTACTAGTTTTAACAGAGGTGTTTATAAAGTTTTATTTAGTAGTTTTAAAAAGTAGATCTTCTAGAACTGAACTTAGATGTGTTATTGACAAAAGTAGAGGGTTTTTGACTATATAAATCCACAGGATCCCTTCAGTTAATTGAGAATTGTGTTCTGATCAAAATTTTCACTGTGACATTAGAAAATTCCCCTTAAAATCATAAAACAACCTAATCATTTAGGATCTTTGGAATGATGTGTTATAGATTACAGTATATATTGTGATTGAGTAAACACATAAAATTTCTGCCTTTTAGATGATAGATTTATTTTGAAGCAAATGCCTCGTCTGGAAGTCCAGTCCTTCCTCGACTTTGCACCACATTACTTCAATTATATTACAAATGCTGTTCAACAAAAGGTAGAAATCTAAAACCATGGTCTGTAATCAAAGTTTGGTGGCTTTTTTCACATCCTGAATCTTTCTGTTAGTCTATTCTTGTGTTGCTATAAAGAAATACCTGAGGCTGGGTAATTTGTAAAGAAAAGAGGTTTATTTGGCTCATAGTTCTGCAGGCTGTGTATACAAAGCATAGTGCTGGCGGCGTCTGTTTCTGGTGAGGGCCTCAGGAAGCTTACAGTCATGGTGGAAGGCAAGGGGAGCCAGCATGTCACATGGTGAGAGACGGAGCAAGAGAGCGGGGTTGGGGGTGGGGGAAAGTGCTGCATTCTTTTAACTAACCAGATCTTGCGTGAACTCAGAGCAAGAACTTATTACTGCAAGGACGGCACCAAGCCATGTATGAGGGTTCTGCTCCCATGACCCAAATACCTCTCACCAGGCCGCACCTCCAACATTGCAGATAACATTTCAACATGAGATTTGCAGGGGCAAACATCCAAACTGTAACAGTCCTAATGGCAGTTTTCTCTGTGGTAAGATATATGCAGGACACAAATTGATCTCTGTTATGCTATTGAGGTATTATAGGATTCAGAGATCTTAAACTATATATTTCCTGCGTTTGTTAGTGAGGAACCAAGTGATCTTGAGCAAGTTGCCTTTAATTAGTTTATATAAAAAATCACTTAAGACATTAAGACTGGATGAAATTAGGTGCACATTCAGTAGTTGGTAATTTTGCTGAGACTGAAATTTGAAACGTGTATTGAGAAACAAGGGGATGCTTCCTTTAGCTAGAAAGAGAGGCAGCCAATGGCCCAGGTTTGCCCACTTGTCATTGAGCAGCCACCAGTGCCCCCCACCCCATCCCAACTGCCATCTTAGAATCATGAAAGAGTTACATAGTTTTGGGTTTTTTTTTTGAAGTTATCATGGTTTATTACGTAGTATTGGGGGAAATTACATGTCATAATGAAGTTTTTGAATTTAATCAACTGAAGGATTATTCCTTGGGAGAATGTTAAGGATCTAATATTTTTATTGGCATTGCTGCTGTACTCACTTCTGAGATTCAAGAGTTTGAGTTTTTTTCAAAGTCCTTTGGTCATATTAATAGAAAATTATGTTCAGTTATTACATGGATAATCCTTATATTGGTATTAAATTATAAATAACCCTTTTTGATAAGAATTTATTTTGACCTTCTCTTGATTAGAGGCCCACGGCGTTGGCCAAAATTCTTGGAGTTTACAGAATTGGTTATAAGAACTCTCAGAACAACACTGAGAAGAAGTTAGATCTCCTTGTCATGGAAAATCTTTTCTACGGGAGAAAGATGGCACAGGTAAGGGTATTGGACTATGTGAAGCATTTAGCTACTGGAACCTTTTGTACCTTTGGTTCTTAAATATAGTGAATCAGAGAGTAACATCTTATTTTATAGTAAATATTTAACTTTGGTTACTAGGCCATATTTAACTTTTGACTTGCTCAGCCTTGGAGAAAGAATGAAGAGGAATTATTCTTGTGGAGTGGTCTTAAAATACAGCATATCCAATATTCTAGAATCACAGAATTGGTAGAATAAGAAGGCAGATCTACTTCCCGCATCTTTTTTGAAGATTAAGAAGCTGAGGCATACAGAAATTAAGTACTTCATTAAAATCACTCAGTTATTCCTAGACTCAGGTTAGTCTAGATTCTAAAACAGTACTGTTCAAAGAGCTAGTCCTTGAACTGTTTCCAGTCTATGATAAGATAAGGAACGTGTGCTAGAATGTAATTCAGTTCACTGCTTTCTTCATTGAGAACACCTTCTATGAGAAAAATGTCAGCTGAACTAAACAATATACTTAATAATGTAATTGATTTATATTCTGGCACTAGTTCCCTAATGTTGTAGTGAGCCAGGAGCAACTGACCAGCATTGGTCTGTAGAATATACTACAGGTTGTACTGGTCCTGGTACTCAAGTCCCCTGTCCTTTGAGTGCATTGCTTTTCCTACCACCCAAATATTCCTGTGTTATGCTCTTCTACATTGCTGTAAGTAATTGTCCAGAGTTTGGTATCAAAACTATGTTTCTTAAGACTATTTGCATCTCTCTCTTTTTTTTTTTAACACTGTTTTGTGATCCAATGATGTATTTCTGGAGTTACTTGTTAATGTATCTTGAAGTTGATTAAATTGGCCAGTGTATTTCGGAAACGTTTCAGTAATTGAGTACCTAGGTGTTAATTTTAAATGATAGAATTATGTTACTGTGTATTTTATGTACTGTACAATGATATCACCATGCGTTTAAAAACTTAAAAATTATGATTCAATTTTCAGTTAAACTTTGGAGTGTGTGTAATGGTAGTGACTATAAGGAGTCTTTCTGCCTTTTTTATTTACTTACATTAACTAATCATTTGTGGCAACCTGTACATAAATGACAAAGCATTTTCTTTTTACTAGGTTTTTGATTTGAAGGGCTCTCTTAGGAATCGGAATGTAAAAACTGACACTGGAAAAGAGAGTTGTGATGTGGTCCTGCTAGATGAAAATCTCCTAAAGATGGTTCGAGACAACCCTCTATATATTCGTTCTCATTCCAAAGCTGTGCTGAGAACCTCGATCCATAGTGACTCCCATTTCCTTTCTAGCCACCTCATTATAGATTATTCTTTGCTGGTTGGGCGAGATGATACTAGCAATGAGCTAGTAGTTGGAATTATAGGTAAGTCAATGAGTACCCTGCTTATATTTCATGATTGAAGTCAGAGTCAAATTTTAAAGATTCTATTGAACCTGGTCTAATAATAGCTTATTGAATATTTTCACAAACTTTCATTTGAAATTTCAAAAATAAGTTTTTTATTCTAGTCTCTTCTACTCAGTTTCCTCATTTTCATTATCTCTACCAAAAATATGTGAATTAAAAAAGTCACTTATAAATGAGGACTTTTGTGATTGTTGTGAGGATTAAACAAATTAGTGTGGAGAAACCCTGAGAACAGCACTTGGCACATTGTTAGCACTCAATAAAAGTTAACTGTCATAGAAGTAGTAGTAATAGTCATTGCTGTTGTCATTTGATTATATTTATTAACATAGCTTTATTGCTAATTTCACTCCTTCTACCCCCCAGATTATATTCGAACATTTACATGGGACAAAAAGCTTGAGATGGTTGTGAAATCAACAGGAATTTTAGGTGGACAAGGTGAGAATTTTTGTTTTGTTTAAATTGTTCACATGTATTTCTTATCAGTTAAAATTTTAAAAGTGGATACTGATTCTTTTTTTTAGTTGTAAAAAATAAGTGGTTATCATTGATTTCATTGTCATTTCTAAAGTGACCAAACAATAATGAGAATTATATAGGTGGGGAAATATTGGGTGTAAATATGTGTTAAAATGTCAGAGGTTCTCAAAAAGATTTTTTAAAAAGCCAGATGTTCTGAATAAGAGATTGTCTTTAATTAACACTTGAGACTTCCAAGTTCTCTAAGCACTGTTAGCCTCATTTGTGCTCTTAGACATCGCTCATCTCTAGGCAGGAGCTAGTCTTTTTAAACAGAAACTCGTACCAGGTAGGACTTTGTCCCATGGCATGTGGCACAACAGATAACCTTTCCTGCCCACTCAGACTGCTTCTGCATGTGTATCTTTATGGCAGTTTATATGAAAGAACATGGTCAGTTGACTTCAGTTGCCCAATCAATTATATAACAGCTTTTTCCCCCTTTTCTCTTTCATAATCTCAGGTAAAATGCCAACAGTGGTGTCTCCGGAGTTGTACAGGACTAGGTTTTGTGAGGCAATGGACAAGTATTTCCTAATGGTACCAGACCACTGGACAGGCTTGGGTCTGAATTGCTGAAATCAAGCACATATTTTGAAATGGACTGTGAAGGAAAAGGGGACAGGAACAAAGGACCAAAAATAAGCTACATGTTTTATTTCTTCATCGTGTTCACCACTGTATGCCAAGGCTTTTCAGTTCTGTGGCTGTTTAGACTGTCCGTAATGGAATGGTAAAACTCCATGAATTTGCACTTTGGTTTTTGATACCTGTGGAGCTGTCTGTAGGTTGGGAAGTGGCATGAAAATTTTCTTAAGCTAAAATACAGACATGTTTCAAAGGGCTAAAGTTGGAGATGAGTAGATAGGGTGAAAAATGGGTTAAATTTGCTAGCTTAATTGTTTTAAGAAGAAAACAGTGTCTCATAAATTGACTATCCTGGCATCACATTTAACATGTTATCTACTTAGAAAGCATTTGTAGAGCTGCTGAATTTGTTTTGTGTTTTTCTGTAATAATTTAATGTTACTTATTATCAGAATTTCTGAAACCTTTACAAAAATTCTGATTTATTCCATTAATGGCCGGTTAAACACGTGGGCATTTATTGTTTTATTGAGGAATTTGACTTAAACTGGGAATCCTGTCATGTTGTTTATCTTTCCAGCTTGCCTGTTTTTGAGTATGTTTGATGTTTTTAAAATTTTGTCTTCTCTGTGGAAGACAGGAGGCTACAGCAATTAACTTTAAGCCTCCTTTTAGAGATATTTTTAAAACTTGTTTAAAATTTTTGTGCAATTCATATATTAAATTGCACTTACTTGCATACGCTCATATTCTAGGGTTTTTTCTCTATTTTTAGGGTATCATAGTAAATCATTAGTAAATGAGTCTGTAGTTACTAAACCCTAATGGAATAATTATTAATGAAAGATTTTTGAAATATAAAAAATAAATTAGGCCCAATCCAAGAAATTGAGTGAGAAGGAAACACTTGTTTTATTCACAGAGGTAAAGTGTCTTTTCAATATAACCAGCAATTTAGGTGGCATCTATAAAATAAAAAATTTCTACTGTGGACATCCCCTTTTCCAACTTTCTACATAATGGCTAGTTCTGACTACTAAGAAATGTTAAGAAATAGGCCAAGTGCGGTGGCTCACGCCTATAATCCTATCACTTTGGGAGGCCTAGGCAGGCAGATCACCTGAGGTCAGGAGTTCAAGACCAGCCTGGCCAACATGACGAAACCCCATCTCTACTAAAAAGACAAAAAATTAGCTGGGCATGGTGGCATATACCTGTAACCCCAACTACTTGGGTGGCTGAGGCAGGAGAATTGTTTGAACCTGGGAGGCGGAGGCTGCAGTGAGCTGGGATTACACCATTGCATTCCAGCCTGGGCAACAGAGCAAGACTGTCTCAAAAAACAAAACGAAACAAAAAAAGAAAGTTATTCTTAGTAAGGAACTTCTTGTTTAATAGCATTTTTGTTTATTTTAAAAAGTGATCAGAAGTAGTAAACTATCTTTGAGGAAATACTGTAACCCCAGAATATTTCCTCTTGACTTCTTTTTGTAACAAGGATAATTTAGGGATTTATAAAGTTGTAAGGATTTCACTGTTTTTGGACTGCCTATAATAATAGCACATTAACCTTCACATAATAAGAAATCTGGACAAGTTCAGTTACACAGTATGATGAATACTTGAATTAGGAACATTGTGGAAAATTTGCTTTAGAGAATCAAGGCAGTAGTTTGGTATTTGGTGCTTATTAAAAATGTGGTTTGTTTTGAACTGGAAGCAAGTTGACCAAGGACTTATGACTAATGTGATGCTAAGTTCCACTTGGCCCCTTTTAAAAACGTGTATGTGCCTTTTGAAGATACACAAAACACTGAGGATTTTAGTTTTGAAATCAAAGACTATTAAAGGAGCTGTACAGAGGTAAAAAAATAAATGTGGAACATTATTAACTTACTTTGTGTCTAGGAACAATGGATTTTGTATCTGATTTAAAATGCCAACACTGTTTTGTCTCTGTTCATTTTTTCTGTGAGGATACTTAAGGTTATTATTCCTGTCTGTTTCCTGTACTCCCCTAGTCATGAGCACTTGAAGTACAAGGTGTCTCCCCCTAGGTGCAATTAGGTTGTTTCTTTGTTTTTAGTTTCAATTCTATGTGCATAGCAGGAATGCTCCACAGGAATGGCTTCTGACAATAATCTGTCCTGTTGATTTTGTTTTCCTTGCCCATGACTTGAACAACTGTGTTTTAAAGTACTGTAGTCTAGTAGGTAACTTTGTGGCAAAAATTTTCAATATAATACATTCTGAAACAATAGTTGCTGCCTTGCAAAGGTAATCTCTCATTTTAAAATTGGACAGTATTAATGAAGGGGAAATATACAATTTATTTCTATTGAGTGGTAGAACTATATGTCTGGTCCCTTGCTGCTCTTGTTTAGGCCACTATCATAGATATATTTCAAATATTGTACTACTCAGTGTTAAGTATTGAATGACTGTTTCCCTTTCCTTCAAGGCCTAGAGTATATTCTGAAAATTTAGGAATGAGGAAGAAATCTTAATACTTCCTTCCTTAACATACAACATGAGTCCCGAGAATAATTGATAGTAGCAAGAGAAAACTATGTCAGTAACATGTTGCTTTGTATAAAAATCTTATTTATAAATGTGAAGCTTTTTGATGCCATCAAAACTTATTAAAAAATAGGATTTACTTTTTTCTAATTCTGACCTAAGAAAAATAATGAGAACAAGCTGTTGCAAGCTCTTTTGTAGTCTATTGAATATTTTATAGATATTCAAAATTTCCTACAAACTATAATTTTTTCCATGATTTAGCAGTGAGTGATTTTCTAGCTTTGGCTCTTATTAGGTATTGTAAATAGTAGGGTTATATCGATATCAGCTTTTGTGATGGCATTGTGGTCATCAGCTTCATGACATTTTACCCATTTGCAGTGATCCTGTGTAAAACTGCCAAGGAAAGTAATTACCTGTAGGAGTTTGCTGAGCTTGAAGAGTGAAAACTGTTGTGAATGAGCCTGATCATAAAACGGACCAGGCCATTCATTATTCCTCAAGTGTTAATATACTGACTTATGCAGTATTCAAACCATCTAGTGCAATGTTTTTGTTTTTGTTTTTTTTTTGGTAACACAGGTGCAGTGTATTATAGAAAAAATAAAAACTACAATCATTAGCAGTTTTAATACTGCTGTGTCAGTTTTGTAAAAAATGTACATTATGTCTTTTGACATGTTGAATTTTAAACTAGGGAAATGACATTGTAAATCATAGTAGCCTCTTTTAATTTAATATGAAAAATGCCACTATATTGAAAGTACTTAATGTATTGTATATATTTCTCTACTTTGGTTCTAGCTATTTTATATGATTGACATGTTATTTAAAAGATAACTGCCTTGAACTTTTGGAGACTTGTACTGTAAATAAAGAAATCTTAACAATAAACTCAGAATCTACTTACTCCACTTAGTTTTGAATCTGCTTGAAGAAATTGACAACAAAAGGAAATGGAGTTTGTCCTGCAAGCCTAGTCTTTGTGTTACTGGTGGAGGGTGTCCAGGTTCTTGGCGTTTTGAACAAAGAATTGGACAAAACACAAAAAGCAAGGAAAGAATGAAGCAACAAAAGCAGAGATTTATTGAAAACGAAAGTACATTCCACAGAGTAGGAGCCCAGGAGCACTGGGGCACAACAGCTCCCGTTACAGAACTTTCTGGGGTTTAAATACCCTCTAGGGATTTACCATTGGTTAGTTGGTGTACACCCTGTGTAAATTAATTAGTGGCCTGCAATCAGTGTGATTGGTTGCAGAAAGCAACCCATCAGGCTGAAGTGAAGTTACAAAGGTTAAACCCTATGCAAGTGTCGTTGTGGAAAACAACCAGTCAGAGGCCGAAGTTACAAAGGTTACACCCTATGCAAGCATCTCATTGGTTGTGGAAAGCAACCAATCAGAGGCTGAAGTGAAGTTACAAAGTTACACTCCTATGCCAATGTCTGGTTGCAGAAAGCAGCCAATCAGAGATGCTTTCAATTTTCCGTCTGCCATGCAGAAAAGGGAAGAGGGTGCTTGCAAACGGAGTATTCCAGTCCTTTTGTTACTTAGATGTAGAAAGTTGGGGTTTTCCTTTTGATTTAGTTCTAGAAAGTCAGTGTGAATCGGCCTTAGGTTCCCTGCCTCCAGACTATTCTGCCTCACCTGGCCTAGCAGTGTCGCTTTCTGTTCATTCTGTTCATTCTCTTCCTGGTTGTTTAACCACTGGAGAATCCGTAACTTAAGGTAAACCCACAGTTCATTTCAGCCAATACTGGGCAAGCAGCATTCCCCTTCTTTCTTCTGATAGGGCACTAAAGGAAGTCCTGCCCTCTTCCATTTGCGATTGGCTGAATTTGTGGGTGGGCAGGGCTCTCCGCTGCCAGTGCCTCCGTGCTCCGAGGGACCACAGGTCCACTACGTGAGGGGAGGCTTCCCTCCCACAGGAACTCACACCTGTGGGCAGGAAGCCGGGAGGCCCGCCCCCTGCCTGGGTTCCTGCAGGGGAAGGCGAGGGTGGCTGGATAGAGCGTACCCTGAGAGGTGGTTGGGCAGGAGGCTGGGCTGGTGGCCAGCTGCGCAGGGAGACCGGGAGGTGGCAGATCTGCGGGGCGCCCAGTCACTTCCTCCACGTTCTCGTGCTGGGCGGGAGGAGCGGATGGGGCTTGGGAGGCAGCCTGCTCTCCAGTCCCTATCCACCCACAGGTTTTTTGGGTCGGAGAGGAATTATCTGATAAAATTCCTGGGTTAATATTTTTAAAAACGGAGAGTTTTTAAAAATGATTTTTTTCCCTCGAAAATGACCTTTTTATGCTTCGAAGCAGTTTGTCACCAGCATAGTGCTTTTTCTTTTCTCTTCTTTTTCTACGATAAATGAAAGCATTTCTTCAAGAAAAAGGCACAGGTTCCTTGAACAGGTAAGAAGAGCGCCCCACTTGTTCTCCCGCCTTCTGCGTGAGCAGCCCCTACGGGGTCTCCTACTGGTCCCTAGGAACTTTCGCCACACCCGGAGCGGCGGCCTCCCCGAGCCCCTCGGGGCCCCTTCCCTGGCAGCTGGGATGAGGGCAGCGTGCTCCTCGCAGGTTACTTGGTCCTGAGGTCCTCCCTCAGGCGCTGGGCATGCCTGGGGCGCAGAACCGCAGCTCTGGGCCAGACCCGGCTGAGACTGTGCTTGTGCGGCGAGTGGAGGCCGCTCCCGGGGCCCTGCCGCCCTCTCGCTCGCTCGGGGCTCTGGAGTCTGGCGGGCCGCAAGCCGCGCTGCCGGCTCTACCTGGCTTTGTCCATCCAGCCACCCACCAAGCGCCAGGGTAAAACAGCACCCGGAAGCAGTCGTCGCCTGCTGCCACCAGGCTGCCTTCTGTGGTGAAGGTGGGGGCCAGGGTTGCAAGGCCCTCCTCTTGTTGGCATCAGCCAGGCACGCAGTGCTGTCGTGGCTGACCCAGGCCGTGAGGCACCCGCTGACTGAGAAGCCAACCTGAGCACCCAGCCGCACCTACCGCTGGCCTCAGACATCAGCACCCCAAAGGGTATGTTGGAGTCCCATGGTGGAGGTGCCGGCCGCTCCTCCACGCACTTGATGTATACCGAGGATCCCATGCTTGACGTCGCAGGGGGCATTAGCCAGGAGCACGTTGCTGGGATGCCAGTCCAGGCTGAGGATGGTGGAGCCAATGGGCTTCTTGATGTACTTGCACACCCACCAGTTATTCTCCCGCTGGAAATAACAGATGGCGATGACACACAGCTGCCGCCCACAGCAAACTTGTCCTGTGGGCCCAGCACACACAGCAGGCAGTGGGTGCGGGCTTACCCTCCTGGCCCGTCAGCGTCCACACAGAGGCCTTGTGGCCTGTGCCATAGGTCACGATGAGGTTACTCTTGGAGGCCCAGTTGATGCCTTTTACCTGCCCGTTGTGCTCCTTGAGCTCGGGCACCTTGGCCCACTTGGCCCCACTCTTACAGCTTCGTGGTTGTTGAGGCAGATGGTGGCCATCTGGGTGCGGCCCTTGCTCCAGGTTTGGCAGCAATGGGTTCCTGCAGTCAGCTGTGGGAGGCTGTAGTTGCTCTCCTTTTCAGAGTACCCCAGCTGCAGACTCTGGGCAGGACGCACCCAACCAGTGCTCTGGTTTTTTGAAGTAAAAAATGCATAATGCAATTTTACCATCTTAACCATTTTTTAATTATGAAATCCGGTAGTGTTAAGTATAATTGTGTTGTTGTGAAACAGATCTCCACAACTTTTTCATTTTGCAAAACTAAATAACTCCTCTTTCCCCCTACTCCCAAGCTCCAGGCAGCTACCATTTCTGTTTCTATGAATTTGACTACTTATATTACCTCATATAAAGGGGTTCATAAGTATTTGTCTTTTCTTGCTTGGTTACATCACTTAGCATGATTTCTTAAGTTTCATTCATGTTGTAGCACATGTCAAGATTTCCTTTTTTTTTTTTAAAAAAAAGGATGAAGACTATTCGTTTGTATGTATATGCCACATTTTGTTTATCCATCCATTTTTCTTCAAATGTTTGAGTTGTGTGATGTTTAATTATGTGTCACCTTGACGGGGCAAAGGGTTGCCCAGACAGCTGGTAAAACATTATTTCTGGGTATGTTAGTGAGGCTGTTTCCAGAAGAGATTAGCATTTGAATTGGCAGGCTGAATAATGAAGATCTGCCCTCATCAATGTGGATGGGCCAGAACAAACCAAAAAGGTGGAGAAAGGACCAGTTATCTCCCCACCACCCCTGTGCCCTTTAGCTGGGACATCCATCTTCTGCCATCAGACATCAGAGCTTCTGGTTCTCAGGCCTTCAGACTCCAGAAGTTATACCAGTGGCTTCCCTGGCTTTTGGACTCAGACTGGGGTTTCACTGTATGTTTCCCTGATTCTCAGGCCTTTGGACTTGAATTGAATTACAGCATGAACTTTCCTAGTTCTCTAGCTTGCATATGGCATATTGTGGGACTTCTTGACCTCCATAATCATGTGAGCTAATTCCCATAATAAATCTCCTCTTATGTATCTATAATTCATATAGATATGATATCTATATATCAATCCCATAGATAAATAGATGTCTCATATATATATCAATGTCTCTATATGTAGATGTCTCATATATGGTATCTATGTATCTGTATCATCTCTATATATCTAATCATCTAATATAGATGTCTCATGATATCTATATAGATATATCTATATCATAGATGCAGAGATATCATATATATGTCTGTTTCTTTGGAGAATTCTGACTGATACAGGTTGCTTCCGCCTTTTGGCTATCATGAGTAATGCCGCTGTAACCATGGGTATGCAAATACTTCTTTGAGACCCTGCTCTGAGTTCTTTTGGGTAAATACCCAGAAGTGGATTGCTGGATGATTTGGTGGTTCTACTTTTAATTTTTTGAGGAAATGCCATACTGTTTTCCATAATGGTTGCACCATTTTATAATCTCACCAAGAGTGCACAGGGTTTCAATTTCTCTACATCCATACCAACACTTATTAGTGTGTGTGTGTGTGTGTGTGTGTGTTTAATGGCTGTCCTAATGGGTGTGAGGTGACATTTCACTGTGGTTCTGATTTGCACATCTCTGATAATTGCTGGTGTTGAGCATCCTTCCATATGCTTGTTGGTCATTTATATATCATCTTTGGAAAAAATGTCTATTCAAGTCTTTTGTCTATTTTTTTTCCTTCCAACTTTTATTTTAGGTCTGGGGGTACATGTGCAGGTTTGTTACATGGATAAATTGTGTGTCATGGGGGTTTGGTGTACAGATTATTTGGTCGCCTAGGTAAATGAGCATAGTACCTGATAGGTAGTTTTTTGACCCTCCCCCTTCTCCCACCCTCCACCCTGAAGTAGGCCCCAGTGTTTATTGTTCCCTTCTTAGCATCTGTGTGTAGTCAATGTTTAGCTCCCACTTATAAGTGAGAAAATGTGGTATTTGGTTTTCTGTTCTTACATTAACTTGCTTAGAATGATGGCCTCCAGCAGCATCCATGTTGCTGCAAAGGACATGATTTCGTTCTTCTTATAGCTGTGGTGTATATGTACCACATTTTCTTTACCCAGTCCACTGCTGATGGGCATCTAGGTTGATTCCATGTCTTTGATATTGTGAATAGTGCTATGATGAACATATGTGTGCATGTGTCTTTGTGGCAGAACAATTTACATTTCTTTGGGTATATATCCAGTAATGGGGTTGCTAGGTGGAATGATTAATTCACTTTTAAGTTCTTTAAGAAATCTCTAAACCTCTTTCCCCAGTGGCTGAACTAACTTACATTCCCACCAGCAGTGTCCAAGTGTTTCCTTTTCTGCACAACCTTACTAACATCTGTTATTTTTTGACTTTTTAATGATAGCCATTCTGACTCATATGAGATCGTATCTCTCTGTGGTTTTGACTTGCATTTCTCTGATGATTAGTGATGTAGAGCATTTTTTCAAATGCTTGTTGGCCGCATGTGTCTTCTTTTGAGAAGTGTCTGCTCCTGTCATTTGCCCACTTTTTAATGGGCTTGTTTGTTTTTTGCTTGTTAATTTAAGTTTCATGTAGATTCTGGATATTAGACCTTTGTCAAATGCATAGTTTGTGAATATTTTCTCCCATTCCATAGGTTGTTTACTCTGTTGATAGTTTCTTTTGCTATGCAGAAGCTCTTTAGTTTAGTTAGGTACTACTTGTCAATTTTTGTTTTTGTTGCTTTGTCCATTTTAAAAAATAGAGTAATT
The DNA here is from genome assembly GCF_000001405.40 of Homo sapiens. NCBI lineage: Eukaryota > Metazoa > Chordata > Mammalia > Primates > Hominidae > Homo > Homo sapiens. Next base: position 208,364,075 of record NC_000002.12, read on the forward strand.
TGATTATTTTGTTGTTGAATTGTAGGAATTCTTTATATATTATGGATGCTAACATCTTATCAAATATGATTTGCAAAACATTTTCCCTCATTCTGTAGGTTGCCTTTTCACTATTGTGTCCTTCAATGAACAAAAGTTTTTATGTTTGATGCAGTCCCATTTGTCCATTTTTTTTGGTTGCCTGTGATTTTGGTGTCATATCCAAGAATGTGGAATGTGTCATATCCACATTCAATGTCCTGACGATTTTTTTCTATGTTTTCTTCCAGAAGTTTTATTGCTTTGGGTCTTTGGTTTAAGTCTTTAGTCCATTTTGAGTTAATTTTTGTATGTGGTGTAAGAAACAGGTCCAACTGCATTGTTTTGCATGTAAATATCCAGTTTTCCCAGCATCATTTGTTGACCAGACTGTCCTTTTCCCATTTAGTGCTGTTGGAGCTCTTCTTGGAGGTCAGTTGGCCATGTGTACACAAGTTTATTTCTGGGCTCTTTATTCTGTTCTATTGATTTGTATATCTGTCTTTATTCCAGTACCACACTGTTTTATTCTTCTTTTTCAAAATTGTTTGACTCTTAGGGCCCTTTGAGATTCCATATCAATTTTAGGATGAATTCTTCTATTTCTGCAACAAATGCTATTGGAATTTTGATAAGGATTGAATTGAATCTGTAGACTGTTTTGAGTGATATTAACATCTTAATAATATTAAGTCTAATCCATGAATGTGAGATGTTTCTATTTATTTATCTCTTCTTTGATTTCTTTCAGTAATGTTTTATAGTTTTCATTATATAAGTTTTTACTTCCTTAGTCAATTTCTAAGAATTGTTTTCTTTTTGATGCCATTGCAACGGGAATCATTTTCTTAATTTTTTCAGATGCTTTCACTATTTGTGTATAGAAATGTAACTGATTTTTTGTATGTGTGTTGATTTTGTATCTGGTAACTTTACTGAATTTTTAAATTTGTTCTAACCTGTTTTTTTTTTTTGGTGGAATCTTTAGGATTTTCTGCATATAAGATCATGCCATCTACAAACAGAAATTTTTACTTCTTTCTTCCCAATTTGGATGCCTTTTATTGCTTTTTCTTGTCTAATTGCTTTGGACTGGAGTTCCAATACTCTGTTGAATAGAAGTGTCCAGAACAGACATTTTTGCCTTGTTCTTAATCTTAGAGGAAAAGCTTCCAGTTTTTCACTGAGTATGCCGTTAGCTGTGGACTTTTCCTAAACAACCTTTATTATGTGCAGGTAATTTCCTTCTCTTTCCACTTTTGAGTGTTTTTTTTCTTTTCTTTTCTTTTTTTGTGTGTGAAAGGATATTGAATTTTGCCAAATGCTTTTCCTGCATCAGTGGAGATGGTCATGTGGGTTTTGTCCTTTATTCTGTAAATGTGGTGTACTACATTGATTTTCATATGTTGAACCATCCTTGCATCCCAGGGATAAATCCCACTTGATCATGGTGAATGATCTTTTGAGTGTGCTGTTGAATTTATTTTGCTAGTATTTTTTTGACTACGTTCATCAGACATATTGGGTAATTATTTATTTTTTCTTGTAGTATTTTTGCCTAGCTTTGATATCACACTAATGCTGCCCCTCAAAGAATGACCTTGGAAGTATTCCTTTCTCTTCAGTTTTTGGGGGATTGATGTAAATTCTTTTTTTTTTTTTTTTGGAGACAGGGTCTCACTGTCACCCAGGCTGGAGTGCAGCGGCACAATCATAGCTCACTGCAGCCTCTAACTCCTGGGCTCAAGCAATTCTGCTTCAGCCTCCTGAGTAGCTGGGACTATAAGCATGTGCCACCATGCACAGCTAATTTATATATATATAATATAATAGATAAATATATATATATATATATATATATATATATATTTTTTTTTTTTTTTTTTTTTTTTTTTTTTTTTTTTGCAGAGACAAGGTAGGTCTTGCTATGTTGCCCAGGCTGGTCTCAGACTCCTAGGCTCAAGTGAACCTCTCACCTCAGTCTCCCAAAGTTCTGGGATTACAGGCATGAGCCACCACGTCTGGCCAGTGTTAATTCTTCAATATTTGGTAGAATTCTTCAGTGAAGTCTTCTAGTCCTGGGCTTTTCTTTGTTGGGAGGTTTTTAATTACCAACTCAATTTCCTTACTAGTTATTGGTCTATTTATATCTTCTATTTCTTCATGATTCAGTCTTGGCAGGTTTGGTGTTTCTAGAAATTTATCCATTTCTTATAGGTCATCCAGTTTGTTGGTATAGTTCATAGTCTTCTCTTATAATCCTTTCTTATCTGTAGCTCAGTACCTCCTATCTGGAGATGCAGAATTAGGAATTGAAACTATAATAGGCCCCCCTTTTATAATGGGGTGTCCTTATTTTTACCTTCTCACCTTGCAATACCCTTGTCTTGCTAGTAAAGAAAGAAGGGAAATTTGATTCAGGAGGTAATCATACTTTTCAATTTGTACAAGATCTAATAGCCATGAACTCCTATGTCATTCCTCACCATCCCATAATTCTTAGCCCAGCCATCATCCTTACCTCAATCCCTGCTGGTGCAGCCTGGTTTATTCTGTTAATGTGCTGTACTGCATTGAGGTAAGGACTTCTGCTCAGCTTTCTTCTTGATACCATTGTACCTTGATTCACACTTCCTCTTGTGAAATAAAGTTTAGCATGAAGCTGCTTTCTTACATATTTTAAGTTCGGCTTAAAGGTTTTTCTGTACATCGTGAACTGTAACAAGTGGAATATAACCAGACCGTAGCTTACACTTGTGCCATTTACCAAGTTTTGGCCAATCAAATGTAGCCAACTGTTTGAACTGTATTCAAATAAGGGAAATGCTCAGCTGTAACCAAGCCAACTGTTTCTGTACCTCACTTCTGTTTTCTGTATGTCACTTTCCTTTTTCTGTCCATAAATCATCTTCCATGGCGTAGGTGTGCTGGAGTCTCAGAGTCTATTCTGGCTCAGGAGGCTGCCTGATTTTGAATCATTCATGGCTCAATTAAACTTCTTTAATTTTTTTTTTTTTTGAGATTGAGTTTCACCCTTGTTGCCCAAGTTGGAGTGCAATGGTGCAGTCTCTGCTCACTGCAGCCTCTGCCTCCTGGGTTCAAGCGATTCTCCTGCCTCAGCCTCCTGAGTAGCTGAGATTACAGGCACATGCCACCATGCCCAGCTAATTTTTCTATTTTTAGTAGAGACAGGGTTTCGCCATGTTGGCCAGGCTGGTCTCGAACTCCTGACCTCAGCCTCCCAAAGTGCTGAGATTACAGATGTGAGCCACTGCACCTGGCTTCACTCCTTCAAATTTAATTCAGCTAAAGTTTTTATTTTTTTCTCTTTCTTTTTTTTTTTTTTTTTTGAGACAGAGTCACTGTCACCCAGGCTGAAGTGCAGTGGCACAATCTCGGCTCACTGCAACCTCCGCCTCCCAGACTCAAGCGATTTCTGGCTAATTTTTGTGTTTTTAGTAGAGATGGGTTTTCACCATATTGGCCAGGCTGATCTTGAACTCCTGACCTCAGGTGATCTGCCTGCCTTGGCCTCCCAAAGTGCTAGGATTACAGGCATGAGCCACTGTGCCCAGCCTCAAATTTAAGAAGAAACAGTTAACATGGACTTGCATACCTCCAGGATATTGTGAATACCTCTCAATATTTTTCTAAGTTCTCAAAGTCAAATTAGACTCTATGACAATCACTCAAGGTTCCCTTTGTTTCCAATATGTTGATGACCTGCTACTTTGCAACCAAAGCAAACAGGGTGCTCTTCTGGACTCCCTTACTCACCTTAAGGCACTGACTGACTAAGGTTATAAATCTTCCAGGTCCAAATGCCAACAGGTACAAAAAATTCTTACCTACTTAGGCCATAAAATATTTTAGGGTACTCAAAAACTCGTCCCAAAATGCCTTGAATCAATTTTATTCATTATCTCTCAAAGACAAACAATTACGTGAATTTTTAGGAGCAACTGGATATTGCCAATGGATTCCCAATTTTGCTGCCCATGTCTAACCTTTATATGCTGTCCTCTTAGATACAACCACAGAGCACTTTACCTGGTACTCTGAGGCACCAGCCTCCTTGGAAGCATTGTCCACACCCCAGCCCTTCGACTACCCAACTTTGACAATCTTTTTTACCTATATTACTGTGAAAATGATGGGATTGTTGTGGGTATCTTAGGACAATCTTTTTGTCCCATAACATATTTCTCATGTCAACCTAGATATGTCCCACAGTACCTTTCTCATGTTAAGTAGCATCAGGCATTCCTCCATGCTTATATGCAATAGACTTAGCTGCCATCCTAATTGACAAAGCAAGTATTCTTATACTGCCCCACCATTCACCTCTCTGTTCTCCATGCTGTTCCTCTACATTGGTATCCCTTTCAAAGTGGATCTTGCCTCAACTAACCCTTAACTGTTTTTTTTTTGTTTTTGTTTTTTGTTTTTTGACAATTCTGGCACTACCCCAACACCTGCTTGTTCCAATCTTTCAAAGCCTGGCCACCTTAAATAGTTAATCTGGTTACTGGTTAGGTTAACATCTACATAATGCAGAAGAGTTTTTGTTCCTACCAATGTAAATATACCTGGTGAACCCATTCTGGACAATGGATATATAAAAGCATATGGTATCCATAAGCAGGAAGACAAAGTCACTCTGTCTCCTCCTCTGGTAGATTAATTTGGCACTGGGAAGCCTCCATGGAAGCTCAAGGTCAGTGCTTTACCCAAGTAAGACTATTGGAAGGAAATCTCTCTACATTGAAAATAAATACAGTACTGGACCTTTTCTGGGTAACATTTCAAAAATGTATTGCAATCAAATTCTGTGATTTGGCTTCACAGATGGCACTAAACAACCCTCCACTGTCATTGTTACTTGGATTATAACTAAGTATTTCAATGTGAGTGAATGTCAGATTACAGGATAATATTCCTGGTTTGTAGGAAAAAGTAGTGGGATATGGAATAGCTCAAGTGTTCCCCTAGTTGGCTTGACCAGCACCCATGACTATAGTTGGATGGATGGACCTTAACTTGGTCAATAAATAAAATACATTTCTATAGTAACCAAGGCTAAATTAAAGGGTTTCTCTGCCAGGTGTTTCACAACCTGTTTTACCCTCATAGCCTAACAGAAGCACATTGGAAGTGAAGATGTGCAGATGCCAACATGATTGATGATAAGGGTTGTGAAAGACACAGAATTCCAACTTGGTTGTTCACAGGTTCCACCACTATGACCTTGTCTGTAAACAACACTGGTCTCTCTCTCTTTTTTTTTTTTTTTAGAAGGAATCTCACTCTGTTACCCAGGCTGGAGGGCAGTGGCACAATCTCAGCTCACTGCACCCTCCACCTTCCGGTTCAAGCGATTCTCCTGCCTCAGTCTCCCGAGTAGCTGGGAGTACAGGTGCCCACCACCATGCCCGGCTTATTTTTGTAGTTTTAGTAGAGACAGGATTTCTCCATGTTGGCCAGGCTGGTCTTCACCTCAAGTGATCCGCCAGCCTCGGCCTCCCAAAGTGCTGGGATTACAAGCGTGAGCCACTGTGCCTGGCCTGGTCTCATTTTTATGTAGCAATAAGATATATAAAAGGTTCCCACCTAAGTGGTCAGAGAAATGTGAAGTTGGATATCTGGTGCCTTCCCTTACCAGATATCCCACTTTGAATGCTAGCCACATTACAACTGGGGTTCTTTTATATATAAATTAATGCCATGTAGATGCACCTGATGAGACATCATAGACAACGCACTTATGTATTGCAACCCTAAGTTCTCAGTAATGAGAATGCTTTTCCAAAGCCTGGCAATGTACGATGTAGAAAGAACAATCCTAAGCATTCCAAAGTAATGAACAAGCATCTGGTGCCACTATACAGACTGGGAAGCCTGCCATTTACAAGTTAGCAGTGTAGCCTCTGTTGCACTCCAAAATTGTGTCCTAGATATGCTGACTGCCCAACAGAGAGGAGCTTGTACAATCACTGGCAACAATGCTACTTCTATATAAATTAGAAAGGAAAAATTGTGTCTAATCTATATCATTTAAAAAGAAAGGTTGGCCGGGCACGGTGGCTCACGCCTGTAATCACAGCACTTCGGGAGGCCGAAGCGGGCGGATCATGAGGTCAGGGGATCGAGACCATCCTAGCTAACATGGTGAAACCCTGTCTCTACTAAAAATACAAAAAATTAGCCAGGCATGGTGGCGGGCACCTGTAGTCCCAGCTACTTGGGAGGCTGAGGCAGGAGAATGGCGTGAACATGGGAGGCGGAGCTTGCAGTGAGCAGAGATCACACCACTGCACCCCAGCCTGGGCGACAGAACGAGACTCCGTCTCAAAAAAAAAAAAAAAAAAAAAAAAAAAAAAAAAGAAAGGTCAACATTCTACGTTAGGTAAATAAGGCATAGTCCAATTAACTGAACTGAACTGACCTATTCCCACGACTGGGAGACTGGTTCAACAGAATATGGACCAGTGTGTTCAGATTTTTCTCTGTTGTAATCTATGTTCTTCTTTCATTTTGCAGATCTCTTACCTCCCAGCACCTAATATGAGTCTTTTCTACATAGGAAATAATCCAAATATTTGTGAAACTTCATGTGAAGTTTCAAATGGGGGAAGTGAAGGAACGAACAACCCACCTCCTAACCCCAATTTATACCCACCTGTGTTAGTTCATTTGTATTGCTATGAAGAGATACCTGGAGGCTGGGAAATTTATAAAGAAAAGAGGCTTAATTGGCTCACAGTTCTGCAGGGTGTATAGGCATGGCATCAGTATGTGCTCAGCTCCTGGTGAGGGCTTCAGGGAGCTTACAATCATAGCTGAAGGTGAAGGGGGAGCATGCATCTTACATGGTGATAGAGGGAGCAAGAGAGAGGGTCGGGGGGTGCCAGGCTCTTTAAACAACCAGCTCTCATGTGAAATACCAGAGCCAGAACTCACTCATCACCATGGGGATGGCACTAAGCCATTCATGAGGGATCTGCCTCATCACCCAAACACTTCCCAGTAGGCCCCACCTCCAACTTGGGGATTGTATTTCAACATGACATTTTGAGGGGACAGATATCCAATATTCAAACCATATCACCACCAGAAAGGCATAAAGATTACTTTAAACTGAAAATATTGGAACAAACAATCGCTGCGGAAAGCAGCCTTATCTGACCGAAAGCAGACCTGTCCAAGAGTTCTGCTATCATCAACTCCTTCTGAGGGACTTTCCAGACAGCGAGGTGACAGATGTTTACAAACGTGACGTTAAAAAATAAAGTTGTGTAAATGAGTCTTATCAGAACCTTTTATACTTTCTCACTGAAGCCTCAGTTGGTATATAAACCCTTACCACTGGCTGTTTGGGAAGTGACTCCTTACAGAGTGCTCCCTCAGGCATGGAGAATAAACTTTTCTCCTGTTAATGTATTTTCAACTAATTCGCAGGCCCTAGACCACTCAGATCTAAGTTGACAGATGAAATGTTTTCCTCCCAACATGACCAAGCTTATAGTGCTTTTATGGTATATCTGTAGAGATTGCGGTCAGGCATAACATTGTTTGTTAGGGTTGCAGTACCTTTCAGGAAATGCTCAAAGTTTAATTGATTTAGGGGACTTTCACTGGATGAGATGCCTCTCTGAGTCATCATAGGTTGCAAAGTATTAGTTTTTTGCCACTCACTGTGTGTTGTGATATGACATACTCATAATGGGGTAGGACAAGATGTCAGTTTTGCTTCCAAACTTTCCTTACTTGTTTCCTTTTTGGTTCACCACTAATGTTGAAGAAATGCAAGATGGAAAATCTCAATAGTTGACACTGATTGATTGATTGAGATGGAGTCTCACTCTGTCACCTGGGCTGGAGTGCAGTGGCGTGATATCGGCTCACTGCAACCTCCACCTCCCAGGTTCAAGCAGTTCTCCTGCCTCAGCCTCCCGAACAGCTGGGATTACAGGTGCCCGCCACTACTCTCAGCTAATTTTTTGTATTTTTAGTAGAGATGGGGTTTCACCATGTTGGCCAGACTAGTCTCGAATTCCTAACCTTGTGATTCGCCCGCCTCGGCCTCCCAAGGTGCTGGGATTACAGGCATGAGTAGTTGACATTTATTAAGTGTTTATATGTGATAAGCACTGTTAGATTATCCCATGTAATACATCACTTGATTGATTTAAGAGATTGTCATTTGAAAGATTAAAGAATATTTCCCAGAAAGGATGCTTGGTCAAGCCTCATCATCCTGGGATGGATGGGACCTTGGTTTTGGGCAAGTTTATTACAATTTAAGACTATTCTAGGTCATGGAAGTGTGTGTTAGGACATATAAGTAGTTTTCTTGTCCAGAATACTTTGTAATAATATACCCTAAGTTTGATCAGCTTTTTGGCATTCACTTAATTAAAATGTTCACAAGTAGGTACATTTTTAGAATTGTTAAGTAATATACTATTTGTAGTAGCAAAACACTACAAACAAATACCTAATATAATAAGAGGGAGTGGTTGAATAAACTAGGGCATGTCAACTAAAAAACATATTTGAAATGCAGGGAAAATGCTTACTCTAGGCAATAGTTACAACTTTTGTCCATTATAGGTACATAAAGGAAAAGAGTACACAAAGAATTCTATTAATGATGAAATTAGGAACAATGTTCCCATCCCCAATTTATACCCAAAAGAAAATATGTTCTGGCTGGGCGCGGTGGCTCATGCCTGTAATCCTAGCAGTTTGGGAGGCTGAGACAGGTGGATCGCCTGAGCTCAGGAGTTCAAAACCAGTCTGGGCAACATGGCAAAACCCCGTCTCCACCAAAAATACAAAAAATTAGCCAGGCGTGATGGCACATGCCTGTAGGTCCAGCTACTTGGGAGGCCGAGGTGGGAGGATCGCTTGAGCTCGGGATGTGGAGGCTGCAGTGAGCAAAGCTCACACCACTGCACTCTAGCATGGGTGACAGAGTGAGACCCCGTCTCAAATAAATAAATAAATAAATGAAAACTTATATTCTATAACATGTATTCTTATGTCTTTGGCTAAAACAAAAGAGAAGAAAAATAAGTAGAGAGCTAAGTGAAGTGAAGTGTCTTGAAACAGATAAGCCATAAAGTGAGATATATGAGTAAATGAGTAGTTGCTGGCCTAGGAATTGTTTCTGATGTTTTCACCTATTGAAAGAATTTTTTTCTTTTTGTAAATCTTTTTTTTGGTTTGTTAAACTGAAAAATAAAAGCAATGAAGAGATAATATTGCTGTAGTAATGTCCCTTAGTGCATCCTTGGAGTTAGTTGTCTTGAATTTGGCCTGCTCTGATTGTCATTTGCTGTTTGCTGCATTGAAAAAATTTCAGATTTACAAAAATATGTGTGCCAGGGTGGAGGAAATTTTTAACTTGATGAATTCTCACCTTTAGGACACTGTCTGCTCTTATATGGCACTTAGCAAGATGCTGCAACAATTGTCCCTGCTCATACTGTTGGAGGAAGAGGGTATTTGCAGGGAGATTGCTGGAGTCAAGATGATCCAAATTTAAATTGCAGTGGTGAGCAGTGGCCACTAGAGGGCTGTGAAGTACTTAATTCTAAAATTTCCACATTTTAATCTGGAGCAGAGGAAACTCTGGAAGGACCACTGGGACTAAGGGAGCTCAATCCCAAACATCTTTATCTGAGCCCTAAATGTCTTCTACGTTATTCTTTGACAATACTTTGTTACATCTCAGAATTTGTAGTTTTGAGGTGGAGGTTTAAGTTAGAAATAGTTTAATATATTCTATTCCAGAATATAATTCGCTTTTTTCCAAATGAAACTGGCACTAAAAGCTTTTTACTTGAAAGCAAATACACTTCATATGCTTTATGTATTTTTGTCCCTATATCATTGAAATAGTAGATTCAAGGCTGTTTGTAAAAATAAGTGACTATACTGCATATAGGAATAGCCCCACCTTAAAGACTTTGATTTTAAGGACATTAAGTGGGAGGGTCTTTTTTGCCTTTTTTTTTTTGACTATCAAAATACTTTCACATTTCTTCAATTCAAAGAACAACTGTTCTAAATTTAGAAGACAGACAAGTGAAAGAGAATATGCTGCCATTTCCGATGGTTCTTTTTTACTCTTGATCCATCACTCTCCTGTCTTTGGCTGACTCTTTCTCCAAAAAGTACCCCTTATTTTTCCTATGCCTTTAACTTCTGTTTTACTTACTCTATTGTAGAACTTTGAGAAGTTGTACACCACATTCACTGCTACCTCACATTAACTCTGCTTACTCATTGCAGTCTGCCTTCTGCTCCTCAATGATTGCTCCTGTGAAGGTCATCTTTGGTTTAGCACTTGTTTGAAATCTAATAGCCTAAATGCACATCGATTACTGTTTAGAATTCAAACGACATTTATTTATTTACTTTGAGATGGAGTTTCATTCTTGTCGCCCAGCTGGAGTACAATGGCATGATCTTGGCTCACTGCAACCTCCACCTCCCAGGTTCAAGCGATTCTCCTGCCTCAGCCTCCTGAGTAGCTGGGATTACAGGCACCCTCAACCACGCCTGGCTAAGTTTTGTATTTTTTTTAGTAGAGATGGGGTTTCGCCATCTTGGCCAGGCTGGTCTCGAACTCCTGACCTCAGGTGATCTGCCTGCCTCAGCCCCACAAAGTGCTGGGATTACAAGCGTGAGCCACCACGCCCGGCCCAAATGACATTTATTTTTAAAAGCAACTAAACCAGGAAAGACCTTCACTCATTCAATCAAAAAACATGCATTGAACACGTATTCTTGGCTAGATCCGGTGCTGCAAAGATGAAAGACGCCACTCCTAGCCTCAAGGAGCTTGCAGTTTAGTGGTGGCACTGGATGTAAAATAATCATAAGATGTGAGGTGAAGACTGATGAGGTCTATTTTGTTGACACAGGTAAACATTCTCAGAGAATATTTAATTAGCAACATGACAAAAATTAGTTGATTTATTTGAAGGATATTTAAGTGAATTTAGAGATGAGATTTGTTTTTACTTTTTTAATTTCAGAGAGTTATGTTGGTTGCAAAAATCTTTGTTTTCTAGTATCTATTTTATAAGCCATCTGAGACCAGGATGTTTTCTTTTTAACATGTAAACTTGATGCAGTCTCTTTGTAAAGTAATGAATCCCCCCGTGAACCTCAAGGAGAAGAAAGTTTAGCTTGAACACTTAATTTCAAGTACCTTGAGAAGGGAACAGGCTGTATTGCTCAGAGAAGAAGGCTCTATTAGCTAAGGTAGAAGGACAATGTAAAACTCTTGTGAAGACACCTAAATGTCATTCCACTCAAAGCCCATTATTAATAATTTGAAACTGTCTGCTCTGTGAAGGCAACGACCTATCTTTACTCATTTTTGACTCTGCTAACATTTCTTTTTATAGTTGAACTAGAGGCAAGGCAAGGAACTTGACATGCTTGTTTTCCCTTTAGAATAAAGTGGCCAGAAGCAGTTTCTTCTGTGTGATCCAACACTTTCTTATCCCCAGAGCAACTCTGCATAGTCTAGATGTACCAGAGCCCAGCAGCCTGTGAGGTGATGTGATGTGATGTGATGTGAACAGAAAGGCTCCATGTTGGATGATGCCTATGAATCTAATCAGATTCTCTTTCTTGGTCATTTTGATTTCCAGAGAAGGCAGTAGAAGCAGGTTCTGTGTGTATAACCAGAGACTAGAGGGAGGAACTGACAGGGAAGCTGGGTCATGAGAGTGGTGTGCTCAGCAGAGTAGGGAGTAAGAGAGAGCTGGCTCCAGAGAGGATGACAAAATGCCCATGTCTCCAGCACTTCTTTAGCATTCTGAGTTCCCATCCTATCATGAATAGGAAGAGTTTTCTAGCTCTCCATGAAGCCGAAATAGGTTTCAGACTTTCCTTTCTTTCCCACACACATAATAAATACCCATCAGGTAACCTGGGCATGGCCTTTTATTTAGGCACTAACAATTCTAAAAGGAATTAATAAATGCTTCACTGCCATTTCACAGTGTAACAGCATGCCAGTTTACCATACCATTAACATTTAGCCTCGTGGTATTTCTGTGTTTTTTCAGTCAGTAATGATGGCATTTTTGCCAAGATAATATAGTGTTAAACTGTATTGGTTGAAATCCTAGGCTTTTTAAATGTAAACTAGCACTTTACAAAGTATTACAAAGGAAACGAACCAGGGAAACTTGAGAAGGAACTTTCTTATCCACATTGTTATAGGTTATAAAATAGTTCCTATTTAAATTAAAATACCTACTGTTGCACTTTTATGTGTGTTTTTATATATAAATAACATCTGGGTTGGCAAATATGTGATTTTCGTCAAATAGGCTTTGATTGAAGATGAAATATTTTTGTAAAACTAGTCCTTTTTTAAAGTTAAAATTTTATGTTACCACATGAATTGATCAGCAGAAATTTATTTACATTATGTAAATTGATTTTTAAGAGTATCCACAAGGTTTTAGCTATTATTTTTGAACTTGCTTCCTAGCCCACACAATTAAGTAATAAGAGTAAGAAAAAAGAAAGCACACATCCAAATCATCTATCAAAACCCAGCTTCTACCCAATGACACATCATTTTATTTCTTGATCTTGTAATGTTGAGCACATGCCTTGGACATATTCCTATATGTGGGCTCTATTCTCTGCAGCACGTCACTCCCTCTTTTATCCGCCCCTCTTATGTGCTCCCACTCCTATCCTCTTCAATTAAAAATGCCTCTTTCTTTTTTTTTTAAGTTAATTAATTAATTAATTTTTTTTTATTGATCATTCTTGGGTGTTTCTCGCAGAGGGGGATTTGGCAGGGTCATAGGATAATAGTGGAGGGAAGGTCAGCAGATAAACAAGTGAACAAAGGTCTCTGGTTTTCCTAGGCAGAGGACCCTGCGGGCTTCCACAGTATTTGTGTCCCTGGGTACTTGAGATTAGGGAGTGGTGATGACTCTTAACGAGTCTGCTGCCTTCAAGCATCTGTTTAACAAAGCACATCTTGCATGGCCCTTAATCCATTTAACCCTGAGTGGACACAGCACATGTTTCAGAGAGCACAGGGTTGGGGGTAAGGTCATAGATCAACAGCATCCCAAGGCACAGGAATTTTTCTTAGTACAGAACAAAATGAAGTCTCCCATGTCTACTTCTTTCTACACAGACACAGCAACAATCTGATTTCTCTATCCTTTCCCCACCTTTCCCCCTTTCCTATTCCACAAAAACCGCCATCGTCATCATGGCCCGTTCTCAATGAGCTGTTGGGTACACCTCCCAGACGGGGTGGTGGCCGGGCAGAGGGGCTCCTCACTTCCCAGAAGGGGCGGCCGGGCAGAGGTGCCCCCCACCTCCCGGATGGGGCGGCGGCTGGGTGGAGGCGGGCCCCCACCTCCCTCCCAGACGGGGCGGCTGGCCGGGCGGGGGCTGACCCCCCACCTGCCTCTGGGACGGGGCGGCTGGCCGGGCGGGGGCTGACCCCCCACCTGCCTCCGGGACAGGGTGGCTGCTGGGCAGAGGGGCTCCTCACTTCTCAGACGGGGCAGCTGCCGGGCGGAGGGGCTCCTCACTTCTCAGACGGGGTGGCCGGGCAGAGACGCTCCTCACCTCCCAGACGGGGTCGCGGCTGGGCAGAGGCGCTCCTCACATCCCAGACGGGGCGGCGGGGCAGAGGCGCTTCCCGCATCTCAGACGATGGGCGGCCGGGCAGAGACGCTCCTCACTTCCTAGACGTGATGGTGGCCGGGAAGAGGCGCTCCTCACTTCCCAGACTGGGCAGCCAGGCAGAGGGGCTCCTCACATCCCAGACGATGGGCGGCCAGGCAGAGACGCTCCTCACTTCCCAGACGGGGTGGCGGCCAGGCAGAGGCTGCAATCTCGGCACTTTGGGAGGCCAAGGCAGGCTGCTGGGAGGTGGAGGTTGTAGCTAGCCGAGATCACGCCACTGCACTCCAGCCTGGGCAACATTGAGCACTGAGTGAACCAGACTCCGTCTGCAATCCCGGCACCTCGGGAGGCCGAGGCTGGCGGATCACTCGCGGTTAGGAGCTGGAGACCAGCCCGGCCAACACAGCGAAACCCTGTCTCCACCAAAAAAATACGAAAACCAGTCAGGCGTGGCGGCGCGCACCTGCAATCCCAGGCACTCGGCAGGCTGAGGCAGGAGAATCAGGCAGGGAGGTTGCAGTGAGCCGCGATGGCAGCAGTACAGTCCAGCTTTGGCTCGGCATCAGAGGGATACCGTGGAAAGAGAGGGAGAGGGAGACTGTGGGGAGAGGGAGAGGGAGAGAAAAATGCCTCTTTCAATATGTAAGGTAAGATTGATAGATGATTGCCTTCCGTAGTTCCTCCCAAAATTCATAGGTTGAAATCTTAGCCCTCAGAGTGGTGGTATTAGGAAGTATGGAGCCTTTGGGAGATAATTAGCTCAGGAGGGTGGAGCCCTCCCGAATAAATTTAATGCCTTTATAAGCAAGACCCCAGAGAGCCCTTTCACCCTTTTCTACCCTATGAGGACACAGCGAGAAGACAGCTGTCTGTGAACCAGGAAGCAGGCCCTCACTACATACCGAATCTACAAGCAACTTGATCTCAGACTTCCCAGTCTCCTGAACTGCGAGATATAAATGTTTGCTGTTTAAGTCACCCAGTCTAAGGTATTTTTGTTATAGCAGCCTGAATGGACTCAGGCGGTAGGCAAGAGGAGGACAGTGCACCTGAGTTATACATTGGGCAAGTCATTTACCTTCATTGGAGCCTCGGTTTACTTGTGTTAGATATGGGAATAATGATAGTTACACTGCAGGGTGGTTGTGAAGATTAGAGAAAGTGCATATACTCTGATCAGCACAGTGCATGGTACTTCAGTACACAGTGTTAACTGAAGACACAGTGTTAACTGAAGACACAGTTGAAAACTAAAGATAGCTAGTGAAACACATGTTCTCTGCACATCATACAGTTTCTTGGGCAGTTTTCAAAGTGTGACTCTGCAGTTCATACCACCATTATCACTTAGTCTCTAACAAATAATCATATTTGACACATTTGGCTGGGACTTAATAATTTTATTTGGGCAGCAGCTGGTTTCTGGAAGTGTTCATGGGAAGAAAATGTATATTAATAAAGTTAGCAGGTAATGTTCTTTGTTGAAATGTTGGATATTGTGGGACACAAAAGAGTCAGGGTAAATGTACATTTACAGAATTGAGCGTCAGAGTGTCATAGTTCTCTAATGATTTACAAAGAAAGAATTCCTGGAACAAGTGAAATACTTAATAATTAATTCAGCCTGTATTTCTGCAGGTAATCAACTGCAGTGATAAAAAAATAAAAATGGAACTGTCTTTTGCTCATTGGAAAGATATTTGCTGCATTCAAAGTCATCAAAAAGGCGAAGCAATGAAACTTAAGACTTTTGGGTTTTAATAATTAAAAATCCATCTTAAAGAGAACCTTGGGCTCTGGCACGGTGGCTCATTCTTGTAATCCTAGCACTTTCGGAGGCCCAGGTGGGCGGATCACTTGAGGTCAGGAGTTTGAGACCAGCCTGGTTAACATGGTGAAACCCCATCTCTACTAAAAATACAAAAATTAGCTGGGTGTGGTGGTGTGCGCCTGTAATCCCAGCTACTTGGGAGGCTGAGGCACGAGAATCACTTGAACCTGGGAGATGGAGGTTGCAGTGAGCCAAGATTGTGCCACTGCATTCCAGCCTGGGTGACACAGTGAGACTCTGTCTTGAAAAAAAAAAAAAGAGAGAGAGACCGTTTGTGAAGGTGTGTTACACAGAGAATTCCTGATTCCTAATCTCCAGAATAGAAAAATTCAAAGGCTCAGAATCATCCCAAATCAATTATCCAGTGGCATCTGCATTTTCCGATTTCATTCTCACTAGCCGTGTGAACATGGGCATGACCCCAGGAGCCAAGGAATTCTCTAATGCCTAAGGACAGCCATGAGGTCAATGAATAACATGTGTCAGGTTTCCCTGGCACAGAGGAGCTTCCCAGTAAATGTTATTTTCCTTAGCTATTTCCCATTTAACATGTCAATTATTCTTAGTGAGTTTCCATTCAATATGAGAGTTTATATAATTTGTCATATTGAATAGGAACTTGCTAAGGAAAGCTGTGTAGCAGAGGAAGCAGCCCCAAGTGACAGGACATAAACTTTAAATTCACAAGATGCTTGTATGTGAATTATGATGGTATCTGAATTAACAGTGATATTTACAGTTTAGTAATACATTTTTCTTCCCTTGTCTTGGGCTTTATAAAAACCCTGTAAGTCATGTATGTCAGGAATTTTATCCTCATAATTGAGAGAAAAATACTCCATATTTTATTGGAAATAAGATCAGTAGATTCTCTGTATATCATACAATGTCTTGCCTACTTAAATTATCACCCCCCTTCCTATTTCAACAAAGACTTTCTCTAAGTACCCCTGGCCTCTTGCCCTGATCCATACTGTTCTCCTTGGTAATGGAGTGAGTTTCCTGCCTGGTGGGTGCAGCCATTGGCCACATTTCTCTAGTGTATGGAACTCACCGGATAAAAGGCCTCAGATGTAGGTCTCTTTCTGCTGTCTTCACCCAGGTGTTGTGGAGTGTGTCTGTCCTTGAGCACTAGCTTTCCCCTGTGTGGGCTGCCTCAAGGCCTGCATTCATCAGGTAGGGACTGTTAGCTGGTAGACCTAAGCCACCACTCCAGTACTGACTGTCAGTAAGGAAGGTGACATGCTGACCTCCATCTGCTACATCATTGTGTATATGTCTTCATTAGTTCTGCATATTGGTGAGAAAATGGATGCTCTGATTCCTCTTGAACCCCAAGAGAATGAAGGTAAAAAAATTGAGGTCCTAATGCAAATTTTCTTAGTACACCCAAATCTTTGGATAGAGTCCTGCACTCTTTGAGATATATCACACAATCTGTCTCACTTTCTTTTCGCATATGTTATATATTTTAAAACTTTTGTTTTTGGGGCCACCACTTACTGGCTCTGTGATTTTAGGAAAGCTTTTCAGACCCTCAGAACCCCAGTCTCTTCATCTCTAAAGTAATAAAATATATGTAAAGAACCTATTTCAGCATGTGAATTCTGTTTTCCTTTTTCCTCTAGATGTATCATATCCAGTTAAAAAAAAATCTACTTGAACTTTGCAGGTATCTTCAGTGTTTATTACTTCTCATTTTTAACATTTATTGGAAATTAGCATATTGTCAGAATTGATATAATACAATATGTAACCTCTTTCATTAAGCTTATCATTTTTAAAATACAAATAACTATTCTTTACTTAAATTTTTATTTCTAGACACAGGGTCCTGCTCTCTCGAACCCAGGCTGGAGTGCAGTGGCACAATCATAGCTCACTGCAGCCTCAAACTCTTGGGCTTAAGTGATCCTCCTGCCTCACACTCTGGAGTAGCTGGGATTATAGACCTGAGCCATGGTGTCCAGCATGACTTAAATTTTGAATAAGTTGCACTTACTAATTACACTTACACTGCTGCATCTGAAAGAGTAATACAACAATAGAAGCCTTTTATAGTAATTATTTGTGGCAGGTAGACTCCTAAAATGACTCCCAAATGACCCACACCCTTGTACAATCAATACCCTGTCCCTTGAGTGACAGTGACTTGCTCTAATCAGTTGGCTTTCAGTTAATCAAAAGAGAGATTATCTTGGGCTGAACTAAACTAATCCCAGCAAGATAACAGGGACTTCAGTCTTGCAAACAGATATCATATAAAGGGAATCATATCTGCACATTTGATTCTTGGACCCTGGGTAGGAATTTGTTAGAGAGCAAGGATGTGAATAAAGGTGGGAAATAAAGGTGTATCTGGTGTCTCTGCTCAAAAGCTCACATGTAGCTACAAGGCAGAGATTTAGGGGAGTGGTATCCACAGTCAAGAAGAATTAATACATAGTGTTTGAGTCTGGCTTCTTCCAATTAGCATAATGCTTTTGAGGTTCATCCATATTGTTGCATTACCAGTAGTTTTTATTTATTTATTTTATCAGTAGTTTCTAAATTGTTGAGTAGTATATTACATTGTGTAGATATATCCTGTGTGTTTATCCATACACATTTATGGATATTTGGGAGTTGCTAGTTTTTAGCTATTCTATGAGCATTCACATACATGTCTTTGTGTGGAAATAGGTTTTCATATCTCTTGGGTAAATATACGGGAGTGGAATTGCTAGATCATATGGTAAATACTCTGTATACTTAAAATGAAGAGAAACTGTCAAACTATTTTCCATAATGGCTCTACCATACTTGATGTTTTAGAAAAGAGGAAAAACACTAGCAATTTTGATGCTGTATGTCTACAACCTAAGAGAATCTAATAATAGCGTCCTGGTCTGTCAGTGTAGGAATTGCCTAGGTAATACATGGAAGGTGTGGAGGGAGCAGGTACACAGAAAATGTGCGTCAGAAAGTTTTGCTTTTCCTATCCCACGTCATTTCTGAGTCTGATCCTCCCTACTCCTCACAAATAAATTGGTAGATTCATCTGTTTTTGGACCCTTTTCTGCTCTAGTTACTGAACTATCAGAGACTTCAGGAAGAGCTTAAGCTAAGCTATTCCAGGGAAGTTTTGGTGTTACTCTGTACTTACGGACTCCTGCGTGTCTGTCTCTGTCACCCCAGCTGCCAACTCAACTTAGAGTTTATTAGCCTGGCATTGACCAGCACACTGTGATATTCTCTGAGGCACACTGCATGCTGCTAGTGTGCCCTGGTTCATAAAGCTGGGCCTTCAGCATTGATCCCACTCCAAGTTCCTTGCTCTGTCTTCCCACAGCTGTCCCCTTGGGGGATGTGGGGGGTCTGACATCATTTGCATTATTAGTCTATTCCAAGAAATGCACCTGTGCACTAATCAGTTCACTTTTTCTGTCTTAGTCGGCAGATCTAGCCATAGCCCAATCCCTCAATTTCTATACTAAGCCTTTTATATTAGTAAAACTGTTATGTTATCTAGAAATTCATCAGTGGGAAAACTACTTCAAGGGAGGTAGTTAGAGGCTGCAAGGTGCTAAATATTTTTCTTTCTTTCTTTTTAAATGTAACTTGGATCTAAAGTAAGGACGAATTTCCTTTTATTATTTGTTCAGAATATACCAGCTGGTCCTGTGGGCAGAAGTTTGTTAAGGGGCCTGGATGTGAAATAACAGTGTATCTCGTGTCTCTGCTCAAGAGCTCACATGTAGCTACAAGGCAGAGATTTAGGGGAGTGGCATATACGGCCAACTGAGAAATAACAATATTGTCAGGGACTCCAAGGCACTTTGGAAGATATAAAGAATTTCTTAAATTTTCTTGTAGAATTGTTGCAAAAGGCAGACATGCTTAAATGTTTAAATAAGCTTCTTGAAAACTCATGGAACATTCAATCACAACTCCAACAGTTCTCCAAAATTTGATTTATTCTGGCCATATTATGCAGCAAAGAAACACTTGGCTATTTATCTAAATCTCTTCTGTCTTGTAAATGATCCTAGAAAATAATCTAGAAATACATTTTATTAAAGTAATGCATGAGGTACATATCGATTACCAGCCAATAGTTGAACTTAAACATAATGCATGGGTGTGAGGGCTGGCATTGATGATTCACAATGAACACAGTTGAATATCACTTCCCTGCTGAGACTCGGGTATCATCGCAAAACCACAGTGAGCATCAGTGGGGATCTGCATGCTCTGGTCAAGACAGATCTCCATGCTGAGTGTCTGTTTGCCATGATGAAGAGAACAGTCAACAGGAGTGTTTGCCATGATGTAGAGAACAGTCCGGGAGGAGTGAATGGAGGATGGGGGCATGAGGAAAGATGAGGCTTTCTCTAGTTATGACCCTTTGTGTAGAAGTTAGGAGTAGGGGATAAATGTTTCTGCCTAATATTTAACTTGGAAGAGAAGATGTCCATGTGAAAAACTGCTAAATACTGAAACAAGAGAGCATGTGACTAAGCAATACCATGTGTGGCACAGAAAACAAGTGCAATAGCAGTTTAGCAAAGTGAGTTCAGTGTAGGCTGAACTGGTTAGAGCAGGTTTCCGGGTGAAGGTGAGGATTGGTGAGGGTTTGGATTGGTAGAAAGAGACGGGGAGGACATCTCACATCAAGAAGTTATGCCAGTGGATTTCAGGAGAATTGAGTGTTTGTGTCTGAAAAGCCTGTAAGAATAGGGCATGACAGTGTGGAGAAATGCATGAAAGTATGAAGGATCGTGATATCCAGTTTGAGGAGTGCTAACTAGAGGCTCTGAAGATTTGAGAAGAAACATAATGAAAGGTGTTCTCAGCCTGATCTTGGTATGCAGGACTGGTAAACCCCAAACACCTTACCATTCTATTACCTCTCCCTCAAGGAATGGGTCCCTTGATAAGAATTTAGTGTAAAAAAGATTGTCAATTCAGTGCTGCTGCTGAGTGCTAGTTTCTTTAAACACACACAGTTTTCTTTTGAGAATTTTTTTTCTATTAGATAGACGAACTGTTATTTAAATGAAAAAGGCACATAGTCCCATAAAACAATTACACATTCGGGTGATAACTTCAAAAGGAGAAATTAAAATGTTCTTATGTTTTGAGCAAGCATTTCCACTTCCAGACTTTGCTGCATAAACATCTGTGGTCATCTAGGGAATGCCTGACCTGGTTCAGAGGTGTCAGAGCAATGTAAAGTCACGGAAGTGCTGCAGTTCTATTCTGGGCTCTCATCTTTTTGCAGCGGTCCATTCTCTAATTTTCAACCACATATTACCAGACAATCTCTTAAGTCATACACAACAAACTGATTCTGTTTCAATGCTTAGAATTAGAATAAAAAAGCCTAAGCAAAAATAGCACAAACATTTGAAAAACACTCCTTTTTTCTACCACTCCCTTCTTAGAACAGAAATAAAAGCCCTGTACTTTAAGAAAATGGATGGAAGAATTTTCTTTGTACTTCTTATTCTCCAAGTTACATTTACTACCTGATAGTGTTAATACCTTTTTGTAGTACCTTTCTTTAAAATATACAGGGAAATGATCTGTTCCAAGAAACTGTGTTTTTAAATTTAATTATAGTGTGCTATGATGATTTAAAAAATGGCCTTTTGAGTAAAGGACACGAACAAGTTATTTAAAAAGTGAGCAGTAAGTGTGGTCAGTAAACACATCAAAAAGTTCCCTTCACTAATATTCAAAGAAATGCAAATTAGAATAATAATACCCTTGTTGCTTGTCAAATTAATACTTTAACAATTATTATGTAAATTTTATGGATAGGATTGCAAATCAACACACCTTTCCTGGCCACTGGTGTACATAATAGAAATTCTAAAAATGTTCTTAGGCTTGACCAAGCATTTCCACTTCTAGACTTTGCTGCACAAAGATCTGTGGTCATCTAGGAGAAGGCTTGACCTGGTTCAGAGGTATCAGAGCAATGCAAAGTCATGAAAATGCTGCAATTCTATCCTGGACTGTCATCTTTTTTGTAGTGGTCCATTCTCTAATTTTTCAATGACGTAGTACCAGACAGTCTCTTAAGTCAAATGTATTTGTAGGGCTCTGGATTTGAAATTCAATCTGGCTTTCAGCCTTGATGTGGCCACTCCCAACTTGTAAAGGACCTGTGAAGACTTAGACACAGAATAAAACACAGAAGATAAGAAAACCAACTTTGAAAGAAAATTTATTGTCAAAATTGTACTGGGTCAATTGAGCAAAAACTTCAAAGAGCGTTTTCATATTAACCAAAGCATCCCTCCTCAATTGAAACATATAAAGATATTGTTCACCCCTATCCTGACTCAGAGATCCACAAATCTGGGCATTCATCATCACCATATTCTGCTGGCAATAGTTTTAAGCAGCTAAATTACTGTTCTCTACTCTTGAGTTTCCTCCATCTCTTCAGATACAGAAAGTTCTAGAATATATTCAAATAATCAAATCTTTAATTCATTCCATATATCTGGCTCAAGACAGTGTCCCAATAACCTTATTCTAGAGAAAGTCAGATTTAGACTTGTGCTCATCATCATACTCATGTTCTTGACATCATTTTAAGCTCTGAGGAGACATCTCACATAACTCTCATTGATACGTGTATACATCTGTCACTCTGTGTTTGTGCTGTGATGGATGGACTTGGATGTAGATATGCATAGATGATGAAGCAGATAGCTATATATATGGTATTGATGTAGATTCAGTACAGCTGTATAATTGCATCTGTGTTTCACATATCTTGTGTACTGTATCTTGACTGTATCTGTGTCAATACCTAATTGAGTTATAAGGCATAAATATGTGGAGCTCTTAGCACAATACCTGGCACACTGCAATCAGTCGATGTATGTGTTTGTGTGTGTGCGTGTGTGTGTGTGTGATACAGACAGAACCTGCTAATATGCATAATAGTCAGGTTGGGTTGTTATAACAAAATACTATAGACTGTGTGGCTTAAACGGCAGACATTTGTTTCTCACAGTTCTGGAGTCTGGGAAATCCAAGGTCAAGATTAGTTTCTGGTGAGAGCAGTCTTCCTCTTTTGCAGCTCCCCATGGTTTGCAAATCACAGATTTCTCGCTGTATTCTCACATAGTGTAGGAGGAACAGAGGGAGGGAAGGGAGGAAGTGCCTAAGGACACTAATCCCATGATGAGAGTTCTATCCACCATGACCTAATTACCTCCTAATGCCACCATCTCCAAATACTATCACACTGGGAATTAGGTCTTTAACATGTGAATCATTTGGGGTGGAGAAGACAAACATTCAGCTCATAACAGGTAAGGTAGAAAATCTCAAGAATTTATATTTTGTATATGAAAGATCATTAATGAGCAGAATTTTAAGTTTAATGCCAATTTTAATCTATTTTTATCTTTTCTACGATTCTTTTTTACTTTTTAATTTTTAAACTTTCATATACAAAGGGATAATATTTGGCTAAATGTTCTCTTCTTTTTGAGCTCTGGATCATTGTTACGATCACCCCATAATTGTATGTGTGCAGAGATAGTGCTTTATACATTTTTAAAACAATTTTATATACAGTATTAAATTTTATTTTTCAATAAACAATCCATGAGATAGAAAGAACATATATTTTGTTTTACAGATAAGCTCCAGGGAGAGTCTAGGGTACCTTAGATTGTATGGGTAAAACATGGTTTATTTAAATCATAAATAAACAGTCTTATTTCCCTAAATGCACATACAGGCATCCACATCAAATGAAATCACATCACATGAATTGAACAGGCAGTTACTGACTTAGAACTTTGCACTCACAAAAGACACACTCTCCTAAATGTCTCCATCATACTATACTTTTTGTCCCCAAATGCCTAATCACTGAAGCTTCAGACTTTGTTGCTTTGATTCCCTTAGGAAAAATTCCTGGTGTTTCAGAAAAAAAGAGCCATTTAACTACATTAGAAGTTAACCCTCCTTTAAAAATGTGACTCTGTTTTTTCCAATTAGATGATCATTTTCCATTATGAAAATAATTGAGGCAAAATAACATTCAGGTGATTTTGCTTCTCTATTATACCATCATACTAGTATAGCTAGAGGATGTCACAATGTTGTAATCTTTAGGTGATTATTCTTTGAAGTGCAGAGACCTGTATGTCTCACTCACTGATCACATCATTACAACAACCCCTTTTTATACAAAGATCAGGAAACGGATGCTCTCATGTTAAATATCTTATTCCAGGATCACAGATGATGCTGCCAGTGGCAGAACCTAGATTTGGGTGCAGGGCCCCCTCTCAGTGCTAGTCTGTAAACATTGGACCATTCTTCCTTGAGGAGGTAGGCTAAACAGTTGTGGATGGAATAATAAATTAACTAGCATGGCTTAAAACTTCACACTTCAGCCGGGCGCGGTGGCTCACACCTGTAATCCCAGCACTTTGGGAGGCCGAGGTGGGCGGATCACGAGGTCAGGAGATCAAGACCATTCTGGCTAACATGGTGAAACCCCCCCCCCCGTCTCTACTAAAAATACAAAAAATTAGCCGGGCGTGGTGGCGGTCACCTGTAGCCCCCAGCTACTCGGGAGGCTGAGGCAGGAGAATGGAATGAATCCGGGAGGTGGAGCTTGCAGTGAGTTGAGATCGCGCCACTGCACTCCAGCCTGGGTGACAGAGCGAGACTCCTTCTCAAAAACAAAAACAAACAAAAAAAAACTTCACGCTTCAATGGCATCGATCCCAACACCAACAAAGCTATAATTACACAGATACTTCCAAAAAGGTCTAACCTTCGGTGACGTTCCACACTATCCTTCAACACTACAATGACATCTTTTTCTTCTGTCATGTTCATACCTGTGTCCCATTCCATCATACCTGTGTGAGAATAACCTATTAGGTAATATTTATCTCCCTATCCTTATACTCTGTGTTGGTAAAGAGATATTGTAACCCCTGAAGCCTTCTATCTTTGCATAAAATATGTCTTTATGAGTTGTGTGGTTTGAAACACAGTGTAATAGTGATTACTCTAGAATAGACATGTTGAGATAAGAATCACTGTAAGGTTGAGTGGAACTGGGGAAATAAATACAACTTTAGAAAGAAAACTGTCAAAGACTATGGCCAAACTACTAGGATATGAGACATGCAAATTCACTGCCCATATCCTTGAACTTCTGCTTCTCCTGATGTTTGATTATAATTCTATCCCTAGGAAGTTTAAAGGCTATTTTTAGCTAGCGCTTACAGCAGGGGAGAGAATACTAATCCAGGGTCTGGCACTCAGTAAGCACTTATGGATGTAAGCAGCAAATATCCTGTAGCAGGACTCATCGAAGCATAGCACATACGTAGAAAACAATGTAACCTTAGCATCAGCATCAGTGCCCCTTCTTATTATCAAGAGATTCTAATTAGAAATAAGAGGGTGTTCATATTGTGAAGATGTTTTCATTATATCTGAATTTAAGCATCAGAGAGTATTACACAGTCAAGCTACAGGAAAAAACTAAGTTTCTAACAACATATTTTCCATTACTCTGAACATTAGGAATATGCCATATTTTACAGAATGATGATACATTAAAAGGAAATGCATACACACACACACACACACACACACACACACACACACACACAATCTATTGAGGAAAACTTTCCAGATTGTCTATACTCCTTGGTGCAGCTCTATGGCTTTATATATCATTTCATTAAAATTTTTCCTTCTTATTAGTCTTAGCTCGTCACAATTGTTATGCTTAATTAACTCGATCAATTGTGGATTACTGCCAGTTATATTTGCAGACACCATAGCAGCTTATTAACTCATAAACACCAAAAGATAACAGAAGCACTGGAGGACAAATCATTAAATGAATCTTTTAATTTCTAGCCTATAAATGGAAGTTAGCGCACGTTAGTTTGCCAGTTGTTTTCAATGGGTAGACACTGGAATAGTACCTTCCCTATGTCTAGGCTATGTATGACCCATGAGGGGAAGTAATGAATCATGATCAAGCTGATACTTTCATTACCTTTAACATAGTGTGCCAAACATTGATGTTTTATCACACATTTGTGATGTTTTCTCACAAATGTTTAATTTTTATCACAAATTAATGAGCAAAAACTAAAGATCTTTGAAGATAGATTTCTTTTCCGCTTTTTCTTTTTTTGCGGGGGTGGGGGGGTTGTTTGTTTTCTAAACTACTGTTTTACTACAACCTAGACAAACATCTGGCACATAGTAGGTGTTTAATGGATGTTTGTTGGAAAGTAAGCTGCTACTATTAGCAAACGTTATAGAAGGGTCTCGAGTTCCATGAGGGAGCATGTTTGGAGAGGCCCATGTGTGATTTTTTACATTATAGTCAAGATGGTTATTTAGAGCATGCCACTCCCATTGGGACTTCCAACCAGGAGAGGCGATTCTGAAAGCCCCCCACTAGAGCTTCTGATCCTTTTAGATGACCCTTGTTGCACCCTTCTCCTCAAATTTTTGAACTGTCAGCAATTACAAGTGTGATGTTACAATATCTGAGATCTCCCAAGTGTGGTCCTTTCCCGCTACTTTTAAAGCAGAGGGAGACATTTGCTATTACTTGGTCAATTTTTCCCAGCCTGAGGGTGTGAAGCTTATGTTTGGAGAGAGTGTTCTTTGCCACTGGGGGTGGAATGTTCTCCTGAGAGGAGTTAGTCACCCAGTTGAAAGTGCTCCCATACCATGTCCCATTTATGCCTGATATGTCTTGAAAGGTTAAAGGTAAAGCCAATAAAGGGAACCCCAAGACGATGAGTTCCGGGTCACTGTAAGATTCCTCAGTGTCGTTGAATTGAGTGAACTACTTAGGACAGACCCAACAATTAGTCTTGTACAAATGGGCCATGGTGGATATTGTAGGAGCTAAAGGGTGTGATGTATTACTAAGTCCGATAAAAAGTCCTAATAGACTTAGTGATAGTAAAACACTCATGTTTATTTTCTGTTAGTAACCATTATTCCTGCTATCAGGATAATAATTAAGCAAAATGCTACAGTAATTGAGATTCTCTGTCTGATTTTCCACCCTGAGGGTGCTACAGTATATAGTTCTATTGCAAATAGTAGAGTGAGTATAACAATTTCTGCAAGGGTGGCATAGTAAATAATTTCCATCAAAAAGAAGTTTTAATATTTGGCTCAAAGGGAGAGGTAGAAATGACAAAAAGTATTTGATGAGGTAGGGGTGAGACTGAGTACGATGAGTAGTTCTTACTCAGTTACTTATCTTTTGTGATTTTCAGCTTAAGATCTATTTTTTCACAGATATTCAGGTCATTCCTTTGGGCTTTGGTCCCTTAGCTCTCCAAGGCTTTGACTCGAGTGTGATGTATCCAGAATTTGATTCCTATGACTTTTATTCCTGAGGGAGTTGAAAGAAGAACGGTGTAAGGCCCTTCCCAGCTTGGGCTTAGGGAGGGAGGCAGGGAAAGCAGAGCCTTCACCTGTACCAAATCTCCTGGGTTAAATAGAGTGGTCCAATTTCCTGGGGTTGGGCTTTCATGAATTGTGCTAATTGGAAGTGAGCCAGAGAAGTTACATGCTTAACTAGCTTAGACGTTTCTCGATTTAATAGAAAATCATTGGTAAGGAAAGGCCATCCATACAGCATCTTAAAAGGGCTAAGACCTAATTTTGAAGGTGTATTTTTTATTTCTAGTAAGGCCATAGGAAGAAAAGTGACCCAAGGAAGGTGAGTTTCTTGGGATAATTTTCTGAGGTGTCTCTTGATAGATAACCCACTGGCTGTTGAGCTGGTCCTTGGGCCTGTGTTAAAACTTCCAGGGCCATCCCCTTTCTTTCTGATACATACAGATTGAAGGACTCCCCTACAGGAAGGCTGAGAGCTGCTGCTTTGAGCAAAGCTTGCTTTAGCTTGTCAAAGGCCTTTTGAACTTCAGGTTTCCAGGTTAAAAGATGAGTTTTAGCTCCCTGAGTTTTTTTATGACGTTATGTAATGGATGGGCTATTTCACCATATCCAGGTATCCACAGTTTACAAAATCCTGTAATGCCCCCAAATACTCTTAGTTGCTTGAGAGTTTTGGGGAGGGAGAAGGTGGAGATAGGCTTAATCCGCTCTTTCCCTAATGCTCTGGTCCCCTCAGACAACACTAAGCCTAGGTACTTCACTAAGGTTCTGCAGAGCTGGGCCTTGGGTTTTGAAACCTTATATCCTCTGCTAGATAAGAAGTTGAGAAGAGCTTCAGTACCTTCCTGAGAAGCTTCCTCAGTTGGGGCACAGAGCAGTAT
The DNA here is from genome assembly GCF_000001405.40 of Homo sapiens. Taxonomy (NCBI): domain Eukaryota; kingdom Metazoa; phylum Chordata; class Mammalia; order Primates; family Hominidae; genus Homo; species Homo sapiens. The sequence goes on from NC_000002.12 coordinate 208,391,921, forward strand.
ATAATCCACATACTGCAAGACCCTAACTTGAGTATGAGAGAACTCAGAGAGGTCTGGTGACAGTGCCTGTCCAAACAGACGAAGACTATCTCAAAATCCCTAAGGGAAAACCATCCATGTTAACTGGGTGGTCTGGCCGGAGGGATCTTCAAATGCAAACAGGTATTGAGAGTCGGGATGTAACAGTATGCAGAAAAAGACATCTTTCAAATCTAGGACTGCAAACCATTTAGTTCCCTCAGGTATTTGAGTTAACAGGATATAGGGATTAGGGACCACTGGATGGATTGGAACTACAGCTTTATTAATGAGGTGAAGGTCCTGAACTATTCTTCATTCCCCATTGGGTTTCTGCACTCCTAATATTGGGGTGTTGCAGGGGCTATTACAGGGTTTGAGGAGGCCTCTAATCTTTAGGTTATTAATAATGGCTTCTAGCCCTTTCCTAGCCTCTGGCCTTAAGGGATACTCTCTCTGGTTAGGAAAAGAAGTGGGATCCTTAAGATAGATTTGGATGGGCCTAGCAGTTATAGCTCAACCTATTCTTCCTTGAGTTGCTCACACTTCTGGATTAATGTTAACTTCCATCAGGGGGAGACAAAGAGTTTGTCCTGGGGCTATAAGGATACTGGCTCCCATGCGAGCTAGAATATCTCTACCTAATAAAGGAGTGGGACTTTTAGGCCTGATTAGAAAGGCATATGTAAATAGTAAGCCCCCAACCTGCAGCTACGGGTTAAAGGTAAATATCAGGTTAGAGTTTTTCCTGAGACGCCTCTTACAGTCATACTAAAGGAAGAGGGAAGGCCTGGATTACAGAGGAGAAGAGAGACTGGCTCCAGTACCCAGAAGATCTACCTTCCTTCCTTCAATTTTCAGAATCACCCGGGGCTCTTGTGCTGTAATGGCAGACTGAGCCGCTGGAATGGGGGTTTGAGCCCCGGGACCTGTCAATCCTGCTGGACCATCTCTGAGACTGGTTCTGAACCCAGTGACCTCTGCCTCCAGGGAAAGACCTGTCTTCAGCAGTTTCCACCACAGGCTGGACAGGGTCAAGGAAGGTTCGTATTGCTGTCTGGGCATTCCTTCTTAAAATGCCCTGGCTGGCCACATTGATAACACCTAGTGGATGCACCTTGGGGATTCTGGACTTTACAAGCTTGCAACGCTGCTACTAGAGCCTCTGTTCTCTTGTATTTCCTCTCCTTTTCTCAGGCCTCCTCCTGATCCCTATTGTAAAAGACTAAAGTGGCTATTCTCAGGAGGTTTTCTAGGGTGCTCTCTGGTCCTACAACTTGCTTCTGTAGCTTCCTTCTAATGTGGGGAGATGCCTGTGTGATAAACTTGTCCTTCAGGATGAGCTGTCCCTCAACTGAATCAGGGGATAAAGAGGTGTGTTTTATTAGTGCCTTTTTCAGCCTTTCCATAAAGGCTGTGGAATTCTCATCTCATCTTTGGTCTAGCATGGACAGTTTAGAGTAATTGAAAGGGTTGGCCCTGGTCTTCCATAGGCCTTCTATATTAGAAAAAGGGCTTCCTTTTCCATTCATCTCCTGAGTTATTGGGATTCCAATCAGGGTTGTCTACTGGAACTGCTTCCCTTCCTAGTGGAATGGAGTTTCCACCTCTTCCTCACCTTCCCTCTCTCCTCTTTTTCTCCTGGGTCTGCTATAGGAGACATGTTGCTCATCTCCGTATTTTTCTGCTGCCTGCAGAACTGTCTGCTTTTCAGCTGCAGTGAGGGTCTGACTTAGCAGCAACATAACATCCCTCCGTGTGAGATCAAACACCTGAGTTAAATTTTGGAAAATTTCTATATACCTACAGGGGTCATCAGAAAATTGGCCTAAGTCTCCCTTTATTTGCTTAAGATCCTGTAATGAGAAGGGAACTTGAACCCTTATGGCACCACTCCCATCAGGCATTTCCTGCAGAGGTAAGAGTGAAGGGGGGAGAGTAGGATATACTGGAGCTGGTAGAGCTGGAGGAGTGGATGGTATGATTGGAAGGGGACTGGAAGGGTTGGGACATTCAATAGCTGTCTCGGATTACTCCTCTGGAACCTGCTTTAGCTCTGGGGAACTATTCCCTGTGGGCTTGCCTGTTGTGGCTGCTAAAAGAACTGGGTTGATTGTACAGAACTTGTAAAGGTCTGAGTTGTCTTGAGGGGCAAAGAAAGCCTGTACATAGGCAGCCTCAGTCCATTTGCCCTTCTGTTTGCAGAAAAGTTTTAACTTTTGGATAATACTAAAATCAAGGCTCCCCACTAGCAGGCCAGGTTTGCCTGTCCCGAAGATAGTAAGAAGGGCATGCCCTTGTGCAATAGAATATGAAGTGCTTTTTCTTCAAAGTCTCAGGGCCGAAGGAGTCCCAGTGCTTTAAAATATACCCCAGGGGGGTGCATGTTGAAGACAATCTGTTACTCATCTAGAAAGAGAAGTGAGAATAAAAGTGTTCTTTTAGTCTGCTTCCTTTCAGTATGTGATCCAGGATAGAGAAGAAAACAGTAGGGGGTGTCCCCCCCACCAATTATTTTCTCTCCCTGGTTCCTGGATCCTGGCACCCATTTGAATGGGACACCCATGACTGCAGGCATGACCCTCTAAGCCATGGCACCAGAGAAACTAGACTTTTGGCCCTAGTCACGCTTCCCTAAGCAGCCTTAGTCCTCTGCCTTTTATTTCCTTTTGACCTCCTAGACTTGTGTGACCTGTGTGCCTCCCTAAAAAAATGGATCTCAAGAAAAACTACGTAATTGAGCAAGGCCCCTTTAAGGGAGGGGGCGTGCTAGATTGAACTCTATATCCTGTTATTATGGCCCATGCTAAAGCATTTACCCTTAGAAAAATGGTTCCCGTTAACTTCTGGACTTAAAATTATTAATTTTATTTAAGGAATTAAATTATTTAAGTAATTAAAATTAATACTATTATTAAGTACTTATTAAGTACTGTCTTAATCAGAGACAGAATAGGTGGCTTAAAGGAACGCAGGAACTGAATGGCCATTTTGCTGCTGATGGGACAATAACGAGACTAAAATCTGGCTGCGGAAGACATCTTACTCCTAACTGCTAAAGGCAGAACTTCCCTGTTCCCAGAAGAGGCCTAGAGTCTGATTTCTTTTCTTTTTTATTTTTTTTTTTGAGATGGAGTCTTGCTCTGTTGCCCAGGCTGGAGTGCAGTGGCGCGATCTCAGCTCACTGCAAGCTCCACCTCCCAGGTTCAAGCCATTCTCCTGCCTCAGCCTCCGCAGTAGCTGGGACTACATGCGCCCGCCACCATGCCTGGCTAATTTTTTGTATTTTTAGTAGAGACGGGGTTTCACCATGTTAACCAGGATGGTCTCGATCTCCTGACCTCATGATCCACCCGCCTCAGCCTCCCAAAGTGCTGGATTACAGGCATGAACCACCACGCCCGGCCGAGTCTGATTTCTAATGGTGCAAAAGGAAGCTGCGGTATTGCTGTGAAAAAAAAATGTGCCTCATGTAGAGGATGTCTATTTCCACTAGGTGGTGGTGTTGGCTTAGAAATATTGTGTGCTCACCAGCGGTGTGGTAGCAAGAAACCTCACCACAGAGGAAAGGGAAGAACTCTGTTCCTAGAAGATTGCAACGACATTTTCCTGATCTTGCCTAACAGGATTACTTTTCTAGGCTCTACAAATCCCTGCACATTTCACACAGAGAAAGAGTATGAGACCGAGGATAGAAAAGGAAGGAGAGTTTTGCAACAGGATAGCTGAGGATTCTCTGCCAACACCCAGAATGGACTGTCGGAGGCTGGGTCCCTCATGAAAATGGCCATACTGCCCAAGGTAATTTATAGATTCAATGCCATCCCCATCAAGCTACCAATGACTTTCTTCACAGAACTGGAAAAAACTACTTTAAAGTTCATATGGAACCAAAAAAGAGCCCATATAGGCAAGACAATCCTAAGCAAAAAGAACAACGCTGGAGGCATCATGCTACCTGACTTCAAACTATACTACAAGGCTACTGTAACCAAAACAGCATGGTACTGGTACCAAAACAGAGATATAGACCAGTGGAACAGAACAGAGGCCTCAGAAATAACACCACACATCTACAACCATCTGATCTTTGACAAACCTGACAAAAACAAGAAATAGGGAAAGGATTCCCTGTTTAATAAATGGTGCTGGGAAAACTGGCTGGCCATAAGTAGAAAGCTGAAACTGGATCCCTTCCTTACACCTTATATAAAAATTAATTCAAGATGGATTGAAGACTTAAATGTTAGACCTAAAACCATAAAAACCCTAGAAGAAAACCTAGGCAATACCATTCAGGACATAGGCACAGGCAAGGACTTCATGACTAAAACACCAAAAGTAATGGCAACAAAAGCCAAAATTGACAAATGGGATCTAATTAAACTAAAGAGCTTCTGCACAGTAAAAGAAACTACCATCAGAGTGAACAGGCAACCTACAGAATGGGAGAAAATTTTTGCAATCTGCCCATCTGACAAAGGGCTAATATCCAGAATCTACAAAGAACTTAAACAAATTTACAAGAAAAAAACAACCCCATCAAAAAGTGGGAAGTATATGAACAGACACTTCTCAAAATAAGACATTTATGCACCCAACAGACACATGAAAAAATGCTCATCATCACTGGCCATCAGAGAAATGCAAATCAAAACCACAATGAGATACCATCTCATGCCAGTTAGAATGGCGATCATTAAAAAGTCAGGAAACAACAGATGCTGGAGAGGATGTGGAGAAATAGGAACGCTTTTACGCTGTTGGTGGGAGTGTAAATGAGTTCAACCATTGTGGAAGACAGTGCGGTGATTCCTCAGGGATCTAGAACTAGAAATACCATTTGACCCAGCGATCCCATTACAGGGTATATACCCAAAGGATTATAAATCATGCTACTATAATGACACATGCATATGTATGTTTATTGCGGCACTATTCACAACAGCAAAGACTCGGAACCAACCCAAATGTCCATCAATGATAGACTGGATTAAGAAAATGTGGCACATATATACCATGGAATACTATGCAGCCATAAAAAAGGATGAGTTTATGTCCTTTGCCGGGACATGGATGAAGCTGGAAACCATCATTCTCAGCAGACTGACCCAAGGACAGAAAACCAAACCTGCATGTTCTCACTCATAGGTGGGAATTGAACAATGAGAACACTTGGACACAGGGAAGGGAATATCACATGCTGGCGCCTGTTGTGGGGTGGGAGGCTGGGGGAGGGATAGCATTAGGAGAAATACCTAATGTAAATCATGAGTTGATGGGTGCAGCAAACCAACATGGCACATGTATAAATATGTAACAAACCTGCATGTTGTGCACATGTACCCTAGAATTTAAAGTATAATTAAAAAAAAAAAGAGGCCAAGAGCACCTTGGAATGACAGAACAGATTTTAAGCTTACTCCCATACTTACCACTCTGATGAATGCTGTACCTTGGATTCCTGGCCAATGCACCAAAATCATATGGCTTTGATGACTGGAGGAACACCAGGGTCCTTGGTCTTGCACCGGTTTGAATAAAACGACACAGACACATGTGGAGTGGCTTTAGGGAGTGGAGAATTGTAATAGGCAAGAAAGAAGGAAGAGGCTCCCTCTGTACAGAGATAGAGGTGGGGGGGCTCTAAGCTGAAAGAGGGAACCCTGAGTGCGGTGAAAAACAGCCATTTATATGAGGAGGCTGGAGGAGGCGGTGTCTTACTGGCATAGTGCCCAGAGGATTGGTTTGACCAGGTATGTCATTCAAGTAGCCGGTGAAAAAACTGGCCCTCCCACCCTAGCCTTTTAATATGCAAATGAAGGGCACCATGATGTTCTACACATGTGGGGATATGTGGGGTGGCCATGTTGCCAGGCACATGTGGGCACAAGAAGATGGCAGGAATCGCCATGTTTGGTGGACCTAGTTTCTAATGGCCTGCATTTGCATATCAAAGCTTGCCTGCCAGGGTTTTTCTGCTAGGCAAGAAACATTTCTGGAGCTGATTTAAAAGAAAAATAAACTTCCCAAGGACCCCTTTTCTTCTTTATCTGCCTAAAATAATTTTTTAATAACTCCTGTAACAATGATTACTAGAAAGCAATTTATTCATGAAACTTAAAACTAAAATCAAATAATTGAAAATTAATTCATTGGGTCTTTGATATTAATATTCTTTAAGCCACAGAAGTCATAGAAAAGACTGAATTTGTCACCCTAGGCATTTCATTAAAAAAAGTTAGTTTCTTTTGTCTCAGAATGAAGTAGTCTTAAGTTCCAGAGCAGATATATCCTCATTATAATTAGTGAAATGGTGGTTTACTTAATTTTTAACATATAAATAGAGTCACATTTATCACTCCTTGGCATTTTCTTTAAGGATCTGATGCCAGAATGGCCGTGGAAGTCAAACATGTCTCATGCAAGAAATGGAATAAAAAGTTTCTATGAGTTTATGGTAATGGTTGGTTGGAAGTGTTACTTTTTGTAGCAGCTACTGTCAATGTTCCAATCATTTCTGATGATCTTGGTGATTTGGTGGATAATTAGACATGTGTCCTCAGACCAAGAAACTGCAAAGGCATAGAAGAAAGACAATCACGCTCTTGTGTTCAAAATGAAAAGCTTCTTTAGGGGCATTGTATTCTACTTAGATAATCATTTTAGAGCTTTATATGAGGTGTCTGGATGTGGTTTGGGGAATGTAATTAGATCAATTCCCTTAAAACTGTTTAAAGTGATTTCTCTCTTTCCATAAGTTATTGTATTACTAATTAATTTATTTACTATCTCGATTTTGTGCTGTTTGAATCTTAAGGCAGAAAAGAGTTGTCTGTATCTCTTGTGATAACACATATACTGGAATTATAAAATTAGACTCTCTTGAATTCTAGCTCTTAACCAGTCCCAAACTTGACTCAGAATTCAAAGGACCAGGCAAACACCAGGCACAAATAAAACAGTCTTTTCTTGGAGAAGTCTGAGACCATTTGGCACAGATTTCCAAAATAACCCTATTCTCATGCAGTAGGATAAGTTTTAGATTTAATAGACAAGCTTCTTTATAAGCAATATGTGCAGAGACATCGTTCAAACAAAGGGAATAATTCCAGTTATGCAATGTCTCTTCTTCATACCTTATTGTTTACATAATCATCTCTTAGTTTCCCCTATCACCCAGAAACCTGTGAATTCTAAGTTTATTTATACACACAATCAAGATGTGTGCTCCTAAAAACATTTTATACTCTCCATTATCTTTCCATTCCTAGTAAATACTTAGTGAGTTTACTGGAAAATTTGGTTATTCACATGTGTTCAGGGAAGGGTTAACTCAGTAGGTCTGGGTTGCTCAAACCCTGCACATTCCCAAGAAAGGCCAGTCCTCAGGACTGGCCCTTGGCTGGTTTCTGGGAGATGAGCTCTAAGTCCTCGGCATAATCTGCTGGATAAGAGTGGTTTGTATATCTGCAGCCTTGGGCTATGCTGTACCAGTTTGACCAGGTAGTTTATGCTAACAATGTCATCTGTGAATGCCTATTTTTGCTTGTGGCAGGGTTATGGTGGGGCTGGGTTCCAAGTAGGTGATTAAAAACCCTAGACACCAGGACTCAGATAAGCTTCCCTAGTTGGCAACACTTTGCACAAGGTGTCATACATCATTGCTGGGAGAATTAAGTGCATCTGTGTGACTCCACTGGGAGAAGACCCCTGGAAGCTTGTTCCTGGTTCTGCCTGAACATCATCTTATGTGACTTTTCCCTATGTTGAATTTAATCTGTATCCTTTCACTCTGAGGAATCATAACCATGAGACAACATCTTCTGAGTCCTATGAGTCCTTCTAGCAAATCATTAAGCATGATGGTGGTGGTTTTGAGGACTCCCAACATAGCATGTTTACCAAGAGATTTATTTGAGGTTTTTCTTTCCTTTCTGATAGAGAAAAGTTCATACCTGCTGTTCACCTTTTCCTTCCCAGCATGTAGTGTGGAGCTATGAACCTCTATGCTGATGTCCTTTCAGCCCTTTTTACTGATACTCACCCTGTCTCTGGGGCCTTACCCCTTCATTAATAACCCTATGGAAAGTAAAACTGTATTTCAATAGGTCTCCAGTTATAGCACCTGGAAAATTAAACTCTTCTTAAAACCCAAGTTAGTTCTTTCAGCGATTTGACCTATTTTGTTTTTCAGAAAACACTTCTGTTTATACCTTACTAAAATATTATATTGTAGTGGTTATATGTCCAGAGGCTAGTAGAGTACTTGTTTATTGAAAACAAAATAAAATATGAATTCTAAATAGTAATGTCTAAATTCTTCAAAATGTAAGTGGTAGAATTGACTTTGATAGACCTTTTCTCCTGTAATATATTGTTATAATATCCTGAGACATACTCAGCATAAATATCTTCCCAGTCATTAAGTTAGTCACCAGCACCTCTCTTTGGGGACTGCCTAAAATGAAAGGATATGTCCTTCGGTGGAGTATTCTTATATTTCCAGGGGTAGCAAGAGCTATTTGAATTTCTCATTAGAATGTCTTTTTCAGATGTCTAGTTTAACCTGGTATCCTAGTAAAAATAGCAACATCCGGATCACTAAGGGATGGTTCAGAGTAGATTATATTAGTGGTTATTTTGGTATTAGGTTTGTGGTACTATCTATAACCTTTTATAAAGATCTCATTGATTTATTTTAATGTGGGTAAAATCATTTTAGACATGGATGAATCAGACAATAACTTAATTTTATCTAAATATTTTGCAAGTTAGGTCAGCAAGAGTTCACTATATAATTGCTAAAATAGTCTCTTTAATTTCCAAAGCATATGTATATTTTATTGGAAATGTGATTTATGTGCATTATATTCAACTAATAAACATTATATTTGATGTCTCAGTAAGTATTTAACCAGATGTATATGTATCTCTTGAACTTTTATTGCACAAACATAAAAGCTCTGTTTGTGGAGAGAATAAAAGCAAATTTCATAGTAGACCTCAATATACATTTCACAAGTACTGACCTCATAGTTCTAGAATAGAAACCAACTGGGTATGATACATGAGAGTTAGTAGACATAGCTTATGATCATTATGTGAATACATTGGTTGTATTCCAGATATCAGAAGGAGGTATACAATAGGATTATGCCATGCTCAGAAATATTGGATGTCTGTGTATGAATCCTATGAAGAAATCATTCATATTCCCATAAACATTGAGTTTCTTCGCAGTCTCTTCTTCCATCTGTATGGGAACTATTCCCAAATCTGTTTTCAGCACTTACCTGAGCCCCACTCTCCAATTTCACATTCTTTTCAAAAGTCTCCAAATTCTCCCCTACCTGCCACCTGTATGTTCCAATGTTACCTGAAATGGAACATGAGGAGAGTTAGGATTAGCATCTGTCCCCTGTAAAAACAGTGGCCTTTCCTTCTGCCTTCCCACTACTATCAACACTAGTCTTGTTCTTTTGTCCTCCAAGACTTGCAAAAAGGTTTTTTTTTTTTGCCCCGTCATTCCTTTTACCTTCCAAACCGCTCAGTGATCAGGTCCTGTTAATATTTTCTTTATGGTATCTCTCCTTCTTATTCCTTCCTGTGTATTTTTTTTAAACTTAATCCTTTTCCTCCTCAGGGTTTGCAGCCACCCTTCTTCCTCTGCAGCACACCTGCTGTTTTAGAATCCCTCCTGTTCTGCCCGTCTCCTGCTTTGCACATGTTCTTCTCTGCTTCGAATGCCCTCTTCAGCATCCTCCATTGGGTCACACACAGCCCTTCTTCACGCTCAGTTCTGATGACTCCTCTGGAAATCCTCTCTCACCACACAGGGCTTAGAGGACTTCTGCTGTCTTCAAGGCTCTGGGAGTGCACTGGGAACAGGACAGGATCATTATCCTTGAAGCTCTGGTGCCTAAGAGACGCTAGCCACAGTGTGTTGTTGTTATTAGAGGTTGTCCCCTTACACAGCTCCCTGGTTCCTCTCCACTGCACCTGTTCTACAAGAGCCAACAGAACACTTTTTCCTACAAAAACATTTTTGTATCACAGCCATTTGGTGGCACATGACTGGCTACCATACCATTCATTGCAATGCCATGTCTTAGCCAGGCTTTGAGGGACCCCAGTTCCTGCTACTCCTCACTTTCCTATTTTTACCAACAAGGCAGTTTTCTTCCTGTTTTTGCACATTATATAAGTCACCCAGTTTCTTGGTGTGCTTTTGCCATTCAAAACACTTAAAAATGCCCTTTCCCTTTGTCATAGCTTCTGAGAAGCTTTGCAGATTTTCTCACTATCCTGGAAGACTTCTTCAAGTAACCTTAGCCTCAAAGTAATCAGTCCCTCCCTCTGCAGCCTGTAGCTATTTTTATATTATGTTATTTTGTCCATGTTGATATTTTGCTTTGTCATATAAATTCTTTAGGAGAAAACCAGTATGTTCCATTTTTTGTTGTTTTTATCAATATTTACTTTTTACAGTGGTCTTTCTTGTCTAGAAAGTACCTAGTATAAATTGCTAACAAAATGTCATAGCTCCCTACATCTTAAAAAGTCCTCAATCAAATTTTATTTTTCAAGGTTTCTTGTACTTATTTTAAGTGATAAAGAAACAACTAGATTGACATTTTCAATGTTCCTTCCTAATCCATCTCCAAATTAAAGGGTTGTTACTTATCTAGGTGAAATTTCTCTTTCTTGTGGTATTTGGTACATTCTTGGGAGCATATGCCTTCGTGTGCTGAAAGACTCAACATAAATTGCTCATAGATATGTCATACTGCCTGTAATGTTGAGTGATCCTTTGGTTTAACAAGGATTAAAAATGTAATTCTATTGGGAACTTATCTCTGTGGGGAAATGAGAAAATGAATGAGAAGGTGCTTAGTACATCTGTGAAGTTCTATGGAAATGCTAAAGCGCATTCTATAGGGGCACGGTAGAATAGTAGAAAAAGTGATAAATGTGGAAACAGAAGACCTAAGCTGAAGTCTTCACTGGCTGCCGTGTGTCCTTCTGCACATCATTTAGCTTCTTTCTGAGTTATAGTTTCCTCATCTAAATAGGTACTACCCCTAAAATGGATATTTTAGTTTATGTATCTCTAAGGCTTGTTTGGGGAATCAGGATATTTTGCTGGATGCAAATATTTTGCAGAATGTAGATTTATGAAAGAAATTGGTTAAAATATGTTAAAAATATGAGCTATTGTTATAGCCAGCAAATTATAGCCATTTAATCCATGATATTGGCTAGTTCAGTCAGACGTTTTCCATGGAGGCAGTAAGATTTTCATGATTAGAATTTTTTTATTGAGGAAATATGCTATACATATGTAGGGATGATTTAAGTATTGGGAAGAAGTTAAATGATTTTTTCACATACTAAAATCCTATGGGATTTCTAGAGAAGACTTGCAGCTCTCCTAAATTCTTGACAGAAGAGTGTGTCAACTCTGAGAAAGCCATTTAATTTTAGAAAGACAAAATGGAGGTACAAAAAGCAGAAGGGGCTATTTGTCCAGTTAGCATTTGGACAGGATTAAATCCTGGTGCTAACTGATCTAACAATTAATGAAATCACATTGCTCTCACATCAGATGCTAGCAGCTAGATTTCACACTGCAAGCACGGGAGTTCAATGACAGGATGGTGTTCAGTTATTATTGGTGTGTAGCAAGCTACCCCCAATCTTAATGACTTAAAGTAAGTACAACCACTTACATAGCTCAGAAATCTGTAATTTGGACAGGCTCTTCTCTGCTTAAGTTGGTATCAACTGAGGCAGCTGAGCTTGGGTTAGAGGATTCAGTTCCAACATGGCTCATTCATAGGGCTGATGAGTTGCCACTGGTTGTTGCCTGGAACAGTGGTTAGGATTGAGACCTGAGATCTTCAGTTGCCTGCACTGGGCTTCTCTATGGGCGTCTCAGACTTCCTCACAGCATGGTGGCTAAATTCCAAGACTGAAAGGAAGTCCTAGAGCCTAGAAGTAGAAGCTGCCAGTTTCTTAAGGCCAGAGTTTATTTCCACTATATTCTATAGGTCAAGCAGTCATAGAGCCCATAATCATGGGAAGGAGACATAGGCCCTCACCTCTCAATGAAAAGTGTGTGTCCAAGAGTTTTGGGGGCATATTTTAAAACCTCTACAGTCAGAGAGTGTAAGGGGAGAACAGAGAGAAGAAGAACATTAAGTCTTAGGAGGACAAGCTTGAGTTGGGGCTGTTAGTTGGCTACTGAGAAGAAAGTTCTCATCTAATTATTTGAGAAACAAAGACAGAACATTGGTAATTTAACAAGTAGGGCAGTGTAGATTTAAGAGAGAGGAAATGGCATGGTACCAAGCACATAAGTCCAACTTCTTAATTTTCTTCAGGCTTTATCTTGACTGAGGTGGGCCTTGAATTTAACAATTTTCTTTAATCCTCAGTAGGGAAACTTTAAGATTGGCGATTGCTTCCTTTTCATTATTTTCCCTTAAGCTACAAATTAATTACTGAGTATTTCCATAATAGGCTTTGCATATTAATAATTATAAATGGAATGTAATAGTGTATATGAAAGTATTTTGCAAATACCAAGCTTACTGTCATTTGTATAACTGTACAGCTGATAAAAGTTTCCTCGACATTGTCATTATCTCATTTAATTGTTACACGGGCCTTATGAGGCAACTTGTTATTAGTAATAACAACCTTTCCTAATTAAACAGAGAGAAAGACACTTGCACACGAGCCACTGCACATCAGTTTGGAGTCAAGACAAAAACCCTCGCCTTGGGGAGTACCTTTTCTCTTCAGATGTACCCCGAGAAGTACCCGTGTTTGAATGGCCAGACTTCCCTGTTGTTATCTGCCTACTTCCTGAGTTCCAGTGAGAAAGCCCTCAGGACTGAGCTTCAGAGGGCTAAGTTCTTTCCAAATTTAACAGTCAGGCACTCAGAGAAAAGACTGCCAACCATTTGATGGAGGTGTTTCACATCTGAGTTTGATGAATGGTATTCCACCCTGGATAAACTGGAGAGATGCTCTATTTAATTGATTGCAAACCCTACTTTGATTTCTAAGCCTCTTCTATCAGAGCAGCCTTACATGGAGCTAAAGTTGTGATTTCAGAGGCATTAGCAAACTTTTGTCCTCCACCTCCCTTCAAAATATCTTTCCCATTAAAAAGATGGATTCTTTAATAAGTGATGTTGCATTAACTGGTTAGGTACTTGGAGAAATTGTTACATTACCTAAAAAATTGATACTTTAAAACATTAAATTATTTATTTAATGTTTGAAACAGTAAAATTATGAAACGGTAGAAAAGAACTAGAAAAAAGATCTGATGAAAAGATTTTCTAATTTTTAGTATGCAATTCCTTTCTCGCATAAAAGCTAAGGAAGAAATTATAAAAGAAAAGACTGCTAGATTTAGATACATAAATTTAAAAAACCCTCCGCACTGATCAAGATATTATAAATTAGGCCAAAAACAAAGTTGAAAAACATTTTGGTATTTATGTCAGAAAAATATTTTATATTGTAAACATAGACAGTGCTTTTCTACATAAATAGGGAATACTCAAACTTACCACAGCCCTTTGCCCATTCACAGACTATGATCACAATAATAATAATAATATTCATCATCACCAAACAATGCTAACGATACTAGCTAATACTTATTGAGCATTTCCTTGGACTTTATGTTTGTTTACTCACTTAACTTTTCCAACAAAATTTTGAGGGACAGCAGTGGGCTGAATGTTTATGTTCCCCCAAAATACATATGTTGAAGTTCTAGTCCTTAAGGTGATGGCTTATTAGGCATGGACTTTGAGAGGTGATTTGGTCATGAGGGCTCTGAGATCAGTGCCCTTATAAAAGAGACCTCAGAAAAATCCCTCATCCCTTCTGCCATGTGAGGTTGCAATGAGAAGACAGCAGTGGTCAATGAGGAAGCGGGCTTTTATCAGACACTGAATCTGCCAGCACTTTGATCTTGGACTTCCCAGCCTCCAGACTGTGAGAAATAAATCTCTGATGTTTATAAGCCACCCAGTTTATGGTATTTTGTTATAGCATCCAGAGCTGATTAAAGGAGGTTCTCGCATTTCTCCCATCTTACAATTGAGGAGATTAAGACAAAGAGAGGCCAGTATGTAATTTGCTCAGGGTTATGCAGCTAGCACATGGCAGAGCCAGAATTCAAAGGCTTTCTTCCTTCAAGAGGCAAGAACAAGAGATTTTAAAAGGTTGTAATACAATTGGCCAATGAATGTCTAAAATAGTCAAACTTAAAAATAAACTAAAAAAAAAGAATATTAGTTGTCTTTTTTTAATGCCAGGATTCAAAGCACAATACCACACAAAGAACTTTTGACCCACAAGAAATATATACATTATTTCTACTTAACACACACCGAGTATTATTATAATGGTTAGGAGAAAATGAATCAGAGCATTTTAGAGAGCTTTAGGACTGTCCAGCGAACAGCCCAGACGCAGGGCCTACCTGGCCTCGGGAGCCTTTAGCCATCTTATCGCTGTCCTCGGGGCCGATGGTCAGCGCACGCAGGACAGGAAGAAACTTCTGGATCACTCCTGGAAGACCCAGGGCGCCCCTAGAGACAGGGCCCTGGAACCCGGGACAGAGTGGAGGGAAGCAGAAACATTGCGAATCGGGGGTGGCGGCAGCAGCGACATGAGATCCTTTGCCCTCCGCCCCCTGGGCTGCGGGACCCAGTGACTTCGAGGAGGAGCGCGAGCGCAGCCGCGCGGGGCGCACCCGGATCCGCCTGGGGCGGGAGCCGCCCCCTTCCCGCCGCAGGCGGCGCGGGGCTGCGAGTCAAGTCCAGGACTCGGGCCAGTCTCTCCGGAAGACAAGACCAACCTCGCGCCGCGGCGCAGCAGCACGCGGGTTCTGAGAAGCGCGTGGCTCCGGCGACAAGACCCCAAGCACCCTCGGCCGGTGGCCCGGGCCCGACCACCCCAGCTGCGCGTCGTTACTGGCCACAAGTTTGCTCTGGGCCAGCCAAGTTGGCAACTTGGAAGCTTCTCCCGGGCTCTGGAGGAGGGTCCCTGCTTCTTCCTACAGCCGTTCCGGGCATGGCCGGGCTGGGGGCGTCGCTCCACGTCTGGGGTTGGCTAATGCTCGGCAGCTGCCTCCTGGCCAGAGCCCAGGTAAGAGCCAGTGCTCCGCGACACCTGTTTTCGCGGAGCCTCCGGCGGGGACTCAGCTTTAGCGACACGGAGGCCAGGTGCGCGCGAGAGCTCATTCATGTTCACACGTCCACAAACGCCCCGGCACGCACCGAGGCGTACCCGGCAGGTGCTGGCAGGCAATTAGTGGAGGGAGCTTCAAAGATCTGCTTTAGTGGAGTGATGTCCTGGGGCCGGCACTGTTTAGACCAGCATCCTGGCATCCGCAAAGTAAGGGGATATTTCCGAACAGCGGAGTCGTGGATCAAGAGTGTGAGGCTGGGAAGGTGAAGGAACTTTTCTTACTCTTAAACTCCGTGGTCCCCATTTAATTAATCGAAATGACTTTTGTCTGCTGGTAATTTACCATCGCTTTTGAGAATTTAAATTTACAGGATCGATTGTGACCACTATCTGAAAGAATAATTGGCTGTCTGTGATACAGAATCACATACATTCAAGTTAGGAGACAGAATAAAAATACCAAAATACAGCTCATTTGTTAATGTTAAGCGGTGGCTGTCACTTTTGTACTGCTAATATCATTTAGAGATTTTCTGGGCGATCTTTCACAATGAAGCCTCTTTAATGTGCAAGGCACAATTCATACGCACTTTTTTTTTTGAGTCAAATCAAATGTAGGGTTTACAGTCAGCTTTTCAGATGAGCTAGAGAGATGCGTGTAGTGGTGGATGTTATGCAGTTCAAGAGCCCTGTGAATTTAAACCGAATCAAGGTATTTCTCTCCGGTTCGGTAGGGGGTGCACCTAGACCGTCAAATGAAGGCCCAATAAAAAATTATTTCACCGTGAGAATTCAAAGCAGTGATTTATGTGTTGATACTGTCTAAACTTAATACTATGTTCTCGGCTTTCAGATGACTAGTTTAAATTTCAATTATTCTAAAAGTGCAGTTTAAAAAACCTATCTGTTAAAGTCATAACCAGAGACATTAAAACTTAAAGGGGATTTCTAGGCTAGGTGCCACGCTAAAAGTGGGCTTTACTTAACATGACCAAGATGTTTCATGTAGATTTATTTTGTTAATAAATAAATTTTGTTAATAAACTAAACAATTTGTGTGTCATACATTGACTAATAATATTAGCAATGGATAGCTGAAAGTAAGATACACTTAAACCTGAAAAAATTCATCAAGTTACCAGAAGGAATATGAATGCATGGAAAAAAATTTGGTGATAAATTTCCATGATCGTTATAGAACTCTGGTAATCTCTACTATACTTCCTACATTTTTATCTCATAAGATATTTGGATAATATGCTTAAAAATGGCATCTTATATACAAGAGGCAACTGAACTCTAACCGTTTATTTTATTTAGTGTTCTAGATTACTTTTTGTAAGGAAATGGGGAGGTATTATTTAGTACAATAAGAAAAAAAAAAGGCTTGGTGTGGTGGCTCACGCCTGTAATCCCAGAACTTTGGGAGACGGGAGGATCTCTTGAGCCCAGGAGTTCGGGGCTGCTCTGAGCTATGATCATGCCACTGCACTCCAGCCTGGCAACAAAGTGAGACCCTGTCTTGAAGGAAGGAAAGAAAGAAAAGAAAGAGAAGAAAGGAAAGAGAGAGAGAGAGAGAAAGAGAGAGAGAGAGAGAGAGAGAGAAATAAATAATAAATAAATCACCATGGGATTGTGGGCAGAATATTTTCTTTTGCTTTCAATAAAACAATCAGGACATTGAATACTTCTATAACTTTAAACCAGGATTTCCCAACCTTGGCATTGTTGACATTTTGGGACATATATAATAATTCTTTGTTTTGTTGGGGGTGGGTGTGTTGTCCTGTATATTGCAGAGTATTTAGCGCCACCCTGTCTCCTCTATCCACTAGATGCCAGTAGCCCCCCTCCCCCTAACTGAGACAACCAAAAATGTCTCTAGATGTTGCTGTACATAGTTTGGAAGGCAAAATCACTCCTGGTTGAAAATCATTGCTTTACACGGATTTCCATTTATATCTATAGATTATGAATTGCATAAAATGACAGTTTGTGGTATTATATTACATTTGCCGAATTTTTGACATTTTAAAGTCTGGAGGTTAAATTCAAGTGATTTACATTGACAAACTGATACATTTTATGACCTTCAGTTTCTTCATCTTCAAAAGAGTCATATTGGGCTAAGATTCTTTTAATTCTATAAGTCTTGGTTTATTACTTTTAGGTTACAGTCATTCTCTACTCTGAAATTCCATTAGTTAACCTGGAGTATAATAGAGACTAAATACATTCTGGGTATTATTTACTTCAAATATCAATTGCTGATATTATTAGCTTAAGTATGAGAGACAAGGTATTTATGAAAAATGAGGCTGGCTTTATTAATTTTTTTAGCATACCCAGTTAATGATGAATATATTGCTAGCTAACACAGATATTTCAAAAAAATTATAACATATTGATAGAAAACCAAAGGGAACTCACCCAGGCAGAATGAGCTTGTGTAGAGTAAATATTTAGTATTCAGTAAACACTGGATCACACCATAAAATAGATGATATAGACCAGTGCTCATCAATTGTTTTAAGGGTCTCTGTGGTTTCTGGTTGGTAAAGATATACTTTTGTCTCAAAGCACAGTTCAAAACCCGTGCATTCATACATCATTACAGAGCCCAGCAATGCATTTTCTATAGTCAGATTATCACATGGTAATGAGGACCACTATATAAACATGTTCAGTATTTTCTTTACTGTGTTAGTGGATCCTCCTGGTAACAGACTGTAGGATGGAATTGGGGTGCTAGAGGTTTATTAGGGGAGGAGGTAATGCTTGTGAAAGTTGAAAGGGAGAGGGAGAAGGATTGGACAGGGGTAACCTCAGACCGGCAAGCAAATCTGACAAAATTTTTTCCAACTCAAAGGAGAACCTTGGGGGAAAGGTGCCCATCAGAGGAGTCCCATGCTGCGAAAAAATGGCCAGGTCTTAGAATTCCTACTGTTGACCTTCCAGCATGAAGATTCAGAGCCTACTAGAAAATCAGAAATCTCTTTCTAGGTGTGGAAAAATGGTAATCAGTAATGCTACTTGCCAAGTACCAAATACTGTGCTAAGTACTTGATTCTCTCATTTAATTATCACAGTAACTTTATGAGATGGGCACTGTAATTGTTCACATTTTTATAAATGAGAAAATGGGGCTATGAGATGTTAGATAATATACTCAACTCACACAAGCAGCCATGATTTATACTCTGACTTTTACCTCTGGGGCCCACCCCTCCTACTGGTACCCTCATTGTGGAGATCAGCTGGGCACTGCTTAGTGACATTATGTATACACATGTCCTCTGTCCCAGCAATCTCCGCCCCGAGTCTCTATCCCAGGGAATTTCTCACCCAGGTCTATAATGATTCTTGCAGTAATTCTGTGGTGTTAGAGAATTAGGGGCAATCTGGGTGTTTATAATGGGGTATTGTGTAGCAATAAAAAGCAATGGCTTAAATGTGCACAAATCAGCATGGACAAGATCGTAAAAACAGGATAACATGTGACAGAAACAATAGGATATATGGTATGATATCATTTACATACATTAAAATACATGCACATAAAACAGTAATATATGTTTTATGAACATATTCAGATAAAAGATTGTGTGTGTGTGTGTGTGTCTTACATAAATGCTTGTATATGGGAGGTAGAGAAGTAGGAGTGGGGTATAGACATAAAATGGGATAAATCAATAAATCAAGTAGGCCTGCACTCTGCATCTCAACGCATGTGTTAATTACAAATTGTGGTGATAATAAACAGAACTGTCAAAACTATTACTGATGGAGTTAAGAATGAGGACAGCCGGGCACAATGGCTCATGCCTGTAATCCCAGCACTTTGGGAGGCCAAGGCGGGCAGATCACTTGAGGTCAGGAGTTCGAGACCAGCCTGGCCGACATGGTGAAACACCGTCTCTACTAAAAATACAAAAATTAGCTGGGCATGGTGGCACACGTCTGTAGTTCCAGCTACTTGGGAGGCTCAGGTGGGAGGATCGCTTGAACCCTGGAGGCAGAGGTTGCAGTGAGCTGAGATCATACCAAGTCCTAGAATATAGGCAGCTTCTCCAAAGTGGAAACTAGGGACTGTCTTTGGCAGAATGAAATGGAAACTCAACATTTGATTATCTCTATACTGTGTTTATTGCCACAAACACTATTGTAGTTAAAGATAAGAGAGTTGGTTTGTTCTCATTCTTTTCTCTTGACAACGAGGACTATTTCCATTTGTCTTCTAGTTATAAGGAAGCCTTAAATCCCTGAGGAATGGGCTTCCTGGTGGCTGCATTAATTGTGAGTAGTCTCTTCAGCCCTGGTAGACCAGAGGCAGTGAGATGGAAGGGTCCCAGGTGTGGCTCTTCCTTGCCAATGCACAGAGAGTAGGTTTCATATTCCCAGAACTTCCTCAATTCTTTGTGACAAAATAAAATATTTTCAGCAGGCATTCATGCATCTCACTTATTTTCCTGTCTTGAACTTCAATTGGTTTTGTCATCTACTGGAACCCATCTTGTCCTTTCTTTCCCCTCTGTTTTGTTTTTTTCTTTTCTCTGGGTTATTCATTAAATTTTTAAACAGCCGTGTGACTTTAGTCGTTAATTTCATCTCTTGGTTGTCTCCACTGGCTCCACTGTAAAATAGGACTTACTCATAGAATAAGCATTATAGTGACATCTACTCATAGAATGTGAGTCTTGAATTAAACATATACAAACAAAAAGCTTAAAGGTGCCTGATAACAAAAGATGTCAGCTCTTTCCTCTTCTTTTATTAGCAGATGAGTTAAGTTATTTTTAATGGAATGATTACTAGATTAAGATTATTTCTAAGCATTAGTGAGAACTCCTGAAGGCTTTTAAATGGGGTGTGTATGTATGTGAGAATTTTGCGAGGCCATTTTCTCTTCCTTTTATTTCTTACGGCTTCTTCTTCAGAACCCACATTTTTTCTGATAGCAATTGGACATTTTCTTCATAACACTGATAGCTGTTATAATATTACATTTATTAATATAAGTACTTGATCAATATCTAACTTCCTCATTGCTTTTGCTCAAAATTTGTTTCCTTCTTGCTGATGGATATTACCACTTTACTTTTCCCAGTTGTTATTGTCTCCCAGGATCGCACAGCTGTGCTGCATGACAGATGTGTTGCCTAGAGGGAGTGACACTAGTTAGAAATGAATAGAACATTGGCCACTGCTGCTATTATGTGTAGATCTATAATTTGGCCTTCAGCCTGATTTTCTGTAATCTCAGATTCTCATTGCCAATTGCTGGCAGGAAACAGTCTTCTTGATGACTTGTCATGTCCAAAAACAGGTCAACACTATTTCTAGAGTGATAATCATTGGCTGATTTCATTTCCCCATGAAATGAACTCCATCACTGAGTAGAGCTGCCATAGAATAGCCTTGAAAGGCAGAGGTAGTGCTGTGTGAGGACACTGTACTGGGAGATAGGACACCTGGCTGTAGTCCACGTTTTACTATAAATTAGCTGGGTGGCCACAGATAAGTGGCAAAATTATGGGTCTCATTTTATCATGTCAAGAGTATAAGGTTTAGAGTTCCAGCATACCAGAGATTCATATTTTTTCAGGTTATCAACAGAGCTAGCTTTAAAGAGTGTTTTTACTATATACATATAACAGGGATCAAAAGCAGAAACTACCCACATTTCTATTTAGTCTTTGTCTATGTGCCTATTCAATTAATATATACTTTCAATTATGTCATAAATGAAATTTTATATATATTTTCACTTGACATTATACAATCCACTTTTTTCCATTTTCCTATGACTATTTTCCTGTCTTATGTACTCATTCTCTTTCTCTCTCACTACTGTCCCATCTCCTCTCAATCCCACTCAGATAATACTGTGTATCTTCCACCTCTTTCTCCATAATTTATTTGCTCATATAAAATATAAACACAGATGTAGTTATTTCATCTTTATTTGTTTAAAAAGTGACCACACACACACACACACACACACACACACAGAATGTTTATAAACAATGTAGAAGACTGGCAATTTGAACTCATTAAATTATATTACAAATGACAGAGAGCCACCACTTGAATCTTGAGAAAGTGATCCTCCTTTCATCTTGGAGTGTTATTATCATGGTATGTGCTCCCCATGTGATGCCACTCTAGCAATTTCAGACACAGCTACATAGAAGTCATGATTACAGAAACTCCAAGAGCCAACCTTACCAGAGACAGCATTTGACACTATCAAGTGTCACTGATGTACAGAAAGAAAAATTGGGCTTTAAGGAATGAAAGTGTAAAAATGATTCAGTGCTCAGGAACTATAAAGTGAGTTACTTCAAAATGGAATTTGAGCTCTGTTATGATTTCAATAGTGCAAGAACTACACTTAATTATTCCTGCATTAACCATTATTTTTATATTTTTGAACATTTTTAACATATGGAATGTAAAATATTGACTAAATGGAACATGTATTATTTTTACATTCTTGAAGTTTTCTATGTGTTGCTGAAAACCATTTATTTATTTGTATTACCTAATTAGCCACCTTGAATAATGTTACAACTAAAAGTGTAAGGGTTGAAGAAGGAAGAAAGAAACACAAAAAGTGGCTCAACAGTCAAAGACAGAATAAACCTGAGACGGGCTTCTGGCCAGTTTTGGTCAGGAGCATGCTCTCTTGCAGACTAAGAGTATTTAAGGGTTCAGGGTGGGAGAGCTTATCACAGGCTTGGACTGCTTCTGTGCCTCTTTGTCTTGCTTATCTGGGAGGGAGAGTTTTTGTGTTTGTTCCCGTACATCTTCCTGTAGCTGCAGGCATATCCCCCACGTCTGCTTTTAGCTTCCCTATCTTAGTGCACCTAATGGGAAAGGAATATGCTTACTAGGGCCCACTGTTTTACTGGGGCTCATTGTATGAGTGTGAAGTTTGGTGGTTACTCAAGAGACTTTCCCCCTCCTTCTGTGCCCAAGCTGTCTTATCTTTGTTTTACTGTCTGCTCTTTCTGGTTGCTTGTTTAGAAGAGAAGTGATTTCCTTGAAATGCTTGAGGTTAGAAAGGGAGCTAGAACTTAAAATGGTGGTGTTTGTCCAAGATGACAGTGCTCCTGCTCTGTCAAAAGCAACTAAAAGTGGAGTTTAATATAATAAAAGTTTAATATAAAAATATAATTTAATAAAAGTGGAGCCCATTTAATATATCTGGTGACAATAGTAGTTAATGATATTTTTGTATTCAGTCTTGTGCATGTGTAGATATAATATATCCTGCATGGTTACATTCCTCATAGTATTCCCCCAAGTTCAATAAAAGCAATAACCATTGTACTATTTCTTTTTCTGTTTATCTTTTGAGTCCTTTGTCAGCTAATGAGGATAGTGAATTTTTTTTCAGTTTTTTTTTTCTATTAGAATATCTATTAGAATAAGTAATTTTGGGTTGATACATCCTCAGTTCTCAAACTTTATTCCAAAATTTTTATCCACTAGAACAAAAATGGACAAACTATGGTCTGCTAACCAAATTCATTCCATCATCTGTTTTTCTATGCCTCATAAGCTAAGAATGATTTTCACATTTTTAAGTCATTGAATAAAAATCAGAAGAAGGATCGAGGTTAACATTAAGAGTGAAGTCATGTTGATAGCTTGCACTCTTGATAGGTGAGTGGCACTTTACCTCTGTGGTCTTCCCTTTCAAAACATATTGGCCCAGTTCCATAATGAGAAAACCATAAAAAAAAACCCAGCTGTGGAACAAAATGTCTGACTAGTGTTTCTCAAAACTATTAAGATAAATAAAAATGAGGAAAGCCTGAGAAACTATCACAACCTAGAAGAACCTAAGGAGACATGACAACTAAACATGATATGGTGTCTTGATGAGACCCCAGAACAGACAAAGGACGTTAGGTAAAAACTAAGAAAATCTGAATAAAGTATCAGCTTAGTGAATAACAATAGATCAATATTGATTCATTAATTATGACAAATATACCTACTAATCTAAGATTTTAATAAGGGGAAACTGAGTGTTTATGGGAACTCTGTACTATCTTATATAAATAAATTTTTTTTCTGTAAATCTAAAACTATTCTAAGATTTAAAACATTTAAAAGGGGATTTTATTGTATTTTAAAAGGACAATATTTTGTAAGTGTGAAGATTAAATAAAATTAAAATTTCAGTGTTCATAAAATTTTATTTGAACACAGCCACATTCATTCACCTACTACCGCTTCGCATGGCTGTTTGGTGCGTTCTGAATTGCAGTGACTCAGTCATAACTTGACATATTTCAAGTGCTACATGTATTGCTCTACATTTTCACTTTACTTTTTTCGCTACCAGGGAGAACCCATCATGTCAAAATAAGAAGAGAAAAATGGACTAAATATTCTGCTTCTAAAGGCATAGTGTATGTGGATTTTTTTGCTATCAAATAAAATGGAAAAGCATTGTGTTTATTATTCAGTGATACTACAGCTGTGCTAATATAATACAATATATGTTGTCATTCCCAGATTAAGCAATCATTACAGTATTCCCAGCTGATAGCACAGCATTCAGTCAGAAAAAATTAGAAAATTTAAGATGAGATATCACATAACTTCTTTTAAAAAATGAGGCTGCAATAAAAGTAAAGTTCAAAGTAAGGTTCTCATTTGTTAGCTAAGCGAGGAAAGCCATTTACCAATGGTGAATTAATAAATGGGTTAAATCATGTTTGATTGTAGCAGGCATGAAATGTGTCTAGAGAAAATAGCTAGTTTAAAACTACTTACCTTTTGAAAAGAATAGAGTTGAGGATGTTGTAGCAACATCAATAATCAATTAAAAAACAAAGCAAATGATTTTAAGGGGTTTTCCTTGGCCCTTGATGAGTAATATCAGTAACATTTGTTACTGATATTAATCAGTTGTTTATCTGAGGAGTCAATGCTGAGTTTGGTTTACTGAAGCGTTTGCCTTGAAAAATAGTCTGTGTGGGAGAACATTTTCAAAGAATTTGAGAAAATGACTAATTTAGTTCAACCTGAAGTGGAGTGTGCTAAGACGTGTTAAAAATGATGGTGTTAAACCTTTGTGTGGAAGACCAATCAAAAGCTCATGAAAATATAAAGCATTTAAAATCAATGGTTATTTATTGTATTATTTATCTGCAAGCACTTTGTAGGAAATATTTGAATATATCATGTGTTATTGAACCAATAATGTCAATGGCCAACTTTGTTCACCCTTACGAACTTAATTATCATCAGTTCTTTAAATTTTTGTCAGAAATAGAAGCCGCATACTTTGACTTGCCCTACTATGGCTTAGCCATGATAAAGCTTACTATGATTTTTCTGAGCTCAGGGTTAAAATGTTGAAATTAGGTGAACTACTTTTTCAAGCTATCTGCCGTTCTGTATGTGATGGTTAATACTGAGGGTCAACTTGATTGGATTGAAGTATACAAAGTATTGATCCTGTGTGTGTCTGTGAGGGTGTTTCCCAAGGAGATTAACATTTGAGTCAGTGGGCTGGGAAAGGCAGACCCACCCTTAAGCTGGGTGGTCACAATCAGCTGCCAGCATGGCTAGAATATAAACAGGTAGAAAAATGTGAAAAGAGAGACTGGCCTAGCCTCCCAGCCTACATCTTTCTCCCGTGCTGGTTGCTTCCTGCCCTTGAACACTGGACTCCAAGTTCTTCAGTTTTGGAACTCAGACTGGCTCTCCTTGCTCTTCAGCCTGCAGATGGCTATTGTGGAACCTTGTGATTGGTGAGTTAATACTTAATAAACTCCCCTTTATATATATATCTATTCCATTAGTTCTGTCCCTCTAGAGATCCTTGACTAATGCAATGTACCTCTCAATGAAGATTGGAAAAGAAAGAAGGGATGAAGAAAAAAAGAGTTTAGTTTTAGGTAACAAGAGTCTCTTGATCTTTGGTACTTTTGTTTTTCTTTTTTAGAAGGGGTTTATAATTCAGTAGTGATGGATGAATCTCATATTAGTTTCAGGAAATTTGTTAAAGCTGCCAAAATGTCCTTCCGAGATTTCATTATTTATCTCTCGAAATGCATTAAGGATCCATTTTACATACATTGTAAAATTAGTCTTTTTTGCTATAATCCTGGAAGCCGAGTAACTAGGCATGTGTATAAAGAAAGAAGAGAGAGAAAATTCCTATGCCAAAAATTGTAACTGGGGTGTAGCTAGATGTTTTTTCTCTTGGAGGCAATCTAGTTCATTTGCAAGAAATGGTGTTGAAAATACATGGATTTATTTATTTGAAAAATTCCAGGTCTGTTTGTTACAATAAAGCTGGTCATAAAAACACAAGTACTTGTTAAGAGAGAAGTACTGTTCAAAGGTGGGAATCTTTTTTTTTTTTTTTTTTTTTTTTTTTTTGTGATGGTGTCTCACCCTCTCGCCCAGGCTGGAGTGCAATGGCACAATATCAGCTCACTGCAACCTCCTCCCGGATTAAAGCGATTCTCCTGCCTCAGCCTCCCGAGTAGCTGGGATTATGGGCACATGCCACCATGCCCGGCTACAAACGTGGGAATCTATGGTCTAACAGGAGGAGAACATCATTAGAATAAGCTGGATAAAATAAGAAAAGCTACATAGAAAATCCAGGAGTAACTGTGCAAGTCAGCCATATCTTGAGGGGAGAAAGAAAGGCAAAATATCACAGAAGTAGATCAGTCTTGCTTATCATTGCAAAACATGAAAAATCAATTTTAACTATGTTAAAATACAAATACCTTATGAGCAATTTTGGCTTTATTCTGTTGATTCTGCTATTTGCAGATGTTAGCAATACTTTTATAAGAAAGCCATGAGAATTTACTAGAAACTATTAAAACTAAAAAGAGTTCAGTAATGTCACCAAGAATGACATTAAAAATAGGAAGTAAAATAGCTTCCTTATGTGTAAAAAAACTACCACTTAGCATAATAAAAATATCCTATTAGTAATAGCTATCAAAAATAAAATAACTAGAAATGAATAGAAGAATTATGCTGAACCTATATGACAAAAAAGAAAGCTTTACTAAGGCTTAAAAATATAAACATTAAATAAATGAAGAAATATACCATATACTTATCAAAGGACGATAAAGGGAATGTCTCATATTTTCAGGAGCCTATATAAGTTGTGAGGGACTACCTAATGCATGATTTCTTTTGCACTCAATTTTTTTTTTTAAGGAGGAAGAATTTTAGCAAATTTTATTAGTGAGTATAAATGAAAAAATCAAAAGCAAAATAATAGCAAACCAACTCCAACAATGTATGAGAATGATAATACACCACAAATATCATTCCAGCAAATACAGAAAAAAAGTGATAAAGTTTAACACCCATCCATGAAAGAAATTCTTAATAAAATAAGCATAAAAGGGAACATTTACTTTGAAAAAAGGTACTTAGAAAATATTATCATAAAAATTATACTAAATGAGGTAGTTAGAAATATTCCACTTAAAGGGAGAAATAAGATAAAAAATTTCATAGTTTTCTGGTTTATCTTTGAGTTTTGTTTTACAAAAATGTATCTGTATATTTTCCCTCTTTTTTTGCACAAAAGGTAGCATTCAATTTATACTCTCTGCATTTTGTTTTTCTTACTTCACAATACATCCTGGAAATCATGTTAGGTCATAGAGTTTTCTCACTCTTTTTTATAGCTTCATAATAGCCTATTTTGTAGAAGTACCAAATGTGTGGGCATTTAGTTTTTTCTATCTAATATTTTACATGTATAAATAATACTACACTGTATAGTCTTTATGTATTTTCATATTGTTGAAGCTATAACTTAAATGTAAATCCCTAAAAGTGAAGTCAATCCTTTGGGTATATACCCAGTAATGGGATGGCTGGGTCAAATGGTATTTCTAGTTCTAGATTCCTGAGCAATCGCCATACCAACTTCCACAATGGTTGAACTAGTTTACAGTCCCACCAACAGTGTAAAGGTGTTCCTATTTCTCCACATCCTCTCCAGCACCTGTTGTTTCCTGACTTTTTAATGATTGCCATTCTAACTGGTGTGAGATGGTATCTCATTGTGGTTTTGATTTGCATTTCTCTGATGGCCAGTGATGCTGAGCATTTTTTCATGTGTTTTTATTTGCTGTGTAAATGTCTTCTTTTGAGAAGTGTCTGTTCATGTGCTTCGCCCACTTTTTGATGGGGTTGTTTGTTTTTTTCTTGTAAATTTGTTTGAGTTCATTGTAGATTCTGGATATTAGCCCTTTGTCAGATGAGTAGGTTGCAAAAATTTTCTCCCATTCTGTAGGTTGCCTGTTTACTCTGGTGGTGGTTTCTTTTGCTGTGCAGAAGCTGTTTAGTTTAATTAGATCCCATTTGTCAATTTTGGCTTTTGTTGCCATTGCTTTTGGTGTTTTAGACATGAAGTCCTTGCCCGTGCCTATGTCCTGAATGGTATTCCCTAGGTTTTCTTCTAGGGTTTTTATGGTTTTAGGTCTAACATTTAAGTCTTTAATCCATCTTGAATTAATTTTTGTATAAGGTGTAAGGAAGGGATCCAGTTCAGCTTTCTACATATGGCTAGCCAGTTTTCCCAGCACCATTTATTAAACAGGGAATCCTTTCTCCATTGCTTGTTTTTTAAATCATGCTGCTATAAAGACACATGCTCACGTATGTTTATTGCGGCACTATTCACAATAGCAAAGACTTGGAACCAACCCAAATGTCCAACAATGATAGACTGGATTAAGAAAATGTGGCACATATACACTGTGGAATACTATGCAGCCATAAAAAATGATGAGTTCCTGTCCTTTGTAGGGACATGGATGAAGCTGGAAACCATCATTCTCAGCAAACTATTGCAAGGACAAAAAACCAAACACCGCATGTTCTCACTTATAGGTGGGAATTGAACAATGAGAACACATGGACACAGGAAGGGGAACATCACACACCGGGGACTGTTGTGGGGTGGGGGGAGTGGGGAGGGATAGCATTAGGAGATATACTTAATGCTAAATGACGAGTTAATGGGTGCAGCACAGCAACATGGCACATGTATACATATGTAACAAACCTGCACATTGTGCACATGTACCCTAAAACTTAAAGTATAATAATTAAAAAAAAAAGAAAAAAAAAGTGAAGTCAAAAGATAAATGTACATTTAGGACTTTTTCAATTTTGCCTATTTCTTCTCCATAGCAGTGGAAACATTTTACATTCCCATGAGCATTGTATGAGGCTATTTTTTCCACACATATTTGCCAGCAGAATGTTGCTCTCAATTTTTTTTTGCTAATGAAGTAGTCTTAATATATTTGACCTTACTTTAGCTCAAAATACTATATTGCACTTAATTTATAATTAACTTAAAATTTAATTGGTGTTTTTCATGGTTATAGTCATTAAACTAAACAATTCCTTAAAAACTTTAGCAGATGAATTTTTAAAAATCTGTATTTTGAGAGAATTATAGATTCACATGCAGTGTAAGAAGTAATACAGACACTAAATACCTTTCACGTAGTTTCTTTCAATGGTAACATCTTTCATTACTGTAGTACAATATTACAATCAGGAAATTGACATTGATATAATCCCTCTGTCTTATGCAGATTCCATTGGTTTTATACATACTTGTGTGTGTGCACATGTATTTAGTTTATGCAGTTTTATCACATGTAAAGTTGCATGTGATCACCACCACAGTGAAGATATACAATAGTTCCAGCACAGGAATCCTTTCATAGCCACAACCACTTACTTCTCCCTTCCCTGCAACACCTGGCAACTACTAATTGGTTTTTTGTCTCTGTAATCATTATATGACTCTTAAAAATTTAACCGTGCTTTGTTTCTAAGTATAATTGGAGCTCTATAAATATCTATAATAAATTCACATGTAGTTAATTAAAATATAAGAGAAAAGGATGAGTAATAGCTTTGAAGGATGACAGCTCAATGTGATCGCATTCTTAATGTTTTCATTTAACTGTGTATGAGCCATACCACAGATAGATACAAGTTTTTCTTAAATCATTTTCAGTTTGCTTCTTGCATGAATAGGGTCGTGGGGATTTTTAGAATTTGTAGCCAAATGTGCAAAATCAACTGATCTTCAGATTTAGTTTGAATTAGAGTTCATTATATGAAAGGATTAAAAACTTAAGAAGCCAAGACATTTTCATATTGGGGGTGTGTGTGTGTGTGTGTGTGTAGTGTCTGTGTGAGTATGCATGCTTCCTTGTGTGTGTTTGTATATATATTTATGATGTATATCTTACCTGTTTTTCTTTTTTTATGTTGAATTAAAAAAGGACTAAACAAAAATAGTTTCATGGTTCATAAAGGTAGATGATTCAATAATATTTTTCTCAAAACTATAATGTTTATTATAAGATTCCTTTATTTTAAAGCAGTATTACAGACAATACATTCTAAATAATTAAAAACATGTTTTCATTGTTAAACCTCCTTTAGAACATAAAAGCTTCAGCTACTCTCAAGGGAATCACACTCGTGAGAGTGACATTGGCATTTAAGAAAAGGAAAATAAAATAATTATAAGTTCATGTGAACTTTTTTGAGGCCTGTGGGAAAACATGGAGTAGAAAGTTCATAAAACTGATTTGTTACTTGGCCCATTCACACTGGAGTATATGAGAAACCCTGAATTCCAAGCAAAATTCCTTCTTATAGACCAGCTCAGTTTTCTCTCAGACTACGGAAAATAGAATGGCTAGCTGTATTAGAGTTCTTCAGGAAACAGAACCAGTGGGATATACATACAAACAGATTTATTGTGAGGAAGTGATTTACACAATATGGAGGCTGAGAAGTACTAGGATTTGCTATAAGCAAACTGAAGATCCAAGAAAGCTAGTGGTATAATTCAGTCCAAGTCTGAAGGTCGGAGAACCAGGGGAGCTGATGGCATAAATCTCATTTTGAGGGCTAGAGAAGATGAGATGAAATGTTGCCAGGAAGGGAAAAAAAGGGTGCAAATTCCTTCTTCCTCTGCCTTTTATTCAATTGAAACCTTCAACAAATTAGATGAGGCCCAGTTACATTGCGGGAGGGCAATCGGCTTTGCTGAGTCTACTGATTCAAAGGTTAATCTTGGATGAAGACAGACACATAGACACACCGGAAACAAATGTAATCTGGGCACCCATGGCCCATCGAAGTTGCTACATGAAATTAACCACCACACTTGCCTAGAGGGGAATTCATTTTTAAAAAACATATCCTTGTGATCCTTTTGAAATTCAAGTAAAACTTAATATATAAATGTTATAATATCTTTCCAAGAGAATATTATATTCGTTAAGTAGACTTCACTTTAGGAAAGATATATTTTTGTAAAGCTATAAAATAATCATATCTAAAACATTTTTATATACCTTTTTTATGATCACCTGTGGTAGATTCTCATTTACTAGAATGAGGTAATATTTTGTGGTTTTTTTAAGTGAGAGAAGAATGCTTCTTTTTTTAAAAAATGATTTTTTTGGTGATAATTGTAAATTCACATGCAGTTGGAAGAACTAACGAGAGTGAACATGTGTATCGTTTACCCAGTTCCCCCCTTATCACTTGTAAGATAACATCTTATAAAACTACAGTAAAATATCACAACCAAGATAATAATATTGATAACTGTCAAGATACAGAACACTTTCTTCCCAGAAGGATCCCTTCTGATGTTCTTTGTAGCCAAACCCCCTTCCTTTGCACTTCCCACTCCTCAACTCCTGGCAACCACTATCTCCTTTTCATTTCTATAGTTTAATTTGTGTATTCTTCCTTTTTTTTCTTGGTTGGCTTTCTAGAAGCTTGTCAATATTATTGGTAATTTTAAATCACCAGCTCTTTGTTTCACTGACAGTCTGCATTGTTTTTCTGTGTCAATTTCATTGATTTATCCTCTTAACTTTATGATGTCCTTCTTTCTACTTGCTTTGGTTTTATTTTACTCTTCTTTTTGTAGGTTCTCGGGGTGGGAGATTATATTACTGATGCAAAACTTTTCTTCTTTTCTAATGGATGTATTTAGTGCTATGCATTTCTCTTAGCACTGCTTTAGGTCTGTCCCACAAATTTTGATATGTTGTTTTGTATTTTCATTCAGTTCAATGTACTTTTGATTTCCCTTGAGACTTTCTTTTTGACCCATGGATTGTTTAGAAGTGTGTTTAGTTTCTAAGTGTTTGGAGAGTTTTGTTATCTTTTTGTTATTGATTTCCAGTTTGATTCCATTGTGGTCTGAGAACATTGCAGTCTGAGAACTCTGTATGCTTGCAATTCTTTTAAAATTGTTGAGATTTGTTTTATGATTCAGGATATGGTCTACCTTGGTATTTGTTCTGTATGTATTTGGAAAGAAAGTGTATTCTCCATTGCTGGGTGAAGCGTTCAGTAAATGTCTATTAGATCCTGTTGGTTGATGGCATTGTTGAGTTCTATATCCTTGCTGATTTTCTGTCTAGTTGTTCTATCAATTGCTGAGAAAGGGGGTTGAAGTTTCCAGTTGTAGTAGTGGATTTGTTTATCTCTTCTTTCATTCTATCAGTTTTTGCTTCACATATTTTGCAGCTCTGTTTTTTTGATGCATACGCATTTTTGAGGGCCATGTTTTCTTGATGGAGTGACCCTTGTATTATGATATAATGTCCCTCTTTTAGTCTCTGGTAATTTTGTTTGCTCTACTTGGTCTGGTACTAATATAACTGGGGAAGTGGGATTATCACCTTATTACTGCTCATAGAAGTAGAAGTTTTGGTTCCTCCGTCAGCTATCACTGACACCTATGGTGGGCTGCTCCGTGGTCCTGATGTGTGGGGGTATGAGTGCTGCTCCTCATGTGGCCTCCACTGTCACCACAATGGGAGTAGCCTTGTTACTGCTAGGCTGACTCTCCACTAGGTCTTCTCTGACCCCCGCTCCAGCAGAGGAGTAGAGGGACACTGTGTTACTGTCAGGAGGGGTGGAAGTCCAGGCTTCTTATATGCAGGTTGTGAAGAAAAGGTGGGGGTGTCCAGAAGCCTTGTTTCAGGCCAGTGAGAGGGAATGTTTTAGTTCTTTACTTTGCTCTTAAACCATTCTGGGAGTTTGCAGGGGTCCCTTGTCATTTTGGGTTGGGTTTGTGAGACAGCATGTCAGGCAAGTGTTCTTGTATAAGTGGTTAGCTGTCCTTGTGTTGCTAGCTGTCCTTGTGTAAGCTGTCCATGTAGTAAACTGTGGTTTGGAAAAATTTCTTGCGATAGTTCCCATTATCCAGCAAATCATGTGTGAGAGCCCTGCCTTCATGGGTCTGCCCTGCTCCACTTGCCAAGGCTTGACATAAGTTACTCTAGTTTGGATCTTACAACTTCCACATTTCTCTGAAAGCATCACTGATCGACTCTCCTGTGGGTTGGTTTTAATTGTCCCTTGGTGCTGAGATGCACCTGTCCTGGATTGTTGGTATGGTCTCACATTGGGAAGAAGTGATTGGCGACTGGGAGTCAGTATCAAATCACTTTCAGCCACATTTGAGCAACAAGCCTGACCTGGAGAAAGTGGCTCTCAGGCTAAATCTTCCTGGGGTCCACAGTTAAGTTCAATTTTGTTGGTTCCATAAGTATTGGTTATCATTTGAAACACTGGCCCAGCATTATTCTATCAGGAGTGTTGTTTCTATAGAATTGGGGCAGGACACAGTTAGGTCCAAAGTTTAAAGGAAATAATACAAAGTAAAACCAACAGGAGCATAACGAATTTATTTTGTACAATGATTTTGAACCAAGAGGCCAAGCCTGAGGCCAAGAAACTAAGCAAATCAAAAGACCACTGGGAAACCGGGTGAGACCTGTTGTAGCCATTGAGATCAATGGACTAAATAAAAATTTCTAAAACTCTAATGAAAAAACTAATGGGTTCATGAAGCTGCAAATCAAAATCAAGCAGAACAAAATAATTACATAAGATTGAATACTTCTTAAAAATTATAATTTTTATGACCTTAAGGAGGTCATAATCATTGTGAAGGCAATGATTTATGACTTGCAAATCACATGTAATGAGATGGAGTAAAAAGCTGAACCCTTGAGATATTGAGGTAGGAGGTGGGGCTCAGAGACTGGACCAAATTGAGGACTAGCTAAAAGAGGGACATGGTGGAAGCAGCTTTCCATAAGACACATCCTCCAGTGTTCCATGCCAGTTTACCATTGCCATGGCAACACTGAAAGTTACCACCCCTTTCCACAGCAATGACCCAATGACCCAGAAGTTACCACCCTTTTAAAAGAAATTGCTATATAATCTACCTCTTAATTTGCATATAAGTGGGTATAAATATGACTGCAGAACTGCCTTTGAGCTGCTACTCTGGGCAGACTGCCTGGCCCTGCTCTGCAAGGAATAGTACCTCTGCTGCTGCTGTATACTGTCACTTCTATAAAAGTTGCTGTCAAACACCACCAGCTTGTCTTTGAATTCTTCCCTGGGCAGAGCCAGAAACCCTCCCAGGCTAAGCCCCAGTTGTGGGCTGCAGCTTGTTCTGTGGTGTTTTTCCAGGCTGTCTTTTTTCTTCCTTGGCTAGAGAGCAGGCTTCTCTTGAGACTTTTAAATTTTTCTGCCTGTGCCTATTGATATTCCAGAGTTTCCAGCTTCTTTTACTCCAAGTTGGGGATGTATGAGGGAGAAAGAAAACCCAGGGAATTTACCACCATGTTGTCTTCCAGGATCTGTAGCCTGCTCTGCTATCTTCTCTCTGCCTTTTAGAATATTGTTATATTCATTTTATATGTAATGTGTAGGGCTTTTGTTTATATTTACTGAGAGGAATTGGGGAAAGCACATCAACTCCATCATGCTGGAAGTTCCAGAATACCTCTTAAATTAAGCTAACTTATGGATTTATGGTTACTTAAAAATTGAATAAATGTGAATATTGGGTTAATTATGAAGATTTTCATGTCTTGACATTAAAATTGGTATCTATATTTATAACTTTAGGGGCTTTTAATAAAGTACAAATTACCAAAGTAGGGCTTCTCTTAGCTATCAAATATGTGACAGATTGGAATTTAACATTTTATTTCAAATCATAAATGATCACTTGTCCAGGAAAAATTACTAACATCTATTTTTCTAAATGTAACATTTTGTTTTGGGTGCAATTGTTGCTTTTGGAGAACTAGACATTGAAAATGTAAACTGCTCTTCTGTTTGAAGTACACTATCATTTTAATGTCATTCTATGTTAAACAGTGCTTGTATCTACAACAAAGGAATAAAAAGAAAGCAATATAAAAAACAAGTACTTATTTGCTTTTACTGGAAATGACTGATTTGGTTTGGCTGTGTCCCCACCCAAAATCTCATCCTGAATTGTAATCCCCATAATCCCCACATGTCAAGGGTGGAAGCAGGGGAGGTAATGAGATCATGGGGGCGGTTTCCCCCATGCTGTTCTGATAGTGAGTTAGTCTCATGAGATCTTGTGGTTTTGTAAATGTCTGGCATTTCATCTGCTTGCACTCGCTTCGTCCTGCTGCCCAGTGAAGAAGGTGCCTCCTTCTCCTTTGCCCTCTGCCATGATTGTAAGTTTCTTGAGTCTTCCCCAGCAATGTGGAACTGTGAGTCAATCAAGTCTCTTTCCTTACCCAGTCTTGGGTATTTCTTCATAGCAGTGTGAGAATGGACTAATACAATGACTAAAGATCAATTTAACAGATTGTGATTTAGCACATTCTGATCATACTTGCTCCCGGCTAAACTGACCAGATGTTTTAGAACAAAATATCTTTAGAAGCTGTAGTTTATAAGATGCATGGTTTCCTGAAAAGGTTATCCCTATAAAAAGGCTGCGTGTACACAGGAAGAAATAAAAAAGAATATTTTCGAGTAAAAATGGCACAAGGGGTGATTTGAAATATTCACGTTTGATAATTGAAGTCAAATTTCTCTGAATCAAATGTATAGTTCTGAAATTTGGTCACAATTTATACAATGTTTTCTAGGATTGAAGTAAAAGGAAGTAACGGTTTAACTGAAAAAAACAGCCAGGAAAAAACCAAAACAAAACAAAACAAAAAACTTCAGGTGTGCCTGACTGTTTCTAGAGAACGAATGGGAAGGAGTCAATTTTTCCTGCCATGCCCACTCAGAGACTCATGTATATCCAGTTCATTTGCTCTTTTTGATATGTGAGATTTTAGGCTCACTTTCAGTGTATCTACTTATAACTCAGAATCCATGTTGTATTATATTGATAGATAAATTCTGGTATGTATTTCAACCCCCAAAATTAGTTTTTGCTTATTCTCTCATTTTCTAAAAAAAAAATCGTTAAAGTAAATATGGGCATTGAGCTATGAATATAATCCAGAAATCTCCAAAACTATATATCTGACTATTCACTGAGATTCTCTTTGTGCTGTAAATATCTTAGAAAATAATACCCAGCTACGCATCTCCCAAACTGTGAAACAAATTAATGTTTGTTATTTTAAATCACAACAATATTTTGGGATGTTTTGTTACACAGCTATAGGTGATAAATACAGATGGTTTCTTCTTTAAGGTTCTGTTCCTCTGGAACCAACCACTCTTGGTACTAAATAAATTGTATCATGTTAGATGGAATTATAATATTGCAGGAAATTATATATATTTTTGTATATTATTTTTATTTTTTGTAGTATATTATCTCTAATATAATTATTTTATTTTAAATATTTTTTCTTAGTATAATATCTCTTTTTTTTGTAGTCTATTATCTCTAATATAATTACCTAACTATATTAAAATTTTCTCACTTTTTCTGGTATGAGATTTTTTAAAAGGCTAATCAGGTAAAAGTAAAATTGTTCTAAAACCTTACACATTGATGGATTTTGAATTTTGATTCAGATAAAGGACTATTTCAAATAGCTTGATATCAAACTCATTTTCAATTAGATTAGAAGGTGAAATAATGAAAGCTTGTATCCTGGCTTGAAAAAACATGATGAAAATGTTTGTATTTTGTTCACTTCTACAGCTGGATTCTGATGGCACCATTACTATAGAGGAGCAGATTGTCCTTGTGCTGAAAGCGAAAGTACAATGTGAACTCAACATCACAGCTCAACTCCAGGAGGGAGGTAAAGATGCCAAGAAAATTGGCTCTCCTTGTGCCTCCTATCTGTTCTTATAAAGATTGCACATTTCCCTCCTTCTTTAGTGTTAGGGAGATCCTTATCAGTCAATCCACATTTCCATGTGGAGGGGTGTGCAGCAGAACAACAACACTCTTTTCATCTCTACCCTACATGCTTTTCCTTCCCTGTGGAAAAAGTGACTTGCCTGATAGTGAGTTTGAGAATAGCAACTGGGCATGTGCACATCAGCCTATCCCTTAGTCCTTTCTTCAGGGTTTGTCTGCCTGTAGAGAGCATGCATACTGATTTGCCCTCGACCATGCAGTAAGCTTGGAGGAGTAGGCTCTGTCCCTGTGGACATTGCCTCTATTATAAAATATGCAGTTCAAAATCTACTTCATACTTCTCTAAATGCCAGCAAATAATTGTGATTGATTTCTCAATTGTTTATGATCAGAGAATGTGGTCTGCATGATACTGAGTTTTAAAAATGTGTTGGGACAGCCGGGCACGGTGGCTCACGCCTGTAATCCCAGCACTTTGGGAGGCCGAGGTGGGCGGATCACCTGAGGTCGGGAGCTCCAGACCAGCGTGGCCAACATGGTGAAACCCTATCTCTACTAAAAATGCAAAAATTAGCTGGGCGTGGTGGCGCATGCCTGTAATCCCAGCTACTCAGGAGGCTGAGGCAGGAGAATCGCTTGAACCCGGGAGGTGGAGGTTGCGGTGAGCTGAGATCGCACCATTGAACTCCAGCCTGGGTGACAGAGCGACTCTCTGTCTCAAAAAAAAAAAAAAAAAAGTGTTGAGACTTAATGTCTTATAGTTTTGTCAATTTTGATAATTTTCCATGTGGTCTTCAAAGGTATGTATGCCCTCTAGTTTCTGAGTACAATGTTTTATAGTGTCCACTAGATTAAGCTTGTTAGTTGTGTGGTTCATATATTCTGCATCCATAATGATTTTTAAAATGTGCTTGACCTATTATTTTCTGAGATATATATATCTTAAAATATGCTACTATGATGATGAATATTTCAACTTTTCATTGAAAAATTCACTGGATATTTTTACTTCATATATTTTGAAAATATGTTAGGAGGTTATTTAAGTTTAGAAATATTAGATTTCCTGGTGAATTAAACCTTTTGTAGATATACAGTAGCCCTCTTTATCTCTAGGATACTTGTCCTTCATATTTAAAAAATATGTACAATTTAAAATTACTATATTTAAAAAAATTTAAAACACTAGTTTCCTTCTTTCTTGGTTAGTATCTGCCTTGTATATCTTTTCCAATCCTTTAAAAATGTTTTAATTGTGATAAAATATACATAGCATTAAATTTACCATTAAAATTTTTTTCATTGTACTGCTCAATAGTGTTAAGTATATTCGCATTGTTGTGCAATCAGTCTCCAGAAATTTTCCATCTAAATTGACACTCTGTACCCATTAAATAACAACTCATATTTCCTCATTCTTTTATTAAACTTTTCTGTATATTTACATTTCAGGAGTATCTTTTACAAACAGGACACACATAGAGTTTTTCTCATTATCCATTCTGATAATCTTTGTCTATTAACTGAAGAATTTAGCTCAACTACATTAATTGTAGTTACTAATATACAGTATTTGAGTTTAATTCTAAAATCTCATGTGGGCTGTCTGTTTCACCAGCTCTTCCTCTGCCCTTCCACTTCCCCAGTTCCAACTCTCTTTTGGATTGATTGAGACATTTTTCTCATTTTATTCCATCCCCTGCCACCGCCAACTAGTATGGAAGATATGTATTATATTTAATTCCTTTAGTGGTTATCCTAGAAATTTTTCACATATATTTAATTTCAGAAAGTTTAAAGTTTATCATTCTCTTCCTTTTTCCAAATAATAAACACAATTTGAGATACTTTAATTGCTTCCAAATTATATGCTCTTTAGTTCTACCTTAATTTTATGTTATTATAATTTTTCTTCTTTGAATAAAATGTCCTTTATTTATATATTTTTGAATCTTTATGTTAGAATATGTTTATAGTGATCTCAGTTTTTGTCTGTTGGAAAATGTCTTTATTTTGGTGTCAACCTTGAAAGATACTTTTTCTGGACATATGATCCTTGGCTAAAAATTATTTACTTCTATCACCTAAAGATACCATTTTTTTTTTTTCTAGCTTCCATTGTTATTACTGACAAATCAATTCTCAGCCTTTGTTGGTGATTAGCTTTTTCTGTCTGGCTTCTTTTTTTTTTTTTTTTTTGAGACGGAGTCTCGCTCTGTCACCCAGGCTGGAGTGCAGTGGCATGATCTTGGCTCACTGCAAGCTCCGCCTCCCGGGTTCACACCATTCTCCTGCCTCAGCCTTCCGAGTAGCTGGGACTACAGGTGCCTGCCACCACATCCGGCTAATTTTTTTGTATTTTTTGTTTTTTGTATTTTTTTAGTAGAGACGGGGTTTCACCATGTTAGCCAGGATGGTCTCAATCTCCCGACCTCGTGATCTGCCTGCCTCTGCCTCCCAAAGTGCTGGGATTGCAGGTGTGAGCCAGCATGCCCGGCCTCTGTCTGGCTCTCTTTAAGAACTCTTTAACATTGATATTCTGCAGTTTCACTCTGTATCTAGGTATAGATTCATTGGATT
The DNA here is from genome assembly GCF_000001405.40 of Homo sapiens. NCBI lineage: Eukaryota > Metazoa > Chordata > Mammalia > Primates > Hominidae > Homo > Homo sapiens. The sequence goes on from NC_000002.12 coordinate 208,430,946, forward strand.
TCCTGAATCTGTACATCTGTATCTTTATTCGGTGATTGGAATGTTTTAGTTATTTTGCCTCTGAAATTTTGCTCCCCTTTATTCTCTCATCTCCTTCTGGAACTTTAAGAAGACAAATATGGGACCTACTCATACTACTCTTTGTGTGTCGATGTCTTATGTATTTTCCTTTTCTTTGTTTCTTTACTGCTATTTTGGTAATTTCTTCATATATATTTTCCAGTTTGCCAGCTCTTTGTTCAGCTTTGTCTAACAACTGTTCAATCCATCCATTAGTAAATTTTGATTATATTTTTATTTTCTGAAGTCTTCGTATTCAATTTTGATAGTCTCTTGCTCCTTCAATATTCTTTCAAATCTCTTCTTTTTTTCCTAGACATGCTTTATATGCTGCATATGATAATTGTAATATCTATAGACTGCTGGTCAATGCTGACCACCACACATGGTGGCTTATTTCCTTGTGTGTCTAATGATTTGTGATGAGCAACTCATGAGGTTCTTGTTTAAAGAACATTTCTTTAGAGAAAATTTGTGTTTGCAACTGCAAGGTGCCTAGATGAATTATTGACCTAAGTCCAATTTAAACTAAATTTAGATCACACATAAATATAGGCTTGTGGTTAGAAATGTTTAGAGAAGAATTTCCCCTCCACTGTTTTCTATTCCAACTCCAAATGTAGCCAAGAATGACACAAACCAATCTCTTTCTGAAGGATGGTTTTATTTCTTGCCCACCCACTTAGTGGGAGAAGTATCATCTTTTGGGGATACTGACTTTCTAGAGGGGTTTCCTGTTCAATTTCTCCACCCCATCAGGCCTCAGGCTCTTCTTTTGTTACCTGAACACCACCAAAACTCTAAGTAAACAGGTCAATAGAAGCCTCTAAGGTAAACCCCAAATGTAGAGCTTGCTGCTCCTATATTTCTGGCCTACAATTTATTCCTTTACTTTACAGCCAGCTAAGCCATATTTAAAGAAAGAAGGCTTTTACATTAATATAGCCTTTGTAGGTATCTTGTACTAAGAGGAAGCTTTCTGAATGGCTAGTCTAATAGTGTCTGAAAAGGGAATCACTCGTGCAACTTCTAAAGAATGCTGATCCTAATATCTTAGATATGGAAATCTACTAACAAAGAGATACATCATCATGAAAAAATTTGAAAGCATTATTATCTGTGATGGCTGATAAGCTGTTTTCTGTGAAATCTTATAAACTGTTGAGCTAGAAGGTATTTCAGAGATCACCTAGGCCAACATTATCATCGTCAGTGTCCCTTTAACAGTTCAACAAATATTATTATGTGCCCAGAGTAAGCTCTAAAAAGTATGAATAAGTTTCTGCCTTTTCCCTGTGGGGTTAATGGCTTAATAGGGACGGCAGGCATCTTTCAGGATGGTGTATAATTTTAACAACAGAGGTGTTTTAACAACTATAGAACCACTGAAGATGAATCTTAATTAATCAGGGAAGGCTTCCTGGAAGAATAATTATCTCATCTTAAAAGTAAAGAAGTAGGAATTAGATGTGATGAGAGGAAAGTAAGACTGTATTAGTCAAAGTTCTCCAGAGGAACAGAACTAATAGGATATAAGTATATGTGAAAGGGAGTTTATTAGAAAGAATTGGCTCACATGATCACAGGGTGAAGTCCCATGATAGGCCATCTGCAAGCTGGGGAAGAAAGAAGACAATAGTGGCTCAGTTAAGTCCAAGAGCCTCAAAAACAGGGAAGCCTTCAGTCCATGGCCAAATACCTGAGAGCCCCCAGCAAACCACTGGTGTAAGTCCAAGAGTCCAAAGGCCGAAGAACCTGGAGTCTGATGTCCAAGGATAGGATAAATGGATGGAAGCATCCAGCACAGGGGAAAGATGAAAACTCAGCAAGCCAGCTTATCCCACCTTCTTCCCCCTGCTTTGTTCTAGCCAACTGGAGGGTGCCCACCCTCAATGAGGGTCCACTAACTTTCTCTCCCAGTCCACTAACTCAAATGTCAGTCTCCTCTGGCACCACCCTCACAGAGACACCCAGAAACAGTACTTTGCCAACTATCTAGGCATCTTTCAATCCAATCAAGTTGACCCTAATATTAATCATCACAAAGACATTTCAAAAGAGGAAATAGGATGGGTCAAGATAAGCAAGTGTGCACCAGTCACACACCATATGAATTATACATAAAAGAATAAATTAACTGGTAGTAAACTTAGGTCACATCTAAAATTTGTGAAGATGTGGATGATGTGAAGCATGTAGATAAATAAATACTGAAAGAGAAAAAACACTTCCTTCGAGATCGTTATTTGCATGGAGATCTTTTTCTATGCAAATAAGACAGAATTAAATGTGGTCAAACTTTGGTTTACCTTTCAATTAAAATGTCTAATTATATATAAATTGACTCAAGTGCTCTTTACTTTAAAATTGTAAAACACTGGAATGACATTTTGAATTCACTAGCTAATTTAAGGAATTTCCATTTTTACATTCTTCTAAAATCAAGAGATGCATATCAAAATATTTAGGAGTGAGCTGTCAGACTGTCTATACTTTAGAAATCTGTAGCAAAAAATAAATTAGATTAACTATTGCAAAATATTAGCAGCTGTCAATTCTAGTTTGTGAGTATATGATTTTCTGTTTTATTTAAGAAAGATTTTTTAAATAAAAGAACATAAGAACATAAAAGTTTTCCTAATGTTTATGAAAGAGAGAAAAGGATATATAAATGCAAATATTCAGCTCTAAAACTATTCAAGTACTTAAAAAACACAGACCAAAATATTATTGATCCAAAATATTATTATTTCAAGTGTGGTCACATTTCGTTTGAAAAGAGAAAAACGTTCTCCAAATTTTAGATTGTTCTGTGTAAATGTCATGGTTTGACAAGCTTCACTCATAATTAGTTTGTCCTGGCACACAAAAATAATTACAGAGTTATAATTAATGGTGCTAATTTATAAAGAGAGATGGGGAGCCATTAGTCAATTAATTAGGTCCTTGCCAAATAATGAAAGTATTTACTCACATTGGATGGCAATCTGATCAAGGAGAGAATGCTAGTTAAGACCTCTATTTTTGGCCAGGCGCAGTGGCTCGTGCCTGTAATCCCAACACTTTGGGAGGCTGAGGCGGGTGGATCACCTGAGGTCAGGAGTTCAAGACCAGCCTGACCAATATGGTGAAACCCTATCTCTACTAAAAATACAAAAATTAGCTGGGTGTGGTGGCGGGTGCCTGTAGTCCCAGCTACTTGGGAGGATGAACAGGAAAACTGCTTGAACTCGGGAGGCGGAGGTTGCAGTGAGCTGAGATGGTGCCACTAACTCCAGAGTGAGACTCTGTCTCAAAAAAAAAAAAATCTCTATTTTCTATGTGAGATTCATGGCTTCTTCAATTTTTTCAACCTTTTGTGAACATTTACTATTCTCTTTGTCAAAGAGCAACCAAAAAAATAAGCATGATCTACAGAAATATTTTGGGAGAGTGTCAGTTTTCTAAAAATTGGGCAGCATGTGTGAAGCAGTATCTTGCAGGGAACGAGAAAGCTGTCCCTTTTAGAGCATGAGGAAAAAAAATTTCCATAGCAGTTTTAAAACTATATAATTATAGAATAAACTGGCCATTGGCTTTTGCTAGAAAATAGCATATGACATTGCAGCATACATTTTGGAGGGATATCTAATTACCGAGAAATAAGAATGTGTGTCCAGGTCCAATTTATGTAATTACACAATAGATACTGGGCACATATCGACTGGACAGTTCAGATATATAAAGACATGTGGCTTGTTAATGAAAAGGTGAATTGAAAGATATCAAGATATACTGTTGAGGGCAAAGTTGTTGGGAGAGGTGGAGTCATTACATTCTGTATAAATGAAAAGGAAAACATACAAACAACAAAGCAGATAATGGTGGAAAGAGAGGCAGGTGGAGCTGTGCACCAGAAGCAGGAGCCAGTGGGATGGGCTCCTGCCTTGCCTGTGATATGTAAAGCTCGGGCTTTTATTATGTGAGCAAAGCAAGGCTTTTTCTAAGAAAAATGTTTTTGGAAAGACATTTTCTTTTCTTATTGCTTCGGCAATGCACAAAGCAAATCAAGTATTTGTTTCTGTGTGATATGGTGGATGCTAAGAAGTTAATTTCAGGTTCATAACTGAATTTATTTTTCTGTAGAGATCAGTGTCTCTGTAAGGTTCTGTTATGCTGACTGTTCAAAACTAAGCAAACAACTTGACAAAATGAACATTAGCCAGAACAAAAATCCTCAGCACAGTTAGTGTAACTGGTAACTAAAAAATTGAGAGAGCTATAATGGGTAGTACTTGTGGTGGCAGAATGATGGCCCTCCAAGGATGTCCATGCCCTAATACCTGCTGTTGTGCCTGTGTATGCTGTGTCACATGGCAGAAGGGACTTTGCAGATGGAATTAAGGTTATGGACCTTAAAATGAGGGAGCTTATTCTGGATTGTCTGAGTGGGTTCCATGTGATCATACGGGCCCTTTAAAGTGGAAGAGGAAGGCAAAAGAATCAGAGTTGAAGCAGAAAATGAGAGAGGAGGAGAGATTAAACATGTGAGAAGGACTCAACCTGCCTTGCTGACTTCGAAGATGGAAGAAGGGGGCCAAGCAGCTTCTGGAAGTTGGGAACAGCTCTCAGCTGACAGCTGTCAGCAAAGAAATGGGGACCTTGGTTCTATGTCTGCAAGGAGCTGAATTCTCCCAACCACCCAAGTGAACAAGGAGACAGATCCTCCCTCAGAGCCTCCAGAGAGGAATGCAGCCCTGCCCAGCCCTTGATTTTGGCCTCACGGGTCTACAAGGAGAGAAACAGCTGAGTCCAGCAGACTGTTGACCTACAGAAATAGAGAAAAAACAAATTTCTGTTATTTTAAGCTGTGAAGTTTGTGGTAATCTGTTACAGTAGCAATGGAAAACTAATACAGCAGTCACTGAAGGTATCTATTTTTGAGAAGTTGGGGTATAATTTGGCTGACAGGCTGTCTTCTTGGAAGTTCAGTTCATCACTAATCGAAAGGAGTCCTGCAAGAGCACAGAGAGTTGACACTGAATATTTGTTAATCCTCCACCAAGTGCCAGGTGCATTCCCGGAATGTGGCTAAAGCTTGAGACAAAACAGGCAAAAATCTCAAGTTTCTTAAATCCTGTGACTTAGGAATATAATAATAAAATAACACCCAATATTGGAAGGTGATGAGAACTCAGGTGAAAAATACAGCAGGAAAAGGTATAAGGAAGATTTTGGGATGCAATTTTAGATAAGCGTGTTTACTCAGAAGTTGACATTTGAGTGAAAATATGAAGGAGGTAAGGGAATAAGTCTGTCTGAGTGAGAGGGCAGACCCTATGGGCACTTCAGGCATTATAAAAACTTATGTTTTGATAATGCCTGTTGGAGCTGTTGGAGGATTTGGGGCTATTGTGTCAAAAATAAAGGAAAGAAAGTGTGAAGCAGGTTTACTGTGCACTAGTTACCAACTTGTCTGAGTCCAGTGAGGCAGAATACCCAGCACATGAGTTACATGAAACGGGTTTATTACTCACAGGTAGGCAGCAAGGAACAACAGAAGCCTAGGAGTCATTGGGAACTGGTGCCCCACGGTTCGGGAAAGCTGCCTGGGCTGGATAGAATCTCAACTGCTCATGACCTGCGTGCACCACAGCAGAGGGACCCCATAAAACAGCCCAACCCTGATTACATACCTCAGGGAACACAGAGTGCACTGGGCTAATGTCTGGAGACATCCTGTTTCTGGGAGGGCTTGGAACTGAGTCTGGACTGTTCCAGGCAGTTCCTCACCCCTTATCTCAGTATGTTGCATTCCCAGCACATTCTATAGTTATTCTTGAGAACTACAAAAAAAAGGGACAGAGAGAATTGGGTTCATCCAATGCCACCCAGAGAACTGTCCTGCAGAAAGAAATGTTGGAATCAGGAGCGCCAGTCATAGACTGTTGCACTCATTCAGGTTGGAGATGAAGTGACTTGGACTATCGTGGTGACAGTAGATGTTGTGAGAAGTGATGAAGTTCTGGATTCATCTTGAGAAGAGTAGAGTTCATGAGAATGTTGTTTGAGATGAATGTTAGACTCAAGGAGAAGTACTGGTAAAAAGATAAACCTGAGTCTTGCGGCTTGCCAGTGAAGTGCGCTGCTTCAGGTGTTATGATCTTTAAAAACAGTTTTCAAGAATCTAGTGTAAAAATGTAGTTACAACTTTGGTGGTCAGAAAAACTTTGTCACAGAAGTGGTTCACAATGATTTCCAATGTTTCTTATAAATTAATTGCTATAGCTACCATAACTAGTATGCTGGAATAATTTGAATATTTTTGATGTATGCAAAGCAAATGTTCCTATGAATGAGCCTTTGATGAAGCACACAGATGAATTTTGGGACATTTGCATCATATCTATTCTATCTAGTTTCAAAAACTACCAATTTGTTTTAATTTTGCTACAGACAATGACCTAAAATTTTGTTTTTTGAATGCATTTGTTCTCTGGTTCTAACTACATTTTTCTTTGTTTATTTGCTTTAATTTTTTTTTCTCATTAGAAGGTAATTGTTTCCCTGAATGGGATGGACTCATTTGTTGGCCCAGAGGAACAGTGGGGAAAATATCGGCTGTTCCATGCCCTCCTTATATTTATGACTTCAACCATAAAGGTATTGAATTTTTCTAAAATGATTAATTTAAAACAAACATTTACTTGTCCATTTTCTTGATAATAGATTCTAAGGGAACTGAGCGATCTCAGCATCTTTCATGTCTTTACAGGAGTTGCTTTCCGACACTGTAACCCCAATGGAACATGGGATTTTATGCACAGCTTAAATAAAACATGGGCCAATTATTCAGACTGCCTTCGCTTTCTGCAGCCAGATATCAGCATAGGAAAGGTAATGGAATTTCTCTATTTGTGAATTCCTAAGGGAAAGCAGAATAATATTTTAATGCAATTCTCAATTGCCAGCCATTATGTATAAAAACCCTCTTATTCCACGACACAAGGATCATAAAAGATAAAAGCAATGTTGCAATCTTTTCAGATGCATATCAATCATTCTGGTATTTTCTATAGCCTAGAGCTACCTGGCTGAGATACATACATCCATACTTATACCTGTGTGTGTGTTATGTTTATTATGTTAGATTACATTGTTTACTTGCATTATATTATGCTATATTATGAATAAAAATCCCAATAGGTGGTTAGTAACATGATTCATGATTTCTTCTTAGTTACCTATGAATGGCTACATCTCATCTGTATATTCCAGAAGGACCTTTGCATTTTAGAGGTGTATTTTCCACCTCATAAGATTTACCAATAGATGATCTCATTAGCGTATAAAAGATTAGAGTTTTAGGATTAAAGGGGAGCAAGGGGCATCATATAAATCTTCCAGCACAATATATTAATTTCAGAGATGTGAGTCAACTGAGAACCCGAGATTAGGTGTTGGTCAAAGTGACATAGCTCAGTGGCAAGAGGGTTTAATGTAGAGCCCTTATGTCCCAATTTCACATCAGTGCTGTTTCCAATATAGAAATCATATATAAACTTTGGGATATTCTAGAGAGTTGCTTTTAAGTTATAAAAGTTGGTTTAAAAGTCATGTTTAAATTTATATCACTTAGACCTCGTGAGTAAAAATGCATGATGATATATGCATATGATGCTAAGAGTTAATGTGATAAATTAGCTTTATGAAAACCCTGAGAATAGTCCATCACACATAAACTCTTCGAATTTTTGACATATTTCTTTATGTCTGGTGATGTTTTGGGGAGGTGGGGGGAGAACAGCAGCAAGAGAAGTAGTGAGTTGAAGGTTTCTTTGATTTTGCATTAATAGAACTTCCTGTCTTAACTTTCTTCCTTAATGAGTTCTTTAGGAATTGGCAGAAAGACTTTCAGTTATCTGTTTAATTGTTGAAAAGCTTCTTAGATAAAATAAGTCAATATGAGGAGATTGTTAGGTACTCTACAATGGAACTAACATAAGTAACATCAACATTCAGTTAAGCTAAAATGCTTCAAAAGAATTTCAGTCTCATTGATAGAAACAAACATTCACTGATACTTAGTGTACTCTGTGATTATCTTCATTTTTGCATTACATGATGAAAAATGCAAACCTTTCAGAGCTGTTAATGGCCATTAAATTAAATCATGGTTTTATTTATATTGAACTCTAATCTTATAACCATTTTCTGTGATTACTGTGTATTTTAAGAATAAAAATAACTAAAGATGGTTGATGTACTCAATATATATACTAGTTTATGTAAAATGATTTAAAAGTTAATAGAAAATTTGAAGAATTGTGTTAGTATAATTTAATCTCCTTAATTAAAAACACAAAAAATGTTTTCTATTGTTTGCAACCTTTAAGTAATAATTTGGAAAAACCCAAGAAAACAAAATATGTCTAATAAGAAAACTAGATATCTCCTGAAGGTTTGACACACAGTAGGGCAAAATGATATTACTTATTTGTGAGATATAAATTATTAATAGTTAATAAAATTTTTTTATAAGGAAGGAAAGGCAAAAAACTAAAAAAGTGTAAATTTAGAATAAATGCCACATTTTTATCAGGAAAATAAGATATTTTTGAGCACTATTTTTTTCTCTAAATTTTTATATAATTGGCTTGGCAAAATGAGGTAATTATTTTAGTTAAAAAAAGGGAAGGAATTCTAATGATGTCACAAGATTATTAAATTTTTTAGAGTGTGATATTTAAAACAGTAGCATACTGTAGAAACTACCATATAATACATCTCCTATCCAAAGGCTAGATGTACTTTTGGAAAGCCATTTAGCAGTATATATTTAAAAACTTCAAAGGAATAATATTTTTTGATCTTATAAATTTACTTCTAAAATCAAGCATAAGGATTTAGAATGGGGGAACTGAATGGAAAAAATGTTCATTGAACAAATAATTATAATGAATGTTTCAACGAGTTTAAATTTCTAATGAAGAACTGGTTAAATAAGCGCAAATATATGCATATAAATTTTATAAAGAGTTTGCAGCCTTGGGCAATTATTTTGTCACACAAAAAATTCAGGAATAAACTTGTATATAAATTGAGAATGCAGATGCTTAAAATAATAGGCAATGCTTCACAGAAATAGAATGAAATGAAATAGATGAAGTACTAGCTGGGCATAGTGGCCTGTGTCTGTAGTTGCAGCTACTTGGGAGGCTGGGGTGGGAGTTCAAGATCAGCCTGGGCAACATAGGGAGATGCCATCTCTTAAAGTCATAACAATAACAACTTCAAGAAATATGTGAAGTACATGAAGTACTAACAGTGTTTCTTTCTGATTGGTTAGAATTTGTAAGATTTTTTTTCTCCTCTCTTTTATGTTTTACACATTATTCAAATATTTTCTATGAAAAGTTTTACTATTTTATTAAGAGAAAATAATAAGTAATTAATATTTTTTTTAAAAGAAACAAGAGGCAAAGTCTTCCTGCTTCCAGTCAGATTGTAGGCAGTCGCAACAATAAGTTGGCTTAGATGCAAAATTAATAATTTGTAAACATGAGTTGAGGATGCCAAGAAATCTAAATGAACTAAATTCCAGAAATGGGCAAGCCCTTCCTATGAGAGAAGAGACCCATGGCTGCGTGTATCCCTAGGACCACAGTAGAAGGGGAGAAAACAGGCTATTGAAGGGGACAAAGAGAAAAGAGACAAGCTTTTATACCAATAGCAGACAAGGGCTAGCATAAAGAGTTAGAATCCCAAGGAGTAAGCCCTAGTCTTAGTAAGCTATAATCCACCAGGCAATTCTTTGCCGTGAGGTCTTCACCGAGTGCATGGGGGAAGTATGCCAAAGGCTGGGGCAGGCAGAGGGCTCAGAGAAATTCCTTGAGATGTGCACAGGGCTCTCACAGAGTGAAAGGCAGCAGTTGGCTGAAGGCATGGATCAGGACAGAGGAGCTGAGAGGCATCCCTTGAGGCACAGGGGGCCCTCACTAACTGCATGACTGATGCAGCCCACAGGCCAGGAGAAGGGCAGGGAAGCTGAGACAAATCCCCTAGAGATGCATAGTTCCCAGTGAGCACAAGGCAGCAGCCAATTGCAAGACCAGGCCCCTGAACTTCTGAGTAACCACCTTCAAGTTGGGGTTCCCACGAACCCCTCTTTAGGCTTGATTAATTGCTAGAACAGCTCACATAACTCAGAGAAACACTTACGTTTCCTATATATTATTATAAAGGATATTTTAAAGGATACAAATAAACAGCCAGGTGAAGAGACATATAGGGCGAAGTCTGGAAGAGTCTGAAGTGCAGGAGCTTCTGTTCCGGTGGAGTTGGGGTGCACCACCCTTCTGGTAAATGGATGAGTTCTGGTTCACCTTCCTGCAAGCCTCCGTAAATTCAGCTGTCTAGCAGCTCTTTATATCCCATTTTCTTGGCCCTTTTATGGAGGCTTCATTGGATTAGCCTGATTGAAACATGGAAAACGCTTGTTGAGTTTCCCCATTTAGTCTATTAGTATTAGATTACATCCTTTTTGTCCAATCACATTTCTACACCATTGTCCAATCTTAAAAGATCCCATACTGTATAATTCTACTTATATGACATTTATGAAATGACAAAATTATAGAGACAGAAAACAGATTAATGGTTGCCAGGTGTTTGGCATGGTGGAGAGGAGGAGGTGTCACCGTAAGGGACAGAACAAGGAGAACTTTGTGTTGGTGAAATAGTTCTGTACTTGATTACAGTAATGGTTACAAAAATGTACATATGATCAAATGACATAGAACTATAAATATGCGTGTCGCATCAATATTAAATTTCTGGTTTTGATATTTTAGTAAAATTACATAAGATGTAAGCTTTGGAGAATACTGGGTGAAGGGAACCTGGGGCTTTTCTTACACTATTTTCTACTTCTTTTGAATCTATAATTATTTTAAAACAAAATAATTGAAAAGGAATGAACTATTTATACATGTAACGATATCGATGAATATAAAAAACAGTATGTTGATAAAAAAGTATATACTGTAACATGTAATCCTAAGAAGTCTAAGAATAGTCAAGAGGTATATGAAGTATGTGAACAGAGAAAGCTAATTTGTGGTGACAGATATTGGAACAGTGATTTCCTGGGGGTGGATAGTGGGTGTTTTTTTGACTAGCAAGGGGCACAAATGAACTTGGTTTGTCAAAACCTATCAAAATGCTCACTCCAGATCTCTACATTTTATTGCATGCAAATTACAGCTTAAAAAAGTTAAAGAGAATTAGAAATAAGATTCCAAAAATGACATACTATTTCTTTGCCAGTTTATTGGTAAAATAGTCCCATATCATACATGAGCATCTCTTCCCTTGCAGCAAGAATTCTTTGAACGCCTCTATGTAATGTATACCGTTGGCTACTCCATCTCTTTTGGTTCCTTGGCTGTGGCTATTCTCATCATTGGTTACTTCAGGTGAGTGATGCCCATCACTTTTTCCATGAAGGGGCACATTGTCTTTCCTATCCAGAGAAGACATAGCGGTCTCACAATATTTTCCAAATGTTTTCCTCAAATGCAAGTTTTTGAATTCAGCCTAATGTTATTATGTTATTTGACAATTAATTTTTCATGACAAATTCAGGGTTCTTTGTTTAAAAACTTAAAGTATCAAAGTAGTATGAAACCTTTAACCCAATAAGTATGTACTGAAGTATATTTGTTGCAAAGTAAGACAGCATCGAATTGAATGAGTTCCCGAGAGATTTTGGTGCTATTGGACAAAAATTCATCTTAAATAATCTCCCAAATTATTGGATACCAGCACATAAAGAAATAGTATTTATTGCTTTTGTTATGGTTTATTTTTTATCCACTTTAACATGTGTCCAATTCCATTCAACTTAATCGAAATCATTACAAAATTTTGAGCACCAATTCAGTCACCCTTCATATACTGGGATTTCACATCCCCAGATTCAACAGACTGTGGATGGAAAATACTCAGAAAAAAAAGTTTGGTTGTGTTCATACTGAACATTTACATACTTATTTTTTGGGTCATTTTTCTCTAAACAATACAGTATAACATCTATTTACATAGCATTCACATTGTATTTGGTATTATAAGTAATCTAGGGATGATTTAAAGTAACAAGATGATGTACATAGGTTATGTGCAAATACTGCACTATATCATATAAAGGACTTGAGTATCTGCAGATTTTGGAATTTGTGTGGAGTCTCGAACCAGTCCCTGCTGGAGGGGAGCAGGCTGGTTGGTGGTGGCAGCAGTCGCACTGGGTGTTTCCCCCATTTTTAATTTTATCCAAATTTAAATACTGAATATTTCTCTCCGTAGACGATTGCATTGCACTAGGAACTATATCCACATGCACTTATTTGTGTCTTTCATGCTGAGAGCTACAAGCATCTTTGTCAAAGACAGAGTAGTCCATGCTCACATAGGAGTAAAGGAGCTGGAGTCCCTAATAATGCAGGATGACCCACAAAATTCCATTGAGGCAACTTCTGTGGACAAATCACAATATGTAAGTGTTTTCACCATTTTCTCTCATTACTAATTTGTATAACACTACAAATAAGTACAATTTTACAGTCCACTAAACATGTTAACTTGCTTTTACTTATCTCTGAACTAACTAAAATGGATTATCAATTTGTATAGTGATGTTTTCTCCCTCAATTCTGTCCTTTCATGTCTAATCAATCATTTTATTAAAAGTTCTTGGGTTTTTTCCTCAAGAATATTCTGGAATGGAAACTGCAAAATGCACAAGATTGGAATGGTATTTGGCATAGGCACCACAGCAACTGTCATGGGGCTCACCACTTTCGAAAGTAAAAATCCCATCAGCAAAACCAGAAGCTTGCAATTTAAAAGCCCATGATATTTAGTCCCTTTATTGAGTACTCGAAGACTTGTTCCAATATAAAATTTTATGTTACTTGATTCTGCTCTTGAATGTCCTGGTGGTAGTAAATAGATTGATCCAATAATTCACTCAATTAGATCATTGAAGCAATATATCTGAAATTAGGTATAGTAGATTGATTGTCTTGATGGTGTGAATTAATACCCTGTCTGGATCTGTGCCTTTGCCCTGTAACTTTATAGTCCCTGCTGATTCTGATTCTGGGCTGGCACTGAGACTTGCTTTCCCCAACAGAAGGAAGTGGACGCAATAGTGTAGCAGTTGAGAGTAGACCTCTACTCAGTGAGCCTAGCCGAGACAAGCCTAGCCCAGATCAGCCGAACTACCCAGCCCATCCACAGATTTCTAAGATATGTTAAATGTTTATTGTTATAAGTCACTAACTTTGGGGGCAGCTTGTTTTGCAGCAATAGCTGCATAAAAGACCAAAATAAAATAAATTCAAGCTAAAAATATGGGTAACATTTTCTTCTTTATACTTTTCTATATGTTCCTAATTTTCTGTGATGGTCGTGTATTATTTTTATAAAGTGAAAAAATTGAGAAAAGGTGATTTTTTTGGTAACTTCTTAAAGAAAAAACTTATTTTAAAAATAGAATCAAGTTCATAGTCTTGAAAAATGATGCATTAAAATAACTGTTTTGGCCTCTCAACAGTTTTGACTTTACTGTGTAAAGGAGACATATTAGCCTGAAAAAGAAACTGAAGACTTGTTTTTTAGTGGTCTAATGTTGGCATCCAGTACAACAAAGTGTTCTAATATGATGAAATTCTGGTTTATTTGTAATAGATCGGGTGCAAGATTGCTGTTGTGATGTTTATTTACTTCCTGGCTACAAATTATTATTGGATCCTGGTGGAAGGTCTCTACCTGCATAATCTCATCTTTGTGGCTTTCTTTTCGGACACCAAATACCTGTGGGGCTTCATCTTGATAGGCTGGGGTAAGACATTTATATCTCTGTTCCTTTCAAACTGGATGATGCATTTGATGACATTCTGTCATGCCCATCATTAGCATCCCTACAGCCATTTTCCTGAAACAATCCCTCCCATTCTTATTTTTTATCTCCCTTTTATTGTTCTATTCTTAGACAAAAATAATTAAGATCAAGTCTATAATTCTCCCAGTGGTGACAAACTTTTAAAGTTATTTGTGGATAGTGTTCTTAGGCCAGATTCTTGAGAGGATTCTTTGGAGGAAATATAAGAGAACTCATTGTAAGCCATACACATGTACAACTAAATGTCAGTGTTCTGCTTTATCAATAATTTCATCTTAAAATTTTTTATTTTTGAATTTCTAAGCTATAATGATATATTTTTGGTTTGTATTTCTAGGTCATATGATGAGAATGCCAGAAATGAATTTGTAGGACCATCCTGACTGTATTTAACAAATACAAATTACAAACTAATTATGTGGACTTACCATGTGTTTTAGAAGGAAATTATTCAAATTACTTCTGGCATAAGTAATTAAAAAAGTATTCAGTTCTCATTTCAAAAATGATTTAGCAGTACAAGGGGGATTACTGGATTAGACACTGACTCAACATGACATGGAGAAAAGAAATTGTTTGCTTGTTAAAAATTAAGGGAAATTAAAACTCATATGTGGTGAAAATTGAGAAGAGGTTGGAGATTAACAGTTGCAGATCTCAATTGCTATTTTAATATTTAAATTAGGAGGTGCTCAGCATAGGAAAAAAATTCACTAAGTAGCTCACGACTAAATTTGAAGGTTTTTTTCCTCTCCAAAATAAGAATATGCCTTTGCCTATTTTGCCTTAACTTTTTTTCTTAACAACTGAAATGTGAAGTAAAGAATGCTGAACTTTCTGCTAGCTAATTAATAACCTTTAAGAAGACAAAGAAAATCAATTTACTGTTAAACTTATTTATTATGAAATAATCATCACAATTAAAGTTGTATTTTTGTAGACAGCTCGTCTGTTTTAAGGCTCTTTCTTATCTTTGACTAGCAGTTACTGAAAATAAAAAAGATAATATTTTGCTTTTTTAGGATCCTTTGGAAATTTTCTTGACAATTTGTGGTAGTTTGCCTTCCTTCAAATCAAAATTATATCTGTGAACCCACATAATTATTAGGAGTTGGAAAAGGTGTTGATAGAAAATTCAATAATGAATGTAGACATTTGTTTATTTGGGTTATATTTTATTTTTCAAATTTCTTCATCATTGCTTACATTTTTAATAAATTCTTTTTTTCTCTTTATTTATGCCTTGATAGCTACCTGGTGCAAGCCTCCTTATTAACTCTTTATTTGGGCTTTATCACTCAGTCTGTCTCTCCTTACAGTTAGGAGTTTGTCCCACCGAATCTCAGAAAACACAAATCTTTCTATGAAAAAGAGAATGTGAAGAAAAGCTAAGGTGCTAGTGAGCTTCTATGCAAGTATGGTTTCTTACCTTCCTTTACAGCTTTTATTAATTTGCCCACAAAAGTTTAGGCATAGAAATGACAACTACAATAGAAATCTTCATTTCGTGAAATAGTTTGAGAACACACATGAAAACCGGTTGACTTTTCATGGAAACTGTCTGTGAACGCATTTTACATGCCACATTTTGCTCACTTAATTAGCCACAAGTCAAAAGAGTAATAACTATTCTTCATGGAATTATGGTTCTACAGCTAGTCTGTCTTCTGACTTTCTCTTTGCATTTCCATTCTTTAAAAATATACTCTAGTCTAGGGCATATATAATGAAAATAATAGTAGTATTCTTTTAAGATTCTCTGCTCCTAAAACACAGCTATCACTGAATGAAGTACATATCAAAATCTGTTTGATTTATGGATTGTCTTTCTCTTATCTCAACACTGAGAGACTGATTTAAAAACATTATTTATATATCTGACTCATTTTTCTAAATTCATTTTCTAAATGATCAAAAACATTATATATGCCTTGCAGGATACTTTGCTAGAATAACTGAGAGCGAGTCCAATTTTATACTTACTTCCAATGATGCCATTTACTGGCTTCATTAGAGCAGAGAACTTGCTTAAATTCCTTTGTTACTCATTTGGACCCAAATGTTTATAACTTTAAGCTCTTTTCAGCTAGATAAATACTCAGAACTCTGTTAGTCACATTGTAGTAATGTGTGGAGTTACACTTATATTGATTGTGATGATCCTTTTCTTTTTAAATGTTTTATTATTTTATTTCTTATTATTTGTTAGAGATGTGGTCTTATTATGTTGCCCAGGCTGGTCTTGAACCCCTGGCCTCAAGCAATCCTCCTGCCTCGGCCTCTCAAAGTGCTGGGATTACAGATGTGAGCGACCATGTGCAATCTGATTATGATGATTCTTAAAAATAAATTGGAAGGAGGCTGGGCGCAGTGGCTCACGCCTGTAATCCCAGGACTTTGGGAGGCCGAGGCGGGCGGATCATGAGGTCAGGAGATTGAGACCATCCTGGCTAACACGGTGAATCCCTGCCTCTACTAAAAATACAAAAAATTAGCCAGACGTGCTGGCAGGCGCCTGTAGTCCCAGCTACTCAGGAGGCTGAAGCAGGAGAATGGCGTGAACCCAGGAGGTGGAGCTTGCAGTGAGCTGAGATCGCGCCACTGCATTCTAGCCTGGGTGACAGAGCGAGACTCCATCTCAAAAAAAAAACAAAAAGAAAAATAAATAAATAAATAAATAAATAAATAAATAAATAATAGGAAGGAAAGGAAATGACAATCTGAAGAAGAATAGGTGTCATATCTGACCTTTACTAAATTAAGGACAAATATTTAAAATAACTGTTTTTACATTTTATTATTATAAAACAAGATGCATAGAGAATAAAGGTGAATACTAATGATAACTGTTTCTTTTCATTCAACCAAGCACATTATTATTTTCCCCATCCTTGTCTCAGTTTTCCCATAAATAAGGTGCTTTATTCTTAGTTCCATTTTATTTCAACTACACATTTTCCTCTATTTTAATTCTGTATGTAAAAGGTATCTCTTTTTTTTATTGTTACTAAATATGGTAATTTGCTTCTATATTAGTAGCCATCCTTAATTTTCAACTGTCAGATGAAACACCAGTATGTACATATCATCATATAAAACCACCTATCCTAGTAATACCATCTTACATAGAATATTTTCACATAATATGTTCCCTGAAAATAATCAGGAAACAGTCCCACACTCCCATTTTATTCCCTTTGTAAAATATCTTAATCCAGCAAACATTTTTTGATCATCCACTTGGCAGTAAGTGTTTAAACACAGAGACAGGTGTTAAAGTCTCCCACACAAGATGCATGCACTCTGACCCTTTAGGTTATTTTGTTTGTTTTCTTGTTGTGATCATATGTATCATATTCAACATTTTTAATTTGTAGTTATTTTAAAGTTAATTTAAAGTTTTGTCTTCACAAAACTTATTTATTTTGTATTGACGTGTCTTATGAAAATAACTCCACTTTGGGAGGCTGAGGTGGGCGGATCATGAGGTCAGGAGATCGAGACAATCCTGGCTAACATGGTGAAACCCCGTCTCTACTAGCCGGGCGTGGCAGCGTGCGCCTGCAGTCCCAGCTGCTGGGGAGGCTGAGGCAAGAGTATGGTGTGAACCCGGGAGGCGGAGCTTGCAGTGAGCCGGGATCATGCCACTGCACTCCAGCCTGGGTGACAGAGCAAGAATCCGTCTCAAAAAAAAAAAGAAAATAACTCAACTTTCAGTAAATGCACATACTAGATAACATTTAAATTTATATTAAATTTACTTAATTTAACATTTAAATTTAAAACAACATTTACATGTCAAGTATTTTTGCCTTTATTTCTGTGTTCTAAATTATGTAACAATTCATATTAAGACTCGTGATAAAAAATCCTTAAAGGATCCCAAAGTAGTTTTCTGTTCTTCATTCTTCCATGGTAGTCTCTATGCTAGTCTTATGCATAAGATTCTCTAAGAAGGTGAGAAAAGCAATTCTATGAAGACATAATGCCTGTGTACGATATTTGACATAATTATCATCTAAAACATAATGCCAACTCAACCACCATTAATAAATACTGTATAGAACAGCATTCAGGAAGTACCTGATCAGAAGAATGTAAAGGAAGCAGAAGATGCAGATATAAGAATGATAAGATGTGAAAATTGATGAAAGACAGGCAGACACTTTTTGAAGACAACCAAGATAGAACAGCTGAGGGATCTATGTCAGGCCATGTGGTAGAATCTATGCCAGACTGTATGGTGGATTTATATCTAATCATCCTACCAGAAGCAGCTGTCCCCTCCCCATTACATAGTATCACTTTTATTTATTCTTCATAGCACCAATTCATAACCAAAAGCAACTGAAGTTGCTTTGTTAATTTTGACTGCTTCACCAGAATATAAGTTTTAGAAAACAGGGATATTGTTTATTTGTTCATTATTTATATCATTTAGAACAATCTTTGACACATAAATAGACAATAAATGATTAATGGAGAAATGTGATAGATAGATAGATAAATAGATAGATAGATAGATAGATAGAATATGCAAACTGAACCTAAGAAATAACCAGAATTAGGTAGGTCTATTTTGACAAAAAATTCCTAGAACACAGAATTTGAGCAGATTAAAGAAAGAATACTATAGAAACAAGAAATAAAATTGGAATATAGAATCATAAAATTCAGTAGTGATATAGGCAGGCTGAACTTAAGTTAGATGGTCACTAAGGAGACCAAAGACATTATTGTGCATATCATCATTTTCATCTTTTTCTGAAAATTTTCTTTTTCTAAGCCTATTTCTTTGTTCACTTTGTTGCTAAGAAAGAATATAAAAAAATTACAATTTTTTTAAAGGTTAAGAATTTAAAGTTATGCTTGATAAAAAATGTTCTTGGCTAGACCAAAATTTTGTTTTCCCCTTTTGTAAGGTGCTTCCTAGATTCTAAAATGTTTTCCTTATGGTTTCTGTATATCCTTTATTTAAACCACTTTCATAAAGGCCACATAATGAAAAGTCATCTCTTAAGTCTTTCAGTCCCCTACTGCAGTATTCCATATAAGTTATGGTTCATGATTTTTTTGTGTGTGATGTCAGAGTTTAATCAAATACAACATGAGCTGGACAGTGAACTTTTACTGGGGGGCAAACGAAAGTCGGTATAATGGATTTGATGTTACAAGCCCAGAAGGTGTTTAGCACTTATGAAGGACAAATATCTCGCGCTCAAATCATCAGACAAATATAGTGGTCACCCTTTTCTATTAATGCATGAAAATGCTTCTGTCTTGTGCCAACGTGAACTAAAAGAAGAGACTAAACTGGTTAAAACTTCCTGATTTTTATAACTTGCCTCAGTATGCCTTCCATTTTTAGGATGAAAAAATTCTAAGTTTTTAAAACAACAGCATCCCTCAGCTTTTCAGGAGTCCCTGTGTTGCTTCACTCCTTGAGAGCATATGATGGTCAGCGTGACAAGAGTCAAAGTCAAATGCCAACCATTGCTTACTTCCAACCCTAGGAACTTCACTCTTCTCCAAATATGGCTTTTCCCTACACCCCTCAGATGAAAATTAGGCCAGTTTTTATCTTCAGACTAGAGGAACAAATAACATCAATATTCTTGCTAATTTCTCAAACTGACATGATTAAAAATTAAGTGGACTTTTCTTGTTCACATATCAGAAATTTTCATGTCTATTTTTATCTCTGAACAGCTAATAGTATATTCTTATATATGGTGAATTTGAGGAAAAAACCTCCTTAATCTTAAAATAAATCTAGTCTCTGAATCATTTTCTGATTTCAGGGTTTCCAGCAGCATTTGTTGCAGCATGGGCTGTGGCACGAGCAACTCTGGCTGATGCGAGGTGAGTGAAAAGGCAGGGGAAACGAGAGAACCTCAGATGTTCTCAAGACTCAGGCTTCCTGCTCAGAATTCACACTCGCTTCTGTTCTTGATGCCATTGCTTTTTAGGGATGCCACAAGGAAAATTACCTTGATGCGATGGTAGCTTCCAACACATTACCAGCAAGCTGTCTATTCCAGAGGTCATAGAGCAGAAACACTCGCAGACTAGATGAAGGTGCCTGACCTCCATAGATTAAGAAACAAATGTAAAATATAATGTGAGAAGCAAGTGGAAAGAGATGGGTAAGAGAATCCACTTAGGATTTAGTGAAAGCAGGTTGAAGAACTACACTACCTGATTCCTAGGATAGGCAGTGTTCATACTCTCTCTCTCTCTCTCTGCCACATCAACTTTTCCTGAGGATGGTGTGGTTATGAGGACCTGCGATAAGGTAGCACGAAGGGGAACTACAGACAGAATCTGGTGCCCTGGGCCAGTGACACATACTTCCTCATAGAGATGGAGAGGCAAGTACACTGGCTACATTTGTAGCTTCTGAATTAGCCTGCAGAGAAGTTCTGGGTTTTATTTGTGGCCCTTGGGAAAAGGACATGTGGGAAGGAGTTCCATCAATCCATGAATCCTCAAAATCAAAATATTTTTGAGGCTGATAATGCCCTCAAAAATATTAAGAACTTCCTTTGTATCAGGGATTGTTCATGGCTCTTGTATATTTAGTATATTATGAATGTTTAGAGCTCAGTTGCCTCATGTGTCTTTAGTACCTGGGTTTAACACACGTGTGGTCTACTAACTCATCCTTATCTATATTTAATGCAAACTGTGGGTTTCATGCATCCCATTTGTTACCATATCTTCTATAGCAGAATTAAATATTTTAAAATAATAAACACATATTAGAAGTGGAATTTATCTCTAACTGTGAGTCATTAAGTTCTTCCAGGTAGCATGGAGCTAATTTAATGTGTCATTTTAAAGTACAAGAAAACAATGCTATAAATCATTTAAAATGTATCATTTTTAAGGATACATTTTAATGTATCATGGTACACCTAATACATTTAAATAACCATTTAAGTGTAAAGGGTACATTTGCATTAAATAGTAAAGAATCCTTTCTTTATATTTTGACAGACCTGAGTTCAAATCTTGATTTAACTGCTTTGTTAGGTTAGGGACCAACGGACCCAAAACACATGATCTCTTTGTGTATCAGTTTCTCATGTATAAAGCAGAGATAATAATGTATAGATGACATTAATACATTATTATGAACACTTAGCATAGTACCTGGCACTAAATGGGAGTGTGCTGAGAAGGAGCTCAGGTACAGGTGTCTTATAGGCTTGTTCTGCTACTTCTTGGTTCTGGAACAGCAGATGTACAACCTAACCTCTCTGAGCCTCAGTTTTCTCAGCTGTCAAATGCAGTTAAAATGAATACTACTCTTTACAGAGTTGTTGTTGTAAGAATAAATGAGATAATGTATGTAAAATAACTAATGCAAAGTTTGGAATGTACTGATAGTAAGTGCTAAATACTTGTTAGCAAGTATTATTCTTTGGCTTCATTAATTTGTATTCACAAGTAATGTCTAAAGAATTAAAAAATAGCATTTTTGTATATTGTTATTTCATTAGAAAGCCAAACTCATCCTTCCATTAATCCTAGCTTATAATATTTTGATTTTTATCCCGTCAAGTTGATGGAACCCTGGTTCTGCTGAAGCTAGAGCTTATAAATTAGGCTGTAGAAAAGATGAGGGGTGGAGGCCTTATAGACCCTCATAGGCCAGATTAGGATGTTTGGTCTTCGTTCAGTGATAACGACAGCAAATTTGCATTTTGTGAAGATAATTACCAGAACATTGGGTAATAATACGTGATGTTGGAGGAAAGTAATAATGAAAACATTTTCTGGCATTTCTGAGTGCTGATCACATTCCAGGTACTTCATAATTTTGCAAATATTAAGTAAGTTAAAACTCATTATTAACTCTATGAAACTGAGGTCAGAGAAGTTGTGCTCAAGGTTGCACAGCCACGAATGGTAGAAAAGTACTTTGATCTCAGATATTCAGGCTCTAGAGGCATTCAGAAAACACTTACAGGCGGATGAGGTGTTTCTATTGAGATAAGTGGAATTTTTATTATATGTGAAGGAGTAGAGTTGAAGAGGGATTCTTTCTACAGTATCACTGATAGCTTCTCACTCTTCAGTTGATTTAACACATCTGGTAATCAAGAGTACACAGTGGAAAATGTCCAGCATACACTAGACAGTTTTTCTCTTATCTTCACTATGTCTAGCCTTTTGTCTTTTTACCTCAGAGAGGTAAAACTTCTAGTTCTTTCTGTTCTCTAAATCAGAAATAGGTTATCACCTACCATTAACTTTTCAACAATTCCCATTTTTTGTTGACATATAAGCTCATGCCTGTGTATTTGTATTGCATGTATACATGCAGTGTTGTCTCCTGGCATATGTTTTTCTCATTCACATGATAAAATTAAATATATCTGCATTTCATGGTGAAAACCATAACTACAAATGCTCTACCTTGTTAGTGCGTTTGAAATCTACTATTCTACCATATAAATCTTCCTTATCAAATTCCTGCAGCATTTAGTATGCATATTATATAATTATTCCTTTCTTATCTATCATCTTATTTCTCTAAATGTGCAAGTGTAACTGTCTCATTTTTCCAACAAACCATGAATTCCAAATGGGCATAAATGAAATTCCCTGTTTTACAGTAGATAACTCTTCAGTGCATGCTGATCAATTCTTCTGGATTCGGCTGACCATTTTTTCTCTCTTTGCTCCATATCTATTAAGCAATGATAAAGTTTGAGTTAATGCAAGTTGTGAGTTATAAGGAGGTGTGGTTTTTCTTCCATTCATGACTTGCAGCAGTCATTCTCAGCCTCAGTCTTCCATCTGTGAGATGAGAATAATATTCTTGGCCATGACTAATGCTGTGAGTTTGCAGGGGACAGATCTGAGAATTAGATGAGAGGCCATTATGAAAGGGCTTTGTAAACTCCAAATTTTAGACAAACAATAAATGTTACCTTCATTGTGCGTAAAGAAACAGTAACTTTTAAGGCCCGATCATTATATATAAACAGAAAAAAATCTTGACCGCCCATCTCCTATCATTCCTTATAAGTGTCTGATAGCTTGTAAGTCGCCCTTTACTTCTGTCTGACCCAAGTGCCTCCGGGGCTGACTGCAGGGAGGCTGCCTGGTAAAGGCTTTCAGTTGGCTCAAATGGACTTTGGCCAGAGCCCCCCAGTTGTCTGTGTTTCTCTTGAGGGGCTACATGATGAATGAACATGAAAAAATTCTTTTTTTTTTGGTATTATTTCTATTTAAATAATGATGAGAAAGAATAGGAAAAAGTAGAAAAGCATTCAGGTAACTGCGCTTTGCTCTCATGGTCAAGCTTATTGCTATGGACTGAATTATGTCTCCCAAAATTCACATGTTAAAGCCCTAACCCCCAATGTGACTCTATTTGGAGATAGGGTCTATAAGGACCTAATTAGGGTTAAGGAGGTCATGAGAGTGGGGCCCTGTTATGAAAGGATTAGTGTCCTTATAAGAAGAGATGCCAGAGAGGCTGGCTCTCCCTCTCTCTCTGTGCACACAAAGAAGAGGTCATGTGAGCACACAGTGAGATGGAGGCTACTTACAAGCCAAGAAGAGAGGTCTCACCAGAACAGGACCATGCTGGCACCCTGATCTTGAACTTCTAGTCTCCAGACTGAGAAAATAAATGTCTATTGTTTAAGCCACCCAGCCTGTGGTATTTTGCTATCACACGTCAAGCAGATTAACACACTTATGATAAAGAAAAGGTAATTTAAAGAGAGGCAGCTTTAACCTATATATGCAGTAATGCCAAGCATTCTTTTATGTTAATAGAGAACAATTTAATATCCACAGATTGTGTACGCTTTGTGACAGCAGTTCCCTTTTTGTTATCTCCTGGGAACTTTATTTAAGCCAATATATTGTTTTGAGTTACTAGATATTTCCTTCAGGAATTATTTTGTCTGCTATGCACTGAAAAAAAAATCACATACTGTGAATACCTAAACTCTATAAAGAACCTGTCACTCACTGTTCCTGAAAATTAGAACTGTACAGAGTCATTGTCTTTAGGTGCAGCCTTCCTCCTACTTGCTTCAAAGCTCCCCATTCATCAGCTTCCCTCAGTTCTAAAACTTGCTGGCTTTGCATTTTTCCTTACTTTGATCCCTTTATGCTATTTGAATTTGTTAACAATTGAGGGTTGATGTTATCTAATTGACATCATTATTGCTATATACACACAGTGAGATTGCAAATCTCAAAGAAAACTTGCAATACCTGTTACTTGATTTACATGGGAGGGAAGTTGCATCAGTAAAGAGGTACTAATTAATGCTATCATGATCATATTCTGAGATGTGTAACTGTATGACCTAGATTCAGAATTTTAGAGATGATAGGACTTAAGGCATTTTCTGGTTCAATCATCCCATATTAGAGATAAGTAAAATGTGATCCAGAGACATCAGGACACATTCTCAAAGCTTACCGCTAGACTGAAGCAGAATTTTGACTCATTCATTCAATTAGTTATATCATGTGACCACCTTGCAAAATATTCCACTTTCTTCCTAACTTATCAGAATAAAATCTTGAATTCTACAGTGCCCAGATCTGGGATAATTGGATGAAGGGTCATTTTATATTTAATTTTGCCTGTAAACATAAACTGTGTTGCCACTTCTCTGAGATGATTTCAAAATTGCCTGATTCAACTTCACATAAAATTCAGCTTTTCTATAGATAAAGTTTTTGTGGGTTTTCTTGGGTGTTATCTGACCTATATAGCGCCATATGACAACACTCTGGGGAGAGAACAGATTTTAAATATCTTCAAAGGATGAATGGGGTTCATATTCATGTCTTATATTTGAGACTCAATGTTTTCTAATCTGGCCTTTCAAAGTGAAACCTCTGATTTTCTCTGCATCTTGGCTATTTGGAGATAAGCATGTCAGACCCAGTTTTAAAAGATACCTTAAACTCTATTGATATACAAAAGAAGTCTCTTTCAGATTTAAAATTCTATTAGGTGTTATTTGGGCTGGGCAAGGTGGCTCATGCCTGTAATCCCAGTGCTTTGGGAGGCCAAAGCAGGCTGATCCCTTGAGGCCAGGGGTTCAAGACCAGCATGGCCAACATGGTGAAACTCCGTCTCTACTAAAAATGCAAAAAAAATTAGCTGGGCGTGGTGGTGCGTGCCTGTAATTCCAAATACTTGGGAGATTGAGGCAGGAGAATCGCCTGAACTGGGGAAGCAGAGGCTACAGTGAGCCGAGATCACGCCACTGCACTCCAGCCTGGGCAACAGAGGGAGACTCTGTCTCAAAAAAAAAAAGAGTGTTATTTTACTAAGGTCAGCTAAGATAATCAAGTAGGTTGGGCAAATTAAATTAAAAAGTGAGCAATTTTGTTCTCTTTCTTTTTACTTACAAAAGCAAAAACACCTTACACGGTAATCTGATTATCTTCTCTTTGCCTCATTCGAAGGAGATAAGAGATGCCAATGAGAGAAGAAACCCATAACTTCTTTGCTGTATTTTTGTTTCACCATCCAGCAGCAAAGGTGGGGGCTGCAAAGGACCAAGAAGCCATCTGACATTTCTAGAACATCTGCACAGGCTTTTGGGGTCAGCTTCTTTCGCTTCTTCTACTCTTACTGATTGTAAGTTGTGGAGAGAAGGTAGTGCTCAGCCAATTCAATTCTCTGGATCCCTTGGGCAGAACAACACACCTGTTTTCAACCCTGGCTGTAGGAAGTTCCACTTTCTAGTCAGACCTTTGTATCTCATGCTTCACCATCCAGAACTGCATTTCCTAGAAGGTTAAAGTTTATTAAAAAAATTTGAACAGAGAGTAATTTCTGGGACATGTTAACAAAGACAGTGTGAGTGGGAACATTGAAGAATTAACTAAAAACAAGCATTAATAACATTTTCTTTAAAAAGTTTGAAATCTCAATTTTCTTTCCTATATCACAGGGGAAATTTGAAACTTTGACACTGAAAACCATCAAAGACAAGTTTTTCATGTTTTTAGAGGTAGCTGGTTTTGACCTACTTCCAAATGCAAGCATTTTATAGAGCCTGAATTGTATAATTGAATCCCAATGTGTTAGGAGACACCATGATGAAATGCCATTAAAGCAAAGAAAGAAGACTGTGAAGATATTACCAAATGTCAAAAACTGAAAAGAAAATTTAGGGAATCCGAAAGCCTTGTAGCTTAGATCTTGGCTAAGTGAATCAATGTTCAATTTACAGTCACATGATATATGCCACCTTCCTTATGGTAGAAAGCTTTTTTAGGGTAATGTGATTCTGCATAACTCAGTAACATTGTCTTTTATCTTTCTTGTCTGGTTAAATAATGTGAAAAACAGATACATGTAAACAATGCCAGAAAATGTTCAATAATATGCAAGTGTAAGATTTTTGTGTCTTAAATTTCCATGTTATTCAAACTTCAAGACAATTGAATATGTGCATTTCATTTTGGCTGGACCAGAATTACACTTTAGTGTAGGTTCTGGTTGATTTGGCTGTGGTATATTCTCCCACTGGAATGTGGAGCTGCTGAGCTCTATTGGTACAGATATGCAAAGAAATAAAACATACACTTTTAAAAGGAAAAAGCAAATTGCAGAATAGTGCATACATGACATTTTTGTATGATAGAGGAAAGTAAGAATATAACCTTTGTATTTGTTTGCATATGCATAAACATGGGAAGCATACACAATATGGTAATAAAAGGTGTTATCTGTAAGGAGAGGGATGGGGGCAGAGGCAGACAGGAACATGGGGAGGACTGAGACATCTCAATGGCTGTCTTTTTATATAGTTTGATTTTAAAAATGAGAACATATTGCCTCTATGTAAAAGTTAAACTTAAAAATATGTAGTTCTTAGTGTGTACTGAAAATGTTTTACCCTTAAGGAAAAGTCAAAATGGTATTTTATTATCTATAGCTTGCTCATTAATAAAAAGTAAGTTCGTGATAAGTTCATTATCTAGAATTAAAAAACTATCATTATATCCCACAAATTTCTTTATATTATTTGCCATTGCCACAATCAATACTGGGTTTTGTGAAAAGAGAAAGAAACTTAAGACTTTTATTTGTGCGTCTTTTGTTTCAAGTGTTATATTAAAGTGCCAAGTCGTACTAGTTTCTTATCATTTCTGTGCTATTTATTCCAGTGTAAGATCTTTACTAGTACAAACCAGATTGGGTGAGCATGAGTAAAACTTAATTTGAATTCAATTGATGTCAGTTCAATCCAATAGATATTTATTGACTACCTACATACTGTTCTAGGACTTGCAATACATCAGAACACAAAAACAACAGTGATCTCTGCCCATGTAGAACTTAAACTCAAGTTAGGGTGGAAGGGAAGCACCAAATATAAAAAATAGGCAAATTATATAATTTTTAAATTAAGTACTGTTAAAAACAAACTTTTTAAAATTAGGATAAGGTCGTGGATCTTATACAAATAGAAAATGGACAGCTGTCAAAGATTTTTAAAAAAATTTTTATTTTAGGTTTGGGGGTACATGTGAAAGTTTGTTCCGTAGATAAACATGTGTCACAGAGGTTTGTTGTACATAATATTACATCACCCAAGTATTAAGCCCAGTACCCAATAGTTATCTTTTCTGCTCCTCTCCCTCCTCCTACCTTCCCCCCTCAAGTACACCCCAGTGTCTGTTGTTTCCTTCTTTGTCTTCACAAATTCTTATCATTTAGCTTCCACTTATAAGTGAGAACACGTGGTATTTGGTTTTCTGTTCCTGTGTTAGTTTGCTAAGGATGATAGCCTCCAGCTCCATCCATGTTCCTGCAAAAGACATGATCTTGTGTTTTTTTTGTGGTTGCATAATATTCCATGGTATACATGTACCACGTTTTCTTTATTCTGTCTGTCATTGATGGGGATTGAGATTGATTCCATGTCTTTCTTTGCTATTGTGAACAGTGCTGCGATGAATATTTGCATACGTGTGTCTTTACGGTAGAATGCTTTATATTCCTCTGGGAATATGCCCAGTAATGGGATTGCTGGGTTGAATGGTAGTTCTTCTTTTAGCTCTTTGAGGAATCGCCATACTGCTTTCCACAGTGGTTGAACTAATTTACACTCCCACCAACAGCATATAAGGGTTCCCTTTTCTCTCTAACCTCACCAGCATCTGTTATTTCTTGACTTTTTAGTAGTAGCCATTCTAACTGGTGTGAGATGATATCTCATTGTGGTTTTGATTTGCATTTCTCTAGATATTTTAACCTCATTAGTTAATGAGGGAACTACTAAGGTGTTATGATTGGTTCCAAGGAGAAATCTAAAGAACCACATTTACATTCAGTACAATAAATACCAAAAATTTACAAATAAATGCAAAAACTACTCAATATTTACAGGATACTAATCAATTACATTCCACTGAACATCATAGCTAATTTTCATTTCTATGGACAGGAATAGTTTGCGTTCATTTTCTATTGCATTTCTATGAATAAGAATAACTTGCATTATTGTAAGGATTCTACAATTTTTGAAGTAAAATAGAATTGCTGTAATGTCTGTGAGAGAGAACTTTCTTTATCAGTGAATTTAAATTATCATGGCTCATTCCAATAATAGTAAAAGTGAAGTATCAGTTGTATGACATTTAGAAGACTATTACCTTTTGTGGCTCTGGAAACATGGTTGACTCTCGTCACAATAAAAGTAATTCACTAATATTTATAATTCTCTACTCATCTTCAAGGGGTAGCTAATAATATGAAAATCAATACCCGTTACACTTTTTCCCCCCACTGGCTTGGGTGTTTTAAGATAAGATTTCTTTGTCTATTTGTTTCTTAATTGGAAGTGTGGGGTTGGAGTTTTTGGTAAAACTTAAAATTCTACTTAATACTACCCATTTGCTTTGCCAATTTATTCATGACAGCTTTTTTTCAATGTCTCAGGTGCTGGGAACTTAGTGCTGGAGACATCAAGTGGATTTATCAAGCACCGATCTTAGCAGCTATTGGGGTAAGTTTAAAAGTTTGTATAGTTAAAAAAGGGATGAAAAATTAACCTGCTGCTAAAACCCAGAGAAAGTGTGTCTGTCACTGCATTCTACAACAGATCTGAGAAACTGACAAGTACAGCAACATCTATTGGGAGAGTCTGGGACAGAGATCAGACCCTTATTGTGACTGACACTGAGATCCATGCAGAAAGCCTTCCTTTAATCAGCTAGCACTTGGGGTCAATTCCGAGACTTCAAAATATCTATGAGCATTTATATGTTTAGGGAGTTGGAAGGCCCTATGTCTCCTTTTCATCCACGATATTATTTTACCACTTTAACATTCTGATCACCTGGTAGTAGGTCAGTGTGACAGGGAGGAAAAGGTGGAATAGCAGGAAAACAGAGAAATTACTGAGAGAGAAGAATGGTAATATGATGTATAAAGTATTCCCTAAATCTTTTATTTGGCATACTTTCCCCAAGGAGTTAAGTACATCTTATACCAAGAAGTATCCCACATAATTCTATCTAATAGGTATTAGATAGAATTGAAAGTAATGGCAAAAAACACAATTACTTTTTCACTAACCTAATAATAGGGAGAAAGACCACAATGCATGTTGCACTGGACCTTATCTGCCTATAATATTTCCAATGCACATTGCATCTGTGTTGCAAAGGAAAACAAAACCACACACTTCTTTGTATCTAATAAAACTTATCAAAATGTTTACTCTTGATCTTCTTTGAAGACTTTAAGGCATCAGCTTCTTTTGGGTTGTTGAAGAAATTACACCACCTTGTGTTTTCCTGGTGTTCATGTATGTAATACATATTACAAGCATTTTAAAAAAATAATTACTATCTTGATAATAAATGTTAAATTAGAAAACAATGTAGCAACTTGATTATTAACTAATTTTGATGTTTTTCTTTGTTTCCCAGTTTCATATTCTTCTTGTTTTCTTTTGGACAATGTGTCACCTACTTTGTCAGAAGGGCAGCTATTAATGTAGTTGAGGTATTGTAACCTCATCCAAAGAATCAGATAAAAGCTTATTTACCTCATAGGAAAAATGCATAAAGAAAATAGGAGAGATCAAAAGGAATCTTCAGTTTAGAAGCCCATTGAAATAAATGTTTAGAGACGGAAATAAAATACAGAACACGTTTAGAGAAGCTATTTTGTATCCTTGCTAAACCATCCTATTAACAAATTGGTCCCAATTCCATATATCCTAGGAGAAGCTCAAAAATCGATTATGGATGAATGCATGGCTTAAATGTATAAACACCTGTAATTTTAATTTTTAATGTAAATCAAATGCTGCTACATTAATTTAGTGAAAAAAATCCTAGATCTGTAACTATATCCCTGAGAGACATCAGTGAACTTAAAGATAAAAATTAACTGCTCAGATTTCCCTTTCACTCATTGGTATTTAATCCTTATTTATACTTTTAAGCCTTTTATTTTCCTCCTTTCTAGTTCCTCCTCTGTGTGTTTGCTTCTCCATATCTTACTATTATCTTTTTAAGGGAACAATCTTTATCTTGTTACTTTTTCTTTGCCTTCAGTGTCTTGTACTGAAACTGACCAATAAGAGTTAATTAATGCTCTTAATTTTACCCACATTTTAATATAATGATTATATAATGATTAAATATGATTTTACATTTGATGAAAAGGAAGGACCTATTGAAATGCAAGAGATCCTTGTAAAATTATCAGGAATTGAAGCAAAGGACAGTGGAGAAAAGGAAATCCTAGGGCATTTTCCATGGAAATGACTGATTTTTATCCAAAGCTTTATAGTTTGTTTACAGATCTAAGTCACTCACATCATCACCATGGATGAAAAATTTATTTTCTGAGATTTGTAACTTGTAATGTGAAACAGTAAAGCTAGGTGATTAAAGGGCTTTTGAAGATTCGCTGTTGGCGAAGGAGAAATAGAAGTGATGGCACACTCAATAAACTTTGAAGAAAATTAATGTAGAAGGCCATTTTCATCTTCTTGAGCTAAAATTATGACAGTTCTAAGCTAAGAATTCTGAAGTACTTTTCCTATATTATGAAGTTGATTTAATCTCAAAAATCACAGCTGAGACTCAAGAATATCTTTCTGTTCACTAAGAGTTACCTTTTTGTTTCATTATTATAATTTAGTGTTATCACAATTCCCTTGAAGGCTCTTAACTTACTCACAATCTACTAGTGTATCTGAAAGTTTTCATAAAATGTCAAGAATTGGATTTGAAATAAATAATTTACTTATTTTAATCAATAATTTAGAGAAGGCTGAGTTAAGAAGGAGAAAAACTAAAAAAGCAAGTGGAAAACTAAAGGAAAGAAAAAATAGAATTATAATGAAAAGCTCCAAGGTATAGTTTTCAATTCAGAAGAGGGGAATATCTCAAGAGACAAGAAGATACACCTCAAGAATATAGAGCTCCTAGGAGAGAGATTTGGCCCTCCTGGGAATAAGAATGTGGAAGGCCTGTGTGGATAATTGTGTGATGTGTAACACCAGGTAGTTAGATTGCCAGTGGCACCGGTTCAGAGGATCAACTTGAAGCACACACAGAAATCCTGGAAATCCAGGAGCTTGGATTATACACAGTGAACCCAAGTTGATATGTTTTAAAACCTGGATTCCAAGGACAGTGATTATTTCACTTAGAATGCCAAAGACCAGAGCTCTGTAAGCATGATTAACATTCAGGAAAAAAACTAATTTAATATCTGCATTGGAAGTAAATAATAAACACAAAATCATGAGCAAAGGTGGTAGTGATTAATGGGGGAAATTTATTCATCACAGGTTGGCAAGTGGTACGAGAGCATTCCAATGGTCTGTGCCAAGGTTGAGCGTGGGTGTGGAATAATGTCAAGAGCTGAGGCTGCAAAGGAGGCCGGGCCAGACCCTGAAGGGGCTTCTAAGCCTCACTAAAGAATTGACACCTAATCTTGCAAGGGATGACAACCAAAGGTTTAGACATTGGAAAGTGAAGGAATCAGGTTTTTCATTTGGAAAGATCTCAGGGCTTCGTTGAAGCTGGCAGTGGGTAACCACTGTGGGTGTCTGCTGGGTGGGGGTTTAAGCCACAGTGATATGAAGTGGAAAGGACATGGGGCTGAGAGAGTTAGGGCTTGGAATTCTGAGCACTGTCCCTTCACACTTGGCATACACATTTTCCTCATTTCCATGACCTGGTCCCTTCTTCCTCCCCCATCTCATGTCATCTCATCTTCTCCCTCCTGCTGCCTCAGCTCCACACAATGGCTTTCTTTAGTTTCCTGAACATGCTACACTGTTCCCACCTCAGGGCCTTTGCCTGTGCTGTTCTGTATGCCTGCCATACTGTTCCCCCTGCTTGTCCATTCTTCCTTCAGGTCCCAGCTTACGGACAACCTCTTCAGACATCCCTTTTCTGACCACTTGACAGTGTCACAGTGGTTACAGCATAGGCTCTGGGCGAGACTGCCTTCGTTAGCATCCCAGGTCTGCCCTGTTGTTGAGCGTGCAGGCTGAAATTTTATGGTACAGGCTGGCCTTGGGCAAGTTATTTAAACTCACAATCCCCTTTTGCCATCTAAAAGATGGGAATAATAGTGTAGATTACGAGAGTTAATCACTGGGCTGCATTAGGAACAGTGGCTGCCACACAGCGCTGTAAGCATTAGCTATTATCATTTTTACTTTTCACGTGTTAATAACTTGCCCACACTCCAGGTAGATTTCTCCTACTCCCTGCAACACATTAACTTAAAAAATGTCTCCATAAAGTCATAAAAATAATGTTGGTTTCTGGACAGCAATAAAGCTAACACATTCTACCTTGTATATCAGGAAGTGGCTGTTCAGACCTGAGGGGACTCCCAGGGATGATCTGGCTTCCCAGACTCCACGATCCCCTAGGATGACACCATGATTGCTTCTCTGTTTGTGCATAGGCACTTCTGATTACAGAATGTCCACTCTCC
Organism: Homo sapiens; assembly: GCF_000001405.40. NCBI lineage: Eukaryota > Metazoa > Chordata > Mammalia > Primates > Hominidae > Homo > Homo sapiens. Next base: position 208,463,933 of record NC_000002.12, read on the forward strand.
TTGTATCCCATAAAACCTGGCATACCATTGGTGTGACTATTTTTTAAAAGGCTATAACGTTATCTACCCAAAATGGTATAATTATTAACTCTTGTTGGTAGGAGTAGAGCTTATTTTTACCCTTTTGTTAAACATTTTAGTATTCTCCATTTTAGGTGTATCAGAAGGCTTTACTTCATAATCGAGAAATCGATATTTACATTTTGAAAAAGTTATTAAGCTCTCACTTTTGTAATTTTCCAGGTAAACCATTCCATGATTCACCTTCTATTCAAACACAATAAAACACGAGGTGAGAAAAGTATAACATAATGTTATTTTCACTTTTTCTTCCTATGTGAGGTCCTGTTATTAAATGCAATAAATATTTGATTAAAAAGAAACGTCTTCCTAAGTACATTCTATGATCTTCCCCGTGACTTGCTGGCAAACCAGGCAGACAGTAAGTTAGCACCCCTGTGGTGAACCTGACGGGCGCCCGAGGTCTCTTCTCTCCAGGTCTGCGTGAAGATGTAAAGACAGGGAAAGCTCTGCCACACCAGTACATGATTTGTCTGTCCAGCCCATTTGAGATGCACATGGACACAGTATGAAGGACCAAGGAGGTCTGCCCTTTCTTGGGAATGATGCCAAATGTGTCGCAGTAGTTACAGCATAGATTTTGGGCCAGGCTGTCTTTGTTAGCATCCCAGGCCTGCCCTTCTGTTGAATGTGCAGGCTGAAATTTTACTGGGCAGGCTAGGCTTGGGCAAGTTTTAAAAAGTCAGGGTCCACTTTTGCCATCTATAAAATGGGAATAGACTGGGCATGGTGGCTCATGCCTGTAATCCCAGTGCTTTGGTAGACATAGGCAGGAGGCTCGCTTGAGGCCAGGGGTTCAAGACCAGCCTGGGCAACAAAACAAAACCCCTTATTCTTTTTCCCATAATGACTGTGCCTACTCACACTCATACTAACAGGGTACACATTTTTTTTTCTCTCCACATCCTAGCTAACATTTATCTTTTGTCTTTTTGAACTACCAACGGCCATTAAGCCATTCTTTGTTTGTTTGTTTTTTTGAGACAGGATCTCACTCTGTCACCCAGGCTGGAGTGCAGTGGTGCAATCATGGCTCACTGTAGCCTTGATCTCCTGGGCTCAAGTGATCCTCCTGCCTCAGCCTCCTGAGTAACTAGGACTATAGGCATGTGCCACCATGCCCGGCTAATTTTTGTATTTTTTGTAGAGATGTGATTTTGCCATGTTGTCCAGGCTGGTCTCAAACTCCTGGGCTCAAGCAATCCACTCGCCTCTGCCTCCCATAGTGCTGGTATTACAGGTGGGAGCCACCATGCCCAGCCATATGAAGCCATTCTAACAGGTATGAGGTGTTAGCTTGTGGTTTTGATTTGGATTTCCCTGATAATTAGTGATGATGATCACTTTTCACATACTTGTTGGCTATTTGTAAGTCTTTTTTTTTTTTTTTTTTTTTTTTTTTTTTTTGTGATGGAGTCTCACTCTGTCACCCAGGCTGGAGTGCAGTGGTGCGATCTCAGCTCACTGCAACCTCTGCCTCCTGGGTTCAAGCGATTCTCCTGTCTCAGACTCCCGAGTAGCTGATATTACAGGCACGTGCCACCATGCCCAGCTAATTTTTTTTATTTTTAGTAGAGATGGGATTTCGCCACGTTGGCCAGGCTGGACTCAAACTCCCGACCTCAGTGATCCGCCCGCCTCGGCCTCCCAAAGTGCTGGAATTATAGGCATGAGCCACCGCAGGGCCAACTCCTTTTTTTTTAAAAAAATATTTTAATGCATTTTGGTAGCAAACTGACAGGAACAGTGCAAAAACAACATTAAAAACATGTACTTGCATGTAGGATTTCTGAGAAAAGTATAGTGAGTGGATGGAATTTACTGTATGATAAAAGTGCTACAAACACCAGTTAGTTGCTGTCAAGAAATTTTTTTTTTTTAAAAATCCAAATGCTGGCATTGTTCAGAAAAATTTAACAGGTCTATTTATAACTGCTATAAAGGTGAACTGCTGAAACTTGTTCAGCTGAAACATTTGGTGTGCATTAATACTTTGTTTCCATGCATTTATATTACAAATTCACACAAAAACAAAAATGGAAAAACTGCCAATACGTGATTTCTATTCCCTATTTTTTCACTCACAGTCATTTACTTAGGTGCCTTTTGACTCCATGGGGGCAGCGGCAGGGGGAATCTAACGCTCAGAAATACCAATAAAAGGAAGAAGAGCTTTTCATTTTTTTTTCTTTGAGAATGAAATGTTTCCCATCATAGTGGATTGTCAAGCAAGTTCTCCATGAATGCAGCATGGATGTCTTTTGGCATAATTGTTACACATTTGGCCTGGATTGCACACAGCTCGGTGTCTCCAGAGAGGCCAACCTGATAGACGTCACTTTTCTCCTGCAAAGCACCAGCAGCTGTGCTCTGGATGTGTTGATCTGTTTTGAAGTCCTTAGCAGTTTCTTGCACCAGATGCTAGGAGAAAAGTTTATGGATTAGGCATTCAGTGGACTTCTGATAACATCTAATTTCACCAAGCGCCTTGGTATCCAGCCTGTTAACGGTGAAGTTTCTTCACCCCTCCAGTAGATGGCACACTGGCCTTTGTAGTTTTTTTGCAGGTTGCTTTGAGGGCAATCTGCATGGCATAGAGACCTCCTAACTCATTCCACTTGGGCTTGGTGAGCTAGAGCTGTATGTCTTCTTTTGAGAAACGTCTATTCAGCTCCTTTGCCCATTTTTAAATTGGGTTGTTTCTTGGTATTCAGTTGTCTGAGTTCCTTATATAATTTGGATATTAGCCCCTCATTGAATACATTAATTTTTATTGAATACATTAAATACATAAATATTGCAAATATTTTCTACCATTTCACAGGTTGCCTTTTCACTCTATTGATTGTTTCCTTTGCTGTGCAGAGGCATTTTAGTTTAATGCAATCCTGCTTGTTAATTTTTGTTTTTCTTGCCTGTGCTTTTGGTACCTATTTCTAAGTATTTTATTCTTTTTGTTGTTATTGTAAATTGATTTTGTTCTTATTTTTTTTGGATAGTTCATTGTTTGTACAATTTGTTCAACATTTCAGCCAAATTCTTCTTATCAGCTAGCTTTTGGCATCTGTCCCAGGGAAGAAAGTGCTTACATTCCATCCTCCTTGGAGATGTCAGACTTTCCTTAAATTTCGGGTTAATTGGTCATCCTGTAACTTTGTTCTCTGATGCATTTTAAAAAGTTAAAAAAATTTTTGTCAGATTATCCAGCATTTGTTTGTTATAATAGCAAACAAATGGTGGGAGCAAGTTTTCTTTTCTTTTCTTTTTTTTCCCCCTAGCTTTCTACTATTGGGGAAATATAATTTAATACAAAAATCTTCTCCTAACCTAAAAATCTTCTCCACAAAGGTAATACAGAAGAAAAACACTTTTAGTATTAAGTTACTCAACCAGAATGTGGTGTGCACTACACGCAATCTGCTAAGAGATTGCAAAGAGAAAGAAATCTCACTCCTTTTTATAGCCAAGCAGTTACAACTCATTATATACACGTTTTCAAGAGACACAATAACTAGTTCTCAAGTAAAAGGGACTTGACAATACTATATGCTACACATGATTCATCCTAACTTTACCTGGTAATTGGGGTGACCACCTGTTGTGGCTAAGTAGCTTTATTGGAGGAAAAACAAGCTTGTCATTTCTTTATGTCAGGAGGAAGTTTTGCAACTTCAAGATAGGTGCCTACAGAAGTTAAGCTTCTATCCTACAAAAACTGAGAGACAGGGATGCTATCTCTCTTGATGTTAGCATTTCAAAAAGATGGTTCCTAGGTCCTTGCGAAAGACATTCCTGGGCCATAAAGCTGACCAAAGGCCTATCTAATCTTCAAAAGGATTTATAAACATTTCAAAGAGATGAGAAAGTACATACAAGTTTTCTAAGGTAAATGCTCTAAGAAAAAGGAGGAAAGTGAAATCTCTTCCCCCATTTTCAACAGGGAGAATGAAGACTCTTATTTTTAAATTTGTATTTGGCCTCACACCGTCTCCTATGCAGCAGCTGACATCTCTAGGCTAATCTGATAATGAAATGGTCTTGCAGTGATTTCCAGCAAAACTCTCCTATATATTTTCCTCCTGGGATTTCAGGCCACATTATTAGGGACCATGAAGCCTACATACCTCATATTACTTTAGAACCTGTCTGTAAAGGGAGAAATAAGCCCAGAACTTAACCACCATGTGTGCAGAGGGTGGTGCTCCTTCTTCTGAGTTGTTCTGTGTGGTGAAGCCAGGAAGGATGAAGATAATAATAACAACAACAAACACGACATAGTTCTTACAATATACTGAGCAGTGTTTTAAGTGTTTTATGTACATCAATGTATCTAATCCGACCAATAACTCTAAATAAGGAAACTGCCCAAGAATACCCAATATTAAGTGATGGAGCCGGGTTCTGACTTCAGCATCAATGTCCCTACCCAATGAACTCCATGCACTTATAATAAAATCTAACATCTCTGATAATCCAGCAAAGATGGCTCACTGATGCTTGTGCCTCTTTACATGCCACACCCTGGCTATGTTGCTTTCCAGTCAGTTGCTTGACCTTGTCTGCCTGTGTTTTTCTCAGGGCTGTTCTACATGCCCCACTGTACTTTTAGAAGGTTGGAATGTGCTTCCTTCTGTGCCTCATTTGAAATACTACTTTTTCTTTGTGACCTTGATGCCGTCCAATCTAAATTAGATTACCAATTGTAATCTACAGGGCACAGAAAGGCTTTTTCTTTTCAACATCACAGTATATCATGTCTTTCATTGTTGAATGTCCATCTTTTTCACCGAACTGCAAGGTTTATGTAAACAAGAACCATTTTTTTTCTAAACTTATGATACCTAGAGCTTAGCTAGTTTCCTGGCACAGAATGACCACTCAATAAATACTTGTTGGAAAAACAAAACATGCATATAAAATAGATATCATGGGGAACTGGGAAGAGGAAAGAGGCAAAGTAAGAGCACAAAGCAAGTAAAATTAAAGAACTTGTGAGTTCATTTTATGCAATCTTTTCAATTTCTAGAGGAGAAAACTACAGCTCACGCAGATATAGGTCACACGACTAGTATGATGAAACAGACTTTAACATGTGTTTTGTGGCCATGTTCTTTTCACTTGCTTTCTAAAACCTGTCAAACTGTGTCTTGAATTTATGGGAAAAATCTTTCCATTTATATAGCTATGTGCATAGTTTTAAAAATAGGTTAATTTTAGGATATAAAGTTGTTTTTTAGTCATGCATTACATGTGGCATGGTTTTAAGTAAATATATGCATCATATATGCTAACAAAGAAACTATTTGCCCAGAATTTGAAATCCAAATTAGATCCCTTACTTAATTCTGTCTTTGGCTATTATAATACTGTAGATTCTATTAATTTGATGTTTGTATATCTAGGAGTAAAATTAGATAAATTATGGTCAGAATTTCTAAGCAATATATGAGGTAAACTAAATTTAAGAGAGTAAAGGAATTTGTTAAGTATGAGCAGTCAGGAGAAGTCATGTCAAGATAACTGATTTTTAGAGATAACCATAGACTGCAGTATAAGTTTGGAAGGAATCACTTAATTTTGGAATTGTAGGGTCTATAATTATAGCATTGTTGTTTTCTGTTTTGTTAAAGTGTGTTAAAATTATGTTTAAGAGAACTAGAGTCATTGGAAAATACTAAATTTTGTTCTGAAAATAAATGTCCCCAAATGTAATCATTTATCAGACACCTGTGTCATCTTGATGTTGATTTGAGGATGATTTTTTAATTCTTCCCTGTAAGATCAAAATATAAGAGAAATATTTCCTAATTAACAAAAGAACGTGATGCTTTGTTTTGGTTCTGGGCCTCCTGGAGCATCATGAGAAGGCATAGGGATGCTCAGCCTGAAGAGCAGGAGATGCTGCAGGCAGGACAGCTGGCCTGAAAGAAGTGGGAAAGGTGAGATTGGTTGAGTCAATACATTTTGACCAAGCTGGGGCACTGACTGAGACATAAGCACCTGCATTTGCACTGATGTCAACCAAGAGGCACTATAACAGCTGAAACAAAATAAAACCAGAGACACAAAAATACAGATTGGGAAATTGAGCAGACTTACTCTTGGGTACTTATGAAAGGGCCTTGAGAATGCCAGTATTATGGTGTGGAGAGTTATATGGTACTAGCAGAAACCTGAGATCTTGAATTTACCGGTTAGGGAAAAGAAAAGGAGGAACTGTGGTATTTGTCTTTATGTAAATATTTCCTTCATGCTGTGTTACTCTCCCCATTCACCCATCCTTTCATCCAGCATCCAGTGATAGGTGATCAAACTGTCTTTCTAGGCCCTGCTCAAATTTTATCTTTACCAAAATGTTTTGATATGGTTTGGCTGTGTCCCCATCCAGATCTCATCTTGAATTTCCACATGTTGTGGGAGAGATCTGTGGGAGGTAATTGAATCATAGGGGCAGGTCTTTCTTGTGCTGTTCTCGTGATAGTGAATTTGTTATGAGATCTGATGATTATATAAGGGGGAGTTTCCCTGCACAAGCTCTCTTCTCTTATCTGCCGCCATGTGAGAAGTGCCCTTTCATCTTCTGTCATGATTTGAGGCATCCCCAGCCGCATGGAACTGTAAGTCCATTAAACCTTTTTTTTCTTCCTATTCTCAGGTATGCCTTTATCAGCAGCATGAAAACAGACTAATAAAGTAAATTGGTATCAGTAGAGTGGGGCACTGCTGAGAAGATACCTGAAAATGTTTAAGTGACTTTGGAACTGGGTAACAGGCAGAGGTTGGAACAGTTCAAAGGGTTCACAGACAGGAAAATGTGGGCAAGTTTGGAACTCCCTAGAAACTTGTTGAATGGCTTTGACCAAAATGCTGATAATGGTGTGGACAATGAAATCCAGGCTAAGGTGGTCTCGGATAGAGGTGAGGAACTTTTTGGGAACTGGAGCAAAGGTGACTCTTGTTATCTTTTATCAAAGAGACTGGTGGCATTTTGTTCCTGCCCTAGAGATTTTTGGAACTTTGAATTGGAGGGAAATGATTTAGGTATCTGGCAGAAGAAATTTCTAAGCAGCAAAGCATTCAAGAGGTGACTTGGGTGCTGTTAAAGGCATTTAGTTTTAAAAGGGAAACAGAGCATAAAAGTTTGGAAAATTTGCAGCCTGACAATGCAATAAAAAAGAGAATCCCATTTTCTGAGGAGAAATTGAAGCTGGTTGCAGAAATTTGTATTAGTAACAAGGAGTCAAATGTTAATCCCCAAGACAATGGAGAAAATGTCTCCAGGGCATATCAGAGGTCTTCACAGCAACCCCTTCCATCACAGGCCTGGAGGTTTAGGAGGAAAAAGTGGTTTTGTGGGCTAGGCCCAAGGTCCCTGTGCTGTGTGCAGCCTAGGGACTTGGTGCCTTGTGTCCCAGCTGCTCCAGCCATGGCTGAAAGGGGCCAATGTAGAGCTTGGGCCATGGCTTCAGAGGGTGCAAGCCCCAAGCCTTGGCAGCTTCCATGTGGTGTTGAGCCTGTAAGTATACAGAAGTCAAAAATTGAGGTTTGGAAACCTCTGCCTAAATTTCAGAAAATGTATGGAAATGCTTGGATGTCCAGGCAGAAGTTTGCTGCAAGGGCAAGGCCCTCATGGAGAACCTCTGCCAGGGCAGTGCAGAAGGGAAATGGGGGTTGGAGCTGCCACACAGAGTCCCTAATGGGGCACTGCCTAGTGGAGCTGTGAGAAGAGGGCCACTGTCCTCCAGACCCCAGAATGGTAGCTCCACCAACAACTTGCACCATGTGCCTGGAAAAGCTGCAGACACTCAATGCCAGCTTGTGAAAGAAGCAGGAGGGGGGCTATACCCTGCAAAGCCAAAAGGGCAGAGCTGCCCAAGGCCATTGGAGCTTTCCTCTTTCATCAGCATGACCTGGATGTGAGACATGGAGTCAAAGGATGTCATTTTGGAGCTTTAAAATTTGATTACTTCAGTAGATTTCAGACTTGCATGGGCCCTGTAGCCCCTTTGTTTTGGCCAATTTATCCCATTTGGAATGGCTGTATTTACCCAATGCCTGTACCCCCATTTTATCTAGGAAGTAACTAACTTGATTTTGATTTTACAGACTCATAGGCAGAAGGGACTTGCCTTGTCTTGGATAAGGCTTTGGAATGTGGACTTTGAGCTGTTGCTGAAATGAGTTAAGGCTTTGGGGGCCTGTTGGGAAGGTGTGATTGCTTTTGAAATGTGAGGACATGAGATTTGGGAGAGTCCAGGGGTGGAATGATACCTAAATCATTTCCCTCCAGTTCAAAGTTCCAAAAGTCTCTAGGGCAGGGACAAAATGCCACCAGTCTCTTTGATAATAGATAACAAGTCACCTTTGCTCCAGTTCGCAACAAGTTCCTCACCTCCAAATCTCATCTTGAATTCCCACATGTTGTGGGAGGGACCCAGTGGGAGGTAACTGAATCATGGGGTCACTTTCCTGTGCCATTCTCATGATAGTGAATAAGTCTCATGAGATCTGATGATTATATAAGGGGAAGTTTCCCTGCACAAGCTCTCTTCTCTTGTCTTCCACCACGTGAGATGTGCCTTTTACCTTCTGTTATGATTGTGAGGCATCCCTAGCCACATGGAACTGTAAGTCCATTAAACCTTTTTTTTGTTTTCAGTCTCAGGTATGTCTTTATCAGCAGCATGTAAATGGACTAATACAGTCTTCCTTTGTCTCTTAACAAAGTTAATCTCCTATATTTTATTAATCATCTGATGAATAAATGTTTGAGTCTGTTTTTGTTTCAAGCATATTTCAGAGTCTTTTTTTGCATTAATCCTCAAATAACTTTTAAGTAGGTATTTTTATTATTCCCAGTTTGGGTTCAAGAAAGGTTATGTAACTTGCCTGAGGTTATACATTTAGAAAATGCTGAAGCCAAGGTCAAACCCAGGTAATGCCATGCCAGAGCCCACAGTTTTTGCTCTTTCTTGCCATAGGATTTAAGCTAGAGCAGTGTTTCCTTATGTAGGGGCACATACCCTGGTGCATGAGAGGACTTAGGTGGTATATGCAAGGTCATTAAGCATTATTGAATCATATATGAATATTGGTCCATTTCCAACCCTTCTGAACACATCAAGGAGAAAGTTTTATTTTGGTCCTGGTCTTGAACAACACTCACATGTGTGGTGTCTTTCTTTGGGGGTAGGGGGAGGTAAGACAGGCAACCCAATCTAGATAACATTTCATAAGGCTTTTTGTTTCCATCATATGTATTTCACAGTTGTCTTTTATTTATAAAAGCTTCTACTGGTTCTTTATTTATGTTTAATGGTATGAAATATGAATTTTAATAATTTAATGAAAGTTGATTGAAGAAAGATATGAAGTAGGCAATAGTAGGTAAATAATATCAATATGGCAAAATCATGATGATGGCACCCTAAATGACTTATTTGGAGAACACTGGACTGGACAAATTCCTTTAACAATGAAACCTGAAATTACACAAAAGTCCTGGCCAGTGTAAGCAGTGGGTGTTCACATGGTTGTGGGAGGCTAGTTGTGTTTCATGTGATCAGACACTTTAGAAGTGTACCGTATTGCATTTTACTTACTAGCTCTGTCTTCCCTGTGTGCTCCTCATGGGGAGGGATGATCTATTCTTTTATTTTCCTAGAATGCCTGACCTTTATTGGTGCCTAGGAAATATTGGCTGAATGAAAATATAAATATATATTTAATGATATTACTTATAGTGGATCATAAGATTATATGATAAGCATGCCACATGTAGGTACCTTACAATCATTTAAAATATAGTTTTCTTCATAGTTAACTGGCATAAATATATCCATATTATTGTTTCAATTTTATAACTGACAATACCGGCACACAGAGAAGTATGTGACTTAGAATTATAGGGTTTTGGAGCTGGGGGTATCTTAGATTTTGTTGAGTCTTACTAACTTTACTAGTCTACAAGCAGTCAAACTCATATCCAAGGTCATACAGGTCATTAGCAGAGGAGGTGCAACTCATAATAGTTTTTATTATAGGGTTGGTAGTTGTGTGAACAAGTGTATGAATCCTGTGTGAACTCTTAACCAGTTGCTGACTGTACTATGATTTAGCCCCTTTTAAAATGAAGTTTTCTAAAAAGGAAATTGGATATTGTAATATCTACTTCATAGGGTTATTAGGAGGACTATGTAAGATTATTAAAGGGCTTAATATAACCTATGAAAAGCATTCAGTAAATAGTAGCCTATAATACGGCAGTAATACTACTACTAGTGGTAGCGTGGTAATAGTAGAGGTGTAGTAACAGAAATGGTGGTTCATGTAGTAGTGATATAAGCTTATCCAAGTCTTTCTGACGCCATCATGAAGTTCAGAATAGGGAAGAGACAACACCAAACTCTGTCTGGAGGGCTTAATAAAGGAAACACCAAGAAGGTGAGATTTGAACTAAAATTATAAAGGAAGACTAGAAATCACTTACCTAAATCACTTAATAGGTAAAGCGCAGAGAAGGGTTTTCCCGGCATAGAGATTAGCCCATGCCAAGTGGGCATGTTATGTTTTCTATGGCTGGAAGGAACAATGCATCTGCAGAATATGCAGGAGATCAGACTGTGGAGTTTGATGGGAGTGGACTCACATGTCATGCTAAAGCACATTGGAATTTTCCTTAAAATTGTGATGAGACATCAAAATATTTTAAGCAGGTTAGTAAGTGGGTCAGATTTGGGTTTTAAAAAGAAAACTCTAGAGGTGTTATGATGGATGGAGAAGATGAACTAGCTTGGAGACGCAAATGTCTAAGAGAGGTACTATTCACCTTTAAGTGCATAGTCCTGTTTGATTGATTCTGACATCTGTATGAGAGACTGTACTCTTGATGCAACCTTCTAAGAAAGAGACAGGAATTAAAGAGTTTTATTAAAATGGTAACAACTGTAAATAACTGTCAGCTGCTGATGTGAGTAATGGAAGGAGATCAGTGCTGCAGCAGCTGGTGAGCTTGGGCAGCAAGCGTGATGGCAATCCATGGTTTTTGCTATTTGATGAGAGTTAGTCCCACATATTCCATTCATTTAAATCCATTTCTTTGGAGATGCTGTAAAGTCTCAAAATATTTTCCTTTATAATGAGTTGATTCATCTTAGCTGAATTAAAATGTGAAAATGCAACAAGGAGAACTTTTTTTTAAAGAACCAAGAAAAGGTAAATATTGTCATAAAATGTAAATGTATAACTAATTTAATGACATATCTTTTATATTTGAATAATAGAAATTTCTTCCAGGGTCACCTTTCTTATAGTACATACATCTAAGCTATGCTTACAGAATAGGAGTAATAAAAGAGAAAATCCTAAACTCAGTGTTTAAAGCAACCCTTAACTGGCATTAAAAAAACAAACACACCATAAAACCTATTAGGGAATTAGGGTCTGGCACTCATTGAGACTTTAGAATTCATATGCTTATTTTTTGCAGTAGTTCAGGCAGTAGTTCCTTTTCTGGCAACTCCATAAAAATAATTCATAGAATCAAAGAATGTTCAAGTTGGGAAGCATTTTGGGGATATCTTGTCCAATGTTTATCTGACAACATTATTGCAGAGATTTTGACCTTTAAATAACCCTCCAGAGAACTAACGTAACTGACACCTTGTGGTTTGCATTAGAGATGTTGATGGGTATTAGGAATATATGGGGCAGTGGAGATTCTTTCTTTTTCAGGTCACTTTTTATTGGCATATATTTACTTACTTTTAGATGTTTGTTTCATCATGCCTCACATCATCATTGTGTATCCAAGCTAAGAACTAATCTTTCTGGTCAATAAACAGTTTGTGGTGTTTATCATGGGTTTGCTCATTGTATCAGTAATGATCAAATTTGAATATTGAATGACATTGAATGACTAAGCAAGTAGGTGACTCCTGAGGAAGCTGCATACTACATAGAGTGCATTAAATACTGAGCTAAATTTTTTTTAAATAAATGTTTTGTTTTGCATACCTGTCCCAAGGTATCTTAGGGAGCTCTGGCAGAAGGAATAAGATGGTATTTCTAGTAAAGGCCTTTAGGAAATATTTTAGGTGATAAGTTTAAAAAATATTATATCTAGTGCACTTTTCAAAATATGAAAAGAAAGGGACAAACAAGGTACATGCTTCTCAGCTGCTCTTGGGTGAGTGATTCATTTTCTCCCAGTTGCAGGGAGAGGTGCAGTCACCAAAAACAAGGGTTGACTAGGAAGGAAGGAATTTTAAGAAAAATGGATAAAATTTAATCTCTGATCATTGACACAATTATAAATACCAAATTGATTTTTCCCCCAGAGAAAAATCTCCCCTTCAGAACTCCTTTTCTTTTCTAAGTCAGTTAGAAATATAACTTTAAATGAAATTAAAGCTCTAACATTTGCCATAGAAACTGTCTCCAAGTTATAAATTGAATTCCAACTGATTAGAAATGAACTATATATTTTGTCTTTATATTTGTGATACAGATAATCAAATTATAGTATTTGATAGAGATCAGGGAGTTTATTACCTGTTATGTAAAAGTTCAGCATTTAGTACCAATATGCAAATAAACAAAGCAAAAAAGTTCTTATGTTTGTGATATTGAAAAATAAGCCAATACATGGGGTGAGCAGATATGATGTATTTAGAGTGTCTCTGAGGGAAACTAACACATAGCATCTCTCTTGGCTGCCCTGATTCTAAACATGTTAAGATATAAAGTAAGGGAGTGAGGGAGAACCTTATTGCTGCGGGAGGCTGGGGTGGATGATGTGACCCTAGCTCAGTTAGACAAGTGGATCCACTGAAGAACCCCATAATTAGTCAGGATCTTCCCACCTGGGCACAGGATGCTGAAGGGTAGGCTCCTATCCCTGGAGACGCTGCAGAGAAAGTCTGCTCACTGCAAGTTACCTTTTCTATGCCTAAATTTTGACTTCTTTAAATGATTACATCTTTTGCGAGTTATGCCTAGAAGTGAAAATTCTACATTGAAGGGGGATGTGCTGATTTACCTCAGTATAAGTAGTGTTTAGAGCACGCATATCTCATTTGCCTATTTATTCACTCTCATTGGACAAATCTTGATTAAACACCAAGAACATTGCAGGCCCTGTGTGAGGCAATGGAGAGGAGAGAGTAGAGGAGAAGATAGACATGAATTTCTTCTCCCACAGCTAAAGTTTAGTGAGTGAGACTAACATTTAAACATGAAAAATGCTTCTGAGAATAAGTGACATTCAGCCTGAACCCTGAGAACTTGGCTAGGAAGGGCGAATGAGTGGAGAGAGTAAACGATCCAGGCAAAGAAAACTCCAGGAACCAAGTCTCAGAGACAGGACAGCCTGAGCAGCCGGCACTTCCATGGCTGAAATGTTTTCTTTGTTTTAGTTCATCTGTGGTTCACTCTGAACAAATCTTTACTTTTATTTAAATCATTAATTGCAGACTACATATTGGGTACAGTGTACACTGCTCAGGTGATGTGTACACTAAAATCTCAGGAATCACCACTAAAGAACTTAGCATGTAACAAAAAAAAACCCCTCTACCCCAAAACTATTGGAATTAAAAAAATGAATCTTTAATTGCAAAATAATTTGATTTCTATATTTGCATTATTTTAAAACCATATTTACAAAAAATTCATTCTATGTGTTATTGGCTTTAATGTTTATTAAAGGTCATGTTATTCTAAGCCATCTCTCTTTTTTTAAATTTCTTTGCTTTGTTTTGTCTGTAGTTTGCTTCAAGCAAAATTTTTCCTACATGAAGTTTACATGAAATACACAAGAACCTTTTAATGATTTTTTTCTTAGAATTATGTCTTAATTTAAAAAAATTACTACTAGTACTAGCACTACTACTAGTACTAGCACTACTACTAGTACTAGCACTACTACTAGTAGTACTAGCACTACTACTAGTACTAGTACTACTAGCACTACTACTAGTACTAGTACTACTACTACTAAAATCTCACCAGAAACTTCCTCTTTGTCTTATTCTCTTTTATTTCTTTTGCCTGGTATAAAATGTCACCTTCCCATTTGCAGACTCAAGTCTTCCTTTAGTGCAAGATTTTTCTTCTGTTATGTTTTTATTGATTTATTCTATTGTTATCTTTTCTTCAGAAAAAGAAGTAATCTGCCACATCCTCCAGATAGGCATCTTATACCTCATATACCTCCTCACAGCTGTCTTTGTTCTTCTTCTTTTCTTTTTTTAGTGGCTTAAAAGAACATGCGTTTGTTCTCTTACAGTTCTGGAAGTCAGAAGTCCTAAAATCAATGTGTCAGCAGGGCTGCCTTCCTTCTGGAGGTGCTGGGGGGAGTCCTTATCCTTTTCAGCTTCTAGAGGCCACTGGCATTGCATGACTCTTGGTCCCTTCCTCCATCATCAAAGCCAAAAGTGTAGCGATTTCCACTCTTATATCCCTGGCCACATCCTCACTCGAACACCCTTTCTCAAACTCTCAAGTCTTTGTTCTTTTTCCCTCCCTTTCGGAGGATTCTTCAGGTGTCTCCTAAATTGCTGAATTCATTTTCTTGCTTTGTCAGATCTACTGTTTTTTGTTCTAATAGTGATTTTAAAATTTGGTTATATTTTAGATTCCTTATAATCTTTTGTTAATCAATCCTGCTCTTAAATTTCTGTCTCCATCTCAGTCTACTATTAACTCAACTCTATTTTATGGACACCATAGTGCAGTGGTTAAGGGTGTACAGTGTGGATCCAGGCCGCATGGGCTGCATTAAGGCCCTGCCGCTTGCTAGCTGTGTGGCTGGGCAAAATATGTGGAATCTGTGCCTCAGGTTCCTCATCTGTGAAATGGGGACAAGAAAATGCCTGTCTCATAGAGCTGCTGTGAGACTAAGAGTCAATTCATTTACCATAGTTAGTAGTCAATAACTTAGTTTCTGATTAACCCATAGTCTATATTTTTCTAAATTATTCAGAATAATTATTTAGAATTTCATCCAGCTGTTCTCGCATGTATCAATATGTGTGTATATATGTCATGTGTGTATTTTGTTACTTATCTTTTAAGGCATCAAGTTTTACTTGGTCTTAATATTTTAAAATTCTTAATTCTTTCCATAGTCAATTTGGTTGGCCTTGAACGTATCTTCTCAGTTATTAAATGGGTGGACTCATCGGCATGTATTTCCTTTAACCAATTTTTCTGGGGGTGGGGGGTGCAGATTTATTTAGTGTAGTCTACTAAAGGACAGAGTGCTTGGTCCTGGGTCTTTTAATAAGGTGAAGCTTAAGGTTGGCCCATCAGAAGCCATCTATACTTCTTCCTTTTCCGGGATAAGGTGTGACAAATGGCAATCCAGCTGGTATTGCCCCACAGCTCTTCCAGCTTCAGCTCCTAGCACTTAGTCCTTCACCCAGCAGTTCCATGCATCACTCCCCAATATCTTCACCTCAGCTACATCGTATTGCCGGTGACTGTTGTCTTAGAGAGACAGGAATTAATGGGGCATGAAATAAATCTTGTCATTCAGAAAGTAGCACTCACGTGCTTCTTTCTCAGTGACCTGAGCAGTACTCAAGTAGCTTTTCACCTTCTTATTAAAACAAAATCTATCTGTGAGCTGCGAGTTGTAGTGGGTGAAGATGGAAATCCTCAACTCTCATGTTTTGCATCTTTTTGTCCTCCTGAACAGAAGGTATCAGATGGTGGTTAAGGATTCACAATACAGACTCACATAGACCTGGTTCAAATTCTAGCCGATTGGTGGATATTCCAGGTTAAAGCAGTTAATCTCTTTGAGCTAAAGTTTCTTCATCCATAACAAATGGATGTAAAAAAATAAAAGTGTCTCCTCCATGTTCATGTAAGGTTTTAAATTAGAAAATGTTTAATAAATGGCAGCTATTATCGGCCTGGAAACATCCCTTTCCTTTCATCAGCTCACAGCACAACTTTGATTTTCCCCCATGTGTGGGGCTCAAGACCTAGCCCTCAGTTCTTGTAGAAAGTTGTGATTGTTGAGAGGTGCTCACAGGGTTGTCAGTGGTCGGATAGCAGTGAGTTTGGTGGGGTGTTCAGGGCTGATACAGTCAGTCAGCTGAATTTGGGACTGAGGTGCACAAATCCTCTGATAACCAAAATTCTCTAACTTCTAGAAATGATTGAGGATTCTGCCAGACAAGTTATCCCCAGGACTGCAGGACTTGATGGCTTTCTCTTCTGCCCCTGCTCTGGCAGGGACAAGTGCCTACTGTTGGCAATCTACATTTCCATTATTCCTAAGCACTAGCACTTTCTGGAAAGCAGACATCTCCCTGAATGGAGGGACCCAGAGTTTCAGGCCTCCATCCCCTTATGACCCCAGACCTGGAGACATGTTCTTCATCTTCATCTGGAATGTCTTCACTGATCCTTGAGGTCCTCAGACAGAAAGGGGCTTATTCCTTCAACACTCCCCTCCCTCCCCTTTTAAAAGCCAGAACTTGATTATCTCTAATGGTATTCACACTTATAACATTCAAAAAATCAATCTCATTGACTACACTGGGAGCCTTTTCTTATGTAACATCTTACTTCCCTTTAAAAAAAAACACACACTTCATATCACCTTCACCCAATACTTTTCATACATCATAGACAGAGTGAATCCCCAAAATAGCTCTATTATTCCTCTCTCTAAAGTAGAGAAGTAGCTGAGAATTCATTTTAAAGAGGACAGTTGATTACATTTATATAATAACTATTACCCTTTGTCCTGCCACTTTGCCAAAGGGCTTCATCTAAACTTCAGTTTAGAAAGCTCCTGTGGATCCCAGCAGATCATCCTCTGGTATTTTCAGTGTTGTTGAAACTTTGTATTTCTTTGTGTTTTCATGAGGGTGAATCAAGAATCACTAGCCTTCCAATATCTGATCTCAGGTTCCCCTGTTCACATTTATGAAATGGGCAATTTTTCTTATTTGAATGGAAAAAATTTCAATTTATGTAAATGTTTATAAAAATCTTGAAGACTAACAATAATTCTTTGTAATCTTACCTTCTTTTTCAGCTGAATTTTATTCTGTTTCTGAATACGGTTAGAGTTCTAGCTACCAAAATCTGGGAGACCAATGCAGTTGGGCATGACACAAGGAAGCAATACAGGTAATTTCAGGAGAGGCATCCATCAGAGGAAATATTTTGGTTACTATTTCTTTCCTTTTTTTTTTTTTTTTTGAGACAGGGTCTCGCTCTGTTGCCCAGGCTGGAGTGCAATGGCACAATCTCGGCTCACTCGCCTCCCGGGTTCAAGCAATTCTCATGCCTCAGCCTCCCGAGTAGCTGGGATTACAGGTGTGCGCCATCATATCCAGTTAATTTTTGTATTTTTAGTAGAGATGAGGTTTTGCCCTGTTGGCCAGGCTGGTCTCAAACTCCTGACCTCAGGTGATCTGCCTGCCTTGGCCTCCCAAAGTCCTGGGGTTACAGGTATGAGCCACCATACCCGGCCTTTGGTTACTATTTAAGTAAAGAACAGATATAAATTGATTTGAAATATCTTTAAGAGATTAAATTTATGAATGTATATTTATTGTGTGATTTATCAGAAAAGCATATATATATTAAGAAAACATAAGTAACCCCAAAAGCTACCCCTTGTGCTTAAATTCTAAATATATTTTAAGATCTGTTTTTAGCAGATTGGGATGTTCTCATCAACTATATATGAACTCCCAGAAAATATCTTGATGATCTTGGCAGACAATTTTATTTGCATTCTACAAATATGTCATAACTGAAAAGATCAAGTGGATTTGCTGTATTGTTTTTAATCTTTACATCAAATTGTCTCTCACTAAATATGCAAATATATTGACTGAGAGAGGTCCATTCTTCAGCCTTTCATGAAGAAAAGGACAAATCGAATGTTTGTGATTATTATCAAACTATCTTAAGGTTGTGTGCATTTTGCATAATTATCATTTTGGAAATTCTGAATATTAGTGGCATCTATCCAACTGGACACATACATCTAGTAATCAGGTAGATGTGGATTTGGCTTTATAATCTCCAGTTAACTATTTATTTCTGTCTCAGATTGTTATGAAATGCTATCTCAGACACAGAGAGGAAAAACATCATAGTCAGCATTTTGATCTTCTCTCACAAATCTTCCATAAGTCCTCGTTGATTTAGTCCTCTCCACCATTTAGGTAGTTATTGTGGGATCTGGCCAGCAGCCCACAATGCAACGGGGCTCTCTCTTTGTTCCCAGGCGGATCGGCAGGTTGAGAAATAATAGACACACACAAGATAGTGAAAGCTGGGTCCAGGGGGTCACCGCCTTCTGGTCCCACAGTGCCAACAATGCACTGGATATACCAGCATTTATTATTAAGTTTAGTGAGGGTGGGGTAGGTTAGTGAGAGATTTAGGGTCGTTTGATTATGAGGTGAGATGGTCACATGGGGATGAAGTAATTCTTTAACATAACATTTGTATGCAGAAGTACAGTATACAGAGATAAGAATTTACAATATAGTGTGTGCATTAGTAATTTCTAACAGAGCCTTAAAACAGAAACACATTCTTTCCATAACCTATTATTAGCAAGATATTAATCAGCAGTAACAGTTGCAGCAAAAGCTGATTACAAACAATCCACAGAAAGAGGAAGTGAAGCTAGACAACCGGTTAGACCAGAAATTCTCAGAAGGGAGTATGCCTTAACCCTAAAGAGGCCTTGAAGAGCTGTCCAAGATGAGGGCGTTTATAGCCCTATCTTATCCATATGGACAGGCACCCCCCATGCGTCCGTTTATAGGCTCTCCACAAGGGTCGCTTTCCATTCCCAGAGCCACGAACATCTGCTTTTCTGGGATAGGAATCTTGGTGATGTGAAGCCTCCCTGACTGCACGTCCATTCATAGGCTCTCTGCAGGGGGAAGCACATCACGTGCTGTTGGCTCATTCTGGCAGTCCAACCTGGCATTGTCTTTACATAATCCTGCATGCAACTTTGTATTTACAATAATCAGGAGCATTTCAACTTTTATTCCTTAGCAATAGTTTCAGGGGGGGTCCCTGCAGGTAGTATTTACTGTTGAGCTGCAAAGACTACAGGTATGACCTGCAGGATTCACAGTATCCTATGCCCATAGAATGCACAGTATTAATAAATCAGCAGCTGCTAGTGCCAGTTATTTTTAATATGCTGTCAGTGGTAGTATTATACATTGTGCATGAGTTTATGGTGAAAGGTCTATGCTATACTAATATAGCTTGTCTCTCATGTCACATCCCATCTGAGAAGACATAGGCCAAAGGATAGAATAATAAAAAATGTAAATAACTTTTCACTCTTCTTCATAAAGTGGAAGAGTGTAGTGGTGTTTAGAAGCTACTTATTTCTTTAGTTCTGAACAAAGCTGCTTATTTCTTTAATTCTGAATGACGTGAACTAATACTTTTAGTAAAGTGTTGCTCAAAAGACATGAGAAATTTTGGAGGGAACAAAGGGTGGCCTATCTTTAAAAATGGATAGAATAGACAATATTTTGAATTAATTCATGGAGGATTATTTCCAAGAACAATTGAAGAGAATAATTTATCAAGGATTGAAATAATCAACTACTCAGAATTCAGAATAACTTTGAAATAATCTGGTGCCCCAAAGATTTCAAGTATGAAATTGTTAATGAGAACAGTTTAGACTAATAGAAGTCAGAAAAAGTATTTTTCAGCTAAATACATTTTTTAATGGCTGAAACATATTTAATATCCTTAATTATGTCCAAAGTTAAGTCACAGATAAAAATGTAGTGAAGAGTGATTCTTTTTTCAGAGAAAAATGTGGGAACCTACTTGACACCAATTTGAGAATTCAATTCCATATTCTGTTTCTGAGGCCTTAGATTTCCAAGTTTAAATAGCATCTCACTTTTTAAATAGGCTTAGGAAAATTAAATCTGTGTCCCTGTCTCAGTGACGTTCCTACGATAAGGGTTAATTAAGTATTTAAATTTATATCAGCTAATTTTGTACCTTTAAACTTATCTTCCATTCTGTTATTACCTTTGTCTAACAAATGTTCAAATATTCTTGCTAAAATAAAACAATACAAAATTTCCAAATGGTGGCATCTAAAACAGTTACAGAGCATGTTTCCATGCATACTACTATGAAAAACAGAAAACACCTTTCGGAGCTGAGATAATCTCTCCAGGTGAATGTGTGCTCACACACAAATAAGAAAGACTTCTGAAAAGTACATAAAATCCCTTAGTTGGCATGGTGGTTTAAAATGGAAATGAGTGAATCAATCAGTTCTTAAAACAACTTTTTATCTTGAGATAATTGTAGATTCACATACAGTTGCAAAAATAATACAGAGAGATCCCATATATCCTTTAACCAGTTTCCCTCAATGGTGGCATAGTGTATAACTACAGTTTACAATCATTTACCCTAAAACAAAATTGTGTGAATAAAATTCAGTCATCTATTAGATTTAATAAGATGGATAATACATTTTTTTCCTTTTAAATTACAACTCAAACTCAATTACTTCATAAAGTAGGAAGAGGTTGCCAGGTCTGGAAAAACAGATATGAAAAAATGCAAGATTCAGTGAAAAAGAATACTTGAATGTTTTGACTAATTTCACTTCCCATTTAATGTTAGACAAAACTCATATTTAATGTTTATTTTTTTAAAATAAATCCAACCGGTATTTATTACGTAGCATGAGAGTAAAGAGGAGAGGTTTTAAGGCCGCATCCATCACTTACTGCATCACACTGAATGGATACTTTCTCTCTGTGAGCCTCTATCCTCTCTTGGCAATGGGATAATAATAGCTCTCTCCCATGGTTGTTAGAATAAAATGAAGCAAACAGCATGGGATGTAACAGGAGCATGGTGCTTAATGGCCAGTAGTGTCATGCTGAGTGCCCTCCTTGAACCCCCAATTTAGGTGGGGATGGGTAGAGACAGAGAGAGTGGGAGAGATAGATACTATGATTGATTTAATTAAATAAAATGGGGAAAGTACCAACAGAGATGCCCATACAAAGTGCTATGTATACAGAAAAGAGTGAAGGATTAATTCAAGGCCACGGGAATTGATCAAGAAAGGCTTAAGAGCAATAGTAATTTTTTAAAGCTAAATTGATTCTTAAAAGAAAATCAGAGATTTTCTAGAGCTGCTCACCTGGAGAGACATCACCTAGGGAGAGAGAGCACAGAATTAGGAATCTATTTTCTAAACAGGACACTGAGTCCCAAAACCACCTGACTTCTTTGCATTCCTCTCGTGGCTTTGCCCTTGGACACAGACCACACCATGTTTCCAGCAAACCAGAAGACTGCTATCAGTTGGTACATCCCTGAATCATCTTATTGGACAGCTGTGCATTTTCAGAGAGCCAGGGTATAAAAACGTACAATGTGCATGGGTGGCCATATGGACGCTGAAAAAAATCAGTGCCCAGGATTGCTACATGATTTGAATAGAGAGTAAAAGTCCATTTTAAGTGAACAGCCAGACCCATGACCCATGTACACATTTGCCTGGCATATGCAAACTAGCAAAGCTCATCAGTATTCACAGGGCTATAATTAGTTACATTCCACTGGACAGAATTTGTATTTCTATGGGCAGGAATTATTTGCATTACTGTGGTAGGCATATTTCTATATTGGCCCCCAAGATTCCTGCCCATGGGTGTATAAGCCTTGTAAAATCCTGCTCCCCCAATACCCTTCGCCTTGAGTGTGGTTAAGACCTATGATGGGGTAGCCTTTCCATTGGTTAGTTTACTTTATATGACAAAGATGTTAGGATAGTCATTCCTGTGATTATGATGTGTTATATAAGATTCCATCCTGTGAGCTTGGAGCGAGATTCTCCTGCTGGCTTTGAGGAAGCAATCTGACATGTTGTGAGGGCCTATAGCTAGAACCTGAGAAAAGCCTGCAGGTATTGTGTGACCACTGGTTGACAGCCAAAAAACAGCCCCGCAACTGCAAGAATCTGAGATTTTTCAAGCAACCTGAATGAACTTAGAAGTGAACCCTGAGGCCCAGATAAGAATGCAGCCAACACTTTAATTTCAGCCTTGAGAGACTGTGGGCCAGGGGCCCAGGGTATGTGCCTGGACTCCTAGCCTATAGAAACTGAGAGAGAACAAATGAGTATTGTTTTAAACCACTAAATTCATACTAGTTTGTTATACAATAGAAAATGAATATAATTACTACCTGTTTTTAATAAACAAACTTCTATCTCCATGGAGTTATAGAAGAGCTTAGTCCTAGAAAAAAAGGGAGAAAAACCCAGATGGCTGAGCCTGGAGGATACCCACTACATTTTGGTTGCCTAAAGCAAATTTTCCTTATTCTGCATTGAACCAAACTGTCCCCAATGTTTACATTTGTGATAATTTCACAATGTGCTACACTGGTGTATTTTTTGTTTTAACTTAATTTTGGGCTCCTAGTCATACACAGTAGGAAAAATCAGTAGCTTGATTTTGAGAACGGTCTCTGGGAGGATTTACCCTTTCATCTTAAAGGAGGAAATATAATTTTTGTTTAAGAGTGATGTTAGACAAGACTTTCAAGGTTTTGCAAGTGAGTTAATTCTGTCCCCTTTTATCTGATTAGGCTGAACTAAAATGCCATGAAGGCACTCAGTGTCCTGCCCACATAGGCAGTGGTGGGAAGGGGGCACTCACCATCAGGATTCAGGAGAACAAGCACATCCCAGGGAGCCCTGACGGTTGAAAGGACCAGTTAGGTCAGAGGAACCCACTGTTTATCAAGGATCTTGCCTTGGATGGAATAGATTTAAGGTAGAATCTTCATATTGAATAGGCTGTAGGTAACTCAAAGTAGGAGGTGTGAGTACCAGGAGCAGCATAGGAGAAAGCCCGTAGGCTGCAGGGAAGCTCTGAATGTGAGGATGAGTGGGTGGAGCAGATGGTTCAGGTACTAGTGAGAGATAAGACAGGCAGAGGACAATGAGGTGTAGGAAATGTACAACTCTACCTACTTCTACATTAGGCATTTCAATATGATTTCAACATGATTTTATGGGACATTCTAGCTCCTATTGTCAAGAGGGTTATGATAGGAAAGTGTATGTACATGGAAGATGATTCCCAGTAAAGCCTGAGAATATTATAGCTCATATGGACTTCTAGGCCCTATTTCCTCATTTTGGAGATAAAACTAAATCACACTCACACAGGTAGTTAATATCAAGTATGGAACCTGAATCAAGATCTCTGTAGCCTTAGTCTAGTGTGATCTGTACTCACTCATACAGCTTATTTCCAAGAAGAAAAACAGATAAATAAAGCAGCAGGAGGAAAGACTAGTGAGAAAGGAAGAGGGTCAATTGTTTGAGATTATTAGAGTGTAAATAATTCACAGAGAAAGGGAGATATTTGCAATAATTATGAAAGAAGAAGCCAGATTTGGCAATTTCTTGGATAAAAAGTATAACCTCACCCACTCCAGGAAAACCTCCCAGAAAATAGTATGCTTGAGGGTGCTAGCTATCTATTGCTGCAAAAGGAATGACCACAAACCTAGCGGCTTAAAACAACTCCCTTGCTATTTCCCAGTTTCTGTAGGTCAGGAATCTGGGTATGGATCCCCTGCTTCAGGATCTCTTACCAGGCTGCAATTGATTTGTCAGCTGGGGCTGTGGTCTTATCCTAAGGTTGGACTGGGGAAGAATCTACTTCTAAGTTCATGTGATTGTTGGTAGGATTCAGTTACTTGCTGGCTGTTGTCCAGATGCCACCTTTCCTTGCTACATGGGCCTCTCAGTATAGCAGCTCACAACATGGTGGCTTGCTTCATCGAACCAAGCAAGAGAGCCAGTCTGCTAGTGAGATGAAAGTTACAGCCTTATGCAATGTAATCTCAGAAGTGGGATGCTGTCATCTTTGCCATAATCTACTGGTTAGACACAAGTCCCAGGTCTTGCCTACACTTAGAGGGAAAGGATAAAACAGGGGCAAAAATAGCAGGAGGGGGGATCATGGAAGCCCACTTAGAATAACCATCATATTGGAAAGCCTGGAATTCTTCCAAATACTTAAGAAAACTTGTAGAAAGAGGCAGTTAAGGAGAATGATGAAACTATATCAAACTACTTAGTTTGCCAAAAAGACAGACAAAATAGACCTAAAGGCACCTTGAGACAGAGTATTTGGCAGAGAATATTCAGAGAAGTCAAGATGAACTGACCACATATGGCTCATAGAAAAATATAAAATGTCTCCCAAAATAAGCATCATCAGTGAAAAATGGAGATACAAATGTAAGAAGAAACAAGGGAGTAATTGATTTTAAAATGAACAAAATAAGCTAAACTACTTCTATGAAAGTAAAGGCAGTTAATCTGGATAGAAGTAACACTTCTTTAAGTCTCAAATATAGAAGTTAAAGGAAACTTAGGACAGAAAAAAGGCATTTTACAACTTTATGTAAATAGACTCCTTTAAGCAAGAGGAGTGGAAATAAGACTGGAGAGATTTAGGGGCTAGCAATTACAGGGAGTGAGAATAAACTACCTGGTTTAGTATGTAAGTGACAGAAAGAGGAGGGAAGGGAAAAAACTAGCAGAAGCAGTGGGATCCAAAGAGATAGAGAAAGGTCAGCCCAAGCCTGGGCAACATGGCGAGACCCCGTCTCTACAAAAAAATTAAAAAAATATTCAGGCATGGTGGCAAGCACCTGTAGTCACAGCTACTTGGGATGCTGAGACAGGAGGATTGCTTGAGCTCAGGAGGTCGACACTGCAGTAAGCTGTGATCACGCCACTGTACGCCAGCCTGGGAGACAGATAGAGTGAAACCCTGTCTCAAGAAAAGATAAAAAGAAAGTGTCAGCCCCACCCCCATTAGCTCTGCTAAGTTTTTTTTTTCCTCCAGCACGCTGTCTTTACTGAAAGGCACTCTAGTTAATGAATGAAAAGACTTGCTGTTCTCCTTTAGGAAACTGGCCAAATCGACACTGGTCCTGGTCCTAGTCTTTGGAGTGCATTACATCGTGTTCGTATGCCTGCCTCACTCCTTCACTGGGCTCGGGTGGGAGATCCGCATGCACTGTGAGCTCTTCTTCAACTCCTTTCAGGTAAAGGGTGCTGCCTAGTCATCTGATTCTTGTAATTTGCAGTTTTTTTTCCTTTTGGTCACTTACAACCTTTTTCTCTGCACTCTCTCTGGCTTTGATGCACCTGTCTGGGGAGTTGGGGGGTGCAGAAAGGTCAATATTTCTATAGTGCCTGTGCTTTTCTGTCCTATAGAGGTCAGGTTAATCCTCTGCTCACAGCAGGAGCAGTTCTGGAGCTGTTCGTCACACAAAAAAAGCCTGGACAGAGAGATAAGGAACATCTTGTTGTAAAATATGTAACACCTATAAGAATGAGGACCTCTGCTTGTGTGTATGGAAGATAAACAAAAGTAAAAGAAGGTGAAGGCAGGAAAGAGCAAAAAGGAGTGGGGAGGGGAGACAAAACTGAGGAAGAGGTTGCTGGCACACATTTTATCTCATTTGAAGCTGTAATTACCATCATCTCGCACATGGATTACTCTTTGTCCTGCTTACTCATTTGCTAGTCCACATATGATAGTCTGGAGAATCTTAAGAATATACATTTGATCATGTCATATACTTGCCAGAAATACTCAAAGATTTCCAGTTGCAGTCAAACTAAAACTCACATACCATTGTTTGGCATACACAGCCCTGCATGTCGTGGAGCCTGTCTGCCTCTCACCCTGTATCACACCAGCCTCCATGTAGCTCATTAAGTTAGGGCACAATATTGCTTCCATACGTTCTGTTGCTTAAGTTCACCTCTGCCTCTAGGGCTCACACTTGTATTCCTTTTGCCTGGACTGCTTTTTCCCCAAATATTTACACAGCTGGCTACTTGTTCTTGTCACTCAAACACACTTGAGTATCACTCTCAGAGATACTTTGTTGAGTTCCTCATCTAATACATCCACTACATTACTCTTTTTAAAATCACTCATTTCTTTTCTTGCATAACCCTTCTCATTTTGCATTTTTCTCATGTGCTATTTGTTTATATTTTATCCATGTCTCTTCCTTTCTAGAACAGGGAACTTGTCTGTTTTGTTTACATTGTTTATCCCTGCCCCTGTCATGCTGAACAGCTACCACACTGCATAAGCTCAGTAAATATTTTTGAATGAACGAAATAAAAGGTTTCTTTGTATTCTTACCATACAATACTTTATGTTTGTAGTTTTCAGCATTTACAGCTTATAACTTCCTCTTACCAAGCAGAGGATAGGTATTATGTGATCCATGGGTCACAACATAAATGAAACTAATAGGATAGAAACCTATTCCTTGTGTATCTTGGAATGCTTTATTTAGTGACTTATTTGGTTCAGCTGACACCAAGGAAAGACGTCAAACAAATTTAATGTAAACATAAGGATTTGGAAACACTAGGAGAGAATAATTTGTATATAATTCTCTGAAGGAATCATAAAAAACAATTTTTGGACGTACACATTTTGGCACAAGATGCTTAAGTGCTGTGAGTTTCTGAGTTGGCAGTGGGCTGACTTTCTCTTTTGTCTGCAGGGTTTCTTTGTGTCTATCATCTACTGCTACTGCAATGGAGAGGTAGGTTTGTAGGAACCTTGGACAGGTCTCGCTTCAGCTTGTAAATGGCCATCACAATGTATCCTGAATCTCTTTAGAATTTCCAGGATTTCCAGGATGGAATGGGTGAGGAGAAGGAAGCTATTTTAATCATAAATTATTTTGGAAAAGAAAGAATTAGTGCAAATAACCTAAAGTCTTCCTCTTCTAGCACTTTTAAATGTGAACTCATCTGTACACTCTGACATTAAAAAGCAACTTGTTGGAATACAAACAGACACTTGGATGGACAGTGAACATCATATTCTGGTTAATACTTAAACTTCTATTCCATTTTAAGTTCTGTACAAAACTTATTAGTTTCCCTGGGACAAATTCATTCAAATATTTTGATGTTTTTTGAACTATAAGATGATGATGGGACAATTTTAGTTCATTTAGGAGTTGGCTGGAGAGAAGTAACTACACTAGATAATAATACATTTTACCTTGTAACTTTTAATATGCCCTGCTGTTGGATGAGCTGCCATGTTTCTTCTCTCAAATTTTAAGCTTGCTGCAGGCCCCAGAAGTGCACAGATACTTTTATTGCGGTACACCAGCTGATGCTTCTGACCATGTTTAGGGTTTGGACATTGTGGCATGCTAGTCCAGTGCTTGCAGAAAGAGCTTAAATTAATTTCCTGACTTACTTGTGTATTGTTCTTACCTTATTTTGCAGGAGGGGTAAGTAGGTCAGTTTAAGAGTTAAAGAAAGAGGAAAGAAACCCAAAAAGCACTCAACAGTCAAAGATGGGTTTATTTAGGAGAATAAACCTGGGAGGGGCTTCTGGCCAAGTTAGGTCAGAGAGCCTTCTCTCTTACAGACTAAGAGTTTTTAAGGGTTCAGGGTGGGAGAGCTTATCACAGGCTTGGACTGCTTCTGTATCTCTTTGTCTTGCTTATCTGGGAGGGAGAATTTTTGTGTTTTATCCATACATCTTCCTGCAGCTGCAGGCACAGCCCCTCCTACCCCCCGCCCCCCAAGTCTGCTTTTAGCTTCCATATCTTGGTGCACCTAAAGGGAAAGGAATGTATTTATTAGGACCCACTGTTTTACTGGGGTCCATTGTAGACTGTGAAGTTTTGTGGTTACCCAAGAGACTTTCTCCACTTCCTCTGTGCCCGAGCTGTCTTATCAGTGTTTTATACTGTCTGCTCTTTCTGGCTGCTTGTTGTTAGAAGGGAAGTGATTTCCTCAAAATGCATGAGGTTAGAAAGGGAGCTGGACTTAAAGTGGTGGTGTTTATCCAAGATGATGGTGCTTCTGCTCTGTCAGTCAGGTGTTGATTTGTTTTTGCCAAGATGAACAGATAGAAGTTTGTTGTTTCAGGTGACATCAGCATACTGGATTTCCACTGCTTCCCATGGAACTTCCAAATAAACTCTCTTCTGAAAAGTGGCAATTGAAGTAGAAATGAATCTTCAGTAGTAGGAATGGAAATAAGAGCCCCACCCTATTAAGAATGCATTTGCAGTGCCTGCTTTTCTATCCACGAGCCTTCTTTTCTCACTCTGACTCCTTTAGGCTGCCGATGCAGATTGATAGCATGACAGTTACATTTCAAATTGAGTACCTTCTACGCCATTCCTCAGCCTCAGCTGGTGCCAAAGACATCAGCAATTTAAGTGGTGAAAACAGATTTTATTCAGTAACTACTGACAGCAGGGGAAAGAGCTGAGCCCAATTCCACTTCACACAGAAGTGATTTGGGCATTTTAAAGGGAGAATGAGGGAGGTGGAGTGTAAGGGCTCAGTAGAGTCAAAGAAGTGAAAAAATATTTGGTCAGTATAAACACGTTTAGGCCAGCTGTGCTAGCAATCAGGCAGTTATTTAAGATAGAATTCTATCTTCCCACAGAGACTGGGAGACAAGAGGCCTTATCCCTCTTGATTTTTATATTTTGAAGGGATGGCTCTCAGGTCCTTGAGAGAGATGCTTCTGAGTTAGAAGAGCTACATATTTACAATTGTGAACCTTTTTAGTAAATGCCCTAAGAAAGGGGAGTCATGGGCCTATCATCAGGTGTGTGCTGGCTAGAGCAAATAGTAAATTCTCCTGGCAGCACTGAGCTTTCTCAGGCAGGCACTATCAATGGCTGAGATCATCCTAGGGATGCCACCTTGTGCTGCTAGAACCATGCTTGAGTTTGGGCAGGTCTCAGTGCAGGGGTTCCAGTGGGCTTGTCATGTGCCACGCGAGAGTTCTGAAGTTCTCACTGGCAATGTTTATCTTGAGTTTCTCTTCCAACCCAGAATCTCCTTTTTTTCCTCTCCCATATGTCAGGTATTTCTATGGGCTGCATTTAAACTTCTGTTTAAAGTCTGATCTTGGACAAGTCCCTTCACCTCTCTCTAAGCTTCAATTTGCTCACCTCCAAAACTAACACCTGTCTTGAAGGTTTTTTGAGGTTGAGAGAAAGTCATAGATAAAGTCCCTGGCACGTAGAGGAACCTCAATCAATGATTATTGCTGTCATTGAAATCAAGGCAAACATCTTTGTAACAAGGCTGCAGGGTCTCCTTTAGGATTTCTCATGCACAGCATGTTTCTCGTGGCTTAGGTTCAGGCAGAGGTGAAGAAGATGTGGAGTCGGTGGAACCTCTCCGTGGACTGGAAAAGGACACCGCCATGTGGCAGCCGCAGATGCGGCTCAGTGCTCACCACCGTGACGCACAGCACCAGCAGCCAGTCACAGGTGGCGGCCAGCACACGCATGGTGCTTATCTCTGGCAAAGCTGCCAAGATCGCCAGCAGACAGCCTGACAGCCACATCACTTTACCTGGCTATGTCTGGAGTAACTCAGAGCAGGACTGCCTGCCACACTCTTTCCACGAGGAGACCAAGGAAGATAGTGGGAGGCAGGGAGATGATATTCTAATGGAGAAGCCTTCCAGGCCTATGGAATCTAACCCAGACACTGAAGGATGCCAAGGAGAAACTGAGGATGTTCTCTGAATGGACATTTGTGGCTGACTTTCATGGGCTGGTCCAATGGCTGGTTGTGTGAGAGGGCTTGGCTGATACTCCTATGCTTGAGTTCAAAGGCTGAAAATTCAGTTAAGGTGTTACTTAATAATAGTTTTTAGGCTCCATGAATTGGCTCCTGTAAATACTAACGACATGAAAATGCAAGTGTCAAT
This sequence comes from Homo sapiens, assembly GCF_000001405.40. NCBI lineage: Eukaryota > Metazoa > Chordata > Mammalia > Primates > Hominidae > Homo > Homo sapiens. The sequence continues at coordinate 208,493,845 of NC_000002.12, forward strand.
GGAGTAGTTTATTACCTTCTATTGGCATCAAGTTTTCCTCTAAATTAATGTATGGTATTTGCTCTGTGATTGTTCATTTTTTTCTGCTACTTTTGGGTAGAAAAAAGATTCAATTGCTTGGCTGTAGCTTTCTCTCATATATATCACCCTAAATATAATGAAGATCTTTTAGTGTGTATCATTTTCCTTTTAGAAACTAGTATTCTCTTATTTCTTACTTTAATGTACTTCTATCACTGCATTTATTTTGCCTGTGCATAGGAGCAATTAGGATCTAAAAAAATATATGGGAAGATAAAAGATCTAAGAACAAGTACTTGCTGGAAAATTAGTTGGCTGGACATTGATAAAATAATGCATTTATAACAATTACATGTGTTTCTGGGAACAAGGAAAATTTCTCAAAAAAGAATATTTCACACATCCCTTCTTTTGAATGGCCTCTTTGTGACCAGCCAGACCTCAGGTCTTCACTCTTTCTTCTTTGTAAACTATGTCATGTGGAAAGATTTCCTCAGTTAGTGAGCTTGTGTCTGCAAATTGATTTTGTTTGTAATGTATTTTGATAGCAAATCATGCTGCATCTATATCTTTTTCTTGTTTGAGCTGTTACTACATTGTACATGGCATGTGGGATCAATTAAAAATTTGTTTTAAAAATACATTTTGGATCACTTTTTAAAATTTTTCTTTCAACGTCTCACTTTATGTTTGAGAAACACCAAACTTCCCTTCTCCAAATGTATACATATCAACATTTAGCTTATGTACTTTACTTAACTTGAAATTTCAGTATGTTGCAGTTTTGAAAACATGTATTGAGGGCATATTATGTATCAGCAGGCATGCTGCTAGGTTCTTACAAGCATTCATTTATTTAATTCTCACTATAGTTTATGGATTAAGTCTTATTACTGTCACCCCTTTTACAGATGACAATGTGACTCGTGGAGGTGGAGTTAACTTGCCCAAAGTCACACAGCTGGTCATCGACAGCTCTATTGACTTTAAGTCCCATGTTCTTAATCATTATGTTGTATTGTCACCAGTATATATGTAGCCTATTAACCCATCAAAAATTCAATAAGGCTGGGCGCGGTGGCTCATGCCTGTAATCCCAGCACTTCGGGAGGCCGAGGTGGGTGGATCACCAGGTCAGGAGATCAAGATCATCCTGGCTAACACGGTGAAACCCTGTCTCTACTAAAAATACAAAAAATTAGCCAGGTGTGGTGGCACACGCCTATAGTCCCAGCTCCTTGGGAGGCTGAGGCAGGAGAATCACTTGAACCCGGGAGGCAGAGGTTGCAGTAAGCTGAGATTGTGCCACTGCACTCCAGCCTGGGCAACAGAGCGAGACTCTGTCTCAAAAAAAAAAATTCAATGAATTCTGAATAGAGAGTGCTTTGGAGTCTTGCACTGTAGTATGTTTTAGCCTCTGATCCTTATAACATTTCCACTCAAGTGGAGAAGACATACACCTAGGAAATAAAAAAAATCACAGAACAATATGTTTCCAGATAAAATGATATGGATCAGGCTGATCTATGTCATTTTGCTGAATGACTTAACCAATAGGCAAGTAGTTTCATGATGAATAAGGTGCTCCAATATCGATAAACCCTCTTGAAAAACATTACACTTTCCTTCCATGCTTTTTCTTTCCTTCCTCTTCTGTGCCATAGCAGAGGCCATTTCCACCCTTCCTGTTTACGAAGGTGCCATTGTGCATATGTAATTCACCTGATTCAATTCTATATTGTTAATTCCCCAGGGTACCTCCCTGTTAGGAGAGAACCATCATGAGCTGAGTCAGAGATTAAGTTCTATTGCTAATTTTATGCAAGGCTTTATAAAATCACTTACCTTCCCGTATAGTTCAATTTTTCCATCTTTAAAATGAATACAATATATGTCTAGCTCAGAGCGATGTTCTGTGTTAAGGCAAAATAACATGTTGAAAGCACTTTGTAATATAAAATTTCCATACAAATACTTGGTTTAGGTTCTTGTTTTAAGTTAAATCTCATTTTACCCCTTTATATTACAAAAGCTCTCATTAGTCACTGCAGTATTACAGAATTACTAGAATAGATATATTCTGATAATATAGAAAATACAGAGTTCTTACTTTTCAAGCCAACTCCAAATTCTAACGCTACACCACTATTCCTTTTCTTCTATTTTCTTGCTGCCTTTGAAGACAGAATATTTCTTTACATTAACAAGTATAACAAAGCCCTCAGAGTTACCAAGATTTTTCTTAAAGCTTATTTATTTGTTAATTCAACAAACATTTACTTAGAGCCTATTATGGAACAGATACTATGTTAAGTGCTGGCCCACAAAAAAGAACAAGGCATAATCTATTTTCTCAAGGAACAATCTGTTTTCTCAAGGAACAAGGAACTTAGTTGCTAGGGCTCTTAATCTCTCTCTCAAAGATGAGGTTTTGTTATGCTGCCCAGGCTGGTTTCAAACTCCTGAGCTCAAGGGATTTCCGCCTCAGCCTCCTGTGTAGCTGGGACTACAGGCACACTACACTGTGCCTGGCTTAATCTTAGTTTGTGCACACGTATTTTTCCTTCTAGGTTTTGATAATGTCTGCATCCAATTAGACCACAGACAATAAGTTATGCCAGTCTGTTGATTTTTCTTGTAAAATATTGGGCAGTTATTGAGGATTGGCTGATCTAGATCCAAAGGTGCAAACTACTGGCTCATGAGCTAAATTTGGTTCATACTTATATTTTATTTGCTCTGCCAAGGGGTTTGAAAATATATTATTTACTTGCCAACATTTAAAATTTCAGCTATTTCTCATAAATTACACTTCCTGACTTATAAAAATACCCGAGGATTTAATGAGACAACCATGAGCTGGTATTGACTGATGCCTAGCTATTCAGACAGGTCAAGAGCTCCACTGTGGCCAGGTGGGCACTGGGCAGTATTTTGTGACTGTCAGAATAAAATGTAACTCCAGCTGCCTGGGCTCTGGAAACATTTGTTCTGTGTCTTCTGGCTAGATAATGCACTTATATACAACAAAGCAATCATTTTCTAAAATATTGTTGAGGAATGATATCTATACAGTTTCTCATTTTTACTAATGAAATCAAGCAACCAAATATCCTTAGGTATAATGGAATTTAATTGTAGCTTGACATATCAACAGTTACTCTGTTTAAATGAGCCTATTAAGAGGGAAACCCATTATAATTTCTGTATTCATAATGTAGATACCAACCACACTATTCAAAGATTCTTTTGTTTATCCCTAGATTCAATACTTTAGCTTTTTATTTTCTTGTCAATTGTATTTTTTTTTATATGGATGAAGCTGGAAACCATCATTCTCAGCAAACTATCACAAGGATAAAAAACCAAACACCGCATGTTCTCACTCATAGGTGGGAAATGAACAATGAGAACACTTGGACACAGAAAGGGGAACATCACGCACCGGGGCCTGTTGTGGGGTGGGGGAAGGGGGGAGGGATAGCTTTAGGAGATATACCTAATGTAAATGACAAGTTAATGGGTGCAGCACACCAACATGGCACATGTATACATATGTAACAAACCTGCACGTTGTGCACATGTACCCTAAAACTTAAAGTATAATAATAAAAAAAAAGATTCACTTTCTAAATCATCACTCTGAGGTACTTATCTGTGGAAGACATTGTCATCTTTTCTAAAGAGTTTAAAGCATCTTATTTTATGGGTTGGATAGCAGTTTTCTTCTCTCTTTAGACTTGCTCTGCCTATTCAAGTCTCAGGCCCTCTCCCTAAGACACACAGGGAATCAATTGTTCAGTAAATCTCTTACCTGTGCATCCAGAGAAGTGCTAGGCTAAAAAATTGGCTTCCCTATGGTTGTTTAGGAATAAAATAGAAAAGCAATTAATGTAACTTGCTTTATTTTAGAAACTGAGCATAGTACTTTGGGTATATTTTATCATATAATGATTGTAACACACAATGGTGTCATTATCCCCATTTCAAAAATGTAGAAACAATTAGAGAGGCTAGATGACTTGTTGCAGATTAAAGTGTCTGAGTCGGGATTTGAACTCAGTTCTGATTGACTCCAAGGCCCCTGATCATTCTCCCACCTATGTGGTCTTTACTTTCTTTATGACAAGTGTAATAATAAGCCAAATCATTAAGAAAATAAGTAAGTATTCATTTAAACTATTTTGATGATATACTAATAATTATGGGAATGTGAAAATCAATAATTACAAAATTATAGTTTTAGATATAAACATTCTTATCTCCCAGTATTTTGTGACTACAAGAATAAAAAGTAACCATTAAATCTAAATTCTCCTTTCAACCCCATCCAAAATGTATAACTAGATATAAAAATCTAAATTCTGTTCTTAAACTGCGTCATAAGACCATGGAAATTTGCCCACGTATTGTTGTAAAAATAACTTTGAACAACTTTATCTTTAAATTACTCATCTGTATCACATTTAAAGACAGCTTTTATGTAGGTTTCCATTTATTCACTATTATAATAACTACCCAAGGCAATGGAATATCTATAAATGGTGCAGAAGCCAGGGAAAATGGGCTAACATTCTTATCCCTTACTGACTCTTATTTTAATACCATTAACATTTAAATTCCATTCCTGTTTAGACACCTAATCTCTATTAAAACTACATTTTATTTTGGGAGCTTATATGGTTTATTTGATTAATGATTTAAATGATGAAATACAAAAACAAGATTAGTACATAAAGATGTCATTTGCACACATTTTTTCTCATCTCTAGGACATACAGTAGATTCTTGTTGACCGAAGATATTTCCAGCATGTACCCTGCTTGACCTCCCCAGAGCATGGCAACAGAAATCTGTGTGTCAGAAAAACGCCAACCTGAGCAGGCAAAAGCCAGGCATCCCCAGTTCAGCTTAATTTCAGGGGCACTGGAGGCACTCTTTTCCAGCTCCATTCCAATTGGCTGGCAGGGCATCTAACATTTTCAAAGGCAGAGTAACTTGGAAAGAATGCCTTACTAAATCGCAAGAAGTCCTTAAAATCTGCACGTACCTCAAAAACTGCAATGCCTGATTTAACCTTGTTGGATCTAGTTTTGGGGTCTGATTACGAGCAGAATAAAGCAAGAAGGTTTTCACAGCTTTTTTTTTTTGCCCACGTAAAATGACTTCTTAACATAGGACTATTTAAACAAGTGATATTTCCCTTAAAAAAAAGTCTTATTTTATTCTGGTTTAATAATGAAAAACACACACACACAAAACAAAAAACTCAGACAAACTTAGATTGAGGGACAGCTGGTCATACTTATATTGAGGATGCTTGATTAGTACTCCCGAAGACTGTCAGGGTCAGGAAAAAAGGGGATAGATGGCCAGGCATGGTGGCTCACAGCTGTAATCCCAGCACTTTGGGACGCCAAGGTGGGCAGATCATGAGGTTAGGAGTTCAAGACCAGCCTGACCAACATAGTGAAACTCCATCTCTACTGAAAATACAAAAATTAGCTGGGCATGGTAGTGGGCGCCTGTAATCCCAGCTACTCAGGAGGCTGAGGCAGGAGAATCGCTTGAACCCGGGAGGTGGAGGTTGCAGTGAGCCGAGATCTCACCACTGCACTCCAGCCTGGGCGACAGAGCGAGACTCCGTCTCAAAAAAAAAAAAAAAAGAAAAGGATGGATTCAGAAGCTGTCATAGGTCAGAGGAGACTGGCGACACATGACAACTAAATGTTAGATTTAGTACATTTGTTACTTTAGGTGGGTGATGGGACAGAAAGCAGAGATTAATATTAAAACTGGTATATCCAAATAAAGCCTGGAGTTTAATTGTTAGCAATGTGCCAAATGTATAATGGTAATGTAAAATGTTAACCATGAAGGAAACTAGAGGTCAGGTATATAAAACATCTGTACTATTTTTGCAACTTTTCTATGAATCTAAAACTATTCCAAAATAAGTTTATTTTTAAAAATCTCACTTTAGCAGTTTAGGAATAAATTTGGTAAATAATCATGAATACTATAGTCCAACTCCACTTGAGTTTTTCCATATCAAATATTTGATATGATTGGGCTGACATATCACAAAAATCACTCACCAAGATTCTTTAGTTTATAAATATATACAATATCTATTCTACATTTGAGAATAACTAAAAATTACTGAATGTTTTTGTCTGAAAGGGTTAAATACTTATTTTTAGCTGTTCCCATATCAAGCCTTCTGCCTCTTTCAAATTCAGTAACTACACTATAAATTTTCCAGTTTTAATTTGTCTGCATGATGTTATATCTTAGATGAATTTAGCAATGTTTTATTTAAATGTAAGCGTTTTGAGGCCCTTGAGGAAAAATGATAAACTCTGAAAGTGTAGTCGGTGGCCTTAGCTTTAGGAATCTTCCCTTCATCACAGTTATTTTTGGTAAAGCTTCGTTGCCACCTCCCACCTTCCAGATCTTTGAATGCCATTTTTATTTTAGCTGAATTTCTATTACACTGAAAAGTAGTTGGTAAAATGTCATATTTAGAGTTCAACTCCTGTAATTTTATTGTATTGGTTGTAATATTTGTAATATCATCAAGCATATCACAAGCACCTCTCTGCAGATTTCCTGTTTGACAATTGCTCTTTTGTGAAGTTATCAGTTTCTATCATGCAATCTATTTTACATGATTTTCTTTGTAAATAAAAGTTACAATAATCCCATTGTCCTCTCATTATAATTTTCATACACATACACATTTATTGATTAGAGCTGGAGATAAGTAAGGAGGAGAATTTATTCTTTGTAGAGTGTTAGGCTGTATGTTTATAATTTTTGAAACTGCCAACTGAGCAACAGGGGTATGTCAATTTATTCTTTCATTTAATCAACACCTATTGAACTCTGACTAAAAATTGTAAGTTTAAGACACAGAAATAACAGACTGCTCTCTGATTTATAAATTCAGCTGCTCTCAAGAAGCTCACAGTTGAATTTATTTATTTATTTAAATTAAAAAAAATTCAGTAGCTTTAGGGATACAAGTGGTTTTTGGTTACATGGATGCATTGTGTAATGGTGAAATCTGGGCTTTTAGTGTACCCATTATCCATATAGTGTACATCAGTGGTCCCCAACATTTTTGGCACCAGGGAACGGTTTTGTGGAAGACATTTTTTTCCACTGACTGGAGTCAGGGGTGGGGGGATGGCCTCAGGATGATTCAAGCACATTACATTTATTCACTTCAGTCTATTATTATTACATCATAATATAGAGTGAAATAATTATACAACTCACCATAATGTAGAATCAGGGAAGCCCTGAGCTTTTTTCCCTGCAACTAGACAGTCCCATCTGGGGTTGATGGGAAACAGTGACAGATTATCAGGCATTCAATTTTCATAACGAGCATACAACCTAGATCCCTCAAATGCACAGTTCACAGTAGGGTTTGCACTCCCATGAACTCTAATGCTGCCGCTGCTCTGACAGGAGGTGGAGCTCAGGCAGTAACGTGAGCCATGGGGAGTGGCTGTAAATACGGATGAAACTTTGCTCGCTTGCCAGCTGCTCATCTCCTGCTGTGAGGCCCAGTTCCTAACAGGCCATGAACCGGTACTAGTCCGCTTGGGGGTTGGGGACCCCCAGTGTACATTGTACCCAATAGGTAGTTTATCCTCTCCCAAGCCCCTCCTTCCCTCCCCCTTTCTGAGTCTCTAGTGTTCATTATATCACTCTGTATGCCTTTGCATACACATAGCTTAGCTCCCACTTATAAGTGAGAACATTATTTGGTTTTCCATTCCTGAGTTATTTCATTCAGGACAATAGCCTCCAGTTCATTCAAGTTGCTGCAAAAGACATTATTTCGTTCTTTTTTATGGCTGAGTGTATTCCATGGTGGGTATATATACCACACTTTTTAACCATTCATAGGTCGATGGTCTTTTAGGTTGATTCCATACCTTTGCAATGCTCACAGTTGAATTTAAAAATTGTTATGAGAGAAGACAGTTATGAGGGTGCAAAGGAGGGGAACTTCGTTTAGATATGGAGGTAAAGTGGAATCCCTAAAAGAGATAAGAAATGAGCAGGCAGAGAAGTGAGGAAGACGTTCCAGGCAGTTGAAATTTAGACGGGAAGCTACAAAAGTGTGGGAGAATTTAGTACATTTGGGGAACTGCAAAGTTTCATGACGAAGTGTGATCTGGGAAGGAGGAGACATAAGCAACAAGGCTGGAGAGGCAGGGGAGAAGAAGATCGGGAAGGGCTTTTATCCCCTACTATGCCAGTAAAGGTGGTGAGGAATCCCTGACAGGTCTAAGTAACAGTTTTTTAAAAAAAATTTTAAAGACTTCATTTGTTTAGAACAGTTTCAGGTTTGCAGCAGCTTTGAGAGGAAGGTATAGAGATAGCCCATATATCCCTGTCCGCACAGATGCATGGTCTCTCATTATCAATATCCTCCACCAGATGGTACATTTTTAAAAATAGATGTTCTTACATTAAGCCATCATTATCACCCAAAGTCCACAGTTTACATTAGGGTTCAGTCTTGTTATTGTACATTCTATGGGGTTGGACAAATGTGTAATGATATATTCCACCACTGCAGTATCATGCAGAGCATGGTTTATTGGTATCTCACTGTTATTTTAATTTGCATTTCCCTAGCAACATATGATGTGGAGCATCTTTTCACATGCTTATTTGCCATTTGTATACTTTTTGGTGAGGTTTCTGTTAAGGTCTTTGGCCCATTATTTAATTGGGGTGTTTACTTTCTTATTGTTGTGTTTTAAGAGTTCTTGGTATATGTTGGATAAAAGCCCTTTATCAGATGCGTCTTTTGCAAATATTTTCTCTCAGTCTATGATTTAGCTTTTCATTCTGTGGATAATGTCTTTCATAGAGTAAAAATTTTCAATTTTAATGAAGTCCAGCTTATCAGTTATTTATTTTATTGACCATGTGTTTGGTTCCATATCTAAAAAGTCATCACCATACCCAAGGTTGTCAAGGTTTTCTTTTATGTTATGTTCTGGGAGCTTTACAGTTCTGCATTTTACATTTAGGCCTGTGATTTATTTTGAGTCAATTTATATGAAGGGTTAACATCTATGTCTGATTCTTTTTGTTTTTTCTTGCATGTGAATGTCCAGTTTTTCCAGCACCATTTGTTGAAAAGGCTCTATTTTCTCCACTGTATTGCCTTTGCTTATTTGTCAAAAATCAGTTGACTTTATTTATGTCAGTCTATTTCTGGGTTCTGCTTCCTGTTCTATTGATCTATTTATTTTTTCACAAATACCACACTGTCCTGATTACTATAGTTTTATAGTAAGTCTTGAAGTAGGATACTGCGGGTTTCCAGCTTTGTTCTTCTCCCTCAATGTCATGTTGACTATTATGGGTCTTTTGCTTCTTTTTATACCCTTTGGAATGAATTTGTCAATATCTATAAAAAACTTGCTTGAATTTTAATAGGGAATTCATTGAATCTATAGATCAATTTTGGAAGAACTGACATGTTGACAATATTGAGCTTTCCTATCCTGACAAAGGAGTATCTCTCTACTTATTTAGTGTTTCTTTGAATTCCTTCATCAGATTTTGTAGTTTTTCTCATAGAGATTTTGCACATATTTTGTTAGATTTATGCCTAAGTATTTTATTTTTGGGGGGATGCTTATGTAAATGTTATTGTGTTTTAAATTTCAAATTCCACTGATTTATTGTAGGCATATAGAAATGCAATTGACTTTTACCTTGTACCCCACAACCTTACTATAACCACTTATTAGTTGCAGGGTTTTTTGGTCAATTCTTTAAGATTTTCTACATAGACAATCATGTTATCTGTGGACAAAGATAGTTTTATTAATTCTTTCCAATTGGTATACATTTTATTTCTTTTTAATGTCTTAATTCATTACTTAGGACTTCCAATAAGCTGTTGAAAAGCAGCAGTGAGAGGGTCATCATTCCTTAGCTTGACCAATCTTAGTGGGAAAACTTCAAGTTTCTGACCACTAAGTACAATATTACTATAGGTTTTTTTGGTATATTTTTAAAAAATCAAGTTAAGGAAGTTCTTCTCTATTTCTACTTTACTGAGAGTTCCTTATTTTGAAATTGGTATTGAATTTTGTGTTTGGATTTTCTGCATCTATTGATATAATCATATGCTTTTTCTTTTTTAGCCTGTCGATGTGATGGATTACATTAACTGATTTTTGAATATTAAACCAGCCTTAAATACCTGGGATAAATCTCATTCAGTTGTGACTTACAATTCTTTTTATATATTGTTGGATTTGATTTGCCACTATTTTGTTGGGAATTTTTGCATAAATGTTCATGAGACATACTGATCTGTAGTTTTCTTTTCTTATAATGTCTTTGTCTGGTTTTGGTATTTGGGTTATGACAGCCTCATAAAATGAGTTGGGAAGTATTTCCTCTGCTTTTATCTACTGAAAGAGATTGTATAGAACTGGCATAATTTCTTCCTTAACTGTTTGGTATAATTCACCAGTGAACCCGTCTGGGCTGTGTCCTTTCTGTTTTGGAAAGTTATTCATTATTGATTCAATTTTTTAAATAGATTATAGGCCTATTCAAATAGTCTATTTCTTCTTGTGTGAGTTTGGGCAGGTTGTGTCTGTCAAGGAATTGGTGTATTTTATCTAGGTTATCAAATTTGTGGGCATAGAGTTGTTACTTTATTATCTTTTTAATGTGCACGAGACCTATACTGATGTTCCCTCTTTCATTTCTGATATTGGTAATTTGTTTTCTTAGCCTGGCTAGAGGCTCATAGACTTTATTGATCTTTTTAAAGAATTAGCTTTTGGTTTCACTGATTTTCTCTATTGAGTTCCTATTTTCTTTTTTAAAACTTTTATTTATTTATTTATTTTAAGTTTCGGCGTACATGTGCAGGATGTTCAGGTTTGTTACATAGGTAAACGTGTGCCATAGTCATTTGCTGCACAGATCAGCCCATTACCTAGGTAGTAAGCCCCGCATGCATTAGCTATTTTTCCTGATGCTCTCCCTCTCCCTCACACCCCTGACAGACCCCAGTGTGTGTTGTTCCCTCCCTGTGTCTATGTGTTCACATTGTTCAGCTCCCACTTATAAGTAAGAACATGAGGTATTTGGTTTTCTGTTGCTGCATTAGTTTGCTGAGGATAATGGCTTCCAGCTCCATCCAGGTCTCTGCAAAGGATGTGATCTCATTCATTTTTATGGCTGCATAGTATTCCATGAGGTATATGTACCACATTTTATTTATCCAGTCTGTCACTGATGGGCATTTGAGTTGATTCCACATCTTTGCTATTGTGAATAGTGCTGCAATGAACATACGCGTGCATGTATCTTTATCTCAGGTTGATTTATATTCCTTTCAACATATACCCAGTAATGGAATTGCTGGGTCAAATGGTATTTCTGGTTCTAGGCCTTTGAGGAATTGCCACAATATCCTCCACAATGTTTGAACTAATTTACGTTCCCACCAATAGTGTAAAAGCATTCCTATTTCTCTACAGCCTCACCAGCAATTGTTGTTTCTTGACTTTTTAATAATCGCCATTCTGACTGGGATGAAATGGTACCTCATTGTGGTTTGGATTTGCATTTCTCTAATGACCAGTGATGTTGAGCTTTTTTTTTTTTTTCATGTTTGTTAGCCACATAAATGTCTTCTTTTGAGAAGTGCCTATTCATGTCCTTTGCCCATTTTTTAATGGGGTTGTTTTTTTCTTGTAAATTTGTTTAAGTTCCTTGTATATTTTGGATATTAGACTTTTTTTTTTTTTTTTTTTTTTTTTTGAGCTGGGGTCTTGCTCTGTCACCCAGTCTGGAGTGCAGTGGTGCGATCTCAGCTCACTGCAACCTCTGCTTCCCGGGTTCAAGCAATTCTCCTGCCACAGCCTCCCGAGTGGCTGGGATTACAGGCACCCGTCACCATACCCGGCTAATTTTTGTAGTTTTAGTAGAGACAGGATTTCACCATGTTGGCCAGGCTGGTCTTGAACTCCTGACCTCAGGAGATCCACCTGCCTTGGCCTCCCAAAGTGTTGGGATTATAGGCATGAGCCACCACCAGATGGATAGATTGCAAAAATTTTCTCCAATTCTATAGGTTGCCTGTTTGCTCTGATGATAGTTTCTTTGCTGTGCAGAAGCTCTTTAGTTTAATTAGATTCCATTTGTCAATTTTTGCTTTTGTTGCACTTGCTTTTGATGTTTTTTTTTTTAAATAATATCTTTGTCCTTGACTGTGTCCTCAATGATATTGCTTAGATTTTCTTTTAGTTTTTATAGCTTTGGGTTTTGCATTTAAGTCTTTAATCCACCTCAAATTAATTTTTGTATAAGGTGTAAGGAAGGGGTCCAGTTTCAATTTTCTGCATATGGCTAGCCAGTTCTCCCAGCACCATTTATTAAACAGGGAATATTTTCCCCATTGCTTGTTTTCATCAGATTGATTTCCTATTTTCAATTGCTTTGATTTCTGCTCTAATTTTTATTATTTATTTTCTTTTTTTACATTAAATAGATGTTAAAATTTATTTTTTCTTTTACCTTTTATTTTAGACTCAGGGGTGGGTACATGTGCAAGTTTGTTACATATGTAAATTGTTTTTGCTGAGGTTTGCTGTGCAAATGATCCAGTCACCCAGGTAGTGAGCATGGTACCTGATAGGTAGTTTTTCAGCCCGTTTTCCACTCCCTCTCTCCCTCATCAAGGAGTCCCAGTGTGTATTATTCCCATCTTTGTGTCCACGTGTATTCAGTGCTTAGCTCTTTCTCTCTCACTTGTAAGTGAGAACGTGTGGTATTTGGTTTTCTGTTTCTGCATTAATTCCCTTATGATAATGGCCTGTAGCTGCATCCATGTTGCTGCAAAGGACATTATTTCATTCCTTTTTATGCCTACATAGTATTCCATGGCACATATTTACCACATTTTAAAAATCCAGTCCAACATTGATGGACATCTAGGTTGAGTCCATATCTTTGCTATTATGAATACTGTTGTGATGAACATATGAGTGCATGTGTCTTTTTGGTAGAACAATTTATTTTTCTTTGGATATATATCCAGTAGTGGGATTGCAGGTTTGAATGGTAGTTCTGTTTTAAGTTATTTGGGAAATCTCTACACTGTTTTCCACAGAAGCTGAAGTAATTTACATTCCCACCAACAGTGTAAAATTGTTTCCTTTTTCCACAATCTTGCCAACATCCGTTGTTTTTTGACTTTTTCATAGTAGCCATTCTGATTGGCATGAAATGGTATATAACTGTGGGTTTGATTTGCATTTCTTTAATAATTAGTGGTGGTGAGTGTTTTTTTCTTATGTTTGTTGGGTGCGTGTATGTCTTCTTTTGAAAAATGTCTGTTCATGTCCTTTGCTCATTTTAAAATAGGGTTATTTGTTTTTGCTTGTTGAATTGTTTAAGTTCCTTGTAGATTCTGGATATTAGACCTTTGTTGGATGCATCGTTTGAATATTTTCTCCCATTCTGTAGGTTGTCTGTTTACTCTGTTGATAGCTTCTTTTGCTGTGCAGAAGGTCTTTAGTTTAATTAGACTCCACTTGTCAGTTTTTTTGTTGTTGTTGCAATTTTTTTTGGGGAGTTAGTAATAAAATCTTTGCTAAAGCCAACATCCAGACTGGTATCTCCTAGGTATTCTTCTGGGGTTTTTATAGTTTGAGGTCTTACATTTAATCCATCTCGAGTTTTTTTTTAATATGGTGAAAAGTAGGGGTTCAGTTTTAATTTTCTGCATATGGCTAGATAGTTATCCCAGAACCATTTATTGAATAGGGACACCTTTCCTCATTGCTTGTTTTTGTCAACTTTGTTGAAGATCAGGTCGTTTTAGGTATGCAGCTTTATTTCTGGGTTCTCCATCTTGTTCCCTTGGTCTATGTGTCTGTTTTTGTTCCAGTACCATGCTGTTTTGATTACTGCAGCCTTGTAGCATATTTTGAAATCAGGTAGTATGATGCTTCTCACTTTGTTCTTTTTGCTTAGGATTGCTTTGGTGATAATCCACAATCAATGCACAAAGATAAGTAGCATTTTTATGCACCAATGACATCTAAGCTGAGAGCCAAATCAAGATCACAATCCAATTTATGATAGCCACATAAAGGATAAAACACCTAGGAATACAGCTAAGCAAGAAGGTGAAAGGTCTCTACAACAGGAATTATAAAACACTGCTGAAAGAAATCAGAGACTACACAAACAAATGTAAAAACATTCCATGCTCATGGATAGGAGGAATCAATATTGTTAAAATGGCCATAATTGCCCAAAGCAATTTATATATTCAATGCTATTCTTATCAAACTACCAATCTTATTTCTTTTCTTCTGGTTGTTTTGGATTTAATTCACTCTTCTTTTTGTAGTTTCCTGAAATGGAAGCTTAGACGGTAGATTATAGATCTTTATTCTTTCCTAATATATGCACTTGATGCTATAAGTCTCCTTCTATGTGCTGCTCTTGCTGCATTTCACAAATTTTGATAAATTGTGCTTTCGTTCTTATTTAGTTCAAAATACTTTTTAATTTCTTTTGAGATTTCTTCTTAACCCATGTGTTATTTAGAAGTGTATTGCTTTTAATCTTCACGTATCTGGGGATTTTCTAGTTATACTTCTGCCATTTATTTTTAGTTTAATTTTATTATGGTCTGAGAGCAGACATTGCATGATTTCTGTTATTTTACATTCGTGAAGGTGTATTTTATGACCCAAAATGTTGGTCTCTCTTGTGGAATATTCCATGTGAGGTTGAGAAGAATGTATATTCTGCTATGGTTGGATGAAGTAATCTACACTTGTCAATTATATCTAGTTGATTGATGGTGTTGTGGAATTCAACCACATCTTTACTGATTTTCTGCCTGCTGGATCTGTTCATTTGTAATGGAGGGGTGTTGGTGTTGTCAGCCATAATAGTGAATTAGTCTATTTCTTCTTGCAAGTTTATTAGTTTTTGCTTCACATATTTTAGTGCTCAGTCGTTAGGCACATACACGTTAAGGATTGTTTTGTGTTCTTGGAGAATTGACCTCTTTATTATTATGTAATGGTCCCTTTTTATCCCTGATCACTTTTTTGCTTAGAAGTTTGCTTTGTTTGAAATTAATATAGCCACTCCCACTTTCTTTTGATTAATGCAGAATTCTAGGTTGGTGGGTTTTTTCTTCTTAACACTAAATATTTTACTGCATTCTCCTCTTGCTTTCATGGCTTCTGAGGAAATGTTGGACCTAATTCTTATCTTTGCTCCACTACAGGTAAAATGGTTTCTCCCCACCAGCTTCTTTCAGGACTTTTCTTTTATCTTTGATTTTCTATAGTTTGAAAATGTCATGCCTAGGTGTAGAGGTTTCTTTTTTTCTTAGAATTTATCTTGCTTTGTGTTTTATGAACTTCCTGGATCTGTGGTTTGGTGTCTGATTTTAATATTGGAAAAATTCCCAGTAATTATTGTTTCAAATATTTCTTCTCTTTCTGTTTTTCTCCTCCTTCTGGTATCCCCATTATGTGTATTTTACAGATTTTGTAGTTATCCCACAGTTCTTGAACATTGTGTTCTCTTTTTCCCCCACATTTTGTTCTCTTTCCTTTTCAGTTTTAAAGTTTCCTATCACTATATCCTCAAGCTCAGAGATTCCTTCTTTATCCAGTGTACACATGAGCCCATCAAAGACATTCTTTATTTCTATTACAGTGTTTTTGATCTCTAGCATTTCTTTTGGTTCTTTCTTAGGATATCCATCTCTGTGCTTACATGGTCCACCTGTTCTTCCATGCTGTTTACTTTTTCCATTAGAGCCCAAAGCATATTAATCATTTTTGTTTTACATTCCCTGTCTAATAATTCCAACATTCCTGTCACACACATAATGCATGTGAATTGTGGCCAAACTGCACCTGTGCTGCTTCTTGCCAGTAGACCACTCAAGTAAAGAGAACAGCTGCAACACTAACAAGAACTGTGCCTTTACTAGGCTCTGCTCACCTTCTCCAGATGGTTTTTTAGAATTTAATCATACATTTGTATGATGCCATTTATGACTAAATTCCTAGCCTAGCCTGATTATCTATTATCAGACAAATTTGCCAGTTGAGGTTCTGCTATCTGGTCTTATCAGATAGTAGGCCTATTTAGTACAAAAACTGTGATTCAGAAAGTCAATTGATTTATTAATTTTAGAAGAAATAGCTCTACTAAAACAACATTTGGAATTACTAGCACTCACCGTGTGTGATCTATTTGGAAATATTGCTTACTTTTGAAACAACACAATTCTTCCTTTTCCACAAAATATCTGTGACTGCAACTGTCTGGGTAAATCAGTTTGTAATACTAGTTAACACATACAGAGAATATTCTAATTATATGTATTTCTTGAGTATATATAAGTATACATACATATACATACATACACAATTCTTATGACAGCTTTATGAGATAAATACTATTATCCCTGTTTGACAGATGAGGTAATTGAGGCAGAGAGCAATAAAGTAGCTTTTGCAGAAAATACTTTCTTAATCAATAAAGAAAAACTCCACTTTTTAATGAAAACTGGGCTATTAGAGCTCTTTAAGTTAAAGTAGCCGAGGATGAGAGCTGAAGGAAAGGCAAGGACATTACCTCTGAAGGGAGATTCTATATCATGGCTCCAGCAAATCCCTAGCCCCAGCAGTGAACCACCCTGTCTGCTGAGCAGCCTATTTCTCTAGAGCTCTGCTGGCTACACCACTGAGACTTTCCTAAGCATTATCTAACAGGCTCAAAGAAAAGAGTCACAGTTTACTAATTTAAGGCTGTTAAAGGGAGGAATAAGCCTTGATAGAGGTGCTGCTCTCCTGTGTTTGGAGGCATTCAGGCAGAGCAGTAACCAGCCATTAGGAGCTGTAGGAACATCCATAACAGTAAAAGGATATTAAATAACAGACCCTCTGCACTCCTTTCTGTTTTTTTTTAACTCTGATAAAAATATAACAACTGTGTAAGGCTAAATAACATTTAAATAAAACATAGGTCTTATTCAAATTGTGACTGATGGCAATTAAAGGATTAGAAGACATACTGTAGAGGATGTTTTTGTTTGCTTCCCAGCATCAGTTCCTTCTCCTAGTATTAATGCAACTAATTTATTTTGGGAAACCACTTTTCCCTTATGTTCAGGCAGATGAATTAGGTGAGATCGGCTCCACGTTTAAGTCCCAGGTGGGACCTGTTAGGCTTTAGTCAAGCAGCTTATCCCTTCCCTCTGGCCAATTATTGGGTTGGCAATGAGGCCATAATCAAGAGGAGATTGATTGGGCTCCTGGGGAAGAGATCTGTTCCCTAGAGGACTGAGTGTTAAGACATGTGGCTGAATCTGTCATCATACAGAGCTTGGCAGTAGAGCCAGCCCTAGCTAGGAAAAGCTGATGTGTGCATCCTGGTGACATTGTGTGAGGTACGAATTCCTCCTTCTCACATACAAACTTTTCAATGATGAAACCAATAAAGTTTTTTTTTTTTTTTGCCAAAGTTTTTCTGTCATTTTCAACTGAAAGGATTTTGATATATAAATATGTCACATTTTATTTAGAAGTTTATTTTATTCAACAAGTATGTAGCATGTGCCAGGCTGTGTTCAAGAAGCTGGGATTAAAGCAGTGAACAAGATAGATAGGATCTTTATTCTCAAGATGGTTGTATTCTTTGGGAAAAGACGGTACTAACAGTAAAGAAATAAAATGTTGGCAATGAGGCCATAATCAAGGGGAAATAGATTGGGCTTCTGGGGAAGAGACATTTTCCCTGCTGGGCTGAGTGTTAAGACATGTGCCTGAATCTGTTATCATATAGAACTAATAATTTCAGATTGCATTGACTGCTGTGAAGAGAATTAATAGGGTGACATGATTGAGGGTAATGCTGGAAGAAATGCTTAAGATACCATAATTCAGGGAAGGCTTCTTCCTGAGGATGTTGCTTCTGAGTTGAGACACAAAAAATGGAAAAAAAAACTAGCTATGGAAATATATTTGAGGCAGATGGCACAGTAAGTGGAAAATTCTTCTGCATAAACGAGCTTTGGATATTCTAAAAACATAATGAAAATCAGTATTATATGAAGATAATGAGCAAGAAAGATAAAAGATATGACTGGAGAGGTGAGCTTCATATGCCTCTCTTGTGAACAAATCCTACCCTCTCTTTTAACCCAATTATGGGTTGGTGATGAGGAAGGATTCCTACTTCATTCACATAGTAATCATTCAACTAAAAGTTATGCTGTTTATGTGCCAGGTTCTGTAATAGGTACAGCAAATAAAGGGGTGTATAACTCAGAATTCTTATTCTAGAAGATCTCATAGTATTTGAAGTTCTTCTCATTTACAACTTCTATAATCTCATGAACTTCTCAGTTCTGTGATGTCTTCTTAGTGTTCTAAACTTGAAGTTCATCTCCTCACATTCCTCACCAATTCCACCAAGGACTATCACTCCCACTGCACAACCCATTACATTTTTCATGGGACCTTCTCAGACCTAAACCTCTCTCCTTAAAATTGAGCTCCCACTCGCTGGGTTGTAAGTAGTTTTTTTAATTGCTAATCTTTGTTTGCTACCAAATAGCAGAAATGTCATCAAATTTGATATATTATTCGTTGTCATAGTTGCTGGTGGTCTTAGCACATGCATGCTCATCAATATAACTTTTTATATATACATATTTTAGGATAGTCTCAAGTTTGCAACAATAAATTTGGGAATTCTATAGAGAATCTAAAGACTATTCTAACGATGTTAATGAAGATTATATGTTTGAGATTCTCTATAAATTTTTTAAAGAAACTTAAAGCCAGGCTAGCAGATAGATGGTAAGAAACAGTTAGAGAAATTTGCACATGCACACAAATCTGCCTTCTCAGTTAGGAAATCCAGGAGAAATAGCCTTAAATTTTTATCAGTCTGTTAGAAGAAACCTCTTATATTAATATCAGACAGAATACTAGAAAATCAATGGGAGAGATAAACAAGATAATTTTCTATCTTCCACTGGCAAATATTTATTAATAATTATTTTATGCAAGTCACTGAAGCAAGATTGACACCGTACTATCAACATGCATAATTTTATAATTATGAAAATAGTGTTTGAAAGCAAAATGAGCAATTGTGGAACAGTTCCAAATAGTGAAAATGTTTGAAAGCTTGGATATATCAAAATTCATTTTATTTTGTCATTCAGAATGCTGAGACAAGTATTGCACATCAATCCTAACCATTGCCCAAGCAGGAAAATGAATACAAATTTAATTAACTTCACCTTACTTTCCCTCATTTATTATTTATTTTTCCTAGATTTCTAATGTTATCATGTAGCAATCCATATATAGATATCCAAGTATGAATTTTATATTGATGCATCTAAATGTATTTAATAAATAGTTCTTTCAATTAAATGCTGCCTCCTTTATTCTTTATTCTAATAGAATAGCATAAGAAATGAGGAGCATGTAATGAACATAGGGATCACAATAAAAAGCCATGATGTTCAAAAGAAATAAATAGTATGTAAGTTTCCAAAAGGCAATTATGCATGAAATATAACATATACATTCAGTAATGTAAATTATGAAACATAAGCTAAAATTCACTGTGTACTGAATTTGTGTAAATATGAAAAACTATGTCTAAATAGGAAGACAAAAAAGATAAACTATATGTGCCATTTTGTTGCATAACTTATCAATACCACTTTAAACATGAACTTTGCCTCTATAATCAAATGCCTCTACCTGTGACATAGTTGGGAGAAATGCTAACAGGAGGAGAAAGGACTGGGTGATGTAAACCTCCCTCCTAAGCCACTGCTGAACCAATGCAATCTATTTTCTTTGTG
Organism: Homo sapiens; assembly: GCF_000001405.40. NCBI lineage: Eukaryota > Metazoa > Chordata > Mammalia > Primates > Hominidae > Homo > Homo sapiens. The sequence goes on from NC_000002.12 coordinate 208,513,808, forward strand.
ATTAACTTGTTACTGTCTCCAAATGATTCCATTGTGATTCTAACATAATTTAACTTAAAATGGTTTGTCTTTATACTATTGTAAACAAAACTGAGAAGAAATCTGAAAATTCACATTTTCATGCTAGGTTTCCTAGTGATTCCATTAAAAAATGCTAACGTACAGTAAAAATGTACCTATTTTCAAGTACAGTGAGTTTTGATGAAAGCATATTCCTATGTACCATGGTCACAATTATTAAGATTTATCATCCCCAAAAGCTTATTTACAGTCAATACTCCCTCCTCACTGCAACTGGGTAATCATTGAGTTCATCACATGAATATAATTCTATGTCATGCTTATTTCTTTTGTTCAGCATAAAGTATTTGAAAATCATCCACATTGTTAAGGTATCAGTACTTTGTTCCATTTTGTATTAGGATGTTCTCACATTGCTATAAAGAAATGCCTGAGACTGGGTAATTTATAAAGAAAAGAGGTTTAATTGGCCCATGGTTCCACAGACTGTACAGAAAGCATGATGTGACATCTGCCTGCGTTCTGGGGAGGCCTCAGGAAACTTACAATAGTGGTGGAAGGCGAAGGAGGACCCAGCACATTACGTGGCCACAGCAGCAAGAGTGAGAGAATGGGGAGGTGCTATACACTTTTAAGCAACCAGATCTCATGATAACCTACTCACTTACAATCATGAGAACAGCACTGAGGGGATGGTGCTAACCCATTAATGAGAACCCTGCCCCCATGATCAAATCACCTCCCACCAGGCCCCACCTCATTCAACATGAGCTTTGGTAAAAGACACAGATTCAAACCATATTATTCTGCTTCTGGCCCCTCCCAAATCTCATGTCCTTCTCACATCTGAAAATCCAATTATGCCTTCCCAATAATCCCCAAAGTCTTAACTCCTTCCAGCATTAACTCAAAAGTCCAAAGTCTCATGTGAGACAAAGCTAGTCCCTTCTGCACATGGGCCTGTAAAATTAAAAACAAGTTAGTTACTTCCAAGATACAGGAAGGTATAGGCATTAAATATTCTTGTTCCAAAAGGGAGAAATTGGCCAAAAGAAAGGGCCTACAGGCCACAAGCAAGTTTGAAACCCAGTAGGGTGATCATCAAATCTTAAAGCTTCAAAATAATCTTCTTTGACTCCATGTCCCACATCCAGGGCACTCTGAGGTGAGGGGTGGGCTCCCAAGGCCTTGGGCAAGTCCACCCCTACAGTAGGCTTCTGCCTGGACCTCCAGGCTTTTCCATACATCCTCTGAAATCTAGGTGGAGGCTCCTAAGCCATAACTCTTGTACTCTGTGCACCTGCAGGTCTAATGTCATGGGAAAGCTGCCAAGGCTCATGGCTTGCACCCTCCAGAGCAGCTGCCTGAGCTGTACCTAAGTCCTTTTGAGCCATGGCTGGTGCTGGAGTGGCATAGATACAGGAAGCAGTGTTTCAAGGCTCTGCAGGGCAGCAGGCCATGGGCCTCGCCAATGAAACCATTCTTCCCTCCTAGGCCTCCAAGCCTGTGATGGGAGGGGCTGCCACAAAGGTCTCTGTAATGTCTTTTAGGCCTTTTCTCCATTGATTTAAATATTAGCACTTGGCATCTTTTTACTTATGTGAATTTCTGCAGCCTGCTTGAATTCCTACCCTGAAAATGAACTTTTCTTTTTTATCACATGGCCAGGCTGCAAATTTTTCAAACTTTTATGTTTTGCTTCCCCTTTAAATATAAATTCCAACTTTAGGTCATTTCTTTGTTCATACATATGTGCATAGGTTGTTAGAAACAACCAGGCTGCTTCTTGAGCACTTTGCTGCTTAGAAATTTCTTCTGCCAGATACCCGAAAACATCACTCTCAAGTTCAAAGTCCTACAGATTTGTAGGGCAGGGACACATGCAGCCACGTTATTTACTAAGGCATAACACACATGACCTTTGCTGCTGTGCCCAATGAGTTCCTTATCTCCACCTGAGACCTCATCAGTCTGGCTATCTGTCTCTATCATTCTCAACATTTGTCTCACAACTATTCAACAAGTCTCTAAGAAGTTTCAACTTTTCCTTCATCTTCCTGTCTTCTTCTGATCCCTTCAAACTCTTCCAATGTCTGCCCATTACCCAGTTTCAAAGTTGCTTCTACATTTTCAGGTGTCGTTATAGCAATGCCCCACTCCCAGTACCAATTTTCTATATTAGGCCATTCTTGCATTGCTATAAAAATTACCTGAGCTGGGTAATTTATAAAGAAAAGAGATTTAATTGGCTCATGGTTCTGCAGGCTATCAGGAAGCATGATGCTGGCATTTGCTCAGCTTGCGGGAGGCCTTAGCAAACTTACAATCATGGTGGAAGGCAAAGGGGGAGCCAGCACATCACATGGCCAGAGCAGCAAGAGGGAGAAAAGGAGGAGGTGCCACACACTTTTAAACAACCAGATCTCATGGGAACTCACTCGTGATGGTGGGGACAGTACCAAGGGGATGGTGCTAAACCATTCATGAGAACTCTGCCCCCTTGATCCAATCACCTCCCACCAGGCCCTACCTTCAGCATTGGGGATTAAAATTCAACATGAGATTTGGGCAGGGATATGGATCCACACCATATTACATTTATTGTTGTATAGTATTCCATTCTGTTGCATGGATATACAATAATTTTTTCAAAATTAATTTCCTGTTGACTGACATGGGTTGTTTCCAGCTTTCAGTCATTATAACTAATGCCACTAAAAACACTTACGAGCAAGTCTTTGTGTGAACGTGTGTTTTTATTTCTCTTGAGTGAACACTTAGGAGTGGAATTGCTAGGTGGTATGTTTAACTAAGTGTATGTTTAACTATATAAAGAACTACTTAGTAGTGTTGGTTGTGTTATATTACACTCACATTAGCAATACATGAAAATTAAGTTGTTCCACATCTTTGTCAACAATTGATTGTCTATTAAATTAACATGTGATTTTAATTTTTTTTTCTTTTTCTTATGGGTAAGGGGAGCCAGTTATGTGTATGTGTGTAGAGGTGAGGGATAAGGAATGGGAAGTCCCCACTGGGAGAAAGATGCTTCAAGAAGTTCTGCATTTGTGTCTCCAGTGCCCCCATCAACAACTCTCTGCTGGTGGATGGGCATGTTCTGGTCACTGGTGATGACACAGATGGTATCCATCTCTAGGACCAGTGGAAGGAGGGCCTCTTAATGGATATGAGGTAGCATGAGGAGTACATTGAAGACATGGCTCTGTATCCAGCTGAGAAGCTGCTGCTGATAGCCAGCTACAACCTCAAAGCTGCCTTCCCTCCCCATGTTCAATATCTTCCTGAAGGGGAACTTGTGGCTAAGACTGTTGCCCTACTTTCTACAGTGGAAATGGCTACCTTGGCATTTTCAAAATCAAGAGATGTTGGTTTGAGTTGCAACATAGTGATCTATCAATGTAGTTTTAATTAGAATTTCTATGATGACTAATGATTTTATCCTTTTTTGTGCTTATTGGCCATTCATATATCTTCTTCTATGAAGATATACAAAAGATATATTTATTTTTGCATCTTATTAGGTTATTTGTCCTTTAATTGTTGAGTTGTATAAATTCTTAATATTTCTGGATACAATTCATTTTTAGAAATACGTTTTGTGGTTTTGTATTTTCTCTGTACTAGTCTTCTTATTTTCTAAATGATGCCTTTTTAAGAGCTGAACTTCAAAATTTTGATGAAGTACAATTTGTCAATTTTTTTTGATTAATTGTTTTTATGGCCTAAGATCTTTTTCCATCTCAAGGTCAAGGATTTTCTCTTATGCTTTCTTCTAAGAATGTTAGGGTTTATGTTAAGAATTATGATTCATTTTGAGTTTATATTTGTATATATACACATATGTGTATATGTATAAATTTGTATATATATATATACATATATATGAGGAATTGTTCAGTGCTTATTTTTTCCTATGTAGATATTCAGTTGTTACAGCACTATTTACTGAAAAAGACTATTCTTTTGTCCATTGAAATTACCTGGGCGGCATTGTCTAAAATTAATTGACTATGTTGTTGTGGGTTTATTTATGTACTCTCTATTCTGTTCCATGAATCTATATATCTACCTTTATGCCAAAAATAAGTTTTATTTTAAGCTTTATAATACATTTTAAAAACCAGGCAAGAGTTTTTTTCCTCCAGTTTTGTCTTTTTTCAAAATTACTTTGGCTATTCTTAGTCCTTTGCATTTCTCTATAAGTTTTAGGATCAACTTTCAACCTCTGCAAGAAAGACTGCTAAGATTTTGATTGGAATAGTATTAAATCTATAGATTAATTTGGGTAAAACTGGTGTCTTAACAATATTAAGTCTTCTGCTCCACCAGTGTATTATATCTCTCCATGTATTTACATCTTCTTTGATTTCACTCAGCAATATTTTGTAGTTTTCTGTGCATGGATCTCACATACATTTTGTGAAATTAATCCCTAAGTATGACATTTTTTTTTTTTTTTTGACAGAGTCTCACTCTGCCACCCAGGCTGAAATGCAGTGGTGCAATCTTGGCTCACTGCAACCTCTGCCTCCCAGATTCGAGTTATTCTCCTGCCTCAGCCTCCTGAGTAGCAGGGATTACAGCTGCCTGCCACCACGCCTGGCTAATTTTTTGTATTTTTGGTAGAGATGGGGTTTTACCATGTTGACCAGGCTGGTCTCAAACTCCTGATCTCAGGTGATCCACTCACCTCAGCCTCCCAAAGTGCTAGGATTACAGGTGTGAGCCACTGCACCTGGCCAATTACATGCTTTTTGATGCTATTGTAAGTGACATTTAAAAATTTGAATTTCCAAGTGTTTATTGCTAGTTTGTAGAAATATTTTGATTTTGGAATATTAACCTAGTATCCTGCAACCTTACTATACACACTGAGAGTTATAATTTTTACATAATTTTTTTCCAGCTTTATTGAGATATCATTAACAAATAAAGGAGTCTTTCTACAGAGTCATGTCAGCTGTTTGGCTTTGTTCTTTCTAATATGTATGTATTTTCTTCCCTTTTCTTGCCTCATTGCCATAGCTAGGACTTCAAGAACAATGTTGAGTAGATGTGGTGAGAGTAGACATCTTTGCCTTTTTCTCAATCTTAGAGAGAAAGCAATCATTCCTTCACCATTGAACATGGTGTGAGCTGTGGGTTTTTTATAGATTTCCTTTGTCAGAATTAGAAAATTTTCTTCTAGTTTGCTGAGAGTTTTTATCAGGAATAGATATTACATTTTGTCAAATATACTTTTTTCTGCATCTATTGAGATGCAGATCATATATAGACATATATTTTATTCAACAAAATGGTGAATTGGTGAACTATATTAATTGGTTCCATGATGTTAAATCACTAAGAAAACTTTTTTTGGTCATGGTATATTATCATTTTTATTATTATTGTTATGATTTTTTTATTATACTTTAAGTCCTGGGATACATGTACCAAATGTGTAGGTTTGTTACATAGGTATACATGTGCCCTGGTGGTTTGCAGCACCCACCAATCTGTCATCTACATTAAGTATTTGTCCTAATGCTATCCCTCCCCTGGGCCCCCACTCCCTGACAGGCCCCACTGTGTGATGTTCCTCTGCCTGTGTCTATGTGTTCTCATTGTTCAACTCTCACTTATGAGTGAGAACATGTGGTGTTTGGTTTTCTGTTCCAGTGTTAGTTTGCCGAGAATGATGGTTTCCAGCTTCATCCATGTCCCTGCAAAGGACATGGACTCATCCTTTTTTTTTTTTTTTGAGATGGAGTCTCCCCCTGTTGCCCAAGCTGGAGTGCAGTGGCGCAATCTTGGCTCACTGCAAGCTCCACCTCCCAGGTTCACGCCATTCTCCTGCCTCAGCCTCCCAGGTAGCTGGGACTACAGGCACCCGCCACCACGCCCAGCTAATTTTTTGTACTTTTTTTAGTAGAGACGGGGTTTCACCGTGTTAGCCAGGATGGTCTCGATCTCCTGACCTTGTGATCCACCCACCTTGGCCTCCCAAAGTGCTGGGATTACAGGCATGAGCCACCACGCCTGGCCGAACTCATCCTTTTTTAATGGCTGCATAGTATTCCGTGGTGTATATGTGCCAAATTTTCTTTATCCAGTCTATCATTGATGGGCATTTGGGTTGGTTCCAAGTCTTTGCTATTGTAAACAGTGCCACAATAAACATACGTGTGCATATGTCTTTATAGTAGAATGATTTACAATGCTTTGAGTATATACCTAGTAATGGGATTGCTGGGTCAAATTGTATTTCTGATTCTAGATCCTTGAGGAATTGCCACACTGTCTTCTACAATGGTTGAACTAATTTACACTCCCACCAACAGTGTAAAAGCTTTCTTATTTTTCCATATCCTCTCCATCATCTGTTGTTTCCTGACTTTTTAATGATTCCCATTCTAACTGGCATGAGATGGTATCTCATTGTGGTTTTGATTTGCATTTCTCTAATAACCAGTGATGATGAACTTTTTTTTCATATGTTTCTTGGCCACATAAATGTCTTCTTTTGAGAAGTGTCTGTTCATATCCTTTGCCCACTTTTTGATGGTTTTTTTTTTCTTGTAAATTTGTTTAAGTTCTTTGCAGATTCTGGATATTAGCCCTTTGTCAGATGGATAGATTGCAAAAGTTTTCTCCCATTCTGTAGGTTGCCTGTTCACTCTGATGATAGTTTCTTTTGCTGTGCAGAAGCTCTTTATTTAATCAGATCCCGTTTGTCAAGTTTGGCTTTTGTTGCCTTTGCTTTTGATGTTTTAGTCATGAAGTCTTTACCCATGCCTATGTCCTGAATGGTATTGCCTAGGTTTTCTTCTAGGGTTTTTATGGTTTTAGGTTGGCTGTTTAAGTCATTCTTCCATCTTGAGTTAATTTTTGTATAAGGTGGAAGGAAGAGGTCCAGTTTCAGTTTTCTGCATATGGCTAGCCAGTTTTCCCAAAAACTTTCATTAAATAGGGAATCCTTTCCCCATTGTTTGTTTTTGTCAAGTTTATCAAAGATCAGATGATTGTAGATATGTGGCACCACTTCTGATACCTCTGTTCTGTTCCATTGGTCTATATATCTGTTTTGGTACCAGTACCATGCTGTTTTGGTTGCTGTAGCTTTGTAGTATATTTTGAAGTCAGGTAGTGTGATGCCTCCAGCTTTGTTCTTTTCACTTAGGATTGTCTTGTCTATACGTGCTCTTTTTTGGTTCCATATGAGATTTAAAGTAGTTTTTTTCTAACTCTGTGAAGAAAGTCAGTGGTAGCTTGATGGGGATAGCACTGAATCTATAAATTACTTTGGGCAGTATGGCCATTTTCATGATATTGGTTCTCCCTATCTATGAACATGGGATGTTTTTCCATTTGTTTGTGTCCTCTCTTATTTTGTTGAGCAGTGGTTTGTAGTTCTCTTTGAAGAGTTTCTTCACATCCCTTGTAAGTTTTATTCCTAGGTATTTTATTCTCTTTATAGCAACTGTGAATGGGAGTTCACTCATGATTTGGCTCTCCGTTTGTCTATTATTGATGTATAGTAATGCTTGTGATTTTTGCGCATTGATTTTGTATCCTGAGCCTTTGCTAAAGTTGCTTATCAGCTTAAGGAGTTTTTGGGCTGAGACGATGGGGTTTCTAAATATACAATCATGTTATCTGCAAACAGAGACAATTTGACTTCCTCTCTTCCTATTTGAATACCCTTTATTTCTTTCTCTTGCCTGATTGCCCTGGCCAGAACTTCCAGTACTATGTTGAATAGGAATGATGAGAGATGGCATTCTTGTTTTGTGCCGGTTTTCAAAAGGAATGCTTCCAGGTTCTGCCCATTCAGTATGATACTGGCTGTGGGTTTGTCATAAATAGCTCTTGCTATTTTGAGATACGTTCCATCAATACCTAGTTTATTGAGAGTTTTTAGCATGAAGGGCTATTGAATTTTGTCAAAGGCCTTTTCTGCATTTATTGAGACAATCATATGGTTTTTTTCATTGGTTCTATTTATGTTATGAATTACATTTGTTGATTTGCATATGTTGAACCAGCCTTGCATCCCAGGGATGAAGCCAACATGATCGTGGTGGATAAGCTTTTTGATATGCTGCTGGATTTGGTTTGCCAGTATTTTATTGAGGATTTTCATGTCGGTGTTCATCAGGGATATTGGCCTGAAATTGTCTTTTTTTGTTGGGTCTCTGCCAGGTTTTGGTATCAGGGTGATGCTGGCCTCATAAAATGAGTTTGGGAGGAGTTCCTCTTTTTCTATTGTTTGGAATAGTTTCAGAAAGAATGGTACCAGCTCCTCTTTGTACCTCTGGGAGAATTTGGCTGTGAATCCATCTGGTCCTGGGCTTTTTTTGGTTGGTAGGCTATTTACTACTGCCTCAATTTCACAACTTGTTATTGGTCCATTAAGGGATTCAACCTCGTCCTGGTTTAGTCTTGGGAGGGCATATGTGTACAGGAATTTATCCATTTCTTCTAGATTTTCTAGTTTATTTGCATAGTGATGTTTTTAGCATCCTCTGATGGTAGTTTGTATTTCTGTGGGATCGGTGGTGACATCCACTTTATCATTTTTTATTGTGTCTATTTGACTCTTTGCTCTTTTCTTCTTTATTAGTCTGGCTTGTGGTCTATCTCTTTTGTTAATCTTTTCAAAAACCACCTCCTGGATTCATTCATTTCTTGAAGGGTTTTTTGTGTGTGTCTATCTCCTTCAGTTCTGCTCTGATCTTAGCTATTTCTTGTCTTCTGCTAGCTTTTGAATTTGTTTGCTTTTGCTTCTCTAGTTCTTTTAATTGTGATGTTAGGATGTCAATTTTAGATCTTTTCTGCATTCTCTTGTGGGCATTTAGCGCTATAAATTTCCCTCTAAACACTGCTTTAGCTGTGTCCCAGAGATTCTGGTACGTTGTGTCTTTATTCTCACTGGCTTCAAAGAACTTATTTAATTCTGTCTTAATTTTGTTATTTACCCAGTAGTCATTCAGGTGCAGGATGTTCAGTTTCCACATAGTTGTGCAGTTTTGAGTGAGTTTCTTAATCCTGAGTTTTAATTTGATTGCACTGTGTTCTGAGATACTGTTATTATTTCAGTTCTTTTCCATTTGCTGAGGAGTGATTTACTTCCAATCATGTGGTCAATTTTAGAATAAGTGTAATGTAGTGTTGAGAAGAATGTGTATTCTGTTGATTTGGGGTGGAGAGTTCTGTAGATGTCTATTAGGTCTGCTTGATCCATAGCTGAGTTCAAATCCTGAATATCCTTGTTAATTTTCTGTCTCATTGATTTGTGTAATATTGACAGTGGGGTGTTAAAGTCTCCCACTATTATTGTGTGGGAGTCTAAGTTTCTTTGTAGGTCTCTAAGAACTTGCTTTATGAATCTGGGTGCTCCTGTATTGGGCACATATATATTTAGCATAGTCAGCTCTTCTTGTTGCATTGATCCCTTTACCATTATGCCATGCCTTTCTTTGTCTTTTTTGATCTTTGTTGGTTTAAAGTCTGTTTGATCAGATACTAGGATTGCAACCCCTGCTTTTTTTTTTCTTTTTTTACTTTCCATTTGCTTGGTGAATATTTCTCCATTCCTTTATTTTGAGCCTATGTGTGTCTTTGCATGTGTGATGGGTCTCCTGAATACAGCACACCAATGGGTCTTGGCTCTTTATCCAATTGGCGAGTCTGTGTCTTTTACATTTAAGGTTAATATTGTTATGTGTGAATTTGATCCTGTCGTTATGATGCCAGCTGGTTATTTTGCCTGTGAGTTGATGCAGTTTTTTCATAGTGTTGGTGGTCTTTACAATTTGGTGTGTTATTTCAGTAGCTGGTACTGGTTTTCCCTTTCCGTATTTAGTGCTTCCTTCAGGAGCTCTTGTAAGGCAGGCCTGGAGGTGACAAAATCTCTCAGCATTTGCTTGTCTGTAAAGGATTTTATTTCTCCTTCGCTTATGAAGCTTAGTTTGGCTGGATATGAAATTCTGGGTTGGAAATTCTTTTCTTTAAGAATGTTGAATATTGGCCCCCACTCTCTTCTGGTTTGTAGGGTTTCTGCAGAGAGATCCACCGTTGGTCTGATGGGTTTCCATTTGTGGGTAACCTGATCTTTCTCTCTGGCTGCCCTTAACATTTTTTGCTTCATTTTAACCTTGGCAAATCTGATGAGTATGTGTCCTGGGGTTGCTCTTCTTAGGAATATCTTAAAGGTGTTCTCTGTATTTGCTGAGTTTGAATGTTGGCCTGTGTTTCTAGGTTGGGGAACTTCTCCTGGATTATATCCTGAAGAGTGTTTTCCAACTTGGTTCCATTCTCCCTGTCACTTTCAGGTACACCAATCAAACCTATGTTTGGTCTTTTCACATAGTCCCATATTTCTTGGAGGCTTTGTTCATTTCTTTTTACTCTTTTTTCTCTAAACTTCTCTTCTTGCTTCATTTCATTCATTTGATCTTCAATCACTTATATCCTTTCTTCTTCTTGATCAATTCAGCTATTGATACTTGTGTATGCTTCACGAAGTTCTCGTGCTGTGTTTTTCAGCTCCATCAGGTCATTTATGTTTTTCTCTAAACTGGTTATTCTAGTTAGCAATTCGTCTCACTTTTTTCAAGGTTCTTATCTTCCTTGCATTGGGTTAGAACTTGCTTCTTTAGCTCGGAGGAGTTTGTTATTACCTACCTTCTGAAGCCTTCTTTCAATTCGTCAAACTCATTCTCCATCCAGTTTTGTTCCCTTCTGGTGATCCTTTGCAGGAGAAGAGTTGTTCTGGTTTTAGGAATTTTTAGCCTTTTTGCGCTGGTTTTTCCTCATCTTTGTGGATTTATCTACCTTTGTTCTTTGATGTTGGTGACCTTTGGATGGGCTTTTTGTGTGGACTTCTTTTTTGTTGATGTTGATGTTATTCCTTTCTGTTTGTTAGTTTTCCTTCTAACAGTCAGGCCCCTCTGCTGCAGGTCTGCTGAAGTTGGCTGGAGGTCCACTTCAGACCCTGTTTGCCTGGGTATCACCAGCCGAGGCTGCAGAACAGCAAAGATTGCTGCTTGTTCCTTCCTCTGGAAGCTTTGTCCCAGAGGGCACCTGCCAGATGCCAGCTGGAGCTCTCCTGTATGAAGTGTCTGTTGACCCCTGCTAGGGAGTGTCTCCCAGTCAGGAGGCATGGAGGTCAGGGACCCACTTGAAGAGGCAGTCTGTCCCTTAGCAGAGCTTGAGCGCTGTGCTAGGAGATATGCTGCTCTCTTCAGAGCTGGCAGGCAGGAACATTTAAGTTTGCTGAAGCTTTGCCCACAGCTGTACCTTCCTTCAGGTGCTCTGTCCCAGGGAGATGGGAATTTTATCTATAACCCCCTGACGGGGGCTGCTGCCTTTCTTTCAGAGGTGCCCTGCCCAGAGAGGAGGAATCTAGAGAGGCAGTCTGGCTACAGTGGCTTTGCTGAGCTGTGGTGGGCTCTGCCCAGTTTGAACTTCCTGGTGGCTTTGTTTACACTGTGAGGGTAAAACCGCCTACTCAAGCCTCAGTAATGGCAAATGCCCCTCCCCCGACCACGCTCGAGTGTCCCAAGTTGACTTCAGACTGCTGTGCTGGCATTGAGAATTTCAAGCCAGTGGATCTTAGCTTATTGGGCTTTGTGGGGGAGGCATCTGCTGAGCTAGACCACTTGGCTCCTTGGCTTCAGCCCCCTTTCCAGGGGAGCGAATGGTTCTGTCTTGTTGGTATTCCAAGCACCACTGGAGTATGAAAAAAAAAACTCCTGCAGCTAGCTTGGTGTCTGCCCAAATAGCCACCCAGTTTTTGTGCTTGAAACCCTGCTGGTGTAGGCACCTGAGGGAATCTCCTGGTCTGCGGGTTGCAAAGACCATGGGAAAAGCATAGTTTCTGGGCTGGAATGCACCGTTCCTCACGGCACAGTTTCTCATGGCTTCCTTTGGCTAGGGGAGGGAGTTCCCTGACCCCTTGTGCTTCCCGGGTGAGGCGATGCCCCACCCTGCTTTGGCTCACCTTCTTTGGGCTGCACCCCCTGTCTAACCAGTCCCAATGAGATGAGCCAGGTACCTCAGTTGGAAATGCAGAAATTACCTGCCTTCTGCACTGATCTCGCTGGGAGTTGCAGACCAGAGCTGTTCCTATTTGGCCATCTTGCCAGCCCCTGGTATATTATCATTTTTATATCTTGCTCTTAAGGATGTTTGCATCTAAATTCTTGAGGATTAGAGTCTTGTCTTCTTATAAAGTCTTTTTTTGAATTGCTTATTTTATTTTTTCATCCAACTTTCATTTCTTTTTAAAAACATTTTTTGACACATATTTGTACACACTTATAGGGTACATAGGGATGTTGCAATACATATAATGTACAGTGATCAGATTGGGGTAATTAACGTATCTGTCATCTCAAACATTTATTATTTCTTTGTGTTGGAAATATTCAATATCCTTCTTCTAGCTATTTGAAAATACATACTATTGTTAACTATAGTCATCCTACAGTGCTGTGGAACACTAGAACTTATTCCTCCTATCTAGCTGTAATTTTGTGTCCTTCAGCAAATCTCTGACCGTCCCTGCCTTTCTGCTACTCTTCCTTGCCTCTAGTAGCCTCTGTTCTACTTTTTGCTTCTACAAGATTAACTTTTTTTGGCTTCCATATATAACAGAACATGTGGTGTTTAACTTTCTATTCCTGGCTGATTTCACTTAACAATGTCCTCCAGTTCCATCCATATTGCTACAAATGACAGGAGTTTTGTGGCTGAATAGTATTCCATTGTGTGTGTGTGTGTATATATATACATATATATATATATATAAAATATTTTCTTTATCCATTCATCTCTTGTGATATCTTTGTCTAGTTTTGGTATCATGGCAATATTGGTCTCATAAAACGAGTTAGGAAGTCTGTCTTTTTTCTCTGCTTTTGATGTAATTTGTGTAGGTTTGGTGTTTCTTCCTTCCATGTTTAGCCTCTGTATATAGAGTTCTCTTAGTGAAAATGCTTTAAATTTTGAAGTCAGTTATTTAAAAATTTGATATGGGTTTATTTGGCTTTTTTACTTCTTTTTGATTCAGTTTTGATTATTTGTGTCTGTCAAAGTGTTTCTTAATCTAAGATGGCAAATTTACTAGTGTAATGTTATTCACAATATTTTCTTAGTTATCTTATTTTTTTTGTTTGTTTGAGATGGAGTCTCTCTCTTTCACTCAGACTGGAGTGCATTGGCACAATCTCAGTTCACTGCAACCTCTACCTCCCGGGTTCAAGTGATTCTCCTGCCTCAGCCTTCAAGTAGCTGAGACTACAGACATGCACCACCATGCCTGGCTAATTGTTGTATTTTTAGTAGAGACAGGGTTTCACTATGTTGGCCAGGCTGGCCTCGAACTTCTGGCCTCAGGTGATCCACAGGCCTCAGCCTCCCAAAGTTGCTGGGATTACAGGCATGAGCCAACACACACTGCCCCTAATTATCTTTTTAATGTCTGTAGTTATGTTCTTTTTTTCATTCTTTATATTGCTAATTTTTTATTTTTTATTCAGTCCAACTAAAGGTTTATGAAAATTTTCAACCCTTTCAAAGAATCAGCTTTTAATTTCCTTGATTTTCTTATTGTTTGACCATTTTTCATTTCATTGATTTCTATTCTTATCTTTGTTATTTTATTCTTTCTATTTTGTGCTTATTTGCTCTTATTTTTATAGCTTTATAAAGTGGAAACTTAAATCATTCATTTTAGAACTTTCTCTTTTTCAAAATTAAGCATTTAAATTAAGCATCTACCCCTTCACCACTACCTTTGCCAGCCTTTGGTAATCATTATTCTTCTTTCTATCTTTATGAGTTTAATTAGAGAAGTTGGTTAATGGGTACAAAAATATAGTTAGATTGAAGGAATAAGATCTAGGGTTTGGTATCACAATAGGGTGACTATATTTAACAATAATTTATTGTATATTTCAAAATAACTAACACAGTGGAATTGTAATGTTCCTAACAAAAAGAAATGATAAATGCTTGAGGTCATGGATATCCCAGTTGCCCTGATTTGATCATTACATATTGTATACTTATATCAAAATATCACATGCCCCTGTAAATATGTACAACTATTATATCCACAATAATTATAAAAATAAATTTTTTAAAGATAAGCATTTAAAATTACAAAGTTTTAAAGCACTGCTTATTAGCATTGCAGATATTTTGATACATCATATTTCATTTTTATTGCTTTCAAAATATTTTCTAATTTCCCTTGTGATTTCTCTTGGACAAAAGTGTACTGTTCAACAATGTTCACTATGCAGGTCACGGGTATGATAAAAGCCCAGTCTTCACTACTATGTAATATATGCATGTAAAAGACCCGGACTTGTATCCCCTAAATATATCTTTTAAAAGTGTACTGTTTAATTTCCAAATACTTGGGGGACTTTTCAGATATGTTTCTGTTGTTTGTTTCCAATTTAATTTTATTGTGATCGGTGAACATATTTTGAACTACTTCCATTGTTTTAAATTTATTGAAACTTGTTTTATGGAACATTATTATATGGTATATCTTTGCTCATATTCCACATCCACTTGAAGAGAATGTATATTCTGCTGTTGTTAAAGAGTTAGTTATAGTTAATATAGAGTTATATTAGCATTTGTATGGTTAGCGCTACAATATTGTAATATTAGTCATTGAAGCACCCATTATTAGCACTGTCAGTGGGAGTTTTGTGTATCTTACATAAGATGCTTTTAACCTTAAGATACACGCATCCCTTATTCAATAATCCATGTAATTATCAGCTGGAAATGATTAAGGAAGCAGGTTTAGTAAAATTTTTTGAAAGGCAGTAAGTCACACTCAATTTGCACCCAAATCCAACACATCTGCTGAGAATGGTTTAGTTCTTAATTAAAATTTGATTTTGAATGAAAATAGCTTTTCCTTTCAGCCAGAGAAAAGCCATGGTCATATGCTTAGAAAGAGTTGGAGTGGCCTTTATCTTAGGTATCCACAGGAGAAACCACCTCAGGTGGTACATACACTAATATAAACCACAGAAAAAATTAAAACAAATCTAGAACCAAATTCTGGGAGAGGGGAGATTGAAACTGATATGAGAGAATTTTCTGAGGACATGGAAATGTTTTATTTCATCATAAAGGTATAGGCTACACAGTAGCATACATTTGTTAAAATTGTACATACAAGGCCTGGCACGGTAGCTCACACCTGTAATCCTATTACATTGGGAGGCTGAGGTGTGTGGATTTCTTGAGCTCAAGAGTTCAAGACCAGCCTGGGCAACATGTTGAAACCCTGTCTCTATAAAAATACAAAAAAATTAGCCAGGCATGGTGGCACATGCCTGTAGTTCCAGTTACTCAGGAGGCTGAGGCACAAAATCACTTGATCCCAGGAGGCAGAGGTTGCCGTGAGCTGAGACAGCACCACTGCACTCCAGCCCGGGCAACAGAGCGAGACTGTCTCAAAAAAAAAATGTACATATGAGATTCCTTTAAAAGATATTTCACTGTTTAAAGCAAACAGTAATACATTGTGAGATTTATGACATACAGAATTTTACTTTAGAAAAGTAAAAGTGATTTGAAAGTGTACAATAAAAAAACTTGTGGTTTTTTTTTTTTTTTTTTTTTTGAGATGGAGTCTCGGTCTGTCGCCCAGGCTGGAGTGCAGTGGCATTAGAACAGCTCAGTGGAAACCCACAGGGGTCAGCTCCTTTCCTCAGCCAGAGTGTCCCATCATAAGTTCACCTCCCAGCAGAGAGAGTAGCTCCTCTCTGTAGCTGGTCATTCCAATGTCTGCAGCTCTCAGCAGAGAGGAGGCTCTGGAGTGGGTAGCTCCTCTTTGAAGCTAGTCATCCTGACATCTGCTGCTCTCAGCAGAGAGAAGGCCCTGGAGTGGGTACCTCTTTTCTGCAGCTGTTCATCCCCACATCTGCTGAGCTCTGGCTGAGTCCAGGACTTTTATGGGAGGAAGTGCATGCTGATTGGTTCATGGGCAACTGTGGGCAGGCCAGAAAAGGCATCACGAGGTTGATGGTGCCTGGCCTAAAGGTGGGGCCTCACCGGAGACCTGCCCTTTTCTGCCCAGGAGTCTGTCTGCCTCTGGCTGCCATTCATGGCACCCAGGCTGTTTGTGCCAAGGAGCACCTGCAGGCCAGTGCTGAGTTGCCCTCCATCCCCCTTGGCTTCCCGCCCATGCTCTTCCACGGCCAAAGTCTGGAGGGAGCTGAGGTGACAGAGGGCTGGTGTGTCAGCACTGCCCTGAGTGTGTGCATACCCTGCCGGTCTGTGACAGCACTTGGGCTCAGTCCCAACTTTGCTCCAAGGTCTGAGCAGGTGCTGACATCAGGGAAAAGCAAGGCAGTGGGAGCAGGCATTTCTTTTCTTTTCTTTCTTTCTTTCTTTTTTTTATTTGAGACAGAGTCTCGCTCTGTCACCCAGGCTGGAGTGCAGTGGCATGACATTTCTGAGCCGGTGAGGGCAGGGAGGGCCTTCCCAGGCCCCAAGAGTTCAGGGATGCCACGGAACAGGAGACCCGGGTCTGCAGCCATGACTTAGGCAGCTGTGGCTACACCCGGGGAACTCCCGCCCCAGCAACTCATAAGGGGCAGGCCTCCCACTTGTCACCGGCTCCACAGAGTGTGCAGCCCTGGCTGTGCCTCCCTGCTGCAGCTGGTATGATGGCAGCAGCCACTCCAGACTGGCTACTGCTGCCATCAATAAGCTTTAGAGTATGAATGTCATGTTATTAGCACGTATAACGAATACTTTTTCTGTTGAAGCAATGAATCTCTTCTTTTGATATCAATATGTAGAAAAAACAATTTCCTTTTGAAAATTTACTGACAAACCCTCTGACACCACTTCATAGAACATGGGGCCATCAAAATTCCATTTTGAAGCCAAGGGATAATGTTCGATATTAGGTTCAAGGGAGTGAGGATAAGCTTGGTTTCCCTTTGTCTTTGACTGTTGTCAATTTGAATATAATAGTATTTTGTAGATGGATTAATAAGATCGAGGTAGAGGTGTTTGCATGTATGCTTGTGTGTACATGTTAATAAAAGTGTTCT
Source organism: Homo sapiens (assembly GCF_000001405.40). Classification (NCBI taxonomy): domain Eukaryota; kingdom Metazoa; phylum Chordata; class Mammalia; order Primates; family Hominidae; genus Homo; species Homo sapiens. The sequence goes on from NC_000002.12 coordinate 208,530,937, forward strand.
GTATGTATTATCAATAAACCATATTGATTTTGATGTTACTCTTTTAAGTACTATTTTATTATAAAAATGAAGGAAGTCTAAATGTATCTTTCATCTCTCAAAAGCCTCACATTTTAAAATGAAGTAGATATTTATTAGAAAATGTTTGCTAAATCGAGGAAGGAAGAGATTTTAAAGTAGGAAAAAAGTGGAAAGCCTCTCAGGAAAATAGTGCACATGGATGAAGGCTTTTAATGCTCCTTTTTCTAAGCATATGTCAAGATTTTGATTTTTTTCTTCCTCTGAACTAGGTATAGAACTCTTAGGGATGATTCTGTTCATTATATCACTCTCAGCAGAAATCACATTACAAAGAGGAAATTGTGATATTATGAAGACTGAAAATATCTAAGTTTTAGTATAAATCTACTGCAATATTTTATCATGTTGCTAAATGCACTTTCCCTAACAAGCGAAATTGTTCCGTAACTCCATTTATAGGTTACATTTTTTTTCCCATGGGTTATTTTGTTTCTGTGCACTTTTCTCCTCTTCAATATCTCTTTACACAGATGCAACACACTGCTTTCCATTTCTGTGAAAGTTAGTGAAACTTGAAAGCACATGTTGCAGTCAGTCATTTCACTCTTTCAAGCAGACACTTTATGCAAAGGGAAGGAATTATGCAAAATTTGCCCCCAACTAACACCACAAAGTGAGCAAATACAAGTCCTTCAGTTTTGCTGTTAGAAACACAATTTGTCCTGCTAACAAGAATTTTTAACGGTGACTCAGAACTACAGGTGTAGAAAACATTCTTTTATTTTGTATAACTAGGGTAATTCCTCCATTTCAGCTGGCCTGCCTCAGGCTGTTCTTAGGGTGTTCCTAGGACCACTAGGGTGTCCCTAAGGCACTTTCACACAGTTTACAAGGTTCTCTTTTAACCAACTATATATCTGGACGAGGCCAGATTTTCTTCATGTACTTCCACCAAAAACAACACATCACAACAAATTGGATACCAAAGTTATAAGAATCCAACTGTCTTTTGTTAAGCACAACATGAAATAGCTTTTTCCAAAATGTAAGACAACTAGTTTTCTTTTAAAAATATAGTCATTTTAATACAATGTTTGTATTATGTATATTGTACATAATATATACTATTTTTATTGTATAGATTTATAAATAAATACTATTTTATTGTATAATGATTTATAAGTAAATATTTCTAGATGCCACAGTATTAATTTCAAATCTGGTGAGTATTGATGGATATAACTGACAGCGTAAACATTCCTTTGGGTTCCTGATTTTTAAGAGTGTAAAAGGTAAAATCAGAGTGTAAAATCTGAAACGAAAAAGTTTCAGATTTAATGTTTTAGAACATGCCATCTACCTACTAAAGCAGAAGAAAACTAATTTTTTTCCTTAAAATAAGAATTTGAGGAAATATATTTTTGGGTTTATTGTCTCAAGCATATATTTTAGGGTAGTTTTCATGGCATTGGTGTGAAAGTCTAAGAATATCATTGCTAAAAAACAAATGAAAATATTTAGAATGTCAGGTATTTATATTTTTTTCTAGTTGTGTGACTCAAGTTTCTATATGAATTAAATTAACAATGAAATTTCCAAATAAATAGTTCCCTTGGTGTTATGTGAATTAGAGAGTGAAAGGTCATGAGTACAGGCACACCTCATTTTATTGCTCTTCACTTTATTATGCTTCACATATATTGTGATTTTCTTACAAATCGAAGATTTGTGGTAATCCTGCATTGAGCAAGTCTATCAGCACCATTTTTCCAACAGTATGTGCTCAATTCATGTCTCTTGTCATATTTTGGTAATTCTCCCAATATTTCAAACTTTTTCATCATTATTACATCTTTCATAATAATTTGCAATCAGTTATCTTTGATGTTACCATTGTAATTGTTTTGGGGTGCTATGAACTGCATGCTTAGAAGACAGTCAACTTAATCAACAAATATGCATGTTCTCACTGCTCCACTGACTAGCCATTCTCCTATCTCTCTTCTTCTTCTCTGGCCTCCCCCTTTCCTGAGGCATGACAATATTGACAATAGGTCAATCAATAACCCTACAATGGCCTCTAAAGTGTTCAAGTAAAAGGAAGGGTTGCACATCTCTCACTTTAAATCAAAAGCTAGAAACAAGTAAGCTTAGTGAAAAAAGCATGTTGAAAGTCAAGACAGGATGAAAGCTAGGCCTCTTGTACCAGTTAGCCAAGTTGTAAATGCAAAAGAAAAGTTCTTAAAGGAAATTAAATTGCTACTCCAGTGAACACCCAAATGATAAGAAAGTGAAACAGTTTTATTGCTGATATTGGGAAAGTTTTAGTGGTCTGGATAAAAGATAAAACCAGCCACAGTATTCGCTTAAGCCAAAGCCTAATCCAGAACGAGGCCCTAACTCTCTTTAATTCAACGAAGGCTAAGAGCGGTGAAGAAGCTGCCGAAAAAAAGTTTGAAGCCAGCAGGGAGGTTGGTTCGTGAGGTTAAAGGAAAGAAGCCACATCCATAACATAAAAGTGAAAGGTGAAGCAGCAAGTGCTGATGGAGAAGCTGCAGCAAATTATCTGGAAGAACTAGCTAAGATCATTGATGAAGGTGGCTACATTAAATAACAAATTTTCAGTGTAGATGAAACAGTCTTGTGTTGTAAGAAGATGCCATCGAGGATTTCACAGATACAGAGAAATTAATGAGTGATTTCAAAGCTTCAAAAAACAGGCTGAGTCTCTTGATAGGGGCTAACATAGCTGGTGACTTTAAGTTGAAGCCAGTGGACATTTGCTATTCCAAATATCCTAGGACCCTAAAGAATTATGCTGAATCTACTCTGTCTGTGCTCTATAAATGGAGCAACAAAGCCTGGATGACACTACGTCTTTTGGCCGTATGGTTTACTGAATATTTTCAGCCCACCGTTGAAACCTCCTGCCCAAAAGATGTCTTTTTAAATATTACTGCTCATTGACAATGCACCTAGTCACTCAAGAGTACATCTGATGGAGACGTACAAGAAGATGAATGTTGTTTTCATGCCTGCTACATCCATTCTGTAGCCCAAGAATCAAGGAGTAATTTTTGACTTTCAAGTCTTAATTCAGATATATATATATATATGTATATATCTTATATTCAGATATATATATATATATATATATCTTATATTCAGATATATATATATATATATATATCTTATATTCAGATATATATATATATATATATATATATATATATATAGTAAGGCTATAGATGCCATAAACGGAGATTATTTTGATAGATCTGGGTAAATTCAAAACCTTCTAGAAAGGACTCACCATTCTAGATGTATTAAGAACTTTAATGATTCATAGGAGGAGGTCAAATATCAACATTAACAGGAGTTTGGAAGAAATTTATTCCTACCCTCATGGATGACCTTGAGGGGTTCAAGACTTCAGTGGAGGATGTAATTGCAGATGGAATGAAAATAGCAAGAGAACTAATATTAGAAGGGGAGCCTAAATACGTGACTGAATTGCAGCAATCTCATGATAAAAAACTTGAACGTATAAGGAGTTACTTCTTGTGGATCAGCAAAGAAAGTGATTTCTTGAGAAACTAACTGCTGGTAAAGATGTTGTGAACGTTGTTAAAGTGACAGCAAAAGATTTAGAATATTACATAAACTTAGTTGTCAAAACAATGGCAAGGTTTGAAAGGGTTGATTCTAATTTTGAAAGAGATTCTACTGTGAGTGAGTAAAATTCTATCAAACAACATTGCCTGCTCCAGAGAAATCTTTTGTGAAAGGAAGATTCAATGCATGCAGCAGATTTCATTGTTGTCTGATTTTAAGAAATTGCCACAGCCTCCCCAGTCTTTAGCAACTATACCCAATTGATCAGCAACCATTAACATTGAGGCAAGACCCTCCACCAGCAAAAAGATTATGAATCATTGAGGGCTCAGATAATTGTTAGCATTTTTTAGCAATGAAGTATTTTTAAAATAAGGCATGTACATTTTTTATACATAGTATTGTATACCTAATAGATTACAGTATAGTGTAAATGTAACTTTTATATGCACTGGGAAACCAGAAAATTCATGTGACTCACTTGTTGCAATATTCACTTTATTTTGGTGGTCTGGAATCAAATCTGCAATATCTCCAAGGTATGCTTGTATTCTAAATTATGACCAAAAATTATTTTGATACTTGCTTTCATTTTTATACCACCTTTGTTCCCCATTTGCAGTTGCTATTTGTTATTTATTTACTGCATTTAGGCATCCAAATTCTTTTTTGAATCAAGTTATCTTCCTTTTATTTATTTCATGCTAGTCTGGATTATTTTCTTCCAAAAATTATAAATACCCTATAGAAAGAGTTATGTTTAAATTTGTTGCCCCTCACTTATATACTGTTGGTGAGAATGTAAATTAGCCCATCCACTATAGAGAGTGGTTTGGAGATTTCTTAAAGAACTAAAAGTTGAACTAACACTTGACCCTGCAATCTCATCACTAGGTATACACCCAGTGGAAAATAAATCATTCTACCAAAAGAACACATGCATCCCTATTCACAATAGCAAAACCATGGAATAAACACAAGGGCCCATCAATGGTGGATTGAATAAAGGACAAGCAGTACATATACACTGTGTGTATTAGTTTGTTCTCACACTGCTAATAAAGACATGGCTGAGACTGGGTAACTTGTAAAGGAAAGAGATTTAATTGACTCACAGTTAAGCATGGCTGAGAATGCCTCACAGTCATGACAGAAGACAAAGAAGGAGCAAAGGCACATCTTACATGGTGGCAGGCAAGAGAGCATGTGTAGGGGAACTACCCTTTATAAAACCATCAGATCTTGTGAGAATTATTCACTATCACAAGAACAGCATGGGAAAAACCCACACCCATGATTTAATTACCTCATGACAGGTCCCTCCCATGACACACGGGGATTATGGGAGCTACAATTCAAGATGAGATTTGGGTGGGGACAAAGCCAAACCACAGCATTTCACTCCTGGCCCCTCCTAAATCTCATGTCCTCATACTTCAAAACAAAGCATACCTTCCCAACAGTCCTCCAAAGTCTTAACTCACTTCAGCATTAATTCAAAAGTCCACAGTCCAAAGTCTCATGTGAGACAAGGCAAGTCCCTTCTGTCTATGAGCCTGTAAAATCAAAAGCAAGTTAATTACTTCCTACCTACAGTGGGGGTACAGGCTTTGGGTAAATACAGCCATTCCCAATGGGAGAAATTGGCCAAAACAAAGGGGGCTACAGAGCCCATGCAAGTCTGAAATCCAGCGGGGCAGTCAAATTTTAAAGCTCCAAAATAATCTCCTTTAACTCCAGGTCTCACATACAGGTCACACTGATGCAAGAGGTGGGTTCCCATGGTCTTGGGCAGCTCCACCCCTGTGGCTTTGCAGGGTAAGGCCTCCTTCCCAGCTACTTTCATGGGTTGGTGTTGAGTTTCTGCACCTTTTCCAGGTGCACTGTGCAAGCCGTTGGTGGATCTATCATTCTGGGGTGTGGAAGATGGTGGCCCTCTTCTCACAGGTCCACTAGGCAGTCCCCAGTGGGGATTCTGTGTGGGGGCTCTGACCCCACATTTCCCTTCCATACTGCCCTAGCAGAGATTCTCCACGAGGGCTCCACCTCCACAGCACACATCTGCCTAGACATCCAGGTGTTTCCATACATCCTTTGAAATCTAGGCAGAGGTTCCAAAACTTCAGTTTTTGACTTCTGTGCACCTGCAGGCCCAACACCATGTGGAAGCTGCAAAAGGCTGGGGCTTGCACCCTCTGAAGCCATGGCTGGAGCTGTACCTTGGCCCCTTTTAGCTACAGCTGGAGTGGCTGGGATGCAGAGCACCAAGGCCATAGGCTTTGCACAGCAGGGGGGCCCTGGGCCAAGCCCATGAAAGCATTTTTTCCTCCTAGGACTATGGGCAGGCAGGCCAGTGATTGCAGGGGCTGCCTCAAAGTTCTCTGACATGCCCTGGAGATGTTTTCCCCATTGTCTGGGTGATTAGCATTTGGCACCTTGTTATTTATACAAATTTTATGCAGCTGGCTTGAATTTCTCCCCATAAAATGGGTTTTTCTTTTCCATAACATTGTCAGGCTGCAAATTTTCCAAACTTTTATGCTCTGCTTCCCTTTTAAACGTAAGTTCCAATTTCACATTCTCTCTCTCAAGTTCAAAGTTCCACAGATCTCTAGGGCAGGGGAAAAATGCTGCCAGTCTATTTGCATAGCAAGAGTGACCTTTCTCCAGTTCCCAACAAGTTCCTCATCTCCATCTGAGACCACCTCAGCCTGGATCTTATTGTCCATGTCACTATCAGCATTTTGGTCAATTCATTCAACAAGTCTTTAGGAAGTTCTAAACTTTACCACATTTTCGTATCTTCTTCTGAGTCCTCTAAACTGTTCCAACTTCTGTTCCCCAGTTCCAAAGTTGCTTCCATAATTTCAGTTATCGTTATAGCAGCACCCCACTTTACTGGTACCAATGTACTGTATTAGTCTATTCTTATGCTGCTAATATAGACATAACCAACACCAGCTAATTTGTAAAGGAAAGAGGTTTAATTGACTCACTGCTAAGCATGGCTGGGGAGGGCTTACAGTCATGGCAGAAGGCAAAGGAAGAGCAAAGGTATTTGTCTTACACGGCAGCCGGCAAGAGACTGTGTGCAGGGGAACTACCCTTTATAAAACCATCAGATCTCATGAGACTTATACACTATCATGAGAACAGCAAGGGAAAAATCTACCCCCATGATTTAATTACCTCCCACTGGGTCCCTCTCACAACACGTGGGAATTATGCAAACTACAATTCACGATGAGATTTTGGTAGGGACACAGCCAAACCATATCACTGTGGAATAGTATGTATCCATAAAAATGAATGAAATCATGTCCTTTGCAGCATCATGGATGCAGCTGGAGGCAATTATCCTAAACAAATTAATGCAGGAACAAAAAACCAAATACCATATGTTCTCGCATGTAAGTGGGAGCTAAACATTAGGTCCACATGGACATAAAGATGGAAACAATAGATACTGGGGTCTACTAAAGGAGAGAGAGAGGAGGCCGGGCGCGGTGGCTCAGGCCTGTAATCCCAGCACTTTGGGAGGCTGAGGCGGGTGGATCACGAAGTCAGGAGATCGAGACCATCCTGGCTAACAAGGTGAACCTCGTCTCTACTAAAAAATACAAAAAATTAGCTGGGTGTGGTGGCGGGCGCCTGCAGTCCCAGCTACTCAGGAGGTTGAGGCAGGAGAATGGCATGAACCCAGGAGGCAGAGGTTGCAGTGAGCCAAGATCGTGCCACAGCACTCCAGCCTGGGCGACAGAGCAAGACTCTGTCTCAAAAAAAAAAAAAAAAAAAAAAAAAGAGGAGGGAGAGAGGAAGGAGGGCAAGGGTTGAAAAATTACCTATTGGGTACTATGCTCACTACCTGGGTGACAAGTTCAGCCATAACCCAAACCTCAGCATCGTGAGAAATACTTTTGCAACAAACCTGCACATGTACCCCTGATTCTAAAATAAAAGTTGAAAAGGAAAAAAAAATGGTCCCTAAAATACAAAATATGGTATAGTAGGTACAAAACCATCCTTATTAGAAATGAATTAGAAGGTGTTATAAAACTTAGTTGGTACAATTAATATTACATCTAATAAATCTAATTGTTTCTTTTGGGTGAAGTTGCAAAAACAATGATAAGACTTATGGGACTAAATTGTTTCTGTAGTCCTCTTACTCTTTATACTTAATGAAAATATGTCTTCTCAGAATTGAGTTTTTAAAAATTGTTTTCCCCAAATCAAAGGTTACAATTTAAACATCTTTTTGTGTGTTTTGCTTACTGTGTTCCCACTTTCTCAAGAAATAGAAAAATGCACAATATCTTTGTGAAATATTTATTTCATGAACTTTAAATAAAATTGCTATGATACAAAGAGATGGATGACACATTTAAATCAGAGAGTTAGAAAAATGGTTCTTTGCTTAAAATGTCAGTAAAATCAGCCACATCTAGACCTCCAAATTCATCCCCACTTTAAAGCCACTTTAAAGTGATTTTAGTGAGTTTGGGCGAAACTTATTTCAGGTTTAAGAACAGCTGGGGTTTTTTTGTCCCTTTCAGAAGTCACTTCCAAAAAAAACTGTTTATTAAAAATTTTAAATCTAAAAGTTTAAAATTCAAAACCAATTCAACAGTAGGTGTAGCCTACAAAGCAGTAAGTGTAAAATGGTCAGGAATGAATCAGCAACAGTAGGGAAAGCTGGTCTAACAATCTGACAGAGAGGCTATTATGGCATCTACAGCTCTGCCTAATGGAAGAGGATTTTGAAAACTGAATTAAAGCTGAAAACTGCCACATATACCAAAGTATATGTTTCAAAAAACAAAGCCAGCAGTCAGAAGGGGCAGAGAGGGAAAGAGCGAGAGAGTGAGAGAGTGAGAGCAAGAGTGAGTGAGCGAGTGAGAGAGAGAGAGAGAATAAGCTTCAGGAATGCACAAAGAAAAATGTCATTCGTATTATGCAAATTAGAACTTAAAGCAGTGTCATAAGCAAAAACTGAGATTTTTCTGTCATTAATAAATTCCCTAATAGAAACTGCAATGATCAACTGTTCAGATTATCAAAGAACACCAAAGATTATAGAAGAAGACCAGCAAAATTATATAATCATGAAAAAGAGTATTAAGACAAATTCTTCAGCCAGGTAATCCTTAATGATACAGGATTTAAAGTCAATATCATTTGTAAGTATTGGTATCTAGTTAACTATATTGTACACAAATTAAATATTGTATTTAGGAAATTGTTATCTGGTATCAGTGTTTCTCAGCCTGTTTTTTTTTTTAAATTATCAGCCCCATATAAAGAAAAAATTTAATTTAAATTTACCTTTTACCTAATGAGATAATTGAATACTAAAGAATAATATTTTGCTGGGTAAGTTACAAACCCAGCAAGATTTGCTGCCCTGTCTCCACCAAAAGAACTGATCTTACTTCCTTGGGGGGCAATATTGCTGTAGTTGAGAAGGCACGTTCTATTTGAATTCAATTTTTCTCATTTTTTAATATCAACCATTTCAAAATCTTTCCAATTACAGGTAAAAAAAATGAGAACATTGGCCGGGCGCGGTGGCTCACGCCTGTAATCCCAGCATTTTGGGAGGCCGAGGCAGGCGAATCACGAGGTCAGGAGATCGAGACCATCCTAACTAACATGGTGAAACCCCATCTCTACTAAAAAGACAAAAACAGAATTTGCCGGGTGTGGTGGCGGTCACCTGTAGTCCCAGCTACTCGGGAAGCTGAGGCAGGAGAATGGCGTGAACCCGGGAGGTGGAGCTTGCAGTGAACCGAGACTGCATCACTGCGCTCCAGCCTGGGTGACAGAGCGAGACTCCGTCTCAAAAAAAAAAAAAAAAAGAACCTCAGTGGGAAAATTACTTACCTTTTACAAACCTATTTATCCTTTGTTAAGTGGGGTTAATTGCCTGATCTCTCTCCTTTTTGATGGGAGCTGAGCCACGTGTAGGTATGTCTGGAAGAAAACCCAGTGACAGGGAAGTGGGCCTCTTCCCATAATGTTGGGGGCTAGGAGGAGTCCACAAACATTCCAAGAGAGAAGTATTGAAGGTACATTGTCTAGACTGGGAACAGAATAAATACCAGGAACTAAAATCCAAGGGATCATTTGAGATGTGAAGCCAGATAGCACAAATTTTGATTTTAGAGATGTTTACATGGGAGGTTGGAGGTTCTTCAAGACTTTCACAGACCATGTATTTTAACACACATTTGTAGTCAGCCCTTTTTTTAGGTCTTGTAGCTTCTTTTACTTTTTCCTAATTAACTGAAGTCCATACTTTATTTGGATTTCCTTAGTTCTAGCATTGCATTGTTCCTTTTTAAAAACCTTTTATTTTAAGTTCAGGGGTGCATGTGCAGGTTTGCTACATAGGTAAACTTGTGTCATGGGGGTTTGTACAGATTATTTCATCACCCAGGTATTAAGCCTCATACCCTTAGTAATTTTTTCCGATTTTCTCCCTTCTCTCACCTTCTACCCTCTGATAGGTCCCAGTCGTGTTGTTCCCCTGTATGTGTCCATGTGTTCTCATCATTTATCTCCCATTTGTAGAACATGCAGTATTTGGTTTTCTGTTCCTGTGTTAGCTGAGGATAATGGCCACCAAATCCATCCATGTATCTGCAAAAGACATAATCTCATTTTTTTTAATTGGCTGCATCGTATTCCAAGGTGTATATGTGCCACATTTTCTTTATTCAGTCTACCATCGATGGGCATTTAGGTTGATTCCATGTCTTTGCTATTACGAATAAATGTGGCAATAAACATACATGTGCATGTGTCTTAAAGTCATATTTTTTGTTGTGCTTCCTTTTGCAACTCCCTTTTAGAAATAGATGTTGTGACTCTTCTCAGTTTTTCTCCTTCCATCTTTTCCTCATTCTTGAGGTCTGATGTAGAAACATTGCTGGTCCACAGTAAAATTCACATTGAAAATCTGCTCTGGAGGATGTGATTCTCAAAATTTTTAAAGCTATGCTTGTGAAGTGTTGGGTTGGGTGTGTTTCTAAATGTTCTTTGCCAGCTGAGATCTGGATGTGATCTCTGAGATTTGGTTTCAATCTCCTTAGTAACAGAAGAATTCATCCTTCCCCATGCGAGAGTCATTTCTTATGAAACTCATCAACATTCTGTGTCAAAGAAAATGTAAGTAGTTGAGGTAATGTTTTCTTATCAGCTAGGAACAAACTTCTATCCCTACACTGTTACAGAGCCTAACCAGCTTGCTGCCACACGCGCTAGAAGCCAATACTATGACACCAGGATTTTTGGGAAAAATAAAGCCTTCTATTGAAATCTGGCCAACAAGGAGACAGGAATCCAGCTCAAATTTATTCCCTGTGCTGTCTTTAAGGCAGTAATTTGATTAGACAAGATTTAGGTGGTGGAATCTGGGATTAATAGGTGATTGGTGGAAGGAAAGGGAGGTCTGGAAAATCCTTGGGCATGCTCAGTTATCTCTTCACACTACCTCATGGATAACATGTGCAAATTTGGGGAGGAGTTAGTATGAAACATGCAGTGCAAATTCGGGTTGTGACATCAGCAAGCTGGTTCTGTGCAGAATCTAGTTGGCCATATTGATTGCAACCAATTTTAGCTAGTTGTGTTATCTTGCAAGCAGACACAGTTTCAGTGGTTTTGCAAGTTCTTTCTTTTCTTATCTATCATCCTGCAAACTCAAGAATTTCTGTTAGTCGTTGGTGTGTTTAACTCTTTGGGGCATAGTTTCAACACTATTCCTAAATATTAGGTTGATGCAAAAGTAACTGTGGTTTTTGCCTTACTTTTAACTACAAAAACTGCAATTACCTTTGCACCAACTTACTACATTCAATGACCTCACGTAAGAAGCAGAGGTAAATTTTCCAGTCTGTTAACTCTGCAATTAATGGAAAACTAATGGAAAACATTTTGGACAGCTTATTCCTCCATGTAAATGTTTAACACTATTAATTATTTCTGGATTATTAGTCAGAGTTCTCCAGAGGGATAAAACTAATAGGGCATATGTATATATGAAGGGGAGTTTCTTGAGGAGAGCTGACTCACATGATTACAAGGTGAAGTCCCATGATATGCTGTCTGCAAGCTGAGGAAGAAGGAAGCCAATAGTGGCTCAGTCAGAGTTCAGAAGCCTCAAAAGCAGGGAAGCTGATAGTATAGCCTTCAGTCTGTGGCTGAAGGCCTGAGAGCCCCTGGAAAACCACTGGTGTAAGTCCAAGAGTCCAGAAGCTGAAGAACCTGGAGTCTGATGACCAAGGGCAGGAAGCATCCAGCACGGGACAAAGAAGAAAGCCAGAAGACTCAGCAAGCCAGCTCATCTCACTTTCTTCTGCCTACTTTGTTGTAGCTGAGCTGGCAGCCAGTTGGATGGTGCACACTCACATTGAGGGTGAGTCTTCCTCTCCCAGTCCACTGACTCAAATGTTGATCTCCTCTGGCAACACCCTCACAGACATACCTAGAAACAATACCAGCTATCTAGGCATCCTTCAATCCAATCAAGTTGACACCTAATATTAGCCATCACACTGATGATCAGATTTTCAAAAACATGTTGTATTAGAAATTTGGCTGTATTTCTATGACTATTCTTTTATGAAAACTGTCTCACCAAGATATTGCAATACATCTCCATGGGCAGTTTCTTACAATGCCCACATGTAGTGACAGTTTATTTCTTTATGTTTATTTTTCCATTCATTAATTTTTTGAAGAGAAAGACTAAATTTAATACAAACTCACTAGTTCAATTCAAGTAGAGGTGATTGTTCAGAAGAAAACTTGGAAAAAGATGAGTGTTTTAGAGACTGTGGAACCAATATGAGAAGGAGCTCAGTCAAAAACTCTGACTCTATTTCTGACTGGAAGACAAAATGGTGGCCGAGACCGTCTCTGCCTCTCCCTTTTCTCTCTCTGGTTTGGTAGGACTATTTCCGGATTTTATCTGTTATCATCTAGGCTAAAGTTTAAATTCCCCAGAAAAGCTTCTTTTATAGGGTTGGGGAGAAATGGTGAAGCCCATCTCAATGTGGAATTAAAGATGTGTGAGTCATCTCAGAACTTCAAATCCTACATTTAATATGGAGATTGTATATCACAAAAACAATGTTCAGAGGCATTGGTAGAGTTGCTATCTAGATATAAGAACTGGGAAGTAACACAGAGGGAAGTAGAAACAAAGCAAGCTTGGTAGGAAGCAAGAAATTCCCAACACACAGATACTTTGGGCAGTGTAAGAAGTATCTTTATTCAATCATTAGATTTGCCCGAGATGTGTCAACTTCAAAGAAATGTGGGAAACTCATTTCTCTCTGATGTGGAGGAATTACTTATATTTAACAGAATCCCAGAGTTTTGTTTTATTGCACTTATAGTTCATTTGAAACACTTTCCTGTGTACTTTTAGAATTAGAGTTGCATCTGCCTGAGAATAATTAAGAGTGCCGGCATTATAATACTACTGCTGAAGCAATGGTTTTGAATGTTTTAGTTCATTTCACCTTAGTATTCAGTGAAAATGAATGACTAGAAAATGGTAAAAGATGGCTGTGTTAATACTAATGATTAATTGCATAGGTTTCATAATCATAACACTGTTGAAGCAAAGATGGGAGACATGAAGGCTGTGAAAACAGCATCCCTTTTACTGTGTTACTTTTACATGAATAATTGTGTATTCAACCATCAGATAAAAAGGAACAAACTTTAAAACTATGACTCTGGGTAACAATGCAAATATAGGATTCCTGTGTCATATGTTATACTAGAATAAAGTCAAAATTGATCAAATAATTATTTAAAAAGTTAAAGCATGTGGGGAATTTTTTTATTATTCAAAGTAAAAAAGGTCTTTCTAACTGATATAAAGGCCAGAACGACTCAAAGTAAAGGCTAATTTTCTCTATTACAAAAGTAATCTGTACTGCATGATCGATGATGAAGCAGAAAGTGAATATTGGCAACTCATACTAAAGACAAGTAATTCTTATAATTAATTTTATATATTTCTGAATATACAAAAAAATCCAAAGCACTTCAAGAAAGAATCAAGTAAAAAATAAAAATGTAATAGGAAAATGGCAAAGGAGCCATCATTTCTACTTAAAGTTAGAGGTAAAAACAAATACATGCAACAGTAATATATATTTTGTCTTCTTGTTTGTTTAAATAAATAAAAATAGTCTATTTTGATAGAAAAGAAGCTAAAACTGCCATGACTAAACCCTAATTTTCAGCGTGTTTGCCTAGAGATTCAGAATCCTAAAACCCGTCAGTTGCTGACACCATAGGTATATTATAAGGTAGATTACTTACCAAAAAACTATGTGTCAAAATTCAGGGAGACTGCAAATATCTGTGGTAGAGATGAAAGTGTTCTGATTAGGAATAAATAATGTATTTCCAGACAATTATTAAATGTCACATAAGCAACAGAAAGGCAACTCAAGATACCAATCTCTTTGATACAGATTAAAAAAATTTTTTTTTGTTTAAAATGATGGGAATAAATCACAAACATATAGATAGCTTCCATTTGACCAGGATGTAGCAGTTAAATGTTTCCAGATGTCACATGTAAAAGATGGATTACTAATATAAAATTTAAAACCCTATCAGTAAGAATCATATACATACCTTTTCAATTTAGTTTGTATTATTCTTCAGGTTATACCAGTCCTAGCTGTCTGGAGTTTATGGGAAAAGCAATGAATCATATAATGCAAACATGAAAGAGATCTAGGAATTATCTAGCTGTTTTTTATTAATATTGCATGTGCTATTTAATGTGAATTTCAAGTCAAAACTTTATAAACATCTTTTACATGCATCATATTTATCCTCACATTAACTGAAAAGTAGGTACACTCAGCAATACCACTACTACATTACAGGTGAGGAAACTGACCACAGAAGTAAAAAACCTGTAGCAGAGGCTGTCAGTTGCCTGCCTATGTCTCCTCTGGAGTACCCTTTCCTGTGTACAGTAATCACATGGCTTCCAGCTGGAGGCACCTGCGATTGTTTGCTTGCAGGCTTTTTCTGACTGCTGGGAGCGCTGGGGAGTAAACTCACCCCAGGAGCAGGACTTAAGCAAAGACAGAAGCTGGTGAATACATACCCCAGCTTCTTTGCCTGCCTGGTAGAATAAACTCCAAGGTGTGTTCTACACAGTCTACCAAAATTCCTCAGCAGGATTGACCCCATTTGCACAGGGGAGTAACCTGCTTAATAACGCCCCCTCTGTTGTCTTCCTTCCCTTCCCTATCACACTTCCCCACGCCCCTAGAAGTGCTTCCTGGGATCCCCTCTAATAAACAATTTGCCTGCAAATACTTTTCTCAGGGTTTGATTCTGGGGGAACCCAATTTAAGGCAAAAACCCATCTAAGAACATACATTTTGTGTGCAGCTAAGGCAGGAGTAAAATCTCCAGGTCTCTTGATTACCAATCTAGAGGGAGTTTTTTTGTATTACCTTTAGTTTTTCTCCCAAACAAAATATATTTTGAAAAACTAAGACACCGCTGCTTTTTACAAACATAAGTATTTACCAGTAATTAAAATACCAAAATGCTGGACCTTTTTGGGATTTAATTTACTCTTATGTTTTTATCATCTCAAAGACTTTAAATATAAATCTTTCTCTCTACCATTGACCTCTGTTACTCATAAAGTACCTCACTATCTTACATGTTGTTTACATTAGATAAAATTGCAATTACTCACTGACATTAATTACATGCTTTACAATGATGATAATTTAAAAACCTTGTTAGTTAATTTTGTGTTGATCAAACACAATTTCTGTTAGACCACTACCAAATGTGATGTAGAATGTTTTTCCTTGATTTATGTTGCTGTTTTTGTCACTAATTATTTTCATGTTATGTGCAATCAAAATTTATAAAATTGGAAAAGGAAAGTTTTAACTGGCTGCATCCCCCAAAGAGACAGGAAAAGTGTACCTTTTTCCTGGTGGACCTTGAGACATGTTTACATGATACTTTGAGTAGTGCTGAAACTTATATTTCATTATTTTGTATTTCTTAAATTGTTTTGCATGTCAATATGACATGTTAATTGTCAAAGAAAAGTCATATGAAATGTCAGCTTACCCAATATCACATTTTATAATAATTAACTGGTTGGGCATTGATGAAATGTTCATTTCCTAGAGGATCCTGAAACCATAAGACTCAGTGTCCCCAGTGTCCTCTTTTTTCTGCTTTACCTGTTTTGATTTTAGAACCCTTGAGAAATGTATACAGAAACATTGTTCCCAGAAAGAGATATTCTGCTTTGGAGCACCTCCATTCTATACTTCACTAATCACACAGCTTACATGGCTACCACATTCTCCAGCCAGACAGACTCCACGAATCCAAAAAATTGTAGGTTTATGTACATGAAACAATCTAGGTGTCTAAGAGACATTTTATAGATTGGGACTTTCTACTAGTAAACATCATAAGCTTTTTATAAAAGGGGTTGGTCAAGGTTATTCATTTACACTGGAGTTTGGATAGAGCAGAGAGGAAATACTTACGGGC
This sequence comes from Homo sapiens, assembly GCF_000001405.40. Classification (NCBI taxonomy): domain Eukaryota; kingdom Metazoa; phylum Chordata; class Mammalia; order Primates; family Hominidae; genus Homo; species Homo sapiens. The sequence continues at coordinate 208,547,152 of NC_000002.12, forward strand.
CAATTTTGAAATCAACAATGCTATTATCCCCATCAGTGGATTTTTAGAAATTACTTTTTTGGATACATTTGATTTTCTTTTATCATTTATACTTCCTTACAAAACAGAGATGCAGGTATTACTTCTTATCTAGGAAAGTAAGCCAGGCTGCATATCCCAAGACATTGATATCCATTTTACCTCTTAAGTGTTTGATACCTACGTGACCAGTGAGTTTCTATGCCAAAGGCAATGATTTCTCATTAATCAATTCACTATATGATTCAAAATTTGAGTCAAAGTTCTCTGTGCTTTGTTTCCTTCAGGGAAGAAAAAAAAGAAAGGGAAATGAATCATTCTAAGAGCCCAGGGAAAGTTTCACACTGTGTAACATAGATTCTTGAAGACAAGGGCTTCGGAATCTTTGTGTTTTTGAGTAACATAAATAGTTCAAATCTAGACTAATGATTTATTGACCCAATATTTATAATCATGAATAGACAAGGTCATAGAAAGGCATAAGGACAGAACGCACTCAAGGAGTATGTTTAGCCTATTTGGCAAGAGGAACTACAAAGTCATATGGCAACTGGAGTGAATATGAAAGATAGTGGGTATGAAGAGTTGGGGTCATCATTGCAATATACCAGTGTCCTCATGATGATTTTCTCTTATTCAGCACTTATGATTTATACTTACAAAGTAAATAATTATATTTTTATTCCTTTTTATCTTTCATGTATGATAAAAACATCTTTTTTATAATATCTAGCTAGTTTTTGGAAGGGTTAGTCGTTTCTAAAAGGAGCAAAGTTCTTTTCCTCTGAATATTTAAATGGTTAAAATATCATTTAAATAAATGTTTATATAATGGCCTGAAGCTGCTACATCCTTCTATTCAAGTCTGGAATTGGCTCAGAACCTACATAACACTAAGTTTGTAGACGTAGATCATCAGTGACCCCAGAGGGATAAGATGGTGCCTGTAAAAGTACATAGATTAAGAAAAGGAAAATCTACTTCAGAAGGGGTGATTCACTAATGTGGGTAGTCATATTCCATGGTTGTAGAGGCTGGGAAAAAAGAGTGAGAATGTAAATTTTTAAAAAGAGAATTTAAAAAACTGTGAAAGATGAGATTTTATCCTACTTGCAAGCTGACAAGGTGGCCTGCCAGTTTCATGGCTGCTATCATAAACAGGAGCCTCTTGAGGCAGAGACAAAGGACTTTATTATTATGATATCAAAATATTTGCATCAGTTCCCCTTGCCTCCAAGCCCCAAGCCCCAAGCCCCAAGCCCCAGAGGGGTGATGTGTATGAGCCCAGATGAAAGCCTGCATACCAGGAGGTTGCATCACAGGAGGAGAACCCTGAGCCTAAGCTCACATCTTTTTTTTTTCTTTGAGATGGAGTTTCACTCTTGTTGCCCAAGCTGGAGTGCAATGGGGTGATCTTGGCTCACTGCAACCTCTGCCTCTCGGATTCAAGAGATTCTCCTGCCTCAGCCTCCCGAGTAGCTGGGATCACAGGCATGTGCCACCACACTCGGCTAATTTTTTTTTTTTTTGTATTTAGTAAAGATGGGGTCTTACCATGTAAGTCAGTCTGGTCTCGAACTCCCAGCCCCAGGTGATCCACCCACCTCAGCCTCCCAAAGTGCTGGGATTACAGGCGTGCACCATTGAGCCTGGCCCAGCTCAAATCTTTTATAACAAACAGTAGGCATATCAGCCCTGTGGTCCAGATGGAGACATTATCTTATCTTCCAAGGCTGTTTGCCATGCAGAATCTTTGAAAAGATATCCTAGAACAAAATGTCAGTGCCTCTGCTTGTAAGCTGTGCAGAAACCGAAGAGATCCTATAAAAAAGTTGTCTACTAACAGGAAAGAAACCTCAGCAGAGTGACTGGGGAGAAGTCTCTCTGATAAATGGAGGAGTAGTTCTATTTTTGCTCAAAGTAAAGGTCAGTCCAAGGTCTTGTGATGGTTAATTGTATATTTCAACTTGACTGGCTATGGGGTGCCCATATATTTGGTCAAACATTATTCTAGGTGTTTCTGTGAGGGTGTTTTGGGTGAGATTAATATTTTAATCAGAGAGATTGGAGTAAAGCTGATTGTCCTCTCTAATGTGAGTGGGTCTCATCCAATCAACTGAAGTCTCGAATAGCGCAAAGAAGCTGACCTTTCCACAGAGTAAGAGATAATTCTTCCTTCCTTCAGATGAACTGAAACATTGGCGCTTCCTCAATTTCAAGCCTCCTAACCTTCAGACTGGAGCTACATCACTGGCTTTCCTGCATTTCCTACTTATTAACTCACCCTGTAGATCTTGGGACTTAACCTCCATAATTCCTTATAATTCCTTATAATAAGTCTCTTCAGATGTGTGGAGTGTGTGTGTGTGTGTGTGTGTGTGTGTGTGTGTGTGTGTATTTCTCTGGAGAACCCTAATTCAGGGCTTAATAATAGGTAACTAGGAGTAGAAAACTTTTATTAAGGGCATACTGTATGTCAGTCTCTGTTCAAAGTTTTCAAATTTAACTTTCTAAATTCACCAACAACCCCATGAAATAGGTATCATCATTATTTTTGTCTTACTGATTAGAAAAAATGAGGAACAGAGAGGTCAGTAATCCTTCTCTATAACACACAGCCAGAAGAATACAAACCAGTCTAAATTCATAAAATGTGCTGTTAAACACTATACCATACTGTCTTTCAACACAAGGTAACATGCAGTTATGCATCAACTGACAACAATATATTCTGAGAAATGCATTGTTAGGCAATCGTCCTTGTGTGAATATCATAGAGCATACTCACACAAAACTAGATGGTATAGTGTACTGCACACCTAGGTTGTATGGTATAGCCTATTGCTCCTAGGCTATAAACCTGTACAGCCTGTTCCTCTACTGAATACTGTAGGCAATTATAACACAATGATAGGTATTTGTCTATCTAAACATAAACATAGAAATGGCACAGTAAAAATATATTATAATCTTATGGGACCACCATCATACATGCAGTAGGCAGGATTCATGTCTGCCATTGTGCTATTTGTTTTCTATATGTCTTATATCTTCGTTGTTCCAATGTTTCTCTATTTTTGCCTTTTTTGGTATTATACAGAGGATTTATATTTCATTGAGTCCCCTTGTTTCTTTTACTATATATATTTTTAGTTATTTTCTAGGTGATTGCTATGGTGGTTATAATTAAAATCCCAACTTAAAACAATCTAGCTCAGTTTAACATCAACTTTATTTCAATAATATATAAAATGTTTGCTCAAATATAGCTCAATTTCCTCCTCACTTGTGCTACTAATTTTATACCCGCTATATCTTTAACATTTAGGCTTATAAACTAGTGTTTATAATTGCCTTCTTCTGTTGTGTTTTAAATTTAACATATTTTTATATTTAACAAATTTTAAATGTACAATACAGTAATGTTAACTATATGTATAATATTGTACAGCAAATCTCTAAAACTCATTCATTATGCATAAATGAAACCTTATATCTTTAAATAGCAACTTCCAATTTTCCCTCCCCGCCAGCCACTGGCAACCACCATTCTACTCTCTGCTTCTACAAGTTTAACTATTTTAGGTTTCACATATGTGAGATCATACAGTATTTATCTTTCTGTAAATGGCTTATTTCCCTTAGCATAATGTCCTCTAGGTCCAACCATGTTGTCACATAATGCAGGATTTCTCTATTTTTTAAGGCTGAGTAATATTTCATTGTATGTACAGATTCTTTCCTTCCTTCCTTCCTTCCCTCCCTCCCTCCCTCTCTCTCTCTTTCTTTCTTTCTTTCCTTCTTTCTTTCTTTTTCTGCCTTTCCTCCTCTCCTCTCCTCTCTTTCTTTCCTTTCTTCTTTCCTAGATACAGTCTTGCTCTGTCACCAGGCTGGAGTACAGTAGCGCAATCTCGGCTCACTGCATTCTCCACCTCCCGGGTTCAAGTGATTCTCCTGGCTCAGCCTCCCGAGTAGCTGGAATTACAGGCACCCACCACCACACCCAACTAATTTTTGTATTTTTAGTAGAGACAGGGTTTCACCATGTTGGCCAGGAGATGGTCTTGATCTCCTGACCTCGTGATCCACATGTCTTGGCCTCTCAAAGTGCTGGGATTACAGGTGTGAGCCACCGTGCCCAGCCCAGATCATGTTTTTTTTTTTTTTTTTTAAAGACGAAGTCTTGCTCTGTTGCCCAGGCTGGAGTGCAGTGGTGAGATCTCAGCTCAGCGCAACCTCCACCTCCCAGGTACAAGCAATTCTCCTGTCTCAGCCTCCCGAGTAGCTGGGATTACAGGTGCCCACCACCACACCCAGCTAATTTTTGTATTTTTTAGTAGAGACAGGGTTTCACCACATTGGCCAGGCTGGTCTTGAACTCCTGACCTCATGATCTGCCTGCCTTGGCCTCCCAAAGTGCTAGGATTACAGGCATGAGCCACCATACCCAGCCATCCAGATCATCTTTTCTTTATCCATTTATGTCTAGTGGTGATGACCTCCCCCAGATTTTGTTTGGGAAAGTATCTCTTTCATTTTGAAGGACAGTTGGTTGGCAGTTTTTTCTTTCAGCATTTGAAAAATATCATTTCACTCTTTTCTGGCTTGCAAAGTTTTGCAAGAAATCCACTAATAGTCTTACTGATATTTCCTTATATGTGACAAATCATTTTTTATTTGCTGGTTTCAGAATTCTCTCTTTGTCTGACTTTCGACAATTTGATATAATGTGTCTTGGTGTGGATTTCTTTGGCTTCTTCTTATATAAGATATATTGGGCCTCCTGGATCTGGATGTACATTCCCCACCTCCCGCACATTTGGGGAATTTTCAGCTGTTATTTATTTAAACATAATCTTTCCCCCATACCTTTTACTTCTGGGTGTCCCTAAATGCAAATATTGATCCACTAATGGTGTCCCATAAGCCCATTGAGATTTATTTATACTTTCAAATCCTTTTTTTCTTTTTGCTTCTCTGACTGGATAATTTCCAATAAGCTGTCTTCAGTCTCACTGATTTTTTTCTTCTGCTCGTTCTAGTCTGCTGTTGAACCCCCTCTAGTAAATTTTTTTATTAAGTTATTGTATACTTTAGTTCCAAGATTTTTGATATTTAAAACTATTTTCTCTTTATTAAGATTTTTACTTTGTTCATGCATTGCTCTCATGATCTCTTTGAGCACCTTTATGGCCATTGTTTTGAATTCTCTATATGATGAATTGTATATTTCCATTTCATTGGGGTTGGTTTCAGAAGATTTATTTTGTTCCTTTTTTGGGGAAATATTTTTCTATTTCTTCATTTTCTTTGACACTTTGTGTTGTTATCTGCACATTAGATATATCTCTAATACATACTCTTTATGACTTCTCCCAGTCTTTATGAACTGGACTTGTATAGGAGAAGTCACCAATCAACCCAACCAGAGATCCTGGGGATGTTTGTATCTTCATGTTAGTTCAACTTGCTCTTTGTTCTTAGCATCTCCCAGGAGTCAAAGGTATGTTGGGTCCCATCAGTGTGTCCAGCCAAGTGAGACTGAAGTCAGTTCCTCAGACAGCTCCTGGAAAATTTGGGATGTTGGGTACGTAGACCATCTCCTTCTCTCTCCGGGAAAAAGTTGAGAGCTGAGATTTTTAATCCACTTACTATGTGCTGAGCCATGGGGAGGGAATATTATTACTGCTAGCTTGAGCCACCATCTCTAATCTCACTGGACCCTAGGTGGCTAGAGTATGCTGGATACATCAGTACTCCAAAATAGGTAATACAGAAGTAAGCCCTTTGTGCACCTGCTGGAAAAGTTGGAGCAATGGATGTGTGATCCAACTCTTTCTCCCTTCAGCGGAAAGCTGGGAGGTGTACCTTTTTGTTTGCTTGCTCTATGTGCCTGAGGATATAGGCTATGGTGATTGTCCTCTCAAACTACTATCTCTGATATCACCAGTCACCAGGCAGCTAGAGTATGTCAGTTCCTGTCAGCACTCCAAGAAACACAAGCCAAAGCCAGTCTTCTGAAGACTATGCAGGGAAGTTGCAGTGTTTGATGTATGGTCTCTTTCCCTTCTCAGAGTGAAGCAGGGATTTTGGGAGTTTTTTTCCTGATCATATTTTGCTCAGGAGAGCATAGGAATTATGGTGAGCAGCTATCTCAAATTTCCCTACTGGATTCAATGTGGCTGGTTTCACACTTGTTTAGGGCATGGGAGCCACTCAACCAGTTTCTGGATTTTTCACCAAAGAAATCTGTGTTTCATTATTGAACACACATTCCATGGTGTGTTCATGGGGGAAAGAGGACTCCAGGGCTTCCTATTTCATCATTTTTGCTGACATTCATGTAGTTGTCTTTTAACTCAGACAGGAAAAAAAATACTTCTAAAACTCATATCTGCTGAAGGACTTGTATCCGAAATGTACAACAAACTCTTAAACTTGACAACATAAAAATAAAAAACCCAATTTTTTAAATAGGAAAATGTTCTGAAAAGACACCTCTCTGAAGAAGATATATAGATGGCAAGTAAGCATATGAAAAGATGTTCAACATTACTTGTTAATAGGGAAATAAAAATTAAAACCACAATGATATACAATTCTACACCTATTAGAATGGCTAAAATCTAAGAAACATGATAATATCAATTGCATGTGAGGATGCAGAGCAATGGGAACTGTCTTTCATTGCTGGTGGGAGTGCAAAACGTTATAGCTGCTTTGCAAGAGAGTTGGCAGTTTTTACAAAGCTAAACTTTGTGTTGCCATATGATTTATCAATTGTGCTCCTAGCTATTTACCCTAATGATCTGAAAAACCTACATTCACACAAAAACCTGCATGTGGATGTTTATAGAAGCTTTATGATAATCACCAAAAACTGGAATCAATCAAGATCTCATTCAGTAGATGAGTGGATAACCAAACTGTGGTATATCCTATAATGGAATACTAGTCATTCCAAAAATGAATGAGCTATCAAGTCATGTAAAATTATGATAAATACTTAAATGCATATTAAGTGCATGTTGCTAAGTAAAAAAGTACATATTGCTAAGTAAAAAAACAGTTTGAAAAGGATTCCATATATATGGCATTCTAGAAAAGACAAAATTATGGAGACAAAATAAGCAAATCCATGGTTGCCAGGGGTGTGTGGAGTAGGCGGGATTAAATAGGTGAGGCATAGGAGATTTGTTGAGATGGTGAAACTATTCTGTATGGTATTTTAATGGTGGACAAATAACACTATCCATTTGTCAGAATCCTTAGAACTTTATAACACAAGCAATCACCTTAATGGGTGCAAAGTAACAGAGGCCTCTGGAACCTCAACTGTCAGGAAGAAATGTAGACAGACAGTTACTTAGTTGGAAGTGTGGGCCATCTTTTATGGAAAAGGAAGAATAACTCAGAGTTCAAAGCCAGGAGCCAAGGGTCAAGCAAAGAACCATGAAAAACCACTCTTAGGCAGCAGAACAGGGGTCCATTAGAGGAATTAGTGACATATGTCCATTTAGGTTTCAGAATTGCTATGGAATAGTATCTGCTATATGTCTACTGTTCCATATTTTTGAAAATGACTATGTATTGACTCCTGTTAATTGAGCCTTGTGTAATCCCTTTCCCTCAAACCTGAGTCGACTCCATGATTCTCTTTTGATCAATAATATGCAACAGTAGAGATAAATCATGAATCTGGCAGCTTGTACCTGTCCCATAGCCCCAGCTGCCTATCAGTTATGACAATGAATATAGCACTGTTTAGTTCCACTCAACTGTTAAAAGGACTTTTGATGAAACATTGTGTCATTGCTCTAGAGAATAATAATTTTAGGTGAATCACTGATATTTATATTGTCTCATTTATTTTTTGTTTTAAAAAGCATCGTAAAAATTGTTTCAAAATTTTCTGTTTTATTTAATCTTAAATGAGACATCATTTACTTAAAAGTACAATTCAAGAGAAGGTTTGATTGAGTGACATTTGATAGGAAGAAAGTTAGGTTGGTGTCTAGGTTTGAAATGAAGAAAATAGAACTGGAGGGAAGTGAATGCTGTTGCTGGGCAACGTGGGTTTGCTGTGGAGAAGCCATTTATTAATTGAATTTAATCTAACCTGAGAGTTGTTTATTCTTTGCTTCTTTTTTGTTTTACCCTTTTATTGAAACAGAAGAACTAGTCTCTCCAGTGAATGAAGAAATGAACTAGTATGTTAGGCTTGTGACTCCAGGATTTCAACCCATGGGTCTTTCAATAGAAATTCCATTCTGAATGGCATTAGTGCTTGATTTTCAACTTGTGGTTATTCTGAGTCAAGGAGAGAGAAACAAGCTGCCCTACCAAATGTAGCAAAACTACATGTTAGTGGTCAGGATAATAAAGAGGCTCACCATCCTCTCTCTGTCCACGAAAACTAATCAAGAACAAATAAAAAATAAGACAAAACAAAAACAAAACAACAAACAAACATAAACTCTCTAAAGCCTAAGACATGACCAAGAAATAAGAATTTAGAGCATCCCAACACCTGAATCATAAAATCCCATAAAATCATAAAATCTTTAATCATTACTCCCAGGATTTCTTAATGAATTTGGCATATAAAACAGTTTGTGATTTTGTTTTAAACTGGCTACATTATGCCTCTTCTGAGTATTCCTAAAAGTAGGAGTATCCTATCCATTATATAATGATCTTTAAAAATACGCTCCTGGAGTTCCACAAAGTAGAACCACCTGGTGTGCTATCCCCAACCAAGACTTCAAGACTTACTGCTGTGGACCCCTTAACTTTGACTGCTCAGCATTTGTTTCTCCTTTCGGTAACAGCACCTAGATTTTTTTTTTTTTTTTTTCAGAACCAGCCCTCCTACACTCAGTCCATGTGGCTTGTTTTGAATAATGCCACACCAGCTTAAGGAATGGGCATAATACACTAGCCTGGTTAATCAGAGTTGTAATAATCGGTTCTGAAATTGTTAGGTGATTCAGAACCAATGAAAATTATAGCATTTGGACTTCTCTTAAAGCTCTCTTGAAAGTAGTATTTTCTTTTCCCTAGCATGGCATATTTGGTAGAATTCAAACCTGGAGCTCCTGGTGGCCATCTTTTTCGTCACTTATAGAGATCCTCCATAAGAAGAAAGCCAACACAGAGAGGTGCAGAGAGATTCTTTCTTTCTTCGTTCCTCTTTCTTTCTTTCTTTCTTTTTCTTTTTAATAATTTCAACCTTTATTTTAGATTCAGGGGGTATCTGTGCTGACTTGTTACCTGAGTATATTGCATGATGCTGAAGTTTGGGTTATGATTTATCCCATCACCCAGATACTGAGCATAGTACTCAAATAGTTAGCTTTTCAACCCTTGTTTTCCTTCTTTCCTCCCCCCATAGTAGTCCTCAGTTTCTATTGTTTTCATCTTTGTGTCCACAAGCACCCAATGTTTAGCTCCCACTTATAAGTGAGAACATGTGGTATTTGGTTTTCTGTTTGTGTTAATTCACTTAGGATGACAGCCTCCAGCTGCATCTCTGTTGGAGAGTCAAATTACCTACAGTACCATCTAAATACTTGGAATCTGTCATTCCTGGAGCTGTGTTGACTCCCTTTTTTATTCATTTTGTAATTCGGAACATTTTCTTTTATTTTTAAGGGAGTTTGGGTTAGCTTTCTATCAATCGTAAACAAAGGAAACCAGTCGAAAGTAGTCACCAAATCAGAGTTTCTTGTGTAGATTATATTGATTATCTATTACTTACATTACAAATGAACAATAAATTTCAGGCAGCATTTTGCTTACATATCTGCAGGTTGACAGGGACCATCTGATCTAAGCTAACTGGCTGGCAGCTCTGATGATTTGGCTGGGCTTTATCACCCACTGGGGTTGGGGGTGGAGGAGATGTGGCTGATTAAGGTTGGGTTTGGCTGGACTAACTTGGCTCTGCTCCAGTGTCCCATTCTTCTCCTGAGGCCTGCTTGCTAAACCAGGCATGTTGTTCTTATGATAATATAACTGCCCAATGGGTTCATCTTGCCTGCTTCCTGGATAGAGCTGATTTATCAAGACAGGATAATTGCAATAGAGAAAGAGTTTAATTCACACAGCTGGCTGAACGGGGGACTGGAGTTTATTACTCAAATCAATCTCTCTGGAAATTAAGAGGCCAGGGTTTTTCAGGGATAGTTTGGCAAGCAAAGAAATGGGTGTTGCTGATGTTAGGGAATGCAATCACAGGGGCGTGGAGAACGGTCCTTGTGAACTGAGTCCACTTCTGGATGGGGGCCACAGAACTAGTTGAGTCAAGTCTTGGGCCTGAATGGGGCTAGTCAGTCATCAGAAATGCAAAAACTTGAAAAGACATTTCAAAAGGCCAATCTTGGGTTCTACAATAGTGATGTTATCTGCAGGAGTAATTGGGAGTAAGTTGCGAATCTTGTGACATCTGGGGTAATGCCTGGTAATCATTTGCGTCTACATCTTAGCAGAATTCCGGCTCCTCTCATTCTCCTAAACTGGTGATCTTTCATTAGTTTTACAAAGGTGGTTTAATTTTGGGGTAGAGCTGTTATCATTTAAACTATAAATTAAATTTCTCTTACAGTTAGCTTGGCCCAAGCCCAGGAATGACCAAGGGCAGTTTGGAGTTTAAAGGCAAGATGAAGATTGGTTAGATCAGATCTCTTTCACTGTCATAATTTTCCCACTGTTATAATTTTTTGCAAAGGCAGTTTCAGTAATAGCAGAGGTGCCAGCGTGCAGACTTGATCACACAAGTGCTTTTCAAGCCTGTGCCTCTGCCGCATCTGGTAACATCCTATGAGCCAAAGCAGGCCAGGTCATGTGGCTCAAAAGAAATCAGGGAGTGGGGGAGTATGCCCCATTTACAGTGGAAAGGTGCCGCATACTTACATGGCAAAGGTGTGGAGGAAGAGGAGAACCGAAATATTTATCTAATCTAGCGCTAAACAATGAGACTAGGAAATGTGACTTTTTAATCGTCACCCCAGGTGATTCTAGGCACGTTAAAGTTTGGGAAACACAGCTTAGAGCTGTAGTCCTCAATGCTAGCTAAATCATCTGGGGCTTAAAACATTCTGTTGCTTATATCCCAATCTCCACCTCTCTCAAAGATATTTTGATTAATAGGACCTGGGAATTAGTATTTTAAAGAAAATGGTCCTAGTTAAGAACTACTCTCCTAGAAAAATTTGAGTTCCAGTGGAAATCACTGTTATGCTTCTTATTTGCTGATATTTTTCTTTCTTTCTTTCTTTCTTTCTTTTTTTTTTTTTTTTTTTTGAGACGGAGTCTCGCTCTGTCGCCCAGGCTGGAGAGCAGTGGCGCAATCTCGGCTCACTGCAAGCTCCGCCTCCCGGGTTTAAGCCGTTCTCCTGCCTCAGCCTCCGGAGTAGCTGGGACTACAGGCGCCCGCCACCTCGCCCGGCTAATTTTTGTATTTTTAGTAGAGAAAGGGTTTCACCGTGTTAGCCAGGATGGTCTCCATCTCCTGACCTCGTGCTCCGCCCGCCTCGGCCTCTCAAAGTGCTGGGATTACAGGCGTGAGCCACTGCGCCCAAACCGATATTTTTTATGGAGATGAAATCAGAGGAAAGGCTGAATGGAAAACCAAACCTTATAAAAGCAGTACTTAAAGACTAGTCTACACTTTGGGAGGCCAAGGCAGGGGGATCACCTGAGGTCGGGAGTTTGAGGCCAGCCTGGCCAACATGGAGAAACGCCGTCTCTACTAAAAATGCAAAATTAGCCGGGCGTGGTGGCGCGTGCCTGTAACCCCAGCTATTCAGGAGGCTGAGGCAGGAGAATCGCTTGAACCCGGGAGGCGGAGTTGCGGTGAGCTGAGATCGCGCCATTGCACTCCAGCCTGGGCAACAAGAGCAAAAACTCTGCCTCTAAAACAAAACAAACAAACAAAAAAGACTAGTCCATAAACCAGTCTTTATACAGTATCTCCTCTGTGCTGGGTGTTGTGCTTGGCACTGGAGAAACTGTGGCAGATACTACAGATGCAGACCTGGCTGAGTCCTGGAGAAGATGGATGATAAGTAAATATTTACAAGTGATTAATTAAATAATCACAAGTATATGAAGTGTTGCGGAACACACGTACCTGTATATACTTGGGAATGAATGATAAAGAACTATTTTCACATGCAAACCAGAAATATCCACGATGAAGATAGGAAAGGAGCAAAGGTAAGAAGGGAAATGTAAAATGGGAAAGTCAGAGTCATAGTTCTATTTTATAACTAGTCTCTTCTCTAGAATTTTCTTTGTGTGTCGTTGGTTCTTAGCCTGTCTTAAAATGAATGTATTCAGCAGGAGACATTTCTTAGAACTATTTTAACAAATGTGAGAGCTGGACCCTTAAAAATACCTGTGATTAGCTCACAGCTGGAATCTAGGAAGCCTGTCAAATTTAACTTCCTTGTTGATCCTAACTGACTCTAGCCCTCTAGAGAGTAAAAGCTTTTATATGGTGTAATGTCTGTCACGTGCACGGAATTATGCATAATTACCTAATTCTAAAACTAACTCTGTTGGAAGAGAGACCTGTTAAAAGTTATAATCTTTAAATCAGAGCTAGGATTGTAATTCATTCAGTCTGGCAAGCCTGCCATTTTGGGTTGACCCTCCACCAGGTAAGAATCCGAATATAGAGTCCACCAAAAGAGAATTCCTACTAGCAAAAATAGCTATTTTTTTCTTTTCTTTTTTTTTTTTTAGTTCTGGAAAAATGTATCTACCCTGACACCCTATTTTACAAAATTATTATAATTATTTTATTGTTTCTCAATATTCAATAAAATCTATGATAAATTTGAATTCATTTAGAAATGAGTTTATTGGTATACTAATTCATTAGAGACATTGTGATTTATTAATTGGCTTTTAAAATATTTTACCTGCTGTGAGCATTTAAAAATTATTTAAAAATTTAAAATGGAAATATGCCAATGATTTTTATTTTGCCTAATCAACAGTCAGAAAATATATAGAATGCCATTCAATAGCTGATCTAAACTTTAAATTACTTTTTATCACAATACTAATTATTTTTCCCTTATCTAACCATAACCTGTTAAAAATTTTAACTTCATCTTTAGGCTGCTGCACTTATCAAATTAACATTCAAATTCAACACAGGTATTATATTTCTATTGTTTCATAGCAAATTATCACATATCTAGGGAATTAAAACAATACACATTCATGGCCGGGCGCAGAGGCTTACGCCTGTAATCCCAACACTTTGGGAGGCCGAGGCAGGCAGATCACGAGGTCAGGAGATTGAGACCATCCTCGCTAACATGGTAAACCCCATCTCTACTAAAAATACAAAAAAATTAGCTGGGCATGGTGTCAGGTGACTGTAGTGCCAACTACTCAGGAGGCTGAGGCAGGAGAATGGCATGAACCTGGGAGGCGGAGCTTGCAGTGAGCTGAGATTGTGCCACTGCACTCCAGACTGGGCGACAGAGCGAGACTCCATCTCAAAAACCAAACCACACAAAAAAATACACATTCATTATCTCGTAGTTTCTGAGAATCAGGAATCCAGTTATGGCTTCACTGGGTTCTCTGCCTCAGGGCATCTCACAAGGCTGCAATCAAGGTGTTGCAGGAGGGCCTGGATTCTTATCTGGAGACTGAGCCCTCTTCCATGTTCATGTGAAAGTATATATTTCCTTGCAGCTTTAAAACTCAGTGAAGTTTACGTCTTTTTAGAGGTCAGAAGGAGAGCATCTTTCTGACACTTCACCTTCTTTGAAAGGCTTTTCTGATTAGATCATACCCACCCAGGATAATCTGCCTTTTATTACTTGAAAATCAACTGATTACTAACCTAGTCATGGGAGTGAAATCCCATGTTCAGAGGTTCTACCTACACTCAAAGGGAGGGGATTATACTGGGTGAGGACAACAGTAGGTGGGAATCTTGGGGGCTGAATTAGTCAGGGTTTTCTAGAGGAACAGGACAAATAGGATAGATGTATATATGAAGGGGAGTTTATTGAAGAGCATTGACTCACACAACTACAAGGTGAAGTCCCACAATAGGCCATCTGCAAGCTGAGGAGCAAGGAAGCCAGTCGGAGTCCCAAAACCTCAGAAGTAGGGAAACTGACAGTGCAGCCTTTAGTCTGTAGCCAAAGACCCAAGAGCACTTGGCAAACCATTGGTGTAGGTCCAAGAGTCCAAAAGCTGAAGAACTTGGAGTCTGATGTTGAAGGCAGGAAACATCCAGCTTCCTGGATGTAGGAGAAAGATGTAGGCCGGAAGACACAGTCAGTCTTGTCCTTCCACGTTCTTCTGCCTGCTTTCATTCTAGCCATGCTGGCAGCTGATTAGAATGTGCCCACCCAGATTGAGGGTGGGTCTACCTCTCCCAGTCCACTGACTTAAATGTTAATCTCCTTTGGCAATACCCTCACAGACACACCCAGGAATAATATTTTGCATCCTTCAATCCAATCAAGTTGACACTCAGTATTAACCATCATGGGGGCCTTCTTAAAATTCTGGCTATCACAAAGTGAAACTCAGTGTAACACAGTTCTAAAAGACCTTTGAAATAAACATGTTAAATTTTGACATTTTATTTATAAAATAAGAAATTCACAGTTAACATGTGTTGTGAACTAAATGTGTACCCCCAAATTCGTATGTTGAAACCCTAACCCCCAATGTGATGGTATTTGGAGATGGGGCCTTTGGGCAGTTATTAAAGTTAGATGAAATGATGATAAGTGTGGGGCCCCCATAATGGAATTAGTGCCCTTATAAGTATTGGTTTATATTTACTTTATATTCACTTAAAAGAATTGGTTTATATTTACTGTATTAGTCCATTCTCACACTGCTATGGAGAAATACCTGAAACTGGGTAATTTATAAAGGAAAGAGGTTTAATTGACTCACAGTTCCAAATGGCTGGGGAGGCCTAAGGAAACTTACAATCATGGCAGAAGGGAAAGGGGAATCAGGCACCTTCACAGGGCAGCAGGACACAGTGAGTGCAAGCAGGGGAAATGCCAGATGCTTAGGAAACCATCAGATCTCATGAGACTCACTATCATGAGGACAGCATGGGGGAAACTGCTTCCATGATCTAATTACCTCCACCTGGACCTGCCCTTGAGCTGTGGAGATTATGGGGATTATAGGGGTTATAATTCAAGATGAGATTTTGGGTGGGGACACAGCCAAACCATATCATTCCACCCCTGGCCCCTCCCAAGTCTCGTGTCCTCACATTTCAAAACACATTTATGCCTTTTCAACAGTCCTCCAAAGACTTAACTCATTCTGGCATAAACCCGAAAGTCCAAGTCCAAAGTCTCAGCTGAGACAAAGCAAGTACCTTCTGCCTATGAGCCTGTAAAATCAAAAGCAAGTTAGTTACGTCTTAGATACAATGAGAACACAGACATTGGGTAAATACACTCATTCCAAATGGGAGAAATTGGCCAAAACAAAGGGGCTACAGGACCTATGCAAGTCCAAAATCCAATAGGGCATTCATTAAACCTTAATATTCCAAAATGATCTCCTTTGACTACATGTCTCCAGCATCCAGGTTATGCTGATGCAAGAGGTGGGTTCCCATGGCCTTGGGCAGCTCCACCCCTGTGGCTTTGCAGGGTACAGGTCCCCTCCTAGCTGCTTTCATGGGCTGTTGTTTGGTGCCTGTGGCTTTTCCAGGCACATAGTGCAAGCTGTTGGTGGATCTACCATTCTGTGTTCTGGAGGATGGTGGCCCTCTTCTCATATCTCTACTAGGCAGTGCCCTAGTGGGGACTCTGTGTGGGGGTTCGAACTTCACATTTTCCTTCCACACTGCCCTAGCAGAGGTTCTCCATGAGGGCTCTGCCCCTGCAGCAAACTTCTGCCTAGACATCCAGGCATTTTTATACATCCTCTGAAATCTAGGTAGAGGTTCCCAAACCTCAGTTTGTGACTTCTGTATACCCATAGGCTCAACACCACATGGGAGATGCCAAGGCTTATGGCTTGCACCCTCTGAAGCCATGGCCTGAAATGTATCTTGGCCCCTTTTAACCATGGCTGGTGCTGAAGCAGCTAGGATGCAGGGCACCATGTCCTGAGACTGCATAGAGCAGGAAGCCCCTAGGCCCGGCCCAGGAAACAACTTTTCCCTCTTAGGCCTCTGGGCCTGTGATGGGAGGGGCAGCTGTGAATGTCTCTGACATGCCCTGGAGACATTGTCCCCCTTGTCTTGGTATTAACATTTGGCTCCTCAGTATTTATGCAAATTTCTGCAGTTGACTTGAATTTCTCCCCAGAAAATGTTTTTTTTTTTTTTTTTTTTTTTTTTTCTATCACATCATCAGGCTGCAAATTTTCCAAACTTTATGCTCTGCTTCCTCTTGAATGCTTGGTTGCTTAGAAATTTATTCTGCCAGATACCCTAAATCATCTCTCATGTTCAAAGTCCTACAGATCTCTAGGACAGGGGCAAAATGCAATCAGTCTCTTTGCTAAAGCATAGCAAGAGTGACATTTACTCCAGTTCCCAACAAGTTTCTCATCTCCATCTGAGACCACCTCAGCCTGGACCTCATTGTGCATATCACTCTCAGCATTTTGGTCAAAGCCATTCAACATGTCTCTAGGAAATTCCAAACTTTCCTACATCTTACTGTTTCCTGAGCCCTCCAAGTCTCTAGGAAGTCCCAAACTTTCCCACATTTTTCTATCTTCTTCTGAGCCTTCCAAACGGTTCCAACCTCTTTCTGTTGCCTAGTTCCAAAGTTGCTTCCACATTTTTGGGTATCTTTACAGCAGTGCCCCGTTACCTTGGTACTAATTCTTGCTCTCTCTCCACTGTGTGAAGACACAGACAGAAGGCAGCCATCTGCAGCCAGGGAGAGAGCCCTCACCAGCACCCAACCAGGCTGGCAACCTGATCTTGAAATTTCAGCCTCCAGAACTGTGAGAAAATAAGTTTCCATTGCTTAAGGCACCCAGTCTGTGGTATTTTGTTTTGGCAGCCTGAGCTGACTAATACAACATGTATCTAATTTATTTATTGTATTTTGCTTTGTGTACACATATACATACATATACACTCAGGAGTATAATTTTATACTACAGTGTGGTCCGTGATCATTCATGGAGCTTGTTTGATGAATAATTCTTATTTTTTAAAAATTATTCTTTATTTCCTCTTTTGTTTTGCTTGTTTTATATGATCACTTACCTTCCACTTCTAGAATAATTCTTCTTTTGACTGTTTGTTCTTCAGCCACATTTTCAATACATTTCACATTAAAGTCTAATTTTCAAGGACTTACAAAGAAGTTTATTTATCAACTGATTGAAATGTGGCAGGAATATTGAATCAAGTCAATAACCAGTTGTTTGATGAATACAATGTTCTTTTCACTCAAAAATAACAAAACAACATATTTGCAAATATGTTCTCCTCCGACCACCAAAAACCCTCTATCCTGCAAGAAATAAAAACAAAACATACCAGATAATAAGTAAAGCCTAATTAGAAATAATTTTTTAAATATTGGAATGTAAATGTGTATGTGTCTCTTCATGAAAAAACCTTTCTCTTATCTCTGACATTATTATTAAAATATATTAACAGAAAATACTAATAGGAGACCATTAGCAATTATTCCAGCTAATGAAAAATGATCATTTATGGAATTTGATATTTCTGTAGGGTTTAGATACACTGCCCTAAAAGTGGTCTTTCCATGATATTTGCAGAAATAAACCAAATTACATAAGTTAACTCTAATTTCATTATTTTAAAAATTTTTTGGAAGGTTTTTAAAGGGATCTTATGAGTGATTTGAAGAGTTCTCTTGGAATTTCTGCATATCACAAAATAAAAATGGACAGATTTTAATGGTTCTCTCATTCATTAACCATAAAACATGTTACATGCTTGCTGATCTTTTATAAACCTAATGGATGGAATAAAGGGAGGTAACAAAAATTAATATTACAAAATTATAAAGTAAAAAGAAAGTTAATTAAAAAGTTAATAGAAAAGTCATGACATAAAAGAAAATAAAAAGGAGGGATGAAATTGGGATTGAGATTGAAGGGAGACCCCAAATTTGACTTTCCAATGCTAGAAGCCAATGGAAAGAGTGATGCTAATGTGTATACACAGAAAAATTTCTCTCTTGGATGCTTATAAAGGGATACTATGTGATTCATTCATTCCAAAAATATATTTAAGTGACTACTATATGTCAAGCACTGTTTTGCATGTTAGGGATATGACAGTGAACAAAAGCAAGGAGTTTCTGCTCTCATGAAGTTTATATTCTATCACAAAGCAGCAGATTAAAAAAGTTTGTGTGTGTCAAATGGTGATAAGCCTATGAAGAAAAAAGAAAGGGACTGGACGCGGTGGCTCACGCCTGTAATCCCAGCACTTTGGGAGGCGAGGGTGGGTGGATCACTTGAGGTCAGGAGTTCAAGACCAGCCTGGCCAACATGGTGAAACCCTGTCTCTACTAAAAATACAAAAATTAGCCAAACTTAGTGACGCGTGCTGGTAATTCCAGCTACTAGGGAGGCTGAGGCGGGAGAATTGCTTGAACCCAGGAGGCGGAGGTTGCAGTGAGCCGCGATTGCACCACTGCACTGCAGCCTGGGCAACAGAACAATACTCTGTCATAAATAAATAAATAAATAAATAAATAAATAAATAAATAAATAAAAAAAAAAGAAAGGCAGAGAAATGGGAGAGAGGAGGATGGGTAGATAAGAAACTGGTAGTTAGCAAAGGTTTCTCTGATGATATAACAGGTTTTCAACCCATGCTGAAAAACACGAGGGATTAAGTTATGTGGTTTTTAAGGCAAAAATCTTTCCAGTCCAAGGAAAAAGCAAGTACAAAGGCCTTGAGGTAAGAGCATGCCTGGTGTGTACTTTGAACAGTAATAAGACCAGTGAGGATGTAGAGAAGGAGAGTGAAAGACTTTGTTCTGAATTACATAAAAAGCCATTTGGAAGGGTTAGATAAGGAAATGATATGATCTAACTTATAATCTAAAAGGATCACCTTGGCTGCTGTGTTGAGATTATACTTAAGGGAGTAAGTGCAAACAGGCAGATCAGTTATGGTTCTAGAAAAATAATCGGACAAGAGGACATGTTGGCTTAGATCAAAGAGGTAGCAGGCAAGGTGGTTGGATTCTGAATATTCTTTGTATATAGAGCCAAGAAATTGGGTGTGGCATAGATGAGAAAGAGAAGTGTCGGGGATGACCTAAAGATTTTGGCTTGAGCCTCTGGAAGACAGAGATGCCATTGATGGGGAGATGGGGGAAAATTGGGAAGGAAGAAACTTCTTAAAGGTTTGAGATAGTAAGTTTGAAATGCCGATTAGACGTCTAAGTGGACATTTGATGGAGACAGATGATTACCTAAGTTTGAAGGTCAGGAGGGAGATCAAAGCTAGAGATATATACTTGGAAATCATCAATAAGTACATTCTCTTTAAAGTATGGGGCCAAAGGAAATTAGTGCATGTGGATAGTTAAGGGAAGAGGCCCTATGACTGAGATCCTGTGGCAACTTAAAATTTGGAGGAAGTGGGCAACCATAGAGCAAGTTGAAAACTAAGAACTAAGACACTTGGGCCCCCTCAAAGTTATTTGAAAATTGTTGATATGAGGCAGATAGATTAACAGGAGAAAAGGCATACAAATTTATTTGTATGCACAGGAGACTTCAGAATGAAGACCCACTTCTGTGGGGAGGTGAAGAAGCTCATATAGAATCTCAAGGTTCTGGAAAGAATGGGGAATTAGAGCATGGCCCAAACAGGTTTCAATGGCAAGACATTTCATGGGAGGGAGAAAGGAAGAGGCTTGGCTAGCATAGGTGGCCTTGTTATATAGATGAAGCCTCATAGGTAGTAGTCCTCAGAGAGAATAGATGGTAAATGCTTCTTTCCAGATTCTCAGTTAATCTTTTCTAGATCCAGAAATGGCCTAGAAGAGGAAGGCCTGGCTGCCCTAAGAGGGATTCACTATAGATGCAAATTTCCCCCACCTGAGTCTGCTGGCCCTGTGGCAGCCATTTCAATATATGTCACAGAAATATATGTTGGGGTAAAATGTTTTGATTTCCTTCAGAATTGACCATTGTATTGGTCAAGTGGAGGTTATAGTCACTGGTGACATTGACAAGAACACTTGCATTGGAAGTACGTGGATACAATTTTGATTGGGGTGAGTTTAAGAGAACAGATGGAGAGGAAATAGAAACAGCAAGTAGAAAAAATTGTTTTAAAGATTTTTGCTTTACATAGAGCAGAAAAATGAAGGAGTATTTGGTGGGGGAATGGGTGGACAAAGAAAGGTTTTCCTTTTCAAAATAAGAGATTTTATACCATTTGTACTGAAAGCAATCATGCAGTGGAAATGAAAAAATAATGGAAGAAATGAAAGAACACATTAAAACAATTTCAGGAAGTAAATGCTGCCTCCTCACTCCTCCTTTGAGTAAATATAGCAGAAAATTTTATGAAGATGTTCTTGTCACATCACTCGGTTTATGTTGGTAGTAAAGCACCAAAACTCGTTTTTATGAAAGTGGATAGATGTAATTGTGCAGCTAGCCACAAAACTTTGCACAGGTCTGGTTAACTCAGGAATAGATTTTCATGTAGCTGGATGAATACATGCACAGGTGCAAATTCTCCAGGCAATCCCCCCTACATTTTAAATTCTTTCCTAATTGAGCCTTTGATAATCTATAAGGGATACGGAGTTGAAAGTTGTCCTCCAGGTTCTTCTAGTATACTTACAGGAATCACCCCTTTAGTGCTGCAGACAGCTGAAATCACTGTCAGCACTAAGAGAGTTCCTGAAGCCACCCACCTGGCATTTATTCCCCCAATTTATGAGGGGTCTTTCTTCCATTATAACCAAAAGGAAGGCAGGAATATGTATAAGAAGGTTGCTGAATTTGGTTTGGGAAGATGATGTAGTTGTTGTCTGGTAAGTACTATTTTTTTCAGTGAAATTAGAAGCAAGGCATCAGTAAGAGTAAGACAAAAAGGAAGGGTGAGATAGAAACTTTCAAATTATCATCTCAGAAAGAAACTCAGCTCATTTGGATTATATACTAGGCTTGCTAAATCAGTGCTACGTGTCTGTTTGAGGTTTGTGGTCATGCACTAAAAGACGAGAAAATCTTTTTCTCCAGCCATGTTCAGTTGCTTGGGTACAGCTATGGTGAACCACACAGCTACTGAGATTTCACCAGGGTGGATTTTTAAAGTCCAAATATGATAGAGAAGAGAGAGAAAGTTAGGAGTGAATGTGAAGAAGAGAGTATAGCAACAAACCGTAAAATCTCAGCTGGGTAAGGAAGAATGCATAAACAAAAACAAAAGAGTGGCTTTAGTGCTAGGGCTTTGCGTAAAAATGGAGTTAAAAATTGCAGAAATAGTGGTCACTAGAGAAAATAATATTAAAAATTTGAAGAATTTCAAAATTTCAGAATAGGACTTTAAAGAACTTCTTTGCAGCAACAAAGCAGGGGCATGCTCATCACCTGCAGATCATAACCACCACACCTGACTTTCCCATATGTGCCATTATAACCTTGATATTCTCTGAGAACTGGCTTGTGTTCGGAAAAGAAGTATAGGAAATCTAGTGATTCTCATCAGGAGAGGGGAGGTGGAATGTGGGGTTATAAATTCTTGAAGTGCAAAACAGCTCTTTTAAAAAAGTGCTAATAAATTACATTTAAAAGAAGTCAAGGGCCTGCCTGGCGTGGTGGCTCATGCCTGTAATCCCAGCACTTTGGGAGGCCGAGGCGGGCAGATCACCTGAGGTCAGGAGTTTGAGACCAGCCTGACCAACATGGAGAAACCCCATCTCTACTAAAAATACAAAATTAGCTGGGCGTGGTGGCGCATGCCTATAATCCCAGCTACTCAGAAGGCTGAGGCAGGAGAATTGCTTGAACCTGGGAGGCGGAGGTTGAGGTGAGCCGAGATCATGCCATTGCAATCCAGCGTAAGCAAAGAGAGCGAGACTCCACCTCAAAAAAAAAAAAAAAAAAAAAGAGAAAAGTCAGGGTGTTTGTCCTGTGAAACATTTGTTGAGCCTCTAACTTTCCTTCAATAACTTTGTAAGAGTAGTGCTGTCAAGACAGAGGGGCTGATGTCTCATTCACGGGATGCCCACATCAAGATTTGAGAGGAAGTGTAGTTATTTGTGAAGATGAGGTCTAGGTATGACCGCAAATGGATGATTAAGCTTAAAAACAATAGGTAGAGGCTTGAGATTCTGTACAACCTCCATGGGGATGCTCAAGGCATAAGAATAACAACAGGAGGATGGTAAAAAAGAAGCCATTGAGACAAGGGCAAAAACCAAAATAGACAAAATCAGTAGTTGACAAAAAGAGGGGTAGGGAATAGCATAGTCTGGTGCATGTGCTTGAATTGAGCTGGATGTTTGAGGAAGAAGGAAAGAAAAATGATCCAGAAGCATCACTGAGCCTTCAGAAAGATTTCCCATTCCAGCTCACAGGAGCTGAGGTGTGAGAGGAAAGCAGGCTTCCTTTGTGAGAGCTGCAGGGTATATATTATTATTAAGGACATGGCAGGTTTCAGGCAAAGCAAGGAAGACAAACGTTGGGAGAAACGGATCTAATTAAGATACTTTGCTGGTGAAAGACTTGAGTTCCAGAGGGCAGAAGAAGCATAGAGGGCTGGATAAAAGGCTTTGGTTTTCCCTGTTGGAGTCAGCTGGAGAAGGAAAGTTTCAACTTATCTGTTCTTCTCACTTCTGCGGGTACTGTGGAGAGCAGGCATGTGATGTAGGATGAAACCAACTTTCCCCACCACTTTGTCCATGCATCAAGCCTACACAAGCTCTTCTCAGCATTCCTGGCCTTTTGGTCTTCTTTTCTGGGTTTTCCCATGCTTGTCTCTAGGATTCACCAAGTCCAGAGGGGAGAACTTCTTGCATCTACTGTCTGTCGAGCTCCACCTGAACCGGAGGCTCCACCCATATCTGGCTGCTGTTAGTAGCAATTTCTGCTTAGCTCAGGAGGGACAGATACTGTGGGGTGATGAATGGGGGCGGCGGGGAGGTTGGACATATTCAAGCTTCCTCCCCCGCATATTTATTTTCTCCTCCTAACTTCACCTCTTTTCTAGGAACTCTATTTCATTCCACAAATGGCCAAATAGTTTACTATTCTCAGAAACTTAACAGTTTACCTTTCAAAGCAACTTGAAGTTTAAATAAATAAATAATTGTCATGTAACCTTGAACAAAGAGGCTGGAGACAGGAATCAGGATAAATGATGTCCCCTGGAATGCTGAAATAGAAACCCAAAGAGTAGAGGATCAGAATATATAAATTGGCAAACCATAGAAGAAACACCCATAGCCAATTAATGTAAGAACATATGTGCCTCGTGAATAATAAAAGTATGTAATTTAAAATTTTGTTTCACAGATTGATAACAATGCTGACAACTGTATGGAGAAGACAGCTCATAGTCTCATATGCTGTTGGTGGTAGTGGGTAGGGTTTTCAGATTTTAGGATGGCAGTCTGGAATTATCCATAAAGTTTGTGGCAGAGGCTGCTCTGAGACCACTGCTAACTCATATTGTTACTGAGAAGTTTGGTAATCCTGGGTTCTTAGTCGTTTTGAGAGAAAGATTTCAGCCAAGAGACAGTTCAGAGATAGCAGAGGGCTTTGTTGAAGAGAAATAGGAAGCAAAGAGTTTATTGTGGAAAAAAAATGAGTGTACTGCAGAAGAGGAGCGGCTGACACTGCAGGGAAAGAGCCTCCCAGCCGTAGCGGTGTTCATTTAAAGGGACAGTACACTCTGAAAGACGAGGTAGAGCGGGCTGCTGAAAGAGAATGCCAGCAGACCCACGAGTTCTGTGTTGAGGATTTCATTATAATGGACTCTTTCTTGAAGTTCCCACCTCTGTCTTAAGTCTCCTACTTTTCTCTTTGTCTAGTTCTTC
This sequence comes from Homo sapiens, assembly GCF_000001405.40. Lineage (NCBI taxonomy): Eukaryota > Metazoa > Chordata > Mammalia > Primates > Hominidae > Homo > Homo sapiens. The sequence continues at coordinate 208,571,208 of NC_000002.12, forward strand.
TGCTTCTGCCTTGCATCCCTGCTTTTCCCTACCTGGTTCCCGCTCCAGGGTAGTGGGATTCTCCCTTACTGTCAGTTGATGTGCCGGCCTGGTGTTAGGTGTGAATTCTACTTAACGTCTGTGTTGTGCATTCCCACCACCCCAGGAAGGTTGTATAGTGGTCACATCCATACTCACTGCGCCTGGCCTGTGTATCACTTAGGAATTTCTCCTTTGCCTTCTTTCCCTCCTTAGCAGCACGCAGCTAGCTACCTTCTGACACGTTAACTGCAGAGTGAGCAATACTGGGTATCTTCAGGGGCGCTCCTTCTTGCATAGGTATTTCCCTTCCTCTCTGCTCCTATCTTCCGCGCATGTTTTGGGTGGTCTCTGGGGTGTGAGATTTTCCAGATCTCCCTTTTTCTCAGAGGCTCCCCCTCCTGTTCATGTATAGTTAACTGCGTACTCTAACAATGTGAGAACTTTATGTGGACAAGAAAAATGGTCCTTCTTCAAGATATTTTATGGCCTTTACCAGAAATTTATGATACTCATGGTATGAACAGTGCCCCTAGAATTGTATACTGCACAACCACAGGCAGTAAGCTTGAGCTGCTGGTTGGTCACTCCCAATACTCTCAACTCTAATCTTGTAACTGCCTCTCATATCTCTTCCAGCTTCTCTATAGGTAGAATTAGACACAAGACCCAGTTCTGCCCAAAGAGAGATAAGAGAGTGTCTGCTGGGGACTTCTTTACTGGTAAAAAGCATATGTCACAACAAAAAGAGCTCATTTTGTCACTCTCATCTCCTACTTGCTTCCAGATTGGGAGGCTGCTGTGTATGGATAAGATACCTGCTACAGCCAGCTTGACACCATGAGAAGGACAAGAGAATTGCAGAGACACATATCCAGGATTCTGATCCAGTTGAGGCACTGAAATAATCTAGAACCACCTTCAAATTTCTTATAAAGAGAGGTAAGTAATTAATATTGTTTTGTGTGTAACATGTTTAGTTGTGACTGAAAGTATCCCAACTGATCTTGGTATCCCAACACCAATAATTTATTATATGGGAATCTTTGCAAACAATATAGGTGCAAAGATGTTCACTGTAGCATTATTTGTAATAACAAGAAAATATAAAGAAGCAAAATAGTCAACAATAGGGAACTGGTTAACTATTCTACTTAGTCATTCACCAGAATTAGACAATTCTATATACTAACATGGAAGATATTTAGGACACATTGCTATTTTTATTTTTTTTAAATAAGGAAGCAGCCCAGGCACAGTTGGCCTGTAATGCCAGCAGTTTGGGAGGCCAAGTCAGGCAGATTGCTAAGCCCAGGAGTTTGAGGACAGCCTGGGCGATATGGTGGAACCCAGTCTCTACAAAAAATACAAAAATTATCCAGGCTTGGTGGTGTGCACCTGTAGTCCTAGCTACTTAGGAGGTGGAGGTGGGAGGATCCTTTGAACCCCGGGAGGTTGCAGTGAGCCTAGATTGTGCCACTGCACTCCAGCCTGGGCAACAGAGTGAGATTATGTCTGAAAAAAAAAAGTGAATAAAAATAAAGAAGTTAAACAATTTTAAACATTGTACTTCACCTTCATTTTGTAAAAATTGGGCTCATGCATATTTAAATTATGATAAATGAAGAGAGTAGGGAGGGAGAATTTGCTCCTGGGCAGCAAAAGCAGCACCTAGCCTAGGACCTGGGCATTTTCCAGGCAAAACTACATTTGCCCAGTGAATACCAGAAAAGCAAAACTATTAGCAACTATAATGCTGATCTTTGGAAAATGCACGACAGTCACATATTTCCTGTGTATACACATATACATGCACATATATAGTGAAGATGGCAAAAAACAATAGCACACTTATAAAAATTATATTTTTCAGAGATGATAGTCTGCTAATTTCAATAAAGTGTAAATATAAGTGTGTCTTATGGTATAATAAATTTTAAAATAACATCAACATTTATGTCAACTTCTAAACTTTAAAAATTAACTTTTGGAAGGGAGGCAGAGCAGAGCAAGATAGCCAAATAGAAACCTCCACCAATCATTCTCCTTGTAGAAACACCAAATTAAACAACTATCCTTATAGAAAAGCACCATCATAAGAATAAAAAATCAGGTGAGTGATCACAGTACCTGGTTTTAATTTCATATCCCTGAAAGAGGCACTGAGAGGAGAGGAAAGACAGTTTTGAATTGCCTATACCACCCCCTCCCCAATTCCCTGAGAGCAACCAGCTGGTATGAAGAGAGAATCTGTGTGCTTGGGGGAGGTAGAGTGAAGTGATTGTGGGACTTGGTGTTGGAACTCAGTGTTGCCCTGTCACAGTGGAAAGCAACACCAGGCTGAACTCAGCCATTGCCCACAGAGGGAGCATTTAAACTAAACCTAGCCAGAGGGAAATTGCCCATCCCAGTGGTTGGAAGCTGAGTTCTGGCAAGTCTCACCACTGCAGTCCAAAGTGCTCTAGGATTCTAAATAAACTTGAAAGGTAGCCTGAGCCACAAGGACTGCAATTCCTGGGCAAGAACTTGTGCTCTGCTGAGCTTGGAGCCAGTAGTCTTGGGGGGGCATGTGACCTAGTAACATATCAACCAGAGTAGTCAAGGAAGTGTTTTGTGTCACCCACTTCTAAAAGCAGCAAGAGAAAAGAAACAACATAAAATGGAGCTCTAATACATCTGGCAGTAGACTTCTCAGTGGAAACTTCACAGTCCAGGAAAGAGTGCATGACGTATTTAAAGTGCTGAAGGAAAATACTTTTATGCTGCAGTAGCATATACGGCAAAATTTTATTTCAAACACGAAGGAGAAATAGACTTTCTCAGACAAACAAAAGCTGATGGATTTCATCGACACCTGTCCTGCAAGAAATGCTGAAGAGAATTCTTCAATTAGAAAGAAAAGGACATTTACGAGCAATAAGAAATCATCTGAAAGTACAAAACTCACTGGTAATAGTAAGTACACAGAAAAACACAGAATATTATAACACTGTAATTGTGCTGTGTAAACCACTCATATCTTAAGTAGAAAGGCTAAAAGATAAACCAATAAAAAATAATATCTACAACAACTTTTCAAGACGTAGTACAAAAATAGAAACAACAAAAAGTTAAAAAGTGACAGGACGAATTTAAAGTGTAGAGTTTTTATTAGTTTTTCCTCTGCTTTCTTGTTTATGCAATCTGTATTAAGTTGTTATCAGTTTAAAATAATGGCTTATAAGATATTATATGCAAGCCTCATGGTAACCTCAAATAAAAAAATAACAAATATACAATAAATAAAAAGCAAGAAATGAAAACATACCACCAGACAAAATCACCTTCATTAAAATGAAGATAGGAAGGAAGGAAAGAAGAAAGAGAAGATTACAAAACAACCAGAAAACAAATAATAAAATGGCTGGAGTAAGTTCTTACTTATCAATAATAACATTGAATGTAAGTGGACTAAACTCTCCAATTAAAAGACAGACTGGCAAAATGCATAAGAAAACAAGACCTAATGTCTGTTTGTTGCCTGCAAGAAACACAGTTCACCTATAAAGACACACATAGACTGAAAGTAAAGAGATGGAAAAAGATATCCCATGCAAATGGGAATGAAAAAAAAACAGGAGTAGCTATATTTTTATCAGACAAAATAGATTTCAGGACAAAAACTATGAAAAGAGACAAACAAGGTCATTATATAGTGATAAAGGGGTCAATTCTGCAAGAGGATATAACAATTGTAAATATATATGTGCTTAACACTGGAGCACCCAGATGTATAAAACATATTAGAGTTAAAGGGATAGATAGAGCCCAAACAATAAGAGCTGGAGACTTCAATACCCCGTTTCCATCATTAGACAGAGCATTCAGATGGAAAACCAACAGAGAAACAACAGACTTAATCTGCACTATAGACCAAATGGACCCAATAGATATTTACAGAACACTTCATCCAACAGCTGCAGAATACGTATTCTTTCCCTTAGCACATGGATGATTCTCAAGGATAGACCATGTGTTAGATCACAAAAGAAGTCTTAAAACATTCAAAAAATTGAAATAATATAAAGCATCTGGAATAAAACTAGAAATCAATAACGGGCAAAATCTACAAACACATGGAAATTAAAGAATATACTCCTAAGTGACTCATGGGTCAATGAAGAAATTGAAGAGGAAATTAAAAATTTTCTTCAAAGAAATGAAATGAAAACACAACATACCCAAACCTACAGGATACAGCAAAAGCACCACTAAGAGGGAAGTTTATAGCTATTAGTGCCTACATCAAAAAAAGAGAAAAACTTCAAATAAACAACCTAATGATGCATCTTAAAGAATTAGAATAGCAAGAGCAAACCAAACCCAAAATTAGCAGAAGAAAAGAAATAACAAAGATCACAGTAGAAATAAATGGAACTGAAATGATAAAAACAATACAAAAGATCAACAAAATAAAAAGTTGTTTTTTTAAAAAAAGATAAACAAAATAGAGAAACTTTCTCTAGACTAAGAAAAAAAGAGAGAAGACCCAAGTAAATAAAATCAGAGATGAAAAATGAGACAATACAACTGATACTGCAGAAACTCAAAGATCATTAGTGGCTACTATGAGCAACTATATGCCAATAAATTGGAAAATCTAGAAGAAATGGACAAATTCCTAGACTTACACAATCTACCAAGATTGAAACATGAAGAAATCCAAAACCTGAAAAAAACAATGACAAGCATGACACCAAAGCTGTAATAAAATGTGCCCCAGTAAAGTAAAGCTCAGGACCTGATGGCTTCACTACTGAATTCTACCAAACATTCAAAGAAGAACTAATACCAATTCTACTCAAACTATTCTGAAAAATATAGGAGGAGGGAATACTTTCAAACTCATTCTATGAGGCCAGTATTACCCTGATACCAAAACCAGATGATGACACATCCAAAAAAGAAAACTGCAGGCCAATATATCTGATGAATATTGATGCAAAAATCCTCAATAAAATATTAGCAAACTGAATTCAATAATACATTAAAAAGATAATTTATTATTACCAAGTGGGATTTATCCCAGGGATGCAAAGATGGTTCAGTATATGCAAATCAATCAATGTGATACATTATATTAATAGAAAGAAGGACAAAAACCATATGATCACAGAAACCATATGATTGGTTTCATCAATTGATGCTGAAAAAGCATTTGATAAAATTCAACATCCTTTCATGGTGAAAACCTCAAAACACTGGACACAGAAGGAACCATACTGCAACATAATACAAGCTATATATGACAGACCCACAGCTAGTATCATACTGAATGGGGAAAAATTAAAAAAATTTCTTCTAAGATCTGGAACATGACAAGGATACCCAATTTCACCACTGTTATTCAACACAGTACTGGAAGTCCTAGCTAGAGCAATCTGACAAGAGAAAGAAATAAAGGGAATCCAGATACAAAAGGAAGAAGTCAAATTATCCTTGTTTGCAGATGATATGATCTTATATTTGGAAAAACCTAAACACTCTACAAAAAATTATTAGAACTGATAAACGAATTCAGTAAATTTGAAGATAACAAACTCAACATACAAAAATCAGTAGCATTTCTATATGCCAACAGTGAACAAAATGAAAAAGAAATAAAAATTAATTGCATTTACAATGCCACAAATAAAATTAAATACCTAGGAATTAACCAAAGAAGTGACAGATGTTTACAATTAAAACTATAAAACACTAATGAAAGAGATTGAAGAGAACACCACAAAATGGAAAGATATTCTATGTTCATGGATTGGAAGGATATTGTTAAAATGTTCATACTACCCAAAGCGGTCTACAGATTCAATGCAATCCCTATCAAAATACCGATAGCATTCTTTGCATAAATAGAAAAAAAATCCTAAAACTTATATAGAACCACAAAAGACCCAGAATAGCCAAAGCTATCATAAGCAAAAAGAACAAAACTGGAGGAATTACGTTACCTGACTTCAAATTATACTACAGAGCTATAGTAATCAAAACAGCATGGTACTGGAATAAAAACAGACACATAGATCAGTGGAACAGAATAGAGACCCCAGAGGTAAATCCACACACCTACAGTGAACTCATTTTTGACAAAGTTGTCAAAAACATACAGTGGGGAAAAGACAGTCTGTTTAGTAAATGGTGCTGGGAAAACTTCCTTCCTTCCTTTCTTCCTTCTTTTCTTTCCCACTTTTTTACCTGCCATCTTTGCAGCTGTACTGGGAATAAATTAATAAGAAGATTAAGGTCTGCTGCTTGCCATTCCATAGACACAATCTAATGAAGTGTTTAGTATAAGCACAGTGATCATCACCTTATATTCTGCACAATGAGAAAGTAAATCATCTTTGATCAGAATTATGCCCTGGCTTCAGTGTTGCATTTAAGGAAATGCATCGTTACTCACATCTCTTGAAGAACATTAAAGGTTTGCATTGCTCTAATGACCAGTGATGTTGAGCTTTTTAAAAATATGATTATTGGCTGCATGTATATCATCTTTTGAAAAGTGTTCCTGTCCTTTGCCCACTTTTTTATGTTTTTTTTTTTCTTGTAAATTTGTTTAAGTTCCTTATAGATGCTGGATATTAGACCTTTGTTGGATGCATAGTTTACAAAATTTTTCTCCCATTCTGTAGGTTGTCAGTTTACTCTGTGGATAGTTTCTTTGCTGTGTACAGAAACTCTTAACTTTAATTAGATACCATTTGTTAATTTTTGCTTTTGTTGCAATTGCTTTTGGTGTCTTTCTCATGAAATCTTTGCCTGTGCCAATGTCTTAAATGGTATTGCCTAGGTTGTCTTCCAGGATTTTTATAGTTTTGGGTTTTACATTTAAGTCTTTAATCCATCTTGACTTTATTTTTGTATGTGGTCTAAGGAAGGGTTCCAGTTTTAATCCCCTTCCTCCACCATGTCTAACACCAGTCAAAATGGCTATTACTAAAAAGTCCAGGCCAGGCGCGGTAGCTCACACCTGTAATCCCAGCACTTCAGGAGGCCGAGGTGGGTAGATTGCTTGAGCTCAGGAGTTCGAAACCAGCTTGGCCAACTTGATGAAACCCCATATCTATTAAAAATACGAAAATTAGCCAGGCATGGTTGTGCATGCCTGTAGTCCCAGATACTTGGGAGGCTGTAACAGGAGAATCACTTGAACCCAGGAGGCGGAGGTTGCAGTGAGCTGAGATTGCACCACTGCACTGCAGCATGAGTGACAGAGCGAGACTCTGTCTAAAAAAAAAAAAAAAAAAAAGGTGAGGTTGTGGAGAAAAAGGAATGCTGATATACTATTTGTGGGAGTGTAAATTAGTTCAACCATTGTGGCAGTATGGTGATTCCTCAAAGACCTAAAGACAGAACTATCATTTGACCCAGCAATCCCATTACTGGGTATATACCCAAAAGAATATAAGTCATTCTATTATAAAGACACATGCACACATATGTTCTTTGCAGCACTGTTCACAATAGCAAAGACGTGGAATCAACCTGAATGCCCATCAATGATAGACTGAATAAAGAAAATGTGGTACATATATACCATGGAATACTATACAGCCATAAAAAGAATGAGATCGTCCAGGCTTGGTGGCTCACACCTGTGATCCCAGCACTTTGGGAGGCTGAGGCAGGCAGATCACCTGATGTCAGGAGTTTGAGACCAGCCTGGCCAACATGGTGAAACCCAGTCTCTACTAAAAACACAAAATTAGCTGGGTGTGGTGGCGGGCACCTGTAATCCCAGCTACTTGGGAGGTGAGGCAGGAAAATCACTTGAACCCAGGAGGCGGAGGTTGCAGTGAGCTGAGATCGCGCCACTGCATTCCACCCTGGGCAAAAAGAAGTGAAACCCCATCTCAGAAAAAAAAAAAAAGAAAAAATGAGATAATACTCTTTGGAGGGACATGGATTGAACTGGAGGCCATTATCCTTAGCAAAGTAACACAGGAAAAAAAACAAATACTGCCTGTCCTCACTTATAAGTGGGAGCTAAATATTGAGAACACATAGACACATAGAGGAGAACAACACACAATGGGGCCTTTTGGAGGGTAGAGGATGGGAGGAGGAAGAGGATCAGGAAAAATAACGAATGGGTGCTAGACTTAATACCTGGGATGAAATAATCTGTGCAACAAACCCCTCATGGTGCAAGTTGACTTTTGTAACAAACCTGCACATGTTCCGGGGCACATGTACCCCTGAATTTAAAGTAAAAGTTAAAACAAAACAAAAAGAATATTAAAGGTGTCCCATCTTCAGCAGTCCCTCCTGAAATCCCTTTTCCTCATCATAGCCTCTCACCTCCTGAGGCTGCTGTGAAAGATGCCTCTCTTTCAGAATACTTTCTGTTAATTCTCTTCCCCCATGCTTGGGAGCTCAGCCATGACATTTAGCCTTTTTCCTCCCTCTCTCGGCTCTCTGCACTCCACAGTTCTATCTCTTTCTTCCTCTTTCCCATATTCTGCATTACAAATGTCAGAACCAGGGAAGAACTGTAGGATTCTCTTTGCACAGTCAGGGATGTGAGAAACTGCACAAAGATAAAATTCTCACAATTATTGCCTTTTGCACAGATAATTGCCAGCGTCTTCATCAAGTAGAATGCAGAATCTCAGCCTAGATTAAGCATAAATCAGTGTCAGAAATGAAATCAGAGCTCCAGAGGGTGGCTCTCTGACAGAAGAATTTGAGGAGCCCTTTTTCCTGGCAGTTTACAAAGAGATGCTGGACCTGAGGTATTATTAGTCTGGTGAGAAGAGCTCTTGACAGCTCATAATAATATTAATCAGCAAACAGCACTCCCCAAACAGGTCTTTGGTCTTAGGGAAAAGAACATTGAAGTGTTTATGAGTCTTGCTTATTAGGTTTTGAGGTTTTTGTTGGTTCCTCTCTTGGCAGTAACCTGAATGCTTGTAAAATCCCATGTGTAGCAGAGAACTCTGGGCATTTAGACAACTGTCCGCAGGTGCATCATGATTCACACTTTAACTGAATACCACTTGCTAGGTAAATGCTGTAATAGAAAGTTAAAAAGAATAAATTAGCTGTAAATTCTTGGTATTTTCAGATTCCTGGGATACCCCCTACAGTTGCATAATCATAGGGTGTTTTGTATTTATTTCAAACTACTAATCATTTACACACATGATTCCAGATTGTAAATAACAGATTTGATTGTGCCATTATCTCTTCCATTTCTCTCTAAATTCTTGTTTTAGCAATCAAACTCCTTTCAAAATAAAAATTAGTAGGAACCCCAGAGTATAAAACAGGTAAGAGCAAATGAATATGATTCCATAGTTTAATTAATCCTATTTGGGTGAAAATAATCACTGTTTAAATAACCTTAAAAGAGAAGAAACACACTTTGAAACCCTGTTTGCTTTGTAAGTATGTATGTCCGTAATATTTTTATGACCTGAACTTATTTTCTACATTTCTTTTTGCACAGTCCTTAAATTTATACAACAGATGATAAGAAAGGCACAAGAAAATTTTCAGTTTTAGTCATAGCAGATATGTAGTTAAAAACCTGAGGTCCCAGTCCCACGTCTGCCACATACTTGTTGTCTGACTTTGGAGGTTCATTTAACAACTCTGGGCAAGGCTGCGCTCATGCAAAGCACCCTGGAGCGTGCACTTGCCCAGCTTTCTGGCGGGAGAGGCCCTGGCCACAGTGTGTGATGGGAGCTTTTGGAGCCAGACAGATCTGCTGCATCAATACTTGATTGCTACATTTACTGGTTGTGATACATAACCGATAGCTTTCGGTGTATCAAAACCCATTGTGAAAAAGAACATTTTCCCCTGGTTATTCTGTTTACAGACCAGCTTAGTTCTGCTGTTTTCAAAATATTTTATTTTTGAAAATTGGTTCACTGAATCCTTGCTGCAGATGTTTGCCTAATTTGTGATCATATTGCATAAACCATTTAAAAAACTACTTTATAACTCAGATTCTTGTTTTATTTCCCAAAGAAGCTTAGGACAGGAATATTTTGAGGCAGAATTTAAAAACCACATATGTTGACCTATGTGCTTTTAAAAAAATAGCCATACTTTTTTCCTGGATTTTAAAAGACTGATATATTTTACATAAATAAGCCCCACTTACTAATTACATTTATCCCCCCAAAAAGGAGCAAATTCACCTTAATCATGCCAGTAGCCCTATGCTCACATACTCTCCAGCAAAAGAGAAGGGATTTCTAGTTGGAGTCGAGCCACCGATTAGCCTTGGTTTACAGTGAGCATGGTCTCTGTGTTACACATCTGCATGGTGCATTCCTGTTTTAGACAGCACCTGATTCCTCAGGGAAGGATGCCCATTTGGTTGTGACATATCTCCCATTTATTGCAGCAGAATTGTTAAAGGGAGTTGGCCCCCGTGTTTTGGAGGCCAGGGTATCTTTCTCTCTCTGTCCTCATGGGTATTTATGGAAATACCACGTGAACTCCATTTCCATTCCCATAATTTACAGCTGGGGAGGAAGGATGACTTGAGTGTGTAAATTTTCTATTCTCAGCCCTGCTACAGGCTTCAGGAGGCCAAATCTACAAATCCTACCACTTGGGCTTCTGGTTGGGTTTAGTCAATGGGAAGCACTGATAGGAGGTTGCTTCCAGCCTTCGTAGGAACAAAGACAATTTGGCCAGATTGGCCATAGTTTGGGCACTGGCTGAATTTCCTCCAACTGCAGTCAGACAGTCTCTTTTTAAAAAGTTCTAGTTCTCATTAAATTCTGGTAATACCCATTCTTTCCCTTGGCCTATCAGGCCTATGTGTGGCAGGAGCTTCCTATGGTTGCTAGTCCCTGGGTGTTTCACTTTCCCTTGTTTCCTTAACTTTGTCCATACCTATGTAGATAGTCCCTTAATTCAACATAGTTCAACCTTTTGTATTTATACTAGCTTCCTGCTAGGACTATGGTTGATAAAGTAATGAAGTTAGCTTATGCTTTTAGGATAAACCCATACATTCTAATGCAATTTTAACTGAGAGTCAGTCTCTGAAGCATTTGTACTGCCATTAATAACATACTGCTTAGATTTCCTAGTAAAGGAGGAAAAATTTGCAGGGGTGAATTCAGGCATTCCTGCATTTCTGGCAAAAGAAATATCCTAGTACTGAGAAATGAGAAAATATTACCATAGTACCTCTGTAGTCTCTGAACTGTGCACATTTCCTGGCACATACCAGACTCAGTAAATAATTGTTAAATGAGTTTATTTTGAGTGAATGCAGAAAATATTGCACTTATCATGCTCATATAAAACATTTAACTTTGTATATTTTTACTCAATAGTAAGTGCAGTAATTTCTTATGTTATTACAGAAAACAACACATACTTAATGGATATATAATAGTTCAAAATACGTATCTTAGATGGCAAAATAGATCATCCCTCTTCATTCTCTTTGCTAAAGGGAGAAATGGTTTTCTTACCCATTTTAGTAAAGGAAAAAAACCTCCACTTTTCTTTGATAGTTGCTTAATGTGTGGGTGTCAGAGACCAAGCAGACAATATACCAGTGGTGCAATTTCAACTCTAACCATTTTCTGCCATTAGTATGCCAGCCTTCCCCATTAAAAATCCGAAGCAGAAAGCCATATTATCTGTATGTCACTTTCAAACATAAACACTTAGTAGAATGGTTGTTAGGTTCCATATCTGTGAAATGTGTTTGTATAAGTGACTTATTGTCTTTGCATGAAGTGGCTGGACAAAGGGATGCCTGGTTGAGGAAACTAGCTGTAGGAAGGATATTTCTGCACATCACTGCTTTAGCTATGTAAATCCTGGGCTTGGCGAACCTTGGCTAACCTAGTGGGCATGAGTAGGCCCAGGTGAACCTAATGTACAGAAATGACATTTATGCAGCACCTGGCCAGTCTATAACTTCTAATTCTATTCCCAATGCCTGGAATTTCATTTTGATAACACTGATTCTTGGAGTGTGGTGCCAGGACCGGCAGTATCAGCATCACCAGGAAACTTTCTGGAAGTACAAAATTTGTAGCCCCATTGCTGAATGAGAATTTCTGTGGATGAGGCCCAGTAATCTGTGTGTTAAGAAGCCATATAGGGGACTCTGATGCTAAAGTTTGAGAACCACTGGCTTAGGGCACTGATATTTATTATACATGTATTCATTAATGTGAATGTGCAAATTCAGAGTAGGTTTCATGGGAGATGGAGGGAAGTAACAGAAGGGATCTTATCCTGAAGTGGGAAGGCCCTAATGAGCTAGGAAAGAGTAGACTTTGTTTTACGTATTGGTTTATTTTATGTACTTCAGTGAAAGCAGTCAAGCCTAGAAACATCTGATACTATAGTGAATTTAAAATGGTCCTTTGCTAGGCAGGCAGTGAAAAATGAGATGGGGAGGGACTACAGATTCTGGGAAGGGAATGTTAGTTAACATGTATGCATTCAGGCATCGGGCTCTGTGACATCCACCCCTTCTAAGGCAGGAAGATCTGTGAGTCGCTCAATCCTTTCTAGACTCTCTAGACCCAGCCCGGCTAAACTGGCTCAAGATTGCTTTTCTTCCCCAAGCAGTCTCTGCAAATGTCCATGAAACCTTGGTGTTATAGGAATCTACTCTGATGCTGTAGGGTCAACACCAAGGCAAAATATTATATGGAGAAAGATGACTATAGTAGAATCTACAGAAAATTCACTCCTTTATGTGCCTTGGGTGATGGAGTGCTCCTTATCTCCAACCCTGGGAAAAGAGAACAAAGCTGAATAGCGCTTGAAAATCTCCAGGTTTGAGCCATTAAAGAAATCACCCTCTCTGTGTGCCCTTATCTTAAAGGATATAGATCCTCAGAAAAAGTGCCATATTATTAACAATTACATCTAATAGTTATAATTATTTTACAGCAGTAATTGTAATTATAATCAGAGATGGTTAATAGCCTCCTGAGGTCCATTGAGCAATGCTTTTCAATCTCATATGTGCATGAGAAGTACCTGGGATCTTGTTACAATGCAGATTCAGTACATCTGGATTGGGACCCATGTTGATGCCAATGAGGCTGAGTCCCCTGACCATAACATAACACACTGTGAGTAGCAAGGATATGGAGAAAAAGAATTACATCACATTGCTTTCCCAGCAGAAAAGAATGGAGTGTAAACGTCATTAGTTTCTACAACTGGCAAGAAGATATTGTCTTTGACTCTCACAATTTCTCTGGCAAAAGAACTTTGTAATGAGTATTAGGACTTCGATGATACCACATGAGCAGGATATGCGGGATAATTTGTACTGCAATTCTGCATGGCAACCACAGAATAAATGGACATGTCTGTTCTATTTTAGATTCAAAACCAGAAATCACTTGTGATTAATGGTGGAATAATAAGCTTTTATTATAAATTGTAGAAGCTTAAGTTCTCAAGCTGGCTTTTCTCCTGCAGGGCTCTTGCAGGAGCAATCTGTTAGTCAAAGCTGTAGGACAGCAATTAAAGGGGCATTCGTTATAGCCCATGTATGCTAGAAAGCAGCAAGACAATGATACTTGCCAAACGTCTGGGAAATTAGGTCAGCACTTGCAGATTAAATTCAACAGTGCCTGCTGGACTAAAGTCCTGATTGCCAATTAAGATCTAATGCTGACACTTACTAGCTATTGAGAATTAGAGGGGATGAAGAACTTCTAAAAATTGAGTGGCTAACACTGTTCTTGAATCCTGATAGAATATTATCCATTTGCTTTTTAGTATCTGTGACAATCAAATCAATTTTTCTCCTTTTGTATTTTACTTATGATTCTATTTTTGATGTAAAACAGATATATCTGCAGTTACATAAACAGGGTAAAGATCAATTAATTCCCACTTTACTCTTTCATACTTTATTCATGATCACAATATGCATGCTTGCCAAAGAGATGAGTAAATATTGTTATTATTTTAAAGACAGAGGCATTGGCCTAATGTCACGTATTTTATAATATTTACTTAATTGAAATTCAGAATAGAAGACTTTCATTGTTGTGCAAGAACAGAAGCTACTCTTCTGGGAAGAGTAAGTGGCTTAGCAGAGGAATAGCAAAGACTGATCAAATAGTTAAGAAAGCTACAGACATTGTGATCTAGTGAGTGATTATTTCATTATAGCTAAACTTCAATGGTTATTTTTTTTAAAAAAGTTCACTTTATGGTCTGAAAATGTTTGCATTTGCTCTCTTTAGTTATCAGTTGTGCATAGATCTGTTTAGAAAAGCTATGAATGGGGTGAGAACAGAGAACTTGTGGAGGCAGAATTTTAAGATGGCCCCCAGAATTCCTGCCAGCAACAATCAGGTTGAACATGTAATTTATAAATTCAAAATTTATTAAGGAAACTCTCTATATAGACATAATTATATATGCTATATAGGGATAATTTTAATGAACACTGTGTATAGTATGTATGTAGAAGAGTATAAGGAAATTTAAAAAAATTGGCATTACTGAGTTGAAAGAGATAATGTACTATATTCACGAATAGGAAAACTCAATATTGTAAGGATGCTAATTTCCCCTAAATCTGTGGGTTTTATACAATCAAGCAAATTCTCTATGTGTGTGAAAATTAAAAAGCTGATTCTAAAATGTATTTAAAAGAGCGTAGGGCCAATAATATACTCGAGAATTAAAAGAGTAAGATGGAGAAGACTTGCCTTATCAAATATCAAGCCCCATTTTAAAGTCATAATGATTAAGATAGTGGCACAGAAATAGACAAATAGACCAAGTGAAAAAGACAAAGAACTTAGAAAGAGACTCAGACTTATATGCAACTTGGATAGGTAACAGAGCTGCCATTGTAGTCCAGTGGAGAAAGGAGGAAATATTCAATAAAAGTTGCTAGCATAATTGATTATATAGAAATTAATAACATTGAATTTCACACCATGTACAAAAATCAATTCCAGATATAATAACACATGTGATAACAAAATATTAATATTTTAGAATGAAATAAGAGATAATCTTTATTATTCTAAGACAGGAAAGAATTTTTAAAACTAAACCAAATACCTTTAAGTTAAAAAAAGTGAAAAATAAGATGAGCCACAAACTTTAAAAAGAAACTTGCAAAATATATAATAGTGTCTTATAAAGAATATGTAAACGTAGAATTCCAAAAATTTCTTAAGAAAAAAATAAGTAATCTAATAGAAAAATATAGAAAGACATGAATAAGCATTTCACAGAAGATTTTAACAAATGGTTAATAAATATAAGAAAAGCTGCCAATTATCATTAATAATCAGAGAATAAAAATGTAATGACATTTTTTCTACCTATCTAGTTGACTACAATTAGGAAATGACAAGGCCAAGTGATGGAGAAGTTGTGAGCCAATGAAAATGCTTATATGCTTTTGATAGGCGTAAAAATTTGTTGTTGGCATTAATCATGTAAGTTTGAATAGTCACATGGCCTATGACTCAGCAATTTCATTTCTGAGTGTACATTCTAGAAACTTCTTGTGCATTGTAAGAATAGCCATAATATTATATCAAATGAGCTTGGCAATTAAGGAAGGAAGGAAGGAAGGAAGGAATAGCCGTAACAGCCTGGTTTATAATTAAAGTGGAAACAAAAATATTGATAAAAGAATGGTGAATAAAGTCATGTGTTCATGAACTGCAATATTATGAAACACAGACTAAAATGTTTGAATTACAGCTGTATTTAACACCAAAAACAAACATTAGAAACATGTTTGTTGATTTTTTTTTTTTTTTTTTTTTTTTTTTTTGAGACGGAGTCTCGCTCTGTCGCCCAGGCTGGACTGCGGACTGCAGTGGCGCAATCTCGGCTCACTGCAAGCTCCGCTTCCCGGGTTCAACGCCATTCTCCTGCCTCAGCCTCCCCAGTAGCTGGGACTACAGGCGCCCGCCACCGCGCCCGGCTAATTTTTTGTATTTTTAGTAGAGACGGGGTTTCACCTTGTTAGCCAGGATGGTCTCGATCTCCTGACCTCATGATCCACCCGCCTCGGCCTCCCAAAGTGCTGGGATTACAGGCGTGAGCCACCGCGCCCGGCCGTTTGTTGATTTTTATAAAGCAAAAAAGCAAGCAAAACTAAACATGATATATTTGAAATATAAGTATTTAGTTATACATATATAATAGTTTATACATACAGTTTTTGTAATATACAGGCCAATATGTTACATAGTATATATCAAATATTCCTAATATATAATGTGTATATATAATCTAATAAGTCATATGATTTATCAATAACATCACTAATATGATTACTTCTGGGGTTAGCAGGGATCTGGAATAGTGAAGAAACTCATGGATTGATGCATGTTTTAGTGGTGTTCCAATTTTTGGTTTGGTTGCTGGGTCCCTAGATGTAAACTACATTATTGTGCTTTATTTATAACTGGCATAAATATATTATTGTATGCATCTAATATTTTATTTTGAAAAGATACTATGAAAATGTAATTAAAAACAAATTAATAGAATAGAACAAGAAGAAAATATGCCAGGACAATACTATCCAAAAGAAAACTAAGTTTCATATAAATAACTGACAAAATAAATTTCGAGGTTAAAAAAATTAATAGGAATAAAAAGAACATTAGTTAAAAATATAAGGTAAAGCCACCAAGAAAAGGGAATAAATTTTAATGTACCCATCAACATTTCCTTGAAGACTCTAAAATGAAAACCAACTGAATTAAAAAGAGAGATTGACAAAATTGTAATCATAATCGGAGAGCATAATCAGATGTATTAACAGTGTTAGATCAAGCAGGCCAAAGATTAAGGATACAAACTATATATCCAAACAGCCACCTCAACTGTATGGAATTGCTAAATTGCTTTTGAAATGGCTACACACCAACAGTGCATGATATTTCTTGTTGTCTCTCTAATGCTTCAACCTGGGTATTCCTTTAAGGGAATTCTGTATAAATGGAAGAGAACTACATGTGTCTTCATTGCTGAGTCTCCAAAACACATGTTGACTAAAAAAATGCAAATAATGCAATAACACATGTATTGATTTTATATTTACTATAAACTGGACTGTGTCCCCCTCCTTCTCCCTCAGAAAAGAGAAGTTGAAATCCTAATCTCCAGTACCTCAGAATGTGACTTCATTTAAAAATAGGGTTGCCGCACATGTAGTTAGCTAAGATGAAGTCAGACTGGCATAGGGTGGGCCCCACATCCAATATGGTTGGTGTCCTTATAAGAAGACGGCCATGTGAAGACAGAGACACAGGGAGAATATTACATGAAGATGAAGAATTGGAGCCGAGAAGAGACCAAAGACTGGGGACAAACCACCAGAAGCGGGAGGAAGCAAGGAAGGATTTGCCTAGAGGTTTCAGAGGGAGCATGGCCCTGCTGGCACCTTGATATCAAGCAACTGTGAGACAATATATTAATGTTGGTTAAGCCACCCAGTGTGTGGTACTTAGTTATAGTAGCACTAGGAAACTGATACAATATTGCTGCATACCATATTTATTGTCTCACAATTTCCATGAGCTCGGGAATCCGGGCATGGTTTAGTCGGGCCCTCTGCTCAGGTCTTACAGGCTGTGTGCAGAATATCAGGTGGGTCTGGAGTCTCATCTGAACCTCAGGGTCCTCATTCAAGCTGACATAATTGTTGGCAGAATTCATTTCCTTGCAGCTTTCTGTGGAACTCATGGCATATTGCTTCTTCAAGGACAACAGAAGGGAGAAGTTCTGAAAGGCCACCCAGGATAATTTCCCTTTTTATTTACTCAAAGTTAACTGATTAGGAACATTAATTGTGTCTGCTAAATCCCTTTATCTTCCCATATAATGTAACATAATCGTGGAAATGGTATCCTATCATATTCACAGCCCCTGTCCTTACTCAAGAGAGGATTGCGCAAGGTCAGGGGTCACAAGGCCATTTTGGCATTCTGGCTTCCATAAAACATAATGTATATTATCATTTTAAAAACATGCAAAACAAAGATAATGGAGTTTTTATGGATCAATAGCTATGTAATACATGTTTAAAATATGCAAATAAATAACATCGACTTGTTATAGTGGTTTTCTCTGAGGAAGAGCTTCACAGTGGAATTAGGGGAGTGAACGTGGCCGGTTTCAGCTCTATCTATGATGTATAAAAACGAAAATGAAAATATCTGAAAAGAGTACGGCAAAATGTTAACATTTGTTAAGACCACTTGATGAAAACATAGATGTTTATCACATAATTCTCTGGGTATGATTATGTTTATTACAGCTTGAGCATCCCTTACCCAGAATGCTTGGGACTAGAAGTGGATGTTGGATTTTGGAATATTTGCATTGAGCATTCCAAATCTGAAAATATGAAATCTGAAATGCTCCAATGAACATTTCTTTTAAGTCCTGTTGACACTCAAAAAGTTTCAGATTGTAAAGCATTTCAGATTTTTTTGATTTGGGATGCTCTACCTATAATATCTATATTTTAATTATAGAATTAAAAATTGAAATAAAATTTGAAATCAGAAACCCCCCAAAATATATATGTTTTATTAGTTGACTTTTCTTTTCTTGGATAAGAGAAAAGAGGACGGTTGTGAGTACGTTGGATAAGTGTTATGGCTCCCAGAAATGGGACAAAAATAACTTAAATGACAGTATGTTGTTAATTCTTTTTTTTCCAAATTAGATGCTAAGCAGAATAGACATAGACTGTTAAGAAATAACTTTCTGGGAGTAGACCTGAGAAGAAGCCAGATTATGATAATGATATATCAGTCAGGGCTTTCCAGAGAAAGAGATCCGATAGGATATATGGATGGATAGATGGATAGTGATGCATATCTAGGATCTATGTATTATATGTGTATGTATTTATCATCTATCTACCTACCTACCTACCTACCTATGAAGAGAAGTATTTTAAGGATTGTCTCACAGGATTGTAGGGAACTGGAAATCTGAAATCTGTAGGGCAGGCTGGCAGGCTGGAAACTCGGGCAGGAGTTGATGTTGCAGTGTTGAGGCAGAAACCTCTGTTTTTGTTCTCAAGGCCTTTAACTGATAAGATGCAACCCACTCACATTATGGTAAAAAAGGACAATCTTCTTTACTTAAAGTCAACTGTTTGTAGGTGTTAACTACATCTACAAAATATCTTCATAGCAACACCGAGAGATTAGTGTTTGATGAAATCACTGTGTAACAAGCAGCCTAGCCAAACTGACACATAAAACATAACAGATATCCTTCAGGTCTTTTCATTTGTTTCTGTCATCTTCTAAGCTAGTACTATGTAACGTTAAAGAGCAGAACCATCTAACCTTATGCTTATTTCAATTAAACAAATCAATTTTTTTTTTATCATTAGCACATCTTTTTAGGCTCCAAGAAATGCCAATGTATCTAAATGGGATACCTAACAAAACACATTGTTTAGTAATCTCTGTATACATATGTATAATTATTCTATATGTATATATAACTATGTATTTATATATACAGATATTTATATTTATGTATTTTTATATATTATAAAAAGCATATATTTTTCATTTTTCAATTACTACAACCGCTAAAACCATTAGGTCAGAAGAAAACGTGTTCCACTGGTGCCACTTCAGTCTGCTTTCTAAATCTCATGTCCGTGGGCAACTGGATTTTATGTCTGTAATAAGAAGTCTGACTCCATTTTGATGTTTGATTACTAACAACTTTCAAGCCCACCCGTCTCTCTTCCTCTTTTGCCTCAGATGTGGGCAAGCTCATAAGAACGCCCAGATGCTTTCTTCTTTGGTGCAGGTTGGACGTTCAAATCACATAAGCTGTCATCCATGCCTAGGAACCCTCATTTATAGCCCTACCCCTTGACCACAATAAAAGCCAAAGCCAGTTGTCACTCCTTGCTCCCTCACGTCATTTTCAGACCTGCTTGATGGTCTGCACTGTTCTTCCCAGAAATTCTCACTATGTGAGTAATCAGTCTTTTCATACCCTCCTGGTGGGTGTGTGGTGTCATTAATTTTGACATCTGAACCAATTTTGGGTGAGTGGGAGGGGGTCCAGCCTGCTTCCGTAAGGTGACCTACATGACATGTTTGCTTCTTAAAAATTCATTCTGAAAATAATCACTGGTAATGCTGCTTATCCTACTGAATGAAACGCAGCATATCTTTTTTATGTTTAAAAATTATAAGCGAAGTTTCTCAAGGCAAAAATCCCCACCCTCCTTTGTTAGTGAAATAGAAATAAAAATGAAAAAAGAAAAGAAATACATACCTTTAAATGAACAAAGGTGGTAATTAGCTAACGGGGAAAAAGTGAAAACAGAATATTTAGAAGTTGAAGAAAAATCACATTTTTGGTATGATATTTATAAAGTCCTTCATCTTACAATGATAAAATTTTGCAATATTTACATTTAGTTTTAAATTTAAATTTCAGTTTTCTATTAACAGTTGCCAAAATGCCATCGGGTTTTTTTTTCTTTTCTTTTTCCCCCAAGATGGCAAACTAGAGGCTTTTGTAGCATGTCTTTGCCACTTGGAAATAGCAAGATAATGCGTAAAGATCAACTCTACAAGTTATTAATTCAAGTAGGGAAACAGGAATCCACTGCAATTATGAAGGGCATCCTAGATCCTGGAGGGGAGAACACAGGTAAACAGCCCCTGTGACGGCATCTGGCTGAGAAAAGTGAGTGAAGAAGCCCCAGTACATGAGAGAGGTAAATGGCCTCCCTCTGCAACTCACCTTTCCACTGGGGATCCAAGCAAGCTAGGCCAAGGAAGAGCACTTTGTTTTTACCAAGCCCTGGAGCTAACGTGGGGAGAGGCTTGGAGGTGCTAAGAGAGAAAGACACTGGGAAAGCTGCAGACATTTTCCCAGGCCCAGGACCAAGAGCAGGATGCCATTTTTAATCCAGGTGCATAAAAATACAGTTGTTCTTTGAATTGGCAGCATGGGTGGGCAGGTATTTTTGTCTTGGGTTGGAGATTGGAATGCTTGCTCTGGAGTGGGGTAAGGGCCTCCATAGCCAGAATTGTGAAAAGTGCCTCAGCAGTAGGCTCTAGAATTATGCTTTTCCTGGTCACAGGCCCGAGGCAGGAAGAGAGCTGGTACAGCTGCAGTTTCTCCTGGGCAATGAGACTTGCACTCAAGGCCATCTTGGTGACCTGGAATTGGTCTATGTGTGCTATTGTTGGGTGCCCCAGCTTGTTCCCCTGAGATCATGGTGCAATGGGGCCCACTTTGCTCCACCCCCAGGCAGAAATGCAGGCATTCAGGGCACCCACTTTTCTGGGGTAGCCTGAGCCACCGTACCCTTCCTGGGCATAGATTGTGGTGCAAGGAGGCCCTCTACACTCCAACCTCAGGCAGATCTTCAGGCATTCAGAGCACCTGCTAAAACAAACTAGCATCCTGAATGGCCCCATCTTTCCTGTGCAGAGATCCTTGTGCAGAGGTCCCTCTCAGCTATATCCCCAGTAAGACCTGCTTGGTGGTCTGCCTCGTTCTTTCTAGAAATCCTCATTATGTGAGTAATAAATCTCTTCACGCACTCCTGGTGTGTGTGTGTGGTGTCATCAATTTTGAGGCAGAATTTCTGCTTCAGGAAGCCTCAGTTTTTGTTCTTAAGGGCTTCAACTGATTAAATAAAGCCCACCTAGATATCAAAGATGATCTTTTTTGTTTAAAGTCAACTGATTGTAGATCCGTTGAATCAATTTTGTGTGGGGTGGTGGAAGGTCCAGCCTGTTTCTGGAAGGTGATCTACATGCTATTCTTTTCTTATTTTAAATATTTATTCAAAATAACCACCGGCAATGCTACTTATCCTACTAAAATAAAAGCTGTAGCTATATCCCTAAAATACAAACTTTATAAAATCAGAGAAAACACAACATATGCTTTTCATGTTTAAAAACTATAAACCAAGTTTTACATGGCAAACCGCCTACCCTTCTTTATTGAAATAAATATACAAATTAAAAAAAGAAGAAATGTATGCCTTTAGATAAACAGAGAGTGATAAGTCAAAGAGAAAAAATAAAAATAGTTAGAGGGGGAAGAAAATTCACATTTTTAGTATGATATTTATAAAGTCATTTATCTTACAAGTATAAAATTTTGCACTATTTACCTTTAGCTTTTTATTTAATTTTAAGTTTTATTTTTACAATTTCTGAAATACCATTTATATTTAAAAAATTAGCCATTTGAATTACTAAACTAATATATGCTTGTTGCATAATTAATAAAACATAAAGTATCAAAAATCAAGTGAACATAAACCCCCCCCCCAACTATTTACATTGCTACTATTTCCTTATCATAGTCACACATATCATCATATATTCATGTTACAGCACTGACAATTTTATTTTATTTTTATTTTTATTTTTGAGACGGAGTTTTGCTCTTGTTGCCCAGGATGGAGTGCAATGGCGTGATCTCAGCTCACCACAACCCTGCCTCCTGGGTTCAAGTCATTCTCCTGCCTCAGCCT
Source organism: Homo sapiens (assembly GCF_000001405.40). NCBI lineage: Eukaryota > Metazoa > Chordata > Mammalia > Primates > Hominidae > Homo > Homo sapiens. Next base: position 208,593,763 of record NC_000002.12, read on the forward strand.
CCCAAGTAGCTGGGATTACAGGCATGTGCCACCATGCCCAGCTAATTTTGTATTTTTAGTAGAGACGGGTTTCTCCATGTTGGTCAGGCTGGTCTCAAACTCCCGACCTCAGGTGACCCATCCACCTCAGCCTCCAAAGTGTTGGGATTATAGGCATGAGCCACTGCGGCTGGACAGTACTGAGAATTTTAAAAATAAAAATGGATTCATGCTGCAAATATTCTATAACTTAACATTTTAACTTTAACAGTCCTTCCAGGCTAATAACTGTAGCATTGTTTTATTCTTTTATTTTATTGAATGCTTTCTTTAGTTTTGGACATTTAAATTATTCTAAAGGGTTTGCAATGACAGTCGTTGTTCAATACTCATTCTATTTCCATCACAGTATTTTTATTTCTAGATGAATTCCCAGAATTGAAACTGCTGTGTTAAAACTTACATACATATTTCAAGTTGAGAAAATATATCCTGAAATAGAACATTTGAAATTGCTACCAACAATGAACACACAATAGTATCCATTCCTTCTCTCATTTACCTGCTCTGGATGTTTTTGTTTTTTCCATTTTTGCCAATATAATAGATAAAAAAGGTTATTTTACTCCATGTGTACAATTCTGAACTCTTTTGAGGGGACTTTCCTCTTCTCAATTTCTTCTTTTATGAATTTTCTGTTCATTCCTTTTGCCCATTTTTTTCTTAGACTTTTGACTTTTTTTATTACCTTGTGGGAACTTTTTATATATTCACAATATTAATCCTTTTATTTTGTACACATTTATTTGTTATATTTTTCTCTATAAGAACCATAGAGTCTCAGCACAAATGATTTCATACACTCCCCTGCCACCACATTGCAAGACTTAAAAAACTAACATTGTTTCTAGTGGCTCAAGTCTACATCTCAAGAATGATTTATCCTATCCTTCCTTAAAATGACTCCCTGAGGAAGCTTAAGGCTACCAAAAGAGTTTGCTCTTTGTTCTAGCTGACAGCTGAAGATGGCTCTCTGACCATCTTTTCTTAGAGCATTTACCCAAAAGGGCTTACAACTGCAAATCTTTCCTTTGTCCCTTTGAGATGTTTATGTATCTCCTACAACTCATGATTGTCTTTCTGAAAGACTTGCTAGCTATTCCTTTAAAATGTAATCATCAGGAAGGATAAAGCCTCTGTCTCCCAGTCTCTGTGGGAGGACAGAACCCTAACTTCCATAATTGCCACTTAATAGACATAGCTGGGCTCATCAGCATTTACACTGACCAGCCCTTGCAATTTTGTCAATTCTCCAAGTTTACTGAGCTCCTGTTTACTACCTTCTCTAGTCCCTCATTCTCTCTTTAAAACATCTCTGTACAAATCAAAGTTGAGTTTAGTTCACACCTAGACTTCTTCCCTATGCAATGGTATATTACCAGTTAAAATCTGCCCTTCCCACTTTAACTAGTGTTTGGCTTTGTTTGTCTTTGACACAACCATGTGACAGAATTAAGAGACAATCTAATTGTCCATAATCCTGATGTTAAGAGTAGGCAGATAGCTAGACATGAGCAGGGTTGGGGAGCACCTGACAAAAAGGAGGTCTGGAAAATCTCTCACCCCAGAGACCACCCAAAACATTCTTGCTACGTATGAACAGGGAGGAGGGAAAATACCTATGCAGAAAGGAATGCCCTTTAAGATGCCCAGTAGTCACTTGCTCTGCAATTAACCTGTCAGAATGTAGATAGCTCCATGATGCTAAGGATGGAAAGAGGGCAAAGGAGAAATTCTTAAGAGATATGCAGGTGCAGTAAGTACAGGTTTGACTGCTGTTCAAACTTCCTGTGGGTGGGGGTAATGAGCAAGGCAGCCATGAGGTAGAATTCATATCCAACACTGTGCCCATGTATGCACACCCCCTTATAAGCGAGAAAGAGTCCCACAAAGCCTGGGTGGGAACTAGGCAAGGACGAAGGCAGCAGGGATTTAGGGCAGGAGTGGGAAAACCAGACAAAGAAAAAAGGTGGGTACTTAGGACAGAGGTAGGAACTTCAAGGAAAAAATCAGACATCATAAAAGCCCAGTGCAGAACTCTCAGGGCTGCTGACTCATTCTCTTTCAACAGCCTACTCTGTCTCATCTTTCAGAGTATACTGCCCTTGTAAATAAACACTGCTACTGCTACTGCTGCTGCTCCCAGCCTAGTCAACCTGCTCCTCTCTAGGAGCCTACTCTTATCTTCTTAATGACTCTTTTGCTTACATTACTAATTGTCTCTTGGCTGAATTCTTTCCCCCAAGTTAGACAGGAATAGGAATTGAGAATTCTGCATCTCAGTAACACTGAGACACTGACAGGTATTATTAAACTCAGTCTCTTGATCTCAATTTTGCATCTCAAAAATGTATTAAGGTTGCCAACAAAATGCTTCTCCCCATTTTACAGTTACTGAAAATGATAAAATAAATTGCCCAAAGTTTTGAATAATGTGTTTGTAGGAGATGGAGATGTAGAATCCTGTCTTTGGCAAAATTCCTCTTGAGTATATTTTCCTCAGAAATAATTTGCCTCATCCCTAACTTTTTCTCAAAGCATAATCACTCTCAATAGCTGAATTTTACTGTTCTAAAGATGATGAAAGCCAAATTATTTAGGTTTCTGTCTTGACAACAAAAGCCCAATTAACTGAATAAAAAGACAGAAATGCTTGGTTCTATCTATAGAAGGATGAATTTCTACCAGTTTCCACTGAAGGCTTGAAAATGAAAATACCTTGTGGCTAACATAATTTGAATAATTGTCAGTCATTTGATTCTATTATTCTGGTGAAGTCAGAAAATTTAAATTGCTGAACAGTACTCCAACCTCCTAATGTAGACTTTATTGAACAAATTCTGCTCTCTGGGGGATATAGGGAGATATCTCATACCATTCAGAATAGATTCTTTACTGGGATGTTTGAGACACTAGGTACCCTTCATTATTAGTGTATGTTCTTATAATTTGCCTCAGCATATAAATTAAATCCCATTTAAATATCTTAAATAGAAGAAAGGCTGAGTTTTAGGAATGTGAACATGAACAACTGATTCAAGTTTGTTAAAATTATTATTTTCTGCATCCTACTTAGCTGAACTATTTTTGGGTTCATCCTGATGGTAGAGCTGATTGAATACATGAACAGAGTCTACTTCTTATAAAATCTGGGAGTTTGGAAAAAGGAGTATTAGTTTTAGGCAAGACAAAATGAAAGGAAGTAATTCTAAAATAAAATTATACTTTTGTATTTTATGGTTATTTTAATAAAGTATAATTTTAATTGTATCATTATTTTGAATTATAAAGTGATATTTAAAAATTTTAAATTATATCACTCTATAGAAGGTCCTTGAATAACATTGTTTCCTTCAACATCAGTTTGTTTTAATATCAATGAGAAAAATTGTTTCTCTGCTGAGGCCACTGTCTATGTGGAGTTTTCATGTTCTATTCACATATGCGTGGGTTTTCTCCAGGTACTCTTGTTACTTCCCACATTCCAAAGATGTGACCATTCAGTTAACTAGCCTGTCTAAATGGTCCAGACTGAATGAGTATGGGTGTGTGTGAGTGCTCTGCAATGGGATGGAATCCTGTCCAGGGTGGGTTCCTATCTTGCACCCTAAGGTGTTGGGATAGGTTTGGCCACCTAAGACCCTGAACTGGATGAAGTGGGTTGGGAAATCAATGAATGAATGAATATAAATGATTGTAAAATAAAAATTCATAAAGTCTAGAGTAATCACACAAATACATGACAATAAATGATGTGGTATGAAAGTGCTCATCAATCCCTCCATATTTGTGATTGTTTTTGTGCTGTGTGGTGATAGGAGGTGCTCCTTACAATTTTCACTTGGCAAACATTTATTCTTTGATTTAAGAAACCCACTACCACTACAACTGCCATCACTACTGGGTCAACAAAAATTGAGTAAATAATTATCTAACTTGTTTTTATTGATCTTCAATGAATGTATAGCTCACATTTATTGCAGTGCTTAATATTAAAAGTGTTTTAGGTCTTCATTTAGAAGTTTGATGATGTTTTTTGTGACCAGAAGTATGCCATAGGAACTTTTGTTTATATCAATTAGCCTATTGTAAAATTGGTTGTGTTATATGTCATTTTGCTTAAAGTTGCAATTTCCAAGAACCTATTGTCAACGTTGTGAGGATTTACTGTAATTCAATTACGCAGTTACAAAATTATACCTTGACTTTTATCACTATTTTTTTAAATTATAATTTTAATGTTGAGTTAATGGTAAAACCATATGGACTAATTACTTCAAGTTGCTTAAAACATGATAATTTGATTGTTCATCTCAGGGACAAAGAACTGTAAAACATCAGAAACTGTTTTCTATAATCACACTATTTAGCATAGTTTTGATTTCGTTATTCTGAGGCCATTGTATATAAACTGTAGGATAAACCACATGAATAATTAGGAGAACTATAAATTTCAGTTTGGGAGAAAGACTGTTGTATTAGTCTATTTTCATGCTGCTGATAAAGACATAACTGAGACTGGGTAATTTATAAAGAAAAAGGGGTTTAATGGACTCACAGTTCCATGTGGCCTCACAATCATGATGGAAGGTGAAAGGCATGCCTTACATGGTGGCAGATAAGAGAGAATGAGACCCAAGTGAAAGGGTAAATCCCTTATAAAATAATAAGATCTCATGACACTTATTCGCTACCATGAGAACAGTATGGGGGAAACCACCCTCATGATTCAGTTATCTCTCAGTGTGTCTCTCTCACAACATGTGGAAATTATGGGAGTTATAATTCAAGATGAGATTTGGGTGGGGACACAGCCAAAACATATCAGCTATCCAGGTATAATATCAGCATTTAACTAAACCCTGTAGTCCTGAATTTGAATTGTAAGTATTAGTATGAACTCAGAATACATTTCATCTTAAAAACTGAACTAAACAAAGCAAAAGTCAAACATCCACTTACCTCTAAGTGGATAAATTAGAGGTAATTCATCTAATGAAAAGGCCCCAAAACAATGGCCAACAGAGTAGCAGAGATCACTCTGTATTATTCAGTTTTCACACTGCTATAAAGAACTACCTGAGACTGGGTAATTTATGAAGAAAAAAGATTTAATTGATTCACAGTTCTGCATGGCCAGGGAGGCCTCAGGAAACTTAAATCATGGAAGGTTGGGGAAGCAAGGACCTTCTTCACATGGTGGCAAGAGAGGGTCAGGGGGAACTGCCAAATACTTTTAAACCATCAGATTTCACAAGAACTCACCCACTGTCATGAGAACAGCATGAGGGAAGCTGCACCCATGATCCAATCACCTCCCACCATGTCCCTTCCTTGCCACATGGGGATTACAATTCAACATGAGATTTGGGTGAGGACACAGAGCCAAAACATATCATTCCACCCCTAGCCCCTCCCAAATCTCATATCCTTTTTACATTTCAAAACCAATCATGCCTTCCAACAGTCCCTCAAAGTCTTAACTCATTCCAGCATTAACTCAAAAGTCTAAGTCCAAAGTCTCACCTGAGACAAGGCAAGCCCTTTTCACCTATAAGCCTGTAAAATAAAAGACAAGTTAATTACTTGCAAGATACAATGGGATACAGGTATTGGGTAAATGTTCCCATTCCAAACTGGAGAAATTGGCCAAAACAAAGTGGTCAGAGGCCCCATGCAAGTCCGAAACCAGGCAAGGCACTCATTAAATCTTAAAGTTCCCAAATAATTTCCTTTGACTCCATGTCTCACATCCAGGGGACACTGATGCAAAAGATGGGTTCCCAAGGTGTTGGGCAGTTCTGCCTCTGTGGCTCTGCAGGTTACAGCCCCCAAACCTCCTTTCACAGGCTGATATTGAATGCCTGTGGCTTTTCCAGATGCACGGTGCAAGCTGTCAATTGATCTACCATTCCAGGGTCTGGACAACTGTGCCCTTCCTCTCATAGTTTCACTAGGGAGTGTCCCAGCAGGGACTTTGTGTGGAGGGTCCAACCCCACATTTCCCTTCTGCATTGCCCTAGCAGGCATTCTCCATGAGGGCTTGGCCTCTACAGTGACTTTTGCCTGGACATGCAGGCATTTTTGTACATCTTCTGAAATCTAGGCAGAGGCTCTCAAACCTCAAATCTTGTTTTCTGTGCACCCACAGCCCCAGCGCAACCTGGAAGCTGCCAAGACTTGGGATTTTCACCCTTTAAAACAATGGCCTGTGCTGTACATGAGATCCTTTTAGCCACAGTTGGAGCTGGAGTGGCTGGAATGCAGGGTGCCATATCCCAAGGCTGCACAGAGCAGGGGGCCTTGAGCCTGGCCCATGAAACAATTTTTCCCTCATAGGCCTCTGGGCCTGTTAGGGAGGAGCTTCTGTGAAGATCCCTGAAATGTCCTGGAAACATTTTTTTCCATTATCTTGGCTGTTAACATTCTGCTTCTTATTACTTAGGCAAATTTCTGTAGCAGGCTTGAATTTCTTTCCAGAAAATGGGTTTATCTTTTCTACCACATGGTACAGCTGCAAATTTTCCAAATGTGTACACTCTGCTTCCCTTGTAAACATAAGTTGCAATTTCGAATCATCTCTTTGTGAACACATATGACTGTGTGCTTTCAGAAAGAGCCAGGTCACATCTTGAAAGCTTTGCTGCTTAGAAATATCTTCTGCCAGATACCCTAAATTATCTCTCTCAAGTTCAAAGTTCCACAGATCTGTAGGGCAGGGGCAAAATGCCACCAGTCTCTTTGCTAAAGCATAACAAGAGTGACCTTTGCTCCAGTTTTTAGTAAGTTCCTCATCTCCATTTGAGACTACCTCAGCCTGGCCTGATTGTCCATATCACTATCAACATTTGGTCACAATCATTTATTAAGTCTCTAGGAAGTGCCAAACTTTCCCACATCTTTATGTCTTCTTCTGGCCCTTCAAACTATTCTAACTTCTTCCCATTACCTTGTTCTAAATTTACTTCACATTTTTCAGGTTATCTTTATATCAGTATCTTACTCCTGGTACCAATTTTCTGTATTTTGTCTATTTTCACACTGCTATAAAGAACTATCCAAGACTAGGTAATTTATGAAGAAAAAAGGTTTAATTGACTCACAGTTCTGCATGGCTGGGGAAGCCCCAGGAAACTTACAGTCATGGTAGAAGATAAAGGGGAAGCAAGGACCTTTTCTACATGGTGGCAGGAGGTGGTGGGGTTGGTGGTGGGGACTGCCAAACACTTTTAAACCATCAGGTCTCTTGAGAACTCACTCACTGTCATGAGAACAGCATGGGGGAAACTGCCCCCATGATCCAATCACCTCCCATCAGGTCTCTCTCTCAAGACATGGGAATTACAATTTGAGATGAGATTTGGGTGGGAACACAGAGCCAAAACATATCACACTCCTATTGCATGAGTTCTTTCATCACCTATGAAAGAAATCAGGGGTGTTTGGAGAAATGGCTAGTATATAAAATGAGCCTTGAATGTCTTGCTAAACAAAACTGAGGAAACGATCAGAGGACTCAGAAGCCATTATTAAGAGACTTCCACTGGCAAAAGATGAAATAGATTGAGCATCACTAAGACTAATACCATGAGTTTTTTATTATACTAAAATCATTGGTCACATTTGGAAGATACTAGAGAGATGATATATTATTTTCAAAAATGGTAAATAAAGGGAAATAATTGAGCGTTTCTCTTGCCTTTCATTTATAAATCCATACACCAGGGCAATCAAATAGTTGATGTGAGAACATTTCTCTATATAGAATTTCCAGCTAACAACTGAAGAAGGAGCAATAGATTCAGAGCATCACCATTTTGGAAACCTTAATGAAGTAATGAATGTAATCAAGGATTATCAGCAGAGGTTAACATGCAAAATGAGAAACAACCAGATATTTTATGCCTTATGGTTGTGCTCAACATAACCTGTGAAATATTTTTGCCAAAGTTCAACCCTGAATATGATTACTCCTCTAGATCTAGCTACTGATTTGTGGGAAACACATGATATGGGACTGTCTTATGCAGTGTCTAATCATCAAGATTCAGACTCTGGGAAACTGTAGAAGTAACCCAGTTTCTTCAACAAACTAATTTCAATGAAAAAAAAAGAGTAAGTTATAGATTAAAAGAAAATTAAGAAACAAAATGATTTGAAATGTGTACCTTATTTGGATTCTGATTCCTACAAACAAACTATAAACTACTTACCTGCATATTGCTTTACTGGGAAAAATCTTAGCAGATGATACTTCCTTACATTTGTAGAGTAGAATGTGTTTTATGTCTTTTATTAGTATAGATGACTGGCCCTATATCATCTAATAGATAGTCCTTTTCATCATGGAGATGAATTATTGTGGGTCCAGAGTTTTGTATATGTCTCTAATCCTGCTAGGGAGTCCAATCATACCCTTGTGGTCCTATACTTCAGCCACACAGGCTGCAGCTTTAGTGACATCACACGTGTGGAAACCCTCTCTAGAGGCTCACCAGACCAATATTTCTCCTGAACCTTCAATACATTATGATAGATGGCACACTCAGAGTAATTGTAGTTTAATAAATTCTCTTCAATAAATGGTTCTGGAAAAACAATATCTATATGCAGAAGAATAGAAGAAGACTGCCCACTTCTAACAATATACAAAAATCAAATGAAAATTAAAGAATTAAATCTAAGACCCTGAGCTATGAAGCTACTACAAGAAAACTTTGGGAAAAATCTTCAGGACATTGACCTGGGCAAAGATTTTTTGAGTAATACTCCATAAGTACAGGCAACCAAAGCAAAAAATGAACAAATGGGATCACATCAAGTTAAAAAGCTTCCACACAACAAAGAAAACAATCAAAGTGAAGAGACAACCCACAGAATGGGAGAAAATATTTGCAAACTACCCATTTGAATGGGATTAATAATCAGAATATATGAGGAGCTCAAACAACTCTATAGAAAAAAATATAATAATCTGATCAAAAAATGGGCAAAAGATTTGAGTAGACATTCCTCAAAAGAAGACATGCAAATGGTAAACAAACATATTGCGAAGTACTCAACATCACTGATCATCAGAGAAATGCAGATCAAAAACTACAATGAGATATCATCTCATCTCAATTAAAATGGCTTCTTTTTCCAAAAGAGAGGCAATAACTAATGCTGGTGAGAATGGGAAGAAAAAAAGAATCCTCATGCACTGTTGGTGGGAATATAAACTAGTAAAACCACTATGGAGAACAGTTTGGAGTTTCCTCAAAAAACTAAAAATGGAGCTACTATATAATCCAGCAATTTCACGCCTGGGTATATACCCAAAAGAAAATAAATCCATGTATCAAAGAAATATTTGCACTTTCATATTTGTTGTAGCAATGTTCACAATAGTCAAGATTTGGAAGCAACCTGAGTCCACAAACAGATAAATGAATAAAGAAAATGTACTATACACAATGGAGTTACTATTCAGCCATGAAAAAGAATGAGATGCTATCATTTGCAACAACATAGATGGAACTGGAAGTCATTGTGTTAAGTGAAATAAGCCAGAAACAGAAAGACAAACATCACATGTCCTCACTTATTTGTGGGATCTAAAAATCAGAACACTTGAACTCATGGACATAGAGAGTAGAAGGATGATTACCAGAGGCTGGGAAGGGTAGTGGGAGGAAGGTGGGTGTTGGGGTGAAGGATGTGGGGATGGTTAATGGGTACAAAAAATTGAATGAATAAGGCCTACTATTTGATAGCACAACAGGCTGACTACAGCCAATAATAGTTTAACTACATTTTAAAATAACTAAGAGTATAATTGGATTGTTTGTAACACAAAGATAAATGCTTGAGGGGATGGATGTCTCATTTTCCATTATGTGATTATTACACATTGCATGCCTATATAAAACATCTCATATCTCATGCACCCCATCAATATAAACACCTACTGTGTATCCACAAAAATTAAAAATAAAAATTATTTTAAAAAATAAAGAGAATATCGGCCGGGCGTGGTGGCTCACGCCTGTAATCCCAGCACTTCGGGAGGCCGAGGCGGGTGGATCACGAGGTCAGGAGATCGAGACCATGGTGAAACCCCATCTCTACTAAAAAATACAAAAAATTAGCTGGGCGCCCTGGCGGGCACCTGTAATCCCAGCTACTCAGGAGGCTGAGGCAGGAGAATGGCATGAACTCAGGAGGGGGAGCTTGCAGTGAGCCAAGATTGTGCCACTGCACTCCAGCCTGAGCGACAGAGCAAGACTCTGTCTCAAAAAAAAAAAAAAAAGAATATCAAGAAATAAATGGTCAGGGTTTAGGGAAACCAGCAAGAGATGGTGTATCCCACACTTGTCAAGGCAAGAAACACCATGTAGATTGCCATAATCCACACTGGCCTCATTGAGGATAGCCTTCAGTAGAAGGAAAAGGGTAAATCCATCTATAATCACTATTAGATGATTCTTTTCAATATGGAGAAGTGGAATAAGTTAGAGAGTCCCTGGGAAGAAAAATTACCTCTTATTCATTAAGAATATTGTATTTGATACTTTTCTTTGCCCTCCAAGACTCTTTAGTCTTCTGCCTCATTCTGGAGATGTTAAACCAACTGAGTTCTGGAGTGGCTAGTCTGACAATGAGTACACATTTTGCAAGTTACAGCTTCCTCATATTTTAAAATACCCGATTTTAAAAAAGTTTGAATTCTATGTCCATTCACATTATCACAATAATTTTCACCATATTTGTCAGTGGATGAAAAGAAGAACTATTAGATTTAAAAAATTCAGTTGTAACTTCTTAATGTTGAATTGAAGGTTGAAAGAGTTTTATTTTTGTCTCTGTCTTACAAAACAATATTTCTCATCTATAGACAGTATTTGGAATGTGAAGAGAATATTCTAAATAATGGACTGTGTATAGCCATTTAAAACCCCAAACTTGTGTTTGCAGAATCAAGCTCAAAGTTACTAAAGTTTTTGAAGTATTTGCTTGAATGTTTTAAACATATTTAATATTATACATCTTCCCTAATAGTCTTTTTTCTTATAATTATATAATGTAAAGAAATAGAATACATTTGCATCAAACCATCTAAATATTCCCCTAAATCACCACCAGTTTATACCAGCATAATATTGAATTTTGTCATTTGCTATATATGTCTTGAAATAAAAACCTTTGCGAAGTACCACAACAGATTGCATTAAGAGCACAGGATTGACTTAAGGGAAAATTTCTCCCAGGTTTCAGCGGAGCTGCCTTTCACTCGGGTTTCTCACTGTCAGAAAAAGGGTTACAAATTAAGGAAGCAGGGTAGATCTAAAATAAACTCTGTGGTGTTGGATTTGAAGTTGAGGTATCAGTGTGCTCTGATGGCTTTTCAAACAGTTGGATATAAAGATAAATGTTAAAGCAGATAGATACAGGAATGTATCTGGGTATCTGTGTATATGCATTTATATATATCCTAGCCTATGGGCTGAGCAGGACTTAACGCGATAAAGCCCGAGTACAAATGAGCAGTTACCACCCAGCTCTTGGTTCTAAATACCACTCTCTAATGAAAGGAACCAGAACTCCTTGGACAAATGGTGGATTTTAGGGCTTGAATAAGGAAAGAACAAGATTGATCTGGAACATATTCTGGTGCCAAAAAATAAAAAAGTGCTAAAAAATGGTGGAGACATGTTAAAGTGGAGATCCCCAAACTTTTTCGCACCAGGGACCAGTTTTGTGGAAGAGAATTTTTCCATGGACAAGGTGTGTGTGTAGGTTTTGGGATGATTCAAGTGCATTACATTCATTGTGCACTTTATTTCTATTATTATTACATTGTAATATATAATGAAATAATTATACAACTCATTATAATGTAGAATCAGTGGGAGCCCTGAGCTTTTTTTCCTGCAACTAGATGGTCCCATCTGGGGGTGAGGGAAGATAGTAATAGATCATCAGGCATTAGATTCTCTTAAGGAGGTCACAACCTAGATCCCTTGTGTATGCAGTTTACAACAGGATTTGTGCTCCTATGAGAATCTAATGCCGTCACTGATCTGACAGGAGGTGGAGCATAGGTAGTAATGCGAGCAATGGGGAGCAGTTGTAAATACAGATGAAGCTTCGCCCGCTTGCTAGCCACTAGCCTCCTGCCTGCGTGCAGCCCAGTTCCTAAGAGACCACGGGTGGGTACCAGTACATGGCATGGAGGTTGGGACCCCTGTGTTAAAGGATATAGGAGCCAACTTGAAGTCAATCTCAATGGCCAAATCAGCAACAAAATAAATAGTGATAATAATGGATTATAACCCATTGAATAAAATGTGAATCCGAGTCAAGAGTGATATAAATAATTTTCAAAAGTCAAGGGAGAGAAGAGAAAGCTTTTCTTTATAGTAACATCCCAAATAATAAGTATAAAAGAATAGTGGGAAGAGGAAATTTTCATTTGGCAAATACCACATTAATAATTGCTTCAGCAAGAGTCATCAATGGATGCTAAAATTAGTGGCTGAAAATGTGACAGAACACAGAATATCGAGACCATGTAGTCCCAATTTTTCTCCCTGTAACATATGTATTAATTACAAAGGTAAACGTAGTAATTTTATGATGGAGAAACCAGACAGACTCCACCTGGAATAGGTTGAATTGTGTTCCCCCTTCTTAAATTCATACATTAAATTTTTAACTCCCAGAATCTCACAATGTGACCTTATTTGAAAATAGAGTCATTGCAGATGTAATTAGTTGAGATGAAGTCATACTGGAGTAGGATGGGCCCCTAATCTAATCTGATTGGTGTCCTTAAAAAACAGGGAAGTTTAGACATGGATGCAGGCATGTACAGGGAGAATGCATGAGAAAATGAAGGCAAGATTGGAGTGATGCTTCCATAGGCCAAGGAGCACTAAAGATAGCCAGCAAACCATTGGAACTTAGGGGAGAGGCATGGGACAGGTTCTTTTTGATAGCCCTCAGAAGGAGCCAACCCTGCCAACACCTTGATCTTGGACATCTAGCTTCCAGAGCTCTAAGATAATACATTTCTATTGTTTAGGCCACTCACTCTGGGGTACTTTGTTATATCAGCCTTTGAAAACTAATACAAAACCTTAAATGAGTGATCAAAGTCACCATCACCAATAATAGAACATTATCTACTGACAGTGCACCAAGAAAGATGTAACATCACATTTGCGAGACTTTACCCAAAATGAATAACCTAAATGTAATAATAATGAAATGGCAGGCAAGTTCATATTGAGGGATATTCTATAAAATAACTGGCCAGTATCATTCGTAAGTGTGAAAGTCATGAAAGACAAAGAAAAACTGAGGACTTGTTTCATATTGGAGGAGGGACAGGAGACATGACACATAGTGTAAAGGTGGATCTGGATTAGATCCTGGAACAGAAGAGGGCATTAGTGGGACAAATGAAAAACTTTGAATGAAGTCTTTGTGTTAGATTAGCTATTATTATTGCATTAATATTAGTTTTCTCATTTGATAATTATACTATGGTTATATAAGATGCTAATATTTGAGGAATCTTTATGAAGGGTATGCAGGAATTCTTTATACTATTTTTACAACTTACATGTGAGTGTGAAATTTTTTCAAAGTAAAAAGTTAAGAACATTAAAGCAAAAACAAAGTCATACTATAGATGCAAGACAGCGGAAAACTTGTTTTTTGGCTTGTAATATTCCTTATCAAAACATCAATGAAGTCTTTTCAATTCTGTGAAGGTGTGGATTAGAAGCAATTCTGAACAGTTATATAGCTACTCCCACAGCCTTAGGCAATACTGTATACAAGCTGTCATAGCCCAGTAATTTGACAGAAGATTCAAATATTAATTTCCCTTTCATATAATTTGAAGATTATTTCTCCAAGTCCTTCTCTTTAATTTTCAAATTATTTTAAGATCCTAAAAAATGAATGAATACTTCTGATTATCCAAAATTGCATTTAAACATGGTATAATTAAAGCTACATTTCGGAATCTGAAAGAAGGCTTTTCTACACTGTGTTGATAGGGTCATAAAAATGCTTATTGACCTTTCAGATAACGAGGCTACAATGGTCATAGATAGAACAGATGGTTTTCTGATGAAACCAAGTGATTTCTCAACATAGGATGTCCTCTTCAACAGTTTCCCTAACAAAGAGAGCTTATATCTCCTTTGAGAGATCAATAACATGTTTGGATACATACGATAAAGTAAGACTTTTTATCCTCTTAAAAGTTACAACTTTTAGGCTTCTATGTGCGCTAGATTTCTCAATTCTTAGTGTTTTTTTTTTTTTTTTTTTTTTTTTTGGTGAGGTTGGGGTTTGGGAAATGTCTCAAACTATAAATGAACCATATTTAACATAGAAACAATTAAATAATTTCTCAGACTGAAATTTCTCAGACTGAAATTGGGTATTTAGTTTTACTACAACAGCAGCTGGCAGACAGCACCTGCCATCTGGTACAATTAATTTACAGTTAAGCTTCCAAGTTGCTGCTTGCAATTTAGAGCAGGAGAGAGGCTGTACACACATTCAGATGGGTACAGTATTAGAGGAAACATAACCTGTGATGTTTCTCCAAAAGAGTAAAGAGTTACCATGTCTATGTATCCATTCAGGTTGGCATTTCCTTGACTTTCCAAGGGAGTATGATGCATATTTTTTTTTTTTTTGGTTATATGAATGTATCTATAGCTTCTTGTAGTGGACATACATTAAGGTGACCCCTAGTGAGTCATATATTTGTATAATCCTTTCTGCTGCTGGAGTGTGGGCAGGACCTCTGATTTGTTTGCTTTTTTTTCTTTTTTTTTTTTTCTGACCTCCTTTTAACCAACAGAATACAGCAAAGGTGATGGGATGTCACTCCCAGGATTAGGTTACATTATATAAGGCTTCCTCTTAGCAGACTGACTAGAGACACCACTTGCTGGCTCTGGAGAAGTGAGCTTCCGTGTTCTGAGGGCCTTTAGAGAGACCCACATGGCAAGGAACTGCTGGTGCCCACCAGGAGTTGAGATGGTCCCTGGACACCATCCAGCAATAACACAGGGACCTCAGTTCTATCTGTCAGCAGACTGGAAGTGGATCTGTCCCAGTAGATCCCAGATGAGAACACAGCCTCAGCTAACACCGTGATTGCTGTTAGTGAGACTGAGAAGCACAGAATCTAGTTAAGTGTACCAAGACTCCCAACCCAAGGAAACTGTGATGTAATAAATGTGTGTTGTTTTACGCTATTAAGTTTTTGGTAATTTGTTACACATCAAGCAAAAACCAAGCCCCTTTCTCCCCAAATTCTTGTATTATCATGAAATACTTGATTGACTTAAATAAATATCCACTAGTTTGTCATTCACAAGAGGCACTGAGTCATTCCTGGTTGGTTATTTTTGGTTTTGCTTACAGATAGGAATGATAGCTGTTACATTGTAAATTTAAACTTACATTGGACAAACAACGTCACATTCCCTAACAATAGACATCATATATTTGAGGAATGTTCACTGATGTGAAAAATGTCTGTGGCAAAAAATAGTGCTGCTCCCCAAGTATTCCATGTGCTTTTCCACATGGGTTTTCCCAACAGCCTCCCAGGGGCCATGTGACTATATACAAGAGCAGAAACAATATTTCACTTCCAGACTGAGGCAGTGAAAAGCTTATGCATGACAGCAATTCTTCCTTCTCCTACAATGACAACTGCTGTGGCCACATGTTCAGACAACACAGCTAAGGGTGATGAAGCTTTCTCCAGCCTGTGTTCCTGGAGAGCCTTTCGGAGGAGGCAACCCCTTGCTGTTTTCTATGGTTCCTCTAGCATGCTAGAGAAGTAAAGATTCAATATCCTCAATCACTAGGATTTGGGGGTTTTGTTTCTGCAACATAATATAGCTATTCTTATTACTTTAAATGTTATTATAGTAACCTCAACACAGAGGATGAAACTTGTTCTATACAGAGAAAATAAATAAAATGAAGAAAAATAGGGTAGGATATGTACCAAAATGTCAATAGTGGTTATTTCTGGATGGTGAGCTGGATAGTGAGATTGCAAGCAATTGCTAGTTTGTCATATGACAAATTTTCCAAAATTTCTGTGGTGCACAAGTGTATATACAGACATAAATTATAATTAAAAATTAAAACATTTTTAAATTGGAATTGCCAATAAGATACTTTAATATTTAGTTAAAGTTTTCTTCTTATGTCTAAGACTCTGTAGGTATGAAGTTCTACCAACCATTAAGACAACATGCTATTTCACATTGAAATAAAAGGAAACTGTGTGATGTTACTATTAATGTTAAACTATTTGTCTATTTTTGAGGCTTTCAGAAATACAAAATAAAGAAGACCTAGGTTTCTTTGAAGGGGAATTATAGGAGAGGAGAGGGGTATGATATAATTGTCTTACTCATGAAAGCAAAACTGCAAGCCATTGCTTTCTTTTTTTAATGCAAAACCCTAAAACACCAAATTAAATAATGTAGCAACTAATTAGAGGTGCAATCTTAGACAATTTTCCCAAAAATCTGAAGTATTCAGATTTCACTACAGATGGATAAAGTCTGAAAGTCACCTTTTAAGGTATTTGAAATAGCTAAATTTGGTTCATCCTAGATATATTTAATGTTTCCTATTCAAATTCTCTGCAATTAAAGGACTTGATCATAGGGAGAGGGAGGCAGAGAACATGGGGTGATGGATCCTGACCATGGGCAGTATTTCATCTATCAAGCTGTCATTCTTAATTATAGATTTTTTTTTGCCATTTCATGAAGACAGTCCCTGTTCTAACATTGAATTGGATAAATTTTATTTTATTTTTTAATAGAAACTCTGTCTTTTAAAATATTTATGTATTTATTTATTTTTCAATAGTTTTTGGGGGAACAGGTGGTGTTTGGTTGCATGAAAAATTCTTTAGTGGTGATTTCTGAGATATCAGCACACCCATCACTTGAGAAGTGTACACTGTACCCAATGTGTAGTGTTTTATTCCTTACCCCTTCCTGTCCTTCCCCCAAGTCCCCAAAGTTCATTATATCATTCTTATGCCTTTGTGTCCTCATAGCTTAGTGCTCACTTATAAGTGAGAATATAAGATGTTTGATTTTTCTATTCCTGAGATACCTCACTTAGAATAATGGTCTCCAGCTTCATCCAGGTTGCTGTGAATGCCATTATTTCATTTCTTTTTATGGCTGAGTAGTATTCCATGGTATATATACACCACATTTTCTTTATTGTTGGTTGATGGGCATTTAGGCTGGTTCCCTATTTTTGCAATTGCGAATTGTGCTGCTATAAACATGCATGTGTAAGTGTCTTTTTCATATAATGACTTCTTTTCTTCTGGGTAGATACCCAGTAGTGGCATTGCTGGATCAAATGGTAGTTCTACTTTTAGTTCTTTAAGGAATCTCCACACTGTTTTCCCTAGTGGTTGAACTAGTTTGCATTCTTACCAACAATGTAAAAGTGTTCCCTTTTTATCACATCCACACCAACATCTGTTTTTTTTTTTTTTTTTTTTTTTTTTTTTTTAATTTATGGCCATTCTTGGAGGAATAGGGTAGTATCTCATTGTGGTTTTAATTTGCATTTCCCTGAGCCTTAGTGATGTTGAGCATTTTTTCATATGTTTGTTGGCCATTTGTGTATCTTCTTTTGAGAATTATCTATTCATGTCCTTAGCCCACTTTTTGATGGGATTATTTGTTTTTTTTTTCTTGCTGATTTGTTTGAGTTCCTTATGGATTCTGGATATTAGTCCTTTGTTGGATGCATAGTTTGTGAATATTTTCTCCCACTCTGTGGGATGTCTGTTTACTCTGCTGATTATTTCTTTTGCTGTGTGGAAGCATTTTAGTTTAGTTAGGTCCCATCTATTTATCTTCGTTTTTGTTGCATTTGCTTTTGGGATTTTGGTTATAAACTCTTGGTCTAAGATAATATCTGGAAGAGTTTTTCCAGTGTTATCTTCTAGAATTTTTATGGTTTCAGGTCTTAGATTTAAGTGTTTGATCTATCTTGAGTTGACTTTTGTTTAAAGTGAGATATGAGGATCCAGCTTCATTCTTCCACATGTGCCTTGCAAATTATCCCAGCACCATTTGTTTAATAGGGTATCCTTTCCCCACTTCATGTTTTTGTTTGCTTTGTCAAAGATCAGTTGGCTATAAGTATTTGGCTTTATTTCTGGGTTATCTATTATGTTCCTTGGTCTACGTGCCTACTTTTATACTAGTACCATGCTGTTTTGGTTACTGTAGCCTTGTAGTATAGTTTGAAGTCGGGTAATGTGATGCCTCCAGATTTGTTCTTTTTGCTTAGTCTTGCTTTGGCTATGTGAGGTCTTTTTTGGTTCCGTATAAATTTTGGAATTGAAGTTCTGTGAAGAGTGATGATGGTATTTTGATGGGAATTGCATTGAATTTGTAGATTGCTTTTGGCAGTATGGTCATTTTCACAATATTGATTCTATCCATCAATGAGCATGGGATGTGTTTCCATTTGTTTGTGTCATCTGTAATTTCTTTCAGCAGTGTTTTGTAGTTTTCCTTGTAGAGATATTTCACCTCCTTGTTTAGGTATATTCCTAAGTATTTTTTTACTATTTTTTGCAGCTGTTGTAAAAGAGGTTGAGTACTTGATTTTATTGTAGCTTGGTCATTGTTGGTGTATAGCAGTGCTACTGATTTGTGTACGTTGATTTTGTATCCTGACACTTTACTAAATTCATTTGTCATATCTAGGAGCTTTATGGCTGAGTCTTTAGGGTTTTCTAGGTATACAATTATGTCATTGGTGAAAAGTGACAGTTTGACTTCTTCTTTACCAATTTAGATACCATTTATTTCCTTCTCTTGTTGATTGCTCTGGCTAGAACTTCCAGTACAATGTTGAATGGCAGTGGTGAAAATGGGGATATTTGCTTGTTCCAGTTCTCAGGGAGAATGCTTTCAACTTTTCGTTTAGTATAATGTTGGCTGTGGGTTTGTCATAGATGGCTTTTAGTACCTTGAGTATGTCCCTTCTATGCCAATTTTGCTGAGGGTTTTAATCAAAAATGGATGCTGGATTTTGTCAAATGCTTTTTTGCATCTATTGAGATGATCGTGTAATTTTTGTTTTTAATTCTGTTTATGTGATATATTTCATTCATTGACTTGAGTATGTTAAACCATCCCTGAATCCCTGGTATGAAACCTACTTGATCATGGTGGATTATCATCTTTTTAATATACTGTCAGATTCGGTTAGCTAGTATTTTGTTGAGGTTTGTTGAGGATTTTTCATCTATGTTTATCAGGGATATTGGTCGTTAGTTTTTTTTCTTTCTTTTTTTTTTGAGACGGCGTCTCACTCTGTCACCCAGGCTGGGGTGCAGTGGCTCAATCTCGGCTCACTGCAAGCTCCGCCTCCTGGGTTCACGCCATTCTCCTGCCTCAGCCTCCCGAGTAGCTGGGACTACAGGTGCCCGCCACTGTGCCCGGTTAATTTTTTGTATTTTTAGTAGAGATGGGGTTTCACCATGTTAGCCAGGATGGTCTCAATCTCCTGACCTCGTGATCCGCCCGCCTCCACCTCCCAAAGTGCTGAGATTACAGGTGTGAGCCACTGCGCCCAGCCAGTTTTCTTTCTTTCTTTCTTTTTTTTTTTTTTAAATGCCCTTTCCTGTTTTTGGTATTAGGGTGATACTGACTTCATAGAATGATTTAGGGAGGAGTCCCTCTTTCTTTCTCTTTTGGAATAGTTTCAGTAACATTGTACTAATTCTTCTTTGAATGCTTGTCAGAATTCAGCTGTGAATCCATCTGATCCTGGACTTTTTTTGGTTGGCATTTTAAAAAATTACTGTTTCAATCTTGCTACTTGTTATTGGTCTGTTTAGAGTTTTTATTTCTTTCTGATTTAATCTAGTTGGGTTATATATTTCCAGGAATTCATCCATCTCCTCCAGATTTTTTAGTTTGTGTGTGGAAAGGTGTTCATAGTAGCCTTGAATGATCTTTTGTATTTCAGTGGTATTGGTTGTAATATCTCCAGTTTCATTTCTAATTGAGCTTATTTGGATCTTCTCTCTTCTTTTCTTGTTTAATATCACTAATTGTCTATCAATTTTATCTTTTCAAATAACTAGCTTTTGTTACATTTATCATTCATATTTTTTGTTTGTTTGTTTCAATTTCATTTAGTTCTCCTCTGATCTTTGTTATTTCTCTTCTGCTGGGTTTGGTTTTGTTTGTTCTTGTTTCTCTAGTTCCTTGAGTTGTGACCTTAGATTGTTTGTGCTCTTTCAGACTTTTGATGTAGGCATTTAATGCTATGAACTTTTTTCTTAGCACTGCTTTTGTTGTATCCCAGAGGTTTTGATAAGTTGTGTCACTATTATTGTTCAATTCAAGAAATTTTTAAATTTCCATCTTGATTTCATTGTTGATCCAGTGATCACTCAGGATCAGATTACTTAATTTCCATGTATTTGTAAAGTTTTGAGGGTTCCTTTTGGAGTTAATTTCCAGTTTTATTCCACTGTATTCTGAGAGGGTACTTGATATAATTTTGATTTTCTTAAATTTATTGAGACTTTTTTTGTGGCCTATCATATGGTCTGTCTTGGAGAGTGTTCCATGTGCTGATAAAAATAATGTATATTCTACAGTTGTTGGGTAGAATGTCCTGTAAATATCTGTTATGTCCATTTGCTCTAGGGTATAGTTTAAGTCCATTGTTTCTTTGTTGACTTTTTTTCTTTTTTCTTTTTGTTTTTTTTAAGAGATGGATTCTTGCTCTGTTGCCCAGGCTGGAGTGCAGTGGCACAATCTCAGCTAACTGCAACCTCTTCCTCCCGGGTTCAAGCGACTCTCCAGCCTCAGTTTCCCGAGTAGCTGGGACTACAGGCGCATGCCACCATGTCCGGCTAATTTTTGTATTTTTAGTAGAGATGGGGTTTCACTATGTTGACCAGGCTAGTCTTGAACTCTGACCTTGTGATATGCCTGCCTCAGCCTCCCAAAGTGCTGGGATTACAGGCATGAGCTACCGCGCCCTGCCAGGACTTTCTGTCTTGAGGACCTGTCTAGTATTGTCAGTAGAGTATTGAAATTCCCCACTATTATTGTGTTGCCATCTATCTAATTCCTTAGGTTTAATAAGAATTGTTTTATAAATGTGGGAGGTCCAGTATTAGGTGCATATATATTTAGGTTTGTGATATTTTCCTATTGGACTGATCCTTTTATCATTATATAATGTCCCTCTTTGTCTTTTTTAACAGTTTGATATGGTTTGGCTCTGTGTCCTCACCTAAATCTCATCTTGAATTGTAGCTCCCATAGTTCCCACATGTTGTGGGAGGGACCTGGTGGGAGATAATTGAATCGTGGGGGCGGTTTCCCCCATACTGTTCTCATGGTAGTGAATAAGTTTCACAAGATCTGATGTTTTTATAAGAGGTTTCTCCTTTCACTTGGCTCTCCTTCTCTCTTGCCATTGCCATGAAAGAAGTGCCTTTCACCTTCTGCCATGATTGTGAGGCCTCCCCAGTCATGTGGAACTGTGAGTCCATTAAATCTCTTTTTCTTTATAGATTACCCAGCTTGGGTGTGTCTTTATTAGCAGTGTGAAAATGGATTAATGTACTGTTGCTGCTTTAAAATCTGTTTTGTCTGATAGAATAGCTATTCCTGTTCACATTTGGTTTCCATTTGCATGGAATATCTTTTCTACCCCTTTACCTTAAGTTTATGTGAGTCCTTATGCATTAGGTTGAAGGGGGATATAAGGAACCAGAGAGACTAGACAGAGTGCAGGAGGGTGTTTATTTTAAGGTGTACACTGGCCCAGCAGACATGTGTCCTAAAGGTTGAGCCCAGAACAAAGAAAATGAGTCCCTTTTAACCATTTTGAGGTGGGAACTATATGAAGCAGGCTTACAGAAGCGAGAACAAAAGGCTGCTGTGACACTTTGGCAACATGTCTTACATCTCTGTGAGAACTTGGTTTGCAGCTTATGCTTATCTGTCTTGTGACCTTGCAGCTATGCAGGGAAGAAAGAAACAGGAGTTTACAGAGCCTACAAAATATGTGGAGGATAGATATGGTTAATGTTTCTTGGGACAGGCAGTTAATATTCTCTTCTAAGTTTAACTTAGAGGGGGCTACTTAAATTCTTTTCAGCCTTGGTTAATACAGTAATGTATTCTATGAGCTATTGTTATTTCTCTTACTATTATTACTTATGCTATTATTCTGTGATTTTCTTAATTTCCCACTGCAAAGTAAGTCTCTTTAAGACATAAGATACCTGTTCGGTGGATTTTTATACATTCTGCTATTCTGTATCTTTTAAGTGGAGCATTTAGGCCATTTACATTCAATGGTAGTATGGAGATGTGAGGTATTGTTTTATTCATCGTGCTAGTAGCTGCCTGAATACCTTGGTTTTTTTCCAGTGTGTTGTTTTTTTTATAGGCCCTATGGGGTTTATGCTTTAAGGAGGTTCTATTTTGGTGTATTTTGAGGTTTTGTTTCAAGATTTAGAACTCCTTTTAGCAGTTCTTAAAGTGCTGGTTTGGTAGTGGCAAATTCTCTCAGCATGTTTGTGTGAAAGTATTTTTCATTCATTTCTGAAGCTTAGTTTTGCTGGATACAAATTCTTGACTGGCAATTATTTTGTTTGAGGAGGCTAAAGATAGGACCCCAATCCCTTCTAGCTTGTAGGATTTCTGCTGAGAAATCTGCTGTTAATCTGCTAGGTTTTCCTTTATAGGTTACCTGATGCTTTTGCCTCACAGCTCTTAAGATTCTTTCCTTCATCTTACCTTTAGACAACCTGATGATTACATGCCTGTGTGATGATCTTTTTTTGTGATAAATGTCCCAGGTGTTCTTTGAGCTTTTTGTATTTGGATGTCTAGATCTCTAGCAAGGCTAAAGAAGCTTTCCTCGAGTATTTCCTCAAATAAGTTTTCTAAACTTTTAGATTTCTCTTCTTTCTCAGGAATAGCAATTATTCTTAGGTTTGGCCTCTTAACCCCAAATTTTCTTGGAGGCTTTGCTCTTTTTTGTTGTTGTTGAGATGGAGTCTTGCTCTGTTGGCCAGGCTGGAGTGCAGTGGTGTGATCTCAGCTCACTACAACCTCTGCCTCCCAGGTTCAAGTGATTCTTCTGCCTCAGCCTCTGGAATAGCTGGGACTACAGGCATGCACCACCACACCCAGCTATTTTTTTTGAAGTTTTAGTTGAGAGGGGGATTTCACCATGTTCGCTAGGCTGGTCTCAAACTCATGACCTCAGGTGATCCACCTGCCTTGGCCTCCCAAAGTGCTGGGATTACAGGCATGAGCTGCAACGCCCAGCCCTGCTTTGTTCATTTTTCTGATTCTTTTTTCTTTGTCTTGGTCTGATTGGGTTAATTCAAAAGCCTTGTCTTCAGGTTCTGAAGTTCTTTCTTCTACTTGTTCTAGTCAATTGTTGACATTTTGCAGTGCATTTTTAATTTTTCTAAGTGTGTCTTTTATTTCCAGAAGTTATGGTTGTTTTTTCTGTATAATATCTATTTCTCTGGAGCATTTTTCATCCATATCTTGTATTTAAAATTTTTTTTTCAAAGTTGGTTTTCACCTTTCTATGGTTTCTCCTTTTCACCTTTGTGTGGTTTCTCCTTGAGCAGCTCAATAATCAACCTTCTGAATTATTTATCTGGCAATTCAGAGATTTCTTCTTGGTTTGGATCCATTGAGAGCCATTCTTCTTGGTTTGGATCCATTGCTGGGGAGCTAGTGTGATCTTTTAGTGGAGTCATAGAAACTTGTTTTGTTTTATTACCAGAATTACATTTCTGATTCCTTCTCGTTTGGGTAGACCATTTCATTAGGAAATCTGCTGTTCAGATTTTATTATCCCATGGGGTGATCCCTTGATGTGATGTGCTCCCCCTTCCCCTAGGGAGGGGGCTTTGTGAGAGCTGGAGTGCAGTGATTACTATTGCTATTCTGGGTCTAGACACCCAGCAGGGGTACCATGCTCTAGGTTGGTGCTGGGCAATGTCTGCAAAGACATCACCCATGTCTGCATCACATCCTGTGATGTGATCCGTCTTCAGGTCTCCCAGGTATGGATATTAGCACCTGCTCTGGTAGAGGTGGCAGGGGAGTGAAGTAGACTGAGATTCCTGTCCTTGGTTGTAGATATTTTTAGTGTGCTGGCTTTCTTGAATGCTGGTTATGCTAGCAGTGAAGTTGTCATGTAGATAGATTCAGGACCTCTGGTTAGCCAGGATGTTGCAGGCAGTGGAATTAGCTGTTGTTTTCTCCTTCCTTGGAGCAGGATTATTGTGTTATGAGTTGCTGTAATGTCCTGAGTTTGTAATGTCCTGAGGTGACATTTTTAAGAGAGTGCAAGGTATGACAGTAGAAGGGGATATAAGCTTGCCCTAAGTTGGCCAGGGTAAGTATTCAGGTTTCTCAGCCGATAGGTGGGGCCATAAAGCTCCCAACAGTTTATGTCTTTTGTGATTGGCTACCAGGGCAGGTAGAGAAATACCAGGTATCAGGGAGGGGCAGATTAGGCAGGTCTGAGCTCAGACTCTCCCTGGGCAGGGCTTGCCGCAGCTACTGTGGAGGATGGGCGGTGGGATGGTTTTTGGGCCAATGGGGTTATGTTCCAGAGGAGATTATGGCTGTCTCTGTCACCAGGGAACTGGGGGAAACCTGCTAGCAATAGGCCTCACCCAGCTCCCATGCAGCTGGTGAGGCTAGTCTTGCTCCTGCCGTGTCCCACTAACAGTGCCTAGTTTATCTCCAAGCAGCCTTGCTGGTGTTTTAAGACATTCTCTCCTTCAATGCCAGTTAGCATTTCAATTCTAGAAAGAGGATTTCTACTTTTTCTGGAACTAAACTCTGATTAATGAAACAAACCATAAAGTGTCACAAGTCACAGCACATTCTTTGATTCCATTGGCACAGTTAATGTTCCAAGTTATCAAGGCATCAAATGTTGAGTTGGCATGACCTTGTAACCCTCTTAGCCTAACTGAACTTGGTTTAAGGAAATCCCTAATTGGCACCTCTTATGGAGTAAAGAAATCAGGCACTCTTACTGCATTCTTCCATTGCTGTGACCCTTCATGCAATGCTAATTAGCCCAGAAAATAATTTCTGACTTTATTGTCTGATGACTATCATAGCACCTGGGATTTTTTTTCCCTTTGCAGGGTTCTAAGTGTGTTTTCTTTGATATATGGTCTAATGCTAGCCCTAATTTAGGATTACCCTAATGAAAGACACAGTTTACTTAGGCTTCTTTTCTCTCCAACCTAGAATTCTGACTTCACTTATGTGATACTGTCATGAAAAAACCAAGTCACTTTCCTTATTGTTCAATTTTTACTAAAGACTACCCAATATTGAACAGAGGGCCTATTATTGTAGAAATAAATGAAAATGGAAGTGTTCAGCTGAACTTAAATGAATTTTTAAATTTACATCCTAGATAAGCATTTTAGTTAATGATACCCACTGGCAGCTGGAAAGACAATTGATGGGAATTCTGATACAAGAGTTTGCTCTCCTCAGTTCAATATTTCAGTAGCTGAAATGGAGTGGAGAACATAGTCCAAGCTATTTTTTTTCACTAATTGGTCACTGAATTAATGTTGTTGTTAAACAGGAGCACTATAAAGACATCATTCTAATTATATTAAAGCTAAAATGAATTTTATAAAACTTGATTCTAGCAGAGGTAGACAAACAAGGCATTTAAAGAGCTAGCCAAATATTCTTATCTACAGATCAAACATGTCAAATGCTTTTTGATTCTTCTGTGAGGAAATGCATTTTCGTGAAACAACTGCTTTTTCCAAAGACTCCATTCCTTCTTTTTTTTTTTTGTTTGCATTGATTGCATTTGCATTTATTTTACCTACAAACAGCTCCTGGGCCCAGGAGGTCGGCCCACATCAAGGTTCTATAACCTGGTGTGTGTGTGTGTGTGTGTGTGTGCATGTGTGCTGGCAATAACATACCTCAGCACTACCAAGGGGCCTGTGGGAACTAGGTCTATTGTGCTTGTGATATACTAATACCATAATACGTAGAATCACTACTGTTAGACTGTAGGCAAAGTGCACTATGAGCTGGGATAACAGGGCCTGACTCCAGTGCTCAGTTGAGCTTAAATAGAGGGACCCTCTAGACCTTGGGGGAAACAGGCATCCAGCTTTCCAGTATACAGCAGAGATAGACAGTTCCAGGAACAGCAGGCCCCCACATGGCTTTAGGAATGTTAAAGGACTGTGCCCTTGATATGGCCATCTGGGCTATAGCCATCAGCAAGTGCCAGGAGCAGTGGCCGCAGTGAGATGGCTCACACAGCACCCTAGACAGCAGGATCCTCTGCTGCACACATAGTCAAGGGGATCCCCATTAGGGGAGGGATAAAGGGACAAATGTCACATCTGTGAACACATGTAAAAAATGCCCTGGAGATACCAAAACATGCCTTAGAAAGAGCTAGAGGGCTTGAAATAATGAGCAGGAACAAAAAGCAGAAATACTGTTTATCATGGCTAATATGATTACATTTTCCCCCAGGCTGAAGGGGCTCATTGATATATGGGTTATATACTCAAATACAAGTTTTAAAATGGTAAACAAACTTTGGTTAGTTCCTGATTAGACAAATAATGAAAGTTATCCAATACAATATGGTTTTGCCCAGGCAATATGCTTGTGCTAACCCAGTTTTCTCTCTTGGAATAAAATGTTACATAGACTTAGGAAGCTGCATACCAGTGACTAAAAGCACATGGGCTGAGATTAAACTACCTACGTCTGAATTCTGGATCCCCAAGTAATTAGCTATGTGACTTCAGTACTTCAGTTTTTTTTTCCATTATGAAATCATGGAAATTAAATGAAAGAATGCATTTAGACATTCAGTTAGTACCTGGCAGATGGTCAATTTTTAAAAAGTAATTAGATTTTTTTCATATGCTTTAATAAAATTCAGTGAACCAAGGCTGATTTAGAATGTTAATTGATATTTGGATTTGGGTTTGTTTTGCCTGGGATTTGTCATATTTCCAAAGTATACATTATGAAAGATGGATCCTAAATCTTGAATTATTTTTTGTGGTTATGACAATAAAATATAGTTCTTTAACTTATCATGTATTTTCAACTAATATTTAAGGTGCTTCACAATGTCAGAACTTTACACCTTTATGATTTCATTTCCTCCCTTCCTGATCTTTGTGTTCTTGTCATATATTTACTTATGTTTAATAAAATGTAATAAATAATTTACTTACATGTAATAAACCCCACAATATAGTGTTATTACATTTATTTTAAATTAGATAATAGCCTTTTAAATATATATGTATGTTTAGTTGAAATATATATTGAATATGTATTAAAATTTTATATATATATATATATATATATATATATATATATATATATATTCTGCTTTGGTTTTGCCTATCTTCTAGTCTGTTGGTTGATGTCTTTTGTATCTTGGCAAATTCTTGGCTATTGTGTTTAAAAATATTAATTTTTTCCCATTCTTTGTCTCTTCTCCTTCTGTGCCTCCAATTGTTCATCTGTTACACCATTTGATACTGTCCTCCAAATCTTGACACTTTCATTTTTTTCATTTATTTAAAAGAAATTTTGTGTGTAATTTCTGTTGACCCCTCTTTAATTTCACTTTTTTTCTGCTGTATTTAGTCTTTTGATATGCCTTCAGATGAGTTCACTTTTCAATTTGAAAATTGTACTTTTCATTTCTAACATTTTCATTTGCTTTTTTAATAGTTTTATTTCTCTTCTGAAATTATTTGTCTATGCTTTGCATTATATACAATATACAGAACATTTCTGTCTCTTTAGAAACCCTCCTTCCGCTCCTTTGTAGTTGATCCTGTCCACCAGCACTGGGCCTCAGGCAACTGTTGATCTGCTTTCTGTCACCTACTGTTTGTGTCTGCTATGATTTCATATAAATTTAGATTCATGCATTATGTAATATTTTATGTTTTTTTGACTTAGCTTTTATTTGAGGTTTATTCATAGTGTTGATTATATTAATATTTTATTTGTCTTGTGGTTAGATATTCCACAATATGGATATATCATGATTCTTTTTATCATCAACTTTTAAGTTCTGGGGCACATGTGC
Source organism: Homo sapiens (assembly GCF_000001405.40). Classification (NCBI taxonomy): domain Eukaryota; kingdom Metazoa; phylum Chordata; class Mammalia; order Primates; family Hominidae; genus Homo; species Homo sapiens. The sequence goes on from NC_000002.12 coordinate 208,622,026, forward strand.
AGGATGTACAGACTTGTTACATAGGTAAACGTGTGCTGTGGTGGTTTGCTGCACAGATCAACCCATCACCTAGGTATTAAGCCCAGCATCTGTTAGCTAGTCTTTCTGATACTCTCCCTCCCCCGACCCTCCTTACAGGCCCCAGCATGTGTTTTTCACTGCCATGTATCCATGTGTTCTCATCATGCAGCTCCCACATATAAGTGAGAACATGTGGGTTTTGTTTTTCTGTTCCTGCGTTTGTTTGCTGAGGATTATAGCTTCCAGCTTCATCCATGTTCCTGCAAAGGACATGATCTCATTTCTTTTTATGGCTGCATAGTATTCCATGGTGTATAGGTACCAAATTTTCTATATCCAGTCTATCATTGATGGGCATTTGGGTTGATTCCATGTCTTTGCTATTGTGAATAGTGCTGCAATGAACATATGTGTGCACATATCTTTATAATAGAGTGATTTATATTCCTTTGGGTATATACCCAGTAATGGGATTGCTGGGTCAAATGGTATTTCTACCTCTAGATCTTTGAAGATAAGATAAGCCTTGATGTGAGGCAGAGTAAGTCCTTGAAACTCATTCTTTTTTTTTTTTCAGAATTGTTTTGGCTACTCTAGCATTTTTGCTTTTTCATAGACATTTTAGCAATATTTTATCAATTCATTTAAAAATTAAAAAATTAAAGTTTTAAAAAATAAAAATAAAAAAATCCTGCTAGGATTATGATTGCATTGTATCTATGAAAAAATTATGGGAGAGAAAAGCCATCTTAATAGTGAGTCTTTAGTCAATGAACATGGTGTATCTCTCCATTTATTTAAGTCTTAATTACCCTTTGCAATATTTTGTAGTTCTTAATGTACAGGCCTTTTGTATCTTTATTTAAATATAATCTTTTCTAATTTTTAATTTTTGTAGGTACATAGTATGTGTATATTTTTATGTGGTACATGAGATACTTTGATATTGGCATGCAATGTGTAATAATCACATCATGGTAAATGGGATATCCATCCCCTCAAGTATTTATCTTTTGTGTTACAAACAATCCAATTGTATTCTTTTAATTATTGTAAAATGTACAATTAAATTATTGTTGACTGTAGTCACTCTGTTGTGCTGTCAAATACGAGGTCTTATTCATTCTTTCTATTCTTTTTGTACCCATTAACCATCCCCACTTTAGACTGTGTTCTGAATATTATGAATGCTACATTGTAGAATTCCTGATTTCTGTTATTTTTCTCTGATGAATATAGATTCTTTAAGTAATTATCTTGATTGAATTGAACTGAATTTTTTTTGACAAGCAACTACAATATTGTTTTTAAAACATTTCCTTTAGTGAAATTGAATTGACTTTACCCTGCATGTATGTGGTTCAGGGGGTCAGTGAGAGATGTGGGTAGATAAAATTTGGGGATACCTTTTCTACCCCTTTCTCTTCCAGAGCTCCTCCACTCTCTTCAGCAGTCATCTGTGAATCAGACTCCAGATATCTATTGTAGAATTTACACCAAGCATAAATTAAATAAAAGAACTTCTGAAAGTTTCAAACCTGAAACAGAAATGGCTTAAAAAAATATGTTCATGATAGGTCACTTGGTTTGAGTGGCTTAACAGAAGAAAACTCGATTGAAAACATTCGCCGGAGATGGTGTTTTATGGTATGCATTAAACTAGCTTCATTAAAAATAAAACCCAAATTCTAATTGATAACATTGGTCAAAGTGTTCTTCAACATTCATACTACTTTTACCACCCATCAAAAAGGGGATTTGAGCACTTATTTTGATGATATCAGTTTTCTAGTCTTGATATTTTTCTTTAGCTTTTAATGTTTTAGTTGAGACTGATTTTTTTTTAATCAGAGGGAGGAAGGAGAAAGGGAAAGAATCAGTGGCAATATATGTCTATATAAAAAGTTTCAATAATCTTAAAGACATTTTGCTAACATACGCAGTTCTTGCTATTACCTTTAGCTCCTTAAAACAAGACTTATCTGTGTGTTTCTTTAATTGAAGAATATCATTTTTACTTCTTGGTCATATCTTCAAAATGTACTGCTTGCCTTCTCTTACCCTATTTCTAGTTTGTTATGGTTGTGAAAATGTAATGAGCATACTCAGAATGCCATCGTCTAGATCTTTGTTAAAAACCAGTCCTCAATGATATTAATGAGGCATAAAATGTCACCTGTATGTTGAATTCAGGTATTATTCAGTTCCACTTTAAATGGTGTTATCATTTCGACAATATACATCTCAGGTCATTAAATATATGTTTTTTGAAATAAACTAAAAACTCTACATAAATTTTCTTAAATTCAAGAAGAAAGTAGGTATTATTTTAAAAATATTATTGACACATCCTTGTTCATTGGGAAATAATTATTTAACCAGGAATATCAGGTAGAGTTAAAGATTTAAAATAATAATCCACTTAAAAGATAGACACATTATTTTTGGAGATCTTACTGACTAAAACTTGGGTTTACTTTTTATAAAACCAATTTATTGTGATTGTAGCTATAATTATTTATAGCATAAGATATTATTTTAGTTGTTGTAGTGGTTTTAAACTTTAAAATAACATGTATTTTTTCTTTAAATCTGAATAAAATGTCTTTTTTCAGAATATGAATCACTTACTCCACAGAAAGAGAAATAGAGTTGTTTTAAATCTTTTCTGATATAATATTTATGTATGTGTAAATTTATTTTAAGATTTCAAAGCCTAAGTGAGTGTGATAAAGCATTGCAAGAGGATATTTTTGATAACTTATCAAGTCACAGCAATTCCAAGGAACATTATCTTATTTTTGAAAATCATTGTTACCAAAGACAAATATTTATGTGTTTTTAACTTCAGCTTTATTTTGTTTGTCCCGCAGCAGGAGTGCAGAGTAAGGAAATAAACCATAAAAATCATAAATATAAGTTGGATAATAACATCAAGGTTTGCCATCACACAAATAAATACAAAAATCCCAAGATAGCTTGATTATAATTTTGCTAAATCTATATGGTTACTGACAATAATCATTGAGGAAATATTTTCATTTTCTGTACTTGAGCTGGGTTCTTAAAAAGTCTGTGGACTTTCAGAGTTATAAAAAGTTTTGAGTTTTAGAGTTCATCTAGTTCAGCTACCTTATTGAACAGGTGAAATTATTGAAACACAAAGATTAGGTATCTTACTGATGGTTACATAACTGTTTAGATAGCAGGATCATGGGCTTTTTACCTCCATTTTTGTTATTCTTGATCATGTCTTAACTCTTTGTCTCCAGTATATTTAATTTTGTCCTTTGTAAGTTTTCTTTGAACTATATTTGGTGCTTTTGAATTTCTGTCATGTAAGAAACAAATTATACTTGTCCAGGTATTAAACTCTGTTTCTATGTAGTGTCCATTATAAGCGTATGAGCATTGGAGTAAAATAGCCCTGAGTTAGAATGAAGGACCCATCACTTACTATCTTTGTGACATGGGGAAAACTATTTATCCTTTTTAAGCTTTATCTTCTCCAAAGGTGGTAATGCCAAACTAATTGCCTTATTTTTAAGATAAAATATAAAATAATATGAGTTATTATTACATCACTCAATAAGTATGCATAGTGTGAACCTTTCATAAATATGAACATGAATTTCAAACCCTTTGTTTAAAAAGCCAGAAAATAATACGAATTACTTTTAGATAATGTCTTTCAGTATCATTTTTGTATATATTGTTGCTATAGTAAAATTAAAACAAAAAATAATAAATACGCACCTTCCTTGAGGCATTTATTATTTATTGAGGAAGACAGCTAAATGAATATAGGAGATAGAAGTTTGGCTTTGGGATTCAAGAGTAGGAAAAGAAAACATTTGAGAAGTATTAATTTGGAAAGAGATCACAGAGGATGTATACCGAAAGATGACAAGTACACAATTTGTCAGCATAGAGAAGGACATTCTGAGTATTAATAACAACACGTGAAATAGCTCAAAGTTTTCATCAGGGAAACCAGATACACAGTTTCTGCCTATAGGACACTTCACAGAAAATCAATTTTTAAAATAATTAATTCCTCTTTTCCAAAAGTTACTTAAAACAGTAAATGCAAAAAAACAGATATAATAAAGCAATATGAAAACATAAAAATAAAGTAATATAAGAGAGTCAAGAGAAGGTTGACCATATTCACTGCCAAGAAAAGCTTGTTAATTGAACTAAAATTACTGTTAAGAGAACTTTTGTTGTAGGCCCTTGAGAGGCTCTGGTTCTTTCTCAGCCCAATTGTTACATCCTTATTCGTCATGTCTTGTTACTTTGTTGTATGTCCACTACCAAAAAAGTGTTTTGAGACAGAAATAGTTTGTAATCCATATATGAATAACAGTGCTTCAACAGAGAGAATACGAAACAAATAAAAAATATAGCTACTATCTCAAGGTGATCAAAGGCAGATTAAGATTCAAGACTATTATATTGCTTATGTGGTAATTTACTTCATAATACCTCATTTAAATTGTGTGATATAAATTGTTTAGTATATTAACTTTAATATATAACATCACATATTATAGCATATACTATAGTATACTAGTAGGATTTGAAAGACTTTAATCAGTAATTCTTATTCCAGTTATGATTTCATATATTCTTTAAATATTACAGTAATCTTCTCTACAGGAGTCACTGGTTAGCATAGGAATGCTAGAAATAATTTTCCATTGGCTAAATGAGTGAAGTCCAAGATACATGATTGGCGAAAACAATTGTATAGGCACCATCATCTTCTGTGGTGTAGGTATAAGAGTTCATTAAACCTAGGTGCATAGCACCTATGGTGTAGTGTTATAGATCTAGAGATTCATTTGATATTGTGTACCCTGCATTTTGCCTGTTGCCTGACACAAAAGAAGTTGGATGGCCTGTTAGGTTATTATTGTATAAGCTTTAGAATGAGGATCTCATGCAGTGGGCTTGTTGGAGTGCATATGGATAGAGATTTTTTAGTGCCTGAGGAGAAGAGAACAGGTTACATAGTTGTTTTGTGTCCGTTTGCTAATAAATGTCTGTAAGTGTGTCAGACTTTGCTCTAACACTTCCTTTCAGTATAATATGCCAAAGAGATTACTGAGAAAGGAGATGCATAGATTCCTCTTTCTTCTAATCACCAGAAGCCACTGATATTTGCCCTGAAGTACTTCGTATTACAAACTGTCAAGTTGGCTGAGATAGGTGCACAATAGACAGCTAAATAAAACAATATTTGAAAAAAATGCTGACATTCAGTATTTTTTCCTCCTAAAATCTGAGTGTCTGGCTTCTTTTTTGATAACCTTTTTTTTTTTTTTGCCTTCTCTCATAATTGCTCAAAACATTGAGGTCAACGATGAAAAAACTGTTCCATATACTTCTCTTTAGCATATTTTGATAAAACTATGGTCCTAAAATAGAAAGGCATCTTCTTTAGTACAGAGGTACCTTAAGATATATTAAGAGAAATAGAGAAGATCAAGATGCTGGACTTAGAAAATTTTGACATTTTAGTAGGCAGAAGGATGAGAGTAAGAAAAGACAGAAAGTCATGATACAATAGAACAAAGTCCCTTATCTTGAGCAACAGAATTTGTTTGAGTTCTTACTGCATATTGGACACTGGCAAAGAAGAAAGATAAAATAGAGCTTCATGCCTTTAAGGGGCAATAATAACACAACTACAAGTAGAAGACAATGAGGATGTCTAAGATGAGAAATCAGTGTGTGGGAACTCTTAGATGAAGACTGAACAGGGCATTTTCCTTTTCTTTGTTTTTTAACAGAGAAAGTTTCATTTCCTCTGCAAAAAAGAAATGACATTAAGAAACTTATTTGGAATTGAGCTATTAAAAAGTACAAAGATGAATTGAAGTAAGACTATAAATGGGACAAAGATCTCTCCAGAAAGATCCTTTCTACCTTGAATGCCTATTATCCATTTTGAGAACACTCTGGCTTCTCGTCCTTTTATTTCTAACCAGTATTTCTTGAACCCCAAGGTGCACTCAAAACCCAAATATAATTTTAATATCAATGAGTGGAAGCCAGAGAAAAACTGGCTATCACCCAACTGCTTTATCTGCTTCCAAGAAATTACCCTTGGTTCAGGAAAGAGCAAGCGAGACATTTTTTAAATTCAAAACTGGGGTGAAGAATTATTCTTTTTCACTTTGGGTTGAATGAGTTGTGACTTTTATAGTCTATTATCTAAAGATCTAGGGTCACAACACAATGTGTCATTATTCTTATAGCACATCCCTCTGGCTATATTTCCTAGATTTTTAATGAAGGCTAAAAATGCCCTTCTTTCTTCCCCTTGTTCCCTATACAAAAATACATTTTTCAGTTCTTGAAGATCTGAAATCTTATAAGATCCACAATTCCCAGTTTAAGCTGTTTCTAAGGCAATTAGGGCTTTTTTTTTTATTTTTAAGGTAATATCTATAAGAGACAAGATCTCTAATGTTACTCCTGGATACTATATGGGACAAATTTAAAATATTTTCTGATATTTGGGGCACTTTTTATGCCTAAATTGTTAATAAGATAAATATTACTTGAATATTAATTATTGCCTATTTCTTTTCTATGTAATTTGATAATAGGAAATAAAGGATAAAACACAGTCTGCTCATCCTCAAGCACTTCTGATCTGTTGAAATCTATTCTCTTTAATTATTCATAAATGGACTAGTAGCTTATGTAGTCTAATAATCCCCAAGTCTTCCAGTATCCTGGGGCCTTCCTTTTCTTTTATGTCCAAATGAAATAACTCAGGCTTCATGTCACGCAAAAATGGAAAGCTCAAACTCCTCTCTCTCTCTCTTTAGGATTCTAAGGATAGCACTTACTTTTTCTTGGTAGTTTTCTATTACTTGTCTTAAATACGTCTTCCTAACTCAGTTGGTGATTGCTGCCTGTCACCTACCTCTCAGGGCTGCAGTCCCACTTTGTTTTGCTCTTCAAGTGCCTCTTCACCTTTATGCCTTAAAGTAGCACATACACAAGACTATTGTGTAAAAATCTTTTGCTGAAAGTTTGTAGATAATGGAGGAACTTAAGCACAGAAAAGAAACAAAAACAATATCAGACATTCTGAATTTCATCATTCAGTTTCTTCCCAGAAAGTTAGTTGTTTCCTTTTTAAGGGCCTGGCTACCGGGACTCAGCCTCTCTCTCTCTTGTTCTCTTTCTCTCCACCCACCACTCACTGAACATTTCTTACGTATTTCTTTTCTCCAAACTCTGAAGCAAACAAAAACAAGCAAAACTTTCTTCTTTTTGAGTTCATATGGATCAAATTACAAATATGCTTTATTTCACTCAAATCAAGCAATTTAACTCTCTTTTTATTCTAGTTCTTATGTCCTTATTTGTCCAGGGATTTTACTCTCAAACAAAGACTCCAAAACCGGTCTTTCCAAACTAAAAGCAATATTTAGCAAAATGAGAATATCAGTTTTAAGATAGGTTCTATTTAAAGATAGGTGCCATTTTGTTTTTACCTTCTATTATATTTACATAATTATAAACAGTTTATATATGTATGTATATATAGTCCATTAAATTCTTACAAGAACAGCGTAGAGAAGATAATTACAGCACTTCTTCATTAAAAGGCACACACTCCACATTTATTCCCCTAACCTTCTAGTGTCTATTGTGTAGGGACTAGAAGTCCACGAACTACATTTTCCCAACTCTTGTCGGGAGGGTTTGACAATTAGTTGCAGTTAAAGAAGATGTGGAAGTTGGAAGAGAGGCAGCAGCTGTTTTTCCTCCAACATTCGTGAGCTTTAGCAGAACTGAATTTTATTTAGCAATAAATCTCCTTATTTTCCTATCAGTGACTGATTTTGAGCTATAGAGAAATTTCCTGAAGCTTTCTGACATCTAGATATTCATCAGCTTCCTAATCTTTGGCTTGCATCTTCTTTGAACATTCCTTAGTGCTCAGAGACTTCTCAGCTCTTCCAACAAATTTGTAAACATTTAATTTCTTTAATCAAACTTGTACTAATTAGCCATTGCTTCACAAATGCTGCACAACAAGCCATCCTGCCCACAGATTCATGGGCTTAAAACAACAGTCACCTATTCTTGTAGATCTCCAAATTGTCAGGAGTTGACTGACCTAGGCTGGATTTGGCAATGTGGTTCTGCTTCAAGCTGTTGATCCAGCTAGGCTTGGCTTGGGCAATTCCACTCCATGTATGTTCAACCTTGGGTCTCTGTGGAAGAGGCAGCAGCTAGCAACCTGAAGAGGAATTCTTCTCAAGACAGTGGCAGAAGTACAAAAGGACAGGCAGAAATATGCAAGGGCTCTTAAACTCTTGTTTCAGAACTGGTACATTGTTACTTTTATCTTCGTACCATTCATTGGACAGTGCAACTCATATGGCCAAGCTCAAGAGCTAAGCATAATTTGTGGAGAGGTTATGATAATGGTGTTCATCACAGCTGTTCAAATTATTGAAGACTTATAAGCCTCTACAGAATATAGTGATGCAAGCCTTTAACAATGGTGAACGGTATAGTGAAGCAAGAGAAAGAATGCGTAAGTAAATATGAGAGGGCCAAGTTGCACAGGATAAACTTGGCCTTTGGATCGTAATGCACCAAGGTACATGTGAGTGACCTTAATTTCGAAGAAGCCAGTTTCATCTGAAGAAGAATTTTAATACCCCATTGGTCAATAGCTAAAACCTGTCTCATCATGCTGAATAAGAGAATCTCAGATAATATAATCAAAATCAGATGTAAACCACCAAATCAAATATTTCCTATAAATAATCCTGACAAGTTTGCACAGGCTTCCTTCTGGTGTATTTTGGACTCTAGCACAGAGCAATGTTAATCATTTGTTTGTGTATTGTTTTTAGGTTTGGTTAAGGGTCAGCACCATGGATCCAGGAATCCCTGGAGAAAAGCACAAGGTTGCAACCTATATGATCTGCTAATGAGGAGATCATGTTAAAGGTGTGAAGAGCCAATCATTATATTTCCCACAAGTCCAGTTATATTTGAGAGCATAGAGGGGGTTCCTATTTCTTTGCAGTGAACCCTGATGGATAAAGCTCAATGTGTAAGTGAAGACTTTGAAAATTAAAATCTAATTGGTAAGCAATATAATTGGAATTTGGAATAAGGTCTTTGACATAGTTTAGTTATTTGTCCCCCTAAATCACATGTTGAAATGTAATCCCTAGTGTTGGAGGTGGGGCCTGATAGGAGGTCACTGGATGGTGGAGGTGGATTTCTCATGAATGGTTTGGCACCATCCCCTTGATTCTGTCTTCAAGATAGTGAGTTCTCATGAGATCTGGTTGTTTAAAAGTATGTGGCACCTTCCACACACCCCCTCTTTCTCTTGCTCCCTCTCACCATGTGAAATTCCAGCTTCCCCTTCACCTTCCACCATGATTGTATGCCTCCCAAGGCCTCTCTAGAAGCTAAGCAGATGCCACAACCATGCTCCCAGGCTGCAGAACTGTGAGCCAATGAAATCATGTTTCCTTATGAATTACCCAGCCTCAGGTATTTCTTTATAGCAATGCAAGAATGGTCTTATATACAATCTTTTAACTTCAAAACCAGTGCCCTTTTTACTCTACCAAATATTTGAATCAATATGTAAACTAATATGTGGTCTGATCAAGAATCAGTGCAAATTGCTAAGTAAAATGAGGGATTTGGCATTGCTATTCAGCTGGCTTTCCTTTTGGTAGCTTTATAACCACATTTCCATCTCTCTCTGTCCTCTCTCTAATGCACGTACTCACACTAAATAAAATCTCAGAGCCCTTTTGGTACATTGTGGATACTGAAAATATCTAGTCAGCTATCCCATAAGATCTGTGCATTTCAAACTTTAATATACATATGAATTATCTGGGGATCAGTTTATAATACAGATTCCGTCTCAAGAGGTCTGGGGTGGGCCTGAGCTTCTGCATTTCTAATATACTTCCAGGTATTGTGATGCTTCTGTTCTGGTAGACTACACTTTGAGGATCAAGGTTAGAATAACATTTTTCCCACATCCCTGTTCTTCTTTCCCCTACTTCAAACTTTTTCTTTCTGTATCACATTTCTTCCAGGCTCTTTTTTTAGGGTGATAATTAAAAAGTCCTCTCTATTTATAGCCCATAAATCTTCTTTAATGTTGCCCAAGAAGACTATTCTTAGGTCTAGACAGGACTCTAAATGCCCCTTCGGTTAGTACTGTATGGCTGGCTACTTACTGCATTTCTGGATTAGTCTAGCCCAAGATGCAGGCAAGGATTGTCTGGACTAGACCATCGGATTCTCTGGTCTTCATCTATACTCACCTAAAAACTACTCTCCTTTGCACATCTGGGATTAATTCTTATCTTAGTTAATGCGGAAGATTTTTTTAATGGCCACAAATTCTCTTTCCTGCTTTCATGCCCTTGCAATAAAACTTTGCAGCATCTTCTATCAAGAGGGTGTTGTCTGTTTCTTGATGCCTTGAATTTGGACCAGTCTTTTGACTAGTCTATTTGTTTAAGTTCTTTAGACATTGTAAGGTGGTAACAAATTGTGTGAGTTCTGAGCCTGGGTGTCAAGAGACTCTTTATGCTTCTTCTGGCTCTCTTGAAATTCTGAGCTGCCATTAGAATAGGCATGAGCTAGCCTTTTGGATGATGAGAGGCACATGGTCCTACCAAAAGCCAACCAAACCTGAGAGGCATAGCTTTCAGACTGGCAACTGACACACACTCAGGAGTGAACATAGTGAGACCAGCAGGAGAACACATGCTGTTGACCTTCAGAATTAAATAAATGGTTGTTGTTTTAAGACACTAACTTTTGAGATGCTTTGTTACCTAGCAGAAACTCACTAATACATTTAGAGAGGATTTACATAACCCTGATTCAGGGTTTCCTAAATTTCCTAGCTTTGATAGGAGTTCAGTTCTGACCATGTTCTGGTGAATGAGTTCTATTTTGTTTCTGTGAAAAATCACCCCTATCCACATTGTACTCCTTTCAGTTCCAATAACAGCAGTAATTTAATCTTTTTTAAAAAGAATTTGAACTTATATTTTAGATTTGGGGGTTTATGTGCAGGTCTGTCACATGGGCACACTACATGATGCTCAGGTTTGGGATATGGATAATCCCGTCACACAGGCAGTGAGCACAGTACTCAATAGATAGTACCTCAGACCTCACCCACACCCCCCTGCCACCTCCAGAAGTCCCCAGTGTCCATTACTCTTATATTTATGTCTATGTGTTCTCAATGTTTAGCTCCCACTTGTAAGTGAGAACCTACAGTATTTGATTTTATGTTTCTGCATTAATTCATTAGGATAATGGCTTCCAGCACCATCCACATTGCTGCAGACAACATGAGTTTGTTCTTTTCTATGGCTGTGTAGTATTCCATGCTGTATATGTACAACATTTTCTTTATCCAATCTGCCAATGATGGGCATCTAGGTTGATTTCATGTCTTTGCTATTGTGAATACTGCTACAATGAACATATCAGTGCATCTATCTTTTTGGTAGAATAATTCATTTTCTTTTGGGTATATAGACCCAGTAATGGGATTGCTGGGTTGAATGGTAGTTGTGCTTTAAGTTCTTTGAGAAATCTCCAAACTGCTTTCCACAGAGGTTGGCCTAATTTACATTCCCATCAGTGGCGTATAGCATTTCCTTTTGTCTGCAGCCTCATCAACATCTGTAATTTTTTTGACCTTTTAATAATAGTCTGGTGTGAGATGGTATCTCATTGTAGTTTTGACTTGCATTTCTCTAATGATTAGCAATGATTAGCATTTTTTTCATGTTTCTTGGCCACTTGTATATCTTCTTTTGGAAAGTGTCTGTTCTTTTGCACATTTTAAAAGTGAGGTTGTTTGATTTTTGCTTGTTCATTTGTTTCTTATAGATTCTGGATATTAGACCTTTGTTGAGTGCATAGTTTGTGAATATTTTCTCCAATTCCTTAGGTTGCCTCTTTACTCTATTGATAGTTTCTTTTGCTGTGCAAAAGCTGTTTTGTTTAATTAGGTCCCACTTTTCAATTTTTGTTTTTGTTGCTGGCGTTTGAGGACTTAGCCATAATTCTTTGCCAAGACTGTTGTTGAGAAGAGTATTTCCTAGATTTTCTTCTAGTATTTTTACAGTTTGAGTTCTTACATTTAAATCTTTAATCCAGCTGCAGTTAATTTTTGTATATGTTGAAATGTAAGGGTCCAGTTTTATTCTTCTACATATGGCTGGCCAGTTATTCTAGCACCGTTTATTAAATAGAGTCATGTTTCCATCGTTTATTTTTGTTGACTAAGTTTAAGATTAGATTACTGTAGGTCTGTGGCTTTATTTTTGGGTTCTTTATTCTATTGCACTGACCTACATATCTGTTTTTGTACCAGTACCATGCTGTCTTAATTCCTGTAGCCTCACAGTATAATTTGAAGTTGGCAATGTTATACCTCTGGCTTTGTTCTTTTTGCTTAGGATTGCATTGGCTATTTGGGCTGTTTTTTTGGTTCCATATGAATTTTAGAAGAGTTCTTTCTATGTCTGTTGAAAATGATGTTGATTGGTTGATAGGAGTTTATCTTCTTTTGAGCCTGAGTCCCTGCCTCATTCTGAACAAACTGGGATCTTTCTTTGCTTTCTGAAGTGTTCCTAAGAAATAGTCTTGACCTTGAGGTAGTCCCAGTGTTGAATAGAGCTGAACTATCAGACCCTGGACCTTCCCTGCCATGTAGCCTGGGTCTCTGTATATTTCCTGGCCTTGACTTATGGTAGTTGTCCTTCTGCCAGATTAGCCTCTCTTCTTTCTTGCCAGCATTCACAACCATCAGTCACTTGAGCAGCCTGGCACTGTGGATACCAGACAACATTCTCATGTGGATATCCAACTAAAAGTTTCTCACTGGCTCCCCTAAGAACAAGGTCCTAAGAACAAGGTCCAAGCTCCTCAACATTGCCTGCTAAAACTTTTATGACCTGCCTTCTACATATCTCTCTACCTTCATCCCTCACTGTAAATTCCTCAATCCACCATCCTGACATAGTGAACTATATATATTTCTATGGATGTTTCAGTTATGTCTTGATTCCCCTCACTTGTTCCTGCTGTCTCCTCTTCTTAGAACGCTTATGTTCCTTTCCTTTACCTGGTCAGCCTCTGTTCACCATTTCTGATTATTTCCTTGATTGTTAGGTGCCCCTTTATACATCCTGTTTGTAGTTACACTCTCACACGTGTAATAATGTACTTCTTGCATTGTGTGTTCTTGGAGACTGAACTATTTGAAGGCAAATGAACTTCTCTTTTATATCCTAGTTCCCATTGCCTACAATAACAATTGATGTTTATTTTTTCAACAAATGTTTATTGAACAGGTGCTGGGTTAAAACCTGGAAATACACACTAAACAAGATGTCAAAGGAAATCACAACATGTGAGACAGGACATAAACAGCTATTCATAATATCAGCTAAGAAGCTAATAAGATATTTATGCACCATGTTCAGAGCAGCATTATTCACAATAGACAAAAGTGAAAGCAACTCAAGGATGAATGGATAAACAAAATAAAGCATATGCACATACAATGAAATCTTAACCTTAAAAAGGAAGGAAATTCTGACACAAGTAACAGCATATATGAATCTTGAGGACATTGCTAAGTGAAATAAGCCAGTCACAAAAAGGGCAATAATGTATGATTCTCCTTCTACAAAGTACCTAGAGCAGTCAAAATAATTGAGATTAAAAAGTAGAATGGTGGTAGCCAGGGACTGCAGGGAGGAGGGAATAGAGAGTTGTTTAATAGGTATCGAGTTTGAGTTTTGCAAGATGAAATGAATTCTGGAGATTGGCTGCACAGCAATATGAAAGAATGTACTTAACATGACTGAACTGTACACTTAAAAATGGTTAAGATGATACATTTTATCTTATGTATATTTTACCAGAATTAAAAATAAAAGAGAAGTTAATGAGAGCTGCTATATTATTATAAAAGGGAAGATATGGGCCGTCTCATTTAACTCTGTGGAAGGCACACAGTGGAAATACAGCTAGTACTGTACTTGCGGATTGATGATCAAGTGCGTTAATTAACTGGAAAATGAACAAATAAATAGAAATATAGCTCTGTCTTCTTGAATGAATTTCCCATGAGCCAGTGAAAATTACAGCTGGGATTTGGAAATAAGCTTGGTTCATAGATTGCAAAATAAATTTTCTTCAGTGGCTTTCCAACAGAGATAATGACAAGATTTGAGAGCTTGCCTCTTACCAGTTAATTTAAATTAAGATGACCTAATAAAGGTCTCTGGGCATTTCTTCATAAGAATGGAGACTCCTGCTGAATAGTTAGATATCAGAAACAAGGAAAAGAATGCAAAGGTTCTGAAATATGATATTGAAGACTTGTATGGAGGATGTTAGAAAATGATTAGCAATATGTTTTAAGCACTTTTTTTAGAGATAGACATTCTATATACTTATTAATATTTTGTCATATATGAAAAGAAAATACTTAGTATGGTGCAAATTCTCTCGATCTGTGGGATCTGGACTCTCATATAATTTGCTAGTTTTTTTTCTCTGAATTATTTCAAGTTCTCTACTAATTATTTGAGTCAAATTATGGAAATATATATGTATATACGTGTATATACATATATACGTATATATACACATATATATGTATATACATATATACATATATAAATATATATGTATATACATATATAAATATATATGTATATACATATATACATATATAAATATATGTGTATATACCATATATATGTGTGTATATGATAAGTGGGACCTAATTAAACAAAATAGCTTTTGCACAGCAAAAGAAACTATCAACATTGAATTTTACAAACATATATATATGGTGTGTATATATATATGTGTGTATACATATATATGTGTATACATGTGTGTATACATATATATGTGTATACATATATATGTGTATATATGTGTGTATACATATATATGTGTATACATATATGTGTGTATACATATATATGTGTATACATATATATGTGTATATATGTGTGTATACATATATATGTGTATATATGTGTGTATACATATGTGTATATATGTGTGCATACATATATATGTGTATATATGTGTGCATACATATATATGTGTATATATGTGTGCATACATATATATGTGTATATATGTGTGCATACATATATATGTGTATATATGTGTGCATACATATATATGTGTATATATGTGTGCATACATATATATGTGTATATCTGTGTGCATACATATATATGTGTATATCTGTGTGCATACATATATATGTGTATATCTGTGTGCATACATATATATGTGTATATCTGTGTGCATACATATATATGTGTATATCTGTGTGCATACATATATATGTGTATATATGTGTGCATACATATATATGTGTATATATGTGTGCATACATATATATGAACAAGACTCCATCTGAAAAACAAAACAAAACAAAAAGTGGTTGTTTCTGGGCTTTCATGACCTGTAAAACTAAAAATCTAGTTGTCATCAGGATGTTGATCTCACATACAGTGAAAACTCACTCTGAAATATACTAGATCTAGTGTTGTTTAGAGACATAAGTATCATTTAGAACACTTCCTGTTGCAAGATACTGAAAACTCAAATTAGCTTTCGATTGAACTTACTGTCTCATGTAATTCAACAGTCCTGGGGGAGATAGGACTTTAGCCAAGTATTTATTCAGTTTTTTTTTTAATTTATTTTAATTTTATTTATTTTTTTTTTTTGAGAAGGAGTCTCGCTCTGTCACCCAGGCTAGAGTGCAGTGGTGCGATCTCGGCTCACTGCAACCTTTGCCTCCTGCATTCAAGCGATTCTCCTGCCTCAGCCTCCTGAGTAGCTGGGATTACAGGCACCTGCCACCATGCTTGGCTAATTTTTGTATTTTTAGTAAAGATGGGGTTTCACCATCTTGGCCAGGCTGGCCTTGAACTCCTGACCTCATGATCTGCCTGCCTCAGCCTCCCAAAGTGCTGGGATTATAGGTGTTAGCCACCATGCCAGGCCAATTCAGTATTTGAACAATGTAATCAGTTCCAGTTTTTTTCCTCTCTCTATTTCCTGACTTTGTTCAGGCAGAGTCCAGATGTTCTTAGAAGCTGACACCAAGATAAGATTAAACATGCAAGGAGAGGTGAAAAGTGAAAAGTGCCTGTGTGAAAGCAAATAGTGAGTCAGCTGGGAGTGTCCAAAAAGCCATTAAACCCCAGTACTGCAAACAGAGTGGGGGTGAGTAAAGGTGTCCTAGCAGCTGTGCAAGTGAAAGAAGGCTCAACTAAGTTTTTTGGAAGTTTTTAAACTAAAGTTAACTAACAAAAGAGTTTTATATCTCTTAGGAACTCAGTCATTGATGGGAAGCTGTCCTTGGGAGGCAAGATGTTGGCCTCCCAAGATGTTGCCACAAATGAATCTCAAAGTGAACACCTGAGGCTGTCTCTCAGGTGTGTTCCTGAGAATGCAAGAGCATTCTCATGGCTAACCTAGGCAGATTCTTTTGTGGCACACCAAGATGATTGACAATAGAGATTGGAACTGGGTACATTGTCATTAATATTTATTGGGAAATAAAAAGAAAGTCTACTTCCTCAAATGTTCAAGATTTAGATTTGGATCTCATTAACCATATTAAATACCTGTTAATGTACCTAATATTGACCTACTCACTGTGGCGGGGGTTTCAATAAAATTACTGGCTTAAGGTCAAGAGGGCGTCCCCTAGAACTGAAAGTCTTTCCTTTTACCTGTTAAGTTGCTTTTGACTGCATGTGAGAGAGACTTCAACGCAAATTAGCTTTAACAATAAAGATGTTTATCTTATATAATAGAAAGTCAGGTATGGGTGGATTTCAGACATGATTCAAATAAAATATTGGATCCATATCTCTGACATTCTGCCGATGTTACGTTTATTATTAGGCTAACTTCCCGTGAAATTTCAAGATGACTAATAGCAACAACTGAGGCAAAAATGCTCCGCTTGTTCAAACCAAGCATTAGAAACAGAAAACTTCTCCACTAATTGTGGAAGGAAAGATGTTCCTTTCAGCCTGTTTGGTTTGTGCTGCTATAATGTAATACCACAGACTGGGTAATTTATAATGAACAGAAATTTATTAGCTCACAGTTCTGGAGGCTGGGCAGTCCAAGATTAAGAGGCTGGCATTAGGTGAGGGCCTTCTTGCTGCATCATAATACGAGGCAGGCATCACATAGTGGCAGGGCATAAAGAGAGAGAGCAAGAGGGGGCAAACCCACTCCCATGATAACAAACTCACTTTCATAATAAAAATCCAATTTCATGATGATGGCATTAGTCTATGAATGAGATAGAGCCCTCATGATCTAAACACCTCTTAAAGGTCCTGATATGGACCAGGAGGAAGGTAAATACTGGGTAGAAGAAGGTGGTTCCCTGGCAAAGGCCCCACCCTCAAGCCTGGAAACCCGTGGCCCTAAATGGGAACAGGTATTCCTGTTTTCGCACCAAAATGTTGCCTTTTCCAAGACCTCCCTGGCCCACTACACCCCTATCATGTGACCATATAAACCCCAAGCTCCACTGGCAGAGTGGCAGAGCAGCACAGCACAGAAGGAGAGAAGAGAAGGAGCATCTGAAGGTCGAGGGGAGATCAGCCACAGGGTGGTCAAACTCCAGGGGAAGATCATCTTCCCACTCCAGCTCCCCATCCACCGCCTCCTGAGAGCCACCTCTATCACTCAATAAAATCCCTGTATTCACCATTCTTCAAGTCTGTGTGACCTATTCTTCCTGGATGCTGGTCAAGGACCTGGGTACCAAGAGGGCAGGATGTAAAAGGCTGTCACCCTGACTCTTCACTGAGCTGGGTAACAGTTAGCTGTCTGAAGAAGGCAAAGCTAAAAGAGCATTGTAACATCTCTAGACACTGCCGTGCGGCTGGAGCCCAAAAGCACTTGCCCCGGCTCACCTACGTGCTCCCTCTTCCATAAGGGGTTTAAGTATGCAGTGACTGAGTAATCAAGCCACCCCCTTCATGAGGAGTGCTGTGAAAGGGTCAAAGGAGTTCTTCCATCTCAGTCTTACATCCCAATACTGTTAAAATAGCAATTAAATTTCAACATGAGTTATGGAGGAAGCAAACATTCAAACCTTAGCACCCCTAAGTGGGGGCATATGCTCACTTACATAACTATTCCTGAACAAACAAGAGCCAGCAGAGGAATGACATGTTCTGTTTGGCTTATACCTGGCTTCTAAAGCAACCACTGAGGAAAGAGATGGGATAACTATGCCTGGGTTAGAATAATCAGTTTACAACCTTGAGCTGATGATGAGATCAGCTTCATGGGCCATGTGAGTATTAATTTTATGTGTAAACTTGACTAGGCTATGGTACCCAGTTGTTTGGTCAAGCACCAGTTAAGGTTTGCTGCAAAGACAGTTTTTAGATGTGATTCACATTTAGAGCCAATAGAGTTTGTGTAAAGCAGATGACCCTCCACAATGCAGATGGGCCTTAGCCAATCAGTTGCAGGCCTTAGAGCAAAGACTGCAGTTTCCTCAATGTGATGGTTAATTGTAGATGTCACGTTAATTGGATTAAGGAATACCTGGAGAACTGGTAAAGCATTATTTTGGGGTCTGGATGTGGAGGTGTTTCCAGAGGAGATTGGCATGTGAAGTTGAGTAGATTAAGTGGGGGAAGATCTACCCTCAATGAATGCAGGCACCATCCAATTGGCTGAAGGCTCAAATGGAACATAAAAGCAGAGAGAAAATTCTTTTCTGGTACAGATTTGTCTTCTGTCCCTGGACATAAGAACATAGACTCTCTGGCCTTGAAACTTCAGGGTTTACACCAGCACCCATCCCTCCTGTGTTTGGTTCTCAGGCTTTTGGCTTTAGGCTGACAATTGTGCCATTGGCTTCCCTGATTCTGAGGGTTACTGAGGCTTGTGTACTTGGGCTGAGCCATGCTACAATCATGCCAGGGTCTCCAGCTTGCTGATGACCTGTTGTGAGACTTCTCAGCTCCATAATCATGTGAGACAATTCCCCTAATAAATTCTTATGTATCTGTATCTGTTATCTATCATCTATCTATCTGTCTGTCTGTCTGTCTGTCTATCTATCATCTATTTATCTAAGCTATCTATTATCTATCTCTATCTATCATCTATTTATCTATCATCAATCATCTGTTCATCCCACTGGTTCCCTCTCTTTGGAGAACCCTAACGAATATACCTAAGAAGAAACAATTCTACCTCAAAACTACAACATAAAATATTGCCTGGGCTTCCATCTTGCTGGCTTGCCTTGCAGATTTCCGACTCAATACTGCATCAACTCTTACCTGAATTTCCAGCTTGCCAATTTGCCCTACATATTTCAGACTGGCCAGCCCCCACAATCACATGAGCAAATTCCTGAAAATTAATCTCTCTCTCTCTCTCTCTCTCTCTGAAGATATCTCCTATTGGTTCTGTTCCCCTAGAGAACCCTCACTAATACAGGCCACATGGAGGATGATTGAATTCTTCAACAGATTTTGAGTCCTATGAGTAGAAAGGAAGAAATGAATGCAAGGTCATCAATGGTAGCACTCATTACACTATTGTAATACCACAGTCAGCCAATTAATTCAGAGAGGAAGGTAGAACAGCTGATGGGAAGGATGACAACAAATAGCCCTACAACAATTTAGATTTTTCACTGTCCGTTTCTGGTTGATAATATGCTTAAACATTTACCTTAGTAAATTCTGGTAACTTAAGACTTGCTGATCTTAAAAAAGACCATATAGATTTCAATATCAAAACAATTAAAAATGGATACACTAATTTATCTATTTTTTTTGAGTCCTAGGGCATGCAAATACACAGTCTTAGTGTTTTGACACATTTGACACATGATTCAAAGACTAATTTGACACATTGATCATTTGTGAAAGAAAAGAGAAATGTAACTAGGATTTAAACAAATTAAATAAACTACAAACGTATTAAGCTGTGTATGTTCTTTAAAATTGTGTATTATTGCCATTATTATTTGATTTTATGATGACTAAATCATTTTCTCTCAATTAATCATCATTTTAGGCTTAGATCCTTTATGGAGCCAGCACACACACGTCAGGCAAAAGGCATATACTTCACACCTTGAAGAGAAGACAGGGCCTTATCTACTTATACTTTTCATCTAGTCCTCAACTTGCTGCTTCTTCCCCTTGACCTTGGTGATTCCTAAGACAGGTCAGTGGTACAGAATTTGACAGTGTCTTATGTAATGAAGTGAATTTTTCAGGATGAATCCTAAGTAATCACCAGCTCATCTGTGTCCAGTCACACCTATTTTCCTAAAAAATTTCATTTCCTCCTGCTGAATGCACAGTCATTGCTCCAGTGTTTATTCCCTGATCTCAAAAAGGAGATTTCCATTAGATTTCAGCAGTTGCTTCATATTGCACCATACTGACTGGCAATAGTCTCTATGGCTAGAAGACAAAATAACCCAGAATCTGGTTTCTCAGATCAGACCAGGTTTCAGTTCAAATGCTCACTGTCCTCCTGGAGAACGCCTTAGGCTAACTTCCTTCTTTTTATTTTCCTGATTAACCCATCTTGTTTCTGGCAAAAAATAACAGAGCTAGTATAAGTGAGATTTTGTAAGTGGATATTAAATCTTGAGGTTATTGTATTACGAGAGTATTTCCTGAGCTGTGAAATAATTTACTAATGAATACAAAGTAGAAATGCATTGCATGAAATCCTATCAATATGGTATGAAGTATTATCAGGGTTCAGGGAACCAAGAATTTCTGCTTTAAGCTACTTTTTAAAATTTTATCAGACAGTGATGACAGCACAGGAAAAACCAACTAAATCAGTTAGTTTTTAGTTTTTAAGTATCCTATCAAGCAAATATAGTCAGCTATAAATTTCAAGAACAATAATTTTAAATGAAGAAAAGAAATTAACCTAACATTTATTAGGCACTTACTATGTGCCAGACACTGTGCTAAATGATTTTATTTCTCTCAATATCCTTATTTTACCAATGTGGAAACAGAGGCTCAAAAAAGTGAAGCAGCCTGCCCAGTTTCAAACCAGGGTCAATCTTCTAAGCCTGTGATTTTCCCCCTACAACCTGCTGAGCTAAATTTTCCAACACCTTTGCCACAGTAAAATGTGTTTCACGGTGAATCCCCAGGTTAATAGGGTAATCATTTTCAGAGAGGACAGGACAAGTTATCTAGTTATTGAATACCTAGTTTTTACTAGGTGCTGTGCTGGATAGCACATACAGTTTCATATTCAGCATCTCACAATTCCCATTTTTCTAGATGAGGAAGCTAGAGTTTGAGAAGATAGGTAATAAGCCCAAGATCACATGGCTGAGTGGAGGAGCAAGACATTCAAGCCAGGTACCTGTGCCCCATTTCTCTACACCATGCAAAAGCTTAATCACTTTGGGTTAAAGTGTATAGGACTACAATATGCCATGGCTATTAGGACTGAGTTATTAGAACCTTGCATATCATTTTGCAAAACAGTAAAGCACCTAGGTGCAATTAATGACAAGAACATGGGACAGACATATATAAATTCATAGACTGAGAAACTTATTGGGTCCTTCTTTCCCCACTTGTAAATAGACTGGGAGAGTGGGTTTGGGAAAAGTGGTTTAGAAAATGCTCCACATCCTTGTGTTCATAAAGCCAAGATAGTTAAGTATTAATCCTGCTGAATAATCTATTTTTCTCCCTGCATATTCCTTGCCCTCTCTTATATGATGTCAATGTCAGGGCATTTTCAGTGTGAAATAACAATTATAAAATAACTAGAATCTTCCTTACACTGTATTAAGCTATCTGGCCTTGTTTAGCATTACTGTGTAAATGACACATTAATAAGAATGTCTTAGGTATATTTCAATTGTTACTCATTTTTTAGCAAGGTCTGAAAGTTGTGTTAATATCTTTCTATATTAATAACTCTCATTAAGATGGGTAGTTTTAATGATGCTAACAATTTCCTTTCAGTTTATTTCAGTTCAACAAATATTTATTGGACATCTATTGTATCTCAGGTACTGGGCTAATGGACTAAAGGCTGGAGATGTCTAGATGAGCAGAGCAGTGCTTGTTCACCTGCTCTTCAGGTGGTGGGTGGATAAACAGATGGCTCCCACTTGCTAGGATAAGAGGTAAGATGGAGGAGGGCACAGAGAGATAGGAATGTATATGTGCCAGACTTCTCTGGAGCAGATGACACAGATTTCCAATTTATGGATTTGCTCATGGCTCAGCCTCTCTGTGGCCATTACCTCTTAGCAAAAGAGGACACATGTATGATAGACTGTACTTCCTTGCACACATTATTTCCATGTTTATGTCTTTCCTGGGTAACTTGGTGTATTAGTCTGTTTTCACGCTGCTGACAAAGACATACCCAAGACTGAGAAGAAGAGGTTTTAATGGACTTACAGTTCCACGTGGCTGGGGAGGCCTCACAATCATGGCAGAAGGTAAAAGCATCTCACATGGTGGCAGACAAGAGGAGAGAGCTTGTGCAGGGAAACTCCCATTTTTAAAACCATCAGATCTCATGAGATTTACTCATCATCATAAAAATAGCATGAGAAACACTGGCACCCATGATTCAATGACCTCCCAATGACCTCCAATTGGCCTGGTATCAGAATTGTACATGATCACTTTCGCCATATTCTATTAACCAAAACAAGTCACAAGGCCAGGGCTAATTCAACAAGTGGGGAAATGGACTGTATTTGTTGATGGGAGGAGTTGGAAAGTTACAAAGCAAGGACATATAAATATAGTGAGAAGAATAGTTGCAGTCATATTGGCAAATAATCTATTACACATTATCAAAAGGGCAAGTACTTTTACTTTTGACAAAGAAATCCTAAGTCTAGGCATCTAACCCACAGAAGACATATGAAAAAAATTATATGTATAAAAGTATTCATTGGAACACTATTTATTGCCTTCTAGCAAAAGAGGAAGCCGCCCAGTAGTCCATTAACAGTGAATTGATTCCATAAACTATGCTGCATCCACACAATGGCATACTGAATAGGGGTATATCTGAAACAGAAGTGCCCAGGAGATGAATATTGTTGAAGCTATTCATTATGTTTTTCTCTCTACTTTCATATATGTATGAAGTTTTTCATAATGAAAGGAAAAGTAAAAGAACCTAATTTATTTTTTTCCATGACCAAATAGAAACAAAACTAGAAAATGAAATGAAATAGAAAATGAAGCCCACTACTTAGTTTGTGTCAGAGAGTAATGCCATGTCTCCGAGAGGTAAGAGGTAAGCTATTTACATCTCCAGCACTGTAAACAATTTAGCAGCATTCAAAAAATACTCATCAAAATTCTAGTTTTCTTGGCTAAGGGAAAGTTCTTTTAGTCAGCAAGGCTGAAAGCACCTCCCTAGGGGTACAAATGTTATAGGGAAGAAATAATTGCATGTTCAGAGTAAATACTCTCCAACTTTCTACAGCCTGCATCTTGTTAAATAAACTACTTGAATGACGTTTTAGAAACAGAAGCTGATCTAAAAAATATAGTTCTCCTTTTGACATTTTTTTCTTTGCCTTTGCAATATTAGCACTTTGTTCAAAAAATAAACTATTTAAGAACCCAAGTACCCAAAAGTTCAGGTTTTATTCTGAACATGTTAGTAAATTGCCCATAGATTTTCCCAAAATAAACCTGATTGTCATACCTTAAGTTTCATAAAGAGCTGCTGTCATCCAACTATTTGAAAAATAGTTCCAACCACAGAAGTTGCTGGAAAACATCAAAGGTGCCATTTATTTAAGGGGAAAAACATTTCCTCTTTGAGTTCTTCTGTGTTTGGGTTGAGGAGCGGAACTCTGCTGTCATCCTACATTTGGAATGGGAATTTATTCTGAGGACTGGGTAAGGGCCTGTAGATGTGTTAGACCAATCAATAGCGTTTGCCAAATTATCCTTCTGGACCCGAAATGCTGAAAATTATCATTTCTGGGGAGTCTCTAATCATAGTCTACATTATTTAACTTGTTTTTGTAGTTATGAAGGAGTACAATGAGCAGACAGCAAGAAGGCTCATATTAAGGTGACATGGAGCTTTCTTAACCATTTGCAACTGATTTCTTGACTTACTATGCTATTGAAACTTTTAATGATTATCAGACTGTATAGCTTCTTCTCAGTGTTTCTTTTCAGCTGAGTTGTCATTTAAATATTACTTTTTAAATCAATTTGTCATTATTAGATCACCAGGAACTTCCTTTATTTGTTTATAAACTCCCTCTACTCCCATTGCTCATCCCACACCCTCTATGGATGTCTCAGGCATGTCTATGGCTTAGCCTTTACCTCCATGGAGGGGATATCTACATCCATAGGACCAGTAGTTCTTATCTGGAGCCTCCCAAGAGTGAATCTCTCTGCTGAAATGAGTCTTTTTGTAATCTTGTGGGGTACTCACCCAATTTTTTGGTTAGTAAAATGAAAGTTAGGTAAGAACACAGCATGAAGTAACAATTTCCCTCTTCTCCTGCATATCACAGAAAGGAAATAAGACTTAGAAAAAGAAAGCCACATTAGCTTTCTTTGCAGAAAGCAAGAGCTGCAAGATTGGAGGAAGACAGGGTGGAGAAGTGCAATAACTGGGCAGAAAGGAGTTACCCAAAGAATATCCACTGCTTTCGATTCCATTCTTTCTCAGACATAAATTGCAGGCCTAGCAAGTCCTAATAAGAACTAAAATAAAATAGTGGTGTAGCTTCTGACTGGTGGGTGTCCCCTGTTTTTTTCTTGAGTACAGCTCCTAGAAAATAACAAGTTTCTCTCTAAATTTGAAGTCTATGCTCATATTTGGTCCAAGAGAAACTCCTTTGCTTAATGATTTAAACAAACAATCATAAGGATTCTATATCCACTTTCTCCTTCACAAGCTTGCCTGTGTGACTGAGGCATCTTTCTTGATTATGGTGAATTCTTTAACACACAGATGACCAATTAGCAACTCTCATATTTAGATAAAAATGACTTACATAGTTAAGAATTTTCAATTAGAATTTTAAATTGGGATATGCATTCTTCAGTTAGCCACAAGTAATATTTCTCCCTATTAATTTCACACATTTCACCTATTGATTTCACGATTTCTATTGCCTTTCTAATCCCTGAAGGCATTTGAACTGTTTGACTTAGGTTAAGTAAAACAGTCTTCAGAAAAGGACAGAACAGAATGTAACTGTTATCTGTTGTTTTATCTTATTCTAACTTATCAGCCTTGCTCCTTCATCTAAGCTAGGGAGCACATTTTAGCTACTCTTGATTATATGTAATTTGAATACTTATATTCCATTTTATTTCAACATTTATTTGGTGTAATCCTTCTTCTCTCAAAGATACAGTAAACTCAAACAAAGATTTTACACCACCATTTTCTTTCTTTCTTTGTCTTTGATCATCAAAAACACAAGATTAAATTTCTTTTCCCCAGGATGCCTTGAGAATGTTTCAAGATAAAACATTATTGTTAGAAAATTTATTATTTATTTTTCTCTGAAATAGCTTCAATGCTTATCAAATAAGTTCAAGTCATAAAATAGTTCCTGATGTTTATCAGTTGTTAGAACACAATTTGCCACACTCTTATGGTGTTAGTGGCCTTTTTGACCTGAGGCCACTCTTTATTTTGAACATTTTATTTCCTGGAGAGACTGTGGATGAAAAACAGTTTCGTTATTTTAGAACCCAAAACATCCTGGTTTCTATCTATTTCCTATAAATTCCGATTGAAAGCAAACTAAATAGTTTTTCTTCTTCTTTTCTTTTTTTAAGTAACTTCTTATACATAGTTGTCATATGTTGTTATTTTCTAGGAGCTGCACTCAAGAAGAAAACAGGGGACACCCACCAGTTAGAAGCTACACCATTTGGCATGTTTGACATTCTGCCTGGGAAATTCCTCAACTAGATCCATAAGTTCATCAGATATATTTTATATTGTCCACACTCTGCAGGTTATAGTTTTTCTAAGCCTTTTGTCATTATGTAACATGGGTCATCTTTTTTTTTTCAGCCTTTTTTTTTTCAGACAAATTCCTCACTGCCTTTAAGCTCTTACTATCAGTCTTCTCAAGAGCTTTCTAACTTCTGACGGCTGGTGGTCACATAGTCAATGCCATGTTGTTTTAATTTTGTGTTATGGCAGTGTCCCACTTCCAGGTGTCAAATTCCATTCTAGTACTCTTTCTCTACTTAATCGCTAGCTTGATAACAAACCATCTCAAACACGGTAGCTTTAAACAACATCTGTTTTACTATAGCTCACTGTTTTGTGGGTAGGAATTTGGGCAGTCTTGCTTGGGTGATTATTCTGTTCCACATGGCATCAACAGTTGTCACATGTTAATATTCAACTGGCAAATGTACTGGCTTGGAGGGTGTGGAAACTTGGCAGGACAGATGAAAGACTGGGCTCAGCTGGGACAGTCAAACCAAAGACCTACATGTGACATCTTCAGCATTGTCGTTTCAAGGCTTACATGGCAGTCCAAGAGCAAGTGTTCCAGAGAACAAAGTGGAGGCTTTGCGGCCTTTTATCATCTATCTGCAAAAGTCACAAAGCATTATTATTATTATTTGCCATTTTAGGTTGGCTGAAGCAGTTGCAAGCCAACCCAGATTCAAAGAGGTGTCAATTAGAGGTATATTACAGAATTTCAACTTCTGTATTAACACTGCTATGGCATACAACAAGATTTTAGAATTTTGCTTAGCCATAAGCACCAAAAATGGACAACAAATCCCATTTAAAGCTTATACTAAATCAAAATCTGTGCTATATAATTCTGTGAGTGGGATCATTTTATTAAGAGGAGGTAGCAATTCTCAGACAATGATTACAGAAAAGTGCTTAGGTTGTTAATCATATATAAATGTAGTGTTATCATTAGCATGAATATTAATTTGATGATACAAAAATAATATTTCTATTATCACCAATGGATAAAACTCTTCAGTATAGACTATATGAACCACCTGCACATATACATAGAGTACTACTTTTTTGATAGTATTGTTTGTGGCATTCATGCATCTAGCAGAAAAACACTTAAAGGATACCCATCACCCATCACCTAGGACATTTGTCATTTGTATCTGTTGGGACCATTCCAATTTGCCTCTTCTGTCTATTTTGGAACACACAATACATTGTTGTTAGCTATACTCACCCTACTCTGCTATCAAACATTAAACTTTTTCCTTCTGTCTAACTCATGTTGGAGTTTATTTACATAGACATGTTGGAGTTTATTTATATAGACATTATAAAGTGTATAGTATCCAAAAATATATAAAACATCTGCTCTTCACATCAATCTACTGACAAAGATAATGAAAATAAAAATCAAGTTTCGAAGGCAGGTGGATCACTTGAGCCCAGGAGTTCAAGACCAGCCTGGGCAACAAAGTGAAACCCCATCTCTATAAAAATTTAAAGAATTTAACTGGGTAGTATCTGTGCCTGTAGTCCCAGCTACTAGGGAGGCTGAGGCAGGAGGATACCATGAGCCCAGGAGTTCAAGGCTGCAGTGAGCTGCGATCCTGTCACTGCGCTCCAGCCTGGGCAACAAAGCATTTATTTTTAAACTTTGCTTAAAAATAAATAAATAAAAAATAAAGTTTCTATTTGCAAGGCATTGAAAAATACATGTCAGAATGAGGGCACTGGATAATATGGATCTCTAATCTTTGAAAACACAAATTGCAGCTGTGATGAAAATACATTCACCAAAAAAAGTCCTGGCATCACATTTGCAGCAACATGAATGGAACTGCAGGTGGTTATGTTAAGTGATATAAGCCAGACATGGAATGACAAATATCACATGTTCTCACTCATATGTGGAAACTAAAAAAAAAAAAAAAAAAAAAAAAGTCTATCTCATGGAGGTAGAGAATAGAATGATAGTTTTGAGGCTGGGAAGGGTGTGTGTGTGGAGAGGGAAGAATGAAGAGAGTCTAGCTGATGGGCGTGAACATACAGTTAGATAAAATGGAAAAAGTTTAACGTTTGATAGCAGAGTAGGGTGATTATAGCTAACAACATTGTGTATTATGTATTTCAAAATAGCTAGAAGAGAGGACTTGGAATGGTCCCAAAAGGTAGAAATGATAAATGTCCTATGTGATGGGTGGTGAATATCCTTAAATACCCTGAGTTGATCACTGCATATTCTATGCATGTAACAAAATATCACATGTATCCCATAAATATGTACACATATTATGTATCAATAAAAATTTAAAAAAGAAGTTCTGACATTAAGACAGAGTAGGGTAAGGGGAGAACAATTTTTTTTTTTTTGAGACTCGCTCTGTCACCCAGGCTGGAGTGCAGGGGCTCCATCTCAACTCACTGCCCTCCTTGGTTCAAGCGATTCTCCTTTCTCAGCCTCCCAGGTAGCTGGGATTACAGGAACCTGCCACCAAGCCCAGCTAATTTTTGTATTTTTTTTTTTAGTACTGACGGGGTTTCACCATGTTGGCCGGGCTGGTCCCAAACTCCTGACCTCAAGTGATCTGCCTGCCTCGGCCTCTCAAAGTGCTGGGATTATAGGCTTGAGCTACTGTGCCCAGCTGAGAGCAATTTTTAAAAGATAAGTATATGAGTTTTCATTCTGTTTCATACTTACTGAGCTATTTTTACCAAAGTATCAAAATGTAACAAAAATCAACTCTCTGATTTCATATCATTTTACAGAATTAAGATAAAATCTAATCTCAATCCAGGGAACAAGATTAATAATTGTAGATTTTGGATTTTTTTTTTTTTTTGCTATAAACAAACAAACTAATTATAACAGGCTTTATCCTTAATAAAGTTAGTTAGGTCCAAGAGAAATAAAAATGTGAGAAAGCAAGAATTTCAGTGGAAGTCAAATTGTTATACAACACTCTACTTCTTTGAATTATTGGCATTTATGTTCTTAGAAGAGTCATCTCCATGATACAGGCGTCAGTGAGAATGTTAAAATATTTTTGAGGCCTAGGGAAAATGTATGCCAATTAATTAACTTGTTTTTATCTGTGATTCTCTCATATGTTAAATTTAATAAGTTAAATAATTACATAAAGCAAGCTTCTCAAAAATAGAAGCCTCCTTTTTAAAGAAGGGAAATAAAAATACAGAACTTAGGTTAAAGTTAACTTAGCATCTAAATAAAGCACAAAAATTTAATCATATAAAACATTAGTATTATTGTACCAAGGATGTGGTGGAAGAGAATATTTTAAAATAGATTTTAATACACTTGGGTGGGACTTCTGCTGTTAATTTGCTGTATGACTCTAGGTAGCTCACATAAACTCTCTGGTTTCCCTCTCCACAAAATGAGGAGTTTTAGCTATTTAAAGTTAAACAACATCTTCATGATATAAATATTTTATTTTTTTATTTTATCACAGGGAAAATTTAAAATCAGGCATCAATATGAATATGCAGAGTGGTTTTATGAGCTGTCTTTTAAAATGGAATAGGGCAAAAATCAAATATATTAGGCTTGTTGATGTTTCTCAGATTTCCTGTCATTTTAACAGACTAACTGGTCACTCATCAAGATGAAAATCACATTAATAGAAAACAATTGTTCCTTACAAAAATGTGTTTGAAAAGCTTTGTATCATTTTAATGGGTCTCAAATTAACCTACCTATTCTGTCAAGGATATGAGATAGCTCCATGACTAATATTTTATTCTTTGTGAATATTTCCTTCCCAAGTTCTACCACAGTTAATATCTAATGTCTAAAATTTTTTCAAACATTGCCTTGCAGTCCTTCTTAAATAATTTCACTGAAAACGTGTGCCTTATTTATCTGTATCAGAATTAAATCACCGTGATTACAAATTCCTTAATAGCAAAGGTCAAAAGAGAAGTTAAAATATTTTCCTTGTATTTTTAAAACTCAGAAGTTAACATATTGTCCTTGTATTATTAAAACTCAAAAGAGAACTTAAAATATTGTCCTTGTATTATTAAAACTCATAGTCCTTCATAAGGACTATGAATATATGAAAATACAAAAATATTCAGTAGGAAAATACAAAAATATTCAGTAGTAGCTACTTTATTCAATAAATCAGTCAGTCCATTGTGAACCAATATTTAGAGTGTCTACCATGGGTGGGGCACTGATCTACATACCTGGGGCACAAGGAGGATTACTGTGCTTGAGGATATTATTTTCTAGTAGAAGGAGACAAGCAATAAATAACTAACAGAATTTATGGGTGTATTACATAGCATGTTAAGATGATTAGAAAAAAGAAAGTGCACAGCAAACAGTGTGTTCGGGAGTGCTGGGGGACAGAATGAGGAAGTCCATTGCAGATTTAAATGGGGTGGTCAAGGAGGGCTTCATTGAGGAGACATCTGAGCAAACATTTCAGAGGTCAGAGAACTAGTCATGAGGGCATCGCAGGGAGATGCATGCCCAGTGGGGAGAGCAGTTCTTGCAATGGCCCTATAGCAGGAGTGCCTAGTTTGTTGGAGGAACAGCAAGAGGGACATTGGGGCTGGAGCAGAGCAAAGCAAGGTGGAGAGTTGTATGAGAAAGGGCCAGAGAGAGAACAGGGAGTGACAGCTTTGCAGTCTACCGTAAAGACCTTGGTGTTTATTCCGAGTGAAATATGGAGCCTTTGAAAAATTTTGAGCAGAGAGTGAATAAGATTCGACTTATATTTGAAAGGGATCACTCTGTTGGTCATATTCATAATAGACTGAATGGGAAGGCACGAGCAGAACCAGGGAGAGCAGTTAGAAGGCAATTGCAATAATTCAGGGACAAAGTGATGGTGGCTTAGACCATTATGGTGGCATAGAAGTGGTGAGAAATAGTCAGATTTTAAACATGCTTTGAAAGTAGAACCAAAGGATGGTTGTGTTTGCTTCCTGGGAAGGGTTGAGCTTATAACAAGCGTCTTGGTTGTGAATTGAATTCTGTTGATATAGTTGAAATTCTGAGTGCTTGAGCCTCCTCACCTTTTCCAATGATGAAGAGAGAATGCCTAGGGTAGCCATCTTAGTTCAGTGTGGGCTCATGTTTGACCCTCATTAAGGATGGGAAGAATTTGTTCCAAATATGTGGGCTTCATTTTGCATCCTGTTGATGGATGTTCTTTATCATAATAAGAAATGTGTATTTCATGAAATCAAAAGTTCCTTTGGTGAAGGAAGTCTGTTATAGTCTTCAAAAACATAATTATCAAAATGGTTTGTTTACTATAACATTTAGAGTCAGTGTAAAAGATCAATGAATGAAGTGGCTTCTAGAGACGGACATGACAGTTGCAAATCTCCGTGCTGCTACGTAACTAGTTTATCTTATTTACTTTATTAACCCTATCTTATAGCATTGTCAGCAATAAAGAAATTTACATATCTGAATAACTTGGAACTTTCTACATAATAGTAAGTACTATAAAAGTATATGTGAATGCTATTATTTCTTTTGTAATGAAATGTCATGTTACAGTCTATGGCTGCCTTTGAATACCTGTCATCATTTCTTTTCTTTTTTTTTCTTTTTTTTGTAGCTGCAGATGGAGACCAGTTCCTCCCATCTTTTTAAAATTATACTCTAAGTTCATTTCTTCTCCAAACTCTTCATTAGACCCTTAGCTAATTCCTTACCTATGAAGACAGTTAATAACCATCGTCTGTTCTCTGCATGTACTATTAATCCAGAAAAACCTGGTTACTCTGTGGCTTCGTCCAGTTGCTCCACAAGAATTACTTCTACGTCAATGGGGGCATAGTCCATGTTATCTAACAGCTTCCATCTACCTATTGATGTTCCAGTTGGAGGTCTCAAAATTATTCAAAACATATTTTAAACTAATTTTAGGGATTTTTGTCATTAGCAATTTGGCACACTAAAGGTTATGAAAGGTTCCTGTTACATAACATCAAAACATGCTTAATAAAAATATTTTTTAAACTGCCATTTTAAATACATTCATGAGCTTGCCAGAAATCTGCTAGATGCTAGATAAAGCCCACACACTTAGAATAGTTTCACTTCTCTCCAAATAGAGGTCAAGAATTCTCCAAACATTGAAGAAATACCCATTTTAATCTTACACAATATCTTCCAGAGAATAGAAGAAGAGGAAATACTCCCTAATATATTTATTAGCCTGCAAAACCTTGATACCAAAACCTGAAAATAAGAATGAGAAAGTAATGCTATAATTCAATATCATCCAAGAATAGAGATTCAAAAACCCTAGAATAAAGAACTGGATTCAGCACTGAATAAAAAAATCACATGACTTCATGAAGTAAAGTTTATTCTAAAAACAAAAAGTAGGCTTGTATAGATTGTATAGATTGTTGTATAGATTTATAGATTGTATAAACCATGCAATTTCCATAGGTACCAATAAGTGGAGTAAACCACATGATCATTTTGCAAGATGTAAAAAGTTTTTGACAAAACTAATATTCATTTATGATGAAAACTCTTAGCAAACTAGAAATAGAAGGAAATTCATTAATATGATGAAAAGAATCTAAAAAAATCAAAATTCAGTGTGTTAATGTAAAACATTGAAAGCTTTTTCTCTGAAATCAGGACAAGACAAGGAAGTCAGCTACCTCGACTTTCCACTTCTGTTCAATCTCGTGCGAGCAATCTTGGCCATACATTAAGATTTTTAAAAAAGAAATAAAAAGTGTAAGAATTAGAAAGGTACAAGCCCATCATTATTTCCAGATAACATGATTTTTGTACATAAAACAAAATACAAAATATTTAACATGATTTTGTACCTAAAACAAAATACAAAAGAATGTGAAAATAGAATATTGGATTCTATAAGACAGTTTTACAAAGCAACTGGGTACAAAATCCACTTATAAAAATTTGTTGCATATGGTATATTTTTATGTACCAGCAACAGAGAGTTAAAAAACACATTTTTAAAAAAGATAACATTAAAAATGGTACCTATGGTATTGCATATTTCAAAAGTGCTGTAAGAACAGACTTGAAATATTCCCACTACAAAAAAATGGTAAATATGAGAGGTGATGAATATGTTAATTACTTGATATAATTTTTCTACAATGTATACAAATATCAAAACATCACATTGTGCTCCATAAATGTATACAGTTATTATTTTCAATTAAACATAATGGTTTAAATAAAAAACAAATCTAAGAGCAGATGTGCAAGGTAACTAATATCCAGAATACACTCAATACAAAATGATAAGAAAAAGACAGGCAACCTATCATAAGAATAAGCAAAGATTTGAGTGAATCTTTCAAGAAAGAGAAAATCCAAATGGCTCATAAACATAAGAGAAGGTTGCTCATTTTACTAATGATTAGAAAAATGTAAATTAAAATCATGTACCAGTTATAGAAAAATTGTAAATTCTGATAATACCGTGTGTTGGTGGGGATGTGCGGCAAAGGTACCTCTCACACAGTGTTGGTATGAATGAACTTGGTACAACCACAACGTGAAAGAGTTTGCTTTCTCCAGAAAAGTTGAAAATGTGTATAATCTATAACCAATTTTAATCCTAGAGAAAGTTCTGTACAAGTGCACCAAGAAAAATATATTGAAGTGTTTATAATAGTCCCAAGCTGAAAACAACCAACTTATCTATCAACTATACACCAGATAAATAATTTGTGGTACATTCATACAATAGAATACTATATGGCAATGGAAATAAAACTACAGCTGCACATTAACATAGATTAATCTCACGAACAAATGTTGGTCAAAGGTAGCAAGTTACAAAGGAAAACGTGTAGTCAGAATTTATAAACAAATTTCAAAATCAGGAAGAATTAAACTGTGTTGTTTAGTGATGAATTTAGTGATGGTAAAACTATCAAGAAAAGCAAAGGAATTAGTAGAAGTTAGGATAGTGGTTACTTGCGTAGGATAGGAAATGGGATGTGACCTAGGAGAGATGTGAAGTTGGGGGTGACTTCTAAGTATTGGTGATGTCCTGTTTCTTAACTTAGGTAAGGATGGCAGGGAATTATGTTAATGATTGTTATTGTGTGAATCTATCGATCCAGCCATCCATTATGTCCTTCCATTCTTGCATCCCTCCATCCCTCCATCCCTCCATCCGTCAGTTCATCTATCCACCAATTCATCCATTTATCCATTTATGTATCTCTTTCTGGATATATTTCACGATTAAGAAAAGTTAAAAAATTATTATGATTAAAATGCCTGCGTGCTACATGTGCTTATAAGCTCGTTAGGAAAACTTTTCTAGGATACCAGCTTATTCACTGGCTTCTGAGTATTCCATATCAATAATACCCCACCTGGGTGACTAAATCTTTCAGAAGAAAAAATGCATTTAAAGAGATGTAATATAGTATTTGAAAAGATAATCTTCAAAGATGAAGTTCATGCCAAAATACTAATTATTATTTTACTTTGAAAGTAATTACAGCAGTCTGTCGTTACTCTTTTCTCATAGAAAATAAAGGCAAATTAGAAAATACATATTTATAATTAAAAATAATTAATCTTTTATTAATAAAGCATTTCTTTGTCTTTGTCACTTTCCCCAGATATTTAAAGCTAACAC
Organism: Homo sapiens; assembly: GCF_000001405.40. Lineage (NCBI taxonomy): Eukaryota > Metazoa > Chordata > Mammalia > Primates > Hominidae > Homo > Homo sapiens. Next base: position 208,656,801 of record NC_000002.12, read on the forward strand.
ATGTTATTTTTGTTTCTTTTGCTAGCTATGCTATTAGGATTTAATTAAATGGATGCCAACAGCAAGTAAACCATCTCCAAAGATGCCATGAAGCTCTCCTAATTGCAGGAAAATATCAGAGGCACTTGATTTGAGTCTTTCAAGTACGGAAATAACAAATTCAGTCTCAACAGACCTATAGTGAATGAGGTGAGTCATTTTTTTTTTTTTAAACTGAAAAGCTCTGTTTTCAGAAAAATTTGGAGTGGCAAAGAGTTTCAATTGATCCAAGGAAGATAGTACTTTTATTCCCCCAAAGCATCTCTCTTAAACTGTCAGGCTTTGACATAGATGCTTATTATTAGATCACTTCTACAAATAGTGTAGACATTGACTATAATAAAATGTAATATTTGGCTTCCTATAAATTATATTCAAGAGTTTAGTGGTATACCTGGTATTTTTTAGAGGTGATCTCCAATGATTTTGGGACTCAATCCTTCAATTGGAATTCATGTGAAATTCTACTTTTCGTTTCTTGTACAAAATATATTTTAAAAATCCTTCATTTAAAAAGATAAATGCAGTGTGAAAGGAACTAAACAAATCTGAGGTTGGTTTGGTAATAGATGCACAAGTGCTTCTCATTTTAAGTAGATTTTTGTACGTCATGCATTTTGAATAACAAGTTGTGGACCACTGGGCCAGCAGACATTAGAAAAGAAATCCAAATGGAATTAGATGTATTCATTGTTTGTGAGTACCTCCCAAAGGAATGGAAAAGGCACAGACCTTGCAGACACAGAATGGATAAGACAATAGGATAAGGACACCAAGGCAGCAGGAATGATTCTAGGAGTGTATGCCAGAGATCCCCTTAGAGGGCAGTGTAGGGCACAATGCCACATAAGGCTTTACACTGTCTCAAGTGAGGGCGTGACAATGGACATGGGTTCAGCACATTACTGTTTATATTTTTCCTACACAATCAGCTCTTCAGTCATCAGGGAAAACTACATTGTATTTTCCATTTGGGGAAGAAACTTACATTTTTGGCTAAAAGGAACATTTTCATTTTTAAAGTTGATTCATCTGCTAATTTGGCAAATAGTGATGCAACAGAGAAGACATATTTGTTGTGTGTAAGTGTGTGAGAGAATTGGTACGCAGGAAGTGGGTTCCATTAATGCAGCAGCTATCATTAAATAAGTAATTTTAAAAATACAAATTTCAAATACTAGAAAGGAAACCAATTTGATAGTCATAAATCAGAAGCAGTCATATCTAGTGCTGAGTGAGATGCTGAGGGTGATGCCAAAACCAGAGTGACCCAAGGTGAATTTTATCAGTTCTTTATAATAGACTATTAAAATAGAGACCATGGCATTTTAAAGACACTATGACTCTTTAAATCCAAAATAAACACAAGAATTATGTTTGAAATTACAAATTTATGCTCACCTTCATATCTCAGACATATTTTAGATGAACATAATGAGGTTAAAGATTCTGGATTATATCAGCATAAAGAAAAATCATCTTTTTCTCAATTTTGTTGACATTTAATGTACATAGCATAAAATGCGCAAAATATAAGTGTACTGATTGATGGATTTTACAAATGCATACACTCATCTAAAACAACGACCAAGATATAGAACGTTTCCACCGTCATAGAAAGTTCCCCCATGCCTTTTTCTAGTTAATCTCCTCCTTCCACCCTCAGGAATCATCTCTCTGATTTCTATTACCATGGATCAGTTTTGTGTATTCTAAAATGTCAGATAATGAAGTCATATAGTATGCATTATTTTGGGTCCTTTTTTAGGTTAACATAATGTTTTAGAGATTCAACCATATGTTTATTTTAGTAATACATTTCTTTTTATTGCTGAGAAGTATTCTAACAATATATGTGGTATAGGTGAATATATCACAATTTATTTATTTTCCTGTTGTTGGATATTTTAGATTGTTTCCAGTTTTGGCTATGGTGAGTGCAGTGGCAATGAATATCTTTGTATAATTCATTTTCAACATAAGTGTATGTTTTCTTTTACAAGAAACTCAAGTAGTTTTCAAAAGTGAATTGCCACTGGTATTCTTACAAGTGATATATGAGGTCTGTTCACTCTAAAGACTCACCATTTGGTATTTTCAGTCTTTTTAGTATAATCAATTCTAGTGGGTATGTAGTGGTATCTCACTGTGGTTTTATTTTGCATTATAATTTAGAAGACTAAGTTTATTAAGCAACTGTTTATGTGCTAATAGCCAATCTGACTATCTTCTTTTGTGAAATGTATGTTTAATATTTTTATTCACTTTATAAGCAGAGTTGTTAAAGTTCTTAATTTTGGTGAAGTCTACTTTATTTATTTTTATTTATGGCTATGCTTTTTGTGGCCTGAAAAATCTGCCCACTTCAAGGTTACAAAGACATTCTCTTATGTTTTCTTCTGTATGATTTATAGATTTCCTTATGTTTAATGTTTTTAATACACATCAAATTAATTTTTGTGTATCATGGGAGGTTCAATTACTTTTTATTATTTTAAAAATAAGAATATAAAGTTATCCCAATACCATTCGTTAAAAATACTTTCTTTGCTGTTGTATTTCATGGTAATATTGTTGAAAATATGTTGTACATTGCTGAAAATATTTTGATCAAATATGACTGTGTCTATTGGTTCCATCGATCTGTCTGTCTATCTTTATATTGATACCTCACTGATTTAACCTTATGGTAAGTCTGAATCTCTGGAAACATAAGTATTCCAACTTTGTTCCCTCTTAAAGATAGTTTTGGCTATTCGAGGTCATTTCAATTTCAACATAAAATTTATAATCAGCTTTTCAACTTCTATTAAAAAATCTGTTGGGATTTTCTCTCTTTTTCTTTTTTTTAATTATACTTTAAGTACTGGGGTACATGTGCAGAACATGCAGGTTTGTTACATAGGTACACACGTGCCATGGTGGTTTGCTGCACCCGTCAACCCATTATCTACATTAGGTATTTCTCCTAATGCTATCCCTCCCATAGCTCTCCATTCCCCGACAGGCCCCAGTGTGTGATGTTCCCCTCCCTGTGTCCATGTGTTTTCATTGTTAAACTCCCACTTATGAGTGAGAACATGAGGTGTTTGGTTTTCTGTCCTTGTGTTAGTTTGCTGAGAATGATGGTTTCCAGCTTTATATATGTCCCTGCAAAGGACATGAACTCATCCTTTTTTATGGCTGCATAGTATTCAATGGTGTATATGTGCCACATTTTCTTTATCCAGTCTACCATTGATGGGCATTTATGTTGGTTCCAAGTCTTTGCTATTGTGAACAGTGCCACAATAAACATACGTGTGTATGTGTCTTTATAGTAGAATGATTTATAATCATTTGGGTATATACCCAGTAATGGGATTGCTAGGTCAAATGGTATTTCTGGTTCTAGATCCTTGAGGAATCACCACACTGTCTTCCACAATGGTTGAACTAATTTACACTCCCAACAGTGTAAAAGTGTTCCTATTTCTCCACATCCTCTCCAGCATCTGTTATTTCCTGACTTTTTAATGATTACCATTCTAACTGGCATAAGATGATATCTCATTGTGGTTTTGATTTGCATTTCTCTAATGACCAAAGATGATGAGCTTTTTTTCATGTTTGTTGGCTGCATAAGACGGCGATGCATGTATAGATCAATTTGGGGAGAATTATTATCTTAACAATATGAAGTCTTCAAATCTAAGAACATGGCATAGCACTCTATTTAATTATATCCATACTTTCTCTCAACAATATCTTTCATATTTTCTTTAAATTTATTATATATTTGTGCTTGTTAATGAAAATGTTTTTATTTTAATTTTATTTTATAATTGTTTCTAGTAGTATATGGGAAGATACTTTTTGTATATTAATCTTGTTTCCTACAACTTTGTTAAGTCAATTTTGGTTTTAGTATGTGTCTTAGGATTTTGTATGCACAGGACAATGTTGCATGACCATATTGTCTACAAATATACTGTTTTTACTGTATCCTTTTCAAATCTTATATCTTTTCTTCTTTTTCTTTTTTGTTCTTTTTTTAAAAATCATATTTCACTGACTGATAAAATATTGTATAGAAATGGGCAGAAAGAATATTCTTGTCTTGTACTCTTAGGGGGAAGCATTCATTAATTCACCATTATGAATAATAATGATGTTAGCAATAGGTCTTTGTAGATGATACTTATTGGAATGAGGAAGATTTTTCTATCCCTAGTTTGCTGAGAATTTTTTCGTGAATAAGTTGGATTGTTTCAAGTGCCTTTTCCACATTTCTTGAGATGATTTTTGAAAAATTTCTTATCATGGTGAGTTGCATTTATTTTATTTCAAATGTTAAACTAACCTTGCATTGCAGGGATAAACGCTACGTGGTAATGACGTATTATTCTTTTTATATATTACTGGGTTTAATTTGCTGATGGTTGATTGAGTAAGATTGCATTCCTGAGGTTTATTGTGCCACTAGGTTATAGTGGCCTCATTAAACAGATTGATAAATGTAATTTCACTACTTTCATAAGGAGTATTTGTATAGAATTGATTATTTATTCCCTAAATTTTTGATAGAATTCACTAGTAAAATCATCTTGGTTTGGAGTTCTCCTTGTGTGAAAATTTTGGTTATGAATTCAATTTCCTAAAGACAAAGAGCTATTTATATTTTCCTTTTTTAAAAAAACATAACTTGTGTCTATCAAAGACCTTGTTCATTTTCTTCCAGTTGTTAAATGTATTAGCATAAATTTGTTTATAATATTCCTTTATTATCCCTTTACTATTTGTGGACTCTACAGTGATGCTTCCTTCTTCTTTCTCTATATTTGTAATTTTCTGTAAGGTGTGGTATGAGAACCTACTGATGTGGTTGACCTTTCCTATTAAGAGCTAGCATTTCCCTTGTGTGGCCTTTTCATTGTAAAGCATTAGGAGGCCCCTTCAGGATCTGCCCAGACTTAGCTGCCCCCATAAAGGAAGAGAGGAATGAAAATACAAATGAACTAACAAATAAATGTTAGCCAGTATATACTAGCACAAGCTAAGGGAGTACCTGTAGGATTGGATATTTTTGTTGATTAATTAAGGAAGCTGAAACATAGGACTGATAAAGGATAACAGACAGAGAGCCAAATCATGAGTGAACTCCCATTCACAATTGCTTCAAAGAGAATAAAATACCTAGGAATACAACTTACAAGGGATGTGAAGGACCTCTTCAAGGAGAACTACAAACCACTGCTCAGTGAAATAAAAGAGGATACAAACAAATGGAAGAACATTCCATGCTCACTGGTAGGAAGAATCAATATCATGAAAATGGCCATACTGCCCAAGGTAATTTATAGATTCAATGCCATCCCCATCAAGCTACCAATGACTTTCTTCACAGAATTGGAAAAAACTACTTTAAAGTTCATGTGGAACCAAAAAAGAGCCTGCATCGCCAAGTCAATCCTAAGCCAAAAGAACAAAGCTGGAGGCATCAAGCTACCTGACTTCAAACTATGCTACAAGGCTACAGTCACCAAAACAGCATGGTACTGGTACCAAAACAGAGATATAGATCAATGGAATAGAACAGAACCCTCAGAAATAACACCACATATCTATAACTATCTGATCTTTGACAAACCTGAGAAAAACAAGCAATGGGGAAAGGATTCCCTATTTAATAAATGGTGCTGGGAAAACTGGCTAGGCATATGTAGAAAGCTGAAACTGGATCCCTTCCTTACACCTTATACAAAAATTAATTCAAGATGGATTAAAGACTTAAACATTAGACCTAAAACCATAAAATCCCTAGAAGAAAACCTAGGCATTACCATTCAGGACATAGGCATGGGCAAGGACTTCATGTCTAAAACACCAAAAGCAATGGCAACAAAAGCCAAAATTGACAAATGGGATCTAATTAAACTAAAGAGCTTCTGCACAGCAAAAGAAACTACCATCAGAGTGAACAGGCAACCTACAAAATGGGAGAAAATTTTCACAACCTACTCATCTGACAAAGGGCTAATATCCAGAATCTACTGAACTCAAACACATTTACAAGAAAAAAATAAACAACCCCATCAGAAAGTGGGCGAAGGACATGAACAGACACTTCTAAAAAGAAGACATTTATGCAGCCAAAAAACACGTGAAAAAATGCTCACCATCACTGGCCATCAGAGAAATGCAAATCAAAACCACAATGAGATACCATCTCACACCAGTTAGAATGGCAATCATTAAAAAGTCAGGAAACAACAGGTGCTGGAGAGGATGTGGAGAAATAGGAACACTTTGACACTGTTGGTGGGACTGTAAACTAGTTCAACCCTTGTGGAAGTCAGTATGGCAATTCCTCAGGGATCTAGAACTAGAAATACCATTTGACCCAGCCATCCCATTACTGGGTATATACTCAAAGGACTATAAATCATGCTGCTATAAAGACACATGCACACGTATGTTTATTGTGGCACTATTCACAATAGCAAAGACTTGGAACCATGACAAATGTCCAACAATGATAGACTGGATTAAGAAAATGTGGCACATATACACCATGGAATACTATGCAGCCATAAAAAATGATGAGTTCATGTCCTTTGTAGGGACATGGATGAAATTGGAAATCATCATTCTTAGTAAACTATTGCAAGAACAAAAAACCAAACACCACATATTCTCACTCATAGGTGGGAATTGAACAATGAGAACACATGGACACAGGAAGGGGAACATCACACTCTGGGGCCTGTTGTGAGGTGGGGAGAGGGGGGAGGGATAGCTTTAGGAGATATACCGAATGCTAAATGGCGAGTTAATGGGTGCAGCACACAAGCATGGCACATGTGTACATATGTAACTAACCTGCACATTGTGCACATGTACCCTAAAACTTAAAGTATAATAATAATAAAATTTAAAAAATGAAAAATAAGAAAAAAAAGAAAAGAAAAGACTGATAAAGGGAGACTTTATGGGCTTGAAGGCATTTTCCCAGGATGTAATATTGAATATCTTGCAAATATCTCAGTAGATGGTTCCACCTTACTGCTAGGGTGGTTCCTGGAAGGCTGCATAAAGTGAGGACTCCTTCAGAGTGGTGTTGCAATTGCTTCAATTGCTATAGCAGAAAGTGATGGAAAGAATAAAAGGGTCAGGTAAGGGAGCATGCTGAAGTGGATATATTACATGAGAACCAAAGACACACTCCAGTGTTATATTACACAGAAAGACCCAGAAGACATACCATTAACCAAAGCCATCAAGAAAGCACTGGCAAGAGAAGCATCAGCAACATCAGTGGTGGCTTTTCAGGTCAGGACTGATGATATGAGAAAATACACAGAGCTTGGCTTATTACTGACAATGGGTACAATGAGACCCCACACCAGGACAGGAGGGGTAGTGGCTCTCAACTGCCCTAATTTGGGGTGTATGCATCATTGTAATAACCAGTAAGATCAGTGTGGCACACAAGGAAGCTTGACCTTCAGAGAAATGTGGAAATGGTTAATAGAACACAGCCTCCATAGAAGAAACAGATGGGAAGCCAATAAGGGTACTGCTTAACTTATGTAATCAAAAGAAAATCAGAATAGATGAACAGATGGGTGAGGGCAGTTGCTCTTATTTTAAAAATTACAATATTTTTGTCAGTTTTCAGCCTGGAATCAGTTGAGAAAGAGGTTGGTTGGTCCCCAGGACAAAGGGTCTCACAACACCATGATGTGTATACTGTGTGATCCTCATCTTTTCCCAAAAATAGTAAAACATGCTAATTATACTTATTTCTTATTCCTGTTTTCTGTTGATAAATTCCATAAGGAATCTGAGGAGTAGGTTATGGTTTAGGAGTCTCTAAAATTGGCTCTCCACTAACAATTAAGCACTCAGAATTCAAATTCCAGTGAGTCTAGAAAGCCTCACTACCTCCTGTCTATATTTTCCCCATTTCTCATTGAGCCAGGTATGCACACTGTACCTTAGAAATAGCTTAGGGTCTTACCCAGCTCTCCTTAGTTAATAAAAATACCATGTTCTGAGAACATCTTTGATTCTATTTACTACAATATTGAAAAAAGTGTCTGTTACATCAAGTGTCTAACACTGGTGTCATAGTTTTATTAGGCTGTTTTAATAATTCTTTTCAAATAACCTCAAATATCTCTTATTACTTTGATAAAAATCTTGTTACAAAATAGTAATAAATGGCAAAATTGACAACATTTCTCCCCACTTAGAACACTATTTTATTTCTTGGTATATATTTCTTATTCTCTACCTTCCTGTATACAAGAAAATGTGTAATAATCTTATAGATATTAAACATTGAAGGACATGATGGGCTATCAATCAGCTGCTAGGAAAAACTAAGAACAGATAATATGACAGGTTCGCAGCATTTAGACATATCTTATCACAAGGTCAGAAGGGAATCTTATGACAGAAGTAAATATTGTAAGTTACCATGTGCTAATCCTCAAGCAGAAAGTTAATTCCTGAGGACATGGCATTGTGGGCTGCTATGAGTGCTTCTGACTACCTATAAGGTTACGATTAGTGGAGAAGTTGAAGTTAAGGGTATTAATCGATGTACTTACAACATGTCCCTTGTATACTTTTGTAACATTACCAAGAGCATTGCGAGCAGCCTCCTTATGACATTTTATTAGAAGTCTGTGCTTTTATTCCTCCAGACTTTCCCAATCTCATCAGTCAGTCAGCTCTTAAGCATAGTAAGACTTAATAACAATGTACTCCATTTTTTTCTGTGAAATTATGTTTTCAAGTCCTTAATTCTTAGAGCTCTGATACTCATTATTTTAAATTTTCATTGTATTTAGAACATATGCAAATACAGATTGTAAATCTGTAATTGCATATCTGGTGAGATTTGGTTTTGGCTCCCATCTTCCACTGGAAATGCAATGGTCATGGACATTTCCAAGTCTGCCTGTGAGCTGATGCATGACTCTTATCACTGCCTGTCTCACTCGTTTATATTCATTTATTATGAAGACAACTATAATACTCTATGCCAAGATAGCAAGAATGGTTGTGTCCCAGCTAAGGATTTCTTTTTATTTTACGTAATTGGATGTCTTCATTCATTTATGCTGTTATAACATAATACTATGGATGGGGTAATTTATACACAACAGGAATTTGCTCGTAGTTCTGGAGGCTGGGAAGTTCAAGTTCAAGATGCTGGCATTCAGTGTCCAGTGAGAGCCTTTTTGCTGTATCCTCACAAAGAGAAGGCAAAAGAGATAAATGCTGTGTTTTTACACAGCCAAAGAGCAAAAGAGCAAGCTAACTAAATGCTGTGTGAAGTCTGTTTTATAAGGGCCTTAATCCCATTAATGAGGAAGGAGCCCTTGTGGTCTAATCACCTCTTAAATGTTCTACCTCTTAATATCACCATATTGGAAACTTGAATTTTGAAAAGGACACGTTCAAATCATGGCACTCCACTTTTCAAAATCTCTGTGATGGCAAGACAGTAACAACAATGATTTTCTCCTTTGTATCTCCTTCATCCTACCTTATTTGCTATGGTACTCAGGTACTTTTGCCTTGTCAGTCTTAAATAAGTTTGGCTTATGGCCTTGGACAATAATGTTTATATATTTATTTTTAAATTCATTGACTTTACTGTTCAAAAAATTTCTATTTTTTTCTAACACTTAATTGTGTCTTCAAAGCAAAATTATTAAACCTCCTTTCAATACCATTCTAGAGGGACAGGAGATTTCCTTTTATAATATTTCATCTTTAAAACACACCAGGATATTTATCTCAATATATTTACTTTCCCCCAGTGCAGACAGTATTTGCATTTAAGAGTAATCATCAACATAAAGCAGTTTTGATGCTAAAGAAGCCATGGCATTTAAAACAGACTGTTTTTATTTTTATTTTTATTTTATTGTTTTTAGAGAGGGAGTCTCACTCTGTCACCCAGGCTGGAGTGCATTGGCGCGATCTTGGCTCACTGCAACCTCCGCCTCCTGGCTTCAAATGATTCTCCTGCCTCAGCCTCTCAAGTAGCTGAGATTACAGGCTCCTGCCACCATGCCCAGCTAATTTTTGTATTTTAGTAGAGACAGGGTTTCACCATGTTGGTCAGGCTGGTCTCAAACTCCTGACCTCAAATGATCTGCCCACCTCGGCCTCCCGAAGTGGTGGGATTACAGGTGTGAGCCACCGTGTCTGGCCAAAACAGACTATTTCTACTTAACTCTGTAGAAGCCAAATTCTCTTCCAATTCAGTCTTCAACTTTCCAAATCCGTGCCTGTACACCCAGCAGCACAAAATCATACCTTCTTCCAAGCCACCAAGTCAAAGACGTAAAATAAAAAATCACGTTGAATATGTGGACTGTGTGCTGGAGGCAGATTCAATCTTGTCAACATTGACTAGAGCAGGATTCTCCGTGTGCTGCCTGCATAATCAATAACACGTTTAGGTACATATATTAGGTAGATAAAATGAAGGAGAAGAAAATGGCTAAATTAAGGAAGAAAGCCATATTGTAAAACTAGTAATGACTTTTCCATTGGATTGGTAATTTCTGTTTTATCAAAGATACACTGCTGAACAAGACCATTTCAGCTTCCTTTCTAGTCTAATGGGGAAAAAATGTAATAGAAGGTTCGTAGCTACTATTAAGAATGTATTGGCAACCCTCTCGTTTGCAAGTAGCCAAAGCCTGATTTACATCAGCTTAAGCAAAGAAAGAAATTTATTAACATATATAAGTGAAAAGTTCAAAGGATGCAGCAATTCAGGAATGACTGGATCTTAGGGTTCAATGCTATTAAGGCTATATGTCTTCATCTTTCAGCTTCCAACTCTGCCACATCTGTGTTTATGTCATTCTCAAGCAGGCTCCCTCCACAGAGGCAAAGGAGACCACCTTTAGCTCTAGGCCCACACATTAATTGTTTAGCAACTTCAGGGATAATAGAGATCCCACTCTGATAGGTCTGGCAGAAAACACAAAGCGAGAGTCTGTTCTATTTGGTCTGGATTGGGTTGTACCCACACCCATGGTGGGAGGACAGGGTTAGCCCATTCTGACTGCTTACAATGCCCACAAAAAGGGGGAGTCTGTTACCAAAATAATGGAAAAGGAATGTTGGCCTGGAAAAGCCAATGGATAGCTCTACAAATGCCCAGCTCTACTACTTTGAACTATGCCTATTTTTTTTTTTTTGGTGGATGAAATTTTACTTTGTTGTTTCCACATTGGGAATACACAACTTGAACAACTGATGCCACAGAAACCAGCTCCAGCCTTAAAGAACAGTAGAGATAGAGTTGCTGTGCTTGGTGGAATGAAAACAAGGCTGGAGCATCCTTGCCATTCTCTGTGCAGGTGTAACTGTATAGACTTCTGTCCCATTGCATTATAATTTCTGCTAACAATGTGTCTTCCTCCCTAGGCCAAGAACTTCTTCAAAGTAGGGAATTTGGAGATTCATCTCTGTATTGTGAGTGTTTAGCCCAGTGTCTGACACTGTGTAGGTACTTACATGTCTGTTGAATAAATATACAGATGGCAAACTAAATGATTTTAAGATGCAGAGTTTATTAGCATCAGTACCGTAACCAAAATCAGAGGAAGAGGCCCTGTTAGTCTTGTTCCAGAATTTGTGACTCAAATATTTTAGTATAAATGCTTTCATTATTATTGTTGTTGTTGTAAATAACCATAGAAAGCCCTTAAATTTGTATAATACTTTGCCATTTTCGTTATCACTTTGACCTTACAACAATCATGTAAGCCTCTCAGAGTAGTTATTATAATCCCTATACTGCAGGTATGGTATCGTGTGTTTAGGACAGATTCCTAGGGATGTGCAGCTAGTAAGTGTTCAAGCTAGTACAGAAAGTTAGTTTTGTTCTACTAGCTGGGCATGGTGACTCATGACTGTAATTCCAGCATTTTGGGAGGCTGTGATGGGCGCATAACTTGAGGTCAGGAGTTCGAGACCAGCCTGTCCAACATAGTGAAACCCTGTCTGTACTAAAAATACAAAACTTAGGCATGGTGGCAGGTGCCTGTAACTCCAGCTGCTTGGGAAGCTGAGGCAGGAAAATTGCTTGAATCCAGAAGGTAGAGGTTTCAGCGAGCCGAGATTGCACCATTGCACTCCAGCATGGGCAACAGAGTGAGACTCTGTCTCAAAAAAAACAACCAAACAAACAAAAAAAAAAGAAAGTCTTATTCTATAGTGGGGTGAGTTCCCCCCTGCCCATGGTTCTTTATTATGAGTAGTACATGGGTTTTCCCCCATGGTTGTTCTTTATTTAGAGTACTGTATGGCGGCATGAAATCTCAGGACACCTAAAGATAAAGAACATCCTGAAAGAGAGGCAGATCTGAAAAAGAGGGCAGGTGGGGACAGCAAAGTCACAATGCCATCAACTTAAGCTGTATATTAAGGGAGAAAACATACAGATTCCCTAGACTGAAGACAAGGTTTAACAGGCTGCTATTGCTATCCACGTGACCACGGACAAATCAATCACAGAAACCTGTTTTCAAGATCTCCTATGACGAAGTACATTGAGATCTTTTCATATTGCTATGGTCTGAAAATCATGTGGCCTTAACATAGAAAGGGGATCACAAAGAGAATTATTAACAGGATGCAGAGACCCTATTGGCTCCAGAACACATGCCAAGTAGAGATGTTGTTAACAATGTAAAGAATCAGTTTGGGTTTGGCCAGCACTGAAATCAAGATTATTCAAATAGAATGTCTTGATATGAGTGTAGCACTCATATCAGTAGTAAAAATGTAAAGGTCAACTGCTGCTTATCTCAAGGTATTCTCTTCAATGGTAACTGAAGATTTAAATGACTATAGAAATTAATGCAAAGTACAATAGGCAAATTTTGAGCATAAGAAATGAAGGCATAACCAAACGTGGCATTTTTTAATGGTGCTCCCTGACAAGCATTTATTTTCTTTAGAATAGAGAACAAGTCTGTAAATGGCTTAACAATAAATTCCTTTATAAGTGGAATCTGGTGTTTAGTACCTTGTTTAGGACCAAGGTGTTAAGTACCTATTCCCATGCCCCATCTCTGACTTTGTAAAGCAGGACTCAGGACTGCTGACATATAATAGTCAATGCTACTCTGTGGCAGCCTTACAGTTCTTTATAAGTAGGGTTCCTTATATTTGAATATGTGCTTGAGCTTCAGGGGACACATGAACACCTGAAATTAAATGAAAATGTTGTGTGCCTGAACTTGGAAATACTGAAAAAGGGAGAAGAAACAAAAGCTTTCTTTAGATTATCACATACATCTTTCTAAAAAAAAAAATTAAGAACACTGTTGTAGAGTCTCACTAATAAACCTAAGTAACACGCCTCTTGCTTCAAAGTTAGTTTGTCTTGGATGTTTAACTCCATGATTATTACCATTAATAATCTCTGGTTTCCTATTTCTCCAGTGCTGTGCTTAATCTTTCCTATATTAATTTCAGCATTAAACATTGGATGTCTAAATGTATTCTTTATTATGTGATTGAGTTTGCATTTATATAGTATGACATACATTCTAATATTATTGAGACTGCTTGAATAATGTCTAGTTTTCACATAATTACTTTCTCTATTTCTCGGCTAAAATTGGCAGTAACTCCCAAATATATTCAGGCTCATTTAAATGTTCCAGGTATCCAGGAAAGAAGTATAAAATGAAGATAATCACTGTGTTTTTTCTCGCTTTCACTATCTTCTCACTTGGGATACATTCTCAACACTGAGAGACAACCAGCTCTCATGCATAGTTGAGACAGGGCTTTCTCTGGTAATCCCCAGCCTGAAGCACCCACCACCTCTTGTGAACACAAAAAACACTTTTAAATCTATGCCATTTGGTAACTTGTCACTTTCTGTTATTCTTTATGATATATGCTTTATTGTTGCTGTCTATTTTTTGTCTTATTTGCTGTGTAACTTCACATCTTATCTCTCCTCGTAGGTTACAAACTATTAAAATGAAAGAATAATAACTCATCCTATTTTGTTATCTTTCCTAATTCATAATATAATGATACCAGATAATCAGTTTTATTTAACTAATCCAGTGAAATATATTTTTTCTCATGCCCTACAATCTTTTCATCCATTAAGTTTCTACTCTAAATCTTCCTAAGAGGAATATCTGCTATTAACCAGGATTTTGTTTCATATCTACCATGATCAGTAAATGAAAAATTATAGGTTAGTAATTTTCTATCTCTTTCTCATTACTATCTTTAAATAGTGGGTCTCCAATTCACATGCCTGCAGAGGCCAGGTGGGTGACATGTCTGTGTATCAATGATGAAGCTTTTAATAATTCCCAGGACACTCAATGCTATCATAAAACAAAATGCTAGAAAAATGAACCTCTCCAATGCTGTACTACGTATATGTAAGAAATTGGACAAAATATTCTTTTAAAAGGGAAGAATAGGTCATTAGTGGCCTCAATTAGGTCAGCCTATTTATCTCCTAGTGTCAGCTCCACAGCAGAAGCCAAATGAAAGAATCTTCATAGATATGCACAGCAATCTAGAAGTCCAGAGGTCTTGTGTTATCATCAGATGTTTTTTGGTCCATTAAACAATTACTGTGACTTCAGGGTTGCATTAGGGGGAAAATTAATAGCAGGAAGACAATAACTAGGGACTAATTGGGTGTTCATCATGACAGATGAGAGCCTCCCCCCAGGGAACAAAACACAAAGACTTGGTCGAACCAATCAGTAACAAAGGGAGAAAAACAGAAGGGCAAATGCTCTCCCTGTAGCTGGGAGATGAGAGTAAAATTCCAAGGGAGACAGAATTGGCATAAAACAAAGGAAAATTTAGCATGTTTGGAAAACCCTGCAAATCTTCATAGCTCCAGGAATATATTCTGTCCTCCAAAGACTCAAGACATAAAATTAAAAGATGAGTCTAGCTGATGTTAAAAATGGTATGAAAAGTAAAACACTGTTGTTTATCTTCTTTATACTTTTCTGTGTTTTATGTAAGTATGTAAAAGCACCAATTACATAAAACATGAGTTTTATATTTTTACATTGTTGTGTGACGTGAAAACATAGAAAAGTCTCTCTTTAAGGACTTTTGAGAGACAATTCTTTCAGGATCTCTCATGGTTCTGTATAGCTTGTCAGTGGGAGGGCTAACTGCCTTTTGTCCTAGACTGTTGTTTCAAGGATGTTTGTATAATAAACAGCCTCAGATTATGAAGATAGTGTCTCCCCCAAGAACCAGAGGAAGATTTCATTACAGTCTTGGAAAATAACATTAGTATCACCTTGTGGAACCAAGGATGTGCATGCTAACCGCCCGTTATAAATAATTTGGGTTCCCTAAGCTCTGGGTTCCTTTCCTGTAATACAATCTATTGTGCATGCACATGCCATCTGCCCCTCTTCACTTTGCTATGTGGAAAGTGGATCAAGAAATCCGTGCAAAAATGCTGATAATTTGGCTTCTGCTGTTGCTGTAATAAGCTGTTATTTGCCTCTGACCCAGGAGTCTCATGACTTCTATGAATATTCATAAAATTGTAAATTTCAGACTGTTCACAGTTCTTGTAAAGTTTATTTACTCCTGAGTGTATCTTAACACCTTATTTTAATGAGTCAACTAAATGCACATATTCACAGTGCATAGCTCTGTACTTTGGGTCTAAAGCATATGGCTTTTTTTTTTTTTTTTAAATTGTAGTCTATTCTTATTTGCCTTTTGTAATTTGCAATGTACTGTATCTTTGGTTCCTTCTTCATGGCAGAGTCATTTATTTAAGCCACCATTTTCTCCCCCAAAAACATTAGTTTGGAATATTAGTGCAGTTTCATTGTATTTCAATTTGTCTCATCAATCTAGACTATAATCAGTTTATAGCTACTTTCAAATCTAAGGTTGGGACTGTAAATATCACTTTTGCACCTGATCAGTATATCAGCTGTTCAATTAAAAATTTATTTAGTAACTTAGAATTTCCACAGAAAGAGGGGTCTTTTTACCTGCTCATAATTTTCCAAATAAAATTTGGATAGCATCTTCAAGAATTACCATTATCACACGTGAAAAGCTAAAAGTAATGATGAAGAGGTGAGATCACTTGACAAACTAAGCACAGCAATCCCAAGTGACTGTGAGAAAGAACGGAGGAAAAACACCCCAGCTTTGGAATAGGATAAAAATGTCTACTTAATATTTAGTTACTAATCTGTAATATATGTTCTGTTAGTTTGTGTAGATTAACTATTTCAGCAAATGATCATAAATCTCAGATGCTTAACAAATAAACAGAGCAAAGGTATCCTGGTTCAATATTGGCTGATGGGTAAGCTCAGGCTCCAAGGAATCTTTTGCAGCCCAGGATTTGTCATGTGACTCCTCCATCTTCCTAGATCTCCAGTGAATCTTCTACATAAGACTGTGAGCCCAGAGAAGAGAAACAGCTAGAAGAGGTAATATCTGCTTTTTACCATTGTGGCAGAATGGGTTCCTTGGGAAGATGCTCTAAGATTTGTGCTTAGGAAGTTTTTTGGAATCAAGTCTCTTGGAATCAAAAATCTATGGAGAAATGAAGGAAGCATGACTGGACAGAGAGAGAAGTTAAGCTGAGACAAAGTAAAAAAGAAAGCTTCAGTCAAACTACAGGAAACTCTGGAGTTGAGATGATCTCCTCATGTTGTACAAAATTTAGGGCAAGGAGCTAGGACCCATACATGAATAGATCATTGAATGTGAGCTATTTCCAAGAAGTACATATAACCCATGTGGCGAGGGGCCACTCTCTTCAAACAAAAGCAATCACTGGAAGGGGAGATTCAGCTGTGATCTGTAAGCTATCAACATTGACAACAGCTAGAGGAATGAGTGCTTCAGTCCTAAGGAGGAAGATCTGGGTGCTATGACAGAGTGTCCACTACAAATATTCTGGCTGGGAGTTGATCCACATTACTTCTGCTTACATCGTTAGCAGCAGTATGTATCTGAGTCACGCAGTATCAAAGTATGTTAGTGGTGGCAAATCTGCACAGGTCTGCAGCAATACTCAATTCTTGCCTCCTCAGAAGAAAAAATTTGACCCAGAGGCATAAGCTAGAGTGACAGAATGAGGCAAGTTTTAGAGTGGGAGTGAAAATTTATTAAAAAGCTTTAAAGCAGGAACAAAAGGAAGTGAAGTATACTTGGAAGAGAGCCCTGCAGGCAACTTGAGAGATCAAGTGCACAGTTTGACCTTTGACTTGGGGTCTTATACATTGGCATGCTTCTGAGGTTGCATTACTTCTCCCCTGATTCTTCCTATGGGGTAGGCTGTCCACATGCACAGTGGCCTGCTAGCACTTGGGAGGGGCCACATGCGAAGTGTATTTACTGAAACTGTGCACATGATCACTTGAGGCATCCTTCCCTTACCAGTCGAGTGTTCCTATAAAGTCATATACAAGTTAAACTCTGCCATTTTGCCTCTTAATGCACATGCTTGAGCCCACTCACCCAGCTCCTGAGATCTTATTGGTACGCTGATCACCAGTTTCAGGTTTTTCTATCTATTGGGAGACTGCCTTTCCCTGGCACTGACTATGTCGGACTAGCTACCTACTTGCAACAACATTACATTAAGCAGATCTAGTCACATGCTCCCAACAACATCTAAGGAGTTTGAGAGATGTTGTCTAGTGCAGTGCTGCTCAAAATAGCTTGATGCTTAAATGAGAAAATAAATCCTTGTTGCTTAAATGAGAAGGTAAATAACAACATGACTTCCTTCATCAAAGTCTTCCTGAGGAAGAAAATGTCAGTTGAAATTAACTCTGTGCTTAGTACTGTTGTTGATTTATATTCTAGTCTAGATTCCTTATAGAGTCACAAATTAATAACAGTTCATAGACCAGGACCAGTCTGAAGACCACATTTAGAGGAGTGCACATCTCGTGATGTGCCTGGGAAGAACAGAATACCTGGATATGTGAACACGAATGAGCTCTCCTACTTCCTGGGATTCTAGCCAGCCAGCTTCTAAGACCTACAACTGCACCATTCTATTTTGTCCCCAATCTTGATTTAGTCCCTCTAAAAATCAATTAATTTTTATTATCTGAGATCACTCATTGCCTTTGCTTTTCTCTTTGTTGATGTTACAATGAATTTTAGCTGCTTATGAGATGCTGCTATTGCTGCTGTTTATTTTCCTAACTCCTGCAGGTCACAGGAAATGCTATTAACTTTGGAAAAAGAACTTGTGGACATTGTTCAATCTAGCACTGGGACAATGGGTTGGGAGCGTTCCAAAAAATCAGAGAGAGGAAATAAATGTGTGCAAAGATTTTGTTTACCAGCTTATTCTTAAAAAGTCCAGTTGCGCCTTGGCCTGGTTTTCCACCTATTTTCCAAAAAGAACTAGCCCCCAAATTCTTTTATTATGCTGACTTGGGTGATCTTGAGAAGTGAAATTAAACCAAATAAGGATAATTTTCATGTATAAAATAGATTTATGTCCTTTAACTATTTGATAAAAAAGACTGTACTAAAGTTAAAATGTGGTGGTTTGAATAACTTTAGGAGGATTAAGAAAACATAAAAAGATAATAGTTTAGGACTTGGATAAAGAAACCATTTATAGAATAATGAACAGAATGACGCCAACTGGTGTTGGTATGCTCTACCAGGCACACGGCATACTTCTATCAATGGTTGCTACAGAATAAAAAGCTCAGTGGTGAGAACTGGTGAGCTATTTCAACTGAAGCAGGAAATTTTTGTGCACCAAGTGATGACAAAATGAAAATAAATCTTAAAAGACTGCCAGAGACAGTGGTGGTCCACCATCGAGAAACACTTACCTTGGTACAATAATATGAGAGGAAAAGAAATGTATTTATTCTTAGTCATGTCCAGTTAACCTCTGATAATACCCTTTTAGCCTGACTACCAAACATTCAGTACATTGCATGGTAATATCTTCAAAAGTGTTAGGTTCCTCTCAATTCTATTCCATACCTCCTTATTTCTTAAAAAGATAGATACACTTATCTTGGTAAATCAGGTCTTTTATACTTCCATTCTAATTTATAGAATTTCATGATTAGAAAAATAAAGAGCCTTAAAAAATCCTTAGCCCCCTGCTTCAATCTTAATTCCTTCTATTAGTGAAGATTTTTTGTATTTTTAAAAACTTACAATGACAACTATTTTTTTAACTTTTATTTTAGATTCAGGGGTACATGTACAGGTATGTTAAGTAAATTACATGTCCTTAAAAATTTTTTTTTGAGACAGAGTCTCACTCTATTGCCAAGGCTGGAATGCAGTGGCATGATTTTGGCTCACTGCAACCTCTGCCTCCCAGGCTTTAGCAATCCTCTCATCTCAGCCTTCTGAGTAGCTGGGACTACAGGTGAGCACCACCACGCCCATCTAATTTTTGCATTTTTGTATTTTTTTTTGTAGAGACACGGTTGCACCATGTTGCATGGTACCTAGTAGGTAGTTTTTCTATCCTCACCATCCTCCCCGCCTCCACCCTCAAGTAGGCCCTGATGTCTATTGTTCCCTTCTTTGTGCCCATGTATACTCAACGTTTAGCTCCCACTTATAAATGAGAACATGTGGTATTTGGTTTTCTATTCCTGTGTTAGTTCGCTTAGGATAATAGTCTCCAGCTCCATCCATGTTGCTGCAAAGGACATAATCTCGTTCTTTTTTATGGCTGCATGGTATTTCATGGTGCATACGTACCACATTTTTTGTCCAGTCTACAGTTGGTGGCCTTTTAGATCAATTCCATGTCTTTGATATTGTGAATGAACATATGCATGCACGTGTCTTTCTCAATAATGAACATAGGCATGCATGTGTCTTTATGATAGAACAATTTGCATTCTTTTGGGTATATACCCAATAATCTGATTGCTGAGTCAAATGGTAATTCTGTTTTAAGTTCTTTGAGAAATCGCCACACTGCTTTCCACAGTGGGTGAACTAACTTACATTTCCATGAGCAGTGTCTAAGTGTTCCCTTTTCTCTGCAACCTCGCTAGCATCTGTTATTTTTTGACCTTTTATTAATAGCCATTCTGACTGATGTGAGATGGTATCGCGTTGTTTAATTTACACTTCTCTAATGAACAGTGATGTTGAGCTTTTTTTCATATGCTTGTTGGCTGTATGTATGTCTTTTTTGGAGAAGTGTCTGAGTCCTTTGCCCACTTTTAAAAGGGGTGGTTTTTTGCTTGTAAATTTAAGTTTCTGATAGATTCTGGGATATTAGACCTTTGTCAGATGTATATTTTCTCCCATTCTGTGGGTTATCTGTTTACTCTGTTGGTTGTCTCTTTTGCTGTGCAGAAGCTCTTTAATTTAATTAGGTCCCATTTGTCAGTTTTTTTTTTGTTGCAATTGCTTTTGTCATCTTCATCATGAAATCTTTGCCAGGGCCTATGTCTAGAATAGCATTTCCTAAGTTTTTATAGTTTTAAATTTTCCATTTAAGTTGTTAATCCATCTTGAGTTGATTTTTGCATATTGTGAAAGGTAGAGGTCTGATTCCAATTTTCTGCATATGGGTAGCCAGTTATCCCGGCACCATTTATCGAATAGGGGGTCCTTTCCTCATTGCTAGCTTTTGTTGACTTTGTCAAAGATCAGATGGTTTTGAATGTGTGGCTTTATTTCTGGGCTCTCTATTATGTTCCATTGGTCTATGTGTTTGTTATTGTATCACCATCGTGCTGCTCGGGTTATTGTAGCCTTGTTGTATAGTTCGAAGTTGGATAACGTGATGCCTCTGACTTCGTTCTTTTTGCTTAGGACTGTTTTAGCCGTTCGGGCTCTTTTTTGTTTCCATATGAATTTTAGAACTTTTTTTTTCTAATTCTGTGATGAATGTCATTGGTAGTTTCATAGAAATAGTATTGAATCTGTAAATTGCTTTGGGAAGTATGGCAATTTTAACCATATTATTTTTTTCTATTCCTGAGTCTGAAATGTTTTTCCATTTGTTTGGGTCATCTCTGATTTCTTTCAGCAGTTTTGCAATTTTCATTACAGAGATCTTTCACTTCCCTGATTAGTTGTATTCCTAGCTATTTTATTCTTTTAGTAGCAATTGTGAAGTGAATTGCATTCCTGATTTGGCTTCCGGCTTCAATATTGTTGGTGTAGGGAATGCTACTGATTTTTATATGTTGATTTTGTATCCTGAAACTTTGCTGAAGTTGTTTATCAGCTCAAGGAGCTTTTGGGTAGAGACTGTGACGTTTTCTAGCTAAAGAATCATGTTGTCTGCAAACAATCATGTTGTCTGCAAACAAGGATAGTCTGACTTCCTCTCTTCCTATTTGGATGCCTTTTATTTCTTTCTCTTTCTTAATTGTTCTGTCCAGAACTTCCAATATTACATTGCATATGAGGGGTGAGAGAGGGCATCTTTGTCTTGTGCAGGTTTTAAAGGGGATTGCCCATTCAATATAATTTTGGTTTTAAGTTTTTCATTGTTGGCTCTTATTATTTTGAATTATGTTCATTCTGTACCTAGTTTATTGAAGGTTTTAAACATGAAAGGATATTGTATTTTATCAAAAACCTTTTCTGCATCTATTAAGATAATCTTGCGGTTTTTGTCTTTAGTTTTGTTTATGTGATGAATCATATTTGTTGGTTTGCATATGTTGAAACAACCTTGCATTCCAGGAATAAAGCCTACTTGATTGTGGTGGATTAAGTTTTTGATGTGCTGCTGGATTCAGTTTGTTGGTATTTTGTTGCGGATTTTTCCATCTGTGTTCATCAAGGATATTGCCTGAAGTTTTCTGCTTTTATTGTGTCTCTGACAGGTTTTGGTATCGAAATGATGCTGGCCTCACAGAATGACTTTGGGAGGAGTCCCTCCCCTTCAAATTTGTGAAATAGTTTCAGAGGGAATGGTACTAGCTCTTCTTTATAAATATGGTAGAATTTGGCTATGAGTCTATCTGGTCCTGGACTTTTTCTGGTTGGTAGGGTTTTTATTACCAATTGAAATTTGGAGCTCATTATTGGACTGTTCAGGGTTTTGACTTCTTTCTGATTCAATCTTAGGAGTTGTATATTTTCAGGAATTCATTTTTTTCCAAGTTTTCTAGTTTGTGTGTATACAGGTGTTCACAGCAGTCTCGAGGGTTTTTTTCTATTTCTGTGGGACTGGTGGTAATGTCCCCATTGTAATTTCTAATTATGCTTATTTTGATCTTCTCTTTTTTGTTTATTAGTCTAGTTAGCAGTCTATCAATCTTATTTATTCTTTCAGAGAACCAACTCTTGAATTCATCATTTTGTATCATTTTCATGTTTCAGTATCATTCAGTTCAGCTGTGATTTTGGTTATTTCTTGTCTTTTGCTAACTTTAGGGTTAATTTGCTCTTGTTTTGCTAGTTCCTCTAGATTTGTTAGGTTAATCTGAGATCTCTCTGAGTTTTTGAGGTGTGTGTTTAGTGCTATAAACTTTCCTCTTAACATGGCTTTAGCCGTGTCCCAGAGATTCTGGTATGCTATATCTTTGTTCTCATTCATTTCAAATAATATATTGATTTCTACATTAATTTCGTTGTTTCCCCAAAAGTCATTTCAAGCGTAAATTCAGCTTGTTTAATTTCCATGTAATTGAATGGTTTTGAGTGATGTCACTACTATTGAGTTTTATTCTTATTGCTCTGTTCCAAGAGTGTGTGGTATGAATTTGGATTTTTTTTTGAATTTTCTGAGAATTGTTTTATGGCTGATTGTGTGGTCAGTTTTAGAGTGTGTGCCATGTGTGTGAAGATGAGAATGCATATTCTTTTTTTGTTGAGTGAAGATTTCAGTAGATGTCTAATAGGTGCATTTGGTCAAGTGTTGAGTACAGGTCCCTAATATCTTTGTAAGTTTTCTGCCTCAATGTTCTGTCTAATACTATCAGTGGGGGTGTTGACGTCCCCAACTATTATTGTGTAACAGTTATCTAAGTCTCTTTGTAGGTCTCTAAGAAGTTGTTTTATGAACCTGGGTGCTCTTGTGTTGAGTACATATATATTTAGGATAGTTCAGTCTTCTTGTTGAATTGAACCCTTTACCATTACATAATGGTCTTCTTTGCCTTTTTTTTTTAAATCATGGTTAGTTTAAAATCTGTTTTGTCTGCAAACAGAATGGCAACCTCTGCTACTTTTTTTTTTTCTTTTTCTGTTTGCTCGGTAGATTTTTCTCCATCCCTTTATTTTGAGCTTATGGGTGACTAATATATATTGATAGGAGTTTTCTATACTAGTGAGTTGCACTGTGAAGCTGGTGCCTATAAACCTTATAAATATTATGGAATAGTTTTTTCAAAAAACAAAATTCTTACCATCACTTTGCTTTGCTATTGCTAATAGCTACTCATCCCCATTATCTTCTCTCTGAGGAAGTGAGTTCACTGAGACAATTAATTACATTATGATACTTTCTAATGACTAGAATTTTTTTTTTCTTTTTTCTTCATTATACTTTAAGTTCTAGGGTACATGTGCACAATGTGCAGGTTAGTTACATATGTATACATGTGTCATGTTAGTGTGATGCACCCATTAACTCATCATTTACATTAGGTATATCTCCTAATGCTATCCCTCCCCCTCCCCCCACCCCATGACACGCCCCGGTGTGTGATGTTCCCCTTCCTGTGTCCAAGTGTTCTCATTGTTCAATTCCCACCTATGAGTGAGAACATGAGGTGTTTGTTTTTTGTCCTTGTGATAGTTTGCTGAGAATGATGGTTTCCAGCTTCATCCATGTCCCTACAAAGGACATGAACACATCCTTTTTTATGGCTGCATAGTATTCCATGGTGTATATGTGCCACATTTTCTTGATCCAGTCTATCATTGATGGACATTTGGGTTGGTTCCAAGTCTTTGCTATTGTGAATAGTGCCACAGTAAACATATGTGTGCATGTGTCTTTATAGCAGCATGATTTATAATCCTTTGGGTATATACCCAGTGATGGGATGGCTGAGTCAAATGGTATTTCTAGTTCTAGATCCTTGAGGAATCACCACACTGTCTTCCACAATGGTTGAACTAGTTTACAGTCCCACCAACAGTGTAAAAGTGTTGCTATTTCTCCACATCCTCTCCAGCACCTGTTGTTTCCTGACTTTTTAATGATTGCCATTCTAACTGGTGTGAGACGATATCTCACTGTGGTTTTGATTTGCTTTTCTCTGATGGCCAGTAATGATGAGCATTTTTTCATGTGTCTGTTGGCTGCATAAATGTCTTCTTTTGAGAAGTGTCTGTTCATATCCTTCACCCACTTTTTGATGGGGTTGTTTGTTTTTTTGTTGTAAATTTGTTTGAGTTCGTTGTAGATTCTGGATATTAGCCCTTTGTCAGATGAGTAGATTGCAAAAATTTTGTCCCATTTTGTAGGCTGCCTGTTCACTCTGATGGTAGTGTCTTCTGTGCAGAAGCTCTTTAGTTTAATTAGATCCCATTTGTCAATTTTGGCTTTTGTTGCCATTGCTTTTGGTGTTTTAGACATGAAGTCCTTGCCCATGCCTATGTCCTGAATGGTATTGCCTAGGTTTTCTTCTAGGGTTTTTATGGTTTTAGGTCTAACATGTAAGTCTTTAATCCACCTTGAATTAATTTTTGTACAAGGTGTAAGGAAGGGATCCAGTTTCAGCTTTCTACATATGGCTAGGCAGTTTTCCCAGCACCATTTATTAAATTGGGAATCCTTTCCCCATTTCTTGTTTTTGTCAGGTTTGTCAAAGATCAGATAGTTGTAGATGTGTGGTATTATTTCTGAGGGCTCTGTTCTGTTCCATTGGTCTATATCTCTGCATCGGTACCAGTACCATGCTGTTTTGGTTACTGTAGCCTTGTAGTATAGTTTGAAGTCAGGTAGCATGATGCCACCAGCTTTGTTCTTTTGGCTTAGGATTAACTTGGTGATGCGGGCTCTTTTTTGGTTCTATATGAACTTTAAAATAGTTTTTTTCCAATTCTGTGAAGAAAGTCATTGGTAGCTTGATGGGGATGGCACAAATCTATAAATTACCTAAGGCAATATGGCCATTTTAACAATATTGATTCTTCCTATCCATGAGCATGGAATGTTCTTCCATTTGTTTGTGTCCTCTTTTATTTCAATAAGCAGTGGTTTGTAGTTCTCCTTGAAGAGGTCCTTCACATGCCTTGTAAGTTGTATTCCTAGGTATTTTATTCTCTTTGAAGCAATTATGAATGGGAGTTAACTCATGATTTGGCTCTCTGTTTGTCTGTTATTGGTGTATAAGAATGCATGTGATTTTTGCATATTGATTTTGTATCCTGAGACTCTGCTGAAGTTGCTTATCAGCTTAAGGAGATTTTGGGCTGAGATGATGGGTTTTTCTAAATATACAATCATCAAGTCATCTGCAAACAGGGACAATTTGACTTCCTCTTTTCCTAATTGGATGCCCTTTATTTCTTTCTCCTGCCTGATTGCCCTGGCCAGAACTTCCAACACTATGTTGAATAGGAGTGGCGAGAGAGGGCATCCCTGTCTTGTGCCAGTTTTCAAAGGGAATGCTTCCAGTATTTGCCCATTCAGTATGATATTGGCTGTGGGTTTGTCATAAATAGCTCTTATTATTTTAAGATACATCCCATCAATACATAATTTATTGAGAGTTTTTAGCATGAAAGTTGTTGAATTTTGTCAAAGGCCTTTTCTGCATCTATTGAGATAATCATGTGGTTTTTGTCTTTGGTTCTGTTTATATGCTGGGTTACGTTTATTGATTTGTGTATGTTGAACCAGCCTTGAATCCTACGGATGAAGCCCACTTGATCATGGTGGATAAGCTTTTTGATGTGCTGCTGGATTCGGTTTGCCAGTATTTTATTGAGGATTTTTACATTGATGTTCATCAGGGATATTGGTCTAAAATTCTCTTTTTTTGTTGTGTTTCTGCCAGGCTTTGGTATCAGGATGATGCTGGCCTCATAAAATGAGTTAGGGAGGATTCCCTCTTTTTCTGTTGATTGGAATAGTTTCAGAAGGAATGGTACCAGCTCCTCCTTGTACCTCTGGTAGAATTCGGCTGTGAATCCATCTGGTCCAGGACTTTTTAATTATTTAATTAATATGTGGCTATTAATTATTGCCACAATTTCAGAGCCTGTTATTGGTCTATTCAGGGATTCAACTTCTTCCTGGTTTAGTCTTGGGAGGGTGTATGTGTCCAGGAATTTATCCATTTCTTCTAGATTTTCTAGTTTATTTGCATGGAGGTATTTACAGTATTCTCTGATGGTGGTTTGTATTTCTGTGGGATCGGTGATGATATCCCCTTTATCATCTTTTATTGCGTCTTTCGAGTCTTCTCTGTTTTCTTCTTTATTAGCCTTGCTAGTGGTCTATCAATTTTGTTGATCTTTTCAAAAAACCAGCTCCTGGATTCAGTGATTTTTTGAAGCATTTTTTGGTGTCTCTATCTCTTTCAGTTCTGCTCTGATCTTAGTCATTCCTTGCCTTCTGCTAGCTTTTGAATGTGTTTGCTTTTGCTTCACTAGTTCTTTTAATTGTGATGTTAGGGTGTCAATTTTAGATCTTTCCTGCTTTCTCTTGTGGGCATTTAGTGCTATAAATTTCCCTCTACACACTGCTTTAAATGTGTTCCAGAGATTCTGGTGTGTTGTGTCTTTGTTCTCATTTGTTTCAAATTACATCTTTATTTCTGCTTTCATTTCATTATGTACTCCATAGTCATTCAGGAGCAGGTTGTTCAGTTTCCATGTAGTTGAGCGGTTTTGAGTGAGTTTCTTAATCTTGAATTCTAGTTTGATTGCACTGTGGTCTGAGAGACAGTTTGTTATAATTTCTTTTCTTTTACACTTGCTGAGTAGTGCTTTACTTCCAACTATGTGGTCAATTTTGGAATAAGTCCGATGTGGTTCTGAGAAGAATGTATATTCTGTTGATTTGGGGTGGAGAGTTCTGTAGATGTCTATTAGGTCCGCTTGGTGCAGAGCTGAGTTCAATTCCTAGATATCCTTGTTAACTTTCTGTTTCGTTGATCTGTCTAATGTTGACAGTGGGGTGTTAAAGTCTCCCATTATGATTGTGTGGGAGTCTAAGTCTCTTTGTAGGTCTCTAAGGACTTGCTTTATGAATCTGGGTGCAACTGTATTGGGTGCATATATATTTAGGATAGTTATCTCTTCTTGTTGAATTGATCCCTTTACCATTATGTAATGGCCTTCTTTGTCTCTTTTGATCTTTGTTGGTTTAAAGCCTGTTTTATCAGAGACTAGGATTGCAACCCCTGCCTTTTTTTGTTTTCCATTTGCTTGGTAGATCTTCACCCATCCCTTTATTTTGAGCCTATGTGTGTCTCTGCATGTGAGATGGGTCTCCTGAATTCAGCCCACTGATGGGTCTTGAATCTTTATCCAATTTGCCAGTCTGTGTGTTTTAATTGGAACATTTAGCCCATTTACATTTAAGGTTAATATTTTTATGTGTGAATTTGATTCATTATGATGTTAGCTGGTTATTTTGCTTGTTAGTTGATGCAGTTTCTTCCTAGCATCGATGGTCTTTACAATTTGGCATGTTTTTGCAGTGGCTGGTACCGGTTGTTCCTTTCCATGTTTAGTGCTTCCTTCAGTAGCTCTTGTAGGGCAGGCCTGGTGGTGACAAAATCTCTCAGCATTTGCTTGTCTGTAAAGGATTTTATTTCTCCTTCACTTATGAAGCTTACTTTGGCTAGATATGAAATTCTAGGTTGAAAATTCTTTCTTTAAGCATGTTGAATATCGGCCCCCACTCTTCTGGCTTGTGGAGTTTCTGCCGAGAGATCAGCTGTTAGTCTGATGGGCTTCCCTTTGTGGGTAATGCGACCTTTCTCTCTGGCTGCCCTTAACATTTTTTCCTTCATTTCAACTTTGGTGAATCTGAGAATTATGTGTCTTGGAGTTGCTCTTCTTGAGGAGTATCTCTGTGGCGTTCTCTGTATTTCCTGAATGTGAATGTTGGCCTGCCTTGCTAGGTTGGGGAAGTTCTCCTGGATAATATCCTGCAGATTGTTTTCTAACTTGGTTCCATTTTCCCCGTCACTTTCAGGTACACCAATCAGATGTAGATTTGGTCTTTTCACATAGTCCCATATTTCTTGGAGGATTTATTCATTTCTTTTTACTCTTTTTTCTCTAAACTTCTCTTCTCGCTTTGTTTCGTTCATTTGATCTTCCATCACTGATGCTCTTTCTTCCACTTGATCGAATTGGCTACTGAAGCTTGTGCATTTGTCACATAGTTCTCGTGTCTGGTTTTCAGCTCCATAAGGTCATTTAAGGGCTTCTCTACACTGGTTATTCTAGTTAGCCATTCATCTAATCTTTTTTCAATTTTTAGCTTCTTTGAGATGGGTTCGAACTTCTTTCTTTAGCTCAGAGAAGTTTGATCATCTGAAGCCTTCTTCTCTCAACTCATCAAAGTCATTCTCCATCCAGCTTTGCTCTGTTTTTGGTGTTCTGTTGTTGGTGAGGAGCTGTGTTCCTTTGGAGGGAGAATGGCGTTCTGATTTTTAGAATTTTCAGCTTTTCTGTTCCATTTTGTCCCCATCTTTGTGGTTTTATCTACCTTTGTTCTTTGATGATGGTGATGTACAGATGGGGTTTTGGTGTGGTTGTCCTTTCTGTTTGTTAGTTTTCCTACTAACATCAGGACCCTCAGCTGCAGGTCTGTTGGAGTTTGCTGGAGGTCCACTCCAGACCCTGTTTGCCTGGGTATCAGCAGCAGAGGCTGCAGTACAGCGAATATTGCTGAACAACAAATGTTGCTGCTTGATGGTTCCTCTGGAAGCTTCATCTCAGAGGGGTACCCGGCCATGTGAGGTGTCAGTCTTCCCCTACTGGAGGGTGCCTCCCAGTTAGGCTACTCAGGGGTCAGGGACCCATTTGAGGAGGTAGTCTGTCCGTTCTCAGATCTCAAACTCCGTGCTGTGAGAACCACTACTCTCTTCAAAGCTGTCAGACAGGGACATTTAAGTCTGCAGAGGTTTCTGCTGCCTTTTGTTCAGCTATGCCCTGCCCCCAGAGGTGGAGTCTACAGAGGCAGGCAGGCCTCCTTGAGCTGCAGTGGTGTCCACCCAGTTCGACTTTTTTGGCCGCTTTGTTTACCCACTCAAGCCTCGGCAATGGTGGGCGCCCCTCCCCCAGCCTCGCTGCCGCCTTGCAGTTGAATCTCAGACTGCTGTGCTAGCAATGAGTGAGGCTCTGTGGGCGTGGGACCCTCCGAGCTAGGCATGGGATATAATCTCCTGGTGTGTCTTTTACTGAGACCATTGGAAAAGCGCAGTATTAGGGTGGGAGTGACCTGATTTTTCAGGTGCCGTCGTCAATGCTTCCCTTGGCTGGGAAAGGGAATTCCCTGACCCCTTGGACTTCCCGGGTGAGGCGATGCCTCACCCTGCTTAGGCTCACACTTGGTGGGCTGCACCCACTGTCCTGCCCCCACTGTCTGACAAGTCCCAGTGAGATGAACCCGGTACCTCAGTTGGAAATGTAGAAATCACCCATCTTCTGCATTTCTCACGCTGGGAGCTGTGGACTGGAGCTGTTCCTATTTGGCCATCTTGGAACTGCCCCTGACTAGAAATTTAGAAATGACATTTTAACCAATGTTAAATAGCTTCTTTTAAGAAAATCTGAAAGACAAAAATTATAATATGTTTCAATTCAATTACTATTGGCATACTAGATTCCGGTCAAATTTGATGAATTTCAAAAGCTGCAGATTTTCAAGCATAAATTCAGGATGTAATTATATATTTTTACAACTCATAATTCAAGAAACCCCATGAATAGAGCCACCTTTTTGTTACTAGCCAGTTAATGGAAGAAGACAGCTTCAGAAACAACTATGTCAATTTAGATTAAAAATTTCTCAGAACGTCTCCTCAAAGTTGAGTCATGTAACCACACCTATAAAATCAACATGTCTTTTTCAGTTTCAGGATGGCTTTATACTTTTAAACATTAATGAGGATGCCAAAGAGCTTTTGCTTATGTACCTCTTTCACTGTTTACTGTATTTGAAATGGAAACTGAGAAGTTAAAAATTATTATTTTATTTAAATAACATGGTAAGCTAATTACATGTTAATATTAAGTAAACAAATTATTTTCCAAATAAAATAAATTAGGGAGAAGAGGGAAATTGATTTACTGTTTGCAAATTTCTAATGTCTCTTTTTTTTTTTTTTACTTTTTTCCCCCAACTTTTATTTTAAGATTGGGGGTAATGTGTAGGATGTCCAGGTTTGTTACATAGGTAAACATGTGCCATGGTGTTTAGTGAACACATCATTCCATCATCCAGCTATTAAGTCTAGCATCCATTAGTGATTCTTCCTAATGTTCTCCCTTCCCCTACCCACCCCTACAAGTACCCAGTATGTGCTGTTCCCTGCCCATGTGTCCATGTGTTCTCATCAATCAGTTCCTACTCATAAGTGAGAACATATGGTGTTTGGTTTTCTGTTCCTGCATTGGTTGGCTGAGGATAGACAACTCCATCCATGTCCCTGCAAAGGGCATGATCTCATTCCTTTTTATGGCTGCATAGTATTCCATGGTGTATATATACCATTTTTCTTTATCCAGTCTACTACTGATGGGAATTTAAGTTGATTCTGTGACTTTGCAATTGTAATTAGTGCTGCAATGAGCATACACATATTTTTATAATAGAATTATTAATATTCCTTTGGGTATATACCTAGTAATGGGATTGCTGGGTCAAATGGTATTTCTGCCTCTAGGTTCCTTTGAGAAATTGCCATACTCTTCCACAATGGTTGAACTAATTTATACTCCCACAAACAGTGTAAAAGTGTTCCTTTTTCTCCACAACCTCACCAGCATCTGTTGTTTTTTGACATTTTAATAGTAGCCATTCTGACTGGAGTGAGAAGATATCTCATCACGGTTTTGATTTGCATTTCTCTAATGGTCAGTGATGTTGAGCTTCTTTCATACATTCATTGGCTGCATGTATGTCTTCATTTGAGAAGTGTCTGTTCATGTCCTTTGCCCATGTTTTAATGAAGCTGTTTTTTTTCTTGTAAATTTGATTAAGTTCCTTGTAGATTAAGGTTATTAAACCTTTGTCAGGTTGCAAAAATTTTCTCCCATTCTGTAGGTGGTCTGTTCACTCTGGTGATTGTTTTCTTTGCTGTGCAGAAGCTCTTTAGTTTAATTAGATCCCATTTGTCCACTATTGCTTTTATTGCAATAGCTTTTGATGTTTTCATCCTGAAATCTTTGCCCATGCCTATATACTGAATGGTACTGCCTAGATTTTCGTTTAGGGTTTTTATGGTTTTGGGATTTACCTTTAAGTCTTTAATCCATCTTAATTTTTGTGTATGATGTAAGGAAAGGGTTCCGTTCCAATTATCTGCATGTGGCTGGCCAGTTCTCCCAGCATCATTTATTAAATGGGAAATCCTTCTGCCATTATTTGCTTTTGTGAGGCTTGCCAAAGATCAGATGGCTATAGGTGTCCAGTCTTATTTCTGAGTTCTCTATTCTGTTGCATTGGTTTATATGCCTGTTGTTGTACCAGTACCATGCTGTTTTGGTTACTGCAGCCCTGCAGTATAGTTTGAAGTCAGGTAGTGTGATGCTTCCAGCTTTGTTCTTTTTGCTGAGGATTGACTTGGCTATCTGGGCTCTTTTTTGGTTCTGTATGAATTTTAAAATAGATTTTTTTATAATTCTGTGAAGAATGTCAGTGGTACTTTAATGGGAATAACATGGTACCTATAAATTATGCTAGTGATTTTTGCACATTGATTTTATATCCTGAGATTTTGCTGAAGTTACTTATCAGCTTAAGAAGTTTTTGGGCTGAGATGATGGGGTTTCCTAGATATAGGATCATGTCACCTGCAAACAAAGACAATTTGACTTCTTCTCTTCCAATTTGAATACCCTTTATTCCTTCCCCTGGCCAGGACTTCCAATACTATGTTGAATAGGAGTGGTGAGAGAGGGCATCCTTGTTTTGTGCCAGTTTTCAAGGGGAATGCTTCCAGCTTTTGCCCATTCAGTATGATAGTGGCTGTGGGTTGGTCATATATGGCTCTTATGATTTTGAGGTATGTTCCTTCAATACCTAGTTTTTGAGTGTTTTTAACACCAAGGGACATTGAATTTTATGGAAGGTCTTTTCTGTGTCTATTGAGATAATCATGTGGTTTTTGGTCTTTAATTCTGTTTATGTGATGAATCACATTTATTGATTTGCATATGAATCACATTTATTGATTTGTAAGTTTGCAACCTTGCAATCCCGGGGATGAAGCCAACTTGATCATGGTGGGTAAGCTTTGTGGTATGCTGCTGAGTTCAGTTTGCCAGTATTTTATTAAGGATTTTTACATTGAAGTTCATCAAGGATATTGGCCTGGAGTGTTATTTTTTTGGTGTATCTCTGCCAGGTTTTGGTATCAGGATGATGTTGGCCTCATAGAATGAATTAGGGAGGAGTCCCTCCTTTTTAATATTTTGGAAATGGGTTCAGTAGAAATGGTACCAGCTCCTCTTTGTACCTCTGGTAGAATTAAGCTGTAAATCCATCTGGTCTTGGGATTTGTTTTTTTTTTTTTTTGGTTGGTAGGCTATTGGTATTACTCCCTCAATTTCAGAACACATTATTGGTCGATTCAGAGATTCAATTTCCTACTGTTTCAGTCTTGAAAGGGTGTATTTGTCCAGGAAATTATCCATTTCTTCTAGATTTTCTAGTTTATGTGCATAGAAGTGTTTATAGTATTCTCTGATGCTTGTTTGTATTTCTGTGGGGTCAGTGGTGATATCCCTGTTATCATTTCCGATTGTGTTTAATTCTTCTATCTTCTTTATTAGTCTTGCTTATGGTCTATTTTATTATTATTTTTAATAAATCAGATCCCAGATTCATTGATTTTTTTTGAAGGGTTCCTCATGTTTCTATCTCCTTCAGTTCGGCTCTGATCTTGGTTATTTCTTATCTTCTGCTAGCTTTGGGGTTTGTTTGCTCTTGGTTCTCTAGTTCTTTTGGTTGGGATGTTAGGTTATTAACTTGAGATCTTTCTAGCTTTTTGATGTGGGCATTTAGTGCCCTCTTAACACTGTTTTAGCTGCATCCTAGAGATTTGGGTATGTTTTCTCTTTGTTCTCATTAGTTTCAGAGAACTTCTTGATTTCTGCCTTAATTTCATTATTTACCCAAGAGTCATTCAGGAGCAGGTTCTTCAGTTTCCGTGTAGTTGTGTGGTTTTGAGTGGATTTCTTAATCTTGAGTTCTAATTTTATTGCACTGTGGTCTGAGAAACTGTTTGTTATTATTTTAGTTCTTTTGCATTTGCTGAGGAGTGTCTTCCTATTATGTAGTCAATTTTAGAGTAAGTATTGTGTGGCAATGAGAAGAATGTATATTCTGTTGGTTTTGGCTGGAGAGTTCTATACATATCTATCAGGTCCAGTTGATTCAGAGCTGAGTTCAGGTCCTGAATATCTTTGTTAAGTTTCTGTCTCAGTGATCCAAGTTGCTTGCCTATTTAGTTCCAATGTGAGAACCTGGATATCTCAGTTGAAGGTGTTGAATTCACTTGCCTGTTTTTGTTCCCTCTCTGTGAGTGCAGTGAACTGCAGCTGCTTCCAATTGGCCATCTTGCCCCTCGTCTTTCTAACGTCTTAATGAACTAATAGAAGACAGCTGAATTCATCTAGTTGCGTCTACATTTAATCTTTTGTGACATATTGTTTTATTAAAGAATATGAAGAAAATCTCACTTTGCACAGATATTTATAGTTGGAAAAAGGAGTTGTATTTCAATAGCTTTTCAGATAATTTTTGGTATTCTTCTTTGTTACTACACTATATTTTGGCAAGTGGTAGTTTCTAAAGATTAGTTTCATTGTAAATTCAGAAACCATATTACTGAACTCTGTTACATTAAAGTATATTGATTTATCTTGCGCTTTGATTGGATCTTTTAGCCATGCAAGATTTTGAAACATTAGGTATTGGTCATTTGGAAAATATTGGTTTTCTGAGTTATAAAGATCTTCTAAATGTCAAACTTCATTATAATACCAAAAATACATTTTAAAAATATTAACACCAATCTCATACAAAAGTCTTTCAGGACTGGGAAGTTATCAAACTTATGATGGTAGATGAAATTTTTCCAAATTTCTTATTTTTTGCTTTAAAGCTATAATTTTTTATTGGCAACAGATATTGTCATTTGTTTTCTTGGAAGCAATAGTGTAATTTCATTCATTTTTAAGAAAACAACTACCAAATATAAAAATTCTAATACTCATAGTTGGTAAGTCATTTATTCTTTGGAAAAGAAGTGTTCCAGGAAAAATCAGCCATTTCAGCTAACAACTCAATCCCACAGATGCTTTTTATCAGGACAACAGTGTTAGTTTCCTATTGCTACTGTAACAATTACCACAAATTTAGCAGCTTAAAGTAATACCCATTTATTATCTTACAATTTTGTGATCAGAAATCCAGTGGGCTTGGCTGACTACTCTGCCATAGATCCCATCAGGCTAGAATTTTGATGTCTTCGGCTCTTATCTGGAGGCTCCAGGGGAGAATCCACTTCCAGATTCACCCAGATTGTTGGCAGAATTCAGTGACATGCAGCTAGCTGTAGGAATGAGATTTGCTAGCTGGGGCTGGGAGTAATTCTCAGTTACTTCCTACATTTTTTGTCTTGTGATTCTCTTTGTCTTCAAATCCAATAACAGCAGGTTGAGTCCTCCTCATGCCTCCGATCTCTGACCTCGCTTCTGCCTCACCTCTGACTGGCTCTTCTGTCTCCCTTTTAAGGGCTCATGTGATTACATTGGAATCAGCTGAATAACGTGGGACAATCTCCCTTTTTTAATGCCAGGTAGAGTTATTGTCTATAAACTCTCTTCACAGTCATATCTTCATTAGTGTTTGATGGAATATTACAAGAAGGAGAATCTTGGGGGAACATCACTGCAATTCTGCCTACCACAGTGACCACTGTCTTCCAATATGCAGTGGAAGAACATCATGCCTATTTCCCATTTTATCACACAAATTATTACAAATACGGAGACAAAAGGATTGAAATTTAATAAAATTGATAATTTTCACAACTTTATCCAAGATATTCTGTAAGTATAGTGGCTGCCTCTTCTTTCTCTTTCCCTTCTTCTTTTTCTTTATGTACTGCCTTGACTCATGCCAAAGCACCACAATTTTACTCATCATTGCTTTTGCACCAGCAGTGCAGATGTTGACACAGCAGAACAAAAATAACACCTTAGTATTGTAATAAAAATATTTTTGGCCTCATGAACTTTCTGAAGGAGTCTTGGGAATCTTGGTGCTCTGTGAACCAAAGTTTGAGAACACTTCTTCACACTACTTACTAATTATTTTGTTCAGTATTTTGTTTCTTTGGTTGAGACAGGTGTTATTAAGTAATAAAACCTATAAAATACAAGGAAAAAATTTTCATTAAGATTGAAAGTAATGTGGCCTTGACACATTCAGCAAAGTGTTCAGGTTGATTGTTATCTAGTTGAGTGAGCTGGTGTTAAATGGGTCTAATTAAACTGGAAGCTGAAACCTATATTGAGAGACTTAATTCTTAGGTAACAGAAAACAAATAAAACATTAAATGGGTTGATAGCATTTGGACCATGACAATTTTGGGACAACTCCAGTCTGTAAATCCCCTTCCCAACTCTAGAAACACTGACATTTGATGCTTCTTGTAAGTAGGTCCAGGAGTCCTTAGGGAGCTCTCATGTTTGCTATTAGTGTACAAGGATTTTCTTGGTGTCCCCTATACAGGGCTTTCTTTTCAACACTTCCTCAGTCAAGTCTCAAAACTGAAAATGGTTCTACTTCTCTAGAAAAGATTGAAGAGGTCTAAGAGTCCTCTCCTACACTAGAATACAAAAGCAACCTTTTTTTCTTCTCTTAGTGTTCATCATCTGTCCTTTTGCTTTCCTGTATTACTTTTGACTGAATAGCATCTTCTATGCCACTGGGCTCACAATGGCCTCTGTGAACACTCTACACTCCTCTATGGTACATCCCTGTACAAATCTGTCATCATGGAAGAACCTTCTTAGCAGACATAATTTAGTGTTTGATTGAATATTATAAAGGGAATCTGGGGGGGACATCTTTGGAATTCTGGCCCAGTCTCAATCATGAGTTACATTTAGGTATAATCCCTTTTGAGTTTATTTTAAACTGGAACAGTTCTTTAGCCTTTTTTTTTTTCTTGAGCTTGACAGTTTTGTCAAGTAATTTTGGATTATGTTGGTCAACCCTGGCTTGTCTGGTATTTCCTCATGGTTGGATTCAGCTCAAGCATTTTCAGAGGACATATCACATAATGTGTCTTTCTCTATGCATCACATCAGGAGGCACATGTCAGGTTGTTCCATTATCCTCACCTCCAAAGTGAGGTTAACTTTGATCACTTGGTGATGCCTTCTAGATTCTTTGTAGCGAAGTTACTACTTTCCCTCCTCTATAATTACTAATTAATTTTTGGGGAGTTATTCTCATTTTCTTATTACCTCCATTCCTTATTCATTTGTCTTTTTACTTAACTTCTTGCAGTGTGGGTCCCACCTACCCCCAGCTGGTATGTCAGCCTGCCCACCACATTGCTATTATTCTAAGATTATCTGTCACCCCTCATTTTTCCTTTTTGTATTTTACAAAGTTTTTTTTTTTTAATACTTTAAGTTCTGGAATACATGTGCAGAACATGCAGGTTCGTTACATAGGTATACACATGCCATGGTGGTTTGCTGCACCCACCAACCCGTCGTCTACATCAGGTATTTATCCTAATGCTATCCTTCCCCTAGCCCCCCACCCCCTGACAGGCCCTGGTGTGTGAAGTTCCCCTCCCTGTGTCCATGTGTTCTCATTGTTCAACTGCCACTTACAAATGAGAACGTGTGGTGTTTTGGTTTTCTATTCCTGTGTTAGTTTGATGAGAATGATGGTTTCCAGCTTTATCCATGTCCCTGCAAAGGACATGAACTCATCCTTTTTTATGGCTGCATGGCACTCCATGGTGTATATGTGCCACATTTTCTTTATCCAGTCTATCAGTGATGGGCATTTGAGTTGGTTCTAAGTCTTTGCTATTGTGAACAGTGCTGCAATAAACATATGTGTGCATGTGTCTTTACAGTAGAATGATTTATCATCCTTTGGGTATATATCCAGTAATGGGATTGCTGGGTCAAATGGTATTTCTGGTTCTAGATCCTTGAGGAATCACCACACTGTCTTCAACAATGGTTGAATTAATTTACACCACCAGTGTGTAACCCCCTTTTTGCTGAATCCATGGCCTTTGTTTTTATCTTAATTTGTGTAAAACTCCTGAGAATTCTTGACATTATTGACTTTGCAATTATTTCTGAATCTCTTACATCTCTTACAAAAAGAGTAATGCATTTTTTTCTTTTTAAATATATATTTTTTCATTTATTTGACCACTTTCTCAATGTGAGTATTTCCAAACTCTTTAGTGTGATATATTCTCTCTATAGTTTTACCTTCTCTGAATGTTCTGTTTAAACTCATCCAGATTTAAATCTCTGTGTGGACCAGTGATTAATTCAAATTAATTAAATCAGAATTTGTAGGTGTGGCTTGGACGTCAAATTAAAAAAAAAAGCGTCACATGTAAACCAGATGATTTTAGTTTACAGTTGGGCTTCATAACTAGTAATACAAATTCACATTGGTTGTCATTTAAACATATTCAGAATGTATTGTAAAGTGAAAATCCAGGACACAAAATTATATTTAAAGAGTAACAAGGGGCAGGAGAAGGGAGAGCATCAGGATAAATAACTAATGCATGCGGGGCTTAATACCTAGGTGATGGGATGTTAGATGCAGCAAACCAACATGGCACACGTTTACCTATGTAACAAACCTGCAAGTCCTGCAC
This sequence comes from Homo sapiens, assembly GCF_000001405.40. NCBI lineage: Eukaryota > Metazoa > Chordata > Mammalia > Primates > Hominidae > Homo > Homo sapiens. The sequence goes on from NC_000002.12 coordinate 208,694,906, forward strand.
ATGTATCCCAGAATTAAAATAAATAAATAAATAAATAAAAAGAATGTTAAAAAATAATCTCCTATTTATTGAGTAGTACTATAGAATTAGGAAAAGCAATATTGTTGCTGAAAAAGAGTCTTTGGGGAGAGATTTCCTGCTTTTGAATCCATTTTTTCAAAGTACTAGCTCTGTAGTCTTGGCTATTTTATTTAAATGCTCAAAGCCTTAGTTCTTTGACTTCTTTATTGTATCCCTGTTCTGTACCAGGTCACCCAAGATATAGAAGAAAGCCCCTTTCAATCACAAATATATAATTACACATATTTTCTATTGAAAATTAGAGGAAAGAGACTATCACAGAATAAAGCAAAAGATGGATATTAGGTATATGTGTCTTTGAAAGTCCTTTAGGCTTCTCCCAGTCTCCTCTGCTTCTCTATTTTGAAGAACTCTTCTTTGGCTCCATGGTCAATAGCAATTCCTCTTGCTTTATGATACAAAGCAGTTTAACTCCCTAGCCTTTTCTCAGGTCCAGGAACTACCTTTGCCCATGCAAAGACTCTAAAACGCTCTGCTGAACAACATTTCCTTCAGCCCAGGGCCTATCCTTTAGTGGGACAGGAGAACTGGCAGAGGCAGAGACATTTTCCTCTTTTCCCACTCCCACCCTCACCAGTCTCTGAGATTAAAGGGATTAACCCACCCACACTCACCACTTAATCATGTGACATCCTTTAGAAGACAGAGTCACAGTCTTTGCATACCAATTTTTTTTGTATGCACAAATATGTATTTCTATGAAGTACCTTATAAAATATTAATAGCATACATCTGTTGGTTTTGTGACCATAAGATTTTTATGTTTTTAGGCATTTACAAGTTTGAATATTTTGCAATGAATGCATGTTACTATTGTAATAAAAAATAAAAGGTAAGAAAAAGCTCTCCAATCCTAACCTCTCATCTGGCCTTCAGTTCTGTATTTTCATTAGACTATCCACCAGGCTTATAGGAATTCATAAATATGTCTGTACTTTCAAACTGGCTCCCTTTCCCACCTATTCCATTAAGCCTCCTTTCATCTTTAATTTATTTGTGCTATTGCATTAGGTCCTGGGCTCAGTGCTGTGGCCAATCTGTAAAATCTTTTTTTTTTTTTTAAAGTAAGTATATAAGTAAACATTTATTTAGAAAGAGAAAAGGAATCATAATACCACAAGCATCACAAAACCTAAAAAACTCTTTATAAATTAAATGCATAACACACTGCTATACTACTTTCTTTTTTTAAATTTTATTATTATTATACTTTAAGTTTTAGGGTACATGTGCACAACGTGCAGGTTAGTTACATATGTATACATGTGCCATGCTGGTGTGCTGCACCCATTAACTCGTCATTTAGCATTAGGTATATCTCTTAATGCTATCCCTCCCCCCTCCCCCCACCCCACAACAGTCCCTGAAGTGTGATGTTCCCCTTCCTGTGTCCATGTGTTCTCATTGTTCAATTCCCACCTGTGAGTGAGAACATGTGGTGTTTGGTTTTTTGTCCTTGCGATAGTTTGCTGAGAATGATGGTTTCCAGTTTCATCCATGTCCCTACAAAGGACATGAACTCTTCATTTTTTATGGCTGCATAGTATTCCATGGTGTGTATGTGCCACATTTTCTTAATCCAGTCTATCATTGTTGGACATTTGGGTTGGTTCCAAGTCTTTGCTATTGTGAATAGTGCCACAATAAACATACATGTGCATGTGTCTTTATAGCAGCATGATTTATAGTCCTTTGGGTATATACCCAGTAATGGGATTGCTGGGTCAAATGGTATTTCTAGTTCTAGATCCCTGAGGAATCGCCACACTGACTTCCACAATTATTTTCCTTCTTTTTATATGTGTTTCCATAATAAGAGAAGCATTATGACATTTACAAAAAAACAGTTTGAGACTTGAAGCAAAAAAAGACTTTGAAGCACCAAGTTGGATAACATATGTAAAGTGTCTTTCGACTATATGTAGCTATAAAGTTACCTCTCAATATCTGCGAGTGATTGGTTCCAGGAACCCTGTGGATACCAACATCCATGGATGCAAGTCTCTCATGTAAACTGATGTATTTGCATATAACATACACATCCTCCCATATACTTTAAATCATCTCTAGATTACTTATAATACCTGATACAATGTGGATGCTATGTAAATAATTGTTATACTGTATTTTTAATTTTATAATTTTTATTTTTGTATTTTTATTTTTTAAAATATTTTTGATCCATAGTTAGTTGAATCCACAGATGCCAAAACCAGAAATGTGGAACTTGCAGATACAAAGGGCCTACTACATTCGTTTTTAAGAGCTTTGAAGCTCTTCAAAAGCTGTGCATAAAGTATTTAATTTTGGGAAATGTGCCCCAAAATAGCTTGAAGAAAGGTGTTCATAACAGTATAGTAATAATAAAACACATCTGCACCATGGTAGGCAGCCACAGTGATCCCACCTCCTGGTATTCAGCCTCTGCCTGGGTGATCCTCTGCCAGTGAGTGTGGGCTGGACCTGGGGACTCACTTCTGGCAAACAGACTATGGCAAAAGTGATAGGATATCACTTCTCTCATTACATCACCAAAAACCCTGTGGCTTTCCTCTTCCTTTCCTTCTCTCTCTTTCTCTCCGAACCTTTTGCTCTGGAGAAAGCAGCTGCCATGTTTTGAGCTTGCAATCAGACCCTCCTCAGACTGGAGACTGCAGCATCCACCAACAGCTTCTTCACAGCCCAAACCACGTCAAGATTCAAAATCCACAGGAACTGTGAAATGATATGTGTTTGTTGTTTTAAGCCACTAAATTTCAGTTGGTTTGTTACACAGCAAGAAATAGCAACTATAACCCCTAAAAAAACTACCCCTTAACCATAATACAGAAAGTATATAAGAATTTTTTACTTATATCATGGAACTGAACAAGTTAATTATTCAATATTTTCAAATTGTATATCATATTTGTTATACAAATTTGTGATGATATAGTCTACATGTTTATCATTTTATGGACTGTATGGTAATATCATCGTAATAACACATAGTAGTTTCCATAATGAGTAAGAGCTCATTCTCTGAGACTAGACTAGGTCTAAGTCAAACCCCAGTGACCTTAGGCAAATTGCTTAACTTCTCTGTAAAACTGAGAGAATAATAATGTTTACTTCACAATTTTTTTTTACAAGGATCAGTTCAAACAAGGAAAGTGGAATAGAGCCTAGCATACCATAAAACTTCAACAAATGTTAACTTTCAAAAATAATCTATTTTTCACCATTCTCCCATTGTGGGATGTTTTAGTGGGATCTGATTTCTGCTACCTTCTAGCCTATGCCACTAATCCTAGCTGCATACTTGCCTCTGGATATCCTGCTGTTAGGTTTTGTCAGCCTATTTCTTTGAAACAAAGCCTCTATGTCTGACACTTCCTTGAATGACTGCACTACAGAAAGAATAGAAGAACTCTAGAGAGATCTGACTTCAAATTCAATTTTCCACCCTTGAGCCCTTGGTCAAGTCACTTTCCTTTATAGTGTCTAAGTTTTCTAGACTATAAAATACAACTAACAGTAACTATCTTTTAAGGTTGTTGAAAGTATTAGAGGTAATATATATTAAAATAATGTAAGTTAAATCTCTGGCATATGGTAGGTACTCAATAAATAAAAACTGTTACTGCAAAATGTGGCTAAGCCCTTTGGATACTGCATCTTTTCCTCTATATTAGGCTCCTTCCCACTGCCTTCAGCTAGGCTTGCCTTTTTCTCCATGCGGTATTCTTCAAAAGAAGTAGCTAAAGGGATTTATTTATTTAAAGATAGTTAATTACCCTCTCAAGTGACTTTAGCAGGCCAGATGGTTTTCATTTTAAAAATAATCACTCTTCAGAGGAAGGGAAGAATAGAATTTGTAAAGTCTGTTCTATAGTTCATAACAAGGTATGCCTTGCTTCATCTGTGCATGTTTTTGAAAATACTTGAGTCTCTAGCGACACAGATTCTGATTCAGCAGGTCTAAGATGACATTTGTGTTTTAAAAACTGTCTAAAGCAAGATACTCAAAGTAAACAAAGTTTTCAGAGCTCCTACAAGAAGGCTTTTCTAATCTGAATGAGAGGGACAAAACTGCTGTGTCTGAAATCTTTTTGGCAATGGCTGCTTTTATAAGAATAATTCTCTTCTCAGAGTAAGTTTGAACATGCATCACTAAAACATCATGACATGTATAGCTTTCTAAAAATAATTCTAAAATTTGATTAACAAATATTCAAGGGAGCACTATTGCCTTTAATATTAAACATACTACTTAAAGCGAACCATAAACACTGATTATGAAGAAGTCTGATAGTTTTTGTTTAAATTGTTTTGGAAAGCAATATTTTACTTTAGTGGAGATCAGTGATTCTTAAACTTGAGGGAACTTCAGAACTTCTTTGAGGGCTTACTAAAGCACAGATGGCCTGAACTCACCCTCCAAGTGTCTGGTTTGGGAGGTCTGGGGATGGGAACAGTGAATTTGCACTTCTGAAAAATTCCCAGGTGATGCTGATGCTGATGGTCTGTGGACCACACTTTGAGAACCACTGCCACAGACAAAACCTGATAATAGTTTCCTCTTGGAGGATGATGACGAAAGTCTGTATCACCTGTCAGGAAGACATCAAGAGAGGCCTACTGACAGTCTTCAGAAAAGAAGTCTCTTTTTTGCTCATCTGTATTTTGTGACATGTTCAGTATTGCCTTCCTGGAGAAAGAACTAAGACAAATGAAGAACAAAGTCTTTTTCTAAAACAAAAAAATCTAAAAAGATAGATAAAACCCCCCAATAATACATGTTTTTGTGCCTTTTCTAGCAGCTTTTATTACGCAGTACAGATAACAAATAAACTCAACCATTTTCCAAATTTTATTGGTTTCCTTCTATGCTGTTGAACACATGAGGCTCCATCGCATGTCTCTCTGCTGTGTTGGGCTTGTGGTTTCTAAGAGTTCAGAATCCTCTTTGATGCTGCTTCCTGAAGAGAATAACTGTTGTCTTGCATGTCTGTAAGGTAGCCCAAAGAAACAGACATGGACCTCAGCATCCAAATGCTGAGGGGCTTTTCTATTGTCAAACCTTATTACCCCAGACTCTCTCCTTGACCATGTGAAGTCTGCTGAAAGATAGTCATCTTTTTTTTTTCTCTTTTAACTTTCCTTTAAGGTTCAGGAGTACATGTGCTGCTTTATTATGTAGGTAAACTTATGTCATGGAGGTTTGGTGTACAGATTATTTTGTCCCCCAGGTACTAAGCATAGTACCCGATAGGTACTTTTTCAGATCCTCTCCCTCCTCTCACCCTCCTATAGGCCCCACTGTCTGTTGTTCCTCTTTATGTGTCCATGTGTTCTCATCATTTAGCTCCCACTTACAAGTAAGAACATGCGATATTGGTTTTTTTGTTCCTGTGTTAGTGTGCTTAGGATAATGGCCTCCAGCTCTAACCATGTTGCTGCAAAGGACATGATATCATTCTGTTTTATGACCACAAAGTATTTCATGGTGTATAGGCACCACATTTTCTTTATCAGTCTACAGTTGATGGGCATTTAGGTTGATCCCATGACTTTGCTACTGGGAATGGTGCTGCAATGAACATACACGTGCCTGTGTCTTTATAGCAGAATGACTTATATTCCTTTGGGTATATACTCAATAAGGGGATTGCCGGGTCAAATGGTAATTCTGTTTTTATTATTTTAGGATTTGTCACACTGCTTTCTGCAATGGCTGAATTAATTTATACTCCCACAAGCAGTAAATAAGCATTCCCCACAACCTCACCAGCATCTGTTATTTTTTTGACTTTTTATTAATAGTCATTCTAATTGGTGTGAGGTGGTATCTCATTGTGGTTTTGATTTGCATTTCTCTAATGATTAGTAATGTTGAGTATTTTGTTCATACGCTGGTTGGCTGTGTGTATGTCTTCTTTTGAAAAGTGTCTGTTCATGTCCTTTGCCCATTGTTTAATGGGGTTGTTTGTTTTTTGCTTGTTAATTTGTTTAAGTTCCTTATAGATTCTGGATAGTAGACCTTTATCAGATGCATATTTTGCAAAAATTTTCTCCCATTCTTTAGGTTTCTGTTTATTCTGTTGATAGTTTTCGTTTCTTTTTGCTGTGCAGAAGCTCTTTAATTTAATTAGATCCCATTTGTCAATTTTTGCTTTTATTTTAATTGCTTGTGTCTTCCTCATGAAATCTTTGCCCATTCCTATGTCCAGAATGATATTTCTTAGGTTATCTTCCAAGGTTTTTATAATTTTAGGATTTCCATTTAAGTCTAGAATCCATCTGGAGTTGATTTTTATATATGGTGTAAGGAAGGGGTCCAGTTTCAATCTTCTGCATAAGTTTAGCTAGTTATTCCAGTAACATTTATTGAATAGGGGGTTGTATTGGTCAGGGTTCTCTAGACAGATAGAACTAATAGGATAGATGTATATATGAAGGGGATTTTATTAGGAGAATTGACTCACATGACCACAAGGTGAAGCCCCATAATAGGCCATCTGTAAGCTGAGGATCCAGGAAGCCAGTCCTAGTCCCAAAACCTCAAAAGTAGGGAAGCCGATAGTGCAGGCTTCAGTCTGTGGCCAAAACCTAAGAACCCCTGGCAAATCACTGGTGTAAGTCCAAGAGTCCAAAAGTTGAAGGACTTGGAGTCTGGTGTTCGAGGGCAAGAAGCATCCAGGATGGGAGAAAGCTGGAAGCCAGAAGAATTAGCCAGTCTAGTCTCCATGTTCTTCTGCTCGCTTTTATTCTAGCTGTGCTGGTGGCTGATTAGACTGTGCCCACCCAGATTGAGGGTGGGTCTGCCTTTGCCAGTCCACTGACTCAAATGTTAATCTCCTTTGGCAACACCCTCACAGACACACCCAGGAACAATATTTGGCATCCTTCAATCCAATCAAGTTGACACTCAATATTAACCATCACAGGAGTCCTTTCCCTATTGCTTGTTTTTGTCAGCTTTGTTGATGATCAGATGGTTGTAGTTATGCACCATTATCTCTGGGCTCTCTATTCTGCTCCATTGGTCTGTGTGTCTGCTTTTGTACCAGTACGATGCTGTTTTGGTTACTGTAGCCCTATAGTATAGTTTGAAGTCAGGTAACATGATGCCTCCAGCTTTGTTCTTTTTGCTTAGGATTGACTTGGCTATTCAGGCTCTTTTTTGGTTTCATATGAATTAAAAAAAATTTTTTTCTAGTTCTGTGAAGGATGTCATTGGAATAGTTGTATTTTAATCTAGTTAGCAAATTAGCTCATAGAGTGAGTGTTTACTACAAATAAGCAACAATATTTGTTATGGGTTAAATTATGTCCTCTGCAAACATATTGAAGTCCTAACCTCTGGTACCTGTGACTGTGACCTCATTTAGAAATAGAGTCTTGCAGATAATCAAGTTAGGATGAGTTCACTGGGGTGGATGCTAATCCAATATGACTGATGTCCTTATAAAAAAAGAAATTTGGACACAGACATAGACAATTACATAAGGAGAACCTCATGTAGAGATAAAGGCAGAAATCGGGGTGATCCATCCACAAACCAAAGAATGCCAAAGATTACCAGGAAACCACCAGAAGCTAGGAGAGAGACACGGGGAAGATTCTTTCATCACTTTCAGAAGGAGCTAACCCTGCAGACACACTGATGTTGGACTTGTAGCCTACAGAATGTGGGACAATGAATTTTTGTTGTTTAAGATGGGACAATGAATTTTTGTTGTTTAAGATACCCAGTTTATGGCAGCCCCTAAGAGACGAATACATGTATTATTGTAACCCATGGTATTGTTATATTTTCACGTTATTAAACTTTTCTAATTTTCTCCCTGTGGTTAGTTTTATTTGTCCCTGTGACAGTTTTATTAACTGTCAGGGAGAACAGAAGGTATTTCAATAAATAGCTGTTAATGTAATTTGCTCTCCACTTTGAGTGGAGGGGAAAATATTCCAAGTAGATTTTTATTTCTGCACTTGTTTTTCTTTTATATGCATTTGCAGTCTTGGATAACACTACTTACACATGCTTTTTCCTAAGATGAAACCCACTTGTCAACATATTTAGGCAGATCCAAACTTTACAGATCTCTCTTCTCAGGTGAAGAAGCAATTTCTTTTTTTGAGTCAGGCTGACATCTGATTTATTTTTCAAATGGGGAGTCAATTGTTCCAAACCACTGAAAGGTTAATTTGTATTTTCTCACTAGAGGCAGTTTTTAAAGGAAACAAATTTTATCTTCAATAGGTTAATTCAGAAAAGAAATAAAGTTTATTATTATTATTTTTTTTGACGGAGTCTCGCTCTGTCCCCCAGGCTAGAGTGCAGTGGTGCGATCTCGGCTCACTGCAAACTCTGCCTCCCCGGTTCACACCATTCTCCTGCCTCAGCCTCCCAAGTAGCTGTGACTACAGGCGCCCACCACTATGCCCGGCTAATTTTGTTGTTTTTTTTTTGTATTTTTAGTAGAGACGGGGTTTCACCATGTTAGCCAGGATGGTCTTGATCTCCTGACCTTATGATCTGCCCGTCTCGGCTTCCCAAAGTGCTGGGATTACAGATGTGAGCCACCACACCTGGCCAAGATTTTTAAAAATGTCACTGTTCAAAATGAGAAGAAATGCAGAATAAGGAAAAACGGGAAGACTTCCATCATGTGAAAATGTAGGACAACTCTTCTATGCTTTACCCCCCAAAATTTGTCCCTCTTTCCCTCATTTATCTAATTTTCCCTTACCCTCTCATACTCTAATAGCACTATGGTCTAAAGATCGGAATACAAACAAACTTATAAAGAGCAGTATCTTACTTTTCTTTAATAAAGACCCAAATGATAGAAAACAAAGTTCACAAACTGTTTTGAAGTTCTGAAGCCTTCCAAAATTATTGTATGAATACTGCTATGTGAGAGCAATATCCAGTAAGTACCAAAAAACTGTGCAGTAAGTACCAAAAAACTCTCCCCAAACCTGACAATTCCTTCAGAACATTTTAAGACCCACTGGTATAATAATAGCATTCTCCAAAGAGTAATCTTGCTATGTTCCTTATTAATTCTCACCTCAGGTGAAGATGACACATTTTCGGAACTATAGATGAGGTAAAAGGCATATGGTGATTTGTTGCCTCAAACACTGGATTGTGGGATGAGATTTGGCTTCTGGTTTTCTGAGATCTCCACATCCTTTTGGCTCTGAGGTTCTGATCTATCTGCCATGTCTAAAATGTACTCCAACAATCAGGCTGGCATGTGACAACTTTTCTCAAGGTCATGTCTTGCCTAAAAAAAATCACTTTATTGATTCCTCTTTGCTTACACTTCTATGTGCAAGCAGAAAATAAAATGATGCAGAGAGAAAAACATTTGTCACTTTTGATTTTGAATTGTATGAAATGCCTTGGAACTTTCTGCCATAGATAAATCCATAAATTGGGTTTAAAAAATCCTGACTTGGAACATTTTGCTTCCAGATCTTTCTCTCATTTGTCTGTACAGTCTTCCTTTTCTCTAACCCACTAACCTTATAGACCAATGTCAGCTGCCCTGGCCTCCAGTTCTGTAATGTTCAGATCAAGATTTCTAGATTTCCTCTAGTTTCCTGGTCATTCTTCATCAATATCTATAGCATAGCTTTAGGCATCTGTTTAAGTAATTTTTCATCCTGACTCACACAAAGTATTGTCCCTTTTCCTGATCACTGCAGTGATGTGTTTTCTTGAATTTCAGAGGAGCTGGATATTGTAGGTGTCCTGGAAGATCATCAGTCCTTTCAAAAGGATAGCAGAATAAAATCAAGTAAAATCACCTGGGTTACTATCATCCCCCACCCTGTCTGCAACAATAATTGTTAAATCTTCTTGAGCCGACAATGGCAATTGCATATGATTACACTTAATTGGAACTCCCAGCCACAAAGATCATACATTATCTTCAAATTTGTACCATCTTATTGTTTTCACGCAGAAAATATGCTAGGGAATATTTATTGAAATTAATTATCTGTTTTCTACTCTGTTCATCATGACATAAAAAATGACATGATTCTACTTTCTAAAAGAAAGATCATAATTATAAGTAAATTTCAAAGAAAATCAAATAAGACCACAAACTCCCATAGAACAGTTGCTCTGTACTATTTTGTTTTGTGCATTTGACATGCTGTTTTGAGAAATCTCCTGAGAGCCTTCCTGGTATATTGCCTTGCCTCTCACAAATAAAGCTTTGTTTGTTTGTTTTCACTGAAAGGTAGGCACAAGGGCAAAAATTTAATTTAAAATGACATTGCCTGGTATGTATTGAAAAATTATTCATTTTTCATCTTCCAGTTTTGAAAAAGCTTATCCTAAGAAACTTGCCTATTATATATTCTTACTTTTTCAGTTTTAGAGAGCAAACTACCTCTGTTATCACAATAAGATAAATGTGTACAGGTACCCTGGGATAAATCACTATTTGATTTGTTAAATTGACAGTACTTTGAACCTGCAGGACAGAAGGGTCTTTCTTAGCTATTCAGTAGAAAAGGGTCTTACTTTTCTACTCCCTGAGAGGTAGAAAAACAGTAATCACTGCTTTCAAGGCAGTTGGAAGTGAGAAGTTGAGTCAAATGAGTAATAACAAAGCCTTCAGGAATAAAACGATTATTATTATTATTTTTAATGATAGTGGGACTGTTTTATGCCCCCCTCCCCCACAAGCTTTATTGGGTATAACTCACATATAGTTAAATTTGCCAACCATAAGGGCACAGTTTCATAATTGCATGCAGAATTAGTTTGCTAGGGTTGCCATAACAAATTACCACAGGCTAGGAAGCTTAAACAACAGAAATCTATTGTCTTAGAGTTCTGGAGGTTAGAAGTTTAAGACCAAGGATAAGCAGGTTGGTTTTCTGAAGGTTGTGGGGGAAGGATCTCCTCTTCTTGGTTTTTTAGATGACCTTTTTCTCCTTGTGTCTTCACACTGTCTTCCCTCTGTCTATGTCTATGTCTAAGTTTCCTCTTCTTATAAGGACACTAATCATTTTGGATTAAAGTCCACCCTAATGAAATAATTTTAACTTAATTACCTTAGTTCCTCCTAATAACCTTAGTTACCACTTTCAAGACCGTTTCTCTAAATATGGTCACATTTTAAGGTACTGGGGGTTAGAACTTCAACATATAAATTTTAATGGGGACTGATATGGTTTGGCTCCATGTCCCCACCCAAATCTCATGTTAAATTGTAATCCTGAATGTTGGAGGAGGGGCCTGATAGGAAGTGATTGGATGATGGTGGTCGACTTCCCCCTTGCCGTTCTCATGATAGTGAGTGAGTTCTCACGAGATCTGGTTGTTTAAATGTGTGTAGCACTTCATTGTTCACTCTCTGTCTCTTGCTCTGCCATGTAAAGATGTGCTTGCTTCCCCTTCACTTTTCACCATGATTGTAAGTTTCCTGAGGCCATCCCAGCCATGATTCCTGCACAGCCTGTGAAACTTTGAGTGAATTAAAACTTTTTTCTTCATAAATTACCCAGTCTCAGGTAGTTCCTTATAGCAATATGAGAACATACTAATACAGGGACACAATTCAGCCTATAACGTATGCAATCATGTAAAAACTACTACCACAAACATATAGAACAGTTCTATCACCCTAGCAAGTTTTCTCTGCCCTTCTGCAATGAATCTCCTCTCGTGATTCCCAACCCAGGCAACCACCAATCTGCTTTCTGTCACTATAGTTTTGCCTTTATAGATGTTCTATATATATTAAATTAAATATTATGTAGTCTTTTGTGTTTGATTTTTTTCACTTTGTATGTTTTTGAGACTCACTTATGTTGTTATATGCATTAATATTTTATTCCTTTTTATTGCTAAGTAGTATTCTATATCATAATTATACCATAATTTGTTTATGCATTCATGATTGATCAGTATTTGAGTTGCTTCAAGATTTTGGCTTTTGTAAATAAGGCTACTATGAACCCTTACATAGGAATCTTCGTATGGACTATGTTTTTATTTCTGAATGAACCATATAGCAGTGGGATTGCTAGGTCATATTGTAAGTCTATTTAACTTTATAAGATACTAACATACTACTTTTAAGTTTTTCAAAAGTTTCAAAAAATATGCCATTTTACATTCCTACTAGCAGTGTATGAGAGATTCAGTTTCTCTGCATCCTGTCCAGCATTTGGTGTTATTAGCATTCAGCCATTCTAGGTGTGTAGTAATAGCTCCTTGTGATTTTAATTTGCATTTTTCTAATGGCTAATAATAAAATTCTTTCCTGTGCTTTTTTGCCATCTGCATATTCTCTTTGGTGAAATGTCTCTTCATGTCTTTGTCTTTTACTAATTAGATTTTTTTTCCCGTTGAATTCCGAGAGTTCTTTTTGTGTTCTAAATATCAGTCCTTTGTCAGATACGTGGTTTTCAAATATTTTTTCTGAGTCTGCCTTGTCTTTTCATTCTTTTCACTGAGGTTTTCTCAAAGCAAAAGCTTTTAATTTTGATGAGGTCCAATTTATCAATTTTTTTCTTTTGAGACTCACAATTTTGGTTTCAAGTCTAAGGACTGATTGCCTAGCATTAGATCTAAAAGATCTTCTCTATAATTTTTTTCTAACAGTTTTATAATTTTATGTTTTACATCAAAGTTTATGATCCATTTGAGTTAGTATTTGTAAAAGATTTGGTATGTAGGTGGGAGTTAATTTTTTGTCTATAGATGGCCAATCCCACACTGTCATAATTACTGTTATTTTAATAATAATATGTCTTGACAGCAGGTAGAGTTATTTCTCCCATTTTATTCTTCTTTTTCAAAACTGTTTTAGCTGTTCTAGGTTCTATGCCTTTCCATATAGATTTTAGAATATGCAACTTTCTTTTAAAAATATTTTATCATGACATATGTCAAGCATACAGTAGTATAGATAATGCATAAATGTAAGAGTTGAAGAATGATGAAAAAACTCAAATCACCTGTTTAAGAAATGGTATATTATAAGTACTCTTCAAATTGTATGCCCTCCTCAATTATACTTCTCCTCCAATACTTTTAAATTGTAGTTGAAATGTTCTTTTGCTTTTCCTTATATCTTTACTATTTAACAGCACAACAAAATTATGCATATTTTAATTTTGTCTGGTTTGATCTACATGTAAATTATATCATCCTACACATATTTTTCTAAGTTTCTTTGTTTATTCTACATTTTGGTTTAGAGATCCATTACTATTAATACATACAGCTTTTGCTTATTGATTCTTTAAGTATCATAGAACCTCACCATGTGAATATTACACAATTTGTTGATCTAATCATTTGATGGTGATCATTTGAATTATTTCTTAATTTTTTCCTTTATAAAAATGAGGCTATTGATATTTTATACATAGTGTTCATATGCAAGAAAAATCTCTAAAGCTTATATCTGAGTGAACTAACTGTGTCATAAGGTAGGCACTTCTTCAATTTTACTACATATTGATCTAATTTATATTCCAAAGTATAGAGGAGTTCCTATTGCATGTAACCTGCTTTTTTTCTTAAAATATATCATATAGGTCTTTTGATTCCTTCTAAAGGCTATAAAACATTCCATTAAGTGAAGATACCATATATGGGAATAAACAAAGACCACTCATATTAGAATAAACAGACACTATTTATTCAGAGCTTGCTATAGCAACGGAGTCAGCCACCATCTCGCATCTGGCAATAACTCAAGGGCAAGCAGGGAAGTGAGAAAACTTTATAGTGAACAAAAGGGAAGAAATCCTGTATGCTCTGGAAATTGTAGGCATGGAGAAACTGGAAACAGTTAACTGGAAGTGTGATATGGCTGGTTTGGGGAGCATATTTTACTTTCCCTCTTTCGTACTGAGGTGGAAGAAGAAACAAAACATAGGGAAGGTGGCAACCATTTACCAAGTTCTGACCATTCTCAGTTGATTTTTGGAGAGGTTGGCATTTGTCTTCCTGAATGGTTGCTGCAGACGTTGTAGCTCAGAGTTCTATTGTCATGTATGGTCTGGAAATTGTCTGTTTGTATAGTCAGCATCTCATACAACATATTAAACCATTTTCCCGTTCAAGGACATTTAAGTATTTTTTCATGTTTTTGCTATTAAAAGCAATGCAAGTATTTCAACTTGATAAAATAAATATCTAAATCAACAGATACGCATTTTTTGGTTTCACCAGATTTTTGTTGTTTTTCTGTTTGTTTGTTTGTGTGCTTTTTACCTCAGGCAGGAAATGTTGCATTCAGTTGTTTGTATCACATGTACACAAGGCTAAGAGGGGAACCAAAACCCTATAATGAACAGTTAAATAGATGAAGTTATTTAGATAAGAGCAAAGAAGGATCGTTGGAGAAGCCATGCTCGTCTCTAAATGCACATTTTTTTTAAAAAAGCCTTTTCTGCCTACAAAAAAGAGAAAAGAGAAATTTTATCTATATTCCCATCACCTAAAGACAAGCGTGGTTAACATAACTTTTAAAGAATAGTCCTTTCAGGATTGCTGTTCACACATCTCTTAAAATATTCTTGCATTTTATTAATCTTTCTAATTTTCATTATGTGTTCGTCATTTATAAAACGTAAGCACTTATGTTTTAAAAAATTCTCTATAAACACCATTTCTTTGCAACATATACTGTTTCACTGTGAAGATATGTCATAACTAATCACTTACTACTGAGCATTTAGACTGCTCCCAAATTTCACCATTATAAATATCACTGAAATGCATATTTATATGCATAAAGAAGTCTTTCTCAGTTCATTTAATCAAAGCACTGTCTACAGGCATAAAGACTCCTCATACACATTGCCAAAGTACTTTTCAGTATTATTCTCCCACTGGTAAATGGATAAGATGTATATTTCACCAAACCCTCTTTGGCATTTATTGTCACTTTAAAAATGTTTTCTGATAGAAAGGGAGAGGAAATTAATATGTTTTGCTTAATCTCCATTTCTTTGACAATTAACGAGGTTGAACCAACAGATATTTTTAATGTGCCCTCAAAACTGTCATTCTACTTACCTAATTGTGCAATTGTGCAACTTCATTTTAGATAGGTGTTTGAGATTGTTCTTTTCTTCTAAAATAGCAATTGATGAAGACAAAGCTCAACTTATTCTAATGATTTATTAATATCTAGTAGGACAATTTATAATTGAAGAAGAAAGTTGAGGGCACACAGAGCAGCCATAAAGCTGATGAAAAGATTATACCAGTTAGGTTGTATTTCATGGGCCGTCTCTTCTGTCTTATCTCACTATGGAAGAGCTTTGGTAGTTAAGAAGGCTTCATAATCCAGTTAGAAACAATATAAATATTTTTTGCTAATAGTACAAAATGAAATACCTGAAGTAAGAGGTAGAGGAATAAACAGATACTTTAGTCACAATTAAGGGAATAAGTATTGGAGGAAATGAGAAACAAGATAGAAGCCAGAGATAAAGGGGCTTTAAAAAAAATAAAAATAAATAAACTGGAATGGAATGGAGTGTAAAAATTGGAAAGAGTGAAAGTTTTTTTTTTAAGTGTGATACAATTTAAAAACATCTTTGAGTGTGTACTTTTTGCTCTGGGAGGTATTAAGAAAATAGCGTGTTAGAGGTTCGAATCTCAGAAAACCTACAATATGTATCATACAGGAAATATTTTGATGCAAGTAAATGAAAACCGACTCAAACTGGATTAAAAAATAAGAAAATTTGTTCTCTCATGTGATTGCAAAGCCTATAGGACATGTATGCTTCAGGGTGGTTTGACACAGTGGTTCAGCAAAGCCAACAACCTGTGAACTGTTTTTGGTTTTGTTTTTTGTTTTCTCTTCACTTCACCATTTGTCGTGTCAGATTCATCGTAAGGTTGCCTTCTTTCCAGGATCAGCTTCTGTTTCTGCCAATAGCTCCCAGAAGTGCTTGAATAGAGACTTGAGTTTCACCTTTATGGAGGAACTTTGGTTCATATGTCCATCTGTAAACCAATGACTCTGGCAAAGGTGATGGGAATGTATTACTTGTCTAGACCAATTAGGGCTCACATCTGAAGTTCTTGAGTAAGAACAATCCCAGCTAGATATCATGGTTGTTCCACAATGAGGGAGGGTGTGCTTTTAAAGAAAAATCTGGATGCTATCAAAGAAGAGGAAGGGAGGATTAACTCAGGCTGGGTTAGCAACTAAGAAATGTCCACCATACAAATCTGGTTGAGAGCAGTAGTCAAGTATGCACAAAACTCCAACATAAGGGAGAATGTAGTAAATGCTATCAAATAAAAAAATATGTATAGAAGGGGTGCACATTTAAATGAGGCTGTTTGAGCTTGAATTTCTTTCTTTATATAGAATTCCAGTCCAAAATGCCATTGCTTGAATTTCATCAAAGAAAGCTCCTATGCCCTTTGTGTGATTTACTTACTGTTTCACCATTGTTAAAAGACAATTTTCAAAAGAGAGTAAAATCATGACTCTACAGATATAAAAACAAACACAAGTTAAAGATTGTATTTAACTTATTAATGAGGAAACCACTGAGGTGTTACAATCAGTTCAAAGAAAAAATCCAAAGAGCAGAAACTTACTATTTAGAGTAAAGGAATGTTGACATGAATGTGCAAAGGCAGGCAAAACTAGATTAGGAAGTCAGTTGGACCTCTACCTGAAGGTGAAATTTGCATGTCTATAGACAATAATTATTTTCTATTGCTATCAGTTATTGACAGCTTACAAGAGTTGCAAAATAGCACCCATAGACTCATAGCCAGATAAAAGAGAAAGGTGAGCTATAGACAATGCATAGTTTTCTGCTGAAACATAGTTTTCTTACACTATATTATGACTAACTACATCTCACATATCCAAGTTAAACAAACAAAAATATCTATCACCTTCTTGAAAGGATGGGGAGTACACTCAATAGGCCTTTTCCCCCCCATTATGGATGAAAATTCTAATGTAAATATTATAGCATGAGGTTTTTAATTTTTTTCAACAGAAGACACATTCCTTTATTTTCATGACATAATAATAAATGATACTATTTTGATTTCATTTTAAAAGTCAATTTTCTATCCTTTTGCTGATTCCTTTTACTTCAGAACTTGCAGCAAATAGTTTAGCATTAGTTCTTCTGTGCATCTTATTAGTTTATTAGTTATACATCCAAGTGAAGGGCAGAGTGGTATATACCACTTAAAAGGCATTTGGAACAGAATTTAAAAGGCAACAAGACAACACAGGGGCCAGAATTAATGAGAACAATCATTACTAGCACAATTACCAGAGTATTTTTTTGAAAATTAAATACAAAAAAAAGGAAAGTAACAAATATATTTATAATAAAAGTTTAAAGAAATCCCCACAAGCTTAGCGCTAAATCAATGGAATGTAACGAATAAATCACTTCTGTATAGAGGTCATTAGGTTTGTCTGTAGCTTTGAAATAAAAGTGTTGAATTGAAGCAAAAGAAATAGAGTCCAAACAGATTTCAGAAATGTTAGCTAACTGTACTGCAGAAAGATGGTTATTAGAGACCTTAAGGAGGTTCTGTCTCTAGAGGAGCCCTGTGGGTGAAATTCCATTCCACCCACTCCATCCTTCTTCATACTTGTCTACAAAGAAGTTCCCAGATTATTTGCTAGTACTAGAGAGAGACTCAACCAGAGTAGGTGTCGTTTTCTATGCTCCCATCTCCATGACGTATGGAGAAGAAAAAGAACAGAAATGTGTTGTATTTCTCATGAATGGGGGAAAAAACAGGGCTCTTTAATTGAACAAATAAAATTGAACAAATAAAATTTAATTGAACAAATAAAATTAATTGAACAAATGAAATAATTCTCTTCCAAAAAGAACGCTGCTCTTTAAAATCTTCCTTTGCTGAAGAAATAAGTGTAAATACTTCTATTCCATTTTTCAAGGCATAAAACATACCCCAAAGAATTCAAATTTAAAGAGAAATGTCAGAAAGGGCCTGAATGCCTGTTTGAACCTAGACCCAGTAACTTAGGCAACCCAAACACAGCTCACAGCTAAAGAGGATTCTGAACAGACACTCTAATTACAGTATTTTATCTTTTTCCAGACATAGATTTTTTTTTCTTGTGAATGTTAATATTTCCTTCTAAATTAAGCTTTTGTGTCCTCCCAACTACAATTTCAGTTCAAGTGGAATCTCTGTTGTACTTTGTTCCTAACTAATACCAAGAAAGTCTGGGGAAATGGGAAGAGGACCAGCTCTCAGTTCCCTCTGTGAGCCACTATCAAAGAAATTTCCCTAAAGTGCCAGCTGACACTGTGGGAAAGCAGAAGTAAGCTTATGTCTACAATTATGTGAGCTTCCCCCTAACCCCCATTTGTTTCTGTAAAAATTTCAAACTGATTGGAAAGCCACCACAAAATATACTTTTACATTGATACAGTTGATGTTCCAAACTTCTTTCTTGTGGCAAATATGTTGCAGATGCTTCTGTGCCAAACTCAATTCAATTATTCTGCAGGGAGCCAAAGACTAAAGAGTGGATGAGCCCACAAGGTCTTTGTTGTTCATTTGCCTCCTGAATTGGAAACAGCTGCTACCTTGACTTAAGCACAGAATAAATCAACGTATATTACCTAGAGTTGCTCTTTACATTTTAACAGAGACAAGTACTTTTGCACCTGTAATTCCTTTCAGCTCACATTTTTAAAGTACATTATTACTAAAGTAGTAAAATAAGTAAAAGAGAAGGATGATTAAGTATGTTACATATTTTTTCAATACAAAAATTTATTTTATTTTTTGACTTGCTTGAATAAATGTTTTAGTGATATTCTTTATGTTTTTATAAACATTTTCATGTTTGATGGTGAGCCTAAACAGGAGATATAATTTTTCCAAAACAATGAATGAACATCAACAAGCATTAGTTATTTCAAAAATTATAAATGTTGTGCCTTAATTAGATAAAATTTTTCTCAATTAGTTTATGATTATAACATTTGGCTTACCAGAAGGGAGAATAAATTAATTATGTTAGGCCAATATACTCGAAGTTTTCACAAAAGTCAAGCTAAACAAATGTTTTTATTTATTTTCAATTTAATTAAGAGAAATCCTTATGTTTCACTTTTGGCAGATTATCATTGGATCAAGAAGCAAGTGAATAATTAATTTGAATTATTCTTTCTATTTATTTAATAAAGTAAGTAAGGTTTACTTATCTAATCACTATTAGGAATGAAGCCCAATCTTCTGTCCTAAAATCTATATTCTCCCATGGGAAGTCTTCTCTGAAATAAAAGTATTTCTTCTAACCAATACTATTGCAAGATTAACTAATTTTATTTCTATTTTTCTTCTTTCTTCCTCTCTCTCTCTCTCTGCATCTCTCATATACACAGGCACACACACACACACACACACACACACCTCAATTATATATTTAAATTTTTACAAAGTTGAAATAATTTCTTATTTTAGAGCACTATATATAGCTTATAAGAAACCTGGTAGCCTCTAGGATTTATCTCTGATAACAGTGTTATATTTGTTTTGGTATTTAGTGTAGTTGGGGAATGAGATATTTGATTAATCAAATATTCTTGTTTGTAGAAAGTGAACACAGACTATATAGAAAATGAAGCCTGTCAACACCAAAGTTTGTCTTCTCAAATTGTCTCTCTTCTCCAAAATTGCTTTTCCAGGGCCCTAGACTCAGGAACTTGCACTTAACTTTGATTTTTCTTTTACTTTTACTTTTGCTTCCAGTCTGCCAGTATGTCATGACTCTTTATCTGTAATATCTCTTGGATTAAACTTTCTTCCTTATCTCACTACAATAATCCCTTCACACCTGAAATAATTTATCTATAAAATTATAGTAAAAGTAGCTTCCCTACTTGTTCTCCTCCGGTATTCTGTTGCAATCTCCTTCTCCCTGTCAAATAAAATAAAATTCTTGGCACTGCTTTGAGGATTGTACACTTATCTGGCCTTATTGTTCTTATGTGGGTTTGTGACTGAGATACCCTTCTGACATCTCAGGGTCTTATGCTAGGGTGATTATGATTCCAGGTGCATGGATGTAGCAATGAGAATAACTTTATGCAAAGAGGCTTTTTATTTTAACAGAAATAGAATCAATAAGATGTGACCTGTGTGGACAAAAGGATAGATGCAGACATGATGCTGCCCAGAGGAGGTAGCAGTGAGAGATGATGCTGTGATCTTAGGGAAGTTACTAAACCCTCCTGGGTTGCTGGAGAATTAGATGGAATAATGCAGTAAAACACTGAGAACCATGCCTGTTGCATAGGATGCACTAGTAGTGGTTATTTAACATTTGTATCCACTTTTACTGATGAAGGAAATGAAGCACAGAGATATGCACATTTGGATTGTCTTAATTTCTCTTTCCCACAACATTAGAGATCCCCTGACACTTAAGTTCCCTTTTTGGCTGATTTTTATATAAAATACAGTGTCTATACCTCTCATAATGCTGTTGGCAGAGTTTGCTTCTTGAAATTATGCTCCAGTTGATGCAGAACAAAGCTGTATGCATGTCTGTAAAATCTGATCAACTCCTCTGTATTTTGGGAGATATGAATATAAGCTCTAAATATAGGATAATTATACAAAATCAAGTTGTTTATTTGGCCAAAGTAACCAGTATCCATGTTAACAGTGGAAGAACATAATTTATATTCATAAAACATCCTTTAAGCTGCTAAAATATTTCATTTGTGGATAATATTATTTAGTGTTAAGTTTGAGCAAGAGGTGAAAGTATATTCAATCTCATATATAAAGTATTCTGTTGTTACTTCAAGGCTTTGTTTTGTAATACTAACAACTGAAATTTGTTTGTAATATTAACAATTTGAAATTAAGTGCACGAAAAGGAGACACTGTTCTCTCTACCAAATGGTATAGAAAAGAATACAAATGTGCTGTCAATATTGGAAGTGAGGAGGCAGATGCTAAGTAACAAGTTATTGAACATACTTTCCCTGAAGAAGAATAATTCATCTATGCAGAAAACGACCTTGGAAAGCAGTTTTAAACAGAATGAGAACCACAACTTCATTTGCTAAAAATAACACATGAATCTTTCTTCAAATATTTTCTTTCTATTATGAAGTCTACATCTTGAAGTAATGTAAAATAAAATAAAGCTTTTCATGTGTGTTGTTTTGATGTCGTAAAGCTTTGTACATCTATATACTAATTGCAGATTGGGAAAATAAACCCCTGAGAAAATGTCTCAATGGAGACCTTGGGAAAGATTTCATAACTTACTCAAGGTAGAGCAAGGATAAAACACCCAACTTTTACTCAGGTGCATTTTCTAATACTTTGAACTGCATTTATGTATGTATGTATGTATGTATGTACAGGCATAACTTGGAGATATTGCAGGTTTTGTTCTAGACCACGGCAATAAAGCAAATATCACAATCAAGTGAGTCACATAAAATTTTTGGTTTTCCAGTGCATGTAACTATACCAAACTTTACACCATACTAAAGCCTATTATGTGTGTAAAGGTATTATATCTAAAAATAATGTATATACTTTATTTTAATGCTAATAATCCTCTGAGCCCTCAGCAAGTCCTGATCTTTTTGCTGGTGGAGAGTCTTGCCTTGATGTTGATGGCTGCTGACTAATCCGGGTGGTGGTTGCTGAAGCTTAGGGCGGCAATTTTTAAAAAGAAGACAGCAGTGAAGTTTGCCACATTGACAGCCTCTTCCTTTTATGAAAGATTTCTCTGTAACATGCAATGCTGTTTTATATAATTTTATCCTCAGCAGAATTTCTTTCAAAATTGGAGTCAATCCTTTCAAACTCTGCTGCTTCCTTATCAACCAAACTTAAGTAATATTCTAAATACTTTGTTGTCATTTCAGCAATATTCAAAGCATCTTCACAAGGAGTAGATTCCATCTCAAGAAACCACTTTCTTTGCTCATTCATAAGAAGTAACTCATCCATTCAAGTTCAATCATGAGGTTGCAGCAATTCAGTCATCTTTAGGCTCTACTTTTAATTCTAGTTCTTTTGCTATTTCCACCACATCTGCAGTTACTTCCTCCACTGACATCATGAACCCCTCAAAGTCATCTATGAGAGTTGGAATAAACTTCTTCCAAATTCCTGTTAATATTGCTATTTTGACCTCCTCCCATGAACTACAGTTGTTAATAATATTTAGAATAGTGAATTCTTTCTAAAAGTTCTTAAATTTACTATGCCCAGATCCATTGTAAGAATCACTGTCTATGGCAACTATAGCTTTACAAAACGTATTTCTTAAGTAACAAGACTTGAAAGTTAAAATTACTCCTTGATCCATAGGCTGCAGAATCACTGTTGTATTAGCAGGCATGAAAACAGCATTCATCTTCCTGTGCATCTCTATCGGAACTCTTGGGTGGCCAGGTGCATTGTCAATAAGCAGCAGCATTTTGTAAGGAATCTTTTCTTTTTATTCTTCTTCTTCTTCTTCTTTTTTTTTTCCTGAGGAGTAGATCTCAAGAGTGGGCTTAAATCATTCACTAAACCGTGATGTAAACAGATGTGCTGTCATCCAGGCTTTGTTGTCTCATTTATAAAGCACAGGCAGAATAGAGTTAGCATCATTCTTAATGGCCCTACCATTTTCTTTTTTTTCTTTTTGAGATGGAATCTCGCACTGTTGCCCAGGCTGGAGTGCAGTGGCGTGATCTTGGCTCACTGCAGCCTCTACCTCCCAGGTTCAAGCAACTGTCCTTCCTCAGCCTCCCAAGTACCTGGGACTACAGGCGCACACCACCATGCCCAGCTATTTTTTTTTGTATTTTTAGTAGAGATGGGATTTCACTATGTTGGCCAGGCTGGTCTCTAACTCCTTACCTCAAGTGATCCACCCACCCCAGCCTCCCAAAGTGCTGGGATTACAGGCATGAGACCATGACTGGCTGGCCCTACCATTTTTGTAATGGTAAACGTGCATTGACTTGAACTTCTAGTCAGCTACTGCATTAGTCCCTAACAAGAGAGTAAGCCTGTTGTTTGAAGCATTGAAGCTAGGCGTTGATTTCTTCTCCCTAGCTATGAAAGTCCTAGATTGCATCTTCTTCCAACATCAGACTGTTTTATCTTCATTGAAAATCTGTTATGTAGCCACCTTCATCCATTATCTTAGATCTTCTGGATAACTTGCAGTTTCTCCATCAGCACTTGCTGCTTCACCTTGCACTTTATGCTTTGGAGACAGCTTCTTTCCTTAAACCTCATGAACCAGCTTCTGCTAGCTTCAAACTTACCTTCTGCAGCTTCCTTACCTCTCAAAGCTTTCATAGAATTGAAGAGAGTTAGGGGTTTGCTCTGCATTAGGCTTTGGCTTAAGGGAATGTTGCGGCTGGTTTGATCTCCTATCCAGACCACTAAAACTTTCTCCATATCAGCAATAAGGCTGTTTCACTAGTGAAAAAAAAAAGTTTTTACTTTGCATTCATGACTTAGATAACTGTTTGGTGAAAGAGGCCTAGCTTTCGGCCTATTTTGGCTTTTGACATGCCTTTCTCATTAAGTTTAATAATTTTTAGCTCCTGACTTAAACTGAGAGATGTGGGATTCTTACTTTCACTTGAACACTTAGAGGCCATTGTAGGGTTATTAATTAGCCTGATTTCAATATTGTTTTTCTCAGGGAATAGAGAGGCCTAAAGAGAGAGAGAGAGCAATGGGGAATGGCTAGTTGGTACAATAGTCTGACCAAACACAACACTTAACTAGGTTTGCAATCTTATATGGGCACAGTTCATGGCACCCTCAAAACAATTATAATAGTAACATCTAAGATCACTGATAACATATCACCGTAACAGATATAATAATGATGAAAATGTTTTAAATATTGCAATTACCAAAATGTGACACAGAGACGCAAAGTGAGCACATGTTGTTGCACAAATGGCAGTATAGGCTTGCTTGATCCAGCACTGCCATTAACCTTCAAGTTGGAAAAAGCACAGCATCTGTGAAAGGCAATAAAGCAAAGCACAATAAAATGAGGTGTGCCTGTATTTTTATTATGGTAGGAATACTTGACATGAGATATTCTGTCATAAATTTTTAAAGTGTACCATACACTATTGCTGACTATAGGTACAAGCAGATCTCTAGAGCTTATTCATCTTAAGTAAAACTTTATGCATGTTTATTTATAA
This sequence comes from Homo sapiens, assembly GCF_000001405.40. Classification (NCBI taxonomy): domain Eukaryota; kingdom Metazoa; phylum Chordata; class Mammalia; order Primates; family Hominidae; genus Homo; species Homo sapiens. The sequence goes on from NC_000002.12 coordinate 208,719,203, forward strand.
TATTCCATTTTCCCCTATCCCCAGCCCCTGATAAACACTATTCTGCTCTTGGATTCTATGAATTTATCCATTTTAGATAGCTGACAAGTGAAATCATGCAATATTTTTCTTTCTGTGACTGGCTTATATTCACTTAGTAATGATGTCCTCAAAGTTCATTCATATTACAAATGGTAGAATTTCCTTGTTTTTATGGCTGGATAATATTCCATTTTATGTATATACCAAATTTTCTTTATCTACTCATCATTTGATAGACATTTAGGTTGTTTCCACATCTTGGCTGTTACAAATACTGCAGCATTGAATATGGGAGTGCTAATGTGTCTTCAAGATCCTGTTTTCACTTATTTTGGATGTCTCATTGTAATTTTTATCTGCATTCCTCTGGTAACTAGTCATATTGAGCAATTTTTCATAAGCATGTTGTCAATTTGCACTTTTTTTGGAAAAATATCTCTCCCAGTCTTCAGCCCATTTTAAAATCAGGCTATTAGGTTTTCACCCACCCCTTACCATTGAGTTATAGGAGTTCCTTATATATTTTAAATATTTATTTCTTAACAAATAGATGGTTTGCAAAGATTTTCTTTCATACCATAGGTTGCTTTTTCATTATGTTAGTTGTTTCCTTTACTGCACAAAAGAGTTTTAGTTTGATAATAGACTTCCTTGATGCACAGTTCCCAAAAACCTTCAATTTGTAAAAAAAAATGAAATAAGGTGAAGCACAATAAAATGAAGTATGACTTTACTCATTGAGACCTCACAATGAATTTTAATATTTGGAGTCTCTTTTCCCTTCTTATCAATTTTCTACTTCTTTACACTTCCTAATCAGAATTTTACTAAATATTCTCATTTGATTGTTCAAATCAAATTGATTGTTGATGGTGAGATTTTTATTTTTCTTTGAACAAAAAAGCACCCCTGACAGGGTCAAACTCATTATTATAGTTAATGGAAATAAAATAATGTTACAGATCAGTTTGACTATATGCTGCATAAAAATATTGTTTTTCTATTCAAGAAAAACATATATCCTTTTATTTACTAAAATATTTGTTTAATTATTGTATTAGTCCATTCTCACACTGCTAATAAAGACATACCCAAGACTGGGTAATTTATAAAGGAAAGAGGTTTAATTGACTCACAGATCAGCATGGCTGGGGAGGCCTCAGGAAATTTACAATCATTGTGGAAGGGGAAGCAAACACACCCCTCTTCACATGGCGACAGCAAAGAGAGGTGCTGAGCAAAAGGGAAAAGCCCCTTATGAAACAATCAGATCTCACGAGGACTCACTCACGATCACAAGAACAGCAGCATGGAGGTAACTGCCCCCATGATTCAATTACCTCCCACTGGGTCCTTCCCATGACATGTGGGGATTATGGGACCTACGATTCAAGATGAGATTTGGGTGGGAACACAGCCAAACCATATCAATTACCTTCATCAAACTTTGTGTATATTTTGTACTTTTTAAAGGTTTTATTACCAAGAATTTTTATGTTATGTTGCTATAGAAATTTAATGGAATATTTTCTTCAGCAACTGTAACACAACTTGTGTTAAAGAAAACTATTAATATTTATGCATTATTTTTGTAATTAAGAGATATGAAATATTTTATTATTTCTAATCTTTTCATGTTATTATATTTAACTTCCTAGGTAGGCAAACAATTCACAATTATGTTAAATTTAAAAATTTCTTAATAAATGAACCATATATGTATTCCTGGAATTAATTTACTTTTATGATTTTATATTCTATATTCTAATTTTAATATATTATGGAGGGCCATCTCTCAATATTTTATGCATATTTGTTATATCCACATTCATACATATGATTGACTTCCAGGGTTTTATGTTTGTGCTGTCTTCTGACTTGGGTGTCTGTGTTATTCTGGCTTAGTAAAATATTGGAACGTTTCCTTTTCTTTCTACTACCTAAAATGTTTAAAAGTATGAGTGTAACTTGTTCCCACACTATGAAGGTTTGGAAAAGTTTAGAAAGCTTTGGAAAAGTTTACCTTTGAAATAATTTGTAGCTTTAGATTTTTTTGTTTTTGGTAGGGAAAGTTTAGCCAACTCTAGTCATTTTCTTGATTTCTACCAGTATTGATTCTTAGAAATCATTTCCATTATCCAAATGGTGATATTAATTTGCATTGCAATTTGCAAGTTACTTTTATTAATTGTTTTAATATTCTTGATGTATGTGCTTATTTCCCTTTTCTCATTTTTGATTTTGTATATTTGTGCTTTCACTCTTTTTACTTCCTGAGGCTGGCTGAAGCTCATACATTTTTTTTTCTTTCTTTTTTTTCAGAAACAAGATATTGGCTTTACATGTCAGTTCCAGTTCTTTTTTATTTCAGAATTATTTATTTTTATATATCCTTAATAGTTTGCCTTCACTTTCCATAGATTTATTTTATTCTTAAGATTTTGAGATGAATAGTTAGTTCATATATTTTCACTCATATATCAATCAAGGGCTTAAGATCATCAATTAGTTTTAAGTGTATGTTCTAGGCATTCTGAACATTGTTTTCTTTATTATTTAACCAAATTTTCAGAGATTATTTTCAAACTCCAACTTGTTTCTAGTGTTTCTTAAAATATTCTGATCATATTATTGCATTGGTATATGAGAATGCAATTTGTCATAATTCTGCCTTTTGAATTCAATTACTTTTTTTCTCCTTTGACCTAGTATATAATCATTTTTTCTAAATGCTGCATGGATCCTTCAAAGGATCCATTCTTTGTGTGTAGGTTATATTAGCCAGAAAAATCATATTATTCAGGTTTTCTACATCCTTTATATAAATCTTTTCCTACTTTATCTGCCACAGATTAATAAAGGAGACATAGTCTCCTACTATTTCTGAGATTTATTTTGACATTACTATGACACTTTTTTCTTTTATCCACTAGTATCTCTGACTGGTACATTGTGATTGTGAATTGCTCTTTTTTTATCATCTTCAATTACTTTGTTTTTCACTCATTTAACTTTTCTTATTAAATACTTTTTGTTAAAGTTGAGTTCAAACTTACCTGACATTCTCATGATGATTTGGGCTTTATTTTCATTAGTGTGTACCTGGCATATTTTGTACTTTTTTTAAAGTTTCATCTTTCTAAGTCTTTAAATGCAGCACTTGTATGCAGTAAGTAGTTAAGTTTTACCTTTTGACTCAATCCTTTTAAAATACCTGTATTTGCTTTTCTTTCATTGTGTCTACATTCTCACCTCTCATCTCAATCTGTTATCTAATTATCTGTGATCTATTTTTTCCTAGCTTTAATATTCTGTCTAATTTTCTCCAAATGATGCCATTTATGGCAACTTTCCCTCCTTAATGCATAGTGTATTGGTTCTTTTAGAGTGTATTCTGCATTTGTCTTTTTGTGTTGTATTTCTATCATTTCCTCCTCTATATTCAGCTGGGGTTGCACACAATCATATTTGACAGGTTTGGCTTCTTCTATGTTTTCTTCCATAATTTCGTTTAAAGCTACTTAACAGGGTTTATTTTTTCTGCTCTAGAATCTGTCCTATTCTCATGAGGTTGATAGCAGATTTTCAATTGGCTCTGAATTTTGTGTGGACCTTTACTTCATGAAAAAAAACAATAAGCATTCAGTGTTTATTCTCCCTTTATCACACACTTCACCAGCTTCCTGGAAGTCATCTTCACCTTTGCTCCCTGGTGCATGAGAGAAAATCTAGACCTAACTTATGTCCTGTGTCCACAGCATTAGTAATCCACATTGAAAGGAGGCAGAGGGAGAACATCACAGTTTCTCTCTTATGCCTTTCTTCCCAGTCTAACTGTCCTTATAGTTGGTTATTTCTTTATCTATCCTGATAATCACAGTAACTCTCTATTGTTGGAGACCATTAGCTCTGTGTCATTATTTTCTCTTACCTCTTAGAGGCAGGTACTAATAAGACGGCGAGTGCTAGGAGACTTTCCTGCCCTTGGTGAAACTCTTCTAATTCATGGTGTTTGAAAGGCTTTCCCCAAGGTTGCTCACACATTCCCTTCAGTCCACTTACTGCATCTGGGGATTCTCATGCCATTTTTTCCATTAATTACTTCCTTTTACTTTTATTGTAGGATGGGCATTTTATTCCCTTTGCTTTTTCCTTCCTTATACCTAGAACTTGGATGTAAGGGCTGTAGGAATAACAACCATACTGAGACCAATCAAAAGAATTGCAGACTCTGGCCATGATATTTTTGAGACACTGAGTCAATGCCTGCAAATAGAATTCCCTTCTATGGAATCTTGTTAGGCATGAAGAGAAATTCCAGAATTCCATGTGCTTCTCAGGACTACCACTTTTCTCTTCTACTTTCCATCAGCAGGGGTACAGAGGAGTTTAGGGTTGGTGGAAAGAGACTTGAAAGCTGCTGTTAAGTTCACTTCTTATTCCTGATTACTAACTTCAAGTGAGTCTTTAGTACCCAGGAATCAGACTGTAATATCCTTATCTACTCAGTCTCCTTCTACTCGAAGTGATTATTTTACACTTTCTCCTCTGTTCTCATTCTGCCAGCCCTGCAATTCCATCTCAGATGATGAATTAATTTTCTATCTTCCTGAGGAAATGGAAGCAAGTGGAAGATAACTTCCATAGGCTCTCACCATCACATCTATGCACCTGCACCTATACACAGATACTCTGCCCTTTGGCCTATTATAATAAATGAATTTAAATAATAATTCAATTCATCCTGCTAAGAACTGACCCTCCTTAAAGTTTCCCACCTCTACTAGTCATTTCTTTTTTTTTAAATTTTATTATTATTATACTTTAAGTTTTAGGGTACATGTGCACAACGTGCAGGTTAGTTACATATGTATACATGTGCCATGTTGGTGTGCTGCACCCATTAACTCGTCATTTAGCATTAGGTATATCGCCTAATGCTATCCCTCCCCCTTCCCCCCATCCCACAACAGTCCCCGGTGTGTGATGTTCCCCTTCCTGTGTCCATGTGTTCTCATTGTTCAATTCCCACCTATGAATGAGAACATGCGGTGTTTGGTTTTTTGTCCTTGCGATAGTTTGCTGAGAATGATGGTTTCCAGTTTCATCCATGTCCCTACAAAGGACATGAACTCATCATTTTTTATGGCTGCATAGTATTCCTCTACCAGTCATTTCTGAGAATCCTTGTGGGGACCCTGGTTTTCTGCGTTTCTCAGCCATTGGAACCAGGCACCTCCATGGTTTCATCATGCTGGCCCTCATTCCATTGGACTGGTGGGTTACATTCTGTCAGTGGGCTAACTCCAGCATGGCTGCCAGCAATACAATATCTAAGAGAGTTTTTAATGAACATCTGTTTCCTTCTCATTCACAGCATCTTGGCTCTCCACTGCATTTAGACATAGGTCCCTGGGTTCACATGAGACAACTCCTAGAGCCATAGCCAGGCATGACTTTTATAACTGAGTCTCCCCTCTGACAAATAACATAGTCTTCTTCTTGGACAAGCTACTTTCTACCATATGGATTCTAAGAAAACTCCTCAGGCCTCCCTACAAATGCATCATTGTCTAGCATCCTTTACCAACTGACTCAGCAAACTCAGATATATATGAATCAAACTCAAGCTGCTCAAATTTTATTTCACTCTCCTACACTTGTAAAGAAGATAAAATTTTTTTCAGGTAACTTTTCTATTTTTAAATAAAATGATTGCTTTGGGGCCCATAAGTGGATATACTGTTCACACAGTAACCTTACTGCCACTTTTTTTTCTACCCCAAATACATGGAATCATGTTGACGTTTGATTACTGTTTTCTTGTTAGGATAGTACCAGCACCAAATAAAAGGCAAAGTAAACAGTTTACTTCTGAGTCCAGAAAAGGGAAAGACAATCAGCAGAGACCACTTTCTCGAATGAGCAGATTTTCTTCTCTTTTTAACTCCAGTCTACACTCCCACCTCTCCTCAGAAATTCCTCCTTCAGTATGGGGTGATTTTATGCACCTAGGCTGCTGATTCAGCTTGATCAGTCCTCATATAGAAAATGTGAACAGAATAGAAATCTTATCACCACATTTCAGTTACAAACCATTTTCTTCTCACCTACTCCTCTTTCTCCTTCTAATAAGCATATTCAGTCATAGCCTTCCTGAAAGTGGTTTTTATTAATTGGATCCCCAGAGGCTGCTGAAGAAATGGAGTGGGAAGAGAGTTCTGTCTGCTTAACGTTGCCGTTTAGTGCCACGTGGTTTGGTGAAGTTTTCTCAATTGAATAGCGTGCAGGACCAGATGCTGGTTTATATAACTAGCTGAGAGCACCCTTCCATTTTAAGGAAAAGTAGTCAGGGGAAGGAATGGGGAAGCAGAGAAGATAAACTTGAGCAATTATAAAGGCTTCTTTCACAACCTTGATAAGACAATTTGTGTAGGTATCATCTATTTTTTTTTCTGTTATATTCTTTCCAACAAAAAAAGTTGTCTGCTTTCTTTTCCTACGATTCAGATGGGAATTGTTTTCAACTTTAAAACATCTAGTTCTCTATAGATACGGCTTGTATAAAAGCTAGATCAGTATTTTCTAAGTTGTAATTATTTGGGGGTTAAAAGTGTAACTGGGTTCCTTGAGATTTCAGCACACTAGCATTTTTAGTGGCTGAATTAATGAAAATTCTGATTAGGCACTTGCTTGCTTGTGGAAAAGCCAACATCCCTTGTTCCCACAATATTACAAACTGCTGAGGTACTGTTTCTATGTCAAACAGGAGAAGTTAATTTGAAGGTCATGAAAAAATTTTGCAGAAGGAATGAATGCCTTTAAGTTATTGAGACCACCTGTTGACACCCAGAAGTCTGCTTGTTCAAGGTGTTATCTGAGACTGAAGAAACACAGGCTCTTTCCCTTGGTTCCCTGAAACTCCTCCTTCCTTACTCGCTAACCCTAAATTAAAAAAAAAAAAACCCACATCTTTTTGTTGTTGTTGTTGTTAAGATAGATTTGAGAGATCTTATTCTCTTGATTTCTTGCTTTGGCCAAACTGAATAAGCCTTTCTCTACCTCCAAGCACTTGTGTGTCCATGTTTGGCATCAACTGTGCATTCAGCACACAAGCCTGAATTGGAGGTTCTATAACAGAAGTAGAATGTTGCATAATCCTTGACTTATGTTATTCTTGTTATCTATTATCTATCTATCTATCTATCTATCTATCTATCTATCTACCTATCTATCCATCTTTCCAACTCTTATTTTGGATTCAGGGGATACAGTTACATGGGTAAATTGTGTATTGTGCGGTTTAGTGTAAAAATTATTTCATCACCCAGGTAATAAGCATGGTACCCGATAGTTAGTTTTTCGACCCTCACCCTTCTCCTACCCTCCAGTCTCAAGTAGGCCTCAGTGTCTATTGTTTGCCTCCTTGTGTCCATATGTACTCAGTGTTTAACTCCCACTTATAAGTGAGAGCATATGGTATTTGTTTTCTGTTCCTGTATTAATTTTCTTAGAATAATGGCATCCAGTTCCATCCATATTGCTGCAAATGACATAATTTCCTTCCTTTCTGTGGCTGTTTAGTAGTCCACAGTGTATATGTACCATATTTTCTTTATTCAGTCCACCATTGGTGGACATTCATGTTAATTCCATGTCTTTGCTATTGTGAATAGTGCTAAAATGAACATACGAATACATGTGTCTTTATGGTAGAACGATTTATATTCTTTTAGGTAATAAACCCAGTAATGGAACTGAGGGATCAAATGGTAGTTCTGTTTTAAGTTCTTAGAGAAATCTTCAAACTGCTTTCCGTGGCAGTTAAATTAATCTACATTTCCACTGGTAGTATATAAGCATTCCCTTTTCTCTTCAATCTCGTCAGCATCTGTTATAGTCTGACTTTTTAATAATAGCCATTCTGACTGGTGTGAGGTGATATCTCATTGTGGTTTTGATTTACATTTCTCTAATGATTAGTGATGTTGAGCATTTTTTTCATATGCTTTTGGCCACATGTATGTCTTCTTTTGAGAAGTGCCTGTTCATGTCCTTTGCCTGTGTTTAAATGGGGTTGTTTTCTACTCCTTAATATGTTTAAGTTGTTTCTAGATTCTGGGTATTAGACTTTCATAGGACGCATAGTTTGCAAATATTTTCTCTCATTCTGTTGGTTGTCTCTTTACTTTGTTGATTGTTTTGCTGTGCAGAAGCTCTTTAATTAAGTCCCATTTTTCAGTTTTTGTTTTTGTTGCGATTGCTTTTGTTGTCTTTGTCGTGAAATCTTTGCCAGGGCCTATGTCCAAAATGGTATTTCTTAGGTTTTCTTCTAAGATTTCTAAAGCTTTAGGTTTTATATTTATGTCTTTAATCTATTCTGAGTTGATTTTTGGATATGGCGAAAGGCAGGAGTCTAGTCTTAATCTTTTTGCATGTAGCTACCCATTTATCCTAGCACCATTTATTGAATGGGGAGTCCTTTCCCCATTGCTTATTTTTGTAGACTTTGTTAAAGTTATAGGTGTGCAGCTTTATTTCCGGGTTCTCTAACCTGCTTCTAACCAATGTATATGGGTCTGTCTATGTACCAGTAATTCTGTTTTTGTTACTTTTGCCTCATAGTATAGTTTAAAGTTAGGTAGTATGATGCTTCTGGTTTTGTTCTTTCTGCTTAGGATTGCTTCAGCTATTTGGCCTTTTTTTAGGTCTATATGAAATTTAGAATAGTTTTCTCTAATTCTGTGAAAAAATGATGATTAGTAGTTTGACAGGAATAGCATTGAATCTGTCCGTTGCTTTGGGCAGTATGGGCATTTTAATAATATTGATTCTCCCTGTCCATGAGCATTTGTGTCATCTCTGTTCTCTTTCTGCAGTGCTTTGTAATTCTCACGGTGGAGATCATTTTAGCTGTATTCCTAGATATTTTATTTTTGTATCTATTGTGAATGGGATTGCATTCTTGATCTAGCACTCAGCTTGGATGTTGTTGATGAATAGAAATGCTACGATTTTTGTGTATTAATTTTGTATCCTGTACTTTTCTGAAGTTGTTCATCAGATATAGGAGCTTTTGGGCAGAGACTATGAGGTTTTCTAGGTATAAAATTATATCATCTGTGAAGAGAGACAGTTTGACATCCTCTGTTCCTGTTTAGGTGTCTTTTATTTCCTTCTCTTGTCTGATTGCTCTGGCTAGGACTTCCAGTACTATGTTGAATAGGAATGGTGAGAGTGGGCATCCTTGTCTTGTTCTGGGTCTCATGGGGAAACTTCCAGCTTTTGCCCATTCAGTGTGATGTTGGCTGTGGGTTTGTCATAGATGACTCAATATTTTGATGTATATTCCTTCAATGTCTAAATTGTTGAGGATTTTTAACCTGAAGCGATGTTGAGTTTTATCAAAATCCCTTTCTTCATCTATTGAGATATGCATGTGGTTTTTGTTTTTAGTTTTGTTTATGTGATGAATCATATTTGTTGATTTATGTGTATTAAAACAACCTTGTGTCTAGGAATAAAGCCTAATTGATCATGGTGGATTAGCTTTTTGATGTGCTACTGGATTCAGTTTGCTGATATTTTGTTGATGATTTTTGCATCTATGCTTATCAGAGATATTAGTTAGTTAGAAGTTGTGTGTGTGTGTGTGTGTGTGTGTGTGTGTGTGTGTGTGTGTGTGTGTTTCTGCCTGCCAGATTTTGGAATCAGGGTAATGCTGGCCTCATGGAATGAGTTAGTGGGGAGTCCATCTTCCTCAATATTTTTTGCAGTCGTTTCAGTAGGAATGGGACCAGTTCTTTATGCATCTTAGAGAATTTGGGTGTGAACCCTTCTGATCCAGGGATTTTTATTACTGATTCAATTTTGGAACTTGTTATCGGTCTGTTCAAGGTTTCAGCTTCTTCCTGATTCAATCTTGGGTGGTTGTATGTTTCCAGGAATTCATCCATTTTTTAAATTTTTTTTTAGCTTTTTTAGTTTGTGTGCATAGAGGTGTTCATAACAGTATCTGAAGGCTTTTTTGTATTATTGTGGAGTCAGTGGTAATGTCTTCTTTGTCATTTCTGATTGGATTTATTTGGATCTACTCTCATTTTTTCTTTATTAGTCTAGCTAGGCATCTATCAATCTTATTTATTCTTTCAAAGAAAACTTTGGTTTTGTTGATCTTTAGTATCATTTTTTACATCACAATATCATTTAGTCAGCTCTGATCTTGGTTATTTCTTGTATTCTTCTAGCTTTGGGGTTGGTTTGCTCTTGTTTTTCTAGTTCCTCTAGAAAACAGGTACGATGTTAGGTTGTTAATTTGAGATCTTTCTAACTTGATATGGGCATTTGATGCTGTAAACTTTTCTCTAACACTACTTTAGCTATGTCCCACAGATTCTGGTATGTTGTATCTTTGTTTTCTTTAGTGTAAAGGAATTTCTTGATTTCTGCCTTAATTTTATCATTTACCAAAAAGTTATTCAGAAGGTTGTTTAATTGTATGGTTTTGAGATATCTTGGTATTTATTTTTATTTTTATTTTGCTATTGTCCCAGTGTATGGTTGGTATGATTTCAAGTCTTTTGAATTTGTGTAGAATTATTTTTCAGCCAAGCATGTGGTCAATTTTAGAGTACGTGCCATGGTCAGATGAGAAGACTGCATATTCTGTTGTTATTGGATGAAGCGTTCTGTAGCTGTCTGTTAGGTCTGTTTGGTCAAGTGTCAAGTTGAGGTCTTGAATATCTTTGTTAGTTTTTTACCTTAAAATATTTGAGTAATTCTGTCAATGGAGTCTTGAAGTCTCCCACTATTATTGTTTAGGTATCTAAGTCTCTTTGTAGGTAGGTATTTAAGAACTTATGAATTTGGGTGCTCCAATGTTGGGTGCAGATATTTTTAGGAGAGTTAAGTCTTCTTGTTGAATTAAACCCTGTATCATTATGTATTACCCTTCTTTGTCCTTTTTTATTATTGTTGATTTAAAATCTGTTTTATCTGAAATTAGAATAGCAACCTCTGCTTTTTAAAAATTTCTGCTGTTAGCCTAATGGGGTTCTTTTTGTAGATGACCTGCCCCTTCTCTCTAGCTGCCTTTAATATTTTCTCTTTCATGTTGACTTTGGAGAATCTGATAGCTAAGTGTCTTGGGAATGGTTGTCTTATATAGCATCTCACAGGGGTTCTCTGTGTTTCCCAGGTTTGAATGTCTACCTTTCTAGCAAGGTTGGGAAAATTTCCCTGGACAATATTCTCAAATATGTTTTCTGAGTTGCTTGTGCTCTCTCCCTCTCTTTCAGAGACACCATTGAGTTGTAGGTTTGGAGTCTTTACATAATCTCATATTTCTTATAGGTTTTGTTTATTCTTTTTAATTCTCTTTTCTTTGTTATCTTCTGAGTGGTCTTTGAGCTCAGAGTCTGTTCTCAGCTTGGTCGATTCTGCTGTTAATACTTCAGATTGTATTAACAAATTCTTGTAGTAAGTTTTTCAGCTTTATCGGATCAGTATGGTTCTTTCTTAAAATGGTGATTTTTATCTTCCAGCTCATATCATTTTATTGGATTTCTTAAATTCCTTGGATTGGTCTTCAACATTCTTCTGAATCTTGATGATCTTCATTGCTATTGAGATTCTGAATTTTATGTCTGTCATTTCAGCCATTTCAGCCTGGTTAAGAACCATTGCTGGGAGCTAGAGTGATCATTTGGAGGAAAAAAGACACTCTTGATTTTTGAGTTGTCAGAATTCTTGCACTGTTTCTTTCTCATCTGGTGGGCTGATGTTTCTTTAATCTTTGAAGCTGCTGCCTTTTCAATGGATTTTTTTTTTTTTTGCTTTTATTTTCCTTGATGCCCTTGAGAGTTTGACTGTTATGTAAGTTGGGTTTAGCCAACTGTCTTCAAATCCAGATGACTTCAAGAAGCCCAGGATTAGCTTGGCACTCCTGAGCTGTAGGCTCCAACCCTGGGGGTCTGGTATGAGGCTCACAGCTTTGTTGTCTGGCCTCTCAAAATTAAGCACCTGCTTCACTGGAGGGGCCTAGGTGTTTCTGGTCTGCTGGCGACAACACTCTGATGATGCATAGTGCCAGCAAAAATGCTTCATTACAGTGGTGGCAGTGGGGTCTGCCCTTGCCAAAGCAGCAACAGGGTTGTGTGTGCCCATGTATGCTGGTGACAGATGGGTGGCAGGGAACATGTGACCTCACACTAGTGGTAGTGATAATGGTGCTGTCCATGTAGACTTGTGGTGGCTGGGTCTGGGTGTATGCACTTGTGCCAGTGAGGCCAGGTGTCTGCATGCACACACTTGCACCAGTAACAACATGATGGCAATGTTCACACACATGTGTCCTGGTGGTGGCAGGGGCAGGGTGGTGGTGGTGAGTTCTGTTTATGCATGTGGCTGTGGAAACAGGGCAGTGAGGTCCATACATGCATGTGTGCCAGTGGAGTGATGGGAGGAAGTTGAAGATGGTTGTATGTTGGCAAAGGCCAGTTTACTGAAGCTCTGTGACAATAGGCAGGGTCTATTGTCTGTGACAATAGGCAAAGGAGCTATGATGGCAGCCAGTAGGAAGCACCTTGGTTGGGCATACAAAGCTATGCTGCAAGTGGCATGGCCAGGCAGGGACCGCGGGAGAGGACAGCAGGCAGGTGGGTGCTCAGATCAGACTGGCCATGTTCCATGGGCAAAACTGCCTTGCTCTGTCCAGGTCCAACAGTCAACAAAGACCAAATCCACCTAGAAGATCATGGTAAGCCTTGGAGAGCAGGCATCCCTGGCAGTGCTCCACTTCTGCCATTCCTGTGCCAAACACTCTGGGCTCTGGAGAGGCTGCCTCCTCTCCAAGCAGCTCTCCCTATCAGTTCACATGTCCTTGGGCGTCGTGGGGTTTCCTGCAGCTAGGAGTTTAGAGGTCCATGGTGAGAGTTGGTCACTCCTTGCCTATTAAATTACCCCTTCCCCAGGAGCCCTGGAGGCCAGGAATGAGTCCTGGTGCTTAGCAGCCCCATGCAGCATTCCTAGTGTCCTCCTGACCCTGTCCCATTCAGCCCAGGATCAGTGTCCTTCCTCTCTTTATTCTCAAGGCCTTTATTACAGAGATCTGCTGGGAGTTTGCTGAGCCCCTTGATGGTCTGGTCTCTTGGTAGCAGATGTTCTTTTTGGCTGCATCTAGTCAGCCATCTTGGCTGGTCAATGGTGTCACCTTCACACAATGTGATCTGCTTCCAGGACTGCAGAAAATTGAGAAAAATCTCTTACGATTATCCAAAGACTGGATAATCTTGAGGATATGTTGATGGTTCACCAGATTGCTGAAGAGAAGGAGGAAGTGGGTGGAGTGCAGCATAGTGGGGTGATGGTGGGGATGGGTGGGTGCAAGTAATAGTCTGACAAAAGGGAATTAACCTCATCACCAGCCTGGACACTGGCTCCAGTGACAACTGGACTTATGTTATTCTTAGGTGGAATGATGAACCTTTCTTACATGCTTCTGTATGTGGCATGTATTCTGGTTTTTATTTCTACAAGGGATTTTACTCAGAGACAGGAAGGGAAAGATGTGATTTTCTTTTTTATTCCCCAGTGGAAAGAAAAGGTTATCCTAGGTATTTGGATTCTTTAATCAAGTATTTCCGTTTGAAGAAAATATGTTGTCCGTTTATATTTTAAGTAAATAGGTCATTATCAACCTCGCACAAACATATGGGAAACGCATCTATTTTATTTTATTTTTTAATAATTTCAACTTCTATTTTAGATTAAGGAGTACATGTGGAGGTTGGTTATATGGGAATACTGTGTGATGCTGAATTTTGGGGTATGAATGATCCTGTCACCCAGGTAGTAAGCTTAGTACTCGATAGTTAGTTTTAAGCCTTTGCCCTCCTCTTTACCTCTGCCATCTAGTAGTTCCCAGTGTCTGTTGTTGCCACTTTAATGTTCATGAGTACCTAATATTTAGCTATCATTTATAAGTAAGAACATACAATATTTGGTTTTCTGTTCCTGCATTAATTTACTTAGGATAATATCCTCCAGATCTACCCATGTTGCTGCAAAAGACATAATTTCATATTTTTTATGGCTGCAAAGTGTTCCATAGTGTATATGTACCAGATTTTGTTTATCCAGTCTACCATTTATGGGCACGTAGGTTGATTCCATACTGTATTAGTCCGTTATCATGCTGCTAATAAGGACATATCTGAGATTGGGTAATTTATAAAGAAAAACAGGTTTAATGGATTCACAGTTCCATGTGGTTAGGGAGGCCTCACAATCATGACGGAAGGTGAAAGCCACATCTTACGTGGTGGTAGACAAGAGAGAATGAAAGCCAAATAAAAAGGGAAACCTCTTATAAAATCATCAGATCTTGTGAAACTTATTCACTACCACGAGAACAGTATGGGAAAAACCACCCCTGTGATTCAATTATCTCCCACTGGGTCCTTCCCACAACACATGGGAATTATGGGAGCTACAATTCAAGATGAGGTTCGGTGAGGGCACAGCCAAACCATATCACATGACTTTGCTATTGTGAATAGCGTGGTGATGAACATATGAGTGCATGTATCTTTTTGGTACACTTATCTATTTTCCTTTGGCTATATACCCATTAAGGGAATTGCTGGGTCAAATGGTACCTCCATTTTGAGTTCTCTAAGAAATCTCCATAGTGCTTTCTACAGTGGCTGAACTAATTTACATTCTCACCAACAGTGTATAAGTTTTCCCTTTTTTCCACAGCCTTGCCAGCATCTGCTGATTTTGATTTTTTAATAGTACCCATTGTGACTGTTACGAGATGGTATCTTATTGTGGTTTTGCCTTGTATTTCTCTGATAATTAGTGATGATAACATTTTTTCATATTTTTGTTGGCTGCTTGTATGTCTTCTTTTTAGAAGTGTGCATTCACGTTCTTTGCCCATTTTTTAAAGGGTTACCTGTTTGTGCTCATTGAATTGTTTAATTTCCTGATAGATTCTGGATATTAGACCTTTGTTGGATGCATTGTTTGCAAATATTTACTCTCATTCTTTAGGATGTCTGTTTACTCTGTTGATAGTTTCTTTTGCTGTGCAGAAGCTCTTTAGTTTAACTAGGTCCCACTGGCCAATTTTTGTTATTGTTGCTTTTGAGCATAATTCTTTCCCAAGGCCAATGTCCAGAATGGTGTTTTCTAGATTTTCTTCTAAGATTCTTATAGTTTGAGGTTTTACATTTAAGATCTCAATTGATCTCGAGTGAATTTTTGTATATGGTGAAATGTCTGGATCCAATTTCTTTCTTCTGTAAATGGCTAGCCAGCTGTCCCAGCACCATTTATTGAATAGGGAGTCTTTTCCCCTTTGCTTATTTTTGTAGATTTTGTCAAAGATCAGATGGCTGTAGGTATGCAACTTTATTTCTGGGTTCTCTATTCTGTTTCATTGGTCTATGTGTATGGTTTTGTACCAGTACCATGTTGTTGTATTTACTGCAGCTTCATTGTATATTTTGAAGTTGAGTAATGTGATAACCTCCAGCTTTTTTCTTCTTGCTCAGTATTGTGTTAGGTATTTGGGCTCTTTTTTGGTTCCATATGAATTTTAGAATAGTATTTTCTAATTCTGTAAAAGGTGATATCGATAGTTTGATAGAAATAGCATTGAATCTGTAGATTGCTTTGTGCAATATGGCCATTTTAATGATATTAATTCTTCTAATATTTGTATCATCTTTGATTTCTTATAGCAGTATTTTGTAGTTCTCCTTGTAGAGATCTTTCACCTCCTTGGTTACATGTATTCGTTTGTATATATGTATATTTTTGTGGCTATTGTAAATGGTATTGCCTTCTTCATATGGCTCTTATCTAGAATGTTATCAGTGTATAGAAATGCTAATCATTTGCACATTGATTTTCTATCCTGTAAATTTACTGAGGCTTTTTGTCAGTTTCAGGAGCTTTTTGGTAGAGGCTTTAGAGTTTTTAGTTATAGAATCATATTATCAGTGAAGAGAGATAGACTGACTTCTTTTTCTATATGAATATTTTTTATTTATTTATTTTGCCATATTACTCTGGCTAGGACTTCCAGTACTATGTTGAATAGGAACGGTGAAGGTGAGTATCCTTGTCTTGTTTCTTTTCTCAAGTGGAATGCTTCCAGTTTTTATCCATTTAGTGTGACATTGGCTGTGGGTTTGTCATAGATGGCTCTTATTATTTTGTGGCATATTCCTTTGATGTCTAGTTTGTTGAGGGTTTTTAACGGGAAAGATGTTAGATTGTATTGAAGGCTTTTTTCTCTTCTATTGAGATGATCATATGATTTTTGTTTTTAATTCTGTGTGGTGAATCACATGTATTAATTGTTGACCCAATGTTGCATTCCAAGAATGAAGCTTACTTGATTGTGGTGAATTAACTTTTAATGTGCTGCTGGATTTGTTTTTCCAGCATTTTGTTAAGGATTTTTGCATCTATATTTTTCAGGAATATTGGCCTGAATTTTTTATCGTTGTGTCTCTGCCAAGTTTTTTATCAAGGTAATGCTGGCTTTATAGAATGATTTAGGGAGTAGTTGCCTCTCCTCAATTTTGGGAATAGTTTCATTAGGATTAATTTCACTTCTTCTTTGTATGTTTGGTGGAATTTGCCTATGAATCTATCTGGTCTGGTGCCTTTTTCAGTTTGTTGTTTTTTAAATTACTGATTCAATCTTGGATGTTAGTATTGGTCTGTTCAGGATTTCAGCTTCTTCCTTGTTCAATCTTGGGAGGTAGTCTATTTTCAGGAATTCATCCATTTCTTCTAGACTTTCTAGGCTGTGTGCATACAGATACTTATAGCAGTCTCTGTGAATTTTTTATATTTCTGTGGGATCGGATGTAATGTTACCTTTGGTGTTTATGATGGTGCTTAATTAGATTTTCTCTCTTTTATTCTTTGCTAATCTTGCTAGTGGTCTATTGATCTTGTTTATCCTTTCAAAAAACAAATTTTTGTTTTCCTTCATTCTTTGTATGGATTTTGGGGGCTCAATTTTGCTCACTTCTGGTCTGATTTTAGTTGTTTCTTTTTTTGTTGGGTTTGGGATTAATTCATTTTTTTTTCTTCCTTTATGTGTGATGTTAAATCATTTTTTGAGATCCTTTTAACTTCTTAAGGCATGAATTTGCACTAAAAACCTGTCTTTTACACTGCTTTGCTATATCCAAGAGATTTTGGTTTGTTTTGTCTCTGTTTTCATTTATTTTGAATGTTTTTAAAATTTCTGCCTTAATTTTGTTGTTTATCCAAAAGTCATCCAGAAGAAAGTTGTTTAACTTCCATGTAATTGGATGGTTTTGGAGATCTTCTTGGTACTGATTTCCATTTTTATTCTAGTATGGTCCAAGAGTATGGTTGGTATGATTCGGAGCCTTTAAAACTTATTAAGACTTGTTTTATAGCAAATCATGTGATCTATGTTGGAGTATTTTTTGTGTGCTGAAGAAAACAATGTGTATTCTGTGGTTGATGGGTGGAGTAGCATGTAGATGTTTATTAGGTCCAGTTGGTCAAACGTTGAATTCAATTCCAGGATTTCTTTGTTGGTTTTCTGCCTTGATGATCTGTCTAGCACTGTCAATTAAGCTCCTTACTATTAATGTCTGGCTGTCTAAGTCTTTTTCTGGTCTCGAAGTAGTTATTTTATGAATCTGGGTGTGCCAATGTTGAGCACCTGTAAATTTAGGATATTTAAGTCTTCGTGTTGATATGAACACTTTATGTAATGCCCTTTTTTGTCTATGAATGCTTTATGTAATGCCCCTTTTTGTTCTTTTTTTTACATTGTTGGTTTAATTTTTGTGTTATCTAAGAATAGCTACCCTTGACCCTTTTTGTTTTCCATTTGCATGATATATCTTTCTTTAACCCTTTACTTTGAGCCTGTGTGTCATTACCTATGAGATGTGTCTCTTGAAGACAGCAGATCAATGGATTGCGTTCTTTTATCCAACTTGCCACTCTGTGCCTTTTAAGTGGGGGCATTTAGACCATCTACATTCAAGGTTAATATTGTTACATAAGGTTTTGATCCTGTTGTACAGTTGTTAGCTGGCTGCTTTGTAGTCTCCATTGTGTGGTTGCTTTATAGGGTCCATGGGCTATGTAGTTAAGTGTGTTTTTGTGGTAGCAGGTATCATTCTTTTGTTTCCATGTTTAGAACTCCCTTAAGTTCTAGTAACTTATAAAGCTAGTCTAGAGGTAACAAATTCCCTTAGCACTTGCTTGTCTAAAAAAGTTTTTATTTCTCCTTTGCTTATAAAGTTTAATTTGTCAGGATATAAGATTTTTAGTTGGAATTTCTTTTCTTTAAGAATGCCAAAAATATGCCTCCAATCTTTCCTGGATCATGGGATTTCTGCTGAGAATTCTGCAGTTAGCCTGAAAGGGTTCTCTTTGTTCATGATCTGGCCCTTTTCTTTAGCTTACTTTAAGACTTTTTCTTTAGCATTGACCTTGGGCAGTCTGATGACTATATCCTTTGGTGATGTTCGTTTTGCATAGTATCTTGCAGATGTTTTCTGGATTTATTGTATCTGAAAGTTTACCTCTACTGCAATATTAGGAAAATCTTGAATAATTCCCTCCCATATGCTTTTCAAATTGTTTACTTTTTCTCCTTCTCTCCCAGGAATTCCGATAATTTGTAGGTTTGGTCACTTTACATAATTTCATATTTCTCAAATACTTTGTTCATTTTTTAAAATTCTTTTTTCTTTATATTTGTCTGGCTGGGTTAGTTTGAAAGATTGTCTTAAGCTCTGAAATCCTTTCTTTTGCATGTTCCTGTGTATTGATGAAGCTTCAAATTGTATTTTGAAATTTTTTAAGTGAGTTTTTTAATTCAAGAAGCTCTGATTGATTTTTTTAAAGATGTGTCTTCACTTCCTAGATTGCTTATTAGAAATTTCTTTGTGTTGATTTTCAACTTTGTCTTGGATTTCATTGAGCTACCCCACAATCTATTCTTTGAATTATTCATCTGTCATTTCAGAGTTTCCATTACCGTTAGGGAGCATTACTGGGGTGCTAGTGTGATCCTTTGGTGGTGTCACTACATGCAGATTTTTCATGATTCCAGAAATCTTTCACTAGTTCCTTCTTATCTGGATATGTTGGCACTTCTAATTTTCATTATTATTTTTGTGCAGGTAGGATATGTTTTTCTTTCTTTGTCTACAATATTATTTGGGTTTTTAAGAATTTTTCTTTCCTTTTCTCCCCCTCCTGATGGATGTGACTGTAGAGAATGCTGAGTAGGATCTTTTGGCTTTACCTCTATAGTCCTGTGCACTTCTGTTGGCAGGTTTTTTATTGGGCTATGCAGTTTAACCTATAAGCCAGTAGATAGCACTTATGGGTAAGAGCTGCTGGCAGCTAACAGAGCTGGAAATATTACTTAATCTTTGTTTACTGGGAGAAGCTATCCTTTGCCTCAGGCAATGGGCTGATCCATGGAGTTCTCAGAGGTCTCAGCTCTATGCCCTGCCACACAGGGAAGGAGATCCAAGATGGGTGGGGCTAGACTGGGCAGGCTCACCTGGAGGTCCCCAGATAGCAGGCACAAACACCAGTGCCAAGAAAGAATTCAATGAACAGCCACGAAATGCTCTTAAGTATGACATACGGAGTTGAGAGGGTCCTGCTGCACCACAATCTCTGCACAGAAAGAGTGGGATGGTTCAGGCTTCTGAACCAGGTAAGTGGGCACTCTGAATGCCAGGAGATCTGCCTCAGCATGGATCAGAGTGGTCCCTATTTCACAATAATCTCTGCATAAAAAGGATGAAGAGGCTCAGTCTGCTGAACCAGGCTAGTGGGTGCTCTAAATACCCAGATTTTTGCCTGAGAATGGACCAGAAAAAGCCTTGCTTCACCATTGTCTATGTCCTTGAAGGGTGGGGTGATTCTGGCTGCTGTTCCAGGCAAGTAGGTGCTTCTGAATGCCTGGATTTCTGCCTGGGGATGGAGTAGTGAGGCCCCTGTGGCACCATAATCTCAGGGGTGCAGGCTAGGGCACTCAGCAGTGACACACACAGACTGGTTTCAGCTTGCCAAGCTGGACCTGGCTACAAGTCTCATTATGCAGGAAAACCATAGGAGCACAATTGTAATGCCTACTGCTGATACATTTGCCACAGTTCTAGCTGTAGAGGCCCATGCCCCAATCCAGAGCAAGCTCTCCAGTCTTTGGATCAAGATTAAAATGCTTGTGTGGCTATGCTGTTGGGTTGACAAAGAATGGCTGACTTTGTATTCACCTGGATTATAAATAGTGTCCTCCTCTCAGTCCAAGGTCTGCGAAGATGCCTGAAGCTTTCCCCAGTGTTTTTTCCTCTCAGTGCCTCCATGCTTCTCTCCAGGTTAGCTCCAGGACTTGGGAGAAACAAAGTGCTATTATTTGGAGGAGACTCTCTGCTTCTCCCATGTACTGGGGCTTCAATCACTTTTATCAGCTGTTTGCTATCGCAGGGGCTGTTTGCCCACATTCTCCTCACCAAGTTGGGGTGTCTTTCACAATTCTGGTGGATTCTTATTTCTTTCTCAAATTAACACACACAGAATTTATCTTTATGTACTTTCTTGTTATTTCTACATAGCTAAGTCTTGCTAAAAGACTCGAATCCACCCTCTGGAAAAAAACTTTAAAGTTAATTTTAACTTTGAAAGTTTTCTGTTTTGCTTTTAATTTTCATTCATCTTCTTTGGTAAACCTAAAGTAGATGTGGTAGAAAAGGAGCTGGGTTGTATTCACCATGGTATAAAGCTGTTGAATGACCATTGTTACAGTGCCATAGCATTTCTTTGAAGTAATACGAATTTTAAATAGGTTATTTTTTTTGGTGTCAGTGTTGTCAGAGAGAAAAATTTTCCCTTATTGTTTTTAATGCTTTGTCTTTCCTGCATTTCTTAGAACGCGTGTTTTGTTTTTGTGTTTTCTTTTCATAATTTATTTAGTGTTAAAGGATCAAATTTGTTTGCTCAAAGACAAGTGATATGGTTTGGCCCTGTGTCGACATCCAAATCTCATGTCGAATTGTAATCAACATGTGTCAGGGGAGAGACCTAGTGGGAGGTGACTGGATCATGGGAGCAGATTTCTCTTATGCTGTTCTTGTGATAGTGAGTGAGTTCTCATGAGATCTGATGATTTAGAAGTGTGACGCTTCCCCCCCCAACTCTCTCTCTCCTCCCACCCTGTAAGAAGTGCCTTGCTTCCCCATTAGCTTTCACCATGATTGTAAGTTTCCTAGGCCTCCCAAGCCATCTGGAACTGTGAGTCAATTAAACCTCTTTTCTTTATAAATTACCCAATTTCAGGTAGTTCTTTATAGTAGTGTGAAAATGAACTAATTTAGCAAGGAAAATAGATTGTTTATTACTCCTTATTTGGATTTTGAATTCCTTTCATAGATGTCACAAGGCAAGTGGATGGTCACTGATCCAGTAAAAGTCTCCATTTTACCCATCTTCAAGACTAAAACTCAGGGCTAGGTTAGTGGCTAACATTTAAATCAGCATTTGTTGGTTCTAAATTGGTTCATTCACTTGTATTTCCTAGATATTTAATTTTCCTCTGGTTCATATTATTTTGATCTTAGAAACAACTTTAGAAAGAGTACTTCTCTTGAATCTGAATAATGACATGCATACCCAACAGAATCCAAGGGAAAGACAATTGATTTTAGTTAATGACTCATACATAATTTCTTATTCCAACACTGATCATTTTCTTTAACTGAATCCATAAGTACTCTTTATTGTTTTCAGTTGCAAAATAATCACCTTGTTTTGAAACCTAAGCAGGTGATTTCTCAGAATTTATTTTATGATAATGTGGAATCCACATGTCAGTTTAAGTGTCTATATCTTAAGTGCTCTATACCTGAAAATATATTGTTTTGTACCTTGTTAAACAAATAATGAATAACAACTGATAAATACGATAACCTAGTAACTGTGCAAATTGAAAGCACACATCTAACTTGCTATCGCAGACTGGTTTCAACACTGAATTCTAAATACTTGTAATAATAATAGTAATAATAGATGTTATAAATAGAGTTTGTGAGGTGATTTTTTGGAACATTAAATATGATATTTGAATTCTTACTCCTAAAGAGTTTAAAGTTTAAACTTTTTTGATATACACAGAATTCCATTTATATAATCACTTTTAATCACATAAGTATTATATTATGATCTTAAGTCTTTAGAGTCCCTCACCATTACTCATTCTCCATACATCTGATTTTGCTAGTGAATCTGGTTTTCTTAAGACAAAGCAATGCTCACTTACAAGAGTAATAGCACAATAGTATTAAATAAGACTAAAATACAACAGACAATACTATTATTATTTAGATTTGTACCAACCTTAATAAGACTGAAAATTTAAATGTCCAAGTAGTTCTTGAATGGTATACTTTCCTAGTTTTAATGTATTGACAGAAACTGCTATAGATTACAAAATTATTCACCTTGGACTAATCTTCCACTCTAATCTTGTCAAATATCTCCTTCCTTAAGGGTAGTTCAAACACTTTTCCCTTTGCAATGCTCTCCCTGACTGCCCTGTACAGACATAATGCTTTGTCTTCTCCCCATTCTTTCATTACCTATACTCATATCAACACTTTTCATTGTGGCAATTTACACAAAATTTGTTTTTCCACTCACTGGACTGTAATCACTTTAAGAGAAAAGATCATGGCTTTTCTAATATAAGCAGAGTGTTGGCTGTTTGGTTCCTATCAAATAAATGTGTGTAAATAAAGACCTTATGTTGAAAAATCACCAATGAGAATCCATTTAGACTACTTATGACTCTGATCAGGCCTAGAAATAGAACCACTCAAATTAATTGCAACTCTCAACTTTATATCTTTTGTTGTGAAACAGTTAAATTTGATTGTATTGTATCAGATTTATATGATATTCATTGGCTTCCAGCAAAGTCTCTTATTGCTATTTGAGCACATGAATTCCTGAAACACACTTGCAATACTCAGAATGACTTGATGTATTGCAGGTAGCTCCCATCCCTCCTCTATACCTAGAACTATAAAATTAATTTTTAAATGCCACTTTGGAACATAGTTTTACTGACTGCTTACACAATTTTAGTAGATAATGTGCATTGCCTCCTTATTTTCCTCTTTAGGTACCACTCCTAAATTTCTCCTTCCATAAAATTTTATGAAAAAGAAATTGTGGAAAAATGCACAAATATTTGGACTAAGTAATACACTTCTAAATAACTATCAATGAAAGAATAAATCAAAAGGGAAATAGAGGTTATTTTGAATTAAATGAAAATGAAAATATAACATATCAAAATTTTGTGGTTTGCAGCTAATACAATACTTAGAGGAAAATTCAAATACTTGCATTAGAAAAAGAGAAAAGTTTTGAGACAACAAATAACCTCAATGTACACCTTAAAAAAGAAACAAAGAAAAGCAAATAAAGTCCAAATAGAAGAGAGGGAATAATAAAGATAATTAAAGTAATGGAAAACATGCAAGCAATAGAAAAAGTTAATAATATAACAAACTGTTGTGTAAAAAAGATAGAAATGGAATGATCTCTAACAAATCAGAAAGAAAGAAAAAATACACACATTACGAATCCAGTAATGAGAGAGATTGTTATTATGGCTTCTATAGATATTAAAATGATAATAGAGAATATTAAAAAACAACATTATGTCAATAAAGTGGAAAATTTTGATGAATTCAGCAAATTCCTTGATACACACAAACTAATAAAACTTAAGAAAAAATAGATAGCCTGAGTAGTCTTGTATCTATTATAGGAATGAAAAGTTTAATTAAAAACATTTCCACAAAGAAACTTTTAGGCCCTGAAAGCTTCGCTAGTCTATTGTACCTAACATTTAAGGAAGAAATAATACCAATTCTATACAAATGCTTTGAGAAAACTGACAAGGAAGAACTACCCCCCAATTCACTTTGAGAGTAGCATTACTCTGATAGAGAAATCAAACAAATATATTACAAGATAGGAAAACTAAAGGCTAGTATCTATTATGTTATAGATGCAAAATTAGTTTTTTAATTTTTGACAAAATGAACCCAGTAATATATAAGTACAATACATTATGACCAAATGACATCTGACCCTGGAACACAGGTTGTTTTAGCATTTGAAAATTAATCAATATAATTTATCATATTAATAGACTAAAAAAAGCCTAAAAAGAGAATACGGTATCTCAATAGATGCAGATATACTATTTATCCAAATACCATATCTGTTTGAGTTTTATTGGTGGGGAAGGATGGAGCGGGGAGCAACTCTCCCTCCTCTCTCACCAATAAAACCCATCTCACCCTCTCTCAGTAATGAAACCCGAAACAATAACTCAGCAAATAGAGAACTTCCACAACCTATAGAGGTATCTGTAGAAAATTTAAAGCTAACATCATATTTAATCGTGAAAGATTAAATGCTTTCCCCCTAAGATCAGAAACAAGACAAGGCTATCTACTCCCACCCATGCCTATTTAACACTCTATAGGTGGTTATACCCAGTGCAATAAGACACGTGAAAAAAAGAATGTGAATAAAACTGTGTTCAAAGGGGACACGATCATTTATGTAGAATCCTATGGAAGCTACAAGAAAGCTCCTAGAACTTATAAGGAATTTTAACAAGCCTGTGGGATATAAAATCAAGTACAAAAACTAATTTTATTTTTATTTTTAAAAATATTTTAACTTTTATTTTAGGTTCAGGAGTATATGTGCAGGTTTGTTATATAGTAAACTTGTGACTTGGAGGTTTGGTTTACAGGTAATTTTGTCACCTGGGTACTAAGCATATTACCTAACAGTTTTCTTTTTTTCTGAATTTTTTCCTTTTTCTCACCCTTCACACCTCAAGTAGGCTCCAATGTCTGTTGCTCCTCTCTTTTTGTCCCTGTATTCTCATTACTTAGCTCCCACTTATAGGTGAGAACATGCAGTATTTGGTTTTCTGGTCCTGAATTAGTTTCCTAAAGACAATGGTTTCCAGTTCCATCTGTGTTCCTGCAAAAGATGTGATCTCATTCTCAAAAATGAATTTTATAATTATGTATTAGAACAAAGCGTTTGGAATTAGAAATGAAAATTACAATACCATTTACAACAGCATCAGTAAACATAAAATATTTAATGATATATGTGACAAAATATGTTTAATACTAACACACTGAAAACTATCAAAAATCGTTGAAATGAGAGACATACATAATCAGAGGTATACCATGTTTATGGATCAGAAGTTAGTAATATTATTAAGACATCAGTTCTCTCCAACTATATCTATATATATAATGTAATACCAATAAAAATCCCAGAAGAACTTTTTAAATAAATAAAGCAATTAAAAATTCATATGGTAATGCCAAGGAAATATACACACTACAGCAACTTTCAAAAAGAAGAACACAATTGGTGGACTTATACTACCTGTCTTCAGAGTTACTTTAAATATAATCAGGATAATGTTGTATTGGCATAGGAGAGAAAAATAGATCAATGTCACACAATAGAGAGTCAAGAAATAGATTTCCACATATATGGTCACCTGATATTTAAGAAATGTGCGAAGGCAATAATTCAGTGAAAACAAAAAAGACAGTCTTTTCAACAAATGGTGTGGAATAATTAGATATTCATAAACATAAAAATGAAACTCCAACCCACACCTCAAAATCTACAAAAAGGAACTCAAAATGATTTATAGACCTTAATGAAAATGTAAAATATAAACTTTTAGAAGAACACATAAGAGAAAAATTTTGTGAACCTGGGTTAGACCTTAAATTCTCAACAGGGTCAATATTGCCCCTAAGTGGGTAATTATCGGTTCTTGGAGGATGAAAAAAAATGTAGTTATTGAATGGTTTGTGTATATCTGTGGTAGTAAAATTTCATGAAGAGGAAGTAATCATGAAAAAATGATCTTAGATTCTTTTAGGCAAAAATAAAATTTGAGAAACACTGAGTTAGGCAAAGATTTCTTAAATGCAAAACCAATATCATGGATCATAATAGAAAAATACTAATGAATTGTACTTCATCAAAGACACAGTTAAGAGAATGAAGAGACATTTCACAACTTGGGAGAAAATGTTTACAGATCATTTATTATACAATGGGCTTATATCCATCTATATGATGACCTCTGAGAATTTATAATAAGAAAACAATCCAATTAAAAATGGGCTAAACATATGAACAGATACTTCATCAATTAAGATTATATGAATGGTAAATAAGCACACAAGAAGATGCTTATCATTAGTCATTAGGGGAATGCAGATTAAAACCATAACGAGATATCACTACACATCTATTAGAGTGGCTAAAATTTAAAAAAGACTAAGAAGACCTGCTGTAGGTGAGATGATAGAGTGACTGGAACTCTCATACATGCTGGTGAGAATGTTTGTGATACAGCTGAAAAACAGTTTGACAGTTTCTTAAAAAGTGAAACCTATCCTCACTATATGAGCCATTTCACCCCTAGGATTTTAGATGAGAGAAACAAAAGCATATATCCATTCAAATACTTGTGTATATATATGTTCATATCAACCTTATTTGATTTAGTCAAAACTCCCAATTACCCCAAACAGATGAAAAGATAAACAAATTATGGTATATACATAAATAAAATGTTACTCAACAATAAAAACAAATAAAATTTTGATACAAACAACAACAGGTCTGGATCTCAAAATAACTGAGTTAGCTGAACGCTGAGTGAAAAAACTTATACAAAAAAAGAATGTATATTGTATTTTCCATTTATATAACATTCCAGAAAGTAAAGGCTAATCTATAGTGAAGGAAAGTAAATCAATGGAAAGCCTAGGGATTGGCAGCAGGAATGGTGGGGGCGTGGATCATAAAGGGGACTGAGGGGAGATTTGGAGTGTTAGATATTGATTGTGTTGACTGTATCACAAATATATACATATGTCAAAACTTCTTAAATTGTAAGCATTCAATATATGAAGCTTACTGTATGTCAATCATACTCCAATAAAAATAATAGTATTCAACATCTATGATAGTACTGTTATGTTTCTTTACAGGAATTATTTGTTGGATAATATTAGAAAACAAGTTTAATATGGCAGATCAAGGAAAGAGATTTTGTGTAAAAAGACGACAGTTTTATGTTTTTATTTATTATTATTTTTTATTATTATTATACTTTAAGTTTTAGGGTACATGTGCACAATGTGCAGGTTAGTTACATATGTATACATGTGCCATGCTGGTGTGCTGCACCCATTAACTCGTCATTTAGCATTAGGTATATCCCTTAATGCTATCCCTCCCCCTTCCCCCCCCCACAACAGTCCCCAGAGTGTGATGTTCCCCTTCCTGTGTCCATGGGTTCTCATTGTTCAATTCCCATCTATGAGTGAGAACATGCGGTGTTTGGTTTTTTGTCCTTGCAATAGTTTACTGAGAATGATGATTTCCAGTTTCATCCATGTCCCTACAAAGGACATGAACTCATCATTTTTTATGGCTGCATAGTATTCCATGGTGTATATGTGCCACATTTTCTTAATCCAGTCTATCATTGTTGGACATTTGGCATGGTTCCAAGCCTTTGCTATTGTGTATAGTGCCACAATAAACATACGTGTGCATGTGTCTTTATAGCAGCATGATTTATAGTCCTTTGGGTATATACCCAGTAATGGGATGGCTGGGTCAAATGGTATTTCTAGTTCTAGATCCCTGAGGAATCGCCACACTGACTTCCACAATGGTTGAACTAGTTTACAGTCCCACCAACAGTGTAAAAGTGTTCCTATTTCTCCACATCCTCTCCAGCACCTGTTGTTTCCTGACTTTTTAATGATTGCCATTCTAACTGGTGTGAGATGGTATCTCATTGTGGTTTTGATTTGCATTTCTCTGATGGCCAGTGATGATGAGCATTTTTTCATGTGTCTTTTGGCTGCATAAAGGTCTTCCTTTGAGAAGTGTCTGTTCATATTCTTTGCCCACTTTTTGATGGGGTTGTTTGTTTTTTTCTTGTAAATTTCATTGAGTTCATTGTAGACTCTGGATATTAGCCCTTTGTCAGATGAGTAGGTTGCGAATATTTTCTCCCATTTTGTAGGTTGCCTGTTCACTCTGATGGTAGTTTCTTTTGCTGTGCAGAAGCTCTTTAGTTTAATTAGATCCCATTTGTCAATTTTGGCTTTTGTTGCCATTGCTTTTGGTGTTTTAGACATGAAGTCCTTGCCCATGCCTATGTCCTGAATGGTAATGCCTAGGTTTTCTTCTAGGGTTTTTATGGTTTTAGGTCTAACGTTTAAGTCTTTAATCCATCTTGAATTAATTGTTGTATAAGGTGTAAGGAAGGGATCCAGTTTCAGCTTTCTACATATGGCTAGCCAGTTTTCCCAGCACCATTTATTAAATAGGGAATCCTTTCCCCATTGCTTGTTTTTCTCAGGTTTGTCAAAGATCAAATAGTTGTAGATATGTGGCGTTATTTCTGAGGGCTCTGTTCTGTTCCATTGATCTATATATATCTGTTTTGGTACCAGTACCATGCTGTTTTGGTTACTGTAGCCTTGTAGTATAGTTTGAAGTCAGGTAGCGTGATGCCTCCAGCTTTGTTCTTTTGGCTTAGGATTGACTTGGCGTTGTGGGCTCTTTTTTGGTTCCATATGAACTTTAAAGTAGTTTTTTCCAATTCTGTGAAGAAAGTCATTGGTAGCTTGATGGGGATGGCATTGAATCTATAAATTACCTTGGGCAGTATGGCCATTTTCACGATGTTGATTCTTCCTACCCATGAGCATGGAATGTTCTTCCATTTGTTTGTATCCTCTTTTATTTCATTGAGCAGTGGTTTGTAGTTCTCCTTGAAGGGGTCCTTCACGTCCCTTGTAAGTTGGATTCCTAAGTATTTTATTCTCTTTGAAGCAATTGTGAATGGGAGTTCACTCATGATTTGGCTCTCTGTTTGTCTGTTATTGGTGTATAAGAATGCTTGTGATTTTTGTACATTGATTTTGTATCCTGAGACTTTGCTGAAGTTGCTTATCAGCTTAAGGAGATTTTGGGCTGAGACAATGGGGTTTTCTAGATATACAGTCATGTCATCTGCAAACACGGACAATTTGACTTCCTCTTTTCCTAATTTAATACCGTTTATTTCCTTCTCCTGCCTGATTGCCCTGGCCAGAACTTCCAACACTATGTTGAATAGGAGTGGTGAGAGAGGGCATCCCTGTCTTGTGCCAGTTTTCAAAGGGAATGCTTCCAGTTTTTGCCCATTCAGTATGATATTGGCTGTGGGTTTGTCATAGATAGCTCTTATTATTTTGAGATA
This sequence comes from Homo sapiens, assembly GCF_000001405.40. NCBI lineage: Eukaryota > Metazoa > Chordata > Mammalia > Primates > Hominidae > Homo > Homo sapiens. Next base: position 208,748,661 of record NC_000002.12, read on the forward strand.
TGTCCCATCAATACCTAATTTATTGAGAATTTTTAGCATAAAGTGTTGTTGAATTTTGTCAAAGGCCTTTTCTGCATCTATTGAGATAATCATGTGGTTTTTGTCTTTGGTTCTGTTTCCATGCTGGATTACATTTATTGATTTGCATATATTGAACCAGCCTTGCATCATAGGGATGAAGCCCACTTGATCATGGTGGATAAGCTTTTTGATGTGCTGCTGGATTTGGTTTGCCAGTATTTTATTGAGGATTTTTGCATCAATGTTCATCAAGGATATTGGTCTAAAATTCTCTTTTTTGGTTGTGTGTCTGCCCGGCTTTGGTATCAGGATGATGCTGGCCTCATAAAATGAGTTAGGGAGGATTCACTCTTTTTCTATTGTTTGGAATAGTTTCAGAAGGAATGGTACCAGTTGCTCCTTGTACCTCTGGTAGAATTCGGCTGTGAATCCATCTGGTCCTGGACTCTTTTTGGTTGGTAAGCTATTGATTATTGCCACAATTTCAGAGCCTGTTATTGGTCTATTCAGAGATTCAACTTCTTCCTGGTTTAGTCTTGGGAGAGTGTATGTGTCGAGGAATTTTTCCATTTCTTCTAGATTTTCTAGTTTTTTTGCATAGAGTTGTTTGTAGTACTCTCTGATGGTAGTTTGTATTTCTGTGGGATCGGTGGTGATATCCCCTTTATCATTTTTTATTGCGACTATTTGATTCTTCTCTCTTTTTTTCTTTATTAGTCTTGCTAGCGGTCTATCAGTTTTGCTGATCCTTTCAAAAAATCAGCTCCTGGATTCACTAATTTTTTGAAGGGTTTTTTGTGTCTCTATTTCCTTCAGTTCTGCTCTGATTTTAGTTATTTCTTGCCTTCTGCTAGCTTTTGAATGTGTTTGCTCTTGCTTCTGTAGTTCTTTGAATTGTGATGTTAGGGTGTCAATTTTGGATCTTTCTTGCTTTCTCTTGTGGGCGTTCAGTGCTATAAATTTCTCTCTACACACTGCTTTGAATGTGTCCCAGAGATTCTGGTACGTTGTGTGTTTGTTCTCATTGGTTTCAAAGAACATCTTTATTTCTGCCTTCATTTTGTTACGTACCCAGTAGTCATTCAGGAGCAGGTTGTTCAGTTTCCATGTAGTTGAGCGGTTTTGAGTGAGTTTCTTAATCCTGAGTTCTAGTTTGATTGCACTGTGGTCTGAGAGACAGTGTTATAATTTCTGTTCTTTTACATTTGCCGAGGAGAGCTTTACTTCCAACTATGTGGTCAATTTTGGAATAGGTGTGGTGTGGTGCTGAAAAAAATGTATATTCTGTTGATTTGGGGTGGAGAGTTCTGTAGATGTCTATTAGGTCTGCTTGGTGCAGAGCTGAGTTCAATTCCTGAGTATCCTTGTTAACTTTCTGTCTCGTTGATCTGTCTAATGTTGACAGTGGGGTGTTAAAGTCTCCCATTATTATTGTGTGGGATTCTAAGTCTTTTTGTAGGTCACTCAGGACTTGCTTTATGAATCTGGGTGCTCCTGTATTGGGTGCATATATATTTAGGATAGTTAGCTCTTCTTGTTGAACTGGTACCTTTACCATTATGTAATGGCCTTCTTTGTCTCTTTTGATCTTTGTTGGTTTAAGGTCTGTTTTATCAGAGACTAGGATTGCAACCCCTGCCTTTTTTTGTTTTCCATTAGCTTGGCAGATCTTCCTCCATCCTTTTATTTTGAGCCTATGTTTGTCTCTGCACATGAGATGGGTTTCCTGAATACAGCACACTGATGGGTCTTGACTCTTTATCCAATTTGCCAGTCTGTGTCTTTTAATTGGAGCATTTAGTCCCTTTACATTTACAGTTAATATTGTTATGTGTGAATTTGATCCTGTCATTATGATGTTAGCAGGTTATTTTGCTCGTTAGTTGATGCAGTTTCTTCCTAGTCTTGATGGTCTTTACATTTTGGCATGATTTTGCAGCGGCTGGTACTGGTTGTGCCTTTCCATGTTTAGCGCTTCCTTCAGGAGCTCTTTTAGGGCAGGCCTGGTGGTGACAAAATCTCTCAGCATTTGCTTGTCTGTATTTTATTTCTCCTTCACTTATGAAGCTTAGTTTGGCTGGATATGAAATTCTGGGTTGAAAATTCTTTTCTTTAAGAATGTTGAATATTGGCCCCCACTCTCTTCTGTCTTGTAGAGTTTCTGCTGAGACATCTGCTGTTAGTCTGATGGGCTTCCCTTTGAGTGTAACTCGACCATTCTCTCTTTCTGCCCTTAACATTTTTTACTTCATTTCAACTTTGGTGAATCTGACAATTATGTGTCTTGGAGTTGCTCTTCTCGAGGAGTATCTTTGTGGCATTCTCTGTATTTCCTGAATGTGAATGTTGGCCTGCCTTGCTAGATTGGGGAAGTTCTCCTGGATAATATCCTGCAGAGTGTTTTCCAACTTGGTTCCATTCTCCCTGTCACTTTCAGGTACACCAATCAGATGCAGATTTGGTCTTTTCACATAGTCCCATATTTTTGGAGGCTTTGCTCATTTCTTTTTATTCTTTTTTCTCTAAACTTCCCTTCTGGCTTCATTTCATTCATTTCATCTTCCATCACTGATACCCTTTCTTTCAGTTGATTGTATCAGCTCCTGAGGCTTCTGCATTCTTCACGTATTTCTCGAGCCTTGACTTTCAGTTCCATCAGCTCCTTTAAGGACTTCTCTGTATTGGTTATTCTAGTTATACATTCATCTAAATTTTTTTCAAGGTTTTCAACTTCTTTGCCTTTGGTTTGAATTTCCTCCTGTAGCTCAGAGTAGTTTGATCGTCTGAAGCCTTCTTCTCTCAACTTGTCAAAGTCATTCTCTGTCCAGCTTTGTTCCGTTGCTGGTGAGGAACTGCGTTCCTTTGGAGGAGGAGAGGTGCTGTGCTTTTTAGAGTTTCCAGTTTTTCTGTTCTGTTTTTTCCCCATCTTTGTGGTTTTATCTACTTTTGGTCTTTGATGATGGTGATGTACAGATGGGTTTTTGGTGTGGATGTCCTTTCTGTTTGTTAGTTTTCCTTCTAACAGACAGGACCCTCAGCTGCAGGTCTGTTGGAGTTTGCTAGAGGTCCACTCCAGACCCTGTTTTCCTGGGTATCAGCAGCGGTGTCTGCAGAACCGCGGATTTTCGTGATCGGCGAATGCTGCTGTCTGATTGTTCCTCTGGAAGTTTTGTCCCAGAGGAGTACCCGGCCGTGTGAGGTTTCAGTCTGCCCCTACTGGGGGGTGCCTCACAGTTAGGCTGCTCGGGGGTCGGGGGTCAGGGACCCACTTGAGGAGGCAGTCTGCCTGTTCTCAGATCTCCAGCTGCGTGCTGGGAGAACCACTGCTGTCCTCAAAGCTGTCACACAGGGACATTTAAGTCTGCAGAGGTTACTGCTGTCTTTTTGTTTGTCTGTGCCCTGCCCCCAGAGGTGGAGCCTACAGAGGCAGGCAGGCCTCCTTGAGCTGCGGTGGGCTCCACCCAGTTGGAGCTTCCAGGCTGCTTTGTTTACCTAAGCGAGGCTGGGCAATGGCGGGCGCCCCTCCCCCAGCCTCACTGTGGCCTTGCAGTTTGATCTCAGACTGCTGTGCTAGCAATCAGTGAGATTCTGTGAGCGTAGGACCCTCCAAGCCAGGTGTGGGATATAGTCTCCTGTTGTGCCGGGTTTCCTAAGCCCGTCAGAAAAGCGCAGAATTCGGGTGGGAGTGGCCCGATTTTCCAGGTGCTGTCTCTCAGCCCTTTCCTTGACCAGGAAAGGGAACTCCCTGATCCCTTGTGCTTCCTGAGTGAGGCAATGCCTCGCCCTGCTTCGGCTCGCACACGGTGCGCTGCACCCACTGTCCTGCGCCCACTGTCTGGCACTCCCTAGTGAGATGAACCCGGTACCTCAGATGGAAATGCAGAAATCACCCGTCTTCTGCATCGCTCACGCTGGGAGCTGTAGACTGGAGCTGTTCCTATTCGGCCATCTTGGCTCCTCCTTCAAAAGACAACAATTTTAAACATTGGTATATTCTCTAGGAACCAGAGAATACATTAGACATTGACACAGATAATCCAAAGCATAAAATTCATTCCAATATTGGTAAATTATTACTTAAGTGTTACGCATTTATATTAACCACATATAACATTACACTTCTCTAAACAGCTTCAAGTCGTATGCAGGTAGATTATGATAATTCCTCACACGAATCACAGAAGAAACATTTCTTTTGCAAATATGTTAATGCATAAGTTTTAAGTAGACTGGCTTTATAATTGAATACATTTATGATAACATCCAGATGATCAAGAGTTTCAGGAAAGAAAGGTATAACTGCAATGGAACTGTGTTTCATTCAACAGCGATTCCCCATTTCCACCTCCTCCTAATCCTCTCGCAACCACCATTCTATGCTCTACTTCTATGAGTTTGACTATTTATATTAATGGAATCATACAGTATTTGTCCTTCTGTGACTGGCTTATTTAACTTAGCATACTGTATTCGAGGTTGTCACAAAAGGTAATATTTTTATTTTTTTAAAAGCTAAATAATATTTCACTGTATGAATATACCACATTTTTCTTATTCATCGGTTGATAATCATTTGGTTTGTTTTCACATTATGGCTGTTGTGAATAATGCTGCAACAAATGTGGAAATGCAGATATTTCTTTGAGACCCTGATTCTAACTCTTTTGAATACATACTCTTAAGTGTAATAGCTGGATCATATGGTAGTTCTACTTTTACTTTTTGGAAGAAACTACATGTTGTTTTCCATTTGGCTTCACCATTTTTCATTGCCACCAACAATGTGCAAGAGTTCCAATTTCTTCACGTCCTGGATAACACTTTTTTTAATGTTTATTTATTTTATAAAAATAGAGGCTGGGATTTGCTATGTTGCCCAGGCTAATTTTGAACTCCTGGGCTCAGTGATTTCCCCACCTTGGCCTCAGAAAGTACTGGAATTAGATGTGTGACCCACTGTGCCTAGGCTTTTTTTTTTTATTTTTTTAACACTAGTTATTCTAACAGGTATGAGGTAATATCTCATTATGGTTTTGGTCAGCATTTCCCTGATGACTGGTGATGCTGAGCAGCTTTTCATATACCTGTTGGCTATTTGTATGTCTTTGGAAAAATGAAAGACCTTTTTATTTACAAGTGCTGTTGAAATCCTTTGCCCATTTTTCATCAGTTTGTTTTTTTGCTATTCAGTTGTAGGACAAATTCTAATACATTTTGGGTATTAATCCCTTATGAGATAGATGGTTTGCAAATATTTTCTCTTGTTCCATAGGTTGCCTCTTTACTTTGATTTTTTTCATTGCTGTGCAGAGCATTTTAATTTGACGTAGTTCCATCTATTTTTTTATTTTGCTGCTTGCGTCAAATTCATGAAATAATTGACAAGACCATTGCCCAAAAGATTTTCCCCTGTGTTTCTTTTGGAGTTTACAGTTTCAGGTCTTATGTTTAAGTCTTTAATCCATTTCGAGCAACTTTTGTATATGGTGTAAATTAGGAGTCTAATTCCATTCTTTTTCATGAGGATATTCAGTTTTTCTAACACCATTTATTGAAGAGGCTGTCTTTTCCCACTGTGTGTTCTTAACATCCTTGCTAAAGATCAGTTGACTGAATATGCACGGTTTTATTTCTGGGCTCTCTACTTTGTTAGATTGGTCTATGTGTCTGTTTTTATGCCAGTACCATATTGTTTTGATTACTGTGGCTTTGTAATATATTTTGAAACCAGGGAATATGATCCCTCTAGCTTTGTTCTTCTTTCTCAAGATTGCTCTGGTGATTTGGAGTCTTTTGTGTTTCCATATGAATTGTAGAATTGTATTTTCTATTTGTGAGGAAATGCCTTTGGAATTTTGATAGGGATTTCATCGAATCTGTAGATCACTTCATGTAGTATGGGCATTTTAGAAACGTTAATTCTTCCACTCCATGAACACAAGATCTCTTTCCATTTATTTGTTTCTTGTTTAACTTCATCAGTGTTTTATGATTGTTAGTATACAAGTCTTTGACCTCCTTGGTTTTATTGGTTTAAATATTTTAGTAACAGTTTTAAATATTTAAATAAATACTTGATTTATTCCTTAGCATTTGATTCTTCTGATGCTATTGTTAATGATATTGTTTTCTTATTTTTTTCAAATACTTCCTTGATATTTATATGTTCAACTGATATTTATATGTTGATGTTGTATACTGCAATTTTGCTAAATTGATTTATTAGTTTTTGTTTTATCAGGGTTTTTTTGTATGTGGCATCTTTAGAGTTTCCTAGATATAAAATTATATCATCTGCAAAAAGACAATTTTACTTCTTTCTGCTTTGCATGTCTTTTATATCTTTTTCTTGCTTAATTGGACTGGCTGGCACTGCCATTAAAGACTGCCACCTGGTACCTATATACAAGATAGTACCTATAGTTAGGTACCTATAGTTAACAATACCTGTAATTAACTATGGTATTATGTACTTTAAATTACCTTAAGAGGATAGATCTCATATTAAGTGTTATGTCAAACAACCCCCTGCCAAATCCCACGAAGAACATAAGGAAATTTTTGGAGGTGATGAATATGTTTGGTACCTTGATTGTAGTGATGGCATCATGGTTGTTTGCATGTGTGTCCAAACTCATGAAAAGGTATAAATTTAATATGTGTGGGTTTTTTTGTTTATCAGTTATACCTCAATAACGCTTAATATAATCATTCAAAAAATAAGAATAATTTATAGTTTTTAATATTAGAAAAACACAAGTGAAAGGAATGTTTAATAAAAGGTGTTTAAGTTATATATATTTTTATAATATAAATGGCTTTTTATAGTGGCTTCTTTATTTTTGGGTGGTAGCATTTCTCTTACAATTTAAACTGCAAAAATTGCAAAGATAGAAGTTATTGATATTTAATTTTATTAAATTTTTAAAATTTATTATTTAAATTATATTTAAATAATACACATTCATATCTAGAAGGAATAGGAAGTAGATATTTTAAAGGAGAAAAACCGCAAGGGTTCAACATCAGAGTTAAATTAAATTTAAATTTACCTAACCAAAAAAATGTCACTTGAATTTAAACTTGGTATAATGTGTATCATTATATCTCAGCAATTTATTAGATAGATTTTGGTGCCCATTTATTTGGGGCTTTTTCAAATTGGCTTCATTTGCTAATTACTACTTGGTTGTTTTCATCACTTTTCAAGTTCTATTGCTGGGAAATTTATAAAATAATATTGTAGTTAACCAGTTCAACCAAAGGATCTATGGAATATATAGTTTTGATTTTTCATGTTAAGGCTAGCTGGTACTTGTTAAGTCTTACTAAATGTTAGCCAGTTTGGAAATAAAATTACTTCTTAAAAGTTAATATCATGTAACAATTGATAATTGTTAAGCAAAAGAGTCAGACCATCAGTCATCTGTATTATAAAACTGACTTTGGAGGAATTAAAGAAAAATATTCTTTTAATTTTTAGTTTTATTTTACATTTTATTAAATTGATAATGACTTGCTTATGTCATAGAAGCTGGTAAGAAACCAAAGAGTTTCATCTTGAAAATGACTCACTCCAAAGTAATAAATGTCTTCTTGGATGTTCAGATTAAATACTAGATAGTTTGAGAAGTAATTTGAGTCTGAGTTCTGGCAATTCATCATATAGGGTGATTGCCAAAGTAGCAGAACATTTGCAAAGAATAGAGATAAAAGGAATGATTTACATTGTTTAAAAATTAAGAAAAATTAACATATAATAGAAAGTTACTGAAACAAACATTTGAAATGACATTAATATTTTAAAAAATCTGGATTTATGTCACTTGTCACATGTTTTCATAGCTGAAATTATATCACATGATAAAATCAGATCAATCAAGGATAAAGTCCTGGTTATAGCTAGTCTTCTATCACTCATTCATTCACCAAATATCAAGTGCCTACTATATGCTCGGATCTATGTTGGTGAAAGAAGGATGATTAAGGTGGCTTTCAAACCTCACAAGTTGCTTACAGTGAAGTAAGATTAAGGCAATTTGGATTCCTCAGATTGGCTGTGTTTTCTGAATGGATCAATGAAAAGCTGTGGTTGTCTTGAGTGGTCTTTCTTGCACAGAAAGGTGAACTCGAATACACTCTAAAGTGAGTTTAAAATAATACAACTATACTGGATTTAAAAAAAAAACCATGAAATGAATAGCTTCTTTCTGGTAAAATATAGTGAATATAGAAGACCATTTGATGATCTAGTCAAAGATCCAAGGGCGATTTTTTGTATGTAGTGGATAGAAGAGGAGAGACCCTCTATGTATCTATCAATCATCTCTATCTACCTATCTATCTATCACCTAGTTTTGCTATTGTTTTTCCCTAATTACACTAGCACATAGCAATCATATTAGAAGAAAACATTACATATATAAAGTCATGGTACATAGACCGTAAGATCATGTTTGAAAATGACTTAGAGAGATTTACTGGTGGTTTAAAAATCAATTTTTATTGGATGCTTTCATCTGTTTAGAAACACATATTATATAAAGAACTTTTGAGTGTTACATTGTTATGTACACTGCTGTAATCTTTTGGTTCAGCATGCAACTCATCTTTCTATTTGGGGATGATTCCCCATGTATATTGTCTCTGTGAAGGAAAACAGAACTATGTGTTGGCATTCAACAATATACTCATCCTCTTCAACAACTGTTCAAGAATCACAGGAACTGGACAGCTAGGAACTACATTTTGGAGACTTCCTTATTAGCAGAGTTGTGTTCAGATCCCACTCATTAGGCATTCACACGGCATCTGGAAAGTGGACAGGAAGCATTCAGCATTGGCAAGTGAACTCAAAGCATTTGCCCAACATGAAGATTTGCAGCAGTAGCTGGGAATTCTCATACAAATCACCTACTTAGGTGCTGACAGGCAAATGTTGTCATTGGTAATAAATATCCTTCTAACATGTTTGACTAAAGCAGCATTAGTTACATCCAGAGTATTTGAACACTAGCAAAAATCTGCATGCTAGAAGCTCTTTCAGTTGTTTCATAAGCCCCTAGTTCTTTTTATTAAATCTCTTCCTGGTGAAACACTTAGAATGAGGTCTCTTTTTCTGATCAAATTTTGACTGATACAGAGGAAATGTCCTACCTGTACCATACGATCCAAAAGAAGAGAATCCTCCTGTTTCTTTTCTTATGGTAGCTTAATGTCCTGAAGTTGGCTTCTTCCTGGGTGGCGAGGCAAATGAGTAATTATAATGCGCTGGTGATAGCAGCAGACATGCGTCCAGTGGCAGAAGCATCAAGGGCCAGTGATGACTGTGATGTCAGACATTTTTCTCTTTTTCTGATAAAAGAGATTGGCTTTGATATTTGATGCTTCCATACCACCTAGTATTTCACTTGCTTTTCTTTATTTTTTTTATTATACTTTAAGTTCTAGGGTACATGTGCACAACATTCAGGTTTGTTACATACATATACATGTGCCATGTTGGTGAGCTGCACCCATTAACTCGTCATTTACCTTAGGTATATCTCCTAATGCTATCCCTCCACCCTCCCCTCACCCCACAACAGGCCCCAGAGTGTGATGTTCCCCTTCCTGTGCCCATGTGTTCTCATTGTTCAATTCCCATCTATGAGTGAGAACATGCGGTGTTTGGTTTTTTTTCCTTGCGATAGGTTGCTGAAATTGATGGTTTCCAGCTTCATCCATGTCCCTACAAAGGACATGAACTCATCATTTTTTATGGCTGCATAGTATTCCATGGTGTATATGTGCCACATTTTCTTGATCCAATCTATCATTGTTGGACATTTGGCTTGGTTTCAAGTCTTTGCTATTGTGAATAGTGCCGCAATAAACATACGTGTGCATGTGTCTTTATAGCAGCATGATTTATAATCCTTTGGGTATATACCCAGTAATGGGATGGCTGGGTCAAATGGTATTTCTAGTTCTAGATCCTTGAGGAATTGCCACACTGTCTTCCACAATGGTTGAACTAGTTTACGGTCCCACTAACAGTGTAAAAGTGTTCCTATTTCTCCACATCCTCTCCAGCACCTGTTGTTTCCTGACTTTTTAATGATTGCCGTTCTAACTGGTGTGAGATGGTATCTCATTGTGGTTTTTATTTGCATTTCTCTGATGGCCAGTGATGATGAGCATTTTTTCATGTGTCTGTTGGCTGCATAAATGTTTTTTTTTGTTTTTTGAGACAGTCTCGCTCTGTCGCCCAGGCTGGAGTGCAGTGGTGTGATCTTGACTCACTGCAATTTCCACTTCCTGGGTTCACGCCATTCTCCCACCTCAGCCTCCCAAGCAGGTGGGACTACAGGTACCTGCTACCACACCCAGCTGATTTTTTTGTATTTTTTATTAGAGACGGGGTTTCACCATGTTAGCCAGGATGGTCTCGATCTCCTGACCTCGTGATCCACCCGCCTCAGCCTCCCAAAGTGCTGGGATTACGGGCATGAGCCACTGCACCCACTCCCCATAAATGTCTTCTTTTGAGAAGTATCTCTTCATATACTTTGCCCACTTTTTGATGGGGTTGTTTTTTTTCTTGTAAATTTGAGTTCTTTTTAGATTCTGGATATTAGCCCTTTGTCAGATGAGTAGATTGCAAAAATTTTCTCCCATTCTGTAGGTTGCCTGTTCACTCTGATGGTAGTTTCTTTTACTGTGCAGAAGCTCTTTAGTTTAATTAGATACCATTTGTCAGTTTTGGCTTTTGTTGCCATTGCTTTTGGTGTTTTAGACATGAAGTCCTTGCCCATGCCTATGTCCTGAATGGTATTGCCTAGATTTTCTTCTAGGATTTTTATGGTTTTAGTTCTAACATTTAAGTCTTTAATCCATCTTGAATTAATTTTTGTATAAGGTGTAAGGAAGGGATCCAGTTTCAGCTTTCTACATATGGCTAGCCAGTTTCCCAGCATCATTTATTAAATAGGGAATGCTTTCCCCATTTCTTGTTTTTGTCAGGTTTGTCAAAGATCAGATAGTTGTAGATGTGTGGTATTATTTCTGAGGGCTCTGTTCTGTTCCATTGGTCTATATCTGTGTTGTGGCACCAGTACCATGCTGTTTTGGTTACTGTAGCCTTGTAGTATAGTTTGAAGTCAGGTAGTGTGATGCCTCCAGCTTTGTTCTTTTGGCTTAGCATTGACTTGGTGATGCGGGCTCTTTTTTGGTTCCATATGAACTTTAAAGTAGTTTTTTCCAATTCTGTGAAGAAAGTCATTGGTAGCTTGATGGGGATGGCATTGAATCTATAAATTACCTTGGGCAGTATGGCCATTTTCACAATATTGATTCTTCCTATCCATGAGCATGGAATGTTCTTCCATTTGTTTGTGTCCTTTTTTATTTCATTAAGCAGTGGTTTGTAGTTCTGCTTGAAGAGGTCCTTCACATGCCTTGTAAGTTGGATTCCTAGGTATTTTATTCTCTTTGAAGCAATTGTGAATGGGAGTTCACTCATGATTTGGCTCTCTGTTTGTCTGTTATTGGTGTATAAGAATGCTTGTGATTTTTGCACATTGATTTTGTATCCTGAGGCTTTGCTGAAGTTGCTTATCAGCTTAAGGAGATCTAGGGCTGACACAATGGGGTTTTCTAAATATACAATCATCATGTCATCTGCAAACAGGGACAATTTTACTTCCTCTTTTCCTAATTGAATACCCTTTATTTCTTTCTCCTGCCTGATTGCCCTGGCCAGAACTTCCAACACTATGTTGAACTGGAGTGGTGCGAGAGGACATCCCTGTCTTGTGCCAGTTTTCAAAGGGAATGCTTCCAGTTTTTGCCCATTCAGTATGATATTGGCCGTGGGTTTGTAATAAATAGCTCTTGTTATTTTTTGATATGTCCCATCAATACCTAATTTATTGAGAGTTTTTAGCATGAAGGGCTGTTGAATTTTGTGGAAGGCCTTTTCTGCATCTATTGAGATAATCATGTGGTTTTTGTCTTTGGTTCTGTTTCTGTGCTGGATTACGTTTATTGATTTGTGTATGTTGAACCAGACTTGTATGCCAGGGATGAAGCCCACTTGATCATGGTGGATAAGATTTTTGATGTGCTGCTGGATTCGGTTTGCCAGTATTTTATTGAGGATTTTTGCATTGATGTTCATCAGGGATATTGGTCTAAAATTCTCTTTTTTGGTTGTGTTTCTGCCAGACTTTGGTATCAGGATGATGCTGGCTTCATAAAATGAGTTAGGGAGGATTCCCTCCTCTTCTATTGTTTGGAATAGTTTCAGAAGGAATGGCCTCTGCTGCTGATACCCAGGCAAACAGCGACTGGAGTGGACTTCCAGCATACTCCAACAGACCTGCAGCTGAGGGTCCTGACTGTTAGTAGGAAAACTAACAAACAGAAAGGACATCCACACCAAAACCCCATCTGTACATCACCATCATCGACGTCCAAAGGTAGATAAAACCTCAAAGATGGGGAAAAAACAGAGCAGAAAAGCTGAAAATTCTAAAAATCAGAGCACCTCTTCCCCTCCAAAGGAACACAGCTCCTTGCCAGCAATGGAACAAAGCTGGATGGAGAATGACTTTGACGAGTTGAGAGAAGAAGGCTTCAGATGATCAAAGTTCTCTGAGCTAAAGGAGGAAGTACGAACCCTTTGCAAAGAAGCTAAAAACCTTGAAAAAAGATTAGACGAATGGCTAACTAGAATAAGCAGTGTAGAGAAGTCCTTAAATGAACGGATGGAGCTGAAAACCATGGCACGAGAACCACGTGATGAATGCACAAACTTCAGTAGCCGATTTGATCAACTAGAAGACAGAGAGGGTATCAGTGATTGAAGATCAAATGAATGAAATGAAGTGAGAAGAGAAGTTTAGAGAAAAAAGAGTAAAAAGAAATGAACAAAGCTTCCAAGAAATATGGGACTATGTGAAAAGACCAAATCTACGTCTGATTGCCATACCTGAAAGTCATGGGGAGAATGGAACCAAGTTGGAAAACACTCTGTAGGATATTATCCAGGAGAACTTCCCCAACCTAGCAAGGCAGGCCAAAATTCAAATTCAGGAAATACAGAGAAGAGAATGCCACAAAGATACTCCTCGAGAAGAGCAACTCCAAGACACATAATTGTCAGATTCACCAAAGTTGAAATGAAGGAAAAAATGTTAAGGGCAGCCAGAGAGAAAGGTCGGGTTACCCACAAAGGGAAGCCCATCAGACTAACAATGGATCTCTCAGCAGAAACTCTACAAGCCAGAAGAGAGTGGGGGCCAATATTCAACATTCTTAAAGAAAAGAATTTTCAACCCAGAATTTCATATCCAGCCAACGTAAGCTTCATAAGTGAAGGAGAAATAAAATCCTTTACAGACAAGCAAATGCTGAGAGATTTTGTCACCACTAGACCTGCCCTACAAGAGCTACTGAAGGAAGCACTAAACATGGAAAGGCACAACCAGTACCAGCCCCTGCAAAAACATGCCAAATTGTAAAGACCATCGATGCTAGGAAGAAACTGCATCAACTAACGAGCAAAATAACCAGCTAACATCATAATGACAGGATCAAATTCACACATAACAATATTAATCTTAAATGTAAATGGGCTAAATACTCCAATTAAAAGACACAGACTGGCAAATTGGATAAAGAGTCAAGACCCATCAGTGTGCTATATTCAGGAGACCCATCTCATGTGCAGAGACACACATAGGCTCAAAATAAAGGGATGGATGAAGATCTACCAAGCAAATGGAAAGCAAAAAAAGGCAGGGGTTGCAATACTAGTCTGTGATATAACAGACTTTCAACCAACAAAGATCAAAAGAGACAAAGAAGGCCATTACATAATGGTAAAGGGATCAATTCAACAAGAAGAACTAACTATCCTAAATATATATGCACCCAATACAGGAGCACCCAGATTCATAAAGCAAGTCCTTAGAGACCTACAAAGAGACTTAGACTCCCACACAATAATAATGGGAGACTTTAACACCCCACTGTCAACATTAGACAGATCAATGAGACAGAAAGTTAACAAGGATATCCAGGAATTGAATTCAGCTCTGCACCAAGCAGACCTAATAGTCATCTACAGAACTCTCCACCCCAAATCAACAGAATATACATTCTTCTCAGCACCACACCGCACCTATTCCAAAACTGACCACATAGTTGGAAATAAAGCACTCCTCAGCAAATGTAGAACAGAAATTACAACAGTCTCTCAGACAACAGTGCAATCAAACTAGAACTCGGGATTAAGAAACTCACTCAAAACCTCTCAACTACATGGCAACTGAACAACCTGCTCCTGAATGACTACTGGGTACACAACGAAATGAAGGCAGAAATGAAGTTGTTCTTTGAAACCAACGAGAAAAAAGACAAAACATACCAGAATCTCTGGGACACATTCAAAGCAGTGTGTAGAGGGAAATTTATAGCACTAAATGCCCACAAGAGAAAGCAGGAAAGATCTAAAGTTGACACCCTAACATCACAATTAAAAGAACTACAGAAGCAAGAGCAAACACATTCAAAAGCTAGCAGAAGGCAAGAAATAACAGATCAGAGCAGAACTGAAGGAGATAGATAGAGACACAAAAAACCCTTCAAAAAATCAATGAATCCAGGAGCTAGTTTTTTGAAAAGATCAACAAAATTGATAGACTGCTAGCAAGACTAATAAAGAAGAAAAGAGAGAAGGATCAAATAGATGCAATAAAAAAATGATAAAGGGGATATCACCACTGATCCTACAGAAATACAAACTACCATCAGAGAATACTATAAACACCTCTATGCAAATAAACTAGAAAATCCAGAAGAAATGGATAAATTCCTGGACACATACACTCTCCCAAGACTAAACCAGGAAGAAGTTGAATCTCTTAATAGACCAATAACAGGCTCTGAAATTGAGGCGATAATTAATAGCTTACCAACCAAAAAAAGTCCAGGACCAGATGGATTCACAGCCGAATTCTACCAGAGGTACAAGGAGGAGCTGGTACCATTCCTTCTGAAACTATTCTAATCAATAGAAAAAGAGGGAATCCTCCCTAACTAATTTTATGAGGCCAGCATCAAAGTCTGGCAGATACACAACCAAAAAAGAGAATTTTAAACCAATATCCCTGATGAACATCAATGCAAAAATCCTCAATAAAATACTGGCAAACCGAATCCAGCAGCACATCAAAAAGCTTATCCACCATGATCAAGTGGGCTTCATCCCTGGGATGCAAGGCTGGTTCAACATACACAAATCAATAAATGTAATCCAGCACAGAAACAGAACCAAAGACAAAAACCACATGATTATCTCAATAGATGCAGAAAAGGCCTTCCACAAAATTCAACAGCCCTTCATGCTAAAAACTCTCAATAAATTAGGTATTGATGGGACATATCAAAAAATAATAAGAACTATTTATTACAAACCCATGGCCAATATCATACTGAATGGGCAAAAACGGGAAGCACTCCCTTTGAAAACTGGCACAAGACAGGGATGCCCTCTTTCACCACTCCAATTCAACATAGTGTTGGAAGTTCTGGCCAGGGCAATCAGGCAGGAGAAAGAAATAAAGGGTATTCAATTAGGAAAAGAGGAAGTAAAATTGTCCCTGTTTGCAGATGACTTGATGATTGTATATTTAGAAAACCCCATCATGTCAGCCCTAGATCTCCTTAAGCTGATAAGCAACTTCAGCAAAGCCTCAGGATACAAAATCAATGTGCAAAAATCACAAGCATTCTTATACACCAATAACAGACAAACAGAGAGCCAAATCATGAGTGAACTCCCATTCACCATTGCTTCAAAGAGAATAAAATACCTAAGAGAATAAACTACCAACTTACTTACAAGGCATGTGAAGGACCTCTTCAAGCAGAACTACAAACCACTGCTTAATGAAATAAAAGAGGACACAAACAAATGGAAGAACATTCCATGCTCATGGATAGGAAGAATCAATATCATGAAAATGGCCATACTGCCCAAGGTAATTTATAGATTCAATGCCATCCCCATCAAGCTACCAATGACTTTCTTCACAGAATTGGAAACAACTACTTTAAAGTTCATATGAAACCAAAAAAGAGCCCACATCGCCAAGTCAATGCTAAGCCAAAAGAACAAAGCTGGAGGCATCACACTACCTGACTTCAAACTATACTACAAGGCTACAGTAAACAAAACAGCATGGTACTGGTGCCACAACACAGATATAGACCAATGGAACAGAACAGAGCCCTCAGAAATAATACCACACATCTACAACTATCTAATCTTTGACAAACCTGACAAAAACAAGAAATGGGGAAAGCATTCTCTATTTAATAAATAAATGGTGCTGGGAAAACTGGCTAGCCATAAGTAGAAAGCTGAAACTGGATCCCTTCCTTACACCTTATACAAAAATTAATTCAAGATGAATTAAAGACGTACATGTTAGACCTAAAACCATAAAAATCCTAGAAGAAAACCTAGGCAACACCGTTCAGGACATAGGCATGGGCAAGGACTTCATGTCTAAAACACCAAAAGCAATGGCAACAAAAGCCAAAACTGACAAATGGTATCTAATTAAACTAAAGAGCTTCTGCACAGTAAAAGAAACTACCATCAGAGTGAACAGGCAACCTACAGAATGGGAGAAAATTTTTGCAATCTACTCATCTGACAAAGGGCTAATATCCAGAATCTAAAAAGAACTCAAACAAATTTACAAGAAAAAAACAACCCCATCAAAAAGTGGGCAAAGTATATGAACAGACACTTCTCAAAAGAGGACATTTGTGCAGCCAACAGACACATGAAAAAATGCTCATCATCACTGGCTATCAGAGAAGTGCAAATCAAAACCACAATAAAATATCATCTCACACCAGTTAGAATGGCGATCATTAAAAAGTCAGGAAACAACAGGTGCTGGAGAGGATGTGGAGAAATAGGAACACTTTGATACTGTTGGTGGGACTGTAAACTAGTTCAACCATTGTGGAAGTCAGTGTGGCGATTCCTCAAGGATCTAGAACTAGAAATACCATTTGACCCAGCCAACCCATTAGTGGGTATATACCCAAAGGATTATAAATCATGCTTCTATAAAGACACATGCACACGTATGTTTATTTAGGCCCTATTCACAATAGCAAACGCTTGGAAGCAACCCAAATGTCCATCAATGATGGGCTGGATTAAGAAAATGTGGCACATATGTACCATGGAATACTATGCAGCCATAAAAAATGGTGAGTTAGTGTCCTTTGCAGGGACATGGATGAAGCTGGAAACCATCATTCTGAGCAAACTATCGCAAGGACAAAAAACCAAACACCGCATGTTCTCACTCATAGGTGGGAATTGAACACTGAGAACACTTGGACACAGGAAGGGGAACATCACACACCGGGGCCTGTCATGGGGTGGGGGGAGGGGGAGGGATAGCATTAGGAGGTATACCTAATATGAATGATGCATTAATGTGTGCAGCACACAAACATGGCAGATGTATACATATGTAACAAACCTGCACGTTGTGCACATGTACCCTAGAACTTAAAGGATAATAAAATATACATATATATATTTCTATATATATATATATGTATAGAAAAGAAATAAGCTGAAACAGAGGAGGATGCTGATTAGGTAGCCAGAAGCTATTCTGTGTAACATGCATCTATTTTGTTAGATGCATTGCTTTAGTCTTTGCATCCCAATCTCTGTTTTTAATATGGTAACTCTTGTCTTCTGTTAATAACAGCGAATATTTTGCTTCAAAGGGGCATTCATACTGTCTTCACTCCTGAGCTGTCATTGAGATAACTCCAAAGAATCAAAATGTAAATACACTATAAAAATATAGTGGAAAAACTCAATGTTTATTTATTGAGCAAAAAGCTTACCTTTCCAAGGTTGTTATTTTTCTTTTATAGACTTGTGAGCTCTTAAAAAATAATTTGACAAGTAGAAGTGTTTTGACTGACACCATCTTACTTCTTTGTGCTCAAATTGAGAGGTAAAATAAATGCAAAAATATCCCCAATTCACTTGTCTGTCATACACAATAGGAATATTAAATTACAGCACAAACGTTATGGGATGTTCCAAAACTATGCTATTATAGACTGTTGGAGCAAGATAGCAAACCCAGTTAAATTCTGCAGAAGTGTTGATGTACCAGAGCCAACGCATTTAGGACTCCAAATCAGTAGGTTCCAATGCTTAATCCCAAGACCAGTGGCATCACCATCATGAGGGAACTAGTTAGAAATGCAATTCTTAGGCCCTATCCCAGCCCCACTGAATCAGGATCTCTGAGGGTAAGTTTCAGAAATCTGTTTCATCTAACTCTCTAGGGGATTCTAATGCACCCTGAAGGGTGAGAATGCCTGACCTAGACACTATCACCACAAAAGAGTATGAGCCAAGGGCAGAAGAAAATACCTTCCAGGCCTGCCATAGAGGGGTGTGTGTGTGTGTATGTGTGCGTCTATGTGTGTACACATATCTCAGGAAAAATTTTCCCCAGTGATTTAACACTTCTGAAGCAATTCTGAAAGATTATTTCTAAACATCACCCATTTCATTTGGCCAACATTGTTAATTTTCCAATTAAGGGAAAATATGGATTCATTAAGACCCTATTAGCTCATCTATATTTAACCTATCCAACTCTAATAACCATATCTATTTAATATTTTCTCTCCCCTTTAAAATTTATTAATCCTTTTATCCTTCTTAATCACCTATCACTTTAGAAAAAAGGTTGTTTGTTTGTTTGTTTGTTTTGTTTTTTAGCCAATGATACCCAGTTGCTGTCTGGAAGATAAACCTCCTTCCATTTTCAGACACAAAAAGAAGTTGCTCTAGGTCTATTCATAGTTGTACGCTCATATATGACTGAGTAGTTCTAGTTTCTACACTATTATTTTCTCCTGTAATTGTAATTTGAGAAGTTCACTGGCTTTCACATTTTGGGTTCATTACAGCCATTTACTTTATTCATTTTAATTTATTTTTACCGTTAGTTTTCTTGTTAAAAATAGTCAATGTTGCCTTCCAATTATTTTTCAGTAGCAAATACAGCACACATAATTGATGACTGCAGATGAATTAATTTGTCATAATTAGCATTAATATCAGCAGATAGCATGTGTGGAGTGTTCACTATATTCTTAGTACTTTAATACTCTGCTAAGAACATTGCAAGAATAATCACCTTTAATGTCATAATTTTTCATTACCTATAAAAAAACAACTGTATGTGCTATTGATATGTGTACTCTCGAATCTAGATTTGAACTATTGTTTTAATGACTCCCAAGAAAGGGATCAACTGCACCATGACTTAGAGTACTTACTGACTCAATTTTATAAATACATGGAAATTCTGTCTCATTATTTTGAATCCATATCTTCCTTCTTACCCCAAACTATAGCACCCAGTGTGGTGACTACCTAATTACATAATCTTGGCTCCAACAAGGTTTGACTCTTTTCAAGAATCAGATTAACCTTTAAAGGAATGTATCTTACCTTTCTTACAATTATTTGTACTAAGGTGAGAATGCTTTCAAAATGTAAAGGTTCATATTTACATAGCATTTCATTAGAAAAGAAGCAGAGCAGAGTGGCTCAGAATATGGACTTGAGAGTCACACAGCTTGAGTACTAACTAGTTTTTTCTGTTCCACAGCAATTCAGAAACATCTCTGTGGGTGTTTCTTCCTCCATGAAATGGAAATATTACCTATTCTTATGGTTTGGCTGTGTCTCCACCCAAATCTCATCTTGAATTGTAGCTCCCACAATTCCCACATGTTGTGGGAGGAACCCAGTGGGAGGTAATTGAATCATAGGGGCAGGTCTTTCCCATGCTGTTCTCCAGATAATGAATAAGTCTCATGAGATCTGATGGTTTTATAAAGAGGAGTTTCCCTGCCAAGTTCTCTCTTACCTGCCACCAGGTAATCTGTGACTTGCCCCTCCTTGCCTTCCACCATGATTGCGAGGCCTCCCCAGCCATGTGGAACTGTGAGTCAATTAGACCTCTTTTCTTTATAAATTACCCAGTCTCAGGGTATGTCTTTATCAGCAGTGTGAAAACAGACTAATACACCTACCTTACAAGGTTGCCATGAGGATGAGATGACACAGAAGATGCTAACAGGTCCCCACAGCATCTGGCAAACAGCAAGTACTCAATAAATGGCAGATTTCTTGTGAGTGTGTGTGTGTGTGTGTGTATGTGTATAGTGTGTTGTATTACATTCTTAGCATGAGAATTTAATATAACTCGATTAGATTGTCCTATCCTCTCATACTTCCAAAATCATTCTGCCTTTCCAGACATGTTCTTTGACTTTTGGAATAAAAGATCACAAATGTGTGAAGGGAAGTACATGAAAGTGTGAACAGAAGTGCATAAAACAAAGAAGGTAGAGGAATGAGGACTGAGGAGTCTTAGAGCTGGAGACAGAATCTGAATGGAGAAGATCAAGTAGGGCATTGGACAGGTAGAGAAGAGTGGGTACTTGAATTAGTGTTGCTGGGTCCTGTCTTCTCCAGGAAATAACAGTAAAGACCTTGAGTTATTTTGAAATTAGTTTTAGTAACATGGACTATTTTCCTCTATCAGACCAACATTTTTCTTAATAGATAGGGAATGTAGTTTCAGTTTTCCTTTAGTAATGACAGAGGTGTGTGGACACACCCCAATTTCTGAGTTCTTATTTATAACACAGTGAAAATGATTTCCTGAAGTGAGAAATTCAAAATAAGCTCTCTATATTTATAATTTAATAAACAGCATGATTTATATATCTGACCAAACTTAACTTAATAATTATAAGTATTATTTAGCTTTAAAAAATGTGCCTTAAATCTCAAAATGAATGCTGATTTTCAGAAGCACCTTTATATGATTTGATGTTTCTCAGAAGCACCTTTATATGATTTGATGTTTCTTGTTCCCCAAAGATATTTCCATTAGTGGTATAACATTCCAAAGGTGTTAGGTTTTGTTTGTAATTTATGCATAAGAAATGAAAACAAGCAAGAGGATATTTCCAGCTTTTGGATTTATTAATTTTGTTCTCTAACAAACAACCTAAGCTTTCTGTGTCATATGGGTATGTGTGTTTAACTGACATAGGCATGACTAGGGATATTCATAAATCATAGTACCCTGTCCCTAAAAATCAGAAAAATTGGAAAGTTGATAGGAATTTTTGTCTCATTATAAGTAGAAAGTAGTTGAATGACTGGGTTGGCCCAGCTTTGTATAATTAATCCCAAGGAACCACAATGTAAATAAATTATTTAAAAATCAGGACTATATATTTAATGTGAAATCGTATTTCTCCAGATATGTAATTAGTAATAAGAGACATCCTGTTTCCAAAGATGTTTCCTTGTTCAAAATCAACCTAAAGTTTTTAAAATCCACATAAAACAATAGCACATGTAAATTAAGTCTACTTTTTTTTGTGTCACGCAGATAGCAAGCAGTGATAGATATTAACTACACAGATAACAGATATTAACTGCACAGATGTCAGATATTAACTATACAGGTGTCTGATATTTGTCATACACAGCAACCAAAGAAAAAGAAAGCAAAGGAGGTAGAGGGACATGTATTCAGCTTCTAATATGGATCAGGTTTTGTGCTTGATGTCATTATATACATTATACACATTAATCCTCCAAAAAATCCCCAAAGCTAAATTCAGCTTTCCTACAGCATAATGTAAATGAGACTACACAGATTGTACTCCTTTGTGTCTTTTTTTTCACTCTGAATAATTTTGCTCTCATAACCTCATAGAAAACAGTAAGTCGTTCTTTTTAATAAAAATCAGTGTCAGGATCTGAAACCAAACTTGTCAATTTTCTAAATTTATGCTCTTTTTATCCTTTCTACAGGGATGAAAAGCTAATGCATGGCAAATCTATGATCCTTTAAGAAATAAGGATAACAAAACATACCAAAAAATTCTCAATAGCACTGATAATCCTATTAAGAAAATTAAAATCAGATATTACCACTTACCTAGTAGATTGGTAAAAAGGAAAGTCTCAACAAAATAAGTTGGGACAAGAATGTTGACAACAGAAACTCATATCTGCTGGTGATAATATAAATTAGTAGAGTCGTTTTGAAAACATTTTGGAGTTATCTGGAAAGCTGGAAGGTTTGCATATTCTGCAAACCAGCTACTTCACTTGTAGAGTATGTGTGTGTACCTTGGAGGAACTCTTGCGTATGTAAACCACAATACATGCAAAAGAATGTTATGGAAACATTATTTGCAATAGCCCAGAACAGAAATAGCTCTGAACTATCACAGTTCCGAATTGAAATTAATCTGAATGTCTATCAAGAGGAGAAGATGTCTACAAATTGCTGTGTATTCACACAATCAAATTTTATGCAGTGATGAAAACAAATTTAGCACAGTTATATACAACAACATGAATGCTTCTAATAAAAATGCTGACCTAGAGATCCTCCTGCAAAATCACTTCAATAAATAGTGCAAGACAGAATAAATTTAGGTGAAAAAATAAAACCAGCAAAAGCAAAAATAGAGGAAAATTTCCCAACACATTTCAGGAAGTTAGGATAACCAATACAAAAATCAAATATCTATATCACCTATGAATATAGATGTAAAAACTAAAAATAAAATATTAAACATTAAATTAAGTAGTATATTAAAAGATTATTTTGAATGAGTTATGTTTATTCAAAACTTAAAAAGTTCAACATAAGTTTATTATTCAATAAATAGATAAATGAAAAAAACCCCAATTAAAACTCTAAGCAAACCAGGATTAGAAGAACACTTCAATAACCTTATAAATTATATTCAACAGGAATCGGACAAACCAGTAAATGTGAACTATGTGAAGTAGTTCATCAAATTCCCTAAGTTAGTGATTCCTGAAATCACCATTTTGATTTAGCTAGCCAACGCAATAAGTGAAGGAATAAAATAGGAGGCGTCAATATTGAAAAGAAAAAGACTACTATAATTTAAATACCACATTACCATTTTCCTCAAAAATTTAAAAGAAACAGGTAAAAATATTTTAGGACTAATAAGGAAGTTCATCAAAATGGTCTAATACAAAATATATACTTTTCTACATATTAATAAAAAACAACTTAAAAATAGAAGGGAAATTCCATTCAAAACAATCTATAAAATGCATAGGACAAGGACAATTCAAAGGAGAGCGGTTAGTCTTTTCAGCAAATAATAAAAGAACAACTGAACATCCAAATGAAAAAATAAATCTGGATGGGTATTTTATATGCAATTTAAAAATTAACTCAAAATGAATGAGAGATAAATGTTGTAAAATGGGCCTTTTTTTTTTTTTTTTTTTGAGACAGAGTTTGGCTCTTGTTGCTCAGACTGGAGTGCAATGGTGCAATTTCGGCTCACCGCAACACCCGTCTCCCGGGTTCAAGCAATTCTTCTGCCTCAGCTTCCTGAGTAGCTGGGATTACAGGCATGCACCACCATGCATTTGGGCTCATATATTTTAAAACTGCCTGCAAAGTTTGAACACCACTTCCTGGGACTTATTCCTAGAAATCAGTGATCTGGTTCTTTAATTTGTATTTCCCCCAGTATTCCTACCAGACAGAAAAAAATGCCCGTGGGAAACATAATATTTTTAGTTACATTACAACTCTACATTTGATAATCCTGCATACATATATAATGTAGAATTAACCACAGTAAGAATTTTATAATTAGCCTAGTAGCCATTCATCTGTGAGAGCAAATAAAAACGTCAGTCAATCTCAGATATGTAGATCTCCAAAATTTATCTTTTTCTTTAAAAAACAACAAATATACAGAAATAGTCAAAAGTCAAATATTTACCTGAGGTACTTCTGGATCAAAACCAAAATCTTTAAAAATATAGTTTTCAAGAATTAGAGTTGAGCCATGAAATCAATCGAGTGTATAGATGTGGACATTGAAAACTATATGTTTCTAAAACAGATTTATATGACAACAACAATAATTTATAGGCAATGTAATTAGGAAGAAAATAAAATTAAGTGGTAAAACTACTTCAAGGGACAAAGAAAAATATTGCTGTTTGCAGGTAATGTTGTCCACATAGGGTAGCCAATAGAATCTCCTATAAGAATATTAAAACAAAAGAATTCAATAATTTGGCCAGATTAAAAATCAGTAGCAAACATCAATAACCTTTCTGAGTTTAGGCAGTTACCAGTTAGAACATATACTCTAAAATACTATTAACAAAAGAAACAAACACAGCAAAAAATTTAAAACAGCTGTGCACTCTGTATATGAAAGACTGTGAAAGTGTACTTACTAAGTGACCAAAGAGGTCATAATAAGTAGAAATAGAAAGCACAAATTTGAATATAAGAATTGAATATTATTTATTAAAAATTTTTTAAAATTTTAAATTTATTAAAAATATTTTTATTTTTTATTAAATTTTTAAATTTATTAAAAATATTTTTATTTTTTATTAAATTTTTAAATTTATTAAAAATATTTTTATTTTTTATTAAATTTTTTAAAAATTATTTAAATTTATTAAAAATATTTTTATTTTTTATTAAAATAAAAATATTCAATTCTTATATTCAAATTTGTGCTTTCTATTTCTACTCATTAAGACCTCTTTGGTCATTTAGTAAGTACATTTTCACGGTTTTTCATATACAGAGTGCACAGCTGGGGATATCACCACCGATCTCACAGAAATACAAACTACCATCAGAGAATACTACAAACACCTCTACGCAAATAAACTAGAAAATCTAGAAGAAATGGATAAATTCCTCGACACATACACCCTCCCAAGACTAAACCAGGAAGAAGTTGAATCTCTGAATAGACCAATAACAGGCTCTGAAATTGTGGCAATAATCAATAGCTTACCAATCAAAAAGAGTCCAGGACCAGATGGATTCACAGCCGAATTCTACCAGAGGTACAAGGAAGAACTGGTACCATTCCTTCTGAAACTATTCCAATCAATAGAAAAACAGGGAATCCTCCCTAACTCATTTCATGAGACCAGCATCATCCTGAGACCAAAGCCTGGCAGAGACACAACCAAAAAAGAGAATTTTAGATCAATATCCTTGATGAACATTGATGCAAAAATGTTCAAATAAAATACTCAAAAAAATACTGGCAAACCAAATCCAGCAGCACATCAAAAAGCTTATCCACCATGATCAAGTGGGCTTCATCCCTGGATGCAAGGCTGGTTCAATATACACAAATCAATAAATGGAATGCGGCATAGAAACAGAACCAAAGACAAAAACCACATGATTATCTCAATAGATGCAGAAAAGGCCTTTGACAAAATTCAACAACGCTTCATGCTAAAAACTCTCAATAAATTAGGTATTGATGGGATGTATCTCAAAATAATAAGAGCTATCTATGACAAACCCACAGCCAATATTATACTGAATGGGTAAAAACTGGAAGCATTCCCTTTGAAAACTGGCACAAGACAGGGATGTCCTCTCTCACCACTCCTATTCAACATAGTGTTGGAAGTTCTGGCCAGGGCAATTAGGCAGGAGAAGGAAATAAAGGGTATTCAATTAGGAAAAGAGGAAGTCAAATTGTCCCTGTTTGCAGATGACATGATTGTATATCTAGAAAACCCCATTGTCTCAGCCCAAAATCTCCTTAAGCCGATAAGCAACTTCAGCAAAGCCTTAGGATACAAAATCAATGTACAAAAATCACAAGCATTCTTATACACCAAGAACAGACAGAGAGCCAAATCATGAGTGAACTCCCATTCACAATTGCTTCAAAGAGAATAAAATACTTAGGAATCCAACTTACAAGGGACGTGAAGGACCTCTTGAAGGAGAACTACAAATGACTGCTCAAGGAAATAAAAAGGATAGAAACAAATGGAAGAACATTCCATGCTCATGGGTAGGAAGAATCAACATCGTGAAAATGGCCATACTGCCCAAGGTAATTTATAGATTCAATGCCATCCCCATCAAGCTACCAATGACTTTCTTCACAGAAGTGGAATGGAACCAAAAAAGAGCCCACATCACCAAGTCAATCCTAAGCCAAAAGAACAAAGCTGGAGGCATCACGCTACCTGACTTCAAACTATACTACAAGGCTACAGTAACCAAAAAAGCATGGTACTGGTACCAAAACAGAGATATAGATCAATGGAACAGAACAGAGCCCTCAGAAATAACTCCGCATATCTACAAATATCTGATCTTTGACAAACCTGAGAAAAACAAGCAATGGGGAAAGGATTCTCTATTTAATAAATGGTGCTAGGAAAACTGGCTAGCCATATGTAGAAAGCTGAAACTGGATCCCTTCCTTACACCTTATACAAAAATTAATTCAAGATGGATTAAACACTTAAACCTTAGACCTAAAACCATAAAAACCCTAGAAGAAAACCTAGCATTACCATTCAGGACATAGGCATGGGCAAGGACTTCATGTCCAAAACACCAAAAGCAATGTCAACAAAAGCCAAAATTGACAAATGGGATCTAATTAAACTAAAGAGCTTCTGCACAGCAAAAGAAACTACCATCAGAGTGAACAGGCAACCTACAAAATGGGAGAAAATTTTCACAACCTACTCATCTGACAAAGGGCTAATATCCAGAATCTACAATGAACTCAAACAAATTTACAAGAAGAAAACAAACAACCCCATCAAAAAGTGGGCGAAGGACATGAACAGACACTTCTCAAAAGAAGACATTAATGCAGCTAAAAAACACATGAAAAAATGCTCACCATCACTGGCCATCAGAGAAATGCAAATCAAAACCACAATGAGATACCATCTCACACCAGTTAGAATGGCAATCATTAAAAAGTCAGGAAACAACAGGTGCTGGAGAGGATGTGGAGAAATAGGAACACTTTGACACTGTTGGTGGTACTGTAAACTAGTTCAACCATTTTGGAAGTCAGTGTGGCGATTCCTCAGGGATCTAGAACTAGAAATACCATTTGACCCAGCCATCCCATTACTGGGTATATACCCAAAGGACTATAAATCATGCTGCTATAAAGACACATGCACACGTATGTTTATTGCAGCACTATTCACAATAGCAAAGACTTGGAACCAACCCAAATGTCCAACAATGATAGACTGGATTAAGAAAATGTGGCACATATACACCATGGAATGCTATGCAGCCATAAAAAATGATGAGTTCATGACCTTTGTAGGGACATGGATAAAATTGGAAATCATCATTCTTAGTAAACTATCGCAAGAACAAAAAACCAAACACCGCATATTCTCATTCATAGGTGGGAATTGAACAATGAGAACACATGGACACAGGAAGGGGAACATCACACTCTGAGGACTGTTGTGGGGTGGGGGGAAGGGGGAGGTATAGCATTAGGAGATACACCTAATGCTAAATGACGAGTTAATGGGTGCAGCACACCAGCATGGCACATGTATACATACGTAGCTAACCTGCACATTGTGCACATGTACCCTAAAACTTAAAGTATAATAATAATAAAATTTAAAAAAAGAATATTTCAAAGATTTTTTTTTTCTAAAAATGAGTTTGGGATGGAAATATTTTTTAATCAAAATTTTAAAATAATTTCTTTTTAAAAATACTCTTGATGTTTCTAAACTTCATCTGGAAGAATAAGTGGGTAAAAGAATATAAAAGGAAACTTTGTAACAAGAAAAGGATAAGAAACTTGCTTTACCACATATTAAAATACATTATAAAACAACCATTAAAACTGTAGTTCTAGCCAAGAATCTGTAAATAGATTAATGTTTTAAAATAGAAATAATTAAATTCTAGCATGTTTAATAGGGGAATTTGGCATATACTAAAAAATCACTGGACATCAAAGAAAAACAACATAGATAATTGCATAAATGGCAATAAAAATTGACTTACATTTGTAAAAAGATCTTATTTATAGCTAAATTTCTTACAAGAGCTGTTTATCCTCACAGCCCCAATTTCTCTCCTCCACTCCAATGAAGTTGCCCTTGTCAAGGTCCATCAATAGTCTCCATCTTGCTAACTTCACTTATGCCACGTACTCAAACTACCAGCAAGTCCCATCCACCTTCCATGTATATTTAGAAGCTAGCTACCTCTCACTCCATCTCTACCACTGTCCTAGTTGAGAATACCATCCACTCTCCCCTGAATTATAACAAGTACGAGTGCTTACCTCCTTGCTGTTTCTCAAATTCAAGCAGGATAGCAGCACAGAGAAGGTCCTGGCAACAAGGTCCTGTCCTTCCTTCCCAAGCCCACATGACTCATTCTCTCACTCCTTCAGGACCACTCAATTATCACCTTATCAGAAACATCACTCCTGGCCACCCTCTATAAAACAGTGTCACTTTCACTCTGTGTTCACATCATCTCACTTTGTTTTTATTTATAGCACATCTCCATCTAACATTATGCACTTATTTGTTGATTTGTTTTGATATCTTCTCTCTCTAGAACATAAGTTTCATAAAAACAAAAAATTTAACTTGTTTGCTGCTATGTCCTTCAGCACCGAAGAGTGCCTGGTAGCAATCAGAAGACAAAAATAAAATAAAATAAGTTACATTTTATTTTGCCAAACCAAAGCCATTTAAAGAGCATTATGAATGAAAGCCATTATCTAAGTTTTGGAGCCTCCTTTTCTAGCCTCTCATTTCTTGTTTTATTTTTGCTTTTTTTAATTATACTTTAAGTTATGGGATACATGTGCAGAACATCCAGGTTGGTTACATAGGTATACACGTGCCATGGTGGGTTGCTGCACCCATCAACCCGCCATCTACATTAGGTATTTCTCCTAATGCTATCCTTCCCCTAGCCCCCGACCCATGGTCAGGCCCTGATGTGTGATGTTCCCCTCTCTGTGTCCATGTGTTCTCATTGTTCAGCTCTCACTTATGAATGAGAACATGTGGTGTTTGGTTTTCTGTTCCTGTGTTAGTTTGCTGAAAATAATGGTTTCCAGCTTCATTCATGTCCCTGCAAAGGACATGAACTCATCCTTTTTTATGGCTGTGCAGTATTCCACGGTGTATATGTACCACATTTTCTTTATCCAGTCTATCATTGATGGGCATTTGGGTTGGTTCCAAGTCTTTGCTATTGTGAATAGTGCTGCAATAAACATATGTGTGCATGTGTCTTTATAGTAGAGTGATTTATAATCCTTTGGGTATAATAAACATATGAAAAAAAGCTCATCATCACTAGTCATTAGAAAAATGCAAATCAAAACCATAATAAGGTACCATCTCACACCAGTTAGAATGGCAATCATTAAAAAATCAGGAAACAACAGATGCTGGAAAGGATGTGGAGAAATAGGAATGCTTTTACACTGTCGGTGAGAGTGTAAATTAGTTCAACCATTGTGGAAGACAGTGTGCCTATTCCTCAAAGATCTAGAACCAGAAATATCATTT
Source organism: Homo sapiens (assembly GCF_000001405.40). NCBI lineage: Eukaryota > Metazoa > Chordata > Mammalia > Primates > Hominidae > Homo > Homo sapiens. The sequence goes on from NC_000002.12 coordinate 208,778,224, forward strand.
GATGTAGCCTCTCATTTCTAACCAATAAAGATAAGTAATAACATGCTTTTTGTAGCATGGCAGAAGACATGTTATAGATATTGCTACAATGTCATATCAGAACTAGTATCTAGAATATATGAAGAATTTTCAAAAATCAACAATAAAACAAGGAAACAATTTAACCAGAAAATGGGAAAAAGACTTGAAGAGACATTTCACCAAGGATCTGGCAAATAAGCACATGAAAGAAACTCAATATCATTAGTTATTAAAGGAATGAAAATTAAAACCACAATGAGATGTCACTAATACACCTATCAAAATGACTAAAATAAAACGACAGTGATAACCCTAAATGCTGACCGGGATATGGAAAAACTGGATCATTTTACAACGCTAATGGGAATTTAAAATGGTACTGTAACTCTTGAAAAGAGGGTAACCACATATTAAATTGAAGAACTGGAGGTGAGGGAAAGACAAACATGAAATGCTCTTTGGTTAAAGTGTCTCTATTAATGCAAAATCTAAAGCACGTAAAACTGCCTTGGTGATTTAGAACATCTCTTATTCTTTCATAAGTTTTTAGTTAAATGTTCCCGTAATATACATAAAATATGCAAAAGTCATGATCACTTAAATTTTAAAGTCTCTTTATAAAATAAAGATTTAAGACAATCAACTTTTAACATAACCTTTAAAGAATGTACCTTGAAATCTATTATGAAACAGGACTGTACCATGTGTTTCATTCCATTCTCTCTCTCTACGAAGCAACTTTCAGAAGCAGCATTAAAGTGAATCTTGCTTTCTTAATGCAAAGATCTATTCTAATTAAATACATGAAGTAAAATATTTAGGAGTATCTCTGATAAAGTACTTACACTATGATACAAGCCAGCATTCCTGTTTTTAAAATATTTAATGTTCATTTGCTTTATAAGCTTCTTATTTTGACGTAATTATAGATTCCCATGCAGTTATAAGAAAAAATGCAAAGCCACGTAAGCTCCCATGAAAGCTTCATCTAGTTTCTCCCAATGGTCATATTTTATACAACTGTAGTAAAATATCACAATTTAAAAACTGACACAGATAAAATCCACTGACCTTATTCAGATTTTGCCAGTTTTACATACATTCGTGTGTGCGGTGTGTGTACTTCATTCTGTGTAATATCATCGCATGTGTAGACTCACCACTGCACTCAAAGTACAGGTCACTTCCATCACAGGGCTCCTTTGTGCTATCATTTTGTAGATGCTGCCAACTTCCTTGCTCCTTTATTCCCGAAACCTGGAAACCACAAATTTGTTTCTCCATCTCATTAATTTTTCCATTTCAAAACTGTATTAGAGGTGGGATGATATAGCAATATAACCTTTTGATATTGGCTTTTTCCACTCAGAGTAACTCCCTTGAGGTTTATCCAATTTGTGCAGGCAGTAATAGTTTATTTTTCTTGCTGAGTAGGATTCTGTGGTGTGGATGTATCATCATTTGTTTCATTATTCACCTGTTGAAGTACATTTGGGTTGTTAGAATTATTTAATATTTTACTTCATGTGTTATATAATTATATAGTTATATCTATAAATATGTAATATAAAATTTGATAAAAATTATGCTATAAATATAATTATATGGCATATAAGTACAGAAACACTATAATTTTTTCTTTATTTTCAAGGAAACGCATATAGAAGAGAGGTAGATAGGTATACTCCACATGTGATTTTGAGCCAGTTCTGCAGTATTTTACATATCACATCGTGTTTGGGAAGGTCTCCAAGTATCTTGCAAATATAATTTATTTATTTTAATATCAACTCCCTTTAAGGGGTTACATAACTTAGGGTCATTCCACATTTTATTTTCCTGAGACATTAACTTATGGTCTTTGCTTGACTTGTATATGAACTCCAAATTTGTTAACTAGTAGGGGTTCTATGAAATACATCTTTTCTCCTCATCTTTTTGTCTCTTCTACCCTCATATAATCATATAATTATTCAATTTTTCCAGTCATCCAATGGTTGTTGTTCTCTCCATGTTGTTTTTATTTTATAATACTTACTGTGCTGCTAAGGTTCTCTATTTGTACCGTTGAACACCATCTTCAAGTACTTTACTTTTTAAAAAATAAATATTATCTTGTGTAAACCTATGAATAATCCAATATTTTGTTACAACTGATATTGATTATAAAATTCTTTAGTTGCAACTTTTTAAATTCAAAGTTTTGTAACTATTTTCTCATTGTATTTTGGCATCCAGTATTGCAGAGAAAATACTAAAGGGCATCATAATATTTGCATTTTTGTAGTTAATTTCTTTTTATAATGCTGACTTTTTGCTTATTTTTGCTTTTATTCTTTGTAGCTCAAATATTTTGTCAAAAATTTTGTCTAGGTGTGGGTTTATTTCATCAATATTTTCCTGCTAAAATCTATGAACCAACTCAGCTTGTACATACAGGTCTTGCTTTGACTCTGAAGATTATTTGAAAAATTTAAATCTTCTATTCATTCTATTTTTTCTTTTCAAAATATCTGCATATGCACTTCATACTGCTAATTTTTTCTCTAGTGGTTTTTATTGCTTTTATTTTCTTAGAAATCTGTTTTTTGTTCTTCCTGTCACTGATTTGATTTTGTACTCCAAGTCTCCTGCTTATTTATTTTGGGTACTTTATTTTATATTTCTACTCTTGCATTTCAAGTTTCTCTTGCTCCTCTCTTATTTCAGTTTTGTCCTTTTTTATCTCAGCTTGTTTGATTCCACAGGATATCTTCCAGATGCTGTTCTGTTATTATGATTTTTTTATAGGCACGTATTACTTATTTTTAAACTTAGTTTCAAAGAACTTGGGTCTGCAAATACATTATTTTGACAATATGGATGGATTATCCTTGCTTCCATTTTGTGTCTGCATGAATGATGTTACATCTTTTCCAATTAGTGCAATTTCCAATCTCTGGCTGCCTGTATTTTTTTTTTCTTACAGTTGTACTTCTAAAAGCCCTGAGTTTCAGATCATCAGTCATTCTTAGTCAATACAATATATGAAATCCTAAAATTCTCAGAGCTCCCTTTCCTGCACTTTGCAACAAATATGAAGGAAGCTGGTTTTGGCAGGCCCGGGGTGTGTTGGCAGGGGTGGGTACTGCACTGAGGATTTTTCCTAACTTACATCATCCTGTAGTGTTTAGTAATGGAAGATAATACCTCTTAAAATGTACTGCAGCAGAATAGATACTTTGTTGCATGTGCTTTTTTCCCTGATTTCCAATTTCTCATTAAAACTGGTGACAGATTTAGCAGGCTAGAGATTGAGGACACTTTATGATGCTTTATGAAAGAGCTTTACAGTGGTAAAAGTAACAACACACAATTTTTAATAGTAGAAGAGATATAGAATATTTTCTACTTTTATAGATTGACTGTTCCATGATATGAAGCCAGACTACTCTGTTCACTGAAACGTGGATAGATTTTCTTTCTCCATCGTCTTCCAGCTATGTTGCAATTAATGTCAGTTCTTTCCAGATTCTGGAATAAAGGTCTATGTACATTCAGAAGTTTCTTTTTCACTGTTAAGAGTTATCATTTTGTGTTTTATTTTTATTTTTTACTTTTAGGAGAATTTGTAAGAAACTGAATTAAGGGTTTCTATTATGGTAACTTATTGAAGTTGAAGCCTGCAAATTTTTTTTATAAACAATTTATAAAGCACACACAAGCAATTCAGATGATGCATGAGTTGCTATTTAGAGTAGATGGTACCGAACCTGTGCTAGCCAGATGGATATTCATTCGTTTTCTCCTTTTCAAGGGAAATCTTGATTATTTTCATGAATGTATGCAGAATCTCCTAATACTTGGACTAAACAAGCTTTAATATTACTGGAAATTGTGAGGAATAATTTTCCGATTTATCATTAGAAATTCAAGCATATTTTTACCTGTTACATATGGTTCATGAAGGGATTAAAAAACATAATTGTAATTATTCATATAACCATGTGTCAGAAAATTTATGTTATGTAATCGATATTTCAGACCCTTAGAGGTGCTGGGCTATTATTTTTTGCTATGTAAGCATTTGTTTGGCCTGAAAAGTGATCACACACACACACACACACACACACACACACACGGTGTCTGAAGAGTTAGGAAACAGTGGAAAATTTATTTATGTATTTCTGAGACGGAGTCTTGCTCTGTCCCCCAGGCTGGAATACAGTGGCGCAATCTCGGCTCACTGCAACCTCTGCCTCTTGGGTTCAAGTGATTCTCCTGCCTCAGCCTCCGAGTAGCTGGGATTACAGGCATGTGCGACCATCCCAGGCTATTTTTTTGTATTTTTAGTAGAGACGGGGTTTCACCATGTTGGTCAGGCTGGTCTCGAACTCCTGACCTGATGATCCGCCCAACTCAGCCTCCCAAAATGCTGGGATTATAGGCGTGAACCACCGTGCCCAGCCAGGAAAACTTATTTTTAAAGAGTAATTAAATTATATTTTCGAATAATATGCTGAATATATTTTTCCTTTAACCAAAGCATTTCAGGTTAAGTAGTTTGAAGTGTAAAGTAATGGGATCAATTTTTAACCTGAAAAAATTCAGTATGAAGTATTTTATTCCAAGACTTAAATTCTTTGGAATGGATTCTTTATTTCAAGGCTTAAGTCCTTTGGGATGACTTCTACACTAATTTCTGGTTTTCTGACTTTTTTTAGATGTATGTGGCTGTATCTTTTTAATGATTTTAAATGACCATTTTAAACTGGTATGGACCATAAGAGATGTATTTTATCTCATACAAATAAAAGGCAAGAAGAAGGGCAAACTTCAGGTCTAGAATTAAGTGGCATAAACATGTATTTAATGTTCTATCTACCTGCATTAGGCAATTTAGGTTATATGCCTAGGCATGGACCAATAATTATAACTAGGAGAATTCTACATGCTTTTTGGGCTCAAATCTTTATTTTGTTGAGAAGAACAGAGGTAAAATGGATTCTGGGTAGGCAACAATTGCTAACATTTAAAAAGCTAAGAGGTCTCATGCATAAATCTGAATTTCTAGTTTCTAATAAAGACTGAAAAACTTTGAGCCTGTATTTCCACAACACATTAGCTGGGGTTGTGTAACTAAATGACTACCACCCCCTTGAGGTGAGACAGTCCAGCTCCTGTTTGCACCACTTTCAGCCACTTAGGATTATTTTGTATGCCTTGTTTACTTCACTCCTTTAATCACCTGGCTCTTGTAGGCATTTGCATTTATTGCTCCTGTTGTATTTTGTTTTACCACATCATATAATTTTCCCTAAACTCTTCTCAAGATTATTTTAATTCCAAGACAAGTCCTTTGGAATAGGTTCTACAGATTTTTCTTTTAATTTCACTAAAAAATGGGCTCCAGATTTAAAATCTTTAAAATTAAAAGTTTTATCTCCCATACCAGTAAAGTGATAAAATTATGTTATAATTACTTGTTTTTAATTTCTATTTTTATTGCTTAGTATGAAGCCTAATAAACCTAGTTGTTTTATTTTAAATTCACAGTATTTCCTCTTGAAGTTAGAATATTTTTCAGAAATTTTTTGTATATGTCTTCCTATATTTCTGTCTCAACCTGTCTCTGTATAATCATCTACATGTAGCTGATCTAAGTCATTTATATCTATGTCTATCTATCTAATTGGAAAATAGTTTTGGCAGAATTCTGTGGTCAGCTGTAGTTACCAGATTGTGATGAATAGCATTTTCCTCTTTTCTGGTTAGCCATTCAAAGGAAGAATGTTTCCTAACTTGATATATATAGTATTTACTAGATCTGATTTCTTAATTATCACTATGCTCCCAAACACTATTCTGTGCTTTTCAAATTTGTACTTCTTTCTTTGCCTGCTGATTCCTAATGTGTATCTAATAAAAAGAATTACCAACAAATAAAGATAAGAATAATAATTTAGAATTTTTCTTTTTGATCATAATGCACTCTGAAGACAATTTGATGTGGATTGAAACTCAGGGGTAAGAGGGGTGGGGCCAAGATGGCCGAATAGGAACAGCTCCCATCTACAGCTCCCAGCATGAGAGACACAGAAGATGGGTGATTTCTGCATTTCCATCTGAGGTACCCGGTTCATCTCACTAGGGAGTGCCAGAGAGTGGGTGCAGGACAGTGGGTGCAGTGCACTGTGTGTGAGCCGAAGCAGGGCGAGGCATTGCCTCACTTGGGAAGTACAAAGAGTCAGGGAGTTCCCTTTCCTAGTCAAAGAAAGGAGTGACAGACAGCACCTGGAAAATCAGGTCACTCCCACCCTAATACTGCGCTTTTCCAAGGGGCTTAAAAAATGGCACACCAGGAGATTATATCCTGCACCTGGCTCGGAGGGTCCTACACCCATGGAGTCTTGCTGATTGCTGGCACAGCAGTCTGAGATCAAACTGCAAGGTGGCAGAGACGCTGGGGGAGGGGCGTGTGCCATTGCCCAGGCTTGCTTAGGTAAACAAAGCAGTAAGGAACCTCGAACTGAGTGGAGCCCACCACAGCTCAAGGAGGTGTGCCTGCCTCCATAGGCTCCACCTCTGGGAGCAGGGCACAGACAAACAAAAAGACAGCAGTAACCTCTGCAGAATTAAATGACCCTGTCTGACTGACAGCTTTGAAGAGAGTAGTGGTTCTCCCAGCACGCAGCCGGAGATCTGGGAACGGGCAGACTGCCACCTCAAGTGGGTCCTTGACCCCCGAGCAGCCTAACTGGGAGGCACCCCCTAGTAGGGGCAGACTGACACCTCACACGGCCGGGCACTCCTCTGGGACAAAACTTCCAGAGGAACGATCAGGCAGCAGCATTTGTGGTTCACCAAGATCTGCTGTTCTACAGCCACCGCTGTTCTGCAGCCACCACTGCTGATACCCAGGAAAACAGGGTCCGGAGTGGACCTCTAGCAAACTCCAACAGACCTGCAGCTGAGGGTCCTGTCTGTTAGAAGGAAAAGTAACAAACAGAAAGGACATCCACACCAAAAACCCTTCTGTACGTCACCATCATCAAAGGCCAAAAGTAGATAAAACCACAAAGATGGGGAAAAAACAGAGCAGAAAAGCTGGAAACTCTAAAAAGCAGAGCGTCTCTCCTCCTCCAAAGGAATGCAGCTCCTCACCAGCAATGGAACAAAGCTGCACGGAGAACGACTTTGACGAGTTGAGAGAAGAAGGCTTCAGACGATCAAACTACTCTGAGCTACAGGAGGAAATTCAAACCAAAGGCAAAGAAGTTAAAAACTGTGAGAAAAAATTAGACGAATGGATAACTAGAATAACCAATGCAGAGAAGTCCTTAAAGGAGATGACGGAGCTGAAAGCCAAGGCTCGAGAAATACGTGAAGAATGCAGAAGCCTCGGGAGCCAATGTGATCAACTGGAAGAAAGGGTATCAGTGATGGAAGATGAAATGAATGAAATGAAGTGAGAAGGAAAGTTTAGAGAAAAAAGAATAAAAAGAAATGAACAAAGCCTCCAAGAAATATGGGACTATGTGAAAAGACCAAATTTACGTCTGATTGGCATACCTGAAAGTGATGGGGAGAATGGAACCAAGTTGGAAAACACTCTGCAGGATATTATCCAGGAGAACTTCCCCAATCTAGCAAGGCAGGCCAACATTCACATTCAGGAAATACAGAGAACGCCACAAAGATACTCCTCGAGAAGAGCAACTCCAAGACACATAATTGTCAGATTCACCAAAGTTGAAATGAAGGAAAAAATGTTAAGGACAGCCAGAGAGAAAGGTCGGGTTACCCACAAAGGGAAGCCCATCAGACTAACAGCAGATCTCTCGGCAGAAACTCTACAAGCCAGAAGAGAGTGGGGGCCAATATTCAACATTCTTAAAGAAAAGAATTTTCAACCCAGAATTTCACATCCAGTCAAACTAAGCTTCATAAGTGAACGAGAAATAAAATACTTTACAGAGAAGCAAATGCTGAGAGATTTTGTCACCACCAGGCCTGTCCTAAAAGAGCTCCTGAAGGAAGCACTAAACATGGAAAGGAAAAACCGGTACCAGCCACTGCAAAAACATGCCAAAAAGTAAAGACCATCAATGCTAGGAAGAAACTGCATCAACTAATGAGCAAAATCACCAGCTAACATCATAATGACAGGATCAAATTCACACATAACAATATTAACTTTAAATGTAAATGGGCTAAGTGCTCCAATTAAAAGACACAGACTGGCAAATTGGATAAAGAGTCAAGACCCATCAGTGTGCTGTATTCAGGAAACCCATCTCAAATGCAGAGACACACATAGGCTCAAAATAAAGGGATAGAGGAAGATCTACCAAGCAAATGGAAAACAAAAAAAGGCAGGGGTTGCAATCCTGGTCTCTGATAAAACAGACTTTAAACCAACAAAGATCAAAAGAGACAAAGAAGGCCACTACATAATGGTAAAGGGATCAATTCAACAAGAAGAGATAACTATCCTAAATATATATGCACCCAATACAGGAGCACCCAGATTCATAAAGCAAGTCCTTAGTGACCTACAAAGAGACTTAGACTCCTACATAATAATAATGGGAGACTTTAACACCCCACTGTCAACATTAGACAGATCAACGAGACTGAAAGTTAACAAGGATACCCAGGAATTGAACTCAGCTCTGCACCAAGCAGACCTAATAGACATCTACAGAACTCTCCACCCCAAATCAACAGAATATACATTTTTTTCAGCACCACACCACACCTATTCCAAAATTGACCACATAGTTGGAAGTAAAGCTCTCCTCAGCAAATGTAAAAGAACAGAAATTATAACAAACTGTCTCTCAGACCACAGTGCAATCAAACTAGAACTCAGGACTAAGAAATTCACTCCAAACCACTCAACTACATGGAAACTGAACAACCTGCTCCTGAATGACTACTGGATACATAACGAAATGAAGGCAGAAATAAAGATGTTCTTTGAAACCAACGAGAACAAAGACACAACATATCAGAATCTCTGGGACGCATTCAAAGCAGTGTGTAGAGGGAAATTTATAGCACTAAATGCCCACAAGAGAAAGCAGGAAACATCCAAAATTTGACACCCTAACGTCACAATTAAAATAACTAGAAAAACAAGAGCAAACACATTCAAAAGCTAGCAGAAGGCAAGAAATAACTAAAATCAGAGCAGAACTGAAGGAAATAGAGACACAAAAAACCCTTCAAAAAATTAATGAATCCAGGAGCTGGTTCTTTGAAAAGATCAACAAAATCGATAGACCGCTAGCAAGACTATTAAAGAAGAAAAGAGAGAAGAATCAAATAGACACAATAAAAAATGATAAAGGGGATATCACCACTGATCCCATAGAAATACAAACTACCATCAGAGAATACTACAAACACCTCTACGCAAATAAACTAGAAAATCTAAAAGAAATGGATAAATTCCTCGACACATACACCCTCCCAAGACTAAATCAGGAGAAATTGAATCTCTGAATAGACCAATAACAGGCTCTGAAATTGTGGCAAGAATCACTAGCTTACCAACCAAAAAAAGTCCAGAACCAGATGGATTCACAGCTGAATTCTACCAGAGGTACAAGGATGAGCTGGTACCTACTATTCCTTCTGAAACTATTCCAATCAATAGAAAAAGAGGGAATCCTCCCTAACTCATTTCATGAGGCCAGCATCATCCTGATACCAAAGCCAGGCAGAGACACAACCAAAAAAGAGAATTTTAGACCAATATCCTTGATGAACATTGATGCAAAAATCCTCAATAAAATACTGGCAAAACGAATCCAGCAGCACATCAAAAAGCTTATCCACCATGATCAAGTGGGCTTCATCCCTGGGATGCAAGGCTGGTTCAACATACGCAAATCAATAAATGTAATCCAGCACAGAAACAGAACCAAAGACAAAAACCACATGATTATCTCAATAGATGCAGAAAAGGCCTTTGACAAAATTCAACAACGCTTCATGCTAAAAACTCTCAATAAATTAGGTATTGATGGGACGTATCTCAAAATAATAAGAGCTATCTATAACAAACCCACAGCCAATATCATACTGAATGGGCAAAAATTGGAAGGATTCCCTTTGAAAACTGGCACAAGACAGGGATGTCCTCTCTCACCACTCCTATTCAACATAGTGTTGGAAGTTCTATCCAGGGCAATTAGGCAGGAGAAAGAAATAAAAAGTATTCAATTAGGAAAAGAGGAAGTCAAATTGTCCCTGTTTGCAGATGACATGATTGTATATCTAGAAAACCCCACTGTCTCAGCTCAAAATCTCCTTAAGCTGATAAGCAACTTCAGCAAAGTCTCAGGATACAAAATCAATGTACAAAACTCACAAGCATTCTTATACACCAATAACAGACAAACAGAGAGCCAAATCATGAGTGAACTCCCATTCACAATTGCTTCAAAGAGAATAAAATACCTAGGAATCCAACCTACAAGGGATGTGAAAGACCTCTTCAAGGAGAACTACAAACCACTGCTCAACGAAATAAAAGAGGATACAGACAAATGGAAGAACATTCCATGCTCATGGGTAGGAAGAATCAATATCATGAAAATGGCCACACTGCCCAAGGTAATTTACAGATTGAATGCCATCCCCATCAAGCTATCAATGACTTTCTTCACAGAATTGGAAAAAACTACTTTAAAGCTCATATGGAACCAAAAAAGAGCCCGCATCACCAAGTCAATCCTAAGCCAAAAGAACAAAGCTGGAGGCATCACGCTACCTGACTTCAAACTATACTACAAGGCTACAGTCACCAAAACAACATGGTACTGGTACCAAAACAGAGATATAGATCTGTGGAACAGAACAGAGCCCTCAGAAATAATGCCGCATATCTACAACCATCTGATCTTTGACAAACCTGACAAAAACAAGCAATGGGGAAAGGATTCCCTATTTAATAAATGGTGCTGGGAAAACTGGCTATCCATATGTAGAAAGCTGAAACTGGATCCCTTCCTTACACCTTATACAAAAAGTAATTCAAGATGGATTAAAGACTTACATGTTAGACCTAAAACTATAAAAACCGTAGAAGAAAACCTAGGCAATACCATTCAGGACATAGGCATGGGCAAGGACTTCATGTCTAAAACACCAAAAGCAATGGCAACAAAAGCCAAAAGTGACAAATGGGATCTAATTAAATTAAAGAGCTTCTGCACAGCAAAAGAAACTACCATCAGAGTGAACAGGCAACCTACAAAATGGGAGAAAATTTTCACAACCTACTCATCTGACAAAGGGCTAATATCCAGAATCTGCAATGAACTCAAACACATTTACAAGAAAAAAACAACCCCATCAAAAAGTGGGCGAAGGACATGAACAGACACGTCACAAAAGAAGACGTTTATGCAGCCAAAAGACACATGAAAAAATGCTCACCATCAATGGCCATCAGAGAAATGCAAATCAAAACCACAATGAGATACCATTTCACACCAGTTAGAATGGCAATCATTAAAAAGTCAGGAAACAACAGGTGCTGGAGAGGATGTGGAGAAATAGGAACACTTTGACACTGTTGGTGGGATTGTGAACTAGTTCAACCATTGTGGAAGTCAGTGTGGCGATTCCTCAGGGATCTAGAACTAGAAATACCATTAGACCCAGCCATCCCATTACTGGGTATATACCCAAAGGAGTATAAATCATGCTGCTATAAAGACACATGCCATGTATGTTTATTGTGGCACTATTCACAATAGCAAAGACTTGGAACCAAGCCAAATGTCCAACAACGATAGACTGGATTAAGAAAATGTGGCACATATACACCATGGAATACTATGCAGTCATAAAAAATGAAGAGTTTGTGTCCTTTGTAGGGACATGGATGAAACTGGAAACCATCATTCTGAGCAAACTATCGCAAGGACAAAAACCAAACACCTCATGTTCTCACTCATAGGTGGGAATTGAACAATGAGAACACATGGACACAGGAAGGGGAACATCACACTCCGGAGACTGTTGTGCGTTGGGGTGGGGGGAGGGATTGCATTAGGAGATATATCTAATTCTAAATGAGGAGTTAATGGGTGTAGCACACCAACATGGCACATGTATACATATGTAACAAACCTGCACATTGTGCACATGTACCCTAAAACTTAAAGTATAATAATAATAAAATAAAAATAAACTCAGGGGTAGGAAATATTTTTGTTAGATGCTGTAAATAGATAATTGCATTTATATTTATGTCCTATGGTTACATGCTATTTGATCACATAGACATAGAACACAAATACAAATGTAATTGTAGCAAGAATTTTCACCAATGGTTTTTTAAATGTTATTCCTTAAATATATTTTCCCTGAATTTGTCATCTTTACAATGAATAGTATTTGAAGATAATATTGTTTTTATATGACTGAATTATGGAAATGATTAAAATTGAAAATAATCTTTTGAAGGTACATACAGGCTAGTGAAAGGCATTCAATGGACCATTTACAGTTGCTTCTTCAGCTACTGTCCTTAAAATGTTTATTTTTAAAAGGAACCAGTTCTTACCAAGCTTTGAGGTGCTATGACTTCCTTTGTCTTTCAGTCAAAGTCAGTGTTGTGCTTAAAGGAAATAAATGCTTGTGAGAAGTAAAACACAAAACTTCATGATAATAAGGGTAACAAAAATAATTCAACAGGTACTGACTTTCCAAATAAAACTACGTGCAACTTGAAAAAATAATTTCTTTCATAGAAGACATGAATCAACCCAGTATGAAGTTATGCATTATTCCTATTTGCACTGGACCTCTGTTTTATCTCTCCAGGAGGCAGATTTTCTATTTTTTAGAAAATTATAGTAAGAAAAAATGAGAGTCAAAGTAATATAAATGCTCTAGAAGCTCCTATCAATGTGGCAACACTAAATACTGAACATTAGGAAATCAAAGTACTTGGGGCTTTTAATAATTCTATTTTGCTTACCAAGCCACTGTTTTTTCAGCTCCTCTTAAAATCTCCTTCTATACAATCTTTAAACTGATTAGAGAATTTTTTAAAGTGAGTTTTATTGAGGTGTGGTTATGAGAAAACTCACCAATTTTAAATGTACGTTTTGATGAGATTTGACAAACGTATACACTCAGGTAATACCAGCATAATGAAGATACGCGCTATTCCCATTGCTAAAATATTCCCTTGTATGCATGCCATTCTTGGCAATTACTAATAGAGCTGTCACAGATATCATGTACTGATTTTTATATAAATGTAAATTTTTCTTTTACTTAAGTAAATACCTAGCCGTGAGATTGATAGGTCATACGGTATGTGTTGAAATATATAAGAAACTGGCAAACCATTCTCCAGGGTGACTGTTGTACAATTTTGCATTCCTTCTAACACTTAGTTATTCTGCGTCATCATTGGCACTTGGTATTGTCAGTTTTTTCCCAAACATTACCCATAGTAATGGGTGAGAAGTGGAATCACACTGTGGTTTTAATTTGCATTTTCCTACTGACTAATCATGTTGAGCATCTTTTCATGTGCATATTTACCAACTGGATATCTTCTTTAGTGACCACTTATTTTTTTTTTTTTTTTGAGATGGAGTCTCAATCTGTTACCCAGGCTGAAGTGCAGTGGCATGACCTTGGCTCACTGCAAGCTCTGCCTCCCGGGTTTACACCATTCTCCTGCTTCAGCCTCCCGAGTAGCTGGGACTACAGGCACCTGCCACCATGCCCAGCTAATTTTTTGTATTTTTAGTAGAGACAGAGTTTCACTGTGTTAGCCAGGATGGTCTTGATCTCCTGACCCCATGATCTGCCCGCCTCAGCCTCCCAAAGTCCTGGGATTACAGGCTTGAGCCACCACGCCTGGCCTTTAGTGACTACTTTTAACTGTTAAAATCATTTGCCCATTTTTATGATTGGGTTGTTTGTCCTCTTGTACTTCCATTGTACTTTACATAGGCAAAGAAAATGTGCAAATACATTTTAAATATGATATTATTTATAATATTATCAAATATGAAATATCTAAAGTTAAAATTTTAAAACATGCACAACTTTTAAGTTTAAAGCATTGCTGGGAGAAGTTAAAGAAGTAGTTGTTAATGAATAATGAATGAAGAGATACACTTTCTTCATGGATTGGCAGGCTCATTATTGTTAAGGTGACAATTTTCCTCAATTTGATCTCTGTATTTAATGTAATCCAAGTCAAAATCCTGGTAGACTTTTTGTTGAAATTAAGAAATTGATTCTACGTTTTATATGGAAATGCAAAGTACCTAGAATTACCACAATACATTTGAACTTACCAGAAAACAAACTCCACTTGGCTAAGATGTACTATTTATTTTATATATTGGTGGATTTTATGTGTTAATACTGAATATTTTTGTGTCTATATCACGTGGGTTATTTGTTTGTAATATTATTTCTTTGTATTCTTTTTTTGTTTGTTTGTTTTGAGATGGAGTTTCGCTCTTGTTGCCCAGGCTGGAGTGCAATGGTGCAATAACGGCTCACTGTAACCTCCGCCTCCCAGGTACAAGCTATTCTCCTGTCTCAGCCTCCCAAGTAGCTTAGATTACAGGCATGCGCCACCAGGCCCAGCTAATTTTTTTGTATTTTGTAGAGACAGGGTTTCACCGTGTTAGTCAGGCTGGTCATGAACTCCTGACCTCAGGTGATCTACCCGCTTGGCTTTCCAGAGTGCTGGGTTTACAGGCGTGCACGAACATGCCCAGCCTGTTTGGTTTTTAAAATCAGAGTAATGTTGACCTCGTATGATATGTTGGAAAATGTTGCTTTCTCTTCTATTTGGAGAGAAAAAAATGGAGGACTTTCTCTACATGATTTTAATACTAGCTATGAAACTATAGTAATCAGAAGAGTAGTGTAAGAATAGATTCATGGATTAGTAAATAGAATCAAGAGTCCAGAAACAAATCAGTCCATATATGTGAAAGTGACATTTGACAGTTTTCCAAAGTAATTGAATGGGAAAAGAATAGACTTTTAACAAATGCTGCTATAATTATTAGAGATATTCATAAGCAAGAAAATGAACCTTGATTCTTACCTCATACCATATGTGAAAAGTGACTTGAAATGGATTTTAGATTTTTGTGTAATAACTAAAATTATAAAACTTCCTGAAGAACATGTATGAAACATTATTTACAATTTTAGGAAGAAACATTTTTTTAAATGGTGTATTTGCTAGGGTTCCAATAGAATAGATGTGTGTGTGTGTATATATATATATATGTATGTATATATATAGAGAGAGAGTAAGGAATTAGCTCACGTCATCATGAAGGCTGACAAGTCCCCAGATCTGCAGTTGACAAGCTGGAGACACAGAAATGCTGATGGTGCAGTTCCAGTCCAAAGGCCTAGAGGCTTGGGATCCAGAAAGACCAGCGTTTCAGTATGAGTCTGATGGCAGCAAAAACACTGATGTTCCACCTCAAGGCAGTCACGCAGGAGGAAATTCCCTCTTATTCAGGCATTTTGTTTAATTCAGGTCTCAGCTGACTGGATGAGGCCTACCTACATCAGAAAGGTCAACCTTGAATATGATCCCAAACACCTTCACAGATCCACCCCAGATAATGCTTGACCAAATATCTGGGGATTCTGCCCAGCCCAGTTGACACGCAAAATCAACCATTGCAAATGGGCATGCACACAGATACAAATACCTTTAATGAAAACATTTGGATAATCAGACTTCATCAAAGTGAACGACTTTGCTCTTCAAAACATACCATTAAAAAATTAAGACAGACCCCAGACCTTAGTATTTGACATATTTTAGCATATGTCAGTATGAAAGTATTTGCAAAATGTGTCTGATACAGGAGGTATATCCAGATTGAATAAAAAATTTTTTCAGCTTAATTTTAAAAAGACAAACAGCTCTATTTAAAATAACACGTAATATATTTGAACAATCATATAATCAGAGAAGATAGATGAATGGATATTAAATAATCACATAAAAAGATGTTCAACATTTTTAATCATAAGGGAAATGAAAGTGAAAACCACAATGAGATATCATTGTGCACTCATTTGCTTCGTTAAAATTTAAGAAGGTTGACATTATCAATATCAATTGCTGCTGAAGATTAGAACAACTAGCACTCTCATACACATATACCTAGTTAGTAGAAATGCAAACTGCTATATTTGGTTCGGGAAGCCATTTGGCGTTTTCTGATAAAGGCAAATATTCATTTACCAGAAATTCCACTGTTAGGTATTTGCCTTACAGAAGTGAGCAAACATTGCCACACAAAGATTCGCACTTGAATGTTCATAGCAGCTTTATTTAAAATAACCAAAATATGTAAGAAATTTGATGTTTAACTGGCTAATGAATAAATAAATAGTGGCATATCAATAAGACAGGATACTGCTCAGCAAAACAATGACAACAAAACCACTACTAGGTGAAGAAATATGAATAGATCTCAAGAACATTATGCTAAGTGATAGAAGCCAGGAACAAATGCTCATGTACTACATGATTTCATTTCTGTGACATTCTAGAAAAGACAAACTATAGTGAGAGAAAGCAAATGAATGGTTTTAAGTTTGTCAGGGGCAAGGGATGGGGGAGGTAATTGTCTGCTGAAGAAGGGGTAGGAGACCATTTTGGAGGGTGCTGGAGGCATTCTATTTCTTGATTCTGGTGATGGTTTAAACAGTTGTATACATTTGCCAAAACTGATCAGATTTCACATTTGAAAGTTGTGAATATGATTGTGTATAAATAATATGCTAAAAATTCTGCTAACAGTGATAATGTCATGAATGAAGGGCACGAAAACGTTTTGTTCCTCTGTATATGACACTTTGAGGAGAGATCAGTTTTGTAGTTTTCTGTCTATGGATGCCTAACCTCAGAAACCTCAGAAAAAATTCAAAGCGATGCATGGTCCATTAAATAAATGATCTCTGTTCCTCAATAGTGTAAGAGACAAAGATTAGCTGAGAATTCATTCCCAATTAAAGGATACTAAAGAGACAAGACAACAAAATACAATTCATAATCCTATGCCAGAAGGAGACAAGTTCCATAACAAATCATTATGAGAATAATTGAACAAACTGGAATATGGACTATAGATTAAAGTCTTATGTCAATGTTACATTTTCTGAATATTTTAATTGTACTGTGGTTATGTATTCCAGTTCTTTTTTTTTTTTCTTTTCTTTTTGAGATGGAGTCTTGCTCTGTTGCCCAGGCTAGAGCGCAGTGGTGTGATCTCAGGTCACTGCAACCGCTGCCTCCCAGGTTCAAGAAATTCTCCTGCCTCAGCCTCTCAAGTAGCTGGGATTACAAGCACATGCCACCACACCTGGCTAATTTTTGTATTTTTAGTACAGACAGGGTTTCACCTGTTGGCTTAGGCTGGTCTCGATCTCCTGACCTTGTGATCCACCTGCCTTGGCCTCCCAAAGTGCTGGGATTACAGGTGTGAGCCACTACACCCGGCCATATCCTAGTTCTTATGAAACACACTGGATTATTATAAGGTAAATTTGGTAAATGATCTGATAGCTGTTAATGTATATCACTCGAGAGAGAGAGGGTGAGGCAAGATCGAGTGAGAATGAGGCTTATAAAGAAAATAGGGCAAAAGGTGAAAAATTAGTGAATCTTGGTACAGGATTGTGGTGGGAAAAATAATGACTCCCTTCAAAATGTCCATATCCTAATTCTCAGAATCTGTTAATATGTCGTTTTCATGGCAAAAAAGAAAAAAGTTACAATTGTAATTTAGCTAAAGATTTTGAGCTATAGATGGAGATTATCCTGGATTATCCAGTGGGCCCAATGTAATCACAAGGATCCTAGTAAGAGGGAGGTAGGAGGGTCAGAGTCAGGCAGAAAAGATGTAGGGACAGAAGCAGGCACTAGAGAGGAGAGAACATGCTACGTTGCTGGCTTTGCGGGTGGACGATGAAGTCCTGAACCAGGAAATACAGAACTCCAGAAGAAACGCAGGCCTATGGACCCATTTTAGACTTCTGGCCTCCAGAAGCCTAAGATATTGTAAAATAATAAGTTTTTGTTGTTGAAAGGCACTAATCTTGGCTAGGAAGCCAATACAAGTATAGAGAACGTTCTGTGTCAATCTCTGTAACTTTTCCATTTAAAATTATTTTAAATTACAAAAAAACTTCACAGAAAAAGAAGAGCCTGGAAATAGGCAATTAAATGTGTATGATTTGGGAAAGTTAGTCATCAGAAATATCTACAAGCAGATCGTTAGATCAGGCTCAAAAATTGGGTCATAGGAGTCTGTCAAGGTTTAGGCCTTCTAATATTCCTGTCAGTGTAAAAGCTTAACACAAAGATTGTCCTTGTTTGGCTGGAGATGGGCTTCAGTGTGCTGAGAAAAATTGCAATTAAAAAAGACAGAGTTTTTCTATTGTTACCCATTGCTATAAGCTGCAAACTGGAGTCTTAAGAGTGTGAAATTACAGACTATAATAGGGACAAAAATAGTGAATAAGTTGGTGCAAAAAATTGCCATTCCTAGAACATGTATGCGAACCTAATGCCCTAGTAATAGCAGGCCAGTTTTGCTATTTTTGAAAGCACATTACTAAGGAGATTGAATTTTGGCTCATTGACTCCAGTTTCCTAGAAGAGATCTGGAAAGTAAGTTCTCAAGATCTCATTTAGGTAATATTGTTGTGAAATTTTCTTTATCCCACGACTCATTTGATACTTTCTTTTCTATGCATTCATATGTTTGTTCTGACATTGTATTAGAATATTTTATTTGCTTCTTACTTTACTTTTGACCAAATATGCCATTATAAATGGGTTTATCTCCAAACCCTGTCCAGAGCGTGAGTGCTCGAGGAGAGCGTCACAGGTTCTTTAAGATGTGATATTTGCATGGCATAGAGCATTAAAACATCCCTTTACTTCTTTCTAGTAATATTCTTCACAAATATTACATACTTTCTTCACTCAAGATTTCAGGAAGATACAGATCTGTCTCAAAAAAATAAAGCATTATAATGTGCAGAGAAGGAAATTTAAGTGGAATAAATAAATCTTTTATAATTTTTAAAAAATTAGCCATCCTAGTAATTTCTATTATGGCTATGAAAGGATTCCTTTATCATTTTGCAAGTACAAAACAATAATAATGTTTTTATTTAAAAATTATCGCTTTTCATTATGTAGAATCCTGTACAGTTTTAATGAATATCATGAGTTATTGGCTGATCGCTTTGTATAAATTTCACAAATTTCACAGATACTTGTTTAAAGCAGACAGATGTAAAAGCCCCTGTGTGAGATAACTGGGCTTTGTTTCTCAGCTTATAATGCTACATATTCTGTATCTCCAACAAAATTAGAGAAATCATTTTGTGCCAGTTGAAGACACTTGCACCCTGGATCAAGCCTTTCCTGTCTTGCCATTCTGGATACCATTGATGGTATTTATTATTTATCATTATCATTCATATTTTGCATAAACTATTTAAGAAAATTCATTTTTCTGAATCCCTGCTATAACATTATATTGTCCTGGAGACATTATAGAATCACTATCATCATCATTTTAGTCAACACTATCAAATAAGAAAGTGAATGGAATAATAATAAAAACTCTCAAATTAATTATAATTTCACAGTTATCCACAGATATAGCAAATAATATCTCTGCCTAAATATTATAAAATGAACAAGTTCTGGGGTTAAATAAAAATGTTATAAGATATAGCAGAATGCAACTAATAAGGTCTACATAATCTATGATTAGCCGCTCTAGTTCCATTTTTTTCTTAAAAAGTAAAGTCATATAACTTATATCACTCTTTAGTTGAATTGCATTTGTAACCAAATTAGATGAAATTGTATAATGATTATAGCTGCATATGTATGTTACATATATGACCAGAAGGTTTCTCTTTAAAAATAAAAAGGCAGTCTTTATTTTTTATTTAAAAGATTTAAAACAAATAGCAATAATTTCCATTCTAAACTGAAGTTCCATTAACTGCCATAGACAGAATAAATAATAATATGACAAGATACAAGTTTCCTACATTTTAGCAAGTTCACTATGCATAAATATGCTTGAGGGCTTTGCAAGTAGTTAGTGACACTCTAGACCCATAAGAAGTATCATCTTCTAGCATAGGAAGCTTTCTTGGGTGTTAAGAACTCTGAGCCAAACCCCTGGATTTAGTTATCAGCTTAGTTATTAATTTCACAAATTGATTATAGTGCTGTTGAACATATGTCTGTAAATGCAGAGAGTTGTTCACAGTTAGATCCAGCTAAAATTAATTGCTTGTCTGATATTGGCTGCAGGACATATAAGTCCTTTCAGATTCTTCAGCACAGAGACTGGTCCTAGCATCCAACCTTGTACAGAAGATCATGTGGGCCCCTTCATGTACATCAGTACATGTTGGCTTTTAGCCCCATACAGTCTGACAATCATTATCGCCTCCAACAACATCACTCCCAATGCCAAAAGGCAACAGCTGGCTTCTGCTAAAGGAATCCTTCCCAAGAGTCTCTATGACATGTGGCAGAAGGAAGGGCATGCCTTGGTAGTCCCTTGGTAACTCTTGTTCACATCCCACACTGACAGCTCATAGCACCATTGTGCAGGAGCCCTGCTGTATGTCTTCTGTTTTCATGTCTAAGTTCAGGAGGCAGAAATTGCATCAGACCTTGTGATGCTAATGGCTGGCTATGCAGTATGAGTAGGAACTCAGGGTTATTCTTACTATTTGTGCATTTAGCTTTGAATGCAAGTGTAGGTGACAAAAAAGAGCTGGATAAAATATCTCTGAAAAATCTGAGCCTGGTAGCTGTGGTGGACCCGCTCAGAGGTTTCAAAGGTAATTAGGACTAAATGCTGTTTTGGTGGGATGCTTTGTCTCCAACATTGGAGTAGGGTTTTTACTGCTTCTCTTCAGCGTGGTATGGGCTTTTCACTGTAATATTTCAGAGACAGCTTTTTTGCATTAGCTTCCCAGTGAAAGCCACTGAGTGAATATAGAGTTTTGCTACAGTGAATCAACCATGGCCTATTTGCTTAGTGTCAGAGGCTTTCTTGTTTTTGGAAAACAGAATCTTCAAAATTGTAATGATGTGTGTGTATGTGTGTCTGTGTGTTTATGTATCTTTGTGTATTTATAAATATATTTCTGGATAATTTATGCTGAAATGCTTTTTATTTGCTTGGTTGTCTTGTCTAAACCAAGATCTATTAAGAAAAAAGGGAAACTAAAATTGTGTATGAAGGAAGCTATTTCTGTTTTCGAGCTTATTCATTTATGTAACAGCATGAGTAAGCTGCTGACACAGAAGCCTTCATGTTTAAATGACCTTACAGAAAAGGCTCATAATATCTAATTTTAACTATATTAGCTGCCATGTTCACTGATTTTTAAAATTGCATATGAAAGCTCACCATTTATGTAACGTTTTTCCAGAAAAGAGAATATATATATGTGTGTGTGTGTGTGTGTGTGTGTGTGTGTGTGTGTGTGTGTATAAACACAAATGAACTAAGAATTTGGTGGCTGTCAGAGACAATAAATGATTTTAAAATAATGTTTTAATTCTTTTTCCTATTAATCAATGAAATAAGATAGAATAATAACATAATATTGTATTCAGTGATGTAACTGAATTCATTTATTCAAAGTATGTTCTTATTACCATCAATTTCATCTTAAAGAAGGAAGAATTCCTTCTTGTGTCCTCTTTTCCTCTTGATCCTTTCTCTTTTGCCTCCTGCTAGATTTATCTTTTCTGAAAAGGATAGCTCCTATTTTTCTCAACTCTTCAAATTCTCCTGCTTTACCTGCTCATTCTGCTCTATAAACACAGATTGCATTTTCATTATCCTCAAACAATTAAAGTCTTCTTGTCAATCTTGCACTAACTCAACTATCTCTTCATTCTTCCCTTCATGAAGAATTTCATGAAGGTCCATGTTACTTTCAGCAACTTCTCTTCACCCACCAATTGCTTTTTTAAAGGTCACCTGTAGTCTTTGACTTAATGCAAAGATGAAATCTAATAATCTAAATGTGTGTAATTCTGCTTATTATTGAAGTCATTTATTTTTCATAACAACTAAATTAAGAAAGTAGCATGTATTAAATATAGGCACTGGCAGTATAGAGATTAAAGATATTACTCAGAGTCTCAAAAACTTACAGTTTAGTGAGGGCAATGGACATGAAATAAACATCATACAATGGAAGGCAACAACTCATAAAGGTATATTTTCTTATAGAAACATGACATTTGTTACTTGCTAACCAAGAATGTTTATCTAGGAACATGAAAATTTACTTAATTTAAAGAATTTTACGATGTGAGGAGGAGCCAAGATGGCTGAATAGGAAGAGCTCCGGTCTACAGCTCCCAGCATGAGCGACGCAGAAGACGGGTGATTTCTGCATTTCCATCTGAGGTACCGGATTCATCTCACTATGGAGTGCCAGACAGTGGGCGAAGGATAGTGGGTGCAGCGTACCGTGTGCAAGCCAAAGAAGGGCGAGGCATTGCCTCACTCGGGAAGCGCAAGGGGTCAGGGAGTTCCCTTTCCTGGTCAAGGAAAGGGGTGACAGACGGCACCTGGAAAATCAGGTCACTCCCACCCGAATACTGCGCTTTTCCGACGGGCTTAGGAAACTGGCGCACAAGGAAATTATATTCCGCACGTGGCTTGGAGGGTCCTACGCCCATGGAGTCTTGCTGATTGCTGGCACAGCAGTCTGAGATCAAACTACAAGGCAGCAGCAAGGCTGGGGGAGGGGCGCCCGCCATTGCCCAGGCTTGCTTAGATAAACAAAGCAGCCAGGAATCTCGAACTGGGTGGAGCCCACCACAGCTCAAGGAGACCTGCCTGCCTCTGTAGGCTCCACCTCTAGGGGCAGGGCACAGACAAACAAAAAGACAGCAGTAAGCTCTGTGGACCTAAATGTCCCTGTCTGACAGCTTTGAAGAGAGCAGTGGTTCTCCCAGCACGCAGCTGGAGATCTGAGAACAGACAGACTGCCTCCTCAAGTGGGTCCCTGACCCCTGACCCCCGAGCAGCCTAACTGGGAGGCACCCCCCTAGTAGGGGCAGACTGACACCTCACACGGCCAGGTACTCCTCTGAGACAAAACTTCCAGAGGAGTGATCAGATAGCAGCATTCGCAGTTCACGAAAATCCGCGGTTCTACAGACAACGTTGCTGATACCCAGGCAAACAGGGTCTGGAGTGGACCTCTAGCGAGCTCCAACAGACCTGCAGCTGAGGGTCCTGTCTGTTAGAAGGAAAACTAACAAACAGAAAGGACTTCCACACCAAAAACCCATCTGTACATCACCATCATCAAAGACCAAAAGTAGATAAAACCACAAAGATGGGGAAAAAACAGAACAGAAAAACTGGAAACTCTAAAAAGCAGAGCACCTCTCCTCCTCCAAAGGAATGCAGCTCCTCACCAGCAACGGAACAAAGCTGGATGGAGAATGACTTTGACGAGTAGAGAGAAGAAGGCTTCAGACGATCAAACTACTCCGACCTACAGGAGGAAATTCAAACCAAAGGCAAAGAAGTTGAAAACTATGAAACAACTTTAGACGAATGTATAACTAGAATAACCAATGCAGAGAAGTGCTTAAAGGAGCTGATGGAGCTGAAAGCCAAGGCTCGAGAACTACGTGAAGAATACAGAAGCCTCAGGAGCCAATGCTATCAACTGGAAGAAACGGTATCAGTGATGGAAGATGAACTGAATGAAATGAAGCGAGAAGGGAAGTTTAGAGAAAAAAGAATAAAAAGAAACGAACAAAGCCTCCAAGAAATATGGGACTATGTGAAAAGACCAAATTTACGTCTGATTGGCATACCTGAAAGTGACAGGGAGAATGGAACCAAGTTGGAAAACACTCTGCAGGATATTATCCAGGAGAACTTCCCCAATCTAGCAAGGCAGGCCAACATTCACATTCAGGAAATACAGAGAACGCCACAAAGATACTCCTCGAGAAGAGCAACTCCAAGACACATAATTGTCAGATTCACCAAAGTTGAAATGAAGGAAAAAATGTTAAGGGCAGCCAGAGAGAAAGATCGGGTAACCCAAAAAGGGAAGCCCATCAGACTAACAGCAGATCTCTTGGCAGAAACTCTACAAGCCAGAAGAGAGTGGGGGCCAATATTCAACATTCTTAAAGAAAAGAATTTTTAACCCAGAATTTCATATCCAGTCAAACTAAGCTTCATAAGTGAACGAGAAATAAAATTCTTTACAGAGAAGCAAATGCTGAGATATTTTGTAACCACCAGGCCTGCCCTAAAAGAGCTCAGGAAGGAAGCACTAAACATGGAAAGGAAAAACCGGTACCAGCCACTGCAAAAACATGCCAAAATGTAAAGACCATCAATGCTAGGAAGAAACTGCATCAACTAATGAGCAAAATCACCAGCTAACATCATAATGACAGGATCAAATTCACACATAACAATATTAACTTTAAATGGATATGGAATAAATGCTCCAATTAAAAGACACAGACTGGCAAATTGGATAAAGAGTCAAGACCCATCAGTGTGCTGTATTCAGGAAACCCTTCTCACGTGCAGAGACACACACAGGCTCAAAATAAAAGGATGGAGGAAGATCTACCAAGCAAATGGAAAACAAAAAAAGGCAGGGGTTGCAATCCTAGTCTCTGATAAAACAGACTTTAAACCAACAAAGATCAAAAGAGACAAAGAAGGCCATTACATAATGATAAAGGGATCAATTCAACAAGAAGAGCTAACTATCCTAAATATATATGCACCCAATACAGGAGCACCCAGATTCATAAAGCAAGTCCTGAGTGTCCTACAAAGAGACTTAGACTCCCACACAATAATAATGGGAGACTTTAACACCCCACTGTCAACATTAGACAGATCAATGAGACAGAAAGTTAACAAGGATATCCAGGAATTGAATTCAGCTCTGCACCAAGCAGACCTAATAGTCATCTACAGAACTCTCCACCCCAAATCAACAGAATATACATTTTTTTCAGCACCACACCACACCTATTCCAAAATTGACCACATACTTGGAAGTAAAGCTCTCCTCAGCAAATGTAAAAGAACAGAAATGATAACAAACTGTCTCTCAGACTACAGTGCAATCAAACTAGAATGCAGGATTAAGAAACTCACTCAAACTGCTCAACTACGTGGAAACTGAACAACCTGCTCCTGAATGACTACTGGGTACATAACGAAATGAAGGCAGAAATAAAGATGTTCTTTGAAACCAACGAGAACAAAAACACAACATACCAGAATCTCTGGGACACATCCAAAGCAGTGTGTAGAGGGAAATTTATAGCACTAAGTGTCCACAAGAGAAAGCAGGAAAGATCCAAAATTGACATCCTAACATCACAATTAAAAGAACTAGAAAAGCAAGAGCAAACACATTCAAAAGCTAGCAGAAGGCAAGAAATAACTAAAATCAGAGCAGAACTGAAGGAAATAGAGACAAAAAAAACCCTTCAAAAAATTAATGAATCCAGGAGCTGGTTTTTTGAAAGGATCAGCAAAATTGATAGACCGCTAGCAAGACTAATAAAGAAAAAGAGAGAGAAGAATCAAATAGGTGCAATAAAAAATGATAAAGGGGATATCAACACTGATCCCACAGAAATACAAACTACCATCAGAGAATACTACAAACACCTCTACGCAAATAAACTAGAAAATCCAGAAGAAATGGATAAATTCCTCGACACATACACTCTCCCAAGACTAAACCAGGAAGAAGTTGAATCTCTGAATAGACCAATAACAGGCTCTGAAATTGTGGCAATAATCAATAGCTTACCAACCAAAAAGAGTCCAGGACCAGATGGATTCACAGCCGAATTCTACCAGAGATACAAGGAGGAGCTGGTACCATTCCTTCTGAAACTATTCCAATCAGTAGAAAAAGAGGGAATCCTCCCTAATTCATTTTGAGGCCAGCATCATCCTGAGACCAAAGCCTGGCAGAGACACAACCAAAAAAGAGAATTTTAGACCAATATCCTTGATGAACATCAATGCAAAAATCCTCAATAAAATACTGGCAAACCGAATCCAGCAGCACATCAAAAAGCTTATCCACCATGATCAAGTGGGCTTCATCCCTGGGATGCAAGGCTGGTTCAATATACGCAAATCAATAAATGTAATACAGCATAGAAACAGAACCAAAGACAAAAACCACATGATTATCTCAATAGATGCAGAAAAGGCCTTTGACAAAATTCAACAACCCTTCATGCTAAAAACTCTCAATAAATCAGGTATTGATGGGATGTATCTCAAAATAATAAGAGCTATCTATGACAAACCCACAGCCGATATCATACTGAATGGGCAAAAACTGAAAGCATTCCCTTTGAAAACTGGCACAAGACAGGGATGTCCTCTCTCACCGCTCCTATTCAACATAGTGTTGGAAGTTCTGGCCAGGGCAATTAGGCAGGAGAAGGAAATAAAGGGTATTCAATTAGGAAAAGAGGAAGTCAAATTGTCCCTGTTTGCAGACGACATGATTGTATATCTAGAAAACCCCACTGTCTCAGCCCAAAATCTCCTTAAGCTGATAAGCAACTTCAGCAAAGTCTCAGGATACAAAATCAATGTACAAAAATCACAAGCATTCTTATGCACCAATAACAGACAAACAGAGAGCCAAATCATGAGTGAACTCCCATTCACAATTGCTTCAAAGAGAATAAAATACTTAGGAATCCAACTTACAAGGGATGTGAAGGACCTCTTCAAGGAGAACTACAAACCACTGCTCAAGGAAATAAAAGAGGATACAAACAAATGGAAGAACATTCCATGCTCATGGGTAGGAAGAATCAATATCGTGAAAATGGCCATACTGCCCAAGGTAATTTATAGATTCAATGCCATCGCCATCGAGCTACCAATGACTTTCTTCACAGAATTGGAAAAAACTACTTTAAAGTTCATATGGAACCAAAAAAGAGCCCACATCGCCAAGTCAATCCTAAGCCAAAAGAACAAAGCTGGAGGCATCATGCTACCTGACTTCCAATTATGCTACAAGGCTACAGTCACCAAAACAGCATGGTACTGGTACCAAAACAGAGATATAGATCAATGGAACAGAACAGAGCCCTCAGAAATAACTCTACATATCTACAGCTATCTGATCTTTGACAAACCTGACAAAAACAAGCAATGGGGAAAGGATTCCCTATTTAATAAATGGTGCTGGGAAAACTGGCTAGCCATATGTAGAAAGCTGAAACTGGATCCCTTCCTTACACCTTATACAAAAATCAATTCAAGATGGATTAAAGACTTAAACGTTAGACCTAAAACCATAAAAACCCTAGAAGAAAACCTAGGCATTACCATTCAGGACATAGGCATGGGCAAGGACTTCATGTCTAAAACACCAAAAGCAATGGCAACAAAAGCCAAAATTGACAAATGGGATCTAATTAAACTAAAGAGCTTCTGCACAGCAAAAGAAACTACCATCAGAGTGAACAGGCAACCTACAAAATGGGAGAAAATTTTCGCAACCTACTCATCTGACAAAGGGCTAATATCCAGAATCTGCAATGAACTCAAACACATTTACAAGGAAAAAGCAGCCCCATCAAAAAGTGGGCAAAGGATATGAACAGACACTTCTCAAAAGAAGACATTTATGCAGCCAAAAGACACATGAGAAAATGCTCATCATCACTGGCCATCAGAGAAATGCAAATCAAAACCACAATGTGATACCATCTCACACCAGTTAGAATGGCAATCATTAAAAAGTCAGGAAACGACAGGTGCTGGAGAGGATGTGGAGAAATAGGAACACTTTGACACTGTTGGTGGGACTGTAAACTAGTTCAACCATTGTGGAAGTCAGTGTGGCGATTCCTCAGGGATCTAGAACTAGAAATACCATTTGACCCAGCCATCCCATTACTGGGTATATACCCAAAGGACTATAAATCATGCTGCAATAAGGACACATGCATACTTATGTTTATTGCAGCACTATTCACAATAGCAAAGACTTGGAACTAACCCAAATGTCTAACAATGATAGACTGGATTAAGAAAATGTGGCACATATACACCATGGAATACTATGCAGCCATAAAAAATGATGGGTTCATGTCCTTTGTAGGGACATGGATGAAATTGGAAATCATCATTCTCAGTAAACTATTGCAAGGACAAAAAAGCAAACACCGCATGTTCTCACTCATAGATGGGAAATGAACAATGAGAACACATGGACACAGGAAGGGGAACATCACACTCTGGGGACTGTTGTGGGCTGGGGGTAGTGGGGAGGGATAGCATTAGGAGATATACCTAATGCTAAATGATGAGTTAATGGGTGCAGCACACCAGCATGGCACATGTATACATATGTAACTAACCCGCACATTGTGCACATGTACCCTAAAACTTAAAGTATAATAATAATAATAATAAAAAGAATTTTACAATATATTATACCTTAAAAAGGGATTATTTTTTAACTGGGAGAAAAATGTTGCTTACAAAAATGTTTGGTTTCTTAGATGTAAAACATGAATTTTCAATTCAATAATAGGATTTAACATAAACAAATAAAGAATCTCACATTTAAAAAAAAGGTTAAGACAACTGATTGAATTATCCAAACAATTGCTTTTTTGTGCTATGAAGTGCCTAGGTCATGCCTTCTAGAATTTTCCCATCTTTTGTAAAAACTTGATTTTTTCCCACTATTTAAATATCTATGACACATGATCTAGATTTCTGTAATATTAAATGTATATATATGCTTATATATAGATATAGTTGATATGTGATAGATAGATAGATAGACAAATAAACTCTCCTTGGTAAAATGGTACATGACCCTTTAAGGAGAAGTAGTGAGTTAAGCTGACTACATATTTTCAAGAGTTTTTTTTTATGACCCATGATAGATCAAAGGCTGAATGTTTTAGCAGGGGAAATCTTATAAACCTAACTAGGAAGAATAACCCAAACCCTTATGAGGATAGTTTAAATAAGATCCTACTTAAATACATATGAATAATGGCTTGAGACTGAAACCCCATTAAAAAGTTGCATTTTCTTTAGTCATTTTTACAATCTGTCTAATATATAACCTTTGTACGATTTTACAGGAGATAAGTTCATGACACACGAAGTACCCTAGGGGACTATGCTTCCATCTGAATAATGTGACCACAGCAGCTTCTTCTTTATAATTCACCTATAATTTTATCATATACTTTGGTTTTCATGCAAGACATTCATTAACCCAACCCTACAGCCAACATTCTCTATGTAGCTAGATATGAAGTGACTTGGCTTGAGAACTGCTCCTTATGGGGTAATGACTAATGATATTCATTCATACTCTCATTTTTGTTACATGTCGATTTCAGGAGCGAGGAGGAGAATCAGAGACTGTTTTAGAGGTACAGACAGTGGGATTAAAAATAGTAAAGAGCTCAGTTGTCATTATGGTGAAATCAATAGATGGGGGGCAGAAGCAAAAACTAGCTGCTATAGGATGGCATATCAGTGTCCGGTACTTCTTCTGGATCACAAGAGTCCTCCGTAGTAACTGGAACAGTTCCAACTATTGTTTCAGTCCTCCAAAGCCCAAATGTTTGGGTTTTTGTGTTTATATAATAAATGCCTAACAGGTTACTTAGCCATTGTCTGTTCCTTATGACTCAAAATGCCTAATGTACTATTTCAGCTTTATTTAGAAATGAATAAATGCTCTAATGCTGTATTATGCATTTGAAAAGCTGGCCAACTTTACATTATGTGATTAGCACATGCTAATAATATATATGCTTTTTCTAGTATTTTTCCATCAGCAATAATTATATTTGTTGGTAAATAATGTGAACAGTGTTGTGTGCTATTGCTTGAAATTCTGGGTTTCTTCATGTATGCTGGTGATGTAAAAATGTGTTTAAAAGAAAACTAACCAGTTCTGTTTAGAAGAATTTTTATAGTACACATTCTCTGAGAACAGTTATAATTTAAATGAAAATATCTGCTTTTATTTTTAATGCATTTCTTATACATTTAAATAAAATTATGGAGGTAAACATGTAATTTCCATTAGATGGAGGGTGGATAATTGGAGATTAAATATTTTTGCAAAAATTTGTTTATGCACATTTAAAATTTTTTGTTGTCATATGAATTAATCAGCAAATGTACAATATGTAAATTTATTTTGGGGACCCGTGAGGTTTTAGCTATATCTTTTTCACTTGTTCCCTAAGCCACAAAGGCAATTAAACAGTATGAATATAAAATGGAAATCTTTATCTGAATCATCTCTTTAAATTGATGTTCCACTTTGTGATAGATCATGCAATTTTGGTATCTCATGTTACCTATCACAGTGCTTTGATTATATTAATGTCTAATGAATGTAGATGCTTTGAATTATTTTAGGTTATCTTCCGACTTTTCCATATTATGTACTCCTGTAACCACTATCAGTCTTTACCAATATCCCTTACTGAAAAAAATGCATCTTTCAATTTGTTAAGGCATACATTGTAGATTTTGATTTAACACCTACTGGCACTCCAGAAACATATGATAATCATTATATATACAGTAACATCAGAAATTTAAATTAAAATGAACAAAATCTACTCAATTACTTATATATTTGATTTCATAGAGCTGATACCTATTTGTGGTGTTAATGATTGACTAGAGCTCTAACATAATATATACTACATCATCATTTTAGATTCTTGAATTTGATAATTAACCTAGCCCAGGTACTAGCATTTTATTGTTCCTAGACAGAGCTTTTTCAGCCTGTAAGATGATATAAACTCTTTCTTAAATTTTCACTGTTTTTGTGCCTTTAGCAAATATGACTTCAACTAAAAACTAGTAAAACACATTAAATCTTTCTACACATCACAAAATTCTCTGAAAGGTCTCCAGTGTGACCACTGTGGCTCAATACCATCATTATCATTGGAAATTTTATACATGTGTCTGACATGATTTGTTGAAATTGGCTGCTTCCTTCTGAGACCTTTAATGATAATTAAATTCAAATGATACAAAAGATGGCATTAATGTATTTGTTTTTCCCCTAGAATGATTGTCACATAATGTGTAGAGAAAATGGAAGAATCAAAGGCAAGGGAAACCTGTACAGTGGAGACACAAAGGGTCACTGGCAGATTTCAAATGATCCAAGACATCCTCAAGTAAGAGAAATAATTATAATTAATCCAGTCTTCAGCTGATGGCTTTCTCTGGCCAATAAACTTAAGGAATCAAGACTAAAAATGGCATTACCCTTTGCTCATTGGGATATTTGTTACACTGAAAATCATTAAGGAGGCAAAACAATAAAATCAAGCTTTTGTACCAGAAAAGAGCAAACATTTGGTTTGATATTTAAAATATATTTTAACATTTAGAAATGCATTTTAATATATAGATATTAATTTAAAATTTTATGATAGGAAATGTTGGTTAAAGATTATTCTTAACACTACATTTTTAGTCAACTGTCGCCAGCACAGTGAAAATTCAGAGGGTAATAATGATCTTCAACCAATTTCCCCATCCCACTGGCTTTTCCAGATAACACCTATACTAGCTATGTAAATTTGGGCATGTTGCATAACTCCTCTGAGCCACAGATTTATTTGCAAATTATCAGGACATTTCTGCATGTTAAATTAAAAGCATATGCAAACCAGTGTTATTGACACACAAGAGTTTCCTAGTAAATGTTAATTCCTTAAAACAATTGACAATTCAGTCAAAAACCTGTATTAAAGAACATCTTGGAGGATGTTCTTGAAGGATGCAGCTGAAAGTCAAAGGAAAGAGAGGTTTAATTGACAAGATATTTTATGTAAATTATAATAGTGTCTTACATTTGTAAATAACATTACAGTTTCCAAAGTGCTTTTATCTTATATCTTACTTGGGCCTCAAGAATTTTCTCTGATATATGTATTATAACATTGTTAAAATACCCATATGTATCTTAAAAAATATTTGTGTTTCATTGGGAGTGGAATCAATAGATTCCATACATGCTACTCATGTCTTAAACTTCCCTGTAAAATATCATACCTCTTGACTTCTCAGGTAGAACTTCTTCTAAAAACTCCTGACCTCTTTCCATACTCCATACACCTCACACCTTTCCCCGGAGATGCAATGAGTTGTCTGATTAGTGAATGAAGCCATTTGTCTGAATTTTATAAAAACAGAGACTATTTAGCCTCTATCTGCTCTCTCCTTCTTGGTGGAGCACTGTCTTGAAGTCTACATGATGGGGTAGGTCTTCTAGCCAGTCTACTGAAGATATATTCTCCAATTTTAGTTTTATTAATAAAGATAACATCATCCTCTCCATCTGCCTTACCCCTTGTTTGTTCTGAACATTGGTGAAGAAAGTTGAGCTATTTCTGTTCTCTTCAAACTCCAATATAACTAAAGAAAAAATAAAATCAAGATTAAAAGAGTTTGAATGACTAACCCAAGAATACAGAGTTAGTAAATGGGAGATCCAAGATACAAATCCACATTTCTAAACACCAAGTCTGGAGTCCCTTCCAATTTACCACTCTATTTATCATCTCACTTTTCTTTTACAATTTTTTTTCCAATCCTGGAACTTTCATTGGTTGGGCAAGCACTTAGAAGCTCTGCAATATGCAAAAGTTACTCAAACTCTCTGAGCCTTGTTTATTCATCTCTAAAGTGGAAATGTAATACCTCACTGGGCTATTGTAAGGATTAACAAAATAATGTACATGAAACACATCTTCTAGTAGGCACTTCAGAAGTCATGCTTATATTTTCTTCTTTCTTCCTTCATTCATATTAACACCAAAGGGAAAAATTTCAGTGTGAACTTTTTAATCGGTTTATTGAAATACGTTTCCACATGACATTCGCTGACTTTATTCTCACCACTAACTCTTATTAGGAAAACTGACATTTTCCTTTATGACTGTTATTAGTAGAAGATATCATTTCTTTCATCAGTTTTTCAGTTACATTTTTTTATAATTCCAAACTATAATCCTGCACTTGAAATTTAAGTAAAACACCTTAAGTGGTCTTATACTACCATTCTTAAAAGAACAGTATGACTTAGAAATTGTTACATAAAAAATACTTGTTGAGTAACTGTTACAAAAAGCATTTCTGACATTGTAGCCTCAAAAAATCATAAAATATAATTGAGGTAAAAAGAGAAGAAAATTCAGCAAAAGAAATAGACAAAGATGGAGTCCAGGGGGAGGAGCCAAGATGGCCGAATAGGAACAGCTCCAGTCTACAGTTCCCAGTGTGAGTGACGCAGAAGACGGGTGATTTCTGCATTTCCATCTGAGGTACCGGGTTCATCTCACTAGGGAGTGCCAGACAGTGGGCTCAGGTCAGTGGGTGCACACACCGTGCGCGAGCCGAAGCAGGGCGAGGCATTGCCTCGCTTGGGAAGTGCAAGGGGTCAGGGAGTTCCCTTTCTGAGTCAAAGAAAGGGGTGACGGACGCACCTGGAAAATCGGGTCACTCCCACCCGAATATTGCACTTTTCGGACCAGCTTAAAAAATGGCACACCACGAGATTATGTCCTGCACCTAGCTCAGAGGGTCCTGTGCCCACGGAGTCTCGCTGATTGCTAGCACAGCAGTCTGAGATCAAACTGCAAGGCAGCAGCAAGGCTGGGGGAGGGGCGCCCGCCATTGCCCAGGCTTGCTTAGGTAAACACAGCAGCCAGGAAGCTCGAACTGGGTGGAGCCCACCACAGCTCAAGGAGGACTGCCTGCCCCTGTAGGCTCCACCTCTGGGGGCAGGGCACAGACAAACAAAAAGACAGCAGTAACCTCTGCAGACTTAAATGTCCCTGTCTGACAGCTTTGAAGAGAGCAGTGGTTCTCCCAGCACGCAGCTGGAGATCTGAGAATGGGCAGACTGCCTCCTCAAGTGGGTCGCTGACCCCTGACCCCTGAGCAGCCTAACTGGGAGGCACCCCCCAGCAGGGGCACACTGACACCTCACACGGCAGGGTATTCCAACAGACCTGCAGCTTAGGGTCCTGTCTGTTAGCAGGAAAACTAACAAACAGAAAGGACATCCACACCAAAAACCCATCTGTACATCACCATCATCAAAGACCAAAAGTAGATAAAACCACAAAGATGGGGAAAAAACAGAACAGAAAAACTGGAAACTCTAAAACGCAGAGCGCCTCTCCTCCTCCAAAGGAACGCAGTTCCTCACCAGCAACAGAACAAAGATGGATAGAGAATGACTTTGACGAGCTGAGAAAAGAAGGCTTCAGACAATCAAATTACTCTGAGCTACAGGAGGACATTCAAACCAAAGGCAAAGAAGTTGAAAAACTTGAAAAAAATTTAGAAGAATGTATAACTAGAATAACCAATACAGAGAAGTGCTTAAAGGAGCTGATGGAGCTGAAAACCAAGGCTCGAGAACTACGTGAAGAATGCAGAAGCCTCAGGAGCCAATGCGATCAACTGGAAGAAAGGGTATCAGCGATGGAAGATGAAATGAATGAAATGAAGCGAGAAGGGAAGTTTAGAGAAAAAAGAATAAAAAGAAACGAGCAAAGCCTCCAAGAAATATGGGACTATGTGAAAAGACCAAATCTACATCTGATTGGTGTACCTGAAAGTGATGGGGAGAATGGAACCAAGTTGGAAAACACTCTTCAGGATATTATCCAGGAGAACTTCCCCAATCTAGCAAGGCAGGCCAACGTTCAGATTCAGGAAATACAGAGAATGCCACAAAGATACTCCTCGAGAAGAGCAACTCCAAGACACATAATTGTCAGATTCACCAAAGTTGAAATGAAGGAAAAAATGTTAAGGGCAGCCAGAGAGAAAGGTCGGGTTACCCTCAAAGGGAAGCCCATCAGACTAACAGCGGATCTCTCGGCAGAAACCCTACAAGCCAGAAGAGAGTGGGGGCCAATATTCAACATTCTTAAAGAAAAGAATTTTCAACCCAGAATTTCATATCCAGCCAAACTAAGCTTCATAAGTGAAGGAGAAATAAAACACTTTACAGACAAGCAAATGCTGAGAGATTTTGTCACCAGGCCTGCCCTAAAAGCGCTCCTGAAGGAAGCGCTAAACATGGAAAGGAAAAACTGGTACCAGCCGCTGCAAAATCATGCCAAAATGTAAAGACCATTGAGACTAGGAAGAAACTGCATCAACTAACGGCAAAATCACCAGCTAACATCATAATGACAGGATCAAATTCACACATAACAATATTAACTTTAAATGGATATGGAATAAATGCTCCAATTAAAAGACACAGACTGGCAAATTGGATAAAGAGTCAAGACCCATCAGTGTGCTGTATTCAGGAAACCCATCTCACGTTAGAGACACACATAGGCTCAAAATAAAAGGATGGAGGAAGATCTACCAAGCAAATGGAAAACAAAAAAAGACAGGGGTTGCAATCCTAGTCTCTGATGAAACACACTTTAAACCAACAAAGATCAAAAGAGACAAAGAAGGCCATTACATAATGGTAAAGGGATCAATTCAACAAGAGGAGCTAACTATCCTAAATATATATGCACCTAATACAGGAGCACCCAGATTCATAAAGCAAGTCCTGAGTGACCTACAAAGAGACTTAGACTCCCACACATTAATAATGGGAGATTTTAACACCCCACTGTCAACATTAGACAGATCAATGAGACAGAAAGTCAACGAGGATACCCAGGAATTGAACTCAGCTCTGCACCAAGCAGACCTAATAGACATCTACAGAACTCTCCACCCCAAATCAACAGAATATACATTTTTTTCAGCGCCACACCACACCTATTCCAAAATTGACCACATACTTGGAAGTAAAGCTCTCCTCAGCAAATGTAAAAGAACAGAGATTATAACAAACTATCTCTCAGACCACAGTGCAATCAAACTAGAACTCAGGATTAAGAATCACACTCAAAACCGCTCAACTACATGGAAACTGAACAACCTGCTCCTGAATGACTACTGGATACATAACGAAATGAAGGCAGAAATAAAGATGTTCTTTGAAACCAACGAGAACAAAGACACAACATACCAGAATCTCTGGGACGCATTCAAAGCAGTGTGTAGAGGGAAATTTATAGCACTAAATGCCCACAAGAGAAAGCAGGAAAGATCCAAAATTGACACCCTAACATCACAATTAAAAGAACTAGAAAAGCAAGAGCAAACACATTCAAAAGCTAGCAGAAGGTAAGAAATAACTAAAATCAGAGCAGAACTGAAGGAAATAGAGACACAAAAAACCCTTCAAAAAACTAATGAATCCAGGAGCTGGTTTTTTGAAAGGATCAACAAAATTCATAGACTGCTAGCAAGACTAATAAAGAAAAAAAGAGAGAAGAATCAAATAGACA
Source organism: Homo sapiens (assembly GCF_000001405.40). Taxonomy (NCBI): domain Eukaryota; kingdom Metazoa; phylum Chordata; class Mammalia; order Primates; family Hominidae; genus Homo; species Homo sapiens. The sequence continues at coordinate 208,814,777 of NC_000002.12, forward strand.
CAATAAAAAATGATAAAGGGGATATCACCACCGATCCCACAGAAATACAAACTACCATCAGAGAATACTACAAACACCTCTACGCAAATAAACTAGAAAAGCTAGAAGAAATGGATAAATTCCTCGACACATACACTCTCCCAAGACTAAACCAGGAAGAAGTTGAATTTCTGAATAGACCAATAACGGGAGCTGAAATTGTGGCAATAATCAATAGTTTACCAACCAAAAAGAGTCCAGGACCAGATGGATTCACAGCCGAATTCTACCAGAGGTACAAAGAGGAACTGGTACCATTCCTTCTGAAACTATTCCAATCAATAGAAAAAAAGGGAATCCTCCCTAACTCATTTTATGAGGCCAGCATCATTCTGATACCAAAGCCGGGCAGAGACACAACCAAAAAAGAGAATTTTAGACCAATATCCTTGATGAACATTGATGCAAAAATCCTCAATAAAATACTGGCAAAACGAATCCAGCAGCACATCAAAAAGCTTATCCACCATGATCAAGTGGGCTTCATCCCTGGGATGCAAGGCTGGTTCAATATACGCAAATCAATAAATGTAATCCAGCATATAAACAGAGCCAAAGACAGAAACCACATGATTATCTCAATAGATGCAGAAAAAGCCTTTGACAAAATTCAACAACCCTTCATGCTAAAAACTCTCAATAAATTAGGTATTGATGGGTCGTATTTCAAAATAATAAGAGTTATCTATGACAAACCCACAGCCAATATTATACTGAATGGGCAAAAACTGGAAGCATTCCCTTTGAAAACTGGCACAAGACAGGGATGCCCTCTCTCACCACTCCTATTCAACATAGTGTTGGAAGTTCTGGCCAGGGCAATTAGGCAGGAGAAGGAAATAAAGGGTATTCAATTAGGAAAAGAGGAAGTCAAATTGTCCGTGTTTGCAGATGACATGATTGTATATCTAGAAAACCCCACTGTCTCAGCCCAAAATCTCCTTAAGCTGATAAGCAACTTCAGCAAAGTCTCAGGATACAAAATCAATGTACAAAAATCACAAGCATTCTTATACACCAACAAAAGACAAACAGAGAGCCAAATCATGAGTGAACTCCCATTCACAATTGCTTCAAAGAGAATAAAATACCTAGGAATCCAACTTACAAGGGATGTGAAGGACCTCTTCAAGGAGAACTACAAACCACTGCTCAAGGAAATAAAAGAGGATACAAACAAATGGAAGAACATTCCATGCTCATGGGTAGGAAGAATCAATATCGTGAAAATGGCCATACTGCCCAAGGTAATTTACAGATTCAATGCCATCCCCATCAAGCTACCAATGACTTTCTTCACAGAACTGGAAAAAACTACTTTAAAGTTCATATGGAACCAAAAAAGAGCCCGCATCGCCAAGGCAATCCTAAGCCAAAAGAACAAAGCTGGAGGCATCATGCTACCTGACTTCAAACTATACTACAAGGCTACAGTCACCAAAACAGCATGGTACTGGTACCAAAACAGAGACATAGATCAATGGAACAGAACAGAGGCCTCAGAAATAACGCCACATATCTACAACTATCTGATCTTTGACAAACCTGACAAAAACAAGAAATGGGGAAAGGATTCCCTATTTAATAAATGGTGCTGGGAAAACTGGCTAGCCATATGTAGAAAGCTGAAACTGGATCCCTTCCTTACACCTTATACAAAAATCAATTCAAGATGGATTAAAGACTTAAACGTTAGACCTAAAACCATAAAAACCCTAGAAGAAAACCTAGGCATTACCATTCAGGACATAGGCATAGGGAAGGACTTCATGTCCAAAACACCAAAAGCAATGGCAACAAAAGCCAAAAGTGACAAATGGGATCTAATTAAACTAAAGAGCTTCTGCACAGCAAAAGAAACTACCATCAGAGTGAACAGGCAACCTACAAAATGGGAGAAAATTTTCACAACCTACTCATCTGACAAAGTGCTAATATGCAGAATCTACAATGAACTCAAACAAATTTACAGGAAAAAAACAAACAACCCCATCAAAAAGTGAGCGAAGGATATGAACAGACACTTCTCAAAAGAAGACATTTATGCAGCCAATAAACACATGAAAAAATGCTCATCATCACTGGCCATCAGAGAAATGCAAATCAAAACCACAATGAGATACCATCTCACACCAGTTAGAATGGCGATCATTAAAATGTCAGGAAACAACAGGTGCTGGAGAGGATGTGGAGAAATAGGAACACTTTGACACTGTTGGTGGGACTGTAAACTAGTTCAACCATTGTGGAAGTCAGTGTGGCGATTCCTCAGGGATCTAGAACTAGAAATACCATTTGACCCAGCCATCCCATTACTGGGTATATACCCAAAGGACTATAAATCATGCTGCTATAAAGACACATGCACACGTATGTTTATTGCGGCACTATTCACAATAGCAAAGACTTGGAACCAATCCAAATGTCCAACAATGATAGACTGGATTAAGAAAATGTGGCACATATACACCATGGAATACTATGCAGCCATAAAAAATGATGAGTTCATGTCCTTTGTAGGGACATGGATGAAATTGGAAATCATCATTCTCAGTAAACTATCGCAAGAACAAAAAACCAAACACCGCATATTCTCACTCATAGGTGGGAATTGAACGATGAGATCACATGGACACAGGAAGGGGACTATCACACTATGGGGACTGTGGCGGGGTCGGGGGAGGGGGGAGGGATAGCATTGAGAGATATACCTAATGCTAGATGACGAGTTAGTGGGTGCAGCACACCAGCATGGCACATGTATACATATGTAACTAACCTGCACAATGTGTACATGTACCCTAAAACTTAAAGTATAATAAAAAAAAAAGAAGAAGAAAAAAAGAAATAGACAAAGATGACAGGAGAAAACTGAACAAATAGGAGAGAAAATAAATTATATTTTATATAATCATAATATTTAAAAATTTTATATTTTATTTAACAATTATATTTTTTAAAACTTGAAGGAAGAATTTTTATGCCTGAAAAATGGAAAGGAAAATAAATTTTAGAGACAGATACAATGTATACTTCTAGATAGGAGAAGGTTTTTTCGAAATTGAAATTGATGGCACCAATGGAAACATTTGATTGTACGGTCAGATCAGAAAATGATTAAAATAAGGAAGTGTTAAAATTAAAAACATTATTTGGCTTACTGGAATTTTCATTGAATTAATAAATTTAATTAGATGGTTTTATGAAAATATGCCTAATTAAAAATTTAACTATAGCATCTACTTTTCCTATGTATTCTTCCCTCAACATGCTGTGTTCCCCACCATTTATTGACACTTTTACTCTAAAATGATACAATAGTATTTTTTTGCATAATTTCCACAGAACAGCTACAAAAAACACGTTAGTGTATTTAAAGGACTGAATAATCCATGGATGTGGTTATAAATAATCGTTCAGAATATATTGGTAGATAACAGATCAAGCTAAGTCTTATTCTTAATATTTTTTCATCTTTATTCTAGCTGGACACACTTTTGTATTTTTCAAGCTAATCAACATCTGTAAAGAGATACAAATGTCTCCTCAATTTCTGTTTTTGCAATATTGAAAAGAATATGATCAATGACTAATTTCAGGTCAACCACCTGGGAAACACTGCATTTATGGTTAAGAGTGGCTTGGAAACATCAGACCTCATGGCATGGTGCTGTATCTTCAGATCACTTAATACTCTGACTGTATTAAATAAATAATATTTATTTAATTTACCCCAGGTTTTCATGTGGGACATTTGTTTTCTGTTTAGCTATTTTACTGCTTTTTTTTTTTTTTTAACAGTGGTTTGAAGTGTTTTCTGCACATTTTGTCCCCTTCATTGTAGCTCTAGAAATTTATTTACACTAAGTATCAGATTTAGTTTTGGAGATAGATAAACTTAGGATTATATTTTTTCTACTCTATTTTCTGATGTTTGATTATTTCTTAAATCCCTTGATATACTTGTGAGTTAAAACCTGTATATTTAATAAGTAATTTAGAGCTGCTGGATAATTTACTGTCCCTCTTTGCTAGGAAGATAGAATGTAGGTGAACCCACTTAATCTAATAAAGGGCCTACTAGACTTCATCTTGAGTCACAGTTTTGAGAATAATTTGTTCATTTGTCATTTGTCCCCAACCTTCCCTGCTCCAAGGTGTAGTCTTCCAGGGGTTCCAGGTGCTAGAGAAGTCATAGTGGCTCCTCTCCCATCTTCCTGTGTTTCCTGAATTCTTGCTCTTGTCTCCCAGTTACTATGAGACTGCTTAAAACTTTATCCTGTGAAATTTTTGCTTGGCCTATCTTTAACCTGTTCCTTTTGCACAGCTTTAGAATTCGTCGTATTGTCACAGTCAAACTAGCAGAGAGAATGATTCTCTGATATCTGTTTCTCACTTATCACACTCCACACTCCTAGTCTTTCAAGTCTCCAGTTTTTTAAATTTTGGGCTCAAGACTCTTCCATAATTTCTACTGATTTTTTTTCTTAGTAGCACTATTTACCTGGGTTATTTGCCACATCCTCAGCCTCTTGACCTCAACCCAGAATCAGCAAATACTCAAAGGAAGTTAGCCAGTTCAGAATGTTGGCTTACCGCTCTGTGCTGTTCAGTCACCTGCATGGTTTTGCCATTTGAAATTCTGGTTATATCGGCTAATCTCCCCTGTCTTCAAACATAATTTTTTCTGTTTTTTAATTTTATTTTGTTTTGTTCTTCTTCTAATTGTCTTCCAGGGAAGATTTACCACAAGTTACTTTATCATAGCTTTGAGTGGCATTTTAATATCATATTTTAAAAGAAAGAAAACAATAGAAATGTATTAAAATATCTTCTCAAGGTAAGAATATATTATGGTATTTTATAAACACAAAAGTAGTCACATTAAAAACTGGTAAGTTCTTGGTAAATTAGATTATACATGTCTATCTCCAGTATTTTATAAAATGCATGGTTTCCTCAAAGCTGTAAAAGCATAAATGTATTTTTAAAAGGTATTATTGTCTCCATGAATTAGGTCTCCACAAGATTGCACTTCTTTTAATAAAGTTTCCATTGCTCCTGGGCATGCTTATGCAATAGATTAAATCCGTGTTATTTTTCTTGGTTAGTGTTGTGGGTTGATGGTTGCCTCTTCTCACAGCTGCTGCTAGCTATTCAGGAAGAAGCTTTGTAAAAGTGTCTGTGTGTTGGTGGAAGCTTAATTGTTCAGTGTTTCATTGGTTTCCAAGCTATTTATACCTTGACTATCCTCTATTTCAATGTCAAGTATCAATTACATAGTAACACTTTTAAAAAAAATAAGACAATGCACATTCTAAATGTGTGCTTTGGGACAAAGACACCAGTTACTAGCTCGCATTGCTTTTCCATCAATGTAATACATTCCTTTGACCATTTTGAATCAACTAGCCTCTGCTTTTTTCATTATCTGCTCTCAATATAAAGAATGCTGACTCTTTACAATTGTGCAAAGTTTTATGTCTGCAGAATGTACCCTCACCAATCAATATGAAATTAATATTTTCAGGTTAGTAGTAAGCTAGAGTTCCTTCCTTTTTGCACCTTTCCTGAGACAGTCTTAGCTGGAATAGATATGACTTTAATTAGTGTGAGCACTCTTAAGCCCTTTCAGTTAATGTAAATTAAGGCCCCTAGATGTCAGTATTCTGCTAGAAAGCATGCTATAAATAGTCACTAAATCACAGATGCTCAGCCAAAGAACTCTGTGAACAGTTAATCATCACCTTACATACTACAAGTTTCAAGTTGTTTGATGATTTACTGACAATGGACTTAGGCTTCTCATTCTATGAGAAAGTAAGTGATAATATTGATAGGATTATTCTTGGTCTCTAGCAGCTCTCCAGATGTTATTTTATCAAACACACACTCACTGGCTTGCAATAAGTGATGTTTCAATGTAAGGTACAAGGTTTCTTATCTCATACAGTGGGGATCATTTAGATTTTGAAACATACCTTTTTCATACTTCAGATAGCTTACTTTTATGACATTTTCTAAGATGCCATGTCTATAAATTGATATCAATTTACTTTACCACAGGTTACTTTATCATAGCTTTGAGTGGAATTTTGATATCATATTTTAAAAGAAATAAAACAATAGAAATGTATCAAAATACCTTCTCAAAGTAAGAGTATATTGTGGTACTTTATAAACACAAAAGTAGTCACATTAAACAACTGATAAGTTCTTGGTAAATTAGGTTATGTATGTCTACCTTCGGTATTTTATAAAATGCATGGTTTCCTATAAGTTGATATCAACTTACAGGCATGGCATCTTAGACAATGTCATAAAAGTAAGCTATCTGAAGTATCTCAGTTTAATGGTCCTAAAGCTGGGACATGCTACTAAGACATATTTTATCAGGCTCTTCTAATTATCCTATTTATGTGAATGATACTAATACTTTTAGACAAATTACTATGATGTCAATTGTCAGCACATTTACAAAGAAAGTAGACTAGGTCTTCTGTCCTCTTTTGTTTCCCAGGAGATCCCTCAGCAATTAAAATAGAAATGGATTATAGGTCAATGCTTAATTCCTTCTTCTCAAATGCCATGGACAAAATTATTTAATGTGAGCATTGTTTTTATACAAATAAATTTCTGTTTATAACCACAGCTTTTCACCAAGATTTTCTTAGACCCCACAAACTGTCTAATCAAATTACAATTATTCAGCCATCAAACTGTTTATCTGAGACAATATTTTTGTATGTTAAGTAATAACTAGAAAGTTATGTATACTATGAGAGATGTCTTAAAATATAAAATCAGTTGGAAATAGAATAATAAAAAATAGGTTGTGATGGATTATAAAATTATTGATGCTTTGCCGAGTTTAAAATGATAGATTCTACAAGTAATCATTGCAATCAGCAAAATAAGGCTATGAAATTAATAGGATTAGTCACATACAACCGTAACATAGGACACGCTATTTAAAGCACATTTATGAATATTCAGGTTTAACTCTATACAGTGTCAGAAGCTGTAATTATAAACTGGATATTCAAAATAGATAAATGTCATCAATTCACAGGACAATGTTTGACGTCTCGAGTACCATCCTACACTAGCACTATGCCATTAAACTCTTCTGTCATTTCCTTTTATACTAGAATCCTTCCAAACCACAAGGAAAATCACCAGGCCAAAAGTGAGGTTTGAAGTCTGGACATGTACTGGTTTTCTCTAGCAATCGACTCTCAATTTTTGGTAAAATGAGGCTATTTAAAACCCTCCTCTTAATTACACATATTTATGTAACTCATCACTCTACCTCCCAAATCCATAGGAAGGCTTTCAGATTTTGAAATATCAGAATTATGATAATCCCATAGAACAAGGTGGGAAGTATTCCCCTTCTTTCTATTCTCTGTAAGAATTTGTGTAAGACTGTGTGAAATTATTTCTCCCTTAAGTATTTGAACAAATATATCTGTGATTGTGAAGCTCTCTGGGCCAGAAGATTTCCTTGTGGGAAGGTTTTAAAAGTATAGATTTAATTCCTCTAATAGATTAATAATATTCAGATTTTTGATGTGTTTTTATCAGTTTTGGTGTGTTGTTTTTTAAGATTATCTTTTTCATGTAAATAATTAAATGTATTAATATATAAGGTTTTCTTAATATCCTCTTATAGACTTTTTCATATCTGTTGGGTCTATAATGATGGTCACCCCAACCACAGCTTCATTTCTGATATTGGTAATTTGTGTTTTTCTCATTTTTTTGGTCTTGCTATCACTTATTAATTTTATTAATTTTCCCAAAGAACCAAATTTTGACTTAGTTCATTTCTCTATTGTACATTTGGACTTTTTCTAATGTATATGTGCTTTATATTTTATTGGTGTCTGCTCACTTTAAAAAACATTTTCTCCCTCCAATATATTCTTTGTGTTTAATTTACTGTTCTTTTCCTAGATTTTGAGATGGAAGCTTGAATCATTAACTTTTCCATTTTTTCTTCTTTTCTAACACATGCATTAAAAAGTAAAAATAACAACAACAAAACTCTTTAGAGTTTCACTGTTCAGCTGCATTTTACAAATATGTCTATGCCATATTTTTATTGCTGCTTAGTTTAAAATATATTAAAATTTCATTATGATTGATCTTTGATCATTAATTACACAAAAGTATGATGTTTAATTTTCAAATCTATTATTCCAAACATTTACTTCAGAATTATTAACTTATTTTTGTGACTTAGAAAGCTGTTTTCTAACTCTGTCATTGTTCTGAATGATCGTTGTGATATTTACCCAATTATAATATATGAATACAATCTATGACACTCATCACTAATAAATATCTCTGAAAGATGTAAAATAACTGAATGTTCCTAGAAACAAAACAAGACTCTTATGCCAGAATTGGCTGATTTAACTTATTGTGGATTTTCAGTTATGGTTAGATGGGTCTTCTTTTGGTATCGCTTTAGATTTTCTCAGTCAAGAAAAAACTAACATCAACAATAAAAATTAAATTTCTAATACGAAAAAGTAATTTTTAATAAAGGAGATTTTGTTAAGTTTCAGAAATAATTTTTCACTTTAATAAGCATATGACAGCCAGGCGCGGTGGCCCACGCCTGTAATCCCAGCACTTTGGGAGGCGGAGGCGGGCGGATCACGAGGTCAGGAGATCGAGACCATCCTAGCTAACACGGTGAAACCCTGTCTCCACTAAAACTACAAATAATTAGCCAGGCGTGGTGGCGGGCGCCTGTAGTCCCAGGTACTCAGAAGGCTGAGGCAGGAGAACGGCGTGAACCCGGGAGGCGGAGTTTGCAGTGAGCTGAGATCTCGCCACTGCACTCCAGCCTGGGCGACAGAGAGACTCCGTCTCAAAAAAAAAAAAAAAAAGCATATGACAATGATAAAAAGGCTCGGATTTGTCTCCCACTTATTACTCCATTCCCCAAATAATTACTGCATATCAAATTATAGTCTTCAGTGTATCCCTTTTGTTTTTAATTGCAAAATCTCTGTACACTCACAGAAATCAAAGTGACTCCTGTCATTTATTTCATTAATAATGCCATATTACATAAAAGAAAATCCTTGAAAGTGAAAGAAAGAGAGTTTAAAATGTATCTTCTTAAGTGATAGTGTGTGATTTCTGGTTAAGCCTCTGAAAGCTCTTTTACCTTTGGCATTCTCCATGACCTAGAGCTATGGGAATGGGCATTGTACCTGTTTCTCTCCTGAGTCTGCCGTGTTTTAGCTTTGTGATCTTACAACCATGTTTAAGTCTAAAAATAAGAGTTAGAAGTAGGACTGGCACATGTCACTATATTTAATTTAATGAACTCTAACAGGATTTTTGTTTCTAAACCCAGGACATTGAGATCTGCTGGTTGGAGATCTTAGTGCCCAAGGAAGAATGCTTGCAAAAGGAGATGGAACAGTGTTTCTGTTGCATTGGCCACTGAGAATATCTGGTTATTTTGAATTTGTCACAGTCTGCAGCTAAAAGGCGAACAGGAAAAGAAGAGGTGGGTTACCGTGTTGGATTAGTTGTTTAATCCTGAAAAATCAAGGGGAAATATAGCTGCCACAAAATGAGGTCAGAGAGAGATTCATGTAACATTCAAGGTATCCCCTTGAGCATCTTCTGTTACTGTTTTGGCCAATGATAAAAGTTAAAGAACATTGAGAAGTCGATATACAGAGCATAATACAACTAGAATTATGATAGTTACCCATATTTTTTCTTGTTATAATGTTTATATTAAAATTAATTTATATTCTTAGTATATGCTATCTAATAAAACTTTATACATTATTATTTGTTAAATTATTTTATATTTTTCTTTCCCCTGATGTTTTATGTAACATATAGCTAGTGTTGGTACTGCTTATCTTTATAACATAGCACATATATTTCACATTATCAATGTGTAATTATGACTGAATTAGAAAAGGAAGAGCAATCATCCAGAAATTGATGTACAAATTGTTGGGACTTTATTTCTTCCTCTTTGATAGACAGTAAGAAGTTTGCATTTGTATATGGGATGGTTGTGTAGTTGTTATTACTCTTTGGTAACTTTTAGTGTAGGAAAAGGTTGAGAACTATGCATCACTGTATTCCATCAGTTTTCTTTTAGTGTAGCGGCTAGAAAACTTAAAGCTACATTTCTGAAGCTCACCTTTAGTTGGGGTCCTTTGTATAGTTTACTTCCACCTAATTAAATGCAGTTGCAGAAAAGAAGTAAAAATAAAAGTGGAAGCCATGGTTCAAAAATTTATTTACCTATAACTTTTGCTACACCATTGAAAATGTCTGGTTCTTCTTTAGTGGCTTCCTGATATGAAAGCCTCTTCATCACAGAAGAGGAGGTAGCTCCTTGTGGCTTGATTGTATGGCAGAACGCTAATAAAGTATTTCTTGGTTAAGTTAGCCATAATGATTTCAGTTACCTAAAAATTCAATTTTGATCAATAGAATTATGACATATGTTAATACGTTGCTGAATACAGTTTTCTAACATATTAACTTTATCTAAAAATGTCTTTATTTTGCCTTTGTTTCTGATATAGAGAGCGGTAATTTGAATGATAGCAGATTTCACATCAGGAACCAATGAAGCTAGATAAGAATGCAACATCTTTGATGTCTAAAAGAAACAAAAAGCCAACCTTGAATTCTTTATTTAGTGAAGTTACCCTTCAGAAATGACGGCAAAATAAAGATGTTTTCCAATAAAAGACAACTATGAGAATTCTTCACCAGCAGTCCTATTGTATCAGAACAGCCAAAAGAAGTTTGTCAGCCTACAGGGAATTATATCAAAGGGAAGACTTGACCTTGAAAATGAATGAGGAATATAAGAAATTGATATTATCTGGGTAAAAAGAAAATAAATTTTTTATTCTATCATCTTTAAAAATGTATGACTATTTAAAACAAAAATTATAATATGGCCAGTGTGAATTTCAATGTATATAAATGCATATTGTAAGACTACTTTAACATAAAAAACATCAGTAAATGGAACAGAAATATAAGAAACTTATATAGATGCAAAGTATCTAAGTTTTACAAGAAGCAATGTAATATTAACTCTAAGTGAACTATGAAAGAATACATATATATGTAACTACAGCAACCAATATAGATAAAAGTGGAATAGGCAAAATAAAGTAGACTACTAAAAATGTTTAAATAATCCAAATAAAGGCCGAAAAGGGAGCGAAAAGAAGAAGAAAAAACAAATAATAAAATAGTAGACATAAATCCAACAATACCTTTTAGGTGATAGAAATTAATAGAATGGATAAAAAGCAAGACTCAGCTCTATGCTTTCTGCAAAAGAAAGTTTAGATATAAAGAAATAGGTTGAAAGTAAATGAATAGAAAAAGATATACAATAAAATAAGCAAAATAAACCTGGAGGGTTATATGAATGTCAAATAAAATAGATTTCAAACCAATGTATTACTAGAGATACTGAGAGACATTACATAATGATACAAGAGACATTTCATCAGGAGCGTATATTTTAAATGTGTATTTCCTTAAACAGAGGATTAATTATCAAACAGAGGAATTAAATCGATAAATTGGCAAATCTTTAATTATAGTATGAAAGTTTCAAAACTCTATCTTAGCAATTGATCAAGCAACTATATCAAAAATCAAAATTATATTTGAAGATATGACTCACACTGTTAACCACCTTGATTTAATTGGCATTTGTAGACCAGCGTATTTGAAATTCTTTTCAAGTGTACATGGTGCATTCATCAAGAAGGACCATATGCTGGTCCATAAAAATGTCTCAAGGAATTTAAAAAGATTGAAACCATACACAGAATATTCACTAACTTCACAGAATTAAATAAAATTCAATGTCAATAGGATACTTAGTGAACTCACAAATACTTGGAAATCAAACAAACAAAAAACTTCTAAATAATTCATAGATCAAAAACAGAAATCAAAAGGAAATATAGAACACATTTTGAATTAAAAGAATAAAAATCTGAAGTGCTGTAATACTCAATTATTTGATCTGAGTGGCAGTTGCATAGTTTTCACTTTCTGACAACTTGTTAAATTTAGGGTTTATGTAATTTTCTGTATGGGTATGATCTGTTATATTTTAGTTAAAAATAAAAGTTATTAGCATGTAGCTGACACTGGAAGCCTAGCTAGTGTATTTCAAGAGGCAATAGTAAAGTGAGAAATAGAGGAAGTGAAATGGTATCATAGAGAATAACAACATTGATGAGGCTCATTCCTGCAGTGATACAGGAGATAGAAAAAATTTATTTTAGGCAGATAGTGAGGGCAAAACATTCCCTGGCAGAACTTCCCTTCTAACAAAAAGCAGCCCAAGTAATCACTTCTTTTCTAACAAATAGCAGCCTGGAAGATCGGGCTGCAAACATAGATAAGGAAGCTGGAAGCTTGCACAGGGGAATGCTCACAGCTGCACAGACAGAAAGGGCTACCTGGGGCCAGACATGTCCACCACGGGGGCTCCACCTTCCTTTTTTTTGTTAGCACATGCACAGTAAGAAAAAAATAAGCAACATGGAGTAGCTCAGGTAGAGGACTCACCTCTATAATAAAAGATTTGTGTGAGCGCTTCCAGAGATTCATGCCCTATGCAGATGGCACACCTGGTCCTAACCACTTTTTTACACCCTATGTAGATCAAATACTGTCTCCCCACTAGCTTGTCTATAAAAACCCTTGCATTTCACTGTGGATCGGCAACCCATTTTTCTGGGACCCCTCTCTGTAACAGAGAGCTATTCTCTTTCTTTCACCTGTTAAAATTCTGCTCTAAACCTCACCCTTTGTGTGTGTGTGTCTATCTCCTTATCTCTGTGGCCATGAAACCAAGAACATCAGGTGTCACCCCAGACAAGGCTGCTTCAGCAGGTGAGTGGCAACTATCTGGGCCGGTGGTGTGGGTGTAAGAAGAATTTACCAAGACAGCTGTAGGCTAAGAAAGGCAGATTTATTACAGGAAGTATGAAAATACATGGCCAGAAAGCAACAAACAAATAAGCATGAGAAGAGCTGACTGCGCAAGGAAACAAAGGCTTGCGAGGGATTTTATAAAACAGTGCTTACACTAAAGAGTGCTACATGAAGTACTGATAATGCCAAGGCTGCAGTGAGCAAACTTGCAGGTGTCTGATGATAGCTGGGTGCAGGAAGATTGTGACTTATTTCAGCAGGAAGGCTATGTGTCCTGGACCATGAGGAAAGGCTGACTTGCAGCTTATCTGCTCTCTCCTTTTGCTTTTCCTTTGTTCCAGCAGCCTGATTCCTTTCCCCTAATTAGGACTAACACACTCATGAAGATTAACAGGAAGATGCAGATTAGCAGGAAGACCAAACAATGATGTTAATAAAACCCACATGGTGAAAATTATAAGAAAAGAGTAAAAATCAAATTGTTTTCTGGTAGAGTGAGCCTGAGTTAAAAAAAAAAAAAGTGCAGTATTAATGATGCCTAAAGTCAAGGTCCAAATTAGAGTATGTCAAGAGAAGTTTAAAAGTGAAGGAGTAGAAAATAAGAGTATGCTGATATGTTTTAGAAATATATTTATGTATGAATAAAAACATTCTTTCAACTTTATTGGTAAAATAAGTACTTATTTTTCCTGTATAAGAAGTATAGTTTTAGGCAGCCACCAATGTTGAATCAGAAGCAAAACAGATACAAGGTTGAAATCTGTGTAGTTTTCCCCGTGATAGCATTCGAAGGTAGAAGGAAGTGGCCACTTATTTCTCTTTTTATCTGACTTCCAGCTCCAGGAGAAGCTGGGGCAGTGTGTGCTTAGCTAGGCACTTTGTTGCTCCAAGCAAAATCAGAATTCTCTCGGCAAAAAGAAGTGAGGTTGGAAGGTGGGAAGGTGACTCAGAATACACGCTTCTTCCATAACATGCATCTCTTCCATCAGGGAAGCTACCCCAAATTCTCATCCAGGTACCTCATCCACCTTGAAGTCTTGACTCTATTGGTGAGGTACTCTTTTTCATCATTCATTAATTCATTTAACAAATATTTATTGAGCACCAACTGCTATATGTCAAGCACTGTTCTGGTTCTCAGGGTATATTAGAGACCAAAAAAAAAAAAAAAAAAAAAGACAACAATCTCTGCCATCGCCCTAACTGAAAGTCAGTTTATGTGTATCCACATACTTGTGGCAAAGGAACAGTCTAAGTGTGTGAAATCCCCATTTGGAAAAGGAGATGATGGAAAATATGCAGAAGGAACTTTTCCAGAACTCACAGTAACCCTTGCTGGACAGCACTGTAATTCCTTACAAAGCAGCAGTGAATGAAACCTTGAGAATCAGTGGTGGGAAAGCCTTTTGACAGCTAAGAGGTGTTTTTACCACTGAAATGGTTACATACGGACCAACCATTGCTATTGAACACACACACACTGTCTTTAGATATGTTAATTCAAAGTAACTCTTCTAATTAGTGAGTTTATATGTAAATTACATATGTAAGCTAGAAATAAAAATGATAGCTGCTGTCCTAGTGTGAGTATTAACATAAGGAAACACAAGTTTCTATGAGCATCTGGAGACTTTTTTTTTTGGAACACAGGGTGGTTCCTGAACTATACATAGAAGATTCCTATTAAACATCGCTGGTTGAGGGAAGAACATTTAGGCAGCTGTTGCCTTTGTTCTGCTGGGGCTCAGAAAACAATTCCCCAAAATGCAGGCTTCAGAAGGAGAAACTTCTCCCCGATCTTCTGCCCTCCTGTCTCTCAGTCTCATTCTCCCCTGAGGCTAGCCATAGAAACTGGAATCCCTCTTCCCCAAGAAGGGGGTCATAGAAACTAGAACCCCTTTTCCCCAAAGCTAGTCATAAAACCTAAAATTATTACTCTAACTTTCCCTCCACATTTCTGAGTAAAAACTGGCCATAAAGAAATTATCTGACCTACCTTGTTTGACTGCAGGATATAAGAGCTCCATTCCAGAGATGGTCCTGCTCATACCCAGAGGGAAAGAATAAATGCTCAGAGAGGCCAAGAAGAATCTAGACAGACAAACTTTGTGGGGCTTCCCCACTCAACCTGTTAGCATTAGATTATAACCTTTTTGTTCAATTATATTTTTACACGCTGCCCATACTTTGTTGAACCTAAGCATAAAAATGGACAGTTTCCTCTGTATCTTTGGGTCTTCATTCTGAAGCCTCCTGTGCATACACACTGAATAAATTTGTATACCTTTCCTCCTATTAATCTGTCTTTTGCAAGATGATTTTTCAGTGAACCTTCAGAGGCCCAAGGTTCCCATGGCCCCTACTATTCAACAATACTTGCTTATTTATATCTTGAGTAAATTGTTGCAGGGAAGCAATGACTACCTGGGCCAGTGGCACAGAAGTAAAAGAATTTACCAAGACAGTCGCAAGTAAAGAAAGGTAGATTTATTAGAGAAGGTATGAAAATATGTTGCAAGAAGGTAACAGACAGATCAGCATGAGAGAAGCTGACTGCAAGGAAACAAAGGCTTGCCGGAGATTTTATAGAGTGGAATTTGGGAGCCATAATGTTTAATGAGTTATGTATGTTATTTATTCAGGAGGTCAATAAGTCCTGGGCCATAAAGAAATTCATCTGCTTCCTCTTTTTGTTTATATGTCCTGAGCCATGAAGAAAAGCGTATTTATACATTATTTGCTTTATCTCTTTGTTTTCTCCTGGTCCCATCAGCCTGACTTCTTTTCCCTAATTAGGACTCACATAAATGTTACATGAAAAATTATTAAAAAGCAACAAACAGAGTAGAGAGAAAAAGGTAGAAAGGCTTGGGTCCAGGTGGCTGAATGGTTCTTGATGAGCACATAGAATGCTCTTTCCTCTAAATGATGATAATGTAGTACTGTGAATAATCTAGGCAGATATTAGTGTATTCTCAATAATTTCCTAATGTTGCTGCAGCCACTACTGGAAGATGTCTTAACAGCTCAGCGATTAAATCTCAGTGGTTATAGTTCAACAGTACTTCAGTAAAGGGCCTCAAAATGTTTCATCATATCATTCATGTTTCTAAGCAACTATTTCTATGGCAATGTATCACAAACCTATGATTAAATAAATTAGCACTCTCTATATATGGGGGTTGAGTAATGGCCTTTTGGAAAAATTGAAATTCATGAAATATTTTGCATCCTAATTTTTATTTTGGCATTTCATTAGTTTTATCCAGTTTGCTTTTAAGATGTTAAAAATTCAGGTGTGTCACACAAAGGGGGAAATACATGAATTTCAGTGAAAATACAAATGAAAAGGTAAGAAGTGTGACAACTGGATGTGTGATGATTAAAAGATGTTGTGACTTCAGCTACAGATGATGGCCATCACAGTCCAGGCAGAAAGCAGAGAGTATTTGATGTGCTCCTCTTAAGGTGTGGAAATAGAATTATGTCACTTACCTTCCCACCCTTCTCAGGAAAGTTTGGAAGATAAAGCTCTGAAGTTTACTTAGCTAAATAACAGTGTATGTGTAAAAGTTGACAATGAAATGAGGGATGACAAAAAATGAGATAGTTAACTGTAGAATTAACTGGTAATTTTGTGGTTTGCAACAGTGGGCCTTTTCTTAAAAAAGGGTCATGAATCAGTAAGATTGGGTTGAATTCCAAATAAGTATCAGGAATATTGTTAAAGAAGACATCGTTAAAAAAAAAAAAAAGATAGAAAGGCCTGGATGCGGGGGTGGAGCCAAGATGGCCGAATAGGAACAGCTCCAGTCTACAGCTCCCAGCGTGAGCGACACAGAAGACGGGTGATTTCTGCATTTCCATCTGAGGTACCGGGTTCATCTCATTAGGGAGTGCCAGACAGTGGGTGCAGGACAGGGGGTGCAGCGCACCATGCGCCAGCCGAAGCAGGGCGAGGCATTGCCTCACTCAGGAAGGGCAAGGGGTCAGGGAGTTCCCTTTCCTAGTCAAAGAAAGGGGTGACAGATGGCACCTGGAAAATCGGGTCACTCCCAGCCTAATACTGCGCTTTTCAAACAGGATTAAAAAATGGCACACCAGGAGATTATATCCCGCACGTGGCTCAGAGGGTCCTACGCCCACGGAGGCTTGCTGATTGATGGCACAGCAGTCTGAGATCAAACTGCAAGGTGGCAGTGAGGCTGGGGGAGGGGCGCCTGCCATTGCCCAGGCTTGATTCGGTAAACAAAGCAGCCAGGAAGCTCGAACTGCGTGGAGCCCACCACAGCTCAAGGAGGCCTGCCTGCCTCTGTAGGCTCCACCTCTAGGGGCAGGGCAGAGACAAACAAAAAGACAGCAGTAACCTCTGCAGACTTAAGTGTCCCTATCTGGCAGCTTTGAAGAGAGTAGTGGTTCTCCCAGCACACAGCTGGAGATCTGAGAATGGGCAGACTGCCTCCTCAAGTGGGTCCCTGACCCCAAAGCAGCCTAACTGGGAGGCACCCCCCAGTAGGGGCAGACTGACACCTCACACGGCCGGATACTCCTCTGAGACAAAACTTCCAGAGGAACAATCAGGCAGTAGCATTTGCTGTTCACCAAGAGCCACTGTTCTACAGCCACCGCTGTACTGCAGCCACCACTGCTGATACCCAGGCAAGCAGGGTCTGGAGTGGACCTCTAGCAAACTCCAACAGACCTGCAGCTGAGGGTCCTGTCTGTTAGAAGGAAAACTAACAAACAGAAAGGACATCCACACCAAAAACTCTTCTGTACGTCACCATCATCAAAGGCCAAAAGTAGATAAAACCACAAAGATGGGGAAAAAACAGAACAGAAAAACTGGAAACTCTAAAAAGCAGAGCGCCTCTCCTCCTCCAAAGGAACGCAGCTCCTCACCACCAATGGAACAAAGCTGGACGGAGAATGACTTTGACGAATTGAGAGAAGAAGACTTCAGATGATCAAACTACTCTGAGCTACAGGAGGAAATTCAAACCAATGGCAAAGAAGTTAAAAACTTTGAAAAAAATTAGAAAAATGGATAACTAGAATAACCAATGCAGAGAAGTCCTTAAAGGAGCTGATGGAGCTGAAAGCCAAGGCTCGAGAACTACGTGAAGAATGCAGAAGCCTCAGGAGCCGATGCGATCAACTGGAAGAAAGGGTATCAGTGATGGAAGATGAAATGAATGAAATGAAGGGCGAAGGGAAGTTTAGAGAAAAAAGAATAAAAAGAAACAAACAAAGCCTCCAAGAAACATGGGACTATGTGAAAAGACCAAATCTACATCTGATTGGTGTACCAGAAAGTGATGGGGAGAATGGAACCAAGTTGGAAAACACTCTGCAGGATATTATCCAGGAGAACTTCCCCAATCTAGCAAGGTAGGCCAACATTCAGATTCAGGAAATACAGAGAATGCCACAAAGATAATCCTCGAGAAGAGCAACTCCAAGACATATAATTGTCAGATTCACCAAAGTTGAAATGAAGGAAAAAAATGTTAAGGGCAGTCAGAGAGAAAGGTCAGGTTACCCACAAAGGGAAGCGCATCAGACTAACAGCGGATCTCTCGGCAGAAACTCTACAAGCCAGAAGAGAGTGGGGGCCAATATTCAACATTCTTAAGGAAAGAATTTTAAACCCAGAATTTCATATCCAGCCAAACTAAGCTTCATAAGTGAAGGAGAAATAAAATACTTCACAGACAAGCAAATGCTGAGAGATTTTGTCACCACCAGGCCTGCCCTAAAAGAGCTCCTGAAAGAAGTGCTAAACATGGAAAGGCACAACCAGTACCAGCCGCTGCAAAATCATGCCAAAATGTAAAGACCATCGAGACTAGGAAGAAACTGCATCAACTAATGAGCAAAATAACCAGCTAACATCATAATGACAGGATCAAATTCACACATAACAATATTAACTTTAAATGTAAAGGGACTAAATGCTCCAATTAAAAGACACAGACTGGCAAATTGGATAAAGAGTCAAGACCCATCAGTGTGCTGTATTCAGGAAACCCATCTCACCTGCAGAGACACACATAGGCTCAAAATAAAGGGATAGAGGAAGATCTACCAAGCAATGGAAAACAAAAAAAGACAGGGGTTGCAATCCTAGTCTCTGATAAAACAGACTTTAAACCAACAAAGATCAAAAGAGACAAAGAAGGCCATTACATGATGGTAAAGGGATCAATTCAACAAGAAGAGCTAACTATCCTAAATATATATGCACCCAATACAGGAGCACCCAGATTCATAAAGCAAGTCCTGAGTGACCTACAAAGAGACTTGGACTCCCACACAATCATAATGGGAGACTTTAAAACCCCACTGTCAACATTACACAGATCAACAAGACAGAAAGTTAATGAGGATACCCAGGAATTGATCTCAGCTCTGCACCAAGCAGACTTAATAGACATCTACAGAACTCTCCACCCCAAATCAACAGAATATACATTTTTTTCAGCACCACACCACACCTATTCCAAAATTGACCACATAGTTGGAAGTAAAGCTCTCCTCAGCAAATGTAAAAGAACAGAAATTATAACAAACTGTCTCTCAGACCACAGTGCAATCAAACTAGAACTCAGGATTAAGAAACTCACTCAAAACCACTCAACTACATGGAAACTGAACAATCTGCTCCTGAATGACTACTGGGTACATAATGAAATTAAGGCAGAAATAAAGTTGTTCTTTGAAACCAATGAGAAAAAAGACAAAACATACCAGAATCTCTGGGACACATTCAAAGCAGTGTGTAGAGGGAAATTTATAGCATTAAATGCCCACAAGAGAAAGCCAGAAAGATCCAAAATTGACACCCTAACATCACAAGTAAAAGAACTAGAAAAGCAAGAGCAAACACATTCAAAAGCTAGCAGAAGGCAAGAAATAACTAAGATCAGAGCAGAACTGAAGGAAATAGAGACACAAAAAACCCTTCAAAAAATTAATGAATCCAGGAGCTGGTTTTTTGAAAAGATCAACAAAATCAATAGACTGCTAGCAAGACTAATAAGAAGAAAAGAGAGAAGAATCAAATAGACGCAATAAAAAATGATAAAGGGGATATCACCACCAATCCCACAGAAATACAAACTACCATCAGAGAATACTACAAACACCTCTATGCAAATAAACTAGAAAAGCTAGAAGAAATGGATAAATTCCTCGACACATACACCCTCCCAAGACTAAACCAGGAGAAGCTGAATCTCTGAATAGACCAATAACAGGCTCTGAAATTGTGGCAAGAATCAATAGCTTACCAACGAAAAAGAGTCCAAGACCAGATGGATTCACAGCCGAATCCTACCAGAGGTACAAGGAGGAGCTGGTACCATTCCTTCTGAAACTATTCCAATCAATAGAAAAAGACGGAATCCTTCCTAACTCATTTTATGAGGCCAGCATCATTCTGTTACCAAAGCCTGGCAAAGACGCAACCAAAAAAGAGAATTTTAGACCAATATCCTTGATGAACATTGATGCAAAAATCCTCAATAAAATACTGGCAAACCAAATCCAGCAGCACATCAAAAAGCTTATCCACCATGATCAAGTGGCTTCATCCCTGGGATGCAAGGCTGGTTCAACATGCTCAAATCAATAAATGTAATCCAGTATATAAACAGAACCAAAGACAAAAACCACATGATAATCTCAATAGATGCAGAAAAAGCCTTTGACAAAATTCAACAACCCTTCATGCTAAAAACTCTCAATAAATTAGGTATTGATGGGATGTATCTCAAAATAATAAGAGCTATCTATGACAAACCCACAGCCAATATCATACTGAATGGGCAAAAACTGGAAGCATTCCCTTTGAAAACTGGCACAAGACAGGGATGCCCTCTCTCACCACTCCTATTCAACATAGTGTTGGAAGTTCTGGCCAGGGCAATCAGGCAGGAGAAGGAAATAAAGGGTATTCAATTAGGAAAAGAGGAAGTCAAATTGTCCCTGTTTGCAGATGACATGATTGTATATCTAGAAAACCCCATTGTCTCAGCCCAAAATCTCCTTAAGCTGATAAGCAACTTCAGCAAAGTCTCAGGATATAAAATCAATGTACAAAAATCACAAGCATTCTTATACACCAACAACAGACAAACAGAGAGCCAAATGATGAGTGAACTCCCATTCACAATTGCTTCAAAGAGAATAAAATACCTAGGAATCCAACTTACAAGGGATGTGAAGGACCTCTTCAAGGAGAACTATAAACCACTGCTCAATGAAATAAAAGAGGACACAAACAAATGGAAGAACATTCCATGCTCATGGGTAGGAAGAATCAATATCATGAAAATGGCCACACTGCCCAAGGTAATTTATAGATTCAATGCCATCCCCATCAAGCTACCAATGACTTCCTTCACAGAATTGGAAAAAACTACTCTAAAGTTCATATGGAACCAAAAAAGAGCCCGTATTGCCAAGTCAATCCTAAGCCAAAAGAACAAAGCTGGAGGCATCACGCTACCTGACTTCAAACTATACTACAAGGCTACAGTCACCAAAACAGCATGGTACTGGTACCAAAACAGAGATATAGATCAATGGAACAGAACAGAGCCCTCAGAAATAATGCCACATATCTACAACCATCTGATGTTTGACAAACCTGACAAAAACAAGCAAATGGGGAAAGGATTCCCTTTTTAATAAATGGTGCTGGGAAAATTGGCTATCCATATGTAGAAAGCTGAAACTGGATCCCTTCCTTACACCTTATACAAAAATTAATTCAAGGTGGATTAAAGACTTACATGTTAGATCTAAAACCCTAGAAGAAAACCTAGGCATTACCATTGAGGAGATAGGCATGGGCAAGGACTTCATGTCTAAAACACCAAAAGCAATGGCAACAACAGCCAAAATTGACAAATGGGATCTAATTAAACTAAAGAGCTTCTGCACAGCAAAAGAAACTACCATCAGAGTGAACAGGCAACCTACAAAATGGGAGAAAATTTTCACAACCTACTCATCTGACAAAGGGCTAATATCCAGAATCTACAATGAACTCAAACACATTTACAAGAAAAAGCAAACAACCCCAACAAAAAGTGGGCAAAGGATATGAACAGACACTTCTCAAAAGAAGACATTTATGCAGCCAAAAAACACATGAAAAAATGCTCATCATCACTGGCCATCAGAGAAATGCAAATCAAAACCACAATGAGATACCATCTCACACCAGTTAGAATGGCAATCACTAAAAAGTCAGGAAACAACATGTGCTGGAGAGGATGTGGAGAAATAGGAACACTTTGACACTGTTGGTGGGACTGTAAACTAGTTCAACCATTGTGGAAGTCATTGTGGTGATTCCTCAGGGATCTAGAACTAGAAATACCATTTAACCCAGCCATCCCATTACTGGGTATATACCCAAAGGATTATAAATCGTGCTGCTCTAAAGACACATGCACACTTATGTTTATTGCAGCACTATTCACAATAGCAAAGACTTGGAACCAACCCAAATGTCCAACAACGATAGACTGGATTAAGAAAATGTGGCACATATACACCATGGAATACTATGCAGCCATAAAAGATGAGTTCATGTCCTTTGTAGGAACATGGATGAAACTGGAAAACATCATTCTCAGCAAACTATCGCAAGGACAAAAAACCAAACACCGCATGTTCTCACTCATAGGTGGGAATTGAACAATGAGAACAGATGGACACAGGAAGGGGAACATCACACTTCGGGGACTGTTGTGGGGTGGGAGGAGGAGTGAGGGGGGAGTGGGGACGGATAGCATTAGGAGATATACCTAATACTAAATGACGAGTTAATGTGTGCAGCACACCAACATGGCACATGTATACATATGTTACAAACCTGCACATTGTGCACATGTACCCTAAAACTTAAAGTAGAATAATAATAAAATTAAAAAAAAAAAGAAAGGCCTGGATGCAGGTGGCCAAATGACTTGATGAGCACATAGAATGTTCTTATCTCTAAATGATAATGTAGTACTATGAATAATCTAGACAGATATTAGTGTATTCTAAATAATCTCTGCACACTGCTATGGCCACTATAAGAAACTGCCTCAATGTTAACAGCAGGGCAATTAAATCTCAGTGGCTATAGTTCAGCAGTAGTTTACTAAGTTGCTCAGTGCTTCTGAGTAAAGTTTCCTGATAACCTCATCTTTCTGATGAGAAAAACCTCCAAGTAACAAATTAGAAGAGCAAAGTAGCTTGCCACTCCATTCTTTCAGGGTAATAAGAAAATCAGAGAAAGGAATGGAATAATAAATAAATTCCAAAATCTCTGGGTAGAATTAAGCCATATCTAAAATAATATAGTAATGTGCTTTTTTGAGAGATTATGTATGTGTGGTGTTACCTATCTATAGAACAGATGGCATACAACAAACATTTGTGACTCGTTTCTTTAGGAAGCGGCACATGAGACTAGCAGGAGTAAATGTTATATACACTGGGCCTCGCAAAAATTCTGCAATCACTGGGAATCAGTAACCTGGTAGAATGAGAAAACAACGTAATACTGAAAAATCAAAACACCATCCTACAGAACTTTGATGCATTCAGAACAAAGGTATTTACCTAGTTACAAATTGTTTACTTTTTTCTCTGTGCCCCTTCCCAAGCCCAGGGTGAGTCCAATACTCAGGCAAGAAAGGCACTATAAGCAGAAGGTGTACTGGGTTGCTCTGCATCCTACCCAAGGTGCTGGGGGAGTGAGAATCTGACTCTTCCTACTCTAGGAATTTTGCTTTCAAGGGCTTTCTTTTCAGTAATGATGCTGGAGAACAGCAATTGAGACAAGGAGGTTCCGTAACTGCCCATTATTTGACACTGACTCCGAATGTAGTCCATGAAAGAAAACATAGAAGCTCTCTGAAGCACCCAAACTCAAGTTACCCTTACTATACATTAGCCATACTGTTTCTCTTTGTAATGCCATTTTGCTGGCAGGAACAAACACCTCCAAAACCCCTTCTCAGATTTTTCCCCAAGCTTGAGTTCTGATATCAGCTGTGGTCCTTTCTCTAATTACTATTTCCTGTGCATGTATTTTTTTCTTTATGTAATTTAGGAATTCATTCTTCATAGGAGTTAACTGGGAATAGAGAATGCACGGGGCAGCTTTGACTCAGACATTCAACCTTACCTTCACCGAGCAAATTTTTGGCTTCTTTTGCTCTTGGGATTAAGAGTTAAAACTATTTCATATTCTTTTCAGTTTCCTTCTCTTCCTTTACTCCTCCTCCTCCTTTTCGTTTTCTTCCTCCTCCTCTTTTTTCTTCCACTACTTCTCTCATTTGTCTTTTGGTTATTCATTTATCAGTCTCTCCTTAGTCCCATCTGTCACCTACTTCACCTACTGTGCAATTTAGGCAGATGGCTTTCTAGCAGAAAGAGAGCAATCAAATCTGTAATTGACTGAAATCTTGACAAATTCAGAAATTATCAAAGAGTTTTGTTTTTTTTTTAAGGTGGAGGAAGTTGGGAAGTAGAAGAAATTCAGTACTGACTGGAGAATGTCATAGGGAGGCCAGAGAGGGAAAAAGTACATAGAGGTTTCAAGGTAGAGAGCAGAGGGAACCTGGAAGTAAGCCTTAGCCAATACTGTTCATTCAACCTACCCACCTGATGAAATTAATATGGGCCAAGTCATTTTTTTCAATGTCTTAGTTCCAGCTACAGTAGCAAAATACCATAGACTGGTGGGTTAAAACAATAGAAATATATTTCCTCACACTTCAGAAGCTAGAAGTGCACAATCAGGATGCCAACATGGTTAGGTTCTGAAAAGGGCTCTCTGTTAGCTTTTAGGTGGCCACCTCCTCATTTTGTCCTCACATGGCAGAGAAAGAGAGAGAGACAGAGAAAGAGAGAGACAGAGAGCATGCTGTCTAGTGTCTCTACTTATAAGGGCACTAATCGCATCATGAACATCACACTCTAATGATCTCATTTAACCTTAATTACCTCCCAAAGTCCCCATCTCCAAATGCCATCACATTGGGGGTTAAGGCTTCAATATATGAATTTTAGGGAGATGCATTTTAGTACAAAGCAAATGTTTTCCAATTATGCCTTAAAGATGTTCAAACATACAAGGTAAGAGAAAATGTACAATCTTTATTTATTTTGCTTTCACATCAGATCACGAATCAAGCTGAAAAAGTAAAGCATTCTGTGAGTTGTGGAATGGAAATTGCCTCAACCATCTCACCACTTGATGACACTTGTAATTTCAGTGACCCAATTCAAGGCAAGAGAGCTCAGTTTTTCCATGTTTGCAGCAGTACTCTTAAATTCTTGATTCTGAGTTGTTAGGAGACACAATTTCAGAGGTACTTATTACATAACTTTAAAACATTTTTCTTTTTTCTACTAAAGAAAAACTACAAAGGATAAAGATAAGCTTTTGATTTTAAGGTTGTATAGTCTACAAACTGTTTTCCCATACCTAGTTCTTCACTTGATTTTTTATATGTTTAACTTTTGAATTCTACTTTGTGTTATAATTAATTTCTCAGAGAGATAAACAACATTCATTCATAAATTAAGAGAGATTAATTTTTTGATGACTAAAGGAACTCTGCTTCATACATAGTATAAGAACTTGAATCTTTAAATTCTGAACTATATTTGGTTATTTAACTTTTTTAATATAATGAGAATTTGTCATATCATTTTTCAAAGCCTATAAATTTTGGAAATTAATCTAAATTCTCAAAATCATCATCATATTAAAATATTAACATGGAATATTGTTAAAAAATTCAATGACACAATTGTTAAAGCAGAGTAAGGAAGATTTTATTCAAGACCATCACAACATATAGAAACCACTGCAATGGGATTTTGCAGCAGTGGAACTCACTTGGGCTCGACTTCAAATACAGCACGATCAAGTGGGAATTTATAGCCAGGGAGCAGGATGGAAGTCATTGAAAAGAAAATTACTAAGAGGAAGCATCAGGAGTATGGGGGATTCTGGCTAAACTGATTTAGCAAGCTTCTTGCTGAACACAACCAGGGTGATCAGACAACCATCACCTGGGAGATGGTTATGAATGAGAAACAAGATCAGACATCGAGGGTGTATTAGTCTGTTCTCAATCTGCTAATAAAGACATACCTGAGACTGGATAATTTATAAAAGGAAGAGATTTAATTGACTCACAGTTCCACATGGCTGGGGAGGTCTCACAATCATGGCTGAAAGTGAATGAGTAGCAAAGTCACATCTTACATGGTGGCAGCCAAGAGATAGCATGTGCAGGAGGACTGCCATGTATCAAACCATCAGATCTCATGAAACTTATTCACTATCATGAGAACATAATGGGAAAAGCCCACCCCCATGATTCAATTACCTCCCACCGGGTCCCTCCCATGACACATGGGGATTATTACAATTCAAGGTGAGATGTGGGTGGGGACCACAGAGCCAAACCATATCACAACCAGGGTAGTCAGACGACCATCACGTGGGGGATGGTGAAGAATGAGGAACCCGATCAGACATTGAGGGTAACTAGATACTGAGGGTGTGGGGTTTTTGCTAAACTAACTTAGCAGGGTTCTTGTCAAAACTGGATTTCATAAGGAAATGCACAGTTGGGCTTAGGAGTAGGCTGAGGAGCTTGACTAAAGTTTCATCAGGGAGAGAATCTTTGTTAGTGTCAAATAATATAAAAAATACAGAATATAATGTGTGTCAGCCACTGTGTTTAATTTTAAAAATTTGGTTGATGTTTTAAACCCCATAGTTTTATTCATTTAAATGATTAATTTTTATGAAATATCTATGATATGGCTTTTGTTTAACTATTATTTGTTTCTATGTAGCAATCAAACATCAAGTAATACTCTCAATAAAGATGTGTAATTAAAACAGAAGAGGAAACAGACTAACAGAAGTGATGAAGAATGGCAGTTCTAAGGATGGCAGGTGAAATTATTGCTATGTCCTAGAGGCAAAATGATATTACTCACATAAAATATTTCACTGAGTTTTTTAATTATTTATAATTTTTGTTATAAAAATCTTATAAACAAAAATTTGAGAAGGTGATATGAATATGTATATGTAAGAATAAAATGAAGTTTTTCATTAGGAAAAGAAGATTTGGAAATTTTGAGCATTAACTACATTATGATCTGAATCATTTTTAAAGTAATCATTTTAAAAAAGAAGTAAAATATGGTTGATCAAAATTACTTATCCAATGAAAATGTAACCAGAAAAAAGCATACCTTATAATAAAATATATTTAAATTCCAAATAATAGATTTCTCTCCAGAAACCATTTTGACAAAATATGCCAAAAGCCCTCAAAGGACTTATATTTTTTCCTACTTGATGTGGTTTGAATTTTTGTCCCTGCCCAAATCTTACGTTGAATTGTAATTCCCAGTGTTGGGGAAGGAGACTGGTGGGAGGTGATTGGATCATCAGGGTGGACTTCCCTTTGCTGTTCTCATGACAGTGAGTGAGTTTTTATGGGATGTGGTTGTTTAAAAGTGTGTAGCACCTCTCCCTTCACTCTCTTCCTTTTTCTCCAGCTGTGTAAGACATACCTGCTTCGCCTTCACCTTCTGCCATGATTGTAAGTTTCCTGAGGTTTCCCCAGCCATGCTTTCTGTACAGCCTGCAGAACTATGTGTCAATTAAACCTCTTTGGTTATAAATTACCCAATTTCAGGTAGTTATTTATACCAGTAAAAGAATGGACTAATACAGAAAATTGGTACTGGGAAGTGGGGCATTGCTATAAAGGTACCTAAAAATGTAGAAGCAACTTTGGAACTGGGTAATGGGCAGAGGTTGGAACAGTTTGGAGGACTCAGAAGAAGACAGGAAGATGAGAAAGAATTTGAAATTTCCTGGAGAATTGTTAAATTGTTGTGATCAAAATGCTGACACTGTTATGGATAGCGAAGTCCACGCTGAGGTGGTCTCAGATGAACATGAGGAACTTATTGGGAACTAGAGTAAATATCACTCTTGCTATGCTTTAGCAGAGACTGGCAGCATTTTGCCCCTGCCCTAGAAATCTGTGAAACTTTGAACATAAGAGTAATGATTTAGGGTCTCTGATGGAAGAAATTTGTAAGCAGCCAAGTATTCAAGATGTTACCTGGCTGCTTCTAATAGTTTATGGTCATACACTTGAGCAAAGAGATGATCTGAAACTGGACCTTATATTTAAAAGGGAAGCACAGCATAAAAGTTTAGAAAATTTGCAGCCTGACCATGTGATAGGAAAGAAAAACCCATTTCCTGGGGAAAAAACTCAAGCCTGCTGCAGAAATTTGCATAAGTAAAGAGAAGCCAAATGTTAGTAGCTGAGACAATGTGGAAAATACCTTCAGGGCATGTCAGAGACCTTTGTGGCCGCCCTTCCTATCACAGGTCTGAAGGCTTATGTGGGAAGAATGGTTTTATGGGCCACACTGAGGGCTCTGCTGCCCTGTGCAACCTCAAGATACTGTTCCCTGTGTCCTAGCCTCTCGAGCTCCAGCCATAGCTAAAAGGGCCCCAGATGTGTCTCAGGCTGCTGCTCCAGATGGTACAAGACATAAGCCTTAGTGGCTTCCATGTGGTGTTGGGCCTATGGGTGCAAAGAAGGCAAGAGTGGAGGTTTAGGAACCTCTGCCTAGATGTCAGAGGATGTATGGAAATGCCAGGATGTCCAGGCTGAAGTCTGTTGCAGGGGTGGAGCCCTGTGGAGAACCTCTACTAGTGCAGGTGGAGGGGAAATGTGGGGTTTGAGCCCCCACAGAGTCCCCACTGGGGCACTGCCTAGTAGAATTATGAGAAGAGGGCCATCGTCCTCCTGACCCCAGAATGGTAGATCTATCAACAGCTTACACAATGCACCTGGAAAAGCTGCAAGTACTCGACACCAGCCTGTGAAAACAGTAGTAGGGGCTATGCCCTGCAGAGCCACAGGGGAAGAGATGGCCAAGGCCTTTGGAGCACACCCCTTGCATCAATGTTGCCTAGATATGAGACCTAGAGTCAAAGGAGATTATTTTGGAGCTTTAAGATTTAATGATGGCCCTGCTGCGTTTTGGACTTGAATGGGACCTGTAGCCCCTTTGTTTTGGCTGATTTCTCCCATTTGGAATGGGAGTATTTACTAAATGCCTATACCTCCATTGTATCTTGGAAGTAACTAACTTGTTTTTTGTTTTACAGACTCATAGGTGCAAGGGACTTTCCTTGTCTCAGATAAGAGTTTGGCTTGGGACTTTTGAGTTAATGTCGGAATGAGTTAAGAATTTGAGGGACTTTTGGGAAGGCATGATTGTGTTTTGAAATGTGAGAAGGACATGAGATTTTGGAGGGGCCAGAAGTGGAATAATATAGTTTAGATTTGTGTCTCCATCCAAATCTCATGTTGAATTGTAATCTTGGGGGAGGGCCCTGGTGGGAGGTGACTGGATCATGGGGGTAGACTTCCCCTTTGCTGTTCTCATAATAGTGAATGAGTTTTCACAAGATCTGCTTGTTTAAAAGTGTATAGCACCTCCACCTTCACTCTCTTCCTCCTTGTCTGGCCATGTAAGATGTGCCTGCTTCCTTCAGCTTCCACCATGATTGTAAGTTTCCTGAAGCCTCCCCAGCCATGCTTTCTGCATAGCCTGCAGAACTGTGAACTAATTAAACCTCTTTTCTTATAAATAACCTAGTTTCAGGTAGTTCTTTATAGCAGTGTATTACTGAAGTAACACACCACTTTAATTTTACTCCTATTAATCAAGCCGAAAAAAATATTTAAATAGATGAGAACTTTAAAAAAGAAACATATGCAAAGATATTTAAATTTCTAAGAAAAGAAATGCTAAAAGAGAATATACTCAGTACAATAAATGTGGCTATTAGCAATAGAAGTTGAAAGTATTTATAGTAGCACGTAGTATTCTTATATGGATAACTGGGGAAAAACAGCATACAAATTTAAGTATAATTTGTAAGCCCAATTACTAAAAATAAAAAAAAGTATGCATTGAAAAAGGTTAGAAGGAAATAAAACATTGACAGTTTTTTGTTTCTGAGAATTTAGGAAATTGCTTAATCTTTACCTTGCATTTTGCATATTAAAGTATGTTTTATAATGAATTTTATATTAAAAAATTCAAAACTATATCTAAAAATATGTGTTTAATAAAATAAATGAAAATGACATTCCAGATGTAACCCATATATCTAAACTTTTTCTTTTCTCAGCAAAATGGAGAAATTGGCATAAAGCAGTTTTTTAACACCTCAGTCTATTTCTTTCTCTCCAGCAGGAATTCACTGAATGTCTATCTATCATGTATGCTGTTGGAGGCACCTGTCTTTCAGTTCAGAGGTTATGGATGTATCTATCATCAGTATTTCGGGTGAGCAATTGCCAATCAATTTCCTTCGACAATGGGTTTGGCTTTTTTATTGTTAGAAGATTAAAAGTTCTCAGAACTTGCTGTGCAACAAGATATTTTACTAAATCACTGTTTTTACATTCAGCCTATTGTTATTCTGTTATTTCACTTTGTAAAACACAAAGCTTTTTGCATAGACTTTTACTTTTGGCCAAGTGGTGTGATAGAAACCATATTCACTCCTTCTACCTGAAGCAACCATAAAACTAGCAAAGAAATATGAAACAACGGTTTTCAAGACACTGGACATGAGCCAATGAAGGACAGTGATTTCTGGAAGATGGGATTTTCTTTCCCAGCGAAGATTGGTACCATTGGAAAATTTGACTTAAAATTTGACAGAAATTTGACTTGACATGCAAAAAAAAAAAAAGTAAGAAACCTGAATGTCAGTAATACAGTGTCAATTTTAGTGTTTAATACTTCAGTTCTTTTATATTAAATAATGCAGAAGACAGACAATCTGGGAAACGTGTGAATGAATGATTATGACTATGGCAGGTCTCCTTTATTTACATATAAAAAATAAACTATATTAAAATTTTATCTTAACACTTCACTAATTTATCTTTTTCATACTAGGAATGGAAAGTTGTGATAGTGAGTTCATTGAATGAAAAGTAATGCATGTAAGCTCTGTTTTCTCACAGTTAAGCACTGGTAGAGTTGGGCTCATTTTCTAGATTATTAAAGATCTTCAATCGTATTTGTTTCCTTTAAAACCACTCTTCACAAATTTTCTTTTCTTGACAGACTTAAATCTCTATGCTAGAAATTAGTGGCCCTTAACCAACTCTTGACTTTCCTAATGCTTAACTTCTGTAAATATACTTAAATTCTAAAGTTTATGTTACCTCTAACCTTTTTTTCCTGATTCTGTTTGCTCTTGAATACTCTCAGAAAACATATTTCAACAATCTATTAAAAATATACAAAAAAGAAAAAAGAAAACTTCTGCTTTTTAAAGCAGAATGAATATGAAATGTTAAAGGATTCAATTTTAATGATGTCCAGCTTCTTTTCATAATGGTTCTTTTTTGACCATTTATTAGTTTAAACTGAACAATTCTGAGAAATTTTATATTATTTTACTATGAAATCTGGTTGAAATGAAAACAGTAGAATGAACTTGAAATTAGGCTGCAAATGATCACACTGTACTTTTTCAGCCAAGTTATTTTCATTGCAAACACAGAATGAGGTTTTTATTTCCCATTTTATCAGGTATATAAAATTTCTGCTCTTTTTTTGTGGGGATAGGTGTTTCACTTATGCCTTTTCTCTTCCTTTTACTCATTTTTATCTGAAACTATGAATTTAATCTGTTCTTTTAACCTGCATTACAATAAAAACCATGTCTGCATGCTCTTATTTGTTGCTTTCATGTTGCAAAAGTGGCCCATGATCACATGGGATCATGTGGATCACCTGGAGTCCTGATAATGACCAATGGCATTAGAAAGGAGAAGGAGCAGTTGGGGCCTCAGGGCAATCCCACGAGGTGATGGCCTGCATTACACGTACTGGGTACTGCTGGTGGCTGTGTTTTTTTCAATGACATCACTTAATGCCTGGGGAATGCTTCTTCCATAAAATTGGGTGAGGACAAGACCAGAGAGTGGCAGATTTGGAGAAGAGACATAAATTAAATCTTAGTAAATACAACTTATTTGATCTGCACAAACCATAAGGAGAGTGCTGTTGATAACAGTAAACTCAACTGCAATTGTACTGCGTTATTTTTATTATATGGATGGAGATCAATGAGACAAATGGAGACTTAGAAGAGCTGTCAAGTACAAGTTATTCCTTTGGTCAATATTGGAAAATACATATGACTTAATTGACTAAATTCATAAGTGACCATATCATACTATAATCACTGGAAAATGATGCTAGGACATTCAAGAACAGAATCCCAAACCACACAATCTTAATTCTAAAGACTGGTCTGGAATCTACAATAAGGAAACCAGACTCCCATGGATTTATAAAGTTCAAGCCTCTGATTTTGCAGATGTTCTGCTTTTGCATATGGTTAATCATGACAATTGCTCAGCTCCACACCTAAAAGAGCATGTTTCCAAGTTATATTCTATTCCAACACCTTAGTGCACTTTCATCCTAGAGTTTTTCTGGTGAGTCCCGGCAATGTCAATAACTAAGGTTAGATAAGAAATAACTTGGCTTTTTTTTTCAGTTTGGCACAGAGAGGTTATTATTGAAGTCCAAAAGAACCAAGCAATGTTAACCCATACTTAGTGAGATGTTTGTCTTTAATTGTGTTTAGTGTTAAGCCTACCAATGATGAGGATTCAATGATGAAAATGGTTTATGTATTGTGATTAGTACAGAGAAAGTGGCACCATAATAATTTATTTGTAAATCCAAAATTATTTGTAATGTTTTCCTATAAGCAAAGATATCACTTCAACCCTTTAAAATACTGCAGCTGATCTTTCTCACTAATAACTATTTACATAGTTTTAACATTTTTTTGCATGACATTGTCCTATGGGGTGAAGTAACAATCTCACAAGATGGTCTGTGACATAAAGAAAGCTTATCTAGCATAAATGCTCTATTGTTGAATACAATAAAGAATTAAGAATCACATGCTTTAATGGGCTACACCACCAAGAAATTGAAACACGTGATATTTATTTTTGAAGGGGAATGCTCCACAGTAAATATATTCTTATGTATAGTTTAGTTGTGATCAATTACAGGCTAAATATTAATGATTGTAAAAAAATAAGTCATCATGATAAAAAGTACACAGACATTTTACACAGATTTTCTACCTGTGAAAATATGTAGACATGAGTATGGTCTCATTGTTAAGGCAAATTATTATAATACAATAACAAATGCAGGAAAAGAATTTAAACAAAACAAAAACAATAATCATGTGAGACTGACTTACAAAATAAGAATTGTCCTTAAAGCAAGACTATATTATTCCTCAGTAGTTACTGTGAATTTTAATTTTTCATAGCTGAGTCAATAGACAAAGTAACAAAAGTTAAAAATAAAATTATCTAAATTACTTATTTTATATGTAGTAAGTACTTTTAAAAATTTATATTTTACCTAGGGGACAATCACTCTTGCTATTGATGAGTCATAAGAACTTCAAAAACTTGAAAAATAATTTATCCCTGAGATTTAGAGACAGAAAAATCTCTACAAATGTAGAAGTGCAGTTCTATAATGTTTGAACACTCCTTACCACTGAAACAATCAAATGTATCCCAGACCAGAGTAGTTATTGCCTCCGTTATGTTAATCTGATCTTCTTGTAATGAAATTACAAGGGCAAATTTTTAAAAATCAGGTAAAAAGCAACACTTGTTTTATTGTCAGCTTTACTAATATGTGGTTAAAATTGAGGCAAATCCAATGAGTAAATTATTGCTTCATAAATGTTAAGTAATATTTTAATATTCAAAAAGTATTAGATAGCAAAGAAAAAATATCTGTTAAATGAGGGTAGGCTAAATTTCAAGAACCAATAAACCATTTAAGGGTCTTTTTTAAAAAAAGAGTTAGCTTTGCCTGCTTTATCTTATATATTGTATAATAATTTTAAACTGTGATGGTTAGTAACATTGATTTTCTTTTAGTTGTTTAAAAACTCCTAAGAAGAAATAGGGAAAATTTTCTACAATACTTCATTGTCATGACACGATAATTTATAAAACCTATGAATTAGGTTTTATAATGGAGGACAGCATATATTTTTCTAATGTTTTTCCATTTTTTAATTTTTTTTATTTTTTCTTATTTTTTGAGAGGGAGTCTCGCTCTGTCGCCCAGGCTGGAGTGCAGTGGCACAGCCTTGGCTCACTGCAAGCTCCGCCTCCCGGATTCACGCCATTCTCCTGCCTCAGCCTCCTGTGGGACTACAGGCGCCCGCCTCCACGCCCGGCTAATTTTTTGTATTTTTTAGTAGAGACGGGGTTTCACCGTGTTAGCCAGGATGGTCTTGATCTCCTGACCTCTTGATCCGCCTGCCTCGGCGTCCCAAAGTGCTGGGATTACAGGTGTGAGCTACCGCGCCCGGCCGGTTTTCCCATTTTTTTAACCTTTATTTTAGGTTAATGGGTACAAGTGCAGGTTTGTTATGCAGGTAAATTACATCTCATGAGGGGTTGGTGTTTTTTCCAGATTTTTTCCGCCATCTAGGTAACAAGTATAGTATCTGATAGGTAGTTTTTTGTTCCTCTTTCTAC
Source organism: Homo sapiens (assembly GCF_000001405.40). Lineage (NCBI taxonomy): Eukaryota > Metazoa > Chordata > Mammalia > Primates > Hominidae > Homo > Homo sapiens. Next base: position 208,849,501 of record NC_000002.12, read on the forward strand.
TCCCTCCCTCAAGTAGGCCCTGGTATCTGTTGTTTCCTTCTTTGTGTTCATGTGTTTAGCTTCAAAGTTGAGCTCCAACTTCTGAGAACATGTGGTATGTGGTTGTCTGTTTCTGTGTTAGCTGACTTAAGATAACCGCCCTTCAGCACTTTGGGAGGCCAAGGCGGGCGGATCCCAAGGTCAGGAGATGGAGACCACCCTGGCTAACATGTTAAAACCCCAACTCTACTAAAAAAATATAAAAAAATTAGCCGGGTGTGGTGGCGGGCGCCTGTAGTCCCAGCTACTCAGGAGGCTGAGGCAGAAGAATGGCGTGAACCTGGGATGTGGAGCTTGCAGTGAGCTGAGATCGTGCCACTGCACTCTAGCCTGGGTGACAGAGCAAGACTCCGTCTCAGAAAAAGAAAAAAAAAAGAAGATAATGCCCTCCAGCCCAATACATGTTCTTGCAAATGACATAATCTCATTCTTTTTTATGACTGCATAGTATTCCATGATGTATATGTACCACTTATCTAGTCTACCACTACTGGGCATTTAGGTTGATTCCATGTCTTTGCTATTGTGAATAGTGCTACAATGAACATACGAGTGTGTGTGTCTTTTTGGTATAATCTATTTTCCTTTGGGTATATACCCAATAATGAGATTGCTGAGTCGAGTGGTAACTATGCTTTGAATTCTAAGAAAAATCACCATGCTGCTTTCCACAATGGCTGAACTAATTTACATTCCCACCAGTAGTGTGTAAGCATTCCCTTTTCTCTGCAACTTCACCAGCATCTGTTTTTTTGACTTTTTAATAATACCCATTATAACTGGTGTGAAATGGTATCTCATTGTGGTTTTGATTTGCAATTCTCTAATGATAAGTGACGTTAAACATTTTTTCATATGTTTGTTGGCTATGTGTATGTCTTCCTTTGAAAAGGGTATGTTCATGTCCTTTGTCCAATTTTTAATGAGGTTATTTGTTTTTTTCTTGTAAATTTGTTTAAGTTCTGTATAGATTCTGGATATTAGAACTTTGTCAGATGCATACCTGGAAATACATTCTCCCCTTCTGTAGGTTGCCTGTTTACTCTATTGATAGTTTCTTTTGCTTTGCAGAAGCTCCATTAAATTAGGTACCACTTGTCAATTTTTGCTATGTTGAAATGGCTTTTGGCATCTTCATGGGTATCTTTGCCCATTCCTATCTCCATAATGGTATTTCTTAGGTTATCTTCCAGACTTTTTATAGTTTTAGATTGTATATTTAAGTATTTAATCCATCTTGAGTTGATTTTTGTAGATGATGTAAAGAAGAGATCCAGTTTCAATCTTCTGCATATGGCTAGCCAATTATTCCAACACCATTTATTGAATAGGGAATTATTTCTCTATTGCTTGTTTTTGTTGACTTTGTCAAAGATCAGACAGTTGTAGGTGTGTGGCATTATTTTTGGGTGCTGTATTTTGTTACATTGGTCTGTGGGTCTGTTTTTGTACCCATATCATGCTGTTTTGGTTACTGTAGCCTGTAGTGTAGTTAGAAGTTGGGTAACATGATGCCTCCAGCTTTATTCTTTTTGCTTAGTTAGGATTGCCTTAGCTATTTGAGCTCCTTTATGATTCCATATATATTTTTAAATAGATTTTTTTTCTAGTTCTGTGAAGAATGTCATTGGTAGTTTGATAGGAATAACATTGAATCTCTAAATTGCTTTAGGCAGTATGGCAACTTTAACAGTATTGATTCTTCCTGTCCATGAGCATGGAATGTTTTTTGTTTGTATCATCTCTGATTTTTTTAGCATGTTTTGTTATTCTTACTGTAGAGATCTTTTACCTCTCTGGTTAGCTATATTCTTAGGTAATTTTTTTCTTTTTGTGGCTATTGTGAATTTGATTGGGCTACTAATTTGGCTCTCAGCTTGGATGTTATTGATATATAGGAATGCTACTGATTTTTCTACATTAATTTTGTATCCTAAGACTTTGGTGAAGTTGTTTATCAGACCTAGGAGTTTTTGGGAAGAGACTATGAGGTTGTCTAGGTATAAAATCGTATTGTCTGCAAACAGGGATAGTTTGACTTCCTCTCTTCCTATTTGAATGCCTTTTATTTCTTTCTCTCACCTGATTGCTCTGGCCAGGGTTTCCAATACTATGTTGAATAGGAGTGGTGAGAGAGAGCATGCTTTTCCTGTTCTGGTTTTCAAGGAGAGTGCTTCCAGCTTTTGCGCATTCACTATGATGTTGGCTGTGGGTTAGTCATGGATGGCTCTTATTATTTTGAAGTATGTTTCTTCAATGCCTAGTTTGTCGAGGGTTTTTAACATAAATGGATGCTGAATTTTATTGAAAGCCTTTTTTGAATCTGTGGAGATAATCATGGTTTTTGTTTTTAGTTCTGTTTGTGTGATGAATCACATTTATTGATTTGCTTATGTTGAACCAAACTTGCATCCCAATCCGTGATAAAGCCTACTTTATCATGGATTAGCTTTTTGATGTGCTGCTGAATTTGGTTTATTAATGTATTGTTGAAGATTTTTAAATTCATGTTAATCATAGATATTGGCCTTAAGTTTTCTTTTTTTGTTGTGTCTCTACCAGGTTTGTATCAGGATGATACTGGTGTCATAGAATGAGTTAAGGTGGAGCCCCTTCTCCTCAATTTAAAAAAATAGTTTCTATAGGAATGGTACTGGCTTTTCTTTGTATATCTGTAGAATTCAGCTGTGAATATATCTGGTCTGGGTTTTTTCTGACTGGTAGACTTTTATTACTGATTCAATTTCAGATCTCATTCTGGGTCTGATCAGGGATTTAATTTCTTCCTGGTTCAATCTTGGCAGCTTGTGTGTTTCCAGGAATTTATCCATTTCTTCTAGGTTTCCTAGCTTTTTCTTTTTTTTTTGAAACGGAGTGAAGCTCTTGTCTCCCAGGCTGGAGTGCCATGGTGCAATAATCTCGGCTCACTGCAACCTCTGCCTCCTGGGTTCAAGTAATTCTCCTGCCTCAGCCCTGCTCATTTTTTTGTATTTTTTGTAGAGACGGGGTTTCCCCACATTGGCCAGGCTGGTCTTGAACTCCTGACCTCAGGTGATCCACCCACCTTGACCTCCCAAATTGCTGGGATTACAGGTGAGCCACCATGCTCAGCCACATAGTGATGTTTATAGCAGTCTCTGAGGGTTTTTTATATTTCTGTGGGGTCAGTGGTACTGCCATTTCTGTTTGTGTTTATTTGGATCTTCTCCATGTCATTATTAGTCCAGCTATCTTATTTATTCTTTTCAAAAACCAACTCTTGGATCTGTTAATGTTTTGTACAGATTTCATGTCTCAATTTCCTTCAGTTCAGCTCTGATTGTGGTTATTTCTTGTCTTCCATTGGCTTTCAGGTCGGTTTCCTCTTGTTTCACTAGTTCCTCTTGGTGTGATGTTTGGTTGTTAATTTGAGATCTTTCTGACTTTCTGATGTGGGTATTTAGCACTATAAACTTTCCTTTTAATATAGCTTTAGCTATGTCCCAAAGATTCTGTTATGTTTTATCTTTGCTCTCATTAGTTTCAAAGAATTTCTTGATTTCTGCTTCAATTTCATTGTTTACCCAAAGGTCATTCAAGAACAGGTTGTTTAATTTACATGTAGTTCTATGGTTTTGAGCAAGTTACTTCGTATTGATTTCTATTTTGAGTGTGCTGTGGTACAAGAGTGTGGTTGGTATGATTTCCTCTTTTTATGATTTTGCTGAGAATTGTTTTATGTGTGATTTTGTGGTCACTTTTAGATCATGTTCCATGTGCAGATAAGAAGGTATATTTCATTGTTTTGAGTGGAGAGTTCTGTAGATGTCTAATAGGTCCATTTGGTCAAGTGTAGAGTTCAGGTCCTGAATATCTTTGTTATTTTTGTTCCTCGATGATCTGTCTAATACTGTCAGTGGGGTTTTGAAGTCTTCCACTATTATTGTGTGAAAATTGAAGTCTCTTTGTAGTTCTCTAAGAACTTGCTTTATAAATCTTGGTGCTCCTGTATTGGGTGCATATATATTTAGGACAGTTAGCTCTTCTTATTGAATTGAACTCTTTACCATTATGTAATGCCCTTCTTTGTCTTTCTTTCTTTGTTTTGATTTGAAGTCTGTCTTGTCTTAAATTAGAATACAACCCCTGCTGTTTTCTGTTTTCTATTTGCTTGGTTGATTTTTCTCCTTCCCTTTACTTTGAGCCTATGGGTGTCATTGCATGTGAGATGGGTCTCTTGAATATAGCATACCTTTGGTTCTTGCATATTTATTTAGCTTGCCATTCTATGCCTTTTAATTGGGGCATTTAGCCTATTTACGCTCAATGTTAACATTGATATGTTCAGACTTGTTCCTGTCATCCTATTGTTAGCTGGTTATTATGCAGACTTGTTTGTTTCGTTGCCTTATAGTGTCAATAGTCTATGTACTTATGTGTGTTTTTGTAGTGGCTGCTAATAATCTTTCCTTTCCATTTTTTGCATTATTTTCAGGACCTCTTACAATGCAGATACATTGGTAACATATTCCCTTAGTATTTTTATATCTAAAAGAGATTTTATTTCTCGTTCACTACTGAAACTTAGTTTGGCTAGATATAAAATTCTTGGTGGAAAATTCTTTTCTTTAAGAATGCTGAATACAGGCCCTAAATGTCTTCTGTTTTGTAGAGTTTCTGCTGAAATTTCCAATGTTAGCCTGAGGAGGTTTCCTTTGTAGGTAACCTGCCCCTTTTCTCTAGCTGCTTTTAACTTTTTTTTTCTTTCATTTCTGTTGCAGGAAGTCAGGGACCCGGAACAGAGGGACTTAATGAAGCTGTGGCAGAAGAAAAAATTATGAAGATTTCATGGACATTTATTAGTTCCCCAAATTAATACTTTTATAATTTCTTACACCTGTCTTTACTGCACTCTCTGAACATAAATTGTGAAGATTTCATGGACATTTATCACTTCCCCAATCAACACTCTTATAATTTCCTATGCCTGTCTGTACTTTAATATCTTAATCCCATCATCTTTGTAAGCTGAACATGTATGTCCCTCAGGACCCTGTGATGATTGTGCTATCTGCACAAATTGTTTGTAAAGCATGTGTGTTTGAACAGTATGAAATCTGGGCATCTAGAAAAGGAACAGGATAACAACGACTTTCAGGGAACAAGGGAGATAACCATTAGGTCTGACTGCCTGGAAGCCAGGCAGGACCAAGTCATATTTCTCTTATTGTCAAAAACGGGTAAGAGAAATATTGCTGAATTCTTTCCCCAGTAAGGAATATTAATAACTAACAACCCTGGGAAAAGAATGCATTCCCGGGGGGCGGCCTCTAAAATGGCCGCTCTGGGAATGTCTGCTTTATGCAGTTGTAGATAGGGATGAAACATGCCCTGGTCTCCTGCAGCGCCCCCAGGCTTGCTAGGATTAGGATATCCAGCCTGGTGAATTTTAGTCAGACTGGTTGTTTGCTCTCAAACCCTATCTTCTGAAAAGATGTTATCAATGACAATGTGTGCCCGGTGGGACATGAGACTTCCTCAGCAATTCTAATTTTGCCCTGATCCTGTGATCTCACTCTGCCCCCATCTGCCTTGTGATATTTTATTGCCCTTGAAGCATGTGATCTCTGTGACCCACACCCTATTAGTACACCCCTCTCCTTTTGAAATCCATAATAAAAACTTGCTGGTTTTGTGGCTCAAGGGGCATCACGGAACCTGCCGACATGTGATGTCTCCCCTAGACACCTAGCTGTAAAATTTATCTCTTTTGTACTCTTTCCCTTTATTTCTCAGACCAGCTGACACTTAGGGAAAATAGAAAAGAACCTATGTTGAAATATTGGGGGCTGGTTCCCCCAGTACATTTCGACCTTGGAGAATCTGATGATTTTGTGCCTGATGGTTTTCTTTTGTAGTATCTTGCTGGGGTTCTCCGCAAGATTTGAACATTCTCTGATTTGAATGTTGGCCTCTAGGTTGGGAGAATTTTCGTGGATGATATCCTTAAATATGTTTTACAAGTTGCTTACTTTCTCTCCCTCTCTTTCAAGGATTCAAATGAGACATAGATTTGTTCTCTTTACATAATCCCGTATTTCTTGGAGGTTTTGTTCATTCTTTTTTATTCTTTTTTATTTTTATCTGACTGTGTTAGTTTGGAGAACCCGTCTTCAAGTGCTGAGATTCTTTCCTCAGCTTGGTCTATTCTGTTGTTAATACTAGCAATTGCATTATGAAATTCTTGTTGTGTGTTTTTCAGCTCTATCAGGTCAGTTTGGTTCTTTCTTATACCAACCATTTTATCTTTTAGTTCCTGTATCATTTTATTGTAATCTTTAGATTCCTTGGATTGGGTTTCAACTTTCTGCTGAATCTTGATGATCTTCATTCTTATCCACATTCTGAAATATATTTTTGTCATTTCAGCCATTTCAGCCTGGTTAAGAAGCCTTTCTGGGGAATTAGTGTAGTCATTTGGGGGAAAGAAAACACTGTGGCTTTTTGAATTGCAGAGTTTCTGTGTGGGTTCTTTCTTATCGTGTGGGCTGATGGTCCTTTAACTGCAGTGTACAGTGAGGTGACTTCTTTTCTTGATGTTTTCAGAAGGCTGAGACTTTGTGCAAAGTCTTTAGTTGTTGCTGAGTTCTTCTTCTTGGTTTCACAAGGGGGTATATTAGCAAAATATTTTGATGTTGAAGTTTGGGCTGTGATCTAGTAGATGGTTCTTAAGCATAATGAACTGTACATAGTCTCTTGCTCAGCCATGTGACTCCTCTGTATTTCCTCACAATTGCAGCCTGCTTTCTCTCAGGGCCTGGAAAGTGTGGGCTCCTCTCCCACTCGAGTGCTGGCTGCAGATCTTGTCTTGGCAATCCCGAACTGTACACCACTGTCCTGGGGTGAACTCAGCTTTTTAGGCTTTATTTTCCTTCCCCAGCTTGTAAGCAAGAGGAGAAGCTACCTTGGCAGCAGCTGAGGCAGAGGGCCTTTCACTTGTTTCTTGGATCTCCACTCCAGAGAAATGCAGAACCACTACCAATGGGTGCAATTAGCCTGGGATGGGGAGGCTGAGTTGTGGGCCTGATCCTGGGGATCCACGGTACCAAGGAAATGGGGCAGGCTCTTGGAGGAGGCAGACTGGCTTCTTCTTCTCCTTAGGGCAACTGCAACTACAACTTTTGGGTAAAGCACTTAGAGTCTTTGTTCCTTCCCCAGTCCGAGGGCAGCAAGGGCAGTACCACTGCAGCAGCAGTAGCAGAGGGGCTTTTAGTTGCTTCTGGGTGCCCCTCCCCTAGGGAAACACGGAGCCACTAGCAGTGGAACGGTCAGCTGTGGGTGAGGTAGCTGTTCTGTAGTCCCAAGCTGAGGCTCCTACCTGCTGAAGACTGGGTAGGGACTCACAGGGGATAGAGACTGAATTCCTCTCCATATGGTGGCTGCAGCATGCTAGATATCCTGGCATAGCAACCAGGCCCTTTGTGCTTTCCCCAGCTCAAGGGGTAGTAAGGATGGTACCACAGCAGTTGCAATGGTAGAGAGCTGTGGGTTGTCTCTGGGATTTCCTCCATAGAGAAAGGCAGAGCCACCACCAACTGCAGTGTTCAGGCATGGTTAGGGTGTTTGTGCTGGGAGCCCAGGTTGAGAGGCACTGCCCAGTGAAGATTAGTGGAGATAGGACCTGTGTGTAAAACAGTCTGGCTGCTTTTCTGTAAGACTGCTGTGCTGTGCTGGGGGCCAATGTTACTTCCTAATTATTATTGCATTTCCTCCTGAACCTGAGGGCAATAGGAGTGAGGGCTGCAGAGCAGCAAAAATGGTGGCCTACCTTTCCCTCTGAGAGCTCTGTCCCAGGAAAGTTCAGAGCTGCTAACCAGCTCAAGAGCCCAGGCCCAGTATGGCTGGCGTCCCGGGTTAGGAGGCCCTGCCCTGTGAGGAATAGTGGGTTCAGGGACCCACGTGGAAAACTGGCTGCTTTTCTGTCAGGTGGAGTTACATCGCTGGGGGTCCTTGTTAGTCTCCAATCACTGTGTACCCTCCCAAGCCTAAGGGCAACAGGGCCGAGGGTTGTAGAGCAGCAAAAATGTCAGCCTGCCCCTTCCTCTGGGACCTCCATCTCAGGGAAGTGGAGAGCTGCTCCCAGCCCAAGAACTCAAACAGGGTTGGGGTGACCTCATTAGCATCCCAGGCCAGTGAGCTGTATCCTGCCCTACGAGTTGCAGTGGAGGTGAGGCCTGCAGTCCCTCATTGCTCAGCCTTGTAGATTCAGGCCCTTTCCTGGGAGTCTGCAAAGGAGCCTGGCCTCCCCCATTGCCAGAACTGCAGCTACTGGTGTTGGGGTGCTGGAGAATCCAAGGCTCCTGCGACTCTGCTTGTGCCTGTGTGGCTTGGTCTGCTCAGACTCCCCACAGCACTTCATGTGGGTGTGGAGGCTCCTGTGTTGGGAAATCACAGGGAATGTCCTGAGCCCAGGGATGCAAAGGCTGTAGCAGAAGTATGAGTCCCTGCAGACTATCACTCAGTCACTCATCATTTCCCCACAGTATAGGGGTCTCCTCTATCTCCATGCCAGTTCCAGGTAGGCAGTCGTCCTATCTTGCTCTTCTCTGTTCTCTGTGGGTAACATTGTTTCCTTGATGAATCCCAATGTGTCCACCTGGATGTTCTAGTTGAAGAGCTAGTGTTACTTGTTACTTTTCCTTCTTTCCACGAGAGCAGCACACACTAGCTGCTTCTAGTCAGCCATCTTGGCCCCAGAACCTGGTTTTCTCATATTTTTGACTTGTGATTTATGATGCAAAAGAGGTGTCAGTTTGTGGACACATCAGAAATTACATTAATTGTTTCTGATATTTCATCTCCAAATAAAAATCAAACCTGTACTATCTTTCCACACTTGTTATTAATTGAAATATTTAAACCTCTCAACTGCTAAATAGATCTCTAAATTATGTGACTACTGCAAGACCGTGTAAGTGGCTTGGCACTGTTAGATGGGGTGCTTTATTACAACCTAATGAATTAAGTGTACTAAATTTTTAATCATTAATTTCTAGTATCAAAATGGTGAGTATAAGGTGTGAAGTTTTATTTAATGACTTAATTTTGAGTCTTAGTTCCAGGAAAGACTTCTAAATTAGAATTCACCCTAGGATAATTACAACTGTATTTGCAAATTGGAAGCATTACAGAATTCATTAAAAACATTTTATTTAGAAGACACCCCTGCTGCTTATGGTAATAACTTTTTTACATGATTAAGTGTCCATATGAGACAGCCTTTAAAAATTATGTATATCCATGCAATTTATAAGCTTTAATTAAAAAATCAATAATGAATGTAGACATTTGCTTGCTTCCCCTTTACCTTCTGCCATGATTGTAAGTTTCCTGAGGGCTTTTCAGCCATGCTGAATTGTGCATCAATTAAACCTCTTTCCAGTTACCCAGCCTTGGGCAGTTCTTTATAGCAGTATGAAAATGGACACATACAGTAAATTGGTACTGCAGAGACTGGGGTGCTGCTATAAAGATATCTGAAAATGTGGAAGAGACTTTGGGACTGGCTAACAGGTACAGGTTGAAATGGTTTGGGGGGCTCAGAGGAAGACAGGAAGATATGGGAAAGTTTGGAACTTCCTAGAGACTTGTTGAATGGCTTTGACCAAAATGCTGATAATGATGTGGACAATGAAATCTAGGCTGAACTGGTCTCAGATGGAGATGAGGTACTTGTTGGGAACTGGAATAAAGGTTTTCCTTGCTATGCTTTAGCAAAGAGACTAGCAGCATTTTGCCCCTGCCCTAGAGATCTGTGAAACTTTGAACTTGAGAGAGATGATTTAGGGTACCTGGTGGAAGAAATTTCTAAGCAGCAAAATGTTCAAGATGTGACTTTGGTGCTCTTAAAAGCATTCATTTTTATGCATTCATAAAGAGATGGTTTGGAATTGAAACTTATGTTTAAATGGGAAGCAGAGCATAGAAGTTTGGAAAATTTGCAGCTTGATGATGTGGTAGAAAAGAAAAACCCATTTTCTGAGGAGAAAGTCAAGGCAGCTACAGAAATTTGCATAAGTAACAAGGAGCCAAATGTTAATCACCAAGACAATGCAAAAAATGTCTCCAGGGAATGTCAGAGGACTTCACAGCAGACCTTCCCATCACAAGCCCAGAGGCCTAGGAGGAAAAATGGTTTCATGGGACAGGCCCAGTGCCTTGGGCAGTCTCATGACTTGGTGCCCTGCATGAATCACAAAAATCAATAATGAATGTAGACATTTGTCTGTCTAATGTGTATTTAGTTCATTGATATTTTTACATTTATTGGATGTATTTTTAATGTTTTTTTCCTCTATTCACTTATTTAGACTGCTAGCTAACTGGGTTAGGACTAGGCTATCACATCATTCTTTGACCTGTGTCACTTGGTCTGACCCTTCTGAAAACCAAGAGTTTGTTCCAGATAAACCCAAGCAACTAGTGAATTATTCTCCAGAAATGAGAAATAGAGATGATAGATACAAGTTCCCTAATTTTCCTATTAGTGCCCAATTTTTCTTACTTCAAATAAAAATATTATAAATACATGAAAATGTAATCACAATGAACTTTTATTATTTCAGTGATATGAGTAATATCACTGTCAGGAAACACCAAAGATCTTGTAGAACTACTGACTGTCTGATGAAAGCATTGCTTGGTGATATAACCCTTACATGTCAAGGGAGAGACCAGGTGGAGGTAATTGGATCATGGGAGCCTGAGCTGTACATTGGCCCCTTTTAGCCAATGTGAAGAGCTTCAGAGGGTGCAAGCCCCAAGCCTTGGCAGCTTTCATGTGGTGTTGGGGCTGTGGGTGCACAGAAGTCAAGAATTGAGGTTTGGGAACCTCTGACTAGATTTCGGAGGACCTATAGAAACACCTAAATGTCCAGGCAGAGGTGTGCTGCAGTAGCAGAGCCCTCATGGAGGACCTCTGCTAGGACAGTGTGGAAGGGAAGCTTGGGGTCAGAGCCCCCACACAGAGTCCCCACTGGGGCACTGCCTAGTGGAGCCATGAGAAGAGGGCCACCAATCCAGACCCCAAAGTGGTAGATCCACCAACAGCTTGCACTTTATGCCTGGAAAAGCCACTGAATGCCAGCCTGTGAAAGCAGCTGGATTAGGGGGTTGTACCCTGCAAAGGCACAGAGGTGGAGCTGCCCAAGACCATCAAAGCCTACCTCTTACATCAGTGTGACCTAGATGTGAGACATGGAGTCAAAGGAGAGAATTTTGGAGCTTTAAGATTTGACTGCCGTGCTGGATTTCAGATTTGCATGGGGTCTGCAGCCCCTTCATTTTGGCCAGTTTCTCCCATTTAGAATGGCTGTATTTACCCAATGCCTGTAACCTCATTGTATCTAGGAAGTAATTAAATTGCTTTTGATTTTATAGGCTTACAGGTGGAAGGGACTTGCCTTGTCTCAGATGAGATCTTGGACTCATACTTTTGAGTTAATACTGGAATGAATTAAGACTTTGGGTGACTGTTGAGAAGGCATGATTAGTTTTGAAATGTGAAAGGGACATGAGATTGGGGAGGGGCCAGGGGCAGAATGATACGGCTTTGTGTCCCCACACAAATCTCATCTTGACTTATAATCCCCATAATCCTTATAATCCCCTCATGTCAAGGGAGAGACCAGATGGAGATAATTGGATCATGGGGGTGGCATCCCCCATGCTGTTCACATGATAGTGAGTTCTCACAAGATCTGATGGTTTTATAAGGGGCTCTTCCCCTTTTGCTGGGCACTTCTCCTTCCTGCCACCTTGTGAAGAAGGTGCCTTGCTTCCCCTTTGCCTTCTGCCATGATTGTTTTCCTGAGGTCTTCCCAGCCATGGGAACTGAGGTCTTCCCAGCCATGCTGAACTTTGAGTCAACTAAACCTCTTTTCTTTATAAATTACCCAGGCTCTGGCAGTTCTTTATAGCATTATGAAAATGGACTAATACACTTGGGCAACTGACATTAAAGCACTGGGTTTGGAAGATATTACATTTCACTATCATGAATGTGTAAGACATTTATCCAGTATCCCTCTTGAATCTGATTTTAATTTAGGCATCAAAAATTTTGACAAGTAAGGTGCTCAAGTCTGAATGTTTTGTTTTGAATATATATATTTATATGTATTTCATATATATAAAATCAGGGGACCTCTGATATATATGACCTGAAAGAACGCAGTGAAAAGAAATGAGTTTTAATTAATTTAGAGATGAAGCCAAACACAAACTTTTAAGAAGTTAATTAATAATAAAACTTTTATCAGGAGTTTTTATGTTTAAACTCTGTTTCAGCATTTCTCTCTTTTCCAGGTACTAATTTAATGCCTCTCAGCTGGAAATTCACTTAGCAGTACCTGATCAGTGGTAATGGACTGGACTCATCATGTATTTCTCCTTTAGAGTAAACACAATCAGGTGGGCAGTAGAGGGACGTAACAGAAGGAAGACTGCTTCTCTTTTAGTTACTGTGACCTCTATTTTGTTATTTCTTGCTCCTGTTGCATGGTCTATTAGCAGTGCATATGCATGGAGGCATCTGGTGGTGCTCCAGATAAAGGCAGTTTCCTTTTTTTTTTTTTGACGGAGTCTCGCTCTGTCGCCCAGGCTGGAGTACACTGGCGCGATCTCGGCTCACTGCAAGCTCCGCCTCCCAGGTTCACACTATTCTCCTGCCTCAGCCTCCTGAGTAGCTGGGACTACAGGTGCCCGCCACTGCACCCAGCTAATTTTTTGTATTTTTAGTAGAGACGGAGTTTCACCATGGTCTCGATCTCCTGACCTCATGATCCACCCATCTCAGCCTCCCAAAGTGCTGGGATTACAGGTGTGAACCACCACGCCTGGCCAAAGGCAGTTTCTTAGTAACTGAGGCCTGCCTGGGGACCAGCGACTACCTTGTTATGTCACTCCTGACACAAACATGGCACATCTCACAATAGTGTTCATGTTCTCTCTACCTACCTGTTCACTAGTATTAGGTCACCTGCACCAGGACGAGTTGTTTTCTGATGCCTAGTACTGTGAACCAGCTCTGGCCTCTGCAATCCAGAAAACTGCCACCCTATAGGCTGCAGCCATTATCTTCTCCACTAAGGTTTGAAACTCATCCTTGGAGAGTTGTCCCTTCTATTTTTATATTCCTTGGAGTTCTCTTTATATCTCCATAGTTAATGTTCTGTCATAGTTTAATAATTCCTTATATTAAAGTTCCCATGTTTAAATTACTTTGTGGTTTCTGTCTCTTGATTGATTTTAGAGAGATACACTTAAAAATTACCTATATTACTTTACAATGATATCCATATTATGGTGCCCTACTTCTTAAAAATAGTTTGAACATATTATAATCAATATTTATCAATTGTGTAGCTCATTCACTTCACAATAGTATCAAAGTGACTATCCTGAATCCACACAGAGTGAGTTTTAATAGTGGTTATATTAAATTAATATAACATTACTTATTTGAACAAAATTAGGTAGACATAAATTGTAATAAGGTATACATAAATTGTAATAAGGTACACATATTCTGCCTCTTTACAATATTATTATTATGATTTAGAAATAAGAGATAGACTGTTCTTGAAAGAATGCCAAACTATTCAATAGTTGTAAACAGTAGTTCACATTTAGAAGCTAAATGATATTTGAGTAGAATTTAGATTTAACGGGGTCAATCCCATTTGAATGTGTTTTAAGGAAGATTGTAAAAATAAAGACAACAATTTTCCATGTAAAAAGTTCCTAGTATTTTCTATGCTACCATGTTGGCTTTATTTATTTTCTAGGAGGATAACATTATTTTTTTGTTCCCTGTGGAATAAACATCTAAAATACTACCTTTTACATAACTATAGTCTTTGCACAAGGCAATATACTAGTGGGTGGAAGTTGCCAAACATACAAATTTGGGCCTCTTAACAACTTTATACCTTTATTCATTTAGCCATTAAAAATATTCTCACAGGACACTTCTCAAAAGAAGACATTTATGCAGCCAAAAGACAACATGAAAAAATGCTCATCATCACTGGCCATCAGAGAAATGCAAATCAAAACCACAATGAGATACCATCTCACACCAGTTAGAATGGCAATCATTAAAAAGTCAGGAAACAACAGGTGCTGGAGAGGATGTGGAGAAACAGGAACACTTTGACACTGTTGGTGGGACTGTAAACTAGTTCAACCATTGTGGAAGACGGTGTGGCGATTCCTCAAGGATCTAGAACTAGAAATACCATTTGACCCAGCCATCCCATTACTGGGTATATACCCAAAGGATTATATATAAATCATGCTGCTATAAAGACACATGCACACGTGTGTTTATTGAGGCACTATTCACAATAACAAAGACTTGGAGCCAACCCAAATGTCCAACAGTGATAGACTGGATTAAGAAAATGTGGCACATATACACCATGGAATACTATGCAGCCATAAAAAAGATGAGTTCAGGTCCTTTGTAGGAACATGGATGAAGCTGGAAACCATTATTAGGAGATATACCTAATGTTAAATGACAAGTTAGTGGGTGCAGCACACCAACATGGCACATGTATACATATGTAACTAACCTGCACGTTGTGTACATGTACCCTAAAACTTAAAGTATAATAAAAAAAAATTGTCACAGGAAGTAGAAGCTAAATTGCATAATTATAGTTATTTGAAATTTTAATTTCACAGAAAAGTTTATAATAAGATGTAAAAACATAAGCAATTATTTTTGTTGTTGGGTGGTTATTTAAAATATTAAGTTCAATTAAGTTCAATTAACAAGCTAATATCCAAATCAGTAACAATCAATAATTTGGGATTTACATCTTATTTTTTATTTTACTTTACCCCCATTCTTTAAAAGTGCTTTAAATCAGAAAATATGATTTCAACTTCAGTTTTGTCAAATATATCACTCTGCCCCTAAACACAGATAATATTTAATTGAATAAATATCTTAATATATTTTAGTAATATGTATAGCTTTTTTAACCTTAATACTAAGGGTCTGCCACGTTTTTCTCCCTCTGAGTTTAAAAGATATTATTTTTACTTCTAAATTATTTTCCCAAATTCCATGTCTAAAACACCAAAAGCAATGGCAACAAAAGACAAAATTGACAAATGGGATCTAATTAAACTAAAGAACTTCTGCACAGCAAAAGAAACTACCATCAGAGTGAACAGGCAACCTACAGAATGGGAGAAAATTTTTGCAACCTACTCATCTGACAAGGGGCTAATATCCAGAATCTACAATGAACTCAAACACATTTACAAGAAAAAAACAAACAACCCCATCAAAAAGTGAGTGAAGGATTTGAACAGACACTTGTCAAAAGAAGACATTTATGCAGCCAAAAGACACATGAGAAAATGCTCATCATCACTGGCCATCAGAGAAATGCAAATCAAAACCACAATGAGATACCATTTCACACCAGTTAGAACGGCGATCATTAAAAAGTCAGGAAACAACAGGTGCTGGAGAGGATGTGGAGAAATAGGAACACTTTTACACTGTTGGTGGGACTGTAAACAAGTTCAACCATTGTGGAAGACGGTGTGGCGATTCCTCAAGGATCTAGAACTAGAAATACCATTTGACCCAGCCATCCCATTACTGGGTATATACCCAAAGGATTATAAATCATGCTGCTATAAAGACACATGCACACGTATGTTTATTGCAGCACTATTCACAATAGCAAAGACTTGGAACCAACCTAAATGTCCAACAACAACAGACTGGATTAAGAAAATGTGGCACATATACACCATGGAATACTATGCAGCCATAAAAATTGATGAGTTCATGTCCTTTGTAGGGACATGGATGAAACTAGAAACCATCATTCTGAGCAAACTCTCGCAAGGACAAAAAACCAAACACCTCATGTTCTCACTCATAGGTGGGAATTGAACAATGAGAACACATGGACACAGGAAGGGGAACATCACACTCTGGGGACTGTTGTGGGGTGGGGTGAGGGGGGAGCGATAGCATTAGGAGATACACCTAATGCTAAATGATGAGTTAATGGGTGCAGCACACCAACATGGCACATATATACATAAGTAACAAACCTGCACGTTGTGCACATGTACCCTAAAACTTAAAGTATAATAATAAAATTAAAAAATAATAATAATAATAAATTTCCCAATATTAAACCAAAATAAGTTAATTAATGCACACTTTTAAGCTAAAAATGTACATATAGCCTTTCTATCAAAAAAAAAAGAAAATATAATGATTAATCTCATTACAATTGCTTGTAAGGACATTGTCTAACAAATTTATGGTGAAACTAGTTTTACCTTCTTTTTTCCCCAAGAATATGATTTACTGACTTCAATATAGAATAGACATTGCTTGGATTTATTTGCTTCATTTCCAATTCAGAATTCTGTTACTCATAGCAAAAAAATCATGTTTGCTCATTCTTAACAATAAAATTGAATATAAAGAAAATTATGCAATTAAAGAACATATACAGTCTGGGCATAGTGGCTCATGCCTGTAATCCCAGCACTTTGGGAAGCCAAGGTGGGCGGATCACTTGAGGCCAGGAGTTTGAGACCAGCCTGGCCAACATGGCAAAACCCTGTCTCTAGTAAAAATACAAAAATTAGCCAGGCATTGTGGTGCATGCCTGTAGTCAAAGTACTCGGGAGGCTGAGGCATAGGAATCATTTGAACCTGGGAGGCAGAGGCTGCAGTGAGCCGAAATCACACTACTGCACTTCAGTCTGAGCAACAGAGTGAGACTCTGTCTTGAACAAAACAAAACAAACGTATACTATGTCTTATTTTGGGTGTGACTACTAAATTAAAGTAAAATATTAAAAATGTTTGTTTTTTCTTATTTTTAATTTTTTGATAAATTTCAAACAGGAGAAAGACCAAAGAAGAACAATGAATAGATTACGTTCACAAAAAACGACAAACTTATTTTTTTTCCTGTTCCTGGATCATTACACCAATTAATAGGGCAACTTTAATTCCTGGTTCCACTTTTTCCTTCATTTACACATTTTTTAATAATAGGCTTCAGACTCATGTATTTATTCTTATTAAAAACGGCATTTTATCTTTATGTCAGAAGCCATGTGCAATTTTCTACTGTCGGGGAAAATACCATATTTATGGTTGTTATATAAAAGTTCCTGTCCTTATAATAACAAAGGTCATTTTCATGATGTCAAGCTTTCAATTAGAATATTTAAATATAAATTGTTATTATTGTATTAGTTTGTTCTCATGCTGCTAATAAAGACATACCCGAGGCTGGGTAATTTATAAGGGAAAAAGGTTAATTGACTCACAGTTGAGCATGGCTGGGGAGGCCTCAGGAAATTTACAATCATGACAGAAAGGGAAGCAAACATATCCTTCTTCACATGGCAGCAGCAAGAAGTGCAGAAAAAATTGGGGGAAAATCCCTTATAAAACCATCAGATCTCATGAGAACTCACTCTCATGAGAACAGCATGAAGGTAACTGCCTCCATGATTCAATTACCTCCCGTCTGGTTCCTTCCATGACATGTAGGGATTATGGGAACTACAGTGCAAGATGAGATTTCAGTGGGGACACAGCCAAACCATATTAATTATAATCAGGAAAAGGCTGTGGTTCTGTACATAAAGTATCTCAAATCAGATTTATTTGGTTGAATTATTAGAAAGTAAGTGTGGAGACATCTGGTTTTATAAAATTGGAGTAAGCACATTTCCATCTTAGTCCTCCTGTCTAAAATCCTGGAAAAGATAAAGGAAACAAACTGTAGAAGACTCTAAAAGGGGCAGATAAGAAGGTAGTCTGCCAAGAAATGTCAGGGGCCAAAGGAGCTACTTAGTGGCTAGTACCTTGGTTTTGTTTGTTTGTTTTTGTCTTCTTTTTTTCTTGCTGTGGTCTGGGCATAGGAGAAAGTTGCAACCTCAAAATACCAACAGACACATACAGAAAACAAACAAAACTGAACAAACAAAGCAAAACAGGATAAGCCTGCTGTCTTTGGCTAGGGGAGAGAAGGAGGCCCTGTAGGACAGACATTTTGACAACATGGGCTTTACTTCTGAACACCACATAAAAAACTGCCCTCCACCATCACCCTATTTACAATATGATTATTATGATTTATAAATATTATTTAGATTTCTAATTAATAGTGGACACTGGAGCTGCATGGGCAAAGCCCTATTTCCTGGTTAGAGGAAGTCTCAGAGGTTGTGTGTGCTCCATTCAACCCTGGATATGACGGCTAGCTTCACCTAATGGTTGTTGGGCATCTGTAAGGGCTATGTGTATGAGCAGAGCCTAACTCTCTCCTGCCTAGGCAATGAAGCAACTCCACCTACAAGGGTGGGCATTGCCTGAGAGCTGAGTCTATTCATCATTCTGTTCCAGTAATGAGGCAGCTCTATTTTTCAGCCATAGATATCTACAGAAGCTGTACCTGAGAGATAAATCTGTCTATCATTCCACCTTAAAAATGAATCAGCTTGCTCTTTCAGCATACCACCGTCCACGAGGGCTGTGAGTGGGAGCTGAGTTTTTCTGTCATCCCAACCAAGCAACAAAGCAGCCCCATCTCTTTGCTGACCTCTTAACTCATTAACTAGTAGTTTAGAAGTTGTACCTGAGAACTGAGTCTATCTACCATCTCACACTGGCAGTAAAGAGGCATCTCCTCCTCCTAGCTGGAGTGTGTCTGAAGATGCATGTCTATGAGTGGAATCTGATTACTATCCCAGTGTAGCAGTCACAAATAATAATATCTAAGTAAGAATCAGAGTCTTGTAAAGCAACATGCATAATGTTCAGGATACAATCAAAATTAACTTCACATAGCGAGAGAAAGGAAAATCTCAGCTTGAATGAGGAAAGACATTTGATAGACTTGATGCCTAACCAAGACTGAGATAACATGAATGATGGAATTTTTGGATAAAATTTTAATGTAATATGATAAAAAGTATCTCATTGTCAATATATTCTAGAAACAAATACAAAACAGAAAATCTTAGCAACGAAATAGAAGACATAAAGGAGAACCAAAGATAAATTATAGACCTGGAAAATGCAGTTTTGAAATTAAAAGCCATTAGAAAATGCAATCACGAATTGAGGTAACTAAGGAAAGAGTCTAAGGATATAAAAAAAATTAGCAGATAAAGACAAAGTCTTTTGGATGGTGAGAAGAAAGAGCCTGGGAGAGAAAAATGTTGGGGCACTCTCATATGCTGCCAGATTATTGGAATAAGCATAATCCAGTATCAGAAATGAAACAGTAGCTCCAGATTATAGTTCCAACACAGCAGAAGTTAAGGAGCATTTCCTCTTGGCAGCTGATGGGAGTCCTGTGCCATATATAGAGACTCTAGTTCTCAATTAGTTATTAATCTATTATAAACTGCTCTCACATAAATGAATATAAGTTACTTTCCCAGCACACACCTTTGGTCTTTAGGAAATGAACCCTGAAGTAGTTATTTCAAAATGGGTCTTTATCACTCCCTTTTTAAGTCTTATGTTAATTCCTATCTTGGCAGTTTCCTGGGGAAAATGTAATAAACATTGTGTCATCCCTGATCCCATTCATGGTAGCAGAGTGCTATGAATGCTTTCACACAATCCTCAGGGGCATTATGATTCATACTTAAATTGGATCCTACCACTATGTAAATACTATAATCAGAAATTAAGGGACAATAAGTTAGCTATAAGCTCTGGATGTCTTCTGGTTCCTCAGAACCCCTATAATATAATGAACAGAGAAAATTTGTATTTATTCCAAAGGGCCAATTATCTGCACACACGATTTCAGTTAGTAAATAACCGATTTAGTGTTGATGGTGTCTTTTCTTTCATCCTTTCCCAAATATGTACTTTTTAGCATTGGAACTGATAAAGCATGGTATTGTATTAAACAGATAAAACAATTAAACATGATTCCTCAGATTAACTTTTAATTATTTGGCTAAAAATGCATTGCTGATTAATGAAACTTTTTCCAAGAAAAAGCAGAGCTCCAAAAACACCGTTCTCTCTAGGTGATTGTGTGTGTATGCATGTGTGTGTGTGTACTTGTGTATTTAATAGGACTTCAAATCTACTTTTTCCTTTTTAAATTTTTTATATAGTTTCTTCTTGATTTAAGTTTATAAACCTAGAACTAGGAAGAGATTAAAAGAAAACTTTATATGGAACAAGATAGTTGTGTTATAAAGATTCCTAGGGTTCAAGTCTTAGTTCAGCCATTTACACCTTGCAGGGCATTTAACCTCTCCTAGACTTGAATTGCTAGTAGTAGCAGACTTAGTTTATGCTCATACTAAGTTGCACACTTGCCCAGTATTCCGGCTAGAGAGGTCTGAGGAGCAGTTTGCATTTTGCCAGAGATCTGGAGCCAGGTTGTCACTCCTGCTACCAATGTAATGTCCTACTGGCAAAGAGCAACCACTATAACTGTGCATTGGCTGGCTGGGGTTTATGGAACTATTGCTTTTCCAACAGCTCCTTGTAGAAGCCAGGTAACTCAACCAGAAAGTGTGGAAAATTTAATTTGAACTAGTGGGAGATAGGGGTAGAAGAAAGCCAGTGGACGAATTTGTCTCTCTTTTCCCCAAAGCTCCTGGGTTTTTCTGTTCCTTAATAGTTCACATACCTCTGGGAAGATGTCTTGTGACACTGAGAAACCAAATGCACTTGTTACAAAGCTGTAACCAGCTTACTTAATAGCTCTTATGTGTGCTTTCCTTGTCTCATTCCTCCTTTCCTCCCACCTTTGCATCGTGGATTGCTTTTTTCATTCGAGTGTCATTATATAAGCTCCTTCTCAGGATATGCTTTCTACATCATTAAGGATAAGACATTACAACACGAAATTAGCCTATGAAATCAAAGAAACTACATGACCTAAATAATAGAATAGCTGTCAGGAGCAAAAGACATTAATTAAATGAGTACAAGAAAGAGTGGATGATTAAGCTCATAGATTTTTTGAGCAAATATTTGTTGAGTACCTATTTTGGGCTAGGCACTGTTATATGCAATGGAAATGCAGCAGTAAACAAACTGAAAGCATGCTCTGCCTTCATGGCGTGCACTTTTTAGTGACAGGGACACCGTATTTATCCCTAGCCTCTCTGTCCGTGCAAAGATCTGTTTTTGGGGGTGGGGGTGGGGCTTCTTAAGCTTCTCTCTCTTACCCTATTCTAAATGAAATTCTGTCTTTTCAATATGATTCCTAGACATTATGGTAAGGATTGTTTGCCTCAAGAAAATGAAGTAAAGAGATACAACTGAAAAGGTGGAAGGAAATAGAATAATGAGAATAAATTATTGTGTTTATGACCTTTAAGAAAATATGGGCCAGGCATGGTGGCTCCCCCCTGTAATTTCAGCTCTTTGGGAGGCTGAGGTGGGAGGATTCCTTGAGCCCAAAAGTTTGAGACCAGCCTGGGCGACATGGCAAGACCCAGTCTCTACAAAAGAAAAAAAAATAGCTGGGCATTGTGGCTTGCACCTGTAGTTCCAGCTACTTGGGAGGCTGAAGTGGGAGGATGGTTTGAGAACAGGGAGCCAAGGATGCAGTGAGCTGTGTTGGCGCCACTGCACTCCAGTCGGGGTGACAGAGTGAGGCCATGTCTCAGAAAAACAACAACAAAAAAAACTCAATAGAAAGTGTGGAGGAGGCGAGGTTTAGCAGGTGAGATACCTGGGGCAACCATAGAACTGTAAGAGAATGAGAGTGCATTAGGAGAAATACCTAATGTAGATGACGGGTTGATGGGTGCAGCAAACCACCATGGCATGTGTATACCTACGTAACAAACCTGCACGTTCTGCACGTATATCCCAGAACTTAAAGTATAATTTTTTTAAAAAAGAGAATGAGGTGTAAAGAAAAGGAAATTTTTACAAGTATTGTGACAACTTATTCATTGGATCACCATTAATGCATGTCAATAGACACGAGCTTGAACTAAATTTTAAAAGTTACTTCTCGGTACTGGAATGTACTTTGTTGAATCCAATTCTGGGCCATAAGGATTAAGAATTAATAAATGTAAAATGTTTGGTATAGCTTTAAAATTGAGTCATTTAATTACATATGTTGGTTGTCAATGAGAATCTTTCCAAAATTCTCAATTTTACCCAAATCTTATGACTTCTAATTTGTTTGTTGCTCTTCTCTTGCCACTTGAGGAAACATATTTTATCAGCAAATTTATATATGTATTTATTTGGGAAGAAAAGTAGAAGAGATAAAAGGGAAAAGGAAGACGGAAACATGTTAGAGATTAAAAGAGAAGAAGGATGAGTTAAACTATTCAAAAGAAAAAAAAACACACACAGAATGGAGATTTTTCTTATTCCTTAGGAGGAGTTCTCTCTTCTCTAGTATTACTTCCTCATTGAGCAAATATCATCAATGAGATAAAATGAAAAATTTCAGGATCCTGGTTCCTTTTGTTTGGCACTTCCCATTTTCACTCTGTTGATTGCTATTTTCAACAAGCACACTCAGGCTATACGGAAAAAGTGTACAACCAAACCAGATCCATACGGGAATAATTTATATAAGACTAAGGGAAAGGGGAACAGAGCAGAAGGGAAACTGGAGACCAAAAGGCTGCACCAGCAGTCCAAATTGTGCTTTAAGAACAAAAAGAAATTCATTCTCATTTTAGACTAGTTTTCTCCCCAGATCTATGTTTTGCATGAAGACCAAGAAATCAAGAAACCATAGGAGAGCCAGGGAGTCCAGAGGAAATGGGGATGGAAGTGATCTGAATCTTGATTGTGGCAATGGTTACAACACTATACGCATTTGTTAATATTCACAGGACTGCACATTGAAAAGGTAAATTTTACGCTTAAAAAGAGAACAGGAGAATAGAAACAGGTTGCTCTTCCCAGTGGTGGCTGCACGACATACTTAAGCTAAGTGATCATATGGCTGAGACTGCAAATGTTTGATTGTTTCACTGGCCACTTCAGCTGACCAGCTATTACTAAGTGTTTGAAATGTTCTTTCCTTCATTTCATGAGAGAGAAAAAATAATGAGTAAACAAAAAGTGTCTGTGAATATGTCAAAGGATATTATTGTTTACAACGCCTGCGTGTGTCATATGCCTATATAAAATTGTCAGTCAATCTGAGTCTATGTGGGTTTCTGTGACTCATTTCAACATAGAATATGAGTAAGAATAATGTGTCATTTTGGGTGTAGGGGAATTAAGCATGAGCTTGTTTCATCCTTGTTCTTGCCCTTGCCCACGTGGATGGCAAGAAAAGGCTATAAAATGGTTGAATTACACAAAGAAAACTGCTTTTGTCTCTAAATTCTTGCTTCTGACCTATAATTCTGGGAGAAGACAAAAAGTCAGATCATAAAACTTTTCAGGTTTTACAAAACTGATTTAGAAAAAAAAATCACTTCGCTGTGTGCCCTTCTTATCTTAAAGTATATAGATTCTTTCAGAGAAAAGTGTTACTAATTAAGAAGCATATTGATAATGACAATAATCAAAGTAGATTAATTTTTAATCCTTATAGAATGGCTGAGAAACCTATCACATACCTTATCAGCAGAAATCAATAGAAAGGATTGTAAATCTCATTATTTCCCAGCACTAAGAGTCTTTATCTCTTTTTCACCCAAGCCATTTCTCTGGCAAGAAACCATTACACTGAATACCGTAGGCTCATTTTTAAGATGCTCATAATATATTATATGAATATTTTACAGAGCAATCCAAGAATACGTAGACCCCTCTCAGAATCTGCAGGAGCCATAGCTCTAAAGCCAGCCTCTTTCCTGCAGGGTTCTCAAGGAAGTCATTCTCTAAGCAAAGCAGTGACTGCAGGGAAAGGGAGCCGCTGCAGCTTGTGTCCAGAAGAAATCAGCAAGACCACAATACTTTTTAAATGACCTGTAAAATTGAGCACTTTCAGATCTCATTCAACAAGGCCTGCCAGGCCAGGTGCACTGGAAGTCAATTACTGTATTAAGCTAATGTTCAGAGCTGTTGAGAATTAGAGATGAAGAGCATCTAAAAATGGAACTGCTCGTGCTGCTTCCATGTCTTAATGGAAGATTATGTGTGCCTTTTAGCGGTTATGATAATAAAATTAATTTTTGTTCTTTTTAATAGGGTTAAAAACCTTTAATGCAAAACAGGTGGTTCTAGATTTGTATAAACAGGATAAAAATTATGCAAAATAATTTACTTTTAATGATTCATATTTTATTCATGATTAAAATATGTTTGCAAAATGGCTAAGGAAACATTTTGCTTAACTTCAAGAGGTGGATGTTGTCTCAATGCCAGAATTAACTGAACTAAAATTCAGAATATGTGGCTTCTATTTTCAAGCAATGATGTGCTATCAATAAGTAGCTTTTTAACAGGATAGAAAAGAATATTTTGGTAAAATAATAATAAAAGCTACACTTATATTGATATAGTAATTAATTGTTTTACCATGGCTTGACTTCCATAGAGAATCTTTTAAAAAAATGTTTACTTTACAGTTTGAAAATGTTTTCTCCTTACTCTGCTTTTCTGCATTCAGTTATTCTACTTTGGTTTTCTGTGCAGTTTCTGACTTATTTAGGGAAGTTCTTTGCTGAGAGGTACCTGGTGAATGAGGACAGAGTACCACATTCTTTGCCTGATACTGGGGGAGGGCCTTGCCTATAGTTCTTCTACTCCTATATTCCTCTGATAGAAGGAATAAATTTTCTTAAAAGCCAAACTGCAGTAAAACATGATATACTAAATTTCCTTCTGAACATCTGATAGAAGCATAGAATGACAGCTGAATCTATAACCAAGAATTTTCTTCCAGGAGCTGGAAATCTTTGGATCTGTGCATGGGGCGATGGGGATGGGGAATGTGGCGGAAAGCATGATCAACAGAATTGATTTTCTTAACTTGAAATATGTAGCTAAGACAGGAAAGGAAGGAACAAAGCTATAGCAAATTGTCACTCAAGTTTGATTATTTTTGTGAGCTACGATATTTGTAATATAGAAAAAGAAGCTCTGGGATGCGACCTGATTTTAGGATAGTGATATACATGAAATGGAAGGAACAGAAGGAAGAAGAGGGGAAAATTTCAATAGAAACTTCCTACTCAAAATAAGCTTTCAAATGAAAATTACAAACCATATAAATAAATAAATGCCTTGGTAATAATAATAAAAAAGAAATTAATGTATTGAATATGTATTTGCTTTGGCTGAAAATAAAATCTGAGGAATGTCTGAAAAATTAAATATTTTTCAGATTCTACAAGAGACATATGAGAAAATAACATTATTAAGATAGAGTAATATTCTCAGCATTTATGTGTAGACCATCATATGCCAGACATTGTTCCAAGAGCTTTACATATAACAACTCAATAATTCTTATGACAATAGTAAGAGAAAAACACTCATTTTGCAAACGATGACACTGAGACAAGGGGAGTTTAAGTTATTTGTCCAACCTTATATAATAAGTGAAAGAGTCCACATTTGAACCTATGCAATCTGACTCCAGAACTGAGTTCTCAACTACTGTATGCAAGAAATAATAATAATAAAAAAGACAGTGGGCTGAAATTGAATAAGTACTAGTAGATATAAACATACTAAAATAGAAAATTTGACAGTGAAAATTTAGTCACTGAAATAAAAATAAGCCATTACTAAGATTAACTATAGATTCATACAAAATGAAAATAATAAATAGGAAAATAATTGAATCTATTAGAATGCATCCTGGCAAGCAATGAGATTAAATGTCTGATTTATTTTCAAACATTTAAAAGAGATTTAGAAACTCCAAGATTTAAAAAATAGGAAGTAAAGAAGAAAAGAATAAAACAAATCTTGGAGAAGCAAAAACTGAATATAGATGAGAATTTTTCACATAGAAAGAGGCAAGAGCTCAAAATTGAAAGTTCAATCCAAGTTCAATCCAATTATGAGTTATCATAACTTATTTATCTCCCATGTATGTTTCCCTGGTAGAAACTGTGCATTCAATATGGACAGTTTAATTTTTTCTGTATAATATGTATGTCATTTGTTTTCTTTTCTTAAGTCTTACTTCACTGGCAAAAATATCTAGCCCTGTTGAATAAGACTGGTGAGGGTGGACATCCTTAACAATTGCAGGAGGCAAGCATTCCAATTCAGCCTTTCATCACTAAGTGTTAGTTATAGCTTTTTCTGGTTGCTGTTTGTCAAGTTGAAGAAGTTCCCCATTCTTTAAAATTCTTTTATTTTTAATTTTTATGGGCACATATATATATATATATATATTTGTGGGGTACATGAGATATTTTGATACAGACATACCATATGTAATAATCACATCAGAGTAAATTGGGGATCCATCATCTCAAGCATTTATCATTTCAATGTTACAAACATTTCCATTATATGCTTTTGGTTGTTTTTAAATGTACAATAAATTATTGATGACTGTAGTAACCCTGTTATGCTATCAAATACTAGATATTATTCATTCTATCTAGCTATATTTTTGTACCCATTGAACATCCCACTCCCCACCCCTATCCACTACCCTTCCCAGCCTCTGATAACCATCATTCTACTATCTCTATGAGTTCAATTGTAATTTTTAGCTCCCATAAATAAGTGGGAACATGCAAAGTTTGTCTTTCTGTGTCTGGCTTATTTCACTTAACATAATGACCTTTAGTTCCATTCATGTTGTTGGAAATGACAGGATTTCAATTTTTTTAATAGCTGAATAGTACTCCACTGTGTATATATACCACATTTTCTTTATCCATTTGTCTATTGATGGACACTTAGGTTACTTGAAATCTTGACTATTGTGAATAGTGCTGCAATAAACTTGGGAATGCAGATAAGTTTTCAACATACTGATTTCATTTTTTTTTTTAGACAGGAATTTGCCATTGCTTAAGCTGAAGTGCGGCGGCTGGATCATAGTTCACTGCAGCCTCGAGCTCCTGAGCTCAAGTGATCCTCCCACCTCAGCCTCCCAAGTAGCTATGACTACAGGCATGCACCACCACACCTGAATTTTTCTTTCCTTTTCTTTTTTAATAGAGATAAGGTCTCACTACATTGCCCAGGCTGACCTTGAACTCCTGACCTTAAGCAGTTCTCTGATCCTGGCCTCTGAAAGTGCTGGGATTAAAGGCATGAGCCACCATGCATTTCCTTTGGATATATAGCCAGTATTGGAATTGCTGAATTATATGATAGTTATATTTTTAGTTTTTTGAGGAACACCCATGCTGCTTTTCTTAGTGGCTGTAGTAGTTTACATCCCCATCAACACTGTGTAAGTGTTCCCTTTCCTCTATATCCTTGTCAACACTTGCTATCTTTTTTCTTTTCATAGTAGCCATTCTAAGTAAAGTGAGATGATAACGCATTGTGTTTTCGTTTGCATTCCCTTGGTGATTGATGCTTCTGAACATTTTTCAATGTACCTGTTTGGTACTCATATGTCTTCTTTTGAGAAATGTCTCTGAATGTTTTTTGCCCATTTTTAATTTGGACTGTCTCTTAATGTTTTTTGCCCATTTTTAATTTGGACTGTTTGCTTCTTTGCCATTTAGATGTTTGAGTTTCTTGGACATTCTGAATATTAACTTATTGTCACATTTATTGTTTGTAAACATTTTCTCTTTTTCTGTAGGTTGTCTCTTCACTCAATTGTTTCTTCTGCTGTAAAGAAGCTTTTTAGTTTGATGTAATCTCCTTTGTCTATTTTTGCTTTTGTTGCCTGTGTTTTTGAAATCTTATCTAAAATAATCATTGACTAGACCAATGTGATGAGGCATTTTACCTATGTTTTCTTCTAGTAGTTTCATAGCCTTGGTTCTTACATTTAAGGCTTTAATCCATTTTGAGTTGATTTCTGAATTTGGTTAGAGATATGGATGTAGTTTTATTTTTCTGCTCATGGATATCCAATTTTTTCAGCACCATTTATTGGAGAGACTGTCCTTTCCCCAGTGTTTGTTCTGGGCACTTTTGTCAAAAATCAGCTGTGGATACATGCATTTAATTCTGGGCTCTCCATTCTCTTCCATTGGCCTACGTGTCTGTTTTTATGACAGTACCATGCTGTTTTGGTTATTATAGCTTTGTAGTAGATTTTGAGGTTAGGCAATATGATGCATCCAGTTTTGTTCATTTTGCTCAAGATTGCCTTAGCTATTTGAGGTATTCTGTGGTTCCATATAAATTTCAGGATGTTTTTTCAGTTTCCATATAGAATGTCATTGGTATTTTGATAGGGATTACATTAAATCTGTAGATTGCTTTCAGTAGTATGGACATTTTAACAATATTAATTATTCCCATCCATGAACGTGGGATAGCTTTGTGTTTTCTTCAATTTCTTTTGTCAATATTTCATAGTTTTCAGTGTAGAAATCTTTCACCTCATAGGTAAAATTTATTCCTACATACCCTTTTTGGTAATTATTATAATTGGGATTGTTTTCTTAATTTCTTTTTCAAATAGTTTACTATTAGTGTATAGAAATGCTACTGATCTTTGTTGATTTTTTATCCGGCAACTTTACTGAATCCGTTTATTAGTGCTAACATATTTTGATGAAATCTTTAGGGTTTTCTATATGTAATATGTGGTCTGCAAACGGATAATTTGACTTCCTTCTTTCCAATTGGGATCACTTTTATTTATTTATCTTGCCTAATTTATCTGTCTAGGACTTCTAAAACTGTGTTGAATAGAGGTGGCAAGGGTGGACATCCTTGTCTTGTTCCAGATCTTAGGTTTCTTTTCAGATTGTATAAGCCTTTCATGTTTTCTGATTATTCCTATTTATTTTTTGAGGATTTCTAATTTTTATTTGTTTTGAGTATATTAATTATTGCTGCGTGGAACATTTCTTTTTGTTGTTGTTTACTATAGTTTCTTTAAAATATGTCTCATATAATTTCTAAGATCTCTATTATCTCTATGTTGGCTTAGAATGCCAAATAAATTTTAACAGAAACTTGAACAGGTTTGTATTACGTTTTAAACTTCTGATTGATTGTTATTATAATATTCTAGTTTAGTTGGCTTTCTCTGACATGACTCTGGCAGGGGAAGAGATGCAGCATCACTTATTACTGTTCTATGGAGGAAGATATTCAGGTTCCCACTCAGCTTCTGTTGACCCCCCTGGAGACATGAGGCTTCTTGTTACAGGTGAGTAAGGATGGGAATTCCAGTTTCCCCATGTGATCTCCACTGATTCCATGGTGGGGTGGGCAGAACGTTGTTACTGGACAGTTGGGATGAAAGTTCCAACTCCCTACTTGGCATTCTTGGACACCATCTATATAGGGATGTTGGAGTACCTTGTTACAGACTTGTAAGAGTCTGAGCTTCTCACTCAGCCTCCTTTACTGGTATAGGTGTTGGTGAGGTCATAGTTTTATCTGTGGTATTTTGCTGTAGCAGAGTAATTATGTAAAAGATTTTTGTATACTAGGCTTCCGTTTTCCTGATTCTTTGGCTAGAAAGAACAGGCTTTGATTGGGGCATTTTTGTCTGTGCTTGTTGGTTGTTTCCATGTTGCTGGATTCTTCAGCTCTAAGTGTGAAATATATGAGGCAAAAAACAAAAACAAAAACCAAACACTAAAAATTTAGCCAACTCCTCACCATGTTGTTCTTTGGAACCCACGTTCTTGAGCTTGTCTGCCTTCTTTTCACCTTTCAGAGACTTCTTATTTTAATTTACTTCGTGGGAGGAATAGGAAAAGGGATGTCTACTTTATCTTTGGCTTCCTTTTACTGTTATTTTAAACAAAGGGACTTTGGCTTATTTTCTTTTATGCAGCAATAGAGAATTGAAACACATACTAAATTATTTCTTGAGTGTTATAACCTTAACACTAAAGTATACAAGGATATTATGAAAAGGGAAAAATCAGGCTTATCTTATACTTACCCAGCCCCATCTTCCCAACTCTAAGGTAGCCAGGATTCTGGACCTCCCTCAGCTCTGGCTGTGAGAGGCATTATCCAAGCTTTCTTGGCCTGAGAAGACCAACATCTGACAGGATGTTTGTGGGCCCCATAACCCACAAGCACAGCGAGAAATATTGGACACACACTGCTCCATTGAAATTTCATGGGGCTATATCAACTGTGTGTCTAGGTGTACTGTTTCCTGCTGCATATTACGATCAAGGAGTCCATAGAGATTTGGTAGGAGTTAATCCCAGATGCTCAGTGTAGCCCAACAAGCTCAGGAATTGGAGAGCATTCCTGTGGCCATGAGGGCACACTTTCACAGAAAGTACATCAAGCTATGTCTTTACATATTTCTGATACTTCTGACATTTTTGAGGCAGCTGTACTATTTTGCAGTGTGACTAGCCTAACAGATATGTGCATTCTTCTCGTGAGAGCTTCATCCTAATTTTAAAACACCTGACTTGGAAAAAAAAAAAAAAAACTATGATTGGTATTATGGATTGAATTGTATTCCCCCGAAGTCCATATTTGGAAGCCCCAGCCCCCAATGTGATGATATTTGAACATATGGCCTTTCAGGAATAATTAGATTAAGGTAAGGTCATGAGGGTGCGGTCTTCATGATGGGATTGGTGCCCTTATAACAGAGACACCAGAAAGCTTTATCTCTTTCTCCTTGGCACGAGGAAATAGAAAATGGCTGGCTGCAATTTAGGAAGGGATCCCTCACCAGAACCTGGACATGTTGGCACCTGGATTACCCTGACTTTCAGGTTCCAGAATTGTAAGAAAAGAAATTTCTGTCGTTTTAGTCACCCAAACTATGGCATTTTTGTTATGGCAGTGTAAACTGACTAAGATAATTGGGTCATAATTTCATTTGTATTTCCACAAACTCAAAGCATGAATTTCATTTCCCTCTCAGTTTACCACGCTGGTTTTCTTGTTTAGCACCTGGACTACTGGAAGTGAGGCTCCACCATATACAGTGTTGGTGTGTCTAGTGAAGGAAGGGAGAGGGCAATGGATATCAAAAGAGAAAATCGACTACCAAAGATGAAAATATCCTTTAGCACGATGATCCATGAGTCTGGGGAATGTCAGCAGAGAGATTGGAACTATAGGCTGTTAAGTAATTCTTCTCAGACAGCAAATGAGGTCCAGCTAACAAAGTTATTATTTTGGCTGGACTAGACTAGAAGTAATCCTGAGAAGTTATATTGGTCACCCTCCCAGGCCATCAAGGTACAGTAACAAGAAATTACGATTCAACTATTAAATCTATCTTTCTTTTACATTTTATGTTTTGCAAATTCTTCCTCTCTGATTTTTGGCTAACCAGAGAGAATGACATTTTCTAATGATCCAAAATTCCACTTAAACATGGTAAAATTTAAGCACTTTTTAGGATCCTGAAAGGGAATTTCACAGAGATGTTTACTGACCTTTTAGATAATGAGGCCACATGAAAAGGAAGAACTCAGACTGTCCTCAGAATAAATAAAAAGAAGTCCTAAATGCAAGATGGTTGTTCCACCCTATTTCTGACAGAAAAGAAGTCATCTCCCTGGCAGAGATACACTTGGATGAGAAATATGATGTACAACATGCAACTTGGATGAGATATAAACCTACAATCTTCAAAAATTACAACTTTTAAGCTTCTATGTGCACTTCATTTTCCAAACACAGTTCTCTTTCTAGTTATGTGTCCAGCTATAAATGAACAAAAATTAACTTACAGGTTATACAAAGATCTTTCAAAGCTCAATTGAATTACTGGTTGCTACAAAAGTTGCTGGAAGACAGTACATGCTAAAACTGATGTTTGCATAGGTTTCTCAGTTTCTTAATTACCAATTTAGTTCAGGGAACAGGATGAACAGACTGACATGTTCAAATGGGCAAGGTATTAGAGGAAACATGTTTTGAGTTGGATTCTGTAGAAGGAAAAGAGCCACCACACCACATCTAAATACTTATTCCTGTTGTAAGCAAACATGAGGCATACCATTTTTTGTTTAGTACATGTTTGGATACTGTCCCTTTACCACAAACACACACACAAACATACGAATTATCATGAAAGATTTAACTTTCATTCAGTTAATAATCAAATAGTTAAACCTTCACAAAAGGCATGGGAGTCTATCCAGACTATGTTGCTTAAAGATGAATAATTTAAATTTACCTTAACTGTTATACATATATAATGAAACACTATGCAGCAGTTACAAAGCATGTTCATAGAAGAATATTTGGATACCTGAGAAAGTGTCTGTAGCAGAGACACGGAGCTCGCTAATCATTCTATCTGCTTTTCCACCTTCCAGAACCACATGCAGGGGCACATGACCAATTCTGGATAATGAAATATGAACAGAACTTATTTGTATCATTCCCAGACTAACACAGAGAAAAATTTAAAAAACTCTTTTTATCTCTTCTTTTGCCCCTTTCACTTGATGAGATCACTAAAAGGTGATGGGGATTTCATTAGCCTGGTTCTCTGAGTGGTACAGTTTAGAGTGAGTGAGAAATAACATTTGTGGTATTGCACAGAGGGATTAGGCACCTTGCCTAAGTTCATGGTTAGAAAGCAGCTGCAGTCTACCATGATCTCTCTCTCATCTCATAGCATGCACCCTCCACATTTCTCCAATTTTGATATTTTTTATTATGACTATAAACTCATTCTCTTTAGTGTCCTGAATACTTCAAAGAGAGGTTAGTGATTTCTTTTAAGGACCCTTGGCAAAATAAAAAATAAAAAAATCTTCAGTAGCCAAATTAGTTCATAAACATAGCACATAATTTTAGTTGTTTAAGAAATTTTAGGCAAATAAATGAAAATGTGTTACCCATCCAGTCTCTCATCTTGGAAATAGCTTAACCACAAAATAAAACTGTACATGGAATTCATGTCAACAGAGTCTCTTTTAAAGTAGTATTAACGTATTTTGATCCTTGAACTCCACATTTCTTAGAGGTATGTCTGAGTGGTACTGAACATCTGGGACAAGGGAGATGTGTGTAGCAATGGAAATGAAAAATTTAAGTACTCTTAGAGATTTTCACTTAGTTCAAGCATGGCCTCACATTACACTCTTAATTATCTACAACAGCATTTCCCAAAATATTTCATAAAATCCTAATTATACAGAATGGTTGTAAGGTGCTTTTGGGGAAAAAGAAGTTTTATCTGTGATAATATAAAAATTCCTTTACTGAGAAGGGTTCTCAAACTTTTTAAGTGCATTTTGACTCTATAAGAGTGGGACTTAGGATATAAGGTTCATCCGAAGTACTGATTACAGACCTTTTTCCTTCTGAGTCACATCACTGGGCTCTCTCCCTGTCACACACAGGGAAGTGCTGATCCATGTTCTTCTATCAAAGCAATTTGCTTTTCTGTATGTGGTCTTATCTTGAATCCAAGTTCAAGTGACCTGCCTTATATCCCTTATAACCCTCAAGACTGAGACTCCTAATTTCTCACTTCGATCTTCCATTCTGTTGGTCTCAGTGGTCCTCAGTGAAAAACTCACAAGCTCAGTATATTTTGCAGCTCCTGTGTGTACTTTTAATGATCAGAGTGGAGACATCCTCTTCAACCTTCTCAATAAGGAAATGTTCTGTGAGTTTGGTTGGATAAAAACAGTTCTTGAGCTAGTGATACATAGCTACCCCATTCCCAATGTTTACTGGAAATAGATGCCCCTTTTAGGTTTCGGAAAGGGAGAGGAAAACATTTAACCTCATGTTTTTGTTTGTTTGTTTGTTTGTTTTTTCTGAATGTGTTCCATCTCTGATGGCTATTTCTCCCGTTCCAGATAAACTCATAGACTCAATGTCTCTGTTATCAGTTTCATGTTACAACTACTTTTTTTGGGTGTAGATGAAAGTTCAAAAATAAAACAGGGAAGTTCTGCTCATGAATTGTGGCATTGCAACACAATATAACTATCCAAGCTTCAAGACAATTCAGGCTAGAGATGTATTTTCTTGTTGACATTAGAGGTGGGAGAGGGGAAAAGGAGGTGGGGGATAGTTAAGGAAAAAATGTGAGATGACACAAACATTTACTTTACCGGGAATTTCAGCTGGCAGCAAACATTTGCACTTTAGAGTACTGTAATACCCTTGCAAAAATTGGATCAATCACTCCCATTTTCTTACTTAATGTTTAAAATATGGTGACAGAATTATTTAGGGCTTCCAAAAGCTTCTTAAGCTGATAAACAACTTCAACAAAGTCTCAGGATACAACATCAATGAGCAAAAATCACTAGCATTCCTGTACATCAATAACAGTCAAGCTGAGGGCAAAATCAGGAACAAACTCGCATTCACAATTGCCATAAAAAGAATAAAATACCTAAGAATACAGCTATCAGGAGGTAAAATACCACTACAAGAAAAACTACAAACCACTCCTCAAATAAATCAGAGATGATACAAATAAATGGAAAAACATTCCATGCTCATGGATAGGAAAAATCAATATTATTAAAATGGCCATACTGCCCAAAGCAACGTATAGATTCAGTGATATTCCTTTTAAACCACCAATAACATTCTTCACAGAACGAGAAAATACTATTTTAAAATTCATATGGAACCAAAAAGAGCCCAAATAGCCAAGGCAATCCTAAGCAAAAAGAACAAAACTGGAGGCATCCACTTAACTTCAAACTGTACTACAGGGCTACAGTTTACATGTACAGCATGGTGCTGGTACAAAAATAGACACATAGGCCAATGGAACAGAATAGAGAACCCCAAAATAAGACCACCCACCTACAACTATCTGATCTTCAACAAACCTGACAGAAACAAGCAATGGGAAAAGGATTCCCTATTCAGTAAATGGTGCTAGGATAATTGGCTAGCCATATGCAGAAGATTAAAACTGGACCCCTTCTTTATACCATATATAAAAATTAACTCAAGATAGATTAAAGACTTAAATGTAAAACCCAAAATTATAAAAACCCTGGAAGACAACCTAGGCAATACCATTCAGAACACAAGTGAGAGCTAAAAGATGAGAGCACATGGACACATAGAGGGGAACAACACACACTGGGGGCTATAGAAAGGTGCAGGGTGGGAGGAGGGAAAGAATCAGGAAAAATAACTAATGGGTTCTAGGCTGAATACCTGGGTGATGAAATAATCTGTACAACATGTCCCCATGATACAAGTTTACCTAAATAACAAACCTGCATATGTACCCCAAACTTAAAAGTTAAAAAAAATTAAAAAACAATTATTTAGGGCTTCAACAGTAGTTATCAATTACTCGTTTTCCACACACCACCACCACAGTCACACATACACACTCAAATTCCTTATGGATAAGAAAACTCTGAACCACTGAGTAGCAGAACAGGTATCTTTGATCACCACTACTTTATGGAAAATCAATAAGAATTTATTTTAGAGACAAGCTTATGAGCTGCTCAGGACATAAAAAGGCAATTCAGTTTGTTTCAGGAGTCCAACTAGTATTTATTTTGTTTTTTTCTCAAGACGGTCTCTGTTTTGATACCAGTTAATATTAAGACCCCAAGAAGGAACTTTTCTACTTTAGCCTGAGCTAAACTATGTCTTATAGACCCATAAATTGTACATATATATAAAGTGTAACAAATCACAAAAGTCTAATAAATGCATATTCTTTGATATTTTAAGTAAATACCATTTTGGTGTTTTAGTTCAAAGGCAAAGTTGGTAAGCCTTCAGGTGCTGCACTGGCATTAGATTATAACACTTTCAGACCTAACAGATTTGATAAAAATGCAGATATTGCTATGAAATCTCTCACAGAGTTAAGAGATCCGTCACTCTCATTGCTTTCTTCCATTGGCACCATAAGTGCGAAGCCCCCACATGCAATGAAAAGCAAGGGGAAGTCTCCATATGAGAGTCTCTTATCTTGATTTGTAACTCCCACAGTTCCCACACATTGTGGGAGGAATCTGGTGGGAGGTGATTGAATTATTGGGGCAAGTCTTTTCTGCGGTGTTCTCACGATAGTGAATGAGTCTGACGAGATCTGACAGTTTTAAAAACTGGAGTTTCTCCGCACAAGCTCTCTCTTTGCCTGCCGCCATTCACATAAGATGTGACTTGTTCCTACTTGCCTTCCACCAGGATTGTGAGGCCTCCCTACCCATGTGGAACTGTGAGTCCTTTACCTCTTTCTTTTATAAATTGCCCAGTCTTGGGTATGACTTTATCAGTAGTGTGAAAATGGACTAATACAGTAATTTGGTACCAGTAGAGTGGGGCACTGCTGAAAAGATACCTGTAAATGTGGAAGCGACTTTGGAACTGGGTAACAGGCAGAGGTTGAAACAGTTTAGAGGGCTCAGAAGAAGATAGGAAAATGTGGAAAAGTTTGGAAATTCCTAGAGACTTGTTGAACTGCTTTGCCCAAAGTGCTGATAGCAATATGAACAATAAAGTCCAGGCTAAGGTGGCCTCAGATGGAAATGAGGAACTTGTTGGGAACTGGAGCAAAAGTGACTCTTGTTATGTTTTAGCAAAGAGACTGGTGGCATTTTGCCGCTGTCCTAGAGATTTGTGGAACTTTGAACTTGAGGGAGATGATTTAGGGTATCTAGCAGAAGAAATTTTGAAGTAGCAAAGCATTCAAGTGGTGACTTGGGTGCTGTTAAGGGCATTCAGTTTTATAAGGGAAGCAGAGCATAAAAGTTGATAAAATTTATAGCTGGACAATGTGATAGAAAAGAAAATCCTATTTTCTGAGGAGAAATTCAAGCTGGCTGCACAAATTTTCACAAGTAACAAGGAGCCAAATGTTAATCCCCAAGACAATGGGGAAAATGTGTCCAGGGCATGTCAGAGGTCTTCACAGCAGCCCATCCCATCATAGGCCTGGAGGCCTCCTGGAGGCCTAGGAGGAAAAAGTTGTTTTGTGGGCTGGGCCCAGTGTCCCTGTGCTGTGTGCAGCCTAGGGACTTGGTGCCCTGCGTCCCAGCCACTCCAGCCATGGCTGAAAGGGGCCAATGTAAAGCCCAGGCCATGGCTTCAGAGGGTGCAAACCTCAAGCCTTGGCAGCCTCCATGTGGTGTTGAGCCTGCCGTACACAGAATTCAAGAATTGGGGTTTGGGACTCTCTGCCTAGATTTCAGAGGATGTATGGAAATGCCTGGATGTCTAGGCAGAAATTTGCTTCAAGGGCAGGGCTCTCATGGAGAACCTCTGCTAGGGCAGTGAGGAAGGGAAATGTGGGGTCGGAGCTGCCACACAGAGCCCCTACTGGGGCATTGCCTAGTGGAGCTGTGAGAAGAGGACCACCATTCTCCAGACCCCAGAATGGTAGATCCACTGACAGCTTTCACCGTGTACCTGGAAAAGTCACACACACTTTATGCCAGCCCATGAAAGCAGCCAGGAGGGAGGCTGCACCCTGCAAAGCCACAGGGGCAGAGCTGCCCAAGACCATGGAAACCCACCTCTTGCATCAGCATGACCTGGATGTGAGACGTGGAATCAAAGGAGATCATTTTGGGGATGTAAGATTTGACTGCCCCACTGGATTTCAGACTTGCATGAGGCCTGTAGCCCCTTCATTCTGGCCAATTTCTCCCATTTGGAATGGCTGTATTTACCCAATGCCTGTACCTCCACCGTATCTGGGAAGAAACTAACTTGCTTTTGATTTTACAGGCCCATAGGTGGAAGAGACTTGGCTTTTCTCAGATGAGATGTTGGACTGAGGACTTTTGCATTAATGCTGAATTAAGTTAAGACTTTGAGGGACTGTTGGGAAGGCATGATTGGTTTTGAAATGTGAGGGCATGAGATTTGGAGGGGCCGGGGTGAAATGATATGGTTTTCCTGCGTCCCCACCCAAATCACATCTTGAATT
The DNA here is from genome assembly GCF_000001405.40 of Homo sapiens. Taxonomy (NCBI): domain Eukaryota; kingdom Metazoa; phylum Chordata; class Mammalia; order Primates; family Hominidae; genus Homo; species Homo sapiens. Next base: position 208,887,501 of record NC_000002.12, read on the forward strand.
GTAACTCCCACAATTCCTACATGTTGTGGGAAGAATCTAGTGGGAGATGATTGAATTATGGGGGCAGGTCTTTCCTGTGCTGTTCTCCTGATAGCGAATCAGTCTCATCAGATCCATTGGTTTTAAAAACAGGAATTTCTCTGCACAAGCTCTCTGCCTGCTGCCATCCATGTAAGATGTGATTTGCTCCTACTTGCCTTCTGTCATGATTGTGAGGCCTCCCCAGCCACATGGAACTGTGATTCCAGTTAAACCTCTTTCTTTTGTAAATTGCCCAGTCTGGGGTATGTCTTTATCAGCAGCATGAAAATGGACTAATAAACCACATTTCTGTATAACTTTGTTACTGCCACAACATATGGATGGGTCTAACATTTTCCTGGGTCATATTCTGATATTTGATAGGGTTTTAAACCAGAAAGGTTGTAGGTTTCACTCACCCACACTAACTAATGAAAGACAGGGACCCAGCCTTGTTTTCTCTGCAATCTGGAGCCCTGGCTTCATTAGATATGCTGCTTGCATGATACTGGCATAAAAGAACGCAGACATTTAAAAAAATTCGAATAATTGCAGCAGGATATTCAAGCTTGAAGAGAAAGTTTATACCATAGGAAAACTAAAATAAAATAGAAAATAAATGTGCTCTGCTGAACTTATTTTTGGTTTGTTTTTTCCTTTGACTTACAGTTCAGAAAGCCAGACTAATGGCATCTGTTTTGAGAAACAGCTTATTAGTAAAATGAAAACTCCTGTCAACTGTAAAGATAACCATACATGGGCACTTTGACACAAACAGATGCTATGCACACTTTAGTATTTGAATCATCAAGATGGTGTTGAGGCATGAGCTATTTTTTTTTCACTAATTGGTTCCTGCCTTTATCTTTTTTTTGAAGAAGGATCAAATAAAGATATCCATCCTACTCTATGAAATCAAAATTAACCCTAACTAACTTGATTCCAGCACACATTTGCTACTGGGCACTAATTGTATGAACCAGAAATTTGTCTCCAAAGTGTCAGAATATTAATAAATGTATTTTATTCTCTTATTAGGAAATGATAAACCATGTGAGATGAACTAACTCTTCCAAAGCCCCATAATACCATTCAGAAATGATCTCTTACAAGATTAATATATGTTAATTTATCCCGATCATTGTCTATGAAAATATGCCTAACAATTAAGCAAGGATACTCTTAGCATGCATACTTCTTAAATGTTTCATCCAAGGTCAGCTACGTTTGCTCCCTTGATATGCTAAAATTTTGGAATGAATATAGAAAATAGCAGGCAATTTCTTAAACTCCCGTGCTCTGACCTCAAGGTTCAGAGGACTTTGTAGGTTAAGAAAGAGAGTAGTCTCAATTATAGCAGAACTTGGCCCTCTAGTAAAGAAAATGCAACAATATCCCAAAAGACTAATACAGAAAGGGAAAGTTGTACGGTAGTATATTGCAAAATAGATTTGTGGTTTTTAGTAGTTTAGTATGTTATGGAAAAATCAGACAGCATAGACTAGCTTGTTTTTTCTCTAAGAATCCTTTTATGTTTGAACAAGAATGCATTGTTTTCTCACAATGAATTCCTAGAACACTAGAGATTCTGCAAAACTGAAAAATCTATCATCTACAGCAAGGGAACTCTACCAGTGAAATACTGTGGCAACATCAACAGGTCTGTGGAAAGGTGCCACTGATGTGCCCAGTGTGCATTAGTGCTGCAAAATGTGGTATTGGGAAATGTTAGGATGTAGAGAATGGGTCTTTTCTCCAACTCATGCACCCTGCCTAACATCAACTGGCAATGCAGGGCCCCAAAAGGGACATTAATGCACTCGATTGAGGGATAGATCCAGGTTTTATGGCTATAGAAGCTTATGCACTCTAGGGACACTCCCTAATGAAAGAGGATCTAAAATCAGAAGCACAGAATCAGATACAAAATGAACACTTATTCATAATAAAATGAATCAATAAAAATTAAATATTTCAAAACTGACATATATCACAAATATAACATTTGAATAAATAATATATCCTTATTAATTAACTTCCTAACTCAATCTATAACATCTTTTTACTCTTCATCTTTTGGTTGCATATTTTTTATGCTATTGTAATATGTCAATGATTCCATGTTTTCATTTTCCAGAGAGAAAGTTAATTCTGTCTTTAACATGGCAGTTCTGTCTTGATCCTTGTTTATTTCCAACTTTGTTTCTTTTCAATCATCCACACACTCCCAGGCCTGGGTGCCAGAGGACACACTCATATTGCAAGATGACCTGGGGCCCTGTACCTTCATGCCCCAGGAGAGTTGGCATAGATGGTGTAGGCATTTTCCTGGAAGCCTTTTCTGCTTTGACACTGCTAGCATTAACTTCACTGTTGTGGAAGGAACAAACCACATAAGCATATTCCACTTAATCCAAACAAAATGTAATCACGTCTCCTTTTCCTTTAACTGAATGTCAGAAAGCCTGTGACTACTCCAACCAACCAACCTAAGGTTTTAACCAATTGCAGAAAAAAAAAAAACATGTTAAAAATGTTTACAGAAATGTATGACCACATGATCACTTCATTAATTTCATTAACTTAATGCTGAGTCTTCCTTGGTGTCTCCACATTTTGTGTTTGGCTTCTTGGTCCATGATTCTCTTAGGAATATTTTACCAGTACAGAAGTCCAATGCCATTTAAAAAAATACTTTTCTTTATTAATTCATTTATGTTTTGTTAATTGCATTTTAAAAAGTTACTTCTTTCACTTCTGTTAGAATCCACTGCTCTAACTGTTCCTGTTTTCAACAGAATTTCTGCTATAATAAATTTCCTAGAGATTCACTGTGGAACAGTAGTCTCTGTTTCTATCATTTAACTCATGATAAAGTAATAAAACAATTTGAAGCTGCTGGCTTAAGGTGGAGCATGCAGTATCTACTATTTCCTATACCACAGATGAAGTTTCAAAAACATCTAAAGATAGAATTTTTGTCAAATGCATTTTCTCCCCCTCCTTTTGACAACCTTCTCTTTCCTAACCTTCCTTCCACCACCGACCTCTCCTTCACTCTGCAATCTTTTAGTCAGGAGCTCACTTCTCACCATCCTTCACTCAGAGACATTTGCATTATGAATGTGATTGCACCTACTCCAAAAGAAGAGAATAAACTGCTGATCAAGCAAATGAGGGATTATTACGACTGCACTGAGACCACCACCATGACAGAGTCCAGGCAGAGTCTCAGGTGGGGGGCATTCAGAATAGGTATTTATGAGGTTTGGATGTCTGGGCTCAAGTATTAAAGATTGGTTTCAGTGTGGGAATCTTATGGAATTAGGCACAACTTGCCACAAGAAATAAGCCAGGCCAGAAATTTGTTTTTCAGATCAGACCAGGTTCCAGTTCAGCTGCTCACCCTCCTTTTCCTGGAGGCCCTTGGCAGACTTTATTTCTCTTCATTCCCTTCCCTGATCAGCTCATTATGTTTCTGGGAGGAAAAATACATAGTGCTAGCATAGATTACATTTTGTAAGTGAATGCTAAAACCCTAAAAATATTTTCGTGTGAGTGTATTTTATAAACTGTAAAATAATTTAATAATGAATTTAAAGTGGGTCTGCAAAACAAAAAATTCTATCTATCTGCCATAGCCATTATCAGAATTCAAAGAACCGAAATTTTCAGTTCTAAGAATTTTTTTATTTTGTTAGATAGTGGTGGCTGTTCATTAAGTAAAGACAAACATGGTATTTTGTTTTAAATTTGTCCTTTCAAAATTATATATCCTGCCATAATTTTCAAGTAAAATATTTTAAATAAGAATAAGACAAAATAACATTTATTGAACACTTATGATATGCCAGAACATACTCATGGTGTTTTCACATTTCTCATTATCTTCATGGTATGGTTTGGCTGTGTCCCCACCCAAATTTCATCTTGAATTGTAGCTCCTATAATCCCCACATATCATGGGAGGGACCCAGTGGGTGGTAATTGAATCATGGGGGTGGGTTTTTTCCCATGCTGCTCTTGTGATATTAAATGAGTCTCAAAAGATATGATGGTTTTATAAAGGGTGGTGCCCTCGTCTTGCCTGCTACCATGTAAGATGTGCCTTTGTTCCTGCTTTGCCTTCTGTCATGATTGTGAGGTCTCCCCAGCCATGTGGAACTGTGAGTCCATTAAACCTCTTTTTCTTTATAAATTATCTAGTCTTGGGTATCTCTTCATAGCAGTATGAAAATGGACTAATATACTATATATCAGTGATGAGAGAACTGACACTCAAAGAGCTTAAGGAAATTCCTCAGGGTCAAACAGATGTTTTCATAACCAGTGCTTTTTACACTACAGCATGCCAAACAAAAATTTGTAAAGCTCTTTACTATAGTAAGGTGTACAGCCTTCAATTACTAGGTTAATAGGGCAATTGACTTCAATAATGAAAGGAAAAGAATTCCCCTATATTGTTGAACATGCATTTTGAACTAGTTTCTATCAAGCATGCAATAGCTGTTTCTCTCCATATTACAGATAAGGAAACTAAGATTTGGGGAAGTCAAGCAATATGGCCACGATATATAGTTGTTTATGGAAAAGACAGGCTTTAAATCCACCTTTTCATGACTTAAATTTTCAATAAACTGGAGAAAACTGCAAATACTTAAGTTAAAAGAACCAAAACTGCAATTCAGAGATTGCTGTTGGACCTCAAATACTAGCAACTTGGTAAGGCTTTATATTATTTATGCATAAACTGCAAAGCCCATCAAAACAATTAATGAGAAAGACAAGAGACAAGCACATGTAAGTATGTAGCCTGGGGAGCTTTGGGGTTGCTTCCTTCTCTACTAATAAGTGCTCAGAGAGCAGTGTGAATCCTAGGGACTCCTGAGCTTAGAAATGTCCCACTGCTTTCATCAGCACAGATGTAATCCATTAAAGTAGTACCCTGCTGATGAATCCATTCTCTTCTCAGCATTCTTCTCCACCTGTTAATTTTTCACAAAATCAGGTCTTTTTTTAGCATAAGATTAATTTTAAAAGAACTTCCCAGGTTTTGTTTTCTTAAACTGTGTTAATTAGTCCTGCTTTAAGCAGCCTAACTATATTAGTTTCCTATGTTGCTACTGCAACATATTATCACAAATTTAGTTGATTAACACAATGGAAATTTATTCTCTTATAATCTGGAGGTCAGAGGCTAAAGTTAAGGTGCCTGCAGGGCTGCATTTCATCTGAAGGCTCCTGGAGAGAATTGATTTATTTTCCTTTTCCAGCTTCTATAGAGGCCAACTACATTCCTTTGCTCATGACCCTTTTCCTCTCAGCACTTCAATCTCTGCTTCCATCATCCCTAGAAAAATTACACACTTACTTCCCATTTGACACAGCAACCCCACATCTCAAATTCTATCCCACAAATGCATTGGAAAAAAACAAAACAAAACAAAAAATAACCATACATAAAATGTTTTATTATAACACTACATGTAATAACAAAAGAATGAAAGCAATCCAAATGTCTATCTGAGCTGACTGAATGAACTGTGGTATGACACATATAATGAAATATTATGCAGTTGCATAAGAGGTAAAAGAATGTATTTATAGACTGATAATATGAGCTCAAGGATATATTGTTAAGCAACAAAAAAAGAAAGAGAAATTGTAATATCATCTTTTATGTAATAAACGGAAGAGGTAAATGCACTTATGTATTTCCTTAAATAATTATATATATATTTATGTATCTCCTTATATAATAAAAATAAAATATTAAATTCCAAGGTATTTTTAAAATAGTAATCTTTAAGAAGAGGAGGGGACAGGAATGAGAATATAGGGATGAAAATCAGATTTCTGTGGATATAACATTTTATAGATTTTAATTTGGAACTGTATTAGTTTCTTAGGGCTGCTATAAAAAATTAGTGCCTTTGAACTACAGCAATTTATTGTCTCATAGTTCTGCATGCCAGAATTTCAAAATCAAGGTGTTGCTGGGACCATCCTCCCTCTAAAACCTGTAGGGGAGAATCCTTCCTTTCCTATTCTACTTTTGTTGTTTGTCTGCAATTTCTGCCTCTATTCACATAGCCATCATCTCCCTGTGTCTCTTCTCTTCTTCTAAAAACAGCAGTCAGATTAGATTAAGGGCCCAGAATACTCCAGCATGACCTCATCTTAACTAATATTTTCAACAACCTTGTTTCCAAATAAGGTCATTTCTGAGGTCCTAGGAGTTGGGACTGTCAGGCCTCTGAGCCTAAGCTAAGCCATAATATCCCCTGTGACCTGCACGTACACATCCAGATGGCTGGTTCCTGCCTTAACTGATGACATTCCAACACAAAAGAAGTGAAAATGGCTTGTTCCTACCTTAACTGATGACATTATCTTGCGAAATTTCTTCTCCTGGCTCATCCTGGCTCAAAAGCTCCCCTACTGAACACCTTGGGACCCCTACTCCTGCCCGCCAGACCACAACCCCCCTTTTTCCTTTACATACCCAAATCCTATAAAACGGCCCCACCCCTATCTCCCTTCACTGACTCTCTTTTCAGACTCAGCCAGCCTGCACCCAGGTGATTAAAAGCTTTATTGCTCACACAAAACCTGTTTGGTGGTCTCTTCACACAGACGCGCATGAAATTTGGTGCCATGACTCGGATCGGGGGACCTCCCTGGGGGATCAATGCCCTGTCCTCCTGCTCTTTGCTCCGTGAGAAAGATCCACCTACGACCTCAGGTCCTCAGACCCACCAGCCCAAGGAACATCTCACCAATTTTAAATCGGGTAAACGGCCTCTTCTTATTCTCTTCTCCAACCTCTCTCACTATCCCTCAACCACTTTCTCCTTTCAATCTTGGCACCACCCTTCAATCTCTCCCTTCTCTTAATTTCAATTCCTTTCATTTTCTGGTAGAGACAAAGGAGACATGTTTTATCCGTGGAACCAAAACTCCAGCACCAGTCATGGACTCAGGAAGGCAGCCTTCGCTTGGCATTTAATCATTGCAGGGGAGGAGCCAAGATGGCCGAATAGGAACAGCTCCGGTCTACACCTCCCAGCGTGAGCGACACAGAAGATGGTGATTTCTGCATTTCCATCTGAGGTACTGGGTTCATCTCACTAGGGAGTGCCAGACAGTGGGCACAGCTTTGAAGAGAGCAGTGGTTCTCCCAGCACGCAGCTGGAGATCTGAGAACTGGCAGACTGCCTCCTCAAGTGGGTCCCTGACCCCTGACCCCCGAGCAGCCTAACTGGGAGGCACCCCCCAGCAAGGGCACACTGACACCTCACACGGCAGGGTATTCCAACAGACCTGCAGCTGAGGGTCCTGTCTGTTAGAAGGAAAACTAATAAACAGAAAGGACATCCACACCAAAAACCCATCTGTACATCACCATCATAAAAGACCAAAAGTAGATAAAACCACAAAGATGGGGAAAAAACAGAACAGAAAAACTGGAAACTCTAAAACACAGAGCGCCTCTCCTCCTCCAAAGGAACGCAGTTTCTCACCAGCAACGGAACAAAGCTGGATGGAGAATGACTTTGAAGAGCTGAAAGAAGGCTTCAGACGATCAAATTACTCTGAGCTACAGGAGGACATTCAAACCAAAGGCAAAGAAGTTGAAAACTTTGAAAAAAATTTAGAAGAATGTATAACTAGAATAACCAATACAGACAAGTGCTTAAAGGAGCTGATGGAGCTGAAAACCAAGGCTCAAGAACTACGTGAAGAATGCAGAAGCCTCAGGAGCTGATGCGATCAACTGGAAGAAAGGGTATCAGTGATGGAAGATGAAATGAATGAAATGAAGTAGGAAAGTTTAGAGAAAAAAGAATAAAAAGAAACGAGCAAAGCCTCCAAGAAATATGGGACTATGTGAAAAGACCAAATCTACGTCTGATTGGTGTACCTGAAAGTGATGGGGAGAATGGAACCAAGTTGGAAAACACTCTGCAGGATATTATCCAGGAGAACTTCCCTAATCTAGCAAGGCAGGCCAACGTTCAGATTCAGGAAATACAGAGAACACCACAAAGATACTCCTCGAGAAGAGCAACTCCAAGACACATAATTGTCAGATTCACCAAAGTTGAAATGAAGGAAAAAATGTTAAGGGCAGCCAGAGAGAAAGGTCGGGTTACCCTCAAAGGGAAGCCCATCAGACTAACAGCAGATCTCTTGGCAGAAACCCTACAAGCCAGAAGAGAGTGGGGGCCAATATTCAACATTCTTAAAGAAAAGAATTTTCAACCCAGAATTTCATATCCAGCCAAACTAAGCTTCATAAGTGAAGGAGAAATAAAATACTTTACAGACAAGCAAATGCTGAGAGATTTTGTAACCACCAGGCCTGCCCGAAAAGAGCTCCTGAAGGAAGCGCTAAATATGGAAAGGAACAACCACTACCAGCCGCTGCAAAATCATGCCAAAATGTAAAGACCATCAAGACTAGGAAGAAACTGCATCAACTAACGAGCAAAATCACCAGCTAACATCATAATGACAGGATCAAATTCACACATAACAATATTAACTTTAAGTGTAAATGGACTAAATGCTCCAATTAAAAGACACAGACTGGCAAATTGGATAAAGAGTCAAGACCCATCAGTGTGCTGTATTCAGGAAACCCATCTGACGTGCAGAGACACACATAGGCTCAAAATAAAAGGATGGAGGAAGATCTACCAAGCAAATGGAAAACAAAAAAAGGCAGGGGTTGCAATCCTAGTCTCTGATAAAACAGACTTTAAACCAACAAAGATCAAACGAGACAAAGAAGGCCATACATAATGGTAAAGGGATCAATTCAACAAGAAGAGCTAACTATCCTAAATATATATGCACCCAATACAGGAGCACCCAGATTCATAAAGCAAGTCCTGAGTGACCTACAAAGAGATTTGGACTCCCACACATTAATAATGGGAGAATTTAACACCCCACTGTCAACATTAGACAGATCAATGAGACAGAAAGTCAACAAGGATACCCAGGAATTGAACTCAGCTCTGCACCAAGCGGACCTAATAGACATCTACAGAACTCTCCACCCCAAATCAACAGAATATACATCTTTTTCAGCGCCACACCACACCTATTCCAAAATTGACCACATACTTGGAAGTAAAGCTCTCCTCAGCAAATGTAAAAGAACAGAAATTATAACAAACTATCTCTCAGACCACAGTGCAATCAAACTAGAACTCAGGATTAAGAATCTCACTCAAAACTGCTCAACTGCATGGAAACTGAACAACCTGCTCCTGAATGACTACTGGGTACATAACGATATGAAGGCAGAAATAAAGATGTTCTTTGAAACCAATGAGAACAAAGATACAACATACTGGAATCTCTGGGACACATTCAAAGCACTGTGTAGAGGGAAATTTATAGCACTAAATGCCCACAACAAAATACAGGAAAGATCCAAAATTGACACCCTAACATCACAATTAAAAGAACTAGAAAAGCAAGAGCAAATACATTCAAAAGCTAGCAGAAGGCAAGAAATAACTAAGATCAGAGCAGAACTGAAGGAAATAGAGACACAAAAAACCCTTCAAAAAATCAATGAATCCAGGAGCTGGTTTTTTGAAAGGATCAACAAAATATATAGACCACTAGCAAGACTAATAAAGAAAAAAAGAGAGAAGAATCAAATAGACGCAATAAAAAATGATAAAGGGGATATCACCACCGATCCCACAGAAATACAAACTACCATCAGAGAATACTACAAACACCTCTACACAAATAAACTAGAAAATCTAGAAGAAATGGATACATTCCTCGACACATACACTCTCCCAAGACTAAACCAGGAAGAAGTTGAATCTCTGAATAGACCAATAACAGGATCTGAAATTGTGGCAATAATCAATAGCTTACCAACCAAAAAGAGTCCAGGACCAGATGGATTCACAGCTGAATTCTACCAGAGGTACAAGGAGGAACTGGTACCATTCCTTCTGAAACTATTCCAATCAATAGAAAAAGAGGGAATCCTCCCTAACTCGTTTTATGAGGCCAGCATCATTCTGATACCAAAGCCGGGCAGAGACACAACCAAAAAAGAGAATTTTAGACCAATATCCTTGATGAACATTGATGCAAAAATCCTCAATAAAATACTGGCAAACCAAATCCAGCAGCACATCAAAAAGCTAATCCACCATGATCAAGTGGGCTTCATCCCTGGGATGCAAGGCTGGTTCAATATACGCAAATCAATAAATGTAATCCAGCATATAAACAGAGCCAAAGACAAAAACCACATGATAATCTCAATAGATGCAGAAAAAGCCTTTGACAAAATCCAACAACCCTTCATGCTAAAAACTCTCAATAAATTAGGTATTGATGGGATGTATCTCAAAATAATAAGAGCTATCTATGACAAACCCACAGCCAATATCATACTGAATGGGCAAAAACTGGAAGCATTCCCTTTGAAAACTGGCACAAGACAGGGATGCCCTCTCTCACCACTCCTATTCAACATAGTGTTGGAAGTTCTGGCCAGGGCAATTAGGCAGGAGAAGGAAATAAAGGGTATCCAATTAGGAAAAGAGGAAGTCAAATTGTCCCTGTTTGCAGATGACATGATTGTATATCTAGAAAACCCCATTGTCTCAGCCCAAAATCTCCTTAAGCTGATAAGCAACTTCAGCAAAGTCTCAGGATACAAAATCAATGTACAAAAATCACAAGAATTCTTATACACCAACAACAGACAAACAGAGAGTCAAATCATGAGTGAACTCCCATTCACAATTGCTTCAAAGAGAATAAAATACCTAGGAATCCAACTTACAAGGGATGTGAAGGACCTCTTCAAGGAGAACTACAAACCACTGCTCAAGGAAATAAAAGAGGATACAAACAAATGGAAGAACATTCCATGCTCATGGCTAGGAAGAATCAATATCATGAAAATGGCCATACTGCCCAAGGTAATTTACAGATTCAATGCCATCCCCATCAAGCTACCAATGACTTTCTTCACAGAATTGGAAAAAACTACTTTAAAGTTCATAGGGAACCAAAGAAGAGCCCGCATCGCCAAGGCAATCCTAAGCCAAAAGAACAAAGCTGGAGGCATCACACTACCTGACTTCAAACTATACTACAAGGCTACAGTCACCAAAACAGCATGGTACTGGTACCAAAACAGAGATATAGATCAATGGAACAGAACAGAGCCCTCAGAAATAATGCCGCATATCTACAACTATCTGATCTTTGACAAACCTGAGAAAAACAAGCAATGGGGAAAGGTTTCTCTATTTAATAAATGGTGCTGGGAAAACTGGCTAGCCATATGTAGAAAGCTGAAACTGGATCCCTTCCTTACACCTTATACAAAAATCAATTCAAGATGGATTAAAGACTTAAACGTTAGACCTAAAACCATAAAAACCCTAGAAGAAAACGTAGGCAGTACCATTGAGGAGATAGGCATGGGCAAGGACTTCATGTCTAAAACACCAAAAGCAATGGCAACAAAAGCCAAAATTGACAAATGGAATCTAATTAAACTAAAGAGCTTCTGCACAGCAAAAGAAACTACCATCAGAGTGAACAGGCAACCTACAAAATGGGAGAAAATTTTCACAACCTACTCATCTGACAAAGGGCTAATATCCAGAATCTACAATGAACTCAAAGAAATTTACAAGAATAAAACAAACAACCCCATCAAAAAGTGGGCGAAGGACATGAACAGACACTTCTCAAAAGAAGACATTTATGCAGCTAAAAAAACACATGAAAAAATGCTCATCATCACTGGCCATCAGAGAAATGCAAATCAAAACCACAATGAGATACCATCTCACACCAGTTAGAATGGCAATCATTAAAAAGTCAGGAAACAACAGGTGCTGGAGAGGATGTGGAGAAATAGGAACACTTTTACACTGTTGGTGGGACTGTAAACTAGTTCAACCATTGTGGAAGTCAGTGTGGCAATTCCTCAGGGATCTAGAACTGGAAATACCGTTTGACCCAGCCATCCCATTACTGGGTATATACCCAAAGGACTATAAATCATGCTGCTATAAAGACACATGCACACGTATATTTATTGCGGCATTATTCACAATAGCACAGACTTGGAACCAACCCAAATGTCCAACAATGATAGACTGGATTAAGAAAATGTGGCACATATACACCATGGAATACTATGCAGCCATAAAAAATGATGAGTTCATGTCCTTTGTAGGGACATGGATGAAATTGGAAAACATCATTCTCAGTAAACTATCGCAAGAACAAAAAACCAAACACCACATATTCTCACTCATAGGTGGGAATTGAACAATGAGAACACATGGACACAGGAAGGGGAATATCACACTGGGGAGTGTTGTGGGGTGGGGGGAGGGGGGAGGGATAGCATTGGGAGATATACCTAATGCTAGATGATGAGTTAGTGGGTGCAGTGCACCAGCATGACACATGTATAAATATGTAACTAACCTGCACAATGTGCACATGTACCCTAAAACTTAAAGTATAATAAAAAATAAAAAAACAAGAAAAAAGAAAAGTCACAATGAAAAAAAAAGTCATTGCAGGGAAACCTGTCTGATTATTCACCCACATTTCAGAGGTGTCTGACCACGCAAGGACACCTGCCTTGGTCCTTCACCCTTAGTGGCACGTACTGCTTTTCTGGGGGGGCAAGAAGCCCTCAACTCCTTCTGTCCGTGTCTCTACCCCTTCACCACTTTTCTGGGAGGCAAGAATCCCTGGACCCCTTATCTCTGTGCCCTGATCCCTTATTTCCATGCCCCAACCTCTTATCTCTGTGCCCCAACCCCTTATTTCCATGCTCCGACCCCTTTCCCACTTTTCTGGAGGGTAAGAACCCCTGAACCCCTTCCCTCTGTGTCTCTACTTTTTCTTTTCTCTCAGCTTGCCACCTTCACTATGGGCAACCTTCCACCCTCCATTCCTCCCTCTTCTCCCTTAGTCTGTGCTCTCAAGACTTAAAACTTCTTCAACTCACACCTGATCTAAGACTTAAGTGCCTTATTTTCTTCTACAATGCTGTGTGACCCCAATACAAACTCGACAGTAGTTCCAAATAGCCAGAAAATGGCACTTTCGATTTTTCCATCCTACGAAACACCTTCGATTTTTCGTTTGCCATTTTTCATAAAATGGGCAAACGGTCTGAGGTGCCTGACATCCAGGCATTCTTTTACACATTGTTCCCTCCCTCATCTCTGTTCCCAATATGACTCATCCCAAATCTTCCTTCTTTCCCTCCTGCCTGTCCCCTCAGTCCCAACCCCAAGCGTCACTGAGTCTTTCTAATCTTCCTTTTCTACAGACCCATCTGACCTCTCCCCTCCTCGCCAGGCTGAGCTAGGTCCCAATTCTTCCTCAGCCTCTGCTCCTCCACCCTATAATCCTTTTATCACCTCCGCTCCTCACACCCGGTCCGGCTTACAGTTTCGTTCCCCCGAATAGCCCTCCCCTACCTGCCCAGCAATTTACTCTTAAAAAGGTGGCTAGAGCTAAAGGCACAGTCAAGGTTAATACTCCTTTTTCTTTATCCCAAATCAGATAGCATTTAGGCTCTTTTTCATCAAATATAAAAATCCAGCCCAGTTCATGGCTCGTTTGGCAGCAACCCTGAGACAGTTTACAGCCCTAGACCCTAAAAGGTCAAAAGCCCGTCTTATTCTCAATATACATTACCCAATCTGCTCCCACATTAAATAAAACTCCAAAAATTAAATTCCAGCCCTCAAACCCCACAACGGGACTTAATTAACCTCGCCTTCAAGGTGTACAATAATAGAGTAGAGGCAGCCAAATAACAATGTATCTGAGTTGCAATTCCTTGCCTCCACTGTGAAACAAACCCCAGCCATATCTCCAGCACAGAAGAACTTCCCAACACCTGAACCGCAGCAGCCAGGCATTCCTCCAGAACCGCCTCCCCCAGGAGCTTCCTACAAGTGCCAGAAATCTGGCCACCAGGCCAAGGAATGCCCACAGCCCAGGATTCCTCCTAAGCTGCGTCCCGTCTGTGCAGGACCCCACTGAAAATTGTACTGTTCAACTCACCTGGCAGCCACTCCCAGAGTCCCTGGAACTCCGGCCCAAGGCTCTCTGACTCCTTCCCAGATCTTCTCGGCTTAGCAGCTGAAGACTGACACTGCCCAATCACCTCAGAAGCCCCGCAGACCATCACAGATGCTGAGCTTTAAGTAACTCTCACAGTGGAGGGTGTGAGAGTTACTTAATCAATACGGAGGCTACCCACTCCACATTACCTTCTTTTCAAGGGCCTGTTTCCCTTGCCTCCATCACTGTCATAGGTATTGACAGTCAGGCTTCTAAAACTCTTAAAACTCCCCAACTCTGGTGCCAACTTAGACAATACTCTTTTAAGCGCTCCTTTTTAGTTATCCCCACCTGCCCAGTTCCCTTATTAGGCCGAGACACTTTAACTAAATTATCTGCTTCCCTGACTATTCCTAGGCTACAGCTGCACCTCATTACCACCTTTTCCCCCAGTTCAAAGCCTCCTTCACATCCTCCCCTTATATCTCCCCACCTTAACCCACAAGTATAAGACACCTCTACTCCCTCCTTAGTGACCGATCATGCACCCCTTACCATCCCATTAAAACCTACTCACTCTTACCTCACTCAATGCCAATATCCCATCCCACAGCACGCTTTGAAAGGATTAAAGCCTGTTATCACTCACCTGCTACAGCATAGGCTTCTAAAACCTATAAACTCTCCTTACAATTCCCCCATTTTACCTGTCCTAAAACCAGACAAGCCTTACAGGTTAGTTCAGGATCTGAGCCTTATCAACCAAATTGTTTTCCCATGGTGCCAAACCCATATACTCTCCTATCCTCAATACCTCCCTCTACAACCCATTATTCTGTTCTAGATCTCAAACATGCTTTCTTTACTATTCCTTTGCACCCTTCATCCCAGCCTCTCTTTGCTTTCACTTGGACTGACCCTGACACCCATTAAGCTCAGCAAATTACCTGGGCTGTACTGCCACAAAGCATCACAGACAGCTCCTATTATTTCCGTCAAGCCCAAATTTCTTCCTCATCTGTTACCTATCTCGGCATAATTCTCATAAAAACACATGTGCTCTCCCTGCTGATCGTGTCTGGCTAATCTCCCAAACCCCAATCCCTTCTACAAAACAACAACTCCTTTCCTTCCTAGGCATGGTTAGGCTGGTCAGAATTGTTACACAAGAGCCAGGACCACACCCTGTAGCCTTTTTGTCCAAACAACTTGACCTTACTGTTTTAGGCTGGCCATCATGTCTCCGTGCAGCAGCTGCTGCAGCCCTAATACTTTTAGAGGCCCTTAAAATCACAAACTATGCTCAACTCACTCTCTACAATTCTCATAACTTCCAAAATCTATTTTCTTCCTCACACCTGACACATATAGTTTCTGCTCCTGGCTCCTTCAGCTGTACTCACTCTTTGTTGAGTCTCCCACAGTTACCATTGTTCCTGGCCCGGACTTCAATCTGGCCTCCCACATTATTCTGGATACCACACCTGACCCTCATGACTGTATCTCTCTGATCCACCTGACATTCACCCCATTTCCCCTTATTTCCTTCTTTCCTGTTCCTCACCCTGATCACATGTAGTTTATTGATGGCAGTTCCGCCAGGCCTAATCGCCACACACCAGCAAAGGCAGGCTATGCTATAGTATCTTCCACATCTATTGTTGAGGCTACCGCTCTGCCCTCCTCCACTACCTCTCAGCAAGCCGAACTAGTTGCCTTAACTCAAGCCCTCACTCTTGCAAAAGGACTACGTGTCAATATTTATAGTGACTCTAAATATGCCTTTCATATTCTGCACCACCATGCTGTTATATAGGCTGAAAGAGGTTTCCTCACTATGTAAGGGTCCTGCATCATTAATGCTCTTTAATAAAAACTCTGCTCAAGGCTGCTTTACTTCCAAAGGAAGCTGGAGTCATTCACTGCAAAGGCCATCAAAAAGCATCAGATCCCATTGCTCTAGACAACGCTTATGCTGATAAGGTGGCTAGACAAGCAGCTAGCTTTCCAACTTCTGTCCCTCATGCGTTTTTCTCCTTCACATCGGTCACTCCCACCTACTCCCCTGCTGAAACTTCCACCTACCAATCTCTTCCCACACAAGGCAAATAGTTCTTAGACCAAGGAAAATATCTCCTTCCAGCCTCACAGGCCCATTCTATTCTGTCGTCATTTCATAACCTCTTCCACGTAGGTTACAAGCCGCTAGCCCATCTCTTAGAACCTCTCATTTCCTTTCCATCATGGAAATCTATCCTCAAGGAGATCACTTCTCAGTGTTCCATCTGCTATTCTACTACCCCTCATGGATTGTTCAGGCCTCCTCCCTTTCTACACATCAAGCTCGAGGATTTGTCCCTGCCCAGGACTGGCAAATTGACTTTACTCACATGCCCCAAGTCGGAAAACTAAAATATCTCTTAGTCTAAGTAGACACTTTCACTGGATGGGTAGAGGCCTTTCCCACAAGGTCTGAGAAGGCCACCGTGGTCATTTCGTCCCTTCTGTCAGACATAATTCCTTGGTTTCGCCTTCCCACCTCTATATAGTCTGATAACGGACCAGCCTTTATTAGTCAAATCAGCCAAGCATTTTTTCAGGCTCTTAGTATTCAGTGAAACCTTTATATCCCTTACAGTCCTCAGTCTTCAGGAAAAGTAGAACAGACTAATGGTCTTTTAAAAACACACCTCACCAAACTCAGCCACCAACTTAAAGAGGACTAGACAATACTTTTACCACTTTCCCGTCTCAGAATTCAGGCCTGTCCTCGGAATGCTACAAGGTATAGCCCATTTGAGCTCCCGTATAGACGCTGCTTTTTATTAGGCTCCAGTCTCATTCCAGACACCAGACCAACTTGGACTGTGCCCCAAAAAACTTGTCATCCCTACTATATTCTGTCTAGTCATACTCCTATTCACCGTTCTCAACTACTCATACATGCCCTGCTCTTGTTTACACTGCCAGTTTACACTGTTTCTCCAAGTCATCACAGCTGATATCTCCTGGTGCTATCCCAAACCGCCACTCTTAACTCTTAAATCAATAATCTTTGCTGGCAAGGCTATGCTGAACCTCCTTAGGCACTCTCTAATTAGATGTCCTAGGTCCTCCCAATTCTTAGTCCTTTAATACCTGTTTTTCTCCTTCTCTTATTTTGTTTAGTTTTTCAATTCATACAAAACTGTATCCAGGCCATCACCAATAATTCTAAATGAGAAATGCTTCTTCTAACGACCCCACAATATCACCCCTTACCACAGAATCTTCCTTCAGCTTAATCTGTCCCACTCTAGGTTCCCACGCCGCCCCTAATCCCGCTTGAAGCAGCCCTGAGAAACATCGCCCATTCTCTCTCCATACCACCCCCAAAAATTTTCACCGCCCCAATGCTTTACCACTATTTCATTTTATTTTTCTTATTAATATAAGAGGACAGGAATGTCAGGCCTCTGGGCCCAAGCTAAGCCATCATATCCCCTGTGACCTGCACATACACATCCAGATGGCTGGTTCTTGCCTTAACTGATGACATTCCACCACAAAAGAAGTGAAAATGGCCTGTTCCTGCCTTAACTGATGACATTATCTTGTGAAATTTCTTCTCCTGGCTCATTCTGGCTCAAAAGCTCCCCTACTGAACACTTGTGACCCCCACTTCTGCCCATCAGACCACAACCCCACTTTTTCCTTTACCTACCCAAATCCTATAAAACGGCCCCACCCCTATCTCCCTTCGCTCTCTTTTTGGACTCAGCCAGCCTGCACCCAGGTGATTAAAAGCTTTATTGCTCACACAAAGCCTGTTTGGTGGTCTCTTCACATGGACGCACATGAAAGGGACTTCATAATATCTTTTGGTTGGGCAGCACACAATTTAGCCTATAACGAGCTATGCCAACATTTTGCATATTTATTAAGCAAAATTACATCAAAATACAAAAAATAAAACCACTCCCTGAATTTGCAAAGCAAAATGAAACAAATTAACCTATCTGCATAACAAACTGGTGGCTAATAACACCCAGAATAATTGTTTCAGTATGCTTCTAAGTGACAACCATTGGGTTGTAATAGTTTTACAGTGATATATTTTAGGGACTAAAAGAGCTGCATGAACTCTTTAGCTGTTTTTAGTTAAAATAAAGCAAATAAACAATTATGTTAATGTCATTAGAAACCTAGATTTTCATCATGAGTGAGTATAAATATAAAGTCAAGGAAGTTAAGAAAAATCTTGTAGTTCTAAGTTCTAAATTCTAAACTGGAAACATCAATATGAATTCATGATGTGTGTGTGTGTGTGTGTGTGTATTTAATATATTATATATATTCAAATTAACATATCCAAGTTGTATCCACTAAAAGGTTGAATAAATCATGTTCAAAGCAGTAGAAATGAGCATCTAATAGAGGGTTCATTTAAAAATAATTGAATCTAAAACAATATTTGGTAAAAATGGTGGATGGGAGGCAGGACTAACTTGCAGCTCCCACTTAGATAGACAGAGCAGCATATGGAGACTCACATCGTGAACTTTTGCTCGAAGAACTACCACAGGAACATACTAGGAAAGCTGAGAGAATCCACACACCCTTTGAAGGAAGTGGTTTGCCACGTTAGACTCTGTGAGACAGCCAAAAAACTGTGAGTGCCCAAAGTGTGGGAAGGGGAATGTCTGTTTCTGAACACACATCTTCACTGGGAAACCTGGAGGTCCAGATCATGGGAGAAGGATGTGACCTTACCTGGAGCTGAGATAAATTTTAGAGAGCCCAAGGAACTATAGGGGTAGAGGAAGCAGTTGGAAGAGCCCTGGGGGCACTATGGGTCCCCAGGGAAGCTATTCCTGATGCAGGAATGCAGGTGGGGATGCATGAAATCTGAAAGCCCTGCTTGCTTTCTCAGTGGGGAGGCATGTAGCCTGGGGCAAGTTCTCAGTCCTGCTCACAGGCTAGCTAGAAATAAACTCAGTGCTACTGGGGGTGGGCGCTGTGGGAGTGAGACTTGCCTTTCAGGCTGCTTGGGAGCTAGGTGAGGCCTATCATTGCCAGCTTTCCCCCACTTCCCTGGTGACCCTTATGATGCAGCCATAATGCCTCTAGAAATGTAACTCCATTGGCCTGAGAAATACACCCCATCCCCTACAGCAGCCACAGCATGCCCCACCCAAGGAGAGTCTGAGCTCAGACACACCTAACCTACCTCCACCTGATGGTCATTCTCTACCTGCCCTGGTAGCCAAAGACAAAGGACATAATCTCTTGGGAGCTTTATGGCCCAGACCACCACCTGAGAAAGCCAAATACTTATCCAGGTGACCCTAGAGCAAGCTGGTATCCTCCCTATACTACTGCAATGGATGCTGTGTTGAAAGTGCCACCTCCTGGCTGGAGGCCAACCGACACAAAACCAGCACACCTAACAAATATACAACCAAGGACCCTCACAGAGTCTACTTCACTCCCCTGCTACCTCTACTGGAGTTGTTGGTATCCATGGCTGAGAGACAAGAAGATGGATCACATCACAGGACTTTTTGCAGACACTACTTACTACCAGCTTGGACCCCGCTAGCTGTGCTGGGTGGCTAGACCCAGGGGAAAAAAAACAGTCACTGCAGTTTGGCTCTCAGGAAGCCCCATCCTTAGGAAAAGGGGGAGAGCTTCATATCAAGGAAACACTCTGTGGGACAAAAGAATCTGAACAACAGCCTTTGGGCCCCAGATCTTCCCTCTAACATAGTCTGCCCAAATGAGAAGGAACTAGAAAAACAATTCTGGTAATATGATGAAACAGGGTTCTTTAACATCCCCAAAAGATCACACTAGCTCACCAGCAACGGATCCAAACCAAGAAGAAATCTCTGAATTGCTAGAAAAAGAATTCAGAAGGTCGATTATTAAGCTACTCAAGGAGGCACCAGAGAAAGGTAAATATCAACATAAGGAAATCCAAAAAAAGACACAGGATATGAATGGAAAAATCTCCAGAGAAATAGATAGCATAAATTTAAAAAAATCACAAATTGTGAAAATGAAGGACACACTTAGAGAAATGCAAAATATACTGGAAAGTCTCAACAATAGAACTGAACAAGTAAAAGAAAAAACTTCAGACCTCGAAGACAAGGCGTTTGAATTAACCCAAATTCCACAAAGACAAAGAAAAAATTTAAAAAATGAAGAAAGCCTCCAAGAAGTTTGGGATTATGTTAAACGACCAAATCTAAGAATAGTTGATGTTCCCAAGGAAGAAGAGAAATCTAAAAGTTTGTGTCAGGCCTCTGAGCCCAAGCTAAGCCATCATATCCCCTGTGACCTGCACATATACATCCAGATGGCCTGAAGTAACTGAAGAATCACAAAATAAGTGATATTTAAATGGCCTGTTCCTGCCTTAACTGATGACATTCCACCACAAAAGAAGTGAAAATGGCATGGCAGGTCCTTGCCTTAACTGATGACATTACCTTGTGAAATTCCTTCTCCTGCCTCATCCTGGCTCAAAAAGCTTCCCCACTGAGCACCTTGTGACCCCCACTACTGCTCACCAGAGAACAACCCCCCTTTGATTGTAATTTTCCTTTACCTACCCAAATCTTATAAAACGGCCCCACCCCTATCTCCCTTTGCTGACTCTCTTTTCGGACTCAGCCCTCCTGCACCCAGGTGAAATAAACAGCCTTGTTGCTCACACAAAGCCTGTTTGGTGGTCTCCTCACATGGACACAAGTGAAAGTTTGGAAAACATATTTGAAGAAATAATTGATTAAAACTTTTCTGGCCTTGCTAAATATCTAGACATTAAATACAGAGGCTCAAAGAACACCTGGGAAATTTATCGCAAAAAGACCATCACCTAGGCACATAGTGTTCAGGTTACTTAAAAACAAGGTGAAGTAAAGAATCTTAACAGCTGGGATGCAAAGCATCAGGCAACCTATAAACGAAAACCTATCAAATTAGCAGCAGATTTCTCAGCAGAACACCTAAAAGGTAGAAGGTATTAAGGTCTTATCTTTAGCCTCCTTAAACAAAACAATTATCAGCCCAAAATCTTGTATCCAGTGAAACTAAGCTTCATAAATGAAGGAAAGATACAGTCTATTCTTTTTCAGAGACACAAACGCTGAGATAATTTGCCACTACCAAACCAGCACTACAAAAACTGCTAAAGGAGTTCTAAATCTTGAAACAAACCCTGGAAACACATCAAAACAGAACCTCTTTAAAGCTTAAATCTCACAGGACCTATACAACAAAAATATAATTAAAAAAATGTACAGGCAACAAACAGCACAATTATGGAATAGTACCTCACATTTCAATACTAATGTTGAATGTAAATGGCCTAAATGCTCCAGTTAAAAGATACAGAATGGCAGAAGGGATAAGAATTCACCAACCAAGTATCTACTGTCTTCAGATATAAGGACTCACATAAACTTAAGATATAAGGATAAACCTATATTAATATTATATTAATATTAATAAAATATTAAGATAAACCTAAGAAATAAGGACTCACATAAACTTAAAGGGGTAGAAAAAGATATTCCATGCAAATGGACACCAAAAGTGAGCAGGAGTGGCTATTCTTATGTTAAAGCAATAGCAGTTAACAAAGAGGGACATTATACAAGGATAAAAGAACTAGTCCAACAGGATAATATTGCAATTCTAAACACATAAGCACCTAACACTGTAGCTCCCAAATTTATAAAACAATTACTACTGGACCTAAGAAATGAGATAGACAGCAATATAATAATAATGGGAAACTTCAATACTCCACTGACAGCACTAGACAGGTCACCAAGACAGAAAGTCAACAAAGAAACGATGGACTTAAACTATACCCTAGAACAAATGGATATAACAGCTATTTACTGGACATTCTACCCAACAACTGTGGAATATACATTCTTTTCATCAGCACATGGAACACTCTCCAAGACAGACCAGATGATAGGCCACAAAAAAAGTCTCAATAAATTTAACAAAATCAAAATTATATCAAATACTCTCTCAGAACATAGTGGAATAAAACTGGAAATTAACTCCAAGAAGAACCCTCAAAACCACGCAAATACATGGAAATTAAATTACCTGCTACTGATTGATCACTGGGTCAACAATTAAATCAAGATGGAAATTTAAAAATTCTTTGAACTGAACAATAATAGTGACACAACCTATCAAAACCTCTGGGATACAGCAAAAGCGGTACTAAGAGGAAAGTTCAGAGCATTGAATGCCTACGTCAAAAAGTCTAAAAAGGCACAAATAAACAATCTAAGGTCACACTTCAAGGAACTAGAGAAACCAGAACAAACCAAACCCAAACCAATAGAAGAAAACAAATAACAAATGTCAGAGCAGAACTAAATAAAACTGAAACAAAAAAATACAAAAGATAAATGAAACAAAACCTTGCTCTTTGAAAAGATAAACACAATTGATAGATCATTAGCAAGATTAACCAAGAAGAGAGAAGACCCAAATAAGTTCAATTATAAATGAAATGGAAGATATTACACCTGATATCACAGAAATACAAAAGACCATTCAAAGCTAACATGAACACCTTTCTGTGCACAAACTAGAAAATGTAGAGGAGATGGATAAATTCCTGGAAATATACAACCCTCCTAGATTAAACCAGGAAGAAATAGAAACTCTGAACTGACTGATAACAAACAGCAAGAATGAAATGGTAATAAAAAAATTATCAACAACAAAAAAGTCCGGAACGAGACAGATTCACAGCTGAATTCTATCATTCAAATAAAATTGGTACCAATCCTATTTACACTATTCCAAAAGATAGCAAAAGAGGGAGTCCTCCCTAAATCATTCTATGAAGCCAGTATCACCCTAACACCAAAACCAGAAAAGGACATCAAAAAAAGGAAACTACAGGCCAATATACCTGGTCAACATAGATGCAAAAATCCTCAACAAAATAGTAGCTAACTGAATCCAACAGGATATTAAGAAGATAATCCACTGTGATCAAGTGGGATGAATACTAGGGATGCAGGGATGATTTAACATACACAATTCAATAAATGTGATATACCACATAAACAGAAATAAAAACAAAAATCACACGATCATCTCAACACATGCGAAAAAAATTCGACAAAATCCAGCATCCTTTAAGATTAAAATCCTCACCAAAACTCGTGTAGAAGGGACATACCTTAAGTAATAAAAGCCATCTATAACAAACCCACAGCCAACATTGTGGGGTTCAGTCAGGATGGCAGAAGAAATTATAGGAATAGAAAAAAGCAAACCTTCTTGGAAGGCCGGGGAGTTTTGCATAGCTTCAGATAGTTTGGCTGAAGGCCACCAGATTCTCTTTTCAGGAGCCAGAGAGCTTAGGGTGCAGATACCAAGGAATGTAGTTTATCTAAATAGCTTGTGAATCATGTGGTCTTAAGACTAACCTTTAATCATTCGCGGGCCAGATGGCCCTCTCCAGAGTGGGGGTGACCAGGTTAATGACCCACAGGTTTGTTGCCTCAAAGGCTTTGTCATTTAATGTATGCTGAATAAATGCCAGCAGGGCCAGCTAGTTCATGGCCATGGCTGCTGACTCTTTACAGCACCTTCCTTGGTGACTGTGAGGGGCTCAGACCCCTAGCTGCTCTTTCACTGAATATCGGTGTCTGGGTACATTATTCATCCATCATGCAAGCTGGGGTCTGCAGGACAGACCCCTGCACAACATTATACTGAACACGGAAAAGTTGAAAGCATTCTCCCTGAGAACTGAAACAAGACAAGGATGCCCACTTTCACCACTTCTGTTAAACATAGTACTGGAAGTTCTGGCCAGAGAAATCAGACAAGAGAAAGAAATAAAAGACATCCAAATCAGTAAAGAGAAAGTCAAACTGTTGCTGTTTGCTGATGATATGATTGTATACCTAGATAACCCTAAAGTTTCATCAAAAAAGCTCCTTAGAACTGATATATAAATTCATCAAAGTTTCAGAATAACAACTTAATATGCACAAATTAATAGCACCACTATACACTAACAGTGACCAAGCTGAGAATCAAATCAAGAACTTGACCACTTTTACAATAGCTGTGAAACAAAACAAAACAACAACAACAATAAAACCTTAGGAATATACCTAACCAAGAAGGTGAAAGACCTCTACAAGGGAAACCACAAAACACTTTTGAAAGAAATTATAGATGACACAAACTAATGGAAATACATCCCATGCTCATGGATGAGTAGAATCAATATTGTGAAAATGGCTGTACTGCCCAAGGCAATCTACAAATTTAATGCAATTCCCATCAAAGTACTGCCATCATCTTTCACAGAGCTAGAAAAAACAATTGAAAAATTTATATGGAATCAAAAAAGAGCCTGCACAGCCAAAGTGAGACTAAGCAGAAAGAACAAATCGGGGAGGCATCACATTACCTGATGTCAAACTATACCATAAGGCTATAGTCACCAAAACAGCATTGTATTGGTATAAAAATAGACACATAGACCAATGAAACAGAATAGAGAACCCAGAAATAAAGCCAAATACTTATAGCCAACTGATCTTTGACAAAGCAAAGAAAAGCATAAAGTGGGGAAAGGACATCCTACTCAACAAATGGTGCTGGGATAATTGTCAAGCCACATGCAGAGGAATGAAATTGGATCCTCATCTCTCACTTTATACAAAAATCAATTCAAGATCGATCAATGACTTAAATCTAAGACCTGAAACCATAAAAATTATAGAAGATAACATTGGAAAAACCCTCTTAAACATTGGAATAGGCAAAGACTTCATGACCAAGAACCTAAAAGCAAATGCAATAAAAACAAAGAGAAATAGATGGGACTTAATTAAACTAAAAAGCTTCTGCATAGCAAAAGAAATAATCCGCAGAGTAAACAGACAACCTACAGAGTGGGAGAAAATCTTTGCAAACTGTGCATCCAAAAAAGGACTAATGTTCAGAATGTAAATAAGTTTTAGCAAGAAAAAAACAAATAATCCCATCAAAATTGGGCTAAGGATATGAATAGACAGTTCTCAAAAGAAGATACACAAATGGCCCATAAACATATGAAAAATGCTCATCATCACTAACTAAGAGGGAAATGGAAATTAAAACTGCAATGCAATACCACCTTAATCCTGCAAGAATGGCCATAATCAAAAAATAAAAAAAAAAAAATAGATGTTGGAATTGATGTGGTACAAAAGGAACACTTTTAAACTGCTTGTGGGAATGTTAACTAGTACAACCACTATGGAAAAAAGTGTGAAGTTTCCTTAAAGAACTAAAAGTAGATCTACAATTTGATCCAGCAATCCCATCATCTACCCAGAGGAAAAAATGTCATTATGTGAAAAAGATACTTGTGTGTGTACACACACACACACACACACACACACACAAATCACATGGCATACTATTCAACCATGAAAAGGAATGAAATAATGGCACTTGCAGCAATCTGGATAGAATTGGAGACTATCATTCTCAGTGAAGTAACTCAGGAATGGAAACCCCAATATCTTATGTTCTCACTCATAAGTGGGAGCTAAGCTATGAGGATGCAAAGGCATAAGAATACTATAATGAACTTTGGGGGCTTTGGGGAAAGGATGAGAGGTGGGAGAGGGATAACAGACTACACACTGGGTACAGTGTACACTGCTTGAGTGATAGGTGCACCAAAATCTCAGAAATCACCACTAGAGAACTCATTCATGTAACCAAACACCACCTGTTTACCAAAAACTTGTTGAAATAAAAAATAAAAATTAAAACAACAAACTAAAAGTAAAAGGCACTGATTTTTGAAACTAGGCAAGTGGTAAGGATATTTGAAGGTGCTTGGTGGATTCTTGGTTGCTGTGGGGAAAGCTGGAATGAGACCATTCACCTCTTATTTTCTTCAATTGCTCCAACTGAAGTGGGTAGAACAGCAGATTTCAGAGCTGGTTATGAAACTACTTGTTTTATCTCCCTTACTTGTCCAGGATAAAGTGGTCTATTCAAGACTGGATTTTCATCTCACCCTGCTCCCAACTCATTTCACAGTTTTATGGTGACAATTATGAGAATGCTGAGCCTGGCTGCATCTCAATTAGAATCCTGCTGTTACAGGTGGAGGGTGTCCACATTCTTGGCGTTTTGAACAAAGAATTGAACAAAATGCACAATCAAAGCAATGAAAGAAAAGCACAGACTTATTGAAATGAAAGTACACACCACAGAATGGGAGCAGGCTCAAGCAAGCAGCTCAAAAGCTCTGCTCACACAATTTTCTAGAGGTTTTCCATTGGTTACTTGGTTTTCACCCTATGTAACTGAAGAAGCTGAAGTGAAGTTACAAAGTTATTGACTTGTGTACACTCTATGCAAATGAAGAGGATGTTTCCTGACATTGCTGAAGTGAAGTTAGAAAGCTATTTACTTGGGTGTAGAAAGCTGAGGTTTTTCCATTTGATTTAGTTGTAGGAAATCTTTAGGTTCCTTGTCTCCAGATCCTATTCTCCTGCCTCACTACTAGAATGCCATCAGCCACCAGGTCTGGAATCGTGGAGAGAGCTGTTAGAACATGGCTGGTGATAGCAATGGTAGTCAGAGGCAGGCATGTTCTATCTGCAGAAGTTGAACACATCTGATACAAAATTATAGCTAGATAGGAGGAATAAGTTCTACTGTTCTACAGCATTGGAGAGTGAATATAGTTAAAAATAATTTATTGTATATTTCAAATCGCTAAAAGAGAGGATTTTGAATGTTCCCAACACAATGATAAATGTTTGAGGTGATGAATATGCTAATTACCCCTGATTTGATCATTATACATTGTTTATAGGTATCAAAATATCACTCTGTATCCCACAAATATGTACAATTATTATGTGTTAATAAAAATACAAGAGAAAAGAAATTGAAAAGAAGAAAGAAAACCAAAAAAAATTGAATCTGAAACTCATCAATTATATACATTTTTAGTCTTCCTCTGTTGCCCATGTTGGAGTGCAGTGGCCCAATCTTGGCTCACTGCAACCTCTGCCTCCTGGTTTCAAGCAATTCTCCTGCCTTAGCCTCCTGAGTAGCTGGGACTACAGATGTGCAACACCATGTCCAGCTAATTTTTGTATTTTTAGTAGAAATGGAGTTTCGCCATTTTGGCCAGGCTGGTCTCCAACTCCTGGCCTCGTGTGATTCATCTGCCTTGGCCTCCCAAAGTGCTGGGATTACAGGCATGAGCCACTGCACCTGGTCTCATCAATTATAATTTAATTGTCAGGTTACAGGACATGAAATGGCAAAGAAAAATGTTAAATGACACTATGTGGATTCAAAAAGCAACATTCAAACAAAATTTTCCAAACAAATTACTTAATATCTTCAACAAATACATCAGGACAAAAAGCTAGAGGGGAAATCTACAGAGAAAACCATATTTAAGAGGCAATTCAAACAAATGTAATGTGTGAACCCTATTTGCATTCTAATTCAAAAACTACAGAAAGCATCTATAAAACTATCAGGAAAATTCAAGTAGAAACTAGATATTTGATGATATTAAGAAATTACTGTTAAATTTAGTTTAGTGCAAAAGTAATTGCAGTTTTGGATCGTGAATTTTAAATTATTATAACTAGGCTCAAATATATCTTTATTAATAAATGTAGGAACCAATAAAATCAACACATTTTTGCCAATGAGAAATAAGTTTGTTTATTCCTGTAGCATAAAAATCCATGCTTTGGAATTTGATGAAGTCTTGGAAAGCATTTTCTGCATCTTGCTGGTTGTGGAAGGCTTTTATGCAAAAAGATGTTGAGATGCTTGAAGAAGTAGTAGTCAGTTGGTGAGAGGTCAGGTGAACATGGAGGATGAGGAAAAACTTTGTAGCCCAATTCTTTTAACTTTTGAAGTGTTGGTTGTGCAACGTGTGGTCGAGGGTTGTCATGGAGAAGAATTTGGCCCTTTCTGTTGACCAATGCTGGCTGCAGGTGTTGCAGTTTTCAGTGCAGCTTATTGATGTGCTGAGCGTACTTCTCAGACGTAATAGTTTCACCAGGATTCAGAATGCTATAGTGGATCAGACTGGCAGCAGACTACTAAACAGTGACCATGACCTTTTTATGGTGCAAGTTTTGCTTTGGGAAGTGCTTTGGAGCTTCTTCTAGGTCCAATCACTGAGCTAGTCATTGCTGGTTGTCATATAAAATCCACTTTTCATCATATGTCACAATCTGATTGAGAAATGATTCATTGTTGTTGTGTGGAATAAGAGATGACACTTCAAAATGACAGTTTTTTGTTTTCTGTTTTTTGTTTTTTTTCGCTCAGCTCATGAGACATCTACTTATAGAGCTTTTTCAGCTTTCCAATTTGCTTTAAATGCAGACGGATCATAGATTGGCCAACGTTGAGTTCTTCGGCAACTTCTCTTTTATTTGTAAGAGGATCAGCTTCAATGATTGCTCTCAATTACTCGTTGTCAACTTCCGATGGCTGGCCACTATGCTCCTCATCTTTAAGGCTTTCATCTCCTTTGCAAAACTTCTTGAACCCACCACTTCACTGTATGTTCGTTAGCAGTTCCTGGGACAAATGTATTGTTGATGTCGCAAGTTGTCGCCGCTGCCTTTACGACTCATTTCGAACTTGAATAAGAAAATCACTTGAATTTGCTTTTTGTCTAACATCATTTTCATGGTCTAAAATAAATATAAAATGAAGTGCAAATAGTAAGTCATTAGCAAAAAAAACATAAAGTGAGGCATGTGCATTAAAATGATGTATCACGTAATTACATTTATTTAAGAATGTATTCCAATATCAAATGGCAAATTTAAACAATGCAAAAACTGCCATTACTTTTACGCCAACCAAAATATGTAATAATATAATAGCATTGTGGCTTATGTTTGTATATAAATATACATACATGTGTATATCAATGTATTTATAAATATAACTATCTCAGTGAGGTCTAGGTAGCTATGTGTTGAAAACTTTTGAAGTTGGGTTATGGAGACATTGGAAGTTTTTATACATTTCTCTTTTGTACATGTTTGATATTTTCAATAACAAAATGTTTTGAAGTGTGGGCCTGGTTTTTCTTCCCTTCCTCATTCTACACAAGATGAAGAAAAAAAGTGAAATGCAAAAATAAGCCCTACTACTTTAGATAAGCAGCGGTAATGAGCATTCCATAGTCAAAACAACACAGATGGACCCTAAAAGGCTTCCTTCCAGAAACGTAAATCCCACAAGCCATCCCTTTGCTCAGGATGTCTATCATTAGGGTTAATCCTTAACATGACAAAGCAGCTCCCTTTTAGAGGTTATACAGATAATTTATATGTTACATTTTTTGAATCAGAATGCCCTTAGGTGGTACATGGCACAGGTCCCACTTCTCCCTATTGGTTTATTACCAGCAATTTTACACATTCCAATTATCTTCCTGGGCTCAGAAGGCATATGCCTCCACCACGATCCTAATTAGATCAACTCAGTATCTGCAGAAAAAAATATTCTAAGTGTAACTCTCCTGCTGAACTCACTTATTCTCTTCCTTCCTCATTCATTCACAATTCATTCACCACTTTTATTCACTATCATTCATCACACTTTCATTGGGTGGACTTTGTGCCTGTGACCAGGCACAATCTGCTAATTACTTCAGAGGATACAGATGTGTTTGGGACATGAGCTCCACATCAAGGAGTTAAAAATATTAGAAGAGACAACCATGTGAACACCTATACACGTTTTCAGAATGAATAGTTCGCTATAATAGAAGGATAGTCATTGGGTGGAAAGAGGAATACCTGAAGCTGGAACTCATGCCTGCTGCATGAAGGGTCTTCAAATCAGTATAGTTATGTGAGCAAACATATATGAGGCAAGGCTAGGCACTCAATCCTCCTCCACTGCAACAGTGGTGTCTAGAGAATGTGCCCATTTAATTAAGTCTTTCTCAAGGTCCAAGCTGCAATTATATGGTCTTGTTATGTTGTTTAAAACAAAAATTTGAAGGAAGGAGAGATGGAAATGAATAGCAGAAATGAAAATTGAATAAGTACAAGCATAACTATGTAAAGGCTACTAGAGTATGTTCCTAGTCCCTAATTTTCAGGGTCTGATATGAGTCACTTTTCAGACTGAAGCATTTGAAACCAGGCTTCAATGCACCTGAAATATGAATTTATATTCAACTTCCAACCAACCTAAAATATATTCAGAGCCACTTCAAAATGTGGCATGTGTGTGGAAGATGTGTGTGGAAGATGTGTGTGTGTGTGTGTGTATGTGTTATGAGGAGGGACTTGTAAGCGTAATAATCTGGTTTCTTTAATGTTTTAAGGTTTGTAATTTTTAAGCAATTGTTTCTGCCATCCAATCAATATTAAAGAGAACAACTGGTTTACAATCATTCTGCTGCACCATGACAACTCTGTTCACCAAGTCCTTATTTCATCTTCCTGCAAAGAGATGTTAAATTCAAATAATCATCTATTCCATGTATTTTCTTCTGCTGTATTGTGATCTTCATCAAATATTGATTACATGCACTTGCCTGTGAGAAGAGTTGTTAGTTTTTGTCCCAGTGAGGAATAATGTTGGCACTTCCAACAATAAGCCTACTGGCTTTTCATTACCATATTATCACTTAGCATATGTCTTTTTCTTAATAATTATTTTTATTTTAATCCATATATGGTACCTGACTGCTATGTAACTCTCAGCTGGAAAAATATTGGAATGACCCTCTGTGCTATGCTTATAGGCCTAACCTTTGTAAGACATATGTTAACATACAGTTAATATACATATACGTATAATGTATACATATAATTTACAGTCAGTTAACAGATATTTTCAGGTACTGTATCCTAAGCCAATTGCTATCATTAACTCTATTTTCTTTTGACTCAATTTCACTTGGGAATGCCATTAATATAATTTTCAAAAGTAAGTCTACTAAAAATTAACACCAAATATTTAAACAGAAGATTCATAAAGACTGACCTTTTTGACATCAACTCTTTATTAGCAAATAAAGTAAACATTTTATGAAAAATAATTTTTCCCATAAGAATAAAATGTGGACTGTATAAAATGGGTGAAGATATCTAGAACACACAACATCAAGTGATTAAGAAAAATTCCAGTGATTAACAAACTCATTGTTCAATGGCTTAATAAACACAGAACTATTAAACAGCTATAAAAAATTAAACTTACCTGTCTGTTAGAAATACATTTCAATTTTTCATAGATTCAACATACTTTAAAATACATAAAAAAATAACTAGAAATACTACCTATTAAACTCATGTACCATTGCTTAAAATATACTACAGAATTCTCAATGTCTCCTTGCAAAGGCAGTGAAAATTCTTATTTCTGAGACCCTCTTTAGTAATAAACCACTGACAAACACAATGTAGGCATAGCTTATATAACATTGTATTCATGTTGTGATTTTTTTTCAAGCATTATACAGTAGTTTGCATCAGGCCTTCCATATTACTTACATGTATAGGATTTCATTCTAATGTAGTGGGAGTTTTCATATCACTTTTAAAGTAATTGTTGAGATTAAGAATTTTTCCATATTTTTCCATACTACCAAAATTCTAATCAGTTGTGGATTCTTACATTTATAAGGATGACTGACATATTTTAGAGCAAGCTTACAGACTAGTTTTTTAGAAGCCATATATGCAAAATTAAAACAGAACCAGGTCTCATAAGATAACAGCTATCTGTGAGAAAATTTTGGAGAATCAGTATGGAAGAGAAACTAGAGAACTCTTGCAGGGTTAGTGGAAATTATTAACATCCGGTACTTTTTATAATAATGTGGGCTTATGCACACACCAGCTCTGTTGCCTCAGAGCAACATCCATGCTCCTCTCTAATGCATCCTGATTTCTCTTTCCCTTCTGAAAAATAGCTGGCAGCTGGGTTAACCCAAGGATGATATTCAGCAATAGATGCCGAAAGCAAAAACAAACAAATCAAAAAAACATATATTCTGCTGTGAATACCTGAGGAGATTTTGGAGTTTCTAATAATACCCTGATTTTATTAAATCTTCTACCTCCTTTTATATTTCACTTTCTTTTACACTCAAAGTAATAAATGGCATAATATTAATCCACATTAAGTTGTTTTTAAATGTTTGATCAGTTATTCATAAGATTTACAGCATTGTAATAGACAATGAGAAGCAGTGTAGAAAGACAAAAATAAGAAGACATTTTTATAATTTTTCAAGATATAAGAATAAAGCACTCTATTACTGCAATTTAACCAAATTTTAACTCTATGAATTCTATAATTTACAAACTTTTTGAAGATTTAAACAACACAATCATTCTAAGAAGTAAATATTTGTAATCACTTAGGTTCAGGCTCTTTATGAAATAAATTATGTATATGTTCATCATATTCTGCTTTCTAGTTAGGGCTTATGCTCAGTGTGTACTTCCACAAGGCTGCCGTAACCCTATTTCTAAAATTCATTGGATTAAGGAGATCTTAGTGCTTTTCAAAAGTGACTCAAAGGTGAGAGTAAGAAAGGGGAGTCATCACCGTCCTCTACTCACTGGAGCATTTTCATTTTTATATGTTTTATATAATAGAGAAAACATAATTTTATTTGAAAGTGATAAAAAATCTTTCTAAAAAATTGAAAATTATTAAGTTCATTGCATACACACTAATCTCTTTTAAATGCAAATATGTTACCTAAAATCACAATACAGAGATAAATAATTATTTTTTAAAAATCAGTTTAAATAAGTTATCTAGTTGGTACACCATTTCTAAACCAAAAGACTGCTATTTAAAAATAAAAATAAAGCTGAGTTTAGATTTTTTTAAAAGCCTACAGCACTTAGTATTCCCAGGCAGTCTCTTATCCAAGTACTAACTAGGCCCAACTCTACTTAGGTTTTGAGATAGATGAGATCAGACATGTTCAGGGTGATATGACCATAGACTCAACTGTGAGCTTTTGATGTACAGAAGTAAAAAAAAAAAATTAGCTCTTGGCACAATTCTAAAAAGAGCAAAAATTAGTGAAAAATCCCTATTGAAGATCCTGGAACCCAGGACACAGAACATCAGGACCAGAGACTCTGAAGGGCTGGAGAAAGAATATTCTGAAAATGAGCTTCCACAAATTCATAATCAGATGAAGATCATGACTTTAAGTTGGCTCTATCTTCAAAGTTTCTTAATGATATTAGTGATATTTGAGGACATACTTAGATGTTTTTGCCACTAGAGATTCTTTTAGCTATCCATGGTACTTTTTGTTTTTGACCACAACATCGAGCTCATAATACACAAAGCTTTTTGCTGAATAGATTCTAAGTATAGGTTTCATGAAATTTGAAATAAACATTAATCCTTTCATGAAGTAGGAAAATCTTAATTAAATTTTTTTTTTGTGCTAACCTATAATAGACAGATTGGAAAACAATCATGGTATTGAAGTTTAGCGGTTATAAAACCCATTTTTGCCACTCAAAGCCCTATGATATTAAGTGCTATGATTGAGTTGGGGGGTACTATATTTTATTTTATTTATTAATTTTTTAACATTTATTTTAGATACATGGGCAGGTTTGTTACATGAGTATATTGCACCCAGGTAACGAGCACAGTACCTAATAGGTAGTTTTTCAGTCCATGCCACTCCCCTTCCCTTCTCCCGCTAGTAGTTCCCAGTGTCTATTGTTCCCATCTTTATGTCCATGTGTATCCAATGCTTACATCTCACTAATAAGTCAGTGGAAAGTATTTGGTTTTCTGTTTCTGCATTCCTGTGTTAATTTGGTTAGGATAATGGCATCCAGCTGCATTCATTTTGCTGCAAAGGACATGATTTCATTCTTTTTCATGGCTGTGTAGTATTCCATGGTGTACATGTACCACATTTTCTTTATCCAATCCACCATTGATGAGCACCTAGATTGATTCTATGTCTTTGGTATTGTGAATGGTGCTTCAATGCACATATAAGTGTATGTGCATGTTTGGTATAATGATCTATTCTTTTTTGGATGTATACCCAGTAATGGAACTGCTGTGTCAAGTGGTAGCTCTGGTTTAAATTCTTTGGAAAATCTCCAAACTGCTTTCCATGGTAGCTGAACTAATTTACATTCCTACTGACAGTGTTTAAGCATCCCCTTTTCTTTACAGCCTCACCAGCATCTGTTATCCTTTGACTTTTTAATAATAGCCATTCTGACTATATGTGAGATCGTATTTCATTGTGGTTTTGATTTGTATTTACCTGATAATCAGTGATGTTGAGTAGTTTTTCGTTTGATTGTTGGCTGCTGGTATGTCTTCTTTTCAGAAGAGTCTGTTCATATCTTTTGCCCATTTTTAATGTGGTTAATTGTTTTTTGCTTGTTGATTGAAGTTCCTTGTAGATTCTGGATATTAGACCTTGTTAGATGCATAGTTTGTAAATATTTTCTCCCATTCTGTAGGTTGTCTGTTTAACTTTGTTGATAGTTTCTCTTGCTGTACAGAAGTTCTTTAGCTCATTTAGTTCCCACTGGTCAGTTTTCGTTTTTGTTGCAAGTGCTTTCGAGGATTTAGTCACCAGTTATTTCCCAAGGCTGATGTCCAGAATGGTATTTCCTGCTTTCTTCTAGGATTCTTACCATTTGAAGTCCTACATTTAAATCTTTAATTCATCTTGAGTTAATTTTTGTATATGGTGAAAGGTATGGGTATACTTTCATTCTTCCAAATATGGCTAGCCAGCTATCCCAGCACCATTATTGAATAGGGAGTCCTTTCTGCATTACTTATTTTTGTCAACCTTGTCAAAGATCAGATGGCTGTAGGTGTGTAGTTTTATTTTTGGGTTCTCTATTCTGTTCCATTGGTCTATGTTTCTGTTTTATACCAGTACCATGCTGTTTTGGTTACTGTAACATTGTAGTATAGCTTGAAGTCAGGTAATGTGATATCACTGGCTTTGTCCTTTTTGTTTAGGATTCTTTTGGCAACTCAGGCTCTCGTTTTACCTTCATATTAATTTCACAACAGTTTTTTCTAGTTCTGTGAAAAAATGACATTGGCAGTTTGATAGGAATAGTTTTGAATCTATAGTTTGTTTTTGACAGTATGGTCATTTTAACAATATTGATTCTTTCAATCCATGAGTATGGAATATTTTTTCAATTGTTTGTGTCATCTAAAATTTACTTCAGCAATGTTTTATAGTTCTCTTTGGTTAGATTTATTTCTAGGTATTTTGTTCTGTTTTTGTGGCTATTGTAAGTGGAATTGCATTCTCGATTTGGCTCTCAGCTTGAACATTATTGGTATATAGAAAGGCTATTCAGTTTTGTAAACAGATTTTGTATCCTGAAATTTTATTGAAATTACAGCAACCTTCTTGTGGAGTCTTTAGGGTTTTCTAGGTAGAGAATCATGTCATCAGTGAAGAGAGATAGTTTGACTTCTTTTTCTATTTGGATGCCTTTTATTTCTTTCTCTTTCCTGATTGATCTGGCTAAGACTTCCAATTCTATATTGAACAGGAGTGGTAAGAGCAGGCATCCTTGTTTTGTTTCTCTTGTTAAGGGGAATTCTTCCAGCTTACGCCCATTCAGTATGATGTTGGCTGTGGGTTTGTCATAGATAGCTCTTATTATTTAGACATATTTTTCTTCAGTGCTTAGTTTGTTGAGGATTTTTATCATGAAGTCATGTTGGATTTAATCAAAAGCTTTTTCAGCATCTATTGCAATGATCCAATGGTTATTGTTTTTAACTCTGTTTATGTGGTGAATCAGCTTTTTAAATTTGCGTATGTTAAACCAACACCGCATCCCAATAAAGCCTACATGATCATGGTGAATTAATTTTTTGATGTGCTGCTTGATTTGGTTTGCTAGCATTTTACTGAGGAATTCATTGAGACCTACTTTGATGGCTGCACATATGGTCGATCTTGCAGTATGTTCCATGTGCAGATGAGAAGAATGTATATTCTGTGGTTGATTGATGGAGTATTCTGTAGATGTTTATTAGGTTCAATTCTTCAAGTGTCAAATTTAAGTCCAGAATTTCTTTGTTAGTTTTCTGTTCATCAGGATATTGACCTGTAGTCTTCATTTTTAGTTGTGTCTTTGTCAGGTTTTGGTATCAGGCTCAAGCTAGCTTCACAGAATGAGACAGCAAGGAGTCCCTCCTCCTCAATTTTTTGAGATAGTTTTAGTAGAATTGGAATCAGTTTTTCTTTGCACATCTGGTAGAATTCAGCTGTGAATCTATGTGGTCTAGGGCTTTTTTTGTTTGGTAGGATTTTTAATACTGATTCAATTTTGGAATGTGATATTGGTCGGTTCAGGGTTTCATTTTCTTCCTAATTCAATCTCAGGAGGTTGAGTGTTGCCAGGAATTTATTTCCTCTAGATTTTGTAGTGTGTGTGCATAGAGGTGCTCATAATTGTTTTGAAGCATCTTTTATATTTTTGTGAGATGGGATATAATGTCACCTTTGTCAATTCTGACTGTGCTCATTTGGATATTTCTTTTTTTTTTTCTTTGTTATTCCAGCTAGCAATCTATCAATCTTGTTTATCTTTTCAAGTAAACAGCTTTTGGGTTTGTTCATTGGTTGTATGGATTTTGGGTCTCAATTTCATTCAGTTCTGCTCTTATTTTAGTTATTTCTTTTCTATTTCTTCTCCTAGCATTGAGGTGAGCTTATTCTTGTTTTTCTAGTTACTCTAGGTGGGATGTTAGCTCATTAATTTGAGATATCCCTAACTTTTTGATATAGGCATTTAGAGCCATAAACTTTCCTCTTGGTACTGCTTCTGCCATATCCCAGAGATTTTGGTATGGTGTTTCTCTGTTTTCATTTATTTCAAAGAATTTTTTAATTTTTGCCTTAATTTCATTGTTTACCCAAAGTCATTCAGAACCAAGTTGTTTGATTTCTATGTAATCATGTGGTTTTGGGATATATTATTGGTATTGATTTCTATTTTTATTTTACTGTGATCTGAGAGTATGGTTGGTATGATTTCTATACCTTTGAATTCATTGAGACCTACTTTAATGGCTGAGCATGTGGTCAATCTTAGAGTATGTTCCATGTGCAGATGAGAAGAATGTGTATTCTGTGGTTGATTGATGGAGTATTCTGTAGATGTTTATTAGGTTCAATCCTTCAAGTGTCAACTTTAAGTCCAGGATTTCATTAATGTGTCTAACACTATTGGTGGAGTGTCTAACACTGTCAGTGGAGTGCTTGAGTCCCCTGCTATTATTGCATGGCTGTTTAAGTCTTCTGGTAGGTCTATAAGTACTGGTTTTATGAATCTGGGTGCTCCAAAATAGGGTGTGTATAAATTAAGGATAGTTAAGACTTCTTGTTGAATTGAACTCTTTATCATTATATAATGCCCTTCTTTGTCCTTTTTTACTGTTGTTGGTTTAAAACCTGTTTTATCTGATTTGAGAATAGTGACCCCTTCTCTTTTTTGTTTTCTGTTTGTGCGATAGACCATTCTGTGACTGTTACTTTGAGCCTATGGGTGTTGTTACATTCGAGATGGGTCTTCTGAAGACAGCCCATGGATAGGTCTTGGGCATTTAGACCATTTGCAATCAAGGTTATTATAGATAAGTCAAGTTTTTATCCTACCATGAAGCTTTTAGCTGGTTGCTTTGTAGTTTCTATTGTGTGGTTGCTTTATAGTGTCTGTGGGCTACGTAAACAAAAGAACAGGTATTGTTCTTTTGTTCTTGTTTATTTGGAAAATATTTTCTTTCTCTTTCACTTATAAGGTTTAGTTTGGTGGTTATGAAATTGTTAGACTTTCTTTCCATTAAGATTGTTCAAAATGGGCCCCCAATCTCTCCTGGCTTGTAAGGTATCTGCTGAGAAGTCTGTGGATGGTCTTGCAGGGTTCCTTTTATATATGATCTGACCTTTTTTTCTAGCTGCCTTTAAGATTTTTGCTTTTGTGCTGACCTTGGACAGTCTGGTGAATATATGCTTTGGAGATGTTCATTTTGGGTAGTATCTCACAGGTGTTTTCTGGATTTATTGTATCTCTATGTCTAGAGATAAAGCAATATTAGGGAAATTTTCTTGAATTATTTCCTGAAATATTTTTTTTCCAGGTTGTTTACTTTTTCTCCTTTTTCAGGAATGCCAACAATTCATAAGTTTGGTCACTTCACATTATTCCATATTTCTTGAAGAGTTTTTCATTTAATTTTTTTTCTTTATTTTTTTTCTAACTGTGGTATTTCAAAAGACCAGTCTTCAAGCTCTAAAATTCTTTCTGAATGATCTGGTCTATGATAAAGGCTTTTAGTTGTATTTGAAATTTCTTAAGTTAGTTTTTACTTTCAGAGGCTTTGATTGATTTCTTTTTAAGATGTTTATCCCTTCTTTCTTTTCCTGAAATTAATGTTTATGTCCCTCCAAAATTTATCTGTTGCAATCCTAACCCACAAAGTGATTTTACTAAAAGTTGGGGGCTTTTAGAGATGATTAGGTCATGGGGCAGATCCTTCACGAATGAGATTAGTGCACTTATAAAAAGGGCCCCAGAGAGATCCCTTACCTGTTTTACCAAGTGAGGACATAGCTGGAAGGTACCACCTATAAGCTAGAAATCAGGCTCCAGACATCAGATTTGCCAGTCACTTGATCCTGGACTTTCCAATCTCTGGAAATGTGAGAAATAAGTTTCTGTTGTTTACACACTACAGAAATATATGGAATTTTGCAGTAGCAGCCCAAAATGACAAAGATAATGGAATATTATTTAGCCTTAAAAAGAAGGAAATTCCATTATACACAACGACATTGCTAAACATTGAAAATATTATGCTAAGTGAAGTAAGCCAGTCACAGAAGGACTAATGCTGCATAATTGCACTTACATGATTGACCACACCAACTATTGGTGAGTATGAAGAGAAGCTGGAACTCACATATATACGTCTGATGAGAATGTGACATTGTACAACCACCTTGGAAAACAGTTTGTCAGCCGTTTTGTTTTTTAACATAACCATACACCTACCATATTATCCAGCCCTTCTAATCCATCCCCACAAATGGAAAGCACATGTTTATACATATCAGCTTTATTTGCAAAAGGAAAAAACCAGAAACAACCTAAATGTCCATCAGTATTTACCTGGCATGCTCAATCATTTCAATTTAGACACTAATAGAAATACAATGAGTATAAGTGATGGCTTGCTGTTTATATCATGTGTGTTTCACGACACCGATTTTATCTTTCATAATTGTCGGAGTGTATTCAATGTATATCCAAAGCTTCCAAGATAAGAGGAGGGTGAGAAATCAATACCTTCTGCCTAGTGTTAGGGTACTGTAAAAGTAAGTCATAAATCAAAGTCTGTGACACACTAAAAAATTATAAGGAAAAAGGCTAAAAAATAATACTCCTTCTTAATTTTTTATTTTTTTGAGACAGAGTCTCTCTCTGTCACCCAGGCTGGAGTCCAGTGGTGTGATCTGGGATCACTGTAACCTTGGCCTCCCCAGTTCAAGCAATTCTCATGCCTTAGCCTCCCGAGTAGCTGGGATTATAGGCATGCCACCATGCCTGGCTAATTTTTGTAATTTTAGTAGAGATGGTTTTCCTATGGTGGTCAGGCTGGTCTCGAACTCCTGGCCCCAAGTGATCCGACCACCTCAGCCTCCCAAAGTGCTGGGATTACAGACGTGAGCCACCATGCCCAGCCCCAAAATAATACTCTTAATATCACTGTAAACTTGAACTCTCTCTCTTTGCTTTTATACGTTCTAACTAGTACCTTCCTGGTTTACTCTGAAGTAATAATGGGGTCATAATATTCTTTTGGTAGCATCACTTAACATCCTAGTTAGATTGGACAATGTAGCCTTCTATTAAATAATGAATGACAATAATAAAAAAGGGAGTTCTGGATGGCAAGTGCTGTTCCAAAGGTAGGGTATAAAATCTGGCTGCCAGACTTGCTTGGTTTGTATGCTTCACTCACACAAGGATGAAGTTACCTGGGCAACATGTCTCACCAATTCACGTGTTTTGAAAATAACTCAATTCATGAATAACTTGTTTAATATTACTCATATGGATTAATGAATTCCTTAGTATGAATTCAGATATAGATATTTGACATGTAAGCCACAGCAGCCTCCATACTACACATCTCTAATTAGGGACTTTCAGTTGTTCCCTGACTGGCCTGAGAGTGTGGTTTTTTTAATTAGGATACTTAACATTTAACTGACTTTTCCTTGAATGTAGATTAAAATTAATCTACATATATACATGCCACACTGTCAATGCTGAATTATTTTAAAATAAATTATAACTAAAATTTTATGCTGATACTGTTTTTTCTAGACAAAAGAAAACATTATTTTAAATCTATGTATGCTTTGCATTGTTATTCACTCCACTACTTATCCCAGGGCCTGTGGGTTCCAGACATTTAGAGACCCTGTGATCTTCATCAAAATGTATTTACCCTGTGCTCTAATTTTTCAAAGCACTCTATTGTTTTGGTACAAATCTGTTGCATTATCTCTTATTGAAATAACTGGCTTACTCATATCACCCTCTCACTGGTAATAGTTTTGCTTTAATGAGCTTAACAAAATGGATAATTTTAGTGACCTCAAAGTGTCAATGTAAAATACCACTGGCAACAAAACATTTCCTAGAACTTCTCAACACTACCTACAATTGCTCAAATATGACACTGAGAATGAAAAGTAAAATAATCAGCAGTTAGTTTCATGGGGCTGATTAAGATGCACAT
This sequence comes from Homo sapiens, assembly GCF_000001405.40. Lineage (NCBI taxonomy): Eukaryota > Metazoa > Chordata > Mammalia > Primates > Hominidae > Homo > Homo sapiens. The sequence continues at coordinate 208,928,505 of NC_000002.12, forward strand.
CAGAGACTGGTAATTAGGATAATAAAAAATGAATGTGATCTGATAACTGTGGCAGGAAGATTTCCATGATGGCCCCACAGTTTCATTCCCTGAGCCACATGCTGTATGTAATTCCATCCTCTGGAGTGTGAACTAATAGGGTAGTCACTCTCCTGACTAGGTTACGTTATATGACAATGATGAAGTGATTTTGCAGGTGTGATTAAGGCACCAAATTAACTGGCTTTGAGTTAATTAAAAGGGAAAGTATCCCAGGTGGACCTAACCTAATCAGGTGAACGCTTGGAAAGAGGGTCCAAGCTTTCTGGGAAGAGATTTAAAATAGAAAGACTGTCCTGCTGGCCTTGAAAAATAAAAAAGTTCACATCATGGCCAGGCACAGTGGGTGCACCTGTAGTCCCAGCTACTCGGGAGGCTGAGGCAGGAGGATGACTAGAGCCTAGGAGTTCAAGGCCAGCGTGGGCAATATAGTGAGATTTCATCTCTAAAATATTAAAATTAAAAATCCGTATATTTATATACACATGAAAACAAAATTCACATGGTAAATTTGTCAGCTGTCTATGGGGGGCCAGTCACGTGGTAAAGACCTGACAGTGACCTCTAGGAGTTGACAGCACATCCCAGCCACAAACTAGCAAGAGAATGGGGACCTCAGTCACACAATCACAGGGAAATAAATTGTGCCAACAATCTGAAAGGGCTTGAAAGCACATCTTTTAAAATAGAACCTGAAGTCGAAGACACAGCAGGCTAACTCATTGATTTCAGCCTTGTAAGACCCTGAGGGGAAGACCCTGCAAACATTGCCTGACTCCTGACCCATGGGGAGTGAGATAATAAACATATGTTGTTTTAAGTTATTGATTTTGTGGTAATTTATTTTGGTGTTTAAAATCCATACATTATCCTACAAATGAAAGCACAATACCTGGTAGGTCTCTTTGCTTCCTTGAGACAGAATACTCCAACTTGGGAATACTGCTTTGGAAGTACATACCACGTGACATGAAGAACTGCCTGCACTGTTACATCAGCACCTTTCTCAGCACACACTTATCGCTACATCGGGAATCATTCATGAGCAGCTGATGCAAGAGGAAATAATCCAAGCTTTGTCGGTCATAGATAGGTCAGTGTGATATGTGGCTGCAAACTGAAAATGGACACAGGCAGCTGTATTACAGCCTCACTAAGGAATGGCCTGAAAAGACAGTGACAGATGAATTTCTCCCACTGAAAACTTTGGACAATGTACCCATTTTTCCATTTTCTGTTGGCAGAAAAGTGCCCAAAATTTAGAATATTCAGGAACCATAGGAAGCAGCAAGTGGTCTGGCTGAATGGTCAATAGCAACAAAAGAAAAAGATTGGAAAATTTGGGGCAGAGGCATGTGGACTGAACATGTGGGACTGAATGCAAAGTGTAAATACCTTGATATCCCATATAAATGCCCACTAGAGAGCATTTCAATAAAGAGGCATGAAATAAACACGTAGATAAAATGATTGTACAGTTGATATAAGACATCCTCTGCCATCCCAGTGCTGGCATGAAGGGCACATAAATGAAGTGGCCACGATGGCAGAGATGAAGACCATGCATGGGTTCAACCACAGGCCCTCCCTCCTTACAAAGGTTATCTAGCCAGTGCCACTGAGAAATACCAACAGGCCAAACAACAAAGACCAACGCTAAGCCTTCAATATGGCACACTTTTCTAGAAAAGACTGCCTTCCACTTGATGGCAACTTGACTACATTCAGCCAGTGATTTATTATGACAAGAATAGACAAATGATACAGATATGAGTTTCCTTCCTGTAATTAGGGCTTCAGCTAGTGTCACTGTCCAAGAGTATAAGGAGCATGTGATCCATTGTCACAGGATCTCATACAACATGATATCAGAGAAAAGTACCAACTGTGCACAAGGAGTTGTGGGAATAACCACATTGAAAAGTGGGCAAAACATATGAAAACATTTTTCAAAAGAAGATATACAAATGGTCAACAAAGATATGAAAAATGCTCAAATCACTAATCATCAGAGAAATGCAAATTAAAACCACTATGAGATATAACCATACCAGTCAGAAGGGTATTATTAAAAAGTCAAAAAACAGCAGATTTTGGCAAGGATATGAAGAAAAGAGAATGCTTATATACTGTAGGTGGGAATGTAAATTTGTAAAACCTCTATGGAAAAAAGTATGGAGATTTCTCAAATAATTAAAAATAGAACTAAAATTTGATTCAGTAACCTCATTATTAGATATCTTCCCAGAGGAAAATAAACCATTATATTAAAAAAGATACCTGTACTCATGTGTTTATCATAGCACTATTCACAGTAGCAAAGATTTGGAATCAACCTAAGGGTCCATCAGTGGATGACTGGACAATGAAAATGTTACACACACACACACACACACACACACACACACACACACAGAAATACTATGCAGCCATAAAAAAAGAATGAATTAATGTATTTTGTAGCAACATGGATGGAACTGGAGGCCATTATCTTAAGCGAAACAACTCAGAAATATAAAGTCAAATACCACATATTCTCACTTATAAGTGAGAGCTAAATAGTGTGTCCACATGAACATAGAGTGTGGAATGATAGTCACTGAAGGCTAGGAAGAGTGGGAGGTGGGTGAGAGATGAGAAATTACTTCATGGGTACAAATCCACTATTATGGGATGATAGTTACACTAAACCCTAGACTTCACCACTACACAATTTGTCTGTGTAACAAAGATGTACTTGTAATCCTTAAATTTGTGCAAAAAAAAAGTTGTGGCAAAGAGCCTATGACCATGGATCCACTGGTCATATTCCATAAATCACAACCCAGGTATGGATTGTGTTCCACTGGAACAGTTTCTGAAGGCGCAGTTGAAGCATCACCTCAAGGATGTTACTTGGGGAGGATAGGCCATCCTCCAGAAAGTGGTTGGTGCCTAGAATCAAATAACTTTATGTTGTGCTGATTCCCCAGTAGGAGAATGCGTGGGTCCAGGAACACAGGCTGAAAGCAAGAGTGACACCACCACCTCTCCCAAAGACTCACTTGGGGGATTTGTGCTTATTGTGCTCACAGTGCTAGACTTCAGGGTTAGATAAAAAATTAGATGTTTTGGTTGCTAAATGTTAAAATCTTACACCAGGGATTACAAATGTCTCATTGAACTGTCAGTTTACAGCTATTGCCTGGACACTTCAGGATGCTTGTGTCTGTGAACCAGCAGGCAAGAAGCAGAGTGTTCCTCTCAGAAGGAAGCAGGGATGCTATTACACAACGAAGGTAAGGAGGAATATATTTAGCACCCAGATGATCCTCTTGGTCACTTCTTGGTACTCATCTGTTCAATTCTGATAGTAGATGGATAAATGCAGCATTAGGGTCTGAGAAGGGCATAGTGACCAGGGGCTCAGACCCTCTTGAAAGAAAAAGCTATCATAGAATACTATCCATTCCCATCTTCTTTCTTCCTCATAGCGAGGCCACTTTTAAAATAAACTGTAATACTACAAAGTAGAACATTTTGACTTCTTTTTTGACTTATTATGTTAAGAATTACTAACTATGATTATTTCAATCCAGCACAAATAGATTGGGTACATTCTTCCATGATAAAAATTAAAAATAAGATCAAGATGCTATTTGTGAATCGTTTTAGAAGTTAATTATTTACTATGCCAGAACTTTGGAGGAAAATATTTTTTAAAAGCAGCATTTTTATCATGACTGCTGATTGATTGTCTTGATATTTAAGACTAAGCAATGCAATTGTCATGCCATTTGTTAAGATAATAAAAGTTATGTGTAATTTTCTCTGAGAAACATTAGTTCCTTGTTAACATTGTCTATCACAGAGTGGCCAGCAAGTTTTTGTCTGTTAAAGTTAGAAATAATTAAAGATTACCAGCAAGTCTAATAAATAAATGTTATTTTTAAAACCATATTTTCTATTTTTTAAAAAAGAGACTCATAAAGCCACTTGGAATTTTTTTCTCTGTATTTTTCTTTTCTTTCACCTTAATGTAAAGTAAAGTAGTAGAGTGTTAAGATTTGAAAACGTTTTTCAAATTATTTGGTTCAACTCCCTCATTTTGTTGAGACAAAAACTAGAGAGGTTACTTATTTTAGGTCTTACTGCTAATTACTGCCAGAACTCCCAACTAATATGTGTCAAAACTTACTTTAAAATGTTCTCTGTCATGGTGTTCTTGGAATAATTATAGTGTTTATTTTTTCCACATTTCTTAATGACAAATTTCTTGCTTTTTTATTTCTGTGCTTGTGCTTTCTCCAAATAGCTAAGTAAACATTAAACTGTAGTCTTTACTTCTATTTCTTTCTCTAAAATACAGATATAATATATAAAGAGGCTTGCTTTGTACATATCAACCTAACATTAAAATATAAAAAGAATCATAAAAAGTATATTCATCCAATACACAATGTGGTTTTTCTAATTCACAAGATATCTGGAATTTCTTATCCATATCTCTGATATCAGGATGCTGCTCCTAAGAGGGCAGAATCAGTAGCTCAAAGAAGAAACATAAGAATTTGAATTGGTTTCTATAACAATTCTTGTTTTGCTTAGATTTTGCTTTCCTTAGCTTTTGCTTAGATTTTTATATCTCTTATGTCTTGAATAATTTTTGTAGGCACAAGTGTTTTTATTATTTTTTATTGTAATTTTTTATTCTTAATTTTTGTGTGGACATAGTAGTTATATATATTAATAGAGTACATGAGATATTTACCCCCTCATGCAATGCATAATAATCACATCATGGAAGATGAGATATCTATGCTTTCAAGCATTTGTCCTTTGCATTACAAACAATCTAGTCATAGCCTTTTAGCTATTTTAAAATACCCAATTGTTATTATTGACTATAGTCAATATATATACCTGTTGTGGTATCAAATAGTAGGTATTATTTATTCATTCGAACTATTTTTTTTCTACCCATTAACCACCCCCAACTCCAGTTTACCTCCCTGCCCAACTACCCTTCCCAGCCTCTGGCAACCATCCTTCTACTCTCTATGTCCATGAGTTCAATTGTTTTGATTTTTAGATCTCACAAATAAGTGGGAACATATGATGTTTGTCTTTTTGTGTCTGGCTTATTACACTTAACATCATGATCTCCAGTTCAACCCATGTTGTTGCAAATAACAGGATCTCATTCTTTTTATGGCTGAATAGTACTGTACTGTGTATATGTACCACATTTTATTTATTTATTCACCTGTTGATGCACACTTAGGTTGCTTCCAGATCTTAGCTATTGTGAACAGTGCGGCAACAAACATGGAAGAGTAGATATCTCTTCTATATATTCATTTCCTTTCTTTTGGGCATATACCTAGCAGTGGGATTGCAGGAAAGTATAGCAGATCTATTTTTAGTTTTTTGAAGAACCTTCAAACTGTTCTCCATAGTGGCTGTACTAATTTACATTCCCATCAACAGTGTACAAGTGTTCCCTTTTATCCACATCCTCTCCAGTATTTGTTATTGCCTGTCTTTTGAATATAAGGTATTATAACTGGGGTGAGAAGATATCTCATTGTAGTTTTGATCTGGATTTCTTTGATGATCAATGATATTGAGGGGTAAATTCTGCAAACTACCTATTGGCTCTATGCTCATTATCTGCGTGACAGGATCATTTGTAACCAAATCTCAGCATCATACGATAAACCTATATATCAAACCTGCACATGAACTCCCTGAATCTAGAATAAAAGTTGAAATTATAAATAAAGGAATACATAAATCAATGAGCCAAAAGTTATTTTTGAAGTACCTTCAAACTGTTCTCCATAGGAGTTGTACTAATATACTAATGTACATAAATACATAAATCAATGAGCCAGGAGTAATTTGGTATAAAAATAGAACCACTTTTTGTTCTTGGCCTAACCAGATGAACACACATTTTCAAATTAAAAAAAAAAGGCCCCAGGCCAAATACCAAATTCAGAGGGGATCTCTAGGATCTTATATTGAGATCTCCAAAAAGTCTAAAGTGGTACCCCTAAAAATTTTCAGATAACCTAAAGACCTTTTAATAATTTTAATGGATCATGAAGTATGGCTTACAGATCCTCTTTGTTAAATAATAGGACTTACAGGAATCTTAAGTTCATGTCCCACAGGGAACTTAAGCTGAAGATGAATTTAACTAGAAGAAATTAATTATTGTTTTTGGTTTGTAATGGAGTTGATTATAACTTGGCACATAAGAAATCATGATATTGAAAAAAGAATCATATTATCTTGGATTGATAGTGATAAAGATACTACCAAATTAAGAAACCTTTGCATCCCCAAACTTAAGCCAAAGAGCTAGCTGAGAAGATTACTTGGTTATAATTTTGACAAAGAAAGAATGATTTAAAAGTTAGAGACAAGATCCCAGAGGACTGAGTCGAGAATTGGGAGATCTGCAATTGGGGGATCTGCAATAAGAGATCTCCAGTAAAGAAACTGGAAACATCTTCCTGGCTGGATTTCAAAATATCTGTGGATCAGTAGCTGCTATCTGCCTCCCATTTTTTCCTTTTTTGACAATAGTGTCTATAGTGGTTTTTCCAAGCAAGTCATATCATTTCATTGCATTTTGGGTGGGTGGGTGTGTCAGCGGGTAGATTCTTTGTGTTCACAGGTGTTCACAGGTGTTCAGATCAGGGAACAGTGCTCAAGGTGCTGTACCTGAGAAATCACACTTAAGAAATATCTTCCAACGTAGAAGAAATTTAGGTAATGGGATATTGAGCTTCAAGTCAATCCCATGATGAGCTGAGTACTGGGGACATTGGGGGAGAAAATAAGTGTATTTTCATATTGGAGATTTGTAAGTTGTGTTGTGTGCCTATGGGGAGGATTACAGCAGAGTGTAGTTTCAAAAGATGGCCATGCCAATCTCTATTCCACCCAATATGTTATTCTTACAATAGGACTATTTGTCACTCCTCTTATGCAGGGCTGGGTCTATACCCCTTGCAGGATTTTTGTGACTTCCTTAGCCAATAGCATAGGGGAAAAGTGACACTGTGTGATTTCTGAGGATAAATCATAAAAATGTCACGCACTCAGGGTTTGCTTTTTGAGAAGTCTTGCTTTCAGTTGTATGCTGCGAAGAAGTCCAAATGAGTTACTCAGAGAGACCACAAAAAAGGTTATATGTAGATATTCTATATGAAAGCCACCTGAGGTCCAAGATGTAGCTGCCATTTATAGCCTGACATATGAGAGAAGACTCTACCATATTTATCCACTCATCCCCCATCAAGTTAGTTCAGCCTTTGAGTCTTCTCAGCTAAGGCCTCAAAGACAATTTTTTCTTGCCTTGTGCTATTCTTATTCCTGACCCATAGAACCCATTAATATAATCAAATTATTGTTTTATGTCACTATAATTTGAAGTGGCTTCTTACATTAGATAGTTGATAAACTCTGAAGTAATTTTGAAAAATCAAATATCCAAGCACATTTTACATTAATGTCTATTTTTTCATTGTAAGTATAAATAATTTAAAAGGGAATAATTTCTGGCTTCTTATTAATATAGACATTTTCCTAAAAATTGGAGATGAGACAAATACTTTGGCAATTTGAAAAGAAAATTGACTGTATAAAAAATACATGAGCATGATTTTCTTCAGCAATTGGAAATTTTGCATTGTCTGCTTTTCTTCATGAACTTAGATTCCTTTTCTATTTCCCTTACAAAATATTGAACTTCTGTAACACATTGCATTTTCAACAATTTCTTTCACAGCATTTTGGAGTGTTAAAACTTGGGGTAGATATTTTGTGAAATAGGACTAAATTGCACCTACTTTCCACCTACTCAAATTACTAGAGAGGTTTGGATTAGTTGATTACTTGTAAAACTTGGCCCTACTGTAATTAGGCACAACAACAAAGTGTTTTACCAAGTGAATCATAGATTCAGTTCAAATACTGCAATAAATCTTAGATAAGCACCGTGAGGGATTTGTACATTTATTAATTTGTTTTTTAATTTGGTACAATTTTTCAGAGCAAAGGATAGGGATAAAAATAAGTTTCCCATAATCAAATTCCAGTTCAATACAGCATAGCACAAGCTGACATAATAGACAATAGTTTTACACTTCAAATGTAATCATAATTTCAAAAGACCCTTAGACACAACTACATTGTATAGGCATACTAATGTGTAAATAAAAAGAAATGATTATAATCAAATATAGTTAGGTTATTTTTTTTCAGGACATACTATGTTGCATAATACTCTGGGATATAGTGTGCTCAGTGGAAATGGCAGACACCTGTAGTTACAAAGTTTGGGAATAAAATTCTTTGAGGAAGGCAACTGTATCAGTAAGGAGTCCTTTGGTTGGAAGGTATATACACACATACATACATATGTATATGTGTGTTTGCATATAGAAATATATTTAACACACATTTTAAAAAGGCTAATAAAAAATTCAAACCAGTGGCCCCAAATAGAAGATTGTCATTTGATGTTTATTAATAACACTGAGCTAACTTGGTTCAGTTTATTAAGAGAAAGATATCTTTCTCCTCATTGTTGATTCTCAATTCCAGGTGGCAAAAAGACCAGTATAAGGCTATCTGGGGCTGGCACAGGACAGGGACATGCCAACGACAACCAATGGGGAGTAGAGAAGTAATCTAAAACACTCACAATGCTGAGGACAAGAACTCACAATGAAAAGTAACTGACTTGCTCCAGTACACTGCTGTTGAGAAGCCATGTTAGTGGTCACCATCAGAGACTCTGCTTAGAGCCAACTGCTATTAATACTTCCTTTATATGGACTTCTATTCTTGTATGAGTGAATTGGAAACACAAAATTATATATATGTAAAATATATATTTATTCCATATTTATTTATAAAAATGGGTTTTTACTGTATACACGATTTTATAGTTTACGTTTTTCCTCTTAGCAAGTTCTCATGAATATTTTCCATGTTTCCTATTCTTCAACATGATTTTCACATTGTGTTTCTTCAAAATAACACAATATCTTCTACTTTGTCACTTGCTAGCTATGGGACAGGCAGTTGGATTTTGCTGTTATAAATAGTGCAACAAAGTAGAAAATCCTTGTACTCACATGTAGCTGAAACCTCAAGTTGAACCACAGACTTTGCCCATCACTGTGGTTTATGCAAATATGGGTATATATGGGGCACTGGGGGAAACGACCCAACAAGAAATATATTTGCACTGGGATGAAAAATCTTTTGAGAAACAGATCATTTGGGGATTCATACACATTTGATAATAGATGGCAGAGAATTCCAAGTAGCAAGCTAGCACAGTCTTTCATTCTTTTGAAAAATAACCCCAATATTTAGTTGAGTACATTGCTACTTTAAAAATGCTACAAGTCTTATCATCCTTGTTGAACTTAAATCTCCTGGCATTATATTCTGGTCAATGAGATACTCGATGAAATGTTCTATTAAGTCCAGAAAGTCTCCTTAAAATGAAGGAATGCTCGTATTTCCTCTCTCTATCCTGCTTCCAGGGACTTGTATTTTCTATCTGGTGCTCTGGTATCCATTTCAGTAATAAGGAAAACAACCATGCCCTCAGGAGGATGGCACAATAGTGTAGAAGAAGACTGGATCTCTGACAACTTTTTTAGCTTTCATAGCAGTCTAGGCTGTCCTCTTATGGACTTTTTTTTTTAGGTAAAAGAGAAATCAAATTTCAACCTTGTTCAATCAACTGTTATTTGGAGTTTCTCTGTGTATTCGTTTTCTAGGGTAGCCATAACAAAATACCAGAGACTGAGTGGCTGAAACAACAGAAATTAATTTTCTCACAGCTCTGAAATCTGGGAGTCTGAGATCAAGATGTCAGCAGGCTTGGTTTCTTTTGAAGCTTCATTCTTTGGCTGAAAGATAGCTGTCTTCTTGCTGTGTCTTCACATGGCCTTTTTCTCTGTGTAGGTGCATCCCTGATGTATCTATCTCTGTATGCCCTAATATTTTCTTCTTATAAGGACACTAGTCAGATTGGAATAGGACCCTTCTACCAGTGGCTTCATTTTAGTTAAAGGCCTTATTTCTAAATAAAGTGACATTCTGAAGTCCTGGGGGTTAGGACTTCAACATATAAGTGAGGGGGTGGCGGGGCGGTGGGACATGCAATTCAGTCTATCACACTGTAACATATCTAATCAAAAATAATCTTAAGTGCTAACAGCAGAGTGTCTGTATGCCTGAGAGACTCGTAAGATGACCTAAACAAAATCTATTTGTCTTCTAGAAAGGAACATCCTAAGGTTTGGCTAGATGGGCCCAGGAACAAAATGCTGGGTATCTGAGTAAAGTAGTAACAGTTAACTTGACTCTGTCTTCAGCTCAGCTCTAAGGAACAAAAGTACATGCTTAAGGAGAGAAAAAGCAATAAGAAAAAATGTTTAATAATCTTTCATCATTCCTATAAAACTGATGCATAAGAAATATAGCTTTGCAATTATTTTGCAATTATTTTTGCTTGATGGATTTCAGGACCAAATTTTTTAATAAAAATATATTTTTAATTTTTAATCTCAACAGATGTTTTCAAATTGCTATGCAAAATGGTTCTAATTTACTAACACATAATAGTAATAATTTGCTTCTAATAGGTCTCTTTGAAAGACACTTTGTCCCTAAAAAAGCTGAGGGGAATGACTTTAGCCAAAGTTTAGATGTCTTCTATCTTTGCAATTAATTGAGCTCCAAAGTGAGCTCATTCTTTAGATGGAAGAGTCCTTGGACATAAAGTCAGCTTTTTACCAGGGCTGTCTTAACTAAAGACAGTGCAGCTTATTTGACATTTATTGAGTTTCAGCTGTGGAAGACCAAGCTAGACTTCCTCTATAGGCTGGTTTATAATCTAATGCCAGAATCTAAAGAAGCAATGAATAAGAAAGCAAGGAAATCACAAGAGCTATGGAGTTGATAGATTGATTTGTATTTGATGTTCTCAATGAACTCTGCCTCAGATGCAAAGTACCACACTGCAGGAACAAATTGGCTATTAGGAAAAAGCTTCATGTTCTAACTGGAAAGGGAATATGCTTTTTAATGTTTTTAATAGTACAGAACGAAGAGAGGGAGCAAAGAAATAAAAACATGCTTTAGAAACAATTAAGAAAACAGTGTAGAAAAGATAATGGAAAAATGAAACACAGATAAAAGCTAGATAGTAACTGGGATTTAAAATTTAAAAAGACGAGTGGATTAGATTGGAGAATAAAACTTTGAAGCAGTAAAGGTATTCTGAAAATGGTAAAGAAAAAAACCAGCATGATGCAATTCAAGAAGCTCAAATATTGAAGAACTACTTGTGAAAGTTCTTCTACATGGCCCAATAAAGGCTGGGGATAAGAAAAGAAGTCCTAGTCTCTTATCTCAGAATATTAAAGCTTATGATTACTGAGGACTCACTGCAGTGCAGATAGCTGTAAATCTGACTCACAGTGTCTTTTACACAGTGAGGTAATTTATTACCTGATGTAGTTGGAATGTGCAGTCTTAAGATGGGTTTCATGGTGGTTTGATCTAGAGACAGCAGGTTCACTAAGAATCTGTTTTTTGTTTCTCTTTTTGTCTTTTAACTTTTCCTGTCCATTGTCAACTTCATAAAGATACCTCCTTTCCTCAACATATCATCGATGCCAGTGCCAATAGTTTCCAGGGCTCCCTGTTTCCTCATTCATGTTTACAAACAGAAATAGTGGATGCTTTCCCAAACCATGGAAAAAAAGACCTAGTTTTCACTAGTATTGGACTAGCATAGATAACATGTCTATCTTTGAGCTAATTACTGAGACAAAGGGTACAGGATTATGCTAACTGGTGTAGGTGTATTAAGATTCACTTTGAATTTCTGAATGCAAGCACTCAAACAGTAGGGATAACACACAGGAAAATCTGGGCATTATTAGGAAAGGAGAAGGAAAGATTGATGCTGGGGCTATGTAGGCAAGACAAAATATGTTCACTATACCATCCTAATAAGTAGTAACAATCATGTACAGAACTAATTCCAACTCAAAGCACAGCTATTTAATAGTAAGTATACTACAATCAGAAGGGTGAACTGTATACGGGAAATTTTGAAAGTGTAAACTCTATCTCTTCCACCTCCATGGGAATATTTAGTTTGCCTTTATTCAAAGAGAGCTTCTATGCCCTTCATATTTTCATTCAGTTTTGTAAATTGCACTGTGGTTGGAACTATATATCAATACCCAGGTAAAAGGAATCAATATATTTTCCTGCTAAGGGTGTGCTACACCATCCATGTCTTTTCCTCCCATGATTGTCAATATTTATGTAAATATTATAATATGAGGTTTTGCCTTAGAAGACAGAGACCCTTGCAACACAATTTAAAAAATGTTGCTGCTACATTTGTTTCATTTCTCATGCCAGATTTTGTAGCCCTTTGCTGACTCCCTCCGACCTCAAATATCACAGCACCAAACTTTATATTAGGGGCTATTTTGAGCTAATTAGCTATAGCTGCCAATGAGTAGGATATTGGCAAGTTGTTGATTTGGAAAATTAAGTAAAAGAAAACAAGACAAAGAGGATTCCAGAAGTGTTTTGAAGTGTTATAAAATTACAATGGTGATGCTTTCTGAATATTTAAATATAGGAATCAAAAGGTGCTCAACTTTTGTATTTTGAGCTTAAATATTAATGAACATGCTCACTGCCTAGTAAATGAAAGTATATATCCCCTAAATATCTTTTCTTCCAATTTCATTAGACTTATTTGCAGCAGAGGTCACTCATTCCACCCTACCTCTTTGAAGAATAAAGTGTTTATATCAAACAAAACAAATAAAAAGAAAAGCCTGATTTCCCTACAGGAGCATGGTTATTAGGAAACCTAAGAAAGTTCTGCTTCAGTCAGAGCCTCCTAGGACCATGGCCATGTCCTGGTCACATTTAGAAGCATTTGTCCTCACAGCTTGCTACAAATAAGGTTCCAGATTATTTGCCACTGCACAGGGGTAACTCAAGGCCAGGATGAACATGTCTTTCTTTGCTTCTATTTACATGGTCTGTGGAAAAGGGGATGGAAGTGCTCTGTGTTCAATAAGAACTGAAATGAAACAAAACAAAACATAATTATTAAGTAAACAAAAATTATTAGAGAATATGAATCATTTTATCCCAAAGAGATAAATGAATTTCTAATTTGGCTCTGCTGAAGAAACAAGTTTGAATTCAATGCTCCCTTACTAATTCCAAAGGTGCAAACATCTTTACAGGCCCAAATGAAATCAAACTAAATGAAATGATAAAAAAGGAACCAGAGTCTTGTTTTATCTCAGATCTAGTAGCTAAGAGAGGCTGAACACAATTAATAGGCAAAGGGTATTTGAGAAGACAATATGTTCTAGATCTTGGGCTTTTTGTTTGTGTGCATTTTAACTTCCTCCCTAAAAGGAGGCTCCAAAACCACATTTCCAATACACATGACACCTCTGATATGCTTTCAGCTTCACTGGCCCCAAGGGTGGATCAAGAGTGTGGAGAGAGCAAGGGTTCAGTCTTCTTTGTAAACTGTAATCCTTAGAACTACTTTGTGTCAGCTTCCAATGTTGCACATCAAAGAACCTCCTTATGCCCAGAGAGGGTTTTTTTTTTTTTATTTTTTGTTTTCCATTCTGCTCTAAATTTCTATTACTGGGAGTAAAGGAATGCCGAAAGACTCCTGAAGTAATGAATATACTTGTAGTATTACAAGTTATGTTCTAATATAGTTTCTTCTTGTGGCAAATATTCCTCTATTGCTTCTGTGCCTCTGCCCACTCCAGTTGTTCTGCAGGTTATCAGAAGTAACACTGATGTGCTGTAGTTGACCGGTACTGCCATACAAGATGGATTATTAAAGTTATGGGAATTTTATGAGCTGGTTATTAAAATATTATCAGCTTGAAATAGGTCAGAGCAGAAGTATTTCTACTACGGGAACCGCCAGTTGCAGTGGTTCGTCTATTAACGGTGTCATCTGTTGGGAATAAGTCTAAACTTCTCTTACTCTAACACAGGCTTCCTTCCCAGAACAACCCTTCCTGAAATATGAAATGAGAACTAAGGAAAGTTTAATTCATTCTCAAAGGGAAAATATGCAATTTTATATAAATAACCCACTAAATGAATAGTATTCCTTATGTTAGAAAAGTATGTATGCTTGATCACAAATATCTGGATCCATAAATTGGGAAATATTAACACTGTTTAGTAACTATTTTTTATTATTTAGCATGTCTGGAAAATGATATATTCTGACTCATTAAATATTCTTAGTTATTTTTTAAAAATAACCAAAATGCCTAGATCTGTATTACCAATTTTGAAGAAATAAAATATAAAAGATATACTTAATATCTTTTATGCAGGATATAATTTGATTTTGTCATGATTCAGATGGTTCCTCACTAATTAAGAATCATCATTATGAGCAGTCTGTTTCATCATATTTTACTTGTTTAGAGATTACTGGTGAATGGCATGTCAGGGACAAAACGCACGTATATATCAGAAAAGTGATAGTGAAGAAATTCAGATTTCGGAAGTTTTTAAAATGAAAATGTCTTCCTTCTCTAGCATACATTTTCCTGCATACAGAGTTTATAACCTTGTAGGCAGCTTTGGCTTTTCTCCCTCTTGCTTCCTTATCTTTCATATTTCGATACGGATATTACTATGCATTGTACTGTTGCATTTACCTCTTTTTTCATTTCTCAGCTCTAATCCCTTAACACCTGAACAAATGCCTCCTCTTCACTGGACTCCCTTTATTTTTTATATGATTGCAGTCACTTTCTCCTTTAAATATGATGTTGATAGTGTCACTTTTGCGTGGTGACTCTCAACTGCTTGTCAAATTAAATAAAATCCCCTGGCACTGCTTTTAAGACTCTCCACTTACTGGTATTTCTCTTCAGCTCTGTATGGGCCAGACACTCCCATGGCATCTCAGGGCCATGCATCATGAGGAACAGTAGAATGATTCCATATGAATGGTAAAGCAATGATAATAACTTGATCCAAAGGAGCCTTCCAACTGAGGTCAAGCCAGCTGTTACTTGTATGGTCAAAAACCATGATGGTACCTACAAGGTATGTGATTTTGAGTATTAAGTTACTTAATCTCTCTGTGTCTTATCTATAAAGTGAGCTAATTGTAATAGTAACTACCTCATAAGGTTGTTGTAAGATATAAATGAATTTAATACAAGTAAAACACTGAGAGCAATGTCTGGCACATACAAGATACTCAGTGATAGTCAAGCATACTGTTTGTATTATCATCATCTTCATGATCATCATCTCCACTTCACATATGTGGGAAACATGGCACAAAGTTCTATTCATGCATAACAAATATGTGTCTCTCTTCCCCATCCCATTGTTAGGATCTCTGGCACATAAGGTCCTTTGTTGTTGTGACATAAATCTCTATAATGCTTTGCGTAGTGCCCTGAGCTAACTGTTTAAATCAACCCATGATTTCTTGTGGATGCAGAGCAGAAGTATACCTCTTCCATAAACTTAACAAATTATTCTTTGTTATACAAGCTGTAAACTGCATAGGTAAATGAATATGGACTAGCAAAGATTCATTTATCTAACAGTTCCAGTATCCACTGGTACCTGTGGAAGGATAAAATTCATACTTATAAATTATGTTTTAAGTAGTTGAAAATGCTCTGGGTGATTTGTTGGTAACATTATACACTGTCAAGTATGAGAAACAGGTGAAAATTAGAAATACATTTAATACTGATGAAGAAGATTTGTGCAATTTCATGTAAGTGGATGAGTGGCTGATAATGGGAAAGCAGCTCCTGTGGAGCAGGTTAATAAATGTCCTGTCCCAAAGAAACCACTTGGAAACCTAAGCTTATCTTACAGAGAAGTGAAACCATGGCTCCAACTACAAAATATAAAATGCATCAAGTTCTTCAAAGGCTTTCCTTTCATATCAGGCCTAAATCTCAGTTCTGTATACAATAAAATGCCACCTCATGAAACTTCCCTCTCCTCCTGATCAAGTAGAGTCCCTGCCCGTCTCTGACCTGTGCTTGTTTAGAATTTGGAAACTTGTAGAGCAATTGAAACAAACAGATCCAATAGGATTAGTGTCCTTATAAGGAGAGACATCAGAAACTCACGTCCTCTCTCTGCCATGTGAGGACACAGAGAGAAGGCAGCCAAATACAAGCCAAGAAATGAGCTCCTAGCAGAAAGAGAATCAACTAGCACCTTGATCTTGGAATTCCCAGCTTCCGGAACTGTGCAAAATTAAATGTCTGCAGTTTAAGCCAACCAGTCTACAGTATTTTTTTAACGGCAGGCCAAGCTGACTAATACATCCCTCTGCTTCCAGAAGAGTTAAGAGCAGTGCATTGCCTGCTGATTGGATATGTTTCCATTGCACATTGCATCTTCAAGAACCAGTGTGGGTTTGAAGGGGAACTTTCTTACATGACAAGGGAAATTAATTTTGTTCTTGTTGGACTGAGAGACAAGTTCAGCAAGCATGTGAAGCAAAAGAGACTGAAATTAAATTTAAAAATAAACATCAACTGATATTTTTAATAAAGGAAGAGATTCATCTACCAGGAAGCTTGATTTCTCATTCTTAAATATAACATTGACAAACTTCTTAATCTCTCTTGATACCTTCTCTTGTCTAAGAGACTTAGTTTCTACACCTGTAAAAAAGAAGTAATAATATTTGCCCTCTCACTCTAAAAACACTGGTATGAGAATAAATTAGAAATGGATGGAAAAAAAGCTCTGCAAACTCTAAAACAAACTTTAAGTAACATACAAATGAGGTAAGTTTTTTTAGGTTTATTGAGAAAGGATTCTAAAAACGTTTAACATAAAACATAGTCACAGATTATAGACTGTATTTTCAGGGTACTGTACCCTTCCTTATCACAAAACACTATCAAGTTGGTCAAAATTATCAAGTTGATTAAAATTCTAACCTCTAGGCCGAGCGCAGTGGCCCAGGCCTGTAATCCCAGCACTTTGGGGGCCGAGGTGGGTGAATCATCTGATGTCAGGAGTTTGCCACCAGCCTGGCCAACATGGTGAAACCCTGTCTCTACTAAAAATACTATATATATATATATATTAGCTGGATGTGGTGGCAGGTGCCTGTAATCCCAGCTACTCGGGAGTCTGAGGCAGGAGAATCGCTTGAACCCAGGAGGTGGAGGTTGCAGTGAGCCGAGATCATGCCGCTGCACTCCAGCCTGGTGACAGATGACAGAGTGAGACTCCATCTCAAAAAAAATAAAAATTGCTGATGCCTGTATTTTGATTCCAAGAATTGAAATACATTCTGTTCTGCTCTATGTGATGTGTGATTTTTCTTGGCTTAGGAACAACCCGGGAGAATCCATTTCGGATGGCAGAGGTACAAAAGAGCTAAAGGAAACGTCAAAAAAAACCTGACATACTGTAAACTTCCGTGCACATTTCATTGGCCAAAGCAAGCCACATGATCACACCCAACCTCTCTGTTTTGTTATTGGTTCTTCCATCCAAAGTCAATCTTTTATTCTGTGCTTTATGATGCTGAGGATGGAGCTCTGCAAACATATTGTTCCTTTTCTAGCTACTCTCTGGCAATAGAAGATGCTAAAGGGAAATTGGAGGAGTGGAGTAGGGAGGAGGGACTTGTTTCTGCTTGTTTTGCTTCCTGTTCTGTCATTAGCACCACAACAACGCTTTTTATCAGAAAGTTTCCATTTTTTTCCCCCTGAAATCTCAAAACCAGCTGTGTTGTACTCCTTCAAAAATACTGACAGCTAGCCAACATAGAGGTATGTTCTTTTAGGAGAGGTATGTTCTTTTAGGAGGAGACACAAGCCCTGACAGTTAACTCCTTCTCTCAGATATCCTGGCTCAACTCCAGGGGTCCTTTCTCTAAACTCCTGAGGAATTAGCACCAAGCTGGGGAACAGCCCTTCCTCTGAGGTAGGGAGGTTTTTCTGTAGGGTCTCTTATCCAAGCTTCTAGCTTCAAATGCTCCAGCATCTCCCCTTTGGTCTGCTAACCTGAAGACTGATAGCTGCATTGTATAAGGAACATCTGTTTACTTCAGTGTCACCTCTTGGCTTTTCTGTTCTTCTGTACCTGTTTAACCGATTTCTTTTAAGAATGTCTCTGTACTAAGCTGGAAGCCATATTTTTTTCTTTACTAGGCACTTACTGATGTAATGCTTGCAATCAGGATTTTAAAATATGAGACTCTGAGAAGACTATGTTTGAAACACAGAAGATTCTGTAGGGCTCTTTTAGTACTTCCATGTCCAATGGGAAAAGTGAATGGCAGATCACAAACATCTAAAGACAGAGACACAGAGCCATTCAGATCTAACAAATAAAGGTGTGGGTCACTCTAGAAGACAAGTAACTCCAACCCTGCTAAGGACCTGGTAAAGATAAGAGAAAGAGGAAATATGTTGTGGAAGAAAAAATGTATAAATATCAACTGTGGCTTTGTAACCACTTATAAAAACTAGAACTGTAGAAACAAGGTAAAATTTCTTACTTGCTTTTATTTTAAGTATAGGTTTGTGTGGATAGATGATAGATAGGTAAAGACATCAGCGACAAAGAAATCAAACAATGAACACCGAAGAGTCTTCCCAGATGCAACTAAACATTCAGACTCACAAAGCTATAGTAAGTGGGCCTGCACCAGACACAAAACCTTCTGGTGCCTTGATCTTGTAGTTCCCAGCCTCCAGAATGGTGAGAAATAAATCTCTGTTGTTTACAAGCTATCCAGTTCATGGTATTTTGTTACAGTTGCCTGAAGGGATTAAAACACTGATAATTTCTGCCCTTCTAGCAAGCTGGGTTCCTGTCCTATATTATTCTAACTAGGTCAGAGCCAAGTAATAGCTTTGAGCAAATTAATCACAGTTACACAGTTATTAAGCAATTTATACTCAGATCTTCCTGATTCCAAATAGATGCTTATAAAACAGTACATAGCGTGATTAACTTCTTCTGGACACCTCAGAGCTAATTTGACATGGCAGATCCTACATATTCCTAATTTAGGCAGTTTCTTTCATAGTGTTATCTTAGGTGATGTCCCTTAAAATAGTGTCCTGTCCAAAAATATCTCCCCCATGGTCTATGGTTACACTAAAATTCCACCATATGTAAAATACTTAAAAGCAATGTATTCAGTGCATTTTCAATTCTCACCTCTCTCTTCTTTTGCTCCTCTCAGTTGTAAAAGTATTTCTTTTCTATACCTAGGTAACACTTCCACCTGTACTTTTGCATTCATCATTTCCTCCTTTCTGTAGAACAGAAGTTCTCAGACTGTGCTGCCTGGAACCTCTTGGCAGGGACAGTGGCACAGAGAAGACAGGACCCTGATGCCCCAGCCTCTCTTCATCCAGAGCAACTCTGCCTTCACCTGCTCAGACATGGGCTCACAAATATCTTCATTTGAATAACAGATATTAAGCTAAAATAGGCATTAAAATTTTGCTATAGCATATTTTTTTTCTCAGCTTTTGGACCTTTAAGTATTTCCCTTTCTATGATCTAACCCCTATCAACTGCCAACATACTGAGGTATCTCTAATGTTATTTTGTTCTAAACTTGGAGTTCTTCATAGCAGCCAGCACTTGTTGTCTGGACAGTTCCTTATGCTGATAGCCTAGATAACGGACAGTAATAGGTCTCCCTGGGTCTTCCATATTTGCCCCATTTCTTCCAGGGAGATTTTAATCAAGACACAGATTCCAATATTGTTTTCTGAACCTTTCAGATAATTTTCTAATGTTTACAGGGTGATTCCTATCTATTGGCTGGTAATTAATACTTGCTCTACTTAACTATTTACGTAACAAAATTTGTTATATTATTTGAAAACAATTTTTAAGATTTTTCCTAACAGTCACTTCTTAACAAGAAGAGATTTCCTCAGCATTGAAGGTCCAATAGCTACTATTTACTCTTCATTATAACGGCTTAAGAAATATAACATTTACTGAGTATCTTTGTCTTATTCTCTATTGTTTGTTTTCTATTTTATTGACTTTTGCTCTTTATATTTACTTCATTTTGTTTACTTTTAGTTTATTTTTTTCTTCTCCTAGATTGTTCTCTCTGAGTTGTTGGATTGCCAATTTTTTAAAAAATAGTCTATCATTAAATATACTCAAAGTAAAGTTGGATCACTCATCACTGTGTCACTTAGATACTTTAAAACAAATAATTTTTCTTAAATAAGGCAGGTAGTGGGTGAGCTTTATAGATAACAGTGGCATAGACTCTAGAATTTTAAGCTCACCTTCATTGAGCCTGCAAATCTTTTTTACTGAAAGCATACCCAATTAATTGCAATGTAGAGACATATACTTTATCAAGTCCATGGGATTTTTCTACATAAAATGATCCAGTGCTAACATCCCAAACAATAACACTCACACAGCATACAGATACACACCAAATCTCTTGGTTATTTATGCCAGTAGTGTTTGCATCAGGGGACAATGTTTATGTTTAACCCATTTGTCAACTTTTCAGCAGGCTTATTCTCTCTCATAATGCTTCTTCCAAACAGAAGCAGTGTCTTAAGTCACAGGTTTCGTCTCCAATCAAGCAGGTATACTTGTTGAAATAATTCTCTGTATGTTTGAATAAACTATGCTGTGGCATATACACTGAAAATTTCAAAAGAATATACTCTACTTCTGATTTCCTGGATGAATATAAATGGATTTCACTAATACCTCTTAATCACAGAAACTAAAACCAATTTAACAGAACTCCTGTTGGTTGCCACAATAGGGTATAAAAGAAGCAGACTGATCAGACAAAAAGTTTTATTAATAGCATGCAGCCATTCATCAGAGGGTACACAAGACCTTGGATTTCATATATATAGGAGGTAAATTAAGGCAAGTATTTTCCCTTTAGTATACATATTCCATCTCAGTGGTTGCTATAACTTTGGTACAGTCTGTTGCTCTTACAAATAAGTATTGATGTTTATTTCAGCTGAATCCCTTTTAAAAGGAACTAGAAATTTTACTAAAGCAAATTGAAATATTCAACTTGCCATGGAGAAAAGATTTCTAGTCTGTCAGAAAGAATGTGTCTTTTTACTTTATCTTTTAACTATTTGTATTGTGTTCCATTGAGAGAAATGCTTGATTGAAGTTTAACTTTGTACACACTGGGGGTATATGCTACTCTCAGGCTCACCTATTTGCTGCTCTAATCTAGAGGGAGAAACATAGATCAGAAATTAGGGCCCTTTTTATCACACGCCTCTGTCTTTAAAAGGAGATTCAGGGGCTCCTAGTCCCCACTAGACCTGCTAAAGCTGCTCTGGGCAAACAGTAAGGCTGTGTATGTTTTTTTCATCATTTTACTTTTTTTTTTTTTTTGCAGGGAGTCAGTGTAGCTTAGTACCTAAAGTCATATTATCTGAATTTAGTCTGATTGGGTCCCCAACTCCACTCTTTGACCCATCTACCTTATGAGGATATTCAAAGTACTAAATGAGTAAGTGTATAAACTATATAAGACAGTCTACTATTATTACTGAATTTGTGGATATTTGGTAGCAGTCTTCAGGACATCTCATCTTAATCCCCTGCTTTTGAAATCCATCTCATTTCATGAGGATATAGGGAGAGAAATACGAGTAAGTGGAAGGTGGTGCATAACCTTATTATAATGTTGAAGCTGTTGAATTTCAATAGAAGCCTCAGTCGCTGAGTCAGGCCTGACCTAAAATATTGTCTGACTCCCACAACATGCAGAACAACATGTGGCCAGAAAATGCTCTGCAGATGCTGCTGTCCTAATAGTCACTTGCATCTTAATCTCTGTTACTCTGGGACTTTAACAACCATAATTTCAGGTCCTGGAGAGCTGTAGCAGTCAGTCTGATGGCTGATTAGGATTTAGTTTGAGGGGAATTTTAGCAGTCGTAACTGATTTGTGAAGTTTTATAAACATCCCTTGTGAGATGAAGTAGATGACAGGGCTTATATCTCATATAACCAAATTCTGAAATTGAATTTTTCCCTATATTCCTTAAAGTAACCCAACTTTGAGACTCTCTGTAATTCATGGTGCTGCTTATGAAAACTGTTCACCATCCAAATGCCTATTTATTTGCAGTCATTTTCCACAAAAAAAGAAAGTGTGATATCTCTATACTCAGGGGTGCTAAAGTGAAGACAATTTCAGATGTGTATAGACAGAAGAGAAATTTAAGTAACACAATTTAAAGTAAATTCTAGGAATCTCATTTTTTTGCTAGTTAGGTTTTCCAGCTGATCAGAGACAAAGTGCCAGATGCTATCGTTGTTTAATGTTGTTGTTTTTTTCCCCAGTTGGACTTTGAACTCTAAAAGTGCATAGGAAGTGATTTTTTTTTAATGGTAAGATTTCATTATTCCAATAATATCCCTTTGCTTAGCATATTTTTGTGACATCTTTTGTGACTGGCCTTTAGAATCACCTTATAAATTACACGGGCAAAGCTGTTCTATTATTTTGAATTGACATCCTGTTTACCCAAATCCGTAGTGTCCAGTTAATGAACTACTTTCTTTTTAGACCTTTGATTCAAAATAAAGTTTAGCTTTTATAAGAATGAGAATCCACCTTCAAGTGAACACACTTTGTGGCAATTAAAGGTACTTATGATGAGAAGCATGTTTCGAAAGTGTGATGGTGTGTATTTATTTTGTTTTGTTTTTAATAGAAAGGAAGCAAAGCATAATGGTTAAGAATATGAACTGAGAAGTCAAGCCCAAATTCTAGATGTGGTTTTGTCACTTTGACAAGTAACTAATTCCACCTGGCCTCAGTTTCCTCATCTGCAAAATGGAGCCTCTACCAACACTTTACAGTTGCCATGAGGGTGCAATAGATTTAACATAGACATATGTCTACCACAGTGCCATAGGAAAGAAACCCCGTAAAAGACAGTTTAGTCTTCCTCATACACTTGCGTGATGGCATAGAACACTAATAAAGACACCTCCATAATATCTCTCCCCTTTCATCTAAAAAAAAATTATGTCTTGCCTGATAGACTATTTATAATAGCTGATCAGGAGCAAAACAGAGAATAAATACAGAGAGGGAGTTCAAGGTATGAGGTCCGAGGAGTTTAGAGGCATATGGATATCATTAGAGCATAGAAGAGTAAGACCAATTGGTGGGCAGGGAAGTGAATAAGAGGAAAAGTGGGAGGCTTTGAGATTTTTTGTTTGAGTCTAGGTGTGGCCTGCATAGAATTTAGGAGATAAATGTTAAAGTCCTCAATGACTTTGTAATTCGTTATTGTGGTATTTATAAACAAAACAAAACAACATGGATTTATTCCATAATAAATACACTTTTTGTTTTTTTGCCTTTCCATCAGTGATATTAGTGATGACCCAGCCACATTTCTTATTGAATTCTTGTTTGTACTATAGTTGGTATATTTTTCTCAAGCTAGAGTTTCAAAACTTTCCCAAAGCATTTCTACTGGATATTTTTAAATTTACTTAAAAAATGTATAAACTTGACCACATTTCAAAGCTTACCTGGTTATAGGTGCTACAACATCCCTAAATTATCAGGTTCACAGAAAGTGCTAAAAATCAAGACTATGTATTGTGTCAATAGTGTCTTCATTTGAGTTGACATTTCTAGTGTACTGTAAATGATTGTATTACTTATGGCATAAACTTTCATAGTAGTTGGCAACATTTGGATATAATTTAATCTGTCTTTAAAATTTAGTACAACAAAATTACTTTATTTGCAGCTTGAATCTGTGCTCTCATTCATGTTTATTTGTTTTGTATTCTAACCAAGGAAGCTATTCCAACCCATATGAGATGTTCCTCTCTGGAAATATGGCTGGGGACAGATGGGATATAAATAATATTCTTAGATTACTACATGGATGTTTCAGAAGAATCACAGAGGAGGAGGTTTGACACAGAGTAATTTAGAATTCTATTGACATCAGATTTTTTTATCATCAGTTTTGGATATTGATAGACAGTAGAGAGAGCAGAATCCTAGGGAAATGTGATTTTTATATAATAATTGTATTTAAAAACATCACACTAGAATTCAAAGGAGGGAAAGATTCTCAGACATTTAAGATGCAGAATTACTAAAAGATTATATCTTGTTTGTGGGGCAAATATAGGAGTATTTACTGTGATGTCAGAAAATATGTGTATATATGTATTAAAATTTAATGTTGAAACAATTATAGAAAGACAATGATGATGGCAAGATAGCTTTTAAATCTTCATGGATTTTCCTACAAAAAAAAAAAAACCCAGAGCAATTGGGTAGCAAAACTAAAACCCCACAGGCAACATCCCTATAAATCTAAAAAAACCCAAATGATTGTACATGGTGTTAATGTCTGAGCAAGAAAAAGCAGAGGGAAGCAGTGGAGAGTCTGATAAACCTGAGGGCAGTAAAACACACAATAAATGGCCAATGTATACCCACTGGGAGAGCATACTAAGCCAATTTGAAAACAACAACTAGAACTGGAAGGGTTCTACCCACTCCAAGAGTAGGTGCTGCAGGAAATTATACTTAAAAAGAGTAGAACAGTATGAATCTTATGAACCCCAAAACTGATCATCCAAGGCTCCCTTTCTTTTTTCTTTTTTTTTTCTTTTTTTGATGGAGTCTCGCTCTGTCGCCCAGGCTGGAGTGTAGTGGCGTGATCTCGGCTCACTGCAAGCTCCACCTTCTGGGTTCACACTATTCTCCCACCTCAGCCTCCTGAGTAGCTGGGACCACAGGCACCTGCCACCACACCAGGCTAATTTTGTTTTTGTATTTTTAGTACAGACAGTGTTTCACTGTGTTGGCCAGGATGGTTTCCATCTCCTGATCCACCCGCCTCGGCCTCCAAGTGCTGGGGTTACAGGCGTGAGCCACCGCGCCTGGCCCTCAAGGCTCCCTTTCATGATGTGGTCCAAAAATGAGGAGACACTGATGGGAATGGAATTCAAACTGGTCAATACTGAGCCAAGAGAGATAAAGGAAAGAGGAGGTCCAGGTAAAACAGAGAACTGAGTCAATAGACATTAGAAAACAAGCTGGGGTGTGTATGTATGTGCACATGTGTGTATTTTTGACACTACACAAAAGTCAAGAAGGTGATGCTTTCTAAAGTTAGCTTTTATAAATTCCAACTCTACCTACCTTCTCCCAATAACTCAAAATAATTTTACACACAGAAAAGATAATCTCAAATACTATACAAACATGTTATTCTAAACAGATGAAACTGTAATCCACTATTTGGATACACAATAAGAAATGTAACAAAATGACACAATACTTGAAAAAAAATGTCAGAATTAGAAAACTCAGAAATTAGGATAGTGTTCAGGAAAAAATTAAAAATTAAAAAAGAATATTTCAGAAATAAAGGTTGAATTGCAAATAAGCACCATTTAAACATTTTTATTCTCACCTACTTTTTCCAAATAATAAAATATATAATATGTACTATTTCTCTTCAGAACTTATAAAATAAGTCTTTCTTCCCCAGTAACCTGAAATTTCTTTTAGCTCTCAAGATCATTAGAGGTAAGCAAAACCAATTGAGTTTTACATGGCTGGTGTCATATATCAATTTTTGGAGGCTTGACAAAGATAGCTTAGGAACTTTAGATAGAGTAAATCGTAGAACCAAATAAAAGCCTTCCATTAGAAACTAAAAAAAACCAATGGTATTATATAAGTGAAACCCAAAGGAGAACAAACAGCAAATAAATAAAAATTAGAATTAGAAACAAATAAACAGAATGCTAACCATCAATTTTTCTCTATTCAATTTACCTTGGAGGTACAGTGTTACCCAGAGCCTAAAAAAACCCATATGATGAATATTTTATTTCTGATACACAATTTAACATCTTTAAGTCCACAATACCACTATGTATTTTGTACAATTAAGAAATTCACTTAGGGGCGTGACCAGCAAGTACTTTAGTGCTAGTACTATCTATGCAAAATAGCAAATAGTGTGTGAAGCAATACAGGCATGTATGTGAAATTTAGTTCCATGCTAAATCTGGCTTCATGCTTAACTATATTAAAAAAGAATTCCCAAACTGCCAATATATTTCATTACAATATTTCTTAATTTACTTTCATCAAGACTAAGAGCTTTAACTATGAACAATGTTAAATAGCCAAATGTCTACAATTTTCTATCATGTTTTAAATAAAATTTTATTATCTAAAGTTTTTCATATTCTCTGCGTTGCATGAAGATTGACATACAAAGAAACAGGAAAAACTATATAAGACCATCTATGACATACTTAGACTTTCTGGTTTGTCCTAAATTTTCTTTTTTAAACAAACTAACAAACAAACAAACAAAAACATCATTTTACTTTAGGTCAAAAATTTACTATAGAAGATCCATTCTCATACAAATTTATTATCTTTTCTTTATAACCTTGTAACCAAAAATATATCTTCATATCCATAGCTTTCTTCACATCACTCTCCTCTGCTTACTAGGTCCTTACTACCTTGTTTCATAAATAACCTTTTCAAGCCCATAATTTAAATTAACTTTTAGACAACTTCTGAATTACACAAAATTAATCTATTTCTCAATAAGAACACATCTTCTTTGGCACATTTTATATACACAATTATATATTCGCTACGATTTTTATACTTAAAAACCTTAAATTTTAGTGAAACCTAGGAAGCAAGAAATCCTGAACTATCAGATATTATCATTTTATAGATGAGAATGATTCCACAATTTTTGGAAACATATTTCCCCATATCATAACTGTTTCTTAATCGGAAATGACACAGATATCCAATGAACATCAAAAATAATTTTAAGATTTTAAATTACATAAAAGTTTACCTAAAACATTTATCACACTTACATGTACTCAATTCTTTCAACAGTTTATTGAGATTACTTCTGAAAACTGAGATATTAGACACCATGATTTAAAGTTGGTGATTTCCTTGTGAACCATTTTTTAAACAGCTAGTGAACATCAGGAATTTCTCACCAAGTAAGAACCTCAAAGTTAAATGCATGGGTATTTTTGCCAATAATGCAGAAGATTCCAGTTTTATTAAATGAATACATTCAATTTGTCTTACTTATCAAAAAAAATGGACAAAGATCATTTTTTGGGCTGGGTTTGTAGCTTTATAACTTTCTGTGCCAAACCCTGATATCTCAAAATATGTAGCAAGGACAAATAGAAAATCCAGATAAAAATGTATACTGACAATTCTGAAGACATTTTTATTTTTATTTTATCAATGATTTAAAAGCCAGCTTGTTTGTTAAAGATTTACTTAAGTCTTACGAACTTGAAAATCGCTTGGACTTATTTACTTAATTAATGAGTGCTCTTTTATCTATAAGCCAATTTGGTAGCCACAACATATAACTTAATAAATGTACATACATAAATACATCCAGACATGTATAGACACACAAAGATCCAATAGCTTTTATCTTGGAATTCTAGCCATGAGATAGGAATTCAATAGCTTTTACCTTGGTCTATAAACATGTACACATGGCTGAACTTTGTTAGCCCCAGTAGGTAATCCAGTGAAGTCTGTGAACCAAAATTTTGGGTAAAGCAGTTTCCATGGCAGCTTGATTTTTAAAGGCTAAACTTTCCCAGGCTCCAAAGAACACTGGGGCCAACCACCAAAGGAGAACATCACATACTAACCAAGCCCAACCCTGTCTAGAACAGCAGCCCAAAAGCCTGGATACATGCACCTGCATTCCACTTTACCATTTAATAGCAAATTCCAGATTCCAAACAATATCGGGGCCAAATAGTATTACACAAAAATATCAAATTTTCTGAATTCTAATTTCCCATGACTGTATCAAACACATACCATTATCAAAACATAATCTAACTGTTGCAGCAACAAACAAGCCCCAAGAGTGTCCAAACTAAAACAATTGGGGTGCTTCCTCTTTCCATTGGTTGGGCTTGATCAACCTGCAAACGAAAATACCTTAGGAATTTCCCAAATTAAGAGTTGCTGATCCTGCTGTCTGATACCCACAAAAGACACTCACTTGCCTGGACACACATACAACTCCAAACAAGCCCCCAGCAGTGTCCATACTGAAAGAGTCAGGGTGCTTCTTTCTCTCAGTCAGTTGGGCTTGCTCAACCTGCAAATGGAAATTCCCTTTAAGATCCTGCTGTCAGGTCCCACAAAGACACTCGCCTATCCAGACACAGATGTCAAATTTCAAAGACAGTTCTTCCCTGGCAATCAGGAACATATTTGGGGTCGGCTATGGCAGAGCCAGAGAGAGACAGAAAATCACTTCCAGCCAAAATGGGTGATCAGCTACTTACGAGGGCTTCTGAGACATGGCCCATGACAGCAAAGCCATGAGCAACATGTGCCCAGTCAGGGAACCAAAATCTTTTCACTAAACACCAGGGGTTTGGTTTAGGTCTTGCTGCTCACCACACAGGAAGCCAGTGATTGAGATGACAAGTACTGCTGAGGAAGAAGGCTTTAATCTGGTGCTGCAGCCAAGGAGATGGGAGCTCAGTCTCAAATCCATCTCCCTAATGGACTAAAACTAGGGGTTTACGTAACAGGGAAGAAATGTAACAATGTGTAAGAAAATAGGAACTAGGGAGGAGCAATGATATGGTTTGGCTCTGTGCCCCCACCCAACCATCATCTCGAATTGTAATCCCCACATGTTGAGGAGGGACCCAATAGGAAGTGACTGGATCATGGGGGAGGTTTCACCCAGACTGTTCTCATGATAGTGAGGGAGTTCACATGAGATCTGATACTTTAAAAGTGGCAGTTTCCCCTGTGTTCTCTGTCTCCTGCCAACTTGTGAAGAAGACGCCTGTTTCCCCTTCACCTTCTGCCATGATTATAAGTATCCTGAGGCCTCCCCAGCCATGTGAAACTTTGAATCAATTAAACCTCTTTCCTTTATAAATTACCCAGTCTCAAGTAGTATCTTTGTAGCAGTGTGAAAACAGACTACTACAGGCAAAGAAGCAATCATGATAAATGAGGGCTCCAGGATGTCATTGTCTGGATGTGGTGACCTGATGAGTTTCAGTTCATTGATGCTTTTTTTGAGAGGCCTGAAGGTTGTTTTTTGAGGAAGAAACTCAGATAAAACAAATATTTTATTTTATTTTATTTTTTTGAGATGGTGTCTTGCTCTGTTGCCTAGGCTGGAGTACAGTGGTGCGATCTCGGCTTACTGCAACCTCCACCTCCCAGGTTCAAGCGATTCTTCTGCCTCAGCCTCCCAAATAGCTGGGACTACAGGTGTGTGCCACCACGACTTGCTAATTTTTGTATTTTTAGTAGAGACAGGGTTTCACCATATTGACCAGGCTGGTCTCGCACTCCTGACCTCATGATCTGCCCGCCTTGGTCTCCCAAAGTGCTGGGATTACAGGAGTGAGCCACCACAAGTTTTAAGCCTTATGATCAGAAGGGTCTATTTCTATATTTAATATATATATTAAATATATTTATATTTATATATATTATATAACATATGTGAAATTTGACTCCATGCTAAATCTAGCTTTATGCTTCACTATGTTAAAAAATAACTGCCAAACTGTCAATTGGTTTTTTACTATAATTCTTATTTTACCTTCATCAAGACTAAGAGCTTTAACTATGAGCAATGATAATTAGCCAGATTTTTCCAGTTTTCTATCAGGTTTTAAAGAATATTTTATTATTTAAACTTTTTCAACTTTTATTTTCATATGCATGAAGATACACACACAAAGAGGAGAAAACTACGTATGATATACTCAGGCCACCTATGACATGCTTGGACATTCTGTTTTGTCCTAAATTTTCTTTTCTTTTTTCTTAATTTTTTTTTAAATTACCAATCATTTTACTTTAGGACAAAAATTTGCCATACAAGATTCCTTCTCATACAAAATTATTGTCTTTTCTTTATAACCTTCCTTACCAAAAATTCATCTTCATACACATAACTTTCTTCACATTTCTCTCTGCTATTTACTGGTTCCTTTCTATCTTATTTCATAAATAACCTTTTTAAGTCCATAATTTGAATTAATCTTTAGATAACTTCTGAATTAGACAACATTATTCTTTTACTCAACAAGAACACATCTCTGGCACATTTTGTATACAGAATTATATACTAACTAGAGTAATTATTCATAGTAACCTTAAATTTTAGTGACAACTAAGGAGAAATCCTGAGCTGCCTATCAGATATTAGCATTTTATAGATGAGAATTATTCTGCAATTTTTAGAAACATGTTTCTCTATATCATAACCTTTTCTTAATTGTAAACGACCCAGACAGCCGATGAGCATCCAAAATGATTTTAAGAGTTTAAATTATGGAAAAAGTTCACCTACAGCACTTAGCCATTTACATTCTATTTATTTTAGCAGTTTATCTAGATTATTTACATACCATTTTCTTGTTAACCATCTTATATTCTGTGAATATAAGATGTTCAACTAAGTAAGAACCTTTAATTATTTGAGTATTTTTACTAATAACTCAGAAGATTCAGCTGTTTTCATTAAATCAACAACATTAAATTAGTCTTACTTATCAAAACAGATTTGCACAAACAAAAAGCATTGTGTTTTGGCTAGGTTTATAGTTTTATAACCTTCTGTGCCAAACCCTGACACCTCAAAATATCTAACAGAGACAAATATGAAATCCAGACAAAAATTAATGATGACAATTCTGTAGACATTTCTATTTTTATTTTATCAATAGTTTTAAAGCCAGCTTGTTTATTAAAAATTTACTAAGCCACGTGAAATTGAAAAATACTTTGGACTTAATTATGAGCACTCTTTTTTTAATAAGCTAATTTGGTAGACACAATATATTAAAAATGTGCAGATACAGCACACAGTTCAGAAGTTGAGAGCTGAGTGTCAGCCGCTCTAAAATCTTCCAGAAATTAAGCCAGTCAGCTGAATCCACCTTATACCACCATCAAACCCTCAAGGTCATCAAATAGGATAAAAGAAACCAAAAAAATTCCAAAGTTCAGCACCTTCAAAGATTGGAGGAATATAAGGCCACAAAGATGAGAAAGAACCAGTGTAAGAACCCTGACAACTCAGAAAGTTAGAGTGCCTTCTTTCCTCCAAATGACTGCACCATCTCTACATCAAGAGCTCTGAACTGGGCTGAGATGGCTGAAATGACAGAAATAGAATTCAGAATATGGATAGGAACACAGAACATTGAGAGGCAGGAATATGTTGAAACCCAAACCAAGGAAACTAAGATAAAATAGCCAGTATAGAAAAGAATGTAACCAACTGGATAGAACTGAAAAACACACAAGGATTTTATAATGCAATCACAAGTATTAGTAGTAGAACAGACCAATCAGAAGAAATAATCTCAGTTCTTGAATACTGGCTTTTTGAAACAAGACAGTCAGACAAGAATAGAGGATAAAAAGGGATGAACAGAACTTTTGGGAAATATGGCATTATGTAAATCTACAACTCATTGGTGTCCCTGAAAGAGATGGGGAGAGTGTAAGCAACCTGGAAAACATATTTCAGGATATCCATGAGAACCTCCCCAACCTGGTTAGGCCAATATTCAAATTCGGGAAATGCAGAGAATCCCAGTAAGATACTTCACAAGAAGATTATCCCAAAGACAATAATCATCAGATTCTCCAAGGTCAAAATGAAAGAAAAAATGTTAAAGGCAGCTAGAGAGAAAGGTTAGGTCACTTACAAAAGGAAACCTATCGGCCTGACAGCAGACCTCTCAGCAGAAATATTACAAGCCAGAAGAGACTGGGGGCCAATATGCAACATTCTTAAAGAACAGAAATTCCAAACAATTTCATATCTGGCCAAATTAAGCTTCGTAAGCAAAAGAGAAATAAGATCCTTTTCAGACAAGTAAATGCTGAGGGAATTTGTTACCACCAGACCTGCCTTACAAGAGCTCCTAAAGGAAGCACTAAATATGCAAAGGAAAGACCATTGCCAGCCACTATAAAAACACACCGAAGTACACAGACCAGTGACGTTATAAAGCAATCACATAAACAAGTTTGCAGCATAGCCAGCTAACATTATGATGACAGGATCAAATCCACACATATCAATACTCATCTTGAATGTAAATGGGCTAAATTCCCCAATTGAAAGGCACAGAGTGGCATGCTGGATAAAAAACCAAGACCTATTGGCATGCTGTCTTCATGAGACCCATCTCACATGCAATAACACCATAGGCTCAAAATTTTTAAATATCTACCAAGCAAATGGAAAACAGATAACAGCAGGAGTTGCAATCCTAATTTCAGCCAAATAGACATTAAACCAACGAAGATTTCAAAAAGACAAAGAAGGGGATTACATAATAGTAAAGAGTTTAATTTTAACAAGAGGACCTAACTATCCTCAACATATATGCACCCAATACAGGAGCACCCAAATTCATAAAGCAAGTTCTTAGAGACCTACAAAGACATATAGATTCCCACACAATCTTTAAGAGACTTTAATACCTATGGACGGTATTAGACAAATCATTAAGACAGAAAATTAACAAAGATATTCAGGACCTGAACTCAACACTACACCAAATGGACCTGATAGACATCTGCATAACTCTGCACCCCAAAACAAGAGAATATACATTCTTCTCATCACCACATGGCACATACTCAAGAACTGATCACATAATGACACACAAAACACTCCTCAAATGCAAAAGAACTGAAATCATAACAACCAGTATCTCAGACCACAGCATAATCAAATTAGAAATCAAGACTAAGATACTCAGTGAAAACCATATAATTATATAGAAATTTAATAACCTGCTCCTGAATGACTTTTGGGTAAATAATGAAATTAAGGCAGAAATCAAGAAGTTCTTTCAAACTAATGAGTACAAAGATACAACCTACCAAAATCTCCAAGACACAGCTAAGGCATGGTTAGAAGGAAAATTTATAGCGATAAATGCTCACATCAAAAAGTTAGAAAGATCTGAAAATTACCAATCTAACATCCCAACTAAAATAACTAGATAACCAAGAAGAAAACAAACCCAGTGCTAGCAGAACAAAAGAAATAATCAAAATTGGAGCTGAACTGAAGGAGACTGAGACACAAAATGCTATTCGAAAAATCAATGAATCCAGAATTTGTTTCTTTGAAAAAATTAGTAAAATACATAGACCACTGGCTAGACTAATAAAGAAGAGAGAATACCCAAATAAACACAATTAGAAATTACCAAGTGGATATTATCACTGACCCTACAGAAATACAAATAACTATCAGAGGATATTATGAACACCTTTATGCACATAAACTAGATAATCTGGAAGAAAAGGATAAATTCCTGGACACATACACTCACCCAAGACTGAGCCAGGAGGAAACTGAATTCCTGAGAAGATCAATAATGAACTCTGAAATTGAGTTAGTAATAAATAGCTTACCATTCAAAAAAAGTCCCAGAGCCAGATGGATTCACAGCTGAATTCTAACAGATGTACAAAGATCTGGTACCATTTCTGTGGAAACTATCCCAAAAAATTGAGGAAGAGGGACTCCTCTCTAACTCATTCTATGAGGCCAGCATTATCCTGATACCAAAACCTGGCAGAGACACAACAACAAAAAAAGAAATCTTCAGGCCAATATCCTCAGCAAAATGCTGGCATACTGAATCCAGCGGCACATCCAAAAGCTTACGCGCCACGATCAAGTAGGCTTTATCCCTAGGATGCAAGTTTGGTTCAACATACGCAAATCAATAAATGTGATTCATCACATAAACAGAAATAAAGACAGAAACCACTTGATTATCTAAATAGATGCAGACAAGGCTTTTGATAAAATTCAACATCCCTTCATGTTAAAAACTCTCAACAACCTAGATATTGAAGGAGCATACCTCAAAATAATAAGAGCCATCTGTGACAAACCCACAGCCAACATCATACTGAGTGGGCAAAAGCTAAAAGCCCTCTCACTGAAAACTAGAGCAAGACAAGGATGCTCTCTCTTACCACTCCAGTTCAACACGGTATTGGAAACCTTTGCCGGAGCAATCAGGTAAGAGAAAGAAATGAGGGACATCCAAAAAGCAAGAGAAGAAGTCAGACTATCCCTGCTTACGGACGACATGATCCTATATCTAGAAAAGCCCATAGTCTTGGCCCAAAAGCTCCTTCACCTGATAAACTTCAGCAAAGTTTCAAGATACAACATCAATGTACAAAAATCACTAGCATTCCTATAAATGAACAACCGTCAAGCCCAGAGCCATATCAGGAACACAACTCCATTCACAATCACCACAAAAAGAATAAAATACCTAGGAATATAGCTAACCAGGGAGGTGACAGATCTCTACAAGGAGAACTATAAAACATTGCTCAAACAAATCAGAGATGATACAAACAAATGGAAAAACATTCCTTGCTCATGAGTAGGAAGAATCAATATAGTTAAAATGGCCATACTGCCCAAAGCAATTTATAGACTCAGTGCTATTCCTGTTAAATTACTAATGAGATTCTTCACAGAAATAGATAACACTATTTTAAAATTCATATGGAAACAAAAAAAACGCCTGAACAGCCAAGGCAATTCTAAGCAAAAAGAACAAATCTGGAGGCATCAAGCTACTCAGCTTCAAACTAATATGGCAGGGCTACAGTAACCAAAACAGCATGGTACTGGTACAAAAACTGACACATAGACCAATGGGACAGAATAGAGAGCCCAGAAATAAGACTGGATACCTACAACTATCTGATCTTCAACAAAGTTGACAAAAACAAGCAATGGGGAAAGGACTTCCTATTCAATAAATGATGCTGGGATAACTGTCTAGCCATACGCAGAAGATTTAAACTGGTCCTTTTCCTTATACCACATATACAAATCAACTCGAGACGGATTAAAGAAAATGTAAAACCCAAAACTGTAAAATCCCTAGAAGACAACGTAGGTAATACCATTCAGGACATGGGAATGGACAAAGATTTCATGATAAAAATGCAGCAATTGCAACAGAAGCAAAAATAGACAAATGGGACCTAATTAAACTAAAGAGCTTCTGCACAGCAAAAGAAACTATCAACAGAATAAACAACCTACAGGATGGGAGAAAATTTTTGCACACTATGCATCGGATAAAGGTCAAATATTCAGCATCTATAAGGAACTTAAACCAATTTAAAACAGAAAAACAACTCCATGAAAAAGTGAGCAAAGGATATGAACAGACACTTCTCAAAAGAGAACATATGGCCAGGCGCGGTGGTTCATGCCTGTAATCCTAGCACTTTGGGAGGCCAAAGTGGGTGGATCACCTGGGGTCAGGAGTTTGAGACCATCCTGGTCAACATGGTGAACCCCGTCTCCACTAAAAATACAAAAATTAGCTGGGCAAGGTGGCACACACCTGTAATCCCAGCTACTTGGGAGGCTGAGGCAGGACAATCGCTTGAACCTGGGAGGCGGAGGTTGCAGTGACCTGAGATCATGCCACTGCACTCCAGCCTGAGCCACAGAGCCAGACTCCATCTCAAAAAAAAAAAAATAAAACAAACAAACAGAAGACATATATGTGGCCAACAAGCATATGAACAAAGCTCAACATCGCTGATCATAAAAGAAATGCAAATTAAAACCATAATGAGATATGATCTCACGCTAGTCAGAATGACTATTATAAAAAGTCAAAATATAACAGATGCTGGCAAGGTTGCTAAGAAAACGAAATGCTTATACGCCATTGGTGGGCATATAATTAGTTCAACCATTGTGAAAAACAATGTAGCAATTCCTTAAAGACCTAAAGATAGAACTGCAATTCCACCCAGCAGTCCCATTACTGGGTATATACCCAAAAGAATATAAATCATTTTATCATAAAGCCACATGTCACATGCATGCATATGTTTATTGCAGCACTATTCATAATAGCAAAGACATGGAATCAACCTGTATGCCCATCAGTGGGAGACTGGATTAAAAAAAATGTGGTACAGATATACCATGGAATACTATGCAGCCATAAAAAGGAATGAGATCATGTTCTTTGCAGGGATATGGATGGGGCTGGAGGCCATTATCCTTAGCAAACTAATGCATGAAGAGCAAACAAAATACTGCATGTTCTCTTATAAGTAGGAGCTAAATTATGAGAACACATGGACACATAGAGGGGAACAACAGACACCTGGGCCTATCAGAGGGTGGAGAGTGGATGGTAGGAGGACAGAGAGGATAAGGAAAAATAACCATTTGGTACTTGGCTTAATACCTGGGTGATAAAATAATCTGTGCAACAAGCCCCCGTGACATAAGTTTTTCTATGTAACAAAACTGCACATATACACCTGAGCTTAAAATGAAAGTTAAATTAAAAGAAAAAAAACACAAACACACACAAAAACAACAAAATAAATGTACATACACATAAACACACCTAAACATATATACACACACACACACAAATCAAATAGCCCTTACCTTCTCACTCTAGCCATGAGATCTCAATAAAAAGTCACTGGTGTATGAACATGTCCATATGGCTACAGTTTGTTTGCCCCAATAGATAATTCAATGAAGTCTATGAACAAAAATTTTGGGTAAAGTAGTTTCCATGGCAGTTTGATTTTTAAAGGCCAAACCTCCCTAGACTTCAAAGAACACTAGGGCCAAATAGCACCACAGGAGGCCCAACCCTGCTTAGAACAGCAGCATAAAAGTCTGGATACATGGAACTCCATCCAACTTTCTCATTCAACAGCATTACAATTTAAAGACTTTCTGACATCAGACAAGATCAGTGCATTCACGGTCGTATGACCATAGCCATCAACCCACAGTTACATTCAGCCTAACCCTGAAGAATGCACTCAAGAGGACTGCACTCTGGCATCAAATCCCAACCTCCCATGACTACACTGACACACACACAATCCACAAAACACAATCCAACTGCTGTGGCCACAGACAAGCCCCAAGAGTGTCCAAACTGAAACAGTCAAGGTGCTTTCCCTCTCCATCAGGTGGGGCTGATCAACCTGCAAATGAAAATTTCTTAGGAATTTCTCAAATTCAGAGGAGCCAGTCCTGCTGTCTGACACCCACAAAAGACAATTACTTGTTTGGACACACATAAAACAATTACTAACAAGCCCCAAGGGTGTCTAAACTGAAACAGAGTGCTTCCCTCTCTCAGTCTGTTGGGGTTGTTCAAATTTCAAATGGAAATTCCTTAAAAAATTTCCCAATTGAGAGGAGCAGATCCCACTGTCTGGTTCCACAAAGGACACTCATGTATCCTGATGGAGGTGTCAGATTTCATAGATCGTTCTTCCTAGGCAATCAGGAATGCAGTTGGGGCCTGAGAGAGAGAAACTGAGATCCACCTCCCGCTAGGAAAGGGTTGGGCAGCTGCCTAGGAGGGCTTCCAAAACTCTCCTGGCCTGCAGCAGCAGAGCCCCTGGCAACATGTTTCTGGTTAGAAAACCAAAATCGGATACTGAAACACCAGGGGTTCAGTCTAGGTCCTGCTGCTCACGGCACAGAAAATCAGTCACTGAGAGACAATCAGTGTTGCTAGGGAATAAGGCTTTAATCAGGTGCTGCAGCTGAGGAGATGGGACATCAGTTGCACATCTATCTCCTCAACCTACTAAGATTAAGGGTTTATATAGCAAGGAAGAAATATAACCATGTATGGGAAAACAGGAATTAGGGAGCAGTGAGGAAGAGAAGTTGATCAACAAGAAGCAGGTGATCAGTTAGGCAATCATGATGGGTGAGGGGTCTGAGGTCTCATTGTCCAGATGCAGTGAGCTGGTAAGTTTCAGCTCCTTAATACTATCTGGGAGGCCTGACTTTTGGTTTTTTTGAGAAAGGAACTCAGATAAGACAAATGTAACTTTCCCAAGTTTTAATACTAGCAGGATCAATTGCTATGCTTATTCAAAAAACCTCAGCTCTATGGGACAATTGGGTCCGTTTCAATAAAAAAGATAAAAGTCTTAAAATTATAAAGAAATGAAGTTAAAAGACTTCAAGAAAAAATGACAACATATGGATAATTAGAGTGTTTGAAGAAAACCATAGCAAAGGAAGAGAACAAATACTAAAAACTATGGTTTGAGAATCCTTGCTGAAATAAAAATCAGAAACTTATGAGCACCTGAAATGTGAGTTTATATGTAATACCACAGGTAAAGTCCCTAATACATTATTCCCAAGACAGATAGCAATTTCTCTGAATGTTTCTGTGCTTAAAAGGGAATACAAGGAGAATACTTTATTATTTGAAATAATGTTCTGCTCAATCTGGTGGGAATACATTTCTGGTCTATTTTACTCACACAAAATTTATTTTATTACATTAAATTCAGTGATAGCTACTGAAAACCAAAACTCTCCTTAGTATCATAGTTACTTTGCCTCTCTAAATCTAGGAACTCTAACCCATGAAGAGGGGTTGACAGTAGGTAGCAGTATCATGAATATTGGTCAGCACTTTGGTCTTCTGAAATCCTTAGAAATGACTAAAATTAGTGGAATAAGAAGTAGAAACATGCTTCAAAGAAGATGTTACATTTCAAAATTCATTGCTTTTCCCATATACCCTACTTGGTAAATTTAATCTTAGAGCCACTATCAGAAGTTTCCTCTTCAAGTCAACATGGAGATTAGCCTCAGATCTGTTGGTAAATGAGTGGAGTCAGAGCAGACCAGGGCAGAGCACAGCTGCACATCATTTCTTCAGCCTTGCATGCATTAGCCTTCCAACGGCTCATTCTGAAAATGGCCCTTATGAAAGCAGAAATATAATGCTACTAAAATGTAATTTAAGCAGGAGTTAAAGCAAAATTCCCATGCACTTAAAAGCAAGCAAAAAGTCATTTGTATTGTTCCATGGCATTTTACAGAATTAACTGCATTGGTTAGCAAAATAGTTCAGCAAAAGCTGTCATCTTCTATTCCAAAATGTTTTTAGAAGAAATCTGAGGCATCAGAAGACTTTAATACAAACAAAATATTCAATATATATAATTTTTGCTAAGGAAGTCAAATATTCGGTTTGTGTTTTAGCTTCAAATGAATATTTTTGAAAACCAGCACTGAGAAAATGACAGAATCTATTAATCTCTTCTTCAGAATGAGACAGCTTCTCCTATACCTCATAGAAAAATACTGTTTCTAAGTAAATACGTAAACTGTAAAATACTAGATGAAAGAGAACCTGCCTTTGGTGGGCAGGTGAAGAGGTTTTCTATTTGAAGCACACCCTTCCTTTTACTGATATGATAATGATGGTTCCTATTTACCACTTTAACATTAGAAAAATTATGAGCCTTTTTTTGCAGTCAGACAGACAACAGGCCTGAATGTTGATTTCTTCAATGACTAAAATGCTGAAAATAATACACATGTTTCATGGGAGCCATAATGATTAAAATAGGTAATGCTGATTACTTATTTTTATTAAATGTCTACTACTTTCAAAGCAGTAGACATTTAGTAAAAATCTAGGATCAGAGTCATTAGAATGATTCTACTCTATGCTATTTCACTGAAATTGCTAATTTTCTGGATATTGTCAGTATAAGATTTAATTCTGGTTTGTTTTGAGATTTCTTTTAAATTTTAAAAAGTAAATGGATACATTTTAATATTGTTACATATCAAGAAATGTACTGACCACCCACTGACTTAAGTTCGTTTCCACCATTTCACTAAAATTAATCTCAATTAGGTCATAAATGACTTCTTTATAGATACCTTCATTTTCTTAGAATATATATCCTTTTTTAGTATCTATAGTACTGCTTTTTTCTTGTCCTCTGCCAAACTCTCTGGCTACTCCTTTTGAATTTATTTTTCAGCATGTGCTGTATTTCTCTTAAAAATATTGATGTTCTTTAGGGCTATAATCAGCATTTTTCTGTCTCAGTCTGCACACTGTTTATGAATATCTTCTACTTTCATGACTTCACTTACCTTCTAGAGAGTGATGAGTTCATGATCATTCTCTCCAACTCAAATCTGAAGAATTAATGTCCTATGGTTGTCCTTCCCTGGGTGCTTCACAAGTGTTCCAAACTTACCATAGCAGATGTTTAAAAACCAAAACCCTGACCCTAACCCTAATCATAGACTGGTTTCTTGAGTGTACATAGTATCCTGGAGGACATTACACAAGCCATGCAATGCAGTCACCAGTAGGTGCCAAATCTGAGAAAATAAAGGTTATAAGAGGAGGAGTAGGCAAGGAAAATGATTTCGGTTACATCACTGTTCTCTGTAAAGTTCCAGTTGCCTCAGAGAAGAAATGTAGATGTATTTCCTGAATTTTCTCTTTTCCACAACCCTATAAGAAATTAGTCCCTTGGGAACTAATACCTCTAACACAGTAAATCAAAATATTTTAGGGATAGGAATGAAATATTTTGTTAGTGGATCTTTGGGAGTAATAGTGAAAGAAGCCACTTCTATTCTTTCCTTCCTGCTTGATTCCTGGATCTGTAAATCCTGGTTATGGTAGAAGCAATTTCATAGACAGGCTACTTCTCCAGGGTATAAATGGTATTGTGGAGGACACTACGTCAGCCCTGAAAAGCAGAGTCATCAGCTGGTGCCATATCTGAGGGAAAAAAAGGTCTATGTCATTACAACAGAGTGATCAAGGGAAAAAGAAATAAAAACAGAGCTGGAGAAGGATAGGAACACATGTAAAAGATCCTTCTAAACCATATTAAGGACTTGAGTTTTATTTATGAGAACACTAAAAAGTTTCAAGAAGGGTAATAACATGGTCTAAATTTTTTGTTGTGTTTTGTTTTTTAAGTACTAGTGTCCACTATGACACAGGAACAACATTCTACATGAATTTACTACTTATACAATGTAGGCAAGAAATAGAGGTAGATTAGGCTAGGGTAGAAGTGAAGATGAGGATAAATAAATTAGAATTCTTTTTATTGTTAAGTCTAATATGTTTTAACATTGGAATAGATGAGTAGAGGTTGTGTGGATGGCTGACCAACTCCATTGAGCTATTTGCTGAGATTAAAATACTGGATGTTAGGGGAGCAGTTTGGGTTGGAAATGAAATCAAGAATTTTGTTTGGAGATAATTATATTTTAGATGCTTATTAAACATCCAATTATAGATGTTAGCTAGCATCTGGGTTGATGATTTTGGCATTTAGCAATTTGGCAATTGAACCACAAATTGTATAAGTATACAGTCAGTGTTTAATTCATGGAACAAGATGAATTCCCTGAGAAGATAATAATAGAAGAAAAAAAGATAATTAAATAGCGAATGTTGGGAAACTCCTAAATAGGAAAGTTGGAAAAATTAAGGAAGAATCAGCAAAGAAACCTGAGCTAGATAACTAACAGAAAAAGATCGTGCATAGAAATCAAGAAAATACAGTATTCAAAATATGCCATATTGTAAAAGGTCTCAATTTCTTTTGATAACACAAATAGCTTTAAGGCAGAGAAGTGAGCCAAGACGGGGCTGGGATTTGATTGCTGTCATATCAACAATGCAGTGAAGTACCTGTCTCATTGCGTAGACCTCCTTCAGAATAATTTGTTATAACATCAGGTTAAGTTAACTGAAAAGCAAATTATAGTAATTCATTTCAAGAATGCCTATTTATTTCAAACTTGAATGGTTGAATATTGACAATTTTATGTGATTCAATTTAATAACGAGTAGCCATTAAAATAGATGATGTAGTCAATATTTTTAGACATGAAATGTACCTATGTAAGAAAATAAAACCTGTTGTCTTTTTAATATCCTACAACAGGATAAATTCTAAGTAAGATATTTGAATGTAAAAAATTATTCAAGTACCAAGAATAAAATAAGTGAATTCCTCCATAACCTGGTATGAGGAAATTTTTCTTTGCTGTGATTCAAGGTCAGAAATTACTAGAGAAAAGATTGATACATTCATTTACATAAATTTGTGAAGTATTTTATGATAAAATTATTATATGCAAAAAAGAAAGATAAATAACAAATTCGGACAATATATGAAACACATATAAGAAGCAAAATATTAACATTCCTAATATATAAGGGGCAGTAAAATTAATGGCTTTGAGGTAAACTCTTTTAGGGACTTTGCATAAGTAACTCACGTTTAATAATGGAGATGGTGATATTTTACCTCATACAGTGTCTCATACAGTAAGTGAAGAAATGTATTTAACATCCTTGTCTGTGTATCAGATTCATAGGATATGTTCAAGGAATGGTAGTTTAGTGTAGTTCAAGGGGGATAATATGGCATGATATTAATAGTGGAGTCCAACTGTAATCCTCATTATGAGTATAATCATACCATGTTAATGTACTTTCATTCAGTCAAAATCAAGTAATCATATGACTGTAGTGTCTATGGTTTACTATCATCTCCTCCTTCATATTAAGCAAAAGATCTAGCAATGAAGACTTAGAAAAATAACCATTATTATTAAGTTAAATATTTTTGTCCTAGCAGATACTTAGATAAAACTGAATAATAAAAAGGGTTCAGCAACAGGAGTTAAGACATTGACCACTGATAATAGAGGATAACTACTTGAACCAGTGCTACAGTATGGCAAAGGGATTATTTCTATTGCAGGAACTGTGTGATTACGGGTAACTATCCCATCCTGAGAAACTCTTAGTGCTTGATGAAAACCATGAAATTAATTGATAACATACCTGGGTTAATTTATCAAGGATTATTTTCAAAGGCTCTGTGTAATATGACAAAAATCCATAGAATCTGGAATTGGCCAACTGGAGATTTTTAATCCTGGTCCCTTTGCCTAAATTGATCCAGCTCCTACCATCCCATACAGAAACTCACCCTTCTATTGAATCTGTGTATATGATGTTCCACTTTAATAACTCCAATAACAGTGCCAGAGTGACTAACAAAGATACTTCAGTGATTGTTGTTCACTTGCACATCATCCCTTCAATAAATTAGGAGCCTGTCTTTAATAATGGAGAATTAATATGAGTGTTATTTGTAATAAAAATAAATAGAAAATCTTTATTTGGATTATGACTTTTAGAATACTGTAATATAAATTTCTGATTATGATGAAGGAAGCATATATTAAAACTATTCTTGTATCTCTTTCCATCAGTATTGAAGTCAATTTAGGAAACAGTTTTTGGACATTGGCTTTCTTTAATTTATGGTGTCTGTCTCTTGCCGCTTCCTAGGTTACAGTTTTCGTGAAGAGCTTGATAATTTTTTTCTATTTCATTTTGTAGAATTACTTGGTAGGCTGAAAAGCAGTCCTACTTCAAGAGAAAATGAAATTTAGAAACCTCATTATTATAGCATTAGCTTATAACTGGGATTATTACTAATAATTATTTACATTATACGGTACCTTGTGAACTGGCTTAATACCCTTTCAGTGATTGACTTCCCTTCCTTTTCCTCCAATAGCTAACATTTTCTTCTCTGTCAGTTTAACGGCTTTTGTAGTGATCTTAATGGCACTTTCCAATGTCCTGAAATATTAACATTATTTGGTTTGCTGAGAAAGGATCAGAATTTAGATACCTTGAGTTTGCTTTCAGCATGATAATGAGATAGTTGTTTTGCTATGAGATAGTTATGCGGATGTTCACATACATTATAACTTGCAAACATGTTTATTTGGGTAAATCTAATTTCTCTGTCAAGA
Organism: Homo sapiens; assembly: GCF_000001405.40. Lineage (NCBI taxonomy): Eukaryota > Metazoa > Chordata > Mammalia > Primates > Hominidae > Homo > Homo sapiens. The sequence goes on from NC_000002.12 coordinate 208,972,436, forward strand.
GCTAATCTACTTAAAATTAAGGGCTTTTTTTAATTTAAAACGTTTAAAGGGAAAACTTATCACTAATCAATATTAGAAAGTATTCAAAAGCTTTGTTTTCTTTCTTTGGAACATCACCAACCATGCAGAGAGAGTTATCATCTTGAAGTAAAGTAGGAACTAGTCCTACACTACCTCTAGAAACACATTCCCTGCCTTCCTAAGAAGCTAGCTATCCCACCAATCGCCAGATTTCACCTCCCGCGGGCTCTGCCTACTATGTCAAATTAGCCCACATTATCCAATTTACAAATTCTTATCTCATTAGTGATTATATTTGCAATGTATTTGTGATTGCTCTTTCCCCTAATAAAAAGACAAATTTCTAGTATATAATTAGTGTCCACATTTGGACCTGATGCCTGTACCTGCAGTAGTTTTATGTATTTTAACTGTATTTATAATTTATTTATTTACATTTGTTATTGAATATTTTTTCCAGGTACAACATGCTACCTTATATTTGTAGGGACCTATATGACTGATGTCATAATGAATAGCCGCAGGTGCATCATAAATTTACATGACTACAAACAAAGTAATCTCCATTCCTGCTTATTTTCCAGAACATCACATCTCCCCGTTCTTGTGCTGGCAATCCACTTAATCTTACCTTCTTTATAGAAATAACTGTTCTTAGGTACTGTTTCAGAGGTATTGTCTAAGGGCCCATGATCCATGATTATTAGAATCTATGATTTAAAGGTTCATCTCTTTCATGATTGTATCAGCTTCCCCGAGATGTTTCTTGTGTAAGGACCTGTATGTAAATTTAATTTTTTAAAGACTTCATGTAGACCTCCAGAAGTTTTAAATGTTCTCTTGAAGAATAGTTTGTCTCTTCTCCAAAAATTTGTCTTATGATATATTTAGGAGGAAAGTATAGCAGAAAAAGATGACTTCCTACATAATATTTATTATCTACATCTTCTGCAGTTATCACACTTGATATCATTTATTATCACACATGATATTATTTAGGGTGGCAATGTGTTCAGCTAAAATGATTTATTTCTCAGCCTACCTTGCAGATAGGTTTGTTCATATGACTAAGTTTTTAAAAATTGTCTAATTTACTTTTTGCAATTAAAAGTCATTGCAAAAACCACAATTACTTCTGCACCAACCTAATATATGTATTGAATTTGTTGGGAGGGATTTCTGTGAACACTCTTTAATAGGATACAAAGAGCTAGGCTCCCATTTACATTTCCCATTTTCCTTTTGCTGCTTTCTAACTGAGAAATTGTCATGATTATCAGAACTCTAGAAAGTTGCTCATTAGGCAATCTTGAATACAGAAGTGGTAAAGACTGAGAAGGACAAAAGAAGCCTGGTTTTCTGATAACTATGAAGCTATCATTTTACGCATGTGTTATTTGTCTCATATTCTTTTAAATCATTACATGAAGAACATGTAGGTTCTAGCATTCATCTAGCAGGTTCTCTGTTACTAGTTGTCAAACAAAATTACTAACTGAAGAAATATATCAAAATTAATTTTAACTGAGATTGAATTGATCACATGAGAAAATGATAAGGGTCTTAATTTAGATTGGGTTATGCAAGAAGCAGTTCCCGAAACAGATATTTGAGTCCCAGAAGTTAATGTGGAAAGTGATTATGTTCAGATTTTTAAAGTTTAAGAATCAATCTGGGGCCAGGCACAGTGGCTCATGCTTATAATCCTATCACTTTAGGAGGCTGAGGCAGGTGGATCACTTGAGCTCAGGAGTTCAAGACCAGCCTGGGCCACAGGGCAAAAACCCTGTCTCTGCAAAAAATACCAAAAATTAGCTGGGCATGATGATGCACACCTGCAGTACCAGCTACTGAGGAGGCCGAGGTGAGACATTCACCTGAGCCTGGGAGGTTGAGGACGCAGCGAGCTGTGATCTTGTCACTACACTACAGCCTGGGCAGCAGTGTGAAACCCTGTCTTTAAAAAATAATAATACAAATACAAGAATCAATCTAAGAAATTGTGTAAGTGATAAGGAAGGAAATGGTGTCAAAAGAAGAGCTTTAAATGGCAGCATATTACTGTCAGTAATAGGAGTTCAACCCTGTTGGGTTTCTCTGAGACACAACATAGAATCTACTACAGAGATTCCCCATCTAAGCCTATAAACCTGGGATATTTATTCAACAACTGGGTTTATCATTGTTTAAGGGCTTCTCCTTTGAGCATTCACTACCCAGAACTTACAGCCTTTCCCAGTCATGGACTAAGAAAACTTTTGTGGCTAGAGAATGCTCAAGAAAAAAATTTTAAGGACTGATATTAGAAAGGCAATGGTATTTAAGTGACAAATGGTTTTGAACATAGAATTAACACTATCTGCTAAAGTCCATTTTTTCACACTCAAAGCCTTGCTTTATCCATTAAAACTTGCTGTCCTGTCACTGATAGCCAGTCACAATTTGTAAAAGAAAAATAAAAGATAGTAGAAATAATAATAGTAACAAGAATAGCAATAATAATAATGTGGGCGCCTATAGTCCCAGCTACTTGGGAGGCTGAGGCAGGAAAATGGCGTGAACCCGGGAGGTGGAGCTTGCAGTGCACCGAGATCATGCCACTGCACTCCAGCCTGGGCGACAGAAGGACTCCAACTCAAAAAAAAAAAAAAAAAAAGAATAGCAATTATGATAATGGTAAGAAGACAGAGGAGTTATTAGGATACACTTCATTCTGTGCTATAGTCCTTTATCTGGAGGCTATAATTGATATTGATTATCTTTTTTCCCACCCATTTTAGATTCTCTCAACCAAATAAAGTACTTCTTTTAGTTTATGTTGCTCACTCCATTGAGTAACTTTGAGAGTCATCCCTAAAGTTGTGGTCTCCTGGTCCCTGTATTTCTGTTAGACCATAATTACTGGAGTTGTACTTTCATAGTCACTAAACATGGAAATACCTGAAAGGTCTGGCAATTCTCCTAAGTCCTAAATATACCCTTTCCTGATATCAATAAGCAAAATAACACCCTAAAATTAAAAGCATATAAATATCAGAAATGCAAAATCACCTTATATATTTGTTTCAGAAGAGAAATCTTGGAAAATTATTTCCTATTTTATAGCTTTCTTCTAGTAAAAAGTAACCTATTTCATCATAATTTACTATGTTTCTTTGTAGCAACATTTTGTTTAGGCTTTTACATCAAAATTTATGAGAAAAAATGGGCTATAATTTAAGAAAGGTACTATTATTTCTAATTGTTGATATCAAAGAAGACCTGACCTCATACAAAATATATTGAGAATTGCTGTCACTTTTTCTTTTCTTTGAAAGGATATGTGTAAAATTAGTTTTTTTTACTAAATTATTTGAAAAATATTCCCAGTAAAGCCTTCTGGACTAAGTGTTTTCTTTTTGAAAAAGTTTTTTATTACAGTTTTAATTTCTTTTTTAGGTATGACTCTTAGTTTTAATTTCTTTCATTAGCATGGTAAACCTAATATTTAAGGAATTTGCTTTTTCGTTTACATTTTGAATAATTCTTTTTTCTTTTTTTCTTTTTTAAATTTTACTTTAAGTTCTGGGATACATGTGCAGAACGTGCAGGTTTGTTACATAGGTATACCTGTGCCATGGTGGTTTGCTGCACCTATCAACTCGTCATCTAGGTTGAATAACCTTTTAATTCAAAAAAGGAAATTGCTGGAAAATAGATGTGTAATAGATAGGAGAGATTTTTCATTATTTACAGGTTGTGGTGATATTAGTCCGTTTGCCAATGCCACATATAGAAAACACTTGCTTGGATTAGAGAAAATATATGCACAAGTAAATAAATTACCTTCCTTCTTTTTTATGAGACTTAAATACATTGACATTTTTGGTTAAATAGAAAAAAAGTTTCTTAAAGTTGCAAACCTAAAAAAACTCACTTGTTCAGTAGAAATTTACTGATTACATTAGTATGAATTTGATAAGAGTTCTGGCATCTCTTAAAGCCAAATGACCAATTGAGCTCATTAAAAGGGCAACAATGAATTGATTTCTTGAAGATTTTTTTTATTTCTTAAAATATATAGTCTCAGTCAAAAGAATGCAACCATGAAAACTTTGATTACATTTTATAAAGTGTTCAAATTAGCTACCAAGCATCCCAAAACATAAGAAATATGATGGATTTTGTACTATCATGCTTTATTTTAATTACTTTAACTCAGTGATGAGGTTTTTAAAAAAAAAAAAAAACTAGACTGAATTGAATTACCGATACAAAGGCCAAAACTATGGGGAGTAATCTGGATACAATGCATTGATTTAGTTTTATACCAATTAACCTAACAGTTGTTTTCAACTCAGAAGTCAATTGAAGAGCAAATAAATGCCTTCTGAGATCATCTGCTTGTCATCACCTTTTAGCATCCTGCAGAAAAACTAGAATGAATCATGGTATAGGTGCATCAGTGGAACAGCTGATACCAGGTAGGGAGAAATGCTTAGAACAACCTATAGCAACGCAAAAGTGTATGCTGGGGCTACCTTCTTCCCAGAGGACTTTACAGCAGAGAAAGAAAAAAGATTGAAGCTGTGGGAAGCCCTGCAGATTCAGAGGTTCTTTGATTTCCAACAGTAGAGCCTGATGCTTCAGAGATGATTCTAAAGATCTCAACTTGTAGAGAGATTCTTTTGGTCCTTTTAAGGTTTTCAAGAACTTTCCTTGGGTCTTGGAAATACAAACTGCAGCAGAAATGTCCTTGTGAATCAAAACTTTGGCAGATGGGGGAGCAAAGACTGTCTATGGAGAAATGTTTAATACAATAATAAAAACAAAATAAAATGAGATCTGAGAACCTGTAAAAATAAATCAGATCATAATGGTGATGTCTCCTCAGAATCTCTTATTTCTGTGAGTTGTGTTTAGTTTCCTCTAGCTACCAGGTCTAATATCAGAAAAGACTTCACCACTTTTCTTTCAATATGACTTGCTTTTGGTTACACATTGAAAGAATTAATAAGAATTATTTAATTGAGACTTGCTATTTCCCAAAGCCAAACTTGTGAATGTGGTGTTCTGTTGGATCAAAAATTATTCATATTCTTTACTTCTGTTTGCATAATTGGTTTGTTTTCTTGCCCATGTTTGTTAAACATAAAGTTTTCTGTCCTCTTGTCTTCTGCAGACATAGAAGCAAAGGAGGCATATCCACTCTGTTGTAGACTTAAAGCCCATGCAGAGGCAAGTCATCCGGGAACCCTCTTTGTAACAGAGCTGTGAGGAGAGAGGCTTCAGAGTGAGCTCTAGAGGATGGCATTTCTTTCAGGAGACTCCTCCACAAACGAAAATTCCCTAGGGTTCCAACCAACCATCCTCTTGCAAGACAATTTTACTTACATTTTCCCTTTCCTTCTCTTCCCTTCCCTTCCCTTCCCTTCCCTCCCCTCCCCTCCCCTTCCCTCCCTTTCCCTCCCTTTCCCTCCCTTCCCCTCCCCTTTCTGTCTTTCTCTCTTTCTTTCTCTTCTTCTTTTTTTTTTTGTTTTTTTTTTTTTTTGTTTTTTTGAGATGGAGTCTTGCTCTGTTGCCCAGGGCGGAGTGCAGTGGCACAATCTCAGCTCACTGCAACCTCCACCCACTGGGTTCAGGTAATTTTTGTGTCTCAGCCTCCCGAGTAGCTGGGATTACAGGCATGCACCAACACGCATGGCTAATTTTGGTACTTTAGTAGAGACAGGGTTTCTCCAGGCTGGACAGTCTGGTTTTGAACTCCTGACCTCAAGTGATCCACTCGCCTCAGCCTCCCAAAGTGCTGGGTTTAGAGGCGTGAGCCATTGCACCCGGCCAGTTTTACTTACATTTCTAATTTGTGTTTCGACTCTTTGTTTTATTTAAATGCATTTTTTCCAAAAGTCTGAGTCAAGTGAGTTCTTCCCATTACATTTAGACCTTATGAAATGTGCAGTGTAGTCACTTAGGGGATGTGTACTTCATTTGCTTAGCTCTGAGCCTATTGGTAAACATCAAAAGGATCAAAGGTCAGAAAATACCATCCTCGTATACTTCTACCAATATTGGTGTTTCCTGAGTTATTGCCATGGAATTATTGTATTGTCATCTACTTGTTTCCAAATAACCAACATACTTCTTTTCCCTTTTTCTGATTCATATCTCTGTATGCTAAAAACTCTGGTTATAAGGAAGAGAGCAACTCTGATCAAAGAAATCAAACTAACATGTTAACTTGTTAAAAATTCATATCATTAAGATGAAGTAATCTTTATGCTGGAAAGAAGATTGGTGTTATAATAAAACTCATTTTTAAAATTTACATTCATGTTTGGACCAAAATTGTATTGAGGGGAACCACAAAACCTGAGTACTTGATACATAGGTAGCTACAGCCATTGTTAGATCTTAACATCCTATTCACACAAATAATATGAAAGGCATGAGTGCTTTAAAGAAAGTCAAACCAAACAGCCTCATTGTAGATAATAACATAACATTTCACTCTTTACACATTTTTCTGATCTTAGTGTAATACTGCACTTTGCCTTGTATGATAGTTATTTGCATACATGCTGTGAATAATTTTTGGAAGCCTACCCAGCCTCAGTACTGGTCTTTCTTTCCTATATCCTAATATCATCCAGATGTCCTTTAGGGATCCACTCCTCCCTCTTTGTGTAGCATTCACTAGATTATTCTCATTTACACATTCTGGCAGGAAACCAGATTAGTTTAAAGGAAGTGGTGTAATTCCACCTCATCTGCCATAGTGTTTGACTTAATCATGGGCATGGGACCTAAAGTCAGTTTGGGGATAAATACTACATATGTTTATCTGGATGTGGATGGTGAAGCACATAGCCCTTGGAGTTGTCAGCAGCAATCATGTGACTGGGAAAAAGAAACCATAGGATGAGGCTGACTTTGTGGGAAGCAGATTGGAGAAATGGGGGGAAAAGTAAAAACATAACCCACCTCCTTACTGACATCACTGAGTCACTGGATCAAATCACCCTGAAGCCTACTCTACCTTTGGACTTTATAATGGAAAATAGTCAATATATTTAAACCAGGGTGAGTCTGAGTGTTCAGTTATTAACACTATTACATGTACTAATATATACAGAATGTAAATTTAAATTTTCTGAGAACAGTCTGTGAGTTCTTCTTTTTGTAACTATCCTACATTGGCTTTCATGAGACCTTTCAAATATTGGTACTTGGTACTTTGAAGTGCTTTGTGGACTTCTGACCAAGAGTATTAACAGTGTTATCTACACTCCAACATGAAACAACTTTCTGTCCAACTGAATGGACAGAAAGCATGCAACAATGGTCCTTAAGACATTGGACATCAGGCAACAAAAGATGAAACTTCAGACTTGGTGATACTGTTTGGATATTTGTCCCCTACAAATCTCATGTTGAAATATGATTCCCAGTGTTGGAGGTGGGGCCTGGCGGGAGGTGATTGGCTCATGGGGGCAGATTTCTCATCAATGGCTTAGCACCATCCCATTGGCGATAAGTGAGTTCTCGTTGTTAGTTCATGTGGGATCTGGTTGTTTAAAGGAGTCTGGGACCTCGTGTTATATGAGGTGCTTGCCCTGCTTTCACCTTCCACAATGAATATAAGCTTTCTGAGGCCCCCACCAGAGGCAAATGCCAGCACCATGCTTCCAGTACAGCCTCCAGAACTGTGAGCCAATTAAACCTCATTTCTTTCTAAATTACCCAGCCTCAGGTATTTCTTTTAGTGAAAAATAAACAAACAAACAAAAAACTAATACAGATGGGAAACAAATGAGGTGGGCCCTATGAATGTTCCATCTCACTGCCTAGAGAGAGTACAGGGTATTGGCAACTAGGTTGTGCCCTATGGTCCCCCTGAGTTGAAACAGAACTGGAAGTTTTGGGGTGCCAAGGCATCTCAGATTCATAGTGCAGAGGACCATAAAAGAGACAGTTGCATAGAGAGAGGACTTCAGAGATCAGCAGAGGGACCTCCTATTTACAGGTAGCTGAGATCTTCCCCATCAATGTGGTATAATGAAAGGTAATCAGGCTTTGTCATCAGACAGATGTCAGCTAAAAGCCTGGATCTATCATTTCTCCTTTGTGATCCTAGTCTGGTTTCCTAGGTGACATGGGACTCATTTTGAAACTCACACATAGTAATTGATCTAGATAGTTATGTTCTTTGAAAATTGAATTGTCACAGCAAAGAGTAGAAAATATATGCTTTTAAATATGTGAATGACTTCAAAGGTGGAGTTTTGACTAAATGGAACACAAGTCCTAATACAAATAACTAACGTAAGAATCTGATCGTGAGATATTTTTAAGTAAAAAAGGCAAATAGCAAACATTAGAGCTCTTATATACTCTTCACTTTGGAAAAAAAAAACTTGCCAATACCTAGTAAGTTTAAAGATGTATCTACTTTATGGCTGTGTAATTCTACTCTTAATTACATAAGCCAGATACACTCTTGCATTTGAGCACCAGCTATGTGAATTGTCATAGACTCATTGTTTGTAAGAATAAAAATAAAAAATAATCTAAATAACCATCAATGGCTGACTAATAAGCAAAGTAGGGTATGCACAATATTTATGTGCTTGAGGCATATATTGAATCCATGTCCATTTCTATTCTTTAACTCTGACTTGAATATACCAAGTATTTATGATATCTAAATGGAAGTAAAATTCTGGCTTTATTCAGAGAACCCAAAGTAAAGAGAACATATAGAGGGTAGTCCTATCCAAGTTTTGACTAGGTAATAATCAGTATTATTATTTGAGAAATGTTGCCAACTTGGTTCTCGCTTCTCTAACAGTGTGTGTGTGTGTGTGTGTGTGTGTGTGTGTGTGTGTGTGTGTGTTCCCAGGCTCAAAAAGCAGAATGGGAACCTAAAGAAAAACAAAGTATATGAATATATGGGATCAAATACAGGATTTACCACAAATTATATATTTCATAATGAGCAATATTTTTTCCTTCATGAGGCCCTTTGGAGTAGAACTAGGTTATCTCAAAAGTTATGTCCAACTTAAAAATTCTATGATTTGTCATTCTATTAATACATATATTCTTTATTTCTAAATGTTGAAGGTCATGTAATAAAGGGAGTTTTAAAATTTTTAAATGTATGCTTTTCTGAAATAAGAATTTGTTGCAATCAAATAAGTATTTTTTTAAATGCTAGGGGACTATTACATTTATTAGCACATATATTGTGTGCAATAAAAAGCAGTGCGTTGACATTCTAGAAGAATAGAGTGAATTTTTTTTGAGTTTCTGCCCAGCACTGTGGTTAATCTCACTCACACTTTAAACAAATGTGATATTATGATTTTGTTAATAATTTTATGAGCTCTGCAACTACAACTATTATTTTTCTAACTCAGGATATATGCCTTAAGATTCCTGATTAAACTGATACTCTGATACAAGGTCATTGTTTAGTAGGAGTTAAAACTGAAACTTGATAATACAGGCTGAACAAAATTTAAGCAGAAATTGACATTTTATGACTTGTGTTATTCATTTATTCATTCAATTCCTAATTCAACAAGTATTTATCAATCACATACAGCAATGGAGAGATTTAATGTTAAATGAACTCTTACAGCTAATTGTGCATTGGCCTGATTTAATTTTCCTTTAAGAAGAGCATCCTAGATTTGGGGAGAACCTTTGAGGATGAGAAGAAGCTCTTACAGAAGTCCTGGCAAGTGATTATGATAATCACTTGATGTGATATGATAAATTATTATGATTAGTAGTGCATGACTTATTGTAATACTTGTTTATTTTATATATTTTATCTACTCATAACTCTGCTTCCATTAAAATAATTATTACTGTTTGTTTGCCTTCCTCAGTTAAAAATACATATTGAGAAGAAATAACAGTTGTAAAAAAGTTAAGAATCATAAGCTTAGCAGTGAATAGTTAAGCAATATATGTAGTTGAAAGTACTATCATTTATTAAGCCAAACCCAGCTTTCCTTAGAGAAGCTAATAAACATTTATTTTAGTGTGACAACAGGGGTAGTTGCCTTTTAATACTAAAAGTGTCAGGAGAGGTAACGAATAATTTTTTTAGACTTTCTTGTCAAAGACTAAAGATAAAATATGATGCTATTTTTTGACACGATACAAGTAATGCCAGTTCAAATTAAATGATCCACCATTGTTCCTAAAATCTGGTGAAAAATGGCTCAATTCCAAATGCATAGCTTTGCTGTGAAATACAGGTGAATAAATCTGGTATATTCCCAGGAACATTCTTAAAATAACTTACCAAATGCATAAAACAAGAGATAATAAAGTGACTATTAAATATTTGTGACTTTTTTTCCTCTTAAGATTTGTTAAGATTGTGCTCTTTACTAGGTGTATTTCACAGCGCAAAGGAGCAAATAGAAAACATATTGCTGATTTAGTAAAAAGTTTCTGAGTATATGATCTAAAATTTAAACCATACCATGCAATATTTGGAGTCAAGCCATAAATTCTAAGGCTGGGAGTGAGGAATATTCCTCAGGCAGTTCCTGGGGCATGTTCAGATTTGAAATAATGGAATGCATGAATGGAGGCTCAGCAGTACAGAAGATTCACTGAGTTGTTACCTGCATAGAAGAATGGACAGAAACTGGATTACTAACAAGGAAGTGGATTTTTAATTTACTTTCTTCTCTTGTTCTCTTAAAATGAGTGAACAGGCTGGGTGCAGTGGCTCACGCCTGTAATCACAGCACTTTGGGAGGCCGAGGCAGGCGGATCACCACGTCAGGAGATCGAGACCACCCTGGCCAACATGGTGAAACCCCGTTTCTACTAAAAGTACAAAAATTAGCTGGGTGTGGTGGCACGCGCCTGTAATCCCAGCTATTCGGGAGGCTGAGGCAGGAGACTGGCTTGAACCTGGGAGGCTGGAGATTGCAGTGAGCCAAGATCACGCCACTGCACTCCAGTCTGGTGACAGAGCAAGACTCCGTCTAAAAATAAAAAATAATAAAAAAGATGAGTGAACAATCCTCCATAGCATTTGATACGTTCAATTTCTTTTACCTCCATAAAGATTCTTATCACACTGAAAAGACAGCAGGATGTTTTGGTATAGCTTATATAAAATACCAGCTCTGAAACAAATGGTTAGTCTAGGTTTATTGCACCATGTAGGCGCTAGCTGAGAGGCCTCTAGAGAAACCTGTTCTGAAAAATCACAAAACTAGTGGCTCCACAGGCAACTCTTATCAGCCTGTAACATCAGTGTTAGACAAAGGAATGTCTGGACAGAAACCAAGAAAAAAACCTTGAGGCATTTTTAGATAAGAAATTTTGAGCCAGAATCCATGCGAATATCTTTGTGGCAAAATATATCCATGTATATCCTATTAATAACAACAACAATAAAAATCAGGGGCTGATGTTTTCCTTCTATATCATTTTAACTTTTCTGTAATGCTTTATATGCAAGAAAAGTAGAATCAATAAAATTACTTTTTTTAAGGCAAGACATGAACTTGCGTAAATTTGCCTTGAGTTTGGAATTGAATGGTTAGAATTTTTCTGAATCAAATCAAGAAGCTAAGACTTCAAAGTGAGACTGATGCTCGAGGATACAAAGAAAAATCAATTTCCATGTTCTCATATGCAAAGTGCTTGAAATTCATCAATCTCATCCTTATAACAAGAAAAAGCTGGACTAACTGAAAATCAATGGCTTTTTTGGATCTAACAGAAAATTGAGGTTGAGAAGCAAACCATCACATAAAAGTCTGTAAATGAAGAAGCACTCAGAGGGATACCACAACTGGGGTATGCTTATCAGATGCAGAAACTGCTGGAGGCAAAAACTGGTAGGAACACCTACATGATAATGATCTCATTTAGTTCTCAGAACTATCTTATTTGGTGGATAGTATTATTATCACCATCTCACAGAGGAGGAAATTACAACTTTACCTAAGGTTGTAATTTTAGGATGTAAAGCCAAATTTGCTGGATTCTAGTGGTGTGGCGGTAAATGATTAACAACTGGCTCTGAGGGATGGGCGTATCATAAGGGAGTCTGATTTCTAGCATTTTTCCAGTGTGAATACTTCCAACATGGCTTATTGCAAGCTACCAATATGGCGTCACTGAATGCAGTGGGGCACACATGTGCTCCATGGAAGGCAGGACTAGGACAACAATAGCAGGATATCTATTTCAGAGCTTTAAAAGATAAACATTTCTTTGTAATAACTGTCATATTGACAAAGAAAGGCAAAACATAAATTAACACATTTGTCAGTTTTTACACTATTTTTGGAAATTTACAAAACAAACGCCAGGCAGGAAGTTTGCTAACACAGGCTTTAATGAGCAGCTTGGAAATGGGCCCTGCAGAACTGCTGAAGAAGCATTCCAGAATTCTGACTGTACTAAGAAGCAGTATAACATGAATGGTTCAAAGCATGAACTCTGCACAGATTGCTGGAAATGCTATCCCGGCACCTAGTAACTGGGGGAACTTAATACTCAATTCTCTCCATTGCCTTAGATCTTGAGATTTGAGGGTATGAGGCCAAGGGTAACTCATGACTGCCTGGTGTATAACCAGTTTTTCTTAGTCCTGGTCCACGAGATTTCTCGCCACTAAAATATGCAGCATTAATTTCAGTGCCAATATATTAGACAAGCAGGTAATATAAAAATCGAGTTAAATAATACTTTACATATGAAAAAGACTTAACAGTTTACAAAGCAATGACCTGTATATTTTCTATGTGATAACTAAATAAATAGCATTCTTTTGAAATAAGGAGGTTGGAGATGGACTAATGTTTATAGGTGAAGGAAAAACATTTCTGAGGTAAGAGGTATTCCAGCTATGAATTGAAACTGGATATTCCAGTGCTAATCTCAGCATATTTTCTAGTAGGAGATTGAAGCCAAATTTAATGGGAAAAAAAAAGTCAGGGATGACAGGGATGGAGCACACTGGTGAAATTCATTTAAGATTCAGTCACATTTTAATTAAAGAATAAAAACTTCTCATTGCCTTTCTTCAGATTTTACATATGGCTGTATTTCCTCTCTTGAAGGACAGCTCTTTCCAAGTATGAAGGACCCAAGCCTCATTTACTAAACAAAAATTCCATGCCATTAAAAAAGTAAATTTTCTAGAGTAAGACAAAATCAATCAACTGTTAAAGACTAAAAAAAGCCGTTTCATAATTTGTCCATTTGTTTTTGTTAGTAGAACACGAATGCCACAGAAATAGTAACATATTATCCAATTTGGTTTAATTTGAGTTAGTATTAGACCAGCTGGTAGGAAACATGTCATGGAGTAGAGCAGAAAATGATTAATTGCCATTGAGAGGCACCAATTGTAAGTTTTTTAAGAGTTCAGATAAGAAAACGATCTTTTCAGACTGTGGTGGTCAGGGAAGGCTTTATCTCAGGTACACATGGCAACTGATTGTCAGCCAACACTAGCAATATGTCCCAGTGAGAGGAAACCGATAGAATTACCATAGAGATTGGTTTTATTTAACGTTAAGCCTCTGGGCCTGAAATGTTTAAATAGGATGCAGGGGATATTTGGGGGTATTTATCAATTTTAGTACAAGTTGAAAGAAAGTGAAAATGTTACTGAAAGATTTTTTTTGAGTAGCCTAAGAAATTTTAAAATGTAATTTAGCACAGATAAATGGAAGCTTGTTCACCTGGAGACAAAAACATTTTGGAATCTTGCATGTTACACTAAAATTAATATATTTTAGTATTAGGCACAACACAAGATTACTAAGTGTAGTTAGCTGATTAAAAACAATGTTTTGGTATTGAAGCATTCTGTGAGAAGTATGTTACTAGAAATAAAACTGCATTGGTGATTCTTAAACTGCACACCTTTGAGTCTGAGAGATGAGCTCTTACTTTAGAAAAATGATGGTTAAACGTATGCATTTTTCATTCATTGTTGGGGTTCCTTGTGCCCCTTAAGCCCACACAACTATTTAGGCTATTTAGGCTTAAAAGCCTAGCTTTATACAAAAATTTATAACATATTTAGATACAAAATTTTAATTTAAATATAAAATTTTAATATAAAATGTATTATTAGGCTTTAAGCCAATTACCCAGTATTACAAGTTGTATTTTCACCCATGGGTGTCTCCAATCTGAAGTCTTACCCCACAAAAGTGGGGATACGATAAGATGCTGGACCCTATGTTCACCTTTTTATTGTATAGGGCCTTATTGTTGTGTAATTTGCATAATTTAATTAAAGTTAGAAAGGGGGAAATGCTGGCCAGGTAAAACCAGCAGACACCCTTGAACACACTTTATAGTGGCCAAAATTTGTCCATTTTTTTATTGAAGTCCACAGCTTTATTGAAATGTCTGTTTCTCCCATCAATTCTGTAAGTTTCTGCTTCACATATTTTTGGTTGTTAGGTACACATATGTTTATAATTTTTACATATTCCTGATGGACTAAACCTTTTTCTTTATAAATGTCCCTCCATCTCTTACAACAATTTTTGGCTCAAAGTCTATTTTGTCTGATACTAGTACAAGCCATTCCAGCTGCTTGTATGGTATATCTGTTTTCTTTTTTTTTTTTTTTTTGTTATACTTTCAACCTATTTGCATCTTTGATTATAAAGTGTGTTTTCCCCAAATGTCATATACTTGGGTCTTGTTTTTTACTTTAGTCTGACTAGCTTTTTATTGGATTGCTTAATCTGTTCACATGTAATGTTTTTAGTGATATGGTTGCATTTATATCTTCTCTCTTGCTTTTATTTTCTATATGTCTAATGGCCATTTTGGATTTTTCTTCCTTCTATGTTACTTCTTTCTCTAACTAAAATATTTCATAGGGTACCAATTTAATTTATTTAATGATTCTTGAATATATATTTTTAAATCATTTCTTTAGTGGTTGTTTTAGGGCTTACAATAGACATATATACTCTACAGAATCTATTTCCAATGTATATTAATTAAATTTTATTAAGATATAGAATTTAGTCCTGTGTAGTTCCATTGCCCTTCTCTAACTTTTTGGGCTGTTTGTTTACATATTACATCTTTATGTGTTGCAACCCCAACAATACATTGTTATAATTATTGTTTTATGCATTTTTATGTTTTAAATATTATAATTATTACTTTATATTGTTTCACGTCTTTTAAAGAAACTAAGAGACTAAAAGAGAGCATAAATGAATCTATAAATTTTTTAAAAATAACCTTTTTATGTACCATTATTTTGGTTCCTTTATTTCTTCCTGTAGATTATAATTACCATCTGTATTATTTTTTAACTTCAAAATAATTACCACCTCTCTCCTTTGTGGTGTTATTGTTAAGTATATTTCTAAAGTTCATAGCCTGACAATAAAATCTTTTGACATTGTTTCATGCAATTGTTTTTTAAATTAATTAAGATTAGAAAAATAGTGAACTATATAGATACACAATATTTCATTATTACTGACATAATTACTGGGGCTCTTTGGTCTTTTTTTGTTTGGATTCACATTATTTTCTTGTGTCATTTCCTTCAGTATAAGGGAATTTCTTTAGTGTTTATTTTTAACGACAGTCCTCTAGGAACAAATTCTATTAGGTTTTATTTATCTGGACTGTCTTTTCTTCATCTTTACTCTTGAAAAGTGGCTTTACTGCATATACAATTCTCAGCTGACAGCTATTTTTCTTTCAGGACTTTGAATGTGTCATTTCCCTGGTTTTCATCCTCAGTTGTTCCTGCTGAAAAGTCAGTTGTTAATCTTATTGTGATCCCCTTGTGATGACTTATGAGTCATTTTTCTTTTTTTGCTTTAAGATTTTCTCTTTATCATTGGTTTCAAATTTTTTGCTATGGTATGCTTGGGTGTATTTCTTTTGTGTTCATCCAACTGGGAGTTCATTGAGCTTTTTAGATGTGTAGATTAGATGTGTAGGTGTGCTTTTCAGCAAATTTGGGACAATTTCAATCATTATTTCTTTCAATATTGTTTCAGTCTCTTCCTCCCTCTCTTCTCATTCTGGTATACCCATTATATATATGTGGGTATGCTTAATGATTTCCTACATTTTTTGAGACTCTGTTTTCTTCATTCTCTTATGTATATTTTTAGATTGTTTGACCTCTATTGATCTGTCTTCAAGTCTGCTGACTGTGTTCTGCCAACCTAAATTTACTGTTTGTTTTATTATACTTAAAAACTCCAGAATCTTTATATGATTCTTAAAAAAATAATTTCTATCTACTTATATTATAGTTGATGAGTTCTTGATGTCATGCCTTCCTTTAATTATTTAGACTTGGTTTCCATTAGGATTTTGAACATATGAGCAAGCTAGGATGGAAACAATCAGGCCCCAGTATTCTTGGTCTTTCATTCCTGAAACGGAGCCCTAACCCTGTGAGCAGGAGTTGGGGAAAAGGGGAGCTCAGTGTCAGGGAAGGGAGACCTACTTCATGCAGTCAAACCTGCCAGGGATAGGACTTCTGCAACATAGCACTGAGGCAGGATAATAGATGGTGATGACCTTCCCTCCTGGCTAAATTCATAGCACTAGATTAGGAGCTAGCAAGAGCTGTTGTTTTTTTGGCTGTACCTGCTGAGAACAAAGCATCTGGAGCAGAGCTTCCATCCCATAAAGCTGGCAGAGGGATGTGGGAGCAGATCACAGCCCAAATGTCACTGACTGTGTTTTCACTGAGATTTAGTAGATGTTCTTGAATAAATGTTTCTTCATTTGCCGTATGCCTTTGGGGCAAATCCAGAAACTTTAAATGGCTGTGTGTGTGTGTGTGTGTGTGTGTGTGTGTGTGTGTCTGGGTGTGTGTGTGTGTGTTTAAATATAATTTTCACCAGTCAAATAATTGTTTCACTAGAGAGTTTACTGAGCTTTTCACACTATCATTATGGAGGTCCTAACCGGTCTATCGTTTGTTTCACTAATTTTTATTGATTATTTACATTTTAGTAACTGCTAAGGAGAATATCCTGACAGGCAAGAAACTGCCTCTTGTATTTTCATTTCTGCTATGTGTACAATTTTCTTACAGATTTAACGTTTAAAGAATCTTGGCTTTATTGCTGGTCAATTACATATGGGTTCTGTAAATTGTTACAGGTAAGTCAAAATGACCTGTGATCTGGACCAGGCTGATTCTCTGGTATCTTATTTGTTTTTATCTTTCTATTCCCCTTTCTGTCTGTGGCTATTGGATTTTTAGATCGGAACAATGTGAGATGTTCTTGCTGTACCAGACTGCAACAGAGCTTGAAACCAAATTTCCAAGGTTAACTTACCAAGGTCACATGTCCAGAAAGTACCAGGGCCCAGTGAAATTGAAATGTGAACCCATTTCTTTTGTCTAAAATTCTTTTTTATTGCTATTGCGGCTATATTGCTTGTTTTATTGTTGTTATTGAGTTGGCTTTATTACATTTGCTTTTGTTGTACTAGCTTTTCTCTTTTGCCCATTTCCCCCTGCTTCAAATCCTATTCACTTTTAAATGTCCTGGGCTCCCATGCTGCCACATCCTACACATAATGTAGAAGAATCAGCACAGATAGGAGGAATAAATATGGGAAAATCAAGATGTAAACCTTGAACCAATTCTGACATGTAATGATATACCCTTTGGCAGGTGCATTACCCATGACCCTTTAAAAACACAAGATTACTAAGAGGCCAAAAGAGATCAAGTATATGGACCCATTTGGAAATCAGTAAAGTAAAAATAAATTTAATGGATTATCACTGTTAATAATCCCAACAATAATAACTGAATAATTATTTTCACAAAATGTTTGGAGCTTAAGTTCTGGAATGATATGATAGTGTCTGTATCTACAAGTGATAACAAATATTGACATGTATTAAATATTTAATTAAAATTAAATATTAAAATGTCAACTTATTCACTGGGCTGAGGACTAATATTCAGAATCTTTACGTAGGCGAAATTTATATTCTAGCGAGGAAGACAGGTTAACAGAAGTTACGAGGAAAAATAACCCTGGAATACTGATTATTCTGACAGCCACAGTAGCTGTTTCTCTCTTTCTATAAGGCTGGACTCCTTGTCATTGAAATAATCCTTCATGCTGTGCATTACAATTTTGAAGGAAACAGGATAAGCATTTTTAGATGGCATCTGTTTATTTTGTCTGCCCAGAATTCATTCTTCATTCTTTTGACATGAATTCTTTTTTGCTAGGGGGAAACCCATTACATGTATGTTCTCACCATAAAGTGTTCACAGAACCAGAGATATGATAATCAAAATCTTATTTGGGATTTTCTGACAAAACTATTAGAGAAGGAACTCAATTTCACTGGAAATGAAAAGTGAATTATTTAAGAGCCTAGGCCTGCTGGGGCCTCCTCTGCCTCCCTAAGGAGGTAGCCTGCCTAAGAACGACGCCACCATATGTTCAGCAGAGCTGATGAAAGGAGAGAGCCAGATACTTGTTTATTTTATTTGGGCTTCAGGTTTCAGCCAATTCTGAAGCTAGCTCAGTCCTTTGGATTTTCCCCTTATAAAAGCCAACCAATTACCTTCTTATTTTAAGCTACATGGGAATTTTTTCATTTTCTTTCTTTCTTTTTTTTTTGAGACGGAGTCTTGCTCTCTCACCCAGGCTGGACTGCAGTGGCGTGATCTCGGCCCACTGCAAGCTCCTCCTCCTGGGTTCACGCCATTCTGCTGCTCAGCCTCCCCAGCAGCTTGAACTACAGGCGCACGCCGCCACGCCCGGCTAATTTTTTTGTATTTTTAGTAGAGACGGGGTTTCACCGTGTTAGCCAGGATGGTCTCGATCTCCTGACCTCATGATCCGCCCACCTCGGCCTCCCAAAGTGCCGAGATTACAGGCGTGAGCCACCACGCCCGGCTGATTTTTTCATTTTCAACTGAGGGAGTTTTACTAACAAAGTATTGTAAAAGGTTCCTGTAAATGTCCAATTTCTTCTTGTCTTAGTTGGGATGCTATAACAAAATGCCTTGGACTGTGTGGCTTATAAACAACAGAAATTTATTTCTCACATTTCTGGAGACCGGAACTCTGAGATCAGGTTGCCAGCAGGGTTAGGTTCTGATAAGGACTCTCCTCCAGGTTCCAGACTGCCAACTTCTCATTGTATCCTCACATGGTAGGAAGAGAGCAAATTAACTCTCTGATCTCAACTTATAAGGGCACTAATCCCATTTATGAGGGTGCTACCTTATGACCTAATTACCTCTCTGAGCCTTATATCCATATACCATCACACCGGGGATTAAGTTTCAGCATCTGATTTTTGGGAGAATACATTCAGTCCATAACACTTATCCTTTAGAAAGACTCTAATATGAAGAAAAAGATGAAATGGCCCTTTGGCTCTACAGTGTACCTGTGACTAGATCAGAAATAAGTAGTATAGTAGAACAGTCAATCTTGATACACATTATGTCATTAAAATATGTAAAATATATACACATATTTACTTACATAAATATACATATATAGATACAGATAGTGACTTTCCTTCTTTTTCATATTAGTTGTCTAATGCATCTTACTTTGTAATTAACTGAATGTATTACTGATCCTTTGGGCCAAGTACAGAAAATTCTACTTTAGGAAATGCTACGATTGAAGCTGCCTCCAAAACACATGCTACTTGTGATATTTTATGTGCTCTTTTATGGCCTTGACTTTCTCTTGGAGAGTGTCTTCTTGCACTGTTGAGTGCATATAGATAGAATTGGAAAATTGGAGATAAGATTAAAAGAGAATCTTACTTACACAGTGTTCATTAGAAATATTCTTGCTGAAGCCATAATTAAGACTCAGACTGGCTATTTTTCATGCAGTAGTAAGCATAGACTAGAACTCAAAGGCTTTCCCAGGGCCTAATTTATCTACTTACCATGAGCCCTCTATGAGGTCCAAGCTATTTCCAAGATGCACAAGGCATATCTGGCTCCAGGACGATTAAGGAAATAGAAATGCTGACAAATAATCTAAGTAATCATTGAGTCAAAGAAGAAATCTGAAGATAAATCAGAAAATATTTTAAACTAAATGATAATGAAAATATGGCAGATCAATAATCATAGGAGTAGCTAAAGCAGTGCTTAGAAGAAAATTTATAGCGCTAAATGCCTATATTAGAACAGATAGTAACCTAACAGTGATCTGTGGCTGCAATGTAAGAAAATAAAAGAGCAAAATAAACTCAAAGCAAACAGAAGAACAAAAATATATAAATATGATATAAATCAAGAAATAGAAATTGGCAAACAATAGGAAAAATCAGCAGTCAAAGGAGACAATAGGAAAAATCAGTAGTCAAAAAAGACAAATTGATAAGATTATAGCTATACAGGAAAGAGAGGGGGAAAAACTGCGAACATTTTTAGGAATGAGTATAAGGAAAGAAAAAAGTCACATCACCAAAGGTCTTCAAACAATAAATAAGTAATAAGCCCATATAAGAAACACTTTTATGTTGAATTTGAAAAAATAGATAAAATGGACAAACATAGCTTACCAAAATTAACATAAGAAGAAAGAGAAAAGTGGAAAAACTTGGTCTCAATTAAGAAAACTGCTTTCTAAGTGAAACACCTTCCCCCAAAGAATTGTCCTGGATTAGATGGCTTCACTGGTGTATTCTACCAGATCATTATGAAAAAAAGATACCATTCTTATAAAAACTCTTTCAGAAATTGAAGGAGAATGGCACACTCTTCCCTTTTCTGTAGAAGGTTAGTATTATCTTAATTCTGAAACCTAATTCAGAAAAATGAAAGAAAACATTACAGACAAATATCTCTCCTGTACATAGACACATACACACACACACACACATTACAATTAGTAAATATTGTCCAACAATCTATAAAATGTAGAGAATTGCTCAAGGGAGACATAACAATAACAATGAACATATGGGACATCTGAGTGTAGCACAGTGACCAAAAGCTCAGGTTCCAGAGGCTGAATACATCTGTTCACAGTGTGGATCCACAACTTACTAGCTTTATAACTTTAGGAAATTATCTTACTTTTCTAATATCACATTTCTTCACTTGTGAAATGGAAAAAATAATATGTACTACTCACTAGATGTCAGGGTTGAATTAGATAATACATACAGAGTGCTTGTAACATTGTATATTTTGTATACATTTGCCATCCATTAAATATTCGTCGTTGTCATTATCATCATTATCACCACCATCATCATCATTAAAGATATGCTTCAAATATTTGGCAGGTAACCTGTGAACCTAAAGTTAAGGAGCCAATTTATGATTACAGTTAAAGATAAATTGATAAAAATTGTGACTTACGTCTTAAAACTAGTGAGCTTGCTTACGGGGGCTCTGGAGATGAGAAAAATAATCATTTTCCAAAGTGGTCATAAACAGCCATTTTGTAATTGGAGGTTGAATGGGAGGAAGAGAAAACAATAACAAAGACATTGAGATGAATAGAGAGGGAGTACAAAGAATCATTTCAGAAGCCTACTTTACTCTCCATATCATAAATCAATGTTCTCTCATCTTGTAACAAGTGAGTTAACAAGAGAAACCACCTTATACATTCTTTTTTAGTCTATTTTATAGACTACTTTTAGACTATTTTATAGACTATGCTGGTGGAGAGAAATATGCAATCCATTGTTGAGACGTCCATTACAAATATTCTTTTTTTTCTTTCCCTTTCTTTCTTTCTTTCTTTTGGGGGGGCGGGGGGAGACAGAGTCTCACTTTGTCACCCAGGTGGGAGTGCAGTGGCGTGATCTTGGCTCACTGCAACCTCTGCCTCCTGAGTTCAAGCAATTCTCCTGCCTCAGCCTCCTGAGTAGCTGGGATTACAGGCATCCGCCACCATGCCCAGCTAGTTGTTGTTTTTCACCATGTTGGTCAGGCTGGTTTCAAACTCATAACCTCAAGTGACCTGCCTGCTTTGGCCTCCCAAAGTGCTGGAATTACAGGTGTGAGCCACCATGCTCAGCAACAAATATTCTTTTTAATATCTTTTTCACATATTGGACTAGATGACATTTTGTGAATCTCCAAGTTTTCAGTTCTTATGTATTTTCTCTTTTTATATTTTCAACCACCCCACAAAGTAAGTAGGAACTATAATTCATAAAAACTTCAAGAGTGGAAAGTTAAATAAATTCCCCAAGATCAAAGCAGATAAATGTAAAGAAAGAATTTGAAATTTTCTGACTTCGTTACAGTATTCTTTTTTTTAAGGGTATTTATTTATCTATTATTATTATACTTTAAGTTCTGGGATACAAGTGCAGAACGTGCAGGTTTGTTACATAGGTATACATGTGCCACGATGGTTTGCTGCACCTATTAACCCATCATCTACATTAGGTATTTCTCCTAATGCTATCACTCCCCTATGCTCCCACTCCCTGAAATGCCCCAATATGTGATGTTCCCCTCCCTGTGTCCATGGGTTCTTATTGTTCAACTCACACTTATGAGTGAGAACATGCAGTGTTTGGTTTTCTGTTCCTGTGTTAGTTTGCTGAAAATGATGGTTTCCTGCTTCATCTATGCCCCTGCGAAGGATATGAACTCATCATTTTTTATGGCTGCATAGTATTCCATGGTGTATATGTGCCACATTTTCTTTATCCAGTCTATCATTGATGGGCATTTGGGTTGGTTCCAAGTCTTTGCTATTGTGAACAATGCTGCAATAAACATATGTGTGCATGTGTCTTCATAGTAGAATGATTTATAATCCTTTGGGTATATACCCAGTAATGAGATTGCTGGGCCAAATGGTATTTCTGGTTCTAGATCCTTGAGGAATCACCAAAGTCTCAGGATACAAAATCAATGTGCAAAAATCACAAGCATTCCTATATACCAATAACAGACAAACGGAGAGCCAAATCATGAGTGAACTCCCATTCACAATTGCTACAAAGAGAATAAAATACCTAGGAATACAACTTACAAGGAATGTGAAGGACATCTTCAAGGAGAACTACAAACCACTGCTCAACAAAATAAAAGAGGACACACACAAATGGAAAAACATTCCATGTTCATGGGTAGAAAGAATCAATATTGTGAAAATGGCAATACTGCCCAAAGTAATTTATAGATTCCATGCTATCCCCATCAAGCTACCATTGACTTTCTTCACAGAAGTAGAAAAAAACTACTTTAAATTTCATACGGAACCAAAAAAGAGCCCGTATAGTCAACAAACTCCTAAGCAAAAAGAGCAAAGCTGGAGGCATCACACTACCTGACTTCAAGCTATGCTACAAGGCTACAATGACCAAAACAGGATGGTACTGGTACCAAAACAGATATATAGACCAATGGAACAGAACAGAGGCCTCAGAAATAATGCCACACATCTACAGTCATCTGATCTTTGACACACCTGACAAAAACAAGAAATGGGGAAAGGATTCCCTATTTAATAAATGGTGCTGGGAAAACTGGCTAGCCATATGCAGAAGACTGAAACTGGACCCCTTCCTTACACTTTATACAAAAATTAACTCAAGATGGATTAAAGACTTAAACATAAGACTTAAAACCATAAAAACCCTAGAAGAAAACATGGGCAATACCATTCAGGACATAGGCATGGGCAAAGACTTCATGACTAAAACACCGAAAGCAATGGCAACGAAAGCCAAAATTGACAAATGGGATCTAATTAAACTAAAGAGCTTCTGCACAGCAAAAGAAACTATCATCAGCGTGAACAGGCTATGTACAGAATGGGAGAAAATTTTTGCAATCTATCCATCTGACAAAGGGCTAATATCCAGAATCTATAAAGAACTTAAACAAATGTAAAAGAAAAAAAGAAACAACCCCATCAAAAAGTGGGCAAAGGATATGACCAGACACTTCTCAAAAGAACACATTTATGTGGCCAACAAACATATGAAAAACAGCTCATCATCACTGGTCATTAGAGAAATGCAAATCAAAACCACAATGAGATACCATCTCACACCAGTTAGAATGGCGATCATTAAAAAGTCAGGAAACAACAGATGCTGTAGAGGATGTGGAGAAATAGGAATGCTTTTACACTGTTGGTGGGAATGTAATTTAGTTCAACCACTGTGGAAGACAGCGTTGCAGTATTTATTATGCTACTGACCATGTCTCCTCAGAGTAACTTTACATACCATTAAAAATTTTGAAAGCAATTTTTCATTTTAAAATCTCCACCATATAATATTTAATTTTACTTTTTAATACTCACGAAGTTGCTGTGAGTTTATGTTTAAAAACTGTGTGTGTTACTATAAACACATGTTTATGTTTCTAGTGTGGAAAATAGTAACACAAACTACGAAATATAGAGTTTTGAAATCTCATGTAACTATAGTAACAAAAAAATGATAATAATAAAGTTTATATGGCTCTCTCTTATTGAGGTAAAATTATGTTCCACGTGTTTCACATATATTTTCTCTAACTGTGACACAGATAAACAGATATTATTATCCTTGTGTTATGAATGGAAGGACAGGGCTCCAAGAGTTTACATGAAGACATATGGGTTGGTTTTCCCAATATCTTTCCTTTAATTGTCAAATTGCTCTAATCTTTAGCTTTAATTGTCAATCTCTTATCATATGATACAGATATTACCATCATATTTTCTGTTCTAATTTACAATGATTAGGCTAACAGTAGACACATTACTGACATGGGGTCAATTTGAACCACTTCATGGGCTCGATCAAGTTGATAACTGATTGCTGCCAGACATGACACAGTTTTGAGGGTGTCCATGATCCACACCCTATGTAATGAAAAAAATCCATGTGCAGGGAGGTGGAATGAGCCTAATTTACATAGTTGACACCTAGAGTTAGACAAAGAGAGAACCCAAAGAAGACAATTTTCGCTGCCAATCCTTTTTATTTATTTATTTATTTTTCCTGAGACAGTCTTGCTGTGTTGCCCAGACTGAAGTGCAGTGGCAGAATCTCAGCTCACTGCAACCTCTGTCTCCTGGGCTGTAGCCATCCTCCTACTTCAACCTCTCAAGTAGTTGGGACCTCAGGCTTGTGCCACCATCCCTGGATAATTTTTATAATTTTTTTAGAGACAGGATTTCACCATTTTGCCCATGCTGGAATCGAACTCCTGACCTCAAGCAATCCTCCTGCTTTGGCCTCGCGAAGTACTGCGATTACAGCATAAGCCGCCATGCCCGACCAGGCTACCAATTATTAAAAGACTTTTTGGTTTTGTTTTCAGTTCAGTGGTCACTTTTATCTAGGGAGGTATTATCATATTGATTTCTAGCTTGTTTAATATTTAACACACTCAGAAAATACCTGGAAACACAGTAAACATTTTATAAATTGGTAGTTTCACATATAAATTTATTTCTTCCTATTAAATTTAATAATTCAAGGTTAATCACATTTACAAAAAAAGAAAGAAAGAAAGAGAGAACATGGGTTCCCTTAATTCCACTTTTGGATGTACCCAGAATACTGTTTGAAAGTTCCTGAACTCTATTTTAATCCTTATTTTAATTTTTAATTATAGCTAATATAACGTTGAAATAAAGGCTTTTAAAATCTTTTTTTGGTCTTTTCTTTTCCATAGCTACGTTATGCAAGCCTTATTTTTTCTACTCTGTTGCTTTTAAGTATTTCTGCAGTCTAAAGGGCTACAATTACTTAAAACAGTTGGTACAGATCTGTAGTTCAGGACAATACGCAAGCATTTAACAAAATCCATTCAATATTGATCTGTGTCGCATTTCTTTCTAACTTCCTTGTGTTTAGAAAAATTCTTAATTATAACTCCTAATTTGTTTCCCGCCAGGTTTTTAAACTCTATTTCTATATATCTGAATTCCTGTAGGTTTCTGGTCTAACAATTTTAGAATGTTATTTATTTATTTATTTTTCTTAAAATGCTAAAGAGAAGGAAGCTCATTTAGAGCACAGGTAAGAGAAAGGGAAAAAAATGAGGATCGGTTTTACTAGATTAAAAAATACTTGAAAGAAATTCTCTTGGAGTTAAAATTTTGTCTGAGTCTTCAACACACCAATTAAAGAAGCTGATATTGACTGTTAGATGTTGTATTGCCTCATTTTTATAAAGGCCTGCTTAAATGTATTGATTTATTGATTTTTATAAGTCAAAAAATGTTTTCCATGATGATCATTGTTACTCTATGACAATTTTGTCTTGTTCTGTACTAAAGAAAGTTCAATAATTAAATTTTAGTGCAAATTTGTTTACATAGCAAGAGTTCTTCTTGGAGGAGGTGGAGACTGAGATACATAAATCCTTCTGAATAAGAAAATCATGTTACTATGGTAGTCAATAGATGGGCTAATGAATAGTGTCGTGGGTTCCTTCACCAAGCAAAGGTTAGGAAGGGGCTATAAAATCAATAACTCAACAATTATGGATCTTGGAATGCAGACTAAGCAGAGTGACGTTCCTTCATAAACCAGCAAAACAGGGGAGTGCCCTCATGAAGTTTTGTATGAGATCAAAGCAAAGTTTGACCAGTAGATTTTCCACAAAATGTTACCAATCTAATGGACCTCCTATTCTTAAACCACAGGGCCAGTGTGGATTTGATTGGAGACCAAGAGTTTTTATGCCATTATCTATTCCCTCTGGATCACTACATTGTATACTCAACGGAAATAAGCAATCCGGGAGAAACAAAAACAACATGAAATAAGACTTTGCCCATATAAACGAGCAACAGCAAAAGAAAAGCAAATAGCAGAATAATAATCAGGTTAATTTTAAAGATATTTAACAAATATTATATCTCCAAAACAAAAAGGCTAATATATTAATATTTAGATAAAATTACTTATCAGTGGTACATTACTAAAGAGGTCTAATTATAGAAAGAGCTAGTTCCTATTGAGGTAGGAGGCAGGCTAGACTCCAGAGGCAGGGTTTGAACACCAGACCAAATTGAGTACCAGCTAAAAGAGGTCCAATGTGAAAGCATCTCCCCAAAAGACATGCCCACGAGTATGCCATGTGAGTTTACCGTTGCCATGGCAACATCTGGAAGTTTCCATCCCTTTCCATGGCAATGACCTGACAACCCAGAAGTTAACCACCCTCCTTCTAGAAATTTCTGCATACACTTACCCTTAATGTGCATATAATTGTGGATATAATTGGGTATAAATATGAGTTCAGAACTGCCTCTGAACTGCTACTCTGGGCACGCTGCCTATGAGGTAGCTTTTTTCTGCAAGGAGCAGTACCTCTGCTGCTGCCATGCACTGCAGCATCAATGAAAGTTGCTGTTTAACAACACTGCCTTGCCCTTGAATTCTTCCCTGGGCAAAGCCAAGAACCCTCCTGGGCTAAGCCCCAGTTTGGGGGCTTGCCTGTCCTGCATCACTATTACCTTAAAGCAATGTCTTACACAAATATCTAATTGATTACAAATCCTAGGAAAACAAAATAAATCCAGTAACGAGAACTCAAATAAATTAGGCAAAGATCATAATTTTGTTGAAACCAGCTAACTTACCAGCAGTTTCGAAATACAGATGGAGTTCTGGCACAAGAAGTAAATGTGCCTGGTGGGTGGACTGTCTGTTCCTAATGTGTGCCTGGAATGCTGTCAAGCAAGGATTTTCAAAGCAATAGTGCAAACTCCACTGTTGTAAAAAATGATGTAAACACCCATCCATGCCTGAAATAAAAAGAAATGGAGGAATTTATTGCTTGTTACAGTTAAGAATAATTATGCTTGTCTGATCATTTCACCTAGCAGGGTAGACTGCTAGTATTATATCAGATAAGAGTGGAGTTATGGGAAGCATGGTTTGGCAGACTTTAAGAATGGTAAGTAGATTGACATAATTTATGGAATATGTTACTTGGGTGAGACTCGTGGGTTGGCTGACACTCATGGGTTGGTTGACACTCATAGGCATGCTATTGGAGTGAGCCTGTTCCTAATTTGCAAGGGGCTGATGCTGATTGGTTGGTTTCAAAAAATTGTGCACACTGAGGTGAATTGTCAAACTATTCCTTTCCTGTCATTTACTTTAGGATGGAGTTGTTGACTATTCTGTAAATTCCTTAGCACATTTTGTTGAAATCAGTATGCAAATGAAATCCACACATTGCATTTGATTCATGTGTCTCCTGTATTATTTCTGATTGCTACTGTAACAAATGACCACAAACATAATGCCTTAAAACAACACAAATGTATTATCTTAAGTTCTGAATACTGGAAGTCTGAAATGAGTCTCACTGGGCTAAAATCAAGCTATTGGCAGAGCTGCATCCCTTCTGGAAGTTTGAGGGGAGATTTCATTTCTTTTGCTTTTCCAGCTTCTGGAAACTGCCTGCATTTTTTGGCTTATAGCACCCTGCTGCTTTCAATCTCAACAACCACATCACTTCCACCTCTGCTTCCTTCATCACGTCTCCATCTCTGACTCTCCTACCTCCATCTTTCATTTACAATGATACTTTTAATTACATTAAATTCACCTGCATAATCCAGGATACTCATTTCAGATCTTCTCATTTCAAGATCTGTAGTTTAATATCTACAAAGGCTCTTTTGCCAATGTAACATATTCATGAGTTCTGAGGATTAGTATGTAGATATCTTTGGGGACTATTATTCTTCTTACCGCATCTCCTATACATTTGCTAGTATCTAATCTCATCCTGTGCCCTTTGCCCCTTTTTAGGTAATTTGTTGAAAAAAGTTGACTATTTACCCTATAGTAGTTCTCATAGCCTGGATTTTGCTGACTGATTTTCCCTGGTGTCATTTACCTTGCCATTCTGTCCTTTGACTGTATTTAGATCCAGTTGCACTCTCCTGTGCAGTAGCTACTAAACATGTGACTTTTAAATTTAAACACAAATGAATTAAATCAAAATAAAAATTCAATTTCTCACTAATCAGCTATATTTCAAGTGTGCAATAATATATGTGGTTAATGGCCTACTGTATTGACATCATTGATATAGAACATTTCCATCATTACAAAAAATTCTATTAGAAAGTGCTCATCTAAAAAGTTGATTAAATTCAAGTCTCATGTGTTGGTATATTTATTTGGCCATGAATATTTTATGGACAATGTTGTATACATCCATCCAGTATTATTATGTTATGTCTGGTATAACTCTATTTTTTTTTACAATGAACCAATTTATTACTTGGTTCCAACATAGTCAGCCTGACCCATTTATTATAAATTCTCTCATCATTTTTTACCTATTATTCTTTAGCCATCCTTGAGGGTTGTTTTGCTGTCATTGAAGGTTGTCTCCTAGGTTGTTTATTTTCTTTAACGTTTTGATAGAATAATTTTTTTCTAATTGTATCTTTTCTTTCTAATTTATTAATAAACAAAAAACTTTGCTTCATTAACTATTTAGATATCCTGAGTACTATGTGTATTGGAAAGGAAAGATGAACATTCACTACTGTGAAAAATAGTGAAGTCAAAGGTAATGAGTTAATTCCTTAGCTTCTTCAAAAAGTGACCAATTAGTACTTTATTCAGTATCATTTGTAAATCATGAGTTTAAATACATGTGATGTGTTTAATCTGTTGTAGTTATTATTCTTTTCTATTTTTAAATTGTCCAATGGGAGCATCTTCAAGTTGGCTCTCAAGCCCTTTTGATATTATCCAAAGCAATCTTCACTATGCTTCTTGGTTTTAGCTATAACAAGATATTCCTGGATCAACATGTATATTTCTGACCTAGTTATTACAGAGTCAGCTATTTTAACAAGTAGCCTTGTTTCTAGATTTCTTTCAGTGACGAGTAATAGAAAATATTTTGTTTAAAGAAATGCATGAGTTTACACTGTGTCATATGTTGTCAATATGATAGGCCAGAAATGGCATTTTAGGGTCATTTAACATTATTATGAATGAAGTTGAGCAACATTTTATGTATTTAACTAGGCCCCATTCTTGACTTTATCAAAACCTATGCTTTCTGTATCCGTCTTTAGCATATAGGATGCTTAACTCTGCAACTGGGCAAATCAGAATTAAAATTCTAATTTGGGGTCAGTTTGTCCTAATTTATTCTAGTCACTTAATTTTACCTAAGTCTGCCCTTCCAGATAATTGCTTCAGTAAGAAATTTAGGATACTGGTTTGTTTTCTGAAAAACCATTTCCACTTGGTAATGCAGGAGCAAAATAACATGGTTATTTAATAATTGGAATTAGATGAACTAAAATGTTTGACTCTTCACAGAATTTATGAAAAAGCAGCAAGAGCAGCAGGAGGCAGCCAAATGCCTAGGCAGATAGGGGCAGGTCCCCAGTGAAAGCCCACCTCCAAACCAAAGACAGTTTAAAGCCTGAAAGCCAAGCTACAGGTTAAATCCTCAGACCGATTGAGAACTTGTCTTTCCCTTTGGTGCACCTTCCTCTGATTGGTCCCCACCCTTCACCTATTTTTATACATACCTACCCTTTCCTAATTGGTTTTTTATACTGACATGCCCACCTTTGAGTGGTTTCTTTGCTTTAACCTTTTCTGCATACTCACAAACCAATCAGCATGCACTCCACATTCTGAGTCCATAAAAGGCCCCAGATCTCCAGCTACTTGGGAGGCTGAGACAGGAGAATGGCGTGAACTTGGGAGGCGGAGCTTGCAGTGAGCCGAGATCGTGCCACTGCACTCCAGCCTGGGCGACAAAGTGAGACTCCGTCTCAAAAAAAAAAAAAACAAAACCCTGGATCCAGGCATATCGGGGACTTTCCCACCTTTGAACAGGGGAACCACCCCACTGTGTCCCCTCTTTGCTGAGAGGTTTTCTTTCGCTTGATAGATTCCACCCCACTCACTCTTCAATGTCTGTGCATCTAATTACTCCTGGTTGTGAGACAAGAACTTGGACCTAGCTGAGCTAAAGAGCAGAAAGACCATGACATTTTGGTGGCCAGTATGGGACTACCTGGAGGGTGAGTAAATGTGGACCCAAATCCTCTTTCACATTTGTTTCCGAGCCTTCTTGTCCTCAGATATTTTTCTGAAGGTAGATGAAACACTGAACCTTTCGTGAGCCAATTAAGAATGAATGATGCAGCTACAGAGGGCAGGATGCTGGAGAGGACCCCGACACCCCCTGACCCACATCGCTCTGAGGGGTTGGGAATGTCAGCCTTGTTCCAATCCAGACTTTTCTATGGCATTTTTCTTCTTCAAGGCTGTCGTGGCACCAGTTTCTTCTTTTACAACGTTAAGCGTGTTGCTGCAAATTGTAGAGATATTACTAAGTAGATTGAGCATTTGGCCCAGCCACCAGATATGCAGTTCAGAACAAAGTGATTTCTGTCTGTTCTTAGAGGCAAGGAGGGTACAGCAATTAAGAGACTTTCCCTTGTTGAAGGAACCCATTTGCATAGAGCAAGAGTTTTTTTCCTCCCAGGAACCTTCCCCACCCTGCACTTAAGCTTTTTTTTTTTTCTTTTCTCCACCATGTCAGGAGTTAACAGATACAGGGAGCTTTTCTATGTGAGAGGTTTTCTCTTTCTGAATGGCATTTTACTAGGCCAGGACCCCAATTCATGGGATGCCCTTTTCTCTCCCTTGTTTGAGGAGGATCCAGCTCCACAGCTTTACCTTAGCATTTGACTTATGATAAGGAAGCAGTGGAGGAGTGACTCTGCCAGCTGCTGGCTGCAGTCTGGCAAGGGCAACCTGGAACTTAATGAGCCCATGAGCCCTCCTGAGGAACCTTCTTGCCCCAAACTCAATTCCAAGCTTTGAGTTGAAGCCCTAGTAAGAAAAACTGGATTGAGGGATCCAGAGGCAGACAACAACAGAAGTCAAGGGGCATGGTGCGGGTAAGCATAAGTGATTCCTGCCAATTAGCATCCCTCATTTCATGGATAGAGGTCATGCTAGTATCCATGGCATAAATGAGGTCTGAGGAACTCAAAGGTTACTGACAGCATGAAGGAAAGGCAGCATGTGGTAAACGCAGATAATTCCCACCCTCTAGGCCTCCTGTTAACATGGGTGAAAGCTGCACTGGCACCCATGGATGCCTCTTCTTTCTGTCCCTCATGTACTGTGAGTATTCGCTGGGAAGAGAAAAGAACTAGGGGTGCCTTGTTCCCCACTTTCTAAATGGGTAACCAATCATCTTCAGTCTGTACTTCTCTCTTGAAAGCTTCTTGAATCACTGAGACTCCTTTTAAAAAAACAAACAAAAAAAAGCCTTCTTTCTCATTTTCCTCCTCTGTCCTCTCTTTGCAGATGGGTAATTGTGTCTCCATAGCACAGAATCCTTTCCTTGGATGCATCCTCCAAACTGGGAAAAGTTACTTTCTCCGCACCTTAAACTACTTGGCTTAAAACTGAGCTTGGGGTAAGGGAACCCAGAAGCCTGACATACCAGCAAAAGAGTAAAAGTCTTCTTTGTCAATCATTTTTTTGACTATAACTACCCTGATATTTTGTCATTCATAGACAATTGTTGTATTGCTTTGATTATTTCCAAAAGTTGGTTTATAATAAGCTACAGGACTTTGACAGGTGCTCTTAAACACAGATTTCTGATATCTTTGGAGATTGTGACAATGGAACAAAGAAAAAATGTATAGTACTCTTGAAGAGCTGAAACGCTCATGAATATCAAGCAGAATATGAGTTAACTGAATGGACTGAACTAACAGAATACTGAAGTAATATTTTTTATTTTTTGCTTAAAACACTGCTGATCTTTCTTTTGTTTATCAGAGCCAAGGAAACTTTTTTGAGCTATCTATAGCTTTTAACAAGGTTTAATCCTGTGAATAAAATTTGGAGCATATTTGTTTCTCTCTGTCTGGCTTCTCCAGAATTTGGAAACTATTTGTGAGTATTCTTAACTTATGGCAATATGGTTATTTGCATCAGTGCCATAAGAATCTATTTTCTTTCGCAACAGGACACAATTGAAGAAACTGGTTGTTTTACCAAGACTTTGACTATGAGAGTGTGCTTCCCTTTATGGAATCCAGCTTGACTTGCAGAGCCAATAAAAACCCCTTGGGAAAATTGGCTTCATACCTTATCAACACAGTCACTGTACAGGGTTCCTAACCTGTGGTGAGTAAGGAATGTCACTTTCTAACAGGCCCAGCAGCCCCATGCTATCTTGAGACCACAAGATGAGAAGAATTTACCCAACTCATAGGTATTTGAGGGTATTGTTTTGATA
The DNA here is from genome assembly GCF_000001405.40 of Homo sapiens. Lineage (NCBI taxonomy): Eukaryota > Metazoa > Chordata > Mammalia > Primates > Hominidae > Homo > Homo sapiens. The sequence goes on from NC_000002.12 coordinate 209,005,708, forward strand.
AAAATGAGGACTGGAGGGAGAAAAATTATGTTTCAAATCTTATCATATACTTGTAATTAAATTCTAGTTTCATTAGTTGTTTTTAAGTTTTTGCCTACCTTTTAAACTAACCTTGCTTATTTCTGTGAACCAACCAGTGATCTCTGGCTGTAGTTCAGAAGAAACAAAAGGGATGGGTAATGTAAAAATCTAGATCAATATTCTCATTCTGGCCAATTATCCTGCAAATCCTGCCAGGTAGGGTGCTCATAATCCAGAGGTTTCTTTGTTTGGGAAAATAAGACCAACGGAGCTAACCAAAGTCAAGCCCCATGCTTGGCTTACCCCCTTGTTTCCTTTTGATACATGTCTTCTAATAACCTGGTTTGTCTTTTCTCACCTTCAGGCCATCAAACTCCAAAGAGTCATGAAACCAGAGCCTCAAACAATGCCTCTGTTTTACTGGGGACCCTTAGATAGGCCTCTGAGAGAGATCTGACTGATGTTGTCCCAAAACAGTGTCTCCTGTCAGCAGGAAAACAGTTAAGATCTGTCTTTGTCCCTGTTCTAATGGCAGTTAGGTGTACCTCTTCAGAGGGGGAAAATGAGAATGGCAGGAGGCAGCCAAATGCCTAGGCAGATAGGAGCAGGTCCCTGGTGAAACCCAACCTCCAAGCCAAAGACAGTTTAAACCCTGAAAGCCAAGCTACAAGTTAAATCCTCGGACAAGATTGAGAACTTGGTCTTCCTGTTCGATGTGCTTTTCTCTGATTGGTTCCCACCCTTCACCTATTTTACAAATACCTACCCTTTCCTAAATGGTTTTTCTACACTATCATGCCCAGCTTTGTGTGTTGTCTTTGCTTTGCTATGTTTGTGCATACTCACAAACCAATCAGCATGCACTTCACATTCTGAGTCTATAAAGGGCCTTGGACCCAGTCACATGGGGGGCTTTCCCGCCTTTGGGTAGGGGAAACACCTCCCAACCCTGCTTCCCCTCTTTGTTGAGAGCTTCCCTTTTGCTTAATAAATTCTACACCACTCATTCTCCCATGCACACCTGCCTAATTCTTCCTGGTTGTGAGACAATAGCTTGGACCTAGCTGACTTAAGGAGCAGAAAGACTGCAACAGCAGCACTACAAAGCCACAAATATAGACTAATTTTAAACCAATATGCACTGCACATAAACACACAGGTTGTCATGCAAATATGCCAGTACTGTTCATTCATAAAGTGATGTCAGCTATTCATGAGTCATCATCATACAAACCAATGAAAACAGTCTTCCTTCTCTTCTTTGCTATCCAAAAAGGGAACAATCATGGAAATGACAGATAAATTTATGTAAGTAAACTCAGTCAATCTGTGTGTCTAAATTTACTAGAGGTAATGGCTAAGATGCTAACTATGAGAAAACCCAACACTCAGGAATCTGGGTCATCTGTTCAAGTTTTGTCCTGGAAAGTGTTAGTAGGTTCCAGTTTTCTGTGCCTTCCTCATTTCCTCTACACCTTCCTATCTCATTTCTTATCACGTCAGATGGCAATCATCCTTTACTCACCAGCCTCTTGAAAGACAGCTGGAAAGGCAATGCTTTTTCATCTACGCATCTCCAACCACTAGCCATAATGGTCAATAGATGAATTGAAATCAAGTGAACTGGAAGGCAATTTTAACATAATTGAGGCTCTCCACTTTAGTACAATTGGAAACCATAGGAAAGTGTTTACACAATTTTTAGAGCTTGTGATAAAAAAACAAGATCACCACTTCAAGCACAGTTCTGAGGTTTAAAGGCACTCTCATTCATATGTCATTTACACAGAAGAACTAATGAAGACAGGGCAACATAAGGCACATATGACCTTCATACTAAAAATTGATCTGATTTTAATATTAACTAAGAAAGATAAAATAAACCAGAAAGAAGAATGGATTTTCTATAGAAGTAATAGTTTTTTAAATTATATCTTTGCAGAAATAAAGTCTGTAGACCAATATTCTTAGACTCCACACTCTTTCGGCATGCTTATAAGTGAGGGAGAGAGGGACACCAGAAATTACTGAATCTGTGCTCCAGCATTTTCCTGTCCTTTATCCATATCGTTAGTTACATGTTATATATTTTGCGATTTTTGCATAAAAGAATGTATACATTTTCCAAGTTAATAGGTTAGCTTCAATAACAGTGGCTAACCATAGTTAAAACAAATTATACTTGTTTTAACTCAAGCTGTTGGAGCTTTCACTTGATGTAGGAAGTGCAGAATTGCTTTTGGAGTTATAAAGAACTAGGTTTGAATCCCTGCCGTGTGATATCAGGCATATTATTTAAGTTCTCCACAGCTTAGTTTTCTTATTTGTATAATAGTGAGTTATTATATGCGAAGCTGCCCATTATAACCCCTGTGGCAAACTAACTGTTCAATAGTAATGGATACATTTTCCTTTCCTAAAAATGATTGCCCTATTTACTCAGTAATTCATGGCTGCAATTATATTTTTTTCAACTTTTATTTTAGAATCAACAGGTATGTGTGCAGGTTTGTTATGTGGGTAGATTGCATGTCACTGAGGTTTGGTGTATGAATGATCCTGTCACCAAGGTAGTAAGCATAGTACACAATAGACAGTTTTTCAACCCATTCACCCCTCCCATCTTCCTGCCTCTAGTAGTCCTGTCTGTCATTGAATGGCTGAAATTATTACTGTGATAAAGTTATTTGGTTATTTGTCTCATCTGGCTGTAGTGAAAAAGTCAAGGGCTTTGGAAACACATGTCTTTAAACTTAAACAGGGATTTGAGCCTCAATTTTCTCATCTGTAGAATATGGAATGAAAAATACAAAAACACATGGTCTGGCTCTAGGTAGGTAGTACAAAGATGCTACTTTAATTTTTTTCTTTTTGTCATTGAAAGTTACTGTGGCTAAAGTTTGTGTTTCAAAATACAAACTGAAAAACTAAAACTTCTACTACCACTGTTGCTTTCTTTAAATCATCTGCTACCGCTAAGTAACAAAATAATAGCAAAATAATTTAATAGACATTCCTGGTACTCTGTGTTCAAATAATACTTTATGAAGTATTAATAGAATTTTTCCAATCCATCCCTGTTCTAAATTCATCAGCAAATTGCTTTGTAATTTATAAATTTTGCTTATAGTGCAATAACTTTAGGATTGCAGCATTCATTTGTAAAATTTTATCCATACTAGAACTCTGCTTGCCTTAGTCTGTTCAGACTGCTATAAAACAATATGATAACTTGGGTAGCTTATAAACAACAGAAATTTATTTATCATAATTCAGAGGCTAGAGAGTCCAAGATCAAGGTGCCAGCAGATTTGATATCTGGGCCTGTTTACTGGTCCATAGGTGTCGCCTTACAGCCATGTTCTCATGTGGTGGAAGGAACAAACAAGCTTCTCTGAGCCCATTTTATAAGGGCACAAATTCCATTCCTGAAGACTTTGTCCTCATGACCCAACCTCACCTCCCTAAATGCCCCACATTTTAATACCATCACCTTGAGGATAGGATTTCATATATAAATTTTGTAGGGACACAAATATTCAGACCATTGCATTACCTATTTCCCCCATGGAACTTGAAGGTGATGAAATAAACAAGGAAACTCAAGGATTGAAAGGTTTTTCTTATTTTCTTTATTTACTTAGCAAGTAAGACAGCCTCCAAGGTACTACTTTGAATTAATTAAGCACAGAAGGTTTTTTTTAACAGGGAGTGGGGGTTGGGGCCACTCTAAAGAAAAACAGAAATACCAAACCACAACAAAGTTTCCAGCACTTTGGCATTCAAGTTTTTATCAAAACATGTTATTGGTTGTTGTGAACCAGCAGAAACAGACCCTGCAGATTTCCTTGAGAAATGCATTGGTGTTTATTTCTCAAAACGTATTTACTCATGGCCAAGTGAAATCTTTCATGAGAGGTGAATGGAACCTGAAAAAACCTTAGGAGAACAGGAATATTTAAGACACTTCATGAAAATATAATCTTTCAGTCTTTCTCCTCTTGGTCAATATTAGGGTCAAAGCCTACAAGTTTTAACCATTAATTTCACCCAGATCTAGTTCATCACTCTGGGTGAAATTTTCACAGATGGTGGTACTGCAGGTGTTAATCCAGGCTGTTAGATCTTAAACGATTCCATTGGGATTTTCTTGGATTTGAAACTTTCGATTACAACTTTGATTTTCAGTTGCATGAGTGGCTATGCAGAAGCTTTCAAGACCCTAGTCACAATTTAGTATTTGACTTACATAAAAACAATCACCTGCAAGCTTTTTAGCTATAAACTAACAGCTCCTGGTATGAAGCAGAAAGTGAGAAAAAAGTTATTGGTTTAACAGTTTGTTGATTTTCCTGAATTTTTTCATTCAGAAAAAAATTATCTTAATTTTTAGTCATCTTACCTTTTCAGTAAGTTTTTTTATTGGCTCCTAAGTTACCATAGTTTAGTTAGGTAAAATTTCACATTCATTGTAAACCAAAATATATGGAGAAGAAAACTAAATTGTTGCGGTAACACACACCCGTGGAGGCACAAATTGGTCCTAGACTGTCATGGACCCACCCTGACTTTTACAAGGATCATGGTACAAACCTCCAAAAGTAAGAGATCATCTTGATTTCTGTTTTGGTGGGTTTTTCACTATTCTCATGGCCAGACATGAATAGACATGCCAAATTTTAGAACATGTAACACATATCAATAGTCATGAAACTTCAATTTAAATTTCATGATGCATTTTTTTTTTAAATAAAGTAGTTAAAAACTAATGTGAGTTTAGCCTCAGTCAAACGAATCCTATTGGGATGTTAAAACATTCTTCCAGTGATTCTTCCAGTGATTCTCTTAACACTCTTCCAGTGATTCTCTTATAACTCAGAAATGCTTTCCTGTGGAAAATGCCTTTATAGACTTATATATTCTTTTGGTCATTATCCGTAGCGTTTTTAAAAATTGAGAATGAATTCAATTTATGGAACCAGGCCAAATTTTGTAATGCCAACTCTGGTGGGTATGGTAGATAATTATATTTGGTAATGGCAGATTTTATTATGCTAAAACAAACACTGAAATTAAATGATGAAGAAACTGTGTTCATGTAAACATGTTGTTTTCTCTTGTGATTTGAATTAGAGAATGAGTATTGCACACCACCACACAAAATAGACAAGAAAACACACTGACAAAATATTCTCACTATCTATGACAACCTACTTTACAATTATGTAAATATTTCTTTGATATTCTAAGTTTTTGTTCTTTAAAGCTATTCTGCAAAAATGGGAATATCTCTGTGTGAGTGGTTGTGAAGGGGAATATGCTTAATTGCTACTTTGTTAGAGATGCACTTAGATGTACCTATGAAAAAGAAGAAATAGGGTTAAAGAGGGAGTTGTTGATCGGAGGGTTGACTCTACCTGGCAGATATCAAATCTAACTTGAGGTTTTGACTCAGCTTTCTTTTCCAGCTGAGAGACTGAATGGGTCTTTATACAACAAAAGCTTCTGGCTTTGACATGGGGAGAGAGGCAGCTCAAGCCTCAGTAAATAACAGAGTTGATTGTATCTCACTTTCCTGTTTGTTTGTTTGTTTGTTTGTTTGTTTTTAGATGGAGTTTCGCTCTTGTCACCAAGGCTGGAGTGCTATGGAGCAATCTCGACTCACTGCAACTTCCACTTCCTGGGTTCAAGAGACTCTCCTGCCTCAGCCTCCTGAGTAGCTGGGATTACTGGCGTGTGCAACCACACCCAGCAAATTTTTGTATTTTTAGTAGAGACAGGGTTTCACCCTGTTGGCCAGGCTGGTCTCGAACTCCTGACCTCAGGTGATCCACCTGCCTCAGCCTCCCAAAGTGCTGGGATTACAGGCGTGAGCCACTGCACCTGGCAACTTTCATTAACTCAAAGGTTTCATCCGGACTTTGCTTTGTTCAACATGCTCAGTCATTTAAATAAAAAAGGTATGTAATATATATATACAAGTAAGATAAACATGCTCGATAATTTAAATTTAAAAAGTATGTAATTTTATTATGAATCATTTCCTTTTATATCGTGAATGAAATAGATATAATGAAATAGTTGATTGCATCAAAATGATTAATGTGCAAGCAGTTAATTAAGGGAATTATGAACATAAGAATCCATTCCACACAAGAAGTACAGATGAAGAGAATAAGTACAGGAGGATACTAGAATAAAAACTAATGTTAGGAAAATTAGCTATAGAAGAGACTTATTTGAATATAAGAAACAAAGAAACATTACCTTAATTATAGAAAGGATAACTTGCTAAAACAAATGATAGGTTTTCCAAGTGGAGACAATGAAAAAGCATGACATGTTTTGCAAACTTTCCAGAATTGCCAGATTTGGGGATCTATTTTCTGGGAGACTTTTCATGTCAATACTACTACATACAGGTTAACCATTGCAAGTCACCAATCATAACTAATATAATACTAGTGCAAGTGAAAATTCTTAAATCAGTATGAAAATTTCACCGGCCAGTTTAATTAAACTTACAGATCTCTTGCTACAGACATATCCTGGGTATGTAATATGTGCAGCATGAGTATTTAATTTAATAATTGGAAGACAATATCTATTTAACCTTTCCTCAGCTATAATCTTTCCTGATTTGCTGTTTATGTTCATAGTTGGTTTTCATATAAAGATAGCTTTGAAATTTTATCTTTTTACCAAAGTGTAGCCACTTTATATTGGTAGTGGATTTTATCCTGTTGAGCACTTGAAAGTTCTAAGGAACAGGGAGAAATCTTATTTGTGTGGGACAGCCCTATAAACTGCACTGTGTCTAATATCACACTGACTCCTGCTTACTAAGAGTCAATGTGTCTTATTATTATTGTGATAATTCACAACACACCCACAAATTTCCAAAAAAAACCTCCTGGGAGAGTACCTTCTTCATTGAGAACCGTTATTCCAACTGCGTCACATAATATTTTGTTTTTTCTCTTCATTTATTTGGTAATGTTTTTGAAAGTATGAACCATGAACTGTATTTCTTTCTTGAAGGGTGACCATATACTTTATTATTCAAACTAGATACTTTTGAGTATTAATAGGATGCTAATACACTAAGGCAACAGGCGTAAACTGGGACTTTCTTGGGCAAACTAAATCATTATCTTATCTATATCTTATCAGAATTCTACACTACCTTATCCCAAAACCTTGAGTCCATTTTGTTCATATTCAGGTATTTTTGTTGTTTTAGGAAGGTAATGTGATGCATATCTTATATATATAACTCCAGCACTGTGTAATTAAATATGCTGTTTTTCACAGAAAAAAACGGTATGAATATATATATTTATATTTAAATGTGTCAAATACAGACTATAAATAACCTCAGGGACTGTATTTAGAAGAATTCTGAGCACAAAATTAATTTATGTAATTTTAGACTTCAGATCGGTGGAGATACCATCTTGTAACATACAGGTAAATAAACTGATGTTGGTGTGGGCGTGGGGGTGTAAATTACACACTTGAGGCCATGCACCTTGTGAGTTTTGGAAGTAAGTTTAGAAACCACATTTTATAATTCCTCATTTGTAAATATAATTATACCCAAGTAGAATAAACCAAATATATATATTAATTTTGTAGGTTTGTCTTCATTCCCTGAATCATACTAAAATATTTAAAAGTAAAAATTGCTATAGTTTATTGGCACTTATCATGTATCTGTTCTTAATACTTCCATGCATTATTTCCTTTAATCTTCACAACGTGATGATATATGAACTACTATTTCCTCCATTTTGCAACTGCAATATTGCAATTTCATAGCTAATTAAGACCTACATAATTTAATTGCAGGCTACAGACACTACGCTATGCTTTCTCCTAAATCCACAGATACATTTTCATACAAGAGCTGTAACTGGGTTGGAATAGATATATGGCCTTTGATGCTTGTAAAATCAATATTTTCTCATAGTATATAACCCGAACCCCCAGCTGACAGTTTTTGACTGATTTGATTGCCCATAATTCTTTCCTTATGACTTTGGACTGAACATTCTTCTCACGAAACTCAAAAATTCATTGTAAAGAGCCACAGCCTAAATTGTAAAGACATAATAGAATCCTTATAAATGAGAGAAGCAAATACAAGATGGTCATGTTAAAGAGAACAGTTAGAGGGAAAATATTGCTTTATCTTTTGGTTTACAACATCTTCAGATTCTTCATCACAACTCCACAGAGGAAACCACATTTCATAATTCATCAATTGAAAATATGTTTTAGATTCTGGAACCATTCAGAAAACAGCAACTACTCACACAATTACTCAGTCATTTTGTTTCTGAAGTAGAATCACACAGGGATTCAAAATCTTTTATCTCCATAGGTCTTGTGTAAAACCTGTTCCGTGCATATACACATGCATACAAACCTTATGCAATGAATATTTATTTTTTATTTTTGATAGTTATGGTAAAAAAATGCAAAGACAAAATACTATATGGAATTAATTTATAAGGCATTGGATGGTGAAACCAGGAAAAATGTAAGATTGTAAGCAAATTCTGGGAGAAATTTAAATATCAGAATTTCAGTTTTTCAACTACATATGGGATAGAATTTTAATCAAATTTATTTGCATTATAAAGTAGAGTAAGTACCATTGATACTAGATATCACTGTCCACTTGCATACCTGCAATCAAGGATTGCAATCAAGAATCCTTATCAAAGGACTTTGTAATGTGGGATTTGGTTTTACCAGTAGGTAAGACAATACCTACTGATATTTACCAATAGGTATTTATTTATTTATTTGGCAGGGCACTGATAAATCATGGCTGAAATGCTGTGGTTTGTTGAGTAACCACAATTTTAATCTAACTAATGAGTCTAAGAATATGAAAATGGATTGAGATTTTAGGGGATGAACAGTTAAGAACAAAACAGGAAAACTTGTTTTATTGAACCTAGTTTTTTTAGGGTAATTCCTTGAAGGGCAAAAATAATACTTTCCTTTTGTATAATTTTGCTTTACCTCAAGCAATATTATATTTCTTATGTGTTCTGCTATATCTTCTTTCTAATTTTTTATTATCCACATTGTTCTTCTATACAATATGCTACTGAGAAGACCTTCAAATAAACATCTCCATGTTTTTGTTGCCTATTTTTTTAAAAAAGGTCAAATCTCCATTTTCATGTATTAGAGTTCCTTACATGTTAAGAACAAATAACTTTTGGAAATATTTCAGCATTTGAATTATTTCAATGGCATAAAAATTGGTGGGCCTTTTTGTTTGTCAGAAAGCTATATTTTCTTTCTAAAACAGCATAACATTAGAGAGGGAAATTTTTTTAAAAAAAGCTATTAGAATAAATGCAAAGCATTAGTCAATGCTATTCCCAAGATATTTCAACAGATACTGATTATAGATAACTTGTTCCCCTGGAAAAAAATAATTTATTTAAAAACAAATTAAAAATACTTTTCATGTTTTAAAAAATTCTTTTAAAGGCATAATGCTATAGTTTGAATGTGTTTCCTCCAAAATCCAGGTGTTGCCAACATGATAATATTAAGAGGTAGGTCCCTTAAGAGGTGATAGACCATGAGGGTGCCCCTCTTCTGAATGTGATTAGGTGCCATTATAAAGTGGCTTGGCTCAGGGAGTTGGTTATCTCTTCCCCTTCTGCCTGCCACTATGTGAGAACACATCAAGAAGGATTTCACTAGATGCTGGCATGTTGATGTTGGACTTCCCAGCCTCTAGAATGGTGGGAAATAAAATTTTGTTCTTTATAATATAAATTACCTAGTCTGTGATAGTCTGTTACAGTAGGACAAAGGCATATAGAAACCCTTTTTCTAGAAGACTAATTTGAGGATCTAAACACCAAAGAATAAAGTGTGTTTTTGTAATTATTTGTTTTTTCTTGCTGCAATTTTACTATCATATTTATTTATTTTTTAGGCCTATAAAGAATGTCTTTGTCAATGTCAGTCAAATACCCAGGAATAATGTGATGTAGTAGGAAAGTGATGGATGTCACGTTATACAAAGTTGGCAGTCGGGAGAGAATATCTACACTTATGTAAAAAGAGAAAGGTATGTGCCATGAAAGGTCCAAGGACTCCCAGCAGAAACACATACTTAGATCTGGTGACACTTCCTTTTACAGAGCAAAGCTCAAGTCACATTTCCTCTCAACCTTGCCCATATAACTGCTTCAATCTGTTCAGGCTTTTTTCCCTTTATATTAGTATTTAAGAATCTAAAAACTTATGAATTAAGATCAGCTACAGGATCTTAATTGTAAATTAATTACAGCAGATGGTATGAGCTACTTCCAGCTGCTGTTCTAGCAACACCAAATACTCAATTGCCCTCTGAGAGATCATTAAATTGACTCTTTGCTAAATTTTGCTCATTTCTTTTTGGAGACATTTCCTAATAATAAAAGGCACTAGGGTCTGAAATGTCAAGCACATGCAGTAGCTTGAAAAATTATAATTTTTAGAGACCATAAGCTGTCACTTTAGATTGTGTTAGCACAGTACATACTGTGATCTTTCATACACAAATATCCCTTTTCCAGGGAGCTCTCTTTATCAGAAATTGAACTGATAAGATCGCCCTGTCATTGAGCTTTTTTTTTAAATCTCACTGGAATGCAATTTATCCTTCTTCCCATTTGTGCACCCTCAATATCTGAATGATCAGTAAATATCTCTATACCCATTGACTCAGTTCAGTAAAGTTTTGGGGGATTATGAAATGCATGTTTAATTTTTCCATGTTTGAACAATCTTTTAATCAGAATATTGTATCATTCATTGTGAGAAGCTTCTGATATCTTAAAAATTTGAAAGGAAGGGGTGGCAAATAAAATATACAACTGGGTCAAGATGAAGGAATTAGTAGTTGAATCATATTGCCATGTTTCTGGATTGTTTACCAGTTAATTTAATATACATAACATACAACCACAAGCTCTTCATGGGAAACAACGATACAATTTTATTCCTCAAATATTTCTGAAGTTCTAGTGATTTGTTCTGAGCTCAACTGCTTTAAACATGATACTTTTGGATTATAGATAATGTGTTTCTGCTGGTGTCAGATGTGTTTGCTCACATGTTTGCAGTAAGCTGGAGGCTCTGCCCTAGCTGTGGCTTGACTGGGCACCTTAGCTGGGACAGTTCTGCCCCACTTGTTTCTCATCCTCTTTCCAAGGGAAGCTTTCTCTTGACAACAGAATAAGCAAAAGAGCAAGCCAGCCAAATCACACAAGCACTTTTCAAGACTCCTAATGTCACCTCTGCTAACAGCGGATTGACCAAAACAACTCATACCACTGAGCTCAGGAGTAGGAAACTAGCCCTGCCCAGAATGGGATGATATGACAAAGTCACATAGAAAGAATAGGGATACTGAGCATAATGAAGAGTGGCGGCATCAAGTCAACCAAAGACCATGATGTTTAGAATAATGGTACCTAGAAATTTTTTTTAAGTCCACGGCTGGAGGGATAATATCCTATAAACTTTGTCAAGATTGCATCCAATTTATAACATCAAATAAAATACCTTTGATTGGCATGGTGAAGCTGCATCAAGGTGTGATTACATGCTTCTATTTCACTACTCTCTAGTTAATTAGCCTTGGGTAAGTCAGTCAACTTCTTTAAGTCTCGGCTTCCTGTAAAACCACTGTGATTACACTATCTGCCCCACAGAGATGTTATAACAAATGAGATTGCCTATGTGAAAGCATTTTGTAAAATGTCAGCAAGGCTACCCTTCTGATTCATTATTAGTAGTTTGGCAAACCTCACTCTCCTTCCCAAAGTCAACTTAGTTTAGTACATAAATGTTGGGAATAAATGGGTTAAAACCCATTTAGATAAAAACACACTCATTGCATATTTTCTGCATGGCACATATTAAAAGCATATATATATATATATATATATATATATATATATATATATATGTCTCATATGTGTATGTCACAGCTTCAGAAGACAATATATTTATTATTGTCACACAAAGTCATACAAAGTCATACATATATATATATGGTCCTCAAGTGGAAGAAATTGCTCTGATTCTTACATAATTTTTTGTTTTTTTTAAAAAAGTATAGAATCTAACTCTTAATAGGTCTTCTGTGAGGTATCTAAATAAATAATAGATCCACTCTTTGCTTTTAAAAATACCCTTGACTTCATCACCACATCACTGATTAGAGTAGAATTTACAAGTTTTGTACAATAAGTGGCTTTCCTCATAGGAAACAAAAATGCAGGAACAGTCTGGAGCATTTCCACAATTATATAAACTGAGTTTATAAGTTCTGAACAGACATCTGATTACCTTCCCATCCTGCAATTTTCTACTTTCTTTTGATTTTCTGGCTGTCAAATGACTATGCTCTGAGCAAAAATAAAGATGTTATAATTAGTTGTGTTGTGGGAAGTCAGGGACCCCAAACAGAGGGACCGGCTGAAGCCATGGCAGAAGAACATAAATTGTGAAGATTTCATGGACATTTATTAGTTCCCCAAATTAATACTTTTATAATTTCTTATGCCTGTCTTTACTGCAATCTCTGAACATAAATTGTGAAGATTTCATGGACATTTATCACTTCCCCAATCAATACTCTTGTGATTTCCTATGCCTGTCTTTACTTTAATCTCTTAATCCCGTCATCTTTGTAAGTTGAGGATGTATGTCGCCTCAGGACCCTGTGATGATTGCGTTAACTGCACAAATTGTTCGTAAGCATGTGTGTTTAAACAATATGAAATCTGGGCACCTTGAAAAAAGAACAGGATAACAGCGATGTTCAGGGAACAAGGGAGATAACCATTAGGTCTAGCTGCCTGTGGGCCTGGCAGGACAGAGCCATATTTCTCTTATTACCAAAAACAAGTAAGAGAAATATCGCTGAATTCTTTCCCCAGTAAGGAATATTAATAATTAACAGCCCTGGGAAAAGAATGCATTCCCAGGGTGGGGCCTTTAAAATGGCCACCCTGGGAGTGTCTGCCTTATGTAGATGTAGATAGGGATGAAACATGCCCTAGTCTCCTGCAGCACCTCTAGGCTTGCTAGGATTAGGAAATTCCAGCCTGGCGAATTCTAGTCAGACTGGTTCTCTGCTCTTGAACCCTGACAATGCATGTAAAGCGGGACATGGAAGTTCATTAGTGATTCTAGTTTCGACCTGACCTTCTGCCTTGTTATCTTTTGTCACCCTCGAAGCATGTGATCTCTGTGACCCACACCCTATTCGTACACTCCCTCCCCTTTGAAAATTGCTAATAAAAACTTGCTGGTTTTACTGCTCGGGGGCATCACAGAACCTGCCAGCATGTGATGTCTCCCCCGACACCCAGCTTTAAAATTTCTCTTTTTTATACTCTTTCCCTTTATTTCTCAGACTGGCCGACACTTAGGGAAATAGAAAAGAACCTATGTGAAATAACATTGAATTATCGGGGGTGGGGTCCCCCAATAAGTTGGAGTATTTTTTTGACTCCTAATTAAACTTTGTGATTTTTTTAAATAAAGCACTTACTATGTAGCAAAATGCTTTTTCATGGATGTCTTTTTATATCCTTTATACTTTTTATCTTTTAAAATAATTTATAAGAAGTACCATATTTTTATGTACTTTTGAATAGTATTTAATGTGTATTTAGTATTTAATATATATTAGATTATAATACAGTGAAAAAATGATAAATGTTTATGTGTACATCTTAATACTTTCTATTATTTCAGTTTTATAATTGCTATGTATGTAAACTTGCATTTTTATATGTTTATTTGTTTGAATACAGTAAAGAAATAGAAAATAGTAATACTATTTAGATCATGCAATGAGCATGCATTTCTTTAAAAATTAAAATAAATAGAATTTTAATTATAAGTATTATAACAGCATGTTGATATTAAAAACAAAAACTAAACTTTAGAAAAGAATTCTTAGAGTAAAATATGTGATTATTTTACACTGGTTGTGCTCTACATTCCATTAAAACAAACTCTCTACTGTCTTTTCTTTTTGGCAAGTCAGACAAAAATAACTGAGAAAAGCAGGTATTGTATTCCAGTCACATTCTGAGTGAGGGGAAATTGAATATTGCAGTCAACTGGCTATTGACTTGGTTTAACATTCGCCTATAACTAACTGATAAAATATTTCAATTAATTTATTTCAAAAAATCTTCTAAATTTTATAAGTTTTATGTTGAAGTGAATTGAAAATGTGGTTTAGGCCAGGCCTGGTGGCTCACACCTGCCATCCCAGCACTCTGGGAGGCTGAGGCAGGTGGATCACCTGAGGTCAGGAGTTTGAGAACAGCCTGACATGGCAAAACCCTGTCTCTACTAAAAATATAAAAATTAGCCAGGTGTGGTGGCACGCACCTGTAATCCCAGCTACTAGGGAGGCTTAGGCAGGAGAACCGCTTGATCCCAGGAGGTGGAGGTTGCAGTGAGCCGAGATCATGCCACTGCACTTCAGCCTGGGCAATAGAGCAAGACTCTATCTCAAAAAACAAACAAACAAAAACAAAAAAAAAAAGAAAAGAAAATGTGGTTTAGGATAAAATAGTGCAAAAAATTACTAAGTGTGTGTGTATGCAGGTATGTTTCCACATGTATGTGTGATGTGTGTTTATATGAACTGGGCAGTAAAACAGCTTATATGCTTAATGTATTTTTATTAAGTAGAATACCAACTTAAAATTGTTTTCAAGAGTATTTTAGAATTGAATTAGTGTTTTGTTTTACTTGTAATTTAAAACTTCAAAATGTGAACTGGTTAAAAAAAATAGAATGAGTAAGAATTTAATAGCATATCAGGGTTACTATAGTCAATAATAATTGTACATTTTAAAATAAGTATGTAATTGAATTGTTTGTAACACAAAGGATAAATTCTTGAGGGGATGGATACCTCATTTTCCATGATATAATTATTTCACATTGCATGCCTGAATCAGAACATCTTATGTATCTCATAAATATACATACCTACTATATACCTACAAAAATTAAAAAAAGAAATAGCAAATAAATTAAAATGTAAGTACAGCATCATACAGAGTTAATGTTTTTTGTCAAAGTTTCAGAAGACCGTATAGTTATTATTGTCACAAAAAGTCATTTCAACTTTCAATCAGGTAGTGAAGGAATTCTGTTTTCTGACCATTGACTAAGTGTATTTTTAAAAAGTAATTTGTCTTTCTTAATTGATGGTATTTTAATAAAAGTTATGATTACAGAAGCTAACAAAAATATTAAATAGATAAATACCATATTTAACATATAAGCTGTAAACAAATTTCTATATAAATTGCCAATAACAAAAAGGCAGGTAAAATGGAATTCATTCTAAAAGTCTTAAAATCTTTACAGATTTTATAGGGTATAAAAAGTAAAGATGGGGAAAAACCAGCGCAAAACAGCTGAGAATTCCAAAAACCAGAATGCCTCTTCTCCTTCAAAGGATCACAACTCCTTGCCAGCAAGGGAACAAAACTGGACGGAGAATGAGTTTGACGAACTGATAGAAGTAGGCTTCAGAAAGTGGGTAATAACAAACAACTCTGAACTAAAGAAGCACATTCTAACCCTATGCAAGGAACCTAAGAACCCTGAAAAAAGGTTAGTCGAATTGCTAACTAGAATAACCAATGTAGAGAAGAAGATAAATGACCCGATGGAGCTGAAAAACACAGCACGAGAACTTCGTTAAGAATACACAAGTATCAATAGCTGAATTAATCAAGCAGAAGAAAGAATATCAGTGACTGAAGATCAACTGAATGAAATAAAGAGAGAATACAAGATTAGAGAAAAAAGAATAAAAAGGAACAGACAAAGCCTCCAAGAAGTATGGGACTATGTAAAAGAACAAATCCACCTTTGATTGGTGTACCTGAAAATGACAGGGAGAATGCAACCAAGTTGGAAAACACTCTTCAGGATATTATCCAGGGGAACTTCCCCAACCTAGCAAGACAGGCCAACATTCAAATTCAGGAAATATAGAGAACACCGTAAAGATACTCTTCAAGAAAAGCAACCCCAAAACACATAATCATCAGATTTACCAAGGTTGAAATGAGGGAAAAAATGTCAAGGGCAGCCAGAGAGAAAGGTCAGGTAACTCACAAAGGGAAGCCCATCAGACTAACAGCAGATTTCTCAGCAGAAACCCTAAGGGCCAGAAGAGAGTGGCGGTCAATACTCGACATTCATAAAGAAAGAATTTTCAACCCAGAATTTCATATCCAGCCAAACTAAGCTTCATAAGCGAAAGAGAAATAAAATCCTTTACCGACAAGCAAATGCTGAGGGATTTATGTCACCACCAGACCTGCCTTACAAGAGCTCCTGAAAGAAGCACTAATCATGGAAAGGAACAACCGGTACCAGCCACTGCAAAACATACCAAATTGTAAAGAACATCGACACTATGAAGAAACTGCATTAACTAATTGGCAAAACAATCAGCTAGCATCATAATGACAGGATCAAATTGACACATAACAATATTAGCCTTAAATGTAAATGGGCTAAATGCCACAATTAAAATACACAGACTGGCAAATTTGATAAAGAGTCACAACCCATCGGTGTGCTATATTCAGGAGACCCAGCTCTTGTGCAGAGACAAACATAGGCTCAAAATAAAGGGATGGAGAAATATTTACCAAGCAAATGGAAAACAACAACAACAACAACAACAAAACAGGAGTTGCAATCCTAATCTCTGATAAAACAGTCTTTAAACCAACAAGGATCAAAAGAGACAAAGAAGGGCATTACATAATGGTAAAGATAACAATGCAGCAAGAAGAGCTAACTATCCTAAATATATATGCACCCAATACAGGAGCAACCAGATTCATAAAGCAAGTTCTTAGAGACCTACAAAGAGACTTAGACTCCCACACAATAATAGTCGGAGACTTTAACACCCCACTGTCAATATTAGACAGATCAACGAGACAGATAATTAACAAGGATATTCAGGACTTGAACTCAGCTCTGGACCAAGCAGACCTAATAGACTTATACAGAACTCTCCACCTTAAATCAAGAGAATATGCATTCTTCTCAGGACCTCATCACACTTATTCTAAAATTGACCACATAATTGGAAGTAAAACACCCCTCGGCAACTGCGAAAGAACGGAAATCATAACAAACAGTCTCTCAGACCACAGTGCAATCAAATTAGAACTCAGGATTAAGAAATTCACTCAAAACCACACAACTACATGGAAACTGAACAATCTGCTCCTGAACGACTACTGGGTAAATAATGAAATGAATGCAGAAATAAAGATGCTCTTTGAAACCAATGAGAATGAAGACACAATGTACCAGAATCTCTGGGTCACATTTAAAGCAATGTTTATAATGCACTAAACGCCCATAAGCGAAAACAGGAAAGATCTAAAATCAACACCCTAACATCACAATTAAAAGAACTAGATAAGCAAAAGCAAACAAATTCAAAAGCTAGCAGAAGACATGAAATAACTAAGTTCAGAGCAGAACTGAAGGAGATAGAGACAAGAAAAACCCGTCAAAAAATCGATGAATCCAGGAGCTGGTTTTTTAAAAGGATCAACAAAATAGATAGATCGCTAGCCAGAATAATAAAAAAGAAAAGAGAGAAGAATCAAATAGATGCAATAAAAAATGATATAGGGGATATCACCGCTGATCCCACAGAAATACAAACTACCATCAGAGAATACTATAAACACCTCTACGCAAATAAACTAGAAAATCTAGAAGAAGTGGATAAATTCCTGGACACATACACCCTCCTAAGTCTAAGCCAGGAAGAAGTCAAATCCCTGAATAGACCAGTAACAAGTTCTGAAATTGAGGCAGTTATTAATAGCCTACCAACCAAAAAAAGTCCACGGCCAGATGGATTCACATCCAAATTCTACCAGAGGTACAAAGAAGAGCTGGTATCATTCCTTCTGAAACTATTCCAAACAATGGAAAATGAAGGAATCCCCCTAACTCATTTTATGAGGTGAGCATCATCCTGATACCAAAATCTGGCGGAGACACAACAAAAAAGAAAATTTCAGGCCAATATCTCTGAAGAACATCAATGCGAAAATCCTCAATAAAATACTGGCAAACCGAATTGAGCAGCACATCAAAAAGCTTATCCACGAGGATCAAGTCGGCTTCATCCCTGGGATACAAGGGTGTTCAACATATGCAAATCAATAAACGTAATCCATCACATAAACAGAACGAATGACAAAAACCATATGATTATCTCAATAGATGCAGAAAAGGCCTTCCATAAAATTCAACACCCCTTCATGCTAAAAACTCTCAATAAATTAGGTATTGATGGAACATATCTCAAAATAATAAGAGCTATTTATGCAAACCCACAGCCAATATCATACTGAGTGGGCAAAAACTGGAAGCATTCCCTTTGAAAAGCTGGAAGCATTCCCTTTGAGAAGGATGCCTTCTCTCACCACTCCTATTCAACACAGTATTGGAAGTTCTGGCCAGGGCAATCAGGCAAGAGAAAGCAATAAAGCGTATTCAAATAGGAAGAGAGGAACTCAAATTGTCTCTGTTTGCAGATGACATGATTTTATATTTAGAAAACCCCATGGTCTCAGCCCAAAACCTCCTTAAGGTGACAAGCAACTTCAGCAAAGTCTCAGGATACAAAATTAATGTGCAAAAATCACAAGCATTTCTTTACACCAATAACAGACAGAGAGCCAAATCATGAGTGAACTCCCATTCACAATTGCTACTAAGAGAATAAAATACCTAGGAATACAACTTAAAAGGGATGTGAAGGACCTCTTCAAGGAGAACTACAAACCACTGCTCAAGGAAATAAGAGAGGACACAAACAAATGGAAAAACATTCCATGCTCATGGATAGGAAGAATCAATATCATGAAAATGACGATACTGCTCAAAGTAACTTATAGATTCAATGCTATCCCAATCAAGCTACCACTGACTTTCTTCACAGAATTAGAAAAACTACTTTAAACTTCATATGGAACCAAAAAAGAGCCTGCACAGCCAAGACAATCTGGTCTAGAAGAACAAAGCTGGAGGCATCACGCTACCTGACTTTAAACTATACTACAAGGCTACAGAAACTGAAACAGCATGTCACTGGTACCGAGACAGATATATGGACTAATGGAACAGAACGGAGGCCTCAGAAATAACACCACACAGTGGCTACAACAATCTGATCTTTGACAAACCTGACACACACAAGCAATAGGGAAAAGATTCCCTATTTAATAAATTGTATTGGGAAAACTGGCTAGACAAATGCAGCAAACTGAAATTGGACCCCTTCCTTACACCCTTTACAAAAATCAACTCAAGATGGATCAAACACTTAAATGTAAGACCTAGGACCATAAAAATCCTAGAATAAAACCTGGGCAATACCATTCAGGACATAGCCATGGGCAAAGACTTCATGACTAAAACACCAAAAGCAATGGCAACAAAAGCCAAAATTGACAAATGGGACCTAATTAAACTAAAGAGCTTCTGCACAGCAAAAGAAACTGTCATCAGAGTGAACAGGCAACCTACAGAATGGGAGAAAATTTTTGCAATCTATCCATCTGACAAAGGGCTAATATCCAGAATCTACAAAAAAAATTTACAAGAAAAAAAAACTGCATCAAAAAATTGGCAAAGGATATGAACAGACTCTTCTCAAAAACAGACATTTATGCAGCCAACAGACATATGAAAAAATGCTCATCATCCCTGGTCATTAGAGAAATGCAAATCAAAACCACAATGGGGTACCATCTCATGCCAGTTAGAATGAGATGCAGTGAGCAACAGATGCAGAGAGGTTGTGAGAAAAGAAGAACACTTTTTCACTGTTGGTGGGAGTGTAAATTAGTTCAACCATTGTGGAAGACAGTGTGGCAATTCCTCAAGGATCTAGAACTGGAAATACCATTTGACCCAGCAATCCCATTACTGGGCATATACCCAAAGGATTATAAATCATTCTATGATAAAGATACATGCATGCATATGTTTATTGCGGCACTATTTACAATAGCAAAGACTTGGAAGCAACCCAAATGTCCATCAATGATAGACTGGATCAAGAAAATTTGGCACATATACACCATGGAATACTATGTAGCCATAAAAAGGATGAGCTCATGTCCTTTGCAGGGACATGAATGAAGCTGGAAACCATCATTCTCAGCAAACTATCACTAGATCAGAAAACCGAACACCACATATTCTCACTCATAAGTGGGAGTTGAACAATGAGGACACATGGATACAGGGAGGGGACCATCACCCACTGGGACCTGTCAGGGGGTGGGGAGCTAGGGGAGGGATAACATTAGGGGAAATACCTAATGTAGCTGATGGGTTGATGGGTGCAGCAAACCACCAGGGCACGTGTTTACCTATGTCACAAAACTGCACAATCTGCACAAGCAACCCAGAACTTAAAGTATAATAAAAAAAATGAGAGGAGAGACTATTAACAAATAAAAAGAGACTTGAGAGAGTATTAAATGTGTGTATCTTGTTAGGATCTTGATTCATACAAATGATGTATAAAAAGATATTTTAGAGAAATTTGAATATATATTGGGTATTATTTGATCTTAAGAAATTCTTGATTTTAAAAGGTGTGGTAATGGCACAGCAGTTATTTTGGAAAAATAAAGTCCTTGGCAGTTGAAAAAAAAAAAAAAGAGTAACCTAATAAATCTTTGCAATACCTCTGAAACAGATAGAAGAGAAGAAATAGGTAATTCCAGGACTATGAATTCAGTTTTTTTTATGGTTGTCTATGGATCAATGCATATTAGGATTCTTGACTGGTGAAATAAGTTAGACCAAAATGGCAGGCTTGCCAGACTACATGAATTAGATTTCTTTCTCTGTTTAAAAATTGTAACTGATAACTGACCTTACTATTGATGAGATTAAATGCATGCCCAGACCAGCTAATCTTTATTGGCTGCAGTCTGATTTTCTACATTTGTTTGCCCATTCAGATGTTATCCAAATTTTATCTGCATAAATAAAAATGTATAAAATGAAGAATGGAGTGTAAGAGACTAATTTTTCTCAGTACTCAACTTTTCAACCTTCTCGACGGCATGTAGAATCCCCAGAGGAGCATATGTTAATATATCAATGCAAGGTCTGCACCAGACCAAACAAAATCACAATCATTGAGGATAGAGCCAGGGTATCAGATTCTTTGGTTACTAGTAAGGGAGTTCCAAAACTCCAACTTTAGTTGACTTAAGAATAAAAAAAGACAGAGCAGAAAAGGGAGAGGAAAAAAGTTAGGGTAAGGGAGTGAGAGAAGGAAAGGAAGGAGAGAATGAGGGAGAGAGAAAGAGAGAGGTTAATAATCTATTGAGCAGTCCAGGGCCAATATTGGCTTCAGGCATGATCAAATCTATATTTAAATATGTTATCAGAAATCTGTCATTCTGCACATCTTGGCTCTGCTTTCTTTTGTGAAGGGTGCATTCAGAGAAGTTCTCCTCAACTGGAAGAAATCAGGTGCTCCTGACATACATTCCTTCATTCTCTGAAAAATGAGATGATCACAATAGTGCCAAATACATAGACTTGTTTTGATCTTTGCATATCTAATAAATGTAAAGAACTCATAATGTTTTGTATATAGTAGACTCAAAAAAGTGAACCATTATTAGTTAGTTAAGCCTTCTGTAAGTCAACTATTGCCACAAAAAAAAAAGTTGTATAATAAAGAAACTTACATACAGTTTCTTTAAAATAATCCATGGAAGAAACCAGTCATGGGTACCTTGCTTGTACATTGTCGCCTACTACTACTACTACTACCAACAATAATAATAATGATGATGATAATGTTTGTGGTATTTCCCATTTGAAAACAGTATCAAAATGCCTCCCCAAACTGAAGGAATAGATTAAGAAAAACCTATGTCTATGTTAATATACTGTGATTCTCTTTAAAGGCAGTAGGTAAGTGGCTGGATCTAGCAGCAGGAGATGAATGAAGACCTCCTTTGAGAAGGGAAGGCATTTTGATACAGTTGATCCTCATTTGCCATGGTCATGACACAGTCACTCTGAACACTGAATTAATGAATACAAACCATTGTTCCTATGGAAAATACAAGGTTATGTTCCTATAAGCCTCTGGTCACAATATTTTTGTCAATCAGTTAATTCACAACCTTGTTTTATGTGTGTTTCTGTTTAAAGACACCTTACTTAATATATGTTATTGATTCACTACCCTTGAACTCATGGCTAACAGCACTCTAACTTATGCCCAAACAAAGCTTATCTAACACACATATTTTCTCCATAATGCACATCACAGACTTCTTGTGCTTAAAATAGTAGACAACAATTTAGCACTATGCTTCAAGGACATTTTACAGCAAACCTGCTAACAAACAAAACAAAAATGTGAAAAACTTAGCAGTAAGTAGACTGTGGAAAGAACTTTGTATGAGGGCTGGAAGAAGGCAGAGCATCTCCTGGTGGATCTCAGCTGGGAATATGTACGTCAGATGACTGAAATTTTTTGCTGCTCTGCACATGTTCATTAAGTGCCACGAGTATTCATTTGGGGATTACAAATAAATTTTAACAAGTAGGCAAATTCGCAATTAGAAAATCTGCAAATAATGAGGATTGACTTTATGTAGTTAACTTATATAGTACATAAATTATGTTGTATTTGGTGCATTATTTTTGTATAAAATTAGTTCAATTATTCTCAAGCAATCATTCCAGTATATCTTGAAGACACACACTAACCCCTCCATTTATGGATACTAAAAAATAAGGAAAGAAACGAGGAAGGGAGAGAGAGAGAGGGAGAAAGAGAAGGAGAGAGGAAGGCAAGAAGGGATGAAGGAAGGGAGGGAGGAAAAAAGGGAAGAAAGCAAACGAAAGAAAAATCAGATGGATAGGACATAGTAAGGAAGAAAATGGGAAAAGGAAAAGGAAGGAAGTACGTCAAGATAAGGTCGGTACAAATGATAACAAAAATCATCATGCTAATGTCTGGGATGGGCAGACCTAAAAGCAGCCCCATTCATAGAATGACATTAATTATTTTCCTAGAGAAAAACAATCACCCTATTCCTTTTCCTGGGTAATAGGAGAAGAACACAGGAATAAGATATTTAAAGAAAATGTGGTTGGAAAAAATTGGCTTTTGCTCTGTTTAGCTGGGGAAATGACTAAACTGCCACAAACCTGTTTTCTTATCTTGAAAGAATAAGGGACTTTCAGCTGGATCCCTCAACAAAACAAGTTACAGGTACTATCGAGAATGAGAAATGTCATACACAGTTGTACGACCTGCCTATGAAAAGGCTCCTATATGACTGCTAGCTTTTCTTATCAGTAGACAAAAAGTGAACTTTATTCTTTATAATCAATAATCAATGATCAACCTAATGTATTTTTAAGGCAGTTTTAAGATTGATTGAGAAGGAATTTTTCCTTGATCTGATTTTAAATGTGCTTCCGCTGAAATCATCCTAGAGCTAGAAAATGAAATATCCTAAACTGAGTTTTGGAGCAGTGAGTGAGTTGGAAAATCAGCACCTGTGTAGAAAACCCAAATGAAAAGACAATTAAGATAGCTGAGTCATGATGACTGAAACAAATTAAATGTGTATGTGTGTGCACATGTGTGTCTGTGTGCATGGGTTTGGTATGGTAGATGGAAGTCTTGAGCATTAAGTACAAAATATGAAGGGAAATAAAGGCCTTTACTTCCTGGGGCTGTTATGAAAAAACAAAGAAGATTAACAGTGTAATCAACATCTAATTTTTTATAATATATTTTATTAAGGTACAATTTCTAGATGGAGCTTATGCAGACTGACCACAGTAAATTGAGACACAGCAAATTGCTGCTGTCTTGGCAAACTTTAACTCCAGAAACTCTTAGAATTTATTTTCTTAAGTACTTTCTGCAAATAAATTAAAGATATTTCAGTTTCCAAGGTTACAACTTTCCATATTTTAAAGTCCTTTATTAAGCAAGATGGCATTTTCCCCATCTGCCCTGTTTTCTGTATCTTTTTAAGATCATCACTCACCACATGTATTTGTTTGGCAGAACGACGTCAGGCAATACCCCATTCTCAACCATGTCTGAAGAACTGCATTAAACAGACCAAAATACAACCAGAAAGTGAGCATATATAATATGCATCTCTTTCTTCATTAAAAAAGAACTTGCAACTCTGGGTCAAGTGTTTTGGGCTAGGATCAACCTTTGTTTTAAGATACTCCTATAATAAAACCCAAATAATGAGAAGCTAAGCTTATTTTCCTGAAGTCTCCATTACTTATTGATTAAAGTCACATCTCTACTGTCCAGAGAATTTCTGTGATAAATAAAGCCATTTATCAGGAAGTGAAACATCAGGTAACAATCCCACTGGGGGAGGTAATGTTGCAATTTAGGCATTTTCCAACTTAACCACTTTTCAAAATAGCTAAAAACTAAAAGTTTAACTAATTCACTGAAAATGTAAACCCTTTTCAACAGTTATAATAAGAAATATCACTTTTGGAAATCTAACTGTGTCAGACCTATAAGTAAATACTAGTTAGATGTCTTAAAAGGACTCAACAGGCAATTGTTAAAATCATGGCAACATAGGATTAAGATTTAATTTGAAGTGAACGCTAGAAGAAAATATGGTTCCAAGAGAGAAACAATAAAAAGTAAACTAAGGTAGAGGAAAAGTATGGTATCTAAATTAGGAGAATATTCATAAGTGTGTAACACTGTATTAGTCAAAGCTCTCTGAGAATCAATAGGATATGTGTCTATAACACACACTATATATATATACACACACACACACACAGCAAATTGCTGCTGTATTGGCAAACTTTAACTCAATATCTTATTAGAATTTGTTTTCTTAAGTACATTCTGCAAATAATTGTGAAGATATTTCAGTTTATAAGGCTACAACTTGGAAATTGAAGTTGTATACATAAATGAGGAAAATAGGGGAAAGGTCCTTATAAAACCATCAGATCTCATGAGAACTCACTCACTATCACAAGAATAGCAGGAGAGTAACCAAACTTATGATTAAGTTACATCCCACCAGATCCCTTCCACGACATGTGGAGATTATGGGAACTACAATTCAAGATGAGATTTGGGTGGAGACACTGACAAACCATATCATTCTGCCACTGGCTCCTTCCAAATTCCATGTCCTCACATTTCAAAACACAATCATGCCCTTCCAACAGTTCCCCAAAGTCTTAACTCATTACAGCATTAACTCAAAAGTCCAAGTCCAAAGTCTCATCTGAGGCAAGGAAAGTCCCTTCTGCCTATGAGCCTGTAAAATCAAAAGCAAGTTAGCTACTTCTTAGCTACAATGGGGGTACTGGAATTTGGTAAATACACCCATTTCAAATGGGAGAAATTGGCCAAAACAAAGGGGCTACATGTTTCCAGTGTCATTCTCCAGTGAAACGAACGAGGACTCCTTTGAGAAATGGCTGATTCCAGGGCACAGAAGGAATAAAACAATGAGGCTGGAGCACTCTATAGTGTCAGAAAATAAGTACAAAACACATACACATACACATACACACACACATACACATACACACACACATACACACACACACATATACACATACACACAGAGAGAGAGAGAGACATCAATATCAATGGGGGTATGCCAAAGGGACACAGGAGCCAAATGAAAGCATTCAAGAGCTCCCAAGGGCCAAAGCTGGAAGAATTTGAGCAACGAAGTATACAAAGTGTGTTAGATTAAAACCAAAAGTATAAAATGTATGAGCCCATAGTTATATAAATAAATATCTATGAGTCCATAGTTATATAAATATCTGAGTCCATACTTAAATAAATAGCTATGAGTCCATAGCTATATAAATAAATGATTAAATAAATAAATTAGAGAATAGGCAAATCTCCCATGCAGAAGAATTCAAAATCATGAACATAGATTCTCTTCCCTCAAAGAAGTGGACTTAATTCTCAATACATTAAACATGGACTGAGCATAGTGACTTCCTTTCAAAGAGTACAGTGTAGAAAGAAGGTTTAAAAAAAAAAAGAATAAGTTTACAGTGGAAAAACCTGACAAATACTATCTCAGCCAGGTTATCAAGGTAAACATCAACAGAGAAGTCATATTAATAGATTGTACCCTTGATTTCATGTGATAAGAATGATATTTTACATCTGTAGTGTTCCTACCCCAAACCATAGTCCGGTCTAATCATGAATAAAAACCTAGGTAAACCCTATTTCAGAGACTGACAAAAATATCTAACCAGGACTTCTCAAAACTCTCAAGGTCATCAAAAACTTGGAAAATCTGAGAAACTGTCACAGTCAAGAGGAGCCTAGGGAATATGAAGACTAAATTGGATGGGATCCCGGCATGGAAAAGGGACATTAGGTAAAAACTAAGGAAATATGAATAAACTATGGACTTTAAAACAAAAGAAAATAAGTTACTTTGTTGTTGCTCAAGGTCACAGAACTTTTAAATGTTTAATTAAGTGGGGCTTGAGCTCTGGGTTCTGTTGCCTTCGAAGCCTGTGCTTAATTCCATTTTACAGGTCTGCTTGCAAGGGAAGAGCTCCAGCCTCCTATTTCATTTCTTAGGAGTGCTTGTAATGAGCTCTTCTGGGTATACAAAAGGTATAGGAAGAAAATTCTTGTTTCTTTCTCTAGATTTGTCTAGTTTACTCTTGAGAGAGTTTTGATTGATGCTTCCATCCATAAAACCTGTTTAGGCTGTAGTAAGATGTATTTACAATCAATTTTAATGTATGGGTTATATTTTTAATGTATCAGATTATATCTGACTCCATATATGCCTTTCCTTTTATCTTCTAGATCTTCCTTTAATCCACTGTGCTAGCTCAACTTGTTTACTGCAGGATTTTTCAAAGTCTATAATGTACTGACATTCATTTTAATTATCTCATGGAAATGTATAAGATGTAATGTTTCCAAACAACTCTAGCCATTGAGCCCTTTCTCAGTATATTTTGAGGGATTTATGCTTTTTGAGAACACTGTGGGAAGCACTGTCCTATATGTACGTGCCCCGTAAATGTCTTAGGTTGGCCAAGCCAACATGGGGGAAGCAAGTAAAAAGCTTTCAGCCTCTGGAGCTCTGCCAACAACCTTTCATGGGTGACCCCTTTATCTGGTCCTCCCATTCAGTTCTTCTGGTTCTTCTACTCCCCTTGTTATTGCTTTGTAATTTTGATTCTTCATCCACACCTGTGGAGGATGGACTGGCTCTGGCCTTAGCACCTTCCTTTCAGAAAGAATTCCAAAATCCATTTTTTAGCATAAGTGCTGGGATTGATCATGAGGAAAGTGCTACCAACGTTTTCACAACAAATCATTAGCTGCTGGAGAAAATGATCAGACCCATTCTTCAGCATGGCTTTCTAGCGGACAGAAGGGAGAGCTCAAACACATATTTACTGTCAAAAATTCCTTCTTTTCTGTTTGTTCTTTGTTCTTCATAATAAATACCTTGCAGTAGATTAAGATGTCTTATTTTCTCCCAACACATTTTTTCAGCAAAAATATTCCATTATATTTATATTAATATTTTCCTGTGAAAACTAGGATATTTCAGGAGGGCAAGGCACCTACCAATCAGTAAAGGACCTGCTGATATAGAGAGACAAAAATGGATTTATAATTTATTTACTTTTGTTTCTTTTTGATAAACATTCAATTTAACTATAAGTGTATTGATTTAATTTGAATCAATCAATTTTTAAAAATGTGTTATTCAACAAATGCAATAATTAAAATGTTAGCTTCCGGGAAGCTCAGAGCCAAGTTTTCCACCTTCGTTATCTTGAACATTTGTGTATGTGGTGGGGTTGGGGAAGGCAAATAAAAGTGTTTAAGTAAAGTGTATAAGTGGACCATTTCCCTTGCTCTGTTTCAAAACTACACTTTCCACGAAGACTTCAACATATGTCCTTTTCTTACCTATATTTCATAGTATTATTGCCAAATTTGACTGTTACGTACTTAAAACATTATCAGAGGTATTGAATTAAGAAGTAGGAAGTATAGCCATTAGTATAGTAAGTATAGACATTCAAGATTTAATCAATCTTCTGAAAGTTGGCTTTTTCATTGTGTGGTAACTAACATGATAAATGATAGTAGCCATAAATTCTCCCCACTTTTAGTTAAGAAGCACCTGTTTTTTTTTCTGATCTCAAGTATTCAGTTTTACCACCCACTGCAAAAATCTCAGATTGCCATAATACAAGATTATGCTCAGGTTAGATGGACTAATTCATTTCTCTTTTTAAATAGCTCAGATATATAATCTGTGTTATACATGGTTAATATCTCCCAGTATCCATTCTTATATTTACTTCTTTTTAAATAAGTAAATTTAGAATTTATTTCTAGAATTTCTAGAACCTTCTGCTCAGGTTTTAGTTGGATATACGGTTTCCTAGCCAGAGACTAGATTTCCAGCCTCTTTTGCAGCTTAGGTCACTCATACGACTAAGCTTCAGGCTATGGGATATGATTAGAGGTAATGGGAGTATCTTTCAGGTCAAATCCCTTAAAAAGAAAATTTCTTGTGCTCCAATTCTCTTTTCTTTCTTTCGTTGGACTAGAATGCAGATATTATAGCGAGTTATCTCTGATCAGGCTGTCATGAACATCACTATGAAAGATTTAATAGATTTAAGAGCCACATAACAGAATGAACCTGGGTCCTTAGAGCAGAGCCACTGGGGTTACTTACCAACTCTGGACAATTATGTGTGAGAGGAATAGGCCTCTATCTTGTTTGAGCCACTGTATTTTGAGGACTCTGTCATAACAGCTTAATATATACTATAAAACATCACCTAAAGCTTTTGATTCATTTTTATATGAATTGTAGCATACAGGATCATATTTTTTTTATTGTCCTCAGTAGCCAACAACTTGGGCAGGATCTCCACAGTGACGATTTAATCATGCTTGGATATATCTTTCTAGTTTAGGAGCATGGAACCTAGAGCCTTCTGAGGCCAGAGCCTGTCAGTGACTCCAACTTCAGAATCCAGGACACTGACCCCATTTGTCAAAAGTGTCTGTCAGGACATTTCAACAGGAGGAAGAACTCAGTCAAGATACATAAATAGTTACTGGTTTTGCAGTCCAAAAAATACTAAGCCAGTAGAAGACAAGCTACAAGCCAGAATTAGTGGGTTGATAGCCTGAGATGCAGAAATACCAGGGTAATCTACATCTCCACCCACAAGATGAACAAAGCAAGAAATAAACATGGTTAGGAGAGTGAGTATAAGGTTCCCATAAGTTGCAGAGTTGGCTTAAAATGAGTCAACTGAAGTTGTCTTTTGCATGTATAGCTTGAGATGGCTCAGCTAAGAAGAGAGATGGGCTGCACTGGACATAGTAAGTCTACAAGACAGAATGACTGAAGATATTTGTGCTGAGAATTGCCTAGAGATTGTGTAAGCAGTCAACTTAACTCATCTTTACCCACCCATGCTATATAAGGGGATGGCAAGTTGGGGGAGGGTTGTAGTAAGTGGCCCAAAAAGCAGATGCACACATTTAACTTTATGTTGGAATGAGCTTAGATTTTGAGGAAAATGCTGGCCATACTGGCTAGTCTACACTGGAGACAGATACATAGTCCTGGAAAAATTCAGTAAAGTTACCATCCCGAGGGCCTTTATGGAAAGAAATCCTCAAGGTGCAGGCTGCTACAGCTTGACTTTGAACTTTACAGATCCAGATTTTCCTGGTTAGGGCAATGACTCTGTTACAGAAGAAATAATATATCTTCACATACAGACTTTTAAATATAAGAAAGTAAAACACAGTACAAATATACTTCTTTTACTGCTCTTCCAGTAGGTACCAGCCTGGACTTTGGAGTCGATTTTATGCATATTTACAAAGCTTCCAGCTTCATATTGTCTGTGCCAGGCTTAGGGGGTCAGCACTACATTAGCTATCCAAATTTTGTTTCCTTTTTTTTTTTGACTGGTTTTCTTCATGTCCTTCCATATATTTTCTATACAATAAAAATATACATACTCTCTTTTTAATAAAAGTATGCTGTTATGCATATTTTTCTGCTTCTTGCTTTTTTAACCTTCTTGATTGGAAGGCAGAAATTTGAGGTAACATTTAACATTTGAGCACACGAAATTGGGTATGGGAAATCGATTTTTCTCTTAGTGACTTTTGTTCTTGTATTTCTTTTATTTTATTTTATTATTATTACACTTTAAGTTTTAGGGTACATGTGCACAATATGCAGGTTTGTTACATATGTATACATGTGCCATGTTGGTGTGCTGCACCCATTAACTCGTCATTTTCTTAAATGTCACCTTGATGTTCCTTAAGGGCCAAGAGAAAGAATTTTAAGGTGATTAATATGTTTTATCTTCCACCTCAAGAGGCACCATTCTGCCATACATTAGTGATCTGAAGTTGACTATAAATTTAATTAGTTTGCCTTTGCTATGGCCTGGCATTTTTGTGATGCACGTTGTTCCCATGGATGCAAGGGCAGTATATTTAACTAATAAACAATTACAAAGAATAATGACATTTTATCATGGTGTGTATACCCTTTCTTGTATAAATATACAGAAGCAACTCAATAAATTTTATTTAAAACTCAAAAAAAAAGAAGCTGAGTAAAGATTTTCATTGCAGCATCAGCTTATAGATACTCAAATCAGTTGTTAGATCCTTACCTTAGTATCAGATCCACTAGGAAATCTTATGACTGGCTCCTAGGGGAGAGGAAGGGGAATATAATAAAGGCAAAGTGATAGTGAATTGGGTGAGTCAGTTATCTTTGAAACATCATGAAAAACATACAGAAACTGAGACCCCAGAGCCAACTCAGTTACAGTGTGAAGAGTGCAATGCAGATGATGGGGGAGGGTATTTCTCACCCACTCTTATGCAGTTAGTGGTGAAGAGGAGCAGAAGAGCAATAGCAATGGGAGGAAAGTTTCTGAAGCAAGGTCAGGAATGTCTGCAGCCAAGAAGAGGAAGAAAAATAGAGACCACTTTAGCCATTCAGTGATTGCTGGAAATGACAAAAAGCAGGGATACTCATAGGTGGTGACGAGGAAGACCAAATTTGCCACCCCAAAAAGCCACTTGAGCCACTTCCGGAGGTTCTGATGATGAAAGGAAGAAAATGGTCAGGTGCTTGGAGTTCTGGTGATGCTGCCAAAGAGGTCTCAGTGAAAGACTGTTTGGTCATTAATACTGTCATCCACATTCCTCATTCGCACTCCCTGATTTTAGTGGAAAACACAGGACTATTTTTGATTCTCAGAATAGATTTCTCTTTCATGATTGAGGACATAATATAGAGAAAACTCCACTGACTTAAGATTTGGCTATTTCATATTTTTGCAGATAACTAATGAAGGGCCCTTGAGAGATACAGAACTACAGTACATGACAAAAGAGCAACATCCCATAAATGCGCACATACACACACACACACACACACACACACACACACGCATTTTAGACTTGGCAAAAAGATCTTTGACGTGAAATTGTTACATAATGATTAATGAGAATTATTTTGCCTTTCTTCTGAAGAGGAAAGAGGGAAAATATCATACTGCAACCTACATTACCCTTTGTGATGATAATTTATTATAGTAAGGGATAGAAATCTGGTGCTATCTGCAATGTCCCTTCATGAAAATGAAGAATAAACTCGAAGGGAAAAGCTCCTCTTAAACTTGTTCACAGACTTCTCTTTCAATGTTTTGACCTTGCTCCTATAAAATTTGGTGCAGAATGGCAAAGGGATAAAATAATATTTTTCCACCGTAAACCATTTATTTGGATATTTGAAAAAAAAGTAGTATACGGATGGTTGTATTTAGGGAAAACAAAATGTTGACATATAGTGGTTCACTTGACTGAACTGAATTTTCCAACCCAAATGAAAAAAACAAAAACCAAAGGAGGAATAGCAGATGAGGGCAAAATTAGGACGGTTACTGGGAAAATTAATGGTTGCCTTCCTGACATTACGTGGAAGGTGCCTACAGATCTCCATACATCAGAATTTTTTTCTTTATATTTACACCCAGGGTGCCTAAACCTCTTATGATTTCCTTAGGCTAAAACATCACTGAAAACAGCTGAAATGTAACTGCTCCTCTGGAGGGCAGTACGATGAGATGACAGAAGCCCTGGAAAGGACACAAAGACCAACTCAGAGTCTCTGCCACTTACTCATTATGAGACTCTGGACAATGTGCCTAACCTTGCTGGGCCTCAATTTTTCAACTGCATTATAGGGTGACATCTACAATCAGCTAATATGTGTGGATAGGCCTTAAATAAAGAATCTAATTTGGCTTGTTTACAGGGGATGAAGAAAATAATGGAAGGTCAGACTGTAGAAATACGGAAGAGCTGATGAGGAGGGTTTAGGGTGCTAAGTCAAAGAATTTGGAATTTATTCTCTATTTTATAAGGCATACTTGATATCATTAAAGGCAGTGACAATGTATACTAATGTTTTAGTTTTAAATATTGAGAGAATGAATAAAAAGATTTGGGCTACTGAGTTATTAAAAACATAGAGAAAACATTTTGAATTTGAGTCCACTGTATTACAGTGTATAAAGCTTTTTTTAATACTGTAGGAATTAATCCAATTTCCTTTCCTTTTTTCTTCTCCTTTTTTTTCCAGTAGAAAAAACAACAACAACGCTGCTTTGGAACTGTAAAACAAATAGTGCATTGAAGAAAGTTAACAGTTTTTCACTGTAACTTTCGTTTTGGGAGGTATCAAGTACTCAAGGATCAGGATGCACATCAAGGCCTTGAGGTATACTACTTGCCTTATTCCTTTATACAATAATAATCACTAAATGATCACTACTTGGGATTCCTGCTTTAATATTATCCAAACAGTGCTTATCAAAAGAAAGTTACAGTTTTCTTTGCTGCTTTTTCAATACATTCAATAAATTGCATCTTTTCACCTTTATAAGATTTTGGAGTCACATAAAATTAAAATAATTGGTAATAATGACAACAAGGAAATAGACGAGGGCAGATATCTACATCAACCATGCTTCACTAGCTGCCTACACCATGGCCAGCTAGCCTTGTTCTTACCTGGTTTTACATGAGAAATTTGAGTATAGTCAATACAAAGTATGAAAGAAAGAAGAAGGGTTTAAAAATTGTTGTCAGGATCATGTGACTAATGCCAGCCCATAATTGCAATTTAATTAAAAAAAAAACCTCTAAAACATTGACATACCATATGTGCAACAACAGTCAATGGTAGACAGGAAAAGATATAAATATAGTATTTGAATATAGTATATCTTAAAAAAATTGAATAAGGAGTAGATTGCTTTGGAATTCTAATTACTAATAAAACTTACTTAAAATTTAAAAATAGCATGAGAATGTTTTGTGAAATCAATTTTTAACTCAATTGGGTAAATGCCTAGGAGCATGATTGCTAGATTATTCAGTGAGAATATATTGTTTTATAAAAAACTGCCAAACTGATTTCCAAAGTAGATATTTTGCATTCTCATCAGCAGCAAATGAGAGTTTCTATTCTTATCCATTCTTACCAGTTGATATTGCCTTTTTATGTTTTGTTTTGTTTTGGATTTTGGCCATTCTAACAGTTATGTAGTGGTATCTTGTTTTATTTTGCAATTTCTTAATAACATATGATGATAATCATATTTTCGTATGAAAACTTGCCTTCTCTATATCTTTGGTGAGGTTCTGTAAAGATCATTTTGACACTGTTAAATTAGGTTGGTTGTTTTCTTATTGTTGAGTTTTAAGAGTGTTTTTGTATGTTTTGACTACAACTCTTTATCTAATGTGTATTTAAATATTTCTGCCACACAATGGCTTGTCTTTTCTTTCTCTTAACAGTGTCTTTCACAAAGCAGAACTTTTAAATTTCAATTAAGTCCACCTTGTCACTTTTCTTTTTCTTTCATAGGTTGTGATTTCGATGTTATACCTAAAAACACATCAACAAAACCCAAGGTCACTAAAATAGCCTTGTCTTCTATGTTTTCTATTAGGCATTTTGTAGTTTTCGGAATTTTCATTTAGGACTATAATCCATTTTGACTTAAATTTTAAATAAATACACAGAAGTAGAATATGGTGGTTCTACTTTTAGTTTTATGAGGAACCTCCATACTGTTTTCCATAGAGGCTATTCAAATTTACACTCCCATGAGTAGTATTCAAAGGTTCCCTTTTCTCTATACTCTAGCCAATATATCTTCTTTTAAAAAATGAAAATAGGCATTTTATCAGGGGTAAGGTAATATCTCATTGTGGTTTTCATGTGCATTTCCCTGATAATTAGTGATTGTGAGCACCTTTATATAAACATGTTGGCCATTTGTATGTCTTTGGAAAACTGTCTATCCAGATCTTTTGCCCATTTTTAAATTGGGTTGTTTTTTGATTTTGAGTTTTAGGAGTTTCTTATGTGTTTTGGATAGTAACCCTGTCTCAGATGTGCGGTTTGCAAATATTTTCTCCCATTCTGTAGGGTCATCTTTTCATTTATTGATTATTTCCTTTGCTGTGTAGAAGCTATTTAGTTTAATGTAATCCCACTTGTTTATTTTTGCTTTTGCTGCCTTGCTTTTGGTGTCATATCCAAAAAATCATTGCCAAGGCCAAAATGTCAAGAAGCTTTTCTCTGTTTTCTTACTAGGAATGTATAGTTTTACTAGCAAATAAGTGTGACTATTGGTGATTTTTTAAAAAGCAAACAACAAATTCTTCTTTGCTGACACAAGAAAAGTGATTCATTTCAATTAGTAAATCATTTTTATGATTCTGATATCAATATCAGGGCACAAGGGTTAACATACATCTCAGAAACTAAATTTAAGCTCACATTTTCAGAGAGCATTTTTTTTTTTTTGGTGGAGGAGAGTATTGAGTATAACATAGCCAAATCAATTATTATTAAGCCTAATATTGATACATGATTAATATTGACAAACATTTTGACACCACTCTACATAGTGACATCACTCTACTAAAATTATTCGCAAATCATGTCCAACAGTTGTAAATTAATTCCCTGTAAACACTAAGCCTGCAATCTCAGTATATAAACACTAGATCAAGATGGGATCTATTAATTGGGACAAATCTTTGGAAGGTAGTCTTATTTCCTTCATGAAATCACTTTTCTGGGAAAAAGGAATCCTAATTTTTTATTCAATATAGAAATAGAAAATAAAGTGAGGCACCCATACCTTCTTAAATAGTGTGTGTATTGGTCAGCTGTGGCAGCCATTCAATACTTAACCATACTTCAGCAGTCCTGCCTCTGTGAAACAGCCTCCTCTTCACTGTGGCATTTTAGAGCAGCTAGTAACTCCCACTTGCTGCTTTGTCTGCAACTGGCTTTTCCATCTGTCTCAGCCTCTTTTCATACCATAGCAGAGTCAAGTCTCTTATTCATGTATTTGTGAATTCACCTAATAGTCAAAATTTATTTGTAACCCCAAATCCAATACTCACAGTGTTGCTGTGGTTAGTCATGGACATGCACAGAGCAGCAAAAGATTTGAGTTGTCTGATGTGTGCACGTTCCTGCTGAGGCCAGATAAGACAACGCTCTGCCCTCATTTCAGCTCTAATGCTATAAGCAAGTGTCCTTTCTATGGTGTATTTATCGCTACTTTAAAAAAAAAAAATTCTGGGATTTTCATTGGTGATTTTACTGTTTAAAATGGCCCCTGAGGACAGTGGTGAAATGCTGTCACGTGTTCTCAGGTGCAAGAAGTTTATGATTGCACCTGACAGAAGAAAAATGTGTGTTAGACAAGCTTTATTCGAGCGCAAGTTATAGGGCTGTCAACCGTAAGTTGAATATTAGCAAATAATATTTATCAGATAGGATGTCTTATCAAATAAACACACAAAATAAGGTATTTATTGATCATTTGACAAAAATGTGACCAGAGGTTTGAAGGAACCTAACCCTGTATTTCCCCTAGGAGCAATATTTCAGTATGTGATAATCCATTTTTCTTACCAACTTTGTAGAATATAACTACTGTGAGCAACAAAAATTGACTGTATCTATGGCTAAGAATAACAGCAATTTCAAATTGCTCATCAGGACCTGTGAACAGAAATATGTACTAATTTTTTAAAAATTTCAATAAGATAAAAAAGGTCAGTTTATTTTAATGCAACTTCTTGAAGTTCAGATTTTACATCAGCATGTTCTCATCAGCTACATTGCTAATAATGATTAGGTTACTAATAGACTTTATTGAATGCTGCCTCCGGATGCTTATTAGTTCTGAAGTGTTTTTCTCTTTTTTTTGCACATAAAGCTACAGAGCTTTATGCCTTTTTCAGAGCCCTTCAGGATATTACTTCTCTGTTTTGAATGTGGAGTCTTCATGGGATTTTTTAATAAGTAATTAACAAATTTTCAGAGGAAAGGCCATTTTCTACTTTTATTCAGTATTTAAGATGATCTATCACTGGGCAGAGTTAAGAACATTGAATTATTTCTTCTAATGAACTCTTAAGAAATAGCTCTTGCTTTTAACCATTTTATTTCTATTTCTATTCTGATTTTATACATAAAAGATGTGCTGGTTTCAGACAATAATTATTTGTCATTGCTAATTAACAATTATTTTGGTGAATATTTGTGAAAAATCTTTTTTTCTTAAAAAAAGAACTTTATTGCTCAAGCATAGATAATTTTTAGAGTGAGGGCTATTGTGGGAATCCTAGACTTAACCAACTTGACTAACCTATCAGGGCAAAGAGGAGCTTGATCCTTAATTAAATCATCAGTTACTTTGGCATCATAACAATGTCATAACAACAAGGGATAAAATTTGTGAAAGAAAATTATTTTATTTCTACCTCTGCTATGTCACACATTATTTCATAGGGATATTTGTAGATAAATGGACAGGTACTAATAATCTATACTCTATTGAGAAAGAGAAAACATGAGAGGAAGTAATTGTAATTCATAAACTTCAACTCTTGATTTTGGAAAACCAGAAAATCTCCAAACTCTTAATACAACTGGAGGGTAAGAAATGAAAAAAAAAAAAAAAAAAAAACTAGTTCAGCCACACGTCTTGTTATGTAAGTTACCTGAAAAAAAATAAAGTACAAGCAATTTATTCATTTGAAAGTTAATTTAACAAGTCACATAGCAATGTAAATTTCTTCACTCATTGATTTCTCTTTAATTTAATAAGCATGCATTGTGCTGTGCTGTGCATTCTATAGAAAATTTATAGTTCTAGGATATAAATAATTGTCATTCAGGCATCATTTATTTAAAAAGTACTTTTTCCCTTTTAATTGCTTAGGCAGTGCCTTAGTTTTCTATGGGTACTATAACAAATTATCACAAAATCAGTGGCTTAGAAGCATAAAAAATTATACTTTCACAGTTCTGGAGGCTAAAAATTCAGTATCTCCAGTCCAAAATCAAGGTGCTGATGGGGCCTGATCCCTCTAGAAGATTCAGGAAGAACATTCTTCCAGTTTCTGGTGGCTACCATTCTTTGACTTGTGATTTCCATCACTCCAATCTCTGCCTCTGTGGTTACATTGCCTCCTCTTCCTATGTGAGTGCTAAGTTAGGGCCCACTCAGAATCCAGGATAATCCACCACTCTCAATATCCTTAATGTAATCAATTTGGTGAAGACCTTTTTTTTTTTATAAGGCAACATTTATAGGTTCCTTTTGCTGGCCATTATTCTATTAAGTATAGGTACATTGTCAAAAAATCATTGATCATATTATTTAGGTCTACATCTGGACTCTCCAGTCTGTTCCATTCTCATCTCTATGGTCTAAAGCCAATACTCATAATTTCTTCATATTGTAGCATTATGGTAATATTGAAATCAGGTCATTTAAGTGCTCCATCTGTTCTTTTTTCAAAATATTCTTGTAGAATTTTTGCATTTCCATGTACATTTTGGACTAAACTTGTCAATTACTATGAAAAAGCCGGCTAGATTTTCACTGAGATTCCATTGAATTTATGGATCTTGGGAAATATGCCCTTTAAAAACTATTGAGTCTTCTGAACTATGTACAAGATATTCTTTTCCATTTGTTTAAATGTTAAAAACGTTCCTTAGCAATGTTTTTTAGTTTTCAGTGTGTAGGCTTTGTGTATATTTTGCTACTTCATGTTTTTGATACTAAACAGTATGGTTTTCTCCCCTATAATTCTGGAGTGTCTTTTATTCTAAAGATGTTTTAATCCACCACTGAAGTATGACACTTCTGAGATTACTAAATGCTTTGGATGATGACTGAGACCTTGCCACAATGCTGGCCAAGGTTTGACTATCTCCCTACTTTATGTGAGCTTAGAAAATTATTCAGTTAAAACTCTGTAGTCCTGCCTCAAGGAGTCTCACCCTATGGAAGTGTAGCACAGTTCTCAGCAAAGACACAAATGGCAAATTCTGAAGCTGGTTTTGTTTTTGTCTTTTACACAATTTCCTCTCACCTCAGTTCTCCCGGTACCTAATCTCCATGTTCTCAGTTCAGTGAGACCGCTTGACACTTCCTTGGTTACAGAGTCATTTAGAATGTGCCTCCAGCCAGACAGCTGGGGGTGATTGTGGATTCCCTTGGTTCTCCTTGTCACAGGGCTTATGTGCCTGTTTTGCATGTTTCCAATGTCTAAAAATAATTATTTCATGTGTTTTTTTCCAATTTTATAGTTATTTATGGGAGGAGGTTATGATCCTTGTTATTTCATCATGGTTAAAAGGCAAAGTTATTATGTTAACTTTTCTTTTTTTTTTTTTTTTAAGATGGAATTTCACTCTTGCTGCCCAGGCTGGAGTGCAATGGTGCCATCTCGGCTCACCACAACCTCTGCTTCCCGGGTTCAAGCGATTCTCTTGCCTCAGCCTCCCAAGCAGCTGGGATTACAGGCATGCGCCACCACGCCCGGCTAATTTTGCATTTTTAGTAGAGGCGGGGTTTCTCCATGTTGCTTAGGCTGGTCTCAAATTCCTGACCTCAGGTGATTTGCCAGCCTTGGCCTCCCAAAGTGCTGAGATTACATGCGTGAGC
The DNA here is from genome assembly GCF_000001405.40 of Homo sapiens. Classification (NCBI taxonomy): domain Eukaryota; kingdom Metazoa; phylum Chordata; class Mammalia; order Primates; family Hominidae; genus Homo; species Homo sapiens. The sequence goes on from NC_000002.12 coordinate 209,045,005, forward strand.
CATCCCGCCTGGCCTATTATGTTAACTTTTAAACTAGAAATGTATTCATACCAGTTGATTTGAAAGCATGCAATATTTTTTTTATTTTTGCAGCAATCACCTAACACTTGAATTTGTTTGCAAGACACAAAACTTTATCTTGTAATAATTCAATAGGACTGGTTAATTTATGGCAATAAAAATAATCCTCAATTGTAAATATCATCATTACTTTTGTTTCTCACTCAATATAAACATCATAAATACCCTATCTGACTCAAGACTTGGTAGTAAATTGCAATAGTTGCATTCTTTATATTTGAAAATACATTTTCTTCATTCAATTCTTAACTCTTTCTGTCACCATTTTTTAAATTTTCTTAAAGAGACAGCATGAAAAAAAGTAACTGATCTGTCCATGAGATTCTTATCATTTCAAAATGGCTTTATAAAAATTCCATCTTTCTTCATCAGGAATAATAGCCCAATTGTCCACAGATTCATAATATACATGTCTTGTGTATATACCTATCTAAGTGTACATGTCTTGGTACATACCAATACAGAACACCTATTTTTCTTACTTTAGTAACATTACTGAACAAGTTACTATTCTAATATAATATACATGTACATAATAATGATATATCATTTTCCAACATAATATCTTTGTACTATAATTTGTATGAACTCTTTTGATAATTTTGGTATTTTAAATGTATACGGTACCTCAGAAAATAATTAATTTTAGAAGCTAATTTATATTCTGATTGGATGTGGTATTTGTTGAATAAATGCAATCAAATTTGCCTATGTGTTTGTAAAGTTTTCCTTGCTCAATTTTTGAATTTAATATATTGCTAATTTGCCATTATTTTCTTAATGACAGATATTTAACTCTCATTGCATACACGTAAGCATATACACATAAGTAAAAGTAAAATGATAGAAAATGTTATAGAATATTTTATTCTTTTTACATTGTGTCTTACAAGTTCAGGACTTTTTTGCTATTATAATGGTCACATATATTCCTTTCATATTACTCAATATACAGTTATACAATATACAGTTACGAATAAGTATATCAGTTTGATATAAAACACTAATTCACTAGACATGGAGACTAAAAATTGTGCTTTTTCACATTCTCCATAGACCCTCAATCAAACAGCCTCCTAGTTCTGAATTATCATCCAGTTTTAGGATATGAATGCCTATAGTCCAATGTAAAATAAACATATATATATATATACACATTCCTATTCATTTTCAAATTTCTTCCAATGCTGTGTAAAGTTTGATTCTACTTTTTGATGAGGCTTAGAGTACATTCTGACTCACTCCTACTCAATTATCATATGCAAGACTATGTCCGGGAAGGGATTTGTAACATGCTTGGTCTTAAATATTGTCCCTCGCTGAAGGGTATGTGAGAGATTAGCATGGAAACTAGTAGTTCAGAAAAGCATATTTTAATTTACTTTCTTGAGTTACAATTCCATGCCTCACTGATCTTCTATGTATCTCCTAGTTTGTTATTTAGATGTTAAAAACATATTGTTAATTATGACACTGAATCTTACTTATTTTATTGTACAAAATTACGGTTTCAAAACATTATCATGATCATATGTGGGCCAGAGCCTCATTGAATTAGAATATCTGGTATTGGGGCCTAAGAAACTTAGATTATTCATAAGCACCCTGAAGTTTGGAAACCATTACACACTTGATTATACTTGTCCTTATTATTCTTTAGTTACATCAAATATATCAGTCTTACATTTTTCAAGAGGAGTATCAGCTCTTTGAATAACACATATATACTTTTCTATGTATGGTTCATGCTTAGCTAAATGCCCTGCACACAGCAGGTGCCAAATGAACCCTTGATAATTACTTACTGAAAATATATTGAAATTTGTACAGCTATTTTGTTATTCGACTAAAACTTACTTGGTGAAAGAAAATACCAAAAAATTTATCTGTTTCAGCAACATGAAGTACCTTTCAACATGATAATAGCAAATTTTGCAGATCCCCCTTAGGGTTTTAAAATACTATCCTTGTGATCTACTTTGCCTCAAATACCACTTGGGACAGTTCTATTGGTTCCTGTGTCTAAGCACATGGCTTTTGCTTTTCACATACTGGTTGGAAATGTTGTTTCTATTCCCCCTAAAAGCTTAGGTAAGGGCTAGATCCTGAGTAATAGATGTGGTAAATCACAAATCACATTAAGTGGGACTGAGCCACTCTTTAAAAATTTCATTTCAGCAGCTTTTTACCTTTTTCAAGTTAAAATAATACTATTATTGAAACAGAAAAAAAAATTATCATGGAACTAATTACCATTAAATAAAGACCACCAACTCCCAGTGTTAGCGCTGATAACCTGTGTTTCACTGGGGTGTGCTATACCCTACTAAAATAAGCACTATTATAATTTGTTCTTGCTAAATTAACTTTTACAAATGATGCACAGAAGTTCATTTTCTCCAATAACCCCCCACCCAACATATGTCCAACTCAAGGAAGAGGCATTCTCTATATAGATCCCTTAAATGTGGGTACTGCTTATTGGAACACATTTCCAGGAGAGGAGACTTTAATATGCATAACAAATGAGGTAATTTCCCTTTTTACATATATCTTATGTAAAACAAAAAGCCAACCAATCAACATCAACAACAAAATCTATAGAGGTGGGACAGAGCCAGAAATCACTGGTACTTGGGAGAGATCTGAAGCTTCTCCTGCTTTTGTTTTCTGCACTGTCTTCAAATAATCTCTTTCTTGTGGTAGCGCAGGTGGATTGAGGGGAAGCTCCTACTTGGAAGCTCATTACCCTGATCATCTCATCCTTTAAAGACCTTGGAAAGGTGGACAGCCAGACTCTACACTAGATTTTTTTCTCTTCTCATTCTTCCTGTCCAGAAGGCTCTAGTATGGTCTTTCTTTGCATTTCATAGCCAATTTTGAATAAAGGGAGGTGAAGTGAAAGAAGTAGGTACTTTAGAATTTTGGCTTTCTGATTGAGACTGATTCTAATATAAATCACAGGAGTTTCCCATGTAGTCAAGTCTACCACAGTAAAAACTATGTTGAAATAATAAAAGGGTAAATTTGCTGATCATTTTCCTCTGGTGATTACATTTCCCCCTGGCACTTTGAGAAAGGAATGTTTAATCAAATATTAATTTATTTAGATAAAAATTACTTTACACATAAAAGAATAGCTAAGGCAGGCAGGTGGAATAAACTTTTACTTTTTCTACATGTTTTCTAAAAAGACAGTTTTGTTGAGATATAATTGCTATACAATAAACTGCTCATATTTTAATTACACAATTTAATAAGTTTTGGCATATATGTACACCATCAAAACAATTATTATAAGCAAAATAATTTTTAAAAACTCACCATCCAAAGAGTTTCAAGATTTTTATATTATTTTTGCCTGTCTCTGCCGAATTCTTACCCCCATGCACACATTGATTTGCTTTCTACCACTATAAATTAGTTATAGATGCATTTACGTTGTCTAGCATTTTATATAAATGGAATCCTAAACTATGTACTTTTTCGCATCTAGCTTTGTTCATTTAACATAATTATTCTAAAATGCATTTAGATTTTCATGTAACTATTGTGTACCAATAGTTTGTTCCCTTTTATTACTGAGTAATAATTCATTGCATGGATCTATTTGTCTATTTACTCACATATTAGTGGACTTTTGGGTTGTTTCCAGTTTTTAGTTATTACCAATAAAGCTGTGATGGATGTTCTTAGAGAAAATTGGTATGGACATGGGCTTTTAATTTTCTTGCATATGTAGCCAAGAGTGGAAGATCTAAGTCACAGTAAGTGTGTGTTAAACTTTTCATGGAACTGTCAAATTATTTTCCAAAGTGGCTCCACCTGCATTTCACATTCTCACCAGCAATGCATGAGAATTCCAATTATTCCGTGTGCAATGCAGCATTGGGAACAAAAAATAAGAGGAAAATGAGAAGGAGGAGAAAAAGAGGAGAAAAAACTGGAGGAGAATGGCAAGGAGGAAAAGGGGGGAAGAAAATAAGTAAAGAGTTCTGCATATCTGAAGGCTAAAGTGTAATGAAAACTATAAATGTTGTCCAATAAATTTTTCCTTATATTCAAGAAACAATTTGACATGTTTAGAATGCAGGCAAAAGGAGCACTAGTCTAAAAATCAAAAGATAGATTATTGTCTGCTTTTTCACACTAACTGAATGACCTTTATTTGTGTGGGCTTCAGTTTCCATGTCTACAGAAGAAACAGCACTCAGAAGTTCTCTTTCAGCAACAAATACAGAAATAACTACACTTGGGTTATGCTTTTATCTCTCCTTTTTTTCCCAGTATATGTTTAATTTGAGGAATAAAAAAGAGAGTATCCCAGCCTTCCAGGAGGAGGAAGCAATAAGTGAAATGACCCTGAGCCATTTAGCAAACCTAGAGAAATAAAATGGCCAGTACATCTTGATGATGGTGAATGATGATGGTGAGTGATAGGAGTGAATTCGATCTTCTGAGGATTATCAAGAATTTTAGATTCTATTATAAATGCAATAGGGCATGGACTCTAGAGACAAATTGCCTGGGTTGGAATCCCTGCTCCACCATTTCCTAGCTGCGGGGCCTTGGGCAAAGTATTTAAACTCTCTTTCCCTCAGTATTACAATGAGGATAACAATAGTACTAACCTCATAGTTATTGTAAAGATTAAATGAGTTTAGGGCTTAGAACTATGCCTGGCACGTGTTAAGCAAGATTTAAGTTAACATCATTACCATTACTGCTCTCTGGCTTCCTGCTGCTGACTCAGGGTAATGCAACCCTAAGGAAGGAGCTTCCAGCATGGAGTGTGGACATGGAGCTTCTGGGTTCATCTCTGGGCTCATCAGCATGGGCAAGTTGCAGCCTCTCTGTACAAGAGAATGAGTGTTTGGCATGGATGATACTAAAGCTGACTATAGCTTTGAATCCTCGAAGAAAACACAATAAATTTTTCTGAAAATCACTGCATAAAGTTGTAAATCAGATATACATCTGGTAGCTTGAGGGAAAAGTAATGGAAAAAATTGAACTATCACACTCTACTTTAGGGTTCTGATGATTTAGCAGAAAGGAAAGAAAAAAATAATTGTATCATCTCTAAAATCACACAATTTATTTTAGTTTCTCCTAAAAGAAAGTTGCTGTCAAGCACCATTACCATAAGAGAAAGACTTTACTTTTCAGATTCTGAGTCAATTGCATCCCAGACCTAGTCTGGTATTCTAAAAATTGCTGAGACAAGTTTGACTGCTAATCAATAGTTGGAAACAACTTCTCTAAAGCCATTAATTGAAACATTCTCTCTAGAGAAGGCCACAGTAAATTGATTGAAACATGAAAAGACTATGTAATAAATAAGAAAAAAAGTTTTTGTTACCATGGGTATGTTTTGACAGAAACAAATTAAATGATAAACTACATTTCATCAAACTATGATAAATGTATTGTTCTGTTGATTAAAAATAACACATGCAATAATTTTAAGATTGCTTTTTAAAATTGTATGCAAGAAAAATAAGGTTTATGTTACAAATACTTAGCATGGGCAGTAGGTTTAAAGGATAAATAAAATGAAACATTTTTAACCAAAGAAAAATCAAATAATAGTAGCTGATATTTATAAGGCTTGCTATCGGCCAGGCACCTTTCTAAATAATATTAACTCATTTATTTTATCTTCAATATATATAATGGTTCATACTTTACAAAATGAGAAAATGCAAGCCTGAGAATTTAAGTAATGACCATTAAAATATTCTAAAAATTTAGAATATTTTACTTTACCATTAGAGAAAAAAAATTCATCGAGAAAAGGAAAAAAATGTGTTTTTTTCTCTAATGGTAAAGTAAAATATTCTAAATTTTTAAAAAACTAGACAATACTGGAATGTGTTACTAACAGTAACAGAAAGATAATCATCAGTCTCATTATTTAAAAAATATATAATAACAATTATATAATAATTATATAATAACTACTGGTGATACTGAAAAGAAAAAAATGGCCTACTTAGCTTTATGGATACCAAAATAGAGTGAATATTTTGGGAAGTATATTCACCAATCATAAAAGCTTTCTGTTACAGCCTATAGAACCCCTGTCATGTCAGCCTGAGGAACTCACAAGACTGCAGAGACGGTGGACTCAGGCAAGCTCGCCAGCTCCTGGGAATCTTTGCCAGGTCCGTCTGCCATTCTTTCAGATAAATGATGTCTTCAAATTATTTTTGCTCAATATTTTTACTTCTGCTTTTTAAAAACTCCACAGATTAGCCATTACTACTTGTATCAGTTTATAAAGGTTTTGCTTTATTAACTTATTCATTGAGCAATTTCAGGGTTTATAATTCTTCCTTCCATCTAAGATCTTCCTTCTGGGGTCTCCCTCCTTTGGCCTGAAATTCGTCTGTTAGAAGTTCCTTGAACGAGACAGTCAAACAAGATGACCAATCAGAGGCATTGTTAGCATGACTCTCCCACTTGGAAAGACAAAATAGTGTGTAGAGATTCATGCTGTGAACTTTGTTCCAAGAAGCAACACAGGAATGTAACAGGAATACTGAAAGAAACCACAGACCCTATGGAAGAAGCAGTGGGCTACAGCCTATACCATGAGCTAGACAGAGTGCGAGGAGGGATAAATTATCTGCAGAATATACACTGCTACCAGGGAACCTAGCAATCCAGGCCATGGGAGAGGCCTTAACCCTACTCAGCACTGGAGCCCCACTGGAGTAGGGGCAAGTCTGCAGGTCTACCCCAATAGTGAGGCAGCCCTGGTGCTTATGAAGGGTCTTGAAGAAGGGGACCTCTTCTCTCCCTCACCCACCACTGCACACACAACTGGGGCTTCTCCCACAGGAGCTCAGCATGATTGCATCTGTAGATAGCCTCTCTGGAACACTTCAGACTAAATGCATTCCCAAAGGAAAAGTGCCCTCCAGGTTCAGGCTTAAATAAAAGGTAGAGTCACAAACGCTCTCTACATGGAAAATCAGTACTCTTGTCAATGGCAAGAGATGCCTGTCTGATCTGAATAGTTGGAACACAGAGTCAGAATGGGAGGTGGATTACTTTCTTCTGGCCTGGCAGGGGAGCTAAGATGGCTTCCTACCTTCACCCTAAAAAGACCTTGATGATTTTCACTGAGAGGTCCTCTTGCTGCCTCTGTCAAGGTTGGGACCTATGATCACCATTGGGTATTGCATTTTTCACCTGCTTTAGCCATAGCAAGTTTTTATCCATGGACACCTCCTCTATTGGCCTAAAGCCTGAACTATTCAACCCAATAAATAAAATACTGGGGAAAAAAGTAAGTGCACATCAATGCGGAATGAGATAAGTTTCAAGAGAACTCTGCCATTCCAACCCCAGAGGAGAGTGAACCTGCTCACACACTGAGCACATTGCTACTGCAACCAGCATCTGAGAAAGCCATCCTACAAAGACTCTCTCCAACCAAGGAACTCATACAGAGTCTTCACACCTGAAAGCACCCAGAGCCCAATTAGGTTACAATAAAATATAATCGTAAAGTCGCATCCTCAAAGGAAATAAAATAAATTTTTAAAAAGTGAAAACAAAATTAAATTCAAAAATAATGAGAAGAAATAGTTTATCCAAATGAGAAGAAACTGGAAAAATAATTCTGGCAATGTAACAAAACAGGATTCTATAACAAACTCAAAGGTCTAACTAGCTCTCCAACAATATATCTAAATCAAAATGAAATCTTTGAAATATCAGATAAAAATTGAAAATGTTGATTATTAAATATCCCAGGGACATACAAGAGAAAGGTGAAAACCAACATAAAGGAATTTTAAAAATAATTCAGAATATACATGAAAAATTTTCTAAAGAGATACATGTTTTAAAGAAAAATCATTATACAATGATAAAAAAATCAATGCAACAAGAAAATTTTATAATTCTTAGTGTAAATGCAACTAACTCTGGGGCTTCCAGATTCATAAAACAATTACTACTATACCTAAAAGAATAGATAGCAACACAATAGGGGGGAACTTCAACACTCCACTGACAGCCCGAGGCAGAAAGTCAACAAAGAAACATTGGACTTAAACTGCACTCTGACAAATGGACCTAACAGAGTTTTACAGAACATTCTACCCAAAAGCTGCAGAATGTACATTCTTCTCATTAGTACACAGAACATTCTTCAAGATACATCATACATAGGCTGCAAAACAGTCTCAATACATTTTTAAAAATTGAAATCATATCAAGTATCTTCTCAGACTGCAGAGGAATAAAACTTGTCAACTTCAAGACTAATCAACTCCAAAAGGAACCTCAAAATTGTACAAATACGTGGAAATAAAAGAATCTGCTCCTAGATGATTTTTGGGTTAACAATGAAATTAAGATGGAAATTTAAAATTTTTCAAAATGAGTAATAGTAACATAAGTTATCAAAAATTCTGGGATAGAGATAGAGCAATGGCAAGAAGAAGGTTTATGGCACTAAATGCCTACATCAAAAAGTCTGGAAGATCAAAAATGGATAACCTTACATCACAACCCAAGGAACTAGAAAACAAGAACAAACAGAACCCAAAGTTCGCAAAAGAAGATCAGAGCAGAACTAAGTGAAATTTAAACAAAATAATTGCAAAAGATCAATGAAATGAAAAGTTTGTTACTTAAGAAGATAAACAAAGTCAATAGACCATTAGCTAGATTAACCAAGAAAGGAGAGAAGATTCAAATAAACTCAACTAGAAATGGAAATGGATACATTACAACTGACACTACAGAAATACAAAAGTTCATAGGACTACTATGGACACATAGATGCACATGAACTAGAAAATCCAGAGGAAATGGATAAATTCCTGGAAACATACATCCCTCCTAGCTCAAGAAATAGAAATCCTGAACAGAGCAATAACAAGTAATGAGATTGAATCAGTAATAACAAAAATTGTGAGCAAAGAGAAAAGCTCAGGGTCAGATGAATTTATAGCAAAATTCTGCCAGACTTTTAAAGAATTGGTACCAATCCTACTGAAACATTTCCAAAAGATTGAGAAAGGAGGAATCCTCTCTAACTCATGATGTGAAGCTAGTATCACCCTGATACCAAAACCAGAAAAAGATATAACAACAACAAAAAAAACCACAGGCCAATATCCCTGATGAACATAGATGCAAAATTTCAACAAAATACTATCAAACTGAATCCAACAGCATATGAAAAAGAGAATTCACCATGATGAAGTGGATTTTATCCCAGGGATTCAGGGATGGTTCAACATATGCAAGGCAATAAATGTGATTCACCACATAAACAGAATTAAAAACAAAATCCATATGATCATCTCAATAGATACAGCAAAAGCGTTTGATAAAATCTAGCATCCCTTATGATAAAAACTCTCAACAAACAAGGCATAGAAGTAACATACCTTAAAATAAGAAAAGCCATTTATGACAAGCCCACAGGTAACATCATACTGAATGGGGGAAAGTTGAAAGCATCTCTGCTGATAACTAGAACAAGACAAGGATGCCCACTTTCACCACTTCTATTCAACATAGTATTGGAAGTCCTAGCCAGAACAATCAGGCAAGAGAAAGAAATAATGGGCATTCAAATTGGAAAAGAAGGAGTCATACTCTTTCTGTTTGCCACTAATATAATAATATGCCTAGAAAACTCTAAAGACTCCTTTAAAAGACTCCTAGATTTGATAAATGAATTCAGTAAAATCTTAGGTTGCAAAATCAATGTACACAAACCAGTAGTACTGCTATATACCTACAATGACCAAGCTGAGAAACAAATCAAGAATTCAATCCCTTTTACAAACGCTGCAAAACAAACAAAAAAACACAACAACAACAAAAAATAAACAAACCTAGGAATATACTTAACCAAGAACCAAGGAGGTTAAAGATATCTACAAAGAGAACTACAAAGCACTGCTAAAAAAAAAAAAATCATAGGTGACATCACATCAAATAATGGAAATACATCCCATACTCATGGATTGGAAAATTCAATATTATGAAAATAGTCATACTGCCCAAAGTAATTTACAGATTCAATGCAGTTCCTATCAAAATACCAATATCATTTTTCACAGAATTAGAAAAAAATCCTAAAATTCATAAGGATCCAAAAAAGAGCCTGACTAGCTAAAGCAATTCTAACCAAAAAAGAACAGACCTGGAGACATCACATTACATAACTTCAAATTATATTATAATTAAATAAGTAACCAAAACAGCATGGTCCTGGGAGAAAAATAGATACATAGACCACTGGAACAGAATAGAGAACCCAGAAATAAAGCCAAATATTTACAACCAACTGATCTTTGACAAAGCATACAAAAAATATTTTGGAAAGGACGCCTTATTCAATAAATGGTGCTGGGTAAACAATAGCCACATGTAGGAGAGTGAAACTGATCTCTCTCTTATCATATACACAAAAATCAACTCCAGATAGATTAAAGACTTAAATTTGAAGCCATAAATAATCTAGATAAAAACTCAGGAAAAACTCTTATGGACATTGGCCTAGGCAAAGAATTTATGACTAAGACTCCAAAAGCAAATGCAAAGAAAACAAAAATAAATAAATGGGACCCAATTAAACTAAAATGCTTCTGCATAGCAAAAAAAAAATCATTAGAGTAAACAAACAACCCACAGAATGAAAGAAAATATTTGTAAACTATGCATCTGAAGAAGGACTAATATCCAGAGTCTACAAGAAACTCAAACAAATCAGCAAGAAAAAAAAAATCATCCCATCAAAAGTGAGCAAATTCCAGAAATAGAGACTTCTCAAAAGAAGATATAAAAATGTCCAGTAAACATATGAACAAATGCTAATCAATATTGCTCATTACTCAACATTACTAATCATCAGGGAAATACCAATTAAAACCACAATGAGATATCAGCTTACCCCAGCCACAATGGCCATTATTAAAAAATCAAAAATCAATAGATTTTGGCACGGATGTGGTGAAAACGGAACACTTTTACACTGCTGGTGGGAATGTAAACTACTACAACCTCTATGGAAAACAGTATGGAGATTTCTCAAAGAACTAAAAGTAGACCTACCATCTGATCCAGCCAAACCTACTACTGGTTATCTGCCCAAAGGAAAAGAAGTCGTTATATCAAAAAGACATCTGCACACGTATGTTTGTCACAGCAAAATTCACAGTGCAAACATAGGGGACTCACCTAAGTGCCCATCAACCAATGAGTGGATAAAGAAAATGTGGTGCATTTTGGAAGGCTACACAGCCATAAGAAAGAATGAAATAATGACTTTTGCAGCAACTTGGTCGGAGCCAGAGGCCATTATTCTAAATGATGTTACTCAGGAATTGAAAACCAAATACCCTATGTTTTCATTTCTGAGTGGGAGCTAAGCTATGGTTACTCAAAAGCATACAAAATGATATACAGATATTGGAGATTCAGAAAAGGGGAGGATGGGAGGTTAGTGAGGGATTAAAAAAACCCCTACATATTAGGTACAATGTACGCTACTCAGTTGATGGGTGCACTAAAATCTCAGGCTTCACTGCTATAAAATTCATCCGTGTAACCAAAAATACTTATAGCCCCAAACTTATATGAAATTGTATATAGATATAAATTGTGTGCAGTTGTACAATGGAAGTATACTATCTCAAGATGTCCTTAAATTTGGAATATTAATATTTGGAATTCATGTTTGGAATGTTCATTTGGTATATTACTAGTACCTCTTCCCTAGAAAAATATTTATTGACAACCTAGCCCTTCTGTTCAGTGATGAGTCTCAATCCTCCCCCAGGTAGTGGATAACTGAGAATCCTCAGTAACCCTCAGTAGCCATGTCCCACCATGAAAAGTGAGATAGAGCAGCTGCAGTGGCCACTTGAAATCTTCCACTTTTCAAAGCAACTTGTGCTGAAGCATGAAGTAGGTACTTCAGATTGTCAGTTCAATAAATCCCCAAATATAAAATTTTTATTAGAAGATAGCTAATTTGTCCTTTGGCACTACTGACAACTTGCATCATGGCCCAGATCTCTTACTTGTCCAGCTTTCATTCTTTGCTCCTTGTTTAACACAATAGCCTATACCTCACAGAATTCCAGAAAAACATAGGCTAGTTTTGTCGTAATGCAAATTAGCTTATAATACTAATTCAATTAATATTTAAATTTGGCCATTTACAATAAAATTTTTCAAATGTTGGGATGAAAGCTATTGGGCAAATATTTAAATAAACAATAATTGTGCTTCAAAAGCAATTTTTATTAATCCTTCTTATATGAATACATATATTTACATATTACAAGAAGTCTATTGATAGATACTGTAAATGGTAACAATTATTAAAATTACATTTGTATTTCTGCTGTTGCTTTTAGGAGTTGACCTGGATAACCCGGATAAAGATTTTGTCTTCTTTAACTTGGCAAAAAAAAAAAAAGTTTCCTGAATGATAGTAAATGTATAGATGCAAGGTAAATGCATAGATATGTTGAAGGTAAACTTTCTCCATGATAGCTTATCTCAATGATAGAAAATTTTATTCCAATTATTGAAAGATACATTTTTTCTGAGCAATCTATTTTAGGTTGCCAATTATTTTCTCTCTTAACTCAGAGGATGCTGTTCCACTGTATCCTGTCTTCCATAATGTTGGGAAGTCAGCTTTAAGTCTGCCATTTCTTTCTTATAGTTTTTCCTCTATGGCTGCTTTTAAGAGTTAAATTTTGTCTTTTCTCTTCTGCACGTGTACTGGGAGAAGGTGCTGGGAGGAGTTTCCCAGGAGAAGGTGCTGCCCGAGCTTCATCCTGAAGGAAAGTCAGCCAGGTGGATAATGTGGAGAAGGAGCTATCATCTAATAGTGGTCCACAAATTAAAATCTTATAAACACTTCTCTAGTAGATTGTTAATAGGTTCACTGAAAAAAAAAAGTTGTTTTATTTTCTAGCTTTGTCTGTTTTCTTCTCTATCCACAGTATTGCAATATTTCCTTCTGAGCATTCATCTTGAGTAGCACTTTAAAATTTTACTTTGTATTATATTTTGTCAGAAGCAATGCAAAACATTTTTGTTACACTGGAATCTCCATGTATCCCTAATGATTCAATGATCACCACAAAGTAAAGATACCAAAAGGACTTTAATAACAACATCTATGAATGAAGTTTAGTTAAAATTCAGCTAGGAAAACAGGTTTTTATCTACAGAAAGTACTCAAACAATGATTGTGCTTAAGTGATATAAAGAAAATAAATAGTACTCTGATCTGTGGTATTGTGTTGATAGGGTAGTCATGGATAGTCTGCCTGGCAATGTTTCCTTGAACCTGAAAGAAGAGAAGTTAGCTGGTTGATGATGAGGGGAAGCTGCCTCAAGCATACTATCTCAAGATGTCCTTAAATTTGGAATGTTAATATTTGGAATTCATGTTTGGAATGTTCCATTTGATATATTACTAGTACCTCTTCCCTAGAACAATATTTATTGACAACCTAGCCCCTCTGTTCAGTGACGAGTCTCATTCCTCCCCCAGGCAGTGGATAACTAGAATTCTCAGTAGCCCATGAGAATCCTCAATAGCCCTCAGTAGCCATGTCCCATGGAAATCCAGGATAGCTTGTGCAAAGTCTCTGAGGTGGAAACAATTTATTGTGCTTTAGAAACAAATAATGGGAAAAACTGGCTTAAAATACTTCATCTATTTAAAAAGTTGTAATGAGGCCCAGTTTTTATTCTTTTAGTTAGCTCATGGGGACAAATGTTCTATTTTAATTATTTATGACTGATTTTTATATTGACAAGAGTTAAAAGAAGGTTTTTGGAGACACGAGGGACATTATGGAGTCTTCCAAACCAAGTGCGGTTGCAAAGCTATCTACAATTGCTGCAAAGAACAGTATCATTTAAAAAATTTGATAACAGAAAACACTCCTACACTCTTCCTGTGTCCATGTGATCTCATTGTTCAATTCCCACCTATGAGTGAGAATATGCGGTGTTTGGTTTTTTGTTCTTGCGATAGTTTACTGAGAATGATGGTTTCCAATTTCATCCATGTCCCTACAAAGGACATGAACTCATCATTTTTTATGGCTGCATAGTATTCCATGGTGTATATGTGCCACATTTTCTTAATCCAGTCTATCATTGTTGGACATTTGGGTTGGTTCCAAGTCTTATGTATACATATGTAACTAACCTGCACAATGTGCACATGTACCCTAAAACTTAAAGTATAATTAAAAAAAAAAAAAAAACACTCCTACACTCAGAAGCTTAGTTTGTTTCCTCAGAAGCTTATATGAAATGTCATAAACCCAGTCATGAATAAAATTAAAGTTATATTATCAGCCTGAAACTATTTCCATATCTTCCATCACAGAAATTTATGAAAATGTCCTACATTTTGTAATACAAAATATTTTATTTAACCCACATATAGACATACCTGAGAAATATCTGTGGTGCAACAGGCAGAGTTGTCTAGAAGTGATGTAAGGAGCTTACTCTGAGTAGCCTGAACCGAGAGAAGCTGTAAGTGGTATAAAAGACTAGGGACTCGTGGAGAGATATCCTCAGTATCTCTAGGAGCAGGGGAGCTAGACAGCTCAGTTAAAAAGCTAGCACTCCAAATCAAAACAGCCTGGCAACAAATAGGTTATAAATTCTCTCACTGACAAGGGTGCTTTCCTGTGGATGTTTCTTATAGATGAAAACCCACAGTGGGGAGGGGTCCCTCAAGCTGAAATGGGACCTAGCAGTGGCCTGGCTCTCACATGGGTCTCTGTGGAGTAATGAGAGAAGATGGGAACATATGCCTTCACATCTCTTATGCTGACCCTGGTCTTACGAGTTTTCCTTTTGTTGATAAAGCATATTCTTAACCCATCCCAATGGGACAATGTCATACAATTAGTTATGAACACTAGTACACCACAGGAGACACCCAGATGGCACTCTTTTGGATGTGATAGTTTTTTTCTCTCTTTTTGAAAAAATCAATAAACTACTTTTAATGAAACAAATTTGAAATGCCTTCTTAACATTTCCTTATTATATTGCCATGCTTAATTAAAATTGTGTCTTCATTCTTATACTTGTATACTGATCACAGATGCTCAACTAAGACACGTATTTTACCAAAATAAGAAAAACATAATAAATAGCTTGTTTCTGGATTATTTCTTCCATAACAAGATTTTCTCTGTCTTTTGTACTTTACTACTTTTGGTATTCAAAATACTTTATTCTCAAGTTTTACAATTATAGACCTAATAGCAGAATTTAATTTAGTTGAGTTAATTCAGTTTTCATCCCAAACATTGGTTAATTTAAACATTAATTTTCAAAAATAGCTAGGGAAGCAAATTTGCTTAACAAAATTATACATGGTACTACAAAGTCAGCATACAAGACTTTTGAGCCATTCATTACCTTTTATTATCATCTTTATTATCAATACTGGAGGATTAGCTGCATTATGAGCTTACATTATAGTCAGGTATACTTAGAATTTATTAATGTAATTTTAGGTTGGTGGAATAGTGCTACAGTCCTGACTCCTGGTTGGGACAAAGCTGTGCTTAGAATCCGCAGTCTCCAAGGTAAACAGCGGCAGAATTCATTGTCTCACAAGAGATTTGGTGAGTGGCATGGAAGCAACAAGATTGTCACTTATAGCTTATAGTATTGCACAAGATAGTTGGAGAATCAATTTACTCTGATCTGTATCCTACTATTTCTTTTCTAGGAAGTCTTACCTAGTTCACTCCAGGTTTTTTCTTCCTTTGTGGTCCTACTGATGCTTGCCAATGACTATCTTGTACAATACTTTCCAGTCCTGGTTGAAGGCAATGTTATAGGACCACCAGGTTCATATGCCTGCTGTGCAGTAACATACCAACATACCAAGGCAGCAGGGTTTGAAGCAGAGAAAGAGTTTAATGATCACAGGGCAGCTGAGCAAGGAGATGGGAGGGATTCTTAAATCTATCTCCCTAAAGAGCTCTGGGATAGGGATTTTAAGGGGATGGTGCAGGGTGACAGCCGGAAAATTGGGGTCATTGATTAGTCAGGGTAAGGAAGAGATCATCAGGATGAGGAAACTGCATTCAGCTTCTCATGAGTTTCTTCAGATCAGTTTATGCCAGCAGTTTTACTGGTATACAGGACCACAAAGAATAGTTAAAATGGAAAACATTTTATAATGTTAAAGTTGTCATTTATAGAGTAGTTAAAGGGAACTATAATTTTTTTTTTTTTTTTTTGGTGACGGAGTATCACTCTGTCTCCCAGGCTGGAGTGCAGTGGTGCGATCTCAGCTCACTGCAACCTCTGACTCCTGGGTTCAAGTGATTCTCCTGCCTCAGCCTCTTGAGTAGCTGGGATTGCAGGCACACACCACCATGCCCAGCTAATTTTTGTATTTTTAGTAGAGGTGGGGTTTCACTTGTTGGGCAGGCTGGTCTCGAACTCCTGACCTCGTCATCTGCCCTCCTGGGCCTCCCAAAGTGCTGGGATTACAGGTGTGAGCCACTGCACCCGGCCAGGGAACTATAATCTTTTAACAGGGTCTGCATGATTCTGGGGCAATAGGTGCCAAACAACTATGAGTAGGCAGGTCAGAGAGCAAGCTGACCCCGTGATTACTGCTGCATGTGCTTCAGGCTTGGTTTATTTTCATTTCTCCCACTCCCTTCTTCTTGATAAATTTTATGAAGTTTATAAGGATGGTTTCAACAACTTCATTCAGTGTCTGAGGCCAAAGACATGAAATCATGCTCGACTTCTTTTTCTCTCATAGCCTACAGCCACTCTGTCATCAAATCAAGAATGATGGGCATTAATGATGACAAAAGGGAATTTTAAATAACTAATAACTATTTCTAAATATACTTTAATTTCTAAGTCAGTAATACTTTTACATGTTTTAAAGATCAAAACTATAAACAAAGCCATAATTTGATAAGTCTCAACTCAACCCCTTCATGTTCCAGTCACCTCTATATATTTTACACTATTTATAAATTTATTTGTTTCTTATATATCTTCTAATATTTCTTCATACCATTTATAAGCAAATAAAAAATAGATTCTTAATTGTTCCTTTTTTACATATAGTGTTTTGCAACATGTTTTTCTCATTAAACAATATATTCTGAATTTCTGTATGTTAGTACATAAAATACCTTAACTGCATAATATATCATGCAGACTATACCACAGTTATATTAAACAGTCTGCTATATTGAAGTGCAGTTCCTGTCAAGGCAAAATACCATTCACCCTTTAAGTGACTGATTTTGACTGTCAAGTCAATGAACACGAAAGCAAAAATCATGGAAATCAGAAACTTACTCATTATCGTACATTTTTTCCTAGGGTTATGTATCGAGTTATATGTAGTTTTTGCATTATTCAAGACTATACAAGTAAAATAAGTGTGACAGCTATGCAAAACATGTATTACACTTTCCTGGGAAGGTTTCTGTTCTAAGTAAGGTGACTTTCATTGTGGTGATTATAAATTGAACATTGATCTTCTAGTTATTAAAGCTCTTGGCTTTCATATTTTTCTGTCTCAGTTTTAGAAATTTTTGTACCATCTTGGTTACATTGTTTAGGGGAAATAGAACGAAGTAAAAATTACTCTATTGACATTTTAACATGCTAACAGTATCCTTAAAATTACTGGGGTTCAATTATACAATTCTATCATTCCAAAACAATTGTTTTCAGAAGAGAGTTAAAACTAGCTATACCTTTAAACATGGGAAAATTGATTTTCTGTGTGTTACTTGTCAAAGTTTCAAACTTTCCTTTGGTAGAAGAGAGACAATTAAGATTTTAGAGTTTTTAAGAAAACACTATTGATTCTTGCTTTTCTTTAATTCTTCAACCACCCTGGCTGAAGCTATTTTGACGAACACTGCATTTAACAATGCAGCCCAGAATATACCTGCATTCACATTTCCCCAAAAGACTATTTGATCCACTATAAGAAGTGCAAATGTGAATGTCATGGTCAGGCATGGTGGCTCACGCCTGTAATCCCAGTACTTTGGGAGGCCGAGGTAGGTGGATCACTTGAGGTGAGGAGTTTGAAACCAGCCTGGCCAACATGGCAAAACCCTGTCTCTACTAAAAATACAAAAAAATTAGCCGGGCTTGGTGGTGGACACCTGTGATCCCAGCTACTCTGGAGGCTGAGGCAGGAGAAGCACTTGAACCCAGGAGGAGGAGGTTGCAGTGAGCTGAGATCATGCCACCGCACTCCAGCCTGGGTAACAGAGTGAGACACCGTCTCAAAAAAAAAAAAAAGTCAGAATGTCAATAAAGGTTTAAACCAGGATGGTGGTGGACATATGGCACAGCAGTCTCACTAGTACACAGATGTTCCCACTACAAGACAGAAGAAAAGATGCATTTTTTCGAGCAGGCTCATGGAGCTTCTCCAAGGGAGACAACACACTATGTTGTCTCAAATCACTGGCAGATAGAAGTATGTGGCACACGAGGAGGACATGGCCCTGACTTCCATGCAGACATGCTCCAGGAATTTTAGAGCTTGAGTTTTTATTACTTTCTTCTACAACTGCAGGCTCGTCATTCCTGCTTTTTGCTGGAAAAAAAAAAAAAGGTAGTGCAAAATTTATGGAGCTTTTCTCCCCTGCATTCATCAGATTCTCCATAATAGATCCTGTTTAAAAGACAGTAGGGGGATGATAATAAGATAGTTTATGCTTCTGCTTTTGTAAGAAAAAAATCCAAAATTACCAATTTTTGAAGCTTATTCATCTAACGTAAACCTACTGTGATCAGATAACATTCCTGAAAGGATTTGAGAGTTGGAAGCACTTCATTTGTATTTTCAATAGGGTTTAAATTATCTTCCCTAATTGGTTCCAGCCTGCCTGTTTCTAAAGCACCAAGATACAGAGAAAATCTTAATGTTAACCAGAAATTCAGGTCAGAAGAAGCTGAGTTTACTTGTAAGACATATATGGTAATATCATCACTTAGAAATTCTGAATGCTAACTCCCTCCCTCTTAGCTTTTATAAGGCAAAGCTGTAAGTCAGATTACATCTACGAAAGCTATCAACAGCTTTCCAACTACAGAAGATTGAATTTTGTGAGATATCAAATCAGTAAAATTTGAAATATAGCCATATATATAGCAGCAAATTTACATTTACATGCAAAAGCCAAAATAAAATAAATCCAGTTCTTTAATTTGCCCCTAAATAATATAGGGCACAATACATTTTAATCTGAGTTTTGCTAGAAGAAATTGAAGTATTTAGAAGAAAAGCATGATCTAACATATCAATTTTTTCAATAAATTCAACTGTTGCAGGAGTGATATTAAACAGCGGTTAGAGACTTAGCACACTATGTACCTAATAGAATAAAATAAACTCATAAATCAAATCAGAATAAAAAACTCATAAATCAGAGTCAAATCAGAATAATCAGAATAAAAAACTCATAAATCAAAATCCCATAAGAGTCCCAAAGTTATTTTCTAATCTTATTTCCTGCAAAGTTGCATCCTATTCTGATTTTGTAAAGAGACATATACTAAGAGGATGAGTGAAGCTGCACTCATCTGTACAAAGGGAATTTTTATTGAGATGCTGCTTTGTTATGAAATTATTTATTTTTATAAATAAAATTATTATATAAAAATGACTAAATCTGGCAACATTTCTTAAACAAAACTATGTGTTTAAAAAACATCACAGAAGGAACTGCACTGGAGACACGAGATAATACTTTACTCAGCCCTAGGATTTGCTGATTATAAAATATGTGTAATTGAAAATATCAATGCTACCTCCCTGAATAACTATACAATTATGACTGAATTGGGAACTTTTATTATTAGCATTGTTTCATTAATTTTTTTATTTAACGATGTTGGTGAAGATGATGCTAATGGTGATTGAAAAGTGGAATAATATGTGGTATTCTTTAAGAAATATTAAACACCAAACTTTCTTATTTTGTTAATTGAAAATATTGACCAAACTACTAAAGATAAATGCCAAAATATCGTAAGTGTTGCCCAAATGGCAGACACAAGGTAGAGCTAACCTTGGGCGCGCTCATCACCTTCTGTTAGCACAAACAAAATGTTTGAATATCCACCTTGTGCTAAATGTCCACCTTTGCTAAGGGAGGAAGTAAGTCAAGTAATGTCACTGAGGGCTTTGATATCTGCCTGCTAGAAATAAAAATATCTGTATGAAGTTTTCAAAAAATAACAAAAAGGTCCATGTGTTAATAGGTCCATGTGTTAACAGTCACTAATATCATTCCAAATCATATTCAATTAAAATTGAGATCTTTTTTAAAACCAAAATACCAGAATTCTTTGCACTTGCAAAACCAAAGTTAATACGGTAACATCTGTAAAGGCAGTAACTTCAAGATTTCTTTTGATAGTTGAAGACTAGACTTGACGTTTCTTTTTTTTGAGATGGAGTCTCGCTCTGTTGCCCAGGCTGGAGTGCAGTGGCTGGAGTGCAGTGGCGTGATCTCTGCTCACTGCAACCGCCACCTCCCAGGTTAAAGCAATTCTCCTGCCTCAGCCTCCCGAGTAGCTGGGATTACAGGCACCCACCACCACGCCCGGCTAATTTTTCATATTTTCAGTAGAGATGGGGTTTTGCCACGTTGGGCAGCCTGGTCTCGAACTCCTGACCTCAGGTGATCCACCTGCCTCAGCCTTCCAAAGTGCTGGGATTATAGGCGTGAGCCACTACGCCCGACCGAGGTTTCTTTGTTGTTTGTTTTAAATAATTATACAGGAAGTTACAAAGGTTGTACAGAGGTCCTGTGTACTTTTAAGCCAGTTTCCACCATTGCTTACATCATTCAATAACTGAGACCAATTATTTGATAAAAGAATATCAAAGCTAGGAATTTGGTATCAGTACAAGGCATGTGTATAGTTTTATGTCATTCTATTCCAGTAGATTTGTGTATCTACTATCAAAATCAAGATACAGAATTATCATCAGAAAGATCTTATTCTAATCCTTTATAGTCCTATCTACCTGCATCCACCATCCATAATCACTGGCACACACTATTCTGTTTTCTATCTCTATAATTTTGTCATTTGCAGAATGTTATATGGATTCATACAGTATGTGACCTTTAAAATTGGTTTTACTCACTTGGCTTACCACTGTGAGATCTTTTATGGGCTGAATTGTGCTCCCTCAAAACTCATATGTTGAAGCCCTAAGTCTCAGTACTTCAGAGTGTGACTGTATTTGGAGATAGGGCTTTTAAAGAAGTGATTAAGTTAAAATGTGGCTATTAGGGTGGGCACTGACCCAATCTGACTAGTATCATTAAAGAAGAACTTTGGACATCTAAAGAGATACCAGGGATCAGTAGGCACTCAGGAGAGATCTTGTGAGGATACAGTGAAAGGGCAGCTATTAGTAAGCCAAGGAGAGAGGCTGTGAAACAATCCAAACCTGCCCACACCTTGATCTTGGACATCTAGCCTCCAAAACTGGGAGAAAATAAATTTCTGTTGTTTAAGTCACACAGATTGGTATTCTGTCATGGCAGCCCTAGCAAACTAATATAAGATCCATCCAATTTGGTGTATCTATGAAGAGTTCATTCCTTTATATTGCTGAGTATTATATATCCTGAGTAAACATTTCAGGGTATGTTTGTTTCTGTCGCATTTTATGTAACCATTTACCTATGAGGAATGTTTTGGTTATTTCCAGTTTGGGGTTTATTGCAAATAAAGTTGCCATAAGCAATCATGCATGGGTTTTTGTGTGGACCTAAGTTTTTATTCTGGAGGGATAAATGCTGAGAACTGAAATTTCTGGGTTGCAAGGTAAGTTTATGTTTAGTTTTTAAGGAAACTACCAAACTATTTTCTAGAGTGGCTAAATTGTCTTATTCTCATCAGCAATGCATGTGTATCCAGTTTCTCCACATTCATGGCAGCATTTAGTATCACCACGTGTTTGTTTTCACTTTTCTAACAGATGTATACTGATATCTCATTGTGGTCTTCATTTGCATTTCCCTAATGGCTAGTCATGAACATCTTTTCATATGGCAATTTACCATCTATGTGTCTTCTTTGGTGAAGGGTCTCTTTACATTTTTCCCATTTTGCAATTATATGGTTTGGTGTTTAATGTTGAATCTTGAAAGTTATTTACATACTCTATAGATGAGTATTTTGTAAGACACATGGTTTGTAAATATTTTCAGTTTGTTGCTTGTCTTTTCCTCCTCTTGAGATGATGCATAATTTTTAATTTTGATAAAATTCAATATATTTTTTTCTGGTTGTTTGTATGAGTTATTTATTGAAAATTAGACATTTAGGGGATTATAATTATCTGAACCTTATTTATATCTTAAGGTTCACAGCCAAAGCCTCCCCTGATAGCATGCCTGTGGGGAAAAGAGAGACACCTTCTCGTTGTTGCCAGGTAAGTGTAGACTCCCAGGTTTTCCTCTTGGCCTTCATTGACACCTGGGGGTAGAAGAGTCTCTTTGTCACTGCTGGGTGGGGTTGGAAGTTGAGGCTTTCCACTAGGCTTTTGCGGATGCCACCCTGGCTGGGATGGGGAGGGCCAGCTCATCATTGCTCTCTCATGGTAGTCTCCACTGACACTGCAGGGGGGTGGCCTTGTTACCAAGCTGAGTGTCAGAGGAAGTCTTAACCCCCGACGAGGCCTCCTCTGACAGTGCAGGGCAGGTGTGTTGTAAGTTCACTGACTGGGGAGGCCTGCTTACCACCTGGTGGGACCAAAAATCCTGGCTTCTTACTTGATCTTCTGTGGCCCCACTTTGGTAGGGGATTGAGACACTTCATTATAGACTGGCAAGGGGAGCCTCTTTCCCCTCAGCCTTTGCTGGTGGAGGTGGGGGTGGGGCCATAGTTCATACTGTTGTATTAGGCAGAGTAGAGCAATCATCAAGAATAAAATCATGTCACTTGCAACAACATGGATGGAACTGGAGGTCATTGTGTTAAGTGAAATAATCCAGACACAAAAAGACAATTAGCCCGTGTACTTACTTATATGTGGGATCTAAGGAAGCTGATCTCATGGACATGGAGAGCAGAATTATCATTCTACTCTGGATACCAGAGGCTGGGAAGGATGCAGGTGTGAAGGGGAGGATGAAGAGAGGTTGGCAAATGAGTACTCACATACAGTGAGATAGAAAAAAATAAGTCCAGGCCAGGCATGTTGGCTCATGCCTGTAATCCCAGCTCTTTGGGAGGCCGGGTGGGTGGATCACTTGAGGTCAGGAGTTTGAGACCAGCCTGGCCAACATGGCGAAACCCCATCTCTACTAAAAATACAAAAAGTAGCCAGGCATGGTGGTGCATGCTTGTAGTCTGAGTTACTCAGGAGGCTGAGGAGGGAGGATCACTTGAGCCTGGGAGGTCTAGGTTGTAGTTTGTAGTGAGCCAAGAGCACACCACTGCACTCCAGCCTGGGAGACAGGAGTAAAACCCTGTCCACTGCCCCCACAAAAAGAAAGAAAAAGAAAAAAAAAAGAAGCCCTAATATTTGATAGTAAAGTAGGGTGACTGTAGTTAACAACAGTGTATCATATATTTCAAAATAGCTAGAAGAGAGGATGTGAAATATTCTCAATATATTGAAATGATAAATGTTTGATGTGATGGAAATACTAAATGCCCTGCCTTGATCATGGCATATTCTATGCATGTAACAAAATATCACTTGTACCCCATAATATGTAAAAACACTATGTATCAATAAAATCATCTAAAAGCTTCCTGTCTTTCTAGGCTGCCCTCTTAGTGGTTTTTTGACTAGTCACAGCTGTCTTTTTCCTTTTTTCTTTTCTTTTCTTTTTTTTTTTTTTGTCTGAGTCGATTAGAAATTCCTTGTTGCCAGCTTCTCCAGTACTTACACTGGGGTATCCATGAAATTCACCACCATGTTATTCTTTGAGTTCTGAGGTCCCTAGCCAGTCTGTCTTCTCTTCACCTGTCAGAACCTATTTATTTTATGGATAACATCTAGGGTTTTTAGCTGTACTTAGCAGGATAATGAAAAATTATTTAATGGGTACATGTACATTATTCAGGCGATGGATACTCTAAAAGCCCTGACATGACCACCATGTAACCTAAACATGTAACAAAATTGCACATACATCCCATAAATATCTACAAATAAAATTTTTTAATTTAAAAAAGAAAGTATGCCTAGTACATCTTCTCAGAAACTGAGTTTAAAAACATAGTTTTTCTTTTGATCTGCTTATATCTTTTTTTTCACATAATAATGCTTTATTTTTATATGGGAATAAGGTCTGCAACTCTCATAAAAATGTCATGTGGAAAATTAAGTAATATATATGAATTACCATAGAAGGAAGTAAAAGTATTACCAGGAAGAGCTAAGTGCATTTATATAATATTTAAAAATAACTTCAAGAGAATGAAAGAAGTGATTTTCACCATGACAAGTTGGTCCTTTCAAAATTATGTGGTTGATCTTTCAAAATGTAATTATTTGTTCTTACTGAAAGTTATTAGGAATATGTCCAATTATAACTTTTATATGTCAAGCTGGTAATATAAAGATTTAAAAGTGAAAGCTCTAAAATTTCATATGCTTTTTCAGTTTTATGTTAATGCATAGCTCTCAAGATTTTTGCCAAGCCTTTTGGCAGATTCCTTTAGAGAGAGCCTGACAATATCAAGGACTTGGGAAAATGAGATAATTAAGCAGCGACATCATCAATCACAAAGATAGGATTCTGATGCTGTAAAAGTTTTCGTCAGAGCCTCCTTAACATTTACTATGATAGAAGTTGCTTTCCGGATGTGGCAGTATTTGGGCACTTCAAACAGTGGAAAAGGTCCAACAGAAGAGAGAATGGAAATGGGCAGGAGGAGGGATGGTTAGTGTAGGCACTAGATTGAAACCTCCTTTGTATGAGTCCTAGATCCTATGGCTGACTCTGAGGCCATAGAGTTTGCCTAACCTAAGAGCCTTGATTTACTTGTTTTTTAAATGGGATTATTCTAATGCCTAACCTCAAAATTTCCTAAGGTATAAATTAAATAATATATCTGAAGTTTGTAGTTAATGTGGCATTATTGCCCCTCCTACCAAGGAGGGTCATCACCATTCTTAATGAGAGAAATAAACTAGTATTTGAAAGAAATAAAATAAACTAGTATTTATTTCTTTTATAAAGAATACATTTAGTATTAAATAATGTATTTGTTATTGTTAAATGTATTATTATTTGGTATTATTAGTATTTAGTATTATCAGCATTAACTGTATTATTTAGTATTATTTAATATGATTAAATGTATTGTTTAGTATTTATTAAATGTATTTAGTATTAATTAAATGTATTAAATATTATTAAATGCCTACTGTGACACTCTAGGTATGCCACTTTTATTGTTGATCTCACTTAATAATGGCAAAAACATCATGCGGTGGATGTTATAACTAAGATAACTAAGGCTTAGGAAGATAGAACAATTTCCCCTGATTCCCACAATTAATATGCAAAGAAAAAGAAGAAAGGAAGAAAGAAATAAAGGAAGAGAGAGAAAGAGAGAGAGTCTGTTTATTCTGTCTAACATGTGTCAGGCATGTTGCTAGATACTAGGAATAAAACAGTGAGCAGACATAATTTCCTCCCTCAGGGATTTTAGATTATAGTGGAGAAACAGACAAATAGATTACACAATTATATGATAAGGAACTAGGATCAACATCAGCACTAACTAGCATAAGAATATTTAGGTGAGGCACCTAACTCAATGGAGAAAGTTATAGGGGCCCTTTGGAAGGGGAGATGTCTAGGTTGGGACCTGAAATGAAGTAGAGATTTTTCATGCTATACTCACTATATCATGCTGCCTGCTGCATTATTTAAATTTCAGGCTATAGTTGGGATTTGTAATGTAGCTTCTCTGCAGCCCTCACATGCTAAGGGGTGTGACAGAACTTGGTTTGGGACAATTTGGGACCAGTCAGCATGAAAGTCTTTACAGGGAAGGATGGATGACTGAGAAGGGCCACAACAGGAACAATAATAGGTTAGGTAAACAGGTGGGCAGTAGGTGGGGATTGAGGAGAAGGCCAGAACCAAATTCAAGCAGGCAGGCAAGATCAGGGACATCTGCTGGGAGGTGGTCATTGTCCAGCCACTAGATACGCATTCAAAGGCAGACCCTAATTTCTGGAAAGACTGGACTGAAGAAAGACAGGGCTGCAAATATAGGGTAACAGAGGTGTTAGGCAGGAGTTCCTGCTCAAGTGGGGATGGGGAAGCAAGGTTTGGACAGTTATATGGAGGATTCAGATAACAATAAATTAAGAGAAAAATCAAACAGCATATGCAATGTAAAAGAAAGATAAGGAATTAACTGATGAGTTAAAAAGATTTTTTAAAGGTATTATCAGAGCAAAATCCTGAAGGAAACAAGTTTTAGATGTCATTTGTAAAATTACAGTCTATGACCCCAAATTAAGTCTTTTTGGCATTTTGTCAGAGATCCCAGTATATGCTTATATATAATTTTCCAGAAGACAAGATCTCTTTGTACTGACTTATTCCTGCATTTTGGTCACCTTTGTCCTCTGTAGTTCAGACTTTAAGGTTCAATCATGTATCCTCTGTCACAATACTCAAAATACTCACTTTCTTAACATA
The DNA here is from genome assembly GCF_000001405.40 of Homo sapiens. Classification (NCBI taxonomy): domain Eukaryota; kingdom Metazoa; phylum Chordata; class Mammalia; order Primates; family Hominidae; genus Homo; species Homo sapiens. Next base: position 209,071,836 of record NC_000002.12, read on the forward strand.
ATTTTATCCTTCTGCAAAACAGTGCAGCCACACTCCAGCTTAGGCACTGGCCCATTCGGGTCCTGATACAGTTTCTAAATAGACAGGAATTATACTTTGGGGCAAATAGCCCTGATTTAGTGGCCTTAATTCAATAGTCAATTTGGAAAGATTTCCAACTTCTCCAAATCTTTCTTCCTTTAATTCCTGCTTTCTTATTTATAATCTGACCTCTTATACTTGTCTGTTTCTGCAAACTTTGCTTGGGTTCAACAATAATACTATCTCCACCACCAGAATTCTGAAAATTATGCATTTTTTCTTGCCTTTCTTCCTCTTTTTCTGGTTTCTTTATAAGGTAAAACAGATTAACAATTTGGAAAAATAAGAAATGAAAAAGAAGTGGCTATATGTTACCCATATTCTCACCATTCAAACACAACTGCTAATTACTTACTGATATCCTTATTCTAGCCTTTCTTTTATGTACAGCTACAAAGGTATGTGTAATTTTATATCTTGATTGCATACGAATTTCTAAGTCTTTTGGGGAGATTGCCAAATACAGTTTTATTTTAGATAATGCATTTTCCACTTGTAATACATTAGTCATGAAGTGCACTGTATTCTACTCCTTTCCCTGCACACATGTTCAAGTATACAGAATGCCCATTAATTTTCTCCAGCAGCTCAACTTTAAAACTGCCACATAGTTTGCTACAAATTTGGGTCCCTCAACATTTTACTGTGTGGAACAATGTTACATCTATATTTGAGTTGGCTTAATCAACCTCTTCAATGATGGGCCTTAAGGAAGCACTACCAGAGAAAGGAGCTCTTCCACCAGGGAAGCCCTCAGGCATTCCTCCCAGCATGTCCCTGTACCCTAGTATAGCTTGATAATTCCTCCTAGTATGTCCCTGCACCCTGGTACAGCTTGATAATGATGGACTGCAAACTAGCTCTTTCTGCTGATGTTCAAATTCTTCCTTCATTATAGTCTGATTCTTGTCAAGTCAGTTGATGATTTTATTACACTTGTCAAGTATCTTCTGTTTATCCTTATTGTTGATCTTGCCTTGAAGTTTCTCAGTTGCTTTCATGTTGAATGCATAAGAGTCAAGTGAATTCTTTGATGCCACCTTGTTCTTCTGCTTCTCATCTTCAGCTTTGTACTCAGCTTCCTGGACCATATTCTCAATGTCTTCCTTGCTCAAATGCCCCTGGTCATTAGTGATGATAATTTTGTTCTCTTTTTCTGTACTCTTACCTACAGCAGAGATATTGAGGCTGCTATTGACATCAATATCACAAGTGACTTTAATTTGAGGAACAGCAAAGGGAGCAGGAAGTATGCCTGTGAGCTCAAACTTGCCCTGGATAACAAGCAAATTGTTATCCTTGGTTATGGCACTCTCACCTTCATAAACTTGAATGAGGACATCAGGTTGGTTGTCAGGGTAGGTAGTGAAGGTCTGGGTCTGCTTGGTAAGAAAAGTGTGTTGCATTTCATGGGAACAGTCATGACTCCACAGCAGCATCATTACCAAAGAGAAGAGAAGTGAATCCAAAAGTAGCAAATCTTGAACAGTTTAAGATCTGTCTTAAGATAGGATGGCTGCCTGGACTGCTGCACCATAAGCAACAGCTTTATCAGGGTCAATGCTCTTGCTCAGTTATTTTCCACTAAATAATTATTGAGGGAGCTTTTGGATCTAGGAGATAGAGATAGAACCACCTACCAGGACAATAACATGGATCTGCAACTTGTCTAGTTTGGTGTCCTGAAGGGCTATCTCTATGGGGTCCTGGGTGCCACGGAACAGGACAGCATTCAGTTCTTCAAATTGGGCATGGGTAATGGAGGTATAAATATCTGCTCCTTCACAGAGAGAATTAATCTCACTACTGGCCTGGGTGCTGGAAGGGAGAGTGCAATTAGCCCATCACAAGCAGTACAGAAGCGTCAGACAGCCCTGTTGTTCTCACTACTGTCCTTATGCTTGTATTTGAACTCAGCAATAAAATGGTTGATCATTTGGTTGTCAAAATCTTCTTCACCTAAGTGGGTGTCTCCAGCTGTAGATTTGATCTCAAAGATTTCATCCTCAAGAGTAAGGACAGACACATCAAAAATTTCATCTCTTAAGTCATAGATGAGCACATGTCTTTCAGCTCCAAACTTTTTGTCTGTGCCATAAGCAATAGAAGCAGCAGTTGGCTCATTGATAATTCTAACTACATTGAGACCAGCAATGGTTCCAGGATCTTTGGTAACCTGACATTAGAGTCATTAGGCCCTATGACCATAACATTGGAAATAGTCTTCCCAAGGTGAAATAATAATTTCATTATTCTAAGAGATCACCTACTCAGCACTTATATAGATGAAAATCTAGATAAGCCATTACAGCCATGAGCAATGCTAATGAACATTTTTGCAAACTCTGGACAGGTGCTTGACATCCTCAATGATCTTCCTATTTTTCTCAGTTATCTGGTCATGAGCAACTGGCCCAGCTGAAGATGATTCATTTCAGATGAGATCACCTTTAATGTACTTTAATCCACTGTAACACAGCATCCAGTTGAAGTGGAAAGTGTGGACAGGCATGAACCTCCAAAATGGCAACAGCAAACTGCAAAGCTCACCCAAAACACATCTAACAACACCAGGGTCTTCAGCTACCAATCAAGCCCCTGTACACTGTCTCAGAAAAAGAAATATCTCTAACTTCCTCAGTTCATAATGATTTTAATATCTTGGGAATTTTTTCATTGTATTTCTAGGGCCAAAGAAAATTTAAACTATTTGGCAGCACCCTTGTGAGTTTACTGCGGTGTCCAGGGTGCCTTAGAGCTAGTTTAGGAACTGCATTTCTAAAAATAATAGTTGTTTTTCATTGCCTTCTATAATTCAAGATTTACATTCTGGAGTGGACATGTCCCTAAGGTATCAAAACTCTAAATTTCAAGGCCTCTTACTTGTAGGAGTCTCTTCCATGGTCCTGATCAGGGAGAAACAAAATTGAGCATACAACAACAATTGTTTAAGAGAACCACTTCTCCTTCCTCCCAAGACACTTTGCGGTTTGGTAGTGTTAGAGTGTCCATGGGCGCATATATATAGTATCTAGCTAAGGAGAAGTTAGCACTAGAGGAGAAACACAATTTGACATGAATGAAGTCACAAAGCTGTCTGTGGACAGTTCTTCTAATCAAATATGAAAATAATTTAAGTGTAGGATTTTTTTCGTTTTGGTCAATACCCATGCACAATGACATTTCCTGTTAGCAATATACTTGATAATGAAGCCTACATAATTATATATAAAATCTCCTCTTTTTCCCATTGTTAATGGGAATTTCCCAAAACAAAATTTAACATAACTCATTCATTTGTAGAACATAAACTTGCAAAATTAGAACAGCAAATATCTATATATCTGAAGTTGCAGGTTTTATGAATCACAGATATCAATTAAACAAATTTAATCTACCATGCTAGACCTTTTTCTTCTATCTTTAAAAATTATGATACAATTTTCTTTCATTTAAAACAGTGATCAATAGTATCAAGCCAAAATATATGGGAAAATATATTGTAACTTTATTTTATTTTTTTGAGACTTTGTCACCCAGGTTGGAGTGCAGTGGCACGATCCTTCTGCCTCAGCCCCCCAAGGAGCTGGGACTACAGGTGCACCACCAGGCTTGGCTAATATTTGTAATTTTTGTAGAGGTGGGGTTTCACCATGTTGCCTGTGTTGGTCTTAAACTCCTGAGTTCATGCAATCTGCCCACCTCTGTCTCCCAAAGTACTGGGATTACAGGCATGAGCCATCATACCCGGCCATAAAGATATTTTATAATTATGACATTTCTCATGTTTTAGTTTATTGTGACTTTTTTCTCATTCACAGTAAATATTCTGTTTTGTTTGTTTTTCCTAACTTTGATTCTTTTTTCTTAAAGATGGTACTTTAAATCATGTAAAATTGAGGCCTGAAAAACACCTGTCTACCTCTAGCCATGATGTAAGTGAAACATTTCTTTAACCTATTTCAAATAATTTTATTTTCCTTTTTTCTTTCTGCATCTTGGCTTATACTTTCCATTTGCCTCTGAAACCTAGTCCAAAAATAATTTATGTGCTCACTGCTCACTCCATTTTTGTATTTTATCCTTTTCGGAAGAGAAACATTTTCAAAAAGCCTTTTTGTTTTTTCAGAGTTCTCTCAATTTTATGCTCTGGTGTTCTTAAAATATTATATGAGCATCATAATACTGCTTTTCAAACAAGAAAAATCTCATCTGCAGTCCCATGTTCTTGCAGCATTATTCCCAGCAGACAAGATATGGAATCAGTCTACATGTCCATCAAAGAACGAATGGAGAAAGAAAAATATAGTGTCTATACACAATGGAGTACTTTTCAGCTTTAACAAAAGAAGGAAATCTGTTCCTTTGTGACAACACAGATGAACCTACAGGACACTGTGTTAAGTGAAACAAGCCAGGCACAGAAATACAAATACCACATGATATCACTTATGTGGAATCTAAAAAATGTTGAATACATAGAAGCAAGGAGTAGAATGGTGGTTCTGGCTGTGTGGGGGGTTGGGGGCAGTAGATAGGGAGATGTTGATCAAAGGATACAACAAAAGTATTTTTCAATTTTTTTTATTATACTTTAAGTTCTAGGGTACAGGTGCATAATGTGCACATTTGTTACATATGGTGCTGGAGAGGATGTGGAGAAATAGGAACACTTTTACACTGTTGGTGGGACTGTAAACTACTTCAACCATTGTGGAAGACAGTGTGGCAATTCCTCAGGGATCTAGAACTAGAAATACCATTTGACCCAGCCATCCCACTACTGGGTATGTACCCAAAGGAATATAAATCATGCTGCTATAAAGACACATGCACACGTATGTTTATTGAGGCACTACTCACAATAGCAAAGACTTGGAGCAACAAAGTATTTTTTTAAATAATATATAAATACATCTCATAAACTCCACACAATGTACACATGTCCTCATTAGTACTGTTGTACTCTCCCCTTTTCCTTCTTTCAAACCTATTGCCCTTCACAGCTGTTTGTCTTGGGTTTCTCTCAACACCACCCTCACCCCCAGAATCTTATCAGCCCTCTTCACTCCATCTCCTTCTTTATGAGCTTCTGTTTTCTTTTTCTCCTCTTGTTCAATCACAAAAGCACAGGAATGGATCTATCAAGTACAAAATTCTTATGTGGTGTCTGAGAGAGGAAGGCATTCAGGTAATGCCTGTGCCAGTGTTTTCATGCCATCAAGCATATGCATGAGAAAGAGGTGCTGCAATGTATTCAAGGCTTATTGCATCCTAAGTTCAGTGGGACCTATGTAAAGGGATGAGGTCATTTAATTCTCATAAGAACATTATAACTTGGGAATATCTCCATATCTTAAATGAGGAAACCGAGGGCCACAGAAGTTATTGACTTGTCTGAGGGTGCAGCTGGGACTAGTACTCAAGTCTGTCTGACTCCCTGGTTTGTATTCTTAGCTTCTATGAGAGGCTTCCTTTCTAATCAAAAGTTGCATAAAGTTTCACATTCCCAAAATATTCTTCAAAGCATCATAAGTAACTTCATAAAGGGCAAGGTGTATTCACTTGAAGGTGAGTGTGATTCTGTAAAAGACTGAAATTTTACTGATGTTGATTATGGAATAACTAGGTGAGCTCACTGGTATTATAGGTGTAGGTAAAGAATGAGATGTGGATTCAAAATAAAGAGGCTAAATTTCTGTGTCATTTATTATCTAAGCTTAGAGGCAAATTACAAAAAAAAATTCATAAAAATATGCCAAGAATGGAATATTCCTGGGGGAAAAAATGTATGTACCTTACATTGTCACTGTTAAGAACAAAAAATTACAACATTTGCACTTGTTTTATGAAATCCATAAAGCAATAGTGATCTCGGGTCAAATACATATACACACTACACAAGACACACACACACATACACACACAATTGCACATTCAGTCCACCTTGTTTTTAATGGTGATATCATTGTGAAGTTATAGGTGAAAGAGCTCACATAGCAGAGTATTGTGATATTAGCCATGATGTACTAACCATCTACATATGTTAGTTGATTGTAATAATAATAAAATAATTAATTTTAAAGATATAAACTATACTTATTGTCAGGTCTCTGAGCCCAAGCCAAGCCATCGCATCCCCTCTGACTTGCAGGTATATGCCCAGATGGCCTGAAGTAACTGAAGAATCACAAAAGAAGTGAAAATGCCCTGCCCCGCCTTAACTGATGACATTCCACCAAAAAAGAAGTGTAAATGGCCGGTCCTTGCCTTAAGTGATGACATTACCTTGTGAAAGTCTTTTTCCTGGCTCATCCTGGCTCAAAAACTCCCCCACTGAGCACCTTGCGACCCCCACTCCTGCCCACCAGAGAACAAACCCCCTTTGACTGTAATTTTGCTTTACCTGCCCAAATCTTATAAAACGGCCCCACCCCTATCTCCCTTCTCTGACTCTCTTTTCGGACTCAGCCCGCCTGCACCCAGGTGAAATAAACAGCCATGTTGCTCACACAAAGCCTGTTTGGTGGTCTCTTCACACGGATGTGCATGAAATTTGGTGCCGTGACTCAGATCAGGGGACCTCCCTTGGGAGATTAATCCCCTGTCCTCCTTCTCTTTGCTCCGTGAGAAAGATCCACCTACAACCTCAGGTCCTCAGACCAGCCAGCCCAAGAAACATCTCACCAATGTCAAATCCAGTAAGCGGCCTAATTTTTACTCTCTTCTCCAACCTCCCTCACTATCCCTCAACCACTTTCTCCTTTCAATCTTGGCGCCACATTTCAATCTCTCCCTTCTCTTAATTTCAATTCCTTTCATTTTCTGGTAGAGACAAAGGAGACACGTTTTATCAGTGGACCCAAAACTCCGGCGCCGGTCATGGACTAGGGAAGGCAGCCTTCCCTTGGTGTTTAATCATTGCAGGGACACCTCTCTGATTATTCATCTACGTTTCAGAGGTGTCAGACCACGCAGGGACGCCTGCCTTGGTCCTTCACCCTTAGCAGCAAGTCCCGCTTTTCTGGGGAAGGAGCAAGTACCCCAACCCCTTCTCTCCATGTCTCTACCCCTTCTCTGCCTTTCTGGGGGGAAAGAAACCCCCAACCCCTTCTCCTTCACCCTTAGTGGCAAATCCCGCTTTTCTGGGGGAAGGGCAAGTACCCCAACCCCTTATATCTCTGTGCCCCAATCCCTTATTTCCATGCCCTGACCTCTTATATCTCTGTGCCCCGATCCCTTATTTCCGTGCCCCAACCTCTTATATCCCTGTACCCCAATCCCTTATTTCCACACCCCGACCTTGTATCTCTGCACCCTGACCCCTTTCCTGCTTTTCTGGAGGGTAAGAACCCCCGAACCCCTTCCCTCTGTGTCTCTACTCTCCCTTTTCTTTAAACTTGCCTCCTTTGCTATAGGCAACCTTCCACCCTCCATTCCTCCTTCTTCTCCCTTAGCCTGTGTTCTCAAAAACTTAAAACCTCTTCAACTCACACCTGACCTAAAACCTAAATGTCTTATTTTCTTCTGCAATGCTGCTTGACCCCAATACAAACTCGACAGTAGTTCCAAATAGCCAGAAAATGGCACTTTCAATTTTTCCATCCTGCAAGATCCAAATAATTCTTGTCGTAAAATAGGCAAACGGTCTGAGGTGCCTGACGTCTAGGCATCCTTTTACACATCAGTCCCTTCCTAGTCTCTGTGCCCAATGCAACTAATCCCAAATCTTCCTCCTTTCCCTCCCGCCTGTCCCCTCAGTACCAACCCCAAGCGTCGCTGAGTCTTTCTAATCTTCCTTTTCTACAGACCCATCTGACCTCTCCCCTCCTCACCAGGTCGAGCTAGGTCCCAATTCTTCTTCAGCCTCCGCTCCTCCACCCTATAATCCTTTTATCACCTCCCCTCCTCACACCTGGTCCAGCTTACAGTTTCATTCTGTGACTAGCCCTCCCCCACCTGCCCAGCAATTTCCTCTTAAAAAGGTGGCTGGAGCTAAAGGCATAGTCAAGGTTAATACTCCTTTTTCTTTATCTGACCTCTCCCAAATCAGTTAGCATTTAGACTCTTTTTCATCAAATATAAAAAACCCAGCCGAGTTCATGGCTAGTTTGGCAGCAACCCTGAGAGGCTTTACAGCCCTAGACCCTAAAAAGTCAAAAGGCCATCTTATTCTCAATATAGATTTTATTACCCAATCTGCTCCTGACATTAAATAAAACTCCAAAAATTAAATTCCGGCCCTCAAACTCCACAACAGGACTTCATTAACCTCGCCTTCAAGGTGTACAATAATAGAAAAAAGTTGCAATTCCTTGCCTCCACTGTGAGACAAACCCTAGCCATATCTCCAGCACACAAGAACTTCCAAACACCTGAACTGCAGCAGCCAGGTGTTCCTCCAGGCCTGCCACCCCCAGAAGCTTGCTACAAGTGCCAGAAATCTGGTCACCAGGCCAAGGAATGCCCGCAGCCCGGGATTCCTCCTAAGCCGCGTCCCATCTGTGTGGGACCCCATTGAAAATTGGACTGTTCAGCTCACCTGGCAGGCACTCCCAGAGCCCCAGGGACTCTGGCCCAAGGCTCTCTGACTGACTCCTTCCCAAATCTTCTCTGCTTAGCAGCTGAAGACTGACACTGCCCAATCGCCTCGGAAGCCTATAGGACCATCACAGATGCTCTGGGTAACTCTCACAGTGGAGGGTAAGTCCATCCCCTTCTTAATCAATGCGGAGGCCACCCACTCCACATTACCTTATTTTCAAGGGCCTGTTTCCCTTGCCTCCATAACTGTTGTAGGTATTGACAGCCAGGCTTCTAAACCTCTTAAAACTCCCCAACTCTGGCGCCAACTTAGACAATACTCTTTTAAGCACTCCTTTTTAGTTATCCCCACCTGCCCAGTTCCCTTATTAGGCTGAGACACTTTAACTAAATTATCTGCTTCCCTGACTATTCCTGGGCTACAGCCACACCTCATTGCCACCTTTTCCCCCAGTTCAAAGCCTCCTTCACATACTCCTCTTGTATCCCCCCCACCTTAACCCACAAGTATAGGACACCTCTACTCCCTCCTTGGCCACTGATCATGCACCCCTTACCATCTCATTAAAACCTAATCACCCTTACCCCACTCAACGTCAATATCCCATCCCGCAGCACGCTTTAAAAAGATTAAAGCCTGTTATCACTTGCCTGCTACAGCATGGCCTTTTAAAGCCTATCAACTCTCCTTACAATTCCCCCGTTTTACCTGTCCTAAAACCAGACAAGCCTTACAAGTTAGTTCAGGATCTGCGCCTTATCAACCAAATTGTTTTGCCTATCCACCCTGTGGTGCCAAACCCATATACTCTCCTATCCTCAATACCTGCCTCTACAACCCATTATTCTGTTCTGGATCTCAAACATGCTTTCTTTACTATTCCTTTGCACCCTTAATCCCAGCCTCTCTTCGCTTTCACTTGGACTGACCCTGACACCCATCAAGCTCAGCAAATTACCTAGGCTGTACTGCCGCAAAGCTTCACAGACAGCCCCCATTACTTCAGTCAAGCCCAAATTTCTTCCTCATCTGTTACCTATCTCGGCATAATTCTCATAAAAACACACGTGCTTTCCCTGCCAATCATGTCCGACCGATCTCTCAAACCCCAGCACCTTCTACAAAACAACTCCTTTCCTTCCTAGGCATGGTTAGCATGGTCAGAATTCTTACACAAGAGCCAGGACCACACCCTGTAGCCTTTCTGTCCAAACAACTTAACCTTACTGTTTTAGCCTAGCCCTCATGTCTGCGTGCAGCAGCTGCCACTGCTTTAATACTTTTAGAGGCCCTCAAAATCACAAACTGTACTCAACTCACTCTCTATAGTTCTCATAACTTCCAAAATCTATTTTCTTCCTCATACCTGACGCATATGCTTTCTGCTTCCCGGCTCCTTCAGCTATACTCACTCTTTGTTGAGTCTCCCACAATTACCATTTTTCCTGGCCCGGACTTCAATCCGGCCTCCCACATTATTCCGGATACCACACCTGACCCTCATGACTGCATCTCTGTGAACCACCTGACGTTCACCCCATTTCCCCACATTTCCTTCTTCTCTGTTTCTCACCCTGATCACACTTGGTTTATTGATGGCAGTTCCACCAGGCCTAATTGCCACTCACCAGCAAAGGCAGGCTATGCTATAGTATCTTCCACATCTATCATTGAGGCTACCACTCTGCCCCCCTCCACTACCTCTCAGCAAGCCGAACTAGTTGCCTTAACTCAAGCCCTCACTCTTGCAAAAGGACTACACATCAATATCTATACTGATTCTAAATAGGCCTTTCATATTCTGCACCACCATGCGGTCATATGGGCTGAAAGAGGTTTTCTCACTGCACAAGGGTCCTCCATCATTAATGCCTCTTTAATAAAAACTCTACTCAAGGCCGCTTTACTTCCAAAGGAAGCTGGGGTCATTCACTGCAAGGGGCATCAAAAGGCGTCAGATCCCATTGCTCTAGGCAACGCTTATGCTGATAAGGTGGCAAGACAAGCAGCTAGCTCTCCAACTTCTGTCCCTCACATCCAGTTTTTTCTCCTTCACATCAGTCACTCCCACCTACTCCCCTGCTGAAACTTCCACCTATCAATCTCTTCCCACACAAGGCAAATGGTTCTTAGACCAAGGAAAATATCTCCTTCCAGCCTCACAGGCCCATTCTATTCTGTCGTCATTTCATAACCTCTTCCATGTAGGTTACAAGCTGCTAGCCCGTCTCTTAGAACCTCTCATTTCCTTTCCATCATGGAAATCTATCCTCGAGGAGATCATTTCTCAGTGTTCCATCTGCTATTCTACTACCCCTCATGGATTGTTCAGGCCTCCTCCCTTTCTACACATCAAGCTCGAGGATTTGTCCCTGCCCAGGACTGGCAAATTGACTTTACTCACATGCCTCGAGTCAGAAAACTAAAATATCTCTTAGTCTGGGTAGACACTTTCAATGGATGGGTAGAGGCCTTTCCTACAGGGTCTGAGAAGGCCACCACAGTCATTTCTTCCCTTCTGTCAGACATAATTCCTCAGTTTAGCCTTCCCACCTCTATACAGTCTGATAACAGACCAGCCTTTATTAGTCAAATCAGCCAAGCATTTTTTCAGGCTCTTAGTATTCAGGGAAACCTTTATATACCTTACAGTCCTCAGTCTTCAGGAAAAGTAAAACAGACTAATGGTCTTTTAAAAACACACCTCACCAAGCTCAGCCACCAACTTAAAAAGGACTGGACAATACTTTTACCACTTTCGCTTCTCAGAATTCAGGCCTGTCCTCAGAATGCTACAAGGTACAGCCCATTTAAGCTCCTGTATAGACGCTCCTTTTTATTAGGCCCCAGTCTCATTCCAGACACCAGACCGACTTAGACTGTGCCCCAAAAAACTTGTCAACCCTAGTATCTTCTGTCTAGTCATACTCCTATTCACCGTTCTCAACTACTCAAACATGCCCTACTCTTGTTTACACTGCCAGTTTACACTGTTTCTACAAGCCATCACAGCTGATATCTCCTGGTGCTATCCCCAAACCGCCACTCTTAACTCTTGAAGTAAATAAATAATCTTTGCTGGCAGGACTATGCTGAATCTCCTTAGGCACTCTCTAATCAGATGTCCTGGGTCCTCCCAATTCTTAGACCTTTTATACCTGTTTTTCTGCTTCTCTTATTCCATTTAGTTTTTCAATTTATACAAAACCGTATCCAGGCCATCACCAATAATTCTACACGACAAATGTTTCTTCTAACAACCCCACAATATCACCCCTTACCACAAAATCTTCCTTCAGCTTAATCTCTCCCACTCTAGGTTCCCACGCCGCCCCTAATCCCGCTCAAAGCAGCCCTGAGAAACATCACCCATTCTCTCTCTCCATACCACCCCCCGAAAATTTTCGCCGCCCCCACACTTCAACACTATTTTGTTTATTTTTCTTATTAATATAAGAAGGCAGGAATGTCAGGCCTCTGAGCCCAAGCCAAGCCATCGCATCCCCTGTGACTTGCACGTATATGCCCAGATGGCCTGAAGTAACTGAAGAATCACAAAAGAAGTGAAAATGCCCTGCCCCGCCTTAACTGATGACATTCCACCAAAAAAGAAGTGTAAATGGCCGGTCCTTGCCTTAAGTGATGACATTACCTTGTGAAAGTCTTTTTCCTGGCTCATCCTGGCTCAAAAAGCTCCCCCACTGAGCACCTTGCGACCCCCACTCCTGCCCACCAGAGAACAAACCCCCTTTGACTGTAATTTTCCTTTACCTGCCCAAATCTTATAAAACGGCCCCACCCCTATCTCCCTTCTCTGACTCTCTTTTCGGACTCAGCCCGCTTGCACCCAGGTGAAATAAACAGCCATGTTGCTCACACAAAGCCTGTTTGGTCTCTTCACACGGACGTGCATGAAACTTATTAATTACTAAAGATAAATAAGTGAAGTAACACTAGATTCATTTTAACCTGAATTAATACAAATAAGGTGAAATGCATGGCCTACTGATTGTCTATAAGGAGCAAACCTATAAAATATCAAGTATTGTCACTGCTTGAATATGCAAATGAAAGCTGTGAATAATAATCACGTGGTCAGGGAGAGAAATAAGTTTAAAGATATTAATAAATCTAGAGCACTTTCACATTATGTCAATGTAGTTAAAAGGATGAAAAGAAAATGTTTATCTTCCAGGTGGCAATTAAGTATTTATGAGAAATTCTGGTATCCAAATTGACAGGCAACTAAGTGAAATAAATTGACTAACAAAGCATAAAAGTGAAAAAAATACAGGTCGTCATTGGAACAAGTTGGTTAAATATGACTGAATTAATGAGTTTTAATAAATCCACATACTATAGATTTTCTACTAATTGGAAACCTAACAAAATTAAATATGTATGACATTTAAAAATTATTTTTCAGAACTACTTTGGAACTGTTAAATTTAGAGGAAACTTTCCTAATAGATATAAAATATATAGTGAAAGAGCCAGCAATTTTTAAAAATTTTACCATTTTATTAGTTTTTAAGTACACAGTTCTAAGACTGTATGCATTTACATTATTGTACAATCATTATTACCATCCATCTCCAGAAATTTATCATCTTCCCTAACTGAAACTCTGTTACCCCTTAAATACTAACTCTCTATCCCACCTTCCCCACTCCCTGCCCAGTTCCTGACAACCACCATTCTGCTTTTCATCTCTGAGATTTTGACCATTCAGGGAATCTTACGTAAGAAGAATCATAGAATATTTGTCCTTATGTAACTGGCTTATTTCACTTGGCATAACATCTGCAATTAGGATATTATTTTAGAGCAAGAGTTTTAAGCTGGAGTCTATAGAGCCAGCTATATTTGTTTTACTAGGTTGATCTACTTTAATGATATTTAAATGTCTATTTGAATGCTTCAACTAATGAGCATTTTGTGATGAGCAGAATATCCTGGAAATTTACTAGATTCTTAATGGTGTGTATGTAGCCAAATATTAAAAATGTCTGATTTTGAGGTTGCATACTAAATGAATCTGATATTAAGATAAAATACAACTAAAAAATGTTAAAACCTGAGAAGAAACTCAATAAAAATAAAATAAATGATTACATTGATAATTGGAAAAATAAAAGTCTAACAAAGTTAAAGGAAAATACATGTTAGCACAATGTAGGCTTTATTAAGGATTCTACTGTCCTGCTCTGAAGTAGGACAAAATTTTCTAAGGCATTATATTAGAGTTACAGAGAATTCAGTTTGGGAACAAGAGTTTGAAACTTTTGAAAGAAATGCAACATTTTTTTCCAACTGTGTAGTTTAAAATAAGTATGGAAAATAAATTGATTCGATTTATTTTCTTTAAAGGAGCATCAGAAAAAATAAATAGCATGTTTTAGTAACAAGTGAAAATATAGCCAATAAATTACAAAATTTTAAAAAATCATTTTGACAATTATTTTATTATTAAATAGTAGATGGGTTTTGAATTAAGACAAAGGCAAACATATCACAGAGTTGAAATTAGAGAAATTTTTAAATGACATAGTTCATTGTCTATCTTCTAGCGCTTTGAAAACTTCCTTTAAAATAAGTCAATCGCGCAAGTTTTATTATTGCTGTCCAAAATACACTTATCAATTATTCCTCAAGAATACCCCCAGGCCAAATTCTAAGGACCTGCAGTTTCTACCTCTCTAGGGGAAAAAGTGACACTGATGCTATGACCTTAATATCTTAAAACAGAGACCACTTCTTATATAAAACAGGATAGGTAGTAAGCCCACATGCATATGGTGTAATTTCAGGAGGTCATTTTTAGAGCCCACTCACCTTCATATTTCAGTTTTCTCGAACATAATACTTCCACATTAAAGATTGCTATATGAAATTCCATAATTAGCAATAGATCCGATGACATGACTTATCTGTCTCCCTTCGTATCAGCAACAAAACTTGTGTGCAAGCAACAGAACTGTCTCTGATTTTCTTAAGAAAGGAAAGATAATATCTATTGGAAATATGTACAGTTGATAATATAGGAGATAACCAGACATGGAAAATTGGCCAACATTAAGGTAGTTTTAAAATGTTTAAGGAGCACAAAACTTTTTATTTAGGAAAAAAATCAGTAATTTTTTAGCCTGGATATCACATCAATGGTTGTAGCTTCTGCTTCTGAACACTACCATTGAGACTCCACCAGTGGATTCTAACTAGTCTTTATCGTGGCCTCCCAGAAAGAAGCATTAGACAAGGCTAATTCATGTACTTAAGCTCCTATCTCTAAGACCTAAGAGAGAAGTGGGATTTGTCTACACTGATAGCAAAAAGTAGAAATTCCTTTTTATCAGTCAGTGAATAGTGAGCAAAAGAGGATTGACTCTAGACATTTCAGATAAAATACTATTTAAGACAGGAATTTAGGCACTTAGAAAACCACAGAACAGCATGAAATGACAAAGTCATGGGGGAACTGCCTCCAGCTTTCAGATTTACTTCCATCCCTGAGGCTCTCAGGATGTACCTGACATTAGTCAGGAGTTACAGTTGCCTGTAGTATTGGGATAGGTAATTTGCGGCGGAATTCTTACATGATGTTCCTAAAGCAATCTCTGCTGAAGCCCGTTATTGACCTGCCATTGCTGGAAGAGGAAAAGAGCTTCTGATTGCTTTCAACTTTCCCAATTTTGTGTAATGTCTCATTGTTTGACTATAGGGAAAAATCATTTAGGAAAGGATTCTGGAAAATATAGTTCCCAAATTTCCAGCCCTTGTGATAAATGGGGGACCCTAGAAGAGGAAGAAGGTATACTTGAGTGCAAATGGCAATGTGGCACACTTTCAAACTGTCAAAACACATAATTGGGAATTTCCTGACACAGAAGTGGAAGTTACATATTAGCGAAGCCCACAAATGGCAAAATGACTTAGCACTAATAAAATTCAGTATATTCTGAGAAATATATAATTTATTAAATTATTTCTCAAAACAAATACTGCATTAACAAAAATAAGGTAAAATTACTAGGATGTGGAGGGTCAGGGAGCAGTCATGTCCATTGGAGAAGCAATGATAGTGTAAATAGAGACTAGAACTTCAAAAGACACATTTCTCCTACTTGACAATTCTGCAGAGAGTTGGGGTTATATACAGGGATTCAGCAGCAGGTAATCCTTGATGCTTACTGTTTCAGGCCAACTTGTGTGTGTGATGGAGTGTAAAACTACCCATTCAAACTAGGTCATGTAAAAATGGGGTTGGATAAATAGAGAGAGAGAGAGAGATGTATATATAATATTTTCTGGACACATGGTCATTAGTATATAGTGGAAATTTTTCATACACTAACATGTCTATTGAACATATGGTTAGACATAAACTGCAGCACATATTAATATATGAGACCTTTTATATTAGAAATGTTCAGTAGCAATATGATTGCTACATCCAAAGATAGCTAGAAAAGAATCAACAAAAATGTTAACACTCTATCTCTGATCTGATTTTTATAAGTAAATATTGACATAATTTTTTTTTTTTTTTTTTTTTTGAGACAGAGTCTCAATCTGTTGCCCAGGCTGGAGTGCAGTGGCGTGATCCTGGCTCACTGCAACCTCCACCTCCTGGGTTCAAGTGATTCTCCTGCCTCAGCATCCTGAGTAGCTGGGATTACAGGTGTGTGCCATCAAGCTTGGCTAATTTTTGTTGTTCTTGTTGTTATTTTTAGCAGAGACGGGGTTTCACCATGTTGGCTAGGCTGCTTTTTTCTTTTTATTTTATTGACATGTGACTTCCTAATAGCTTGTCAAAAAATGTACCAAGTTATTTCTTCGTGATTACTTTAAGTCAGTATGTCATAGCATGTGAATCTTCATCATCATAGAGAAGAATGCAACTCTAACTCTTCTTGACTCTTTTTATGTATCGTATTTGGTGAGACAATGGAGTTTGGTATTTAAAAGTGTTGGCTCTAGAATTAGACTCTCTGATTCCCAATGCTGCTTCATCACTTATTAGTGGTGTAACCATAGGAAACTTACTTCAAATCACTAGGATTAATTTTTTTCATTTACAGATTAAAGTTAAAAATAATAACCATCTCAAAGTATTATTGTTAGAATAAAACTATATAACATTTAAACACAGTGAACAGTACACATTATACAATGTTAGCAATTAGTATAATTACTAATGTCTTCAAGGAGAACATAGTCACATCCACTTCTATGATAAACTTTAAAACAAATGATGCTAGAAAGATCCTATCAAAATTATACCCTAGTATTTAGTAATAACTCTGAGATTTTATAATTTTGATCTTGAGAATTTAGTATTTTCAAAGTTAGATTAAAAACAAATTTAGTTTAAAAACTGTGTTTGAATCAAATTAAAATTTATGTTTAGTCAACAAATTAGAGCAGCTTTTTGTAAAAACAATAGCCTAATAATCAATGTTCATCCGGTTAAAAAAATTATAGTACATTCCAACACTGGAACAAAATGCAGGCTTAAAAATAAATAAGAATTTTTTTTACATACTAATATACAACAATCTGTAGGATACACTATTATGTGAAAAATGCTGGGTTCAAGAGAGTATATTTAGTATTCTATCAGTTATATAAAAATGGAAATAAAACATTGTGTGTGTGTGTGTGTGTGTGTGTGTGTGTGTGTATTTGCCAGTAAAAATTAAAACTGGTTGCTGGCAGAAAGGGACTTGGGTGGTTGAAAGAAAGAGGTGGCAAGAATACTTTCCGTTTCTTATATTTGTGTATCTTATATTTGTGTATATATATATATACAATCCGTGTATGTAAATATACATATAAATTCAGAAGACAAACAAGTACATACACACACATGCACACACACATACAAATAAAATACGATTAAAAAATAAGAGTAACAATGGGGTGTTTAAAGAAAGTCTAATAGAGGTGTATGCTAAGAGAAATAAAGAGGTGGGCTAAACCAGAAGTGTCAAGGGTTCAGACATAAACCAGCCCAAGCTCCATTATTTCAAGGTCATTTTATTATAATTACTGTTCTTTCTTTGATTCATCCTTTCAATACTAAACACATCCTTTCAAACAAACAAACAAAAAAATGCACTGCTCTTTGGCCCTCTACACATTTCTCACATCCACATCAGGCCTCCTGAGTTGCTGCAAATTTCACTGTAAGCTCATCGAATGGAGAAACCATCTTGGTCATCTACATCAGCCTGGCACGTGATAAGCAGTAAAGATTTGATGAATGAATCAGCGAAAAAAGACAGCTACATTCCAGAACTTGATCCAGAATTGATCTCCTTGTTGCCATTTTATGGGATATGATACATTTATGAGGTAAAAAATATTCTAATATAAAACGGTGTTCTTTCACCATTTTGTATTTTGTGACTTTCATTTATAACGTACATTTTTTTTGTCAGGTAACATGAGTCTTTTTTCTTTTTTCTTCTCTACATAAATTTTGTTGCTACTTTAATAACTATTGTTCATGATCAATTGTGTTACTTTGCAAAGTATCTAAATTTTAATCTATTAACTCAATTGGACATTTATTACTTTAGAGTAAAACATTTTCAAGATGAAACACTGCTATTTCTTTCTAGCTTCTAACTCCTAAATCTTTTTGTAATTTCATAAAAATACAACCTAAAATCACAAATTAAAAGGCCAGATTTTCTTGTTTCTTGAGAACTTGCCAAATTAGTTTTATAATAGTTATAAGCATAGATGGTCCAGTCCTCCTTTATTGAGTTAATGAAAATGCTGTAGAAGCAATCACTCAGTGAGATGAAAACAAACAATTTTATTTTAAGAGGTAATTTTATTTCCACCCTCATTGGCATTTAGCAAAATTTTCTTGAATAAATCACTACAAAAAGACACCAAAGTATTTCACAGAGCCTTTGTAGGTACTGAGCATCAAACATTTCATCTTATATTTCCTCTTAAATTGAAATTAAGCAATCATAAATGTAACAAAAATTTTGTTATTTATTAACCTATAATATCAAGTTGCAGGTGTTCTCAAAATGAGATAACTAAGGTCATCTGTTTAATTTCTGTGATATCATACTATCCACATACTATGGTTAGATTTAACTGAATTACTGATTAAGTGAACTTTGCATTTATCTCTAAAATTAAATTCTCAAGTACTTGTGTTTAAATTTGCAAATTCCAATTTCTCCTAAATATATTCATTTCTTATTTCACTATAACAAGTTTAAGCTTTAAAAAGACAGGTTTATTTTAAGAGAATTAATCCCAACAATTAAAAACTAAAAACAGCTTTCAATTTGCTTTTCAGCTGCTAAATAAATTAGGGAAATACAAAGTGGTCATCCCTCAAACACAAAGGTAAAGAAAGAAGCAATTATGAAGATAAATTACTTAAGTTATTTTTCTTAAATCAGATTCTTTTCTCTTAAATAGGTTTTTGGGCTAATACCCATAAATTTATCCTTATTTTTCTCTGAAAAGAATAATCATCCAGACTTTATCTTTTACTCACACATTTAGAAATCCAATTTACCCCAAAATGAAGCATTAACATATTTTTCAAAGAAATGTTCACAAGAGTTCTTAGTGTGACTTATTAGCATAATCCCCACCTGCTTATACCATTAGGCAGTTCAGTAGCAAGTGATACAAGTCTATGTCAGGTTAAAAGAATTTCATGATTCATAGTACCTCAAAAGCATTAGGATCTATGTATGAAGCTCTTTATAAACCTGGCCTTAATGGTTAATTTATTCTCAGATTTCTGGAGAGCATATCGCTGTCTAAAAAATGTGTAACCACATTTATTGCTCCACATACTTTCTCATGATTTGTCATATTAACTTTCTACCTCCAAATATCATCCTTCACACATTTCCTGTTGCCAGTGCTGCCACAGATATGAATGTCACTTGGAAGTACAGAATTTATTTTCACTCCAGATACATCTGTTTCCACCATATTAGAAGTGACTCAGTTTTTAATTAGTTGGAATTTATAAGTGAATTTTTCAAATGTAAGGGGATGAACAAGGTTTTCCAATTATTAACTTCACAAACTTTAACTTTTTCTCAAAATCCCATAATCAGAAAACCACTAGTCTTTTTTTTAAATTTACTTTTTATTTCAATAGCTTCTGGGAGAACAGGTGGTGTTTGGTTACATGAATAAGTTCTTTAGTGGTGATTTCTTAAATGTTGGTGCATTCATCACCCAAGCAGTGTACACTGTATCCAATGTGTAGTCTTTTATCCCTCACCACCACCCACCCTTCCCCTTGAGTCCCCAAAGTCCATTGTATGATTCTTATGCCTTTGCATCCTCATAGCTTAGCTCCCATTCATATATATATAACTCACAATTGCAAAAATATGAAACCAGCCCAAATGCCCATCAATAAGTGAATCAAGAAAATGTTGTGAGATATATATATATGTGTATATATATATATATATATATAAAATATGAATACTACTCATCCATAAAAAAAGGATACAATAATGGCATTTGCAGTAACCTGGATGGAACTGGAGACCATCATTCTAAGTGAAGTAACTCAGAAATGGAAAACTAAATATTGTATGTCCTCACTCATAATTTCCATCTTGATTTCCTTGTTGGTCCAATGAACCTTCAGGATTAGGTTATTTAATTTCCACGTATTTGCATGGTTTTGAGGGTTCCTTTTGGAGTTATTTCTAGTTTTAGTCCACTGTGGCCTGAGACAGTACTTGATAAAATTTCAATTTTCTTAAATTTACTGAGACTTGTTTTGTGGCCTATTATATGGTCTATCTTGGAGAATGTTCCACATGCTGATGAATAGAATGTACATTCTGCAGTTGTTGTGTAGAATGTTCTGTAAATATCTGTTAAGTCCATTTGTTGTAGGGTATAGTTTAAGTCCATTGTTTCTTTGTTGACTTTCTATCTTGAAGACCTGTTCAGTGCTGTCAGCAGAGTATTAAAGTCCCACACTATTATTGCGTTGCTCTCTCTCTCTCTGGTTTCTTAGGTCTAGTAGCAATTATAAATTTGGGAGCTCCAATGTTAGGTGCATATATAGGAGGTGTGTGCAAAAGTAATTGCCGGTTTGCCATTACTTTCAATGGCAAAAACCACAATTACCTTTGCCCTGACCTAATATACAGGATTTTGACATTTTCTTATTGGACTAGTCCTTTTATCATTATATAATGTCCCTCTTAGTCTTTTTCTAACTGCTGTTGTTTTAAAGTTTGTTTTGTCTAAGAATAGCTACTCCTGTTTGCTTTTGGTGTCCATTTGCATGGAATATCTTTTTCCTCTCCTTTACCTTAAGTTTACTTGAGTCTTTATGTATTAGGTGAATCTCCTGAATAGAGCAGAAATTTGGTTGGTGAATTCTTAGACATTCTGCCATCCTGGATCTTTTAAGTGAAGCATTTAGGTCATTGACATTTAATGTTAGTATTGAGATGTGAGGTACTATTCTACTCATCATGCTATTTGTTCCCTGAATACCTTTTTTTCATTGTGTTATTGTTACATAGGTCCTGCTTTAAGGAGATTCTATTTTAGTGTATTTTGAGGATTTGTTTCAAGATTTAGAGGTCCTTTTAGCAGTTCTTGTATTGCTGGCTTGGTAGTGATGAATTCTCTTAGCATTTGTTTGTCTGGAAAAGACTATATCTTTCCTTCATTTATGAAGCTTAATTTCACTAGATACAAAATTCTTGGCTGATAATTGTTTTGTTTAAGAAGGCTAAAGATAGGGCCCTAATCACTTTTAGCTTGCAGGGTTTCTGCTGAGAAGTCTGCTATTACTCTGATGAGGTTTTCCATTATAGGTTACCTGATCCTTTTACCTCACAAGTCCTCAGATTCTTTCCTTCCTCTTGACTTTAGATATCCTGATGACGACGTGCCTAGGCAATGATCTTTTTGTGATAAATTTCCCAAATGTTTTTTCATCTTCTTGTATTTGGATGTCTAGATCTGTAGCAAGGCTGGGGATGTTTTCATCCATTATTCTCTCAAATATGTTTTCTAAACATTTGGATTTCTCTTCTTCTTCTGGAACACCACTTATTCTTAGGTTTCGACAGTTAACATTGTCCCAAACTTCTTGGAGGTGTTGTTCATTTTTTAAATTCTTTTTTCTTTGTCTTTGATGGATTGGGTTAATTTTAAAGCCCTGTCATCAAGCTCTGAAGTTCTTTCTTCTGTTTGTTCGATTCTATTCCTGAGACTTTCCAGTACATTTTGCATTTCTCTAAGTGTTTCCTTGATTTCCAGAAGTTGTGATAGTTTTTTATTTATGCTATCTATTTTGCTGAGGATTTTTCCTTTCATATCCTGTATCATGTTTCTGATTTCTTCAAGTTGGACTTCACCTTTCTCTGGTGCCTCCTTGATTAGCTTAATAATGGACCTTCTGAATTATTTTTCTGGCAATTCAGAGATTTCATCTTGGTTTACATACATTGCTGGTGAGGTGATGTGATCTTCTGAAGGTGTTAAAGAACACTGTTTTGTCATATTACCAGAATTGTTTTCCTGGTTCCTTCCCATTTGGGTAGACTATGATCAGAGGGAAGATCTGGGACTCAAGGGTTACTGTTCAGATTCTTTTGTCCCATAAGGCAGGGGCAGGGTTAAGTGTGTCTGAGCTCAGACTCTCCTTGGACGGGGCTTTCTGAGGCTGCTGTGGGTAATGGGGTTGTGGTTCCCAGGCCAATGGAGTTATGTTCTTAGGATTATGGCTGCCTCTGCTGAGTTATACAGGTCACCAGAGAAGTGGGGGAAAGCCAGTAGTCACAGGTCTCACCCCATTCCCATGCAGCCTGCAGTTCTAAAGGCTGGTCTCACTCCCACTGTGCTCCCTGCAACAGCACTAAGTCTATTTCCAGGCAGCCAGTGACCAGGGCTGAGAACTTGCCCCAGACCACTAGCCTCCCTCCTGAGAAAGCAAGTGACTCACAGTTTTCGGCATCTTAGGGAGCCAACAGCGGTGATCCAGTTCCTTCAAAGGGTCTGTGGATTCTCTCAGCTTTCCTGGTATGTTCCTGCAGTAGTTCTTTGAGCAAAAGTTCACAATGAGGAGTCTCCACTCACTGCTCTGTCTGTCCTAGCAAGAGCTACAAGCTAGTCCTGCCTTCTTTTTGCTATCTTTAATCCTATCAGCCAAACCACTAGTTTTCTTTTTCTTTTACATTTACCAGTAATAAAATTCCGAACACATTAAGTTCTTCTTTCTTAGGCCCTTTCCAGCTAATGTTTAGACACTAGTTGTCATACCCATGACAACCTGTCTTTAATTACTGTGTGCTGGGAACACAGTTTCAGTGCAGTGTTTCTATCTCTCTTTCCTTGAGTAGTTGATCTTATAGTTACGTAGTGTAGAATTAATTCAGTGTCTACAGTAAAATAAAGTATTGTGAAAAAATCTGTTTTCTTCTGCCACTTTAGTTTGATCCCATCTCATATATTTTACATATTCTATAAAAATAAATGGAACCAAAGGATTAGCTTTCAAAGAGAAGCAGAAAATGATATGATTTGAGGATACTGAGTATGACCAGATGGAGAATAGACAAGATAGGTAAAGGACATCATAGAAAGAAAGATGAGTATGTAAAAGCTATGAGCTACTAAGGTTTTTAGCAAAACTGTGTAACTTTATTGTATTCAAAGTTAGGACAGGACATTTAGTTCAATTTTATAGCTGAAGAGATGGGAGATATAAAAACAAATTTGCAATTCCCCAAGTCATTTTGACAGCTTAAGTCTATATTGGAAATCTGAGTATTCCAAAAACAAAGCCAAACATTTACCCCTCCATGCCAATTTAATGTCGAAGTAACTTGACATACAATTTAATTCTGTCAAAATCAATGTTAGGAGATAAAGAAAAGAATTTAAGCTGAGTTTAAATGTATTTATCTAAATTAAAGATAATCAAAGTTTAATCATATTCCTTGATAGTTTTTGGTCTGAGTATATCCTTTTATCTCAAAGATATTCCTTTTATATTAACTAAATGTCAACATCATATTAATCACAGGTCCCAGAGAAAAGACACGTTCATTGCTCTCAAACAGTGCCTCATAAGCAGAAAGACAAACACAAACAGTGGGTTTCATAGAATATGGTAAAGTTGAAAGTGAGTCATTGGGAACGTGGAAAACAGAACACATCTGCACCTGTACAAGCCAATCAGAGATGGCCTCACAAAAATAGTAATGCTTGTGCTCTAGTTTTTAAGCATATTTCCCCTCTTTCTATTTTTCTTTCTTTTTGTTTTTGTTTCATTTTGTTTTGTTTTGTTACAAGATTGGAGCTGGGAATGAGGATGATGGCCCAGGGCACATTCTTCTTTACAGAGGTAATACAGCATATGCAGATGTATTAAACATGGAAAGTTTAAAATTCATTTCACCCAGTTTACAATACTTTGCCACATTTTCTTTTTTTTTAAGTCAGCAAATTTTATTCACCTAGAAGTTCTCAAGCCCAATTAGAGTAACTGTTTCTCTAACTTTTATTTTAAGTTCACGGCATGTGTGCATGTTTGTTATTTAGGTAAACTTGTGTCATGGAGGTCTCTCATACAGATTATTTCATTACTCAGGTATTAAGCTTAGTGCTCATTAGTTATTTTTCCTGATCCTCTTTTTCTTTCAATGCTCTACACTCCAATAGGCCCATGTCAGTTGTTCCCTTGTTCCCCTCTATGTGTCCATGTGTTCTCATCATTTAGCTCCCACTAATAAGTTAGAACATATGGTATTTGATTTTCTGTTCCTGTCTTAGTTTACCAGGGATAATGGCCTCCAGCTCCATCCATGTTCTGCAAAGAGCATGATCTCATTCTTTTTATGGCTACATAGTATTCCATGTTGTATATGTACCACATTTTCTTTATGCAGTCTACCACTGATGGACATTTACGTTGATTCCATGTATTTGCTATTGTGAATAGTACTGCAATAAACATACATGTACATGTGTCTTTATGGTATTTGGGTATATACCCAATAACAGAATTTCTGAGTCAAATAGCATTTCAATTTTTAGGTCTTTGAGGAATCGCCACACTGTTTTCCACAATGGTTTAACTAATTTACACTCCTACCAACAGTGTATAAGCATTCCTTTTTCTCCACAGCCTCACAATTGATATGGACAGGAGACAGGGAAATACTGGGTAGAAGAAGGCAGTTCCCCGGCAAAGGCCCCATCCTCAAGCCTGGAGACCAACAGCCCTAAGTGGAGACAGCATTTCTGTTTTCATGCCCCAAAAATTACCTTTTGGCCTGCCATGCCTCACTATCCTGCACCCATATAAATCCCAAACCCCACGCTCCAGAAACAGAGAAGCAGGCAAGGAAACAAGACAAGCAGACAAATGGAAGAACAACACAGCAGAGAAAGAGAGAAGAGGAGGAACGTCTGAATGCTGAGAGGAGTTCAGCTGGGGGTGGTAGGAGAGGAGTTCAGCTGCTGGATAGCCAGGCTCCAGGGGAAGATCATCTTCCCACTCCATTCCCTCTTCCGGCTCCCCATCCATCCTGCTGAGAGCCACCTCCATCACTCAATAAAACCCCACATTCAACCTTCAAGCCCGTGTGTGATCCAGTTCTTCCAGGAGGCTGGGCAAGAGCTTGGGATACAGAAAGCTGTCACACTGGCCCTCTGCCCTTGTGAAAAGGCAGAGGGTCCATTGAGCTGGTTAACACTTAAGCTGTCTGAGGATGGCAAGGCTAAGAAAGCATTAGCCCCAGTGTTACAACACTGGGGCCACAAGCACCCACACCTAGACACTACTGCAGCCCTGGAGCCCAAAACTCTCACCCTGGCTCCTGCATCTGCCTGTCTCTGTGCTCCCCCTCCTGCCAGGGGTTTGAGCAGCAGCAGCAGCAGCAGTGGTGACCGATTACAGGCGAGCCACACCCCTGTCACATGTCCTGCAAGGAGGATGAGGGAACTCTCCTGTTTCACCAGGACCTGTTATTTTTTTACTTTTTAGTTCCTTCATACCTAGTTTATTGACAGTTTTTAACATGAATGGGTGTTGAATTTTAACAAAAGCATTTTCTGCATCTATTTAGATAGTTACGTGGATTTGTTTTTAGTTCTGTTTATGTGATGAATCACACTTCTGATCTGCATGTTGAACCAACCTTGCATCTTGGGGATAAACCCTACCTGATCATAGTGGATAAGCTTATTGATGTGCTGCTGGATTCAGTTTGCTAGATTTTCTTGAGGATTTTTTCTCAGATATTCATCAAAAATATTGGCTTGAAGTTTTCTTTTTTTGGTCTCTCTCTGCCAGGTTTTGTTATCAGGATGATGCTAAGTTTGTCTCATCTTCTATTTCAGTCCCACTTCATCTTAATTACTTGATTACTCCTTTTATTGGACATTTGATGCTCACGAGACATATAGAAATATTCAACACTCAGATGGGTGTATGGGGTTTAAGGGATGACAAGGATCATAAAAATCTGAGATTGCAGCATAATTACCTTATGACTAGAAGCATGTGAATGCACTCTATGTATAATTTGGAGGAATATTAAATTTCAAATCCCTTAAGAGTTAGGACTCCAAAAAGTTAGGACTATGTACCATAGTCATCCTCTTCTCATTACATTTAGAATCATGTTTTTCTTTGGTAATAAAATGACTTTCATAGAGCATTAGATACATGCTATGAAATATGTAGGTAATCAGGATAATATTTATCAGCAGATTATTATCGTTTGTAGAAATTGTAAACTAAATGCTACATTTTCAGGTACAAAATACTTAAGGCACAACTATGTACACTAAAATTGTATAGGTTATCTTATCAGTGTTAATATAAATTCTGACAGGTGATCTTTATGG
This sequence comes from Homo sapiens, assembly GCF_000001405.40. NCBI lineage: Eukaryota > Metazoa > Chordata > Mammalia > Primates > Hominidae > Homo > Homo sapiens. Next base: position 209,098,360 of record NC_000002.12, read on the forward strand.
AAGATATAAAATAAAATAATTGTTATGAAGATGGAAACAATAAAAATACTTAAGTACTCATTAATAAAAACTAACAGTATGAGGCATTTTGATTTCAGCTTCAACATTCCTCCCATTCCTATAATAAAAGAAAGCTAGACAAACTGAACATTATTGACTTTCCTTGAACATAACAGAGAAGTTAAGGTCACAGGGCACATCACTGATCGAAATTCTAGAGAAGCAGGTGCCATCCAGAGAGACACAATGAATACCTGTTCACCTGGAGCTAAAGCTAATAAAAACATAAACTACTTAAGAACACAAGTGATCATTCTGCCAATATGCCAGAGGCTGAGTATGGACTAGTGTTAGAAGCTCCTGAAGACTAGTCTAATAGGAACCAAACACTTTGTGGACTTTACATCTGGGAACCACATGCAGCTCTTACAGTGAAGAGTCCTCATTGAAAAGTCAATGAGGAGAGGAGAGTAATTATTGAGAAATATATCCAGAGCCTTCTCTATAACAAAGGTCAACTCTACAGGGAAAATCACTTTGTCAGAGCCTTATCCCAGCTGGAGGAAAGAAATACCTACCACTCTGACCTGCAGCCCTTCTATCTCACTTAAATGAAAACAAAAAGAGTCAACAGGGATCAACTGCAGCCAAGAAGCATGTGGGGGAAGAAGTTATATCAAGGAGAAACAATTGCGAAGGGTTCAACTGTAACATCTAAGCCCACTAAAAGACTGAGATTTATTAAGAACATTATAGAGTACTACCTCTTCCCCCACCTTACCATCACATCAACAGAACTCCAGTATAAAAACAGTGGATTACAGATGAAATATCTGTATGACACAGATTCATTCGAAGTTTTGGTATTAGTCAGGATTCTCTAGAGGGACAGAACTAATAGGATAGGTGTATATATAAAGGGAAGTTTATTAAGGAGTATTGGCTCACACAATCATAAGGTGAAGTCCCACAATAGGCCATCTGCAAGCTGAGGAGCAAGGATTCCCAAAACCCCAAAAGTAGGGAAGCCAACAGCGCAGCCTTTAGTCTGTGGTCAAAGGTCCGAGAACCCGTGGCAAATCACTAGTGTAAGCCCAAGAGTCCAAAAACTGACGAATTTGGAGTCTGATGTTCAAGGGCAGGAAGCATCCAGCATCGGAGAAAGATGAAGGCCAGAAGACTTAGGCCAGTCTAGCTCTTCCATGTTCCTCTGCCTGCTTTTATCCTAGCTGTACTGGCAACTGATTAGATGGTACCCACCCAGATTGAGGGTGGGTCTGCCTTTGCCAATCCACTGACTCAAATGTTAATATCCTTTGGCAACATCCTCACAGACACACGCAGGAACAATACTTTGCATCCTTTAATCCAATCAAGTTGACACTCAATATTAACCATCACAGGTTTGGTGATGCATTTTTTGACACAACACTAAAGCATGATCTATGAAAGAAAAAAATAGAATAGTTGGACTTTTTTAAAAACTGAAACGTTTTCTGCAAATTATACTATAAAGGGAATCAAGATAGCTTATGGATTGAGAGACAATATTAGCTAAACACGCTTCTGATAAAGAAGTTGATCTAAAAAAATACAAAAAACTCTCAAAACCCAACAATAAGAAAATAAACAACTCATTAAAATGGGCAAAAGTTCTAGACAGATACTCATCAATGAAGATATACAGATGACATATAAGTATACTGTGAGATACTCAATATCATTTGTCATTAGGGAAATGCAATTTAAGAAAATAATTAGGCAGAGCATGATGGCTCACTCATGTAATTCCAGCACTTTGGAAGGCTGAAATGGGCAGATCGCTAGAGCACAGGAGTGTAAGACCAGCCCGGGCAACATGATGAGACCCTATTTCAACAAAAAAATACAAAAATTAGCCGGGTTTGGTAGCATATACCTAGTCCCAGCTACTAGGGAGGCTGAGGTGGGAGGATCACTTGAGCCAGGAAGGTCAAAGCTGCACTGAGCTGTGGTCACACCACTGCACTCCAGCCTGGCAACAAAGTGAGACCCTGTCTCAAAAAACATAAAAATTAAAATTAAAAAAAATTTTAAAAAGGAGAGAAAGAAAATAATTACATATAACTGCAAACCTATCAGAATGGCTATAAAACAAGCAAAAAAGAAAACACCAATTGCTAGTGAGAATATGGAGGTACAACAACCATCAGTAATTGCTGGGGGTGGGATACAAGGTGATACAGCCACTTTAGAAGACAATTGGAAGTTTCTTACAAACCTAAACCCAGTTTCACCATACAATCCAGCAGTTGCTCTCCTAGGTCTTTACCCAACTGCTCAAAAAACATATGTTCGCACAAAAACCTACAAGTGAATACTTATGGGAACTTTATTTGTAATGATCAAAAACTGTAAGCAACCAAGTTATCCTTAAATAGAGGAGTGGACAAACAACTGTGGTACAGTCATACAATTGCATACTACTAAGTTATAAAACAGGATGAGGTATCAAGCCATACAAAGATACAGAATAATCTTAAATGCATATTGTTACGTGAAATAAGCCAGCCTGGAAAGTTTACATACTACATGATTCAATTTATATGACATTTTAGAAAAGCCAAAACTATAGAGATGTGAAGGAGACAAATGTTTGCCAGGATTTTCAGAGGGGTAAGGGTTGAACAGGTGAAGCAAAGAGGGTGGTATAGGGCAGCGAAACTATTCTGCATTATACTGCAATAGTGGATATACAACAGCATGCATACGTCAAATCCCATATAACTTTACAGCACAAGTAAGCCTTACTATATGCTAATTTTAAAAAATGTTTAGGAAGTTGGGGGAATTCCAGCATTGAATGCAGATTGTGACCAAAGAACCTATCTTATTAAAAAGTGTATAAAGTAATTTTACTGAAGAGAAGAAGGAAAAAAGACACTAACCCAAGAAACTTCAGAAATGAGTGAAGTCTATAAGACAAAAAGCAAAACACGCTGTACAAAAGCACTGGGCTCTAGTTGAGAAAAGTTTCACATGGGATCCGGGTTAATAATATTGATAATTTATAACATGCATACTGCAACTGAACAACTAGTACATGAATGGTGGTTTTTTGGGAGCTAGGTTTCTCATCGTTGGAGTGGAAAGCTACAGAAACGCAAGGGGAGAAGGTTAGAATGAAACATGTTGTTATGGATTAGGGTTGGAGAAATGGGTATGAATTAATGTTCAGTTTAATATAGATACAGATATGGAGATATATATATGTGTGTGTACATATGTGGGGGGTGGGGGTGGGTGTGAGTGTGTGCGCTTATACATGGATTAGTATAAAAACATATACTTACTTTCTTTGCTAACTTTCTTTGAGGTCTAGAAACAACAACACTCAAGTAACAATGATCACACCTAGTATCCAAACAGACTGGAAAATGCTGTTTTTTAATAGCATTTTCCAATCAAATGAACTAACCCTCCTTGTAGAAACAGATGAATTTAGGGCACGGTAAGGAATATAAAAGATGAACCTGAAACATCTTCTAGCCAGAATAAAACAAGGTGCTTTAAGACACACACAGACACACACACACACATACACATCACTGGTGGTATGCCATAGAGACTCAGGAGCCAACTGAAAAAGCTTCAGGTGGCCAACGCTAGAACGATTCAAGCAAAAAATAAATAAATAAAATAAAATTGTATTGAATTATAACTGAGAGTATAAAATAAGTATCTGTGAGTTTAGACTGATATAAATAAATGATTAAATAAATAAATAAATGGAAGAGAAGAGACAAATCTCCTATACACAGGGATTCTTAATTTATGGAGCCACTCCACCCTCAAGAAGGTGAAGCATAACTTCCTTCATCTTCAATGTAAGCTGCACATAGTTACTTCCACAGTCTGGAAAGGGAGAAATAAAAAAAGCAAAATTGCAGTGGAGAATCCTCACAAGCACTGCCTTAGCCAGAGGATCAAGATTAACATAAACAGTGAGAAGTCACGTTGATACTATGTCCCCTTGATATGACATGCAAATAGCACCTTATCTCTGTGATTTTTCTTTCCAAAACTATAAAACAAACATAATTGTGAAAAAAGCAACAAACAATACCCAGTTGAAGGACATTCTACAAAATACCTGACCAGTACTCGTCAATATTGTCAAGGTCATCAAAAACAAGGAAAATCTGATGAAGCTATCACAGCTAAGAGGAATCCAAGAAGATGTAAAGACTAATTGTAATGTGGCATCCTGGAGGGGATCCTGAAATAGAAAAAGAACAGGTATAAACTAAGGAAACCTGAATAGAGCATGGGCTTTTGTTAATAATAATTTATCAATATTATTTCATTAATTGTGACAAGCATGCTATATGAATGTAAGATATTAACAATGTAAAAGTAACTGAGTGTGGTGTATAGGGGAAGTCTGTACTAGCCTCAAAACTTTTCTGTAAACCTAAAACTACTCTAAAATGTAAAAAACTATTAAAAATGAGACAAATAACAGTGTTAGAAAAATAAGTTGTATAATTTATCCATAAAAATAAATTACCTTTTCTTTGAATTCTGCTGAGTGTTGTCAGGTTCAAGTGCAGTGCTCTGACAATTACTTTCCAGAATTTATTCTGAGAAGAAGAATTATATAAAGGGCAACTCCATGGGGAAATAAAGAAAAAATTTAAGCAATACAAATGTGTGAATCAATTTAGAACTAACAAGGACTGACTTGCACTGGACTCAGAATTCAAACTAACCCTAAAATTCAAGAAGAGTAGAGGTGAAGAATATTTTGATTTCTATATGCCTCAAAGATCAAGAAATAGTGTTGATTGATTACAATATATCAATGTTACAATATTGTTGAGAAGAAAAACATACATGAATTTAGCTAGGAATTAGATTTTAGGAACAGAGTCCCAAGTATTACAAAACGAAGTTGGGAGAAATACCCTAAGTAGACTGTTAAAAATTGAGAATTTTGCTGGAAGCTGTGAATCACAACCTCCATTCTCTTATATCTAAAAAGCTATTTAAGCCTCATGCAAAAAAAAAAAAAAAATAGAGTTCTACTTGTTTACCTTATCTTTTTGTCAATACCAGGATCAAGCAAATATGTTGGAGAATGAGAACAAGGAAGAAAAACAAGTGTAAAAAAAAAAAAGAGAGAGAGAAATACATAAAGAAATGGGGAGGAAATTAGACCAAAAGAAAAAAAAACTGAAAATTTTAAAACCGGAAGACAGATCACATAATTGTTTAGCATCTTCGAAAGAGCACATGACTTTTCAGATTTGGAGAAAAATAAAGAGGAGGATAATCTCTAGGTAAATGGGAAAAATGATATAGAAGGGAAGTGAATCAGATTAAAGTGCAAAGGGGAAAAAGCAAAAGCAAATGAAATGGGAGAAATGGGAGATGGATGACAAAATTAAAAATTTTAAGCAATCTAAAAGTTCAATGCAATTCCCATCCAAATACCACCATCACTCTTCACAGAACTAGGAAAAGCAATCCTAAAATTCGGATGGAACCAAAAAAGAGCCTGCATATTCAAAGCAAGACTAAGCAAAAAAGAACAAATCTGGAGACATCACATTACCTGACTTCAAACTATACTATAAGGCAATAGTCACCAAAAAAGCATGGTACTGGTATCAAAATAGGCATATAGACCAATGGAACAGAATAGAGAACCCGGAAATGAAGTCAAATACTTACAGCCAGCCGATCTTTGACAAGGCAAACAAAAACATAAAGTCGGGAAAGGACACCCTATTTAACAAATGGAGCTGGGATGACTGGCAAGCCATATGTAGAAGAATGAAACTGGATCCTCATCTCTCACCTTACATCAACTCAACATGGATCAAGGACTGAAATCTAAAACCTGCAACCATAAAAATTCTAGAAGATAACATTGGAAAAACCCTTCTAGACATTCGCTTAGGCAAAGACTTCATGACCAAGAACCCAAACGCAAATACAACAAAAACAAAGATAAATAAATGGGACTTAATTAAACTATAAAGCTACTGCACAGCAAAAGAAACAATCAGCAGAGTAAACAGACAACCCACAAAGTGGGAAAAAATCTTCACAATCTATACATTTGACAATAAACTAATATCCAGAATCTACAAAAAACTCAAACAAATCAGCAAGAAAAAAAAATCCCATCAAAAAGTGGGCTAAGGACATGAATAAACAATTATCAAAAGAAGATATACAAATGGCCAACAAACATGAAAAAATGCTCAACGTCACTAATGATCAGGGAAATGCAAATCAAAACCACAATGCAATACCACCTCACTACTGCAAGAATGGCCATAATCAAAAAAAAAAAAAAATGTTGACATGGATGTAGTAAAAAAGGAACACTTTTACACTACTGGTAGGAATGTAAACTAGTACAGCCACTATGGAAAACAGTGTAGAGATTCCATAAAGAACTAAAAGTAGATCTACCATTTGATCCAGCAATCCCACTACTGGGTATCTACCCCAAGGAAAAGAAGTAATTATACAAAAAAGATACTTGCACATGCATATTTATAAAATAGCAGCATAATTTGTAATTGTAAAAATACGGAACCAGCCCAAATGCCCATCAATCAATGAGTGGATATAGAAAATATGTTATATATACCATGGAATACTACTCAGCTGTAAAAAGGATTGAAATAATGGCATTTGTAGCAATCTGGATGGAATTGGAGACCATTACTCTAAGTGAAGTAATTCAGGAATAGAAAACCAGACACTGAATGTTCTCATTCATAAGTGGAAGCTAAGCTGTGAGGACACAAAGGCATAAAAATGATACAATGGACTTCGGGGACTTGGAGGAAAGGGAGTGAAGAAGATGAGGGATAAAAGACTACACATTGGGTACAGTGTACACTGCTTGGGTGATGGGTGCACCAAAATCTCAGAAATCACCACTAAAGAACTTATTCATGTAAAAAATAATAAATTTTAAAAAACAAGAAAATTTTTCAAAAAATAAGTAAATAAAGACTAATTAAATTTTTTTTTCTGAAGGTACAAAACTCAATGGTAATAGTAAATACACAGAAAAAACACAGAATATTATAACACTGTAATTGTGGTGTATAAAATTCTTAGGTATTAAATAGAAAGAAAAAAGATGAACCAATCAAAAATAATAAAATCTTTTTAAGACATAGTACAATAAGGTAGAAACAACAAAAACTTTCAAAGTAAGGGGATGAAGTTAAAGTGTAAAGTTTTTATTAGTTTTCTTTTTTCTTGTCTGTATGCTTGCTTATGTAACCAGTGTTGTCATCAGTTTAAAATAATGGGTCATAAGATATTATTGCAAGCCTCATGGTAACTTCAAATCAAAAGCATATGACAGATACACAAAAAATAAGAAGCAAGAAATTAAAACATACTACCAGAAAAAAAACACCTTCACATTAAAAAAAAAAAAAAGTCGGAATAGATGGAAGAAAGTGAAACCACAAAACAACCATAAAACAAATAACAGAATGGCACAAGTCCCTATTTATCAATAATAACATTAAATATGAATTGACTAAGCTCTCCAATCAGAATACATAGAGTGGCCAAATGGGGGAAAAAAAGACCTAAAGTTTCTTGCCTACAAGGAACACACTTCACCTATAAAGATACACATAGGCTGAAAATAACAGGATGGAAGAAGACATTCCACGCTAATGAAAACCAAAAAAGAGCAGGAGTCACTATACTTCTAGCAGACAAAATAGATTTCAAGGCAAAAACTATAAAAAGGGATCAAGAAGTTTATTGTATAATGATAAAGGAGTCAATTCAGAAAGACGATATAACAATTGAAAATATATATGCACCAAACACTGGAGCACCCAGATATATAAAGCAAATATTATTAGAGCTAACAAGAGAGACAAATCTCCATATAATAATAGCTAGAGACTTTAAGAACCAACTTTCAACATTGAACAGACAAAAAATCAACAAAGAAACACTGGACATTATCTGCACTATGCACCTAACAGACCTAATATTTACAGAATATTTTATCCAACAGCTGTGGAATACACATTCTTCTCCTCAGCACATGGATTATTCTCAGGGATAGAACATGTGTCAGATCACAAAACAAGTCTTAAAACATTCAAGGAAATTTTAAATATATCAAGCATCTTCTCTGACAACAATGGAATAAAACTAGAAATCAATAATGAGGAATCTTCAAAACTATACAAACACATGGAAATTAAACAATATACTCCTGAATGACCAGTTGGTCAATGAAGAGATTAAGAATGAAATTGAGAAAATTTCTTGAAATAAATGATAATGAAAACCCAACATAACAAAGCCTATGGGATACAGCAAAAGCAGTACTAAGAGGGAAGTTTATAAGCTTAAGTGCCTGCATCAAAAAAGAAGAAAAACTTCAAATAAACAACCTAATAATGCATCTTAAAGAATTAGAAAAGCAAGAGCAAACCAAACCCAAAGTTAGTAGTAGAAAAGAAATAATAAAGATGACACAATAAATAAATGAACTTGAAATGAAGAAAACAATTAAAAAGTTGGTTTTCTGAAAAGATAAGCAAAATTGGCAAACTTTTAGCCAGACTAAGAAAAAAAGAGAGAAGTCTCAAATAAATTAAATCACAGATAAAAAAGAAGATATTACAACTGATCCTATAGAAATTCAAAGGATGATTAGAGGGTACTATAAGCAACTTTATGCCAATAAATTTGAAAACTTAGGAAAAAGCAGATAAATTCCTAGACACATACAACCTACCAAGATCGAACGACAAAATCCCAAACCTGAACATACCGATAACAAGTAATGAGATCAAAGCTGTAATAAAAAGTTTCCTAGTAAAGAAAAGCTTGGAACTCAATGGCTTCACTGCTGAATTTTACCAAACATTTCAAGAACTATTATGAATCCTACTCAAACTATTCTGAAAAACAGAAGAAGAGGAATACTTCCAAACTCATTTCATCAGGCCAGTATTACCCTGATACCAAAACCAGACAAAGACATATCCAAAAAAGAAAACCACAGGCATTATAATACCTCTGATGAACATTGATGCAAAAATTTTCAACAAAATACTAGCAAATTGAATTCAACCACAGATTAAAAAGATCATTTATCATGACCTAGTGGGATTTATTGCTGGGATGCAAGATAGCTCAACATAAGCAAATCAATCAATGTGATACATTATATCAACAAAATGAAGGACAAAGACCATGTGGTCATTTCAACTAGTGCTGAAAAAGCATTTGAAAAAAAATCAACAAAAAACTGTTAAAACGCATTTGATAAAATTCAACAAAAAACTGTTGAAAGCATTTGATAAAATTCAACAAGACAACTATTAGAACTGATTAATAAATTTCTGTAAAGTTTCAAAATTAGCAGACTAAAATCAGTAATATTTATTTAGGCCAACAGCAAACAATCAGAAAAAGAGTTCATGAAAGTAATCCCAGTGACAATAGCTAGAAATAAATTAAATACCTAGGAATTAACCTAATTAAAGAAGTGAAAGATCTCTCCAATAAAAACTATGAAACATTGATGAAAGAAATAGAAAAGGACACAAAAAATGCAAAGGTATTCTGTGTTCATAGATTGGAAGAATCAATATAGTTAAAATGTTTATACTATCCAAAGCAATCTACAGATTCAGTGTAATTCCTATAAAAATGCCAATGACAATCTTCACAGAAATAGATTTTTAATTATAAAATTTACATGGAACCCAGAATAGCCAAAGATATCCCAAGCAAAAAGAACAAAACTGGAGGAATCACATTAACTTTCATCAAATTATACTACAGAGCTATATTAACCAAAACAGCATAGTACCAGCAGAAAAACAGACACATAGACCAGTGGAACAGAACAGATAACATATAACCCAGAAATAAATCCATACATCTACAGTGAATTCATTTTCAACAAAGGTGCCAAGAATATACATTGGAGAAAGGACAACTTATTCAATAAATGGTGCTGGGAAACTGAATATCCATATGCAGAAGAATGAAACTAGAACCCTATCTCTAACCATATAGAAAAGTCAAATCAAAATGGGTATCGACAAATCTCATTCTTCAAACTGAAATCTCCAAAAGAAAACATTAGGGAAACTCTCCAGGACATTGGACTGGACAAAGATTTCTTTGCCCACAAGCATAGGCAACCAAAGCCAAAATGGACAAATGGGATCACATCAAGTTTAAAAGCTTCTGCACAGAAAAGGAAACAATCCATAAAGTGAAGAGACAACTCATAGAATAGGAAAAAATATTTGCAAACTATCCATTTGACAAGGGATTAATAAGCAGAATATATAAGGGAATGAAACAATTCTATAAGAAAAATATCTAATAATCCAATTTAAAAATTGACAAAAAACCTGAAGAGACATTTATCAAAAGAAGACATACAAGTGGCAAACAGGTATATGAAAAGGTGCTCAACATCATTGATCATCAGAGAAATGTAAATCAAAACTATAATGAGACATAATCTCACCCTATTTAAAATGGCTCATATCTAAAAGATAGGCAGTAACAAATGCCAGTGAGAATGTGGAGAAAAGGGGACCCTCATACACTTAGGAATGTAAATTAGCACAACTATGGAGAACAGTTTGAAGGTTCCTCAAAAAACTAAAAATAGATCTACTATATCATCCAGCAATCCCACTGCTAGGTTTATACCCAAAATAAAAGAAATAAATATATCAAAAAAATCTATACTCTCATGTTTATGTTTATTGCAGCACTATTCACAATAGCCAAGATTTGGAATTGACCCAAATGCCTATCAACAGGCAAGCAGATAAAGAAAAGTGTGGTACATATACACAATGGAGTACTATTCAGCCACTAAAAAGAGTAAGATCCTGTTATTTGCAATAACATGGATGAAACAGGAGGTCATTAGGTTAAGTGAAATAATCCAGGAACATAAAGACAAACTTTGAATGCTCTCACTTATTTGTGGGAGCTAAAAATTAAAACAATTGAACTCACAGAGATAGAGAGTAGAATGATGGTTACCAGAAGCGAAGACGGATAGTGGTGGGGGTGCAAGGGGAAAGGAGAATGGTTAATAGGTATAAAAAATAGAAAGAATGAATAAAATCTAGTATTTTATTAGCACAACAGCATGATTCTTGTCAATATTTTTAATTATACATTTTTAAATAACTAAAAGAGTATAACTGGATTGTTTGTAACACAAAGGATAAATACTTGAGGTGATGGATACCTCATTTACCCTGATGTAATTATTGTACACTGTATACCTGTATCAATATATTCCATATACACCATTAATATACATACTTACTACGTAGCTACAAAAATTAAAAATTAAAAGAAAATACAGCTAGAAGGATTATCATCTAGTTTTTCATATCACAATAGGGTAGCTATGGTTAACAATCACTTAGTGTATATTTCAAAATAGCTAGAAGAGAAGACTTAGAATGTCCCCAGCACAAACAATGATAAATGAGGTGATTATCCCAATTACCCAGATTTAATCATTACACATTGTATGCTTGTATCAAAGTATCATATGTACCCCAAAAATATGCACAACTATTATGTGTCCATAAAACTTGAAAAAAACAACCAAAAAAAAAGGAATAAAATGAACAGAGGATGCCTCTCCTCTTCTGTATACTGAAGGAGTTGTAATTTGAGTATTATTTATACTTTAAAAATTTTAGAGAATTCGCCAAAAAAAAAAAAAAATCTTTGTGTGAACTTTTCTTTGCAGGAAGATTTTAAGTACCAATTCAATTTCTTTTTAGGTACAAGACTTGTGTCAAATAGAGGTAGAAGAATAATTACCACAGGCTGGGAAAGGCAGTGGTGGGGAGGTGGGGATGGTTAATGGGTACAAAAAATAGAAAAAATGAATAAGACCTACTATTTGATAGCACAACAGGATAACTATAGTCAATAATTACTTAATTGTAGATTTTAAAATAATCAAAGCAGTATAATTTGATTATTTGTAATACAAAGGATAAATGCTTAGGGATGGATACTCTATTCTCCATGATGTGATTGTTACGCATTGCATGCCTGTATCAAAACACCTCATGTACCCCATAGATACATACACTTACATGTACCAATAAAAATTTTAGAAAATTTAAAAAGACATGAAATTTGTTTTAAAGACCTGCATCAATCCTGGTGAATTGTGTTCTCACCAATCTGGGCTTTCCTATGTTCCAGGATCTTTGCCTCTCAAGTCCTGTTTTTACTTCAAACAATTTTTTTTTACATTTTCTTCCTTAAATTTTCTAATTGTTCTTGAGAGGGAAGTTGATCTTAAACAAGACAGTTCACCATTTCTGAAATGTCAAAAGCAGAAAATCTTAAAATGTAGAACTCTATTCCAGTCGCCATCACCAGGTCATGATGTGTTATTGTTTGTATTATTCCTGTATTAAATATGTGTGTGTGTGTGTGTGTGTGTGTGTGCACGTGTGTGTGTTTGCTTTATAACCTTCCACTTGTGCCCTATCAGGCAATGAAGAGGCTCAGATGGAGCAGAGAGAAGTCTGGAACACAGAAGAGTTTGCTGGGTCCTTCCCTTTCTTCTCCATCATAATCACATCTTGGCCCAAAATAAAAGATAAAACCACTAAATAAGGTCTGTGGGATTATCCTACATGGTCAGAAGGAATATTTAAGTTCTGAAACATTTCCATTTCCATCACATTCTCTAGGGAGCCGTGCTTCATAGATTCTGAGATTATTACCTAAGTCATCATTTTGTCAGGGCATTCTGCTATACCAAATGACATTATTTTGTTTACACATAGGTCTAATTAACAAGGGTAGTAGGTGAGATTATCTGCTTTATTTACTTTCTCCTAGGGATCTGCCCCCTTGCAGAGAACCAAGGCCAGCTGCTTTAGCCCCTTTCTACTAGAGTTTTACAAGTACTATATACTCATTTAGCCATGGAAATAAACTATTATTTTCATCCCTCTACATCTAAAAGGCAGGCAAAGGGCACTGAAGTTTGACTCCAGTCAGTTGATTGCAAATTTTGTGCTCTTTTCACTTTTTGCCTTCTCAAAGAGAAGCTAAAAAGATGTTAAATCCACGTACTTGTAGCCCAGGGCAGCCCAACCAGATAGATTGTGGATGGGAAGTACGAGAATGCCCTTCTGACATGATACAAAGAGCTCAGATATCTGCTTTAGTTTCCCTTCAAGACTTCAAACTAGTAATTAAAGATTCACACGGTGATTCAGCATCAGCATGCAAATCCCACTGAGTGCAATATTAATATGAAAAATGTGTCCTCTAAATGAAACTCGGTTCAAATAGTTGGATCAAAAATAGTGAAAATGATATTCTTTTTTACAGACTGGTAGTCTTTGTACCCTTGAGCACAACAGTAAACATTTCAATTTGCATCCATTTTAATTCCAAGTTGTGTTATGTTTCAACACAATAGCTAGCATTGAGGTAAACATCAGTACTTGAACAGCATCATAGCCACCACTGAAATGGAAATTCAAAGATTTATTCAGTATAAAAGATTTGCATACTTGCAGAAAAGATGATTGTCTTATATTTCTCTCTCATCTAAGGTAAAAGGTGAGGCTTTATAAATGCTATACTGAATGTTGCATGAATTCTAAGGAAGTTTCCTGTCAGTTTTGTGTACATCTTCTGCCATCAATTCATGGGAACCAACAAGACTTCTAAATTTGACTAGACTGTGTCAGTTAATACGTGTAGGACATTTGATATTTTATAGTTGAGATTGAAATCCACTTATACAATTTCCCAGGAAACTAAAAAAATAGAATACTCAGAAAGAGAATTGTCAGCAGCCCAAACGTACTAAGACCTTTCTAAATCTGGTTTAGATTAACTCTAAACTAGATAATCTAAAAAGCAATGTTAACTTCTGTGGGTAGAGAAAGTGTAAAATTTTTGAACTTATATTACCCATATAGCGAGTATGAACAAATTATAAGAGGTTTTATCTTTCTTTTAGTTTCTCTGATGCCTGGGCTAATAATTTAACGACTGTATGACATTTAACTGTTAGTTCCATTATTCTTCTAACTGAGATCTTGCTGGAAACTTCCTGAGGAAAGTCTTCTTCCCCCCAGACAAGAGGCCTTTTGTACCAGGAGGGAATACCAGCACTGGTTAATTCAGAATAAATGTAGAAAACTCTCTCTTGCTATGATATTTGACAATTATTAATTTCTATCTTCTTTTAGCAAATATTTATTTAGTACCACTTATGTGTCATTCGCTCTCTTATTAATGAGAATTCATGGAACTCATACGTCTCATAGGGGAGAGATAATTTATCAAACAATGCCAAAGAATAGGTTTATAAAACCTGAAGTTAGTGCTGTAAAGGACAGAACTGTCAGTCTCTGGCAGCATATTGCAGAAGACTCTGACCTAGACTGGCATGTCACAGAGGGCTTTCCTGAAAGTGTCCAAGTAGGTCAGGAAGATGGACAAAGGAAGAGCGAAAAACAGCGTTTATTGGGGAATATCCTAGATAGAGGATGTCAAAGGCCTGTACAGATGCATGCACAATAGTCCTGTGGTGGAGGGGCTGTGATATCTACCTGTTAAAACGGGCATGTGACTGGAACCCAGAAACCAAAGGGTTGAGAAGGGCTGCGAAAGTGGAGAAGGGAGACGGCTTACTCTGCAGAGACCTCGCGGTTCTGTAAAATAACTTGACTTTCATCCTTTAGGCAATGAGACGCTATTGGAGAGCTTTACATTAGGCACTGCTGTGAACAGCTTTACATTTTGATGAGCTCCTCTAAGCTGCTGTGCTGGGAATAGCCATGAGGGGAATCAAGAGAGGATGACAGAGAACTGTTGGGAGTCTACTGCAGCTGCCCAGGCATGACTATGTATAACAGCAGCCTTGCAGCATGAGCTGCTGTGGTTGCGTCTGCTGTTGTCCATTGATCTGTTTGTCTGAGTTTCTCAGATCCAGCTGACTTGAAAAAACTGTGATCACTCTTTTTTCTATTTCAGGGAAAATATGTATGGAAAGAAATAAAGGTGATGAACAAGGGGAGTGTGAGCTTGGCTGTGAGTAGCCACCCAGTACTTCTGGTTGTAATAACCCCCAAGTACTGTAATTTTAACAAACAAAACCATATGTTTCCCTTAAGGGAACTTATAAACATTTATTTTATTCTGGTAAAATAAATAAGAGAAATATTTGGCTTTCTAAAACTAAAACAGTCAAGAGATACACTAAGTAATTTTTTAGAACTGCCTCTTTCATGCTGAAAAATGACATTACTCTGTGATGCCATAACTTAGTTGATGGCATCTTAATTCAATTGTTGACCTTTGTTCCTACATTCAAGTAGGAAAAGTGACAATCTTTAATACATAAATCTTCCATGAGCTTAAAGCAATATTATTCAGAACTTTAGACACATTTTTTAGAATGGCTTATCAAATACATAAATCAAAGAAATAGCTGTATAACTGTTATATGTGTTTGTGATTCTGTTTCTCTTTTTTAGAGATTTGATATGATTTATATTACTTTAAAAGGAGTTCACACCATGTTTATTTCAAAGTAGGCAAAGGATCTAGAACACAGATAAGTGATTTGGCAAAATATTTATATTGATATTTTAATAGTCAAGCCATAGCCTATGTTGATGAGAATTAAGAGTGTGAGTTACCTTGGAGAGCTTAACATTATAGACCCATGAGGGCCTTAGTATTATAGATCCATATATTCTTGAAATAAGCAAAACACATTTTAAAACATTTACTGTATCGATCTTTTTTTACCCAGAAGACTTCTTTTTCCACTGATCGGGAAGACAGATATTATAATTACGAAAACAGAAATAAAATGATCTCTTAAATGAGTGACTGACCAGCAGAGAATAACTAAGAGGCTGAAAGAACAAAAGAGAACCCACTTCTAGGAAATCACAGAACCATAAGGCAGCCATTATCGACCCGTGAGTTTAGTGTGTTAGAGAGAGGGCAGGATGGAAAGAAAGCTGAAAAAGGGGCCTTGAGACAACATGATTTCCAGGTCAGAGCTTTTGAAATCACAGTTCATGAAACAGTGCTGGAAATAAACAGTGACCAATGCTTTTCTCTTTGCATCACTTTATTCTCTGCATCATTTTATTTTGTGCCTGTTATACTTTAAGAGCAAAGTAAAATCAATAAATTATTTCTTTTCAGGCAATCCATGAATTTCAGAAAACATATCATATCCACTCAGGGTATTAAAGTTTCTTTTAGGCTAGTCACAAGACTGGGGTTTCATGATCATACTGATATTTGAGAAGAATATGTGGGCCTCAGATAACCTCAGATGAACTCTACTCCCATAAATCAGGCGCCTATGTTCCAGCAATGGATGCTGTCATGACCTTTACTCACCTTTTTCCTCACCCATCAGTGATGAGATGAGAAGGGGTTTGATAAGAAAAGAAAAAAAATGATTCTTTGACAAATGTTTTCCTATCATTGAATTTTTAAGGAGGCTTCTGAACAGAAAATATTGTCAATTTTATGCCAAGACACTTTGCGAGAATAAAAAACTGATTGAGCCTCTAGGAAGAGAGAGAGAGAAAAAAAACTTGGTAACTAAAGTGACGGACTGTTGTTTCACATTTTCAAGTTTACTTCCTCTTTTCTCCCCTTTTTTTTTTAAAAAAAATCTTACTGTCTTCTGATTTTTTTGACATGAGTTAAATAATAAGAATGTTTTCTGAATTAACCTTTTGATGCTAAACTTTGATGGACATGTTTTAAAAATAGCATTCTACATGTGAAGACATGTCTGGAATAATTAGGTCTATTTACATGTGAGGATAAATAATTTCTATTTGTTGCAGAACCATAGACCAGCAGAAGCCACAAAGGCGGCAAATGGCCTTATGTGAATACAAGCCAGATACCAAAGTCAAAATTGCTTAGACTGATTATTTATTTCACTGGGGATAGAGAACAAATATTTACTGGAATGCATTTTGTTTCCATTGATGGCTAATGCCAAATAAAAATATCTAGTGAGATATCATCCAAACAGGTTTAATAAAGTAAAAGATGAAAGTGGCTTGAAATTACACTTGATTTATACCAAAAAAGTATGATTTTCTCATTCGTATTGAAATATTCCTTCAAAGAGCTAACCAATTTGCTAGTTGGATTAAAAGACCACTGTCCTTTTGTAGATCTTTGGATGATCTGTGAAAGCATACTAGGAATCAAAATGTTGTAAGATAGAAAACCCCCTCAGCATTTGGACATTCAGATGTTTATGTGTTTCTCTGGACTGGCTCACAGAAAGGCAGGTTGACAACTTTTCAACTTGAGAAATCTCAACCTTCAGCCCAAATAACAGGTGCACCCTGTGACCTTGTCGTTTTTATTTCTTAAGACTTATTTGCTGGATCTGAATTTTTAGAAAAAAAAAAAAAATCTGTCCTGAAACTTACGTATTTTTCTCCAAAGGGGAAAGCTAAATCTAGAAGAAAAAAAAATAAGCAAACAAATGAAACAAACCTCTGGCTAAGTTATTAACAGAAATTTTTCTGAAAACTGATCGCTAGGCTTCTGTTGGCATCTACCTAGGAGTTGAGCCTGGCTTTTCTTCCCATCGTCCAGCAGGTTACCTTCCTTAGGATTTTACCTATCCAGTAGCTGAGGCTTTGTTTAAACTTAGGGAATGTAGCCAGTCAACACAATTCAAAGTAAAACTAACCTTTTCTTCCTTCCTTAGTCTTTAGAGTTTCTGCTAGTTTGTGTGACATTATAGGCTCTTTTTCTCTCCTGATATTTTTCTTTTTAAAAATATATCTTAACACACTTGATTTTTAAAAATTCTAATGTGAACTATATATTTTTAAAAGACATTCTTGCATTTAAAAGGAATAAATGCCAGAATTATTTTAGTGTTGCCTGTTCAAACTTACTCTGAGGCAGAGGGATGAATTCCCTCAAATACTGCCTCAGCCAAGAATGAGTCCAAATGTAGCGGCAGTCTTGATTATTTTGAGGAGGTTGGTAATTAGATCTTTTCCAAATGTCTTACTTTCTTTGTTTCTTGAAAAGTTCTATTACAGGTGTCATCCCTGATTTGCCAAATCAATATTTTTTATGTTGGGGTCTTTATTTCAAAACACCCACATGTGATTTTTCTGGGCATTCCTGGTTAAGAACTACTTTAGGAACTTAAATTCTGGTTTTAGCATTCTTTCAGGAAGATCATTGTTTCATAATCCAACCAACTGCCTTATCTAGCAACACTTGGAAAAGTCATTAACCAGCCTTACATGCAAAAGTCACTCCTGCTTTTATTCATTTTGGAGTGTACCACATCGAGCTGTTTAATTAGGAATAAACACCAGCTGTTTAATTAGGAATAAACACAAGTCTGTCCTTGTGACTTTTGATTGTGGGTCATTTTTAAAAAAACTGTTATTTGCTTGGGTTGGGTTTGGTTTCACTCAACAGAATGTAAATTCTGAATGATATATAACTGTTCCCCAATTTCAGTTGTTCAGTCATATCACACCAAGCATATCCTCCTATTTTTAGGACACTCTGTCCTCAGTGATAGATGTCCTAAAATTGGCTGTCTTAATGTGTCCTGATTGAATTTGGGGTATAACCACATGTACAAATTTTAAATCAGATCATTCCCAATACACCTTCCAAATTTTCTGAAAATCTGTCTAATCATTTTTGTGAAATGTTGTAGTAGACAAACAGTTCAAAATCTTTTTTTCTGTATCTAGGCAACAGAGTTGTTTTGTTAATGAATAGTGTACTGATAAAATGAAAGGATGTTTTAGAAAGACTTTCTTAGATGCGAGATCATGTGGATCTGGAATGGATAGAAATCAGGGAGTTTAGAACAATCATTTACTTTTGAATTTAAGAAGACATATTAGGGAAGGTGAATATGTGAATCCCAGATGAAATGAGCCCAGCTGGGGACCTGGGAAAGGGAGCCTATTTTAGAGGACAAACAAAGCACCAGAAGGTTTGGGCAAAAATAGCCCATTCTAACTCCATATATTGAATACCTGCCACATCCAATGACTCCAGCAATCCTCGCAGTAGGCATTATTAGCCCTATTTTGTATGTGAGGAAACTGAGACACTTAAGAAGATAAGGAACTTATTCAAGGACATAAAGCTGATAATCAACAGAGCTGAAATTTGAATCCAAATCTCTTTTGACTTAACCTGATCTTTCCATTCTGCTGCCATTTAAGGAAGCAACTGGAGTTGAGAGTTTACTGTACTTTGGCAGGGTTTCTCAACAACAAAGTCAGAAGAAGCATAGAAACAGGAGAGCCATCCCTGAAAAAACAATTGGCATAAAACTGTGCCATCAGCTGATATGAGAACATTGAATGCAACAAAAAGACTAATACAATAATATATATTATATATTATTATTAGTTATAATAATATATACTATTATAATATTATCTTTAAATAACAAAACTCTTTTAACTTTTACTATGTACTAGGTTTTCCAAGCATTAAATGTATTTTACCTCATTTAATCCTTATAATCAACCACTTTGTGAGTTAAAAATTATTATTTTCATCTTGCAGATAAGTTAAGTAACCTGTCCCAGGTTCCATGGCTAGAAAGCATAGAAGCTGAGATTTGACACAGACTGGTTACAGAGCTCACACAAGCACAATCGAGATGGAAATTATGGGGAATTATCATGATTAAATGTACAAATGTTTAATAAAATTACTTTGGAGTACATTGATACAGGAAAATATGTATACAAAATGTTAAACATCAAATACAAAATATAGAATGGCTAAGTATATATCAATGATATGCTAATAGAACTACAAATAGACTTCTATTAGTTTTCTTTAGAATTTTACTTTTTATAAAACACAAAAATGCTTTTTGTTTGTAACACCTAACTTTTTTATTAACAACCTTCTGGAAACTCTTTCATTGAGAATATATTCCCTCCAGCTTCCAGAAAGCTTTAAACATTTTCAAATCTCTTACAAACAAAAAACAAAAACTGCCTTATAGTGTTTTTTGTAGTTAAATGCAATAACATATTAAGTAGTAGTAAAATATTTTAGTCATATTTCTTAATCCAAAGCTTATGTACTTTTTACTATGTCATGATCCTTCTTTTGTTTCTTATTGTAGGTAGACACTTAAAAAGAAGAAAAATATTAAGATTTCATAGACTGATTACACAGCACCAAGTCCAGTGCTGTTGTAATGAAGTTCAATAAGTCTCTATTGAATGAGTGGAAGGATGAATGCATGGATAAAAGAAGATGAAAGTAAGAAATAAGTTGAAAATGAAAGGAGAGCTGATTTGAGAAGTCAGGAGTTATTTATGAATTCTGATAAGCTTACTGGAAATATCTTGCCATAATTGGAAAATAGATAACTGAAGGGCAGCAGGTAAAAAAAAACCAGGACATCAGGGTTTTTCACACGTTTTTTCTGGCCCTAAAATTAATATGTATTTTTAATAAAATATCCATAAATACATATAAAAATGTAATAAATCATAAAAATCCATACTCCCCCAACCTAGAGGTAAACATTGTTAACATATTCTATACTCACATATAACAACATATGTGGAACCCAAAGAAAAGTTGGTATTTTAAGCTAAATTTCATTTTGACTCCTTTATTTTATTATTATTATTATTATTTTGAGATGGAGTCTTACTCTGTTGCCCAAGCTGGAGTGCAGTGGTGCAATCTTGGCTCACTGCAACCTCTGCCTCCTGGGTTCAAGAGATTCTCCTGCCTCAGCCTGCCTAGTAGCTGGGATTACAGGCGCCCGCCATCATGCCCAGCTAATTTTTGTATTTTTAGTAGAGATGGGGTTTCAACATGTTGTCCAGGCTGGTCTGGAACTCCTGGCCTCAAGTGATCCCCTGGCCTCGGCCTGCCAAAGTGCTGGGATTACAGGTGTAAGCCACTGTGCTCGGCCATGACTCCTTTTATAATCTCAAGCACATCACATGTTTTGCATTAGTGAATGAGGTAAGCCTGTTTTCTATAGACACTGGTGGAAGAATCACTAAGCATCTTCCAGTTTTGTTGTTCTGTTAAAGGATGGAAACCTGGGTACAGGGTATGGTAGAGTCATTTGCAAATAGGCTACCATTTGCAAAGGTAGGCTTGTAGCTAAGAAGAGGTTTCAGTGCTGAATTGCCCAGTCAAATAGAGTGGGAAGGATCGTATTTTGATGAAGCTAAAGGAAGGAAGATGCAAAGATGGGCTGAAAGATATTTTATGACATTTATATCTAACATTGTCCTTATAATTGTTTTTATTGGCATTGCAAACCATGTCTATCACTCTTAATTTTCAGGAAAGCATACGTATACATGCATTCTAAGAGTCTCTGCCTGTGGAAATCAAGTAAAGAGACAATTTTCCCTATCATTGGGAACATGGTATACAAGAGAGAAACTTTTCATTGGCTGGCAACATAATCCATTTACTGAACTAAAATAACGAATGCCGTGTCTTGTAACTTGGAAGGACCATTAGAAATGGGAGCCATCCCTCCCCCAGAAGCTCTATATCTTTATGCTCTACTGCTGGTTGTAATAGATTATTACACTATAAATTGCGTACTGACTTTTTTTCTTAATAATAAGATTTATTTATAATCTCAATATGTAGACCTTTGTCAGGGTTACTCAATCCTGTCTGTACATTAAAATCACTTAGGTAGCTTTTAAAATATATGATGTCCAAGCCTTACTCAAAGATTCTGATATAGTTTTTTTAAATCGATTTAGTTACATCATGTGGATATGTAGATTTGGGGTAGATCTGCTCAGTACAACATGCAGAAAAAGTGAAACTATAGAGAAAAATGCCCAGAACAAAGATAAGAGAATTTGGAAATACCAACAGTGAGGGAGTGGCAAAGGAAACAGAAAAACTAAAATCAGAAGGAAAGGAAGAAAAAGCAAAAGAGATAGTTTATGATGAGAACACTGAATGAAGGATCGAGAGTGATGAGGAGGGCATAGTGTCAAACACTGCTGGGGACTTGCTATGGTTTGAATGTCCATTCCTAAACTCATATTGACATTTAATTGCTGTTGTAACAGTACTAACAGGTGGACCTTTAAGAGGTGACTAAGTCATGAGGTCTCTTGCCTCATGAATGAATTAATGTTGTTATTGTGGGAGTGGGCTCCTGATAATAGGATAGGTTTGGCCCCATTTCTCTCTCTGTCTCATGAGCTTGCTTCCACCTCTGGTCTTCCTCCATGGATGGTCCTCACCAGATACCAACAACAACACTATGCTCTTGGACTTCCCAGCTCCAAAACCATGAGCCAAATAAGCCTCTGTTCTTTACAAATAACTTTTACAAGTAATTTATAAATTATACAACTTTATAAGTAACTTCTACATTACCTTTATAAAGATAGGCATTTATTTGGCTCATGGTTCTGGAGGCTGGGAAGTCCAAGAGCATAATGCTGGACTCTGTTATAGTAACAGAAAATGGACAAACTAAGGAGTTAAAAGGAATAACACAAGGACAAATCCCCTAGGTTTGGTAAGCAGAAGGACACAGATGGTTGTGGTTAAAAGACTACAAATATGGCGCAGCGTATACTGCTCAAGTGATGGGTGCACCAAAATCTCACAAATCACCACTAAAGAACTTACTCATGTAACCAAATACCACCTGTATCCCAATAACTTATGGAAAAATAAAAACAAAATAAAACAAAATAGAATAAAAATACAATCAGTTGGTGGCTAAAACAAAAAAGAAAGCAATTTTCCTCATGTTTTCATAGCAGCCTGTTAACAGTATACACCGTCCTCAATCTCACAGGCAAACATTTTATTTTTTCTTTTTCTAAGTAATAACTTACTATTCCATGTGAACACCATTATTTTCCCACTGTGTTTGTTATACGTATTAGTCAGGATTCTCTAGAAAGATGGAACTATATGTATTATTCAAGATTCTCTAGAAGGATGGAACTAATAGGATACATATATATATATGTGTGTGTACATACATATATATATATATATATATATATATATATATATATATATATATATATGAGTTTATTAAATATTGACTCAAGATCACAAAATCCCATGATAGGCCGTCTGTAAGCTGAGGAGCAAATAGAGCCAGTCCAAGTCCCCAAACTAAAGAACTTGGAGTCCGATGTTTGAGGGCAGGAAGCATCCAGCACAGGAGAAGGATGTAGGCTGGGATGCTAAGCCAGTCCAACCTTTCCACGTTTTCCTGTCTGCTTCATATTTACTGGTAGCTGATTACATGGTGCTAACCCAGATTAAGGGCGGGTCTGCCTTCCCCAGCCCTCTGACTCAAATATTACTCTCCTTTGGTAACAGCCTCACAGACACACCCAGGATCAATACTTTGCCTCCTTCAATCCAATCAAGTTGACACTCAGTATTAACTGCTTGGCCACTTATCTCTCACTTCTCTTTTCTTTTGGGCTTCAGTGGTTTTACTTCCCTGTTGACTAGTCAGGTTCCCATCTCTACAGAGTCACCAAGCTGATACTAATAATAACACATTTCTTTCCTACTTTCAGAGACTCATTCATGTTCCTGTAATTTAGACAATAATAGATCTTTATATTCATATATTTTAGTGCTTTGGGGTTCCTTATGCTGTACTCTGTTAATAT
This sequence comes from Homo sapiens, assembly GCF_000001405.40. NCBI lineage: Eukaryota > Metazoa > Chordata > Mammalia > Primates > Hominidae > Homo > Homo sapiens. The sequence continues at coordinate 209,122,116 of NC_000002.12, forward strand.
TATATGGATTTCAAGATTTTTATAATTTTAAATCCAAAATGTCTATGAAGATAGACCTTACCTATGAAGATGGGCTCTTACTTAACAAATGTGGTTGCTTTTTCTAAATCATGGCTGAAGGTAGCTGCTAGTTTGGAATAGCCCCCCAAATGCTTCTTTCATCTTCCATGAACAGTCTTCTAATTCTATTTTCATGGCAGGTGGAAAGTCTACCAAGGCTCCAGCAGGAACAGAGATTTGTGTAGCAAAATTGAAATCTAGTGATATACCTCAGAGGTATGTTAGGTGTGGACATAAAAACCATTGGTATGCCCAGTGGAGTGGAAGTTGCTATCTGGTCAAAAGAGGCAAAATGTAGAAAGAAGAGGAAGAAAAAAGATGCTAAACAATAGCAATGGGGTTAAATGGTTGCAAGCCAGGAATTGATTCTTTAGCTCTCTAGCCTGGAGAATTAAATATGAAAGATTTTATTAGCGGAAATTCCTGTGAGAGAAAAGATGGCAAGGAAGCAAAAAATGTACTGAGAGAGCTCTCACACTGTGAAGCAAGTCTGACCCAGACTGAAGGAAACATGGAGAGGATAATGAGTGGAAGCACTCTATGCTAGCATGCAGCCCCTGACACTGTCATGTAGTCTAAGATCATCTAAAGTCCTCAAGTCAAACTCAGTCATCAAAGGAGTGCTTTTTCTCCCACGAATGGGTCTGCCTGAGTATCCCTGCTTCATTCAGCCATCAGTTGCAAATCACAGTTTTTGCAAAATATAATGATTACAGAGTGTAGCAGCTAGCCTTTGAACAATGACTCTTCCAGTAGTTGATGGTCTGCAGGGCACATTCTCATGATAGCCACAGGATTCGTGTAAAGTTCACATATTTGGTATTTAAGATGCATTTGTTTGAGGATTGTGCCTCTGAAATTACTTTATGATAACAACCTACTTCTAATATTTTTCAGGAATGGGGAAAGAGGAATAGGTCCCTGGCAATACTCCACTGGAGAAATTAACACAAAATTGTGTAGGCTTGGCACTATTGACACAAATGTATCTACAGAGTGGACTCTCTAGGTTTTCTTTTCTTAAGCATATAGTGATCTCCAAAATGGCAGCATCCAAGCCTGAGTCCACAGGATGTGTTACAAACCGCACCAAAGAGGGAATGGATAAATAGTGATCAGCAGTCCCAATTCTGTCACACACTAATGTTGAGACATTGGAAAATCACATCACTGTTTTGGGTTTGTCCTCCATTAAGTGCTGGGGCTGGATTAGATTATCTTTGAGATCTCTTTCATCTAGAAAATATTAAGTCTCAAATGCTGTTCATTTGAATGTCAAATAAGAGCTCAACAAATTCATATACATATTAAATTTACTTATAATTTGGAGAAGCACTAAACATTTTTTAAAAGCATGTGGAGGAAATGCAACATGTTACATAATTATCCATGAAAGCCACATGGTTGTGTAGTGTTTAGAGGGGAAATTGGAAATACAGGCTACTGAAAATATTTGAAATATTTTTCCATTCAATTAATCCTGTTCCTGCTGCAAGTAGCAAAGCAAGGAACCACCTGCCAAAATCCTTGCTGAATTTGTGCAGACTGTTATGTTTCAATATTTGATTTGTTAGTTTTATTCCTAAAAATCATTTTTCTCAATATAGGAAATTAGTGACCAATTATTAGTAGAAAAATATTTTTCTTGTTGTTTTTAACAGGACATTTTAAAAAATATTCCCCACACTTGAGGACTGTGCCTAATATATTTTGAATCTAATATGTATGGTTGGTTCTAAAGCTGTTCTATCTTCTTCCATTGACTTAGGTGGTGATGGAAGGATTTCAGGTGTCAAGAAATTTTCCTGGGTGAAGAAGTTGTTGTAGAATCACACCAAATCTTATTTGAAGGTCTGCAGCCTTTTAAATTCATGAAATTTAATAAAAATTTAGTAGGCTCTAATTAAAACACATTTACAGTTTTGGTTTTAAAAAATGTCTCAGATTTTCCTCAATATGAGATTAGTGTTATTTCTGTCTACTCCTTAGAAATAAGCATAATGTAATTACATTCTTCAAAAGAGAACTAATGAGTAAAAAGTAGTTACTAGAAATATAAAAAAACTAAGTAGATAAGGTCAAAACCTTTGTTCTTAGAAATGTATGTACTTGAGACAATAGTGCATACAATTTTTAGACACAGATCTCATAACTACGTTAGTATGGTGTAGGAAAACATAATTAATACTCATCAATAGCACTTTAAAAACATGTTTGTTATGAATTAAAAGACGAGACATCTCAGTTTAAATGGACCCATATACAATAAATCAAAAAGCTTTTTAAGGGAGAGACAGATCTTGCGGTTCTGCAACTAATAATGGAAGTAAAGAAAGCATGTTTAATCAAAATCCTTTTCTGTAATAAAACCCATCACTTATTTAGAAAATGAAGATATGTATAACATAGCTAAGATAAATGTAATACCAGTGAAAATTTTATGTGGAAATGGACTCTGCATAGTGTTCGACTAAGAGAACTCAGAAACGTTTGGAAGTCAGAATTGAAGACATTGACAGAGGTTGCCAGTAACTGGGCTGAAATGTCAGTGGGTATAATATTTCTCAAACCTTCCTTAGACCACATGGCAGTACAGGGGACTGCATGCCACTGTGGCTCAAGGACCCTTGTTTCCCAACTCCTAAAAGCTGAGCAAGATTACATTAACAAAACAAAATGGAAATTTGGTTTATTTGTGTTCTAAGTTGAAAGATTTTTGATTCAATTTTTTTTACATCTGCAAATTCTTACTTGTTGGCACTTCATTTAAATTTGAGCAGTATGTTTAGTGTTCTTCACTTGTGTATATATAGTTTAAAATATTTTTATCTGCTAAAATATTTTGATTACCATTATCTGTTCTCTTATTATAAGATTTTATATGATGTCATTTTCATTTTCTGTTATCTCCCCAATCCCAACAAGCTCAAAACAGTTGTATCTAAAAGCTAACTATGTTTTGAAAGGCTAGATTCTTGGTCAGGAGCAATGTCTTTTGCATGCTGTTTTAGTTGTGAGGTGGGTAGGGAAGAGTTTAGGTATTTATTTGCAATTTTACAATTGTGTTCCATTTCTTAAGGATCCTCAATTTTTCCATCTTATGTTTTTCTTTACCTTCACCATAGGCTCTCCAAGAGATTCTCTTCCTTCAATGTCCTAGTCACCCTCTTTTCTCCCAGAAGAAAGACCACTGCCTCAGGTTCCATACCTCATGAACTTTAATGCTCTGGCTTCTCCCACAGTCATCGCTCAGACATACCAACCTTTCTTCTGCATTTTCCCTCTGGGGATGTGACTTGTTCTATTTGAGGAGTTTATTACATCTGTGTTTCATCACTACCCCATCCCTTAGGCTTCCCACACCCAATTCCTCTTTTCCAAACACTCATGACATTTTCTGATGACTTTCTATTCAGGTATGAGGTCTGGAACTAGGTCTACAGGATCTGAATATTCAATTCACTGCTTATAGGCAATTTGAAGTAAATTGCATACTTCCTCTCCTAGGCTGGCTGAGGTATAGTATGTGGATTGTTTCATGTTCTGTCTTTTCCAATTTGTATACATTGGAGGATGTGTGGAGAGGTTCAGGTTTAGGTGGCATCATATGGCAAACTGGAAGTTAAAAATGAAAATTTTGAAGAAAAGAACTATGAGAAGGAGAAATTAGAAATGTATTCATTCAAGACAATTTACTGATTCTACATTGTGGAATAGCTAAATCAAGGTAATTTACATACCCATTACCTCATATACTCATTATTTTTTGTGTTTGATGAGAACACTTCAAATCTACTATCTTAGCAATTTTCAAGTATACAATACATTATTAACTGTAGTCATCATGATGTACAATAGATCTCTAAAATTTATTCCCATCATCTAACTAAAATTTTGTATCCTTTTAACAACATCTCCTCATACCCCCCACCCATCCTCCAGCCTCTGCTAACCACCATTCTACTCTGTTACTATGAATTTGACTTTTTAAAATTTCACATAAAAGTGAGATCATGTGATATTTGTCTTTCTGTGCTGGGTTTATTTCACTTAACATAATGTCATCCAAGTTTATCCATTTTGTCGTAAATGATAGGATTTCCTCCTTTTTATGGTTGAATAGTATTCTATTGTGGATATATACCACATTTTCTCTATCCAGCACTTAGATTGATTCTGTATTTTGGACATTGTGCATAATGCTACCATCAACATGGGAGTTCAGATATCTCCTCAACATACTGATTTCATATTCTTTGGATATATTATTAGAGGTGGGATTACTGGATCATATGGTAGGTTTTTAAGGTTTCAAGGAATCTCCTTACTGTTTTCCATAATAATTTTATCAATTTACATTTCCATCAACAGTATTCCATCCATACATTTCCTTTCTCCACATCCTAGTCAACACTTCTCATCTTTCATCTTTTTTCTAGGAACCATTCTAACAGGTGTAAGGTGTTATGTTATTATGGTTTTAATTTGCATTTCTCTGATGATGAGTGATGTTGAGCATTTTTTCATATGCCTGTTGGTCATTTGTATATTTTCTTCTGAAAAATGTCTGTTCAGGTCCTTTACCCATTTTTAAAATCAGATTGTTTCTTTGCTGTTAAATTATATGAGTTCCTGGTATATTTTGAATATTAAACCCTTACCAGATGTGTGCTTCAAAAAATATTTCTTTTCTTATTCTGTAAGTTGTCTCTTCATTCTGTTATTATTATTATTTTTTTGCTGTGCAGAAAATTTTTAGTTTGATATAATCCTACTTACTTGTTTTTGCTTTTGTTGCCTGTGCTTCTGGGGTTATATTCAAAAAATCATTGCTCAGACCAACGTCATAGAGCTTTTTCTCTACTACTTTTTCTCTTCTAATAGTTTCATGTTTCAGGTCTTTAATACTTTTTTAGTTTATTTTTATATGTGGTATAAGATGAGGGTCTAATATCTTTCCTCTACAGTGAATATTCCATTTTCCCCCAAACCATTTATTAAAGAGACTATCCTTTTTCCATTTTGTATTCTTGGCATCTTTGTCAAAAATCAATGGGCTATAAATGTGTGGATTTATTTCTGGCCTCTCTATAGTGTCCTATTTGTCTATGTGTCTGTTTCTATGTCTGTATCATGCTGTTTTGGTTACTATAGCTTTCTAGTTGATTTTCAAAATAAGTAGTGTGATGCCTTTAGCTTTGTTGTTTCTGCTCAAGATTTGTATTGCTATTCTGCGTCTTTTGTGGCTCCATACAAATTTTGGATTTTTTTTTCTGTTTCTGTGAAATGTCATTGGAATTTTGATAGGCATTGCATTGAATCTGCTGATTGCTTTAGGTAGTATGGATATTTTGACAATATTAATTGTTCCAACCCATGAACATAGATATCTTTTCTTTTATTTGTGTCTTATGATTCTTCTTTATCTTCTCACCTTACAGTCACGCTGTGACCGTCCTACAACTCTACTGCTGTAAGGTGAAAGCAGCCACAGATAACATGTAAAGAAATGAAAGTGGCTGTAAAACTATATTCACAAAAACTTATTCACAGTACTTCATTTACAAAAGAAGGCAGTTGTCTACACCTGACCCTGCCCTAGATGACCCATACAATCCTAAAGTACTAGACTACCCACCTAAGACCTCTCCTCTTTACAATTCTGCTGCTAGGCCACCCATACCCTAGGAAGGTTACTATTTTTAGGTGGCCAAAATAACTGGAAGGTCTAATCTATCAGGTCAAATTTAGCAAAACAGAATTAGCTTCTTCAGCTGCTTATGATGTACTTTTCTGCTTTTCACAGTTCGCAAAAATAACTTTTGAAATTTTCATGGATAATATTTTCTTAGTTTTTCAAGAAAAACCAAGAACTAAATCAAAAGTAAAATATAATATATTTAAGTTGATTTCATCTCTCCTGCACCATAATCAGAAATATTTTGTACAGCTTTAGGAGATCCGAAGGTTTACCTTCATAGTATTTGGTCCATGTGTCTTTTAGATAACTTTGTTTTACCCTATTCTTAATTCTTATTAGATTTTCAATAAAGCTTGACAAGGATAAATAACTTTGGAGAAAAAAATTCATAATTTCTACTTTCGTACTTTCCATTTAATAAATATAGGTTATAATTTGTACAATGTTTTCACATGAACCAAATAAATAAAAAGCAATTCTGGATGGAAAAGGCAACCAAACATTAAGTAACTGTCATAGTATGGGAGGTTGACATTTAAAAGATTTAAATGTAAAAGTATGCTTTTAAAATGATATTATTTCATATATTAATTGAACTATCAACAAGAAATGGCTCAAGAAAGAGTTAAATTAAAATTTACCTAGGCTTTCTAGGGGGAGGAGCCCAGATGGCCGAATAGGAACAGCTCCTGTCTACAGCTCCCAGTGTGAGCGACCCAGAAGACGGGTGCTTTCTGCATTTCCATCTGAGGTACTGGGTTCATCTCACTAGGGAGTGCCAGACAGTGGGCGCAGGTCAGTGGGTGCACGCACCATGCACGAGCCAAAGCAGGACGAGGCATTGCCTCACTTGGGAAGCGCAAGGGGTCAGGGAGTTCCCTTTCTGAGTCAAAGAAAGGGGTGACGGACGCACCTGGAAAATCGGGTCACTCCCACCAGAATATTGCGCTTTTCGGACCGGGTTAAAAAACGGCGCACCACGAGATTATATCCCGCACCTGGCTCGGAGGGTCCTACGCCCACGGAGTCTCGCTGATTGCTAGCACAGCAGTCTGAGATCAAACTGCAAGGCGGCAGCGAGGCTGGGGGAGGGGCGCCCACCATTGCCCAGGCTTGCTTAGGTAAACAAAGCAGCCTGGAAGCTCCAACTCGGTGGAGCCCACCACAGCTCAAGGAGGCCTGCCTGCCTCTGTAGGCTCCACCTCTGGGGGCAGGGCACAGACAAACAAGAAGACAGCAGTAACCTCTGCAGACTTAAATGTCCCTGTCTGACAGCTTTGAAGAGAGCAGTGGTTCTACCAGCACGCAGCTGGAGATCTGAGAACGGGCAGACTGCCTCCTCAAGTGGGTCCCTGACCCCTGACCCCCGAGCAGCCTAACTGGGAGGCACCCCCCAGCAGGGGCACACTGACACCTCACACGGCAGGGTACTCCAACAGACCTGCAGCTGACGGTCCTGTCTGTTAGAAGGAAAACTAACAAACAGAAAGGACATCCACACCAAAAACCCATCTGTACATCACCATCATCAAAGACCAAAAGTAGATAAAACCACAAAGATGGGGAAAAAACAGAACAGAAAAACTAGAAACTAAAAAGCAGAGCGCCTCTCCTCCTCCAAAGGAACGCAGCTCCTCACCAGCAATGGAACAAAGCTGGATGGAGAACGACTTTGACCAGCTGAGAGAAGAAGGCTTCAGAGGATCAAATTACTCTGAGCTACGGGAGGACATTCAAACCAAAGGCAAAGAAGTTGAAAACCTTGAAAAAAATTTAGAAGAATGTATAACTAGAATAACCAATACAGAGAAGTGCTTAAAGGAGCTGATGGAGCTGAAAACCAAGGCTTGAGAACTATGTGAAGAATGCAGAAGCCTCAGGAGCCGATGCGATCAACTGGAAGAAAGGGTGTCAGTGATGGAAGATGAAATGAATGAAATGAAGTGAGAAGGGAAGTTTAGAGAAAAAAGAATAAAAAGAAATGAGCAAAGCCTCCAAGAAATATGGGACTATGTGAAAAGACCAAATCTACGTCTGATTGGTGTACCTGAAACTAACGGGGAGAATGGAACCAAGTTGGAAAACACTCTGCAGGATATTATCCAGGAGAACTTCCCCAATCTAGCAAGGCAGGCCAACGTTCAGAATCAGGAAATACAGAGAACACCACAAAGATACTCCTCGAGAAGAGCAACTCCACGACACATAATTGTCAGATTCACCAAAGTTGAAATGAAGGAAAAAATGTTAAGGGCAGCCAGAGAGAAAGGTCGGGTTACCCTCAAAGGGAAGCCCATCAGACTAACAGCGGATCTCTCGGCAGAAACCCTACAAGCCAGAAGAGAGTGGGGGCCAATATTCAACATTCTTAAAGAAAAGAATTGTCAACCCAGAATTTCATATCCAGCCAAACTAAGCTTCATAAGTGAAGGAGAAATAAAATACTTTACAGACAAGCAAATGCTGAGAGATTTTGTCACCACCAGGCCTGCCCTAAAAGAGCTCCTGAAGGAAGCGCTAAACATGGAAAGGAATAACCGGTACCAGCCGCTGCAAAATCATGCCAAAATGTAAAGACCATCGAGACTAGGAAGAAACTGCATCAACTAACGGCAAAATCACCAGCTAACATCATCATGACAGGATCAAATTCACACATAACAATATTAACTTTCAATGTAAATGGACTAAATGCTCCAATTAAAAGACACAGACTGGCAAATTGGATAAAGAGTCAAGACCCATCAGTGTGCTGTATTCAGGAAACCCATCTGACGTACAGAGACACACATAGGCTCAAAATAAAAGGATGGAGGAAGATCTACCAAGCAAATGGAAAACAAAAAAAGGCAGGGGTTGCAATCCTAGTCTCTGATAAAACAGACTTTAAACCAATAAAGATCAAAAGAGACAAAGAAGGCCATTACATAATGGTAAAGGGATCAATTCAACAAGAAGAGCTAACTATCCTAAATATATATGCACCCAATACAGGAGCACCCAGATTCATAAAGCAAGTCCTGAGTGACCTACAAAGAGACTTAGACTCCCACACATTAATAATGGGAGAATTTAACACCCCACTGTCAACATTAGACAGATCAACGCGACAGAAAGTCAACAAGGATACCCAGGAATTGAACTCAGCTCTGCACCAAGCGGACCTAATAGACATCTAAAGAACTCTCCACCCCAAATCAACAGAATATACATTTTTTTCAGCACCACACCACACCTATTCCAAAATTGACCACATACTTGGAAGTAAAGCTCTCCTCAGCAAATGTAAAAGAACAGAAATTATAACAAACTATCTCTCGGACCACAGTGCAATCAAACTAGAACTCAGGATTAAGAATCTCACTCAAAACTGCTCAACTACATGGAAACTGAACAACCTGCTCCTGAATGACTACTGGGTACATAACGAAATGAAGGCAGAAATAAAGATGTTCTTTGAAACCAACGAGAACAAAGACACAACATACCAGAATCTCTGGGACGCATTCAAAGCAGTGTGTAGAGGGAAATTTATAGCACTAAATGCCCACAAGAGAAAGCAGGAAAGATCCAAAATTGACACCCTAACATCACAATTAAAAGAACTAGAAAAGCAAGAGCAAACACATTCAAAAGCTAGCAGAAGGCAAGAAATAACTAAAATCAGAGCAGAACTGAAGGAAATAGAGACACGAAAATCCCTTCAAAAAATTAATGAATCCAGGAGCTGGGTTTTTGAAAGGATCAACAAAATTGATAGACCGCTAGCAAGACTAATAAAGAAAAAAAGAGAGAAGAATCAAATAGACACTATAAAAAATGATAAAGGGGATATCACCACCGATCCCACAGAAATACAAACTACCATCAGAGAATACTACAAACACCTCTATGCAAATAAACTAGAAAATCCAGAAGAAATGGATAAATTCCTCGACACATACACTCTCCCAAGACTAAACCAGGAAGAAGTTGAATCTCTGACTAGACCAATAACAGGAGCTGAAATTGTGGCAATAATCAATAGTTTACCAACCAAAAAGAGTCCAGGACCAGATGGATTCACAGCCGAATTCTATCAGAGGTAAAAGGAAGAACTGGTACCATTCCTTCTGAAACTATTCCAATCAATAGAAAAAGAGGGAATCCTCCCTAACTCATTTTATGAGGCCAGCATCATTCTGATACCAAAGCCGGGCAGAGACACAACCAGAAAAGAGAATTTTAGACCAATATCCTTGATGAACATTGATGCAAAAATCCTCAATAAAATACTGGCAAAACGAATCCAGCAGCACATCAAAAAGCTTATCCACCATGATCAAGTGGGCTTCATCCCTGGGATGCAAGGCTGGTTCAATATACGCAAATCAATAAATGTAATCCAGCATATAAACAGAGCCAAAGACAAAAACCACATGATTATCTCAATAGATGCAGAAAAGGCCTTTGACAAAATTCAACAACCCTTCATGCTAAAAACTCTCAATAAATTAGGTATGGATGGGACGTATTTCAAAATAATAAGAGCTATCTATGACAAACCCACAGCCAATATCATACTGAATGGGCAAAAACTGGAAGCATTCCCTTTGAAAACTGGCACAAGGCAGGGATGCCCTCTCTCACCACTCCTATTCAACATAGTGTTGGAAGTTCTGGCCAGGGCAATTAGGCAGGAGAAGGAAATAAAGGGTATTCAATTAGGAAAAGAGGAAGTCAAATTGTTCCTGTTTGCAGACGACATGATTATATATCTAGAAAACCCCATTGTCTCAGCCCAAAATCTCCTTAAGCTGATAAGCAACTTCAGCAAAGTCTCAGGATACAAAATCAATGTACAAAAATCACAAGCATTCTTATACACCAATAACAGACAAACAGAGAGCCAAATCATGAGTGAACTCCCATTCACAATTGCTTCAAAGAGAATAAAATACCTAGGAATCCAACTTACAAGGGATGTGAAGGACCTCTTCAAGGAGAACTACAAACCACTGCTCAAGGAAATAAAAGAGGATACAAACAAATGGAAGAACATTCCATGCTCATGGCTAGGAAGAATCAATATCGTGAAAATGGCCATACTGCCCAAGGTAATTTACAGATTCAATGCCATCCCCATCAAGCTACCAATGCCTTTCTTCACAGAATTGGAAAAAACTACTTTAAAGTTCATATGGAACCAAAAAAGAGCCCGCATCGCCAAGGCAACCCTAAGCCAAAAGAACAAAGCTGGAGGCATCACACTACGTGACTTCAAACTATACTACAAGGCTACAGTCACCAAAACAGCATGGTACTGGTACCAAAACAGAGATATAGATCAATGGAACAGAACAGAGCCCTCAGAAATAACGCTGCACATCTACAACTATCTGATCTTTGACAAACCTGAGAAAAACAAGCAGTGGGGAAAGGATTCCCTATTTAATAAATGGTGCTGGGAAAACTGGCTAGCCATATGTAGAAAGCTGAAACTGGATCCCTTCCTTACACCTTATACAAAAATCAATTCAAGATGGATTAAAGACTTAAACGTTAGACCTAAAACCATAAAAACCCTAGAAGAAAACCTAGGCATCACCATTCAGGACATAGGCATGGGCAAGGACTTCATGTCCAAAACACCAAAAGCAATGGCAACAAAAGACAAAATTGACAAATGGGATCTAATTAAACTAAAGAGCTTCTGCACAGCAAAAGAAACTACCATCAGAGTGAACAGGCAACCTACAAAATGGGAGAAAATTTTCACAACCTACTCATCTGACAAAGGGCTAATATCCAGAATCTACAATGAACTCAAACACATTTACAAGAAAAAAACAAACAACCCCATCAAAAAGTGGGTGAAGGATATGAACAGACACTTCTCAAAAGAAGACATTTATGCAGCCAAAAAACACATGAAAAAATGTTCATCATCACTGGCCATCAGAGAAATGCAAATCAAAACCACAATGAGATACTATCTCAAACCAGTTAGAATGGCAATCATTAAAAAGTCAGGAAACAACAGGTGCTGGAGAGGATGTGGAGAAATAGGAACACTTTGACACTGTTGGTGGGACTGTAAACTAGTTCAACCATTGTGGAAGTCAGTGTGGCGATTCCTCAAGGATCTAGAACTAGAAATACCATTTGACCCAGCCATCCCATTACTGGGTATATACCCAAAGGATTATATATCTTGCTGCTATAAAGATACATGCACACGTATGTTTATTGCGGCATTATACACAATAGCAAAGACTTGGAACCAACCCAAATGTCCAACAATGATAGACTGAATTAAGAAAATGTGGCACATATACACCATGGAATACTATGCAGCCATAAAAAATGATGAGTTCATGTCCTTTGTAGGGACATGGATGAAATTGGAAATCATCATTCTCAGTAAACTATCGCAAGAACAAAAAACCAAACCCCGCATATTCTCACTCATAGGTGGGAATTGAACAATGAGATCACGTGGACACAGGAAGGGGAATATCACACTCTGGGGACTGTGGTGGGGTGTGGGGAGGGGGGAGGGATAGCACTGGGAGATATACCTAATGCTAGATGACGAGTTAGTGGGTGCAGCGCACCAGCATGGCACATGTATACATATCTAACTAACCTGCACAATGTGCACACGTACCCTAAAACTTAAAGTATAATAAAAAAAAATTTAAAAAAATAAATAAATAAATAAATATCATTTAATTCATGAAAAAAATAAAATAAAATAAAATTTACCTAGGCTTTCTAAAACATCCATGCATGGTTGTTATCTCTTTTGACTTCTAATGGACATAATAACATGTAATGGACATAAGGCAGCAGCTATTCAACCTCCCTCTTTCTTAACAAAGCAATGATGGGGCTCAGGTATCTACCTGTCTTTAATAAAGCTCACATGACTTAAAAGAAAGTAATTCTCATCTCTAGACCAATTCCATAGTACTTTCATTCCCCCAGGCCTCAAAGCCTAGGCTAATGCCAATCAGAGCATGGCATTTTCCCAAGGGTACCCTTTTTCTAGACTGCCATGTATTTATCTAAATATGAATGTCCTTATTATTTACACAAGTTATATTTAGCTTTGTACTACTTGTGTTCAAATGCATCCTATCTATAATCTATTTTGTTAACAATTCTTTGACACACTGTTATAATCTGTTTTACAGTTTATGAAACTGTAGTACTCAAAGGCTTTATGATGATGCCTTTAATTCTAGAAGTGTCTGTTTTATTAAAAGCAGAAAATATTTTATCCTTATCACTGTATAGTTAAAATACATCAATGCAATATATTTTTACTTTGTACGATATATATAGTGTTTTATAGAATTTTTACTTAAACTAATAGATTGAGTCATTTATTTATGAGTAAAGTATCCACTTGCTACTGTGGTGAACAAGCTAAAACCTTGGGTTACAGTTGCAATTCCCCATTTTGTTTGTATTCTATGGCTTGCTAGCTGTGTGATCTGGAGGAAGTTATTTAATATGACTGTGCCTCCTTTTCTCAGCTGTAAAATGGGGAGCAATAAAGCACTTGCCACATAAGCTTGCTCAGAGTATTAATACAGGCAATCCCTGTAAGAGGCTTAGCACAGGGCCTGGCATACTGTAGGTTTTTCAGTAGTTGTGAACTATTATTTTACCAAGTTTACACATGGAAATAAATATGACAACTTTTTTTTCAGTTTACACAAACTTCCTTTCAAACATCAACAAATAGTATTCTATTTCTCAATAACAAGTATCTGATGTCAGAGACTAAGGGAGAGACACATGGACTAAGTATAAAAGAATGGATTTTGCTTCAAAGCACTCTTTTTCAGTGTCTTACATTATCTCTCGGCCCTAACGTCGGTGTTGAAAATAGCTAGGAGGGTCTACCCCTGTGCCTTCTGGGTTCTCCCCATTCTTTTTTCTCTGGTGGATTTTTTGGCATCACATGAGTTGCTGTTTCTAAGAAAGTAAACGAGTGACAAGTAGACTACAGGACTACTGATGCATTTATCATCCTCATAGGAGTGCAGTCAAGTCCTATTTCCAGCTCTTCCATTATGCTGTGATATATTATAGTAACATTATTTGGTATTACATACCTAATGGAATTATCCAATCAGGTTTATAAACCTGTTAACAGACTCTTAATGAAAGGTTTGACCCTGCCTTTCCATATAAGAAGTGAATCAAACCCCAATCCAACATTTGTAGAATGCCACACTCAAAAATCTCAATAATCTCCTAAAGGAACACATGCAATGGTACTGCTTTCTTTCTTTCTTTTTTTGTTGTTGTTGTTGTCTTCTTTATACATAATTTTTTTTATTTCTATCACTTTTTTTTATTATTATACTTTAAGTTCTAGGATACATGTGCACAACGTGCAGGTGTGTTACATATGTATACATGTGCCATGTTGGTGTGCTGCACCCATTAACTCATCATTTACATTAGATATATCTCCTAATGCTATTCTTCCCCCATTACCCCACCCAACGACAGTCCCCAGTGTGTGATGTTCCCCCTCCTCTGTCCAAGTGTTCTCATTGTGCAATTCCCACCTGTGAGTGAGAACATGCGATGTTTGCTTTTTTGTCCTTGCAATAGGTTGCTGAGAATGATGGTTTCCAGCTTCATCCATGTCCCTACAAAGGACATGAACTCATCATTTTTTATGGCTGCATAGTATTCCATGGTGTATATGTGCCACATTTTCTTAACCCAGTCTATCATTGTTGGACATTTGGGTTGGTACCAAGTCTTTGCTATTGTGAATAGTGCCACAATGAACATATGTGTGCATGTGTCTTTATAGCAGCATGATTTATAATCCTTTGGGTATACACCCAGTAATGCGATGGCTGGGTCAAATGGTATTTCTAGTTCTAGATCCTTGAGAAATCACCACACTGTCTTCCACAATGGTTGAACTAGTTTACAGTCCCACCAACAGTGTCAAAGTGTTCCTATTTCTCCACATCCTCTCCAGCACCTGTTGTTTCCTGACTTTTTAATGATTGCCATTCTAACTGGTGTGAGATGGTATCTCATTGTGGTTTTGATTTGCATTTCTCTGATGGCCAGTGATGATGAGCATTTTTTCATGTGTCTTTTGGCTGCATAAATGTCTTCTTTTGAGAAGTGTCTGTTCATATCCTTCGCCCACTTTTTGATGGGATTTTTTTTTCTTGTAAATTTGTTTGAGTTCTTTGTAGATTCTGGATATTAGCCCTTTGTCAGATGAGTAGATTGCAAAAATTTTCTCCCATTCTGTAGGTTGCCTGTTCACTCTGATGGTAGTTTCTTTTGCTGTGCAGAAGCTCTTTAGTTTAATTAGATCCCATTTGTCTATTTTGGCTTATGTTGCCATTGCTTTTGGTGTTTTAGACATGAAGTCCTTGCCCATGCCCATGTCCTGAATGGTATTGCCTAGGTTTTCTTCTAGGGTTTTTATGGTTTTAGGTCTAACAGTTAAGTCTTTAATCCATTTTGAATTAATTTTTATATAAGATGTAAGGAAGGGATCCAGTTTCAGCTTTGTACATGTGGCTAGCCAGTTTTCCCAGCACCATTTATTAAATAGGGAATCCTTTCCCATTTCTTGTTTTTGTTGGGTTTGTCAAAGATCAGGTGGTTGTAGATGTGTGGTATTATTTCCGGGGGCTCTATCTGTTCCATTGGTCTATATCTCTGTTTTGGTACCAGTACCATGCTGTTTTGGTTACTGTAGCCTTGTAGTATAGTTTGAAGTCAGGTAGCATGATGCCTCCAGCTTTGTTCTTTTGACTTAGGATTGTCTTGGCAATGCGGGCTCTTTTTTGGTTCCATATGAACTTTAAAGTAGTTTTTTCCAATTCTGTGAAGGAAGTCATTGGTAGCTTTATGGGGATGGCAGTGAATCTATAAATTACCTTGGGCAGTATGGCCATTTTCATGATATTGATTCTTCCTATCCATGAGCATGGAATGTTCTTCCGTTTGTTTGTGTCCTCTTTTACTTCATTGAGCAGCGGTTTGTAGTTCTCCTTGAAGAGGTCCTTCACATCCCTTGTAAGTTGGATTCCTAGGTATTTTATTCTCTTTGAAGCAATTGTGAATGGGAGTTCACTCATGATTTGGCTCTCTGTTTGTCTGTTATTGGTGTATAAGAATGCTTGTGATTTTTGTACATTGATTTTGTATCCTGAGACTTTGCTGAAGTTGCTTATCATCTTAAGGAGATTTGGGGCTGAGAGGATGGGGTTTTCTAAATATACAATCATGTCATCTGCAAACAGGAACAATTTGACTTCCTCTTTTCCTAATTGAATACCTTTAAAAGAGCCCATCCTAAAATGCAAAGCGTTCACCTCAGGGAGCGGAAATTTGTGATTGTTTTTCTCATGCTTTAAATCCCATTAGCAATGTTCCTGCTGCTCTCCTTAAGATTTTACTGTAGAAACTCTAAAGCCTGGGAAATGTCAAAGTCACATTCTCAAACCAAAGACACGTCTAAGGGAAGAAAAGTAAGATAGAAATAAGCTGAACTTTTCTGGTCAGGAATGCAGATGGTAGAAGTGGTGTTAACATCCTGGAAGGAAGGTTCTGCTCACAAGGATACTCACTGTAGAATTGTTCACTGCAGTAAAAAGTTGGAAACTACCTACTGGGTCCTGAATGAAATAACAATTAATTAAATGAAAATGGTGGTTTGGAAGTAATTTAAGTTAGTGTTAAGCACCATCCATAGGCTCCTTTTCTTTACCTCACAGGGATAGCCCTATTTCCAGCCAGCTTTCTAGAAACTCTTTTTTTCAATTTAATAAGTTAATTGTATGTTTTTTGTTCTGAACATTATCTTTAGAGAGTATTCCTATCTCTGTTTATTTCTCATCCAACAAAAAACTGACAAAACCACATGTGTGCATATGGTCAAGGTTTTTAAAAATTATAAATTTAACATGGATTCATTTGGAAAACAAAAGCATAAAGAAGACATCGAAATCTGTGATTTACTCCTCATCCAGATGTATAGCTAGTATTGGCTTGTCCCGATAGCCTTTAAATATTCTTTTCTATTGCTCAAATTTCTCTTCTCCTTTGGAATTTTGCTTTCCATGCCTATTCAGGTGTGAATCATTTGCCCTCTGATCTCTCCGTGTTATGGATCAATTCCACCAGTCTTTTTCTTCTGCCTGAGAGACTTTCACCTCTTTTTAATAATACTCAATAAGGCTGTGTTTATTTTCTTCTTCCAGTGAACTTTTTTTTTGGTTCTGGGGCACCAACTGAAGATTCAATAATTGTTTTCTGGATCAGAAATATGAATAATAAAATTCCTGAGATAATCATGAAGTTTCATGTGGTCTCTTGTGTGGAGCTGAACATCTATAGGATTAATGGACTGACTTAATCAAGCTACTAATGGGCTCCTTTTCCTTTAAGAAACCATTTTTAGTTTTGTAAATTTATGCAAACCTATGTCAGTGAGGTTCATTTACCTATGATTTCTAAACAACAATAACATTGTGGAGTGGTAGTAATATTGAGTATTATGGGAACTTATTGAAACTTCTATGGCAGACATACAAATGTGCCAGCTTTCATACAGTGAATGGAAGTGGATTGAAAGCTATGACACTCTGTTTAGCCATAAGGAGACAGAATGGCAGAGTAGAAAGAATGTTGAACTAAAAATAAAGGAAATTAAGTTCTAATCTGGATTCTGACACAATTGTTTGACCTCATCTGCAAAATCATAATGTTCATCCAAATGATTTCCAAAGTCCCTTCTAGTAAAGAAATTCCATATATTATCATGCTGCTTTTCTACTAAACACAGAAGAGATGAGTTTGGGTTTCAAGGAAGTGTTTCCTGACCTAAAGTATAACAAGACACCACATATTTTGCTAAGGGAGGTAGAGAATTCTTCACAAGAGAGTTTTTAAAAAAGGAAAAATCAGCTCCCTAAAGTAGGGTATGTGCAATCTTCCAAAGGAGCATGAGATTGAGGCACTAAAGGAACTTGCAATGTCTCCAACCAGAAGATTCTGAATTCACTTGCAACTTCCCACAGTAACAAATGAAAATCATACTCTAGAACACTGGGTTTGCTGGGTAAAGACACTTAGTGTAGCAAGCTCCACTTATAATGGGAGCCTCTGTCTCTCCTCTGCCTGATGCTCTTCAGGCAGTAGTGTCTATATTTATTATTTACTAAAATCATGGATGACAGTTCTCTGAATTTTCTGCCTGGTCATTCAGTTGGATATCTATAAAAAACATAGTGGGAGAAAATATTTATTAAAAACTTACAAGGTAGGCAATTTGCTACATTATTTGCTCATCTAATTCTCATAACTACATAAAGCAACATGATACAGTGATGCCTTAGTCTTCTCACCTATAAAAGGGAGAAAAGAAATGGTGAAGTTTTGCGAGAATAAATGAAATAATACAAAGCACTGTACCTAATAAGTATCTTTGATGTGTGACTGCTCTATATTAACATAATGATGAGCACATGATAAGTGTTTAAATATGCCCACTGAATTGACCTGAGTTGAATGAAATTGAAATGCAGATAAATGATTTTTATTTTCTCCACTACTGCTGGTGAGCTGGGCAGGAATGTTACTTCACTAGAGTTTTGTAACAAGTCCACTAAACAAAGTGGAATATATCCCAGGTCAAGCAAAAAGAGCAAAGGTACTGAACAGAATTGGTGAGATAAATACACATTGACAGAAAGAATGTATAATGAAAGGTTTATAGTCTGTGTGGAAATACAGAAGAAAAGAATGGGACCAGATGTTCACCAGCACCATGCAGGAAAGGAAGAGGATGTATTAGAATACTCTAAATGCTTTAATAGAAACCCCAAAAATTTGTTATCAAAACACTATATAAAATTTTTATAAAATATATGAAAACAGTACTGAATAATGTATATCCTCTCCTCTCCTACATGTTAGAAAACCATTGATCTTTAGTTGTCCCAGATTTATTTCTTGGAAAAATAATTTCACAGTCAATCTATATAGTCTTGGGAATACAGTTTTAACATCTCCAGTCTTAGATCACTGCTTTTGTTTGTTTTGTTTGTTTGGAAATACATAGTTTGGTCTCTTGGGCCTTTTTTATTTGTAGTAACAGGGAATTACGCATAAGAAAATATTTGACATTAATGTATTTTCTTTTCTTTGGGCTAATATATCCTTTGACACTATGTAAGGTTTTTTTACTTGATTATCTTTTGGGGTAAAAGAGGTGAAGAATATTAATGAAAGAAACCTCATTTTAAAATTCCATGAGAAGAGAATATAGTTTCTGGAAGGCTAGTCTTCATTTTATGAATTGGTTCAGTAATCTGCCTTTGTAATTACTCAACGAATGAAACACCCTGGAATAGTCAAAGCAACAGAATGCCTCAGGTTTGAACTTGTTCCTAATTTACTATTAATTTGTTAAGAATCGTTCCAGATCTTTTGCTGTAGTCACACATGAACAATTCATCTTGTGGTATCACAGTCCTCCAGGAAACTGACTGTACCTGCGGCTTCTGGGTGAAATAGCAGTTGATTCAGAATTCTAGTTCTCTTAAACTTAGAATAATAATTTAGAAACTCACCTCAAATTAAATCTGAGCAGACAGATCTAAAAGCAAGGAGGAGATGCTAAAAGAGGGCAGAATGAACTTACATACAAAAGGTTTAAATTTCCTCATGAAGGGATTAACCTAGATGTGTAAGTGAAGGAGGAAAGACAAGGATGAGAACTTGACCTCATCTGTATTTCCTTCTTATTTTAAATAATCTCTTTAAATTTCAATGCCCTAGTTTATATGAAGGTAAGCCATGAATATTCCTTTTAGTCTAATCTGAGGAATTTGTCTTTGTCCTTTTGCTTAAAATAATTTATTTAATCTTATATTTGAAAATCTACTACTTGGCTGAGTACAGAAGCTCTGCTGTTCAACATTCTTCCTTCATCTGAATTGTTGGCAGTACTTTCCTGTGAAATAATACCTAGAATAATCTGTAATCTGAATAATACCTAGAATGCCAAATATCATCTATAAAATGGAAATCAACTGATAGTTGTTACTGACTCTCCATAAGATGAGTCATCAATAGGTTCTGTGCAGTTTCTTTCTCCAGGTTACTCAGGCAGAGTCTTTAGGTAAAGCTCATAAATTAGCAGGAGTCCAACATGTATTCTCCAGAGGAAACAGGTCTGAAGGTTTATTCCAAAACTGTCTGCTAGTTAGTGTCAGAACTGGGAGAGACAGCTAGGTACCATACTCGTGCTCTGAGATGCTTACATGGCAATAGCACAATTGCATCTTGCCTGTGATTGTGATCCACTCATGAGCATGTCTTCCATTTGCTGTGTTCTCTCCCTGTTCCCATTAATAATCTAGACCTACTGTGACTCTCTTTGTCATCAACTTCTACTAATCCTTCAGATTTCTATTTAGGAACTTTGTAAGATGGGGCTAACAAGATTCCCAGAGCTCACACAGGGTTAGCTATCGCTATCATTCCTGTTCCCACCAGCCAGAGCAAAGAGGCCTCAAACACACACAGCATTGGGTATAGTATTCCAAAAGCATAAAAGAACATTTAAAGGTTCTAACTGATCTAACTGAATCATGTAACATAACTGTACAACAAAATTAAGTAAGTCACTATTTAGAATGACTGAAGAAAAAAAAAAACCCTGCACCCGTCAAACTGTAAAATTCACAATGTCTGGCATTCAAATAACACAGGGGAAAAGTGGGAAAAGGATTTGAACAGATGCTTCTTTACAGAAGGCATATAGATGACCAACAGGTAAATGAAAACTTGTTAAACATCACTAATTCTCAGAGAAATGCAAATCAAAACTACAATGAGATATCATCTCACATTTGTTAGGACGGGACGGTAGTTACCAAAAAAATACAAGATAAGTGTTGGTAAGGATGTGGAAAATTTGGAATTATTATACACTGTTGGTGGGAATGTGAAATGGTGCAGTAGATATGAAAAATAGTATGGAGTTTCCTCACAAAATTAAAAATAGAACTACCAGATAATGTAGCAATCTCTCTTACGGTATTTATCTCAAATAATTGAAATCAGGATCTTGAAAAGAAAATGCACCCCCAGGTTCACTGTAGCATTATTCACAATAACCAAGATATGGAAACAATTTGTGTCATTCCACAGATGAAGAATGAAGAAAATGTGGTATATATATATACATACAACAGACTATAATTCAGCCTCAAAAAAAAAAAAAAAGAAAGAAAGAAAAGAAAATCCTGCCACTGGTGACAACATGCATGAAGCTGGAGAACATTATGTTAAGTGAAATAAGCCAGTTTCTGAACAAATACTTCATGAAACCACTTTTATGAGGTATCTTTAATAGTCAAACTCACAGAAACAGAATACAATAGCAGTTTCCAGGGGCTTGGAGGTGAAGGAAGTGAGGAGTTGTTCAATCAATATAACGATTCAGTTACACAAGATGAGTAAGTTTTTGGGATCCACTGTACAACACAGTGCCTGTAGTTAATAATATGGTATTGTGCATTGAAAAAAAAAAGTAAAGATACTGTGTTAAGTGTTCTTGACATGAAAATAAAACAAAATAAAAAAGGAGGGGCATGAGGAAACTTTGGGAAGTATTGGATATGTCTGTTACCTTGATTGTAGTGATGGTATTATGGGTGTTTGTGTATGTCCAAACTCATCAAATTCTCATTAAATATATACATTTCTTTGTATATGTCAATAATACTTCAATAAAGCTGTTTTAAAAAAGAACAATAAGAAGAAGACAGTGTTTGAGAAGAATTTTAGAAATTAGATATTAACTAGAGTAAGACTGTGGAAAGAAATATTCAATTATTTTATTCAAAGCAGCTGTGTTACATCCTTGCTTTCTAAGAAAAGGTGGTTTAATTATCTCAATACTTCCTAAGATAGGCGTTTGAAAGAAATTTCTCTAAGGAGCAAATATAGTGAAGGTAATTTACATCTGAGCAAACAGTTGCTTTATCCTTTAAATGGTAATTTGGGAATGCAACAGCAAGTCTGACGTACTTTTTTGTATCCTAATTTACAGTTTTTAAAATTAGAATAAACATAAAGCCAGTCTATTTTTGCAATTGCTATCTGATATCTGTTTTTCTTTCTTTGGTGACAAATAGAAATTTATGATAAAGATGACCTCTAAAATCTCTGAGATCTCTAAACTGAACATCTTCACTTTGTATAAAAGGATGCCAGTAGAATTTTGTGAATTATTATCATAAGGTTATACGTAAATGCATATTATACATTATATTTAAAAACTCACAGACCAAATATTTTAAATATATTACAAATACTCTATTACAGTGTTTTTAGAAACCAATGTTTTTAATTTTATAATTTTAGTTCTCTTTTGAGAACCTTGGTACTTTTCTATGATCAGTGTTAGGAAATTGCAACTGCCTTTTACTGAGACAAACTCAATTACTGAGTTCATATAACTTAGAGGGGGAAGATAATGGCTTTAAATATTTTATCCTCAGAATGGCTTAAAAACATACTTCAGGAAGAAATCCACTTATTAGGAAATTCATTACTTGAATTTTGTCTTGGGAATAGTTTCAATATTGATCAAATGGTTCAAATAATAAAGCAGCTGGAAGAAGTAGGTTTTTCCAAATCTCTTTGGGTAAACATGCTACGAGCCTTTAGGAGAAAGTACTTTTGAGACCCTGGTGATTCAAGTATTTCATTTTCTTCACCAACATACTTAGCAATGCATTCTTTATTTGACAGCAGTTGAATTCCTCATCTTACTTTGCATTATTTTCTATGACTATTTTTGGGTCCCACCCCTCTACCCCCAGAGCTTAGAGGAAAAGCTTAAGTGCTTTAGTAGAGCTTTTGGGGAGGAGAGGATAAATATAGATTTTAAAATAATATTCCTACTAAGATTTGTGCCTAATGTATTTTATACTATTTATCTTCTTTTGCTCATACAAAAAAAAGAAAAAATCTTTTCCATGATTTCTTAATATATGTATTATATATTATACATAACTAATATATATTACATATTTATATATATATATATATCTGTCTATATGTATACATATATAGACAGACATGCTATTTATTTTCAGTCTTAATGGAAAGTTTTACTTAGGGATCCGTTCCACACAAATCTATATACATTAGATTAAAAGTAAAGTTGAAATTTAAAAAGCATCATGAATAACTGTATTAGTCATCAATGATTTTTAAAAATAAACCAATCATCCCTTAATTCATCTTCAAACAATGACAACACCCGACAATGCCGCCCCACCAGCTCAGCCCCAGCCAGCCATGGGGAAGGGGAGCCCAGCCCACGCCCAGGGCCCCGGCAGCTTCCTGCATGGTGGGGCCGGAGACCAGGGCAGGGGCAGGCCTGTGAGCCCTGGCCTTGCCTCGCCTTGCCTTGCAGATCACCCTCTACGAGGACCGGGGCTTCCAGGGCCGCCACTACGAATGCAGCAGTGACCACACCGGTCTGCAGCCCTACTTGAGCCGCTGCAACTCGGCGCGCGTGGACAGCGGCTGCTGGATGCTCTATGAGCAGCCCAACTACTCGGGCCTCCAGTAGTTCCTGCGCCGCTGCGACTATGCCGACCACCAGCAGTGGATGGGCCTCAGCGACTCGGTCCGCTCCTGCCGCCTCATCCCCCACGTGAGTGCAGTCCCACCCGGGCCCTTCCGTGCCCTCCAGTCGCATCAGTGATCCACATGGATGATTCACATGACAGGCGACGGGATGGGATGGCAGGCTTCTTTTTTCTGGCTCTAACTATATTCTCTTTTCCTTTATTAACATCCGTAAGGTTTCCTCCCACTGAAAAAGTATGTGATGCAGTGCTTTTAACTGGTCATTTTATTTTGCTAAAGTCAAATTCACCTCTACTGGGAATAAGTTGTGCATGGCATTAGCTCAGAGCGTCTATGCCACAGGTGATGAATGAGCAACAGAATTCCTTGCTCTCAGGTGGTCCTAAACTAGGTACTTGGCTATTTCTTGAAGAGTACCTATGCTCGGTACTCTTCGCCTATGAATTAGGACTAATAACAATAGTTCCTTTCTAAGGTTGCAATGAGGTTGAAAGGAGGGCACCTGGCACAGGCCAATCCCCACCCCCGAGTATTAACTATTATGAACATCAAGGGTCTCTCAAGTCCTGCCTTCTGATTGGGCAAACCAGTAACCAACAATGAGATTCCAATAGCTCCTGCAGGGCCCACTGTTACCTAAATGAAGCCCCAGCAGCCTGGAATTTCACAGTTAGGGATTCCCTAAGTTGACTGTGACAGAGTCCCGGAAAATGAACCACTTTTGTGAAGTCTGAAATGCCCTCACAGGGTTTAACAGCTTGATAAGGACCCAGTCTGGCATTGGAGCCCAAAAACTTAGATTTCTAATTTCAAGTTCCAACTCTTCTAATTACAGACTGTAAGATCCAGTCTTTAGTTTTCTAGTAAAAGGGGAAAAGGCTTTAACGTTGCTCCACATGTTCCAGGGTGTTGTGAAGAACAAATGAAGCAATATGTCAGTCCTTTGCAAACACGGAATGCTGACCAATGTAAAATACCTTATTAGCAGCTGTGCATACCACAAGAGGAACTGCTTTTGAGAATCTCTCCTAAAGAGGGTTTTAGTGGTGGAAGAGGAAACATATTGCGACAAGGGAAAGAAACAAGCAGATGAAGGAAGAACAGCTCAAGAGAGAAAGGCAGGAATAGCTCAGGAGAAACAGCCTAACTTTCCATTTTTCTAAAGATTTTATACTCTTTGATGCTGTACAGGCCTCTTTCAAGATCTTGAACTTCCATTTTTGGTTATTACCTAAAACTGATTTGCAGGAGCACATGTTGGAGCTGAGAACTGAAACCTAGTCTTTGTGATGACTCTTGCTTTTTAGCATGTTAGAGCAGCAGGGCTTAAAGCAGAAAGGCACAGATGAACGGATTGCCCAGGCTGGACTCTCTTCCTGAATTGCCACCAATCTGTGCCTTGCTTGGGTAAAAGAAATTCAACCTCCTCTCCCTCTAGCTTCTGATGTTATTGAGATTCAAAATAATACCTGTTGCCAGGGACACATTTATCTTTTTGTTTAAAATCTGATTATTTTGTATGTCCTACAGGGAGAGCCCCAAACCACCACAATCTATAAAGGAGAAAATGAAACAAATACATAAAATACCTGAAAGTGGTCCTGAGCAGAACCAGTGTGTCTGTTCATGTAGATTGTACCAAAAGCCCTAGGGAGCATCATTCATACCAAAAGAATGGGGAATGACGCCCTCTTGAATTTCACAGTGGACAACATGCCCAACTATACATAGCGCCCCTGGTATTAGCAGTCTCTTTCTTTTAGTTTGGTCACCTTTGATACAGCAAAGATTTTTTTAAAGTCCATTCCCCAGGGGTGCCTGCTGAAATGAGGTCAGGTTTTCTGATTTTCCCTCATCTGCTGTTTGCTGAACCCCCAGGCCAGTTCCCACAGGCTCAGGATCTATGAGCGAGAGGATTATAGGGGCCAGATGGTGGAGATCACTCAGGACTGCTCCTCTCTTCACGACCGCTTCCACCTCAGTGAGATCCACTCCTTCAATGTACTGGAGGGCTCCTGGGTCCTCTATGAGCTGCCCAACTACTGGGGGGACAGTACCTGCTGAGGCCGGGGGACTACAGGCATTACCTCGACTGGGGGGCTACTGATGCTAGAGTGGGCTCCCTAAGGAGAGCTGTGGAGCTCTACTGAAATATTTGTACTCTATCCTTTGCTCCATCTGGAAACTAATAAAATATTTCCTGTGCGTTCTATGCAGTAATGTATCCTCTGTTCCTTTCAGCCTCCTTGGAAGGGCTCAGCAAAAATCATGCTGGGAATCATGTGGATTTTCTTGCATGTATCAGTGGAAAGGGGGTGTGAGGCAGCTGTTAAGAGCACAGCCTCTGGGGCCAGAATGCTGGGCCCAACTCTACTTACTAGTTATAGTTGTGGAGCAAGTTACTTAGCATCTCTGTCCCTCAGTTTCCTAATATGTAAAAATGGGGGAAATAATACTCTTCCTCTCACAAGGTTGTGATGAGATTAAACCTTATTAATGAGGTTAAATGGATTACATGAGTTAACACTTTTAAATCACTTCCTATAGCTTTGCATATGCTCATTTCTAGGAAACTGTTCTGTAAGCTTGATTGTGAAACATCTGGTACCCTCCTTGGTACTCTTTTCTTAGTAGAAATCCCTTTAGGCAATTGCATTAAGTAGGTTGGCTAAGTGAAATTGCATCAGAGGGAGATAGGGATAGAGATAAATTTGTTAAGATACCATGTCTGACACATCTGAGGTCTAAAAATATGTGACTGACTGAATAGATTTATTAATATTTATGTGTCTGGAGCACAAATAAAGAAACAAAGTGCCATCTTAATAAACAGCCTTAAGGAACTCTTCAAAATACAGTTCTCCTTAAGGGAGTTACAGAACACTCAGGCAGTGTGCAGTGGTAAAAACAAGCACACAATACAGTAGTAAAGGCAGAAGGTACATGACCAGGAAAATAAAATTCAATAATGAAAAGCACATCATTGGCTGTGAAGATATTGTCCTCAAACTTAAATAAATCTTTATGACATCTAGTTTATGAATCAGCATTTGATAATCATAACAATAAGAAAGAAAAAGGAAATTTATGGGGACTAATTTTATAATGGAGTTCAATATCTTTGCACAAAGGTAGAGTTCATCAAATGAAATCTATTTCAGTATTCTGTCATACCAAAAGGTTTTCTTTAAGTCCACATACTAAATTTTACATGCTTATATGTAATCAAGAAAAATCAAATTTCTTCTCAGCTTAAGAGTTTGCTATAACTGTGCAAATGGCAACCTCTTCTTGAAATAAGTTTATGATGAATTAAATGGCCATGATTAAGATGGAACCACTAGAAACCATTTTCTGCTTGAGTAAAAATATCAATCAGCTACCAAATACGTTACTTCCAAAACTCCGAACATTAAATGGATAAAGTAGCTACGTTATTTAGGTCTAACATTTTACTTACCTCACACATATGCATGCTCCAAGATATTTGCAGACGCTCTAAGAGCATTTAGAACAACTCTGCTAGCCACATGTAGCATTGAACACTAGAAATGGGCCTAGTCCAAATGAAAATGTGTTTTAAATGTAACATACCCACTAGATTTCAAAGAATTTGTACAAAAAAGAGTGCAAATATCTCCTTATTACCATGTCATAGAATTTAATGTTGAAATAAATTTTGGAATATATTAGGTTAAATTAAATATATTGTTAAAGTTAATTTTACTTGTGCTTTTAACTTTTTTTTTTTGAGGCAGAGTTTCGCTCTTGTTGCCCAGGCTGGAGTGCAATGGCTCAATCTCTGCTCACTGCAATCTCCACCTCCTGGGTTCAAGCGATTCTCCTGCCTCAGCCTCCCAAGTAGCTGAGATTACAGGTGCCTGCCACCATGTCTGGCTAATTTTTTGTATTCTTAGTAGAGATGGGGTTTCACTATATTGGCCAGGCTGGTCTTGAACTCCTGACCTCAGGTGATCCACCCGCCTCAGCCTCCCAAAGTGTCGGGATTACAGGCATGAGCCACCCCGCCAAGCTGCTTTTAACTTTTTTAATGTAGCTACCAGGAAATTGAAAATTACATTTATGACTCTATTTCTATTGGGTAGTGCTGACCAAGATACCTAGACGAAAAAGAAATACCTGCAATTTATATTCAGATACAGCTCAGCCTTCAGCATTTTAGTTCAAGGTGTTTTATCCTGAAAATTAAGTTAAATAAAATCCTGAAATCTACCCTCCTATGCGATGTTCAATTAAATTATAATTTTCACCTGTCACTGATTGAGGCTATGGGGAAGGAGTGAGGTCAAGCCATGTCTCATTATGCGGTTGTTCCATTAGCTACAACAAATTAAAATTTCAACAATACACACGGGTTCTTCAGGCACCAGTCACTTCTTAGCGAATTCTACCCACTTTCCCTCTCCTTATCCAATGATGACCCTTCAATTATGAAATGTTCATTCTGGAGACAAATGATTTGCTTCCCATACTAAATTATAAACTTCTACAAAAAAGGATAATGTCTCAGACACACTGGTATCTTCTCAAGGATGTAGCGGAGTCTGCCTGGCACAAAGCAAGCCCAATGGTGTTGAATGAATGCACTCATAAAAGGAGGAATCATTCGTGAATCAATGGTTTTGGAGGATTTAGGATAAGATAGTTTCATATAAAACATTAGATCCTGGAAAAAGAGTGCCTTGACCTAACTGAGGCAGGAAGGGGAAACCCAAATGCTTTCAGTGGCCAAGAAGGTAATGGGAATGTGAGGAGTGGCTGGTATATACTGGTAGGAAATGGTGTGTGTGTGTTGGGGGTGGGGGGTTCTGTAACTAACTTGAGAGCACATGTTCCAACTAAAAGCATTGTGACTTAACAATTTTAAAACACATGGAAAATGTGATTTAGCTGAACCTAAGGGCTTCTCTTTTGCTATCTCTGAGCAGATAAAATCTCCCCTAAAAATGAACACCTCAGGCAAACAACGACAAAAACAAATAAAACAAAAAACAAGCAGGCTTATGAGGTTTTCATAAAGGACAATCGTTGGGAATCGGTCCTTTACATCCATCACAGCCTGGTGGCTCTGGAATATCCCTTACTATGGATGATTTCTCACATGTCCAGCTCATTATTCATAGAGATGTTATATAAGCACATTCTTCAAGGTGAAAGCAAAACATCTTTTACTAAGAGCTATAGGCAGGCAGGCAGGAAGTGGCTACTTATCAAAGAGTACCTGGGCCACTATCCTGCCTCAATTACTTACCTGGCCTTGTTCTGCCTGCAATTTACATCCACACCTGAGAGGAGAAGACACTTCAGATATCTTTTCTGTAAGCACCTTCTGTTTTATCTCCATCCCATTCTCCTCCTAATCCTTCCTATTTATTCACTTTACCTTTTCAACTATTGAAAAGAATCAGAAAAGATAGAATCCAGTTTGATAGACCCTGAAACTTAAAGGAGGCATATACGGTCTGATAGGATAATTTAACAAGAGAAATCCCAGATGCTTCCTGACCTATCAGTGGCCCTGATCCATCCATAGGTCTTTATTAGGTCCAAAGAATGGATTTAAATATGAGGTGATGAGACAAAATCCTGCATGTCAGTTGCAGAGGAATTAAAACGGAGAGATTTGTCATTCAAGATGCAAGCCCTGATATTTCACAGCAACATTTGAAAATATCAAATGGTTGGGTGAGAGTAGCTTTTTACTAAATTTGAAAACAAAACCTGGAGAACTGGGAAAATTTATGAACTGTGTATTAACAGGTC
Organism: Homo sapiens; assembly: GCF_000001405.40. Taxonomy (NCBI): domain Eukaryota; kingdom Metazoa; phylum Chordata; class Mammalia; order Primates; family Hominidae; genus Homo; species Homo sapiens. The sequence goes on from NC_000002.12 coordinate 209,151,322, forward strand.
CAGCAGAAAATCTGAATATTGTATATTGCTCTTAGTGAACAAAATGCTCATAGACCAAAGGCAAAGAAAAAGGCACCTCCAAAAGGGAACATTCTTTTTCTTGTTTCAATCAGGTGCTGGTTTTCAAAACTCAGTCAAAGTAGTTTCTTTAACAGGATGAGCCCTGTGGAAAGCTTCCAGGATGCTTGTTCTGAACATGCAATTATTTTTACCCTGACACATTGTAGCCATAGAGGTATTTGTTGTCAGGCTTACTGTCTGAGGGAATTCTCCACAGTCAAGAAACCTAGAATTCTTGAATTTTGATAAGAGACTCTGAAGTGATAAATTGTTTACAGCACTTGAGAGGTAAAAAAGTTACTGGGTTATAGCTACAGATTAGTTTTATGAAAAACCCTTTGCCCTGGTCAGTAGAAGAGCTGAATCTCTTATTAATGAAATGGAATGAGACCACTGACATACTTGATTTATAAGAAATATACATGAATAGCTCAACCCTACAAATAATGTGCATTTCACACAAAAGGATCATGTGTGATACATATATATTATGTTCACTCACAAGTTTATGTCAGATACTAGCCAAACAAATTAGAGAAAAAAGTGAAGAATGCAGAAAGCAGAATTTGTCTGCAGGACTACAGTTTATTTACTACTTTGTAGTTTATATGTCTATTCTGTGAAAATGAAAGCAGTGGAGCATTTTCTAAACTGCTTCCTTAGAAACTCAGACTGCACACTGCCCTTGGAACACCCAGTAGAAGAGAGAAGGATGTCACATGTTCCTCAGTCTATATAAAAAGACATGCCTTCCCCATATCCTTGTCTTTAATTGGGCTTATGTACTTTGTATTTTTGCAAAATGATATTCTCAATTAGTAATAACTTAGGTTCAATATATATATATATATATATATACCTACCTGATAGTCCAAGTTGTTGCATGGTATGGTAAAGCGAGAATGGTCTTTGTAGTCAGAAACAGCTGTCTTTGGCTTCTTGCTTCTTGGTGCACAGACATGCAAGTATGGGCATACTACCAAACCTCTCAATGTCTTGCTTTCTCTGTGGGTATAATTGGGAGGGTTAGGTATTGTATGCATTTGCCTTGTACAGAGCCAGGTAAAGACTGGGTGTTAAATAACTGTGAGTGTCTTTTATTTTTCTCACTAAAATTGTTTGCTCTACTTACCTGGTGATTCATGGTAGAACACTTTACTATGCATGGAGGAAACCAAGACCAAGGAAATTGCAGAGAAGCTGGAATCCTATTTCACTATGCTTGGAAACTGTAATCTCTCTAATCTTCCTATTATCTTTAGATGTTGTTATCTTAACATCTATCTACAGATTATCTGTAATAGATGTTAAGATAACAACATCTAAAGATAACTGTAGATAGATGTTAAGATAATAACATCTAAAGATAATAGGAAGATAAATAACAAGATAATAACAAGGAAGATAAAAAGATATATAAGATATTTAGTGTTAACCAAGTATCTTTAGATGTTAAGCTAATATGAGGTTGAGTTTCTATTACATGTAGCCAAAAGTGTTGAAACTGACATAGATAAAGTCTGATTCTATGTCCAGCTTCTGACAGTGATCTCATAAGCTTATTAATCCATTACATTTTTTCAAACCTCAGATACCAGGTGGTTCAGGTTTGGTCACATGATTGGGTCTGACTCATCATCGTTGAAGAGCTTCAAATCAATATATTGAAATTTTTAGGGAACTGAACTTTCTTTTGAGTTCCCTCTTGATATAAATGAAGATGCACATAGCTCTGGAGTCTACACTAAACCAATGATTCCCCTTTTTCTCATGCCATTCTGGGTTGAACTTTCTGTTCCTTGTAACTAAAAGCTTATTACATGAGATTTGTCTCTAAAAAAATACTAGTTTGATTATATTTCTGGTTGAATTTTTAATTTCTTGTGTCTGTAATCAACATTCTAATGACTATAATTACAGGCAAAATGATTTTCAGGATTTGAAAAGGCCAGAAACCCACCCATTAAAAAAATAATAAATCTCCAACCGGGAAATTAAACCAATGTGAAGAAATTCCTTCTTAAAGTTTACAATCCATGGAGAATCTATCTTAGAGTCCCTTTCTTACAAAATTAATGCACAGAGAGTAGCAGATTGGTCAGCTGCCTACCGAGTTTTCCCAGAGGCCAGGAGACAAGCTGCAGAAGTAAGAGATTATCTTAATCACAGCTGCTATCATGTGTTTTCACTTGTCTCAGAGAGGGCCAGAAATATACAGTTCATATTAAACATTAGAAAAATAACCAAAGTTACTGCCTGCAAAACATTTATTTGTACAGTATCATGACTCATATTTTAAACAAATAATTAAACACTAAAATTTGTGTGGGTTTTTTTCAAAGTAATTGTGCTAGGGGGTTATTTGCATTTTTACTGTGATGTTTTTATTGTTAAAAAAAGTTTTTTTATTATTCTCTTTTTAAAAATCCCTAAAGCATTTGACATATTCTTTTCATAATTTATCCATGATGGTAAATTTCCTATGGAATGTAAAACTGGCTTTTTCATCAAAACTAATGATTAGGGGGATGAATTAGGTGAGTTGTCAAATTGAGCCTCAGTTTTTGATTAAAAAGATAATAAAGGTAAGCTATGAAAAAACTATGTATGCAAGCCAATTTTGAATATTTTTTTCTTTTGAGTGGGACTATGAAGAATACCTGCTACCATCTTCAAAAAAATGGGAAAAAATGTTCAACAAAGCAACAAAAATTTCCCTAGAAGAATGCTAATGTAGTATGAGAAATGCATTCTCTTGGTTATGAAAGCTTTTTCTTCTATAATGTTATGTGAAAATGCAAATATTTCTGAGTGAGAGGGTTGAGGAGTAACTTGATAAATGAATACTTGATTAAAAGTAACCTGGTGAAGAACATGGGAACTGGAAGAGATAATATGACACAGGTGACTGTTAAAAGGGAGAGGCTGTATCTAACCCATTCCTCCACCCCCAAAAAATATGAATCTAACCTAAAGTCTTGTCTAGGCCTTTCCTACAGTGTAGGAGAAGAATGGATACTACATGATACCACCACACAACAAAAGGCTCTGGCAGGTAATGGGGAGAGATGCAGCTCTATAGAGGTCACTGTAAATGATGGAAATTACTATAACTTTCATTAACTCAAAAATTCATTCTACTCTTTACCTTCTTTCATCTAGAAAGACTTTATGACTTCCTTTTTGTTGGTGAAGACAATGGTACCTTTACAATTTGATATACCACATGTAGCCTTAGTCTTTATTCCCAGAGACACTGATCATTTTCTTTAGCATGAAAATATTAAAAAGTAAATTTTTTGGTAGATAAAAATTTGTAAGTACCATGTTCACATTTTTCCTGTATTTATTTCCCCAAAGATCTGTTATTTTTGTCTCTGAAAGAAACCTGGGATGACACAGAGATTAAAATATATGGAAAAAGAGGCATTTACATAGACAATAAACCAAATCCCATTTGAAACTAACAAAATGCCCTGTAGTTAAATATATTTAAAGCTCTTTGGGGCAGTAAATTAATCATCTCCAAGTTCTCTGGCATCTGCTGAAAATGAGGAAAACCTGCATAGCTTTTATTTTCTGACAATGTAAAGTGGGTTCATCCATCTCTGGAACTAAACTTTGCTTTATCTGAATCCCCAGCTTAAATCTACCATGAAGACCTTTTTTACAAATCAAGGAACTTGTGTTCTAGAATGGATAGCCAGGAGAAGGCTTTCTGGGAACAAGTGGATACTTTGTATAATCAAGTAAAATCAGCCCTGTGCCAGGAGTTACAGGACTTGGAAGCTTGGGAAAAAACTGAGCAACTGTCACAACTCAAAAATAAAATGGCAAATAACTGAATTTAAATCTGAATGGATATTTCTCCAAATAAGATATACAAATGGCCAATAAAGACATTACAAAATGCTCAACATTATTCACCATTAGGGAAATGCAAACCCCAAATGTCCTTCACACCCACCAGAATGCCTATAGTAAAAAAAAAAAAAAAAAAAAAGATATAACAAGTGTTGGAGAGAATGTGCTGAGGGTATAAAATGGTACAGCCACTTTGAGAAACAGTCTGGCAGTTCTTCACATATTTAAACAAATTTACACATTATCTAGAAATTCCACTGCTGGGTATTTGCCCAAGAAAAATTAACACACATATTCACACAAAAGCTTGAAAACCAATGTTCACAGTGGCATTATTCATAATAGCTGAAGATGGAAACAACCCAGATGTGTGACAACTGATAGATGAATAGACAATAAGTATTAACAGAATGGAATATTATTCAATGATAAAAAGAAGTAGGTACATGCTAAAACATTTATGAACTTTGAAAACATTATGCTATGTAAAAGAAGCCAATCACAAGGAACTATATATTATATTACTCTGTCAGAGGCATTTGAACCAGAGCAACTTCATCTTGAATAGGGGCTGGGTAAAATGAGGCTGAGACCTACTAGGCTGCATTTCCAAACAGTTAAGGCATTCTAAGTCACAGGATGAGACAGGAGGTACAAGATACAGGTCATAAAGACCTTGCTGATAAAACAGGTTGCAGTAAAGTTGGCCAAATCCCACCAAAACCAAGATGACCACAAGAGTGACTTCTGGTTGTCCTCACTGCTTCACTCCCACCAGCACCATGACAGTTTACGAATGCCCTGGCAACATCAGGAAGTTACCCTATATGGTCTAAAAAGGGGAGGCATGAATAATTCACCCCTTGTTTAACATATAATTTAACATATGTTTAACATATAATTAAGAAATAACCATAAAACCATAAAAATGAGCATCCAGTAGCTCTCGGGGCTGCTCTATGGAGTAGCCATTCTTTTATTCCTTTACTTTCTTAATAAGCTTGCTTTCACTTTACTGTATGGACTTCCCTGATTTTTTTCTTGCATGAGAACTCTCTCTTGGGGTCTGGATGGGCACCCCTTTCAATTCTACTAATATGAAATGCCCAAAAAGGCAAATCTACAGAGACACAACATATATTGTAGTTGCCTAGGGCTAGGTTGTATGGAGAGATGGTGTAATATATGTCTTATATCTTGACAAAACTATTAAACAAAAACACAGAGGAAGGCTTTGGGATCTATGGCTCACAGTTCTATAAATAAAATAATTTTAAAATTTTCCAAATCATTTTTTTCTTTTCTTACTAGTAATTTTCCTTAATTTCATGCTTGACAATAGGTCCTTATATTTGATTCTTTAGCAGTGAGGTTGTTTAAAAAATGATTTTTCTGAACAAATGGATGTGCAGAATTTCTACCAAGTCCTACGAAGTTCTACCAAGTCAGTAACAGACATGCAAACAGAAGCCTGGTTTTCTAATTTTTAACCTAGAACTTGATCTCTTAGCAATCTAAAGCAGTGGAATTGGTGTTAAAAAGCAAGGAAATGTAGTAGTAGGGATGCACTATTAAGATTTTTTAAAAGTATTAAATTTTAGCCCAAATTGTTGGAAAATGCAGTACAAACATGTCAGAGTTCATTCAATTCAAAGTTAAATGGAATCTCTTCTCACCTCAAACTGTGATTTTAAAAAGGCTTCTTTCTTGTTCTTCATTGCAAAAGTAATTTCTTAGGGAGAAGAAACAATCTGTTGGTTGAATCCATTTTTTTCCCTAACCTTGTGTGGCAGGCCAGGTTTCACACAGGCCTCCATAACAACTGTCTCAGTACTGACTGAGTAGTTAAATATTAAAAGCTGAAAGAGCCAGTGTCCTTATGCAAAGGCTGGAATGTAACAAAAGCCCACCAAGCATTTTGCCTAGGCCTTTCCTGGGCCTTAAAGCATGACAAAATAATGAATAAACTCTTAACAAGACCCATCTGGGATTAAACAAGTTTTATTAGGGATCTGAAGAAACTCCCCAGGCCTCCACAAACAAGTTTATTGGGGGTTTGAAGGAACTCCCCAGACCTCCATGATTTAGCAGCAGACAAGAGAAAGGTAATCACTCCGGCACCTGAACCCATTTAGATTAAGTAAATTTACCTGAGGCTCCAGAGGAAGGTTTTCAGGACTCAGATCTTAGCTATAGATTAAAAGAAGTTAATAACTTATGTCTTTAGATGAATGCACGTTTACACATAGTCATATAGCTTGAAAAGTATATAAGCTCTGGGAGAATTTGTAATTTTGAGTTGGGCTGGTGGTATTTTTCAGGCCTTCTCCCTGCAACCGGTTACAGAAATAAAAACTCTCTTCTTCATCTACATCTCGTTATTGGGCCGTGAGAAACAGCAGCCCGAACCTCAGTTTGGTTCCGGAACACTTGCACTTATCTATTTTAAAATTACTTTTGGTACTTGACTCTTTGGGATAAAGAAATACTGGTGAGAAATGAGGACAGAAAGAACAGAGTGCTCTGAAGCAGAGTTGGGGAGCCAAAGATCGAAAGGTCTTTCTAGTGATACATTTAAACTCTCATTTCAATCAGCTCTGTCCTTTTTAATAGATCAAATCAAATGAATTCTACAGAGGAAAAGGAATGTTCTCTGCTAGAGAACAGACAAAGAAGGCAAATACTTTCCCAAAAGATTTCTCTGTTTGGTGTTTCTTTGTTTGACTTATTTTTTGTTTTCTTGTTCCTGTTCACATTTCTCTTGTCTTATCTCCCTATAAAGGCTCTGAGATATGTTTTAGATTTTGATCTCTGGCAATGAGAAGAGCTTCCTCTGCATAGTAAGGATTCAAGAATGTTATTACTGAAGATGTTGGTCTTTTCTAGTGTGCAGTGAGGTTTTATTCTCCTGCTTCTTATACTGTTGGCACTGGAAATTCTCAACTTTCCCAGACTTACATCTTTGTCTTCCTCATTGCTCTTCACAAAATGAATTATATTTCTACCAGTGAGGACCCACCTCTTTTTGGACCATGGCTTGACTTTTATTAAAGTCAACTAAAGAGAAATGCAGATACTGCTTTGTAGCTGTTGACCCCACATGTTGTGACTGATGATGGAAGACAGAAGACTGCCCATAGGAAGGCCAGCCACTTGAACATGAGAAAAGAACACTGAACTTCTTATTATATTTGCTTACACATTTCAATTGGCTATGTCTTTGCTGTGCACTTACTTCACAATTTAGCTAATTGACAATGTCCAGGTTAAACACTGGTGGCCTCTCGTGACTAGAATTAAAAGGAAGCTATATACATTGCCTTTTCAACCTCAAATCTCTACCATGTAGTAAGGGGTTAAAATTTGGAACATAAAATGTTTAGTTGCAAGAAGGAAAATAAGAGGGGGAACCAATAACTAAGCTAGAGAAGAAAATAAAGTGTGTTAATCATAACGTAACAAAGCTTCTCACCTCAGCAGTCTTTGGACAGAATAGATATTTTGTGGCAGGAAATGTGGAATTAAATTTTCTCCACTCTTAACTTTTTGAAAAAAAAACTTAATTCTTGTCTTTCTTGTTTTTATAGTGTCTGTACTTTTTTAGTCTTAACAGTTTCACTGCAATTTTGGAAAGAGAGTATAAATGAATTTACAAACAGATTTTGCAAGAGGTAGCATACAGTGACAATGGCTCCTTAAAAAAAAAAACTGCTATATCCATACCCTTGTCAACATTTTAACCTATTTCCCTTATTATTGCATCTAAAATATCCTTCACCCTATAAGCTGCCAAATCTTGTTGCACTTTACTTCAAAACCTGGTTTTCAACTCATATCCTTCACAAAGCTTTTCCAAACTAATCCTTCTTAGTTTTAAAAAAATTCTACTCTTGACTTCCAAATTCACATTCCTTTCATGTCTATGTGATTCAATTATTGCTTTTTCAAGAAACAGAGTATTTTTTTAGTTTAAATTTTGTAGAAGTTTTACTTACAAAAACTCTTCTTGAAAACATTATGTAAAATGTTTAATTTCTTCAACTTCTTTAACATAATATCTGATCATCATCTCCATTTTTGTAGAAAGTTTACTGTTTTCTTACCATTAATCAATTGATATAACACCTCCTATTTTTTTTTTCAGAAAAAACAAAGTCCCTATGTCATTATTTTTATCTTGAAAACAGTGAAACTAAGAAACGTAATTTGCCCCAAATTACGTAGTGAGTAAGTGGTAGAGCTAGGATTTAAATGTAGATCTGTTTTATGGCAAAGGACCTGGTCTTAACCCGCATTAAGATGCTGTATTCCCAAAGAAACGGAGTTAAATTCTTGTGGAGAAAATGTGTGTTGGGGCTAAATCAAAGGCAAAAATAATAATAATAATAATACATTCAAGAATCTTAACAACAACAAAAACTGAATAACCTGGAGACACAGGAATAAAACAGGATCATATTTTAATGAGTGAAGGTCAGAAGCCAGAAGTCTGCTATCACAAAAGTGCTTTGTAACCCCACAGGAGTTTTTGACCTCCCGTTGCAGTTTCTTCATCTTTACAATGAGATAGGTGAATAGATGAACTTGAGAGTCATCTGTAACTTAAGAAAGTTTAAACCATGTAAAAATCAAGTTCAGATAGAAGGGAAAACCTTTTCTAAATTTTGGTTCTATATTCCTTTAAATTTAGATCCATTCAAAGTCACATACAAAATTCAAAACAATATAGACTAAAAAATAAAAAAATTGGTAGCTATTAAATTAATCAATATAGCAAATTTATAATCCATGCCACCTCAGAAAATTTTAATGCATTTGACATGTCAATAATATTGCACACCCAGAAGAGACATACTGTATTCAGGCTTATGAAAAACATATATTTATGCTGTTATATTTGCAGGACAGCAATCAAAACAACAATCTGATTTTATCTGTTTTAGATTATTATGCCTCCACTCAGTCTAAGCTAGGGGTGGAAAACTGTTGATCAAAGGGTACAAAGTTTTAGGTAGACAGGATAAATAGGTTTTGAGATCTATTGCCTATCAGGTAATAGATCTCAAGTACAGTCTCAGGTGACTATTGTGAATAATAATGTGTTGTATATGTCAAAATAACTAATAAAGTAAATTTCAAATGTTTTGTTATAAAAAAAGATAAGGTGATGGATATGTTAATTAGCTTGGTTTAACCATGCCACATTGTATACATATATCAAAACCTCATGTTTTACTCCATACATGCATATAATTGTAACTTAGTCAAAAATAATGTTAATAATAAAAATAATAATTTTTAAAACTCTCTCTCTTTGACTTTTGACAATTTGTTTATAATGTGGCCTTGGTAGGAAAAAAACTTTCTTTTGTGGGCAGGTGGGGTGAAGTGTGTGGCTGTTCTACATCCAGATATGTATTTAGTAATGCACAGGGACACAAGTTCTAAAGGCATATGAGGGAACTGTCTTGGGGGTGGGGGTACAGAGGTTAAGTCTGGTGGGTGTGTGTGCATATACATACAGCTACAGTGAATGCCTAGTCTACTGAACATGCTGGAGCATGTGCCATGGAGGTGGCAGGCACATAATAATCAGGTCTGGTGGGCACTGGGCAAAGCTACAATGGGCACGTGGTCCAATGGGTGCATATGCTTAGCTTCAGCAGGTGTCTGGTTCCTTGGTCATATGTGCACAGCTGTAGTGAAGACCTGGTCCAGTAGGCACCTGAGCACACATGTGGTGGCACCATTAAGTGCCAGGAACTGTGCACAAGCACGTGCTTTATGTCAGGTTCCTATTCTCAGGCATGGCATGTGCAGCCTGGCTTTGGCTGCAACTCCAGCAGCTCTGAGTCCAGTGTGGGAAGGGGTGGTATTTGGCATCTGTGGCGTCAGTGACGCAGCAGCTGGGGTCCATGTCAGAGAAGACCGCAGAAGTCCTCTGCAACGGTAGCTAGGGCCACTGGAATTCTTGGTGTCAATGGCTGCTGAGGTCCACCCACTCTCCCTGTTCCCCCATGAGGGAACCAGTGACCAAGGGGATTCCTTGTGGCACCATGCTAATCTGGGGGATGGGGCAACACAGAAAAAATGCTTCCTACCCCTTTCTATTAGCCATTCCTGGTCTCTGCACTCGTGTGGATTGCTGCTGCCCCCTAACTGCCTCAGGGCTTCTCCTAGACCTATCCTTTTCCACAAATATTTGATTTTATCCTTGTTTTTGTTTAGGGGTGAGAGTTGGGATCACCCAGTTTGCCATCTTGCTGACATCACTTCCCAAGCAATTTTTACTTTGAATCTTTTTCTGTATCTGTATCCTCTGCTTGCTATGGTCTCCAGACAGCTTCTTGTCTAGCAATAATATAACCTTCAAATCTGCTCAAATATCACCTTCTGACTACCCCATTTCATACTGCAATCTATTTCCAGTCCCCCCCTGCACCCTAGCACTCCTTGTCACCATTACTCAAACCTACTTTTCCTTTAACCCATAGCAATTCCCTCTTTCTAATATATTCTAAATTATGTACTTACTGTGTTTATTGTTTGTAGCCTTTCCTACCCAGTACAAATTAGGTCTATAAGGACAGAAGCTTTTTATTATTATTATTATTATTATACTTTAAGTTTTAGGGTACATGTGCACAATGTGCAGGTTTGTTATTCAGTGAGAACACATGGACACAGGAAGGACAGAAGCTTCTGTTTTGGTCATTGATAATTCACTTGTTTATTGAGCAGTGCCTAGTGAATGATAAGTGAACTAAGGAATGTAGCTATTTGTTAAGGTACTGTGGTACTGAATAGAGACTTGAATTGTGATAGTTCGTTAGAGTCAGTTGTGTTAGAATATGTATTCTTCATGGAACCATATTGATAGTAGGATATTGGCTAGTTGACACATACATCTACCATCTCCTGTATCTCAAATAGACTGTCTAATAGAGACTTATCTATACATCAATGAATTTTAAATAAAAATACCCAACTCATGACAATTGTTTATCACCCGCTTTACCAAATCCTGATGCAAAGCAAGAGAATTGGATGATTAAACTACATGAGTCATCTATTCTTATTTTCTTATCTGCAAAGACGTCCCTTTGCACTCTCTGATCTCTTTCTACTCCATGAGTCATTTGACTTGTTATACTTTCCCCATTTCTACCCTTTCTTTTGCTTTTAATACAAACTTCACTAAAACTAATAAAATAATTTTAATAAAATGAAGAGATGTTTAAAAAATCAAATCAGAAAAAAACAAAAAATTTGATGTTTTGGTTTACATTTTATATAAAATACTTAATTTTACATTATTCTTTTTTATTTTATTTTATATTTTTATTTTAATTTATTGACATTTATTTATTTTTTTAACTTTTATTTTAAGCTCAGGGTTATATGTGCAGGTTTGTCACATAGTTAAACTTGTGACATAGGGGTTTGTTGTACAGATTATTTCCTTACCAAGTATTAAGCCTAGTACCCAATTAGTTGTTTTTCCTGATCCTCTCCCTCCTCCCACCCTCCACTCTCCAACAGGTCCTAGTGTGTGTTGTTCCCCTCTATGTGTCCATGTGTTCTCATTATTTAGCTACCACTTATAAGTGAGAACAGGCCGTATTTGGTTTTCTGTTCCTGCATTAGTTTGCTAAGGATAATGGCCTCCAGCTCCATCCACGTGCCTGCAAAACACATGATCTCGTTCTTTTTTATGGCTAGTATTCCATGGTGTACATGTACCACATTTTCTTTTTCCATTCTATCATTGATGGGCATTTAGGTTGATTCCATGTCTTTACTATTGTGAATAGTGTTGCAATGAACATATGCAAGCATGTGTCTTTATAATACCCAAAGGAATATAAATAATTCTACTATAATTCTACATTATTCTTTTTTTGTTTATATCTACAATGTAGGGATGTTTTAAATGTCTAGACTAGTACTTATATGATGGATTTATGTATGTTTGTATATATAAGTGGGTGTGTTTGAAGATAACTTATTTCATTTTAGTATATATTTATTTTGATTTCAAATATCGTATCTGTTATAGAAATTGGGAAAATAAAGAAAAGTATAAATAAAAGCCACAAAATCCCACCATTGAGAGACAATTATTGTTTACATTGTTATTGTATATCTCTCAATTGTTTAAAAATATTTTAATTACGGGGGAGGAGCCAAGATGGCCGAATAGGAACAGCTCTGGTCTACAGCTCCCAGCGTGAGCGACGCAGAAGACAGGTGATTTCTGCATTTCCATCTGAGGTATCGGGTTCATCTCACTAGGGAGTGCCAGACAGTGGGGGCAGGTCAGTGGGTGCGCGCACTGTACGCGAGCTGAAGCAGGGTGAGGCATTGCCTCACTCGGGAAGCGCAAGGGGTGCTTTGAAGAGAGCAGTGGTTCTCCCAGTATGCAGCTGGAGATCTGAGAACGGGCAGACTGCCTCCTCAAGTGGGTCCCTGACCCCTGACCCCCGAGCAGCCTAACTGGGAGGCACCCCCCAGCAGGGGCACACTGACACCTCACACGGCAGGGTACTCCAACAGACCTGCAGCTGACGGTCCTGTCTGTTAGAAGGAAAACTAACAAACAGAAAGGACATCCACACCAAAAACCCATCTGTACATCACCATCATCAAAGACCAAAAGTAGATAAAACCACAAAGATGGGGAAAAAACAGAACAGAAAAACTAGAAACTAAAAAGCAGAGCGCCTCTCCTCCTCCAAAGGAACGCAGCTCCTCACCAGCAATGGAACAAAGCTGGATGGAGAACGACTTTGACCAGCTGAGAGAAGAAGGCTTCAGAGGATCAAATTACTCTGAGCTACGGGAGGACATTCAAACCAAAGGCAAAGAAGTTGAAAACTTTGAAAAAAATTTAGAAGAATGTATAACTAGAATAACCAATACAGAGAAGTGCTTAAAGGAGCTGATGGAGCTGAAAACCAAGGCTCGAGAACTACGTGAAGAATGCAGAAGCCTCAGGAGCCGATGCGATCAACTGGAAGAAAGGGTGTCAGTGATGGAAGATGAAATGAATGAAATGAAGTGAGAAGGGAAGTTTAGAGAAAAAAGAATAAAAAGAAATGAGCAAAGCCTCCAAGAAATATGGGACTATGTGAAAAGACCAAATCTACGTCTGATTGGTGTACCTGAAACTAACGGGGAGAATGGAACCAAGTTGGAAAACACTCTGCAGGATATTATCCAGGAGAACTTCCCCAATCTAGCAAGGCAGGCCAACGTTCAGAATCAGGAAATACAGAGAACACCACAAAGATACTCCTCGAGAAGAGCAACTCCACGACACATAATTGTCAGATTCACCAAAGTTGAAATGAAGGAAAAAATGTTAAGGGCAGCCAGAGAGAAAGGTCGGGTTACCCTCAAAGGGAAGCCCATCAGACTAACAGCGGATCTCTCGGCAGAAACCCTACAAGCCAGAAGAGAGTGGGGGCCAATATTCAACATTCTTAAAGAAAAGAATTTTCAACCCAGAATTTCATATCCAGCCAAACTAAGCTTCATAAGTGAAGGAGAAATAAAATACTTTACAGACAAGCAAATGCTGAGAGATTTTGTCACCACCAGGCCTGCCCTAAAAGAGCTCCTGAAGGAAGCGCTAAACATGGAAAGGAATAACCGGTACCAGCCGCTGCAAAATCATGCCAAAATGTAAAGACCATCGAGACTAGGAAGAAACTGCATCAACTAACGGCAAAATCACCAGCTAACATCATCATGACAGGATCAAATTCACACATAACAATATTAACTTTCAATGTAAATGGACTAAATGCTCCAATTAAAAGACACAGACTGGCAAATTGGATAAAGAGTCAAGACCCATCAGTGTGCTGTATTCAGGAAACCCATCTGACGTGCAGAGACACACATAGGCTCAAAATAAAAGGATGGAGGAAGATCTACCAAGCAAATGGAAAACAAAAAAAGGCAGGGGTTGCAATCCTAGTCTCTGATAAAACAGACTTTAAACCAATAAAGATCAAAAGAGACAAAGAAGGCCATTACATAATGGTAAAGGGATCAATTCAACAAAAAGAGCTAACTATCCTAAATATATATGCACCCAATACAGGAGCACCCAGATTCATAAAGCAAGTCCTGAGTGACCTACAAAGAGACTTAGACTCCCACACATTAATAATGGGAGACTTTAACACCCCACTGTCAACATTAGACAGATCAACGCGACAGAAAGTCAACAAGGATACCCAGGAATTGAACTCAGCTCTGCACCAAGCGGACCTAATAGACATCTAAAGAACTCTCCACCCCAAATCAACAGAATATACATTTTTTTCAGCACCACACCACACCTATTCCAAAATTGACCACATACTTGGAAGTAAAGCTCTCCTCAGCAAATGTAAAAGAACAGAAATTATAACAAACTATCTCTCAGACCACAGTGCAATCAAACTAGAACTCAGGATTAAGAATCTCACTCAAAACCGCTCAACTACATGGAAACTGAACAACCTGCTCCTGAATGACTACTGCGTACATAACGAAATGAAGGCAGAAATAAAGATGTTCTTTGAAACCAACGAGAACAAAGACACAACATACCAGAATCTCTGGGACGCATTCAAAGCAGTGTGTAGAGGGAAACTTATAGCACTAAATGCCCACAAGAGAAAGCAGGAAAGATCCAAAATTGACACCCTAACATCACAATTAAAAGAACTAGAAAAGCAAGAGCAAACACATTCAAAAGCTAGCAGAAGGCAAGAAATAACTAAAATCAGAGCAGAACTGAAGGAAATAGAGACACAAAAAACCCTTCAAAAAATTAATGAATCCAGGAGCTGGTTTTTTGAAAGGATCAACAAAATATATAGACCACTAGCAAGACTAATAAAGAAAAAAAGAGAGAAGAATCAAATAGACGCAATAAAAAATGATAAAGGGGATATCACCACCGATCCCACAGAAATACAAATTACCATCAGAGAATACTACAAACACCTCTATGCAAATAAACTAGAAAATCTAGAAGAAATGGATAAATTCCTCAACACATACACTCTCCCAAGACTAAACCAGGAAGAAGTTGAATCTCTGAATAGACCAATAACAGGATCTGAAATTGTGGCAATAATCAATAGCTTACCAACCAAAAAGAGTCCAGGACCAGATGGATTCTCAGCCGAATTCTACCAAAGGTACAAGGAGGAACTGGTACCATTCCTTCTGAAACTATTCCAATCAATAGAAAAAGAGGGAATCCTCCCTAACTCATTTTATGAGGCCAGCATCATTCTGATACCAAAGCCGGGCAGAGACACAACCAAAAAAGAGAATTTTAGACCAATATCCTTGATGAACATTGATGCAAAAATCCTCAATAAAATACTGGCAAAACGAATCCAGCAGCACATCAAAAAGCTTATCCACCATGATCAAGTGGGCTTCATCCCTGGGATGCAAGGCTGGTTCAATATATGCAAATCAATAAATGTAATCCAGCATATAAACAGAGCCAAAGACAAAAACCACATGATTATCTCAATAGATGCAGAAAAGGCCTTTGACAAAATTCAACAACCCTTCCTGCTAAAAACTCTCAATAAATTAGGTATTGATGGGTCGTATTTCAAAATAATAAGAGCTATCTATGACAAACCCACAGCCAATATCATACTGAATGGGCAAAAACTGGAAGCATTCCCTTTGAAAACTGGCACAAGACAGAGATGCCCTCTCTCACCACTCCTATTCAACATAGTGTTGGAAGTTCTGGCCAGGGCAATCAGGCAGGAGAAGGAAATAAAGGGTATTCAATTAGGAAAAGAGGAAGTCAAATTGTCCCTGTTTGCAGACGACATGATTGTATATCTAGAAAACCCCACTGTCTCAGCCCAAAATCTCCTTAAGCTGATAAGCAACTTCAGCAAAGTCTCAGGATACAAAATCAATGTACAAAAATCACAAGAATTCTTATACACCAACAACATACAAACAGAGAGTCAAATCATGAGTGAACTCCCATTCACAATTGCTTCAAAGAGAATAAAATACCTAGGAATCCAACTTACAAGGGATGTGAAGAACCTCTTCAAGGAGAACTACAAACCACTGCTCAATGAAATAAAAGAGGATACAAACAAATGGAAGAACATTCCATGCTCATGGGTAGGAAGAATCAATATCGTGAAAATGGCCATACTGCCCAAGGTAATTTACAGATTCAATGCCATCCCCATCAAGCTACCAATGCCTTTCTTCACAGAATTGGAAAAAGCTACTTTAAAGTTCATATGGAACCAAAAAAGAGCCCGCATTGCCAAGTCAATCCTAAGCCAAAAGAACAAAGCTGGAGGCATCACACTACCTGACTTCAAACTATACTACAAGGCTACAGTAACCAAAACAGCATGGTACTGGTAGCAAAACAGAGATATAGATCAATGGAACAGAACAGAGCCCTCAGAAATAATGCTGCATATCTACAACTATCCACAACTATCTGATCTTTGACAAACCTGAGAAAAACAAGCAATGGGGAAAGGATTCCCTATTTAATAAATGGTGCTGGGAAAACTGGCTAGCCATATATAGAAAGCTGAAACTGGATCCCTTCCTTACACCTTATACAAAAATCAATTCAAGATGGATTAAAGACTTAAACGTTAGATCTAAAACCATAAAAACCCTAGAAGAAAACCTAGGCAATACCATTCAGGACATAGGCATGGGCAAGGACTTCATGTCTAAAACACCAAAAGCAATGGCAACAAAAGACAAAATTGACAAATGGGATCTAATTAAACTAAAGAGCTTCTGTACAGCAAAAGAAACTACCATCAGAGTGAACAGGCAACCTACAAAATGGGAGAAAATTTTCACAACCTACTCATCTGACAAAGGGCTAATATCCAGAATCTACAATGAACTCAAACACATTTACAAGAAAAAAACAAACAACCCCATCAAAAAGTGGGCAAGGACATGAACAGACACTTCTCAAAAGAAGACATTTATGCAGCCAAAAGACACATGAAAAAATGCTCATCATCACTGGCCATCAGAGAAATGCAAATCAAAACCACAATGAGATACCATCTCACACCAGTTAGAATGGCGATCATTAAAAAGTCAGGAAACAACAGGTGCTGGAGAGGATGTGGAGAAATAGGAACACTTTTACACTGTTGGTGGGACTGTAAACTAGTTCAACCATTGTGGAAGTCAGTGTGGCGATTCCTCAAGGATCTAGAACTAGAAATACCATTTGACCCAGCCATCCCATTACTGGGTATATACCCAAAGGACTATAAATCATGCTGCTATAAAGACACATGCACTCGTATGTTTATTGTGGCACTATTCACAATAGCAAAGACTTGGAACCAACCCAAATGTCCAACAATGATAGGCTGGATTAAGAAAATGTGGCACATATACACCATGGAATACTTTGCAGCCATAAAAAATGATGAGTTCATGTCCTTTGTAGGGACATGGATGAAATTGGAAATCATCATTCTCAGTAAACTATCGCAAGAACAAAAAACCAAACACCGCATATTCTCACTCATAGGTGAAAAATGAACAATGAGATCACATGGACACAGGAAGGGGAACATCACACTCTGGGGACTGTTGTGGGGTGGGGGGAGGTGGGAGGGATAGCATTGGGAGATATACCTAATGCTAGATGACGAGTTAGTGGGTGCAGCACACCAGCGTGGCACATGTATACATATGTAACTAACCTGCACAATGTGCACATGTACCCTAAAACTTAAAGTATAATAATAAAAGAAAAAAAAATTTTTCTAATGGAAAAAATATATATATTTTAATTACTCATTTTATCAAAAAATTATATTTTATATGTTCAAAATTTATATGTACATTCTATTCTATTTATAATATGCATATTCTAATTTATTGCTGAAATTATACAATATATGTCTTATTTCTGTTTTTAGACAGATTTAATATTTGCACCAGTCCTTTACTATGGTTTCCCTATAACTGATGTGGTAGGCAGAATAACTCCTGAAGATATTCACATTCTAATCCCCAGAACCTGTGAATATGTTACATTATGTTCCAGAACTTTCCAGATGTGATTAAGAATATTGCAATGGGGAGATTATCCTGGATTATCTGGGTCGATCCAATTTAAATCACCAGGGTCTTTATATGTGACAGAGGAAGCTAATAATGTAAAAGTCAGAGACTTATTTGAAAATACTATCGTGTTTGATTTGAAAATGAAAGAAGTGGCCATGAGCCAAGGAATGTTGTCAATCTCTAGGGTCTGGAAAAGGCAAGGAAACTGATTTTTCCCTAGACCCTCTAGAAGTCCCACTGATACCCTGATTTTAGTATGGTGACACTCGTTTTGGACTGCTGAACTCCAAAACTAGATGATTTTTTAAAAATTGTACTGTTTTAAGTCTCCAAGTTTATGTAATTTGTTATAGCAGCAATACAAAACTAATATATCTGAGTTATTTGTTCTGATTTATTTCTTCAATATTTGGATATGATCAAGTAGGATTGCAAAAGTGCTGTGTTCCTGAATTGGTGTTTCAGAATGTACACCTTCACCTTTATGGTAAGAGTATATAAAGGCATCATGTTACTCAGATCTTTTATTGCTCCACTATCTTCTTACAATATGTTTTTCACTGGAGAAATTTTTCTCCTTTGTACATCACTATGTTTTCCTACCTGGATATTTTAAGATTTTTTTCTTCATTATTGAATTTTAATGAGCTTTACAGGATTTTCTTTGTGTTAATTATTTTGTATCGATATTTTTACTGCAAAACCTAAAGTTCTTTTCATCTACAGTCACATATTATTTTGGGAAAGGTTTCTTCCAACATATGTTATGATAATTATTATTTATGTTTTGGTTATGCACATAAGGAAAATTATTTAGGTTTATGCTGGATACTCTTTATCTTTCAAACATATAATGTTTATCATTTATATTTTGTACTAGATCTTTACCTGTTTGGATTGCAAAATTTCCTCAATTCTTTCTACTGCCACCCTGACTATAATTTCACTTTAGTATAATTTTCCCTATGGCTTGTAACATTGCTTTGCCTCTGGAATACTTTACATTATATTATCCCTCCCCACAGAAATAATCCAGTTTGCTTTTCATTTCTTTTGTTATCTTCTAATCATTTCTTTGAACTTCACTACACTTTTGTTGAACTTTAATAGATGCTTTGTTTGATCAACATTTCATGTGGAACTATAGAGAATAGTTCCTCCAATAGTTCATGTGGAACTACTGGTCAAATATCTTCCCTGTCAGTTAATTCTCCTTGGAGATGCATTTTCTTCTCCTGACTTTTTCTCAAGTTTATTCAAAAATGTTTTCATGGATTCCATCCACAGGCATACCTCGTTTTATGGTTCTTGCCTTATTGAACTTCACACATACTATGTTTTTTTCACAAATTGAAGGTCCATGACAACCCTGCATGAAGCAAATGTACTGACTCCATTTTTCCAACAGCATGTGCTCACTTCATGTCTCACTGTCACATTTTGATAATCTCATATTTCAAACTTTACTATTATTATTATTAATTATGTCAGTTACGGTGATCTGTGATAAGTGATCTTTGATATTATTGTAATTTTTATGAGATGCCATGAAGCGCACCCATATAAAATGGCAAACTTAACTGAGAAATATTGTGCACATTCTGAGTGCTCCAGTGACCAGCCTCATCTCTCTCCCTCTGCTCAAGCTTCCCTATTTGCTGAGACACAACAATATTGAAATTATGCCAAAGAATAACTGCACAATAGCCTCTAAGTATTCAAGTGAAAGCAAGAGTCCCATAGCTCTTACTTTAAATCAAAAGCTAGAAATGATTAAGATTAGTGACAAAGGCCTGTCAAAAGCCCTGATAGGTCTAAAACTAGGCCTCTTGCAACAAACAGCCAAGTTGTAAATGCAAAAGAAAAGTTCTGGAAGGAAATTAAAAGTGCTACTCCAGTGAACACACAAGTGATGAGAAAGCCATGCAGTCTTCTTGCTGATATGGAGAAAGTTTTAGTGCCCTGGATAGAAGACCAAACCAGCCACAATATCCCCTTAAGCCAAAGCCTAACCTAGACCAAGGTCCTAATTCTCTTCAATTATATGAAGCTGCGAGAGGTGAGGAAGCTGCATAAGAAAAGTTGGAAGGTAGCAGAGGTTGGTTCATTAGGTTTAATGAAATTAGTCTTTTCCATAAAATAAAAGTTCAAAGTGAAGAAGCAAGTGCTGATGTAGAAACTACAACAAATTATGCAGAAGATCTAGCTAAGATCATTGAAGAAGGCGGCTATACTAAATCACAGATTTTCAGTGTAGATGAGACAACCTTTTATTAGAAGAAGATGCCATCTAGGACTTTCATAGCTAAAGAGGAGAAGTCAGTGCCTGGCTTCAAAGCTTCAAAAGACAGGCTGACTCTCTTATTAAGGGCTAATGCAGTTGGTGACTTTAACATGAAGCCAGTGCTAAATCTAGTTTGCCTGTGCCCTCTAAATGAACAACAAAGTCTGAATGGCAGCACATCTATTTACAGCATGGTTTACTGAATATTTTAAGCACACTCTTGAGACCTACTGCTCAGAACAAAAGATTTCTTTCAAAAGGTTACTGCTCATTGACAATGAACGTGATCACCCAAGAGCCCTGATCTCAGAGATATACAAAGAAAGCTATATTATTTTTATGCCTGCTAACGCCACATGCATTCTGCAGCCGATGGATCAAGGAGTAATTTTGGCTTTCAAGTTTTGTTATTTAAGAAATACATTTTGCAATGCCATAGCTGCCATAGATTGTGATTCCTCTGATGTATCTAGACAAACTAAATTGAAAATCTTCTGAAAGAGATTTACCATTTCTAGATGCCATTTAAGAATATGTGTGATCATGAGAGGAGGTTAAAATACCAACATTATCAAGAATTTGGAAGAAGCTGATTCCAGCCCTCATGGATGACTTTGAGGAATTCAGGGTTTCAATAGAAGAAGTCACTGCAGATGTGGTGGAAATAGCAAGAGAACTAGAATTAGAAATGGAGCCTGAAGATGTGACCGAATTGATGCAACCTCATGATATAACTTTAATGGGTGGAGTTACTTCTTATGGCTGAGCAAAGAAAATGGTTTTTTGAGATGGAATTTACTCATGATAAAGATTCTAGGAACATTGTTGAAATGATAAAAAAGGATTTTGAATATTACATAAATTCAGTTGATAAAGTAGTGGCAGGGTTTGAGAGGATTCACTCCAATTCTAAAAGAACTTCTACTGCGGGCAAAATGGTATTAAACAACATTACATGCTGCAGAGAAACCTTTTGTGAAAGGAAGAGTCGAACAATGGAAATTTCACTGCTGTATTATTTTAAGAAATTGGCATAGCCACCCCAGCCTTCAGCAACCACCACCCTGATTAGTCAGCACGCATTGACACTGAGGCAAAATTCTCACCAGCAAAAAAGACTATGACTTGCTGAAGGCCAGATGATTGTTAGCATTTTTTAGCAATAACGTATTTTTAAATGGAGGTATGTATTTTTTTTTAGATGTAAGTCTATTGCACACTTAGACTAGTTAGTATAGTACAAACATAACTTTTGTTTGCACTGAGAAACAAAAAAAAAATGCCACTCACTTTATTGCAATATTTGCTTTACCATGTGGTATGTAACTGGACCTGCAATAACTCTCAGATATGCCTGCATTTCTTTTTTTCTTTTCCTTTTTCTTTTTTTTTTTTTTTTTTTTTTTGAGACGGAGTCTCACTCTTGCTGCCCAGGCTGGAGTGCAATGGCGCGATCTCGGCTCACCGCAACCTCCGCCTCACCGGTTCAAGCGATTCGATGCTCCTGCCTCAGCCTTCTGAGTAGCCAGGATGACAGGCATGTGCCACCACCCCTGGCTAATTTTGTATTTTTAGTGGCGACGGGGTTTCTCCATGTTGTGCAGGCTGGTCTCGAATTCCTGACCTCAGGTGATCCGCCCGCCTCAGCCTCCCAAAGTGCTGAGATTACAGGCGTGAGCCACCGCGCCTGATCGATATACCTGTATTTCTTACAGATTTCTCTCTTACCTGGGAAGCATGTGTCCTTTCAGTGTTCAGGGTTCATACTAGTCACAGAAAAAAACTCTGAGGCCACAGGTCCTCAGAGGCTCCATCAGTTAATCAATACCTTCCCCTCTCTTCAGAGGGATTACCCTGATAATTCTCCCACAACCAGAACCTGAGTAGGATGCCAGATATGTAAATAGGATACAATAGAACTTGTGTCCACATAGTTTCCCTGCAAATCTATATTTTTGCAGTTTAGATAAGTCCTTAAAAAACATTCTGCACTTCTCTTCTGGTAATATCATACCCTAGTTTTTTTCAGTACACTAGCGAAAATTATTCTTTTTTACTCATATATTATGTCTCAACAAAATGTAAACACCTTCAATTTTACTTGTGGTCAATGCAGTTATGTGTTGTATAATCTTCGGATGTGGGAGATTTAAGTATCTATCTAGGGGGTAAGGAATTACTTGTTATCAACTCCATTTCTAAATTGAGTGTAAACATATGCCTACATAGGTAAGTTTTTTTTGTTCGTTTGTTTGTTTTGAGATGGAGTCTTGCTCTGTCACCTAGGCTGGAGTGCAGTGGCGTGATCTCCGCTCACTGCAAGCTCCGCCTCCCGGGTTCACCCCATTCTCCTGCCTCAGCCTCCCAAGTAGCTGGGACTACAGGTGCCCGCCACCATGCCTGGCTAATTTTTTTGTATTTTTAGTAGAGACGGGGTTTCACTGTGTTAGCCAGGGTGGCCTTGATCTCCTGATCTCATGATCTGCCCACCTCGGCCTCCCAAAGTGCTGGGATTACAGGCATGAGCCACTGCACCCAACCATAGGTAAGTTTTTAATACAGCAGCCCCTCCTTATTCACAGTTTCTTTCTGTGGTTTCAGTTACCTGGGGTCAACCACAGTCTGGAAACAGGTTAGTCCATTACAGTAAGATATTTTGATTAGCTGGGCATGACTGTGGGCACCTGTAATCTCAGCTACTTGGGAGGGGAGGTTGAGGCAGGAGAATCATTTGAACCCAGGAGGTGAAGTTTGCAGTGAGTCGAGATCACGCCATTGCACTCCAGCCTGGGTGACAGGGCGAGACCCCAACTCAGGAAAAAAAAAAAAAGGGTATTTTGAGAGAGAGAAAGACCAAATAACTTTTATTTTTATAACTTATTAAACTTTTATTTTTATAACTTTTATTAAGGTATATTGTTATAATTGTTCTATTTTAGTAATAATTATTGTTAATGTCTCACTGTGTCAAATTTTTAAATCAAACTTTATCATAGGTATGCATGTATAAGAAAAAAACATAGTATATATAGGTACTATCCATGGTTTCAGGCATCCACTGGTGGTCTTGAAACATATGCTCTGCAGAAAAAGGTGAACGTCTGTATTTTACCAGGCATTTTACGACCTGTTAATGTGAAAGAACTTAACTAAAGTGGGTCACTGCAGATTAAGTTCTTATTAAATTCTAATACTGATCAGTAGATACTAATTGGGACATACTGGGTTTTCTAAAATTATTATTAAGTATCTGAGATACATTAAGTTAGTAAGTATTTAGTAAACATCCACTATATGTCAGGCGCTATGATGGGCATTTTGAAAGTATCAGTTAATAAATAAGTTAAAATCTTTGCCTTTATGAAAGCAGGTCTGTGACAAGCATGAATGCACTTGCATGACCTGAGAGTGACTGTCTCCTTAAATTTTGCAACCTAGATGCCTTGCTGGCCTTACCCTAGGACAGCCATATGACATGAACCTTATGATGCAGTGGGGAAAATGCAACAAACAAGATTAGTGAGTAAACCATATGGTATTTTAGATGTTGGTAAATTCTTTCAGATAAAATAAAGAAGGAAAATGGGATAGTAACTTTTTTAGTTGTTTAGGGCATGGGAAAGAGTTGCACTTTTAGTTAAGGATGTCTAGGGATATTTTCTTTGAGATGGTGGATGTTGAGTATGCCTGATGAAAGAGACATAGTGAATTAAATGGAGACTTGAGGGAGGGATTCTAGCCAAAGAAACGAGTAAAAAGGCTTTGGGTAAAAGCTTACCTATTATTCTAGAACAACAGAAAGGAGACCAGTATGGTTGGAGTGGAGTGAGCAAAGAAGAAAGTTGTAGGAAATCAGTGATAAGACTGGGCCCATATCAGTAGGAAAATTCAACCACTATGAGGACTTTGGTTTACATTCTGCATGCTATGGAAAAGCTCTAGAGAGTTTTGATTTGAGAATTGTCACGGATTAACATATTTTAGCAGCACTACTCTGCTGCTATCTATAGAAAAGACATTAGTGTTGCAAGATCCAAGTGGTGAGGTCAAAAGTCTACTGCACAAACACAGGAAATGAATGCATGATATGTTGTATGTAATGCTACAGAATTTGCTGTGGGTTTGAATGGAGGGAGAAAGAGAAATTGTGACATTAAGGAGGACAAAGTTTTTTGCCTTAGCAACTAGAACATTGTTGTCCTGTATTGAAAGATGAAGACTGTTCTGGTTAGGAAATGGTAGGTTCAAGATGTGTGTTAGACATCTAAATGAAGATGTTAAGCAGTCAATTTTCCCTCTAAGAATCAAGAGTTCAAGAGGGAAGCTCACGTTAGAAATGTAAGTTTGACAGTCATCAGCATGTAGATAGTATTTAGAGTCATAGCATCAAGAAAGTGAGACTAAATAGAAAATAAAAGAAATCTTGGATTTACTTCTTTGGCTTCTCCAATGTATAGAGGCAGGGAGATGAGGGAATGTCAGCAGAGGAGACTGAGAATAGATGGAGGGAGGAGGAGGGAAGGAAGAGAGTATTATCTTAGAAGCCAAGTGAAGGAGGCATTGCAAAAGTGTGTCAAATGTTGTTTTATCAGATATTCCCCAAATCATATGAGGATACTACGGATCTTATTAAAATGCAGTTCCATTGAAAAAGTAAAGAGGGATATTGCTAAATATTATACTTATTTGTATTTTTAGTACTTATATTCTTCTTGGGATTTTTTTTAGCATTTTATTTACTCCTTCATTGGTGCAAGCTGAGGGGATACAAATATGATGATGTGTGCTTCCTGCTATTGAGGAATCTGCAGTGTGAATAATGATCTTATGGTCATTGCATTGATCCATCCTATTATTTTGTAGTATGTGAGAACCGAGTGAGGCAGAAGGAGAAAAAAAAAGCATTGATGGCAAGGCTACTATATTGTAAGTGCCCCCAATCTTACCCAGAGAACATTCTCTGACTTTTATTGACCAGTTGAGTCAAGAGCATCCCATCAGAGGTGGATAACATACTAAATCTCTAGTTATGAAATTCCAGATATTTCCAGTATCCTATTCTCACAAAAAGGCAAGCATCCATCATAGTTGAAATTCAGGTTTGTAACATGGATTAGAAAGAAGCTAAAATACTGAGTACTAATATTGCAAAGAGTAATCTTCTAAAACAATTTTGTGGGATTCAACATTGGGTTTTTTTTTTAGCTTTTAATTAAACCTAATTTGGTTGTGACATTTTGATAGATTCAGAGAATTTTCAGCCTTCCCACATTGATTCGCTATTCTACCCTTTTGACAGTGTGTTCTTCCCACACACAGAATTTCAGGCATAGAGGCCTCAGTTGAACAAATATAAGTAGTATCACACAACCTTCAATTTTACGTTTAAATACATTTAAAAATTATTAACTTTGAAATAATAAAAAAGTGAAAAAATTACGTTTCATTATGAAAGACAAGAACTCATTTAAGTCTTTGGGAAAAGTAAAACAAGTAGAAGAAAGAAAGAGAGGGGAAAGTGGGTTAAAAAAACACTTATTTAAAGAATTTTTTTTGAATTTCAGCTTTTATATTAGATCCAGGGGTACATGTGCAGGTTTGTTACCTGGGTATATTGCATGACACTGAGACTCAGGATATGAATGATTCCATCACCCAGGTGGTAACTATAGTACCCAGTAAGTAGTTTTTCAACCCTTTCTCCCCCTCCTCCCCTCTAGTATTCTCTAGTGTCTACTGTTCTCATCTTTATGTCATGTGTACTCACTGTGTAGCTCCCACTTATAAGTAAGAACAGGAAGTATGTGATTTTCTGTTTCTGCTTTAGTTCGCTTTGGATAATAGCCTCCAGCTGCATCCACGTGGCTGAAAAGGACACGCTTTCATTCTTTTTTACAGCTGTGTAGTATTCCATGGTGTATATGTACCATATTTTCTTTATCCAATCCACCATTAATAGGTACCTGGGTTGATTCCTTGTTTCTGCTATTGTCAATAGTACTGCAGTGAACACACAAGTACATGTGTCTTTTTGGGAGAATGATTTATTTTCATTTAGCTATATATCCAGTAATGGGATTGCTGAGTCAAATGGTAGTTCTGTTTTAAGTTCTTTGAGAAATCTCCAAACTGCTTTCCACAGTGGCTGAACTAATTTGTATTCCCATCAATAGTGTATAAGTGTCCCCTTTTCTCTACAGCCTGGCCAGTATGTTATTTTTTGCCTTTTGATTAATAGCCATTCTGACTGGTGTGAGATGGTATCTCACTGTGGTTTTGATTTGCATTTCTCCGATCACTAGTGATGTGAAACGCTTTTTCATGTTTGCTGGACACTTTTATGCCTTCTTTTGAGAAGTGTCTGTTCATGTAATTTGCCCACTTTTTAATGTGGTTATGTGTTTTCTGCTTGTTGAATTAAGTTCCTTATAGATAATGGATATTAGACCTTTGTCAGATGCACAGTTTGTGAATATTTTCTTTCCTTCTGAAGGGTATCTGTTTAACTCTATCAGTAGTTTATTTTGCTGTGCAGAAGCTTTTTAGTTGAATAAGGTCCCACTTGTCAATTTTTGTTTTTGTTGCAATTGCTTTTGAAGACTTAGTTATAAATTCTCTAAGAACTTTTAATGGTTTTTATATGTCTCTGTTATGGTTTCATCCACTTTCATTCTAGTCTTGTTTTCTAACCAGTTATCTTCAAACATGTTTAGAATTCTTTAGAAAGGGGAATATAGTTGTCACCCAACTATTTTCCATTCAATTTTAGAATGATCCTAGGTCTAGAGAGTGATAAAAATAGAGTAATTTCTTATCCTCTGCACGTTTCTCAGAGAGCTAGTCCACCAGCCATCATATTTCAACCTTCACTTAAGTTATAGGCATGGTGGAATGTTCAGTCTCAAGAGTGATATATGAAATGCAAGAATAGATATGCTATAGTCTGAATGTGTCCCCAAAATCATGTGTTGAAATACAGTGGCCAATGTGAAAGCATTAAGAGATGTGGCCCTTAGGAGGTGAGTAAGTCATAAGGGCATAGCCTTCATGGGAAACAATGGCAAACTTGGAGTGACAGATCTATGCTTTTGAGGGAAGCTACCTGGAAGACACTCAGATGTATGGCAATATTACTCCTGACTGGGATCGGTATCTGACCAACCGAAAAAACTCCTATAGCAAAAATGATAGAAGGAACCAGAAGTTTAAGGAAGCTAAGCGGTTCTTCAGTAAATCCTCAGTTACCTCAGCAGCTGCATTAAGTGCATTGGCAGGAGTTCAGGACTAGCTCATTTAAAAGAGGGAGCCAGCAGTAGGTATTGGAAATCTACAAAGGATGTCCAGCCAATGAAGTACCCGTACATACCAAAGAAATAATTATGCTCTGAATACAACAGCTACCTATGCGGAGCCCTCCAGGCCCATACAATACCAAGTGCAATAGTGTAATTATAACAGGCTTCAGCACGCAGTGCCGGCTAATGATGGCACCACAAGATCCCCATCAATAGACAGCATTCAGAAGGACCCCAGCGAGTTTGCCTGGCGTGATCCTGAGTTGCCTGAGGTCATTCACATCCTTCAGCACCAGTTCCCATCTGTTCAGGCAAATGCAGCAGCCTACCTGCAGCACCTGTGGTTTGGTGACAACAACGTGAAGATGAAGGTGTGTAGGTTATGGGGAATCAAGCTTCTGGTTTACCTTTTGGGCCACAGAGTTTTGGAAGTTCAGAAGAATGCTTGTGATGCCCTTCGAAATCTCTTTTTCGGCAAGTCTACAGGTGAAAATAAAATAACAATGAAGGATGTTGGTGAGATATCTGCCTTGTTGTGACTGTTGAGAAAATCAATATTGATGCAGAAATAAGGGAGCTTGTTACAGGAGTTCTTTGGAATTTATCCTCACGTGATGCTGCAAAAATGACAATTATTCGAGATGTTCTCTCAACTTTAACAAACAATGTGATCGTTCCACATTCTGGATGGAATAACTCTTCTTTTGATGATGGCCATAAAATTAAATTTCAGACTTCACTAGTTCTGCGTAGTACAACAGGTTGCCTGAGGAACCTCAGCTCTGTGGGGTAAGAAGCTCGGAAGCAAATGCGGGCCTGTGAGGGGCTGGTGGACTCGCTGTTGCATGTAACCTACACGTGTATGAACACATCCGATTACGACAGCAAGATGGAGAATTGCGTGTGCACCCTGAGGAACCTGTCCTATTGGCTGGAGCTGCAGGTGCCCCAGGCCCAGTTACTGGGACTGAACGAATGGGATGACTTACTAGAAAAAGTTTCCCAGCGAAGACTCTGAGCCAACCTGCTGGGGGAAGAAAAAAGAAAAAGAAAAAGAGGACTCCACAAGAAGATCAATAGGATGAAGTCGGTCCTATCCCAGCACTGTCGAAGTCCCCCAAAGGGGCTGAGATGCTGTAGCACCCATCGGTGGTGAAGCTGTATCTGACTCTTTTAGCAGAAAGTTCCAACCCAGCCACCTTGGAAGGCTCTGCCGGATCTCTCCAGAACCTCTCTGCTGGCAACTGTAAGTTTTCAGGATATATCTGGGCAGCCATCCGAAAATAAAAGGGGCTCCCCATCCTTGTGGAACTTCTGAGAATGGATAACGATAGAGTTGTTTCTTCCATGGCAACTGCCTTGAGGAAGATGACACTAGATGTTCGCAACAAGGAGCTCATAGGCAAATACACCATGCAAGACCTGGTCAACCAGCTTCTCTGTGGCAATGGCCCCAGTATCTTGTCTGATGAGTCCATGCAGCCATCTGCTGTGCTCTGCACGAGGTCACCAGCAAAAACATGGAGAAAGCCAAAGCCCTGGCCAACTCGGGAGGCATAAAGAAACTAGTGAACATAACCAAAGGCAGGGGCGACAGATCATCTCTGAAAGTAGTGAAGGCAGTAGCCCAGGTCTTGAATACATTATGGCAATATCGGGACCTCTGGAGCATTTATAAAAAGGATGGGTGTAATCAGAACCATTTTATTACACCTGTGTCGACATTGGAGCAAGACTGATTCAAATCACATCCTTCCTTGTCTACCACCAACCAAAAGATGTCACCCATCATTCAGTCAGGCTCCAGCAAACCTTCACCAATTTACATCAGTTCATATTCCTCACCAGCAAGAGAACTAAATAGACAGCTACAGCATCAACAGCTGTATTATAGTCAAGATAACTCCAACAAAATAACTTTGATTCATACAGATTGTATTTGCAGTCTCCTCATAGCTATGAAGACCCTTATTTTGATGACTGAGTTCACTTTCCAGCTTCTACTGATTAGTCAACAAGTATGGACTGAAATCGACCACAAATTATGTAGACTTTTATTCCATTAAACGACCTTCTTACAGAGCAGAACAGTACCCAGGATCCCCAGACTCATGGCTGCAGCATCAAGACACCCAACAGAAGAACTCTTTCTTTTTAACCTTGTTTGGATTGAGATGAAAAGTCCATCTTGCTGATTTGGTGATTGAAATGTGAAAGTGACGTGGAAGGAAAGAGTGAAGTGCATTTTTTTTCTTTTTTAAGGAATTATCAGGGAAGTGAGGAAACATTTGGGAGAGGACTTTCTAAGCTCTATTTAGGTGTTAGATCTAATTACTTGTAGATTCTGTAGTCTGGTGAAGGTGTGGGTGACGTGATGAGAGGTTTGAGAAATGGGTGAAATGAAATGGGGATGTGTAGATCAAATCAAATTAAAGATGATTTTTTAATGTAAATAAAGTCATGTTCTGATAGTTTGTACAGAAAAAATAAAATGATGCCCATGTTTTATTGCTATTACTAAATGTCAAGATTGTATGCTATTATGTCTTGTAAATTTCTTTTGTTGGTGTAAATATGGAAATGCCACATTGGTTAAGCGCCATCATTTGTAATGCAGTGTGTCACTTGAAGAGAGATTTGAAGAAACTGACAACTTCAAAAACAAATGGGAAGCCCAAGGAACTGTGAGAGATTAAAAACAAACTGCGACACCCTTTGTCTCCACCTTGCATAGTGTACTTTGGAAGCACAACGTCCAGGCTGGTACTGCAGTGCCATGCCCATTCCTTGCCTCGTTCATAGGACACTTCGCTGCCATTTTCTATGCACATGAAAGAAAAATAAAGGTGGAAATTTCAAAAAAAAGAAAGAAAGGAAGGAAGGAAGGAAAGAGGGAGCCAAGAAGTGGGATGGAAAGTGACATTCTCCAGACTTCCACAATCAGGAAAATGAGCCCAGCCAGGAGGACCCTGAGGATCTGGGTGGATCTGTGCAGGGAATGAAACCTCAGAAGGCTGCTTCCTCTACTTCCTCAGGGAGTCACCACAGCAGCCATAAAAAGTGAAAGAATAAAAAACCGACACAGGATTGATCTGAAGTTAAACAAAAAACCATGAGCTGACTATTAGAAGATACATTAGTGCAGAAGTTTCCAGGCTGTAGAGCCCTGCTTCCCTTCTCTGGCCTCACAAAGATAAACATCCTTCACCTGAGTTCGTGGCCATCCACCTCTGCTCTCCCAGACCCAGTGCCTGTGACTTTGAGTAGTTTGTTCTAAATGTGGTGACAAACAAGTCATTTCCATAATACATTGGATCATTTACTTTATGTCACTTTTAGTAACAGAACTGCAGGAAGATCAAGACATATATAATCCCAGGAAGTTGCTAACTGTACATTTCTCCCTTCTTAGGATGAATGTCTCCCCCTAAAGTGGCTGGTACCAGCTTCATCTGTGATATGCATCAAGAAATGTTCTCTGGTTTTGTTTTATGCTGAAAGTAGAACACAAGTTACATTTCAGATGAAGGCTATAAATATCTGGCATTTTCTTATATTGCTTTGTGTTTTCTTATTTTTCTCTTGTTTTATCACCTTATTTTCTTTGGGGTCTTTTTGTAATGCCTTTGTACAGCTCATACCTTCCTGCTGACATATCTGATCATCTCTTTCATGCAGTTCCCAATATTCACAACTGAAAATAATCTGGTTTATCATAAGTAAAATGGGAAACTCGGCTCTTTGTTTTTTTGCAAGGGAAGTATTTAGTAATTACCTATCTTAAATCTTTCTGAGTTGGAAGCAGATTCATGTTCAAGGAACAGGAAAAATGGAAAAATATGTTTAAATCAATCATTTTTAAATAGCTATTTTTATTCTTTTGTATAAATAAAATTTCACAGACTTTGGAAAAAAAAAAGAAAGCAAAGACCAAACCTTCACCAAGCACTGAAACTGCTAGCACATTGACCTCGAACTTCTAGCCTTTAGAAGAGTGAGAAATAATTTTTTTCAAACTTATTTATGTATTTCATCTATTTATTTAGATAAAATTTTATGTATTTGTTTTATATAACATAATGATTTGAAGTATATATACATAGTGAAATAGCCAAATCTAGCTAATTAAATATGGATTACCTCAAATAATCATTTTTGTAGTAAGTACACTTAATATCCACTCTGATGTGATTATGTATTTTAAGAATACACCATATCATAATTAACTCTAGTCCGCATGCTGTTTAATAGATCCCGTGAACTTATTCCTTTTATTGAACTATAATTTTGTATCCGTTGACTAACATCTCCCCAACTGCCCCTTCTCCCCACCAACACACAACAGCTCAGCCTCTGGTAACCACCATCCTACTCTCTATTTCTATGAGATCAACTTTTTAAGATTCCACATATGAGTGAATTGTGAGGTGTTTGTCTTCCTATGTCTGACTTATTTCACCTAACATAATGTCCTCTAGGTTCACCCATGTTATTTTAAATAGCAGGATTTCCTTCTTATTTATGGCTTAATAGTATTCCATTGTGTATACATATCATACTTTATTTATTTGCTGATGGACACTTCAGGCTGATTCCATATCCTTTTGTGAATAGTGCTGCAATAAACATTGGAGTGCAGATATCACTTCAACGTACTGATTTCATTTCCTTTGGATACATACCCCGTAGTGAGAGAACTGGATTATACAGTAGTTTTATTTTAATTTTTTGAGGAACCTGCACACTGCTTTCCATAATGGCGAATAATGTTCCCTTAATTCCACAGTTTCATCAACATTTGTTATCTTTTGTCTTTTTTTAATGCCCATTCTAACAGGTCTCAGATGATATCTTGTGGTTTTGATTTGTTTTCCCTGATGATTAGTGATGCTGAATATTTTTGCATGTATCTGTTGGTCATTTATACGTCTTCTTCTGAGAAATGTCTACTCAGGTTTTTTGCCCATTTTAATATCAGGTGATTTTTTTTCTTGATATTAAGTTGAGCTCCTTACATACTTTAGACATTAACCCTTATCAGATGTATAGCTTGCAAACATTTTCTCCTATTCTATAGATTGTCTTTTCACTCTGTTGACTGCTTCCTTTGCTTTGCGGAATTTTAGTTTGCTATAATCCTATTTGTGTATTTTTGTTTGGGCTGCCTATGCTTTGGAGAACATATCCAAAAGTCATTTCCTAGACAAATATCCTGAAGCATTTCCCCTATACTTGCCTATGTAAAAGCCTTACATTTAAGGCTTTAATTAATTTTGAGTTAATTTTTTAATATGGTGTGAGATAAGGGTCTAATTTCTTTCTTCTGCATATGCATACCCCATTTTCCCAACACCATTTATTGAAGAGACTCAATCTATGAAGACTGTATTCAGAAAGCAGTATAGATCCCAAAAACAAGTTCAAGATAAGAAGCATTTTATTCCATTGGAAAGATGTCAGAAATGGCCCTCAAGATGTTTCATGGAGAGAGCTGCAGATTTAACATTTCCCTGTTTGTATACTAAGGTATAAAGTCAGCAAAATGCTTCATGAAAAAAAAATCCATGACAAATACTAGGAAAGATTCTATTGCTGTAAACCAGTCTCACACTGGATAACTCTTTAAAGGGTGATGATAAAGTAACTTCTTTCCATGCTGTTGTTAAATCTCAATTCAGATTTTGTTAAATTTCAATCAAGTTCATACTTTTTTATTCCTGCTGACTTTCTTATTTTTCTAGTGCTATTTTATTAATGCTATTTTTTCTTGGGAAAGATACAAATTGAAGATGTCATGCTTCTGTTGCCTATCTTGAAAGGTATATAACTGTATCCGCTATCATTATATTTACACAAAACCAAAGAAATAAACAAATCACTTGTAAGAATTTCTAATTCAACTCAATTCAATTCAATGACAATAATATTGTGAGATTCACAGTCCCATTTGTTCTGTCTTTTCCCTTTAAAATAGTTTTTGCATTGGACAGAAACATTATTATTATAGGGAAAATAGCCAAAAAGTAAAACCAAAACATTAGCCCAATGTATTGCCAGAACATTTAAAGAGATGGTGGCCTTGAAGTTTTGTACTTCAATTCCAGGTGGCTTAACTATCTATACAAGAAGGGCAAAATTATAAAGATTTTAGATAATAATATAGCAGAATATCTCCATGATATCCCTCTTCTTTCAAGGGAATGAAATAATTTATTAAACAAGACACATAACACCAATAGGTAAGATTCTCAAATTCACATTTATAAACTTATTTTCGTCAAAATACATCATAAGAGTTTCTTTAAAAGTTAAACATACACTTATTATATGATCCAGCAATTCCACTTCTAGGTCTTTATCCCAGAATATTGAAAACATATGGTATTGTTCACACAAACCTATAAATTAATATTTGTAGGATCATTATTTGCAATCATCAATATTGAAAATAATCTAAATGTCCTTCAAGTGAATTGGTCAACCCACCATGATACACCCATCCAATGGAATACTACTCAGCAATTTAAAAGAATGAATTATTGATACACACAACATGGATGAATCTCAAATACATTCTGTTGCCTGAAAGAAACCAAACCCAAAGAAGTTGTCTATAGATGATTCCACTTATATGACATTCTGGAAAAGGCACACATATAAAAACAGGAAATATATCAGCAGTTTACCAGGGTTAGAGGTGGAAGAAGGGTCTGAACACAAAAGGGTAGCATGATGGAATTCTTTGTGATACTAGAATTGTTCTCTGTTGTGTCTGTAGTGGTAGCTACAAAAAACTATAAATGTTTAAAAATGCATAGAACTCTATTTCAGAAAGTGAATTTTACTTACTGGAATTTTTAAAATTAAAATAAATAAGATAGTATAAGAAAATGTATAGGCCACGTGCAGTGGCTCATGCCTGCAATCCCAGCACTTTGGGAGGCCTAGGCAGGTGGGTCACTTGAGGTCAGGAGTTCAAGACCAGCCTGGCCAACATGATGAAACCCCGTCTCTAATAATAACACAAACATTATCTGGGTGTGGTGGTGCATGCCTGTAATCCCAGTTACTTGGGTGGATAAGGCAGGAGAATTACTTGAACCCGGGAGGTGGAGGTGGCAGTGAGCTGAGATCGCGCCACTGCACTCCAGCCTGGTCGACAGAGCAAGACTCTGTCTCAAAAAAAGAAAAAAAGAAAATATACAAAGATAATATGCATATATACGAATATATATGGCATATGGAACCTAGAAAATACAGAAGAACTTACAAATAAGTAAGGAGAAATCATCTCAATAAAGAAATGGTCAAAGGCTTTGAAGAAATACAACATAGAACTGAAAGACCAAACAAACAAATGGCTAATAAAGGAAATGAGATGCTTGTATTCATTAGTATCCAGGAAAACAAAATTGCAATAGTTATCATTATACAGCAAGTGGGTTAAAATTTTAAAAGTCTTGTTTTACCAAGTGTTTGTAAAAATTGGAGGCAATAGAGTCTTGATACAATGGTAAGTGGAGTGTAAATTGTTACAATTGCTCTGTTAGCATTAGCAGCATTAGCTATCTGCCTATCAGTTTTAATACTACTAACATAAGCACCCAGGGAGATATGTACAGAAATGTTGACTATACCCCTAACTGAAAATAGTAACATGAAGAACTCATCTTGTAACTCAGTGGCTTCCAAATTTTTCAAACAGGGCCCATATGTAAGCAATACATTTCAGAGATATTGTCAGTACTCACCCCCACTCTTGGAGTGGTTTAAGAAGGGCAAATGAGATGTGGAGAAATTTTCTGGCCACTTCTTGGAAAGTTTTCCTTCACGTCCAAGAAAGAGCCACAAGTAGGGCTGGACAATATAATGCCTTTGGACCCTGTTGTATCAGGCTATGATGCCTGGAGCTGCTGCAGCCATCCTCCAATCCATGTGAGGAAAAAATTTCCATTAAGAATGGCATAGCCTAGGGATAGAAAGAATCTGGGTTCTTGATGCCCTTCTTGGTCCCTTTTTATCAATAAATCCCTAAGTCTGCCCTACCTTTGGGCTTGTTTATTTCTTCAGCCACATTGGATCTGAGTTTCATTCTCAGCAAACTAACACAGGAACAGAAAACCAAATACCTCATTGTTCTCACTCATAAGTGGGAGTTGAACAATGAGAACACATGGACATGAGGAGGGGAACATAACACAACAGGACCTGTTAGAGGGGGTGGGGGGCTAGGGGAGGGATAGCATTAGGAGAAATACCTAATGTAGATGACAGGTTGATGGGTGCAGCAAACCACCATGGCGCATGTATACCTATGTAACAAACCTGCACATTCTGTACATGTATCCCAGAACTTAAAGTACAATTTTAAAAAATGTAAAAAAACCCAGTTTATTTTTCTTGAAATAAAACTCTCCAAACTGCTACAAACTGAACAAACTGTCAGCCCTAGTTTTGTTCATGTACATAATGTCCTTCTAGGCAATAATTTGTTACTATATATCTGATCAGAATATCAGGGCAAATTCTTTAAGACAGATACCTCCACTTCCCATACAAGGACATAATGCATTTAAATATATAGTTTATTTCTCATATTATTTTTAGTCTTAAGAAATTACAGAAGTCTCTATTGTTATTCTTGAAGGTATATATTACAAAACCTTTTAGCAATACTATCCTATATATACAAAAATGCTAGACTAACATAGGTCTTGCCTTTTATTTTCTAAAAAGAAATATATTTTATATAAATAATCTAGGTTACTACATAAAAGATTACAAATTATATATAATCCAAAAAATTCAGATATAACCATTTTTAGTATTTTGTTTTATTTACTTCCAAGAATTTTAAGAACCTATAAGTACATATTTTTACCCCCAAAATGGAACTATATGATGCAAATCCCTCAAGAATTTGCTTTTTAAACTTACCAGTATATTGGGGAATCTTTCCAATCACATCATACTTCTTTAACTGTCTGACTGATCTGGAACTATATAAAAAATGTCTTTGGATAATTTTAACTAATGTGCATTGCAGAAAAAAGTAAGTCACTGACCCAGAAACATAGGAAATTATCAGGACTTCTCCATTTACACTAGGCAACTCAAAAATCAGTGCTAAAAGAGAACATATGAATGAGGCTATTGATTAGACAACCTTTAAAAAAATAATTCTAGAAGCATCGTTCATTACTCAAACCAGAAAGACATAAGCCATGTTCTGATTTTATCTTTATAATTAATTTGTAACATATGTTTATGTTTACATTTTTCACTTTAATTCTGTCAGTTTTTGGCCAGGCTATACAAAATGAGGATGATTTTTTCTTATGTATAATACATTATAGGATATTAGTTTTGCCTGTATTCTTTTCTCTTCCATGTAACAGTGAAAACCTACTTACCGAGCTCTTCTGTTAAATGCTACCAAAAAGTATCAGTAGTCTTATTGGCTTTAGGCTAGATCTAGAAAAAATAATCTAGTTGGAATATTTACCGTGGAGACCAGCAGATACTGCCTTGCAATATTACCAAAGACCTGGTAAACACTGCTCTCACTCACGTACTTAGAGAAGCCCTAGAAATTAGTGTACTAAGAGAGCTATTGAAACTGAGGGAATGGAAAATACCCATATATATTTGGAGTAGTTTGGGCTTGATACAGTGTGTTTACTTGGAAAATTATTATATTGTATGCCTCAGGACTGATTGTGTTTTACATTGCTTTCAAATTCATTCCCTCTCTCTCACTCACTCTCTCTTTCATTGCAAAGTTCACTTCCATCCTCGGTTCATGGCCCATTTACATCATCAGCCTATGCAAGGTTTCCTTACCTTACTTGTTTATTCTCTTTTATTTCTATTTCTCAATCTCATCAAATTCCACCTATCCACTATAAATATCTAGAAATAATATGTCTAGGTTTTAGGATATAATTATTTTCAATGTGACAAAATTTTTAATTGAATGTGATTTAAGCATTAGCTAGAATACGAAATTTTCTGGGCTTTCTTTCTATATATCAGTATGCTCTAGCAAATTCTTTTTTTATTCTGATCAAAAAACACGTAACATAAATTTACCCTCTTAAGTTATAGTACAGTATTGTTAACTATATGCACATTGTTGTACAACAGATATCTAGAACTTTTCCATATTGTATGACTGAAATGCTATAGCTATTGTACAATCCTTCATTACCCCTTGCCCCAAGCCCTAGCAACCAGCATTCTACTTCTGTTTCTGTGTGTTTGATTACATTAGATAACTCATATATGTGAAATCATGCATTATTTGTCTTTTGTGGTTGGCTTTTTAAATTTAGCATAATGTTATCTGAGAAAAATATTCTCCTGCTGTTGAGTGGAATGTTCTATATGTGTATGATAGGTCCATTTGGTCTATACTATTGTTTAGGATTTCTATTTCCTTATTGATCATCTCACTAGTTATTCTATCCATTATTGAAAAAAGAGTATTGACATGTACTATTATTGTGTTACAGTCTTTTTTACCCTTCAATTTTGCCAATATTTACATCATATATTTGGGTGCTCTAAAGTTAGTTGCATACATTTTATAATTGCTGTGTTTTCTTAGTGAATTGACGCTTTTATTATACAATGTCCTTTTGTTGTCTCTTGCGATAGTTTTTGTCTTAAAGTCTATTTGGTTTGATGTACGTATTGCTAATCCTGATTTCTTTTGGTTATGATCTGCATTGAATATCCTTTTCCACTCTTTCACTTTCAGCCTATATGTGTCTTTACATCAAAAGTGAGTCTCTTCTTGACAACATATAATTGCATCTGGCATTTTTATCCATTCAACTACTCTATGTGTTTTGATCAGGAAGTGCTATGGTCTATATGAGTCATATGATGTGAAATAACCACAGATGTACAAGTGTGGAGCCAATTTGGTTCAATGTCAAATGCTGGATATGATAGCTTGTTCTGTCAAGCTCTTAAATACATGCATTGGTTATTGTCTGTCTATTCATTCATTAAAACAAATCTTCCAACTGACATCATCATTTGGCTCTCCTGGGCACTAACTTAGTTGGTATACATCTGGTCACCCTTCCACATCATTTACACAACCACCCACATCTTTGTACCCAGCTCTGAAATGGCACAGCTGCCTAATGAGATGACTCAGCAGGGCACTGAGTGAAAGTGGCCCTCTGGGTTCAACTGAAAACATGGAGGTTGCTCTGTGACTGTGGGCAAAGCCAGGAAAGCAAAGAATGCAAAAGATTTTATCCCCAGATATAATCCAGAAAAGTAATACTTCAATGCAGTCTTTTAGCTTCATGTCTTTCCACGTTTGCACTTGTTTAACCAATAATACTGTGAATCTCTCCTTAGACTGTTCTGTTGAAATGTTTTGACCTGGAAAATTACAAGGCTCAATTTTGCTCAGAAATCATCACTCCTATAAAACCTCTTTTTGACTTCTCGTGAGGTGAATTAGTCTTTCCTTCCACATTCCCATAACACTTTGTTCATGTATCTTTCCTGGCACATACCTCATTTACTCTAATGTTCTGAGTAGTTCTCTGTCTCTTCTGATAGATTGTGGGATCTTTAAAAGACATGAATAAAAACATGTCTTACTCACCTTTTACCTTTTCCTCTTGAGTATCTAGAACAGTATGTGTCACAATGAAGGTTCTCAATTAGTGAATCTGCTGCCCTTTGAGCACAGGTACTAGATAATTATATTTTAGCTTTTACAGCCTTTGTCTCGTTTCATCCAGACAAAAACTATGTGAAGATTCTATTTCAGATGATTAAAGTGGCTGAAAGATGGTAATTACTTGTCCAAAGTCAAAAAATAAGTGATAGAATCAGCTTTAAAATTTGCTCATTGTTATAATATTATATAATAAACAAAGGATGAATTTATACCAAATACATAAATAAAAAGTCATGTTTTCTCATTTAACACTCGACATCTAAATAAACTGAAAAAAAATCAGTAAGTTTTCTTTTCCGATGGATTTTGCGTTTTCTTTCATATATTCATCCACTCCTGCTAATTACCATTGCCTTGCCTCACAAAGACACTGACTTTTGAGATTTAAAAGACGTGTTAATTCTAATTTCTGTCTGATTCATTTCTTAACTTCTTCACATCTGTCTTGTTTAAAAATAAACTACTTGAATTAATTCATCATACCAGCATCAATTAAACCACTATATTCATGAAAGGAGTTATAATTGTCCTGCAGTAGTGGTTGTGGCAAGAGAGGAAGCAGAAGAAAGAAGTAGAGGAAGCTGGACTCTTTTTACCAACCCACTCTCCTGGGAACTAATCCATTCCCAAGAGTGATAACTCAGTCACTGCCCTGGCAGGCAGGCATGAATCTGTTCATGAGGGTTCTGCCCCCATGACTCAATCACCTCTCAGTAGGCCTCACCTCCCAACACTGCCTCTTGGGGATTACATCTCCATGTGAGTTTTGGCAGGGACAAATCAGACCCAAACCATAGCAGATGTAGTTCTACTTGTCTATTTTTGCTTTTGTTACTTGAGCTTTTGCTGTCATATCCAAGAAATCATTGCCAAGCCCAATGTCATGAAGCTTTTCCCATGTTTCCTTCTAGTAGTCTTACAGTTTCACTTCAGAATTATCATATGATCCAACAATCACAGAAGGAAATCACCACGATTCCTTTACATGAGGTATCTAAAATAGTCAAACTCATGAACAGAGAGCAGAATGGTAGTTGCCAAGGGCTGGGTGGAGGGAAAAATGGAAAATTGCTCTTTAACAGGTGTAAAGTTTTAGTCATGTTAGACGAATAAGTTCCAGAAATCTGCTATACAACATAGTGCCTATAGTTAACAATATGGTATTGTGCACTTCAAAAAATGTTAAGAGGTTAGATCTCAATTTTAAGTGTTCTCCTCACACTAGAACGAAAAAATAGAATTCTACAGGGAAAAAAAAAAGCTAGAAAAAAAATAGCCACAAAAGAGCCAAAATCATGCCTGCTTTAGATTCTTAACACTAAATTTTAAAAGACAAAGGATTCACCAGTTCAGAGTTTGATGACAAAGAAGTATGAGTCAATACTTCTATGCCAATCAGGTTGTCATTCATGAATAAACACAAGAACAATACCTCTACAGTATCCAAACATATCTGATTCATTCTTTCTTAAAACAATTGTTTACTATGTACACAAACTTCAAATAAATAAAAATAAAATTCTTCACAAACATGTGTGCTATAAGATTACCATTAGCATTAAATCCAGTTAAACATAAAATGAATTCCATTAAATAAATTTTGAAGATAATCCAAATGTGCTTTAATATCAGTGATGCCTGTTCAGGTATATAGTTGGATGTCAGGGGATGTGATATTATTTTGCAATTTCAAACTGAAAAATAAAAATATGTTAACATTTATACCTTTATCCAGAATCTGTTTTTGAGCCCCTTACTATGAATCTGTTCTAGTTTGATACGAGAGTACTTCAGCAAATATGCAAGCTAGTTTCTCTAAAATTGTTCCATATTTTATTTCTCACTTTTAAGAATGGAAGCCAGTTATCTTCTAAAATGAGAACTTCTTCAGTGTACTTTGATTTTCTCTTAGATTGTTTTAAGAAATAACTTAAGATGGATTTTTCTCTAGTCTTCAGATTAATCCTACCGGCACTTCAACAGCTGCCCTTCCTTCTGGATCCTGCAAGCCTAAATCCTAGTAATTAAAACTGGATGCCATCGTAATCTAAGAAAAGATCAGAAAAGCAAAATAAAAAACCAAGAGATTACCAACTAAACTAATTTAAGATGAAAATGTGCAAGTATACTGAACACTATATTATTTAATAGTATGAAATGTCTTGTTCTCAAACTGTTGATAATATTTTAAGAGACATAAGCATGCAAAAGTTGGTATATTTTTCTATTCAAACAACAGAGAATGATCAAGGACAATCAAGTGAAAATATTTTGAGAATCAGGTGACAGAAAATATATGTAGTTTTTATTTTCCTTTGAATTGCAGACACACTTTATGATTTAAAAATACAAGGAAATAAGGTCCAATGCAGCAAATATAAGTCACTCTTGTCTTTTTTTTTATTATTATAACCACACATGTATTAGAGTGATTCTGCAGAATATCTCTTGGTGACAAATCCATTTAGCCCTTTAATAAAAATGTATCAAATGGAATCCTGAGCAATGCTTTACACTGAATCTTTACACTGAATCTTGAGATTTAAAAGATGTGTTAATTCTAATTTCTGTCTGATTAATTTCTTAACTTCTTCACATCTGTCTTGTTTAAAAATAAACTACTTGAATTAATTCATCATACCATTTTCATATATTCTTCTATTTCCCTGCATCTTATCTTTCCAAATCCCTCCTTATTGGGTGCTTAGCATGTTGCAGTATGTAACACACATACAGTATGAGAAGGAGGAGGAAAAGAAAGAGAAAGAGAAAAAAGAAAGGAAAGAAAAAAGGGAAGGGAGAGTTTTAGAAGCTTTCTTTTATTGACATGAAAATGCAGTAAAACAACTAAAATGAACCATATTAATTGCTTTATGAGGTGGATTTATTTGAAGCTATAGATAACTAATATTATCTGTCTGGTATATTCTTTCCCCAAATATCAATTTGGCGATTTCTTTCATCTCCTTTAAGTTTTTGCTCAAATATTATTGTCTCAATGACGTCTACACTGGCCAACATATTTAAAAATCTAATCAACCCCTCACCCCCACACT
The DNA here is from genome assembly GCF_000001405.40 of Homo sapiens. NCBI lineage: Eukaryota > Metazoa > Chordata > Mammalia > Primates > Hominidae > Homo > Homo sapiens. The sequence goes on from NC_000002.12 coordinate 209,193,712, forward strand.
CACACTGACTGGCACTCTGAATAATTTAACTTGAACTCTGATACTATTTTTTCATTTTCCTCTGAGACTTACTTAATATTAACACTGTATAATTGACTTATTTATTGTTTTTCTTGTTAATCGTCTCACCCTCACACACAACCAAAGTATAAGATTCATAAGTGCATATTACATGCTAAATACACATTTGTTCAGATTAAATAGAAATGAATTCAAAATAAGTTTGACTCATTGCCATCCAACATGGCCTTAGGTTTTAAGCTAAAGTAAATGCACAAAGTAAACACTAACTATATCTAAAATATTAATTTGCCTTTTTGAGGAATTTAGACAAATAAATAAGAGTCTTTATTTTTTTCTTTCAATAAGCCACTTCAGTGATAACAATGGCAAAAGTAAAGAAACCTTATAAGACAATTATCAGGGATAAATTACAGTGGACATTTATTCTAGATGAAAATTTTAAAGCAAATCACATGGTATTAATGAAACATTCAAGAACAATATTTTTATTGTTTTACTGAGTTAGTTAATACACCCAAAAGGTATTGAATAACTACTTTTTTTAAGTTAAGATTTGTAATAGGTAATATTTCAAAAATCAGAATATATAAATATAAATATATATGTAAATTTAGAATGCTTTATTCCATTTGCGTTCCTGTCTACCTCTTTAGCTCGGTCTCAGATAGGTAACTTATTTTATTAGTTTTAAAAATGTATTCACTTATTGTCTTTTAGTTGTACACATTCACATGAAAATACATATTCTTAATTTCCATTACCTTTATTTAAAAAGATACAGTACATTATTATCAGTAAAGTACGATTTTTTATTTAACATTTTATTCTTTATTTTTTCCTCACATCCATACATAGATAACTCAGCTACCCAGGATCGCATTAGGTGGATAAACTGTAGTTTAATTAATGAATCCTTCATAACAAAGTACCTTGTCAACGCAAGTTAAAATTTATATTTTTGAGTGACTGACTTTGGCTTCCATAAATTTGAGATGTGAGAAATTGCATTATTTAATATTTTTTAGAGTCACATATAGATACCTATTTTTCACCCAACACAAGTACGAAAATAAAACTTTAAAAGATACTGATTGTCCTTGCAGAAACTGTAATATTCTCTGTTAGAAGGGCTCTCTGCTGTAAGGAAGGTAACATATTGACACATACTGAGTGAATATAAACTGGGCAATGATTCACAGGCTATAAATCTATTAGATTCCACCTTTCCTTCTCAGTTTTTGACGTTTGGGGATTATCTCAGCAATCTTCTTCCTTATGGGAAATACAATTTATCTCTCTACAGTGTCTCTAAAAATACTGAGATTCCATTATACAATTCTATTAATAACATTGTAACACAGTTGTGTTTAGAAGTAGATCAAACCCAGTTTTATCTTAAAACATGACATTATCTATTTGGTTATACATGAAAATATTTGATATTAGAGGAGCAACTGATATTCAGATATTATTCCAGGAAATGCTATCGATCCTTGTTTTTCATTAGTTCTTCAGTTGTCCTAGCTTTTCTCTCAACACTGGACTTACCACAGCCCAGTAACTGCCCTCTCCCTAGGATCCTGCTTTGGGATAGTTTTAAGATTTCACTCTGGCTTTATATACCTGAAGATAAGGGCAGAAAATCAAAACCATTTAATCTAATAAACCCTCAGCAGCTTTATTGCTGAACACTATTATTTCCATTTTCAGATTAAGAAAGTGAGAACCAGAAATACCATTCAACCTAGCAATCCCATTACTGGTTATATACCCAAAGGAATAGAAATCATTCTATTATAAAGATACATGCATTCATATGTTCATTGCAGCACTATTCACAATAGCAAAGACATGGAATCAACCCAAATGCCCCGTCAATGATAGACTGGATAAAGAAAATGTGGTACATATACACCATGGAATACTATGCACCCATAAAAAGTAACAAGATCATGTCCTTTGCAGGGACATGGATGGAGCTGGAAGCCATTATCCTCAGCAAACTAACACGGGAACAGAAAACCAAACATCACATGGCATGTTCTCACTTATAAGTGGGAGCTGAACAATGAGAACACATGGACACAGGGAGGGGAACAACACACAGTGGGGTCTGTGGAGGGGGGCAGGAGGGAAGGGAGAGCAGCAGGATAAAGAGCTAATGCATGCAGGGCTTAATACCTAGGTAATGGGTTGATAGGTGCAGCAAACCATTATGGCACATATTTACCTATGTAACAAACCCGCAAGACATATTAGTAAAAAGTTAAATACAGCAAAGATATACAGATTAGAAATATTTATCCTCCTAATAACAGACCATCAAAATATATGAAGTAAAAATGGACAAAATTGAGAGAAGAAGTAGAAAGGTCTAAATAATAGAAGCTTCAATACCTCACTCTCAATAAAGGATAAAATAACCACACAGAAGATAAGTAAGGAAATAGAGGGCTTGAACAACACAATAGACCAACTATTGGGCAGACTGTACAGATATATACAGTACACTCTACCCAAAAAAATAATAGAACATTCTCCTCAAATGCATATGGAACATTTTCCAGGATAGGCTATATGTTAGGCCATAAGTTGTCTTTATATATTTTTGAAAATACATGTCATACAAAGAATCTTCTCTGACCACAAGGAGACGAGGTTAGATATTGCTAACAGAAGGAAAAATAGAAAATTCTAATCTTTTAAACTACAAAACACCCTATCAATCACCAATAAATTACCAAACAAAACACAACATAAATTCTATGGTTTGAATGTATCTCCCCAAGTTCATATGTTGAAAACGTAATCCAATGCAACAGTGTTGAGAGGGGGGACTTTTAAGACGTGGTTATTGCTATTATTACAGGAGTGGTTTCTTTATTGTGAGAGTGGGTTATTTTAAAAAGAATGAATTTGGCCCACTTTTCTCTGTGTCTGTCTTGCCCATGTGATGCCTTCAACCATGTTATGACACAGCAAGAACCTCACCAGATGTCAGCTCCTCAATCCTGGAATTCTCAGTCCCCAGAATTTTAAGCCAATAAATTTTTGTTCATTATAAATTACTCAGTCTGTGGCTTTCTGTTATAGCAACACAAAACAAACTAAGACAGTATATTGTAAAATACTTAGAGGTGAATGAAAATGAAAACACAATATACCAAAACCTATGAGACACAGCGAAAGCAGTGCTATAAGGAAAATCTATAGCTAAAACTGCTTACATTTTAAAAACAGAAATATCTCAAATCAGCAACCTAATTTTACAAATTAAGGATCTAGGGGAAAAAAGAACAAACTAAACTCAAAGCTAGCAGAAGAAAATAAATAATCAAGATTAAAGCAGAGACAAACAAAATAGAGAAATAAAAGACAATAGAGAAAATAAAGAAAAATAAAAGTTGGATCTTTGAAAAAGATCAACAAAATTGACAAACGTTTAGCTAGACTAATAAAACAAAGACTCAAATTACAAAAATCAGAAATAAAAGTGGAAACATTACTTCTGATTCTCAAGAAAGAGATAGACTATAAAAGTACCATGAACAACCATATACCAACAAAGTAGATAGCCTAAATAAAATGGGCAAATTCCTAGAAATAAAAAAAACCTACAAAGACTAAATCATGATGAAATAAGAAAGCTGAATAGACCTGTTATACTGGTTATCAAAATCTCCCAAAAAAGAAAATCCCTGAACCTGATGGCTTCAATAGTAAATTCAATCAAACATATAAACAGGTACAAACACCATCCTTTTCAAACTTTTCCAAAACATTGGAGAGAACAGAACACTTCATAAGTCATTTTATGAGTCCATCATTGCCCTGACACCAAAGCCAGACAAAAACAGTACAAGAAAATAAAACTGCAGACAAATATGCCTTGTGAATATTGATGCAAAAATCCTCAACAAAATATTAGCTATCTGAATCCATCAGTATATTAAAAAAATTATATATCATGACCAAACAGAATCCATTCCTGATATGCAAGGATGATTTACCATACAAAAATCCATCAGTATAATACACCACGGTAACAGAATGGAGGAAGAAAACATGTCATCATCTCAACTAACGCAGAAATAACATTTGATAAAATCCCACACCTTGTTATGATAAAGACACACAACAAACTACATCAACATAATAAAAACCATACATGAAAAACTCACAGAGAACATCATACTCAATGGTGAAAGAATGAAAGCTTTTCTGGTAAGATCAAGAAGGCAACGATGCCTGTTTACACCACTTCTATTTAAAATACTACTAGAAGTCCTAGCCAAAACAATTAGGCAACAAAAGGAAATAAAACACATCTAAACTAGAATGGAAGAATTAAAATTGTGTTTGTTCACAAATTATATAATCTTATACATAGAAAACCCTAAAGACTCTACAAAAAACTATTAGAACTACTAAGCAAATTTAGCAAAGTAGCAGGATACAAAGTGAACACAAGAATTAGTTTCATTTCTGTATACTAACAATGAGCAATCTAAAAAGGAAATTATTAAAACAATTCCATTTATAATAGCATCAAAAGGAATAAAAAGTCAGGAATTAACCAAAGAAGTAAAGACGTGGACAATAAAAACTAAAAAACATTGCTGAAAAAAGTTGAAGAAGACATAAATAAAAGGACACCTCATGTTCATGGGATGGAGGACTTAATCTTGTTAAAATATCAATACTAGCCCCCCAAAAACCTACAAATTCAATGCAATTCCTATGAAAATCCCAATGATGTTTTTCACAGAAATAAAAAATCCATCCTTAAATTTATATGTAATCTGAAAGATCTATGAATAGCCAAAACAACCATGAAAAAAGAAAGAGCAAATTTGGAGAACCCACACTTCCTGATTTCAAAACTTACTACAAGGCTCCAGTAATCAAAACAATGTAGTACTGGCATCAAGACAGATATACAGAACACTGGAATATAATAATGAGCCCAGAAATAAACCCTTGTATATATTGCCAAGAAGAGTGTCAAGACCTTTCAATGAGAAAAGGACAGTCTGATGGTGCTGGGAAAACTGGATATCTACATGCAAAAAAATGAAGGTGGATGTTTACCTAACACCATATACAAAATTTAACTTAAAATGAATTATAGACTTAAATCTAAGAATGAAAACTATAAAACACTCAGAAAGAAACACAGGGCAAAAGTTATATGACATTGGATTCAGCAATGATTTCTTCAATATGACACTAAAGGCACAGGCAACAGAAGAAAAAATAAGACAAATTGGACTTTGTGAAAATTAAAGACTTTTATGCATCAAAGGGCATTATCAATAGAGTGAAAAGGCAACTGAAAGAATGGGATCAACTATTTGCAAATCATATATATGACAAGGAATTAATAGCCGTATATATAAAGAACTTCTAAAACTCAGTGACAACAAAAGCCACCTGATGCAAAAGATATACACATGCCCAATAAGTACATGTAAAGGTGATTAACATCACTAATCATTACGGTAATGCAAACAAAAACTGCAATGAAACACTACCTCACACTCATTAGGATGGCTACTATCAAAAAACAGAAGATAACTGTTGGCAAAATGTAAAGGACTTGAAACCCTGATGCGCCATAGTGGGAATGTAAATGGTGGTGCTGCTGTCGAAAACAGTATGGCAGTTTCTCAATAAATTATAAATAGAACCACCATTTGATCTAGCAATTCAACTTATGGGTATATACTCAAAAGAATTGAAAGCAGGGTCTCAAAGAGACATTTGCACACTCATGTTCATGTTTAGCATTACTCACAATAGCTAAAATGTGGAAGCAACCCAAGTATTCAGGGGTAGATGGAAGAATAAGCAAAATGTAGTATGGATATGAAATGGAATACTATACAGCCTTAAAAAGGAAGGATACTCTGACATATTCTACAGCATGAATGAACCTTCCAGGTATTATGCTAAGTGAAACAAACTAGTCACAAAAAGACAAATACTGCATGATTCTACTTACTTAGTACTTAGAATAGTCAAAATCATAGAACCAAAAAGTAGAATGGTGGTTTCCAGGGTCTGGAGGAAGAGGAGAATGAGGAGTTGTTATGTAATGGGCAAAAAATCTCAATTTTGGAAGAAGAAAAATATTCTGGAGATGAATGATGGTGATAGTTGCACAGCAATATGTATGTTCTTATCCCACTAATCTATACACTTGAAAATGGTTAAAATGTTAAATATTATGCTAGGCTTATTTTATGACAATTTTTAAAATTTCATAGGTTATAAAAATGCCAATTATAATAGCAATAATAACCTCAAATAAGACTATACATATTTTTTAGTGTTTATAATTATGAAGTCAGGATCTGAAGTCAGATTGTTTGAGTTCAAATACTGGCTCTATTACATATTGGTGTAGAGAATTTTGGCAAATTCAGTAACCTCTGGGCTTCAGATTCTTTCTCCGTAAAATGTAGATGATAATACTACTTACCTCATAGTGCTGTTACGAGGCGTAAGTGAATTTAAAAATGTAGATGATAATACTACTTACCTAATAGTACTGTCATGAGGCATAAGTGAATTTAAAAATGTAGATGATAATACTGCTTACCTCACAGTGCTGTTATGAGGCGTAAGTGAATTATTATTTGCAAATCTTTTTGAATAGTGCCTGGAGCATAGCCTGCCCTCAATAAAGTTGGCTCCAGTTTATATTATTGCCTTCTGAACATTTACACTCCATATACTGGAAGAACATTTTTGGATATGTACATTGGCTCCCCTCACCTCCTTTGTTTGAAACACTCCAAAGTCTTGTTGCTTTTAGATAAAAAAATCAAACATGTTTAAGTGGCCTACAGGGCCTCAAATTCTGGCCCCATACCCTTCCCTTCAGCCTCATTTTGCACCAGGTTCCCTATGGCTCTTAGGGCTTCTACAACACTCACCTTACAGATCTTTTTATCTCTATTCTCCCTACTGCCATAGGATATTTGTACATGCTTCTGCCTGAAGTGTTCTACTTCCCTCTCTTCCAGCTCATTCTTACGCTTCCCTAGCTTATTAACACTTCTAGGAAGCAGCTCCTTCGGGACTTTATTATTATGTTAATACCCTATTATTTTAAAGCTTCAATATTACCATGTTTTTTCAAAATGAAAATTCCAGGAAGAGTGGTTCTGAGTGGCTTACCTTGAGTCATATTCTCATTTTCAGGGAAGGGAAAGAGAAGGCACTTTGTTTGACAGATCCGCCAAGACCCTATCCATGGAATCAGAGTAGATGCCCAAAACTAAATCGGGGGACATCCTAGGGTAATAATGGCTGGACAGGAAAAACACAGATTCTCAGTACAGGTAACATTTGGTTAAGGTCAGTCTCACACACTAGCCTAAAACTCCATGAGAAGAGAGGCTATGTCTGCTTTGGCTAACCACTTTATCCTCAGCACCCAGAACAATGCTTGAAATGTAGTTACTCTAATAAGTATTAACGGTTGTGGAAGGTTGTTATACTAGGCATTGGAGACATAATCTGGAACAAAACAGATTTGGTCCCAACCTTCTTGGAGCTCAGAATAAGAAGGCAGACGAGATGGCCTTTAGAATATCTTCTTCAAAATGAGATTTTATCAACCTATTTTTCACTGAAAATGTGTTATATATGCATTCTGAAGATGGTCTTGAGCTTTGGAAGGTAATGTTTAAATTCTTGAGGCTTTGCCGCTTTTAAACTTACAACTTTTTTTGAAGAAAGCAAATTTCCATTCAAATTTTTAATAATATTTTAAAATTATTTTTTACGATGCCCAGAAATTTTGAAAATAATTGTTATTTTAAATTTACAATATTTTCTTTGTTGAAATTCAGAAGACTGATTTTAAAATGCTCTGGTTTAGGCTTTCATTTTAGATCAAAGTACCCCATCAACTAGCAATTTTTGGAGGAAGGGAATCCTCATAAACCAGCATTCATGAAAGGAAAGGTACTGATTTTATGGGACAGCAAATATAAATGCTTATTTTTATTTGAAGGTACATTTAAGCATAAATTAATAATAAAAACAATGTTATAAAACTATTATAAGTATTTTAATATTAGTTAATAGATATCTGTTGTTTTGAAAATTAGAAGACATAGGTAAAAAAGAACTTTACATGAGGAAAATCCTTTAGCCAGTTGTTTACCTACATCCTAGACCAAATTAAACTGCTGCATTGGCAAGGACAATTGAGTTCATTCATTCCACATACATATAGCAAAGCACTCTCTATGGGCACCATGGCAGAAGGTAGATGGATAAAGCCAAGATTATAGCCACCAGGTAACTTAAGAGATATAATACATTTTCAAGGATTTGTGACACAAGTAGTTATATGACAACTTCCGTGTGTGGTACCAAAGGCAATAGGCCTATAAACTTAATTCCTTTACTAATATTACCAATCTGGTGCGTAATGGTGCTGTACAAAGTACTTGGAGTTCATTTGTTAGACTTTTTTTTTTGTCTTGCAGGAAAAGTACCAGAGAGTTCTGTGAACATTCTTTCTATTTAAGATTTCTTCAGGCTTTCAGATATCTGTAGGCCATATCAGTCAATATAAAAAATGAACTGAAGTTTTGTGTACATGATGACCACAGGCTATTAAAAACTTATTTGTCTTGCAGATTTTACTCATCCAGGAAATGAACTGCCAGAATATGTGATGAGACTAGAAGTTACATTTAGGAACTATCAGGGGAAATTCAGCCAGATATCGGGTGAAATTCGCCCCCGATATTTCACGTAAGTTCTTTTCCATTTTCCCTAAGTGTTGGCCAGTCTGAGAAATAAAGGGACAGAGCACAAAAGAGAGAAATTTAAAAGCTGGGTGTCCGGGGGAGACATCACATGTCGGCAGGTTCCGTGATGCCCCCTGAGCCGTAAAACCAGCAAGTTTTTATCAGTGATTTTCAAAAGGGGAGGGAGTGTACGAATAGGGTGTGGGTCACAGAGATCACATGCTTCACAAGGTAATAGAATATCACAAGGCAAATGGAGGCAGGGCGAGATGACAGGACCACAGGACCGGGGCAAAATTAGAATTGCTAATGAAGTTTCGGGCATGCATTGTCATTGATAACATCTTATCAGGAGACAGGGTTTGAGAGCAGACAACCGATCTGACCAAAACTTATGAGGTGGGAATTTCCTCGTCCTAATAAGCCTGGGAGCGCTATGGGAGACTGGGGCTTATTTCATCCCTACAGCTGCAACCATAAAAGATGGCCGCCCACGAAGCAGCCATTTCAGAGGCCTACCCTCAGGGACGCATTCTCTTTCTCAGGGATGTTCCTTGCTGAGAAAAAGAATTCAGTGATATTTCTCCCATTTGCTTTTGAAAGAAGAGAAATATGGCTCTGTTCCACCCAGCTCACCGGCAGTCAGAGTTTAAGGTTATCTCTCTTGTTCACTGAACATTGCTGTTATCCTGTTCTTTTTTCAAGGTGCCCAGATTTCATATTGTTCAAACACACATGCTCTACAAAAAATTTGTGCAGGCAATCATCACAGGGTCCTGAGGTGACATACATCCTCCTCATTTTAGGAAGATGATGGGATTAAGAGATTAAAGACAGGCATAGGAAGTCACAAGGGTATTGACTAGGGAAGTGATAAGTGTCCATGAAATCTTCACAATTTATGTTCAGAGATTGCAGTAAAGACAGGCATAAGAAATTATAAAAGTATTAATTTGGGGAACTAATAAATGTCCATGAAATCTTCACAATCCACGTTCTTCTGCCATGGCTTCAGCTGGTCCCTCCATTCGGGGTCCCTGACTTCCCACAACAAGGAACTCATTATATGTGTGAGCATCTTTGTGAAACTGTAGAAACTACATTCTTTGTAGTGTAGGCAGAAAAATGTGCAAGCTCACATATATCTCATGCCCACTCAATTGGTTCAAATATGAACCAAATAAAAGTGACCCAAAAACTCTCTCTAATAGAAAACAGAGCCAACCTAACCACTTAAGGCAAGTGACATGTATAATGGTAAGTAATGCAAGTGACAATTATTAAGAAATTTTCATTAGTTCATAATTTACTGTAAATCAGGGGTGTCCGAACTTTTGGCTTCCCTGAACCACACTGGAAAAAAATTGTCTCGGGCCACTCATACTAACACTAACAAAACCTAATGAGCTAAAAAAATTGCCAAAAACTCATAATGTTTTAAGAAATATTACAAATTTGTGTTGGGCCATATTCAAAGCCATCCTGGGCCACATGCGGACCGCAAGCTGTGGGTTGCACAAATTTGCTGTAAATCAAGTAGAGGCAACAGGCTCTCATGAAAGACATTTTACACTTAAGATCTATACCTATTTTACCAGCTAACTATAGAGTCAAAAAGTATTTAAAGTTGTTTGTTGATTTGTTTTCTGTATTTTAATTTTCTACTGATCTGTATCTTATCATTACCAAGAATTTCATACCCATTTATTTGATAATGTTATGGATTGAATGTTTGTGTCCCATCAAAATGTATATGTTGAAACCACAATGTGGGTGTATTTGTAGACAAGAACTGTGAGATGATAAGGGTTAAATGAGGTTATAATGGTGGGACACTAACCAGATAGGGCTGATGCCTTTATAATAAGATGAAGAGGCACCAGAGCTCTTTCTCTACCATATGAAAATACAGATAAAAACCAGCCATTTGCAACTCAGAAATAGAGCCTTCACCGGAAATGAATTTACTAGCAATTGATCTTGAACTTTGCAAGCCTCCAGAACCATGAGAAAATTAATTTCTGTTTAAGCCACTCAGTTTGTGGTATTATATTATGGCAGCCTGAGCTTACTAAAAAATATAGTCAAAAATTGCCAATCTGAAGGCTTTAGAGCTGCAGTCATACAGACTTCATCTAATATTTGATGAGCATTTAGAAGATGCCAATCACAGTGAACAAATTATTAAGAATCAACTGTTGCCCTTAGCTCAAAATCTGGAGTAGGAGCACAATATCATTTACATAAGTAATAGAAATCATTTATGTTCAAAACATGATGCATTTTTGTAATTCCAACTTAAATTTTATAAATTTTAAATTCAAAATTATATGTCTTACAGTAATTCAAAACTTCTCTTACATTTAGCCAAATAAGGTATAGAAATGATATTATGGCTACCAAAAAAGTATGCAAAAGTATTTAAAAGATATTTAATGGTATAATTTTAGAAATCCTATACTAAAGTAAAAAAGAGATCAAGATGCCCGTGGTAACCACCACATTTCAACATTGTACCGTAGTCCTACCAAAGCAAAGCAATAAGACTAGAAAAAATATAAATAAGCAATATACATACTACATATATCAGGAAGAAAGAGAAATCTCTTTTTTCTTCTTTTTATAGACCAGTGCTGGATATTAGATCAATATTAATAAAATAATACAGAGAATTCTTTCATACTGGTTAAAACCAATTAATATATAAAAGAGAAATGATAATGATAGTGATTAATAATGACTAATACTTTCTATATGATTATTACCTAGCAGGCACTGACTAAATACTTTTCATGGGTCATTTCATGTAATCCTCACAGCATTCCAATGAAATTTTCTCTTGCCATTAGCACCTTACAGAAGAAGAACTGAGTTTTTGGAGGGGTTAGGTAACATAGAGATTCATCACTAGTATGTGGCACAACTACACTAAAATTCAACTGTCTAACAGTGTAGCCCATAGTCTGGGCCATTGTGTTTATTATATTTCTTTTCTTGAAATCTTTCATTTTCTTTGTTTGGGCCGGTAAAACCTCATCAGTTTGCTCTGCATGTGAGTTTAAAGACAAGAGTGGTATTTTAAAATGTGAAGAGATGCTCTTCCAGAGGCACACAACTATTACTGTTTGTGTGTCTTCATGTTATAGATGCTAGTCCAGCTCCATCATCTGTACTTAGCTTTAGCTGTTCATTTCTCTTGGGACATAAATACCTGTTTAAAATAAAGACTGCAATGATTAGAGACTTAAATGAGATTGAGGAGAAATTTTCTCTACATAGAAAAACTACAAGTTTTCTCCTTCAAAAATTTACTGAGCATCAATTACCCAAAATGTAGTCTGCTAATTGCCACAGGGGATGCAAATTTATTTCTAATCTATCAGCAATTATACAGAATTTAAGTCTGCATGCTTCTCCAACACAACTTAGTTGACCAAACTTCCCCTGCTCAAACTCTTCTTGAATAATCTCATTCACATATGTGGTTTCAGCTACTTCCATTGAATTTAAAACTTAAATCCATGTTTCGAATTCAGTTTTATTTATAAAATTCTTATCAGTATATCCAACTACACTTAGATTTCTTCAACTACGCTACTCAAACATCTTATCTAAAAGTGAATGCCCCATTTTTCCCTTCATCCATCCTCACCTCAGTCTTTCTTAAATTACTGTACCTTGTGAGACTATTCACTATTTATTGTATACTAAACTTTTGTTCTTTACAAATTCATATCTTATGGATGACTCCCTTTTGGAACTTAATGTGTTCAATCAACTTTGAGGTTACTTTATTCCAGAATTAATTATCCATTGTAATAAGCTAAGTTTTTTTAAACAAAAAATACTACCATAGTTGTGCTAATAAAAATAGAAAGTAAACCTGGAATATAAGACATACTCCTGTACTATTCAAATGGGATATTACCTCCAGATAAATAAATGAAATTTCAGAACAGGGAATAAACATAACTTGAAATTGTAGCCAAATAATTTTAGAGTTGAATAAAGACTAATACAATAACGATGTTTTAAAATGAAGGCACTGAATATTAGAAAAAGTGTTAGTGGGAGAAAATTTTTGCAAGCTACCCATCTGACAAAGTCTAATATCCAGAATCTACGAGGACCTTAAACAAATTTACAAGAAAAAAAATCCACCAAAAAGTGGGCAAAGGGTATGAACAGACACCTCTCAAAAGAAGACATTTATGCAGCCAACAAACACATGAAAAAGAGCTCATCATCACTGGTCATTAGAGAAAGGCAAATCAAACCCACAATGAGATACCATCTCACGCCAATTAGAATGGCAATTATTAAAAAGTCAGAAAACAACAGATGCTGGTGAGGATTTGGAGAAATAGGAATGCTTTTATTCTGATGGTGGGAGTGTAAATTAGTTCAACCATTGTGGAAAACAGTGTGGTGATTCCTCAAGGATCTAGACCCAGAAATGCCATTTGACCCATCAATCCCATTACTGGGTATACACCCAAAGGATTATAAATCGTTCTACTATAAAGACACATGCACACGCATGTTTATTGCAGCACTATTCACAATAGCAAAGACTTGGAACTAACACAAATGTCCATCAGTGATAGACTGGATAAAGAAAATGTGGCACATACACACGGCGGAGTACTAAAAAAAGAATGAGTTCATGTCCTTTGCAGGGACTTGGATGAAGCAGGAAGCTATCATCCTCAGTAAACTAACACAGGAACAGAAAACCAAACACCATATGTTCTCACTCATAAGTGAGAGCTGAACAATGAGAACACATGGACACAGATAGGGGAACATCACACACCGGGACCTCTTGGGGGGTGGGGTAAAGGGGAGGGAGAGCATCAGGAAAAATACCTAATGCATGCGGGCTTAAAACCTAGATGACAGGTTGATGGGTGCAGCAAACCACCATGGCACATGGATACCTATGTAACAAACCTGCACATTCTGCACACGTATCCCAGAACTTAAAGTAAAATACAAAATATATATGTTTCTTTTTTAAAAAAAGAAACATCAATTTCATTTAGCAGTTAGATTTTTTGAATCGCCAAACATTTGGTCACATTTCATATATCAATATAAATTATCATTTTATATGACAAGCTGCAATCATAAAGGTATATCAGTTTGAAGTTACTTTGGAAAAATAATAACGTTCACACTATATTTGAAGAGAAAAGCAAACTGTGCTTTTTAACATAAAATAGTTTACATACAATCCTGTAGTAATTGTTCTCTTTTTCAACAATATAGCAATTGCCCATTATCTTAGAAAAAGCAAGTTGGGACACTTTTGATAGAGAATGTACATTGTTATAATTCATTTGTGCCATACATAGCCAGCAAATGTTTTTAAGCATTTAGAGATAAATTGTTTCTGCTGTTTTCTACCAGTGTCATTTATCTATCAAATTCTTGATAGATGGACAGATTTCCTGCACTCATAGTCTTCAAACTAACTCCTTGGAAAAATTCAGAGTAAATTGATGATAAGTTCACTTTACATTCAAGAGTTTGTTGCTCATATAATTGGCCAACACATGCAACACAAGCTTCACAAGCACTCTATTTTAAACCTTTTGACCACATTGGGTTGTCAAAGCACTTAGAGATGCTTTTCTTTAGTAGAAGTAACTTACTAAGTTATGGCTGACAGGTAATTTAAAATTTAATTGTATTATTAGAGTAAATGAATGTTTATCTAGTGATCCGACAGCACGGTATAGAGTATTATTACAGATTTCACTAGTAGATCAATAACATGATCTCAAGACTTTCATTGGTCGGTCTTAGCGCGCCCCCTATGGCCACTAGGGAGAAAATTAAAACTAACTAAACCGAAACTTAAGTTTACTTTGTAAGCATACAACATTCCTTATCACAAACTAAACTTCCTTTTCACTCACCCAAAAAGCTGAGGGTAAAATTTACATTTTATTTGGCTCAACAGATCTGTGGTAAACAGTTATTTTCATACTGGAGACGCTCAACTGTGAAACAACCCCACACGCAGTGTCTAAACTGACATTTTTACTACGGAATAAACAATCTTCACTATCATCCTTTACACTGAACATTAACAATCAGTAACTACAATGTTTTCCCTCTTTGTGCTTCTTCACTTTAATGATATGTATTGCCTTTTCCCTTAAAATAATCGTCATAATAGCTCCATAAGTTTCAGTTAGAAACTAAGGGTTAATTTCCAGCAGGCAAGCCTGAGATCTGCTAAATGGGACTAAGGAGTCTAAAAGGAAAAAAATAAAAACAATATTTCCTTCATCTCCCTGCCTCGCACTCAATCCTCCACCCGGTTGTTTATAAACAATCCCCTCGACTGTGGATGCCAAATTGTTCCTTTGGGCTGTGCCAGCCCCAGGACCTCACTCACCTAAAGGATACCGTTGCAGCTCCACCAAACGTCTGTGAAACGGGGCCTTACGCCTCTCTCCTGGCCCGTGTGTGTGTGTGTGTGTGTGTGTGTGTGTGTGTGTGTGTGTGTGTGTGTGTGTGTGGTCAGGGCGTGTGTATTCGCCTGGCCCGTGTGTGTGTGTGGTCAGGGCGTGTGTGTTCGTGTGCGCGCCGCTTCGCTAACGCAGAGTCCTCGCCAGACGCTCTGGGAAACAGGTGTTGCAGGGGGCGCAAGATCCAGCGACACCTACAGACTGGGGGTGACGCCCCCGACTTGGCCGTGTGGGGAACAGCCGAAGCAGAAGCAGGGACCCTCTTCCTGGAGCCCAAGAGAAGCTTCCAGACTCACCAATTTGGCGGGCACGGGGCAAACTTGTAGCCGGAAGCGAGGCGCAGCTGGGGCAGCCCGGGCCGGGTCCTGCCGCACTGGAGCTCCGGGTTGGTCCCACTATCTGAGGGGAACCGCTGGAGTTCGGGTTTGACCCTCAGTCCCCTGCCGCCCGCGGCAGCTAGCGGGAGGCGGGAAGGGAGTGGCTGCTGGAGCGGCCGGCAGAGGCTCGTGCTCTTCCTGGGAGTCACCGGGTCCCGCAGCTCAGGGGGTGGAGGTCACGGACGCCGCTACCGCCAACTCGCAAGGCCTCTGCTTCCCTCTGTCCCAGGATCCAAGGCCCTGTCTCTAGGAGAGTCCTGGGTCCTCGGGGAGTGGTCCAGAGGGCCCCTCCTGTCGTGCCCGCGCTGACCATCTGCCCCAGGACAAAGGCTCCCGAGGCTAGGTGGGCCTTGCTTCTGGGCTGTTGGCTGCCGGGTCCAGGAAGCCCTCTGAAATTTTGTCTCTGACCTGACCAGATTGGACTTGCATACTTATAGAGAAATGTCAATCTGTGGCCCAAAATATTGAACTCATGATGGTAGGTGAGGTAGGAGGCGGTATTAGACTCCAGAGGCGGGGCTCGGACAGCAGACCAAATTGAGAACTAGCTAACACATGGTGAGGGGAGCAGCATCCCATAAGACACGCTCACCAGTGTGCCATGTCAGTTTACTATTGCCGTGGGATTACCCAAAGTTACCACCCTCATCATAGAAATTTCTGCATAAACTGCCCCTTAATTTGCATATAATTAAAAGTGCGTATAACTATGAGTGCAGAACTGCCTCTGAGCTGCGACTCTGAGCACACTGCCTGTGGGGTAGCCCTGCCACAAGGAGCAGTACCTCTGCTGCTGCTTTACACTGCAGCTTCAGTAAAAGTTGCTGTTTACCACCACTAGCCTGCCCTTGAAATCTTTCCTGGGCAAAGCCAAGAACCCTCCCTGACTAAGCCTCAATTTAGGGGCTTGATTATCCTGCATCATTGATAATTTTTAATCTCTTACAATTATTAAAGAAGAATTTTAGCTATATATGAAAAAGTGAGTTTTATCCCAGCAGATAATGTTCCAGCTACTTAATGAAATTTAGAACAAAACACTGATGTCTCCCTTAATGCTACATTTCACAATGTGATCCATATTCAAAATATTTGTTCTCAGTTTTCTGAAACAACCCATATAAAATGTCTTAAATACACTTGTTAAAATCGTTCAGTATACACGTGCAAATGATATGAATCATCTCCAGTTTATGAAGCTATTGAAAGAAATAGAAGATGATTTATTTAATGGTCTTGTACTCTTTGCCATACTGATTAATTATCAAAAGAGCTTTACAAAATTTGCCTGAAAGTAAACAGATGCTTGACAAATATTCAATATTCAAAGGCCCTAAAATTGGTGATATAATTTGTCTTTGCCCTCTATCACACTGCAGATGAATAAGCTAACTGAAACTCCATGAAAAGGGACATCTTATTTTTGACTTATTAGGTGCCGGAATTTATGTTGACATCAAAACTTTCCATAATAAAATATTTTAAACCTTTTCTAACATCAACCTGCAAAATATTTTTATTTTGATCAGCAGCATTAATTAAATTTGCTGTGAAAATCTACAAGAAAAATTTGAACACTTCATTGATATGTATAAATGTAGCATTACTTTTTGATTAATAGAATACTGTTTTGAATTCAATATTAATACTGTGTGGCTCAAGAGTTAGGGAATTTACTTAATTTGCACAGAAAAAAATTTATTTCTGATGCAAATGTAATATCTAAATTGAGATATGCTATAAGTATAAAATACTGAATTGCAAAGATGATATGAATATAAAAGTATAAAATATCTCATTAATACAATTTATATTGTTAATGTTTTGATATATTGAGTTAAATAAAAAGTATTAAAATTAACTTCACTTGTTTCTTTTTACATTTTAAATTACATATATGGCTCAAATTATATTTCTATTTGACAGAATTTGTTGAGTAAATTTTAGTTACACTCTAATCTTCCCAAAGCTTATGTCTAAAATAGGAATACCTGTCTTTTCTACTTTACAAAAGTTTTTGAAAAATCATATTAAATACTGTGTGTGAGATAGTTTGGACAGGAAAAAATGCTCTCTACACAAGCACAGATTGTAAATGTTGACCATGAAAATCACAGTTAAAAAAACCATGCAGACTTCAGGAGGCAGAAAACATGTAATCAGGTTGTTACCCTACCTATAGGGAGTTCAAGAATTGTGTAGTAAAAGATTTAAAGGCATGTGTATAGAAATTATGGTTTAAAATTAAAGCTCTACAACATATTAAAGATCTCTCATGCACAGAATATAAAGTCCTGAGATTTTCATACCTCTACAAATAAAATATCTTGCCCATTACCTTAAGCACACTCTCATTTCTCTTCCTACCCCTCAACATACTATTAATTATTGATTAATTACAACATGTTATTCAGCTGAGACCATTCCATGTTAATTATCACAACACTTCAGTAATGTGTATTATGTCTCAATTTTTTTTTCCAAGAGACAAAGTCTCACTCTGTCACCCAGGCTGGTGTGCAGTTGTGCAATCATAGCTCACTTCAACCTCAGGCTGAATTTCCCACTTCAGCCTCACAAGTAGCTGGGCCTACAGGCAAGGGCCACCACGCATAGCTAAATTTCTTTTTTTTTTTTTTTTTTTTTTTTTGAGATGGAGTCTCGCTCTGTCACTCAGGCTGGAGTGCAGTGGCTCGATCTTGGCTCACTGCAAGCTCCACCTCCCAGGTTCACACCATTCTCCTGCCTCAGCCTCCCGAGTAGCTGGGACTACAGGCGCCCACCACCACACCTGGCTAATTTTTTGTATTTTTAGTAGAGACGGGGTTTCACCATGTTAGCTAGGATGGTCTTGATCTCCTAACCATGTGATCCGCCTGCCTTGGCCTCCCAAAGTGCTGGGACTACAGGCATGAGCCATCACGCCCAGCCACTCTTGGCTAAATTTCTTTAGTTTTTGTAGAGATGGGGTCTTGAACTCCTGGGAATCCTCCTGTCTCAGCTTCCCAAAGTGCTGAGATTATAGGCATGAACCATTGCACCTGGCCTATGTTCCCGTTTTTTAACATGAGAATGTGCTGTCCTGGATGTATATTGTGATTTTTCAAAAAATGACTTGGAATATGTAGCTGGAAACTGGGATATAAGTATTACAAAGGAGTAAAGCCTGGGATGGAAGTGTAATATTTTCCTGATCTTATATTGCTCAGATGCCTCAAGACAGTTTCATGATTCTTACAATGCTAACATGGATTTATTCTTTCTTAATATCCTGGATGAACATAGCAATGGAAAGAGGGGAGTAATGTGGACATGTGGATTTAATGGGCTTTCTTTTTTTTTCTTTCTGTTGAATAAAGTATGGAACAGCCATGAACTCTCAACAGTGTATTGTGTACAATGTTAGAGCACCAGCCATTGGAAGCCTGCTGAAAATGTGGTCCTCATTTTTGGCCTGGTAGCTCCCTGTGTGATTTGAGAGGCCCAAAGGGAAAGAGAGAGGGAGAAAGAGTGCAGACCTCGGTATAGAAGTGCCTTAAGGAATAAAACTAAATTGTTATGTTGGCAAATGTTACCTTGAAAATCAACAAGATCTATTATTTCACTTGTGGCCTTCATAATTACAGCTTTTAATACTTATATAAGTGTACTTCAGCTACAGCATCATGATTTTTAACATTTTAATATGTATCTTCATAAACATGCCATAAATATGTTATCAGCATTGAGGGCATTGCTTTACTTAGCAGAATTACCCAGTAATCTTATTTTGCTGATAGCTCTGAGTTTCTGAAAAATATCATTTAAAACTCATTAGCAAAATCTCTTAATGTATATAATGCTTCATGGTCTATTTACTTATTGTTTATATCATTATCTGTCTTATTTCTCTTACTAAGACAATTTTATCAGGACACTTAAGCACTGTAATTTTCTAGTTACTCCAATTTCTCCTGTGTATTTTATCAGATACAGTTCAATAATGTGTTGTCAGTTAAATCATTATAATTTTTAATATTTGATTTCTTATTGAAAAATATTAATTGTATATATTTATAGGGCATATTATATTTATATATAGTTTTGATATCTGTATACATTGTGGAATGATTAAATCAGCTAATTAAGATACCTATCACTTCACCTACTTATTTTTTGTGGTGGGAGTATTTAAAATGTATTTTTATTAGCAATTTTGGAGATACATTACTTTGAACTATAGTTATCGTGCTGTGCAATAGATTTTCAGAACCAATTGTCTAACTGAAACTTTGTACTCTTTAATCAATATCTATCCTTTCCCCATTCCCTCACTGCCCCCCACCTGCCAGATTCTAGTAAACGCCCTTCTACTCTTGACGTCTGCAAGTTCAAATTTCCAAAATTTCACATGTAAGTGAGATCATGCAGTATTTGTCTTACTGTGCCATGCTTATTTCACTTAGCATAATGTCCTCCAGGTTCATCCTGGTGAGGATATGGAAAAAAGGGAACCCTTTTACACTGTTGGTGGGAATGTAAATTGGTACAGCCATTATGGAAAACTAAAAATAGAATTACCATATGATCCAGCAATCTCACTTCTGGGTATACATATCCAAAGGAATTAAAATCAGTATGTTGAAGAGATAAATCATTACAATTTCATTGAAGGTTTTATTTAATCGAAGTTTGAGAATGTCTAAAAAATATTGATGAAAGTTTTATTACCAAAAGTTAATCTGGTTTTCTAAAAACAGTTTATATTAATTCACTTTGTTTATGCTATAATTCTTTGAAAAATGAATTTAAATAATAAGTTTACTATGGCAAAATTGCAGGGTGAAAGAAGGATAGATTTTAACCACACTGTTCCGACATGAATGGTGAGTGGTGACAATAGTGAAAATAAAATATAATACAGTCAGACAGAGTAATATAAAGCTTAAACAGCCCTAGGAGATAGAAGTTTTCATCCAAGACTTACTTCTAATTAACAGTTGCCTTCAGACAGGTTATTTAACAACACTAGGCCTCAGTTTCTCTTTTTGATAAAAAGATGGTGTTGAAAAGATTGTTTTTCTGATTCTTTGCACATCTATAATTGTAAGTAAGGATAAATACAAACAGCTAAAATATCTATGTTGATCTTGGGAGACATTTATTGCTTAGAGGAAGTTTCTCTAAACTATTGGCATTGTGGCAATAGAAGGATGGATATATCTGACATATAATTTTGTTGCTGATATGATCTCATTGTTATCAACTAGATGGCTTTATTTATTTATTTATTTATTTTTGGCAAGTTAGTACATACACTGATTTGTGTTCCAGATCTTAATCATCCCCATCCCCGCTGAAATGGGTGCATACCTTGAATTGTTTAAACACCCTTGCGATATCTAGGGAAATGATGAGGATTGAATTTGACTCAAACCGATGACTGTTAATTCTAAAGCTAAGAAAGAGTTTAAAATTCTTCATGTATTAATATAATCAAGTTTGTGCAGAAAGAAGTTGAAGATTGGTTTGTTAATCCACTACTTAGATGATTTTAATTAAAGCATTTAATAATTAATTTAAAAACAATTAATTTAACTTGAATTTATTTAAACACCATTTTTTGGTAGTGACTTATAAGAAAAACTTAGAATTTAAGAAGGAAGGTGTGTTTGAGTTTTGCTCTGACAATCTATCACAAAAGTAATCCTATCTATATTTCAGCGTCTCTCAAAATGTTATGATAATTATTCTGATTAAAAAAATCAAACTTTCTAAAACATGTTGGTGTGTAAGGTTGATGAAATTAGATGTTCTCTTAGAGCTCTGCATGACAAGCCAAGATTCATATTGGTTAATAAATCATGATTTACTAATGGAAAAATTTCACTAGGGATACCTGAAGACCAAACTTCATGTAAAATAGGAAGATTCAGAGTGCTCACAGGTATTGATGATATAACGGTCACAGTGCAGTTTTCTTAATATGAATGGGCTAGGACAGCAGAAGAGGGAACTATTTATCTAGAGAATATTAATCTTATAGGAATGAATAAGAAATATTACTGGATAAAATTTGCCAGAATTTGGAAGAGCTAACATCTATTGCAATAGAGGCAAATTGAATCAATGGGAGTTACATTGACTTAAATGAGAAAGAACCAGAAAAATGATTGTGGTAATATGACAAAACAAGGTTTATAACACCCCAAAAGATCATACTAGTTCACCAGCAATGGATCCAAACCAAGACAAAATTTCTAAATTGCCAGAAAAATAAATCAGAAGCTCAACTATTAAGCCAACCAAGAAAGCACCAGAGAAAAGTGAAGGACAACTTAAAGAAATTTTTTAAAAGATACAGGATGTAAATAGAAAAATTTCCAGAGAAATAAATAAATAGCATAAATTTTTAAAAAATCACAACTTCTGGAAATGAAGGATACACTTAGAGAATTGCAAAATGCACTGGAAAGTCTCAGCAATAGACTCAAATAAGTACAAGAAAGAAATTCAGAGCTTGAAGACAAGGCTTTTGAATTAACCCAATTCAACAAACACACACAAAAAAATAATTTAAAAAAATGAACAAAGCCTCCAAGAAGTTTGGGATTATGTTAAATGTCCAAACCTAAGAATAATTGGTGCTCCCAAGGAAGAAGTTTGGAAAACATATTTTAGGGAATAATTGAGAAAAACTTCCCTGGCCTTGATATAGATCTAGACATCCAAATACCAGAAGCTCAAAGAACACCTGGGAAATATATTGCAAAAAGATCACCTAGGCATATGGTCATCAGGTTATCTAAAGTTAAGAGAAAGGAAAGACTCTTAAGAGCTGTGAGGCAAAAGCATCAGGTAACCCATAAAGCAACCTACCAGAGTAACAGCAGATTTCTCAGCAGAAACCCTACAAGCTAGAAGGGATTGGGATCCTATCTTTAGCCTCCTTAAACAAAACAGTTAGCCAAGAATTTTGCATTCAGTGAAACTGAGCTTCACAACTGAAAGAAAGATACAGTCTTTTTCAGACAAACAAATGTCGAGAGAATTTGCCACTACCAAGCCAGCACTACAAGAACTGCTCAAAGGAGCTCTAAATCTGACACAAATTCTCAAAATACACAAAAATAGAATATCCTTAAAGCATAAATTTCATAGGACCTATAAAACAACAACACAATGAAAAAAATCCCAAGATATTCAGGCATCAAAGAGCATGATAAATAGAATAGTACCTCACATCTCAATACTAATGTTGAATGTAAATGACCTAAATGCTCCACTTAAAAGGTACAGAATGTCAGAACGGATAAGAATTCACCAACCAACTATTTGCTGTCTTCAAGAGACTCACCTGACACATAAGGACTCACATAAACTTAAGGTAAAGGTGTGAGAAAAGATATCCCATGAAAATGAACACCAAAAGTGAACAGGAGCAGCTATTCTTATATCAGACACAACAAACTTTAAAGCAACAGCAGTTAAAAAAGACAAAGAGGGACATTATATAATGATAAAAGGACTAGTCCAACAGAATATCACAATCTTAAATATGTATGCATCTAACATTGGAGCTCCCAAATTTATAAAAAAAATTATTACTAGACCTAAGAAATGAGATAGCAACACAATAATAGTGGGAGATCTCAATACTCCACTGACAGCCCTAGACAGGTCATCAAAATATAAAGTCAACAAAGAAACAATGGACTTAAACTATACCCTACAACAAATGGACTTAACAGATATTTACAGAATATTCTATCCAACAAATGCAGAATATACATTCTATTCACCAGCACATGGAACATTTTCCAAGATAGACCATATAATAGGCCCCAAAACAAAGTCTCAACAAATTTAAGAAAATCGAAATTATAGCAAGCACTCTCTCAGATCACAGTGGAATAAAATAGGAAATCAACTCCAAAAGGAACCCTCGAACCCATGCAAATACATGGAAATTAAGTAACTTGCTCCTGAATGATCGTTGGGTCAACAATGAAATCAAGATGGAAATTAAAAATCTCTTTGAACTGAACAATAATAGTGACACAACATATCAAAACCTCTGCGACATGGCAAAGGTGGTGCTAACAGGAAAGTTCACAGTATTAAATGCCTCCATTTAAAAGTCTGAAAGAGCACAAATACACAATCCAAGGTCACATCTCAAGGAGCTACAGAAACAAGAATAAACCAAATACAAACCCAGCAAAAGAAAAAAATAATAATAACCAAGATGAGAACAGAACTAAATAAAAATAAAACAAAAAAATACAAAACCAGTACCACAGAAATACAAAAGATCATTCAAGGCTACTATGAACACCTTTATGCACATAAACTAAAAACCTAGAGGAGATGGATAAATCCCTGAAAATATACAACCCTCCTAGATTAAACTAGGAAGAAACAGAAACTCTGAACAGACCAATAACAAACAGTGAGACTGAAATGGTAATAAAAATATTGCCAACAACAATGAAAAAGTCCAGGACCAAATGCATTCATAGGTGAATTCTAGCAGACATTCAAAGAATTGTTACTAATCCTATTCACACTATTTCAAAAGACAGAGAAAGAGGGAATCCTCTCCAAATTATTCTATGAAGCCAGTGTTACCCTAATACCAAAATCAGGAAAGGACATAACAACAACAACAAAAAAAAACTACAGACAAATATCCCTGATTAACATAGATGCAAAAATCCACAACAAAATACTAGCTCACCCAAATCCAACAGCAAATCAAAAAGATAATCCACCATGATCAAGTGGATTTCATACCAGGGATGCAGGGATGGTTTAACATACACAAGCCAATAAATGTGATACACCACATAAAGAGAATTAAGAACAAAAATCACGTTATCATCTCAATAGCAACAGAAAAAGCATTTGACAAAATCCAGCATCGCTTTGTGATTAAAATCCTCAGCAAAATTGGTGTACAAGTGAAATACCTTAAGGTAATAAAAGCCATTTATGACAAACCCACAGCCAGCATTATGCTGAATGGGGAAAAGTTGAAAGTATTTCCCCTGAGAACTGGAATAAGACAAGGATGCCCACTCTCACCACCTCTATTCAACATAGTACTGGAAGTCCTAGCCAGAGCAATGAGACAAGAGAAAGAAATCAAGAGCATCCAAATTGGTAAAGAGGAAGTCAAACTGTCATTGTTTCTTTGTGACATGATCATATACCTAGAAGACCCTAAAGACTCATCTAAAAAGCTCCTAGACCTGGTCAATAAATTCAGCAAAGTTCTAGGATATAAAAGTAATGCACACAAATCAGTAGCCTTCCTATACATGAACAGCAACCAAGCTGAGAATCAAATCAAGAATTCTACTGCTTTCACAATAGCTGAAAAAAAATACTTAGGAGTATACCTAACTAAGGAGGTGAAAGGCCTCTACAAGGAAAACAATGAAACACTGCTGAAAGAAATCAGAGATGACACAAACAAATGGAAACACATTGCAATTCCGATAAAAACACAACCATCATTCTTCACTGAACTAGAAAAAACAATGTAAAAACAACCTAAAATCCATATGAAACCAAAAAGAGCCCACATAGGCAAAGCAAGACTAAGCAAAAAGAACAAATCTGGAGGCATTATGTTACCCATCTTCAAACTATACTATAAGGCCATAGTCACCAAAATAACATGGGACTGGTATAAAAACAGGCACATAGACCAATGGATCAGAATAGAGAATCCAGAAATATAGCCAAATACTTACAGCCAACTGATCTTCAGCAAAGCAAACAAAAACATAAAGTGGGGAAAGGACACCCTATTCAACAAATGGAGCTGGGATAATTGGCAAGCTACATGTAGAAGAATGAAACTGGATTCTCATCTCTCACCTTAAACAAAAATCAACCTAAGATGGATCAGAGACATAAATCATTGGAGAAACCCTTCTAGACACTGTCTTAGGCAATACTTCATGACAAGAACCCAAAGAAAACACAACAAAAACAAAGATAAATAGATGGGACCTAATTAAACAATAAAGCTTCTGCACAGCAAAAGAAATAATCAGCAGAGTAAACAGACAACCCACAGAGTGGGAGAAAATCTTTGCAAGCTATACATCTGACAAAGGATTAATATCCAGAATCTACAACAAACTCAAACAAATCACCAAGAAAAACCAATTAATCCCATCAAAAAGTGGGCTAAGGACATGAACAGGCAATTCTCAGAAGAACATATACAAATGGCCAACAAACATATAAAAATATGCTCAGTATCACTAATTATCAGGGAAATGTGAATCAAAACCACAATGCAATACCACCTTACTCATAATCAAAAAATTAAAAAAAACAGATGTTGGCGTGGATATGGTGAAAAGGAAACACTTTTACACTGCTGGTGGGAACATAAACTAGTACAACCACCATGGAAAGCAGTGTGGAGATTACTTAAAGAGCTAAAAGTAGATCTACCATTGATCCATCAACCCCACTCCTGGGTATCTACCCAGAGGAAAATAAGTCATTATATGAAAAAGATACTTGCACATGTATGTTTATAGCAGCACAATTCACAATTGCAAAAATATGGAACCAGTCCAAATGTCCATCAATCAAAGAATAAAGAAATTGTGGTGTATATATACCATGGAATACTACTAAGCCATAAAAAGAAACAAAATAATGGCATTCACAACAACCTGGATGGAATTGGAGACCATTATTCTAAATGAAGTAACTCAGAAATGGAAAACCAAACGTAAGTTCTCACTCATAAGTGGGAGCTAAGCTGTGAGGATGCAAATACATAAAAATGATACAATGGACTTTGGGGACTCAGGGGAAAGGGTGGGAGGGGGTGAGCAATAAACAACTACACATTGGATACAATGTACACTGCCCAGAATTACAAAATCTAAGAAATTACCACTGAAGAACTTATTCATGTAACCAAACACCATGTGGTCTCCCAAAAACCTATTAAAAAAAAAAAAAAAGAATCACAGATGGAAACATTCTACTCGTGAAACAACATCAATAGCCAACTGTGGTAGGACACATAGTTCCCTACCACCAGCAACAACAGATATCTATACCTTAATCCCAGAAAACTTTGAATTATGCCTTATATGGCAAAAAAATGTACACAGTATCTTCAGATGGAGACATCATCCTCGATTATCCCAGTGGGCCCTAAATACAATCACAAGTGTCTTTATAAGAGGAAGTCAGAGGGATATTTGACATATATAGAAGATGATGAGGTAATGTGACCATGGAGCAGACATTAGAGTGATGCTGCCACAAGCCATGGAATGCTAGCAGCCACAAACATAGAAGATGATGAGGTAATGTCACCATGGAGCAGACATTAGAGTGATGCTGCCACAAGCCATGGAATGCTAGCAGCCACACACAGCTGAAAAGGAAAGAGACGGATTCTCCTCTAGATCCTCAAGAGGGAGTGCAGTCCTGTTGACACCTTGATTTCAATCCAGTGATACTATTAATAATTTCAGTTACCTAGCCCTCAGAACTGTGAGAGAATAAACTCATGTTGTTTTAAGCCTCCCGGTTTGTGAAAACTAATATACCAACATAAACCTCAGTTTTTCATGGAAAAGACTGTGGAACCCCTAATACCAACCTCACTTATCAACAAGTATAGATAACAAGATTTGATGCTTATCTGATGACATATGAATTATCCCAATATTATGATAGAAATAGTGAAAAGTTAATAACTTTACAACATTATTTTCATAAATTATTTCATGCTTAATAGTTTCACAACATTCTATGGAATAGATTACCATAGTTAATTAAGCCATCTCTGATTTGTGGACATTTATATTATTTTCAGTTTTTTATTATTGAAAGCATATCATTGAAGGATATTCTATTAGCTAAATCCTTGTCTACATCTATCATTATTTTCTAAAGATGCATTTCTAGAAGTGGAATTGCTGGATCAAAGTGAACATTTTAAAATGTCTATTATGTGTTAATCAATTGCCTTTCCAGAAATCAGCCTTCTGCTGATTTGTGTTTTACCAGCAGTATATGGAAATGCTCACTCTCCCAAAAAGAACACAGTTCATATACCTATTTTAAAAAATCTTAAATTGACATGTGAAGTGTTATCTCATTATTTTAACTTGAATTATTTATTTGTTGGATTACCACTGAGGTTGAACATTTTTTCATGTGTTGACTGACGACTTCAATTTTTTTCTTTATGAATCACCTCCCCATTTCCTTTGCTTGGAAGAACTATTTAATTATGTGAAAATAGTTATTGACACATTTACGTTTAAATTTTTTTAAAAAGCTTATTTTTCTACATTTAAAAATAAAATGTAATGAGTTTCTTAGGAAGTGAGGTCAGCAGGTTAGTTTCACTTCTTAGCAAATTTTATCACTATTATGGGAACACTAACAAATGCAGAACATAACTTGGAGATTGACAAGTACAAATTATTTTTTCCTCTTTAATTCTTCAAAGCACAAACCTTTTATTTCTCAGTTTGGTGGTGGTATTTTTAAATGAATCATGCTGTTTCTGTTTCCATTTTGTACCTAATTCTTAAGTATTTAAGCAGAATCAGTTTGCTATTTATCATATAAACAACAGCTATGATTATTTGGTCATTATTTAAAGAGTGTCAATATTTAATTGCATTTTATTAATTGAATATTTCTCCAAAGAAAAAAAATGATTCCAAAGAATGTAATGCACAGTATGTAGCTAAAAATCAATAATCTTTTTTATATAAGATTATGATGAATGGAATGATTCTTTTTGGAGGAGATAACAGATTGGTATAATGGTTTGGGTTTATTATTTACTATTTTTTAAAATGTTAGATCAGGATTTTGGAAAAGAACTTTCACCATTTATCTCCCAGTCTCCAAATTTCCATGGTCTCTTATAAAACTTCTTTGAACTGGTTATTATGATTCTTCATATCCTTGTCTTTTCTACCAACAGTTTTTCTGATGTGAAATTTCAATGTCTATAGATACAATCTCTTCTTGATGTAAGATGTTGTTCCATCCACCCCACCAACCTGTACTATTGAAGGCTCAAATTATTTTCTATATTTACCACAAACTTACCCTTAAATGTTCCAGTCCCCAACTAAGCTCCCACTGGCAAACTGCTATTGGATCTGTGCTCATCATTCTGTTTGCTTGGTACAGAGCTTACTTATATTCTTGTGCTATGTCTTCTATGCAAAATTAAACTGTAGGAGGGAAAATTTATCTCTCATTTACAATTTCAGTATGGCTGGTCTTCACTGGAGAAATAATCCAAGATTCTCTCCACCATGCACCCAACCAACTCACTCCTCTCCAGGAAGAAATGACTTAGCTGATGAGTGAGTTGGAAAACATAACTGAATGTATGTACTCAACCACCTACTCTTTGCTTCCTCTTTATCTCTGTCTCATTATAAAGAAAATAACACATTTTCATTTGCTCAATTATAGTGGGGCAGGGCTACACTTTTGAGGGTAATTCCTCTGTGGTTCAGGGAAGTGTTTACAAGCCATCTGGCAAGTCCTAAACTGTCCATTGTCCACTGTCCCCTATATAATAGCTTTCTCTATACTAAAGGTGAGGTTGTAATCTACGTATTTCTTTTTTTTCTTTTTTTTTTTTTTTGTTTTTTTTGGAGGCAGAGTCTCACACTGTCACCCAGGCTGGAGTGCAATGGTGCGATCTTGGCTCACTGCATCACTGCAACCTCTGCCTCCCGGGTTCAAATGGTTCTCCTGCCTCAGCCTCCTGAGTAGCTGGGATTACAGGTACCTGGCATCATGCCCCACTAATCTTTTTTGTATTTTTAGATATAGGGTTTCACCATGTTGACCAGACTTGTCTTGAACTCCTCACCTCGTGATCTGCCCGCTCGGCCTCCCAAAGTGCTAGGATTACAGGCGTGAGCCAACACGCCCGGCCTAATCTATATATTTCTTAACTGATTCTCAATATTCTCAAATGATCCCGAAATCAAACAGATAACAAAATTGTATTTGAAGACTTTCCTTAGACCCTATGACTAGAATTTATGCTGTTTTCAAGCAGGCAATGCATCCTATATATTTTAAACTTATAATTCAGGTCTAGTTATACAAAAGTTATCAAATTATTTAATCATGATGGTAAGTATTATTTGAGTGATCAGGAGTTTGTAGATTTCCTCACATAGACTTCCCCAGTAAATCTTCACTTCAACTCTGTGAGGCAGGCATGGAAAGTTATTCTCCCTCTAGACAGATCTGAACACTGGGACTCAAGGAGGCTAAAGGACAAACTTAGTACCATATGATTTATAAATAGAATGATTTTATGTCACAGTTTGCTGCAGACATTCTCAATTTAAGAATATTGCCGTGGGAATATTTCCTAATGGAACTTCATTTATCCCAGTCTGAACACAAAATAATGGTATGATATGGTATGGTAACCACTATTTTAAGTGGTAAATACAAAGGAACCAAAATTAAACACTGATTAATAGGTTTGTTTTATAGTTTATCAAGTTGTTCTCTAATTCTCGTTAAATTGAGAGCGAATATGGGTAAACACAATTATGAAGTTCAACACTACATAAACTAAAAATATAATGGTATGGTTTGGCTTTATGTCCCCACCCAAATCTCACCTTTAATTATAATAATCCCCACATGTCTAGGTCAGGACCAGATGGAGGTAACTGAATCATAGGGGCAGTTTCCCCCATGCTGTTCTTGTGCTAGTGAGTGATTTCTCAAGATATCTGATGGTTTTATAAGTGTTTTGGCATTCCCCCTGCTTGCTCTCTCTCTATCCTGCTGCCCTGTGAAGAAGGTGCCTGTTACTCCTTTGCCTTCTGCCATGATTATAAGTTTCCTCAGGCCTCCCCAGCAATGTGGAACGTAAGTCAATTAAACCTCTTTCCTTTGTAAATTACCCAGTCTTGGGCGGTTCTTTATAGTAGTGTGAGAACAGCCTAATACATATAGAAAGCAGATATTCCCAAGTAATATCTTGAAAAAAGTAAAGAGTAAATTATAACAATCTATTCTTTTAAGTGTCATTACTTCATGATTCCAGGTGAAATGATAATGGTAGTGCTTTTATTTTATTTTCACTCTCCCTTGGAAAATATCTGCACAACTTTGGCTTTAAATGAAATTCCAAAACACTACTTATAAATTTAGTGTTTTCAAAGGGTCTTTCTTATTTATGCAATGTTTTGTAAAAGGAGGTTTGGGCCAGTATTAACCCTTGTGAGGCATTAATTGATTTTTCACAAAAAAAATGAATCTCTCTTTTTGCAGTTTCTTTTGTTCAGATTTTTCTCTTTCTGCCATTATTTTTCATTCTTTCCTTCTCTTATGCGGTAACTTTTATTGAAGTATAAGATAAGTAGAGACAAATGAACCAATCATAATGTACAAACTCACAAACATTCATAAGAAACCAACATAACCTGAACCTCAAAAAGCAATGCTTCTCTTTCTCTCTCCCTCCCTCCCTCACTCTCCCACTCTGTCTTAATCTTTCTCCCCTCCACTGTATTTCCATCTGCCTGACTCGGAGGCTTACCGCTAGTTTGTTTTTGAAATTGAGTCATGAAAATTTATGAGATTTATGAGTTTCCCTAGAACCCTAAGAAACATGTAGCCTCGGTTTTTCATCAATAAAATGGGGGATGTTTACAATAATGCCCACCTCATTTTGAACTTCTGTAAAAGTTAAATGAGAAAAATGCATGTAAAGTACTTGCTACAGTTTTTGGTATACAAAAATGTTAAAGAAATGTAAATTGTATTGAATATTCCTCTGTTTGATATTAGGACTCACTGGATTACTCAAACAGCTTCATAATTTGTCTCCATATCCCTTATAGCTATCAACTCAAATCTACCTTAAACATTTCTGCCAGAGTTTTTATCTCCCACCACCCACAACGAGATCTGATTATATCATCGCCTTTCTCAAAATATATAAGGATGAAAAGTTTTTAAAACTTTAAATGGTTTTCATGATCCTTCATAAAATGATTCTAATCCATACCACCATATCTCTGTCTCATTTTAATCTCCATAAATTCAACTCTGGTCATACCAGAAAAATTCTGCTCTGTGACTATCCTTGCATTTTTGAACTTGGTGCCTTACTCATAATACCCTCTAAGCTTGAGAAAAATCTTTCTTTGTATCTATTTATTGAATTTACACATTTTCAAATTCAGCCTACATGTAGAGTCAGAATTAATTTTTCCTCAGCACATAGTCTACATTCCATTATTAGTATTTATCTCTTTATTGTCTATATAACTTTAGGCTGGTGTGTAAACATATTTCTAATAAGTATATAAAATGTATATGTGTATGCCATATAATATATATTCTTTAGCTAAATGTAATTCTATAACATACATTTAAGTAGCAAGATCATACATTCCTCATTGTCATCTCTAAGCATGACACTGACATGCCTTCAATGTAATTAAAATTCAAAAAAAGAAAGTTCACTGAGTTAAATTACCTTAAGATTTATACTATTAAAAATGCAGGCCAGGCACAGTGGCTCACTCCTGTAATCTTAGCACTTTTGGAGGCCAAGATAGGAGAATCACTTGAGCCTATGAGATCGAAACCAGCCTGGGCAACATAGGGAGAAACCATCTGTATAAAAAATTTAAAAATTAGCCCAGTGTGGTGGTGAACACCTGTTGTTGGAGCTACTCCAGAGACTGAGGCAGGAGGATTACTTGAGGAGTTTGGGGCTGCAGTGAGCTTTGATGGTGCCACTGCACTCCAGCATGGGAACAGAATAACACCCCATCACAAAAAAAAGAAAAAGAAAAAGAAAATACAATTGTATTATGGAATTCATATACATAATTGAATAAATATCTTGTAGAACTTTAAAACCATAATGTATAACTAGCAAGAAAACAAAATACAGTGAGTACATAATTACTTACAGTAATAACATTAAATTGTGTGAAGTGTTATAAAGTTTACACTGTGATTCTAATGTATGAATTTATTTGATCTTCCACAACAACCCTATGAAGTTGCCTTGAAGCCAAAACAATTTAAAATTAGAGTAACCTCTTTTCTAAGAAGGCATGTTGAGTTCTTTGCAACCCACGTATTGTACAAAACATCAGAAAGAGCTTCCTGACTTATAGAATCAAGTAATTAAAAATCTAACGTTTTTTTTTTCTGACTACCAGTCCTATATTGGTCACCAATGTGCTATAATTGGACAATTTCAGATATTCTATAAAAACTTCACTGATAACTTCCATTCAAAACCTAGAAACTTCTTCTTTATCTTATTATCGTTGGGAAGAATTGTGGTTTAACTCCCATTAATAATTTATTTTAAAGACAATTCACAAGCTTACCACATAAAATAAAATTTTTGCAGTAATTAGATGAAAGAAATAATAAGAACTCTCTGAAATCTGAGGTAAGAAAGAATGCCTCATGTTGCAGAAGTTTCCCTGGGAGGGGTGTAGAGAATGAAAAGGAAAAGAGGGGAAAGAAAGCATTAAAAAAATCCCTGTTGATGATAAACATTAGCAAAGTTTACTCCTACTACAAGACAATTTCCAATGGCTATATTTCAAAGGAAGTGAAAGCATAGAGAGTGGTATTAACTTATTTTAATACTATTACTAACTTATTTTTTCTATAACAAGTGCTAATAGAGTACTTTTGGGAAGGGTACAAAGTTTTTCAATGAACATTTAACAAAGTGATTTATTATTGTGGTTCTAAATCTGGTTCTAGATTAGATTGAATGTATTATTTGCATTATGGTAAATTCACATTTGGTATAGACTTTATGTTTTCACTTAAGCAGCAGATCACCACTTGAAGCCAAGTACAATATGGATAAGTTTCTGTTCTGAGTATATCAGGAAAGTGATTTTCTTTTTCACTCTGTACCTTCAAATCCTCTAGACTCATACATTAAGTCGAAGTGCAGCTATTCTCAATCTAGGTTTCTCAAGCATTACTTCGATGCATTTCATATCACAAAATCACTTCCTGTGTTCATTTATAAGCCTGAAAGAATATATGTAAAGAACCTAAACATATTTTTTTCTCTGTTACACATTGTTGGATGGATTGGAGTCATCACTGAATGCTGTTTCCTGTCTACTAGCTTAATCTCTATATAACACATATAATTCATACTCGAGTTAATAGATGTGACACATCTGATTGGGAGGGCTTTTTCAATTTAATTAAATTTAATTTTAAGTTGTGGGATACATGTACAGAATGTGCAGGTTTGTTACATAGGTAAAGGTGTGCCATGGTGGTTTACTGCACCTCTCAACCTGTCACCTAGGTATTAAGTCCTGCATGCATTAACTTTATCCTCATGCTCTCCCTCTCCTTGCCCCACTGACAGGTCCCAGTGTGTGTTGTTCCCCTCCCTGTGTCCATGTGTTCTCATTGTTCAGCTCCCACTTATAAGTCAGAATATGTGGTGTTTGGTTTTCTGTTCCTGTATTAGTTTGCTGAGGATAATGGCTTCCAGCTCCATTCATGTCACTGCAAAAGACATGATCTCATTGCTTTTTACAGTTGCATAGTATTCCATGGTGTATATGTACCACATTTTCTATATCTATCTATCACTGATGGGCATTTGGGTTGATTCCATGTCTTTGCTACTGTAAATAATGCTTCAATGAGCATATGCATGCATGTATCTCTATAACAGAATAATTTATATTCCTTTGAGTATATACTCAGTAATCAGATTGCTGGGTCAAATGGTATTTCTGGCTCTAGATCTTTGAGGAATTGCCACACTGTCTTCCACAATGGTTGAACTAATTTACATTCCCACCAACAGTGTAAAAGCATTCCTATTTCTCCACAGACTTGCCAGGATGTATTGTTTCTTGACTTTTTAATAATTGCCATTCTGACTGGCATGAGATGGTATCTCATTGTGGTTTTGATTTGCATTTCTCTAATGATCAGTGATGTTAAGCTCTTTTTCATGTTTGTTGGCTGCATAAATGTCTTCTTCTATTATTATTATTATTTTTCCAGACAGAGTCTCACTCTGTCACCCAGGCTGGAGTGTAGTGGTGCAATCTTGGCTCACTGCAACATCTGCCTCCCAGATTCAAGCGATTCTCCTGCCTCAGCCTCCCAAGTAGCTGGGATTACAGGTGCCCACCATCATACCCAGCTAATTTTTGTATTTTTAGTGAGACAGGGTTTTGCCATGTTGGCCAGGCTGGTCTCAAACTTCTGACCTCAGGTGATCCACCCGCCTCAGCCTCCCAAAGTGCTAGGATTACAGGTGTAAGCCACTGTGCCTGGCCAGATGTCTTCTTTTGAGAAGTGTCTGTTCATGTCCTTTGCTCACTTTTAAATGGGTTTTTTTTTCTTGTAAATCTGTTTAAGTTCCTTATAGATTCTAGATATTAGACCGTTGTCAGATGGATAGATAGTGAAAATTTTCTCCCTTTCCATAGGTTGCCTGTTCACTCTGATCATAGTTTCTTTTGTTATGCCGAAGCTCTTTAGTTTAATTAGATCCCACTTGTCAATTTTGGCTGTGGTTGCAGTTACTTTTGGCATTTTCATCATGAAGTCTTTGCCCATGCCTATATTCTGAATGGTATTACCTAGGTTTTCTTTTAGGGTTTTTACGGTTTTGTGTTTTACATTTAAGTCTTTAATCCATCTTTAGTTAATTTTTGTATAAGGTGTGAGGAAGGGATCCAGTTTCAATTTTCTGCATATGGCTAGCCAGTTTTCCCAGCACCATTTATTGAACAGGAGATCCTTTCTTCATTGCTTGTTTTTGTCAGGTTTATTGAAGATCAGATGGTTGTAGATGTGTCATGTTATTTCTGGGGTCTCTGTTCTGATAGAATAATTTATATTCTGATAGAATTGGTCTATATGTCTGTTTTGGTACCAGAACCATGCTGTTTTGGTTACTGTAGCCTTGCAGTATTGTTTGAAGTCAGGTAGTGTGATGCCTCCAGCTTTGTTCTTTTGCTTAGGATTGTCTTGGCTATATGGGGTCTTCTTTGATTCCATATGAAATTTACAGTAGTTTTTTCTAATTCTGTGAAGGACATTGATGGTATTTTGATGGAAATAGCATTGAATCTATAAATTACTTTGGGCAGTATGGTCATTTTCATGATATTTATTCTTCCTATCCATGAGGATAAAATGTTTTTCAATTTGTTGTGTCCTCTCTTATTTCCTTGAGCGGTGGTTTCTAGTTCTCCTTGAAGAGGTCCTAGACATTCCTTGTTAGCTCTATTCCTAGGTATTTTATTCTCTTTGTAGCAATTGTGAATGGGAGTTCATTCATGATTTTGCTCTTTGCTTGTCTGTTGTTGGTGTATAGGAATGCTTGTGATTTTTGTACAATGATTTTGTATCCTGGGACTTTTTACTTATCAACTTAAGGGGTTTTCAGGCTGAGATAATGGGGTTTTTAAAATATAGAATCAAGTCATCTGCAAACAGACAATTTTACTTTCTCTCTTCCTATTTGAATACACTTTATTTCTTTCTGTTGCCTGACTGCCCTGGCAAGAACTTCTAATACTATGTTGAATAACAGTGGTGAGAGAGGGTATCCTTGTCTTGTGCCAGTTTTCAAGGGAAATGCTTTCAGTTTTTGCCCATTCAATATGATATTGGCTGTGGGCTTGTCATAAATGGCTCTTATTATTTTGAGATATGTTCCATCAATACCTAGTTTATTGAGCGTTTTTAACATGAAGCCTTGTTGGATTTTATCAAAGGTCTTTTCTGCATCTATTGAGATAATCATGTGGTTTTTGTCTTTATTTCTGTTTATGTGATGAATTACATTTATTTGTGTATGTTGAACCAGTCTTGCATCTCGGGGATAAAGCTGACTTGATCATGGTGGATATATTGTTTGATATGCTGCTGGATTTGGTTTGCCAGTATTTTATTGAGGATTTTTGCATTGATGTTCATCAGAGATATTGGCCTGAAGTTTTCTTGTTGTTATTGTTGTATCTCTGCCAGGTTTTGGTATCAAGATGATGTGAGCCTCATAAAATGAGTTAGAGAGGATTCCCCCTTTTTTAATTGTTTGGAATATTTTCAGAAGAAATATTCCACCATTGCCTCTTTGTACCTCTGGTAGAATTTGGCTGTAAATTCATCTGGTCCTGGGATTTTTTTGGTTGGTAGGCTTTTATTACTGCTTCAATTTTAGAACTTGTTATTGATCTATTCAGGGATTCGGCTCCTTCCTGGCTTAGTCTTAGTAGGGTGTATGTGTCCTGGAATTTAATCATTTTTTTCTAGATTTTCTAGTTTATTTTTGTAGAGGTATTTATAGTATTCTCTGATGGTTGTTTGTATTTCTGTGACGTCAGTGGTGATATCCCCTTTATCATGTTTTATTGTATCTATTTGATTCTTTCCTCATTTCTTCTTTATTAGTCTAGCTAGTGGTCTATTTTATTTTTTTAAAAAAAACAGGTCTTGGATTCATTGATTTTTTGAAGAGTTTTTCATGTCTCTATCTCCTTCAGTTCTGCTCTGATCTTATTTATTGTCTTCTGCTAGCTTTTGGATTTGTTAGCTCATGCTTCTCTAGTTCTTTTAGCTGTGATATTAGGGTATCAATTTGACATCTGTCTAGCTTTCTGATGTGGGCATTTAGTGCTATAAGTTTCTCTCATAACAATGCTTTAGCTGCATCCCAGAGATTCTGATACATTGTCTCTTTGTTCTCATTGGTTTCAAAGAACTTCTTGATTTCTGCCTTATTTCATTATTTGCCCAGGAGTCATTCAGGAACAGGTTATTCAATTTCCATGCAGTTCTGTGGTTTTGAGTGAGTTTCTTAATCTTGAGTTCTAATTTGATTGCACTGTTGTATGAGACTGTCTATTATGATTTCAGTTCTTTCGCATTTGCCAAGGAGTGTTTTACCTCCAATTATGTGATTGATTTTAGAGTGAGTGCCATGTGGCACTGAGAAGAATGTATATTCTGTTGTTTTGAGGTGGAGAGTTCTGTAGATATTTGTCAGGTCCACTTCATGCAGAGATGAGTTCAAGTCCTGAATATCCTTGTTAATTTGCTGTCTCGAAGATCTGCCTAATCTTGACAGTGGAGTGTTAAAGTCTCCCACTATTATTGTGTGAGAGTCCAAGTCTCTTTGTAGTCTCTAAGAACTTGTTTTGTGAATCTGGCTGCTCCTGTATTGGGTGCATAAGATTGTTAGCTCTTCTTGTTGAATTGATCCCTTTACCAATATGTAATGCCCCTCTTTGTCTTTTTATCTTTGTTGGTTCAAAGTCTATTTTGTCAGAAACTTGGAGTGCGACCCCTGCTTTTTTCTGCTTTCTATTTGCTTGGTAAATTTTCCTCCATAAAGGAAAAATCACTTTACTCCAAAATTAAATATCCAGGGGAAAACTAACACACAAAAAGAACCCTACTGTGATGTATTGCAAAGACAAAAAAAGCCTTTAAGTTAAGTTTATCTGCTGACAATGCAGGAGCATCTTGTTTACATCACTGTGTTTTTCCTACCAGGTAAAAGTGCCATCTACAAATCTTTGCAATTTGAAAAATAGCCATAACTACTCACCGTGGTTATGTGCAAATTAAGCACTACTAGTCTTTAAAAGCACTCAATTGCTCTTTATTTAGCTTTTCATTTCTAGAATGACCTTTTAAAAAAAGGAGGGAATGGCTGAAACTGGATCCCTTCCTTACACGTTATACAAAAATTAACTCAAGATGGATTAAAGACTTAAACGTTAGACCTAAAACCATAAAAACCCTAGAAGAAAACCTAGGCAGTACCATTCAGGACATAGGCATGGGCAAGGACTTCATGTCTAAAACACCAAAAGCAATGGCAACAAAAGCCAAAATTGACAAATGGGATCTAATTAAACTAAAGAGCTTCTGCACAGCAAAAGAAACTACCATCAGAGTGAGGAGGCAACCTACAGAATGGGAGAAAATTTTTGCAATCTGCTCATCTGGCAAAGGGCTAATATCCAGAATCTACAATGAACTCAAACACATTTACAAGAAAAAAACAAACAACCCCATCAAAAAGTGGGCGAAGGATATGAACAGACACTTCTCAAAAGAAGACATTTATGCAGCCAAAAGACACATGAAAAAATGCTCATCATCACTGGCCATCAGAGAAATGCAAATCAAAACCACAATGAGATACCACCTAACACCAGTTAGAATGGAGATCATTAAAAAGTCAGGAAACAACAGGTGCTGGAGAGGATGTGGAGAAATAGGAACACTTTTACACTGTTGGAGGGACTGTAAACTAGTTCAACCATTGTGGAAGTCAGTGTGGCAATTCCTCAAGGATCCAGAACTAGAAATACCATTTGACCCAGCCATCCCATTACTGGGTATATAATCAAAGGATTATAAATCATGCTGCCATAAAGACACATGCACACATATGTTTACTGCAGCACTATTCCCAATAGCAAAGACTTGGAACCAACCCAAATGTCCATCAATGATAGACTGGATTAAGAAAATGTGGCGCATACACACCATGGAATACTATGCAGCCATAAAAAAGGATGAGTTCATGTCCTTTGTAGGGACATGGATGAAGCTGGAAACCATCATTCTCAGCAAACTATTGCAAGGACAAAAAACCAAACACCACATGTTCTCACTCATAGGTGGGAATTGAACAATGAGAACACTTGGACACAGGAAGGGGAACATCACACACCAGGGCCTGTTGTGGGGTGGGGGAAGGGGGGAGGGATAGCATTAGGAGATATATCTAATATTAAATGACGAGTTAATGGGTGCAGCACACCAACATGGCACATGTACACATATGTAACAAACCTGTACATTGTGCATATGTACCCTAAAACTTAAAATATAATAAAAAAAGAGGGAATGGCTTATAAGATAATAAGACTTATTAGTAAAAAGAACTTATGCAATTTACTTACAAAAATGGTCTTTAAAATGAGTATTGCTATATGAAAAGATGGCTGCTTTCCACATGTCACTTAAAAGTTTAATTCGCAAACTGAATTTTCCATTGTTACAGTCAAAATGTTATAATGTCCATTTTTACATGTAGAGATCAATGAATAATGCAGACATCTCACAACTCTTTACTTGAAATCCTAGTTAATTTGTGCAAGTTCCAAGCACAGTTGGGACAGTGTTGATTGTGGTTTAAGAAAAATGAATTAGAAGATAAAAGCTCTAAAAAACATGGAAGAATATCTACACAGAAGAGTTAGATGTCAAAATTATAGATGTTTCCACCATGTTATAGGGACCATCAAGATTCATTTTGCCTAGGAGATTAGCAATAAAAAATTCTAAACACTTATTTGACATACAAATTTTCTAATAAATAAAATGAACACCATTTTAGATTTGTATAACACAGAAAACAACATTTGATCTCTATTCAGATAAGTTTCACCTAATTGAAAAAGTAATACTTCAGAATTGCAGCCTGTACTTGTAAAGTGAAAATGTATATGTTGATTCTCCATTAAAGGAGTTGGATATTTTATTGTTCTTGTCACTGGGAAAGCATTTTATTCCTTTAACAGAATTATTAGTACCATCACCCTATCTTATCAAGGATTTAAGGCAATTATACAATGGAACGATACGCAAGTATCAAAGGAAAGAGGCCATTAAGACCAAATGTATTTCAGGTTCAAAAAGACTTTAGTTCATACAACAACAAAACTATATTAAAAGGTAAAATTTATTTCTGTGAGATTCTGTGGCCAATTTCCAATGATAAATTTTCTTATTGAGCACTGTATGAACCCAAAGATGCCTACATATACAAGTGCTAATCTTGAGAAGGAAATGATAAATGCTAAAGAGGAAAAGAAATACTAGACATCAATACTGAGGCAATATCATTTCAAGAAAACTTTAGTACTTTTCTTGTTGTATTCATTCACCTACTGATTTTTCTTTGAAGTTAAGAAAGGTTATCTAATTATTCAACAAGCATTTAATGGCTCTTGGGGAGTGCAATATTTACAACAATGACAGGCATTTTTTTCTTTACATTTATTCAATAGTTTAGCCATAACATATAATAACATTGGAGATATTTGAACAAACTGTTTATATCACGCTTACAGTTCTTCTGAATTCTCAAGAACTCACTCTACAGAGTAAATCTGTGTCATTCTGCAGCCTTGTTTTCTCAGGATTTTGAAGGCGCTCAGGTTTTCCTTTATTCTAATCTAGTGTGGGCATCTGTGCAATCATGTAAGGCAATGACAAAGTTATTTATACTCCACTTACTTTACTTTAAAAGGGAATTAAAATAGCTTCCTGATGGGAGTAGGTAAGAAATGGACTCTGACTGAGAGCCTAAGAAAAATCATTTCACTCAAAGTCAAATGACTCTAAAGTTCAAGCTTGTACAGGTTCAGTATAAACCATAAAGAATGTGCTGTGTTAGGCATTATGGGATATATCCTCCTAAAAGAAAAGCTGATGAAAAGAATACAAATTATATAAATGAAGATGATTTTTTAATGAAGATGATTTTTTAAAATTATTATTAAATATAAATTTTAAATTTATTCTTAAGTATTTAGTTGATGATGTGAAGTTTATGTCCATAGTAACTGCAAGGTAGTCTGAATTATATGACATCTAGAATTGTGTAAAATAAAATATTTTACATTCTGTAAGATGTTTATTATACTAACATCATCATACCATTTACATTCTTTGATTTTTAATCAAACCAGTTTAAATTCAGCAGTGTTCTACTTTAATATATTATTTTTATCTGTGTTTAAGTTTTGTTCATGGTGGGTTAACATTTGAAAAAATGCTGTGGTTAACAAGAAACTTTTCAGCTTTTATAAATATTTTACCCGTGTGATTTTTTTCAAAGATTTTAACATTCAACCACCATGCAGTGATTATATACATAAAGATCATGAGTTCCAGCCTCCAAAAGCAAATCAGACACTTAGTAAAATGAGTACATAAACTTAAAATTAAGTGGGCAACATGTCCAGAAAACAGATCAGATGGCAACCATGACTAAACAAAAACAAATTCTCCAAATGAGTATCTCAGAAAACCTAAAGTTTAAAATGCCCAGAGTGGAAGATGGCAATTCTGTGCCTTCCAACCCAATACTACACCATTTTTAACAATTAACAATGTTTGAGAGATGAATGGCCTTGACTTAATCATATTAATTTTGCAAGTCTAGTTCAACTAAAAATGAGAAAAACTCACTTAAGAAATGATATCCCAGACTAATTTACCAAAATCTTAAGAACAATTTTTGTAGCCTTTATATCAAAACAACCATTCATGGTGTTCTTCAATCCTGGAAATGGCTCCACAATATACTGACTAATTTCTTGCAACATTTTGGTAAAATAGATAAATGAATGGTTTTTGTAGTCTCATAAATGTAATTTTCTTTCAAATCATATTATCTTATTCTCTAATAAAAGTGCATTTATACACACACTAAAAGTATGTTATGTAGATTGTAAGCAATATAATGCCAGGGACCATGGCTTTTTAACTTTATTGTTTTTATATAGGCATAATATATACATTGTTTTCACATAGACATATATATATAAATCCCATAAGACCCAATGAAATTCTAATAAATGTTTGTTGATTGATTAATCCCTGTGTACAGATATTGCTTATAATAGGATCGGTTTTCGTGCCTATGTTAAACAAATCCAAAGCTTCCTCTGCTCAAGCAGTGTGTCCAATGGCATGAGATAGAAGTCTAGCAACTTGCACATAGTAGGCCTGCAGTAAACAAACAATATAAATAAATGAATAAGAAAGGAAGGAGGAAGAAAGATGAAGAAAAATTCTTTCTAATTTAAGTCAAAAACCAATACTAACTCCTGATTCTTATGGGTATTCTAACTAGTTTATTATGTTGCTTCTTCTCAATTTGTATAACCCCTTTCATCCCCAGTATTAATTCCCCACTTCTCTGTACCCTCTTCTGTGACACGGGAAGCTGACTCCTCCAGATTGCATCACTTGGGTTCTCTTCCAGCTTGGCTTCCAGATGGGTTCCACTGATAGTAGCCAGAGGCAAGAGAGTGGGAGAAGAGCGAGCTCAGAGCATTTCTCTCCCTTCTGTGGTGCAGTTACTCTGGCTACAGCTGCATTCTTCTAATCCTACTTCTCTGCTGGACAGCTCCTGCTCTTCCTGGTTTTTGGAAAGACTATTTTCTCTGCTGATCTCTTAACTACCAGATGATTGCTGCTATTGCTAGTCTCTGGGGAGCTCAATGACTTACTCAGTTGCATTTGACCTTCAGTAACCTTCAGTAATTAGTTTCAGCCTGAAAGTCTTTTTATTTAAGCTATCCGGTTATTATTCCTGCTGAGACTTTGACTGATACAATCATAAGTCACCCATCTTGGTTTTAGGTCATTTAATGATACCTAATCCATTACCAACTGATATGATCATTTTGAGCCACACTCTGAATTTTAAAAATCAAGATTTTAAAATTTGAACAAATTGCATTCTTATCTTGGCAATTCATATGTTTTACTTTATTGTTATAGAGAACTATGGAGAAAAAATCTAGAATACTGTGTTGCTTTAATATCCCTAAGGTCTTCTTGTCACCTTAACTCCTATTTCTTATTTTTTCTGAATGAAGGGTAGATAATAGATTTACACATGATAATAATAAACAATAAATATTTAGAGAGAATACTTATTGCCAGGCATTTTCAGACATGCATATATCGTCAAAATATCTGAACAAATATAACAATTATATTTACAACAAATGCTAAAGCTATATTAAATAACTTTAATATACCTAGGTAAGTAGAGCACTTTAACTGGTAGCTCTTTAAACCCAGCTGTTGGAAATGCAGGAGGGTATAGGTGACAATAACATTTTAACATCATTAAATTACAAAATAGACTGATAGATTAATTTTTTACCTTTTCATCAGTATTTATATTATTTATAACTAAGTCTACATCATCAGTAACTTTTAGAATGTGAAGGTTTTGTTATTTTCTATTATAAAACTGAAATAGCCATTCATGTTTGAAAAAAATCACATAAGTAATTACGCTGCTAAAAATCAGCACCACAAGCAGGAAATAAATGAGTAAAATATAACGTTTCATTTCCATTTGATAGCTTCATATCACAAATTAAATTTCCTCCTGTACTAACTATACCTTGCTTATCTCTGAAACCTCTTTTTCAATCTATTTTTTCATAAATTTAAAATCTTCTTTTGATGTTTTTTGGTTACATGTCATTTTGTTTTTAGCAATTGTCACAATAATGCTGTGTAATAAAACACCTCCAGACTCCGTGGTTTAAACAGTAATCATTTATCCTTTCAGATCTACAGGTCAGGCAGCATTTGGTGGATCCAGACTGTGCTGGGCTAGGTGGCTCTGCTTCATCTGTATCTCTGTGTAGGCTGGAGTAACCATGTTCCACGTCTTTGTCATTCTTCTTCAACCACTGAGCAGGGATCTGTATTTTTCTCAAGTGGATGGCAGAGGCACAAAGGGCAAGCAGAAATATGCTTAACATTCAGGCCCAGAACTAACACATTTTCACTTGAATCACATTGGATTGATCAGAATAAATCACTTAACCAAAATTATGAAAAAGCGGTAAGGAAACATACTCTGCTCTGTCAACAGGAAAAACTGCAAATGGCATGGAGGTAGAAAGGAGTGAACAATTGGGCTTAATTCATTTCTAGTATCTTTTTCTGTCTCTTATTGGCAATCTGTCTCTTAAGCTAACTTCTCTAAAACCCCTCCTCCTATATTCATCAAAAAGATTTTCATCTGTTAGTAAAACATTTTATGAAAGTAAGTTTTAAAATATTTTCTTTTCAAGTTCCCATTTGTTGTTTAAATAGTAACTACTAGAGGAGAGTTTAACCCTATACATTTAAAGGTGATAGCATAATGTTTATTGAAT
The DNA here is from genome assembly GCF_000001405.40 of Homo sapiens. Taxonomy (NCBI): domain Eukaryota; kingdom Metazoa; phylum Chordata; class Mammalia; order Primates; family Hominidae; genus Homo; species Homo sapiens. Next base: position 209,238,387 of record NC_000002.12, read on the forward strand.
GTAATATATTGAAAATTTAAGTGTAGAATACAGTACTTTTGTATTGGAAGATAAGTGATTAAGTAAATTACATGATCTTGTATAATCAATCATGAGAAGAGAAGTCTTTTTGTTTTACAAAGATTTACATTGGCAACCTGTATTATTCCAGTGGCAATAACCCTACAAACATATTTTAATAGCTGATTTTAAGGTTTAAATGCATTATTTTACAGTACAATTATTACAAATAAAAATGAAAGAAACATTTCTGAAGTATCTACTCCATCTCAGGAACAGAATAATGTCATATATTTGATATTATAAGTTATACACGCACACATACACACATACAGGCATTGCAACAGCCTAGAGATGAAGGTATTATATCTCTACTTTAGAAATGAGGATATTGGGGTTTAGAGAACCCCATAAATCACAAACCGAGTAAAACAGTGGCCCAACAAATAAAGTTTCCAGGCTAAATGGTATATTTATGAACAAAAAGGATACTATATATAGATTACATAATATTTTGGAAAGAGCTCTGGACTTTGTATCTGAAGTCATAGACTCACATTTTGAATGCCCTGTTTACTGTAGGAACTTGGGTAGTCAGAAACTTTTTTTGTAGTAGTAGTAGTTCTGAGGATTGAGTGGCATATGGAAAACAAACCATCACCTCTAATACTGACATAGTTTATAATAAAGAAATGGTTTTAGTCTGCTAACTACTCCATCAGTCTAGACTTTGAATCAGTCTAGTCCACACAAGAGGAACTTAGCTCTACATAGCAGACCAACTTCTCCAGCTGACTGCCTCCCCAAGACCAGCGTGTAGCAAGTGAAAGATTATCAATACCTCAGTCTCTCTCCCTACAAAGCAATGAGGAGAGGATAGGGAAAATATTCTTTCCTCAAATGAAAAGAGGATTGATATTCTAAAGAGGACAGGACAATATTGTACCTATACACATCAATGTACACACACAGAAACATATGTAATGATTCTATTTCCAATGAAGCTCTGTGTATTTTTTCTCTCAAAATCCTAAGGAACATTTCTGTCATTTACACCTGTGAAAGTCTTGATAAAACCCAAGTGTGATAAGACTTTAAAAAAACAAAAGCACTTTCAAACTTTACAAATTTTCTTTATAAGTGCTGGGAATTATTATTACTTACAAAACAGCAGTTTGTGAATCGAAGGTTTATATGCTATTTGGCATAATCCTTTTTCACAAAGCTCAATGAGACTTCTTTTAAAATTTAACAGAGGCTATCAAAAATTAATATTGCTGGTGCTAACATAGATAGAAAGAAATTAACATTTTAGGGGGAACCTACTTGGTGCCAGGGAAATTTGACATGTGCTGTTCACTCACGGCCAACCAGTTGGTTAGCTATTAGAGAAATCTGTGACTCACAAAAGTTACATAAGTGCCTAAATTTATATTAAGAATGTGCATAAAATCTGGAAAGAAGCCAATGGAAGTCTTAAATTAGAATAATTCCGTGACTTTTTAAAATTGTGTTTGAATAGATATTTTCTGCAAGGAATATTCTATGCCAACTATCTCTAAACTATTCATTTTAAAACATTTTTAAATACTGATAACTTTTAAAGCTTAGACTCTATAAAAATATGAAACTAATTACTATTGTTTATAATATATTTTGGCTCTTTAATAACTTTAATAATTAACTGCCATTTAAGTTAATCCATCCTGGTGTCAGAGTTATTAGAAATGCATAAAAGTGATGGTATAAATTACAGTGTCACACTTGGGAAATCCCTAGCGGAATTCTATAATGTGTAGAGAAATGATGGATTTCACTTATCATCTTCAGTTTTCAGCTGCATCTTTAGTTATATCACTTAAAGAATTACATATTGATGTATTAGGCACTGATCAGATATGTATATTATCTCTAACCTCCACATCCACACTGCAAGTTAGCTATTCTTATTCCCATGTTATAAACAACTAAACTAAACCTTCAGGAAGTTAAGTGAGTAGTCCGAGGCCTCAGAGCTAATGAGTAATAGAGCTGAGATTAGACCTCAAGTACTTTTCCCTCACTCCAACATCTGCTACTATATTACATCATGGCATCTCTCTTAAAAAATGAAATTACAATGAAAATATTACTTAAGAGGAAGTTAATAAAAACATAAAAATATATTTTAACATATTCATATTAAGTAGCCTATATTGCAACAAGCTTACTTTACCAGAATTAGTCCCTCCCTCAAGCCAGCACAGCTCAATGCCAAGAGAGAGAACCTCAGTGTATGACTTCCCCCTCAGAGGGAAATGAAAGGGAGGAACATGCATCCAGTGTCCCTGGCCTTTCAGAGTGCTATTTGAGAGTCCAGTTTATGTTTTACCTTACCCAGAGCCCTGATGAAACCTGCATATTTTGGATGCCTATGAGCAGTTAAGAATAAAGGGAAGGTGCAGGTAGCTGGCTGAAGCTGGTATGGTTCTGTGAATTTGGGAGACAGTGAGTGAAAGTGGGAGAGGAGTATAGCATACTTTCAGTGTCCTAGCACATGGAACAGCAGTCAGAAACCAGTGAGAACAAGAGACTATGGGCAAAAGAAAGAGAGAGAGAGAGACCAATAAATCTCTTTAATTAAGTGCACACATGAGTCCAAAGAAAAGGTTTAAGATACTTCCAAAATCTCTTGTAAGGCTGGGCATTGAAGGTCTTTCCCTGTGGAAGCCAGTTCATAAAGACTAGGCGAAGTGGCTGTATCTTCAAATGCACAAATACCAATGCAAAATTCCAATAAACACAAAGACTGAGGGAAATATGACATAATAAAATGAATAAAATAAATCTTCAGTATCTGACACTAAAGAAATGCAGATCTATTACCTCACGAAGAATTCAAAATAATCATCTTAAAGGAATTCAGTAAGTTATAAGAGAACACAAATAAACAAATTAATAAAATCAGGAAAATGATATGTAAGCAAAATGAAAATATCAGCAAAGAGATAGAGACTATAAAAAGAAACAAATTCTGGAGCTGAAGAAAACAATAACTGAAATAAAAAATTCATTCAAGGGGTTCAGCATTAGACTTGATCAAGAAGAAGAATGAATCAATGAACTTAAAGACAAGTCATGTAAAATTACCCAGTCAGAGAAACAAAAGTAAAAAATAAAAAGAGTTAAGAAAGTCTAAATGACAATGGGACATCATCAAGAGAACCAATATAGGCATTAGGAGGACCTCAGAAGGAGAAGAGTAAGTGAAAGTTTCAGAAAGATTATTTATAGAAACAATGGACCAAAACTTACAAATCTGAAAAAAGAAACTGATGTCTGGATCCAAGAAGTGCAAATTACCCCAAATAAAATGAATTCAAAGAACTCTATACCAAGACACCCTATAATCAAGTTGTAACAACTCAATAACAGAGCAAATTGGGAAAGCAATAAGTAAGAGGAAACTAGTGACATACAAAAGAGCTCAAAATAAGACTATCAGCCAATTTCTCAGCAGAAACCTTGCAGGCCAGGAGGGAGAGAGATTATATACTCAAAGTGCTGAAATAAAAAAATACCTTGCCAACTCCCTGGGACAGAGCACCTGAAGGAAGGAGGGGCTGTGGGTGCAGCTTCAGCAGATGTAAACCTTCCTGCCTGCCAGCTCTGAAGAGAGCAGTGGATCTCTCAGTATAGTGCTCAAACTCTGCTAAGGGACAGACTGCCTCCTCAAGTGGGTCCCTGACCCCTGTGCCTTCTGACTGGGAGATACCTCCCAGCAGGGGTCAACAGACACCTCATACAGGAGAGCTCTGGCTGGCATCTGGCAGGTGCCCCTATGGGACAAAGCTTCTGGAGGAAGAAACAGGCAGCAATCTCTGCTGTTCTGCAGCCTACACTGGTGATACCCAGGCAAACAGGGTCTGGAGTGGACCTCCAGCAAACTCCAGCAGACCTGCAGCAGAGCATCCTGACTGTTAAAAGGAAAACTAACAAACAGAAATGAATAGCATCAACACAACAAAAAGGACATCTACACAAAAACCCCATGCGAAGGTCACCAACATCGAACACTAAAGGGAGATAAATCCATGAAGATGAGGAAAAACCAGCACAAAAATGCCGAAAATTCCAAAAACCAGAATGCCTCTTCTCCTTCAAATGATCTCAACTCCTTGCCAGCAAGGGAACAAAACCGGATGCAGAATCAGTTTGACAAATTGACAGAAGTAGGCTTCAGAAGGTGGGTAATAACAAACTCCTCCAAGCTAAGGAGCATGTTCTAACCCAATGCAAGGAAGCTAAGAACTTTGATAAAAGGTTAGAGGAATTGCTATCTAGAATAATCAGTTTAGAGAATAACATAAATGACCTGATGGAGCTGAAAAACACAGCACGAGAACTTTGTGGAGCACACACAAGTATCAATAGCCGAATCAATCAAGTGGAATAAAGGATATCAGTGATTGAAAATCAACTTAATGAAATAAAGCATGAAGACAAGATTAGAGAAAAAAGAATGAAAAGGAACAACAAAGCCTCCAAGAAATATGGGACTATGTGAACAGACCAAACCTATGTTTGATTAGTGTACCTGAAAGTGATGGGGAGAATGGAACCAAGTTGGAAAACACACTTCAGGATAATATCAAGGAGAATTTCCCCAACCTAGCAAGACAGGCCAACATTCAAATTCAGGAAATAGAGAGAACACCACAAAGATACTCCTCGAGAAGAGCAACCCCAAGTCACATAATCGTCAGATTCACCAAGGTTGAAATGAAGGAAAAAATGGTAAAGGCAGCCAGAGAGAAAGGTCGGGTTACCCACAAAGGGAAGCCCATCAGACTAACATCTAATCTCTCTGCAGAAATGCTACAGGCCAGAAGAGAGTGGAGGCCAATATTCAACGTTCTTAAAGAAAAGAATTTTCAACCTAGAATTTCATATCCAGCCATAAGCAAAGGAGAAATAAAATCCTTTACAGACAAGCAAATGCTGAGGAATTTTCTCTCCGCCAGGCCTTTCTTACAAGAGCTCCTAAGGGAAGCACTAAATATGGAAAAGAAAAACCGGTTCCATCTACTGCAAAAACATAACAAATTGTAAAGACTATCAACACTCTAAAGAAACTGCATCAACTACTGGCCAAAATAACCAGCTAGCATCATAATGACAGGATCAAATTCACACATAAAAATATTAACCTTAAATGGAAATGGGCTAAATGTCCCAATTAAAAGACTCAGACTGGCAAATTGGATAAAGAGTCAAGACCCATTGGTGTGCTGTATTCAGGAGACCCTCATGTGCAAAGACATGTATAGGCTCAAAATAAAGGGATAGAGGAATATTTACCAAGCAAATGGAAAGCAAAAAAAAAAAAAAGGCAGGAGTTGCAATCTTAGTCTCTGATAAAACAGACTTTAAACCAACAGAGATCAAAAAAGACAAAGGGCATTACATAACAGTAAAGGGATCAATGCAACAAGAAGGGCTAACTATTCTAAATATATATGCACCCCATACAGGAGCACCCAGATTCATAAAGCAAGTTCTTAGGGACCTACAAAGACACTTAGACTCCCACACAATAATAGTGGGAGACTAACGCCTCACTGTCAATGTTACACAGATCAACGAGACAGAAAATTAACAAGGATATTTAGGACTTGAACTCAGCCCTGTACCAAGCAGACCTAGCAGACAGCTACAGAACTCTCCACCCCAAACCAACAAAATACACATTCTTGTCAGCACCACATCACACTTATTCTAAAATTGACCACATAATTGGAAGTAAAACACTCCTCAACAAATGCAAAAGAACAGAAATCATAACAAACAGTATCTCAGACCACAGTGCAATCAAATTAGAACTCAGGATTAAGAAACTCACTCAGAACCACACAACTACATGGAAACTGAACATTGTTTGAACTGAACTTGTTGCAATTCATCCCTGCTCCTGGATGACTACTGGCTACATTAATGAAATTAAGGCAGAAATAAATAAGTTCTTTAAAACCAATGAGAACAAAGACACATCATATCAGAATCTTTGGGACACAGCTAAAGCAGTGTTTAGAGGGAAATTTATGGCACTAAATGCCCACAGCAGGAAAGCAAGAAACATCTAAAATCAACACCCTAACATCACACTTAAAAGAACTAGAGAAGCAAGAGCAAACAAATTCAAAAGCTAGCAGAAGACAAGAAATAACTAAGATCAGAGCAGAACTGAAGGAGAAAGAGACATGAAAAACCCTTCAAAAAATCAATGAATCCAGGAGCTGGTTTTTTGAAAAGATTAACAAAATAGATAGACCGCTAGCCAGACTAATGAAGAAGAAAAGAGAGAAGAATCAAATAGACATAATAAAAAATGATAAAGGGGATATCACCACTGATCTCACAGAAATAGGAACTACCATCAGATAATACTATAAACATCTCTATGCAAATAAACTAGAAAACATAGAAGAAATGGATAAATTCCCAGACACATACAGCCTCCCAAGACTAAACCAAGAAAAGTCAAATCCCTGATAGACCAATAACAAATTCTGAAATTGAGGCAGTAATTAACAGCCTACCAAGCAAAAAAAAAAAAAAAAAAAAAAAAAGCCCAAGCCCAGGACCAGACCACAGCCGAATTCTACCAGAGGTACAAAGAGGAGCTGGTTTCAGGCCAATATCCCTGATGAACATTGATGCAAAAATCCTCAATAAAATACTGGCAAACTGAATCCAGCAGCATATCAAAAAGCTTATCCACTATGATCAAGTCAGCTTCATTCCTGGGATGCAAGGCTGCTTCAACATATGCAAATCAATAAATGTAATCCATCACATAAACAGAATCAGTGACAAAAACCACAAGATTATCTCAATAGATGCAGAAAAGGCCTTCAACAAAATTCAACACCCCTTCATGCTAAAATGCTCATCACTCTCAATAAACTAGGTATTGATGGAACATATCTCAAAATAGTAAGAGCTATTTATGACAACCCCACAGCCAATATCACATTGAATGGGAAACAGCTGGAAGCATTTCCTTTGAAAACCGGCAAAAGACAAGGATGCCCTCTCTCACCACTCCTATTCAACATAGTATTGGAAGTTCTGGCCAGGAAATTAGGCAAGAGAAAGAAATAAAGGGTATTCAAATAGGAAGAGAGAAAGTCCAGTTGTCTCTGTTTGCAGATGACATGGTTGTATATTTAGAAAACCCCATCGTCTCAGCCCCAAATCTTCTTAAGCCGATAAGCTACTTCAGCAAAGTCTCAGGATACAAAATCAATGTGCAAAAGTCACAAGCATTCCTATATACCAATAATAGGGAGCCAATTCATGAGTGAACTCCCATTTACAACTGCTACAAAGAGAATAAAATACCTCGGAATACCACTTACAAGGGATGTGAAGGACTACAAACTACTGCTCAAGAAAATAAGAGAGGACACAAACCACTGGAGAAAGATTCCATGCTCATGGATAGGAAGAATCAATATCCTGAAAATGACCATACAGCCCAAAGTAATTCATAGATTAAATGCTATCCCCATCAAGCTACCAATGACTTTCTTCACAGAATTAGAAAAAACTACTTTAAACTTCATATGGAACCAAAAAAGAGCCCACATAGCCAAGACAATCCTAAGCAAAAAGAACAAAGCTGGAGGCATCAGGCTACTTGACTTCAAACTATATACTACAAAGCTACAGTAACAAAAACAGCATGGTACTGGTACCAAAACAGATATATAGACCAAAGGAACAGAACAGAGGCCTCAGAAATAACGCCACACATCTACCACCACCTGATCTTTGACAAACCTGTCAAAAACAAGAAATGGGGAAAGGATTCCCTATTTAATAAATGTTGTTGAGAAAACTGGCTAGCCATATGCAGAAAACTGAAACTGGACCCTTTCCTTACACCTTATACAAAAATTAACTCAAGATGGATTAAAGACTTAAATGTAAGACCTAAAACCATAAAAACCCTAGAAGAAAATCTAGGCAATACCATTCAGAACATAAGTATGGGCAAAGACTTTATGACTAAAACACCAAAAGCAATGGCAACAAAAGCCAAAATTGACAAATGGGATCTAATTAAACTAAAGGGCTTCTGCACAGCAAAAGAACCTATCATCAGAGTGAATGGGCAACCTACAGAATGGGAGAAAATTTTTGCAATCTATCCATCTGACAAAGGGCTAATATCCAGAGTCTACAAGGAACTTAAACAAATTTACAAGAAAAAAACAAACAACCCCATCAAAAAGTGGGCAAAGGATATGAACAGACACTTCCCAAAAGAAGACATTTATGCAGCCAAAAGACACATGAAAAAATGCTCATCACTGGTCATTAGAGAAAGGCAAATCAAAACCATAATGAGATACCATCTCATGCCAGTTAGAATGGAGATCATTAAAAAGCCACCTAACAACAGATATTAGAGAGGATGTGGAGAAATAGGAATGCTTTTACACTGTTGGTGGGAGTGCAAATTAGTTCAACCATTGTGGAAGACAGTGTGGTGATTCCTCAGGGATCTAGAACTAGAAATACCATTTGACCCAGTGATCCCATTACAGGGTATATACCCAAAGGATTATAAATCATTCTATTATAAAGACATATGCACACGTATGTTTATTGCAGCACTATTCACCATAGCAAAGACTTGGAACCAGCCCACATGCCCATAAATGATAGCTTGGATAAAGAAAATGGGGCACATATACGCCAGTGTATACTATGCAGCCATAAAAAATGATGAGTTCATATCCCTTGCAGGACATAGATGAATTGGGAAACCATCATTCTCAACAAACTAACACAGGAGCAGAAGAACAAACAGTACAGGTTCTCACTCATAAGTGGGAATTGAACAATGAGAACACATGGATACAGGGAGGGGAACATCACGCACCAGGGCCTGTTGAGGGGTGGGTTGCTAGGGGAGGGAGAGCATTAGGAGAAATACCTAATGTACATGACAGGTTGATGGGTGCAGCAAACCATCATGGCACATGTATACCTATGTAACAAACCTGCACATTCTGCACATGTATCCCAGAACTTAAAGCAAAATAAATTAATAAATAAAAAAAATAACCTGCCAACCAACAAAACTGTCCTTCAGAAATGAAAGAGTGATGACGACTTTCCTGGACAAACAAAAGCTGAGGAAATTCTTCACCATTAGACTTGCCTTATACAAAATGCTAAAGGGAGTTCTTCAATTTGAAACGAAAAGAGACTAAACAGCAATAGAAAAGCAACAGGAGGCCGGGCGCGGTGGCTCACGCCTGTAATCCCAGCACTTTGGGAGGCCGAGGCGGGTGGATCATGAGGTCAGGAGATCGAGACCATCCTGGCTAACAAGGTGAAACCCCGTCTCTACTAAAAATACAAAAAATTAGCCGGGCGCGGTGGCGGGCGCCTGTAGTCCCAGCTACTCGGGAGGCTGAGGCAGGAGAATGGCGTGAACCCGGGAAGCGGAGCTTGCAGTGAGCTGAGATTGCGCCACTGCAGTCCGCAGTCCGGCCTGGGCGACAGAGCGAGACTCCGTCTCAAAAAAAAAAAAAAAAAAAAAAAAAAAAAGAAAAGCAACAGGAAAGCTATACATGTCCCTACTAATGAGTTGTTTTAAAACACAGAATACTGTAATATTGTAACAATGATGTATAAATCAATTTTAATTCTACTACAAAAGTTAAAAGACAAAAGTACTAAAAATAATTGTAACCACACAAATATATTAATAAATACACAATATATGCAGATGTAAATGGTGGCATCCATAGTAAAGTATAGAAGGAACAAGTAAAAGTATGGCATTTTATATGCAATTGAAGTACAGTTATTTTCCACTTAAACTATACTGTAATAACTATAAGATATTTTATGTAAGCCTCATGGCAAGCACAAAGAAAACACTTATTGAAGATATACAAAAGAAAAAGAGAAAGGAATTGAAGTGTATCACTACAAAAAAATCAATAAATCACCAAGGAAGATAGTAAAAAAAAAAGACAGGAACATGAAAATTACAAAGCAGGCAGAAAACATTGTTTTAGCATGGCAGTAATAAGTTCTTACCTATCAGTACTTACTTTAAATGCAAATAGTTTAAAATCTCCAATCAAAATCACAGAGTGAAGTGAAATAAGCCCAGGCACAGAAAGACAAATTTTGCATGTTCTCACTCATTTGCGGAAGTTAAAAATTAAAACAATTGAACTCATGGAGATAGAAAGTAGAATGATGGTTACCAGAGGCTAGAAAGAGTAGTGGCAGCGGGTGAAAAATAGGGATGGTTAATAGGTACAAAAATATAGTTAGACACAATGAAAAAATCTAGTATTTGATAGCACATCACAGTGACTACAGCCAACAATAATTTGTTGTACATTTTACAATAACTGAGGGAATACAACTGGAATGTTTTTAACACAAAGAAAGAATGAATGCTTGAGGTGATGTATACCCCATTTATTCTGATATCATTATTACACACTGTATGACTGTATCAAAATATGTCAGCTCACATCTGTAATCCCAGCACTTTGGGAGGCCGAGATGGACAGATCACCTGAGGTCAGGGGTTCCAGATTAGCCTAGAAAACATGGCAAAAGCTATCTCTACTAAAAATACAAAAATTAGCTGGGTGTGGTGGTGTGCACCTGTAGTCCCAGCTACTTGGGAGGCTGAGGTGGGAGGATCGCTTGAGCCTGGGAGGCAGAGGTTGCAGTGAGCTGAGATTGTGCCACTGCACTACAGCCTGGGTGATATAGCAAGACTCTCTCTCAATAAATAAATAAATACATAAATCTCATGTACACCGTAAATATATATACCTACTATATACCATAAAAATTTTTAAAAATTAAAAAGTCATAGAGTGGTTGAATGAATTAAAAAACAAAATCCAACTACATTATATGTATAAGATACTTTAGATTTAAGGACACACATAAACTGAAAGTGAAGGGATGGAAAAGATACTCTAGGCAAATGGTAACCAAAAGAGAAAAGGGGTGGCTATACTAATATCAGAAAAAATAGACTTTATGTCAAAAACTGTCACTAGGGATGAAGAAGGTAATTATATAATGATAAAAGGGTCAATTTGTCAGGAAGATACAATTATTATAAATATACATACACCCAACATCAGAGCACTTAGATATATAAATCAAACATTGACAAAACTGAGAAAGAAATGCACAGCAATACAATACTAGTAGGAGATTTTAATACCCAACTTTCATAATGGATAGACCATTCAGACAGAAAATCAATAAGAAAACAGTGGGCTTGAACAACACTATAGACCAAATTGACCTAACAGATATACACAGAACATTCCACCCAAAAGTAGCAGAATGCATATTCTTTTCAAGTATACATATAACATTAACCCAGAAAGATTATAGGTTAGGATAAAACAAGTCGTAACAAATTTTAAAAGACCAGAATCATTCCGAGTACCTTTTCTGAATCAAATGGAATGAAACTAGAAACCAATAGCAACAAGAAAATAGAAAAATTCACAAACACATGAAAGTAAACAATACACTCTTGAACCATCATTAGGTTAAAGAATAAATTAAAAATGAAATTAGATGAAGCTTATAATGATAAATGTCTATATTTAAGAAAAAAGTATGCCAAATCAATGACCTAACTTCACTCTTCAAGGAAGTAAAAAGAAGAATAAACGAAGGCTAAAGTTGGCAGAAATACAGGAATAATAAAGATTAATACATACGTTAAAAAAAAAGTCTGTCAGGATTCAAACAGTAATCCTGCTATCAAAGAAAAGCCCTGGACCAGATGACTTCACACGTGAATTTCACCAAATATTTAAAGAAGAATTAATACCAATGTTTCTTGAACTACTTCAAAATATTGGAGAAAAGGGACACTTCTAAACTCATTTTATGAGGTCAGCATTACCCTGATTCCAAAGCTACAAAAAGATGTTACAGGGAAAAAAAATTACAGGTCGGTATCCCCTCAGAAACATGGATGCAAAAACCCTCAATAAAATACTAGCAAGCTAAATTCAATAGCACATTTAAAGACTCATACACCATCAGCAAGTGGAATTTATACTAGGGGTTTAAGGATGATTTAACATTGTAAATCAACATGATACACCACATTAACAGAATGAAGAAGAAATAATCATCTGAATTAATGCAGGAAAAGCATTCAACAAAATTCAGCATTCCTTCAAAATAAAAACTCTCAGCAAACGAGGTATAGAAAAAATGTACCACAACATAACAAAGGTCATATATGAGAAGTTCAAAGCTAACATCACATTCAACTGAAAAACTGAAAGCTTCTTCTCTAAGGTCACAAAGAAAGCACAGATGCCCATTCTTGACACTTCTATTTAATACAGTACTGAAAGTCCTAGTCAAAGCACTTAGTAAAGAAAAAGAGAAGAAGGCATCCAAATGGGTAAAGAAGTAGTAAAATTATCTGTTTACAAATAACATGGCCTTACATGTAGAAAATTGTAAATATTCCTCACACACAAAAAAACCCTGTTAGAACTAATAAACAAATACAGTAAAGGTGCAGAATACAAAACCAGCCTACAAAAAATAAGTTGGCCTTCTGTTCACTAACAATGAATCATTTCAAAGGAAACTATAAAAAATCGCATTTACAGTAATATCCAGAAAAATAAAATTTTTAGGAATAGACGTAACCAAGGAGGTGAAAGGCTTGTATTATGAAAACTGCAAATTATTGATGAAAGAAATAAAAGAAGACATAAATAAATGAAAGAATATCTATGTTCATGGATTGTAAAATTTCATATTGTTATAATGTTCATACTACCAAAAGCAATCGACATATTCAGTACAATCCCTAATAAAATTCCAATGGATTTTTTTAAAGAAATAGATAATTCTATCCAAAAATTCATATGGAACCAGGAAAAACTCCAAATAACCAAAGCAATCTTGAGAAGGTAGAACAAAGCTGGAGATTTCACATTTCCTGATTTCAAAATATTTGTAGAGCTACAAATTAAGCAGTATGATATGGCATAAAAATGGACAAACACACAAATGGAATAAAAAAGAGAGTCGAGAAATAAATCAACAAACATACAGCCAACTGATTTTCACCAAGAATTTCAAAAATGCAATGGGGAAAGGATAATCTCTTTAACACATGGTGTTGGATCACAGGACATCCATGTGCACAAGAATAAAATTGGATTCATATTTTACAAAATACACAAAAATCAACTCCAAATAGATGAAACATTTAATAATACCCGAAACTATAAAACTCCTAGGATAAGAAAGGAAAAAGTTTCATGACATTGGTCTTGGCAATGATTTTTTTTTTAATATGACACAGAAAGCACAAGCAACACAAGCAAAATTAGACAAATGGTACTAGATAAAACCAGAAAGCTTCTGCACAGCAAAAGAAAATTAACAGTATGAAAAGGCAACCTAAATACTGGGGGAAAATATTTGCAAACCACATATCTGAGAAAATGTTAATGTTTAAAATGTATAGGGAACTTCTACAACTCAGTAACAAAAACACAAATAACTTGATTACAACATGGGCACAAAACTTGAATAAAACATTTCTCTAAAGAAGAATCATCAAGGAAATGCAAAACTACAATGAGATATCACCTCACGCCTGTTAAGATGGCTATTATAAAAAAAAAGATAACAAATGTTGACAAGGATGAAGAAAAATTGGAACCCTGTACACTATTAGTGGGAATATAAAATAGTACAGCAGCTATGGAAAAAAGTATGAATGTTTCTTTAAAAATACAAAATTGAATTGTGAGCCTATTTAAAATAGAAATTTGATCCATATGATCCAGCAGTTTTACTTCTGAGTATATATCCAAAAGAATTGAAACTAGGACCCTGAAGAGAGATTTGCACTCTCATGTTCATTGTAGCATTATTCATAACAGCTAAGATTTGAAAACAACCTAATGCACGTTGATGGATGAATGAATAAAGAAAATGTAGTACATACAGACAGTTGAATATTTATCAGCCTTATAAAAGAAGAAAATCTTCATCTGCATCATGCCTGAATCAAGAAAGCATTATGTTAAAATTATGCTAGTATTAGCCAGTCACAGAAGGGCAAATACTCATGATGCCACTTACATGAGGTATCTAAAATAGTCAAACTCATGGAACTCAGAGCATAATGGCAACAGTAGTTGCAAAATTAAAGTGTCAGTGGATGAGGGGAAGGGGAAATGGGGAATTGCTCTTCAACAGGTGTATTAGTCCATTCTCACACTGCTATAAAGAAATACCCAAGACTGGGTAATTTATTAAGGAAAGAGGTTTAATTGACTCACAGTTCTGCATGCCTGGGGAGGCCTCAGAAAACTTACCATCACAGTGTAAGGGGAAGCAGACATGTCTTACGTGGAGGCAGGAGAGAGAGGGCATGTGTGTAGGAGGAACTGCTAAACGCTTATAAAACCATCAGATCTCATGAGAACTCACTATGGCAAGAAGAGCATGGGGGAAATAACCTCCATGATCCAATCCCCTCCCTTTTTTGACACATGGGAATTACAGTTTGAGATGATATTTGGGGTAGAGACACAGAGCCAAACCAAGCCAGTATTTTATTGAGGATTTTACAAAAGTATTTCATCTCCAGTTAGCAAGAGCCCATGAAGAAAATGACATATTTGTCTACCTCAAGTTTATTTAAATCTTCAAGAAATAATTTGAAAGTATATATTTTATTTCCAATAATACCTATTCTAATATAATATATAATAAAATCTTTTCTTCAGATTACCCAGTTACTTTTTAATATTCAAAAAATTAAATATCAACTATCATAAAGAAGCTTGATATTTCAACCAGTAGCATTCAATACTGCTCATTTAATTTTGGCAAAAACATGCAATCATTGCTGACTGCATAATGTTAGAACAGTATAGGCTAAACATTAATAGTCTGATGTGAGGTTAACCTACTGTTAGAATGTGTGTGATCACAGCAGAGCATTCATTTATTTCTTTCACTTTTCTTACTCCATAAACATTACGATAGGATCCCTTATGTTACAAGGAACAGGACATGCCATGGTCACCAAGGAATTTATTACCTGTATGCCAGAAAGTAACAAAACTCAGCAAGCTTTCTGAGCCTATGGAAAAATAGAAGATCAGTTGTAACCATGAAAGATGCAATAGCAACTTGAATAACCCAAAAAAGTGCTGCAGATGGGCATTGCACCATCCCCTAAGAAGCCAGCTCTCTCTTGTTGGTCAGCCTAGTGACTCCACTCTACTTATAAACCTGTTCCATGTCAGTTTCTCCCTCCATTATTTGTGCCTATACTTTCAGTTCCTGTTTCTATTGCCCTCTCAAGAAACCAAGATGTTCCAAGAAAGAGATCAGAATTCATTCTCTGATCGCTAACACAGAGCATATCTTACTTAGCAAAGGTCTCAATCCATGGCGCCTCATAGGTTGCTGGGCTCTGGTACATCCAGCTATGCATCCAATAACCAAAGAGTCATTCTTGAACAACCCTGAGATTACAGGCAGATATTGAAAACATATTCATCAAGTTGAAAGGCTACTAAGCAAAAATGATGGCAATTGCAGAAGTGTGGTTGAAGGTGGTTTGCTCCCAGGAACATGTTCTGTTCTGAAGATAGGACTGCATATGAGTATGTGTGTCACTATGACCAGTGGCCCCCCAAAAACGTGGATCTTGCATGCTGAACTAAGTAATACATCTAGAAAGTCTATCTCTAGTCATGTTATCTATTCTAACTTGTTGCAATTCATATAACTTCAGTTTTAAGAAGGAAGCTGCTGAATTTTTCAAAATCATTTGAAAGAATGGATAAACTACTTTTTATTTTGATAGAGAAAATAATTTTAAAATCTAACATAAGTAAACGACTTGGACACAACTCCAATACATCTAACTAGGTTACATCTTTGGTTTGACTTTAATCATTTATAGAGCAAAAAAATTATTCATTATTCATAAATTTAATTCACTGTTTTCTGCTACTGGGAAAAATATACTCCTTTAATTTGCCAAAGTGCTATTACTTATCATTTAATATTCACAAATATGATATCATTTGCTAGTGGAAAAGAATGAAATCAAAATTAAATTGGAAACTTTACTTACTAGTATTCCATTCTTTTTTATTTGATAATGTTGGCAGAGATGATGATAATGGCAATTTAGCAGCAGGATACTTTGCCCTGTTACCTAAGAAACACTAAGTGCAATGGCTTGAACGTGTCCCCCAAAATTCATGTGTTGGAAACTTAATCTTCAATGCAATGGGGTTGGAGGATGACGCCTAATGGGAGATGTTTAGGTCCTGAGGCCTCCACCCTCATGAATGGATTATGTGGATTATAAAAGGGCTAGAGGCTGTGAGTTTGATTTCTCACTCTCTCCTTCTCTCACCATGTGATGCCTTCCACCATGTTATGATGCAGCAAATGACCCTCACCAGATGTGGTCATTCAGTCTTGGATTTCCCAGCTTCCAGAACCATGAACCAATAAATTTCTATTTTTTAGAAATTATCCAGTTTCAGGTAGTCTGTTATAATAGCATGAAATGAACTAAGACACTGAGAAATAAAATTTCTTATGATATTTATTAAAATATTTAATGTAAATAATATACTTTAAATATAAATAATGAAGTTCATATATGATATCCAAGCAGGACACAAAATGCATCCAGGATACATCTCAATGTCTTCTATAGACACAGAAAACATGATCTACTCAATTCGGTCAAAAATGCAGAAAGCCTATTATCATTAACTGTGCAACCAAACATTATAATTCAAAGTGGCTTTGATCATCTGATTACTAGAAATAAGAATATTCCTAGTGATATTGGTGCAAACTGATAAACCAAAATGTGTATTTATGCAATTAAAACCACCATATATTTACTTTCTTTTATCAAAGCATCATTTATTTGTAATTGCTTCATAATTCCGAAAAGAAAAATGAATACATCCATGCCATAATGGAAGTGATCAGAACATTTCCCTACTAATGACCTAGATTGCTTTGGGCTTATGCTATGACCTACTTATATTTCCTTCTTTCCCTATTGTATTGATTTATTTTTATAGAGGAATAAGACATAGCATTTATTAAAATCCTAGATGGAGAAATTAAGCAATACATGTGAAGTGTCTTAGAAAGAAGTAAAGTTGTGTTGTGAAGAGCAAAATACACTTTAAAATAGAATACTGAGTATGAGATGAATGGATGGTAAGTGCTATTATTCACAACAAGTTAGTTCTATGAAGCTTTAACTCTCACAATTTTTATTCTTACTAAAAGTCATAAGAACAATATCCATAAATCTCTTTCTCATCTGCTATAAAAGATTTGACGGTATAAAACTCTAAAATCTCAACTTTCTTTCTATTTGTCTATCAAGGCTATAATACTGTATGAAATTCCTCACCATGCCATTCATCAGACAGCCCCATGCAGTGGTATCTTCACAATGTCAAGGACTTAGGAAAAAGAGACAATGCGGCACAGACATCACTTACCATGAAGATGGTTTAACTTGAGAATCCTCAGTTTTTACTAACAATAGAAATTGCAGTCAGGATGTGGAAGCTTCAGACTGTTTGTTCTAAACAGTAGGATAATGCAACAAATGAGAAACATGAAGTCAGTTTGTGACAAATGTGAAGAAGTGAGAATGCTTCAGCGTTCTTTAAATCATGTGGGGTCAGTAGAATTTCCACATGAGCAAAATGAATCTTCATCTCTCTGCTTCATACCATATGCAGTGATTCTCAAACCAGGCTAGGAAGTTTTTTTTTTTACAAAATAAGGATTCCTGAACCTCCATGCCAGATAAAATTCAAAATGTGAAGAGTAAGGTGCAGAAATTTCTATATATTTTTAGAATTTCCATGTCATTCTTCAATGAAGTTGCCACATCGGTAGGAAGAATGAGTAAACTTTAGAGCAGCTGTCTTCAACCTTTTTGGCATCAGGGAGTGGTTTAGTGGAAGAGAGTGTTTTCATGGACCAGGTGGTGGGGGTGGGAATGGTTTTGGGATGAAACTGTTCCACCTCAGATCATCAGGCATTAGATTCTCATAAGGAGCACACAGTCTACATCCCTCACATACACAGTTCACAATAGGGTCCGTGCTTCTATGAGAATCCAATGCTGCAGCTGATCTGACAAGAAGCAGAGCTCAAGAGGTAATGCTGGCCTGCCCACCCCTCACCTCCTGCTGTGTTGCCCAGTTCCTAAGAGGCCACAGACCACTACTCGTTCACAGCCCAGGAGCTGGGGTCCCCTGCTTTAAGGAATAGTTCATTTTAGCACCATGGAATAAAACAGACCTCTTCCTAGACACTTGGAATCATTTGATGTAGTGTCTAGGATAACACATGTAGTGTGTTATCTCCTTAATTTTTCATCTCTTCAGACCTTTCTGTTAATCATTTAGTGACCATTTCCAACCTGGAAACTTTTCTTCCTAGCAGAAAAGGTGGGAAGAGTAATTAATTCATTAATCTTTTCTTTTTATCAATTCATCAAGTAAGTTTTTCTTTTGACTATTCAAAAATGCCTATTGAGCAGCTACTATCTTTCAAACACGCATGTGCTGGGCACAGGCACAAGTGCCTCCAGTGAAGGGAGGCAAATTTTAAATAAGTAAGTTCAAAAATCTATAAACTCTCACCGTGAGCAGTACTACCAAGAAGAGGTGCAGTGGGTCCTACCCTAGTAAATAGACTCAGAGAATATTTCCTCTATCTACTGTTCACAACAAATCTCCTTTGAGGCTGCCAAAGTTGTCAGAATCAAAATGGAGTCACTTGTGTTAAAAACCCTGACAAACAGAGCTGCAGAAGGCAATGAAGGGAGGGTTCTCATACATAAATACTTGACAATAAGAATTATCTCAGAAGACTGCAAAAAACACAATCTTGCACAAAAGCCACCATGATGTTACATACACACAAAAATACTTCTGTGAGGACCTCTGCCCAGCAATTGCCTGTCTAACCACAAACTGGTGCCACCTTTGCTATTGATTCTGTAGCCAAGGATAATTATCTCAAAACAATTATGTAATCCTTCTTGCTTTTCTTTTAAAATCCTTTGTTTTCCCTTATCTCCCTGAACATGCATATTATTTACTATGGCATGCATATTCTCATCGTCATGCCTATTCCTGAATAAACATCATTTTCTTTTAAAGAATCTCCCTCTGTGTTATTTAGGCTGACAGGGCATAAAATTTATTTACATCATACTTGTTGGTTGTTATCTGAGCTAAACCAATCCAATCAGCCTGGGTTTATTCTAAGACTGGAATTCCTAAAAAGTAGCAAGTTTTACTTATTATGTTAGGCTGTAGTGAATTAAACACTACATTTTAAAAGAACTTTAATGCAGATGATTTCATTTTAATCTTTATTATAAAAGGTAACTTTTGGCTCATTTATTAGTTATTTGGAATTTGTTATTAAATTTTAGGATGTTAGTAGTTAAAAGTACTGTAGGGAGATCATAAATATAAATGCATAGGAATGAGACTGAAATGAATCATTTCTGGGATTTATAGTATTGTTATAGTTGGAGGCCAAATGCTTTTATAGTTTTACTTAATTCTATACACTTCTTAATTCACCTATAGGTATAAAGCTCTCTCTAGAATATAAAGATTGCCTTGATGGTTAATTTAAAATATATACCGCATGTTCTCACTCATAAGTGGGAGTTGAACAAGGAGAACACAGGGACACAGGGAAGGGAACATCACATACTGGGGCCTGTTGAGGGGTGAGGGGCTAGGGAAGGGATAGCATTAGGAGAAATACCTAATATAGATGACGAGTTGATGGGTGCAGCAAACCACCATGGCACATGTATACCTATGTAACAAAACTGCATGTTCTACACATGTACCCCAGAACTTAAAGTATAATAAAAAATTAAATAAATAAATAAATAATACAGCATGGTAAAAAAAAAAGTACAGGCATATGCTCTCATATGACACCTACAAATTAAACTACTGAAAATAGATAAAATCTCTCAAATAAACATTTAAAGGGAATTTTTTTCTAGAAATTTTAACCTGTCAGAAAATGTCACTTGACATGTCATATTTTTAATTTAATAAAATGTCACTAAAGACAGGACTATAATACAAAAGTAAAGCATACATTTTCAGTGCATGTTGAAAAAGTGATTTTAATTCTATATCTTAGAATATCCCACATTCAAACACAAGCTATTTAGTTGGTTAGAATAACTTGACAAAGGAAAGCAAGGCTAGCAATGTTGATATTTCATTTCTCATTATATTTTATTATGGCATAAAGGTGAATAATAGAGAATATGAAACCCAGCTGTCTGAATTTAGTTCTTATTCCACCAATTCATAGTTGTGTGACTTTGGGTAAGTATTTAAGCTCTGTGCCTCAGTTTCCTCTGTACAACAGGAAGTTGAGAGAACCTACCCTATGCTTGTTGTGAGAACTAAATGAATGAATACATGTAACCAGATTAATTAACATCCAATCTGTACAATTAGCACTTAACAAATATTACCTATGACTGTTTTTGTTACTATAATTATTTTCTCTAGTTTAGAAAACTGTTGGAAAAATTTAGTTTGATAGTGAAAACAAATTTTGTTAGCTGTCATTTAATGGGTTAAGGGAAATTTTTTAAATTCAGGTATTATATATCACTTACATTACTTTTCTTTGTCATCCTATGATATTTTATGGACATAATCATATATGTTGATTGCTTAACTTCCATTTTAAAGTAATTGAAGAAAGTTTCAATTTTAATATGACTTTAATTTTTCATAGTATTTCGAAACTCTCTTTTAAATGTCTTCATAGCCAGCCAGAAAAAAAAATAGGTGTTATAGACTGAATGTTTTTGTCTCCCCAGAATTTGTATGTTGCAGCCCTACCCTCCAACGTGATAGATAGTATTAAGATATGGGCTTTTGGGGAGGTAATTAATTTTAGATGAGGTCATGAGACTAGAGCCCTTATGATAGAACTGGTGCCTTTATAATAAAGGAAGAGACACCAGAGTGCTCTCCTGTGATGTGAGAATAAAGCAAGAAGATAGCCTTATGCAAACCAGGAGAGGGTTCTCACCAGAACCCAACCATGCTGGCACTCGGATTTTGGAATTTCCAGCTCCCAGAACAGTGAGAAATAAATTTCGATTGTTCAAGCCACCCAGTATATACTATTTTGTTATAGTAGTCCAAGTTGACTAAGACTTAAAGGTACACTAATGTCTTACCCTAAGACACTGATATTAGGGTAGACTAAACCCAAACATCTCAGAGTTACAAACTACATGAATATTTTACTGTACTAGTGAATTGGTGGTTTCAAATTTTGAGTGTATAAGATGCACATTAGGAATGCACTCCCCACATATGGCATCAGTTGTTGGGGTCATTGTGAAAGCAGCACTTCTGTCTTCAACCAGGAATTTCACTAAGATATGTGTTAGTCATAAAGTGTAAGCAAGGGCAGCACATTTCAGTACAGCCTTTCAACCCACTGAACAAACAACACAATCGCATGTTCCATGGGTCATTAGAATGCTAACTTTTTTTTTTTTTTTGAGACGGAGTCTCGCTCTTATTGCCCAGGCTGGAGTGCAGTGGCGCAATCTCGACTCACTGAAACCTCCGCCTCCCGGGTTCAAGCAATTTTCCTACCTCAGCCTCCCTAGTAGCTGGGATTACAGATGCCTGCCACCACACCCGGTTAATTTTTGTATTTTTAGTAGAGCCAGGGTTTCACCATATTGGCCAGGCTGGTATTGAAATCCTGACCTCAGGTGATCTGCCCTCCTCGGCCTCCCCAAAGTGCTGGGATTACACGCACGAGCCACAGTGCCCGGCCACCTTTTTTTAATCATTATTATTTTTTCTACTTTTTAACCAAAGTACAAAAGTTTATTGAATTTTCAGAGGATATTTAAGTAACTGTATTTTAAATTTTAAAATATTTTTGTGATTTAATCATGTTTATTATTAAAATAATTTTTAAATGCATATACAAACCAATTGTTCATACCACATACCTGCCCCACAAGCATTTCTTCAAAGAATATAACCCCATTCAGAACATGAACTATATCCATCTTATTTTACTTATGTATTTATTTATTTATTTATTTTTGAGATGGAGTCTCGCTCTGTCACCCAGGCTGGAGTGCAGTGGCGCCATCTCGGCTCACTGCAAGCTCCACCTCCCAGGTTCACACCATTCTCCTGCCTCAGCCTCCTGAGTAGCTGGGACTACAGGCACCCACCACCACGCCCAGCTAATTTTTTTGTATTTTTTTAGTAGAGACGGGGTTTCACCATATTAGCCAGGATGGTCTCCATCTCCTGACCTCGTGATCCGCCCGCCTCAGCCTCCCAAAGTGCTGAGATTACAGGTGTGAGCCACCACGCCTGGCCCCCATCTTATTTTTTATAAAGACTTCAGTAAAATATATAATTTTTGAAATCTCCTTGTTTACTAAAACTTTCTTTTTTTCAAAAATTTTATTGAAAAGTTGTTGCCTGACCAGTTACTTTGTATGTCACATTGTATGCTCTTGTGGACAGTTACTGACCTGTGATTTAAAACATGAATGCTACAGATGCAATCTGTCCATTTCTGTGATGGGTCTTTGAATAAAGTATTTTCTGTCTTAAATAGGAAAAAAAAGGAAAATAAAAATTGTAGCTTTATTCACATGGTCAATAAGTTTGTTGAAGAACAACAAATAGGTCTTTTAAAATACCCTACAAATTTCAAAATTTGACTGTTGTAATAAAACAATTTAAATTAATTCAAAGCATATTCACTGGGAGCTTGCTAGGGCTGCCTGATTTCAAATTCACACATTTTACTTCTACACGATATTGCTTAAGGAGCTGACAGTTTGTATCAAATCCCAAGTGTCCAAATCCTTAGTCCAGAAGATGGCCGAATAGGAACAGCTCCAGTCTGCAGCTCCCAGTGTGACACAGAAGACGGGTGATTTCTGCATTTCCAACTGAGGTACCGGGTTCATCTCACTGGGGCTTGTCAGAGAGTGGGTGCAGCCCACGGAGCAGGGCGGGGCATCTCCTCACCCGGGAAGCACAAGGGGTTGGGAAATTCCCTTTCCTAGCAAAGGGAAGCCGTGACAGATGGTACCTGGAAAATTGGGACACTCCCACCCTAATACTGCACTTTTCCTATGGCCTTAGCAAATGACACATGAGGAGATTATATCCCACGCCTGGCTCAGAGGGTCCCATACCCACGGAACCTCGCTCACTGCTAGCACAGCAGTCTGAGATCAAACTGCAAGGCAGCAGCGAGGCTGGGGGAGGGGCGTCCGCCATTGCTGAGGCTTGAGTAGGTAAACAAAGCAGCCAGGAAGCTCGAACTAGGTG
This sequence comes from Homo sapiens, assembly GCF_000001405.40. Lineage (NCBI taxonomy): Eukaryota > Metazoa > Chordata > Mammalia > Primates > Hominidae > Homo > Homo sapiens. The sequence goes on from NC_000002.12 coordinate 209,261,897, forward strand.
GAGGCCACCTCAGCTCATGGAGGCCTGCCTGCCTTTGTAGACTCCACTTCTAGGGACAGGGCATAGCTGAACAAAATGCAGCAAAAACTTCTGCAGACTTAAACGTCCCTGTCTGACAGCTTTGAAGACAGTAGTGCTTCTCCCAGCACTGAGTTTGAGATCTGAGAAGGAACAGACTGCCTCCTCAAGTGGGTCCCTGACCCCCGAGTAGCCTAACTGGGAGACACCTCCCAGTAGGGGCCTACTGACACCTAATACAGCCAGGTGCCCCTCTGAGATGAAGCTTCCAGAAGAAGGATCAGACAGCAACATTTTCCGTTCTGCAATATTTGCTGTTCTGCAGCTTCCACTGGTGATATCCAGGCAGGGTCTGGAGTGGACCTCCATCAAACCTGCAGCTGAGGGTCCTGACTATTAGAAGGAAAACTAACAAACAGAATGGACATCCACATCAAAACCCCATCTGTACGTCACCATCATCAAAGACCAAAGGTAGATAAAACCACAAAGATGGGGAGAAACCAGAGCAGAAAAGCTGAAAATTCTAAAAATCAGAATGCCTCTTCTTCTCCAAAGGATTGCAGCTCCTCGCCAGCAATGGAACAAAGCTGGAGGGAGAATGACTTTGACGAGTTCAGAGAAGGCTTCAGACGATCAGTAATAACAAACTTCTCTGAGCTAAAGGCGGATGTACGAACCCATCACAAAGAAGCTAAAAACCTTGAAAAAAGATTAGACGAATAGCTAACTAGAATAAACAGTGTAGAGAAGTCCTTAAATGACCTGATGGAGCTGAAAACCATGGCACGAGAACTACGTGATGCATGTAGAAGCTTCAGTAGCCGATTTGACAACTGGAAGAAAGGGTATCAGTGATTGAAGATCAAATGAATGAAATGAAGCAAGAAGAGAAGTGTAGAGAAAAAAGAGTAAAAAGAAACAAACAAAGCCTCCGAGAAATATGGGACTATGTGAAAAGACCAAATCTACATCTGATTGGTGTACCTGAAAGTGACGGGGAGAATGGTACCAAGTTGGAAAACACTCTTCAGAATATTATCCAGGAGAACTTCCCCAACCTAGCAATGCAGGCCAACATTCAAATTCAGGAAATACAGACAATGCCACAAAGACACTCCTCGAGAAGAGCAACTCCAAGACACATAATTGTCAGGTTCACCAAAGTTGAAATTAGGGAAAAAATGTTAAGGGCAGAAAGAGAGAAAGATCGGGTTACCCATAAAGGGAAGCCCATCAGACTAACAGCGGATCTCTCCGCAGAAACTCTACAAGCCAGAAGAGAGTGGGGGCCAATATTCAACATACTTAAAGAAAAGAATTTTCAACCCAGAATTTCATATCCAGCCAAACTAAGCTTCATAAGTGAAGGAGAAATAAAATCCTTTACAGACAAACAAACGCTGAGAGATTTTTGTCACCAGCAGGCCTGCCTTACAAGAGCTACTAAAGGAAGCACTAGACATGGAAAGGAACAACCAGTACCAACCGCTTCAAAAACATGCCAAATTGTAAAGACCATCAATGCTAGGAAGAAACTGCATCAATTAACAAGCAAAATAAACAGCTAACATCATAATGACAGGATCAAATGCACTTGTAAAAATATTAACCTTAAATGTAAATGAGCTAAATGCCCCAATGAAAAGACACAGACTGGAAAACTGGATAAAGAGTCAAGGCCCATCAGTACGCTATATTCAGGACACCCATCTCACGTGCAGAGACACACATAGACTCAAAATAAAGGGATGGAGGAAGATCTACCAAGCAAATGGAAAACAAAAAAAGCAGGGGTTGCAATCCTAGTCCCTGATAAAACAGACTTTAAACCAACAAAGATCAAAAGAGGCAAAGAAGGGAATTACATAATGGTAAAGGGAACAATTCAACAAGAAGAGCTAACTATTCTAAATATATATACACCCGATACAGGAGCACCCAGATTCATAAAGCAAGTCCTGAGTGACCTACAAAGAGACTTAGACTCCCACACAATAATAATAGGAGATTTTAACACCCCACTGTCAACATTAGACAGATCAATGAGACAGAAAGTTAACAAGGATATCCAGGAATTGAACTCAGCTCTGCACCAAGCAGACCTAATAGGCATCCACAGAACTCTCCACCCCAAATCAACAGAATATACATTCTTCTCAGCACCACATCGCACTTATTCCAAAATTGACCACATAGTTGGAAGTAAAGCACTCCTCAGCAAGTGTAAAACAACAGAAATTATAACAAACCGTCTCTCAGACCACAGTGCAATCAAACTAAAATTCAGGATTAAGAAACACACTCAAATCGCTCAACTACATGTAAACTGAACAACCTGCTCCTGAATGACTACCGGGTACATAACGAAATGAAGGCAGAAATAAAGATGTTCTTTGAAACCAATGAGAACAAAGACAAAACATATCAGAACCTCTGCGACACATTTAAAGCAGTGTGTACCGGGAAATTTATGGCACTAAATGCCCACAAGAGAAAGCAGGAAAGATCTAAAATTGACACCCTAACATCACAATTAAAAGAACTAGAGAAGCAAGAGCAAACACATTCAAAAGCTAGGAGAAGGCAAGAAATAACTAAAATCAGAGCAGAACTGAAGGAAATAGAGACACAAAAAACCCTTCAAAAAATCAATGAATCCAGGAGCTAGTTTTTTGAAAAGATCAACAAAATTGATAAACCTCTAGCAAGACTGATAAAGAAGAAAAGACAGAAGAATCAAATAGATGCAATAAAAAATGATAAAGGGGATATCACCACCAATCCCACAGAAATACAAACTACCATCAGAGAATACTATAAACACCTCTATGCAAATAAACTAGAAAATCTAGAAGAAATGGATAAATTCCTGGACACATACAGCCTCCCAAGACTAAACCAGGAAGAAGTTGAATCCCTGAATAGATCAATAACACGTTCTGAAATCCAGGCAATAATTAATAGTCTACCAACCAAAAAAAGGTCCAGGACCAGACAGATTCACAGCCGAGTTCTACCAGAGGTACAAAGAGGAGCTGGTACCATTCCTTCTGAAACTATACCAATCAATAGAAAAAGAGGGAATCCTCCCTAATTCATTTTATGAGGCCAACATCATCCTGATGCCAAAGCCTGGCAGAGACACAACAAAAAAAGAGAATTTTAGACCAATATCCCTGATGAACATCGATGCAAAAATCCTCAATAAAATACTGGCAAACCGAATCCAGCAGCACATCAAAAAGCTGATCCACCATGATCAAGTTGGCTTCATCCCTGGGATGCAAGGCTGGCTCAACACACGCAAATCAATAAATGTAATCCATCATATAACCAGAACCAATGACAAAAACCACATTATTATCTCAATAGATGCAGAAAAGGCCTTTGACAAAATTCAACAGCCTTTCATGCTAAAAACTCTGAATAAACTAGTTATTGATGGGATGTATCTCAAAATAATAAGAGCTATCTATGACAAACCCACAGCCAATATCATACCGAATGGGCAAAAACTGAAAGCATTCCCTTTGAAAACTGGCACAAAACAGGGATGCCGTCTCTCACCACTCCTATTCAACATAGTGTTGGAAGTTCTGGCCAGGAAAATCAGGCAAGAGAAAGAAATAAAGGGTATTCAATTAGGAAAAGAGGAAATCAAATTGTCCCTGTTTGCAGATGACATGATTATATATTTAGAAAACCCCATCATCTCAGCCCAAAATCTCCTTAAGATGATAAGCAACTTCAGCAGTCTCAGGATACAAAATCAATGTGAAAAAATCACAAGCATTCTTATACACCAATAATAGACAAACAGAGAGCTAAATCATGGGTGAACTCCCATTCACAATTGCTTCAAAAAAAATAAAATACCTAGGAATCCAACTTACAAGGGATGTGAAGGACCTTTTCAAGGAGAACTACAAACCGCTGCTCAATAAAATAAAAGAGGATACAAACAAATGGAAGAACATTCCATGCTCATGGATAGGAAGAATCAATATCGTGAAAATGGCCATACTGCCCAAGGTAATTTATAGATTCAATGCCATCCCCATCAAGCTACCAACGACTTTCTTCACAAAATTGGAAAAAACTACTTTAAAGTTCATATGGAACCAAAAAAGAGCCCACATTGCCAAGACGATCCTAAGCCAAAAGAACAAAGCTGGAGGCATCATGCTACCTGACTTCAAATTATACTACAAGGCTACAGTAACCAAAACAGCATGGTACTGGTACCAAAACAGAGATATAGACCAATGGAACAGATAGAGCCCCGGGAAATAATACCACACATCTACAACCACCTGATCTTTGACAAACCTGACAAAAACAACAAATGGGGACAGGATTCCCTATTTAATAAATGGTGCTGGGAAAACTGGCTAGCCACAGGTAGAAAGCTGAAACTGGATCCCTTCCTTACACCTTATACAGAAATTAACTCAAGATTGATTAAAGACTTAAATGTTAAACCTGAAACCATAAAAACTGTAGAAGAAAACCTAGGCAATACCATTCAGGACATGGGCATGGGCAAGGACTTCATGACTAAAACACCAAAAGCAATGGCAACAAAAGCCAAAATTGACAAAAGTGATCTAATTAAACTACAGAGCTTCTGCACAGCAAAAGAAACTACCATCAGAGTGAACAGGCAACCTACAGAATGGGAGAAAATTTTTGCAATCTACTCATCTGACAAAGGGCTAACATCCAGAATCTACAAAGAATTTAAACAAATTTACAAGAAAAAATCAAACAACCCCATCAAAAATTGGGCAAAGAATATGAACAGACACTTCTCAAAAGAAGACATTTATGCAGCCAATAGACACATGAAAAAATGCTCATCATCACTGGCCATCAGAGAATTGCAAATCAAAACCACAATGAGATACCACCTCACACCAGTTAGAATGGTGATCATTAAAAAGTCAGGAAACAACAGGTGCTGGAGAGGATGTGGAGAAATAGGAACACTTTTACACTGTTGGTGGGACTGTAAACTAGTTCAACCATTGTGGAAGACAGCGTGGCAATTCCTCAAGGATCTATAACTAGAAATACCATTTGACCCAGCCATCCCATTACTGGGTGTATACCCAAAGGATTGTAAATCATGCTGCTATAAAGACACATGCACACATATGTTTATTGCGGCACTACTCACAACAGCAAAGACTTGGAACCAACCCAAATGTCCATCAATGATAGACTGGATTAAGAAAATGTGGCACATATACACCATAGAATACTATGCTGCCATAAAAATGGATGAGTTCATATTCTTTGTAGGGACATGAATGAAGCTGGAAACCATCATTCTGAGCAAACTATCACAAGGACAGAAAACCAAACACCTCATGTTCTCACTCATAGGTGGGAATTGAAAAATGAGAACACTTGGACACAGGATGGGGAACATCACACACTGGGGCTTGTCATGGGGTGGGGGGAGGGAGGAGGAATAGCATTAGGAGATATACCTAATGTAAATGATGATTTAATGGGTGCAGCACACCAACATGGCACATGTATACATATGTAACTAACCTGCATGTTGTGCACGTGTACCCTAGAACTTAAAATATTAAAAAAAAATAATCTTCTCCCTGCTTCCTCTGCCCCTGACTGACCCTGGTTTATCCCCATGTGGCCCCGCATTATGGTGTGGCATGCCCTTTTGTCTTGGGGTCTGTTGAATGTAACAAACTATGTTTTCAGTGGTAGCTGTCTCCTGATCTGTTGGCTTTGCCATATCTTAATAAAACCTACATTAAAAAATTTAAAAAAATTAAGAAAACAAATCCTTAGTCCCAAGCTCATTCTACAACAATTATAATAAATACATATTGTTCTCTGCAGTAAAATGAATAAAATATTAGCTAATACTCAGGTATAGATTTTTGCGAGGTATGAAGCAAAGCATTTTTTTTGTATAAAAGCCATACCAAGGTCATCATGCTGAAAACACATTCTCATTGTATAGCAAATATTCCTTTTCTTTAAAAATTTATTTATTTATTTTATTATTATTATACTTTAAGTTTTAGGGTACATGTGCACAATGTGCAGGTTAGTTACATATGTATACATGTGCCATGCTGGTGTGCTGCACCCATTAACTCGTCATTTAGCATTAGGTATATCTCCTAAAGCTATGCCTCCCCCCTCTCCCCATCCCACAAAAGTCCCCAGAGTGTGATGTTCCCCTTCCTGTGTCCATGTGTTCTCATTGTTCAGTTCCCACCTATGAGTGAGAATATGCGGTGTTTGGTTTTTTTGTTCTTGCGATAGTTTACTGAGAATGAAAAAGGAATTAGTTACAGCTATCCAATCAAACTTTGGACTTTCTAAAGAAAACTAAGCAATGCTTTAAAGTAAAATAAGATTTCTTACAAATACATACAAATTGCTTATGTTTTATGTATTAACACATATATTGATTATCCATAAGCAGACACATTCTCTATTAAGTATAGGCATATTTCCATAGTTGTTGGTTTTGTTAACATCTACTAATTTGAGGGGATGATAGTTACTTTCCATAAATGACTTTGTAGGTAAAAGTTTCATGTGTTATTCATTTGAACAAAGTGAACCATATCTCTTGTTTCATAGGTCAGAGATTTGTAGTATTTCAGAGTCTCCCACCCAATTTATGACATGACCTAAGCAAAAATACCTGATTGTTCAATTTTTCCAGAAAAGGATATTATCTTCAATATCCAAAATTAAAGAGATCTAAACATTTTGTCTACTCGATATTAACAATCTAGATATTTTTAAACATTTGAAAGAATACACAAATTGTCAGACTATTAAGAGAAATGTTTGTTTCTTTTCCTCATTTTCTTTGAAAAAAATAGTTACACTCTTCAAGTGAAAAGTAATAAGAAGCAAACCTATGCCTTCTTCCCCCATCACCCAACCTATTTCCCTCTAGAAGATTAACATTTGACTTGTCCAATTTAGTGATGCTGAGAAAAGGAAGTGGATTTGCCTGGTTCAGACTGTTTTATAGCCATCTGTTCCAAGAGCATGTGGTCGCTGCACCTTCTCTCCAGCAATTACAGCTGAGAGAGGACCCAAGTGTTTCTTCCTCAGACAGGTCTAAAGGACTGTCATTCTCTGTCCTGGGTAAAGACATAATAGATAGGAGGCAATGCAGTTATTTCCTTCATGGTTTTCTGCTACATCTGCTCTGTAATTCAGTTTTGGATGGGATTTTCCTAAAAACAGAGGTAGGGGAAGTATTAGGTCATTGAGGGTGGCCACAGAGCCAGGCCAGATTTTATTTGTCTGGACAGCTGATCTCAAACACAAGAAGGAAATAACGTCATTGTCGTATCCACAAAGTCCAACATAACTATTTGTTTTTGAGGAGTCTTGTCTCATACAAATACTTCTCTAAAGAATGCCACTATTCTACTCAAAATATTTACTTTAAAATCTTTTCCAATTTCTTGTGTAATGTCATCAACTTTTAGATTAGAACAAACTGTCAAGACATAGTTCACTGACTACTTTTACAACATATAATGTTAACTGACATTTTCAAAGAAATGTGTTTCTTAGAACAGTCTGTCCTGGTGAAGATTGAGCAGCAGATTTATAATGCACAAAGATGAAAGTTTTGCATTAGCAATATCATCATAAGAATTTGAGATGTTCTTAGTCACTTGGGATGAATGGTCAGGTGGTACAGAAATACAGATATAGATTCCTCACCCATGGGATTCAGAACATAGATAATTTACTTTCTTTTTTAAAAATTATGTTCTTATGCATTTTCTATTTTTCCATAATTATTGGGGTACAGGTGGTATTTGGTTATATGAGTAAGTTCTTTACTGGTGATTTGTGAGATTTTGGTAAACCCATCACCCGAGCAGTATACACAGCATCATGCTTATAGTCTTTTATCCTTTGGCCCCTTCCCACTCCTTCCCACAGTCCCCAAAGTCCATCGTGTCATTCTTATACCTTTGTGTCCTCATAGCTTAGCTCCCACATATCACTGAGAACATACGATGTTCAGTTTTCCATTACTGAGTTACTTCACTTAGAATAATAGTCTCCAGTCTCATCCAGGTCGTTGTGAATGCCATTAATTCATTCTGTTTTATGGCTGAGTAGTATTCCATCATATAAATATACCACAGTTTCTTTATCCACTCGTTGATTGATGGGCATTTGGGTTGGTTCCACGATTTTGCTGTTGCAAATTGTGATGCTATAAACATACGTGTGCAAGTATCTTTTTCGTATAATGACGTCTTTTCCTCTGGGTAGATACCCAGTAGTGGAATTGCTGGATCAAATGGTAGTTCTACTTTTAATTCTTTAAGGAATCTCCATACTGTTTTCATTAGTGGCTGTGCTAGTTTACATTCCCACCAGCAGTGTAGAAGTTTTCCCTGTTCACCTCGTCCACATCAACATCAACTGTTTTTTGATTATGGCCATTCTTGCAGGAGTAAGGTGGTATCACATTGTGGTTTTGATTTCCATTTCCCTGATCATTAGTGATGCTGAGCATTTTTTCATGTTTGTTGGTCATTTGTATATTTTCTTTTGAGAATTGTCTATTCATGTCCTTAGCCCACTTTTTGAAGGGAATGTTTCTTTTTTTCTTACTGATTTGTTTGAGTTCATTGTAGATTCTGGATATTAGTCCTTTGTCAGATGTATACATTGTGAAGATTTTCTCCCACTCTACGGGTTGTCTGACTACTCTGCTGACTGTTCCTTTTGCTGTGCAAAAGCTCTTTAGTTTAATTAAGTCCCAACTATTTATCTTTGTTTTTACTGCATTTGCTTTTGGGTTCTTGGTCATGAAATCCTTGCCTAAGCCAATGTCTAGAAGGGTTTTTCCAATGTTATCTTCTAGAATTTTTATAGTTTCAGGTCTTAGATTCAAGTCTTTAATCCATCTTGAATTGATTTTTGTATAAGGTGAGAGATGAGGATCCAGTTTCATTCTCCTACATGTGGCTAGCCATTTATTTCAGCACCATTTGTTGAAAAGGGTGTCCTTTCCCCACTTTATGTTTTTGTTTGCTTTGTCGAAGATCAGTTGGCTGTAAGTATTTGGGTTGCTTTCTTTAATCCATCATTCCCTAAACTTACTTGATCATAGTACATGGCATTGTTTTAATTTTTATAAAGCAAAAACTAACAGCCCTTGGAACTTTTATTTAAGTGAAGATTGTTTGGAAAATATTTGTTGAATTGAGTGCATAAAAATGCTCTGCTTGTTTGTAGGATTCCTTTGAACAGTAAAAGGGCGAAAGTAGCTGGTGGAAAAATGGCTTTATAAAAATAATAGAACTATTTAAAGCAACAAGCTCTTTGGTTTCCTTTGTTCACTTTAATGAAGCATACCACTTCGAGGCTTCAAGAGCTTTTTTACAAAACTTCACATCTAATTTTTCCCTACAATAATTTTCAGCTCATTTTTTCCAGTGATAATTATTCACCCTCCTAGGGAGGTGATGAAGAGAAGCAGCAAGGATAAGCATAGCATGCCACTTCACGCTGGGTTAAGTCATGTTTTGGTTAAATGGGTTTATATGGAGAGTTATTACCTGTTAAATGTTTTTTCTTCCTTTTTAAACCAGAACCTTATCATTATAAAGTATGGTATTTTATTTAAATCATAAGTTGTTCTTTCTTAACAAAATGTTGCATTTGATTATAGGACAGGAAAAAGCACAATACTAAAAACATGGGGAAATGCTCACCTTTTGTGAAATCAACTTGTTTCAAAGACTGCTGGTTGAAGAAAATATTGTGAATTATTTTCTGAATGTCTTTCGCTGAGGACTTTTGCACCTACAAAAAACAGAATGTATTTTCAACTTTCATTCATAGCCTTAATCCTGCATGGATTATAAAAACACTGAATGATCAAGTAATATCAGTTGCCAAGATAACATGATAGGGGAAAAATTATATTTAAAGAAAATAAATTTAAAGCATTGGTATATGTGATGTCACTATGGGAATATTAGTTGACCATGAGCCTAAAATTACACACAAATATAAAACACAAGTATGGTGAGCTGTACATAACATTCAGACTATTTACAGTTTCAAACTGTCTACAGATTCAGACTTCATAGTGGTGCCCAGGTTATAATATATCCATTAGGAAAAATTATAAATAATTTTGAATTTTATTTGCATTACTTGCTCATTTATCCCTTAGATTAGATTAGATATAAAGTGCCTTAGATATAAAGTAGAAATAACACGGCAACATGCGAAACACAAATTTCTAAATTATATTAAAAAATTTGTAGCACATTGCTTAATAAAGAAAGAGACCAGAAATCTAAAATAATTAAGTCATGCATATGTCAAGACAGGAATTTTTTTTTTTTTTTTTTGAGACAGAGTCTCCCTCTGTTGCCCAGGCTGGAGTGCAGTGGTATGATCTCGGCTTACTGCAACCTCCACCTCCGAGGTTAAAGCAACTCCCCTGCCTCCACTTCCTGAGTAGCTGCGACTACAAGCATGTGCCACCACACCACCACACCTGGCTAATTTTTTTGTATTTTACTAGAGACAGGGTTTCACCATGTTGGCCAGGATGGTCTCAATCTCCTGACCTCATGATCTGCCTGCCTTGGCCTCCCAAAGTGCTGTGATTACAGGTGTGAGCCACCACGCCCGACCCCTCGAACATCTTTTCTACATGATCCCTAAAGAGCCTCCTTAAAACGGGGAAAAGTTTCAAATCCTTCTCCACTCCTCTAATCATCTATACCTTTTGTCTAAATACCATCATAAACTCAGAGGACCTCTCTTTCTAGACCCCTTTACCCTTTAGGGCCTTTTGTCCTTCAGAAATCTTTGGACATGCCAATTATATTCTTACTTTTCTGGTCCATTTGTATTCAGAAACTCTTGTTCATTCCTCCCTTTCATCTCTGACTTACCAGGATAATTTAGAGATCCTTTCAACTGTGTATGTCAAGACTCCCCTGCATCCGGCCAAGGCAGATGGAGTTTTGTCTTTACACAGAAAAGACTTTAATTGCTGGATAAAACATACTTTTGGCAATACTCCCTTTGTGAAACCTAAGAAGCCAAATGGGCGTGGCCACCCATACCTCCCCACAAAAAATAAAGACAGAATCAATTCAATTATAGACCAACATTCCCATCACCATAAAATCAGGCCTGTTATTTGTCCTATATGATTGTGAAAGCCTTATCTTTTCCAAAGCCCCAAGGGCTGCAGATGCTTCGGCAATAAGCACTTGATTGAGAATATAGCTGCACCACGGGCACTCCATCCAGGGGAAACTAGTCCAGATGGGTACCCAAGGATGCCTAGGTGCAGGTTGTAGAGCCTAGGAGGACAGGTATGCCTTGATATCCCTGGCTTGACTGGAGGACTGGCATCCTACAGGATCCAGGTCCCCTGGCATCTTTCTGATTTCTTCACTGTCTTTCAGGTCATGTCAAGGACAAATCTACATTATAAGCAAAACTCCTAATACCAGGACTTGTAGACTGACCAAAGGACACTCGACTGAGGTCCCTTCTCTGCACACTCTAGCGAGGGCATGACTACTGGGCCTTTTAACAGAACAGAATCACTGGGAATCCAGATCTCCATACCCCAGGATTTCCCCCTTCTGATGCATCCTTAAAAATTGGAATAAATTTGACCCTCAAACCCTAAAAACAACAACAAACAAATAAAAAAACAAATTTTACTTTACAAAACCAGAGGAGGCCTGGCCAAAGAACTAAAGTATGAATTTTAATACCATCCTCCAGCTGGACCTTTTCTGCTGCTATAAGGGTAAATAGTCAGAGGTTCCCTATTTACAAACCTTCACAACCTTGTGAAAACATCTTAAAAAGTTCTCGGAGGACCCGAAAAGACTCATCGAGGGCTTCCAAAAATTGACTCTTATACTTAGACTATCTTCAAAGGATATAAGTATCTTCATAGGACAAGCCTCTCATGAGAAAAAAGACAAACCATCTATGAGGCAGCACTGTCCTGTGGGGATGACTTACACCTGGCAGACGTCAACTACCCCCAAGGGAGCTACAGCTGTTCCCCAGCAGGACCCCAATTGGTACTACAGACAAAAATAGGGGCCAGGAACCATATGCCCCTGTGTCTAATAAAAAAATTTAAAAGCTCAAGGCTACAAACTATAATAAACTAGCCATCATAGACCAGAGTAAGACAAGAACTGAAGACCTTCACACTTCCCAATAACAAATTCTGCATTATTATTTATAATTTTCTTTTTGTTAAATGTATAACAATATTTGCAACATAATTTATCTCATAATGATTCATAATCATTATTACTTCATTAATATATCACCCCTTTGTCAAAATATAATGGTTTTCTAGTGAGACGTGTTACAGCTTAGTAGTTAGGAGCTCAAACTTGGATTGAATCCTAGTTTTGGCAACAGCTTGGACAAGTTAATTACTCTATTTCCTCAAATTCCTTCCCTGTAAAGCTAGGATGAACATATGATCTACCCCACTGTGCTCCTGTGAGGATTTCAGTGGGTTTAAACATGGCAAAATTTGAGAGATGGTATTTTAGTTACTATTCAGTTTTAGTAATTCTGTAATTTTTATTATGACTCCTTAGGTGTGTAACTATTCATTTCCAAATACAGGAAATTTCTTATATTAGAATTAGCATAGTGAGAGAATATAACATGTATATGTTAGTTTCAGTTAAATGTGTGCTAAAATATCCACTATTTTTTGGATTTGTCAATTTCTTCCAGTAATTTAGTCTACTTACTTCATATATTATATGCCATATTCCTAGATGCTTAAAAGTTTAGGATTACTATATAATGGCACTTTAATTTCCATAATTATCTAATTAATAAGATTTCAGCATTCAGATTGATGGCAGGTTAGTCTCTGTAATAAATATATTTTATTTGGGGATTAATGTGTTAAGATGTTTGGAAAATGACTAAGTTTGTATCCTGACTGCTCTACGTCAGGATTTTTTTTTTTTTTTTTTTGACGGAGTCTCACTCTGTCGGCCAGGCTGGAGTGCAGTGGCGCAATCTCGGCTCACTGCAACCTCCGACTCCCTGGTTCAAGCGATTATCCTGCCTCAGCCTCCCAAGTAGCTGGGATTACAGGCACGTGCCACCACTCAGCTCATTTTTGTATTTTTAGTAGAGACGGGGTTTCACCATGTTGGCCAGGATGGTCTCGATCTCCTGACCACGTGATCTGCCCGCCTCGACCTCCCAAAGTGCTGGAATAACAGCACTATCTCAGGAATTTTTGACAGAAATCCCACAACTTTCACTTAAGCTTCTAAAGGAGGGAAATGAGGCAGAATATGAGCCATCAGAAGTTGGAGAATGGTGACATTTGAGATAGGAGAGTCAACAAAGGAGGCTTCAAGAAAGAGGGTTTGGGTTTTTTTTGGATTGTAAAATAAGATGATAATGTTTAAAGAACCACTGTATTTACTGATTAAAATTATAATTTCAGTAGTTATTTTATAAAATCAAAACGTAAGTTGGAGGTAATTTGAGTATACCAAATCAAGGCTGGTTTTTGGTTTTTGGAAAGCTTGACATTGGGAAAAGTCTAAAGAAGGTTGAAGCTTAACCATCAGGATGAACGAACTTTGGGAGTTTAGACAATGAGAGGACATAGAAGACTTAAAGGGTAACATTGTAGCCTATTGACTTTAGTGTTAAAGGAGGTATAAAGTGGGATGTCCCTGAGTTGCTAATATCAGCATGTTAGAGTAGGTAGTTAGACAGACATGAGCCAGGTGGGAGAGGGCCCCCCCAAGGAATAACATCAGGTGATGGTCAGGCAGGTGTTAAACTGTCTCTCTGAAATGATAACTGGTTGCAGCCAGTGCCTGGGGAAGACAGTCTCCCAATACATAGAAAACACCTGGAGCTAATGATCAGCAGCTTCCTGATAAGATCTCAGGAGTTGGATGAGCAGGCTCAAGCATGTGCACTAAGAGGCAAAATGGCAGATGTATGACCTTCCTCTGTGGGTATTCAACTGGTAAAGGAAAATCATCTCTAGAGAGCATGCACACAGCCTCAGTAAATGCAAGATGCATGCAGTCACCCTCCAAAGTGCTGACCGACACCGCATATGTAGCAGTTCAGCAGCAGCCTACCACAAGGGAAGAATCAAGAGAGGAGAAAAGAAAATCCTGGAACCATGCCAATGTATAAAACCCCAAGTCAAGGATTTAACAGGGCACATGGATCTCTCAAGTCACCTGTTGGGCCTTCTTCCAAGTTTACTTTGCTTCCTTGCTCCCGCTGTAAAACTTTTCAATAAACTCTTACTCCTGCTCTAAAAGTTATCTCCATCTTTCCCTCAGCCTTAAACCTACTTCTGCTCCTTGGCCAAATTCTGTCCTCTGAGGAGGCAAGGGTTGAGTTTGCTGCCAACCTGTGTGGATTCACCACTGGTAACAAGCCACTGGGCCATGAAATTAACAAGTTAAAGACTAGGCTTCTATCGCACGTCGAAGAAAACTATACATTAATGTTTTAAAATTTTTAGGCTGAGCACAGTGGCTCATACCTATAATCCCAGTACTTTGGGAGCCTGAGGCAGGCAGACCACTTGCGCTCACGAGTTTGAGACCAGCCTGGGCAATATGGAGAAACCACATTGCTACAAAAAATACAAAAATTAGTCAGGCATGGCGGTGTCTGTCTGTAGTCCCAGCTATTCAGAAGACTGAGGTGGAAGGATGGCTTGAGCCTGGGAGGTGGAGGATGGAGTGAGCCAAGATCAAGCCACCACACTCCAGCCTGAGCAATAGAGCCAGACCTTTTCTTAAAAAAGATTATTTGAAAAGTTCGTTTTTAAATAAGTTTTCAATCTTTATCTCATTTTTAGATAAGACTTGTGTTTTCCAAACAAAGAATAATAAACTCAGACTTCTAATTGGGTTAAAAATAAGTTTTCATAATTTATCTATACAATTAATGGCTTTGGAGAGCCCAAGCCAAGTAAATAATTGAAAATTTTAGAGGAATAAAACTTCTATTTATGAATTATGAGGTCCTCTTTTTGGAAATTACCCTGGTTAAGTTTGTTTATTCTGCTCAATTGGAGAACAAGCAGTTAAGCTGCAAATTTTACATGATCCAAAATTATGGGAGATCTTTTGTTTCCAAATTTGTTGGATGTAATGGACTGTGAAGAAGGGCAATAAACTATTGCTAGAAATTACACTGAAGCTTTATGAACACATTTTCTTTTGTATTTCAGATAAAGTTCCCTTCGTGTGTATAAAATGCACTTAATGATCTGGAGCTTACAATGTACCAGCAAAAATAAAAGAAGCAAAAAATAATTTTAAAGCAAGCCCAGAAATTATGCTAAATTTTTTCAAGGCTAAACTACTACTGCCTATCTTAATAGAAATAGACTACATACCAATCAGGATCTAGTCGGCATGCCAAAAACATAGCCATTATTTTAAGAGATTGAATTTAATACGAAAAATTGTTAATTGAGTTTTGCTAGAGAACAGAAAAGACAAAAGGGAAACCCAGTGTTGTCACTAAGTAGTCAGTGCAGGGTCCACACCTGTGGAGGGGGGAACAAAAGAGTTTGTGATTTGAAAACACACACACTTGGATGAGAGGTACCATATAGCTGGGACTCTGACCTCTAAGGAGGGATGCTAATCAGCTCCTTCCTACTGGTGACTCAGACGCTTGCAGGTGAGGCCCCTGGAGCAAGGACCAGACATCTGAGGAGGAGCTGCCAAGACTTGTGCTGGTGTCTTTGAGTATTAGAAAAAGCCTCGTTCACTGGATGGAATTGGAGACCATTATTCTAATTTAAATAACCCAGGAATGCAAAACCAAATATCGTATATTCTCACTCATAAGTGGGGCCTAAGCTATGAGGATGCAAAGGCGTAAGAGTGATGCAATGGACTTTAGGGGAACTCGGGGGAAAGGATGGGAGGGGGATGAGAGATAAAAGACTACAAATTGGGTAGAATGTATACTGCCCAGGTGATGGATGCATGAAAATCTCAGAAATCACCACTAACGAACTTATTCATGTGACCAAACACTGCCTATTCCCCAAAAACCTATGGAAATTTTTTAAAAATTTAAAAAAGAAAGAAAGAGCCTCTTTCAGGGAGTGTTGGAAAAATGACAAATTGGAAGCAACTGTTGCTACTAGAAGTGTTTACTCCAGAACAGCTAATAGAAAATTCCCTCTTTCACTAATAGAAAAGTCCCTCTTCTCTCCTCTTGGTCAACCTTTGCTGCTCTTACAAGTAAAGCCTAATGGACAACCCAATTGAAAGAGAAGAAACGAGAATTTCAGCCCAGCCATATAAGCTGAGTACACAAGTGTGAGATTTGAAGCTGAAAGACAATACTTAGTAACCAGCACAGGATATAAGGAGGAGAAATTGTGCAGTTTGTAGAACTCTGAAGAAGCAAATAAAAGTGTATGTCAATCAGCAAAATGACAAAGCAGATAAAACCTATAGAATGGGACACAGAGAGAAAGGAGATCTTGATAACATCTAAAGGCAAATTTCTTCTTGACAAGTCTCCCGGGATAATATGGTTCACACTTATTCAGGCAAAGGTGGATACAAGAGAGGTTGAAAGCTTGGGTACTGCCAGGTCTCAGAAAAGAGGTGGATCTGTTACAGTGGAGAAGCATCATTTACGCATTCCATTTATTCAAATTCAAGCATTCATTTAGGGAAAGGGAGAAAAATTTAAATCAGCATAGGCCACAATATTCTACTCTTTGAGCATACACCTAGGGAGAGCAAAAGATGGGTGGTTTGTGTTTGATGTTTCTCTCATCTGTCTCAGTCCTGCCTCTCATAGTGTGAGCATAAACCCTGAGGAGTGTGGGTCCACTAATTACACAGCCTCTAAACTTTAGCCAACATCTTCATTTGGTGCTCAAAAAGAAATCCTGCAATCTGGAGACAAAATTGAATAGGATTTATTGTAACACAGCATATAAGTAAAATGTACTTTCAAAAGTGACTTACGTTATCTTCAAAGGGCATTTTCAACAATCACTTTATAAGTTGAAATTAAAACCAAACCCATGTTTCATTAAGATACAACACCACTATATAACTATTAAGAAAACTAAGGTGGGGGTGAAGTAGAATGAGCAAGTTCGAAGCTGAAGCAAATACTTAGAGCATTTAAGGAAAGGGAAGCCAGAATGGTTTTAGTTGACAATGAAACTGCCTTTGCAAAAATTATAGCTGAGGAAATTATGACACTGAGAGAGATCATCCCTAACTGACTCCATCTTGCTTCTAAACTTTAAGCTGTCCTTGTTCATTACTGGATGTAGGCCAAACTAACCTTAGGAAAGAATTCAGTTTATGGTTTGACTCTGAAACAAAATTGATAATAGCTGTTTCCCAAAAAGACCCCCTTCTTGCCTGGAGACCAGTCTGCCTTTGTAGAACTATCAAATTAGCTACAAGATTAGAAATTCCAGTTAGGGATCAAGCAGCCCGACAAGTGTCTGAACCTCCCCAAATTGTTCCTGGGGATAATATCATTATTGTAAAACTTAAGATCAGTGCTTGAGACATTGTGCAGACCCTGCACTTGATGGATCACCTGACACCACCCAGATGGGTAATCTGGCTCAACTAGTTCTGTGATCACACCCAGGAAAAGAAGACAGCAAGAAAACCTCACTTCAACCCCAGTATGATTCCATATCCAACCTGACCAACCAGCACTCCCCACTTCCTGAGCCCCTACCCACCAAATTGTCTTTAAAAACTCCAGTCCTCAAATGCTCGAGGAGACTGATTTGAGTGATAATAAAACTCGTCTCCCACACAGCTGCCTCTGCGTGAATTACTCTTTCTCCATTGCAATTCCCCTGTCTTGATAAATCAACTCTGTCTAGGCAGAGGGCAAGGTGAACCCATTGGGTGGTTACAAGATAGTGAGAAGATTAGCAGGAAAGGAGCTCAGAGAGAGAACTAGGAATCAGACCAAGGAAGGCCTGGAGATCCTGCCTTTTATTTGAGAGAAAATAGGAGACACTGCAGGATTTTGAGCAGAGGACAGACATTATCAGACATATTTTAAATGGACCACTCTTTTGCTTGTGTAGAATAGAGTGTATGGGATAAAGTGTGGACAGAGGAAGACCATCCAGTAGGCTGCTACAATTATACAGGGGAGAGCTGACAGTGATTTAAACCAGAGTGGTAGTGGTAGAGGTAGTGTAAAATGTGGTCTGTTTTAGATATAAAGTTGGAAAGATTTTTTGATAGACTGAATGTGGGGTGTAGAAAACAAAAAAAGAGGAGTGAAGGAAGACTTCAAAGTTTTTGGCCCGAGAAACTGGGTTAATTGATGGCCATTTTAAGGGACATGGGGGAAATAAAAAATTTATCCCGGGAAATTTTGAGACATCAAGTGAAGTCTTTGGAATACAGGAGAGATTTCTGGGTTGGAGATGTGAATTTAGGGTCATTAGAATATCAGTGTTATATTAGCTATGAAAGTGATGGAAGTGATAAAAATCATCTGAAAAATGAGTGTCAAGGGTGAAAAAAAAGAAAAGAAGAAAAAGAGGATTAATGTCCAAGAAACTCCAATATTTAGAGGTTAGATAATGCAGGTATACCTACCAGCAAAGGAGATTCAGAAGGTGTGGCCAGTGAAGTGGGATGAGAATCATGAAAAATCTTGTCCTGGAAGTCAAAATACTATTTCAAAAAATCAACATATTTTAAAGAGGAAGGAATGATACCTTGTATCAATTTTGTCACTGTTGACTATTTTACTTCTACAGGAAAAGCATACAATTAGATGCCTCTTCCTCAATTTCTAAATCTATCTTCTCTATCAAATTTTTTTTTTTTTTTTTTTTTTTTTTTTGAGAATGAGTCTTGCTGTCGCCCAGGCTGGAGTGCAGTGGCGCGATCTCGGCTCACTGCAGGCTCCGCCCCACGGGGTTCACGCCATTCTCCTGCCTCAGCCTCGCGAGTAGCTGGGACTACAGGCGCCCGCCACCTCGCCCAGCTAATTTTTTTGTATTTTTAGTAGAGACGGGGTTTCACCGTGTTAGCCAGGATGGTCTCGATCTATCAAATTTTTTAACAATTTCCTTTTTTACTTTGTTTTCAATTGCAGTACTTAGAATTTCTCCATATAAATAATCTGATTGTGTCAAATAAATTCTACTTTTAATGTGGATTTTAAAATCTGACATTTTATGTTTTTATTCTCCTGAGTTACTTTTCATTTGATGCCTTTAGTTATGCTTTTAAAGCAGTTACTTTATGTATTATATTTATATCTTAATTTAATGAAATTCTTCCCAATATTTTACAACTGAAAGAAGCAAAAAGCTGGAAATGATCAAGACAATTCTACCTCTTTATAGGAATGTGGTAAATAGAATAATGCCCCCCGATCCTAAATTCCTAAATTAGGACATGCCCCCCATGTCCTAATTCCCTATACATGTAAACATGATACCTTAGGTAGAAATGGGGACTTTTGCTGGTGTGATGAAATTAAAGATCTTTATTTATCTGCAGATAATGACATTTTTAATATCTTAATTTTTGTCTTTTATGTCTTTGAGTCTGACTGTAGTACTCTTACTCTATAATAATTTCCAATTAAGATCTTATACCATGTCTAAATAAATATGGTAGTATGTGAGGAAAAACTATTTCAAATTTAGAACCATTCCTTGAGTATCAAGATAATCAAAACTATGTCCTGGCTTAAAAGCAATAAACATTTGAAAATAAATTCATGTAATCTATCACATTAATAGGATAAAGAAAAACCACATGATTATATCAATGAATGCAGAAAGGCATTTGATAAAATCAAGTACCCACTCATGATATTAATAATTTTTAAAAAACCTCAGCAAATGAGGAATAGAGGGAAACTTCCTTAACTTGATAAAGAACATCTAGAAACAACCTACAGCTAACATCATACCTGATAAAAAACTCAAAGCTTTTTGCTAAGTTCAAGAACCATACAAAGGTTCCCTCTTACTACTCTATTTCAACATCATACTGGAAATCCTAGCTAATGCAAAAAGACAAAAAAAGTAAACAAAAGATATACAATTTGGGAAGAAAAAATAAAACTGTCTTTCTTCATAGATGTCATGATCTTCTACAGAAAAATATGAAAAAATTGATCAAAAAAACTCCTGGAATTAATAAGTAATTAAAGAAAGGTTGCAGAATACAAGATTAAAATTCAAAATTCAATCAATATTAAATATTAATGTTACATACCAGCAATCAACAAATGAAATTTAACATAAAAACATATTACTGTTTATATAAGCACCCCCAAAATAAATACTTATGTATAAATATAACAAAATATATAAAAACTTATATGAAAGAAAACCCACAAAACTCTGATGAAATATATGAAAGAAAAACTAAATAAATGGAGGAATATCCCATGTTCATAGATAGGAAGAGTCAATATTGCCAGAACATCAGTTCTTTAGTTGATCTATAGATTCAATGCAGCTCTAATCAAAATCCCAGAAAGTATTTTGTGGATTTTTACAAATTGATTCTAAGGTTTGCATAAGTAGAATCATATAGTTGACAGCTCAATATTGAAGAAGATGAACAGAGTTCGAAGACTGGCCTACTTGACTTTAAAATGTACTATAAAGCTACAGTTATCAAAACAGTGTGCTATTATCAAAAGAACAGACAAGTAGATCAGTGGAACAGAATAGAAAGCTGAGAAATAGACCACAAAAATATAGTCAGTTAATTTTTGACAAAGAAATGAAGGCAATACAGTGTAGAAAACATAGTCTCTTCAGTAAGTGGTACTGGAACAACTGGACATCCATCTACACACAAAAACATGAACCTAGACACACACCTTATGTTCTTCACAAAAGTTAGCTTGAAATGGATCATAGACCTAAACATAAAATTTAAAACTCTAAAACTCCTAGAAGATAACATGGGACAATAGCTAAATGACCTTGGGTATAGTGATGACATTTTAGATATACCACCAAAGGCAAAATTTGTGAAAGAAACAACTGATAAATTGGAATGAATTAAAATTTAATACTTCTGCTCTGCAAAAGACAATGTCAAAAGAATGGGAAGATAATCCATATACTGGGAGAAAATATTTGCAAAAGATACATCTGATAAAGGGCTGTTATACAAAATACAAAGAACTCCTAAAATTTAACAATAAGAAAATTAACAACCCGATTAAAAATGGGCAAAAGAGCTATAAATTTCCCTCTACACACTGCTTTAAATGTATCCCAGATATTCCGGTATGTTGTGTCTTTGTTCTCATTGGTTTCAAAGAATGTCTTTATTTCTGCCTTCATTTCGTTATGTACCCAGTAGTCATTCAGGAGCAGGTTGTTCAGTTTCCATGTAGTTGAGCGGTTTTGAGTGAGTTTCTTAATCCTGAGTTCTAGTTTGATTGCACTGTGGTCTGAGAGACAGTTTGTTATAATTTCTGTTCTTTTACACTTGCTGAGGAGTGCTTTACTTCCAACTACGTGGTCAATTTTGGAATAAGTGCGATGTGGTGCTGAGAAGAATGTACATTCTGTTGATTTGGGGTGGAGAGTTCTGTAGATGCCTATTAGGTCTGCTTGGTGCAGAGCTGAGTTCAATTCCTGGATATCCTTGTTAACTTTCTGTCTCATTGATCTAATATTGGCAGTAGGGTGTTAAAGTGTCCCATTATTATTGTGTGGGAGTCTAAGTCTCTTTGTAGGTCTCTAAGGACTTGCTTTATGAATCTGGGTGCTCCTGTATTGGGTGTATATATATTTAGCATAGATAGCTCTTCTTGTTGAATTGTTCCCTTTACCATTATGTAATTCCCTTCTTTGCCTCTTTTGATCTTTGTTGGTTTAAAGTCTGTTTTATCAGAGGCTAGGATTGCAACCCCTGCTTTTTTTTTGTTTTCCATTTGCTTGGTAGATCTTCCTCCATCCCTTTATTTTGAGTCTATGTGTGTCTCTGCATGGGAGATGGGTCTCCTGAATATAGTACATTGATGGGTCTTGACTTTTATCCAATTTGCCAGTTTGTGTCTCTTAATTGGAGCATTTAGCCAATTTACATTTAAGGTTAATATTTTTATGTGTGAATTTGATCTTGTCATTATGATGTTAGCTGGTTATTTTGCTCATTAGTTGATGCAGTTTCTTCCTAGCCTCAATGGTCTTTACAATTTGGCATGTTTTTGAAGTGGCTGGTACTGGTTGTGCCTTTCCATGTTTAGTGCTTCCTTCAGGAGCCCGTAGGGCAAGCCTGGTGGTGACAAAATCTATCAGCATTTGCGTGTCTGTAAACAATTTTATTTCTCCTTCACTTATGAAGCTTAGTTTGGCTGGATATGAAATTCTGGGTTGAAAATTCTTTCCTTCAAGAATATTGAATATTGGCCCCCACTCTCTTCTGGCTTGTAGAGTTTCTGCCGAGAGATCAGCTGTTAGTCTGATGGGCTTCCCTTTGTGGGTAACCCGACCTTTCTCTCTGGCTGCCCTTAAGATTTTTTCCTTCATTTCAACTTTGGTGAATCTGGCAATTATGTGTCTTGGAGTTGCCCTTCTCGAGGAGTATCTTTGTGGAATTCTCTGTATTTCCTGAATTTCAATGTTGGCCTGTCTTCCTAGGCTGCAGAAGTTCTCCTGGATAATATCCTGCAGCGTGTTTTCCAACTTGGTTCCATTCTCCCCATCACTTTCAGGTACACCAAGCAGACGTACAAAAGAATGCAGGAAAGATCTAAAACTGACACCCTAAAATCACAATTAAAAGAACTAGAGAAGCAAGAGCAAATACATTCAAAAGCTAGCAGAAGGCAAGAAATAACTAAGATCAGAGCAGAACGGAAGGAGATAGAGACACAAAAAACCCTTCAAAAAAATCAATGAATGCAGGAGCTGGGTTTTTTTTAAAAGATCAACAAAACTGATAGACCACTAGGAAGACTGATAAAGAAGAAAAGAGAGAAGAATCAAATAGACATAATAAAAAGTGATAAAGGGGATCTCACAACCAATCCCACAGAAATACAAACTACCATCAGAGAATACTATAAACACCTCTACGCAAATAAACCAGAAAATCTGGAAGAAATGGATAAATTCCTGGACACATACACCCTCCCAAGACTAAACCAGGAAGAAGTTGAATCCCTGAATAGATCAATAACAAGCTTTGAAACTGAGGCAATAATTAATAGGCTACCAACAAAAAAAGTCCAGGACCAGACGGATTCACAGCTAAATTCTACCAGAGGTATAAGGAGGAGCTGGTACCATTCCTTCTGAAACTATTCCAATCAATAGAAAAAGAGGGAATCCTCCCTAACTCATTTTATGAGGCCAACATCATCCTGATGCCAAAGCCTGGCAGAGACACAACAAAAAAAGAGAATTTTAGACCAATATCCCTGATGAACATCGATGCAAAAATCCTCAATGAAATACTGGCAAACCGAATCCAGCAGCACATCAAAAAGCTGATCCACCATGATCAAGTGGGCTTCATTCCTGCGATGCAAGGGTGGTTTAACATACACAAATCAATAAACATAATCCAGCATATAAACAGAATCAAAGACAAAAGCCACATGATTATCTCAATAGATGCAGAAAAGGCCTTTGACAAAATTCAACAACTCTTCATGCTAAAAACTCTCAATAAATTCGGTATTGATGGGACATATCTCAAAATAATAAGAGGTATTTATGACAAACCCACAGCCAATATCATACTGAATGGGCAAAAACTGGAAGCATTCCCTTTGAAAACTGGCACAAGACAGGGATGCCCTCTCTCACCACTCCTATTCAACATAGTGTTGGAAGTTCTGGCCAGGGCAATCAGGCAGGAGAAAGAAATAAAGGGTATTCAATTAGGAAAAGAGGAAGTCAAATTGTCCCTGTTTGCAGATGACATGACTGTATATTTAGAAAACCCCATCATCTCAGCCCAAAATCTCCTTAAGCTAATAAGCAACTTCAGCAAAGTCTCAGGATACAAAATCAATGTGCAAAAATCACAAGCATTCTATACACCAATAACAGACAAACAGCCAAATAATGAGTGAACTCCCATTCACAATTGCTGCAAAGAGAATAAAATACCTAGGAATCCAACTTACAAGGGATGTGAAGGATCTCTTCAAGGAGAACTACAAACCGCTGCTCAATGAAATAAAAGAGGACACAAACAAATGGAACAACATTCCATGCTCATGGATAGGAAGAATCAATATCGTGAAAATGGCCATACTGCCCAAGGTAATTTATAGATTCATTGCCACCCCCATCAAGCTACCAACAACTTTCTTCACAGAATTGGAAAAAACTACTTTAAAGTTCATCTGGAACCAAAAAACAGCCTGCATTGCCAAGACAATCCTAAGCCAAAAGAACAAAGCTGGAGACATCACGCTACCTGACTTCAAACTATACTACAAGGCTACAGTAACCAAAACAGCATGGTACTGGTACCAAAACAGAGATATAGACCAACAGAACAGAACAGAGCCCTCAGAAATAATACCACACATATACAACCATCTGATCTTTGACAAACCTGAGAAAAACAAGAAATGGGGAAAGGATTCCCTATTTAATAAATGGTGCTGGGAAAACTGGCTAGTCATATGTAGAAAGCTGAAACTGGATCCCTTCCTTACACCTTATATAAAAATTAATGCAAGATTGATTAAAGACTTAAATGTTAGACCTAAAACCATAAAAACCGTAGAAGAAAACCTAGGCAATACCATTCAGGACATAGGCATGGGCAAGGACTTCATGTCTAAAACACCAAAAGCAATGGCGACAAAAGCCAAAACTGACAAAAGGGATCTAATTAAACTAAAGAGCTTCTGCACAGCAAAAGAAACTACCATCAGAGTGAACAGGCAACCTACAGAATGGGAGAAAATTTTTGCAATCTACTCATCTGACAAAGGGCTAATATCCAGAATCTACAAAGAACTTAAACAAATTTACAAGAAAAAAACAACCCATCAAAAAGTGGGCGAAGGATATGAACAGACACTTCTCAAAAGAAGTCATTTATGCAGCCAAAAGACACATGAAAAAATGCTCATCATCACTGGCCATCAGAGAAATGCAAATCAAAACCACAATGAGATACCATCTCACACCAGTTAGAATGGCAATCATTAAAAAGTCAGGAAACAACAGGTGCTGGAGAGGATGTGGAGAAACAGGAACACTTTTTCACTGTTGGTGGGACTGTAAACTAGTTCAACCATTGTGGAAGACAATGTGGCGATTCCTCAAGGATCTAGAACTAGAAATACCATTTGACCCAGCCATCCCATTACTGAGTATATACCCAAAGGATTATAAATCATGCTGCTATAAAGACAGATGCACACATATGTTTATTGCGGCACTATTGACAATAGCAAAGACTTGGAACCAACCCAAATGTCCATCAATGATAGACTGGATTAAGAAAATGTGGCACATATCCACCATAGACTACTATGCAGCCATAAAAAAGGATGAGTTCATGTCCTTTGTAGGGACATGGATGAAGCTGGAAACCATTATTCTCAGCAACCTATCGCAAGGACAAAAAACCAAACACCACATATTCTCACTCATAGGTGGGAATTGAACAATGAGAACACTTGGACACAGGAAGGGGAACATCACACACTGGGGCCTGTTGTGGGGTTGGGGGAGGGGGGAGGGATAGCATTAGGAGATATACCTAATGTAAATGACGAGTTAATGGGTGCAGCACACCAACATGGCAGACGTATACATATGTAACCTTTGCACGTTGTGCACATGTATCCTAGAACTTAAAGTATAATAAAAAAAAAAAAGAAAAAAAATGGGCAAAAGATCTGAATACCTAACCAAAGAAGATATACAGATATTGAGCGAGCATATGAAAAGATGCTTAACATCATAAGTCATTAGGAATTTGCAAATTAAGACAATGATGAGATACGCTAAGCACCTATTAGAACGACAAGGCCAAAATCCAAAACACAAACAACAGCGAAAGCCGAAGGGAATGTAGAGCAGCAGGAACTCTCATTCATTGCTGGTGGTAATGCAAAATTGATACAGCCACTTGGGAAAACAGTTTGGCAGTTTGTTAGAAAACTAAATATATTCTTACTTTATAATCCAGCCATTGTGCTTCTTGGTATTTACTCAAATGAATTGAAAACCTATGTCTATATAAAAACACAATATTTATAGCAGCTTTATTCATAATTGCCAAATCTTGGAAGTTACCAAGATGTCCTTCAGGTGAATGAATAGACTGTGGTATATCCAGACGATGGAATATTATTCATAACTAAAAAGAAATGAGCTACCAATTCATGAGAAGACATGGAGAAGGCTTAAGTGCACGTTAGTAAGTGAAAGAAGCCAAAATGAAATGGCTGTTTCCTGTCCAATTATATGACATTTTGAAAAAGGCAAAACCACGGAGACTGAAAATATTAGTGGCTACCATCAATTAGAAGGAAAGAAGGAATGAACAGATTGAGCACAGAGAATTTATAAGGCTGTGAAACTATTCTATATAATATTACAATAGTGGATGTGTGTCATTACATATTTGTCAAAACCCATAGATTGTACAATAGCAAAAGTAAATGCTAAGGTAAATTATGGTGATAATGATGTGTCAATGTAAGTTCATCAATTGTGACAAATGTAGTACTATTGTGATGTGAGATGTTAATAGCAGGGAAGGTTGTGGCATGTGTAGGGACAAGAGTTATATGGGAACTCTCTGTACTTTTCCAATCAATTTTGCTGAGCCAGAACTTGGTGTGCTAGAATTGGTACACTGAGTAAGTTTAGGATTGAATAATTTTGGTAGGCTCTGGGTTATAAGGGTGATCCTTAGTTGTTCAATACCTGGCCCTAGGATGATTTAGGGCAGGGGAATATTGACTTGGTATATGAAAGTTTCATAAAGGAGATAGTTGAAGATATAGGCTCTGGAGTGCTTTGCATGTATAACAAAGGCACACTTGCAAGGGAGTCTTTGCTACCTGTAGAAATTAGCTAGCCCTGGGAGGTGCAGCCTTTGCAGGATAAACACCCCAATTGCTAGAACATCAAGAATAAAGACAGTAAGAAAATACATTCATCACAATTTCCATTTACTTAAGTCTTATTTATTTCCTTCACTGAGGTCATATATGTTAGGTACAGAGTTTATACATGTCTTTCATTAAATTCTTATGTATTTTATGTTTGTTAAAATCTTATAATAGGTATTTTTAAATTACATTTCCAATTATCTGTATTTTGACTGTGTATCTTGTCATATTTCTAAATTAACATGTCTTAATTGTAGATTGCTTTGTATTTTCTACATATACAATTATATCATCTGTAAATAATGAGAGATTGATTTTTTCCTTTCCAACTGCATTTTATTTCATTTACTATACTGTTTTACTAGCAGTATTTTCAATAGTGGTGGCAAACGTGGAGATTTTTGCCTTGTCCTTCTTAAGGAGAAAGACAATTATTTTACCAAAAAACATGATATAGATGGCAGATATTTATTCCTAATCTTTGCTAGATTGATAAATTTTTCTTCTAATCTCAGTTTTCTGCATTTTTAAAAATAAATGAGTATTGAATTTTATCAATTAATTTTTCTAAAGTCATTGAAATGATTGTATGATTGTTTTCTCCTTTATTCTCTTTAGGTGCAGAATTAGAGTAATTCATGATTGTTAAAACGCATTTTTGTGATAAACCTCATTTGGTTATGTTACATTACCGTCTTTTATATAATGCTAGATTTCATTTTCTCATGTTTTCTTCTTATTGTTACCTCTACATTCTTTAAGGATATTGATCTGAAGCCTTTCGTTTTCATCCTTGTATAATATTCTTTTTTAAAAAATATCAGTCTCTGAAAGATATATGCCTTCTTTTCACTCCTAATTCCTCTTTTGCTTTCCTTAATCTGACCCACTAAAGGATTATCTGCTGTTTGCTTTTGCAAGAAGTAGTTGTTTATTTCTGTTTTCTACTCTTGAATATCTGCTGAAATTTTCTCTATGATCACATTTTCCAGGTACTATTTCTCCTTGCTGCTTTTAAAGCATGTCACCATGCACTCTATTTTATTTGAAATTAATATTACCCTAGCTACTTCAGATTCAGCCTCTGACATTTTATTTATTCTGAACGTGATATATTTGAATATGTTCAAAGTACATTTTCCTTAGAACTTTGAAGACGTGCTGCCATACTCCACCAGATTCCAATCCTGATGGTGATATATGTGGTAACAGCTTTATTCTAAATGACTCTGTGGTCAATCTGTTACAATTTTGTAAAGTTTTACTTCCAGATGCTTTTACAACTTTCTCCTTAATTTTCAAACATTTTAACCTGTTTTGCTACTGGTCTTTTCCATTTTGCCCATTAAGTCTTTGATGTCAATTTAAAGAAAAGTATATTTCTTCTACTCTGAGAAAGTTTCTTTTAGTATGTATTTTGTTTCATTCTCTCCACATTCTGTATTTTCACATCTTAGGGACCTGGTTTTCCCTCAATGCCTCATTTTTGTTGTTTTTATATATTCTTTTCACACTTTTGAATAACATTCCTGAAAATTTTTTCACTTGGTTCATTATTTCATCTCCATACATTACTCTTAAGTTCTGTCTATTTAGGTATTCATACTATTTACTGATTTTTTTTCTTTACATTGGTCATGTCTGTACCAACAGCGATCCCCAACCTTTTTGGCACCAGGGATGGACCAGTTTCATGGAAGACAATTTTTTTCACATACAAGGGCTAGGGAGTTTGTTTCAGGCTGAAACTGTTCCACCTCAGATCATCAGGCATTAGATTATCATGAGGAGGAGGCAACCTAGATCCCTCACATGCACAGTTCACAACAGGGTTTGCACTCCTATGAGAATCTAATGCTGCTGCTGATCTGACAGGAAGTGGAGCACAGGCAGTAACGCTCACTCGCCATCCTCACCTCCTGCTGTGTGGCTCGGTTCCAGGGACTGGTACCGGTCCGTGGCCTGGGTGTTAAGGATCCCTATACCAAAATACCAAATCTGTTTTGTTTAAAGGTTACACTTGTATATTATCTTTTTAAAGATGTTAACATTTTACTCTGATTGGATCATTATACAACATAGATACGTATATGTAAGATTCATTCTGTTTGCTCCTTCAACATATATTCTTCTATATGTTGAGTGTATTGCTTCCTCTTTGATATCAGTTTCATTCACGTTTGTTGCGTCCTAATTCTTCACTCATCGTGTTGTTTGAAATTCTCTATTTATTCAACAGTGGATACTGATTCAGTTTTCTTTGACCACCATCTGATGATTCGAGATTGAAGTGAAGGGAATAAGCTGATAGACAAGGTTTGTCTACTGTTGCTTTCTGTGCATAAAAACTCCCAATTCTTCCTGGATTTCATCATCTACCTTGGTGATTTACTCAATCTCTCAGCCCAATTATTATCCTCAGTTCTCCTGCCACTGTTTCACATATATGCAAACAGGTGGGGGCAATACATTTAGCTATCCCAAGGTGGTCCCCTGACATTAAGCGATAGCTGTGCTTTGACTTCCCTCCCCCTCCATATGTATGTAACATCTTACCCTGGAGATTTCCCACACAGTTCCCACCTCTAAGAGTGCTACACATGTATTCCGTATAACTTCCTCAATGTCAGATCCATTGATGGTATTGAGTATTGCTTTCCATGTGGTTATAGACTTATTCTTTATAAAAATTTCTTCTGTTTTGAAGTACGTGTTGTAGCAGGTAGAAAGACAGGCACTTCTACCCAGTGTGTCACCTCAATATTTTTGTGTTTTAAAAAATCCACTGGAAAATAATATAAGAAATGCAGGACTGCTATGTAAGTTTAGTTTCTTTAAAAAAAGTATCCATATCTATCAAAGGGAGAAAGCTCTATCATATGACATGCCACACATAAACCTTCTGTCCTTGTGATGTGGAAAATCAAGGATATTGAAATGAGATAAGCTTTAGTTTGAAGTCCCAGCCTGCTTAGATATCAGTTAAAATTGGTCTAATAGCAATCCTAGGTGTTGTTTTGAGTATTAAAGTGCGTAACATAAAAGACAGAGTTCAGCAAATATTCTATTCCATATTAGAAAAAGAAAGGACGGTAAAAAGTTAGTCAACTGGTACAAAGTTACAATTAGATAGAAGGAATACATTATGGTGTTCAATTGCACAGTAGGGTGACTATGGTTAACATTAAAATATTGTGTATTACAAAATAGCTAGAAGAGAAGCTTTTGGAAGTTCTCACCCCAAAGAAATGATAAATGCATGAGGTGATGGATACACTAACTACCCTCATTGGATTGTTACACAACAAAAATATGTATCAAAACATCAAATTGTATTCCATAAATATGTACAATTATAATATGTCAATTTAAAAAATAAATATATATTCATATCTGTTATTGCTTGTTATCAGTGTGACACTGATATGAAGAAGACTTTCATTTAAACTTGCTCTTGCTAGCAGTTTAAGTAAGAAAAAGGAACCCAGTTGATTTTGTAAAAGAAAAAAACTCTGGAAACATTTTATATCTAAGAGCTTCCTCTTGGTATTATTTATATTTCAACAAATATAAATCCATGGGAATAATGCGACTAGGTTTTTAATGTGCTTTTATTTATTTTTTTGTCTCTATACAATGTGCTTGCTTCTGGTGTTATTTGGGATTGCTCAAAACTACATAAAACCCCTAAATTGGGCAACATCGCAAGACCTCATCTCACAGAAAATAAAAATAAAAAAATTAGGCATGGTGATGCATACTTATATCCCAGCTATTTGGGAGGCTGAGGCAGGAGGATTGCTTGATCCTGGGAGGTCGAGGCTGCAGTGAGCTGCAATCATGCCACAGCACTCCAGCCTGGGTGACAGAATGAGACCCTGTCTTGAAAATAAAAATTAAAAAATGCACTACATAAAACCCTTTATTGAATGGACAAAAGACATGAACAGACACTTCTCAAAAGAAGACATACATGTGGTCAACAAACATATGAAAAAATGTTCATCATTACTAATCATTACAGAAATGCAAATCAAAGCCACAATAAGATACCATCTCACACCAGTCAGAGTGACTATTATTAAAAAGTCAAAAAACAACAGATGCTGGAGAGGTTGAAGAGAAAAGGAACACTTATACACTGCTAGCGGGAATGTAAATTAGTTCAGAAACTGGAAAGCAGTGTCAAGATAACTCAGAAAACCAGAACTATCATTCTACCCAGCAATCCCACTAGTGGGTATATACCCAGTGGAAAATAAATCATTCCACCAAAAAGACACACACAAATGTATGTTAATCGCAGTGCTATTCACAATAGCAAAGACCTGGAATCAACCAAGATGCCCATCAATGGTGAATTGAATAAAGAAAATGTGGCACATATGCACAATAGAATATTACACAGCCATAGAAAGAATGAAATAATGTTCTTTGCAGCAACATGAACGCAGCTGGAGGCCATTATCCTAAGCGAACTAATGCAGGAACAGAAAACCAAATACCACATGTTCTCATTTATAAGTGAGAACTAAACGCTGAATACACATGGACACAAAGATGGGAACAATAGACACTGCGGACTGCTTGAGTGGGGAGGGGAGAGAATGCATGGCTTGGAAGGCCTCTTACTGGGTACTATGTTCCCTACTTTGGTGACAGGATTATTTGTACACCAAGCCTCAGCAGCATGCAATTTACCCGTGTAATAAAACTGTACAGGTACCTAAACCTAAAATAAAAGTAGGAAAAAATATCTATCATCAAATTGCTCTTTAAACTTAATTATCATACTTAAATCAATATTTCCTTTACAATTGTATCAACTCAGAGACATTGAGTGGTGATTTATGAAAGACTATGTGTTTGTGCATTTATAGAATTCACAGATATGAATATAAATCAAGATAACTTGGATGGACACAAAACCAAGCTGAAAAAAAATCCTGTTATTTTGTTTCACTTCCTAAACATAAACTACAGCTAAAACTATTCAAGTTTGTGTCATTACAAGAGAAATAACTTCCATTGATAAGAAGCTGCTTCCATTGATTTGAAAATGCTTCTCATAAGCTACATTAGGTTAGCTTTGAGCTTCAGAGATTTTTAAAAAACAAATAGCCCCTAAAATCAGTTAAGATCCATAAGCTCAGTTATATTTATATATATTTTTTATCATCTGAAATGTTAATTGAAGCATATGGACTTGGTTTTTAATTTCTAGCTTTAGGAAACTATTTACACTACTTAGTGAACAGAAAATCAAAAAGGAGTATGGCTGTATCTATCCAACTTCATTATCAGTAGTGGAAAAACTGTAACCACATTTCCTATGCAGAAAGCCAAGAATGGTGTAGTTCTGGTTAAAAACATATGATCCATTGCACTGAATATGAACTCACAATAATTCAAGTTCATTATCTTTATCTCCTGAATTCCATGAAACATAATCACAGTCCCCAGCAATACTACTTGTCTTAGTCTGTTTTCTGTTGCTTATAACAGAATACCTGAAACTGGATAATTTATATAGAAAAGGAATTTATGGAGGCTGAGAAGTCCAAGATCTAGTGACCACATTTGGTGAGAGTCTTTTTGCTGGTAGGGACTCTCTGCAGACTCCTGAGGCAGCACAGGGCATCACATGACAAGGGGGCTGAGCATGTTAGCATGCTAGCTCAGGTCTCTCTTCCTCTTCCTAGAAAGCAACAAATTCCCTTGTTGTAATAATCCATTGATCCATTAATACATTGGTCTATGAGTGGATTAATCCACTCTTAAGGACAGAGACCTCATGTTGTAAATACCTCTTAAAGCCCCCACCTCTCAATATGGCCACATTTAAGATAAAATTTCAACATGAGTTTTGGAGGGGACGGTCAAACCACAGCACTGTTTAAAGTTGTTTCTTTCTGGACTAATACCCAGAATCTACAAGAAACTCAAACAAATGAGCAAGAAAAATACAATCCCATCAAATAGTGGGCTAAGGGCATTAATAGAAAATTCTCAAAAGAAGATATACAAACAGCCAACAAACATATGAAAAAATCCTCAACGTCACTAATGATCAGGGAAATGCAAATCAAAACCACAATGAGATACCAACTTACCCCTCTAAGAATGGCCATAATCAAAAAAATAATAGACGTTGGTGTGGATGTGGTGAAAAGGGAACACTTCTACACTGCTGGTGGGAATGTAAACCAGTACAACCATCACGGAAAAATTATGGAGATTACTTAAAGAACTAAAAGTAGATCTACTATTTGATCCAGCAATCCCACTACCGGGTATCTATCCAGAGGAAAAGAGGTCATTATACGAAAAAGATACTTGCACATGCATGTTTACAGGAGCACAATTCGCAATTGCAAAAATGTGGAACCAGCCCAAATGTCCATCAATCAACAAGTGGATAAAGAAACTGTGATATATGTATACCCCATATATATACCACGGAATACTACTCAGTCATAAACATGAATGAATTAATGGCATTTGCAGAAACCTGGATGGGTTTGGAGACTATTATGCTGAGTGAAATAACTCAGGAATGGAAAACCAAACATCATAGGTTCTCACTCATAAGTGGGAGCTAAGCTATGAGGATTCAAAGGCATAAGAATGATACAATGGACTGGGGACTCAGGGGGAAAAGGTGGGATGGGGTTGAGGGATAAAAGACTATAAATTAGGTTCAGTGTATACTGCTCAGGTGCTGGGTGAACCAAAGCCTCAAAATCACCACTAAAGAACTTCCATAACAAAATACCACCTGTTCCCCAAAAACTTATGAAAATAAAAAATAAAATAAAGTTGTTCCTTTCTTTCCCTTTTGTATCCACTAAGCTTCTTGAGCTTTTCTCCTCAAACCCTACCCACATCCCTGGAAACATCTTCACTATATATGTTTTATGTGTTACTGAAAGAAGTCAGGAAGGTAAAATCAGATTCATTTTAATGAATGAATAAAATAAAAATACATTAACATGGCTATAATGAAGTGACAGGGTTCAGGACTCACTACCTCAAAGTATGGCACCTTGGCATTTGAGGAAGCAGCAGAAGCAGAAACGTCACTCTCACCTTACCCTGCCCTTCTCTCCTGAAGCAAGCCATAAAAGAATTCTCTGAACTTCCTCTAAAGCAGGCCGTAAAGCCTTTACTTCAGAGTTCTTCTTCCTTTCCCCAAAGGAAATAAAATATCCTTATCATCAAAGACACAGAGAAGCTGAGAAGAACCTGAGCAAACATGCCTTGCTAAGTTCCCCCTCTGCCTAGTTTATTACCATTAGATCACACCCTTTGTCCTCTAATCATTTTTCTCCACAACTATCCATTCATCAAATTCAGCATAATATACACAGGTTTCCCTATTTTGGAGGGTCTCCTTTTCTGAAAGCTGCAGTATCATGTAAAATTTACATTAAATACATTTGTAGGTTTTTCTCTTGTTCATCTATTTTCATTATAGCTGCTTCTGCCATGAACCTTGTGATGAGTAAAGAAAAGGTATTAGTTTTTTTTTTCTTTTTTGGTTCTACAGAAGGCAGAAAGAAAAGAACAAATGAATCTTTCAAGGACTTGTTATGACTATAAGATAAACATTTATATTAACATTTTAGTTTCTTTTTATTCACTTCAGCCAAAAATATGAGTTTAAAACCATCAATAGATATAGATCCTTTTCAAAATCTCTCCATATGGTTGAACATGTAAAAAAATTGTTTTCCCTTTTAGGGGGCAATCAGATGAAAGAATTGATTAACATAATCTGTAAGTGGAAAAAAAAAGTAGATGTGGGTTATTGGAACAAGTCTATTTAAATATGAATGACCTAATGGGTTCTTAATTAAATCTGTATGCTAAAACTAAAGATTTTCTACTAATTAGAAAATGAACAGTTAACCCAGTAAAATATATAGAATTTTGAAATATCTTTCAATGTCTTTCAAAATTTTTATGAAAGTATCAAATTACTAGAGAGAAAAACATACATACATACACACACACACACACACACATATATTCGTGTGGGAGGCATGTCAAAGGCTTGACTTCTTCAATGGTCTCATTAAAAAGGAAAAACCTCTTGATTCTTTTGAGATAGTCTAGATAATTGAGTAAAGATAAGAGTTCTTATTTGGACAGAAGTCATATCATCTAGGACAAGAATACAATGAATATAAATTCTACAAAACTAAAGTTGAGGTTCTTAATAACAGGATAGCACATGCTGATGAAGGAATGGCAGAGGAATCCCCATCAAACTAATATGACTTTGAAAAATACTTTTTATCTGATGTCAACTTTCAATGTGTCTTTATTGCAAAACAAGCAAACAAGCAAAACAACAACAACAACAAAAACCCTGTAGTGGTCAGGGACAATGGCTCACACCTGTAATCCCAGCACTTTGGGAGGCTGAAGCAGGTGGATCACCCGAGGTCAGGAGTTCGAGATCAGCCTGGC
Organism: Homo sapiens; assembly: GCF_000001405.40. NCBI lineage: Eukaryota > Metazoa > Chordata > Mammalia > Primates > Hominidae > Homo > Homo sapiens. The sequence goes on from NC_000002.12 coordinate 209,297,570, forward strand.
CCACATGGTGAAACTCCGTCTCTACTAGAAAAATACAAAAAAAAAAAAAAAAAAAAAGAAAGAAAGAAAAAAATTCCAGGTGTGGTGGCACATGCCTGTAGTCTCAGCTATTTGGGAGACTGAGGCAGGAGAATCACTTGAACCTGGGAGGTGGAGGTTGCAGTGAGCCAAGATGGTGCCACTGCACCCCAGCCTGGGCAACAGAGTGAGACTCTGTCTCAAAAACAAACAAACAAACAAAAACCTGTAGTGCTTGTGCACTATGGGCAGAATTTCACTTGGTTTAATATCTTGTAATACTCTGTTCAAACAATCCAGTAACCACATCTTTGACAAAAATGAAAAAAAAAAAATACTCCTGGCTTTCATGTAATCTTTCTTTTGTAATTAAGAGAGACTTCAGTGAGTTTGAAATTTAGTTCTTTTACTTTTCTTTCCTTCTCATCTAGAATGGAAGGATAATGAATGGATCTCAGTAAAAACACTTCATGTATGTCAAATTATTACATTAAGCTTGTAAAAGGTAACACAATGACAACTCTAGAACGATACGTTTCCTGCTCAATAAATAAATATGGGCTTTGGTGTTTTCACTGCTTTGTATCTTATGTTTCTATTTTTCTTATTTAGTATGTTCTTTGGAACTATGATCTCACTGGAAGCTCAGGGGTTCTAGAAAATATTCCTGACAAAAGATAAGAATTTATTTTCTGAACTCCAAGCTTTGACCATGACTCAGAATTCCTGGTTCAGATCTATTGACTATGCTGAACAAAACATTATATAGAGTAGTCTCTAGACTACCTCATTCAAGTAATTCCTACCCTCAGCTTGGTTTAAAAAACACCTAGCAGTTTTTTAAAGAGAAAGGAAAACAGGAGGACGAAATGCCTGGCGTTCTGTGGACAAGGAACTTATAGATGTGGCACCAATGATCTTTTCCCCTATTTTCACCCCCCAGAAAAGGGCATTATATAGCTTTGGGCAGGTTAATTAACATCAAATTTTGGGCAGGTTAATTAACATCAAATCCTGTGTACTGCTTTAGCTGTAAGAATGAACATGGCTGCAGATATTTGTGATTTTTCTGATACTTCTTGGATTCTGACAGGCTGTTTTAGGGGACCACATATGGGCCTTACTTAGCCTTACTATACTGTGCATAAGAAGGTTTTACACCACAGTAGCTCCTACTCCTGGAGAGTGTTCGGTCCTCACTCCATTACTTGACATGGCTCCCACTGCAGTCATGCCTACCAGAAGCAGGCTTTCTGAATGCTCCTACGCCCTGAGGTTGCTACAGCAAAAGTAGGTGCTTGCCTTTTAAACCTCCTTTATTCTTAACAACCAGGCAGAGAAGAACTAATGACTCAACCACTTTCTGTAACATGGGAAATCATATTATCCTTCTAGTGTGGCCTCCCTATTTAAAAAATTCCACACTCAATGCCTAACCTTGGATATATTCAATACTGGGTTTTAACTTCTTTTCCAAGGGCATGTGATCATAGAAATATTCTGCTAAGAATTCTCCACAACTTTAGGGTGCCACTGTTTCCCTTTTCTTCATACTACTAAGAGGAGATAAGCACAGGAAGAATTTTATGATATGTTCTGTAAAGTACATCTTCAGAACTAAAGCGTTTAGAAGTATACCGAACTCAGGGCTAACTAGATTTCCTACATTATGCAAAATATTCTCTGAAAATGTTTGCTAGTTTCTTTTTTAAGGGAGGAGGATATTGTCAGTCCTCTGAGCCCAAGCCAAGCCATCGCATCCCCTGTGACCTGCACATATACGCCCAGATGGCCTGAAGTAACTAAAGAATCACAAAAGAAGTGAATATGCCCTGCCCCACCTTAACTGATGACATTCCACCACAAAAGAAGTGTAAATGGCCAGTCCTTGCCTTAACTGATGACATTACCTTGTGAAAGTCCTTTTCCTGGCTCATCCTGGCTCAAAAAGCTCCCCCACTGAGCACCTTGCGACCCCCACTCCTGCCCACTGAGCAACTTGCAACCCCCACTCCTACCCGCCAGAGAACAAACCCCCTTTGACTGTAATTTTCCTTTACCTACCCAAATCCTATAAAACAGCCCCACCCTTATCTCCCTTCACTGACTCTTTTCGGACTCAGCCCACCTGCACGCAGGTGATTAAAAGCTTTATTGCTCACACAAAGCCTGTTTGGTGGTCTCTTCACACGGACGCGCATAAAATTTGGTGCCGTGACTCGGATCGGGGGACCTCCCTTGGGAGATCAATCCCCTGTCCTCCTGCTCTTTGCTCCGTGAGAAAGATCCACCTACGACCTCAGGTCCTCGGACCGATCAGCTCAAGAAACATCTCACCAATTTCAAATCCGGTAAGTGGCCTCTTTTTACTCTCTTCTCCAACCTCCCTCACTATCCCTCAACCTCTTTCTCCTTTCAGTCTTGGTGCCACACTTCAGTCTCTCCCTTCTCTTAATTTCAATTCCTTTCATTTTCTGGTAGAGACAAAAGGGACATGTTTTATCCATGAACCCAAAACTCCGGCACCGGTCACGGACTGGGAAGGCAGCCTTCCCTTGGTGTTTAATCATTGCAGGGACGCCTCTCTGATTATACACTCACGTTTCAAGGGTGTCAGACCATGCAGGGATGCCTGCCTTGGTCCTTCACCCTTAGCGGCAAGTCCCGCTTTCCTGGGACAGGGGCAAGTACCCCTCAACCCCTTCTCCTTCACCCTTAGTGGCAAGTCCCGCTTTCCTAGGGGGCAAGAACCCCCCAATCGCTTATTTCCGCACCCCAACCTCTTATCTCTGTGCCACAATCCCTTATTTCCATGTCCCAACCCTTTCTCTGCTTTTCTGGAGGGGAAGAAACCCCCACCCCTTCTCCGTGTCTCTACTCTTTTCTCTGGGCTTGCCTCCTTCACTATGGGCAGGCTTCCACCTTCCATTCCTCTTTCTTCTCCCTTAGCCTGTATTCTTAAGAACTTAAAACCTCTTCAATTCTCACCTGACCTAAAATCTAAGCATCTTATTTTCTTCTGCAATGCCACTTGACCCCAATACAAACTCAACAGTAGTTCCAAATAGCCAGAAAACGGCACTTTCAATTTTTCCATCCTACAAGATCTAAATAATTCTTGTCGTAAAATGGGCAAATGGTCTGAGGTGCCTGACGTCCAGGCATTCTTTTACACATCAGTCCCTTCCTAGTCTCTGTGCCCAGTGCAACTCGTCCCAAATCTTCCTTCTTTCCCTCCCGCCTGTCCCTTCAGTACCAACCCCAAGTGTCATTGAGTCTTTCTAATCTTCCTTTTCTACAGACCCATCTGACCTCTCCCCTCCTCAACAGGCCGAGCTAGGTCCCAATTCTTCCTCAGCCTCCGCTCCTCCACCCTATAATCTTTTAATCGCCTCCCCTCCTCACACCTGCTCCGGCTTACAGTTTCGTTCCGTGACTAGGCCTCCCCCTCCTGACCAGCAATTTACTCTTAAAAAGGTGGCTGGAGCTAAAGGCATAGTCAAGGTTAATGCTCCTTTTTCTTTATCCCAAATCAGATGGCGTTTAGGGTCTTTTTCATCAAATATAAAAATCCAGCCCAGTTCATGACTTGTTTGGCAGCAACCCTGAGACACTTTACAGCCCTAGACCCTAAAAGGTCAAAAGGCCGTCTTATTCTCAATATACATTTTATTACCCAATCTGCTCCCGACATTAAATAAAACTCCAAAAACTGAAATCTGGCCCTCAAACCCCACAACAGGACTTAATTAACCTCACCTTCAAGGTGTGCAATAACAGAAAAAAGTTGCAATTCCTTGCCTCCACTGTGAGACAAACCCCAGCTACATCTCCAGCACACAAGACTTCCAAATGCCTGAACCGCAGCAGCCAAGTGTTCCTCCAGAACCTCCTCCCCCAGGAACTTGCTACACATGCCGGAAATCTGGCCACTGGGCCAAGGAATGCCCGCAGCCCGGGATTCCTCCTAAGCCGCGTCCCATCTGTGTGGGACCCCACTGAAAATCGGACTATTCAACTCACCTGGCAGCCACTCCCAGAGCTGCTGGAACTCTGGCCCAAGGCTCTCTGACTGACTCCTTCTTGGCTTACCGGCTGAAGACTGACACTGCCCGATCACCTCGGAAGCGCCCTAGACCATCATGGACGGCAAGCTTTGGGTAACTCTCACAGTGGAAGGTAAGCCTGTCCCCTTCTTAATCAATACGGAGGCTACTCATTTCACATTACCTTCTTTTCAAGGGCCTGTTTCCCTTGCCTCCATAACTGTTGTGGGTATTGACGGCCAGGCTTCTAAACCTCTTAAAACTCCCCAACTCTGGTGCCAACTTAGACAATACTCTTTAAAGCGCTCCTTTTTAGTTATCCCCACCTGCCCAGTTCCCTTATTAGGCTGAGACACTTTAACTAAATTATCTGCTTCCCTGACTATTCCTGGATTATAGCTACATCTCATTGCTGCCTTCCTTCCCAATCCAAAGCCTCCTTTGTGTCCTCCTCTTGTATCCCCCCAACCTTAACCCACAAGTATAAGATACCTCTACTCCCTCCTTGGCGACCAATCATGCACCCCTTCCCATCTCATTAAAACCTAATCACCCTTACCCCACTCAACAATATCCCATCCCACAGCACACTTTAAAAAGATTAAAGCCTGTTATCACTCGCCTGCTACAGCATGGCCTTTTAAAGCCTATAAACTCTCCTTACAATTCCCCCGTTTTACCTGTCCTAAAACCAGACAAGCCTTACAAGTTAGTTCAGGATCTGCGCCTTAGCAACCAAATTGTTTTGCTATGGTGCCAAACCCATATACTCTCCTATCCTCAATACCTCCCTCCACAATCCATTATTCTGTTCTGGATCTCAAACATGCTTTCTTTACTATTCCTTTGCACCCTTAATCCCAGCCTCTCTTTGCTTTCTCTTGGACTGACCCTGACACCCATCAAGCTCAGCAAATTACCTAGGCTGTACTGCCACAAAGCTCACAGACAGCCCCCGTTACTTCAATCAAGCCCAAATTTCTTCCTCAATTGTTACCTATCTCGGCATAATTCTCAAAACACACGTGCTTTCCCTGCTGATCGTGTCCGATTAATCTCCCAAACCTCAATCCCTTACAAAACAACAACTCCTTTCCTTCCTAGGCATGGTTAGTGTGGTCAGAATTCTTACACAAGAGCCAGGACCGCACCCTGTAGCCTTTCTGTCCAAACAACTTGACCTTACTGTTTTAGCCTAGCCCTCATGTCTGCAAGCAGCGGCTGCCGCTGCTTTAATACTTTTAGAGGCCCTCAAAATTGCAAACTATGCTCAACTCACTCTCTACATTTCTCATAACTTCCAAAATCTATTTTCTTCCTCATACCTGACGCATATACTTTCTGCTCCTGGCTCCTTCAGCTGTACTCACTCTTTGTTAAGTCCCACAATTACCATCGTTCCTGGCCCGGACTTCAAGCTGGCCTCCCACATTATTCCTGATACCACACCTGACCCCCACGACTGTATCTCTCTGATCCACCTGACATTCACCCCATTTCCCCATATTTCCTTCTTTCCTGTTCCTCACCCTGATCACGCTTGATTTATTGATGGCAGTTCCACCAGGCCTAATCGCCACATACCAGCAAAGGCAGGCTATGCTATAGTACAAGCCACTAGCCCGCCTCCCAGAACCTCTCATTTCCTTTCCATCGTGGAAATCTATCCTCAAGGAAATAACTTCTCAGTGTTCCATCTGCTATTCTACTACTCCTCAAGGATTATTCAGGCCCCCTCCCTTCCCTACACATCAAGCTCGAAGATTTGCCCCTACCCAGGACTGGCAAATTAGCTTTACTCAACATGCCCGGGTCAGGAAACTAAAATACCTCTTAGGCTAAATAGACACTTTCACTGAATAAGTAAAGGCCTTTCCTACAGGGTCTGAGAAGGCCTCCGCAGTCATTTCTTCCATTCTGTCAGACATAATTCCTCAGTTTAGCCTTCCCACCTCAATACAGTCTGATAACAGATAAGCCTTTATTAGTCAAATCAGCCAAGCAGTTTTTCAGGCTCTTAGTATTCAGTGAAACCTTTATATCCCTTACGGTCCTCCATCTTCAAGAAAGGTAGAATGGACTGAAGGTCTTTTAAAAACTCACCTCACCAAGCTCAGCCACCAAAAAGGACTGGACAATACTTTTATCACTTTCCCTTCTCAGAATTCAGGCCTGTCCTTGGAATGCTACAAGGTACAGCCCATTTAAGCTCCTGTATAGATGCTCCTTTTTATTAGGCCCCAGTCTCATTCCAGACACCAGACCAACTTAGACTGTGCCCCCAAAAAAAACTTGTCATCCCTACTATTTTCTGTCTAGTCATACTCCTATTCTCTGTTCTCAACTACTCATACATGCCCTGCTCTTGTTTACACTGCCAGTTTACACTGTTTATCCAAGCCATCACAGCTGATATCTCCTCGTGCTATCCCCAAACTGCCACTCTTAACTCTTGAAGTAACTAAATAATCTTTGGTGGCAGGACTATGCTGAATCTCCTTAGGCACTCTCTAATCAGATGTCCTAGGTCCTCCCAATTCTTAGACTTTTTATACCTGTTTTTCTCCTTATTCCATTTAGTTTTTCAGTTCATACAAAACCGTATCCAGGCCATCACCAATCATTCTATACAACAAATGTTTCTTCTAACAACCCCACAATATCACCCCTTACCACAAGATCTGCCTTCAGCTTAATCTGTCCCACTCTAGGTTCCCACACCACCCCTAATCCCGCTTGAAGCAGCCCTGAGAAACATCGTCCACTCTCTCTCCATACCACCCCCCAAAAATTTTCGCCGCCCCAACACTTCAACACTATTTTGTTTTATTTTTCTTAATAAGAAGGCAGGAATGTCAGGCCTCTGAGTCCAAGCCAAGCCGTCGCATCCCCTGTGACCTGCACGTATACGCCCAGATGGCCTGAAGTAACTAAAGAATCACAAAAGAAGTGAATATGCCCTGCCCCACCTTAACTGATGACATTCCACCACAAAAGAAGTGTAAATGGCCGGTCCTTGCCTTAACTGATGACATTACCTTGTGAAAGTCCTTTTCCTGGCTCATCCTGGCTCAAAAAGCTCCCCCACTGAGCACCTTGCGACCCCCACTCCTGCCCACCAGAGAACAAACCCCCTTTGACTGTAATTTTCCTTTACCTACCCAAATCCTATAAAACGGCCCCACCCTTATCTCCCTTTGCTGACTCTTTTCGGACTCAGCCCGCCTGCACCAGGTGATTAAAAGCTTTATTGCTCACACAAAGCCTGTTTGGTGGTCTCTTCACACGGACGCGCATGAAAGATATGTCAATCATGTGTTTTTAAAAAATGACTATTTCATAAAATGATGAATAGCTAATATGTACCATGAAGTATATATAATTCTTGGGTAATTTTCAAGAACTGGTTCTCATCTTCAGAGCCAATACTTTCCTTTTAATTATTCATCTGAATTAAATATATTTAAATTTAAATCTTTAGCTTGAAGGGGAAAAAGAATCCTGTGTACTGCTCTAGCTGTGACCAAGCCAATTATGCTAACATCAGCATCCAACGATCACAGCAGGAAACATACTGTCTTCTTTACATGCATGGGCTGACTGAATTCTTACAAAATCTCCATGAGGTAGGCATCACTATACATTCACATTCCATAGGTGAGAACAATTTGATGTTAATTAACCTCCTCAAAGCTATATAATTCTCTAAGAACTGAATCAGAATTCAAATAAAATCTTTCTGACTCCAAAATGAATGTAAAACATACGTAATGTAGCCCCTTCTAAAGGATATTTCTCAGAGCTTCAAGGCTGTTCTTACAGATCAGACACCTTTGTAGAATATTCTAAGACCCACATCTAAACATATTTCTGTGAAGTATCTAAGGAAATACCTAAAATTCATCTTTCAAATGGTAGTATCTGGTTTAAGGATTGCTCCTTATTTCACATAACCCTTAGTGGGTGTAATAGTTCATTCTTATGCTGCTGTAAAGAACCACCTGAGACTGTGAAATTTATGAAGAAAAGAGGTTTAGTTGACTCACAGTTCTGCAGGCTTAACAGGAAGCACGACGGGAAGCCTTCAGGAAACTTAAATCATGGTGTCAAGGAATCTTTGGGGTGTTGCTTTTCCAGCTGGAAATTCTGTGGCCAGTGGCACCTTTGCCTAAGTATTGCTCAGGCCTGCTGGGCTCATTCCACCCACTCGGCCTGGCAGGCTGTGCTCAGCTGTGCCACTGGCCTGGATCCCACACCTGCCAAGGGAGAGTCAGGCATAGAGCAGTGAGGAGTGTGTGAGCAAGCGTGGGATCTGGCCACTGCCCACAGCCAGGCATGCCAGCTGCGGAGAGGTGGGGAGCTCCAGGCACCAGCACGGGTGCCGGCTCTTTGTGAGGCTGTGGCTGGACCAGGCATACCACAAGTAGATTTCACTGTGAGCACCATGGAACTCGGGGCACCTGGACCCTTGGAGACACCAGGAACCGCAGACCCCCAAAGAGGGTGTCACTGCCCTGGCTCAGAGGGCCCCTAGGTCTGGGCTCCTGAAAGAACTGCAGCTCTTCTCTCTTTCCCATTGAGAGACAGGACTAGCTGGATTTCCTAGGCCGACTAAGAATCCCTAAGCCTAGCTGGGAAGGTGACGGCATCCACCTTTAAACACAGGGCTTGCAACTTAGCTCACACCCAACCAATCGGAGAGCTCACTAAAATGCTAATTAGGCAAAAACAGGAGGTAAAGAAATAGCCAATCATCTATTGCCTGAGAGCACAGCGGGAAGGACAAGGATCGGGATATAAACCCAGGCATTCAAGCCAGCAACGGCAACCCCCTTTGGGTCCCCTCCCCTTGTATGGGAGCTCTGTTTTCACTCTATTTCACTCTATTAAATCTTGCAACTGCACTCTTCTGGTCCGTGTTTGTTACGGCTCAAACTGAGCTTTCTCTTGCCATCCACCACTGCTGGTTTGTTGCGGTCGGAGACCGGCCGCTGACTTCCATCCCTCCGGATCCAGCAGGGTGTCCGCTGTGCTCCTGATCCAGCGAGGCGCCCATTGCCGCTCCTGATCGGGCTAAAGGCTTGCCATTGTTCCTGCATGGCTAAGTGCCTGGGTTCGTTCTAATCGAGCTGAACACTAGTCACTGGGTTCCACGGTTGTCTTCCATGACCCACGACTTCTAATAGAGCTATAACACTCACCGCATGGCCTAAGATTCCATTCCTTGGAATCCGTGAGGCCAATGAACCCCAGGTCAGAAAACACGAGGCTTGCCACCATCTTGGAAGTGGCCTACCACCATCTTGGGAGCTCTGGGAGCAAGGACCCCCGGTAACATCATTACCTGCAACATGGCAAGTAGGGCGGCATGTTTTAGTACTGTTTGTGTTACAGCTCTTTTAGTCCCACCATTCAGTGGGTCCTGAGTTCTTGTCCCGCATCCAGAAAAAAAATTAGGTATGTGGACAACTGGAGGGTGAGCAAGGTGAAGTGGAGCTTCACTGAGCTGCAGAACAGTTCTCAGGAAACCTACAGTTCCACATGCAGGTCATCCTGACAAGTGTCCAGTTTCTCTGCATAGAGGAGACTGCAGTGGGTAGCTCCTTCCCACAGCTGGTAGTCCCAAGTCTGTCCAAGTCTGGCTGAGTCTGGGGTTTTCATGGGTTCCAAAGGGAGGAAGTGCATGCTGATTGGTCCATAGATAGCCTTGGGAGGGCCTGGAGAAAGCACCATAAGTTCTCACTCCAGGCCAGGGACTCCACCCAGAACTGGAGGCTGGCCCCCAGGCTTGGAAGTGGGGTTTCATCAGGGACTCACCCCTTCCCACCCAGAAGCCTGCCTGCCACCATCAACACGCCATCCACGGCACCCAGGCTGCTCGTGCTAAAGGGTGCCTGTAAGGCTACGCCAAGCCACCCTCAACCCCCTTAGGCCTCCCTCCCATGCTCGTTGGTGCCCAAAGTCCAGAGGGGACCAAGGTGACAGGGGACTGCTGTGTTGGCATTGCCCCGAGCATGCACACACCTGGCCGGGTTGCAACAGTGCCTGGGCTCAGCTTCAACTTTGCTCCCAAATCAGAGTGGGCACCAGGAATGGGGAGAGGCCAGGCAGCAGGAGCAGGCATTTCTGAGCCTGCAGAGGAAGGAGGACTTCCCAGGCCCCTGAGAGCACAGGGCTGCCCTGGTTCTGCAGCCCCAGCTGCACAGCTGCAGCTGCACCCTGGGAGTGCAGAAGGGGGCAGGGCTCCCGCCAGTTCCCAGCTCCTGCTGGCTCTGCAGAGTGTGCAGTCCCGGCCTTGCCTCGCCCACTGCAGCTGATGTCCCTCACCCACTGCTGTCAATGGCAGAAGGTGAAGAGGAAACAAGGGTGGAGCAAGAGGGTGGGGGATGTGCCACACACTTTCAAATTATCAGATCACATGAGAACTCACTATCATAAGAACAGCAAGGGGGAAATCCACCCCCATGATCCAGTCACGTCCCACCAGGCCCCTCCCCTGACATGTGGGGATTACCATTAGAGATGATATTTGGGTGGGGACACAGAGCCAAATTGTATCAGCGGGAATATATTGAACCTTACCTGTTAATTTGCTCTGTCTTCTCACACACCTCTTTTTCTTTCATCTTGTCTCAGGAAAATAAATATTCTTTCTTCTTGCTTAGGAGTATTGCCATCCCTTTCTATTCCCTCCAAGGGCTCCAATAGTGCTCCTGAATACTCATGACTGGGCCCTTGCTTCTAAGTCTCTCTTTACCCGGAGCTACTTGGTCTTCCCCTGCTTCTTACATTCTATCTATTTGAGCAACAGGTCTCAAAGCTAAATAATTATATAAAACACTGCTCTAGCATTTTGCTCTCTCAAATAACCACCATCTCTCTTGCATCTTGAGTGTCTCCCTTGCTCCCTACTACAAACATAGTGAGCTACCTTGCTTTAAACTATTAGATAAGGCTATTAGATAAGATGACTGGGCATTTTTGCCTTTAACCTGAAACCATGAGACTTCCCCTTATCAAGCCTCAGTCCTTCAACCAGTCAGGATGTAGGTTGCTGTAGTGTTTCTAGAAGCTGTGAAGAACTGTTTTTTACACTACAAACCATTTGGTGATGAACAAGTTTTGGTTAGCCCCCTTATTTGATAATATGCTTCTCACAGTTATGTGACAATGTCTAAGATTTCACTAACAATATAGTGCAAATGAACTACCTTGCTCTAAGTGTGTGCTGGTGAATAAAATCATTGGTGAATAAGATCACATATGAGTTATATGATAATGCCTAAGATTTCACTAACATAGATTCCTTACTATGTATGGCTTTTCTCAAGCTCACTAATCCAAGGGCTAATAATTCTTCCTTGTAATTCATCCTTAAAGAGCTAAAGTTACGATTTTCTAGCATGTCTTTCATGTAAATACCCAGGGAATCATGTGAAATACATTTTATAATTCCCATTATTCCCATTTTTCAAGTGAGAAATCTAAAAGCCAGTAGGTTCTAGCAATTTTCTTAAGGCCACATATTTTGTACAAGCATTCAACATTACAGAAGTATCTGTGTCCATAATCTTTCTGGAACACCATGCTTAAATGTTTTTTGCAAATAAGAAAATTAAAATGGTTTCTGCAAAAGGTTAGTTGTTTGCTCCTATTAGCTGTTTGTTATTTAAACAGGTATATCACTCAGGACTCTTTCGGTTACAAGTAACAGTAAATACAAATTAGCTTAAGCAAGAGCATTGACTAATCTGGCTGAAAGTTCTAGTGTCAGTTTCTAGAGAAATTTGATATCATTGTTAAGTATCTCACTGCCAGATAGGATCCATTGTGTCCATGATTTTGCCACTGAAGATCATTGATCTTATTTTGCATAATTCCAGGAATGAAAGAAAGAATCCTTTCCATAAAGCTCAAAAATTCCCATAATGCAGTTTTGGGAGCTCTTTCTAGACCTGAAGGATGAGAAACTGGTCATGTTACCTCCTAGGAGAAAGTTCCAGGAAAAGGAAATAGTATGTGGGAAAACCCTAAGGTCAAAAAGAGCTCGGGTTCTTCACAGAACTGAGAGAAGCCCATCACAAGAGGAAGATAACTAGGAGAGTAGTGGCTAAAGATGAAGGTGGATTAGTTAAAAAAAAAATACATATGGCATATATATATATATATATATATGAGCCCACATACATATATATGGGCCGTTTGAACCACATAAGACATGATGAAACCTTGTTCGTTCATTTAAGGTTAATGTCTAGCTGGCAGGAGATCTTAAACAAGGATATGATTTGTTCTCATTCAGACTTTGAGAAGATTAATTACTGTGAATCTTGGAAATGTGGGCAAGTTTGAGAGGATCAGCTAATAGGGAATTTCAGCTAGCCATGAGAAAAAAGATCACAGCTTAGATTAAAGTGGCAAGAGAGGGTTGGAAGAAGTAGAGAGAAATAAGAAAATTAGGAGGCAGATGATTAGGGCTTAGTAATTACTTGTGTGTGGTGGACCTTTGTCTAGGGAGAGAATGTAAAACAGACTAATAGTTTGAAACAAAAGTACAGATATTTATTGATTGCCTGGGAGACTTTACATCTTTCAATACCTCTAAGCAGAGCTTGACTTCCTCAATGCCACGGTCCAGACAACTTTATCTATAATCTCCTGGTTGCTTCATACTTTTATACTACATGCCTAGGACCTGAAAGTTGTTGAGTTTGGGTTTCCTGGTATAGAAAGAAAAAAAAAAAAGAAGGGCCTACTACTTAGTCCTTACAATAATCAAAATTTGTCAATTACAAGAGAAGTTACCAACAAAGACTCAGAAGTAGCTGTCAAGGGGATGGAAGGAGAATCAAGAAAGGCTTGTTGTATTTCATTGAACCAAGTGAAGATAGTGTTTTAAGAAGGAAGAGATTCTCAACTGTGCAGCAGTTTTGCTCAGAAAGCAGTCAAGATGAGAGATCAAACATAAAATGGAAGATGTTCAAAATGTCTGATGATATGGTAACACAGAAGATAAAAACAAAGGTTATTAAAACATATCAATATAAATATTTGACTTATAAAATGAAAGTTGCTGCTTGTAATGGGCTGAACCGTGTCACTCTAAAAAATTCCGATGTTGAACTCCTAACTTACAATATCTCAGAATGTGACTGTATTTGGAGATAATGATCTTTAAATGGACAATTAAGTTAAAACACTCTCATTAGGCTAATCCAATTTGACTGGTGTCCTTACAGAAAGAGAAAATTAGGGCACAAACACACATAGAAGAAAGACCATGTGAAGACAGGAAGATGGCCACCTACAGCCAGGAAAAGAGGCTTCAGAAAATGTCAACTCTGCTGGCATCTTGATCTCAGACTTATAACCTCCGTGAGAAAATAAATTTATGTTGTTTAAGCCACCCAGTCTATGGTACTTTGTTACGGCAGCATTGGCAAACTAATTCACTGGTGATTTTAACAAAAGGAACGTCGGTAAAGTGATGGAAGCAGAAAACAGATTTGAGTGAGAAGAAGAACTGATAGGAATCAGAAAATAAGGAAAGCAAGTACCTAGATCTTTCTAGTCATATTTATCCTATGAATAACCCAAATAATAGTCTATTTCTTGGTTTTAACTTTAAGAAGCTTATATGTAGCATTGAATTATCTCTTACACATTCAAAAACCCGATCTAAAATTTGAAAACTAAATATGCTATGTACAGATTCCTATGAAAGATAAAAAGTATTTAATTTTGATTTTGGAAAATATTTTATATGCATGGATATTTGAATGTGTGCATCTTTACTAGCAAATATTTAATATTTCCTTAAGATACTCTAATTTGAGATAAGTGACATTCAGATTGGGGCTAGGATGAAGTTCTTTTCATTTCCTACAAGGAATATTATAGTAGATTATAACTAAATTTAGACATTATATTTTCTAAATCAAACGTAGGCATACGTTTTTTATCACCTTGCCTGATAACAGGACATACAGTGGAAATTAGAATGATTCCCAAACATCTGTGCCATGTGGTTACTGCTGTTACTTAGGGAGTTATGAAGATCTATGAATAGGAGAAGGCAAGAAGGAAGTAAAACATCTTATCCAATGTAAGGGCTATTATAATCAAGGGATAATTCTTTTATAAATAGAATATGACACTATCACACAAAGTCAAGACCAAGATGTCAGACAAATGTAAGGACACAGGCAAGTTCAGCCCACACCAGGGAAGCAACAGGAATGATATGTGTACTAGGCTTATGCATATGACTTCCCAGCCAACCAGAAGGGGATTCAGTAAGCTGACAGCCAATTGTATAGTTTAAGTTAAAATTTCTGTTTCAAGCCTTGTAGAAATGAATGTGGTTTGAATCACACAAACATTTTTTAAGACTTGGGACACGCATCTCAAGATCTGGCATATGTGCAAGTAGTCCATGTGTTTCAATTCCAGAGAAGATAGCTAGTCCCTTCCTGGGCTTTAGCCAGTTTCCTGGAAGCGTGAAAGAGCTGGTTGATGGTGAGGGCCACAAGACTAACACAGCTTCCTAAAGGTCTCAGCAGTGACAGGAGAGGGCTGGGATGTTGAGACTAGGTAAGCAAAGAGTAATGTGTGAGTCCAAAGTTAGCATTCCCCAGAAGCCAACTCCCATACACTTCATAAATGCAGGAGAATGACAGAAGAATTTGGAAGAATCATAATTAGGAGTCTAAATTCCCTGTAAATTTAAAACTTATCCTCAAAATTTTATGGCAAATAGGAAAATGGAAGAGTAATTGTAAAAGGTAATTAATTGGAGTACATATTTCTTCTAGAGCTATGACTTACTGTTAGCAAGACTTTCATGTCAGTTTCATAAAAGTGATCATGACAGGTGGCTAGCTCCATCAGTGAGTTCATAAAGATTTAACCAAGTTTTAAACAAAAATAGAGTAAACCAATTTATTTTAAGAAGTGATTTTATTTCTGGCCAGGTGTGGTGGCTCACGCCTGTAATCCCAGCCCTCTGGGAGACTGAGGCAGGTGGATCACCTGAGGTCAGGAGTTTGAGACCAGCCTGGCCAACATGGTGAAACACTGTCTCTACTAAAAACACAAAAATTAGCAGGGTGTGGTGGCTGGTACCTGTAATCCTAGCTACTTGGGAGGCTGAGGCAAGAGAATCACTTGAACCTGGGGGGCAGAGGTTGCAGTGAGCCAAGATCATGCCAGTTCACTCCAGCCTGGGCAACAGAGCAAGACTCCATCAAAAAAAAAAAAAAAGAAAAGAAAAGAAAAGAAAGAAAGAAAGAAAAAAGAGTGATTTTATTTCTAGTAGGCTATTTCTAATAGGCTAGTATTTTGTAAGCTTTAAGCAGACACCAGCTCAATATAATATTGAAAAAAAAAAACCCCACATATAACCTTGGTCCTTTCAGTAAGCTGAGCACCCAAAATGGCATCTTATAGTTTCTCATAAATTGCAGTTCAACAATGTTGAATATGATAAAGTGGTTATCAAAAGTTAGAGCCATTTTTTAAAAAGTTCCCAGATACCTGGGTAGCTAAGGTTATTTAATAAATTGTTATGATGTAATGCTACTAAATCTCCTAAGATTAAATTTAAGGTTTTTTTAATGAGTGCTCAGGTTTAAAATAACTTTGTATTTTTCTCTGATGTTAAATTTTTGATTTGTGCCTTTAGAATCTGTAACTGTCACTCCTTTTCATATGATAAAATTATTTGATAGAACAAGAAAATAAATCCCAAAATTATAAAATCAGCACCACTATTTCTTTGAAATTTTAGCTGCTAAAGGATTCATGTCATTCTCAAACACAATGATAAAGAAATCAGCAATTTTCAAAAATCATGTGACTTAAATCCTTTTTGTTACACTCATTTCTCTCATTTAAGTTTCTGAGAGAACTATTGATTTGTTCTTTTTCTCTGAAAAGATTAAACACCTGGATTTTATCATGTACTCACATTTGAAATTCAAATCATTTGTATATAATGCATTAAATTATTTGAAAAGTCAAATATCACAGATTAGTGTGAGATGATAGCATACTCTGTATGCTATGATATAAAGTGGTTCAGAAGCATGTAATAAGTTCCTGAAATGTCTGTTCCCACTGTATGTAAAATGGCTCACTTTTCAGCAAGATCGGTGATTCCTTATATAAATCTGTTAGCAGCTTTTTGATTATAAGAGGATGGACAGTTCTTTCTCATGAGTTAGTTTGCAAATATTAGTTTTCCTTTTAAAAAGTCCGAACAGAGAACCAATAAGCTTCTTTAACTTTTACAACTGCCTAATACAATTTAAATTACATTTATTAACTTAGTTCTGCAGGTTTGGAAAGTATTTGCACTTGGCATATCCTATCACTCCATCTCCTGTCAGCTAATGTCCTCAGTAGTCTATTTCCAGTTACATGTGTGGAGATACAAGATTGGTGCAATATATTTTTACCCTTTTTAATTCTTGTAGTTGCATGCTGAAATTATTTAATGTGGGATTAGTTGAATGGTGTCTGTCATAGAAAGGGATTGTTGTAGAAAATTTGTTGTCTTTTACCACCTTTAGTTCACTGCTTTTTAATGGCATATAACACTCAAATTTTCCTTAGAAAGGAGTAATAAATAATTTCTGTCAGTCAAAATAATTTAAACTGCTGAGAGGAGTAGAAGGTAACAAGATTTTGGCAAAGCATAAAAACCATGAAGAATCAAGCGAAAAGAAGAAATTCCCAAGATATGTAGTTTAAAATGTCTATAAAGAGATAGGTAAGTGAGGAAATGGTACTACTGCTTATTGTGGATTTGGAAATTATTTTAAAGACAACATAATTTTCATGCATTCAAAGATAGTATTTTGATTGCATTACATAGCTCAGTTCATGGGGAAAATCTCGTACCTGTAATGTTTTCAAGGTAATTCGAAAAATTGTTAAGTATATGTGAGAAATTTGTGTGCTCAAATAACAAAGGCATATTTTTATTTTTATGTCAACTTAATATCAAACTAGGAGTAAATATATTTAGCAATACATATGCTTGACAAAAGATTTTTAACTAAGATGTTTATTTTCTCAATATTAAGTGTAAAAGAAGGGATAAACTAGATTCCTGTTTTTCAATCTCTGTGATTGTCTTTTAACTCTACAGATGTATTTGGAGCATCAGAAAAGTTCACAACATTACATTAGAATGAGTCATACTCTCTGTTCTCAAAGAGTTCACCATCTAATGGAAAGACAGTTACCAAACAATAAAATAGCTAACAATAAGGGAAGCAGAGCAGCAAAGTTTTATGTCTATGTAGGGCTGTCAGAGAAGGATTCACAAAAAAATAGTTACGCTACTTCTTGTGAGAAAAGAAGACTTACATTATCAAGGTATTGAGGTATAGCTCGGAGTATGTGTTCCTGCAAAGGGAACAAACTGTAAAATGAATTAAGTATAAGAGAATGAAGCATTCACATGTTGTTTCAATGTTTTCTGTTTAGAATAACCCAATTTACCATGGTTTTTTATCTCTTGTTTTCATCTAGTCCAACTTAGTTGCTTTATTACTCCAATAAATTAACACTGGATTATTATAGGACAATAAATGAATTAATGGCAGTCAGATTGGTTTGAAGAGACTGAGGACAGTGAGGAATCCTAAAGACCAGAAATAATAAAATTTCAATGTGATGAGAGGCTTATAATTAAGAATCTGTATGTGTCTTCAAAAATAATTAGGTCTCAAATTGTGGCATCTAAAAAGTTACCTTGCAAACACTACTTCAACATTGTGATCTCGCTATTATTATATCTTAGAATTTGATTTTGTGAAACACTACTTCAACATTGTGGTCTTGCTCTTATTATATCTTAGAATTTGATTTCGTGTCTATGTGCTGAAACCACTTCATGGTACTAAGTTAGGTATGTGCTAATAGTTCTTGAGATCATGAGGATACTATTTCTCAGCAGATAATGCACTGAAGTGTTCATTTTCAAAATAAATATACTTAAGGTGCAATAGTGCACATTATGAGTTTCAGATTGTTATATTACCATTAAAATAAATTCTAAGAATATACCTGCTTGGAAAATTCTAATTAGTGTGATTACTATGGAACTGGAAATAATTATTTTAAAACTCGTAAGAGCGTATTTTGAAAAATAATCAGCAGTAGAATAAGAAACTGCCAGATGAGTCACTAGTCTAAAAAGGTAAAATATTTTTCCTTTGAATTCTGCTAAATATATTACTTCTCAGATTCAAGGATAGTGCATTGAAAATTACTTTGTAGAATTTTTCTACGAAAAATATGATATGGGAAAGTCCTGTTCAGCAGGAGAAAAAAACAAGAAAAAGAAATTAGGAAATACGGACACATGAACCAAAGGAATTGATTTGAAATTTACTTATAATTCACATTAGCCCTAAGCTTCAGTCTGGGAGTTATGACTAATAATAAAAAATAAAGAAATAATTATTTTGTGATCCATTATTTTAAAACCAGTAAATACTAACAAATTATTTATATACTTGCATATATTAGTCAACTGTTCTCACAATAATATGCATATCAAACAACTCTAAAACTCAGTAGTGTCCAATAGGAAGCAATTACTTATTATTCATCTGACTCAAGATCTGCTGAGGCTCAGCTGACTTCAGATAAGCTCAAGAAGGCTCGTATTTAAACTGTGGAATATGTTTGGTTTGCTCCATGGGCCTCTCATTCGTCTGAGATCCATAGGCTACCCAGAATATGTTCTTTTCTTGGCAGTGACATTAATAGAAGAGAGAAAACCAAGCCATATGACTAACTACTCTTCAACACTCTGCTTGTTTCAGACCCACTAACAGCCCATGGGCCAAAACAAGTCTTGTGGCCACACTCTGCAATAATTGAATGGAAAAGGGTATTCTGTTCACCATGAAGCTATCGCAAGGGTGGGGATGCAAAATCTGGCTACTAAGAAATAACAAATGAAGACTGATAAGTAAATCTGCCACAACTTTAATATTTGTTTATAAAAAGAAAAGTTTGCATGTATTTTTCTGAAAATTTGGATTTTAAAAAGTGTTTCTAAGAATTAATACATGTGGATAGTAGTAAGTACCCAAAACTAAGAACAGAAATGCTTAGAGATAAATAAATGCTTACATATGCATGCATACATGTATACAGGCCAGTCAGAAGGAAGAAGAGAAAAAATAAGCAAACTCATTGAGGAAGTACAGGAAAGAAAGCACAGAGGAGAAATTGGGAAAACCTGTGCTGAGAGATGTCTCTGGTCCTGCCAGTTTCCAGGTACAGCTCCATTATCCATGCACCATTACTGGTTTTGATATACAAGTCCTGCAATTTTAACACCTACGAAAGAAACTTACATTTTTATCTTCATGCATACAATACACAATGTGCATAAGTGAAGCATTTTATCTCAAATGTAAATGTATACAGAATGCTGTGTTCCTCAGATCTATCCTTATGTTTCAGTGTTATCTATTAAGAGGAAAAAAGAAACAAGAGTTAAAATTGAAATAACTTAAATCTTTCAACTTCCCTCTGACTTTAAGGAGAAAAGAATTTCTTCATTGCCATTTCTATTCCCACCTTCCAATTATTCAAACCAAGTTGCATTCAGAGAATAGCACTGATTGCTGTTTAGCATTCTATTTAGTAATGGGTATGTTATTCTCTGGATTATCTGTTTGCTATTATCTAGTTCTAGATATAGAGAAGGAAATAGAGCAAAAATCTGGACCCTTTGTATCACAGATCTATGAGTTTGAAAAGAGACTCTGGATTGTCCAGTTCACAATGGATCCGGCAAGCCTGCGCAGACTGATAGTGGATGAGTTTAACATTGTTTTCTTTTGTGCCACAAGACACACTACACACTGGTGGTTAAGAACACACACTTTGAAGCCTCACTAGGTTCAAATTGCAGTGTCTTGCTTACTGGCCTTAGCAAGAAATTTTGCAAAAGGGGATGACTTCTAAAACAGGGTATATTCCGCCTATCCTTTAAATGATTATGTCTGTAAAATACTTAGAACACTTTTCTATTATTTCTATAATTTTGGAAAACATTCTTTCAGAGTCTCCAGAACATCACACTTTAATCCCCTCCATCCCACAGATTGTGAGTTCTTTGGGTAATGATTCCTTTCCCTCCCTCCCTGTGGTCACAGGGAAAGAGTTGGTTGAACTATGATCTTAGGGAGGAATAAGGAGAAGCTAGGAGGAGATACTAAAGTTGTTGCAATTTTAAAGTAACTTAAGTATCAGTGAATGTCTTTATCTCCAAGTCAGTATTGCCCTGAAAAGTCACACTCGCAACATGGAAGATGACACTGGGCAACTTGTCTCTTGAGATTCCATGGCAGTTTCTAAGTATTCCTTGCTGTTACTGTAGGACTTTAAGGGCACAGTCACACAGGGAATGTGTTCTGGATAGTTTTATCAACTTTAGAACTGATGAAGAGTTAATTTGAGGGTGAATCCTGATTGACTTAACCACTCATTGTTTTGCATAAATACTATCACTTGTGAGGTAGACTGAAACACTTGACATATTTAATGCAAACAAATTCTGAAACTGATTGTTCTTTGTTTTTCTATGTTCCTTAAGCAAACCAGCCTAGTGACTCTATTTCAACAGTTGCTACTTCTTTTGAAAAAGTATCTACTTTCCAATTATCCGCTAATATGTAACTATCTTTCAGAGATAGTGACCATGTGACATTTCAAATCACAATGCCTAATGCAGATAATTCCAGTAACTTTCAAAGTTTTTTTCTATGGATAAAAATAAAAGAATAAGAATAGAAAAAATATATACACATACATGTATACCTCGTCTTGCTAACTAGTTTATTTAGTTGATGAGAGACATAGTATCAGATGATATTATTACCTATAATTTAATGAAGAAGTAGTTTCATTTTATGCTATAACTTCCTTCAGATAGGAGATTATTACAATGCTGTTTTCTGAAGAAAAGGAAATTTTTCAACATAGAAAGCCTGGACCAAAGTATTACAATGTACCATGCCACTCCTGTATAATGATCCATTGACTATCATCCGTTCTGTCACATGGAACTATAAAGACTTTACAGTTCTATAGGCAAGAGCATAAATCTCACCTTTCTTAAATGTCCTTGTCTAGAATTAGACTTTTTCTAAAATACCTAGCTTTTATCCTACAGTATTTGCTTCATATTTACCAAAGAAGAAATATGAAAACTAAAAGCAAAAAGCAAAACACTCAAAGAGAAAAATGAATTTTAAAATATATTCACTGAGTACATGTAGAATATTGATAATATCTTCATTTCACAGCACAAATGAACAAGTGTTGTCTTTAAATGAATGGCATTGGTCCAAAAATCTGAATATCTATTGTCTTTTCTAATCTTTGCAAAAATCCAAACAAAACACATTTATCACTGACTCTGTAATAGCAGTTTAAAGATGAAAATAAGCATATGAATGATACACAGAAGTTCAGATGAGACTTATTGTAGTAGCATTTCCTATAAATCAGGGATTATGCACTGTTTTTACTTTATCCTCAGAATAATTACAGTTGCTCAAGTACTATTAAAGATATACAATGGGATTTCAGAAACCACAAAGAACACAAGTGCAGATTATTTTTAAAGACAAAGTTAATTTATCTATTGTTTTTAAGGATAGAACATTACAGTACACATTAGAAAACACCTTCCCAAATTGTCTTGCCAAATATATGAGAAAAACTTTTGCAATAGTTCAATATTTTATCTCAATGTGATATTGCCCTGTTCTCAATGATGGCTTCAGAAAATAAAAAATACCAGCTGGTAAGTATTTATGTCCTTTGTACAGCCTCTCTTGGTTATCTCACTCCTATTTATTCAATAATAAAATCGAAGTTAAATGGACAAGATTCGTATTCCCACTTTTCTATTCCTATAGCAACTCTATGAGAGACACTTAGGAAAATTTGCTTTCAACAAAGCTCTGTGTGTGTGTGTGTGTGTGTGTGTGTGTGTGTGTGTGTGTGAGAGAGAGAGAGAGAGAGAGAGACAGAGACAGAGAATGAGAGAGAGAAGGCCAAGAGACAGGAGAGACAGAGATAAAGACAAGAAAATAGCTTGTAAGCAACTCAAATGTAGTAAGGGTGACAGCATTTCCATTCTGTTCATATACTCTGTGGGAGTTTTAGTCATCATTGAATTAGCAGCAACTGTGACCTCAGAATACCATGAAATACCCTCATAACCTAATGGAAATATTAGGGTATAGATATGGGAAGGAGAGTATTTCTCCTTTTTGTACAGCAGGTATCTACTTTTATTGCATCCTTTTTACTTGACATCATTTTAATCAGAATGAGAAGAGAGGAAACAAAATGGAAATTGTTGATTTCTCACCTTGATTGAAATTCTGAAATACTTGGAAAGTAAGAAATAATAACACTAGTAAAATATTATAAAATGATTTAGGAATACCCATGTATAGTGTCTGATGATTACTGATTAACCAATTTGTGTGACAACTAAAAAATATATACACAGTGGCCTTCAAACAGAATACACTTTTATCTAGCATTATTGAGAAAAGGTTGTTGTAGCTAATGAAAATTTGTAGTTAAGTTTCTCTCTATATTCTGCACAGACGAATAATTTTATGTAATTTACAAAAATTAAAGTAGTCTTAGTATTTATGAGACACAAGTTATTCATTGATTTTGGTGTTTTAAAATTTATTTAACTTTCTTTCAATACTTCGATGAAATCATTACATACATCAGAGGTCCTAATAGAGTTGTCAAAATTAATAACCTTTCAACTGATGGAAAGCCAGTTACTAAATTGTGCTGTAAATGAGTTCTAGTTCTAGCGGATCTCAGAGATGAGTAAGTGTTTTCTATTACTTTTTTTATTACAGTGAAGAAAGAACAACCTGATAGTACCATAATGTTAAAAATTTACAGATCTTGAATCACACACAAATAAAGTAAATAAGAACTTGTGTACACCTATAGTGTTCTGTGTTTTCCATGAATGTCATGAAAATATATATTTTAGTCAATATAATGTACATTAATGTGTGTGCATAGAAAACTATACATGTGTACACATATATGTATGTGTATATATGTGTATTTACATGTGTATATATGTCTACATAAAGCTATAGTTATAGATGAAACTATGATATATTAGCTTTCTATTGTTCCATAATAAATACAGCTTAAAACAACATATATTGTTTATCTTGCAGTTTTGTGGGTCAGGCATCTAGGCATGGCTTAACAGGGTCCTCTGTCAACCTGCAATTAGGGTGGCAGCCTGGGCAGATTCTCATCTATAGATTCAACTAGGAAAAAGTCCAGTGTTCAGCTCACTCAGGTTGTTGGCAAGTGGCTGTAGACTGAGGGCTCCAAGTTCTTACTGGATGTCTGCTGGAAATGACCCTCAGTTCCTTTCCATGTGGACTTCCCCAATATAGCCTCTTATTTATCATGCCAGTAAGGAGAGTCTCCAGAGCAAGTCAGCTAGCAAATGGGAGTTTTACAGAACAAAACAAAATCCCAAGAGCAATATTCCATCAATTTTATATATTGCGTGGGTTAAAAGGAAGTCTCAGGTTTCAGGCCCTGCTGTATTAGTCAGAGTTCTCTAGATATACACACACACACACACAGTGGAATCTATTAAGTATTAACTCACACGATCACAAGATTCCACAATAGGCTCTCTGCAAGCTGAGAAGCAAGGAGAGCCAGTCCGAGTCCCAAAACTAAAGAACTTTGAGTCCAATGTTCAAGGGCAGGAAGCATCCATCATGGGAGAAAGATGTAAGCTGGGAGACTAGGCCAGTCTAGTCTTTTCACATTTTTCTGCCTACTTTATATTCTAGCCAAGCTGGCAGCTAATTAGATGGTGCCCACATTAAGGGTGGGTCTGCCTTTCCCAGCCCAGTTACTCAAATGTTAATCTCCTTTGGCAACACCCTCACAGACACACCCAGGATCAATACTTTGCATCCTTCAATCCAGTCAAGTTCACACTCAATATTAACCGTCATACCTGCCCACACTCAAGAAGAGGGGATCACAGAAAGCCATGAACACCACCAGGCAAAGATCATGGAAATCTACCCTCAAGTCTGTCCGTAAGTACCAATTTTGGCTCAGTAAACATAGTCGCTGATAACATGGTGGCTCAATTTTATATGTAATTTATATCAAAGGTAGTCAAATTATGGCCCATAGGCCAGCTACCTGTTTTTGTAAATAAAGTTTTATTTGCACACAACCACACCCATGTGTGTATTGTCTATGGCTGCTTTTGGGTAGCAAGGGCAGATTTGAGTAGTTGCAGCAGAGACTACCATATGACCCACAAATGATATTAATAATACATTTATTATCTAGCCATTTAAGAGAATTTGCCAATCTCTAAAGAATGGATTTTAACATAAATTAATTCCTTTATCAAGTAGATTGATTGATTATATTTTTTCCAATAGTTTTTGACACAATAGATACAACCTAACTGATAGGGATGACTACTAATGCCAAGCTTTGTGAAATTGGAAATACGAAAATTTTCTGATAATAATATAGCACCATCTCATGGAATATCATGGAAACTGTCAGAAAAGTTTATTGCTGTACTACTAAATTACTGAGCATCAGGAATACTCTGCTATAACTTTTAAATTCTACTAAAAATAGTGTGCAAAAAGTTCTACCTTATGAATTTAAATATATGTATACAATTAGATACCATCTAATCCAAATCTATCATGATCTAGATAAGGAAACTGGTCTTCTGAAATTGAGTTACTTAAACTTACATAGTAAGTAAGATTTCAGGCTTTTATTAAAAAGTTATAAATGTGTATTTATGTAATGAGTGTGTGCATATTTAAATGTTAAATATTTCAACAGTAAGATTTTTATTTAGAATCTCAATTTCTACATTCTTAATTTTTAAATTAAACTTTACAACAATTTCAGATTTATAGAAAAATTGCAAAGATAGTAAAGAGTCATTTTTCATACATGCAAGTATGCACTAAATAACTTGGATTTATACCAAATTAGTGGAGATGAAATGATTCAGTGTCATGTTTAGCTCTGAACATGAAAGTACAAGAGGGCCTATATTAGTCTGTTCTCACACTGCTACAAAGACATTCCTTAGACTGGGTAATTCATAAAGAAAAGAGGTTTAATCGGTTCATAGCTCTGTAGGCTGTACAAGCTTCTGCTTCTGGGGAGACCTCACAAAACTTACAATCATGGCAGAAGGCAAAGGGAAAGCAAGCACATATTCACAGGGCTGGCAGGAGACAGAGACAGCGAGTGCAGGGGGCTACACACTTTCAAACAACGGGATCCTGTGAGAAATCTATCATGAGACAGCGGTAGGGGGATGGTGCTAAACCATTAGAAACCACCCCCATGATTTAATCATCTCCCACCATGCTCCACCTCCAACACTGAGAATTGCAATTCAACATGAGATTTGGGTGGGAACACAGAGCCAAATCATATCAGGACACTGAAAAATGGGAACATGTTAAGGCAAATTAGCAACAGGGAGATGAGAGACAATGCTTCAGAAAACCATTTCATTTAACGAGCTTCAGAAGCAACTGGGGTTTTTTGCATAGAAGGCATGACTGAGCAGAACAGAGAGTGCTGCTTTAAGTATCTGAATGGCTGTCATGGGAAAGATGGGTCATGCTCTGTTTCTTGTTTTCCTCAGGCATAGAATGACTTCCAAGGGCCAAAAATATAGGGAGATGATTTTGTTCCAAGGCAAAGGACATCATTCTAACTGAGCAAAAACAGAATGAGCAAGCTGGCGAATTTTCTGTCACAAGAGATCTCGAATCACAAGCTTAACTCTCCTGGAAAGTTTGGTGAGAAGAATGTTACCGATGGAAGATCTTGACTGTGAGTTATCCAGGTTCTTGGCGTGTTGAACAAAGAATTGAACAAAATGCACAAACAAAGCAATAAAAGAACAAATTAACGAAAAACAAGTCAACAGAAGAACAGACTAACGAAAGCACAGATTTATTGAAGTGAAAGTACATTCCACAGAGTGAGAACTGGATCAATCAAGTGGCTCAAGAGCCCCCCTACCCCAGTTACAGTTTTTATTAAGCTAAAAGAATGTGGTAACACTCCTAGATGCCCTTTAGAGGCCTCCAATTGGTTACACCCTATGAAGGATTGGCCTATGACCAATCAGAGGCTGAAGTGGAGATCTGGCCCGTGGTTAGAGGCTAAAGTGGAAACTTCTGTCTTGTTATCACAGGAGTGAAGATCTGGCCTGTATGCTGCCTCATCTTGCCTAGAACTGGCTGCACCTGCTGTTCTTTTGCTTTTGCTTAACCCTTGGTTACCCTAATTGCCTATTCTCCTGCCTCAAAGAGGATGCCGTTCAATAGTTGGATGAGAGATGGAAGTCAGTCCTGAAGTCTCTATATTTGAATTTTTATATTTGAGGTGTAGAAATGTGGGTGGGATGTAGGGGATTCCCAAACCATGAACAGCTTCAGGATGCACATTCAAGGTTTAAGTGCATTCCCATATGTCCTGTCAATTAGACAAATGGCAATTGTGCCTCACTTACCAGGAAGGGCCAACAAGAAGTTTGTAGGACATTCCAACATTTTTAGACATGCTCACACCTGATGAGGATGTCCCAGACCCCTCTGGTAGGAAATGCCAGCCAGTGTTTCTCTAAGAAACCAAGGAGATCAGGATAGCCAATTTCAGGAGCTTCCCTTCCTTGATCTCATTGAGGCCTCCTGGGTTAAGAGAACTGTAAAATGTGCAGCTTTTATCTTTAGCAACTTACACAGGAACAGAAAACCAAATACCACATGTTCTCACTGATAAGTGGGAGCTAAATTATGAGAACACATGGACACACAGAGGGGAACAACACACACTGGAGCCTTTAGGAGGGTAGAGGGTAGGAGGAGGGAGAGGATCAGGAAAAATTACTAATAGTTACCAGGCTTAATACCTGGGCATGAAATAATCTGTACAACAAACCCCCAAGACACAAGTTTACCCATGGAACAAACCTGCACTGGTACCCCTGAACTTCAAATAAAAGTTAAAAAAGAAAAGTGGAGCTTCATAAAATCCAACGAACTGAAACAGTCATAAACGTCACAAGTTGGACAACTTTGAATCATAACCATAAAGAGCAAGGATGTCATGTTAGGATGCAAATTTAATTTTTTAATTTTTTTTAGCTCATTCAGTCTACAGTTTTAAATCCAAATAGGCTGTCTCATTTTGGATGCCTGTCACTCCTCAGGGGGCTGCCTCAGCCTCTGGGAAATGTGCTTCTCAGGTCACCTCCCACTCACACATGCATGCTCTCCTTAC
This sequence comes from Homo sapiens, assembly GCF_000001405.40. NCBI lineage: Eukaryota > Metazoa > Chordata > Mammalia > Primates > Hominidae > Homo > Homo sapiens. Next base: position 209,325,046 of record NC_000002.12, read on the forward strand.
TCTCCTCAGGCTCTGGTGTTCAGGGTTGTGCTACCCCACAGAACTCTGGCCCTAAACTCCACACTGGGCCTCCCCATGCATAGACACCCTCCTCAGCAAGCTCCGATTTCCACACTGTGAGACACCTGTCCCACCCCATGGATTCCCTCTGCACCTGCGATGGGCTCCTTGCAAGGATACCCTCCCCTCCCTCCTGACAGCACTCCATGAGAGCCCCCTTTGGTCCTCACTGGGGCCAAGCAGCCCCTCTCCGTAGATGCCCTGCTCATTCCCTCCCATCTTCACTTAGCTCCCTCCTCTCCCCATTTCCACACTGCTCTGCCCTTACTAGGGCTTCAGGATTAAATTGCTCTGGAATGGTTCAGGAATAAAAGGAAAAAGAAGGAAATGGAAAAGAAAGGAAAAGGAGGAGGAAGTGCAAACTAAGGCTTGATAATTGTTTCCAAAAACAAAGTCTCTGGATTGAAAAACGTGATAAAATACATGGTTATTCTTAGAATGTATTTTTAAATATATCTCATAACCTTATATGTCTGGCTTCTAATTTGATTCCACTTATCTTATTTAAAAATCTGAAAGCTCTGGTTTGAGGTTGGCAGTGACAATCTGTAAAAGAAGGAGCACACGCCATGGTCACCATACCCCTTGAATTATTGTACACCATACCACAATAATTTCTAGGTGTATTTCACTAGTACATTTCAGCCTTTCTAGAAAGTGCATTTCTTCCTCTGCTTTTCTATCATTTTCTTAATTGTATATCAATTGACATTAGATAAATGGTGGAATCCTGAAATAGGTTTGGCATTCCTCAATGTTGCTATAACAAAGCAAAAATGAAATGAGAGCTCATGGAAAATAAAGAAGATGCAAACTAGTCCAGAAATATGGGAAGAAGTAAGTGATCTTCTTTGCGAATTATGAATGAATTTTATTTAAAAATCATTTTAAAATCTTAAAAAAGAATTTACAAAAATTAAGTTTTAAAAATTGCCATTTTGTTATAAGCAACCACTTAAATCATTGTCTTTCAAATTATAATAGATTACTGTTTGGGCAATAGAGTGTGTGTGTGTGCGTGCGTGTGTGTGTGTGTGTGTGTGATATCCCAAAAACCTCAATATATGTGTATAACATATATATAATCCACATATATGTTTAATATAAATATAAAACCCTCAATAGTTAGTAACCAAAAATAATTCGTTTGTGAGACAACTGTTTAGAATCCAGAAGATGTCCTTATATTAACCCCGTTGTAACTGGTTATTGGTTTCCAACTACTACTGATTTTTTTAAAGAATACATGTGTACACGAATATAATTTTACATTGATGCATGAACGTGATTATGTTATCATACTATGTTTTTGTATTTTTGGTTTTTTTTTTTTTTTTGAGATGGAGTCTCGCTGTGTTGCCCAGGCTGGAGTGCAGTGGCGCGATCTCAGCTTACTGCAAGCCCCGCCTCCTGGGTTCACGCCATTCTCCTGCCTCAGCCTCCCGAGTAGCTGGGACTACAGGACCCGCCACCACGCCAGGCTAATTTTTTTTTTTTTTTTTTTTTTTGTATTTTTAGAAGAGACAGGGTTTCACTGTGTTAGCCTGGATGGTCTCGATCTCCTGACCTCGTGAGCCGCCCGCCTCGGCCTCAGTGCTGGGACTACAGGCGTGAGCCACCACACCCGGCCCATATTATGTTTTAATAGTTTTTCTCTCCTTTCCTTTTCAGTACAGTATGAACCATAGAGAAAAATATATGGTTCTTACGGATTCAGAAATGTGAAAAGCAAAGGTGTTTTAGAATACAGTGACAGCTCAGGAGAACTCACTGTAGGTCAAATGTCCATGTTCCACCCTAAAGAGCTTTTATTTTAAGAAGTATACCACACAATTCTAATAATATGGGTCACACTGAGAAAAGTCGATATAAAAAAAGTCTGGGCAGGGCGCGGTGTCTCACGCCTACAATCCATGCACTTTGGGAGGCCAAGGCGAGTGAATCACTAGGTCAGGAGATTGAGACCATCCTGGCTAACACGGTGAAACCCCGTCTCTACCAAAACAAATACAAAAAAATTAGCCAGGCATGGTGGCACGCGCCTGTAGTCTCAGCTACTCAGGAGGCTGAGGCAGAATAATTGCTTGAACTCGGGAGGCGGAGGTTGCAGTAAGCCGAGATCACGCCATTGCACTCCAGTCTGGGTGACAGTTCGAGAATCTGTCTCAAAAAAAAAAAAAAAGTTGACTTTGGTTTTCCCAATGCTCACAGCAATGATGACAAAGACTCAAATGGTAGTGCAATGTTGCAGAAGCACATGTTTACATGTAAAGATTATTTATACACAAGGTGTGCATTTGTAAACTATGTGACAAACAAACAACAGACTGTATTCTATTGGCAATCCTCTCTGAATAACAAGACAGTTAACAGAAAGAGTAATATATGGCAGTATTCTGAAGTTACCCACTTCCTACAAAATTTTATAAGTCAAATATTGGACTCTACTTTTAGCATCTAAAGCATATATATTCTTCTAAGTAAAATCATATTCCTTTTTAAATATGAGGCATGATATATTTTGGGTGAAATAGCAAAGTAGTATTTAATAAAGCTGTAATTATTGATTTTTTAAGCTGTTAAAGGTCTAAATAGGCCTTACTCCTCTATCCCACTCTTAATTCCTCCCAATAGTAAAATATGCCCAACTCTCATCTTTAGCACAACCAACTGACTACTTACCACTTTTCAGAATTCTGGGCAACACTGTCATCTGTTTCTACAACCTAAGTGTATCTATTCTATTAAAGCTAACTTTTTATTAGGCAAATTAAGTGGGAAAGCGTGTCTTAAGTGCTCCACTTGACTATGCCATTAATTTCTATTTGGAAGAATGAATTATATACCTGAAGTCACTCATGTGAAAATCAATTCAACAAAGGTATACTAAGTGCTTTTTAGTATTATCCATCAATTTTACATTATTTTTTATATTAAATGAGGTACTTGAAATTAAGAACTAATTTACCAGACAGAGGGTAAAATGTATACTACTCTTAAAACGTCACTGTCTGCTCTAGAATATATTTATCCATATTCTCCAAACTTCTACTTTTATGTTTTGTTCCAACAGTAGGCACACAGAGTACTGAACCTTCTAATCCAATTGCATTTTTTTTTTTTTGGTGTTTTCCTAGTTGCTTAGATTACCAAATCTGATTTAAACTTTGGATATTTTTATAAAGTGCTAAAATCTAAATTATACTATATAACTTATTATTAATGATATGATCCCTCTACTCATTTACAATGCAATAGAGACAATAAGATATATTTTCATAAATGTTAGCAAGAGTTATGTAAATGATACTGTTTTAGGTGTTCCCGTTATCAATGTATTGCTTATCAGCTCCAAATTCCCTCTTCTTTGCTTTGTCACTAGTGGAGCTAAATCTTGTAAACCTTTCCCCTTCCAGCTGGCAAGATATTAAGATTGCTACTAGATGGAGCCTGCACTGCAGGAAAAAAAAGTGGGGGGGCTTCCCTTTCTGCTTTTTAAAAATCCTTACTTCTGCAATGTTTACCTGGCAAGCGGGATACCCAGACATGTATGGATAGTTTCCCAGAAAGTTCTGCAGGCAGTGTGGCCACTTCCCGTCAAGGTCAACAACACCTTCAGTGACTCACTTCTAACAACAGCAAAATATTTGACCTTTTCAAGTGCGCACAGAGATATTACCAAAACAAACTATATTTTGTGCCATAAAGTCTCTGTATATTGAAAGGAAATAGAAATTATACAAAGCATATTATTTGACCATAATGGAATTAAATCACAAATCAACAAAGGAAAGATATTTGCAAAATTCCCAAATGTTCAGACATTTTTCGTCGGCCAGGCGCGGTGGCTCACGCCTGTAATCACAACACTTTAGGAGGCCGCGGCGGGCGGATCACGAGGTCAGGAGATCGAGACCATCCTGGCTAACATTGTGAAACCCCCGTCTCTACTAAAACTACAAAAATTAGCCGAGCGTGGTGGCGGGCGCCTGTAGTCCCAGCTACTCGGGAGGCTGAGGCAGGAGAATGGCGTGAACCCGGGAGAAGGAGCTTGCAGTGAGCCGAGATCGCGCCACTGCACTCCAGCCTGGGTGACAAAGCAAGGCTCAGTCTCAAAAAAAAAAAAAAAAGTTCAGACATTTTTCTAAAATTTCTGAGTAAACTGATGTCAAAGAAGTTGAAAGACGCATTTTTAAATATTTTGAACAGAATGAAAATAAAACTACAACATTAGAAAATGTTGTTAGATACTTTCAACTTTTACCAGTAATTAGTTGTTGGCCTATTTGAGGAAGCCATTTAAACTCCCAATGCCTTCATTTACTTGATTATGAAATTAGTTGCCAGAGTTTGGGTCTCTTCCAGCTTTTGGTTTTTAATGAATTTATAATAACAGAGCATTAACTCTGAAAATACAATCTCAAGAAGATTTCATTAGTAGTAATATTGGAGAAAATTTATGATAGATATATAATTTTAATTTTCTTATAAAGTATTAATTGAAAAGCAGTGTTAGTCTGGATTTGCAGTTTTTACTTCTCAAAATTTAAACCCCATAGTGTTGGCAGACTAACAAAATAATTAGTGTCACATAACTCAGGGGCATTAGTGAAGTCATTAACTGTGTAATGTCTTTTGCATTTCTACGTTGAAAAAAATGTGTCCAAATATATTTTATTGTGTTTTTTGCCACTTCATTGTCATGAATAGAAAGTTATAGTTTCATAATAAATTAGTTTATCTTGTCCTTTTTGATAAATTAGTTCAAAATTATACTTTATGTTCTAAAAAAAGAAAAACCACAGCACAGATTTATCATTAGCTCTGGTTAAAATTTAACTGCAATATAATGAAATGAAATGTTGCTTAATAAATTATTCATTGAAAGGGAGTTTATTTTAAAAACATATTTTTTCTCATAGGAATCTCTGATTGGAAAATAAAAACTACATTAGCTGTAAGCTTACTCTGATATTTAAAGGTTTGCATAGTAAAAAGCCTTCAGCTTCTCCCTGTTCTGTCTAGAAAAGTATAAGTTTAAAGTATACCAAGTACAGTCCAAGAGTCAGAACAATGAAAAATAAAATACTTTATTAAGCCTCTATTGACTTAAGTGATCTAAAGGTTTTCATTATTAGGTTAAAGGGTATAGATTACACCAAATTCAAATGCTTTAAGCAAATATTAGCTATCAGGTATCCTTAAAATCAATTGTCATTAGGTAAGAAATAAAGAATCACATCAGATAAGATATTCATTGTAGACTAACTTGTGCAATTTTAGAAAATTAATTTATTCTGCTTTGGTTTGATTTGTAAAATAACAGAGAGACTTCTAGCCCTAAAGTTTACTGGTCCTATGATGATGGGCATTATGTTTCCTTTAAAAGTTTCTCTTTACATCAACTCTTGATTAAACATTATGTAGCTCATACTATTTAATCATTATTTTATTTGTTTAGTCCTACTCCCATGAGAACCCATTAAAATGATGGTAAATACATTTTAAAGGAATAAATTACCATAAAAATGAGAATGAATGGGAAACACCGGGAGAATACCAATCAAGCACATTAGAAGACCTTGACAATGAGATTTAAAAATGGTCTCAGGATAAAATAGGACAATCCACTTGTACCTAATGCTAGGAATATTTTCCATCTAATGGCACAGATATGTGTCATTGCCTTGGTAGAAAAGGTAATGCAACCATGGCACATGACTCTTCTTTGAAATAAGCAGTATTTTTATACTCATAGTGATATAAACTCAGGCTTTGGTTTTTAATTATTAGGTTAAAATTATAAGCAAAATCTGCAGTACTTAATTATCATAAAATAGAATACAAATTTTTCTCAACTTTGAAAAAACTGACAGAAATGAGAGCATAGTGAGGGTAAGACGAGATGATGAAGGGAAGGGGAACATTAGTATTCTCATTATATAAGTGAGAAGTAAAGAATTAGAGGTTTTGCATGTTTGGAGTTGCAGAAGTGATCAGCTAAGACATAGAGAGTGGTGATAACTGAGTAATAGATGGAGAAGCTGAAATTTAAATAAATTTAAGGTTGATATAGTTTTAAAAGTGTCGTAGGTATAGTCCTTAGAGCTATCAGAACAACCACAAAGAAACCTAACATTGATTTTTGCTTTGCTTTGGTTTGATTTTTTAAAATAATGAATCTGGTGTGGGAAAGAGGCAGGACACAGAGTTTTATATTTGATAAAACTGTAATTCAAATATGTATGTGAACCATGTCTTTTTGTCTTTTAAGTACCATATCTTAGATAGATGTTTAGTTGGATTCAGCTTTAAAAAATCACTGTATTTCCATCTTATCTCCAGACCTAAATAGACATCATAACCCAGGTTACCACTGCCATCAAGTGGTGCCTTAGTGGCATTAAGTTGTAGAAAACCTTAAGTAACCAAAACAATCAAATCTATTTGAATGAAGAGAAATACTGTAACTTGCCTTCAGTTTGAATGGTGCCCGAATTACAATATCTAGAAATCTAAGAATAACACTTACCCAAGAGCCTAAAACCATAGGACTTGCTCATGCTAAATGATCCTATTTTGTTCAGATTAACTTTGTTAACATAGAAAGCTGAATGTGAGAAATAATGATCTGATTAATATTAATCCTAATGGTAATATCTTGATTTAAATAATACTTTTTGTTTTTACAAATTTTCAAAGTTGAACAGTTAAACATATATATCCTGGAACCAGATTGCCCCACATGGATGGCTTCAAAACTTACAAAATGTATAATCTTTGGCAATTTATTAAAATTCTCTGTAGCTCAGTTTCCTTCTTTGGAAAATTGAAAAAAATACTACTCCTTACCTTGAATTATTATTGTAAAAGTCCATAAGTTAACATATGTGAAGAGCTTAGAACCATGCCCAGGAAAAGTGTCAGGTGTTTTTATATGAATCTCTAATTTAGCCTTTAAAAAAAATTTTTTGGGGGGGTTTATTTAAAGTGTGTTTTTTTTTATTTTTTAAATTATTATTATACTTTAAGTTTTAGGGTACATGTGCACAATGTGCAGGTTAGTTACATATGTATACATGTGCCATGCTGTTGTGCTGCACCCATTAACTTGTCATTTAGCATTAGGTATATCTCCTAATGCCATCCCTCCCCCCTCCCCCCACCCCACAACAGTCCCCAGAGTGTGATGTTCCCCTTCCTGTGTCCATGTCTTCTCATTGTTCAATTCCCATCTATGAGTGAGAACATGTGGTGTTTGGTTTTTTGTCCTTGCAATAGTTTACTGAGAATGATGATTTCCAATTTCATCCATATCCCTACAAAGGACATGAACTCATCATTTTTTATGGCTGCATAGTATTCCATGGTGTATATGTGCCACATTTTCTTAATCCAGTCTATCATTGTTGGACATTTGGGTTGGTTCCAAGTCTTTGCTATTGTGAATAGTGCCACAATAAACATACGTGTGCATGTGTCTTTATAGCAGCATGATTTATAGTCCTTTGGGTATATACCCAGTAATGGGATGGCTGGGTCAAATGGTATTTCTAGTTCTAGATCCCTGAGGAATCGCCACACTGACTTCCACAATGGTTGAACTAGTTTACAGTCCCACCAACAGTGTCAAAGTGTTCCTATTTCTCCACATCCTCTCCAGCACCTGTTGTTTCCTGACTTTTTAATGATTGCCATTCTAACTGGTGTGAGATGGTATCTCATTGTGGTTTTGATTTGCATTTCTCTGATGGCCAGTGATGATGAGCATTTTTTCATGTGTCTTTTGGCTGCATAAATGTCTTCTTTTGAGAAGTGTCTGTTCATATCCTTCGCCCACTTTTTGATGGGGTTGTTTGTTTTCTTCTTGTAAATTTGTTTGAGTTCATTGTAGATTCTGGATATTAGCCCTTTGTCAGATGAGTAGGTTGCGAAAATTTTCACAGAATTGGAAAAAACTACTTTAAAGTTCATATGGAACCAAAAAAGAGCCCGCATCGCCAAGTCAATCCTAAGCCAAAAGAACAAAGCTGGAGGCATCACGCTACCTGACTTCAAACTATACTACAAGGCTACAGTAACCAAAACAGCATGGTACTGGTACCAAAACAGAGATATAGATCAATGGAACAGAACAGAGCCCTCAGAAATAACGCCGCCTATCTACAACTATCTGATCTTTGACAAACCTGAGAAAAACAAGCAATGGGGAAAGGATTCCCTATTTAATAAATGGTGCTGGGAAAACTGGCTAGCCATATGTAGAAAGCTGAAACTGGATCCCTTCCTCACACCTTATACAAAAATTAATTCAAGATGGATTAAAGACTTAAACGTTAGACCTAAAACCATAAAAACTCTAGAAGAAAACCTAGGCATTACCATTCAGGACATAGGCATGGGCAAGGACTTCATGTCTAAAACACCAAAAGCAATGGCAACAAAAGCCAAAATTGACAAATGGGATCTAATTAAACTAAAGAGCTTCTGCACGCAAAAGAAACTACCGTCAGAGTGAACAGGCAACCTACAAAATGGGAGAAAAATTTTTTTTAAAAAACAAGTGAAGTTAGGACACTATGACTCTTCACTATTACTTATCATGTAAAAGATGAGAAAACAGAACTACAGATTGTCTCTTTACCATGGTAAAGTTAGGAGCTCCAAACTAATCTGTGTTACAAAATGTAAAAAACCAATAAAGGATTACTCTAAACAAAGACTGAAAACTTAGATTTCTGATGTAGAAAAATAATACATAATAATGACCACAAATGCGTTTTCCCTAATTACACTTGAAATATGCTTATATTTTGTGTTTTTTTCTATTTTGTACACATGATATATTTAATGAGGTATTTTAAATGAGGACTGAGTAAGCCCTTCCTCTGTGTTGCCTACGTTTTTCACACCCCCAACCATTCCACCCTCACCCTAGCTTGTTTTGTTCTCACATAAAACTTTAAAATTTGATTAAGTAAAAATAATTGCTTTCAGATGACCTATTATGTTCCATAAGCTTTACATAGTTTATTTCATTTGATCTTTACAATAAAACTTGTACTACTGCCATCTCCACTTCTGTCTCCCCATACTTTTTTAAAGAAATAATCATCTTGATGTAACTGAATAACTTAAGACATTGATATATGAGTGTTGCATTACAATTATATAACAACTATATAAAAAATTTAAATAAGCAACTGAAAGGCATAAATAAAACATACTCTTTGGTATTTTCAATTGTTCCTGTGACTGCTACCATATGAATAACCACTCTAGGCTGCTGAAGAATGAGACACGTCATCACCATCATCCCAGCTAACACCTATCCAACTGCTAGACACATGAATGAGGCTATTTAGGTGATTTTTACTCAATATTTCTATTATTTATGCCAATAAGAGTGACAGTACCCTGTAAAGAAGCTACTATGCAATGGGACCCAGAGTTCTTTTAGCGCTAAAACGACATTTTAACAGGTGAAACCTAAAGCTGTATAGCATCTATTTGACCTGTAGAGGGCACCAGCGGCCCAGACAGCAGAATTAATTGCATTTCATTCGGTTTAGACTTGGAAATAAAAACTCTCCTTGCCCTGCACACTCGCTGTGGATTGTCGATGCCAGTGAAAGCCAGCATTAACACTCCCCTGGAGATTTCAGCATGCCATCTCATGGCTGAGTTTCAGATGGGGCCTCAAATTCATATAATTTAGTTCTATTAAAAGCTTTGCAAATTATTAAGATTATTTTTTATCTTAATAAAAGATAAACAGTTTTTAGAAAATTAGGATACAATCCAAATTCTAAAAATTATTAAATCATTTGTAGTGTCATAATAGAAAAACACTCAGAATAGTGAAGCTTCATTATTCAGTCTAGCAAAAAACCTGTTCACCTGAATTAGCAAAAAAGTTCCAATTTTTCTGTAAATACATTTCTTCCTAATTAAGTTAATATCCCTTGATTCATTCAAGTTATTTCCTTAAAAAGGTATATTAAGTTTAAAAGCAAAACAGACCAAATGCATGGCCTTTGCTATCAAACCCCCCTAGCCCAAATCTCACCTCTGTCACTAGTTAGCTGGGTGTCAGAGGTCACTTCTCTTAGCCTCAGTTCCTTTATCTGTAAATAAGAAAAATAAAAATACTTGCTTTATATTATTGTGAAAATTAAATTAGACAATGTGTAAAAATGCTTAGCACAATGTAAGTGCATACAGTCTTGGCAAACAATGATTCCATTACTGAATAGGTACTATTAAGTTGTTATTAGCTTATTAATAGTTTTTGTATAGTGCTTGCTGCAAGGAAAATAATTTCTCTGACATGTCAATACACTAATATTTAAATTAATGTATACAGTTTCTAGGAAATCCTCAGCCACATTTACTTTTGTCTTGGAGATTCACTTTTAGTCAAAGAAGAAAATATTCTTAGGGCTAGTGAAGAGGGTAGCTACTAAAACACGCATTTTCAAACATATTTTTAGATATTAAATAGAAATTTGTTCCCTTGAAATTTTGGAAGCTTAATTCTTGCAATGTTATAAGTAATTAGGTGGCTATAAAGATAATTCATTAATTGAATATAAACAGCTTAATTTTTGTCTGAATTAGGCAAAAGTATGAATTGCAAAACTTTTATCAAGTTTGAAGAAATCTATTATTAAAATAAGAATATGGAACAAGAGGCATTTAGGCTTGAGTTCAAAGTAATAATCATGAAATGAGAAAAAGAAAGATATCCTATAATCACAAATGAAGATAAATCATACCTGTCAATAGTATTTATACATCAAGTTACAGATCATTAAAATAATAAAAGAAAACTGCAAGAAATATGAGTGGAAATAGATAGGGACACAATTAATCCTCACATGTGTAGGGATAAAATTAATCCTCAGATGTGTAGAATCCTCACATCTATAAGCTCAGACACGGAAGTATACAAAAAATACAGACTATAAATAAAAAATAACTAAGTAGGTCTTAGAGAGATACATCCAAATCAATACCTTGAAAATTAACTGGCCTATTTATTGAACATTCACTGCAAAATAAATTGCTAATAAATGTCAAAAAGTAATTTTATGTTCATTATTATTGTTGTTGATAATAGTAACAATACTATAACCTAGAAATAAAATTTGCAGTTAACATATAAGACCTACATAAAAGAAAAATTTAAAAACAATTGAATGGCTTGAAGAAAACATATACTTTGAAATTTTCAGTTGTCTCTGTCAGCACTATGCTGTGAAAAGCTCAGGCTAGAGCTTTTCTGGAGAATGAAGACATAGCATCACCTTCACCCAGCTAACATCTAGTCAATGATAAAGCTATAGATTATGAAGCTATTCTTGACAATCCAGGCCTAGATGAGCTGCCAGCTGACCACAGAATTACCGTGCAGCTGACCCAAGAAAATAATAAATATTTGCTGTTGTAAGCCACTGAGATTTTGGCCAGGTTATTATACCACAAATTATGATACTTCCTCTTAGGCAAGAGCCAAGACAAGCTCAAGCTGGCTTTCTCTTGACATGGCCCACAACAGGTACAGTAGAGGAGAAAATTACACAATTTTGCCTTGTTCCATTGAGAGTGTAGGATGGTTCTGAGGCAACAGCAGCCTCTTTCTTATCATCTCCAGAAAGCCAGCCCAGGCCTTGCCTTCTGAGTTTCTCAGGCATGAGTTACTCAAACATGGTGGTAGTAAGGATAATAGATTAAGCTCACCAGCTCGGCTTCCTCCAAACCCTTTCTCTTGTCAGAAAGAAAAAGAAAGCATCTTGACTTTTGCTGTCAGGAAGAATCATAGAATACCAATACTCTACCCACAAATCCTCTTTGGATTTCCAATCATTTTTTCTTAGCTTATCCAAGATCTGTTTAGATATTAGAGGTAGATGGTCAGCCAATGATGGAAACGAATATTCTGCTACCTTCTCTTTTAAGTCTCACATCTCACTATGGACTGTGCATCTACCATTTTGATGCCTTGGAGAAAATTGAGTCTAAAGAAATTTCACTGCAATGTCTTTTTATCCTGAATTTATAGAATCTTTGCATGAGGCAGTCCTTTTGCAATTTGGTTTGAAAGGCAGATGCTTTACATGGATGTTATGTAATGTTGTGTTATTTATTCTTCCTACTTTAATCTAGTATTGCCTCTAATATTCGTCTTTTCAAGGTCCCAAGAACCTCCATACTACTAAATCCACTTTGCCTTTCTTTCTTTCTTTTTCTTTCTTTCTTTCTCTTTCTTTCTTTCTTCTTTCTTTCTTTCCCTTTCTTTCTTTCCTTCCTTCCTTCCTTCTTCTTTCTTTTTTCTTTCTTTTTTTTTGGCAAAGTGTCGCTGTGTTGCCCAGGCTGGAGTGTAGTGGCATGATCTCGGCTCACTGAAACCTCCGCCTCCTGGGTTCAAGCGATTCTCCTGCCTCAGCCTCCCAAGTAGTTGGAACTACAGGCAACAGGCACCCGCCATCACTCCCTGCTAATATTTGTATTTTTAGTAGAGAGGGGTTTTCACTATGTTGGCCAGGCTGGTCTTGAACTCCTGACCTCGTGATCCGCCTTCGTCAGCCTCCCAAAGTGCTGAGATTACAGGCATGAGCCACCACACCTGGCCCCACTTTGCCATTTTTAATCCTCTTGTTAGTGGACATCTCAGGAGCATTGTACATGATAGAAACATTTTTTGTACTTGGTTTCCAGAGCACGATATGATCCTGGTTTTCCTCCTATCTTATAAGCTGATTTTGCTCATTTTTTTTTTTGGTTCAATTTACCTTGTCTTCTGGATCTCTAATTAACTTTAATGTCTAAGTGATCTCAACCAGCAACATGACTTAAATACCATCTATACACTAAAGAGTCTCAAATGTATGTCCTGCTCTGTCTTTTCCCCCTGGTTTGCATATTCAGTTGCCTACTTGACATCTCCACTTGGCTGTCTCATAGTCATTTTAGATATAATATGTCAAATACAACCTGATCCACTCCTGTAAACCTATTCTTCACTTTTTCTTCCACATCTTAGTAAACAATACTGCCATTCACACAGTTGCTCACGCCAAACTTTTGACATCATCTGTGAGGCTTCTCTTTCTCTCTACTCCATCATTTTCTTAGTAAATTTTAACAAATTTCTTCTTTTAAAGCAAATATAACTGTCTCTTACCAATTTCCTACCTACCTCCCTAATCTAGGTCACTATTATCTCACACCCACATGACTGCAATAGCTTCCTATCTGCCACTACCACTCTCAGAGACTGACCATGTCACTTCCCTGCTAAAAATATTCCAATAATCTTCTTTAATGTAGAGAAAAAAACAACACAAATTTCTCTACAGCTTTTAGTTTATGCATATTCTGATCAGTGGCTACCTAGTCAATCTCATTTTCTTCTACTTTCCTCTTGCTCACTCTCTTTTGACCTTTTTCTGTGAGAAAAGCAGAGAAATCACTTTATAGAGTATGACACCATTTATGAAAATGAACACATACACACAGACAAAAGCAAAGCTATTGTCTTTAGATGTGCAGATAGGTATATAGGTATAGAAGTAACAGGGAAAATGTCTGGAAGGGTAAAGACAAAACTGATTGCAATGGTTCCCTCTAGCAATGGAATTTCCCAGGGCCAGAAAAGTCATCAAGATGTAACTTAGCTTTTTATATAGCATTGAATTTTTTAACAAAAAGAATGTGCTCATGCATTACTATTATAACAATTTCTAGTTTAAAAGGAAAAATTACTTTTGAGGAATATTATAAAGGCTATTTGCCTTCTTTAATAAAATTTAATTTTCCATTCTATGTAAACTCCAAAGACAAAGGGACTATGGACAAGAGACTTTCAGTGTTTTCCCCATCATATTCATTTGTATTCCTATCTTTCATTTAGAACACAAACTTTGGCTAATATACAGAATATACTCCAGTCTTTAATAATTAATGTTACAAAATACAAAGTAAAAACTGTGACATGTGGAATTAAACATGTCAGCTTTACATTTCACATACTGGTCACACTCATACCTGAAATCTGGACAGGTTTATTCACAGGATCTACCTTAATTCATTGCCATCAAAGTTAAACCAGAAGCCTTTTAACTTCTCACCAATATATTCCTTAGGAAATAGTATCAATATATGTTCCTTAGGAAATTCAAAACATACCCATTCAACTGCTTCCCTTCTCACTCTGCTGCAAGAGGAACTTGATCAAGAAGATCAAGTTGAGGTCTGAATAATTCTCAGCATCGTGCTTAGGTTTTTTTTTTTTTTTTGAGATGGAGTCTCACTCTGTCACCCAGCCTGGAGTGCAGGGGTGTGATCTCTGCTCCCTGCAGCCTCCGCCTCCTGGGTTCAAACGATTCTCCTGCCTCAGGCTCCCAAGCAGCTGGGACTACAGGCTCCTGCCACGACGCCTGGCTAATTTTTCTTTTTTTCTTTTTTTTTTTTTTTTTTTAGCAGAGACGGAGTTTCACCATGTTGGCCAGCCTGTTCTCGAACTCCTGACCTCAAGTAATCAGCCCACCTAGGCCTCCCAAAGTGCTGGGATTACAGGCGTGAGCCACCATGCCTGGCTATCCTGCTCAGAATTCTTAAAAGAGCCATATCCATAATATCTCAGCAACAACTACTCAGAGGCTGCAACCTCGTTTGACTGCTCTATATCTGGGCATCAGGGCACTGGAAGGGATAAGAAATTATCCTTATATCTGCTCATATTTACATAAAGAAACTCTAGAAGATTACACAAAATACTAATAATCACATATTTCTTTGGGGATGAGAACTAAGACAATGTGTAACAGAAATGTATGAGACTTTTTGGAATCCTACAAACATGCCTGTTCAAAAATATTTAAATAAATGCTGTTATTATAAATAACAAGCAGTATAATGAAGAAAACTAAATTGAATATAATGAAACTCGATGACAGCTACTGTGGTCAATAAAAATGCAGATTTTGGAAATATTTTTGCCTCTGGTAAAGTTTTGGTAAGAGAAAGCATAGATGCATATGCCTGCTCTGTCAGTTCAGAAGAGTTCACATCCTTATGATAATTTGCCTGAAATTTATAGATTTAACTGATTTCCTGGGTGA
The DNA here is from genome assembly GCF_000001405.40 of Homo sapiens. Classification (NCBI taxonomy): domain Eukaryota; kingdom Metazoa; phylum Chordata; class Mammalia; order Primates; family Hominidae; genus Homo; species Homo sapiens. Next base: position 209,340,231 of record NC_000002.12, read on the forward strand.
ATTCCAGATTCAGTACCTACTTTAAAACATTCCATTAGTTGTAAAGCAAAATTAATGTTCTAAAAGAAAGTCTCTTCCATTGCAGAATTGCTGATATATTCATTTCTCCTATGTATGTCTCTGCTCCTCAGTTATGTTTCTCCTGCAATAAATTTAAAAGGGAACTCATCCCACCTTCAAAATTTAAAAAAAAATAATAATTACACATAAGTTTGCTGTATTCCATAAAATTCCTTAATATTAGTAAATTTCTTTTTTTTTTTTTTTAACATTGGAGGACTGGGTCCCCCAACTCTGAAAAACAAGTAGAGTTGAGATAGAACTGAACTTTTCTGTACTGTTTCACTACATGAGAGAAGGCTTAAGAGTTTTGTTAGAGTTTCTTGATTATTATGCTAGGTTGGGTTCCCCAGAAGCAGATCTTATGAAGAGAACCTGTGTACACGTATGGTTTTTAAGGAAGTGTTTCCTAGAAGTGTGAGTCATAAGAGAGGTGAGGGTGTGGTCTCTGGAAAATTTCCAGCTTGGGGAGCTCCAATTCGATTCTGCAGGGGAGACTCTGAAGCATGAGGTACCCCTCAGAGTTGTCCACATCTGAGAGTACAGAACTGAAATTTAAGGTTCCCACATGAGGGTGGTGGGTCACATAAACTAGGTCTAGGTCAGTCTGCTGAAGAAGAGCCCTAGGTCTGACCATTGAAAATACACTGAGAAACAAGAAACAAGGAGTAGAAAGTGCTTGGAGAAAGGGGCCAGGGAAGGGAAGGAAGGTACAGAAATGTACAAAGGGATTAGGAATCAGAGTGGAGCTTCAACATTTCCTGATGCGATTTTTCATCAGATCTTAATTGCAGATTCAGGATTTACTTATGTACAATCTGTGTACAGACCCAAGACTCTTAGGTTTTTTCTAATTGCTTTTATACCTAATATAACTAGAATTCCTTTAATTTGACAGATCAAATCACAAACCTAATATGAAAGAAACTGTCCTAGCATCTCTATTTTTACATAATTTTAGTTTTATTAACAAACAATAATTGTATATATCTTTGAGGTAAAATGTGATGCTTCAATACATGTATATATTACGGAATGAGCAAATCAGGCTAATAACATATCCATCAGTTCACATATTTATCATTTTTTATAGCGAAAACATTTAAAATCCATTTTTAAGCAATTTTGAAATATGCAACATATAATAATTAACTGTATTCACCATGCTGTGCAATAAATCACTAGAACTTTTTCTTCTCACCTAATTGAAATTTTGTACTCTTTTACCAACATCCCCCTGACAGCCCCTGCCTCAGACCCTGGTAATCACCATTGTAATCTCTACTTCTATAAATTCAAATGTTTAGATTCCACATATAAGTGAGATCGTGCTATACCTTTCTTTCCATACCTGATTAATTTCACTTAGCATAATGTCCTCTGAATTCATACACATTGTCACAAGTGACAGAATTTATTTCTTTTTTAAGGATGAATAGTATTCCACTATTAGGATATACCACAGTTTTAATCCATTTATTTGTTGATGGGCACTTAAGATTGTTTCCAAATCTTGACAATTGTGAATAATATTACAATGAACACAGGAGTGCAGATATCTCTTCAACATACTGATTTCAATTCCTTTGGTTATGTACCAAAGGAAATTGAATATGAAAATTTTATTTCTAATTCTCCACATCCTCACCAACACTTGTTTATCAAAGAGGTGGAAAATCTATATACTAAAAACTATAAAACATCAGTGGAATAAATTGGAGATGAAACAAATAAATGGAAAAATATTTCATGTTCATGGATTGGAAGATCCTACTACTGCCCAAAGCAACACACAGATTCAATACAATCTCTATCAAAATTCCAATGTCATTCTTCACAGAAATAGAAAAGAAAAATTCTAAAATAAGTATTGAAGCACAAAAGATGTCAAATTGTCAAAGTAATCTAGGGAAAAAAATCTGAAGGCATGACACTATGCGACTTCAAAATGTACTACAAAGTTATAATAATCAAAAGAGCATTGTATGGGCATAAAAACAGATGCACCCACCAATGAAACAGGATAAACAGTTCAGAATTAAACTCATGCATTATGGTGAACTGATTTTCTACAAAGAGGCCAAGACTATACAGGAGAAAAAGGCAGTCTCTTCAATAAATGATTCTGGAAAAACTTGCTGTCCACATGCAGAAGAATGAAACTGGACCCTTGTCTCACACTTTTTACAAGAATTAATTCAAAATGGATTGAAGACTTCAATATAAAACATGAAATTGTAAAACTACTAGAATAAAACATAAAGGGAAATCTACACAGCATAGGTGTGGGCAATGACTTCTTGCATATAACCTCAAAGGCGCAGGTAACAAAAGCAAAAATATACAAACGAGACTGCATCAAACTAAAAAGCAAAAATAATTGGATTTTAACACATCAATAGTAAGAATGTCTGATCATTGACCTGAACCACAGAGAAGGTTAAGAGACTAATGATAGTCTGAGAAAAGATATTTGTGATACCTAAAGCTGATTGAGGATCATCATGTAGAATACACAAGGAATTTAAAAAGAAATAGATTGATAGAAAAATATATGAAAAAACAATATACCAGAGGAGAAATTTGGTTGCTAAGAAGCATGTGAAGTGATATCCATCTTCATCAGTAATCAGAGGAATTCATATTTATTTAAACAAGAAAATGCTCTAAAAACATCAAATCAGCATAAAGTTAAAATCAGAACTTATAAAATGTTGGTAAGTATGTAGAGAAATGTAACCCATCATGCCCTGCAGGTAGAAGTATATCTGATATTAAAAAGCCGTCTGGCAGTATCAGTGATGCCAAATCCACTGATAGACTACAACTCAATGACCTCTCTTTAAGAATTATACCCCAGAGTAAAAATTGCACAGGTTGACACAGTTGTATTTTTGAGGCTATGGGGAGTCACAGGCAATCTTGGTGTCCATAAGAAAATGCATACATAAACTGTGGTGATTAAGCACCAGGAAATACTCTGCAACAATTAGAGCCAATTAATGCTTGTACAGCAATATAGTTAATGTTAGGTAAAAAAGGCTGAGAAGGATAATGAAATTTATAGCAACATATACTTTATATATTGAAAACATACATATACAAAATAACACTGCATATTGTGCAAGGTCATGTATGTACCCAAGATAATGCTATGGCAGCAGGGTAGTAGAAGTAGAGAAAGGAACAAAGTTGAAAATAAAATTAAACAAATGACCTTCCACAGAAAAATTTCTAAAACAAGGATCGTGTTCCAATTTTATAACTAGAATGTTTTGAAAAACTTTGAGTACATTTTATTATATTTTATATTTACTGTGATACAAAGATCTATGCAGTAAATTAATTTATTTTCCAAACTCAGGTGAATGCGTACTGTGGAGCAGGCTTTGTGTTGAGTGTTAGGCTTAGAAAGATAAATGACATGAGGAGCTTTTGATTCTAATAGAGGACAGGATTCATATTTAATACAGTTCTGTGTCTTCAAGTGAATTTGGACCACTTATTTTCTCACACAATGTTATGCTATCTATTTCAGTCAATGTAAATACTTCTCCCTTTTGGATTCTGAGACTCAGGGTTAAATATTGAATCCAGTAGCAGTGGTTAACTAAGCCTAACTTTGTGAAATAGTTTTCTCATTTCCTAAGCATTTTAGTCAGATTTTTAAATATTTATCTCAAGTGTGTATCAATGCCATTTAGCTATCATGAATTCTTTTAGAAAACAGACCAACTTAAAAATTAGAAAATCATATTAAAATACATTTGAATGTTTTTTCTGCATTTTTTATTGTTATCCATATTTGATATTCAATTTCATCTCTGCAAAATAACTCTGAACTATACATTTGTTACAAAATATTTCAAGAAAATCTAACAAGTTACAATACAAGAGTAGCTTTAATAAAATCTTAGTGTAAAAGTTTTGGTAGAAGTAATAGAATCTACCAATGATTGGACTCAATAAATTTAAAACAGCACTGGAGTAAACAGCAGCTCAAGACAATAACTGTTTCTGTTGTTTTTATTTCCATTTATATTAATTAACTAAGCACCTTCTAAACATATGAGCATTGATAATGTTTGAAACAACACTGAGTGACAGATACTTTCCCTCATTTTATATTAAAAGATAACTGAAGCTCTAGGATATCAGTGGCTTGTATAAAATAACCCAGCTTGACTTGAAGGCGTTTGTGAAAGACTATGTATTAGACCTTAGACCTGCTGTTTAGGCCACCTAGTGTCTTAAAACAAAAACAAAAACAAACCTAGGTTATCCATAATAACGTATATCTATTGCAAGGATAACAGTGCATGAGGTAGCAGCAGAAGTCCGTTTATCAGCTGCACATCAACCTAGGTCCAATTCTTCAAATTCCATAATGTAAAGGAGTTTGCATAACTACACAGAAACATGCTTGCCAATCCTTAAGTCAGAAATCCCAGCCACATAAGCCACCCATTTTCCAAAGGGAAGAGTTTGCTTGAGATGGTCTGAATATCATTTGATGTGCTATAGTTCTACTGGGCAGTTCTAGTCAGCTATGTCTGCATGAACAGCTAAAGAACCCTATTCGGTCCTGCCCATTAGCCAAATAAGAAGGGCCTCTACACCAAACCCATGTATTTAAAGGACTACACGTATCACACATATACAAACTAAGAAATGTACTAAAGAGCATTCAGACTTTTCTGTTACTTAGCATAGGTAAACTGTAACCGACATATCCTTTCTTTTGGTGAACAATGTTCAAGTTTTATAAAAAATCTTGTCAACATCTTTTGTTCTAAGTTCTCAAAAGAAAAGCAAATAAAAAATATCATGAAAGGTTATGGGTTTTACTATGCTGCCAGTTTTGGAAAGACACTGCTTCAGAGTATAGGAGAAATTTGAAGAGTTAAAGCTCTTAAGTAACTGAAAAGATTAATCAAGTAAGTTGTTTCAACATTCTTCCCAGATACTAATTCTTGCATAATTAATTATTGTTTCCCAGGAATAATGAAGGTTCATTTTATTGTCTCCCTTTATATTTTAATTTGTAGAAACTGATTAACTAGGAGGATATTTGCAACAGTTGCAAATGGCTACTGAGGAATTTTTTTGGTATTAAATAGCTTCAGAAATATGTATTAAATAACAAACAAAAATATATACATATACAGAGAGAAAGAATGAAGTGTAATACTATTTATTTCATGGATACACAGGTAGATATTGAATAGTAGAATTGTAAATAGTTATAGTTTTATTAATTTATAAATGTAATTAAATTTTTAAAATTAACTTTAGAATTCTGGATATCTAAATAATTCTGATATTGTTTATTTATAACTTCTGGTAATTAAGAGATGTGGTACGTAGGCCTCCATATGTTTTCTTGCTGTGAGATGCCAAGTGTAAACAATCAGCCTGTTCTGGGGTCAGGCAACAGTCTAGGAAAAATTTGCTATGGCCACATGAGTGGCCTGGTATCTTCCCCTAACAAAACATGTGGCACTAGCAATGCCTGCTAAGATGGAGAAGGAAATTAGACTGGACCAAGTACTTTAAAAAATGGCTGTGGGGTGGGCATGATGGCTCACGCCTGTAACCCCAGCACTTTGGGAGGCTGAGGCAGGCAGATCACCTGAGGTCAGGAGTTTGAGACCAGCCTGGCCAACATGGTGAAACCCCATCTCTACTAAAAATACACACACAAAAAAAAAGTAGCTGGGCGTGGTGGCACCTGCCTGTAATCCCAGCTATTTGGGAGGCTGAGATAGGAGAATCGCTTGAACCCAGGAGGTGGAGGTTGCAGTGAACCGAGATTGCACCACTGCACTCCAACCTGGGCAACAGAGCAAGACATCGTCTCAATAAATAAATAAATAAAAATAAAAAATGGCTGTGTATGTGACAGGCACTAATATGTAGACACCTCTTTCAGCCCACCTAGAATATAATATCTAATGGTTGGTATTTTTCAAACCTTAAATCAGAAATCAGCAATCTTTCCGAAACACGAAACTTTCTACTTCTTGAGTTATACAGGGAAAGGGTCTAGAGTCTGCCCATTTGGTAGCCACCACATCACTGCTCTTACCTATAATTCTAATGTATTAATGGCAGGATGTGGATGCTTATCCAGTTTCCAGTCACAATCAGAGACAACTGAGTAGAAGGTTATTTTGAATATGCCCTCACATGAACAATAGCCTGAGTCTTCTTTTGAAAGAAAAACACAGAAGGAGATGGAGAGATCAATCCTTAAGCCACTATTAGCTAGATTTACCACTTAACTCACATGAGTTAAGGAGGAAAATTCAGGGTTGTAAAGATAAGAATAGTAACAATAATTATAGCTACCAATTATTAAGCATCAACTATGTTCCAGAAACTTGACATACATTAATCAACACAGTAAATGTGCAAGGACCACACTGATAGACAATGTTGATCAATTAAAAAACTGTGATTAAGGAAAATGAGTCAGTTATCCAGAGACCCTAAGCAACTAACTGCTAGAGGCAAAATTTCAACCCAAGTTGTCAGACTTCAAACTTTTTACAGAAAGGAGAGTTTACAGAACAGGGGATGAACCTCAAAAGTATAACTCTGGGTAATGTAAAGACAATCTAGGTCGGTGATTTGCAAACTTGAATGCACATGGAATTCACCCAGAGGTCTTGTTAAAAACGAATTCGATTTCAGTAGGTCTGGGTGGGACTTAATCTGCATTTTTAAAGCTTTTAATGGCAAGCATTTGTTCAAACCTCATTATTTGCAGGTGAGTAAAGTGAGATGCAGAAAAGTTAGGTGATTGGCTCCATGCCAAGCAGTTTGTTCAATGTGGACAGAGAAAGTATCTCCAAATTGTTCTGGTTCATTTTCCAGTTTATTGTACAAATTGCTCAAAATGAGCATATAGCCATTGCTAGAGAATTTCAGTCTATCCATATATCTATTCAATATAAATTCTGCTCCTGCACAACTACAACCTCATGCTGCTATAATTTATGTACTATAGAGTCCAAACTTCTCCCTTAGTTTCTGTTGCCATATTTAAGATTACCAGATAGATTCCTGAAAATTAGGTGAAAATGGATTTTTTCAAGTAAATTATTATTTAAATGCTTCAAAAGAAGGCTTGGTTTTTTGGGTAGAGAGTAATAAGTTCTGTCATTCAAATATACAGAATTTTTTGAAAAATGTCTAAGTTGGGATTTTGTTTACCATGTTTTATTTGTTTGTTTGTTTGTTTTTTGAGACGGAGTCTCGCTCTGTCGCCCAGGCTGGAGTGCAGTGGCGCAATCTTGGCTCACTACAAGCTCCGCCTCCCGGGTTCACGCCATTCTCCTGCCTCAGCCTCCCGGGTAGCTGGGACTTCAGGCGCCTGCCACCACACCCGGTTAATTTTTTTGTATTTTTAGTAGAGACAGAGTTTCACTGTGTTAGCCAGGATGGTCTTGATCTCCTGACCTCGTGATCTGCCCGCCTCGGCCTCCCAAAGTGCTGGGATTACAGGCGTGAGCCACCGCGCCCGGCCCCTGTTTACCATAACATTTTTATTTTATTTTTTAGAGACGAGGTTTCACTACGTTGCCAAGGCTTACCTCTTGGGCTCAGGTGATCCTCCCACCTCAGCCTCCTGAGTACCTGAGACTACAGGCGTGCACCACTGCACCCAGCTTTGTTTACCATAATCTCTTAAATCAAGGGAATACTAGATAATTAATGAAGTGTATCAACAAAAATAACCCAAACTCTAACTCGATGACCTGGCACAGATCCGTAAGCACATTATTAATATATCTGTACAGATTATGTTATCTCCACTGAAAGACATCTTCCTACATAAGGGAATAATACATTCAAATTTATTATTTTATATTTCTCAGAGCTCATTATCTTGATTTGGAGAAACATTCCTTCTGACTTGTGCATTTTAAGTAGATTTCTCTAGAACCTACTGCAATGCAGCTTGTTCTTGGCAAAAAAAGAAAAGGCAATTCATTTTCTGATTTCAGAAATTCTTTTAAAAATAATGTCAAAAATAAATTGAAAAATAAGAGGGCCATACTCTGTCATAACTAAAGTGTTTTTCAGAGATAGGCGTCCCAAGCAATAACATCTATGGGATGGAATAAATTCCTCAGGCAAGCTGATTTTCATTTCTCTAATAGTCATTCTAATTAGGAGCAATGTATTTCTCCTGAACATATGTTACATATTATCACCAACGGACATGGTGTTTATACGTGGTATTCTTAGGCAAATTACATCCTACTTGCTTGAATACATTAAGTGATTTCTTGGGAGTTTCTGAGCTGACTGTATTTTAAAACCAGGTCCCTCTCCTCTTTTGTCTTCCTTTGTGTGCTTGCCAATTCCTAAGTAGCTGTTTTATGCCAAGTTAATCAAATAGGATCGCACCAACCCCAGCAGTTGGGTCGTTCTTTTTAAGCACATCACAGTCATCTAGCCCTCTCACGCCATTCCGTTTCTCTCCTTTCCCCTTCCTCCCTCCTGCTGTCTGCTTTGACATGATTTTACTTTCTTGTCTTTTCACTAAAGGATTCACCTGAGAATAAATAAGATTAAATTTTACAGTTTGTTATGGTTACTTATCAGAGGAAAAGAATAATGTCGGCTGTTTCTCCTTCTCTCTTTCACTCTGCCCTCATCCCACACACACAAAAACTAATCACTTTACAGATTTTAGAATGCAAACAAATCATTTAGAAAATTATCATATCATTATGTTCTAATCAACCTGGATCAATAGCCATTTCCTGACATACTATTGCACTTCTCTAGGTCCATACTGTCCCCACTAGCAGGGATGTGTTTTACCTATGTAGGTGCCTGTCAAAATGCTCTCCCTCCTTCAAGGCCCAATTACCATCTCTTTGCATCTATTTCTGCTTTGTAACTGGTCTTTCCCACTTTAGTGCCCCCAAAGACTAAGCTTTTTGAAATCAGTTCCAATATCTTGTTTATCTTGTCTCTCCACAGGAGTTATATTTGTGTTTTATTCATGGTGGAACTCACTGCTAGTTTGATAAAGGTCACAGGACAGCAAATGTTAATAATTTCAGGAAAAAATCAGTGCTATAGAAACACAGTTGGCTGTCACAACTTCCTTTGAGTGTCACCAGAAATAGTAACCAGCCAGTTTCCTGATCATCTACTTTCTTGCACCAGAGTTCCATTTGCTTACAGATGCTATAAGTGCTGTGTGATTCTGCTGAAAATGTCTTACATAGATGAGGACAAAGCTAATAGAAGGCATCCCAAGGCATAAGTGACATCAGATGGTAGAATACAGTTAAGTCTAGGAGTCTAAGCAAGAAGGAAGAGCATCATTAATAGCATAGGTTTAGGCATAGAAGGAACCAAGTTCAGGGTTTTAACTGAACGCAATGGTTACACCATTTTGTAAGGATTCTATTTGAAAGTCATGAAATTGTGCTGCCTGCCATATAATTATTGTGCGCTTATGTGTATGTGTGACAATTGATTAGGAATATACATACCCTCACCAATGAAAACCTCTGAAATTAGGTAAAACTTCCTAATGAATCTATACCTTAACAAAGATAATGGCACTTATGTACGTATAATAATTAACAATAGGTACACAATCAAGAAACATTACGTATTCGGGCTACAGACCAATCTTGGTGCACGTATGGATTCAAAAACTACATATGATAATTCTGGAGCCTCCAGAAGTCAGAAACCCCTTGGTTGGGAACTCAAAATTTGAGGCTGTACTAGCAGATATTGTGGATTTGAATTAAGACTATAGACTACAAAGTCCAGACGGGATAGAAGTGAAACGGAGCAATCATGACAACATAGGTTAAACCTCAATCCCATGGTGCAGTCTTTCTTTTTCTTCAGTCTTATATTTCCTTTGGTATGTGGTGGATTTGAGCCTGAAAATGTTAAATAAAGTTAACAAAAATAAAAATGCAGGTGACTCATGCACCTACTCTTGCAGGCTTTTAAATGTTCTCCGTAAAACTCTATTCCACTACATGAGGGTGAATATTTTTTTTCTTTTTTCCTTTGATAACCATAGTATTCCTGGTGCCTATATGATACTAGCACATAGTAACTGCTCAATAAATTATAACTGAGTAAATTAAAAAATTCATTTATTATTGAGCTGAATAAATTAATAAATGGGTACCTAGAGACCAACGTTTATGTGACTTGCTGTTTACTACCTGGATGGGGACAACTTCTGGGAAAAGGTGACAAATATCAAAAAGGTGATCAATAGAAAGAGTGCCTGTTTTGCATGGCTTTTCTCAATATGGCAGAGAACTGTGACTGCATGCATACTAAAAACTGTGAACAACTTCACAGAGGGAAGGCCATCAATAGATATTGTTCAATACTGACGGTATATCAGACTGAAACTTGAGCTTTAGAGATGACCAGCATTTCCTGCAGAAAAAAGAATGAAGTACTGGAGGGAAAAAAACACAGATACCAATCCCAGCTCAAGGTCAACTGGTCCAACTAAGTCATTTAACATCTTAGGATGTTGGTTTTCTTACCTAAAAAATAAAGAGTTAGGTCACCCCTTTTCAGATCCCTTCCAGTTTTAAGAGTCTGTAAAACTACTTGATCCGTTTTTACTTCCAAACCTTGTGTGTCTTTCTGTAAGTGCTTTGACTATTAACCTTAAGCAGGGTTCAATTCAAAAAGTGCATGTAAATGATCAGTAGCAGTGTTAAATGGGCAGCTGTTCCTAACTTTACATTGTTTAACCATCATTGCCTTTCCTTCTTTGCACATAGCTTAAAGAAAATCCAAAGGAGGTTGCAAAAAAAAAAAAATACTTGAATTGATCGATCTAGACAGTTGATCACTTTGTAATAGTGTTTCTCAAAGGGTGATAGTTAGACCTCTGACTGCAGAACCACCAGGGCTCTGGTTTAAAATGGGAGTTGCTAGATCCTACATGAGAGTCTATGAGTCACTATGTTTAGAGATGACATCCAGGAATATAATTTTTTTACAACTATGCTTAAATATATAAATCTTTTGAAAATCACTGGTAATGGGATTTTTTCACCAACATAGCCATGGGCATTTATGGGTTAGAGAAATCAAATAGCTAGTAAAAAATAGAGAAAAATTATGCAAATATATCTGACCTAGCCCGGTCTAAGGTGGAATTTTTAAAGAAAAAGTGTAAAATGGAAGCTAACATCTCTTTCAGCTAAATGTTCCCGTAATTTTTTTCTCACAGCTGTAGAAAAGCCACAATTTTCCTTTTACAAGATTGACAGCTGTTTAATTTTTAAAAGCTGATTAACATTTCTAACTACAGATAAATGGAGAAATAATTCAGTCAAAACTGTTCAAAATTAATCTGCTGCTCTTCTGCTTTAAATAATATTCTGCGATTTCCCACACATTTTTCTCTTTCCTAACATATTTTCCTTATTTTTTTAACCAAGCAGGCTGTGACCTACAAAGAGTCTGTTGAAATGATATATGGGAGGTTTATCTTTTCCTCCATTGGGGAAGCTCTCTAATGGCCAAAAGCTGTGTTTTGCTATATGCTGCGTGAGACCATAAACTCCCTGGGAGCTGGGTGATGAATGCTCATATAATGAGTAATTTTTTTTTCTTTTCCAATTGGGCTTAGATTAATTTCGTTTATTCTAATAAGTGGATGGAGGCAGACATATTATAAAGGATTTTTTTTTTAGAAAATAATCAAACACATTTTATTATTCATTATTTTAAATGATTCACTTAAATTCTTTATATCATTGAACAATTAAAATATTCTACATTGTGAAATGTGCACAGGGGTTTCCATAATAGAGGAGCTTTCATTTCAGAAATGTATATTCTGTACATTGATTTAGTAGTTGATCCAGTCAACACATTTTTTTAAAGATTATTAAACTTTAATAAAAAGACAACACATTTTTTTAAAAAGGGCAAAAGACAAGTCACAAAGGAAGATATACAAAGAACAATAACTACATGAGAAAATGCTGAAAATCATTTACCATGGAGAAAATTAATAGAAACATAAATTAGACTTAAAATATTTTGTAAAATACATCAAAGAGAGGAAAGAAAATGATTTGAAGTAAAATAAGAAATAAACAGGTACAAAGGATCCAAAAATTAGTGACAGATACAGAAAAATGCACAAAAGTATTTAGTACAATTGGAGTTCTTTTTTTTTAATTATTATTATACTTTAAGTTTTAGGGTACATGAGCACAATGTGCAGGTTAGTTACATATGTATACATGTGCCATGCTGGTGTGCTGCCAAACAACACATGAAAAAATGCTCACCATCACTGGCCATCAGAGAAATGCATATCAAAACCACAATGAGATACCATCTCACACCAGTTAGAATGGCAATCATTAAAAAGTCAGGAAACAACAGGTGCTGGAGAGGATGTGGAGAAATAGGAACACTTTGACACTGTTGGTGGGACTGTAAACTAGTTCAACCATTGTGGAAGTCAGTGTGGCGATTCCTCAGGGATCTAGAACTAGAAATACCATTTGACCCAGCCATCCCATTACTGGGTACATACCCAAAGGACTATAAATCATGCTGCTATAAAGACACATGCACACGTATGTTTATTGCGGCACTATTCACAACAGCAAAGACTTGGAACCAACCCAAGTGTTCACCAATGATAGACTGGATTAAGAAAATGTGGCACATATACACCATGGAATACTAGGCAGCCATAAAAAATGATGAGTTCATGTCCTTTGTAGGACATGGATGAAATTGGAAAGCATCATTCTCAGTAAACTATCACAAGAACAAAAAACCAAACACCACATATTCTCACTCATAGGTGGGAACTGAACAATGAGAACACATGGACACAGGAAGGGGAACATCACACTCTGGGGACTGTTGTGGAGTGGGGGGAGGGGGGAGGGATAGCATTAGGAGATATACCTAATGCTAAATGACGAATTAATGGGTGCAGCACACCAGCATGGCACATGTATACATATGTAAAGGATTTTTTTAACATTATCTGAGTTTACAATAGCTATTTTAAAATTTGGAACTTGCGATAGTTTGCTGAGAATGATGGTTTCCAGCTTCATCCATGTCCCTACAAAGAACATGAACTCATAATTTTTTATGGCTGCATAGTATTCCATGGTATATATGTGCCACATTTTCTTAATCCAGTCTATCATTGTTGGACATTTGGGTTGGTTCCAAGTCTTTGCTATTGTGAATAGTGCCGCAATAAACATGTGTGCATGTGTCTTTATAGCAGCATGATTTATAATCCTTGGGTATACACCCAGTAAAAAACCAAACACCGCATGTTCTCACTCATAGGTGGGAATTGAACAATGAGAACACATGGACACAGGAAGGGGAACATCACACACCCGGGACTGGTGTGGGGTAGGGGGAGGGGGGAGGAATAGCATTAGGAGATATACCTAATGCTAAATGACGAGTTAATGGGTGCAGCACACCAACATGGCACATGTATACATATGTAACAAACCTGCACGTTGTGCACATGTACCCTGAATCATAAAGTATAATAATAATTTTTTAAAAAATTTGGAACTGATTGGTTTTTTGGATATTTTGATCGTTTTTGTTTTCTTGCAGAAACATTTATAAGTTGGTAAACTGCAATGTAAAATGAAGTGCTTTTTTTTTTTTTTTTTTTTTTGAGATGGAGTCTTGCTCTGTCACCCAGGCTGGAGTGCAGGGGCGTGATCTTGGCTCACTACAAGCTCCGCCTCTCAGGTTCACACCATTCTCCTCCCTCAGCCTCCCAAGTAGCTGGGACTACAGGCGCCTGCCACCACGCCCAGCTAATTTTTTTGTATTTTTATTAGAGATGGGGTTTCACCATGTTAGCCAGGATGGTCTCAATTTCCTGACCTCGTGATCTGCCCATCTTGGCCTCCCAAAGTGCTGGGATTACAGGTGTGAGCCACCGCGCCCGGCCAATGAAGTGCTTTTTGGTACCTGGTCTGGGTTGTAGACATTACTGCTGTGTGTGCCTGTGCAAATACTTTTTACTTTTGAAGAATTTTGCTGACCTGTTTTTTTTGTTTTGTTTTGTTTTGTTTTGAGATGGAGTCTGGCTTTGTCACCCAGGCTGGAATGCAATGGTGCGATCTCAGCTCACCGCAACCTCTGCCTCCCGGATTCAAGCGATTCTCCTCTCTCAGCCTCCCAAGTAACTGGGATTACAGGTGCACGCTGCTACGCCCAGCTAATTTTTTGTATTTTTAGTAGAGATGAGGTTTCACCATGTTCCCCAGGCTGATATCGAACTCCTGAACTCAGGCAATCCACCCGCCTTGGCCTCCCAAAGTACTAGGATTACAGGCGTGAGCCGCTGCACCCAGCCCTGCTCTCTTAATGTTAGGTATTGCTATTTGACTTGCCTTGGCCAACAGAAGTGTGTAAAAGTGAGGTGTCCTTTCTGGGGGTTGGCATTTAGTTGGTAATGATTGAGCCCACTGGAAAATCATGGACACATGTGTTGGTGTGAAGGTGCCTCTCCTGAGAGATACAATCTGAGAGCTTGTTTGAAGGTTGCACAGTTGTTTTCAGCCTCTTTAATTGATTGCCAGTTTCTCCTCAAACACTTGTTCTTAATTGTCAGACTTGACTCTCCTGGAAAATTGAGGAAGATATTGTAAAAATCTTGCTGCTTCACAGAAATGTCCAGGATGAAACTCCACTGCCTTTATCTTGTGCCATTCATCCTATTTCTGGAATCCAGTCCCCAGTGTATTTCAAGTGGCTCCTTTCATGCAGTGTTCTCATCTATGTGTGCCTAATCTCTTGGAAATTTCTCAGCATCAATATACCTTACCTCATTAGTCTCTTGTATTAGTCTGCAACTGGCATAGTTAACTAACAAGAGTTTCTCTTTCTAAAATTACAAAACAAAAAACAGATTATTTCACTGAAAATATCAGTAAAATTGGTTTCCTGCTCCAGTATTTTGTACCTCTCTCCTGTCACTTTATTTATCCGTGGGACATAGTGAACCTATTCCCCAAACACATTCCAAACAAAATGTTTCAAACATTGATATGGTTTGGCTGTGTCCCCACCCAAATCTCATCTTGAACTGTAGCTCCCATAATTCCCAAGTATTGTGGGAGGGACCCAGTGGGAGGTAATTCAATCATGGAGGCAAGTATTTCCCATGAGTTCTCGTGATAGTGAATAAGTCTGATGATCTGATGGTTTTATAAAGGGGAGCTCCCCTGCACACACCCTCTTGCCTGCTGCCATGTAAGACGTGTCTTTCTCCTCCTTTGCCTTCTGCCATGATTGAGAAGCCTCCCTAGTCACGTGGAACTGTGAATTCATTAAACCTCTTTTTCTTTATAAATTACCGAGTCTTTAATATGTCTTTATTAGCAGTGTATGAACTGACTAATACAAACATTAAAACCAATTTCACAATTATATTAACATAGCATATTGTAGTATATATTGAGACATATGAATGTATATGAAGTAGGTATAACTTTATGTAAGGCATAAAGAATGAAGATACAAAAACATGACTACCAACAAGTTTAAGAAGAAAATTATTACGAATGCCTTTGATGTCCGGTGACAGCTGAGCTTATCCCTGAGTATTCCTCCCCCAATCCTATCCACTTACATCCCTTTAGAGATAAACAATTGAGGATTTATTGTCCCCCTATTTTTATTTACAGTCCTACTGTCAGAGGCATGTGAACCAGAGCAACTCCATCTTGAATAAGAGTTAGGTAAAATGAGGCTAAGACCTACCGGGCTACATTACCAGACGGTTAAGGCATTCTAAGTCACAAGATGACATAGGAGGTTGACACAAAATACAGGTCATAAAGACCTTGCTGATGAAACAGGCTGCAGTGAAGAAGCCGGCCAAAACACCAAAACCAAGATGGCCATGAGAGTGACCTCTGGTCATCCTCATTGCTACACTCCCACCAGCACCATGACAGTTTACAAATGCCAAGGCAATGTCAGGAAGTTACTCTATATGGTCTAAAAAGGGGAGGCATGAATAACCCACCCCTTGTTTAGCACATCAACAAGAAATAACTATAAAAATGGGCAACCAGCAGACCTTGGGGCTGCTCTGCCTAGGGAGTAGCCATTCTTTTATTCCTTTACTTTTCTAATAAATTTGCTTTCACTTGACCCTGTGGAGTTGCCCTAAATTCTTTCTTGCATTAGATCCAAGAATCCTCTGTTGGGGTCTAGATTGGGACCCCTTTCCTGCAACACTACCACATATATTTGTACTAAGTTTTTGGTTTTTCTGAACTTGGATGCTTTTGAACTTTATATAAATGAAATTATACAATGAGTAACCATGTACATCTTATTTTTCCACTCAATATTATACTCAATATTCATTCAGTTCTCTGCATATAGTTCACAATCATTTATTCCTCCACTGTAAAAATTCCACTGTACAAATTCCACTGTACAATATTCTACTGTATCATATATATATATATTCATTCCAGTATTGATTGACATTTGGTTTTATTCAATTTCAGTTTTTTTAAATTGCAGATGATGTTTATATTGGTTGACATTTGGTTTTATTCAGTTTTATATCAGGATTTTTAAAATAATTGTAGATTATGCTTTTCTGAATAGTCCCCTGCATGTACTTTAAAATCACAGACAATTGCAATGAACCATACAAGCAGTTGTTACTGAATTAAGTTTGAAAAATTTGGTTTGGTTGTGGTAGGTCACTGCAGAGGCAATTTGGTGCAGAATATTTTATGGATGCACACCATATCTAAGGGCCCTGGGTGATTGCATAAATTATCATAGCAAATGAAGATAATTTGAGATAAAGAAGAGAGGAAAATGGCTTTGGCATTCCCCACAGAACAAAACTGAACAGTCGCTTTAAGAGTAGAGGCAACTGGAGAATGAGAGTTCACGGAAGCATGAATCAGCCTGGATACTGAAATATACAAGGAGCAAAGCTCCTTCATGAACCAGCTGGAGTAGAGGCCAGTGTAGTTAAAACCTTGGGGAAGGGGATAAATGATACTCTATGGGTTAGGTGGAAAGCACCAAACAAGAAAATTGCAAGTACACTAGAGGTAATGGGCCTTGAATCAGAAAAGGTTTAAGAAATACAAATATATATATATTTGTATATATATATTCTTTCAAAGGAAGAAGTAATAACTTTACAGATAATAATAATTGGCACCTTTAAGAATAACATCACTGTAAATTCATTGCTTCGTTTTGCAAAACACCTTGAAATGTTTACGTATGGAAATTGGCAGTAGGAGCTAAATAACAAAGGCCAATAGAAGTATGGTAATTGGGAATTTGAAAGGGAGAAAGAATTTAAGGAGCCTTGAAGCTATATGGAGAGAGTGAAAATTGGAGTAGAAGAGCAACTAAAAGCATCCTGGAAAACATAACCATACATAAGCATTTTTAGATTGGGTGATGTCCACTCCTCCCTTACTTCCCATATGAACTCTTCATAAAGCTTTGTGTTGTCCTCACAGTTTTTATATGAATGGATCTTCAGAGGGAACCTAGGAGTTACTGAGCTATTCATCTCAGCCCCCCTAGTGTAATACAGATCACACATAAGGAGAGAAAGAAGCACATGAGATTATGGAAGCGTATATTCCTGAAATCTAGTCATTACAATTCCTTAAGCCATGGAATTGGCATTTTATGGTAAGCATACCTAGATTTCATGGGGCAGGAAGGCCCCAGCTGACACACTGATAATACTAATCTACATCCTTAAAGAAAGGTTAATTAATATTTTAGCTACAGAACGGATTATGATTCTTTTTCATTGCAAAAAAAAAAAATCCAAACACAAATTAAATAAATAAAAAGGAAAGTTTCTCATCAAACCTTCTCCATCTTTCCCCCATCTCAGTATCAGCCCAGAGGTATTCATGGATATTTACTTGATCAATTTCCTTCTTGAGCATTTTCTTTCCATTTTCATACACATGCTGTATTCAGTAGACCTTTTAGTATCTATAAAAGGCTCTTTTTTTCTCACGCAATCTTTTCACCAAGAGCTTACAAATGTGAAATTCTGTACTTTCTGTATTAGAAGGTTGTCTGAGTCAAAAGGGGCAGCCCTCTTATGAGTGGTGCCCTAATTTAGACTCCTGGATGTATCCCCAAATTATTATTTCTTTCCATATTCTGAATAAAGCTCTTTCCATAGTCTGAAGAGAGCAATTTTTGTTATTGCCCCTTAACGGAATATTGACACAATATAAGCCATTTCTAACAGAATGACTGGAAAAGTGGGTATAGACAGCCAGGAACTTTTCTGTTCTTTCCCCTACTTGGATAGAATCCTATTTTCAAGTGTGTGACTTTGGATGAAGTGCTCCTAGTCACTCTTAAAGTTTCTATATATGTTCCTAGAAAGTTCCTTAGGGAATATTTCATTGCCTCTGTTTCTGTGTTTGAAACTAGGACTATCCACTTTTAGAAAAGCTTAGCCAGATCATTTTGCCTATAATTTCCTTTTTGGATATGCCGAAGAATATGTAATAAAAATCTGTCTGAATAAACCCAAATATTCTCCTTTTCAATAATTAGAAAATAAAAATTCTAATTGAAAGCATTGTCTCAGAGTTAAATGATCAATGTTTTATTTTTATTAGTGGTACATAAGATATTGTGCGTCTTACAATTGATAACATCTTAGATTTAATGAAATATGGTATTTTTAGTCTTCATTGTAGCTATAGGACAAGCATATGAGCCAGTGTCCTACAATAAAATAAACCTACATGAAACTTTGTGTCAGACCTGACCTATGTGAATAAACAGGTTTCTATTTTTGGTGACTTGAGTGTGGCTGATACAGCATTGTTCTGAGTTGGTTGTGGCTGCTATTTGGGCTTGTGGTGCATGGTGGTTCAGAAAGTGTACTGGAAGCTTGGTTCTAATCTGTTCTTCAGCAACTCAATGATTCTGTGAGCTATCTAACATCCACAAACAAATTCCTTTAATGTAGAGACTAGCCGAAGCAGATTTTGCTGTTTGCATTTAAGAACACTAATAACACATAAACTATATTTGAGAATACAATTGCTGGAAAAAGGACTAACAATGCATAAATAATTCTGGGCCTTGACGTTCACTTGGGAAAATAAAAACTATTCTGAGTCCCACCTTACACCATATAAGAAATAAATTTCAGGTAATTAAATATCTAAATGCATAAATACAATCAGAATAAATATATTAATAATAACTGGAATCTGTGAAGGTATACAAAATCATGCATACATTGGTAAGGATTATCAATACACACGATCTTGTTTTTGTAAACAATTTGGGCATTATTTATCAAAATAGTAAATGTGCAATTCTTTGTAGCAAACTTTACCTCTAAGAATCCTATAGTAATATAATACATATTTGCAAAGATTTCTATATAGAAGTCTTTATGACAGCATGGTTTGTTATAGGAAATAGAAAATGAATCAGTCTATACAATCTACAATAGGGGAATTGTAAAATAAATAATGGTATGTCTGTGTAATTAAATATTCTGCAACAATATCAAAAAATGAGGTAGATCTTTACGTAATAAGCCTGATGGACATACATGATATAATCCATAATGTATGTGAGAATGTGTACACATTGAGAATGTTTGCATACACTAATACCTTAAAAGATGCCCAACTGTGATCCTCCTTGAGGTAAGAGACTGATAAGAAAGGAATGAGAGTTTTTAACGTTTTATTCTGTGTTGTAGGAATTTATTATAATGAAGATTATTGCTTTTATAATTTAAAAAGCAATAAGGCTTAAAAATAGAAATGGCCTCTTCAAAGGCAACAAGTCTTTCTTCTGAGGTTTTTGGCTATAGATTTAGTGGAAGTGATTTAGATTCTATGGAGTTTCTTTTTGTGAGAATGAGCACCCCAGTCCAGTGCAGGTAGCTATTCAGAACACTGTTGCCAAGTCTGCTCATATAATTTAGGGTCCCCATCTGGATGCATGCACTCATTTGGCTGGAACAACAAATTTACCTGTCTTTGCATAAGCTTAGCCACATCATTCCTTAAAAATATGTGTGTGTAATGGACTTTGTATAAGGGAACAATAGAAAGTCTTCCTCTTTCTTGTTTTATTTTTCTGACATTTATTAACTCACATATGCTATCTTTGAAATAAAAAGTTTTCCATATGCAGAAAAATGAACCTAGATTTATCAAATATATTGACTATAAATGAAGTAAATATTCATTACTGGAAGAATTACCATATTTAGACGTCTTGTAAAGCAATAGTCAATTGTATTACAGAACCAATTCAGAAGTACAGCTCAGAAATAAGCCTACAAATAGACAAAACTCAACTTTGTTTTGACACTGAGAAATCTGAGGCAGTTAAAATTGACAATTATCTCAGAACAAATCAAAAACTTTCTCACCATTTTAAGTTATTAAAAAGTACCTGTCAAAAGCTTCTGGCTAACTCTCAGAAAAGCTGTTTAACTTCAAGAAATGCTAAAGTAAATTAGAGGAAAAACAAAATGATAGATTCTGCTAAATAAGAAATGCAAAAAAATACTCTGTATTATTTGCTGTGCTTGGATATTCTGTGAACAATCCTAAAGGTACTAGTGGTTAAAATCATGTTATGAAAAGCAATATGTGCCAGCGATGCTAAATATGCATACTTCCCAGTGGCCGAGGTAAATTTAAAAAAATCTTTATACATACTTTAACTATGAAGAAAATATAAACTTTGTGATGTTAAACAAGGAGATGGTTTAGGATAATATGAAAAAATCATGTTGTTATTAGATAGAGAACAAAGTGTTTGTGTGTATTTACTGTAATGTTTTCTAAGTCGCATCCCCGCCCACCAATGTGCTGATATTGAAATGTCTATGATTTGATTCAAAAATGGCATCTTAGATCAAGGGTAAGTCCTTTTCCTAATAGGCCACTAAGCTTGTGTTTGTTGCTAATTTCACTGAAGTGTAATACAGTTTTAAAATTGCCTTTTACTTGCAGCCTTTCAAAAATGTTAATTAGGCCCCCACCAATTTCAAGCTTGTATTGCAATTCTATGTGTAGACAAATGGAGTGTCTTATTGATTTTTGTATTCCCTAGGATATAGATTAGTACATTGACCAAAATGCTTATTCACAAAATGTTTTATGATTGACAATTAATGCATAGCTTTACTGCAGATATTTGTCATCTCGGCTATAACACAATAAGGCAATTGGTTTACTATTCAGTACCTAGCAGATTAATGTTCCTGCTTCCATAGAAACCTAAGCTTTGGTTACTGCGACATGTTAGTGAAAATACAAATGTGTTATCTCTTTCTTGTGGAAGGCAGTAATTTTGCCTCAATTCAGAGATACGATATTCTATACCTGGTATAAATTTGTGCTATTTAAGAGTCTACAAAGTTGTACTGATGCACATAAATTTTGCCATATGACATTTTTATGGAAATTGAGAAAAATCAGTTTCTTATTATTTAATAATCTTATCTTTTAAAATTTTACATTATGAAAATTTCTCAGATACCAGAAATTATGCTAATCCTTTTGGGCAAATAAGATTTTCTTGGGCAAATTAAATTTCATTTTTAATTGTTAGCTATTTAAACATTGTCAAGTGCCATTGCTAAAGAACAAATATTATTAGTTCCAAAAATCTTATATATAGTTATATTAATTTTGCTCTATAATTCCAAATTATTATATCTAGGTTAATACAGATTACTTCCTGATTTCCTAAAACATAATTTCTCCAAGTTCCTTGGGTACTTAGTAAAAGAATATGGAATTTTTGTCATGTATTATATTTTTATTATATCTGTATTTCTCTAGCATAAAGTAATTTCTAATTATAGATTCCAAATAAAGATGGATATAAGTATCTCATATTTCTTTAATGGTTTCTCATGCAAAATACTTGTGAGAATTAAAGCGAACACAATAACCAGAACAGATTACTACCAGAATACCAAAATTTGTCATTATGAAAGAGGATGTTATATCTTCCCACTAAAGACGAATTATGATTTCATGTTTACCTTTTAATCCTTGCTAGACATTCATCCTTGTTTTGGAGTAAGTGCAATGGTAATTGAAATTTGTCCAATACCACAGAGTTAGTAACCAGTAGACTTGTGATTAGCAATGGTGGTATTAGGAAAGAAAGAAGCTGCCAAAAGTAAGAGGGGTACAGGGTTTTGACTTGATACTAGGAGGCTAAAAACAAAAAAGCTCATTGCGAATGACTTGCATTTAAAAAGAGAAAAATAATGACTTCATTTTTATTAAGAAACCTGGCAGGCGCCACCTTAACCAAGTGATTGGCTCCTCTAGTTTCACTGAAAGTTTTGATCCCTCTCCTCAACCTGCATGTTATCAATGCCTGCGGATCTGTCTTTAGCAACACAAAACAGCTGCTCCTGTCACTAAATTAAAATCTTAAACACTTTGTTGCTAATTCTCATTAAAATTTTGACTGTGACAAATAATCTTATTTGGGACTTAGTGGCTCATTGCTAATGACTAGAGTTTAAAAAGCTAAAAATAATTACTTCATTTTTATTAAGAAACCTGGCAGGCACCACCTTAACCAAGGGATCAAGATTAACATCACCTGTCCTAAGATATACTGCTATATATCATGTATCTCTGATATATATATCACAAAACGCTTTATGATTGACAATTAGTGCATAGCTTTACTGCAGATATTTATCATCTTGGCTTGTTATCACTAAAAAGGACACATCACTTCCATTATATTTTTTCACAAAATTAATATCCTCATGCTAACCATTTAAAAAATCAGGTAAACCCAATTGAGGGACATTCTACTAAATACTTGACCACTATTCTTTAATGTGTCAAGGTAATAAAAGGTGAGAAAAGGCTAAGAAACTGTCATAGATCAGAGGAGACTAAAGAGACATGACAACTAAATGAAATGTGGTACCCAGGACTGAGTTCTGGATCAAAAAAGACATTAGTGGCGAAACTGGGGAACTTCAAATAAAGTCTATAATCAGTAGTAGTACATCCATATAAAATTCTTAGTTTTGATAAATGTACCATAGTTATGTAAGATGCTAACACTAGGGGAATTTGGGTAAGGAGTAAATTGGAATTATTGCAGTTTTTCTATAAGTCTAAAAAAAGTTAAAATAAAATCTAAAACATTTAATTTAGGTATGCTCACACAAATTTTTATAAACAAATAAATTTCTATAGCAACATTACTAACATGAATCAAACTCTAATGTCCATGAATCACTCTACTGCCTATTAACAGTAAAAAGAATAAATATACTGTTACAGTTATACAATGGAATACTATTCACTAATAAAAAATAGACTATAATATGGATGAATATCATAAATATTATGCTGAGAAAATGAGACAAACACCAAAAAGTAATTATTGACCAATTCTATTAATAAGAAATTATAGAATAAGCAGAACTAATCTATAATGATAGATACCATATAAGTGGTTGCCTGGGGCTTATGGTACTGGGAGGGGGTGCGGTTATTGACCAGAAAGAAATTGACTATGGAGTAACTATTTGGATGTGATGAATATATTACATACCTTGACGGTAGATGGACTCCATGGGCAACTACATTTATCAGAACTTTCTGAACTGTACACTTAAAATGAGCTCTTTTTTATTGTATTTAGATGATGTCTTAATAAAGTTGATTTAAAATTCAAAAAATATGATCATCAAGAGAGTTAGTTAAACATGCTTTGTTAATTCCTCATAATGGCATAGCACGGTCACGATTTCTGGTGTACAAATGCACTTGGGTGCTCTTTTTTTTCTTTCTTTCAAATTTGGCATGGACCCAGAACTATTTTCTGAAGAAAAATCCTCTGCTACCTCAGTACTGAGAGGAAGTGGCCATCTGTCCAGATAACTGTCCTGATTGGCATCTCCAATTTCACTCAAAGTTTTGATCTGTCTCCTCAACCTGCATATTATCAACGCCTGTTCTGTCCTTAGTTAGCAACACAAAACAGCTGCTCTTGTCGCCAAATTTAAATCTGAAACATTTTGTTGCTAATTCTCATTAAAATTTTTACTGTGACAAATAATCTTATTTGGGACATTGCCAGAATAATAAGTGGTTATTCTGTTTATCTAGAAGTATAAATTCTTTGGTCTTCCTAAATTTGCTTTTAATAAATTATATAATACTTCGACATAAGACCATCAGCTTGGGTTGAGAAAGCTACTAGGGAGAATACATAAAACTCAATACTTAACTACTCAACATTTAACTACTCATTCAGCTTTTTAAAACACTTCATTTATGATGTGAAGTTTGAGGTTCCTGTCAGAAACCCAAGTGGATATGTAAAGCCAGGAATGAAGTATGTTAAGTTCCAAGAAGTATATTGTTTTAAATGGGGAAGAGGCTGCGCACAGTGGTTCACACCTATAATCCCAGCACTTTGGGAGGACAGGGTGAAAGGATCACTTGAAGCCAGGAGCTCAAGAGCAGTCTGGGCAACATAGAGAGACCCTGTCTCTACAAAAAAAATTTAATAATTAGCTGGATGTGGTGGCACAAGATTTGCAGCGATAAACAAAGGTCATCTTACGAAAACCAAAACAATGAGCTTGGACGATTTTCTGTATGCAACAGTAGTCCCAGCTACTAGGGAGGCTGAAGCAGGAGGATGACTTGAGCCCAGGAGTTCAAGGCTGCAGTGAGCTATGATCACCACTGCACTCCAGCCTGCACAACAGAATGAGACCATGTCTTATTAAAAAAAAAATAATAATCAGGGATAATAGGCCACATGCTGTATTTAACAAGTAAGGAGGCACTGGTACTGACCAATCAGGAGAAACAGCCCCAGAGTATTGCAGCAGGTATTGAAGATTCCCCCACCCCTGCTGCACCAGTTTTCATCACTGGCTCCTGGAGGGAGAGGATAAAGATTAGCAGAGACTTCTGAGAGAGGGTCCACAGCAGAAATGGGTAAAGAGAAAGCATTCAAAGCGGTGGCTATTTACCAATCAGTAAGAAGGTATGATATTTCAACATTTTAACAACCAGGATGCCTGTACTAATGCATACTAGCTGAATATCAATCCTGAATGCAATTGATCATTATATCAGGAAATAGCTTATTATGAAGATTGTTGGGGAAAATTTCTTTCAGAACAATGGAAATTTATATAGTTCTTAAGCATCTGGCTTTTTTTCTAATTGCACTTGCTATTTTATTTTTTATTTTTGTGGGTACATAGTGGGTATATATATTTATGGGGTGCATGGCATATTTTGATACAGGCATATCCCTTGGATATACTGAATCTCAAAAATGTCTTCTATGAGAAGCTTAAAACAATATTTTCATCCAACTTCAGCTATTATATTACACAGTTTAAAAGAAGATACCTTGTATTCCTGATTTGGTTGTATTTTATTTTTATTCTAATTTATTTATGTATGTATTTATTTATTGAGATGGAGTTACGCTCTTGTTGCCCAGGCTGGAGTGCAGTGGCACGACCTTGGCTCACTGCAGCCTCTGCCTCCTGGGTTCAAGTGATTTTCCTGCCTCAGTCTCCCAAGTACCTGGGATTACAGGCATGCGCCACCACGCCCGGCTAATTTTGTATTTTTAGTAGAGACGAGGTTTCTCCATGTTGGTCAGGCTGGTCTTGAACTCCCGACCTCCTGCCTCTGCCTCCCAAAGTGCTGGGATTACAGGCGTGAGCCGCGGCGCCCGTCCTCTTTTTTATCTTTGGAAGAAAGTTTCTCATTGATTTTTTTATCCTATTGTATGCATTTATTAAACCAATAAATGCTTATTTTAAAATATTAAAAATTTTTAAAAATTAATACATTTTGTATTAAAGATACGTATTACACACATACACACACACACACACACACACACACACACACAAATAGGTTAACTTTACTGAGTTTAAGCAAAGAGGTGATAGGTGATATCTGAACTGGGAATTGAAAGACAAAGGTGTTTACTTGGTAGACATGAGGACGAGGACATTCCAGGGAGAAGTCATAGCATGTTTAAAGGCATAACTTTGTGAATATGGCAGAGCATATTTTGAAGTAGTTCGTTCTTTATTAGAAGAAATGGGCGGGGTGAGGAGTGATTTGCAGAGATAAACAGAGGTCATCTTACAAAAACCAAAACAATGAGCTTGGACTATTTTCTGTATGCAACAGAAATTTAATAAATAATTTTAAGCATGAGAGAAATGTGAATTAATTTGTAATTTAGAAAAAATACTTTAGGAGTAATATATAAAATTACTTTGAAGATGGAAGAGGTTAGAAACTGGGATGTAAATTAAATGGCTATTGAAATATTTTAAGCCAAATATAACAAGAAAAGTTGTTCCAGGCGCGGTGGCTCACACCTGTAATCCTAGCACTTTGGGAGGCTGTGGCGGATGGATCATGACGTTAGGCGTTCAAAACCAGCCTGGCCAAAATGGTGAAACCCTGTCTCTACTAAAAATACAAAGATTAGCAGCGTGTGGTGGCAGGCGCATGTAATCTCAGCTACTTGGGAGGCTGAGGCAGGAAAATTGCTTGAACCCAGGCAGCAGAGGTTGCAGTGAGCTGAGATCACATACCTGCACTCCAGCCTGGGAGATAGAGTGAGACTCCATCTCAAAAAAATAGATAAATAAATAAAGAGCTTTTACATTATTTTGTTTAGCACTGTTCTAATCCCACCACACTTTCCACAGCCCCATAAAAACACTCCTGTAACTGTACTAGTATCTTACACCTTTTCTAGAATGGTCTACCCACCTTCTTGCCTTTCTTCGTCAAACTTTTCCCATTCCCCAAAATGCAGTCCACATCTCTCCATTTACAGGAAGCATTACCTAACTATTTCAGCCATTATGAGTCACTCTCTTCTCTCAGTTTTCAGATTCTACCAAATTTACAAAACACTATTAAGAATTCAATCTTGTTTTGTATGTTTATTTTATCTCTACCACAAGAACATGTGCATCTTGAGTAGCAGAATCATATATAATAATTTCTTATGACCTCTCTTCCCACCTTCCTCACAGTAGTTAGCATTAAGAGCACATTGAAAACCTTTGTGTGCTTCAATATAAAATTTTTTAACTTAATTCTTTATGACTAATGTCAGCTGCTAGTAAGAAACCATAAATAACTAGCTTTAATAAGACAGAACTTCATTTCTCTGCATTTAATTTTAAAAGCTAAAGTAAAACAACCATGGTAGCAGTGGTGACTCCACTTGTCATCAAGGAACCAGTGCCTTATCCTTCTGATTCCCTACCCTTAGCAGATGACTTATATCCTCAAGGCTTCTTTGTGGTCCCAGGTAACAGCTAGAGTTATCCAGCTATTATATGCAGGAAGGAAGCAGAAAGGGAGCAGTGATGGACAGAAACTATGTACGGCAACTCTCTGCCCGACCCCTCTGAAAGGTATCTCAGACTTCCTCCCTAACAAATTCTGGTAGTATTTCTTTATTCTCCGCTAACTCCAAGAGTGGCTGGGAAATACAGTCTTTTAACTAGGCACTATAAAACCCAAAATTAAATCAGAAGTCATACTAAGGAAGAAAGTTTGAGTGAGTATCCGGTAGGCATTTCACAGTCTCTGCCACAGCATGTTCAATATTTTAATACATGTTTGGTGTCTTTTAACCTAAAGAGCATTGTGCATTGTGCCATATTTGAATTTAACAGAGCTAAATTCAGGCTCTAGCCTGAATTTATATCCCAGCTCCAGCTGTTACCAGTCATTTGAACTTGGGCAAGATATTTTTCCACTCCATATCTCAATTCCCCCATCTGCAAAGCGCGATAATAATAATACCTACATCATGAGTGCTTTTAAAGATTAAATGAGCTAATAAATGAAATCACCTGACTCCGTATCTGACTGCTCATGTTAGTATTTGCTATTATTGTCATGTGTGTTCTGTGAGGATAGGTCTAATTGCCGTTTTGAGTAGCAAGATCCAAATTTGGCTCCTCTAACACCTATGAGGAGCTTTTGTTCAGCATTTATAATGCCTTGCTTTTCTTCAAATTTCAGCATTGTTCTCATTCTTAAAGAATCTGGAAACAGAACTTGAGTATTATCATCACTCCCCTCTCTATCAATTGTTTGACAATGCGTCCTTTGAAGGAGCATTCCATAGGAGGACTAGCACCACAGCCTGTAAAGAGTTTGGACATCGGGTCTAGCCTGCCCTACCAGTGATTTATTGCATACCAAGACAGAAGTGCAAATAAAAGACTGCAGAAAAAGAGAGAGAGTAATGCCCAAATATAAGCTTTACTCCTGTGCAATTTTGCTTAGGACCAGTATTTCCATGCTTCAGTGGTCTATGGCTTAAAATACTTAATAAAGCTCTATTCAGCACCTGAATCTTGAATACCTATAAAAAAGAAATATTTCAATCTATTATGTAAAACATTATTTTTCCTGACAAGACTTCTTATGTATTTGAAACTGCCTTGCAAGCATTTAATAGTAAAGTTTTTTTTTCTCTTTTTGGTGTCTAAAAGAAGTTTCAAAGTTACAAATGATTTTTACTTGTTAATCATAATAAAGTGGTTTTAATTCTAACCACTGCAGCATTCTCTGTTCCTTCTCAGGATGACCTGGCATCACTAGCTGGTTATATTGCTCCTTATCTGATTGGAGCCTTGTCAGGAATGCTCACCTCTTAGAACTGCCAACTGAGGCGATGCCACGTCAGCTCATTGACTCACGGCATTGAAATGAAACTAACAACTGGGACTGAAACTACAGGTCCTGTGGACAATGGCATCACAGACACATGATCTAGAGCTATGGCTTCACGTTGATCACAAGTCGGAGCTGGAACATTTTCCTTGCATTTAAATTGCTGATGCATTTCTTTCTTGAATCAGGGAAATGACCCATATTTAAAGCATGTATTTCTGCAGTTTCTCTAGCCTCAACTATGAGTATAACATGGTATTGAAAACAGTATAGCTGTGTATTCCAGGCATGTTATTGCGACCATTATGGTAAACTTTTATTTTTTAAAAAACAAACATCAATTATCTTAGACTGTTGTAAAGACAAAGCAACTACACAGTAAAACAAAAATCTATGGACCTGTCCAACTGTTTTAAGAAGGGAAGAAGTCATGCTGAGAAGTATCACAAACAGAGAAGGCTGCTGATTCTTTTCTTCCTCCTCAAGGCATAGTCATTTAACAAGTGCAGCCCTGAATAATCTAACACCATCTCATACCAGCCCTATTGTTTGTTTAAAAATTGGGGCAAGATGCATCTCCATATTGTATTCCTTTATCCATTTCTACATTAAGAAGATGATAAAAATTCAGTATCACCATTTGAACCTAATTTATTTTAAATGATCTAACTAGTAATAAAAACTATACAATAATGACAAGTACAATATGATTTATGGCCCAAAAGCAGTTATCTGGCAGAATGCATTACTATGAAAGGATTTATGGTCTTTCTTGATGTTGTAAGAGTATGTCTGTCAAGCTGGAGGTTGCCAAAGGATGACATGGGTAGAGGTGATTTTCACTCAAAAGAGAGAGCAAAATGAGTTTAGGCATATGATAATTAGCTCAAAGTACTCTCAGCAGTGATCTTTGATTTAGATCTATCTCACCTTTGCTTATACACACATGATTAGAATCCTCACATTTAATGTCTACATATTCTATTTTACCCTTGTGATATTCTTTATCTGCCCCATTGCCTACCTTTTCAGACTTATAAGTCTATAACACACCAAGTGGGAGGGAGTCTTGGAGTTATCCAGGCCTACGCTCCAACACCTGTGAGAATGATGCCAATATTGAATTAATTTGTACAGAAAATATTACCTGCAAAGTGAAAAGTGGCATATTGTTATGGAAACACAAACAATGCACAATGTCTGGCACTGGTAAGTATTTAAAAACACATTTGGCTAGGCATGGTGGCTCACACCTGTAATCCCAGCACTTTGGGAGGACGAGGTGGGTGGATCACGAGGTCAGGGGATCATGACCATCCTGGCTAACATGGTGAAACCCTATCTCTACTAAAAATACAAAAAAAAAAAAAAATTAGCTGGGTATGGTGGCATGCGCCTGTAGTCCCAGCTACTTGGGAGGCTGAGGCAGGAGAATCGCTTGAACCCAGGAGGTGGAGGTTGCAGTAAGCTGAGATTGTGCCATTGCACTCCAGCCTGGGTGACAGAGCAAGACTCCATCTCAAAAAAAAAAAAAACAAAAAAAAAAAAAAAAAAAACTCGTGAATGAGAAACTGGACCATAACTCAAGGAATACAGGCTTGAATTGCAAAAGATCCAATTGTTAGCTGCATAAATGGGGATGTCCACTTACTATGATGGCAAAAGAATGTACTTCCCCAAAGTTTACCTAACAGACTATTTTCATGTGTAATGAGAGAAGAAACTCTGCATTATCAGATAACCAGTATCTTCCTGTCTTTCTGCAGAATATACCAACTGATGCTATGATGGTAGGTCCCTAGGAAGCCTGGGTAATCTGCTCCCAACACTTGAGTTGCATGCTTACCAGGTGCCCACTAATGAGTACATTATGGTGCTGGCTCTTGGCATTGTAAATATATATTTGAATTAATTATTATATACATTTATGGAAATAGGTATGTAGAAAAAAGAGTTGTTTCTATGAACACTCAGCTGGATCCTTTGAAAAGACTTCATAAATGTGAACCTATTTAAATTCATTTTCAAATCAGTCATCTTGAGAAAACTAAAAAATTGAGAGGGATCATAAAATATATAAAAGAAATTTGTGCTTTATTGGCTCCACAAGTATCTTTACAGTCTTGTTCTACTTTAAAGAAACTAAATGAGGAAGTTATATATAAGGAATTTCAGATGAAGTTTAGGCAAGAAGATGGAATAAAAGCAGGGCATTCAGAATTTTTAAAAAGGCCTTAGCACAATATTAAAATATTTAGAAATTAATGCTGATTTTTATAATCAATTTACATAAAAATGCAGTACATTAAGCATACATCATTTTTAAGTTTTCTATGTAAAGGACTTTTTATGATCCTTTTTTCAACTAACCAGCCCATCATTGGTCCAGATAGTGTCAGAAAACAGGGATTTATCTCAAACGTATTTTAAATAATTTTAAAGGTTGTAAAGTCTTATAGAAATTTAAAGTATATACACCTATATTTGTATTACCAAAAATTCACAGTCAGCAAATGTAGAAGTCACCATGAACCAAGGAAAAACTGATTAATGTACAGTTAATTCTGAAGTCAAGAAGATATATACTGTGGCTTGAAAAGAGTTGACATAAAACTTCAGTGCTCCCACATCGCACTTATTCTAAAATTGACCACATAATTGGAAGTAAAACACTCCTCAGCAAATGCAAAAGAACAGAAATCATAACAGACAGTCTCTCAGACCACAGTGCAATCAAATTAGAACTCAGGACTAAGAAACTCACTCAAAACCGCGCAACTACTTGGAAACTGAACAATCTGCTACTGAATGACTACTAGGTAAATAATGAAATTAAGGCAGAAATAAACAAGTTCTTTGAAACCAATGAGAACAAAGACACAATGTATCAGAATATCTGGGACACAGCTAAAGCAGTGTTTAGAGGGAAAGGTATAGCACTAAATGCCCACAGGAGAAAGTGAGAAAGATCTAAAATCTACTCCCTAACATCATAATTAAAAGAACCAGATAGGCAAGAGCAAACAAATTCAAAAGCTAATAGAAGACAAGAAATCACTAAGATCAGAGCAGAACTGAAGGAGAGAGACACATGAAAAATCCTTCAAAAAAATCAATGAATCCAGGAGCTGGTCTTTTGAAGATTAACAAAATAGATCACTAGCCAGACTAATAAAGAAGAAAAAAGAGAAGAATCAAATAGACGCAATAAAAAATGATAAACAGGATATCACCACTGATCCCACAGAAATACAAACTACCATCAGAGAATACTATAAACACCTCTATGCAAATAAACTATAAAGTCAAGAAGAAATGGATAAATTCCTGGACACATACACCTTCCCAAGACTAAACCAGGAAGAAGTCGAATCCCTGAATAGACCAATAACAAGTTCTGAAATTGAGGCAGTATTTAAAAGCCTACCAATCAAAAAAAGCCCAGGACCAGATGGATTCACAGCCGAATTCTACCAGAGGTACAAAGAGGAGCTGGTACTATTCCTCCTAAAACTATTCCAAACAATAGAAAAAGAGGAACTCCTCCCTAACTCATTTTATGAGGCCAGCATCATCCCGATACCAAAACCAGCAGAGACACAACAACAACAACAAAAATTTAGGCCAATATCCCTGATTATCATTGATGTGAAAATCCTCAATAAAATACTGGCAAACCAAATCCAGCTGCACATCAAAAAGCTTATCCACCACGATCAAGTAGGCTTCATCTCTGGGATGCAAGGCTGTTTCAACATATGCAAATCAATAAAAATAATCCATCACATAAACAGAATCAATGACAAAAACCACGTGATTATCTCAATAGATGCAGAAAAGGCCTTCTATAAAATTCAACACCCTTCATGCTAAAAACTCTCAATAAACTAACTATTGATGGAACATATCTCAAAATAATAAAAGCTATTTATGACAAACCCACAGCCAATATCATACTGCGTAGGCAAAAGCTGGAAGCATTCCCTTTGAAAACTGACACAAGACAAAGATGTCCTCTCTCACCACTCCTATTCAACGTAGTGTTGGAAGTTCTGGCCAGGGCAATCAGGCAAGAGAAAGAAATAAAGGGTATTCATACAGGAAGAGAGGAAGTCAAATTTTCTCTGTTTGTAGATAACATGATTGTATATTTAGAAAACCCCACCGTCTCAACTTCAAATCTCCTTAAGCTGATAAGTAACTTCAGCAAAGTCTCAGGATGCAAAATCAATGTGCAAAAATCTCAAGCATTCCTATACACCAATAATAGACAAACAGAGAGCCAAATCATGAGTGAACTCCCATTCACAATTGCTACAAAGAGAATAAAATACCTCGGAATACCACTTACAAGGGATGTGAAGAACTTCTTCAAGGACTACAAACCACTGTTCAAGGAAATAAGAGGACACAAACAAATGGAAAGACATTCCATGCTCATGGATAGGAAGAATCAATATCGTCAAAATGGCCATACTGCCCAAAGTGATTTATAGAATCAATGCTATCCCCATCAAGCTACCATTGACTGTCTTCACAGAATTGGAAAAAACTAATTTAAATTTCATATGGGACCAAAAAAGAGCCTGTATAGCCAAGACAATCCTAAGCAAAAAGAACAAAGCTGGAGGCTTCATGCTACCTGACTTCAAACTGTACTACAAAGCTACAGTAACAAAAACAGCATGGTACTGCTACCAAAACAGACATATAGACCAATGGAACAGAACAGAGGCCTCAGAAATAATGCCACACATCTACAACCATCTGGTCTTTGACAAACCTGACAAAAACAAGCAATGGGGAAAGGATTCCCTATTTAATAAATGGTGTTGGGAAAACCGGCTAGCCATATGTAGAAAGCTGAAACTGAATCCCTTCCTTATACCTTATACAAAAATTAATTAAAGATGGATTAAAGACTTAAACGTAAGACCTAAAACCATAAAAACCCTAGAAGAAAACCTAGGCAATACCATTCAGGACATAGGCATGGGCAAAGATTTCATGACTAAAACACCAAGAACAATGGCAACAAAAGCCAAAATTGACAAATGGGATCTAATTAAACTAAAGAGCTTCTGCAAAGCAAAAGAAACTATCATCAGAGTGAACAGGCAACCTACAGAATGGGAGAAAATTTTTGCAATCTATCTATCTGACAAAGGGCTAACATCCAGAATCTACAAGGAACTTAAACAAATTCACAAGAGAAAAACAAACAACCCCACCAAAAAGTGGGCGAAGGATATGAACAGACACTTCTCAAAAGAAGACATTTATGTGGCCAACAAACATATGAAGAAAAGTTCATCATCACTGGTCATTAGAAAAATGCAAATCAAAACCACAATGAGATACCATCTCATGCCAATTAGAATGGCAATCATTAAAAAGTCAGGAAACAACAGATGCTGGAAAGGATATAGAGAAATAGGAATGCTTTTACACTGTTGCTGAGAGTATAAATTAGTTCAACCATTGTGAAGACAGTGTGGCGATTCCTCAAGGGTCTAGAACCAGAAATACCATTTGATCTAGCAATCTCATTACTGGGTATCTACCCAAAGGATTATAAGTTATCTTACTATAAAGACACCTGCACACGTATGTTTATTGCAGCACTCTTCACAATGACAAAGACTTGGAACCAACCCAAATCCCCAGCAATGTTAGACTACCTAAAGAAAATGTGGCACATATACACATGGAATACTATGCAGCCATAAAAAATGTGAGTTCATGTCCTTTGAAGGGACATGGATGAAGCTGGAAACCATCATTCTCAGCAAAGTAACACAGGTACAGAAAACCAAACACCACATGTTCCCACTCATAAGTGGTAGTTGAACAATGAGAACATAATGGACACAGGGAGGGGAACATCACACACTGGGGTCTATCAGGGGGTGGGGGACTAGGGGAGGGGTAGCATTAGGAGAAATACCTAATGTAGATGATGGGTTGATGGTTGCAGCAAACCACCATGGCACGTGTATACCTATGTAACAAATCTGCACATTCTGCACATATATCCCTGAACTTAAAGTACAAAAAAAAAAAAAGCCACCAGACATTGTAACATACAGCCAAATATTTCTAAATGATAAAAGAAAAACTTCAGTGCTCATCAATTGGAAGTGTGACCCAAACTCTTCCTAAACTTCAGCAGGTTTACCAAAAACAAGTAACTATCTCTCTTCTCTTTCTCTCTCTTCATCTACCTGTAGATGTGTAAAATAATTTTATGTATGTGCACCATAATTTTTTACATATATACCATATGTACTTAAGTACACATGAAAATATACATATACACCATGCGTGTTCCTATAAATGCACTGTTATATATGTCTACGGAACACTGAACACTCCATTTACTCTTACATCTTATTCCTATAAACTTAATTTTCAGTCATCAATGTGAAGATTCAGAAGTGAAATTACTT
This sequence comes from Homo sapiens, assembly GCF_000001405.40. Taxonomy (NCBI): domain Eukaryota; kingdom Metazoa; phylum Chordata; class Mammalia; order Primates; family Hominidae; genus Homo; species Homo sapiens. The sequence continues at coordinate 209,375,545 of NC_000002.12, forward strand.
AAGAGGAAACTTCACACCTAGCTCACACCTTCTTATAGATTTTCTGTGGCAGCAGGTTCTCAAACTTTCCTCTTGACATTTAGAAAGCCTCACTGCTGATCTTAGGTAATAGAACTTGACACCTGAACAATATGCCCTACATTTTCAGAACACTTTGAATCTACTGATTAATCTACATACTATCTTTGTGAAGTGAATAATTACAATTTTCACAAGTTTTTTCAGGCGAGACAACTGAGACTCCATTAAAATGTCTAATAACACATGACAGTAAGGAACTGTATTTCAACACTACTATTTGCAGAGGAAGAACTACATAGGAATGATGAAATAATAGCTCACCAAATAATTATTGAGCATAATTACGTGCTTTGCAAACAAAGAAGAATTGTTTCTGCCCTTAAAGCAATTACAATAGAATCTGATATGTATGAAGAGATTTGTTTGAGGCACTGTTGAAGCATGGGGCAGAAACAACTAACTGCCATTTGTGGGGAATGGTAGAAAATGTGCTTCTAAAATAACCATGATGGAGCATCTTGAAGAGCAGGATTTTATTTAGCAGACAGAGAAGAGAACGATGTTCCCATGAGAGCACTGTGACATACCAAGGTACAGAAGTGTGAAATGCCTTTCTCAGCCAAATAAAATTATACCAATGCAGCAGGCCTGGATGAATCCAAATATTCAGTAGGAAATTTTAGAATATATAGAAACCACATGGTGAAGAACCTATAAATCCATGCTATGAAATCTTAAATCTATTTTAGGCTCCCAGGAATCACTGGAGGAGTTGACAGAGGAGAGCGAATGACATGATCCTATTTGTGTTACAGGAGATTTTTTTCTGTAAAGAAGGACTGGCTCAATTCATTAACTTGAACAACAAAGGGAATAAGTTGAAGGGAAGAAAGACGTAAATTAAGCTGCAGCACTGAGAATGAAGAGAATAGCAGTTTCAACTCTCATTTTACAGGTATAATTAACAAAATTCAATGCTTTTAAATGTAATTGATAACTTTCCTTCTCTACTGGCTTTTTAAAATGTGCCAATTTTTTCACCTCAGGACATTTCTTGATTTGGTTTTGCAATATAGTAGTACATAACCTAGCTCCCTGGGTTGTTTCATGACCAAATGGAGTACATATAGATTCAAAAATCACATAATTCCATATTTCATCTGAAGATATTCTTGTCTAAAGTGACAACATTGCTTCTTCTTAACCTGGAGTCTAGACTTAAATAAAATGTACAGGATCAATTTCTACTTCTCTCCCAAATGAAACCAAATTGACCAACAGGTCTGCAGAGGGAACCAGTCAGCTGCAGCATGAGTTCTCACTTCTGTCTCACTTCAGAGAGAAAAGAAGGACATGAAGTATCAGCAGAGGGTGTTCAGTTGCTCCTAATCTTGTGGCTCCATAAAAGTAACTACAGAGGTCAATCAAGTACCTCGTGCCTTCTAAAAACCTTTCCAATTTTGTTCAAAATAAACAACTCTTGCTTTTCAAGCAATAATTTGAAGACATAATTTACATTTTATCATCTAATGTAAAATGTTAAAAAAGTAGTTTCAAAATTATGAAAAATGGAATAGTTTTAAGAAATTATGTCTCTAATCCGTACATAAGTACACGAGCAATGCACACACACAAAATGGAAACATCTAAGATTTGTCAATAAACATTAACTTAAAAATAATACCTAGCTAAAGAGATACCCAAGGTTATTCATGGGATAGTACCCAGGCTCTATGCATCATGTGGAAAGCTATGACATCATAAATTAAAAGCCAAATAATTTTGAAAAATTCTATTTTAGTACTAGCTGTATTATAGTTCATTAAGGTATGAGGTCTAATGTAGACATGTTTAGTTGCCACTTATTTTTACTAACTCACTTCTATATTAGAGTGTAAGGTAGAAATCATGGAGTCATGTTTACTAATAATGGTAAGAGGAAGATAAATGGCTGACAAACATCCTATATGTCTTCAATTCATTTCAAATGATTTCACAAGGGGACTTCTCACTTCCCCTAGAACCCTCCACGAGGAAAACCCATGCTGACTTCCCAGCCTGATTTCTCAGAAAATATGCCCTTTTTTATCAGATTCTACTCAAGGCCCCCACTCTGAAAACTAAAATAAGGGTTTGGGGCCATGCGGGAGGCCTGAGAGTGTGAGGCAGCAAGCACATTGGCAGACAGACAGCTTAGTGGCATCAGGCAGAGAGCAGCAGTGTGCACCCCAGGTCCTGTCTACTCTTTGCCTTCTTGGGCATGAGTTTAGACATGTGAGTTAACCCAGCTGTGTCTCAGTTTTTTCCTCTGTAAAAAGTGTGAGAATTATAATTACTTACCTCTTAAGGATGTTATAACACTAATTAATGTCTCAAAACTCTGTGAATAAAAATCATCCTGCACAGATGCTAATTACTATTATTCATAGATTAGCCATGAGGCCAGATGCAGCAGCAGAAGTGGTAGGCAGGTTTTCAGCCTTTTTAATGAAGGCCAAATGGCAGTGAGTAGGAAGAACTGTGGATAAAAATAAAGCATTAACCAAGGACTTAACATGAAGAACATCACACTAGCAGAGCTGCAGTCACCAGGTGTCCACTGAAATGATGGTGGAGTGCAAATCCCATGACTGAAAATCACCAGAAAGTTCAATTATCTGTGGCAATATTTCACGAAGAAAAAATATTTTTGAATATGACTCTGAATACTAGTGGAGTGAACAAATTGTCAGGAATATTGCTACACTCTGCATAATCAAAATAAGACTCAATCACTTAAAAGACATCATGTGAGCCTACCCGACACCATTGTTTTATTATTTTTAGATACAGAAATTGCAGAATATGGCCAAATTAGAGAATTCCAGAATCTTCCTCAATTGTTACTTTATAATTGAGTTAGGGTATTGTTCCTCGGTAACATTTAAAAGGCTCATTTAAAAAATAGTGTAGTTATTTTCCTATGATTCCTACCATTGCATCCATATCCTTCTGGCCTCTGCCCATGATTCACTTTTTGGCTACACCTAGAGAAGCATGAAGGACAGGTCCTCAATCCTCACTAGCCAATCTGGCCACGTGAGGTGATTTCCATAAAATTTCTTGATCAGGAAAGATGGTTTGAGTGGAAAGTCTGGGAATTCCAAAGCCTTTTCCATCCAAAGATTGCAGAATTCCTAGGCACCCACATATTGCAGATTACTTCACATTTTACACTTTCTCATAAGACTTCTGCAAGATGATGTGAGTGTTTTCAATGTTACAAGTTGCTACCATAGTCTAAGTTCAGAAATACGAAAGTGCGCTTGAGATGTGTATGAGTGAGCAAAGGAATAGGTGGCCCAGTTGGAAGACTCAAAAACTTGCAGTAGGGGTCAGGCCTGAAGAACAACACTTGTTATCTGATATATCTGAACTGTATCTGACAACCATTTATTTTTATGGATATCAGATTCAGCATGAACTGAATTTGTATTTATATGCAAAGTATAACCATGGTTGTTTTCACATTCTAGCTTCAAAAAGAACACAAGTACAAAAGGCATTTCATCTCTTTTCCTTTCAACGAGAAACAGAGGTTCAGAGAACTTATATGACATTGTAAGATAGTGTAGCAACATAAGAGGCCTTTGGCTTCCAGTCTAGTGATCTACCCAATGGCTCCCTCTGATGTCATAATTATTTAAGTGTCCAAAGAGGCCTCTGGGACATGAGTGTGCCACTTCCTGATGGAATCCACCCCTGGTCACAACAATGCACCCAGGCACATTAATGCCCCACTTATAGAAAAGTAAAAATAGTAATAGTAGATTCAAATTGCACCTAACAGCAGTAGCAGAAAGATGAGGAAAGAAGCTAAAATGTGCACTGATATCAAATCACCATGGAGGATTGTCCATTCTTACAACCATCATCTAGGAAGAATCTACGATGTTAAGAGAGACTAGGTCTTTACCCTCAAAGACTGTACCATGTCTGGGAGGAGACAGTCATGAAACAAATAAGCTCCTAAACAGTTAATAAATTACAAGTGAAATAGTGCTAAAATAAATCTAAAAGTTTAATTACCATAAACTCCAATATGTATAAAATCAGCTGTTAGTTTTTGTCATAGTAGTCATATTATTTTTAATGTAAAAAACCTAATTTCAATTGACATAGAAGAAAGTAAAAGTGGATAAAAATAAAGCTCATGATATAACATCAGTTGATATCCCCCTATTCCAAATGGGATTGCAAGCAACTTTCCCTTAGATTTTAGTGCCCTGGGCTTCCAATGCATTTTGAGACTGCATTGACAGCAGATAGAGTTGGGAGTATAATTACCATGAGGGAATACTAAACTAGATGCCAGAAATTGAATTGCGAATAAGAGGACAATGGACCCAGCAATGTGGCATGGTTCAGTCCCCTGGTGCTAGGTCCCTGCCAACTTCGACCAAGAAAAAACTTCTCCTGAGCCTACAGGTGAAAGAAATCTGCAGGTTGATCTCAACCAACAACTATACTTCAAAATGCTCACTGTGACAGTGAATCCCCTTCCCACACTCTTGGCAATTTAACTTGAAAACTGTAACCGCATTTTAGCTTTGGAAGTAAGTGTGTAGCAGATGAGATATCCTTGTTTGTTTATGTGCCTTAATTTCTAGAATATTCTCTTTATGGGTTGTTAAGATTGTTAAAATTAAGCTGTCTCTTCCTGCACTGCAGAATGGCGTTATACCCAGCACCCTGCCCGAGGCTGGTCAGATAATGAAGCAGAACAGCAAGGTAATGAGATATTATAGCAATTCCTAACCCATTCCACACCTGACTGACCCCAGTAATGAGTCAATAAGGCCTGTGGCTCTGTAATAGGAGCTTATGCAGTAGAACAGTGAGGCAGGAAGTTGAAAAAGAAAACCTAGAAGCTGTATTAGAGCAGGTACCATAGCTCCTAGCATTTTTAATAGGCCAATTCAACCTACAATCTGACCTCCTGTGGTACCCAATGGCTTTCTTGCTTCCTTTTCTGAATCACTTCTTAGTTTCAAGTTCCTTATTTTAAAAAAACCCACAAAAAACAGAGGCCTTCTTGTTAAATGAGACATACAAGATTTACAACTTTGAGGTATTAAAAAGTGGAAGTAGAGTGAATACAAATAAAGCTCATGATATGAAATTTAGTTTCTTCTGCTACTAATGTCTTACTCTAAACTCTTCAATTTCTAGAATATATATCGGTAGCATGATACTAGTAGAATTATTGCCTTCACCCCTTGGTTCTACCAATCCTTTCAATTCTTTTAATTCTGCAGCAGTTTCTACTGGTATTCATCTCTTTTTAACCTAATAATCGTACGTGAAATGTTAAAGCCGGATGTTCTGGGCAGTTGTGTCATGATCTTAAATGGATTAAATGTGAAAAGTTAAATATCACAGTTCAGCATGTACCTCTTAAGCCATAAATGGTATTGTAATCGGATGAATAATAGTATATCAAATGATGTACTGAACATTGGTTTCTATGATGATTCCATATGGGAGTCTAGCAGAAGAGAAGGATCAATTGAGTTACTTTTCCAGGAGGCTGGGCACAGAAGGAAGAGTCACAAACATTGACAATAAGATTATCTGGAAGAAGGAAACCTCCGTGTCTCCACAAAGAATGAAATATGAGCCAAAAAAAAAATGAGAACAGGAAAGGATAGATGTAAGAGAGTAATGAGTAACTGCAAACAGAGAAAAAGGATGGTGTGGCACAGACACTGGGGACTCACAAATCATCCAAGTTACGTTTGGATGATTTGTGACTCCATCCAAACATGACTAGTTTTGGAGAGTAAAATATGAATGGCAATGACATGTTATTTACAGTCCTATGTAGCTAAGATAAGAAGTGTTGCACCCCTCCGTCTCTTAGTAGCCATGTGTTCCTAGATTAAAGCTGCTGTGCAATAGAAATATGATGCAAGCCACATATGTAATTTTAAATTTTCTAACAGCCTCATTAAAATTAATAGACTAAATAATCAATAATATTTAATCTAATATATCCAAGATATTATTCTTTCAACATGCAATCAATATAAAAATAATTATTGAGATACTTGATATTCTTTTTATCTTACTATGTCTAATACATCCCATGTGTATTTTACACATATGGCACATTTGGATTCAGACTCCACATATTTCAAGTGTTCAGTAGTCACACGGGACTAGTGGCTACTCTGTTAAGTAACAAAGTTCTAGAAAGTCTTGCTACAAGATGAAAGAAGGCTGCTCTACATTCCACTGTCTGAGTAAGAGAATCTTTTGTTGCATTAAGCAAGTCACTGAAATTTTAGTTTATTTGTTATTAGAGCATAAAATATATTTACCCTGACTAGTATAATAAATGTAATAAAATCAGGACCAACCAAAAGACTTTCCTTTTTCCTCTTAAGTTTAAAGAAATTGAATGTAGTTAAACAAAAATAAAATTTTTGGCCAGGAAATTAGGCCAAAGATGTTGATGCATTAGTGTTTTTCATAGGTGGGAGCAAACTTACCAAAGAAAGCTGATGCCTCACTGCCAGAAGTAACACACATAACAGATGTAACTGATTGTCCAATCAATCACAATCAAATGTGCGTACAAAACTTTGAACTATCACAACTCAATTAGGAGCCTCCTTTTCTGCTTGATTTTTGAAAACCTAAATTTGGGGGATGATATCTTTCAGTCTAACACTAAGGTTATTATTTAATACGTCTTTTCAATCTTTCTTCTTTCTGATTTATTTACTCTTTCCCTTCCTCTTGGTCTTACTTTTAATTTCACAGGAGTCACAAATGCCTAACTCCTGGTAGGGGGATGAAGGACTCTGATATAGTGAGCTGGCAGAGGCAGGGATTGCAGAAGGTAGAGGGGAGTTGAAAAGGGGGAACTATGCATATTCTCTCAGTTCGGCCTCCTTTCTGTCCAGGTGTTCAGAGTGACCAGCTGTTGACAGTTGTAGTTGAAGCCCCGTGGAAGGGTAAAGTACCAATTTGTGGACCACTTGATCATCTCTGGATAACTAGTTAACACCACCCATCTGACAAACTGTTGAAAGGATACCCTTCCATTACTGAGCAATTTCTAGAGAAACTGTTGATCTGGCTCATGATTTGATTTGAATTAATTTTCTGGCATGACCTTGACCTATATGAGAAATTTAGAAATGACTGTCACTCCTAAATGGGACATGAAGTGTTCCCTAATTAAAGACTCACCCAAAAACTTCAAGGGTAGGTCCCATAGGAGCATCCAATTGCATGGTAAGATGAGTCAAATACCACTAACTTGACTACCATAATGAGGAGGATGGACTGGAGGGGTATAGCATACCTTTCATACACCTTTCTCCAAATCTCTCTGACACTCCTCTCATTTTCACACCCTTTGCTCCACCTCAGCAATGGAGAGAAAAACTTGTTCTTCTAGTTCTTATGATCTCTTCTCCACAGACTTTAATATGACACCTAATCAGGTCTCCATTGAAATGGCAATTTTCTGTATTTCCTCCCCTCCCTACCCTTTTTCCCCTGTGTGTGTGTGTGTGTGTGTGTTGTGATTTTGTATATGTGCATGTGTGTTGAGAGTGAAGGAGTGAGAAAGGAAATAAAACTCATTCTCTCTCTCTCTCTGTCTTCAGTTCATTGCCACAGGTAAACATTTTACATCTCACCTTCTTCTCTGTAATTTCTATAGCCTCCCCACAGACAAAAGAGCTTCCATAGATACTCAAGACAGGTGCACAATGAGTTCCTGATGAAACCTTTTCTGCTTGGCTTTGTAAACAGATTTGACAACAGTTTCCAGGAAATTGCATTTGATGTTTCAAGGTTAGATCTGGCTGTCAAGCATGCTGAGTCATATCCATTGAGTCAGAGAGTGCTATGCTGTAAGAGAATTTGTCTAAGATTAGCTAACATCTTTGCTTTGAGATGAAGAAGTCAGGAGAGTTCTTTAGCAAATGATTCTGTAGAGGTAGAAAAGCTCCCCTTTAGGAAAGGTTGTATTGTTTGCTTTTCTTCAAGGTTCTGCCATTATTGTCTGAGCTCAACCACCTGGGAACTAGAAGCTTATAACTCAAATCACATTTTTAATAAACATTATGATGGAAGAAAGTCAAAGATGTAATGTGAATAATTTAATTAAGCTTCTGTAGACTCAAAACAAACATATAGGTAAGTGCCAGAAGCCTAAACTTTAAGTTCTCAATACCAAAAAAGCAAAATACCAGCAAGGAAGCCATAGCCTTCTATGTAGATATTCACAAGTGAACTAGTGTCTACTGATATGCTAGAAATGGTGGTCTAGATATGATAAATTGAAACATAATTAGAACCTTAAGGTTACAAGTTAACTGGAATCCACAAAACAAGGTGAATTGGCTTTCATCTTTAAAAGAAGCTATTTATCAAGATTGAGTATACTTCCTCATAGCATGAAAGACTTAAGGGTTCACAATCAAAATAAAAGCACATATGAAACAGAAAAAAAACAGTTATCCTTTCTTAAGTGGCAAATATCTCAACTGATCTTGACGGAAAGAAAACCAGGAACTACGACCATGTTTTAAAATCACCACAGACCCTACAAATGAAATAATCAAAATGAAAGTGTAGAATTAGAGTGTTCGTAATACAAAGAAATAATAAATGCTTGAGGTGATAAATATCCCATTACCCTGATTTGATTATTATACATTATATGCTTGTATCAAAATATCACATGTACAGCACAAATAGGTACAACTATTATGTATCCATAATAATTAATAATGAAAACTAAAAATAAATAACCAGGCCTACGTTTATAATACATTCACACATTTCTCACAAGATAATGTTTTAAATCAAATCACTATTGATTTTCTTTTCTATTAACTATTAAACAGACACAAATAAAACTTTATAGCTACACAATTTAAAATATAGTTTTTCTAAGGAAACAGTATACATACTTATGACTTTTTCCAATAATATAAAAAGCTTTGCTAACAAAAATATCTCTGAATAAAGATGAATATAGGGTACAATTATTTCCACTATCTTTATCTCTAAAATGCTCACCAAAATTCCATAATTAAACTTATTTCTAATTCTAAAAACACCCGCTATTCATATAGAATACACTATAAGTTTTTATTAATGTCATAAAACTATATATACTGGCTCCTAAAGAACTTTAAAAGATTTTTTTTACCTGAATAAAATGTATTTGGGACAGAGACTAAATATAGATTGCATTTTAAAAAATATATTTATTACTCATTCCTTTTCCCTCTAGTTTCTTTTTATCAATTTAAATTAAAAGGGATTTATAGAAGGATGAAAAATAATTCGGTTTTTTACTATTAAGGAGTAAGCAAGACACATTTATAATTAGTGATAACAGTAGCCGTAAGACACACTGGTCAGGAGATGTTGGAGGCTCAGCCCTACTATCCATAAAGTATATCACTGAAGACTAATGAGGAATTTAAGGAGTTTTAGGTAAGGCTATTGGATTATCCAAATCATCATTCTCACCTATGTAAGTCTATTAACAATCCATTATCCTGGATATTGAGACATTTTGGTGGCCTAAAGTCATCCGTTATGATGCATAAAGCTGAACAGAAAGATATAATCGGTTGGGAAATAGATTCTGGTTATGAGTAAAAGCCTAGGGCAGGTGAAGTTTGGAGAAGAGGCAGCATAAGAAAAGAGCTCTGTGACTGATGAAGGAGCCCAAGAAAGGAAAGACAAGGCAACAACAAAGCAACATTTGGCATCTAGAAGCTCTCCTGTGTATGGCATGCACTGGGTGTGATATATATTGGTCTTAAGTTATTACCCCTCCTTGTGTCCACTCTCTTTGCTATGTGTCTTTGAAGTTCCTTTCACTAAAGGCAGAGTGCCCTTTCCTACTCATCGACTTTGGGATTGGCCATATGACTATCTCAAAAGGATACTAGCAACATGATGTAAGTGAATTAGCAGCTTTAAATGTGCTTGCATATTCTATTGTCCTTCTGCATGCTCTATGCATGCTCTATGATTAAAGCATGACCCAACTAGTTCACAGGTCCTGGGAAGAGGAGAGACATGTGGAGCAGAGGTGAATTCAATCTACATCTTGCAGCCAAATCCAGACTAGCCAAACCCCAGGAAATCTGCAAATGCATAAGCAAGAATAAATGATTGCTGCCTTAAGCCACTGTTTCATGATATTTTGTTTTGCAGCCTCGTTAAGGCAACAGCTAACAGCTACGCTGATCTGGATACTAGAAATAAGAGAGTAAACAATGCAAAATGCTTGCTCTCAAGGGACTTACAATTTAGTAAATAATATCAATAAGTACCCTGAAAGTAAATGCAGTGAAGGATACCATGAAACACCTAACCTGCAGACTCTGGTGTCCTGGATCAAGAGTCATCTAAGCTCAGACCTGAAGAATGAAGCAGAATGAGCAAACTAAAAGGACTAGAGAGAAGGTACAATTTGATAGCGCACCAAAGGCAAAGGAAGTAAGATGTGCAAAGACCCAGGCATGTGAGAAAGCAGAAGATTTTAAGGTAATTGTGAGCAAATGCAGTGAAGAGTTTGAAGAGGGGACTGTTGAGAGATGAAATGAAAATGATGAACTGCCAAGTAATTATAATTAACGAGTGTAACATATAAGAAGCACAGCAAGAATGGGTGTGAGATTTTAATATGGTCAAGTAAGAAGACTATTGGGTTGCTGAGTCACAAGACCAGAGTTTCAGTGTATTCATTTTTTTTCTTTCTTTTTTTTTTTTGAGACAGTTTTGCTTTTGTTGCCCAGGCTGGAGTGCAATGGCCCAGTCTTTGCTGACTGCAGCCTCTGCCTCCTGGGTTCAAGCGATTCTCCTGTCTCAGCCTCCCAAGTAGCTGGGATTACAGGTGTCTGCCACCATGCCCAGCTAATTTTTGTATTTTTAGTAGACATGGGGTTTCACTATGTTGGTCAGGCTGATCTCGAACTCCTGACCTCAGGCAATCTGCCTGCCTCCACCCTCCAAAGTGCTGGGATTACAGGCATGAGTGAGCCACCAGTGTATTCATTTTTTAGCTCTGTTTTCTTGGATGCGTCACATTTGAGCTTCTATTATTTTATTGCCATTCAGAAATAATCGAATCCACTTTAAAGTGTTGCAAATATCCTTAATAATCTTAATAAATCATACAATTCTATGCAAATGTTGTTATATCTGATAATAAGAATATCCATTTAGCTATAATATTCTTTGTTAAGAAAGATAAAGGTAATGACTAAAGTCATATAACATTGTAAGTGAATTTCTATTTTCAATTTTTATTATTAAGTTTGTAATATTTTTATTTTAAAAGTAATTTCAAGAGTGTCTATCAGGATATGCATGGTTAAATTTTAAAAATGCAAAAAAGTAGAGCATTACCAATACCCACGTTATTCTCTCCAATAAAAATGTTTCTCTTTCTTCTCCAAACATAAAAATAAAAACAACGCCAAATTTTGTGTTAATAATTCTCTTATTTTTCTTTATAATTGTATCTTTTTTGTATGCTTCTTTATAAATACTATACTATTTACTTTTGAACATTTTATACTCTTACTGTGTTTATCGTGTTATTGAGAGATGACAGCATCCTGGCAGCCCTCACAGCCCTCACTCGCTCTGGGCGCCTCCTTCGCCTTGGCGCCCACTCTGGCCGCGCTTGAGGAGCCCTTCAGCCCGCCGCTGCACTGTGGGAGCCCCTTTCTGGGCTGGCCAAGGCCGGAGCCGGCTCCCTCAGCTTGCAGGGAGGTGTAGAGGGAGAGGCGCGGGCGGGAACCAGGGCTGCGCGCGGCGCTTGAGAGCCAGCGCGAGTTCCGGGTGGGCGTGGGCTCGGCGGGCGCCGCACTCTGAGCGGCCAGCCGGCCGGCAAGCCCCGGGCAGTGAGGGGCTTAGCACCTGGGCCATCGGCGATGCACTCGATTTCTTACTGGGCCTTAGCTGCCTCCCCAAGGGGCAGGGCTCGCGACCTGCAGCCCGCAATGCCTAAGTCTCCCCCCTCCGCCCTGGGCTCCTGTGCGGCCTGAGCCTCCCCGACGAGAGTGGCCCCCTGCTCCACAGCGCCGGGTCCCATCCACCGCCCATGGGCTGAGGAGTGCGGACACACGCCTTGGGACTGGCGGGCAGCTCCACCTGCAGCCCCAGTGCGAGATCCACTGGGTGAGGCCAGCTGGGCTCCTGAGTCTAAGGGGGACTTGGAGAAACTTTGTGTCTAGCTAAGGGATTGTGAGTGCACCAATCAGCACTCTGTATCTAGCTAATCTGGTGGGGACTTGGAGAATCTTTGTGTCTAGCTAAGGGATTGTGAATGCACCAATCAGCACTCTGTATCTAGCTCAGGGTTTGTAAATACACCAATCAACACTCTGTATCTAGCTAATCTAGTGGGGCGTGGAGAACTTTTGTGTCTAGCTCAGGGATTGTAAAGGCACCAATCAGCACCCTGTCAAAACGGACCACTCAGCTCTTTATAAAACAGACCAATCAGCGCTCTGTAAAATGGACCAATCAGCAGGATGTGGCTGTGGCCAGATAAGATAATAAAAGCAGGCTGCCCTAGCCTGCAGTGGCAACCCACTGGGGTCCCCCTTCCACACTGTGGAAGCTTTGTTCTTAAGCTCTTTGCAATAAATCTTGTTGCTGCTCACTCTTTGGGTCCACACTGCCTTTATGAGCTGTAACACTCACCGCAAAGGTCTGCAGCTTCACTCCTGAGCCAGCAAGGCCACGAACACACTGGAAGGAAGAAACTCCGAACACATCTGAACATCAGAAGGAACAAACTCCAGACACGCTGCCTTTAAGAGCTGTAACACTCACCGCGAGGGTCCGTGGCCTCATTCTTGAAGTCAGTGAGACCAAGAACCCACCAATTCCAGACACATTATGACTTGCTTTTTCACTCAAGATTAGTTTGGGAGCATCAGCCACACTGCTACATGTAGAATATTCAGTAAAGGCTCCAGTATGTTTGCTATTACACTCAGGGATGCCAGGAATGTTCTTGTCCATCTGTTCTGGTATACATACGCAGGGTGTCTTGAGACTGCTCCAAGGAGTGCAACACCTAGGTCACAGATTGTGTGCATTTTCAAACCCACTAGGAAAACTATTTTTTTTCCTGAAAAGGTTTACCATCAACAATACATAAGAGTTTATACTGGTTCCTTCTTTGCTTGCACTTGGTATTGTGCATTTTAATTTTGCAAGTCATCCTGCACCCATCCCTCCTTTCTGTCTCTTCTTTCCTTCTTCCTCTACACTTCATCACTGACGTAGAAACTGAAGGATGTCTATAGATAAATTTTCTAGGGTGAAGAGTGGAGGCAGGGGGCTTGAAGGAGCTGGAGATGCTTTTACGGCTTTTTAACACAGGCATTCTTACTTCAAGCTCCATAGTGAGACTATTGTCAGCTTGACAACCCTTAACAGAATTTTTTTCAGACTGCTTTAGCATCATTGATTGCAGAATAGCATTTAAAAGGTGACCTCCTGAAACAGTCAGCGGTCAATGTCAAATGCTTTAGAGGTAGAGCTTCTGTTCTGAGAGTCTGCACTAACCATGTTTTGGAAGGTAAGCAAATTGGTGAAATCTTTTACTAACCGAGTGCAGCTGACTCCACTGTTTCCATGGAAACCTATCTCAGGCAAGGTATTCCAAAGGCTCTTTATTTAAGAAATATCAAATAGCCCCAGGGAGTCACTAGTCCTGTCAGACCGCTATACCCACAATAGCAAAGATTATCCCCTGCCCGTCAGAAGGGGATAATCCTTCCTTTGGTTTCATGACTTTCTGACACCTCTTGAGAGCAATAAAATTCCATCCCGAAGCTTTCTCTTCATTTTTCTTTCTTGAAGCTAATAGAGTATTCAGAGTACAAAGCAGGAGGAAATCAGGGCTGAAGGATGCAGGCATTCTGCCTATAGTGCCTCTATTTACTTACGTGAGCTGTCTGGAAATATTAAACACAAAGATTCAGAAGGCTTAGGTTTTAATCACTCCTGCTTACTGCTTACAGTAATACTTGAGTCTTGGGTTCTTCCTTTTTAGAATAACAGAATTGAACAGGATTATCTCAAAGGATCTTCAAGTTACCAACTGAAAAATATGATGCCATGTTCTATCTGACAATAAGACTTTTTATATAAACTGATATCCCTTAGAGGATACCAAGAGCAAAGCTGAAGTTCTAAGAATCTAGTTAGCACTGCACCAGGTTGCTGTGCATTGTATAACATTTTCATTTTGAAACAACCTAAGGATATATTTTTATCCTGCATGGACCACTTTGTTGGGATTTAGAAGGATTAGCTTTCTAATTCTACATTAAAAACAAACAAACAAAAAACTGTAATTCTTGGGCTGGGCGTGGTGGCTCATGCCTGTAATCCCAGCAATTTGGGAGGCCGAGGTAGGTGGATCACCTGAGGTCAGGAGTTGGAGACCATCCTGGCCAACATAGTGAAACCCTGTCTCTACTAAAAATACAAAATATTAGCTGGGTGTGGTGGCGGGTGCCTGTAGTCCCTTGGGAGGTTGAGGAGAATCATTTGACCCCTGGAGGCGGAAGTTGCAGTGAGCTGAGATTGCGCCATTGCACTCCAGCCTGAACTACAAGAGCGAAACTCCGCGAGGCGAGTGGATCACAAGGTCAGGAGATCGAGACCATCCTGACTAACACGGTGAAACCCTGTCTCTACTAAAAATACAAAAAATTAGCCAGGCTTGGTGGCGGGCGCCTGTAGTCCCAGCTACTCAGGAGGCTGAGGCAGGAGAATGGCGTGAACCCGGGAGAAGGAGCTTGCAGTGAGCCGAGATCGCACCAGTCCACTCCAGCCTGGGCAACAGAGCAAGACTCCATCTCAAAAACAAAACAAAACAAAAAACAAGTAACTCTTTTTAGTGCTGATCACTGTATATTCATCATTTCCTTTGGCAAATGTAAGAAAGTTAGAAAGCACCAGCACATCTAATTTTGCATAGCAGGAAATGACATTAAATCTGAACTCTGCTCATTTGTTCTCCATAACATCCCTGACTTCTGCCTTGGGCCTCCCTATGATAGAGTAATGTTATCCAGTAGATAAAAGGGTGTGTTCCTGGGATCTGACAACCTGGTTTCCATTCCTGAATCTGTCCCTTCTGGACTCTTAGAACTTGGGCAGCTTCCATATTCTCTCTGACCTCAGTTTCCACATATATGACATAGAAATAAAAATAGTACTTCCATCATAGAGTTGTAAAAAATAAATAAACTAATATTTATGAAGCATTCAGTAGTGCCTGACTACAATAAGCACTCAATAAATATTAACTATTACCACTTAATCATTTCACTATACCACTATTTCACTATACCCTATTCCTTAGGGTACCATTTAGTGCTCTAAAGTGCTTATTTACTTGATAATAGTCGAGTTGCCCAAATGTGTTTTGCCTCCAAAGTAAGCAGTTCATTGTTTACCTAATTGCCTAATGGACTCTAACATATTTTAATTTGTTTGGTTAATAATAAAACCATATAAGAAGGCATTATTCTTATCATTTAAAAAGTTATTAGAAAAAATTAATGTATATATTGAATGTGGAAAGCTTATTAAATTCACTTCTTTGAAAATATGCTCAACTTATTAACATTTATGTTAGTTATTATTTTAAAAAGCAGTAAAAACAAAACTTTCCTATGCTTTTTCAAACAAACTTTTTTTAGTCTATACAGAGTCAAACAGCTTTTTGATATATCTCAGTAAAATTCAGACATCTAGATCGTTCTATGTTAGTTTTCAAGTACATTCAATTTTACAAGACATTCTCGTCTTTTTTCTTCGTTCTCTCCCTCATTCTTTGTGGTTTTACCCTTTTTAAATTCTTCAATAAACAAAACTAACTAAAATTGTTCAAAGGTGACTTCAGCTATCTAGACCTTTGGTAACTAAAAGTTTTAGGAACCCAAAGGAGAATTTTCTTCCATTAAGCCACTTACCACAAGAATATTTGTATATTTATGTATTTAAATTTATCTGTTTGATTTTGAACCTATTTTATAAATAGATGAAAAGTGCTATTTTATTTAACAATAAATTTGCTATGTAAAGTTTAAAAAACTTTTTGCAAAGTGAATTGTTAGTGTCATCAATTTTTTTTCTACAATACATAATGAATTTCTTTTAAGCAAATTCCATTCGGACTTTTCCATCTCCAATAGGGGCACAATCAGGCCAACTGCAGCAGGAATGCAGCAAGATATTTGGAAGCCTTTCTACATCGTTGTGACTGGCAAACTGTAGGATGCTTTACTAAGGCAGAAAATTCTTTCTCTGAAGTTTTTAGGAACAGGATGAGTAACTTCTCTGGGAACACTGCCATCCTGAAATCTGAAGGACAGACTGGAATTTCCAGATTATTTAATACAGTTCCATGTCACATGCTTATCAAACTTTGCCTTCATTGATGGCCTGCCTCTTACAAAAGAGTGAAATAATCAAAATGTGCTTTGCTTGCCTTTTTCTACAATGTAGTGTTACTCATAATATTACCTGAATCCTTACAGAACAACTGGTGCTCTCATCTTCCAAAACTTATGAGCTGTCTGTCCACTGTGGGAAAAATTAAGTGAACTAGCATCACTATATGTAGCATTCTCTAGTACACAAATACTTATGGAATGACATTTAGTTCTCACAGCACAACTCTTTGAGAAAGATATTCTTCTCCCAACTTCGCAATAGGAGGGTCAGAGGTGACAAGCTTGTTCAAAGCAGAATAGCTGATTCCAAATTCAATGCTCTTTCCTACAAGCTACATTTTTCTCTATTGTCTGATAACCCCTAAAAATTAACCACAAATATGTCTAATTGGAATTTTTCAGGGACTGTGGCAAAACAGGTGGGGAAATTGTTTTAGAGCTGGGAAAGAGGAGAGACTTTTCCCAGCTCTCTTCAAATTTTGATAAGTAGTCAGTTTCACAGTCTGACCATGCCTGAGTCCCAAATTTCAGGGGTTTTTTTTTGTTTTTTGTTTTTAATAATGGCATTTGTCCTTTGGTGATTCAGTTGCATGGCAATCTGAATCTTGTAGAAAAACAGCACATTCTTACCTCAGTGTGTTTCTCCTATAGTCATTTTATGCATGACCAAAATAGATCATCTCTTAAGTCTTATTACTCATTTAATCCAAAAATATTAGGAAATATCGGGAAATCAAGAGTGACACTATCCTACTTAGACCTAATGGTTACTTTGAAATTTTTCTTTGGTATCATTGTCAGCACTTGCAAAGAAACATAAACACTTTAAATTAATGTTATAAAAATTAGTGCCTAGAGAAAACTTTCATGAAATGTTTAGTCATGCTTGTATGTTTACCTGATGATTCAAAAGCTTGATTATTCTGGAATGAAACTTCATCACTATCTATCAATATACACTTGGGCAAATTCACAGATGTAACAAATTAGCATTTGTTAAAGTACATATTTTAGCTTGGAATTCATAATGAATATTTAAAATACTTCAAATTACAAATGAATGCATATTAAATGATGTGTCATTTATTTATTAGCTATCATTATTAAGTGATGCAATGCATATTGAGTGTTTTGCCAGGAATCTGACACATAGTAAGAGTCTGATAAAAGACATTCTTGTAAATCTAAAGAGCATGACTTGATTTTATGTTCCCTTTTATTTTACATTTTATGCTGCTCTCCTCATGATTATTTGTTCCATTACTAATTTTTATTTACTTATTTTTTGAGATGGAGTCTCACTGTGTCACCCAGGCTGGAGTGCAGTGGCATGATCTTGGTTCACTGCAACCTCCGCCTCCCGGGTTCAAGAGATTCTCGTGCTTCAGCCTCCCAAGTAGCTGGGATTACAGCCATGAAGCCACTGTGTCTAATTTAAAAATTAGTGAATTTTTAAAAAGAAATTTTTTAACAGCAAAACAACTGTAAGTTCAAATATATATATCAAGTTGTATTGCAATAATGTTAAAATAAGGTTACTATCCATTTTACTCTCAGATCTTATGGATATCTATTGCAACTCTTTTGTAGAATCTGCATATTAATCTTGATTTTCTTCAACATTAAAAAAGATTTGTTAATCTTTCCACAAGAACATGAGGATGAATGGGGTGAGTGAAATCCTTTACCTATTTAGCACAGGATTCAAACAATAAAAATTGTATCAAAAAATAATTCTGATTATAATTCTTCATGTATATTTACCTCCATAATTAGATTATGTGCTATTTGAAGGCAAAGATTTGATTTTAGTAATCTTTACATCATTTAATTATTCTCTCATTTAATAATTATTTATTACAAATTTGTCATATACTCAGTACAGTGCTAGCCCCAACCATACCAGAACCCATGCATTTATTTCCATCTTACCACTGCCACGAGGATCCTAGCCATCAATACTGCTTGACTGGACTCCTACAACAGCCTCCTGTTCTTATTTTAACTTGTTCCCCTCTATAATACATTCTCCACAGAAGCCAAAGTGATTTCTTTAATTACATAAATACTCAAATGGTTCTGATGTCATTTAAAATAAAATCTAAACATCCTGGCTTACAAATCCATGCATTAGGTGGTCCCATCTTCTTCCTGGATCTCATATAACATACTACCTCTTGTCCACTACCTTCAAATCTTCAGACCTTTCATCCTTCCTTCTTTCTTCTTCCCCTGGCATTCAGATATTAGCTTGAACATCCCCCTTTCTGATCATCCATCTAAAGTAGTCACCCTGTTACTCTTCATCACTCTACTCTGCTTTTAATTCTGTATGTAGCACCCATTGGTATCTGGTATTTCTCTCCCTACTCAAGAATGGAATTTCCAGAGACCACCTTGTCTATAAGTGAGATTGCATCTTTGTCTGTCTTACTCACCAGTATATGATCAGCAGCCAGAACATAGTAGACATTGAACAAACAGGTGCTGAATGAATGGAAGGAGAGGCTACAAACAACAATACCAACAACAATGGTAATTCACATTTCTTATCTACAAGGAGTTTTCCAGTCAAATAGGAGAAAAAGGAAAGTAACAGAAAATAACACTTGATTCCATGATAGAAGTACACACAGGATGCCAGGAAAAAAGAGAGTCTGTTTTATTTCTGTGAATAGGGAATGATATTGAAGAGAGAGATGAAAAGATTTAATTTGTAAGATAAAGTAAAAGAAGGAATCCAGGATGAATCTTAGGTTGCTGATCTTGGGGACTGATTGACAAAAGTATCATTTCCCAGTATAGAGATAACATGAACAGAACCTGCCATAAGAAAATGTACATTCTATTTGGATGTGTTATGTTAGATACCTATAGCCCAAGCTGTAATGTCTAGTGATCAGCCAGGTAGAGGCATCTGGAACTCAGGAGAAAAATATGAATAGGTATATATACTAGTATATATAGGATAGAAAGTACTTTACTGCTCATTCTCACATCCATTATCTATTTGCAAATTAAAACAACTCTTTAAGGTAAGTGATATTATTTCCATAGTCAAATGAGTTATTCAAGAATAAGGCACAGAAAAAATAAGAGAGATAGAATTCAAATATTCAATTTTTTGTCCAGTGTTTTCTTCCCTATTTTTGTAAACTTCAAATATTAGAAATACAATGATGTATTGCAGAAAGAAAAATGTGTTTTTGATGGAATGGTGACAATGACGAAGAAATACATGCTTTCCTATTTTTTAAAACTTTCTTATATTTCACACTGAAAGTTGAAAGCTTTGGTTAATTTATGGCCATCTTTAGCAGGAGATACTCCAATAAGATGCTGATTCATCAATTTTCTCATTTTCCTTTCCTTTCATGTTAGAAATCCACTTCATTAATTTCTTGGGTGAGAGAGAGAGAGAGAGAGAGAAATGTTAAGTGGCAAAGAGTGAGAGAAAAGAGGACCACCAAAGTTATTTGAGTGGTTAAAGCATTAAACATACCAAAGGAAGAAGAATAATATAGTTTTAGGTTATTCTTAATCACTTTTGTCAAAAAGATCTCAATGAAATAAATCCATATAGGACTATTTAATAAGAATATCACCAGCCCTTAAAAATTGATTGCATTTAACCTATAAAATGAACCTGAAGGATAATTGCAGTGGATTTTGAAGAGTGGTCATTGAGTCCAGTTAAAGTGAACAGAAAGTAACACTGGAGAAGGCATTTCACTTTGTTTGCTCTAAAGTAGAAAGTGTACTTGATGTACATCCAAAGAGGTGTCTAATTGGTTATTATGAAATGGGGGACACAGTCAAAAAGAATGATAAATATTTATGGTATTGAACAGGAGTGGAGTGGAAAACTACATTCATGGCACTGAGCCCTTTGACCATATTACCAAGAATATCTGCTTTGAGAAGGATTTTAAAACATTATAACTAAAGAAAATAGTTAGAGAAAGTACTTCATGTATAAATTTGGATTAAACAATCTTTTGTGCATTTCTTTTCACACTTTTATTTCAACATGTATTACCCTATTATAAAGTAAATATATGAAGCATAGAAAACATTAAATAAGTTGGTGCAAAACTAATGGCGGTTTTGCCATTAAACATAACAAGAAAAAAAAACACAATTACTTTTGCACCAAACTAATATTCTCTCTTCTCACTTAAATCATGAATATTTTTTCCCTATTACAAATTCAAGACACCCTGAAGTTTAAGGCATTTAGTTCTGAAGACAGAAATTCTGGAATTTAAATTCTGTTATTTACTACAGAGACTTGTGTAATTTGGCTTAAATTACTCAATTTTTTCTAAGATTGTATTGCCTTTAAATCTAGTGAGGATAATAAAAATACCTACCTCATAGCAGTAATGTACAAATTAAATGGGATTATACATAAAATACTTAGCACAGTGCTTAGCATATACTAATTGGTCATTAAATTATACAATATTTCATTATAAGTTTATACTCACATTTATTTAACCAATCCACATTTATCACCCCTGAAGTTGCTTCCAAATTTTTCCACTCTTATCAATGCTACAACAAGGTTTCTTATCTCAAAATCTTTATTATTTCTTTTCTTCCTTATGTACTCTTAAGAGTAGAAGAAATTTCTAGTTAAAATGCATGCCTATTTTAGAGCTTTTAGTCATTTACATCTGGTTCAGGAAAGAAAAAAAAAGATAAAATAAAGGTGCCTCAGTGGTACAAAGATATGTGCCTGAGAAAACTGTAACTTCACAGTGAGGGTGGGAGTTAGGAGAAAAAAATTAAAATTACAAAATCATGCCCTTAACTGATGCAACTTCAATTAAAATGAACAATGTAAATTGCATGTAGGTGACTGGATTAAGAAAAGCCACGTATAATAGGTCAAAGGCTAAGCATTTCGGAACATTCCAGGCTTGCAATAGCATCCTGGAATAATTGATCCTGCCACCAGTTCTCTTAAGAGAATACTGACAGGCATTATGCAATGAAGAGACAAAAAATATAAACATTAAAAATGTCAGTACCAAAAGTGATGGGTGTCCAGGAATTTTGTTAAATCTACATATAGAACACAACGTTACACACTTAAGTGTCACTAGAAGAAAAAAATAACACAGACTATAACATATCTTTTAAAGGACTGAGACTTCAAAAATAATGGATCAGTTTATTTCTAAAGAAAATTGTGCATAAATCCAATATAAAAACTAAATCTAGCAGCATGTCAGCTGTGTTTGACTCAGCAAGAGAAGGTACAGAGGCTTAGTGAAGAGCTGTGGACAGTCAGTAGCCAGAAAAGAGTCCAGGGATTGGGGCTACATCCTCTTGAATCACATACACTCCTCCATGTCATAATGTATCTACCCCAAAACTGTAAAGTAATCTTGCCAAGGAAAATTCCAAAGCCCACAGAAGGAAGAAATTATAACTATAGAAAACTCACTAGCTCAGAAGCATAGCAGTGCATGAAATTATCTACGCAAAGGTTTGAAGCATAATGCACGATTCCCTTTGCTCTACATCTGGGTAAAAATTGCAAAATTTTCAACACAAGAAAAACTAAAAACAAAGATAAACTAATGAAAAACCTGTACAATTAAAGATGTATTTCTACATCCTTACTCTCAGATATTGTATACAGTTTTTTTTCTTTAGGTAAAAGATATTGCAACATTTTAGGAAGCGCCCTGTTAAGCTAGTTTATAAGATACAAGAAGGGTAATGAAAAACATCTAATTCAGGGTTTACTGAGCCAATAAATGGAGGAAGAAAATAAGTCAAAGTATTCCCTTGATTTTTCCATAAGATGCTCTAAGATGGAGTTAGGAAATCAACTAAGTGGATATGGGTAAGTGAATGTGGGTTAGATCTAAAATAGAGGCCACAAATTATCCCATGTAGCTAGAAGGAATTGTTCATTAAAAGCCTCTTAACTATCTGCTGTATATTACATTATTTCAATCGAACTTCTCAACCACTCTCTGAGGATACTATATTCCTCCTTTAGAAGGAATCTTGTGTATCACGTTCAACATCACACAGCTGGCAGGAGGAAGAGCTGAGATTCAAATTTAGGAATTCTGCATGATTCCAAAGTCTGTTATTTTGAACACTCTGCTATCGAACTTTTGGCTGGCAATAGCAGCTCAATGCCAGCATAGGGAAGGATCACAAAACCTGGCTCCCTAAACCTGCTGTGTAAATTTTATATTTACATCTGATATCAAAATAGGTAATATAGCCTTGATATAGGAGAATCTGCATTACCGAATTTCCAACTTGATTATAAGGCTTCCTAACCCTGCTAAAGAAACTACAGGAGAGACTTAGATACTAGTAGCTCAAATTGATCTGTACTCTGCTACGCAAACAAAATTAATTAATGCCATTAAAAAGCTAGGATCTAGAACATATATGAAAATGCAAATAATTAACATGGGATATATAAAAACAAAGATAAGGACTCGGTGAAGACACTTTAAAGATTAATGATAAGAACAAAAATGTGAAGTGTGATGAGTGGGAGTAAAAGGGATACTGAGAAATGTTAAGACCATGCGGTTGCCAAGGAGACACCAAACCATCTTGTGCATGACCTAGCTAGGAGAAATATTTATAAGAGAGAAAATGAGTTTGAGAGAGTTATAAGGACAATTACATTCTAAGACAGCATATGGGACAAGAAGACATACCAGAATATTTGATTTTTGAATGCTTGGTAACAAAGAAATGTTAGGGAAAATAGAAAAATATTTAAGAATGCCAAAGTTGAAGAACTGTCTGTGTAAAGAAAGGACTACCAGAGAACAATAAATGTATTTTCACCACAAGGCACTGGGGAATAATTATCTAGTAAACAATAGAGAGTGACTTTGCTTGTGTCATTGAGGATCAGCTTTCAGAAATACAACTTGATCATAATAAAATTACTTTAAGTCCTGAGTGATTTACTTTTTGATTTGCAAGACTAGATTTGCAGAATCAATTTATTTCTACCTATCATTGAACACATTATACATGCAGTTTGGGTGTCAGCCACGAGGCAATTGGTGATGTTGTATTTATAAAGCAAGACCCAATCACTAACATTACTGTCATAACAGTTAAGAGAAGATATGAGCAAACCACACCATACTAAAAAACCCATATTTTTATATAGAAACTTAACTATGAATTTGGTTTATCTTTGCATATTACATAGCACCTAGAACCTTGTATATACTAATGGCTTTTGGAATTTCATTGAACAAAGCATTAATACAAATTATTAATCATTATGAATGTCAATCAAGCGTAGGCACCTTCAGAACAAGATTTAAAGAAATAAAAATTGTGAAGAACAGTTGGGGTTTTTATATATGACTTATTTGATGTTGGTGACAATTTCTCAATTTTTGCTGCAGCAAAGATTAATCATTCCTCTCAGTTATTCTTCAGATAATGAGAATATTTCAGCATCTACACAGCTCAATAATTCCTTGAAAAAATGATAAAATTTATGTGGTACAGTTAAGCTGAAAATATTTTTGATGGTATCGCCTTTGACACAAAGCTAACATCTCATCAACCTGTGTGAACATAAAAATTGCTTTCTTTCTGTTTGATTTGACTATACTGGTAAATGTTAGAAGATCTTGCAAAATATTATGTACAAGGGACTAGGCACTCCAATAGAACACGCTGTATTTCTCAGAAAGAATCATAAGAATCTAAATTTTGAAAGAATAAGCAGAAATTCAACTGATCAAAAAAGAGATTTACATTAAGATATCAGTATGCATAAAGGAAAATGATTTATTGATAATATCCAATTCACACTTTGACAATTGCAAACTTTACACTTGGTCCCCAAATACCATTGTTATTTATATTCTCACACTGAAGATAGTATTACAGCTGGTTTATTTCCATCTTTAGGAGCTGCCATGGTATTCATTGTTAAACTTGGTACTCAAAATGCCTCATGAAAAGTTCAAGCCCTAGATCTTTAAGATCTTCAGAAGCAAAAAGCATTCCCTGCAAAAGAGCCACACTTAATTGATTATAATAATGGTGTCCTTTTTTTCCACCAACATTTTTGCTTAAATAGTACAATGTTTACTTTGTTCCTTAAGAGGACAAACTTGAATTAAATTACATGTCAATCAACATAAACATTAGTCACTGCTTTTTGTCAGATCAACTTATTAACAAAAACTGCTATTACATATAATGCATTTCTCCTTTTTTATGGCCTTGTTGTGGAGATTCATTTGTAAATTCTTCCTTATAGCATTGATTGGGTTTGCCTTAAAAAGTATATTTTGAATGAAATTGATGATTAGAAGCCATTGTCCACCTACTTCATTACCTCAATTTATAGCAGTATGAGGATATTATTTTGACTTTTTGTGAAAACCTTTTCTAAAGAGTGTGTAATAAATAACGACAAAAGGCTTACGATACAGTTTTTTTAATGCAGGTTGGTCAAGATCTCGAATGAAATTTTAGTTTGATCTTAATAATTTTAAAATCTCATTTTTTATGAGTTTATAAAACAAAATATATGCATATATCCTATTAGTCTTAAAAACAAATTCCTTGAGTTTTTAAGCTTGCAAATGTTCTGAATTTTTCATATGAAAAGAGTCAAATAAAAACATGATATACAAATATGTTGATCACTGCTAAAGGTATTAGTGTTGTGGTATACTTTACTGCTTTAATTTAAAGAATAATATACCTTTAAATGTGCAATATGTTTTGGAATATAGCATAGTTAAAATGGCAATAGGTTCGTGGGAGCAGTATATGTGACTAGAAAACTTCTGGTACTCTTCTGTATGTCAAACTACATTTATCACTCATTTCTCAATCCTATTATTTAAAAAACAAAGACTCATTCAGAGTACCACAAAAATCACTGCAAATTATTTGGCCTCTAGATATCAGAAGACCTTATTTTATGACTTTGTCAAGCATTATAATTTTTGAAAAATGACAAAGTGTAAAGATTTTTCTTAATTATATTGACTACTTGGAGTATGTGGTTATCATTTAGATGTTTGTGTTTTGGAGTGGGGGGAGGTGTGTGGTTAGGTAAGTTTGCAAGGAAGAGAGTTTGAGAAGTTAGGAAGAGAGTCCAAATGATATACAATATGTTAGAAAAATTGTATTTGTATTTATCATTTATTTTGCTTTCAAGTATCAGCAATATTGCTTTTGTACAAAGAAAATGAGTAGGCAGCTGCTGCATGTGGTCCAGCTCAGTTGCTAGAAAGCATCTTTTGCATTTGGGTTGCCCAGTCTGAGCATGCTCAGTTGTGATGACCATAACTCAGGATTGATTTAATGCAGCATGAAAGTTCTGTTGTTTTGTTGATGGAAAAATACAAAATGTCTGAATTATTTCCATTGGCCTTGGGGAAAACTGGCTTCTGTGTCTGGAGCACTTCAATCCTGTGCCTTTTCTAGCACAATTATGTTCAGATTTCTGCCTCCCTTTCTAATAGTTAGAGCAGCTCCTTTGTTTTCCAGCTGAGATACTTGATGCTGATGATCACCCTTATAGTTGGCTTCTAAATACCTGACAAGACATGGAGGGGAAACTGTTTCTCTTGTCAACTAGACATTATGCTCTTCTCTGCTTTATTTTATGCAGGCTTTAGAGCATTGTCACTTCACAAGTATAACTACTCTCATTTTACATTGACTAGTACATTACTTTACAAAGTTGGAGGTGCAGCCAAAAAACTCTTTGATCAGTGAGAAGGTATTATTCAGATAGAATAGGGAAAAGTGCTATTTTCCACAAGGGAAGATTTATTAATTCTCTATAGCAGTGTGTCATTTTTAAATGACTTCTTTTAGAGTGCTGAGTTGTTCATGGTGTTGAGGAGAACTACATAATAATGACTCATATTTGGAGAACGACTTGCTTACACATTGTAATTTAATTAATTTGGATACGGTAAATTGGCACACAGGATTCATCCCAACATCATTGTTCCATTACATACTGCAGAGGTTAGAAGACCAAAACATACACGTCTCATGCTTTTATATATGGAATTCTGGAAATTATATTCTCTATTCCTGCAATTTAGAAAGAAATAAGGCTGGTGACTTGGCTATTGCTGCTGACAAGTGCAGTTGAGGGGATGTCAGATTTTTCTGCATCTGTCACTAGTTTAGTGATTGTCAGGGCGGTAGTGGTCTGAGCAAAAGCAGTTTCCTGATCACTGATCTCATTTAGGACACTGTTGTTCTACTCAGTTACAATAGTAGCTTCATGATTTGCAGCTTTCTGGTTGTGATGGAGGAAGCTGCTTTCCTGACTGACCAACCTAGAAGTGTTTTCCTTGTTCTAATTTGAATACCAGGCCTGAGTCCCGTAAGTCACCTGTTCAGAAAATGTGTTAGTATTTGTTTTATAGTATTAAATCTGTATGCTTCAATTATTTCTAGTGGTTTTTATTTACTGCAAGGTAACTCAGAGTAAAGTATTCTTATTTTCTCTGGATTTGACTGAAAATTAGTGATAAATAAAGAATGTTAAAGACTACAGCTTCTGGTAGTTGTAGAATAGTTTATTGTACACTAATTCTCCCTTCAAGAAGAATGAGAACAGCTGCACAAAATACAATATATATCTGCGTGAAGGTAGCTCCAGTTGAATATTGATGATATAAAACAACAATAAGAAGATCTTTTGTAGTTTAAAATAACAGGTAAATAAAATATATGAACATTTCCCATGAATCAGGAGGAAATATAAATAGAATTAAAGTGTCCTAAGATCCTTTTACTTCCATGAAATGATAAAACGATACATGCAGGTCATAATCACTAGCATAACCATCAAAAGACCAATAAAAGAATATGCAGCTAACAAAGAGGTGACATGAAATAACAAAAATGGTTGATTAATCCAAGTAAAGGCAAGAAAGAAAAGAAAAAGGAAATGAAAGCAGTTTGGACATACATAAAATAAGTAATAAAATGGTACATTTATACCCCACAATAATTTTAATTACAGTAAATGGAAACAGACAAAACAGACCAAAATTTTCAGACCTGGTAAGGAACTAAACTTAACTCAATGTTGTATACAAATTACTCATGGCTTAAAAGAATGTAAAAAGAATGAAAGGAAAAAGAAGGATAGGCCATGTGAGCACTAGCCAAAAGAACGTTGGTGGAGATGTATACTAACATGAGACAAAGTAGGCTTTGAGACATAACCATAAAAAAGAGAAATATCTTATAAAATAGTCAATTCATCAAGAATTGATCATCATTTTGAATGTGTTTAGTATAGCCTCAAATAAGTAAAGCAAAAGAGTGATGGAACTAGAAAATGTATTAGGTAATCACAGTGTGAAATCTCAGCATTCAACCCTCTGAAACTAACAGAACAAGATAACAAAAAAATTAGTAAGGAAATAGAAGATGGAAAAACACAAAATTAAAAATTGATCTAGTAGATATATGAAAGACAGACCTCAACAACTAAAGATGACATGTTATTTTTAAGTACAAATGAGATATTTGCAAAATTAACCATATGCTGGACCCTAAGAGTATAGTGTCTGGCAATAGTAGAGAATCTTCTTCTAAAGTTATCAATCAATAACAAACTAATAGCTTAAAAATATTCAAATGCTCAGAAATGAAACAATACTAAATAACCCATGAGTCAAAGAGAAAATCACAATAGAAAATAAATAATTGTAACTGAATAATAATTAAAATATGACATATTTATGAGATGTAGCTAACGCAGTGCTTGGAGAGAAAGTATTGTCTTAAGTGCATATATTACAAAAGAATCTCAACTTGCATATCAAGAAGCAAAAAAAAAATAGCATATGAAACTAAAAGGAAGTATTAAAAGTAAGAAAGATAAAAAATCAATATTTAAAGAACAATTATTTTCTGTTTTAACAAAGACAAAAGTTGTTTTCTCAAAATAACTTTCAAAATGATGGCAGCTTGGCAAAGCTGATGAAAACAAAATATAAAAGAGTACAAATTACCAATATTATGAATCAAAATAAAGTTTATAATAATAAATGTATTGTGGGAAATGTCATATCAATAAATTTGGAAATTTAGAAAAGAAGGTTAATCTGGAAAAACACAACATGTTATAAGCCACCCAGGTAGAAATAAAATCTAAATATATTTATTAAATAATTTGAATTCATAATAAAAAAACTGCAAACTAAATACCAGGCTTAGATGACATCACTAGCAAATTCTTCCAATCATTTATGAGAGAAAGAATATCAAATATATGCCAGTCATCCAACATAAGAAAGAAGAAAACTGTGGCCGGGTGCGGTGGCTCACGCCTGTAATCCCAGCACTTTGGGAGGCCGAGGTGGGCGGATCACGAGGTCAGGAGATCGAGACCATCCTGGCTAACTTGGTGAAACCCCATCTCTACTAAAAATACAAAAAAAAAAAAAAATTAGCTGGGCATGGTGGCGGACGCCTGTAGTCCCAGCTACTCAGGAGGCTGAGGCAGGAGAATGGTGTGAACCCGGGAGGCGGAGCTTGCAGTGAGCTGAGATCACGCCACTGCACTCCAGCCTGGGCAACACAGCGAGACTCCATCTCAAAAAAAAAAAAAGGAAAGAAGAAAATTTCTAGATTGATTTTATAGGGTCAATAAACTTGATGCCAATACTTGGTAAGAATACTGTAATTAAAAAATATAGACAGATCAATTTCTCTCATTCATAAGGAAAGATGTAGAACAAAGAACATGAACCATGAACCTAAATAAATTATTAGTGAACCAAGTTCTATATATAACAAAGGTGATACAACATAAGCCAGTTGATTTCACTGCAAGAATGCAAAATTGGTATAACATTCAAACGTCAGTAAATCTCCACCACATTAACAGAATTAAAATGAAAAATTATATCATCATCTCAATAGATGTTGCAGCAGGGCGAATAATATCCCCATCCCCCAGTGATGTCTACATCCAATCTCCAGGACCTGTCAATGTGTTACCTTATATAGCAAAATTACATTGCAAATGTGGTCAAGGTTATGGAGCTTGAGATGGGGAGACAATCCCAGATTACCCAGATGGGTTCATTCTTGTATCATGAATTCCTAAAGGTAAAGAATCTTTTTCAGCTGTGGTCAGAGAGATGCAATGTGAGAAAAATTGCCCACCTTTACTGGTTTTAAAGATTGATAAAGGGGACTGTAGGCTGAGAAGTGCAGTAGTCTTTAGAAGCTAGAAGTCACCCTCAGCTTATAGCCAGCAAGAAAATGGAGACCTCAGTCATACAACTACAAGGAACTGAATCCTGCCAACAACTGAAATAAGCAAGGAAAATGGTTCTGCCTTAGAACCTTCCATTATGAAGGCAGCTCTGAGGATACCTTGATTTTAACCCAGTAAGACCTGTGCCAGACTTATGACCTATAAATCTGTAAAGTAATAAATTTGTATTGTTTTAAGTGACTAAGTTTGTGGCAATTTTTATGTCAGAAATGAGAAACTATTACAAATATGTAAAAGGTATTTGATAAATTTTAATATCTATGCATAATTTTTAAAATTGCTTGCAAAATAATAATATGAAAGATAATCTTTAATCTGATATAAGATGTCTACTGAAAAAAAAACTGTATAAGCATCCCACTTAATGGTAAAATACTGAAAGCATTCTCCCTGGGATGAGAAATGAGACAAAGGAGTGCAATATTATGACTTATATCCAATAGCATTCTGGAGGTTCTAGTCAGTAACAAAAGCCAAGCAAGAGAAGTAAAATTTATAAAGGACTGGAGAGAAAGAATAAGATAGATAAAATTATTGTGAATGCAACATTTTAAAAGAATCTCAGGAAAACTACTAAAATTAAAAATTGAAGTTAGAAATTTTACTGGATATAAAGTCAGTATAAAATTAATTGTATTTTCACATATCAGCAAGAAAGGTTAGAAAATAACATTTTTAAAGTGATACCTTTTTGAAAGAAACAAAAATTTCAATACCTATGAATTATCCCTTGTAAGATACGTAATACATCTACACATAAAACTATAAATATTTATTCAGGTGTATTGAAAAAGACCTAAATGAAGTCGTTGGATTTTCCCAAAATTACCTATACAGTCAATTTTATATACTAATTTCAAATTTTATGTAAATATGTATAGGTCCAAAGGTAAAAATACAAGCTTAAAAAAGAACCAGCCAGGTGTGGTGGCTCACGCCTGTAATCCCAGCACTTTGGGAGGTCAAGGCGGGTGGATCACCTGAGGTCGGGAGTTCAAGACCAGCCTGGCCAACATGGTGAAACACCGTCTCTACTAAAAAAAAAAAAATACAAAATTAGCCAGGCGTGGTGGCCCATGCCTGTAATCCCAGCTACTCGGGAGGCTGAGGTAGGAGAATTGCTTAAACCCAGGAGGTGGAGGTTGCGGTGAGCCGAGATCGCGCCATTACACTCCAGCCTGGGCAAGAAGAGTGAAACTCCATCTCAGGAAAAAAAAGAACCAACTGAGCATGTACTGTACTGATTATCAAAATGTATAGTACAGCTAGAGTAATTAGGATAGTATGCTATTGTTACAAGAATGGAAAAATAAGCCAGAATAACAAGATGGGCATAAGAGAAATTGAAACATACACACTGGACCCCTGAATTATGATAAAAATGACACTTCAATCATTGGAAAAGGGACAGTGTTTTCAATAAATGATACTGGGTAAATTAGAAATCTATGATTTAAAAAAACTTGGCTCAACTTATATCATCAAACATTAATTTCAGGTATATGATGCATGTAAGTGTAAAACTTAATCAATAAAACTTCTGGAAAAATGCCTTCACAAGCTTGTGTAAATGGAAGCCAGGTTGAATAATATCATTCAGAGTATAGTCTCTGACCACAGTGAATGAGAAATCAATAAAAATAAGATCACAAGGCTAGTAAGCAACACACTATTTTAAATTTTTCACAGTTATCATTATAAGAGAAATTACATTTTAAACTTAAAGATAAGAAAAATAAAACATAAAATTTGTGGGATGCAACAAAGCAGTATTTAGAGAGAATTTTTATTTAATTGCTTGTATTGGAACTAAATGTCACGAGAGGATGGGAAGGCAAGTGGAGAGAGCATGAAAAGAAGTTGGTTAATGGATACAAAAATACAGTTAGATAAAAGGAATAACTTCTAGTGTTTGATAGTACTGTGGGGAAATTATAGTCAACAGCAATATATTAAATATTTCAAAATAGCTAGAAGAGAATTGTAATGCTCCCAACACGAAGAAAAAATACATGTTTGAGGTGATGGGTATCCCAATTGTGCTGATTTGATCAGTACATGTTGTATACATGTATCAAAGTATCATACATACTCCCAAAATATGTACAACTGTGATATATCAATTTTTTAAAATACAGTCTGGGCGTGGTGGCCCACACCTGTAATCCCAGCACTTTAGAAGGCTGAGGTGGGAGGATCGCTTGAGCCCCGAAATTTGAGACCAGCCTGGGAAACATGGCGAGACCCTGCCTCTACAAATAATTTTTAAAATTAGCTGAATGTGGTGGTATGCACACGTGGTCACAGCTACTTGGGAGGCTGAAGCAGGAGGACCACCTGAGCCCAGGAGGTCAATGCTGCAATGAGCCTTGATTGGGTCACTACACTCCAGCCTAAGTGACAGAATGAGACCCTGTCTCAAGAAAAACAACAACAACAACAACAAAAAAAAAAAAAAACAAGAAACGAATGTCTACCATCCAATAAAAAAGTACAAGCTGGGCCAAGAAGCAAGAAAATATGACTTATAACCAAGAAAAGTATTACTCAAAAGAAAAAATAAGTGGAAATGACATAGAAAATACAACCAGCAAAAAGATCTTTAAACAGCCAGTATGTGAATATTTAAGTATTTAATGAAGAGAGAAATTAGTCAAAAACAATGAAACTTCTTGACATATGCAAAATGAAAACTTAACTGTTGGAGACTAAATGCAGATTAAATCATAAGAAAAAATTGTGAATCTAATGACATAATAGACTTTTTCAAAACATAAATACAGAAAGGAAAAGATTGAAAAGATTATTGAATAGCATCTCAGTGACATATGAAACATTCAGTGACATACGATAAATGAATAAGCAGTATAATAGCCATGTATCTTAATATTTTATATACCATATAAACATTAATTAAATATTAAAGAAGTAATGGATAGAAATTTTTGAAGTTTACTGAAAATTACAAATGCAAAGAATCAAGATCATAAACCCCAAAGGAGGATAAATATCACAGAACACACAAACACATAAACTGCATACTAAGAAATATCATAATTAAATAACTGATAAAGAAAAATTATAAAAGCAGCCATTAAAAAAATTACACATTGCATTGAGGAAACAATAGTGACTGCAGTCTTCTCATCAGAAAATATGTAGGCCTGAAGACAATGGAAATATATCATTAAAGTGCTGAAAGAAAAAGGAAACTGTCATCTTAAAAGTTATTACCAATGAAATTGTAATTTAAAATAAAAGGCAAAGTAAAAATGTAGACAATAAATTTCTGAGAAAATTTGTTACCTGTAGACCTGAAATACAAGAATATTGGATTAGGTAACTACGTAGGTAAATATAAAGGACAGTACAAATGTATTTTTTTGTCTGTAACTCTTTGCTCTCCTTTCTAATTTGAAAAGAACTTCAAAAGCAGTAATTATAAATCATGTTGATGGGAATACAATCTATAAAGATGTAATCTGAACAGCACTAATAGAACAAACGAGGGAGTACAAAATGGTATTATACGGAAACAAAATTTTACTATACTGTTGAACTTAAAGTGGTATTAATATGAGCTATACTTCTATAAACTCAGATGTTGATTATAATACTATTGTACTGGCACCCAGTAAAAATTAAGGGACAAATATACTAAAAGAAATGACTATAAAAAATGTCACACAGGCCAAGGACAGTGGCACATGCCTGTAATCTCAACACTTTGGAAGGCTGAAGTGGAAGGAACACTTGAACCCAGGAGTTGAAGACCAGCCTGGACAACATAGAGAGACCCTCATTTCTAAAAAAAATAATAATAAATAACCAGGCATGGTGGTGGGCACCTGTAGTCCCAGCTGCTTGGGAGGCTAAGGAAGGATGATAACTTGAGCCCAGTGTTTGAGGATGCAGTGAGCCATGATTGCACCAACACACTCCAGCCTGGGCGACAGAGCAAGATTCTGTCTGAAAACAAACAAACTAAAAAGAAATAGTAAACTATAAAATATCTACTTAACAAAAAAGAAGTCAGTAACAGAACAATAGAGTAACAAAAAAACGTGATATATAGAAAAAAATAGCACCATGTAGATATAGACCCTACCTTACCAGTAATTATAATACATGTAAATGGATTAAACACTTCAAACAAAAGGCAGATATTGGCAAAATTGATGATAAAAATTGTTTGATAACGATGTACTGTGTACTAGAAAATTGCTACAACAGTACATATAGCTGTTTTCAATACCAAAAAATAGTAAGTATGTGAGATAGTGCATATATTAATCAGCTTGATTTAGCCATTCTACAATGTATATGTATATCAGAATATTATGTTATACACCAAAAATATATACATTTTACTTATCAATTTAAAATTTAAAAATTTTTAAATTTTCCAAGAGAGAAACTTTGTATTTCAAAATTAATAAAACTAGAAATATAAATATAAAATTAAAATCCTCAACAAACAATCCAAATCCAATAACAGATAACTAAGTTTTATTAATCATCAGGAATGCAAAGTTGGTTCAATATGAGGATCAATCAATTATAATAAACTAATTTAATAAAATAAGGACAGAAGCCATATAATCATCTCAATTGATGCAGAAAAGGCATTTTCTGCATCAAAATTCAACACCCTTTTATGATAAAAATGCTTAACAAACCAGGATAGAAGGAAGCTTCCTCAACTGATAAGGAATATTCTTGAAAAACCCACAGCTAACATCATTCTTACTGATGAATAACTGAAGTATTTACTTTTAAGATCAGGAACAAGAAAAGTATGTACGCTCTCACTGCTTCTATTCAACATTGTACTGAAAATTTGTAGTCAGGGCAATTAGGCAAGAAATAAAATAATAAAGACTTCCATATTAAATAGGAAGAAGTAAACTTATATCCAGTTGCTGACATGATTTTGAATGTAGAAAATACTAAGTATTTTTAAAAACCTATCGAAGCTTATAAATGAGTTCAGCCAGTTTGCAGAATACAAGATCAATCAAGTTGATAATTTCTATAAATTATCAAAAAACAATCCAGAAATAAAATTAAGAAAACTGATCCTTTTACTATAGCATCAAAAAGAATAAAATACTTAGGAATAAATTTAACAAAAGAAGCATAAAGAAGTATAAGATTTGTATACTGAAAACATGGAAAAAATTAATAAAAACCTAAATAAATGGAAAGACACCATGTGTTTATGGATTAGAAGATTTAATTGTTAAAATAGCAATGCCCCCAAACCGATCTATAGATTCAATGCAATCTTTATCAAAGTTGCAACTTCCTTTTTGTGTTATTGTCACAGAAATTGACTAGCTGATCCTAGAATTCATATGGAAATGCAAGGAACTTAAAGTGGCCAGAATAGCCTAGAAAAAGAACAAAGTTGGAGGACTCACACTTCCTAATTCTAAAAGTTGCTCCAAAATTACAGTAATTAAAACAGTGTGCTGCTCCTATAAAAATAGACACATAGCTCAATGGAATAGAAATGAGAGTCCAGAAATAAACCCTCACAGTTTTGGTCAACTGATTTTAAAGAGTATGCCATGACAAATCAATAGGGGAAAGAGTCGTCTTCAACAAATGTTGGTGGGACAACTGGTTATCCACATGCAAAAGATGAAGTTGGACTCGTATCTCATATCTTATAAAAAGTAACTCAAAACGGACCAAGCACCTAAATGTACAAACTATAAAACTCCTAGAAGAAAAAAGGTATACATCTTCATGACCTTAAATTAAGCAATATTATTTTAGAAATAACATCAAAAGTACAAGCAATCAAAGAAAAAAATGAATTAATTGGACTTTATAAAAATTGAAAACTTTTGTTATAACGGAGAGAATCAAGAAAGTGAAAAAGGGAATTCATAGAATCAGAGAAAATATTTGCAAATCATATGTCTGATAAAGGATTAGTATCCAAAATGTGTAAAGAACACTAACGATAAAACTATAGATAATCTAATTTTTTAAATAGGCAAAGGATAGACAATTTTTCACATAAAATATATAAGTGGCCAATAAGCACATGAAGACATGCTCAACATTATTAGTCATTATTAGTCATTAGGAATATACAAACCCAAATCACAATAATATACCACTTCCCACTTACTAGAATAGCTATGATCAAACAAGACAATAACAAGTGTTGATGAGAATGTGGAGAAATTGACACCTTCATGCATTGCTTATGGAAATGTAAAATGGTGTATCTGTTTTGGGAAAAGTTTTAGCAATTACTCAAATTGTTAAAAATATAATTAAAATATAACCCAGCAATATCATGCCTAGGTATACACACAAAAGAATTGAGAATGTCCATAAAACTACTTGTATAGTACTGTGCTTAGCAGCACAATTCACAATAGCCCAAAAGTGGAAACCACCCAAATGTGCATCAACTCTTTATCAACAGATAAACAGAAGTGTTATGGCCATGCAAAAGAACACGACTGAGTCATAAAAAAGGAATGAAGTACTTATGCTTGCTACAACATGAATGCGCCTTGAAAATATTATGCCAAGTAAAAGAAGTCAGTCATAAAGCGCTGCATGGTGTATGCTTCCATTGATATGACATGTCCAAAATAAGCCAATCCATAGAGACTGAGGAGAAGGAAGAATGGAAAGTGGACTGCTAATGGTTGTAGAGTTTCATTTTGTGGTGATAAAAATGTGGAAATTCGTGGCAATGGTTGTACCACTGTAAATATGCTAAACCTCACTGGATTGTACTCTTTATAAGAGTGAATTTTGTGATATCTGAATTATAACAAAATTTAAAAAGTAAAACATGAAAAAGATAAGCTATGTCAATCTTAACCAAAAGAAATCTGAAATTATTTTATTAATATTACACAAAGTAAACTTCAGAAAAGCAATATTACCTGGAAAGGAGGGATAGTAACCATTTTACAGGGAACAATTCAGCAAGAAGACAGAAAATCCTACTTGCATATATATATTATTTTGGAGGTTCAAAATGCATGATGGAAAATCTAATAGAATGGAAAAGAAAAATGACAAATCTACAATTTTGGTCGGATATTTCAACACTCTTGCCTCCACTTATAAATGGAATAAAGCACAGGGGTTGGGCTGGAATAAAAAGAAAATATGTAAGAATATTGATACAAACAATATTAAGCAAATTTATACAACTGGCAGTTTTAAACACTCAACAGCAGTAGGTACATATTGTTTCTTTACAGATTTATTGGGATATAATTTACACACCATAAAATTCACCTATTGTTAGTGTATAGTTTGACGCATTTTACTAGGTTTAGGTGATTGTGCCCCCATAACAATAATATGGTCTTAGAACACTAGGATGACCACAATAAGTTCTCTTATGAGGCTTATAGTGAATTGTTGCTCACACTCTTAGGCCTCAGGCAACCAGTGATATCCATTTTGTTTCAACAGTTTAGCCTCTTTAAATTTCATACGAATGAATTCATGTAGTAAGTAGTCTTTTGCATCTGATTTCTCTAACTTAGTAAAATCTCTTGGAATTTTATCCCACTTGTTGCATGTATCAGTATTCTGTCCCTTAAATTGTGTGCATTATTCTAGTGTAGAAATATATCACAAATTATTTATTCATTCACTACTTCATGGGCATTTTGATAAATTCCTATTTTCAGCTATTACGAATTGTGCTGCTATGAACATTGAGATGAACAACTTGATGTAGACATATGTTTTCATTTATTTTGGGTAGATGGCTGGGAGTAGAATACTTAGGTCATATGGCAAGTGCATGTTTAAATTTTTAAGAAGCTTACTAACTGCTTCCTAGAGTAGATCGCTATGTCTTGAGTATGGCCCCTTAAGTTCATGTGTTGGGAACTTAATCTCCAATGCAACAGTGCAGAGAGGTCGGACCTTTAAGAGGTCATTAGCTCATGAAGGTTTTGCCCTCATGAATGAATTAATGCTGTTATTGCAGGAGTGGGTTAATTATCAAGAGGGTGGGTTCCTGATGAAAAAAGAGTTCAGCACCTCACCCTCCACCCCAACCCCTATGTGTGATATTGCCCTTCTGCTTTCTGGTAGAGAATGATGTGTCAGGAAGGCCCTCACCAGATGCAAGCCTCTCCACTTGGGACTTCTCAGACTCCGGAACTGTAAGCAATAAATCTTTCTTCTTTATAAATTACCCAGTCTCAGAAATTCTGTTACAGTAGCACAAAACAGACTAAGATGTGGGTGTACAATCTTACACTCTTACCAGTGATGTATGAGAATTCCAGTTTTCTTCCCACCCATATCAGTACTTGATATTGTCTCTCTCTCTCTCTCTTTTTTTTTTTTTTTGTAGCCTTTCTATTGTGTATGTTGTGGTATGTCATTGTGGTTTGAATTTGCATTTTCCTAATGGTTACTGATATTAACACCTTTTTTGTTCTTAACAGCCTTTACTATATCTTCTGTGGTAAAGTGTCTATTCAAATATTTTGCCTTTTGCAAGGGTAGGATGTGATGTTTATCTCTTTATTATTAAGTTTGAGAGTTCTTTATAATTTCTGGATACAAGTCTTTTATAGGACATAATGATTTGGAAGTATTTACTCCCAGTTTTTGGCTTGCCAATTTTTTTCTGAACGGAATCTTTTCGAGAGCAAAAGCTTTTAATATTAAAGATATCTATTTTTTTCCATTTTTGATAATCCTTTAGGTGACATACCAAAGAAGTTTTTGCCTAATTTGAATCACAAATATTTTCTTCTATGTTTTTTCCTAGTTTTAAAACTTTATCTCTTATATTTGGGTATCTCACCCATTTTAAGTCAACTTTTGATATACATTTTTAGGATCACATAGAATATTAGTCAAGATAGACCCTATGGCCATAAAACAAGCCTCAATACATATAAGAGAATAAAAATCATATGAAATATGCTTTCTGCTACAATTGAATTAAATTTATAATTTAAATTTTAATTTAATTTAATAAATATATTTATAATTTATATTTAATTTATAATATAAATATATAATTATAATATAAATTTATAATTTAATTTAATTTATAATTTAAATTTAAATTATAGAATATATATTCTAAACCAATATATAATCTAAACAAATATATAAAATTTTATTTATTTATTATGGGAATTGGCTCATATGATCACAGAGGCCAAAAAATCCCATGGTCTGTCATCTGCAAGCTGGAGAACAAGGAAAGCAAGTGTTGTAATTTAGTCCCAGTCTGAAGGTCTGAAAACCAGGAAAGCTGATGGTGTAATTTCCAGTTGAGCACAAAGGCTTAAGAACCACAAAAGGGGGCACTGATTTAAGTCCCAGAACATGTATCTTTGAAGGCAGAACAAGGTGAATGTCCCTGCTGAAGAAGAGAAAGTGAATTTGTGCTTTCTCTACCTTTTTGTGTATTCGGGTCCTTAATGTATTAGATAATGACCATCCACCTTGGTGAAGGTGATCTTCTTTACTCAATTCATCAATTCAAATGGTAGTCTCTTTTGGAAATATTCTTACAGACATTTAAAACATCAAAAACATTAGAAATGTTTTTTCTAGCATTCTGGGCATCCCTTACCCCAGTCAGGTTGACACATAAATTAACCATCACAGTTAGCGTATTTCAAATGTACATGTATATTCAAATTAAATAATCACAAAGGAATAATAATAAATTTTGAAGTAAATTATAATGAAAACACAGCATATCAAAATTTGGGAAATGTAGATAATGCAGTGCCTACAGAAAAATGTATCATTTTAATGCTTATATTATGAGGAGAAAACCTAACTCAATGATTTATCCTAATATATAAGCCAAAGTAGAAGTATGAGAAGAAATTAAGTAATATTTTGAACTAAATAAAATGAAAATATAACCTATCAAACTTGTGGAATGCAGCAAAAGCAGGGTCTAGAGGTCAAAAAGTTAAAATCATATGATCACATCAATAAGTGTAGAAAAATATTTGAGAAAATCAAGCCTCCATTCATTTTTATCATTAGAAAACTAGGAATAAAAAGACATTTTCACTACCTGATAAAGAACAACTACAAGTAACCTACATCTAGCATTATATTTAACAGAGAGAAACTAGATACTTCCCCCTAAGACTGGAAACAAGGTAGGGATATCCTTCTCATCTCTCCTATTAACATCTTAATAAAAGTCCTAGCTAATGCAATAAGACAAGAAAAGTAAATTAAAACTCACAGATTAGAAAGGTAGAAAAAAATTATCCTTATTTGCAGGTAACATGTTCGTCTATGTAGAAAATTCCAAAGAATGAACAAACAACAATAAAACTTCTGGAACTATTAAGAGATAATAGCAAGATTGCAGGTAACAAGGTGAATATACAAAAATCAATCGCATTATTATACACCAGCAATGGGCAATTGAAATTAAAAATTAAAAACATAATACCATTTACATTAACACCAAAAAGCTGAAATATTTAGGTTTAAATTAACAAATTATGTACAAGATATATATGAGAATAACTATAAAACCCTGATGAAAGAAATCAAAGATCTAAATAAATGAATGTGGGAAGGCTCAATATTGTCAATATCTCAGTTCTTCTCAACTTGATATGTAAATTAAATGCAATCTCAATCAAAATCTCAGCAAGTTACTTTGTGGATATCTACAAACTTATCCTACAGTGATATGGAAAAGAGAACCAGAATGTCCAACACAATGTGTAAGTAGAAGAACAAGTTAGAGGACTGACACTATCCAATATTAATATTTACTATAAAACTATAGTAATGAAGACAGTGCAGTACTGGCAAAAACAAACAAACCAAAACAGACAAATAGACCAATAGAACAGAATAGAAAATGCAGAAATAGACCTGCACAAATATAGTAAATTGATCTTTGACAAAGAAAGAAAGGCAATACAATGGAGAGAAGATAATTTTTTCAACAAATGATGCTTAAACAATTGGACATGTGAAAGCAAAAAAATGAATCTAGATGCTAATCTTACCTCTTCCACAAAAATTAACTCAAAATTAATTATAGGCCTAAATGTAAAACACAAAGCAATTAAACTTTAATAGATAACATAAGAGAAAATCCTTGTGACCTTGTACTTGGTAATGAGTTTTTAGATACAAAACTAAAAGACAATCTATGAAAAACAAATTAATAAATTGGACTTCATTAAGATTAAAAAGCTCTTCTCTGTGAATATCACTATTAAGAAGATGAAAAGGTAAGCCACAGATTTGGAGAAAACATTTGTGAAACACATATTCGATAAAGGACTTGAATACAAAATATAAAGAAACTCTTGAAACTCAACAATAAGAAAATATGTAATTTAAAAAATGGGTAAAATATTTGAATAACTACTATACCAAGGAACATATACAGGCAGCAAATAAGCATATAAGGTGATGCTCAAAATTATATGTTACTAGGAAACTGCAAATTCAAACAACGAGATACCACTAATGCCTACTAGAACAGGTAAAATTCAAACACTGACAACAGCAAATGCTCTTGAGGACATGAAACAAAAGGAATTTTAATTCATCACCAGAGGAAAGGTGCAGCCACTTTGGAAGACAGTTTGGCAGTTTCTTACAAAGCTAAACATAATCTACCCTACAATCCAGAAATTGTGCTTCAGGTATTTACCCAAATGGGTTGAAAACTTATGTCAGCACAAAAACCTGAACATGAATGTTTACAGCAACTTTGTGCTTGCCAAAATTAGAAGCAAATAAAATGTACTTCAATAGCTGAATGGATAAACAAACTATGGGACATTTATACAATGGAATAACATTTAGTGATAAAATGAGCTATCAAGCCATGAAAGGGTATGAGGAATCTTAAATATTTACTGTTAAATGAAAGAAGAAAAGCTATATACCACATAATTTCAACTATATAACATTTGTGGGGTATTGAAAGACTGTAGGGAGGAATAAATGGAGTACAGTGTATTTTTTAAGGCAGTGAAAATATCTTGTATAATACCACAATGATGGGCACATGACACTATATATCTGGCAATACCCACAAAACTGTACAATACCAAGAGTGAACCATAATATAAATTGTGAGCTTTAATTAATAATAATGCCTCAATATTGGTTCCTCAATTTTAACAAAGGTACGTCACCCATGCAAGATGCAAATAGTAGGAGAAACCATGGGCAGGGGAAAGGAAATGCATGGAAACTCTCTGTACTTTCTGTTCTGTTTTTCTTTAAATGTAAAACTGCTTTAAGAAATAAAGCTTATTAATAATGTATATATTTTTCAAAAACTTCAAAAAATCTAATTAAATAGAGATCTATACCATGTTCATTGATTGGAAGACTCAATATTTTTAAGACAGCAATTCTGCCAAAATTGATCTACAGACCTGAGAAAATTCCAAAGAAAACATAATTTTTACTTAAATTGACAAGTTGACATCAATATTTGTATGGAAATGCAAAAGACTACAAGAGCCAAAAGAAATTTGTAAAAGAAGAATAAGATTGTATTACTTGCCATGTCTGATTATAAGATTTACCATAAAGCTAGAGTAATCAAAATAATGTGAAATTGTCATAAGAATCAATGACATGGCAGAGTTCAGGAACAGACCTATATATATATGACCAATTGATTTCTGACAAAGATGTTATGGTCATTCAATGAAGAAAGGATGGTCTTTTCACAAAATAATTCTGGAACAACTGATATCTATACGGAAAAAAATAATCAGTAATACCTTATATCATATCTACTAATTTGAAATAGATCATAGAAATTAAAACTATCAAATTTCTAGAAGAGAACAGAAAAAAAGTAGCTCTGGAGTAAATGAAAGATTTCTTAGATATGACCAAAAAAAACACAAAGCATAAAAAGAAAATTTGATTGAGGAAATAGGGCTTTATCAAAATTAAAGGAGTTCGCACTTCCAAAAGATGACATTTAGAAAATGAAATGCAAACAAAAAATTGGAGGAAAATATTATCAAAATATATTCCTTATATATTCCTTGTATATTGGAAGATACACAACCCAATTAAAAATTAGCAAAATATTAGAACAGACACTTCACAACACAAAATCTGATGCAAGAATAACCAACAAGAACACAGAGACATATTGGCATCATTGGTCATCAAGGAAATTTGGTTCTTCTCAATAATTTTAGTTTTTCTACTGAAATTCTCTATTTTTTTCACTTATATTTCCTTTACTTAATTGAGTATATTTATAGTAGCTGATTTTAACACTTTTCTATTAATTCCAACATCTGGGTCATCTAAAAATTAATTTCTGTTGATTGTCTTTTTTTCTTGAAACTGGGCCACATTTTCCTGGTTCTTTGAATGTTGAATAGCTTTCGGTGGTATCCTGGATGTTAAGTTGTGAAGACTCTGGATTTCATTATATCACTCCAGTGTTGAAGTTTTTGTTTTACTACTCATTTAATTTGGTTAGATTCACATTGCAACATTTGTCACTCGGGTAGCAACTCAAACCTCAGCTCAGTATTTGGTTATTGTTTTTGTTTGTTTTAATCTTTAACTGGGAAGCATTGAATCTGTTCCATATACACATGATTCAGGGATAAAGTGGAGATTTGTGCGTAGATTATACCTAGAAATTTGGACTATTCCAGTGTCTCTTCTTTTCAGTCTTCTATTTTCACTTTCCATCTCAGGACATTGTCCCAAACTCTATACTCTATTTCAGGAAAACTGTAATTTTTCTATGACTGTTTGCCCCTGGCAATACTGTGTGCAATCTTCTCTCAAGTTAAAAGGCATTGAATGTGCCATTCCTTCTTCCAAGCGTTGATTCCCCTTTAAAATATGCCTGTTTTGTTTACATTCCAGTGCTTTCTGGTTTTGGTTGTTTCACCCCTACAGGAGATGTTATCTGGGGGATGGTAAGGTCTAGTAAAAGTCTACTCAGCAGTACTGAAAACTTATACTTCAATAGTTTCTTAAAATGTTAAGCATTGTAATCCCAGCACTTTGGGAGGCCGAGGCGGGTGGATCATGAGGTCAGGAGATAGAGACCATCCTGGCTAACAAGGTGAAACCCCGTCTCTACTAAAAATACAAAAAATTAGCCGGGCGCGGTGGCGGGCGCCTGTAGTCCCAGCTACTCGGGAGGCTGAGGCAGGAGAATGGCGTGAACCCGGGAAGCGGAGCTTGCAGTGAGCCGAGATTGAGCCACTGCAGTCCGCAGTCCGGCCTGGGCGACAGAGCGAGACTCCGTCTCAAAAAAAAAAAAAAAAAAAATGTCAAGCATATATCTACCATTCGACCCAGAAATTTCGCTCTTGGGTATATGACTAAAAGAAACAACAACATATCCACAAAAAATCTTATATAAAAGTTCATAACAACCTTATTACTAACAAGCAGAAACTGAAAATAACCCCAAATGTCCACTAATTAGAAAATGGATATACAAAATATGGTATATCCATACAATAAAATACTACTGAACAATAAAAAGGAATAAACTGCAGATAACTTACAAAATAAAGAATACATCTCAAAAGTAATATGTGTGCAAAAGAAGCCAGATGTAGAATAATATATATTGTCTGAATCCTTTTATAGGAATTCCAAGAATATGCAAAGTGAAGCCACAGAGAAACATAATCAAAAGTGTAGTTACCTCTATGGGTTGGGGCTGAAGGTGTAGATTGAACATTTCTGATCTGTGCTTTTAACTGAATGTAAATTATACCTCAACAAAATTTTTGAACAGAATGATACATTTATGGTCCAGAAGAAGTCAATGGTAATTTCACCACCTGTTCAATGAACTAGGCATAGAATTGGAAATGGGAGACCATACTACAAAGCTCATTTTTAAATTTTAAAGCCATTGCAATGGTCAAAACTTGTGAAACATGATAGAAATTTTGATAGATGTGCCTCTAGTCATCCATAGAGAAAAGGTCAAGAAATTAAAAACAAAACACAAAAAGCCCATTTCACACATAGAAGGTAAAAGACTTATGTGTGTCTGCTCTTCAGTGTCATACCTGCATCTTGCATCCACATCTTTTCTATGATGGGCTGCACATTGTATCAGCATTGTTTGTGTATGTATGAACCTTGCTCATTGTTTCTCTAGGGGC
The DNA here is from genome assembly GCF_000001405.40 of Homo sapiens. Taxonomy (NCBI): domain Eukaryota; kingdom Metazoa; phylum Chordata; class Mammalia; order Primates; family Hominidae; genus Homo; species Homo sapiens. The sequence continues at coordinate 209,420,541 of NC_000002.12, forward strand.
CACTTAATTAATGTTCATCAACTTAATAAGCAAATCCTCAGCTGAGCTATAATTTCTCATAGCTTTATAAAACTAAAGTGACCTTAGGTGGCATGTGGTTGAGTCTCCTCATTTGCTAATAAAAATATTGAGGTTCAAAATGGTAGAGAGATGTACCCAAGGTCACACAAGCAGGGAACAGCAAATATGGGCCCTCAGATCTGACTTGAAGTCTGGTGCTCTTAACACTATGCAGTACAACCTCCTCAAAGGCTCACCTACTCCTTGACTCTCTGGGGAGAAGGTTTCATTACTTCCTATATACCAGTAGACCTTTCTCTAATCAGTAGAAATACATTTATTCTGATGGTTTTCTGACTGAGAAACTATCAGAAGTCCTGTCCCTGAGAAAAGGGTATGGTTGTTTATGTACGTAATCCTCCGGGCCAAATAAATACAAATCAAGAATTTAGCCTGAAGACAAGACAAGTAATTGTGGAAATCAATATTGGCAGGCTCTTTCTATCTGTGGTTTACTTTTTGGAGTCCAGCACTGTATTAGTCAAGGCTTCTTCAGTTGAAAATGACAGGAATCCAACTACAGCAAGCTTAGAAAAGAAACAAAAATCTATTGGCTTGAAAAATGGCATTTCTACCTTGAGACGTAGCAGGATCCATGGAGTCTTTCAAGTGTTCTTTCTCCATCTCTCAGCATTGCTTTTCTGCATGGAAGGAAATACAGTCACTGACAACTCTATACCTATACCATCCGATTCACTATTGTTCATATGACACATCTCATGGAAAAAAGCCTGATTGGAAATATTTGGGACATATGACCACCCTGTATCAATCACTATACATTAGGAGAACAGGTTCTACTATAGAGTTAGCCAGGGTCACATGTCCACCTCTGAGAAAGAGAAGAGAGGCACACATTTTACTAGCATATGGGGAATCATATGAAAAGGATCATTACTCTAAGGAAGGGATGCTTTGCTGAGGGAAAAAAAAAAGTTCACTTCAACACAAAGATCCCTCCTTAAACCAGAAGCCTAAACATATGGAGTCCCCTCCTAAAGTTGTTTGACATCCCAGGGCACTGACTCCTGCAAACTGTATTTCTTAGGCTGCTTTGTCAACTGACTTTCTTCTAGGTTCACCCAATGACAGGGTTTTGAAATACAGGTTAAAGGAGGGCCACAATATTTCTTTTCACTCTCAGCTTTTGGAGGACCCTCCAGCATTATCTGTCTCCCAGTAAGCATCTCCACTGTGGTCTCAGTTCCTTTAATGTAGCTTGTGCTCCTCATTCCTGGTAAAGCCTCCTCTCTAGCACTCCCCAGCCTGAGAGTGGTAGTACTTTCCTGCTAGTAACTATCATCGTGTTGCCTCATCATCCCCTAGTTGGCTTTTTAGTCATTTGAATCCTTTGTAATTTGTTCCCCATATTAAATTCTCTCTATTGAATTACAACATATAGATGCTATTTTTCTGAAAGAACTCTAAGATGTGTGTCGAGAGGAGGCAATCTCCCATATAAGGACCAGGTTCCCCAAAGAGAAAAGCCATTAGAGTTTGGCTGCCTCAGCTAATCTTAAAGTGGAGGAAAAAACAAACAAACAAACAAACAAACAAAAACAAAAAGTGCTGAGGAACACTGTACTTTAAACTATCAGAGAAATAATGTCTTTTTTATTGCTGTTTTTTAGAGACAGGGTCTCACTCTGTCACCCAGGCTGGAGTGCAGTGGTGTAATCATAACTCACTGCACCCTCAAACTTCTGGCTTCAAGCGATACTCCCTCCTGAGCTGCTGGGATTACAGGTGTGAGCCACCGCTCCTGGCCCTGGAAAATTACTCTCATTGAGCACCTGCGCCTGCATGCCTGGTCATGAATGTCAGCTGCTAACACTCTGGTAGCATGCCTACTCCTTCCTCCCATCCACATACTGTCTATGATTTCCTAGTCTCCTAAGACCTCCTTCTCAGTAAGGCCATCTTCCGAGGAGGAGCATCAACTCCTCCAACCTCCCAGCTCCTGGGTGTGCCTTGATACTTCCAAACTCACTGCAAGCGTCACTGGCACATGGTATGAAGCAGAGCGGGGGAGGCAGGACACAGAGCACTGGGTGTGACTGGGGAGGGCAGGCTTTCACAGCTTCCTCTGTGATGGTTTCTAATCCTTGCAGGCTCCCACCATTGGGTCTCTTTCCATCTGAAAATGGAGGAAATTAGACCAGCTGCCTAAAACATCAACTCTAATGTTCTAGGTTCTAAGATTCTGTGGTTAATTTAAGTGACAGAACCACATTATGGCTGCTGTTTCATCAGCACTGTGAAGACTGTACAAGCCACACCTCAGTATGTTGGCTGACCTTAAAAACACCTTGTCAGTACTTGATATAGACACTCGAAGTAATTCTAAGTTGCATCTTACTTTTCTTACTTACAATAAAATGCTGCTCTCTGATTATGAAGATTCATACTCCTTAGTACGAATGGTAAAGAATCATTTGTTTTCTCAGGTGGTCATTTCACTTTCAAAAGCATTTAAGAGGCAATTTTTTTAAGGGTGATATTTCAAGGTCAACACTTTCCGTGCTTTCTAATTCATTGTATTTGTATCATTCTTCAAAGATCCTTCATATTCATTATCTTTTTAAGCATAAGAGAATTGGGCTGTCATTTTTAGTTCTCATATGACACATGAATACACTGAGAGTTAGATTAAGTGAACTGTCTCTAGAGCATACGTCTGGCTATCTAGAATGTAATAACTATAAAGGGAGGGGATCTTTCTTATTAGGGTTGTGGGAAAGGTCTGTCACTGATGTTTCTAATGCTTAGAAGAGTGCCTGACACATAGTAGGTGTCAATAAACATTCGTTGACTCAATAAATGAATGAATCTAATTCGTGACAGAGCTGGGTCTAGAATTCTCTACTCCCTCAGCCATTGCTCCTTTAGTGCTGACAAGAGTTGTTCTATGTTCTCAAGCGCCCCACATTCCTTTGTCTTTTCTGGATGCACCTGTGGTTGGGTTTGTGAGGCGAGGCCAGTGAGCTTTCCTGGTGAGGTGCCACTGGCAACCCCGCCTCATAGCGACACAGGGGAGGGAAGCAGGGGGTCTGCGGAGGTTGCTCCCGAGAGACTAAAGCTGTTGCCCCCGATTTTCCAAGGACGCCAGTGAGGAAGGCCCGCCTGTCCCGCCGCCCGGGCACTGGCCTCACTTTGTCGCGGGAGGGGACCAGGGCTCTGGAGAAGGCCCGGGCCAGCGGCTGGGCGGGGCTCTCCGAGGCTCCCACCTCGCGGTCCCCGCCTGGCGGCCGGCGGCTGCGGCAGAAGGCGAAGCGGTCGTGCTCCCCCTCCCGGACACTGCGGCGGTGGCAGCGCCAGCCCCGCCGCGGCCGCCCACGGGCTCGCGGAGTCTGGCGGGACCTGCGCGGGGCGGGACCTGCGCGGGGCGGGGAGGAGGGGCCGAGGCGGAGCTGCTGCGCTGGGAGCCGGCTGGGGGCGCCGCTCTCAGTCTGGGGCGGGCGCTCGGGCTGCGCGGGCTCTGGGCAGCAGCAGCAGCAGCAGCAGCATCCTCTCTTCCTTTACTTCCCTTCCGCTTCTTTCTCTTCCTTCTCCTTCTTTTTCCCCCCCCTCCCCTTCTTCCCCTAACCCTTCTACCCCTCTCCTTTTTCTCCGGAGGGCGCTAAGTCCGTGAGCGGTGGCAGTCGCGACCGCGGGTGCATCCAGTTTCTGCGCCCAGGTAAGAGACCGTCCCCACCTCTGGCTCTATGTAGGGCGCCTCTCCTTTTGCCTCGGTCTCTGAGTAGAAAGAGATAGGAATGGGGAGGGGTTGTGTCTCGTCCTCTGGGACTCGCAGCAGGCAGTCTGGTAGTTGGTCGAGTGGCCAGCCGTGCACCTGGCGGAAGATTCGGGCCTGTCCTCTCCAGGTGTCACTGCGGAGCAGGGGGCCGGACGCTACTGGTACCTGAGCCCTGGCTTCGTAGAAGAGCGAGTGAGCTTGTTAGGTACCACTTTGAAACAACTGAAAACTTACGCCAGGTTAGAATACGTGTATCGAAAGCCAGTATTACCTGCGCTGTGGAAAGAAGGGGAGTGGATTCTACAAAGATAGTGGAAAATAGGAAATCGAGGTAGGGGATTTTTTTGTTCATCCAGCTGCAGAGAACTGCACACTGGGAAGTGAGTGAGTGAGGGAAGCCTTGTCCATTTCAAATCATGTTTCTCTGTAATTCCTTCAGAAACAGCTGGGAGAGGAGGACTGATATTTATAATTGTAGGAAAATGAAAAATAAATGCCTGGTGGTGTTGGAGGGCGGGGCACGAAGAAATGAGTCTGGTTAGGCTTCCACACAGTCGTTTTTCTTTTTAAACGTTGGGGGTGGACCTCTGAATCTACAGTGCATCTATTCTTTTCTTCCTTTTCTTTTTAAAAGGCTTTTTTGGTGGGGAGAGGAGGACTGCAGTGCTGGCTGCCTGCCTTCCCCCACCTCGTCTTTTGTTTAAGGATGGAAATTTCAAGAAAGAGTGTGTGGGGGGCTAGGAGTGGGGAGCTGTATATTTGGGTGTGTATAGGGGGAGGGGTATGGATGGAGTCAGAAAAAAAATCCTTGAAAACTGGAAATTAATGTTATTCTGCCTGGCATCCGGACTTCAGGATTTTTGTCAGAAAATAAAAAGCTTTCATTAGCAACAAGCCCGTTTGTGACAATTGCTGTGTGCCATCTGTCGTAAGCTCTTAGCACAATGCTTCCAGGACATAGACGCTTTAAAATTGAGTCCGGTGTAAAGGGTTTTTGTTTAAATGCCTAAACACACAAGTATGCACACAAATGTATAATACACTATATACATGTTACAAAAGGAAATAGGTACTTAAGAGACTGATTTTTTAAAATTGTATTTGAGGGTTTGGAAATTATGTTGTGAATAAAATCTGTAGTGCAAAACAAAAAAATATTGTTGGGTGGTATATAATTTTGGGTGTGAGGCAAAGGGATTGATGACTGTTGGTAAGGAACTAATTTAAATGTTAAAGGTATAATTTATTTTAAAATGATCAGTCTAGAAAAGGAAATGATTGCAAACTGAAATTGAGGTTTGCAGCCACAGTGAGGCGATGGAGAACAAAGCCTTCTATGTGAGCCACATTATGCAAAATGTCCCATGCATGAGCTGCAGGTACCAGCCCAGTTCAAAAGCATAGTTCTTTCACTATGTCATTTCACTGTGGACAATTATGATTTTTTTTGGCAGTCAAATAGATTGAATAAATAGAAGCCCTTTAGAATGCTTTTAATTTTATGCCCAGGGAAAAGATTACAGCCTTCCATCAGAATATAACACAAAGCAGCCCTTTAACCGGGCAATAGGTGTATTTTGGTAGAAATCCTTGTGAATTTGCAAATCATGGATGTTCCAAAAGCCCCAGCCCCATGCACACAAAGAACCCTTCCTTCAAGAAAAAAGGCATTTTTCTCATTCAGTAAGGATTATTATATTTGTGTGTGTATGTTTATGTTGATTTCCTGGTAATTTCATCTGATTATCATAGGTGTACATCTGCATTCATGATTTGTATATTATCAGAGCCATTGTGGCTTTAGGATCAGTGGTACATGCTGTTTATCTGTGGTTTATTTAATTTTAATTTTTCATATTTTACAGTTTGCTACAATATTATTTAATGTCCAAAGTTTTCTTTTTTAAAACCATAAGTAGAAAATTGCTTAACACACATCTGAAGATCTAAGTAATTTAAAAATAGAGCTACCTTTTATAAAATAATATTTTAGTTATATTAATTTTTATTTTATTTATCTCCTCTCTTATTTTTTTCCCTTTTCTAATCAAATAACCTGTTTCTTTATGGCTGCTTTAGTCTTCTATACTGCCATAGGAGGGCCAGTGTTTTCAAGAATTTTGAATTTAGGATTGTTCATTCTCTGCAGCACCTCTCAGGATGACTTGTTTACAGCACCTTCTCAGGGAGGAGACAGGGAAAGAATGTGCTGAAAGAGCATGACCCAGTGAAACTGGCACAGCCATTACCTCATCCTAGTAGGTACTTCAGATTCATTGAGAGAGCAGGCATCCTCTCAGTGGAAACCAAACACCAGGAGCACACCCATCTCAGGGCAAAAGCCTTTCTCTTCCCATAGCAGCCTTTACTAATGTCATTCCACTGAGGTTAAAGGGATATTTTCTCTTTTATGTATTCCTTTTCAGGGATCTTGAACTTGGTTAGAAATATGTAGCCAGAAATGAAACTTGGCACAGAATCCTCTAAGCCTGAAGGAATAATTTCATTCCTTTACCCCTTTTGGTTTAAACCAGTTCGCAAATTTTCTAAACATCAGAAGGGAAAAGGAAGAAAAATGTTGGTGTATTTTTGTGTATTTTCTTATCACACACACATATTTTGTATTGAATTTTACTAGCAGTTAGACAACAGACTGGACATGCTATTAACAAATGTAGTTGCACTGTTGGCATTTTAAAAAATCATTATTACATTTGCTTATAGGACAATAGGTGCATCCTTCAGTGATTCATTGATGTCCTTTTGAGACTGACCATATGAAACTGACATGGGGATTTTAGTATTCAAGTTGGTAACTCTGATTATTGAATCCTTTCAATACTTAATTTCCTCTTAACAGATTAAGATAAAGAATCTGAAATAATAGTTACAGTAGAAGATAGCACCACCCCCAGATCAATACTATCCTCCTTAATGCTAAAAGTAGTCACTTTAGGTAAGTCATTAGTAAATGCATGAACCTGAAGATAACAGTTTTGAAACAATCTCAAATTTTTTTGTCTCTGTTATAGATTAGTTAAAGATGCTAATAAACTCTTTGAGTCATATCTGATTCTCTCAGATATATCAAGTGTTTTTGCTACTTTAATTATCTCTTTACTATTGCCATTACCTTTATCTACTCAATCTAGACCTTTTCATGTAAGGACTGTATTTTGATCATTTCACCATATTTTCCCTCCCTTCACATCATTCTTTTTAATTCGACATTTGGATGTTAGACTTACTGTTCTCTAGCTATTTTGGTTTCAGTAATGTTACTCTCTTGATACAAATTTGGCCTTTATTTTTCATTAAGGAGAGCACTTATTACCATTTATGTATTTATTTATTCATTATGAGAAACAACTTTTGATATTCTCAGTTTTCAATTGCAGAAAATGATTCTAGGCACCAAAAGCAGTTAAAAGTCTGCAAATTAATATGTAGTACACAAAAGGCCAAAGTCAAGGGAGACAGTCTGTATGAAGGTTTGGGTGGGTGGGTAGGTGGGTGGGCGTAGAGGAAGATGTGGAATGAAAGCAAATTCTCAGCTATTAAAAGCTGTCCATGTAGGGTAGAGATGAGCCTTTTTGTCTAAGAGGGTGAAGAAGGAATAAATGTTTTGTTTTTCTGTTTCAACATATTTTGTCCCCATCCCTCCCCTGTCATGTCTTTGAACTAAGGCCATGGTGCTTCCTTATAAAAATTATACAGTATGTTTATTGGAAGGAGTTTTACAGTGAATTAGGTGAATTCAGAATTTTAAAATGATGTGAACACAATTAGATGAATTTTTATGAAAAACACTTTGAATCTAATCTTTGATCTTTCCTGTTCAAGACATAAGCTTTCCTTTGAATGGTAGTACTTTAACTGTAATACATTTTACTTAAACATTTCAGTAAAATTCTATGGAAAGTTAGACAAAATAAAGAGCTCAGGATCCTCTTTCAGTCTACTGTTAAGTTTATATTGTGGAAGTTGGGGAAAGTTTTAGACAGTTTGTTTTCCGTTAAAACACACACTAGAGGGGGCAAATTTCTTTTTTTTTTTTTTTGCTTTTTGTTATGTTAATGAGCAAATAATTTACTTTTAAGATCACATACCTTGACTTTTTTCTTTCCTTTTTTGTCTTCTTTCCATTCTCCTCTTTCCCTTTTCTTTTCTTCTTTACTTAGATTGCTCCTTTCTTTCAGTTTGTATTGGCAAAATAAACATTGGTCTTTAGAAAATGAAATTATAGCCTGATATTCTTATTGAAATTTATTTTTCATTATATTTATATTTCTCATTTAACATGAAGTTTTATGCTAACCTCTCCTCCTTCTCAAGGCTCCATCCCTATCTTGGTCCTTTCTTTGAACTTGGCTTTTATATCCCCTAGGCTTCAACAGTTTTTTCCTTGTATACCAATCTTTCATAACGCTTTGTACCTCAAAAAGGCCTTTAAAAACCAGAAGAAAAGTTACTACCCTATTTCTCCCGATTAGTTTGTATCCAAGTTTATTCAGGTTCCCTTAGGTTATAGGTAATTGCTCGCCTCAATGTGTCCTCATTAGCCTTCTTTGAATTACTTTATTTTATTTTATTTATTTATTTATTTATTTATTTATTTATTTATTTATTTATTTTGAGACGGAGTCTCGCTCTTTCGCCCAGGCCGGAGTACAGTGGCGCCATCTCGGCTCACTGCAAGCTCCGCCCCCCGGGTTCACGCCATTCTCCTGCCTCAGCCTCCCGAGTAGCTGGGACTACAGGCGCCCGCCACCGCTCCCGGCTAATTTTTTGTATTTTTAGTAGAGACAGGGTTTCACCTTGTTAGCCAGGATGATCTCGATCTCCTGACCTCGTGATCCGCCCGCCTCAGCCTCCCAAAGTGCTGGGATTACAGTCATGAGCCACCGTGCCCGGCAATTACTTTAAAGACATTTTCAGACAAAAGTAATACATGTATACAACGAATTTTTTTAAATAAAAAATTTGGCTAGCCAACTGACTTTTTATTATTTTGTTCATCAGACACTATAAAACATGGTTCAACTAGTTTTTTTTTTTTAACAACTAGTAAAGTTACTATGTGTCAGGCAGTCCATTGTCTTTATGTTAGTTAACTAGTTCCACTAATGTGTACCTATTAAGTGAAGTATGAACTACTCTATGAGCAATCAGTAAATGTTGAACTAAATTAATTTAATTTTAAGTAAAATATTCCTAATTACATTTCTCTGTATAGCATCATCATTAGCCATCTTAATCTACCTCAAAAATGACCATAAAATACAGTGCTTGAATATCATGAGATATTTCATCGCTTAACTGTCTAGGTCCTTTACAGTTAAAGCAAACTCACAAGTAAATATACAAACTGACTCTATTTGAGACAAAACCATCATTTCAATATGAACCCTTTACATTTATTTAAGTAGTAATGGATTTTAGGTGGCTACTACCTTTGCATTACAACAATTTAAAAGTACAACATTGTGTTGTTAATGCATGGTGCTGAAATTACATAATGAATTGGCATGAGAAAGTGTTCATCAATTTTAAAATGAATAATATGGTATCATTTTGATTGGTATTAAGGCAATTAAATAATGCTCGGCTTTGACATTTTACTATTTTATTTGGGTATTGTACCTCTCAAATTGGTAATTTTCTCTTCCCTTAAGAGTCTACCTTTTTGAGCAAAATAATGTATTAAGTAATAGGCTGCCTATTTTTTATTGTTGTTTATATGATTCACTACGTCCTTTTGGCCCACTTTGAAAAACAAGCAAAAAAGTTTTTAGGATTCAGTTATTCATTCTTTTTATCTTAATAGGTCATCTAGTATAGCCAGGAAAATATTTGATTCTTTAATTTGCTACAAAACTTATTTATTGTTTGAACAAAATTTTCAATCTGTAGCATACAATTTCTTTACTTAGTGGATGAGAACATGGAATTATAATACTTGTAACAACTTCTCAGCCTGCTAATTTTGTCTACCTGGTGTTTCACAAGGGCTAACATGATGGTGGCAGTGGTGGTATTTGTGTGTTTGTGTATAATTACTTTCTAAGATAGAGTTAGACTTTTATATATTTGCTTTTTTCATTGGTGAAATCAATTATTATGCAATCAGTTGATTCCACATGAGAACAGTTGGTATTAAATACAATTTAATAGGGAAAACAATGACCAAGTATTTATTAATGAAATCAAATTAGATTAATATTAAAGTATTGCTGTATTTTTCTGTTTGGATTAAGATAGTCCAGATTCCATTGTTCATTATTGAAATCAAATGGTAAAGCTAAATCTTGTGCTCAAAATTAAAACATCTCCATGTTGATCAAAATGTCCTAAGTTGGAATACTGGCTACTTAAATGTATCTTTTAAGAAGTTCAGGTGACACTGCTTTTACATGGAAAATGCCCTTTATCTTCACTTAAACATCAGAAACCAGGACTGATGGAACTTTTAAGAATTTTGCTGCTAGGAGAACATAAAATACTAAGCATCTACTGAAACCTGAATCTCTTATAAAACAACCAAGTGACTATGATCTAGGACTTATTTAAAAGATCTTTGGCCACTGTATCTCAGACTAAAGTTTTGCCTTATTCGGGATGAAGATTATTTCAGAGCACTGAGTGGCCTTTGGTGAAACTTAACAGTTTTTTTCATTTGTTTAAGTTCTTATAGCTTTAAAACTCAGTCACGAATTTCATGCTTTTTCTTCTTTTGTCTTCAGTAGCACCATATTGAGAGTGGTCAATATCAAAACTGGCAGTATGAAGCTTTGTACAATCCTGGACATTCTTACTGCCTTATTTAGTCGCTTCCCAAATGGTATCATGAGGGTATTAATAGGAATGCAAAGTTCTCCATTAAAAAAATGGCATTTAAAATGGATAAACTGATTTTTAATAAAATCTTTTTATTCCTAACATATTTATGATTTATGTAATGGAATAACTTTTTGTAGCCCTGTTAATTACTGGATTAGAAGGACTGTGTGTTTACATATCTGGAAATATTTAAAATGCTATTAAATGCATTCTTTTTGTAATTAGTTAATTATTTTTTACATTTACAAATGAGAGTTACAAATACATTCTTTATTTCTGTGCCTCTGCCCCATCACTGAAAAGGCATCAATTCTCAAGACTTGCTATTTATATATGAATTAGAGAATGTTTGATGGGGAAAAGAGACTATCAAGGGCAAATGTTGTGAACCTGTGGAGTACATATAAGTAAACTGGGACAGTGACCATTTAAGTGACTTTCCTTATCTAGTTAGTAGGGGAAGCAGGCCTGAGACTCAATAATTCAGGCTCAAACTCAGTGCTTGGTAAGAGGTGTCACTGAAGACTCATCTCATTCTGACTGCCATTCCCAATTCTGATTATATTTCTGTTCTCTGAGCTGAGGGTGGATTGAGGTGGCAGTCATACCTGCCCAACTTCGTGACTCAACTGTGACTTTCACATGGATATAAAAGAGGGAGGGGCTCGGAATTCTAGGGTTATTCCAACCAGCTACATGCCAGCTACACTACTGTAAGCACTGAGACTAAATCTGATCCAGGAAACACTTACAAAGCTACTGCTCCAGGGCCATTCCTGTGGTTTGGATCTCTCCGGATAGTAGTTTAAACTCTGGGGATGTGTGCCCAGACTTGGAAAGCCAATGAGCTTTTCTGTGAGCTTGAACTATCCATACTGATGCCTCCAGACTGATTTGAGTCTGTATTTAAACTTGGCTCAACATATAAGGGGAATCCAACAAAAATAGGCAGGTTGAAACTTTTTTCTCATCTGTAATGCCATTAAATTTCCTTCAAATTGCTTTCCTTTTGCGTTTCTCCCAGATTTAACATTTTTAGCTAAGAAGAAGTAAGCTAGAAAGGCTGTGGGCCTCTGTGTTTGTGCCTATTTTCCACTTACCTTCCTACTCTTATGTGCCTTCCTGTTTCTCTGCCTACAGTGCTCTATCCCTCTTGGTTGTTGTTGTTGTTTTGCTTTTTCCAAGACTGCATATTAAATAAGAATTGGGTGTTGCTGTGGTTCCTGTGTTCAGCAGAGCTTCATCTGCACCCATGCTGCTTAAGCGTTATGGAATCTTTAGTTGACAAATACTTGAAAGCCACGAAAGGCATCTTAAAGGAAAGAAATTAAGTAGAAATTGTGCTTAAATATTAAGGAGAAACATATTCCTGGTCACTGAAAACTGAAACCATACCACTATCAGGAGAGTGAAATAATTCTAATGCCACCATTCTATTAGAAAATTCCGTGTAATATGTCTTAATTCTCTCGATGAACATGTCTAATCATCCATCAGAGTCAGAGTGACTGTTTTATCACTGAGTAGATTGTACAGAGTTTCTTATAATTTCCATATACATTGATGAAAAATGGGTTGTGCATATTGGTCTTCCTCTGAAGTGTCTTTATGTGGTACAGGGAATAAAACCACCTGGATTGTATATCAAGAGTCAACACATATAAATGCAGATCTCTTAAAGTAAGATATTTCATACTCTTCTTAGTTTATTTTATTTGGTGGTCTGAAATTTAAATAATCTGTAAAGAATTAAGATAATGCCTTTTAGAACATGATGTTCTTACTTGGGAGGGATTCACTGTCTCTGTCTCTTCTACTTGAATATCAGGCTAGTGTGTCCTTTCTTAGATCATAGCCCATGGTTCATTCACTTATTTATTAAACACATGGTTATTGGGTTCCTAATATTTAGTAGGCACTTTTCTGAATGTGGAAAATATCAGAAGAAACCACATAAATTCCTGTCCTCATGGAGCTAACATTCTAGCAGCAGGAGACAGACATTAACAAGTGAAATAATAAATGAACATTTCAGACACAAATAAATGCTGTAGGGAATATACAATAAACATATATAATAGAGCTTGTCTGTGATGGGATAGGCTGCCTTTGGAGGCATGAGTGATGAGAAGTAGCCAGCCACAGTAGTACCCGGAGGAAAAGCTTTCAAGTGAGAGAGAGTAGCCTCAAAGCAGGAAGAAGCTTGGTATATTTGGAAAACAGAAAGACCAATGGTACTGGAGTCCAACAGACACGGTAGAGGATACTGGGACACTTAAGTCAGAACAGAAGGCAGGTACCAGGCCACATTGGTCCTTTTGACCCTGATAAGGAGTTTGTCTTTTATTTAACTTGCACTGCACTGTAATTTTTCAGGTTGTTAAAAGCAGAATTTTTTTAGAATCTCATAAAAGCTTTCAAAGATTAATTATATCTTCTAAATCCCTCTAGATATATCTGTATCTTATTTGCTAATGTGTTAAATCACAAGAGAGAAATAATTTAGAAAATCAGAAATCAATGGTGGAAACAAGAGTAGACTTTTGGTAAGCTGTTCTTATCTAATGCTGTAACGTAACTCAAACTGTGTCATTTTTTTTTGGCTGTTGGTGAGTTACATGCATAATTAATTTTAATCACTTGTAGTCTCTTTGTACCCCAAACCAAGCTTTTCAAAACAATCTAAACAGAAAAGTACAAATTCATGTTTGAGGGAAGTAGTCAAAAAAAAAATTCCATTCTCAATATGAATGGGTCCTTTGGCTATTTCCCCACAGCAGATTTAGTTGTAAACAAGGTCAGGTGCCAAACAACAACCAACATTAAATAACAGTGTAACACACATTTTGCTTCTTAGAGACAATGGTCTAAATCTCCTGACAATTTGGTAAATGAGCGGATCCAGTTTCATGATAATCTTGAATCATGTATGAGATTAATAAGCAGTGTACCTCTTTATGCATATATTGCTTATACTAAAATATTTAATGCACTTTTCAGATATTTATGGACTTAGTGTAATGCTCTGTTGAGTTTAGCTTTAAATACACTTTGCAGACATTTGATTTATTGTACTTTCGGCATGGTTCAGAGCTGTTTACTTTTTTCCTAAGCATGCCCTCAATAAACAAAATTATTATTTTTTTATTTTGTCATATTATGATAGTTACTGGACATTTCCAAAATATCACATAATTTAGGAGAAATTAATATTTTTATTTTATAATGGGGTATTTAATTATTGTTGATTTTTGTTTAAGCCTCTTTCCTTGACTTCTGTTTTATTTTTAGGATTATTTTTATTATGTAAATTACTTTAATGTGGAACCATTTGATATAAGGATCTTCCAGACTTGCAGTTACTGAAATGTTAAAAATATGGGACAAGCATGGTTACTCATGCCTATAATCCTAGCATTTTGGGAGTCTGAGGCAAGAGTTCAAGACCAGCCTAAGCAACATAGACCCCAAATCTACAAAATAATTTTTTTTTTAATTAGCCAGGTGTGATAGTGCATGTCTGTAGTCCTAGCTATTCAGGAGACTGAAGTGAAAGGATTGCTTGAACCATAGAGTTTAAGGCTACAGTGAGCTATGATTGTGCCACTGTACTCCAGCCTGCATGACAGAGCCAGATCCTCTCTCTCTCTCTCTCTCTATATATATATATATGTTATATATATATGTTATATATATGTTATATATATGTTATATATATGTTATATATATATGTTATATATATGTTATATATATATGTTATATATATGTGTTTTATATATATAAAGCAAATCAACAAATAATTCAAATATATTTTAAATTCTGAATAGTATTCTTGGAATTATATCCAAAATATGGGCTTTTTAATATTGAGATATTACTAAGCATCAAATATAAATTAAAATGTATTTCAAAGGATTAATGAAAGAGCTTTAAAAAGAATCAGAAAAGTAATTAATTTCTTCTATATAGACAACCCTGCTTGTGCTATAGAATATCAAATATACAGCATATTGTTCTCCTCTAGTTGACAGTCACTAGAGATATAAGACATAAAACTAGTATTAAAAATAATATAATTTACAACAATATTAATGGTAAAAAAAAAAGTATGTCTTATAAGTGCCAGCAAATTCAGAGGAGGGAGTGTCATTGCCATGTGCAGAAGTGAAACACATTATGTCAGAAGTGGCATGAGTGTGTGTAGGTTTGGAAAAGCACCTAGATAGGACAATAGCAATATCAAAGGCACTGAGGACAATAGCAATAGCAAAGGCACTGAGGTGACAGTGAGCAAAGCAAACCAGATTGCATGTAATAGAGGGTTCCTTTTGGAGAACAGTTGCCTGTGTGGGTGGTGCTGGATTTGTAGATGTCCTTAGTAAGAGATTTGGTTTCATTGTAAGGCCACTGGCATCAGTGAAGGATTTTTGACCTGGGAAATGGCATGAGGAATGTGATATATTCAGATTAGCAAGAAAAATTTGGGGAAAGATAGTGGCCTGCCTAGAATTTCTACATATGGTGTAGCATAGAGACATCAAACTATTTAGAGTGGGAAACTAAGGTACTTCTTTGGAAATTTTGGTTACAGACATTTTCACATACAATTAAGAAAATATCAACACTAAAGAATGGGATTGTGTGATGCTGGTGGAGATGGGTGAGAGTTAGAAGCCATGCAGAAATGTAGTCAGTCAGTGAATAATATAGGCTTCTATTCGGGTTATGTCACGTGCATGCCAAATATATATATTATATATATAATATATACTATATATACAGTATATATTATATATAATATATACAGTATATATTATATACTATATATACAGTATATATTATATATAAAATATATATATATGTACTGGCCTTGGAAAATAAAGCAAAAGAACAAAGATTAATTTCTATTTAATTCCTTCTAATTTCTAGGTCTTAATGGAAATGGACTTCATGACTTCACAGATTAAGTTAGTAAACAGTTTTTGAAAATCAGTTATATGTGTGTATATGTATGTTAACAAATTGTCTTTCAGAAGATTACAAACACATTCTTGTTAGATATTTATTTCTAATTTTAAAGGTTTGCATTAAGACGTATTAATATTTTTATAGTTAATGTACTGTGGTAGGGATTGGCAAGCTATTTTATCAAAGGGCCAGACAGAAAATTTTTAGGCTTTGTGGGCCACGCGTAGTCTCTATTACAATTACTCAGCTCTGCTGTTGTAGCAAGAAAGCAGCCACAAACAATAAGCAGTTCTTATCATGTTCCAATAAAATTTTATTACTAAAAACAAGTGACAGTCCCATTTGACCTTCAGACTGTATTTTGTCAACCCCTGGCATATGTTGTCATGGTTGAACATGAATCCAGAAAATGGCTTTGAAATTATAAAAACCATACTGTTAAAAGATAACAAATACATGAAGACTATGTGAAGACAATAGTTAATATATTTCCCTTTATGAAGTCCCATGGATGGAATCTTTAGATTTCTCTCAAGTCAGAGCATGTTAGATACTGGAGACTCTTTCCTAAGCCACTAGCTTGGTTTTGGAATCAGTGTTTGTGACGTTGATTTTGTCTCCATTTTTTTCTTGGCTTCTAGTAATCTCAGAATAAAATCGTGTCCCCCTTCAAGTAACTGTGTAGAATCTTTAGTAGACATTTCATACACTAACATTTTCATGCATCGTTTTCTTATGATTTCTCTTTATCCTAATTTTATTGAATCTTTTTATTAAAAGGTAAAATGTAAATCAAACTACATTCTGTATTTTCATCAGAGATCTACTTTTAATGAAAGTCTGTGACCAGAACAGTATTCACTTTTCAGAAGGAAAAGATGGCATGGCCTTTCAATCATATTGTACTATCAAATTAGGACAGATTGCATTGTTCTTGTTCAGTTTTCACAACTGAAATCATTTTCTCAAAAATAAATTATAATGTGTGTGTGAATATGCTGTTGGAGGACATTTGTTAAATCTGTTACCCTTGCACTTAAAAAAAATGGGGTGGATTTGTTGCTTCTGAACCTTTCACTGTTCGTTATCACAAATGTCTTTTAAACAGTTTTTCAACCCTCTCAACTTTAGTGGTCCTGGTAGGAAGATGCTAAGACCCAGGTATTTTGTCTTATAAGTGCATGGTCATGAAAATATTCTGAGAATTAGAATTTAGATATGTAAGCACTATTCTGTCTCTCTCCAGAATGCCACATGAGGTTTTCTCATTCAAACTGAAATCTGGGACTTATAGTATAACTGTGAATTTTGATTTTTGTTTTGTTTTACATATTCTCATGTGAAATTGTACTGTTGCCTTCTAATTTCGATAATAGGTAGATATTGTGGATACATTGGAATTAGAATTAAATAATTGGCCTAATTTTAACTGTCCTATTAAATCAATAGTGAGATTGTTTGACTCTTCCAGAAATGACACGATGGACAAGAGAGCCCCCCATGTGACCATTAGCCTGAAAACAAAAACTTACTAATTAGCTGTGACTTGATAATGATTCTTAGACATAATCAATGGGAGTGTCAAGGGAAATGGCAATATTCTTCTTTAAAAATTAAGAAAAATAGAAGAATACTGTACAAAAATACATAAGTTAGAAAGTTCTTGGTTGTCAGATAGTTAGTGGTTTGTTCCCCCTTATCAGGACTTGTATTTGAGATAAGTCGTTCCCCTGTAATCATCTTGCATTGTTTAGAGTCACAGAGAATTAGAAATGTAACAAGTTGCATTTCAACCAGATGTGGAACATAGACAACACCTTGAGTGATGAGCCATAGGTATAGTCAGAACCAGATTTCAACAAATATTATTGCCTAGGTGCAATTGCAAGGAAAGTACAATAGGCATGAGACTGTACTATTGTTATGGTAGTGAAATATATAAAGTATCTCGAATATTAGCAAGAGGTTACATTAAGCTAAGTTAGTCAAAATGAAAAGATGGTGTTGTACTTTGCTAAAGTGAGTTCAATTTTATTTTCCCATGGCAAAGAAAAAAATTCGTATTTTATTATACATATCAGATACTTATGGAAACAGTCTGTAGATAAGGATGTGGATGTAAATGGAGTATGAATATTTAACCTTGAGAATATTATTTTCATTATTTTAAAATAATTATTTCAGTAAATTGCTTAGGGTTCCTGTATTATGCAGGGTTATTTTTTGCATTACAAAATATTTCAAAAACATGAGAGCAGCCACTGGAAACTTTGTGATGAATTAAGTATTCATGACTTTGTATCTTGTGATTAAAACATAGTTTATTGTGTAAATAACTCCACCGATTTTATTCAGCATCCTTTTTCTGGGAATATAATTAGGAAAAGTCATTGAACAATTGCAGTTGCCTTTCTCAAAATATTATGCACCTTCTTAAACCTGCAGAGAAGATTCTATATGTTTATGGAGAATCTCCTCTCACCATTGAGCTGAGGAGCCCTGGTTTAGGCCAAGGCACATCTGGAAAATGCTTCTCCTTAGAAAAGTACTATTGGCTTAAACAGAGTGGCACCACTTATTCATGCCATTTCTGGACTCATGTCAGCATCCTCAGGATGGAATGAAAAGTAACCTTACGATGACACGGCTCTCTGGTGGTCAGATTTGCTGTTACATATCATCTTCATAAAATCTAGGTATACATATATTCAAAACACAGACAATATTTCAAATTTTTGGATAACTACATTATATTATTATTTATAATATAATCTAATAATAGAATAAAATAGACCTCCTGTTGGAAAAATCCATACCAACTCTAATAAAAATTTCATTTTGCTCTTAAAAATAACATACTGATTTTTATTCGGTTGCCATTTAACTGCATAAAAATTTTTAAGTTAGACATTTGAAGTTATACATGAACAGTGTAATGCCTCCTCATTGATGGTATATAAATAAAGTTTCTTCTCTAATTCCGAGGTTGGAGAGAATAAAATGGAGAACAAAGAGGGGTATCATATGGTGATTGCTTTGTATAACTCCAGTTTGACTGAGTGCTGTTATTTCTGTGTACCCACATTGCTGCTCTGTTTTGTCATTTATAAGATTATACATTTGATTACCTAATTCCATGACTACATGTGATTGCTAAGGTCCACATTTATTAATACCTATACTTCTTTGAACAAGATGCCTAATATGTATGTGTGTATAAATGTGTACATATATATAATTTACAAAGGACAACTTTGCATAGACTCATAAAGGAAGTACTGAAAAAAAATCTAAGTTGAAACTAAACTATGACTTTCTTGGCCCTTGTTTCAGTATTTTTAAGGTGAGGATAATTACCAAAGATCTCTTGAGTTTTTTGTTTTGTTTTATTTTTGCTTCACATCTAGGAATCTGGAAGTCAAATTAAAGCTATCTTTTAGAGCAAAGACTTATTGTTTCTCAGGAAGTGAGAGAGAGTGAACAAAATATATGCCACAATTGTAGCTCCATAGAAAAAGGCAATGTCAACAGTTTTACCCTACATAAGAGATGCATATCACTTATTGGTCACATTAGCCATTTGAGAACCGTTAGAAAGTAAGCAACTGTCACCCTTTATAAAATTGTATAAAGTTTATACAATTTTAAGTCGATGTTATGTTATCCCAGTGCTTGGTACTGGGATATACAACATGAATAGATATAGACAAAGCACTGAATTTATCTGGAGGAGAATGTAAATAAAATAACATCTTACTGACCCCTATTTATTTTATGGTTTTATTGTCCACACAATAACTTTAAAAAATCATGATAAGTTACAAACTGTTCTATTACACTGTGTTTAGATTTATCACTCTATATCATTTTATAGGCCACATAATTTTTATGGAATAGTTCACTTTTTAAATATTTATCCTTGAAACATTCACTAATTTCAGTTTTGAAGTTGTGAACAAGACACCATAGTCACTACATAATTTTTGTTTCCTTGTTTGTACAGTATTTGCAATATTTCATTCTCTTATTCACCATGATATCCCAGTTGTGTCTATGAAGGGAATGGTCAATAAGTATTTTTGAGTAAATCAATGAATAGTTTTAGAGACACAAGCTTAGAATCCCAAAAGGTTTAACAAAACTTATTTCATCCTATACCAAAAAGGAAATGGTGAGTACTTTTGGAGAAAACAAGATTTGAAAGAATCAACACTATCTGTTTCTCTTAAAAAGAAAAAGAAACCTCATTCATTTGTCTAAAATATCCAATTTTTATCTTTGACACAGAAATTCTTATAACACCGCCCTCTTATTGAGTCCTTGAGAAAGTCATTTGACCCTCTGGGCCTTAGTTTTCTAATAAAATAAGGGGATAAATTTGTCTCCAAGACTGCTTGTTTTATGGTTAATTGGAAGAGCATTGCATTAATTCACACTTTTACACAAATCAGTCATCTTAGCTACCTGTTTGCTCAAAAAAGACTGCAATAGTTGGAATGCTGGACAGGTAAGTTTTTTTTGTTTGTTTTAATTAGGGAAATCTGAATGTCATAAAGGAAGGTTGGAATTATAAGGCACCTTTCAGAGGAAACAAATCTATCCACAGTGAACACTTACTTTATATTCAGCAAGTGTTTATTAAGAACCAGTTATGAGTTTCCTACTGTGATGAGCCATGTTAGCAGTACAAAGTAAAAGACAATCCCACATCCTTGCCCTCCTGAAGCCTGTTACCCAGTTGAAGTCAGCCACCTCACATCCTTTTGGCAACTAAACAGACTATAAATAAGTGCTTATCATATCACTAATTTACATTTTTAAAAGTCTTTGGGGGAGGAAACATACATGTGATACACTTAAATAAGAGCCCAGTCATAATTATAGTTGTGTGCTAAAATCATCATTTATGGTCATGTATAAAAATGATGATTCTAATGCATAACCATGTAAATAATGATACAAGTAATCAGAGCTGTTGGAAAGATGAGACTGAGACAAAGTTTTGGGAAAAGACAGATACAACTTTACATTCTTTGTAGATTATATTCACCCTTCCTGTATCTGGTGTGGATTTTTAAAAGAATAAAAAATCTTCTTGAAAAAAATAATTTGCAATAGAAAGGCAACAAGGTTGTTTTTCTTCACTAATGTACATAATACCACGTTTTATTTCTTTGGGCAGTTAAGTCTTAATTCATCAGGCGTATGGATAAAACATTACTCATAAATCCTTTAAATTTTTTGTTATATACAGATGATCTACCAATGTCTATTTAAATTCTCTGAGAATGTCTTCCACTTCAAATGTAAATCCTTTGGAGGACATGATGCTTTGGAAAAGAAGGGAAAAAGGAGGTATCCCCAAAGGATTTATTGTACTGCTTTTCGAAGTGGAGGCCAGCTGTTTTTGGACCTAGAATTAAAATGTAAATTATCAAAGGGAAATAATGAGAGCCATTCCTTTTAAACAATGCCCAGTGCAATCAGAGTAAGAAAAGGATTTAGGGAGATTTCCTTCTATGCACAAGTCACGAATGATGAAGTGAAAGGCTGGGAGGGAAGTGATTTGCAAGGAACTAAGTGAACACAACCCACTGATTGTCTAGGACACTTAGAAGTTGAATTAATCGAGGAACAGGCCTTCAGTTCTGCTGGGCCTGAATCCAAATCACAAGATAACTGTGCATGGAACTTAGGAAGTTACTACATTAGTACTATAGCAGGACTGTAAATGGAACTACAGTGCCGGCATGAGTTGCATTTCAATTCATGTGGTTTTTGAATCAAAACAGAGGTCTTTTAGCACAATGTAGTCAGTCAGTGCCACATGGGAACAAAACAGAAAGATTATACATGTTTCCTCAGGATTGTCTATATTAATTATTGGACAAACACCCATAAAAGCTTTTAAATTTGAGGATTTTCACAAATAAATTAGTTTTTATTATGTTTTTCTACAAATGTAAGTGCTTCAGAAAGGCCCAGATGTTCTAACCAGGGCTACATACATAGAGTATACTCATTTAACTATTTCTATTAAGTCCTAATATTTAATGTCAATCAGATGTCCTAGTATGTGATGAGGAAATAAAATGTTGATGAGGAAAGGAAAAAGTGTAGATATATTGATTTGTAATTGGTTTTTACACAAGTAAACCACTAAGTTGAGGGAGCAAAAGAACTTTAACCTCAAAAAATTGGGGGGTCTAGGGGCCCCCAAGACATTGATCAATGATTTTGCCTTTTTGTATGGGTTGGTGAACAATTTCTGTAGTGTCCAAATGACTAAAGATCAGATTGCAGTTAATGATTGAAATAGTAAGAGATTTTATTAGCAAGTAAATGTTTAATTATCAGCTTAAATTTTGGCATTATCTCCTCATCCTCTACCTCCAGTATTTTATTAAGGTCCCTGACTCTTCTTTCTGTTTACACTTTCACTGGATGATCTTTTCCATTGTCCGATATTTAACAACCATTTGTATTCTGACTACTTCCTAATCTGTATCTCCAGTTTGGGAATCTTCCCTGAGAGTCAGGCTCATATATCCAACTGCCTGCCAGGTGGCTTCACTGGTGTTCTGCAGGCACTTGAAACTCAACATGTTCATAATGAAACTTATTTCAATATCCACCCTTACATTCCTCTTAGAGTCCCCATTTTAGGTCATGGAACTATTCCAAGTCAGAAATGAAAAAGTCATCCTAGACTCCTAAATATATATTTCTTTCAAATTTTTCTCCTTTTCATCTCTACTGTCACTGAATTTGTTTTTCACCTTTCGTCTGAAATATAGCATTTGATTTCCTTGCCTCCAAACTTTTCCCATTAAATTCGCTATTTATATGAGCCAGAGTGATTGATCTTTCTTATCTGCATATTTAACCAAATCACTCCTCTGTTTAAAATCCTTCCTCCAGTATTAATATAGCATATAAAACCATGCAAATCTGGAAGCATGCTATCTCTTCAATCTTATTTTCAGCCACTCCCTTCCTGTATTTTTGGCCTCAGAAATACCAATCTACTATAGTCTCCACACATTACTTGCTCTGTTCTTCCCATTATAGGTTTTTTTTTTTTCTCCTTGGCTAGCTGCTTTTAATCTTTCAAAACCAGCTCAGTTTTTGTATTTCTATCCCACTGTCTATTTATACTTCTTGCAGGAAGTAACCATCATATTCATTTTTGTAAATCCAGTTTCTAGCAGAGTGCCTGGCATATACTATGTACTGAATAATTATTTGTTTAACCAAACAACAATGCAGGTTCACCGTTCTGTTTAGCTTTTGCTAGTGATTATTTGATTAAATTGGTGCTTGTCTACTGCACTGTTTCCCTCTACAGAGCTAACATTAGTCAAATGCTTTAGTATAACAAATATTTTTATCATACTTCTTGATGTATGCTACCAGTCTCTTCAACGACCCACTCCCAAAGAACACTTGTTCCATTATTACACCCTATCCTGGATAAACTAAAGACTCAACCTCAGTTTCTTCACTTCGGCCATGGGGATAGTTTATTTCCCAAAGTTTTGTGAGAGTTAACTGATGGAGAGCTTATGTGAACATGGAAGCATGGTGTCAGGCACACATCATTGGAGTTGAGTAAATATTCAGTGAATTTTCATAAAACATGAAGACTCAACATTTTCTAAAATGTTTCAACACCGTCATTAGGAAATAAAGATGATGAACAGCTGCTCATAGGAAAGAGGTGAGCTAAAACTTTAATCTACCAGAGGAGGCTACCATGGGGCTGTTTCCACACTTGACATCACTTTGGATTCTTTACATTCAGCAAACCTCCAAGCAAAACCAGTTTTAGGAATATATTATTCAAGTACTGAGAAAGAATTTTAACATTTCCTTTGTATAATAGTTAAGTATTTTGTTTCAATTTTAGAGATTTTCATAAGGTCAGCAGAGATGTCTGTATGCTTGAAATCTATATTGTTTTGCTCAGGTTAATTTAATTTAATGGCAATAAATGATTTACCAAGCACATTAACCATTAACACCAGCAAAGTAGTCAGAAGTTTAAGACATCTATCTCAAGTTAATGCAGGAAATTAGAACCCCCATCTTTAATTCTTTCTCGGGGACTAAAATTTGAAATGTATGTGTCTCTCTAGTTCAGTATTTCTTGTCTTTGCTCAAGGATTAATTATATTACTCAGTCTCAATGAATAAGGAAATTAATAATTCATGCCTAAATATTACATAGGTGAACATTTTTGTTGTACTAATTAGTATCTTGTAATTAAAAGTCTTGTATGACAAGTACGTGAGACTGTCGGCTGAAATAACCATACATTCCAATTAGATTCAGTAAGTCAGTATCATTTATGGGGAGGAAGCCTATTTGTCTAAAATTAGAACCTGGGCTGGGCTGATATTTTGAATCAAGATCTGAAGTGAATTTTGGTTGCAGTTTAGTAAAATTAAGATATTTTGTCAGAGGGAAAATGAAAATTAAAGTAAAATTCAAACCTCATTACAGTAATTACTAAAGGAGTATGTAAGTTAATTGTTTAACTTGAAATTTAATTATAATAACTATTTTTATTTTTCAAACTGAGTCATCGTTGAAACTTAGTTTGCTATTCAACCGTGTATTCTTTGAGGAAATTTGAAAGACACTTGGTTTCTTGATTAAAAGTTCTTATCGGGAGCAATTTTTAAAAATAGTATATTTTTAAAATTTTAAAGTACTTTATAAAATCTCACACTTTCAAAAAGAAATGTTTGATTGTCACATATAAAAAAGCTTAAGTCAAGCTTTTTTGTGATGATGTGTTACCATCACTACTCTTACAGACATGGTTTTTTTTGTTTGTTTGAATGCTACATTGTTTTTGCCTGATTCTGTAATCAATAAATTTCCTAAGGACTATTTAGTTGTAATTCTCTTGAAATTAAAAAATAATGTATATGGATCACTCAGATTTTGATTTAGAATCAATTGTGATACCTTAACACATAAGTATCTAATTAGCTCCAAAGCGGCTTCCACATTTAAGTAATATTAAAAATTGCTAATAAAGCCTAATCCTATTCAAATACTTCTAATGGGCAATAGGGACACTACAGTTATTTTGCCTTCATGCTCTCAAGAGAGAGGTTTACGTTCACCTTTATTTTTGTAAACTGACTCCATGATATGCACAATGTCATTCTCTGCTGAGGTAATGGTGAAAGTGAATATCACTGAAAGCAAAAGCTACATTATAATTATTATGCAGAATAGATTGACAAGAGTATGGTTTCAGTGTTTGGGTTTTCTTAAAACCCTAAATCTATGTGGCACAGGTTTTTCAGCAGAGACGTTGCAACACATTTAAAACATATAGCCAGAAATGTGGGTGGAGACAAGAAAAGTTGGTGCTCTTGTTTCTTATGGAAAAGCAAAAATCACTCAGAACACAAGATCCTCTGGGCACGTAACTAATCTGTATTAAGAGTAAGATGTCATTTTTATGTAACATCTTAACTACGGTGACTTATTAAATATGATCAAGAAAATCATGTTCTACCAACAGGACTGAACTTGAGAATAACAATCAGAAGCATTGGCAAACCATTCCAACACCCACATCTTCCAAGAAAATTACTCATAATAGCAATTTGCATTGAGGTATTAGGCAGCATGTTTTAATAATATGTGGACTCAAACTCAACAAGAAAATATAGCAGCTCTTTTCTTTTTGTCCACAGACCATAAAACATACCATAACCTAAATGAACAAAAAGCCACATGTTTTTTGACAATCAAAACCTAAGTACCTACACTTCCTGCCCATTATAGAATACCATAAAAAAATCAATGATCCATCACAAGATTTATCTGCAAGAACCCAAACAATAGATATTAAAAAGAAAATATTTGGGTTTTGGGGGTAGTTGTTTAAAATTGTTCAATTTAATGCCGTAATATGGTCATAAGCTTGATGTGTTTTCAGAAAAAAAAGTAAAATTATTTAAGAAAAGTGTCAGTTTTCATATAGTTTCTTACTTTTTAAAATTAATCATATTTCTATTGACTAGTAAACCTCAAACACATACATTGCTAAATGTGGTTCTGGCTTATCATACCTGGTTTCTTTAGAGTCATATAGACCTTTAGTTAACAATTTGACTGTAGTTATGTCCAAAGTTCTGCCTTGGAATTTTTCCTTCTTTGACCTAGCTTTAATATTACATTGTATATTTCATCCTTTCCATTGAAAAAGAAAGATCCCAAGGGTAGCTTGTATTTTTCACCCTCCAAACCCCGACATCACCAATCTCAGTTCTGGAAAAAAATAGAATCACTGCATTAAATTACTTTGGAAAAGTTGGGTAGTTAATGACTAAAAATGAAACAGACTGTACATTTTAAAATGTAGAAAATTTTTTATTTAGAGGCTTAACCTAGAACTGCCTAGACATGAATGAGCCAAGGAAAAAAATTTATGGTAATACCAAAAGCATTTAAAATTACATTATTAAAATAGGTGGAGGGAAATGAGGTTCCAGCTGACTTTTCTCCCCACCCCATTTTGAATAAGTACATCTTGTTTTCTCAAATCACGGGAGGTTTTCTTTAAATTTTAATTGTGAAACCAATAATAGTAGGACGGTGTAAAGTAGAAGGCTGCTTGAGAGAAAGAATCCTACTGCTGTGTTTAAATAGAGTACCTTTGGCCCTCTATTGAGATTTACTTGACTCATCCAAGTTCAAAATTAAAGAGTGGTATTAGTTTTCCAAAACTTCAGAGGTTTGACAGTGTCACTTCAATAGCAGATATTTTCTCAGATACTACTTACCTAGGTAATGTAGGTACTTCAAGATTACCTAGGACCTCTAAGGCCAACCTTTTTTTCTGGCAAAGCTGCAGCTTGCCACAACCCACATCTTGATTTTTCTTTCTGGAGCTAATATATAAGTAGATAACTAAAAGCAGTAAAGCAGTAGAGTAACTCCTTCTTCTTCCAGACAGAAGTTCTACATGGACATGAAATTGTGGCCTTCTTTGGTGCCTGGACTAAAACATCCTTTTTGTTCAGACCCAAGTGACATTTCATTAAATTGATCATGAACTTTCTATTTGATAAAAATGTGGCTTTTTAGTGGCTCACAAGTCTGCAGACTTGATTTTAGGAAAGAGGCCACTTTCACAGAACTACCAAATATTATCCTACCTTGAACTGCTGCCCTTTTGCTAGCCATATCTTCTAAACTACCTGTTGTGGATCATATTGGTCTGTTTGGGCTCAGACTTTCACCTTTAAGGTTTTGCTAGGGATAAAATGTAATATGTTATATAACCCCAGGCTACTGAAATCTCCTTTGCTAGCATCTTGGTAGCAACTCTCTCATTCATATGGAGAAATTCTTACTAAAAATTTGAGTAGCCAGCAAAAGAAACGATAGCATTTTGTTTAGAGGATCTTAAGGGACAGTCTCACATGCTGATGGAGAGGGTAGTCATGATGAGGGTATCAATTCTTGATACTATCCTCAGTGATGTTGCTAACCCCAAGGATCCCTTAGCAGATCATTATTCAAGCCAGTGTCAGGTTGTTTCCCAATTCTCTAAGTTTGAGACCTGTACTATCAGTACTTCCAAATAAGAGACTATCAGTTATGTCCTAGTTACTCAGAGAATAGTGGAAGATAACTCCATGCCCTAGCTAAAAGAGACACAACAAGGACTGCAAAGTTCAGTAGAGGGCTCACCAGCTCTATTATAAGTGGTTAACTCATAACTTAAAATTCTGCTTTTAAAGCAGCCCTTCCCAAAGTATGGTCCCTGGACTAAGAGTATCGGCCTCACTTGAAAACGTGTTAGAAATGTAAATTCTACTTCATATTTACTATGTTTAGCAAGCTGTCTGGTGATTCAGATGCACACAAAAGTTTTGAAAGCACGGCCTTAATGTGCAGTATCATCCTTCACCATGTAATATACAACAAGTAGAAGAAAAATCTACTGTCCTACAACAGCATTGCTCCAGGGTAATTCAATGAGGTATTGAACCTGAAAGATGATCCAAATAAAGAGGTCTATTGTTGAAATTTGGGCAACATGTATAAATATGTAAAACATAAAATTGCTCTCATATAATCACTTGAGGTTGGGAGGTAGGTAGCTGTTATAACCATGAAAAGACCATTTCAGTAGTTTTTCCCCTCCTGTTGACCCTAAAGCTGGCAGCCAATCTTGCGTGCTCCCCAAACCAGAATTATTAATAATTAACTGCTTCCCAAGGATTAACAGAACAACATACCTGGACTACATACTAGGACTAAAGAGTCTTCACTTGGTTGTGTTAATTTCTTGTAGCTGCCATAAGAAATTATCACAAACTTGGTGCTTTAAAACAATAGAAATGTATTCTCTTACAGTTCTGGAGGCCAGGGCTCTGAAATTAAGGTATTGGCAGGATGGTGGTCCCTATAGAGGTTCCAGGGAAGATCCCATTCCTTGCCTCTTCTAATTTCTATTAGCTGTTGATGCTTCTTGGTTTGTGGCTACATCACTCCAATCTTTGCCTCCTTTTTCACATGGACTTCTCTTTTGTCTCTCAAATCTCCTGTGTGTGTCTCTTATAAAAGGTTACTTGTCACTGGGTTTCAGGCCCATCAGATCCAGGGTCTCTACATCTCAAGATCTTTAATTTATACCTATAAAAAACCTTTTTCCAAATAAGGTAACGTTCATGGGTTCTGGGAATTAAAGCATGGACATATCTTTTGGGGGGCCACCATTTAACCACCATACCATGTGGTAGCCACCTGCATACTTATGGTACTTATGGCCACAGTTTTTGGACTAGAGAGATATGGGGGACTCTGTAACTAAAGCCTGCTTTTATAATGTCATTGTTAGAGTCCCATAACTAACCAGGGTAAGTCTTGTACGTGCTTCCATTAGGTCTTCCCTGACTTCGCACATGATTTTTTTCTAGGCATTAGAATACGGAGCTTCCAAGTTCAGCACCTTGGTCTAAAGAGGCAAAGGAAGACTCAACCATTAGGTTATACATTCCACAGTCTTATTTAGCACTGTATCACCTAGCACACTGGCTGGACCATAGTAGGTGCTTAGCACTTTTTTTAAAAAATTAAAGAAGAAACAATAGAATCAAAAAATTTTTTCAGGCCCAACAGACGCAGGCAGTTAGGGAAAGAACAAACTGTCACGCTCCTTATTCCAGAACTACAAAAATACTTGAGAGGGACTGCTTAAGAAAACTGGATGTTTAGAGAATGCGTTTCCCTCTCCTTCCATGTCCATAGTCTATACCAATTATCTCAAAACCTTTTCATGACATACCTATTGCTAAAACAGTATTGAACATACTGTCTAAAATGCATAGTAATTTATTATACTTTTAATAGTTATGTAGTTCAGAACTTGTTATATATATATAAAATATAGAAATTGAAATTAAAAAGAGCAAATTAAGCATAAAATAAAGAATAATTTCAAATATCTTGCAAATCACAGTGGCTTAATATCTCAAAGAAAAATGTAATTTGAGTGAGTTTCATCATTAATGATATTGGATATAAAGCTATATTGCAAGTAGTCTTGATGATTTCCAGTTTCTTTGTCTGACTTCTCATCAGATCTGAATAGGCTTTCATTGTGTATGTCTGAAAAGATTTTGTATTGAAGGTTAGTGACACTTTTTATTGCTGTGTGTTGCAGGAGTATACTTGTATTATCAGTATTATCTTCCATTTGTTCTTTATGCATAGGGAATTTTTTAAGTCACTTATCTTTTTTATTTTCTTTTATTCTATTTTATTTTATTTATTTGAGACAAAGTTTCACTCTTGTAGCCCAGGCTAGAGTGCAGTGGCGCAATCTCATGTCACTGCAACCTCCGCCTCCCAGGTTCAAGTGATTCTCCTGCCTCAGTCTCCCGAGTAGCTGGGACTACAGACATGTACCACCACGGCCAGCAAATTTTTGTATTTTTAGTAGAGATGGGGTTTCACCATGTTGCCCAGGCTGGTCTTGAACTCCCGACCTCAAGTAATCCACCTGCCTCGGCCTCCCAAAGTGCTGGGATTATAGGTGTGAGCCACCGTGCACAGCCAACTTACCTTTTTTTAACAGATTATTAAACCTCACATCCACTGGCCAAGGCACACATAAACTGTCACACATGTAATAAGCCAAGAGCAATGAACAAGAAGAACCTTTTCTTACTCCCTTTATTAAGAGCCATCCAGTCATCGCTTGGCCTCAGTAACAAGTGGCTTTTGACTTATAGGCCAAGTGAAGTCTCCCATGTCAATTTACAGATTAGTAACATTTCATTTCAGTTAGTCTTAGGGAAGAATCATAAATATAATTTCTAATATCTACTTCCTACACTTCAGTATAAATCACATATTTTTACTGCATCACTTAGTACTTGAATCTAAAACTCTTCATTATTTGCTTTTGTTCAAGTATATTTATATGCTCCTCAGAATGTCTGTAATGAAGATAGGGGTAATGTCTTACACTTCTTCAGTATCTTCTATATCATCCAAGAGTATCTTGTAAAAAGTTAATGCTCACAAATACTATGTGATTAAGGACTGTAGCTCATTGGAAAGTCTGACTTCTCTATGACTTTTTTGATTCATTACATATATTTAATAAATCAGAGAAAAATAGAAATCACCTCAGTGTAGCTTATTAAAATGGGCAGTATAGTATATAATATCAGAAAAATGAATGAGATTAGAAACTGGAAGCTACTGCAGAATTGTAATTATTAGAATTATATAATTATTAGAATTTCTAATTCTATAATCATTAGATTTCTAAGTTATGAAATAATTTTTTTTCCCAAGCCATTAGCAAGTTTGAGTTTTGTTCCTTATTTCTTCTGCTGGGTATGTAAAGACAATATCTGCTGGCCTGGTAACCTGAAGAATGTAATCCAAATCCACATACATTGAATCTGAACAATTGAGTTATTTATCCTCTGATACTGATATAAGATACACCTAGATACAGAAGGTTCTATAACATGAAGTTGGACTATGTTTAGGGAAAAAAATGTATAAAAGATAATCTTCATTTGCTCATCACACTCATCCACTCTCCACCTTTCTCTACCCTGG
This sequence comes from Homo sapiens, assembly GCF_000001405.40. Classification (NCBI taxonomy): domain Eukaryota; kingdom Metazoa; phylum Chordata; class Mammalia; order Primates; family Hominidae; genus Homo; species Homo sapiens. The sequence goes on from NC_000002.12 coordinate 209,451,263, forward strand.
TGAGGGGGTGAGTGTGACCCTAGGCGTCTGCCCATCAGGCTGCTGCTCCTCTGGCTTCCTGTTGGATTCAGACAATGGGGAGCAAGAATAGGTGATCAGCAGGTGAGAAAGGAGCAAGGCCAGCTCTTTATTTCCCCCTTCCCTCCATGCCCTGCTGCTAAGATTCCCACAGTGTCTGTGCCTCCCAGGTAAGTAGTTCAGGCCCCCTTTCCTGGCAGTAGCTGTGGTGGGGTCTGTTTACACTGTTCCCTCCCCTTGCTCCCATGGCTCTGAGGTGGTAACAGTTTTCTACTTTTCTAGCCCTGGCTGTTGCAACATCCCTCCTTGGTTTCCGTAACCTTATCCGTAGCTCTTTATGAGAGATCCCTTCATCAAAAGCCCACTTTTCTAATTGGAGCCTGACACATACACATACTAAACAGGGCTTTAGTGTTTAATGCAGACATTCAGCAAACTTGCTGCTGGGTGTATGTAGGCACAGCTGTAGGAGGCTAAAAATAGCTCTGTCTGCAACATTGTTTTTTCTTTTGAAATTCTAAGCTCCATTTTGGGGGACTCAGTAAGGACTTTATCTTTAGGTGCCAGCTTTTCTCTTGCAACCTAATCCTCTCTCTACTCTCACAAAGAACCTGATAATAGTCACCAGTTACCCTTGTTACTGACCACACAATATTTTAAAATCGATGAATTTTAGAGAGGCATACCTCAGCCTAGAACTCTGTTTTTCATCTTTCTCTCTTTTCAATAAAAAGATTGTATTGATTGTTAATGCAATTTTAGAAAGCACCAAGTTCATGTAGAACTAATTGAGGACCCAAAAGAACACCTTGAAATCAAAATAGGCTGTTTGCAAGTCTAGCCTTGAGAATAAACCATATCATTTCTTTGAGGTTAGGAGTGTGAAAGGGTATGAAGTGACAGTCTAGGTATTTTTCTCCTTTAGAGATGGATCTGTGATCTCTACAAGTAGACAGAGTAGGGGAGAGGGTTGACCTATATGCAAATACTAAAGACCTATTTCTAGGAGCTATTTGGTTTCAGCAGCTTCTTCAAGGATGTAAAACCCACTTTCATCCTATCCCCTGGCAGGTCCTTCTCTCTAGAAAGGCATTCTGTCAGGAACTCTCCTCTTTCCTATTGAGCATAGATCAGTTTCCTTTCATCTAAACACCTCTGAATACATTTTGCATTTTTTCACATACCTAGAAAAAAATCATGGTTAGTACCCCTTTATGGTATCCTGAGGCATATCATATCCCTAGGCATCCCATTTTCTTTTTGCCTCTGATAATGACAGGGCAAACAAAGTGCATCTTTCGAATGAAACTTCATCAGTTGGATTAGAATAAAACCATATTAAAGGATGGATCCACATTTTAGAATTCTGGATAGCAATATATTTGGTACTTCTAGCATACAGTCCTATCTCTTATAATGCTTCTCTTCCCTTCAGTTTTTAGCCTGCATACATACCTCAGTACCAGCCAACGGTTCTTTATGCAACCTGAAACATGCAGAGAAGTAGAGGGGACTGTTTTTAATATCTTACCTTAACTCCTTTGCTGCAATCTTATAGCATTCTTTTATTTAACAATCAAAAGGATACACTTAGTTGGTCACAGTTGTCTCTATAACACTATTGATCTTTTATATATATAAATAATTTATACCTATCCATTTTTTTCTTCTTCATTGTAAAAGAAATTGGAAATATTTAGCTTTAATCTTTTGTTTTTGCTCAAAGTTCTTATATTTCAATCCTGCAATTTTATTTCTTTCTGTTTGTGTTTTCTCCTGCATGTCTATATTTTAAGTGTAGGATAGCCAAAAAGTGATTTCTGTGGCTTATACGAAAACACAATTCATATGGTGTGCCTTATGGTCTTTGTGATTAATACCCTGTTATTCCATCTCAGAATGACAAAATAAGTGTAGCGATGTTGTTGTTCCTTCGATGAGCTATCTGAACCCCTGGATATTCTCTGCTTTAATGATGCATGATCAGCCATTATCTATCTCGTATTTTCTTTGTTTAAGAAATTAATGACAAACTGGCCATGATAGTAACGGTTTGGCATTTTGCTTGGCAAATTCATTCCTGCATAAGTTGAATTTCATGTGTTAAAAAGAAAGTTTTTTTCCCCACTTAAGAAATAAAATATCAGATTCTACCCACTTAATATCAAAGTACTTTAAGATTGGAATGTACAGTTTTAATACATAACAATGCAACATAACGACTTAAAAGGGCTGGAAGAGGACTAGGATTACATGTATATATACCTATGACTGTTACTGTTTATATTTTTTCCTAAAAATTAAAGCCTAAATCATCTCAAACATTTATATGTGCCCATTTTATCCTTCCAAATAAAAAGATTACATAATATTCTGTTAGTAACTAAAATTCTTGTTTAAAATTTTTTTTATCAATAAATTATTTTTTTAAACCAAAGGATTCCCTATTCTTTCTTTACATAGATGGGGTGTCATGTCAGGAAAAGTGATATTTCTCACATGAGTCACTATCTTAATGTGGACATGATTAGGGTACACAGATGGCACTATATGATAACCTTTCTACTGGACTAAAAAAAATAGAGGACAGGCCGGGTGTCGTGGCTCACGCCTGTAATCCCAGAACTTTGGGAGGCCCAGACGGGTGGATCACAAGGTCAGGAGATCAAGACCAACCTGGCTAACACAGTGAAACCCCATCTCTACTAAAAATACAAAAAATTAGCCAGGCGTGGTGGCGGGCGCCTGTAGTCCCAGCTACTCCGGAGGCTGAGGCAGGAGAATGGTGTGAACCTGGGAGGCGGAGCTTGCAGTGAGCCTAGATCGCGCTCTGCACTCCATCCCGGGCAACAGAGCGAGACTCTGTCTCAAAAAAAAAAAAAAAAAAAAAAAAAAAGTAGAGGACAAATTTTAATGCAATTAGCTCAGCCCAGGAGAGAGTGAAAAAGCTCAATTCTAAAATAAGAAAAAAGGAATCATTCTTCTTTCTGGTGTAAGGCAGGATTGTTCAACCACAGCTAATATGTTAGGAAATCATCAATATATTCACTGAATACTGAATATATAAAGAGAGAGATGGAGTCTCGCTCTGTCACCCAGGCTGGAGTGCAGTGGCACGATCTCTGCTCATTGCAACCTCTGCCTCCCGAGTTCAAGCAATTCTCCCTCCCTCAGCCTCCCGAGTAGCTGGGATTAGAGGCACCCACCACCATGCCCGGCTAGTTTTTGTATTTTTTAGTAGAGATAGGGTTTCACCATGTTGGCCAGGCTGGTCATGAACTCCTGACCTCAAGTGATCCATCCACCTTGGCCTCTCAAAGTGCTGGGATTACAGGCATGAGCCACTGCACCTGTCCTAAATACTGAATATCTTAGTAAATTCCACTGCATAGCAAACTAAAAGAGTCTTTTAAAATATAGAATACATAATCATATGTAGTTGCATTATTATGTAAATATATGATAATAACAAATATTTGTGTACTAGACTAAGGGTTAAACAGGTGCATTGCACTCATTGTGTGTGTGTGTGTAATCATTTACTCTGTCTTAGTCAACTTTGGCTGCTGTATCAAAATACCATAGATTGTGTGTCTTAAACAGCAGACATTTATTTCTCACAGTTCTGGAGGCTAGACAGTCCAATAACAAGGTGCCAGAAGATTCAGTTCCTGGTAAAGACTGTCTTCCTGGACTGTAGACAGCCATCTTCTTGCTGTGTCCCCACATGGTGGAGAAAGGGGGAAAGCAAGCTCTCTCGTCTCTTCTTATGAGGGCACTAATCACATCATGAGGACCTCACCCTGATTAACCTCATCTAAACCCAGTTACCTCCGAAAGGCCCCATCTCCAAATACCATCACATTGGAGGTTAGGTCTCCAACATATAAACCTTGTGGGGACATAATTTAGTCCTTAATGTTTTCCTTATACAATCTTATTAAGTAGGTACCATTATCAACCTTACTTTACAAATGAAGAAACTGACATGAAGAGATGATAGATAATCTGTCCAAGGTCACACAGATAGTAAGTAATAAAGTTAGAATTTTATTTTTTGATCTTATTTTGTCTTTATGAACAATCACATTTTAAAGGCACATTAAAATATAATAGATTAACAAGTAGTTTTATCTCTGAAATTGCTCCAGCTCTGTGCTGTTATTGTCAAAGCTGGCCTCTACTCATGATAACCAGAGTGAAAGGTGAAAGTGTACTATTGTTTCATATTTATCATCCCTTGTAATGATCCTCAAATGTTCAAAATATGGATGCATCTTTAGGAAGATTTCCTGACACACTTCAAAAATTATTAGCATGAATTACTTGTATAAAATGCAGAGCATTAATAAAAAACACGGCTTCATGTTCTTAATATATGTAGAGCTGGATGACTCTGATATATAAATAAATTTTTTAAGGTTTCTAGTAATGTTTTAAAAAGCCACCTTGTAATCCTGGTCCTGAGGAATGGATGTCTTGCTTGTGGTGATTTAGAATAACTGGATTCTCATTCTTAAGGTATTAATTATTCACTTGGCTCTACACCTTACTGACTGACCCACATTATCCTTGCGAGTACTAGCATTCTACTACTACTACCACCATTACTGTGAATGGCTTTTTGGATTTTCTAAGTGCCAGGCATATTATTAAACATGATATCTACACTATTTCCTGTAATCCTCAGAATGATCTTGTTAGGTCAATGTACCCCAGTTTTACTGACAACTCCTTAGGACTCAAGGTCAAAACCTCTGCATCTTTGATCTAAAGCAGCCATAAAAAGAAGTGACTATCACTCATACTCCCTGGCATCTTGTCACACTTGTGCCTTTGAGTAATTTTTTAAATGAACCTTATCATGTGGTAAGGTACATCCGAGGTGCTAAATGGTGAATCCTGTCACTTTCAGGAATCGGAAAGGATTTATAAGATCTTCCAGTGCATCCTTAGGAATTATAATCTCAAACCAAGAAGATTGGTTTTCTGCTTATAGTATTAAAAATATCAGGTCTGGGAGGGACTTTAGATGTCACTGTTCTAAACCTTCATTTTACTAATGGGGAAACTGAGGCCCAGTGAATGAAGGAGCCAGTTTAAGGTAATGTACCACATTTGTGGTATAATGAAGAACCATCATTTTACTACTCAGGCCTCTTGCTCTGAAGCAGTGTGGGTCCTAGTGAATCTATGTTAGATATGAGAAAGAATGGTGGAAGCACAAAGGCTGCAAACTGAGTCTGTATCTGTGATTAGGGAAAGCCTGCAAAGATACCAAGACATACAGACCATGTGGGAGGGAGGAAGAAAAGAGCCAATGACAAACTAAGAGTAGCTCTACTTTCTCTGTTCCATTTATTGCACTTGTCCTTGATCCCTCAAAGAGGAAGTGTTGTGGTCATTGTTGTTCACTGTGATCACATGTTAACAAGTAGAGGCCACAAGTTACCTGTTTACTTCCTTAGGTCAGACATTAGCCTATGAAACAGTGTGCCTTCTTCATATGAAACACTTAGCTCACAACAGCATGTTATAAACTGCAAACTCCATGTAAATCACATTCAAGAATTGGGAGTTGGGATAAAGAACAATCTTCATCTTTGTGTCATGGTCTTTGTTATAGATAAATTGTCATCATTATAGGAATCTTAGGGAAGTAAATTGGTGGCCCACTTCTTCCAACACACACACATGTACACACACAAACACATGCACAGATCAAAAGAAATTAGGTGGATCACTTTAAGGAGAACCCCATTCCACTTATAGGTAATAATTTTAATCACAGTTAATATTTAGTTAGTGTTTTACTGTATAAAATGTGTTTCAATAACATTATCTCATTCAACATTACAACCTGTTTTGAGGTGGTAGTTATTTCTTTCTTGGTTTTACAGATGAAGATATTAAGAATCGTGAAGGGCGTGAATGGCTTGGCTATGGCAGCTACCCAGATGAGCTTTTGCATAGATATTGGCTCATCTTTTCTGCACTTTCACTGGGTCTGGCAAAATCTTCCTAAATTACCCACCACCTAGTCTGGAGAGGTACTTGTTGACCTATGTATCTTATCTGGGGAGCAGTGAACCAGCTGCTAGAAAATGACTGCATACATGCACAAGTGCATCCTACGTTATTGCTCATTTTTGGAAGCAGGAATGATACAGTACAAAAATGGAGGCCTAAGGAAGTTTATTCAGTTTAGATTTTTTGTGTGAATGGGATGCTTTGGTATAGTAGAAAGAATATTCAACCGGTGGTCATATAATGAAGCTCTGAACTGCAACTCTTATGAGTTCTGTGACCTGAACATGTAGCTTATTCTCTCTGAGCATCAAATTCCTCATCCATTAAAAGAGGACAGGGATATCCACCATATGTACTTCATAGGATTGTTGGAATGACTAAACTCTATGCATCACATGAAAGTTCTCTGAAAATGGGAGGATACATGAGAAGCGTTCTAGAGATAGGGACATGGAGATGGGGGATTATAGCCCAGGTTGTGTCCTATTAGTGTAGATACCTGAGTTTCATTGCCATCTTTGCCTTTCCTTCTTAAGTTAGGATGATCCAAAGTGAACCACAAACCATGGGCCACAGTATGCTACTGCCCTTCTCAACCACTCAAATAAATTGCAGCTATAAAGGAAGATATCTCCACAGTGTGTTTTTATCTTGATTTTGTTGGGACTGCCAACTTTTTTTTGTTAAATTTTAAAAGGCTGCACTATGTTTCCAGTATTGATTATTAGTGTGTCCTGAGCATTGGGATAATACAAATAAGTAGGTAATTTTTTTTTTTACTTTGGCAGAACTCTCTGCTGCTAAAATGCCAGAAATCCCATTTAATAAAGTAGAATCATTGTAAAAGGCTTGGCTATACTCCCAGAACAGGAGATTCCCCAGTGAGAAACCACCTGTTAGTAAAGTCTTCATTACACTGTTTGGAGTCACAGAAGAATGTAAATTATCCAGAGCAGGCAACACAGAGGGTCTGGAGGGAAATTACCTCCTCCCTAACAACTCAAAGACTGTATAGTTATACCACTATTATATGAGTGGATGCATTCCAACTATACCCTCTGTAACTAAAACTTTTTAAAAAGGAACTGTTCTAGGGTTAGGGACATGGAGGTAGAAATAATATCGAGAGCAAAGGAAACAGGAAAACTGAGATTAAGATTAACACCAACCAAAATATGGTCCATGCAAAGTAATTAAGTAACTAGAACTCATTCACAGTAAGAGGTCAGGCTGCCTATTGAGAGATAGTTGAGACTGCCTAAAGGGGATGGTCACTGTATTTGAATAATAAAGCAACTGGGAGTTTAGGGAAAGTGAAGATATTTTGGATTTTCTCCAGCATCTGTGTTGTTTACCTCTAATCACAATAATAATTCATATGGGTAGAGCTCAGTATTTCCAAACCTGAATCACACAGGCTGCCTCCTGCCCATCAGAAGTCCCATAGAGGTGTTTGAGGCATACGATGCTCCCTCCACCTGCCTGAGAAGCAGTGAAGGATACTGGTTAAGAGCATATGGTCTAGAGTAACTTTGTGTAAGTGCTCTAAGCTCTCTATACCTTAGTCTTTTCATATGTCAAGCAGAGATGATACTTATATGTAGCTTATAGGGCTGTTGGGGAGATCGCATGATTTATAATACATGTAAAGTGCTTAGAAAGGTAATGTTATCTGACAAATAATCATTGAGCAAAGTTGAATGATAAGGAAATATAGATCAAGCTATTGCTATTTGTGAAATTCATTTTACCTCTGTAAGACATTTTAATTTTTTCCCTAGTATTCTGGCCCTTTCATGCCCAGTATATATAGTGTACTAATTAAGAGAATGAGTTATGTAGTCCAACTGCTTGTGTTTAAATTATGGCTCCACTCTTTATTAGCTCTCATCTTGGGTAAATTATTTAACATCTCATGCCTCTGTTTTCTCATCTGTAAAATGGAGATAATGCCATTCATATAGTTTTGAGGTTGAATAGTGAGTCAGTGAAGTGAGACATGGAAAGCCCTAGAACAGTGCCTGGCACATCTTAAGTGCTTGTCCAATGCTAGCTGTCATCATCATTATTATTATTTTCCTCTGGAACTTACTTTTTCTCCATAACTGGGACCACTAGATACCCCCTTAAAATCTACCCCTTTCCTAATATTCAAGACGAAGCCTGGCCTAAAGTTAAAGATCCAGGAAAACAACTCTAAGTCTGTCTCAGCAGTGCATCATCCCATTCTGCCCTCCAGGCAGATTCGGATCTTGGTGTCTAGCTCTCATACATGGGTTTCTACTGTAATTCTTTTGTCCTGATTTCTATTCTAGCACTCTATGAGACTCCCTGGACTCTCTTACATCTGAGGTGCTTTTCTACTGCCTTAGAGAACAATCACATCACTGAGGTTCATTGGTAAATCTCTCTGATGTGCACTGCCTACCAGGCCACCATGCATTTTTTTGATTAGTAGCAGTTTGGGACTTGCAGGCCCTAGTCTTCATGCCTGCAGGACTGTGCTGGATGTCCTGTAGGTCTTGGACCCATCATGTTTGACTATTCCATGGAGCTTCTATTCTTAGTACTTGAAACCCTCTCAGGCCCATGGAGAGTCTCTCCAACTCTTAGCCCCTTTCCTTGTCTTTCTTGCACATCAGCCACAACCTCTGATGAGCAAATAAGGCCTGTTGCTAGATTAACTGATATTCTATGAGTCCAACCTCCTTTACAAAACAAATACTTGGAGATTCAGCTAAGTGGGGTAAAATTTTTCAACTCAGCACATAAATTATTCTGTTTAGAAATTATAATTCAGTTTTTACAAACCTGTTTTAATTTGTGAGTACAAATGTGATATTTCACTGTGTGTGTGCATGTGTGCATAGTTTCCTCAATAAATTCTGGAATTATCGTTTTCATGAAGTAAGAAGTATATAAAATAGATGAAGAAATTGGCCATCGTAATGTATGAAGATTACTAATATCTGACTAACCGTGTTTACAATGACGGTCTATGTCAGCTATGCCTATTCAGAGGAAAACAACATAGGTGGTTTTAAAAAGAACAAACTGGTTCTTTGGGACGTGGATATTGGTTTCATAAGGTAGACACTGGCCCTAGAAAATCACTGCAGTGCAATAAATTTAGTGACTCAGGTGCCTTAGAGTTGAAAGAGAAAAAAATTCCCTTGGTAACTGGGATATGGGGGAACTAGGAGAAATGATCTTCCCTTTCCCTTTCCCTTTCCTTTCCTTTTCTTTCCTTCCTTCCCTTCTCTTTCCCTTCTCTCCTTTTCCTTCCTTCCTTCCTTCCTTCTTTCCTTCCTCTTTATTTTTTTCTCTTTCTTTTCACTCTCTTTTTTCATCTTTTAACTAATTTATAACAAATTTTCTCTTTCTTCTGTTTGTGGTAAGTAGAATCTTACTTTGTGGGTAATTAAAAAATGGAAACTTTTTGGTTGTTGTTTTTTTGAGACAGAGTCTCACTGTGTCTCCCAGGCCAGAGTACAGTGGCATAATCTTGGCTCACTGCAACCTCTGCCTCCCGGGTTCAAGTGATTCTCCTGCCTCAGCCTCCCGAGTAGCTGGGATTACAGGCACGCACCACCACACCCAGCTAATTTTTGTATTTCTTGTAGAGACAGGTTTTCACCATGTTGGCCAGGCTGCTCTTGAACTCCTGGCCTCAAGTGATCCACCTACCTCAGCCTCCCAAAGTGCTGGGATTATAGTAGTGAGCCACTGTGCCCGGCCAAAAAATGGAAACTTTGAAGATATAAACTTGTTTCACTGGAAAGTAAAAATAAACAAACAACCCATTAAATACTCCAGAAAACGTGATTATTAAGTAAACTTAATTATTACTACCAGAAAACTATTCACAATGGTTCAAATTAAAAATAAAGCATTTGTTTAAAAATCTGTGCTCTCCAAAATGAACTACATGACTACTTACATTTGAGTTAAATAAATGTAATAAAATTTGAAATTTAGTTACTCAGTTGCACTGCCCTCATTTCAAGTGCTCCAGAGACACATGGGGCTAGTGGCAACCATGCCAGACAGTATGGATTCACATAAGTTTATATTGGATCATTGCAGAAAGTTTGACTGCATAGCATGGCTTTAAATAATTCCCCTGTTTAAAATTCGTAGTTTAATAGATTTTTTTTTTTTCGAGACGGAGTTTTGCTCTTATTGCCCAGACTGCAGTGCAATGGCACAATCTCGGCTCACTGCAACCTCTGTCTCTCAGGTTCAAGCTATTCTCCTGCCTCAGCCTCCTGAGTAGCTGGGAGCATGTGCCACCATGTCTGGCTAATTTTTGTGTTTTCAGTGGAGACGGGGTTTCTCCATGTTGGTCAGGCTGGTCTTGAACTCCCAACCTCAGGTGATCCGCCCCCTGGGCCTCCCAAAGTGCTGGGATGACAGGTGTGAGCCACTGCACCTGGCCTTAATAGATTCTTAATTAATTGTTTTTATTGTTTGTTTCTTTGGTCTCTAATCTTCTAGTATTTCAGCCTCTTCTTTTGCCACTCTTCAGGTCTGTTTTATTCTCATTCATCTCAGTACTCTTACACATGTTATTCCTCTGAATTTCCCTTTTTCTTCTGATTTTTTTCTAATCCATGGAATTTAATCCAGATATAATCTGGCAGAAAACCTTCCCTGGCCTTTACTCTCTGGTTTAGATGCCTTTAGCATCTAAGGGGCCCAATAGTACCTCATGCTTATTTTATGAGTCATCACACTTATCAAAACTGTATTTTAATTCCTCTCCTACCTTGAGCTGCTTTATAAAAAATCCTGGTAAAATATATGAATGTTAATTCAATTCAATTTTTGACAACTATGAAACGTTTTGTTCTAGTTTTCATTTTGAGAATAAGTGTTGTGAGAAAAGGGGAAACTGGTGTTTGGATGTAGAAAAGAGAAATAAAATAGATGGCAGATGGTTGGACTTTTCAATTAGACCTTATCGGGCAAGATCAGAAAAAATAAAGGAGGTAAAAACAGGCTTCAGAACTGCACTCCAGTGGTATCCTTGAAAAGTGAGCCACGTGTAAAAAGGACAGTGACTTTGTCATGGATTTAACACAAGAAGAGTTAATGCCATGGAACTAAAAATATTGGACCAGAGGTTTGAAAAATACTTAGTTATTCCAATTAGGTTATTTATAGGCAACCTTTTCAGGCATGTACACTACTTTGTATCTCTGAGAGCTCAGTAGAACCTAGGAGCTGGGATCCAAGAGACAAAAAGAAAGTCAGTCTCTAGTCATGAAACTGAAAACCACTGACCAATTAGGAGACCGCACCATGCTCTTACTTTGGATGTTCTCTTCCACAAATCTTTTACCAATTTTTGCTATTATGGTAGCAATAATTAACTATTAAACTAATCTAATTAGCTATTAAACTAGTCTAATTATGACTAGTTTGAGATGCAAAGGATATAATTGGTTTAGTATTTGGTTAGAGTTATGTCTTTGATGCTTGGGTTTAGTAAATAAATATATTGCAAAGACATCATTTAAATTCTAACATTCTCCACTTAGTTTTAAGATTTTCCATTGTAAATAATCTTATAATAGAGGCTTTTGGGAGCCCAATCTCTTTAAATGAAAAGAGATTTTTCTGTAATTATCTGTTTGTATGCCTGCTCTTCTGTCAACTCCCAGCATAATGCACACACACACACACGTGCACACAAATACGTGCACACACACATGCACGAGTAACTTGAAGATGTCTTCATCTTCAAGACACACATGAGTGTGTCTTTTATTTATGGATCCTCAGAATCTATCTCATGTGGTTATTGATAAATGTTGAGATGAGAAAAGGCAGGAAGAGATGGAGGAAGAAATGGCAAAAATTGTTTCTATACTGAGTCTTATAGTGTCATTCTACAATTATAAGCTGGCTCTAATCACCTCATATTTATTCTTAATAATATGGTCTTTTAAAATTTGTTCTGATAAGTCATGCTATTTCTAATTTGTTTTATTTCATACAAAATAATAAAAGTCAACTTCTTACCATTTCTTAACTTGTCTCATGAAAGTGTTCCTTTGGAGAAGTGTCCCTGTCGTGCTTTCTGGTCTGCTTTTAGGTAAGGTCTGACTTCTGCCACTAGAGGCCTGAGAATGTTTTTCTTCTTTTTTTGGCCTCTCTCTGGGGAGGAAGCAGCTTTCAACATATTCTTTCCTTGTGAATTTGTAAAAGTTGAAATCAAGGCATGCTTATTAGTTAGTAATTATAATTCTTATATATACCAATGAGATATAATCATAATACATTTACAAAGAGAAATCATAAAAATGTATGTACTGAAAATCAGTGCCCATATTTCACATATGAGGAAACTGGAATCTAACCTAAACTGCCCAGGATAAAAGGGTAAAACCTGAGTTATAACATTTTAACTGTTGCTAAAAGAAATCATTGAAATAATCTATGGTAGTTGTCTCGTCCCACTTTCTTTTTTATCTTTGTAGATGCGTCTTTATTGAAAGTTTGAATGTTGGTAAAATACTATTATTTGCCTGAGTCAAAGGAGAGACTGTAGATTCAGTGAAGTAAAGAAAATTGTTGGTGTAGGGATTGCCTTTTAAACTAGCTCTCAGTCGCTAGATTTAGAGTGGTTTATATAGTTTTTGACATACAGACATCTCCCTCACTCTGAGACATCTAATTATAAACATGACAAATATTACAGGTGTTCAAATCACAGAGTTTAGGAATGACTAATGGATGACTGGGGAAAATTAGCTGTATTACTGTATTATTTTTCTTCATGAACAGGTCTGTCTACAGTAACAAGTCCAAAATTTGAGACTGTGCTCTATGCCATCCCAAATTCTTTGAATGATTGAAATGGTTCACTAAAATAGATGATTATATCTCAGTATAAAGAAAAAATTAGCTTGTCCCTTGTTGACATAGCTTCAATGTTAGTCTTTTTTTCTGAGGAATTAGCACAGGTACTTCGATTGAAAATAATATAGTTTATATTAGGAACTCACAACCATCTATTTCCAACTCTTGAATTAGTTTGGTAAAAATCTCTACATGTGATTATTTAAAGTAATGTCAATGAAGTAATTTAGATTTATTCAAATTATACTACTTAATGAAGAATAAATTATTGCAGTCAGGCCCATTTTTGTAACATTATTAGGCAATGTTTGCTGTTTGGTGTGGGAGAGTTTGAGGACGCTTGAAGGTGACATTGTTTCTGTTTTCCTGAAAGAATGAAGCTGGAAAACAGTGATATTACTCTACAGATATTAAACTATACATGATTGATTGATTCCAGTCCAGCATTCATTAATTATACTGTATTTATCAGTAACACATTAATAATAAAATTGCTTAGGTTAGAAAAAAATCAACTTCTACTAAAGGTTACAAAGAATGGATTTTAAAAATAACTGTTTATCTAGTTATAAGGTCATTAAAGACAACTAATATAGTTTTGAAAATACAATGACATTAATTAAAATTGCCTGTGTTCCCCCAAAACTGAAATCATCTTGTAACATCTTTCTTAAAAAAGTGTTCTTTTTATTGTTAGTGTAATTATACTGCTGTGTATGTGTACATGTATATATGTATACTCACACATCCAGATAATTATAATTGTGTGTGTAAATATATACTGTTCTGTATCTATCCCACCCTTCTCATGTAATATCATAAGCTTTCTTCTCAATGCTGCACGCATCATATCACAGGAATAGACTATGACCATTCCCCCAGTGTTGGGCATTTTAGTTTTTTTCCAAAGGTCGTGAATTAATAAAATCTTAGAGCTGGAAGGAGACTTAGGGAAGATTTAATCCAGTCCCTTTTCTTTTATAATTAGATTTTTATGGTTAGGACTAAGGTCTAAAAAAGTTAATTGACTGAGAGATTATTTTATTTAGGAAAATAATATAAATGACATAGTTCCAGAAATACTTTTGTCTAAAAAAAAGTGAAAGAAAAATAAACTAAATCAGTCAAGGCACATTCAAAATAGAATAAAAAATGTGCATTAGTAATCTATCATTGGAGTGAGTAATATAACATTTGCTATAAATATTTTTCACATTTTAAAAGGCAAAATAATTGCATATAACATAACTTTTCTAGTTTCTATCATTGTAAGAGGAGGACACACAAAATATGGTATTGCATGAAAACTGGAAAATAAATTTCTAGTCTACTTTCTCTAAAAGTTCTGAGTTAATTTCATGACTGTATAGAGTGAGAACATGTTGAAAAGCAAACCTGGGTTTTAAAATTCTTTCCATTCAGTAGTCTCAGTTATTACAAAGACAATAATACTTTCTCCATTCTAGGATGTAACCACTTGGCATTTAACTTATTTTTCATTTCCTTATATTTGTTCACTACACTACAATTTGTAGACTCCATAGGAGTCTAAATGATAATTTGGTTAGCAAACACCCTTAGGTCTAAAACACATGTTGGTTCTTGAGAGATTTCCCTTCTCCTGTTCTAGTTGTGCAGAGGTGTAATTTTTTAAAATAGATATATCAATGGGCTGTACTTCATTTTCCAAAAGCACTGTGATGGTGAAGCCAAGCCTCTGAAAGATCAAGGCCCAGATCTTCCTCAGGTTTCACTTTAGTTAAGACTGTTGCAGAAGGAGTCCAAAGAATCAGAAATGCTGGAATTTGTCCTGGGCCATGAAGAATATTTCCTTACCAAATGACCCAAAGCTGTCATTGAATGTATGACTTCAAGTATGATCAAACATTGAGCGGGCTGGTTTGTGTTAAAGTCCCATGAGACTACTAAAGAAATGGTTATTTAGTCCAAAGAATCATAAACTATTGGTTTGTCTCAGTTTCTTACAGAGTAAAATTTGAGAGTAAAATTTGATTTTATCAGCTATTAATGCCTACATTTGTCACCTAAGAAAATGGGATTTCTAGTATTAGCTTTTGATTAAAAGACCCCCTACAAATAAATGTATACACTTGCCATATTCCTTCTCTCAAAGTAGCTCTAATCCATACTGAATACTTTTTCTAGACTGATTTTTCCCTAAAATGACATTTGGAAGTAGATTTTGGGAAGTTTCCTCACCTCTCTAAGGTTTGGTTTCCTTATCTGTAAAAAGGACTAATAGTAGTATCTTCTTTATCAGGTTGTTGGTTAAGCAAATGAAGTGGTCAGATCACATTAAATGTCCAATAAATAGCTACATTTATCAAGGACCTACTAGGTATCAAGTACTTTACATAATCATATCATGGCAATAATACCTACCCATTTTTCACACAAAGAAAGTAGAACTTTGAATGGCAACTTAATTAAGAGGTAATGGAGCAAAGATTTAAGCTAGCTTGGTCTGAGTGATTCCATGATCTAAATGCTACATATTTCTTTCTCCATGAAAACCCTTAAAGATAGGGAAGGCATTTGTTTCATAAATAGAAGAATTGAAAAGAACTTGTGGAGTTTCTCTAATGACATGGCAAAAAGCTAAGAAAACAGCAGAAGATCAAATTCTTGCCACTTTCAAAATAAAAGAGCTACCTGGCTCTCACTGGATGAGAGGGACTGAAGACTTGAATTTCTCTCTTTTCCCACTAACCCCTCTCCTGTGTTCCTTACTAACATTTCCAGTTGCCCAGTGGCATTTTCTCTTGAGTGTGCCACTGCTACATTAAGCTCAGTATGTCCCAGTCAGAACTCATCACCTCTTCCACACATTCTCCTTCTTGCCAAATTTTCCTTATTTTTAAGGAGAACACTTCATGCCCATGCAGCCACCCAGACTCTAATTGACAGAGCAAAAGCTTTCTCTCACCCCCACATTTAATTTGTACAAATTGTGTCACTTCTTACCTTTGCTATGTCTTTTTTGGACTTTATTTCCACCTCACTTATTCAGGCCTTCTGTCCCTTATTAAATTAATTGCAACGACCTCTTTCCTGGGGTATTTCTGTTCAGTTTCTACCCCTGTCATTTTGTCCTACATAATATACCGCCAGAAGATGCTTTCCAAATTCCATCTTCTGTCCTATCACTCTCCTGATTAATCATTTCTAACGTCTACCCAATTCTTAAAAAAATAAATTTCAGCTTCCAACAACATACCATTGAGGACTACTTAAAATATACTTTTTTAGATTTGTCTCTTCCTACTACTCCCATTCATGGCCCTGAATCTCTGACCAGCCTGGAATGATCTCACCATTTCTCACATACTCTTTCTCTTTACATTCTTCTCATCATCCCTT
Source organism: Homo sapiens (assembly GCF_000001405.40). Classification (NCBI taxonomy): domain Eukaryota; kingdom Metazoa; phylum Chordata; class Mammalia; order Primates; family Hominidae; genus Homo; species Homo sapiens. The sequence goes on from NC_000002.12 coordinate 209,467,559, forward strand.
TGTTATGCTACTCTTTCTCTGTATTACCATTTTGATTCTGTTCTACCAGGTAAAATCTCATATATGTATTATTCCTAAAGTATTTTATTTCTCTGCATTTCTCCTTGGAGTAAGAATTATTTACTCTTTCTTGTCTAGACTGAAGAGGCAAGATAATAAAGAGAATAAGAGCATGGACTCTGCAGACAGATTGCCAGGGCTCAATCTCTCTTCTCCACCACTTATTAGCCATAAGACCATGTGCAATTTCTTAACATCCGTTTGCCTCAGTTTCTGCATTTTTAAAATAGGGACAATAATGGTACCTGTCTCATAGGTTGGTATGACGATTATATTAAATATAAAGCACTTGGAACAATGCCTAGCTCATATGAAGTGCTACAAGAGGTTGTTACATAAAATAATTAAGAATTGGCTGCAGCAACTGGTTTATACTTACCTTATGACAGGGATCACATTTTACGTCATATTATTTGCATGCATATCTTACCTAAGCCTGCTCACTCCCTCAGCCCTAATTTGAGAATGAGATTTTTGCTTTTTTTTTTCATTGTATTTCCCATAGTGGGGTTTGGCACTTGGTTCTTGAAAAATTCAACTTTCATCTCGGTAGTTGACTAGTCCATTCTCAATAGAATTATTCTAAAATTTGGGCCAGTTTTATCTGATCATTAATTTTTCACATCTCTCCTAGTAGGCTAATTTCAGTTTTTAGAAAACTAAAAAGTCTCATGGAGGATTTTTTCAGTTTAGTGTTTCTTTTTTTTTTTTTTTTTTTTTGAGACGGAGTCTTGCTCTGTCACCCAGGCTGGAGTGCAGTGGTGCGATCTCGCTCACTGCAAGCTCTGCCTCCCAGGTTCATGCCATTTTCCTGCCTCAGCCTCCCGGAGTAGCTGGGACTACAGGCGCCCACCACCACGCCCGGCTAATTTTTTGTATTTTTAGTACAGACGAGGTTTCACCATGTTAGCCAGGATGGTCTCAATCTCCTGACCTCATCATCCACCCGCCTCGGCCTCCCAAAGTGCTGGGATTACGGGCATGAGCCACCGCGCCCGGCCTCAGTTTAGTGTTTCTTTAAGCACACAAAGTCTTACGTTGAGTTTATCAAGAGTTTGTCCCTTTAACACTCAGCAACATGAGTTTCATGATTCTTATATTTTTTGCAAACTGCACCAATAGATAATGATATGGTACCTTTGGAAAGAGTGTTACAGATTGCATCTAATTAAACCATATGGATATCTTTGATCTGGGTATATATTACCCTTACTTAGTAGGTGAGGAAACAGGAGGCAGAGGCACAGGGCAACCAAGTAATGTTGATGGGACTGCTCCAGTGCCTGGGGCCACCAACATGTGGGAACATTTCTCTGTGGCTCTTAACTTCCAGCTTCCAGGATAACATCCAAGATGATACTATCAGGACCACACTGTAAGTTTATGACTGAGCCAGAAACTGAACCAGGTCATGAAATCTTACTAATAAGAACCAGAGAGTTAGAAGAGATTTGGGGAATCATCTTGTTCAATTTTAAATGCGTGAATCCTCTTTAAACAGATTTATGACCTGAGCTTATTTGGGCCTTATTTGAATTCCTCCATTAGGAAACTCATTATCTCTTGAGTCAGCTTACCACATTTTCTCATTGCTAGATAGAGCTTCTTAGTCTCAGGCCATAACTTGTCTTCCTGCAGTTTTCACTCATTTGTGTAAGTTGTTCCCTTAAACTAGATACGATATGTTCCATTGTCTTCCATAAGATGTTTGTTCCTGGTTGAAAAGACAGATTCCGTGCCTTCCGCTGAGTCTTCTTCTCTGGGCCAAAATATGCTTAGTTCTCTAAAACATTTCTGATGTAATTTTTTTTTATATTTTACTTTTTAAAAACACAAAAATTTTATTTTGGGGGGCATACTCAAGTAAGTATATGCACAATACACTTTTTTTGGTTAATGATTAATGGGCTCTATCTTCTTTCCATCTCCATCTTGTTAGGAAGAGAAGCAATGATATGCTCATTCCATCCTTTATCCTTTCTTACTCTCCCTCTGCACCTGCTGCAGCCTCCCTTCACAACCAGTCAACCTCTCTGCCTTTCTGTCTCTGTCTCTCTCATACACACATCCCTCCATACACCCACAGGAATGTCAGTGCCTTGGTTCCTACTCAGGCTAAGAATTACCTAAGCAAGTGTAGTTCATTCTTGCAGATTAGGGGTTATAAAAATAATTTGTCTTTCAGCCACACACACTAGGATTTGAGTTCTAGCATTGCCACTCACTAGTTATGTTTCTCTAACAGAATTATTTCAACTTGATGCACCTCCATTTTTTCAACCTACAAAATTGAAGTTATGATTCTTGTCTCACTGGCCAGTATTGACTGTTAAGTGAAATAGTAAATGTGAGAGTGTGTGGCTCACAATAAATACTCAAGAACTACTGGTTTCTGTTCTGTAGGTCTACATTCTCGACAGCCCACCTACCAGTTTTATTATGGTTTGCTGCATCAAACACATATGTTTGCTTTCAGAACTTAGTCATCCATATTTTTTTAATATAGCAAATCTTCAATGTTCAAAATTAGTATAGCATGTTTGAATTTAAACACTTGTGATTGAAAGAAGTGAAAATCCAAACAATGCTTTGGGCAAGGCAAATGCTATGCGGGAGAAGATCATTAGAAACAGCTTGTCATGTACATGCACAGTGCCCCTTGGCACTGTTTTAAAAGTGGTTTTACATATGGCAAGGGATCTTGTATATTTATCTAGCCAAGCGTATTATTAACGTGTCTTCTTTAGCAGTTTGAATTTGTGCTATACTGTAATTACGCATACATCTCCCCTCTCACAGACTTCTCTTCTGCCTTACTTAGAGGGGAAATTAAGTAAAAAATATATATAAACATATATATTATATATATAATTGTATATAATTAAATATTTTTTCTACCTTTTCCTGTATTTTTCTCCTGTAAAATAAGTGATGTCACTGAACTGCAGTGGGTAAGGGTAAAATCTCATCAGAAAGATGTCTTGTCTTTGTCACCAAAAGTTTCTCAACCTCACCCGCATTAACAGCCACTGCCCCTGGCTGTTCTGTCTCCATCATAGCTCCCATGCACCATGTACTTTCAATTCTGAGGTCAGCTAGGGGCGCTTGGTGTGGCTATACTAACTCCCAAGTCCAGCTTCTCTGCACTAATATACCTGGATTCCAAAAGTAAATACTGAAAGGGAACACCTTTTTGAGGGCAAAAACCACTTGCACATTATCTTTCCCCATTCATCTTCTCTAATGAACACAAACACGGTCTTGCTTTTGACAATGACTTACTGATTTTCCCATATCTCCTGAACATGCCCTTCAACTTGTCCTCCATATTGGAGTAGACTAATTTTGGAAAAATACAAACTTATCAGTATTCATGTCCCTGTTTAAAGGTCTTTAGTAACTTCCCGTTTGTCTTCTGGTACAAAGACAAATCTTTCTATGACTGACAAGGTTCTGCATGGTCTGACTCTTGCCTGTTTTCCTAGTCTCACTTCTACCATTCTCCACATTGCCACATTTTACCTCAAATACACCATGTTTCTCTTTTCTAAGGCAACATGCATTTTCTTCTAGTTCACATTCTCACCCACTCTCCCTCTTTCTGGTTAATTCTGACTCATCCTACACAGGAAGGGAATCCTTACTCAAACTCCTTCAGGTTCTTTTGCCTCAGAATACTCACTTCAGGTTTTAATTATGTTAAACCTATTAATACCTGTCTTCTCTACTAGATTGTAAGCCTTTTGAGAATGGGAACTGGGTCTGGTTTTGGTCACCAATGATATCCCCAGTACCTAGCATGGTGCCTTACATGTCCTTAGCTATTGAATTGTTAAATAAAAGTAGGTGCTGCTAGGGTAAGGGAGGAATATTAAATGGGGTTTGACCATTAACTGTTCTAAAATTGTAGGTAAATTTGGTAAAGAAAGCTATTATTTCAAAATTAATTTACTAAAAGTTTTTAAGAACTGTGGGAACTTTTTAACCTAGTACTTAAATGATTTTTCTCATGTTCCCAACCCCCCACCCCCGGCACTTAATAAAAGAATAAAGAGGAAGGAACGTGTTCTACAAATACTTTATTTATATTAATTTTCTTTTATTTGATATATGTTATTACCTTAAAAATATAGTTCCTTGAGAATGAAGGGTTAAATTAGGTTTTAAAATGCCAAATAAGTAGAAATTTTAATGATAAGGTCAAATATATGTAAACCTGGTCTCTATTAGTAGGAATTTCTAACTTTAGTAAGTCCTAACATAAGGACATGAAAATGAGATATTGTATTTTTGCTGCTGTGTTGAAAAGATAAATAAATCAAATTTTATGGTTAAAAGGAGTTTCACAGCCAATTTTGCTATTCTCCCCACCACCACTTCATCCCAATGATTTTCCATAAGGGTTAATATGCTAGATATGTTATGAACAGCTGACAATTACATATCATGTAACTATTGATTTTTTTAATAATAAATTTTATTTTGTATATATGAGGTTTACAACGTGATGCTATGGGATACATAAAAATAAAAGATGGTTACAATAGTGAAACAGATTAACATATCTGTCATCTCACATAGAAGTTATAGATTTTTAATTTTCATTTGGAGCCCCTCTGGGATGTTATTACTGATGGCCTTCAGAGCAAGTGTGTGTCTGGGCTGTTAGCCAAGGATTTAAGTTGGTGACTAGGTTTATTAAGGAGAAAATGGGTCCCTTAGGATTGTTCAAGGTATATCAACACCAAGCTTAAAACTAGAGTCAGGAAGCTGTTGAAGGCCAAGGTACTTGGCCTGCTGCTTCATTTCCACCAGAGTTCTGAAGGGTATAGCCAGCCCTGGGTTATGTTGGAGTTGTAAAGTGACACTTAAAAGCTCATGGTCAGGTGAATCTCAGGAAAAACGAGACCTTGCAGTCTGCTATTCGTTTCCAGAAGATTGAAGAGCACAATTCATCAAAGTACTGACAAAGGCTTGAGTGTTGAAATACCTCTTTGTGAATGAAAGAAGAGAAGTTAAGCACTAATTACCAAAGACCATTTGCCCCCTTAAACCTTGAGGGAGGAGGAAAAAAAACAGGATTGTGTAACACAGAGATGAGTGGTTAGAACTACTCAAAAAAAAAATTATTGCCGTCACTGAAATTGCTTAGTCATTGTTTTATATCCAAGAACAGTCAACTGTGAGTTGGTACAAAAGCATTATCATATTTAATATAATGCTAGCAATGAATTAGAAGGAAGTTGAGAGATCTTCTAGTCAAGTCTGTCTTATAGGAAAGAACATAAGTGGATTAGCAATTTTCAAACAATGTATAGGGATTTCTGATTACTGTTATGTATATATTTATTGGTTTTACATTCTTCTGATTCTTTCAACATCAGACCAACATCTTTGATGGCTAGGATTGCAGTCTGAGCTCCAGGAGCAGGACGCTACTCCTTGGTGACTTCATACCCTTCTTAAAGTATGTCACAAATTGTCCTCCCCACATCAACTATTATTGCACTTCCTGCTTAGTGTTGTGCTGTATTTTGGTCTGGTCTGTCTCAAGTACTTACTAGCATTCCTGGAACCAAGTTTGTTCATCCATAAATCCCACGTTTTACAGTGATTGTCAGGTTATTGGTGGCAAATAATTATACTTTGGTGAGAAAATAAGTGGTAAAAAAGTGGTCTGTGCCTTTCTACTCAGTGACTTTTAGAGGATTTTACTGATGAGTAGAAATGTTGCTTTCCTTCATTCTTCTTAGTATTTTAATATAGATTAATTAAATAATGAAAATCCATTTGTTAAAGAGTTAAGGTCTTGAGGGTGAAGAGTCTACAGCAGGACCTAGGAGGTAGAAGGAGGTATAGTACCCTATATATTTAAAAGTTTGCTTTTGTCACATATGTTTTCATTAAGAGACCTGTACAATTTTATATTATGATTTATCACCCCCAAGTGTCTAAATTTTAATTTAAAATTTTATACTTAGGGGTATAGAAACAGATAAAGATAAAACAGAGATGTATAGTTATCTACTCTTACAGTTTTGGCCTGCCAGGCAAAAAGTTACAGGAATTATTAATAGAGATCTCTGAAGTGTTTATGAGACTAGTTTGTGATATATTTAATAAATACCTTAGATATGAAGTAACTAATGAAAAATTAGAACTTAGGAAATAGAACTAAAATTATTTATCACTGTCTTAATAGCACCTTATTAAACAATGACTAAATACATATTTGTATCCTTGTATTTTACAGCATATATTTTAAAAAAATTATCACATATTACTTCTTAAGGTTTCACTAGGAGAAAATGTGATTATTTCTAGCTTACTGTATTTATTTGCCTTATGCAATCTTTGTCTATTTCTGTGTGGTTTCACCACTTAAGGATCTACTCCGCAGTGCTCTACTCACATTCCACAAACCTGATTCATGTTGTTTTCTAACATTGAACCGATCTGAGGAGGCAAACTTTAGAAGTAGTACTCATTACCTTAGATGCTCTCTATAGTGGTTTACCAAGGGGAGCTTGAGATATGGGCATACTGCCAGGTGTTGAACCAAAGCAATTTTGGCTACAACTGATTTGTGGTTTAATCTTTGTAAATGTACTTAACTTTGGTCTAAGTTTTAGGAAGTCACTGCAATTCAATGGAGCCAAATGTGTAAGTGCCTAAAGACAATGACTTTACTGCATGTGTTTTGTCAGTTGGATTTTTTTTTCTTAGATAGTGAAAGTTATGAGTCCTTTGTATAATTTATGTTACAGCATGATAGGAAGGCAGTTATATCGCTGTTAAAATAATTATTTATTGCTTATTCCACCAGCCCAGGAACAATGCACAGTCTATAAAAGCAGATTCTCAATGCTGGTTTCTGACAAATAGTATTCCATTACATTCTAATATAATAGTATGGACCATTATATTCCATAATCTCCTGCTTTGAAGATCAGTATTGTTATAAGAAAGAAAGAGAGGGGAGAAGTATATTATATATGAGTGTGTATGTGTATGTATTACAAAAATTAACTGTTCGTATAAGTAACAAAGTATAACTTTATTACACCACAAATACTAGGACAAATGGGTGCTACTTAAAGCTCGAAATGGGTGATTTTCAGGCAAATAAAATAAAACCGTATTTTACTACACAGTGAGTAAAATACATGGAGATTGTTACTATATGCATACATATATGCAAACAATTTAAATCTATAAATAGGCATGAGGAAAACATATATATTTTTCTCAATTCAACAATATTATTTCTGAATCCAATTTGGTCAGGATTTATCTTCTCCCTCCTGCCAGAGATAATTTCAAATATCTTTTTCACTTTTTGCAAGTAATGGGTTTTCACTCTAGTATTATTCTTGATTGGGTGAAAGCATTTTTTTCCTACCTAATAATTTTCTATGTGTATGAAGAGGAATGAGTTTTAGCTCCATTTCTTGTCTTAATCCTGCAGTCTGGAAAATTGATTTATAGTTAGATATCTTTAAACACAATCTGTTACAGTAAAGTAATTTGCTCCCGTCATGAAGTTTACATAAAAATGGTAACATCCTACTGTGTGTTTATACACGTACACAAATCACAAGTCAGTGAATGTAAAACCATCTTCTGATCAGTTCTTAAAAATGCATACTTGTAAGATTTTGTCTTTACTCATGGTAAAAATATATAAACTGTGTATAGAGTTCTCCTCTTGTTTTTATTTATTTAAGCCACTGTATACAACTCTGAACTGAAAGGCCAAATACTCCCTTTCATCTCTGCTCAGTGCAATTGTCCTGAAACTGCATTACTTTATAACATTAGGGAAAAACATAGTATTTGAAAAAATAAAAACATTTAGAAATAAATGTTTAGCAGAGATATTACTATTTCATCTAAGGGTACATATGAGAGGAAAAGCCTCATAAAATGTAAAATCAGAAATTATATAAAATAGTGAAGTACAGCTTAGGGGTCAAATCAATATTGTTATGTTCAAGTAGGAAACAACCATTTTTTGTTTGAAGAGCAGGCAATAAAAAAATTCAGCCTATTTGAACTACTGTTCTATTAATGTGTCAATTTTAAATAAGCATCAATCTTTGTATCTATGTATTCTAGTTTTTAATGCATATTTAACTTTAACACTATGTAATTATGTCAACTTGTATGGAATATATTTATAGTACTTAAGTACAAGAAATATGAACACGGTGGATCACAGTTTAGCAGTATTCCAGAACCTTCTATGAAGAGTCTCTAGAAAAACTGTAAATTTCTTTTCTCTAGGAAAAACTGATGAGAGGTCAGTTGGTACATGCTGAATGTTTATTAGACAAAGCTTTCCATTTCTCTCTTTCAGAGAAGACAATTTTAATATAACTCAAAATGCTTTTTTAAATTTTAGATTGAATGTATTTTACTATTCTGGGAACTTCTCATCTTAAAAAAAAACAAAACAAGTTTCTTATCATCCAGAATAGAGGAAGGTGCATCTAGAATAAACATTTAGAAAATACTTTAAAAATGGGTATGAATTTTAAGCCAAAGCCTTCTCGAGACCATGATTGTGGATCCTAGTTTTGGAAATGAGAGTTCTGTCCATCTCAAAGTGATAGCAGTCACTTGGAAAGAAGATCTATTGACCTCTGACATAAGATTGTTTCCTATACTTTGGAATTAAACATCTCAGTAAACCGACGCTGAAGAAAGAGATCCATTTACAGAAAGTGGTAAATTAGTCAAACCTGTAGTAGTCCTCCCCACGATTTGTTTTTCTTAGTTTTTTTTTTTTTTTCATCATTCTGCTATACGTATAATTCAGGCTGTAATTTAGGAAATACAATGCTACTTGCCACTAGCCATCCTGAAAGTGAAATATAGTATCCTGGTCAGAGCCCTATTTCCCTAATGGTGATTAAAACTGGGCAGAAAGCCCAATGTAATAAAACAGTCTCCAAGCTTTTTCACCAACCTTGGTCTGGGAAAAGCAACATTAGAGGTTTTATGTCTTGAAAAATATACGACGTCCATATGATTAAGTGCTCTTCATTTTCTTCTCAACCACAGGGTGCACATTCAGGCCTTAATTGTGCCAGCTGTTCTCTTAACCCATCACCTAAATATTGCTTTTGAATATAATCCGTCTTGACACAAAGCCTTTTAAGTTTTCTTTATTACAATTGATCTTTCTTATACTAAATTAAACTTCATTTTCTCATTTGAGAAAAGTGAGCTCTTTGGAAAAAAAATAAAAACAGATTTTTTTATTCTGCACATGTAAAGGCAATTCCTTTTTCCTGTCCTAATTGAATTCAGTTAAGCATTCAAAACCTTCATCACAAAGATTGGCTGAGCTATTTTTCTTTTTAAACAAGGCCAAGTTTTGTTGGCACCCATGACGAAGACCATACTGTGAGAGGGCAGGCTGCCAGCAGGTTTAACATTCAAGTCCAGAGTTTGATGACGTCTTCCCCAAGCTTCATCAAGAGTCTTGCAACAGAGCCACCTTGCAGGCCATTGGTGTGCGTACTGCACAAGTGTTAGTTTCTGTGCTTTTCAGAAGATTTGGAAACAATGAAAGTGATCCATTCACTTTTTCATATACAAAAAATTAACGATGGAATTGGGGAAGCTGAGTGAAGGGTATGCCATAGCCTGGGCCACTTTGTAACTGCTTGTCAATCTTAAACTATTTCAAAAGAAAATGTTATATTGAAAAAAAAGCCACAAAAATGAAATATGAAGAAGTCAAACTGTAGTACATAAATATGGCTCTATTAAAAAAAATTAAAAATAATGACAATAAAGAATACATCATGATTTTTTTTTCTTTCCATTGCTTTAGCCACATGTGTGAAAGGTTCATGCTATTCCTAAAACCCTTTACAATTGTCTTTAGTGGAGGGCACAATAAAGAACATTAGGCTATTCTTTAACCAAAGGGAAATAATTTTAAATGGATATTTAAGTCTGTCTTAATCTCTACCTATGCTTTCTTCTCTTCCCCCTACCTCTCTCTCCCCTTCTCTGCATCCCTTCTAACATTTTTCCTTCTTTGTCTCTCCACTCTGACAGTTCTGATGTTGAAAATACTAAAGGTTGGGTATGGTGGCTCACGCCTATAATCCTGGTTACTCTGGAGGTTAAAATGGGAGGATCACTTGAGCCCAGAAGTTCAAGACCAGCCTGGGCAACACAAGTGAGGCCTCCTCTATACAAAATATTAAAAAAAAAAAAAAAGCCAGGTGTGGTGGTGCATGCCTGTAGTCCCAGCTACTGCGGAGGCTGAGGTGTGAGGATGGCTTGAGCCTGGGAGATTGAGACTGCAGTGAGCTGTGATAGGGCTACTGCACTCCAGCCTGGGGAACAGAGCGAGACTCTGTCTCAAAAAATAAAATAAAGATACTAAAAATACTGGTAGATTACTCTTATTCTATTGTATTAAGAAAGTGCTACTTGGGCTAAAGTTTTGTAGCACCTGATTAGGATCAGTTAGGTGTGGGGAAAATAGAATGAAAAACAAACAAACAAAAAATTCTGGTAAACACGTCATTATTGCTAGTTACCTGTAAGAGAATGACATCAATTTTAGTGGTTAGGAACCCAGCCTCTGAAATCAAGCAGTCCAGTTTAAAATCCCTATCATGCTATCTCCTGTGACCCTTAGCAAGTGACTCTCTGTGCCTGATGTCCTTATCTTTAAAATGGAGATAACCATAATATTATCTACCTCATACATTTATTTTAAAAACTATGTGAGTTAACGCATCCAAAGAATTCCCAGCATAGAGCAGCACTCAGTGATTATTAGCTTAATTATCTAATTGAAGACAAATGTTTACTACTGCCAAGTTGAAAATGTATCTGGATATTTGAAATACAATTTACAAAACCTCACTATAGAAGAACGTGAAACAGGAGCAGTAAGAGATAACATAGTTGTGTCATGGACACCCAGCACATCACAGCTGCTGCGACTCTCCTGTTGCAGAGTCCACTTTCTAAATATATGTAGGGCAGGCATACATAAATAATTTAGGTTTTTGATGTTTATCATACATTATTAAAATACCAACTTCTAGTGACTGCTATCTTCAACTCACTATAAGGTTCCGCATTTTTATTTTGTTGATATGTCTCCCATTTCCACTCTAGATTTAATTATCTAAATAGAAATGTTTTAATTGATGTCTTGTGATATTTGTTTTAAATTTGAAGGAAATTGCCCGTATTTTCATCAGACATTCTCCCTCTAATGAAATAGGATGGAATTAAATAGGCTGTATAGATTCTTCCAGGGTTTGAAACAACTTTTTTAAAAGGTGTCTAACATTTACCCAGTCACACAGTTTTATTGGCCTGCCTTCATTTAAGTAGTTTTATTTGTTGAGAATCAATTAAGAAACTGTTTTAAACAATGAATAAAGTAAATATTCATTTCTAATGTGTTAGCCTATGTGTATTCATTTTCAAATTACAAAAGCAAGTGATTTTTTTTCTTCCAGAGTTGGACTTCAGTAAACATGGAGTATTTTCTACCATGGAAAATACATTGGTTTCTCTTTTAAGATTGATCAATTTTTTCCTTATATGGTTGTGCAAAAAACATATATCTCTCCTTTTCATAAGGTTCTGTATTTAATTAAAATTAACAAAAGAAGGGATTTTGTGGGGTTTTGTTGAAATTGGCATAGGAACCTGCTGAAATATTAATACTCTGCATCACTTATATAAAATTTCATTACCAGAACTTCACTGACATTTACATTAGTCTATTAATGCAATTATATTTTGTCATATTACTATTTGCTTAATAGATAGGAACTATGATAATAAAGATACATTTTTGATCAATTGTCTAGGGCTAGGCAGTAAGTAAAGAATGAGCTGGAAATCGGAAATTCACAATAACATGGTAGTTAGATTTGCTTCATTAATTTCTAAATCTTATAGTAACAATGTTGATTTCAGCATTCTCAGAACCAAAGGCGAGATATATGAATAAGCCAACAAATTATAGAAAAATTCAGAGATTCTGTAATTAAATGCAGTGTACCTGACCCCTGGCTTGAGATAGAAAATAGCACAATTTTGAACTACATAAAACAATATTTTTAGTCCTGTGTTTATTACCAAAAATAAAAGTGTCAAATAAAAATTTAAAGTTTTTAAATTACATTTTAAAAGACTTGGTAAATTATAACTTTCTTCAGCCTTAGCAGATATAATAGCCGAACATTTCAACTGTTTTCAAATTATGCATCAAAATAAAATTGAGTTGCTAGTAGAAAGCTCAAATGGTTTTGCACAACTGAGCCTATAAATGTGTTTTATTGCTGCTGTTTCCCATGTTTTACTTAAATAAGTCACATCAATTTGTTTAATTAAAATGTGACAGTTTGAGCTGCATTTGACATTTTTCACAATTTTCCTCATCATTCCTTACCTAATAATGTACATACTCAAATAGCTGATAGGCTTCTAGCTAAATATGCACATTGACTAAGAGTAGTTAATATGAAATCAGTAGACTGTCACTGTGTCAAAGAGGGAGAGCTTGATAATGTTCTGCCAAGGATGAGGGTCTTTCTTAGGAGAGTGACAAATAGAACTTTAGAATATAATAATGTAGTCTACTAGACTAGTAGACTCCACTTAGTACTATACCCTTTAGCTTTATTAACTGGGACTTTTTATTCCATTCGGAGGGAAACTATTAGGTTCTAGTTTACACAAGGAACAATAAGGCCATTGTACACTTTTTGTTCTTACACATTTAATTTTGAATAGTGTTGAATTTCTGGCTGAGTCTGTGGATACGTGGAAAAAATATTTAAAGATGATTACAAGCTAGCATTACTTTATTTGTTGTTGGAATCACATTGTTTTCCTTAGTAACTTGCAATTAAGATGATCTAAAGTTTGTTTGTTTGTTTGTTTGTTTGTTTTCTTTACTACATACTGTATGTTCTAGTCCATGAGCAGGATTTGCCAAACATGATGCTGCTTTATGTATCAGTCATTTTGTGTTGTTTGAGGTTAATAATAAGATTTGATATCAGTATTTATCTATAATAATCAGGCTCTTTCACCTGTAAATAGAAAAAATTTTAAAGAGTTTAGACGAAAATATTAATGCATATACGATATAAAAAGTCCAGAAGTCCTGTTGGTATAGGGATGGCAGGAACCAGGTTTACCATTGTAATCATTAGCTTAGTCTTGTTCTTCCTTCTTTCTCTTTCTCTTTCTCACTCTCCATCCCATTGTTTCCCTCCCTCCCACTCTTCGTCTCATTTTCTCTCCATTTCCCTGCTCTGCTTCATCTGGAAATGCTGGGTTCATCATAAGGCTCTTACTCCATGGTGAAAAGAGGTACCAGTACCTTCGAGGTTACAAGATTGTTACATGTAGTTAACTGAGAGGAAAAGAGACCATCTCCTGTACAGCCTTCACGTATCAGGGAAGACTCTTTTTGGCTTGTGTTACAAACTGAATTTCCGTGAGACTGACTCTGACACAGAGTGTAGCTTACTGAATGTTTCCTGGGATAAATGTCCATGGAAGGGAAGGAGAAGGAAACAGGAATGGGCAGAGGGAGAACTTGAGCTGCTTTGCAACCCAGTGACAACATCTCCCAACAGAAGAATGCTTTTCAGCTTGCCTCCTATTGGGTGAAGATGGTTCAGCCTTCATACTCCTGCATTGATCCATCACTGGATGTGGGCTACCCAGGTAAAGGAAGGCAATCTCTGAAGGGGCCCAACTACTGAGCTTTCTCTACTGACAGTAACTTCCTGTGGCTAGGACATTGTTTCATTGATGGGGGACTGGGCGGTACACCAAAGTGCCACTCCATCCTAATATGGCCTGAATTCCTAGCTGTCAACCAATCAATGTCCCCAAGAAATGGAGTCCATGGATTGACCTATACTATCCTATGGCTGAGGCTGGGGTAGGATTGGACTGTGTGTGGTCAACCACATCTAAATCACATAAAATTGGCTCCCCACAAAAAAAGATGAATTTGACTGCAGATGAAGGAAGGGAAATGCTGAACTGAGATATACATGACAACCTCTGCCTTAGGTCACTTAACTATGAAGCCAGCTTGTCTTTAGGTTTCTGAATAAAGGGAATTATGATAGTAGAATACATTTTTATTCAGAACATAGAATTTGGATATGTTTTATCCCTAAACCTCTCTTCTTCTGTGTTATTGAGCATGTATTAGCTCACCACGTAGCATACATGAAAGGACAGCCAGCTTCCACAAACTTCTGTTCATATAGAGTTGATGATGTTACAGTTATTTGTGAGTTAAAATACACGAGCATTCTCTTCATTTATTTCAGAATAATGTATTCCTATGTGTATGTATACATTGATTTTACCGTGGAACTTCTTTTTTTTTAAGTAGAACATCTTAGAAGAGAATGCACACTAGGAAAAGCTGGGATGATTAGACCAAAATCTCAAAGACAGCAGTAGAATCAGTGTTGACACTTCACTATTCTTACTTAAAAAGTATTATTTGTAGTTCTGTTGTAGAGACTGATCATGTGTCTTAGCTCTCTTACTAAATAGTAACTCTCTGAGGGCAGAGTGCTATGCTTGCTTTCTATCTCATACAGTATAGATATCCAACATTACACAATATAGACATGAAAAAATGTTTGCATAAATGACTGTCAGTAAGTTAACTGTGCTGATTTAAAAAAAACTCACAGTCATCATGAGAATTAAGGTTAAAATTCAGTGAAATAATGTCACCATCAGAAATCCAATGTCAGCAGCATTGACTTCAGTTAATTCAGTTAATTTTAACCTGTCAGAGTCAGCCTCTCTAAAAGCTATGTCAGTTCTTTCCCCTTTGACACGTGTGGCAATATGTGTTCAGGTTGATATATTGTTGGTCATAGGAAGTGAGCAGATTTTTGCAAACATATTACTGAATGAAGAATTAAACCTCCATTTTATACCAAACTTTCTGATAGGCTTTTAACACACATTATCTGATTATCTCAAAGAACTCTGGGAAATTATTACCCCCATTCTAATGATGAAAAAACTGAGACTCAGACATATTTAAACACTAACTGATAGAAAAAAGTCTTAGGATTCAAACACATGGCCTCAGCTCCTTCCATTCTACCAACTACCTTGAATTTTTGCCTGTTTCTGTAAGATTAAACAATATTTGTAGTAAATAAATCTGAATACTAATATACTACATGATAGTGGTCTGTTTAAATGAACTCTCTGCATTTTACAGAATCATTGTCTGTTTTTATGAAATATTACAGCCTTATACTGCATTTTATCTTGTCATTCCTACAGCTGTCCTATTGATTAGGGCAAAGTAGATTTTAGTATCTTTTTTAGAACATGACATTATATGTTAACAAAGCGCTGAGTTTAGAACTAAAGTCCTGAAATTGTCCTCAGGGCTTTGCTAAATCTAGATTATTCATACAACACTAATGACTGTAAACATGATCTGAAATTCTGCATTTAGAAATATTTTCTTAACATGAATTTTGTGCAGCCACCACAGAGAAACAAATTATGTTTGCTTATACTTTTATTATTGGCTGTAATACATGTTGATCAAAGACAATTTGTGAATACAGAAAAATGAAATGTCTGAAAGAAGAGAAGAATGTGAGTGTTATAAAGTGTACCTTGTTTTAATGTTTATTTTATTACTGATACCTAGATTCAATGGTACAATTACCCTTTGTTTAAAAAAAGGTATTTAGCCTGGGCAACACAGTAAGACCTTGTCTCTAGAAAAATAAAACAAATTAGCCAGTGATGGTGGCCTGTGCCTGTAGACCCAGCTAGTCAAGAAGCTGAGGCTGGAGGATCCTTTGAGACTACTAGTTTGAGGCTGCACTAAGCTATGATTTTGCCACCACACTCCAGCCTGGCTGATAGAGCGAGACTCCATCTCTTAAAAATTTTTAATTTAATTTTTGTAAAAGATGTTTTTAAAATTCTTTATTGTATTTTGTCGATATAGTCTACCTATTATGGGTCTTGTTTATCTACAAGAAAAATGATTTTTGAAATTGGAGGCAAAAGTGTAATAATTTACTGTTCAGTTTTGCTTGTGACAATGCCAGAGTTTGTGTTAGTTTTTGGAAAAATTTTCAAGTCACATGAGCATCTTTTGCCTTAAAGAGCACACACCATTTACTTTCATCCATCCTTTCATCATGGGGAAGATTAAATGGGACACATGGAGCCAGGAAAGGTGGGTGACAGCTGGGAGAAATTTTCTTAGAGGCCTCAGAGCACTTCCAGAGGATTGATTTGAATCCATTTTCTGCCAGTTCCTTTAGCTTTACCCAGGTTATCATCCCTGCAGGGAGCTGGGAGCTGTATCTCATTGAACTTCTGATATGTTAGACAACTCTAGAACATTCTTAAATTTCCTTAAGCTTGATTCCTTAGTTAAAAAAATAGAGGTAAAAATCTTTACCTCCTCTATTTCTTCTAAGAACAATATAAAGAAAATGCATTTGCATTTGAAAAAAATGATTTTTAACTTGTGAGGGCCATTTGTGTTGACTTAGTAAATTGACTTCCCCCTGAGTGCAGTAGAAAGGCACAGACTGACTTTTTACAGCACTGAACGTTTAGTGGTAGGTGGTCAGTGGTTTATATTTTATTATCAAGAAGTCAAAGAAAATGTATTTGATGGCGAGGCGCAGTGGCTCACGCCCGTAATCCCAGCACTTTGGGAGGCCGAGGCATTACCAAGAAGTCAAAGAAAATGTATTTGATGGCGAGGCGCAGTGGCTCACGCCCGTAATCCCAGCACTTTGGGAGGCCGAGGTGGGTCAATCACCAGGTCAGCAGTTCGAGACCAGCCTAGCCAAGATGATGAAACCCTGTCTCTACTAAAAATACAAACATTAGTCTGGCGTGGTTGCAGGCGCCTGTATTCCCAGCTA
This sequence comes from Homo sapiens, assembly GCF_000001405.40. Classification (NCBI taxonomy): domain Eukaryota; kingdom Metazoa; phylum Chordata; class Mammalia; order Primates; family Hominidae; genus Homo; species Homo sapiens. Next base: position 209,484,580 of record NC_000002.12, read on the forward strand.
CTCGGGAGGCTGAGGCAGGAGAATCGCTTGAACCCGGGAGGTGGAGGTTGCAGTGAGCCGAGATTGCACCACTGCAGTCTAACGTGGGCAACAGAGCAAGATTCCATCACAAACAAACAAACAAACAAAAAACATATCTTTCTCAATGAATTTGCTTGGGGGCAAATTACTGCAAGTCAGCAAATACTTATTTTGTGCTTTTATTCTGCCTTTTAAATAACCTGGCCTTCTTGATTTGAGACTGGCTAGAAAATAAGGCCTCCTCAATTATTTAAACTATTGTCTATTGTCAACTATTAGCCATAGTGAAAAAAGAAATCTTCTTAAAGAACTTAAATGTGCTATCTCTGGTCCCAAAGGCACATTGAAATCGGGCCGATAGAAACGCGATAGCAGTTGTGCACCATGTCTGCAACTGTGGCAGACACACAACAGAAGTTAGTAATTGAGCTGCTCATTACAGACAGGGAGAGGCCTGTTAACTTTCTGTAACTGCTGGAGCGTGTCTATAGTTTCTTTGCTGTGGCACTAGATTCATCAAATGCTGAGTCCTCCTAGAGGTGACGGGCTGACCTTCTGTACAGACTGATTCTGACTGTCTTCATGTGAGTCACATTGGGCAGCGTTTTGGTGGTACCAGACTGCTGTCAAAGCTTATTTCCCTCTCTGTTAACTGTTTGAAGATTTATGTACCAACAGGAATTTAATCAGTGCTGTACTTTAAATAATTTTGTGCTTGGCTCAAACAAGAAGAGTTAATCAATTCATTAGAGGTGGATTATAAGCCCCACCTCCTATAACTTTTTTTTTTATTGTGTCAGAAGTTTGGAAATAAAATACATGTTATTATTGAAAACACTTTATTGAATGAGGATTTCAAAAATTAGGTCATTTCTTTTCCTTTATTTCTGGATTGTTTTCTCCTGCATGACATTTGACACTTTGTCAAGCAAACAATTGAGGATAGCCCATAACCAAAGATTACCTGTCGTTGGGAAGCAGGTGTCACGCTGATGAATCAGAGCCAGATAAATCTAGGCCAACAGAGGTATGTTTGCTTATAGAACTAAGCAAGACTTTCTATGTGGAAGAACTAGAAGACCAACAGATATAAGCTGTTAGTTTTAGTGTTGGCACCAACACTGCTACTATAATCCCACACTAGTCTCCAAATATTTTTGTGCACATTCAAAATTCACATGAATTTGTCATTTGCACTTTCTAACTTAACACTCCTGTGATTAATCTGTGGCTGGATAGTTGTAGATCAGGGATCTGTTAGTTGGAAATGTTCCCTTCTGAAAGGGCAGAAGGTTAGGGCCTAGCTTTCTTGCTGTGATAAATGTCTTTTCAGCTTCTGCTTCTTTCTTGTTGCTTAAATTGGGGATGGAGAAAGCTCCCAACTACCATTCATTGTCTAACCTCATACCCTGCTTTATCTTCTTCATAGCAGTCATCATTCTCTTAAGTATTTGTGTTCCACTATAGGAATATAAGCTTCAAAAGTGCAGGAACCTTGTTGACAACTTCTTCACCATCATTATATCCCAGTTCCTAGAAAAGTATCTGCCTTGCCCTGAAGCACGTCTTCAAAAAACATTAGTTAAAAGAATGAATAACTAACTTGCTTGTATATTCTATTTGCTTGGGAAATCTTTTCTTTTTTTTTAATGGAGTCTTACTCTGTCACCAGGCTGGAGTGCAGTGGTGCGATCTCACCTCACTGCAACCCCTGCCTCCCAGATTCAAGTGATTCCCCTGCCCCAGCTGAGTAGCTGGGACTACCGGAGTGCGCCACCATGCCCAGCTAGTTTTTTGTATTTTAGTAGAGGTGGGGTTTCTCCATATTGGCCAGGATTGTCTTGATCTCCTGACCTCATGATCCACCCGCCTCAGCCTCCCAAAGTGCTGGGATTACGGGCATGAGCCGCCACACCCAGCCTAGGGAAAACTTTCTTACAGTAGAATAAAGATGCAGATATGTCTCGGTTCACAGTCAGGCTGTAAACATTCTATTTAGGTGTTCAGCACCACTTCAATTATACTAAAGATGAAATTGGTCAGATCAGAAATTTAACCATCATTTGTAATGTTTTGCTTGTGGTTTTAAATACGTTATTGAAAAATTACAAATATAAGATTGTTTATAGGTGAATTATAGGGGAAAATGTAAGTTGATTTAAGCTATTTTCATTCCAATATAATACTTTCTGCTCCAGTGCTACTTCAGGGGAAAATTAAAGCATTAACTCTTGACTAGTACAGTTGAAATATAATGGAATCTGAGGAAGTACTTAATATGTAACATGGATTAACAGCAGATCTGTGTCATAGATTAATATTTTCAGACTTATGGGAAACCCTAACTTTTGCTGCAGCTACATTTGTTCCAGACATGGGATTTCCTTTTGTAGTGTATAGATTCCATTAGAATTCTGACCGTTTTTTGGTCCCTTTTATGTAACATGAAATGCAATGATAATATTAAAATGTATGAAAATATACTTTATGATAAATAGGTCTGAAGTCAATTCTCATATACCTCTTTTGGGGATTTGCAATTTTATTTATTAAATTATGTAGAACTTTAGTTATAACAGCAACACAGAAGGAGTTACCTACACCTGGACTCACCCGAGAGAAAGCCTCTGACTCAGAGAAGTGGGTCCAGAAATCTGTGGAATGCTCCGTTTTCGCTTATTAGTAGTGCATTGCCAAAGCTTTCAGGAAATTAGAGCTTTGGGGAACAGATTTGCTTTATTGTCAAGGATTGCCTATAGCTGTACATTCCTTTGAAATTCAGGTTTCACTCAGATGACAAAATGATGGTTTGGTAGGCCTAGGAGGATGTGTACTTTCCAAACTGGAGAAAATCTAGGTTGTGGTATTAATCTTAAAAGCACCCCAATGTTAGACACAGCTGCCTGCCTGACATGTGCCTCAGGTTTATCCTACATGTTTACAAAGCTCAGTTGTAAATCTGAGTATTAATGAGAAGATGTTCCATGAAAGATTTTCAACAAATAATTAATAATGCATTCAGTTAACCATAAAGGCATTTCAAGGAAAAACTCAGACTTTGAAGACAAATGATTTGAATAAATGGATAAAAATAAGCTTAGGGGCTTTTGCAGATTCATCACTCAACTCTCTTACTTCATTATCCACATAAATACAGCATTATTCAGATGCATTTTAACCTTCAAATAACTCATACTTCTTATTGCTGTTTTTATCATAAACCTTGAGTAAGGTAGCCTCTTAAACTATTTATATACCTAACATAGATAAAATAAAAATTAAAAAGAAGGAAAAACAAAAGGAACTTGGTTGGGAATATGTAAGAACTTTTTGCCATACATCTTTGAGGTAATGACAACAAGTTTCTTTAAAAAATAAATACTGCTGGATTCCTGGGCAAGACGGCCAAACAGGAACAGCTCCGGTCTGCAGCTCTCAGAGAGACCAGCGCAGAAGGTGTGTGATTTCTGCAACTGAGGTACTTGGTTCATCTCAATGGGACTAGTTAGACAGTGGGCGCAGCCCATGGAGGTCGAGCAGAAGCAGGGTGGGGTGTCGCCTCACCCAGGAAGCACGAGGGGTCAGGGAACTCCTTCCCCTAGCCAAGGGAAGCCCTGAGGGACTGTGCCGTGAGAGACGGAGCTATCTGGCCCACATACTACGCTTTTCCCATGGTCTTCACAACCTGTAGACCAGGAGGTTGCCTCGGGTGCCTATACCACAAAGGCCCTGGGTTTCAAGCACAAAACTGGATGGTCGTTTGGGCAGACACTGAACTAGCTGCAGGAGTTTTTTTTTTCATACCCCAGTGGCACCTGGAAGGCCAGTGAGACAGAACCATTCACTCCCCTGGAAAGGGGGGCTGAAGCCAGGGAGCCAAGTGGTCTAGCTCAGTGGATCCCACCCCCACAGAATCCAGCAAGCTAAGATCCGCTGGCTTGAAACACTTGCTGCCAGCACAGCAGTCTGAAATCAACCTGGGATGCTCGAGCTTGGTGGGGGGAGGGGTGTCTGCCATTACTGAGGCTTGGGTAGGTGGCTTTCCCCTCACAGTGTAAACAAAGCTGCCAGGCAGTTTGGACTGGGCAGAGCCCACCACAGTGCCAAAAAGCCACTGTAGCAAGACTGCCTCTCTAGATTCCTCCTCTCTAGCCAGGGCATCTCTGAAAGAAAGGCAGCAGCCCCAGTCAGGGGCTTATAAATAAAACTCCCATCTCCCTGCAACGGAGCACCTGGGGAAAGGGGGGGATGTGGGTACAGCTTCAGCCGACTTAAACGTTCCTGCCTGCCAGCTCTGAGGAGGGCAGCAGATCTCCCAGCATAGTGCTCGAGCTCTGCCAAGGGACAGACTGCCTCCTCAAGTGGGTCCCTGACCCCCGTGCCACCTAACAGGGAGATACCTCCCAGCAGGGGACGACACACACCTCATACAGGAGAGCTCTGGCTGGCATCTGGTGGGTGTCCATCTGGGACAAAGCTTCCAGAGAAAGGAGCAGTCAGCAATCTTTACTGTCCTGCAACCTTCGCTGATGATACCCAGGCAAAGAGGGTCTGGAGTAGACCTCCAGCAAACTCCAGCAGACCTGCAGAAGAGGGACCTGACTGTCAGAAGGAAAACTAACAAACAGAAAGGAATAGCCTCAACATCAACAAAAAGGACAACCAAGCAAAAACTCCATCTGAAGGTCACCAACAGCAAAGACCAAAGGTAGATAATCCACAAAGATGAGGAAAACAACAGTGAAAAAAGGCTGAATGTCCCAAATACCAGAACACTTCTTCTCCACCAAAGGATCATAACTCCTCGCCAGCAAGGGAACAAAACTGGACGGAGAATGAGTTTGATGAAATGACAGAAGTAGGCTTCAGAAGGTGGGTAATAGCAAACTCCTCCGACCTAAGGGAGCATGTTCTAACCCAATGAAAGGAAGCTAAGAACCTTGATAAAAGGTTAGAGGAATTGCTAACTAGAATAACCAGTTTAGAGAAGAACAGAAATGACCTGATGGAGCTGAAAAACACAGCACGAGAACTTCATGAAGCATACACAAGTATCAGTAGCCAAATTGATCAAGTGGAAGAAAGGATATCAGAGATTGAAGATCAATTTAATGAAATAAAGCGTGAAGACAAGATTAGAGAAAAAATAATAAAAAAGAATGAACAAAGCCTCCAAGAAATATGGGACCATGTGAAAACGCCAAACCTACAATTGATTGGTGTATCTGAAAGTGATGGGGAGAATGGAACCAAGATGGAAAACACACTTCAGTATATTATCCAGGAGAACTTCCCCAACCTAGCAAGACAGGCCAACATCAAATTCAGGAAATACAAAGAACACTGCAGAGATACTCCTTAAGAAGAGCAATAATCGTTAGATTCACCAAGATTGAAATGAAGGAAAAAATGTTAAGGGCAGCCAGAGATAAAGGTTGGGTTACCCACAAAGGGAAACCCATCAGACACAGCAGATCTCTCTGTAGAAACCTTGCAAGCCAGAAGAGAGCGGGGGAAAATATTCAACATTCTTAAAGGAAAGAATTTTCAACCCAGAATTTCATAGCCAGCCAAACTAAGCTTCATAAGCAAAGAAGAAATAAAATCCTTTGCAGACAAGCAAATGCTGAGGGATTTTGTCATCACCAGGCCTGCCTTAAAGAGCTCCTGATGGAAGCGCTAAATGTAGCAAGGAAAAACCGGTACCAGACACTGCAAAAACAAGCCAAATGTAAAGACCATCGACACTATGAAGAAACTGCATCAACTAATGGCCAAAATAACCAGGTAACATCATAATGATGGAAATCAAATTCACATGTAACAATACGAACCTTAAGTGTAAATGGGCTAAATGCCCCAATTAAAAGGCACAGACTGGCAAATTGGTTAAAAGAGTCAAGACCCGCTGGTGTGCTGCATTCAGGAGACCCATCTCGTGTGCAAAGACACACATGGGCTCAAAATAAAGGGATGGAGGAAGATTTACCAAGCAAATGGAAAGCAAAAAAAAAAAAAAAAAAAAAAAAAAAAAAGCAGGGATGGCAATCCTAGTCTCTGATAAAACAGACTTTAAACCAACAAAGATCAAAAAAGACAAAGAAGGACATTACGTAATGGTAAAGAGATCAATGCAACAAGAAGAGCTAACTATCCTAAATATATATGCACCCAATACAGGAGCACTCAGATTTATAAAGCAGGTTCTTAGAGACCTACAAAGAGACTTAGACTCCCACACAATAATAGTGGGAGACTTTACCACCCCATTGTCAAATAAGACCGATCAAGGAGACAGAAAATTAACAAGGATATTCAGGACTTGAACTCAGCTCTGGACCAAGCAGACCCAATATACATCTATAGAACTCTCCACCCCAAATCAACTGAATATACATTCTTCTCAGCACCACATAGCACTTATTCTAAAATTGACCACATAATCGGAAGTAAAACACTCCTCAGCAAATGCAAAAGAACACAAATCATAACAGTCTCTCAGACCACAGTGCAATCAGATTAGAACTCAGGATTAAGAAACTCACTCAAAACTGCATAACTACAGGGAAACCAAACAACCTGCTCCTAAATGACTACTGGGTAAATAACAAAATTAAGGCAGAAATCAATAAGTTCTTTGAAACTAATGAGAACAAAGACACAATGTACCAGAATCTCTGAGACACAGCTAAAGCAGTGTTTAGAGGGAAATTTATAGCACTAAATGCCCACAGGACAAAGTGGGAAAGATCTAAAATTGACATCCTAACATCACAATTAAAAGAACTAGAGAAGCAAGAGCAAACAAATTCAAAAGCTAGCAGAAGACAAGAAATAACTAAGATCAGAGCAGAAATGAAGGAGAGAGAGACATGAAACACCCTTCAAAAAAATCAGTGAATCCAGGAGCTAGTTTGTTTGAAAAGATTAACAAAATACATAGACCACTAGCCAGACCAATAAAGAAGAGAGAAGAATCAAATAGACACAATAAAAATTGATAAAAGGGAGATCACCACTGATCCCACAGAAATACAGACTGCCATCAGAGAATACTATAAAACACCTCTACACAAATAAACTAGACAATCTAGAAGAAATGGATACATTTCTGGAAACATACACCCTCCCAAGACTAAATCAGGAAGAAGTCGAATCCCTGAATAGATCAATAACAAGTTCTGAAATTGAGGCAGTAATTAATAGGCTACCAACCAAAAAAAACCCAGGATCAGATGGATTCATAGCCAACTTATACCAGAAGTACAAAGAGGAGCTGTTACTATTCCTTCTGAAACTATTCCAAACAATAAAAAAAGAGGGACTCCTCACTAACTCATTTTATGAGGCCAGCATCATCCTGATAACAAAACCTGGCAGAGACACAACTAAACAAGAACATTTCAGCCCAATATCCCTGATGAACATCAATGCGAAAATCCTCAATAAATACTGGCAAACCAAATCCAGCAGCACATCAAAAACTTATCGACTATGATCAAGTTGGCTTCATCCTTTGGATGCAAGGCTGGTTCAACATATGCAAATCAATAAATGTAATCCATCACATAAAACCAATGACAAAAAACACATGATTATCTCAATGGATGCAGAAAAGGCCTTTGATAAAATTCAAAACCCCTTCATGCTAAAAGCACTCAATAAACTAGGTATTGATGAAACATATCTCAAAATAATAAGAGCTATTTATGGCAAACCCACAGCCAGTATCACACTGAATGGGCAAAAGCTGGAAGTATTCCATTTGAAAACTGGCACAAGAAAAGGATGCCCTCTCTCACCACTCCTATTTAACATAGTATTAGAAGTTCTGGCCAGAGCAGTCAGGCAAGATAAAGAAATAAAGGGTATTCACTTAAGAATAGAGGAAGTCAAATTATCTCTGTTTGCAGATGACATAATTCTATATTTAGAAAACACCATCGTCAGGCCCAAAATCTCCTTAAGATGATAAGCAACTTCAGCAAAGTCTCAGGATACAAAATTAATGTGGAAAAATCACAAGCATTCCTATACACCAATAATAGACAGACACAGAGCCAAATCTTGAGCAAACTCCCATTCACAATTGCTATAAAGAGAATAAAATACCTAGGAATAAAGCTTACAAGGATGTGAAGGACCTCTTCAAGGAGAACTACAAACCACTGCTCAAGGAAATAGGAGAGGACACACACAAATGGAAAAACATTCCATGCTGATGGATAGGAAGAAACAATATCATGAAAATGGCCATACTGCCCAATGTAATTTATAGATTCAATGCTACTCTCATCAAGCTACCACTGACTTTCTTCACAGAATTAGGAAAAAGCTACTTTAAATTTCATACAGAACCAAAAAAGATCCTGTATAGCCTAAGCAAAAAGAGCAAAGCTGGAGGCATCATGCTACCTGATTTCAAACTATACTACAAGGCTACATTAACCAAAATGTTATGGTACTGGTACCAAAACAGATACATAGACCAATGGAACAGAACAGAGGCCTCAGAAATAATGCCACACATCTACAACCACCTGATCTTTGACAAATGTGACAAAAACAAGCAATGGGGAAAGGATTTCCTATTTAATAAATGGTGTTGGGAAAACTCGCTAGCCATATGCAGAAAACTGAAACTGGACCCCTTCGTTACACTGTATACAAAAATTAATGCAAGATGGATTAAAGATTTAAACATAATACCTAAAACCATAAAAACCCTAGAAGAAAACCTAGGCAATACCATTCAGGACATAGGCATGGGCAAAGACTTCATGACTAAAACACCAAAAGCAATGGCAACAAAAGCCAAAATTGACAAATGACAAATGTGATCTAATGAAACTAAAGAGCTTCTGCACAGCAAAAGAAACTGTCATCAGAGTGAACAGGCAACCTACAGAATGGGAGAAAATTTTTGCTATCTATCCATCTGACAAAGGGCTAATATCCAGAGTCTACAAGGAACTTAAACAAATTCACAAGAAAAAACAATCCCACCAAAAAGTGGGCAAAGGATATGAACAGACACTTCTCAAAGTAAGACATTTATGTGGCCAACAAACATATGAAGAAAAGCTCCTCATCACTGGTCATTAGAGAAAAGCAAATCAAAACCACAATGAGATACCATCTCATGCCAGTTAGAATGGTGATCATTAAAAAGTCAGGAAACAATAGATGCTGGAGAGGACATAGAGAAATAGGAATGCTTTTACACTGTTGGTGGGAATGTAAATTAGTTCAACCATTGTGAAAGACAGTATGGCGATTCCTCAATGATCTAGAACCAGGAATACCATTTGGCCCAGCAATCCCATTACTGGGTATATACCCAAAGGATTATAAATCATTCTACCATAAAGACACATGCACTTGTATGTTTATTGCAGCACTCTTCACAATAGCAAAGACTTGGAACCAACCAAAATGCCCATCAATGTTAGACTGGATAAAGAAAATTTGGCATACATACACCATGGAATATTATGCAGCTATAAAAAAGAACGAGTTCATGTCCTTTGCAGGGTCATGGATAAAGCTGGAAACCATCATTCTCAGCAAACTAACACAGGAACAGAAAACCAAACACCACACATTCTCACTGATAAGTGAGAGTTGAACAATGAGAACATGGGCACAGGGCAGGGAACATCACACACCGGGGCCTGTTGGGGAGGTTGGGGGCAAGGAGAGGGATACCATTAGGAGAAATACCTAATGTAGATGACTGTTTGATGGGTGCAGCAAACCACCGTGGCCCATATATACCTATGTAACAAACCTGCATGTTCTGCCCAGGTATCCCAAAACTTAAAGTATAATTAAAAAAAAAAAAAAGCCAGCTAAATCCCACTGAAACCAAGATGGTTATGAGAGTGACCTTTGGTCATCCTCACTGCTATAGTCCTACCAGCGCCATGACAGTTTACAAATCCCATGGCAATATCATGAAGTTACCCTGTATGGTCTAAAAAGGTGAGGCATGAATAATTTACCCCTTGTTAGGATATAATCGAGAAATAATCATACAAATGGACAACCAACAGCCCTCAGGGCTGCTATGCCTATGGAGTAGCTATTCTTTATTCCTTTACTTTCTTAATAGACTTGCTTTCACTTTAAAAAACAAATAAATAAATATTGCCATCTTCCAAAGTTTTTGTCCCACTGAAAACACAGAAAGAACTAAAAGAGATTGAGATATTTTCATTTCAAAAATTTATCATTGGTTTTCAGGTTTCTTCAAAGCATGTTTTCCCCTATTGTTTCTGCCTGAATTTGAATATGCCAGAACTCCTTAGAGAATTATATAGGTAGGAAAATCTGTCAGTGCTCTAAACTTAAAAACAGAAGATGAAAAAATAATATATGCTGGCCATATATGTGTATATATTCCACCTTATCTGTGATTTTTGTTATTTCTTTGCCTTAATAAAAGACATCGGTAAACAAAGCCACCCGAAGTTTGGACTGGGCGGAGCCCAGCACAGTGCCGTAAGCTGCTGTAGCCAGACTGCCTCTGTAGATTCCTCCTCTCTGGACAGGGCATCTCTGAAAGAAAGGCAGCAGCCCTAGTCAGGGGCTTGTGGATAAAACTCCCATCTCCCGGCGACAGAGCACCTGGGGGAAGAGGGGGATGTGGGTACAGCTTCAGCCGACTTAAACGTTCCTGCCTGCCAGCTCTGAAGAGAGCGGCAGATCTCCCAGCACAGTGCTCGAGCTCTGCTAAGGGACAGACTGCCTCCTCAAATGAGCCCCTGACCCCCGTGCCTCATAACGGGGAGATACCTCCCAGTAGGGGATGACAGACATCTCATACGGGAGAGCTCCGGCTGGCATCTGGTGGGTGTCCCTCTGGGACAAAGCTTCCAGAGGAAGGAGCAGTCAGCAATCTTTACTGTCCTGCAGCCTCTGCTGGTGATACCCAGGCAAAGAGGGTCTGGAGTGGACCTCCAGCAAACTCCAGCAGACCTGCAGAAGAGGGACCTGACTGTCAGAAGGAAAACTAACAAACAGAAAGGTACTGGATATTCAATCTTTATAAGCTTAGTTTTCTCCTAGGAATAAAAATAGTATCTGCTGTGTTTGGCCTTTGTGAGGATTAAATCAATAATGCATCTGACAAACTTTGTAGAATGATTGAGTTGTATTAAACACTTAATACTCATTTCCTATAATTGTTACTCATTTCCTATAATTGTTGTTTTGTATTAGAATGGTACTCTAGCCTTCATAAAACAAATTCCATGATTTAGACATTTGAAAGTTCTTCATTTTCAACTGACATTTATTTCTAGTTACTGCATCACCTAGTCATTTTATGTTCAGTGTTGTGACAGCAAATGGGTGAAATAGTTTCAATTTCCCAGCATGTAACTGGCCTTTTTAGCCTTAACTTTCTTTTCCAGCATTGTTACGGCAGCTACAGCAAACATGTCAGAGTACAGAACATTCCATTAAGAGCCTTATCTCATGCCTCGCTTCCTATGATGTTTTGTATGAATAATACAATGTCTAGAGGTGAAATTAGTTGGAGTGCTCATGACTCAGCCTCTTTTTCTGGGGAGTGAGTCATTCCACATTTATAGATTCCTGACTTTGTGCCGTATACCACACTAAGTGCTTGGAATACAAACATAGATTTGCTGGGTCATTGACCCAGAGCAGCCCACAGTCTGGGCAGGCAGGGTATGGCATTCATTAAGAACAATATGGGCTTACACATAGCCAGCACTCTATTAATGTTATATCTACCTGTCAAGGCAAAGTGTGATTAAATATACAATAATATGAGCTGTCTAGACAACTTAATTCTATGTTTTGGAACATGTACCTCTGACCCTATAGCCCTATATTGGTATATTTTGCCTAATTATATCACCACAAATTTAACTCCTTTATTGTTTTGTTTGGATACTGAGTTTTTATTCCTTTGCATATCACGTAAAATCATACCCTCCATGAATAGGTCAGTTGCCTGATGAATACCTTTCCTTTATTATCCTGCCAGAAACTCACACTTAATGTGTCTAATAAAGCCCATTATCCTCTACTTTTACCCAGCAACCTGATCTCCCTTCAGGCTTTCCTGTTTCTAAGAATGTACTGGGAGTCTGTTTTTCTTACACTCTCAAAATTCTCTTGGCTCCTTTCTTCATCCTGTGCCTTTCCTGGCCAATGAATCCTTAAATTCTTTTTTTGTGTGTGTGAGACAGGGACTCTGTTGCCAAGGGTGGATTTCAGTGGTGCAATCATAGCTCACTGTAACCTCATATGCCTCTGGCTTCAGCCTCCCCAGTAGCTAGGACTACAGGTGTGCACTACCATGCCTGGCTAATTTAAAAAAAAAAATTGTTTTTGTAGTGGTCTCTCTATGTCGCTTATGCTGGTTTCAAACTCCTGGCCTCAAGCAGTCTTCTGCCTTGGTCTCCCAAAGTGCTGGGATTAGAGGTGTGAGCCACCATGACTGGCTTTAATCCCTAAATTCTGTATGGACTGTAAATACTGTTATGGACTGAGTTGTGCCCCACCCCATCCATATGTTGAAGTTCTAAGTGCCCGTGTGACTGTTTAAAAATAGGGCTTGTAGCAGGTAATTAAGGTTAAACAAAGTCATCAGAGTGGGGCCCTAATCCAGTAGGGTTGGTGGCCTCATAAGAAGAGGAAAAGAGAGTTCTCTAAATTTCCCCACCCATCTTCATGTCTTTCTTTCTCCGCCATGTGAGGATATAGTGAGAATGTGGCTGTCTACAAGCCAGGAATATAGCCCTCGCCAGAACCTGACCATGTTGGCATGTGATCTCACCCCTCCAACCTCCAGAACTGTGAAAAAGTAAATATCTGTTGTGTAAGCCACATGTCTAGGGCATTTTGTTATGTTAGACTATATTAGGCCATCTCTTGCATTGCTATAAAGAAATACATAGGACTGGAATTTACAAAGAAAAGAGGTTTAATTGGCTCACAGTTCTGCGGGCTATACAGGAAACATAGTGCTGGCATCAGCTCATGGGGAGGACTCAGGGAGCTTTTTCTCCTGGCAGAAAGCAAAGCAGGAGTGGGCACTTCATGTAGTCAAAGCAGAAGCAAGCAATGGAGAGAACAAGAGAGAAAGAGAGAGTAGAATGGGAGGCTCCACATTCTCTTAAATGACCAGATCTCATGAAAACTCACTATCACAAAACAGCACCAAGCCATAAGGGATCACCTCCATGATCCAAACCCCTCCTACTAGGCCCCACCTCCAGCACTGGGGATTACAATTCAACATGAGAATTGGGTGGCGACAAATATGAAAACTATATCATCCTGCATCTGGTCCTTTCCAAATTTCATGTCCTTCTCACATTGCAAAATACAGTCATGCTTTCCCAATGGTTCCCCAATGTCTTAACTCATTCCAGCATTAATTCAAAAGTACAAAGCCTCATTTGAAACAAGGCAAATCCCTTCAATCTACAAGCATGTAAAATCAAAAAGAGTTATTTACTCCCAATATACAATGGGGGTATAGGCACTGGGTAAACATTGATATTCCAAAAGGAAGAAATTGGCCAAAGGAAAGGGGCTAAAGGCCCCATGCAAGTTCAAAACCTAGCAGGGACAGTTATTAAACTTTAAAGCTCCAAAATAATATCTTTTGACTCCATGTCTTACATCCACAGCACACTGGTACAATGAGGGGGCTCCTAAGGCCTTGGTTAGCTCTGCCCTTTTAGCTTTGCAGGGTGCATCCTCCCCATACCCCTCAGATGCTCTCACAGGTTGTTGAGTGCCTGTGGCTTTTCCAGGTGCAGGATACAAGCTGCTGGTCTGAGGTCTGGAGGGTGGTGACCCCCTTCTCACAACTCCACTAAGGAATGCCCCAGTGGAGACCAGATGTGAGGGTTCCAACTTCACATTTCCTCTTGGCACTACCCTAGTAGAGGTTCTCTGTTGGGGCTCTGCCCCTGCAGCAGGCTTCTGCCTGGGCATCCAGGCTTTTCTACACATCCTTTGAAATCTAGGTGGAAGGTGCCAAGCCTCATTCACTCTTGCACTCTGTGCACCCGCAGGCTTAACAACACATGGAGGCTGCCAAGACTTACAGCAGTTTGTGCTCTCCAGAGCAGTGGTATGACAGTGTCTGGGGTCCTTTGAGCACAGGCTGCAGCCAGAGCTTCCAGTGCAGTACAGTATCCTAAGGCTGTGCCAGGCAATGGGGCCCTGGACCTGGCCCACAAAAACATTCTTCCCTCATAGGCCTCTGGGCCTATGATGGGAGGGGCTGCCATGAAGGTCTCTGAAATGCCTTCAAGGCCTTTTTCCCATTATCTTGGCTGTGAGTGTTTGGTGGGGTTTCATTATGCAAATTTCTCTAGCAAGTGGTTGTTCCACAGCCTGCTTGAATTCCTCTCTCAAAAAAAGCTTTTTCTTTCTCTGCCACATGGTTAGATGAAAAATTTTCTAAACTTTTATGCTGTGCTTCCCTTTTAAATATAAATTCCAATTCTTAATCTTTTATTTGCTCCTGCTTCTGAGTGTAGGTTATTAGAAACAGCCAGGCCTCCTCTTGAATGTATTGCTGCTCAGAAATTTCATCTGCCAGATATGCTGTATAGTCACCATGAAGCTCAAACTTCCAAAGACCCCTAGGGTATGGACACAATCCAGCCAAGCTCTTTGCTAACACATAAAACATGTGACCTTTGCCCCAGTTCCCAGTAAGTTCCTCATTTCCATCAGAGACCTCATCAGCCTGGATTTTGCTGTCCATATCACTATCAGCATTTTGGTCACAACAATTTAACTAGTCTCTAAAAAATTCCAAACTTTCCCTCATCTTTCTGTCTTCTTCTGAGCCATCCAGACTCTTCCAACCTCAGCTCATTACCCAGTTCCAAAGCTGCTTTCACATTTCCATGTATCTTTATAGCAACACCCCACTCTTCAGTTCAATGTATTAGGCTGTTCTTACATTGCTATAAAGAAATACCCAAGACTGGGTAATTTATTAAAAAAATAAGTTTAATAGGCTCATGGTTCTGCAATCCATACAGGAAACACAGTGCCGGCATCAGCTTCTGGGGAGGCCTCAGGGGGCTTTTACTCATGGTGGAGAGCAACACAGGAGCAGGCACTTCACATGGTGAAAGCAGGAGCAAGCCAGAAAGAGAGACAGGGGGTGGGGAGGAAAAGGAGAGGGAGAATGCCGGGAGGAGGTGGCACACACTTTTAAGTGACTGGATTTTGTGAGAACTCACTATCATGAAGACAGCACCAAGCCATGAGAGCTCTGCCCCCATTATCCAGTCACCTCCCTCCAGGCCCCACCTCCAACAATAGGGAATAAAATTCAACATGAGATTTGGGTGGAGACAAACATCAGAACTATATCACAGTCTCAGCAGACTAATACACATATCCATGCAATAGTTGTAACACTCTCCTTTATATGGACACTGTCTCCACCTGAATTGTGTCTTCATTACCATTCACCTGGACTTCTGAAGGAGCCACTTTTTTGAACACTTCTTTAAGCACTCCCCTCTCTGATCCAATCTACATAATATTGCCAGATTAAATTTCCTAATTATGCCATTCTTGAATTTAAAACCTTCAGTGGTCCACTTTCACCTACAAAATTAAATATGTTTAATTGAATAGCCTCCTCAGATTGTCATTCAAGGTCATTACTTCCTATATAGAGCCAACTTAGCTTTTCACCCAATTATTGCTCTTCTTATGGGTCATACTCCAGGCTAGGTATTTTTCCAAACACCCCCTGGGCTTTGATTCTTCTGTTACTTTGTTTCTGTGTTGTCCTGTCCATTGTCTGAATTGCTCTCCTTCCCACTCCATCTCCACCTATCAAAATCCCTTACCTCCTTCAAGGGCTAACTCAAATGCAACTTCCTCTGTGAATCTTTATCTTCATAACAGGATTTTTCTCCCCTTCACTGATCTCCCAAAAGCCCTGTTAGTATTTCCTTGTGACAATAGGAATTTTTTTTTTCCATCGTGGCTTTTTGTCTTTTGGCTTTTTCACAACCTCCCTTATCCCACTAGATTCTAACTAAGTGAACTCTTTAAGGTTAAAGAACATTGGATCCCTAAAATACTAAATGATACTAAAAAACATAACAAACAAACAACAACAAAAAAACCCTACCCAGTTGGGTATGGTGGCTTATGCCTATAATCTCAGCAATTTCAGAGGGTGGATCACTTGAGCCCGGGAGTTTGAGACCAGCCTGTACAACATAGGGAAACTCTGTCTCTACCAAAAAAATAGAAAAATTAGTTGGGCATGGTGGTGCATGCCTCTAGTCCCAGCAACTCAGGAGGCTGAGGCGGGAGGATCATCTGAGGCTGGGGAGGTCGAGACTGGAGTGAGCCATGATCATTCCAATGCACTCCAGCCGGGACAATAGAGTGAGACCCTGTCTCAAAAAAAAAAAAAAAAGCCTACTCTATACCTTAAAAATATGAGAATTACAAGAATTACAAACAAAAAACATTTCCATTTTTTTAAATATAACTGCAGTATTCCCAACATTTGTTTCTGTAAGGTGTAACTCCAGTAGTAACTTTTCTGTTACTTAAGCAGTAACAATTTCTGTAATTTGAAAACTCAAGTGTAACTTTAACAAGGGAGAAGCATAAGAAATATAAAAATTGTGAATTTTCAGCTCACAATTAATTTTGATAATCCAATAGCTAAAAGATGTCTGCTATTTTCATCTTGTATTCCTTGTGAGGTATAATCAGGCCTATTTGAGTTTGACATAGGCTTTATAATGTTATCTGACCATCACAATATGATTTATAATATGGAGGCATGAAGTCATTTCTCATTGGGGCAGGAGTGTGGCAAGGGGGAAGAAGAGCTTTACCAATTAACTCAAGATTATTTGGTGACATTTCTCTTACCTTTTAGGTGAGGAGAAAGAGACAGAGGATGGAGAATTGGTGCTTTTAGTATGCTGATACATTAAGCTGCCTGGAAGCAGATGCTAAATCCTATTGAAAATAATTTTATTTGCGTTTTGCTTAGGGTATTGTTTAGCAAAATACTACACAAAAAGTCTTGACCTGTGTGTTTGAAATGGCAGATGTTCACAGTGAGGACTGAGCCTTGGGGCAACATCAATCTTCACAATTCTGCACCTATTTGCTCAATAACTGGCTTGGTTGGAAAAAAAGGAAAAAAAAAAGTTCCAGGGAGTTATTTACAAAGCATCCGCTCCTGGCACTGCAAATGAAAGTGCTCTCCTTAAGATAAGAAAAGCAAGCAAACAAACAGAAGCCACAGGACAGCTTGAGCCCACCAGGTCAAAAATGAATACCTCTTTTCCCTCAGAACTGTGTTTCCAATATTTTTATATAAAAATTGTATATATTTAAGTGTGCAACATGTTTTGATATATATATATACACACACAGTGAATTGATTACTAGAGTGAAGCAAATTAACATGTCTGTCTCCTCACACACTTATTGTTTTAAAAAATAAGAACACCTGAAACCTATTATTTTAGCAAATTTTCAGTAGACCTTACAATATTATTAACTATAGTCGTCATGCTATACATTAGACCTCTAGGTTTAGTCATCCTGTATAATTGTGACCTTATATCTTTTGGCTAACATGTCCTCATTTCGCCAACCTCCCCACCTCCAGATAACCACCATTCTACTCCGCTTCTATGAGTTCAGCTTTTTAAGATTCCACATAAGTGAGATTATGCAGTATTTTTCTTTCTGTGTCTGGCTTATTTCACTTACCATAATGCCGTTCAGGTTTTTTCATGTTGTTGCAAATGGCAGGATCTCCCTTTTAAAGTCTTAATAATGTTCCATTGTGTATAGTAACTCACAATTTTTTAATCCATTCATCTGTTGATAGACACTGGTTGTTTTCATATTTTGACTGTTGTAAATAATGCTGCAATGAACACAGGAGTGCAGATATCTCTTCAAGGTACCGACTTCATTTTCTTTGTGTATTTTCCCTGTAGTGGGATTGCTGGATCAAATTGTAGTTCCCTTTTTAATTTCTTGAGGTACCTCCTTACTGTTTTCCATACCGCTTGTACCAATTTACATTCCCATCAACAGTATACAGTGTTCCCTTTCCTTTTCACCACATCCAACACTTATTTTTTATCTTCTTAATGATAGCCATACTAACAGGTGTGAGATAGCTATCTCATTGTGGTTTTGATTTTCATTTCTCTGATGATTTCTGATATTAAACACCTTTTCATAAACTTGTTAGCCATTGTCATGTCTTCTTTGGAAAAATGTCTATTCAGGGTCCTTTGCTCATTTTTAAATCAGGTTATTTTTATTTATTTGCTTTGAGATATTGTTTCATGTGTGTTCCTTATATATTTCGGATTTTTTTTCTTTTTTTTTTTTTTTTTCTGAGACAGGGTCTCATTCTGTTGCCCAGGCAGGAGTTCAGTGCACAGTCACAGCTCACTGCAGCCTCAATTTCCTGGGCTCAATCAAACCTGCCACCTCAGCCTCCTGGGTAGCTGGGACAACAGGTGCACATCACAATGCCCAGCTAATTTTTTGTATTCTTTGTAAAGTTCGGGTTTCTCCATGTTTCCCAGACTGGTCTCAAACTCCTGGACTCAAGCACTCCACCCTCCTTGGCCTCCCAAAGTGCTGGGATTACAGGCATGAGCCCCCACGCCCAGCCCTATATTTTGGATATTAACCCCTTATCAGATATATGGTTTGCAAATATTTTCTCCCATTCTCTAGGTTACCTTTTTATTTTGATGATTGTTTCCTTTTTTGGACAGTTTGATGTAGCCCCACCTGTTTGTTTCTGCTTGTGATGTCTGAGCTCTTGGTGTCATATTCAAAAAATCATTGCCAAAGTCAATGTCAAGAAGCTTATTCCCTATGTTTTCTTCTAGGAGTTTTATGGTTTCAGGTCTTACATTTAAGTTTTCATTCCATTTTGGGTTGATTTTTGTGCATGATGTAAGATAAAAGTCTATTTTCATTCTTTTACATGTAGTACCCAGTTTACCTAACACCATTTATTGAAGAGACTATCCTTTCAATGGAAGTAATGTAAGACAAGGATGGGATTTTATTTTCTTATTCTCACCACGAAGGGTATTTTCAACTGTTTCTTTAAATCTGACATAGAATTGGAAAAAATACGACAGTAAGCACCTTTATTCATTTAACAATATTTATTGATATTTTGTGTGCTGCAAACGTTGGGTTCAAATACAAAGTTCACATACCTAAAAGAGTATTAATATTTTGAATACAGTTTGTTTTTGAATCATGCTGTATTGAAACCCCATCTCTACTAAAAAATGCAAAAATTAGTTGGGTGTGGTGAAACGCACATGTAATCCCAGCTACTCAGGAGGCTGAGGC
Source organism: Homo sapiens (assembly GCF_000001405.40). Lineage (NCBI taxonomy): Eukaryota > Metazoa > Chordata > Mammalia > Primates > Hominidae > Homo > Homo sapiens. The sequence goes on from NC_000002.12 coordinate 209,504,002, forward strand.
AGGAGAATCACTTGAACCCAGGAGGTGGAGGTTGCAGTGAGCTGAGATGGTGCCATTGCACTCCAGCCTGGTTGACAGAGCAAGACCCTGTCTCTGGAAAAAAAAAAAAAAAGAGAGAGACTAAGCAAGATTTTTCTTGGAGATGGGGCTTCCAGTTGTGGGGAGGAGGAACACTGGAAGAGGGACAAGTAAGTTGGAATGTCTTTCCAGACACATTATGGAATACATAAAGAAGTCAGGCTCCTGTGTCATAAAACTGAACTTTAAAAAAAAAAATCCCACAGTATCATTTTGTTTTTGCTATGAAAGTATATATTTGGGAGTGCACGTAGAAGAAATGAAATCCAGTCTATTTAAAAGAATATTAAAGATATCAGGATGCTGATTTGTGTTAAAGAGCAATTAGCAAGAAGTAGCTATAGTCAAATGATAAATTGAGGCCTAAAACTTGCAAGCAAACAAATGGGCAGTTTCAGGTTAGACTTTCCCTGACTCCAGGCAACTAGTGAACCACTTTCTCTTTAAAGAGTTGTTAAGTGGCAATATCATCCTGGTATTCATTGCTCAGTATGCATTTATCAATTGTAGAGCAGGTTTTTGTATGAGACACCATGCAAGATCCTAGGATAACAGCATCACTTATTTTATATTGTAGTAAAACATGTAACGTAAAATTTAACATTTTAACCATTTTAAAGGGTTCAGCTTTCTGGCATTAAGTACATTCGCGTTGCTGTGCAAGCTATCATTTTTTTTTTCCTAGTGAATATTTAGATATAAATCACAATCCCTTTCCAGTGTCTCCTTTTTTCTTAGGGGATAATGATTGATAATATGATTAAAATGAACACATAGGCAGTGTATCCACTCTGTCTTTCATAGCCTAGTGTTCTTATGTACATTCTATTTTAGCCATCTCTTGCACACACAGTAGTGCACATGCAACCCAGCCACACATACACAGTCACTGAGTGTGTTGAATCACTGTCCTTCCCACTCTCCTAGCATTTTTTCTTCATATTTTAGAGACATATTTTTTCTTCTCTTTTTTCCTTTACTCTCCTAGTATTTTTATTTTAAATTTCTCATACTTTCTCTTTAAATTTGTGGAGCAAAACAAAAAATAAACAACAAGAAACTGTGCTTAACGGGAATGTTCCAAATGTTCTCAGTTTATGGCACCCTTAGTATCTCAGTAATTTTATTTTCAAGATCCTCTAGGCCAAAAGATGTACCTCACAGTTTCATTTAATTAACATAATATGTTTAAGTCCTAACAACTTAGTAGCCTTTTGAAAAAATGATACACATAAATTGAAAGCAAATCTATTTTTATTTTATGCTTAGAAACCCACAATCACTTACTAATGGGATTTTTGCCTGTTGAATACTGCCCAGCCCTCAAACCTTGAAGTCACACTGGACGCTATCATTCTTATTTCCTTTAATTTTTTTATGGAAACAAGGTTTTTGTCATTCTTACTTCATGTTGATTTTCATGCAGTATTTGCTTTTATATCACAAACAAAATCAAAACCCAACTTTGCAAAGCTGTAACATCATTGAAAGGAATGTAGCATGATCTAATATTGAAACTGCAAACCACTTTAATAGTTTTTGTGCTGCCTAATGGATACTGCTGTGGGTTTTTTGTTTTTGTTTTTGTTTTCATATATTGAAAACATTTTGGCCAGGCACGGTGGCTTATGCCTGTAATCCCAGCACTTTGAGAGGCCAAGGTGGGTGGATTGCTTGAGTTCAGGAGTTTGAGACCAGCCTGGGGAACATGGTGAAACTCCATCTCTACAAAAAATACAAAACTTAGTCAGGCATAGTGGTTCACGCTTGTAGTTCCAGCTACTACGGAGGCTGAGGTGGGAGGACCGATTGAGCCTGGGAGGTTGAGGCTGTAGTGAGCCATGATCACACCCCTGCACTCCCGACTAGGTGACAGAGTGAGACCCTGTCTCAAAAAAAAGAAAAGAAAAGAAAAAGAAAACATTTCACCATTCCCCTGAGAGTTTACAGTGGTGCCCTGGACCACCATGACAGTTAGAGAGTTGTTGGCTTTATAGCCAAAAAATAATATTTGTATCCAAGTAAAATAATGTCATTAGTTGGAAGTCAAGATAGATATACTAAAGGCATTAATCTTAAATGTCCTTCATAATTTCCTCAGATACTTAAAAAAAAATCTCCACAGATGTATCAACCTATCATTTCGTTATTGTAGGACAAAGTTTACTTTTCTTAAACACCTGCCCTTAGGATTAAAAATCAACTATTTCATATTCAGTTGTATTTTCTGTGGTTTACTAGTATTTTCTTTGTCTTATTTTATACTGTTCTTTTCAGTAAATAACTAGTTTTAGGCTAATTTAGTTTTTGGGCTTAGCATAGGAGTCTAATAATGAAACATTTCTAACATGTAGAAGAACATATGCTGTTTTCTATCCAGTTAACTCACAAACATACTTCTAGAACCTAACTTGCTTTTTAATTAGAGACTGCCATAGATGCTCCCTGTGGCGAGTTGAGTCTCTTTTGTCATTTTGAAGTGGTTTTGTTTACTATCTGTTCAAGAGACAGGCTGACTTTGGCACAAAAGTTTGTTTTTGTCCCTGGTTTACCTTCTTTATACTTCCATTTGACAACATGCTTTTCTGCATATTTACTTCTCAGCATATTTTAGTAGCAAGGCTTAGGTGCAAGAGACCACTGGAAAGATTGATCGTTTACCACTGGAATTGTCTTATTTGAACTTTGCTACCTTTAGCAAAGGTTTGGACTGATTGTCGACCCAGGACTAAAAATCTTCAGATTCTCTGTGCATATTAAATCAGATTAAAGACCTGTGTCAGTCTGTGCAGACTGTTCTAACAAACATAAAAGAACAGAAATTTATTTTTCCCAGTTCTGGAAGCAGTGAAGTTCAAGATCAAGGCAGCAGCAGATTGGTTTTGCTGAGGTCCTGCTTCCTGTTTTTTCCTCCGCCTTCATATGGCAGGCAGAAGGTGTAAGAGCGCTCTCTGTGATCTCTTGTATAAAGGCACAGTCCACTTTTTATATTTCTGGGATCTCTTTTATAGGGGCAGTAATCACCTTCCAAAGGCCCCACCTCCAAATATCACATTGGGGGATTAGGATCTCAACATATGAATTTGGGGTGGTGGGGACACTAGCATTCAGTCTATGGCAGGATCAAAATGCCTGAGTTTTATTATTTTTGATTAAACATCTCTTAAGAGCAATGGTAGTATATTAAGAACAGAATGTGCTAAAAATTCTTTTTGGTTGGTTGTTTTAGAATATAAACATAGGACTTCTACTTTAAATAAGTATAAAATAAAAATAGGACCTAATTTTGGCATTTAATATATATTTTTTTCAATAAAATGTAGAACGTATTTTTAAGTTTAAAGTTGTATTATACATAACCGTCACGTATTGTAAATGGATGTGTTTCAGTCAGTGCATTTTATGGAGTGAGGAACAAGTCACTTCTGATTTTATCTTCCTCCTTAGTGAAAGAAAAAGCCAGATTGTTCAACTGATTTAACTTACTGGGTATTTTTCTTTTCTTCTTTTAGATTTTATTGATCTAATCCAAAGTATCTTATAACTTCTGGCTGGAATTAAGGTCAGTACTATATTTGTGTCAATCATGAATAAACTGTGAAATAAAATAAAGGCATCATGGGTCTTTAGATAGCTGTGTCAGAAATATGCTTGCAATGTGTAGTAGAAGCTCAAATTTAGTAAAAACTGGATATATTTCGGAGTTGGCCTACTAGCAAACATGGTTCCCTAAGTACTGTTTTTCTAATTAGTATAATTTATTTGGTTTTTGAATGTTGAATTTATTTAATCTTACTACTACCTGAGTTTCGAATAATGAAAAAAATCCAACTCGAATTCATTTGTTTAATTAACAGAAATATTAAAAGAGTGACTTCTTGGAAGGCTGACCTTTCAAAGAATGGTCAGCTTCCTGAATTTGCAGGAAAACACTTTGAATTCCACAATTATATACTCATAGAGAATATATTTCGTAAAGAGGGTAGAATTGAAAACGTACTTTTCAATAAAAAATTTCAGTTAGCAGAGTGTTAAGATGTCATTCCTTTTGTTCTGTGCTTTCATTAATTGGCCTTAATTGAGACTCGAAACTAGCTTAACTGAGTTTAGAGTAGTAACAGAACCTCAGAAGGCCCTCACAGCAATAAACTTGGGATTTTATTTATGCCTTCTATTTTTTTTCAACATGTATTCAGATTGAAAAAAAAAACACTAAACACTGAATGAAATGAAGACTTTTATTGCTTATGAAAGAACAACATGCCAGTTGTTGCTAAACTTTTTGTATAGGCTTTTGATTAATAATTAACATAAAGGAAAACATTGGCTTTTCATTTGCCCTTACACTAATCAGGAATTTTCCCTTTAAAGCCCATGTTTAACCCTTCAGATTGCAGTGTCTGTCATATAACAGGCACACTGTAAATATGTACCTTTTCTGACCTCACTTTCCTACAACCAAATACATATAAGCACACAGACACACAGACACACTCTCTCTGTCCCACACACACACACACACACACACACACAGAGATGAAAAACTACTATTATTTCTCTTTTCAGGTTCAAACTGTGCTTTCCTATCTTCGAAATCTGTATCGAATGAAGCAAATAGAATATATTAAAATTATGCCTATAGATAATTGGAAACTTAATAAAGAAAAAAGGTGAAATGTCTACAAGTATTGGTTTCAAGTCTATAAACTGTATTATTTTATTAAGTGTTTTTATATAGTTCGGGGTCAAATTTATTAAAGTTTCTCTTTTTTATTCACTTCTGCATATGCTATGGAGATTTGTGAACATTTAAATGTGCAATTTTTTAAGATTTTTTGAATTTTTTTCTACTTTTATCCCCTACTAGCCCCTATCCCATCCACCTACAAAACCAAAATTACAAGTAGAATGAGATTTTTGTAAAGTATACATCATTGAATCAGTAATATTTTCAATGCACAGAGTTAAGTTTTAATTATAAATAAATCTGTATGAGAGGTAAACTTTTCCTTTCTCTTCTTTAATAAGAAATAAACTCTTCCCTTCCTGATTTTTTTATTTTATAGTTTATATGGTAAACATGACAATTTGCAATCTCATCTTGCTCTGACCACTTACCAGAATGAAAGAAAACTGAAAAGAAAAAAGATTTTTGTTAGACTATAAAAAACTAACAGTAACGCACAAAAATTTTTCATAATCTGATCCCCTAACCATCTTCCACATGGAGATTTCTGTTGTGGGAATACGAAAATCGAGTGTGTTTGGTCAAGATGACTTGCCTATTTTCAAATAAATAAATAAATATATCAGTGAAAATAACGTGTACATATAAATGGAAACATGTTTAAGCCTCTCTTATTACCAGGTCTTCCCACTTGGATATGTGTGGTTTAGTATTTATTAGTATTGTTTTCCCTTCTATCTGGAAATGAAAATAATATTAAATTACATTTGGTTAATCAGTTATCTAAATCACATTTTGTAAAAGCAGTTAGATGTAGTAAGTCTCTTAAAACTATATTAACTCACTAGAAACAGCCAAGTTATCAAAACAGAATATATGTAATGGAAATTACCATTTTTTTCAACTATAACTAAGTTACTTTTGGTTTAAAATAAAAGAGTTTCCCTCACAGAAAAAGCATGTTTATCTGTAAAACTGTTAGCTGAGCAAAATAACTAGTGTTGCCAGATAAAAGAAAGCTACCGATAGGGGTATATAAAATAGGACATCAGAAATGCCATTGCAATATTTTATCAATTCTGTGATGCATGTAATTTTACATTAAGTTATGTAAAATTAAGTGATGCTATAGTTAAATTGACAGCATTTTTTTTCCTAGTGGTAAATGAGGTATGTCTTGTAATGAATAGCATCTTAGATTTTATGAAACACAATATTACTGAATTTAGACTGGAAACGTGTTTTAATCTCCTAAAGTTATTACAAAAAAAAAAAAAGTCAGAATGAAATCTAGAAACAAGGAAGGTAAATTTGGCATTGATTCTCAGCAACATTTTAGGCCACAATTTTTGCCTTTTTAAAAAAATGTGTATTGGTTTTTCTGATCTACTTCTTTTTCTTTATTATTAATACTGCTACCAGCATTTTGGTATATTTTCCTCCAGTTTTTTTTGTGGTTTGTTTTCACAAAAGTTAAATTAAATTTTCTATTCTATACATTGCAGTTACTTGAAAAGGTGATTTTTAATGGCTCTGTGATATACTATCCTATGGATATTTCATAGTTTATTTCACCATTTACTCATTGTTGGACATGCAGACCATTTTTAATATCTCACTATTATAAATAGCCCTGCAATAAATATGCTTCTAAAATGTTTATGTTCACTGCTGACATTGTACTTAGGATCAATTTGTAGAAGTGGGATTATGTAGTGTAAAGAAATAAATATATTTGAGGTGAGTAACGTGTACATTATGTTCCCCAAAATTATATACCAATATACACTTCACTGGTAGCAGAAGCAGTCTGAGATTTGCAATACCCATGCCAATGTTGGAATTAGGATTTTAAAAATTTCTCTCAGTTTGATAAGCAAATGATGGATTCTCAATTTTAGAATATAAAATAGGAAACAGATGCTTGTAAAGGAATACTCATGGATCATTAAAAATATCAATCTAAACAGCATAACTTGTTTTTAGATAGAATGACGAGGTAATGTTAATTTCATTGGCTCTGCCACTCTCAGCCTGGGAAGGCTATTTGATCTTATGCTGTTGAAGACGGAATCAAAAGCTAAATGATTTTCATTCTTATAAAGATAGATGATCATGTTAATTATATTAATTATAGTTTTCTTGAGAAAGAGGTTGAGGACCCTAAGGAATGGGACAAGGGAGACATTCTTTAATAGAGTTCTCAAGTTTACTTACAGTGGAGGTACTGCTCAACAAGTGACATGAGGTGCAGTAGCTTTTCTGGAAGTGTTTGGAATGCTGTGAGCAGAAAAGAACTAAGATTACTCTACAAATCTAAAAGTGAAATGTCATATTGTGTGCTAGCTAGTGTAGATATTTTATAAATTTCTCTCCTCAAAATTTAAAAAATACATTTCTATATTGATACTGTCTTTTAGTCTCATTTTGCAAAATCAAAAGTTAAAAAGAAAATATTGGATATAACTTGTTGCTATTTTGTATCCGTTTCTTCTTCATCCTATACACTAACCTTTTATCCTTCCTCTAATGCAGTCAGTACTTAGCATATATATTCCATGAAGACCCTACCTCCAACCCTATCCTATCTTGCTCCCAAAGAGGGATCATGTTCATCATACTGACACCTAGTTCTAAGGGATACATTGCTTAACACAAGGCTCTCAGTGCTATAAGACTTCCCCTGCCTTTGCAATTGCACTTGACTATATTAAAGTGTTCTGGTGGCATTGGTTGAAGCACCCGAGTTTGAAATTAGATTAATTCATGCTTTCTTGGTGCTTAGAATTCTTAAACAGATGATTTCCTATGATTTTTTTTGAAGAGATGGAGTCTCCCTCTGTCACCCAGGCTGGAGTATAGTGACACAATCATGGCTCACTGCAGCCTCAACCCTTGGGCTCAAGTTGTCCTCTCATCTCAGCCTCCTGATTAGCTTAGGAGTACAGGTGTGTGCCACCATTCCTGGCTATATTTTTTATTTTTTGTAGAGACTGAGTCTCGCTTTGTTGCCCAGGCTTGTCTCAAACTCCTGGCTTAAAGCGATCCTCCTGCTTCAGCCTCTGAAGGTGCTAGGATTACAGGCATGAGTCACTGTGCCTGGTCAATTACCTATGACTGAATCATTAATATTTATCTGAAATTATTTACCCAAGCCCTGATTTTGATCCAGTGCTCCAGAACAGGGTGGATGTTGTGCTTCTTTTCTACCTGGATCTAGTCCTTCCTCCTAATTCTAATCTTTTCCTCTGGCTTAACCTCTGATGCCCTCTATACTTCTAGACTGCTAAGCTGCTTGTGGTATTCCTTGGTCAAGCCCTCTGATTTTATTATCTGTAAAATGGAAACAAAAATAACTTATACTTCATTTCAAGATTAAATGAGATATTATTATGAGTCTTAAAAATTGTAACTTTTAGTCCACTTTTAAGCCCTCTATCAAAATATGCTAATTACTTTGATTATTACATATTGTATACTTGTATCAAAACACCACCTTGTGTCTGATAAATATGTAAATTATAATAAATAAATTACATTTTAATGCAAAAAAAGACTCTTAGAACAATGTCTGGCATATGGGGATTGCTAAATAAATAGGAGTGTTTGTTCCATTGATCCTTGAAAACAAACAAACAAACAAATTCTCTATTAAAGTCTTTTTTTCTAGATTTTACATGTGTAATAAATTCTGACGCTTCTCTTAAAACAGAAAATAAAATGAATGAGGATCTTTAAATTATTGTTATAAAAGCTTCAAAATATATTAATGAAAGAAGCCAGAAGTTATACACACACACACACACACACACACACACACACACACACACACACAAACACATATATATATAAAATGTATGATATATATAAATTTAAAAAATATTTCTTTTATAGAGATAGGGCCTCACTCTGTTGCCCGGACTGGAATGGAGTGGTACAATCATAGCTTAGTATAAACTCAGACTTCTAAGCTCAAGTGATTCTCCTGCCTCAGCCTCCTGAGTAGCTAGGACTGTGGTAGCATGCACCAGCACACCCAGCTAATTTTTTATTTTATGCCTTTTATACAGACAGGGTCTCTCTATGTTGCCCAGGCTGGTCTTGATCTGACATGAAGTGACCCTCCTGCCTTGGCTTTCCAAAGTGATGAGATTACAGGCATGAGACACTGCACGCAGTCCAATTTATAGAATTTTATACTGTATTTTAAACTGGCCAGAAAGTAATTTCTCTATGCTCTGTTGAGTAGTATTATATGGTTCATTAAAGATGCTGTTAAACTAAACAGCATATTGCACAATTAAGCAGACTTGCACTTAAAAAAAGTGTAGAAAATGCTAATACTCTAATGAAATAGGAAGTGGGGAGAGGCGGATGTTCTTAATGTCTAACCAGTAAGCTTCAGTGCTTTGAGCTTTCCAGAATCAAGACAAAATTTTGATTAGCTTCTTGGTCAACTTCCAGTACCTTCTCAGGGAGACGCTATATTTCTCTTCCAACTTGCTTCATGTTGCTTCACACATTTCTTATAGACTTGTTATGCTTCATGTTATGATTGTATCTGGATAGGTCCATTCTCCCCTAGCAGCCCATAGGCTTTTTAAGGAGAAACTGGGGCCTTTACACTTATGCGTGCTGTCTCAATAGGGCCTTGGAGGAAATGGACACTTAGGAAATGCTTATATAATGAATTTTAAAGACATTCATTATATAACAAACAATTATAAAATTGCAAAACAGAATATAAACAATTGTATTACATATGAAGACTATAGAGCTACATATATGTGCGTATATGTGTGTATGTTTTAATAATCATTAATCACTGTATCCTCTCTCGGCCCCCTATCTTTCTCTCTTGAAAAAACAAAAAACAAAAAAACACCACAGATCCAATACTTGTTCTTTAAGATTCTTCCAGTGGGTAGTATTTTTGTATTCATCTTTCATGGCATCAACAAGCCTATTTCCTCAGGATGTCAGGCTGTCAAAATGAAAGCAATTCTGGAAGCACGTATCCCCAAGATTCTTCATTAGGTCATGTGAACAAATGAGGAGGGATAGCAAGTTTGTCTGCCATCCTCACTTCAACCCCCTCCCCACCTCTCCTCTTCTAAATTATGTCATGAGCTAATTCTTTGATAGTCACGTTTTTGTCCAAAATCTAGGAAATGATTACCATTAAAAGGAAAAAATACATATTTATGATGCATCAAATTTCAGAAAGCTTCACAAGAGAAAGTAAATTATCCTAAGGATTAAATGGTCTTTTCAGTTTGAAATGTGATTCTGGAAGCCTTGTATTTCTCCTTAAAGTAGTAAACAAATAATTGGCCATTCTATAAATCTTTCCAGAATCTCAAAGTCACTTTGTATCATATGTAAATCTAATCATTAGAATCCTGGATATGTTTTTTTAATACAAAGATATTAATATACTATGCTAAATGTAGGAATAAAATAAAATGACAAAATAATCACCTTTTTCATAAGTTTTCTAAGTTTCCCAAATTAAACCTAATAATTATTGCAGCTTCAAATGTCTTTGGGGTGATTATTGTTTAAAGTCCTCCCTTTTTTTTTCATGTGGGAAAAGAATGCTCTAGCTCATTCTTTATTCCTTAATTAAATGTAGTATCAAATGGCTGCAAAAGACAACCACTGGCTATGTTTTCATACAAACCCCATGCTTATGAAATCAGTTCTGTGGATTTAATTCACTGACCAGCTAATCTTTATTCTTTTCCTAAATTCATCTGTAAAAAAGAATCCCATTCCAAAGAATAACACAGCTGATCTCTTTGCAGCCCATTTATGTCATTAAAAAGTATTATAACCTAAATATAGGCCTTATATCTTATTAGGGTAGTTTGGAAGATTTAAAAATAAAATTAATGAATTTCTTTATTATGTAAGAAATTCTTTATATTCTACTTATTGCAGAATAAGAACTGCATAGTAGTACAAGGGATAAACTCTCTTGTTCCTCTATAAATCAACGTGAGACTTGTTAAGCTTCATCAGTTATTCACCTGAGAATAGAAAAGTATCCATTGTGTATTAGAAAAAGGAATATGACATACAATACACACATGTGATAGATAGATAAATGGATAGTCATGATGGTTTCAAATAATTTTGCCAATGCACAATACAAGGGCTTTACTTTTAGGAATGCCTTCTGAGTCATTCATGTTGAAGAGGGTAAAATTATGTGCCTTTTCTGAACTAAACTCTCCCAGTTATTAATAATATAAAAATGTTAGTTGAAAAATCATTTGCCATAACAAACCGACATGGATTAGGTTTCATTCCATATTATTCAGTGTCTTACGGTTATCAACTTTGTGTTGCTTTACAGTCTTCATTTTCTTTCTTTCGACCATTTCAAATCTAATTAGTGAAGAGTTGAGTAAAGAAAACACTGAATGCATTATATGAGTACATCTGTGTCTATCTTCTTTCTCTCTCTCATTTATCTAAAGTTTTATACCTGCCAAAGTTTGTAGTTCAAAACTAGAGCAAGTGATCACTTAGTACATTACTTTTTGAATATTAATAAGTGTATTAGTCCATTTTCACACTGCTATGAAGAACTTTCCTGAAGTTGGGTAATTTATAAGGAAAAGAGGTTTAATTGACTTACAGTTCTGCATGGCTGGGGAGGCCCCAGGAAACACAATCATGGTGCAAGCGGAAGCAGGCACTTTCTTCACCTTCTTCACAAGGTGGCAGGAGGGAGTATGTGCGAGCACGATGAAGTGCCTCACTTTAAAACCATCAGCTCTTATGAGAACTCACTCACTATCATGAAAACAGCATGGGAGAAACCGCGCCCATGATTCAATGACCTCCCACCTGGTCCCTCCCCTGACATGTGGAGATTAAAATTTGAGGTAAGATTTGGGTGGGGACACAGAGGCAAACCATATCAGTAGGTATTTGGAACTTTAAGTACTATTGTCTTCATTTTATGAATCGAGAAACTTAGTCATTAAACCAGAAACAATTTTTATTTTTATTTCATTTATTTATGTAGAGACAGAGTCTTATTCTGTCACCCAGGCTAAAGTACAGTAGTGTGATCATGGCTCACTGCAGCCTTAACCTACCCAGCTCAAGTGATCCTTCTTGCCTTAGACTCCTGAGTAGCTGGGGCCACAGGTGCACACCACTATGCCAAGCTAAATTTTTTTTCTTTTATTTTTTGCAAAGATGGGGTCTCATTATGTTGCCTAGGCTGGTCTCAAGCTCCTGGGCTCACGCAATCCTCCCACCTCAGCCTCTCAAAGTGCTGAGATTACAGGCGTGAGCCACTGCACCTGGCCCGGATAGAATGTTTATAAACAGAGTATTCCTCTGTGAAGTATGTTAGTTCTTAGAAATACAGAAAAGTCTCTTATGGAATAACAGTAAGTAGAAAAATACACATTTATCTAAATGTAACTACTTGCCTATGATATACATCATTTAGTGATGGCTTAAACTATAAGATATTGATCTTCAGAATGATAAAGAGAGTGGGCTTGATGTCATTTGCTTAAAGATGCTTCACCTAGAATGAATATACTTTTTCCACCTTTTCCTCAAAACTATTGCCTTCTATTAGTGTTCTGTCAGAAGTAGCTCTCTGGTACAATACTAAGGTGCAAGTATAAGCTGATCTACTTTTTAAAAAACAGCTACGGTGGCATCTTTAAGGGGTTTTAAGTCAGCCATAAGGAGTATTAGACCAATAGAGGAGAATCAGTTAAACAACAGGAATAAAAAAAGGGAAGGGTTAAGGAACTTACCGAAAATAAAGGTATAGGAATTTCTTCCTTTAAAATTTATTTAAATTTTGGAAATATGGGGTAAAAATGAGTCAGTGAGCAGGACGTTTAACTTGACAGGCAACTTTATAGTTGCAAACCATTTTAAATTTCACTTCGACTTTCCATTATCCCTTAGAGACTCGAAGACCTAATTTAGACTGTCTGGCTACACTATCACAGGGGGATGATTTGTGCACTTAGGGTATCCCTTGGGGTTTTCTACCTGTTTGGAAATTAAGATGTAAATTAGTATTGTAGTATGTTAGAGGGGTGTACTGGCAGGCAGTTAATTTCCTTAGGTGAAATTAATGCTCAGAGAGAAATCGTACTTACATATTCAGGTTAGGCTATTACATAGGCACTTCAATGGAGTGAAATTACCTTTTCTTCTATTTCATACAAGTGTTGTACAACACAAAAATTACATAATCTTCCATGTTAATAATTACTAATGTCACCTTAAAATATTGTATGCTATTGAATGATTATGCATTTACTGGAAATGTATACCCCACAGGGTATTTACCAAGTTTCTCTATCAGGCATCATCCTCCCTCTTCCGCCATACCTGGAACTGCTGTGTTCCTCTTTCACTGTAGGGACTAAGTAGATATGTATTAATTTTTGGATTTTCTTATATTTAGATAGTTTTTGAAAATTTTCTTTTTGGTGATCACTGAAGTTCTCTGTTAGAGACCTAGTGGCAAAAGTTATTTTAACTTTGTGCTTAGAAAATAAGGACACTCTTCACTTTTACATAAATATAAAGAGGATGCAAACATCAAGTACTTCATTAATTAACAAGAAAACTTTTAGAAATATCATGTGTTTTGTCACCACAATGTGTGGCACAATGCCAGCAGATGGCATAAAAAGTGTTTGAAACGTGATGTGATTTGGTTTTGCTTTCAGAAAACTAAACAGTTTCTCTTTGGATTGAGCATAGTATCTTCTTCATGTACATGTCATGGATTGCTTAGATAGTTTTTACAAGTTCGTTATCTATCTCGTAAAGCCCACATTATTGTAGTTTTTGATACGTATCTCTTTATTTCATCATTTTGACATAGCCATAAATGGTATCCCACATAGATATTCAAACAATGTACCATTAACTAGGACATAGAAATCCTAGTCATTAGCTAACATGACCCCACGTGGAAATACACCACTTTATGGAGTGGAAGGGCAAGGGAAGCAGATGGGGGAAGAAGTATGCTCAAAAAATAGAAAAGTATATACAAAGAAATACAAGCCATGAGGTGAATGATAACCAAACAGATTTTTTTTTTAAATAAGAGAAAAAACAAAAAGTAAAACAGCCTAGATGATAACACATTTTTGCCTGGTCCAGCCTTTGGGAAACCAGATTACATTCTTTCATCTCATAGTTTCATGGGCATGTATTTTTACCAGGGAAAGAGAATTTGTACATGATAATATTTCTAAATCATACTCTAAATCATTCTCTGTACTTTCAGAATTAAATCTTGGCACACATGTAGTAAGCCTACATGAGAAGGTGCAGTTCCAATACAACTGAGTGGTTATTATTAAATCAAGTAGTGAAGATCCAGTTGTAGTTCATTTGAGAGCAAGATTCTGTGAATGCTTTAAATGTATTAACAGTGGTTACTTTGCTCTGCAATGGCTTACAGTCAAGAGAGGGGAAAACTAATGCATATAAATATTAATACATGATGATACAATCAAATACTAAGCACAGATATAACTTTGTAGAGTGACCTAGAGAAGATATAATTGATTTTGAAGGGCTGAATTTTTTAAAAGGGATCTTCAGCTGGGTTTATAGGTAAATAGAATTTATATAGCCACAATAGAGAGTTAGAGGTACAGAAAGAAGGACATTTCTTGAAAGGGGTCTATGGAAACCAAAGCACGCATAAGGGAATGAGGACTCAGAAGTTGAGAAACCTGAACAGAGGGTGCGGGACAGTTTTACTTTGGATCTGTATTCTGCCTCTTCTTTTCTTCCTTCTTTCTTAGTCTTCCACTTTTTTTCCCTACAAATATTTGTTGAATTACTTGTATGTGTATCTGTTCTTTAACTGTAAGCAGAAACCCAGTTCATCATGAGATTTTTCATTCTCTCTTCATGCACACAGAATAGTTACATAGATATATACTGCTGTGAATGTCTGTTTCAAAAGCTCACTTTAATGAAAGTCTGTTTTTGTCGTAGGTTTTATGAAAAGAAAAAAATAAACATTGATATCTGAACACATGGGAACTAGATGTTCCAACTCACCCTCTTGATGTCTGTAATTATTTTATTTTGGCACTAATATTACCAAGCTTGTTTATAATTAAAGATAAATGAAATAGTAAAATTAACTACTTTATCTCCTTATTTAAATTTCAGATGGGAAATTTGGAATTTTACTGTTTAAGTCCTTTGTTAAATATCTAAAAGGGCTCTACTACAGGGAGACGGATTAATTAAAATCAAAATTGTTGAGGGAATATAATTAAAAACAAAATCTTATACCAACCCAGAAATCCCCTCCACCAAAGTAATAGAAAAAGAAAACACTTTTACTATTAAGCATTAAACCAGAATGTGATGAACATTACAGGCAATCCACTAAGATTATAAAAACCAAAAGAAATCTCACTTTTCTATATTGCCAAGTAGATGTAGCCAAGAGTGGGATTACACACATGCTTTCAAGATAAACAACAACCAGTCCTCAAGTAAAAGGACTTGACAGCCCCATCCTAAATTCTTCAGGTAATTGGGGTGATCATCTGTGTTAGCTAATTGGCTTTCTCTGAGGAGAAACAAATTTCTCATCCCTTTATGACAGGAAGAAGTTTTGCAACTTGGAGCAAGGGTAACCCTGAAGTTAGGCTCCTACCCTCCCATAGGAACTGGGAGATAGGGGAGCTTTCTCCCTTGATGTTTGCATTTCAAAAAGATAGCCTCAAGGTTCTTGAGAAAGCATTTCTGAGTTGTGAGGCTAATGGGAGGCTTAGTTAGCCATCATTAAGATTTACATAAATTCTCAAAGAACAAAGAAAGAAATTCTAAAAGAAAAGGGAGGGTAGAAAGCAGTCTCTATCTACCCTTGTTTTCAGCAGAGAGATTTGAATAAGAGGTATATTTGTCCTTACAGTGTAAAATGAAGGAAATAATTGTTTTTTAAGAAAAGTAGTCAGTGGATATTTTGGGTTACCTGAGTATATTGTCAGTATATTCTAAAACAAATAACAAATAGGCCTTAAAATGGAAAGATTGAAGTAAGATGATCACTACTCCTTCACACTCATAGTAACTTGATTGTTGGGTAAATTATTGGAGGGTAGTTCTGCTCATATTTGGCTTTTGCAAGGGAAGGCAGACCTTGTGGAGAGCAGAATGGATCATATAAAAAAGGTCTTAAATTTCTACTTGAAATGTGTTTCAGACTGGACATCCTAGCTTTCTGGTGCATTTAACTTAAACTGCTCAACTACTCATTCAGTGCTCATTCAAATGTTAATGTGGGCCATCTGCCTCCCCATCCCCATCCTTTTTTATAGCAGGAACAAGCTGAAGGTCACATGACCCTAATTACTGCAATTATGAGATTTCTGGGAGTAATCACTTAGGTTGCACCCAGAGTGAGCATCTGCTGATGATAAATAGATCAGGAGATTACTAAAGACAGGCTTCCCTATAAGATATCCAGTGATTAATTTCTTAATATATATACATATGCACAGCTAAATCCATATGCTCTAATAAAAGCATTCTTTTCCTCACACTTTTTCCTAAAATGCCTCTTTAAAATTTAGTAGGAACAGCATAAAATGCATATTTTTTTGTGTGCGAATGTAATTAGAATTCTAAAGAGGGAATAGGGAAGATATTCTAATAATGACTAATAATGAAGCAGCAGCCTTTACCTACACAAATTTTAGTTCTCTGTGCAAGGAGAAAAGAATGTCACAAGGGCTTAATCTTTCCAGCAGAAATATTATTTCATATTATTTTATTTTGTTTTGTTTTTATTAATTTTGAGATGAAGACCTAATTTCTAATGAAAAGGGTGTGTGTTTAAGGGAAGATTCTTCAGGCCGCTTAAGACCTTCTGAGGCCCATTCCTTAGCAAGATGAATTCTTTTCCCTTTCATGAGGTCATTTGCTTATTAAAAGGTGGTTGTTTCATAGGATATTTTCTCACAGTATTGTTTACTTTGCTCCCTATTATATTTTGCTTACTATAAAGCACTTACAGTTTTAAATTCTATTGTGTATTAATTTGACTTATTTTTAGCCTCTCCCATCTCATGCAGTAATTTTTGAATGACACACTGTGCTAAATATCATGTTAGGAGATGTGGCAGTATTTTTGCAATACCATTGGTTGGTCTCCCCATGTTGGTTAATGACAATGACATTAAAGGTTATGCATAGTATCTTTCTTCTTTTGAAAATCTCTCCTTTTGCCAATTTGCCCCCAAAGTATGGTTTAGAGCTTCTTATAATTTCCTTTATAGTATTGAGGCAGGCTAAGCTTATTTCCAGTATGTGTAAAATGACTCTAAATGAATAATTTATTCACTAAACAAATGCTTTCTTGAGCACCACATCGTGCCAAGAAGTGTGCTAGAAAAGAACAAGAAAGACACAGTCTTGCTCACTTTTATTCAGGTGGCAGCAGCCTTCTACGTACATACATGTACTTTACAACACACTAATATGATGCACCAAAATATAATGTATCATTTCCTAAATGATTTGACCTCATTTATTAATAATTTCAAAATACATCAATTGATGGTTTTTAAAAGTCGTTTTGTGGCAGCACCTGTCCAATCCTTCCTCCCCCACCCCCTCTTTTGTCATTACTAGGATATGATTCAACTTATTCTTCAGGCATAAAGGAGTTTGATTGGATTGTAACCCTTTTCTCTCCTTTTTATCTGTGTTTATGCTTCCTTCCTTGCTTCTTGTAAACTCTTTAATCTTATTTAAAAAAAAAAAATTTTTTAGGTTGTTAGGACTGATATCTTTCTCTTCTAACTTTTCAGAGAAAGAACAGTTAAGAGACTTTGCAATATTGGAACTCTGTCAGCTGGGCCCCTATGCCTCTCAAAGATAACATCAAAAGCACATTCATGATCCATCTGAGCTGATATACCAGGAGATTGGGATTTTGTGATCAATAACACATTATATGGTCCATTCTATAGCATGTTTTAAAGGAGAAACTGTTTGCTAAATTCCTTAATTGTTGTTTTCATAGGTACTAAAGCTCCTATGGTATTATTTTTTCAATAAAATTATAAATACATAGCAGTGTAGTTCAGTTCAGTTTTGTAAGACTTCATATTAATTAAATCATAAATTACACAGAAAAATCTTTTGACAAGCCATATTTTTAGAGCTTTGGTTCAGAAAGTATTGTTTTCATAAATAAAATTCAAATGAGGGAGAATTTGTTCATTCACTTTTAAAGAAGCATCAAAGACCTGTGTCGAGCTGCTTCTCATACTGGATATAGAACAAGAGTCAGCATCATTTAAACCAGTGCCCCATTAGGATTGATGGGCCTCCTTTTTTTTTTCCACCAGCTAGATCTCAGCTGTGAAATGAGAAAAATATATTCAGTAAAGACAGTAATATAAATTCCAAGGAGCTAATCAGATTAGAAAGCCATGGCCATACACTTCTGAATCAAGGCAGAGCCCTGTAAATATGGCTAATGCAAAACCAATGGCACCTGTCACAAAACAGCATTTTGAACTCTAAAAACTAGAGTATCATAGATGCAGGAAAATAAAATGATTTGGAAGAAGTCTTGCAGGTTGGGATAAGAGAGACCTAAATCATATTGAAGTAGTTGACAAGTCATAAACCTCAGGTTGAGGAAAATATTGCCCCTTCTTATATGATGTTTCAAGAAATGTTTGTGACAAATAATTTTTAAAAATAACTTTTGAAAGTGCTGTATAATCAAGCATTGTATTTCTGATTGAGAGTTCAAATCCATATATGAAAAAAGTTTCAAAATAATTAATATATGTAAGAGGCCTGCACTTGTAGGTCTCTGCAGTTGTAAGGACGTGGCCTAAGACCTCAATCCAGGAAATTTATTTAAAGCTCCATATGGAAGTTTTTGTTTTTGTTTTTGTTTATTTACCTTTGGTAAAATCTTAAATTTTCTTCATTCAGGGAAAGTATCAGTTGATGCTGCTCCCTCAGTAACAAAACGGTTGCATTCAAACTGTTACAACTTACATAGAAAACCCAGAGCACTGAATCAAAGAGATGTCAACTAACTCATTGAAGCCCACAATTATTGGTGGTGGAGTAAGTGTAGTTGTGACTCTAATAAATTTACAGTTGTCTTTTCCTGTTTATGGTTGCCAATATTGGTCTTTAGATATGATGTATTACATACTTAAAAACCTGGTAAGGGACAAATTAAAATCTGACATTTGCATTCAGCTTAAATTAGTTAAGTCAGTAAATGGTTCTTCAGCCTTATTTCCTGCCATCTCTCCTCCTTTTATTCTCCATGTTTTTTTCTGTTAGGAGTGAATGCTTAGACCTCAGTTACTCAGAGCCGTCTTTCCTACAGTGGGCGAGATGCCCTCACTGTGCACTCCCATAACACCCCGAATGCAATCTCTCATGGCATTTCGCTTTATTCTCCCTCCCTAATCAACATGTTTTAAAGATTAATTAGATTCCTAGTTGTTGAAGTCAGAGACCACACATGGCTTGTCATTACTGTCTTTCTGGAACTTAGTGCGTTGCTTGATATAATTTTAGTGTTTATGATGTTGCCCACATTCACTCTTACTCTCATTGCTGTTGTTGGATTGCTGTTACTATTCCAGCGCCCTGTGTGCCCTTCTCTATTGCTGTCCTGAGTATTCCCTTTCTAACCACCCTGTCTGAGCTCCTCAGCCTACGTCTTCTGCATGCTGGAGGCTGGACCCAAATGCTAGGCCCTTCTCTTGCCCATCTCTTCCAGCCTGCAGGAGCTGCTGCTTCTCCACTGGAGGCTCCTGTCGTAATTCAGCAGTCAAACTGCAATATTTACTTTTAAGGAGCTTGACAGGTAAAAAGAAATCTCTTCAAACTGCATGAGACCTATTCAGCTCCATTTGGCTTTTTATTCATTTATTTTTCTCTTGCCAGGTGGTCCGAATCAAAGATTGAAGTGCCCTAGATTTCCAAATTTGTCTTTTATATATTCAGTGTTAAGTGCTTAGTGTTGTTTATAATTTAAACATAACTTTTATAAAACTCTATTTTGAAAAGCGATGACTAACTATGGATATACATAAAAAGGATGTTAGCAGAAATGAAAAGTTCCGTTTAAGTCCTTCTTAAGGCTTGTCTCATTTAGACAAACAAAAGTTACATTGTTTGCCTGCTCACTGATGACTGGTACCATTTTTACTTCCCCCATTTGCTAAATACTCAAAATTTATTTGAGCTTTTTTTTTTATTAAATGCAGCGAAACAATTTAGTGCATCAAAAACTACATATTGTGGTATGAGTAAATGTTGTTTCACAGCTTATTTTAGCATTCTAGAAAGGTTGGCATGGAAACCTTGAGAAGGCATTTTAGATGCTCAGTGATGCATAAAGGCATTCATTTTGAAAGTCCTGTTTATCTTATTTATCCCAATTTAGAATCAATTTTAATAGTTATTTGTATCTAATTTTAGAAATATGATTTTTTTCAACAGGCAGAAGTAGTTTCTTTAGTCTTTTTCTTTTTTTTCTTTTTTTTATTTTTAACACACATAATCCAGAGTCAGGGAGAGTTTTCAACAATTAAGCAATATAATTCACTGGATAGAGATATACATTGGAATCATTTAGATTTGGTTTCAAATGCTGGCTGTTAGCTTTATGATAATTGCTATGTTAGTAGCCTCGAAACATGAGATTAAACATTAAGATAATAGCAATAAAAGGAAATAAATAAGGTAATACATGCAATACACTATACAATATAATATGTTACCAGGTAATATATGTAACACACTTGCATAAAGTATACATTCATCAACTTTCATTATTATATGTGTAAAATAATAGAGCTGGAAAAAGAAAAATTCAATAAATTACTTTGACTCAGGAACCTTTTCATCATTCATCCTCTTTTCAGTCTTTCTGTCTTGCCTGAACACTGGGAAATGTTGGTTCAATTGAATCACAAGACATTCACTAATTTATTTATGAATAAGCTTCTATGGATTACAAAGGGTGTGAAAAAAGTTAATATCAATTTTTTTTTCAATTCATTACCTGTTGTGTTTGTTATTTGGTTGTTGGTGGATCTCTCTTACCCCATGATAATTAGGGACCATCAGTGTCCCTTGGGATCCAGAGACCTGGTTTCAATTTTTGTCTCGTCTGCTAAGCAGCTGTGTTACCTTGAATAAGGAAATTCAAATCTTGAGACCTGGGTTTTCTTGTATATAAATTAAATGGAGATGAGCCGTATTATTTTTAATATACGTTCTAGCTTTTATCCATATTTTTCCAGTAGGATATTAGAAATTAAATAAAGACTATTCTGTATCTACCATCTCTGTAGACATGCTCAGAGGTTGTCAAACATTTTGGAAATGACTTTTGTTAAGTGAATTAGCTACTAATTTTTTTAAAACTTAGAGTCACAAAACAACTAGCAAATAAATGACAATTATTTCTAAATTTGTTTTTAATATAGAGATTAATTTTTCATATCTATATTTAGAAATGACGTCTTCTAATTTTATCTAGGCATAAAACAGCTAAAAAACTTGATATAGTCTATACCAAAATAACCCAATAATAAAAGTAAGTTGTAATGGGAGAATAACCCAAAGGAGCAATTTTCATGTGAAAAATTTTCCAGTGTATGAAGAATTGTTATTCACGGAAGGCTAATCTGTTGGCAATGTCTGTTGCTGAGCTGAAGAGGGTTCTGACAAAGCAAGCCCATTCCTGCATGGACTAAGCCTTCGAGTGGCCTTGAATTAGAAAGGAAGATAATTCTGCCTCTGGAAAAAGATATCATAGTGTAGTTATATAGAAATTACTCCTCAAAAGTTCCAACCCTTCTAACTAAAGCTTTACCAAAAGAATCCCAAAGAAGATAAACTTTCAAAATTCCGCTAAATAAAAACTCCATTGTCCTTTCAAAAAACATATACATTCTCAGGGAATTTTGTATAGTTCAAGATTATATAAATAACTTTGTCCAAACTCTTAGTTTCTACATTTCTTTAGAATTTCTCTTTTTCTCCTAAGAAAGTCTGGGGAAAAAACTCTTCACTATAGTAACTGATTAGTTCCATTTCCTGTCATATTTCTTTTCTTGTGGTTGCTGGTTTCTAGCCAATTCTATTTTTGCATTTATTTTCCCCCATTACATTCTGTTTCTTTTTTTTCTGGGTAGAAGAATTTTTGTGTTTTTCATTTTGTCAAAATGGAATTCTTCTCATGTTATGTCATGATTTTGATATTTTCAAGCTTAAAAAGCAACACAGAGGAGGTTTGTTTACATAATGAAGCATATCATGGGCTTTTTACAGAAGGTCTGATAATTCAGAAAGTATTTTCAACTAGCAGTGGATTAGCAATGCCTACTTTTTTCATAAGTCCTATTCTTTTGAGCATAGTCAGCTTGAGGCAGCTGTGGTTTAAAAGAGGAAACTAGGAGTCTAGGAAGTGACCTCATGAAAATGCAGAAAATTAAGAGTTTAAATAGTAATAATATACAAAAGCAAATAGCATATTTCACTAAATGTCTGAGTGCCTGAGAATTCTGGAAGTGGAGGGAAATCCAATTTAAAGAATATAAAATTAATATCCACATGTGAGTACATAGAGAGAAATACAGAAGGGGGAGGCTGAGAGACCTTTCTCAGGCTTTCGTTTTTTGGTTTGTTTCTTTATTTTTTTCTTTCTTTTTTTTTTAAAGAGCACTCTAGATTTATTTGGGTAAAATACGTGAGTATTTGCTTAGGATATATGCATTTATAAATTTAAAAGAGCAAGGATTCTCCCTGGGGCAAATCTTTCCTTGGATCATTGAAAACTAACCAAACAGTGTCTTCTAACTAGATTATCTTCATACTAGATCCTTGCAGAAGTATTAGCTGACCTAAGTCCTATTTTTTGCCACCCTGAAAGTGAAAGAAGGAAGTGCTGCTATAATAAGAACTGTAACTAAATCTAACGGCATCCCTGTTTTCTGATGATGGTCATGTGTTAGAAAAGTTTCATTTCATACCTGAGATATAAGATGTACAAATGTCTTTCCTAAGCTTGATCATCCATGGCAGATCTATGATGGAATATAGTGGGGAATCTGTAAAGCTGACTGACTACAAAACCAACAAATACTTTTTCTTCTCTCCCAGATTTACTTAATTAAACCAGGAGACTTGTGAATATATGAATAGGACAGAGCTCCAGGCAGATGGACTTTTATGAATTCTGCACCCTCACTATCTGGAGCTCTTTATACTAATCCTGGCATCTGGGAGAAAAGTGATTGCAAAGTTACACATTAGAATTGTCTCATTTTCTTGTGGCAGTTCTTAGTGTGATATCTGGTGGACATCGTTCCTGTATCACCCTGTGTAGAAATAAAAAAGAACACTTAATCCTCACTTACTCTACCCTGTATTTTTCTCCATAGCATTTCTATATTACTGATATATCTGATATATTTTTTTGTACAATTAATTATTGTTTCACCTAACTAGAATGTTCATAGAGCAGGAACATTTTCTGTTTTGATCACTGATGAGTCCCTAACATCTAGCCAAGTTTTTGGCACATCATAGTTGCTCAATAATATCTGTTCAATGAATATGAATTTAGTCACTATTTTCACGCATACACCGATGCCTACTGTTGTCTGGTCTTCCCCTCGCAGCCGTGTACTCCGCCTCTCTTCTTTCTCACCACATCCCACAATTCCCATCCCACTAGCAGCTTTCTTCACAACAATGAGGTTACATACTTGATTAAGGAACCATCTCTTATGGATCTTTCTCAGGTGCTTAGTGTGACACCATGTGTGGCTGTGCCCTCTTAGAGGTGAGAGCTGAGCTCCTGATTTGGCTTCTTTATGCCCTTCCTTCATGAAGGACAGTGGTTCTCAGAGTGTCCCCTGAACCAGCACCATCAGCATCACATGGGTACTTGTTAGAAATGTAAATCTTTGGGCTCCACCCCAGACCTAGTGAATCAGAAATGTGTGGCTGCAGCTCGGTAACCTGCGTTTTGTCAAGTCTTCCAAGTAATTCTGATGCTGAAGTTTGAGAACCAGTGAGAAGACATAGATTGCCTCCTGGCTTTGTTTTTAACTTTTCAAAATCCCTGTAATTTCTCTGGGCATATTTCTTCAGGAGATCCAAAAAGATTCATATTATACGAAGTTCTCTCTCTAAATTAATGCAGGGGCTTAACATTTATTTATTAAATTATGGGCATGGTAGGCATAGATTATATGTCCCTGTAGAATCTTGCAAGGTAGAAGCCATCTTCCCCCCCTGCCCACCCCAGAAAATATGCAAATTCAAGTTTCTAGAAGACTGGGCTGTAATTCCCATTTATTTTTAAGTGTATACCTACCTCCTTCATCCCCCCAAACTTCCCACATGGTATATGTATAAATTCAACCCTAGAACCTGTTGTAGGTGAGCCACAGCTCTTCAGGACAAATACTCAAAATCAGTAATTGTATGTAAAGCTAAAAATTAAACTTCTTTAGAATGGGAAATATTACGTAGATATTATATAGTCTTCTTTCTTGGAAATTCTATGTAATTCTGTTTTAGAGAAAGATAGGAATGGTTCCTCACTTTAAAATTTTTATGTACTAAATCTGCTTTAATTTATAAAATAGCAATATAATGTTATATTTGCTTTTTTATTAAAACCACTTCTGTCATTTATGGGAAAATATTTCAGTTGCCACATTTCATTCTTAACTTGATTATAATTTGGTTAACATATTGACAGTTCAGCCTTTTGAATGCTTGACTTCTAGTCCCCAGACCTTTCACTGTAGCTGAAAGAGCATCAGAACTTGGGTTCTTTCTCAAAAGAGGACCTGGAAGAATAGCTGAGCCCATGTCATCTTAGGACTATATATATATACATGTATATGTACATAAATATACATGTATATATGTACATATGTATGTATATATGTATATGTACATATGTATGTATATATGTACATGTACATATGTATGTATATATGTATATGTACATATGTATGTATATATATGTGTGTGTGTATATGTGTGTGTATATGTATATATGTGTGTATATACATATATATACACACATATATACACACATACATATATATACATACATATGTACATATACATATATCCTCAATCATTTTTTCACATTTTAAAAAGCCTAATCACATATCTAGCCTTTTTCTCTGGGGAAGACCAATTCATTATAGTTCCTTAAGAACTTTGAGTCTGAACTAAGAATAAGGAGGTGCTATTTGTCTCTCAAATGGAGTTTGCTATAGTACACATTAGAACTGACAAGGATTTTAGTTAGGAAAAAAAATGGTGGTGTGGATGAAGCAGCAACAGTTATCAAATGTGGTGGAGAGGACACTAAAGCTTCCTTGCTTGCAATGTTAGAGCAACAAGGGCATTCCATTTTGAAAGGAAGTAAGCAAGTTTAGGAAGACAAACTCTATTGTTGTCAAGATTATAAATTAGCAAGGCATTCAGTCAAAACCGACTTATAGTTAATGCATTGTACGTCAATTAACATGAATAAGTAAACTTCTTAACAAACAACTGTATGTGTGATTTGATGAAGAGATGGTAACTGAACCTGTCAGATGAGGAACATTGCTGGGTGTAAGTGAGAAAAGCATATATCTCCTATGGAAATCATCGATGTTACTGTTTAGTCCATTAAAGCAACTCTTCAAGAAAAAATATATGGGTCTGATTATCACAAATGTTACTTATTAACATATCCAGTCTTATAATGACACCAGGTCTCCTAAAATCCCTTTATAATTATTCTAAAAATAGAATTCAATCTAAAATAAGTGGGAGGCAAGCAGATTCATCATTCACTAAAGGGCATCAGCAAGATGAAAAATGGTCCATAGAGAAGCAATAAATACTTTGAGCAAATACATATGTCACTAAGTACCTATAAGCTATTTATTTCTCATTTTAGCCATAACCTTTAATTGTACTCCCATCTGTCCTAGACCAATTACTCACGTCTTGACTGCTGAAGTCATTTGTTATAGCCCAACATTTTGTTCTTTCTTTTCTTTCTTCTTCCCCACCCGCCCGCCCATTAATGATTGTAGAGGAGAAACAAACTCAATAATTCTATGAGTATTGAGAGCAGAGTTTTCCTTAGGTATATTTAATTTTGACCACATGGGGAAGAATTACAAAAAATTTAAAATAACAGTAACTTAAGCCAACTCAAGTTTAACATAGTGCTCCATTATCATCAGGGACCCAGATGCTCTCTGTATTTTTGCCCTGCTGTCCTCAACATGCAACTTCCATTTTGTTTCCAAGATGGCTGCTTCTGCCCCCACTGTCTTATCACATATGCATCCCAGATAGCAGGAGGGAGAAATGCAGAGATGGGCATGACCTCTCCCTTTACACACATTTCTGACTAGTCACATATACTTCTTGTTCTCACATCCCACCAGACCTTAGTTATTTCATCGTACTTTGCTATATAGATGATATGTAGTCATTATTAAAAATAAACATGTGCCCAACTAACATTTGAGGATTCTTTTACTTAAGAAGAAGGAGAGAATTGATAATGAAGGACAGTTTTTGGCTTCTGCTGCATGAGAATTAGCCCTATTTATTTTGTTAATCAGAGGAGGAAGTACAGATTATTAGGGTTGCAGTGAATGTTCACTGTTCAGTTACATGATTATAGGACAAATATAGACAGGAAATTAAAATCTCTTGCAGATTATTTAATTTGAGATTTTAAAGTTGTCTGCTATTCATGAGGATGTGTATTTTTCTCAGCTTGAATTAAATCATAAATTCTAGTAATTTGTATTTATAAGAGAACAAATATTTATGAAGTTCCTGGCAGCATACAAGGTTCTTGATATATATTTTCATTTTTTTCTTTATAAGCATCCAGTAATAGAGGTATTCACCTTTTTTATGGTTGAAGAGTCTGAGAATTAGAATTGATTAATTTGCTCCAGGTCACATAGATAATAACAAATAGGGTTGAATTTTGACCCATGTCTGTTGGGTTGCAAAATGTGTCTTTTCTCCCATATTGTTCTGTTTCCTAGTTGCTTCTCAGTATTTATTAGCACAGTATTCAATTTGTTTCATTCATCTTTAGATCCTCCATGTTACAAACAGTATATTTAGCTGCTGATTGAATGAATGAAATACAAATACAAAGTCCACTATTTTCGCCAATGCTGTGAAATGTTTTTATCATTTGTAGACTATTTAAAGCCATCTCATGCCTTTGCTATGTTTAATTTCTGATTAGTGGCCAACATTTTTATTGAGCAAATTCAGTGACATGATAGATGGGATATTCCAAATAGTATTTTTTCTTCATAAGAAAAAAGAAAGAGAAAAAGAAATGAAAGAGGAAAGAAAAGATAATGTCCTTCTCTTTATTTCTAAGTTCTTATTGCACCTGACTGTCCTCATGTTGTGGGCTTGTTTTGTCTGTATTCCATGTCGTCAAATATCTACTCTTTATCATGCAGAAATTTTTCCTCATTATTTAATAGCATAGCCTTCTAAAGCCATTTAATTTGAGAAAGCATGTGTAATGCCATTTAGTGGTTATTACATTTGATTGCTAGAGTAGAGAAAATACAAACACTTTTTTTATGAGCCTGAATCAGACTTTCATAAAACAAGTTATAAAATAATTAAATGTGTGTTTGCCAAATTTATGCATGTCAACTTTGAGAATAATGAGTCAGAAGTTGAGGAAAATTTACCTTCAATACCCTTGAGTTATTTAATCTTTGGCTAATATGACTTATTTGTCTGTGTACTTTACAATAGTTTTAGAAATCTGTTATGTTAATTGAATTTTGAAATTCAAATAATGATGTTTGTAATATATAGATTGCTGATATAAGCTACTTTTACAGGCAATTCCTCTTTCTATTTTTAATGTGAAATTTAAGTGAGCTTAATTATTCAGGTACAAATGGTATTGGGCATTGACCAAATTAGGGTGCTCTTATGCAACCAATCTTAGACTCCTAAGGGAAGGATCTTATTGAGAAAAGGTGTCTTTAAATAATGTTTTCTAAAATACTATAATATAAATGTTGATTTGTTTCCTCACTTTGACTAACTAGAAAATAGGACTTCAGCTAGGCATGGTGGCTCACGCCTGAAATCCCAGCACTCTGGGAGGCTGAGGTGGCAGGATTGCGTGAGTCCAAGATTTTGAGACCAGCTTGGGCAATATAGTGAGACCTCATCTCTACAAAAACTAAAAAAATTAGCTAGGCATGGTAGCTGTGTTTGTAGTCCCAACTACTCAGGAGGCTGAAGCAGGAGGATCACTTGAGTCTGGGAGGTGGAGGCTGCAGTGAGCTGTGATAGCATCACTACACACCAGCCTAGGTGACAGAGGGAGAGCCAGTCTCAGGAAAAAAAAAAAAAAAAAAGAAGAGAAGGAGGAAGAAAAAAATGAAAATGAAAAGAGGACTTCAGCTCTTATATGTTCTAGGATCTATTTATTTCACATAAACTCTTCTTCATCATCCTCATTTTCTTTATCACATGCCTAATGCTAAGTGTTAAGCCCTTACCATGTGTTATTTCATTGAATCCTTTAGCAGTTCCAAAAACTAGGTAATATTGTTATCCCTATTTTAAAGATGATGTAACTGAGATTGAGTCAAGTTAAACAATTTCCCCAGGGTCTCATAGCTTACAGCTGGCTGGGACTGGATTCAAGTTGAGACAGTCTGAAATCCAGTGCCTGCCCTCTAAAGTATACTATGATGCCTATGTGCCTAATCTCACAGATTCCTAAATGTGGAACTGGCCGTGTTTCGATGACCCTGCCTTTAGTGTTGTCCCACTAAGTCTCTCTCTCCTTTTAAAGCTGGCCTCTTAGAACTCAAGACCACAAAATAACCTCCTGTTCCTCTGCACAGAAATCAATGTGGACTAGTTGTACAGGCTATTTGCATTTCCCATTTTGATTTAATTGGTTGATTATTTTAATTAGCCAACAAATTTGATGAATTTTTCACCAGTGAACTCAGTGGTGATTTTCATGTATCTTAAAAACTAGGCTTAGCCTGCTCTCTGGTGAACTCATGAAATAGCTGGGATTTGCCCACTCCTCCCTGCTCCCCTGACAGAAGCATTCTCCCTTTCAGACCTTTTCTTTTTTCTTCAAGTGGTCCGCACTGCATTTCCCCTTTGTACCACTTCAAAACCAAGCCTTGAAAAATAAGTGCGATTTTACTTTCTCATTATTCTTCTCTACTGCCCCCATTTCCCAAGCCAAGGTATGTTTTTATTATTTTTATTTTATAATTTATTTTTATTTTTTATTTTTGAGATGGGGTTTCGCTCATCACCCAGGCTGGAGTGCAATGGCATGGTCTCAGCTCACTGCAACCTCCGCCTCCCAGGTTCAAGCGATTCTCCTGCCTGAGCCTCCCAAGTAGCTGGGATTACAGGCACCCACCACCACATCTGGCTAATTTTTGTATTTTTAGTAAAGATGGGGTTTCACCCTGTTGGCCAGGCTGGTCTCGAATTCCTGACCTCAGGTGATCCGCCTGCCTTGGCCTCCCAAAATGCTGGGATTACAGGCAAGCCATGTTTTTAAATATTGTTTTTTCTGGTTTCCTAATTGCTCTGTTTTCAGTACAAACATTTTAGAAAGTACAGAACAGTGTAAAGAAACAGAAAGAAATACAGATCCCGTGATTCTACATCCAGATGCAGCTACAGTATGCATTTTGGCAAATTTCCTTTCAGCCTTTTGTTGTATGAAAAATTTCTAAGACATGAGGATTTATTTTTTAATAGGATACAGCTCTTTGAAACAAAAGCCATGTTTATGCTCAAGGCATACTTATGCTTCTGGTTCAGATATACAGAATTGTCTCGTTCTAGGGATTCAGTGAGGATCTAAATCTGTTTGTGTTAGGGACATCGATGTGATGCCACCCTCAAAGAGGACAGGAGAGGTGCTTGAAGATCAAAACCATTCCTGGGAGAACTAGGTTGAGACAGGGGTAAGGGGAGCCGGTCTAGGTAAGAGAGTTGACAAAGCAAAAGATAGGTCTTTCCATGAATTTTATTAACACAAGGAGAGTGAGAGCAGGGACCACACCCAGTTGGAGGGAATGGGAGTTGAGTGCTGGCTGAAGGAACTAGGGCATCCCAAGAGACCTGGCTTCAAAGGGCCGTCCAGCAGCCTGGCTACCCCAAAGGGCTATGCAAAATACCAAGACCTGCCAAAGTGCTCAGAACCTCCACCTTCAAGCATAGACCAACTTGATTATTCCTGAGCCCTGCAAGTAATTGATGTGAGACCTTTTGTTAGTTTGCCATTAATAACAGCCAACATTTCTTGAGTATGTGTCCAGCACTGGCTAATCTATCTCCTGGTGTTATCTTGTTTAGCCCTTACAACAAGTTGGTTACTGTTGGGATATCCATTTTACAGATAAAGAGTCAGAGTTAAGAGAAGTTGATGGTTTTGCCCAAGGCCACTTGGATAAATAGAGAAATAGGAATTCCAGCTCAGTGATTGTCTCATTCTAGTTCTTACTCTTCGCTGCCATGTGGTCTGTGATTTAGTCATTTGCCAGGGGGTTATGGTAGTAGTCTAACCTACTGGAGGAAACTGTTGTGTACGGGGGTGGGTGGGAGGCAGTAATTTCTGGAGGTTTTCAAATTATTGTACCAAGGTAGCATTGCTTACCCCTTCTAAATTGCTCTGTGTAAACCTGGTCTATAAATATGTCAAATATTCAAACTAACTTCTGACTTAGAAGTATTCCAAGCTCTTGAGTCTGTCAACATTTTTTCTTTTAATTAAGCTGGACTTCAGTTTTATTCACATAGAACATAGAATTATATAATCAGAATATCTCAATTGTCACAATTTCTACAAGAGTTACAATTCAAAATTTAACTGAATCACTGCTCTGAAATAGCAGGAGTTTTAAAGTTAGTCTGCAAGGACATGAAGAAATACTCATGAAACATGAAATTTCAAGGTCATGTACCCTGCCTGCCATCATCCCAAAAATGGAATACGTGCATTTTTTAACAGCTTTATTGGGATATAATTCATATACCATATAATTCACTCATTTGAATTATAAAATCCAGTGGTTTTTAGTATATTAACAGATATGTGCACCATTGCCACAGTCAATTTTAGAATATTTTCATTACTTCAGAAAGAAATCCCATAGTGTCCTCTGGCTACTACCTCCCCACCCTTTCATGTCCTCCCTTCTCCTCTCTCCCACCCCAGTCTGAAGCAACTAGTAATCTACTTTCTGTCTCTATAGATTTGTCTATTCTGGATATTTATATAAATGGAATGATATAATATGTGAACATTGGTGACTGGATTCTTTCAGCTAACGTGTTTTCAAGATTCATCCAAGTTGTGTCATGTGCTCAATTTGTTCTTTGTATTTTATTTTTTCTAAGGGTTCACACCCTTGATGCCGATAACAGGTGCTTCCCTACTTATCCTGGACAACTTCACCGCATAACCATAACATTTCCAAGGATCACTTAGAATTATAAATTTTGCACATTGTGGTAGACAGGTCTTTGATCCCTGCAAAGCTTTAAGAACACTTTTCACTACTTCAGAGATGTCCATGTTCTCCTTAGCATCTTTTCGTCTCTCATAAATATATTTTCAGCCATGAATGCATGGTTCAGTGAAGCCTTCCCTTGCAGTCTGGCAAAGTGTCTTTTTTTTTTTTTTCTGCAGAAGAAAGCTGATCAATGGCTGTGAAATAAAAGTAAGCTTTAAAACAAACAATTAGAAAACAGTAGGGTCAATCCATTTTGAGGAGGTTTGTAGTTTTAGACTCCATTAATAAATTACAAAGCCAGAATTAAACTTGTAATAAATAATACTATGTTGTAGGTATTTTTCGAGGTTTATTTTTCAGTTACACCAAATTAAATATAATCATTTGATTAAAATAATACAAAAGCCAATATAATATAAAATTTTATTTATCATTTGCTGTTCCTCATTGTCTTCTCCTATAAGCTGACCTCTTATATAATATAGTAACTGAATTGGTATTAAATAGGTCTTTGCTCCATTCATTGTAGCTTACTGAATAATTATACAAATATTTCATAATACAGTTGTAAACCTAGAATGAATTTTATACTAAGAAACAGAAAGTTAGGTTCTTCAAAACTTTCTTAGAATGAGACAGATTATGGATACAAATAAAATAAAATAAATTGGTATTTTAACTATTATGCTTTTTATTTCAGCACTATCTCAGAGTGAGACAGCATTTGTTTAAATGTTTGTTAAATGTTTATTCTCCTAAACATTTAATAACCTGATCTGTGCCATAAGCTGGACTAGGTGTTTTCAAGTATATTTCAGTTATTTATGACATATGCAAATATAAAATAATAAGCAAAATGATGTAACACTGTCATATTATTATTATTGTTCCAGCTATCAGTATAGTGCCTACCAAAGACTGTACAGATTTATCTCTATGCTTCATTTTGGGCTTGAGCCCAGGTAGAGAGAAAGGTAAATTTTGCTCAGAAATGTATACTGTTACCCAGCTTCTTTATACTACAAATAGCTTGAAAGAAAAAAAGTTTTCTTGACTCTTGTTCAGTCACAGCAGTCTTCCAAACAAAATGTTGTTTGTTGACCTTGGAACTGCCCTCCACACACCACGCAACTCTTTGTCAGTCAAGTGAGAGCTGTTTATTGGGTGCTGTGGAATCCAGCAGCTTCTCACATGGTTCCAGAGTCCGGTGAACAGAAGCCTTGTCTGTGTCTTGGGTGATGGTGAGACAAGACATGGTGGATCCCCAACTATGATTTTAACTAATAGAATATGAAGCTATTTCAGAGCCTCACTTTGTGTCTTAAATTGAGTTACTTGTTAATCTAAAGAAATTTTAAAATATGATAGTATTTTTTTTCATAAACCTGTGAAATGTCTAAGCACTAAGTGGTCAGACAGAACATAAATTTAGGTTTATCCAGGACAGAAGTTTTCATCTTCACCCTTTGTTTCAATTTCCATCCTATTGGGTTGCATCGAACCAGTGTTTCCTCACTGAATATGTTCATTATGTGTGTACATACTGTAAGGATAGCTCACAGTGGCGGGACATGTGTTTTATAGGATTTTTTTCTAAGTGGCCCAAGAGTATACAGGCATACCTAATTTTGTTGTGCTTTGCTTTATTGTTTTTGCTTTATTGTGCTTCACAGATAATGCATGTTTTAGACATTGAAGGTCTGTGGCACACTTATATTAAGCAAGTCTGTCAGCACCATTTTTTCAACAGCATAAGCTCACTTTGTGTCTCTGTGTCACATTTTGGTAATTCTCACGATATTTCAAACTTTTAAATTATTTTTTGTATCTGTTATGGTGATCTGTGATCAGTGATCTTTGATGTTACTATAGTAATTATTTTGAGACCCCCAAAACTACAAGAATCACTGAAAGAAACACACAATAAATTTTCCATATAAGTTGAATTAATTTATACCTGGATAGGTTTATGTGCAAATCAATAAGGCAACTAGCATAATTAAGAAAAAAATTAAAAATTCAGTTTCTGTACTGAGACTACATTTAGGTAAAATGGTTAAATGCACCAGAAACTTTCATCCAATCCTAATGAAAGATAAATTGTATGATTTTCTGGATAATGCAATTAATTAGAAGCTAATTACAGGTATATGTGTATATTGTACACTCTTTCTGTACATACACAAGTTTTGTTTACATGATTGTATTACAGCCTTCATCATCATTTAGCACAGTATTGAGAAACTAGTAGCCATTCTTTTAATATTTGGTTTGTAATCAAGTCAAGTCATTTTAAAGGTCTGACATAGTCATGGGGTGATTCTAATAAATCCTGGACTTAGAGTGAAGACTCTCTCACTGATATTCTTGTAATTATTTCCTTAATCCTCCTCAGATTCAGCCTTTAATTCATTTTATCAAGAAGCAGCATTGCTATGTTAATTTCCTTTATAGTCTGTTGCTCATAAGAAGCATTAATAAGCACAGAAATAATAATAATATCAACAATATTTGATGTTTGGCACCTGTACCAAATACAATGCATGTGACTATTGCTGATCTTCAGATAGGTAATAGTATCTAGCTCACCAAGATTAAGTAACTTGCCCAGAGTCACAGTCAGGCAGATTGAACCCAGTCTATCTCACTTGAGCATCACTGTAGAATATTTTGATCATACATGCACACCATCTTTGGCTGTGTCTTCACGCAGAAATCTGTTGGTTATTTTTTGCTGAGGAGACTTTGAATTTTTGGATTTGTGCCTATGAATATTATCTCTGTTAAATACTTTACAAATGGTTAATACAATTTATGATATAATGAAATAAATGAACTGGAACTTGAAAATAATATTTAGAGAAGAGAGAGAAATGGGAGAGTAGGTTAATATTTTAGATTCATGAACTTTGTGGTGACTGACTTTTAAGGTTAAAAGAGTTAGTGAATTTTTGCTATTTTATATCATTGGTTCATATTCCATATTTATATCATTTGTTCAAGTTCCTCAAATGTTTTTTAGCAAAATAATAATGATGAAGTGAGGTTAATGTCTGCTATTTTTTTTTCATCAAGTTGAAACAAGACAAAACTCAAGAAATCAGCAGGTCAGAGCAAACGGACAGAAGAGTCCTTTTTTTTTTTTTTTTTTCCTCTGTGTATGACTCTGGGTATAAATAGAACAGTAATAAATTGGTTTTGGAAAAATGTGGTACACATTGGAAAAGATGAAGGCTAGCGCCTGGTACACTTTGGATTAAAATACGTATCAAACTTCCATATTATCCCCTTCTGCCTCTGCAGTTAATAAAAACACATCGTGAAATCGAGATGCTGAAAAAAACAAGCATTTCTTTCCTAACATTGATGACACTGATTTAATAAAATCTGTCGCTGAATACCCTAAAGTTTGTTCAATGAGAAGGATGTGAATTAATTAATTTAAATATATATAGATTAGAGTAGCTAACAAATAATATCATTGTTGCTTTTAAGTTAGGGAAAAATAACCAGTGGTTTCCATCTTGTCTTTTAGAATCTAGTACAGATTACTAGTTTTATTAACTTTTAATTAAACACTAATACAGTAACTGGTTTTTCAAAAAATATTAGAATGATACACATCTTTTCTGTGTGATCTTGATATTTAAGGCAGAACACAATATCATTTCCTTAATTTATGATATGCTGGACTAACATTTTAATTTTTTCTTTAAACCTTGTGTTTATTTGACCTGCTGATCCTGCAATTGTCCAGAATCATTATCACTTTGGAGATTATTTTTAAAGTTACCTTAAAATATGCAGATTGTTTCTGCTCTTATAAAATGCCAAGTATAAAGACCAAAGTAAATAACTTATTAAATATTAATGGAATTGCATTTCTGTAATTGTTGTGAATGCATTCTGTATGTAGTGAATTGTTGGGTCTAATTAATTATATATTTACCTCTGCTCCTTCACAATTTGGCCACTCTTTTGACCTAATTTATGACATGAGTCAGAACAGCTGAAGTAGTCATTTAACGCAACTAGTATTTTCTGAAGAAAACAATGAATAATCTCTATGCTGAGTATCTATCTAAAGTCTAGGAAAACAAAGTCAATTTGGCCAATTTCACTGAGATGCTCATTTGAGTATGTTCCTAAATGACTATTCTCTAAAGAATAACTGAAAACTAGTGCTTAATTTTTAGGAGCAAAGACTTCATGGGTTGTCTTTTATTATAATTATCACTTGAATTAATGTTATAATCTAATTATATTTACACTTACTAGTAAATATGAATTTTTAAAATTAACAATCTGCTTTTTTTTTATGTCTGTGATGATGGAATAGTGCAAATTTGTTGTTGACAAACTCATGTAAGACTCATTTGTTTTTTGGCTCAAACCACATAAAAGTCACTTTCGTGCTGGCTGCAGTGGCTCGTGCCTATAATCCCAGCACTTTGGGAGACCAAGGCAGGAGGATTGCTTGAGGCTAGGAGTTCAAGAACAGCCTGGGTAACATAGTGAGACCCCATCTCACGAAAAAAAAAAAAAAAAAATAGCCAGGCTTGGTGGCATGTGCCTGTAGTCCCAGCTACTCAGGAGGCCAAGGCAGGAGGGTTGTTTGAGCCTGGGAGGTCGAGGCTGCAGTGAGCTGTGATCATGCCAGTACACTCGAGACTGGGTGACAGAGGGAGACGTTGTAAAAAAAAAAAAAAAAAAAAAAAAAAGCCACAAAGTTTACAATAGTGGATTTGGCCCAGAATCTGTTATTGTGAGCTTGAATTTAGATAAAATAGAAATATATAGTGACCACTTTCTTTCCATAATTATAGGTCTGAGGAATAGTTAGATGACATTTTAAGAAAAGTAAAAAAGGTAAATTTAATGTTTTAGCATTTGTATAATGCATTTCTGGATATTGTCTCCATTAAAAAATTAATGAAAATCACAGCACTGGCCGGGCGCGGTCGCTCACACCTGTAATCCCAGCACTTTGGAAGGCCCAGGCAGGCGGACCATGAGGTCAGAAGTTCGAGACTAGCCTGACCAACATGGTGAAACCCCGTCTCTACTAAAAATACGAAAATTGCCGAGCGTGGTGGCACGCGTCTGTAATCCCAGCTACTCAGGAGGCTGAAGCGGAAGAATCACTTGAACCCAGGAGGCGGAGGTTGCAGTGAGCTGAGATCGCGCCATTGCACTCCAGCCTGCGTGACTGAGTGAGACTCCGTCTCAAAAAAAAAAAAAAAAAAAAAAAAAAAAAAAAGAAGAAAAGAAAAGAAAATCACAGCACTTTATTTTGATGTTCATGTCATTGACTAAATATATATAGGGTTGTTAAGTAATAGTCCTAAATACTCCAAAGTATCTAATGCACTTAAGAAATGCATTGAGGATTTTCAAAATATATTTGCTCTTGAGATCCTCAATCTACTGTATGCATTATACAGACGTACCCTGGAGTTACTGCAGGTTTAGTTCTAGCTGCCACGATAAAGCAAGTCACATGAATTTTGTGTTTTCCAGTGCATACAATAGTTACGTTTACACTATACTGTGGTCTATTAAGTGTGCAATAGTATGTCTAAAAAGTACATACCTTAATGAAAAAATACTTTATTGCTAAAAATACTAATGATTTTTTCGTTTTTTGAGACGGAGTCTTATTCTGTCACCCAGGCTGGAGTGCGATGGCACGATCTCGGCTCACTGCAACTTCCGCCTCCCGGGTTCAAGCAATTCTCCTGCCTCAGCCTCCCAAGTAGCTGGGATTACAGGCACCTGCCATCATGCCTGACTAATTTTTGTATTTTTGTAGAGATGGGGTTTCACCATGTTGGACAGGCTGGTCTCGAACTTCTAACTTCAAGTGATCCATCTGCCTCGGCCTCCCGAAGTGCTGGGATTACAGTCATGAGCCACCCGCGCCTGGCCCTAATGATCATTTAAGCTTTCTGCAAGTCATAGTCTTGTTGATGAAGGGTCTTGCTTCAATGTTGATGACTGCTGACCGATCAGGGTGGTGGTTTCTGAAGGTTAGGTTGACTGTGGCAGTTTCTTAAAATAAGATAACAATGAAGTTTACCACATTGGTTGTGTCTTCCCTTCATGAAAGATATCTCTGTAACATGCAATGTTGTTTGATAGCATTTCAACCACAGAACGTCAAATTTGGAGTCAATCCACTCAAACCTTGCCTCTGGCTCATCAACTTAGTTTATGTAATATTCTAAATCCTTTGTTGTTATCTTGACAATGTTCATAGCATCTTTACCAGGAGTAGATTTTATCTCAAGAGACCACTCTTTTGCTCATTCATAAGGCGCAACTCTTTTGTTAAGGTTTTCTTATGAGATCAGAGCAATCCAGTCACATCTTCAGGCTTCACTTTTAATGCTAGTTCTTTTTCTATTTCCACCACATGTACAGAATATTAATTCTTCACTGAAGTCTTGAACCCCTCAAAGTCATCTGTGAGAGTTGGAATTAAGTTAATACTTCTTTTAAACTCCTGTTAGTGTTAGTATTTTGACCTCCTACCATGAATCATAAATGTTCTTAATGGCATCTAGGATAGTGAAATTTTTCCAGAAAGTTTTCAGTTTACTTTGCCCATATCCATCAGAGGATGCACAATCTGTGGTAGCTACAGCCTTATGAAATGCATTTCTTAAATAAGACGTGAAAGTCAAAATTACTCCTTGGTCCATGGGCTGCAAAATGCATGTTGTATTAGCAGACATAAAGCCAACATCAATCTCCTTGTACATCTCCATTAGAGCTTTTGGGTGACCAGGTGCTTTGTCAATGAGCAGTAACCTTTTAAAAGAAATCTTTTTTTCTGAGCAGTGGGTCTCAACAGTAGGCATAAAATATTGAGTAAACAATCCTGTAAACAGATATGCTATCATCCAGGCTTTCCATTTACATCATCCAGGTGGTTCCATTTGCAGAGCAAAGACAGAGTAGATTTAGCATCATTCTTACGGGCCCTAGGATTTTTGGAATGGTAAATGAGCGCTGACTTCAATATCAAGTCACCACTGCACTAGCCTCTAACAGGAGAGTCAGCCTGTCCTTTGAAGCTGTGAAGCTAGGCATTGACTTTCCTCTCTAGCTATGAAAGTCCTAGATAGGATCTTCTTCCAATAAAAAGGTTGTTTTATCTACATTAACAATCTATTGTGTAGTGTAGCTGTCTTCATCAAAGATTTTAGCTAGATCTTCTAGAGAACTTGTGGCATCTTCTCCACTAGCACCTGCTGCTTCACCTTTAACTTTTATGTTATGAAGATGGCTTCTTTCCTTAAACCTCATGAACCAACCTCTGCTAGCTTCCAGCCTTTCTTCTGCAGCTTCTTTACCTCTCTCAGGCTTCATAGAATTGAAAAGAGCTAGGGCCTTTCTCTGGATTAGGCTTTGGCTTAAGGGAATGTTGTGGATAGTTTGGTCTTCTATGCAGACCACTGAAACTTTTTCCATATCAACAATAAGGCTTTTCAAGTTTCTTATCATTTGTATGTTTTCTGGAGTAGTACTTTTAATTTCCTCTGAGAACTTTTCATTTGCGTTCACAATTTGGCTGCTTGGTGAAAGAGGCCTAGCTGTTGGCCTATTTCAGTTTTTAACATGCCTGCCTCACTAAACTTAGTCATTCCTAGTTTTTTATTTAAAGTGAGAGATATGTAACTCTTTATTTCACTTTAACATTTAAAAGTCATGGTAGAGTTATAAATTGGCTTAATTAAAATATTATTATATCTCAGGGAATAGGGAAACCTAAGAAGAGAGAGAGAGAAATAGGGGAAAGGCCAGTCAGTGGAGCAGTCAGAACATGCGACATTTAGCCATTAAGTTCGTTGTCTGATGTGGGTGCAGTTTGTGGCATCCCAAAACAATTACAACAGTAACGTCAAAGATCACTGATCATAAATTGCCATAACAGATATAAAAATAATGGAAAAGCTTGAATTACTTTGAGAATTGGCAAAATGTGACACAGAAACAGTAAGTGAGCACATGCTGTTGGAAAAATGGCACCGATGGACTTGGTCAATGAGTTACCACAAATCTTCAATTTGTGAAAAGTGCAGGATGTATGAAGTGCAGTAAAGCAAAGTGCAATAAAATGAGGCATACTCAGATATTGATTTTGCAATGCTGTATAGTATTCATAAATCTCCTTAGAATACAACGCTTCCTTTTACTTCATCACTGCTGTCTTAAACCAACATGTTGGGTAATAGAACATTTGGAAAACATTCAAAACTATTTTGTATCTGTTTCTGTATTTTAAGATTGTGTCAGGTTTCTTTAGATACCACGCATGTATTTTAAAGATTTAAGGGCAGTTTAGGATGATATGTTTTCCTTTCAATGTACTTCTCTGTAAAAACCAGCATTGAAATTTTGCTTTAGTACTGTATGAAAATGTGAGGTCAAGTTTTATTTTGTACTTGTTTAAACAATTGTGTCATAAATCCATGATGTCTGTCTCTCTAAAAGTTTTCGTTCTAAATGTTTGTATCTTTTTTTAAAAAGGAAAAAAACAGGCCTGGCATGGTGGCTCACGCCTGTAATCCCAGCACTTTGGGAGGCCGAGGTGGGCGGATCACGAGGTCAGGAGATCGAGACCATCTTGGCTAACATGATGAAACCCTGTCTCTACTAAAAATACAAAAACAAAATTAGCCAGGCATGGTGGTGGGTGCCTGTAGTCCCATCTACTTGGGAGGCTGAGGCAGGAGAATGGCGTGAACCTGGGAGGTGGAGCTTGTAGTGAGCTGAGATCACACCACTGCACTCCAGCCTGGGTGACAGAGTGAGACTCTGTCTCAAAAGAAAAAAAAAACGGGGAAGAAAACAACCTTTTTAGTTTTTGTTTTGTTTTGTTTTTTGTTTTTTGTCTTCTAGCCCAGCAACATCGAGGGAATCTTAAACATGACAAGAATAACAAAATGGTATTGGGAGAAATCTTTTTGCAGTGGGGAAGGAATCTTCACTTTGACTATGAAAGGGAGGTCTATCTATCTATGATATAATTTTATTATATGAGCTTAAGGGCTTTAAAATGATGTTATTATTTTATGTATGATCTCTTGGAGCTGGTTTCATTTCATCATAGCTCTCGTAACTTTCCAAATTGCTGCTTAGGCCAGCGTAGAAGGATGTAACCTTGAGCAAGTCATTTTACCGATGAAGCCGCATCTCTCTTCTGTAAAATAGGGCACTCAGTAAACACTAATGTATATAGCTATTATTTCCTTAGAAGTCATTGAATTATTCGGTAAAAGTAAAAGAGCAAAATAATAATCATGGACTGCTCAACCTTAGATTTCCCATCCATTTCTTCAAAATATGCTAACCCAATAATGTGATATAAATCTGTAAGTAGTCAGCATTGTAAACCGTCAATATTTTTATGGAGGTTGGAATAGATATTATGTGCACATTGAAATACAATTACAGCAAGTACTTGATTACTCTGGGCTTGAATAGCCAGTGTCTAGATTGCATCAGCCTTTGTAAAACCTGAATATTCTTCTTCTGGCCATTTCACTGTTCATTAAACTATATACCAGAACATGAGCAGTGTGAAGAGATTCAGATAAAATGGAATTCAAACTATTTTTGCCTGTTAGGAAAAAAAAATACTGTTAATTTTTTAGGGAATTTTAGCTATGGGATAATAGTAAGAGTTTTCTTTTTTTGGTGGGTGGGGGAGGAAATCTGGCAGTGATCAGATTGTTTTACACATTTAAATTAGGTTATTTATGCTCTACCACTTACTGAAGGTAGTTGTGAGTTTCCTGTAATGTGCTGAATCTTAATTTACACTTTACCATCTGTCTGTGCTTAAGATTTTAATAGATTTTGCCCTATAGTATCCTCTTGTAGATGAAATCCATCTGTGGGAAAGCATCCACTTTTGTAAATCTACCTAGCCTGCACTATTGGGTCTCTAAACCAGAGATACAAGTGTTAGTAAAATTCAATAATTTTTATTTTTTAATGCTACCTTGTTTTATTTTATTTTCATAGTGTAGAGCTTTGAATAAACATTAATTAGTTGACCTGGTAGCAACAATATTGTGGTAACGATGCAGCTGACAGTATTGTAACATTATTAGTCAAGTCATAAGGCTAGTGTCTTATTAACCTGAAAGTTTGATTTCTACATAAATCAGTTTGGCTTTTCTCTTGCAAGAGTAAAAGATGATAACAAATCAAAATAAAACCTACCTTATTGTTTGTTTTTAGCACAAAATTGCTGCAGTATTTTTTTGTTAACAGTTTTAACTACTTATTTTTAAAAAAGAAGTTCAGGATCTTTTTGTGACATCAAATCTGTACAGTTATGCTTTATAAATTATGGATTGAATGTGAGAAAGTTAATAGTACTGAATTAAATTCACATACAACACCAGATGGTATTTAACAAATTTAAGAAATGCAACTTTTTGGCCGGGCATGGTGGCTCACGCCTGTAATCCCAGCACTTTGGGAGGCCGAGGCGGGCGGATCATGAGGTCAGGAGATTGAGACCATCCTGGTTAACACGGTGAAACCCCGTCTCTACTAAAAAAATACAAAACAATTAGCCAGGCGTGGTGGCAGGTACCTGTAGTCCCAGCTACTTGGGAGGCTGAGGCAGGAGAATGGCGTGAACCCGGGAGGCAGAGGTTGCGGTAAGCCGAGATCGCGCCACTGCACTCCAGCCTGGGCAACAGCGTGAGACTCCGTCTCAAAAAGAAAAATAAAAAGAAAAAAGAAAAAAAGAAATGCACGCAACTTTTTGTAATTTATGGTCACATATATTTTAAATGTGTATGGATGTTTTTATATATACACATATATAAGTATGTATATCTCTGTATACATGTAGATTCCCACTGTGTACAGACATATATACAAATACCTATATTTATATGCAATGACACAAATTGTATGTTTGTGCATCTTAATGCTACATATAACAAATAAAATGATTATGTAGTTATGTAATATGTAATGATTATGTAGTTATGTATTATCAATATTGTCATAGAGATAATGTCTGTGGAGTCAGTGTCTGGACAGTGTCTGTGGAGTCAGTTAAACTAAATGTTAATTGGGTCTGCCCTTTACTGCTTATAGGATTTTTCATCTCTTTGAGTCCCAGTTGCCTCACCTATAAGCTAGTGCATATCAAAAAGGATATCTATGGAAAGTAGATGAGACAACAGGAGATGTTTCAGGCACAGATCCTGGGACTTTTAAAGGCTCAAAGTTGGTCACTTTCCCTTAGGAGTAAAGCAGTACAAAATTTGTTTGATTCTCAAAAGGCCACACTATGTTACAAATCAGAAAAAGAATCTATATGCATGGCTTCCAAAACCATGTGGTTATTCTCCAAATAATCCAGATT
The DNA here is from genome assembly GCF_000001405.40 of Homo sapiens. Lineage (NCBI taxonomy): Eukaryota > Metazoa > Chordata > Mammalia > Primates > Hominidae > Homo > Homo sapiens. The sequence goes on from NC_000002.12 coordinate 209,546,804, forward strand.
TTAGAAGAATTAAATAACTGTAACTATTTCTCTTTTATTTTCCACTGGTATTGTCTTTGAGTAAAACAAGAAGATCAACAAAAATATGAAATTACAGATTTTAATAGCCTAGCCAGTGGCTAGGAAAATGGTTTAAGCATGGAGCACACTTTATCATACTTTCCAATGAGCCAATAAATAGAAGAAATTTTTAAAAATTAATTTGATACATATTTGGAAAGAAAATAGAATTCTCACTTTACCTGTCCAACTGGGAAAAATTGCTCCAATTATATATATACCCTAAATTTTATTTTTATTATAGATACCATAAACTGGCATTGATGCGTCCCCTAAAATACTCTTGTTGGCTCTTGCAGGGGATGTGTGAAGAGATATGCTCCTGGAAGCATGCCCCTTGAGGAGAGGGTGGCCTCTGTGCTACAGCCTGAGGGGCTTTGACATGCTACTTCTCAGACACCCTTCACACAGAGCCACTACCCCCCACAAAAAGAAGACCTACAAAACATTCACCTGAATTCTTTTTTTTTTAAATATGTTTGCTTTGCCAAATAAAAGTCCCCAGGCCACCTCCTTCCACTTAGTTTTTAAGTTCCTCACAAGTTGCAATTTTGTAGTCATCATAATCTTCAGGGTAAATGAGTGCCAAATAATCAGACATTTACGTTACAGCAAAACGTAAAATACCGGCAGATTGTAAAGTTTGAAAGATCTAACAAAGAAAAAAGTGACATTGCTAATAAAAATGCTGTATTGATGAATATCAATATTGAAGGTTCTGGAGTCACATCACAGGTTCAGATTCCTGCTCTACTACTTATTTGTGGTGTATCTTTGAACATGTTACTTAACCTCTCTGTGCCTTAGTTCCCTGTCTCAAATGGGGAAAATAAAACCACTGACCTCATAGTGGTTGTAATGTAGTGAGGATTAAATGAGAAATACATGTAAAACACTTAGCACAGCTAAGTTAAAATAAGGGTTAATTTTTGCCTTAATTCCACTATTATTATGATGTTTATTAAATGTGTTTCCATTGCATAGAACTCATGAATGTGCTTGAAGGCTGGAATTCTTTCACATTTTTGATGCTACAATACAGTCAGTCTTTTTACAAAAATGATAGTGATTGTGCAACAGTCTTTAAATGGAAGAAAGAAAATAAATAAAACACAAGGCATCTCCTTTTCCCATTTTTTAACTCAAACAGTGAAGCTTTATATGGTGCTTTTCTCGATAAAGCACCAGAAATAAATTGAATGCTGTTTATTAGCTGGACACAAAGTGTCCTGATTGCTTCAGTTCATCTAGGCATGTAAATTATTCAGCATTCCACACTAAATTGGACTTCAGGATCCAAGCATCAGTAGGAAGATATTTCCTGAGTAGCTTAACCAAATGTACATGATTGTAATAAGAACTTCTAAGGCAGTCCTACAAGGAAACAAATCACTCTGATTTGGTAAGGAAAATGGGGAGTTCCACAAACTTCATATTTTTATCTAGGCACAATTAGCTTACATTCAGAGGGACAATTAAGATGACAGCCTGCCTAGAAGGGCTTTGCATTTGTTTATTTGTCCTGTTCCTGATACCCACCAGATATTCTATCTTCTTTCTAAATATTATTTTCTTTGCTAAACAAATAGCAGAGCTTATGCTCTTAGCTGGATCCACACATAACCTTGTGAATCATTTTCAGATGTCATAGAAATGACATAAACACAGAATGTCAGAAAAATATTAGCCAGAAATGCAATCAATTGTTCAATGATACCATAAGAGACTAAGTGCCTGGTACAGTTTGGCTGTGTCCCTACCCAAAATCTCATCTTGAATTGTAATAGCCATAATCCCCACAACCCCCATGTGTTATGGGAGAGACCAGGTGGAGGTAATTGAATCACGGGGTGGTTTCTCCCGTGCTCTTCTTGTAATACTGAATGAGTTTTCATGAGATCTGATGGCTTTATAAGTGTTTGGTAGTTCCTCCTGTGTTCATTCTCCCTCCTGCTGTCTTGTTGAAGAGGTGCTTTGCTTCCCCTTTGCCTTCCACCATGCTTGCAAGTTTCCTGAGGCCTCCCCAGCCATGCAGAACTGTGAGTCAATTAAACCTCTTTCCTTTCTAAATTACCCAGTCTCAGACAGTTCTTTATAGCAGTGTAAGAATGAACTAGTAAAGTGCCCTAACACATTTTGGTCTTTCTGTGTTTCTAGAATGTTGACTTTTTTCAATCATAAGGCTCTTTGCCCTATAGTCACAAGATAGCTGCTACATGTTCAGCCGTCACATCTATATTCCAGGCAAGAAAAAATAATTGGTAAAGGCTTTCTCCTGAGGATTTTTGTTTTGATTTAGGAAGAAAGGCTCTCTCCAGGAGATTTTTCCCTAATATTTTCTTAACTAGAGCTGGCTATCACTAAACCTATCACTGGGCAAGGGAAATGGCTGTGAAGTAGACAGTGGACAGTGTCTACCATGCCTCTCTTTCACAGATGAGAAAACCAAGGTCTCTTCACCAGAACAGACTTGTGCAAGGCTTCAGAGTAAACTGAAGAGAAAAAGATGATCATTTCTGGCTCTGGTGGCTCCCACTCTACCAAACTGTACTCCCTCCATTAATCAATTAAGTGTTTATTGAAATCCTCTCTAGAACTGTGTTATTATTCCCAAAAGTCAGTCTTAGTTACCTATAAGGAATAATTAGAAATCCAAAGTATATTAATTAATAAATCAGCATACCAGATATCTGGAAAAATACTTTGTAAAAGATATTTGTTTATTCTTTCAACCTTTACAGAACCTGATATAGATTTAAATGTCAGAAAACTTCTTGAAGCATATTGTTTTCTTCTCTGCAGCTACTGTGTAGTCTGTTGCCTGCTATTTTCATGGCAACAATCACAAGTTGGACACTCTTTTTAGCTATAACAGGACTAGACTGAATAGGCCAGCTGAGAGCTATTTTACAAGAAAATTTAGCAATCACTTTGCGGTAATGGATATTGGTTTGTGGCACATCCGTTCTGGTTTCTGCCTTGTTAAACACTTTAAAACCAGCTCTAGCATACTTAGCTTCTCTTTCTCACCCTCTGGGAACTATAAGTTTACTCGTCTTTACAGTTGGTGGTGAACAATTTTTGATTTTATGCTGCTTCAAATGATGGAAAAGGTACTGATTTATTTTAAGGCAAAGTGACAATATAGTTTGTAGATTATTTCAGAATTTTTAAAGGCATTTTTAATAGTTTAGAGAAAGGAAGCAAACATTTTGTTAATTCCTTATTGTCAATCCCGGGGGAAGCTATAGTGGTGAATTAGTCAACCTTGCATTTTACATTAGAAACATTTTTAATGTGATTGCTCTTGGTATAAGACACTTAATAAAATGTCATATTTAAAAACAACATCCTGGCCTCTCCTCTGGGACCATCAAACCACACTCAAAACATTGAAGCGGTTCACAACATATATCTTATGGAAAAATGAATATGCAGTGAATCTATATACTTATGATTATAGAAATAAAGTATATGTAGCTTTATAAAGTAGTATAATGTTTACTCTAAATTTTAGTAGTAAAGAGTCATGAGTTTTGTATTTAAAATATATTATTAGGTCTAGTTTGAAAGCTAATTAAAAGACTCAAAGAAATAGGACTTTATTGCATATTCTTTCACAAAATTGAACTCTAATTCCTACACTTGATATTTACTCTAAACCTGAAATAATTTTTCTGAAATATTGATAATGAATATGAAACAACCTCCTGGATAGTATTTCTTAATTTCTAAGCCAGGGTAAGCCAGATATAGCTGAATGTGTAAAAAATGTTGCAAGAGATCATTTTTAGATGATTAATAAATAATCAAGATTAGTTCTTGTAGTTAACAAAGGGCTGAAACAGTTGCAATATTCAGAAGTCCCAATAATATAATGGTTTTGTCATGGATTAAATATTTCTGGAAACACTTCCTACTTGTCACAGTTCTCATAATGTACTTTCACTTGATTTAATATAATTAAGTAATTAAAACTTCTCAAAGTTTGGTCAGATCTCAGTTTCTCCAAAATAGAAATACTAAATCGTGTGTATAACTTGCATCGGGAATTTTAATATAGGTAGGTTCTCCCAGTCACATTGAGGAGGTCACCCTGACACCTTCTCATATCATCCCAATTTCATTTTTGTTCAAAGCAAGATCTAATAAGAGGAAGAAAAATGATGCCAATGCTGTCAGATCTCAAACACCATCTGTAAAGTATTCCATATTACCATGCCATTAATTGTGTTGGCATAGGAAGAAAATATTGGATTGGGTACAAAGTTATAGGGCTAGGTAGAAAACATACAACTTATCCTTTTTTATTAATGCTATATTTAAGCCTACAAAACTGAAGGGTTTAGTTATTGTTAGACAGAAATAGATTGCATATGGTATCTGTTAGAAAGCATCATCCCAGTAAGAAAAAGTGTGGTCTTGATGGTGCACTTCTTCCTCACTTTTTATTTTCATCAGTTACTTTTTACTACCTTCATCTATCAATTTCCATTTAATTCCTTTTAAGGGTAGCATACATAAAACATTATTTCATAGTGCATTATTCACCCTAGAAAGCTCATTGCATTCACTTGATAAGATACATTTCATAATTTTTAAAAAGTGATTTCATTTTGTATGTACTTGTCCTTGCATAGAGCCCAAAGAGCTCAGTTCTGTTTTAGAGGACATTGTGATAACTTCCTTTATAGGCAGAATTAACGTAGGCAAGCTGCATAATGCTATTTATTTTCAGGATTTGGTTTTTCAGTTTAAGTAAGAATTTTCATTTTAAAGATTAGCAATCTGGTAGAAAAAATTTCTATGATTTGAGCAAGTTTGCATGTACCGAAATGTTCTCTCTGTGGAAGTCATAAATGGTTTCCTTTCTGGGGAAACCAGAGTATAGTATGGCCAATTAAGAAAGAAAAGGGACTAACTATTGAGACTGTGTGTGATATGCTGTTACTTTGTACACATCAAATTGTTTATTCCACATAATGATCTTGTGAAGTAGGGACTTACTAAAGTCCAGGTTATTTACCTTCCCTTCAACTTTACAGCTAGCAAATAACAGAACTCCATTTTAAACTGAAGACTCATCCCAAAGCCATGCCCCACTCAATATACCATACTTACCATACTGCTAGTAAGATTAAATGGCTCAAAGTGCATAAATATACTTTTTGATGTAAGAAATTATTTCTGTTTTGGAATCATGGGGCATGAAGTTTCTACCAAAGCAAAAAGGTTGCATAAGTGTTTATTGACAGCAAATATTCTAATTTCTTTCTCTACTGTAAAATGTGGATAAGAACATCTATAAACAAAAATGTCTATAATAAAATAAGAATTAATTATAGAAAGACTTAGCCTTTTAAACTTTTTTTTTGTTGTTATTTACTGTAAAGTTGTCAATCCCTAACCTGTTATGAACAAAAATGTCTCACAGGGCATTTGGAACTTTTACATGTAACGACTTCCTGCATTCATCCATCTGCTTCTATTTTTAAACATTGGGGTTTACAGACATTTAGCACAGTGCCAGGAATATAATATATTTAAATAATATTGAATTTATGCTTTTAATAACATCAGGGCTTAGAATGAAATAAGCAATTCAATCTGTCACCCTTTTTGCATTTGTGTGTTACTACCATCATCTCCCATATAGTCTCTTCTTTTAAAAGTCCTATTATGTGTGTGCCTAAGACTTATTTTGAGAAATACTTACTGGCCGGGTGGAGTGGCTCATGCCTGTAATCCCAGCACTTTGGGAGGCCGAGGCGGGTGGATCACGAGGTCAGGAGTTTGAGACCAGTCTGGCCAACATAGTGAAACCCCATCTCTACTAAAAATACAAAAATTAGCCGGGCGTTGTGGCACGCACCTGTAGTCCCAGCTACTTGGGAGGCTGAGGCAGGAGTATCGCTTGATCCCGGGAGGCAGGGGTTGTGCTGAGCCAAGATCGCGCCACTGCACTCCAGCTTGGGCAACAGAGCATGACTCTGTCTCAAAAAGAAAAGAAAAAAGAAAAATACTTAGTTTGAAAATCAATTAAAATTGAAATTAATTTAGCTGGGAAAAATATTAAGACTATAACAAACACTGTTTGACAGCACTGCACTGTCACAAAACAGAGTTAAAACATTAAAAAGAATGTTTTGTTGTTGTTTTTTTTTTTGAGACGGAGTCTCACTCTGTCGCCCAGGCTGGAGTGCAGTGGCACGATCTCGGCTCACTGCAAGCTCTGCCTCCCGGGTTCATGCCATTCTCCTGCCTCAGCCTCCGGAGTAGCTCGGACTACAGGCACCCACCACCACGCCCGGCTAATTTTTTGTATATTTAGTAGAGATGGGGTTTCACCCTGTTGGCCAGGATGGTCTCGATCTCTTGACCTCGTGGTCCACCAGCCTCGGCCTCCCAAAGTGCTGGGATTACAGGTGTGAGCCACCGCGCCCAGCCTAAAAAGGATGTATTTTTAAGAGGCAGTATGGTACAGCGAGAAGAGCCCTGTACCGTACATCATTAAAAGAGATCCTGGTGTTGCCTGGTTCATAAACCAGATGCTTGTGTTTATGAATGTATGTATGGAAATTTAAAAATTCCTGGGCTCATCACCTTTACAAGAACATATAAGATAACATACAGGAAAGTGCTTGGTAAACAATACATTGATTTCCTGATGTAAATGACTGCTCTGATTATTGTTGCTGTTATTAATAGCACCAATTAATAGTAGTGCTAGACTTAATAAATGATAGTAGTTATTGGCATAACTTCTCAGTTGAAGTCCAAAAAGTGATTTCAAGTAATTTAAACTATTTTTATGCCTCTATTTATCTTATTTTTGGGCTATCCCTTCTACACTTATTTAATTTGTCCTCATCCCTAAGTGGCGTATTTGAGAATGTTATCATTGCCTAAATAAATGTATTACATTGAAAAGAAGAAGCATCTCTTAATTTCTTGATAGTTAGTGGTATGCTGGTAAAGTGGCTGTCAAGGAGAGTGGGGAAAGATGTAAAATGCCCTAATTTGTAGAGTTAGCGGATTTCTGTATGTAAATACTACTCCTGTGGCCAGTTTCAAGCTGTCCTCGTGATGTCACTGACCACAGAGTTGAGAAAAGAAGCTCACAACTGACTCGAGAGTGGGTGGGAGCTGGGTCCAGCATATACACCGTGGACAAGGGATCCAATGGGTGTGTTCAAGATACCTGTTTCACAGTGTAAACTACTGAGAATGAAGGCATGACAGAAATATACAGTTCTATCTCAGGAGATGACCTTTTAGCTCTTTGACTCTCATCTTAATACTTGCTTCTGCTTTTTAATAAAGCATTGAAATTCAGTCTTTTGGGTATTCAAATCTAAACTCTCCCCACCAGATCCTGGCTTGGCTCAGCCTGTAACCCTTGGCAGCTAGGTGGTCTCCAGAAGAAATCCCCTGTTTATTCTGCCTGCTCCAAATTTAGCCCACTACTCTGGCCACAGCGTCCTATATTCTAGGACTGGTCTTCTCCACTCTCTTCTACCCGAGGGTGTAGGATTCAGACAGATGTAAGCATGGTACCATTGTGAGTTAAGATGGATGCTGCCACAGTAGGCTGCTGTGAAGAATGCAGACTGGAGAATGAAAGTCTAATAGGTTGGTTTGGGGTCGGGTGCAGTGGCTTATGCCTGTAATCCTAGTACTTTGGGAGGCAGAGGCTGATGGATTGTTTGAGCATAGGAGTTTAAGACCAGCCTGGACAACGTGGTGAAGCGTTGTCTCTACAAAAATACAAAGCTACTCAGGTGGCTGAGGTGGGAGGACTGATAGAGCCTGGGATGTTGAGGCTGCAGTGAGCTGTGCCTGAATTATTCCACTGCACACCAGCCTAGGCAACAGAGACTGTCTCAAAAAAAAATTAAAATTAAAAAATAAAATAAAAGCTCGTTTTGGGACTAAAATTTTAGATTCATTTCGGTAGCAGGTAAACTGTTACCACAGAATTTAAATACACAGTAACTATCTGATAAATATTATATATATATAATTTATATATGCATTAAATATAATATATACACATTTTATGTATCTATCATATATAAATATATATATTATTTTTATATATATATATAATTTACTTTCTGCCTTGTTTCAGAAGGGATTTAAAGTGTCAGAATTTTAGGGGAGGCATCGAATGGGCAAATATAATCATAAATCCTGGTTCTTGGGGCTTCCAACTTCATGTCTGGAAAATAACAGATGATTCATACAGAAGATAGCAAAAGGGTGCCCAGTGCCCGTCATAATCCTATCCTTCATTTTATAATCCTAGGTCTGATTTTTGGTTTATTTGTTTGTTTTGTATGTTTGCTTCTATTTACTGCCTAGAATTCAACTATGGAGGTTTATTTGGTAGAATTTATCTGCTAAACAAGGATTTATTACACTTAAAAAATGCACATATTCTGAGAAAGCTAAGATGCCAGCGAATATTCACTCAGTTCAGTTATTTTTAAAAAATTTTCCACATTCCCGGTGGAATCTGCTATAGGGGAAGCTGTTTTAATGGAGGCCGAGAGTTGGACAATTTTGTGTTATGGAGAATTCTGGGAAGAAGGAAAGACCCGGATGGGACTGTTTATTAAGGCTTATGACTGGACTGGAGATAAGGTAAATTAGCATTGAGAACATACAGAACCACAGGCAAAGTTCTAGTTTTTTAGTAATAAAGGGGCTTATCTATACATTTTCAATATGAAGGAGTCAAAATTGAAATTCAGCTTTATTTCTTTACTTCACAACTCAAGTTTATTTCTTTTATTTATCCATTCAGCATTTGTTAAATTGTTGGATTGTGCCAGGCATAGAGGTACCAAAAAGCATTTTTAGCTCAGATTTGTAGTATCATTCAAACATATCAAAAGTCTAGCCAGGAAAACCAAGCGATATTTAATATTTGTCTTTATAAACTGGAGAATGCCAATATTCTACTCCCATCCTTCAAGGATGAATTACAAAATCTAGTCACATTCTCAGCATCTGCAGTTTGTAACAGGCCTGGCATCCAGAAAGACAGCCTAGTGGTTGTGTTCTAACTATCCTTTTAATGGTATTAGTTCTGGAAAAGCTGGATTTTCTGCTTGAAAAGAAATTGAAAAGAGAAAATCATTTTCAGGCATTCTTTCTTTTTTTTTTTTCTTTTCTTTTTTTTTTTTTTTTAGAGGCAGCCTCTTGCTCTGTTGCCCAGGCTGGAGTGCAGTGCACCATCATAGTTTACTGCAGCCTCCAACTCCCGGGCTCAAGTGATCCTCCTACCTCAGCCTCCCAAGTAGCTGGGACTATAGGCACATACCACCATGCCCAGCTAATTTTTTAAATATTTCTTGTAGAGACAGGGTCTTGCCACGTTGTCCAAGCTGGTATTGAACTCCTGAACTCAAGCGATCGTCCTGCCTTGGCCTCCCAAAGTGCAGGGATTGTAGGCGCGAGCCACTGCATCCCGCCCCAGGCCTTCTTTCTTTTGAAGATTTGTGGTTCTACCATTTATTTGCTCCGTTGCCTTAGACAAGTTATTTCATTTTCTGTACCTCAGTTTCATTATCTCTGAAGTGGAGACAATACTAGGATCTGCATCCTAAATCTGTAAGTATTACGTGAACCTTGTAAAGTTCTTAGCAGTGTCTGGCACATAGTAAGTGCTACAACTCTGCCCTCTACTGCTTAGAGAGAAATGTGAGGCCTAAACATGGGTGCCAGATTTCAACCTGAAACACCTCCACCCTTGCATACACGCACACATACTGGCAACATAATCTGGCCTATTAAAAAAAAAAAAAAAAAAAGGATTACACAGTGAAAGAAACAACCAAAATGGAAGGAAATATCTTAACTAGAGGTAATCTGACATAAAACCATTGTAGCTGACAATGGCATATTAAACCCAAAAATGTTCTAACCTACGTTGTAAAAAAATTTAAACTACATATATAAAATTATGTCTTTACTGCTGAGATTCTTTTTTAATTATTAAGCAATGCAAAACAAAACAAAATAAGAATATTCAAGTATAATGCTTATCATTCTCCTAATGGAAATACAGAGTTAAGTGCTATATATTAAATATGTATTATTATAATTATACATTATTTGGGTGAATTAAGTTGACATCTACCAGATAAGGAAATATATTTTGAATATCTATGTTAACAGAAGATACTGTCCTTTCTTTTGAACTGTTTAAAATAATTTAACATAGTTAAGTAATACTCAGTAGGCTCTGGAAAATCTGTGATCTCACATTCACTGTTAATTCAAAATACACTGAATAAAATACTATTCAGGTTCATCTGAATCTTGGACTTACGGTTTCTAATTCTGAGACCAGACAACAGACTTGTGGCACCATCTTGTTCTCTCACATAATGGGAGCATTTTGGCTGTACTGAGAAGACTAAACTTTAGTCCAGTATGTGAGTCTCATGACAAATTGTTGTTTCCGTTACCTGTCTGGTAAGAAGAGAAGACTCCTGTCCAATTCTTCAAGAATGGTATGGAGGTAGACAGCAGGAAAAAAATGTGGTTTTTTTTCCCTGTTTAAGCTGCTACATTCCAACTTGGTTATGGAGTGTAAGCATGCACATTCACACCAGAGTGAATCGTGTGGAGGCTCTTGTCCAGTAGAGCCACTATCCAACTCCAGCATCAGGCATCACTGGAAGACTCATCAAGGCATTCTTCCAAGTGGGTTTACAAGTACCAGAATAGTCTGTAAAATGAGTCCTTGGCATCCTGAAATGGCCCTGGATCCCAGGGGCTCTGAAGAGTGAGAATGAGCCAGGTTGTCTTTAGCTTAGATTAGGTCCTGTTTTACTAGGCAGCTAAAGGTAACAGGTTGAAGTGATGCAGGGAGGAAAGATGAGAGAGCCTTTAATGGCTCAAGTCCATGAGCAGTGTGGGAGTGGAAAAAGCACAGGATGTGCACTGAGGGAGTTAGAATTCGGCTTATCCTCCTCTGTACTCTCATGGTGCCTTATGAAAAACTCATCGCAGAGCTGAGCACATTGAACTCTAAACAGTTTTATGTGCCTTTCTCCACCACTGTATCATGAGCTATTTGGAACACACACAATATTTTCTTCTCCAAACTTTTAATTTTGAATAATTTTAAAGCTACAGAACAATTGAAAGAATAGTACAATGAATATCTGTGTGTACTTCACTAGATTCACTAATTGTTAACATGATGACAATGTTATCTTTCTCATCTCTTCAGGAAGATATATATGTATATACCATGTGCATACACACATTCATATATCTACATAAACACACACACATATTCTTATTTTATTTCTTTCTTTATTTTTTTGAGGTAGGTCTTGCTCTGTCACCCAGGCTGGAGTGCAGTGGCGTGATCTTGGCTCACTGCAACATCTGCCTCCTGGGTTCAAGCAATTCTCCTGCCTCAGCCTCCCAAGTAGTTGGGATTACAGGCACGCACCACCAAGCCCAGCTAATTTTTGTAGTTTTAGTAGAGACAGGGTTTCGCCATGTCGGCCAGGCTGGTCTTGAACTCTTGACCTCAGGTGATCTGCCTGCCTCAGCCTCCCAGCGTGCTGGGATTACAGGTGTGAGCCACCACGCCCGGCCACACATTCATTTTTCTTCTGAACTGTTTGCAAGACACTTCACCTCTAAACACTTCGTCTTGTATCTTTAAAGACCCAGACATTCTCATTACTACAATACTGTTATCAGAGCCAAGAAATTTAACACTCATTCAATAATATTATCTAGTATGTAACCTGTATTCAAATTCCTTCATTTGTCCCCAAAATGTTCTTTTTCTAATAATAATAATAATAATCCAAGAATAAGCAAGGTTACCATGTTTCTTTAGTCTCCTTTAATCTAGTAACCAGCACCTGCTTTTTTAAAATTTTGTGACGTTAATGTTTCTGGAAATACCAGGCCAGTTGTCTTGAAGACTGTCTCCCATCGTGGAAGTTCTTATTTGCTTACTGATCATTAGGTTCAGAGTATATATTTTTTGGGGAAATAACCAAATAGATGATATTGGACACTTTTTATCAATTTACTTGTAAAAGTACCTCTCTGCCTCTGTAATGAAGAAGGAATCTGTAGGGGATACTTCAAGGCCATGGGAATATCCTGTTTCCCCACATTCTTTCACCCAGCAGTTTCAGCATACATCAGTGATTCTTACCTGAGTCTGTTACTATATTGGAGGATGAAATGGTGATTTTTTGTTTTTAAAGTTTATCATTCTTTCTGCCCTTACTAACTGGCATTCTTCTCTAAAGAAGACTTTTCCCCCAACTCCTCTCCTTTTCTAAAGCTTCTCCTTCTCTCTCCCCGCCGACGCCTCCTTCCCTCCCTCCCTCTGTTAGAGTATCTCTATAGCCTCATGGATTTTCCTTCAGTAAATGTCTTATAATCTAATACCATCATTATTATATTTGGTGCCCAAATTATTTCAAATTTGGCCATTCCACTGGGCGTGGTGGCTCACACCTGTAATCCCAGCACTTTGGGAGGCCGAGGCAGGCAGATCACTTTAGGTCAGGAGTTCAAGACCAGCCTGGCCAACATGGTGAAACTCCATCTCTGCCAAAAATACAAAAAAAAAAAAAAAAAAAAAAAAAGCCGGGTGTGGTGAAGCATGCCTGTAATCCCAGCTACTCAGGAGGCTGAGGCAGAAGAATCGCTTAAACGCGGGAGGCAGAGGTTGTAGTGAGCCAAGATCATGCCACTGCACTCCAGCCTGGATGATAGAGAAAGACTCTGTCTCAAAAAAATAAAGAGAAAAACCAAATTTGGCCACTGGGAGCCCCACCAAGACAGTAGTGGTGTCCTTTCATCAAGTCTCATTAGTCAGTCCTTCAACACTTCTCTGCTTTCTGGTGCAACAAGATGTCCAGAGACTCTTTGTATTTTCCCTGTGCCAGTCCTGGAGTCAGCCACATTTTTTTTTCAAGGACTTCTTGTTCCTTTTAGTGGTAAATGGCATTTATAAACCAAGACTGGGGTGTCATTGCTTCTAGGACAAAATGAAGTAATTGCTTTGAGAGTACTTGGTGAAATATAAAATGCTATATTATCATGACTATGATTAGTGCTATGAAACAAGTATTCAGCTTACTTGGAACAATGCCAAATAGGAGCACCAATATAAATCTGTGTGCAGGGAATAAGTAGGAGGTAGGATATATGTGAGGGTGAAGGAAATAAATAAGCTAGCTTGGTTAGATACAACATGAGTCCTTGTCTTCTGACTCTGAGACTAAACAGAACAGATGAAAGGCTATGGATTGCATTCTCACCTGTTCCCTGTGCTGCTTTGTTATTTAATACTTCAGATAGGAAAGCATATTTTATTTTGTGATACATTGAAATCTTTTCAAAAAAATGAAACATTTATGTGAAGAATGATAAAACATACATTTGTGATTTCTTGTGTTTTTACTTTTCTTACATTTATTTAGTAGGTCTGAAAGAACAGTGTAATTTAGGGAATATAAGATTTTTTAAAATTGCAAACATATAACTTCTTTTATTTTCCCAGTGGATGCAGTACCTATGTCACATTTAAGGAACTGGTGTGGTGACAACTTTGAGATTCTTTTTTTTTTTTTTTTGAGATAGGGTGTCATTCTGTTGCCCAGGGTGGAGTGCAGTGGTGTGCTCATGGCCCTCTGCAGGCTTGACCTCCTGAGCTCAAGCAATCCCCCACCCCTCAGGCTCTCAAAGTGCGGGGATTACAAACATGAGGCACTGCACCTTGCCAATGTTTATATTTTTTGAAGAGACAGGGTCTTGCTGTGTTGTTCAGGCTATCTTTAGATTTCTTGTGGGCAAATGGATTGTTGTGGGTTTTACTTTCTATGATTCTATTTCAAGTAAGAAGCACACCTATTTGACTATGATTTCATTTTTAATACATACTATAAATATGATATGGTTTAATTTCAAGACTTTCTTGCTTTTGCCGTATCACTTTATACTCTCAAATTAAAACTCTTAAAAATAACTTACCCCTACATGACCACAGATTATGATAAATTGGACAGAGGACGGAGATGAGTAAATAGATGATGCTTAGCATCTCATTAATAGCAAGGAAGGAAAGCAAAACAGCCCAGATGACCAGAAAACAATAATTCTTTTCTTTATATCTTCATCTGGACTGTTACTTCTGACTATGGTGGCAAAAGCAGGCATGAGGTTGGAGGAAGGAGAACACACACAGAGACTCAATGATTTTACACGTCCTCTTTTCATTAGAAGCTAGGCTAAAAATAGGGAAGAACAAAGACATGTATTGTATGATTTATGTCGGAATGTCTTTTATTCTTATATTTTTGGTTTTGTGTCAAATTCAGGTGAAAGAATGTCAAATGCCTGTGTGTGTGTTGGCATCTGAACTTGGCAAAGAAGGTGATTGGGTTTGGTAGGGCTTTATTCCAGCTTTTTCAAGAATTCCTCACTTTTCAATACTGAACAGAACAGGCCATTCTGATAAAGAATCCATTACATACGTAGAAAAATTCAGGCTCATGAAGAAGCTGGGGCCAGATTTGTCTGATTCATGAAGGTTCTTCAGTTTCTAGCAGTTTGTCCTTGGAGAAGTTATTTAACCTCTCTGAGTCTCGACCTGCTCACCTATAAAATGGAGGTAATAAGAGGACATTCCTCATAAGGTCTGATTATTATGTGTAAAGTGCTTAATATAGTGTAGGCAAATTATAAGCACACATCAAATATTAGCTCTTATTTTTATTACTTATAGACACATAAATGGACATGTTAAGAAAATATGATTACTTCTTATCAATGTTTGAAAATTTTAAAACAATCCAATCAACAAATGAATTACTCAGTCTTCAAACTATGTTGTCTAATTTTATTTTGTTATTGGTTTCTTTAACTTTCTTCTTTTGAGGTGCAATATTTTTAAAGCTTTTACAGCTCTCTGTATTATCCAGACCACCAACTTAATGTAAGGCACATTGATGAAGCACTCAGCATGGCCAGGGACTCTTGTAGTTGTGAAGGATCCAAAAATATAATGATATAGTTCTCCGCAAGTAGCTAACTCTGGTAGTACTGACCATTATATAAACAAGGAAATGTCATTTTGTTTGATAATTACTATTACAAGATATAGTGAAGTTATAAATTTGGGAAAATTAAGGAATTCCTTATACTTAAGGGTCATGAAAGATATATTGATGTTCCCCAAATTAACAGTGCTGAAACTCATTCTTCAAAATGAAAATAAATATAAAATAATTTTGCTCAGTGACTAGAATATTTTTAAGAAAGTGTGCTTTAACTCTAAAGCAAACATGAACACATATGTGATTCTGGATATTATACTTTGGGATTTATCATAATGCCCAAGGCACTACAATATTACTAATTTATTTATTTCCTCTGGGCATCTTGTAATTTAAGAGGGTAAGATATCATTTTCCCCTTTCACTGGAGCATATGAGTCACAAAGGTAGCTACACACTGGGGGTGTCTCCAGCTTGAAAAAAAAAGCTAATGCAGGTTAGGCACGCTGGCTTACGTCTGTAATTCCAGATATTTGGGAGGCCGAGGAGAGTGGATCACTTAAAGTCAGGAGTTTGAAACCAGCCTGTCCAACATGGTGAAACCCCCTCTCTACTAAAAATACAAAAATTAGCCAGGTGTGGTGATGTGCACCTGTAGTCCCAGCTACTCGGGAGGCTGAGGCAGGAGAGTCACTTGAACCCAGAAGGCGGAGGTTGCAGTGAGCCAAGATTGCGCCACCACACCCCAGCCTGGATGACAGGGTGAGACTCTGTCAAAAAAAAAACAAAAAGCGAATGCAAACAGCATCCCAGTGAAGCACCAGAAAAACTGAAACCAATGCCTCAAAAGCCCAGCGGTGATTGCACACCAGCTCAAATACCAAAACAGAAATTTTTCTCTTTCTTGACTCCTCAACTAGCCTTAGAATATAAAGCAGTTTTTAAAAATTGGGGGTCATGTTTCATTTTTGAAAAATTGAATCATTAATGTTAGTTATCCACACATCTCAGGATATTAAAAGACTAAGAAATACATTACCAGAACTGTTTTTGGATATTCCATTGCTTCCTGGGTACCTGATTATTCACATTATGCACATTACTTATGTGAATGTGCTGTTGAAATTTTCAGCTAGAGGACTGAGATGCCAGACCTTAACTCCTGCCAGGTCTTTAGCCTTGTCTCTGCTGTAGAATCAGTTTTGATTATATACAGAATATAAGAGAGTACAGAGTAGTAGAATGGAGTTTTAAAAGCATACCTGTAGTATAAAAGCATATGACCTGAATTCATATCCAGTGGTTTAGTCTTCCTGTGTCCTAGTCTGATCATCTGTAACATGAGTATAATGAAAGTAACCACCTCACAGAGTTGCTATGAGGATTAAACAAGTTAATGGCTGGTGCAAAAGTGATTGTGGTTTTTGTCATTAAAAGTAACGGCAAAAAATGCAATTACTTTTGCACCAACCTATACAAATTGATGCTCAAAAAATGCCCTGTCCTTAGTAAGCACCTTATAAAAGATTTTCATTGTTATCTATAGAGATCCACGAGAACAACCCTCCTTCAGAGGCCATATGAATCTAGTTCAAGATTAAGGACACCTGCATCGCCACCAGCTTCCCAACCCACCCCCGTATACTTCTCTAGCTCATAGTGAAATCCCTTGGCCTCTCTCAGACTAAAGCAACAGTGTGGCTGGAATTTCCAAGCTCTGGAATCCAGTCCCAAGCTCTGAAGACCAAGATGATATTAACATAGCCCCTTGTGGGCGCTGGCTGTGCTGTTCCCAAATTCCTCATAGAGGTTTTGGTCTCAACCAAGATAGAACACTGTGGAAGCTGAAGTAATGTACTTTCATCTGAAACAGACAGGTGTCTTATTCACTTTATACTTTGCTTTGCGTTGAAAAAATAAGCTTTTTTTTTCTATGGTTACCAGTTCACAAACATCAAGTGCAAAACTTGCACGTACTAGGTGATAAAAATATGGCAAGAATGCTGAAGGTAACTTTCTAACTTTAAGCAATGTTTGTAGATCTTATTTAAAGCATATGTTATAAATACCATCTTGGAATCCTCTTTGTACTTTCATTCATCTCTCAACAGTCAATGTGAAATGAAGGTCAGTTAGTCTTAAAATATCCTTGATCAGAGCATTTTTTTCTGGATTTTTACCTGTTATTACCGATCGCAGCTAATGAAAAAGGGATAATACGAAAAGGAAAATGAATAGAAAAATGAAGGGAAATTCAGTTGCTTCAAACAATACATTTTAATTTGTAATATCTGTAAGTGTAGAAGACATTGATATAATTCAGTATGCTTTGTTCTCAGTGCAAATTCATATTCACATATAGATTGACCCCTGTACCTCATTTTTGGAACTCCCTGTTGGTTTTGTATGTACAAGAGGCAAATACCTTTACATCTGGTGAGGAAATAATTTATCTCAAGTTATTTTGAATCATTTATGCTAGTGTTTTTTCAAACTGGATTTAATGAACCAGTAGCGCCAGCATCACCTGGGATGCTAATGAATGCATGTTGGACTGATGGCTTACCTCTAGACTTCTGAGTAGAATTACACAAAGGTGAGGCCCAGAATCTGTGTTTTAGCACAGCTCTGTGGAGTAAAAAAAAAAAAAAAAAAAAAAAAAAACCAAAAGCCAGGGGTAGCCACAACCTTCATGTCTACTTTCATAGCCCCTTCCCCATAGATGGTGCTGGGGGGCAGTGCAGGTTCTTATTTCATAACCTGTTATGGTGGTGGTTGTTTTGAACCACAGATGCAAAGAATTAACCTTCTCATAATCCTCACTTCTTTGGCTCATTATCATCAGATCATGCAAATCTTTTTTCATGCTTTACGTTATTTTAACTTTTTTTCCTTTCATTTCTGAGCTCCACTTCCATTCTCCTGCCCCCACATGCCCTCATTGCAATGTGTTGTAGAGATGCCCATACTGTTCTGTTTCTGCCTTTTTTCACTCAACAGTTTAGAGTTTCTAACAGCTGCACAGGACAGCAAGATTCCTTCTGCCACCTGTGATGTGTCTCCGCCCCTTGCTGTGAACACCTCAGTTGTCTTGACTCCCACCATCATAAATACCGAGCTCAAGCACTAAACTCAGATTCACCGCTTGGCTGCTTCACTTTCATTAGGCTTCAAGATTACTCATAACATTTAATTTGCTATTAAATCTAGACTTTAACAACTCTTTTTCATTGATTGTGTTTTAAGCTGCCTGGATAACATGTATTAGGAGGAATTGCAAACTCAATGGAAAATTTCTTTTTGTTTTTATTTTTTTGAGACAGGAACTTGCTCTATCTCCCAGGCTGGAGTGCAGTGACATGATTATGGCTTACTGTAGCCTCAACCTTTTGGGTTTAAGCAATCCTTTCACCTCAGCCTCTCTAGTAGCTGGGACTACAGGTACACACTACCATGCCAGCTAATTTTTTTTTTAATTTTTGTAGAAACAGGGTCTCTCTATGTTGTCCAGGCTGGTTTTGAACTCCTGGGCTCAAGCGATCCTCCCACTTCGGTCTCCCAAAGTGCTGGGATAATAGGCATTAGCCACTATTCCCAGACCGAAAATATCTATACATTACAGATTGAATTATATCTGTATTTCCTTAACTATTTCCATCCATGATTTATAGCTTCTTTAAAATGTCAGTCATAGGTATATCCTTATCCAAAGTTTTTTTCTTTTTCTCACATTTGTCATACAATTTTGTGATCTTTCTCTCTGAGGCCGTTAGCTCTTTGTTAACTAACCTAAGTTCCTAAGAAAGTCCAACAAGAAATCACAAATTCATCCTCTCTAGTACAAAACATCTGTCCTGTGTGGGCATCATTTCCCAGTGAAATATTAACTCTTAATACAAAGGTCACAATGTAGGATTGTTTTCTCTTGTTATTTGCTCATCGGGTCTCTTAATCAAAAATGCTACCTTTGGATTTCTTGTCCGACTGCACAGATGTTTAAGAAGGAAATTTTTCTAAGCAAAGATTTTTTTAATATAAGTAGCCAAGCATTCAATCTAGGGAAGAATGCAACCAGCCAGTCAATAATGATGAAATACTTTTTTGTCTGTTTTTCATTCTCCCTCACTCAGCGACTGCTGACTATGCACCTCCAGGCCAGAGGCCTATTGAGAGTGACATTCACTCTTTCCAAGATAATCCTCATGATAGGATGCACTTAATTTATCCTGTTGATGAGACTGAACTGCATTGATTTGCATATCATCAATACACGTAAGTCCTGAGTGGAGGACCAACCATCCTAATTAATATATCCTCTGTCACGGACTTGCTGTATCTAGCAAATTCTGGAATAATGCTGATTGCAGGTGGCTGGTGAATATTGACGCTGTTCAGGATTTATAAGGCTGTATTGGAAGGCACGTGAAACTAAAATCTTCCTTGGAACAATGTCCCTGTTTAAAACTACTCTCATTCAGACCCAGCTGGGCATTCAGCAATGCCAGCTATTGAGTAAGATCTTTCAAGTGCCTCAGCCTGCTTCACCTGTCAGACTGGCTCAGTGGTTTAAAAATGAAACTCTATTTGTTTCCAAAGCTCTTCATCCTCCAACTCTTCTCTATCCATGTCGCATATTCTTGCTTCTTCTTCTGATTTGAGTGTCTTAACTCTCCTAACACACATCATCAGTTTTCATTTAATTCTTTTTTCAAGTGATGTACAAATAGTGCTGAATCAGTCTTGGCGTTTCTGTGCTATTTTATCATCTTCACAACCCCCGTTTGTTTCTTTGTTTTTTTGTTGTTGTTGTTGTTCTTCTTCAGCTTTTTTCTGTTGTAAGATAAGTTTCTTTTTCATCACACTTGGCTTTTAACTCATGAGTGTCAGTTTCTCAAGGTTTCCTTTTGTGCATTTCTTAACACAGGCCTCACATCCCTTTCTCTCATCCGCCATCAATCAATCATACATTTTGTTAAACAGCTCCAAAATAAAATAAGAAATTATAAGAAAATTAGAAGCATCCCCGTGCCACTAGAAAAATCTGTTTTTGAGGCATCACCTGCTTTTTTCTAATATGTCATCTATATGCGTATAAGCATTACAGTAGAAAGTATGTATAAACTGGACATTTGATTCACTTTTCTTTATTTTTTTTAGCTTCACTGGTTTAAAAATAAATAAATACCATGCTGCAGCACTACATACAATGATCTCAGTGACAACATATCTTCCTCCCCATCAGCGACTTCTTCCATTTTTTTAGGTCAATGTCCACAACACAAATTAACATTATTCATTGTACCCAGTGTAAAAGGAGCCTACCAGATATTAGAGAAAGTTTTGTAAAACACATCAAGTTTGCCCCTAACTAACATAAAACCAAGGACCTATATAGATGAAAGTTTATTTAAATGATTCCGTAACTATTTTCCTTGACTATGTTCCCCATTACTTTGGGGTAAAATGGAGGAGAAAGAGTTGAAAAGGGGAAGGCAAAACAAAGATAATGGAAAAGTCAAAAAAAGCAAAACACAAGAGTGTGGTAGCTCAAGAAAAAGGTCAGTGGTCCTGGGGGTGTGGAAATTTCTCTTCCAGACAGATCTGTTGGCCCAGATTCTTACAATAGCTATTTTTGCATTCCATTTGAAATAAAAAAGTAGATAGACCATGCCTAGAAAAAAAATTGAGTTCCGTTTTACAGAATATTAAATAAAACACTGACTTCTTCAATTATATGTTTGCTATTAGTAGCAAAAGGAAAAAAAAAGCCACAAAACTATGGAAAATGAAACGAGTATAAATATAACATAACATGAACTCTTTCTCGCCAACTTAATGATAATGTTGAGAAGGAATATACATATATAGGCATTGCTTATGTATAATATTTCCTTTTGATTTAAAAGCCAGTATATCTTTTACCTAAAATCCTTTGCAGCTGAGAAATCTGATGATAGAATGAGCCATGAAGTTTTAGTAGAAATAGAAACAGTACGCCCACTCTTCATCTAAGTTCCTGTTTCTTTTCACACTAGGGATTTGATATTCATCATCTTTATTCTTTGGTTCCAATCAATAGGAGAATTTGGAACTTTCATGCACATGTAGATGTACTTGAATACATTCTAAATATTCAAAGTGTGTTGTAGTTCTGTTTTATTGAAATATCTATAAATAAATACCTGCATAGATAATTAATTCTCTCTTCTCATCTCTATTGTAACCTTGGTACAAGGACTAGAGGAAGAGGAGAGACTAAGAAATTACATATGTAATTCCTGGTGACCATCACCCTAGGGTACACTGTCCCCTCAACAGCCAAGAGAATAAGTCTGGATTTCATAAATTTTTGGAATATGGATTTCAGTTATTCACAAAATAAATATATGCATTTTCAGAAATCATTCCACTTATGATATTGTATTTATTAAACCATCAAAGTAGACATATTATTTGAACTGGGAATATTAGATACTGAAAATAAAAGCTATAGGATCATGCAGAATTTAAGCTTCTTCAGAATAATCTGGTCATGTTAAGGTTAAAGATTACTAAATTTAAATGGATTGGCACTAGCTGACCTCTTAAGTTCTGCTGGCTCTCCAATTCAGTGAAGTTGCTGAAGACTGAAGGAACAAGAGAGGTTTAAAATATTGAGATATATTAATCTTCAGTGCTTAGAAAGCAGTCAACAAAATAGCTCCTTTTAGTAGTTTTCAAAAACAAATCAGGTATTTAGATCTACTGTCATGAAATGTAGCATTTGATTTTGTAGCATTTGATTTGATTTCAGTCTTTCATGAAATTGTAATGGCCCCACTTGTGGAGAATTTGATTAAATGAAGGTTCATTTCCTGCTTTCAAGAAGATCAGCCAAGAAATTAATGACTCTAGAAGATGGTTCTGCTTGACTGGTTGGCTGCTAAATAAAAATTTTATTTAGTAAAAAATCTTCCGCACTAATTCTCTTAATTTTCCTTCATGGTTTGCCCATTTCTCTTGCAAATATTGTTTGCCTATAGGGTAGTTGTACCTACAGTGAATACGGTTTGTCTTAACACTTAGGTTATATGTAAGATAAAAATAAATTTACTAGTTATAACTAAGGATTCACAAGTAGATAAGAAAAACTGCTAGAATAATTTTTGTAGAAATAAAAAAATAAGTAAATACTTTTTAAAACTTGAAGTAAAGGAAGAGGGGTTACTCAAACTCCCTATAAATGTGCCAAAGATGAAAAATCTAAAATTTGTATATTCAAATAGCTAACCAAGACCCAAAATAAATGAAACACTTACACTACATGTTTTATCTCATGATTTCTGAAACTTTTAGCCCTAAGACTTTTAGGAAGGTAATTTATGCTTCTTATATGAGCTTTAATGTTTTAATTTCAGTGTTTCAGTGTTCATGCATGCATGAATGAATATTTATTGAATATTTATTGTGCACCAGTTATATACCAGACCTAGTTCTAGGTATTTGGGATACATTCATGAACAAAACAGGCAGAGTCTTGCCTTCATGAAGCTTACAAGTGAATGGGGAAAGACAATAAAGGATAAACATAACAAGTAAATTAATTATGTGGCACATTAGAAGATGATAGCAAAATGGAGTAAGGGGGATTGGGAGTAGGAATTACAGATTGCAGTATTGAATAGGATGGTCAGGTGAAGCCTGCTTGAGAAGGCAATATCTGAGGGAAAACTTCATGGAAAGAATAGAATTGTCTGAAATGAAAAAGTGTCCACACCAAAATTTAACTATTAAAAATGTGTTAACTTTTTTAATGGACATAGATTACATAACATGATATGGTGTTTTCTCATGTAACGTTTAAGATTCACCATGATGTTTGATGATTTCTAACTTGATAGAATAAAATAAGGGTAGTGATTGTGTTAAGATACGTACTTTACTATTATCATCTGTACTTCTAAGATAGGAGTTAATTTCAACAAGATGTTTCAAAACAATCATAATAAGCCCAAATTGTCAAACAGCAAAGTTCTTTAAAAACCCATGAGCCTATATTGCACTCATATATTCTATATCCTCTGCCAAGATTAAACCAGATAGATAGTAATTAAAATTAAGATGTTTTCCTCACCTCCAGGAATGCTTGTTTATACATATATATTATTTAAATATGAACTGATGGAATCTGAAATAATTCTGACAGTAAAAATCTATATTTTTAATCTTATCTGTTTTATGCACAGCCTACTTACATAACAAGTAGTCTGTCTAAACTCCCTCTCCTGGAAAAATAGAAAATTCTTAATTCTGTGTTTAATTTATCTCTTCCCTTTCTGCTATCTTGTAAGTGTAAATGGAAAATTCTTAGTTCTATGTTTATCTCTTCCTCTTCTGATACCTTCTAAGTGTTAGGCTGAATTACAAACTAATTAGCTGAGAAGTCCAGGGATTGAATTTCTGCTCTACCACTTACCAGCTGTGTTCCCCTGGGCACTTTACTAAACCTAATTAGGCCTATTTCCTCAACTGTAAAATGGAGGCACATGACTCTCAGAATTGTTGAATAAAATAATGTACTCAAAAAGACTGGCACTTTATAGGTTCTTAATCATTTTATCAGAATCATGTCATATGCTTTTCAAATTCGCAAATATTAGAATAAATAACTGAATGTAAATTACTGAAAAATGGACCAAGCCCGTATCTAATAACAGGCATTATAGTATAATGATGGTTTTTGTTTTTTGATTTATATGTTGGCGATTCTGAGAAAGGAAAGAGCTTTATGACATTATGTGCTTGTGGGAATTTTGGAAGCCATTATGAAAAAGGCACAATTTTAAATGAACCTAAAAGGAAATGTAAGATTTGGGTTGGAAGAGAAGAAATCAGTGATTCCTGAAATAAACTTACGATTACGATAGGCCTCAATGGGTAATGGATTTTTGTGAAAAGGATGATACGGGAAGCATCTTAGCTGTCCATTCTTTTGTCATAATAGCGTAGTTCTGTAAGGGCTGCTTCACACAAATACTTTCACTTGTTGCCATATTCCTAAAATACAAATTTTACTTCCATTTCTCATTTCATGTGCTTTTACTTTACAGTTGCCATTTATTTACTAAAAGCCAATGTAAAACATACTCTCCCTACTAAGGAGAATGTGCCCTTACAATTTGTTTATTTAATATACACATAATCATATAGTCTTTATTTACACAGCCATGGTTACATGGTATGTGTGTAAAATATATGCTTATACAAGAACCCTTTTGCATAATATTCACTATAGATCCTAAAACTTATGAATGAAGAACTTCTAAAACAATGGCACCATAATATTTATTACAATTTTTATTATGAAGGTACATTACATTAATAGAGTGCCCTCTACCCCATGTCACTGCCACTCAGGTCAAGAAGACATTGTACATCTTCCAAGTCAATACAGTCTCTCATACTACTTTCTACAGAGGTAAACAGTATTCCGATTTCTTTCTCTGAATATTAGTTTTATCTGCTCTGGAAGTTCATATATTATTCCATATATTTAGTTTAGTATTTACTTTCACTAGATATTGCCAAACAGTTTTCCAAAGTGGTTGTATTAATTTAAGCTCTCACCAGCAATGTATGAGAGTCTTAGTTGTTCAACTATTATAGTTTTCCTTTCAACCTCTTGAGAGCTTTTAATTCCCAACATAGTTCTTAAAGTGTAATGAGATTATGACTTCAGGAATTGAAGTAGCAATTATTTTTCATAATTATAGTTCATGTGACATTGTTTTTAAAAAGAAGTTTGGTTTATTTTACTTTAGTAAAAGTATGTGAGAAGACTAGAACTTTGAGTATAGTTATTTCATGAGCTTAGGTGGTAATGTCATATGAAATCTAAATATGGCTTTTAAGCAAGTGTTTTTATTAAATTGCAGTCAGACTTTGAATGCTGACAATAAGAATAACCTGTCTTTCTTTC
The DNA here is from genome assembly GCF_000001405.40 of Homo sapiens. Classification (NCBI taxonomy): domain Eukaryota; kingdom Metazoa; phylum Chordata; class Mammalia; order Primates; family Hominidae; genus Homo; species Homo sapiens. Next base: position 209,571,878 of record NC_000002.12, read on the forward strand.
TCTCTCTCCATTTATACCATCCCATTGGCTTTACCTTGATAAGTGAAATAAAAGCACTGATGGAATAAAGAAAAACGAGAATTTATTACTTTTAGAATTGTGCAAAATTTGTCAGTGAAATATGAATATCTCGGAGGTTCAAGATGGTGCATAATCCAAAAATAATTTGAAATGTATTATGTACATACATTTGGATAAGAATATAAGTGATTTTTTAAAAAAATCATCATACTAAGATTCTAAATGAAATAGTCAAGCTAAACTCTGTTCATCATAACTCAGAAGTATTAAAGCCTGATTCAAGAGCAATTGGAAAGTGATTTCTAGTTATCTTGTCTTACTCTTCACCCTACTTGGTTGGAATAAATTCATCCTTCTCATTGCAGTACAACTCTAATTAATATCACAGTGACTATGTCAAAGATGACCACATGCAACGCGTATCTCAATATGCTCTTTGCTTTTTATAAATATACTTTATTTTGTAATTTGTTTTTCATCCAAGTTCAGTGGAGATACTAAATATTTTGTTTAAATATTTCTTACTGGGTTTTATGTATAAGGCATAGTTAAAATACATATAAAGTAAGGCAGATAGTTATAGGACTTTGGGCTTGTATAATATCAATATTATTTTCAAATTTTAAGTAAGTTAATAGCCCAGAGCTCAGTGGCATAGAATACCTAGTAAACTTAAATGAAATATCAAATAGACAACAAGCTAACAAATCTAGTCCATTTTTTAATCATAACAAAACTTGTGGCAGGAGTCAAGTGATTCAAGGATTCTACTTTTTCAGGAGAAATTTTGTTCCTCAGTAATAAATTTGTCCATTGTTTGCTGTCAGAATTATTTGCATGAGTTTCTCAACATACAGATGTTTTTATAACTAGTAACTCAGCTTCGTTGATGGTGTATAGTTAATACTTTTTATAGTTTTCTATGAAAAACAAAAGACAGCCATGAGAGTGATTTACATATATTTATCCTTTAGATGCTTAGTGATTGTCTTTCAACTCCTGACCAGTTGTTCTTTATCACATAAATCAGGGATCCACTAGAGCACATATCTTTCATTTATAATACCATGTTAATCCATTTGTCCATGTAAAAGAAATTTTTAAAAATGGAGATCTGCAGATCTGCAATTGAATTTGTTAAAGAATTCAAGAAACACTTCTAGAAGATTTTCAGATTCCCACATGAATCAGAGTCTCATGGCCTCAAAAAAATGAATAGCTTTTGGAGCCATGCTTCTAACAATTTGTAATAATCTGGAAGGTGCCATGGATTGAATTATAAACTTGTCATATTTTAATTAGTGGCCATGGAATTCAAAGACTTGCTGCCTAGAGACTGGGACCTTTTTATTACTTTTTTATCTTTCTTTTTTTTTCTTTTCTTTATTTTTCTTTTTCTGTTTTTTTTTTTTTTTTGAGGAGTCTTACTCTATTGCCCAGGCTGGAGTGCAGTGGCACGATCTCGGCTCACCACAACCTCCGCCTCCTGGGTTCAAGCAATTCTCCTGCCTTAGCCTCCTGAGTAGCTGGGATTACAGGTGTGAGCCACCACACCCAGCTAATTTTTGTATTTTTAGTAGAGACAGGGTTTCCCCATGTTGGCCAGGCTGGTTTCGAACTCCTGACCTCAGGTGATCCACCCACCTCAGCCTCCCAAAGTGCTAGGATTACAGGCATGAGCCGCTGTGCCCAGCCCCTTATTACTTTATTTTTTACTGAGTTATTGAGATATAATTCATGTGGCATGAAATTCACTCGTATACAATTCAGCAATTCAGTGGTTTTTAATATATTCATAGAGTTATGCACTCATAACCATTACTTAATTTCAGAACATTTTCATTACCCCAGAAAGAAGGCCCTACGCATTAGTTGTCACTCTCCATTACCCTCTGCCCCAAGCCTCTGGCAGCCATTAATATACTTTCCATTTTTATGGATTTGACTATCCTAGGTATTTCATATAAATGGAATTATAAAATATATGGCCTTTTGTAACCACCTTCTTTCACTGAGTATAATGGCTTTTAGGTTCATTTGTGTTGTGACATGTCAGCACTTCACTTTTTTATTGCCAAACAATATTCTATGAATATACCACATTTTTTAAAAGTTTTATTATTAATATTTTTGACTGACAAATCATAATTGTATACATTTATGGGGTACCATGTGATGTTTATTTGGTTTTTGTACAGTACAATGTTATTACCTATGATTCTCATGGTACATTCGATCTCTAGACTTGCTCATTCTACATGATGCTATTTGGTATACTCTAACCTACATCTCCTCATTCCCTGCCACTGCCAAACTGTCCCCCAGCCCTGTCACTGGTAACCACAGTTTTGTTCACTGTCTGTATCATTGAATTTTTATTATTATTGTTATTTATATCTCACAAATAAGTGAGATCATGCAATGTTTTTCTTTCTGTGTCTAATGTACTACACTTAGCATAATGTCCTCCGGGCTAATCTACATTGTGGCAAATGGCAAGATCCTGTTCTTTTTTAGAGCTGCATAGTATAGATACACACACACACACACACACACACACACAGACACAGAGATTATGGTTTCTTTATCCATTCATCCATCTACAGACACTTAGATTGTTTACATATCTTAGCTATTGTGAATAATGCTGCAATAAACATGGGAGTCATTTTGTACAACTCACGCTACCCAATCCCGCATCCATGTATAGCTTCTCTAGGTATTAGGTTGAACCATTTGAAATTGGCATTTTGTAGGTAAAAAGTAATATAATTTTATCATTTTGTATATCTAAGACTAATGTGCTGATTATGACACTTTTTGTCTTTTTTGACCAAAATATATTTTTGTGTGGACCAACTTTGTTGGAAGAGAAAATGTCATCTATAGTAAATAAGGCAAAACAGTGTTCAGTGATTTTGGATATCATGATAATTTGTAAAATACTTACACATCTGCCTATTTGATTTAGAATAACAAACTCAAGAATACTAGGGGAAAGCATAAGTATTATTTCTATTATAAATTTTTGAAAGTACAAATTTTAGTAAGTGTAGTCATATCTCTACAAAGGTCATTCCAAAATATTTTGGCCATGAGGCAGCATTAATTTGTCAAATTTTATTTTAAAAATCTAAAAATTATAATTTAGCACATTTTAATACCAAGAGAAGGCATGATTTATCAAACAAACTCTTTCTGAGCATTTAAAAGCTGATAGCCCCATGCTAGGTACTTTGCAGAATTCAAAGAGAGTAGGAGACAAGTCTCTATTTAAAATAAATTTACATCCTATAATAGAAATTATAAAACATATTGATTACAAAATATATGGCAAGGAAGGCCGGGTGCGCTGGCTCATGCATGTAATCCCAGCACTTTGGGAGGCCAAGGCGGGCGGATCACGAGGTCAGAAGATCGAGACCATCCTGGCTAACACAGTGAAACCCCGTCTCTACTAAAAATTCAGAAAACTAGCCGGGCGTGATGGCGGGTGCCTGTAGTCCCAGCTACTCGGGAGGCTGAGGCAGGAGAATGGCGTGAACCCGGGAGGTGGAGCTTGCAGTGAGCCGAGATCGCGCCACTGCACTCCAGCCTGGGCAACAGTGAGACTCCATCTCAAAAAAAAAAAAAAAAAAAAAAAAAATACATATATATGTGGCAAGGAGTCGCTTACAAATAAAAGGCAATATTTTTAAGAAAGACTGAATATATAGAATAGGGAAGACAATATGGAATACAAAAACTTCTCTTGTGTTTAGACATTCCAATTCATCCACTAGTGTGATTTTTCATATTCAGTCATTTAAAAAACATGTTTGAGTGCCAGTACGCTCCAGGCACTGTTTTAGGTGCTTTGGATACCAGTGTCCCAAACATGTAAAAATGACTGCCCTCGTGGAACTAGCGGGGTGAAGTTAGAAGTAAATAAGAAAAGTTTATGCTATGATAAGTGCTATGGAAAAAAGTAAAATGCAGCAGGGAATGAAAAGCCATGGAAAGGGCATGGTTGCAACTTTCATTATGGTAGTTAGGAAAGCCCTGGTTGGAAGATGATCTATGAGCAAAGGCTTTAAGGAGGTAAGGAAGATAAGTCTCCATTATTCATTCCTGGAGAGTTTAGGTAGTCATACACAAATACGCAGACCAATATATTTAGGGAATGAAATCAAAGTTATTTCAGAAGAGGCACAGGGGTGAATTAACTAAATTTGGGAGTATAGCTAAATCAGATTCTTAAAGATCAGGCATCTACAATGAAGCAGATATGACAGAGGGGTGGAGTCATAGTATCTCATCAAAGTGAGAAAAGGAAGTGTGAAGTTAGGTTTCTGCTAATTTATTTATTTATTTATTATTTTGAGAGACGAAGTCTTGCTCTGTCGCCCAGGCTGGAGTGCAGTGGTGCGATCTCGGCTCACTGCAACCTCCACCTCTTGGGTTCAAGAGATTCTCCTGCCTCAGCTTCCCAAGTAGCTGGGACTACAGGCATGCACCACCACACCCAGCTAATTTTTGTATTTTTTTTTTTAGTAGAGATGGGGTTTCACTATGGCCAGGCTGGTTTCAAACTCCTGACCTCAGGTGATCCACCCACCTCAGCCTCCCAAAGTGCTGAGATTACAGGCATGAACCACCATGCCTGGCCTTCTGTTAACTAATTTATTAAATGAAGTGTCTTGAAAAGGAAATCCTGTTTCCCACTTTTTTTCCATTCCCAGAACCTGTAAAGAGTCTGAAAAATATGTATGTGTGCCATCACAATTGATTGAATGGATGAATGGTGGTAATCCAAGGTCTAAAATACTGTCAGACAGAAGAAGGGTAAGGCAAGCATCAGTTTAGGCTTTTGGGCATAAATATGAAAAATCTAAAAATTCACAGAAGTATCTCAATTGTCGGTTGTCTTGTATTCTTAGAATATGACATACCTAAGGGCAGTAATTATGTTTCACATATGGTACTTACTCCATGTTGGAAACAATTGGGAAAAAAAGAAAAGAAAAAGAGTGTACCAACTCATTCTCATGTACTGAACTAGGTATCCCTAAATATTAAATGACCTCCAGAGAGTATTAAATGTTTTTGGAAGCTGTGCTATTTTTTTAGACTGACCAGGACCCTGTTATGTGCTTTCATGATAGAATATGATTCATGTTCCCAGACATAAGTCTTAGGCATCATTTTTTATGTTCAGAAGTGAACAGAAGACAATACATTAAAATAAAGCATTCACTTTGAAAAATCACCTCATTATCCAAAATCACTGAAGAAAAATAGACATTTAACAGGGAGATTATATTTAAAGGGGCATTTTTTTTTTTGCGGGTCGGGGGAAGAATTCTAACCAGTATGTAGGATTCACTAAAACCTGAAATCTCTTGTGATTATTACCTGTGGTAGTCATACATTTTCAAAATGTGATTTATTCATTTTATAGCTACATACTGGGGAGAGAGGATGATGATGGTGGCAGCAACTGTCTTTTAGACATCAAAAAAAGCAGTATGACCCTATCTATAGATGAGTTAATCCAAAAGCATTGAATCATATAAACTGAATATTGAAAGAACAGTTTGGAAAGAAAATAAAAACAGTAAAATATGAAGGTCAAAATTCTAGCCACATTTACTGAGTAGTTTAGAAAGATTTTAAGAAATTTTGCGCCCTCCAGTGGTTGTTTTGGAATGAATTATTATCATTATTATTGTAATTTTTAATTTTACCTGGGCTTTCCATTTTCCAGCTTCATTGTTTTTGGTAACCCAGGAAAGTTTAACTTGTCTATACCTAGAAGGTGCCTTGGGAGACCGACTCAATTTGATTACCCAGTTTTATGCTTGCAGAAATAATGAGGCCAGTAATGATAAGAGTGCCTAGTATGTAATGATGAAGTTCAGGCTCAACAAGATAGGTTCACAAAAGGGCAATCATGCTTGATTTATCTGATTGCCAGACTGGAAATGAAAGAAAAGCAGTGACATAATTACCCCAGATTCCTCAGACCTCAAATACAATCCAGCACAGATATTTGCAAAAGTCTTCAGAATGATTGCAATGCATTTTAAAGAGGGACATACATCACTGCTGTAGCAAATACAAGAAGGTTTAAAAAATCAAAGACAAAGGATGTTTCTGGAATCTGTATTGCTTGCAAACAGAACAAAAGAGAGCAGGGAAAGAAAGTCACTTGGTGAGAGAAGAAAGGCAGAGGATTGAATCAGGAAACGCTGCGGGTGCCTGGGTTTTGTGACCTTGGTCATATTCTTTGGGCCTCAGCTTTCTCACCTATGAAACAAAGGATGTGGACTAGGCTAAGTGGTTCCATGAAGCCAGTATTTGGATAGAGGCAAGGGGTAGCAGAATTGATCTCATACAAAAGAACTGTAGTTTGAATATTTATGAAAGCAAAATTAGCTAGTGATTAAAAAATGGGGCAGAAAGGTGGCTCAAGGAGAATGCAAATTTATCTTAATTCAAAATACAGTATAAAACTGATGGAGGCGATTCTTTCAAGAAGGAAAAAAAAAAAAAGAAACATATCATCTGTCTCTCAATTTCCTTCCCTGTAGTCTCATTCTCTCTTCTCTGCCATCATATTTTTTTTTTCTTGACTTTCTGTTTCCAGTAACCATGGTGATGCTTCTTCCCAGCAACCTTCTTCACAGCTGGCCTTTTTGGTTCTCATCGAATTTTGCTCCATTCACTGGTTCAGGTTGCTAACAATGCTGTAAAAATTAACTTATTTATTGACATTTTTCTCCTTCCCTTTTCCCCAGGAAATAAATGCAGGAAATTATTCCACACTTAACCTCCCTACACAAGGGCACTGTAAAATAGGGATATTCAACTGCTAATTTCAGTTGCTAACATGGAGGGGATACAGATTATGCCAAAGATTGAATTCTCTGCCTGGGCCCTCAGGGACTGAAAAGCCCCAGGACCAAGCTGGTTGCCACCTCCTTTTGCTTTTGTATGTAAATAGATTGCCCCCAGAAATCACATATCGGCCCTGGTTTTCTAATTCTCTGTTTTTTTTTTTTCTTTTTCTCTTGTAAGGAAAACATGGCCAAGTGCATAATTATAACTGTTAAAAGGGTATTGAATTTTCTGTAGGAAAATATACATAAATATATGCATTTCTTTAATGAAGATATTTATTTTGGAATATAAATAAGCAATATGCGATAGTTAAAAATATTGTAATTATCTGCCAATGACAAAACATCAACAAATCTCTGATGTCCTTAATGCAGATAATAAAAATTCCCATAAACTAGTATTTAGTCATGTCCAGTTTGTGTAGCTTAACTTGTTTGTAATCCTATATGCCTGAAAACTGTTTCTCTATTTAAGCGGTGTGTGTGTGTGCGTGCGTGCGTGCGTGTGTGTGTGTGTGTCTGGCATTAACACAAAGGAGACCAGATGATGACATTCATAGGCTGATAGACTCGACTCCTGGGGACACACTTGGATGGAGGCAATTAAAATGCCTGTCAGGCATTTGGTACCAGAAGCCCCTATGGCAAACCGCTAAATCGTAAGTGAGGGCTGCATCCTATTGTCAGTGAATGATGGCGGAGCTGAGTGGCTTGTCATCATTCTCGAAAATTCTGAGACTAGTGAGCTCTCTCCCTCTCTCCCACTCGCCTTATTTTCCTGTTCGCCACTGCGGGGACTTCTAATTTGCAGCTTCCCTTTCCCCGGCACACACAGACACGAGCTGGTGGCTTGCAGACTGCGTCTGTCTGGAGCTAGAGAGCCAGAGAGCCAGCCTGTGGGGATAATGCTCCCGGAGAAGGATTCTGCAGCAGTTCTCAAAGGCTAGACTTGAGTGGTATTGCTGCATATGCGCTGGTAATGGTTTGGGGCTTTTAATTTTATTTCGTTTCATTTTCAATTCGTTTTTCATAGGATGTGCTTTATGTAATCTCAGAGTAAAGATCTTTTAAAATTCATTATTGAGCTTCCTAAATATTCAAGTACTGCATTTTTTTTGTGCTACAGACCTCCAGGCATAGATTTATTATTTGAGTATAAAGAATGCATTTGCTTACTGGTGAGTTATAATTTTTGATATTTAGTTAACAAATCCATATATATATATATATATGTTTCTTTTGTTTTGTTTCGGTAGATTCTTCAGCTTGTCTCTAACCGAGGAAGCATTGATTGGGAGCTACTCATTCAGAAAATTAAAAGGTACCACATGTTTTGTTTGGATGTTTTAATGAGGGAAAATCAGGGGAGAATTGGAATGTTTTTATTTAAATTAATTTATCTATGATTGGTCTTTTATCCTTAAGCTTAAGTTGATCATTGTCTATTGCATATACCATTTTCTATGCAGATACTTCTATTATCTAAGGTTGTTTTGATTAGAGGATGACTAAAGAATTGTGTCTTTTGCCTATGTTGCAAGTTATTAACAAATATCAACATGTTTGGCTTATTTGGAGATTTTATCATTGTAATGTTTTTTTTAAAGTCCAAAATTCTCCATCTAAATGAAAATTCATTAATTTGAATTTAAGAGAAATATGCTAAGTAATGATTTTATCTGAACAAATCCTGCTAAGTGATTTATTAAAATGGTTAAATGAAATGCCTTGCCCTTCCCAGGTAGAATGGGTGCTAGAGACGAAAGCCCAGGAATGACTCAGTATTGTTGGCTTTACAAATAAAATATTGTAACTTCTTTATTGACATTTCAGTCTTTAAAATGGACATATTTAAAGGCCGAGGTTGTTAGTTCTTAAAAGAAGTTATTTTACATTTGCTTTATTTGGAATTGACAGCATAAGAAAGTAATCCTTCATCTTGCCATGAATGCACTTGAATCCACTTGATCCTGGGCCTCATGCCTTACATGAAAAACATTAATTTTGAAATTCAGCATCAGGATATATATTGATTTGAGATGGCAATTATGGATATTACCTTTTCTTTAAGACCGTCTTTAACTTTAATACCTGTTAATATCAATAAAACCTATATTTGTAATTTGCCTTTAAAAAATGGAAGACATTTTCTGCCCTGCTGAGAAGAAAATCAGTAATACCTTTTAAGCCTTTCCTTGGGATCTATGTATAATATTTCCTCTCAAGACTGTCAGTCCGAAGCATTTTACACAATAAATTTAATTTTTGAAAAATATACCTGAAAATAATGTCCAACTACTGACACTGAAATATTATAAGTATGTGAGTGTACACCTGTGAGTGTGAATATTTGTAGCAGGTGAAGGAGAGTAATACATTGTCCTTTGTTAATATCTGCAATGTATAATCATGAGAACCTTAATTTATTCATTCCACAAGCACTTCTTAAGAGCCTTGCTGCTGTGGGTAATTATTGTGAGAGAGAGAGGGAAGGGGTAGATGACACTGTCCTCAGCCTTCTAGAGTGTAGGCAGCATCACATAAAGATTTTTGAACAGGAGAATGAATTCGTTAAAATAAATTAGTGTGGTCTGAGAAAGGAAATTGCATTATTTCAGATATTGAACAAAAGCTAATACTAGTCTTGAGACACATAAAATTATATTGCACTTCTTCTTCAGAAATTACTCAGTGGAATCGTGTATGAAATCCCCCAAACAGGATTATTTCACCTAGATATTGTAAAACTCTTGAGACCATTCTCTCTTTTTAGATTTCACTCAAAGTAAGTGAAAATATTTATGTTTGGTGGAAAAAAAATCTATTTGGTATTTGCCCATCTGATTAAATCCAGAGAGCATATATTTCACATGAAGATCTATTTCCTAATCTTCAGACTCATTCAGCAACTCATTATATTAATTTTGAACTTTAGGATATGTGTATGAATTGGAAAAGGGTGAAATTATTTAACTGCTAAAAAATGACTCCAATGCGTTGTCAATAGGAACTAATAAGTTCTGTTATGATTTGTCTGGATATTGGAGAAGGGGCATACAATCTCACCAACAGGCCTCTGGCATCTAAATTTTGGAGGACCAGTTAAAAATTCATCTAGCGGTATGCTGACAAAATGCATATAATAAAAAATGAGTTTATTAAAATAGTAGGTTGGGTGATTAAAGCAGAACAGAATTTGACTACTAGAGTCAAATTCTGGGACCTATATCATGGTTTTTCTAGTCAATATTGTGGTGAGTTAATTCCTTTACTGATTTCACTCATTTTTTTCACTTACATTTTTAACACATAGTATAGTGCCTGGGTCACAGTAGGAATTCAATAAATATTTATTTAATTATTTCACAAATAAATGAATTTGTCAGCATTTTCCCCTATTACTTTTTTGTTCTTGCCTTTCTTAAAATTATACACTGTGAAACAGACATCTGGTCATTTTTTTTTTAGTTACCCAAAATATTCATTACATGTTTCTAATAAATAATAATTAGATCATTACACTGGATATAAAAGTGACAAACCATGTATAGAAATTTCTTTAGGCTGTACGGAATAGGATTTTTCTGGTTTTAGATTAAAACGGAAAGAATTCTTGAAATGTCCCCTTTCACTTTCATCAGCTGGGGGAAATATGCCAAACTGCAGCCTGAGCTTTGCTTATGGACGCTTCCTAAATACTACTCCCAGGCTTGACATTGTTTATTGCTTTTCATGTCTTTGGCCAAGATTTTGCTGCAGCAAAGGGGAGGAGGCCTTTCCCCCCATCCCCTTTCTATAAATGTAATATGAGAAATGATGTCATACTTACCAGTCCATAATGAGCAACAAAGCATTTAAGGATAGATAGATAGATAGATGATAGATAGATAGATAGATAGATAGATAGATAGATAGATAGATAGAATATTTTCTGTATATTTAAGGAATCTATCAAGAAACTTCTAGAATCACATGGCTTTAGAGAATGTTATTCTTTCTTGCTGTCATTTATTTTCATTATTAAAAGTATAATTTTTTGTTATTAACAATGTGACGGACAGTATCCTAAGTCCTTAACATATATTATCTCCTTTAGCTCTCCCTGTAATCCTGGGAGATAAGTGTGGTCTCCATTTTACAGATAAATGAATTGAGACTACAGTTGGGCAAACCCAAGTCTGGCCTCAAAGTCCTTCATATTAAACACTAAATTTTACCACATTTTTTTCTAGCAGATTTTTGGTACCTAGTCATTGTCTTGATGTTCCATGCAATAAGGTTAAAACAGTATGCTTGCAAATATCTTGATTTATCTGCAAGTATAAATCAAAATATCTCTATCTATCTATCTATCCATCTGTCTGTCTGTCTATCTATCTATCTATCTATCTATCTATCTATCTATCTGTCTATCCTATCTATCTATTTATCTATGGTAGAAGTGAATATGTCCTCAAATACTTAACTAATATTCAAGCTCTATTGTATTTTAATTTTTATATTTAACTTGAAGGACTTTATTCTTCAAGGATGAATGTCAAAGATAAATTAGGAAGTTTTAAAATAAATGTATTCATAAAGCATTTTCCATGTAATTATAGTGAAATGTTATTTTGAATTGCATAATCTATATAAGAAAATTAGAGAATCCAAGTGCTAAATAGCATAACTGATGTTATAACTTGCAAGGTTTGGGTTTTTTTTTTCTTTTTAAAGTGAAATAATGGCAGAAGAATGTTCAAGTGACCAAAATAAAGAAACAAGCAGGCAACAGGGCCATGGGCAGAGTAAAAATACCAATTCAACCTCAAGGACAACTAACTTGGAAAAATCACTGAAGATACTAACAATTACACAAATATGTATTAAGATTCTCTACTTGCAAAGGAGTATTTACAGGAGAACATTTCCGGAGCTCAGTTGGAGTCAGCAAAATAAGATGAGGAAGTAGTACCAAGGCTCACTGGTACCGTAAGAGAGACATAAATGATTTTTTTTTTTTCAGATTTTATTTTAGATTCAGAGAGTACATGAAGGTTTGTTACCTGGGTATATTGTATGATGCTGAGGTTTGGGGTATGAATGATCCTGTCACCCAGGTACTGAGGATAGTACTCAATAGTTCATTTTCAACTCCTCCTTCCTTCCCTCTGCGCTTTAGTAGTCCCCAGTGTCTATTGTTGCCATCTTTATGTCCACAATTACCGAGTGTTTAGCTCCCACTTATAAGTGAGAATATGCGGTATTTGGTTTTCTGTTCCTGCATTAATTTGCTTAAGATAATGGATCCAGCTGTATCCATGTTGCTGCAAAGGACATGATTTCATTCTTTTTATGGCTGTGTAGTATTCCATGGTGTATATATAACATATTATGGATAATTTATTAAGGGACTTCATTACAGGGCATGAATTCTAATCATTGGAATGGGACTCAACAGGAAATACTTCATAGAGTATGAGTTTTCTGAGGCGGAACTTGGGGATGAATAGAAGTATTCAAGGGGGAGACAACGTATGGAGGAGCTCCAGAAAGAACAAACATTAGCAAAGGAATCAAAGGAAGTGAACATGCTGGGAAAGCACAGACTGATCTCATTCATATTCTAGAGTATAAAGCAGAAAAACAGGACTCTTAGAAGATAAAGTTGTATCATACGAAATGGCTAATATTCATCTTTTTTGAATTATAAAATTAGAAAATTTCATTCAGTTCAACTTAATACATTGGGAGATGGCTTTGAATGCCAGTCAAGGAGGTTTGTTTCTTATTCAGTGGGAAGCTATTGACTAGTTTGAGCAGGAGACTACTATGACCAAACTGTGTTTTCAGATTATTTGTTTTATAGCTCTGTGTGAGATAAATCAGAACTGTGTGTGAGAGCATGTTGAAGAAAGCATCACTTCAGAAGCTGTCATAGAATAATCCCAGGGGAAAAACAAAAGTCCAAAGAGGGTATTGACTGTGGGCATGAAAAAGAGGTCATGATAATGAAAGATGCTTCTGAGCTCAAGTTCATATACAGAGTAGAACAATTGCTTGATTGGTAGGAGGAATGAACAGCAGAAGGACTCAAAGGTGACTCTGAAATTTGAATCTGATAACTGAAAAAAGCAAAGGGAGAAAGTAGCTGAGAGCTACACGAGGAAAGAGTCCTTCTTTTATTTTTATTGTATCTCTAGTCGCTAGCAAAATGCCTAGTACATAGCAGACAGCCAATAAATGCTAAATGAATGAGTGAGAACACGAATAAAAAATGAAGAGGTATGTTTAGGACATGAGGCTGGATATGTGGGTGGACTGGGCTCGTAGATTGCAGAACATGCAGATCCAAAGCTGAGAAGGGAAGTTTAGGGAGGGAGGGCGTGGGTGTTATTAACAAGAAGGATAAGAAGAGGACCAGAGGGAATCTCTTGGCAGTACCTGCATTTAAGATGCAAAATAAGGGACAAGAATTAAAGTTGAATGAAGAATTAAAAAAAAAAAAGCAAAGAAAGAAGAGGACAGGGAAGGTTATAGAAAACAAAGTTAAAACTCAAATTTTCCAGAAAAACTGAAGAATGAGAATAAAGAAAATGTTGCTGGGAGTATTATTTATTTCAATAATTATTTTGTTATAAAAACAATAAATCCACATTTTGTAAAATTTGTAAAATTTAGAAGGGTGTAAGGAAGGAAATAATAGTCACTCATAATTACACAATCCAGAGATTATTGTTAACACTTTTAAAACATTTTGATGTATTTTTTATCCTATTGCTTTTAAAATTTCATAATCAAAATCATAAGGATATAATTTTGAATTCTGCCTTTTTTCATTCAGCAGTGTCTTAAGGATTTCTCACAACATTTTGCCACCTGCATATTATTCTCTCACCTAAAGTTTGGACATTTTAAATCCCTACTGTTTCCAGTTTTTCACTATCACCATAATGCTGTAGTGGAATAGTTTGTATATTACTCTTACACAATATTTTAAATAATTTCCAATGGATAGTTACTTAAAACAAAATCACTGTATTCTATTTTGTCAAATTCCTGGACAGATAAAATTTGGTGGTTTCAAAATGAGCCTCGGCTTTCCTCCAAGGAGGATCTGAGATTACATTAGCACCTGCCATGTGCCAGCATCTGTGAAAGGCACTTTAATTATCACAGTATCTCTGATGTCGATTCTATTATACCCACTTTACTAATGAAGGTACACAGACTCAGAGAGTTGCACATGTTTTTTAGGCCTAGTTTTAAATCTGGGTCTGACTCTAACTAGTCAAATCGTGGAGACACAAACAAGATCTTGAGAAATGAATGAGTAAATAAGGATATGAAAACAATAGGAAAATACACTTAAGGAGTCCGGAACTCAAAGAAAAGAGAGATAAAATATGAAAAGCAAGAAGGTAGTGACTTCAGTGCGCTTTTGCTGCTTATTAACATGGAAAATCACAAGCCAAAGGCAGGGGCAGGTAGAGAGGGGTGCTACATGTGTAATCAGAAAAAAGACAAATTTATAGAAAATGTTCTAAAGGAAAGGGTATAAAGAACGTGGACAAGAATTTGGGCTTGGCATGCAAAATGTAGCTTCCTTATAAATAAGAGCAAGGGAAAAGAGGGTGAGACTTTTGAAGTGGTAAAGAAAAAATATGAGAAACCTTGCATATCTCATCTGGACTTTATCCTGGACTGAAGGATATTCATTCAATGAATATTAATTGAATACCTAATTCCATTCCCGTTTCCTGCCCTTATGGAACTTTCCTTCTAGAGAGTGGAACTAATCAGTGGGCTAACAAATAAAATTAAAATTACTCAGGCAGCTGTTCAGAGAATGAATTATAAAAGGGTAAGAGTAGATGCTAAGAGATTTGCTTCTTAAACTTTAAAGCAGAGAAGAGTCAACTGGGGATCTTACTAAAATGCAGACTCAGAGTCAGTAGGTCTAAAGAGGGGCCTGAGATTCTGTATTTTGACAAGCTCCCAAGTAATGATGCTGCTGGTCCATGGAGACCATGCTTTGATTAGTAAAAGGCTAGAAGGCAAATGTCCAGGCAAGAAAAATGAGAAATGATTGGAGGAGTGGTTGGTGAGCAAGTCTGAAGTGAGCTCTTCTTATTCAGCAACATAGCATACTTTTAAACCTCTTTGATGGAAAGAGCAAATTGCCTGTCTACTCCCGAGTTTTTAAATCCCAGCCAGTTTTATGAAAAATCCATTAAATCAACCCAAATGAGCTACTGGCATTCCATTCTTTCTGCCCATTCTCAATGCTTATTATGCCATATAATGAATTTCGGTGGCTTGTGTTTGGGGACGTGGTTCTATATAACCCTGTGTCCGTTTCTTCATTCCAGTTCTATTTCCTGCCTCATGATTTCTTTGGACTTTAATGTCCTCTCTGCCTGGATTTCCAGTACAGTACTGAGCTGCTAAATTCTCTGTCCCCTTAGCTCTTGACATCCATCACACTCCTCTGTGGGAAGCTTCTGAGTCTCCACATTCCATCCTCTTGCCACCCACTCCTACTAAAAGCCCCGGGTGACTCTGCTTAAAGCCACAGGGGAACAGAAGATAGTCTCTGACTTCAGGAAAGCATTTTTTTTTCCGTTGAAATCATCTCTTTGTGGTGGACTGTTTTGGTTGGTGACAGCAACCTGCATCCCTCTGAGGGATTTGTCAGAACTCTATAGGAGAATGCATCGGTGTGTAGACAATCAGAGTGTTCAGAGGAGCCAAGTATTCATAAGAAGCCTTGACAGACTCTGTCAGGAGGAATGTTACCTTTCTGCCTCCAGTGCTAGAATGTAACTCTAGTCATCTCTTTTAGCTATGGGAACGTGGGAGCACTGACCTGTTTGATTACCCTCACATCACTCATTGTAGCTATAAAATATCTAAGAAAAAAATCAAATAAATATAACATACCCATCCTTCAAGGCAGAGTAGCTCAAGTGCATGTTAAATATCTGTGGTGTCCTCATCCTTATTAGCATTTATCCTTTGCTTAAGGGGCTAGTTCTCTCTCTGGACCATGCCATGACCAGGTCTCCAGACCTTGTTATCATTTTGTAATTTGTTGTATACTTAAACAGCCAAATAGGCATGAGCAATGTCCTTAGAAACTAGAAATTTAAAATTGCAATGAAGTATCAAATTAGTTTTTATGTGAAGTCAAGTTAAATTGATAATCACATTTCCTCAAGAACACTTAGGCAAGGTCCTTGAGGAGAGAAGCCATGTTAACAGGCACCTTTGCACTGTATATGTTGTCTACATAGAAGATACTCTAGATGCACATTCAAGTCGAAGCTAAGAAAAATGAGTGTTGTACATGGGTGTGTGTATGTGTCAGTCTACTCTTTCCATAATGGACAGCACTGGTCTTCTTTGCATCATCAAGCTGGAATTGACTATTTGCAGAATTTGAATACCATGCCCATGCATTCAATTGTTAAGAGTCTCAGAGTAGCACAGAATCATCTCTGGTCTTCCAAGATTGTCTCTCTTTCTCAAAATAGAAGTCTGAGTAAGTTTTGTTTTTTGTTTTTGTTTTTGTTTTGTTCTGCAGGTTCCATTTCAGTCTGCCTCAGATGGTTTGCATTAACCTTTTTTCAGATTCTCTCCTGGTGTTAATGACTACATTATGACCATTTTAAAAAGCCAGATGTACATTGATCCACCTATGGCAATTATTAAGGAAAAGATACTCCATTTAATGCATTATAACCAAAATATCTTTCTTCACCACGTGTAGGAACTTAAGAAATGATGTCTCTTTTTGGGAAGATCTTACATTTTATTTCCAAGGTGAACAATGGTTGTACTTAGTTTTCTTTAAAACTATTTTCTTGCTTTTTATATGATTTTCTCATGGTAAGATTTCATGTTAACATATACAGAATAAGGTGAAGCATGCAAGCGTTAAGGATTCTTCTGACATAGTGCCCAAGAGCCACCAATTAACATAATTTTGAACATAACTTCAGGAAAATTTGTGATATTTCAGAGTCTTAAAAAAAAACCTAAGTAGACTGCCTATACTTTAAATAGTGGGAGCAGAAATTCCTAAAATGATTGACTTTCCAAGATGACATTTGAGGAAATATGAGATCTAACAATCGAAACATTTTAAAAATCATACAAGAACTCATGAGCCTGAGAAATTCACATAATTCTGGCTGTACTTTTCCTCTGTAGGAAAGTGGATAATCCAAGAGATAAAAGAGAAATAATAAATGTAATATATTACATTAAGCATGCAATGTTTGCATGCTTAATGGAATAAGCTCCCTATGTTATGTTCACAAACACAACCAGGGTATAGACTGTGAATTACAAAGTTGTTAGAATAATGCAACCAGTTAAGAAGCTGCATTTAGATTTTAAGGACAAAAAAAAATAATCACTTCTGTACCACTTTTAAGTAATATGAAACATTTTCTAAGACGTGGTGTTCCAAAGCTCACAACGGTCTTTGGAATGGGAAAGGCAGACATTGTTATTATATTTGGTATAGATGAAAATACTGAAGTTTGAAGAATGCAAGTGTCCTACTCAAGTCAATGCACTAGAAAATGGTAAACCTGGGACACATATCCTTGTTCTGACTCCAAAGCCTTTACTTCCTACTACTATGAAGCTAAAGCAGATAAATGAGTGTATTGCCCTAAATCTACAATATTTTAATAATGCACTGACTTGATTGCTAAAATAAGGAATCTAAGGCAGTGGCGACCTCTACTAAGTGGATTGCCCTACCTTAAAAGACTCCTGCCCTTCCAAGTCTTGGATTAGTGTGGCATGGATTTATGTAAATACTAGTAAAAATAGCACAGTCTTTACTGAAATGGTTTAAAATTTTTCAACATGAGAAGCAGATAAAGCTAAATATATCACAGAAAATGAAATAATGAAATATTATTGATGTAAAACACATTTGAAAGAAGGATAAATTAATAATTCATTGTTCAGTTCTGAGTTCCACAGAATTTTAAGCGAATGGTAAATAACGCAGTAAGAATTCAGGATAGCAAAGAAAATTATTAATGTTTCAAAAGAGCACATCTATGGAGAAACATTTTAAAACATAGGCATTGTGATTTGCCTGTTGTTAGGATAATTAAAAGAGCTTATAAAGAAAAAGTTTAAACTGGATCTCAGTTCTGGTCTCAGATGTAGACATGGAAGGGGAAGAACATATATAAAGAAAATGATGACCTCAGGAGCTGCTGAGTTAGGGTCAAGGTGGAGGTTAGGTGTCCTGAGGCAGACACCCATGGGAATGGGTCCACCAAGGCCATGCTCAGTGCAGCGACCCACCTCTTCCTCAGTTCTCCTTTCCACCACCCCATCCATGCTCTCATTAGCACACCAGGGATACTGAAGTGTGTTTATCTGGTCTCCCTTCCCCAAACACATCACTACCTTAATCTTCCAGACAAACTAGAACACCCTTCCTATTATTTTTTTCCCCCTTTAGTGGCTCTCATTTGCTATCTCAAACAGTGTTGGCTAATAAATACGGTAGCCACTAGCCACATGCAGCTATTTAAATTCAAATTAAGAATTTTTTTTTTGAGATGAGATTTCACTCTTGTTGCCCAGGCTGGAGTGCAATGGTGCAATCTCGGCTCACCGCAACCTCTGCCTCCCGGATTCAAGTGATTCTCTTGCCTCAGCCTCCAGAGTAGCTGGGATTACAGGCAAGCGCCACCACGCCTGGCTAATTTTGTATTTTTAGTAGAGACGGTGTTTCTCCACATTGGTCAGGCTGGTCTTGAACTCCTAACCTCAGGTGATCCGTCCACCTTGGCCTCCTAAAGTGCTGAGATTACAGGTGTCAGCCACCATCCCTGGCCTCAAATTAATAAAAATTTTAAAAATTGAAAGTTGACTTCCTTAGTCATACCATGTTTCAAGCGCTTGATAGCCACATTCTTTTTACAGAACATTATATATTATATTACATTTCTAGTATCACAGTGGGTTTGATTGAAGAGTGCTGCTCTGGAGCATAACCAGAACCTTCACCCAGGCATCCTAGGCCTAGGCTTACTCTCCTCCTTGCCCATTACCCTTAGCACACAGTCTTCACTCCACCTGCTACTGTCCTCCTCTTCATGGTCATTATTACAATTAGAATTAAAATAGTAATGACTCCTGTTTATTTAATGCATATTATATGCCAAGTACATACCATGTTTATGAGATTATGAAAAAACAAAACAAAGAAGCCTCATAAGACCATTTGGTTTCTTTGTTTTTTGTTTGTTTGTTTTTGTTTTTGTTTTGTTTTGTTTTGTTTTTAAGCTTAATTTCACAGTAGAGGAAAATGAGGTTTAGCAAGGGTAAGTCTGTTTTACAAAGACAAAGAGCTAATTGTCTGTGGGGCCTGAAATAAAACCCAGGTCTGTCTGGCCCAAAGCCAAGGCTTTTCCCCTAACCTGTGGGCCCCTCTGCCGGAAGTCATTTGGAAATGTCTGGAGACATTTTGGATTGTCACCACTGGAGCAAGAGCTACTGACATCTAATGATTAGAGGTGGCCAGGGATGCTGCTAAACCTCCTACAGTGAACAGCTTTCTGCAATAGAGAGTTATCTGGCTCACAATGACAATAATGCCCAAGTTGTTCGTTTTCTATCTCCTTCTACAAGAATTTACAGTCTAAAAAAAATAAAAATGAGGACTTTTGTTTCCCCACCACAATTTTCCCACTGCCTTAAACAGTACTTATCATAGAATAGGTATATATTTGAATGAGAGTTGAATGTATCGTTTTTAAGTTAAAGTAACACCTACTTATGGTAAACAAATAAAAGTTTAAAAACAAGCCAAACAAGAGGACCAAAAGAAAATGAAAGTCTTCCTCTCTGTTCCCATTCCCAATCTCACATCCCAGTGAAAACCATTTTGATAATTGCTATTCCCCAAGAGTTCTTCTGATTACCATTTTAGTTGTAAATATTATACTTCCATTTCTTAACTTGGGACAGTATCTATTGATTTACTACAATAAAAAGTGAGAAATTTAGCACACTAACACTTTCTCCCTCTCCCCTCTATTTGTTAGGTTATTATAATTTTTATATTGTCAAGGTTTATTATGAATGTATTCTGTTCTGTATTTATAATTAAGCAATCTGTATTTTATGTTGATTCAAAAATATTTTGAATATATTCAAAAATATATTTCCCTGTTGAATCAAACACTGTAATCAGAACCACTGAAAAGTAAAGGTAATCTTGTCTCTTCCCAACTCCTGCTTTTCAAGTGAAAATATTCTAAGTGTTGAGATCCAGAGGCTTTAATGCCTTTTCAACCTAATTTCTTTCTTCTAAACTGGGTTCAGCACACTTTTTCTTTAAAGGGGCAGATAGTAAATATTCTTGGCTTTGAGGGTCATCTAATCACCATCACAGCAACTTACATACACAGTTTCTGTCGCAGCTACAATGTACTCTGTCATTGTAGCACAAAAGAAACCATAGATAATAAGTAAATGAATAGGCACGGCTGTGTTTCAATAAAACATTATTTACAAAAACAGATGGTGGCTGTATTTGGCCCACAAGTCATGACTTACTTACCCTCATTTTAGGCTATATTCGTGTCTCCCAGTGTCTTCTATCTCATGTTATCTTTTCTGTATTTCCTTTTGGTTTGACTGGAGCTCCTTGTGAAAGGCATTTATTCATATGTGGCCAGTCACTAATAAATCTGAGTCCTTACTTGTTTTAAACTATATATTCACATGGTACTTATACTTGATTGATAATTTGATCAGGTGTGCAGTTTTGCTCCATTACATTTTAGCATCCAGTGTTATTGATACATTACATTTTAGCATCCAGTGTTATTGATACGAAATCTGAAATAAGTCAGGTTCTCATTCTTTTGTGAAATACTTTGATGGTTTTCTTTTTAGTAGGCTTTAGGAATTTTGTGTGATTTGGAAATGATGTGTCCAGATGAAGGTCTTTTTTCATTTAACCTATTTGGCAATCAGACTATTTTTAATGATATCTTTTTAATTCAAAGGAATTGTGGTTTGCTCTTCTTTGATATTTGTTGCTATTCTCGCCTCTGTTCTGTGCTTAGGGTATTCCTAATGATAAATATGGAACTTCCAGAACCTATAATGTCTCCTTTTTCAAATATTTTAAGACATTTTTTCACTTTTTCTCCGTTCTAGGTTTTTTTTCCTTTTTGTCAACTGAATCATCAACTTTACCTTTAGTCCTGCTAATTCTATTTTTAAAAATCAATTCAAATTATGTAATCAATTTAAATTCAAATTATTTAGGTACTCATATATTAATTTCCAAGAATTCTTTCTTATTTTCTGATTGATACTTTTCCATAATTCATTTTCAAAAGGATGTTCATTTTTAAAGTATGTAAATAACATTCTTTCAAATCTCTCTGAGAAAAATACTTGTAAGTTCTCTCTTCTTTCCTGAATCACCTCTATTTCCTCAAGAGTGATTTTTAAAATGTATTGTTATTGTTTGTGCTGCTTATTTTTCTCAAATATCTTGATTTTGAAATTTTTATTTTATTAATTTGTATTTTTTAATTAAAAAAATGAATGAAGAACTAGTTGAGGATCATAGGTCGCTGTTGTAAGTTCCTTTGCAGTTGTGTAGCTGTGTATCCCCATTAACTGTGAAGGCTGACTAATGGTTCTAGGTAAGAGGGCAGAATCTGTCAAGATGCAGGTATCAGCAGCGTGTGGTAACTCTCATCTGTAAACTCAGCACTTTAGGAGGCTGAGGCAGTAGGATCATTTGAAGCCAGGAGTTCAAGACCAGCCTGGGCAACACACCAAGACCCTGTCTCTACAAAAAAAAAAAAAAAATATATATATATATATATATATATATATATATATATATATGTATTATAAAAAATAATATATATTATATTATATTTTATATTATATATAAATATATAATATAATACATTATATTATATTATATATAATATATAATATAATATAATACATTATATTATATTATATATAATATATAATATAATATAATACATTATATTTATATTATATTATAATATATATTATAAAATATATATTTATATTATAAAAATATATTTATATTATTAAAATATATAAGTATATATTTATATTATTAAAATATATAAATATATATTTATATATATATACACACACATATTTTAAAATTATATATATACACACACACACAAATTAGCTGGATATGGTGGCTTTCGCCTGTAGTCCCAGCCACTTGACAGGCTGATACGAGAGGATCACTGGAGCCCAGGAGTTCAAGGCTGCAGTGAGCTATGATTGTGTCGCTGCACTCCGGCCTCGGTAACAGATGAAAAAAAAAAAAAAAAAAAAGCAGGCATCCCAGAGGGAGTATGGAGCAACAGCTGGCAAGCTGGCAATGAGCAGGGTAAGATCTTTGCACATCCACCATGTGTTTTAGTTCTGCCTGGATTTATCTGTATTAGACCAGGTTCCAAAACTGATCACATGCTTTCATTAAAGACTAGTTCTTATTTTGAAGACGAAGGCTTCAAGGGTCAAATGTAGTAGCAAGGGAGAAGAAGAAGGGTCTCAAATGTTCTGAATAAGTTTCTTAATGAATTGCCATGATGTTGCTCCCATAGTCCTCTAGGACTCTGTATTTGATTACGCTAAGCTTGGGGTTTCCTCAGGTTTCTTCAGGGTCCTACTATTAACAAAACACGTTTCCCTGGTGTTTTTTCTCTTTCTGTCTCAGCCCGTCTGCATTTGATGTCTAGAATATCTTCAAAATTTCTCCTAGGGTTACACTGTATTTTTGACAATTTTATTATTTACTGATACTTAATAGAGAGAAGTGTGTGTAAGAATTCTCCTATCACTGATCATATTTCATATTTTTTACTCTGAATATTCATAATAACAGTATATGTTTGCACTACAATCTTTTCCACTTATTATTTCATTGTTTTACCTCTAGTATTTACTACCTGGTTGGAAAAATTCCTTTCCTCGGCCTTTATTTTCTGTAAAATAATGATAGGATCTAATTCTCAGTGTTGAGATGGAATATACAAGTACAGATTGTAAGATGTAGAATATAAATGTCAACTGTCTTTATATATAAGACTTTCTCATGGATCCAGAGTAACAAGTAAATGAAGACCTTGAGATTAACTAGTTACAGGATAACCCCTTCCCTACTGAATAGGAATTACAAGGTGATCCCAAGGAGAGGCAAGAAGTAAAACTCCTTCTACAATTCTAAAGAACTAGAAATTATATGGTGGTAGCAGTATTAAAATAAGCAATTGCACATTGGTATATTTTTCACCTCACAGAAAGACAAAGTTGAAAGCAGACCAAGAATGTAGTTAATAGACTCTCAGCTAAGTAAAAATAAATGTGAAATTTAGGTTTGGCGGTTTGGCGTAGAATATATGACTTAATGTGTGTGATCCTTGTCTTGGCAATATTAAGAATATGAATATTTATGTTAAAATGAGTATAATTTAGTGGTGCTAATTAGCTGCCACAAAACTATTATTGATTTTATCTGGCTTCAGTTAATTGAAAGTTTCTGCTTTCTCAGTGAGATTAAGACATGAAGCACCCAGTAAAAGGAGATACTATCTCACACCAGTTAGAATGGTGATCATTAAAAAGTCAGGAAACAACAGATGCTGGAGAGGAGGTGGAGAAACAGGAACACTTTTACATTGTTGGTGGGAGTGTAAACTAGTTCAACCATTGTGGAAGACAGTGTGGTGATTCCTCAAGGATCTAGAACTAGAAATACCATTGGATCCAGCGATCCCATTACTGGGTATATACCCAAAGCATTATAAATCATGCTACTATAAAGACACATGCACATGTATGTTTATTGCGGCCCTATTCACGATAGCAAAACCTTGGACACCCAAATGTCCACCAGTGATAGACTGGATTAAGAAAATGTGGCATATATATACCATGGAATACTATGCAGCCATAAAAAAGGATGAGTTCATGTCCTTTGCAGGGACATGGATGCATCTGGAAACCATCATTCTGAGCAAACTATCACAAAGACAGAAAACCAAACACTGCATGTTCTCACTCATAGGTGGGAATTGAACAATGAGAACACTTGGACACAGGGCAGGGAACATCACACCTCAGGGCCTGTCATGGGGTAGGAGGCAGGGGGAGGGATAGCATTAGGAGAAATATCTAATGTAAATGACAAGTTAATGGGTGCAGCAAACCAACACGGCACATGTATACCTATGTAACAAACCTACACGTTGTGCACATGTACCCTAGAACTTAAAGTATAATTTTAAAAAGAGAAAGAAAAAAAAGAAAATAAAAATAACAGTAAAGTGACTTCATTGTAAAAATTGAAGAGGAGACTAAATGTAGAGAGAAAGCTAAGGATCACAGTGGCCTTTTACTTCAACGTACTGGAAACCATTTGCGGATATGATAAAATGTGTATTTTCCCTAAATTATTAAAACACAGCATCTTTATTGATAGCCTTTATTCTTACGAATAAACTGAAAACACATCAAACAGACAAAGCACACCACGTGAATGTATGCAGCATGATGCATCTACAATTAGATATATGACTGCTATTCATTCTTATTTTCTGCATGCAGTTATTACATTCTAACGTTGACTATTTGCAGAGGATAAGTCGCCAGCCCTAGTTAAATGTTAATGGATCTAGTGACATGACATACTTTAAATTCAAGGCCTTATGCAAAGGAATGTGAATAAAATGCATTTGTTTGGCTTTTTATGGCCACTATTAAAAGTAAAGGAAATGAAACCATAAACAACTATGCTCAAATATTGGCATAGCTGAGGCTGCTTTGTTGCAGTAGAAAATCATATTTATTGATGGTGAAGCTCTGTTTAACCTACCCAGCCCATCTGGATGGTAATTGAAATTTTAAAATGTACTTGGAGACTTAGGCAAAACATGAAGCGCTAACTCAAAGCGAGTTCATTTTGATGTGTTTTAATATTCTGTTGTTGCAAAAAGCTGGCACAATTTACAAGTCTTTTTTCTAACTCATACCTAAAGCCAATAATTAATGTAGTATAGATTACTTTTGCCCCCAGTACCTATTATCTCTTTATTCCTCAGTAAAAATAGGACTCCTGCTTTTGGGAGATTCATGGGTAGTTGGCCATTCAGAAAAAGATCCAGAATTTCAGCCTCTTTTGTAACTAGCTGTGACCATATGACTAAGTTCTGGCCTGTAAGCTAGAAAAGAAGTTTTGTGTGAAATGTGTATCAGCTACTTAAATGGAGTAAGTGTGCTCTTTGCCACTTCTTCCTCCTTTCTTCTAGTGGGAATTCAGACTTAGTGACTGGAGCTTCAGCAGCCATTTTGAATATGAGATAATCTTATAATATATTTCTATTTTGTTTAAGCCACTGTTAATTGGGGTTTTTCCATTACTTACAGCCAAACTTAATCATCTGTTTGACAATTTTATAACTTTATGTTTATTTTCAAAGATTCCAAACCATCATTTCATCATCATTTCTCTGTATATAAATCACTTTTATATTAAAATTGTTACCAAAAATATACCAATCAGTTACCAAGTTCTATTCAGTTCCACTTTCTAACCAGTCTTCAAATCCATTCATTTCTTTATGCTCACGTGAACTATGTTAGCTCCGTCTCTCATCATCTTGAACTCTAATGACTGCAACAGCTTCCTATATCAACCCTTGCTTCACAGGCACCATTGTACACATGGTAGCTGGACTTAGTTTCTCAGAATACAATCTAATCATGATATTTCTGTGGTTAAACCTTTCAATGCTTCCCATAGCATTCACCCTAAAGTGCAGAATAAACTGTGCCATAAGGCCATCCATGATCTGGCCTCTGCCTGACTCTCTAGGTCCATCCTGAGTTGATCTTCCTGCAGCTATTGCATTTTTTGTTTTTTTTGTTTTCGTTTTTTGGCCTGGTACTCTCTCTCTATGCTCCCTCCCATCTCTCCCCACTCCCACCCTCCTCCCCTTTGCTTACTGAAGTCCTGCTTATTGGCTGGGTCTCAGATTAAGCCTCTCATCCTCTGTTCTGATTTAGGCTTGACCATTATATACTTTCAGAGCCCCTGTACTTCTCTCACTTATATTTATCAGATTAATGCCCATCTTCCTACAAGACTAGAATCTCCATGAGTGTCTGTCCTATTCTTTTTTATTTATTTATTTATTTTTTTTGAGACTGAGTCTTGCTCTGTCGCCCAGTCTGGAGTGTAGTGGCGCAACCTTGGCTCACTGCAACCTCTGCCTCCCAGGTTCAAGTGATTCTCCTGCCTCAGCCTCCCACGTAGCTGGGACTGTAGGCACCCACCACCATGCCCGGCTAATTTTTGTATTTTTAGTAGAGATGGGGGTTTCACCATATTGGCCAGGCTGGTCGCGAACTCCTGATCTTGTGATCTGCTCACCTCGGCCTCCCAAAGTATTGGTATTACAGGCATGAGCCACCGTACCCAGCCTTGTGTCTGTCCTATTCTTAACTTGAACCCCGGCACCCAGTGCAGAGACTGGTACAGAATAGGTGCTCAGACAATGTTGTCGACTAACTGATACTTTTTTTAAAATTTATTTATTTTATTTATTTATTTTATTTTTTATTTTATTTTTATTTTATTATTATACTTTAAGTTTTAGGGTACATGTGCACAATGTGCAGGTTAGTTACATATGTATACATGTGCCATGCTGGTGCGCTGCACCCACTAACTCGTCATCTAGCATTAGGTATATCTCCCAATGCTATCCCTCCCCCCTCCCCCACCCCACAACAGTCCCCAGAGTGTGATGTTCCCCTTCCTGTGTCCATGTGACCTCATTGTTCAATTCCCACCTATGAGTGAGAATATGTGGTGTTTGGTTTTTTGTTCTTGCAATAGTTTACTGAGAATGATGATTTCCAATTTCATCCATGTCCCTACAAAGGACATGAACTCATCATTTTTTATGGCTGCATAGTATTCCATGGTGTATATGTGCCACATTTTCTTAATCCAGTCTATCATTGGTGGACATTTGGGTTGGTTCCAAGTCTTTGCTATTGTGAATAATGCCGCAATAAACATACGTGTGCATGTGTCTTTATAGCAGCATGATTTATAGTCCTTTGGGTATATACCCAGTAATGGGATGGCTGGGTCAAATGATATTTCTAGTTCTAGATCCCTGAGGAATCTCCACACTGACTTCCACAATGGTTGAACTAGTTTACAGTCCCACCAACAGTGTCAAAGTGTTCCTATTTCTCCACATCCTCTCCAGCACCTGTTGTTTCCTGACTTTTTAAAGATTGCCATTCTAACTGGTGTGAGATGATATCTCATTGTGGTTTTGATTTGCATTTCTCTGATGGCCAGTGATGGTGAGCATTTTTTCATGTGTTTTTTGGCTGCATAAATGTCTTCTTTTGAGAAGTGTCTGTTCATGTCCTTCGCCCACTTTTTGATGGGGTTGTTTGTTTTTTTCTTGTAAATTTGTTTGAGTTCATTGTAGATTCTGGATATTAGCCCTTTGTCAGATTTATTCTCTTCTCTTCACCCAAAAAGCATACCTAACTGACATCCCAACCAAGGTTCCACTCATCAAAATCCCATCCATCCTCTGGACCATCAAAACCATGTTTGCACCTTCTCCTTTTAATTAGGCATTCATTTTTCTTGTGATCATATATCAGACTTTAATTACAGTTATTTTGTTTACAAAATTCTAAATTACTATTGGGAACACATTCTAGAAAATTCAAGTGTTTTAGAAAAGTTTTATTATAATAGCTGCCTGTATTTAAAAAACCATTTATTACAATTGCCTTCTTGTCAACAGAACAGAAATTTCTGGAGTCTATGGCTGGTAAATTATTCCTTTTTTGCAAGCAGAATGTCTGGCATATAACAGGCATTTAACAAATATTGAGTTATAATGTAGTGGAATAATAAGTCCGTACTTTGAAATTGGATACCCTTGGGTTCAGATCCTCATCAACTGTGAAATATTGGAAATTTACCACGCCTCAGGTGTATAAAACAGGAATGATAATAAAAAACTTATTAGGATATTGAGGGGGTTAATGAAGATAATTTACAGAGAAAAAGTTATATAATTAGTAGTAATTACTATGATCTTCCAAATTACATTACTCTACTCCCTTCTTAACAAACAAGGTAGGTGCTCAGTTCTTTCTTGATGTTGTTTTGAAACTGAATGGTAAAGTTTGATAAAGACAAAGCCTATCATTAAACAAAAGCTAAGACCTATAAAAGGAGCATTGAAGGGACTGCACAGTTTCCTTTACTCTGCCCCTTTGCTTCTTTCTACCCATTTCACTCTTACCCAAAATAAAAACAAACAAAACAAAAAAAGCCCACACACATCGACAGGTGAAAAGCAGCAAGATGATAGATGGAACTGTATATTATCCAAAGTCACCAGAAAGGCCTGGAAATTATATACAACCTAAATTACACCACCTGAGGCCATTCTTCTCTCAGGAGAAAAGCTGGCAGGGGCAATGTTAAGAGTTCAGCTGTTTCTCTTGAGGTTTATCTGAAATGCAGATTTGTCCAAGCCTTTCCTAGCTGTTGCAGCCTCCAGACCCACCAGCTGCTGTCAGTCCCCCCAGCTGGCTTAATAGGATTTGTCTTCTCTATAGCCTGTTTCCGGGGCTGTCTACCATCAGCACATATTCGGGTAGACAGTTTTTCCCCCTAACTAGTGTCAAAATCCCTACCAATCCCCCAAATGGCAAAGATCCATTATCACCTGTCTCAAAGAAAGGATTATTTTTTGTGCTTTCTGCCTCTAGCCACATACATAGATGTTATCTTTTGTAAGAGTCCTCAGTCAGTCCCTATTAAGGGCAAACCTCCTTGTAGGGCTGACAGAGCCAGGACACGGTGAGTGAGCTGGGAGTCAGCGGCCTTGAATTTGCAGGCTTCCCCAGGTGTTAGCGCTGCTAGGCTACCTGATTTCAAATGCTTCCCTTCTTCTTCTCTATAGGAGTAATGTCTATTCCATCATTTGAGCTAGGATTGTGACTATGTAGCCTTTCCTGTAGGTTAAGCTTACACTTTCTTTACATGCACAGATTCTTGCTCAGTTTTTTATGGCTAAGCAAGACACACTGTTGAGAGGCTAATAGCTTGGGTCAGTTCAGGATTAGACTTCTCACAATGACAGCTGTATGGCTCTTGTCAAGTTGCTCTGTAGGCACAGGTTTCTCACCAGTAAATTTCAATAATACTTACCTCATAGACTTGTGAAGAATGGTTGCCATATTGACTGTAAAATACTTAGTCAAGTGCTAGGCACTTCAACATGGACAATAAATGGTGGCTGGTATTCTAATTATTTACGGTTATACTTACATTTAAAATTTTTATTTTTATTTAGTAACTTAAACATTATGGTTATGCGTAGTCAATCCTTTCAGTTTTTATTCTTTTTTCTTTTTTTCAAGTTATAATAATGTAGGATTTTATTTTTAGAACATTTTCATGAAGAAGTATCTCATTCCTTTCTACATCTTACATAAAAATAAATTCTCTTGTTAGGCTTAACTCCAACCATATTTCACACTTTAGGCATGTGAATTTTTTAACTAGAGAGAAAAATACTGTGTTTTAAAGATATTGAATAGTCTTTGACATGGAAAACATAGCTTTAATGGTTCATTGTTTATAAAGAGAACTTCTATAAATTATGTCTGAAATGCAGTGAGCTTGCAAATCAATAGGCTATAAAGGGGTGGTCCTGGGTGTTTTTATTTCTTTAGTGTTTTCCTCTTGTGCTGCCAGTAACTTACCAAATGCATAAATGAGAGAAATGCTAATTTATTCTGGGTTTCATCAGTAATGATTCTTGAGTCTACTACAAATCAGTTCTTGGGAGGTTGAATCACATGGGTTGGCAGTGTATTTTTCTGTGATATGCGACATACAGATAGGATAAAGGATATTCAGCATTCTAATCTCCCTTGAAGGAGTACTACTTATATTTTTTTAAATTAATCTTGATTTTTAAAGTCTCACCCTTTGTATCTACAAAATAAAAGTAAATTGCCAAAAAGACTCCACTTAATGACATTTAAGAAAGGAGGCTGTTTACTTGTGTGATATGCATGAACTCTTCCAAGCTTCAAGGTCTGTTTTAATAAAGCCCTCTTTGCACAGACATTATGTGTGAAAAGTCTCCCAAACTAATTTATGCACACCTGACTCAAGCAAATACTGTTGTTGTTGTTTTTCTAAACTGCTTGTCACCTTTTGAATTTTATCTAGTTTGGAAAGGAAATCGACCAATATGCCTTAGTTTTTTAGTTCGAACAAGACTCAACTATGCATATTCTTTTTATATTTCTCTCAAATGGAACAAATCAATTCTCAGTCAAAAAGAAAACAGTTGAGGGAGTTCATTTACTGTTTGGGTTAAAAATATAATTGGCTTAAAAGACAAATGTAAAAACTATTAGGATTTTTCTCTTCAAATATATTTGGATAGAATTAACAAAGGATGCAAAGGTATACTTGGCTACCCATCCAGTCATAAAATAAGTGCTGCTGATCATGAATTGCATTTGATTTCACATGCTTCTCCTCAGGCAGGCTGGCAGTCACCTTGGCCTCTTTTAGCTGTCAGAAGGATTGAGCCTTTTGTAAACTCAATAGATTAGAATCCCAGCACTTTGAACAGCTGGTGTAAATAGGAACACGAATACAGAAATATATTCTAAGTTTCTGTTACTAATC
Source organism: Homo sapiens (assembly GCF_000001405.40). NCBI lineage: Eukaryota > Metazoa > Chordata > Mammalia > Primates > Hominidae > Homo > Homo sapiens. The sequence goes on from NC_000002.12 coordinate 209,602,583, forward strand.
TTGATCATTAATATCCACTACCAATAAAAAGTACACATTCACACTGTGAATCTATTTTGATGAACTCAGAAGAAGAGGAGCCAGCTCTCCTGACAACTGAAAGAGACCAAGAAGACTCAAGTTCTTCTGAGAACGCTAGCGGATTCTGAGCATGCCAAAACTGGACCAACTCTCCAACAGAGTTTATCAAAATATGAAGAGCTGCCTGTGGGCCTTGCGGCACTTCTCTAAGTCAATATTACACATTATAATTCTCTACCAAATCTTAAAATGGTTTCAGAGCTTGTACTGTTATCTGGAAATAAGAGCTAGGCTTCAAAGAGATACTTTGGTGACTGCAGGTCTCCGGTAGTCCTAGGAGGAAGGCTAATGACTCTCAGGCAGGCATCTCAAGCTCATAAATCAGTGGCTTGAAGTGAAGCCATTTAGAATAGAAACCAATTAACCACAAATATCAAAAAGAGATAAAGCATTCATAAGAAAGAGGATTGCCAGCTGTGCACAGCCATGTTTTCATTTAGCTGCAGTCCAGAGTCAAACTGCCCTTAAGCTTGGAGAGAAGAATAGTTGGGTGAATAGGATTGCCTGTCCAAACTGACCTGACGCCCACAAATTTAGGGGGAAAAGAAACCCCTTGGTTTATTTAGAACTAAATTACACTGTGGAATCTAAAAAAATATGTAGGCCCAGCTATTATTTTTTCTACCTACCATGTTTCCCACGAAAGATACCTTAGAAAACCATGACACTCACTGATAATCACAGATAAAGCTTTACCATTTTCAGTGTGCCTTCAGAGTCATTGTTTCATTTGATGTAGAAACTTCGGCGGTGGGATGGGGGGCGGTTATCACAAAGGATTAACAGATTGTGCATGAACAATCTGCCCCCAGTGATGTTCCATTTACCTTTTATATGTAGAAGAGGAAAGCAGGCACGGAGTAACCATTTAAGCAAGCATTTTCAAAGCTTTCTGCATGCTGGTGGGCAGCTCCTTTTACTCAATAGATGTTAATAGCTAAGAAGGGGTTACTCCCAGTCTTTAATCCCTGTGAGGTGTGAGATTTCTCATCTTTTTATACCCGCCTTTCTTGACCACATAACAGAATAGCCATGACTTTTCACATTTTTGACAGAATATCTCTCAATTTTTGGAATACAATGCTATAAAAGACATCTTTTTAAGTAACAGTTTCAGTCTTTTCATCAGAGGAAAGAAACCACAATTGCTCTTAGTGGTTTCAAAGTTGATCTAACTATCTAAGGGCTGTATGTGCTCTGGTAGGGGGAAAAAATGAGAAAAGTTTGTGTAATGCCAAGGTAAAGCCACAGTGTCCTACTTTTGCTGATCGGAGGAATGTGCAATTGTGTGGAGGGACATTGCAAATTCTAGTTAGCTGAGGATTCTGCCTTGCTGACCCGCAGCAGGTCTTATCATCTCCCGGAGGATTTTGTTTTGCATCCTGTGTGTATTCACTAGTTTGTACCAGTTTCCATTAATTTATCCATGAGATTCACTGGATCTCTATAGCAGTAAGAAGGATTGGTGCCAACAAGAAGGCTATAGCTTAGGGTAGGGCCCAAGAAAGATGAACAGATTTTTAGAATGTTTGCATTTATTTAATCACAACTTCAATTCAGTTTTCCAAGTAGTTACTGAGGTGTTCATTAAGTCCGTACCCAGTACCCTTGAAACAAGAATGCCACATAAATCCTTGTCTTAATCTGCACTAATCCAGATGAGCTAATTTGGTAGTTTGGCTCTTTAGTTCCCTAAAGTGACCTTAACACAGGGTGTACAGTGCCCTATCTGCATAATCATGAATTGTAGCAAAAAGGTTTTTGCTCCTGGTCTAAAGAAACTCACCAATATTCATTTTGGTGATACATTTGTTCTCTAATATGACCATCAGCAGTTCAAATGTAATTAGAACTAAGAAAAGGGATATCCTCTTAAATGTAACCACCTTGCTTTCTCTTCGAAGCCTTTAAAAAGGATTTCTGTAAAACAGTTTTTGGTATTTTAACCGAGTAACCCTACAGTAACAGTCTGTTTTATGGAGGTCTTTTCAAATTGTACACATAGGCAGGCCCAAACCCTGCGCACATGCTTTTTGTTTGTGCAGAGAATGCTGTTAAGTTCTTTTATTGCTTAAGCAAGAATAACAAATAATTATCCTGCCATAAAGGAAAATACTGATAATTATAGTTTGCCAAGCATGTTGAATAAGCGGACAGGAAAGACAAAGTGTTAGTGTTGGCAAATCCCAAAACAGAATACTTCTGCAGACCGAAATAAACTCCCAATTCTAATGGCCTCCCCATAAAAATGCTAAAAACTTTAGAGGCTGTTGAACAAAGCCTGATGGTTATGGTATATTATATGTAACCACAGAGATGAAGATTTTAAACATAGTCAGTAATTTCTCACTGTGTTTTAGTTAGTGCAGCAGAAATATACTAAAAGAGTATATGCGTGTGTATGCAAATGTGAATACATCAGATCTGAAAAAAATATTTATATAAAGGTAACTAGGCTGTTTTAGAAAACAATTTTAAAAATACAGTTTCTCCTAGCTACTGTTCATTAGTAGTCCTCTCAACAAACGTATTTCAGTGAGACTCATTTCACTATCTTAGACAGTTTTGTGTGACTTTTAAACAGCCCTTATGGAAATAGATTTATTCAAAATTAGATTTTTGGCAGAAAATATGTACAAGAGAACCTCATTATCTACTAATAATTGTTGTCACAGAAGGAAACATTTAAAGTAAATCTTCCTCAAACACAGATCAAGTTTTATTAAAAACATAGTGAAGGAAAGTTGGAGGCAATGTTTAGTTTGAAAAAATAAAGTTAGATCTTATAAAAATAAGGTTATTATAACTATGAATAGAAATGCTTGTATTATAATTGCAACTATATGCTCATTCTAAGACAAAGGAATGAATTGAGTTTGTTTGGTTTTATTGAGAGTAACTTCCCCACAAGTTTTATTAGAAGGTAGTTCAACATCCTTTATGCCACCTTTGGCTTTTTCAGCATGCTCCTTAAAAAGGCTGTTTGGGTAAAAATATTTAAGCACTTACTCAATTTTTCCTAGATTTTAAAAAACTATTGTGATACAGAAATAATTATTTGTTAAAGTGAATATTGTGCCCTTATCCTTGTGGTTTTCCCTTTTTCACTGGTAACCGGCCTAACCATGCCAGATCTTCATGTTCTCATGATTTGCCTGTTACTTGAGTACCTCTCCTCCATTGCCTTAGACTTGCAATTTAAATTAACAGTTGAGTGGTATCCCATTTGTGTTGTGTTGTCAGATATTAGCATCTTCTGACAAGTATCTGGAAATCAACTCAAGAGGAAAGACCTTGACCTTTTGAGAAAGGGTAAAGTTAGTGTTAACCGCTGGATAGATAGATGCATGTTCATGTAAATACTTATTTTATAAATGATCAGTTTTTTTAGTGACTATGTTCACGTTATGATGGGGGGGGTGTAGAAAAAAATTTCTCCAATGTGTAAAATAATCTTCCTCACTCAAAATCGTATATCAAGCCTTTTCTTTAAGAGAACATCCATTTGATTGATACCACCAGAGAAGACTTTAATAAATTGTTCAGTCTTTTTTTATTTCTGGCTCTTTCATAAAGTTACTTGAAGACTGTTTCTAAATATGTGTCTATGGTTAAAAATATAAAAGAAAAACTTCCAGGTGAGACTATTTAATTTTTAGGCACTGTAAAGGGAAGATGTTTCCTCTTGGTATTAACATGTGAAGAAAGAATAGAGAAAGTAGGTCTTGTGGCTTGCACCTGTAATCCCACCACTTTGGGTAGCTGAGGTGGGAAGATAGCTTGAGCCTGGAGATAAAATTTGCAGTGAGCTGTGATCACACCACTGTACTCCAGCCTTGGCAATAGAGTAAACCTTGTCTCAAAAAAAGGAGGGGGCATGGAATTGGGGTTAAAAAATAGAGTAGATTCATTCTGTGGGCAAAGTCTAGTAAAACCTAGGTAATTAACATCTCTCTATTAAATTGGACATATGAAAGAGCTTTAGAAAAATCTGTACCAATCCATTCTTTTGTTTTGATGACATTATTTTGAATGTAATAAATAATTATCACATTTGATAGTTGAGATCATGTTTATGAGTCATTTGATTTTGCATATATGAGCCCTGCTTGGAGCTAAGTAACTGCATAATTAAATTTTCATTTAAAGGAACAATAACCGCAGAAAGTCAAAAGCTAACTCAAGTAACAGGTGGTAAATGTTTGATATCTGTATTTTAGGTGACTTCACAGTAAATGAATAGCATTAATGATATTAAATATATCATTTTCTGTTGTGTTCCTGTTAATCTTCAGCAGAAATATTTATTAACTTTAAATATATTTTGAAAGTATTTTATTGTTAATGATGAGAAAAACTAATAGCATCTACCAGTTAGTATAATAAGGTAATAACCACAAAACTCATCTACTCACCAACATGTTTCTATGTTATGATGTACATGTCCCAGGTACATTTCCAAGTAGATGGCATTCTACTTTCAAATACACTTGGGAACCATATAACCATTGGATACTATTTAACATTTAAAACATTTTCCAAAGTTGAAGGTGTTTTGAATATTTAAAGTTTCTTTATTTCAGTACTTAAAGAAACATAGACTGAAATACTGGGAGAAACAACTGGTTCACTGACTGCAGACCAAGATGAATTAGTCAAGAGATAATATAAAACTTGAGCCAAGGGTCAGTTCATCCCAAACAGATTTTGAAAGATGGTAAACTATTCCCTCCCTCTCAGATGTCTTCAAATTAATGTTTCATTTGTTTGTTTGTTTATTTGTTTGTTTGAGACAGAGGCTCACTTTGTTGCCCAGGCTGGAGTGCAGTGGCACAATCTCAGCTCATTGCAACCGCTGCCTCCTGGTTTCAAGTGAACCTACTGCCTCAGACTCCCAGGTAGCTGGGATTACAGGCACCTGCCAACACACCCGGCTAATTTTTGTGTTTTTAATAAGGACAAAGTTTTACCATGTTGGCCAGGCTGATCTCGAACTCCTGACCTCAGGTGATCCACCCACCTTGGCCTCCCAAAGTGCTGGGATTACAGGCATGAGCGACTGTGCCCGGCCTGAATATTAATACCATGTGGCTGCCTACCCCACTGGTGTGCACTATTGCTGGATCCTCACCAGTGAGGGGTACCCCTTTTACTCCAGAGTCCTAATTCTGAAAGCCCCAGTCTTAATTCTGCTAATATTTCTAACTACCACTTTCTTATTCCTTTTGCTAGTCAAACTCCTCTAACATGTCCATTCAATTTATTGTCTTATATCTTTTCTGTCACACTCTTTTCTTAGCATTTTGCTAGATTTCATTTTCACCCTATTATATGCTGGAAATGTTTTCTGAGAGATCTCCTGTGATCATCTTATTTTAAAATGGAACAGTTGCCTTTTACTTTTTATGTTGAATGACCTCTCTTTGCCACAGTAATGATGCAGTAGAAAGAATGTGAAAACTTGATTTCACTCTTGACTCTACTGTGCACCACTGACTGTGAGACCTTAGGCAAGTTATGAAACATCATACAAAGATTAAATACTGTCCAAAACCTGAAACAAAGATTAAATACTGTACACATATATAAGAGGATATTATTAGTGGCTACCCATTTCTCCTTGGAATCTTTTTTTTTTTAATGGAGACAGTATCTTGCTGTGTCACCCAGGCTAGTGTGCAGTGACACAATCATAGCTCACTGCAACCTTGAATTCCTAAGCTCAAGTATCCTCCCACCTCAGCCTCCTGAGTAGCTGGGCTGCTGGGGTGTGCCACCACACCTGGCTAATTTCTAATTTTTTTGTAGAGATGGGATCTCGCTATGTTGTCCAGGCTGGGAAATCTATTTTTATTTGATTCTGCAATATTGAATTGTATTGTTTTTACTGGCTTTTCTTCATCCTGCCACTCTATCATTGGTCCATCCCAAAACTATTGGCCTATCCCAAGATTCTTGTTCCATATATTTGACGAGGCCATCCATTTCAATTCTAGATTAATCTTTGTGAAACACAACTAATTATATCTTAGCCTAAAACCTCCAAGAAATTCTTCTGTATGCTGAAATAAATATACATTCCTCCAATTAGGATTCCATCCCCTCTGTTATATGACCCCTACCTACATTTCCATTTCTATCTCCCACTGTTCTCTGTTGTGTGCCAACAACCTGTAGTTCTCATTGCCCCTTTGCTTCTGCTCTTTCTTCAGTTTCATCTTTGCCCCTCATCCCCTGCTTGCCCAAATTATGTGTAACTTTACAAAGCTCATCTTAAATACCATGCTCTCCAGAATAATTAAAATTGAATGTAATATATTCTCTGATTCACATAGTCCCTGACACATACTTTTTCTTCTGTGCTCTCACCCTATACTTTGTGTTAATTACCATCCCAGATTTGATTATATATAAGCTTCTTGAAATCAGGAAGGGTGTTTCATGTATTTTTAAATAAGATCTAAGTAGATGAGGTATAATTTAATGCCTAATATATAGTAACAAATGTATATTCATTCTGAATATACATTTTCCCATTGCTCAGGCTTAAAACTCTGAAAAAAATCTTAAATTTCAAAAAATTAATATTTACTAAATTAATTTTTGATTTTTCTATCAAAATCATGAATTAACATATGTCATTGGGTCATTAATTTTGTTTGAAAATAATAGCTATATTGAGTGAGATATAATTCACATATAAAAATTCACCCCTTTAAATTAAATAGTTCAGTGATTTTTAGTGTATTAACAGAGTTATGCAAGCATATCCATTATCTAATTTTAGAAGGTTTTTATCACCCCCAATGGAAACCCATCAGCAGTCACTCAATTTCTGCCTCACCTCTATCCTAGACAACCTCTAATCTACTCTCTATGGATCTGTCCCTTTTCCTGGACATTTCATATAAGTAATACAATAGGTGGTCTTTTGTAGAAGGCTTCTTTCACTTAGCATCGTATTTTCAGTGTTCATGCATCATTCACTGCTTTTTATGGAAGAATAATATTCCATTGAATGGATATGCCAGATTTTATTAGTTCATTAATCAGTTGACGGACATTTAAGTTGCTGAGTCATTGATTCTTTTTTAAACTGAAAGGAAACCCTGTGGTTATTTAGTCCAGTATCCTCCTTTAATACATGTGAGATTGTGTCCCAAAGTGGTATTCCTAGACTTACATAGTTATTGTATTTCTTATTATTTTAGATGCTGGGTTGGTACAACACATACATTCATGTACTTTTCTACTCATTCTTTCATATGCGTAATACATACTTATGGAGCACTAAGTGTTTATGATCTGAATAAACAAAAATAATTATGGTTCATGTCCTCATGAGGTTCACAGTTTAATTGGGAATAAGCTTTTATTAAATAATCATATAAATAAACACAAAATTAGAACCATGGCAAGAGCTATAAAGAAGACATTGGGGAACTGACCTTGTCAAGGAGGATATTTTAGCTGTGATCTATGGATAAGCAATAATTACCTAAGTAAAAAGGGTAGAGAAGAGCATTCCAAGCAGAGCAAGAGCACATGCAAAGGCCCTGGCTATAGGAGCATGGCTTATAGGAGAAATGACAGAGGCAAGGTAACAGGAGAGGAGAGGGTAGGGGAAGCATGTGTGGAATGAGGCTGGAAAGTAAGGTTAAATGATGCCAAATCTTCCAGGACAAGGGAAGGGTTTTACTCATTTTCTGAGGAGTATTGGACCACTGAAGTATTTTAATCCTAGAGATAATGCAAGCAAAAAGAAAATGTGTATTGTTTTTACTTTTTTTTTTTTCTCCCAGGGCTTAGCTGTGTTAAGAAAGGCGAAATTTGCTGGATGATACGTTATCTTTTCTGCCAAAACTTGTGGTAGAATTGTGGCATTTCAAGTTTTCTTTTATGTGTTTACCAAATAACTTGTTATCAAAAGTAAAAACTTGTATTATTTTCACAGGATAAACAGCCTCCTTATTAGAATTCTCCAATTCAATTTTGTGAAGAACTATTCTTTCCAGTTCTCCTACGGAATAAGCAATCATGGCTACTTAAGAAGTATTATAATAAATATATAAAGGCCATATGTTTCCATTATACAATAAACATGTTTTAGACCTATAAATTCTAAAGGTACAGAAACCATTCTCTAAATTCCAATTAGCTAATGCCTAATTCTTTAGCCTAAGTGCTTTTGACTTGAGAGCCATTCCTCTCAGGCACTATATGAATGGGACCCAGGAAGCTTTTGTAGAAATAATATAAAGCTTTTGTAAAAAATAAAGGTCATGCCTGCATGGGCATGAATCCAAAGCTTTCATTAAATTCTACAAAGAGTCTATTATACACACAAAAAAGTTAAAAACTAGGGTTTTTGAGAGTGGAAAATAATCTATAAGTTACTAGGAAAAAATATTTGGTCACTTTTTATACTACTTAGAGAAGTTTAAACCAATGCAGTTACAAATGACGCCAAATATTTAAACTAACAGCTATTATATAAGCTAATATCTTGAAAGCAGTATTCTCTTTTTTAAAAATTATAGACCTTAGATCATACTCAGGGATTATATTGAGCACTTGTGAGGAATGTAGATTCCTGGACCCACTACAGACATTTGGAATCAGAATCCCTGGAATAGAACTCAGAACTCTGGATTTTTAACCAGGATCCCAGGTGATTTTGGTGTCAACACATGTTTGGAAAGGTAACATAGTAAATAACAACATTCTTTCTCTGTTCAGTGTTTTGAAAAAACAAATTTATACAATTCATTAGTTATAATAGTACCATGTAATGCACACTGAAAAAATATATATATAATATAATTTACAATTTAAAGATGAAGAAATTATGGACCAATGAAATTAAATAATTGGCCACATAGAGATCTGGCTTTGTTAATACTCTGTCATAAAGCCTCTTGCTGTAACTGCTATAAGTTACCTACTGCTAGTTCCGTACTATAAGAAGTACTCAGGAAAAGAAAGCTTCTTTTAGAGAGTGGAGTTATATGAGTCCATAACAGTGTTAGTCAACATCCACTGAAACCCATGATCATCAACAAAGTTAAAGATTTATAAAGAACAAAGTATAATACATGAGCCTCTCTCACCAAGCACAACTGTCTGACACTTTCTAAAAGAAGCTCTCAGAGGTAACACTTTACAGGCAGAAAAAGTGTGAAAATGAGAAAAATTTGCTCCAAGTTGTTACAATTTAACAAGCAGGGAGTATAAAGAAAAAACAAAATATTACAGTAAAGTAACCCTAAAACCTATTAGCGTGTATCACTACCAAAAATAAATAAGTGGATAAATAAAACTCCATGTAACTCCTTAAAGCAGCTGGAAAAAGACAGGTCTGTTAGGTTGCTTTAAGACATGAGCTTTAATAAGCATTTTACCCAAGAGAGATGGCTCTGTGATATGTGTGTGCTGTATCACATGAATTGCGTTTCATTTCATGCAGCGCCTTTATTGGGCATTAATAATAAAACTGCTGAATTTAAAAACAAATTCTGAAATCAACTCTATTTTATAGACCTTTACTAGAAAAGAGCTCTTTGCCAATATAATGTGGTCTATTCATAAAATATTTCGAGAGTGAAAAGATAGAAGTTTTCTAGTTATTTGTTTATTTCTAGTTTCTAGTTATAATTTTGAAATGTTTGCATTTCAGTAATGAAGTCAGGGGTTAAAAACATTCAATTTGACTTTAAGGTGGCTTTATCACAAGAACACTGATTTCTTCTAAAATATCTTCACAGTTTATTTCTTTATGAAAAAATGGTTTTAATTCAAATTATTTAAGAGAAAAGATCGTTCCTTTATGTAATGCTAAAAACCAACTCTTCAGGAAATTGGGAGCCAGAATTTTTTTCTGGGCCTGTTGTAGCTGAGTTTGTCAGCTGCCATATAACAGCAGAAATAATATTTCTTATGATGCTGTTGAAAAGTGCTATTCAGCCAGCAGCTATAGCAAGTAATGTATTAAATGAATGAGAGAACTATTAAATACATTATTTCAAGACTTTTAGGTGATGCTATAGCTGATCAATATTTGAGAATATTTTGGGAAATGAATGGCAAATGTCTTTTTTGGTCATGAGTCAACTTCTCTATGACATGGAAACATAGTATTAGAACAAGTTTTACAGGAAATCTTATTTAAGAGCAGAAAATGCTATAACTTCCTTTGGATAGTTAAGGATCCTTATCTTTTGGTTTAGCAGTGGCATTATGTTTTCTTATTAACACAATAGGAATCTGTATTCCTGGTTTTAGTGTTATTTCAAAGTTATATCAGGATCTAATGAAACATGGCCCATTCATGGCTGCTTGCTACTGTAATAAATTCTTGGAGACTATTGCTAAAATTACCTTCTATTAGATCAGGTTCTCTTACCCCCGCCGTGCGCATCAGTTGATCTCCAGACAATCAGTGAGAGTATTTTCAGAGCTTGAAGTAGACTTGCTGTGCATAGGGAAAGCATATTCTGTTTATGCTAACTAGACAGAACCACCCAAAACATGAGGCAAAGAGAAAGCCACAAATGGCTTCCAGTCTCTTAACGTGTTTTTTATTTCTATTTTTATTTATTTATTTATTTATTTATTTATTTTAATCTGTTTTCTATAGCTGCATGAGTTTTCTTTTAGCTGAATGGCTCTCTGTTTGGAATTAACATTAGGAAATAGAATGAATGTGAAATGGCAAAAATAAAATCATAAACAAAAGAAAACAAAACTCACTAAACTATAGGATCTGTAGTCCTTCGTTAAGAAAGTGCCTCCAAAATCTTCCTTAGAGCCAAAGCCCCTGCTAAAGGTGAAATCATGCAAGTCACTAGTTGCCGTGGGGAGCACACAGTGCAGGTTGCTGGCTTTGCAGTTTTGGGAAGGCCCCAGATGGATGGATCAAGGAGCTCAGTGGGGCTAGCGGAGAAGAGCTCTACACTTGGTGTCTTGGAATTAGACCACTGAAAGACTCAGAGTGGGACTTTTTTATTGTAGTATAGTTATTCAGAGCCACAATTTTAAAAGATAAAACATTTTGAAGTCTGTCAACTATTCATTGGCTTAACATAGCTCTAAAAAACATTCTAACAGTGTGAGGTTGAAACCTACCTCTGAAGCAAACTTTTGTGCCTGCAAATACCAAAGGTAGCTGATGTAGTCCCAGACGAGCCCAGGGTAACCCAAGCAAGGAGTCAACAGCCCTCACATTCCTTTGGAACAACAATAATTAGAGCAGCTGGAATATTTGCAACCTCATTGGCTCACTTGCTGTGTTTTTAAGCCCAGGCTTTAATCTTATTTTTATGTTTTTGTATAAATCAGACTCATGTGGCTTAATTATAGACATTAAGTGGCTACTAGGAGCTTTAGATGAAAGCTTTTCAATACCGTGCAATGCCCGGGTTCTCTGGTGTCCTCCCCACTCTGCAGTTTCTGTCTCTTTGTGCCCCTCCTCCTGTGTTGATTTCTGCACTCCTCCTTCCTCCATTCCGACTGCCCCTCATCTCAGTGGTGCCTGTTTACTTAAATCTAAGCCAATTAAATACAACATAATAATAGAACATCTTTCTGAAAAGAGCACAAAGGATGGGGAATTGCATGGCCACTGACTGAATAACAGAAGAACGAGGAAAACATCTTAAAAGAAACCCCCAATAGATGATTCATCTATTCTTCCTTTGCCTCCTATTTATAGGGAGGCAGCCTCTTCTTTGTTTTTGTTTCCAGCAATCTCTATGCCAAGTCCCCCATCTTTCTTTGGTAGAATCTTAATGATATATCATCATGTATATTTCCAAGATTATTGATTTGAGAATTATCATATTATGCACTCAGGAATATGGTTATAGAATTTCCAGAACACTTGGGAGTGATAACATTATAGATCGAGATATATTTCAAGGCTTGCTTTTATGTTGATATATTTTCTGAGCCAGTAAGTAATATTCTCACTCAATTAAGAGAAACTCACTTTTTAAAATGCGTTATTACAAGCAATCGCTTTAGTAATAAAATGTTGGCTGCCACTGTTAAGAAAATAATTTGGGGAGGAAGAAAAGATATTTCACATTAGTATCACAGAAGGGGGAGGGGAGGGTGCCAGCTTAGTCCCCACTGTGCTAATTAAGTGATCATGCATTGCCTCTTGAACAACATGCAGCAGAAGATAAAGAACTCAAATCAGCTGGAGATCACCCTTAATTGTAAACTCTTCCGCAAGACTCCAGTGAGTCGATGAACTTCCTCTGCTTCTAGAGCTTTTAGCTTTTCATGCTAAAAGTAGATTTGTCAGAATTTCATTTTTCTGCTCAGATGACTGTAGCACAGCCTGTATTTCCCTCTCTCTGGTGTGGTCCCCTTTCCTAAATGCATGCCTTTCCAAATTATCCACGATCAGGAATGTCAGAGGGTGTGGAGCTCAGGCAAAAAACATCATCAGTCAGCTGAATTCCAGTTTCTATAGACCACAGCTGGAATCTGAATGCTCACGTTGACCTCAAAAATAGCCTGGTGCTCTGTCCCCTGTGTTCAGCCGAATGCCTCTTCAGTGAAATCTCTGTATGTGGCTGCAGGTTGACAGATGGCTCCCAGCAGGTGAACTCAAGGCTATTAGTGAGTGAAATGCGTTCTTTCTCTGCCACAATCCTTCTCAAAGACAACCTCATGTCTTAAGAACCTTACAAAAGGCTTTTAGATGTTAAGCAAAACTCAAGAGAAGAGTTGAAGCCAAGAAACCACAGATTAAAATAACCATAGGGTTTCTGCTCAAGTTAATACCTAGTTTCTTCATGAGATAATACAGTAGTGCTAAGTGGTAAAAGAAAATATCATTTAAAGACTGATATTGACACTTTGCAATTTTCCACAATTGTCAAAGCATTTTTCCAAACATATAACTTTATGTAATCCTTACAATGACTCTATAGGGGAAGTCTCATTAATAGTCTTCATTTTGAGAGTGGCAGGAGGCAGCCAAATGCCTAGGCAGATACAGGCAGGTCCCCGGTGAAACGCCACCTCCAAGCCGAAGACAGTAAAAAGCCTGAAAGCCAAGCTACATGTTAAATCCTCTGACTGGATTGAGAACTTGTGTTCCTGTTTAGTGCGCTTTCCTCTGATTTGTGCCTACCCTTCACCTATTTTACATATACCTACTCTTTCCTAATTGATTTTTCTATGCTATCATGCCCTCCTTTGAGTGGTATCTTCACTTTAAGCTTTTCTGCATACTCACAAACCAATCAGCACACACTCCCCATTCTGAGTTCATAAAAGGCCCAGACCCAGCCACACAGGCAGAACTTTCCCACCTTCGGGTGAGGGCACCATTTCTCCCCTATCCCACATCCCCTGTCCACTGAAAGCTATTTTCATTGCTCAATAAAATTCTTCTCCCTCTCCACGCTTCAATGTCCTGCTGTGTATCCTCATTCTTCTTGGGCATGGTACAAGAGCTCGGGAACCACCAAACAGAGGTACCAGCTATAACACAGCTATAACCAGCTTGTGGCCTTGGCACACACAAGCATGGCCTAGTGAGGCCCAGGTGGGGCATCACTGGCCCGGGGTCCCCAGCTTGCAAAGTGATCAAGAAGAAAAATCCTACATCAATTTTATTGCTAACAGTGATGATCCAAAAAGTTAGAAGGCTTAACCAATATTACACAGCCAGTAAGTGTTCAAGTTCAGCTTCTATATCTAAAGTTTGAGTTCTTTTTACTTCAAAGACCAAATTTGATTAATTCCTAGTCAGAATGGTTAGGAAAATAAACTACGTCATTCATTAACTCATTCATTAGACCTTTACTAACCCACTTACAAATCAGGGAAGCATTAAGCAGGGTATAGCAAGATTTCATTGCTTATAACAGAGGAGCTCATCTACACAAAGTTAACCAGTACTGAGCACACCTTTCCATTTTTTGCAATACGTCTCTCAGCTGTTCATTCATTGGTTGAATAGTTACTGAACAAGTATTTGCTACCAAACAAGGGGTGTAGTGTAATAAGAAAACAGTCAGTCTTTCTAGAGTATACACATTAGTTGGGGTGGAGTGGGGCAGACATTAAACAAATACACAATATGCATTGTTAGTGATAGTGTCTGAAAATAGACAGTGGGATGAGTATGTATTAGTCTGCCCAGCCTGCCATAAAGAACACCACAGGCTGGGGGGCTTAGGTTCAGTGAAGCATAGGCAGCCATGTAGAAATATGGTTGGACAAAAAGGATATTATCTCATAATTATAGACTAGGCGGGGGGACCCAGCAAGACCTGTCTGTTCAGATTCTTCATGGCCTCTGTGCAACATTCCTTCCTTCCATTAAACAAGGTAGATCAAAGCATTTCTTTATGGCAAATTCTTACACAGAAAGGCGGGATGGGGGATACAGTGTGGGGAGTCATAATGATATTTTTAGGTTTTATGGCTGACTTTGGGAAAAGAGGGCTCTGGTTTCTATGACCCACCTTAAGGAACAGGGATTCTAGTTTCTATGACTTGTGTTGGAGAAGAATGAGGCCTAGAGATAGACAAAAGGACAGGAGAAGATCAGAAAGAAACTGCTTCCTAGGCCTTCATTTTGGGTTATTGTTTTCTGAGCCCCAACATTAGCCAATGAGCAGAGTGAGGGGGTTATGGGTGAAAAATTACCAAGAGGCATCAAGTGTAGGTTGATTCTTGCCAAACCTACCTAATCAGATTCTTGCTGAAGGCAGACCAAAGACACACATCAAAGCTGGAGGATAAGAAACTCAATCAGATACCCAGCGTGATCAAATGTCAAGGGTGGGGGATTCTCTCTAAACTGATTTTAGATTCTTGCTCCAAGAATCCAAAGGAGCCAAAGTCAAGTCTTCTAGTTAAGAAGAGAGCTCAGAGAAGCCTGGCTAAAGTTTGGTCAAGGAGAGACTCTTTGCTTCTTTGTGCTCATGGAAAGAAAAGGAGATCTGGTGTCTCCTCCTCTTCTTATAAGGACTCAGTCCTGTTGGATTAGAGCCCTATCTTTATGACCTCATCTAACCTTAATCACCTCCCTAAAGGCCTTATCTCCAAATGTAATCACGTTAGCAGTAAGGACTTCAATATATGAATGTTGGGGGTGGGGGAGGATATAATACAGTCCACAAAGGGTATAAATTAATAACTCTTCAGAGACACTTTGGCAGCATTGTTTGAAATCTATTGTGTACGTATATGGTTTAACATTTTTTTATCCTGCATATGTTTTTATTTTAAATTCAAAATGCTATCAAAAAGTAGTTTACATATTTAATAAATACTAATGGCTTTTAGAATTGAAATAAAGAAAAAAAAAGGTCAGGGACATGAATTTCTTACAATTTCATGAAGCCTTAATTAACTATATATTGTAGTTTACATGAATATCAAATAAATATAAGAAACGAGAACCATACATCAGTGAAAGAAACATTCCTGGAGTGGTTGGGGAATCGAAGAGTTCATGGAGAACACTTCAGTTAAATAAGGAGTTGAAAAATCAAGAGGAAGGAAGAGACAAAAGGAGCAGAGGAGACAGGCAGAAAGAAAGAGAAAGAAGAGGACCTTGCAGGAGAGGAGAAAAATACAAAGATGGAATTAATAGGTCTGCAAAAGAACTAGTCTAAGAAAATGTGAGGGTTTGTAACAGTAGAAAGTTCAGGATGAATACATTGTAGTCACAATACAAAAGTCCTTGAGGCTAAGCTGAGAAATTTATATTTTGTCATTTTGAAAAAATAATTTTGACCATGAGTGCTACTAATAAATCACTATGTGGTATCCCGGCAAGATAAGTCTTACGACAACATGTGAACCTGCTCAATTTCCTTTGAGCCTCTCTCCAATTTTTTTCTCCTACCACATGAACCTGGGTACCTGCATTAATTTATTCTACCATTTTTTAAAGATTGGTGTTCTGTTTGAATGGCTGTTATCAAAAAGACAATATATAAGTGTTGGAGAGAATGTGGAGAAAAGGAGACACTTGCCCACTGTTGATGGAAATATAAATTAGTACAGCCATTATGGAGAACAGTTTGGTGGTTCTTCAAAAAATTAAAAATAGAACTACCATATGATCCAGCAATCCCACTACTGGATATATATCCAAAGAAACTGAAACCAAATGTCAAAGAGATATCTACACTCCTATGATGATTGCAACATTATTCACAATAGCCAAGATATGGAATCAACCTGTGTCCATCAACTGATGAATGGATCAATAAAATATGGGATATATACATAATGAAATATCATTCAGCCATAACAAAGAAAAAAATTTGCAACTACTTGGATAAACCTGGAGGACATTATGTTACATGAAATAAGACAGACTCAGAAAGACATATTCCTCATGGTCTTACTTGTATGTGAAATCTTTAAATGTTGATCTCATAGAAGTAGAGAGTAGAATGGTGGTTATCAGGAGCTGTGGCAGTGATGTTGGGGGTATGCTGGGGAGATGTTGCTCAAAGATAACGAAGTTTCTGTTTGGTAGGGGAAGTAAATTCAAGAGATCTATTATACAATATGGTGACTGTAGTTAATAACAATATATTGTATTCCTGAAAAATGTTAACAGAATAGATTGTAAATGTTCTCACCACAAAAAATGACAACTATGTGAAGTAATACATATGATATCAAGCTTGATTTAGCCATTCTACAATGTATACATATTTCAAAACATCATATTATACATGATAAATATATATAATTTTATCTGCTAATTGAATAAATAATAAAAGTTTGGTGTTTTGTATGCAACTTAGAGACAAATGAACAGATGGCTTTCTGTCAAGTAGTGTTACATTTCTTCAGCTATATTCTGATGCTGAGCAGAAAACAGCAGTGTAGTATATAAATAAGCAAAAATACTGATACATGTGCCCCATTGCTGCTCAACGTTCCCTATATTACAGTGCCAATTCATATTTTATTTATAAAATAAAATATTTGTTTATATGTATATATATTTAATCAGAGTCAGCATAAGCTACCAATTTAGCAAAGTGAGTTTTAAGCTGATATCACCAGGCATTGTTATTTATTTTCAACCTTTGTCAACAAGGAAGAATCCTAACATAGCTACAGGACCCAGCCCATCATACCCATTCATCCTTGAGATGGAGATATTTATTGCTCACCAGATATCAGATATCCATTTATCCCCCATGTTTCTCCACCCCTTGCATTTAAGCAACATGTTCAGTACAGTGGGCTGTAAGAGGAAGTGATGTGTGTCACTTCCTCATTAAGGCATTTAAGAGCCTGTGCTCAGCCCTCCAGATGTCTTCTTTTGCTGCTGCTGTAATCCTGAAGGCTGTGAGTTGAGCCACAAGAAGGATGTACCTAGAGAGCTCTGTCACTGCATGAGAGAGAAGTGGCCTGGAGAGTCTTCCTACTCACATCAGGATTTGTGTAAACAGGTTATAACCTTTATTGTGTAAAGCCTCTGAGACTTAAGCCTTACTTTTCTGACTAATCTAATTGTTTATCCTTCACCTACTTGTATACTATTTTTACTGCCTTGAATTATGTTGAGATGCTTCAGACAAGACTAGATCATTTCTACTAAATCAGCTTAACCCAGCCCGTTAGTCCTCTACAATAGCCTGGAGCTTCTGGGTTTAGAGATGAAAGGAGATAATTCTTACTGTCTACCTTACCCAAGTTCTCTGCTCCACTGAAGACCATATGTTATTTGCATAGGAATTTGCTAACAGCTCTTAATCCTTTCAAATTATATTTTGAAATAAGTTTCCTTTGCAAGAAACATAAGTTTCTCTTAAAAGGAACTTTGACAAAAGCTCCAAGAAAGAAAGATCATTCTCTGATATTTTCAATTATCAGTGCCTTTGGGACACCATGACTTCCTTCTACTCACAAATATGTAGATAACTAATTCTATAATAAGCACATTAGGGAGTAGAACTGGTTTAGTAGCATGTTAGACTAAATGATTTTATGTTGGCATCTGCTTTCCTATTTAAAAGACTGCTTGAATAATAGATATTTTCCCAACTGTTTTGGACATTCAGTCTTCAATAGCTAAAATATTGTTATCCTGGACAAGTGCACTAAATTACATGAATTGCTCAAAATCTTGGTAGGTCAGATTGATAGTGGAGGTGGAGTACAATGTTATTGTTGTTTATTTGAGAATTGACTGAATAGCTTAATGCTAGTCATTGAGGTTAAGCTTAGCCTTTAGAAACACTATTCGGAGGCCAGGCTTGGTGGCTTACACCTGTAATCCTAGCATCTTAGGAGGCCGAAGTAGATGGATCACCTGAGGTCAGGAGTTCAAGACCTGCCTGACCAACATGGTGAAACTCTGTCTCTACTAGAAATACAAAACTTAGCTGGGCGTGGTGGCACATACCTGTAATCCCAGCTACTCTGGGGACTGAGGCATAAGAATCACTTGAACCCTGGAGGCGGAGGTTGCAGTGAGCCGAGATCACGCCATTGCACTCTAGCCTGGCAGCCTGGGCAACAAGGGTGAAACCAAAGAAAGACAGAAAGACAGAAAGAAAGAATACAGGATTCCAGCAACTTCAGGCATCTTGATTTTTTTTTTTTTTTTTTTGAGAGAGAGTCTTGCTGTGTCACCCAGGCTGGAGTACAATGGCACGATCTCGGCTCACTGCAACCTCCATCTCCCGGGTTCAAGTGATTCTGTTTCCTCAGCTTCCTGAGTAGCTGGGATTACAGGCATGCACCACCATGCCCAGCTAATTTTTGTATTTTTAATAGAGAGGGGGTTTTGCCATGTTGGCCAGACTGGTCTTGAACTTCTGACCTCAGGTGATCCACCCTCCTCAGCCTCCCAAAGTGCTAGGATTACAGGCATGAGCCACCACGCCCGACTGATGTTTTGCTTATCTGGCAAAGTCTATCAAACATGAGATTTAAAAACTAAATGATACTTACAATGTGTTTCGAAGGAAACTAAAGAGTATATCCTGGCTCAACAATCCAGGGAAGATTTTATCTTGATGACTTTGTTGTTTAATAAAACCTGAGTTCTTACAGCCGTTGAGGAAACCACAACATGGCAACATTTTCTCCAGGAGACTCTGAAAATCTGCATGAATTTATCATTATAGCCTCAATGCTGTAGGTAGCAAATAACTTGGACATAAATATGAGAACAGCCAAACATATATGCAGCCTAAGCACATTGCATGCATATCTTATTTTACGGAGTAACCAGCTAATAAAAGCTGACTTCGTTTATAGCTGAACAAGTATTTTGGGTTCCTCATTAAATGATTTACTCAGCTTACTTTGTGATGCCAGTGTGCAGTGTACATCCTATTCTCTGCCTTGTGTAGGCTAACTCTTAAATATAATTGTTAAGCAGTTGACTTTGTCATGTGTTGTAAGTCATGATTCTCAACAGTGTTCATATCTGGCTCTAAAAGGTTCTGGAAGGTAGCATAAGCACACCTGGTAGAAATAATGGAATGATATAATGGGAGGCAGAACTGTGGCTGAGTATACTACAATTTGTTCAAGAAGCTGAATGTGCTGAGTAAAAAAAGTACTTTGTAGGTAATTCTAGTAAATTAAAAGTTGCCATCAGTGTAATATCATTCCTCAGAGAAGCCACAAGCCCTTAGGCTCAAAATTGTCTCTAGCCAGAGTTGAAGACCTAAAACCAATTCTCAGTGTCTGTGGAGTTGGTATGTAGCTAAAAGATTTGGGCACTTTCTAGCCTTGTGATGCTGGGAAGGACACTTAAACTCTCTTGGCCTGTTTTCTCATTTGTAAAGTGGGGACAATAATAGAGGATGATGGTGAGGAATAAATTACTTAATATATATGAAGTGCTTGGATCATTGTCTAGCACACAATAAATTATGTATAAATGTTTGCTAATATTATTTTAGGCATGTTGCAGCCACTTTATATAATGAATCTAATGTTAAAACTATGTTGTTAATGTTGTAAAAAAATTAGTGTTAAAGTAATTTAATGCTATTTATATGGGTACAAAGGATCACTTCTAACTATCCTATGTTAATTTAAAATTTCGTATGCCTTGTGGAATAGGCCATAAGTTGCTCTTTAAAAATAAATCCCTGAGAGTATGTATCTCTTTCTCATAAAGTCTAGAAAATTATAGTTATTTCTATTTTTTATAATAAACAAAACCTCATAAAAGTCAAGCTTATGTGAAAATGGGCCATTCTTTTTATGACTGATAGGTATTGGGTACCCTGAATTTTTTAATAATCGTCTCATCCTTTGGCCAATAATTTCCCAATTCTTTTGGGATGAAATAAGCTTTTAAGTATTTAGGGTTGGAATTTCACTTTCATTCATATGTAACTACTGAGTTAATTTTTGGAAAGACTAAAAGACAGGATTTTTTTTAGTGTTGTTTTTAATATTACCCAAATAATGAACATGCTCTTTGATAACAGATAGGTTAAATGTTTTCTGTAAATGGCCAGATAGTAAATGTTTTGAGCTTTGCAGGCCATATAGTCTGTCAGAATCATTCAAGTCTGGCATTATGGCATGAAAGCAGCCATATACAACGTGGAAGTGCGTGGGAGTGGCTATGTGCCAAAAGCACTGTATTTTTTAAAAAAGGCAGCAGCAGGATGGTTCTGACCCATGGACCATAGTTTACTGATTCATATTTTATAAAATTCATTTTTTTTCTTATTTTTACTAGGGTAAAAGACATACACATAGAATGTGTACTCACACACTTATCCATATGCATATGTGCTTACTTAAAAATCATGAAGATGAAGCACAAAAAACAAGCACTTTAAGAAATTTAAGAAAAATACATAATTTCAAGAGAAAATAAAACAGATATTCTATCCAGCATTCATTTGTTAAGTACACAAAGACTCTTTCTATCCAAATAAGCTCCAGAGCTGGCCTACCATTCTACTTTAGTTCTAAAACCAACTTAGAAGGTTTAATTTGCTAATAATCAAAATTGTCCTTAAAAATTCTCTAAATAGTCTGAAGTTATTGTGCATAGAACTCTGTATTATACTGTTATATATATTCCAAATGTGAGAACCACTGAGCTGGACTAAAGAAAAAAAAAGCTATATGCAAAGATTTGGACGGTCAGACCTTTCTTTTTAAAATAGTTATCAAATTATTACAGGGAATGGAGAATTCTACCATGTTTCTTCTTGCCTGCAGACATTTTTAAATGTTTATTTAAATGTTAAGACATTCTAACTTTAATATGTACTAATAGGACTTGTTTGCTGCTGCACATTGTGTGTAAATATTCACAGATTAAATGAGCTAACACATGTAAAAGCACTTCATACACAGCTCTGGCCCAGACCATATTTTTTGCTTTTGAATCAAACTTATGTCTGCTCATATCCATATACACATTGGTCCTTAGAGGTTCATACAGAAGAATTGAGCCATCTGCATCTTGTCTTTCCAACTTGCATTTCCTAGTGGGTCTTAAAGAAGAGTTAATAGGTGTCAGAGTTTGAGTCTGGGTTCCTTACCTGTAGAGCAACATCTTCCTAGAAGATATGACGGGGTCCACTCTACCAGGAGTAAAATCACACAGGTCCTGACAAAACGCATGGAGATACATAGATTTAGATACCTAGTATAAGAGAGCTGGACTATAAAATGGCCCTCAGCTCTGCAATCCCTTATGTATTGTGCGTCCTTTGTAGTCCTCTATAGATGAAGATAGTTACACCTGAATGGCTTATGAAGTAGAAAACAAGCCTCGTGCTTTCTAGTAATTCTGTTTATTTCTACATACCACTTCAGTAAGAAGTATTCTGTATTGTTCTAGGTGGAGTTCCTAAGCAGAACTGCTAATCCAGAATGACATTTAGGATTCTGAATGTCAAAATAAGTTTAGTACTCCATGGAGAAAATTTAATGAGTTGTTAAAAAATTCCTCTCCATCCTGTGCTGGAGAGAATCAATGCAGACTGGGCTGGAGGCCCAGTCCTTTAAAGATTACTGGATATAATTAATGATTTACTAGAATGAATGTATTCTCTTGGGAGAAAATATGATTGTCTGCTATTTATTAGCTGAAGACAATTTAAAAATTTATTCTCCCTTGGATGTAATACCTATAAAGTGCCATTGGAGTGGTTTTCAAAGTGAGAAAAAGCATGCAGCAGTTAGCATTTTCACTTTTCTATTCTATCTGTGATAGTTCCCAGCCAGTGATAAATGCTCAGTGTATGACCACTATAAAGAACCATGATGATATCCATCTCATAGTCTTATAGTTGCCAGAAGAGAAAGCCACAAGATGAATTCTGTTGTTGAGCTACTTGATGTGATTAATGTATATGGATCAGGGATTAAACTATTAATTTTCTATTTTTTTAACAGAAAGAAGCCAGAAAATATTATCAACCCTTTGAGAACACGACACAACGAACTTTATATTTTACCACTTCCTTGAATAGGTAAGACTCTCTCTACTCTGAAAGAGTTACCTACAAGTGTGAAAAATAACTCTTTGCTAACCTTTTGTTTTTTAAAATCTTTAAATAAGTAACAATTCATTTTAGTAATGGAGAAATAACTTATAAATAGTTATTTCTAATATTTTAATAGTTATAGCTAATAAATTCAGTGTTATTAAAACAGCACTTCATAGTGTTGAGTTGACTTAATAGTAAGAAAATGACAAGCTCTTTCTCTTAAATCAGGATTGAATTCAGCCTGTCTCTCCTGCCTTGGTTGACAATGCCAACGGTATTTCTTCAGTACCTGTTACATGCCAAGCATGATCCTACATGACTTAATTTGCATAAATCAATTCATTTACTTCTTACAACAGTTCTATGACGTAGATATGGGGATCATCCCCATTTTAGAGATTAGGGGCATGAGGCAGAGAGAGAAGCAGGTGGATGCAGGGATTCACCTGAGATTGCATACATGGCTTTGGAAGCAGGCACTGGACAGAACACCAGCCCCAGCTGTTATTAGGAGAGTAGTTTCATGTTGTGGTAGAAATGTCTAGCAATCAGACTTTCCTACATTTTGAGTAGTTTTTATCAAAATTTATGGAATAAAAATAACAGTGCATTTACTGAACGCGCTATAAATGCATAGCAGATAAACTTTTATGTTTGCATTTGTTCCTCACAAAATTTTTGCATGAGTAAATAAAGGAATATATATGCTTTAGCTCAGTTACAAGCAGAAATAATATTTTCCTTTATTTTACATCTTTCTTTAAACTCAAAATTCCTATGATAAAAGCATAATAAAATTATGGAAAGATTATAAATGAATGATTTCTTATTCTAGGAAATATATTTCAATTTAGTTTTTTTAAATTAGAAGTACTGAATATATAATCTTAAATTGGCCACAGCAGTATTCACTTTCTTGTTTTTATTATTTGTTTTTAAGCAAGAAAATTTATAAGATGTTCAAAGCAAAATATAAAAAAATATTATAGGCCGGGTGTGGTGGCTCACACCTGTAATCCCAGCACTTTGAGGCCAAGGTGGGCAGATCATGAGGTCAGGAGTTTGAGATCAGCCTGGCCAACATAGTGAAACCCCATCTCTACCAAAAATACAAAAAATTAGCCAGGTATGGTGGTGGGCACCTGTAATCCCAGCTACTGGGGAGGCTGAGGCAGGAGTATCTCTTGAACCTGGGAGGTGGAGGTTGCAGTGGCTGAGATCACAACATTGCACTCCAGCCCAGGTGACAGTGCAAGACTCTGTCTCAAAAAAGTATATATATTACAGCAAATACCTAAGCATCCACCACACAGATTAAACAAATGCTAACATGCAGCTATATTAAAATCTTGTCTAAAAAAATAATCACAGAAGTCATCAAAGCTCTTCTTGCTTCCTTTTTAGTTTCTTCCATTCTTCCAGAGATGTCAAAACCCTAAAGATCATATAACCTTCCTGTGTGTGTTCTAACACTGCTATGACATGTGTAAGAAACAAATGTTGAACAATTATTAACATTTTAAAAGTTTACATGAAGGGCATCACACTGTAGATATTCTTTTGCATCTCATCTTTACCCAATATTATATGTAGAGATTCTTTCATATCGAGGCATGAAGATCTGGTTGACACCTTCTGTTATAAAGTTGACTCATCTTAATGTTTTAATCTTCTGGTGCCTAGTATTATTAATTATTATTTCTAAATAACTTTCAGCATTTTAAAGGTTTAATGTTAAAATGGTTTAAGCATGGCTTGCAAAACTTATTTGAGATTTATGTATAAGGAATTCAAAGTTTTTAATATATAATATCATGCCAATCCTGCTTATGTTTTATTTTTTTCAACTAGAAAAACATTTTTTTATTTGGTTTGTAAGGATCTTACTAATCTAATGGGACTCATGATTTTCATTCTTTTGCTATAACACAATAATTAGAATCTGTTTTATTTCCCTATACATGAAACACTTACTATTCCCAAATATAGTATAAATTACTACCTTTGGAATTTAAGATACTTAAAAGTGAAATATCTTGGTCTGGCCTATGTTAGTTGCTCATATTCTAGAAAATAATGGAGGAAACTAAAAAAGAAATTTTTTTTCAAAATGTTTTCTAACACTATAGCTAATTTTAGAATTTGTTTAAGGTAAAAGAAATGTTAGTATATGGTAGTGAAATAGTAGACATAGACTCTCTCCCAACTTTTATTTTCTGAGAGAAGTAAATTATTTCGTCAAAGTTGGGGGAGGAAGAGGAATAGAAGACTAACCTTTTTGGGCAAATTTGAGTAAGTAAATTTGAGATTTTATATAAGTCTCTTAGGTCAGAAATGCATTACCATTTTGCATAGGAGGCAAATAAGGCCCAAATACCTCAGGTAACTTACTCAAGATCATATAATGATTGCAGAGCCTGCATTCAAACTCATCCCTTTCAGGCTCTGAAGCTATTCTGCCTACCAGAAAATAAATTGGAAAAACCTAATCTGTTTGTCACATATATAGAAATTTTATTCATGCCACTAATATTTATTGGGATCCTTTTATGTGAGTTGAGGTCCAGTGTTAGGAAAGCAAGGAAGACACAGTACCTAAAATGAGAAACAGTCTATTGAAAACCACGAAGATTAATTTAGTGATACCACTAAATGTGACTATTTAATTAGACATTTTTATTTTGCTGTGATATCCTCACACTGCTTACCAGGTGATTACCTTTGAAATTGCCTAGCCATGCCAATTCAATTAAACTGGATAGGATAATAGGAGTGAAAATGTTTTGCAAATGACAAAATCTTTGCAATCATTTGCTAATATTACTAATTCTCATATTCCATGAATTTAGAGTTGAATACTTCTATCCTAACACATGTACTTCTAAATGTGTTTGAAGTTTGAGTCTTACTAACTTATGTAGAATTCACATATTTTTCGGCCGGGCACGGTGACTCACGCCTGTAATCCCAGCACTTTGGGAGGCCGAGGCAGACAGATCACAAGGTCAGGAGTTTGAGACCAGCCTGACCAACATGGTGAAACCCCCGTCTCTACTAAAAATAAAAAATTAGCCGGGCATGGTGGCACGTGCCTGTAATCCCAGCTACTCAGGAGGCTGAAGAAGGAGAATCGCTTGAACCCGGGAGACGGAGGTTGCAGTGAGCCGAGATATTTTTCACACAAAAACCTTAAATATTACAGTGCAGTGGTTAGCAACTCTGAAAGTTTGTTTGTTTCTAACAACCACCACCTGTTAAAGGCATGATTTAATCTCTTTAAGACTCAGAGTAGATAATTACAGTACCAAGCTCATGCCTGTCCAGGATCTTATCATGCCTTATCATCTCTACCTATATCATTCACATCCACTGTCTCTCATGTTTACTACTATCATAATCCCCTGTACTCAGTCTTGTTCTTCTACAGTCTATTGTTCACATGGAAGTCAGAATTATCTTTTAAAAACATCTTAATCAATTGATATGACTCTCCTATGCAGAATCCACCAATGACTGCCTGTAATAGTCAAAAATAAAGCCCACACTCCTACAATGGCCAACAAGATGCTACATATACTGGCATCTTCTACCTACATCATCTCGACATGATCTCCTCTCATGGAGGGCAGAGACTATGATGTTCAGAGCTGTATTACCAGCCCCTAGAACTACCACCTATCCTGGTGGATGGACCCTCACTTGCTGAAGGGATGACTAGGTATGCAAGGGTTACCATGGAACAATGTAGGTAGATGCTCTGCACACAGAGTACCTTTAATGCAGAACAGTGATAGTCGTTGCCCTTTTAAGGATTCCTTTGGTTTGTTTCAACAGAGGCCATCACATCTGCAATGCTAAAGCACTTTCATGTTTTTGACTCATGATTTTATAGCATTATGAGAAACTTTACTTAGCTGATTTATAATTGCAAGCCATAATGTATAATACCAAAAGAAAGAAAAATGCACATAGACAAATCAGGAACTAATTAGCTGGATGAGAAAGCCAGTTGAAGAGCAGAAAATATTTATTATTCCTTGCAGTCTTTTAACTAAATAATAATACTAAGATTTACCACATTCAACATAGTTTAGATTTTACTTTATCTTCAGAATAGATTTATATCTCTTCATCACTCATAGATGAGCAAAGTTTATCCTTTAAGATAATTTTCTGTAAAATAGGCTGGGTTTTTGTTGTTGTTGTTGTTTTATTTTTATAATATTCCTAGGAGAAGCACTTGATGAGTGTTTATATCATTGAGAACATTTGGCAAGAGAAAGACAAACAGTAGAACCACAATACCCCAACATTTAAGGAAATGAGAAAGAAAACCTGGTATTTTCACCATCCTCTCTGAAAATAAATACTTTGACTTGCACTGATTACTACTTCATCAGCATTCAACTCCGCTCCGTGGCACTCTGTGTGAATAATTTTAAAGGCAGATTAAGCATTCTAAAAATAAATTCTATTGGTAAATTAGGATATCAGATGCTTCCATTATAAAAGCCTATCCTATTCTGTACTCTCAGCTGGCAGTCATATCCAGATCTCAAGCTACTCTGGCTCTTATTGAACAAGAACCTATTCCAGGAGTGAGGTTTTGAAGAGGGATCTCTCATGGTTAACTAGAGACAGAAAGAGGCAGAATTGCCCACATACTCTGGCAGGAGTTAAAATAACAATAACAGCCCTCCTACTTAACAGGCTGAGTCATCAGCACATTCTACTGATTTCTCAGTAATTCTGGGCAGATTGTTTGGGCTGGAATTCTGTAGGCAGAGGTGGGCACCACCTGCTTCAAAAGGCTCTAGTTCTTATTAGGAGGGTGCTGTTATTAAGTCTTGTCTTTTAACTGTTTGACCAAATGGAGATAGGAAAAGAAAACAAAAACGGTGCTGATGAGCACTTTTTCTAATGCTTAGAATTTTTAAAAATGGTGGTCCAGGCATGGTTACTATGCAATTAGTTCTTTTACTGGCTATAAGTCACTTTGCTTAAGCAGAATAGGGAAGATTATTTTATGGTTGCTGAGGGACCTCATAATCCAAGGGCTCAGAAACAGATCTTATGAGGGTCTAGAATCAGGAACTAAACATCAGCCAGGAACTAAGGCCACCATTCTCCCAATCTCTCTGGGGCTCCTCAGCCCGATCCCTCTGTAGCTCTCTTTAATTCAAGATGACTATAGATAACTCTTTACGTAGAGACTGGATTTCCCTACTGCCCATTACACAAGCACAACTCTCAAGTGTGCTTTCTCATGAATGCCAGCTTCAAGCAGTATATTAATTTTTAATGACCTGAGCTGCTTAGCTAATAAGCTGTGATCAATGGAATAGACCAGGTGGTGCATATATAGTTGCCAGGATCCTATACCTATGGGTGGGAAGAGGGAAGAATAATCAGTGAAATGGAGTCTCAAAAGCTATTAAAAATCTCATGGTACAGTTTATTTATACCCTAAGTCTTCCCTTCCACAAAATTCCCCTTTATTGAATTTTATTGTTGTATAAAGAGCCAAAGAGTAGGATGTTAAGAGATTAGAAGAGCAGGGAGTATAGCCAGCCTCCAAGGGAAAGACAAATGGATAAAGGACTTCTTGACTGTGGTTTTTGTGTAATTGATACTTTAGGGAGTGTTCACTACATACTATTTTTTCCTTCTTCTTCACATACTTAGGTATATTTTATGGTTGTCAACTCATGAAAACCCTATTACTGATCAAGGGTCTTCCATATTGGTTGGTGCTCAGAAACTGAGGATGTTTATAAGCCCTTAAAAGTCTTATTCAAGCTCTCCTTGTCCCTTGAGCTAGAAAGTAGCATTTTTCAAGATTGAAGGGAGCTACAAGCAAAAAAAAAAAAAAAAAAAAAAAAAAAAAAGAGAGAGAGAGAGCGAGAATAGATGGAAAGCAAAATGACTGTCATAGACAAATCTAGAGACAGAACAAGCAGCTTAAGGAAGCATTTCAGGTGCAAAGTTAGCATTCAGCCTTTAGCTTGCCACATTTTCCTGTAAAAATAAAACTGCTTATAAGATGCATTCATCTGTCTGTCCTGTCCCTTTGATGCAATATGAAAAATGTGAACTTAGCAAGAGATGTGCGGGTATGTGGGTGTCTGTGTGTTTACATGCACAACTTAAACCAACGTTTCAGTACACATAGTTCCAAAGACCACTCTTCTACAAAACTTGGCATGAATGTGATTATGAGTTTGGGATGCTTTAAAACCTCAGTCCTATGGTCATTGAAACGAATTTTAATTTGAGGATACAGTGTGATATGAGGAACTTTGCAGGCAGACCCTTCAGCTACTGTCCTGTGGACCTGGCTGTTCCTGAGGAGGTGAATGGCCATTTTCCCACAAGTGGTATGTTTGGCCGGTTCCCCTTTTGTCCCTCAGGCTTCTGTTGTTGGCAAAAAAAAAAAAAGTAGTTAACAAGGAAACATTTTTCTTAATGGTCATAATCTAACTGCAGCATAATACCTGCCTAATTCTCACTGAAATATGAAACCAAATATATAAACTTATTTTCGAGCCAATCATCATTTTACAGGAGAGAAAAGAGTATGTGATGAAGCAAAGATCTTTCTATTTACTCATTAAAAAATATTTTAATCCTACCTTGTTCAAGTCTCTGTTCTATAAAGCATGAGAAATCCAAGTAAGGGATTGTGTAGAAGCATGAAACTGCAACATGTGTTAAAAGAAACAGCAAGTCCATTTTAATTGGATTATGTAAGGTAGTAGACTGAGTTGAGTCAAAAGGGGTAAATTGAAATAGGACTGTGGAGATGCTATAAAACCTAACCTAGGGGCATGCACTTTATTCATTAGATAGTGGGGATTCCGTGGGCAACACGGTTTCTGGCAGAGCAATGATGTGATCAAACTTGAGTTAGGAAGTTTGATTACACTGGCAAAGATATGTAGAATGAATTAGACAGTAGATTCTGAAGCAAAAGAAAATTGGAGGTTTGCATCACTAATATGTATTTACACCTTCAATATGTGGCAGTGGACAAGAAAGTGAGTGGAAAAGAAACCTGTAGCTGAGGATAACAGTCAGGACTGGAATTATGGACTAGGTACTCATCTACATATCCAGTATCTGAACTATTTGGAGTGAAGGGCCATGGAGAAGAGAATAATGCCAGAAAAGAGCAAAGAACATTAGGGAACATTCACATTGGTGGGGAGAAGTGGAGAAACAGAGAAAAATGAGAAGGATATTTAGAAGAAGGAATCATGCCTATCATGAACCAAGGTTGTTATTACAGAAAATGACATTTAAGTCAAGAAGAAAGAACGAACAACAAAAAAGTGTCATACTTCGTGCTTAATAGATTCTCAGTGACTATTAAGAGACAGGAAAACAACAGTAACTACAAAGTCTCTATCTTCAACTCCAGTCCTGAGACCACCAAACACAAAGTTTCTACCATGCTCTGGCCATGCCCATCCAGATATGCTGTCGTCAGTCATCACAAACACACATGTCCCTCTGTGCTCTTCCTGGCACCCAAAGTTTTAATGTATCTCCGTTGCTATCCATCAAGATATCCAAGTAGAAATCCAAGAATCTATTGTTTAATCCTCTTGCTTTAATTCCTAAATCTGGCCAGGCACCAGATTCTGAAGTATCTCAGAAATCTGAGCCATCCTCTTCCTCACTCTTACTCTCTCAGCCCAGGGCGTCTACCAGAACCTTTCAGTGGCCTTTGATTAGTTTCCCTCTTCCTGAAATTCTTTATAAACTGACTCTCCTCCATGCTGTCACTGTGTAATTTTCAGTGTATATCAGATCATTTCTTTTTCCTACTTCAAATTTTCCTACAGTCTAAAGCTCCAAACATATTAAATGCCATTTAGAACACGTCAAAGCAGCTGTTTCTGGACAATCTCCAGTCTTTCCTTTCTACTCGATTGCCTTTTCTTCATTCTAACCTCAGCAGGTGACTTGTACTTCCTCAATTTAATTATTTATTTTTGTATGCCACGTTTCTCTCATGTTACAATCACCTTTGTTATTTCCGTTACTCCTGTCTAAATACCCGTGTTCCCCTTGTCTGCCTTCCAAAAGCCTATGTCTGTTCAATTCAAATGCCATTCCTTCTATGAAGCTTTTTCTCCAGTCCTAAAAAAGTGGTATTAATTGTGCCTTTAGGCAATAAGGGGCATCTGGTAGCCTTTTAAATGTATCTGCACTATAGAAAAATCATCTTGGCGTGTCATTATTCCCATCCAGTTGGTGAAGTCTCAAAGGCAAAAGTTTCACCGCTTCCAAAACCATGTTATTCGATTTTAAACAAAACAATACTTAATAAATTGTTGTTAATAGTTGTTACTAAGTTATGAGTAAAATAATGAGTACGTGATAAGTAAATGGATTAAAGAGGTGAAAAGAAATAAACTGTAGCCTTGAGATAGATTTACAAAATAGATTTTATGGTGATGGTTACTGTTTGTCATCCTTTCGTGTGGTAGGGAAGGGGGTTTGTTTTGGGTAGGAAAAAAGACTAGGTTTGTAGTCAGAAAGCAAGAA
Source organism: Homo sapiens (assembly GCF_000001405.40). Classification (NCBI taxonomy): domain Eukaryota; kingdom Metazoa; phylum Chordata; class Mammalia; order Primates; family Hominidae; genus Homo; species Homo sapiens. The sequence goes on from NC_000002.12 coordinate 209,633,701, forward strand.
AAGGAGGAAGAATGAGCTGGAATTGTGAGACCATGAAGGGATATATGACAAAATTTTGGAGGAGGCAGGAAAAGATACGTTAAAGAGCAAATAAATTAACAAAATAAGGGCCACCCATTCCTCTAAAGAAAGGTGACGACAATGAGGGCAAATGAAGAGGGCCTAGAGAGACAAGACATAGACCCTTTGCAGGGCTTCTGTTTTTTACCATCTCAGGAAAAGGAGGGCTTTCACTCTGCTTTTGGCAAACATCAAGCTGTCCTAAGATTCCCTGAATGTGTTTGCACATTCTGTCTGCACATTGGCCAGAAAGCAGATGTTACAAAAGGACCAACCCAGAAGCTGGGCCATCTTTGCTCCAGCCACACCGGAGAAGGGCATGAAGAGAGAAATTCAGGAAGAGCTGCAGGAAATTCTTTCCTCAAGTTTGCTCTCTCACTTCTCCCACTCCACCTCCCACAGGGTGTTCTAGTTGCTGTCAAGATTTGCTGTGCAGGCAATAAACTGGGGACAGTGACTTAAATGTTTCATTTAATCCTGCTACTTCTATTAGTCTCATCGATTTTTTGGAAAATCTCATTATACTTTTCTTCAAACCAAAAGGATTAGCTTATTGCTATAACAAACAGATCTAGAAATGTGTTATAACTTTGTTTCTTGCTCACCTAACAGTCCAGGTTCAGTGTTCCAGTTGAAACGTTGTTTGTCCTCTTCGTAGTCAGCCAGGGTCCAGACTTCTTCCATGTGTGGCTTTGCTTTGTCATTTTCTTCATCCAGCGAGTGGAAGGGAAAAGACCAAGGAGGAGCAAAAGGCAGCTGTACCTGAGGTGATCTTGGAAGTGTACACAGCACTTCTTTCTGTTCACCTGCCATTGGTTTGAACTCAGTCATTTGGACACACCTAATCGCAAGGGAAGTTAAGAAATGTACTCTAGCTATATGCTCAAAATCAAAAAAGATTTTGGTAAATGGTTAGCAGTCTCTGTTATACCAAGGGAAAATCTGCCTACAAATTAATATATTTGAATACTCAGATCAAGTAGCTCAAGCTGTGGCAAAAATAGATGTCAGTTATACCACAGAGATAAGAGTGTGGATTGTAACTTCAATATCATGTTAAAATAGTAAATGTATTAAATACACTAGTTTATCGAACTTAATTCTTATAATAATAGAGAAAGCAAGCATTTTGCTTGGGCAACATAGCGAGACCTCATGTCATCTCACAAAAAATAAAAATAAAAATTAGCTAGGAAGGTTGCACCTGCCTGTAGTCCCGGCTACTTGGGAGGCTGAGATGGGAGGATTGCTTGAGCCCAGGAGTTGGAAGAAGCTTGAGAGAGCTATGATCATGCCACTACACTCCAGCCTGGGTGACACAGCAAGAGCTCTGACTCTAAAAGAAAAAGAAAATAATAAATCAGATATTTTACATAACTCTCCTTATAGAAATACTCATTGTTTCCAAAATGATAATGACTTCAAAAGCATAGTGTCTATTGCCATTCTTGGTTTCTTCAGTAACTTCTTATTAAAGGAATCAATTGATTAATTAATGTAGAAAACCTCATTATGGAAAAAATAAATATTTGTACTTTAATGAGTTTCTAAAATTTATTATAAAAAGACAAATTGGCATAGCCAGTTAAAAACTCATTTTTGTACTGAAGAAGGATATATGGCCTTTTAAGGAAAAATGAAGAGTAAAATTATAATAGAAAAAAACCCTGAGTTGATGCTTTTGCAAAAATGTTTAAAAAACTGTGATGTTTTGATGAACTTACAAATAACCGTATATAGTCCTGACGTGATATTTTGTATTTGCTCCATCCATACTGTTTATTTGGATGTTTATAAACATTACTATTTACGTGGAGGGTAGCAGTGCACCTGGTTTATATGAAAGGAATATAGTGTGTTGCAGTGTTGCATGAAAGCTGTTCTGTTGGATAAATATTCTACAAAATCAATTTATCTGCTAAAAAAATTCTATAATTGGGTTTCTGTTTCCTGTGACTGCAGAATGCTTGGGTGTTTGCAAAAATACTGCATTGCAGTAAGTGTGTGATCACTGTTTTCTCCCTGAAAGTTAAAACGCATTTTCTCTTTGAGAGTAGGCGGCCATTTAATAGAATTCTCATGACATCAGAGAGCATTTCAAAGGGAAGAAAACTGGCCTTTCCTACAAGCATGTAAGCAAAGACAGTTTGATGTTTTCTTCTATGTGAGATTAAGTAGCCAGCAAGACCCCAATGTGGCTGAACTCAGGGGCTGATTCCTTCTGAGTATCTCTGTCAAATCATTCTTCCTAAGAAGTGTGATGATTTTACCTAAACCTAGTAATTTCTTGAGATTTTTACTCTTTTCTTTTATCACCCACCCTCTGCACTTTTCTAATGAATATCAAGGACTCCAGTTGTACCATGTGCTCAGTAATTACTACAGAAGGCAGTTTGATTCTGAGACAGTTGTAGTCTCTGTCAGAGAAATTTAGAATTCACTAAAGCAAATACTTCAGTGAGGGAGTGCCAAAGCTTGAGTCATTTACAACCATTGTGAACAGAGCTCTAGGAAAGATCCAGTAGTAATCAATCCTGAATAAAAAGCAAAGGGCCAACACAATCAAAAAAGACCTTTCTCTAACACAGACAGACTGCTGTGGCACTAGAAAGTTCTTCCTACTGGCCTACTGGGAAGCAGTGTGTAAGCCTTTTTGTTTTGAGCCTGTGTGTTCCTTTTTGGCATGTGTTTACAATTGGAGTGAGTCCTGTTTTTGGAGTGTGAGAATTCAAGAGAGAACTTTATTTTAAAAGCAAGGGGGATTGAAAATTATAGTACAATATAATGTTATATACGTATATATTATATATATATATATACACACACACACACTTATAAGCAACAGAATTGAAAATATAACAGCGTAATACATTGCATATGCACACTGATATATAATATCCATATACATACATCTATGGATTATTTAAATATACACTGTAAGATTTGACTGAAACATGAGGACAGGGAAATTCTTCATTGAAATACTATAGGGAAGTAACATACCAATGTATATTTTTAATGTAATTTTCTCATGGCAGAGCTGAGTAACTGTATTACATAGTTCAAAATATTTGTACATGGAAATCACACAGAAAAACATTCTAACTTTATTTTCTCCACAATAGTTTAAGTAATGACAAGCCTATCCTGCAATTATTCTTTCTGGCATCCAGGATCTACCATGCTTAAGAGCCTACAAAGACTTCCCAGCTTGTATAGGATCCTGTAGAGCTTCGTCAGGTGAATTTTTGAAATTATACATTAAAAGTCTAAAAATCACAGAATGCCAAATGAAAGCTCAGAACCTACCTGAATAGTATTCTCTACAAGCGAGTGTACTGCTGCTGTATTCTGCTTTTCTCAGCTCATCTGGAATCCCAGAAAGAAAAGGAGCAGTTCTGGCCGGGTGTGGTGGCTCTTACCTGTAATCCCATCACTTTGGGAGGCCAAGGTGGGCAGATCACTTGAGGTCAGGAATTCAAGACCACCCTAGCCAATATGGTGAAACCCTATCTCTATTAAAAATACAAAAATTAGCTGGGCGTGGTGGCAGGCACCTGTAATACCAGCTACTTGGGAGGCTGAGGAACAAGAATCGTTTGAACCCAGGAGTCAGAGGTTGCAGTGAGCCAGGTTCACATCACTGCACTCCAGCCTGGGCAATAGACTGAGACTGTGTCTTGATGAGATAAGACAAGATAAGGTGAGAGGAGATAAGGTAAAATAAAATAAGGTAAGATGAGATAAGATAGGATGAGATGAGATAAGATAAGATGAGGTGACATAAGATAAGATAGGAAAAGAAAAGAAAAATGGGAGCGATCAGTCCACAGTGGCCCTTTTAAGGATGCTGTTACCAGTAATACTTCTAACCTAACCATCAGCCTCACTGGTCCCTTTTTCTCCTCACTTACTACAGTGATTAAAATATAAAATTGCTATCCTTTGTTATTGTGATGGTTATGATGAAATGTTAAACATATGTTAGGTTTAATAGAAGATTAATTTTTGAATACCAGTGCATTAAAAAATTAATGTCTCCTTAAACTTTTTGTGATTTTTCTAAAATTTGTTTTATTTTAATATTAACTTAATCTTTTTTGTGTTCTTAATAATTTTTTTAAATTCACTCTTGGCTAGGTCCTATTTACCTAACTTGCATATGATGGGTCTATTTTTATATCTAAGTATTTTGCCTACAGGCCCACCACATAATATTGCCACATCTATTAAGACTTTTCCAAATAAGATTGGAATATTTGTCTTTGCAGAAAAATTAATTATTGTGGCAATTTAAGTACTTGAATATTTTTTCTAGCTCAATTTTTTAACGTCTCATAAATGTAAATGAATTGTATACATTTCAGGCCTGGAGGATTTAGCAAATGTATGTCCCATCATACCCCTCCAGAAGTTTGACAGAATACAAGTAGCATGCCATGGAAATCAACCTGATTCCTAGAATTCACTCTGGGGCACACTAAGATAAATCTACTCAAAGAGAGAAGTCAAACAGTATATGAAGGCTGATCCAGTTGGATCAAACTTGGGTTGCAAGGGAATTTCAGATGACAAGGATTCTCTGTATGCTTCCTTTTGGCCCAACTCAACTGATATCATGAATAAGGCTACTTTCAACTTAGAATTCCTCTGAATCACAATTACAGCTGCAGTGGGCACAGCACAACACAAGCAGCCTGCCCCAAATCCACCCCTAGAAAAAAAGAAAGAAGAGAAATGACTCTGCTTTATATGACTCATACGTTACTTATATATGACTAATATTTACCTTTCCCTGGAGAAAAACTAGTATTTAACATAATTAACTAGATCGTTGATGCTCCACAGATGTAGTAGGTTAGTATACTTTAAAATGCATGTAATACAAATGTTTTGCATCCATCCATTTTTCTTTTTAAATATGTATGACTCAGAAGGTTTTTACTCATGTAGTACCTATTTTATCCTCTATTATTGCATTTACTGTGTTATAATGTATGTTTTTTCAAACACATCTGCCTTTCTGAATACAGTGTAAGCAGTTTATGGTCAGAGTCTATATCTTAATCATCATCATTTTCCTAATGCCTAACAGCATTCCTGATATAAACCTGGTATTCAATCAATGATCATTGAATAAGATACTAGAAACCAACATAAATTAATCGATGGATTGATAATGATCTTAAAATTAAATGAAGGCCTGATACATGCTCATTAGAGATCATTATCAATCCATTAACTTATTTATTTTGCTTTCTAGTATATAATTCAGTAATCATTTATTGACTACCACCTTTATATCAGGCCCAGTGCTTTGGTCATTTAGGCTCTCTGTTGCTTAAGCAATCCTCCCACCTCAGCCTCTCAAAGTGCTGAGATTACAGGCATGAACCACCATGCCTGGCATCAGCACAAATTTTAATGAAAAGGAACTCTTCTGGACATCATATGTGACTGGACCACAAACTGAATTCAAAACATAATAATGTCAATACCCATCAAAATTGTATAAAACATGATATTTTATCATTCTTTTCAAAACATACATGTAAATAGATGATAGATAAATACTGTAATTCATGAAACAGTCTGTTAAGTTTATTAGACTGTATTAATTTGAGGATTAGGTTTTGTTTTAATTAATTAATTTTTTTGAACATAGAATCTAGCCCCTTGTTTCAGTCCCACTCACACTGCCATAGCTCAGGCCCAGTTCCTTTCAAACAACTGTCTCTGAGAAATGTTTCTATCCTTAGCCATGTCTTCTTCCAATTTACTTTCCATACCACTGCTGGATCAATCATCCTAAAAACCAAGCTCGAGTGTACCATTTTCTTTTCTCCATCTTTCATGGGCATCCATGGCCTTCAGGACAGAGTGCAGGCATGGCTCACCACATCCCTTTACAATTCTGCCATTGCCTGGCCATCGACCTCATTTCCACACTTCCCACTTCACTTCTGTTCCATAGTGAACAATTTTGTGCCTTACATGAGGTTTTTTTTTTTGGTTGTTAATGTTGTTCATTTATTTAGCGAGCATTTGTTGTGGAGCCTACTCTGTGCCACACACTGTACTTGGTGCTGGAGGTCAGAGATGAATTAAACACAGCCCTTCCTCCAGGAGCTCACAGCCTTGTGAGGGAGACATAGAGTAGAGAGGAACCTCTGACCCAGAGTGAGGGCTGGAGTTATGGAGATGCCAGAAGATGCTCATTTTGGTATCTTTCTAGAAAGTGTTGCCTAGCCCAAGTCTCAAAAACAAACAAAACAAAAACAAAAATGTAGGATTTGGTCATCTAGGCTCTTTCTTCCTAGAAAGCTTCTTGTCCTTTCTTTGACTACCTCCTACTTGTCCTTTAAACCCTCTTCCAGGCAGTGTTGATTGGCTTCCTAGTGTGGCAAGAGATGTTGACGTACCTCCACAACTTCCCGTCCTTATCACCATCACAGCATGTACCACACTGTATTATTGTTATTGGTTTGTCTGTCACCTCCTTCAACATGAGGGCTATATATTTTTTTCTAGTATTCCCAGTGTGTTCCTACTACTTGATACACAGAAGCCTGTCCATTAATTTTTTAAATACAGTTAAAAAATAATTAATTGCTTAATGCATTAAAATTTGTAATCTTAGAGTTGGACAACATCTTAGTAGTCATACATTCCAGCCTCCCATCAGTCAAAACCAGAATTGATTCTATAATGTTCATAACAGGATGGTCATTCAGGTTTTGCTTGCTTGAACACGTTCACTGATAAGGAATGCAATCAGGTTCAAAGAAATGCAAAAAAAAAAAAATACTATGACTATGCTGTAAATCTGTTTACACTTATATTTGGAATGTGATTTTAATTTGAACACGTTAGAGACAGAGCTTTAGTCAGATGGCTTGCATTTGTGGAGAAACAATTGTTCATCAGAAGATAAAGGGACTGAGCAGATCCCATAAAGAGAAGGGCACACAACAAATGGTATCCTGCTTATAATTCTCCAGGACTTTATTCTTCCTCTGTCTTAAATAGCCAAAAAGCCGATCCCACTCATAGAAAACTATCAAGCATCTAATTTTTGAATTTATGTTCTAATACATTCTCCAGTTTCAATTATCTATTCTTTTTTTTTTTTTTGTCTTTTCATGACTGCCATTTCTTCTCCAACTTTTAGAGTTTTGTTTTCTCTTAATTTTAATTCTAGCATCTTCTTCCATGATGTATAATATGGCCTCCAAGTTTACCTGGATCATGGCCCTGTTACAATACCAGAAAATCTCTAAAGCATCTAGTCCTCAAGTACTGATTGTTATTTTTAGATTGTTGTTAATCCCAGCCAGTGGCTTCTTCATAATGTGGCTCTCAGGTATCTCAAACCCAAGGATCTTCACTCTGTGGTGGTGCAAATACTTATGGCCTAAATTCTGCTTTGTAATGTCTGCAATTCTAGCCAATATTCTTCAGAGTTGTGTCCAAAGAAGATTTACTTTTATGGTATTTTGTTAAGTGAACCTGGACCAAGTCTGACAGGTCTTGAATCAGATTCCACACTGGAAAAAGTTTAAAACAAAATACATTATTTATCCAAATCCAAATTATAATTTTCCTCTTAAGCTTTTTATCCTGATATTTAAATGTATGCTTATGTAAGAAAAATTTTTATTAAAATTATGATTAGAATTTTTTCTCCTTATAAAGAAAAATTCTAATGTAGGGGTCAAAGTTTATTTGTTCAATGGCTCCATAGTTAGTTACATACTTATGAAACTAACACTCTGGTTTAGCATCATGTCCAAGTTTACGTATCTAGTAAGCGGTAGACCCAGGATTCACCCCTATTTTTCTGATTGAAAATCTGTTACTTATTCCACAATATCTCCAGTACCTAAATGCAAGTCCTTAATTCCTTAATTAAATATCACTGGTAGGGGTGGGGGGACTTAAAAAAAAGAAAAAAAAATTACTGGTAGAGACTAAAGCTCTAAAGCATTTTAAATATTGTTTATATCTAATATACAGGAGCTATTTATTAGTCCTCTGATATAATAAAAAATAGGCTCAGAAATAGTATACAGCTGTGAAGCATAAGTTGTATATCATGGTCACATAAAGACAATTGCCCAGTTTCATATGGTAGGTTGTTACCAATCGAGCAGGTTTACAAAGTTAGTGTTGTTATCTGGAGTGGATTCTCTTTTTAGCTCTAACCCTATTCCACCAGTCTCACTGCTTTGTGAAACAGCAAGCAATGGAACGGATGTTGGGATTTGACTTCTCCTTCCAGATCTCTCTGGAAGTGTCTAATTTGGTTAAATAATTGTATCTATTCTTGGTTTTTCAGTGTGGGTCAAACCATGTACTGAATCCTATTGCTGAAAATTTTCAAATAAAAACCATAAAATGGGCTGGGCACAGTGGCTCATGCCTGTAATCCCAGTGTTTTGGAAGGCTGAGGCAGAGGAATTGCTTGAGGCCAGGATTCCAGGCAACATAACAAGACCCATCTCTTGGTGGTGGATGGGGGGGATTAGCTGGCTATAGTGATGTGCACTTATAATCTTAGCTACTCAGGAGGCTGAGGCTTGCTTGAGCCCAGGTGTTTGAGACTGCAGCGAGCTATGATTGTGTCTCCGCATTCCAGCCTGAGTGACAGTGTGAGACCCTGTCTTTGAAAAAAAAAAAAAAGAAAGAAAAAGAAGAAAACACAAAATAATAACAAGTAGTAGGTAACATTTCTTAAGCCCTTCCAACTTGTCTGAACTTATACTTTATTTGTACTATCTATTTCTAGCAATAACCTAATGTTATCTGTGCCTATGATCATTTGAAATTACGTGTTATGCACCCACCAGCTCTCTTCTTTCTAATTGTTTATTAGTCATGGTATGTGATGAAGAATGATGAGTCATCCTTATAGGTATTTTACAATCAGCCTGAAATAAAGCAGGGAAGATATGAAACAAATATCTGGATTTTCAGCATATCTTTTTCATGTTATCAAGAACCTTTTCCTCTGTTTTTCTTAGAAGACAAAGAGGGAGAATATAGAGTTGCAGGCAGCTTATTAACAAATGTTTAAGCTTAGAACTTCTCAGCATTTATAAGCAAAAATATGGATTCTGCATAAACTTCTAATACCATTAAGGACCAAAACAAAAGTTTCTATTTTGTGATACTGATATGCATAGTAACAGTATAAAGCATAATTGAGCCTACATGGAAAAGAGAAACAATATTTATGTGCTTAATTGTATTACACAACTGGTCATTTTAGCCTTTTGTTCATCTGTGGATATGTAGCAGCACAAAATTATAAAACCAATGTTTTTGATTGAACTGGCACATTACATGATGATAGGGCAGAACACATAGAAAACATTCTAGAACTGTCTGTGCCGAACACATTATTAAAATGGAGACATGCCTATCTGGCACATAGTGTATTTTTCCTTTAGATTTTCCAAGACTTTATTGTTTCTCCTTTTGCCAATTTTTGAGAGTAGTTAGTGCTGCCTGGTAATAACTATCATCAGTAAGTATTCCTGTGCTTTGTGATCTTTCTAATATTGTAATCCAAAGAAAACCAGTGAGGTTTGTGATTATGTGGGAATCCCAGGAGGGAAAGTTCTATTCTTCTTAATGATATTTTCAGCACACATGTCTCAGTGATCTAGATACTAAATAATTCAATTACTTCTTTGAGAGCTTTACAAATTCAGAGTTATCTACCACACATTTGCACCCTGCTTATTACCCCACATCCACCTCCAAAATGATCTAATGGTAAAGAAAATTGTAACTCAATTTGAGATATTTTAATCAAGTGTACTTCTATCACAAACCATTAATGAATGCTAAGGGGTGTTTAAAGTAAATGTTCGAAAGACGATTTGAAAATGCCAGGGACTGCCCATTGTTTTCATAATGTGAAGTAGATTTTTTTTAACCATGGACAATTGGTAATTTTAAACATTCTTGGAAGATACTACAAGTAGGATTAGGCACAACAGAGCACTGCCTTATTCCCCATAAGCTAGAATACGAGCAGTCTATCTTGTGATTTAACTCCATCAACTCATCATAAATGTTCTGGACAAAGGAAGTGAAAGACCCAACTTCTATTTGTGAGAATAGTCATGTGACCTATCAACATAGTTGCCTTAACCCTTCACTTCAGTTAGTCTATAGGGATGTTCCATGTGTGTATTTTTATCACTCCTCATTCTTTTCTGAGGTCCTATGCAGCAAGCTTGGCTGAAAGCACTAGTCTTCAAATGTCAATGTATCAGAGTCACCCTATTGAGCTTGTTAAAATATCAATTTGCAAGTCCCACATTGAGAAATTCTAATTTGTTAAACCTGTGTTGGAGCTAATTGACTGAAAACACTGTAAGACACACTGGAATGGATGATCACCAAAGATCACTTCAGTTTTATGATTTTAAAACATTTTCTCCAATGGATTGAAGTAGTTTATCTTAAAAGTATTTCTAAACCTTTATATCATGTGGTTTCTATTATGATTACTAGACCTCTATCACCCCATTTATACAGATTTAGAAATGTTTTTACTAGACCCTATTCGTGTCCAGTAGTTTGTTTTACTTGGTGTTATTTTTCATATGCACCGGAGCATATGAAATGGAGTTAGAACTTGAATTCCATACTTCTACCATGACAGCCCTGAAAATTAGATTCAAAACTATTCCCCTCTTAACCCAATTTGCTATATAGTGTTGGCCAAACATCCACAGCAGGCAGAACCTTTCTGTGTTTACCCTGAGGTAGGTAATTGATTAATTAATATTCATTCAACATTGAATACATATTTGAAAGCTGGGAGGTGGAGGTTGCAGTGAGCCAAGATGGAACCACTGCACTCTAGCCTGGGCAACGACGTGGGACCCTGTCTCAAAAAAAAAAAAAAAAAAAAAGACAATGAAAATGAAAGCCAAAGTATGACCAAAGGCTGTTTTGATAGTTTTTTATATTGCTATCATGGTTTGGTTATGCACACCATACTTTCAAATAACCCCTTTTAGACTTCGAAGAAAAGGTATGGAAAACTTCAAAATTTTAAATGAGTAGAAATGAGAAAATTGTTTCTTTTTTAGTAAAATGTATTTCTGATTTGCATCCTTAGTCCTGGAGTTATCCAGAGAAAATAAATTCAAAATTCATCAATAGCTCAGACTGATGGCAGAGTTGTCAGGGACATTTTTTTCTGTGTGTTTCTGCTTACTTCTTATTTCTTTCCTTTAAATAGTCTGGGAAATATGACAGCTGTACTTTATTTTCTTGTGTCTGCAAGCCCTCAGGGCATATGTGCTCAGGAACTACTTTTTGTTACACTTAAATAAGTATGTCTATTTGCCACTTGCTCTAAAAAACAAAATGCAGGAAACATCAGAGTGTATCAAATTATTTTTTTCCATGTGCAATATTCAGGCAATGCAATAATAGATGGAGGTCCAGGTGAAAATGCTTCTCTTTTTAAGCCAGCTGTTAAATGCATTAAGTTTTAATTTGTACATACAGTTTTATAACACTTAGATAACCAACCAAAATATGTTATTTGGCTGTCTCCAATATAATAAGTCATTTATCATTTTAAAGTTATTATTCACTTATTAGCCACATTTGCTTGAATGATAATTTAAAAAGTATTCCAAGGAAGAAGAACAAAGGAGAAATACTTTAAAAAAAAAACTAAGTAATTTATTCCAACAAATCAGATTTTTCTGCTACAGTCTGTTAACCTGTAACCTATCTGAAAGGTCTAAAATATTACATTTTTATGAGACATTTTGTGTGGAAAATATTGTTGCCTATTTTGTACTTCATTCGCTTTACATGAAAATAAGCTATTGTGTGCTAAATGATATTATATAATTCTATTGTAAGAACTATGCTCAAACTAAAATGTTAAAAGGTAATATGTACAGTTATGTATTTATGATATATATTCTGCAGGATTTCAGAAAAGATTTGATAACTTTCACAATTATAAATAAGGAACAGAACATAGTACTCAGGACTTAGAATAAAGTAAATACTGCATTAAGCATTAAAATTCTTGGGAATAAAAGAAAATAAGGGAACAGATGTATTTCCTGATAGTCTAATTATCAGAAATATGCAAAATAAGCTGGGCATGGTGGCTTATGCCTGTAATCCCAGCACTTTGAGAGGTCAAGGTGGATGGAATGCTTGAGCTTAGGAGTTCAAGACAAGCCTGGACAATATGGCAAAACCTTGACTCTCTAAAAAATACAAAAATTAGCTGGGCATGTGGCACATAGCTGTAGTCCCAGCTACTTAAGAGGCTGCTTGAGAGGCTGAGCGGGGAGAATCACTTGAGCCCGGGAGGTTGAGGCTGCAGTGAGTGTGATTGCATCATTGCACTGAAGCCTGGGCAACAGAGTAAGACCCTGTCTCAAAAAATAAAATGAAATAAAGAAAATAAAAGAAATAAGCAAAATATAGGTTATCTTATTTCTAAATTACAATGTAAATTAATTTATTATGCATTTTTTTTGCACGAGGCAATCACATCACAAAAGACAATGTTTCAACAGTAGTGTTACAGATTTGCAGGCAGACTTTGGCTGCCTATGGGCAAGTCCAAATTTTTTCTTAACACAGAAAAAGAGGAACTCATTTAAGTATCTAGACACATACTCAAGTAAGATTTTAGAATTTTTAAACATAGAACATTACAATCTTAGGCCTGGAAAATGCTAAAAGCAGATACATTTAAATATAAGAAAATCCTAATGCAGTAGAAATTGAATTGTTGATGTTCCAGTCAATACTGTAGAAATCTGATAAATAACAGCAGTGATGGCTAAAAGACCTACCCATCAGCTACAAAAAGAGTTTCCGAGAGTCTACATTAATTATCATATTAGATAGTTTCTATTAAGTGATTGAAAATTGGAATATGTCTGTCCCAAAATTGTTTTGCCATAGTACCCATGTTTTATAGTGAGCTGGATATTTCCTTTTGTTCTTTCTTCATTCTTTTGTTGTTGTTGTTGTTGTTGTTTCTTCCTGTTTTTTACTTGCTTCTCAATCTCTTCTATCACTTCTGTTTCTTTAGAATTAATAAATTCTAAATTAATAGAACATTTGGTTACTTATTATTCCATTCTCACATTGCTATAAAGAAATATCTGAGACTGTGTAATTTATAAAGAAAAGAGGTTCAGTTGCCTCATGGTTCACAGGTTGTACAGGAAGCATGATGCTGGCATCTGCTCAGCTTCGGGGAGGCCTCAGAAACCTTACAGTCATGGTAGAAGGCAAAGGGGGAGCAAGCACCTCACATGACCAGAGCAGGAGTAAGACAGAGTGAGGAGCCACACACTTTTAAACAATCAGATATCATGAGAGCTCACTATCATGAGGACAGTACCAAGGGGGATGGTGCTAAACCATTCATGAGAAAACCACACCACGATCCAGTCACCTCCTATCAGTCCCCACCTCCAACACTGGCAATTACATTTCAGTATGAAATTTGGGTAGGAACACAGATCCAGACCATATCACTTATAAAATTCATAATTCATGGTACCAAAACCTTTTAATCAAAATGAGGCAAAGTACTTGTTTTACTCAACAGTATTAAACATGTAAGCATTAAGTCTACCTAAAAACAAAATTGAAGAATGTTACATGTGTTAAAAAGACGAGAAATTAATTCATATACCATTTCAACTTGAAATTTAAGCTCTAGAAAGACCATTCTATTCTGGTTATATAACAGTTTTATTATGCTGATATACTATGATACAGCTTAAATCATCAATATGTTAGAAATCTGATCAATACCAAGTCTCTTAGTTTGGCTCACATCATTGGAATCAAAGGTTAATGTCAGATCAACAAACACTAAAGAATCTTCGATTTTTCATAATTTTCCATCAGTGAAATTATTCAGAGTGCAGCAGTGATCAGTGGTCAGAGGTTGGTATGAAAACATTCATGTTGTTGTCAAGAACATTAGCATGAAAAAAACAGATCTAAGGTTTATCAAGGGAAAAAGCTGGAATTTTAAAAAACCGAAGTTTTAGCTTTTGATGAAGTAGAAATAAATGTGTCCATAGAAACTCTCAAATATCAAGACAAAATTGTTTAACAACTAAGGTAGCAAACATCAAAGCTCACCACTCAGATTCATAACTAACATTTCTGGTGGCACAATATTTTTTCTTTTTTTTAATAATATACCTTACCTAGAAAGAATACTTGGGCCCTTTAATATATAGTATAATAGTCATAATACAATAAAGTCAAGTGTAATATCTCACCCTGATATCAATAGATGTTTAAACGTCTTGGATTTTTTTTTTTTTTTTTAACGCAGTCTCACTCTGTTGCCCAGGCTGGAGTGCAATGGTGTGATCGCGGCTCACTGCAACCTCCGCCTCCCAGGTTCAAGCAATTCTTCTGCCTCAGCCTCCCAAGTAGCTGGAACTACAGGCACACACCACCACACCCAGCTAATTTTTGTATTTTTCTTGGGACAGGGTTTCACCATGTTGGTCAGGCTGGTCTCGAACTCCTGACCTCATGATCCACCCGACTTGGCCTACCAAAGTGCTGGCATTACAGGCGTGAGCCACCGGTGCCTGGCCATGTCTTGGATTTTTAAAAAATGCTTATCACACATAACAGTATTCCCATTATATATTGACGTGTGTTTTGTCCTAAAAAGTAAGATTCCCATTGCAATATATTATAAATTGTAAATCATTGTTTTAGTCTTAGATTTCCTTGCTCACATTATCAAGCTAGGCTTTTCAGGGAAGAGAAATAAGGCGGCCAAGACGGTGAAACCCCTTCTCTACTAAAAATACAAAAAAAAAAAAAAAAAAAAAGCCAGGCATGTTGGCGGGCACCTGTAATCCCAGCTACTCAGGAGGCTGAGGCAGGAGAATCACTTGACCTTGGGAGGTAGAGGTTGCAGTGAGCCGAGATCACACCACTGCACTCTAGCCTGGGTGACGGAGCAAGACTCCGTCTCAAAAAAAAAAAAAAAGAAAGAAAGAAAGTTGTTTAGGTAGCATCTCAGCTTGCTCTATCAAAGCTGGGATTGTGTGGCAGATGCTCAGCTGTTTGGCAGTTAGGAGCAGTTAAGATCTGTGATCTTTTGCAATTTGGAGAGTTTCCCATTGTACAGTAGGAATGGAATGTTAAAAATTCCTAGTATCTCACAACAAATTTTTTAGTAGACTTGGAGAGAATTTGTCTTTGTCTTCACTTTTTTATTTGTATCTTTATTTGCTTAGAGACAGAGTCTTTCTCTGTCACCCAGGTTGAGTGCTGTGGCATAATCATGGCTCACTGTAGCCTCAATGTCCTCAGTTGAAGTGATCCTCCCACCTCAGCCTCCTAAATAGCTGCACCCAGCTAATTAAAAAAAAATTTTTTTGTAGAGATGGGGGTCTCACTATGTTGATCAGGCTGGTCTTGAACTCCTGGACTCAAGCAATCCTCCCACCTCGACCTCCCAAAGTGCTGGGATTACAGGCAAGAGCAACTATGCCCAGTCTTTATCTTCTTTAATTGCACATTCACATGGTTTTCAAAGAGATTTGGGTAAAAATAATATTACATCAGGAAGAAGAAATTAAAGAAGGCTATGGTACTTTTAACTATGTTGAAAATACCATTTTGAAGAACAGAGATAATCTATGACCCCAAAATTTTGATTAGAAGTATAAGTGAAATTTATCATTTATGGGTGGTATTTTAATAATATTATGTTGTGATTATAAATGAGTGTGGCCAAATAGTGTCTCCTTTTGTTCAATAAACTTTTCCCTAAAACAGAGGCAATCTTTTCAAGTTATATTTTCTGTAAAAGTAGTTTTGTCAGAGCCATGCTATTTTAGTTTGAAATCTCCTAAAATGATCATTACTTACTAAATGGTTAGACTATCTTCTTTCAAAAAGCTCAATAAATTAAAAAGCAATACCTGAGTAATCTGCATACATTTTAAGGAATATTATCTGAATAGTCTTACCAGGAAGTTGGGTGATACTTTTTAGGTAATCGTTTTGATTTGTTTGTGATTCTAGTATTAAGCGAAATCAGTATGGCTAGCCAGCCTTTTCTTCTTCCAAAATTAGTTTTTATTAACTAATTTTAAAAATTCAAAACTCTAAAGCATTAAATACTAAGGAATTCATTTTTTAAATGTCTGTCCTCTTGAAAACAAATTATCATAATATTTTTAAATGGATGATTACCAAGTAGCACTCTCTCTATTTAAGTGTTGGTTTGCTAGGTTTAAAATAAGGATTCTTGGTCACTGAGAAATCTGTTCCAGAAAGCTCTATGGCAGGGGGATGAGAGAAGTCAAATGTAACTGAGAGTTGTGGGTGCTTATATTGTTGTATTTGCTTTTAATATTTGGTGGCTAGAACTCCTAGAGTTAAACATGGACTAAAGTACAAACCTAAATATTTCCCAGATCCTCTTGGGGATGTTAATAAATACGGTGTTAGAAAAAGTTTTGTGGCAAATTGGTTTGGGATGTTTTGCACATCACTGCCTTTGCCTGAGATTCAAATATCCAGTAGCGTATCAAAAGCTTTCAGAAGGCTCATAGTGTTCCTACCCACGTAGCTTAGCATCTCATCTGAACACTTTACTTCTGTGGTCTTCCTCCCCAAAACACATAACTTTAAACTAATCATTACAAAAAACAGACAGATCTCAATAGAGGGGTATATGATTTATCTGATTAGTACTCATCAAAACTTTCAAGGTCAAGGTCTTAAAGGAACCTAAGGAGACATGAGGACTAAATATAATATAGTACCCTGGATCAGATCCTGAAACGAAAACGAAAGACATTAGGTAAGAACTAAAGTAATCTAAATAAACTATGGACTGTAGTTAAAAGTAATGTTCACTAATTATATAAATGTACCATACTGATGCAAAATATTTCAAATAGGGAAAACTGTATGCAAGGGGTAGATGGGTAATCTCTATAGTATCTGCTTAATATTTTTGTAAATTTAAAACTTTCAAAAATGTAAAGCCTGTTAACTCAGAAAAAGCTACATCAACAAGGCATGTTATTTACGTGAAACTTTTTCTGTTTACAATGTTCTCTGTGTACACAAAATAAATTGGGCCATATAAGAATATGGAAATCTTAATTAAGCTCTTTGGTAAAACAAACAAACAAAAAAGAAATAAAAGCATGTAAAGATTAGGATACTGATGTAGGCAAGAATCTATCAGTAAAATGTTGTGATCCAAAAGTTCACAATTGGAATCTAGATAATTTCCTCAATCCTTCACATATATGAAGATGCCACAACTCAGCGGAAACACAATGCTTAGGCTACCCAATTAGATCTTTTGATATGTGACTGGAAGAAAATGGCAGAATGGAGTGTAGAACACTGCAGAATGGTTTTTATAAAAAGATGTAGCTAATTTTTCAATGTACACAGGGAGAGGTTAATTCCAAGGATGCTCTCTTCTCATTAGGCTACCATGTCTGGTACATTTACCATGCCTGTCTTGGGATATCCATTCATCCCTACACAATATCTGGGGACGGATTTGCAAGTAACTCTCATTATTGTACTCACCAAGTTTTCAGGCTCCTATTCCTATGCCAATGTTGTATATGTAATGAATAATGATATAATTAACAAACAATAACAAATGTAATAACTACTGTTTATTGAGCATGCCAGGAACTGTGTTGAGCCCTTTATTTTATTCTGTTTAAACTTGGTAACAAACCAATAAACTAAGCATTGTTCTCATTTAATAGATGAGAAAACTCTCCTGTGCACACAATTCTTTTCACATAGTTAGTGAGGTAGCGATACTCCCTGATTTACTCATAAGCCCTTCAATCAATGTTTTAAAACCTAAATTTTTACATCCTGTTTAAATATGTTCTTAGGGAAAATAAATAGAGCTGTTTTGAGAATCAGTTTTGGGAGAGATTTGGTGCTGCAGTCAAATTGGCTTAAATGAATTAACTCATCTAGCTCTTCCTGCTATGAACAGAAAATAGAGAGAGCGGAGGATAGCAACAAAATTCAGTTAAAAAACCCCCAGACAAATGCTTGTTAGTAATCTGATGGGAAAACTTACTTTATTTATACTTTCTCCAAACAGAGCTTGGTAGTAAGAAGTGTATTTGTCTTAATATAATTTTTGCTTACTTTTTTGGAGGCCTTTGCTTGAGATACTTTTTTGGAAAAAGGAAGATGTTCTTAGTTTCCATCAAAGACAGTGTTGCCTGTGTTGTCATCCTTACTGTGGAGACGATAAGCCATCAATAAGGCTGCATGGTGGGCAACAGCTTTCCAAAACTGAGTGGTGAATCACCTCTTTTCAATTATATATCTAAACTTGGTAATATCAGCTTGTAAGAGAAGGTCATGCAGTATCTTCCATCCAATTAACATGTATAGAACACCTCCTCCACAACTCATTCATCCTTTGCTATAATTTACAACTTCCTGTTGTATGTCAATGGTTTTAACTTTTTCAGATCTTATTTGATTTAGCTGAGAAATAATGCCATAAGATAGGATGTAGGCCTAATGCTATATTTATTTCCTTTCTCTCTGTAAGATTTACATTAATAGAAAATGTCATTTCCTCTTAGTCTATAGATAGGGTCCAGGAAAGTTTATCAAAAAAATTAAGTTAAAGCTATCTTTCTTTCTTTTTTTTTATTATACTTTAAGTTTTAGGGTACATGTGCACAACGTGCAGGTTTGTTACATATCCAGAAAAGTGTATCTACCTTCGGCTTTAATTGAACACCCTTGAAACCAAAACGGCTAATATGTTAGTTATTGTCTTTTCTAGATCTCACTAAAAGTCATGATTTAAGAGAGTACATGGGATAATTTTTCATGGTATAGAATTCCTGCTGTCATTCTTCCTCCCACTTTTTCTAGCCCGTTTTCTCATACTGCAGATTTTCCCTATGCTGAAGGATTCCTTGACTCTACCATACAGTCAACATTCAAGACCATAATTAAATGAAAGTTCATTAAGATGTATACCTAAATGCCAAACACTAGTTTTTTTTCATTGTTGTTTGGTTTTTTGTTTTGTTTTGTTTTGTTTTTGTTTGTTTACAAAAAGGAATATGTGTAGAATGACATTGATCTTATTTTAAAAGAACTAATATTCCAGAAATGGTCTGTAAAACTCAAGATGAACTAATTGACCCATTCTTGATATTAAACATAGGTTATTGTACATGTTTTCTTTGACCATAGAAAGCCACACGGTTTGCTACAAATTTTTCCTATCTTGGTACAACCAATATCAGATCAGAAGATTTCCCCAAAGTAATAGCTACTATTTTTTCTCTTTCAGTTGCAGGAGAAATAACAAGGCATTGAAGAATGGCAGATGAACGGAAAGATGAAGCAAAGGCACCTCACTGGACCTCAGCACCGCTAACAGAGGCATCTGCACACTCACATCCACCTGAGATTAAGGATCAAGGCGGAGCAGGGGAAGGACTTGTCCGAAGCGCCAATGGATTCCCATACAGGGAGGATGAAGAGGGTGCCTTTGGAGAGCATGGGTCACAGGGCACCTATTCAAATACCAAAGAGAATGGGATCAACGGAGAGCTGACCTCAGCTGACAGAGAAACAGCAGGTAACTAAGGGCTCTACTGTCACCAAGTGCTTGCTTTGTGCTTTGAAGTCAGTTTAGTCTGAAAGTGAATTAATATACAGCACTGATCCTCTTTCACTAGTGCTAGGACTGAAATTCCAGTCAGTCAGAGGAAATAAAAGAAGAGAAAAATCATGGCAACTAACTTGACATTTCCCCACATTATCTGTATTCTCAATCCCATTCCCCTATTTAATTTTTATCACGTGAATTTTTGCAGGCTGAGTATATGTATGTTTTGCTAGAAACTGTCAGCATTTTAACTCATTGAAAGAAAACTTTACAAATAGTTTTTTTTTAATTCTCTTAAATGACCTTGGACCTAAATCCAATGGATTGATTAGAAGCATATTTTTTAGAGCAGAAAAAAGCAAAATACGTAAATACATACTGTAATTTTTTTAATCCATCATTCAACAAATTACAGTTTAGCTTTTCTACATGCAAGGTGTTGTGTTAGCTTCTGTGCCAGTGCATGTGCAAGAAATGGTCCCAGAACTTCATGAATCAGATGATCTTGGAGCAGACATGAGACTTGTGCATATGTTTATTTGGATACAAAGCATAACATGTAAGTGCCACATGAGCAGTATAGAAAGGCAAAGTTTAAAGCAGATTATTTCTGCTTTGGGCCAAAGTCCCCAAATTGTGCACAAAATCATCTTATCATCTTGGGGTGCTGCAGCAAATTCACAAGAATACAACAAGGTATTTTAAATATTTAAGGGGAACAGTGATAATATCTGTCAAACACTGCCTGAACTATTAGCTCAAGATAGTTTACAGTTTCAACATTACATTACACTATATTCCTTTAATATGTCATATCTTTGCAAAAATAGGTTTTCAGCAGTTGTTCTGATAAAAGCAAGTACCCTGCAGAAATCCATGTGAAATGGAAGAAGAGAGTGATAGTGTCCAACCTGATTCCAGGGTTTGAGATACTGTGCAGTGCCCCACAGGCACATACATTCAATTAGTATGAAATTGTGGTTGAGAATAAAATAAAAATATTATTTGCACATTTCATGGTTACAATGAGGATTAATTAAGATAGTAAAGTGTACAAAGTGAATGGCTCAAGAAATAATAACTGTTAATTAATTTTATTATTATTGGTGGTAGTGGTGGTATCAATATGGATGACATAGCACTCTTGATCAAGTAATATTTTTCTATAGCTGAGTATACACAACTTTAACAGGGTGGAACTTGGGTGTCAGGAGCACTAAGAGGATTTTCAAGGGATTGCAGCATGAGGAGATGAGAGCATGTTATAGCATATTGATTGTGAGGAAGAAAAGAGTTAGTATGATATGTCAAGGTTTTTTTCATCATCGTATCTTGCAGCATTAGACCTTCAATATTCCATAAATGTGTGTTGAGTGAGCGAGTGAATGAAGGAATAAATGAATAAATTCAAAAAGAAGAAAGTCCTCTTCACATTAATGATGAAAACAATTGAAAAGTCTTACTTTGTCCCTTGGGCTCTCGCCAGTTGACTCTCAGTGCCTGTTATGAAAGCTTGTAATACACAAAAAAAAATCACTGCAGTGTGCTTGGTCATGCAGTAAAAACCAACACCATTCACTATTTCATCTGTTCAGTGGTCTTAAGTATTTGAGAGCATCAGAAAAATCTATTTGTCAAGTCAGTGTATTATCACCAGCTTCTCTGAGAAAATGATATACATTTAAAAGAGGCTAATAGACGTTTCTTTTAAATGATGGGTTTAGGAACATCCAGAGTTCATTTTAAATTCAGCTCAATGTGTATCAAACACATTTGGTATTAGCTTTTGGAGATTGATTACAAAGGTTTTGTCTGTATGTTCTGAGTGACAAAAATTGTAAACAGTCAGCCATGGGCTACCAGAGTGATAGTCAATCCAAACTAAACTATGGTGTGATTTTTAAATTAACTTTCCTCTAGAAATAAGCAGCCAAGTATTGAATCCATGAGATATGCATGTGTAGAAATCTTTAGAAAAAGGAAAATGTAAAATAATATCTTTTCATGTCTACAGAGGATGTTCCAGTGATGAGTTAATATGCAATTAAATTTATTTCCAAACTCTAATTTAACAAATAACAACTTTTATCATTCATGGTTTATTGACAGCTGTTTCACAAATTGTGTAATAAAAATCATCTCCAGCATAAACAAATGCTCTTAAATCCCAAATATGGTATTTAGAAATGCTATCCTTTGATGATGGAGACTATAGATATGAGCTGGCGTAATATTTTGATGTGATTATTTTAAAAAGGACCAGGGATCTATACATCAGCTCACTCTTTTATACAATCTACCAGTGTATTACATTTTTCCCTATAAAGGATATTTCTCAGGACACTGTTAGCGTGAGGCACTTCTCAGTGACATCAGGTCCACAGCTATATGTTGTAATATCCAGGACATTACTGATTAAATCAAAGAATCTTCCCTCTACTTTCCGTTTTTGCTATAGTCCCCTCTTTGCATTTTAAAATAATATTTTCTCCAAGTTTGTTTCTTTTTAATCATTTATATAAATAAGATCACATGATAAATAAAATGCAATCGTCATCTTCTTCCCCCTTTTCTCCTTCATTAGAGTGGGCTCACTTCAACCAAGATCCTTACTTTTTTCCCCCTCATCCACTCCTTCAATGTTCATCTTTATTATGGGCAATAATAATTTTTAAAGATGCAAACCCATAGTCAGTGTATCCTTGATCTTATGCACTGACACCAGAGGGTGGGAGAGTGGAGAATATTAGAAGGCAATAATAATTTAAATTGGCTGGGTGCAGTGGCTCACACCTGTAATCCTAGCACTTTGGGAGGCTGAGGTGAGTAGATTGCTTGAGCCCAGGAATTCGAGACCAGTCTGGGCAACATGGCAAAACCTCATCTCCAAAAAAAAATTAGCCGGGTATGATGTCACACACCTGTGGTCCCAGCTACTCAAGAGGCAAAGGTGGGAGGATCACCTGAGCCCAGGGAGGTCAAGACTGCAGTGAGCTGTGATCAGGCCACTGCACTTCTGCCTAGATGACAGAGCAAGACCCTGTCTCAAAAAAAAAATAATAATAATAATCTAGATTTTGTCCCCTTTTTTATGATTTAAAACTATCCATAAAAAGAATTATTTGCTCAACTGTAGCATAATTTTTCATTCCTTAAGATTTTTTCTTACCACTAAAGTGTGCTTTTTGGAAGCCATGCCACAGAAGCATGAAAAAAAGAAATGAGAAACTATTAAGCATCTAGCCACTTAGGAAAGCTGTCGTTATAATAAGTCTAAAGCGTAATTTTTATCTTTATCTTTGTTTTTTGTTTTTAATTTTTATTTTCATGGATTCAGGGGATACAAGTGCAGTTTTGTTACATGAATATATCTCATAGGGGTGAAGTCTGGGCTTTGAGTGTACCCGTCACCTGAATAGTGAACATTGTACTCAATAGGTAATTTTTCAACCCTCACCTCTTTCCCACCCTCCCGCCTTTTTGAGTCTCCAATGTCTATTATTTCCATATTTATGTCCTTGTGTATTCATTGTTTAACTCACACTTGTAAGTGAGAACGTATGGTATTTGATTTTCTCTTTCTGAGTTATTTCACTTAAGATAATGGTCTCCCGTTCCATCCATGTTGCTGCAAAAGATATGATTTTATTCTTTTTTATGGCTGTGTAGTATTCCATCGTATATCTACACTACATTTTCTTTATCCAGTCATCCACTGATGGATGCTTAGGTTGATTCCATACCTTTGCTATTGTGAATGGTGCTGCAATAAATATATGAGTGCAGGTGTCTTTGATATAATGATTTATTTTCCATTGGGTAGATACCCAGTAGTGAGATTGCTGGATCGAATGGTAGTTTTATTTTCAGTTCTTTGAGAAATCTCCATACCGTTTTCCATAAAGACTGTAGTAATTTAACATTCCCGTCAACATTGTTTAAGAGTTCCTTTTTCTCTATAGCATTGTTAACATCTGTTGTCTTTTGACTTTTTAATAATGGCCATTCTAACTGGTATAAGATGATATCTCATTGTGGTTTTAATTTGCATTTCCGTGATGATTAGTGATGTTGAGCATTTTTTTTCATATACCTATTTGGCCATTTGTGCATCTTCTTTTGAGAAGTGTCTATTCATGTCCGTTGCTCACTTTTTAATGAGGATTTTTTTTTTCTTGTTGAGTTGTTTGAATTCCTTAGTCCTTCGTTGGATGCACAGTTTGCAGATATTTTCTCCCATTCTGTGGGTTGTCTGTTTACTCTTTTGGTTATTTCTTTTCCTGTGCAGAAGCTTTTTAATCTAATTAAGTCCCATTAGTCTATTTTTGTTTTTGTTGCATTTACTTTTGGGGTGTTAGTCATTATAATTCTTTGCCTAGGGCAATGTTCAGAAAAGTTTTTCCTGGGCTTTTTTTCTAGGATTTTTATAGCTTGAGGTCTCACTTTTAAGTTAAAGCATCATTTTAAAATTGTTTTCCAAAGCGTAAATAATAAGAGTAATGGCTTGTAATAATTCTTTCCTCTCTTTTCTGTGTTATCTTTATTGAAGAAAGCAAGAGGAATGCATTTTGGTCCCCACAGAGTTTCAGCTCTGAAGATAACTGGGAGCCTCATCCTTAAGTTTCAGTTCCAGGGTTGGGGCCCAAACTCGTATTAGAACTTGTATCAAGATCTTATAAAAGGGCAAAAGGGATTATTTGTAAAATTTGTAAAATATTGAGTGGAAAATTATTTTAGAAAATGGAAAGTGACCTTTCAAATTTTAAGGGCACAGAAAAGCAATTGATTTCTGTAATCATTGTGCATGTGACTTAACAGTGTAATTGGTTTTGACTTCATCTAGTATTCCCTTAACAGTATTATATCAAATCCTATCTTTACTGTGCCTGTTTATAGAATCATTTTGAATATGGTACTTTCTAGCAGCAAAAACAGGGATGTGCAAACAAAGTGGTGGTTCTATGTTTCTGACCTTGCTCTAAAAAAGTAATAATTTTGCTGTTGCTCACTTTTCATCTAAAGAGAGGAAAAAAAAATTATTATTATTACTATTTTTTTTTTGAGATGAAGTCTCGCTCTTGTCTCCCAGGCTGGAGTGCAATGGCACGATCTTGGCTCATTGCAATGTCTGCCTCCCGGGTTCAAGCGATTCTCTTGCCTCAGCCTCCAGAGTAGCTGAGATTACAGGCGCCTGCCACCAGGCCTGGCTAATTTTTGTATTTTTAGTAGAGACGGGGTTTCACCATGTTGGCCAGGCTGGTCTTGAACTCCTGACCTCAGGTGATCCACCCACCTCGACCTCCCAAAGTGCTGGGATTACAGGCGTGAGCCACTGCGCCCGGCCGAGAGGAAAAAATTTTCTAATTTCTATTCATCCCTCAAGAATTGCTTACAAAACTATTATGGAAATATATATAAAACTACAGCTTAGAAATGTGTGTAGAATTGCAAGCTGCCATAGTGCTCTTCAGTTTATAAAGCACCGTCATATCTTTTATCTCATTTCATCTTTTTGCAATTTCCATGAGGATATCTGTCATTAGTGTCTTCTTTTTACAAATAAGAAGACTAAGGCACAGAATGGCTGAGCAACTTGCCCATTATTACACAGTAAGAAAGTGAGAGAGGTGAATTGTGAACACAGTGTTCAGGAATTTCATGCAACTCTCTTCTCAACTGTCCTAACCTCAAGAAGTGGTATGGATTTTTTTTTCTATAGTTTATAATTTACTTGGCTTTATAAATATGCTACTCATTGTGAAAGCTTTCAAGACTCTTTTAGATGAGTGTATTTTTTTTTCTTGCTCTCAGGATTAATTTTGCAAATGTCAGGATTTGTTCTTTATTAGAAAATCGTGGTGAAATTAGCTACTTTTCTATCACAGTTGTGGATGATGTGATTGAAAGCTGGAAGGGACCAGTGAGATGACTTTTCACAGTAGATAATATGACTACTACCAGAATGCAAGTCTCTTGCCCTACAGACCAGTGCTGTTTCCACTATCCCCATCTGCCACATTCAGAACAGCAGTTAGTTGCAGCAGTTATCGATTACAGGCAAAGCAGACAATTCTTCTATTCCAGAACTGCCACATTCATGTAATTTTAAGTGATATGATATCATAACTTTATTCCTAGTTTTCAATCTGAGTAGACAAAAAGGGGAGGCAATTTTGAGATGTTTATTGATACTAAAACATTTTTAAAGTATTTAAAATCAGGCTTTAGTGATTTTTGACTATCTTGAAGTACAGTGCTGTGAACACTAGTAAAAAAAAAAAAATGCTGATCACAGACCGGGCGTGGTGGCTCATGCCTGGAATCCCAGCACTTTGGGAGGCCGAGGCGGGTGGATCACGAGGTCAGGAGATTGGGACCATCCTGGCTAACACTGTGAAACCCCGTCTCTACTGAAAATAGAAAAAATTAGCCGGGCGTGGTGGCGGGCGCGTGTAGTCCCAGCTACTTAGGAGGCTGAGGTAGGAGAATGGTGTGAACCCAGGAGGCGGAGCTTGCAGCGAGCCGAGATGGCGCCACTGCACTCCAGCCTGGGCGACAGAGCGAGACTCAGTCTCAAAAAAAAAATGCTGGTCACAGTAGAAAGTGCCTACGTGACGATCAAAGGCCAGTATCAGCAATCCCCTTGGGTAAATGTAAAGATTAAAAGGCAATTCCTCACTATAATCCCCACAATTTACCAGGATTCCTTTGTCTCCCCATCATTTCCAGGCATGCTATCCAGACCTACCCACTGCCAAAGAGGCAGGAATGGAAAAGCTTTTCCAGGCTTTGCGTTGTCACTTTTTCAGGGAGCTCACCATGGGAGCTATGTCTTATAAAATCTGGCCCTATACTATCACATCCACATAACTCCAGCAGCCAAGTGACCAACACTCAGTTATATACATTTATTGTTGCTGCAATTTTTTTTTTTTTTTTTTTTTTTTTTGAGATGGAGTCTCGCTCTGTCGCCCAGGCTGGAGTGCAGTGGCGCGATCTCGGCACACTGCAAGCTCCGCCTCCCGGGTTCACGCCATTCTCCCGCCTCAGCCTCCCAATAGCTGGGACTACAGGCGCCCGCCACCAAGCCCGGCTAATTTTTTTTGTATTTTTTAGTAGAGACGGGGTTTCACCGTGTTAGCCAGGATGGTCTCTATCTCCTGACCTCGTGATCCGCCTGCCTCTGCCTCCCAAAGTGCTGAGATTACAGGCGTGAGCCACCGTGCCCGGCCTGCTGCAATTATTATTATTATTATTATTATTATTATTATTATTATTATTATTATTTTGAGACCGAGTCTCGCTCTGTCGCCCAGGCTGGAGTGCAGTGGCGCGATCTCGGCTCACTGCAAGCTCCGCCTCCCGGATTCACACCCATTCTCCTGCCTCAGCCTCCCGAGTAACTGGGACTACAGGTGCCCGCCACCACGCCCGGCTAATTTTTTGTATTTTTTTTTTTTTTTAGTAGAGACAGGGTTTCACTGTGTTATCCAGGATGGTCTTCATATCCTGACCTCGTGATCCGCCCGCCTCGGCATCCCAAAGTGCTGGGATTACAGGCGTGAGCCACCACACCCGGCCTGTTGCTGCAATTATTAAGTTTGAAAACACATGAAGGAAAAGTTTGGCAGCTCTCACATGCAAAAAGCTGCATATGCCTTTAAATAAAGCTTTTCTCTCTGTTCTGCTTTTCAATCTCAGAAGATTCAAATCTATCTTTTCTCACCTCGCCCTTTCTCCCCTGCCTCCGTTTCTAGATTTGCGATTTACTAATAGGAGTCAGCATCCCATTTAAAATATGGCCTATTCTATGTAATATATTAATTTATGCGGAGCAAAATAGCACTGAGCCATTTCTCCTGCAAAATGACTAAAGCCATCCACACCAACCCCCCAAGCAAATAAACAAGCTCGCCTAACAATGCGAGAGGTTGCAGATTTTCCTTTCCTAGTTGCCATGCCAACCACTCATTGCTCTGGCTGCCATTTCCCTGAGCTCCGCAGAGAGAGGAGTGTGCAGAGCAGAGTTATTTAGCATTCAAGGGTGGATCTGCAGAAAATCACACAGCCTCACTGCGAAGCATCTGGGCCTGGTGGCACCGATGGATGAGGACAGAAAATGGGGATCTTTTCAGTGTTTTCCTTCTAAAGGTTAGGCATCCGGGGCTAGAAAGAGTGAGAAAGACAAGGATTGATAGAAAAGGCAGTTCCACGAGGTTTGTATTGTCACGTTTGCTTTGTCCTATGTGGTCTCTCTACTAGGTGAAGCTGGTTGTGGGGATTAGCTTCAATCATAATATTTGGCTTGGCTTGTTGATGAATAGGATTTGAACCTAATTTAGGGCTAGCTTATATGGATATTATAATAAAGAATTGTGTCTTTTATTCTTGATACAATATGAGGTTGTATATAGCAGGTATTGCCAGCCACAGCGTTTGATATTTTACAAATTAGAGGAAAAAAACCAACATCAGATAAAGTTTTGTTTCATTGTACAGCTATAAGGTAGTTTGTCCCATAAAAATCTGTCTTTGCTCTGTAGTCCAGTCTTAAGGTAGGATGAGATTTTCTTAAGACGGTAATTCTTAATCGATATATGAGGAAAACTTGGTTTCTCAAGACTTGTTTCCATTAAACCCTATGACTCAACAAATTAAGGTATGATTTTATTCCTTGGAATTTTAATTGCCTACAAACACTTCAAGTTGTGAAGAGCAAGGCTCTATCTAACACAATATAATAGGATATTTAAAAACTGAGGTTAATTGCATTCACATGTACTTCTATGTGTGTTCCTCAAGAAAATTCCTCCCATGCACTGTGGAAATCAGTCTCGTTTCTTGTCTCGCTTTGTGCTAAATGTCAGAACTACATCACAAGCGCAAAAAGTATTTCCTCAGACGTTTTGGTCCACTGACATTTTAAAAATTATTTTGTTGAATTTGAATCTTAACGAAACAGATTTTTGCCAATGACAATTCAGACCTATTTATGAAAATTATTCTTTCTAGTTTGTTTTTAAGTGCAAATATAATTTAATTATCATTGTAATTTTTACTTGACCTTTCTCTCATCCCATTTTTTCCAAGATCTTGTTAAGTTTTCTCTCCTCTAATATGCTGTCATGTTTTGTCATCATATTTTTCTTTTAATGTTTTTCAATTTTTTTGAGATTTAAAAAACCTCCATTTAGATAAAAATTTAAAACAATTCTTAAATTCTTTTTTTATTTTTAGCAAACAGATGAAAGTAATAAGTAATGGGAGTGAGTCTTCTAGACTCATTTTTGGACTGTCTAAGCCTTTGTTTTGGTTAGGATTATGCATGGCCTTTATCTGTCCTTTGTTATATTTCGGAGTATTTTCTCCTCACAAAAGAGAAAAAGAAAAAAAAGATAAGATAAAAAATCTAATACTTTTGAACAAATAAATTGCTCAAATATCTTGAGACTATATTTCTTATCAAGCAATAATGTGTTTTTAAGTGTGAGATATATATATATATACACACATATATATATTCTTTGATTATATTACTTGTGTAGGTCTGAGAAAAATGTTTGCCACTGTATGCCAAATGCTGCCTTGCGGTTTAGAATTGGGTTTGATTTTATTGCGGTTGGGAGGTTATTAAGTAGACTGGAGAGTACCCAGCAGTTATCACTCCTCTTTTTTCCCCTCTAAGCTATTGAGATAAACTGACTCTTTCTACTTCAGTGTGTCAAGCCTTTTTCTCTTCCTCTCATTCCCTCACACTTCACTGCTCCCCAGTACATTACATAAAGCACGTGCTTTGACTGTCAGGGGAGTCTGGAAATCATATCAGGAGAGGATGAACAGAACAACTGGTGCTGCATTGCAGACCTGGTAGCTTCAGCATTATCTGACCTGGCATCGTGAGTCCTGGGGGAAAAGGACACTAAACCGTGTCCTGCCGGCTCACTGTGTAGCTCGTCTCACTGAATGAGTCACCATTCAGCAACACTCATAGAAAATACAGTTCAAAAACCAGCCAAGCTGATGAGCAGAGGAAGGGGAAAACATATGTCATAGGTTGTCATGCAACTTTTAACAATGCTTTTAACAATTTTTGCAAATGCTGGGTGGTTATTAGAACACAGAAATGAGAGTAAAATACAGTTGATTTCAGGAATACGCAAGAAGGCATTAGGCAAAAATAGATAAGAAAGGAGGAATCAAGATTCAGAGAAAAATCATCCTAAATACATATGATTCAGTTTAAGCATCCTGAAAATCCATATTTTTAATTTGTAAACACAGGTCAAAGTGATGCTGGCATATGAGCACCTCTGGTTCTTGCAAAGCATCTCCAGCATGAATGATCAGTCCTCCGATTGGTCTAAAATGTTCTCTTTTGTGACACGTTGCATTTGCCGAATGTAAATGGGCAAGTTTACATTGTGGTGTTTTCATTCCCATGCAGTATTGTGCAAGAAGTCATAAGAAAAACATTTTGGAAGGGTACCACCCTACAGCAAAGGTTCTCGGAAATCTACCATTAAAGATAAAGAGCTGTTGTTGATTTTATTCTCTCAAATGAGTCTTCCTCTTCTGAACACCCCCAAGTACCATGTTTATATCTTGCTAATACAATTGATCATAGCAATCATTTTACTGAGGTTACTTGTTATTTGTTTTTATTACAGTCAGTAGGTTGGAAATGCTTTGGGGTAGAACCTGTGCTTCATTCATCTTTCTTTTCCTTTTTGTATATAACACAGTGCTTATTTTCTATAATATGTATGTGCTAATACATATTTTTTGAATTAATATAAAGAAGAGAGGGCTGGGCATGGTGGCTTGCGCCTGTAATCCCAGCACTTTGGGAGGCCAAGATGGGCAGATCACTTGAGGTCAGGAGTTCAAGACCAGCCTGGCCAACATAGTGAAACCCTGTCTCTACTAAAAATACAAAAATTAGCTGGGCATGGTGGCACATGCCTGTAATACCAGCTACCTGGGAGGCTGAAGCCCAAGAATTGCTTAAATCCAGGAGGTGGAGGTTACAGTGAGTCAGATCACGCCACTGCACTCCAGCCTGGGCAACAGAGTGAGACCCTGTCTCAAACAAAAAAACAAAAAGAAGAGAGAGTATCCATATATAGTTCTGAGAATGGAAATCACATAAACAAAATGGTCTACAAAATTTATACTACATTGTGAACAATAAATTTGCAGGAAAGACTGTATTAGAAAGGAAAACCGTGGCTCATGCCTCTATCCCAGCACTTTGGAAGGCCAAGGCAGGCAGGCAGATCACGAGGTCAGGAGATCGGGACTATCCTGGCCAACATTGTGAAATCCCATCTCTACTAAAAATACAAAAATTAGCTAGGCTTGGTGGTGCATGCCTGTAGTCCCAGTTACTCAGGAGGCTGAGGCAGGAGAATCGCTTGAACCCAGGAGGCGGAGGTTGCATGCAGTGAGCTGAGATCGCGCCCCTGCCCTCCAGCCTGGTGACAGAGCGAAACTCCGTCTCAAAAAAAAAAAAAAAAAAAAAAAAAGAAGAAGAAGAAAAGAAAGGAAAACTGAGAATGAAGAGGTAATCAAGAAACTGAAAACAGTCTAGATTCAAAGTAAGGACTTTAAAAGTGTCGGTTAGAACAGAAAGAAATTAGGTAGGAACTCCAAAATACTGTAGTGAAAGTATATGGTGGAAGACTTGACTTGTTCTGAAATTGGGAGTGAGAGTTGGGAGTAAAGAAAATATATCTTTGACTGAAGATAGCAGTAAGATATCAAATTGGAGATATTTTCTTGATGATGAAAATTACTGAGCTGAAAATAATATGAAAAGTCCAGATAAATGAACTTTCTAAAAGATAATCTAGTGGTTAAGAAATACATAGATACAGAAAAATTTTTCATGTTCATTTCTGCAGAATTGAGGCCAGTGTAATAATTGGCTTAGGTTGAAAATGCCACTGAAATATTCTGTAAATGGAACTCTATAATGCATGTCTTTTTTGATCCTCTGACTATAAATAAGGATTGCTGCACTGTTCTAGGTCAAGTAAATCTCATTTCTGACAAATGGGCAATCTAAATCTTAAAGCATTTGGATATTCTAAGTCATGGATTTAATATGTGCCTCCTTTAAAGGAGTATACCAGTATCGTCTTGGAAAGATATTATGTATCCTATTTTTGAAGACCAAATGTCACCAATGCCCTTTATTTTCTCTATTTCATCTTTGAGTGCATAAAATTATTTGCAAATGAGTTCTTAGATAGTAAACAACATTATCATATCAAATTAGGAATTTATACATTAACTTTAGGAAAATATTGTGATTTCAGTTAAATATAATTCCTTAGTTTCATTTTAGTTTTCATTTTTCACTTAATAAAAAGCTTCCTGTGATCCATAATTTTCTTTTCCTTTGACATATTTGAATGAAAATGCTCCCATTTACATTTTCTAAATCTAATCATTAAGTATTTCAGTGTTTAGTGAAATTCTTCTCCAAGGAGGAAACTAATAGTAGTAATAATAATTATTGACTTACTTTTATAACCACTTTTAAAAAATCAATTCACTGGATACTTTTTCTCCTTGTTGAATTTTGCATCTTCAGCTCATGTTTATTTATGTCTTTCTTTAAAAATTGGCTTTGGTTGTTTTTCTCATCAGCTTGAAAAATAGAATTTGTGACTAAAGCATTAAAAAAATTGGAATAAACTTGCTTTCCTTCGAGCTTTACTGGAACACAAATGCTGACCTGGGGAAAGTGGCTTTTTCTCCAAATATTGCACTAACTTGGTGTAGATCACAACGCATGTAAGATATTTATTTTCTCCAGGCCAGTTCTCATCTAATTCTTTATAAATCCTGATTGCTATAAGAAAAGAAGCAAATGATTGAGTTTGATGCAAATATAGTAGCCACTTAACAAAAGTCACATTTTAAGAGAGGAAGTTCATTCAGTTGGGATAACAGTAGAGGATAACAGTAGAGGAATAACAGTAGAGGAATAACAAGAGGATAACGAGAAAGGAAGTTCATTCAGTTGGAATAACAGTAGTTCCCTTCTCTCATCTGCCATCCTGAAGAAAAATGTGTTATGAAATGCTCTGCAGACCACATTTATCTTGCTCATATGATCCTAATACAACATCAAAAATACTGCTCAAGGAATTGGCTATTTTGGTGACACAGGTTTCCTTTCTAGTTGGATTTCACTCTTTAAGGGTGAACTTAAATTACTCTAGCTGACTATCATCTTATGATGGAATTACTAGATACGTTTGAATTTAATTTTTTTATGTGAAGAAAAAAATTTTATCATCTTATGATGGAATTACTAGATAAGTTTGAATTTAATTTTTTTTGATGTGAAGAAAAAAACTCCCCCAAATTATACTTATTTTTAAAGTAAATTTTATAATATCGAGCATTTTTTCAATTCTAACTAGAAATGCTTGAATCTCCTGAGGCTTGAATAATGGCAAGTTTCAACTTTTGCCTGTGTTCTTTGATACAACTGAATGTGGAAAAACTACAGTATGTAAATAGAAAGTGGTTTTCTTCACCAGTTCTGTGGGAAAATGAAAATACGATATTTGCTTTTTAAAGAGTATTTTGGACACTCTAAACTCTATTTAAAATGTTGAGGTATTTCTTGTATTTTATGCTATAAAATTTCAGTAAGACACTTTAATTAACATAATGATTGTATTAAAACCATACTTCTCTTCCTATAGCTTTTGATCACCTTCTAGTTGTTTTCAGATCATGTCATTCCTGCCTCTTTGTTTCATGTGTGCATTTCAGAACTGTCCAAGAAAAAGAGCAAAAACAACAAAGTTCTCTGGTTTCATGAGAGTTTTTACTTTTACAGTTTTTTTTAAAGAAAACAAACCCAAACTACAAACTCACATAAAATATTTTTGGAAGGGGTGGTCTCTGTAAAAGTTGGGAGAAAAGTGACTGATAAACTAGCAAAGGGAAAGGAAAGGAATCTGAGAAACCAAGCTATTTTTAGGCATATTCTTAGAACCGAGAATTGGTCAACTGCTTCATGATCAGGGCTCCTGTACATGAAATACTGACATTGTAATTTCATTTTGAAAAACAAAGGTACAAGTCCTGATTTAGAAATTTTCCTTATATGTTGGGAAGAAAATAATATATTTTTCATATATTATCATAGTAAATTGAATTTTCATTGTAATATTTTCCTGAAAATTTCAGGGCCTTTTAATGAAATCTGATTTTCCATATCCTCAACAAGCCCCAAATGTCTATTCCATAAGATTGTGATTCTCATTCCAAATGAAGCTCTGTCTTTGTAGACCAAGTATGTTGTATGGGTATAGTAATATCTGCCTACCTAGGACCGGCCCTATGCAGAATTAGAAAGTAAATGAAACATGACTTCAGCACTTTTCTATCTGCTTCCCCAATCCCTTCTCTTCATTTTCTTCAAGTCAGCAGTCATATGCTCATATGCCTAAAATCCCGCATAAATCCCATTACAAAGCTTAATCTCCTTGCCCTATATCAGGCTACCTACCTAGATAGCATCCTGTTCTTACATTTTTCTCAACTCTACCACTCCATCAAATTTTATCTACCTTTCTCTTTCTGCTGGGCTCCTACAATAGGACAACCAGAGCTATTTCAATAACAAGTTACAGTTTTATGCTTCTAGATATCATTTCTATTCTGATATAAAACTTCATTGTCTTCAAGTAAAGAGTGAGTTCTTTGGCAAGTATAGGTATAATAGAGATGGAATTCATGCTTTGAAGGTATTTCTAGAGGTGTGCTTGGTATCAATGAGAAGCAATACAGTGGAGAGATGCAGCTATAGAAATTGACATGAATAAACAACATTGAAGCAAAATCATCAATGTAAAATTTTATTTCAACAAACGCCCCAGAGATATTTTCTAAAGATTTGTATGCTATTTGCAAATTTCTCAAGGTGCATTTGAAATTATTATTTGTTTTTTATTTGTCTTACATAATGAAGAAATAAAATTGAAAAATGTATTTAATAATATTTTCCATGGGGTGCATTTATCAATACAGAGTCTAAAAGAAATCGTCTTTATTCTAGAATATTTTTGACATGAAGAAATTTTAAAATTCTATTAAAGTCTTTGCTTTTTACTGTCATAATGGCATCGAAATACAAATATGACATTGACCTTACCCTTCTTGCTGTAAAAAGAAGATTTGCAAAGTCTGTTGATTTTGCTACGTACAGGTCTGGCAAAAAGTATTTTAACTATCATCAATTTTACATATTTAGAATTTTTCCAGTGAAGGTGCTCCCCTTCTCTTGGGTTGTGGCTGAGCTTTTATTTTACAGCATTATTAAAGAAAGAATAGTAGGATGGTTCAAATTTACTTTACTTTCTTTTGCTTTTTCTTAAGTAGGTATTTCAGTTTTCAGAAGTTCATAGTGTAATTGATTTCACTGTACTTCCCCCCATAAGATTACTGAAACATGATTATCTGATTATATATTCAGTTATGATTTGAAAATTACAAAGAACTACCATGTCTATTTAACATTGACTTTTAAAGTCTGTCAAGTCATTTCAGGTGCTGGTGTAAAGAGAATCTTTGCGGACAATACTTTTGTAGCTATAATGATATAAAATATGCAGGTATAGAAAATGAACAGTCACTTATTTACAACATTAATAGTTAATGAGAAACTTGCTAAGAAGAAAGCAGATAAGGTTGATGATTGCTGCTATTTGCGAATTCTTAGAAACGTTATAGGACGGGAAGGAGGTTTAAGTGAAATCTGATTACGCAGAAGTCATGTTGGTTTTTCCATGTGAACATTGAGTGTACCTTCTGATGTATTTTGAACAAAGTGATTTTTCCCATCACATGGTTCCTAAATTCCATATGCATCTAGGTCACAAGGCTTCCAAAGATTTCTAAGTTATGTTGGGGATGAGAGAGAAGGATCAAACAAAAGTTAGCTAAGCTGCTGATCTTTACCATTTTATTGTAACAAATATAGTTTCTCCTAGAAGAAAGATCTGTGTTTACAGAGGTAACTAGTAAAGACTATTCTTGGTATATAGAGAACTTAATTTCAAAAGTTTATTCCAATGACATCCTTTTAGAATGTAGAATTTTTTTCCATCATATCCTGTCTCAGGCCAGCATTGGCATTCCTATGTTTTGCAGCTATAGAAGCATTGATTTCTCCATAAGAAACCCTAGCCTTGCTCCTTGTGCCTAAGACCTGTGAGGTATCCATGTACAGATGAGACTTTAAAAGCATGGACAGACCTCTATGTGCATGAGTCCTAACATGTGCATACACACACACACACGCACACACACACACACAAAATTGCTTTTCCACAAACCCACTATATTTTATATTTTGTTTATCTCACAGTTACTCTTTCTAGGGGTGGATTTATTCAAGGTCTCTTTGTTTTATTGATATTTTATTTTCCCACTAATATTTAAAATGTATCATGCTACATTCCTTTAGCAATGTGATGTATTTTAAGACTTAATGAAGAGAATATAATCCAATTTCCCCACATCTACAAAGAGTAGTACAATTGTAACAGTTTTGACGAGATGCAAAACAGAACATTTCAAAGTTCCAAAAGTACTGTCAATTCCCTCAGTGCCTTAATGATTGGATTCAATTTATTGGTGTTAAAACTATTGAAAATTTCAGGGGAGCAAACCTCTCTAGGAATTTCTCTTTCTCAAGTTAAGATTGATAAAATATTACAACCTTAGTTAATTAGTAAATATGTAATATAGGGGCTACAAACAACATAAACATGCAATACATTACTCCATTGGACACCCCCAAAACCACCACCAGCAGAACACTTTAACTAGAACATGATAAATATAAAGCTAAATTGTAACGATACTGGCTTACCATATTTCTTCTGCTTAAATGTGTTTTCTGTTTCCTACTTTCAGCTGGGAACTTAAAATTAGAAGCAAAATTTTCCAGTAGGTACTATCTCTGATCTGTGCTTTTCTAATTACCTTTGACTCCATAATGTAGTGTTTTTAACCTGTGGTGTCCTTTCACTGATAATAGTATTAATTTACTACATTTTCCTCCTTGACCAAATTTAAATGCTAGGCCAGTTCTATTAAACTCTAAAGACTTCATTTGAGTACATTAAGGTATAATCTAAACAAGATTGTGGGTTTGAGCATGTACGTGGAGGTAGAGGAAAAAAAAGAGCAAGAGAGGGAGAATTCTCCTATGATTATACACTGTACTCACAATCCTAGTCTACCAATTTGTAAATCCGTTTCAGAAGAGGACCATATGAGTGACTGTGGCGGGATCAGTCAAAATTTGTGGCCACTACTAGTAAATCTTGAAGAAGAAAAATAAAACATGTCCTTGAACAAGAGTGCCCCCCTTTAAACACAACTTAAATGTAGGAATACCATATCTTACTCATCTTTCTATCCCCCACTAGTGACTAAGAATAGCTCCATTGTCTATAGCAGGTGCAAAATAAATTCTCTTAAATTTAAGTACCCATCAGAGCTGAATTTTGTGCCATCATAATTCTTTTATCTTAAATGCATTTGTCTTCGTTAACTAACTTCGCCTCAAATGCATTTTTCCCCATAAACCAAATTGATCCTTGTTTTAATCGCTAAATCTTTAGAAGAAATATCTGGAAAAAAAAAGCTGGTGGGGAAAGATCTGTAGCTGCAATGTTGGCCAGTGTGACCCCTGAGATTAACAGAGGTCTGTCTAGGGTGAGACATGCCAATGCTGGCCTCTAAATAATGCAAAGGTGCCAGGGAAACAAACAAATAAAAACCCAACAATTTGCTCTTTTAATTTCCTTCATCATCAGTTGATTACAGGAAATAGTTTCAGAGGAACCATTTACTCTCCAAATTGAGCAAGGAGTAGAAGCAAATAACTTTTCTTCTTTCCCTATTTTTATGAATTCATCTAGGGTCTTTGTTTAGCAGAGTGCTTCAAACTACACAGTGCTTTCCTTGTTGATTAGTTTCCATCAGCAGCAGCAATTAGCATCGGTTTCCTAGGAAACCATTCTGTACCCTACTGAGAAAAACCTTTTCTTGACAGGAGCATTCTGTCTAAAATTGTTTTGTTTTCCTTCTTCCACAAGCGTACGGTAAGCTTATTTGTCGTTTTCTTTGAACACAACATTATTATACCAAAGATTCTTAAAACATTTACAGGCTTTTATATTCCATATGGTTGAATTTACAGGCACTGTCTCTTACTTTTCTCTAACAACCTGAAAGAAATCAACAAAAATATGTTCTCAAGCATATGCCAAGGTGCTTGGATTTTTTTTATTCACAGTCTAATTGGTGAACCTTTGCACGTTCAAGTAATCATAGCTGGTCCTGCTGAAAAACCACAGGGTACGAATTCAAAATCAAACTTATGGGTCCACCAACAATGTTACATATCACTCAGAATCACTCAGAAACAAGTTGAAACTTCCAGGATCATTGAAAAAGTTTCATCTCCATTGGTTATTTTTAATCAA
The DNA here is from genome assembly GCF_000001405.40 of Homo sapiens. NCBI lineage: Eukaryota > Metazoa > Chordata > Mammalia > Primates > Hominidae > Homo > Homo sapiens. The sequence continues at coordinate 209,671,990 of NC_000002.12, forward strand.
CCAAGCAATATTGATAGATAAATGTAACACAATAACTTTAAAATGCGCTAAAAGCAAAGCCTGAGGTTGTCTTAAAATTTTTGTTGTGACAAGTAGTGTGATCAGAAGAGCATGGCAATGGTGCAGCATGAATCAGCATTAGGGAAAAAACCAGAGGGTCATGATGGCTACAAATGCTGAGTAGTATGATATGACAGTAGGGCAAAATTTACCTTATGTTCCTTTTAGTTTAAATAATAAGTGGCAGGAGCCTGATGTATTGTCTGTTAGGGTCCCAGCAGTGACCCAACATTTCAGCAAGGAGGTACTCATTGGGAAAAATGACAGAATAATCTCAGTGTCTGACAAAAACTTTCAGATCTTACCTACATTTTGTCAATCAAATTATGTTCATAGATTTCATGATAAGAGAACATCAAGAGTGATTAAAACAGTGGTACCTAATTTAAATAAGCACTTGATTTATATTATTTTATTTAATTGTCACAACACACCAAAAGATGAATACTACTCTTATTCCCACTTTACAGATGTGGAATCTGAAGGTTAGAGAGATTGTTACTTAACAAGGTCTTTTGGCTAGTAAGAGATGGAGATGGAATTTGATCCCAGGTTTTCTGACACTAGAACCTACTTTTATATAAAATACTGATGTAAATCATAACAATGTCTAAATGGGACAAGCATATCTTTATCCATTATTTTGCTAGTTTTCCCATCTGGACTATCTGTAAATATGTGTATTAAATAACATCAACAAGAAATGAAAGTGCCTACTGTAACAACTTGTTATACAAGGTTGCTTAATAACGTTGTATAACAGTGTGATGTTTATTCATTAGTTAGGTGAGATGTAAGTAGCCTAGCATGATACCGTTTGGGTTTCTTCAAGTAGTTTTTGGTGGATGACAGCATTTCTCAATTAGTTTCTCATACATATTAATCTCCTGTATGTGTTTCCACCAATATATTTCCTTAATACCAAGAAAAGATATTATTTGTTTCCAGAGGACTGCTTTGATTCTCTTTTCTAAATACTGACCCCATCTTTGTTTCCCAGGAAAAGTTTTCAAGACAGATTTCACTTTTTATCTTCAGATGTTTACCTGGATAGTGGTGATCTGCTATCATCTATTGCTCTGTTGCCTAGATTAAATATTTAAATCCTTTATTCTTATCAGCCTTTAACCAATAACATTTTTAGAAATTATGAGATGAATTTTATTTAGAAAGGTTCCTTTTTAATGTTTTCCCTCTAATTGATTTGTGAGCAGATCCAAGTTGTCACTCATGCATAGCCATGACGTGACTTTACAGGCATGTTATAATATTTTTTATTACTTACAGAAATTGTCTCATTATCATATTGACACTACCGATAAAATAATAACAAATTAACATTCAAATACCAATGTAAGGGTCTTACTGCAATGCAAAAACTACGGTTAATTACATCAAAACCCTGACATTCATTCACAAAAGACAGAATGGAACATTCACAAGAGAAAGAATAGAAAAACATATTGTATACACTTATTAACTAAGATAATTTCTAACATAAACTAAAAAATGTCCAGTGCCAGAACATTTTATAAGTTCAAAAGAAAGATAATTGAGCCTTTCAAAATATCAGATTACAATAAGCAGTTTTATGTTTGTTTAATATTTTCAGCTATGAAGATCAGTGTTACCTTTCAATTACATATAATGAATAATAATTCCCCAATTTATGTGTAATCTAGATTCATCTTTAATCTTCTAACAACTAAGTCCTGGTTGTTATAACTTTACACCTATGTTTGGAAGAAAAAGCAAGAAAAAGAGAATAGAAAGTATAAAAAGGAATAGAAGGTAGGAAAAGTAAGCAATGAAAAATTAAAATGTAGTCTAATCTCTGACTTCAAAAAGAATTTTTCATGTCACCAATTGTCTTCAGAATTAGACAGGATTATCATACCTTTTAGAGCCCTGTCTAGAATAGACAGTCCTGAATTGGGACTTGCTGGATGGAATCTTGAGCAGATGGTAGCCCAGGACCTATGCATCCAGGAAACTGGGTGTGAAGCCAGAAAATAAATAACAAAGACAATATTTACTTCTCTCATATCTTTGCCTTGGAAAAAAAAATACTTCCCTTGTCCATTAACATAGCCATCAACATCAGTGATATTGGATTAACTATATTTTCAGATGGTTATAATAACAATAGCCTAGTTGGGCTGACCTTTAGTGCATATCACTATTGCTCTTTCTTTAAAGTAGAAATATTAAAGTAGAAGACTCAGAAAAATACATGACTAGGGGAAAATAAAGATGTGCTGGTGAAGGACTATATAGAAGTTTTTATTTTATTTGTATTCCAGGCCTGTTATATAATTATTTGCCAGGCCTGTTATATAATTATGTAATTGAGTCCCCACAACAACCTCTGAGACAGATACTAAAATTATTTCCATTTTATGGATAAGGCATCGAAGCAAAATGAGACTGAATACATTTCATAGTATGAAATAACTAGAAAGTAGCAATGCTGGAATTTGTACCCACATTTTCCTGAATTAAAGTCTGTGAGATTCCCTCTGATGTGTGCTGTAAAAAAACAGCAATCAGTAATCCCCTAAATATATAGATAGATGGATGGATGGATGGATGGATGGATGGATGGATGGATGAGGTATTTAATAGACAAATGTAGAATCAGTGAAGAAATTACATATATAATCACACACATCATAATCATTACATTTATATTTTTATAGGTCTGATTTTTTGACTGTCTTTCCTTGTCTTCTAAGTTTGTTTGGAACATTTACCATTAATCTGCCCTGAACTTTACACACACTCTGACTGAATTTGCTCCTGTCCCAGAAGCCATGCTATAAGGATGAAGCTCACCCAGTAGATCTGCTGATGAGGCTTCCAATGAGAGAAGCCCATCTCTTCCTTCCTTAAGAATGCTTCTGTCTCTGCTGATGACAGCCCTTACTTAGAGGAAGATTTTAAATTAATTGGACCAGTTGAAATTCCCAGAACAATCTTAGGCTCCTGTTTCCCTAAATTCACTGTGAACTCTATATTATAAAATGTGACATGCCCTATTTGAAAAAGTTTAACAATATTATTCTCTAAAAAGTCTTAAAGATAATATGTCAATTAAGCCAATAACTTTGACTATGCTAAAATAATGTTTCTCAAATCCTCTTAAATTACTTCAAAGAAGAAAAAATTTACCAATTCTCCCTTGGATTATTTTTTTTAACAACTTTTGGTTAAACATATACAAAAATAAAATTAACTTGTTCATGAGTTCTAATTCCATTATGGGACATAAACACACTTATAAATTCATTTTCTCTGAAACAACAAAACCAGTAAAATTCAAACTCTCTGCTGCTTCCCATCTACAATAAATGATACTGCTTTGCTGAAACTAAATTATCACTCACGATTAGTACTGGCTGATACAGTGCCTTTGTTTAAGTTGGACATTTCTATACTGAACTGGAGACAGGTAATACTTCTATTCTCCTTTTTTCTCTGTTTCAATGATTTTCAAAGTCTATTTATACAGTGTACCACAATGTTATTTGGGCTACACTTGTATGAATACATCCTTTATGTATTAAATCCACCTCTCCTTTTTTATTAGCTCTCAACACTTAAATAATTCTCCATGGATATCAAAACTGTATCCTAAGATACAATCCCAAAGAAAAATACTGAAATAATGTAGAGTTGCTCAGTTATAATTTGCTCATATAACCAATGGATACTTATTTATTTTGGATTATCTTCCCAATCTAAAAAAAGAATACATATAAAACACTCTCAGACCCTAAAAATATTTATCAGTAATTAAACAAGAATGCAGGACCCCCATTTAAGAAATACTGTTTTGATATATATATCAAATACTTAATAATAGAGTAAATAAGATAATTTTAGGTTTTAAGGTTACTAAATGTAGTAACAAGCATGAATTATTTCTGAATGTTTGTAAATATTATGAACAAAACCTTTCATATTAATTTTCTATTCTGTCAAAAAAAATTCTGTTAAGCATCCAATCTGAGTAAAGCTCAATAAGAGAAGCTTCAAGAGTTGTGCATTGCAACACTATTCACAATAGCAAAGACATAGAATCAACCTAAATGCCCATCAATGATAGATTGGATAAAGAAAATGTGGTACATATACACTGTGGAATACTATGCAGCCATAATAAAGAACAAGATCATGTATTTTGCCAGGGCATGGATGGAACCATTATTCTTAGCAACTAACACAGGAACAGAAAACCAAATATTGCATGTTCTCAATTATAAGTGGGAGCTAAATGATGAGAACACATGGACACATCAACATCAAGGGGAACAACACACACTGGGGCCTATTGGAAGGTGGAGGATTGGAAGAGGGAGAGGATCAGGAAAAATAACTAATGGGCACTAGGCTTAATACCTGGGTGATAAAATAATCTGTACAACAAGCCCCCATGACACAAGTTTATCTCTGTAACAAAGCTGCACATGTACCCCTGAACTTAAAAGTTAGAATTGTGACAATGACAGAAGAGAGTCCCTGACTTGGGAAACCTTATATAGTGTGGGAGATAAGCCATGTGAACCAGCACAATTCCATGTGAGATGTACTAAATGCCATAGGAAGACACTACAGTTTGCATACGTGCTAATAGAAAGATGCAGGAATGATCCAGAAGACACAAAGGTCATATATATATATATATATATATATATATATATATATATATATATATATATATCTCCCAATTTCTGCCATGATTGTTCCACCTCTTTATTACACTCAATTTTTCCATAAATCACTGGGGTGCTAGAAGAAGCTACCTCACTCTACTGATTTTTAAATATTTTAATTGCATTAAAAATTAATATATGTAAGCGGCAATTCTCAAAACCTAAAATAATTCTTTTTGTAACATTATTAAACAATTTAGACGTCTAAGCATGATCTTTACAGCTAATTTAATTTTCTGTAGCCCTTTTTGTATACTCTTTCCCATTTAAAAAAACATCACTTTAGGAGCCCAGCCTTTCAGAGAATGTTCAGAGAAACCCCACCCAGCAGCCTGGCTTTATGAAAACAAACAGCCTTTCCTTCTCTACTGCCCTCTTCACTGAGTAGCATAGCAGATAATCCTCCTCATAATGCTTTGGTGACTGTTAATGTTATTTATTTAACTGCTGTAACTGTGAAAAATTCTATTCCAACACTAAAACAAATATGCTAATAAGATAGTATTATCTCTTAGAAATAAAATAGTCATCTTCTAAAGGTAAACTATCACAATATCTAACATGGTCTATGAGATATATAGGTAGGTAGGCAGGCAGATAGGTAGGTAGATAGATGATAGATTAGATAGATAGATAGATAGACAGACAGACAGACAGACAGACAGACAGACAGACAGATAGATGTTGCTCAATTGTGGCTCATCACTTGTTGCATAGCTTCCAGCTATAATCAGGAATGGAATTACAATGATGTATTTTAGATAGACATATAGCTGAGCAGGTCTGATAGTGAGTATGTTTCCTTCATTCATACCACTAAAAGAGTTGATATATTTCTGTTAGTCATTCACTCACGACTGTTAGAAAGTTTTGTGATTATGTGTTTGTTATTTCTTCCATTGTTCTGCTTAGGAGAAAGAATATTATAATAGTCAGGAATGCTAAAAACTAGTTATTTGGTATCTCACAGACCAATCATTTTAATTTTGAGCCCTCCTTTTAAAAAAAATGAAACTAAGATGATTTGATGTCATATGGCTTTAAAGATCTTTAAAATATCAACTCTCTAGAAAAATACTAGTTCTTTAGAAAGAGACCATCTGACATATCATTGCCATGTATTTCATTAAAACTTCATCTTTCCAGATTCCTTATAATTTATCTTATTTTCACTGATCCTGGATAATGCTATTTAACCATAAATAGATTTTCAGATTTTAAATAATGGTATTTCTGCAAATCAAGCACACAAGCTTATATAAATTATATTTTTAGAATAGTATAAGGAAACTATAAAACAAATTTAAGTTAAATTCAAAATGAACCCTCTCTTCTATCCTTGAATTTGTTTTACTAGGTATAAAGAAATTAAATTGTTTCTATTTTTGTAAACAGCTTTTACAAAATAAAGTACCAATTACCTTCACATTGGAGGTTAGGAGTTCAACATATGACTTTGGGGGCAGGGGATACAAACACTCATTCTATAACAGAGATGTCATAGACTTCAGAGTTGAAAATAAATTTCTGTTGTTGAAGCCAAAAAAATGTTCAAATACTATGTAAGTATTTTTTCTCAGTTCTGTGCTCATTTTGCTTGCTTAGCTTAGCTCCTAGAATACCAACTTCTTTTCTTCTTCTTTTTTGTATATATGTGTTTATGTTTTCTCTGCAATTAAAAAATTATGTTGTACTTTTTAGGGGGAAGAAAATGAAATTATAATCCACTATACTGTTTGGTTACTTTTCCTCTTTGCTTTCTCAGACTTCTCATCGTTATATTTTATTTTGTTACTGTTTATTACAGAGGAGGTGTCTGCAAGGATAGTTCAAGTAGTCACTGCTGAGGCTGTAGCAGTCCTGAAAGGTGAACAAGAGAAAGAAGCTCAACATAAAGACCAGACTGCAGCTCTGCCTTTAGGTAAATAAGAAGATTCTCAGGTCAGGGACTGTGTCTGTTGCACCCTGATCACAGGATAAAGTCTTCATGTTCAAAAGATAGGCCATATCTTGTACTTCATCCTTACATGTAACATTCATCAGACACCTTGACTGGGTATGCACTAGGACCTATTTTCATCTTTTTCCACTGGTTTGTTGTAGTGTTTGCATAGTCTTTCGTTAGGGTGGTGAGCTTACAGTTAGACTTTTCCCTAAGTGGCCCTTAATTTTTTCATTTTCCAGACCACTAGAAATAGTTATTATTAAAATAAAGCCAATGCCTTATTTCATGACCTCCACCCATAAGGATAATATACTAAAACTTTCATAAGAGATGATTATTTCCCTTTACAGGTTTTGGTGAATGATTATACTGTAGCCTTGTTTGGGTCTTCCTGAAATGACTACACAAAACCTATAGCCAGAGCTTTGTTATAATCGTGAGTGACTTTGTATCTTATATGAAGTACTGAACTTCACTTGGTTCATCTAAGGGCGCTGAGAGAGTGCTGCTCTCTCCCTTAGTAACAAGACAAATGCCCTCCATGCCAAGCAAGTCATTTAACGCATGCTTGCCAAAGGAAACACTCTCAGCCAAAGCCTTGCTGCCCCTACTCATAGATAGATAGATAGATAGATAGATAGATAGATAGATAGATAGGCAGATAGATAGATAGAGAGATGGATGTATATAGGCAGATAGATAGATAGAGAGATGGATGTATATACACAAAGAGATACAGGAAAGGAGACTCTCTTAAATTCAATATATATATTTATTTCACAGGTATATACACGTGAGTCATAGAAAGGTGTGTTTTTAAAGGCCTAAAAAAGTACATATCCATTTCCCTCTCTTACAGTCTAATATATCCATGATATTTGATTTTTTGATCAGTATTCCTTTAACTGTCTATTAAAAAGTAAGTAATAAAAATAATCTGCCCTCCCAGAATAATAATTTAGAATACACTCAGTATTTTCAGTACTGTGGGTTTTTTTAATTATTAAGGACTATTTTTCTCTTAAAACACATAGAGAATTATCTAATCTAAAACATTAACCTTCAGTTTATTGTTCACTTTTATTCCTTGAAAGAAAAGAAAACTCAATTTTTTAAAACTTGAAATCTTAAAATACGCCATGCAGAAGCCCATAGGGTAAGGAACTAAAAAAGTCACCTGTCATCCCAAATCTGCCTCTAATAACTACTTTATGAAGCTGAAATTCCCCTAATATTTAAAATAGATTTAACCACTGGCCTTAAATGAGAAATATTTCCTTTTGAAATTTCTTACTGTCATATGAGGGGGATCACAAATCATGTAAGTGTCTTGAAAAATAAAACTTAACATTAACTGTAAATGAATTACATCTTTTAGAACCTTTTTCTCTGGTTCCTTTTCATGTGTATTGATTGCTAAGACCAGAAGTTTACTCAGCATATGGTTTTTGTCTGAAAGTTCACTCAGGCTATGAAAGCTTATTTTTCCATTTCTGAGAATACATACAGAAGATGGGTTTTGAAATTAGACTCAGTGAACAAAAGGTTGTTTAAAAAATATATTCCCTAAAATAACTATTAGTGATCAAGATAACACATGTTTCCAGATTGAGCAGTTGAACAATAGAGAGTTCTAATAGTTTTTTCAGTCAGTAGCTGAATCCAGACTAAAAACACCTGCCTGCCTGTGTGTGTTTTCATATGGTAAATTAGGGCCAAAATGAAATATTTTATTAATTGAACAGGTAGACACATTAATGAGATTAATGATGGAATTTTAGCAGGCATCTCTAATCTGTTTTTCTAGAGATGATAAAATCATTTTTTTTTGAAAATATCAAATGCTTGTCTTATTTTTTAGGTTTTCAAAAATGCATGAATCAGGTAATGGGCCTATAAATAAACCAAATGCGGCTTACTATTGAATCTTTTTCTGAATTTTATAGAGAGGTCTTTTTACAAATGGCAGAACTTCCTACACATCTACCAGCCTAAAAGGATTAATTATTGCATCTCATTTTTCTATTGTTTGATCTTTAGCAGCTGAAGAAACAGCTAATCTGCCTCCTTCTCCACCCCCATCACCTGCCTCAGAACAGACTGTCACAGTGGAGGAAGGTAAGGCCTATTGGACTTTTCAGGGTTTGTCTTCTGTTAAAGTGTGAACAATAAACTTCAATCAATAAGCTCTGGACTTTGGTATTGGTTAGTATGTGACCAAGCTTTGGAGCTATCTGTTTCAAATAATGAAGAAGAAACAAAGACTTTAAATAAATAATCACTTATTTTTATAAAAGCAAAAGTAGAGGAATTTGGTAAATAAAAAAGAAATCTGCTTGATTAAGGAAAAGAATTTTGTGTTCAGTTGCTAAAATAACTGTAGAGACCCCATTCACTTTAGAATGCTTTAACAGGGAAGATACAATTCTACCTTGTAAGTGACTGAACAAAAATTAAAATAAATATAAATGTAATCTCCATAATAGTAGGGGTCAGATTTATCAATGAAATCAACACTTCCTTATGAAAGTGTCAGGAATTATCTCTGTTTTGCTCACTGTTATATTGCCAAGACCTTCCCCAGGGCCTGACTCATAGCAAATTTAATAAATATTAATGAATAAATGAAGAAGTTAATGAATGAATCTGATATTGAGAGCATTGAACTGGAAGCTGAGCTCATGACTCTTTCCTGTTGAGACCTGTTATTGTCCATGGATCTTTTTATGAACTTACTCAACATGGAATGTCATGTTAGCTTTTCAATTCTCATTGATACAACAGAAAGATGCCTTTGAAGAATTTTCATTCAGAATCTGAGATGAAAGGCACTACTTAAAAGGAAACCATTACTGGTTCTCCGACTTAGTCCAGTTAACCTTTGTTTATTGTTTGAGAGTCACAGGAAAAGGCAGAGAAGAACTAGGGCTCCATTGTTGTTTCAACATTACTTAGTTTTCATATATTAAAACCAGAATTTTAAAAGTGTTTATTTTATTCATTTATTCATTTATTTTTCCTTTTTACTGTGTTAAAGACTGAAGAACATTTATTTTAAAAGACTTGTCTTTTTATCATTTGTAATTAGGTTCATTTAAAATATTCTTTGATTTCGTAAATACAAAAATTTGAATTAGTGAACCATATATTATCACCTCTAATATAATTTTATTTTGTCACAGATTTATAAACCTAAATTTATTTTAGCAAGGTTTTTCTTTCTTAAATTGAAGCTTTTTTTTTCCAATTTACTGCCTGAAATAATAAACAAACTAAATTTTTCTGAGGAATAAAAGAAACTTTGGGGATAATAATCAGTGCATAGCAGCCACTGATTATTAGTTAATGTGATTTAATCTTTTAATTTATAGGTTTGAAAAGTTCCTTTTGACCTTATGTTTATCCATTCACTGGGCACATATTTATTGAGCCCTACAGTCTTCCAGGTACTCTTCAAATTCTGAGTATATACTAGTGAACAAAACAGACATGATCCCTGCTTTTAAAGAGTACACTATAGCCGGTAATCCCAGCACTTTGGGAGGCCGAGGCGGGCAGATCACTTGAGGTCAGGAGTTCAAGATCAGCCTGGCCAACATGGTGAAAACCCGTCTCTACTAAAAATACAAAAATTAGCCAGGCATGGTGGCGTACGCCTATAATCCCAGCTACTCGGGAGGCTGAGGCAGGAGAATCACTTGAACCCAGAAGGCGGAGGTTGCAGCGAGCCAAGATGGCACCATTACACTGTAGCCTGGTGACATAGCGAGACTCCATCTCAAAATAAATAAATAAATAGTACACTATCTAGTGGAGAACAGAAATCCAATAAATAAGCTTACCAATAATTTCAAATTGGATTAGCATTGAAGAGGAAAAGAATAGGGAGCTTTAAAATATTACAAGAGAAACCTGATTTTATTGGGTGGTGAGGGGATGGCTAAGTAGCTGAGACCAGAAGCATGAGGAGGAAGTGTTGGCCAAATAAAGATAGAAAAAAGCACAAGGGCGCTCAGGTGCCCAAGAAGATGAAGTGACCCAGGAACTGAAGGGGGTCCGTGGCTGATGGGTAGTGAGAAAGGGTAGAGCAGTGGAGTGTGAGAGTAAGCAGTGGTCAGCTGGGGTCAGTGGCCTAGATTTCATTCTGAATGCAGCGGGAAGCCTGACATGACCCTTGTACCTCCTTCAGGCCATGGAAAATGTTTCTAAGCTCCTACTTAAAGCTTTTCAAGCATCAGAGAATCCTCTTAACCCAGAGAGGGATATGATGTTGACAGAGCAGGTTTACTCCAAAAGTCGGCTTGAGGTCAAGTCATTTAATCTTCTTACTCTATATGGGATTTGGAACAGAAAGGGAAGAAGCAGAGTCCTCCCATCCATCTGGGAATTCACCCAGCCTGCTTCCTGTAGGGTAATATGATGGATATAATGAAAACATAAATAAATAAAATGTAGAATCACCTTCACATTTTGGTAACTTAGGTGTCAACTTTCCAGAGTTCCCTAATATTTTGGAATTACTTTCTTCAAGCTGTTTCAAGATATTCAAGGAAAATACCACCTAACCTCTTATTGAAAGTAATTCAAAGTTATTTTCAAGCCAAACTTGTGTTTTTAACTTTTTGAGTATTGAACTATCTGAAGTTCTGATTATTTGATTTTAAAAGTATAACCATTTTTTGAGTTTTAAGAAAAACAGATGTATATATTTTATAAACTCTATCTCTATAAAGACCAGATAATATTCTCACCTTAAATATGTAAAAGATTTGTGGTCTAGACAAACTACTGTTTCTCTTTTATGTTAAGCCACACTTAAGTAATATACAAGTATTTTTTAAGTTTAGTTTTGTCAGAAAATAAATTAGTGACAAGTCACAAGACAGGATTGAACTGTTCAATTTTTCAAACCAAGTAGTTTGTAAATACTCAGCCCAAATTCCATCAATATATTGCTTATAGCAGGTCAGGTGGAAAGGGAGCAGGTGGATTTTTTTGCCTTATCTAGGGGATTATTTACCCTCCTTGATACCCTCAAAGCAACTTTAATCTGAGGGTATAGTGACTGCTGCAGTCTGATCCTTTTATACAAATGGAAGAAAGCTCTTTTGTTAGATTAATTCAGCGATTTTGAGGATACATTTTCTTTTTGTTAATTATCAAACTTTTTAAAGCTGTTCTTTCCCAAAGGGGAAGCATGAAAGCTTCCACTAAAAATTTAAGATGTTAATTACTATAATTTATGAATATTTATTATAATTAATGTAATATTAGTAATTCCCAGGATATGTGCTTATTCTAGAAAACATTTACAAGGGATTTTGATGAAAAAAAAGGAAACAAGCTGCACACTTAGAAAAGGATCTACGGTACAGTAAACCAAACCTGTACTGATTATGATGTTTTCAAATTAACCTCCTTTTTCTTTTTGGCCTAATCATAATAGTTGTCATTTGGACTGAGCTATTAGAATTTGGAAGGCTGTGAAGGAATGGAATAATCTGAACACAGAACCAGGATTCTTTCTGCCCTTTTAGGTTTGCTCCAGAATTCTAGGGTGGTGTTTTCCTGTGTCATGGATGTGGTGACCTAATCATCGCGCATCTGAAAGTAGTTTTCTCTTTATGTCATTCTGGGGCAGCAGTAACAGTCAGCAGACTGAGAAGTCCTCAGTCAAAAGCTGGCAGAATGGAAAGGGCTTGGAAATGGTGGAGAACAATGTAAGTGCGGCCAGCAGCCATCGACCATATGCTGTGATGCCACAACAAGCAAAAAGTACCGAATCACTAACATTCCACAAGATGCAGTCTCCAAAGGAGGCTGGTATACTAAGGCTGGGTTTTACATGGCAAACCTTACATTAGCCCAGTGTAAATTTTCAAATGCTTTATTTAAAAGAAAAAGTTTCAATGAAAGCAAACTAGGGAAACTTTATTCCTCCATTGAAACCAGGTAAGCTTTATTTTTGAAGATTATAATTATGCAGAAAACTATGCAAAAGTCCAAGGTGTATAAGGTTACCCTGTTTTTAGCATAACACGTGATTAAATGAAATAGAATATTCTGTGGCAAAAGCAGAGTCCCCAGAAGCATGCCCACTTCTAGTAAAAGGATGCATGCATTCAATCCTGACCTCAAACAGCAAACTAACTGTTGTGAAATAAATTTAATTTTTAATATATCTCTCAACTCCAACTTTGATGTGCTAAATGAGGGGAAAGAACAGAGGTACCTGACAACTTGTCTGAGTACACTGAAGACACAGATGCTAAGATGTATGGAGTCAGACATTGTGCTTGGCATTTTCACAGATATCTTCTCATTTAATCCTCCCAGCAACCCACAGAGATAGATAATATTCATTTCCACTCCTTTGCCCAAAATGTTATGGTTTATGTCTGGAGAAGTGGCTTATCCAGAATGCAAATCCAAATCTAAATTCTGCAATCACGGTTGCACTACATCCCTAAAGCTGTTTCTTATCAAGGTTCTTACTGTGAGACTATGGAAGTAAATTATCTTCAAATGAGAGTTATTTGTTACAAGCTACTATACTAATTTCCTTTAAGAAAAAAAATCTTACAAATAAATATTCCATTTATTATTTATTTATTTAAAATTATTATGTCTTCCATCTGCATTGGGAGTGATCCAGATGCACCTGCCATACACAACACAATAAGAAATGAGAATCTAATGTCTTCTGTCATTATCATTAAAATCAAGTGCCCTGTTTGGCTTAGCCCTCCCTGGTCCCCATAAAGCATAGCTTCCCTGGCATATCTCTAGAGCTTGTAACGTAGATGGACTTTAGGCTGATAGGTCTTAAACAGAGACTTGGAGTACAGACAGCTTACAGTACCAAGAGAAGATTGGACTTTGCCAGACACTCTTTTTGAAGTTGCCTTGGTCCCAGGCCAGATGAATACTAAAAAGAAGCTACTTTTTCCACTAGATCTTTCAAAATTTGTGTTGTTCTTTTTGTTGTTTCCTGATTAGAGTGAAAGTTTTCAGAATAGAAAATACCATTTACCATTTTTTTAAATGCTATAGATCTGAAGCAAGGCTCTGGACTGTTTTTAAATGTTGGCACTTTCACAAAGAACAATGACAACAAGAAAGAGGTGGCCAGAATCTGCAAAAGGTTAAAACATCCAATGAGTATTGCCTTTACTCTCAGCTTGAAATTCTTTAATTTTATACTATAGTCTGCTGTACCTCCCAGAAAATAAATGTTGAAAAGCAGAGAGGAGCATATCCCATTTTCATTTATTGATCATGAAAGTACCCTACTGAACATATCAGGAATTTTAGAAGTAACTTGCATACATGGGGAATTTACAGCCCCAGAGATCCACTGAGAGAAATATGAATGGCTAGGACATGTGACAAGCCAGGGCTATGATTCAGTCAGTGTTGTAGGCCAGATCTTGGACAATTATCTGCTCAGCTGCGAAATCGTGCCGAGTTGAACTAAGAATATCAAACGTTATTTTAGGCTTCTGCTATCCCATGATATAAAAAGCATTGTGGCTGAGAAAGTTCTGAGCATCCATCCAGAAACATCTTCCATGGAACAATCAGTAAATAATGTGCTTGAAAGATTAAATGTATTCTCTCTACAAAATGTTATTTTAGTATCCTCATGATTTCAGACTTATTTCTAGTTGTCAGCACTTGGTTGCCAAAAATAAGTTACTGTCCTAAAAATACAGTATATTTGCAAATTAATGCTATAATTTTGTCTTCTTAAAATCTGATATAAATAAAAACTGTACAGATAGATACTATAGATTTTGTTCTTATTATTGAGAGTCATGAAATTTTAAATTGATATCTCAATATAAGTAAATAAATAGTGATTAGCAAATTTAGCAACCACCACATAGGCCTGAGATGTAACGTCTGCACCACATCAGAAGCCAAGTGCTCACTGAGTTATACGAGAATCCAAATGCTAAGCAGACTGATCTACAGTTGTATATTTAAGGAGATATGTTTAAATAATGCAAATTTCCTAGGCAAGATACAGGAAAGAACAGAAATGAGAGTAGTTACTTTAGCATTTCAATAAGAAATATGCAATAAGAGGTTTGAAACATGAAAAACAGCCAAGAGCCAGTGGTACAAATGAAACTACATGGAATAAAGTCTTGATGAATCTGCAGCCGACTCTGCAGAAATTTTTAGCTAATTGTATCTCTGCTAAGCTTTCAGAAGGAAAACAAAACATAAGAAAACAAGTTTATAATATTAGAGGCTTTCTTAAAACAGTATACTTTTAGTGTCCTGCAAATCAGAACCTGGTTTAAAATGATGCCTCTAGGTACTACATTAGCCTTAGCATCCAAAGAAAGAGCTATGCTGACTGCGCATTTCTTATTAAGGCAGGAAAGAGGCATAATGCATTGTAGATTTTTCTTAACAGGATTGAAATTAAAAATGACTTTCTGGTTAAAGTTATTAACTAGAATTAAATTAACCAAAACACTACTTGTGCATCCTAGATAATTAAGACTATGTTTTAAACAGGACTGTTTTCTTCATAATCTTACAGGCGTTAAATCCTAATAACTTTCTTCTTTTTAAACTTATAAACATATTGATCTAAGCATGAGTAGAGTTAACCTTCATGAAATAATTTCCTCCAAAGAATGCATTTGTTTTGTAATGCTTTGTTTCTATTCCAACGTTCCTTGGTTATTCTGACTTGTTTGAGAGGAATGTACAGATGATTTTTATTTTGCCGCAGGGCTGTCAATGCTTTTGGTTCACTTAGATCAATGGCAAACTTGCTTAAGGGATAGGTGGAATTCAGCAGTTACTGAGGCATGAAACATTCACTGTCTCCCATCCTCCATCAGCTTGATCTTGCTAATTTCCCTTCATCCTGCTGTGCTGCTTCTGTGGCCCTTCCTGCCCTTGTGTAGGTGTTTGTTTCGTCCGTCTGATCTTGTGTCTGTGTTGTCCAGTTCTCCCTGCAGTTTCTTCCTGTGTGTCTGTTTGTAGATGAAGGGGCTGAGGATCAAGTGGGTCCTCTACACAGGTTCCCCAGCCATGAACCTGCCACCAGCGGGGAGAGGCGTGGACTCCTAGCCCCCTCCATCTCAGTGTCTGTGCCTGATGATGACCCTTACAATTCCGATGAGGAGTACTATGAGCATCCTTTGTTCAGCTCAGAACGGACCACCTCTAGTGTGCTCCCCAGTGTCACAGCGCAGAGTGCAGAGGCCCACTTAGGCCAGGAGAAAGGTGAACCAAGCATGGTCCCCTTTTGCTCCTCCGCCCCGGCCTACAGCTTTGACCACCTACATCATGTTAAGTGTGCCTTAATACAGGGTGGGAGGGGCAGGAGCCTGTTTTCTCTGCATGAAAGTGAAGTTCCTATATAAGTTGAATCTATCCAAATGCCTTAACAATTTATATAAAAGAAGCCTTACTAGAGGCATGTGAGCACTTCCTTTTTCTGTATCATTGCTTCTGAGAAGGAAGAAAAAGAGAGAGAGAAAGAGAGAGAGAAGCAAAAAAATATTCCATTAAAGTATGGCTTCTTTCTGCTCCCTGCCAATAATCAGCTGGGGAAGAACATATTCTTTACCCAAACCAAAGAAGATGACTCTGAATATAATTTTTTTCCTCCTTAGACACATAATATTACTATTAAATAGCATCTTTAAATAGCATCTTTAAATAGCATTAGCTTTCTTTTTAGTGCTATATTAATATGATAGATCTTTAAAAGAGAAAGAATGAAGAATCTGTTTAGAGCAGAATAAATGTTATGGAAACAATTTATTTCCCCATATCATGTAATCATCTACAGAAACTACAGAGGCTTCCCCAGGTGACTAAATCTTGGCTCACATCAGTAGAGCTGGACTAAAATGAAGGAAATGATTCAAAGCCTTTGTCATTCTAGCCTTATAAAGCTGGGAGACTCAAGTGTATAATTGGTTATCGTGAGGATAAAATAAGTAGGTGATGGGCTGCAATGTGTCTCATTCTAACTAGGTAGTTTTGGTAAAGAAAAAAAAGGTACAGCTAAATATATTTTTGCTTAGGCGAAGAGTTTATTTCCAAAAGGGACAATATTTAATATGAAAGCAGATAGTTCTAAAGCAATAAGGAATAAGCTTACAGCTCACCAACTATGGTCATCATAATAAACGTCTTCAAGGACCCTTTTGAAAACAGAACACCAATAGCTCAGGTTCTCTGATAAAGAAATATAACCCCTATTAAGTGAAACTAAGTTCTTCTAAACTAAATTTCTAAAATATGTGAGTTTTTAAATTAGGAACAATTGTAGTGGAAATAAATATGATTTATACTAAATGAGAAAATGAAAAGCTAAAAAGCTACATGGATTTGAAAACATGTAAATTAACTTGATTAGACTTTATCCAAAAAGGTAACATTATAATGCAGTTATATTAAAATTCTTTTAACTGTAATCAAAATCTATGGCATTATAAAAATTTTCTTAAAATAACAAGTTAGAATTTAAATTTTTAAAATGCTACTTAAAATGCCATAATTAAATTACAAAACTAAAAATGAGTGCTAAATGTGAAGAGATTGATAATGTAGATTTTTTTTTCTCTCTCTGTTTCTCTCTGAGGATATTAATATTTCTAAAAAACAAAATAAAAGAAAATTCCTTTTCTTTTTATCTGTAGTCTTTCCCTCAGGGCCGTTTAAACAATGCACAATTATTTCATAAGAATTTTGTAAGAATCTTCCATTTACAAAACTATAAAACAGCTCATATATTTCTCTCTAATTCCTTAAGTGACCAAATGGAATTTACTTATTTTTACTGACATTTCAAGTGTAAATGAGAAACAAATTAGTGCAATAACTCATGAACTTGAAAAGTTTATCTTTACATCTTAAATGTTAACTTTTTTATGTGATATACATGGTTTGGGGGGTGGTTATTTTGGCCGTTTGATTGCCACTCAATTATCTTTCCTTGGTGATTTTGTTTTGAATTACAGAAATAAGACTTTATTACTAATGTGCATATTTTTTCTTTAGTGTCAAAGAGAATTATACATGAACTACATTACTGATATTTCAGGGAGTTTAACAATATGATAATAGTTGTGTCCCAGAGGTAGACTTTTGTAAACAGATTTAAATTTAACCTTGACCTTGTTTTTAACACATTTTATTTTACTTACTTTTTGAAAATGTTCATTTTCTCCAACATCATACAATGCAATGAAGCTAACATAACTTGACTTAGGTAGTCCCTTACCTTGGAAATGCTAAATAAATTATATTTTAAGTAAATTTGGTGGACTTTGTGATAAAGCTGTTAAGGTAGTTGGTTGGATATTCTTTTGAAGCAAGGCTTTTTTTATTCCCAAAGATTTCTTTAGCAAAATTTGCACATTTTAAATAAAGCAGCCGGGAATTCTTATGTAGGGGCTTCCTGCATTGGCGAAAACAGCACATGTCTAACAAATTTAAAGGCTTTTTTTTTTCAGTACATCAGTACATCCATCTTTTCACAACCATCTGTTATCCGGCAGTACCATCTCTTATTTCCAGCAAGCTTTCCACATGCGTGCAACTTACTGCCGTTTCCAATAAGGGTAATCAATCAATACAACCCTTTCAGCTCTCAAACTTTAAAATAAATTGCCTTTTAATGAGACTTTAAAAGTCATCACTATTAGCAGATTATACATCATAGTTTTCCAACCAGTACCTAATGTATGTTGCATTAGAATATTAATTTGTTCATCCCAATGGTAAAATAAAAAAACAGCTGAGGTCTTCATGAGGTCATTCTAATGGAGCTGAAAGTGTTCCTTTAGCAATATTTCTGTCGTTTCATGTATTGTTCTGTGGTCATGATGTCAACATCTTTTTCATCCCTAAGAAGAAGAAACGCTAGAGAGTCGGATGGCTGAGGAAGAGAAACCTGCTGCTCTTCCTGAGAAAGAGTGTGGGGCTGCTAAGTCCTCAGACCAACCCAAGGGCCTCAGTAAGGGCCAAATGGAGTCTAGTGCGGAGGCCCAAATAGTTCCCGAAGAGAGTGCCCCAGCAGGGGCCCCACATGAGAAAAGTGTAAAAGAGGTCAAGGAGGTGTCTCCAGAAGTAAAAACCCCTTCCTCTGCTGGGGAAGGTGTGTCTTTCTCAGGATTTGCATGTGTTTTGTTGCAAATGATCTCTCCAGTGGCTTACCAACCTGATGCCTTTCCAACGCTATTTCGCTATTTCATCGCTGGGTCTTATGATAACAAGTCCACTGTTGTAGGCTTAATGTGCAGAGAGTGTGGCTTGCGCAAGTGCTGTGTGGCAGCTGGTTTTCCAGTGCTGCAGCTGATTCCTGGTTTTCCTTTGCCATGATACAATACGCTTTGCAGCCAGGCTGATGATGCTATGTGAGCTTCTTTTTTTATTTTATTTTTTTACCCGCCCCCCCTCATCTCAAATGTTTGCCAGTCACATTGCTAATACATGTATATTTTTGTTTTTATTTTGGGGACAGCAATTCATATGCTTTTATTTCAAATCGTACAGTTGGATTTTGGCACATAGAGGCTTAAATGGTGGAATCGTTTTTGTTTGCAACCGAAATGTGCTATATTTTTTATGCTTCAATGAATACTGGTTTGATTTTCTTGACCTCCTGCTGATGCTTCTCATATCATTTTCTCCCCATGGCAGCCAGCCCTTCTGATCATCCCCATATCTCTTGAGTTTTCATTCATCTAACCTTTATTAGAAGTTCATCAAGTATTTTTTTTTCTATTGTTACAACAGGACACATAAGTATATAAGGTAATGATGATCCATACACTTGCTCTTTTAGAGATGATTGAATTTTATTATTTTTCCCCAAATCTTTTCCAGATAACTACATTTAGCTCTAATGACCACAGTGAACTACTTTGACCTTAAAACACAAGTGGGACAATAAAGCCTTTTGGATTGTTGAATAAATAAAAGTAAAAATGTGTTATCTAATTTCTGTGAAGCACCTCTAAAGCCAATACTGGCCAATGCTTCACCAGTTAGTCATGCTCCAAGGATTGAGGTCATGACCATGGGAATAAAGTTATTTCAATAGTTGACTCTTTTGAAAAGTTTGTTACTCACATGACTTCCCAGTATCAACAGTGTAATTCAGATTTTCTTATATCTACCGTACAGACTAAGTAATGATTAGGAATTTAAATTTTTAAATATGTAATAGAAACTGGCTTGTAAATTCTTAAGTCATATCATATAAAATTGATAGCAAATATTTACTTATATTTCTGAAATTTATCCTCAGATGAATTCTAAAAATTTATGCCAGTAACCTGTGGATGCCTAAAGAATTGGCCCTGACATTTGTTAATCAAGTTAACTGCAACTATTAACATTATATCATTGTGCATTACTTGGCCCTCTGCCCATAGCCTACCAATTCATTTTTAAATGATAAAACCAATGAAAATGTTCAGTATAAATCAATTCTTTATCTATATTTAGTCCTTACTATATATTCTTTTGTACCCTAACATTAGCTGCTTACTCAATATTCATTAGCTTATAACTTTTATGTATAGAAGGCACATGAATTTGTTTCTTCTGTAATACACATCACATAATGTTTAGGAGAGACCAAAAAAAAAAAAAACAAAGAAAAAAAGAGAAAAGAATATCCAGAAATATACTGTTCTTACAATTCCTTTGCACATTAATTTACAACCAGAGTTCATTTTAGTAATAGTACACATATATCTCAGTCCTGACCTTTTCATATTGACTTTTACATGGGTAGCATGCTTGCATGTTCCATAATTTTTGTTTTTATTCTACCATTCATTTATCACTTCAAAATATAATTTTAAGCTTATTTCCTGAACGCACTTGCCTATTATTTGTTTAAAAATCAACCCGATTACTTCAGATTTACTTACAGCCTCGAAGATGGAGTTCCACGATCAACAGGAATTGACTCCCTCTACAGCTGAGCCTTCAGACCAGAAGGAAAAGGAGTCAGAGAAGCAAAGTAAGCCTGGTGAAGACCTTAAACATGCTGCCTTAGTTTCTCAGCCAGAGACAACTAAAACTTACCCTGATAAAAAGGACATGCAAGGCACGGAAGAAGAAAAAGCACCCCTAGCTTTGTTTGGGCACACTCTTGTTGCCAGCCTGGAAGACATGAAACAGAAGACAGAACCAAGCCTTGTAGTACCTGGCATTGACCTCCCTAAAGAGCCTCCAACTCCAAAAGAACAAAAGGACTGGTTCATCGAAATGCCAACGGAAGCAAAAAAGGATGAGTGGGGTTTAGTTGCCCCCATATCTCCTGGCCCTCTGACTCCCATGAGGGAAAAAGATGTATTTGATGATATCCCAAAATGGGAAGGGAAACAGTTTGATTCTCCCATGCCAAGTCCCTTTCAAGGGGGAAGCTTCACTCTTCCTTTAGATGTCATGAAGAATGAAATAGTTACAGAAACATCGCCCTTTGCCCCTGCCTTTTTACAGCCAGATGACAAAAAATCTCTGCAACAAACCAGTGGCCCAGCTACTGCCAAAGATAGTTTTAAAATTGAAGAGCCCCATGAGGCTAAACCTGACAAAATGGCAGAAGCACCACCCTCAGAGGCAATGACCTTACCCAAAGATGCTCACATTCCAGTTGTAGAAGAACATGTTATGGGGAAAGTTTTAGAGGAAGAAAAGGAGGCCATAAATCAAGAGACTGTGCAGCAAAGGGATACTTTCACCCCCAGTGGACAGGAACCTATACTTACTGAAAAGGAAACTGAGCTGAAGCTTGAAGAAAAAACCACCATTTCTGACAAAGAAGCTGTGCCAAAAGAGAGTAAACCCCCAAAACCTGCAGATGAAGAAATAGGCATAATTCAGACCTCCACAGAGCACACTTTCTCAGAACAGAAAGACCAAGAGCCTACCACAGATATGTTGAAACAGGACTCGTTCCCTGTAAGTTTGGAGCAAGCAGTTACAGATTCAGCCATGACCTCTAAAACACTGGAGAAAGCCATGACCGAACCATCTGCATTAATTGAAAAGAGCTCAATTCAGGAACTTTTTGAAATGAGAGTTGATGACAAAGATAAGATTGAAGGAGTTGGAGCTGCAACATCAGCTGAGCTTGATATGCCATTTTATGAAGATAAATCAGGAATGTCCAAGTACTTTGAAACATCTGCCTTGAAAGAAGAAGCAACAAAAAGCATTGAGCCAGGCAGTGATTACTATGAACTGAGTGACACTAGAGAAAGTGTCCATGAGTCTATTGATACCATGTCTCCCATGCATAAAAATGGTGACAAGGAGTTTCAAACAGGAAAAGAATCCCAGCCCAGTCCTCCAGCACAAGAAGCAGGGTACAGCACTCTCGCACAGAGTTATCCATCAGATTTACCTGAAGAACCCAGTTCTCCTCAAGAAAGAATGTTCACTATTGATCCAAAAGTGTATGGAGAGAAAAGGGACCTCCACAGTAAGAATAAGGATGATTTGACCCTTAGCAGGAGTTTAGGACTTGGTGGTAGGTCTGCAATAGAACAAAGAAGCATGTCAATCAATTTGCCGATGTCTTGCCTAGATTCCATAGCCCTTGGATTTAACTTTGGTCGGGGACATGATCTTTCTCCTCTGGCTTCCGATATTCTAACCAACACTAGTGGAAGTATGGATGAAGGGGATGATTACCTTCCAGCCACCACACCTGCACTGGAGAAAGCCCCTTGCTTCCCTGTAGAAAGCAAAGAGGAAGAACAGATAGAGAAAGTAAAAGCTACTGGAGAAGAAAGTACTCAAGCGGAGATATCATGTGAGTCTCCTTTCCTAGCCAAAGATTTTTACAAAAATGGTACTGTCATGGCACCTGACCTTCCTGAAATGCTAGATCTGGCAGGCACAAGGTCAAGATTGGCTTCTGTGAGTGCAGATGCTGAGGTTGCCAGGAGGAAATCAGTCCCATCAGAGACTGTGGTTGAGGATAGTCGTACTGGCTTGCCCCCGGTAACTGATGAAAACCATGTCATTGTAAAAACGGACAGTCAGCTCGAAGACCTGGGCTACTGTGTGTTCAATAAGTACACAGTCCCATTGCCATCACCTGTTCAAGACAGTGAGAATTTATCAGGGGAGAGTGGTACCTTTTACGAAGGCACTGATGATAAAGTTCGAAGAGATTTGGCCACAGACCTTTCACTGATTGAAGTGAAACTGGCAGCAGCCGGAAGAGTCAAAGATGAGTTCAGTGTTGACAAAGAAGCATCCGCGCATATCTCTGGTGACAAATCAGGACTGAGTAAGGAGTTTGACCAAGAGAAGAAAGCTAATGATAGGTTGGATACTGTACTAGAAAAGAGTGAAGAACATGCTGATTCAAAAGAACATGCCAAGAAAACTGAAGAGGCTGGTGATGAAATAGAAACATTCGGATTAGGAGTAACCTATGAGCAAGCTTTGGCCAAAGATTTGTCAATACCAACAGATGCATCCTCTGAGAAAGCAGAGAAGGGTCTTAGTTCAGTGCCAGAGATAGCTGAGGTAGAACCATCCAAAAAGGTGGAACAAGGTCTGGATTTTGCTGTCCAGGGTCAACTAGATGTTAAAATTAGTGACTTTGGACAGATGGCTTCAGGGCTAAACATAGATGATAGAAGGGCAACAGAGCTAAAACTTGAGGCTACACAGGACATGACCCCCTCATCCAAAGCACCGCAGGAGGCAGATGCATTTATGGGTGTTGAGTCTGGCCACATGAAAGAAGGCACTAAAGTTAGTGAGACAGAAGTCAAAGAGAAGGTGGCCAAGCCTGACTTGGTGCACCAGGAGGCTGTAGACAAGGAGGAGTCCTATGAATCTAGTGGTGAGCATGAAAGTCTCACCATGGAGTCCTTGAAAGCTGATGAGGGCAAGAAGGAAACATCTCCAGAATCATCTCTAATTCAAGATGAGATTGCCGTCAAATTGTCAGTGGAAATACCTTGCCCACCTGCTGTTTCAGAGGCTGATTTAGCCACAGATGAGAGAGCTGATGTCCAGATGGAATTTATTCAGGGGCCAAAAGAAGAAAGCAAAGAGACCCCAGATATATCCATCACGCCTTCTGATGTTGCAGAGCCATTGCATGAAACGATCGTATCTGAACCAGCAGAGATTCAGAGTGAGGAAGAAGAGATAGAAGCCCAGGGAGAATATGATAAACTGCTCTTCCGCTCAGACACCCTTCAGATAACTGACCTGGGTGTCTCAGGTGCCAGGGAGGAATTTGTGGAGACCTGCCCAAGTGAACACAAAGGAGTGATTGAGTCTGTTGTGACCATCGAGGATGATTTCATCACTGTAGTGCAAACCACAACTGATGAAGGGGAGTCAGGGTCCCACAGCGTGCGTTTTGCAGCCCTAGAGCAGCCTGAGGTGGAAAGGAGACCATCTCCTCATGATGAAGAAGAGTTTGAAGTAGAAGAGGCAGCTGAAGCCCAGGCAGAACCCAAAGATGGTTCCCCAGAGGCTCCAGCTTCCCCTGAGAGAGAAGAGGTTGCACTTTCTGAATATAAGACAGAAACCTATGACGATTACAAAGATGAGACCACCATTGACGACTCCATCATGGACGCTGACAGCCTCTGGGTGGACACTCAAGGTGTGCATTATTATTATTATTATTTTAACTCAAACACAATAACCTTATGGGAATTTTTTTTCACTTAAACATTTTAAAATACCTCTTTATCTCTTTATTTTGTATTTTGTTAAATATACAAAGGATTTTGTACACTTGTTACTAATGTTTTCACTGTTGTTGTTGTTGTCATGATTTGCTTTGATCCACAGATGATGATAGGAGCATCATGACAGAACAGTTAGAAACTATTCCTAAAGAGGAGAAAGCTGAAAAGGAAGCTCGGAGATCATCTCTTGAGAAACATAGAAAAGAAAAGCCTTTTAAAACCGGGAGAGGCAGAATTTCCACTCCTGAAAGAAAAGTAGCTAAAAAGGAACCTAGCACAGTCTCCAGAGATGAAGTGAGAAGGAAAAAAGGTTCATTTAACAATCACTTCTTTAAAAATGTTTTTGAAGTAATTCATTATTACTTTTTTGCAGAACTGCCTAACAGTGGTAACTAATTATTTATAAAATTTCGTTCGGTTTTGCTCCACGTGTTTATTTTTTCCTGATGGTATGCTTTTTGTGTTTTCTTATTCATAGCAGTTTATAAGAAGGCTGAACTTGCTAAAAAAACAGAAGTTCAGGCCCACTCTCCCTCCAGGAAATTCATTTTAAAACCTGCTATCAAATATACTAGACCAACTCATCTCTCCTGTGTTAAGCGGAAAACCACAGGTGACTGTTCAATTCTGCAATGTGACTGGCAAACATAGACATGTATTTTTTTTTTAAATCTCATTACTGTAGCAGCTTCTTCATTTTGTTTTTCTTCCAAGAATCTCAGCAGTCATGAACAATTTTGCTATTAAGTGTCTTGTATCATTATTCTTTTTTCCCCCCTCCTTACAGAAAAGGTCATGACCATCTGTTTCTTTGTCATGCTCAGACATAACAGTGCGTGATTGTATCTTGGCATTGTGCTCTAGTGTCACGTTCTGGGGATTCCTATTTTCATTCTGTGTGTTTGGTTAGACGATGGCGATGAATTTAACTGTGGTATGCATTCTCATTATTTTGCTTATTTATCTCTCTCATGCTTAAACCCATAAATATTTGTCCTATTTTCTACATTGTTACTGCCAAATCTGTTACTGATGTTGATGAATTTATTGAAAACCACCAAGAATGTGTAGTGATTTAGATACTGAAAATGAAAAGCAAGCCAGGAAGTGAAATTGTGGTTTGCAAAATTACTATTACTTTGCTTTTGCTGAAAAAAAGAAGATAGAAAACAAAATTTTCTGGTAATTATATCAGATTTTATTCCTCATATCCAAAATTAACAAGATTTTCACTCTACTGAACTACATCTCTTAGCTGACATTTTGTCATGGAGATTTCTTAAATATGTTGGATCCAAACTGCTCGACTTTTCTATATAATTTAGTTTCACAAATTTGAAGCTAAAACTCTTCCTTTTAGGAGGAACTTCAGTTAGAAATAAACTTCGGTTTATTTTTACTTTGCTGTCTACTTTTTTTTTGTTTCCCAAGACGGAATCTCGCTCTGTCGCCCAGGCTGGAGTGCAGTGGCACGACCTCGGCTCACTGAAACCTCCACCTCCTGGGTTCAAGCAGTTCTTCTGCCTCAGCCTCCGGAGTAGCTGGGATTACAGGCGTGCACCCAGCTAATTTTTTTTTTTTTTGTATTTTTAGTAGAGACGGGGTTTCACCATCTTGGCCAGGCTGGTTTTGAACTCCTGACCTCGTGATCCACCTGCCTCAGCCTCCCAAAGTGCTGGGATTACAGGCATGAGCCACTGCACCCGGCCTGCTATCTACTTATTACTCTTCTTCAAATACATATTTTTTCCTAAGTTTATAAAACTGGTAAAACAAAGGAATGAAACTTGTTGGAAACCATCATAAAAACCCCTACAAATATCTGTAATGCCAACTTTTTTCTAAATTTCAGGGCAAAGTATTTATTTTATATGTTTAATTATACTAGGATAATCTTACCTTACACTATATTTTATTTTAGCATTTATTAAGTGGCATGCTTGTAGTCTACAAAATGACAGATTGCTAAATCAGAAAAGAATGTTTTTCTTTCCATTGTACATCATCAATGCCTCTATATAAATCTTCGGATGGTTTTAAAGGTTAAGAGGAACATTAGCCTTTGTGAGAAAGAGAAAATCAAGGTAACTGATGGTTTTATTTTAGCCATTGAAAATTCCAAGTATTTTGTATTTGTGTTCTTCATCTAGAAATCATATCATGTGCTTTCCTTCAAAAACAAGAATCTAAGGCAGGATTTGAAAATAGAAGGCTTGTATATACGCACACCTTGATAAAGCTTCAGGATGAAGAATATATCTGAAGCTAGGAGTTAGGAATTAACGTGACATACCTCAATTCATTTTCTCAGGTTTTTAGCTTCATTAAACTTAGAACTTCATTAAACTTAATAGCAAATTAATAGCTTCATTAAACTTAGTAGCAAAATTGCTTGGGCAAGCAGAATCTCTTGATTTAGCATAAAAACTCTATAACCTACCTAAAAGGATGAAAGATGTCATCAGGATTGTGGAATTTTAGAGAAAACGTAAAATGGTTTAGTAAAGTGTTTACATGTCATTGGTATTCAATTTGCCACATTTAAAGTAAATTGTGTTTTTATTCATTCTTTGAAAGAAATTTAAAATCTTTGAACTAATGAAGATTTTCCTTTATTCTGGTCTAATGTTAAGATACTTTAGGAGAAAGCATGTATCAGATGTAGGTGTCATTGGTTTGAAGCAAGCTATACATGTCACAAGAATTTGAGTTATATTACAGAGATAGTAGTAAGGCATCGTTTTCACTGCTTCCTTAAAAACAATGAGTCCTAGAATCTGAAAAATCTCACTAGCTAGTCCTACATGGCATAAAGCATATTGTAGACAGTTATTATGTTTGTGTCAGAACTGTACCTGTCATAAAAATACCTTTTTAGAACTTATTCAGAGGGCTTATAAGGATACATTTTTTTTCTGAGGGTTTCTATTTTATGAATGAAAATTAAGGAGGAATAAACACACAAGCTTGATTATTTTATCTTCTAAGCCCAATTTTCAAACATAGATGGTTTTCCAAACCACAAGGGATTGTTTTAAATCATGAGAGCTAAGCTACCTCAGGTAAGTCATCAACCAAAATGTGCTAGAGATAATGGAGTTTAAAATTGAATCCAGAAGCATAAAACAGCAGCAAGAGAAACAACAGTAACAGATGTGGTAATAATTTCATACAGGAAGTGCATGTGTAGAACATGTTCTGTATTTACTGAACTTAAATTTTCTCTCGTGTTTTCTGTTCTTGACAAGCTATTTTTCTTCCCTTCTCATGTGGCATTTTCACATCAAACAAGTATGTCATTCATATTGTGAAATGAAGGGATACAAAGGGAAAGGGGTTAGCTGATCATGACAGTTTGAAATGTAAAATACCGAAATATCTATGGTTATGCCAGTGGCTTCCAGAACAAGAAGAGGGTTTGGAAATCTCTATGAACCCTCTTCTATATATCATGTGAACCCCAGAAACCAATCAGTGTTCTTTTTCTTAAATTTTGCAACATTCACATTGCTATTCTGTAACTTCTGTTCTAAAGGATCTCCTTACGTACTAGTGATTCAAAGATACATTGGTAATCAATAGAAAAATTACGTGGTGTGCTTACCTGCACTTTGGTAGACAATGGGTTATATTAATTAGCACACACTATTTGTTGGAGCCACATGCTATGTTATTGTTATTCATGTTACTTGAGTTATTGAATTTGAGTCTCATAATAAGCAAACTTTTGCTTTGCATTAGTCTGTTGACACAACAGAATATCCTACAGGTATTTAAAACTGCATTTATGACTTTTTAGCAACTAAGTTTGGGGTTGTTTGTCTTTTATTTTCAACAGCAGCAGGTGGGGAATCAGCTCTGGCTCCCAGTGTATTTAAACAGGCAAAGGACAAAGTCTCTGTGAGTAAAATAAGTTTTTCCTTGTTCTTCATTTGAAGTTCCTTTGGTATTAGCTGTAACATCAGAATAACTTTTGATATTGTTTAGATATTTACTCTTAAAAGTCACTTTAAATAGTTCGCTCACCCAGAAGATTCTCCGTGGCATCCAGGCATGGAAGGATGAACGTCTTCTGGGATGGCGTATGATGGTAATTGGTGAGGGCACAGCTGGACTGCTTCCTTACTAGTAAGACAAAAACATAGAAAGCAGCACAATGATATGGCAAAAGTAAGGAAGTCCAGTTTAGTTACTTTTCATAGAATCAAATTAAACCATATAATCAACAGTAACTGTATTTTATAATACACTTTCATTGTTTTTGTTACAAAATAGAAATATGACCAAATGAAGCACTGCACACAAGCAGAAAGAAGTAGAAATCAATTATAATCCTCTTATCATAAAGATAAACACAGCTATCATTTTGATGTAAAATCCTAATTTTTTTCTATACATTTATAGGCTTAACAACAAAAATGAGAACACTGTGTATCACTTTTTAAATTCAACAGTAAATGTACTTCCATGTCGTTGAACATTTTGTAAGTTTTAATGACTACGTAATACTGCATTTTATTTCTTTGCAATGATATACTTAATCAATTTCCTATTATTTGACTTTTAGAATTTTTTGTTGGTATTTTAACAATATTACTGTAGAGAACTTTTTGGCTAAGTTCAGTTTGTATGCTATTTCCTTCATTTTCTACTAGTGAAATTATTGTTTCAAGAAAAATGTTAATATTTAAAGTTTTTGCTGCATATTGTCAAATTGCCCTCTGGAAAGGTTCTACCCACTTATACATTCTGTATAAGGAGAGTGTTCATATTTGTTATTATTACTACATATTTTATATTGTTGTTGTATATTTGCCAAATTATAGAGATGGCATATATTATTATTTTAAAATTTTATTTTGGTTGTATTAATGGTGTTTAACTTCTTCATATGTTTGTAAATCTTTTCTATTTTTTCTGTGAATTTTATTTTTATATTATTAACTGTATTTTAATGACCAAAGCCAACATGAAGTATTTTCACTCCTTTATGATTGAAAGAAAAAAATTAAAAGGCTACTAATGAAATCCTAAAATTATAACAAATAATTTGAATGATATTAATTAGTAGCTTATAACAACATTCTGAGACTGAGCAAACACATGTAATATGTAAATCACAATTCTTAGCTTACCCTTCTAAAAAACCAATAAGATTTTAGACTTCCACTTTTATTTATTATGAAAAGTAGTGAGTGATTCATTTCTTTGATCTTGAACCTGAGGGGTTTTATGTTGATAAAAGATGATACTTGATTTTTATACAAATGTTTCAGATATATTCCTGAACATATGGCAAGCAACAGAATTCATTTATTGCTTTGGTGAATATTAGGCTTTATTATAAACACATTGTGATTTCAAGATTTGTATCTCTTTACCTTCTGTTTCCAAATTAATGATGTATGGTGGTTGGCCGTAGGGCTATGAAACAAATCATGTTCAAATCTTGAACATCTATTAGTTA
Source organism: Homo sapiens (assembly GCF_000001405.40). NCBI lineage: Eukaryota > Metazoa > Chordata > Mammalia > Primates > Hominidae > Homo > Homo sapiens. The sequence goes on from NC_000002.12 coordinate 209,701,906, forward strand.
TATGATCCTTTTCTTCCTATTTCTTAATTTTCTAAAAATAAAGGGGAGGACAAAATTCCTGTCTCATGAGTTAGTTATAAAAATTAAATGTAATGATGTTATAAAACAGTATGCAGTATAATGTTTAGAACATAGCATTCATTTAATAAATGGTAATAGTTGTTAGTTATTATTTTAGTTAACTGAATGGTGGAAGTTTTCAGGAGCAGATATAGAAAATAAGTCTGACCTTTCCTCCTTTAGGTTGACATTATTTGGAACATTTTTAGGAAATTTTTAAGCCCCTTGGTCTTTGAGTAACTCGATAGAATCAGCACTTGGAACAGAACCATAGGCATCGTCTGACACAAAACAACCTTTTTTCCTTGTAAATGCCCGTCTTGTCTTTCTGAAGCAAAATTAGCCCTTCATTCTTTCTTTTTTTCTCATTTATTAGTCTTTTTTTCTTCCTAATCCCATATCCTTGTTCTATAAGTTTTCTAAAACCCCGAGTAACTTTTATTTGATTTAGCTCTAATGTTCAGTATATCCATCAGTACTGTTCTCTGATTTTTTTTGGTAGTTGTATGCTCTTTCAGATTCACTTTTTTTAACTTAAAAATTTTTTTTCTATGGGTACATATTAGTTGTATATATTTATGGGATGCCTGTGATGATTTTTTAAATTGCTCTTTATTAGGAAACAGACCCACCCATAATCCTGCATTTCACGTGGGTTTTTCTGTTGTTTGTTTGTTTAGCATTAATAGTTGTCTTTCTTAACTACAAGCAATCCAATTTATTTTTCTCTTCTATATCACGCTTTTGAAATTCACTCTTTTGTGGGTAGGATCAATAAAAAAAGAATGACTTGTGCTGACCCAATTACACTTCCCACTCAAGATACTGGGTCTATAAAACAAGAAGTGATTTGTACAGTCTGTAAATACTTATGTCCTGTTGTAGCCACAGAGGTTAAAACTTGAGATAAAAATCTCAGTTTTATCTGTCATTTCTGTAACAGTTAAATCAAATTAATTATTTGAAGATAATAATCTCCTTGGCTTTGTCATACTTATCTATATTTTTAACAGTCACCCATGAGACATATGGCACGCTGGCATAGCTTTCTCCAAAAGCCATACATCCTTCCCAATTATACTTGCAGACAGTCTCCCCAGGAGTTATCAACACCTGTAAATTAAGTCGTGATTTTTATTGGCCATCTTTTCAGTCCTGACTTTCCTTTTTAGAATTCATAACACATCATGCAGACTCTAGTCTTTGCATAAAAATGTTATTAGTTCTATGGTATAACTTAATCCACAGTATGTGTTTCACTTATAAAATGAACAAATTATATATAAACTCTGAAAAATTCTGTTGAAGTCAATGTAGATGACGTGAAAATAAATTTTCTCAATCTTTAAAAATACTTTTTTCATTATTAGGCTTCAAATATACCTTGTTCCAAAGTTCTTGAAACATGATTAAGATATGGATTATATGTACACCTTAAAGGCTGTGTTTATTAAAGGAATAATTCCAGCAGATAGGATATTGAAAGATATTTCCAAATGTGTTATCATTATAAAACTTATGAATTAATTAGAGACTATATACGTAGAATCCAAAAAGAATATTTTATATACATTATCCTTAAATTAGAGAACTATGTATAGAATCATTTTTTAAACAACAAAATTTAAGCACTCAGCATTATTTTTTAAACCTGCAAAAAGAGAGTTTTGCTAGTCACTTGTAACATTCTTTCTATATTAAGGCTTATTGTATTTTTAAAGAGAAAGAGAGACTTGCTTTGGTCTCAGGATTTCACAAAGCTAATTCCTTCATATCTAAGCAATATTACTCTTTCTTCTGTCCTTCTATCTATCCACCCACTCATCATTTATTCAGCAATTATCCGCTGGTTCTCTACTGCGTACCAAACATAAACAATCACATTTGGAAGTAAAGAAGAGCAAGTAATAAGTAATAAACATGGATACCTGTTCTAGACCTGGTTAATAGAAAATAAAATGGTTTAGCATTATTTTTGTGTTTTATTTGTATAACAGATTTTTTATTTTATTTTTAATCAGGGTGTCCATGTGCAGGCTTGTTACAAGGGTATATTACGTGATGCTGAGGTTTGAGCTTATATTGATTCCATCATCCAAATAGTGAACATAGTTCCCAATAGGAACTTCCCAATAGGAAGTTTTTCAATCCTTCCCCCACTTTTGGAGTCACCAGTGTCTATTGTTGCCATCTTTATGTCCGTGTGTACCCATTGTTTAGCTCCCACTTATAAATGAGAACATGTGATATTTGGTTTTCTTAGACATTTTTCTATGACTATTATTAAGTTAGTTTTGGCTAAAAAGAACTGTGAAAATCTCTTCTCATCTAAGTACACATCTCTATCATTGATTATAACCATTTATCATGTGTTCTTATTAAAAAGACTTTGAGTTTCTTATATGTTTATACTTCTTTTTTATCTTCCTTTTACTTTATAGTTTGGTTTATTTTGTGCTTTTGTTTGTTTTCTTTCATGGCTAGAATTCTACCTTGTCAAAGATTCCTGCTTTACAGGGTAGCACAAAGTCCCCAAGATACAGCTCAGCCTGCCCTAGCACGACTAAAAGGGCTACATTTTCTGACAGTTTATTAATACAGCCCACCTCAGCAGGCTCCACAGACCGTTTGCCATACTCAAAATCAGGGAACAAGGTAAGGCGGCAGGTCAATAAAAGGTGCAGAAAGAAATAGAATTTGGGAGAAGGTTATGTTATAGAACCTAATTCAGGAAATGTATGAAAGCAAATACTTTACTCTGAAGTGTTTGACACATAAACAGTAGGCCCTTTTAAAAACAAATACAAATTTAAAATTTTGATAAACAGTATACCTATTTTTTAAATGTAGAAAATATGTCTTTTTCTAGATATGCTACCCATTATTAATTTATGGTTTGATTATCTGGTAAAATATCAAATGCAAACTAACAAAACAAAATATATTCTATTATATATAATATATAAGAAATAATATTGTACAGTACAATAATAACAAATTACATTGTATAGAATATAATAGATAATTTAAACTAAACGTCATATACATCAGGGTTTAATACTATCTCTGACACCTACCAACTCAATTGTCTTGAAACAATTATATAAACTCATTAAACTTGTTTCTTCAGCTTTAAAATGTGTATCATGTTTTGTGGTGAGAATCAAATCATAAAAGGATATAAACTATAAAGGGTTCCTGTCACATACACGCACAAGATATGGTAATGGTCATTGTTAGAAATATTATGCATGCAGTGAGCTACTCTCAGTCCTTTCTGATTAATAAATTATCATGCTAATGAAGATTTTTCAATAAAATTAGTAATTTGCTGAAGATTGAGTACATTTATTTTACCAATATTATCATTTAGAACTTGAACTTCACACTCAGTTATTAGAACTCCAAAATAATGTATTTTTACAAAACATCTAGGCAAATATGCACTCTTTCTAAGTTATAAAGTAGAAATGTTTATAAATATATGAAATCCAGTAGTTTGTATTAAAAGAAATTCATTTATTAGCACAGGAGGAAAATAGCAAAATCAATATCACTTCGTATAAATTAAAGAGTTACAAGAACCCAATGTTCTTTTTGTTTTCTCCAATCAGGACGGAGTAACCAAGAGCCCAGAAAAGCGCTCTTCTCTCCCAAGACCTTCCTCCATTCTCCCTCCTCGGCGAGGTGTGTCAGGAGACAGAGATGAGAATTCCTTCTCTCTCAACAGTTCTATCTCTTCTTCAGCACGGCGGACCACCAGTAGGTTTATTTTGATTTGAATTCCTTTTTAAGCACTTTTTAAATCCTTTAAGTGGAATAGCACTTATATTTATATTTTAATTTGTAAAAATAAAACATGCATTAAGACTAGATTATATTTGCCATAAGGATCAGAAAATCCAGAATGTAGATGGCTGCAAAATAGCTGTTTGAGTAAAAACAACTGATGGAGGAAATGGTAACATATTACCCTATTATCTAAGACTGATATAAAGTTATTTCTCTAAGAATATATTTTTCTTTTTGCTTCAAATTTAGAGCAGAAAAGAAAATTCTAAAGAAGTAATCAATGTAGAAACCAAGTCAAGGATTTTAAAAACATACATCTATAAAAGCTTAACACTTATTAGATTTCCAAGTTGTAAAATCTAACTAGAAAGTCGACATTCAAAACTTAGGATCCTGTTCAACTTCTTAAGAATTTGCATTCCAAATGAGCTATAAATATAGCATAGTCTATGCAATAGGTTCAAATTATCTTGATTGATGGCCCATTCATGAACTGATTGGCAATTGTAACAGTTTATATAATGCTCCAATCATTACACACTTATATGTTGCATTGTGGCAAACTATCTAGTAAAGCATGGATTCAAATTACTTCCGTAAATATTTTTCTGTTGCAACCAAAATAGCTACCGTTTATTGAGCACATATAGATACTAAACTCTTAAGATACATTTTTTCACTAATTTAATTAGCAAGACTAATGACTATTATAATAATTAATAAACTCAATTCATTCTACTGATGAGAAAACTGACCCTCTAGAGAGGGTAACTTGTCCAGTTACCCTCTAGAGAGGGTAACTGCTTCACAGTTCGCAAGTGGTTGAATTTGGTTTTCAGCCTACTGATAACTTCACAACCTGAAGTCTTAATGTCTTTTCTACATTTATTGGGAGGAAATAGTACTAGAGAACTGCTCTGTAGAATTATTTGGAGAAGAGTATCTGTGTCATTTAAGAACCATTTTAAAATGGTGGAAATTGCTACCACTATCACATTATAGTTGACTTCAACACTTATTTTGATAATAATTGGCCCACTTAAATATGACTATTGGCATTTAAACAGTGTTTTTGCCTACAAGAAAAGTGTTTATTATAATAACAGTAATTGTGTCCAACATTATTTAGTTTCCTAGAGTATTAGCATCCTTTGAAATATGTGTTAAGAACACTGAAATCACAAAAACTCTTTTATCATAGCAAAAATAAATTATTTGAATGAATTAGCAGGAAGGTCATTTAAGATTTAGTACTCTCCAGGGAAGAGACTTTAAATCTCTAGAGTTGAAATTGAACATAATTAATAACCCCAAGGATGTATGAGACAAGACAAAGATACCAAGTACTCTCGAAAGGAACATCTTGAATTATACTTGTATTTGTTGCTATAAAAGCAAAATGGCACTTTCTCCATAAATCCACTTCTTCAAACCACTGTGTTCTGCCTTTTAAAGTGTATCTATATATGAATTGATTCATTAAATGTTCAGCACCAATTCTATTTTGACTTTTTAAATTTACTGATGTTTACAGGCATTTTGCATTGTATTATTTGATAGTGAACATAACTAACACATTGATAATTTTAAAACATAGGATCTGTTTTACCTCTGCATACCAATAGCTGAAAGGCATAAAGACGATTGGAAAAGCAAGCACTCTGCCCACTTCTACTTGTGCACCATCCCCTTAATGGTACACAGGGATGTTCTAACATTTTGTGCAGCTATTGAAAAGATTTGAAGGAAACAATGTTGTGCAGGAAGCTCATCCGCCCAAGAGGAAGGAAATCCATTGTCATTGAGGAGTTGACAAGATAAATAAAAGCACAGTTTAATCAATTAACTTGTAAAGAAATATCTTAAAAGTTGTTTTAGATCTTAGGCTTAACCTCTTCAAGTTCAGAACAAATAAGAAACATTCAAATTTATTGTTTTGATGACAAGAACATATTTATTACAATAAAAATTGGTCATATATATTGAACAGCAGTGTGAAGGCCTTAATATTTGTAGTTTATCTTCTTTCTCCAGATGTAACATAAAACCTTCTTTTATAAAGCTTAACGTGTTTTCTACAAGTATGGAAATGACTCCTTAGAAGTTTAGAAAAAATTATTTCATATAGTAAAAATTGTTATTCACATCCAGAATATTGCTTCAATTCAGTCTCCATGAAGTCAAAAAACCCCTCAGCACACTTTGATGAATTCTGAATTATTAAAAAAATATGTTGTCTACCTACTGTTTTCAGCTCACATGAAAGTCACCAGGGCTAGGTACAATGGCAAAAAATACAGGGATGATCCCTCTCCCCAGAATATCTGAGCTATTCAAAACTGGTGAAGTAATAGAGAAAACATTCAAGAAAGAAATAATGTTTCTGGAGAAAGTATTCAGACAGACATAGAGACAGACATCTACGTTACAAACTTAGTCCATAACAAACCAGGACATGGAAGTTACAAAATGCCAAGTTGGATGTGGTTGTGTCATCCTAGTCTTGAAATTCTTGTGAAAAGCAATAAAAATCACAGAACACATGCTAATTTCTCACTTTAGACTTCTCATATCCCATTTCATATTATCAATTGAAGAGTCTAACTATCTTGTGCCCTGTGTTAGAAGACCAAAAAGACACAGGGCACTTTCATTTGATACTTGAAAACTGTTCACTGAAAGAAGTAAAATTCTTCTGTGTTTCTCCAGGAGATAGAACCTATGGTGATGGGTGGATTTACATTTTCCATAGATTACAATTGTCCAAGAAGCTCTCCTGAGCTCACATCTTGTAAATATTTAAGCAAAGATTACATGTCCACTTCTCAGAAAGAACTTCCTATATTTATGATCAATTGCATTAGGTGACCTCTGAGATTCCTTTCACTTCAGTGGCTTTAAAATTGTTATATATTTATTCTCTACAAAATTTCAGAAGATTCATTGATTTTTTTACTTAAGCAGCAGTAAAAAATGAAAATTATCCCTTTTCTATAAAATATGTTATAAATGAAATTTGCATGCTTAAAAATGTAAATCCTCAGGGGCTAAATATTGTATCTGGCTTAGACGTTAGTAGCATCTGGGTGAATGAGCCTCAATGTTCTCATTTCTTAGGAATAATAAGAGCTGCCCCTAACAACTGTATTGTGCATGTTTGTTTGGTTATCAGTTGGTTGGTATTCACATAAGTGCTTTGAAATTTATAAGGTGTTGCATTCTTATTTCTATCATTCTTTCAGGAAAGTATTTGAAATGTCATTCAAAGCACATTCAAAAGATGAAAGAAACATAGTATAGGAAAGTGGGGGGTGGGAATAATAATAATATGAGGCTGAGCTCAACTTGAGGCAAAGAAATGCATCTCAGATCCTGTATAATTAATGTGGTTTTGGATTTAACTCTAAACTGCCAAGCTAGTGATGAAAACAGAGGAGAAAACACAATCAGGTACGAGGCTCACTGGGAATATATTGTTGAGACATCCCAAGTTTCTAAGGCAAGAAACAGACTTTTTTTTTGGTTTGAAGCACTGAGATAATTTTCCTTATGAAAAGAATACATGATATAGTATAGCAGTGTCTGACAGCTTCCATAAACACATTTACACCTCATAGTGTTCCTCAGTATAAGGATATAATATTGAAATGCAGATCTTTCTATACAGGCCAAAACTATGTGTCCTAAATACATGGTTCTATATTGTATGTTCACCTGGATCCCAGAATGAATTTACTACATAGAGGAATGAATGATCTACATATCATTCAAGGAATCTTCAGTAAATATGGGTCTGCATACGACACTAAGTGTAAACTCTTTCCAACTAAAGGCAGATCCATTTGCCTTAATAGTCACACAAGTAGAAAATAGTTTTTGACACATTCATAATGAAAATTACGGAGAACAAATCAGAAAAAAAAAATCAGGTTTTTTTCTTTGTGTTGATAGCAATGCATGTTCAAAAGAATGCCACCGGGTTATGCACCTGATTTCAGAAACGAGACTCTCAGCTTCTTGAGTACTATAGTGATAACTGTTTCTAAATACCTTAGAAATTAAACGTATTATGACTTCTAACAATCTATGGGAAGAGGGATGTTTTGAGGAGAATTGTCTGACTCTGGTTTGGTTTTGGTCTTGCTTGTTAATACAGGGTCAGAGCCAATTCGCAGAGCAGGGAAGAGTGGTACCTCAACACCCACTACCCCTGGGTCTACTGCCATCACTCCTGGCACCCCACCAAGTTATTCTTCACGCACACCAGGCACTCCTGGAACCCCTAGCTATCCCAGGACCCCTCACACACCAGGAACCCCCAAGTCTGCCATCTTGGTGCCGAGTGAGAAGAAGGTCGCCATCATACGTACTCCTCCAAAATCTCCTGCGACTCCCAAGCAGCTTCGGCTTATTAACCAACCACTGCCAGACCTGAAGAATGTCAAATCCAAAATCGGATCAACAGACAACATCAAATACCAGCCTAAAGGGGGGCAGGTAAGAATTGCATGAACACATATTTGCTGCCAGAAATAATTATTACATTGCCTTCTTCATATTGAAAACTAACAGTTCTTAAAAGGGAAGCAGAGGTGTTAAAGAGCTTGGTTACAATTTATTGCTAAGAGTTTGGACTTTACATTAGGAAGATAGCCTCTGAAATACAACGAAAATCACATGACATGCCCATTCCTTCTGTTTGTTACTGGGTAAAAATTTTTACCAACTTTTAGTTGATTGACTAACTTTTTTTTTTTCTGAATGTATCTCTATTGCTTTGTGTTTTTTAACTTGAGATTAAAGTTATATTTCTGATATAAAATTGAGTTTTCTATTTTAGTTTCTGACCATGAGCTCATTTGGCTATCTTTTAGTGATTCCAATTTTATCTCCTTTCTTCCCCAAGGATTTCCTATGACATTTTCTACCATTTCCTCATGTTTACTCCAAAATAAGGATGTTTCACCGAGTTTCAATTCTGGCTACTATTGCCTAAATGTTGCAAAGGGGAGGTATTCGTGTTGATAATAAAAGACACATGGTTCTGATGAATAAAATTGTAGACTTTGAACTTCTATTCAAGATTAATTGTATTAAATAGAGCTATTAGTAAAGCTTACTTACTAACTCTTAACTTCAGCTCCCCAGAGCAAACATTCATATCTTTTCAAACCAGGGGGTTTTGAGTTCTGTCTTGACCTGAACCTTGCTTATACACTACATGTTTGGACAAAGCAATTAGCCTGGAAGGAAATAATACAAATATTATTTAATGTTTATCTCATAATATTGATCTATTCAGGATAGTTTAACTTTTGTCATTGAAGAGATATAAAACAACATCCTTTTTTGAAAGAAAGAAGGACAAAAACAGTAACTTTGTACATAAACGAACTTATAATGCCCTTTCAGTATTCCAAGAAAGTCTTTCCTTTTTAACGTCAATATTTTTTTCTGCCACTCTTTTTCTTGTCTCTTGTATTTTGTGCCACTGCTTTCTGGTATCTCTCCTTCATGCCAAAGAAAATCTATTTTCAGGAAGAAAGATCTTGCCAAAATGTAAAGCTATCAGGCACTCCTACTCACCAATGAAGCAACAATTCAGTGTTGCTCTTTCATTTAGCAACAAACTTCTTTGCTGTCTCTTTATGGCTCTGTAAGGGAAAGCCCAAAGAGTTAAGAAAAATCAACCAATGGGGCAGGAGGGGAGAGGTCAATATGCCCTTTTAGAACAATGATAACATTCTATAATAATAGAGTCATAGAAAGATACTTTTTCACAGACAGATGCTATGAAAACTAGAAGCTACAAGAAACATTTTTAAGCAAAAAGTAGAATTATAAGCCTATAATTCCTAAAAAACTCAAACTATTCTTGCGTTCATCAGAGTTTTGCACATGCAAGAGAAGGAAATATTTTGAGCTTTTTGGAAATATTCAAATGTTGCATCATCTTTATATTTATACATAAATAATTTAAAAGTGTAAGGTGAATAAAATCAATTTAGTACCATTTGGAAAGTTCTGCATTTTAGCCTTGGACAAGCTATCCTCTAAAATAGAATAACTATTATGTATATTTAAAAATCAGTTCTTTTAAAATAAATATTCCCATGTCCTGTTATTCTCCTCAACTAGATATGGGGTTTACTTAATTATATTCTGGAAAACATTAATACTTAAAATAATTTGTTTCCTCTTAGAATCACAAGAAAATACAAATTATCTCCAAGATATTGTATTAAAACTAACAAAAGTAATTAAAAGAGAAAAGTATTATTTTAAGTTGACATAGAAATTTTATAATATATGATTTTCTTTGAAGGACTCCTTAAGAAAGGCAAAAAGAATGGTTTTAGCCCCAGCTTTGCAGGAACCTCTAAGATTCAATCAACCCAAAAAATGTGAAGACGTCTGTTTTCTTTTTCTGATTCTTTATCATATCTGGTTTGGAGTATTTTTATGTCTTATTGTAATTGACTTCTATATTTGGTAATTCATAAAATTGATACAAAATATCTCATACTTTTGAGCTGAACTAAAACTTCCTTAGAGATTATGGTGGTTAAGGACTAGTAAATACATATGACACAAAAATTACAGAAAGAACAAAAATAGCTTCAAAATCACAGTGTCATTTGAAGCAAATATGTTTTTATCATCAGGCAAGTGTTAACCTGCTACAAAATTATCCTACTTCAGCAATGATGACTTTGGAAAAAATCCACAACAGTGGAGTTATGAGGTAACTTTTTTGCAGAAGTAGGAGGTATTTCCTCACCAAGATAAACAGATGAAAGATATTTGCCTTCTATTTTGTGATAGATGGTATAAATTCACTTAAAGGGTAAAATGAATTGGGAAATAATAGCGCATTGCAATTGAACTGTCTTTGTAGGAAAAACATATCATTCAACACTTCAGCACTCTCCCCTTAAAAGCCTCCTTACAGTGTGTGATCTCAGATATAGGGAGTGAGGAGAGGTTTTTTCCATACTTGTAAAACTGAAGATCTTATAGAACGACTGAAGGAAAAGTATTTTAGGGCTTCTTAGAAATTATCAAAATGACATGTTAAAGACCTTTATTAGATGATCGAGCATCTATACATGCATACCGTTGAAGAAATTGAAGCCACTAGCACATTGTTCTCAATTGTAAATTGATTTTCCTAAGGCACTTGAATGGGTTGGCCAACGCAGAAACATTTAAAAAGACAGAACAAGAGCTATACTTTCTTCACGGGCCAGGTTTTGTAATAGTGATATATGGTCTCTAGGAATTCAGAAAAATATTCATGTAATTCTTATTAAAGAAGATGGGAGTAAAATTAAAGATGTAACTTTAATTCCTCTGCACAGGGTCTATTGTGGTAAAATTTGAAGCAATTAGGTTGTATACAAATGATTTAATTGTGAAAACTTCATTATTGGGGTTTTAAAATTTGTGCAATCTCTAAAAATTGGTAGAGGAAATCTATAATAAAGATATATGCATCTTAGGAACTCAACAGCTTTCCAAATTATTTGCCTGCAGTTTGAACATTAATTGCTCTTCTGTATGTACAGGTTTTGTGCTTAACAGCAGCTATCTCTTCTGTTAAGGTCCAATTTCTGTTGGCAGAGGGGCTCAGCTCAGTGAGTCACATCAATGCCTAATGGAATAGATAAGCTAGCTGAAGATACAAGGAGCTTTACAGAAGGCAATAAAGCTAATCTTTTCAGCTAAAACAAATTCATTCTATTGGAAAGAATATGGGCAATCATAGATTCAGTGTAGATAATTAGCTTGATTGATTTAACTCAAGGCATAGGGAAGACTATCTTATTAAGTGTATTAATTTGAAACTGCTCTATGTAGCTAGCCTCTCAATCTACATTAAATCTAAGTTTTAGAATAAATAATGTTAGCTTTTGAAGAACACAGCTGCTTCAGTTAAACAAAGGTAGAGAAACAAGCAATTTCTCTAAACACGTAGCATAAAAAAATTTAGGTAACAACTCAAGGAATAGTGCTTTTTGCCTTTTCTATCTAATAATCAGGTTTTAAAATAGTTACTTGGATTTATATGGAATGCTCCTATATGTTTTGACAGATATCTTGTTTTTCTCCATTGGCTTTATGAAGATGAGTATAAAAAGCACAAGTTGGCCAGGTGTGGTGGCTCATGCCTGTAATCCCAGCACTTTGGGAGGCCAAGGCAGCGGGTGGATCACCTGAGGTCAGGAGTTCGAGACCAGCCTGGCCAACATGGTGAAACCCCGTCCCTACTAAAAGTACAAAAAAAAAAGAAAATAGCCAGGCGTGGTGGTGGGCACCAGTAATCCCAGCTACTTGGGAGGCTGAGGCAGGAGAATTGCTTGAACCCAGGAGGCAGAGGTTGCAGTGAGCCAAGACCACGCCATTGCACTCCAACCTGGGCAACAAGAATGAAACTCTGTCTCAATAAATAAATAAATAAATAAAATTTTAAAAGCACAAGTTATATGCGCTTGTAATAATTGAAAGTTACTAAAGAAGTGGTTTCACAGATGTTGTTTTCATTAACTGCTCATTGGATAGGATAGTCAGTTAGAGCATAATCTCTGCAAGGCCATGTCTGTGGATCTGATTGATTGCCTCTGAATTATGTGCTTTTGCTCCATTAATGACTACAGTCAGTCATTTTCAGGTTAGCTAGGCTACAGATGGTGGCATCATCATGCAAGTCACTCCTTTTTGAAGAAAAAACAGTACTCACTTTTTAAATAAAGAACTTTGTAAAATTTGTCAGCATATTGCTTTCCCAATCAGCATTGGTCTGTCATCTTTGTAAAATTTTTATTTAGATAAATCTATTAAACTAGAACCTGTAAAACATATCATTACATTCTAGAAATAAAGCAATCTTAGTTTCTATATCTCAGTTCTATATGGATCTATTAAACTAAAGGATATTAGATGTCAGAGATATCCATCTCCTTCTAATCCAACCCTCACATTTTCACAGAGTAAGAAACAGAAGTTCTCACATTACCTGCATCTTGCATATAGGACATTAAATATCATCCTTCCATGGCTGAGCTGTGAAGTCAGAGTCTATACTTTGTCTTTAATGAATAATTAGTCACTTATCTGCAAGTATGTAATTTTGTATACCTTAGTCTTCTTTGTTTGCCTTACCTTTCATTTCATAACATGAAAATAAATGGTAATTTTATTTAGCAGTGTTTTCCATGCCAAAGTTTTTTTTACCACGTCAGGATTGAAATTTGAAGCTTCTAAACTTTTATTATATTTTCATGAAATAATTTAATGCAAATAGCATGTTATATTGATACACTATTAAAATACATGTTATATTAATATACTACATTAAATTTGGAAAGGTATGTTGCATTTTATCATATTTTTTGTTTTCTCCTATAATTGACAGTTATTTTTTAAATAATTCTAAAAATTAAGGTTTTAAAATAGAAGCTAGTTAGCTTTTTAATTTCTAAGGATAATATAAAGAATCAATTATGAAATATTATAGCATCAATCTTGGCATCTTAAAAATAACATGGGGAGTTGTCTCCTATTACTTTGATAATTCCAGAAATACAAAGTTTTACCTTTCTTTACTTGACCATTGAGTCAACAAATATTTATTGAGCACCTACTACACCATGCTATGTTCTACATACTGAAATATAACAACAAACAAAATAGACATAGATTTCTTAAATTCTTGCCATCATGGAATTTACATTCTAGGAGGAAAGGTGAGCAAAAAAAAAAGTGATATAAGAAAAATATGTAAAAAAGTGCTAAGTATGGAGAAAAATAAAGATAAGAAAGAGGCTCAGGATATGTTAAGAGGAAATTGCATTTCTGATAAGATGGCTAGGAAAGTCCCGAGAAGGTGATATTTGAATAGAAGCTCCAAGGAAGTAAAGAAGTAAGCCATTTGGATAACTAGGTAATGAGCCTTTCAGGCAAAGGGAACCACACATCCAAAGACCCTGAGGTAGAAGCAGGCCTAACATGTTCTAGGAACAGCAAGTACATCAGTGTGACTGATGCCACATACATCTTTGAGTATAGAAAGTTTATGCTATTATTACATTATTATTTTTAGTATTATTACATCTATTCAAATAACAGGACTTTCATATTGCTAAACCAAAAATCTAAGTGTTGACTTTTCCTCTCACTTTCTCTCATCCCATATCCTAACCATCTGATTTTGTGCCCTGAATAGCTCTTAAATCTGGCCATTTCACTCAGTCTGCTCTGCACTACCTTAGCGCAGGATACATGATCTCTTGCTGATATTGTCGCAATTGTTATTAATTTTTGGTTTCCCTACATCTGTTGTTTGCTCTATCTGATGTACTCTCTATACTGTAACCAAACTTTCTCACCACATTTTTCATTAAATATTCCATTATATAATTAGTAATTTAATGTCTATCTTGTTTCACTTACTAGACCATAAGGTCCATAAAGTCAGAGATGAGGTGCATTTTGTCCATAATGTCCCATACATAGTAGGTGCTCAATAAATATGCAGTGAAAATTGAATGAATGTATTATGCCATATTCATGGAGAGATGCATTCTTTTAGTGACACCGTTGAATGATTATGAATGTTTTATGTCATGACAGTTATTATCCAAAGAAACTTTCCATGTTTGTCTAAAACAAGCTTGTCCAACCCATGGCCCTTGGGGCCACATGTGGTGCAGGATGACTTTGAATGTGGCCCAACACAAATTCATAAACTTTTTAAAAACATTTTGAGATTTTTTGTGATTTTTTTTAGCTCATCAGCTATGATTAGTTTTAGTGTATTTTATGTGTGGCTCAAGACCATTCTTTTTCTTCCAATGTGGCCCAGGGAAGCCAAAAGATTGGACACCCTGATCTAAAAGAATATTGAACTAGGATTTAAGAGCTGAGTTAGTGGTCCAGCTCTTCTATTAAAGTATTGCATTACCTTAGGTACTGATTTTTTTTTTGTCCTTATTTGTAGAATGGAAGCAACAAAATCATGCTTGTTTTTGTATATAGCACCATTTCATTTAAATAGACTCTTAAATCATTTTAAATTCTCACATGCATGGTACTACTTGGAGCATGATAGTAGTTATGCATTACAGTTCATCAAAAAACATTCATTTAGGTATTCTAATAGATTCCATATATGTTTGTGCCACAAGGGCCAGCTGAAATTGAGTAAAAGAGCAGGTTTCTGAAATAGAAGAAAGGTGTCATAAGGGAAGAAGGAGACATAGAGAGGGAGGAAGAAGGGAATAAAATTAGTGAAATGTAGGGTGGAATCTTTTTAAATATATTCTTATAAAGTTTTAGGCATTATCTGTATTAGTCTGTTCTCACATTGCTATAAAGAGCTACCCAAGACTGGGAAATTTATGAAGAAAAGAGGTTTAATTGACTCACAGTTCCACAGGCTTAACAGGGCGCATGACTGAGAGGCCTGAGGAAACTTAAAATCATGGCAGAATAGGAACTTTCACTCTCTCTCCTGCCACCATGTGAAGAAGGTGCCTGCTTTAAGGGAAAGCAGTTCCACACACTTTTAAATCATCAGATCTCATGAGAACTCACCGTCTTGAGAACAGCAAGGGGGAAATCTGCCCCCATGTTCCAATCTCCTCCCACCAGGTCCCTCCTCCAATTCAACCTGAGATTTGGGCAGGGACACAAATCCAAATCATATTGTTACCCTCGGATTATTTGTAGGCCCTTTAAATGCTAATTACATAGTTTACCTTCAATTTTATATTTAAGAAAATGGATTAATTCTGGAAGCAACTAATAAATTATAGTGAAACAGAATTTTCCCTCATTATATGAAATTATAATGGTTACCACTATGAAGGTCTACTGGGTGCTATTAACATGTAAGCATATTTATAACATATAAGATGAAGAGAGAAAGATTGCAATGAATCTTTTTCTCATTCACATATTTATTCTTTCATCAAACATTTACTAAGATTGCTGGGCATTAAATGACAAAAGGGCAATGGGAGACAATGAGGCATGGTCTCTGCAATCTAGGCAAAAAGGAGGTTTTTTGTTTTTTGTTTTGTTTCTTGTCCTCCTCTAATGTCTTCCCCTTATTTAATTTTAAGTTTTTTTCCAAGCCATTTCTTCACATCTTCTTAGAGCTACAATAAGGGCTAAATAAGAGGACTCATAAAATACCCTACGAACTTGTAAAAATACTGTTGGTCAACACAGCATGAAGAAATTTATTACAAGGCTTTTGTTTGTTTTGTTTTGTTTTTTGATATCAAAGTCATCATTATATCAGAGTGAAAGCTACTTAAGATCAGGACTCTGTCTTTATGCAATAGAATTTTGTAACTATAAATCAAATGTCTTTTGTGGAGTAATGAAAAGGTTTTGAGCTAGGTTGAGTAAATACTAATTTTTAAAAATTATGAGAAAATTACCACTTTGGGTTTGCAAAGTTGAGGCTTGTTGAGCCTTTTTATCTACTGTTCATTCACAAGCCAAACAAAGACACAGGAACTAATGAGGTTATTTTCAGATAACTGAGCAGACTATTTAACAATTACTTTCTTTGATGACTTCGTCCACTATTCCTTAGAATTTCTTAAAAATTTAAACAAGAAAAAATTTAATGTCAAAAAATTATAATATACAAATTTGAAAAAGTTCATTAGCTGTTCATTTTCATGAATCAAAATGACTGTTGTACTCATAATGTTTCTTCCAGCGCCCACTGAGAGACCATTTACAAATACGTAAAAATGGGTCCAGTGACTGAACTCATTAATGTCTATTCCACTAAAACGTTCTTTCCAAATTCTTCAGCATTATCTATTCACCCCGGGCTTTTCAGTGTGGT
Organism: Homo sapiens; assembly: GCF_000001405.40. NCBI lineage: Eukaryota > Metazoa > Chordata > Mammalia > Primates > Hominidae > Homo > Homo sapiens. The sequence continues at coordinate 209,718,626 of NC_000002.12, forward strand.
TCTACTTTCTGTGCCATGCGACTCAGCTTGCGTAGGAAAATTGGTCTCTCCAACTTTTCTTTTAGAGTTTTGTGGAATTGTGCATTTTGACATAAACTGTTATTTCTTCCTAAATGTGTATTTAAATATACATATTGTTTATATTGGATATAAAAAATTTTAAAGAAACTATTGTTCAATGTAGGCAGGGATGATTAAAATTCTGATTATAATGTCTGCATACATTTTAACCAGAGTGCAAAGTTTTTAACAGATGAATCTTTGAAGAACATCATGTGTGCCAGAGAACTTTCAATCTTCGGGAATATCTGATGTAGTCATAGTTTGTTTTACTATAGGATACTTGAGGATTTTATAGAGGCGAAATAGTTTTCCTTAAAATGAATATTATGAAATAAAAAATACTTTCGAAAGAGAGAGAAAGTATTTTCATAATGCAAGAACAAAGGAAGGCTTAATTTTATGCCATCTTGAGAAATGAGGGAAACCCAAAGGAGAAACTTAATCCCCTGCAAGGTTAAAGGGAAGTCAGTTGAGTGCCACTGTTCACTCCCCCTTCTCAAAAGCATTCTTTCTGATACAACTCAGATGGAGGAAGAGAGAAACGGTGTTGCAACCTAGGTTCGTACCTAATGGATGCCTGAGGGGGTCTAGACAAATCCAAATTATTTGACTCCTAGTCACCCTCCACATCTCACCACGTTGAGCTGACGTGTGGGTCTTTTGTTAAAGAGAGCAGTGTTAGAGTCAATTTAAAAATAAATCAAAATCTCATTGCTCAAGAAATTCAAGTTGACATTGGGATGAATGCCTCCAACTTACAAATTGTTTTACTAAAAATTGTACATTAAGAATGTATTTTCTTTCATTTTACGTTTCTTAGTAAGAGAGATGTTTTTTTCTTGTCTGCAGGCATATCCTGCATTTTCTGTTTCAATCCTTTCCTAGAGCAACCCTGTTTTAGGGGAACAGGTTAATTTATTGAAAGAAACAATTAAATATATGCAGAGAGAGAGAGCACCGTGGCAGATCACTTCAATTAAACCGTGGTGATAAAATCCAACTAAAGTCACACAAGGAATATCCAGAAAGAAATTACAATATTCTTCTCTATCATAGTGGAAGAATAGAAAGAATTAGTAAAATTAAAATAAAGCAATTCTAATGAATTTTTTAATGTCATTAACCTATGCTTATACAACTCTTCATGCTATATGACCCTTATGTGAATGGAAAGCCAACTATTTGTGCAAATAAATCACCAATGTTTGCATAAAATTCATGAGACTAAAATCCTTTTTTGCAAGCTCCCACTGGAGGTATTGATTGCACCAAACCTTAAAGAATAATCTGTTACAGACTCAAATTGGAATGAGAGCACCCTAGGGAGAGATAATAACATAAAACACAGGGATGAACTTTAAATGTAAACACAGGCCTTAAAGTATAGAATATAGCAGAGTCTGGCCAAAATGTAAAGTAACAGAGAAGTCTGAAGAATCAGAATTGCTGAGACCTCTGGCTGCCTCACTAAGAAGTTTTGATGTATTTAATAAGAAATAGGGTGCTTGGGGGAATTTTGAATAGGGGAGAGCTATAGGAAGATGATCTGGTTGATTAATATAATATTTTTCACTTCTACTATGAATTATGTAGAAAAAAAGATTGTCACACTCTTTCAAATTACACTACTTTGTATTAATAGTGCAAGTAAAAATTTTACTTGAAATAGGCCGGGCACGGTGGCTCACGCCTGTAATCCCAGCGCTTTGGGAGGCCGAGGCGGGCAGATCACGAGGTCAGGAGATCCAGACCATCCTGGCTAACACGGTGAAACTTCATCTCTACTAAAAAATACAAAAAATTAGCCGGACATGGTGGCGGGCGCCTGTAGTCCCAGCTACTCAGGAAGCTGAGGCAGGAGAATGGCGTGAACCCGGGAGGCGGAGCTTGCAGTGAGCCGAGATCGCGCCACTGCACTCCAGCCTGGGTGACAGAGCGATACTTGGTCTCAAAAAAAAAAAAAAAAAAAAAAACTTGAAATAAATTGGCAGAGATTAAAATGTGATTTAGAGAAAATTTTGCGCAATTATTATTCAGATTTTTTCCTTCATATCATGAGCACGGAAAATTAGCTTTTTCGTTAAATAGTAGTTATTTTTTTTCTAGACAATCTCTAAGATGTTAAAATAATTTTCTCTTGACATAGGTTTTTAGGAAAACAAATGTTTTTCTAAAACTGAAAATCCCTTCCCAAAGAAATAAATATTTATTTAGATTTATCCATAGAACCCAGAGTTAAAACTATAACTCTTTGATTTTTTTTTTTTTAAACTGATCTGGAATATGGCCTTCTCCTTCACAGCAGCCACAAATTTTTCTATTTTATGAAATGGCTTCTGAGGACTGCTGTTATTTGTGGAATGAACTCTAAGATGCTAATTATTTGTAATTGACCCTAGAGATCTTTGGTGTGAAGTAATTTGTAATTTTGCTACGGCATAAATATGAGTCACGCGGAATAGGCGAACATTCAGGTGCAAGTTGTCAAGCTAGAGTGTAACTCTTCATGAGCACTAAGTGTCCACTATCCAAAGAGGTTTATGCTTCTTTCTACCCTACCATTAAGCGCGATGGAAAACAAAGGTCTAGAGAGGCCAGTTACATTTATTCTGTCATAATTCACCTCATTTTAGATGAAAAAATTATAATATAAAGCTATTGCATATGGAAATATGTAAAGAAAGTGCCACTAATGCATGTGAAAGGATAGGATTGCTTCATATTACAAGTTGAGCAGATATAGGTGGAGAAAGTCTACCTGCAAGAGAGGCAAGCAGGTTTTTTTGATAGAATATCTGTGATTTTCTAGAAAATCTGGGTAAAATCAACAGAAGTTAGCTTTTAAGTTGTAGGACTTTAAGATTCTAAATAATCTCTTAATAATGCTGGCAATGTGATCATTTAGGATTGAATCATTTGTTTTGGAAATCATAAAAATGATCAAACAGTTGATTAAATGTTAATGTCAAACAGATTTATGCAACTGATTTTAGAATTTCCATTTTTGTAACAAGTGAATCAGATTTCATGTTTGGCTTGTGATCACTTGGCAATGAGTCACCAGATTGGTACTCTAATGATCTCTAAGTTAAATTTTTTAAACATAGTATGAAATCCTGTATATTCTCAAGGATTAGTAAAATAGCTCACATCATGTCTATGTCATTGCCAAAATAATTAGATACTTATTGAGAATCCTTTAAAGTATTATTATTAGAAACAGTAAGTCAAAATTATTTGCTTTCTCCCATCCGAGTACTAATCAAGCCCGATCCTGCTTAAATTCCAAGATTAGATGGGAATGGGCACATTTATGGTGATATGGCCATAAATAAAATGATTTGCCTTTAGAAAATAATTTCTCTGTGAGGTTTTACATGTAATGGTCTTTGTTGGTTTAAAACTATCTCCGTCTTATGTGAAACATTTATAGTGCAACTACACTTATTGTTAGATACAGACTCTGTGAATATCTTCAAGCCTGTTTAAATTGCAACTTTTATTATGCCCTAAAAAGTAGCCCAATCATTCTGTCTTCTGAATTCAAATTTTGACAAGAGGCTCTCCCCGTGGGTTGCTGATGAGAGATATCAATGATATTTCCCTGCAAGGGACAAGCTATCTTGTCAATGTTAGGCAGGCACTGTGAATTAAGCTTTGCCTAGTTAAAAATAGTCAGGATTCAATGTCTTTTTGAATTATTTATTCTTTTTTGGAAATACCAAAAGATGTGGTAATATTCTTGCAGATGGCTGTGTATCTAAGGTAAATTTATTTAGAATTTTTTAATAAGAGGATAAAGTGTCCCCTAAAGCATTGAAAATGTTGTTTTTTTTTCTTTAGCTATTGCAGAGGTGGGGAAGAGAAGAGAGTAGAAGTAGCCAAAGTAAAACAAAATGAACAAATAACGACAATAACACAAATAAAGCTTTCTTTCCATGCTTATATTGCTTATGTGTCCTCCAAAAGATGCAAGGTTCAAAAGACATATGAAAGAAGTCATGAAAGTTGTAACATTTTACATTAAACCAGAGTAATGTCCTTCCAGATCTGGATCTGCTGTTGTCTTCAAGATGAATGTTTGACTTCCCAAAAATAGAAATAAAACACCTAACCTCAAATCTGCTGGCCTCAATCAAGGCCTGACCTATGTCTGTATGACCTAGTTACAAGTCAGCTAACCAATGGGCATGGGTTTTCTTTCCTCTAAAAATGGAAATAATGCTTCCATATGATCATCCATGGAAAATGGCTGCTCTTGAGCAATTGCCAGAAAGGGGCCTTCAGGATGTCGCTGAACCACCTGCAAGGGAATTGTGAAACCCAAAGTTTCTTCGTTGACCCTCCTGGGAAACCGGGGGTTCTTACCCTAGATGAATGAGAACTCTGATGTAGAGCATTCACCATGTGTGAGCCCCATTTGTGCTGTGTGGACCAACAGAACAGTCAAGTGTACGAGGTGATTAATAATTGTGATGGCTGACTCTGATGGGGCGAGGGAATGGCATATCCTCTAGGGTCCTGTGCTGAACAAGATTTAGTATTAACCACTATTGAACCTTACCTAGAGTGAGCCTGAGTCCCAGTGTTGCTGACAACATTGGTAGCCTCCCCATCACAGATGACTCAAGTTTTATTTTTCAATCCATATAACTGTTTCCAGATCATACCTAAGTACAGTGGGATTTCTTAGCCTCTCTCGCATTTGACCCTTGTGGGTGCAGAAGAATAGGGGCTCAGATTTACATGATAGAACAGTTCTTCAGTTCCAGTGTTAGATTTTCTCTTAAATAAATGTGTAGGTGGAAGGGAATCTAAAGCCTCTTTGATGCTACCCATTCTGGTTCCCTTTATCCAGCATCTTGATAGAAAAATGCACAGTGAAGTTACCTCCAATTCCTTTTAGGTTAGGATTTTAAACAAGAAGATCGATTTTAGCAAAGTTCAGTCCAGATGTGGTTCCAAGGATAACATCAAACATTCGGCTGGGGGCGGAAATGTAAGTAGAAGCGCCTTTTAGAAAGCTGTCCTGATTGCGTGGAGCCACCTGCACAGCCAGCACCCTGCCTTCTTTCCCACCTCTTTCCAACACACTGCTCCTTTCTCACTGCTGTTCCACATGTCTCCCTGGTATGATAGCTTGTAGCCTTGCATTTTCAGTGATGGACTTCCCATCCTTCCCTGTAAGATCATCAGGGAATTTCCTGCTTTGATTTGGGAAAGAAAACCTTGATGGGATGCACCATGGTTTTCTGGAGAATGGCAAAACCACTTCACTTGCCAACTTTGTTGCTGGCCTTCTTGTCTTCAATGTATTTTCTCACGTTGTTTCTACTCCACTACAAAAGTCAGCTGGGCACATATTTTTCTAGCTCCATTTAAATTACCCATGAGGCAAAGACTGATATACTTGTAAATGCCCAAAGTATGTAATGTCAATCTTCAGTGGTTCATTATTCATGAAAGTAAGGATATCATTTAGAATAATACAAAACTGGTGGAGCATGGTTCATTTATAATTCAAAGTGAAAGGATTCAAGTCCAGTGTACACTTTAGCTTGATGGGATTTTTTTTCCTGTCTCTTTCATTTAGTGTAAATAATGTCCTGTGAGAGGAAGGGAAAGATGATTCCATGTTTTTTAAGTGTGATTGAGGCAGAATTGAAATGGTCAGACAATCTCAAGCTAAAGGAAGCATGGTTCTTTATAAAACAAGAATAGTTTTTCAAAGGTGATCAGGCTAACTGTATTCTACAGATCCTATCTCTTTAAACTTCAGTTTCTGATCATCCATGACTCAAGTAATTTACAGGGTGTCGAGTCTAGAATTTCACCTGTCTACTAACTCTTTGGCTACTTGCTTCCCAACTGGGCAGAAGTAGAATCAAGCAGTGAAGAGAGAGAGAGAGAGAGAGAGAGAAGCAAGTGCCTTCTACAAGCAGCTGTTGCCTGATAATCAAAGTAGCTTCACTGAGCATAAAACTGTCATTGTCATTGAAAGTTCATAGCAATGTTTGCTGGCCCCCTTCAGGTATGCTAGGCTAAGCCTCAGGGTTAAACTTTACATTTATGTGGTTGCCACTCTTCCTTATTCCCCAGACTGTAAGTATACACCATGTGGTACTCTCATAAAAGGAGCCCCAGTCCTGGTAATTACCTTGAGGGTATCAGAGGATGGACCCAGCTATCCTTTACACAAGTGCTGCTGGACAAAACACCTAAGTGGAAAAGGATAAACTAGGATAATTAAAGATCTTAAAGTAAGTAGAGGAGCTTTATCTCCCAAAACAATAGTCTTAAATTTTCCTCTAGGAAAGAATCCCTTGTTTAAATATGCAGACATCCTGGCCCTGTCCTCATGATATCTGATTCAGTAATTCCCAAGTACTCTCGTGCAGATGACAATGGACCAAACTTGGAGAAGCACTGCTTCAAATATTGGGAGAGGAAATATTTTCAGTAAACCACACAGAAGAAAAAAACCTGTTACTATCATTTTATAATTTGGTATGAAAGAAAAATTTCATCTAGCTAAGATATGACAATGTAATAACAATTTAGGAAAGCACATTCAGAACTTCTTGTTGTATCTTAACGTTGGTCTTCTTGTAACTATGAGCAACATTGGTCACTTTTATGTAAAAATCACTTTATAAAGAATAATGCAGCTCTTCCCTTGGCTCTTTGCTTATGGAAAGGTTAAACAGTGTTGCTTAGTTCTCTGAGTGGAAGCTTGCCTTATTAATATGTTTCTATCCTCCTGTGTCATAATCTGCTTTCAACTAATAAAATCTTCTATTCTAGGGTTTTCTTTCACTTGGGTTCTTCTTTCCAATCCAAACATGTGGGAGAATATATGGAAAATTATGTCTTCCTCTGTTTGTGTGTGTACTTCAATTTGGGTTTCTAGCTATGTTGTTGCATGTTGTGACTTTGGGTGTGTTTCTAGATCTTATGTATGAGCTTGGGTTTTTGTCCATGTTTGAACTATTTTAAGCATGTTTTATGTGGTTCACATAGGTACAAATTGTTACCAAGAAAATAGACCTAAGCCATGTGACATCCAAATGTGGCTCTCTGAAGAACATCCGCCACAGGCCAGGTAAATAAATAATTTTTAGTAGTTTGAGAAATATTTAACTGGAATCAAGAAAGGGATGAGAAAATTTTTTGTTGTTGCAAAATACCTAATTGGAAGGATGTTTTAAAATATGGGTACTTCACATTTTTATTAATAGAAACTAAAATTGAAAATTTCAAGGCATCTTCATTGGGGAAAAGTGAACCCAATTACAATGAAGAGGACACATTTTAATTAAAAATTAAAAGGTACATAAGACGCATTTATCTTTATGTACTCAACACGCTTATTGGAGCTCCTTTGAAATACGTAGTCTATAAAATACATCAGATCATGTATTCATATATAATAACATTGGGGGTAGCATTTCCAAGGTTTTTTTTCCTAAAATTGGCTTTCTACATTATGTAAAATAAGGATTGTGCTTTGCAAAGCTGAAGAAGTGTATTTATCTGGTGAATTTCTCAGATTCTTTATTAGGTCAGTAAACACCATGAATACCCAGCAGAATGCAATGTTTCCTCAACTTATTTGACCATGAACCCCTTTTGGTTTTTCAAAATATCTCATACGACTAGTGCCCTAAAGTAGAATTTATATTCATAGTTACTGGGAGATTTTCTCCCTTTAAAGTGTGAATCTAACATTATGAGTCACTTTTTCTGAATATCATGTATTACATGTTTTTGTTAAATTCTACCTCCATAGAGTGGGCATGTTGGCTCATGCCTGTAATCTCAGCACTTTGGGAATCCAAGGCAGGAGGATTGCTTAAGGCCAGGAACTTGAGACAGACTCAGCAACATAGGGAAACCCCTGTCTCAATAAAAAATAAAAAAATAAAAATAAGCCGATATGGTGGTACATGCTTGTAGTCCTAGCTACTTTGGAGGCTGAGGCAAGAGGATCACTTAGTTTCAGGAGTTAGAGGCTGCAGCAAGCTATGATCACACCACTGCACTCCAGCCTAGGCAACAGAGCAAGACCTTGTCACAAAGAAAAAACTCTGCCTCCATAGATATGTAATAAAAGATGACTGTCATATTTGTAATTTTCTTGAGAATATTTTGACACAATTCATTTATCCCTTTGAGAACAAAAGGAAAGCAAATGGTTTTAACTGTCTGTGTTTGGCATCTTAACATGAAAACAAAGTAATAGGTTTTTTTCCATGAAACAAGGTATAATAACAATTGAGCTGTTAGCTGACAATTATTCTGCTAGTCAGGAGAAAATTATTAATAAATTATTGGTTGAAAAACAAAGATAGGTAGAATAAATTTCAAAATGGATAAATGCATTGAAAACATCTGGAAATCAGGATTCATTTTGTCAATGAGTATTCATTATAAAGCAAGTCAAAGAGTTACAAACTACATTTATGATGTCTTCACTTACAGTTTCAGAACTGCTGCCATGGAATTAGCTTCTCTACTATTCATGACGCAGCAGGAAGGTTGTCCCATACTTCATATCTTTGAAATTCTCCTGTCCACAGCTGAAGTCTACAAACACTAAATTGACTTTGTACTGCTGTGTCAACAGCATGGCTGGAATACTTGGCAACACTGCCTATTTTCTTTCAGAATGCAAAAGAAAATGCTGGACTCTTCAATTCTAGACAGTAAGGATATAGTTAGTCAAACTCACCTGTGACCTAGATGTACGGAAAAATTTTATATAGATAAGGAACTATTCTGTGTATGATTTGTTGGTCATAAAAGGCTGTTGTCATGGACTCCCACCTATTTCTAAATCTAGCTCTTGCTTCTATTATAACTGAATCAAATGACTAAATTCATAAAGAAGTGTAAGCATAATAATCCTTGACAGCAGCAACCTTTTCACAAAGTTACTTTGGAATGTGGAATATCTAAAGAGAAAATAAAGAAAATAAACATCTGGAGGCACACACTGAAATATCTGTTCTTCTCAACTTCATTTATAAAGCTTGACAAAGATAATAGTCTTTCACAATTACTGCTCCTGATGGGTGCCAGAATTCTTCGAAAATCAAAGGCATGGATCTCTGAGTTTAAGATATCTGGATTCTCTAACAGTTGCATAAGAATTTCTAGAGGGACTTCATCAGAAATAGACTTCTTAAGCTTCCTTTTCTGAATATGTTTTGGGTCAATAATACATTATTATTTTTCCCTCTCAGAAGACAGTTCATAGTGAGAGTCCATCTCTACAAAAAAATTAAGAATAAAAATAAGCTGAGTGTGGTAGTGCACACCTGTAGTCCTAGCTACTCAGAGGGCTGAGGAGGGAGGATCACCTGGGCCCAGGAAGTCAAGGTTGCAGTGAGCTATGATCATGTCACTTCACTCCATCCTGGGCAACAGAGCAGACCTTGTCTCCAAAAATAAAAAGGACATTTTAGCAAAAATTTAACACGATTATATTGACACAACATATAATCAGAAAAGTAAATGATTTCTATCAGAGGCTACCAAAAATACAAAAATAAGATCACAAAGAAGTTGTTCTTATCTAGTTGAAAGTCCAGTATCCTCTAACCTCTAACCAAGATAAGTCTGTTTTTATGAATCATTGCAAATCATGTTCATCTCATCACAATCAATAAGTGAGACCCATATGGCCAGGTAAAATGTGGGAAGAATAACACTCTATAAAATGAGGCATATTTTCAGGGAAGGATAACTACATCTCTAAGCATGAGTTAAATAACATCATACAGTTTCTAAGCCTTAAAAGAAGAACGAATGGATGTTTCTCCAAAATGTAATCTAATTATGTAATATAATTTCAAGAGGCCCCTGGCCAGGCAGTTGGGTATTAACATAGATGTCTAGATATTGCATGAGAAAAATACCTCATGGCTTAAGAGACCGTGAAGCCTTAACAAACCTTCCTCTTTCGTCTACAGAGATACATGAGCAACAAGAATCCAAAATTGCAAAATCTCTTTCATATTTCCATACGGTCCATCAGGCATTTTTTCAAAATCAAACTCCCAAGCAAGATGCACTTTATGTACTCAACATGTTTATTGGAGCAGCTTTGAAATATGTAGTCTGTAAGATACATCACAATCAACAAGTGAGACCTACGTTACCGCTTCTTTCCAGAAGAACGCATGTGCTCAAAACCAAGTTGCTGTTAAAGTGAAAGCAAATCTCTTAGGTGGTGATGAGCAAATAAGGAGTCCAATTTCACTTTTTATCTAGATCAAATACATCAGCAGACACTCAGAAATGGTCAAGGACAGGCTCAAGGACAACGAGTAACTTGCCCAGTGTAGAAGAACTTTCCATATTTGAGAGCTTGAGAAAGACGTGTAGAGATGGGGAAGACTACACTGAAGAGTGCAGCATGGCACTGTTATAATCAGCAGATCAGAGTTCTAGACTGGTTAGCATTAGGGAAAATGGCATGGTCAAAACTCTGTCTCAATATTATCAGATCAAGGTCAGCGTCATATTGGTCCTATGGCATCCATACAAGAAAGAGATGATGATCTGTCACTCCATATATGAAACGGGAGGCTTTTAAAGCTTACTAGTCATAAACAACTTACCTCCCGACTCATTTCATCAGTGAAGCTTTCAATGTTGAACATTCATAAATGAATATATTGCCCACATGTGCACCACTTCCAGCCTAAATCTTCTTTGGATAAGTAACCTGTTACCATGAATATAAAGAAGAGTTTCATTTAAATTTAATTTGGTCCCTTAGAAATAAGAGACTAAATGTTCCAACTTTTAGAAAGGATTCAAATAAGATATTTTCATTTTGCTAATTTTTAGAGTTCTTGTTATACCAAAAAGAAAAGCCCCTCTGATTTCTTAGGTTAGACATGGGTAAAGGAGAAAGGTATTAATACGTGAAGCAATCCATATAATAGTATAAGAAGGGTGTTATGGTCTTGCATCATATGAGGAAATGATATGGGCTAGAAATTCTAAAAGACTCTTTTTACATATATGGTTGGAGGGATGGTAAAGTTAATAAATTTGTGGTTTGCCGTAGTCTATCTACTGCAGTCATTTTTGGGAAATAGTTACCACGAATGCAAGATATAGTTAAATCAAGGTATTTCTTCCCTCATAGGTGGCGGACGTGTGAAAATTGAGAGTGTAAAACTAGATTTCAAAGAAAAGGCCCAAGCTAAAGTTGGTTCTCTTGATAATGCTCATCATGTACCTGGAGGTGGTAATGTCAAGGTAAGAAACAAGGTTATGAGCCAATCTTGTCTTTTTAAAAAAAATTCTTCTGAAATACTCTTCATCAAAATAGGTCCCAGATTGTAGACCTGGACAAATAAGAAGTGGGGATAACAGAGGTGAATAGAAGTCATTAATGTCAGCCCTGGGAGATGGAGAAAGAGGTAGGGGCCAGTTAAGATGCATGAGTTAACGAGGACTGATGCTTGTCTTAAACAGATTGACAGCCAAAAGTTGAACTTCAGAGAGCATGCTAAAGCCCGTGTGGACCATGGGGCTGAGATCATTACACAGTCCCCAGGCAGATCCAGCGTGGCATCACCCCGACGACTCAGCAATGTCTCCTCGTCTGGAAGCATCAACCTGCTCGAATCTCCTCAGCTTGCCACTTTGGCTGAGGATGTCACTGCTGCACTCGCTAAGCAGGGCTTGTGAATATTTCTCATTTAGCATTGAAATAATAATATTTAGGCATGAGCTCTTGGCAGGAGTGGGCTCTGAGCAGTTGTTATATTCATTCTTTATAAACCATAAAATAAATAATCTCATCCCCAAACTGTAGTAATTGTTACAATTTTCTATTTAAAAAATGAATAGTACATGCAGAAATTGACCTGATTTCCATTTGCAACAGGAAGACACTGGCTTTACATGGGTTCAATTGGACAATTATTTTTGCTCTGCTCTGTTTTGCATGGAGTATTATTATTTTAAAAATTGCATTTTTACCTTTCATGTGCCTGAAGGCTATCCACTACATTCTGAAGGCCTTGTTAAAATCCAAGCTGCTCATTTCACTATTCTGTTTCTGAGTGAGAAGATAAAAACTGCCCATTGTAACTTATTTCAGGTTAAATTAAACCAAGGAGTCTGATTGCAGGAAGGGAAGAGCATGTAAGAAATAAGTTTTTTTAAAGTGTTATTTTGTATAAATGGGAAGAAAGATTCAATTAAGTTATTAACATTTGGGACCTGGATAATTATATCAGAGTATGTCAGTCCAATAAATTATTTAACTAATTAAAAAATAGTTGCAAAGCATTTGAGCTGTGGTTGAGGAAGTGGTGTAAAAGTGCATCCATTAGGAATGATGCACTTTCATTAGGATGGACTCGTGTCTGATTAGAATGTCAGTTGATCAGCTAGATTTGTGTCCACACTACCAGTTTCACACCCCCTTTCCATCTGTTTGATACAGTATTATAGATATAAATATATATATATTTCTCTGTGGCCATTTGTGATACTTCCTCATATACTTGAATATTATACTTCTTTATTCACAGTATCTGTGTCTCCTGCACCCTTTGGTGTTGCAATTTTAGATATGTGAAAGTAGATGTTAGCAGGGTTCTCTCCCTATTTAAAAAAAATACATTAAAAAAGACAAAAAATTTTAGCATGAAGTTGCTTTCTGTAACAACTCAAAGCCGTAACCCTGTTTTAGTGCCAGATACAAGTCTCTCCCGTGATGCTAGACAAAAAATTATTTTTCTTTGCTTTCACCAACATGGAGTTTGTGGGGGTGGGTCCAGTTATACATGAAAGGGTTTACAGATTGTTGGTTTAAGATTATGGATTTATCTCATTTTTAATCACAGGATAGTTTGGGGTTTATTCCTATTATTATTCATGAAACCGACTTAAGATTTTTTCTTTATTTTTCTTTTTTTTTCCATTTGCTAAAGTTGAAAGTTGAAACTAACTATAATAGTTTGAAACATGTTTTCTCATTTTTCCAAATAGTATCTGTTTATTAAATTCTCTAATAGAAGATGTTTGTCTTTCTTACCCAAAGTAAAGATCCCCTGATCAGAAAGAAAAAATACAATACTTTGGGAAGCTATAGCTATAAAACACTTGAGACACAGATATCTAAATCAGTTTTTTTCCAAGACTCCAACATTGCACTCTGTAAAGTAACACACTGTGATCTAGTATTATTTATCAGTAGATAATACTGTTCTGACTGTATATACAGTCTAGAACTCACAAATCAATTAGTTCCTCTCACAAATCATTCATCTTAGACTTACAAATAAGGAATGAAATAGTCAATGGCCTGATTAAGGCAAAGAGCTACCAGGCTAGATGGACACTTTTTAAAAATTTTATCTGTTCTTTTTCTTGCTCAGGGCTGGTAGGTTGGATCTGAACCATTAAAATCAAATGGTCCACTAGGCGTATGATCTCTTTGAGCCAAATCAGTTCCTGAATATAAAGGAGGAAATGATGAGGATGTACTGAGGCAACGGGGAAGTATAGAAACATCCAAGACAAAAGCCAAGGGATGCAAAGGCAGAGACACAGGTGCTTTTTGGTGACCCAGTGGATATGGCAACCAGTGTAACTGCCATACAAGAAACCCTAGGAGCAAACCCACACCACTCATTCTCAGCTAAGAGATTTTACACAGGCAAACGTGTCTTAAACCATCTATAAATCAGTTATTTTATATGACAGTCAAAACCTTAGAAACCTTAGGATCATTATATCTATTTTCTGCCTATTAATTGCTGTGAGGTTTGATTTGACCAATCTGGGCAATTTATTCATCAGCTTCCCTTGAAGTGCACCAGAAAATAGAAGAAAGGTGTGTGGAGACTTAGGGTATTTTATTACATGTTTTCATAGTCTTAAATAGTGATTAAATTTCTCTAGAAAGAAGTTAACAGCTCATTAGAAAAGTTTTAACCTGTGAAATAAGTATTTTTCTCAACATTCTTTAAAGTTTTTATATAAGTTAACACTAGGTAAACATTCTGCATACTAGAAGTCAGTTTATTACAAATACATGTCAAAAATAAAGATTATACAAGGCACCAAACTACTAGATTTGGCATTAAAACAAATGTTTATTTCTAATCACAACAAAATTATAATGAATAAATGTTCTTGCTTTGTATGGAAATACAATTCTTTATTAAAGTTAACAGAAAGGAACTGATCGTTTGTACCAGTAAAAGAGAGAAACACACAGGTTAAATATCTTCTTGTGGGGTTAAGGGGTAGAACCTATCTTGCCTTCACTCTCAAGATAACGACTCAAATTAAGCTTTTTGAGCACCACTCTTGTGGGGACACACATACGCTGATCTAGGAATGAAATCTTCGTGGTCTCAATTCTAGATCTACTATGCCAGTTTCTCTCTGGCTTTAGCCTTTGAGAACCTGTATAAGAATACGTAAGTAATCCAGAGCTGTGAAGAGTTTAAAGGCCAACTTCTCCAGTGAACTCAACCTCTGGGTCACTTGCAACCAGAAATTGGATACCTCATAATGATGCAGGAAAGACCCGAGTTCATGATGAGTTTCAAAGGCCACGTTCATTTAGGAACCAACTCTCTCTGGATTTACCTGCTGAGTTCCAGCAGCGTGATGGGCTGACATCCCACCTACAAGTATGACACCTGTGTAACACCAGCTAGGTACGGCTGGAGAAGGCTGAAGAGAGAATGCCATTAAATGGAAGAATGTACTGATTGTAGTGACCTTCTCCACACACACACACACACACACACACACACACACCTACAGTAATACAGCAAGCGTGGAATAATCAGCCAATATATAACATTCCATCAGTATTTTATTAAGGAAATAACCTGAATGTGGTTGATTTTGACATAGCTGCAATTACAGTTTTCTTCTATTTTTCAAGCCACAATAAGGAAAATAAACTACTCATGGTCTAAATACTAGAGATAAAGTAGATTCATGGCTTGGTAAGGAAATTTTAAGCATTCCTTCAAAGATTGACGTGCTAAAATAAGCATTGATGTTTTGAGTTTTTTTACACCTAGGATTTTTAGCTTGGGTGTGTAGGTGAAGGCCAAGACTCTCTGCAGGAAAAAGCTTATTTTCAAACTCAGAAAATAAAATGTCAATCATAAAAATCTACTTCAACTTTAGCAAAAAGAAAAAAAAATCAACAAAAAGTATACTCTGTATGCTGGGATTCCGAGGTTCCAACACACTGTTACAAATCTGTGGGGGGTTTCTTTCTTCTGATAATTCTAGAGCCTGTTACCATAGAAAGGCATTTCTTCAATGGCTGGTTGTAGTTAGTTCATGTTTTTCAATCAAATTTGCAAATGTATTTGTTGCTGTATAGTGATTGTTTTGCAAAATAAAATTGCTTGTCACCTAACTGCTAGTTTTGGTTTCAGACTGTTTAATTGCTTCTCCTCTGGAAAAAAAATTTTATATATATATATAGTGATATAGTGCGTGTGTGTGTGCATGTGTGTAATACAACCAAAGAAAAATTGTGAAAACAAGGCTATTATTATGGCTGAGTTTCTATTATGTGTCAGGCTCTATACTAAATGATTTTATATTAGCTCAATTAATAAGGAAATTTATTTTTATCACTACTGTATTAGCAGGATGCTATCTTTTGCAAGTGACAAAAATTCTAATTAAACGGGCTTAAACGTAAAGGTGAATTTGTAGGCTCAAGTAACTGACTACTCAGGTGTATCTGCCTCAGGCATGGCTGGGTCCAGGCCCTCAAACGACGTCATCAGGAATCTTCCCTTTTCCAACTTTTAGTTTTGCATCCTCTGTGTTGGCTTCCTTCTCAGGCAGGCACCCCTTCCGTGATGGGCACCAGAAGCTCCAGATTTCACAACCTATCAAAGAAAGCCCCTTTACAGTAGCTCAAATCCAGGGTCTGAAAATCACTGAACGATTAATACTTGGATCTCCTGCCTACTTATGCTAATTGACCAGGATTGGCTCACGTACCCAACTCTGTCACAGGTGGTTGGAGTAGAAGGAGAATAAGGGGAGAAGTGGCTTTATTCTCCTCCATACTACCTGAGCTAATCGTGGAGAGGAAACGTTTCCCCCAAAGTTAATTCAGGCTACTCCTGCCAGAAGAGAGGAATTGATACTGTACAGGCCACAAAAACAAATACGTGGTATAGCTGCACCCCTGTTCATCTTTTAGCTCCTTACAGCTCAGATTATGCTCAGGCTTCACCAGGGAGCTTGATAGAAATACAAATTTCTGGACTCCACCCCAGACTAACTAACTAACATTCCTCCAGGTGATTCATCTGCACTCAAAAATTTGAGAAACACTAAGCTCATTCAGTCCCTGCTAATGTGTTTAAGGAGAAAGAGCTCCGTTGCAGGTCTCTAATGGATAAAAGTTATCCCAAAGACTATTTGAGACAGCATCCCTACCTCTGATGTCAAACTAGGAACCAAGGCATAGAAAGCTGTGACTGGTAAAAGAAATACTTATGTGTGTATTAGAGGTTTTCCAGCCCTCAGACTATTTTAACTTGGCTAAAACCTACTTCTCTTATTAATGGCATCACTTCTCATTCAGTCTCCTTTTGCTAATAATGCAGATTTTGTAGAACCTAGCAAGAATTATTAGTGTATCTCTAATAATTCCTTAAAATCAGCACACATGTTGTCCTTCAGAGTCTTCAAACCATGAGGATTAAATTTGTCCAGTAGCATGAATCACCATAAAATTGTTGATTTTCTTTTTTATTTGTTAACAAGGCAAGGAAAGGTTTATTTGCCTTGACAAGAGACAACCGTAAATAATGGAGGATGACAGGATAACATTCAGTGTAACTTACAGAAAGATAAATGTTCCTCTTCTTGTTTATGATGTGGCACTTCCTTGTAGACCTGAGACTTCAAGAATTTAGGGCTAGAAAATTGTCAAAAGTATACAGTCTAGCAACCTAAAATTGTTTCAAAATATTAAGCCCTTCACTCGACTTTCTTGAGCATGATAAAGCAGCATCATGGACACACTCTTTAAAGCCCTTTTTCCACCTCTCATGCCTTTCCCTCACAAATATGCCTCAGCTGTTTCCACTTCTACTCCCTTAAATTCCAAGACAATCTCTGTCCCAGGCCTCAGTTGAGGTAATAAACCTGTGGCCTCCAGATAGGCTTTATTTGGCCTGCAAACTGTTTTCAAATTTCAGAAACTTCACATGCACACACACACATCCCAGATTTGGATCTTCGCTCTTGGTGACCATTGACCAGAGCTGTCCATGGGTACCTCTGAGATGGGGTTTATTCCCTTGACTTGGCCACCATGCCCAGCTAGGCTTATTATTTTCTCCCACCCCTCTGCTTTCACTCATTACGATAAGCATTAAACTACAGATTTAGAGTTTGTAACCCTTGACCTAGGCACACTTGTCTTTCTCGCCAATATTTTCCTCATCCTATAAAACAAAAGTCCAAAATCCTAGAGCCCCTAATCCTAGAGCCAGGGAGTTAGGGAGGTTAGATTAGAATCCTCAGGGTGACAGAGAACTGGGAACACCAATATTTATAGCTTTTGTCCTGTCTCAAAAAAAAAAAAAAGCAGGGGGAAAAAGACCTTTAAGAAGCACATTTATTTCATAGCAGCAACTGTTAATGTCCATGATAAACATATTTAAGTTTCTGCACACCCCTTATACTTATTGCTAAATCAAGGGAAAAAAAACTGCAGTGGAGTTTGTTTCCTTGTCGTGCCACCTATGATAAAGATCTCATTGTCAAGTGAGAAATGACAAAAACTATTGTCTTACTCTGTAGGACTGAACATATAGGATACTTGCCTATTCCTTTTAGGAACAAAGAAAGGCATAGCTAGGAAACGCTCTAGCCTAGACAAGCCAATGTTCTTGAACCCAAGGCTGATCTTCAGGCAATATACATGTTATTTAATTGAATAAGTTGTTACAATATTGAAAGACTTGCTGCCCAAGCCTCCTCCGCCTTACCAATGCCCACATTGGCCACCCAAACCTATTCTTCTGTGCTCCACAGATGTCCTCTGATTCCAGCATATACAAACGGACAGCAGAAGGCCTTCAAAATCCTGCTCTAGTCCCCTCAAAAGTCCTGGCTTCCAGGCATCACCAATGGCTACTGTCCCCCAAAGGCTCCTGAGAACTAGCTCGTGCCTTACAAACTGTTGCAAGAAGCCCAGATGGGCAGCACAGAAGGTCTACACTGGCACCTAGCAGCCTGCTTTCCTGCCAGACAGCCTGCCACAGCTCTTATTTGCCTACCCCATCCCTGCATTACACACCCCCAACCAAGTCAGAAGGAGATTGGAACCCCCCCAGAGGAGATAGTGCCTTTAGTGACATGCTGGTAGGTAAATACCTGGTGCACATGTAATTATACCTTGAATATGGTCACCTGTTGTCAGTCGCTAATCCCCTAAGAACCTCTCTCATGTAGTTGCTTATGAAAACTAGTCACCACAGGGCTTGAATTCTTAGCATAGTATAAAAAATGGACAACAGGAACTAGGGGGGTAATACAGGTTGCTGAGGCCACAAACAGAAGGATGTTGTCATAGATAGGCTAGCCTATGGGATGATTTGGGCTAACAGATGTCTAAGGTAAGGAGTTTTTATGGTCCATGTTAATAGTCACCTCCATTTTAAACCCCCAAAGCCCAACTGATGTGGGTATTAACACTTTTAATTTTATTCTTATTTAGTGATTGTGCCAGGCATCCTTAAAAACATATATTAACTCCTAATAGTACTGCATTTGTCAGCATCACCATTTTACAGATGAGGAAACTGGGGCTTAGGTCATTTAAAACTTAATGGCAGAGCTAGAATTTTAACCCAAGCAGCCCAATAATAGATGTTTCATGTAGTGGATTAGGTTTAACCTAATTAAATATTCTAATAAACCATTTTTATGACAGTAATGATATCAAATACAAGGTGTATAATACCTTATTATATCTCAGTATTACAAGGGCTAGAAAAATGTTCATATATTTGCTATTTAGCAAAGGTTAAACAGGTTTATGAATAATAAATATCATTTACATAAAGAGAAATGCTTTTTTTCAAATAAATAAATACAAGTCATCCAATGACAATCAATTTGAAATCATTGGAAGTATTTTATGTGGTTCTCTGCATCGTCATGGCTTGTACAAAAAAAAAATCTAGCAAGTGACATCTAAGTCAAGCAAAGATCAACCAAAAATTTCTAAAATTCAACAATTTATTTGGAAATTTCTAGGAAAATTGTATAAGCTATTTTTACTACAACACACATCACTCAATAAGCAGTCTTATAATTCATATTGTTTAGAGAATAAAAGCAAGTTTTCTGGTATATGTGTTAACTTATAATAGTGTACCAGCCACTAAATATTTTAACATCACCCTTGCTTCCAGCCTCATTATAAGCATGACATGTCACTTAGATTTTCCTTATGAAAACAAGGATCTGCAGTTCACAGCATAAAATATGAGAATACCCGATTAAGCCTTAGATGTGGAATGCACACGTCAGACAGTCTTGTTGAATTTTGGTAATATTAGTAAACAAAAATATGCTGATATTCATTAGCATCAGAAAACTAAGACACAAGCCAAGGGGACTTCTCAGCCATTTTTCTGCTTCAAAAGCACAAAAAGCAGAAAGCACTCATTATGTGAATACCAGAGTAACAATATTTCATCTTTACTTGTGTAATGAGAATGTTGAACAAGCATGACTCATATGAATTTTGATCAAAACACAAATTTATTTCTGTCTCTCACAGTTCCTTTAAACATCCTACTGAATGGTGAAAGAAATTTTCCCCTGCCTCAAGCTGAAGACTTGGTCAAACCTATGGCTTTTTAGGCACTCTCAGATCATAAAATTATTTGGTTATAAAAAGAAGTCTCGATTATAAAGTGTCTCATTTCAGACATTAAAATGTCCAATGCACGAAATAATGAAAACGCGTAAGATCTATACCATGGATTTGCCTTCAGGCTGCAAGCCTGCATTGAGATTGGGGCATAGTTATCTGTTTCCTTCTCTATGGACTCACTTTTTTCCCCTGCTGACAGGTGCTGGGTTTGCTCCCTTCAGAGATAAAACTTGGGGAGTAAGAAAAAGTAAGGAGAGGTCTTACTTGATTGGGGGTGGTGCACTCCATGACTGTGGTGGCTTAAGCAGATCTTTTCTCTTTTTCATTGGGCATCCAGTGATAGACCTTCAGCCTCTTTCTACTGAGGCATCTAGCCCATCTAGGCAGTCCTACTGGACAGGACCCAAGGTGTCTGTCTCCAGCTCTCTCTCCCACCTATCTCTCACCTGACCTGCATGTGTTACCTACCCTAATAATTCTATTGGAGGCAGATCCCAACTCAGCAGCACTCTTCAGACCTGCCAGTCAGAGCCATCAGCTTCCTCTAGCTACTAGATTTCTCCAGCCTGAAAAATCTCGTGTCTACCAACATCCGTGTCCCCCAACTCCACGGAACACATTTCAATGCTTTCCAAGTAGTCCTTTTAAATCACTTTATTAAACTTAGGATAGGAAGGTAGCACCCCCCTACGCCTCCCCCAAAAGAGAAGTGTGACCCACAGACAACGTGGGGAATCCCTTATCAGTCGCCTCTCACCAAATCCCACTCTATCCCATTTTTGTGTCTTTTATCTGATAGAAACAAATCTTTGATATCATTTCCTGTGTCCATCTGCACATGGGAAGGGGCAATTTTTCACTCTCTTTTTTGTGACCTGATGTTAATCAGGCCAGCCCCTCAGTAGATTCTCACATGAAAAGAATCTTGTTTTAACATCTTGTTGCAGTTGTCTTTTCCACACTTTTGGCTAGAGTGGTCTCATAATGTCTGGACCCTTTTAAACAGAAAACAAACAAAAACCATAAACACTCATTGAATGCTACATCTTCATCTGCTCTAGTGCCCTCAAGGCATTAAGAGCCAAGTTGAGGGAAGCAGATCATACACAACTAACCGTAGCCCAAGATAAACAGTGATAAGTGGTGGAAGCTTAAGTCACACAAAGATCCAGGGGACAAAAGGGGAGTCAGAAAGGACAAGGGGATGAGAAGGGACTTCGAAAGAAAAGGCATAAAGGCATGAGTGAAGGACACATTCTGAACATAAAAATCACCTGGTATATCTGGAGTAGAGGTAGGTCCAAAGAAAGGAGGCCAGGAAAAAAAAGGAGCTTGGAGACAGATTTTGGATCTTCTATCATATTCAAACGCTTGATTTCTATTGTGTAAGCTCGCAGAGTCATTAAAGGTTTTGAGGAGAAATGACATGATCAGATCTGAATTTTAAAAGAGTAATTTTGGCAACAATGTTGAGATTGTACTTAAAAGAAGGGTTGTTAGTTGGGGAAACCAGGGAGAGATCACTAGAGTCTGGGCCAGGGAGTAGCAGTGGTGGCATGGAGGAAGGAACAGGCTTAACACACTTTTGAAATAAAAGTGACAGAACTTAGTGACCATGGTATATGAGTTGGTTAGTCGAGAAAGAAATAAACCTGAGGCTTTTCACTAGCATAATCAAGTAGATGATAATGCAATTAACTAAGATGCAGTATGCAGGTGAAGAAGATGAGGTGTCAGTAGATTATCCAGAAAGAATGAAAGAAAGAAATCTCAGGAAATTATTAATTCCCATCTGGATCTTAGAAGTGGGATCATGACCAATGATGGTTATATTCTTATCACTCCAGATTCTGGATGGTCCCAAGCCAGGGGGGATTAAATAAGAGTAAGAGGAGTGGCTTGCCCTGATCATCTCTAACCCAACCATATTGATCAGTAATGAGCATTGCAAAAGCTTGGCTTTTGAAATAGAAAGAGTCCTATTTATCAGATGCCATGCATAAAATAGGAAATAATAGCTACAACTTGCATCTCCTATCCTTCATCCCAGGGCATTATTCTCTCCAAATTCAGGTGTTATCCCTTAGGATGGGTCCAGTTGACCATGGATGCAATGTTGATGACCACCCCAGTTCTATGACTTGTCTGTTCTGGGTCCCTGTAGATGTTGCTTGCTTTAGAGAAAGAGGAATTGAGTTTCAAAACATTATCTGAGCTAGTAGGATGCAGGCTACATCACATCGGTGGGCTTATTTTATCTTCAACTCCTCCTCTGTCATCATCAGTGTTGGCTCTATTAATTGGTCTATTGTCCCAAGACAGTTACATCTGAAATTGAGACAGCATCTTTTTCTTCTAATTGCTTTATTTGTCCTTGATATTCACTCATTAGACACCAGGTATATATTTACCTTAGCTCCATTTATTTTGTTTAGGGACAAAACATCTGATCATCGAGGAATAACATCCTAAGTCAGCAGTGGCCAGAACAAAGTTATTAATTTTCTGTGATCCCAAAATATTTGACATTTATTCTAATGTTCTCATTTGCCAAAGTTCATAATATCTTATAGGAATTTCCGAAATTCCTATAACATATAAATGATGCCAGTTCTAGGGAATAGATGAACTCATTCAGGCTGAGCTCACAATGGAGAGAATTAAAAAGTCCAAAATGAGACTTAGTGTAGTTTTCATATTGAAGTGACAAGTAGAGAAAAAGGGAGATCAGAAAAACTAAGGACTAGTCATTGGAGGGATGTTCCTAGGAGAAAATGTTACAGAAGCCACAAGAGTAGATGTTGCACAGGGTTAAAATCTGCATCTGCCAAATATGAGAAAGGAGAAGCATTTTACAATGGATCGCTCAGTGACTTTGCAGAATGATGGTGGATGCTGAAGATAGAACAAGGTTTCTTGTGCTGTACTTCTTCATTTCACTTTTATATAACAGTGGCAAATTGCAATATCTTCTCCAGCTCCTGAAGGACCATCTGAAAATAATTTCCCCACTCATAGCTTGGGGAACTTTGAATACAAATATTTTCCTCTAGAAATGCCTTTCATCCGGGGCACACGATGTTTGTCAACATCATCCATGATAAAAAGGCATCTCTCTGTGCTTTGGCATCTCACCCTGTCACTCCAACAGCTGTTTCTGAAAGCCAGCTTCTACTTTTATTTGTTCACAACCACCTGGATTTGCTATCTTGCTGGCCATGGATGCTAACTGACACTGGCTTCTAAATGAATATAAATTGATTTATTTGCTTGTATAATGAGAAAAGTACAAATACAATTTTTCAAAAGGGTAAACAGGCTTTGGTAAGTATATAAAGCAGCTTCAACTCAATGGAATATTGGGTTAAAATAAAGTGATTAAAGTCTGTTTCATTACTTATTCATCCATTTATCTTAGATTAAATCCTTTAACCAACCATTCCAACCACAAAAAAATGGTGATGGTAACCTTGCTTTTGTCCTTGTATTTCAGCCAGTTAGATTTCCAGCGTGATCTGTGATTTTCAAATGACAATTATTGAGTTTTCTCATTTATACATTACAAGAATAGTGGATGATGAGTTGATGAATTTAAAATCTACCTTCAGGGCCAGTCTGGAAAACCACAGTAGATTAAATCTGGTTACATAATTTATTGTGATTTCTTCTCCAGATACCTTTGAATGTATTATACAATCATGCAGTCATAAAACTGCCTTTGAATTATTTTCTATTTTGATCCAATTCCTATGCTCTCATATACATGCATGTGAGCATACTCTAAATAATCTACATTTTATGACGTGCCCATTCTAAAATTAAGTTAGTTTTTAATTTCTTAGTGGGAAGTGTTTCTGACAACTCCAGCATGAAAAGGAGAGGAGGAGACTGGGTTTGCAGGCTAGCTCTTAGAGAGAACTTGTAATTCCTCCCAGTTACATCACCTGTGCTTTCATTCCTGGTGCCAGAGGATCAATCGTGCTTGATTAGAGAAGCACATTCACAGCAACACAATCTGTGCAAAGCAGGAAAACTTCAAGAGGAGATGGGGCATTTACCTTTGTCTTGGAAGGAAATTTTGCAGTAATATAACAACAAAAATCACATTAAATAGTAACGTATAAATTGGTGACTTCCAGTCTTTTTAGAACATAGTTTAAATATAGGAAAGCAAGTAGAATACTTCTTCCAGATCATCAAATCCACATCCAATGTCATTCCTTCCCTTTTTACAGCAAAATTTCTCACCAATTTTCTCTAGAGAACCATCAAAGTTTAATACAATTAATTACATTAATTTGAGAGGAAGAGCCTATCTGTAATCTAAGTGAATAAAGTAAAAATTGAAGAAAAATTAGCAAAAAAATCTACACACTGGAAAAATAAATTCAAATTACCAACTATGATACAGCAGTTGGAAACAAGATGAGATATCTTTATTGTTGCAAAGGTGTTTCAATCACCAGGGCCATTATTCTCTATGCAAGACACTTGGCCGAATCTTCTTTCTTGTGTTTGAACCAATAGCAAAGCTCGTGCTCAGCTATTTCCAATTCCCCAGACATGACACCTAAGAGGAACCCATAACACCTATTCCTTGCGTGGTGGAATTTTCCTAACTCACTAAGCTATGGTCCTAACACTACTAGAAAGGAAACTTCCCAAATTCTCCTTTTGAAGAAATGTATGTTGTTCTTGCCAGCTAACATATTTTCTTCAGCAGACAAATGTGATTCTTACACAGGTTGGGTAAGTGTGCTCGTCTGTAATTCAATAACTATATGAGTTTTACAGCAAGATCTTATGGACTGGTTGGTATGAGTGTGATAAATCAGTCTTTTCCTTTGGGAAAAATGATCTTTAGGATCATTCCTTGGAAAAAGATTAAACCCGGGAATGATCACTTATGTAAATTAGAGGTTATAAACAGAGAATAATCAGTTTTAAGAAGCAGAATTAAATAACAGTCACTTGTTTGGTATTTTCAGCAATTTATATACAGATACATAATGGTAAATTATGGTTCTTACTGCTTATAATGTATTTAATGGAATCAAAATGTATTGCTTTTCAAATATGCCTTAAATGTTTTGATACATTGCCTCTTTTAAACTTCACAATAACTCTATGAGATAAATATTTTTATATTCATTTCATGTTAAAGAAATGAGAACCCATAAGGCTAAATAACTTGTCCACTATCACACAGATAATAAATGACTGAGAAGTACATGAATCCTTGTGATTGAAAACCCATCTTCATCCATGTCCGTGTGGGCTGGGGGGAGGGGGGAGGGATAGCATTACCTAATGTACATGACGAGTTGATGGGTGCAGCACACCAACATGGCACATGTATACATATGTAACAAACCTGCACGTTGTGCACATGTGCCCTAGAACTTAAAGTATAATAATATATATATATAAAGAAAAAAGAATTTAAAAAAATTTAAAAAAAAGAATATGTAGAACTTTAAATAAATCAAAAAAAGAAATGCTAATTATAAAAAGGGCATTAGCTTCTTATACTTGAGAATTTATTGAAATTTGCAGTTATATTTTTATTAAAATAAAACCCTCATCCTAATCCTGAAAGGAGAAACTGTGTAGTAGCATACAAAGAACATTAACTTTCTAATCCTGACCTTACTGTTTCTTGGTTATGTAACTTTAGGCAGCTTACTTACTTTTTTCTGTGCCTCAGTTTCTATACTTGAAAAATGGTGACACTGCTAGGTACACACACACACACACACACACACAAAATACAATTAAAAAGTGGGTGAAATTCACAATAGCAAAGACATGGAATCAACCCAAATGCCCATCAATGATAGTCTGGATAAAGAAAGTGTGGTACATATACAACATGGAATACTATGCAGCCATAAAAAGGAACGAGATCATGTCCTTTTCAGGGGCATGGGTGGAGTTAGAAGCCATTATCCTCAGCAAACTAATGCAGGAACAGAAAATCAAACACCACATGTTCTCACTTATAAGTGGCAGCTGAACAATGAGAACACATGGACACAGGGAGGGCAACAACACACACTGGGACCTGTCAGAGGGGGTAGGGGGAAGGAGAGTATCAGAATAAATAGCTAATGCATGCTGGACTTAATAGGTAGGTGATGGGTGGTTAGGTGCAGCAAACCACCATGGCAAATGTTTACCTATGTAACAAACCTGCATGTCCTGCACATGTATCCCAGAAAGTAAAATTAAATTAAATTAATTTTTGTTTTTTAAAAAGTGAGTGAATAGCTCACAGGATTGTTGTGAAATTTTATTTTATTATTTTATTTTATTTTTAGAGACAGAGTCTTGCTCTGTCACCCAGACTGGAGCACAGTGACACGATAATGACTTACTGCAGCCTCGAATTCCTAGACTCAAGTCATCCTCCTGCTTCAGTCTCTCAAGCAGCTCAGATTACAGGCATGCACCACCACACCCAGCTAATTTTTTAAAATTTTATTTTTTGTAGAGATAAGGTCTCATTTTGTTGCCCAGTCTGGTCTCAAACTCCTGGCCTCAAGCAATTCTCCCACCTCGGCCTCCCAAAGCCCTGGAATTACAGGCATGAGCCACTGCAACTGGCTTGTTGTGAATTTAAAATAAAATAATGTGTAGAGTTGTCTAATAAAGTACGTAATTGTAAGTGCTACATTTTTCTGCTGTTCCACTCTTTATATTTTTATGTTTAATAAAATATCACAGCATAAAATTTTATCAGAAGAATATACTATCATATTTTTTGTACCATGCTGTTCATTAAACTTGTATTATGAACATCTTTTCAATTCAATATAGGTTTGCATTATTTTTTATGACTTTATTGCATTTCGTTTTGTGAATATATTATAGCTGAATTAATTATTTATGTTTGAGCCTTTGGTCTGGTTTTTTTTGTTTGTTTGTTTGTTTGTTTTTGAGACAGAGTCTTACTCTTGCTCTGTCCCCGAGGCTGGAGGGCAGTGGCACGATCTCCGCTCACTGCAAGCTCCGCCTCCCGGGTTCGCGCCATTCTCCTGCCTCAGCCTCCCAAGTAGCTGGGACTATAGGCGCCAGCCACCACGGCTGGCTAATTTTTAGTATTTTTAGCAGAGACGGGGTTTCATCGTGTTAGCCAGAATGGTCTCGATCTCCTGACCTCATGGTCCGCCCGCCTCAGCCTCCCAAAGTGCTGGGATTACAGGCTTGAGCCACCGCAACCGGCAGGTCTGTTTTCAAATTTTCACTATTATAAGTGGTTCTGTTTTCCCATATCCCCACAAAGATTTGTAGTTATTTCCTTTGCAAAATTTTCTAGAAATGAAATTGTTGCGTCAAATGGTATCCAGATTTACAAGGGATTTTTATATATGTAGCCAAATTGTCTCCAGAAACTGTGTGTTAAGTTTTATGTTCACAATAGAGGGATACTTCCCCACTTCAATTCGTTTTCAATTTAGATCCTTTTGATAACAAGTGATGAAACACCATTCTCTTATTAAGTTTAAAAAATTTTTTTTGTCTTTTTCTTTTTTTTTTAATGGGTTTTCTTTTTTATTTATTTATTTATTTATTTTTTATACTTTAAGTTTTAGGGTACATGTGCACAATGTGCAGGTTAGTTACATATGTATATATGTGCCATGCTGGTGCGCTGCACCCACTAACTCGTCATCTAGCATTAGGTATATCTCCCAATGCTATCCCTCCCCCCTCCCCCCACCCCACCACAGGCCCCAGAGTGTGTGATATTCTCCTTCCTGTGTCCATGTGACCTCATTGTTCAATTCTCACCTATGAGTGAGAATATGCGGTGTTTGGTTTTTTGTTCTTGCGATAGTTTACTGAGAATGATGATTTCCAATTTCATCCATGTCCCTACAAAGGACATGAACTCATCATTTTTTATGGCTGCATAGTATTCCATGGTGTATACGTGCCACATTTTCTTAATCCAGTCTATCATTGGTGGACATTTGGGTTGGTTCCAAGTCTTTGCTATTGTGAATAATGCCGCAATAAACATACGTGTGCATGTGTCTTTATAGCAGCATGATTTATAGTCCTTTGGGTATACACCCAGTAATGGGATGGCTGGGTCAAATGGTATTTCTAGTTCTAGATCCCTGAGGAATCTCCACACTGACTTCCACAATGGTTGAACTAGTTTACAGTCCCACCAACAGTGTCAAAGTGTTCCTATTTCTCCACATCCTCTCCAGCACCTGTTGTTTCCTGACTTTTTAATGATCGCCATTCTAACTGGTGTGAGATGGTATCTCATTGTGGTTTTGATTTGCATTTCTCTGATGGCCAGTGATGATGAGCATTTTTTCATGTGTTTGGCTGCATAAATGTCTTCTTTTGAGAAGTGTCTGTTCATGTCCTTGCCCACTTTTTGATGGGGTTGTTTGTTTTTTTCTTGTAAATTTGTTTGAGTTCATTGTAGATTCTGGATATTAGCCCTTTGTCAGATGAGTAGGTTGCGAAAATTTTCTCCCATTTTGTAGGTTGCCTGTTCACTCTGATGGTAGTTTCTTTTGCTGTGCAGAAGCTCTTTAGTTTAATTAGATCCCATTTGTGAATTTTGTCTTTTGTTGCCATTGCTTTTGGTGTTTTGGACATGAAGTCCTTGCCCATGCCTATGTCCTGAATGGTAATGCCTAGGTTTTCTTCTAGGGTTTTTATGGTTTTAGGTCTAATGTTTAAGTCTTTAATCCATCTTGAATTGATTTTTGTATAAGGTGTAAGGAAGGGATCCAGTTTCAGCTTTCTACATATGGCTAGCCAGTTTTCCCAGCACCATTTATTAAATAGGGAATCCTTTCCCAATTGCTTGTTTTTCTCAGGTATTTCAAAGATCAGATAGTTGTAGATATGCGGCATTATTTCTGAGGGCTCTGTTCTGTTCCATTGATCTATATCTCTGTTTTGGTACCAGTACCATGCTGTTTTGGTTACCGTAGCCTTGTAGTATAGTTTGAAGTCACGTAGTGTGATGCCTCCAGCTTTGTTCTTTTGGCTTAGGATTGCCTTGGCGATGCGGGCTCTTTTTTGGTTCCATATGAACTTTAAAGTAGTTTTTTCCAATTCTGTGAAGAAAGTCATTGGTAGCTTGATGGGGATGGCATTGAATCTGTAAATTACCTTGGGCAGTATGGCCATTTTCATGATATTGATTCTTCCTACCCATGAGCGTGGAATGTTCTTCCATTTGTTTGTATCCTCTTTTATTTCCTTGAGCAGTGGTTTGTAGTTCTCCTTGAAGAGGTCCTTCACATCCCTTGTAAGTTGGATTCCTAGGTATTTTATTCTCTTTGAAGCAATTGTGAATGGGAGTTCACTCATGATTTGGCTCTCTGTTTGTCTGTTGTTGGTGTATAAGAATGCTTGTGATTTTTGTACATTGATTTTGTATCCTGAGACTTTGCTGAAGTTGCTTATCAGCTTAAGGAGATTTTGGGCTGAGACAATGGGGTTTTCTAGATATACAATCATGTCATCTGCAAACAGGGACAATTTGACTTCCTCTTTTCCTAATTGAATACCCTTTATTTCCTTCTCCTGCCTAATTGCCCTGGCCAGAACTTCCAACACTATGTTGAATAGGAGTGGTGAGAGAGGACATCCCTGTCTTGTGCCAGTTTTCAAAGAGAATGCTTCCAGTTTTTGCCCATTCAGTATGATATTGGCTGTGGGTTTGTCATAGACAGTTCTTATTATTTTGAAATACGTCCCATCAATACCTAATTTATTGAGAGTTTTTAGCATGAAGTGCTGTTGAATTTTGTCAAAGGCTTTTTCTGCATCTATTGAGATAATCATGTGGTTTTTGTCTTTGGCTCTGTTTATATGCTGGATTACATTTATTGATTTGCGTATATTGAACCAGCCTTGCATCCCAGGGATGAAGCCCACTTGATCATGGTGGATAAGCTTTTTGATGTGCTGCTGGATTTGTTTTGCCAGTATTTTATTGAGGATTTTTGCATCAATGTTCATCAAGGATATTGGTCTAAAATTCTCTTTTCTGGTTGTGTCTCTGCCCGGCTTTGGTATCAGAATGATGCTGGCCTCATAAAATGAGTTAGGGAGGATTCCCTCATTTTCTATTGATTGGAATAGTTTCAGAAGGAATGGTACCAGTTCCTCCTTGTACCTCTGGTAGAATTCGGCTGTGAATCCATCTGGTCCTGGACTCTTTTTGGTTGGTAAACTATTGATTATTGCCACAATTTCAGCTCCTATTATTGGTCTATTCAGAGATTCAACTTCTTCCTGGTTTAGTCTTGGGAGAGTGTATGTGTCGAGGAATTTATCCATTTCTTCTAGATTTTCTAGTTTATTTGTGTAGAGGTGTTTGTAGTATTCTCTGATGGTAGTTTGTATTTCTGTGGGATCGGTGGTGATATCCCCTTTATCATTTTTTTATTGTGTCTATTTGATTCTTCTCTCTTTTTTTCTTTATTAGTCTTGCTAGTGGTCTATCAATTTTGTTGATCCTTTCAAAAAACAGCTCCTGGATTCATTAATTTTTTGAAGGGTTTTTTGTGTCTCTATTTCCTTCAGTTCTGCTCTGATTTTAGTTATTTCTTGCCTTCTGCTAGCTTTTGAATGTGTTTGCTCTTGCTTTTCTAGTTCTTTTAATTGTGATGTTAGGGTGTCAATTTTGGATCTTTCCTGCTTTCTCTTGTGGGCATTTAGTGCTATAAATTTCCCTCTACACACTGCTTTGAATACGTCCCAGAGATTCTGGTATGTTGTGTCTTTGTTCTCGTTGGTTTCAAAGAACATCTTTATTTCTGCTTTCATTGCGTTATGTAACCAGTAGTCATTCAGGAGCAGGTTGTTCAGTTTCCATGTAGTTGAGCAGTTTTGAGTGAGATTCTTAATCCTGAGTTCTAGTTTGATTGCACTGTGGTCTGAGAGATAGTTTGTTATAATCTCTGTTCTTTTACATTTGCTGAGGAGAGCTTTACTTCCCAGTATGTGGTCAATTTTGGAATAGGTGTGGTGTGGTGCTGAAAAAAATGTATATTCTGTTGATTTGGGGTGGAGAGTTCTGTAGATGTCTATTAGGTCCGCTTGGTGCAGAGCTGAGTTCAATTCCTAGGTATCCTTGTTGACTTTCTGTCTCGTTGATCTGTCTAATGTTGACAGTGGGGTGTTAAAGTCTCCCATTATTAATGTGTGGGAGTCTAAGTCTCTTTGTAGGTCACTCAGGACTTGCTTTATGAATCTGGGTGCTCCTGTATTCAGTGCATATATATTTAGGATAGTTAGCTCTTCTTGTTGAATTGATCCCTTTACCATTATGTAATGGCCTTCTTTGTCTCTTTTGATCTTTGTTGGTTTAAAGTCTGTTTTATCAGAGACTAGGATTGCAACCCCTGCCTTTTTTTGTTTTCCATTTGCTTGGTAGATCTTCCTCCATCCTTTTATTTTGAGCATATGTGTGTCTCTGTACGTGAGATGGGTTTCCTGAATACAGCACACTGATGGGTCTTGACTCTTTATCCAATTTGCCAGTCTGTGTCTTTTAATTGGAGCATTTAGTCCATTTACATTTAAAGTTAATATTGTTATGTGTGAATTTGATCCTGTCATTATGATGTTAGCTGGTGATTTTGCTCGTTGGTTGATGCAGTTTCTTCCTAGTCTCGATGGTCTTTACATTTTGGCATGATTTTGCAGCGGCTGGTAACGGTTGTTCCTTTCCATGTTTAGCGCTTCCTTCAGGAGCTCTTTTAGGGCAGGCCTGGTGGTGACAAAATCTCTCAGCATTTGCTTGTCTGTAAAGTATTTTATTTCTCCTTCACTTATGAAGCTTAGTTTGGCTGGATATGAAATTCTGGGTTGAAAATTCTTTTCTTTAAGAATGTTGAATATTGGCCCCCACTCTCTTCTGGCTTGTAGGGTTTCTGCCGAGAGATCTGCTGTTAGTATGATGGGCTTCCTTTTGAGGGTAACCCGACCTTTCTCTCTGGCTGCCCTTAACATTTTTTCCTTCATTTCAACTTTGGTGAATCTGACAATTATGTGTCTTGGAGTTGCTCTTCTCGAGGAGTATCTTTGTGGCATTCTCTGTATTTCCTGAATCTGAACGTTGGCCTGCCTTGCTAGATTAGGGAAGTTCTCCTGGATAATATCCTGCAGAGTGTTTTCCAACTTGTTTCCATTCTCCCCATCACTTTCAGGTACACCAATCAGACGTAGATTTGGTCTTTTCACATAGTCCCATATTTCTTGGAGGCTTTGCTCATTTCTTTTTATTCTTTTTTCTCTAAACTTCCTTTCTCGCTTCATTTCATTCATTTCATCTTCCATCGCTGATACCCTTTCTTCCAGTTGATCACATCGGCTCCTGTGGCTTCTGCATTCTTCACGTAGTTCTCGAGCCTTGGTTTTCAGCTCCATCAGTTCCTTTAAGCACTTCTCTGTATTGGTTATTCTAGTTATACATTCTTCTAAATTTTTTTCAAAGTTTTCAACTTCTTTGCCTTTGGTTTGAATGTCCTCCCATAGTTCAGAGTAATTTGATCGTCTGAAGCCTTCTTCTCTCAGCTCGTCAAAGTCATTCTCCATCCAGCTTTGTTCCGTTGCTGGTGAGGAACTGCGTTCCTTTGGAGGAGGAGAGGCGCTCTGCGTTTTAGAGTTTCCAGTTTTTCTGTTCTGTTTTTTCCCCATCTTTGTGGTTTTATCTACTTTTGGTCTTTGATGATGGTGATGTACAGATGGGTTTTTGGTGTGGATGTCCTTTCTGTTTGTTAGTTTTCCTTCTAACAGACAGGACCCTCAGCTGCAGGTCTGTTGGAATACCCTGCCGTGTGAGGTGTCAGTGTGCCCCTGCTGGGGAGTGCCTCCCAGTTAGGCTGCTCGGGGGTCAGGGGTCAGGGACCCACTTGAGGAGGCAGTCTGCCCGTTCTCAGATCTCCAGCTGCGTGCTGGGAGAACCACTGCTCTCTTCCAAGCTGTCAGACAGTGACATTTAAGTCTGCAGAGGTTACTGCTGTCTTTTTGTTTGTCTGTGCCCTTCCCCCAGAGGTGGAGCCTACAGAGGCAGGCAGGCCTCCTTGAGCTGTGGTGGGCTCCACCCAGTTGGAGCTTCCGGGCTGCTTTGTTTACCTAAGCAAGCCTGGGCAATGGCGGGCGCCCCTCCCCCAGCCTCGCTGCCGCCTTGCAGTTTGATCTCAGACTGCTGTGCTAGCAATCAGCGAGACTCCATGGGTGTAGGACCCTCCGAGCCAGGTGCGGGATATAATCTCGTGGTGCGCCGTTTTTTAAGCAGGTCCAAAAAGCGCAATATTCGGGTGGGAGTGACCTGATTTTCCAGGTGCGTCCGTCACCCCTTTCTTTGACTCAGAAAGGGAACTCCCTGACCCCTTGCGCTTCCCAAGTGAGGCAATGCCTCGCCCTGCTTCGGCTCGCGCACGGTGCGCGCACCCACTGACCTGCGCCCACTGTCTGGCACTCCCTAGTGAGATGAACCCGGTACCTCAGATGGAAATGCAGAAATCACCCGTCTTCTGCGTCGCTCACGCTGGGAGCTGTGTACCGGAGCTGTTCCTATTCGGCCATCTTGGCTCCTCCCCCACCAAAAAAAATTTTTTAAAAAACCTATGATTTAGATTAGGGATTTGCAAACTTGGTCTGTGAAAAGCCAGGTAGCAAATATTTCAGATTTCACTCATCGTACCTTCTCTGTCTGCTCAACTCTGCTGTTGTAACATGGAAGCAGCAATAGGCGAAACATAGAGAAATCAGTGTAGCTGTGTTCTAATAAAAATTCATTCATGGACACTGAAATCTGAATTTCATATAATTTTCACATGTCTCAAAATGTATTTTACTTTAATTTTTGTTCATTTAAAAATATAAAAAACATTATTGGCCAGTCATGGTGGCTGATGCCTGTAATCCCAGCACTTAGGGAGGCCAATGCAGGGGGATCACTTGAGCCCAGGCGTTCAAGATCAGCCTGGACAACATGTCGAAAGCTGTCTCTACAAAAAATACAAAAATTAGCCAGGCATGGTGGCTCACACTTTTGGTCCTAGCTACTCAGGAGACTGAGGCCAGAGGATCGCTTGAGCCTGCAAGGTCAAGGTTGTAATGAGCCAAGATCGTGCCCAGCACTCCAGCTTGGGTAACAGCATGAGATCCTGTCAAAAAAAAAGAAAAGAAAAAGAAAAAGTAAATAAAACCATACTCATATGTAAAAACCATCTTTAGCCAACACAAACGATGAACCTCATTTGGCCTAGGCTGTATTGTAATGACTCCTGAGTTGGTTAGATGTAGTGAGATTTCACGTGGTTCATACTCCCTGATTTTTACCTCAGGAAGACAAGGGAAGAGGTAGTAGCATAGATGGAAAGACAACCATTAAAGAGACTGGTACCCTTTACTCTAAATAAAAAGTTATAGCTTTCATGATCGAATGACTTCAAATCCTGGTCTATAATTTACTACCAGTGTAAATTAGCCTTTCCAAACCTCAGGTTTTCCTCAACAATAATGAAGCTAGAATCATCCATATGGTCCCCCTACTTCATGTGGAAGTAGTTAACTTTATTCTTCAGTGTTCTGGAAAACTCACGCATGAGGTGATGCAATAATATATTGGATGCATGTGTGAAAATGGACAGTGAAGCTGATATTTATACATAAGCAGTTATTTTGCATTGCTTTCTTTGCAGCAACAATTAACCTGACGTTCTGGTACTTTGAAGTAATTATTCCCTTGCTTTTGTCTAATGCTTTTAGTTTTATTAAACATTTTCAACCTTTTATTTATTTAAGTCTTAAAATAATCCTCTGGGATATATATTCCTGCCACATTTTATAGAGAGGAAACTGATATGAAGTCATTTCCCAAGATTATGCAGAATACAGCTAGTTAATAAAAGAACTATATGTTGAACACAGATCTTCTAACGTCATGTTCAGGCTTTTTCCTACATCCAGAAGGATTCTTTCACATATGAAAAAACTAGGTAGCTACCTTTTCTGTTGGCCCCCTATCCTGGAGCTGCCACTCATTGCCTGGATCTCACAGAAATTCAAAATGAGTCTGCCCCTCTCTTCATAGCCTCTGCTGTCGTAAATAGTCATGGTTTAGAACATGACTTTTCAACTTTAAACAACTTCGCAGTTTATCAAACTACTAGGGATTCTGTGAGTCAAAAGCAGCTGTAGTATTATAAAATATATCTTTGATCTTTGTCCCTGTTTCCCAACATAAAAATCCTAAAATCCTTGGAATTTCCAAAGTGATGTATATTTTTGTGTGCTCATGAGTTGACAGATGGCTGGCAGTCCCTAGGTAACTTCAGGATAGGGGCTAGTCACAAGAAAGACCGAGGCATGATTAGAGAGTTGAGACTTTTCAGCCCTACCCCTCAACTTCTGGGGAGGTGAGAGGGGCTGAAAGTATTGATCACCAATACCTAGTGACTTAATCAATCATGCTTACATAGTTAAGTGTTCATAAAAGCCCAAAATGACTGTATTCAGAGAGCTTCCAGATAGTTGGACACGTGGAGGTTCCTGGAAGGTAGTGCACCCAGAGAGAGCATGAAACTCTGCATCACTTCCCACTTGCCTTTCCTATGCATCTCCTCCATCTGGTGCTCATCAGTATCCTTTGTAATATCCTTAAAATAAACCAGTAAATTTTAAGTGTTTCCTTGAGTTCTGTCAGCTGCTCTAGCAAATTATTCAAACCCAAGGTGGGGACGGTGGTAGCCTCGATTTATTGCCTTCAATGAGAAGCACAGGGAAAACAATCTGGGGCTTGCAATTGACATCTGAAGTGAGGGGCAGGCTTGTAGAAATGAGCCTTCAACCTGTGGGATCTGATGCTATGTCCAGGAAGATAGTGTCAGAATTGTTTTAAAGTAGAGAATGCTAGCTGGGTTGTGGGGTGTGAGAGTACGGGAAAAACAAACTGTTTGTTTGATTATTTTTTCTAAAGACTAGATTAAACCCTGGGCTGGGCAATTGGAGGTCAAAATGATCAGAGATGAACAGACCCACAGAATGAAGCTGACTCACATGAACAAGGAAGCTGTAGTGAGAACTGCTGCTGTAGTCCATTTAGCATCTTTGTTTCATCCACAGTTCTGTCTCAGTAGGGTCACAGCATAACTTCCATGTTTGTGTGATTTCCTTCCTTATAATACTTCCCTTCCTTTAAGCTAGTCTGAATGGGTCTCTGTTTCTTCCAACCAAATTAGCTCCAAATAAAACATCCTGATTAAGCCATTGAACATTTTTATTTCTTTCGTACAATATGTAAATACCTACATAGGTCCATAAAATTTGGGGGAGGAATACAAGAGTCATTAAATATATTGGAGAAGAGCCAAGATGGCTGACTAGATGCAGCTAAGAGGAGCTTTCCCACCGAGAGACCAGACCAACAAAATCGGCACACTCCAAGCAGATCTTCAGAAGGAAGGTATTGAGAATGGACAGAGGGAGGGTGCAGACCCTGGGGAAGGGGTGAGTTAAACAGGCAAGGAGTGGCCCACTCTCACAATAGACCTCTAGAATCCCAGCTGCAGGAGACCTCACAACCCCCACAGACATTTGAGCTCACAGGGAGATCTGTTTGGAGAGTTGTCAGGGACAGGACTCTAGTCTGCGAGGAGCCCAGAAGGTTTGATGTGGGAAAAGCTGCTGTGAAATATGAGCCCCCAAGGCTCGCCACACTCCTCTAAGTGGTTTTGGCTTTTGTTGACTGTTGGATCTGTCTTGCTTATGAGATGGGTCCAGGATAATCTAAGCACACCCTGTCTGCTGGCCTATCCTGGGTTCCCTCCCTCACCGTGCCTGCTTGCAGCACAGCTTTGGATGCCCAAGTAGGGTGCTTCCCAGTGGCTGCCACCATAGCTTCTTTGTTGGCAGACCCCATCTAACCACTGGAAAGCTTCTGCAGATGGACCTCCCCACCACCACTTTGCTAGTGTGTACTCACCTGCAGCTTTCCCTATCACTTTGCAAGGCACACATATGCATGAGGACCCCGCTACCCCACTGGTGCCTGCACATGCATGCATGCAGACCCCACTGTCACCACCTCAACAAAGCACTTTTGCTAGCACCCCACCATTGCAGTATTGTTGCCAGCAAACCAGCAATAAATACCTAGGACCTTCCAGCACAGCAGGTGCTTAACAGCTCAACACTTTTGGGCTGTGTGCTCTAATCCTGGGGGGCCGGGACAAGTCTCATGGCCACCAAACAAAGCCATGAGCCTGGTCCCGGGCCTCTAGCATTAGAGCACACAGCCCAAAAGTGTTAGGTTGAGCCTTGGCCCCCTGAAATCATCCAGAAATGAAGCCAGTCAATGGAGCCTAACTTATACTACAGTCAAATCCTCAAAGGCATCAAAGAGTGTAACAGCAAAAAGCCCCATCCAAAGGACATCTTCAAAAATTAAAGGAATATCAGCCCACACAGATGAGAAAGAACCAGCACAAGAACTCTGGCAACTCAAAAAGCCAGAGTGTCGTCTTATCTCCAAATTATTGCACTAGCTTTCCAGCAGTGGTTCTTAACCAAGCTGAAATGGTCGAAATGAGAGGCACAGAATTCAAAATCTGTATGGCAATGAAGGTCACTGAGATTCAGAAGAAATGTGAATCCCAATCCAAGGAAACTAAGGAATCCAGTAAAATGATACAGGAACTGAAAGATGAAATAGTCATTTTTAGAAAGAACCAAACTGATCTGATAGAGCTGAAAAACTCACTACCAGAATTTTATAATATAATCAGAAGTATTAACAGCAGAATAGACCAAACTGAGGAAAGAATATGAGAGCTCAAAAACCAGTTCCTCTAATCCACTCAGTCACACAAAAATAAAGAAAAAAGAATAAAAAAGAATGAGCAAAACCTCTTAGATATATGGGATTATGTAAAAAACAAACCTACAACTCATTAGCCTCCCTGAAAGAAAAGGAGAGAGAGCAACCAACTTGGAAAACATATTTGAGGATATTGTCCATGAAAATTTCCTCAACCTCACTAGAGAGGTCTACATTCAAATTCGGGACATTAAGAGGACTCCCTTAAGATACTATACAAGATAACCATCCCTAAGACACATAGTCATCAGATTCTCCAAGGTCGATATAAAAGAAAAATTATTAAAGGCAGCAAGAGAGAAGGGGCAGGTCACCTACAAGGGAACCTCATCAGGCTAACAGCAGACCTTCAGGCAGAAACCCTATAATCCAGAAGAGATTGGGAGCCTATATTTTGCATTCTTGAAGAAAAGAAATTCCAACCAGGAATTTAATATCCAGCCAAATTAAGCTTCATAAGCAAATCCTTTTCAGACAAGCAAATGCTGAGAGTTTGTTACTACCAGACCTACTTTACAAGTCGTCTTTAAGGGAGTGCTAAATATGGAAATGAAAGACCATTACTGACTACCACAAAAACATACTTAAGTACATAGGCCATTAACATTATAAAGCAACTACCACATCAAGTCTATGTAACAACTAGCTAACAGCATAATGACAGGATCAAATTCACACATTTCAATATTAACCTTGAATGTAAATGTGCTAAATATCCATTTAAAAGTCACAGAATGGCAAGCTGGATAAAGAAGCAAGACCCAACTGTATACTATCTGCAAGAGACTCATCTCACATGCAATGACACCAAAGGTTCAAAGAAAAGGGTTGGAGAAAAGTCTATCAAGCAAATAGAAAACAAAAAAAGAGCAGGGGTTGTTATTCTGATTTCAGACAAAACAAACTTTAAACCAGCAGGGATCAAAAAGGACAAAGAAGGGCATTACATAATAATAAAGGGTTCAATTCAACAAGACTCAACAACACTAAATACATATGCACCTAACACTGG
The DNA here is from genome assembly GCF_000001405.40 of Homo sapiens. Lineage (NCBI taxonomy): Eukaryota > Metazoa > Chordata > Mammalia > Primates > Hominidae > Homo > Homo sapiens. The sequence goes on from NC_000002.12 coordinate 209,757,503, forward strand.
AGCACCCAGACTCATAAAACAAGTTCTTAGAGACCTACAAAGAGACTTAGATAACCACACAATAATAGTGGGAGGCTTTAACACCCGACTAACAGTATTAGATCAAGGCAGAAAACTAACAAAAATATTCAGGACTTAAATTTGACACTTTACCAAATGAACCTAAAAGACATCAACAGAACACTCCACCAACAACAGAGTATACATTCTTCTCATCTGCACGTAGCACATACTCTAAAATTGACCTCACACTCATCCATAAAGCAATTCTCAACAAATTTTTTTAAAAATCATACAAACCACACTCTCAGACCACGGCTCAGTAAAAATAGAAATCAATACCAAGATGACATCTCAGAACCATACGATTCCATGGAAATTGAACAACCTGCTCCTGAATGACTTTTGGGCAAACAATAAAATTAAGTCAGAAATCAAGAAGTTCATTGAAACTAACAAAAATGAGGATACAAGACAAAAGAACCTATGGCATACAGCTAAAGCAGTGTTAAGAGGAAAGTTTATAGTGCTAAACACCCACATCAAAAAGTTAGAAAGAACTCAAATTAACAACCTAACATCACTCCTAGAGGAACTAGAAAAACAAGATCAAACCAACCCCAAAGCTAGTAGAAGAAAAGAAATAACCAAAATCAGAGCTGAACTGAACTAAATGGAGAGGTGAAAAACCATGCAAAAGATCAACAAAATCAAAAGTTGTTTTGTTGAATGAATAAATAAGATTGATAGACTGCTAGCTAGACTAATAAACAAAAAAAAGAGAAGATCCAAATAAACACAATCAGAAATGACAAAGGGGACATTATCACTGACCCCATAGAAAAACAAAAAAGCCCTAAAGACTATTATGAACAACTGTATGCACATGAACTAGAAACCCTAGAAGAAATGGAGAGATTTCTGGAAATATACAACCTCCGATGATTGAACCAGGAAGAAATTGAAAACCTGAAAAGACCAATAGCGAGTTCTGAAATTTAACAGTAATAAAAAGTCTACCAACCAGAAAAAGCCCTGGACCAGAATGACTCACAGCCAAATTATACCATATATATAAAGAAGAGCTGGTACCACTCCTACTGAAACTATTCCAAAAACCTGAGGAGGAGGGCCTCCTCCCTAACTCATTCTACGAAGCCAGCAGAATTCTGATACCCAAATTTGGCAGAGATACAACAAAAAAAGAAAACTCCAGGCCAATATCCCTGATGAATATAGATGCAAAAGTCCTCAACAAAATACTAGGAAACTGAATTCAGCAGCACATCAAAGAACTAATCCTCTATGATCAAATAGGCTTTATTCCTGAGATGCAAGTTTGCCTCAATATATGCAAATCAATAAATAGATTCATCATATAAACAGAACTAAAAACAAGAACCACATGATTATCTCAATAGACAGAAAAAAATGCTTTGGATAAAATTCTACATCCCTTCATGTTAAAAACCCTCAACAAACTAGGCTTCAAAGGAACATGCCTCAAAATACTAAGAGCCATCTATGACAAACCCATAGCCAACATCATACTGAATGGGCAAAAGCCGGAAGCATTCCCCTTGAGTACCAGAACAAGACAAGGATGCCCATTCTCACCACTCTTATTCAACATAGAACTGGAAGTCTATGCCAGAGCAATCAGGCAAGAGAAAAATAAGCATCCAAATACAAAGAAAGGAAGTCAAACTATCTCTATTAGCAGATGATATGATTCTATGCCAAGAAAACCCCAGAGTCTCTGCTCAAAGGTTCCTAGACTGATAAATAACTTCAGCAAAGTTTCAGGATACAAAACCAATGTATAAAAATTAGTAGCATTTCTATACACCAATAACATCCAAGCTGAGAACTGAATAAAAAATGCAATTCCATTCACAATAGCCACAAAAAGAATAAAATACCTAGAAGCACAGCTAACCAGATAGATTAGAGTCTCTACAATAAGAATTACACAACACTGCTGAAAGAAATCAGCAATGGCACAAACCAATGGAAACACATTCCATGCTCATGGATAGGAAGTATCAATATTGTTAAAATGACCATACTGCCCAAAGTAATTTACAGATTCAACGCTATTCCTATCAAACTATCACTAATATTTTTCACAGAATTAGAAAATAAAATTCATATGGAACAAAAAAAGCCCGAATAGCCAGAGCAACCCTAAGCAAAAACAATAAAGCCATAGGCATCACACCATCCAACTTCAAACTATACTACAAGGCCACAGTAACCAAAACAGCATGGTACTGTTACAAAAACGGACACATAGACCAATGGAACAGGCTAGAGAACCCAGAGATGAAACCACACACCTATAGCCATCTGACTTTCAACAAAGTGGACAAAAATGAACAATGGGGAAAGGACTTGTTATTCAATAAATGGTGCTGGGATGACTGGCAAGCCATATGCAGAAGATTGAAATTGGACCACTTCCTTTCACCATATACAAAAATCAACTCAAGATGGATTAAAGACTTCAATGTAAAACCTAAAACTATTAAAAGAAAGTTCAGAAGAAAACCTAGTCAATACCATTCTGGACACAGGAACAGGCAAATATTTCATGAAGAAAACTCCAAAAGCAATTTCAGCAAAAACAAAAACTGACAAGTGGGACCTAATTAAACTAAAGAGCTTCTGCACAGCAAAAGAGATTATCAACAGAATATATAGACGAATGACAAAATGGGAAAAAAAGATGTGCAAACTATGCATCTGACAAATGTCTAAGATCCAGAATCTATAAGGAACTTAAACAAATTAACAAGTAAAAAACAAACAATCCCATTGAATAATGGGCAAAGGACATAAACAGACATTTCTTTAAAGAAGATGTACATATTGGAAGGAAAAAAGTATATATACACACACATATATTTACACATAAGATTGTAAAAACAATAGAGAAGAAAACTAGTACTCACAGGTTGAATCAACATCAAAAGCTCCATATCTATGTAAGCATTGAGCACATTCAAAAAATATAATTAAAGTAGGCAAAGTAGATTTTGAATTACTTCTCAAAGGAATCAAAGAACACTGATTATTACACACTATGATACATACTTTGTGTTAGTCCTGTTCCATGTTCAAATGTTAATTAAAGGCTTGATGGTAGAAATTGGTAGACTGTCTGTACTTTGATGGCATCTTTTTCTGCTTTTCCTGGTGAAAAAAAACTCCACTTTCTTGGCTAATCCTTTTTATACAACAGTTAGAATAGTTTACATCTATTTTTCAATTTTTTTATGTAGCCATGTTTTCTATACTAAAATAATAAAAGTCAGATAATTATCATTTTGTTCCTTTAACATATTCAGCATTTACCTTTGGGTGGGGCTACTTACCTGCTTTTTCTACTGCACATTTATTTTGGATTCAGTTGGATTTAGGATGCCATGGTTCATTCTGTTTGCACATTATCATCATCTGCAGAGCTTTGTAAAAATATTCGGAAGCTTGCCCACCCTCCAAAAATTCTGATTTAATTGATCTGGGCTAGAACTCAGATACTCATACTTTTTAAATTCCTCTGGTAAGATTCTAATGACTAGGATTTTGAATCATTAGTTTTGAGAAGCCTACCCAACCTCTTCTAGATACCTAGTTATTCAACATGAAGATTGATATGTGGCTTAGTTCTCATTGACATAAAATAATATTGATCCAGGTGCACACCACTTTGAATCATGAAACAGAAAAAGAGATGGGTCTTGGTATATTGGTAACTCAGAGGTGCCATGTGAAATGGCATTTCACAGAGGGACTTAGGAAAGCTTATGAGATCTTGATTTCATCAATTGGAAGGATAATGCTGAAAAAGCAGAATTAAAGTATTCCAAACCAATTAATATTTACTTGTGTTAGTAATACTTCCCAATCATAATCACTACTGTTACTCACTTTCAATGCCAGGTATCTTCAATTAGTTCTTTGGTTCTATTAATAGTTATTGCTTGCCTCTTTAAAAGAGAAAACACTAACTTTCAGAGTTTGATGATATTTGAAATCAAATTGCAAATGCTTCTGCAGATCAGCTTCCCCTCCTTTGGGGAGAAAGCGCCTCCCATGATTATACTGTTGGATTTTCTGGAAGCAGACTCCTGGATACACTTATGGGTACAAAAAATAATAGTTGTATTCACTGTGGAATGAGAAATTTCTCTCTACTAGGGAGAGGTCAGGGTCTGGGGTCAGCACTGCTGTCCTATGGCTGAGTCATAGACAGAAGCTGCCATTCTGGGAGAGAGCACAAGTGAAGAATGAGGAGTAAAGAGACAAGAGCAGCAGCAAGGACGAAGTGCTTCAGCAAGACCTTCTCTCCCTGTTTCACAAGGCAGCTTAAGCATTACAGGCTCTCTTCACCAATTAAGGTATTTCTGAAATTCCAGCCAGTCACACACAAACAAACATTTCATGAATAGAAATATGTCAATAGAATATTTAAGTGCAAATATTGCATTTCCACATTTTACAAGAATACACTTTCTAAAATAAACTATTTAATTTTTTATAAATTGGCTCCTCTGCAGAAATGGTTTAAAAGCTAGGAAAACATGAATTGCAGCATTTTTTTAACAGGTGGTAGTATAAAGAAAGTTTTTAAAAAATTTTTTTCTATACTTCAGTGCAAAGATTAAATTGAGATGTAGTTTTCTAAAGGGCAGTTTGGCATTTTTCACCTTAATAAAATGAAGCCTCCTCCATTATGACATAATACGAAATGAAAGCTTGAACATTTTCATCACATCATATGACAAATAGTATATATAATAATGAAGGCTCAGGATTAAAAATGTTTCAAACCATATTCGTGTCGAAGGAAAATGAATACTGGGTGACTCAAAAAATATGGCTTCTAGCATCGTGAACCAACTTAAACACTGAAAGATGTGATTGTCTATAAAACAAGAAACAAATTAAGGAGGCTTTGAGATATTGAAGTCTACCTGAAGTACAATATATACATTTCTTTTTGCCTTCTTAAATCTCTGTAGAAGAATAAGATTTTGTATTCCTGAAACAGACTGTGAGACAATTGATAGGAATCAGATATCTGGTATAAATTTTTTTGGTGAAGCCACTGAAATTAAAGTTAAAACAGATATCTGGCCAATTAAAGAACTGACCATTCATGTTTTATGATTTCAAATATGTGAATCCTAAAATGGTGTCAGGAACTAGCATCTACCTCTGTACTGTACAGGCATCAGTGTGTGATGCTGAGTCACTTAACCCTGTGCTTCAGGGATGTGTTGACTAATAAGCCCTAATAAGAAGTCAAGTGAAAAAAAATGTAAGTGCATTGGATTGCAATATTAAGACAAGATGAAAAAAAAACACTGAGCTACAGAAGAGTTCATTTGAAAGGCTAAAATCTATGTCATAATGTGAAAAGAATATTACTAATTACAGAGTAGAACAGGCACTGTTCCAAGTGCTTTATCTATACTGTAGTAATTTTAAAACTTGTCCAAAATTTCTTTGATACTCCTCCTCATTGAGATTTGAGGTTTATATCGCTTTCTCTTGACTCTGGAGCCACCTTAACGACTTGCTTATAACCAATAAACTGCAGCAGAAATGTTGCTATGTGACTTTCGAGACTAGATAAGAAAAGACTGTGCAACTTCCTCCTGGTTCTCTTGGGATGTTCACTCTGAGTGAAGTGAGCTGTAAAAAGTCAAACTACCCTGAGACTGACACTTAGGAGAGGCCCTGTATATTCACTCCAGTGGACAGTCCAAACTGAGCTCCCAGTTGTCAGCCATCATCAACTGTCAACATGTGAGTGATTCATCTGCTGTACATGGCCCATTCAAGTCTTCAAAATAACAACAGCCCCAGCCACATCTTACTGTAATCGCAGGAGAGACTCTAAATGAGAACGTCTTGCTGAGATCTCCCAAATTCCTGACTCATAAATCATGAGCACAACAAAATGGTTGTTTTATGCTGTTAAGATTTAGACTAACGATTTGTTATACAACAATAGTAACCAAAAAATATATTAACTCTAATCCTCATAACAACCTTACAAAATAGCTACTCTTATTCCCATTTCTTGGATAAGGAAATTGATTCCCATTGATATTAAATGGCATTCCCAACGTTACATGGCTTGTGAGCAGCAGTGCTGATATCTGAACCCAGGTAGTCAGCCTCCAGGGTCATTTCTCTTAAGTATCTCGAAATGGATATTGTCGTCTCTGAACTTTTGTGCCATCTCAGATCCTTTTGGCGTCACCTGACTCTGGAGCCAGTCACCACTTCTTTCAGCTGCAGTCACCTCTACAGAGATTAATGCTAAGCGGACTGTTGCCAACTTCATCTTGCCTAATGCCCCTGCTACCTACTGTCAGCTAGGGACCCAGAAATTCCCTGTATTGATGCTAAGACATGACATGCTGTAGTACCCTCTTTGAGCCCACACATATGTGTCTAGGCACTGTGGAAGAGCTAACACCCCATAAGGCAAAATGTACCTCCAGAAAGAACTCTTCTACTTTTCTTCTGTAGACAAACTCTCCTGAGAAGCAGTAGTTTCAAGAAGTGGGCTCCTAGAAGGTAGTCTCCAGATCAAGTAATCAACTGCATTTGATACCAAGTAGCACTCAGTCTGGTAATGCACCATTCTATTAGCTGTGCCTTCTTTCCCACTTCTGATTTCTTCACTCCTGCCCCCTTAGATTGTTCTCACCAATAAGAACTAACACATAGGCCAGTGTTTCCAGCCCTGCTTTCTGAGAAGCTTGGACCAAGATAATGTCCAACCATGTTTTTATTAAATTATTATGCCTATATATACCTAAAATATATAGCATTGTTTTGCATATTTTAAATTAAAATAAATATTATTATACCATAAGATCATTTCACAAGTTGTTCACTCAACACTGTGTTTTGGAAATTTCCCTATGTAGCTATATGGAGCTCTAATTCATATGTGTTAAATGTTAAATATTATGTCATTGTGTGAATATGTTACAGATAATTTATTTCTTCTTCTGTATATGAATATGCATAGGATCCCTAGAATTCACTACTAAAATGTTAGTGTAATGAACAACTACTGTTCTTCTCTTTTTGTGTGTGCATGTGATAAGTCCTTCAGGGGCTACTTAGAGAATTGTTAGATTGAAGTATGCACATGTTTCAATTTTACTAGATATTTTAAAATTTGTTTCTAAATGATTTTATAAAGTAAATCCTTACTGGCACTTCTACAAATTCTTAACAAAGCTCGGTATTATGAGTCTTTTAAAAAAACTCGTTTAATTTTGTGTAATTGGAAAATAGTGAAATTGTTGGTTTTAATTCCCTTTCCCAGATTATTTATGAGATTGAACACGTTGATTATTATTGAGGCTACTGATGAGATATGAGCATGTTATCATTTCTCATTTTTTTCACTTTTTGTCTTTGATTTTTGCTTTTGCAATAATTCTTGATATATTCTGGGTCCTAGATCTCTGTTGATTGAATGTATTGCAAATATCTTTTCCCAGTATAGAATATCTACTTTCATTTATTAGGGGTCTTTCACTGTAGAGACTACTTAATATTTTAAAAGATCTATATTTTCTTATGTAGCTTTAACTTTTTTATCTTTTACAAGAAAAACTCAAATAATTTATAAGAAACCAGGAGTTTAAACAATCTGTTTATCTTTAAAAATTAAGTTTTACTTTTCAAATTTAGGTCTCTAACTCATGTTAAACTTATTATTTGGTACTGTTTCACATAGAAATCTTGTTTTTTTTCTCAATAGATACAACACATCCCACTGTGTCATGTGATTTTCTTAGATTTCATTGTTGGACATTTTATTCTTTTCTACTCGTTAATTTTCTATTCCATGTTATTATCACATTGTCTTAATTACCATACAGCATTATAATTCATCAACTAGTTTCTTCTTTTTCAAACCTATCTTAGCCATTTTTGATTCTGTACTTTTCTATCTGAATTTTAAGAACAGCTTTTTAAGGTTGCATTAAAAATCACAAAAAAAATTAGATTTAAAGAATATCAAAATATGTCTTTACTAAAATGACTCTTCCTCATTTTTGCAAGTCTTTATACCTTTAAACAATTTATTATGTTTTTTTCCACAAAGGTATTAAATAATTTTTGTTAGACTTATTCCTGGTTACCTTATAGACTATTATGCTATTCTCTAGGCTTAACATAGCAAACTTTAAAACAAATAAATATGATATATTCAGAGAATGATGAATTTTATGAAGTAAAACACAGAAGAATGTAATAGAACATTTCTGGAACACGATAGGGTGGACTATTAAGAAAATGTGGCACATATACACCATGGAATACTATGCAGCCATAAAAAATGATAAGTTCATGTCCTTTGTAGGGACATGGATGAAGCTGGAAACCATCATTCTCAGCAAACTATTGCAAGGACATAAAACCAAACACTGCATGTTCTCACTCATAGGTGGGAATTGAACAATGAGAACACACGGAAACAGGAAGGGGAACATCGCACACCAGGGCCTGTTGTGAGGTGGGGGGAGCGGGGAGGAATAGCATTAGGAGATATACCTAATGTTAACGAGTTACTGGGTGCAGCACACCAACATGGCACATGTATACATATGTAACTAACCTGCACGTTGTGCACATGTACCCTAAAACTTAAAGTATAATAAAAAAAAGAAAAAAAAAGAAATAGCCTCATATGAGGTGAAGAGTTATAATTAGGCTGGTGCCAAGCCACATGAAGATATGAAAGAAAAAATGCAATACAATGTCCTCAAGAAGCCAATTTGTATAGAGTAAAATGGAGCAGAAAGAGATGTATGAAATGATGTCAGAGCATGGAGAGCCTTATCAGCTAGTGTAAAGCGTTTACATGAGTATAGGCCATGGAGGCCATGGGCTTTGGAGCTTTATTCTGGCACTGAGATATCACTGAGACTGTCCTCTTCGGACAGATCAGCTATTTGGGCTAAGGATGAACAAGACACATGGGATGTATCCACCTCTGCATAGTGGGAGTGACCCCAAGGTAAGTGTCCCCTTTGTAATCATGCTTCACCTTCAACTTCTAATGGGTTGCCATAGAGTAATCATCATACACTCCTGACTGATGCATGATATAGCAATCATGCTTCACCTTCAACTTCTAATGGGTTGCCATAGAGTAATGGTAATGGTAGGCTTTTTTCAAAAACTGCTTTTATTAACTACTATGACTGTTTATATTATTAGTAGCTTTCATGTACTTACAAAACATTCCAGATTCTGCTTACTATAGCAATATTTTCCAAAACCCAGCCAGAGTTCTCCTCTGCTCAGCCTATCTGCCAAGAGTATTTTTATACACATCTGGCAACTTGGAATCTGGTCACTATGAAAGTGTGCCCTTCCGTTAAAAAAAGAAGATAACCTTGAGGGCTGACATACCTTTAGCTACATCTGTCTAGATCTTACAGTTTCCTTTCACATGCTTCCTAAGTTCCAGTAACCAGTTTTCTCTCCTGGCTCAAGGCCACTACATCATTGGGCACCATCACTGGGAAAGGTTCACATCCAACCCAATGTCTTGCACAGTGAGATGGTAATAACATGCAGTGATTACCATAGAGCTGGTTCATTGACTGTGGTGGTGTAATTTACCAGACCAATTCAGTTCTTAACTTTCCTCCAATAGTGCTTACCTGAATTCAAAATGAGACTTATGACAGAAGGCAATGTAGATAAAGCATTTAGATAGGACATGTTTTTGTTTCACACGTAAAATATTTGGGGGTTTTCAGTGGGTACATGAGAAGTAAACCACAATGGTAATATTGATTCTCCACTGAAAAGTTATTTTAAAAACTGATATTGACAATGCTTATTATTATAGATTTCCCCACAAGACTCACTGCCTCAAGGGAATTTGGGAATGGAAAGGGACATTAGCTCTTTTTTATTTTTTACCATCAATGGAGCGATTCTTTTCTGTCCTTGAGCAGTTTTCATTCACATGACTTACAGCACTTCTTCCAAACCCTCACAACTAACAATAGTCAGTATTACAGTAGAAAGTAGGAAGAGAACTTTGAAGTCAGGCTTCCCAGTTTCCTTCATTTATTGTATAACCTCAAGCAGGTTATATAACCTTGCTATGTGTCAGTTTTCTCCTCTTTAAATATTGTTTTAATCGACTGATGTGCTTAAAACAGACCTTGACATATAACAAGTACTCAATGTAAATTATCTGTACATTATCTATTAATATTTTTCTGAAAAATGCCATACTCCTCTGCCTTCAAATCTCACTCTTAGAAAATTACCTTGTCAATTCCTTCACAGTTTATGTAGGACATTAAGCCTGAACTCTTCTATTCTCATCCTTCCCCTTTTCCTGCTAATTTAGCCTCTACCATTATTACTTTTTAATTTCCCATTGTAGGAATTATTCCTCCAGCCAAGGATGATCGGTCCAACTATACATAAAACATAGTCTCTTTCGGAGTCTTGTTTGTTAATTATTCCCCTCTCTGAATTATTCTTAGCATTCCTTTTCTTAATGACCCTCAATTTCTGGCCCATAAATATGTCCAAGTCTCTTATCTTAAAAAAATATGTGTTAGAGCCATTTGGAAGATATTTTGGCATTTTTTACAAAGCTAATCATAGTCTTAGTATACAATTCAGATATTATGCTACTAGGTGTTTAACCAAATGAGTTGAAAACTCACATTCACACAAAAACCTGCGCATGAATGCTTGTAGCAGATTTATTCATAATTGCCAAAAATTGGAAGCAACTGAGATGTCCTTCAATAGGTGAATGGATAAATAAATGGTGACATATACACATAATGAAATATTATTCAGCAATAAAAATAAATGAGCTATTAAGCTACCAAAAAACATAGAGGAAACTGAAATGCATGTTGCTAAGTGAAGAAGCCTGTCTGAGAAAGCTACATCCAATTGATTCCAATTATATGATATTCTGGAAATGGCAGAATATTGAGATAATAAAAAGATCAGTGGTGGCCAGAAACAGGGAGAGAGGGGGAAAGGGGTGACTTGATGGAGCACAGGAGACTTTTAGGGCAGTGAAACTATGATACCTTCATGATGGATTACATTATTTGGCAAAATTTATAGAATTATATATTACAAAGAGTCAACTCTAACATAAACTATGGACTTTATAATAATAGTGCATCAATATTGCTCAATATGAGCAATATATTGAGCAATATTGCTCAATATAACTCAATAATGATGTTAATAATAATGCATCAATATTGCTCATTAATAATAACAAGCATACTACACCAATGCAAAAATGTTAATAACAGAACAAACTATGGGCTAGAGGAAAGAGAGTGTTTATATACTGCAAACTTAAAGCTGCCCTAAGAAATAAAGTCTATTAATAATAATTTTTAAAAACTCAAGAAGATTCATATATATCATTTCACAGCAGCACCTAGATTAGTATTTGCTTGAGTAATTGGAGGAAGGTGTGTGCATATAACAGGACATGGGAATCTTGGGGGCCGTCTTAGAATTCAGCCTATCCCACTATCTTATTCTATCCTGTCACCCATCAACAGCATTTTTTGTGACAATAAAGTTGATGTCCCCTACACTTCCAAAATGGGGCCTTTCTTTTCTCTTTCCATTTATTTGTCTGGATTATCTACTTCCAAGGTTTCAACTACTTTTTATACAGTGTTAACTACAAAATCAATCTCTTCTACCCAATTAACTCTTCTAAACTGCACACAAATATTTCTAGCTACCTCCATTTCATATTTCCAAAAAAGACTCAAGGAAAACTCATGAATGCCATCGTACGCGCACATAAAATAAGAACACGATTCTTTTTGTCAACTCCTTTTCTTTGAATGAGATCACCACTTACTCAGTTGCCCAAAACAGAAAACTTGGAGCTTTTGCTGACATTTATTGAAAGCTTAGTATAGATCTGAGACTCCCTTAAATTCTTTTTTTAAATTTTTATTTTAAGTTCAGGGGTGCATGTGCAGGTTTGTTACATAGGTAAACTTGTATCATGGGGGTTTGTTGTATGGATTTATGTATGTCATCCCTCAGGTATTAAGCCTAGTACCCATTAGTTATTTTTCCTGATCCTCTCCCTACTCCCAGCCTCCACCCTTTGAAAGACACCAGTGTGTGTTGTTCCCTTGTATGTGTCCATGTGTCCTCTTCATTTACAAGTATTAACATTCAATCCTCACAACATCTCTATAGGGGAAGGTATTCTTTGAAAATCTTAGCAGTTTTTTCACTTTTCTAGGATATTATATTTAGTTAATGGTAGGGCTAGAGCCAAAACTGTCTGGCTCAAGACCTAAGCTCTTAACCAATGTGCTATTTTTCTTTTCCCATACCCACTTGGTCATCATATCCTATTAATTCTACCTCTGCAATATTATTCAAACTCACCCCCTTGTCTGTAGTTCTGCTATTATGATCAGGGTTCAGGATCTCATAAAACATTTCTCTAATCTTCATACTGGGGTTCCTAATACAACTTTTGCCTGTTTCAAATAATCCCTACATTCCTGTCATGTCATTCACACTTAAATGGATATGAAGTTTCTACTTCTCTGCTTAAAGGCCTTCTAGGAAAACTTTCTAGCCTGTCATACAAAGTCTCCATCTGATTCCTACACATAATTTCTGCCTTGACCTTTTGTTCATAACTGAATCTGCATTCGTATCTCCCATGATTCTTTTCTCTTTTCATGTCTGTCTTCTCTTAATATTCAGACTTCCTTGTGAGCAAGAGTCCATATAGCTCCATAGAGCTATGAGTATATAAAATACACTCAATAAATATGCCTTGAGTAAACTGTACTTAGAATCTTTCTTTGTTTCAAGATCCATATTTGAGATCATAAGATCCATATTTTTGAGATTCATAATAAAAGATAACTTCAAGAAAGTAAATGAAGAATTTATTTCTATGGCAAAAAATATTGATATATACTATGCTGTTAATTATATATGAAATATTACATCTGTTGAGATTAGGACCTGGAGTCTGATTCTTCATTTCATGGATTACACCAATATCTTTGCTCTAAAAGATGAGGCCAGGCATGGTGGCTCATGCCTGTAATCCCAGAACTTTGAGAAGCCAAGGTGAAAGGATTGCTTGAGCCCAGGAGTTTGAGACTAGCCTGGGAAACATAGTGTGACCCCCATCTCTACAAAAATAAAAAATTAGCTGGGAGTAGTGGTGCACACCTGTAGTCCCAACTGTTGGGGAGACTGAGCTGAGAGGATCTCTTGAGCCTGGGAGGTCAAGGCTGCAGTGAGTCGTGATCACACGTCTGCACTCCAGCCTGGTTGAAGAGCGAGATTCCGTCAAAGAACAAGAAAGAAGAAAGAAGGAGAAGGAGGAGAAGAGGAGGAGGAGGAGAAGGGGGAGGAGGAGGAGGAAGAAGGAGAAGGAGGAGGGGGAGGAGGAGGAATTGCAGGTAGTTACTATTCCGATTGCTTCACCCCACCTCACCCCCCTCCCCGGCCTACTTGTTTTACTCCTAGATAATATATCTAACAGCAATCCAACTATAAAATATTAATATATGTAACATATAAGCATTTGACTATTACAACTGAAGGAAAATGGTAGCTATCACTGGGGGCGAACAGGATCACCCAAGTGCATTTAATGGACTGTAATAAACCACATTTCCTCACAGCATGATTCAAATGTTCTTCCTCAATTTGCAATTAACTGATATCCACAACTGGTTACTTTGGGAACTTTGTATTCCTGCTTTAGGAAAACAAACAAGGTTTATTTCTTGTGGTTATCATATAAAAATAACTTCTCATATCTAAGATCTTTCAAGCTTCCTCTCACTTGCCAACCTTGCCTCACCTTCCTGGTTTACACTTCTAATAATTTTCATGTGTTCCTCCGGCTAACCCCTGGACTCCTGATCTCCTTGCTGGAGGTGAGAATGATGCCAGGGTTAGCGACTGCTCTGCGGTTCCCCAAAGCTCCTCCTACCCAGACGGCGACAGTTTGGATGCTGAGGTTGGAAAGCAGGACAGGGGACACTCCTGAGTGCAGCTCGGAGCGGGGAAAGCCGAATTCCGGGGGCTGAAGAGGCCGCGCAGGGGACGAGCGCCTGCGATGCGGAGCGTGGACTTCTTGGGCCGTACCCCTGCGGCTCAAGCTGCCCCGGATTCGCTTCTCCGGCCGTGCAGCCCGGCGCGGGCCGCTGTCCACAGTGGGAGGTGCTGAAAGCAGGGAGCGGGTGCGGGGGCGGCGAGGCGGACCGCTGCTCCGAGCGCCCCCCTCCTCGCTCCGCGGCTCCTCCAGCCCTCCCCTCCTCCCGCAGCCATGTTCCACGCGCGGGGAGGGGTGGGGGGAGGGGAGAGGCACGGGGGATCAGGGCGGAGAGAGCCGGCTCTGCCTCGGGGAAGGAGGGGATGAGAGTTGGGAGCAGCGGGAGGAGGCGGCGGCGGCGGCTAGCGAGGAGACAGAGCTGGGTCCTGCAGTAGGACTCCCGGGAGCCACCATTATGGTGAAGAGGAAGAGCTCCGAGGGCCAGGAGCAGGACGGCGGCCGCGGCATCCCCCTGCCCATCCAGACCTTCCTGTGGCGGCAAACCAGGTGAGGGGCGCAGAGGGCGCACCGCGGGCCGCCCTGGGCTGGGGGCGCTCCTGGGGCCGCCCGGGTCGCCGCTGCCGCCGCCGCCGCTGAGGCCGCGCCACAGCCTGCAGCTCCCTCTCTGGGGCTGGAAAACAAGCCCTCTGCACCAGCTTAAAAACACGCATTAAAATATGTATATATATGTATATATTTCAGTGAAGTTTGACGACAAGCAGATTGGCAGTTGTCGCATAAATGTATACATTATTTTAGGGGGTGGGAGGGCAGAGAGCCTGGGAAGAGGGGGCGGGGAGCTAGATAATTATGACTGGTTGTGCTCCTGCGTCCAATTCCCCCTCCATCTCCTGCTGTAATTCTAGCCCAGTGACCTGTTGTTTTTCCAGCTCCTGTTTGGCGAATATCTGCTATGCCCACTTGTTAACCGTTTTGCTCAGATTAATCTCCCCAGTTAAATCTCCTGAGGATTTGTGATAAGGGACCTTCCCCCACAACCCCGGAAAGGCCTGACACCTATTCCAATAAACAGAAAAGGTTTTCTTTATTATTGTTATTTTAGAGATTTATCAGATAAGATATTAGATTCTGGAAATTATGACCCATAAGCCGTGTTCAATTTTCAGTTTTTATTATGACTGTACACGTAAGTAATGCACCACTTCTGACCACTGGCGATTTAAAATCTTAGAAGTCTTCAGATTAAGAGTGGATACCGAAAACCATCGAGATCCACTTCTCTTTCATATATGCAATTACACGTGTAAAAGAAAATGTCATCAGCTGTTCAACACCTGCTCATTAAAAAGCTATAAGGAAGCATGAAATTTGAATTTCATAGCATCCTGTCTTATTCATTGAAAAATACGTCACAAGGATGCTTTAATAATAATTTTACTTATGTTTATTAACAAATATCTCTATTAATTTTTCAGTGCATTTTTGAGGCCCAAACTGGGGAAGCAATATGAAGCTTCTTGTGTGGTATGTGATTTTCACCATTTAATAATTATTTCCCTATTCTGTGTGGTGGTTTGAACCCAAAGACAGATTTTAAATCAAACGGACTATATATATTAATTCACTTGGCAAATATTATTGATCACCCACTCTGTGCCAGGCACAATTCTCTGTGCTGGAATAGAACAATGATAAAAACAAATACAGTGTTTACATCCTAGTAGAAAGGGGACAAGCCACAAACAAATAAGTAAATACATAGTAAGCCAGATGGTGGTAAGCACTATGGAGAAAAATTAAGCAAAAAGAAATACTAGGAAGCACTAGGGAGGGGAGTTTTATAAGAATGGATAGATAAGGCTTATCTACCCATTAATGTGAACCTTGGCCAAAGACACAAGGGGAAGGGAGGGAAGGACAGCTGAGGGAAGAGCAGAGGAAACATGTTAAAGGAAATTAGCACCTACTGGGGAATAAGTGAAAGGGTGGGGCGGGATCGAGTGGTAGAAGAGAAGGCAGAGAGATAACAGGGAACCAGGTGGTGTAGGGTGTTTTTGCCACCTGCAAGTGTGAAGTCGAATCCTTAATCAACAAAACTGAGACTTATAGTGGAAGTTCATATGATGGAGTGCCTGTGAAAGAACTACTTGAACAAAATATATGCATTTCTGCACTTTTATGTCTTGCATATGTTCTCCAATTCTAAAAATGAATAATATAAAATAATTGTGAAAATAATACTGTTAATATTTATACAAAATAAAATGCATTTGTCCTGAGATTCTAAGGGAATCTTATATCCCTACAAATTCTTGTTTCACAAATTGAGAAAATAAGACATGAAATCATGAAGCAAAATTGAAATGGACTTTTCACAGCCTTCATTAATATTTGGAGCTTACCTAAAAGTCTTTACATTGCATATATTATAACCTAAAAATGGAAATCTACCAATTTGGATATTGCCATGCATATTTACAAATAGCTATGTGGATGACCTTGTGGTAAGGAGCTCTGAGATGTGTTAGGGCAAAAAATTCTGATGGAAGCCAACTGGAAAGTTAAACACATACATGCCCACTCACGTAGGAATTTGTTTTGTTGCATCTCCTATCTTTCAATGTTGTCACAAACACATTTTTTAAAATATAACTTTCTTATAAGGACCTTTTAATGGAATTTGTCATTGAATTTAGCTTGTTAGAGTAATTTGACACTTGAAATCTCAGACTTTCTTAACCATGCTGACAATTATACTAGCTTAAAATAATCCTGACTTTCTCTGTTCTTGGCGAAGATATTTTTGGCATTTTTAATGCAGTCACACAATATCAAAAAGTTACGTTAATAGATAGGGATAGATATATATATATCTCAATATAGAAAACAATTTCCCAAGTTTTAAAAAAATTATTAAAAGTTGTATTAGTGACACTTAATGAGAAAATGACATTACCCGGAATACTCTGAGATTATGAAATGCATAACTCATCCTCTACAATATATTCATTAGAGTGTATAAATTCTTTATAATCTTTTAGTGTCTAATATATGCATCCTTTACTTAATGAATACTTAGATATCTGAGGGCTGATGATTTTATAATATTTGTATTTATATCACCAACATATCTAAAGGCCTTTATCTAGTTTCTTAAAGCAAAATACTACATCTCTCATTATGCTCTTTACCAAAACCTCAGTGTGCCCTTCATTATAAAGGTGAATTTCTTATTTTTCTTTTTTTGAATCAAAAAGTAAAAAGTTTTCTTTGGATATCTCTGTAGTAAGCCATATTAGGATACCTGTCTTTCTCACATTATTGGTATCCTAATAATTCCAATAATACAGTTTGAACACTTGGGACTTGTTTATGATTATTATATAGAACATTTATACAATTTTATTGACTGGGGCATCAAGTACCAATCCTGTTCTTACATGCCAAATGTTTATTAAATTTATTCCAATATTTCGTAACTACATTTTCTCCAACACCTTACAGTGATATTCTCTCCTCCCTCAAAAGAAAAAACAATAATTAAGTAGGTCAGAGTTGTTACTTGTTCCGGAGTGCTACACTCTCTGATACTCTCTGAGTATCCCTGGCAAGGATAGAAAATTTAATAACCAGCAAAGTAAAGATGGCTTATTTTCCTCCTCCCTCCCTCCTTCCTGCTCTCCCTTCCTTTCTTTCTTTATTCCACAGATATATTAAGTATCTTTTATTGTTCCAGGCATTAGGTAGAGAGTGTTCTGTGCCGGGTCATTGCTAAGCCATGAGATAAATCAGGGATTCCAAAGTTGTATCTTAACACCAGTTGAAGAAACTGACATAAATTCTATTTCTCAAGACACTTTCACAAAAAACTTATTTTGGTCTGCAGTTGTGACAGTCTTTTGGATGACTCGGCAACATTTTATAAAATATACATCCAAAAATCTCATGAGGTTAAATGTTTTGTTCCTATTTGTTAGAGGAAGCTTATTTTAACAGAAATAAAAATCGTTTTGTTAATTCAAGCCATTTACTTTGGCTCAAAAGCCTGCAAATGGGTAGATAATAGAAAATTATTACTGACCCATTGCACATCAACATATACAAGAAAATGCAATGAGTTCTCCCTAAAGAATTTGGTCCAGTAATTTGCATCTTTTAAGGGGTACAGTACCTTGCTGTTCATTTTTTCACTAACCAGAATCTTCAATTTCTTAGTTTACGTGGTTTTGGATTTTGGCTTTTCTTATTGTTTTTGTTTTTGTATTTACAGTCCTTTGAGCGAGTGTTGGTAGAAAACAAGCTGCATGGCCTCTCTCCAGCTCTCTCTGAAGCCATCCAGAGCATTTCCAGATGGGAACTGGTGCAAGCTGCTTTGCCTCATGTCCTCCACTGCACTGCAACCCTGCTTTCAAACCGAAACAAGCTAGGTTGGTGCCCCGCATTACTTCTTTATTGCATGTGATTGCCCTTTGTGTTCAACACTCATCATAATAACCTGTACTGAGTAGTTTCTGTTTTCTCAAGCACTGTGCATATATTATCTCATTTAATTATCACAAAATCCTCCTCACACTTATACTCATTATTTTCATTTTACCGATAAAGAAACTGGCTGTCTTGTTTTTAATTTTTTAATTTTACAAGTAATATATGAATATATTCTCCTTTTAACATTAAGATAGGCTGGGTGTGGTGGCTCATGCCTGTAATCCCACCACTTTGGGAGGCCGAGGCAGGCTGATCACCTGAGGTCGGGAGTTCGAGACCAGACTAGCCAACATGGTGAAACCCCGTTTCTACTAAAAATACAAAATTACCTGAGCATGGTGGTGCACACCTGTAATCCCAGCTACTCGAGAGGCTGAGGCAGGAGAATCACTTGAACCTGGGAGGCGGAGGTTACAGTTAGCTGGGATCGCACCACTGCATTCCAGCCTAGGTGACAAAGTGAGACTCCGTCTCAAAAACAAACAAACAAAAACAACACAAAAAAATTAAAATATTAGAGGCAAGCTAAGACCTTCACCTGCCCAAGATGAGTCCTAGCCAAGGTCATCCTTTTTGTTCTCTCAGTTCCTAAAGCAACCACTCTCATGAACTGGGCATATTTGCCTCAGACATTTTCCAGCTTTGTAGTACTGTGTATGAGTATGTGTGCACATGTGCATAAGAACTATTTTTTAGAATATTTTACAGATTGCTTTTTTCATCTGGCAATGTGTCCTACCCATGTACCCCACGTTAGCGTACATACTCTTCTCCATCCCATTTCCTCCCCTTGTTTGAGCCTCTGCTCAAATATCACTCCTATAGAGGGACCTTTCTAGGTCACATTGTCTAAAATAGGATTGCTTTTATCTTCAGAGTCTATATTTTTAACCACTACGCTGCCTATTTGGAAATATATTTGGGTACCTAACTGAAGAAAAGTGATTCAGCAGTTTCTGCCCCCATGGCAGCATATCATTCTGCAGAGATTGCGGCCAGTAGGGAAGTCCAAAAAGCAAGAATGAGCCCTGCTAGCAGTGGTTGTAAGAAGTATAGAGAAAGGAGGGATATTCTTCCCAGACCCATTGTTGACATCTATTGCCCTGGTCACAGAGTTTTTCTTAACCTGCCTGTGTAATTGTCCCATGCAGGCCACCAGGATAAATTGGGTGTTGCTGAGACAAAGCTCCTTCACACTCTACACTGGATGCTTCTGGAGGCCCCCCAGGACTGCAACAATGAGCGGTTTGGGGGTACAGACCGAGGCTCCAGCTGGGGTGGAAGCAGCAGTGCTTTCATCCACCAGGTTGAAAACCAGGGTTCTCCAGGGCAGCCTTGCCAAAGCAGCTCTAATGACGAAGAAGAGAACAACCGAAGAAAGATCTTCCAGAACTCCATGGCTACTGTGGAGCTCTTCGTGTTTCTGTTTGCTCCCCTGGTACACAGGATCAAGGTAAGCAGAAACCCAGTGTTAGAGCTGGAGTGGGTGGAGATGTGGTGAGGGTAGACTTCAAATGATATTTCCATATTTGGTTGGGCATGTCTTTGTATGACCTTACAGCAAGTCAAGGCATGGAGAACTTTATTTCTGTGTTAAACTACTGAACATTGCTTCAAAAACACAAATTTCCACAAAGCCTTTACCTACTTAAAAATCTTCAGTGGTTCTCCCTCTGCCTCATGATAATGCCCAACATATTAAGCATAGAATAAAAGGTCAAGCATGATGTAGGGTTTAAATTGCTTTCTTGATTTATAGACTGTTGGTCCCTACTGGCCACCTCATGATCCAGCATTTGAAACCATGACAGCCATTCCCTGAATATGCCCTTGCTGATTGCTCTATTCTCCTTTCCCCGCTCTATTCCTGTCATAGTCCTCAAAATGCAACTTTAATATCATATTTAACATGAAGCTATTCCTTAGACCTCACCATCTAGACTTCATTCCTACCCCCTTTGCATTTTTATAGCATCTTGTAACTACCTCTCTTATAATACAGGGTCTAAGTTTTAGCCAGGCGCGGTGGCTCACACCTGTAATCCCAGAACTTTGGGAGGCAGAGGCAGGTGAATCACTTGAGGTCAGGAGTTCCAGGCCAGCCTGGCCAACATGGCAAAACTCCATCTCTAATGAAAATACAAAAATTAGCCAGGCGTAGTGCACATCTGCAGTCCCAGCTACTCGGGAGGCTGAGGCAGGAGAATCTCTTGAACCTGGGAGGCACAGGCTGCAGTCAACCTAGATCGTGCCACTGTACTCCAGCCTGGGTGACAAAGCGAGACTCTGTCTTAAAATGAAAAAAAAATAAGTTTTAACTTTTTATGTTCTATGGACTTTTAGACAGTAGGGTATAGCCTAAGAATTGCTTTTTAAAATATTTTTAAATGCTTAAAATACAAAACATAGGATTACATGGAAACCAGTTATCTCAAAATACAATCATATCCACTTGGAGGAGACAATATAATTTGAAATCACTGTGCCATCACTTTTTAGCTGTGTGATTTTGTTGATATTACTTAACCCCTCAGTTGCTCTAACACGGGGTGAATATATATGTAAGACACACACTGCAGTTCCAATGCATGAAAAGAAATCAAGAACTATTCGTTACTTCTGTGAATGAATAAATTAACAAATTTCACTTAAGTGCTAAGATAAGAATTGACATGTTCATCTGCTCTTTAATAGAATATTATAACCCAGTGAATGGATCAAGTTAGCAGTGGTTCAAGTTAGTAATATATTTATGAAGGTGGTTGTGAACATTAACAGTCACCATGAAGGGAACAGACTAGTGAGTATTTTCATTCATTTTTAGTTTCCTAAAAAATTCACTTTCCATTAACTCTGTCCATTGCTAGGAGAAATAGATTTGAAACCACCTATAAATTCCCAAAATGCAACACATACACTGGCCACATTGCCCATCAAACATACTAAACTCTTTAGGTGTCAAGTCAAATTAACTTGCCATTTTAAAATCTCTAGCTTCCCATTTTAAAGTATTTTATACAGGTGATACTTAGTAGGAAGCACTGCTTTAATAGGGACTGTCCACCTGGCCTGTGAGCTCTGCAGGACCTACCCCTGTGCACCTCCTGGGCCTCATCTCCCTCTATCTCACTGGCCTTTCTCTCATTCACTAACCATCTTCAGGCTTGTGGGATTCTCACCCTCAAACTTGACAAGTGCATTTTTGTGTTCAGATCCTTACACTGTTTTTTTCAACTTGAAACACTGACCCTACCTTCTACACTCAGATTTTCACATAGCCATGTACTTGTCATTGGTTTACTCAGAACTCAAATGGCAACACTTCAGAAAGTACTTCCCTGGCTACTCTCGAGCAACTAGCATGCTATCCTACATTTTTTTCCTTGTTAGCACTTACAAGTACCTGGAATTATTTATGCATTTGTCTGCATGTTTGTTGCCCTTCACCCTCACTGAACAGAGGTCCTTGAGTGAAGGGAGTCTGCCTGTCCTGGTGACAGCTGTATCTCTAGTGTCTCAAATAGTGTCTGTCATATATGAGACTCTCAATAAATATTTAATGACTGACACACTGAGTAGACTTGTCATTATTGGAAGCTGATCCAAGTGCTAAAAACAGCATTTTTAGAAATGAAGCCTTTAAAATGGAGAGGACAGGAAACAAGTCTTCTTTAAAAGTAGCCCAAAAAAGATGTTTATATGTTGACAAATATCACCTGGAAAAATGTGGGAATATAGGAGTGCCCAGGGTGGATGTAATTTTATTTTTAAGACATAGCTGTGAGTCTAAGTTTTGGAAACAGATAAGCCTGTATTTGAATCCAGTGCCTGCTGTGCTCTACTGTAAGACATTGAGCAAATAATTTATAAGCCTCCATTTTCTCAAGTATAAATTGGACCTAAGAATAAATTTATAGGGCATTGTGAAGATTAAACAAGTTATAGTATTCAACTTGATACAAAGAAATTCATTAACAAATGTTAGTTGTCTTTAGTGTTGGTATTTTATTGCTGCTGGTATTATGTATTATTAGTAGAAAAGGAGCAAGATCTCCCTTCAGGAGTGACTACTCAAATAATTCGAAAAGCTGACTTAAGACCCTCATGTTTAACTTATGGCTTGGGAATGGAGCATTTATAAAGGAGTAAGACAATTCATACAAAATACTACACAGTGATTGATATAAATAAACAATTATAGTTAGTGGTAATAATATATTTATCATTTTTATTATATTATCATTATAGTTTAATCATTTTGTCATTGCTATGGGGAAAGCATTGTTCTTGAAGCTGTAGAGAATAAAAAGCATTCAGTCAGTAATTTTGGCCACAAGGGCTTTTCTGTTTGAGAGATGTCTGGTTTTTTCAAGTTGTTGGGGAATGTACAATCTCTAGATCAGGATTTCTCAGCCTTGGCACTGTTGGCATTTGGGGCCAGATAATTCTTTGTTATGGGACACTGTCCTATGCATTGTAGGATATTTAGTACAATCTCTGGCCTCCATCCATTAGATGCCAGTAACACCCCATTGCTCCTGAGTTGTGCCAACCACAGATGACTCCAGATGTTGCCAAATGTTCACAGGTGGGTGTGTGGGAGGGAATTGGTCCTGATTGAGAGCCACCGCCTTACATCTTTCATTTGCCTGCCGTTATCAGGTTCTGTTGGAGCCTATGGTCTTTCCCTACCCATGTAAACTTCCCCTCACCAGCACCATTAACATCCTTTAATCCCTATGCTTCTTTGCAGTTGCCTTTCATGACTCCAACTCCAGATCAAGACCAAAATTCACATTTTCTATCCCTACCCAGAAATCTGCATGCTGCTGGGGAAACCACACAACCATTCAGACTAATGTTTCTGCAACGCTGTAGTCTCTAAACCCAGTGTGCTGCGCTGCCCAGCTTGTCAGTCCTTTCCTTGATTTTTCCCCTCAGGTTCCCACTCAGCACTTAGTGTTGCAGGATGGGGCTTGTATAAGACATGGTGCTATAGGAGGCATGGGAAGCCAACATGTAATCAAAGCATGAACCCATGCCTCCATATCCTCACCTCCCATTTACTTACTCTTCAATCTCTTATTCTTGCTTCTATTTGCCTCTATTATGTGACAGAAAATTTTCACTGCCATTTCTAATTTTTACAACTACCCACAGGGATGTGTGTATCTTTGTCTCCATTTTACCAAGAGGGAAATTGAGATCCAGAGAGATAATAGTAAAGACTGTGAGTAACCAAGATGGAATTCAAACCCAATCCTATCTGATTTTCTACAAAACTACACTGTTTTTTAGGTTTCTGTACCAGAGTTGTTTTTCTTTTCCACTCAGGTCATGAACAACTTCTGAGTTGTTGAATCTAATCTCTATTTGCAGCCCTCATTTCATTAAACCTCAGCTGCATTTAAAACTATCATCATGCCCTCTTCTTGAAAGGTTCAGTTCTCCTGATGACACCACACCCTTCTGGTTCTTCTTGCATCTCTGACTCTGTCTGTTCTATCTCTATTGAGAGCTCATCTTTGTTGTCTGCCGCTTTAACATTGGGGGTCCCCAGAGATGCATTCTTGACACTTTGTTCTTCTCACTCTCCTTTCTGCTAGGAAGACTTCCTCTGACTTCATTTACCATGTGTATCCTGCAGGCTGAGGTCACCTAATTATATATTTCAAATCCAGGCTCCTATCTTTGCCTCTAGAACAAATTGTCAAATGACTTTTCCAAATAAATAATCCATGGGAAATTCAAACTTCACCTGTAATGAGCCCCGTCCCTAGATTCTATATTTTAGATAATGGATGTATTCACAAAAACTCAAACTACCTTTCACTATCCCTCATCCTTACTTGCACATTCCACTAATCACAGAGTCCCACTCATTTTTTCTCCTAAATATTGCCCAAATTTATTACATATTTTTCATCCCTACTTACTACCTTAACCCAAGCTTGTATCATATCTTACATGGACCCTTTACTTGAGCCACTTTCTAACTAGATTCAGTCTCCTGGCTTGTCTCATAAAATCTAACCTCAACACCAAGGTGACCTATCAAAAATGTAGACAATATCACCAACATACTTAAAATAATTTGTTAATTTCTCGTCATACAGAGAGTACAACTCCAGCTTCTTAGTCTGGTAAACTGGGCCCTCTATGACCTGTCTGACTACTTCTCCTGTCTGTGAACTCCAGATGTTTGAAGTCTCTCCAAGAACATAACATACTTTTTTTCAGATCTTTTCTCATGTTGTTCTTGCTGACCGGAATGCCCTCATACCTCACTTCTCTTTCTAGTAAACTCCTACTTATCCTTTAGGACTTCATTTGAGATCCATCTTTCCCTCTTTCTCTATTTCCATAATATTCTAGGTACAGCTTTATTGTTATACTTTGTTTATTATCATCCCTTTATGTGGCTTTCTCCCCTACTAGATTCTAAATGGTCTGTTTGTAGGAATTATCATTGTACCCGTGGTAGCTAACATAGTATCTGTGTTTAATAGGTATTTAATTAATATTAAGTGAATAAATTAGTTCACTAATTTGTAAATAAATCTAATATAAATGACTCATCCTTTTGTAACACAGTGTATTATTCAATGCATATTTTATATTTTTTAATTTATAATTAGCTCAAATAGTTTATATAAAATTCAGTCTGAAAATCCTGTTTAATATATTATTAATTTTAGACCAAATTTAATTTTATCAGTGAAAAATGACGAATATTTGTTAAACTAAGGCATCTTCTTTAAATATGGTATCAACATTGTCATGATTTTGCCACATTCACTTATTTTTTTTTTTTCAACAAATTCTTATCAAGTGCCTGCTGTATGCTAGCTACTGTTCAATGTGCTGGAGAAACAGCAAGAAATAAAACAAAAAGCAAGCCCTTCAGGGGATTTTAACCAATCCATATGTGTAAAGTAAACAACTTTAAAATGGAACTTAAAATAATAGTTGTTTCTTTAAATCTCTGTAAGCTACTAGTAAATACATTCAGAATTGCTTTATGACATCCTGGAAACAGATTCTCAGTGAAAGCAAGAAAAGCATCTGAAATGTGGGGATATTGCCTCTACGTGTACTTACACTTCTGGTTTTCTCAGGATCCTTCTAGACTACCTGCTTTACAACTGTTTGAATGATAAAGAGTGTCCTCTCCAGTTATTGAGTTTCTGCTTGTGTATGTATACATAGCATTGTGTGTTCCATTAAAAGAAACTCTGGAAGAGACATTAGAGGCCCAGAGTTTATACATTTATCCAAGTTAGGAAGACTTACAAAGGAAGATACCAACACAAGAGAAGGCCACAGGTGCTACAGGCATTCAGGTCTGAAGAGTGATTGGATTTATTTGGAGAAGGTAAAACATGTTCAATTAATGAACATATTAGTTTGGTATTGTACTGATGCTCCAGGAAATGCACAGAAGAAGGAGATCTCAACTTGTATTCAAGAAATATACAATCTACTTGGAGATGTATTTAGTAAAACAAAATGATGACCATGACAGTCAGTGAGTGCTGTGTCATGCTAATAGATCAGATGTTAAAGCCCAGGATTTCAGTATAAGAGAGATCACTCCCTGCTGCAGTTTCCACAGGAGTTTTACTTGTGTTAAGATTTCTCATGAGAAACATGGAAAAGGACTGAACTCAGAAACTAATCAATAAAACCAGGTCAATTGAGGTTTGGCTTCCTGTATTTGTAGAGACAAATCTGATAAGATTTGCTTAATGTTAATTTCCTGCTTCTACATACAATACCATGCAGACCTCCTCGTGTCCATTTCAAGGGAATTTGGGTTACTCTTCTCTTAACTCCACAGCTGTCTGTCTAAGTGCTTACTCGGTATCTCTAGCTTAATGTTCAACAGATATCTCAAACTTAACATGTCTAAAACTAGGCTTCTGAAATCCCCAAACCTGCTCCTCCTTCATCTTACCTATCTTTCTTAATCGTGAAGCCAAAAATCCTTGACAACTTTTTCTCTCACACTCCACTTCCAGACTATTAGCAATTTCTGTAAGCTGTGTCTTCAAAATGCATTGAGAATCTACCACTTCTCATTTTGCCCTCTATTAGTACCCCCATCTAATCATCTTTCACCTATATAACAATAGCTTCCAAAATAGTCTATTCTTTCACTGTTGCCCTTTCTCAAACTATTCTCAACAGCCTGAGTGAACCTATTAAAATATATATCCAGTCATGTCACTCTGCTACTTGAAACCTTCAGTGGCTTCTCATCTTAATAATTGCTAAAGTCCTTATCAAGACCTATCAGGCAGTATATTATTTGACACTCAATGACTTCTCCAATTTTATTTTTTTTTCTGCTTTTCTCACATTCACTTGACTCTGGGCACACAGTCTCTTGGCTGTTTCTGAACACACTAGGCACACTTAGGGCCTTTGTGTTTGCTGATCCTCTTTCATGGAATACTTTTCCTGGAGATAGCTACATGACAGCTCCTTCATTTTGTTCAGAACTTTACTCAAAAGTCACTTTCTCAATAAGGCTTCACCTGATCCTCTGGTCTAAAATGACAACACTTTGTCTGACACAGCCCTTCACTTCCTCTCTGCACTACGAACAGAGATTTTTGTATGCCTTGTTCACTGTTGTATTTAAAACCTAGAATAGTACCGGGTATATGGTAGGTGCTCTATAAATGTTTACAGAATAAATGCAGAATGAATTTAGCCAAATGCTTTATGTGCTTTTCTAATACTTCCACAGGGAATTCTAAAGACTTTCCCATTGTGGGAACCATGTGGCTCTGTTGCCAAGTGGTGTCAGAATCCCAGTCTAGCCTTTAGGTTTCTTTTCACTAGGTACAGAGTTGCTTTTGTTTTTCTATTTTTCCAGTTGCTTCTGAGTTCTTTTCCTTCCATCCCAATGGTTTTCAACCTCAGCTATGTGTGAGAGTCATCAGGGGGATCTTTAGAAAATCTCTCAGGATTCTAATTTAATGGGTCTGGGTAGGAGAGGTAAGTGATACCTGGGCCTCTTAGATTTAAAAGCTCCCCTGGTGATTATAATATGCAAGCTGGGGTTGCAAATCACTGCTCTAAGTGAGTTCCTGGGTCTCAGATGTATTCGTTAATCTGTGATCACATTCTCTGCTTCTATCTTTACATTGTTTTGAGAGACTGAAGTGTTTAAGATATAATCTCAGAATGTCATGTATTTGTACTTATACAATATGATAGCAGAGGATATGCTCTTGAAAGATACTTTAAATCATAGATAAACTGAGTGAGCATGGGTTGTAAAGTCAGCCCTATTCAGCAAGTATTTATTGAGTATCTGTTGTGTACCCAGTTCCTAATGCTATGTTAAACATTGTGATGATGCTCGGGGCTGAGAGGGAAGGAGGATGCTTGATTTATCCTTGCCCTCAAGAAATTAAAGGTTGTTAAGAAGACAACATTACAAAATAATACACTATGAAGGGTCAAATTATATGTGCCTGATTCCATAAAATGTAAGAAAAAAGATGGACTGGACAATAGAATGTCAAAATAGCCAGTATCTGAGTATTTTGCCTTATGAGGGAGAATAAGGACAACTAAAAAATTAAGAGGAATGATAATAATAACCAAAGTGAAGAGATCTGCCAAGGCTCCTGAAATAAACAAGTTTCAATCACTGCAAACACAAAACAATAGTTTGTGTATCCCATGCTTTGCCCAAAGCTATGTTTTGATTGGTCATTAATTTTGGATAAAGCAGACAGCTGGGATTTTCATAGTAATTGCAGTGATAACTTTGGGTCATTGGTTTACTCTAGAAACATTCATCTGACTAATGAGAGAAGGTTTGGCAGATAAATTCACTCTGAAAATAACCTTGTGAGTGATGTTAATCCTTGCATTGATTGGTCCCTTTAAGCAGCTGTTACATGTCAGTTATTGGACATATATCTTCTCCTCCCCCCTAGGAATCTGACCTCACCTTCCGTCTGGCCAGTGGGCTTGTTATATGGCAGCCCATGTGGGAACACAGACAGCCCGGAGTCTCTGGCTTTACCGCACTGGTGAAGCCCATCAGGAACATCATTACAGGTTTGTAACTTGGACACTCAGTAGGACAGTATTAGCAGATTCCCTCACACACAGTAGTTAGAGTGATGGGATAATTTGCCCCTAAGAAGTCAAAAAGAAGCAAATATCTACATGTAGTTATTTAAGTGTCCTGATATAGGGCTTACTCACATGAGGAGAAACTACTCTGAATCAAGAGCATGGACTTTGGGCAATTCATTTAGACTTCCTGTGCCTCAGCTTCCTCATCTGTAAACTGGGAATTTAAATATCATATTAATACTACTTACAAGATTGTTATGAGGAATGGAGCTAATATATGTAAAACTGCTTAGAAGAATGTCTGGCACATAGTAAGTGGCAGCTGCGATTATTATTATTATTATGTTATCATCATCATCATGGTAAATGGAGCAGGGGCTCCTTAACAAAATCATCTTAGTGTTGTATTGTTATCAAAGCATTTCTCTTCAGGAATTATCTAATGAAATAGTCCCACTGTTCAACTGTAGAAAGAACACAACATCATAGATTGAAAAGTGCATAGCAGGCTCACACTGTCTACCTCCAAGTCTCCAAATCTATCTCTTACTATGTATATAACCTAACTTTCCTAAGCATTTCCATTTATGTAAAATTGAGGTGATAATGCCACCTTATAGGGCTTTTTAGTAAGAAGTAAATGAGAGTGCATTAAGTGCCTGCTTTATAGTAAGTGCTTAATAAATTCTAGTCTTCTATTCCCAACTCTATTTTTAGTATTAATAATAAAATTTAAAAAGAAATAAATTATGTGGAAAATCTACAGAAGCATATATATATATATATATATATATATATATATATATATACCTATATATTTTTAAAATACACCACACACATATATATAATTTGCTTAATTCATAAGGGTTTTGTGCAGACAATGGACAATCTTTTTTATTAACATATAAGCTATAATTTAACACATATATAAAAACTACTAAGAAACCAGACTCAGCTTAGACAGCATGGCCAGAAGAAAAAGCAATGGCACATGGTGATCTTGATAAATCACCTTCCTTCTCGGCACCAGTTTACTCACAATTTGAATGAGACATTGCCATCTTAGTTTCCCACTGTTCCTGGTCCTCAGATAAAGATGTAACTGATTTGAATTTTACCTCCAGGATAGCTTTATGTAATAGTTAAAGCACAGACTCTAAAGTTAGTCTGGGCTATAACCTTCATGCAAGGGTCAAGTGACCTTGGGCAAGTTTAACTCACTGTGTCTTAGTTTCTTACCCTGTAAAATTGGCATAATAATATGGTAGTATTATTGAGTTATTTTAAGGGTTAAATGAGTTATAGTTTTGCGCCACATAACAGCATTTTGGTCAATGACTGTGTTTACAACAGTAGTCCCATAAGATCATAATGGAGCTGAAAAACTCCTGTCACCTAGTGGTCTCGTAGCCATGGTAACATAGTGCAAGGCATTACTCATGTGTTTGTGGTGATGCTGGTTTAAACAAACCTACCGCGCTGCCTGTTTTATAAAAGTATAGCCCATACAATTATATACGCACATAATACTTTATAATAATAACCAACAAGTATATAACTGGTTTATGTATTTACTATACCATACTTTTCATTGTTATTTTAGAATATATTTCTTCTACTCCTACTACCTATTTTTATTATTTTTAAAAAGTTAACTGTAAAACAATCTTAGGCAGGTATTTTAGGAGATGTTCCAGAAGAAGGCATTGTTATCATAAAAGATGACAATTCCATGTGTGTTATTGCCCCTGAAGACCTTCCTTTGGGACAAGACATGAAGGTGGAAGACAGTGATACAGATGATCTTGATGCCGGGTAGGCCTAGGCTAATGTGTGTGTTTGTGTCTTGTTTTTAACCAAAAATAGGAATGCCTGGCACATAATGAGTAAGCAGTAGCTGCACTTGTTTTAAAACAAAAAAGTTGGCCGGGCGCGGTGGCTCACGCCTGTAATCCCAGCATTTTGGGAGGCCGAGGTGGGCGGATCACCTGAGGTCAGGAGTTAGAGACCAGCCTGACCCACACGGAGAAACCCCATCTCTATTAAAAATACAAAATTAGCTGGGCTTGGTAGCGCATGCCTATAATCCCAGCTACTTGGGAAGGCTGAGGCAAGAGAATCGCTTGAACCTGGGAGGTGGAGGTTGCGGTGAGCAGAGATCGCACCATTGCACTCCAGCCTGGGCAACAAGAGCAAAACTCCATCTCAAAAAAAAAAAAAGTTTTAAAAAAAAGTATAAAATAAGTACATACGTTTATAAGTATATAAAAAGCATAAAATATACTTTTATACTTTTTAATACATACTATACATACTACATACTAGTATATATAATAATATATACTATAAAATATATTAAAAGTATAAAATATAAAAAATATACAAATAAAAGTAAAATAAATATATAAATTTATAAATATATGACTATATTAAAAAGCTTATAGAATAAAGTTATAAAGAAATCACATATTTTTGTGCAGCTGTATTATGTATTTGTTTTAAGCTAAGCCTATTACAAAAGAGTCAAAAAGTTTAAAAAACTAAAAAGTTTATAAAGTAAAGTTATAGTAAGCTAAAGTTAATTTATTATTAAAGAATAAAAGCTTTTTAAAGATAAATTTAGCATTGCCTTCATATTCACTCACTACTCACTCACTGACTCACCCAGAGCAACACCCATTCCTGCAAGCTCCATTCATGGTAAGTGCTCTATATAGGTGTATAATTTGTTATCTTTTATACTGTATTTTTACTGATATTTTCTATGTTTAGATACACAAATACCATTGTGTTATAAATGCCTACAGGATTCAATACAGTAACATACTGTACAGGTTTGTAGCCTAGAAGCACTAGGCTATGTCATATAGCCTAGATGTGTAGGTGGCCATACCATCTAGGTTTGTGTAAGTAAACTCTATGATGTTTGCACAATGATGAATTTGCCTAACAACACATTTCTCAGAACGTATCTTTGTCCTTAAGTGATGCATGACTGTATATGTAAAATGCTTAGGAACTTTGCATATATTAGGTGCTGAGTAGGTGTTAACTATTATTGTTATTTTCAGTATTGCCAACTTTTTAGCACCTTAACTTACTGAGTCAGACTGAAGAGATGAATATCTACATCAATAACCAAAAAAATGCTAAGATTTTTGAATTGGTTATTTGAATATCTCTTACAATATGCGTTAATGTCTTCTTTTAAAGTAATAATGTTCTATTAAAATAGCTTTTCTATTTGAAAATGAAATGAACTTATGAAATAAAAAGAACTTAAAACCTTACAAAACGATGGAACTTCTTCCGTCTTTTCAGCTAAGAGAAGTTCTCCTATCAACAGTCAAAGCCGGACCTGTGAATCACCAAATCAAGATGCAAGACACTTAGAGGTTAGTTTATTATAATCATAAGAAGAAGGGAGGCAGAAAGTCCTTGGACATAGTGTAGTGTGAAGGGAAAGACATGAGTTCTAGAATCACTACCAGGCTCAAAGCCACTCCTCCTTTCTGAATGTGCAACTTTTAACAGCTTCAGGTTTTTTATCAGTCGTATGAAAATTAATTTTCTGTATCTCCCCAAAGCGTGCAGGTGTGGAAATAAGACCATATACGACTAGTATTTTATCTCGGTGGTTAGTGTGTAATGAGTTGTGCTTTATCTCAATGGCTAACATGTAACACTCAATAAGTGTTAGTTATCATTACATCCCAGATTAAATAACATATCACCTTGTTCTCAATTATTGCATCCCCTAATGCTTGTTAAGTAACTCTAATGTAGGTAGAATAATGCTGCCGGAGGTCAGAAAGAGGGAGTTGGAAGGAGTTATAAGATAGTCCTACCCCTTAAGGAATCTAAAGTTTAATGAGGGGTCAAGACTAACCCACATAAAACGGAAGATGCAAAATATGATATAAGATGCAGAATGTAATTCAGTGCAAATTTGTCATGTTTGATCAAGAAAAGAAAGGAATGAAGTCCGGAGTAATTGAAAGCTACATAGAAATCGATACTACCATTAACTTATGGCATTAAATGACCTGCTTTCACTTTCAATTCAACACGTGCAAAGTGAAACTTGCTGCCTTCCGTCAAAATTGGATCCTCTTTCCAACTGTTATTACTCAGGAAGATTATCACCCTTTTTACCCTCCAACCTGGAAATTTTGGAGTCCTATTACATCTACCATTTAGTGAGCAATTACTAAGTACAGACGCTGTGATTTGTATGCTGTAAGATGTATATATTTTTCACATTTAACATCTTTGAAATTGAGTATGCTTGACAATCTTTGGCCCCTTATGATCTCCCTACTGGTAGCTGTCTTGATATGGTTGTAATTCTTGTGCAGCATGAATTTGGTCATTTCCAGCATCTAAATTTGCATCATCAGGGTCAGTGGATTATAAGCATATGTCAGAGGGAATAGTGGAGCAGTATTTTAAGAGATAACACTCTTGATACAGAGGAGGTTATTCTTTGGAAAAACTCAAGTATTAACAATTCTGGGTTGAAAATTTTAAATGTGAAGGAGTTTTAGGAATACCTACACCAATTTATTTCACTTATACTTTCCTCTTACATAGACACAGGATGGAAATATAATTAAAAAGCTGTGCCTAAATAAATGTAAAATAGCTCTTTCAACTAGTATAAAATAAAAAATCCTCAATGATACAAGTAACATGTCCTAGTTTAATTAACAGGGTATTTTTTTCTTAATGTTACGTAAAATAATGGTATGTCTTCTAAATGATGACATCTTAGATACAATGAAATACATACATCTCATATTATGTTATACTTAATCCTCTCGATTTGATTTCCTGCTAAGTCATATTGTCTTCTTTTCGTTATGTTGCTCAGATGTTTTCTTTATTGTTTATGACCACTACTATCCTCTAAATCCAGGCCCTCATGACTAAATTGCAGCTGAACCTACCTAATTGAGTTTTATACTTCTAGACTTTTCTTCTTTGCATAAATACCACTAATAATTCCTGACTAATTTTCCTAATACATCATTTATTTATTAACTCACCATTCCACATAAGGCATTTTATGCAAATGCCATCTTTTGTCATGTCGCTTTCTCCTTAGGAACCTATAGTGGATCCTATTGACTGTCGCTGCAAGACCAAATTCCTCTCCCTGTTTTTTTTGTGCCTCCCACCACTTGGCACCACCTTTGTTAAGTGACCCTGTCTCTGATTATCCCTTCAGTCAGTTATCTATTATCTCTAACTTATAGTGCCTGCTCATTTTAGCCTCCAAATCCTTGCTCAAATTGTTTCCTCTAACTGGAATCTTCTCTTTCCTTCGTCTAAATTTTATCCTTTTAAGGACCAATTAAGATCTCAATTCAGGCTGAGGCGGGCAGATCACAAGGTCAGGAGATCAAGACCATCCTGGCTAACACGGTGAAACCCTGTCTCTACTAAGAATACAAAAAAATTAGCTGGGTGTGGTGGTGGACACCTGTGTCCCAGCTACTCAGGAGGCTGAGGCAGGAGAATGGCGTGAACCTGGGAGGTGGAGCTTGCAGTGAGCTGAGATCGTGCCACTGCACTCCAGCCTGGGCGACAGAGTGAGACTCCGTCTCAAAAAAAAAAAAAAAAAAAAAAAAAAAAAGATCTCAATTCCCAATTCCCCCTAAACTCTTGTCTTATTAGTCTAAGCCTGCACTGTCCAATATGATAGCCTCTAGGCCCATGTGGCTATTGAACACTTGAAATACAGCTAGTCTGAATTGACACTGTAAAATGTACATCAGATTTTGAAAATATAGTATAAAATAGAATGTAGACTTGGCATGGTGGCTCATACCTGTAATTCCAGCACTTTAGGAGGCTTAGGCAGGCAGATCACTTGAGCCCAGGAGTTTGAGACCAGCCTGGGCAATATGGCAAAACTCTGCTTCTACTAAAAATAGAAAAATGAGCGGGACATAGTGGCACATGCCTTTAGTCCCAGCTATTTGGGAGGCTAAGTGGAGAGGATCACCTGAACCTGGGACATGGAGGTTGCAATGATTCAAGATCACACCACTGCACTCCAGACTGGGTAAGCGAGACCCTGTCTTAAAAGAAAGAAGAAAAAAGTAAACATCTTAATACTTTTTTGTTTTGTTTTGTTTTGCTTTGTTTTTGAGACGGAGTCTCACTCTGTTGCCCAGGCTGGAGTGCAGTGGCGCGATCTTGGCTCACTGAAAGCTCCGCCTCCCGGGTTCATGCCATTCTTCTGCCTCAGCCTCCCGAGTAGCTGGGACTACAGGCGCCCACCACCGCGCCCAGCTAATTTTTTGTATTTTTAGTAGAGATGGGGTTTTACCATGTTAGCCCGGATGGTCTCGATCTCCTGACCTCGTGATCCGCCCACCTCTGCCTCCCAAAGTGCTAGGATTACAGGCATGAGCCACCGCGCCCGGTTCCATCTTAATACTTTTTATATTGATTCTATGTTGAAATGATAATTAGGGGTTAAAAAGAATATATTATTAAAAACAATTTCACCTGTTCCTTTTCACTATTTTTAATGTGGCCTCTACAAAATTTAAAATCAGATATGTGGCTGTTTGTGGCTTGCATTATCTTTCTATTGGACACGCTTCTCTGACCTATACTTACCTGTCTTGAGACATAACTGTAAGCTCATGAGTTTAAGGGTCAGATTCATCTAATTTTTTAAATCTCTAAATCACCTAACATTATGCTAAAGAATTTTATGGTCAACTTCAGAAGACTTAATTCATGAAATTTCTAGCTGTATTTATCTCTCTGTCCATCATGATTGAATAATGCCTTATTTTGTGTGTAAAAATTAAAATCGTAAGGGCTAACCTTCCAGATAGATTGTTGAGGGTCTTTATACTTTAGTAAAGAATTTCACCTATAATGCCTATGGAAAAATATCTCACATCACCTGGGCAGAATTACATTTATCAGCTAAATGTAATTAAAATAAGCTACCTGGTAACAGAACTGCTGAATGTGTACTTATAAATCAGAATAAAGGTCATTGTGTCCGATTAGAAAAGTGTATTGCATCTCTCCACTGATGAATGAAGGAAAAGTTAACCTTGTACTTCTGTTCTCATGTTCTGGCTTCAATCTGATTAGGTACTACTAACCTGGTGCTTCTATTTTAGCCTCATGCTTCTATTCAGTTCACCTCTGTATGATGAATTCTTGATGTGTAACTCTCCTATAGATACTGGGTATGGAGATGAAAAAGAAAATAATTAAGAATAAAATGAAATAAAATATATGAAATTACTTTGCCTGATGCTTGAAATGACACAGGTGATCCCTAGAAATCTGTTTCTATTCTCCCTGAGATGAAGTCAAAATCCCTTGGCCCATAATATCATAATTAACTATAGTGAAAAAAAGCCCATATATGGAACCATGTTGTAATATGGTAGCTAATTCTAGATGATATAGCTACAGGGGAAAACAAAAAACAAAAAACAAAACCTAATCTGCTATCTCTGCCTCCAAAAGGGACTCCAGGTGGTTTGTGAAACATTCCAGTCTGATTCCATCTCACCCAAGGCCACCATTTCAGGCTGTCACCGAGGAAACTCCTTTGATGGAAGTCTGTCCTCCCAAACTTCCCAGGAAAGAGGCCCATCACATTCCAGGTACCTGATTGCAATGTTAGGGACAAAATGTGTCACTGGTCACCAAAAATCAAATATGCATTTTTAACTACTTCGATAGCCTCTGTTCCTTAAAATATGTATTTGCATAATATGTGTATACATATTCTTGGTCAAAGTATAATTAATAATTGTAGAAATATGCTATGAATGGCTCTCCTTTAAACAAACTAGGGCGAAAGTGGAAAAGATGCTTCTGATTTAATGAGATGTCTGAATTAGGTGTTACTTAAAATGTTTAAGTGCAGAACTCAAATGATGCTATCAGAAGATTATGTTGCAGAGATGTTAAAGGATCTGTTTTAATATATAAGAATATTTTATACCGCTAGATCCTTGTATTAAAATTAGTGCTTCTAAATCACATAGGAATTTAAAAGTCTATTCTTTGTAAATATTCTAACCCTACCCTTGTTATTTGGTGCACATAGTGAATTTGCTTATAAACACCTTCTCCAGAAACAAGAAATAGTCTATTTCTTCTTATTACCAGTTGAAATTATGGACACCTGGAGTCATGAGGTTTGACACTCCACCTATGGGGCAAGAGCTCCTGAGACTATCTGTATATCCCTACTTTCAAATAAAATTATAGCCTAGTAATACATAGTATTTTAAAAGGGAACATTTTTAAGACTAGTTTTATTGAGGTGTAACTTACATACTATAAAATTAACCTATTTTAAGTTTACAGTTTTGTATGGTTTGGCTGTGCCCCACTAAATCTCAACTTGAATTGTATCTCCCAGAATTCCCACGTGTTGTGGGAGGGACCCAGGGGGAGGTAATTGAATCATGGGGGCCAGTCTTTCCCATGCTATTCTCGATAGTGAGTAAATCTCATGAGATCTGATGGGTTTATCAGGGGTTTCCACTTTTGTCTCTTCTTCATTTTTCTCTTGCCACCACCATATAAGAAGCACCTTTCACTTCCCACCATGATTCTGAGGCCTTCTCAGCCATGTGGAACTGTAACTCCAATTAAACTTACTTATGTTCCCAGTTTGGGGTATTTATCAGCAGCAAGAAAATGAACTAATATAGTAAATTGGTACCAGTAGAGTGGGGCATTGCTGAAAAGATACCCAAAAGTGTGGAAGCAACTTTGGAACTGGGTAACAGGCAGAGATTGGAACAGTTTGAAGAGCTCAGAAGAAGACAGGGAAGTGTGGAAAAGTTTGGAACTTTACCTAGAGACTTGTTGAATGGCTTTGCCCAAAATGCTGATAGCGACATAGACAATAAAACCAGGCTGAGGTGGTCTCAGATGGAGATGAGGAACTTGTAGGGAACTGGAGCAAAGGTGACTCTTGTTATGTTTTAGCAAAGAGACTGGTGGCATTTTGCCCCTGTCCTAGAGATTTGTGGAACTTTGAACTTGAGAGAGATGATTTAGGTTACCTGGCGGAAGAAATTTCTAAACAGCAAAGCATTCAAGAGGTGACTTGGGTACTGTTAAAGGCATTCAGTTTTAAAAGGGAAACAGAGCATAAAAGTTCAGAAAATTTGCAGCCTGACTATGCAACAGAAAAGAAAAACCAATTTTCTGGGGAGAAATTCAAGCCAACTGCAGAAATTTGCATAAGTAAGGAGCAAGGAGCCTAATGTTAATCCCCAAGACCATGGGGAAAATGTCTCCAAGCCATGTCAGAGACCTTCACAGCAGCCCCTCCCATCACAGGCCCAGAGGCCCAGGAGGAAAAAGCAGTTTCGTGGGCTGGGCCCAGGGTCCTCATGCTGTGTGCAGCCGAGGGACTTGGTGCCGTGGGTCCCAACTGCTCCAGCTGTGGCTGAAAGGGGCCAATGTACAGCTCAGGATGTGACTTCAGAGGGTGGAAGCCCCAAGTCTCAGTAGCTTCCATGTGGTGTTGAGCCTGCAGGTGCACAGAAGTCAAGAATTGAGGTTTGGGAACCTCCGCCTATATTTCAGAAGATATATGGAAACTCCTGGATGCCCAGGCAAAAGTTTGCTGCAGGTGCAGGGCCCTCATGGAGAACCTCTGCTAGGGCAGTGCAGAAGGGAAATGTGGGGTTAGAGGCCCCACACAGAGTCCCTAATGGAGTGCTGCCAGGTGGAGCTGTGAGAAGAGGGCCACTGTCCTCCAGACCCCAGAATGGTAGTTCCACTGACAGCTTGGATCATGCACCTGGAAAAGCCGCAGACACTCAACACCAGCCTGTGAAAGCAGCCGAGAGGGAGGCTGTACCCTCCAAAGCCACAGGGTGGAGCTGCCCAAGACCATGGGAACCCACCTCTTGCATCAGTGTAACCTGGATGTGAGGCCTGGAGTTAAAGAAGATCATTTTGGAGCTTTAAAGTTTGACTGTCCTGCTGGACTTTGGACTTGCATGCCCCCTGTAGCCCCTTTGTTTTGGCCAATTTCTCCCATTTGAAACGGCTGTGTTTACCCAATACCTGTACCCCCATTGTATCTAGGAAGTAACTAACTTGCTTTTGATTTTACAGGCTCATAAGCGCAGGGACTTGCCTTGTCTCAGATGAGACTTTGGACTGTGGACTTTTGGGTTAATGCTGAAATGAGTTAAGACTCTGGGAGACTATTGGGAAGGCATGGTTGGTTTTGAAATGTGAGGATATGAGACTTGGAGGCGCAAGGGGTGGAATGATATGGTTTGGCTGTGTCCCCACTAAATCTCAGCTTGAATGTTATCTCCCAGAATTCTCATGTATTGTGGGAGGGACCCATGGGGAGATTATAAAATCATGGGGGCCAGTCTTTCCTGTACTATTCTCATGATAAGTCTCAGTGAATAAGTCTCACGAGATCTGATGGGTTTATCAGGGGTTTCTTCTTTTGCTGCTTCTTCATTTTTCTCTTGCTGCCACCATGTAAGAAGTGCCTTTCACATCCTGCCATGATTCTGAGGCCTCCCCAGCCATGTGGAACTGTAAGTCCAATTAAACCTGTTTATATTCCCAGTTTCAGGTATTTCTTTATCAACAGCGTGAAAACGAACTAATACACAGTTTAATGATTTTTAGTAAATTTACAGAATTGTGCAACTACCACTACAATCCAATTTAAGAACATTTTCATCACCCGAAAATGTCCCTTGTGCCCATCCCTTGTGTCACTCCCATTCCCACACCCAGCCCCAGATAACCACTAATATACTTTTTATTTCTATTGGGTTGCATTTCTAGACATTTCATATAAATGAATTCATACAGTCTGTGGCCTTTTGAATCTGGCTTCTTTCACTTAGCATAATGTTTTTGAGATTTATCCACATTATAGCATGTATTAGTAATTCATTCCTTTGTATTGTTAAACAATATTCTTTTTTTTCCTTTATTTCTTCTAAAGAAACAAACAAACAAAAAAAATGAGACACGTGCAGAACATGCAGGTTTGTTACATAGGTATATGAGTGCCATGATGGTTTGCTGCACCTATTGACCTGTCCCCTAAGTTCCCTCACCTCACCCCCAACCCCACCACAGGCCCTGGTGTGTGTTGTTCCTCCTCTGTATCCATGTGTTCTCAATGTTCAACTCCCACTTATGAGTGAGAACATGTGGTGTTTGGTTTTCTGTTCCTGTGTTAGTTTGCTGAGGATGATGGCTTCCAGCTTCATCCATGTCCCTGCAAAGCACACGATCTCTTTCCTTTCTGTGGTTGCATACTATTCCATGGTATATATGTACCACATTTTCTTTATCCAGTCTATCATTGATGGGTGTTTGGGTTGGTTCCGTGTCTTTGCTATTGTAAATAGTGCTGCAATAAACATATGTGTGCATGTGTCTTTATGTTCCTCTGGGTATATACCCAGTAATAGGATTGCTTGGTCAAATGGTATTTCTGGTTTCTAGATCTTTGAGGAATCGACATGCTATCTTCCACAACGGTTGAACTAATTTACATTCCCACCAACAGTGTAAAAGCATTCCTATTTCTCCACAGCCTCACCAGCATCTATTGTTTACTGATTTTTTGAAAATCGCCATTCTGACTGGCATGAGATGGTATCTCATTGTGGTTTTTATTTGCATTTCTTTGATGATCAGTGATGTTGAGCTTTTTTTCATATGTTTGTCAGCTGTGTAAATGTCTTCTTTTGAGAAATGACTGTTCATATCCTTTGCCCACTTTTTGATGGACTTGTCTGTTTTTTTCTTGTAAATATGTTTAACTTCCTTGTAAATTCTGGATATTAGACTTTTGTCAGATGGGTAGATTGGAAAAATTTTCTCCCATTCTGTAGGCTGCCTGTTCACTCTGATGATAGTTTATTTTGCTATGCAGAAGCCCTTTAGTTTAATTAAATCCCATTTGTCAATTGTGGCTTCTGTTGCAATTGCTTTTTGCATTTTAGTCATGAAGTCTTTGCCCATGCATGTGTCCTGAATGCTACTGCCTAGGTTTTCTTCTAGGGTTCTTATGGTTTTGGGTTTTACATTTAAGTCTTTAATCCATCTGGAGTTAATTTTTGTATAAGGTATAAGAAAGGAGTCCAGTTTCAGTTTTCTACCTATGGCTAGCCAGTTTTGCCAGCACCATTTACTGAATAGGAGATCTTTTCCCCATTGCTTGTTTTTGTCAGGTTTGTCAAAGATCAGATGGTTGTAGATGTGTGATGTTATTTCTGAGGTCTCTGTTCTGTTTCACTGCTCTATATGTCTGTTTTGGTACCAATACCATGCTGTTTTGGTTACTGTAGCCTTGTAGTATAGTTTGAAGTCAGATAGTGTGATGCCTCCAGCTTTGTTGTTTTTGCATAAGATTGTCTTGGCTATACGGCTCTCCTTTATTTTTATTTTTATTTTTTTATTTTTATTATTATTATTTTTTTGAGATGGAGTCTTGCTCTGTCACCCAGGCTGGAATGCAGTGGTGTGATCTTGGCTCACTGAAAGCTCCACCTCCCAGGTTCACGCCATTCTCCTGCCTCAGCCTGCCGAGTAGCTGGGACTACAGGCGCCCACCACCAAGCCTGGCTAATTTTTTTTTTTTTTTTTTCTTAGTAGAGACAGGGTTTCACTGTGTTAGCCAGGATGGTCTTGATCTCCTGACCTTGTGATCCGCCCACCTCGGCCTCCCAAAGTGCTGGGATTACAGGCGCGATCCACCGTGCCCAGCCTATGGGTCTCCTTTGATAGTTCTTTGATACCATATACAATTTAAAATAAATTTTAAATTTAATTTATTTTAAATTCATTATTTTAAAAAAATAAAATAAGTGTTTTTTTTTTTTCTAATTCTGTGAAGAATGTCAATGGTAGTTTGATGGGAATAGCATTTAATCTATAAATTACTTTGGGCAGTGTGGCCATTTTCACAATATTGATTCTTCCTATTCAGGAAGATGGAATGTTTTTCCATTTGTTTGTGTCCTCTTATTTCCCTGAGCAGTGGTTTGTAGTTCTCCTTGAAAAGGTCCTTCATATCCCTTGTTAGCTGTATTTCTAGGTATTGTATTATCTTTGTAGCAATTGTGAATGGGAGTTCATTCATGATTTGGCTCGCTGCTTACCTATTGTTGGTGTAAAGGAATGCTTGTGATTTTTGCACATTGATTTTGTATACTGAGACTGCTGAAGTTGCTTAGCAGTTCAAGAAGTTTTTGGGCTGAGATGATGGGGTTTTCTATATAAAAATTATGTTGTCTGGACACTTGAGACAACTTGAGTTCCTCTCTTCCTATTTTAATACCCTTTATTCCTTTCTCTTGCCTTATTGCCCTGGCCATAACTTCCAATACTGTGTTGAATAGGAGTGGTAAGAGAGGGCATCCTTATCTTGTACCAGTTTTCAAAGGGAATGCTTCCAGCTTTTGCCCATTCAATAGGATATTGGCTATGGTTTGTCATAAACAGCTCTTATTATTTTGAGATATGTTCCATCATT
The DNA here is from genome assembly GCF_000001405.40 of Homo sapiens. NCBI lineage: Eukaryota > Metazoa > Chordata > Mammalia > Primates > Hominidae > Homo > Homo sapiens. Next base: position 209,799,751 of record NC_000002.12, read on the forward strand.
ACCTAGGTATTGAGAATTTTTAACATGAAGGGATGTTGGGTTTTATCAAAGGTCTTTTCTGTGTCTATTGAGATAATCATGTGCCTTTTGTCTTTCGTTCTGTTTATGTGATGAATTACGTTTATTGATTTGCATATGTTGAACCAACCTTGCTTCCCAGTGATGAAGCCAACTTGGTCATGGTGGACATCTTTTTTGATGTGCTGCTGCATTTGGTTTGCCAGTATTTTATTGAGGATTTTTGCATCAATGTTCATCAGAGATATTAGCCTGAAATTTTTTTTGTTGTGTCTCTTCCTGGTGTTGGTATCAGGATGATGCTGGCTTCATAAATGAGTTAGGGAGGAATCCCTCCTTTTTAATTGTTTGGAATAGTTTCAGAAGGAATGGTACCAGCTCTTCTTTGTATTTCTGGCAGCTGTGAATCCATCTGGTCCTGGGCTTTTTTTGGTTGGTAGGCTATTAATTACTGCATCAATTTCAGAGCTTGCTATTGGGCTATTCGGGGATTCAAATTCTTCCTGGTTTAGTCTTGGTAGGGTGTATGCATCCAGGAATTTATCCCTTTCTTCTAGATTTTCTAATTTATTTGCATAGAGGTGTTTATAGTATTCTCTGATGGTAGTTTGCATTTCTGTGGGGTCATTGGTGATATCCCCTTTATCATTTTTTACTGTGTCTATTTGATTCTTCTCTCTCTTCTTTATTAGTCTAGCTAGTGGTCTATTTGTTTTGTTATTTAAAAAAAAAAAAACAGCTCCTGGATTTGTTGATTTTTTGTAAGGTTTTTCATGTCCCTATCTTCTTCAGTTCTTCCCTGATCTTAGTTATTTCTTGTCTTCTGCTAGCTTTTGGATTAGTTTATTCTTGCCTTTCTAGCTCTTTTAATTGTGATGTTAGCAGGTCAATTTTAGATCTTTTTAGCTTTCTGATATGGACATTTAGTGCTATAAATCTCCCTCTAAACACTGCTTTAGCTGTGTCCCAAAGATTCTGGTACGTTGTCTCTTTGTTCTCATTGGTTTCAAATAACTTCTTGATTTCTGCCTTAATTTCATTATTTACCCAGGAGTCATTCAGGAGCAAGTTGTTCAATTTTCATGAAATCATGTGGTTTTGAGTTTCTTAATCCCAATTTCTAATTTGATTACACTGTGGTCTGTGAGACTGTTTGTTATGATTTCAGTTCTATTGCATTTGCTGAGGAGTGTTCTACTTCCAATTATGTAGTCGATTTTAGAATAAGTGCCAAGTGACACTGAGAAGAATGAATATTCTGTTGACTTGGGGTAGAGAGTTCTGTAAACGTCTACTAAGTCTGCTTGATCTAGAGCTTAGTTCAAGCCCTGAATATCCTTGTTAATTTTCTGTCTCATTGATCTGTGTAATACTGACATTGGGGTGTTAAAGTCTCCCACTATTACTGTTTGGGAGTCTAAGTCTCTTTTTAGGTCTCTAAGAACTTGTTTTATGAATCTGGGTGCTCCTGTATTGGGTACATATATATTTAAAATAGCTCTTCCTATTGAATTGTTCCCTTCACCATTATGTAATGCCTTTCTTTGCCTTTTTTGATCTTTGCTGGTTTAAAGTCTGTTTTGTCAGAGACTAGGATTGCAACCCCTGCTTTTTTTTTTTTTTTTTTTTTTTTTGACGGAATCTTCCTCTGTTGTCCAGGCTGAAGTGCAGTGGCACAATCTCGGCTCACTGCAATCTCTGCCTCTTGGATTCAAGCGATTCTCCTGCCTCAGCCTCCCGAGTAGCTGGGATTACAGGTGCCTGCTACCACGCCTGACTAATTTTTGTATTTTTAGTAGAGATGGGGTTTCACCATGTAGGCCAGGCTGGTCTTGAACTCCAGACCTTGTGATCCACCCACCTCGGCCTCCCAAAGTGCTGGGATTACAGGTGTGATCTACCATGCCCGGCCAACCCCTGCTTTTTTTTTTTTTTTTTGCTTTTTATCTGACTTACCTTTTCATTTGATAATTTTTAAATGATCTACCTCCAACTGGCACTAGAATCAGGCTACATGGGTGCATTGTTTTTGAAAGATTTCTTAGAATTGTTTAAAGCACAGTCATATTAATACAATTTTTTAACCAAAATACTACTATCTTGCGCTTTAAAAAAATAATATGTAAATAATGTATATGTCTTTGTGTCTTTCTTTGGACTTTAAAAGCAAGTGGCCTAGTTGAATAATCTTCTGCTGGTAGAGAATATGAAATTTTGATAGCAATTTTGGTTGTGTAAACAGGGTTGTTTGTATTTATCCACTGATTTACTGTCCCAGGTCAATGGCGATAAGCATTTAAAATTATATAATATACATGGAATCTTAAAAAGTGTTGAACTTGTAGAAGTAGAGTAGAATGGTAGTTATCAGAAGCTGGGAGAGGGGGATGGATGGGGAAAGGGAGATGTTGATCAAAGGGTATAAAATTTCAGTTAGATGAGAGGAAGGAGCTTTAGTGATCTGTTGCACAGAGTGGTGACTATAATAAACAATAAAGCATTGTTTATTTCAAAATTATTAAAAGAGCAGGTTTTAAATATTTTTACCACAAAAAAAGTATGTGAGATGATGATGAATCTGTAACTTAGTTTGAGTTAATCATGCCATAATATGAACATATATTAAAACATCACATTGTACTTCATAAATATATAATATTATCCATCAATTTAAAACAAAAATTTGAAAGTTAAAAATTTTAAAAGTAATATGGAAGGAACTCTGTGAGGATAATCAATCCCATCTCCTATAACTTAGCTAATGTACTAACAACTTTAAGCAATGATCAATTTAGTGCTCCCTCTTGAAGTTTGTTTTAGTTTTAGGTAGCTCTGTTTAGTGGAATGTCCTTCTTATACATCATCAAAATTTGTTTTTCTGTAGTTTCTGTCTATGGTTCTTGCATTTTTTTTAACTTCTCTGTAACACACATTTATTATCTTTCGATTTTAGGGGAAAACCCAGGCACAAGTTAGTTGAGTTCTCTGCTTCAGGGTCTTACCAAGCTGAAATCTAGGTGTTGGCATGGACTGCAGTTGCCTCACAGGCTTAACTGGGGAAATATCCAGTTACAGTTTCTCTCAGGTTGTTGACAGAATTCATTTCCTTGCAGTTCTAGGACTAAGGTCCTTGTTTTCTTGCTGGATATTGGCTGGTGACTGGTCTTAGTTTCTGAAGCCTGCCCACAGTTATTTTCCACATGGCCCTCTTCATAAGCTACCTCAAAATATGGTAGCTGATTTGTTCAAAACCAGCAAGGGAGAGAAATCCTCTCTAATTCCAGTCTGCTAATACAGTGTTTACAATGTGACACAACCACAGGAGTGATGTCTCATTACCTTTGTCATATAAGGTAACCTAATTATGGGAGTGACATCCCTTTACCTTTTCCATATTTTATTGGTCATAAATACATCACAGTTCCTGCCTGCACTCAAGAGAAGATGATAAAGGGTGTGAACACCATCAGATGGGAATCAAGGGCGTTTCTCCTAAAATCTGGCTACACAGTTCTTTTGAAGATGTACAAACTCTTCCTATATTAGCCTTCCACTGACTCAAAAGTAACCATTATGACCACCAGCACCTCCACAAGGGTTTCATTTTATTTGATGACAACAAAGTTATCAATGACATAATTAAATCAGATTTGGGGAAAGGTAGTTACTTAGGACACAGACTAAGAGAATAACAATAAGAACTACCTTTTTGGATATCTATGTGTACAAAATTGTACTAGAGTCTCTACATTTATTGTATTATTTAAATATTCATATATTCATTTATTTCTATGTCAGTATATGCCACCATTATTGGCCTAGATATTCTAGTCAAAAATATGAGGTTCACTCCACATCAAGTCCTTTACATTCTGCCTTCTTAATGTCTGTCAAATCTTTTTTCTCCAACCTCATAGTCACTGGCTTGGTTCATATCCTTATCATTTCTTACTTGGATTTCTTTTTTTAATTTAATTTTTTAGAGACAGGGTCTCACTCTGCCACTGAGACTGGAGTGCAGTGGCATGATGACAGCTCACTGTAACCTCAGACTCCTAGGCTTAAGCAATTCTTCTGCCACAGCCTCCCAAGTGGATAAGAATACAATGTGCACCATCAAGTCCCACTATTTTTAAAAACATTTTTTTTGTAGAGACGTGGTCTTGCTATGTTGCCCAGGCTGGTCTTGAACCCCTGGCCTCAAGTGATCCTCCTGCCTCAGCCTTTCACAGTGCTGGGATTACAGGTGTGAGCTGCCATTCCCAGCCTTTATTTAGATTTCTGCAACTGCTTCCAAACAAGTATTTCTACATTAATCATTACTTCCTACTCATCTATTACCTATGAGATGTTACCAAAGTGATTTAAAATACCTGTGGACTAAAGAGATATGGTTATCTGCACCAAACACGCCCAACATACAGTGGTAAAATAGGCATAGGATACCTGCTCTGGACATGTATAATCAAAGAGAGAAAATGAGAGGCACTCGTCCTTATTAGTTTTGAAATTAAGGTGGAAAAATATTGGAAGGTCCTTGATTAAAACTCAGTGCTATTCCTGCCCATGGTTCTTGGCTCCACCCTCTGGGCTATTAATTCTATCCTCCAAATCAGCTTTCCTTTTTCAAAAAAGATTGCATGTGTTTACAGCTGAGTAGTTTCCTCAGCTTGCTTCCTGCCAGTAAAGTTTTGGGAGTCTAATAGCCTCTTTTTTCCTCTTGTACTGTCTCTGGAAGTGTTTTTGCTGATACAATTATTTTTAAAACTTTGTGGGTTCACTGTGAATCTTTTTAGGGTCCACTAGAATGGAAAAAATCCACATCTACAAATCTCTGAGATAATCTCATTTCTATTTTGTGCTTCTGTTGAACCTCTAAGAAACTTAAGTGCCCTTAAGTTTCTTAGAAGTTATATATATATATATGTAAAAAAGTTATAAATATTTGGATTTGAATCACACTCTCAACATTTAATTTAGAGAGTTTTTTTTTTGTTTTGTTTTGTTTTTTTTTTGAGACAAAGTCTCGCTCTGTCACCCAGGCTGGAGTGTAGTGGCGCAATCTCGGCTCACTGCAAGCTCCGAAAGGGCCTTTTATCTAATGGAACGGTATTCTTGGGTATGGCCTGAGATCATTCTGAAGTCAACAAATGACTGTGCAACTCCCACCCTTGGCTTCATCTTTAGACCACATTTTTCCAAAAGTTCTTTATATTTGATGTATTATCAGAAGCCATTTCTTAATTTTAGCATTATTTCCCATCTGGAGAAGCTGAGATTTTTCAAAATCAAGTTCCAGCTCATTAGTCTTTAACAGTTCTTCCTTTAGTTCATAACTTTTCTCCCTCAACTTACTATAAGAGCAAGAAGAAATTAGAAGGCACCTTCAACATTTTATTTGGAAGTCTCCTTTGTTAGATCACCCAGTTTGTTAGGCACTTATTTTTTAACTTTCCACATCACAGCTAAGCAACTTTCTGTTACTACATAACAAGGATTCTCCTTCTCCAGTTCCCAATAGTACACTCCTTACTTCTTGTTAAGAAACAATTTTCAAAATTAGGGTTTTATCTTGGTTCCAAAATCTGTATTAGCTGTCAATTTCTATGTAACAAATTATCCCAAATCCTAGCAGTTTAAAACAAAGGACGTTTATTTTTTTGCATAGTTTCTGAGGATCATGAATGCTGAAACAGCTTAGCTGAGTGATTGTGGCACAGAGTCTCTCAAGCTGTTGGCCAGGCCTGCAGGTATCTGAAGGCTTGACTGGTCTGAAGGCTTTGCTTTCAAGCTCACTCAGATGGCCATTGGCCAGAGGACACAATTCCTCACCATCTGTGTCTCTCCATAGGGCTGCTCATAACATAGAATCTGGTTTCCCCAAAACAAATTATTCAAGAAAGAAAGGGAGCATCAAAAATGGATGCTTTTATAACCTAATCTTCTATAACCTAATCTTCTATAACCTAATCTTTTATAACCTAATCTTTTATAACCTAATCTTTTACAACCTAATCTCTGAAATGACATACCATCAATTCTGCTATACTCTTTGGATCACACCAACTAATTTTAGTGCAGAGTGGGAAGGGACCACAATAGAATGTGAATAGCAGGAGGCAGGGATCATCGGGGGCTATGTTGGAGGCTGGCTGTAATAATGATAATGTCACCATCATTTAATATATTAAAATTTTTGTGGCTATTTCTGTACATATTTTTTCACATCAATTGTTGAGCATTCCTTGTCCACTAATTCTGTTTTATACAAATTCCAAAAAGTTTAACTTAATTTCAAATAAGAGTAAGTAATCTTTTACTTCAAATGCTACGCTTCTGTCTGACTTTTAAACATATCATAAAAACCAAGAACAGTGTAAAATCCTGAGGTCATAAAAATATTCATTAGCTTATATTTCTTATATAATCTTTCTCATCCATAATAAGCATAGAAATTTACAAATATAGACATGTAGACAGTAAATGATGTTTCTTTTCTCTGACAAAATCAAGTGTTAATGGTTCCATTCTGATTTGCCAGTAAAAACAAAAGCCAGCTATAATGTTCAAGACTACTATTTGTGAACAGATATTTTTTTCTTATTCTCTGATATGTCAATACTCAAGCTCTCTCTCTATATATATATTTATATGCATTCCCTGACATATATGTGCGTAGTCGCCCACAGCAACGTACACCCACATGTGTTAATTAGACATGAATCAGTGGCACTTTGGAAAAATGAATGAGGTTTTCTCTCTGCCCAGCTGCAGTGGTTGGTTGCCATGGAAATGATGCAAAGTAAAACTTTCAGAAAATACAAATGTTCATGTGTCTTTATTGGAAGAGCTCATGCATTAATCAGAAAAGAAGAGAACTTTAATAACAAAACAATGCCAATATCCTAGTAACAAAAGCTGTCTGCATGTATCAAATACAATTCATTATCTCTTTTGCTCTGAACTTAAGTGAACTGCACATCAGTCTTCTCTGCACTCTGCAATAAGTAAACAGGTAGCTAGTTTTTAAATTAATGTTAGATTTCATCTTTAATTACTATATGCAGAGAGTTGATTTATGCTTCAGTAAATACTGCATAGAGTCAAGACTGACAGTTCTTTGCTTCCATAGATTGTTATTTCCGGAGTGCTTATCTGCCTTCAATACTTTCTGCTATCAGGTCTCAACCCTAATTAATGATAACTTGACTTTCCAAAGCCATAGTTGCTTGGAAAGTAGACTAAAGAAATTCTTGCCAGTTTTGAAATTCTTTTCTGTCATAACATGTTGTTTATTCTTATGCATATAATTTTGTATAGGGTCAATTACAGAAAAAATGTAAACACATACAATATTTTTAAAATAAGTGAAAATCATCCATGAGCCATCAGGTAGCTATAAACATTAATAACTTTTTATATATGTGCTTTTCTTCATTATTTTTACATATATCATTTAGAAGAAAAGTTGTATTCATATTATTTTATAACATTTTCATTTTTAATTTTTTCCAGGAAATAACTTTTAGATTCAGAGGATATTAGAGTTGAAAAGAACTTTTCTATCACATGATCTAAGAAGCTTCCCTCATGTCATTTTTTTTTTTTTTTTTTGAGACGGAGTCTTGCTGTGTCGCCCAGGCTGGAGTGCAGTGGTGCTGTCTCGGCTCACTGCAAGCTCTGCCTCCTGGGTTCACGCCATTCTTCTGCCTCAGCCTCCCAAGTAGCTGGGACTATAGGCGCCCACCACCACGCCCAGCTATTTTTTGTATTTTTAGTAGAAACGGGGTTTCACCGTGTTAGCCAGGATGGTCTCGATCTCCTGACCTCGTGATCCGCCTGCCTCAGCCTCCCAAAGTGCTCAGATTACAGGCATGAGCCACCACACCTGGCCTCCCTCATGTCATTTTTATCCAGTTGTGAAAATTTATTTCTCACATGTTAGTCTGCTGGTTAATTAAAATGACTTTTATTGGATGGTGATACTTTGATCGTACCTGATAATACTATCTTAAATGAAATAAAAATATTTATTGATAGTTCTTGCTTTTTATTGAATATTAAGTGCAGTACAGCTCACACATTAAGTCAAATAAACTAGTGATTGGATAACACCTTAAAGGGAGGTACTTAAATATTTGCTACTGAACGTCTTGTTAATTTATTGATATTTTCAAATGGAGTCTCTTTCAATATCAATCAATTGAAATGTGATTTTACTTAACAAATTTTGATTACATAAGATACGGATATGTTTCTAGTCTCTGATCACAGCCTTATGTTGTTGGAGTCTTGCTGTTCTGCAGCCCATCATCTGCTGAACTAACATGCCCTGTTAGAAAATAGTTAATGCTTATGGGACTCAACTGTACAGTTGGTAATTACTTTCAAACAATACATTTTGTATATAGAGAAAGATACCAATTTAGTCATCTGTTGCCCTCAGGGACAACACCGTCAGCGTATCTTCTCAGTTACGGTGATTCCATATAGGATTATTAAGAGTGTTCAAGGCTGGGCGTGGTGGTTCACGCCTGTAATCCTAGCACTTTGGGAAGCCGAGGCGAGTGGGTCACCTGAGGTCAGATGTTCGAGACCAGCCTGGCCAACATGGAGAAACCTCCTCTCTACTAAAAATACAAAAATTAGCCAGGCGTCGTGGCGGGCACCTGTAATCTCAGCTACTCAGGAGATTGAGGCAGGAGAATCACTTGAACCCGGAAGCGGAGGTTGTAGTGAGCCGATATCGCGCCACTAAAAAAAAAAAAAAAAAAAGTAAGGCGGGCCCAGGCTGCTACTGCGCGAGCCCAGCCAGGCCCGGCCCACTTGCTCAGAGCGTGGCCTTAGGGGGAGGCACGCCTCCAATTGGCGCGAAAGTGATAAAGAGGCGTGGCCGGAAAGGTCCCACCCTGCTCCCCTGGAGTACTTAAGGGAGTTGGCGGAGCGGCTGCACTCATTGCTCCAAGGCTCGGCCTAGTGAGTGGGTCGCCTGCGCTACTTCTGCGCTACTCAGCGACCTCGTTGCCTCTGCCACCATGCCGCGCTCTTTCCTCGTCAGGAAGCTCCCTGACCCTGATCGGAAGCCCAACTACAGCAAACTGCCGGACTCGAATCCAGAGTTTACCTTCCAGCAGCAGCCCTACCACCAGGCCCACCTTAACTCCACTGCTTTGCTGCCAACACTCATCTGGGACGCCTTCCTGGCGCTCCAAGCACAACCAACTGCCAGGGCCTCCCTCCAACTGAGACTCCCCCAAGAGAGTTTCAAGGCGGCAGAACTGACCTCACTGTCGGATGAGGACAGCGGGAAAGGCTCCCAGTCCCCCAGCCCACGTTCACAGCCTTCTTCGTCTTTCTCCTCCACTTCAGCTTCTTCCTTGGAGGCGGAGGCCGATACCACCTTCCCAGGCTTGGGCCAAGTGTGCAAGCAGCTGGCCCAGGTCTCTGAGGCCAAGGATTCCCAGTTTCAAAAAGCCTTCAACTGCCAATACTGCAATAAGGAATGCCTCAGCCTGGGTGCCCTCAAGAAACACATCCGAAGCCACACGCTGCCCTTCGCCTGCGAAACCTGCGGGAAGGCCTTCTCCAGACCCTGGCTGCTGCGGGGCCATGTCCGGACCCACACTGGTGAGAAGCCCTTCTCCTGTACCCACTGCAGCCGTGCCTTCGCCGACCGCTCCAACCTGCGGGCCCACCTCCAGACCCACTTGGACGTCAAGAAGTACCAGTGCCAGGCGTGCGCTCGAACCTTCTCCCGAATGGCCCTGCTCCACAAGCACCAAGAGTCGGGCTGCTCAGGGGGCCCTCGCTGACCCTAGAGGCTCCCTCTTCCTCTCCCTACCAGACACCCTGCCCCCGCCAACCAACAGCCTCCCCAAGCTCCAGAAGGAAGGAGTACACCATGTCCTCATGCCACAGAATTCCCTCCTGAGCGCCCCCATTTCTGGATGCATCAGCCGCACGGGACTTTGATGAAAACCATTTTCCGGTTCTGTTTCCTCTGCTGGATCCTTCAGTGGACTCTGAAAGAGGCCTTCCCGTGGCCATGTCTGTGGATGGCTGGCGGGAGGGCAGCTGGCAGCCCCAGCTTGGGGGCATTCTTGAACTGGCTTTTCTGCATGTGTTTGTGTATTTAGAACTGTTTGGATACAGCTGTTTGAGCTACAGGACAAGAGCTGACAGACAGTGTCCACCCCAGTCAGGGGACCCTCCCCACTCCTTCCCCGAAGGAGCCCTCAGGCCACCCTCCGCGAGGTTTGACTATGCAATAATCCACCCCCAGTTTCAGCCATGGGGCCTTCGAAGGCGGTGGCTGACACCAGGACGTGTCAGAGCCTAAGATGCTCTGGGCCTGAGCAGCTATTTCAGCTTCCTGTTTGGTGTGGTTGGCACCTGTTTCCCAGGCAATTTAACAATGTCTCAAGAGGGACTGTAAGTAATGGTTGTCACTTGTCGGTGGCCTAAGTGGGGTGCTCTGGTCTGCCCAATGTATCTCCCAGAACTATTTTGGGAACCCAACAGGTAGGCCTGGGAGGAAGATGTTTACATTTTTAAAAGTACATTGGTACTTATATTTCATACATTTTGTATCAAGGAAACGTTTTGTATAGTTAATGTGTGCAGTTTATTGATATCCAATAAAGCAATTTGTGTATTTTTTAAAAAGAGTATTCAAGGAGTACCTGAGAATGTTGTTTAAAATAAAGATTCCTGGACCTCATCCTCTGAAATTCTGGTTTAGGAAGTCTGGGGCAAGACCTGGTGCCTGCGTTTTTAACAACCTCCCTCCTTCGTATCCTTCTTGGAAGGAAGGATTCTCATGAACGTGGTTCATGGTTATCTCATATGGAGCACTGCTCTAGGGATTTGAAGTAATTTATGGAACTCCCTAATCTAATTTACTAACTAGAAACATTTGGGGACTTTAAAGTGTGGGGCAGAGGGTAACGGGTGAAGAACAACTACCAGCTATTCCAATGGGGAGGAAATAATTTGGTCGAACTAATAATAACTGTCTTAACCACAGCAGACTAGTCAAGAAAACAACAGTTTCACAGGCTCTTATAATAAATCAAATGATTTTCACAAAGCCTTGAGGACCTAAAATTACCCAGCTGGTAGCCAGCCAACCCTATACTTTGTCTTTTGTTTATAAATCCAAGATTACAGCATGGGGGTGGGGGGAAGGAAATCCTGTCATCTGAGGTATAAATGATAGGCTGAGAGGAGTGGGTTGCGTGCGTCATTCATCTTTAAGAAGGAGAAATGGGATGGGTGGGCGAAGGGAGAGCAGTGAAAGCCTTTTAGGAAATGGGTAGAAATGAAAATCAAAGTTTTTAGTTTCCTTCAAACTGGGTCTCAGGATACACAAGTGGCACTCAGGGTCTCAGGAGTAATCAAGTGGCATGCTGGACAATTTGAGAAAATATTAAAACAGGGCTTTTTACCCAAAAATGTATTTGGGGCTGAGAGGCAATAAATCAATAACTGGCACACCAGGGCAAGCATAATAGAGAATGAGTTTGGAATGGTAAACCCAGCCAGACTATTCAGGCCTGGTTCACTACTGTAAGGGAGCTTGCATTTTATTCTAAGGGGATTGAATAATATATTGAAAGGATTTGAGCCAGGGAGTGGAGGAATAAGAGGAAAAACTAGTAGATTAATAGGAAGTAATTGCAATAAGCCTGATGAGAGATGTTAGTGGCTAGAACTAGGGTGGTGTCTGTGGAACTGATGAGAAGTGGTTGGAAGGAGATTCTGTAAGACTTTATGATAGATTAAAAGTTGTCACAAAACGGATGTCCAAAGAATATTCTAGGTCTCTGGAAAAAGGATAAACTCTGGCATAGCATATACGGGAATTTAGGGATTGTAGAAGGCTTCTTTTCATATGACTGCCAACTCACTTCTGTGTTTGAACTTCAGTTTATATTTATTTCCTACTTGTCAAAATATTCAAGAATATTAGACTGTAAGATAGCATTGAAATTCAAAACCATTGTGTACACAGGCAATTGTACCTCAATCCATCAGACAATGCTATTAACAAGAGAAAAAATAATAAAGTATGGTATGTGCTTCGATAGGGAAGTAGAAGAGCTGTAAAAATAATTTGCAGGGCACAGATACGGTTTGGATTTGTATTTTTGAACTTTTTACTGAAACCCACAGTCAGAAATGTATTTTACCAATGACTCAAAACAAATGGTCATTAAGTGAGACAAAAGTTTCACCAAACATCCAAGTCCTTACTCCATAGTATTTTTGTTTTTGTTTTTGTTCTGTTTTGTTTTTTTGAGATGGAGTCTCGCTCCGTAGCCCAGGCTGGAGTGCAGTGGCGCTATCTCGGCTCACTGCAAGCTCCGCCTCCCGGGTTCACGCCATTCTCCTGCCTCAGCCTCCGGAGTAGCTGAGACTACAGGCGCCCGCCACCAAGAGCGGCTAATTTTTTTTTTTTTTTTTCTATTTTTAGTAGAGACGGGGTTTCACCGTGTTAGCCAGGATGGTGTCGACCTCCTGACCCCGTGATCCGTCCGCCTCGGCCTCCCAAAGTGCTGGGATTACAGGCGTGAGCCACCGCGCCTGGCACCATAGTTTTTATTCTAGTTAATAGGTTAAAATAGTAGCTGTGTCCTATGGAATTATTTTCTTGAACCACTAGTGAGCCGTAGATTTTTTAATTAAAAAAATATGAGCCTAAGAAGTTTAGGAAAATCCCTACTCACTCTCTGTGGCTGCGTTTTTTGTGAGAGCACTTTGTATGTGGGTAGCATCATTTGCTAGTTCATGGTAGGGTACAAACATCTCTCTTTTGCATCACCTAAATCAGAAGGAAATTGTGCTTGGGAGTTAAGTTTAGATTTTAGATTTAAGATACCATCTTGGATCCCGGAAGTTCTAAGTTTATATTTTGTCACTTATTGTCTGTCTTTCTTACCAGACCACATGTTCAAGGTGAGAAAGTTAAACTTACCTTTAAATCTGAATTTTGTGGGACACAAACATTCAATTTGTTGAACCTAAGATACATAGGATGGTGTATTAATCTGAGTAATTTCTTAAAACTACTTTGTAGTAGAATTAAATTGAACACTAGGTAATGAATATATTATGTGTTCAAATTGAATAATAGAATCCCAGGAACTTGAGATTTTTAAAAAATTAGTCTTGCTCTCTTGCAAGGATATATAACTTTAGAATTTTCAAACTTATTTTATTTATTTTCCTCATAGCAAAACTTCTGTTTCTTAGCATTTTGTAGCTTTTCCTTAGTTATTTTACATAATATTTTCACAACTGAAATTAAAATAGCTCAATGAAGTAGGCAAGGCAAATATCATTTCTGTTTCTATCAGGGTAAAAGTCAAACCTGATCTTAGCATAAAGGAAGCATTTTAATCTGAACCTCATCTATTTCTATAGCTCTCACTCTCATCATTGTCCATCACCCAAATTACTCACCAATTACTTAGGGTCTCCCCTTCAAACTCGTGGTTTTTAAAATTCATGCCTTTGTAGGCATTGTTCCCTCTGACAGAAATGCTAATCCTCCCTCCTGCCCAAACCTCAACTTTGCCTTGCTAATTCCTATCCATCCTTCAAAACTCTCTCAATATCTCTACTTTCAGGAGATGTTTAGTGAAAGTGGAATGAGAGAGACCAGTTGGAAGGATATTAGAGTAAACTACGTAAGAAACAAGTAAATGAATAACTAAACAAATGAGAAAAGTAGAGCTATAAGCCATGCTGTGCTGCCCCTCTGAAAGCTTGATTGTCAGTATAATTATCTTCTTTCTGCCATGGAACAGGGCCTCTCTTGTGATACCTCCGTGCCAAAGGTCCCGCTATGCCACCTACTTTGACGTTGCTGTTCTGCGCTGCCTACTTCAGCCCCATTGGTCTGAGGAAGGCACTCAGTGGTCTCTGATGTACTATCTACAAAGGCTGCGACACATGTTGGAAGAGAAGCCAGAAAAGCCTCCGGAGCCAGATATTCCTCTCCTGCCCAGACCCAGGAGTAGCTCCATGGTGGCAGCAGCTCCCTCACTAGTGAACACCCACAAAACCCAAGTAAGAAAAACCCGGTTCATTGTCATTCAAACCAGCAACTTTGCCATAATGGATTCTTTTTTTCTCTGTGCATCCAGCTCTTAGGTACTCTAGTGCTGACTTTTTGGTTGGTGGGTTACACTGTTTCTATTATCTTTTCCCTTCCATCTTGCATGCTTGACCCTTTGCTGGCTTTAGCACTTAATCATTTGAAGAAGTGCACCTCTTGCACATGCTAATTTAGTATAAGTCTTTGTTTATCTGGAATAGTGGAAAATTGGGTCTTCTGGATAATCAAAGTAGTAATTAATAGAGAGTTCTGACATTAAATCTGTTGATTACCAATATCATAAAATCTGTAACATAGGATTTTACTAAACGTGATGTAACCTCTTTTGCATAACTCAACATTTCCAGTGTCTTTTTTTTTTTTGAGATGAAGTCTCGCTCTGTCGCCCAGGCTGGGGTGCAGTGGCACGATCTTGGCTCACTGCAAGCTCCGCCTACCGGGTTCACGCCATTCTCCTGCCTCAGCCTCCTGAGTAGCTGGGACTGCAGGACTACAGGCGCCCGCCACCACACCCGGCTAATTTTTTTGTATTTTTTCAGTAGAGACAGGGTTTCACCGTGTTAGCCAGGATTGTCTCGATCTCCTGACCTCGTGATCCACCTGCTTTAGCCTCCCAAAGTGCTGGGATTACAGGCATGAGCCACCGCGCCTGGCCAACATTTTCCAGTGTCTTAATGTCATCATTAGGAATATTGCATTTTGATAGTCTTGCTATTTATTATAAATGTTTAGAGAAGTAAACTGAATGTGTACTGATATGGTGATATCTTCATGGCAATTGCTTTTTGGTAAATGAATGACCTAATACCAGCTTGAACACTTGTTCTTGCCCTCTTTCTCGTCAACACCAGGTGTTGAAAATGTAGAGAAAAATGTGACTTGTAGTGTGTTCCAGTTGTTTGGATTTACTTAAATGTGAATTGGCTGAGTCTGAAATTTTTTTCTGCATATTCTGAAAACAAACATGAGCAATAGCAGAGTTAAAAGGAAATATAATCTGTTTTAGTAGTAGATATTCTGCCTAAGTGGATATCTGCTTTACTGAATCAT
This sequence comes from Homo sapiens, assembly GCF_000001405.40. NCBI lineage: Eukaryota > Metazoa > Chordata > Mammalia > Primates > Hominidae > Homo > Homo sapiens. The sequence continues at coordinate 209,814,941 of NC_000002.12, forward strand.
TCAATGGAAAAAACAAAACAAAACACTCTTTTTAATTAAAAAAAAAAGAGAGATCCATCTTCTCTCTATTTTCTTAGCATTCTAAATCTGGGGCTACATGACCTCACTACTGAAAACTTCAAACAGAAATTACAATTAATATGAAATATATATTCTCACTAGCAGAATTTGGATTCCAGAAGTCCAGACATACAAGTTCAATTGTTCAAAGATGTCAAAGCTATAGGCGCATCCCTATTAAAAATGTGACATTTCAATAAGAACAGTATTTGGATGTAAAGTCCTAAGTCCTTGATCACTGTCTACCTTTATTAAGGATCTCACCATGAAGTGTAACGAGGAGGAAAAATCTCTTAGCTCTGAGGCCTTTTCCAAGGTTTCACTGACCAATCTGCGTAGATCTGCAGTCCCAGATCTTTCTTCAGACCTGGGCATGAATATTTTTAAAAAGGTGAGTAGAAATGCTTATGCTCTTTGATATTTTGGTAAATAAAAAATGTCAGTGGGACATGAGATGTTTCTGATGATACTGCAGTATGGGGTGAGGTGGGAAAGGGAACTTAGAAACCGAAGTCAGCTCCTAGATGTGACACTGACTTGCAGCATACCCCTGTGCAAGTCCCTCTGTGTGAATGAGTGAACTTCCTATTCTAAATGCTCCACAGGGTTGTCATGAAGCTCAATTCTGATCATATGCATAAAGCAGTGTAAAGTAGTGTGGTGGTGGAAGTAGTTGTGGTAACGATGATGGTAACTTTCAACTCATTTTTGGTTCAACTCATTTTTATCAAGTACTTTATATAAATAGTTCTCATTTAATCCAATGACATCCTTATTCTCCTCATTTTGCAGGTAAGAAATTGACCCTTAGAAATTTTAGGTAGTTTGCCCAAGATTGAGTCCAAACTCAAAAGTAGGTCTTCTAGTTAAATACGTTATATTTTTCTGCCATTACTCTGCCTCTCTTTTTTGTAAGTAATTGGAGATAAACAGAAAATAATATGTGTAGACCTGTGTATATGTATATATATAGTGGTTTGCTTTCTCTTTTTCAAAACTGTTAGTTTAGTTATGCCAACAAAGAACACAGAACACGATATTAACTTATTATGAGCTGAAAGTGTTGCTAAGTAAGCAGTTTTCTGCCTTTGTTAATGATGCAACAAAAGACAATGGCTATCAATTTTCTTAAAACATTGATCATTTGAAAGGAAAAAAGTGGTTTTCAATACAGGCTGCATATGATAATTTTTAAGGAGCTTTAAAAAATACATCTTCAGATTCAATCCCAGACCAATTAAACCAGAATTGCTGAAGGTAGGCTAAGGAATTGTTATATTTTAAAAGCTTCCCTAGCAGTTCTAAACTTTTAGTTGCACTTGGTTTTGAACTTGTTTGGTAGGAATGATGGGTTTGTGGCAATGTATGGTCTGTATCTTCTTTGACTCTTCTTACGAACAGTGGCGCACATTTAAAGTTGGCTAACTGAAACAATGGATCACCATCATGAAAAATGAAACAGAAAAAGAGAGGCTGGTTCAAGTAGTGACTCTAACCTTGTGATTTGCAAACTTTAGTGTGCATCAGAATTACCTACCAGACTTGTTAAGACACACATTGCTGGACCTCAGCTTCTGAGGGTCTAATATAATATGTCTGAGAATTTGCATTTCTAATAAGTTCCCAAGTGATGCTGATGCTGCTGGTCCAGGGACCACACTTTGCAAACCACTAGTCTAACCAAACCCAGGAGAAAGGCCCACGGAATACATGGCCTTTTACTTAGTTTCTTTCACTCTTTTAATGTGAAATTTCTCCCATTTTTATTGGATGATATTCAGTGACTTTCTGGGTCTTCTCTTCCTGGCACATTTCTTGTATTTTACTGCAGATCATGGAGCCCCTTGGGAAGCAGATTGTAACCTTTTCTTTGCCCTGTGCCTAATTCTACACCTCTCATCACTGTAGTTCAAGAGCCGCAAAGAAGACCGAGAGAGGAAAGGCTCCATTCCATTCCACCACACAGGCAAGAGGAGGCCACGGAGAATGGGAGTGCCCTTCCTGCTTCACGAGGACCACCTGGATGTGTCCCCCACGCGCAGCACATTCTCCTTTGGAAGTTTCTCTGGGCTGGGAGAAGACAGGCGAGGAATTGAGAAAGGAGGCTGGCAAACCACCATTTTAGGTGACCACAAGGCCTTCCAAAATAGGGCAGAGTTTAAGTGACCTGTTTAGAACTGGATCTAGGGCTTCTGGGCAAATCTGAATCTTTCTTGAACAATTCAGCCAAGAAATTTGGGGCTCAAATTCAGGTTCTCCAGTACCAAAATAATGCTGTGTTTTCACAGCCAAATAAATCCAGATAATTGACGTAATTATGCAAGAGTTCTGTGAAATTGGACAGGTAACAATCTTATTTCTTAGATCATTCTAGACAAAGAAACATGGCCTTAGGGTGCTCTGTGCATTAATTTCCATTGTGAATCTACACAGCAGATTTTTATTAAACTTGGATTTTTTTTGAAAAAAGCAAAGCAAAGGAAAAAAAATATATATATTATATATATTTTCTTTCTGGATTGCATACTAAATAGGCCAATTTAAAATTGGGAGCTGACAGCTAGCTGGGCCACAACAGACGGTTTCTGACATTTGGCTAAGATTGGGGCTGACCTTATCACAGGCAGCTTCATCAATCATCCTGACCCTGAATATCCCCATGGCAAGTTCAGTTCTTGCTTTTTTTGTCTGTGTTTCACACTTTTCCTAACAGCCCCACACTCTCCCTGCTGTCCTTGGGAAAGACAATATCTTGGCAGAATAACTTTCAGATTTTAAAACCCTCTTGTGGGGTGCTCTTATTCATCCCAGGGAAATTGACCCGGCGAGGCAGTTCAGATGCAGCCACTGAGATGGAGAGTCTGAGCGCCAGGCATTCCCACTCCCATCACACCCTGGTAAGCGACCTGCCGGACCCCTCCAACAGCCATGGAGAAAACACCGTCAAGGAAGGTGGGTAGGAGGTGGGGCCTACGGGCAGGAGTTCAGAGTTCTTTTTTTGTTTTCTGTCCTTACACCATGTTACTTTCCCATTGTAATCCGCTTCCTGTGTTTTCTGAAAACTGGCATTCTTGTGCTGAATTGCTTTTGTTAGCCATTCTTAGCATATCCTTAGTAGCAAGAACTATTTAACACCGCACTGTAAACACCATACCTCTCACAGGGAGAGCAAGGACAAGCCATTCATATTTCTTTTCAAAAGCTCATAGACCCACAGGGCTGAAAGAGACCTTGGAAGACATCTAGATTCAGTGCTTCGATTCCCTCTATGAGATCTCTCTGAAGGGCTTGTATACCTTCAGCGGGAGGAAAGTCACTGCCTTCCAAGGCCACCAATTTTTTTTTTTTTTGAGACAGCTTCTATTTTAGATAAGTTCTTGTGTGTTTTGTGTGCAGCAAACATGTGTCTCTGGGTATAATCCAAGACAGGTTCTCATTCTGTACTTTTAACAGAATAATTGATTTTTTTCTTATGTTCTCATAGAAGCATAAATTTAGTCCCTCTTTGATCTGCACTGTATTTCAGGTATTCAATGATATCTGTTAGTTACCACCACAAATTTATTTTCAGTTACTTTTAGCCAAAGGAGAAAAAAATTATTCATGTTTGTTGTTCCTTAATATACTGGATAAAAATGCTATAAACAAATAGTTTATATCAGTATGATCTATCATCTAACAATGGGTAAAATTCATCCATTCTGATCAACTAAACTAAGTCAGTGTTAGACAGAAGTTAAATCCTAATCTCAGCCTTAAGGAAGCCAGTTATAATTCACATTTTCTACAATCTTTAATATTTTCCACACATCATATGGCCTTAGTAGCTTCAGTAGTCCCATGAGAGCTGAGACTAGCTTTGAGACTATAAGTTAAATATTTTCAAAAACTACAGCTGTTATTGTGGTCATGATTGAAGTAATAGTATAACTGTCTAACTGGTATTGTAGGTTAATGTAGGGAGAACTAAGACATTGCTTTCATTTTATTAGTGCGATCTCAGATCTCCACCATCACAGTTGCGACCTTCAATACCACTTTGGCGTCATTCAACGTAGGCTATGCAGACTTTTTCAATGAGCATATGAGGAAACTCTGCAACCAGGTGCCTATCCCGGAGATGCCACATGAACCTCTGGCATGTGCTAACCTACCTCGAAGCCTCACAGACTCCTGCATAAACTACAGCTACCTAGAGGACACAGAACATATTGACGGGACCAATAACTTTGTCCACAAGAATGGAATGCTTGATCTTTCTGTAAGAAGCAAGAATTTTTCTTACCAAAGTTAGACAGATATTAATTATTTGGTGCATTTTTGCAATGTTATATAAAATGGGCATATAGATTCTTAGAAATATCAAACCTTGAAATGAAAAAGCCACCCACTGAAAAAAATTCACCAATGTTTCAACCATCATAGGTGCACCTTACTTTTTTTTCAAGCATTGCATTAGATTTGATCTGATCTCAGAATATTTTTATAATCCAAAACCATTAGTGAATCCTGAATATACATATATAAATACACATACGTGTGTGTTTAATAAGTCTGTTATGTCTAGAATGAGGGCAAAAAAATTCTTCACTTATTTTATTTTGGTATTAACAAGACTACAAACCTCCTGTGTAACCAGAAAAAAATGAATAGAAATTCTTAAAAGTTTTAAGCTTGCATTCTCAAGAGTGCCTGTCTCAAGTATAGTTATTAGCAAATGAAGGGGTTGTTGTATTTTACAATTATATTTCACAAAATTTTATTGCACATTAGGAATCCTGGCTTAGCAAATAATTTACAATATTAAAACCAATAAAGGAACATAATTTAAACATGCAAATATTTTGTACTTTAAATGAAATATGAATAATGATACAGTCATGAACGAGCAAAAGGAAATCATTGTTCTTTATCCATTATTAGTAATGAATGAAAGACAGGAGATTAAAACATTTTTATTTTAAAAAATCAATAGAACAAGTTTCCATTTGGACAAATAGTTACTCTCTCATTAACTCACTGTGCTTCAATATCCCCATTAACTGTTGATATCATAGCATGTTTTGGAAGATGTACATGAGATAATACATGTATATATTTTTAATACTTTGGGTGACTTACACGCTCTATTAAGTAAATACACAAGATTCCACAGCAACTTTTATAGGAAAATTTGACAGTTGTCTAAATTATTTCTACCCAATTTCATAGACTAGCCTAAGGAAATGGGTTAAACAGAATAATCAGATCTCTTTAGGAAGAGGGAGTGCAGGTAACTTAATCATGCTGTGTTTATCTTGTTTTCCTCAGGTAGTTCTGAAGGCTGTTTATCTTGTCCTTAATCATGACATCAGCTCTCGTATCTGTGACGTGGCGCTAAACATTGTGGAATGCTTGCTTCAACTTGGTGTGGTGCCCTGTGTAGAAAAGAATAGAAAGAAGAGTGAAAACAAGGAAAATGAGACCTTGGAAAAGAGGCCAAGTGAGGGAGCTTTCCAATTCAAAGGAGTATCTGGAAGTTCCACCTGTGGATTCGGAGGCCCTGCTGTTAGTGGAGCTGGAGATGGTGGAGGAGAAGAAGGAGGAGGTGGAGATGGAGGAGGTGGAGGAGGTGATGGAGGAGGAGGTGGAGGAGGTGGAGGCGGCCCTTATGAGAAGAATGATAAGAACCAAGAGAAGGTATGACTGAACCACCTTATGTGTCCTCATGAAATGTCATACCTAATTTCTTTCTAAAGCTTGCTTGCCAGCAGTTTATTGAATCTGAACAGCACCTAGTCACTAGAGCAAAAAAGTGGAGAGTGGAGAAATCTCTTCATTAGGTTCTCAGTAGGCATTAGCAGAAACAGTTGAATGCAACTGTACTCTAAATCCAATATCTATTGCCATCCAAGCAGTGTTAGAGCTAATTCTCTAGTCGTTATTTCTGCAAGAGAACATTTCAGTTATGCTATGTTGCCATAATTCTCAGTCTGACGCCAAGTATAACCTTTCTGAAAACTTTCAGACTCTGACCTAATTGAAGAATGTCTTAGTCTCCTCAAGCTGCCATAACAAAATACCATAGACTGAGTGGCTTAAACAATAGAAATTTATTTCTCATGGTTCTGGAGGCTGGGAAGTCCAAGTGCTGTCAGGTTTAGTTTTATTCTGAAGCCTCTTCTCTTGCCTTGTAGGTGACCACTGTCTTATTGTGTTCTCATGTGGCCTCTTCTTTGTGCATGCAGAGAAAGCAAAAGAGAGAGAGCAAAAGAGCTTCCTTGTGTTTCTTCTTATATGGGCCCAATCCCACTAGACCAGGCCCCACCATCATGACCTCACTTAACCCTAATTACCTCCCAAAGACCCATCTTCAAATACCATCGGATTGAGGGATTACAGCTTCAATATGTGAATTTTGCTAATACACAAATATTCAGCCCATAACAAGCAATATAATTTTTCCTCAATGTAAAATTATTTCTTTTAAGTAACACATTTTTGGCAGCCAGCTTCAACCACAGTTAAGGGGAAAGCAAGAGAAGAATTTTGCTTGATTAGTTTGTGTTGGTTTGAAGTGGGACTAACTCTCCTAGCCTCATTCAGCCCTCTCATGTCTCAATGTGGCACATCCCCATGGCTTTAGTCTTTCTATTATTAATTGTTCCTAAATTTAATTCCCTCTGCCTTGTCAACATCTGGTATATGATTTCTTAACATCAAGAATTGGTTTTCTTTTTTAATTTTAAATACAAATTACTACAGCTTAAATTCACATAACTTACACTAATCTCAATTTATGGTTTCAGCTAGGAAATGATATTCAGAAATTGAAATCAACAAGAGATTTTAATCTCTAACAAATACTCTACACATCATGTCAAGTGTTTACACATGTGAAGTTATACTGTGTAGAGTTCTAGATATATACCATCTAGATATATATTGTATAAACTATAAATTGTCCATTTTTCTTACATGTTATCATATTTTCACATCTGAGCAAGCGTTGCAATACTCCTTCCTCTTTCACAATTTCTTCCTCATTTCTTTCGAGTCCCACTTGACACATGTTTAATATGCATTTATCATCTGGTTTCTTCATTTTATTGTTTACTCTTTTCTTCCCAATATTTGTGGACTCTGATCCAAATATCCTTGCTCCGATAATCTTGGTTGCTGAGCCTTTTCTATACGATTTTCTTCTCTTGCCTTGAATGTATTAATCATAAGGCAATTCTAACAAACTATTGGATTTTAAGTTTCCCAACACCTTAGCACCTTATCTATCACTGAGGACAATGCAAGGAACTTCAGATCTGACTGTAAATGAAAATTATCTAAATAATGGTATAGATCACAAGAGATTTGATTGCATATGCTAAGATCTAAAGAATCATTCAGTGATCAGTTACTTAGGAATTAACAAACAAATACAAGTTATAAGGCCCAAATTTATAAACACAGAAACTGGTGAGATTCTTACTGAATTTCCATTTTTTACATATCAACTCTGTCTGGACAAAGAGATTAGAAGTGGTGTTTTGCCCATTATAATATTCAAGGGAAATTAGAAACCAAAAAAAAGAGAATATTATGAAATATTGATAAGCTTTTATCAGCAAAGCTTAGATGTTCCAACTAAACTGATAGGTTTTGTATGTATGCTAAAGATCTCTGAGGTTTATAATTAGTGTTTTGTTTTCATTTTTGCTTTTCCTTTTTTAGCTTTGAAATTTTATCCAAGTGGCATTTTAACCACATTTTTATTGAAAACCTACAAGTATCTTGACTATTTAGCACCTAGGTATTATCTAGACTATATAGCTTGATGTAATAGATGTTATTTTGACCAGAGTTATCACTTTTGATCAGTATGGGATTTTTAAAGTCAGATTATGTGGTCTCCAATACAGCCACCAAGATAGATATGTTTTATAGTTAGTTACCAAAATAATATTCTTTTTAGTACAAATAATTTATAAAATAAAACCTGATGGTGGGTCAAATGCCTTCTTTCTGTGATTCACACTGGTTTGTTCTGCCCCAAACCCATCTGTTATCTTCAGTGGAATCAGAAGGTTTATCTAATTTTGCAACTTAGTAATAACAGAAGCATAGGAATTGATTAAGATAGAAAGGAAGATCTAATTTCCATTTCTATATTTGCCACAACTTGTACTGAGAGCTTGGAATGTTATTTAATATCTTCAATTTTTTTGCCTGTAAGTTGCTACATCTTTCTGAATGTCTCCTATGAAAGCAACCTGAATCCCAAGGACATCTGAAGGTCTAAAGAAATAAAAACCTGAATAGATATTTACAAAGAGCTTCCAGAGCTAGAAAAGTTTTAAAGGAGCTTATAATAATTTTAAAATATGTGTAAACCAGTCTTCCAAATAAGCCCTTGCTCAGGATGACCTTTTCTGAGGCACTGCTGCATAAGGCTTTGTAGCCTTTACAGAGCCCTCTACACAAAGGCCCTTGACGAAGGAAGCCAGTGAGGATTGAAATCCAGTCCAACCTCTGCTTTCGGAACCACTCACCAAAGGATTACTACCATTCAGAGGGTTCATCTTCTTCTAATTCTCCACCTAGAGGGGTGCCTTTTCTAATTTGCATAAAGGTGCTCCAGAGGAAAGCAGCGCCCCACACATAAAAATAATTAATTTTATCATTATTTTAATTAATAATTATTTTTGCTATTATTAATAATAATAATTAGTTTTTCTATTATTATATGCCTTTCATGTTTTGACTCTAATTCTCACAACTCTATGAAATAGATATTATGATTCCAATTTTGTAAGGCACAGGTAGGTTAAGTAGTTTGTCCAAGGTTATATAGTTAGTAAATGTTGAAGCTAAAATCGGAATTCAAACTAAAAATCCAAAAATCTGAAATCTAAAATGCTCCAAGATCTGAAACTTTTTGAGCTCCAACATGAAGCCACAAGTAGAAAATTCCATACCTGACCTCATGTGACAAGTCACAGATAAAATGCAGTCAAAACTTTATTTCATGCACAAAATTATTAAATTATATAAAATTATCTTCAGCTTGTGTATATAAGGCCTATGTGAAGCATACATGAATTTTGTGTTTAGACTTGGGTCCTATTCCCATCTCATTATATATATGCAAATATTCGAAAATCTGAAAAAATCTGAAATCCAAAATACTTCTAGTCCAAGCATTTTGAATAAGGATAGTCAACCTATATACATACAGTTCTGTTGATAAGTTTGAGTCTTCTGTTTGCAACCTTCTGAGCTGTCTTAAGTAGGGGTCCCTGGAAACAGGCTCCAATATGAAGATATGCGTGCAGGCAATTTACTGGAGTGTCTTCTCAGCATTAACCTCTGTTAGGTATGAAGAAGCAGCATGGGGCATAGGGAGAAATTGAACTGCAGTGTAGTTGTAATAGAGGCCTAAGCTAATCACAGAGGGCTTTGAAGCTGGGATGGCTCTTTAAGTAGTCCCCAGGTGAGGCAAAGAGACCTTTTTAGCAAACACACCCCAGGTCCCTTTATGGCCCTGTCCAGTCATTAGAGGTAGACTGCCTCCAGGAGGAGAGTATAATGTTGGGTGAGGCAGCTCTCTAGCTGTGGCCTTCAGAGGCACTCATCTGAGGGCAGTGAGCCATCAGCACTTGGAATAGCTCAGAGAATGAATGCTGCAGTGCCAAGGGGAATATCTGGAGTTCAGCACCACCTCCACTACAAGAGCTTACAGATAAGAAAAGGGGGACCAACTCGATAACATTAGGGGAGGAGAAAGTCAACCTTATCATAGTAAGGCCCATGCTAATGTATAGATAAGCCCCTATTCCTTCCATACCATGCGCACATTTGAGTACTTATATCTGGTTCCAAAGTTTATGCGTCAACCCAATCATGTGGCTATGGAAAAGTCCCTTACAATTTGCAGAACAATTCTCATCCATTATTTAATTTGCTCTGCATAGTAAACCTATGAAGTAGGAAGGGCAGCTATTAGAATCCTAAATTCACAGGTAAGGAAACAAAAACACAAAGAGATTAGTTAACTTATCTAACATCATATGTGGTTAAGGAACAGACACTGGAATCCCAGGTTTGTGGTGTGTGTGCTGATGGTGGAATGTGGTAGAAGGACTGAGACAGGCTGCAGCTTCCCAAAGAAAGTGACTCTTCCACACTGGGCTCTGCATCATTCCTTAGCAACTGCTTCCTTATGCTTCTTTGGAAATAATTCAAGGAAGTTCCTTTTTTGGAAGCCATGTTTTCCACTAACAACAAAGATTAAATTGGGCAAAAGATAGGATGATATCAATTCTCATGATTCATCTCAGGGGGCCTTCCTATTTAGCCTTAAGGGAAGAATCAAGCTGAACGTGTTTATAAAGTTCTGTATATTCTCACCTTGTTTGTGCATATGTATTATAATACAGTGAAAGTATACAATTAGAAATAAAAGCCCTCAAAAATGTCAGAAGTTGCCATGAAATTTCGAAGCTCCAGACTTTGATCAGTTGCAGAAACTTGGCAGTAATCCTTTCCTGGTGTATCAGAAGCCTACTGATGAGGGTAGTTTCTAATAAAACTTATTCGCTTTCATCACTGATAGTCTGCACTGTCTCTCTTTAGGTGGTTGTCTAACAGCAGTCAAGGATATAAAAGCATGTCTTCTAACAGAGAAGTCTATACTTATATTCTCTAGCAACAGAGGGTGTTCAAAATACGTAGATTTTTTTCTTTTAAATCATAGACTAAATTTTAGAAAACTGAGCGTGTTTGTTGAGCCCGTTACAATTCTGTTTTCCAAATTGCAGGTGCTCCCTGTAAAACATATAAACTTGATTTAATCATACAATAGAATCTTAGCAAAAGGACCTCAGTGACAAAGTAAACAGACTTTTCTTTCTTTCTCATTCGTGGGTACCAGGATGAAAGTACACCTGTAAGCAACCATAGGCTTGCTCTAACAATGCTCATCAAAATAGTGAAGTCTTTGGGATGTGCCTATGGTTGTGGTGAAGGACACCGAGGGCTCTCTGGAGATCGTCTGAGACACCAGGTATTCCGAGAGAATGTAAGAGAATTAAAGTAGATTCCATTTCCTCTCCCTCTTCCTTCCCTTCTGTTTAAGAATGAGTCCTTTGACAATGAGGGTCAGTGTTCCCTGAAAAATATTGTATTTTGTAGGAATAATTAATGCTGTTTTGGTGTGAGGAGATTCTCATGAGATATCTCAAGCCATCTAAAACCCAGGCTTAGGAAAGTTTAATTGGGAAAACATTTCTGCCTCCTGCCTAGGGCAGACCAACTCCCAATTAGTGAAAATATATATAATTGGAATGTGTGAATTGCAGCTTGAAAGAACTTTTGCACAGATGAATACATTTAGCAAGCTTTTGATGGCCTGTAACAAATGACTTTTTAATCATCTGCCTGGGTACTGTAGAAACATATTGCATATTGGAGAAAGGGGTCAAAGTTTTAGGACCTGGTTTGTTGTCCTGCCTAAGATATGGAAAATGGCCCTTATTGGGACAAAAGAGGACTGTAAAAGTAACCAGTCATTTTCTGGCTGCTTTATTTGAGAATGAACCTTGCCTTCTGAATATTTGAGATCATGTCCTTGTCAACTGTGTGAAACTTGAAACTCTGCATTTGGGCTTGCCAAACGTAATTCTGTACTGGAAATGGTCTTCCAGCTCATTTTTATTTGCCTCTGCTGACTGTTAATTTTCTTTTTCAATTTGAACAATAACCTACTTCCACAGTCTGAGCTGGGATGGTTGCTTCATATGTATGTTTGAATTGAAATCATACGAAAATATTCTCTTAAAAAAAAGGAGTTTGATGCAAAGTTGAGTTCCAGAAATCCTTTGGCATATCTTGACAGAGTTTTAGGGTCATGTCAAAATCTAATGCCAGCCCATTTTTCCTTGATATTAGGTTTTGTCATGAAATGTTCACACAGTATTAGCATGCTGGGTTTCTTGCTTAATGCATCATCTCTCATCTATCTATCTATCTATCCTTTTCTGTTTTGCTGTTTTATATTATATTGTGTTGCGTTATTTTAGTTTATTATGTTTATATGGGGGTTATATTTGCACTATTAGCTTCTAAATTTTGAAACTTGAAACTTTTGACCAAGATCTAGATTTTGAGGCCAAAATTTGAAAATAATAATTAATAAGGCTATAGAAAGCTGGCATCTCCCCCATCTTTGCACATGTGTATATGATTTTTTATCTTTGATTTTAAATTGTATTACAGTATGAATAAATGCCTTCAAAGACAAATAAACCACATCACTCCCCATGCAGAAGACCAATTTCATGACATGAAACACTAAAACATAATAAACAAACATAATAAAAAGCGTCATGCTTTAGTTGGAAGTATAAACTGGCTCCGATAACCAAGATTTGTCTTTCTGGATTCACAGAAAGCAGGGTGAGTTGGATCGGAAGCCATTTGAGGAGCTGTTGTTATCACTTAGTTCATCATACTTTCCTCCCCAGGAGCACCGAACACTTCCTATGAGGGCATCCAGCCAGTGTTCTGCCTGTCTAATCAATTTGACTTATGGGATAATTCCTCTATTATCTCCTTCTGTTTAATGCTCATTATTGATATTATATTTGCTTATTTAGTTCAGTAAACACATTGTCCAAGAGATATAAATATGGGAAATTTTCCTTGAGAAATATCCAGTTCCAGAAGCTAAACATTTTCAGATTTCTCTACCATTGGCCTTTCAGAAACTACTTAAAATACTAAGAATATTTCTCACCTTTACCAGACAAGGTCCTTTCCCTAGCCTTTTTTCTTCCAAGAAACAGAAGGTTATTCTAACGATATTTGTCAAACTGCCCAGCAATTTCATCATTTAATGCCTCAGCGTATCTTAGAGTATTAATCTAATCATTAGCTGGTAGTCTCCAATTATTGAAAAGGAATTCATTTCTTAAAAGTTTTATATCTTTTGAAGAAATTCAGGATATTCATTCAGAATTTAAGTATTTAAAGTTTGATATTCTTAGGCTTGCTTAAACTTCCCACTGAACTCATACAGATGATACAAACATTTTAATATCCTCTAAAGAGAAGATTTGAAATTATGCCTTTTTTGGTGTATTTTATAGAAAACACAGAATAATTTGTACTTCAGGACCTGCCAACTCAGGGTTTTAAAGAGCTTTATAAATGCTGCAATAAACATCTTCACAAATTCTTTATAGAATGACAATTAAATACTTCTTTATGCAAAATATATTTTACCTAAGTGCTTTGCAAACTTCATTTTATAGCTAGCAGCATTTATTTTGCAATAAAAATGAGTTTGTTCAATATCTGGAAACTTGTAAACTCCCTGGGAATAAAAATACCTAATTTCAAATCTAGGACATAATAAAGGAAAAATGAAAAATGTATCAATCCATCTGACTTTGCAATACAGATGGAGAGATTATAACAAAGTTATACCAAGAAGCCTATTGCTAATTCCAAGTTTCAGTCTTTTATAATCTTTTTTTTTTCTCTCTCAAAATTTCCAAGAATTTTTTCCTGGGCCTTGATTTGTCAAAATGATGATATAACTAAATTTTCTTCTGGGCCACAATTAAGGACACTAATACAATCCCAATTCTCAGGAATTGCCTTCCCTAATCTGACTTCAATGCCTGTGCCTGGTTGTCCAGAGTTCTTCATCCATAATTAAGGTGGCCCTCACTCAGCCACCCCTTCTTTCTTGATCCTTATCCCTTTTCCCCTCAACCCAGAGACTTCGGTCATTGTCCCATTTCATTCCACTGTATAGACATTCTTTTGTCTCTTTTATTCAGATATAGTGTGGCATGCATCTTCCCATTGCACACAAAGCCTTTGAGGTTTTCTAAACATGGATTGTCAATTCTATCACTTATCTAAATTTCAAACTTTTTTTTTCATTAAGATCTTAAAATCTCTATCTTGGTGAAAATACTGAACTCTTTCTGAGACCAGCATTAGACCTTAGCTTTGAGCTTTGGGGTTTTTCCTATGGAGCAGTTGTTCTCAATGTAAACACCCTCAGACTTCTCAGTCTGTCTGTGCTCACATCTTACTCAGACAAGAGGGGCTAGCAGGGTTGCCTGTCACCAGCGAGTGGGGATGGTTGGAAACCCTTGCCTTCTGAAGGCTTCTGTCTCAGACTACCAGTATCCATAGCTTAAGCTGGTACTTGTGACTTTTTCACTTTTCTTCCTTCATTGCAGGCCCAGAACTGCCTCACTAAGCTATACAAGCTAGATAAGATGCAGTTCCGACAAACCATGAGGGACTATGTGAACAAGGACTCTCTCAATAATGTAGTGGACTTCTTGCATGCTTTGCTAGGATTTTGTATGGAGCCGGTCACTGACAGTAAGTAAAGCTGCACCCAAGTTCTAGGAGAAGTCGTTGTGAGGTGAATCAGGTAGTGTTTCAAGGGGACACTAAATTTGTGGAGGTAGAATTTAGAGGAAAAGATACGTATGTGTCCATGCATGTGTGTGGGTGTGTGTATAGAGTATAAACAAGAAAAGCTTGCACATTATCTCTGATGACACATTTTGGAGGCTTTCTGAGGACAACTTACCACAGTAAATGAAAGTTTGGTAAAGCTTGTGGAGTTCTCACCTAGCCCTTCAATTTTTATACTACCACTTATGGGACTCCTCTCTCTCATATAACATTCTGTTATATGACCTCTGAGGCAGTGATCATGTTCATTAGTTCAACGGATGTGAAATGAGTATCTATAACGTACAGGCATTATAGTGGCACAGTGCCTGACAATTTTTTCACAAAGTAAAATGGGAGAAAAAACCTTACGATTGCAGTAAACATAGTAGTAACACAATTTTGACACACACATACTTAATTTTTTTTAAAAAGGCAAATGGATGCACAGATAAACCTACAAGCTATTTTATAACTTAATGGCTTTCAGAAAACTCTAGTATGAAGGCCTAAGTTACAGGGGGAGACCAATAAGTGTTAACTGCATTTATAGTAAACCAAAGACTGGCAGTCCAGTGTGAATGCAAATGCAGCAATGCAAGGAAAATAATGCATGAAGCCTGAGTTGAATAAAATACACATTTTAATTAGAGTCTGGGAAGGATAGCTTTGTAGTATAGGCTTTTATTGTTTATATAACAAATGTATGATCACAGTTGATTAGTTTATAATGAAAATATATTTGCTAGATTTAGAAGCAGTTTTCCTGGTTGTAACCCAGGAATATTGTTTGGTTTCACATTAAAATAAAATATTGCTCCTCTATAGAACCCCTCAAACAATCTATTAGCAGAGTTGTTTTAAACCAAACACAATATAAATTAAAAAGACAATAAATTAGGATGGCAGTTGAGACAATGCTAGAGAAATTCTTGATTGCAAATGATTTTTTTCTCCTTTTTAAACTATTTGAGATAGAAATTATAAGCATAGACTAACAGAAATCTTTCATCAATGTGAAATCTAGAGATCATCCCCTGTCAATTGGCATAGACAGTGAGAGGTTGGTAATAAAGTATATTACTTTAAGGTGATAAATTCCTCCTGCGTTGCTTGAGATGTGGGAGTGGATCACAGTGAATCAGCCAGGCAGACATAGGTCCCCATCTGGTGAATATTGGAGCTGCCCATGCCCTTTGTCACATTTCACAGGTAGTTCACAGGCCATGAGAAATCCTCTGGCACGGGCACAGGATACCTATGAAAGATCCAGTTTTCTGTGAAAAACTGGCATAAAATGCCACGGAGGTCGAAGGCTTCCATTCACGGGCATTTCACATGTGTGTGAGCAAGAAGGAGGTGGCTCTGAGGAAGAGGGGAGGTTTCCCCTCTCCACCTGCCCAAGAAATTTCTGGGAGAACTCTGCAGTTCTTGGCAGGACTCTGTCTTTCCCAGGGCCTTTGAGAGCTTCCCTGCAGGGCTCCTGCCTGACTCTTTCTTCTCCCTTCCCAGCTACCTGGTTGGCCCCACCTTATTCCACTTTAGACAGACTGAACAATTTCCTTTGAGAAAGTAGCATTTCTCACCACCAGAAAGCTTGAAAATGAATTCTCCATTGAGGGGTTATTTAGGAGCTTTTTTTTTTTCTTTTTTTTTCTGTAAGTGATCACCTATTTAAAAACTACTCTAAGCCTAAAAATCTTTCCTAAACTTAAGAGTTGGTTTCCTTTCCTTTGCTAAGATTTATCAATAAAACCATTCCGGAAATGCAATTGGTTTTATCACAGTAAAGGCTCTGAAGGAGACTATGACTCATTCATTTCCACATCTGCCTAGAGATTATTAAACCTGGGGCATCTTTAATTCCTTGTTTCTGTATTTCACATAGCACTTCACTAATTCCTGGGTGCCAAGTACTGCCTTACTCCTACCCATTGTGTAGCTTAAAGGAAACATTGTCTTTAATTTGTGCCTTTGCATTCCAGACAAGGCTGGGTTTGGAAATAACTTCACCACAGTGGACAACAAATCCACAGCCCAAAATGTGGAAGGCATTATCGTCAGCGCCATGTTTAAATCCCTCATCACACGCTGCGCTTCAACCACACATGAATTGCACAGCCCTGAGAATCTGGTGAGAAGCTCTCCTCTCTTCCCACAGGAGCTCTCAGTCTCTGCCCTGAGAAAAGTACTCATTGTCGTGGCCATGAGTAAGAGAAGCTGAAATCTAAAAGTCTACACTTTAAAGTTTAAATATCTATTTTCCCCGGTGTCACCAGTAAGTCATAATGGAGCCTTAACAACACTTTTCTTCTCCTTGTTACTCATTATCCTATTTGCAAATTCAGCTATCTTCCTCTCCCATCTCAAAGGTTATAGAGTGTTTGGTGAAATAATTGTAAAGTATGCTGAGCCCTTCAGAAAGTTTCTAGAGCACAGCTTGTTGGCTCGTAAAATACTAAAGAATGTTATCCCAAGTATTATTTGAAGCCATATTTACTTTAAAAATTAATGCAAATATGTTGCTGAAATTGGTTTTGTTTTCTTTTATTAAGTACTGTCTGTAATCTTTTAGCTACTTGTCTTGAAAGACTGTTAATTAAACCACTGAAGTCACAATAGGATAGGGAAGAACCAGGTTATAAAAGGCTAGTGCTAAAGGCATTAAGAATGACACAGTAGACTTTGAGGACTCAGGGGGAGGGTGGAAAGGAGTTGAGGGATAAAAGACCACAAATCGAGTTCAGTGTATACTGCTTGGGGGATGGGTGCACTAAAATCTCACAAATTACCGCTAACGAACTTACTCATGTAACCAAATATCATCTGTTCCCCAAAACCTATAGAAATAAAAAAATTAAAAGGCTAGTGCTTAATTACCACCAAGAAGATTGTGGTTTTGGATACGAAAATGTAGATTAAGGCTGAAAAATCTAACATGAATAGGTGAATTCAGGTATCTTTGGGAGGCAAAGAAGCATTTCTCTATCCTACCAGTCTGTTAGATATTATGACTCCTATGCGGAAATCATTCCATTTGCACATGTGGACCCTATCAGCTAATGTACTCAAATCAAGGAAATTATTTTAAGCTATTATAACTATTGAAACAATTCACTTAACTTGAGATAAAATCCCAAACTAAAGGAGTTGAACTTTGCTGACAGCCAAAGCCAACCCAGCAATTTTCTTGGAGCTTGAGTGTAGCACAGGTACCATCCATGCATACAATTTGGTCATAGCAAAAGTAATTTAACAGGTTGGTTATAATATACACGACTGCTTATACATCTTTTTTTACAAACTCATGTATAGAAAAATACTATATTAAAAAAGAAATCTTGAGTTTGACTTTGAACTCCCATCCCATAAGAACAGTGGGACATCAAACTTCTGTCATTTTTGGGGTTCCCCACTTCACAGTGTTGTGTAAAGACCCCCAAGTCTTAGGAAGCATCTAGAGCCTGGGGAGGTTCCACAGGTCTCAATGATTAGCCTACACCTCTGATTTCACATAGTACTCTTTGCTGTGTGCTTAGGGCTGGGCACTCTCTGGTGAGTTTGGAATCTTTCCTTTTTGGAGTCTTGCCCCATTCCTAGAGGAACTACTGCAGAGCAGAGTGAGGGGCACAGCGCCCTGCTTCCCACAGAACCCAAAGCGTTCTCCATCCGTGTTTTCTCCAAGGGTCCTACCTTCTACTTTCCTAAAAATTATGGACATAATTGTCCCAGTGGTCTCAGGTTTTGAAAACCAAAACTATGAAGGTAAGTGTTCTTTAGGCTTCTGCATTCTGCCTTGCCATGAACTTTTCCTAAGGCAAAAAAAAAAAAAAAAAAAATACAGTAACTACCTTCTTCATGAGCAGAGAGAGAGGGGAAATGCTGGATCCAAAGCTTAATTTCTCAAGTAAAAGTCCAGCATATATTTTTAAATATTGATTCACCAATATATTGGTTTTAATAGCCCTACGTCACCTTCAGTTTGTAGTCGAGTTCATGTTCAAATGGGCTACAACATATATGTACTTTGCTAAATCTGTCCAGCAAAACACATCATCCTTTGAATAATCTGTCTTTGGTAGAAGTGTCTGGAGGACTTAACATATTTTGTCATAATGTTGCAGAAAATTTGGAGAAGCTGAACAGGGACCAAAATCTCTAATGTAAACAAATTTTTGACTACCTTTTTCTTTGCAGGCATCTCTTCAGAAGTTACAATTAAAAGAGAAAATTAAAGCTTGGGCATCCAATAGTTTAAAATGTAAATTAATGTCTTTCTAATGATGCAGCCAACTTTCTGAATGAAGCACGATAACCATCCTTTTTTATACCAAGGATGACCAGCAAAGGCCTTGGTAATGTTCTTCTATAGGAACATTGTAGAGGGAGTATACCACCAGTTTCATCAATAGTAAACTGTCCTGTCTTAATGATTCCAATGCTCATCTAAGCCTAAGGAATTACTTTCTTCCTCTCTACCTGGAAAAACTATTTAATCACACAGCTATCTTTCTTTCTCCAACTTCCTTCTTGCCTCCAAACAGGGACTGTATTGTGACATTCGTCAGCTGGTCCAGTTTATCAAAGAGGCTCATGGGAATGTCTTCAGGAGAGTGGCCCTCAGCGCTCTGCTTGACAGTGCCGAGAAGTTAGCACCAGGGAAAAAGGTGGAGGAGAATGAACAGGAATCTAAGCCTGCAGGCAGTAAAAGGTTGGAAGCTTGAACTCTCTGAATATTACTGTTTGCCTTAAGTCAGTAGAATAAAATCTGTTGTACTGTTTGTGTGGTTCCTGTGCTGAAATGTCAGCATAGGAATGGTAAAATTATCTTGCGTAAGTGGTTTCACTGGTGTGGTGTAGCTGCAGCTTAGAAAATGAATGAATTTACTGTCAAATAAATGCTGCCTCTAATATGAATTAGAGCTCAGTTGTTCTTAAATTTTCTTGTACTTGAACTACACGTCATAGCTCTTAATTAAATGGTAAAACGCTACCTGTTTTAGTCTCTTCTGTACATAATTTACACTTTTATTCAGAAAGGCAAAGCAATTACTGATGCCATATGATCCTGTTCAGTAAATTCTACTCTAAATGTGGTAAAAGACAAATGATTAAGTAATAGCCTGTTGTTTTTCCTTCTAGTAAACATATATTTATTTTATGCCTATTGTATATTAAATGCCACTTAAAAATTAAAATAAACTCCTAAACTTAAAATCCTGCTTGCAGTTAATGACTCTGTTTGCAATAATGGTGATATTGTGAAGCAAAAAGGCTGCTAAGTCATGAGTTAATGGTGCGGTATAAATTCTAAACAACATAGACTCCTGGTGACATAAAGTTCACAAGCTGCAAAGTTGTCTACAACAGAGTGTTTTGTTTTATGAAGTGTATGAAGTATTAAGACTTGCTATCCTGCTCTGCTGTAATTGTTGGAATGCACCATTTGCATAGGTCAGAGGCGGGAAGCATTGTGGATAAAGGCCAGGTATCCTCTGCACCTGAGGAATGTCGCAGCTTCATGTCTGGTCGCCCCTCACAGACTCCAGAGCAGTAAGTAGCGTTGGTTTTGTCTCCAGTGCAGACGGCTATGCACTTCACTCTGGAAGAATTTCTATTTTCCAAACTGCTATTTGTTTGTTTTTCATCTCCTTTGAATTTTGCCTTGTTTCTACCCTTTACATTTCATTCCCAATGCCACTAACTCTCCAGGCCAAATCACAAATAACCAGTCTGTGCCTATGAGAAGCCTCCCTAACTACATTTCCCATCTCCAGTCTCTCCCTCACTTCTGCTTTTCATGCACACTACTGAAGATACACCTTGAAAAATGGCATATATACCAGGTGGGCTGGGAGTGTCCTCCAGTTTCTTGCTTAAAATCACTTATAATTTTTTAAAAACTTAAATGTATGAATGGCTGTCAATATACTTAATGAAGCTTTTCCCAAAATAAGTATCAAAAACTTCTCCAGTTCTCACCTTTAGCTGAAACATAGACTGTACCACATTGTACCTTGGTCCTCTCTTGAGATCCATTCCAGTGTCCTCCGACATCAGTTAATCTACACTTTTCATAATGGAAAAATCAAAAACATCTTTAAATTAGTGCCCCCAGAAAATATAAGGGTTATCATAGACACTAATTGTACAGCCTAGTTCTATGCAAGTTTTATTTGTATTTTTTCTCTTTTTGAGAACTACTAATCCACAAGTGGAGTGTAAACATGTACTTCGTTTTAGGTATACCATTCTGCTTCCCCAAACCTTACTCAGTATTAAGTGATTTTTCTTCCAGGAATCCTGCAGAATATTCTAGGTATTATGGTATCCTTTCTTCACAGTCAGGGAAATCAAAGTGAGAAGCACACAGCTATCAGATAGGACCTTGGTAATTCATAGCAAGCGAACAAAATCTTCAAAGAAAAAATGCCCACAGAGTTCTTGTAGCACTTCAAAATCTTAGAAATTTTGTAGTAAACACAAATTTGTGATAAACACAATTTTGTGTTTATTTAGTGTTCAAGTAGATCAATTCCATGGGCTCAGGGAACATGTGAGTTTTTGCATATGGCTATAGCCCCAGTATGGAGACTAGGCTTGCTCATACTAGGCACTTAATCTATATTTCATGAATGAATGAATGATTCAATCAATCAATGAAAGGATAAAAGTGTCAGATTATTATTAAGCTTTTGTTTTCTTTAGCTTCCTTTCTTAAAATTCAGTTTTAGTTTTCCCTTTAAGGTAGTCTTTAAGTACATTTAAGTAAAAATTCAAACATAAGCTCTAAGGAAAAATAATCAACGTGAAAGACAAAGTTCTGTGACTAGCCATGAGACTAGTTAAAAGGCTTTATACTCAGAAAGTCTGCCCAAAAAAGAAGAGATTTTTTTTTTCTTTTCAAATAACACCAGCAACTATTGAGCTAATCTGATCAATGAGAATGATCGAATAGCCAAATTGGACTTAAAAAATAAAGCCATTCACTGTATATTTCTAGGTTATTAAGTTTTCTAAATTCCAAAATATTCTTTTTGTTCAGTGTTCTGTAAACACCACCTAATTTCTTAGCATTTAGCACATCTATTCTTTCTTCTTATGTGAAGATACATGTTTCAATATGCCTCTACATAAATATTTCCACTTAGAGAGATGTCATAAAATGTCAAACATGGAACTTTTTCATGATCCCAATAGGCCTAGAAGGTAAGCATGTCAAATGTCCCCTAGTTAGCACTGGAGAAAGATGGGTGGTTACTTCAGATGACACTGGCTCCTCCTCTAGCTTCTCTGTCTCTTTCCTTCCCTCCCCTTCTGGCCCTGTGTCCTCTTCCTTCTTAAATAATAGTCACATTCACTGAGTCATATTAAAGCAGTTTTATGCACTAATTTCTTTGAAACTCAATATTGATACACACCATTGGACAAAGCCGATGTAACATTTTATTGAGGAAATTGAGAAATTATAGCCTCCCCAGATGTTTTTCCAGCCAGACTACATAGTCATACACGTATCATGCCATGCATTTACCAAAAGTGAGAAATGCTTCATACCCTGTAATCATTTGGTAAAAAGTAACTGAGAAATCAAATTTTAGAAAACTGATTTAAATTCATACCATATTTGGTAAACAGAATACCCTATTTTTTAAAAAAAGAACTTAAAAATATTCAGTACTCTGATGAGATTTTAAGAAATTCTGGATACCCATATAAATATCTGTAGAAAATAATTGCTTTACACAGTACTGTCAAATTTTGGGTTGATTCAGCCCCAAAACTTGTAAGCAAATCAATAGCTAAAACCCCATAAATAAGTTTCATCAAATATTATGTATTTTCTCTACCTTGTACTTTCCAAATTACTGCAGTAATATATGTTGCTCAAGCTGACAAATGTAGAAAACACAGAAAAACATAAAGGGAAAGTAGTTTAAAAATGGAAATACCACCAACTAGAGATAACCTCTGTAAACTCTTGGTGTATTATGTTGGAGACATTTTTGAGCATGTGTGCACACAAAACCACACTCAGACATGTGGCCACATGTGTACTTTTTTCCCCCAATTAACCTGGTGATGTTCTTTTTAAACCATTTGATTGTTACCTTTTCACTTTGCAGTATATAGTGAATATTTTTCATATAATAGTCCTCTAAAATAAAATTATAATGACTACAGAGTATACCACCATATGGAAATCCCATAATCTATTCAACTGTTTCCGTGGTGTTGAACATTTAGATTGTTTCCTCCTTTTTAAAGTTGACCAATAAAAACTCAGTGAGTTTTTGACCTTCTTGTACCTACATCTTTTTTTTTTTTTTTTGAGACGGAGTCTCGCTCTTTCGCCCAGGCCAGAGTGCAGTGGCGCTATCTCGGCTCACTGCAAGCTCCTCCTCCTGGGTTCACACCATTCTCCTGCCTCAGCCTCCTGAGTAGCTGGGACTACAGGCGCCCGCCACCGCACCCTGCTAATTTTTTGTATTTTTAGTAGAGACGGGGTTTCGCCGTGTTAGCCAGAATGGTCTCGATCTCCTGACCTCATGATCCGCCTGCCTCGGCCTCCCAAAGTGCTGGGATTACAGGTGTGAGCCACTGCGCCCGGCCTTGTACCTACATCTTAGTACGTTGTCCCATAATTTCCATGAGATTACTTTCTGGAAATTGAATTTCTCTGTCAAGGGCGGTGATATAAGCTTTGGATATCGTATTGCCACATTACTTTAAAGAGAGGTTGGATCATTTTACCTCCCCACTGGGAGTATAATAGTAACCATTGTTTTCTCTCCTCCCCACCCCCCACCCCGCACCCCTCATGAACTCCCTTAATCACTGCTAATTTATTGAGTAAAAATAAAGATCTTACTTCAGCTGCCTATGTTTTTTAATTTCTGGTGAGATTAAATTCTGCATATTATTGGCCACTGGTCTTTTTCCTGTTGTGGAATGCCCTACTCAAAAATCCCCTTGCAGGTATTTCTATTTGTCCTACTGAGTTGTACTTATTTTTTACTTGCAAGCCCTACCTAAGTTTCTTTGACTTACTGGTTGTAGGATAATGCATTTCCCGGGTGTGGTGTGATGGCATTCCATGCATTTAAATATTTTTTTAAGAGTATTTGGTGTTCAAGTATGATACTATACTGGGGTGATGCGTGGGGAATGAGGAACAGTGCTGCACAAGCCTTAGGGATCTTTAATAAAAAGTTAAATATTGGCTGGGCACGGTGGCTCATGCCTGTAATCCCAGCACTTTGGCAGGCTGAGGCAGACGGATCACGAGGTCAGGAGATTGAGACCATCCTGGCTAACACGGTGAAACCCCATCTCTACTAAAAATACAAAAAATTAGCCGGGTGTGGTGGCATACGCCTGTAGTCCCAGCTACTCCGGAGGCTGAGGCAGGAGAATCACTTGAACCTGGGAGGCGGAGGTTGCAGTGAAATTGTAAGTGCTTCTGGTATTATGACTCACACCTGCAGATGAATACCTGCAATAATATTTAATGTTTTTATTAAAGTTGAAAAAACCTGACCACCTCATGTCATAGCAGAGACATGACTATTTTCAAGAAGAGCTCAGAAGATGAACCTTGATCTCTTTCCTCCCACTTCAATGCCCACTCTTCCCACATTTCAGCCCATCAAAGATCATTTTGCATGATTTGCCTAAATATCATTGACAGGAAGATGAAAGAAATTTAGGAGAATTTCTCAAGTGTTGTCAGAAGTTTAACCCTATCCTCTGCTTGCCTACAGCGATGAACAAATGCAAGGAGCCAACTTGGGGCGGAAAGATTTCTGGCGTAAGATGTTCAAGTCCCAGAGTGCAGCAAGTGACACCAGCAGCCAGTCTGAACAGGACACTTCAGAATGCACGACTGCCCACTCAGGGACCACCTCTGACCGACGTGCCCGCTCACGATCCCGCAGAATTTCCCTCCGAAAGAAGCTTAAACTCCCCATAGGTAAAAGTATGTCTGTATTTGTTTATGGATTATCTTATTACCAACCATGTCCTCAGATCAACTCAGTGATGCATAGTAGGGCCGAAAAAGAAGACCTTCAAGTCATAAGACCTAGACTGACTTCATTCATTCATTCATTTAATTTTTCCCACAGTATTTTTCAATACCCTACTATGTGCCTCTTCTGTGTGCAATCACTACACTAGCCATCAAGGATTAAATAGCAAGCAAATACACACAGCCTCCTAACTTTGCTAAACTTGTAATATAGTAGGAGCCCCAGTCATTAAAGCGGATAATCATACAACTAAGTGTAATTGCAAACTATGAATTTTATGAAGGAAATATACATAGTTCTACGAAAGCATGCAACAATGAGACCTGACCTGAATGTGGGGGAGGAGGCAGAAATCAGGGAAGGCTTCCTAGTGGTAGTGGCATTAAGATCTCCGGGATACTTGGGAGAAGGAAGGAGAGCACTCCAGGTAGCCATTATTTGCAAAGATATTAGGAGGCTGAAGGGAAGTGAAGGAACTGAAACAAGGGGACAAGTGGCGGTATGACTATAGTAGAATGATAGGGGCCAGATCAGGTTGACTCTTCATTCTAGATCCCTAGATAGCCAAGATGGGATGTTGAACAGGAGAGTAACTCAAGCAAGTAAACTTTTTGCAAAACTTCACTGCATGGAAATCATACTGGAGGGAGCATAAGTAGATAAGGGAGACCAGAAGGAAAGTTAGCTAGTAGGTGAGGTATAAGTAAATGGAAGCTTGGACTGGGTGGTGGCCATGTAGGCAGAGATAAATGAACACATTTGAGAAGTATTTAAGAGGTAAAATTCACAGGCTTTAATGAGAGATGTGAAGCTGGATAGATGATGGTTTCCTTTCAACCCAGATTCTTTTCGTCTTGGTCCCACATGCTTATGCAATTTTATAGTCTAACACTGAACATTTTTATTCAAAGCATGTACATTGAAAACAATTTGTTTTTCTATTTATACCAAGCCATGTAACTTTCATCGCTTGTTGGGCTTATGTTGACATTTCTGTTTAATTGATTGGATAGAAAATGCTACATTGATCTAAGTGATTTAACTATTAAATAGGGAACTGGCTGAAGAGATCATCCCTCTCAGGCCTGGCAGATGGTGTGGAGGACCTCCTGGACATTAGCTCTGTGGACCGACTCTCTTTCATCAGGCAAAGCTCCAAGGTAAACAGGACATAACTTGTGTAAGTGACTGTTGAAGTCGCTGATACAAACATGTGAAGGCTGAGAAATAGCAAACACCTGCAGGGGCCAAATAAGGAAAAGCTGAAGAAACTCTCCAGATGAGCTAACTTTGGAAACTTAGATAAGCAATGGAAACTAAATTGTTTAAGTAGTAGGCTATCATAGGAAGGGAAAAAGAAAAGTGTGGTCAAAAAATTATATAAAATTATAATGCAGATATAGGGATGTATATAGACATTATTTCCCAGCTATTTTTAACTTTTAACACACCTATGAAATGACTGACATCTCAAACTCCTGTCCAAGGATCTGGTAATTTTACAGTGATCCCTTTTACATATTAAGACACACATAATTCATCCTTTTCCCACTACTTTTGGCACCATGTGAACCACTGTCTGTATTGAAAAGAAGAAAGAATCTCGGGATGACCTTTTTCACTACACTCCTCCTTCGTAATACTGTGAAGCACTGGAGTAACGTAAGGTTTCTTCTGAGAGTCCACCCTGTGGTTGCTTCATGGCCTGGTCATTTGTATGCCTAATTTTCAGCATATGATAAGAGTTATGTTTCCTTTTATGTGTACAAATTATTTGCTTGCATTCTTTTGTTTTCTAATCTCACTAAAACCAGGGTTGTTTTTGTTTTGTTTTGTTCCTTGTGGGTTTTTGTTGTTGTTGTTGTTGTTTTTGTTTTGTTTTGTTTTTGATGGAGACTCGATCTGTGGCCAGGCTGGAGTGCAGTAGCACAATCTCGGCTCACTGCAACCTCCGCCTTCTGGGTTCAAATGATTCTCCTGCCTCAGCCTCCCGAGTAGCTGGGACTAGTGCGTGCCACCATGCCCAGCTAATTTTATATTTTTAGTAGAGACGGGGTTTCACCATGTTGGCCAGGATGGTCTCGATCTCTTGATCTCGTGATCCACCTGCCTCGGCCTCCCAAAGTGCTGGGATTACAGGTGTGAGCCACCACGCCCAGCCAAACCAGTTTTCTTTTATCTAGTCTGTTTTAAAAGTGATATTTTGAAATTACACAAATAATATGCAAGACTATAGCATATTTAGAAAATATATGTATCATTCCTTCCTTACCTTCTATTTGCTAAAAAACATAAGTCATGTATTTGAGTTTGTGTGGCCCATAGCTTCCTTGCTGTGCGAAAAATTTTGAGTACTGCTGAGCTAAAAGCAAGATGAAGAACATATTTTAATTCTTAGAAAGAGAAACATGTTATTACATTTTTATTATAGTACACTCTATAAATTACCTTATACTGATTCTTTCACAGAGATTTAAAGTATTCTATTTAGCTATCTTTCACTTTGGTCTGATTCTCAATTGTGGTATTTGTAAAGAATGACTATGTCTCGCTATTCATTAATTTCAGTTTGGACTTTATCAGATTTAAACTCTAAGAATATCTCAATTATTTTTATAGCACCTGATTATTTAGCTTTTAATCTGGGACCTGGTTCCTCCTTTTAGTTACAGTGATGTCTTTTTTGGCACATGGGAATGAACTACACTGATGACCAAACTAACCAGATGTGGAAGCCAGAAGAGCAAAGTAATAGTATGAAAATGAGTAAACAACTCATTTTCAAGTCAAGAGTTGATCTAACCACAAAGATTTACCTTTGAATCTTATCTCTCTACTTTCCTTTTTTTTTCTTTTTTCAGGTCAAATTCACTAGTGCTGTGAAGCTTTCTGAAGGTGGGCCAGGAAGTGGCATGGAAAATGGAAGAGATGAAGAGGAGAATTTCTTCAAGCGTCTTGGTAAATGTCATGCATCCTAAGAATTCTATTCAACTTTTATCACACAGAACAAAAACTTGATTAGATTAAGTGGTCCATTTTCTATTTTCATTGGTTTTTCATTCATTTCTTTCTCATACATGCCTTTTACCACTGTCTATAGCTTCTGTTTTTGCAATTTGATTCAACAGACATTTATGGAAGCCTTACTGTGTTCCTCACTCCATGATGGGCACTGGGTTTTCAAAGAGTAAGATCCAGCCTCTTCTGCTGTTCTATCCTTTATTAAAATCTGAGAACTTTACAAAACTTCCAGAGATCCTTTTATCCACCCACCTATCTACTTACAAATTCTGCTCAGTATATCCCTGAAAGGTGGCCAGCCACCCTCTGCACACTTCCACTGAGGGGGAGTTTATAACTTTACAAAGCAACCTGTTCTAGAGCAAGACAGCCTTAATTATTAGAGAATTTTTCCTTACATTCTGAAGACATACTTATCCACAAATTTGCTTCATTTGTCCTAGTTATGATGTCTGTACCAAGATGCACACACATACACATCACATACACTCTCACACACACATATCATGCAAGCTCCATATGTTATCCATTTCGTGTTCTCTCTTTTGATCTCACTGCTGCTAGTTAGAAACATCTTTGATTTCTTTACTTTTCCTTATGTGGAAGTGTCTCTAGATCCATCACCATTCTGATTCCTTTTTATTATGTATTTTAGTTAGATGATATGCTTTTCTACAAAATGTGGAACTTAGGATGGAATGCAATATGCCATATTTAAAATTAATTAGTATAGTAGATAGTGTAACTATTAAGCTTGAGGACTACATGAAGTATATGAACACAATTTAAAATTACATTTTCTGTTTTCATATCACATAATTGGTTTGTATTGATTAATTTTTGCTAGCTTTTTTTCACATGGATGAATATCATGGTATACTTTAATATAGCCATTATTTGTTCTTCATTTCAAAAATGATGAAAATTTATTATTTCATTAACTTAGGAGGTAGTTAAGTCACTCCCCCAGGAAGGAAATTAAGAGACAGAATCAATAATTTTGAGGAGAATCCATTTTCAATCCTTTTACACTCTTTCCACTCCTCTTTGAGATTAAAATATAAATAAATAAGCAAATGAATGAATGAATGAATGAAAAGAGAATCAAAACTAAATTGAACTCTGTCTTTTCTTCTTTGTACTATAAAGATCTGTCTGCAGAGACATGCACATTCCCCTGTTCTCACCCAAGTTGTTCATATTATTACTGAACAGGACAAATGCAAAGATGTAACTCTAAGAATACTTCTACTTGACTTTGATTAATTAATAATTTGTGGGTACAGATTTTTAGTGAACCATACAGTTAATTTTCTAGTGATCAGAGAACTTTCCCATATCACTACAGAAACATCACCAGAATTTAGCAAAACATGCCTATGATATCCTTACAACTCTATCAAAAAGAACATGACTTAGTTCAGCATAATGAAGTTACAGTGATTCCTATGATACTTCTCTTTTGAAAATGTTCCTATCTATTTAATTATCTCTTAAAGAATTTGGCGAGGGCAAACATCAAGTTTATTAGTCTCTGTGGTTTTAAGAATCTTCCTAATAACCAGGACATTTGTCATTTTCAATCCTTTTACACTCTTTCCACTCCTCACGATATTTTGGAGACAATATGTCTCACGGTCAGACGTCAGTATTATAAAGAAATTTTCTTGTGCTTTTTTGAGAATGAAGTGTGGAACTAAAGTGTGTTCTCCAGGTATGTGTCATGCTAACTGGATGTCATTTGACTGGAGCTGCAATCACATCTTTAAGTTCTCTTTATGCACTAAAGTATAACTGAGGCTTAAACTCAAAGAATGTAGGGTCTCTCACATTTGGTGAATATTTCTTCTTTTTTCAAAATTCCTTCCTTCCTTCCTTCTCTTCTCTCCTTCCTTCCTTTCCTTCTCTCTTTCTTTCTCTTTCTCTTTTCTTGCTCTTTTCTTTTCTTTCTTTCTTTCTTTCTTTCTTTCCTTCCTTCCTTCCTTCCTTCCTTCCTTCCTTCCTTCCTTCCTTCCTTCCTTCCTTCCTTCCTTCCTTCCTTTTTCTTTCCAAATCTCCTTCTTTCTTTCTTTCTTTCCTTTCTTCCTTCTTTCTTTTTGAGACAGGGTCTTCCCCTGTCACCCATGCTGGAGTGCAATGGTACAATCATAGTCCACTGCCGCCTCAAACTCCCAGGCTCAAATGATCGTCCTGCCTCAGCCTTGCAAGTAGCTAGGATTATGGACATGCACCACCATGCCCCACTAAATTTGTTTTACATTTTTTGTAGAGATGGGGGTGGGGGGATCTTGCTATGTTGCCCAGGCTGGTCTTGAACTCCTGGCCTCAAGTGATCCTCCTACCTCAGTGTCCCAAAGTGCTGGGATTACAGGCATGAACCACCATGCCTGCCCTAATATTTCTTCTTAAGTGAACTTTTTCTGTCTGCTGCGAACTGAATGTGTATATCCTCCAAAAATTTGTCTTGAAGCTCTAATCCCCAAAGTGATAGTATTTACAGGTGGAGGCTTTAGGAGGTGATTAGGTTTAGATAAGGTCATAAGGGGAGCACTTGTGATGCGATTTTAATGCCCTTCTTAAAAAAAAAAAAAAAGGAGGAGACATAAGGTCTCTCTGCATGCATACACCAAGGAAAAGCCACATGAGGACATAACCAGGAAGAGAGCCATCACCAAGAACCCGAACATGCGGACACCCTGATCTCAGACTTCCAGCCTTCAGAACCGTGAGACATAAATGTTTGTTGTTTTAAGTCACCCAGTCTATGGCATTTCATTGTAGCTGACCTGATTATGGCACTATGCTTCCCCGTTTGTAGATTTTTCTCCTTGGTGGAAAAGATAAAAGCATAATTGACTTGTTTACACTCTCCTTTTAATTCTCCTACATTCTCTTCTTATTCATGTTCCAAACACATTATCATTACCATTTCTTACAAATGTTAGTTCATTCTGGACTTTGTGTTTTTATTACCACGATTCCTACGGATTTTAGCCATTGCTTCGTATATTCTTTGTATTCCATTCACAGATTCAAAAGATCTGATATGGAATATTCATAGAGCCAGATTCTACAATGAGTTTGTGTCAACAATACCTGAAATGCAGTTTATTTTTGCATGTCTAGAAAACAAAGCCATAATATTTGAGATTGTTATCTGGAATATTTTATGTGCTTTGGGCTGGCAAGAGAATATAGCTTGTATATCACTATTCTTTGCCTATGTTCTCTTGCTTTTTAAAAATTATAAAAAAGATATTCCTTTGGAATTGCTTGCAGAAAATGAGTATCTCCAGCTTAAACAACATTATCTGCTTATCTAAGTACATTGTATTTTGCAACAACTACTGCCCTTTATTGCGCAAACATCATTCTATTTTTGAGCCTGCTTTTTTCCTTACTTCCTTTTCTGATTCCTTCCTTTCTTTCCTTCTCTCTTTTCTTTCTCTTGATTTCTTTCTTGCTCTCTCTCTTCTTTCTTTTCTTTCTTCCCTTCTTTCCTTGTTTTTCTTTCTTTCCTTTGCAATCTATGTGTATAAATGATTCGTACCCAACCATGATAGATGTGTTGTCTTTTCTCATCTAAATTATCTTAATTACAGAATTTCTTTGTTTCTTTCTTTAAAGTTGTTAAAGAGAACAAACATCAAACCTTCTTACCCTCAGTTTAAATGCAGTACTTTAACTTCACTGATTTGAGATGAAATGCCAATAGAATTTCTTTAAAATTTAAAAGTTATTCAATAAATAAAAACTGTATCTGGTGAACATGAAATAGAATTGAAATTACATTCAGAAATCAGCTTTTTCTTTTGTGTTTTCATATTCACTGAAATTATTTCATTTTAAAAATCATGTTGTCTCTATTTGAGGGAAGGTGTTTGATCAATTAAAACAATTTTTTTCAAGTAATCAACACGTTTACTGCACATCTTGTATGTTCTCAGCTGTGCCATCAACACAATGGGAAATGCTGCTTAAGGAAATACTAGATTTCATATGTCTGAAACTTTGTACCCATAAGTGTATATGATAATGATTTGCCAACTAAAAATAATATTAAAAAACAAGTAGGATATTTTTATACATCCCTTATTGGATTTAAAAGCTTATAAAAATGCATTCTACGTAAATAGAATTATAATTACACCTCAATATACACCTCAACATAAAAAATAAATATTAAACAAATGCAGCTAAAATATACTGAGGCTAAAAAAGTAATCGTTATGTCTAAGGAAGCCAAGAGGCATTCTTACATCCTAGTGTATTGCTATAAAAAATTGATTAAAAAATACATTTTGCAGCCAAATTACTTTTTGACATTTCTTTTAGTAGTACAATATGGAATGCCAGCAGGATACAATTTTATCATCAGTGTATCATTAAAAATACAGGAGAAAACCCAAGAAATATAATATGTACAATGAGGAATTATTTCTTACATTAAGTTTTTCTAACATGATCACTACCTTCAGCAGAGTATAAAAGTCTGACCTTCTTCCATATAAACATTTGGTATTTTAGAGATTACATT
Organism: Homo sapiens; assembly: GCF_000001405.40. Classification (NCBI taxonomy): domain Eukaryota; kingdom Metazoa; phylum Chordata; class Mammalia; order Primates; family Hominidae; genus Homo; species Homo sapiens. The sequence goes on from NC_000002.12 coordinate 209,847,047, forward strand.
GTGGCATTGTGGTAAGAGTGCAGGTTTGTGCACTCTCAGTGGATCTGAATTTAAATCTTGCCTTTATAACTGTCCATTGTATAAACAGATTGGGCTACTTAACCTGTTCCTTCACCTGTTCCTTCTCTCTTTATCTCTCTGTCTCTGTCCACCACTCTCTCCTCACCAACAGACCCATACACCCCAAAAATACATTCTCTTTTAAAATAATTTTAAAAACTTATCTTATAGGGCTATGGCAAAAAATAAAGAAAATTAATTATAAAATATTTCATACAGTACTTGGGATATACTAAGTGCTCAAAAATAGTACCAAAATATATCAAAAATATATTCTTATCTATTAATGCTATATAAATACAATGCTATATAAATACAATGGAAAATGTCCATTATAATTAGCTTTTATTAATAACATGATTCTTACGTCCTGTGCTTATAGGATTCTGCTGATCTTCTGACCTGTAATAAATATATATTATTCTGTGAAGCAAAGAATATAGGTTCTTGCTGTCAGTGAATGTTTTGATGACTTCTCTCTTCATTATTTTACCTACATCCCTTAACTGCATTATTTCTGAAATTCTTGCAATTAAAATGGCATTTCTTTTAGTAGTATTGAATACAATTCTTTTGAAATTGGTAATCTTGTCAAATAAAAATTGAAGAAATTTGTGAAATACATATTCTTCATGCTTCCTTAAATAAAATGATCTCAACTGTTCTTAATAAATTTGATAAATAAGAATAACTTCATTGATCATCTATCTGGTCTTATATATTAATTCCATTACAAATTTTAGGCAGTTATTACCTAATGTATTTTAAATCTTAATTATAGCAACAAATAATAAAACAACTGGATTCACAAAAAAGAAAAATCTTATTATTTGAAATGTCTCTTTAATTCAAAGTTTAAGGGACTGTTTATACTTTTTAACAGATGAGAATCCTTTGGTATACATATTAGTATACTTTATATACTATTAAAGGGGTATATATAAATGATTAATAAAGTGACATATAGTTATAAAAAATAACAGGAATTTACCTGTTCTAGTAGCTTTGGTAATGTCCAGTGAGGAAATAGAGTAGCATTTTGAAAGGGAGCTGCTTGAAAACAAGGCTCTCCTGGAATTGTTTGTTCCTCGTCTATAGCTTTTCTTCTTTGTATCATTTGAGATTTTGTCTTTTGAATTTTTTCCACCATCAGATTCTTCTCATGGTAGTTCCTTTTGCATATGATAAAAAATATGCTATACTAACTGGAAAAAAACACTGAAGGTATTGAATTTTGAACTTTTGAATATGGAATATTTGCATCTGGAAAAGAAACATAACCATAAAGAATGAAATATAGGAAATTTCAATAATGATACTTTATCTTCTGAGCCATTTTTGAGCTTATGAAAGTGTTCAAACGTAGGCAAAAAGTAAAGAGAATGGTTCAATGGATGCAAAATATTCATCACACTTGCAAAAATAATTTAGAAATGGCCATATTTGCTTCATCTATCTTTCATGCTCTTTTAAATGTATTGTACAACAAATCACAGACATCATGTTATTTCATACTGACATACGTCAATACGATTGAGTCATTGTGAAAGTTGTAGACCAAGATTGGTAATTATTTTTATGCCTTGCCATAATTTTTAAATCTGGTGGTAATAAAGTCTAAATGAATCTGTGTCCCAGGCTTAAACTGCTTCCAAAGGATGTGTCCCCTGATAGAGTAGGTTCCCGCATTTTTCCATTAGTGGATATAGTGGTTGACATCCTTGTATGTGGTGCACTGTCATGGTAAACCCAGGCCCATAACTGTAAACACCCCCTTTTATCTACTATGAATGCAAATTGTTAGAGTGGTAACCCTAACTCTGGACCTCCAGTAGCCAGTGATTCTTTGCACTGTAACTGAGAAAAGGTTTTTCCTTTCACCACAGTGCTGTACCAATTTGTACAGCATGCTGTACCCAATGTACACATTATACACAATGCTGTACCAATGCTGTATCAATTTGTTGTAACAGATCTGAAATTGCACAGTGATTGCAACTTCCATAAAAACAGAAGTTGTTGATTACAGGAAGAATAATTTTAAATACACCAAAAGCTCTTACTAGTATTCAAAAGAAGACCTGCAAGTAAAATGATCAAACACTGTATTTAAATATTTAGGTAAAATCTTACATTTTCATATGTCATGTGTCACCAGATTCCCAAAAGTCAGGATGTGTTTAAATCAAACATTAGGGTGGAGAGCAAGGAAGTGGAGTGAAGGAGAAAGTTTTCTGGCCAACACTGTAGAAAACACACTGTTATATCTTTGAAACTCTTTTTAAACCTGTGATCCTTTACGTTCTCTCTCTTTCATTCCTCCACCATGGCACCACCTTTACAGGTTGCCACAGTTTTGATGATCATCTCTCTCCCAACCAAGATGGTGGAAAAAGCAAAAACGTGGTGAATCTTGGAGCAATCCGACAAGGCATGAAACGCTTCCAATTTCTGTTAAACTGCTGTGAGCCAGGGACAATTCCTGATGCCTCCATCCTAGCAGCTGCCTTGGATCTAGTAAGTTGGTGAAAGAATTTTCCCACCCTGCCCCCCATCCCAAGTAGCACTATTAACAGAGGTAAGCATGATTCCCCAATTGTAATCCTCCTGTGTTTGTTTGTTTGCTTTTTCAGAATTAGTGATAAAAGGGGGAAGAAAGATGGTGAAAAAGGGAGAAAAATCTTAATTAATATGCCCTGGGAAATAGACTGTCTAAATATGTGAAGGCTCTGGAATCAGACTGACTGAGTTAAAATCACTCTGACATTTACCACCTGAACCTCTGTAAAATGAGTGTAAGAGCAATAACAATACTATAGCTTCCTCCTCGGGCTAGTGCGAAAACTAAATGAGATATTAGATATAAAGCCCTCATCACAGTGCCTGAAATACAGGAACTACACAATAAAGTGGGCCATTATTATTATATTATTGGTCTTATGTCTGCCATGTATTAGTCCTTTAAGCTCACCAAGCCTTGATTTCATTATCCATCAATTGGAGGAAAAATATGAAGCAAGATCAATTGAAATGAATTGCACAAACACTTTGAACATTGTGTGCTATTATACACGTGTAAAGGATTAAAGAGTATGAAGTGGATCTTGGTTAGAAAGTGTTTTTATCAGGTAAATTAGGCCCACATGTGAGTTTTGAACTCAGCCTCTCAATTTATTTATCTTTATTTATAAAGTCTTCATATGATGCATAAACACTGGGTACAAAATACCAAGTAAACATCAGGAAAAAAAGTATTTTATTTTAACTTTTAAAGAAGACAAACTGAAATAGATTTTTATTAGAACAAAAAACTTTAAGCCTGCCAATAAATGATCCTTTTTTCGGGTTTTATGACACATGAATAAGTGACCAGTGGTCACTCATATTTTACCTTGGAAAATAATCCAAGCCTTATAATGTAATTCATGAAATTTCTCTGTGACATTTGCAGCTTTTGCTCTAAGGATATTTAGTGACCAGCAAGGTATGTGGCTTCACTTAAGGCTGAAATATTAATACCACTTATAATCACCCAAAATGATTGCTTTCCGTTATATAAGATTTTTTTCAGTCAGTTTCTCATTATTGGGTAGTGACCTTTGAGAATTTTTTAAAAATTGCATCATGTTCAATGTGTGTTGATATGTGCCATGGTGACTGTAAAATGTAGAAAATCACAGGTCTCCAGGAGAGCTGGGGTTTGTGGCAATTAAACAATCAAAGTACAGTGAGATGTCTGTCTAAAGCAGGAGAGCTTGACAAGGCAAGGAGCCAATCCCCTGTTTTCTAGGTGGGATAGTGGAAACTTAGCTGTCACTCTTTTGAGTCCTGCATGGTTTGTCTTAATCACATCTTGCTCTGTTCCCAAAGGAGCAGATTAAAATAAATAAATGCAACAAATTCATTAGAAAAGAACAAACAAACACTTAAACAATGGAAAAGTATATGAACAGCCAGTCACCAAAAATACTAATAGTCAGTAAACTACACTTCATCTTACTTGAACTTAAGAAATGCTCTGTTAATTTACAAGTTAAAAAAAAGGAAAAAGAAATACCTATTAAAATAGCCACAGATTCCTACTTTATAGCTCTCAGGTTGGCAATGATTTGAAAGTGCTGATATGAGTGGAAGATATCAGACACCACGTGCAGTGTCACTACTGGTGTAAGCAGCAGGATTTGATTAGGGGACAGAAGGAATTCTTGGACTAACTGGTTAATAATGAGAGCAGTGATGGTGAGTGGAGCACTCCTCAGCTCCTCCCTGAGTAGTAAGTAATTTTGGACTGTATATAATCGGGGAGGGAGAGTAGCAGTTCTTTACATATCAAATACATCAAATGGAAAGGGTGGTGGTATTTAGAAGCCCAGAGTCAATGTGAGTTATAAGATACTCACCATATAATAATTAATTAACTCAGCAAATGTCTTTTGAGGGATTCCTATGTGACAGGCATGGTTCTCTTAGTGATAACACAACAAAACTCAACTGGAGGGCTGCACCTATTTTTCCCTTTTTCCAATGAAGATTGTGTTTGTATAGTGATTTTTTTTCCGGATGTCTTAGTGTACAGCATTCTAAGGTTGATTGATGAATGATTAGTATTTATTGTATGCCCACCGTGTTGCCAAAGGAAAACACTGAAGCTCAGAAAGACCGATTAATAGGCAGGACTACAAAGTCAGCAAAGGATGGAGCCAGACTGGAACCCGGGTCTATCTTCCAAGCCCTTCAGTTTTGTATTCTACCATACTGACTCTCTTATTAAAATATTATGTGAGACCATTTACTTTAAAGCATGCAATAATAATAAATTCCATATTTTATACCCAATAGCTTAAACGTGGTTAGGAAAGTGAAGGTGACAGAGGCTGGTTGATCTCATAAGTCTCATGGTAAGAAAGAAAATGAAGGAGCGCTGGAGCTTATAAGCAGTGTCTTTTGAGCCATCAAGTAAAGAGGCATTTTCTCATTAGCATATGTGTCCACTGACTGAGTAGCCTGCATCTGGAAGTAATGAGGTCTTTGCCACTAGACTGGATCCAGTAGGGGTGAATGTACAGGAGGATCAAGCAGTGTGTGGGTAGTAGGAGTTCCTTTCATACCTGACAGTCTTTGATTCAAGGTCAAGGTCAAGCTGTGTGTAGTGTTCAGAGGTCCAAATTCCAGAGGTCAGAATCAATCAAGGGTTAAAGGAGCTCAGTAGTTCCCATTATGAGGCAAAAAGAGAGAGAATCTGGGTAGACATGATTGGTTGGATAAAAGGCATAGGTGATGATGGTGGTGGTGGTGGTTGGCAGAGGTGTTGGTAGAGAATAATACTCATAACATTTTCATTATGCTTGATGGTTTATAAAGCACCTTCACATTCATTGTCTTATTTGTTGGTATGAGAGCAAAAGAATTAAGCCAAGAGATGAACCCCAAATAAGGACACACTTACAATCAGTTTCTCAGCTATGGAAAGTGAAGGAACTAAAGGGGCTGGTGAATTCTGACAGACTGAGAGGAAGGTAATGCAGCTATATGTCGTACGTGCTTGAATCAAAGCAGCATTTGGTGTTTACTGTCATTTGTACAGATGTGATAACTGCAATTGTTCATACCTATTGATCTGGGTTAGGGGTTCCTCAGGGTTATGCTAACTTTCACTGATGTTTTCTGCTAAAGGTATTTTTAGCTTTTGTTTCCTTTGTATTTGGTTTCATCCAATATGTGATTCACCAACTTCCAATCTTTCAAGAATGCCTCAGTTTTTAAGTATGTTTTACGTGTTTTTCAATGCATTGTGGTTTTATTTAGATATATGTATATAATATAAATAGATGTAAATATAGAAATAAACATAGATGTAGATATGTTAGGTAGATATGCAAATGAGGTACACATGTGGATCTAGATATAGGCACAGATACAGATATAGATATAGATAGATATACATATACAGAGATAGATATACATATACACAGATAGATAGAGACATAGTTATAGATTCCGCCATTTCATCAAATAGAATTTGGAGGAGGAGGGGAAAAATGAATGTGCTCAATTCATCATCATATTTCAATCTTGCATTTTCTCCCACCTCTCTTTTATTGTTTTGCTTTGTTACATTTATTTTTTAAGTGCAGCTTAAATACAATTTTTGCATTTTGACATAATTTTATATTAGAATAGTTTCATTGTTTTATGTCCTTAAAAATAGAATTTAAATGTGATTTTTTTAAGATTGTAATTTTCTTCAGAATTAAAAAGAATTGTTAGATGAAAGAAATACTAGAAATGTCAGTGTTCAAAGTTTTGCTGACCTGTTTTTTTTGTTGGTTCTAAACAATGCTACTTTTATTATTGCTATGACCACTAAATGTAGGGATAATTGATTCAATTTTAAGTCCAGTACAGCTTTTCCTCACAATCTTTCTCTTTAGGGTTAATTTAGCAGATGCAACTGTAAGGCATTTTTTAAAAGACATATTTTAGAAAGGATTGATTTCATCTCTAGATTTATATAATCTGCAAGTACAAAACTAAAAAGAAAATAAAAAGAAAAATTAAACAGTTCAAGCAAAAGGTATGTCTACTTCCTATATTTTTCAAGTGAAATAGTCTTTTCTTATTTATCCAGTTGAATTTGTAACATGCACAAGCAGTGATTTCTAATTTTTTGGTAATTTATTAGCATGAATAACACTAATACCAATGCCAGTTTGCTTTAGGAACAATTCCATAAGTATAAGACCATCCATAGGATCATAGAATTCTCCCTAGTCTGTGAGTGGAGGAAATCTAATGTTAAATTATTGAGCCTCATAAGTAGACAGTTTTAGAAGGAGTGCATATATAATTCTTTTTCAAAATAGGACACTTTCAAGAGTGAAAGAGTTATCAATAATTATGTGAGGAAAAGAGACATAAACCAGGACTCTCCCAGGAAAAGACCTTCAGTTACCATAGGTCTAATTCACACTTACTTCCAGGCTTATTGCATCAAATATAATTCATATTGGGGCTTAACATCACAAGATATTTAATGATCAATGCAAATTAGGTCCTTTCAAGGAGATAGGAATGCATGAAAGAGGAAATATCTTATGATTCTCGTTTGAATCATAAGAAAATTAGAAATAATTTAGTAATAACAAAACTAAACTATCAAATTGTCCTCTTAATCTAGTGGTAATGAATTTTTTAAAAAGAGTCTAACTATGAAATGTAGCATAAAAAAATGCTTGAATAGTATTTCATTGTTTTGTATATGCCACATTTTCTTTATTCATTCACCTATTGATGGATACTTGGGTTGAATCTATGTCTTGGCTATTATGAATGGTGCTGCAATGGACATGAGAGTGCAGATTTTAAAAATGAATATACAGCAAAAGAAACTATCATCAGAATGAACAGACAACCTACTGAATGGGAGAAAATTTTTGCAATCTATCCATATGACAAAAGTCTAATATCCAGAATCTACAAGGAACTTAAACAAATTTACAAGAAAAAAAACATTAAAAAGTGGGCAAAGGATATGAATGAACCCTTCTCAAAAGAAAACATTTATGTGGCCAATAAACAAATGAAAAAAAAGCTCAACATCATTGATCATCAGAGAAATACAAATCAAAACTACAATGAGATACCATCTCACACCAGTCGGAATGGTGATTATTAAAAACTCAAGAAACAACAGATGCTGGTGAGGCTGTGGAGAAACAGGAATGCTTTTACGTTGTTGGTGGGAATGCAAATTAGTTCAACTACTGTGGAAGACAGTGTGGTGATTCCTTAAAGACCTGGAACCAGAAATACCATTTGACCCAGCAATCCCATTACTGGGTATATACCCAAAGGACTATAAGTCATTCTACTGTAAAAACACATGCACACGTATGTTTATTGCAGCACTATTTACAATAGCAAAGACATGAATCAACCCAAATGCCCATCAATAATAGACCGGATAAAGAAAATGTGGTACACATACAACATAGAATACTATGCAGCCATAAAAAGGAATGAGATCATGTCTTTTGCAGGGACTTGAATAGGGCTGGAAGCCATTATCCTCAGCAAACTAATGCAGGAACAGAAAACCAAACACCACATGTTCTCACTTATAAGTGGGAGCTGAACAATGAGAACACATGGACACATGGACACAGGGGAACAACACACACTGGGGCCTGTCAGCAGGGTTAGGGGGGCAGGGGAAGGGAGAGCATCAGGACAAATAGCTAATGCATGCTGGACTTAATACCTAGATGATGAGTTGATAGGTACAGCAAACCACCATGGCACAAGTTTACCTATGTAACAAACCTGCACATCCTGGGCATGTACCCAAGAACTTATAAAATAAAATAAAATAAAATGAAACAAAATGAATATATATCATAAGTACATAGAATTTAAAGAAAAAAATCTAAAAATCACATATCCATGACACAAAACATTTCCAGTTTCTGTGTTCCCTTACCTAATCACACACCTTTACCTCTGAGAAGATACTGCTCTTCTGAACTTTATTTTAATATCTTTCTTGTGCTTTATTTTACCACATTGGTATGTGTCTTTAGAGAATATATTATTTTATTTTGTTTTCATTTGTTTTGTCTGGTTTTGAAATTAACTTATAGGAAGTCATGCTATCCTCTTTCTTATTTGTTTAACATTATGTTTGAGTTCCTCCTTGTTGATGCATTTAGTGTTAATATGTTAATGTTTACTCATGAATGGTATTCATTTGTTTGAACATACCACAATTTATATGTCCACTCTATGTTAGGTGAACATTTTAATTTTTTTCAAAATTCTGGCTAATTTTAGCAATGCCCTTATTAATATTTTTCTGTATGGGTCTCTATTCATATATAGTTTCCTAAATAAACCTATGAGTAAAATTATTGAGTTACAATTTTACTATATGATACCAAATTGTATTTCAAAGTAGTTTCAAAAATTCCAAATAAGTGCCAACGATATAATGAAAACTCCTGTTTCTCTATGTTCTTGCCAACACTGTATTGTCCAATATTTTTATTTTTAACAATGTGGTGCTTTAAAGTAATAACCTTTAATCTATATTTTAACCTAAAGCTTAAGAAGTCTTGTCATCAGTTTATTTACTATTTCTGTTTCTGCTTTGGTAAAATATTTCATTTGTGTCTTTTGTTCATTCTCTTATTGGAAGATTATCTTTTATTGCTGATATTTAAAAGATTATAGGTGATGTCAATATTAATCTTTTTTCTGTTCATTACATTGCATCATCTCCCAGTGTTCAGCTTGTTTTCTTCTTCAATTTTTTCATACATTTTAATGAAGAGATTTTAATTTAATATAATTCATAAAAATTATCCTTCATGGCTAGCACTTCTGTCTTGAAATTCCAAGGTAGCAAAGACATTCTTATATTTTTCTCTAAAAGTATTAAAGATTAACTTTCACAATTAAGTCTTTATGTTTTATGTGAATAGTATAGGATAGGAATTCATTTTCTTTATTTTCTTTCATTCTCGTGGAAAAATAATTATCCTAGCACAATATATTGACTAGTTAATGCATTCTTCTCAGATGTGCATTTCCATCTTAATCAAATGTCAGGTGTCCTTATAAGCATGATGTAATTCTGGGTTTTGGTTTTTTTGTTTACTTATTTATTTATTTATTTATTTATTTATTTATTTTTTCGTTTTTGAGATGGAGGCTTGCTCTGTTGCCCAGGCTGGAGTGCAGTGGCATGATCTCAGCTCACTGCAACCTCCACCTCCCAGGTTCGAGTAATTCTTCTGTCTCTCAGCCTCCCAAGTAGCTGGGACTACAGGCACCCGCCACCATGCCTGGCTAAGTTTTGTATTTTTAGTAGAGAAGGGGTTTCACCATATTGGTCAGGCTGATCTAGAACTCCTGACCTTAGGTAATCCACCCACCTTGCCTTCCCAAAGTGCTGGGATTACAGGTGTAAGCCACCACGCCTGGCCTGGGTTTTGTTTTATTCCATTTTCCATGTATCCTGAGTCAACCTACTCTGTATTAATAGTTAGAACTTAAACATCACTTAGGCTAGTCGAGGCTCTTCGTTCTTCCACATGAAATTTTATAGTTAGCTTATCAGAGTCCATGAAAAATCATTTGATTTATACTTGGAATTGCATTGAGTCCACGGATATATTTAGAGATGATCGAAATTGAAATCTGAATTGATTATTGAAAAGTTCTATTTCTTCCTGAGACAGTTTAAGTAATTTTAATTTTTTCAGTAGTTTATCAATGTAATCTATATTTTAAGGTTTGTTGGCATAAAATTGCTGAGAATACATTCTTATTAGTTCTAATCTTTGCAGTATCTGTAGTTACCTATTTCTATTTCTAAAATTGTTTCCAGTTTTTTAACTAGATGTACCAGTCATTTGTCTATTTCATTTTTTTAATCTTTCTATTGTATGTTCTCTAATTTATTAATGCTTGCTCTTATTTTTATTATTTTCTCTCATGCTTTGGGCTAATTGCATTATTCTTTAGTTAAGTTGATTACTTAGTTCATTGATATTCTTTTCTCTATTGTAAACTAAGAACTTAGCTATTAATTTTCCTCTAAGTACTACTTTAACTGCATACCATAAATTTTGATAAGCAGTATTTTTGTTTTAATTTACTTTTAAGTACTTTCTAATTTCTTTAACTATTTCCTTTTTGACTCATAGGTATCTATATATGTGTGTGTTTTAATTTATAAAATCCAGGGTTTTGTTAGAAATCAATTTGTGTTGTTAATTTCTAAGTTACTGATTCTTCAGAATTAATTTAGACTTCCTTTATGACCTAAAATATTATCAGTTTTTATAAATGTTCCATGTGTTGTCAAAAAGAATTTGTATTCGCCACTTGTAGAACACAGTGATTGATATACGTACGATCAAACTCATTAATTGGGTTATTTGAATCTACTTTCTGATTGTTTTCTCACTGTTTGATCTATCAATTACTGTTAGTTGTGTTGAAATCCCTCACAATGATGACAAATACGTTCATTTGTATTTACAGTGATGACATTTTTTGTTTTATTTATTTGGAAGCAAACAGGTTTAGAAATATTACGATTTCTAATGATTTGAACCATTTATTACTATCAAGTGGCACGCTGATTTTTAGTAATACTTTCTACCTTAAGATATGTTTTTCTACAAGGCTAATAGATAGCTACAACAATTTCATTAGGTTAGTATTGGCTGGGCATGTCTTTTTGCCAATCCTTTACTTTCAACTTTTCTATCTGTTTGTTACTTAGGTGTATGTCTTATTAAAAGCATGTATTTGGGCCGAGCATGGTGGCTCACACCTGTAATCACAGCACTTTGGGAGGCCAAGGTGGGCGGATCACTTGAGGTCAGGAGTTCAAGACCAGCCTGGCCAACATAGCGAAACCCTGTCTCTACTAAAAATACAAAAATTAGCCATGCCTGTAATCCCAGCTTCTTGGGAGGCAGAGGCACAAGAATAGCTTGAACCCAGGAAACAGAGGTCGCAGTGAGCCCAGATCACACAACCGCACCCTGGTCTCGGCCACAGAATGAAACCCTGTTTCCAAAAAAAAAAAAAGAAAGAAAAAAAGAAAAAAGGTTTATATTTAATTTTTTTCATCATTTAAACAATTTTTTTCTAGAAAATTTAGTCTATTTGTGCAGATTGTGATTACTGACATATTTAGATTCACTTCTGTCATTTTTGCTTATTTATTACACTTTTTATTTTTTCATTGTGTGTGCATGTGTGTGTTTGTTTCAATTTCATGCCTCCTTTTAGATTGTGTTAGGGTTTATTTCTCTTGCTTTGGTATAGTTTCACATTTTAAAAGTTATTTTCCTTTACTGGTTTGTAGATTATTATATTCCCTTTATGTTTATAGAAATCACATACATATTTAACTAAAAGTCTAAAATCAATGAATTTCTTTTTTTTAAATTTTTTTCTAAAAAAGAAGGATACATGTGCAGAATGTACAGATGTGTTACATAGGTATATGTGTGCCATGGTGGTTTGCTGCACCTATTGACTCATCCTCTAAGTTTCCTCTCCTCACTCTCCATCCCCCAACAGGCCCTGGTGTGTGCTGCTTACCTCTCTGTGCCCATGTGTCCTCATTGTTCAACTCCCACTTATGAGTGAGAACATGCAGTGTTTGATTATCTGTTCCTGTGTTAGTTTGCTGAGGATGATGGCTGCCAGCTTCATCCATATCCCTGCAAAGGACGTTATCTCATTTTTTATGGCTACATACTATTCCATGGTGTATATGTACCACCTTTTCTTTATCAAGTCTATCAGTGGTGGGCATTTGGGTTGGTTCCATGTCTTTGCTATTGTAAATAGTGCTGCAATAAATATACGTGTGCATGTGTCTTTATAGTAGAATGATTTATATTCCTTTGGGTATACCCAGTAATGTAAATCCTGGGTCAAATGATATTTCTGGTTCTAGATCCTTGAGGAATCACCATACTGTCTTCCACAATGGTTGAACTAATTTACATTCCCATTGACAGTGTCAAAGTGTTCCTATTTCTCCACAGCCTCACCAGCATCTATTGTTTCCTGACTTTTTAATAATCTCCACTCTGACCAGCATGAGATGGTATCTGATTGTGTTTCCGATTTGCATTTCTCTGATGATCAGTGATGTTGAGCTTTTTTTCATGTTTGTTGGCTGCATAATGTCTCCTTTTGAAAAGTGTCTGTTCATATCCTTTTCTCACTTTTTGATAGGGTTGTTTTTTCCTGTAAATTTGTTTAAGTTCCTTGTAAATTCTGGAAATTAGACCTTTGTCAAATGGGTAGATTGCAAAAATTTTCTCCCATTCTGTAGGTGGCTTGTTCACTCTGATGATAGTTTCTTTTGCTGTGCAGAAGCTCTTTAGTTTAATTATATCCCATTTGTCGATTTTTGCTTTTGTTGCAATTGCTTTTGGCATTTTTGTCATGAAGTATTTTTTGTCATGAAGCCTGTGTCCTGAATGGTATTGCCTAGGTTTTCTTCTAGGATTTTTATGGTTTGGGGTTTTACATTTAAGTCTTTAATCCATCTCGAGTTAATTTTTATATAAGGTGTAAGGAAGGCGTCCAGTTTCAGTTCTCTGCATATGGCTAGCCAGTATTCCCAGCACCATTTACCGAATAGGAAATCCTTTCCCCATCGCTTGTTTTTGGCAGGTTTGTTGAAGATTATATGGTTGTAGATGTGTGGTGTTATTTCCGAGGTCTCTGTTCTGCTCCATTGGTCTATAAGTCTGTTTTAGTACCAGTACCATGCTGTTTTGGTTATTGTAGCCTTGTAGTTTGAAGTCAGTCAGCATTGTAGTTTGAAGTCAGGTAGCATGATGCCTCCAGCTTTGTTCTTTTTGCTTAGGATTGTCTTGGCTATATGGGGTCTCCTTTGATTCCACATAAAATTTAGAATAGTTTTTTCTAATTCTGTGAAGAATGTCAATGGTTATTTGATGGGAATAGCATTGAATCTATAAATTACTTTGGGCAGTATGGCCATTTTCATGATATTGATTCTTCTTATCCATGAGGATAGAATGTTTTTCCATTTGTTTGTGTCCTCTCTTATTTCCTTGAGCAGTGGTTTGTAGTTCTCCTTGAAGAGGTTCTTCACATCCCTTGTTAGCTGCATTCCTATGAATTTTATTCTCTTTGTAGCGATTGTGAATTGGAGTTCATTCATGATTTGGCTCTCTGCTTGTCTATCGCTGCTGTAAAGGAATGTTTGTGATTTTTGCACATTGATTTTCTATCCTGAGACTTGGCTGAAATAACTTATCAGTTTAAGGAGTTTTGGTGCTGAGTTGATGGTGTTTTCTACGTATAAAATCATGTCGTCTGCAAACAATGACAAGCTGACTTCCTCTCTTCCTATTTTAATACCCCTTATTTCTTTATTTGCCTGATGGCCCTGGCCAGAACTTCCAATACTATGTTGACTAGGAGTGGTGAGAGAGGGCATCCCTGTCTTGTACTGGTTTTCAAAGGGAATGCTTCCAGCTTTTGCCCATTCAGTATGATATTGGCTGTGGGTTTGTCATCGATAGCTCTTATTATTTTGAGATATGTTCCATCAATACCTAGTTTATTGAGAGTTTTTAACATAAAGGGATGATGAATTTTATCAAAGGCCTTTCTGCACCTATTGAGATAATCATGTGGTTTTGGTCTTTGGTTCTGTTTATGTGATGGATTACATTTATTGATTTGCATATGTTTAACCAGTCTTGCATCCCAGGGATGAAGCAGACTTGATCGTGATGGATAAGTTTTTTGATGTGCTGCTGGATTTGGTTTGCCAGTATTTTATTGAGGATTTTCACACAGATGTTCATCAGGCTCATTCTTTTTATATTGTGTCTCTTCCAGGTTTTGGTATCAGGATGATGCTGGCTTTATAAAATGAGTTAGGGAGAAGTCCCTCCTTCTCAATTGTTTGGAATAGTTTCAGAAGAAATGGTACCAGCTCCTCTTTATATTTCTGGTAGAATTCAGCTGTGAATCCAACTGGTCCTGGGCTTTTTTTGGTTGGTAGGCTATTAATAGTGCTGCAATTTCAGAACTTGTTATCGTTCTATACAGGGATTCAACTTCTTAGTGGTTTAGTCTTGGGAGGGCATATGCGTCCAGGAATGTATCTGTTTCTTCTAGATTTTCTAGTTTATTTGCATAGAGGGGTTTATAGTATTCTCTGATGGTAGTTTGTATTTCCGTGGGGTCAGTGGAGATATCCCCTTTATCATTTTTTATTGTGTCTATTTGATTCTTCTCTCTCTTCTTCTTTATTAATCTAGCTAGTGGTCTATCTATTTTGCTTATTTTTTCAAAACACCAGCTCCTGGATTCATTGATTCTTTTGGAGCATTTTTCATGTCTTTATCTCCTTCAATTCTTCTCTGATCTTACTTATTGCTTGTCTTCTGCTAGCTTTTGGATTAGTTTATTCTTGCCTCTCTAGCTCTTTTAATTGTGATGTTAGGGTGTCGATTTGAGATCTTCCTAGCTTTCTGATGTGGGCATTTAGTGCTATAAATTTCCCTGTTAACACTGCTTTAGCTCTGTCCCAGATATTCTGGTACATTGTCTCTTTGTTCTCATTGGCTTCAAATAACTTCTTGCTATGTGGTGCGGAGAAGAATGTATGTTCTGTTGATTTGGGATGGAGAGTTCTGTAGATATCTATTAGGTCTGCTTGGTCCAGAGCTGAGTTCAAGTCCTGAATATTCTCGTTAATTTTCTGTCTCATTGATCTGTCTAATATTGACAGTGGGGTGTTAAAGTCTCCCACTATTATTGTTTGAGAGTTTAGTCTCTTTGTAGATCTCTAAGAACTTGCTTTATGAATCTGAGTGCTCCTGTATTGGGGGCATATATATTTAGGATAGTTAGCTCTTCTTGTTGAATTGTTCTGTTTACCATTATGTAATGCCCTTCTTTGTCTTTTTTGATCTTTGTTGGTTTAAAGTCTGTTTTGTCAGAGACTAGGATTGCAACCTCTGCTTTTTTTTTTTTTTTTTTTGCTTTCCATTTGCTTGGTAAATTTTCTACCATCTCTTTATTTTGAGCCTATGTGTGTCTTTGCAAGTGAGATGGGTCTCCTGAATACAGGACACTGATGGGTTTTGACTTTTTATTCAATTTGCCAGTCTGTGTTTTTTAATTGGGACCTTTAGCCCATTTACCTTTAAGGTTAGTTATTGTTATTTGTGAATTTGATCCTCTCATCATGAGGTTATTTGGTTTATTTGGACACTAGTTGATGCAGTTTCTTCATAGTGTCATTGGTCTTTATATTTTAGTGTGTTTTTGCAGTGGCTGGTACCAGCTTTTCCTTTCCATATTTAGTGCTTCTTTCAGGAGCTCTTGCAGGGCAGGCCCGGTGGTAATGAAATTCCTCAGCATTTGCTTGTTTGGAAAGGATTTTATTTCTCCTTTGCTTATAAAGCTTCATTTGGCTGGATATGAAATTCTGGGTTGAAAATTCTTTTTCTTAAGAATGTTGAATATGGCCCCCAATCTCTTCCGGCTTGTAGAGTTTCTGCTGAGAGGCCTGCTGTTAGTCTGATGGGCTTCCCTTTGTAGGTGACCTGGCCTTTCACTCTGGCTGCCCTTGACAGTTCTTCCTTCATTTCCACCTTGGAGAATCTGATGATTATGTGTCTTGAGGTTGATCTTCTCATGGAATATCTTAATGGTGTTCTCTGTATTTCCTGAATTTGCATGTTGGCCTGTCTTGCTAGGTTGGGGAGGTTCTCCCGCATAATATCCGGAAGTGTGTTTTCCAGCTTGTTTCCATTCTTCTCATCTCCTTCTGGTACTCCAGTCAATCGTAGGTTCAGTCTTTTTATGAAGTCCCATATTTCTTGGAGGCTTTGTTCATTCCTTTTCATTCTTTTTTTCTGTAGTCTTGTCTGCATTCCTTATTTCAGCAAGGTGGTCTTCAAACTTTGATATCCTTTCTTCTGCTTGGTCGATTCAGCTATTGATACTTGTGTGTGCTTCACGAAGTTCTCATACTGTGTTTTTCAGCTCCATCAAGTCATTTATGTTCCTCTCTAAACTGGTTATTCTAGTTAGCAATTCCTCTAACCTTTTATCAAGGTTCTTAGCTTCTTTTCATTCCATTATAACATGCTCCTTTAGCTCAGTGTGGTTTTCTATTACCCATCTTCTGAAGCCTACTTCTGTCAATTTGTCCATGTGATCTCGGTCCAGTTCTGTGCCCTTGATGGAGAGACGCTGCGATCATTTGGAGAAGAGGCACCCTGACATTTCGGGTCTTCAGCATTTTTTCGTTGATTCTTTCTCATCTTCGTGAGTTTGTCTAGTTTCAGTCTTTGAGGCTGCTGACCCTTGGATGGGGTTTTTGTGGGGGCTTTTGTGTTGTTGTTGATGATGATGCTGTTGTTGTTGCCTTCTGCTTGTTTATTTTTATTTCAATGGTCAGGTTCCTCCTCTGTAGAGCTGCTGCAGTTTGCTGGGGCTTCATTTCAGGCCCTATTCATCTGATTCACTCCTGTGCCTGGAGATGTCACTCAAGGAGGCTGGAGAGCAGCAAAGATGGGTGTCTGCTCCTTCTGGGACCTCTGACCTCGAGGGGCACCAACCTGAATGCCAGTAGGATCACCCCTTTATAGGGTGTCTGACAACCCCTGTTGGAGGGTTTCACCTAGTTGGGTGGCACGAGGAACAGGACCCATTTAATGAAGCACTTTGTCCTTTGGTGGAGGGGGTGTGCCTTGCTGTGGGGAAACCCACCCGTCTGGGCTGCCCGGATTCCTCAGAGCTATCTCAGGGATTCCTCAGAGGAAAGGCTAAGTCTGCTGGCCCGAAGAAGAGACTGAGGCCACCCCTTCCCCAGGGTCTCAGGCCCAGGGGGATCCAGATTCTGTTCCTGAGCCTCTGGCTGGAGTTATTGGAGTTCCTGCAGGGAAACCCCACCCCATTAGAAAAGAGGGGTCAGGGTCAGTCCTGAAGAGGCACTCTGGCCGCAGACTGCCACAGCTGGTGTGTTGGGCTGTGGGGGACTTGTCTTGGGACCAAGCTGTGCAGCTTCCCTGGCACCAACAGGGGAAAAGCACAGCCTTGGGCTATAGAGATGGGTGCCACCCTTCCCCTGCCCAGGGAGCTTAGCATGTTAGGTCATTGCGAGTCCCACTGCTGGCTGCTGCCCCTCCCACAAGGAGTTCAAATGGCTTAAACAGCAGGCAGCCAGTGCTGGTCGCTTCTCCCACCGGGAGTTCAGTAGGCTTAAGCAGATTCCAGCTGAGAGGCTGTTAAGAGTCTGCGCATTCTGGGGTTGCGATGCTAGGCTCTGGTGGCGTGAGTTCGTGAGGGGCATCTTCGGATCTGTGGGTTGCACAATTCCATGTTAAAAGCACGGCTTCTCTGCCTTTGTAGCATGCTCACTCACTGCCTCCCTTGGCTTGGGGGAGGACACTCCCTGGCCCTTTGTGGCTCCCAGGTGCGCTGCCGCACCACACTGCTTTTCTTTCTCTCCACGGGTCACGGCAGCCTCTTAGTTCTGACGAGAGAACCTGGATACCTTGGTTGCCGGTGAAGGATTCACACGTTTATTATGTTTTTTTTTTCAATGGGAGCCTCCGAACGCTGCTGTTTCTAGTCCATCAATGAATTCCTTTACTCTTCCCTCAAAAAATAAGAGGGTTTCGGCCGGTCGCGATGGCTCATGCCTGTAATCCCAGCACTTTGGGAGGCCAAGGCAGGCGGATCGCGAGGTCAGGAGATCGAGACCATCCTGGCTAACACGGTGAAACCCCATCTCTACTAAAAATACAAAAAATTAGCCAGGCGTTGTGGCGGACGCCTGTAGTCCCAGCTCCTCGGGAGGCTGAGGCAGGAGAATGGCGTGAACCCGGGAGGCGGAGCTTGCAGTGAGCCGAGATCCCGCCACTGCACTCCAGCTCCGTCTCAGAAAAAAAAAAAAAAAGAGGGCTTCAACCCCAATTGTTGTTCCTGTTGTTCAAGATTTAGTTCTATCTTGCTTTTGCATTAATATTCACAAATTAGACATTATTTGTATTGATTTTTAGGTAAATGAGTTTTAAATTTACTCCCCAAATTTAACATATTCTTTGTTCACCATTTTCCTTGCATCTTAGATATTCCTCCTAAGATTATTTCAGAAGTGTCTTTAGTGACAATCAATTGGCAGTAGATCTCTCAATTACAATTTAATTGAAAATCTCTTTATTTTGATCTCAACTTGAAGATACTTTTGCTAGAATTGTATTTATAGGCTGACATTTTCTTTCTACACTTCAAAGATATTATCTCATTCCTTTCTGGCTTAATTGACAATCCTTTATAGGTAATCTGCCCTCCTCCCACTGTAGTCACTTTGAATATCTTCTCTTTATTGTTTATATTTTGCAGTTTTACTAAAACGTTCTTAGCATTTTTCTTATTTGAGGTTCATTAGGTACTTGAATTATGTAATTGAAATACGATATTTATTCTAAAAATTCTCAACTTATCTTTTCAATATTGTGTCGTTCACATTTTCTTTAATCTTTCCTTCTGTAAATTGAAAATATATAAGATAGATCTTTTCATTTTATTTTCTGTTTTTGATAACCTCTCTTTCATATTTTTCATCTCTTTGTCTCTATGCTAAACTCTGGATAATTTTATCAGATATATTTTCCACTTCACCTTTTCTCTTTTCAACTGTGTCTGATCCCTTGGTTCTCAACAAGGGGCAGTTTTGCCCATCAGGGAACATTTGACAATGTCTGGAGGAATTTTCAGTTGTCACAACTTGGGGATTGGGTAAATACCAAAGATGCTGATAAACATTCCATAATACAAAATGCACCCCCACACACACACACACACACACACACACACACACACACACACACAGAGAGAGAGAGAGAGAGAGAGAGAGAGAGAGAATCATCTGACCCAAATAGTCAATAGTATTGCAGTTGGAAAAACCTGATATAACCTGTGTTTTAGTCTATCCATTGAGTTTTAACTGTGTTTTAGTCTATCCATTGAGTTTTAAGTTTCAAGTACTACATTTTTATTTGTAAAAATTCTATTTAAATTTTGTTTTAAAATTTCCTAATCAACTTTCATCATCTAATTCCTTCATCATACTTTCGATACTCACATTTATCTTTAAATGTGTTTGATACACTACGATTCCAATCGCTGTAGTCTTTGTGAACTTCATTCTGTACTTTATTTCTTCTGACTCTTGTTCACAGTGGATTATTTTATGTTGTACTTTTTATTGACACATAATAGTTGTGCACATTTATGGAATACTTGTGATATTTTGATATATGTATACAATGTGTAATGATTAAATCAGGATAACTGGAATATCCAACACCTCAAACATTTATCATTTATTTGTGTTGGGAATGTTCCAAATCTTCTCTTCTAGTTATTTTGAAATATAATGTAGCTCATTCCTTGGCACTTTATCTGTAGGAATTATTTAAGACCTGTGTTAGAAGTAGTGTTTTTCAGTGGACCAGCAACATCAGCATCACTTGTGAGCATGTGAGAAATGCAAATTTCCAGGCCCTACAATGGATCTACTGAATCAGAATATCTGGGGATGGAGCTAAGGAATTTATTTTATCCATCTTCCTAAGTGACGCCTAGGCTCAAATATGAAGGTTTGAGAAGTGCTGGTTTGAAGTATTTCTCCAGAGAGAATTTCCATTTATTTTGTCAGACACCTGGAAACATTATCAATCTAAGAACATTTTAAAAATTATTTTTGGGGGCTGGGGGGCATGGAATTAGCCCATTCTCGGTGCTCCAAACTTGTATGAGAATGTGGGATTTTGTTAAGCATTCTCGTAAAAGACTTTTTCCTTTTGTTTCTCCCCCTCTGTCCTACCCAGAGCCAAACCTTGTCAGGCAAACCAACTTCTTTGGGGCAGATTTTTTCTTATTCATCCACTGAGGGTGGCTCCTTCCTGAGATCCTGGCTTTATGTCAGAGGAGTACATGTCCTGACCACCGACCCACTTGTGCCAACTTTTAACTTGTGGCCCATTGGAAACCCATCCGGTCTCTCTATAGTCAGCAGAAACCTTCAGGACAAATATTTCTATCTAGTTTATCCCTACCCCCACCCTCAGAATTGCACTTTCTTGTAATTTCTACTCTCCAGTTGTCTTCGATCTCACTTTAGAAACAAAAGCAAAATAAAAATAGACATTTTTGGATATTTTACCCACCATTTCAGGTGTTCTAAATCAAATGAATTCTTCACTCTTACTTGATCATATTGTCAGAAACAGAAGTCCTCATTTGGTTTTTAAAATACCCAAAATATTAGCATGATCTGAGTAAGTGCTAAAATGACTAGCCTTCCAGACCATGTGCTAACCTGTAATGTTGGTCTTCAGCCTACCCACAGCTACTGTAGAAATAGGCAGGGATGGAGGCAGCCTGTTAGCTAGTGAGTCAGTTATTTATTGATCTCAGTCTGGCAGAGAATTCAATACAGCTAAGTAATAAATACTGACTCAGAAGTATATGCCCCCTAGCAAAGAACTTTGGAATGCCTACTAAGACCCCAAATAACTGCTTATTTCCATTGGTTGTAGATAAACAGGTATCCTGCACCAGCAACAGCTTTATATTTTATTTTGTAAGGCAATAAAAAATATGTAATTCCCTAGGGGCCCACATAAAATATTTAGTCTTTAAAAACAGTTAGTTTCTATCTAGTGTTATATGAGTTTTCAGGATCAGTCAAGATTTCTTCGCACATTGTAAGCTTAGATATAGTCCTCCAGGGAAAGGAAGGCATTGCAATTATAAGCTTCAATTAACCATCATATCTTGGCAACAATATTTTTTAGGTCCCCAGGCAAAATAAAGCACAGCTATCGAAATTAGTATCTCAATTCTCTGCCTCACTTTCATAAAGGAAGTATTCAATATACATAATGATCTTATAAAATTCAAGGAAAAAATGGCAAAGAAGTCAAGGAAAGTAGCCAGACTCCTGATGTTTTCTACCTGTAGACTGTAAGAGACTCCCATGCTGTGCAATGACATTCATTAGACTTTTTGTAGTTTCAACTGGACAACCCTGTAACCCATGCAGAGAACACCTCATACAAGATTGAACTATATGAAATTGCTGATACGACTATTTTTGACCTTCGAATTTAGAAATTTCATAGGTTCAATCTAATATTTTGCCTTCCCAGTTAAAATCGATTCTTGCTTGTCTGGAAACTACGAAGTTATAATATAATGGAATAGAAGCCTCTCTGTGACATTATGGAGCATAAAAAGGGATCTGGGCAGACATGTTAATAAGAAAGAAGAAATTTAAATATGCCTACTTTTCTTTTAGGACCACCAGCAAATTCTCTGTGGTATGCCAGTGGTGTCAAATTTTGTTTAGATGTTCACCTGTAACTGTGCCTCTGATACTCTGTGGTTCTTTTCAGCTATGCGGCATTCTTCTGATTCATTTTTCTCCATTTGTGCTGTTTTTCTCTGTGATGTGAATCCATCCCTATCCATTATGTCATGCCTCCATCTTTTGCTGCTTCTTCAGATTGCACTGAGCCATAAGAGGTAAGCTCCATCAAAAGAGGGAAAATTGACTTTCCTTTATGCTCAGGAAGAATCCTTTGTCCAAGGTATTCCATAACCCTGCCCCTGAAATCAATACTCTCTAAACTACCTTTTAAAAGGAACTGAATGAAAACAATTCCTCATAGCCACACTCACACCAGAATTCCTTGAATGCTGTTGCACACACATTGCAAACTCAGCAAACTTAATTAGCTGTTGCTTACTAATGATCTTGGACATTATTGCCCGTAGATTTGTACCTTAGCATCACCCTCAATTTTCAGTATAGTAATATATATACTAAAATACCCCAGAAATTGGTATTATTTACTGCCATCTTAAATATAGAATTTCTAAGCCTGCCATCATCCACCAGGCTAATAATGATTATAATAAAAAGGCAATATTTGAGTGACTCTATGTCATCATCCTTGATGGAAACAGTGACATTTCCAAACATGAATGGGTTTGGCTATTTACATGCATAAAATTCATCAGATAATTACCAACCTCCCCCTTATGTTTTACCATATAGTTAATGAGAATTATTTTCATATTGATCTCAATTGCATTTCCAAACTTGGATTAGAATTTCCCACAGCCTGTAACTGATAATATCTCAGTTTTATCCTGAGAAGTTTTTGAGCACAGGAGAATTGAAATTGGTTTTGATTCAAAAATGCCTTGGGCTTCTTAAGCAACTAAAGTAATTTTTCAGCAATATATTTTTAAGAATTCTTGTATCTAAAGAAGGCAAGCTAATCCATATAAGAAGCCTTACATATCACTATTTAGATTGTTCATTCATCTATTGTTAATCCTCTCAGTTGCCATCTAACACTTAGAGGCAATAAAATGATCCTCTACCCCATACATATGGTCCACGTTAAGTTTCAACCTTGTTAATCCTGAAGGAGCCAGGGTTCACAATATAATGCTATTTCAGCAGTGTTACCTATGTCTTTCTGTCATTAAGCTTTGAATCCACATTGCTTTATATTGGCAATGTGTCATATTGTGACAGGCTAAGAATAAATTTGCATCACTTGCCTGACCTCTAAACTGACATTCTGTTTTAGAGACAAACGTTCCAACCTTTACCAGACACAGATTTGCATATCTGAACTGTTTAGTGAAATGAATACTTAATACAAGAAAGAATGTAGATATTTAGTCTATATGGCATGGCACTGCAATACTGCTGGGTTTAATGCAGAAGATCATCTGACTCCTTGCAATCTCAAGTTTTTCTATCCCTGTGACCTGCTTCCTAGTCTTGACCCCATGCATTGATGAGATAGATTCTCATCATTAGTATCCACCTTTTGTTAAGGATAGATACTCACTATTAGTGTTCATCTTGCATTCTGTCTTTCACATAGGTTAATTTTTCATGTTGTGGTAATACATAATATTCTTTGTAAAATTAAGTACCTACATAAATATATTTTCATTGTAATTTTTGATGGCTGCATTTAAGACATATACAATGAAGAAAGGCTTAAGGAACTAACTTACTTGAATCATCCAGTGTGTTTGGGATACTTTGGTACCCAAAAATGTAAAGTAACCAGCTCTGCCTGTCCAGGGAAGGGATTTAAGAAGGGTTCTCAGAGGAGGTAACTAACTGAATCCTGAATCTTAAAAATGGGAATTTTCTGGATAGAAAAGGAGTTTCAAGGCTCTGCAAGCCGTGAGACAACATGTGGAATGGCAGAAGATGTCATATTTGGGAGATAGCAACTAAGTTGACATAATTGGACCATAAAGCACTTGAGATGGGCATAGAAAAGGAGATGACCCAAATCACAAAGCTTGGATATCTTTATTTGTTTTATGGTTGAGGTGGATGGAGGCTATAATAGATATCAAATGGGGAAATGATATGTTTATATATTTATGTTTTAGAAAACAATAGTACATGGGACTAATATCCCACTTTAAGTATTAATAGTTAATTTCTACTTGCACTCTACAAATTATCTTTTACTAAGATTTATGGGAGTATAAATTAAGACAATGTAAATGCCAAAGAGAAACTAGCATAGGACCAGCATCAATGAGACCTGGGTTGAATTTTATGTTCCTATATTCACCCCTTTCATGCTATATGATAGTGAAAAATTATACCTCATTTTAAAAAATCTTAAATGGGGGACATTATTTATAGATCACAGGGATGTTATATATTATAATTCTAAAAGTTAACTGACATGTAATTGACAGTCTATGTTAGCCTCTATTTTAACTTTATGGATTGATACATTGTTAAGAATACTACTGCTTACCATTATTAAAAATTATTTCAATTTGAAAATCTGTGGTTACTGAGTAACCTATGGTTATTAGTAACCCTAAAATGATAAATAATATTGTGATGTATTTTTTAAAAAACTGACACAAGTCAAAATACACATGAATAGTTGATATATATTTTCTTATGATCTATTGACCTTCTATGGAAAACTTCTCATTACTTCTTTCCTTAACTTTTTTTAAAAAATCTTTCAAAGATTTCAGTAGAGTATTTGATTCTTACCAGATTCTGGATATCAGCTAAAAGATGTTTCTTCTTTTTTCTTTTTTTTTTTTCAAGCACATTTTGACATGACAAGGTGGAGCCATGTCTTTCTGAAGAAATGCTCTATCATTTATCAATTAATCTCCTCTTTATCAAACATTTTCAATTAAAACCATGCCTATTTAAGTATAATCCAGTCAGTTATTTATGACAAAATAAAAAAAAAAAGACTAACTCAGCAAGATTGAGCTTCCTTTTCTTTTTTGAGGTGGAGTCTCACTCTGTCTCCCAGGCTGGAGTGCAGTGGCGCGATCTCAGCTAACTGCAACTTACACCTCCCAGGTTCAAGCCTCAGCCTCCTGAGTAGCTGGGACTACAAGCACGCTCCACCATGCCTGACTAATTTTTTGTATTTTTAGTGGAGATGAAGTTTCATCATGTTGGCCAGGCTGGTCTTGAACTTCTTTTTTTAATAGCCAAAATGTGCAGAACCAATTTTACCTCTTTGGAACATATGGATGGTTATAGACAAAAGACTATTGCTGGTACAAAATTACTTCTGACGCTCTTGGTTAAAATAAGACTGGTTCTAGAAATGGAATATTTGTTTGCTTCATGTAAAATTTAGGGTTCAAAAAAAGATTCATCTTTAAGACCTCACTAAAAGCTCTTTCACTCTACACTCAAATCGCTGTCACCCTTAAATATACAAAGTTGGAGACATGTAATTACTTGAGATTCTTGAGAAGAAGGAGAAAGCAACACAGAAACCTACCTAAAATGTCTAATCCTTCAAGATCCACATTTTTGGGGGGGATTTTGCTTTCCAGATTTCTCACTACTGTGTTGGCCATACTGACACCACCCTGGGAAATATGGCCAATATAAATCAAAACATGAAGAGGAAAATAAACTAAAAATACACAGTAATTCCCTTTAAGACCAATTTAAAGTTATTGTTCATTAATCCCACATTATTCTTTCCTAAACAACCCTACACAGGAAGCCCCTGTGGTGGCCAGAGCAGCCTTGTTCCTGGAATGTGCTCGTTTTGTTCACCGCTGCAACCGTGGCAACTGGCCAGAGTGGATGAAAGGGCACCACGTGAACATCACCAAGAAAGGACTTTCCCGGGGACGCTCTCCCATTGTGGGCAACAAGCGAAACCAGAAGCTGCAGTGGAATGCAGCCAAGCTCTTCTACCAATGGGGAGACGTGAGCTTTCGGTTTTCTTCTATAACAATTAGGTTGCTTAAGTGAAGTGGAGTCATTTTTTGATTGATTGTGTTTGTTTTGAAGACAATTTATTGAGTGTTTGTTATGTACCAGGTACTGAAGGAAACACTTTGGGAAAAAATAAGCAACTCATTTAATCGTCCCAATAAATCTATGAGGTTAGACATTACTATCTCTGTTTTACAGTTAAGAGAACTGAAGTTTATACAGGTCAAGCGACCTACCAAATTTTACATATCTATTAATAGTAAGTAGAGGAACCACTATTCCATCTCACAGATTAGATTTCAAAGCCTTGCTTCTAATTGCTATATTCATCAAGAATTATCTTTTTGAAAGTCATTGTTATAATTGTAAAATACACCCTTATTTCAGTTTCTATTCTAATTTATATTTTGTAAGGCATGATTTTTTCTAATTTCTTAGTGAAATTTTCTCTTTTGTTGATGTGCCTCCTTTAAGTTGCCTGAAAGCCTTTGGAAATTGCACTCACATAAACACATATTTATGTATGCATATGAGTAAGTGAATAAATTTAAAAGTGAATGAATGAAACTTCTTTAGGAATTCTAACAAAATGGACCCTTAAAATAACTACAACTTCTTTACCATAGAAGGAAAAAAGGTGAAGAATAAAAGGAAATTCAAGAGGACCAAGTTTCTGCTAATTTTAGACAGAGCTGAACATAAACACACATAAAGAGGTTCCATATATTCCTCTTTTCTTAAAGATTACTTGGAATAACTGTTACAATTTCCGTTAATAATTCAGCTGAATGTGTCTACCAATGTGCTTACCAACTAAGGTATTCTTCCTCCAGTTTTACCCATATCTTTTTTGCAAAGTGCCAAAGTTATTCAAAAGGCATGAATTGTATTTAGTATGTGTGCAGTCTTTCTGTATCAGTCTTTCCTTCTTTATTTGCTGTTCTTTGGATTTTCTTTCCTATATAAAAACATCCTGTTTAAAAAGATACACGTATGTATGTGTGTGTGTGTGTGTGTGTATGATATGTTGGAGTAGAACACTTTATTAATGCTAATGTCAATGATCAACACTTAGCACTGCCCTTTTCAGGCTTCGATTGCACATTATATATGAGAAGACACAGTTTCTCCTATGTAATATCTATTTTTGTAAATCGTTGAGATAAGTTATTATGTGATTCCATTGTACTTATCCTTCATTTAATTATATTCGGTTTTAACCTTATGAAGGTTTATACAAGTCAAGCAGTGTCAATGAAATGCATATCATGAGATACATAGAGGCACCAGTAATCTCTTTAATGTGGAGAGATGTTCCAACCCCCCATTTATTACCTGTCTCATTCAAGGAAGGTCTTATTGAGAGGCTTCTCTGAAACAACAGTCACAATTGATAATCCCATTGGCTTCCTACAGGAGAGGAAAACCATTAAGTGCTACACATTTGAGAGTTTCAGGTTTATAGGGAGATTGTCACCAAGAGATTTCACAAACAAGTGTTTTCAGGCCAAGAGTCTTCTGACTTTCTTGCAGCATTTGACACTGCCAACTGCACATACCTCTGTCTTTTGTCCTTTGTCTTTTTGAAACCATCATGCTTCAGAGTTTCCTTGCACCTCTGTGCCTAATTCTCTGTCTCCTTTCCTGGTCCTCTGTCTCCTCCCTCGTCATAAACAGATATTCTCCAGGATCTCTCTTAATTTCTTCCAATATAACTTACTTCAGGGTTACATTTATTCTTATATTTCCAACTGTAACCTGTAAGTACAGACTTCCCTAACCATAGCAGTTTTCAGATCCCAGACCTACATTGCCAGCTGCACTTTGGAAACATTCATTTAATATCCTAGAACTCAATCTTCCAAAATAAAACCCTTCTCCTCAAGTAAACACATTGCCACCTACAACCCTTCTGAGCTTTCTATTCTTATTGATACCACCGTCATCTGAGATGCCAACCTTTGAGCATATCCCAATCTCCTCCCCTATTGATCCCACCTCTTTCATGTCACTGAAGCCCCTTAGGCCAGATCCCCATGACTTCTCATCTCGATGATTAAACTTTTTTCCTATTTGGTCTTCTCCTCACAGTCTCCTCTCATTTAATGCATCCTACACACTGTCAGTGAAAAGATCTTCCTACAGCCCAGCCCACCCAAGATATGACATTCATCCTCATCTCCCAGCCTCCAGACTTGCACCCTCTAATTCATTCTCCAAACTGCTCTCAGAGTGATTAGGCTACAATGCAAATTAGAGTGTGTTTCTTATCCACTTAAAATGCTTTCAGTGGCCCTCCTTTTCCCTCAGGATAAAACCCAAACTGCTTAGCCTGCCATCACTGCCCTCTCCACGACCTTTGCTCAGACCATTCCAAGATTATGAGTGATGAACTGAAATGAGCTAATGTACCTAAAGAATATGTATTTAAATACTTTCCTCCTAATGTATGTTCAATAATAATCAGTTCTGACATGAATTTTTGAAAGCAGAGTCCATGCTTGTCTCAGCATTCCTGGGTAGCTAGTACAACATCCCTGGCATAAGTGATCAGGTTACTTCTCCCACTCAGAAACTACCTTTCATCCTTCTCAAGAATGTGAAATGAAGTTCAACTTCAAGAACTGTAGGATCTGATCCAAATCTACCTTTTCAGCCTTCCTGTACATTATTTCCTCTCACAAAATTGAACTTCAATTATGTGGCCCCTCTGTCAGTCTCTCAGCACATAGTGCATTTCCATGAACATAAATCTTTCAGGACCGTCCCCTCGAATGTCTGCTCTCCCCATTCTCCATCAGTCAAAACACCAATTTGTCAAAGTCTACAAACTTTGAGACCTTCTGTGAGATTTTCTGTGATCCTCTGAACTAAATTTTCTCTTTATTTCTTTATTTTTTTATTTCAGTGGCTTTTGGGGTACAAGCAGTTTTTGACCACATAGATGAATTAATTTTATAGCAGTGAATTCTGAGATTTTAATGCATCCATCATCCGAGTAGGGCACGTTGTACCCAAAATGTAGTTTTCCAGTCCCACAGCTCCCCGACCCTCTCCCTCTCTGAGCTGAATTTAATCTATCTTATGAGCTAATAAAGTGTTTCTAGTCTCTTTAGCCAGTTAATGAGTTGTTTCGTTATGTTATTACATCCCTCAATAGACTGTAAGCTCGTTGAGAGGAAGAACACAGACATAGACAGTCAGACATCCTATGTTTGAATCCTGCTGAGCAACCTTGGGCAAACCTCCTAGCCCCTCTAAACTTCCTATTTGCCAAACAGTAATCTTTCTTATGTGGGCTTATAATCTACCAAGGCACATTAAACAAAGGTACTAGTGTACTATAACAACTTACTCAACTTTATGTTCTATTTAAAACCTAACAAATTACCTCACTTAATAAATATTTGATGAATGAAGGAAGAGACGAATAAACATAGCCCTGAGGCATTTTTCTAGCTTTGGGTGAGACATAGAGATCTAAATTATTATTTAGACATATAGTATTACACCAGACAAGTTCATTTTTTGAGCAGCCCTTTAAGCTTTATAAACTGTGGACTTAATTTAAGTTGCTTAGTTACAACATCCTGGAATGGTCAATGTAGATATTTTTCCCTTTTGAGTCTCACTATTTAGTTTGTTGGCTCCATTCCAGACTCATAATTGTATGTCACCTCCTTAACAGAGGATCTCCAAAATAGCAGCACCAAGATAAGTCTTTTTGTTGTGGTGGTGGTTTTGTTTTTACGATTTGTATCATTTGCTTAAAACTTACCCGGTTAGCAGCTAAAATTTTAGAATCCCACATACTGCATTCTCCTTGGTATAGTTTTTGCTTCCTGGTTTTTAGCTCCTCACTTAATTCCAGAGTTTAGGGAGACCTTTCGGTTTCCAGATATCTAAGACACTCAAAAATGTCTTTTCATTTAAAGAGTATGAGCATAATCTTCACTTAGAGAGCTTGAGCATGTTGGTTTTCAGTAGTAAGTATATTTTCTTACTTGCTGAGAATTTAGTAACTTTTCTAAATATTTGCAAAGTATGATACAGAAAGAAAGAAGAAACTTAGCTGGAATTTTGCTCTTACTTAAACACAGAGTATCCAAACTGTCAAACCCCAAGTTCAGTGATCTGTTTAACTTTTTCTCTCTCACTCCTGAGCCTGTGTCTCTTCTATTGTTGCATGCAGTATATAATTGGAAATAAAATGAATTAGATAGAGATAGTGTTTTTTGTCTCTTCTTGTGGCAAATTCCTTTGATAAACCAGACAATAGTGCCTGATGATTCAATAACAGATAGCAAGGATGTTAGTTCTAAGAATACCGTGTAAAAACCAATATTATCCACGTGCTGAGTTATTAAAACTCATATTTCTAATGTTGTTGGGCACTCTACCAAAAGAAAAGTTAGCATTTCTTACTAATTCATAGAGTATTATGGAAAGAGGAAAAAGGTCTATAAAAGAAGCCAATAAGTACATATATAATGACAGATAGAAAAAAATTGCAGCAACAGAATTCTTGCCAACTTCTAAACTCATTAGCATGACAGTGACATTCTCATTAAAAATAGCATAATCAGAAGCACTCTGAGGAACTGTGCCTTCTGATGTTTTACTGCAACAAAATCCTCCATTAAAAGCAATTGTGTACTCCCTTGTATCATATCTATAAAATAAATAACCTTTGAGTAAATGGAAATATTTTCAGAAAAACTTTTGTACAAATATACAAAGGTGTCATTCCAGTTTTTACAAGTCTTTAGACTGAATGACCTTGGGGATAGCTGTTTCTTCCATTTCTGGTTTCCATACTGGCAAATATGGTGGAAACAACACTGTGGCATACAGAAGAGGCTTATGCTGGAAATAATTCTCATTAATTGGTTGCTTATGTCTGATGTAATGTGAGAGCCTATTTTAGAGTTTGACTTAGTTTGTGCTGTTTCATTGTTTTCCTTCCCATTTTAGGCAATTGGCGTCCGATTGAATGAGCTGTGCCACGGGGAAAGTGAGAGCCCAGCCAACCTGCTGGGTCTCATTTACGATGAAGAGACCAAGAGGAGACTTAGAAAGGAGGATGAGGAGGAAGACTTTTTAGATGACAGTAAGGAGACTCCCTTTACTACAAGAACCCCTGCTTGTAAGAACCTCTGCTTTAGGAGCACTTAATACTTCTCTTTTCTCCTTCATATTCTTACCACCTCCCCATGTCTTTCCACTGCTCCTTCTCCCCTTTTCCCTGTGCATGGGTGTAAAGCATGTGCATAAAGCCACACAGAGACAAGGCAAGAACCAGAAAGAGAAGACAGAGAGGGGCAAGGAGCTGCAGGCAAGATGGAACATTTATTCTTTTCTTGTCTTTGACAAAACAAATATTGGTATTAGACTTCTCTGAGAAAATATCTCTGAGGCACTATAGTTGTGGAAAATTTACTGTCCTAGAAGAGATTTTGTCAGGTTTTGTGTTTTTTATATTGCTCCAGGAAACAAAATCAGACCAAATAAAATTGAATGTGAAATATTTTCCAAATCACTAAAATATTGAAAATTTTAAACAGAGTATATTATAGTATTTAACATGACACTTAAATATTAAAATATTCAGAGGTTGCTAGAACTGTGAATGTCTGCTGTACTGTACCTATTTATTAAATTTATAATAGAATTTCATCATAGAAAAGTAGAGACAAAAAGATTCCTATTACATCCTTCTTCAACATCATTTTGTGCATACGTGTGTTCTATACCATACAAGCTTTTGTGTATATGTACCACTGCCTTTTATGGAATACAAAATTCCAGTTATAGTTATGGAATTCGTATCTTTATATGATGAACATAGTGAGATCTCTTCCTCCTGACCTTCCCCTGTGGTTTGAAATTCAAGCTCCCTGACTACATGTTAAGAGTTGTCCTTCATTAGATGATTCAGACCTACTGCATTGTTGCAGTCATGAAATGTAAAAGAATGGATGGGGCGTAACATTAGGCAGGACTAAATAAGAATCAAAGAAAACTCTTATGATCTTCCTTTCCACGTTCCTTCCAAAGTTTTTTTTTTTTTGCATTTTTAAATCATGTTACCCCTTCTAAGACCTTATCAAATCAGAGCAAATCTTCTTGACGTAGCCATTGACAAAACACCAAATTATTATGTCAGTCTTTCAACCTAATAATGAAGGTTGGCCCCAAAGATATCTAAAGTAGCCTAGACTATCTTAGAATGAGGTTTATCCAACAATCACGGAACCTAGGGAAGGCCCACCATAAGACCCATCTAGCCAGAAGGCATTCTAAGCCATCCTGGAACTTCCAGGGGCCCTTCAGAACAGAGAGAAGTTGAAGCAACATTAAATGCGTGCATCCTCCTAGGCCAAAACAACTTGAATCTCCATTAGACTGCATAAGTGTCATTTACCAATATGTTCTGCCTAGAATATTAGTTTTTTGTTGAGACTAGGTAGAACTCAATCCTTGTTTATTATAACAGGATATTTAATATGATAGCCCTGAAAGAGCCTAGACTAAGACTAAGCTCATTGTCTGCAGGACTGGTAAGAAAAGCCTGGATGATAACCTTAGGAGTGAAACGGCAGACCCAAAAGTCTATACTGAATGTCTAGTGTTCAATTATTTTTTAAAAAGTGTTGCATATCCACACAATATTTAGTCAAATAGCCCCTATAAGACACATATAAGATTGATATGTCTGATTTTTAGTTCCACTTTCAAGTCAATACACAGCTCATCTTGCATTTAAAAGCTGATTATGGTGCAAGCAACTTTCGGGCTGGAAATTCTACAGAAGCTTGTCTTTTCCATTCTTGATGAGAGGCAAAGTCCCCGGCAACAAATTAACTCAGGAGAGAAAATGGTTTTCCTGAAAAAAACGATAGCTTAAATATCTACAGAAAGACCGTAATTTCCACCTATTTTCAAATGAAATCGTGAAGTATGTATTCTATTCAATTAAGAAAGCCTAACACCCAGGAAACATTTTAGAGATATTTTTAGGACTGTTCATATGTAATGATATTGTGATTGCTTGATGACTTGATTCATTTAAAATGGATAACCATTTCCTTTCTTTTATAAGAGAAAGAATTCTACATGGCTTTGATTTTTTCTGAACACGTAAATAATATATTTCTACATCATCCTGTGTCATCAGTTGTGATGACACATATCTGAGAACTAATTCTGAGAATTAAAAAAATCACTATGGTGTTACCATGGCCATTATCTGTCTTTAGAGCAAAATCTATTAGCTGGCTTCTAGTGGATACAATGCTTTATTAATTCAAAGGTCAATATTCTGCAGAGCAAAAGAGAATATTTGTACATTTCTAGTATAGCTATGCCTTAATTTGACAGGCTAGCTTGCACAAACTGTATGATATATGTGATCCAGTAAGTATGTCTTGTCTGTGTTGCAGAAACACATTTGGACTAGAGCTGAAACAACTTCACTGCCCTCAAAACAGCAAGACAGACATCCCTCATAAAATGAACTGACAGAATTTTTATAGCTCCAAATCTAGTTCACTGCCATATACATAGTCTAAATCTGATTGAATAGCAGCGTAGAAATCTTGCGAAATTACTTCCCATTTCTGTTTTCGTTAAAAGGTATTCTAGTCTAGTTGGAGCTGCATTTTGTTACTCTATGATGCTTTAAGGAAAATAATTTAGTTCTGCTTGTTCAATATTTTAATACTGAAGCACTCTGTAGAATTTGCAAAATGGAGGGAGAGAGATGCTTATGTTAGTGCATAAGTCATGCTAAAGGAATAGGTAAATTGAACTTACATAGATATAGATGAAGTCCTCATATGTAATTGGATGTTGGACATATATAGGTAACATTCTCATATGCAATTTGATTCTATACATGTGTAGCTATGTCCATCAAACTATGCATTTCTGTATTTTTTGTTGATTTGTCTCCTTATGAAAGAACACTTTCATTTCCTAGGTACTGTGAACCCCTCTAAATGCGGTTGCCCCTTTGCCTTGAAGATGGCAGCATGTCAGCTTCTTCTGGAGATTACCACCTTCCTGCGAGAGACCTTTTCTTGCCTGCCCAGACCTCGCACTGAGCCTCTGGTGGTAAGTTAAAGCATGCAAGTTAATAATCAGGTTACTCGGAGAGGCCAGGCGTGTGTCTGGGTTTCCAAGATTCACAGTTTTCTTAAATGTTCCATGGCTAGTGTATCACATAATTTTAAAAATTCAACCAAGGGATTTTGAAACATAAAAAGAAATGCTCTTTTCCTCATTACAAATAATAATAACTCCAAAGTCAATCTAGAAATCAGTGAAGGTTTTCCTACTGGATACAATGTTTATTTGATCACTATCAATTATGCTGGGAATATCTAGGAGCCTTTAGCTTCCTTTACTCTGAAAATATGAGGAGTTTTATGGCTAATGTTTTCCAGAACTCACCAACAAATTTTTTTATACCAACTGCTCATAAATCTGTATAGAAATTTGCTTCTTAATGAGTGTTCTCTTTCAAATTATGGTTGAAAGTACTCCAGTATTTAGTGTCTAAAATCCCCAAACGTACATTGTTATTTCTGTAGCATTTCCTAGAGATTATGGATAGACAGAAATAAGACCATGCATGTGTGCATGCACACACACACACACACACACACACATGCGTGCATGCATATACACTCCTGTGTGGTATACCATGAAGGCCTGATTTGTTTAACCAATGATATAAATATAAATACTATGCAAGAACCAGGCATGTTCACAGAGTGTGTGGCACGGGGCACACCTTGGAGTCAATTTTCCTTCACTCCTAGTTCTCTAATGGGCACCAAGTTTCCAGTGGTTCTTTCATCACAGGCATCATCCAGCTGGAGCTGAGGAACCAGACTATCTCCCAGAGCAATCGTTACATAAACAATCTATGTGTTTCCATTTAAGCAAATTTTACAATCCACAATCCACCACCTCTCCTTCTTTTTTTTTTTTTTTTTTTTGAGACGGAGTCTTGCTCTGTTGCCCAGGCTGGAGAGCAATGGCGCGATCTCTGCTCACTGCAAGCTCTGCCTTCCCAGTTCACACCATTCTCCTGCCACAGCCTCCCGAGTAGCTGGGACTACAGGCGCGTGCCACCATGCCTGGCTAATTTTTTGTATTTTCAGTAGAGACGGGGTTTCACCATGTTAGCCGGGATGGTCTCGATCTCCTGACCTCATGATCTGCCTGCCTTGGCCTCCCAAAGTGCTAGGATTAAGGTGTGAGCCACCGCGCCTGGCCACGTTTCCTCCTTTTTAAACCAAACTCGGCATGAGCAAGGCCGTGTCCCAAGCAAGGCCAGGCGGTGTGGGGAGAGGAGTGAAAGAATGGGGGTTCCGGTGTCACTGCATGACACCTCTGCCTCTGGTTTTCCGGAGTTCTAGGAAGACCATTCATTGCTTCACACTCTAGAACAGAAAGTGGATATTTTCAAGTTAGAAATATTTATGAGTAAACTGTCTGCTCTCAAGAGAAACACCCACATTTGGACTGTGACACTACCATTTGGATATTGAAAAGAGAAGTTTCTTCTACTGCCCTTATGTAATTTCATAATAACCTGAATCTTTAATTTTCTGAATTGTCACTTTCACTATTATATTGAGACTACTCTGTAAAATCAAATCAAGGCCACCACTCAGCACTTCTATAGGCCTCTATCAGTATTATCCCTATCAGCATTCTAATGATGTTGAAGTCTTCATAAAAGCACAAAGTACATCTACTTTTAAGTTTTCAGATTGTTATTGGTCACCATTTTGATCCACTGTAATAAAAAAAATAAGAATCCTAAAGTTTGACTAGGTTATTTTTGTTTTCCCTATCAATTCTATAAAACTAGAGTTTAATGGTCCTTATTATTGTAACAAATTTATTTTTAAAAGATCAATCAAATCTTCTAAATTTGATTAATATAATTTGACTAACCTACAGTTAGTTAGCAAGAGGAAAATTTTTACTTTATGTCACCTTTAATTGGGCCTCTGAAATCTTTTATTCATTACACTAGGATTTTCATTGTTAATGTGTACGTTTGTGTATTGTGTCGAGATGTGGCCTTTATAACATAAAGAGGGAAAGGACCTTTTTCTCACATTTCAGCTATCTAACCCTAGTTGGTAGTAAAGAAAACTCAAGCCACATTCTAACTTATTGAAATGTTTTACCAACACAGAAATTCTTACAATTGTTTTCTATTTTTAAATTGTGGTAAGAGCACCTACCATTGGATTTCTCCTCTTGATGAATTTTTAAGTGTATAATATGTTATTGTTGACTGTAGCTATAATGTTGAACAGCACATCTATGGAGCATCTTCCTTGACTGAAATTTTATGCCTTTCTATTAAGTAATTCCCCCATTTTGCCCTCCCACCAAGTCCCTGGCAACCACCATTCCACTCTTTTTTTTTTTTTTTTTTTTTTGAGATGGAGTCTTGCTCTGTTGCCCAGGCTGGAGTGCAGTGGTATAATCTCGGCTCACTGCAAGCTCTGCCTCCCAGGTTCACACCATTCTCCTGCCTCAGCCTCCCAAGTAGCTGGGACTACAGACGCCCACCACCATGCCCAGCTAATTTTTTTTATTTTTTTTAGTAGAGATGGGGTTTCACCATGTTAGCCAAGATGGTCTTGATTTCCTGACCTCATGATCCGCCTGCCTTGGCCTCCCAAAGTGCTGGGATTACAGGCGTGAGCCACAGCATCTGGCCCCCACTCTTTGATTCTATAAATTTGACTATTTTACGTACTTACTCATATAAGTGGAATCATGCAGTATTTGTCTTTCTGTGACTGTGTTATTTCACTTAGGATAATGTCTTCAGAGTTCATCCATGTTGTCACATATGTCAGAATTTCCTTCTTTTTTAAGGCTATATGGTTTTTTAAGAAATGGCACTGAACAGTAAATCCACAGAGTAAGCATAAATACAGCCAAAATGACATTTTTTCACCAGATAGATCCTTAAATGTAACTTAATTAGTGTGCTTCCCCCCCTCCCCCACAAAGAAACAACTTCTGGTAGCATTTTGTAAACCGTGCAATTAAATTATGTCTAAAGAAAGGGAAGGGCAGCATTTTTATAAGATTTATAGTCTAAAACAGCATAAGCAAATTTTTTCTAAATATTATCTTCTAAACTTGAGAACAACAAAGGAATATTTTTTAAACAAAATTTTGTTTATAAAACTGCTGGTCTACTAAAATGTTTCCCAGTTGAATTAGTGAGACCAATCGATGATGACTAAGCAACATGTAATGAAAACAGTAATTCCCATCAAATGCATAGATGAGTCTATAATAATAAAGAGGAAGGTGGTAAGGAGGTCTCTGTATGTCTACATTCGTTTGTTACAGAAAACAGCATATTGGGTCCTTTTGTGCAATATTGTGCTAGAGGCTGTACCAACCATGCCAACGGAATTTAACAAATCAGGTTATAAAAAAATATACTGCTGAAACTTGCTTAGCCATATGCAGAAAATTGAAATAGGACCCTTTCCTTACACCTTATACAAAAATTAACTCAAGATGGGTTAAAGACAAATGATTTTATCATAAAGATACATACATGTGTATGTTCATTGCAACACTATTCACAGTAGCAAAGACATGGAATCAACCCAAATACCCATCAATAATAGACTGGATAAAGAAAATGTTGTACATATACACCATGGAATACTATGCAGCCATAAAAAGGAATGAGATTATCTCCTTTGCAGGGACATGGATGGATCTGGAAGCTATTATCCTCAGCAAACTAACGAAGGAACAGAAAACCAAACACCGCATGTTCTCACTTATAAGTGGGAGCTGAACAATGAGAACACATGGAAACAGGGAGGGGAACAACACACACTGGGGTCTGGTGGTGTGGGGGTGGGGGTTGGGAGAGCATCGGGATAAATAGCTAATGCATGCAGGGCTCAATACTTCAGTGAGGGGTTGACAGGTGCAGCAGACCACCATGGCACACGTTTGCCTATGTAACAAACCTGCACGCCCTGCACATGTATCCTGAAACTTAAAATTAAATTAAATTAATTCTTTTTAAAAAAAGAAAAAAAAAACACTGGATTTCAAAGGTTTCTAAAGTTAAAAAAATCAGAAGCAAAATACAATTCATAGCTACCAAGACAAAACTAATGAATATTTATTGAGAATAAAGTATGAGCAAGGTGGTGTGATGGTTGCAGGGGTGGGGATGAAGGTGATACAGAAATAACTATACTGTAACAGGAGAACCAACATACAAAAAATTACTTTCTGAAGCAAAATGTAAGAGGGTCCCTGAGAAAGTAGCAGAGAGCCACGGCTAGCCAAAGAAGGGGCTGAACAGCTCTGATGAACCTTCTTGGAAGAGGGCACATTTGAATATAGCTTTGAAAGACTACGTAGGATTTGGACAAGCAGATAAAAGAAGAAATTGGAAGGGAGAACTACTTTTGTGAATCAGAATTATTATATGATTGCTTCTTATCCCAACTAAGAAATTTCCCTCATTAGATTTGGCTACCACAGTGGAAGGTAGATTAGGTTATTTTTTTTTCTCAAAGGGATTAATTTCAGGGAAGCACTTACATTTATAGAATATTCTTGATGATGGTAAAATAGATTCCATGTAGTTCCTATATTTTTCTGGGTGTGATATAATTTTCTGAGTCAAAATGTAACTTCTGTTCTTAAGCCAAAAGGACAAGAAACAAAATGTAGAGTCTAAAATGTTAACTTTTTTTTTTTTTTTTTTGAGATGGAGTTTCACTCTTGTTGCCCAGGCTGGAGTGCAGTGGTGTGATCTTGGCTCACTGCAACCTCCACCTTCCAGTTTTAAGTGATTCTCCTGATTCTCCTGCCTCAACCTCCTGCATAGCTGGGACTACAGGCACCTGCCATCACGCCCACCTAATTTTTGTATTTTTAGTAGGGACGGGGTTTCACCATATTGGCCAGGCTGGTCTCAAACTCCTGGCCTCGTGATCGGCCTGCCTTGGCCTCTCAAACTGCTGGGATTACAGGTGTGAGCCACTGTGCCCAGCCTAAAATTTTATCTTATTGATGAGAATCAAAAGCATAAGATTTTAATCTTGGTGCAAACTTTTTAAAAATCTTTTAAAAAATTACAAAATATTTTTATTTTTTATATTTATTTGAATCTAAGGGTTTATTATGTCATAATTAGAAAAATACAGTATAAAAATAAAATTAGAATTTTATATATATTTTTAGGTACTCCAAAAGTGCTTTATAAGTTAATAATTACATATGATCTTGACCAGGCACAGTGGCTCATGGCTGCAATCCCAACACTTTGGGAGGCTGAGGTGGGAGGATCACTTGAGGTCCAGAGTTTGAGACTAGCCTGGACAACATAGCAAGACCCCATATCTACAAAAAAATTAAAAAATTAGAAAATTAAAAATAAAAAAGAATAAATATGATCTCTAGGATAAACAAATCTCTATTCACAGGACAAGTCAAATTCTCAATTTGGGGCCTCAGAGACCAAACTTCTATTAAGTAATTACTTTCCTCGAGGCTTACTTTATTATATGAGATCATTGTGTTCAGCCTCAGATGGTGATGGAACTCCTGTCATACTTATATCCTCTTAGAAGGGAGTAAGAAATTCCCCCAATGTGTGATACTGCTTTGAGCCTCTGGCCTTCATGCATGAGGTTTCTTAAGGCTGAACTGCCTTTCCCCACTTGTTTGCCAAACTATCTTTACTTAATCCTCAAGACTTAACTCAAACATCAACTCTTTATTCATTTTATATTTCTGCTGTGACAAACTACCAGAAATTTAGCTGTTTATAGCAGCACAAACATGTCACAGTTCTGGAGGACAGAAATCCAAGGCAGGTATTGCTGGGCTAAAATCAAGGCATTGGCAAGGCTGCATCCATTCCTAGGGCTCTAGGGAAGAATCTGTTTCCTCACCCTTTATTCATCATCTAGAGGCCACCCACATTTCTTGGCTTATAGCCCTTTCCTTCGTCTTTTTATTATTATTATTTTTTATTTATTTTTTGACAGAGTTTCCCTCTTGTTGCCCAGGCTGGAGTGCAATGGTGCAATCTCAGCTCACCACAACCTCCATCTCCCAGGTTCAAGCAATTCTCCTGCCTCAGCCTCCTGAGTAGCTAGGATTACAGGCATGCGCCACCTCGCCCGGCTAATTTTGTATTTTTAGTATAGACGGGGTTTTTTCTCGATGTTGGTCAGGCTGGTCTCAAACTGCCGACTTCAGGTGTTCTGCCCGCCTCAGCCTCCCAAAGTGCTGGGATTACAGGTGTGAGCCACCGAGCCCGGCCCCTCCATCTTTATAGCTAGAAACATCGCATCTCTCTCATCTTTCTTTCATAGCCACAGCTTCCTCTGACTACAGCCTGGAAAGGCTCTCCACTTTTAAGGATTTGTGATTGGGCCCATTTAGCTAGCCCAGAATAATCTCCCAATCTTAAGGTCCTTAGCCTTAATCACATCTACAAAATCCTTGTTGCCATGTAAGGCAACATATTCACAGGTCCCAGGGATTAGGGCATCTTTGTGGGGCTGTTATTCTGTCGAGCACAGTTCCGAGTCTGATTTCCGAGCTCCTACTCTCAGTCTTAAAATTTATCACTTGTTTGCCTTCTCAGTTTCTATCTTGGGATTCTGAACTCCTTTAGAGATTAAAAAAAGTTCCTTATTTATCCTTCAGTACCTAACACATCCATGCTTGATGCATGATTTTTAAATAAGAGATAAAGGCCAAAGATGCAGCCAAAACTGTGGACAAAGAGTTAGAAGGTAAGGAAGATAGTTTTGGATTTGGATCAAGGCCTATGCTTTTGGAAGGTAAAGCATGTGAGGAAAAGGGGAAAAATACTATGAATTAGGAAAGATTTTATTTATTTTTTAAGTCAAGAATAGATTTGCATGGTCACAATCTAAAATTAGCGTCAGATAAAGGAATCTGGCTGTTTAAACGCAGTTGTGTATAATTCAAAATGGTGGGAGGCTTGCCGCGAGACCAATGCAGTGCTGGGGAGATGCCAGCACTCATGTGCTCCTCACTGGCATTTTAGGACTTGGAGAGCTGCAGACTTCGTTTGGATCCCGAGTTGGACCGGCACAGATATGAGAGGAAGATCAGCTTTGCTGGGGTCCTGGACGAAAATGAAGACTCAAAAGATTCTCTCCACAGCAGCAGCCACACTCTCAAATCAGATGCAGGAGTCGAGGAGAAGAAAGGTATGGAAACACAAAGGTTCCTTCATGTTTCAGGGTTTCTTGTTTCTCATAGGATATTTGCACTAGGGTCTAAACTACAAAATTGTGTACCCAAATTGTTGACTTCCTACAATACTGACTGTGTAGGCTTTATGATGGAAAATCATGCTTGTTAGAAGTTGGTCTCTGCAGTCAGAGAGGCCTGGCTTCCAATTCCAGCTCAGAAACTCTCCATATTCCATTACAGCTATAAGATGAACCATTATTTGATTTACCAATAAGGAAAGAAAAATACTCCCAATTGAACTTTTACATAATGCTCTCTTATCACTTAGCTTGTCTTTTATTGGTTTTTTTTGTTTGTTTGTTGCTTTTTTATTTGTTTGCTTTTTGTGAGACAGAGTCTCACTCTGTCTCCCAGGCTGGAGTGCAGTGGCACAATCTCGGCCCACTGCAACTTCCGCCTCCCAGGTTCCAGTGATTCTCCTGCCTCAGCCTCCCTAGTAGCTGGGATTACAGGTGCCCGCCACCACGCCCGGCTAATTTTTGTATTTTTTTTCTTTTCTTAATATGCTTTTATTAAAATGTAAAACATAATAAAATGAGAAAAAATAATATTATGTTTCTCAATTATCTTAACATCAATGGCATCTATTCGCACGAAATTCTTGGGGACCATTACTTAATGTGAAACTAATTTGGTAAATAGAATCTCGTTTTAAAAACTACACCTCTGCTAAACACTTGTAGGGCTAATCTCATCAATTAATAAAGCACTAGGCTTATTTAATCATTTTTGTGAAACTATGAAGACAGAAAGAACAGCTACAGTCTTTCTGCATTGCTAAATGCACATTAAACAAGTTCCCTAACCATGGAATAGACCAGATATTAACCAGATATGAAGTTTTTATATTTGATTTTTTAAATGGGAGACTACTTTATGAGTCTTCAAGTAATATACTCAGCCTACAGGTTGCTTGTAATTTTTTCAATAGATAAGAATGACCTAGAAAAGTTATTTATGGAACCATGTTATTTAAGAAAGATAAAAGTGTTACAGCGTTTACAGAATTTCTTTTGGCCTGGCTAAGGATGTTTTCTAGACAGTGGTATTTTAAAAATAGTTCAGTATTTTCCATCTGTACATATCATTTCCATTATAATTAACTTAAATTCACCCACTTGTATGCACATACACACCTTGGCCTAATTTGGTCATTCATGTTTCTGTCCCTCTGTCCCTAGGTCTTTTTATTTTTATTTTTTATACTTTAAGCTCTGGGATACATGTGCAGAACGTGCATGTTTGTTACATAGGTATAGACGTGCTGTGGTGGTTTGCTGCACCCATCAACCTGTCATCTACATTAGGTGTTTCTCCTAATGCAATCACTCCCATAGCCCGCCACCCACGGACAGGCCCCGGTGAGTGATGTTCCCCTCCCTATGTTCATGTTTCTCATTGCTCAACTCCCACTTATGAGTGAGAACATGCAGTGTTTGTTTTCTGTTCCTGTGTTAGTTTGCTGAGAATGATGGTTTCCAGCTTCATCCATGTCCCTGCAAAGGACATGAACTCATCCTTTTTTATAGCTGCATAGTATTCCATGGTGTATATGTGCCACATTTTCTTAATTTTTGTATTGTTAGTAGAGATGAGGTTTCACCACTTTAGCAAGGCTGGTCTCAAACTCCTGACCTCAGGTGATCCACCTGCCTCGGCCTCCCAACAGGTGTGAGCCAACGTGCCCAGCTACTTGTCTTTTATTCTTATTGAAAAAGGACATTCAGACCTAATTAGAAGTAGTTTACTATTATTATTATTATATATCATTCTTGTGCAATCCTATATGTATATATATAAATAAAATTAACTGGTTAAGGTTTTTGTAAACTATCTTCAACTCAGAGTTTAAATGTCTTAATTACTTTTCAACTCACAGTTATCTAATATGTCTATGTTTCTATGTGTGATAATGTCCTCTGTGGCATCACAATGTTAGTGATGCATCATTTCTTAAATGGATTCATAAAAAAAGTAAAGTTTTTTGTGCTAATTACTTAAGCCAACTTGCACCCATATGAAGTTAGCCCACCTTTAGTCCCTCTTCAGCAATGTTGCTAAACACATCTGACTTACCCACCTCACCCACCCACCTACCCCTCACTATCACTTGATTCCTTAGGGTTAAAAGATCTTGTCACTCATTCTGTTTAACTTTTTGCTGGTGCTTTACATTTTCACACAGACAAGCAATAACAAAGGTGTCACAACTGCTACCTGGTGCAAGTGATCATAAGATGTCATCTCTTGCATGACAAATACCAATTTCCAGATATGTTAAAATGTGAACAAGTTGTGCATCTTAAAATGGGTGATATATAGTAACTCACTATGTGGCCTTGTCCAAGTTATTTACCTTCTAAGCCACAGTTCCCTTTTCTGTAAAACTGGGTTAACACCTACTGCATTGCGATGTTGAAAACTTTTAATAAGAC
This sequence comes from Homo sapiens, assembly GCF_000001405.40. Lineage (NCBI taxonomy): Eukaryota > Metazoa > Chordata > Mammalia > Primates > Hominidae > Homo > Homo sapiens. Next base: position 209,890,742 of record NC_000002.12, read on the forward strand.
AATGCAAGTGAAGTGTAAACTTAATACCTGGTGAATTGTAGGTACACAATAAATAGCTATTGTTGTTGGGTTTTTAAATATACATAATAAGCATCTAGATTAGAATCCACATAGAAAATCCTAATTATGAACTAAAGATTGCAAAGTTTTAAGTTGCCCTCTAGAGCCTCCTTTAAACTGCCAACTTCACTATTTGATTTTGCCATTTTAAAAATTCCATTACCTTTCCATGTTTTTCCAATGAATTTCAATTAAAAGAACATCTGCACATTTGCTAGAAGAGTCAAAAATGATTTTATGTGTTGAAGTATTTTCTAGCATCCTATAGACAATGACTCAATAAATTTTGGATAACAACAAATGAACGATTCTTAGAAGGAATAGCCCTGTATAGAGAAAACACACAATATTTAAAAGGGAATAGATATACATTGGGAAAAGTTTGAATAGTTCAAGATCAAAACGTTTTCACAACATTTTTAAAATACAGATAATCATATATCATATTCTATTGAATTTATGGCCAAAAGAGGCCATGTTGCAGGAAGGATAAGTCAAGTCTTGAGCAATTTTTGAATATGAAGAAGTATCAAATGAATATTTTTTTCAAATATTACTTACTTCAGACAATTATACTGCATATGATGAGAAGCTTCCCTCTTTTAAACATATCCCAAAGAGATTTTAATTTAGAAGGCAGTCTTTTCTTTCCTTATTCAAAGTTATTATGCTAATTATATTTAAGATAGTAGATAATTCCTAATATTACACAATTAAACTTCAGCAGAGTAAAATTTACACCATTTTATAAAATAAAATATCTGATTAATTTTAAGAACTTTAATTTGATGTGATTATTATTTATGTAAATTGGCTTTAATATTTCAACACTCAAATGCTGAATATTTTTTCTACACACAGAATGGTTATGTTAACATATGAAAGTTGTTTAATAAACAATGGAAAACTGCAGTTATAAGTTAAATGAGAATATATCCATAAAATGTCCTTAATCAGTTGACGAAAATCTTCCCAAAGATTCCTAAATATTCCTTAATCCATTTGACAAGCTGTCAGCTACTAAAGCCAATATGAAAATGAAGACAATAGAGACACTGCTAATTACAGTTTTTAAAATTTTATACCATTTGGTTTTGTAAAACCTTAAGATGCCAGTTCTTGAAATAAACACGCTGAGGACAATTCAGATTCTACCAGGAAAAATTCAAGTGAAATAATCATTTAGAATAGTAGGAGATGGGTTGGAAATGTATGCAAAGGGCAAACAGGGTCTGGTAGATGTGGTTAGAAATTTAATTTTGTTTTAAGTGCATTAGAGTTGTTGGTAGGTTTTACCAGAAATGTGATATAAGGTGTGTATTTATGATTTATGCATTTAAAAGATGACTTAATCTATGGGAGTAGAGGGAAAGGTGAAGCAGTTATGCAGTTACATTAGTCCAGGGAAAAGGGGATGGAGCTGTCAAAATCCTATGATATTTTGAAATGTACAGCCAGCAGGACTTGCTAATTGATACAAAGTGAGGTGAAAGAAAAGGCCAAAGATGTTTTATCCAATTTAGATGGATTTGTTTCACTTTTGTACTAGTTCTTGTTGTCATGGAGATAAAGGCTAAAATTCAGTGCTGCACAATCTCAACTGATGTTTTTCATGTACAATACCAAATATAAATTCTAACTGCTGTGCTCCTTGTAAATAACCAGTGCCATAATTCTGAACTGTAATTTTTCAGTGCTATAGGATATCTCCAACTATCCTTTTTGGTGGAACAAGCTCTCAAAATTAAATTTCTTTCTGATTACATTAATTTGAGTTTATTTTGCTGCATCTGTAGGCCAAAAAGTGTCATAAAATTGGGCAAAGAATATTAGCGTGTGCCTCTGTAAAAATCTAAGAATTATCTGTTTAATATTTTCTGTGCTTCCGAATCTACTTAGACATGAAATTGCACTCGTAGTCATTACAAAATTTTAATTATTTTCTGTTTCAAACATATTTCAGATAGGTGATAAAGTCTTAATTAAACATAAAAATAATATTGAAAAGTATAGTGTGTGAGTTTTGTGCTATAATTAAAATGCAGCTTTATGGTTCATAGCCTTTGTGGGATTTGTCTAACTGTGCTGCAAGAAATTCCATCCAGATGTGAAATTCTACTCAGATGTGTTCAGGGAGCTCCATGGGGCCTTTACCAGCTGCATGGTGATAATTTTAATCTTTCTCCATCACAACAGTAAATCAGAACTTTCACATTATTCAGCAGGAATTCTTCTGACCTCCTTTAAATGGCATTAAAAGTATACATTTAGCTAATGTTTTCGTTATACAAGTTCTATCACAGTCACATTAACTCTCTCATGAATGAGAAACCTGAAACTAACATGCAAACTTTCTGATTGGGAATTTTAAAATATTAATAACTGTGCCTTAAATAATTAGTAAGAAATCTTGTTCATGTCTTAAGAAGGTAAGCTTATAAAATTGGCCCCTTCCTGGTAATGGACTTTAAACCCTGAAAACTTACTTTATCCCACCTTTATAAAATCAGTGTGTGAAAACACCAAATCTTGAAAAGGAAGGAGGTGTGTATATGACTATGGAAAATAAGGATGCTGTTGATTTAAAGAAAGATAGGTTCAAGTTTAAATGCATTTCTTTTACCCGTTTATTTTCCTCACTGATTACTATTTCTTCCAGAACACTAAAGATGAATAATGCATATTCTTCTTGGTATGCATAGACTGTTTTAAGTTTGGCTCGGGGGGGTTGCACCATTTGGAATCACATCTCACCCAGCCTTTTGACTGAGAGGAGGATAGTATGAAGTCATTAAGTGCATTGAAAATGGAGCCATTTCACACTCATGCTCACCCAAAGCACCCCAGTGAAGACAGATTGTTTAGTGCCTTTTCTGAGGAGCAGAGTGGAAGCCACTGCTGACTATTGGAGAGAGAAGCACCTTTGGTTCTTATTTCTGAATGAGGTATTCCAAAATGAAGGGGTTTACGTGACAGCTTACAGAAGTCTGTAAGTCCCATTTCGAAAGGAAAGCAAAAACAAATGGTTTGTGGTTCTCTTGAATCAAGGAATCCCATGATAAAAGTGTACTAATAGTCCTAGTTGATGCTGCCCCAAAAGCACACTCATGCTAGTGAAACCTGGGCCAGAAAGAGAGCAGGTTGTTCCCAGTTCCGATGAGCTTTGTGTCCAAGAAATAAGCTGCACCAGCCCTTCCTGGTGGTTCCTGCAGGACTGGGGGCTTGGGAGAAGCTCCTTGTCCAGAGTGCTCATCCAGGCCAGCAGAGGAGGCTGATCAGGGACAAGTTGGGGAGAGATGGATATAACACTGGCTGGGGAACACTAGGGGGGAAAAAGCCCTATTTTATTCTTTTAATACAGTTCCCAGCAGGAAGATCAGGATAGGAGGTTCTCGCCTGCTCCAGATTAAAGGAACCCGCAGTTTCCAGGTGAAGAAGGGGGGTTCCTTGTCCAGCATTCGCCGGGTCGGCAGCTTAAAGAGCAGCAAGTTATCACGGCAGGACTCAGAGTCTGAGGCTGAGGAGCTGCAGCTGTCCCAGAGCAGGGACACTGTCACTGACCTAGGTAACATAGAGGAGTGGGGTGTGCAGGGACGTGGGGGGTAGGAAGACAGGGCCCAAGTCCCAAAAGAGCTGAAGTCCATTTTCTTACACATAAATAGATGGAGGGCAGAGCCATAGGATAGACAACCTGTTCAGCCTGAAAACCATACTACCCTTGGTAGAGCAAGGCAGCTCAAGCCTTGATGTGCATATGGGTCACTGGAGAGGCTTGTTAAAATGCAGATTCTGATTCAGCAGATCTGGGGTGGGGATCTGAGATTCTACATGTTTAACAAGCTTTCTGGTGGAGCCGATGCTGCTGATTTCAAGGACGACACTTTGAGCAGCAAGGATGTGGAGTATTCATTAGGGAAAGAAAACACTTTAATGAAAAGGACAGTCTTTGAAATTCCGATGCTTGTGTATTCATTCTTTTGATCAGAACATTCAATGTCAAATGTAATTCCCTTGGGGAGGACTACCTAAAGATTCTCTATATTTTAAAGTCTCTATTTACCAGTATGAACAACCAAAATCTCAGAGAGTAAAGATTGTCTAGACCTGACAATGAGTGATCTTCAACAAGTCATTTAGGTTCTCAGGGATTTGTTTTCTCTGACTACACAGTGAGAATAATTCTTGCCTACAATGCAAGGATGCTCTAAAGATAAATTAGAAGATGACCATACAATGTGTTAAACACCTGAGAATGAAATCAGTGTACAGTCAAAGCATGAGAGTTATAGATTGTCATTGTAGGCTCTAAAGAGATTTCAAATACCAAAATATGGCAGTCCAAAATATGGGCCCTAATTAGTATCTTAATAGACAAGCAAAAGATTAAGTAGGCATGAAAGTAGAACTCACCAGCTGCCTAACATTAAATATTAGGTAAAAGTTGAAGCACATTCACTTTGCCATTCAGTCTCTGTATGCAAGGCAAAATAGAAAGCTCTCCTTACTAGGTAAGTAGTTTCAAAAGTCAGCAAGAAGTGTGGATAAATTATCGATCAAGTCTGCTGAAATAAAAGCTGAGTATATTTAATCAAAGAAGGTTTAAAATAGAAAATGCTTCTGTATCCACCCACCCTCGCCTTTGAAAATAGCTGATTTATGCATTACTTAAGATTCAGCTTATTTCTTAAGGAGACTTTTTTTTAAAGTATATATGACTTCTTTTTTTACAAGTCTGAAGCTAGAGCATTATCATCAGTTAATTTGGGGAAAAATTATTGCAATTAATTATTTAAATTGATCGATTTATCCTGACCAATTGAGTCAAAATAGCCAGGTTGAAAACATTGTTTTGTCATTAAAAAGATCTATAAAAGATTTTAGATTTGAGGGGAAAGCTTTGTTGTGTAGTCTACCAAGTAGGGAATTCTTGAGAGATATTTCCTTTATACTTTCACACAGAGAGGAGTTTGGACACAAGGGCTGTCCACAGTTGGACATAATTGCTTCCAAATTTCCTTAGGTTTTCAGAGGTACCTGCCCATCTTTGAAATAGCTCTGGTAGCAAAGCCTGGTGGCTAGAGCAATAGCACTAGCTGCAGTCACAGAACAGTGGAGGCAGCAGTCACTGTGAGGCAGGTTAGTTGCTGTCCCTCCTTAAATACACCTGCAAGGTCTGGTCAGTCTGGAATGGATTTGGGCGCACTCAATCAATAACTGGCTCATCTCAGCAATTCAAGGACTTGACTCTGTTTTTTTTTCTCTGCTCCCATCTCTCAAAATGGAAGCCACCATAACAGAGATCATAAATGTCTTTGAAATTGCCAGTTCAGCTGGTGGTGAAGGGGACAGCTCCTGTTAATATTCCTCCAACAAAGTCAATGCTATGCCCTGTAACCCACTGGGCCATGGTAGTCTGCCCTAGGATTCAGAAGCATGGACAACTGTACCATACCAACATGCTCTCCAGGGAGACCGAACACTGAAACCTTTCTTGGTATTTTTCTTTTGAAGAAGGGAGTCCTTGGAGTGCAAGCGAGCCCAGCATTGAGCCAGAGGGAATGAGTAATGCCGGCGCGGAGGAGAATTACCACAGAAACATGTCGTGGCTTCATGTAAGTAGGAATCTCAGAAACAGCCCTGAGATCAATTTCTTTTGGCACTGGGGAAGATCCAAGGAGGGAGGACAAGAGATTATACTAAATCATCAATCCGATCTAGCCTCCAAGAGAAAGCAGGGGCTTATGTTTTACCTGAATATCTCAACACTCTCTAGAATTGGTATTCTGCTGGATTGTACTCATCTTAAGCTTAACTAAGACCAAGTTTTTTTGGTTATGGCTGGCTTGCAGGTCACCATAAATCAGGGAAAATCATGAGGCCAGGTTGGTGGTCAAGATAACCTGAGTGACACAGCGTAGGTATCACCATCAGTTTTAAACAGGTTACTGCGAATTTTGAGAGCACGGTCATGGTGTTGCTCTTGGGTGTGTATTAGATCAAATTTTAAACTGGGGCAAGGACACTCTAAGATGGTGAATGTCGTATGTCCGAGGGTGAGCCAGAGGGCACAGGCAGGAGGTGATCCCAGGGAAACTCTGGGCACGGGGTGGAGTCCAAGACTTGAGCTGAGCATGAAGAAAGAAGTAAGGAGAAAGGTAAGGGAATGTAACCTCAGTTGTACAAGTGGCAGGGTATCCCCAGGACCATCACGGGGGTCACCATTCACCCTGATTTTAATCTGACTTCCTGGAAAAGTCAGATGAGCACTAGCTGGTGCATAATGGTCCTCGGATATATGGTGGCTCACCTTCACTATGGAAGCAGTCACCAGAACTGACTGATTTGAGAATCTCTGAGGCAGCTGTTTTTTTAAGGTAAACTTTTTAGTGAACTCTAACCTACCCACTGAAAAGCATACTAAACCTATGTATACAGCTCAATACATTTTTATGAAGTAAATACACCTGTGTAACCACTGCCAGGTTGAGAAAACATTATCAACACCTAAGAAATCCTACGCAGGTCCTCTACCAGACGCTACTCTTCCCTGACGGTAACCACTGTTCTACCTTCTAACACCATAGATTCATTTTGTCTGTTTTTGAAATGCATGTAATTGGCATCATATACTACTACTCTGTTGTGTCTGGTTCCTTTTCCTCATATAAATGTAGGTCCTCCAATTTTGTTGTTCTTCTCCTTCACAATGGCCTGGTCTACTCTTGGCTAGACTCACATCCATTTAGAATCACCCTGACGATTTTAATTAATTTAAAAAAAAACTTCCAAAGCAGCCTTGAGTGTAATACATAGATGAATTTAAATGAATCATATCTTTATGATATTGAATCTTCCAATGTTTAAAATGGTCGCTCCACTAATGTCTGTTTCTCCATTTATTAGAGCTTCTTTAAATGTCTTTCAATAATGCCTTTTAGTTTTCTGTGTAGTGTTCCATAAATAAACACCTCTGCAAGCATTGTGTAAGAACAGTGCTATTTCTTCTTTAAATATTTGGAAGAAATCACTGGCCACGCCTTTTAAACCTAAAAATTTCTTTATGGGAGAGTTTTAAATTACAGATTCAGTTTATGTAATACAGCTAAGACCATTTAGATTTTATATTTCTTCTGGGAGTAATTCAGGTAAACTGATATTTTTTGCTAAGATTTTTTCATTTAATATCAATATTCAAATTTATCAGCAAAAAGATTGTTTATAATATTCTGTTAAGATCATTTTAAATTCTGTAGGATCTACAGTGATTTACATTTATTGTTTTTGATATTGGTGGATTGTCTTCTCTTCTTTTTTAAATAGTGTCTTTCTAAGAGTTTTTCAATTTTGTCTTTTAAAAGACCCAGAACCAGATTTTCATTTTGTCATTTTTAGAATGTTGAATTTTTGTTTTACTAATATTTTCTATTATCTTTATTACTTTCTTCTACTTTTTTTGAGTTTAATTTGTTTTTGTTTTTTTCTTAACTTCTTGACACGGATACTCAGATGATTGATTTGCAACCACTTTGCTAACATGAATTTAAAGCTATAAATATTATCTAGAAGCAGTTTTAGCTGCATCATGCAAGGTTGGATATATGTTCATATCATTCAGTTAAAATATTTTAAAATTTCCATTGTGATGTATTCATAATTGATCACAGATTTTTTAAAAAAAATTATTTTTAATTTTTGGGGGTACATAGTGTGTATATTTGTGGGGTACATGAGGTGTTTTGATACAGGCATGTAATATGAAATAATCACATCAAGAAGAATGGTGTATCCATCTCCTCAAGCATTTATCGTTTGTGTTACAGACAATCCAATTACATTCTTTTAGTTATTTTTAAATGTACAGTTATTATTGACTATAGTCACCCTATTGTGCTATCAAATAGTAAGTCTTACTCATTCTATTTTTTTGTATTCATTAACTTTCCCCACCTCTCCCTCAACCCCCTACTACCCTTGCCAGCCTCTGGTAACCATCTTTCTAACTCTCTATGTCCATGAGTTCAATTGTTTTGATTTTTAGATCATCCCACAAGTAAGTGAGAACATGTGATGTTTGTCTTTCTGTGGCTGGCTTATTTCACTTAACATAATGATCTCCAGTTCTATCCATGTTGTTGCAAATGACAGGATCTCATTCTTCTTTATGGCTGAGTAGTACTCTATTGTGTATATGTACCACATTTTCTTTGTTCATTCGTCTGTTGATGGACATTTAGGTTGCTTCCAAATATTAGTTATTGTGAACAGTGCCACAACAAACATGGGAGTGCAGATATCATGATCAAGTCCACAGCTGATAACTTCAATATATGAATCTATTTTCTTTACTCTTCTTGGTCCTGCTCCTAAAATGCCTTGTAATTATATTGACTAAACATGGTGTATAAAAAAAATTATAGAGGTGCAGTGGTAGATACATGTCATTATACATTTGTTAAAATTCACAGAATGTACAAAGCAAAGCGTGGACCCTAATGTAAACTGTTGACTTTGGGTGATAATGGTGTGTCAATATAAGTTCATTGATTGTAATAAGTGTACCACTCTGAGGCAAGGTGTTGATAGTAGGAGAGGTTGTCATGTATGCAGACAGTGTATATGTGGGAATTATCTGTACTTTCTGCTCAATTGTAATGTGAAGCCAAAACTGCTCTAAAACATAAAGTTTATTAATTTAAAAAAAAGCACCGGGGCTCTAGTTGATGTTTTCTCTTTCCAGAGAGGATTCACCCTGTCCTCTGGCAGACAACAAAGAAGCAGATCACCTCAGTCCAGTCAGGGACTATACTAGCTGGACTTGGACTATTTCTAGCCTGTCCTTCCACACCCTCTACACACACCTTTTAATATGAAGATGTCCAAGACTCCCAGTGAGAGTCTGGGGTATGTCACAGGGCCTCTCATTCTTGATGAGTCAGGAACTACAATTTGTGTTTCCCCATCACAATGAAATTTCCAAAGTCTCTACTCTGTTTGTCAGCTGGTCTTTGCTTCTCTTCTTAGCTACTCAATCAGCCAATGCCTAGAAGGGAAAACTGTCATCCAGTGTCAGTCGGACTTATTTGGACCTCATTTCTCTACAGGGACTAGACTATTCAGTTTCTCCCTTCTTTGGTAATTCCAAATTCTAATTTTTACCTCCTAGCCCCCATGAGATTGCCTAAGGCTCTGCCTAGCTTCTTGGCCAGTTATGCCTAAGATGTAGCAAATGTCTCAAGGAGAAATGTGATGTGTCCTCACATTGTCCTCACCTCAGCGAATATCCTTTCTCTCCACATCATACCCTTCATCCTGACTGCCTCACTGTCTTATGCATTCAAATATGTATATTTATGTATCATGTCTGTGTGTATACAGGCATACCTCATTTTATTGTACTTTACTCTACTGTGCTTTGGAGATATCGCATTTTTTACAGACTATAGGTTTGTGGCAACCCTGCATTGAGCAAGTCTGTTGGTGCTGTTTTTCTAATAGCATGTGCTTACTTTGTGTCTCTGTGGCACATTTTGGTAGTTTTCACAATATTTCAGGCTTTTTCATGATTGTCGTTTTTTATGGTGATCTGTGATCAGTGATCCTTGATGATATTATTGTCGTTGTTTTGGGACACCATGAACCACACCCATATTGATGTTGAACTTAATCAATAAATGTGTGTGTTCTCATTGCTCCATGGACCAGCTGCTTCTTGTGTCTCTCCCTCTTCTAGGGCCTCCCTATTCCCTGAGACACAGCAATATTGAAATTAGGCTGATTAATAACCCTACAATGGCCTGTAAGTGTTCAAGTGAAGGAAGAGTTGTGTGTCTCTCACTTTAAATCAAATGCCATAAATGATTAAGCTTAGTGAAGAAGATATGTTGAAAGCCAAGATGCACTGAAAGTTAGGCCTCTTGTACCAAAAAGCCAAGTTGTGATTTCAAAGGAAAAGTTCTTGAAGGAAATCAAAAGTGCTACTCCAGTGAACACACAAACAATAAGAAAGTGAAACAGTGTAATTGCCGATATGGAGAAAGTTTTAGTGGTCTGGACAGAAGATCAAACCAGCCACAATATTCTCTTAAACCCAAAGCCCAATTCAGAGACTAGGTTTTAACTCTTTTCAGTTCTGTGAGGGCTGAGAAAGGGGAAGAAGCTGTATAAGAAAAGTCTGAAGTTAGCAGAGGTTGCTTCATGAGGTTGAAAGAAAGAAGCCATCTCCATAACATAAAAGTGCAAGGTGAAGCAGCAAGTACTGATGTAGAAGTTGCAGCAAGTTATCCAGAAGATCTAGCCAGGATCATTGATGTAGGTGGCTATACTATAAAATGATTTTTAATGTAGAAGAGCCTTTTGTTAGAAGAAAATGCCATCTGGGACTTTCGTAGCTAGAGAGAAGTCAATACCTGGCTTCAAAACTTAAAAGAACAGGCTGATTCTCTTGTTAGGGGTTAATGCATCTGGCAGCTTGAAGTTTCAGTCAGTGCTCATTTGCCATTCTGAAATTCTAGAGCCCTTAAGAATTATGCTAAATTTACTCTTCCTGAGCTCTATAAATGGAAAAATAAAGCCCGGATGACAGCCCATCTGTTTCACAGCATGGTTTCCTGAGTATGTTAAGTCCACTGTTGAGATCTACTGTTCAGGAAAAAAAACAAAAAAAAATTTCTTTCAATAGATTGCTGCTTATTGACAATGTGGCTGGTCACTCAAGAGCTCTGATGGAAGTGTGCAAGAAGATTAATGTTGCTTTCATGCCTGCTAATGCAGCATCCATTCTGGAGCCCACAGATCAAGGTGTATTTTGACTTTCAAGTCTTATGATTTAAGAAGTTCATTTTGTGGCCAGGTGTGGTGGTTCACACCTGTAATCCCAGCACTTTGGGAGGCCGAGACAGGCGGATCACGAGGTCAGGAGATCAAGACCATCCTGGCTAACACGGTGAAACCCCGTCTCTACTAAAAATACAAAATAAAATTAGCCGGGCGTGGTGACGGGCACCTGTAGTCCCAGATACTCGAGAGGCCGAGGCAGGAGAATGGCATGAACCCGGGAGGCGAAGCTTGCAGTGAGCCGAGATCGCGCCACTGCACTCCAGCCTGGGCAACACAGCAAGACTCTGTCTCAAAAAAAAAAAAAAGTACATTTTGCAGGGGTATAGCTGCCACCACAGACAGTTATAGGGATTCCTGTGATGGATCTTGGCAAAGTAAATTGAAAGCTTCTGGAAATGACTCACCATTCTAGATGTCATTAAGAACATTTGTGATTCATAAGAGGAGATCAAATATCAACATTAACAGGAGTTTGGAAGTAGTTGATGCCAACCCTAATGGAAGACTTTGAGGAATTCAAGACTTCAGTGGAGGAAGTAACTGCAGATAAGGTGGAACTAGCAAGAGAACTAGAATTAGAAGTGGAGCCTGAAGATGTGACTAAATTGCTGCAATCTTATGATAAAACTTGAGTGGGTGAGGAAGTACCTCTATGGATGAGCAAAGAAAGTAATTTCTTGAGATGGAATCTACTTCTGGTAAGGATGTTATGAACATTATTGCAATGACAACAGATAATTTAGAATATTACATAAACTAAGTTGATAAGGCAGCAGCAGGGTTGTTGAGGGTTGATCGCAATTTTGAAAGAAGTTCTACTGTGAGTAAAATGCTATCAAACAGTATCACATGCTAGAGAAAAACCTTTCATGAAAAGAACAGTCAATTAATGGGCCAAACTTCTTCATTGTCTAATTTAAGAAATTGCCACAGCCACCCCAACCTTCAGCAACCACTTCTCTCTCTCATCAGTCAGCAGCCCTCAATATCAAGACCCTCCACCAGCAAAATAAAAATTATAACTTGCCAAAGGCTCAGGTGATTGTTAGCATATTTTAGCAATAAAGCATTTTTAATTAAGGTATGTACATTGGTTTTTTAGACATGATGTTATTGCACACCTAATAGACTATGGTATAGTGTAAACATGATTTTTATATGCACTGGGAAATAGAAAGATTGTGTGACTCACTTAAATGCAACATTTGCTTTATTTTGGTGGTCTGGAACTGAACTCTCAATATCTCCAAGGTATGCCTGTATACACGTGTGTGTGTGTGTGTGTGTGTGTGTGTGTGTGTGTGTGTACAGTCATCCCTTGGTATCCATGGGGATTGGTTCCAGGGCCTCCCATGAATACCAGGATACACAGATGAGCAAGCCCCTGGTATAAAATGGTATAGTATTTGCATATAAACTATGCACATCCTCCCACATACTCCAAATCATTTCCAGATTACTTATAATACCTAATACAATGTAAATTCCATATAAGTAGTTATTATACTGTATTGATAATGATTCCCAAAAATGTCTGTGCATTTTAGTAAAAACAAAATTTTGGGGGGATATTTTGGAATATTTTTGATCTGCAGTTGGTTGAATCCACGGATACAGAAACCATGGATATGGAGAGCTGACTTATGTGTGTGTGTGTATATACAATATATATATTATATTATATGTGTGTGTGTGTGTGTGTGTGTGTGTGTGTGGACAGTGTGGACTCCCTGCAGGAAATTGTGTATATATATTTATATATATATTATATATATACACATTATATATATTTATATATATACACATTATATATATTTATATATACATTATATATATAGTATATATGTAATATATATATTATATATAGTATATATGTAATATATATACTATATATATTATATATAGTATATATGTAATATATATATACTATATATATAGTATATATGTAATATATATATACTATATATATAGTATATATGTAATATATATATACTATATATATAGTATATATGTAATATATATATACTATATATACACACATGGTTAGAGGGGGAATGTATTAATTTTCTAGTGCTGCATACAAATTACCACAAATTTAGTGGCTTAAAACAATACACATTTATTAGCTTATAGTCTTTATGGGTCAGGAATTCTGGCACAGCTTAGCTAGGTCCTCTGCTTTAGGATCTCCCACATGGCTGCAATCAACATATTGGCCTTGCCCACATCATCTTGCTTTGTGCTCTCTTTGTGTTCAATATGGAACACAGTCCCTCACCGGTTAGTTGTTAAGGTGGGAACTATTATAGTTTCATGAAGGATGGAAGCATTCAGAAGATACTCTACACACTATTGACTGACCTTGTGGCTCTGCATATGCTATTGCCTTTTAAGAAAAGCTCCTTAAGAAGTTCCAAATGCAAGGGCCTTTATTCCTTATCTTAAAATAACCATATCCTTTAAATCAAATGAATTCCCTTCTGTAATTTTAATGGGAGAATTATAGGAGATGTGAGGATTTGATTTTGATTTAGCTACAAGAGAAGAGCTAGGATGTTCTAAAAGCCAGAGGAAAAATATCACTTTGCAGAGAGTGGAAATGAAACTGTACAGTAAGGTTCAAGTTCTAGTTGAAGATGATTGGCCAGAGGAGAAGAAGTGGAAATGTTTTCAAGTCCCACATGGGTGGGCTGGCATTAAAGGTGTCCCACAGCTGTCAAAGGTCAGCCAGATCCTCTGGGACAGAATTTCTCACCAGTCTATGCCCTTTCATATGGTTCCTTCCCCAATATAAGAGCTGGAAAAAAATTTAGTTTTAAGTTCAGAATCTCCATTTGAGAATATTTGGAAACCATACACTCCACAATAATTGTTTTAAGTTTTTGAAGACCTGTTAACCTTTTAATGTTTCAAAGAGATCCTTCTATCAAGTATGAATGGGGGGAGAACAAAAGGCCATGTGGATAAAGAACCCTTTGTCCTCCTTTGGGAATTATTGGACCATTGCGATTTCAAGACACATCCAGGGAAGCTGACATTCTGACTTCCCATCTTCCACCCCATAGATATGTTCAGTTTATCTGTACCCTGGTTGCCTGGCTGAGTCTCAGGAATGTTTGTATTCCAGGTGATGATCTTGCTGTGCAATCAGCAGAGTTTCATCTGCACTCACGTTGACTACTGCCATCCCCACTGCTACCTGCACCACAGCCGCTCCTGTGCCCGACTGGTCAGAGCCATCAAGCTACTCTATGGAGACAGTGTGGACTCCCTGAGGGAAAGCAGCAACATCAGCAGTGTGGCTCTCCGGGGCAAGAAACAGAAAGAAGTAAGTAAATGACCATTGAATGATATTCTAATACTAGAAACATGATGTCATAACAATTTCTTCTCTGGAAATAAGAATTTTCAAGCAAATGCAATTGTAACAATCAGGTCTGTGTGCATCTAAACATAAGCAGAAGAGATGTACAAGAAAGACAAATGTTTTGTCTTTCTTGTCCATGAGTAAACATGGAATCTTTCCTCAGGTTTTGTCTTATTCTGTAAATAAATATGACTGCATAGGGATGATGACGATGACGAATAAGTTATTGTGTTAGGCAGAATAATGCCTCTCCCACAAAGACATTCACATCCTAATCTCTGGAAATTGTGAATATCTTCACATGGCAGAAGAGGTTTTGCAGATGTGATTGAAAATTTTACAGTGGGCATCCAGCTGTGCTTGATGTCATCATAAGGGTCCTTATAAGTGGAAAAAGGAGTCAGGAGGGTCAGAGCCAGAGAAGGAAATGTCTTGAGAAAAGCAGAGGTCAGTATGATGCGGGGCCATGAGCCAAGGAATACTGGCAGCCTCTAGAAGCTAGATAAGACAAGGAAATGGATTATCTCCTAGAGCCTTCAGAAGCAACCACAGCCCCGCCAATCCGTTTTAGATTTCTGACCTCCAGAATTGTAAAATAATAAATTTGTGTCATTTTAAGCTATGAAGGTTGTGGTCACTTGTTACAGCAGCAACAGGAAACTAATACAACTATGTACTAAAAAATATGCATAAATAGGCCCACTGTTCACAGCCAAGTAAAAGAGTCATCTAGGTCAAATCAGACTAAAGGAAATTGCTTCAAGCAACTATTACATTTTTCAAGTATTCAGCTGCCCTCTTCTGAAAACTACCCTGAGCAGCTGAGCTGGCAGGAGATGAAGACAGTGACCAGGGCTGCTGTGCTTCTGCCAGGGAAGGCCTAAATTTTCCACCTGCCCCTGAACAGGCGTCACAGCCAAGATGCCTGACTGAATGTTGTGGCTGCCCCTGCAGCTGCTTTTCCTAAGTGGTTTTGCAAAGAGATTTTTATATAACACCTATTCATTTCAACGGGCATTTATTATGTGTCCTCTGTTGGCACAATATTAGGCTAGATATTCTGTTAAGGAAAAAAAAACTAGAAGCAGAAAATCTTTCTAAGGAATTTGCAAACCAGGTTTGGCCTGGGGAGGGGGTAAGAGATAATATGTACATCAAACAATGAGAGAACATGAGCAATAACAACAAAAATCCAGTTGAGTCGTGTAGCAATTTGTTATACCTTAGTGCTCACAAAGGGATTTTTTTAATTACAACTTTTTTATTATGAAAGCAATACATGTTCATTGAAGAAATTTTTAATAATACAAAATATTCTTTAAAAATTATATATCTGATGTACCTCTTAAGTGTGCAAGTTCATCCTATGGGGTATGATCTTTTAGTTTTTTTCTAAATGTATGTGTGAGGGTATAAAGTAAGTACATTTCATTGACAAGTGCCTTTTGATTCTTAAAAACCATTGCAAGAGTTATTTTATCCCCATTTTACAGGTTTTTCAACTGTGGGGGCTCAGAAAGTTGAGATTATCCACACTTTATATCTATAATGTATTTAGCTAGACTTTAACCTTAGAAATATGGAACATCAGAGTCAGGGCTTTTTAAACTAGACTGTTTTGCATTTCATGTTATGCAAATAATACAAATTCTGAGGGGAATGAAGGTGGAGAATAGACCAATGTGGGGTACAAATAAACTACTAAATAATGACATAAAAAGAAAAAAAGTAAATACGTTTGTGTGTGCATACATGTATATGTATATACATTGTATATATATTTCAAACATAAATGACACTGCATTTAAAGAAAATCTATTTTTATTTATGTAAATTCTTTCTTACTATAAAAACTCCCTTAGCTTTAGGTTAAAACCATATATGTTGAAAGTTTCAAAAATATGTGAGCCTAAATTATTGATCATTGTTCTCCATACACACTTCAGAATTTCTTACTGCTATATTTTTTGCTGGCACTAGGCCTCTAATCTAACATAGCCCAACCCAAACATTCTTTAAGATCCAACTTAAATGCCATCTCCTCCATGAAACTTTTTTGATTCTTCAAGTGTTAAGCACAGGGCCTACTGCAGATGGACACTAAATGTTATTTTCCTTACTTCCTTCTTCAACTAAATTATAATTGTATTTTACTCATGTTTTCTCATTCTTCTTTCAATTATCCATCCATCCATCCAGCCAGCCAGCCGTTCATCTATTCAACAGGCTTTTAAAGAACCTGTGGACCATGCTGAGCCCATACTTTGCGCTGGGTACAATAATGGGCAAAAAAAAAAAAAAAAAAAATACAGTTTGTACCCCCATATACTGCACATAATCTAGTCCAAGACAGACATTGATCAAATAAAACTCCCAAATTGATGTAAAATTACATCTGCAATAAGTGAAATAATGGAGAGCTACACCGTGCTAAGAGAGCTTATGAATGAGGCTTTGGTCTTGTAGGGGAAAATAAAAGACAGCCTTTCCAATAAAGTGACAGGTGAGCTTTAACTAAAGGATGCATAGATGTTAATTGGATACAGATTTGCCAACCAGCGAGAAGAGGTGAGTATGAAGGGCCATGGCTGGAGCACAGAGGACTGTGATGCATGATGAAGCTGCACAGGCGGCTCGAGACCAGACCATGTGGGACCATGGGAAGGCTTTCATTTTATCCTGCGAGCAGTGGCATGTTCTTACACTTAATTATAAGCTTTTTGAGAACTGAGGAAGTCTTTCACATTTTGTATCCTGCATGATAACCTAACAGAGTACTCACTTATGTAATAGTAGAGCAGTTATTAATATTAAGTGAGTGAGTAGAGCTGTAGTCCTAGGGTGTTTCATGAGTGCCCTCCACTCTGCCTCAACCAGGCCCCTGGCCTGAAGCAGTAGAAAAAGCTTACCAACCTTCTGCTATTGCTTACATTTCTGAAAAGGAAAGGGAAAGTAAAGCATGAATAAGTGCTTCTAACTTTAACATATTGTAATTAGTCATTCAGGTAGAGAGCTAAAAAGATGAATTGACTCCTCTGTGATAAACATTTTATTTGCAAAATGCTAGCCTCCTCCACAAGCTCTTTGCTTTCTCTCATGATACTTTTCATTTGCCTGTTGTGAATCTGCCAGATAAATGAACAGTGCCCACATTTCCAGATGAAAAATGAAAACAGAGTGGGCAATGAAGCAAGAGTAAAAGCAGTATTCTGAATAAAATCGTGTCTTATGAGCAATTGATATTTCATTCCTGTTTTCTTTTTAATTGGTTTTTTATGGCAGAGTATATTTGTGGCAGCTAGTACATTTTGTAACCCATCTAATTCTGATCAATTTGCTAATCTACATTTCAATGCTGAGGGACTCACTGTACAATCTGTTAGTCTATTTTAGTGTACTTCCAAAATTGAGGGTTTTTAAAAAACAAAATGTCATTCTACATGTATATATCACCTTTACCAAAGAATTCTGAGATTTTTCCTCTATGTCTGTACTTTGTCCAAAGCTATGTTATAAATAGGATAAATGTTTAATTAATGCTTGTTAATTTAAAAAAGGAGCAGATTAAATTCTTTCCTCTTTCAACCAAAAAGGAGAGAGGAACAAATTGTGATACATGCTCAAAAAAATAAAGGACACAGTGTGGGTAAATTCCATAAAGCAAATTCCAGTGCAAATGTCAAGAGGTCAACTGACTTCCTGCAGAACCAACATTTTTCCTAAAGCTATCTATGAGCAACATTATTGTAAGGCCAAGACCAGGCCCTGGATCTTAATTTCATGGGCCAGGATGACTGTCCACTATAACTTACATAATTCATGTGTTAAAGCCGTATGAGGCATAAAGAGTCTAGGTTACCTTTTGAGAAATACTGCATTTCTGTTGGCATAAACTTCTTCCCAGAAACGAGGAAATCCCTTTCTCAGAGAGCCCAGTAGGCTGACTTCAATTTCCACAAATTTTAAACACCTTATTACAGTGTTACAATTCTTTTAGAATTAAAAAAAGAAGAAGAAATATATAAATACCTTGTTATTTCCACACTGAGTCCTCCTTCATGCATGCATTTCCTTTTCTATTTATCTTGACTTTTCATTTGTTTACTTGTTTGTCATCTGTCTTTCCTACACTTCTCTAGGAGTGCAGGCACCTACTCCAGAAGTTAGTCTAGTTTCTGGCATATGGTTAACTCAAAAAATATTCTTGAATTATTCAATGAATAGGCAAAATTTTATTTAAAACCATTATTATTCCTCTCTAGTCAATAATTTTTGTTGTAAGGAACAGAAGATTGAACTTGTTCAAACAATTAGGGAGATTCTTCAAAGGATACAGTAGAATCTCATGAAACTAGGGACAGGAAAAGAAACAGCTAAGCCTCAGGGAAATGAGAACCAAAGCTGCTGTCCATTTCAGGATGAACATAGTCTTTCATCTCTGCTTCTTTCCGCATCATCTCCATCTGCACAGACATTTTATCCCCTGGCCAGCTCCTATTGCTGTACTCATCTTGTACATAGACTGAAAATTTCAAGATGGCATCATTATTTTTCTGCACAGCAACCATCACTAAATGATTCAGACTGTTTCTCTTAATTCCCTAGGACAGGAATTTGAGGGGGCCATCTCTTCCTCTTTTGGGCCAAACACCACAAGTGATAAATCCTTAGCCAGTCAAAAAATTGGTTTTGCATTGGTAATCTAATCAAAAGTGGTCAGGATGCCGAGAGGAGTCACAGAGTCAACTAGGATGGATTTTTCTAAGACATATACATAGGAAAAAATGTCATTGGTCCAAGTTCTACCCTATCCCATAGCAGGGATTCCCAAGTATCCCTGACAGAGCATGAGGCTGCATAACTGCCTCCCATTGAACACAGCTCCCTCTGGTAGAACCACCTCAACAATGACTGAGTAGAGGAATTAATCACTAATTTATCAATACCAAAGGACAGAATTTATCCCTAATCTCTATTTATCACTAATAGAGGCATCTACTAGTGGTCCTTTGAAGAGTTTGAATTTCACTGAACTGCAAGATACACATAGTGGTTGAAATTACACATCAAGCAGGGAACTGTAGAGAAACTCAAGACTAGTAACCCAAGACCAAAGGACAGAATTTATCACTCTTGTTTCCAGAATTTATCACTATTCTGTCCTTTGGTCTTGGGTTGCTAATCTTGAGTTTCTCTACAGATCCCTGCTTGATGTGTCATTTCAACCACTAGGTGCATCTTGTAGTCCAGTGAAATCTCTAACTCTTCAAAGGACCACTAGTAGATGCCTTTGGAACTAGTCTCCTGCTCCTTCCAGTAGTCTGAGTTAGGAGTCACACCAATAGAGGGACTTTAAGACCTTTACAAGAGTGTACCCAAACCCATCACACATATACCCCCATCTCTGTGATATCTATCTTCTAATCAAGTCATTAAAAAAGAGTTACTAGCTTATCACCTTGATGTGAAAGCCCTTGCAGCTTCCTTCCTTTTCCACTAAAACAAGCACCCTAAGTGTCATGAGGCCACCAGAACACACCATGCTTCCTAAGGTAACATGGTAGGATATTAAATATTTGAGGAACTTGACTTATACTTTGGTAGGCAGAAACACAGGGTATCAGGGACAAATATAAATGCTCATCTTTTTTTTTTTTTTTTTTTTTGGTGTGCTGAGTATTTTCCTGTATCTGCCTGGTTAAAATTCCTGTAATTTAATCAAGAAATATTATTCAAAAGAATTCCTGGAGAAAAAATGTCCAACCAAAAGAGAAAGTGGTAAAATATTTGCAAAATTTAAGAATCATATTTTCAAATAATTGTAATGGAAAAATACTCTTTATAAAATCATAGTAAAATGAATCATTTAAAATTGTGTGCCACACATAGCATCATCACAGTTGTGCTAAGATGCATGGGGGAAAAGGCTGAAAGGAACCTAATAATGGCTATCATTGGGTTGGGGATTGTATTAGTCTGTTCTCATGCTGCTATAAAGAAATACCCTAGACTGGGTAATTTATAAAGGAAAGAGGCTTAATTAACTCACAGTTCCTCAAGGCTAGTAAGGCCTTGGGAAACTTACAATCATGGTGGAAGGCAGCCCTTCACAGGGCGGCAGGAGAGAGAATGAGTGCAAGCAGGGGTACATTTATTATTTTATAAATATAAATAATAAAACAGAGAGGTGCCAGTTTTTAGTATCTTGACTCTTTTGCAAGGGTCAGATACACCTCCATATTAATGTGGAAAACTATTGCTATATATGATTTTAGAACAGTCTTCAAGTTATATAAAATGGGCATGCTATTTATGCTATATATTGCTTTCACATTCACAGGGGAAAAAAGCAAAGCAATAGTTATCTCCCCAAATAATATGTGTTCCCACATATGCACCTCCATGATTTTTTCTTTAGAAAGCACAACAAGAGCCCTGATTCACTTGTTTTGAAGTAGGTTCATTTTAAAAGTTGGTTCTATACTCGTCACATAATAGATGCATTTTCTTGGGTCGTTTTGTCAGAGTTTTGAAAGACTTTCTTGGAATATCCATGCACTTTTAGATTTGCCTTTTCTTTCAAAATATCTTTATCCATAACACTATGAAGCTCTGTTCAAAAATTCTTAAGAAGTTCAGTTTTTTTTCCCTTGGCTAGAGGGAGAAAGTGTTTCACTGACATGGCACTGGAAAAACAAATGAGCATTTATTCTGTTTGAGGAGAACGATTCCCTCTTTGCACAGCCTGGAGTGCAAAAATAGGAAGAATCAGGACTCTGGATAAATAAGCCTGCCTTCGTTAGGTTCAGTCCTTCTCCCAGCTGCATTATTCAGTCCATCCCTTGGCATTTAAGGAGTTAGAGGAAGAAATTGTCTTATTCGTCCTTATGTAGATGAATCTCCTGGTTGAGGAGACAATTTTTAAGAAGAGCTGCTGCCTCTTACAGAAGAGTATGGTTTTTGAAAAGAAATCATTTTACCTGTACAACTCAGTCCTTGATAATGGATACTATGAACTCATGCTTCCTTGATGGGTCCTGTATTTGACCTTTAACTTCCTAACACTTCTCTATGAAATGTTTTCTCTCCTTTATGACCAAGTCATTCAACTTGCAGCATCCAACCCTATGAAGGGACTATTGGATAGAGTGGATTTTATCTGACTAAATATTTTAAAAGATTTGTGTTTTTTAACTGCTTGATGAAATATAATTAGCCCTGAAATGGAAATGGGGAGATCCTTGTCCTTTCCTTTTTCTGCTGATAACTAGCTTTGCAACTCAGTCAAGTTCCTCCACCTCTCCAGATCCCAGTTTCCTCAAAGGTCAAAGAGGAATTCATTACTCAATATCTCTAAGCTAATTTTTTATTATAAAATTAACTGCTTTTATAAATAAACTGCTTTTATAAATTTTAGAAAATGTGGACCCACAAAAAGGCCTTTAATTATCGCTTCCACTAGAAGATGGTTGCCTGGAGAATTGCGGGGACATATAGCACTGTTGGGTTTTTAGAAAACACATCACTCTTCATTACATATCCCTGGTCTTTTCAGTGCTCAGATAAGTCATGCCTGAGGACACCTTCTCTAAAGAAGAGAGTTTCAGATGCCAATCTGGAAGGAAAAAAAGATTCCGGAATGCTGAAGTACATCAGACTTCAGGTATTGTTACCTGGATCAGAAGGATTCATGGAACTTTTAACAGGGAGGGGACTCCAGACAGCCTATTTACTAATGTTTGGGACATACAACATCAGTTGGTACAGTGTTGGCATAAAGCCCCTTCAGTTGGTGAGCAAGAGTGCCACCAAGTGTGCCAGGAAAAAAGAAATCTCTTCTTGCTATATAGCCAGCTTCCACAGACAAGGCTTGGGAACTTCGGTTCGAACCACAGCTCTCCCCACTGTCTTCACTGCAGGAGAGCTAACTTCCCACATGTGTGTAACAGTGACACTTACGGGTTTTGGAATGAGACAGTCTGGGTTCATATCCCATGTCTGCTGCTCTGGCTCTGGGACCTTGGGCAAGTTATTTAATTTCTCTTGATCTTAGTCACCTCATTTATAAAATGGGGGTTACAACACTAGACCTGTCCCAAGGAATTATGGCATGGATTAAAGAAAATGGTTCATGTACCTACTTATCCAGTGCTTGACACATTGTTATATTGTTATTACAACATGAGCTCTAAATCATTATGTTCTCCCCCCCAAAAAAATTGTTCATATTTTTCTGGAATGTGAAATGATGATGACTTGTCTAGAACCTATATTTGTCACCCAAATTGTCAGAAATAATGGATAAAGGATTTTGTGGTTTAATCTGGGGCAATAACCACAATGTATTATGTATTTCAAAGGGAAATGCCATGCATGTTCACAATGGGCTTTTTCATCAGTTACAGGCTGCTTATAGTTTTTGGTGGAAATCTACTATTAGGAAGGAAAACAGGATCCTTTAAAAATCTATGAAGACTTTTAACACAAAGATGTATTTCCTGGAGTCTTTCTTTTCTTGTGGAGTTGTACTCAATATATAGTTTACTCCTTGGTCGCAAAGCAATTTTGTGGTGAAAACGTCATAAAATTAGTGTATTTTTTTCTAATTATGCTTCAGTTATAAGGTATAAAGCTTATCTATCATATGCCATGTCAACTAAATATGCTCCCATTTTAGAAAGCATTTTAAGGTCACTTAAGGCAAGCAGAGAGAGGGGACGTGGCTTTTAAGTTTCAAGAGAAGTGCAGTATTCACTGTCTTAAAAGATTTTAAAACATGATTTCCATCTTTTCCCAGGTGATGAGCTTGTCGCCTGCTCCCTTATCTCTGTTAATCAAGGCAGCACCAATTCTGACAGAGGAGATGTACGGAGACATCCAGCCAGCTGCCTGGGAGCTCCTGCTCAGCATGGATGAGCACATGGCAGGGGCAGCAGGTAAAGAAAGACCACCTGGAACCCTGTGCCTGCTGCCACTGCTGTTACTGATCCAAGTGTTTAAATAAGAGAGGTGTTTCCATTCTATTTTTGCTCCTAGGTCAAGTTAATGGCAATTGCTATAACTGTAGACTCTAGAGCTGTGTGCTATAGGAAGGTAGACCCAGGGTTTGTGTGCTCCCTTCCAATTTCACCATATGGTCTGCACCATAGCATATGTCTCTCTCAGGGTGTTACCAAATTATAGAGAATGATTTTCCCCAGATCCTGCACTTTCACTATATTTCACAAGAGACAAAATTCTTTTTTGTGTCATCTCCTAGATTTAACATGCACCACTGTAATTTACTTTATCAAATCTTATGTGAGTAATGTTCTGTGTCCAAAAGGTAATATCAAAGCAAATGTATTAAAATGTAAGTGATTTGTCCAAGGCCACATAGCTAGTTAGTGATAGAGGCAAAATGTGTATTCTTCATTTTTCCACTTTTTATACAGATCGCTAAATTTGTATCTGGTTATTTTAATTTCAAAATACACGTGATAAAAATTCAAGTAATACAAAATTGTATGAAGCTAAAAGTATTGCCCTCTCTCCTATGACCCGCCCCCCTCTCCCCATCCCCCAGCCCCCTTCCCCCTCCCAGCACCATTCCTTTCCCCAGAGGCAACAATTTTTAAGTTTCTCAGGAATCCTTCTAGGGTAAACTGTGTGTGTGTGTGTGTGTGTGTGTGTGTGTGTATATAAATACACACATATATGTATGTATATATGTAAGTTGTGTATTGAATGTTTTGTTTTTCATGCAAATGGGACATGCTGTAAGTGCACTTTGAATTTTTTCATTTATATCTAGAAGACTGTTTTTAAATATCAGTTTATAGTTTTACCTCTTCTCTTTTTAATGGCTACAAAATGTTCCACTGAATGAATTGACATATTGTAATTTATTTAAACAAGATCTATTGATGAAAATTTAGGTGGAGTTCAGCCTTTTGCTCTTTTATACCATACTGCAATAAATATCTTGGTAAAATATCTTTGTTCACATTAAAGCTTAGGTTTTTGCTTCTCAGAGAGCGCTGTAGGAGTTCAGGGAATGGCACACTCCCCAAATGTGGGATAGTCATGGAAACTTCCATGGAAAATATAAACAGGTGGACGGGGCTTTAAAGAACACCTAGAAGTTAGCCAGGAAGGGAAGATGGTGTGTGCAAAACTGGGAGGCCGAGGCGGGCGGATCACGAGGTCAGGAGATCAAGACCATCCTGGCTAACATGGTGAAACCCATCTCTACTAAAAATACAAAAAAAATTAGCCGGGCATGGTGGCAGGCACCTGTAGTCCCAGCTACTCGGGAGGCTGAGGCAGGAGAGTGGCATGAACCCGGGAGGCGGAACTTGCAGTGAGCCGAGATTGTGCCACTGCACTCCAGCCTGGGCGACAGAGTGAGACTCTGTCTCAAAAAAAAAAAAAAAAAAAACAAAAACTGGGTGAATGTGGACGTGCACTGGGCTTTTTGGAAAGCCTGAGGAGACTGAAAACTAACATGGCTAGCATGGCTTTTGTAGAGGGGTCACAAGTCCATAATATTAGAAAGGTGAGTGGGACTCAGCTTGTAACCGACTTTGAATGACAGGCTTATGATTGTGGACCTTCCACTGAATTGTGAAAAACCAGTGGTGGTTTCTGAGCCATACAGCAATGTTGTATACAGAGTGTGAATTGTTACTAAGTTTGATACTGCAGCAATATGTGGAATACTTTGGTTTTAAAAATAGTGTTTTGTTGTAGAGGAAGGATGAGGAGAAGTTGGCTAATGGGTACGAACCTACAGTTACATAAAAGGAATAAGTCCTAATGTTCAAAAGCATAGTAGTGTGACTATCGTTAATAACAAAGTATTGTATATTTTAAAATAGCTAGAAGACAGGACTTGAAATGTTTCCAACACATGGAAATAATAAGTACTCAAGGTGGTGGATATTTTAAGTACTCTGACTTGATCATTACATTCTATTCATATAACAAAATACCACATGTACTCCATGTGTACAAATATTAAGTGCATATTTTTAAAATAAATTTTTAATTTTTTTCAAAAAGAAATAGTAATTTTTAGATGAAGGAGAGTTGGTAATATATGATTGGTGACATGACACTGAAACTAAAGAGGAAGGCCAAAGTTAGAGGTAAACATGGGGAACAAGTTGGTATACATGGCAGCTGAAATAGTGAGAGTAGATGGGCTCTCTGGGAGAGGGTCAGTAGAGAAGAAAGAGATGAGGAGTGACCACTAAGCCACTGGTCTTCTCCACATCTAGAGGACCAGAGGAAGAAGCCCAGCCAGAAAAAGTGATCAGAAAAGTACAGAACTCAAATAATCTCAAGCTGTGGAAGCAAAGGAAAATAATTCTTCAAGGAGATTATGAAGGTATTAAAAACTGAAAGGAAACAAATGGTATACAAATACCATTGGATCTGAGGATTCGTGAGCATTACAAGAAAACTTTTTCAGTAGAGATTATGATAGAACTCTGCAGTGACTTAAATAATGAGCCTAGTGTTTAAAAATTGAGGCAGGGTGGGTTTCATTTTAAAGAAAAGCAAGGAAAGGAGAAAGAGTGGAGACTTAAACACCTAGTAGGCTAAAGAAAAGTATTATCAAAAGATAATGATTACAATAACTAGCATTTGTTATAGAACTAGATCATATGCATTATCTTATTGATAAACCATTCTATAGATGAGCAAACTTGAGTCAGATAATTGAAAGGACTTATCTAAGTTCACACAGCTCAAAGGGCAAGGAAACCAAACCCAGATTTTCTGACTGCACAGATAGATGCCCTTCCCATTACAACTACATTGCCTCTATTTTTAAAAAACAATATACTTTAGAAATGCGTTGTACTTTTCACTTCACAAAGCACTTTCTCATATATTCTTTTATTTTATTCTAAAAACAACTTTGGAAGCAGGTATTAGTATTATCATTATTGTTCTTATTGGGAGGTTCACCAGTAAAGAAAATCGCAAGCTAAGAGAAGTTAAGAGGCTTGCACAAGATCTCATGGCAGAGAAGTATCAGAGCTACTAGGATTTAACCCCATTTCTTCTGGCACAACTGCCTAAGCACATTGTTAGGATCTGTGAAAGAGAACATGAGAGATTCATGACATACTCATGTAGGGTATGTTTTTATAACTGCCACTGGCTCCTCTATCTGTGTTATAAAGTGTATTTATAAAGCTCATTATTCATTAGCTTTATAACCTATCATGGAACCTGGCCTTTCACTTACTGATATTTGGCTTTTCACAATAATTTTTCATGGTATTATGACTCATTAAATCTCTTTTGGTTTCTCAACCTCTTCTATCTCTGGGAAGGATATATGTTTCTAATAGAGCCTATGATGTGGAATTTTTAAAGTGTAGCTAATGTAAATGAGGTAGTTTTTAAAGGATAACTTTATTTATTGTCCTCGGGTTACTAAGAGATGACTCTGGCTATCTCCTAAAAAACATATTTCAGGATGTACTTTTTTAATTTCATTTGCTTCCTCTGGCATTCACTTTTCACTGTGAGTCAAAGGAAACTTTGCTTAGAGTGAGTGATTCTACTGAAATGTCATGTTGTTGCTGCCCTCGCACCAGCTATTGGAAGGTTGTGGGTGGTACAAAGAAGGTTTGCTTTTGCCAGTGCTGGTAGCCTAGCTCCATATAGCTCAGGAGTCATTTTCAGAAGATAGAAGCAGTTTCCACTTCTCCCCAACCCCAGGAACTAAGCAATATTTTAAAAGCATAGCTGATGAATTGTTGACTGTCTCTAGCTGCCATGTTCCTGCTGTGTGCAGTGAAGGTGCCTGAGGCCGTGTCCGACATGCTGATGTCAGAGTTCCACCACCCGGAGACTGTGCAGAGGCTGAACGCTGTCCTCAAGTTCCACACGCTCTGGAGGTTTCGCTATCAGGTCTGGCCCCGGATGGAGGAAGGGGCACAGCAGATTTTTAAGGTGAGGGATACTTCTCACAGAGGAGTTACATTAGCAAACCCAACCCAAGGTTTGTTTAAACCGTTGAACCTCAAAGTCACAGTATGTGGCCAAAGATATTCTTCTTTTTTCTCTCTGATCATATAAGTAAACCTAACATACATGAATGCATTCCTACTGTTAAAAAATTAAAATATAGAAGAATATAGAGTAAGAAAATCAAGTCTCTATAAACCTCAAAATCTCACCAGCATTCCCAGAGGTAAGCATATGAAAGTCTGGGGAATTATCTTCTAAACATTTTGCTATATATAAACTTACAGGTATGTTTTGGAGGATGGGTTGATAAACTCAAATAGAGATCATTTGATTGAAAGCCTTTAATGAATTAGTAAACTGAGGCCCAGATAGGTTCATCTTGTGCTCTATAACAGAAAATCTTGGCAAATAGCCCTTTTCTAAAATTCTTGTTCATTCTGTGTGAAGTCACTTGGATGATTAACACTTCCTGAGACAGATTGTGTCATCATTATACTTCAGCCTCATTCTAGCTTATATTCCCTCTCACCTAATTTTTCTGATGTCAACTAACAGATTCCGCCTCCCAGTATCAATTTCACCCTTCCCTCGCCGGTGCTTGGAATGCCATCCGTCCCAATGTTTGACCCACCGTGGGTTCCTCAGTGCAGCGGGAGTGTCCAGGACCCCATTAATGAAGACCAGTCTGTGAGTAACAGACACTTCCAGGTTCCATGGTGTACGTGTAAAAGAGAACAATTAATATTTGTGGTAATTTGTTCATTCTCATCATAAGAATGTAATAATAACACAGAAAGTCAGCACAAAAGATCTTTGTCCTTGTGAATATAATAGAGAGAATAATATCGAGTAGTGAGTACTTGCAGATCTCAAAAAAAAAGTCTTGTTTTATAATCAAAGCAGAAGCCACCTTTAAAGCTACTAAAAGCATTAGGCATTGATTTCTTGGCCAAAGGTGGCCCTTTTGCCTCTATTTATTACAAACGAACATACTTATTTAACCAATAATACACAAGCCAAGTTAAGGACCCTGGCCCTGAAAAAAATAAGAAAAAGAAGAGAGTTGGCAGCTATTTACTTGTTTGAACCTTAGTTTATTCTTCATTTTGTTGATTATCAGTGTCATCATCACAGACATCACTCTGACACCCCTGCTCTTATTACTGCTATATGTAATATAACTCATAAACGGTCAGATTTAGAACACAGTCCATTTATAGACAAAAAACAAGAATATGCACCTTTTGAAAAAAATTCATCTTCAGAATATGCCTTTTTCACCTGTTTAATAGTATTTTTCTAAATTACAAGAGTAATGTAGAAAATTTGGAAAATAAAGCAAAAATAGAAAAAAGAACACCTCTTTGCACAAATTTATCATTGTTTCCTTGCATAAATTCCTATGGGATTTATGGCAATAATAAAATAATAACCATTAAAGGTTTTTGACGCATCTCACAAAATATCCCCAGAAAAGTTATATCACTTTGTCCTTATAGAATAGAATTGAAAAGTATCTTATTAACTAGTGTTATTATTTTAATTGCCACTTTGAATGGCCAAAACAACTTACTGTTTATTTTATTCATACTTCTTTGAAAAATTTAGTTGAATATATGAAATTAGTTTGAACATCTTTGCATATTACTCATAGTATTTCTAGGCATTTGTCGCTTTCTTTGGAGAACTGTTTTTTAAACTCTTTCCCATCACAATATACCTATTTTATTTTAATTCTACCTTCATATCTGATGGTACCTTGCCAAAGAGAAATACACACCTGGTTCTTCTCCCATATGTGCAGTAATTTCAGCATCTGAACCACCAACATAAAGTTATCTTTGATTTTTCTCCTGAAGAGGTGGTGGGTTCATCTGAGCCAGCCACAATCTGTATCCCAAGCTCACTGTGGATTTGAAATCAAGTACCTTGATTTTATATCCAGTTATCTTTCTCATTCCACAGTTCTTACCTTATGCCTTAATATAATAAACCAGCTTAGCTATCTGGCTCTGAAAATGGATTGTACTAAAAGTTCAAAAATTAGCTGGGCATGGTGGCAGGCACCTGTAAACCCAGCTACTCAGCAGGCTGAGACAGGAGAATCACTTGAACCCAGGAGGTGGAGGTTGCAATGAGCTGAGATTGTGCCATTGTACTCCAGCCTGGGTGACAAGAGCGAAACTCCATCTCAAAAAGAAAAAAAAATGCTCTTAATTGCTACTCTACCTTTCAACATAGGAAACCTTTAGTCTTATGTTAAGATCCTCCATAAAGGGATTATCTACAAATGCAGCCCTGTAGAAGAGTAATCAACATCCCCTGCCTGTCTCTTGAACCCTGTGTGACTATAAGCCAACAAAGAGTTCTGGAATTGCCATTGTGCATAAACATTACTTCAAGTGGATAGAGAAGAACTCCAGTGATCACTTCCCTGCTCAGAGGCCACTGACTCTGTCTCCAAAGCTCTTGGAGCTTGTCTGGGCATAAGCATCATAATTAAGACATGAATAGAATAGCTGTTGTACAGTGAATCTTCTTTTCTTCATTGTTCCTGATCCTTCATCTATGGAGGAGTGAGTTTTTCTTGGTATTTTTCCAGTATGCCTTGGCTACTGTTAAATAGAGTCAGATTTTACATTCAACCTTAGTAACACTATCAGCTCTCATATTTTTCATTCCATAACTTTGTTTCCACAAATATTATTAAGTGTTTATAGTGTGACAAATACTTGAGCTACAGAAATGAAATAAGCCATATAACTAACTGGCTTATATGAGAGATCTCTCTTTCTTTGTCCTTTCCATGATTCTGACTTTCAATTTTATTAACCTTATGAAATAAATGTTCTTCTTTTTTTTTTTTTTTGAGACAGGGTCTCGCTCTGTTGCCCAGGCTGGAGCGCAGTGGTGTGATCCCGGCTCACTGCAACCTCTGCCTCCTGTGTTCAAGCAATTCTCATGCCTCAGCCTCCTGAGTAGCTGGGATTACAGGCTTGCGCCACCACGCCCAGCTAATTTTTGTATTTTTAGTAGAGATGGGGTTTCACCATGTTGCTCAGGCTGGTCTCGAACTCCTCACCTCAAGTGATCCACCCGCCTCAGCCTTCCAAAGTGCTAGGATTACAGACGTGAGCCACCACACCTGGCCTGAAATAAATGTCCATTTAAAAACAGTTCAAAACATTCTAGAAAGAAATAGAGTACTTAAAAATTTTATTTGATCATAATATTTAAAGAGCAAATCATTGATATCCCTGCAAATCCTGAGATGAAATAGGATTCCTTCCAGAAATTATGTGTTCATGAAGAATCATTCTGATTGAATGAAAAAAAAATAGCTTAACCATACACAGCTTGGAAATTTGGTAAAAGGACAAATATCCATGAAACTGGATCATGGGTATCCTAACATTTCCTGAGGACAAACTACTACGTTTGTGTCATTCATTGGAACACTCTTTATGCCTGTGACCTTGCAGAAGAATTGCTATTAAATGAACTTGCCTTTATGTCTCCACAGAAATCCTTTTCAGCCCGGGCTGTGTCCCGCTCCCATCAAAGGGCAGAACACATCTTAAAGAACTTGCAGCAGGAGGAAGAAAAGAAACGACTTGGTAGAGAAGCCAGCCTCATCACTGCCATCCCCATCACCCAGGAGGCTTGCTATGAGCCCACATGCACGCCCAACTCAGAACCGGAAGAAGAAGGTGCCCTCTGCACACAGGACTTCTTGGGGGGCTGAGTCTCAGGGAAATAACGTGCTCTGAAATTAACATTGACAATTTTATGTGACATGAGGTGATATGCCCCCTTCCATCTCTCTCTCACTTCCTGACGCTAACCAAAGAAAGAGAAAAGTTGTTTTCTGAAGTTTAGAGTTAGCCATTTTCAGAGGAGGACATTAGTTACATTAAATGAATGATTCAGGGAACTGCTGAATCCAGTATGTGTATTAAAGTAAATGCAACCAATCTTTCATTAACTACTTTCAACCTTCACAAGTGCAGTTTGTCAGTTGGTATCAAAAATGATTAATTAATCATTCTGAATTGAGTGATTCTCTGTCCTGCTTTTGTAAAAACTTCGGGGGATATTTTCTGTCTTTCCTCTGTAGGGCTTTTTTAATTTTTATTTTTCCTTTTCTAAGTACACTCAAAATTATTTAAGCCTTATGGTCTGAGAGCAGTATGCATTTGTGATACAACAACAATGTGATAATAATAACTCTTTTGTTATAAAGCCAAAGTTCACATTCCCCATTTTGTTTGCCAGTAGAAGAAGTCACCAATCTGGCATCCCGTCGACTGTCTGTGAGTCCATCCTGCACCTCCAGCACTTCCCACAGGAATTATTCCTTCCGCCGCGGGTCAGTCTGGTCAGTGCGTTCAGCCGTCAGTGCTGAAGGTGTGTCCTCTTGCATACGTTTTATTTCTCCTGACTTATGTGTTTTGAAACACTTTCCAGTTAATATCATGATCTCACTTGATTACATTGTCTTCATTAAATAACTTGTCTCATGACTTGACATTCTAAAAAAAATTAGCATGGCATCCTTTAAAAAAAAATTGTTGATTTACCTCAGCAATTGTTATTTTTAAGTTGGCTCTATTTTAATTACATTGCATGTAATCATATTGCTGAGGGTTCAGAATACATCATTCTAGACAGTTAATAGTTCTCCACCTAGCTACAGTACATTACAACCAACTGGGAAGCTTAAAAAGAAAGTTCCTAAGACCAAATCAAAATCTCTGAGGGTAGGACTCATCAGTGTTTTTAAAACCTCCTCAGCTGATTTCAGTGTGTGTCACTAGTTTTTGTTTTTGTTTTTGTTTTTGTTTTTGTTTTTATTCATCCCTGTGGGTATAAAGTGGTAACTCAATGTGATTTTTATTTGCACTTCCCTAATGACAAATGGTATGGAGCATCTTTTCATATGCTTATTGACCATATGTATATCTTCTTTGTAAAAGTATTCATTCAAATCTTTTGCCCACTTTAAATTGGGCAATTTGTCTTTTAACTGTTAAATTATAAGAACTATTTATACATTCTGGATATAAGTCACTTATCAGATATATGATTTGCAAATATTTTCTCCCATTTCGTAGTTTGTCTTTTTACTTTCTTCACTTGATCTTAGCCAAAAGGCTGAGAAGCGAGTGTCTTTTTTATTTTCTTAAAGGTAACTTTGAGGCACAAAATTTTTTATTTTAATTAGGTCCAATGTGTGTGTTTTTCTTTTGTCATTTGTGCTTTTAGTGTCATATCTAAGAAACAATTGTCTAATCCAAGGTCGCAATTTGTCTAATCCAAGGTCACAATTTGTCTAATCCAAGGTCACAAAGATTTACTCCTATGTTTTCTTCTAAGAGTTTTAGCATTTATATTTAGGTGTGTAATCAACTTTGAGTTAATATGTGTTATGTTATGAGTTAGAATTTTGCATTTAGATAACTAGTTGTCCCAGCACTATTCATAGAAAAGACCATTTTCTCCATTGAATTTTCTTGGCACCTTTGTCAAAAAGCAATTGAACATAAATGTAGTAGTATATTTATGGTTTTTCAGTTCTGTTCTACTGATCTGTATGTCAATCCTTCTCTCAGTACCATGAAATCTTGATATGCAGATATTTGTATAATTGTTGTGTCTTTCTCATTGATTATTTTGTCATTATAACATGCTCTGTTTTGCCTGTGGTAAAAATTTTTCACTTACAGTATACTTTGTCTGATGTTAACATAGATACTCCACATCATTTTTTATTGCTATCTGTATGGCATATCTTCTTTCATCCTTTTCTTTCATCTTATTTGTGTCCTTGAAACTAAATTACGTCTCTTAAACATAACAGTTGATTCATATTTGTTTGTTTTTATCCATTCTGCTAATTTTGCCTTTTGATTAGTCAGTTTACATTTATTGCAGTTTTGGATAAGGTAAGATATGTGCCTGCCGTTTTAAAATATAAGATATGCCATGTGAAAGACACAGTTTTATTTATATCTTTATCTTATAATAACTTTATAAGATAATATGTTTTATATAACATAACATTATATTAAAATAAAACATTTATAATAGCTGACAAAATCTTTGTCTAGTAAGTCCAACATTTAAGCTTCCTCAGGGTTAGTTTATGTTGACTGCTTTTATTTCTGTATATGGGCAATATTTTCCGGGTTTCTTATATGTCTCATAAGTTTTTATTGAAAAATGGACAATTTAAATTATATAATGTGGAAACTCTGCAAATCAAATGTCCCCCTTTCCTCATCAGGATTTTTTATTATTGTGTTGCTATTTGTTTGTTTAGTAACTTTCCTTGACTAATTTGTAAAGTCCATAATAAGCCTTTGTTGAGTGTGAGCACTGAAATCCCTGCTCAGTTACATTAGTGGTCAGGTAATGATTAGACAGAGATTTTCTTAAGTGCCTTGAACTAATAAGTCTTCCAGCCTTTACTGAGGACCACTTTGGGTGTGTTGAGGCACATCTTCAGTGTTCCAGTAGTTTAAAACTCTGCCCTTCATTTTTGTACTTTCTGCTTGTGTAGAGCTTCAAGGTTAGCCAAACATGAGAGATGACGAATTTCTCAGGTCTTTCCTGGGCATGTGCACAACCTTGTACATATGTACAGCCATCTAGATAACCAGGAATATGTCAGTGATTTGCAAGCCCCCTAGAAATCTCATTCTCCAGATTTGCCTTTTAAGATTTTTGTCAGCCTCCAGCTTCTCCCAACTCATATGAGCACCTCAGACAGCTACAATGTTAAATAATTGTTGCTGATTTTTTTTTTTTTTTGGAAAATGCCCTGGGGATAAAGCTGTTTGCACTAAGCTTTAAGTCAAGCTAAATAAAGACAAACCTTGTGAACAGGGATTTTCCATGGGGTTCTAGATAGGTCAAGTAGTGACAATTCTCTGGTGTTGAGGCTTTTAGGGGGCTCCAAAACTGCTCTGCCCATCCAGTGGCTGCTAGGCTGCTGGTTTTAACAGCTACCATGGTTGCAAGGTTGTCAATTTTCAAGGCTCCTAAGGACCTAGGAAGACAGGGAGGTGAGTAGGACAAGTTAAAAAGCCAGAAATACCACTGGTCTTTTTTCCTTTTTTTTTTTGTTGTTTTTTTAATACATGCTCCTCAAATAGTTCCAAGCTTTTGGTAAATTTTGAAAGCTCCGAAAAAAGTGTATTTCACAGTATTCTCATTGCTTTTACGGAAGAACAGATTTCAGGGATCTATACTCCACTGTTGCAGAAGTGCTTGGTCCACTATATATATATACATTTTTAAAGATTTCCA
The DNA here is from genome assembly GCF_000001405.40 of Homo sapiens. Classification (NCBI taxonomy): domain Eukaryota; kingdom Metazoa; phylum Chordata; class Mammalia; order Primates; family Hominidae; genus Homo; species Homo sapiens. The sequence continues at coordinate 209,925,288 of NC_000002.12, forward strand.
CATGCATCTACTACGAAGCTGTGTCCAGAATTTATTCCTTCCAGCGGGTTCTTGGTCTCGCTGACTTCAAGAATGAAGCCGCGGACCTTCACAGTGAGTGTTACAGCTCATAAAGGTAATGCGGACCCAAAGAGTGAGCAGCAGCAAGATTTATTGTGAAGAGCAAAAGAACAAAGCTTCTGCAATGTGGAAGGGGACCCAAGCGGGTTGCCGCTACTGGCTTGGGTGGCCAGCTTTTATTCCCTTATTTTATTTTATTCCAGCTTTTATTCCCTTATTTGGCCCCTCCCACATCCATTGGTCCCTTTTACAGAGCGCTGATTGGTCCATTTTACAGAGTGCTGATTGGTGCGTTTACAATCCTTTAGCTAGACACAGAGCACTGACTGGTGCGATTTTACAGAGTGCTGGTTGGTGCATTTACAATCCTTTAGCTAGACACAGAGCCCTGATTGGTGCATTTACAATCCTTTAGCTAGACACAAAAGTTCTCCAAGTCCACATCCAACCCAGAAGATCAGCTGGCTTCACCTCTCAAAGCCCAGACTGAGAATGACAGTATAAGTCTCTTAACCCTCTAGTCCTTCATAGGCCTTCTAAAATCCCAAATAGTCATGTAAGTTTTAATCTGAGAATCAAACACTCACAATTCTTTAGTGCTTTAGAAAAGTGACATGTATATTTTCATATTAATAAGCTGTTAAATACCTTTTCTACCTTCCTTGCCTACTAAATCTAACCTTTTTCCTTTATTCCTATATGCAATTATATTTATTTTTAATTTGTTATTGTATTTATCAATGAGGATGAAAACATTAATATGGGTGGGCTATGTCATTCTTATCCTAAATGCATGTGTGTTTTCTTCTACCCCATATTACTGCTTACTATCTCTCACACACTCACATGCACACAACCAGTTGCATCTATGAAAAATGTCTTAGTCTCCGCTTAGAATTTTATCTTCATTAATTTAATATTGTGAACCGATCCACTTGTCCCAGAATGTCTGTGCTTCGCTTCTCTACCAAACAAGAATAATAGTACTCGGAAAGTGGGCTGGTTTTTTTTATTTGTTATAAAATGAAGAGGCACTTTGTGTAACGTAATCTTTTTTAAGATGTTGGCATTTTCTCATTGCTAGGATTATGCTTTTAAATAAGTATGCCTTGAACTGAGAAATGTTGCATTAAAATTATATTACTGAGGCCAGATGCAGTGGCTTATGCCTGTAATTTCAGCACTTTGGGAGGTGGAGGTGGGAGGATTGCTTGAGCCCGGTAGTTCAAGACCGACTGGGGCAACACAGTGAGGACTCATCCTACAAAAAATAAAAAAATTAGTCAGATGTGGTGGCACACCTATGTGGTCCCAGCTACTCTGGAGGCTGAGACAGGAGGATCTCTTGAGCCCAAGAAGTCGAGGCTGCAGTGAGCAGTGATCATGCCACTGTACTCCAGCCTGGGTGACAGAGTGAGACCCTATCTCAAAACAACAGTAGCAACAAAGAATTACGTTACTGAGAAAAGCACCCTGATTTTGTCTCCCATTTTAGATGAGGAACATACCACTGAACACACGCCGAACCACCATGTGCCTCAGCCCCCACAAGCAGTGTTCCCAGCATGCATCTGTGCAGCAGTACTTCCCATTGTTCATCTGATGGAGGATGGTGAGGTGCGGGAAGATGGAGTAGCAGGTACAGTTTTGAACAGTCAGATCATCAGTGACATTCTTAAGCTGTTTATCTGATAGAAGACAGTAGGTTGCTCTTAAACACATTATCTACTGGCCACATGTTGAACTGTTTTATGCACATATTATAATTACAGATTTGTAACATACTGCGCTAACAGTATCACTCTCTCCACCTCCTTCTCCCTCTACCTTTATGGCCAAAAAAATTGCATTTAAAATAGGTAATTGGGTCCAGGAGCATTGTTCGTGACCAGAGAACAGAACAACACAATAATTATTTAGCCACATAGAAATCAAACCTTAGAAATCTTAGCTATTAGCTTGACACCACTAATACCATCTCTCTTACGTGATTACCTTTCCTGACGTGCTAACTACCTAAAAAGAATAATTGCAAAATGAAACGATAAACTAAGGGAAAAGATGAGTAACATTTGTGACAGACAAAGGTTAATTTCTTAACGTTACATTTTAAAAAGCTCTTATAACTCACTAATAATTTTTTAAAACCCCATTAGAAAACTGGGCAAAGGATATCAGCAGGCAATCCAATGGCCAGTAACACCTGGAGACAACATCGTTGTTTAAAACTGTAATAAATCTTACATTTCAGCCAGAAAGTCGGCAAATATTACTTTAAATGAAAATATCTATTGCTGGTGAAAAAGCAGGGGAAAGAGCATCCTCATACTTTGCTGATGAAGTATAAAACTCTGTACAAGCATTCTAGAACAGAGTTTCATGATATGTATCAAAAACCTTAAAAGTGTGAAAAGCTTTTGACACAGATTTGGCTTCTAGCAATTTCCTAAGACAATCATGAGGGCTGTATAAAGGACATTGTACACTGATCATTATTTAAAATAAAAAATATTTAGAAAGACTTTAAATCCCTAACAATAAGCAATTAGTTAATCATAGTACCTCCATATGATAACATTCTGTGAATGCTGGAATTGCATTCTAGATGAATATTAATATAAAAAGTGTTAATACATTGCTAAGTAAAAAACCGAATACCAGAGAATATTTTCTATATATAGTACTATTTTAAAATACATGTAAGTAGACTGGGCACGGTGGCTCATGCTTGTAATCCCAGCACTTTGGAAGGCTGAGGCAGGCAGATCACTTGAGATCAGGAGTTCGAGACCAGCCTGGCCAACGTGGCGAAACCCTGTCTCTACTAAAAATACAAAAATTAGCCAGGCGTGGTGGCACGTGCCTGTAATCCCAGCTACTCATGAGGCTGAGGCAGGAGAATTGCTTGAACCTGGAAGGCAGAGGTTGCAGTGAGCCGAAACCGCACCACTGCACTTCAGCCTGGGCAACAGAGTGAGACTCCATCTCAAAAATAAAAATAAAATAAAATAATGCACGTAAATATATATTTCATGTATGTGAAATGACATACTCCAAACTGTTAATAGTTGTTTCTGTGATGAGTGGACTTCCCAGTCTTATTTTTCTCTTTGCATTTTTTTGTATTTTTCATGTTTTAAGCATGAAACTGCCTTACTTAAGCAATTAAAATAAAAATAACATGAACATTTTTAAAGTTTTAATTGACACATAATAATTGTACATATTTATGGGGTACAGTGATATTTCAGTACCTGTATACAATGTGTAATGATCAAATCATGGTAATTAGCATATCCTTCACCTCAAACAGTATTTCTTTGTGTTAGGAACACTCAAAATTCTCTCTTCTAGCTATTTGAGAATATAGAATAAATTATTGTTACCTATAGTCACCCTACAGTGCTAAAGAACACTGAAACTTATTCCTGCTATCTAGCTGTAATTTCTTATCCATTAACCAACCTTTCCCATGCCTCCCTCCCGCCTCCCCTTCCTAGCCTCTAGTTAGCACTATTCTACTGTCCACTTCCGAGAGATCAACTTATTTAGCTTCTACAAATGAGTGAAAACATGCAATATTTGTTTTCCTGTGCCTGGCTTATTTCACATGTAAAGATATTTTTGCAATCAATATCAACCTGAGAAAAACTCACACCTATTTTAATTAGTTATAGAGACACATGAAAGCTACAGCTCTGGATTTATATTTTTGTTAATATTATTTATATGTCCTTTAACTTTAACTGTATGGCTTGTTTCTGAATCAAAATTTGGTATCATTTATTTGAAATAAATTTATGCTAAATTCTGTATTCCTACTTTTGAAAACCAATGGAATTGGGAAACACGTTGAAACTAAAGACCATTCAGTGCTTACTGGCCCTGTTTTTTACCCACTTGCTTTCTTAGTCTGGGTACTTCTAGACAATCTTAGCCTGACCGCTTTCCCCACAGAAATAGCACTTTCTTTCTCATTAGGATTAATTATTTATTCTTAAGACTTCTTCGTTAGAAGTGAGAACCTAATTGTTACTGGCTCAACTACTTTATCTTGCTGAAGGAGATACTGTTTGAAGCACTCATGTGGACAGAAAAAAAAATCCCTAATTCATATGCATTCTAAACCAAAACATATTTTCAAAATCCAAATAGTCTTTCATAGTTTCTCCATAAAATAAACAATAAAATATGACTGTAATTTAATAAGTGCTGACTGCTGCTATTATTGGGGTGACTTCCACAACAAAGACAATTGCATATATTCACAGAGATATTCTTTGCAAAAGCATTGCTGATACCTGAAGACAACTCCTACACTTTTTGGTAACCTGTTCTTTACATGTGAAAATGTTCAGAGACAACAACGAAGAGAACAAACACCTACGTTGCAAAAGAAAAAAGAGTTCACAGAGCCTTTTAAGGCAAAAAGCAGAGACTAAAGCTTGTAAATTGTCAAATACTTTATCTCATAGACTTAACTCCATTAAAGACAAATGTTCAACTTTCTTTCTCTTCTGAAGTGAGTGCTGTGGCTCAACAAGTCTTATGGAACTGTCTAATTGAAGATCCATCAACGGTTCTTCGACATTTTCTGGAAAAACTGACCATCAGCAATAGACAAGTAAATTCCTCTTCCTTTTTAGTGTAGCTCTGTGGCTACAAGTGTGAACACTGTTAAAATCATGCAAAGAACTTTATAGTGCAGTGCATGCAACTCAATGCCCTCCAATACACAACCAATAAGTACTTTTTAAATAATGATAATGATGAGCAATACTTAACTTTGCTGTTTTTAATTTCTCCATTAATTCATGTTTCTATATATATATATATTACATTGCTAGTGAGGATCCTAAAATACTGCAAGATTAAATTAAGTATAATGTTCTTACTATTGAGTACCTTCATTGAATTCTGAATGCTTGGCAGTCTGATGCAGGTATGATTATTAGAATATGTTAAAATTTTTCATTAACCAAAAACCTGATTTGTCAGACCACCTTGTAAGAAGATCATGCCAAATAAAAGTAGTCTTTCAAGCAGTGGCAAAATACAGCGATGATTAAAAATTATTTGTTCATTTCTATGCTATAGTCATATTCACTGGAAGGTTAAGTTTAGTTTCTGAAAGGTAAAGTTAATTATAGACATTTCAATCTAGTCTCTTGTAACCTCTCTTTTTCTCTTTGACTCAAAACCTAGAAAGCAGAATTAAGACATTCACAAAAACATGGTTTGTTTAATGATTTTTCAACATAGGTCCTCCTCATAGTCCCGTCATATCAGGCTACCATGGCCAATAGAGTTAACTAAATATACAGCTTTCCTGTGACTTGCCTGTGACCTACACACACAGTGTCAATTTAAAAAGAACAAAGTCGTTTACTGCTCAGTGATTTTTATGTGTTAGCTCCTAGGAGAAAGGTGTTCCAGATGGTTTAAATACTACTTAACAAGTATCACATATACTATATTAAAATGTTGAACATAATTGAAATCAATATGTGGGCAAAAGTAAAAAAAATCCCTCACCCAATCCCGAATTTTCAAGAAGTTAATTTTATTTTCTACAGCATGGCAGCTGAAGGAAACATTAAAAATTCTGTTCTTCTTTCAGGATGAGTTAATGTACATGCTGCGCAAACTTCTCTTGAATATTGGAGACTTTCCTGCTCAGACATCTCACATCCTATTCAACTATTTGGTGAGTTATAAATGTTCATTTCCAATTACGAAGCAGCACCATGATGAAAAGGTCTTAGAAGATTTTTTTCAATAAATTTCCATTAATTACATTACTAAAGGCAAATCCTGGTCAACTAAATTCTGTGTAGGGAAGCCCCTGCCTGGCATACTCTTTGACATATGGAGGACAGTCAATATAAATGTCAGTTCCTCTCTGTCTTCCTTTAGCAATATATAACTTTCTTATGTTTGTTGTTTATTTTTGTTTTCTGTTGAGAAAACATGTGTTCTTTTAGTATTTTTTCCTCTTTTCCTATCTCTATGTTTAAACACACACACACACACACACACACACACACACACACACACACACACACACACAGATGCAACTGTTGTCCTAGATGGAAAGTTTTTGTGTATATATTTTTGCATGGCAACTGTCTATGACAGTTTTAACTGCCCTGGCAGTTCTTTTCTGATCCTCTGAGACTTACCAATTTCTTCACATTCTTTTTTTAAACCCCAGATGAATATGCAGTTTGGGGACTAGAACCTGATGACTACACCTTGAAACTGCCCCTTAATCCAGGCAGACAAATAGCCAAATTAATGTCTGTGCTGAGCATACTCCTTCAGTTATCCATATGCATATGCATCCCTAGCAGGGTGATAAATTTAACTCCCACCACAACCCCCATGTGCAGAGAACATTTGTAATTCCTTTCTCTTGTCTAAGACTAATTTGGTCATCTTTCTTCCGAGTGCCTACTTGCTGGTTGGCAAAGGAAAAAAATATGAATAAATGTCCAATCCAGATTTAAGTTCAGACCGGTACCAAAACATAAACAGTACATTTTGGTGGTTTTCAGTCTCTCTTGGATAAAAATGCATAGTCTCTAGGAATTCTCCCTCCTTCACACTGCTTTTGTCTCTATAGCTATGTGGAGTTGGGAAGAAAAAAGACCTGTGTTCCACATCTCACCCCTTGCATTTTATCTGGGTCCTTCATTTGTGAGACCATGTTCTTAAGTCTGGCTGGTTGCTGGATATCTGGATGGGCACAAACTCAAGCCCATGGCTGCTGTCACTCAAAGCCTGTCTGCTCCTGGCACTGTTTGCCAGGAGACTCAACCTCCCCTTAGCTTCTGTGGGTGCTTTAGACCCCCTGAGTTCTTGCCATGAGTCCCATAGGGCTCTAACATAGGAAGTCCACCAGCTACAGCATCCTGCTCAGTGACAACAGCCTATGGCCGTTCTATCTGGAAAGCTTTCCAGCCAAGCATCCACTACTTCTGGGTTCTGTCTACACCACACGAAAACCAAAGGTGGATTTGGAAAGCCAAATGTCAGGGCCTCCCTCAGTTTAGGTGTGTGCCCTGCCAAATTTACACTCCATCCAGGCTGGTGTGGAAAGAGCCCAAAGAGGGACTGGAGATGAGAGCGCCTTCAGTGTTTCTTTCGCTTGCCTGTGTACCTGCCCCTTCCCCAGGTCACTGAATAGGAGAAATGCTTGCCCAGACCATTGCTCTCCTCCATCCTTTAGCTCCGCAACAAAAATATTTTTAAGGGAGCTTGATGCCCAGATAGTTTTAAAAGAAATAAATCTCCAAATACTCAACTTAACAGATATGCACTAACACTTGTTGAGTAAGTCTGCCATCTCAACCATTATTCTAGTGCACACAAGGAAGACCCAACCCATCATCCCAGAGATTACCAGGCTGCACTGACAGGCATGTAGGTTGGAGAAAGAATCTGAATTCTATGTTATTAGTAGTTTTAAGAAATCATCTTTTCTGATTGATCAATGCACTTTAACCCATAGGACTTTCTATCTGGTCCTATGTTTTATAAATTTCTATTAAGGGTGAGGGTTGGCCCTCCTTAGGGTGTCCAGCATTTAGAACACCAAAACAGATTAGGTTTGCGACACTGATTCTTTCAACATAACTACAAAGTTTTCCAGGACTACAAAATTTTTGAAGAAACAATGGTTAAAACCCACAAGAAAAAAAAATTTACACTATTTCTTTCTGAATATTTGCACATTATTGAATAGGATAATTGAAAGTTATTTCATCAAATATTCCAATTATAGTCAGTCCTCATCTTATTTCAATGTATAGAATGCTGAACATATTCTACCTCCTATTAACAAAAAATAAACTTGAATGAGGCATTTTAGATGTCAACTTTAAAAGGTGCAAAAGAGCACACAGTTTTTCAAAATTACATTAGAAGATATGCAAACAACCCAGCTGATAAAATAATGTAAGGTTTGTCACAACAAACCTCATGACACACATTTACCTATGTAACAAACCTACACGTGTACCCCTGAATTTAGAAACAAAAAAAAAGAAGACACACAAAAATTTTGAAGTTCATCAACTTAGCCAAGCAGTGTGCTCTTAGGTTTGAGACTATTAGACATAATCCAAGCTGCAAATAGTGCTTGGACAAACTTCTTATACAGATGAATTTTAGATGGCCCAAGTACCTAGCTACCAAGTGACATGATGCCTGGGTGGGGGGAGGGGGGAATGATCTGCTTTTTTCTTAAGAATTCGCCATTTTAATGATATATAAAAATGTACAGCAGCCTGTGTGGTCAGTTTTCCAGTTATGCCCTCTCCTGGTAACATTGAAAGTGTTAGAGAAGCATCTGAACAGAGAATATGAAGGCACAGAAGAAGGTCGAGTTTAAAACAAGAAAAGCTAAGGAAATGAGAATGTGAGCTCGGGATTATTGTAGCTTTGTGAACTCTTCTTATACTGACTTCTAGGTAGGATTAATCATGTACTTTGTGCGGACCCCCTGCGAGTGGGGGATGGATGCCATTTCAGCCACCCTGACATTCCTGTGGGAGGTGGTGGGTTACGTGGAGGGCCTCTTCTTCAAGGATCTCAAGCAGACGATGAAGAAGGAGCAGTGTGAGGTGAAGCTCCTGGTGACCGCTTCAATGCCAGGTAAGCCACTACTACTTTTTAGTAACATAACTTTAAAAAAAAATTATAAATAGCCCTTTGAAAGACTAAGAGTCTCTTTCATTCATGAGAAAATTTTCAGAGTTCTAACCCCCAGTATTGAGTGCTTCAAAGAATTTTTGTTTAATATAATCAGAGGAAATACAATAGACCCTTTAAAAAGTCAGCGGTTGCCAGCTGAAAAGGGAGACTCAGAACTGAGATCCGCATGAATCAGTCCTTGAAGGGCTGCCAAGGTTGAAGATTTATTTAAGTCTATTGCAGAGAGCCAGCTGAACTGAAAGCTTGTTTGAGTGAATTTTTGGCAGTGCAAGAATAATATTGTTTGTATGGCATGGACTCCAGTCTTTTGTAAACTCCATGAGTGAGGGCTTTATGAAAAATTGGAAAAGGGGAAAGCAGGAAGAAGGAGCATTACAAAAGAACATGAAGCGTGATGTAAACTCAAGATACGGTTCCTTTTCACTTCGGATAGCTTGTTTTGCCTTAAGACAAAGATTTGGACAATTCTTTATCCTTGTGCAGTGACTAAGAAAATTTGAGATGATACATGTATTGAAATAGAAGTGAAAGACAGAATTATGTAGAGATGAGAACACAGGTTCTCGCAGCAAAAAAGCCTGTGTTTAAATCATAGCACTGTCATTTATTAGTCACATAACTAGTATTAACTGTGAAGAAGTACATTATTTCTCAAAGCTTTCTTTCTTTGTGTATAAAATAGGGATATAATTCATACTTCACAATTGTGAGGAATAAATGAGTTGAGATATGTGAAATACTTGCTGCCATACCTGGCTCATGATAAGCATTCGATGAATGGGAATTGTGTATGTATAGGTTCTGTAGATTATCCAAAAAAAGTGATCAGTTTTTATTACAGCAAAGAAACTCCTATTTTTAACATACTTAAAAACAACTCACTAAAAATTGAGGTATATCATAATGTTCACAAAGATTTGTAATTAATGAATGAAGTAGAATAAATATTGTCTCCATCAGCCAAGAAGAATACAGAAAATGTAGCTTTCAGCTACATTTCAAGTACATGTTTTGGTTTTGCTAATATCCCTGTTTATATTTTCTTAACTTTTATTGCCTGGTCACCTCATCTAGAAAACAGGGATGTACTACTTGTTGAAATGCTTGAGGTTTGAATTCTAACTCTTCCACTAAATAAATATGTCTCTTAAGTTATTCCATTTCTCTTTTTCCTCATTTGTAAGATAAAAAATCATAACACCCACATCATGGGGTGGCTATGAGATTTAAATACAATTATGCATGTAAAAGACAGGTAGAAGTATTGAGAACTTGGCCTAGCGCGGTGGCTCACTCCTGTAATCTCCGCACTTTGGGAGGCCGAGGCAGGTGGATTGCTTGAGGTCAGGAGTTTGAGACCAGCTTGGACAACATGGCGAAACCTCGTCTCTACTAAAAATAAAAATTTTTTAAAAGTATTGGGAACTCCATACCTATCACTTTTAATAAGTGAATATATTTAAAATATATGTATATTAATCTTAAATTTCCAGGTTAAAAATAAATAAAATATATATGTAACTATGAATTAAGAATTGTAATTAACAGTAAAAACATCAGCTTATTGATAATATTTTAATATTTTATGCTTTAAAATACAAATTTTCTATAGTAAAAGTCAGTTTGTTATTATTTTTATCATCTGTAGGTACTAAAACCTTGGTAGTTCATGGACAGAATGAGTGCGATATCCCAACCCAGTTACCAGTCCATGAAGACACTCAATTTGAAGCCCTGTTGAAGGTAGGAATGACTTTTAACAGAAACAATTTTTAAGGACAATGCTATGGCCACCTCACTGAAGATCCATTTTAGAATAAAATGGCATTTTTCTGTCTTTAAATGGATGTATGCATTTCTTTACTCTTCTAAAATCTGCCCCACTATTATTTCCTTATGCTATTTCCTTCCATAATTTTCCCCACTTCTACTGACTTTAGTCAGTAAACTTTTAGTAATCTGATTTTCAGGAACATAGTTCTGGGCCCAGATGTAAGTAGAAGAGACCTTTGGAAAAAAAATCAACTTTTCCAAACTCGTGCATCTTATTTCAGTAGAAAGGGACATTACTACTCCTTTTGTCCTCATTCAGACATCTCCAGAGAATTTCTAAGGCCCAACTTCAACAAATACTCCATTTTTATACTCACGATGAATGGTAGGATAGCAGGAAGGCAAACAGAGTATATTCAAACGCTGCCTTCACCACAACCAGTGTGACCTAAATCAAGTGATAAGACTTCTCTAGTCTCAGTTTCATTTTCAACAGTACTGAGATACTAGTTCAGGTTATACAAGTTATCTATGCCTAGTATATAGTATATAATGTGCACAGTGCATGATAGTTTATATTATTCTTAAGTGTTTCTCAAACATGCTTTCTTCCTGATGCTGAGACCAGTAGGTGCCACTGTTCCTCCACAGTCCATCACTCAGTCTGAATTATAATTGTACATCTTTGGGCACTATGAGATCAGATGGTCCATATCACATTATCAGTCTTTATCGTACCATTCTTTGGATAGCTCTGTGTGGGTATATATGCAGCCATGGTATGTGTGTATATATATGTGTATATATATATGTGTGTGTGTATGTGTATACACATATACACACACACATATCTAACGTATACAGTTTACATAAGACATCAATATATACAGATAATTCTCGTAAGAGGTTACCTTGTTTTTTCAAAATTTGTATCTGTCACCTTACTACCTAGCACATAATATCTTCCTGATAAACATTTATTAAAATTTGTTGCTATTGTTCTAGGAGTGTCTGGAGTTTTTTAATATCCCAGAATCCCAGTCAACACATTATTTTCTTATGGATAAACGATGGAACCTTATCCACTACAATAAGGTGAGACACCAGTAGTGACATCCCCGTTGAGTTGTGCCAAAGGCTTATCATGCCTACCTGAGGGTGGCTCACAGTCAGGGAGGCATCGCTGTTTAGAAGGTAATAGTATGGCCACCTGGGTCACACCATCTTACTATCAATGGGGCTTTTGACTGGCGACTTCACCTTTCTACCCTTTGGTTTTCTTGTGTGTAAAATGAAGGTAATGATAATGGTATCCATGCTAGAGCAGTTGTAATAGTTAAATGAGATAAGCTAGATAAGACACTTAGGTATTGATCATTATTACATGAAAAATTACGTTGCCCGTATAATACCTGTGTGTGTCTATTTGGAATTTGAATGCTGTTTTGCATCTCTTTTCTACCATGTTAAACAAGACCATGCTGATCTGATCTAATGAGCAGAAGGGCCTCAGGATGCTCGCTGACATCACTTTACAGTGATCTTCCAGAGTGTTGTTTAGTACATTGCCTTTAGCTGCTTTTCTCCTGGCATAGCATCCTAGTGCTTAGATCTTTGGGTAAAGAAGAAATGAGAAAAGATGTTTAATCTTTTGAACTCTTTTTTTTGTCTCTTTATGTAATCCACACAGACCTATGTTCGAGATATTTATCCTTTCCGGAGGTCAGTATCTCCCCAGCTGAATCTTGTACATATGCATCCAGAGAAGGGACAGGAGCTCATTCAGAAACAGGTGACAGACCACGTCAGTTTTATTCCATGGTTTTGTCATGTTGTTGGAGTAGATATCTGTTCATACTTTGCCAACTTTGAGATTTTATGATTCCATTTTGACCCTCTCTGGAGACAGTAGTTGGCCCTCACTCAACAAATTATTCCCCTAAATAGTGTAAGATTTACAAATTGGATCATTGCTTAAAGGTAGTAAGAAACACTCACTTGGAGTAGTGTAATGATGAATTATTGAGTATAAATAATAGAAATCTCCTAATTATTTACCTATTATTTTCTATATGTAGATTTTCATTTCACATTTCTGTAAAATTGGATTGGAAATACACATAATGTAGCTATGTAAATTATCCCAGTGGTTTACACTAGCTGGCTACACAGTAAAAGGGGTCACTCTAGTATGCTTGAAAAAAAAAGCATTAAACTAAAGTTCAAAGATTTGGACTTCATCCCAGTTCTGCCTCTGACCAGGGATCTGACCTTGGGCATGTTATTAATTTCTCTTGAAACAGGAAGAGATATAGTCTAGCAGCTGTACTTAGGTTTAAGGTTGAAGAACAGAATAATATTCACATTTAATCTCAAATCAAACTTTGAGCTTAAGGAAAGTCACTATTCTGCATGCAAAATATAGCTTTAGTACACAATTCTAAAAATGATACAATTTTAATATTGCATATTTATTACATTCATTTTTAAATAAAATCTTTAAAGAATTTCAGGATACTTGATCATTTCAATTTTCTGTACATATCAAGGATAATAATTTGCCTTCAAAATATCCAAAAATATCTTCATGAAATGGGTGAGCATCGCATAGAATTAGACCACTTAAGTAATTAAAAATATAGCTACAATTAACTACCGACATTCTATTTAAAAGAAAGAAAATACTAAATGTGTTGCAAGGTGTGAGATGTTGGGCAAAACTATTAGATCTTAAATATAAACAATTCCTAAAACAATTCTCCTCAAATTACCCCAGCCCATGATTTTGGGGTAAGATAATTGAAACCCTAATCAATAATGGTGCTTGCCTAGTCTCTGTCTCTCTCTCTCTCTCTCTCTCTCTCTCTCTCTCTGTGTGTGTGTGTGTGTGTGTGTGTGTCTATTCATCATGTTTAAGAACAAGTTTTCAAAGAATGCCATCAAATGGAGTTCTTGCTCTGATGTACACTTCAAGTTAGAGCCTTAAGACTTCTAAGTTCCTCAGGGAGATTATAACATGGAGGCCTATGAGTCTGGCTCAGAAGTTTCCTCAGTAGCTACTCACTGCATATAAACTTCCTAATCATCAAGAGAAAAGGACCTAAGAACCAAGAGCCCCATGTGTATGCCCTCTAAACTCAGAGCACCAATCAAGGACCTATGAGCTTCTGTCCCAAGATAGGGTTTTCCTGGATCTCACATCAGTCTTTGTTTTTTTAAAGACAAACCCGGAACTCCCAGGAAACAGCTTCAGGCATTGGTGGCAATGGAACTGACTGACTCACTGACCCTGTTAGTGAAGGTCTTCCATATTATAGCATCCAAACAAATGGGCTCTATTTAATATTGAACTAATCTTGACAATGCTTGCCTTATGCTCCTCTCCAGCCTAAAACTCCATAAGGAACATTTCCTTCTGTAAAGCAGGCAGAAGGAAGTAAGAGGCAATTGAGAATTGTTTGCTCTTGCTTGTGGTAAAGGATAAAAACACATGTCTCCCTCATTTCACTTTTTCCCCTTTTCCGACTTTATCAACCCAGTTTGCCATTAAAGGTTTTCCTTTAGTTTTTTCAGTCTATAAATCTGGAGTTTCTAATACTCCTTTTTGTCTGCTCCTGCTTTTGTTTTCTCCAGGTGTTCACCCGAAAGCTGGAAGAAGTAGGGCGGGTGTTGTTTCTCATCTCCCTAACCCAGAAGATCCCCACAGCCCACAAACAGTCCCACGTCTCCATGCTTCAGGAAGACCTCCTCCGCCTGCCCTCATTCCCTCGTAGTGCTATTGATGCTGAGTTTTCACTCTTCAGTGATCCTCAAGGTATCAAACAAAGAAACATTGCCTCTCTGGGGCTTTTTCTAACACACTTGTTGTTTTTTTTTAAAATTTTATTATTATTATACTTTAAGTTTTAGGGTACATGTGCTCAACGTGCAGGTTTGTTACATATGTATACATGTGCCATGTTGGTGTGCTGCACCCATTAACTCGTCATTTAGCATTAGGTATATCTCCTAAACGCACTTGTTTTGTTCTCAAATGGAGAGCATCTGAATCAGCAGACAGTGCTGTAAAACCAGTGCTTCTCAGACCTGAGTGTGCACAAGAGACCCCTGAAGGACTTGTTGAAACACAGATTGCGGGGCCCCACGCTCCACCTCCGGGTTTCAGGATGGGGCTCAAGAGTTTGCATTTCTATTAAGTTCTCAGGTGATGCTGATGCTGCTATCCCAAGCACCACATTTTGAGAACCACTGCTCTAAGCTAGTCATCAGCAGTTGAAGCGTGGGTAGGATGGTGTTGTTAGGGTATGAGAATACTTGACTAAACAAAGACCGGGTATTTGTGTGAAGTTCAAAAAGAGGCAAAATTCATCTAGAATGACAGAAATCAGAATGGTGGTTGCCTCTGGATTTGGAGGGAATGAATTTCCTGGAAAGGGGCAGAAGGGTGATGAAAATGGTCTGTATATTGATGGAATGTTGTCTACATGAGTGCATAGTGCATATTTTTGTCAAAATTCAATGAACTCTAAAGATCTGTGCATTTTACTCTAAATAATACCTCAATTGAGAGAAAGAGAGACACAGAAGGAGACCCACTTTGGAGCCTCGCTCTGTTACTCAGTTATTAATTTGAGACAATTTACTTAAATTAGCATCTCTATGTTTTATCGCCCTCATCCAGAAGCTTCAGACAGGCTGGGCAAGGTGACTCATGCCTGTAATCCCAGGCCTTTGGGAGGCCCAGGGAGGCAGATCACTTGAGGTCAGGAGTTTGAGACTACCCTGGCCAACATGGCGAAACCCTGTCTCTACTAAAAATACAAAAAAAATTAGCTGGGCATGGTGGCGGGTGCCTGTAATCCCAGCTACTCAGGGGTCTGAAGCATGAGAATCACATGAACCCAGGAGATGGAGGTTGCAGTGAGCCGAGATTGCGCCATTGCACTCCAGACAGAACGACAGAGCGAGACTCCATCTCAAAAAAACAAAAAACAAAAAACAAAACGCTTCAGCTTCAGCAGTAGATAGAGCTCTAGCCTCTGACCATTAATTAAAAGACCAAGCAGTAGTCCCATCCCTGCTATTTTCTAGCTGAAATAATTTATTTTTCTCCAACAGATGTTTATTTAGCAGTAAAACACTGCCAATGCCTGCTCTGCCTTACCCACAGTTAGTTAAAGAGGTGATGATGAAAGTTCATGGAGAAAAGGAAGTGCTGTATCAAGGCCAGTAATATTGTGCTGGAAAACATTTCAGCAGTAGATCTTCACATCCTGGAGCTGGAACAAACGGAGAACAGCAGCGCCTTGGGTTTGATCACCTCTCATGCTGACAGGATTGGTGTGGGGCTAATTCTGTCTCTGCTGTTTCATGTTCTCACAGCTGGAAAGGAACTGTTTGGCCTCGACACTCTTCAGAAAAGCTTGTGGATCCAGCTGCTGGAGGAAATGTTCCTGGGCATGCCGAGCGAGTTTCCATGGGGAGACGAAATCATGCTTTTCCTCAACGTTTTTAACGGGGCTCTGATCCTCCACCCGGAAGACAGTGCCCTGCTCAGGCAGTATGCTGCCACCGTCATCAACACCGCGGTGCACTTCAACCACCTCTTCTCTCTCAGCGGCTACCAGTGGATTCTCCCCACCATGCTGCAGGTGCCCAGAACCTCCTCTCCCAACCAGAAAATTAACATGAGTACTGCTCATATCTAGCCGTTCAACTAGATCTATACTGAAACTTTTTAATGATGGTGTTATCATCTTCTTTTGTGACAACAGAAGGCAACAAATGAAATCCCCCCATAAATTTGCAAGAGTTCACAATGTTCCTTTCTACTCTGAGAGCCCCAGACTTGGGATATGCTTTCCCATTTCGTCTAGGACAGTGGTTCTTAAGTTGTAGTCCCTGGGCCAGCAGCATCAGCATCAACTGGAAACTTGTTGGAAATGTACATTCTGGTCAGGTGTGGTGGCTCACGCCTGTAATGCCAGCACTTTGGGAGGCCAAGGTGGGAGAATCTCTTGAAGTGAGGAGCTTAAGACTAGCTTGGGGAACACAGCAAGACCACATCTCTAAAACAAAAAAAAGTTTTAAAGAAAGAGAAATGCACATTCTTGGAGCCCATCCAGGTCTACTGAATCAGAAACTCAGGGATCAGGGCCCAGTAGTTTGTGTTTTTAACAAGACCTTCAAATGGTTTTGATGCCCTAGAACAGGAATCCTCTACCTCCGGGCCAGGGACCAGTACTGGTCTGTGGCCTGTAAGGAACCCCCACCCCTAGATTTTCATAGGAGCTGGAACCCTATTGTGAACTGTGCATGCAAGGGATCTAGGTTCCATGCTCCTGAATCTAATGCCTGATGATCTGAGGTGGAACAGTTTCATTCCGAAACCATCCCCCGCACTCACCCTGGTCCATGAAAAAATTGTCTTCCATGAAACCAGTCCCTGATGCCAAAAAGGTTGGGGACCACTGCCCTAGAAAGTTTGAGAACTTCTGTTCTTGAGTCACATGTATGGCAAGTGTTTAGCTGATGTTTCTCCCGAGAGATTCCCTGACCTCTAACTGAATAGAGATTTTCATTCCCAGTAAATGTGGTGTGTTGGGATTGGAGAAGGTAATTTAGCAGGAACAATTTTTATTTACTCGTGTCTAATGTATAGCTGGCTACATTTAGGAGTACTAAATAAAATCAGGCAGGGCCCAGGGGCTCATCCTAGTTCTCTATTTTTGAGGAAGTTTTGATAAAAATTATGATCACAACACATACAAAGTTAAGTTTGCTCAACCTATGGGGGCAAGAAAGTTACTATCACAGGACTCTCTTCCTCATTTTTAGATAGTTGCAATTTTCTCTATTTTTTTAGTAAGTATTTTTTTTTTACTGATTACCAAAAGCGATTATGTTCATTACAAAATTCAAAAGATGGAGAAAGTTTAAAGAAAAGATAAGGCTCACTTAAAATCCTTTCTCCCAGGTAATCATTGTTTATACTTACAAATCCTGGCACTCTTTCCTACACACACACACACACACACACACACACTCCAGAATTATATATTTTCAAGTTTGTAACCTAGTTTTTTCATATAACACTAAGAATATCATAGGCATTTTATATAGCTATATTTAGCCTTACAGCATTTTTAAAATTACTGCACAGCATTCTATGATTTGTATATACCATAATTCACTTAACCAAGATATATTTATGAATAATTTGTCTCATATTTTCCACTGTTATAGCCAGTCTTGCAGCAGGCCTTCTTATGTATGCATGTTTATACATGTGTCTAGTCCTTTCCTTGAGATAAATTCCTAGTCACAAACTTCCTGGAAAGAAAGTATGTTTAGATTTTCAGCATTTTGAGGTGTGTTACTAAATTTATCTAGAGAAAGTTTATGCCATTTTACATTCCTCTCTACCAGTTTACAAAGTTAGCCATTTCCCTCCAAGCTTCCCATGACCATGAGTTTTAAAAGCGAGTACAACTTTGATACTTCATTAAGGCATTTTTTGAATATCTGGCATTTTTCCATAGGTGTACTCCGACTATGAAAGCAATCCCCAGCTGCGTCAAGCCATCGAATTTGCCTGTCACCAGTTCTATATTCTACACCGGAAGCCCTTTGTGCTCCAGCTGTTTGCTAGTGTGGCCCCTCTCCTGGAATTTCCTGTAAGTAAGCTCTGTGGGAAAAAAAAATGAAGACCAACAAAATGAGAAAAGCAAAGGTTATTTATTAGAGCTTACTATGGCAAGGGAGTTGGCTACCATCACTTGTGTTTTGGCAGAGATGCAAAGGCAGGCAGAGGAGTCGAAAAACTGTATAGTGAAAAAAGGAGAAGCTTCAGGTATGTCCTGATTGGAGCTATTGGCCTGGGGAAGCTGCAGGTGAACTAACTAGTAGTTGGGCATCTTATATGATGGGTTAGGGGTGTATATTGGGCTTTCTCTGGTTGGTCCTAAGTTGGAAGCAGGGACAAAAATTAGGAAAGCTCTCAGTTATTATGCCAGTCCTGGTTACTTTGGGCCAGTTGTTACAGAGGTTATTGTTTGGTTACCACTGGAGGTAGTGGCCTGACTTCCTACAAGCCTGACTTAGGCTGGCTTCCTGAGCTGGTTATTGTAGACAATGGGTTGGTTTCCTGAGCAGGTTGTTGCAGGTTGTGGGTCAAAGTTCTATCTTTATATATGATTTAGTCATTGACAGTTTGTATATTCAGTCTCTGAGCTCTCTTTCTTTAACCAATGAGACATGCATACCATAAATAATATTTCTTTCAACAAGCATATCATTTCTCTTCAACATTCCTCTTCAGCTTTCATCTCAGCTCCTAACACATAAATAGACCAACTCTACAGTTTTTTAAATATTCAATTCATAAAAGAGATGGAAAGTAGAAAACGGTAAAAGGAAGGTTTCCCAATTTTCATTCCTTTTTGTCACTCTCTACCACCTACCCTGCTTTGTTTTTCTTTTTCTTCAGAGATTTTACCACCATATCACATGTTATATCTATTTGTTTCATTAACATGAATTTCTACGACACTCAACCAGCAGAATTTAATCTTCATGAAAGCAAGACCTTTGTATGCTTTTGTCTTTGCTTGTTTGTTTGGTTTTAGTTATTGTTGTATCGTTGTTTTATTTGCATTTTGTTTTTGGTTTTCTATAACCTCAGTGTGTAGCCTGGTGCTTGGCACAGAAGAACATCATAAGGATTTGTTGTTTCAGTGAATTATTTAAAGCCATTTTAAATAGATTTAAAATTGTAAGTATCTCCATGTGGAGATACATTATCAAAGAAGACCTGTGAAATTCCCAGCGTTGTTAGTTAAAATAAGCATACATTCCGCAAACATATTTGTAGTATTCAACCAATCAATTATAGAAATTTTCTTAGTTCTGCCATCTTCAATTAAAGGAACCATTGATATGAACTTTTTGGAAGTTCATATATCGCTGTATTTTTGTGAGCTTTTACAAATATCTCTTTTGTTCTATATTAGAATTTAATAGATCCCTTAAAAGTCAGGTGTACCACTCCAAAATCATACCACAGCATTGCGGGATCCAGAATTATGTAAGCTGAATTCCAGGTAGATGTTGTACTTGTTACTGGTAATAGCATTTATAAAATTTGAATTCCTGTCAAGTTATAGTTTTACTGTGGTGGGAGTCAATAAACAAAAATTGTTTTTCTTTATCAGGATGCTGCCAATAATGGGCCCAGCAAAGGTGTGTCAGCTCAGTGCCTGTTTGACTTGCTGCAGTCCCTAGAGGGAGAGACCACCGACATATTAGACATCTTAGAGCTGGTCAAAGCTGAGAAGCCTCTCAAGTCATTAGGTAAAAGCAAAACTTGCTTTGACATTCTTTTTCTCACTGCAGTTGTTAAATATAAATATATGTATTATACACACATACACGTATATTTATATGTGTGTGTATATATAACTAAATCAAAGTAGCAAAAATAAATGGAACAGTAGTAGAAATTGAATGAGTACATTTTTTTTCTTAAATTTCTTATGAATCCTAAAGAGTAAGGAATTCTCTGCCATGAAAACTATATTAAAATGATGCTCAGTAGACCACTGCTGTAGCACTGCAGTTTTCAGAAAGTTGGGTTATCTTGGGTAATTCTAAGTGAATAACTCTCCAAAATGGTCTTTTATTATCATGGAATGTGTAGAACTAGAGATAACTCCAGGGTAAAGCCTCAACCTTAGGCAATTTAAATGCCCTTCAGTGTCTTCTATTATCTGAGATTTTTTTAAACACTCCAGAAAAGTATTTTTATTTTACATCTGATTGTTCAAAACTAGAAAACAGAATTTCGTTCCCTTGAGATGAAGAAATTAATAGTTTTCACAGCGTAGGAATAAAATTTAACAAGAAAAGGCTACAGTATATACTGGAATGATAACATTAGGAGTAATAGGTGCTTCTTTATCTCCTGCAAAATCCACTCTGATAGTTTGCCTTTACTTTTTGTTCCTTCAGATTTCTGCTATGGAAACGAAGATCTGACATTTTCTATCAGTGAAGCCATTAAGCTCTGTGTCACTGTGGTGGCGTATGCTCCCGAATCATTCAGAAGGTATCTGCAGCCCTTTATTCTGTGCCTTGTGATAAGTAAATATGGCAGAGAAAATAAAATTGAATGAATACAAAGGTTATGCTGATTAATATCAGACTAACATTCTGACAAGTAAGCTTTTAGAAACTAAATTTAGGCCAGGTGTGGTGGCTCACACCTATAATCCCAGCACTTTGGAAGGCTGAGGCAAGAGGATTCCTTTAGCCCAGGAGTTTGAGACCAACCTGGGCAACATAGTGAGACCCTGTCTCTACAAAAATTTTAAAAAATTAAAAATTAGCCAGGTGTGGTGTTGCACACCTGTAGTCCCAACTTTTTGGGAGGCTTGAGGCAGGAGGATTGCTTAATCCCAGGCGGTCAAGGCTGCAGTGAGCTGTGATTGTCCCATTGCACTCTGGCCTAGGCAACAGAGTAAGACTTTGTCAGAAAAAAAAAAAAAGAAAGAAAGAAAAAAGAAAAGGAAAGAAGAAACAAAGTTTAGGAAACATAGCATAGGTTCTGGAAAACAATAGTAAATCTTCATTCATTTGAAATCCCTTAATTTGAATTTTGTGCAGATGCTAAGGTATTTAGTCTTGTTAGAAAATATTTTTCCTCACAAGTAATGTGAATTAGTAGCAAACAAAATTTCATAACAGATATTTATTTAAGAAAACTCCTTTCAAGGGGCAATAAGAATTTCTGTAACACAAAGGGCAAGAATATCAATCTTGCCTTCATTTTGCCAAGTACAGAGAATTCAAAGACTCACATGAAGAATGAGTCATCCCAATTCAAAGATGTTGGCTCTGGTCTGAGATTTAAATCTGATCTATTAAAAGTTGTACTCTGTTGACAAGCTCTTCCAGGAAGAAGGAAGGAGCCAAGCTGATTATGCCCAATATATCTTTATATATTTGCCCTGCACCTTAAGCCTGTTTCTCTCTCCCATAAGAGAATGAATAAGGGCCAGGAGGAGCGGGATTTATATTAATTGAACTCTTTTTACTGGAGGGACACATGAGGAATGAGTAAGAAGTGTTTTCCCCAATATTCTCGAATTTTTGTCTTCTGGAGCAATGGGGAGAAAAACAGTATGCCTGTGGTCAGGCACGGATGTGGCTGTGGCCTTCAGGAGAACAAAGCTGCAGGATGGTCTCATTTCTGATCTCAGGGTATGGAGGGGATTTCCTACTCCCATTTTCTTGCTGTTCCTATAATACCACTGATCTACAAAAAGTTCCAGAATGGATCAAATCCTGCATTAAGTTAACTCCAAATCCATTCTATACGTGATTGTAAACATCTTCTCTCTACTCTATTTGCCATTCCAAGTGTGTTCAGCTACGTTGTTAACCAGATATGTCAGATATTCTGCAATTGAGACACTGCAATAATAAAATGCATACAGATTCTCCAATATTCCTGCAACATAGAGAACACCTAAGTTTGACTAAAAAGTTCTCCCATTTCAAATTTTACCAAATTTCCATTGAGTCATAAAATTCTCTTTCAAGTCAAAATTCAAACACATTGAAATCAAAAGGTGTTAGAGTTCACAATCAAATTCCCTTGTCATTGTGAGTTAAAAGCCAAAGTCTAATATTGTTAAGTTAAATTAGAATTTTTTTTAATCCTCCTAATTTTCCATTCTGTCAGTTTAAACCAGATGACATCTTGATGTCTCAGTAAGGTCAGGGTTTCTTAAGTAGTGGTTCCCTGGGATATCTCTCATGGGAATAAGTAACATACCTATAGGACTTCAACATTTGTAACAGCAAGTCTCTGTTGTACTTAATTTTTTTTAAAAGTATTTTATTTAAGTGTAACATTCACATAAAACACTAAAAAAATCATAATTTTACAGTTCCATGAATGTTCATAATGTTATCACATCTACATAACTACCACTCAGATTGAAAAATCAGATAGAGGCACTACTATCCTGATTTCTAATATGATAAATCAGTTTTGCCTATTTCTGAAATCTGTTTAACTGAAATAGTATAGTAGCTACTTTTTAATGTCTGACTTCTGTCATTCAGTATTATTTCATGAGATTCATTCATATAAATGTGTGTAACAGTAGTTGATTCTTTTTCATTCACTTATAATAGTCATAATAATTGTATGACTATGTTACAATTTATTTATTTCTTCTCTTGTTATCAGGCATTTGTGTTGTATCTAGTTTGAAGGTATTATAAATAAAGCTGCAATGAATGTTTTTGTATATGTCTTTGTACACAAATATTTATGCATTTCTATGGATGGAACTGCTGGGCTAAGTCATGGACTATGAGTATTTCTTGCTTTAGTAGATACTACCAAAAAGTTTTCCAAGGTGGTTTCAATTTTCATTCCCACCAACAGTATGTAAATGTTCTAGTACCCTATGGCCTCATCAACACTTGTTATCTTCGGTCTTTTTATTTTAGCTATTTTGTTGGGTTGTAGTGACATCCATTATCATTTTAATTTCCATTTTCCTCTTTCAAATTAAAAGGTTTGGAAGCTTTTCAGATAAATGTTTATCAAAATTTGGACATCTCCTTTTGCAAAGTGCCTACTGAAGTCTTCTGCCCATTTTTAAATGAAGTTATCAGTATTTTTTATTTTATATGTGTGATTTCTTAGTGTTTTCTATTTAATTAATTATGTCATCTGCAAATCATGAGAGTTGTATTTTATCCTTTCAAATTCTTGTACACATTATTCCTTTCTCTGTCCTTAATGCACTGGCTAGAACCTTAATACAAAATGGAATAGAAGTGATGATGGTGATGATGGTGGGATCTTTGTTTCATTTCTGATCCCGGGGTATGGAGGGGATTTCCAATATTTCATCACTAAGAATAGTATTTGCTAAAGGATTTTGTTGTAATATACCTGTAAAGATTAAGGAAGTAATTTTATTACTCATTAAGAAATTAATTATTAAGGAGTCTGCCTTCTATTCTTAGTTTAGTTTGAGTTTTCTTATTGATGGATAATGAATATTACCAAATGTTCCTCTCTATTTATAGAGATGATTATATGATTTTTATTCTTTATTTTCTAAGTGTGATAGGTTACACTGATTTATTTTCAAAATTAAAACTTTCCTGTCTCCTTAAAAATAAACTGTAACTGGGTTGTATAATTATCATTTTTCAGTATTGCTAGATTTGGTTTGCAATTATTTTAGCATTTTTACAACTATGTTAATGAGAGCTATGTCTGTAATTTTTATTCTTTAAAAAGGTCTTATCTAATGAATTTTATTGCTAGGATCACAGGGAAGTTAGGAGTAGAAGAGATATTCTAGGTAGCTCTATGTCATTCAAGATAAACCAATTCTGGATACTTAAAAAAGTTACAAGTGCTTAAACAAAAAGGATGTCTTGCTTAGCTACTACTTTATTAACTACCCACTGGTAAACGTTTTAGCAGGTGTATTTGTAACCCTCCATTATTATAAAGTCCTTGTCAGGCTATAGTATCAAGGATATGAAGATTAAGCTGGACTCATAAGATGAAATGGAAAGTGTCTCTCCTACCCACCCCCCGCTTTTTAATTTTCTTTTATTTTTGAGACAGAGTCTTGCTCTTGTTGCCCAGGCTGGAGTGCAATGGCATAATCTTGGCTCACTGCAACCTCTGCCTCCTGGGTTCAAGCAATTCTCCTGCCTCTGCCTCCCGAGTAGCTGGGATTACAGGCACCCGCCACCACACCCAGCTAATTTTTGTATTTTTAGTAGACATGGGGTTTCACCATGTTGACCAGGCTGGTCTTAAACTCCTGACCTCAGGCGATCCACCCGCCTTGGCCTTCCAAAGTGCTGGGATTACAGGCATGAGCCACTGCGCCCAGCCCCCCACCCCTTTTTAAAAACTCCTATTCTCTGTAGAAATTTGGTATGGATTAGCTTTTTTTTATTTTTGAAACAGGGTCTTGTTCTGTTGCCAAGGTTGGAGTGCAGTGTCACAATCATGGCCCACTGCAGCCTTGATCTCCCAGACTCGAGCAATCCTCCCACCTCAGCCTTCCAAGTAGCCGGCACTACAGGCGGGTGCCTTCACACCCTGCTAAGTTTTTTGATTTTTTGAGAGATAAAGAAAGTCTCACTGTGTTGCCCAGGCTGGTCTCAAACTCCTGAGCTCAAGTGTTCCTCCCACCTCAGCCTCCCAAAGTGCTGGGATTACAGGCAGAGGAACTGTGCCTGCCTCAGATGAGCATTTTGTCTTCCCAAAA
Source organism: Homo sapiens (assembly GCF_000001405.40). NCBI lineage: Eukaryota > Metazoa > Chordata > Mammalia > Primates > Hominidae > Homo > Homo sapiens. The sequence continues at coordinate 209,950,157 of NC_000002.12, forward strand.
TATTGAGTAGAATTTATACACAAAACTGTAAGTAATGTGGTTTCTTGTGGGAACATTTTAAAATTAAGATTCTTTATCCTGGTGGTGGCTTTGGTAAGTCACATTTTTCTAGGAATTTTTCTATTTAATTTAAGTACCTAAATTTATTGACAGAAATTTGTTCCTGATATGCTTTTTTTAAAAAAAAAATTTTAATGACTATGAGGTTTTTATTGAGTTCACTTTTTTATTTCTAATACTGGGAATTTTTGCTCCCTCCCTTTTTTTATTATTCTTTTCAGGAGTTTATCAATAGTTTTCCCTTTACGAATAACCAGTATTTGGGGCTTTGTTGATTTTTGCTATTGTAGTTTTATTGTCTGCCTTTTCTTTCCTTTTTTATCTTTATTATTTTCTACCTTTGGCTTTTTTTTTTTTTTTAACGGAGTTTTCGTTCTTGTTGCCCAGGCTGGAGTGCAATGGCACAATCTCGGCTCACAGCGACCTCCACCTCCCGGATTCAAGCGATTCTCCTGCCTCAGCCTCCCGAGTAGCTGGGATTACAGGCATGTGCCACCACACCTGGCTAATTTTGTACTTTTAGTAGAGACAGAGTTTCTCCATGTTGGTCAGGTTGGTCTTGAACTCCTGACCTCAGGTGATCCACCCGTCTCAGCCTCCCAAAGTGCTGGGATTATAAGCATGAGCCACCGCACCCAGCTGGATTTTTTTTTTTAATTTAAAGAAAATATTCAGGCCAGGTGCAGTGGCTCACGCCTGGAATCCCAGCACTTTGGGAGGCCAAAGCATGTGGATTGCATGATTTCAGGAGTTTGAGACCAACCTGGGCAACATGGCAAAACCCCGTCCCTACAAAAAATACAAAAATTAGCGGGGCATGGTGGTGCATGCCTGTGATCCCAGCTACTCAAGAGGCTAAGGTGGGAGGATTGCTTGAGCCCAAGTTGAGGCTGCAGTGAGCTGAGATTGCACCACCACACTCCAACCTGGTCAACAGAGCAAGACCTGTCTCAAATAAATTAATTAACTAATAAAATAAAATAAAAAAGAAAATATTCCATTTTCTACTGACTTATCATATCTGTTGAAAAATCAGCATTAGATCTTATTGCACATTTGAATTTAACGTGTCCTTTTTTTTTCTCTCTCTCTCTCTTTTGAGATGGAATCTCACTCTGTCGCCCAGGCTGGAGTGCAGTGGCACCATCTCAGCTCACTGCAACCTCCGCCTCCCGGGTTCAAGCAGTTCTCCTCCCTCAGCCTCCCAAATAGCTGGGACTACAGGCATGCACCACCACACCCAGCTAATTTTTTATATTTTTAGTAGAGATGAGATTTCACCGTATTGGCCAGGCTGGTCTCAAACTCCTGACCTCGTGATCTGCCCGCCTCAGCCTCCCAAAGTGCTGGGATTACAGGTGTGAGCCGCCGTGCCCTGCCCTAATGTGTCTTTTTCTCTGGCTACTTTTAAGATTTTCTCTTTGCTTTGGGTTTTAAGCAGTTTGACTGTGGTGTGCCTAGTTGTGATTTTTCTTTGTGTTTATACTTCTTGGGATTCATAGTGTTTCCTGAATATAAAGCTTGATAGCTTTCAATAATTTTAGAAAATTTGACTAATAACTCTTCACATATTACCTCTATCCCATTTTCCCTCCCCTCTCCATTTATGTATATGTATTTTTTCCTCCTTAACCACATGCTCTATATATGTCTCTTATGTTCTTTCCTGCATTTCCTATCATTTCTCCCCTCTGTTCTGTCTTGATGTTTTCCATTGTTCTTTATTCCAGTTCACACTCATCTCTTCCTGTGTCTAATCTACTATTAACACTTACCTTTCAGGTTTCTAATTTCAAATATTTTAGTGTTCAGTTCTAGAATTTCCACTTTTTTAATAGATTTCAGAGTTTTGATGAAATTCTCCATTTTGTTATCTCTTATTTAACATTTTAGTCATTGTTTCATAAAAGTCTGTGTCTGATAACTTTAGTATGTAGATCACTTGTGGCTCTGTTTATATCATCTGTTCCTTTCCTTGGATTTGATCATTTGGTTTTAGCAGGACTGGGTAATTTTGACTAGTGAATATTGCATTAAAAAAATTAGAAATGCTTTGAGGATCTACCCGATGTTATCTTCCTCCAAAAATGATTCATTTTTACTCTCTGACTAGCAATTGTGGTAGGGCAGATCATTTTAATTCAGTGTGTGATTGATTTGATTTAAAGTTGGGTTTCAGTCTTTGTAAGGGCTGTTCTATTTATTTCACACTGCTAGGATCAGCCTTCCATGGGCCTAACTCCTCTTTGGAAGTCCCTGAACTCCAATATATATTTCCTCGCAATTATGAGGCTACTGAAAATCCTGCTTAGCTTCATAGCTCTTAGCTGACATTTCTGCTTGGATTTCTCCTTAGCCTTTTGGCCCTAAGCAATTTACAAACGAGCAGATGCCTGGAAAAAAAAGAGTGCTGCACAATGGCTGGATGAACTGAAGAAGCTTTCTTTCTCCCAGAAGTCTGGTACCTCCAAAAGATATCTGCTAGCCTTAGCTTCTACCTGGTACCTTCGATGTGTTTTAAAAATTTTGTCCACCCTTTCTAGTAAGACAATTAGTCTGCAGCAAGGTACTTTTTATTGTTACAGAAAGCAGAACCGACTTCTTGCCTCCTTTTTCAAGTTGCCAAAAAAATAGGAGAACTCAAAAGAGTATCATAGTTCTTTCTCCGTACCCATGAAATTCTGATAATTGCCATTTCCTGCTTATAGAGCACATATTATAGGCAAAATTATATTACCAAAAACCAGTATTCAGTATTATAAAGAGCATAGCAAAAACTCATTGGTATCTGTAAGAAAAAGAATAGATCAAAGAAAATCTTGATTTCAGATTCTTTGGGATATCAACTCATCACTGCTGTTTTCTAGAACCCACAATCTTTAAACTTTAACACAATTGGGGAATCTCTAAACAAAAGATGGCAGGGTGCGGTGGTTCATGCCTGTAATCCCAGATCTTTGGGAGGCTGAGGCGGGAAGATTGCGTGAGGCCAAGAGTTTGAGACCAGCCTGGCCAACATAGTGAAACCCTGTCTCTACTAAAAATACAAAAATTATCCGGGCATTGTAGTGAATGCCTATAATCCCAGCTACTGGGGAGGCTGAGGTAGGAGAATCACTTGAACCCAGGCAGAGGTTGTAGTGAGCCGAAATCATGCCACTGCACTGCAGCCTGGGTGACTGACAGAGCAAGACTCTGTCAAAAAAAAAAAAAAAAAAAAAAAAAAGATTTATGTTGGTGGTGTTATACACTTACAACTTTAGAGGGGAAAACCCACTTTGCATAATAACTACTTAATCTCCATGTCCCCTTCAAGGTGTTTCTGGCACCCCAATACTAAATTGAGTGTGGGCCCTATCCAGTGAGTGGTGTTCACTCACGTTGGTAAGCAGGCATTGTCAGACTTCATCATAATGGCTGTTTCCAACATTTGTTGCTATTTATTTTTTTAAGTTCAGGAAGCCAGCCTCCCATGAAAGGGTTTTATGTTGTCTCAAAATTGTTGCAGCTGGAAAATCACTCTCAGCAAACTCCTGAATTGAATTTTTGTTCTGAAGCCTGTTTCTCTAGATGGACTATATAGCTCCACCTATTATCATTCTGTTATTCTTTCAACCATTTATTTGTATATATGGCTAATTCCCCCGACTAGATCACATGTTTCCTTAAGGCAAGATTCATCGCCTTTTAGCAGGTGGTTAGTGAATTAATAATTGTTGGTCAACATTTCCAGCAGCTTTAACTGCTTTTGATTAGGAGTGGCAAGGGGCCTTAGAATTCATATATCTCTAGATGCTTTTCATTGTTCTATGCTCTTAAGTGTGACACAACCAACAAAAGTAGAATGTAAAAGGTGACTCGGTTTTCTTTCTGTCGCTTAAAGTCTTCAGATGCTGATGGTCTTAGAAGCCTTAGTTCCATGTTACCTACAAAAGCTAAAGAGGCAGACATCACAGGTGGAGACAGTACCTGCTGCCCGAGAGGAGATTGCGGCCACTGCTGCTCTTGCGACGTCCCTACAGGCCCTTTTGTACAGTGTAGAGGTCCTCACCAGGTAATCCCATTGGCAGAAATAGCTACAGCCTTACATCATATGTTTCCACTGAAAAAAAAAAAATAAGAAAAAAATGTGATGGATAAAAATCTAAAACCCAATCTTTATTTACAGATACCTCCTAAACTCAGCCCTTTATGCCTTATAACTGTGAACAGTTCGTGAGTTATTTGAATAAATAATGTTAAGCATTCTGATTAGTAGTAGTATAATAATAGTAATAATATTCTTACTATCATTGCTAAACACACATTTGCATATAGCTTGCTGAGCTTCTCCAGCAGTTATAACCCAGTGGTAAACACATCTTGTGTAAGAGGGCCAATTTAGTGAATTTAAAGATGTAATCTACATTTTTATTAGTTATTATAGTATTTTATGAGACATGGAATGCCTACAATTCCAACTAAGTATTCTTTTATTATTTTACTGTTTGTGAAGTGTTGTGTTTTTAACTATAATTTCAGAAACTACATAACCAATATAAACAGCAGAATGTTATCCTACTGCTTGAATTAATAGATTCTCTGTGGGACAGGATTAAATAATGCGGAGAGAGGATTGAGAAATTTGGGAATGGTAAGGTAAATTGGCACCAGAGTTCAGCCCTAAACAAAGTTCAAGCAGTTAGTCCTGTCGCAAGATGCTTGGGTGCCGAAGCAGAGTCACTAAGCTGCCATGTGGCAGGAAAGGGGCAGGCAGGGAGCCCTGGATGAGACAAAAAAATAAAATGCAAGTGGGGAAGGTGGATGCAGGACACTATGCGTATGATGGGCTTTTCTGCTCTGTTCCCATCTAAATTAGCTGCCAGGAAATATTCTTCCCCAGGATAGGGATGGGGAAGCCTTCTTCCTGGGTTTAGTGTCTTTGCTCCTCCATTCCATTCTGCCATGCTGTGTGTCCAATCTAAAGTGCCAGATCCTTAGTGTGAAATTGTCTACGCCTCCACCAAAAGGCACCAACTCCCCCAGCCCCATCTTGCTGTGCTGGTAAGGGGGAAGCCCTTTAGTCCAGGAAGGACTTTTTCAGCATGCATCAGCAAGAAAAAGAGAGAGTGGGATTGTAATTCATTAGCAGCAACAGATGTTTAGTTTCTAATCATGAGCTACATTGCCAAACTAGGCAAGCAGAATATTGCCCAAAAGCCTTCTGTAGACTATCATCCTGAAATGTTCATATGCACCTAAACTAAGGAAATGGGAAGAGTTGGCACAGACAGCCATGACAAATTATCTCTTCCAAGGAGAAATAGTTTTCTATGCTATTGCTGATGGTTTCATGAAAGTCCCAGAAGAATATCCTAAAGAGAAATGAAAGACTTACACTCTTCCTTCTGTACCCATCTGGTTATGTCACTGGCCTTTTCCTACAACTAGAAGAAAGAAAAGCAGTCAATTGTTCCCAAATGCCACTGTATTTCTAATATATATATATATATATATATATATATATATATATATATATATATACACACACACACACACACACAGAGAGAGACTGACTCACTCTGTCACCCAGGCTGGAGTTCAGTGGCATAATCTTGGCTCACTGCAACCTCCGCCTCCCGGGTTTAAGCAATTCTCATGCCTCAGCCTCCCAAAAAGCTGGGATTATAGGCATGCACCACCAGGCCCCGATAATTTTTGTATTTTCAGTAGAGACGGTGTTTCCCCATGTTGGCCAGGCTGGTCTCGAACTCCTGGCCTCAAGTGATCCACCCACCTCGGCCTCCTAAAGTGCTGGGATTACAGGTGTAAGCCACCATACTCAGCCTATTTCTCCTCATATTACGTAATGTTAAAGCTTTCCTCATTTCTATACCTTTTTATAAGGATAAGTCAATTAACTTATCCAAAATTGACTTACTCGAAGTGTCACAAAGAGTTATGGATGGAGCTCTGGCATTTAAAATTATGTGGCTTTAAATATTCCAGTGCATTTAATATTCTTTTGGCAGAGAAGACTAGCTTCATTATTTGGTAGTAGTTACTCAAACCAAAATTGGCTTCACTGTATTTACAAAAAGAAGATAAGAATTCTCTGCTCAGGGTTTCTCAAGGTGGAAGTCAAGTTGTCAGCTAGTCTGAACTTTTATCTGAAGGCACTGGGGAAGAATGAACTTCCAAGCTCATTCAATTTTTTGGCAGAATCTAGTTCCATGCGGCTTTAGGTCTGAGGTCCCATTTCCTGGCTGGCTGTCAGCCAGGCACCACTCTGCATTGAGAAGGCACCTGCATTTCTTCTCACATGCTCCCCCTCTACCTTCCAACCAGCAATAGCATCTTGAATCCTTTTTTTTTTAAATTTTTTAATTTTTTTTAAATTATACTTTAAGTTTTAGGGTACATGTGCACATTGTGCAGGTTAGTTACATATGTATACATGTGCAGCGCACCAGCATAGCATCTTGAATCCTTATGCTTCAAATCTCTCTGCCCTAGCCAGAGAAGACTCTCTGCTTTTGAAGGGCTGGTGTGACTAGATTAGGCCTATGCAGATACTCCCCCTTTTTGCCGTATAATGTAACATAATCACTAGAGTAACACCAACGGGCAAAGATACTGGGAGCCATCTCTAAATTGTGTCTATCACAACAGGCACAGGAAGAGGAGATCTGGTGTGATCGTTAAAAGCTTACTTTCTAGCCATCCCCAGCAGACAGAAAGTGAGCAACAAAGAAGCAAACCTTGATGATTTCATAAAAGCAGTTGCTTTAAAAAAAACTGCATTATGCCTTTTTCGTCCTAGATGCCAATACAGAGGCAAATTTTACCTATTATTTGAAGTAAATCTGGCAGATATAAAATGAGATGATTCAAATCTATTACTAACGATCTAAATTACTGACTTATAAGATACTAACTTACTCACTTTCCTGGGTAGCCTTAGGTGTGATGTGACTAGGAGAATTCTTTTATTCTTTGATAGTTTCTCAGAAAAAATAGAGTAGTTGATAATGGTGTAGGTGGCCAAAGTGGTACATACATCCTTGCCTTTTACTTATTATCTAGAATGGTGAACTACCCAGTAGAACTGAAGAATGACCTCTTTACTCTCAACTGGTACAGACTTAGAAGTCTGTAGATATTTCATAAATGTCTTGTTGGAAGAGTCATTTTGACGAGTCTATTACTCAGAACAAAGAAGTGGAAGAACTTAAATCATGATGAGCTTATAAACCCCTGGGAATCAATGTTCTTTTAAAGTGCCTCTCAGAACAAACAGAAAAGCCCAAAGCTAGACAGCCTGTCTTTTGAAGACTCTAAAACTAACTTAAAACTTATGTGTGCTTCAGTAACTTGAGGATTTAATAAATGTTTCCATTTCTGTTGTTGTTGTTGTTTTGCTGTGGTGATTACTGTCATTGTTACAGGCCCATGACAGCCCCACAGATGAGCAGGTGTGACCAAGGTCATAAGGGAACCACCACAGCCAATCACACCATGTCGTCTGGGGTGAACACCAGGTAATTCACTGCGCCTTATTCTTCTATGGTCTCTCAATTTCATACAACCCGAATGTCAGCTGTTGAGAATGAAAGGAACCCTGAACATAGTCAATATTGAGTGTGAAAACCTCCAAGGAAAAGAAAAGAAGGTGAGAGTTTAGAGTTACAAGAAAATACCAAGGCTTCTTTTGAAATTGTCAAAGAGAAATCTAAACCAACTTCATAAATAGGCATTTGTGTTGTTTTGTTTGCTTGAGCATTCTAGATGTTCTCTGCCTCCTGGGTGGTCTTTGAACTATTCCAGTGTTGTTTCATTTACCTTCAACAAAAGGCAAATAAACAATAATAATCAGGAGGTGGTTTATCATTCCCAGGGCACTCAGAGTCAACTTACTTTCATCTGGACAGATTTTCTGCAGACATTTCATCCAAACTTTGACATATGCCCTCAAATGGTGCTTTTCATGGTTGTTAACTTAATCTCCTTCTCTTGTTGTGGTGTAACTCAGATACTGGCTATACTAGTTAATATTTTACCCGTTTCATTCCATCTGTGTTAGCTTTAAATATTCCGACATACACAAAAAGCCTAATTAGCTTCCTCCTACAAGGAAGATTTAAGATAGGGCAAACCCAAAATCAGCTTAAGAAAAAGTTCTTTTCCCAGTATGGAATAGTTGGCCTGGAAATCATAAGGAGAAATTCAATAATTTTTCACTCTCTCTGAAGCCTATTTTTAAGTGTGTATCATTATTCATGTAAAGTTAATTCCCTGCTCATCATATATATTCATATTAAAAATAAAACAAAAATAAATTCCAAACCCAGCTATAAATTGCCTGGTGTGATGGTTAACTTATGCCTCAATTTCCTATATTAAGGGAAAATGATATACTATAGCTTAAGTGATATTTAGGGACTTCTCTAGGCTCACTGGATTAAATGAGGGCTTCTAAAGAAGAAAGAGGGCTTCTAAAGTCTTAGTATCCATGAATCATAAAGCAATAAGTCTCCAGAACTGAAAGGAAGTCAGCCATGATTCTCCTTCCTGTCACTTAAGACAGAGCACATGGTATTAAAACTATAACTTAAATTTCAAAATGTCCAAAAATTTCTCTCATTTGGCTATATTCTATGAGTTTGTATATATTTTTATAATAGTCGTCTTTACCCAAATCACGCAACAATAAAACAACTTTTGCAGCAGCTATAATTGCAATATATGTGTTAGCCAAATGAAAGATAAAGCCTTTATGTTTTAGGAGTAATATATGTATATTTGTGAGCTTATCAAAATGTATAGCTTCAAGGGCTTTTCATATGAAAGTCGATAAGAAGCCCCAACCAAAGGACCCCGTTCTTGCTCTAATAGTTATGTAGACTGTTTTTCTGACTCCCAGGTACCAGGAACAAGGAGCCAAACTGCACTTTATCAGGTACAGAAAGACTTGCTCTAATTTCATACCAGTTCTGACATCTTGAGATGATTGCCTTTTAAGCTGGTTTATGGCTCTATTAGATTTCATTTGATGCATAACATACTATTTCTGGGTAAACCCCCAAAAGTGGGTTTACTACAGTTTGGGATGACAGTCTCTTCTAGGCTGCTAAGCTTTCTTTATCCTTCGGATGAGGTTCTCCTTGGCCTCACCCTACTGATTCATTAACTCATTAGGAATCTTATATTTTTCTTCAGTGTGATACCCTCTTCTCACAGCTGCTACATGAATACATTTTCAGACCCCTAGTTAATCTTTCACAATTTCCCAGGGAAAACCTTCATTTACTGGAGGAAGGGCAAGGCATTCCCAGAGAGGAACTGGATGAACGAATTGCTCGGGAAGAGTTCAGAAGACCCCGGGAGTCCTTACTGAATATTTGCACTGAGTTCTATAAGCACTGTGGGCCACGGCTGAAGATCTTGCAAAATCTGGCTGGGGAGCCTCGGGTCATTGCCTTGGAACTGCTGGATGTGAAGTCTCACATGAGGTACTGGCCTCGCTTTCCCTGCCCCAAGTGTGAACACAGCTTGGCCCATGTGTCTGAATGTGTGTGTTGGGTTGAGAGTGGGGGTTCTCCAGGAAAAACTCTTAATATAGAATGATTTGTTTCCGGTGACTTAGGTACACATCATACAGAACCCTCTGCTAAAGTGTGCATTAAGTCCATCAAACAGGATCTTAGCGTGGACAAGGGGAAAATGTTCTTAAGATAGAAAAGCACAGTTTATATATGTGCTTCTCAATAAAAGAGAAAGAAAGGGAAATTTTATCACCTGAATTCTTAGAAAAGTAGCCTTCTTCTCACTACTATTTACTGCCCAGATTCGAATTTTTCACAAGAATTGAATGTTTCTTCTCTGTTATTTTACATGAGGAATGCACAACTACTTTCTGCTTCTAGGGTCCCTAAAAAGCCAGTAATGAGCCCTGCAGGGAAGTAAGCAGTTTTAACTCAGCCAACTTGGCTTGGGCCTGAAATCCCCTTTATATAAACAGCCTTCCAACCGTTAAAAAAATGTGTCCTGGTAAAAATTCTGAACTAGATGAGGCCAGTCGTCATTTACATGTTTTACTCTTAGTGTGCTAGGGAAAGGCCCCAGAATTACTTCCCTGTGCACTCGTATTTCGTCTTCCTACAGAGATGCCATTTCACTTGAAATTCATGCTAAAGGCCGTATTTGTGTTTCAAAAGGAACGTGATTCCAGAGGACCTTCTATTCAGATTTGTAATTGTTTGTTAAGGGTGATAAAAATCCCTTCAAAGAAAAATGTCATGGGTAACAAAAGATTCACTTGGAAATTTTAACGTATCTATAAAGGTAAAAGTAGAGTTAGGTTCAGCCACTTCCAAATAACGTTGCAATTTCACAAAACTCACAGTTTCCTGGTTATTGCCTTTTTTTAAATTTAGAAAGTACTAAATGGAGGAAAATGAGAAGACAGAAATGTACAGTGAGCATAGATTCTTTTTCTTCCAGTGTAATTTCACATTCTTTGAATTGTGGGCACACACCCAGTACTGCCCTGGAGAACCCCAGAGCCTCACTGGAGTTCACACTCCCTGCTGTGCAGTAATGGGGAAGAGCTTATTTCACACTGAGAAGTTCAGCTCCTAGATGGGAGCCTTCAGAGAAAGGGGAGGGACATTTGGAGTGTTAAGGTACTGCTGTCATAGCAACTTAGGAATCTATTCAGCCCCTCCACTTCCTTTCCCGCTGGTCTTCTCTAGCTGACCTAAGCAATTCTGTGAACAGAGAAACATCACATTCCCAGAGTCAGAAAATCATTATGACCAATGGCCATTTTGTGAGAGAAAGGGAAAAATATTCCTAAAAGATGGATGTGTGTGTGTGTGTATGTGTGTGTGAGAGAGAGGGAGAGAGAGAGAGAGAGACTATGAGATAGTGACTGTCCCATAACCTGACTGTATTTATACTCTTCTTAGGGCATTTGGAGGGAGGGGACAGCAAGAGTCAGAGAGGCCTGGCGCTCCCTCTAGAGGCCAATACCTATTAAAGGTTAAATGAACTGGAAATGATTTAGCTCTGTGCCTGGCACAGATCTGGACACAATAGATACTAATGCTAATGAGAATGGTTCAAATACTATGTTAAACACTGGGGATGTAAACTAAGGTCCTGGTCTTCAAGATTATCACGGTTCAATGCAAGAGGCACATAAGAAAATAACTATGATACAAAGTTGTAAGTACTATAATCACATTTACATTTATGTATTATTATATAAAGGATTTGAGGAAACTCAGAAAATATTTGAAGGGAGAGTGTATACAAATTATAGAGTCAGGATAATGTGAAAGATTTTCAAGGAGTTAATTATTTTTATGATAAGATTAGCACGGGAAATCAATATAAGATCATATTAGATATTATTCATGAACCATAAATTTGACTTTCTTAGTTATCAAAGCAAAGAATGAAAAAAAGATTAATTACAAAATCATAATATAAATAAGTTAAAAACAAAACAGTTGCTCGGTGAAACAATACTTTTTTAAAATACGAAGAACAAGAAAAATCTTGTAGGGGCCAAGGGAAAATTTCCCCTTCACTCTCTGAAGGTTTGCTGAAAGTCAACTGATAAAAGGCAGATCATAATCAAAAAGCATGAAAATGTATTTGATCATAGTTTTACCTGACACAGGAGCCTTCAGGATGAAGACCCAAAAATACAGGGGAAGCTCTCCATTTTTGTTTAAGTTTAACAAAGTATGGATAGCCATGTATAAATATGACTGGACAAAAAGGGTATGATCCCATTCTAATAGACCAAGTGAGGAAACCCAGCATGGCCTGTATGTTTGGATTCTTCTTGGCCTCTCTGGTTAGCATTCCTTCCTTCTGGGAATGGGGCAAGACCCTTTCTGGAAAGGGGGCGTTGTTATGACCTACAATCAAACAAGATGGGTCAGGTAATTTCTTTATGGCTAGTTTTTACACAGAAAGATGGGGGAAATTTAGTGTAATATTTTTAAGTTTTATGGCTGGCTTCAGGAAAAAAGGTTCTGGTTTCAATGACTTGCTTTGAGGAAAAGGGTCTCCAGTTTCCATGGCTAGCCTTGGAAAAGAATGAGAGGCCACAGAGAGGAGGGCAGGAGAAGATCAGTGAAAAACCTTGGCTTCTGAGGTCTTCATTTTGGCGTATTGCTTTCTGAGCTTCAACAGTCTCCTGGTTGGTGTTTGTTAAAAGGGAAGAGTAGTATGATGAACAGAGTCCTCAACAACATCCCCATAGTAGATAAAGTGCTGGTTGTACATGGCTGGATGCCTGTTAGTATATAAAGTTGGCACAATGTCATAATGCAGTTCAGCAAGAGCAATTGATCTGAAGCCAGGATAATGTCATTCAAGAGCACAGCTATTTCATGGCCTGGATCAATAGGAGGGCAACATTTTTATTGCTCAGGGAATATTTAGACTAAATGCCCTTTATTAACGCAATTTCTCACAACAAGCTTTTGAAAAAGACAGGCCTGCCATAGTCTCTGACCAAATAGAGACATTCTGTGTTGCTGATTAGGGGCAGATCCAGATGCTTTGAACTTATACTAAGCAAAGGATGTAATTAAGGCTCTCCTATAAGTTAAGTGCGCACTTGAATATGTGTAAAAGTTGGAGCTTAATATATAAATTTGCGAATTGAGGGTAGTATTAAATCGTTCTTAAATTATAAGAATAGATAATGTCACCCAAGGATGAAAAGTTGATTTTTAAAAAGAGAAAGAGAAATGGGATGATATAAAAAATGCAAATGTTTGCCAAAATAATTTGAATCAAACCAACAAGTTAAGAAACATTGCTAAGGCAATCTATACTTCTGAATTTGCAGAATGTATGGTTGATTACAAGGCTCTTGAAGAAAATATTCTTGATTAGAGTCTCTGCCCTACAGAAATGTATTGCTTCATTTGTCCAACCCAGTGCTGCCAAAGCAGCTGGATAATAGAATCTGCAAATTCTCTCTCTTTTTCTCTCTCTTTCTCTGTCTGTCTCTCTCTCGTGTGTGGTCTCTATCTCTCTCATTCTCTTTCTCTCTTTCTCTTTTCCTCTCTCCCTCACCCTCTCAATGGGAAAATCTCTTGTGTTCCCACTGGGAAAGAACCATAGGAAAGTTTTTTGATTATACATGTGATAGTACAGCAAAGACTGTGGGAAAGGGAAATTTTGTTTTATGCACAAAGCAAATTTATTTTGTCACATGACCAGGAATTAGAGAAATTCAGGTAGTAATCCATAAAATGGCTCTTAAATTCAGCTCTACGTAGTCTTTGGAAGCTCAAAATAGACAGATTGATTATCTCACAAGCACTTCTCAATGTTATCTTTAAAATAATAAGAGAAAAGAAATAAGTGCATATAGATATACTCTTATTTGTCACACAAATAACCTGAGAAGTAAAGAATTATTTTCTGTATATCAAATTCATGAGAAAGAGATAAACAAAAGAATGTATAAGCTGTTTAAAATGATTTCTTTAAAACACCCACATTCACACAGAATTCCAGGACAATGTGAATATGTTCAGTTTGGAGAGAAGACAATGGGAATTAAGAGACAATAACTATTTCTTGATAATGAAGGGTCATGATGGAGAAGATGGATTGGATTTATGCTTTCAGAATTAAGCCTAGTAGGAAGAAATGAAAGGGAATTTGGAGGCCTAACATGAAAGGAACCTCTCACAGTGTGGACCTCCAAAGATGAAATAAGTTGCCTTGTACAGTAGTGAATTTTCTATCCATGGAGCCAGTCACATAAAGCAATTGTAGAACAATCTAAATAATCAGAGAGGTAGTGGCCTTGGCTGTGATTCCTAAACCAGGATGCCTATCAAAATCAGCTGAGGAGCTCTTACCCTCTAGATCCTTTCAAACAGTTATTCACTCTTCAGTTCTCTTGGAGTAATCACAATTTCTCTTTATTACAATGCTATAGTTAATATGTGAGACAAAGAATTACATGATATTACCACTGCACTACTCCTAATGCATCAGTGGATCTGTGCAGTGACTAAGAACAACTAATATAAAAAGAGTGACAACTAGGAATCCTGTACCTCCTGGCGGAAGTACACACCACATACACCACCTGCTAAGTACTCTTGCCAAAAATTCAAAACTGAGTCTGCAGATGTAGGCCCTGGATTTAACTTCCAATCGAATTAAATACAAAGGCAGTAGGATAGATTAAATTACACCGTGGAGATTCAATCAGCAAAATTCAGAGTGTTGCTACAGAGAATTTCTTTAATAAATAACAAGATAAGGCCGGGCGCGGTTGTTCACGCCTGTAATCCCAGCACTTTGGGAGGACGAGTTGGGCAGATCACAAGGTCAAGAGATCGAGACCATCCTGGCCAACATAGTGAAACCCTCGTCTCTACTAAAAATACAAAAATTAGCTGGGCGTGGTGGCATGCGCCTGTAGTCCCAGCTACTCAGGAGGCTGAGGCAGGAGAATCGCTTGTACCGGGAGGCAGAGGTTGCAGTGAGCCGAGATCGCACCACTGCACTCCAGCCTGGTGACAGAGTGAGACTCTGTCTCAAAAAAAAAAAAAAAAAGACAAGTACAGAAGGGGGGAAATCGACATATTAAAAGAGACTTAAGGACATATCAACAAATTGAAATTTATGGGCCTTATTTTTTCCTAATTTGTTAAAAAAAAGTAATTATGAGATAATGTGTGAATGTTGAAAACTGACTGAATATTTGGGTTTTTTAAAAAAGAATTATTTTTAATTTGTTAAATGTCATACTGTGTTGTGTTTAATTTTTCTGAGTCCATAAATTTGGAGACACATACTGAAATATGTCTGGGTAAATGATGTGATGCTTGGAATTTACTTTAAAATAGTCTAGGGTAGGGAAAAGGGGGAGTGTTTGGGGGTATAAGTAAAACAAGAGTCACTGTAGGCCAAGTACAGTGGCTCACACCTGTAATCCCAGCACTTTTGGGAGGCTGAGGCAGGCAGATTGCTTGAGTCCAGGAGCTCAAAACCAGCCTGGGCAACATAGCAAAACCCCATCTCTACAAAAACTACAAAAATTAGCCGGGCATGGGGCTGTGCACCTGTAGTCCCAGCTACTTGGAAGGCTGAGGTTGAGAGATGGGTATTTTGGGGCTTACTATATACTGATCTCTCTACCTTTTTATATGTTTGAGATTTTCCAAAATAAAAGTTAAAAATATACAGATTTCTGGGCCCAGACCAGACCTTAGAAGTTTTTTGTTTTTTTTTTTTTAGACAGAGTCTTGCTCTGTCACCCAGGCTAGAGTGCAGTGGCACAATCTCCTCAGCCTCCCGAGTAGTTGGGATTACGGGTGCCCACCACCACGCCCAGCTAATTTTTTTGTATTTTTGGTAGAGACAGGGTTTCACCATCTTGGCCAGGCTGGTCTTGAACTCCTGACCTCGTGATCCACCTGCCTCGGCCTCCCAAAGTGCTGGGATTACAGGCGTGAGCCAACACACCCGGCCAGAAGGTCTTATTTATGAGATTTTTGGAGGTCCTGGGAAACTGTATTTTTTCGTTTTCCTTTTAAGCTGTATTAGAAAAATAATAATAATAAGAGGTGCCAGTGTGAACCTGACTGCCTACAGGATATTATGACTATTATGGGCTCTTTCAACCCTAAGATTCCATGACTCAGAGAAGATTATCTTCAGAGCTTTTCCAGTACAAACTTGTCTCAAAAAAAAAAAAAAAAATCTTATTTTTCCATTTATCTCAAATCTCCTCCTCTCTTTAGTAACAATCCTGAAAACTTTCCATGTATGGCTGCCCCTGCTGATGCCATCCACACATGCATTCCTAGGTAACATTAGGCCTCTCTGCTACCCTCGTCCATCAGGAATCCTCTGTCCTACATTCCAGTTCCATAGGATCCTTTTCCTGCCTAACTCAACATGTACTGATTCAAGCCAAAGATTCAAATAATGGGTGGTAGTAACTTAATGTATTACCCTTCCTAAAGAAATTTGTTTTCAAATGAATTTTCACTATCTTGACAAAGAATATGAACATTTCAGCCACTGTGTCTTAGGAGTATTTTTTAGAATATAAGCTTTTTTTTGAGGAAAAAAATCAAGCTCGAATCATACAGAATAGTTGTAAGATATTTTTATGAATGAGTATACATTACCTCTTAATATTATCTTGTACACATTCTGCATCTACTCGGTATATTTTATCAGGAGCCACTGTAAAATGTTTAAATACTTTCTCCTTCATACAAAATTAAATTAAGTTGGCTTTAAGGCTATGTACATCATTGTATTTGTATTATTTGGAAATTGGTAATCCATATCTAGTTCTGAAGATTATTTCATTAACTATTACATTTACTAGAAACCTCATTTTCCCAATTAATCTATTTGGCCAATTCTCCTTCAGAAAATCTGACACTTAGGACATCAACACTTGGGTCTGGTGACTGCAAGCCTGGGCCAACCTTGAGAGAAGCACAACTTTCCCTCTGGCAGTTCCTGTATGGAACCGAGTTGGGAAATCTAAGAAGTAGAGGCGACCAAAACCAATGTCATTCAGACAGTACAACTGGGTCTATTATATGAAGAATCTCAACAGAGAGAAAGGATCCATGTATAAGATAACAAGAGAGGAGGAGGCTTTAAAGGAGAGGGATGGAAATGGAGCCTGAAGAACCCCTTGGGTTGCAACAAAAACCAAGAGCACTTTTTATAGGGTGGCTTTGACCTTGACTGTGGGTACTGAGGGAGTTCTGAAGCCATGAAATTTACAAGGACGTTTGATATTAGTAATTTTATTGTTCATTAAAGTTAGTTCTCTTTTATATGCATATATGTCATATTTATAATATACATGTATTTGTGTGTTTATATGCCTGTATATATACACATGCACATTCTCAGAAATGACATTCTCTAAATATATTTGGCCTATCCTTAATCTCTCTGGATTTTAGTTTCCTCATCAGATGCTCTTTACATGTTGTCTCTGAAGCATTCTATGATTCTCTATTAATATGCATATGTAGGTATCACTGTTCTGATGTGTGGGAGAGCAGAGGGATAGAGGATGTTGGGAAGAATGTTCTTAGTTCAGGGAGTTGGTGGTCTGGAAGGGGTGATTAACATGTTGCTGTGTAAAAAAATTCCTGTTGTGTAATTCTAAGCTTATACTTTAAAATATATATACATATATATATATTTTAGGTTGGCAGAAATTGCACACTCCCTTCTGAAGCTGGCACCATATGACACTCAGACAATGGAGAGTCGTGGGCTTCGGCGCTACATCATGGAGATGCTACCCATTACTGACTGGACAGCTGAGGCAGTGAGGCCGGCCCTCATCCTCATTTTAAAAAGATTGGATAGAATGTTCAACAAAATTCATAAGATGCCTACTTTGAGGTGAGAATGCCTCCGAGTTAGCTGTTGCTATCACAAATGTCAAAGTTAAGATTTGTCATTTTTTAAGATGGTGGATCATTCTGGAGTTGAATGGATGACTTGAAAGTTTTCTTTGGTATATGTGCATAGTTAATAGGGTCTATGAATGCCTAAGTAGCAAAGCCTACATTTTGAGAAAAATAACATTTTCTTTAAAAGTATATGTGCTCATCTTGAAAAAAATCTATCCATTTCTTAGCTATCATGCTCCTCATCTGACACATATAAAAATTTCAATTAGTACCCTTTAATCCCTTTTAAAATAAGGGAGGGTTGGCCTTATAAATGAAACAACTAATGAGAAAAGAAAAGGAATTTTATGTTCAAAATACTATATTTAACATAGCTAGTTAACATATTTAGGTACCAGTTTAGAGAAATTCCAAGCTTTACAATAATCGCCAAGCAGAAGCTTAAAAATTCGCAGGATTGAAAACAAACACCTAGTTTTCACTTTTTTACCTAATTCAGTGTGGTACTAAATGAACACTATTAATGCTTGATCTTTGTTCAGTGACCTGGGAAATATTAATTGGTAGCCTACATATTAGCAGATGTTTTTGAACCACTCTACTTAGAGATGTGAGCCGAGTTTGGAAACTGTAGTGATAGTGAGCAGATAGTTCAACAGATTAACACTGGTAAACCCACTTACTCGGAAATTTCAAGTTTAGGTTAGTGAGAAAATTTTCTGTCCTTTTAAACTAAACCCAAAAATCAGTGTGACTCCTTCCCAAGAATTTATAGCACTTAATGTTCAATTCATCAGAATTTTTCAGGTATTAGTCCATAATCTCCTTCACACTAATCCAGCTTTCAGGAGTCATTAAAAAAACAAATGGAAAAGTTTTATTCTAATAATTGATTATTTGTTTTTATATTCTTTTATACCGTGGTGATGACTACCTATACATTATTTCAAGGTTATTTATTTCAATGGCATGGAAATGCTTGTTTTAAAACACTATTTCTTTAGTGATCCCAATAGAACATTTGTGTCTATCAGCAAATGGCTTATCAAAGATTTATAACTGTCTCACAAGGGTGCGTCAAAATAAATTCCTTTCTTAAATACTTCATATCTAAAGACGTTAAACATCTCCAAAAATGACCCATTTATGCTTCCCGAAAGTAGATTTCTGGATTAGTACATAGGCTTGGTCAGTTATAGGCAATTTTCTCGGGAGATAGGCTATGAATATGGAGTTGGCTTGGATTTAAATTCATTAGGTGATCTCAGTTCAACACAAGAAATGTTGACTGAACCTGACCTGCATATTACCTTCAGTGTCGGAGATGTCACATAGCCTCATTTATGAATACATTTCCATTTGTCATTGCAGATTCCATTTCGCTAGAAAATATAAGCTTAGAAAGTATTGCCAGGAAAATATAAGGAAATACTGTTAATATCAGTAAAGCCCAAGCTGTTTATTTTGGGGCCACAGGGATGAATCAGTACTAGAAGAATTATGAAATGGATTGACTTTTATTACAGAAAATCCCATATTCATTTAATTGGGTTATGTATACAGTAACACCATTTATACTACCATAGAAAGTAGCCAAAAAATACATATCATGTCTTGGGAGGCCAAGAAAGAACATTGTTTAAATAAACTATTTTCTTCTAATGTGATCTTCTTGGCAGGAGTTAAGCTATATAAATCAAATTAGTGGTAGTCTGGTGTAAAAACTGATGGGCGTGTGTAATCTGATAAACAGGTTTCAGAAATGTAGCTGGGGTCAGATTAGTTCTATTGGGAGTAATTACCCCTGTGATCAGTTTTCTATGATGGTAGTCTTAGGACCCTCTGTCAAAGCTAAAACCAGGGAAATTAAAATGCAACCCATTCATCATCTCTGTTTTTTCTTCAATAGATTTAGTCGAGTGGGGCAGGCCTGCCTCTGCTACGTTTTCAGTATCTTCTTCCCCTCCCAGTATGCTCTGTGCTTTTGGAACAATATGGGTAAACTTCATCCCAGAGACACATCCTGTCTTAGATGGCATCAGAATCACTGTCTCATTCACTTGTTTCAGACTCTCCAGAAGGGAGCCAAGACGCTAATGGCGCCTATATTGTATTCCAGGCGACAGGTTGAGTGGGAGCCTGCCAGCAATTTGATTGAAGGGGTTTGTTTGACACTTCAGAGGCAGCCAATCATATCCTTCCTGCCTCACCTTAGGTCACTGATCAATGTCTGTGTCAATCTGGTGAGTAGCCAAGTGGCAATCTTATGAAACTTTGCACAATGTAACTCTGCTATTGACTTCTCTGAATTGAAGATTTACAGGTCAACCACTTTGTGCCCCTATCTGCCCATGAAAACAGACGGCTCAGGTGACACTGAAAATAGTGAGGTACATTTCAAGGTGGTGTGTGGGGAGATCCAGGAACCCATCCCTACACAGAAGGGATTTTGGTGTGCTGCTTCCCATGCACTACTTTGACAATTCACCTCTTCAAGTTGCGCTGAGAGTTGAGGGCTGCCAGTTGGAGAGTGGGGTGGCGGAGCCTGCACAATTGGCTAGAAGTTGAGGTAGTCTGGGGTGGGGAACTTAAAATGCAAAGAGGATATTTTTCTCTTATGGTGCAAAATGACACTATGAGTTGGCCAGTCTAGGATTTATGTGAAGAAAAAAAAATTTAATTGTTTATGTAATATCTAGAGTCTGGTCCTGACAAGGTTTTGTAAAATGTGTGGAAACCATCTTAGAGCATCTCATTAAATAGGACCTGCTGCTTCACTAGTTGAGCAATAAGTCTGTAGTTGGAATGCCTAGTGCAAATAGAGCTGTTGCCATCATCATTGTTGTCAGTATTTGCTCCATCAAGGAATGTTGACCGCATTCCTTTGAATTCACAACTAAGTGTCCAATCTCCTGATTAGAATAGCTTTTTGGTTCATCTCTCATTATTTACATAGTTAACTATAAACAACATTCTACAAAACCTTGGCTGAATTCAGTGTAATGTTCGATCTGACTCCAGACATTACATGCCTTCAGAAGGCAACAAGAAAGAAAAGATTGAAAGTAACATGTCCAACCTTCAATTTATCATTTTTATTATCATCATCATTGAGACTCCTTTACTACGGTTGCATGAAATTGCAATAGTCAAGGCTGGTCATGTGCTCTGTTTGTATTTCAGGTGATGGGAGTGGTAGGACCTTCCAGTGTTGCTGATGGATTACCCCTTCTTCATCTCAGCCCTTATCTCTCACCACCTCTGCCCTTCAGCACAGCTGTTGTCCGGCTTGTAGCATTGCAGATACAGGTGTGACTGCCTTACCTGTTTGTCACGCTCATTAAGTTGCTGGTTGAGGCACCAGATCATGGTGTTCTCGTTTTTTTCTGCAAAGGCTGGGCAAAATCTGTGAAACAAAAGTGTAAACATCTCTAAACTTTTATAGATTTGGAGCTTCAGCCCTGAGCTTGGCCCTAAGTTGTGCTTCTGTAATTCTTCTTGAGATCTCAAATATAGCAGAGTCATTTAGTCCTGCCACAACTTCAGGAACCACTTCAGTCATTGAAAATGTGTGCAAAATAATGGTTCACAGATAATCAGCTCACAATTGTTAATTAAAAGGCAGTAATATTCACAATCTGGTTTTAAATTATTTTCAGAAAGAATTGCAATATAAAATTCTTTCAAATGTTATCACTAGACTTTGAATATCTTAATTTTCTTTAATGATTGTGGGTTGAATATTATGAGTGCTTTTTTAAAGAAAGTTCTCCCCCTTTATTTATTTCTTAAAATTAAAATAATCATTCCCAAGGCAAAAAAAAAAAAAAAAAATTGCAGAATCCCGTCTCCTGAGTATTTCTGTGTGTCACCCAGTTTTAGAGAATGGTAAATCACTGGAAAGCTCCATAATCAATGGAAAGTACACAACTGATGTAAATGGATAACTGACCCATCCGTCGTTTGACAACCAAGCTTGATGGCTCATCATCCAGAGAATGGGTAGATGGTAGAAAAGAGATCAAGTAAGAGCTGTGGCTACTGTGCAGAAGAGAAACAGTGACATCCCTAAAGTGATACACTTTAATAACTTGCGTACAAAGATCACATATTTCTTTGTATATTGCATATTGTTTCCTGGCTTGAAGAAGGCCTTTCATGGCAGGGGCCAGAGGAATAACTACCAAAAGGAGCAAGTGAGAAGTTCTGATTTTCTTCCTTCTCCTTTGTTGTTAAAATATTTATTGGTAGAAAAATAGAGAAAATTAATGGGGACATGAAGTTGTTTTTGTACCTGACCATAAGTATTCTAATTTTTCATTTAATATTCAAGATGTTACTATCTTTTTAGGTGTATAGCTCTCAATTATATCAAGACAATGGTAAAGTATCAGTTTTGAGTGAAGCTTGTATGCTGTACAGACAACAATTGAACTCATAGTTTACAGGAGCAGCCAGCAGGGAGTCACCGTCTCCATCATACTGTGTAAAAACAAACATACTAAATGGGTGTGGTGGTCAATTAATCTTTTCTTCTATTATTGCTGCACAGGCTTTAAAAGAAGATTTTCCTTTAAGCCATGTGATCTCCCCATTCACCAATCAAGAGCGAAGGGAGGGGATGCTTTTAAATCTGCTCATCCCATTTGTGCTCACAGTAGGATCTGGAAGCAAAGGTCTGATTAATTTAACTAAAGGAAATTTATCATTGTTGTTGTGTTCTCTTAAATGTCAGGCTGTTATTTCTTTTTCCTGTTCCCATGAAGGCTATCACTGAAGTCAGTCTGAATGATTTAAATAGGGTCATCTTAGGAAATAAGAGTTTTTCTTTCTTTTCAGTTTAGCTACCTGGGACCAGAGTTTCTCTGCTCTACTTCTTAGGAGATACGTCCTATTTAAAGTCATTTCAGTACAGCAAAAATCAGGGGAACAGTCATTCAATTCAGTTGAGAAAATGGTATTCGTTGAAGTACAATATAAGAATTGACAGGTGAACAAACTTGTACAACCTACGTGGACACTGGGTTTAGCAGAAATCCTGCCACTGTCATTAAATTCCAATGTATTTTCATTACTCTTTCTTCTTAGGGGTAGAGGGATTCTTTTAGGAAAAGTTTGTCTCAAATGTAAGTACAGTGCATCATGAGTATTTGCAAAAAGAAAGGAGATTGAAATGGTAAGCGAGACATTTGGCTAAGACCACAGGTTGTTGGGTACCCACTATGGAGAAAATACTCAGGTGCCAGGAACACTGTTTCTGTCCATTGGTGAAGCTGTACTTGATGGGAAACACCTGAATTTCTAGGGTGTTGTAGTTTGGACTTGGAAAGAGCTGAGTTTTTCTGTATCTACTGTGGACAGTCTACCTTGTGATGTTTTTCTTTCCACTTCCGTCTTCCAAATTCTGCCCCTCAGATAGCCCATGGCTGGAGCAGCCTGAGGTGCAGCTGCTGCTGCAGACAGTCATCAATGTACTCCTCCCACCGCGGATCATCAGCACATCCAGGAGCAAGAACTTCATGTTAGAGAGCTCCCCAGCCCACTGCTCCACCCCTGGGGATGCGGGGAAAGACTTGCGCAGGGAAGGGCTGGCTGAGTCCACCAGCCAAGCAGCATACTTGGGTTGGTACTTTCTCTCTCTCTCTCTCTGTTTGTGCATGTGTATGTATATGTATGTGAAAATATATGTGTAGATAGATAGATAAATAAATAAATAGATGTACTTAGTTAAGTTCCAACTTAACTCAGAAAGAATTTAGAGAGACCTCAAACCAGAATGTATTTAAAGAGACCTCAATCCAGAATGTATTTAAAGAAGCCACTTGAACAAGAAACATTACCCTTGCAAAAAAAGTCTGGTTTCCTTCAGTAAACATATGCCAAAAAACAACGTGGTTTCACATCTGCCATGCCTAAATTACTTGGCTGTTTTATATATGAGTGTCTGGGCTTGTAAGGAAGGCATCTGCAGTAAAGATTCTTCCATGCTGATTAAGTACCAGATCACTAGTGAGGTTCAGTAGCTGTTATAAGATCTAAACTCAGTCTAGTATACAAAGACACAGCATTGCACAACATGTGGGGCTCATTGATCTGTCACCTATATAAATGGAGTTCTGTATTTGGGCAGTCTACATCCTATGCTGCAAGATTTGGTGACCTTGCAATATGCTATGCCCCTACTAGCTCTTTTTCCTCCCTTAACATGTCTTTAATCTCCATTTTGATCATTACTCTAGTGAGGCCAGTCCAGTCCTGCTCCCATAGGCTTCCCAATCCCTTTCCCTCTTTGACTCCTACTTTCCCGTTATCCTATGCTGCCTTTAACCTGGTCGTGACCCGGGGAGCAATGGAAAGCCACTCTTTGGCCCTGAATGAACTGGGCCAGCAGGAAAAGACCACTCTTGCCATAGCGCTGAGAATAAGTGGCACTGGCAGTGGGGAATTTCAAAATGAGAAAGTCTTGCCTGATATTTTTCAATTCACCAAAGCAGATATTGGTGAGAAGTATAAGATGAACACAAACACACTGATGAAAATGAGTCCTTGGAGTTTGGAGTATGGAGGGGTGTTTGAACTGCCTTATAATGGGATGTGTTTGAAAATGAGGGGATTGACAATGAAAATGAAAAAGGAGAAAAAGACACAAGGAATGCATGTACCTAGGACTAACCCATATGGATGCTCAGTTGGCCAAGGTATACAAAAGTAGAATTCAAATCTAAGCTCTATCATAGAGCCCTACATGAAGTTTAGGATTGCACAGAGGATGATGGAGGAAAGGGGCTCACCATGTACAGGAAGGATATGAGAAGACACTTGATGAGTTTCTGTCCTCTCCACTGTCTGCCTTTTCAGTAAAGAGTTGTTTTTACTTTGTTACATGGCCAGGCTACTGAACCTGTATTTTAAGTTTGTTTTTACATTTATTTTGAGCACTTACTGTGCACCAAGCAGTTTTCTGTGCTTTACACTATTACCACATTGAATCCTCTCATCTTCTCAATAACTCTAAGAAGTTAGTGTTATTCTCATTTTAGGAGTGAAGAGGCTGGGGCCCAGAAAGGTTGAGTAACTTGCCTGAAGGCATATATCTTAATAAGTGACAGAGCTAGAATGAGTCTCTGTTCTTGAGTCACTTTTATACACTGCTATGTCTTAGGCTGATGGAGGTTTAGGTGGAAAGTAGAATGGCAGAAAGCCAAAGTCAGCCAACAGGCCTAGTAACAGTGAAAACGTCATCAGAATTATGGTAGAGAAAGAGGAGTGTTGTTTTTTATTTGTTTGTTTGTTTGTTTAGTTGAGGGAAAGGAATTGAGATAAGCAATTGCTGTGAAAAGTGAGACTTTGAGGAGGAATATGGGTAAGAAGGAATCTTGCAATCTCTCTCTCTGTGTTACATGGCATGGTTCTCTCCTGGAAACATCCTAAAGATGGTAAAGGCATATGTGACTCTTGAGGATTTTAGAGAATTGGATTTCTGTGTGCATTTAGTCACTCAATGCACTTAAGAAAGATTTTTGTGTTTTCCTAATCAGAATCAAAATGTGTTTAGTATACACATTTTTTAGATGCTGAGATTCATGGGCCTTAAGAATGATCAAGAAGACCCAGGTCACTTGACTGCCCCATGGCAGACTCCATGGTAAAAGCTGTAGTGGCAGAGGGAGCTCCCGTCATAATCTTTGATGTCTTCACAATACTCTGGTTTGTCCTGACACACGGTTTGGGAAATCTGCTTCCTGAAAAATAAAAATAAATGTAGATTGTGAAGGGCTGCTGGAATCTGAGAGGAAAGAGATATGGACAAATAAATCCAGTAGGGTTTAGTAACAGACGTAGTGTGTGATGAAGGAAGGTGTTTTTTATTTTTGGAAAGATACCCTGCACGCATTTACTGGTTACCTCTGGGGAGCAGTTTAGTGTGGGGTCAGGAAGGGAACTGGGAAGGAAAAGGACTTAATATTTTTTAACTTTGTGCACTTCTTCATGGTTTTATTTTACTTTTAGTAACACAAATATTTATTTTTATGGTTAAAAGAAAAAAGGAAAAGATTTTTAAGATCCATGTTTTAGCTAAGAATGTGAGTGATATGTCCGTATTACCATAAAGTTATTATGATAAAACTTTTGGAAGGTAAAACGTTAGCCACACATCATGTTTATGAAACATTTTCCTTTCAATTCAGTGGACCACATTGCTCTATATTTTCCAAGATAGTAGTTCTTAAGATGCACTTAAGAAAGATACTTGAGTAATCTTCATCAGAATCAAAACACTTAGCATACACGTTTTTGTCTCGATGTACAGAATACTCTTGCTCGGGAATACATACGAAGTTTTTAGAAACATGGAGAGAGCTTAGAAATTTAGAAAATTTCTAAAGGTGCATAAAGGGCTCTGGATGTAGGTTGGGTTCCTCGGAAGCACACGTCCGCAGGCTCATTTTTCTCTTTTCCCGGTGTGAAGCGCTGAAGGTGATTCTCGTCTGCTTTGAGAGGCAGCTCGGAAGCCAGTGGTACTGGCTGAGCCTCCAGGTGAAGGAGATGGCTCTGCGGAAGGTGGGAGGCCTGGCCCTTTGGGATTTCCTCGACTTCATCGTGCGGACCCGAATACCCATCTTTGTGCTTTTGCGCCCTTTCATCCAGTGCAAGGTGTGGTGTGTGCTTCTCCTCCTGAAAGTGGCAAGCTCAAATGAATGTGTGGCTCTCTACTGAGGCAGGAATATGGCAGGAGTGCTCATGGTACCTACTGTTGCCAGTTAGTAGGGCCTGTTAATACCATGCTTGATGAGAAAACCGCCCAAAAATATATTCCAGAGGATAAAAATTTCACACTAGAAATGCCTTCACAGTAAGAGCTTTGTTGGAGTCTGTAAAACTTTGCCCGCTCCCTACTAATCATCCCCCACTCTACCCACCCAAAAGATTGGTCCAGTGGAATAGTTTGGAGAATCTTCTATCTTCAGTGACATGACTGAGATCTGATTTTAAATAAACATAAGAAAAACATAGGATACTTAACGTATGTTTTTCCTCCAAGACCCTCGGTACCCATCTACACTTGGTCTTTTCATGCCTCAGTTTCTTAGGGCAGTGATTTAAAACGATGTAATTATTAAGCACTTCCTGTGTAAAGTGCCGTTCTAGGAACATCACATGCATTACCTTATTTATTCCTCACAACAATGAAATAGGTACAGCAATTAGCCCATTTTATGGATGGAAAATTGAGGCCCTGAGAATGTTATGCCTTCCTTTCAGCTGCTGGCCCAACCAGCAGAGAATCATGAAGAGCTTTCCGCCCGGCAACATATTGCCGACCAGCTGGAGCGGCGCTTCATACCACGCCCTTTGTGTAAGAGCTCGCTCATTGCTGAGTTCAACAGTGAACTAAAAATTCTAAAAGAGGCAGTTCATAGTGGATCAGGTGAGTGTGCATGAGAGTGTTGTGAATTTGTTTGACTAATGGAACTCACAGCCTACAAAGAATCCCTCTGTCCAGGTCACCACACTTTTTGGAACTATGAATATGTTAGCCATTTTGGTACACTGTTAGATTTGACCATTTCTAATAAGTTAGCCATTTGACCACCACTAGATTTGACTTCCTCTTTTGTCAGTAACAAAATAGAAATCAAAAGGATATCATAAGAATTTAGTTTTCCTTTTCTATATATTTTTTAATCTTCATTTTAGTAGTTAATCTCTTTCTTGAGTATTTAATTGGAAGAAAAATGGTTTAAATCATTACCTTTATTTCCTTTTGGAAAAAGAGAAGGGGGACATTCATTTATTGAGCTTCTATTTTATGGTAGATTATTTCCTTTAATCTATACAAATACCTTCAAGGTATATAATTGAAAGTCCCTGTAAAAAATGAGGAAACAGACACAGTAGAAAATAGATAAATAATTTACAAGTAAATAACTTACTACTGTCACATAGAAAGTGATTATTGTAAGGGGATTTTTCAGCCAGATCTCTGTGATTGATTTATAAAGCCTTTAACTTTAACTTTTCACACATTGGAAGGGGAAGGATTCCCTTAGAGCTGGCAAACTAGGAGGTACTTTCTTTACATTATTCTAAAGGTATTCTTTGAGAGTACATTGCTTTCTTTCTTATAACTATGTATTAGCAGCAAATTACTGAGGAAGGAAAATAAATCATTATTTGCCATTAGAGGGCAGTCATTACCCACAAGTAAAATGTAATATGTGATAGGTTTTCTTTTTTGTGGGAGGGAAGGGTTATTTGCTTTCTTTTGAAAGCTTTTATTGTTCTTTGCAGACAATGTGGTAAAAACAAAAAATTGACAGGTATAATCCTGGTGAAGTTTACACATTATCATTCAAATATTCTACTTTGTAATAAAATAACCTGACATAGAACTGAGGGATATTTTATAGGTTGTAATTTCCAGAAAATGAGAATAAGAACAGTTTTGATTATGCATCGCGGGGTTCACATCAGACAACTTATTTATTACTTTGATATGCTTGTGTCAGATAAGATATATTTCTTAGTAAAAATTGCCAAGTTGGAAGCTACAATTCAGGTCAAATTTAATTTGCATCCTACCAACCTTGGAAAATAAAATAGAAAACCAATAAGAAAGGCAACAATGTCAAAGCATTTAATATTGTTACAGATGTTATGTTCTGGCAAGGGAACTATTTAATTATATCAGTGGCCAATATTGATTCTTTAAAATAAAAAATCCCCACTTTCATTTGCAACTTTGTTATAAAGATCATTTGTCTGGGACACATTATTTAACTAACCTTTCCTAAAAAATACAAGTGGTCAGGGAGGACTTTGAAGTGGACATTTAAGATTCTCACCATGCATTTCCTTTGGTCTCTCGCATCCTCTAGCCTACCAAGGCAAGACATCCATCAGTACCGTGGGCACCTCCACCTCTGCTTACCGCCTGAGCTTGGCCACCATGTCCCGCTCTAACACGGGCACGGGCACTGTCTGGGAGCAGGACAGTGAGCCATCCCAGCAGGCTTCGCAGGACACCCTGAGTCGGACTGATGAGGAAGATGAGGAAAGTAGGTCATTCCAGAGAATCTGGGCAGTAGACATGGCCTGGCCATACGAGCAGGGGCTTGGGAAGGATTACTGCCCTTCTGACCTTTTCCGCTTCTGATCCCCTAGTCATTTTTACAAAAGGAGTTCTAGGGGAAATGTGACTGATTCCATGATTCCTAATGCCTGCATTTCTATAAATTCCTTGATACCCTTTGGTCATTTAAAAAGAATTCAGGGAAAAAGTAAATATGAATTTGAATACATTAATTTCTGCTTCTGGCTGGGCACGGTGGCTCATGCCTGTAGTCCCAGCACTTTGGGAGGCCGAGGCGGGTGGATCACCTGAGGTCAGGAGTTCAAGACCAGCCTGGCCAACATGATGAAATCCCATCTCTACTAAAAATACAAAAACTAGCTGAGTGTGTTGGTGTGCACCTCCAGTCCCAGCTACTCTGGAGGCTGAGGCATGGGAACCACTTGAACCCGGGAGGCAGAGGTTGCAGTGAGCCAAGATCGCGCCAATGCACTCCAGCCTGGGCAACAGAGCGAGCCTCTGTCTCAAAAACAACAACTCCTATCTAAAAACTCCTAAATTTTCTTTAAACCTATATAGTCAACTTTTTCCACTAACTCCCATTTAAATTGTGGATAACTAACCAAGGAAAGCACTTATTCTCCTTTTTCCTGGACATCTTGCTTAGAGGGTTGATTGGAACTTAAATGGCCTCATTAAGCAAGGAAAAGTGAGCCGTGTATATGCCTAGGACTCAGAAAAGACCAGTTGGCTCTACCAGCCGGTATGTAAACCAGCAGGCTGTCTTGAGGGAAAGTACTCCAAATTTGAGTTAAGAGAATCCCCAGTGACTAGGTCAGCCCAGAAACTTCTAAGGCATGTGCTAGAGATTTGGTGTTATGACATGAGGAGAAATACTACATATGTATGCTTCACAGGAGGTTATAAAAAGTAAAATTAGGGTGAAAGATTCCATTAAAATGCTACTGTCATTTCAGGGGTCTTAATATTGCATTAATTATTTTCCACTTGTGTGTTAAGATACTCTGATATAACGTTTATAGCAAAGTTGTGTTGTCAATGCCATATGAATGAGAACAAAATTTAGATCTTCACTCAGAGGCTCTCCATACCAAACAACAACAAAAAGCTCTACTCTGAACTAAATTAAGTAGAAGAAACGAGAGTTGAGGTTAGAATTTTAATTAACTAAGATGAATAAAAGTGTTTTAATGTCCTACAACAGTTGGGAATGTAAGAGAAGAGAAAAAATAAATGCTTTGTCAGTACTTACCAGTAATATTTGCAGTTAGCTTCAGCATTGGTCAGACAAGGGAAAAATCATATTGTCCTGTGCCTGGCCTATAGACACATTTCTGTCTAAATCACCCTGGTGACTGCTCATGAAAATACACCTAAAGTTGTAATTAGGGAAATCTTGACTGAGAAAACACCATGAAAGAGAAAAGGATCAGCAGTTTAAATATCCACTAAGTATGGGTAAAACTTAAAGAAAATCAATTTTTTCTTTAATGCTTGAAGTAGCCTCTCCCAGCAATTCTTATTAATTATAGGAAATGATATCACCTATTTTTGTAGAGCTAAATATATTTTGCAGGTAACCTTATAAATAATAGATGACCTAACCTGTAGGAAGGAGCAAGGAAAGAAAAGTAAGTAAGACTTAAACAGGGATATCACTGGCCAAAAGCCAACACTAACATACTGATGAGGCAGCAGGGGGACTGGGGAGCCATGCAATTTTTTGCTTATATCTCTGATCACAGACATCGTAACCATCCCAATGAAAGCAAGATTGCTAACAAATGGTATTGTGTGTTTGTGATATGGGTGTGTAGTAATTTAAATAGGGAGGGGTATGAAAACCAGATTGTTGTTTTGAATTAAACTTTCTTACATTCAATAATCAGACTTGTATTAAGGCCTATCGGGTATAAGATAAGGAAGAAGGAAGTATGAGAAAGATACATTCTCTGCTTTCTAAGATCTTATAATAGATATAGTTATGTAGAGGAGATGAGAGACATTTACAATAAAGAACACCTAACAAAAGAGTTACTGGTAGACAGCACATGATTCATCACCAAACAAATACTGGGGACATAAGTGTTAAGTGATATGTGAATACAAATAAGGGGGAATAATCAATAGGATTTGGGAAAGGGCTCTGTAGAAATAGCTGAATCTATCCTACCACATTTTTTATATTTTTAAGACACATTTGTTTATTCTCTTTCCTGTGGACATATCTAAAAAGAAAATATCATTCTATAACAAGAATCAATTTTAAGTCAGTGATTATATAGCAAATTAAAATTGCTAGCACGTTTTATATTCACCTTTTGATTTGAAATAAGTTCAATTAGAAATATGATTACTTTGATATTTTAAATAAATAGTATCAGATGGTCTTACACAGTAGCACACATTCTCCAAAACTCAATATGTTTATCAAAGAATATTAGTGTTCATCAACAAACAACATTAGCTCATTTAGAATTAAGTCACTTTGTCATAGATACTGTGCTAAAGTTAATTTTCATATGAATTTGAATACATTAATTTCTGCTTCTCGCTGGGCACGGTGGCTCATGCCTGTAATCCCAGCACTTTGGGAGGCCGAGGCGGGTGGATCACCTGAGGTCAGGAGTTCAAGACCAGCCTGGCCAACATGATGAAATCCCATCTCTACTAAAAATACAAAAACTAGCTGAGTGTGTTGGTGTGCACCTCCAGTCCCAGCTACTCTGGAGGCTGAGGCATGGGAACCACTTGAACCTGGGAGGCGGAGGTTCAGTGAGCCAAGATCGCGCCAATGCACTCCAGCCTGGGCAACAGAGCGAGCCTCTGTCTCAAAAACAAAAAACAAACAAACCAAAACAAAACAAAAAAAACTCTGCTTCTATGGAGAAAACAAAATCACATACTTAAATTTTAAAATTTCGGTTAAAATCAGCATTTATTTCTTAACTTTATAGCTTTCAAATATTTTTCCTAAAAATATCTGAAATTGTCTTTCCCTCAGCAGTCTAGAAATTATTAACTGTACTGAATGTGGTTTTTGAATGTCAAGGAAATGTATTTGATTCATTCAATAACAAAGTCTCCTGAAGTATTTATGGAATGTTTTTAAAAAATTATGTGCTAGCTTTTCTCAAATCTTAAATTTGCTGATGCCTGTTCACTTTCACAAATAATCTACTTGTAAAAATTTACATTTATTTCATGAAGGATGTTCTAGTGTGGAAGGGTGGGAGATGTATAGACACGAAGAATTATCATTACCCCCAAAGGTCTAAGTTTTTTTATCTGTATGAAGGGACCAATGATAATTTAGATTTACACACAGCCCTAAGTTGTACACAAGCCAAGGACAGAACCCAAGTACAGCTTTGGTTGGGTTTTTCTGATCAGTGTCATAGTTTTTGTAACACTCTATTCCTTTGCCCCTTTTAGATGACTCTATAAGCATGCCCAGCGTGGTAAGTGAACAAGAAGCTTACCTCCTGAGTGCCATTGGAAGGAGGCGATTCTCCAGCCATGTCTCCAGCATGTCTGTACCTCAGGCTGAGGTGGGCATGCTACCCAGCCAGAGGTAAACAGCTATGGTTATACTGTACTCTGCATTTGGGGGCAAAGTTAGAAATTCTGAAAATACACTCCTGTTATTCTACAAAGACAGAAAGAGAAGCAAGCAATGGTAATGTTTTTAGATAGATCATTCCACAAAGGATTTGTCAACTAGGTTCCTGCAGGCAA
The DNA here is from genome assembly GCF_000001405.40 of Homo sapiens. Classification (NCBI taxonomy): domain Eukaryota; kingdom Metazoa; phylum Chordata; class Mammalia; order Primates; family Hominidae; genus Homo; species Homo sapiens. The sequence goes on from NC_000002.12 coordinate 209,982,482, forward strand.
CACTTTGCAGTTTTCTAAGCCAAGCTAGTAGAAGGGATCCCAATTTCCAAGTATTGTCTCTCCTTAAAAATTTTCCATAGACACATGGTCTTCTTTCTGTTGTCAAATGGCATTCTTGTATTTCAGATTTATCATTAGCTAAGCTAATGATGGGTACTTGGCAAGAGTTTGGACCATCTTTATGTTTTTGGTAAAGTTTAGGCTTCTGATATATTATTAGTATTCAGTTGTAGGTAGTGACACTTAACCAAGCAGAAAAGGATCTATGCCACTGAGTGTGACCTTGGGCAGGTCATTTAACCGTAATCCACAGTTCTCCCTCTGTAAAATGAAGAGGTTTGCTAAAATGATCTTTAAGATAACTTCTCATCTATAGTTCTATGATTCCATGACAAAACCCCTTTAAATATTTTGTGTGTTCTCTGTCTCTTAAGAATATAAGTAAAAAAAAACTTCCCATGTATATATATATATACACACACACACACACAATGAAAGTATAATGAAAATGATCTCACATGAGTCAAAACATTTATCTTAAGTAGATAAATGTTTTGGAACCAATGATATTTTCACTTTAGGAATTGAGTTTTTCAAGGAATTGACCTTATGTGATTTTAGTGTGTTGCTTATTTTTAATACCTATAGATTCATTGTAGTACAATTCAGACATGGAAAATAATAAAATTCAGGGCATATTCTGATGTTCACATAAAACCAGTTTATATGTAGGAATAATTACCCTGTACCCAAATCCTTTCGCAAATGGTTCGTGAACTACACAGATGAAATAAAATTTGTGAAATAAAGCCCAAGTTTGGAGAATATCAAAGAATAGGGTAAAATGATAAATCATTAATAAACAAGTTGCATACTTTTTAAGAAGGCAATGTTTTATATAAGTACCATTTAATTATTACGAAGATTAATACTATATAAAGGTTTGTATCATTGTAAGAAATTGTTTTACCTACCATTTGGTAATTTTCCTTTGAAAAGAAAGTCTTATACACAAAAAGTGTGAACAAAATCAAAGCCAAACAATAACATGTCCTAAAAAAGATATAAAGCCACACAAGCAGCTAATATTGGTAGCTATCAGTTATTTTTAATTGCTAGCAATGTGCATGGTTCTATGAAGAATATTTTTAAAAATCAATTATTTGAAAGTTTTATTTAAATTATAGAATTGTAGAAATTTCATAAAGAGGTTTTTCATTGTTATTTACCTAAAATAACCAGGCCATCAATTTCCTTTTTACATATTCATTAAGGGGTCAAGTTGTTTGCAGGGAGAAAATTTGTCCTATTATACATATCTTGATTGTACATTTTCTTGATTTCTAGAAATCAAGAAAAAATAATATAGTTAAATAGTTTGGGCTTCATTCATATTTTGGAAGACTAGCGAAGGTAATAATACTGTCTCTGTACATAAGGGAAAGTGAGTCTCTTCCTAGGGACAGAGGCTGTTTTTATAGTGAACTTTTAGGTGAGCCTCAATTCTTTGGGGCCAGGCACTCCAGTTTTCTAAATGGTTTAGTTCTCTCCAATTTAACGAGTATTTATTGCCTCACAGATGCTTAGCTCAATGCTAGGCACTGAAGGAAGGACAGATAAAGCATGACAGTTTCTGTTCACAAATCTCAGTTCAGCTACATACATATCAATCAATCGATAAACAATTTAATTATTCTCTCACCAACCTGACAGGTTTCTTCTTTTGGCATTTACAATTCAGTCACTAGAGGATGGAGAGTAAGGAGGTAAATGCGAGTTCCATGTGAATTTTCTAAGATATCTTCCTTCCGTTTGTTTACTTGCATTTTCACTGCAAAATTAGCAGGGAAAGTTGTGTTCTTTCTTTACTTTTCTTAATGGCATCAGTTCCAAGAGCTTGGTTGTGGCAGTTCATGGTAAGTGGTTTCTGTGTGCTAATGTTAGAATGCACAAGAAAGAAGCAGGGTCCTGGTCAATGAAACACCATGTACATAAGACAGGTTAAAAATAATCACCACCTAGCCAAATGGTTACCAAAGGAAATGGTAGTTTCATCTTCTACAGATTCATTCTGCAATGTGTTTCAGAGCCTATGGGCCCATTCGGAGTTCATTTTAACTCTTGACCAATAAATAGGTTACTCCTCTGAGAGTTGTATCCATCCAAAGCCCTTCCTCCCCCATTGCCTTGAGTCCTATGTCTTGACAAACCCAGCACAAGGTGAAATGGTTGACTGTCTCCTTTTCCTTCCTTGTTCGGTTAAATCTATTTATTTTTGGTTCTTGGAAGCAGAAAATTGCATGCCTTTTTTCTTTTTTCTTTTTTTTTTTCATTTTCTTTCCCTAAATGCTTCATCTCCCTACCCCTCCTGCAGTGAACCTAATGTCCTCGATGACTCCCAGGGCCTGGCCGCCGAGGGCAGCCTCTCTAGGTACAGTGTCAATGCTACCTGTCTATTGGTGTCTGTGCTGGGAAACTAGCTGTTCCCTGTCTCCTCTGTCTCTCTGTCTTCTCTGTCTCTTCTCGCCCCGTCTTAATATCTATTTCCATTCCTTGCCCTTTGTTGTTCATGAACATATGAGCCTGGAAGTCAAAGGTGTAGCAAACCCTCCTTCATTTTCAGCTTCAGAGCTCAATGTCAATCAAGTAAGCCTGAAAAGCTTACTTTAAAAAAATTATAGAATTCTTTATGGGGCATTTCCCACGGATGTCTAAAAAGTCTGGTATGCCAAATGTTAAATTTATCCCATCTAATTATTCCCTCCCACACTGATATTTATTAAGAATTGTTTTTCAGAGGCCCTTTAATACATCATCAAGAAGCCCCTTATTAAATCAAGACAGGTCTTTTAGCTAATACCATTGATTGTAAGAAAATAGACAATGATGTTATAAAAAGAATAGTAATGTGGATACAATTTATATACTATAATTCCTTCTCTTTGATGCATGCTATTGGGCAGACTTCTATAGTAGCTTGTTCCAGCAACACTTATACAAAGAATGTCTGTTCTAGCACAAAGGTGACTCCAAAACTTGCATGAAATATCAGACACAAACAGTTCTTGGTAAGTAAGAGAAGTCTTATGATGCAAATAATGTAATGTCTTGGCTATTGGTTTAAAGCTTCAGAAAAGGGGACTGCACCTTTAACACTCAGATAAACCACGTCAAACATTCCTAATCTTGTGCTGTTGATTCACACCTCTCAACTAATCCTCATTAGGGGTAAGGCTTCTTGTTCATCCTTAGAGTATCTTTGTGCCATCTCAAGAGATAACATTCCCTTTCAGGTTTGCACTATCTAGTGAGTACAATACACCCGTGTTTATTGCTTTATCACAAAGATGAGGAAATGTTGAGAGGCTGTTCCTGTGAAAGGTTGTCTTTTGTTTTCTTTGCATCTTGTTCAGATTTCACATTTTCTTTTGCAATTGAAAATGGGAAATTTAGTCCATCATCGGGTGTATTTTTTTTTTAACCAGACCCATAATTCATGACATTCGTGTTTGCCAGCCCTTGCCTTGACAGATCAGTCTCTTATTGGTGGTAAATGTGGAAGTGCTGCAGAATGCAGACTTAATTCCATTAGCAGGAGCTTTGGGGGCAAGGAGGAAGTTGAGAAACAAAACAGTCCTCAAGAGGGCTTCCCTTTATTCACGGTGTTGGAAGAGATCTGAACCAAGTCTAGCAGAGTGTTCATTCTTTCAAAGAAAGCAGGTATTTAATGTTTAAAATTACATGTGTGATGGGAACCTTGATTAGAAGACAATTTCAGTGGCCTACTGAGAGTAGAGAGTATTGAATCAGACTTCCACTTAGCTAGCTTTGTGCTGGGGCTTTTCTAATTAGGCCAAATTCTACTCTTGATGAGTAAGGATTGGTGAGAGAAGGCAGGAGTTTGAGATTGTTTTTATGAACTCTCCCAAGTATTTGGCCCTCTCTGGTAGGCTCAGGGTTCAGAGGACCTATTTGTAGTTTTCTAAACCAATTCAGTGTGTCCTGGTTCCAGTGTCAATGGAAATATACACAAAGTTTTTGGTAGGTGAGACTGGTTCAGAGCCAAAGCTATTGATTTGTCTACAGCTGAATTAGTCAGTCATGGTAGTACTTTGATGACTGTCTTAGATCAACTGCCGTTGATCCGTTGTTTCTGTGACCATTGTGTTTTAGTTCTGGGTGTGAGTCACCCAGACCCAGTTGTGGTCATTAAGAAATGGGAAGATGAGGCATTCACTTTGGCTTCTGAAATAATTCTAATAGCACAGAGGCTTTCTACCAACCAGTAGCACATCCACCTTTGCCATACCCTGCAAATTGTATCTCTTGAACTACATCACGTCACCAAGTTCTCTTTGGAGGAGAGGAACTTTTGGCATTTACTAGGAGGTTGGTTTACAAAATAGGATATATACTTTTTATATTTAGTTTCCAGACTTTCTTATTTTTGGCATGAACTTCCTTTAAGCTGCAGACTCTTAAAATCCTGAAGTAGTAAGGCATTAACCAGGTAATGACGCTTAACATACACTCCAACACTGAGGACCTAAAATACACCCAAAGTAGTCCTGATGAAAATCTGGCCTTAAAGCTTAGAGAATATCAGGAAGCATATCTAAGGGAAAATAATAAACTCTGCTGCTCCCATGCTCTTACAACATTTTACCAAACTTGCATGAGAATTTCCTTTTGAAAGGACATTTGTTTTAGACAAAAGGGGTAAGTTGGATGGAGTGGGCTAAATAAGGAAGAGACCAAGATAACCTGATGAATAGGTGGAAATCAATAAAAATTTGCCATACCTATAGAAAATTACTTCTAGGATTTTTTTTTAAATGTGCTAACTGGTTTCTTTTAGATTCATCCCCAGAAATAGCCTATTAGAAACACTATGCTTTGCAGAAAAGATTCTTTGTATTGGAAATTAATAAGATGAAATCATATTCCATGGGAGAATTCTCTTCTCTAGAGACTGTTGCTCTTAGAGATATAGAAATTCATTGTAGATGTTCCTTCTCTGTCTCTGCCGTGAAACACGCACACATATCCATGGACATGTTTTCTCTCCAGAAGAATAGAGACATACAGAGGCTATTCAAGAACTTATGGCCAGATGTTTACACCAAAGAATTAGATTTTGGTTGGACATGTTAGAACATTTTGAAAGGCAGAAATTGACAGTCAACTCTAATTTTTTTTTAAAAAAAGATTATAATGCTACTTGAATTTGCAAGGATACTTTTAATCACAGTGAAAAATAAAAATGTTTGAACAAGACTATATAGTCTAGGTGAAAAGAAAGAAAAATAACCTATATAGTGGAACCCATCTCATGATTATACACACTTTCAAAGCATAAAAACTTGGCAAGTACTCTCAAAATACCAAAAAATAAAAAAAAATAAAAAAACCTTTTTAAGTAGCTGAGAATTAATGACTAAGAAAATATGTTGTGATACACAGATATCTACTTTGCCATTGCTAAATCAATTCTCACAGGATATCTAAGATCCAGATTATTCCCCCTTTCAATGTGATTTTTAGCCTGTAATCTCTAAATTATGTGGCACTTAAGATATAGTTTCTCAGATGTTGTTGAGGTTAAGTAAATTTTAAACAATAATCTTTTATTGAGAAAAGGGGAAGTAGGATTTAGTCTACTGCGTATTTCCCTGCTCTCTACAGATACCTTATCGCTCCCGTGAAGTGCTGGCTTCATGCATTCCTATCACAAGGCAATCACTCAGGGTAAACGATGATGCTGCATGTCTTTTGTGCCACCTCTACATTTCTCTAAACCATATTAAAATTGAAACCAAAAGCACAGATAAAAGCAATGAAAATATGAATTCACTTTTCCATGTGCTGGTCTCACCTAGTGCTTCTACTTAAATTTTTAATTTATGGGAAATATACTTCAATCTATAATTTTTTTGTAATTTTGAAATGAGCGATATGAATTTTTATTGCATTATTGAATGGCCCTTGTTTACCTATCCTTTATACCTTATTTATAAAGTGCATCCTTTATAAAGGATGAAGTGTATATAGTGCATAAAAGATATACTTTATAAAATATATCCTTTATGCACTATATGCCTCCATAGTATCAGGTATATATTTCATTAGGAGATGCATACATATTTATATACTGCAATCCAGGCCATTATACTGATATAGGAGAGAAGAGGTCATCTATGTCAGAATTGTTTTCCTAACATTCTCTAAATTTCCCTAGCTTATAAATTACTTCCTTGCATTTCAAAAAAGATGCTTTTGGTTTTTGTAGATAATATGGGTCACACCAGTTCTGCTGAGCCCCAGTTGCATTTACTTCTCTAAGACCTAGATTATATGGTTTACCATAGTGATATTTTTCATTGACTCAAAAATATAAGAGATTATTTACTCCTAAATATATCGTAAGATGTTAGCTTCAATTTAGAAAACTTTATTTGCTTATATCCTTATTGTTCCACCTTATTACTTGGCCAAAACTATGGAAATCAGTCATATCTCATTCCCAAGATTAAAAATTTTAGGAAACCTGACTGGGCACCGTGGCTCATGCCTGTAATTCCACCACTTTGGGAGGCCGAGGCAGGCAGATTGCTTGAGGCCAGGAGTTTGAGACCAGCCTGGACAACATGGTGAAACCCTGTGTCTACAAAAAATACCAAAAAAAAAAAAAAAAGTATTCAGGTGTGGTGGCACATATCTGTAATCTCAGCTTCTTAGGAGGCTGAGGCATGAGAATTGCTTGAACGCAGGAGGTGGAGGATTCAGTGAGCCAAGATAGTGCCACTTCACTCCAGCCTGGGCAACAGAGCAAGACTCTGTCTCAAAAAAAAAAAAAAATTAGAAAACCAGTTTTCTCTATTGGACAATTATAAGAAGTTGTCCCACTACTCTGACATATCTCGACATATAGTCTCAACTTTTCAGAGCATGAAATACACATTTCACTTATCTGAAAGGATTCAGTTGTCTATTGGAGTATGATATTTTGTGACCATAAAATACAATATAATATTTTAAAATTTGACTATCAAATATAACATAGTATTTCCCTAAAGGGAAAAATAATTTTGATTACTGCAGTTGTAGTACGTAGGGACTATGGTGGGACTGTTTCAAAAAATTTAAATAAAAACTGGACATAACATAGAGAGGTGCTTAGTGAAAACCCCTTAGTCTTCTCCTGGTTCATTCTAGTATTGCACATCTTATAGTCATACATCACAAATCCTGCAGATGACTGAAATATTACATGATGTGGAGAGAAGCTAAACTGAAACTTTTTATATGCAACTTCAATTTGATATAGACCCCAGAAAAAGAAACATGTTCTGTATAAATTATCATTGTGAATTTTTTGGCTGCTTATTCCTAACTGTACAGAGTTAAGCCAGCCTTCGATATTCCAAATATAAACATGTTAGCAATCACATTTTTAGAGCGAGTATAATTTATAAGCTGGGATATTTCCAAGGATATATTTTGTAATTTCATCTTTGATGGGTGCATTCCATGATGAAATGCTGTATCATTTACAGAACAGCTAAATACTAAAGCTATAAACTTGATACGTCTCTTAGATATAAGCCTCTCTATCCATAGAGAAAATTTCGATGCTTATGATCCTCTCCTGGAATAATCATCATGAAATTACCATTATGTTTTGACATTTAACACTCCCTGAGTAACATGCATTTCTTTTCTTTTCTTACACCATTTTTCTCACAATCACAGATTCCTGAATAAAAATGAGACAAGTGGACTGCCTCAATTTCATTTTCTCTGCCCTATTATTTTCAAAACATTTTATTACCTGCTTCCTTTTAGTATTCTAGAAGCAATAAACTCATTACAACATCAAATGTAAAACAAGAAAGCATGCTATGTACCTCACTTTTCATGTTCAAACCATTGTACATCAACTAACTTCTTTTCTCTACCTTAATGGGAGGTAGTTGGTAAGTATTAACCTCCTCTTAATGGCCAAGGGAACTGAGGTAACATTTAGATGTCAATGAAAAATCCATTCCAATGAAAGCTTTGCTTAGTATTAGGAGAAGCTTGTTTCTACTTTTGTGCATATGGTTATTGAATACTCTTTCCAATTTAACAGACATGTTAACATGTATAATTAATAAGGAGATGTCATTTCAAACATGCCAGCAACATTGTCTGGATTGCTTATCAGAATTTATTGCATTGTTCCTTTGGGGTAATTTTCTGTCTTCATGGAAAGGTCGCATCTGTTTCAAGGTTATATATGTATAAGGATAATGCACATGGATATTTTTGAAGTTGACATTCAGGAGAACAAGAAAGTTTAAAAAGCACCTGTTTTGGTACTCTTTATGAATTTCGTTATTGTGAACCCCAAATGGTGTAATTACATCCTTATTTCATAAAAACCGTGATAAACCCTATTTGGGAATCACATTGATTTTTTAGTGGAAGTGTAAGACTTTTAAAAAATGACAAATGTGACTGTGTCAACTTTGTGATGATTAACCAATTATTAACACAAAAGGGGAAACATCTGATTGCCTGTCTCACCACCAGTTTCTCTCCTTACTACTGCAGCTGGGTATTTAAGTAGCTCTTTATTTAAAAAATGGAAATGAACAGATATAGTCTTTCTTTTCCCTGGGCAGTTGCTGACTCTGGATTCCTCTGTGGAATATTATACTCTTAAGAACTATCTGTAGATGACTCTCCTTTTGCAAAGGCAAAGCAGAAATTAATTAACCATTAACCAAATAATCACATTGGCATCATCCACAGAATTGTAATATTCTCTGGGGCACAGGATACTTCTTTTTTCATCCCCACGCCCATTATAAATACCTTTTATACATGCATGCAGAATGAAAAAGGACCATGGGCCCATGTCAGTATTTTCAGCTTCACCCAACACTAAAATAGCAACTATTTCCAGTCATTTTTTGCATACAAAAGACACACATACACAGTAAATTTGGGGGGAGCAGGTTGTTGCTTTTATAAACTGCATGGTATGTTTGAGTGCAGTTACTCGATTTTAAAGCTCCTGAGTTGTAATGATAGCTTAACTATAGCTATACTTTGCCAGCCTTTTAAATCTAAAACCATTTTTAAAAAAACATTTGTTTACCCATGTGACTATTCATTTACTCAGTAGTCACAGAGACTTCAGGCTGCAAACATGTGTTGAATGTGCCCCTTCACCCAAATAAATTCTGTGTCTGATGTGTTCGATATTTGTCCATCTTATTTTCATTTAAATTGAAATTTTAAAAAGATGTTCCCATCCATGTGATAGAGTTGTTTGTGTTTGTTTGTCACCACCGTTTCCCTTCCCCTTGGAAAAAAAATTGAGATTAGAATATGACATCTTATACCTTTTGGTGGCTTCCAAACCAGGGGTGTGATCAAACCAATGTTTTCTGAATGATAGATACGGCATCAGTGATTGAAAACAGAATCTCAATTTTGGCAGCTTGGGGCTACAAGGCCTTGTCCTCCCTCCCAAACATTTGAAAACACCCATCCCAGGGACTCTCCCAACCATCCTTCAAAGATAATGGTATCTTTGAAGTGACTGTATCATACAAGTGATTTTGGCTAACACCCACCAGAGGACAGTCTCCTGTACTCTCTCCGGGGTACACTAACACTGTTGATGCTTGGCAGGGTGGCAAGTATACAGAGTGAACCTGGTCAACAGAACCTCCTTGTTCAGCAGCCGCTGGGGAGGAAGAGGGGCCTGAGGCAGGTAAGTAGACCCTTAAAGCGCAAGAGAACCATCCTACGAATTGGAAGCTCTGTGTGATTTTTAATGCCCATGTATATTAAGATATTTTGCTGCTGGACGTGCCCGGAATCCCAGCTACTGGGGAGGCTGATGTGGGAGGATTGCTTGAGCCCAGGAGTTAGAGTCCAGCCTGGGCAACATAGTAAGACTCTGTCTCTAAAAAACTAACTAAATAAATAAAACAATGTTTTTTTTTTAAAGTTTATATTTTGCATTCACCCTACCTAAAATAAGCAGCACAGAGCAACTTTAAAACGTGGTAAGTACTTAGGCAAGCCAAATGTTTCGATCTTCTATTTTAGCTCTGAATTTTCTTATTAGCAAAGCTGATTATGTGGTAAAGTAAGTGGGGCTATAATTCTATTTGTTCCTTACCCAGAAACTTTCTTTACCAGCCAAACTTATTGATAGAGGAAGATTTGTTATACAGTTGATTTAAGGCCTGTTTCTGCATAAAGGCAAAGAAAAAGAAGTCCTTTCTTTCTCATTTCAAGATTATTTAATTTAAAGCAAACTGAAGTAAAGATCATCTTTAGAGATTTCCTTAGGTGGAGTTCTTTTACATTACTTTCTAAATAAAAGTCTGAAAGCAGCTTATCACTGTTGCTTCCTTAGGAGCTTCCCATTATTGATTCAGGTACCAGGCACTTGGCCAGCATCTGAGGTTTTGAAAATAAACTTCCCCTTTGAAAGCATATGTCCAGCTATAAGTTTTAAATGAGCAAAGGTTGATCAGTAAGCAATAGTTATTCACTTTGCATCCTAAAATTACTGAAATTCTCAAGTTTATGATCTAAATTATGTTAGTCAATGTTCTTGGCATATATAAAGGACTAATAATTGGGAGATGAACTAGCTAAAGGGAATGTCAGAAGAAAATACTTATAGTTAAATATGCAGAAATAAATTTATCAGCTATAAATGTAAGGAACAACCATAAGAATCCACAGAAACATATAAATAAAGAAACAATTTCCTCCTAGGCAGTTAGACCCTCTTGCAAGTTTTATTCTGCCTATTCTCTTTAGCTAAGACGTCCTCTACTATCACGTCAGAAAACTCAGACTGAACCCAGAAATCGCCAAGGGGCTCGGCTGTCAACCACTCGCAGGAGCATTCAACCTAAAACGAAGCCGTCTGGTGAGGCCTCCTGTGTCCCTTCTGACTATACCATTGACATGATGCCATGCAACTCACCCAGGAAGGCTTACAAAAACCAAGCTGATGGAGATAAGCACACCTTTGGGGAGGTGCTAACATAAGGGAAGGAGTTTCCCAGAAAACTGTAGTGTCTTTTTTTTCTTCTTGCCTTCCCCAGTCCCTGTCTGTACCCCCATGAACCTATAAAAAATGGAAGAGCCCAAGGTAAACCACTAATACTGGGAAATTTGACTATAAAAGGATGTGGCTTCTTTACTGAAGCCAAGGACTGGGTTTGCTGTATGTCTCACTGAAGGTAAAGCTATGATGAATAATAGGGACTTTTAAGTCCTGTTGGCAGTTGTTATGAGGAATGATCAACTTCAATTAATATTCTATACAAATGTTATTTTAGGCCATTTACGTGAAAATGATTTTTCTACGTAAGTCTTACTCTTTGTAAGAAGATAAAATCAAACATGCGCAAAATGTTCAAACGTGCTCTCATTTATTAATAAACCAGCAATGTTTTTATTTTAAAAAATCCCCAGGAGACACTGGTTAATACCAACTATTAAGCATTGACGGTCCGTTTCCACCAACTCCTCCCCAATTTACTGTTTCACCTCTACCTGCAGCGGATCAGAAACGATCTGTGACCTTCATTGAGGCTCAGCCAGAGCCAGCAGCTGCCCCAACAGATGCGCTTCCTGCAACAGGCCAACTACAGGGCTGTAGCCCAGCCCCTTCTAGGAAACCAGAAGCAATGGACGAACCAGTCCTCACATCTTCTCCCGCCATAGTTGTTGCGGATCTCCACAGCGTGTCTCCCAAGCAGGTGAGGGCACTAGAGAAACAGGCAAGGCTTGCTCCCTGTGTACTTACTTCTAGCAGCCACTTGGATATGCACATTTATTCCATATAATTAAGTCCAGGTCTGCAATGCTTTGTTATCCAAACAGATACTGCTCCTGCCATCATGAAAGAGAAAAATCTATATAAAGTATAGCCAGGCATATATCTGCTTAAGAAGGACCAAGAAAAGCCTTGCTATTTTTACCTATGAAAAACCTAAGAGGAAATACTTTGCAGCTAAAACAGCTCTTTAAAACAGGTTTATACAGGTTGAGCATCCCTAATACAAAAATCTGAAACTTTTTTTCAGAAAAATTTGAAACTTTGTAAGTGCTGATGTAATATTCAAAGTTCATGCTCAAAGAAAATGCTTATTGGAGCATTTTGGATTTCAGATTTTTGGATTAAGGATGCTCAACCAGGTAAGTATATAATGCAAATATTCCAAAATCAGAATCCAAAGCACTTGTGTTTCCAAGCATTCAGATAAAGGATAGCTGAAAGATAGTTCAATTTAAAAAAATTAAGTTACCAGTTTAGATAAAGCCTCTAAATATAGAACCTCTATGTCCTATAAGATGAAAGGAACTTTTTGTTTTCATCTTTTTCCTCATTGTTTTGCTATTTTTCCTGTTGATATTTTTCTTGTTTTGGTATATTTTTTCTTTTCATTTTTATAAATGAATTCTTAGAGTGTCAGATTCTTCTCATGTGGTATTTAAGGAAAACTAAAGGGCAATGTTACTGTATACATTTGTATAGTCTTTAATGGTTAAAAAACATTTTAACACTAAGCATTATTATCTCATTTGATCCTCACAGTCTACAAGATAAGCAAGACAAAAAATTGTGTTCATGTTACATGTTCAAAAACTGAGGGTTAGAAAGTTGGAAAGGCCTACGTAAGGTCCTACCTATAACAAAGGCTGGAACTGGGACTAGCCATCTGATTCCTTTTCCAATTACCACTAGACAACAACATTTTTTGATGTTCTTCTCTGGTACCCATCCTATCTTTCCATAATGTTATGATCCTTTTGATCACAGAGTGAGAACTTCCCCACTGAAGAAGGAGAAAAGGAGGAGGACACAGAAGCACAAGGTGCTACTGCACACAGTCCACTCTCTGCCCAACTCTCTGACCCTGATGACTTCACAGGCCTCGAGACATCCAGCCTCCTACAGCATGGAGACACTGTCCTTCATATCAGTGAGGAAAATGGCATGGAGAACCCGCTACTATCTAGTCAGTTCACCTTTACTCCCACTGAGCTGGGGAAAACGGATGCAGTATTAGATGAGTCTCATGTTTAATTCTGTATCTTGTAAGCTCTGCAGGTATAGAGAAGACATGAAAGTGATCTCTCTACTACAAGTTCAATACTTTTGCTTGAAAAAGATTAATTACAAAATAGCACTTTACTTCTAATGGGTGGCACAAATCTGAATAGGTTTTGCTGCCAATACACATGATGTTTCATAAACATCTTAAAAGTCAATGGCTAAAAGGATTTAGTTGTGTGAAAATCACAAAACCAGGGAGGAATAAGGGGAAAGAGCCATTTCACTGCACATTGTTTATGATTCAAGAAGCCTTCAGCAGTTAAAAATATATACTATTCATTGCTGCTTTCATAGAAATATTAACAAATGATATGATCTAAAAATAGAATGCAATTTTTTGAGATTACTCACATTATACATCTCATGCAAATATTTATTTTTATAGTTTAAAAAATATCAATTCAGGTTGGCTATACAAGTAGCAATTTACATAAAAAAATAATTAATAGGAAAAATATTACTTTGGGGAGACTAAATAACAAGCCTGCAGCCATTTTTGTTTTGAGTAACAATACAGCCATTTAGAAGAAGAAAAAAATACTATATAGAGAGCTGTGGACTTTTAGATATTTATTTTTCAACTATCATTTTCATTGCATGTTGTAAATCAAAATGCAGATGGCATAAGATCATCCCATTTCATAATCTATCACATTAGAATATTACAGAATATTCTAGAAATCATCAGAAATAATTCTGAATTAAGAACCTAAACAGCCTATACAATTATAAAAACTAAATGTATATATAATCACTTAAAAGAGATGGTATTCCTATTCCTAGCCCTGACTACATCAATACCAAGATTAGAAGCTATTGGAAAATGTGATTAGTAATACTTTTCCTTATAGTATCCTGTGCCTGCCCTGGAGGGCATATTTTCAGATATTAAGGTTAGTGTTGTTAGAATCGGTTTAATAAAATAACATTTTCCTAATAGAAACAATATTCTTATGATACTTGGAACATCTAAGTTTATAAGGAAAAATGTATAAAGTAAGCAATTTCTTCATAGACACCTCCAGTTTATATATTTTGCAAATAGGCCTTTAACTTGAAGTTCAATTACTTCAAGAAAAGTGTAACACTTAGAAGGCTTGTGAGGCCAACACCTAGTGTGTTACTGATCCTATGGTAGGGCTGTGCATCACGTGGTTCACAATTGAATTTCAAAATTTTAACAGTTTACATTAGAAAACTGTTACCTAACAACCAAGCATATACAAACTCATATACATACTTAAATTGGTACGGTGGTGTATGTGTGCGTGCGTGTGTGTGTGTATGTGTTGTAGTCCTCAAGATGAAGTTAAATATAGACTTTAATTACCCTGCAATGAATTTAAAACACATTCTGTATGCTTAAACTTTGAGTGCGTTGGCTGTGAAATGTATACATATATAAAGAGGATACCTACTAAACCCACCTTAATCATAAAGGAAAATTATTTTTTGTTAGAATTGCTTATTAAATAGGCATACTTTATACTGTGGTTTATAATTTCAAATATAACTTGGGGTTATGGTCCTATTCACTAAGAGAATGAAAGATATCCATGAGTTAAAAGAACAAAACTAAAAATTTCAGATCTAACAATTGAAAGAAAATTGAGGCAGTAAATGACCTCTTTTACTCTTTTATGTTTTACAATATTATCATGTTATTTACAGTTAATGCTGAAATAATTCTCAAGTGCAGGAATATAAATGTTAAGTGGTTTTATGATTCCAAGCTGATATATTTCACCTGTTAAAAATTATGCTGCTAAATTAGCATTAGAGGCCTTATGTTTGGTAATTACAAGTGTCTGGGCTATTGGCGCGTCTCTATATATGTGTGTGCTTTGTTCCAGTTTCTTCAAATTATCTATGTATAATTGTATGAAATATTTAAATAGCAAAGAAGTCAAAGAAGATTGTTAAATATTCAACAAGAATCATAAATACCTTTATATGTATTTTAAAAGTATTGGGCTGTTCTGAACATGATTATGCTGGTCTGTCTGTCTTTTAGCCTGACTCCTTCACTCTTGTGTGTGAAGTCTATTAGCAACTTTCAATAAGCTAAGCAATGTTGTAACTTGCAAAAAAGCCTCCACTCTGAGAAACAGGGCCTTATAGAGTAGGAATGTTTTCATACTGGGACTACTGAAATTTTGCAGATGTGTGCATCTGTTCCATTTAAGGTGCCCTTAAATGTGTTGAATGTAATGTGTTGAATGTTTATGTGTAATGGCTAAAGTATCTATATGTATGTGCATAAAACTGTCACAAGATGTATTCTCAGGAATACTGTTACCTGGAGTTTGAAAGGAATAACTATTAAAAAAAAAAGTTGGGGAAGATTAGAAAAAAGCTCAAGATAAATGTTCAAAATATTATTAAGTACATGACTAAAAGCTAATTACTACATATGATAAATGCAGTGTTGGTAATAGTAGATCATTTCTTAAGCCATGATACTTAATGATATTTATCTTATTCAGAGGAAAAACAAAAAAGGTACCCACTTCCCATGTAGAAAAAATTAGACTCAGCAAAGAGGTTGCTTCTTCTGAAATTAGCTTTTGAGAGACCTTGGAATAAACCATGTGTTATCCATGATAGTATGACTCAGATCCAATTAAAACAGTTTAAATTCTGGATATAGGATCTCCTATAGCAAAACATTTTACTTTCATTTTTCAGTATTTGCTGCTTTCTAGAATTCTATTAGATAAGCTATGTCATTTTTCTGAAAAAGAAACTGAGTTATTGAGTGTATTAAGACAAGGCACTGAGAACTACAGTGTCAAAATCAAAGGGCATAAATGGGCATGGCAGTGCTGGTGGAAAAATCTGTGGTACTGGTGATCTGGTTAGGGCCTGTTGCACAGGCTGGGAGTAACTGGTTTGCTGTTTCAAGCCTCCAAGAGTACCTTAAACAAGGTGATAGCTCCTCTCTTCTTTAGCATTATATTCCTTTAGTCAACAAAGAACTTTCTCCACTCTGCTGCCCAGCTCTGAGAGTATCTGAGATGAGAATAGGATGTGTGTGGAGGGGCTTTTAGGGAAGAAAGGGTCATAAATGAATAGAAGTACAGTCTGAAACATGAATTAAATATCCTTCCTCAAGTTATAAAGGATACTTTAATAGAACACAGTCTCCAGAATTCGCTGCTATCACACCAAGTCATGCTGTTGCCCTGTGACCTCACACTTCCCATTCCATGGCCTTGTCTTGGCAGGGAGTAAAAAATCCCACTTCTTTTTACTTTAGTGGGTCTCAACTGCAGCATTTCAGAAACAAATTTTGATTTGACACTCAGGAGAATAAAAACAAGTTGAGGGCAGAATGTATTTGGAAAAGCTTAAGACAAATTTACTGATATTATTTTATGATCATTTAGGATTACAGATCAATTTACCTCCATAAATCTTTGAATTGTCACTGTGACCACAGGATGAAAATCCTTTATTAGCCATTTTATAGGTTAAAACAAAAAATTGACTACACAGCCGACTTCCCTCAGATAACTATGAAGTCTATTATGAGTACTGAATGACCAAAGAACATGGAAAAAATGCATATGAATAAATACTGAAATGTTTATGAAAGATATTTATGAAAGATATTAAGACTTCTGTGTTTAGGTATGCACATATGATAAAATAAATCTAAAAACATTAAAGATGCCTAAGTTTCATTTCTTAATGTAGGTAATAGCTTGACTCCTTCAGGAAGATGTTCATTTTGGATTCCTGGGGTGTGCCTTTGTTAATGCCTTGCTGTCCATCCTCAACCTCCCCAGTCTGGCCTGAGGTCACCATCCAATTAGACACCTCCAATACACTCTCCGTGACCCCTCCCCACAAACTGAGCTCTACTCTACTCATGCTTTGCAAATCTACCTTTAAAAAATAAAAATAAACTTCTCTGCCCAGGCTTTCATCTACTGGAATAACTGGTAGATTTCCCAGTGGGATTGTTAAAGATCTGGTTGCCCTCACAATGTGGCCAGAAATACGTGGTCCTGTGTCAGGAATTGGTGGGTTCTTGGTCTCAATGACTTCAAGAATGAAGCCACGGACCCTTGCGGTGAGTGTTACAGTTCTTAAAGGCAGCGTATCCGGAGTTTGTTCCTTCTGATGTTCAGATGTGTTTGGAGTTTCTTCCTTCTGGTGGGTTCGTGGTCTCGCTGGCTTCAGGAGTGAAGCTGCAGACCTTCGCGGTGAGTGTTACAGCTCTTAAGGCGGTGCGTCTGGAGTTGTTCATTCCTCCCAGTGGGTTCGTGGTCTCGCTGGCTTCAGGAGTGAAGCTGCAAACCTTTGTGGTGAATGTTATAGCTCATAAAGGCAGTGTGGACCCAAAGGTGAGCAGTAGCAAGATTTAGTGCAAAGAGCAAAAGAACAAACATACCACAGCTCAGAAGGGGACCCAAGCCGGTTGCCACTGCTGGCTCAGGCAGCCTTTTCTTCTCTTATCTGGCCCCACCCACACCCTGCTGATTGGTCCATTTTACAGAGAGCCGATTGGTCCGTTTTGACAGGGTGCTGACTGGTGCGTTTACAATCCCTGAGCTAGACACAAAAGTTCTCCTACTAGATTAGCTAGATACAGAGTGTCCATTGGTGTATTTACAAACCCTGAGCTAGACACAGAGTGCTGATTGGTGCATTTACAAACCTTGAGCTAGATACAGAGTGCCAATTGGTGCATTCACAATCCCTTAGCTAGACATAAAGATTCTCCAAGTCCCTGCCAGATTAACTAGATACAGAGTGCCCATTGGTGCATTCACAAACCCTGAGCTAGACACAGGGTGCTGATTGGTGTGTTTACAAACCTTGAGCTAGATACAGAGTGCTGATTGGTGTATTTACAATCCCTCAGCTAGACATAAAGATTCTCCAAGTCCCCACCAGACTCAGGAGCCCAGCTGGCTTCACCCAGTGGATCCCATACTGGGGCGGCAGGTGGAGCTACCTGCCAGTCCCCTACTGTGCGCCGGCACTCCTCAGCCCTTGGGCGGTCGATGGGACTGGGTGCTGTGGAGCAGGGGGCGGCGCTCCTCAGGGACGCTGGGCGCGCAGGAGCCCACGGCATGGAGGGGAGGCTCAGGCATGGTGGGCTGCAGGTCCCGAGCCCTGCCCCGTAGAGGGAGGCAGCTAAGGCCTGGCAAGAAATCCAGCACAGCAGCTGCTGGCCCAGGTGCTAAGCCCCTCACTGCCCGGGGCCAGCAGGCCAGCCGGCCCACCCAAGTGCGGGGCCGCAGAGCCCACGCCCACCTCGAACTCGCGCTGGCCCACAAGTGCCTTGCAGTCCCAGTTCCCGCCTGTGCCTCTCCCTGCATACCTCCCCACAAGCTGAGGGAGCCAGCTCCGGCCTTGGCCAGCCCAGACGGACTCCCACAGTGCAGCGGTGGGCTGAAAGGCTCCTCAAGCGCGGCCAGAGTGGGTGCCAAGGCCAAGAAGGCACCGAGAGTGAGCGAGGGCTGCCAGCACGCTGTCACCTCTCAGTCCAAGTTACCACTTCCGTCTTTTACACAGAGTACAAGTGCTCTATTCTGACCCCTTAAGGATTGCTCTTGCTAAGTCCATTTATCCCCGCCAAGTGGTTTTACTTCTGTCTCTTTTCCTGACCCTAGGCACATTTAGCATCAGGATACTCATCCATTTCTGAACTGTGTGTGAACAGCACACAAACCTATCACAATTTGTGAATGAGCATTGGAGAGGTGTAGGGGCCAAGGGAAAACTTTCCCTTCACCCTCCAAAGGTTTGCTGAAAATCACTGACAGAAAGAAGATTAACAGGAGAAAAGGCATAAAAACTTATTTGATTATAGTTTTACCTGACACAGGAGCCTTCAGAATGAAGACCCAAAGGTACAGGGGTGATTACCCATTTTTATACTTAGGTTCAACAAAGTATAGACAGCCATGTAGAAATACGATTGGACAAAATAGGCGATCTAATGCTAATAGACTGACCTGGCCTTGGCCAGTCTAGTTTAGATTCCTGGCCTCTCTGTGCAGCATTCCCTCCTCCTGGATATGGGATAGAACCTTCTCTAGAAGAGGAGTTTTATAACCTACAGTTGAGATGGGTCAAATAATTTATGGCCAGTTTTTACACAGAAAGGTGGAGGAAAGTTAGAGTAATGCTTTTGGGTTTTGTGTCTGGCTTCAGGGAAAGGGGGTTCCGGTTTCAATGACTCTTCTTAGGGAAGATGGGCTCCAGTTTCTATGACCTGCCTCCTAGAATGAGACTGAGAAGAGAGCAGGGCAGGAAGTCAGAGAAACACTGTTGCGTCTGAGGCCTTCACTTTGGGCTATCATTTTCTGAGCCTCAACAGAGGGAAAAACAAAAAAGGTAAGGAGGAACTGCAAAGGCAGAAAAAGAGGGTAATATAATAATAACTACCATTTTGTACTGAGCACCAGGCATCCTGCTGGGCGCATTACCTGGCTTCACTCATTTAATACAACCCTAAAGCTGGGCACTGTCTTTACAGATGAGAAAACCGAAGTTAAGAAGTGATTTGCCAGGTCACCCAGCTAGTATCTGGCAGAGCCAGGGTTCCTCCAGCTCAAAAGAAGAGCTCTAGGAGAAATACGAGGAAGAAAGGTTTTTAATTGTTGTTTTAAAGGGCCAGCATAGGCGCTGGAGAGGAAAGAAAGGCATATGCAAAGGGTGGAGAAACAAAAAGTGATGTTAAGTCAAGAGCCGAGGAGAGGGAACTGCAGGAGAAGCAAAGTGAAAAAAGGTTAAGAAACGCCTTGAGTACTGCGAGGACGTTAAGATCCAAACAGCACAAGAAGGAAGGTCAAAATCAGGTGTACGAGGCCCGTGTGCCCCGCCCCGCCCCAGGCGGACGGCTGACAGCGCCCCACCCCAGGAGGAGGCGGGACTTCCTCACCGCAGAGTGGCTGCTTCCGGTAGAATCCGGAAGCCTGTACGGAGAAGGGGCGGGGCCAAAACTGCGCGCCCAATCGGGGTGACGCTCTAGCCTTGCCGGGGACTCGTGGGTAACTTGCTTTTGGGAGCCAGCGGTATGGCGTCGGGCTGCAAGATTGGCCCGTCCATCCTCAACAGCGACCTGGCCAATTTAGGGGCCGAGTGCCTCCGGATGCTAGACTCTGGGGCCGATTATCTGCACCTGGACGTAATGGACGGGTAACTCCTCCGGGCTCCGGTCGGGCTTGCCGCGCGGCGGGGCGGATCAGTGCACCTTTATTGACTGCTTGTTGGATGTACCGCGTCCCTGTACCACCGAGCGCCTCACTCTGAACGCGATGCTAGAAGGGGTGTGGGGTAGGAGCCCTGGAGGCTCTAGCAGGAGCAGAACCGACGCGGTATCCTGGGTTGCGGCCGGGTCCCAAACCTCAGTTCCTCCCCTCCCCCCACGTAACGTGTGGTCTTCCATCACTTAGGACCCGGAAGCGACCTAAATCTTTAGGACATTTCTTCACTTTCAGCTAGAGAAACTGAGGCCCAAGGGGAGAAGCATGACTTGCCCAAGCTCATATAGCTAGTTAGTGGCAAAGCTGGGGAAACAGACTTCTCTAACGATTTAAGTTGGCACCTGCGGTTAGGTTCCCGAGTTCTGCCACTTGCTGGGTTACCTTGGACAAGCCACTAACCTCATTGAGCTTCAGTTTCATAATTTGAAAAATGGAACTACTAACAGAACCTACCGCTTAGGCATCTTGGAAGATGAAATGAGCGAGTACATGAGAAGTTTACAGTGCCTGGCGTATATTAAGTTCTCTATAATTGTTAATTACATCATTATTACAATTCTGATTTTCCTGTCTATTTTCTCTTCAGGCACCCTGCTCTTCAGGGAGGTCAGTTTTTTGTAAGTAATTTTTAAGCACCGTAGTTACAGCACATAATATTGTTTGGAGTCAGGATATTAGTTTCTGAAGTTGGTTACAGAATGAGGAAACAACCCCAGAGAAAGCAGTAAGACTCCCTCAAGATTACAGAAGATTGTGACAGACTTGCAACTTGGCTCTTCCTAGGTTTGCCAAGTAGTTCTCTGAGCCCCACTGTTAACTGACTATAAAAATCATAAATACCATTATCTTGAGTGGGGATGGAAAAATAAATTTATTTTAAATAGGTAAAAACCCTGTGTTCCCTCATTCAGTTTGCAAATTGGTGTTATTTTCTAAAGGTGATGATTTCCTTTTCTTTTTAATGTTAATCTGGCTTTGAAGAGTTTTATCTTCCATTGCTCTATGTGGTTAAATGTATTGTTTCTCTTTGGCATTTTACCCAGTTACCTTAGGAGTCCACCCAACTGATAATGACAAAACTTTGACCATAGAGTACTAAAAATAATAGGCCAAATGTGTAAAAAGTTTAGTAAATATTACCTCTCACAAAGGTTGGCTTTTAATTGGCCATTATATGTAATTATACTTATATACTTTATTTTTGACATCTTTGCTTGAAAGCCCTAAACTGTCACAGGTAATAATACCCTGAGTGTCTACCTCAAAGGTAAGTAGCTACATTTTTGTGCCTGAGAAAATACCTAGAGGGTCACAGGATGGAACAGCTATGTGTATATTTGTGAGTCTATTTGAGCAATTTGGTTTTAATTAAACTATGTTTGAGTAAGTTAATGGTTGGGGAAAGTAATTGTTTCGGTTCACCAGTCAGGATTATTAATGATAACCATAGTAGCAATGTTTATGAGCACTTGACTGTTTCTGTTCTGGAGTTTTTTTGTGAATTAACTCAAACAACCGTTTGAAATTGGTGGTGTTATTACCACCAGCATTTGACAGCGAGGAATTGGGCACAGAGAGGTTAAGTCATCTGCCAGTGGTCTCATAACTAGGAAATGGTGGAGCCAGGGTTGGAAGCAATGCAACAGCTTGTGTTGTCTCAAATGAAATGCTTTCTGTGGTTCCTAGGCTTACAGGGAATGACTAAGACATTGTTTGGCCTCAAAAAAGCAACTAATAATTTGTGTATTTATTTCTGTTAACTGTATACTTATTTTTGTTAACTTATTTCATGTCTCTCCTGCTACCCTATAAGCTTCCTGAAAGCCAAGTTTATCTTCTTTTTGCTCACCTATATATTCTTTGCTGGAAAAGCACCATAAGGTGCTTAGTTATTGTTGGCCGAATGAATGAATAGCTTAATCATAATAGGAGAAGTCTCTCAGAAGTCACTTTTGTCCCCTTGCAGCTCTATGGCAGACTGAGCTCAGTAAGGCAAAGTATTTACCATGGATCAGAGTTTTGGGAACAAAAAAATAAAAAATGAAGTATTTGTTTTTTATTGATTCCTCTTCCCCTTTGCCAGGAGATACTTTGGTTTGGAAAAACTGAATTCTGCATACACAATTTTAAAATTATTTCCCTTTTAATCTTCTCTACTTTCTGAGTTAAGAGCTGTTTCTATTCCCCTTTTGCAAAGGAGGAAACCAGTGTAGGGAGATTCAGCTTCTTCCCTGATGTCTCACCAGATTCAGCAGAGCCTGGCAGAGTTGGTGCCAGTGCCCCTACGTGATGTGCTGTGGTGTCTACTAGGCTAGGGCTATGAAAGTGGGCTGTGGACTCCTTTTTGAAATGTGGCCAGCCACAATGTCCCTTCCCTCCCAGGACTGCCTTCGTGTTTTTTTTTTCCTGGCCCCTTTTAAAAATCTCATCCAACATTACACTTTGGATGTGCTTATTGTTTTCTAGTCTCCTCCCCACTAAGACCTCCAATTTCTCCCCTGATTACAACTGAATTTCTTCATTTAGAAAGTCAGAAACCAGTCTGGGGAATACTGTGGAAGGTGGAGCACTAGCATGACTGGATATGTGAAACAAAGGACAAGTGGATTCTCTGGGGGAAAAAAACCCTAGAAAACACATAAATGCATCATGACAGGACAGTGACTAGAATGTGTTCATCCTAACCATGGGAACAGAGCAAAGAATTAATTTCTAAATTCGCTACCAGGATTTAAAACTGGGACGATTTCACATTAATACTGCATTTCTGACTTTTGGGGGAAAAAAAAAAACAGTTCAAAGACTTGCTAGCACTGGGCCCTCAGTCTTACCAGGTGACATGCGCTGGAGCTGACAGGGGCAGCCTCACCTTTAGTCATGTGGGGTGTACTTCATTTGGCCCCTTTCCCTATCTGCTCTGTTTTGCTCTTTGATGTTACCTAACTCTCAGCAGCATTGAGTTTGTGATTCCTGATTCACAGGAAGATTGTGTTCTAGTTACAGTCCTGTACCTTTTATAGCAACTCTAATCCTCCTCTTACCATCTTTGCCTTGTTGGGAGATAGGGTAAATGGCTTGATCTGTCTGCAGTAGATTGTGTTAGAATTACGTAAGTAAAGCTTAGGAGTGATGATGGAACATGAGAGAGAAAATTGTATCCTTGTATTACAAAAAATTATAGTGTAATTCCAGTAAGTCCCTGGAAGAAAGGGATACCTTTTTATTTTATTTTATTTCTTTCACACTTAACTAACTCCAGGAAATAACTTAAAGGAAAAAGAGGCAGAATAAGATAATGATGAAGCAGACTTTTTAGTGAAGTTTCTCTCTGTTAAGTGAAATAATTAAGTGTTTTCCAAGCTGGTCTGTTAACTCCCTCTGGCATTTGTTCAAAATTCAGATTCCCGGTCCTCTTTGGAGTCAGTAGGCTGAGGTAGAGACTGTAAATACATTAGAACTGCTCTCATGGTTACTGTTTGGCAAATTTGGGACACCCTGACTTCGTGCTTAGGATTGTAGCCCCTTTTTGTTATGGCTTAGCGTAGCCTTTGGGTTTTTTTTTGAGACTACTGATGCATTCTTGTTCTTCCAATATACTTCGTGAACCTAGTGCATTGAATTGATTTTCAAAAGCACAAATTAAGTCACGTAACTTTGGGGTTAGTATTTTTATACGTTTTGTTTAGGTTTTCCCAAAAAAGTAAAAGTGTATTTTTTTTGGTTCTTTTATTTACTCGGGAGGTGGTTATTATACTTTTATTTTCATAATAAATGAAACCTACTGTTAAGACAACGAAACTATTTCCCAGACTACACAGCAAATTAAAAGAACAGTATGTGAAATTCAGATCTTTAATTCCAGAATTGTAAAACATTCAATAGGCCTTACTGCCTGCTTCTGTGACCCTTATTTCAAGTTCTAAGTAAACACATGCATCTTATCCACAGCCCTGACAATCATTGCTCAGGCAAATGTTAGAATCACTTTTTTAATGATAGAAATTAAACCTCCAAAGACCAAGGTGTTATTGAGTGAAAGTGTCTGTTCCCATCCACCTTATGTGTCCCTCTCAGATGTGTCCTGAATCCTTACCTCTCTCTCTTGAATCTCTTCTCCGCTAGACTTTTTCCCCTTGTTTGTTTCGTTTGTTGTCATTATAGGGACAGATGAGCATAGTAGTTAAGAGTCTGGACTTTGTAGCCATAGTGCCTATGTTTAATTCCTGCCTCCAGCACTTACTGGTTGTGTGACCTTGGGCCTCTGTTCCTCATCTGTAAAATACAGTTAATAAAAGTACCTACCTCATAGGGTTGTTGTGAGGTTTTAATGATTTAATATACAGAAAGTCTTTAGAACTGTGTGTGGCCCACATATAAGTTTGGTTTTTATTAGCACTCATTCTACCTGTCATCTAACTGTGAGACCTTAAACATAGTTTGTATTTTAACTCCCCTCCCACACACCTAATCATTTAACAGATCCAATCAGTTTTGCCTGTCTTGTCATTCTTAGTGTTCCTTGCCACTTACCAAGTGGCAATTGCAGTCACCTACCCTCTTGTAATTTATTTCCCATCCTATCTTATTTATTAATATTTCTCACTTTAAGATCTTACTTCATATTTACAGCAGGACAAAAGTCCAGACACTGAGCTTGGCATTTGACACCTTTAATGTGATACTACCAACCTCCCATCTTTTTTTTACACTAGCCAAAGTTGGTCAATACCACTCTCCACGTCTTTGACTGTAACTTGCTTATTTCTGCTTTTGCTTCATTTTCAGCCTTTGTTTCTTTTCCCATCTTTATAAATCCTATTTTGTAAATCTCATGAACTTCTTTCTTAACGTTCTCTAATACTTGCTCTTATTTTATGTATGTTTTATCTATAATCACGTTACCTGCCTGTTATTGTATAGCTTTTCTTGTAATCCTCATATAGGATAATACCTGCTGCTTTAACAAAGCCCAGATTTCAGTAGCTTAGCATTCTAGTTTCTCATTCATAAAAGAGTTCAGTGTGAGTGTTATTCCATTCTGTGGCTCTTCCATTCTGTAAGGGCTTTGTTGGCAGAAGGGTAAAGTGGCAATAGGAAAGGAATTCTCCTTAACCTTCTGAGCTCTGCAGTGACACACTACTTGCACTCACAGTCTGGTGGTGAGAGTCACATGAGCCACTTGGATGTAAAGGGAACTGGGAACTGGGATGTAAAGTCACATGGGCCACTTGAATATAAAGGGAACTGGGAATGAAAAGGTTTGACTGAGTTGACATCCCACTGACAACTATACGATAGCAGTAGGGTTGTGAATTCTGGTGAGTCATTCATTAGCTGTCAATCTCTGTCATAGGAACTGTAGCGTATTTCCTTTACAAAACAGTATTCTGAAGCACCTAGTATGGTACTTGCATATAGGGGATTTTTTTTGTTTGTTTTTGTTTTTTTTTTTTTTTTTTTTTGAGATGGAGTCTTGCTCTGTTGCCCAGGCTGGAGTGCAGTGGCGTGATCTCAGCTCACTACAGTCTCCACCTCCTGGGTACAAGCGATCTTCCTGCCTCAGCCTCCTGAGTATCTGGGATTATAGACGCACGCCACCACACCCAGCTAATTTTTATATTTTTAGTAGAGACGGAGTTTCACCATGTTGGCCAGGCTGGTCTTGAACACCTGCCCTTGTGATCTGCCACCTTGTTCTCCCAAAGTGCTGGGATTACAGGTGTGAGCCACCATGCCCGGCCCCGGTTTTGTTAAAGATTTAAGTGAACTAGTGATAGAACAAAAAGATTAACTGGAGTAGGGTAAAGGATAAGTACCGTGGGTCTGGTAGACTTGATTTGTTTTTGTTTTTGTTTTCGTTTTTGAGGTAAGTCTCGCTTTGTCGCCCAGGCTGGAATACAGTGGCACGATCTTGGCTCACTGCACCCTCCACCTCCCAGATTCAAACGATTCTCCTGCCTCAGCCTGCCTAGAAGCTGGGATTACAGGTGCATGCCACCACTCCCAGCTAATTTTTGTATTTTTAGTAGAGACAGGGTTTCACTATGTTGGCCAGGCTGGTCTTGAACTCCTGACCTCAAGTGATCTGCCCGCCTCAGCCTCCCAAAGTATTGGGGTTACAGGCGTGAGCCACTGTGCCTGGCTGGTAGACTTAATTTGAATCCACTTCCACAAATTATTAACTGAGTTACTTAAGGATTTTATTTATCTTGTGCTCTTCAAAGGGGATAATAATAGCATCTACTTTGTAAGGCTGTCGTGAAGATGAAATGAAGTAAATTACGATGCTTGGCATGTAGTAAACCCTCGGTGAAAGGTGGTCGTTACTAATAAACACATCATGTTTCTTTATTAGTCATCTTTAAGAAAGTTTAAAGAAACTGTCATTTAGTGCCTTGTGATAGAAGTGATTAGAAGTAGCCACAGGCCTCCTGAGATAGACTAGGATTCAGGAGATCAATATTAGAGTCCAGAACTTACTAACTAGTGTGTGACTTGGGCAAGTCATAAAGCCTGAGGGTTTCTGATTTTATCATCTCTCCATTTCTACTTGTCATGGGTCGTGAATTACGGAGTCAAATCATTATGAAAATATATGTGACGTGATTTGTTGAAATGTCAAGGAGACATTGCCTAGTAAAACCAAAATGACCCATTATTTTTAGTATTATTTAATACTGATGATTAAGTATTAAATTGAAAAACATTGCAGACAATCCCCTCAACCTGTGTCAGAATTCATATTGAGAGAGATACAGAAACTGAATTGAAAACATTTTCAGAGTAGATTTTGTTTGTCTTGTAGGCATTTTGTTCCCAACATCACCTTTGGTCACCCTGTGGTAGAAAGCCTTCGAAAGCAGCTAGGCCAGGACCCTTTCTTTGGTAAGTGGGTGTTACGCCATCTGAAGCTGGATGTGTTGCTCAAGTAAAGGAAAACTGGATGGTTGATTTTAACTTCCAAGTTCATCTGGCACCCTTTCCCCAACTTTCCTATCCTGGGTCTTCATTGGCCTGACTCCAGTAACAAGCCAAACTTCTTCCTGCCTCTGGGCCTTGGCTAATCTGCATGGAAAGGTAGTAGCTTGGCTGGCTGCCTCATCTTTGGGCCTCAAGTCATTTGTCATTTCCTCAGAGAGGCCTTTTTGAGCGTCCTCTCCCAAATTAACCTTTATCCAATTATCTTATCACCTGTTGATTTTCCTCTGAGAACTTCCTTTGATCTGCGATTACTTTTATTAGACTATAAACTCTCTGAGGGCGGGGATTGAATCCAGTTTGTTTACTGTGGTTTTCCTAAAGCTAAGCATAGACATGATCAGGGCTCAGTGTAATTGTTAAGTGAATTTATGAATCAGTTGATTTATGGTCCAGAAGCCATTTATTTTGTGCAAATTGGAGCTTTCTACAAGTGGTGCCTAAATATTCACTCCAATGTCCTAGTACAATGTAAATTAAGATTTTTAAGATTACTTAGTGGCCTACAAGTGATTTATGTTAAGTTAGCAATGTCTCACCTGCCAGATCTCTTAAACATGAGAAATTTTACACATTTTTATAAATAGTGTTATTTATTTTTTTCTTTTTTTTAAAATAGAGACTGAGTTTCGCCATGTTTCCCGGGCTAGTCTCAAACTCCTGGGCTCAAGCAATCCACCTGCCTTGGCCTCCCAAAGTGCTAGGATTACAGGCTTGAGCCACCAGCCTAGCCATAAATAGTTTTTTTAACGTAGCTTACAATTTAGTAGAACTTAGATTCTTTTTAATCAGCATATTGCTGACCAGTTTTATGAAGGACTCTGTGCTGTTCACTATGGTAGTCATAAGCCACATGTAGCTATTAAAATTAAATAAACTTAAGTTCATGACCAGAATGGCCAACATGGTGAAACCCTGTCTCTACTAAAAATTCAAAAATTAATCAGGCGTGGTGGCAAACACCTATAATCCCAGCTACTCAGGAGGCTGAGGCATGAGAATCACTTGAACCTGGGAGGTGGAGATTGTAGTGAGCTGAGGTCATTCCACTGCACTCCAGCCTGAGTGACAGTGTGACACTCCATGTCAAAAAAAAAAAATTTTTTTTAAATTAAATAACATAAACTTAAAAATTCGGTTTCTTATTCACGTTAATCACATTGCAAGTCTTCAGTAGTCACATATTGTACAGTGCAGCTATGGGACATTTCCAATATCACAGAAAATTCTGTTGAATATAGTCTCCAGCCTCTGTGTAGGATCTATCTACTTTGAGTTCACCAAAGAAAATGTACATTATTACCTCATTTATGTGGCATGAGGAAACAATGTTCCACCAATATATTCACCATTTTGAAATTTCCATATAATGGGATATAGTCCTCTGATTATCTAAACTTTCTTTTAAGCCATGATTAGCTTATATAGCAGATACCGTGACTTTTCCTATGAATTACGGTTGTTCTCATGACCATGAGAGGTAGATGAAATAAATAGCATTGTTTTCTCCCACTGTACAACCAATGGCCAGAATCCTCGCTTCTGGCTTGCTTGTGTGAATTTTTTTAATGCTTGCTTTTTTTCCCCTTTTCGCTCCCTTTTATTTGGGCTCCCATTGTCACACCATACTATTGTCTATATCCCTTCCTGTCAGTGCCTTTCCTTTTAGCAATCCTGTGTTGCTGCCACCACACACAATCTGCTTTTTCTTCTTGTTTTTAATTTGTTGATAAACTTGCTAATTAATCTTTCTAGAATTTGGTCTAAAAGATAAATGAACTCCATTCACTTTAATGTTTGGGTTTTGTGACCCTTGTTTTTTGGTTTTTCGCTTTTTGTTGTTGTTGTTGTTGTTGCTTTAAGAGACAGACTCCGTCTATTACCCAGGCAAGAGTACAGTGGTACAGTCATAGCTCACTGCATCCTTGAACTCCTGGGCTCAAGCAATCCTCCCGCCACAGCTATAGCTAAGACTACAGGTGTGTGCCACCACAACCGGCTATTTTTTTTTTTTTTTTTTTTTTTTACTTTTTGTAGAGATGGGATCTCCCTGTATTGCCCAGGCTAATCTTGAATGCTTGGGCTCAAGCCATCCTCCTGCCTTGGCTTCCCAAAGTGTTGTGATAGTAGGTGTAAGTCACTGAGCCCGACTACCTTTGTTTTTTATATTGAGAAACATTTGTTTAATTCTTGGATTTTGGTTGTTGGATAATTGATACATGAATGTATTCTAGGACCTAGATTACATGTTGTGTTGTATATGTAACGCTAACATTCTTAACTGTTCAGTTTTCATATTGAGTAGAAATAAATGTCTAAGAAATACAGTGATGGGAAAAGTCTGTTCCTGTTATTGTCTAAATCAGTGATCCTCAAGTATGTTGTATAAGGACCCACACAAATCCTTAAGACCCTTTCGGGTCATCCATGAGAGTATATCAAAACTATTTTCATAATCCTAAGAAATTATTTGCCATTATTTCTACTGATGGTACAAAAACATTGATGAGTTAGTTTGCTGGTGCCTTAACCAACTCAAGGCAGGGACTGTATCAGGAGTTATTCTTCATCATCATGCATTTGCAATAAATATCCTTGATGAAGCAGTAGAAATTAATAAATCTTGGTCCCTGAATACATGCCTTTTTAATATTTTGTGTGGCAAAGTAGGAAGTGCATATAAAGTGCTTGTGCTGCATTGCTGCATACTGGAACATAATGGTTTTCTCAAGGAAAACCACTTGCACCATAGAGGTGTGATCTGAACTAGCTGCTTTCCTCCAGAACACTATGTTTGTTTGAAAGAACAACTGACAGATCAACTATGGTTTTTCAGACCTGGCTATTTTAATGACATTTAAAAAATATTAACTAAATGAGGCTGTCTCTTCAAGGAAAGATACCTTGTCAGTTTTTGTTCCCAAAATTAGAATTTTAAAAAACTTGTGTATCTTACCACTCTGGGTTTGATAGCGTCCCAACAGTTAACAAGCTTTTCTGATGAGATCTGTAGTTATTTTACCAAATGTGATTTTGGGGTACTATGGAATGAAATCTGTCACTATTTGTAAGATGTGTGTAACTCAGTAAATCAGTACTTAAAAGACCCATTCAAAATACAAGACAAACAATGGGTTTTAATGTAACAAAGAATGAAAAGCTCATTGATAGGGTTTACAGAGTGCACACTGCAGCTAACCTTTATAAAATTACCACCCAGCACATTTAAGATAGGCTAGGCTAAGCTATGATGTTTGGTGTGTTAGGTATATTAAATGCAGTTAGAGATAACAGTATTTTCAATTTAGATTGAGTTAATTGGGATGTAACCCCATTGTAAGTTACAGAACATCTGTATTACAACAGATTAGATACAGAACAGATGTGAGAATATAGGTGTCTTCTGTTAAGCCAGACACTGAAAACTTGCAAAAATGTAAAACAAATAATACCACTCTTAATTAATAGGTAATAGAGTTATCCTTTTTTTTTTTTTTTTTGAGACAGTCTTGCTCTGTCACCCAGGCTAGAGTGCAGTGGTGGCCTTCATACCTCACTGAAGCCTCAGTCTTGATGGGCTCCAGCAGTCCTCCCACCTCACCTCTCCCCTCCAGTAGCTGGGACTGCAGGGGCACACTACCATGCCTAGCTAATTATTCTGTTGTTGTTGAGAAGGAGTCTTACTATGTTGCCCAGGATGGTCTCAAACTGGGCTCAAGCCATCCTCCCTCCTCAGCCTCCTAAGATTATAGGTGTGAGCCACCAAACCCGCCAAAAATTACATGCTTTAAAATGTCTTAGTTTGAATTTCTCATACATTAAATATCTATAAATATAATCCATATCAACAGAAGTTTCTTGGGGTCTTTAATAATTTTTAAGAGTGTAAACTCCTGGGCTCAAGCAATCCACTTGCCTTGGCCTCCCAAAGTGCCAGGATTACAGGCTTGAGCCACCGCACCTAGCCATATATAGTGTTTTTTTAATGTAACTTAGAATTTAATAGACCTTAGATTCTTTTTAATCAGCATATTGTTGACCAAGTTTATGAATAATAGATTATGATTATAATAGATGATAGAATGATTGGGAATTGCTGATCTAATGTTAACTATGCACAGATTTGCTGAACCATTGACTCCCTGAACACCATAGAACTTCTCCATTGAGGGTTGCTAGTGGTTACTGGATGCTAGAGGTTGAGTAAGGATGACATAGCTAGCAGTCTGGTAACTTAAGGAATGAATAGAGTAGGTTTTTTTGTTTTTTGTTTTTTTTTTGAGATGGAGTCTCGCTCTGTCGCCCAGGCTGGAGTGCAGTGGAGCGATCTCGGCTGACTGCAAGCTCCGCCTCCTGGATTCACGCTGTTCTGCCTCAGCCTCTCGAGTAGCTGGGATTACAGGCGCCCGCCACCACGCCCAGCTAATTTTTTTGTATTTTTAGTAGAGATGGGGTTTCACCGTGTTAGCCAGGATGGTCTCGATCTCCTGACCTCGTGATCCACCCGCCTTGGCCTCCCAAAGTGCTGGGGTTACAGGCGTGAGCCACCGCGCCCGGCCTGGAGTAGGTATTTTAAACCGGCTTGAATTTTCCTTGTTTATGATGCAAAGAATAAGAAACACCAGATTTAATACATTTTTTTAAGAATAAAGTTTTACCTATTAAAATATGTTCTAATTTAGGCCGGGTGTGGTGGCCCATACCTATAATCCCTGCACTTCGGGAAGCCAGCGTCAGAGGATCACTTGTGGCCAGAAGTTCGAGACCAGCCTGGGAAACAGTGAGAACTCATCTCTATTAAAAAAAAAAAAGTTCTCATACAATTACTTTTGCTGGATTAGAAATACAAACGTTAATCTTGACTTTATTAGTCAAGCTTTATACTTTCTTTTTCTGACTTTTTTTTTTCAAGGCTTTATTGTATTTCATAATTGTTCTGAAATGTTAGAATTTTTTTCTTAAATATAGCTTGGCTGTTTCAGAAATGTGCTTCCTCTAGCAAAATAAAAAACTTAAAACCTCTCCTCACTACCATCTATCAAACACAGGATTCTTCACAGTGTTATTTCTTGGTTTAGCTTGTTTTAAGCTGCCCTCTCCTTCTTATGAAATGCTATTATGTTTTAAATCAAGATCTTTAAGAAGGCCATGCCCATTTTCACCTTATGTGTTTATATGAATCAAGCTTTAGAATTAGGATGAATATCAGGTTTCTTGCAGTCAACATGTCCTTCCCCCTAAATTTGTTCTTGCAGTCTTGCCTCTCAATTAATGGCAGTTCCGTTCTTCTAGTTGATAAGGTCAAAATCCTTGATGCCATCTTTATTTTCCTCTCATCTATCTATCCATGGAGGATCCTCTTATCCTCCACATCTCATCTATCCTCAGCTCTCTTTGCTCTTATTTAAGAACATATCCATCCCGAATTGCTGCCATCATTTTTCACCTGGGTTATTGCTATCGTAGCTTCCTCAGTCGATAGTATCTTGTCACTTCACTGTGGTGGTTTTTCCCAGTGGCCTGCAGAATGCTGAAGGGTTTCTCCTCACCACATGCTTCCCTGACCTCTGACTGGTGTATCTCCTTCCCCAGGCACACCAGCCATATTAACTGCCAACCTAGTGTGCATTTTACTTACTTATTTTGTTTATTGTTTGACTCTCGCATTAAGAATGTAATCCCTATGACAGGAGAGTTTCATGTTTTTGCTCTAACCCTAGGACCTAGAATAATTAATGATGCAGCAATAGCTCGATAAATTGAAAGAATAAATGAAAAGGATCACTTAATTTTTCCTAGAGGAAACTAGTTTGCATGGATAGTATGACTTATTCTTTAAGTTTTTTAGAGTGGCATTTCCTGGACCTGGACCTAGATTTCCTGATTTTTAGATGTTAACTTTTTATATACAGCACTGTATGCTTTTTGTGGGAAAATAGTGTTTTTTGTAAATGAATTTAAATAAATCCTTGTCTTCAAAATAAGAGGAAACTACCTATACTGAATTAGAACTATTTAAATAATGATTTGTGTGATGGCCAAAGAGTTCTTATCAGAAGTGGCAAAAACTACATACAGGTTGGCTTCCAATAACATGAGCCAGGTATTTTTCAGTAATATTTTGAAGTGTCTTTTCTTTCTAGACATGCACATGATGGTGTCCAAGCCAGAACAGTGGGTAAAGCCAATGGCTGTAGCAGGAGCCAATCAGTACACCTTTCATCTCGAGGCTACTGAGAACCCAGGGGCTTTGATTAAAGACATTCGGGAGAATGGGATGAAGGTAAGAAATCGTGATGAGAGTGTTTTGTAACATTCACTCTCAGTTGGGAAGATTTGCGGGAAACAGGAAATTTTCTCTTTTTTTGATACAGTCTTGCTCTGTCACCCAGGCTGAAGTGCAGTGGCACAGTCAGGGCCCATTGCAGGTAAAGAATACCTTACTTAAGCAGCTGTTCTTCAGCTATGATGCCAGGATTTAACTTCTTTGTCACATAGCATTTATGTATTCCACTAAAGTTTTCTGAAAGCTACTGCTTGTTGAAAATACTTACATTTAATAGTCTTGTTAACTTTTAAAAAATAAGAACAGATATTTCTACTGGGCCTGCTATGCCACAATAATATAATACAGAAGTAATTGTAAATGTGATATAGCATATTTGTGTCTGTTACAGGTTGGCCTTGCCATCAAACCAGGAACCTCAGTTGAGTATTTGGCACCATGGGCTAATCAGATAGATATGGCCTTGGTTATGACAGTGGAACCGGGGTTTGGAGGGCAGAAATTCATGGAAGATATGATGCCAAAGGTAAAAGAAGTATTTGATTTTGGGGTGAGGCTTTTACAGTGTGTTCATTCAGTAAGCATTTATTGAAAGGCTTGTATATTTAGGCATAACCTGTTCTGAAGGTGAGGAGATGGGGATGCTTACAGATCATTCTAATACAGTATAATAAATGCTGTAATAGATTTCTGATTTGGAAATCAGAGAAGTATTACATCTTTATCTTGAAATTTTCTCTTTCTTTGAGACAAAGTCTTGCTCTGTCACCTGGGCTGGAATGCAGTAATTCAATTAGGGTTCATTGCAGCCTTGACCTCCTGGACTCAAGAGATCCTCCTGCCTCGGCCCCCTGAGTAGCTAGGACTACAGGTGCATACCACCATGCCCGGCTAATTCTTACACATTTTAGTAGAGAGGAGGTCTCACTACGTACCCAGGCTGGTCTTGAACTCCTGGGCTTAAGCTGTCCTCCCACCTTGGTCTGCCAAAGTGTTGGGATTACAGGTGGCAGCCAACCACGCCTGGAAGTCTTGAAATTTCCTTTTGAAACTATTATCTCTAACTTTTAGATCTCTTGGAAGTTGTCATTGACTATTGAGGATTTGTCTGTCTTGTTTACATGACAGTCTCTGCAAAGACAATACAGATTGCTGTTTGCCAAATAGAACAAAGCTTGCTATTAAAAACCAAGTGTTCCCCAGTAATATGTTGTATTGGTATAGTTATTGTGTGAGACAATTGGAGTTTTAATTGCTAATATTTGCTGTTGGATTTTTTTGTTTGATTGTCCCCCACCCCCACCCCCACCAACATACCCACTTTAGGAGTTACTTATTTCCTCATGTATATATCTAGGTTCACTGGTTGAGGACCCAGTTCCCATCTTTGGATATAGAGGTCGATGGTGGAGTAGGTCCTGACACTGTCCATAAATGTGCAGAGGTGAGATTGCTCTTCAACTATGACTAGACCAATTTCCCGTCAAATATGTCTCCAGGACATTGTCTCATGGGCCAGCGATTCCCTCTGTGGTTCCTAAGTTGACTTTCTTTCTTGGAAAAGTATTTTTTGTTCACATGTACAACTAGGAAAATAAACAGCCATAAGTGGATATGCTTTTTTTTTTTTTTTTTTTTTTTCTTTTTCTGAGACAGTCTCTCTTTGTGGCCCAGATTGGAGTGCAGTGGCGTGATCTCTGCTCACTGCAATCTCTGCCTGCCGGGTTCAAGCGATTCTCCTGCCTCAGCCTCCTGAGTAGCTGGGATTACAGGTACCTGCCACCATGCTTGGCTAATTTTTTTATTTTTAGTAGAGACAGGGTTTCACTATGTTGGCCAGGCTGGTCTCAAACTCCTGACCTCAAGTGACCTGCCTGCCTCGGCCTCCCAAAGTGTTGGGATTACAGATGTGAGCCATGGCGTCTGGCCCGTAAGTGGATATTCTAAAATCACATAAATTGTTAAAATTGTAAATCCTGGTTTTCTCAGGAAGGCTGAAGAAAGTTCTTTTTTATAAAAGAATATGTTGAATTTCAGCCCTTTGGAAGATCATTAAGTTTCACGGCCTTGGAAGTGAGAAATTTTTCCAAAATACGGAATTAAAAGGTACTACCAAGGGGGGAAAATAGATAAATCTAATTGACCTAATTATTACATTATTCTTTAGAACCTACATATTATTTAGTTGTTCCTTGTAAGAACTTGCTAGAACCATTTTTGATGAAAATCTAGGCCTGATACCTCTTTGGCTATCTGTATAGAAGTAAAAACTTTTTTTTACTTTTTTTTTTTTTTCAGATAGCTAGTCTAGCATAGTCAGGCTCCTGAGGATGCCAGCCCTTCTGGTAGCACTGCAAGTGATTAAAGCTTACATGACTGCTTTTCTTCCACAGTGTGATGTATCTACTTCCAGGTTCTTGTATAACTGCCACACGTTTCTGCTTGATATATACCTATCAAAAGCTTGACAGTAGTAAATACTTATGCAGGAGGGGCTGGCCAGATGATGAGTGAGCTCATATCCTTTTGATCGCTTGTGGAATTGCTTTGTACTAAACTGTGCTTTGCCAGTATACTATTCCTGCTTTTATGCCAGAGGTAGCAAATTTTTTGTGTGAAAAATCAGACCTTGGCGATGACCTTAAACAGCAGGATATGAAGAACTCCCACAAGCTTAGCGTTCCAATAATGGAACACTAGGCATAAATGGGTTAACTGAAGAGAATATTTGCAGTGTTAACCCTATAAAACTCACCTTTATAATTTCTGTGAGGAATATTGTTAGAAATGTTGTCATACATGAAGTGACACTATCTGTCTGGAAAAATTTTCCTCAGCCTGTGGTTCTCCCACTTCTCCCTCTTTGTTCTAGCAATGAATCACAAAACAGATTGGGTTTCCATCCTTGAATCAGATCCTAGGAAGATCAGAGTTAAATTTGGACCCAATTTTTTAGCTTTTCTTTTTCAATTTCTTTGCTTCCATATTTAAATGTATCTTAAAAACTTTTTTAAAGCCACTTCAAAACCATTCTGAAATGCAATGAAGTATAAAGAGACATTCTATTTTTTGACACAAAAACGAGAACTCACTTAATTTTGCCGTAGTTTATGGATAATTTTACATTTTTAGCAATAATTGTCCTTTCACACTCACAAATTCATATAAATATAATTCAAAGAATAAAAGTGTTTTTTTAGTAACTGTAGAGGCATTGGTGCATATTGGGAAAAACCTTAGTGGACTTGAGGAGTAAAGGCTTTTAAACCTTATCTAAAGGTCGCAAAGATACCATGTAGATTATTAAGAGTTGGTTTACCAGAAAGGTCAATGATTTCTTAGACACATTTAAAAATAGTCTGACATCCTCATCTGTGAACATTTTAAATTTTTCTTATTGAACTAGATTGCTTAAGTCTGCTTAATCTCAAAGTGGCTCTCATATGATTGAAATGTTGACAGATGCAAGGGTAGACACTCTAGTCCAGGAATTCTGTTTTAGGTTTTTCTACATTTTCCTTTGAGGCATAACCTAACTGTTTACTTCTTCCAGGCAGGAGCTAACATGATTGTGTCTGGCAGTGCTATTATGAGGAGTGAAGACCCCAGATCTGTGATCAATCTATTAAGAAATGTTTGCTCAGAAGCTGCTCAGAAACGTTCTCTTGATCGGTGAAACCATAAGGAGCCCAGTGTTCCTGTTCATGAAATCTCCCTTTTACTGGAAAACAGGAATATTGACTACCAAATCACAATGCAATTGAAGCCGTACTGCTTTTTTGAGCAGTTATTCATTCCAGTGATTAAAACTGATTGTGCAGAATATTCTAAGAGGTCAGAAATTGGTGTGTATAACTACATTTTTAGTGATGCAATTTATTGATTAGTGAGTAAGATACTGTTTTTATTGAGAGATTTGATTTTTATAAAGTAAAAATACGGCTGCATTAGGGTTACAAACAGAAAAGTGTCTTAATGTCTAAGGAGGGCATATTAGCTACACTACAAAAACAAATTTTGTCTGTACTTCTGAAAAGAATTTTGTTGTTTCTCAGCTGTTTTCCAAAAGCAAAGGAAGTCTTTATGGTTTTTTTCTATTTCATGTTATTGTGATTTGTTTATAAGTTTGGGTGGGGTGCATACCATATTCTTGGTTCTTAAAATCTATCACTTTTCACCTTACACTTGATGTGTGAAAACTATAAAAACAATGTGTGAAACCCAGGGGTTCTAAAATACAAGCATAGATTTTATCAGGGTGTTTTGTCAAAGCAGGTTATTCAGTGATTCCTCCCCACCATTCTTAAGAACGTTAAATAATGCTGTTGTGTTAGCTCTGAGTAGAAAGGAAAAAGTAAAACCTCTGTTTGGAGGTAATATTGGGTTGAATTCTGACTGCCCCTTTCTAGCTGGACCTTTAACAAATCACCCAATCTTTTTTGTGTTTCTCTAAAGTCATTTATACATTAAATGTAATTATAGCAACTGTGGGGTTCTGTTGAGAATTAAGAGCTAACACTATATATGTAAAGTTTCCAGTACTAGTCCCAGAATTTAGAATATGCTCAACACAAAGTAAACAGCATTATATAAGTTTATATTTTTGTGAGTTATAAAGTACTTTGATATATTCTCATTAAATCTGTAAATCACCTCTATAAGTAAGTGGTAATAATAAAGCAGATATTTTTGTCCCCATTTAAAAAATGAAGAAATTAATGCTTAATAGGGTGGTACCCTGGAAAGGATCTGGGAAGTGGTAGAATTTCTGGTCTGTACTTTTACAAATGGAGCCCTTGGGAGGTGGGTTAGGTAAAAGAAGCTTTTTACTTAACGTTGTCTTATTTCCAGTCTAATTTTACGCTGTAGCAGAACCAGATGGCTGAGAAAATTCTGGAACTATGGATCTTGACCCCAAGGATATATTATTTTATTCCAAGAAAGATCAGGTAGGCGAAAAGATGACAGGATACAGAGTCAATCCATAAACTAAATATTTATAACTGTTCTGAATTATACAGAGTCTAAAAATATGTGTCAGCTACTTCATTCCTGTAAATACTCTTGCTGTGTTATAAATATGGCAAGAAATAAACATGACCAATATCAATAGACTTCTTGAGGCTACTATAAGTTTTGAGAAATAAGGTTCAAAAAATAAGAATGCTAACACTTAAGCACAGACTAGAGCTTGCTTGGGTTTCTTCCTGCATTACAAGGTAAAAATTTGTTAATGTTTGTTTTTATTCAGCTTGGGAAAGCTTTGTGCCATGAATACGTCGCATTTAATAACAAGCAACACACGGCATATAGAAATAACTTTAATTAAAAAACTTACATAGAAGATTATAATATCAGACGTGACAAAGATTTGAGTTTATTTGCCTGGACAACTTGGGTTTGTCTGGCTTTTGTTTTCTTTTTCTTTAAAAATAAATGTACAGTAAAACTACAAGCAAAAGTTTGTCAGTATTGAATTGAATTTTTTACCCCTTAAAAGGACTAGTATAATTTCCAATCTCTAACAAAA
Organism: Homo sapiens; assembly: GCF_000001405.40. NCBI lineage: Eukaryota > Metazoa > Chordata > Mammalia > Primates > Hominidae > Homo > Homo sapiens. The sequence goes on from NC_000002.12 coordinate 210,021,646, forward strand.
ACTTAGTGTCAAATCTCACAGATAAGGCCAAATGGCCAATATTTTCAGTTATGTGGGTAGTACAACTTGAGTAACCTTTTTTACATGACAAAAAGTGAGTTATATAAATTGTCCTCAACTTTCACATAGGAAAAAAATGGTTTAATAGCTTCAAAAGGAATTTTCTTTCATGTATACTCTTCAGTATCCAATATTGAAGCTTTGTTCTTTGAAAAATTTTAATTTCCAATCTAGGATGCAAGCAAGAATATATGTTTATTTGAATAGAGTAAGCTATGGCAAAGAATGACCAAATTAGCTAGAAATAGAAATCAGCCAGAATTAACTAATTTCTTGCTAATCTAGAAATACAATCATCTTTTTTTTTTTTTTCAAATTTTATACTGATAGGGCTTTACTGTTTGTGGCTCATTTTAAAACTGGTGTCTTCTCTTCATGAGACACATTAATTGGTAAAACTCAAATTGAGTTTTCAAAGATGTGATAGTATTAAAGTGCACCAATATTTGACTCAAATTTGCTTGCTTTATTTTGTTAGGAGTAAACAGAAAGTAGCCTGTGTTTAGTCCCAAAGATAGCAGTGATTTTGAATAAAGGAGTTTTGTGTTGCCTGGATATATGAATTTCTGTAAATAACTTCTGTTGGTTAAACATGTTAAAACAACAACAACAACAACAAAAAACTTCTGTCTCTATATTCAGGACGTTCAGATGTCTTTTATTAGTGGAAACCTGTGTTTTATCTATTCTGCAGCTTACATTTCATAGGGTAGTTCATACATGCATTTCCAAGGGGAGTGGGTCATTGCCAGTGTTTTAAAAACTACATAGGGGTGTGTGTGTGTGTGTATGTTTATTTTATACACACATATTTGTATATTCTAATATATTACTAAGGCAATTTTAATGAATTACCATGTATATAAAAAAATAGCTGTCACTTGGCACACAGGTTTGTATGTATGTGTATATATATATGTATGTATGTATGGTGTGGGTACATAGTCTTAAAAATTACCCAGTAATGTGATTTGACATCAAGTTGCAGCAATTAATATCTTGGTGTTTGTAAGTAAGTTGCATGATAAACACAAATGACTACCACTTGTCTGTAGATGAAAATCTGGTTACCCTTATGGTTCCAGAAGGAAAAACAGACTTATCTTGCCTGTTTCATAAACAGCATAAAAGATTAATACATGCAGAACATGCTCTTATTCTGGAGGGGATGGGGGATCCAGAACAGGGCTTTATTTCCTCCCATCTTTCCTACATTTACATAGTTTTCTTAACCTGTTCCCTGTCACCTATTTTTTTTAACATTAGTAAGTCCTAGACCAAAGGTTTTGTATTCTTCCATTCCATCTGACTGCTTTTTTGGATGGTGGCCATTCTCTGGTACACTGGTACCGAAGATTTCACCATGGAAAGCTGTGCTTGACCTTTCAACCTGATCCTTTTTTTCATCTTGACATAATAAGGCTGCCATGTCTTCACCCTTCAGTGGAAAAGCCCGTCGTTCCCACCACAAAGACTGAAAGGGGAAAAATTTTCAGTTAAGTTTCAACTAACTTGTTTTGTTTAAATTCATCTAACAAGTAATCTGTACATGTCTATATTGTAATAATTGTTCTGTTCTTTAGCACATAAATGTACAATTTTTCATTTCAACTTAAATAGCAACTCAAAATGGAATATATTGAGAATTGTTGAGTGACTTTTGGGATTTATTTCTTTACTTTGCCTCTGCCAAGAAGAGGAAATGCTGCCATAGGCAGTGGTCTTCATTTCCGACCTAAGAGTACTTTGGGAAAGTGTTCTTAGGTTTGATATACTTCTACAGTATCTTCATTTTCATTATTAAAGGTACCTATTAACTTTTTCTTTCCTGAGCTTTCTGCAACTTGCCTATTAATTCTATAATCTCCATTCCATTCTAGATCTAGTTCTTTTTCAGTATCTATTTAGGAAGAAAGGTGTAAGAACTTTATGGATGCAGTGTTAGAAAGCAGTCCCTTTAAAGTAGGAACTGGGTCTGTGGTGAGGCATGTAAAAATCTTAAGATATGAGGAGAAAGAAATAGCAGCTAACTTTGGCCATGTAGCAGGTGCTATTCTTCATTAATCAGGTTTGTTTCGTAATGAAACTTTGATAGTACTTCCACTCTCTAATAGATAAATAAGTACTTGGAAGTTCGTATTGACTTGTTACACAAGGTGATTATAGTTAGTAGTGGACACAAAATGCTGCAATACAGATCTTCTATACCTAACTTATTGAATTTGTTATGTAATGATGTAATAAACTTAATTTTTTTCAAGTAGTTTCTACAAACAAGTAGTTAAAAGTCAAGGAATGGGAAGTTTAATCATACATATTACACTTACCTTGGTTTCTTGACTTTGATTTAAAGAAGGTAAGCCATATGCACACAGATCCTGGTTCTCTGAAGGAAGCCCAGGAGGACTTGCAGCAGCACATTGCTGACTGCTACTGAAGTTATTAGGGTATTCTTTCAAAAGCAAGTCCTGTCCTTCAACATTTTTACTGTAAGCTCTAGCAAGAAAATCAGGAAAACACAATTATTTTTTATTTTTTGAGGTCTTGAAAATTTATGAACAACCCAAGGTATCACTGAGTCAAGTTAACTTGGTAACTTTAAACAGTTTTGCCCAAAGATTTTTAAAAATTCCCCTGGTGCTATTTATTATTTTCATACTCAGAGGATGAAATAGTACTTTATGAAATATTTTACCGAATTATAACAGTTGTGGGGGGAGGGTTATTCTTGTTTTTTATTTGGGTTTGCTTTTGTCTTTTGTCTGACTAATTAAATGAAAGATGCTCCTTAACTAAAGTGACTACCAGACTTCACACAATCTTGCCTTTTTGAGTTTTGGCTATTTTAAAAATGATCAAATGTATAATAAATATAAAATAGGAATTTTCTCATATATATAATAATTATGTCTGATTTATTTCCCCTTCCCTCAAAGCTCATTTGTGTTTCTAAAAGTATTTTAGACTTTTTGCATTTTAGATTAAACAGGTTTCTTGAGAAATTTTTTATTTTTTTAAAGAAAAACATATTTTGGAAGTAGTGATGTTAAAATGGATTACCTAAACTCCAGTCCCCAGTGTGAGGTCCATTATTAAAGTAGATTGAAATGACCTACTTTATATATACAGAGAATTTTCACATTATTTGTTAGTTAAATCCATTCCTGAGGCTGACAACATAAGAGAGGAAAATACAGAAACTAATTTCATCATTATATAATTAGCTCAAATATATTTTGAATACAAGCTCATTCTATGTAGTATTTTACTTCTGGTGCACAATAGCTGATGTTACAACAGCATGTTTTCCTTTTTACTGGTCTCACCCAAAATTCATGCAGAGGTTTTGTTCATTTCACATGGATTCTATGGCTTGGGGTTTTAAATTTGTAACCTGCCTGCTGTTTCTTCTGTGCCACTTGCTTTGCTCCCATAGTGACCACCTGGCTTGCTCTCTCTCTTCATATTTTTTGTGCCTTAGGGAGAAGACTTCATCAGAAAGATCTTCTATCTGGAATTAGAAATAAAGATTTTTGTTTTAATCAGAAACATTTTGAAATATAAGATCAGGCTGGGCACGGTGGCTCACGCCTGTAATCCCAACACTTTGGAAGGCCGAGGTGGGTGGATCACGAGGTCAGGAGTTCAAGACCAGCCTGGCCAAGATGGTGAAATCCCGTCTCTACTAAAAAATACAAAAATTAGCTGGGCATGGTGGCAGGCGCCTGTAATCACAGCTACTCGGGAGGCTGAGGCAGAGAATTGCTTGAACGCGGGAGGCGGAGGTTGCAGTGAGCCAAGATCGTGCCACTGCACTCCAGCCTGGGTGACAGGGCGAGACTCTGTCTCAAAAAAAGAAATATAAGATCAGGTTTCAAAGAGTTTCTCATGTAGAAAACAGTAGGAAGCAAACTAAAATAAATGCTATCTGTGTAAGTTGAGAGAACAAATGTTATGAGATGAACTCCAAATTCCTGTAAAAGGGGAGTCAAAATTTTTTAAAAATTATTTCATTATTGTTATTTTTAGACACGGGTCTCTGTCGCCCAGGCTGTAGTGAGTGCAGTGGTGCAGTCATAGCTCACTGCAGCCTTGAACTTCTGGGCTCAAGCAATCCTCCCACCTCAAAAAACTTAAAAATACTTGTTTCCTATTGGTTCATATTTGAAGACTTCGGTAGGCTACAGATGAGTTCGTAATACTTTCCATTTGCCATAGCTTAGTACCAGTAGTCTTAATGTTTTATTCATTCAGGAGTTTTTATGGATCGTCCATTGTGGAGTACATACTATTCTAAGAAGATGTTAATATCAGATAAAAGTAAAACTAATAATCTTAGACAAGTCAGCATTAATTTAATGAATGACTTATCTAGGTTTTGAACCTGGAATACTACCTTAGTTAGGGTGTTTAAGAATTTGGGTTTCTTGGCTAGGATCATTCAGAAGTAAGGAAGAATACATTAGAAGAGGAAAGGGCATTAGAAGGTAAATTTTAGTAGTTGAAAAACATGACCACTGGACATAGAAAGATTGTTACTTGACAGAAACCAAGTGTCTTCAACAGTGTCATCTTCTAGAGACCATCACCTTGGAATTAGTTTGGTTATACAGTATTTTTCCCTATAATCTTATCTTGATATAATTTTATCCATACCTATTCACAACCCCTTACCTGCAATTCCAAAATCCAAAAATCTGCAAAAACAAATTTTTCATAATTCATTTGGTGACATAGCCTGATCTGAAATGATGTGAGGCTATTTTTAGTGTTTATCCAACTCAACTATGAATATTTCACTACAGAAACATTAATGTCTGATTACTTTTACGCCCGAGACTCTACAGGTATTACGTGATATGTTTACCACATTACTTTTTTAAAGTCCAAAATTTTCTAAACCGAAGAGCAAATTGGTCCTAAGATTCTGAAAATGGCATTTAAACTTAAATAATGAGTGAGACTAATCTCATGCAGAAAAATATAATTAATACTGACAATGAATGTGGATATTCACGTAAATTCAGTATCTCAAAAACTCATAAACAAATGCTATATTTTCTTTTGGCTTTTTTTTCTTTTTGAAACGGAGTCTTGCTCTGTTGCCCAGGCTGGAGTGCAGTGGTGCGATCTCGGCTCATTGCAAGCTCCGCCTCCCGGGTTCACGCTATTCTCCTGCCTCAGCCTCCCAAGTAGCTGGGACTACAGGTGCCCACCACCACGCCCGACTAATTTTTTTGTATTTTTAGTAGAGACGGGGTTTCACCGTGTTAGCTAGGATGGTCTCCATCTCCTGACCTCGTGATCCGCCCGTCTTGGCCTCCCAAAGTGCTGGGATTACAGGCATTAGCCACCGCGCCCGGCCTTGGCTTTTTAAATTATTGTGTATTTCTATATTATGCTGGTAGTCAAATTTGCACAAAACATTTTTCGAATATTCTTTTAAAAGAACTTCCTTTTCATAAGTGAAAAGAAAAAAATCAGTGTAAGTTAAAGGGCTTATATATTCCTTTAGTTCCCTGAATGTCAAAGTAAGCAGGTTTCATAATACATAATGTGCAATTATCCCATTAAATGAAAGGCAGCTTACCTCTTCTTTGCCTAAATTATATTCATCCAAAGGCTGAAGAACAACCATCCTCCAGCTGTTGAAGATAAAAACCAATTTTAAACAGCTTTTATTTATTTAAATGTGGCAATTTTATACTCAGCACAGCTAAATGTATTAGTGTTTCCTTGGCACTTCCATGGTTCAAATTGTTGTATTTTAATACTTAATTTTTTAAAAGAAAAACATTTGTATTATGAGAAAAGGACAAAAGAGAAAATGAGACTTTATTTTTGGCCTTATGGTGAATAGTCTGTTCTGTATAGCTGCATTTTATACATAATAATTATGTACTGACTGAAGTCAGTGGTACGCTGATAAACTGGCCTGGCCAAAAAGTAACAGAGAAGGAAAAAAACCCTGGTTTGTATGTTTGCCAATTTCTTTGGTGTGAAAATACCTACCATAGCCCCTTTTGAGCCATCAGTAGTTTAATAACTGGCTCACAGAAGTCTTCTATATTTAACTATCTGCTCAGCCAGCTAGCTCCAGCCTACCATTGCAAGTTGAAATATATTTTTGCTATAGAACGTCATAGCCACAAATGTTATTACTTATGCAACAAGTATCCACAGATTGAGTTCTCATATAACTCTTCTAGAATATTATGCTCTTAATACCTCAAAGTAATTATGAAGTAGTAAAAGAAATGAAATTAGAATAGAGATGTATAGCAATTGACTGAAATTGTCACCCACCTGTCTCTGTTTGCAGCCTTTTCTGTCTCTACTTCCTGGTGTCATTTATATTCTTAAGAAGCTGCATTCATGATTTCTAAAAAGTTTGGCTAACGTTACTGCCAGTAGGGAGCAGATCTGTGTATGGCATTCAGGGACCTCCACAAATCTGGACCTAACTTTGTCTCTAGCCTTCCATTATCAATCTGGACCTAACTTTGTTTTTAGCCTTCCATTATCAACCTGCACAAAACAGTATCTGGCTAAGCCTTACACACTTGTCCTGTGCCTTTGTTGTCGTATCCCTATGTAAATACCTTCTCCACCTTCCCATTCCTTCATGGATGACTTCCCAGACCTTCCCACTCATCTTTTGAATGTGTTTATTGCTGACTTGGCAATGCATCAAAATCTTTTTTTTTTTTTTTTTTTTTTGGTCACAGGTATTACTGTCTTACAGTGTGAATACCCCATGAAAACGTAGAACTCTTTGCAACTTATGTCACACCTGTATCTTCAAGGGCAAGGATTATTTGTTGCTATAGTTTTTATGTCACTAAAGTACCTTTTAGTGTCATATACATAGTAGATAACACTGGATAATAATAATAAAAAAGACTAAGAATGCTAAAGTAGTCTAGGAATTCCTAAATCTTAATAAAAACTGAGAAATAAAGTTGTGATACTATATAACACTTAAGGCACGAGTAATTTTTTTTTCACCGTTTCCCCTCCATGGCTATGAAGGAACTGGGAGAAGGATGCTCCTTTCATTAATTAAAATTCTTCACTTTGAAAATTTAAGTTTATTAGGGAAGGAAGGAAGAAAAATATGAAGATGTAAGTATACATACCTTGGAGTAAGTATTTCCTTATATTGGAGTTTCTCTAATTTAGCTGGGGCTACTAATGACATGGGAATCACAATGTTATCTATGTCATAAGAGCTCTCACTTCTCAATCTCCGTCGTGCAGTATTCTGCAAAACAGGATTACAGTAGATTTACAGTACTGTCTAGTTACTTGTAATGATACCCTCCTTTCATCAGTTATGTAAATATGGCAGTACACGTTACATAATTTTTGTAAATACATTGTTATAAAGTCTGACTAAAAAATGTTAAGAAAACCAAAAAATAAAACATTTTTCTATCTTTTGTAAATCAGAACAATCTCTTGGTAGATGTGTAATGTGTATTTATGTGTGCAAGCATACAAGCTTATTTTTAAGACCACAAAAAATAGGTCTTAAATGCAAAACTCTTTATCAGAAAAGACCAACATACATCACCCTAAATGTCAATGAAAATGATCAGTAACCACTTTTTATTAGGAAAGGCAGTGAAACATTTTTGGTCAGCCCTTCAGTATACTCTTCATTTATGCATTCCTGGTTCCTGAGTTTCGGAATTCATTTCTAAACCCTCCCACCTTTTGACCTCTCTATTCCCTGGCCAGATAACAAAAAAACAAACAAACAAACAAAAAACAGGACAAGAACAAGAAAGTCCTGAATTCTCATTAGTAAGACTTTATTTAGCTTAATATGTTAAGGAATAGAGATGATCATGATAATGTTTAAATTTTTAACACATAAAAAGAAGCTATAACCAAATATTAATGAACTTTTAGCTTCATAGTTAAAAATAAGTTGTATGAATCAAATATATTGTTTTCTAACAAGATAGTTATAAATGTCTGTTAATATGTGCTAGTAAGGCTGTTATAGATTAGCAAAATATAAATTATTTTCAAAATCAGGTGTTTTTATTTTTAAAGCTATTTTAGAGTTCAACATATGGAAAAACCTACTCGTGATGAATTCTGGATTCTTGATAAAACGTTGACATTGGAAACAGCAGTAAAATTGCTATGGGATCCTGATTCTGTGTGTTGAAAATCAGATTCTTCAAGTTTAGTTCTTTCTCCTGCCATGGAAAGAACCATTGAATGTTACACATTAAACAAGTCTAATATCATTAGAATTACTTTCCTAATTAGATGACAGGTGATTGATTCCTTGTTTTGTGTGTGTGTGTTTAAATTCGTGTATTAGAAAACAAAAAAGGAAATGAAAAAAGAGGAGCCTTACTTGCAGTCATGCCACAAGTTATTTCCATTTTCTGGGGCTTTGGCAGTTTTTATCGAATATATTTCTTATTGTTCCCTGAATAATCCCTCATCTCATCCCTTTATTCTTGTTTCCTGTGACTCCTATTCATAGTTGAACCACCAGAACTATCTTAATTTTCTTATCTAATCTCATTTTTCATATCTGACTTTTTATCCTAATTTATGTGAGGTATCTGTCCTTGGTCTTCTGAACACTCTTAATTTTTTGAAAAAATTCTGCTATTATAAGTACATGTTTCCGAAAGTACTTGTTCTCTGGTACTCTTTTTTTAAAACAGCATCCTGTTCTTGTTTCATAGATGAAATTTCTCATATCTCTCAGGATATTGATTAGAAGTTTACTTCTGTTAGTATTTTCTGTATATCTTCCAAGTTCTTTTTTTTTTTTTTTCCTGTTTTGGTTCCCAGTTACTGTGTGTGTGTGTGTGTGTAGTAAATATATATATGTATGCGTTTACTTACTGCCCTTATTTTAGTACAAGTGTTTTAAAATGAGAATATTTCCTGCATAATATAAAATCTAATACCCAGTCCATATTTAAATATCTCCATTTGTTAAAAAAAAGTCCTTTATAGCTAGTTTCTTCAGATAAGGATCTATATATAAAAATTGGCCATTGTCTCCTAGGTTTCTTATAGTCTAGAATAAATCATTTTTCATTACATTGACTTTTGACAGGCTGGACCAGATGTCCTACCCTTTTGGAATTGTCTAGTTATTTATTTGTAGTATGACATTTCTTTATTTTATTCCTGTATGTACATCAAACTTGAAGTTAGATCTAAAGTGTCAGTCAATTTAAGTGAAACATTTTATATCTTAGGTAATGTATACTTCATGTTGCATCTTATTAGATGTTTTTAAAGCTTTATATATATATATAAGTTGAATCTTGTTGACTTTCTCAAAATCCTGAGGAATCTGCAGTGCATCAACATCTCCACAGTAGGTACCATAAATGGTTAACAGTTTCTGTAAGGCAACTTTGCACTAGCCTATTTTGAGCATAGAACACAACTTTGAAGATTAAATCCCATCCAGGGACTGATTGGTAGAAGACAACTAGTCAGGGAACATAGGAGGGAAATACTTAATTGCCATAAAGTGGGTAGATACCAGTCCACAAATAATTCTAAATTAACTACGAATATGCTGTTTCATGTTTGTAGACTCATAGATGTTTTGTGTTATTAGTGGCTGTTCTGGATTATAAACTCCCATGAGAGGTTATTTTAAAATCAGAATTTTTAATTTTTAATATTTATCACTACTGCTTATATCCTCACTTTAACCTACCTAATGCTGTTTCACTCAAATGTCTTTTCTTTCTTCCCTGTAACAGTTGTGCAGAAGATTCTGACCTTATTTGAGGCTTACATATAGGTGAATATCCATTTCTCCATTGATTCAGAGTACTATGTACTAAAACAAATGAAAAGGAAATATTAAGTTTTAGTTCCTTAACACAGACAGTGAACATGTCAATCTGTTTTTATTTGTAACTGCAGAATTTTAAGATACCAGTTCAAAATTACAGATAAACATAAATACCAAGACACACAACTCCAACTAAAAACATCCCCAGGAATTTCCAGTTTCTTATATTTTCTCCATTTTTTTGAGGGGGATGAAAAGGGAAGATGATCTGTTCTCAAAGTCTTCCAAATTACAGAAACTTGATAGAGTGAGGATTGGCTCAGATATATAAATCTTGGCGATCAGAATCTTTAAGTTCTTGCTTACCTTTAAATCTGGAAATAAGTTGGGACCAAGTAAGATTCAACATGGTCAGACTAGACTGTGCGAGCAAGAACCAGAATCATTTAATATCTCTGATGCCTTAGTTGCATCATCTGTAAAATAGGGATAATAGCAGCGACCTTGGATAATGATTACATGAGTTTATTCCTGTAGTAGTAAGTAAAAGTGTCTGATGTGATAAGTGTGCAGTAAATGTTAGCGTTATCATGATTGTATATCTGAACCCCCTTATTTCCAGCCTTGGTCTAACAACCAAATTGGCTTCTTTTTTTGAAAGGTTTGGAGATGTGGAAAGGAGTGGAAAAAGAAATATGTAAGCTGAAGTGCCAAACTCACACTGAAATAAAGGGCATGGCCTACCAGCTGACAAGGAGTGTCTGGTTTCAAGATGGCAAATGACCCTAAACATGATAGACAAATACGTTTTACATAGGTACATGCACAGATAGGCACATATAAATCCACATTTGCAAGCAAAAAGTGGAACCTGTAAAGCAGAATTTCTGAGGAATCTCTAAAAGACTAATACTATATGGAATTTGAAGAGGAAACCCAGAGCAGAAGCACATAGTGAAGTACTGCCACAAAGATGTGTGACGCCACTAAAGGTGCTCTAGACCCACAAGAAAGGAAAACTGGGAGCAGGACAACTATCTGGATATTGACTGCACATGCCAATATCTCAGTCAGACTAACAGAATCAGAGCTTTAGGCAGAGAAATGAATGGTTGGAGAGAGAAGGCAATGCCCAGGTGCCCTGCTTTGAAATGTCCCGCCCATCCCCAAATTAGTCTGAAAATTTCAAATGTTGTATAAATTCCCTTCCCATCAAAAGTGTCCCATAAACAGCAGTGGTAGAAGAGTTTTAACTGAGTATCACAGCTTCAATGATGAGTATAGAAAACTCCAAAAATCTGAATACCAACACAATCAAAAAAGAGGTACAAACCACAAGTGGAAGAACCATCTCAAGAAATAATGAAGCATTCATGGAATACAGATTAGCAACTCTTTAAAACAGTATTGCCAAGAGAAACAGGTAAGAGGCCCTCTGGAGAAATGTCAGAAATAGAAAATGTAATTGTTCAAATGTTAAAATCATCACTAGGCTAAGAAACAGAATGGACACAGCTGAAAATCAAAATCAGGGTCTGGAAGAGGAATTCCATAACTTGATGGAACAGAGTGATAGAAAATATGGAGGGAAAAAGACCGCAATGGGGTAACAAGATGAGACTAGAAAGAGTGAAAAGGAGGGAATAGTTGAAGAAGTGATAGCTGAAGTGTTTTCCAGAATCAATATTAAACCCTAAGATTTCAACGATGCACTTGCATGTCAAACAGCAAATGAAAAATCATAAATGCATCACAGATGATAATACCCTGAAAGTTATTAATACAAGAAAACAGCATGGCAGGAGTAATCTAAACGTACTAAAATGGTAACTAGAATTGTGAGAGGTGGATTTTAAAATGTATGTGTGTGTTAAAACGTGTGTAGGTGTTAAAAGTGTCCATTCTTTTAATAACATTTTGCTGTAGCATTTAAGCAAATCATAGACAATTAACGTTTCTCTTATTTTCTACAAGCAATTCTCCACTCTTCTGAAAACATCAAATTTTGTGAAGGAATCAACTTTCACAAAAGTTGATTTTTTTTTTGAGACGGAGTCTCGCTCTGTCTCCCAGGCTGGAGTGCAGTGGCGCGATCTCGGCTCACTGCAAACTCCGCCTCCCGGGTTCACGCCATTCTCCTGCCTCAGCCTCCCGAGTAGCTGGGACTACAGGTGGCTGCCACCACGCCCGGCTATTTTTTTTTTTTTTTTGTATTTTTAGTAGAGACGGGGTTTCACCGTGTTATCCAGGATGGTCTCGATCTCCTCACCTCGTGATCCGCCCGCCTCAGCCTCCCAAAGTGCTGGGATTACAGGCGTGAGCCACCGCGCCCGGCCAAAAGTTGATTTTTAAATTAAATTTTATTCAAATGTTTTTTTCACATTTATTTTCCTTCTAATTCGTTACTGTCTTGTAAGGTTTTCATGGACCCTTGAAACCGTAGGAAATGTATGACAATTCTACACATCCTCTTCACCTGTTCTATTGATAAACCTCCCAGCCTTTCAGTTCTTGCTCTCCCAATCCTCTCCTAGAGTTCATCCTAAGATCACACTTTCATAGCATTTCTCATATATCCTGTCTTTACTTCCTTCCCTTTTATTCATCCAACAACAACTTTACAGAGAACCAATTACATGGCAAGCATTATTCTAAACCCTAGGTAAGCAAAACTAGGATTTGTAGCAGCCCTTGTCGTTTACAGGTGTTAAGGAATGCAATTGTAATGTGATAGGAAAATATTCATTTCAGTTGTGAAACTACATGATGTTACTGAGAATGTATAAGAGTGCTAGTAAGAGCTCTAGGAAAGGCTTCCCCAGATGAAGTGACAGACTCCAAATATGAACAGAAATAGCTGATAGCTAGGGGAAGGAGGAGAATAGCATGTACAATGGCCCAAGGGAACAGGACAAATTTGGGAACTGAACAGCTATGTACTGTAGAGTAAGGAAGCATGGTGAGAAAGAATCATGAGGGAGGAGCCAGCCTATGTAGATAGGGCTTTAAGGTGTTAAGAATATTCCTTCTCGAATGATTTAAAGGGATGGGGTGGGGAGCAGGTGTGACATTAGATTTGCATTTTGAGGAGGTCACTGCCTACAGTGATTAAAGGGAAAAATGGATTAAAAGTCTATTTCAGCAGTATAGATAAGAGATCATGTTGGACTGTGAGAGTAGTCGAAGGCACAAAAGGAACTCAAACACATAAGATCATATTGACAACTTGGCAATTGGTTTAGACCAAGTTGGAGGAAGTGTGGGTGACAAAGACTGAGCTCTATGTTTCTGGCTTGCTTGTGTGGGTTATGGTGCTATTGTTCCTCCTCTTCCATCTATCTGAGACCTAATTTCAGAATTACAGAAAACTTGAAATAGAACAAAAAATTTCTGTATACCCTTTTCTGAAATCCCCCAAATGTTAACATCGTATCACATTTGCTTTACCTCCTTCTTTCAGACCACAAATGAAATTTAGTTGCTGACATGATGCCCCTTTAGCCCTAAATACATCAATGTGTATTTCTCAAAACAAAGGACATTCTCTTATGTAGCCATGCAGTTCAGTACCATTAGCTAATCTATAGACCTTATTCAGATTTCACCAATATCTCTATAATGTTATTTACAGATAATTTCAACTATTCATTGCAGATGGCATTGCAGTTGTCAGATCTCATTAAGGTCTTATATCTGAAACAGTTCCACTGTCTTCCATAACTTTCATAACTTTGAACATTTTGGTAAGTATAAACCCTTAAATTGGTTTTGTCTGGTATTCCTCATGATTAAACTAGTCATCCATTCACTTTTCAACCCACTACAGTTTGGCTTTTCTCTGCTTGTTGCCTGAAATCAGCAATGCCATTGTAAACTGCCAAATCTAATGGACCATACAGGATAAATCCAAGCAAAGATCTGTCTACTGCCTTCACACAACTTACCCTACAGGAATGCCAAGTTATTTGTAGATATTTGTTGTTGTTTGTTTGTTTTGAGATGAAGTCTCACTCTGTTACCCAGGCTGGAGTGCAGTGGCGCCATTTCGGCTCACTACACGTCTGCCTCCTGGGTTCAAGTGATTCTTGTGCCTCAGCCTCCCGAGTAGCTGGGACCACAGGTGTGCACCACCACCCTCAGCTAGCCTTTGTATTTTTAGTACAGACGGGGTTTCACCATGTTGCCAAGGCTGGTCTTAAACTCCTGACCTCAGGTGATCCACCTGCCTCAGCCTCCCAAAGTGGTAGGATTACAGGCGTGAGCCACTGTGCCTGGCCTTATTTATAGATATTTGAATATATCATACTGTGTCATGTCTCCATGACAAGACATATGTTTGTTTTTGTTATTTAAAGACTTGTTACTCAGTATGGGCCAACAGCATCTGAATCACCTGGGACCTTGTTAGAAATGCAGAATTTCAGGTCCCATTCCAGACTTACTAAATCAGACTCTGCATTCTAACAATATCCCCGAAGTAACTTGCTTACATTTTAAAGTTTGAGAAGCACTAATCTGGAACGCTCCACCCTTCTTTCTCTGTAAATTCCAATTAAGTAGTCGAAGCTGCACTTAGGCATCACCAACTTTCTGGAGTTCCTCTCCTTGCCCATTTCTCATCTCCCTGAACCTCTCTTTTTCTGCCTTCTAAGTAGTTACATACTCCTTATTTATATCTTCTTTATATAATTTCTTTTTAAGATAGAGTCTCACTCTGTCACCCAAGCTGGAGTGCAGTGATGCGATCATTGCTCATTGCAGCCTCAAGCTCCTGGGCTCAAGCAATCCTCCTGCTTCAGCCTCCTAAGTCCCTGGGACTACAGGCATGCACCACCATGCCTGCCTAATTTTTATATTTTTTGTAGAGACAGGGTTTTACCATGTTGCCCAGGCTGGTCTTGAACTCCTGGGCTCAAGCGATCCCCCTACCTCAGCCTCCCAAAGTGCTGGGATTACAAGCATGAGCCACCACACTCAGCCTTCAAAGGTATTTATCATCTATGTCCATTATACTATATAATAGTTATTTGTGTCTTCCTCCATTACATTATAATTTTGACTTCCTGTAATTCACCTTTGATTCTTCAGCACTTAATAGTCTGCCTGGCACTAAGTGCTCAATAAATTCTGAACTCAAATCACTAACAGCAAAAGAAAAATTAATGACCAGCTATTTAAGACAGATATATAGGATGAAATTTCTCATTACATTATTTATGCATTCCCCTTAATTGTGTGCCTAACACGTTTAACTGCCTTATTTTATTTTTTTACAAACAGGGTCTCACTTTGTCACCCACCCTGAGGTGCAGTGGTGTAACTATGGCTCACTGCAGCCTCAACCTCCCAGGCTCGGATGATCCTCCTGCCTCAGCCTCCCAAGTAGCTAGGACAACAGGTGCACGCCACCATGCCCAGCTAATTTTTGTATTTTTTGTAGAGATGGGGTTTCACTATATTTCCCAGGCTGGTCTTGAACTCTGGGCTCAAGCGATCCTCCTGCCTCAGCCTCCCTAAGTGCTGGGATTACAGGTGTGGGCCACCGCACCTGACCTGCCTTATTTTTTTTAAATCAAATAGTAGAACAACATTAAAAGAAATATAATTATCTAATCTCTAATAGCATATATTTTCATATTTGCATACTCTTTCAGTCAATAACGTTTTATATTTCATATGTATTTCAAGTATGAAATCATAATTTTAATTAAATGCATACTTATATTTTTATCACATACTCTATTACTTTTTCAGATGGTTATATAACATTCCGTGATTAGAAACAATGTTCTTTAGCTATTTCCTAGCTGTTGGCCATGATACTTATCATCATAATGATAATGCTATTAGAGACATTCTTAAAATAATCATCTTCATGGATGCATTTTTTTCCCTTTTGAAAACAATCTAGTCTCGGGACAAATTCCAACAAGTGAAATCGCATCATTAAAAGGTAACTGCACATAATACTTATATTTTTCTGTATTTCTTTAGGCTTTTCCCCCTAAGCATAGATAACTGTTCTTCATCCTTGGTGCCTTCATCTTTTTTCTCTTTAATTTTTACTGTGGAAAATTTTCAAATAAACACAAAGGAGACTAGAATAATGAACTCCCGTATACCTATCCTTCCGTCTCAGCAGTGAACAACTTATAACCAATCTTGTTTCATCTCTCCCACCAACATTTTTGCTAGAGTATTTAAAAGCAAATCCCAGACATGTCTTTTCATCTACATATATGTTAGTGTGAATCTCTAACAAACTGAAAAAGTACGTCTGGGTTTATGTAACCACAATGCATTATTACAAGTAGCAAAATTAACAATAATTCATTAATATCTAACAGCTAGTCCATGTTCAAATTTCTCTGTTTCAAAAATTATATGTGTGTCTATAAACAGCAGGCTTATTCAAATCAATCTCAACAAGGTCCATACATTGCATTTGATTGATATAACAATAAATATTTCTACACGACTATAATTTTACCAGATATAGAAGTAAAATATTTTTATCCTTTTATATCACAACATTCTTTGATAAGTAGGTTTCCATCCTTATATGAACTTTTAAGATATTTTTTAAGGCTGTATATTCCACTGTAATGTATTTAACCATATCCCTATTATGCTTTTCAAGTTGTTGCTAATTTTTCATTATCACAAAAACATGTTAAGATGAATACAGTTGCGAAAAAAGCTTTCATATTTAGGATTAGACTAGATTCTTGGAAATGGAATAGTTGGGTCAGAATGCAGGGTTAACAGTCCAGTAAACATTTATTGGGAATAGGTACAAAATAAACAAGGGAGTTTTTAAGCCACACTGAACTTATAAAAAAATACGTAGTTTAAACGCCTTGTAATGCATTTTGCAGAGCTCCTCAAAAGGCTTGTATCAATTCTTAATATCCAAGATATTTGAGGGTGCTATTTTTACTATAGTTGTGCCAAAATTGATGATTATAATGTTTAAAATCATTAATGTTGCAGGCAAAAGTAGTAAATATTTGCATAGTGTCTGACTATAAGCTCAGTTAATATTATTTTCATTATTATCATCAAGTACACTTACTTTTTCTTGTTATTCTTTTAAGACATTCATTTTTAACATTTAACTTTTTAATCCAACTGAAATGTATTTTAATGTTCATCCACCTTAAATTTGTTTTAAAGTGCTTTATGAGTTAGTGATATCAGTTTTTAATTCTTCCAAAGAGTCGTTATTTAATGCCTTTGATTACAAAGGAAACTTAGTTATATAGAGCATGGCTCCAAGCCAGACTGCTTGGGTTTGAATTCTGGCTCTTTTATTACTCAACTGTAATTTGGGGAAGATTAGTCAAGGAGAATAGTAATACCTACCTTATAGAATTATACAGACTTAAATAATTAAGTAATATAAAGCCCTTCAATCAGTGCTGACATATAAATGATGCTTCATAAGAATTTGTTGTTGTTGTCATTATTATTTATTGACTAAGCCATTTTATCAACATGGTAGGAAATACCACCTTCTGTCTCTAGGCTTTTTTTAAGCTCCCTTGATCTGCCTTCTATCAGAACCACCATGTTTTAGTGATTATAACTTCATAGTCCTGCTATTAATCTTCTAAAAATGTAATTGGCTATTCAACATTTTCTGTCTGAGATAAACTTCCAGAATAACTTCGTTCCAATAATACCTCTGATTCTGATTAGGATTATATTCTACTTGTAAATTAATTTGGGGAAAATTGACAACTTTAGTTATGATACTGTCTTCTGACAGGAACAGGATATTTCTCTCCATATAGGAATGTCCTCATGTTTCTCACTGAACTTTTGAAGTAGTCCTCATGTAGGTACTCGTTAAGTTTGATTAAAAATACTTTATATTTTCATTGTCAATATGTCTAACAGAATTTATTCCTTTACATAGGCTATCTAGTTACTATTGGTACTTATAAAAGCTGCTGATTTTTATAAATTTATTTTATAATAAGACCCCAGTTCTAACAGGTATTCATTTGACTCGAGTTTTTGAGGTAGATTATTTCATGTAGAAATAATTTATCTTAAATTTATATGACTTTTCTGATGTTTAGATTTTAACTTTGTAGATAATCAAAATATGTTGTTTTCTTTCTTCTTCTAATTGCTTCCAAGCATAGAACTCACCCACATTTACAGAACTCATAAACATTTCATTATAATTTCCTCAAGTTTTATTTTGTAGTTTTAATGTTTTATGTACAATTCTTGGAATTAACTAGAACTTATTCTGATTCATAGCATTAAATGAGTATGTAAAAGAATTTTACTGGGAAAGACTCTCTCCATGAGAACCAATGGTTCTCCACTTTCCCACTAATATACAATTCTTCCCTGATATATAATCAACTATAGAGTTTACTTCATTGATCTATTTTCTTAAATATAAACAAAATAGATTCTACATTATTATAGATTTTTGTCATGTTTCCATATGTGCTTGGGCTAGATTTTCTCTAAACTTTTTATAATAATTCCTTTTATATTTTCCCCTGTTTAGTCTTCCCATTGTGCTTTAGAATTATTTTAAGTTAAACAAATTCTATGAGAACTTCGAGTTACATTACATTAATCATATGAACTATTAGGAAGAATTTATATATTTATTGATCTTACCATACAGAAATGCTGTTTCTCCACATTTATTTAAATTTTTATTATATTTATCAGTAATAGTTCATAATTACAATTCAATAGGTATCGCACATTTCATGTTAAGATTGTTCTTGTATTTTATGTGTACATGAGTTGTAAAAAGTGAGTATTAAAAATTAAGGATTTTCATGTATTCTTTTCTTAGATTTTATTTTTCTTAGAATGCAAAAATAGTAAGTATAAAGACATAAAAAGGCATATAGAGTACAAGAACTGTAAATGTGACATACCAGGTGATGGAGATATGATATATTCATCTACAAATTTATTTTCAGCAAGATTGCCTTTTATTTCAGTCTTTTTTAACAGTGTTTCAAAGTGAAAATGAAGAGGCACATCTGGAAAAATAAAATAAAAAAGGTATTTTCAAATACCACTCTTTGTAATACTAGGATTACAGATTGTAACATTAAAATTGCTTTCTTTCTATAAATAGCACATAAGCTTAAGAAAATAAGCAAAAGTTTGAGATGTAACAACTATCGGAAGTGACAAAATACTCTTTCCAAGCATGTTGGTAGCAGTATTTTAGAAATTACTGGTTAGGTGCACTTAATCAACAAATTAAAAAGCTAACAGAGAAACAACTTCATGAACTTCCTAAAATAGTACATAAGATGAACAGTAATTATAAGTATTAATAAATACTATTCACAGATGAATGGAAACAAATATACCCAAGAAGTCTTTAAGAAAACCTACACCCAAATCTGGCTGACTCTAAATCCATTCCATCCCATCCCTACAAACTTTGCATTTGAAATAATGAAGCTTCCAAAAAATTACATGCTTTTAACGTCTTGGGAGAAAACCACTATAAGTCAGATGCAACCTTTTATGAAAACATCAAAGTTCACATTCCCTTAATTTACCATATTATATATCACAATGAATATACTTTTATAAAGATTAAAACCTATTGACAAGCTAGTTTTGTTTTTAAATAGAGGCTTGGAGACTTTCAATTTACTATGTTTATATTCTGTACTCTCACAACCAAAGAGGAGTTAAGCAATGAAGTAGTTATGCTTCACATTTACTAAAGGTTTTTTCTTTCAGCCAAGAATGAAAAAACAAAATCATCTTAAAAAGCATTTATTAAGAGACACCTAACTTTTCCTTGAGAACATATTTTATAAAGCAGTTGATAATAGTGAAAATTTGGCTACTGAAAGAAGGTACTTTAAGGAAACTCATTTGAATACATAAATGAGGATAGACCCAGAAAGGGCCTAGATTTTATTTTTTATTTGTTTTTATTCTTGAGACAGGGACTGGCTCTGTTGCCCAGGCTGGAGTGCAGTAGCATGATTCTGGCCCACTACATTCTCAATCTCCTGGGCGCAAGCAATCCTCCCACCTCAGCCTCTCAAGTAGCTGAGACTACGGGTGCACAACTCCATGCCTGGCTAATTAGAAAATTCTTTTCTTTAGAGACAAAGTCTTATTATGTTCCCAGACTGGTCTTGAACTCTTGAGCTCAAGCAGTCCTCCCACCTCAGCCTCCCAAAGTGTTGGGATTACAGGCATGAGCCACTGTGCCCACCTGGCTGGGTCTGGATTTTAAACAGAAAAAAATGATCTCTTCTTCAAATAATGTATCTTAGTGGCAGATCCATACTCAGGTGTGGAAAAATATGCAAAACAAAAATTAGTTCATGAGTATCATCATGGAGTTTGTACCAAGGGACAGAGGTAAGATGAGTTTGAATCTTGATATTATGATCATATGAAAATTAGGTGACAAAATGAAAATGGGAATAAAAACTAAATATTCTCCTTTAAAATGCTCCTTAAACATTTCAGGATTCTGATATTTTCCAATTACCTGAACATAAATTTGTTGCATTTGTTTCTCCAAAGCAATATTATACTTATGAGGAGAGTATCACCAATTCTACCACTGTTCTTTGCAATTTGTGGGAAAACATGATCTAACAAGAAAAGGTCCTTGTTCGGTCTATGTGCCTTTCTTAATACCCGCACGTGACCTGTCAGCTTTTGTAAAAATATTTCATTGCTTTGAAACATTACCTTTCAGTTGTTTTAAACTAGAATGCGAGTACCTTGAGGGATTTATTTGTATTTATACTCCTAGCATTTATTTAGTACTTACATATAGTAGGTATTGAGATTTTTATTGAATGTAAGAAGGAATGGATATCATGAAATAGTAGATAAACAATCTAATCTCATTTATTAGAGGGGGCATAAGAGTCTTAGGATAAAGAGTATTTATACCAGCTCTCAGGGTTATGTCATCAGAGAAATATATTTGCTAATAAGAAAACAGGCAGTAAAGTAATGGTGAGTAGTTTGGTTCTGGAGAATGACTACCTCAAATTCTGGCTCATCATTTATTAGCCGAGTAATCTTGGATGAGTAGTATCACGAAGCTTAGTTTTCTCATATGTAAGATGAACAGAACAAAGATATCTATTCTCATGGAGTTGTGGGAATTAAACAAGAAAATGTAATGTGCTTAATATATACAAGGCTCAGTATATGCTAAGACTAAATGTTAGCTACATTATTATTGTTATATGGATTATTATTTTATCATATTATTAAGGTTTCCTCAAATATAGAATAAAATAGTTCTTGTTAAAAACTTAAATCAAGGTAATGGTGTAGCTAAGAAACCACTCTACTACTGATAAAAACTAAATTGAGATTCAGGGCAGGGAGACAGGTTCAAAACATAGTGCTTTACAAATAAATCAGTCCCTTGATTTTGAGAATTTAAAAGACCATCAGAACCATAAGCGGAAAATGGAACAAAAGCTAAGTTGAGATATCCCCCAGTAAAGAAGAACCGGAGATAACCAATGTGAGGGATGTTTTCTTTCTCCCCTAAATATTTACTTTAGTTCCAATATAGACAAGAGTGTAAAGGTTCCACAAAAATCAAGAACTGAAAATTTAAAACCACCTAGAGTAATCCTAGCATTTTTGGGAGGTTGAGGTGGGAGGATCACGTGAGGCTAGAAGTTCAAGACCAGCCTGGGCAATATAGTGAGACCCCATCTCTACAAAAAAATTTAAAAATTAGCTGGGTATGGTGTCATGCACCCAAGTAGTTCCAGCTACTTGGGAGGCTGAGGTGGGAGGATTACTTGAGCCCAGGAGGTCAAGGCTGCAGTGAGCTATGTTCACGCCACTATACTCCAGCCTGTGCAACAGTGCAAGACCCTGTCTCAAAACAAAACAAAACAAAACAAAACACTTTAGAGATGTAAGGATGTATAAGCCTCATTTACTCAGTTATAAAGTACAGATACTCTTGAGGTTGACTATACTTATAGGTACGCAGTTTTCTTCCCTCTGCATTGAGAAATTCAATGCAGATTATAAATGGAGAAATATTTTATGACAGGGAAACCTCCATGTATAACAGCACATTAGAAAAAGAACACTGAATTACCATTACTCAGAAACATTTCAACAGCACAGCCATGTTACCAATAAAATGCTCAAAATTTAACAAGATAAAAACCTAGTAATTTCCCAAAGTAAATCAAGTTGGTTTAGAAGGAATTAAAGAATCAACTTACACAGATAGAACATTAACCGTGCATGTGACTAGATTAATTCCTCTACAACAAATTTAATTGTCAAGGCATTGCTTAGTTCTAATATCTACTGAAAAAAAATTGATAAAATAAGATTTATTAGATTCTCTGTATTTAGAGGATTAGATTTCAGTACAGAAAATATCGTTACTTAGAAATTGTTACAAGGAGGCTTACCTGATGGCAATGATAGAACAGAATGGAAAGAGGAATCTAACTCTGATACATGTTCTCTTAATAGGTAAGACTCCGAATTGTGTTCATAGCTACTCCAAGTTGAAGCTGATTGCAGGCAAGGCATTTGTGTAGTGTTTAAAAATGCTGTTTCTTTTGAAGGCAAAGTCTGCAAGGAAAAACCGTATTAGAATATCACAGCCAAAGCATCCATAAATGGCATATCTCTACATTTATTTAGGTTATCTTTAAATAAAATTTTCCAGTTCTACAAAAAGTTTTACAAATATTTTGCTAGATGTTTTCCCAATTAACTTTAATATTTATTAATTCAATCATAAAAGGGATGTAAAAATATAATTAACTTTTATATATTGAATATTCTACAACTTTGCTATAAACTTTCTTTTTCTAATAATATATAGCTTCTTCTAGTCTTTGATTATCTAAACATACTAGCTGGGAATGATAACTGTAATTTTTTTCCTTCAATCCTACTAGTTTTTTTTTTAGGGAGTTCCAACCATGCTGGATGGGTTCACCAATTCAATAATGAATAAAAATGATCAAAGGAGACATATGTGTTTTGTTCCTGATTGTAATGGGAATGCTTTTAATTTATCACAATAAGAATGATATGGATTGCAGGGTTTGTTTTTTTTTGGGGGGGGTATGGTTCTTTATCAGAATATATTCCTAGCTTGCCAAAAGAACTTGAAAAAAAATATATTAATGTTGAATTTAATCATATGCTTTTTTTGAACCTAATAAAATGATTACATGACTTTTCTTCTGTACTCTATTATAAAGTGACAAATTGCATTAACAGATTTTATTTTTTATTTTATTTTTTTGAGACAGTCTCGCTCTGTTGCTCAGACTAGAGTGCAGTGGCAGGATCTCGGCTCACTGCAACTTCTGCCTCCCGGGTTCAAGCGATTCTCCTGCCTCAGCCTCCTGAGTAACTGGGATTACAGGCACGTGCCACTGCGCCCAGCTACTTTTTGTATTTTTAGTGGAGACAGGGCTTCACCAGTTGGCCAGGCTGGTCTCGAACTCCTGACCTCAAGTGATTCAGCCTGCCTCCATCTCCCAAAGTGCTGGGATTACAGGTGTGAGTCACTGCACCTGGCCACATTAACCGATTTTTAACATGTCAAACCAAGCTAAGGTTATTCTTGAATAATCCTGCTAGGAGTTTATCAAGTTTATTAACCTCTTCAAGGAGCCAGTAACTGGACTTGTTCACTTTCTATATTGTGTGCATGTTTTATATTTCATTGATTCCTACTTTGCTTTAAGATTAATCAAATATTTTCTTAAATTTTTCCCATCTCTTAATTTTAATTTATTTATTCTTTTATTTTCTTTTAGTGGTTTCCATAGAGATTACAATGTGCATCCTTAGCCAGCTGGCCTTTACAGTATAATACAAATTATTCCTTTTACCATTTCCCTGGAAATACTAGGACATTAGAACTCCATTTACTCTCCTGTTTTTGCATTACCATTGTTAGGCATTTTAATTCTATATATATTTATGACCTCACAATATATTGGTGTTATTGTTTGTATCATCAACATTCATGAATACCACCCATATATTTATCTCATCTCATTGCTCATAGCTCTTTCCTACAGTTCCCTACTTCCATGTGGGATCATATTACTTCTCCCTTTGCTACTATCATAGTGTAGGTTTGCTTTCTCCGAATTCTCTCAGTTTTTACTTGTCTGAAACATTTGCATCTTACCACTTTTAAAGATATTTTTATGAATACAGAATTCTGGGTTGGCTATTTTTTTTCAGTACTTTAAGGATACTTTCATTCTTCTGGTTCTCATTATTTCTGGTGATTAGTTAGCTCTAGGTTTTATTACTGCCCCCACTTGAAAGCAATGTGCCTTTTTTGCTCTGGCTGCTTTTAATATTTTCTCTGTGTCTTTACTTTTTTAGCAGGCTTACCATAAGATTCTGTCTTGGTCCATTCAGACTGCTATGACAAAATACCATAGACTAGGTAAATAATAGAAATTTACTTCTCACAGTTCTGGGGACTAAAAAGTACTAGATCAAAGTGCTGGCAGATTTAGTGTCTGACAAAGGTCTACTTTCTCACTGATAAGATGGCTGTAACCTCAAATGATGGAAGGAAGAGCTTTCTGGGGTTCCTTTTATAAGGGCACTAATTCCATTAATGACCTCATGACCTATTAACTTCCCAAAGGCCCTATCCAAATAACATCACATTGGGAATTAGGTTTCTACATATGAGTTTTGGGGGAGACTCATTCAGTCTATAGCATTGCATCCAAGCCCCCCAAAATACATGTCCTTCTCACATGCAAAATATTTCATTCCATCCCAGCAGCCCAAAAATCTTAACTCATTCCAGCATCAACTAAAAAATTCCAAAGTCCAAAATCTCATCTAAATATCATCTAAATCAGATATGGGTGAGACTCAAGGTGTACAATTCATCCTGAGGCTGTGAACCTCTAAAACCAACATATTACATGCTTCCAAAATACTATGGTGGGAGAGGCATAGGATAGATATTCCTATTCCAAAATAAAGGAATAGGAAAGAAGAAAGAAATGACAGGTTTTGAGCAAACCAACCCAACACGGCAAATTCCATTAAACCTGAAGGCTCCAGAATAACCTTCTTCTGCTTGATGCTTTGCCTTCCAGACCCAGTAGGCTATGGTCCCATCTCCACAGCTATTGGCTGCAGTCCCAAGCTTGTGGCTCTTCCAGGTGGTTATTCTGCCTCTGCCATTCAAGGTGACTTGGGGTCAAGGGCCTGTGGCTCTCCTAGGCTAGAATCATGCATGAGTGGCTTTGCCACACATAGCCTAAGCCATGGCTCCCTAAGTGTTGGCAGAGACTGTGTAGACACCACCAAAATCTACCACCTGTGCTGCCTACAGGGTTGGCCATCACAGCCTAAACTATATCAGGCCCACCAGAGCCACACTTTAGAGAAGCCAGTGGTGGGGAGCAGAACCCATAATGTACGGTTCTATTGGGCAGTGCATGCTGAGAGGTCTCACAGGCTCAGGTGGCTCCATATTTGAAACTTCTTTGCCCGAAGGGACTTTGCACTCTGGGCCTATGCTGGGAGGGGCAGCCTCCATTATCTCTAAATTGCCTTCAGGGCCATTCTTCTATTGTCTTGGAGAATATCTCCTGGCTTCTGTAGAGAGGGCTGATTGATACTAATCTCTTTATCAAAAGGCTCCTTGGCCATACCCTCAGTGTTTTCTCCAAAGCAGGCTTTCTCTTTCTTTACAATATGAATAGGCTAAGACTTTTGTAAATCTTTTAAGTTCTGCTTTCTTTTTGATTAACAGTTCCTCTTGTAGTCATTTCTTCTGGCACTCTATCATAAGCAGTCAGAAGGAGGAACCAGGTTGGTCCTTCAGCAATTTTCTAAGAGATTTTTTCAGCCAAATAACCAATTTCATTGCTTGCAATTTCTACCTTCCACAAGACACTAGAACATGAATACAATTTCACCAAGCTCTTTGCCACTTTATAACAAGGATCACTTTTCCTCTAGTTTCCAATAACATGTTCCTCATTTCCATCTGAGGTTTTATCAGAATGGCTTTAATGTCTGTATTTCTACTAACACTCTGTTCAGGATTATTTAGGCATTCTCTAAATAAAATGCATTTAAAGGCATTCCTTTTAAATAATCATTTAATAGTTTTTCCCATCTAAATCCAGTATCAGAATCACTTGAGTATCTGTCTCTATTGTCTGTTTTTCCTCTTGAATTTTGGTCATGTAGTCCTTTTCACCATGCTTACTAATCTTTGATTCAATGACAGATGGTATGTTTTAAAAACCACATAGGTTCCAAAGGATGCGATCTTTCTCTAGTGGGGGTTCTCTATCCCCACTACTAGCTAGATAAAATAGAGACTTCTCTCCTTAATCTGAGAGTATGAGCAGTTAAATCTGGGTTGCAGCCCTAGTATGATTCATACATATGATTTGCCCCTCAAGGTTTTCAACCAAATATTTGATTTATTTTATAGAATTATCCCCAGTCATCCAGACCTCTAATCTTAAGAGTATACTGAACAATGCCACCCTGCTTATAAGGGACTTTTGCCATTTATGTGTTAAGCATCCTGCTCTGTGCAGCCTCAGTATTCATCAAATGTTCTGAGGAAAACATTGGTCAAAAATGCTCTGAAGTGAAAACTGGCCATGTGCTTCATGCCTCCTAAAACATCACCAAAAGCATCCCCATAACTATCATTACTGGCATTTGCATCCAATTTAAAAATTCCTGCCAGAGCTTCAGGGTAATAGTGGTTGCAGAAGCCAGCTTCTGGAGACCTAAGTTAGACTTTCTCCTCTAACCTTTATTTTTATTAATTCTTTTTTCATATTTTCCATTTATTATTTCTCTCTGTGCTGTCTTTTGTGTAATTTTATTAAGCTTGATCTTTCAACGCAATTCTGTCTTTAGCTCTGTCTATACCCTTTTTAATCATATTAGCAATTTTCTGATGTATTTTCCTTAAAAAAAATTAAACTTACTTATTTTTACATTTTGTATGGATAATTCTAATATTTGAAGTTATTTTGTAGGAATATGTGTGTGTATATATGTGTGTATATATATATACACACACACATACATATACACATTTTAGAGAGATTTATTTTGTATATTCATATGCATGCATATATTAATACATACGTGTATGGTTTTGTTTTTGTTTGTTCATTTCTACTGACTCTCATCATGTGGCCTTAGTGTTGTGTGTTCTGTGATTTTTTTTTTCTTATTGGGAATTCATTTTTGTTGAAATTTTGTTCATGGGACATTTGGAAGCTTCTGTTGAGAGTTTATTCCCCTAGAAAGGATGTCTATTTGTCTGAGCCAGCCATCTAGAACTACTGTTCTAACCTATTTTAAAACCCAATTCTTATCTTCAAAACAAAAACAAAAACACTTGAGTAGCATGATTTCAAACTTCAAAAATAAAAGAGGCCTGACTTATTATAAATTCTATGCAGGCACTCTATTTTCCCTTTCCAACCACAGCCCAAGGCTAAGAAAGGCAAGTTCTCTGCATCTCTGTACAGTAGATCTGAGTTCTAGTTCACCCATTCACAAAGTCTATAGCCGGCCATTGGAGACTCTTGGCTTTATGAAGGATTTCTAAAATGACTCCTCACATCTTCCAGGTTTTTGCCTCCAGTCACTCTCAGGAATATAAAATAAAAACTTCTATGGAGTTTAATTGGAAAATATTCATAAGAAAGCTTCAGAATTCAATGGGTCACTTATTTCTCTGGATTCTTAGTATGTTTCTCTTCCACCCCCCCACCCCTCCACCCACCACACTTCTCTTTCCTCTCCCTTTCTCTTATTCTGAGGATTTTTTTTTAACCAGATGATTTATGTATTATACAAAATATTCTTTATATTTTACATTCTATTTTGTGGTACCTGGAGGTTTTTCTATGGTAATGTTCCTACCATACCACTGGAGTCAGAAGTGCAGAATTGGACCTAGCAACTGAAAGGTCACTCTGACCTTTAAAAAATTGTTTCAGGGAGGCTGAGGTGGGAGGATCACTAGAGCCCAGGAGTTTGAGTCCAAAGTGGGCAACATAGTGAGACCCTATTTTTAAAAGAAAAATTTTCTTTCAATAAAATGATTTTGTTGGCTGCCATACTATAGTAGGAAATTAGAAGCTAAAATAAGAAACTAGACATTATAGTGTTTCTCAAGGAATGCAATGTGTGACAGATGATCACAGACACTTTCAAACTTGTTGTGAGAAAAGATATTAAGTAATAGCTACAATTGGAGTTGCTATTAAAAAATCAGTTTTGATAGTAGAAAAGGCATTTTCATTTCTGCCCATGAAGGAGAACAGCTATAGGACTGATGTCAAACAACTGTTTTCAGAACTTGGACAATAGGCAGCACATGAGTGTTATCTCTGGGAAATGAACAACAAATGAGGTGATCCTCTAAATCTACCAGTTTGTTGCATGGTGGTATATACCCAGACTTTGGCACAAAGGAGGTGGCTCAAGTAGGGAGTAGCAGTCTAGCTGACTGGCAGAGACAGATGTTTGAGTTGGGGAAGGACGAGGCAGCTGTCATTTGCAGAACAGAATGCCAGAAAAGAAGTTAAGCCTAGAAAGGCTCCAGAAATCCTCACAGGGTGTCTTTCAATCTTTTGCTAAATAATAATCTATGTATGCATAGAGTGAAACAACACCAGGCAAATTTAAGAACAATTAATTCCAGGGGGCAGAAAAAAGGCATAAGAAAAGAACAAAAAACATGGGAGAAATAAAAAACAAATGGCAAGATGGTCAATTTAAACCTAACCCTATCAAAATTACATCAAGTATAAATGGTCTAAGCACTTCTAATTAAAAGGCAGAAACTTCAGATTGGATAAAAAAGCCACACCCAAATATATAACATCCACAAGAAAACCACTTTAAATATAAAGTAATAGGTAAAAGCAAAAGTATAGAGCAGACATACCACTCAAGCACTAGTCGTTAGATTGCTGAAGCAGCTATATAAATATAGTAGTCTCCCTTATCTGCAGGGGATACAGTGGATGCCTAAAACTTTGAAGAGTGGCAGGTGCGTGGTTCACACCTATAATCCCAGCATTTTGAGAGGCCA
Source organism: Homo sapiens (assembly GCF_000001405.40). Classification (NCBI taxonomy): domain Eukaryota; kingdom Metazoa; phylum Chordata; class Mammalia; order Primates; family Hominidae; genus Homo; species Homo sapiens. The sequence goes on from NC_000002.12 coordinate 210,050,622, forward strand.
TGGCAGGAGGATAGCTTGAGCCCAAGGAGTTCAAGACCAGCCTGGGGCAACATAGTGAGACCATCTCTACAGAAAAAAAAAAAAAAAAAAAAAATTAGCTGGGCACAGTGGCACACACCTATATTCCCAGGTACTTGGGAGGCAGAGGTGCAGGATCACTTGAGCCCAGGAGGTTGGGGCTGCAGAGAACTGTGATTGTACCACACTCCACTCCAGGGCTCAAGTGATCCTCCCACCTCAGCCTCCTGAGTAGCTGGGACTATAGGTGCACACCACCACACCCAGCTAATTTTTGTATTTTTTTGTAGAGACAGGGTTTCCCCATGTTTCCCAGGCTGGTCTCAAACTCCTGCGACCAGCCCAAAGTGCTGGGATTACAAGAATGAGCCACCATATCCAGCCCATACACTCTTTTCAAGTGTGCATGGAATGTACATGATGAACATTCCATGGCAGGAGGATCACTTGAGCCTTTAACATATCTTAATATTTAAATCTACATAAATACTATTGCTATGGAGAACTCATTCTGGGCCCATTTGTTTATACTTGAGCTAGTTCCCACATACTTTATAACTGTTAAGTCAGTATCTGGTAGTCCTGTCTACCCTCCTTCCCTTCTCTTCATGGACCTTTATTTGTCCATATTCACTTTTGAATGTTAAGTTTCCAAAATAGACAGCTGGTATTTTGACTAAGATTACCTTAAATTCAGGAAACTGGATGTCTCCCACTTTTAAGTCTTTATATCCTATATAAAAGTTTTAAATTTGTTTCCATAGTAGTCATATATATATATAGTCAATTCTCAGAAAATTGACAGTATGCTTTTGGGAATGTACCTTGTTTTTTAATATATTTTTAATTGGTTATTACTAATGTGGAAAAATAGTATTAGTTCTAATAATTTATTGATTCTGTTGGATTTTCTATGAAATTACTTCATGTGAAAATAATGACAGTTTTATTTCACCCTTACAATCAAAAAAATTTTCCTTCAGAACTTTGGAGACATTATTCTATTTTCATCTGGAGTCATTAATGAGAATTTCAATGGCAATTTCATTCTTACCCATTATAGGTCATAGTTTGCTTTTGTTAGCTGTTTTCCCTTCGAAGCTTTAACATCTTATCTTCTAGATATTCAGAAATTTCATGAGAATCTGTTTAGGAGTGGGCTGTTTATTTAATTCACAATGCTCAAAAGTTTGTGGGCCTTATCAAACTGAAGACATCATGTCTTCTTTTTGGCTGTGGAAATAGTCATGTATAATTTCTCTTTGTGTTCTGGGAGATTTATTTGACTCTATTTTCTAGTTCTTATACTAAAAAATTTTAATTATAGCTATTTTATTTTAAATTTCTTTCTTTCTTCTTTCCTTTTTTTTTTTTTTTTTGAGACAAGGTATTGCTCTGTCACCCACGGTGGAGAGTGGTGGCACAATCTATCAAGACTCACTGCAGCCTCTACTGCCTGGCTCAAGCAATCCTCCCACCTTATCCTCTAGAGTAGCTGGGACTAGAGGTGGATACCACCATACCTGGATCATTTTTAAATTTTCTGTAGAGACAGTATCTCACTATGTTGCCTAGGCTGGTTTTAACTCCTGGGCTTAAGAGATCCTCCTACTTCAGCCTCCCAAAGTGCTGGGGTTACAGGCCTGAGCCACCACACTAGGCCTTATTTTAAATTTCTAAAGGCACTTTTTTTTTGTTTGTTTGTTTCATGATTGTTTCTTTAGTACAACAGGCTGCCCTGGAAGTTATTGTCTGTTCTTTGAATTATTAATTTCTACCAAGGTCAGCTATATTCTCCTTCTTGCTGATGGCTTTTCCTTAATATGTTTAATGACTCAGAAATACTGGAAATGCTTTAACTCTAAATCTCTGTGTGGTTTGTTCCCTCCTCACTTCAATCAAGTCTCTAATCTAACGTCAGTTATTCCAGAAAGGACTTCTGACTCTCCTATCTAAAATAAACTCCTTTTTCCTAGAATTTTCTATCTCCTTACTTTAGTTCTATTTTTTTCCCCAAAGCACAGCATTAGTTAACATTTACACTTTTTCTCTCAATTAAATATAAGTTCTATGAAGGTAGGAACCCTTTCTGTCATGTTCACCACAGTATCTCCAATGCCTAGGCACTGTGTGGCACACGGTAGGTACTTAATATTTCTTTACTAGAAGATAGGAGGAGGGAAGGAAGAAAAGAAAGAAGGAAAGACATAATAAGTAGGCTATTCTAAATAGTTGTATATGCCTCTGCTATTGTACATGAGGCTCTATTTCCTCAATAGGAGTCCTTCCTAAATGGAAAGACAATAAATTTTGCATACATCAGCTTTGCACATATGAACTGGACTTGTCAACTTGGCGGGCTTAACCTGGTGGAATTCTGCATCTCTCAAGTCTCATTCATGTTAAGCAGATGCTAACTAACCTTATGCTCATCAATATGAAAGGGAAGCATGAATGATAGCATACTAAGAACTATAGCCATTTAAATGCAATGTGTATAATGCTTTTATCAGGTAACTTCAAGTTTATTTAAAGGCCTGAAGGGAAGATAATGGTCCATTTTTTTTGGTCATAGGTGAAGTATCATTTGGATTACAATGGACTGTTTTGTCTTTTCAAACTTCTCCTGAACAAGTAATATTGGGCAATAAAATAATCTCTAGTGAAAACAAACAGGCCAGATGTGGTGGCTCATGCCTGTAATCACAACACTTTGGGAGGCCGAGGTGGCCAGATCATTTGAGATCAGGAGTTCGAGACCAGCCTGGCCAACATGGTGAGACCTTGTCTCTACTAAAAATACAAAAATAAGCTAGACATTGTGGCAGGCACCTGTAATCTCAGCTACTTGAGGGGCTGAGGCAGGAGAATTGCTTGAACCTGGGAGGCGAAGGCTACAGTGAGCTGAGATCACACCACTGCACTCTAGCGTGGGAAATAAACCGAGATTCATGTCAACACAAACAAACAGAAAAAAAATACAAGATAATTATTTTGTAACTCAAGAAAAATTTTAAATTCTGACTCAAAACCCAAAAAGTATAATGAAAAGGTTGATAAATTCAATCACATTAAAAAACAAATAACTTCTGCATAGAAAGAAAACATTAATTAAAGAGAAAAGACAAACTGTGAAAAAAAGTCATAAAAAACAAAGGGCAAATTTCCTTAATATATATGTATATATCAGAAAAAATGTAATAAAATATAATTTTCCTAATATAGATAAAGAGCTCCTACAAATCAATATGAAAAAGGCAACAAATCCTCAACAGAAAAATGGGCAAAGGATATAGTTAGTCAGTTTACAGAAAGAAAATATAATGGCTCTTAAACATATGCAAAGATGGTCCAGATCTAACTCATATTAAAATAAATGTAAATTGAAACTAGACGGCCGGGCATGGTGGCTCACACCTGTAATCCCAGCACTTTGGGAGGCCGAGGCCAGTGGATCACAAGGTCAGGAGATTGAGACCATCCTGGCTAACACGGTGAAACCCCATCTCTAATTAAAAAAAAAATACAAAAAATTAGCTGGGCGTGGTGGCGGGCGCCTGTAGTCCCAGCTACTTGGGAGGCTGAGGCAAGAGAATGGCGTGAACTCAGGAGGCGGAGCTTCCAGTGAGCCAAGATCACACCACTGTACTCCAGCCTGGGCAACAGAGCGAGACTCCATCTCAAAAAAAAAAAAAAAAAAATGGTAACTAGACTATAACACCATTTTTTACCTATTGTATTGGCAAAAAAGCCCAAAATTTTAATAATTTACTGTGTTATAAAGATGTTGGCAAACAGGCAGCCTCATGCATTGCTGGTGGGAATGTAATTTGGTTCAATTCTATTGAGGGCAATTTGGCAAAAAAAATTAAAATTTATAAATGTACAAACTCTTTGTCCCAGCAATTCAACTTCTGGGATTCTAAGAGATATACTCACAAACATGTGGACTGAACTTCCTCAACATGATAAAGGGCATGAAAAACTCACAGTTTATATCATACTCAGTGATGAAGACTAAAAGCTCTCCAAGATCTGGTACTGATATTCAACATTGCACTAGAAGTTCTAGCCACAGCAATTAGGCAAGAAAAAGAAATAAAAAGGGAAGAAGGAAGGGTAGGAAAGGGAAAAAGGAGGGGAAAGGAAGGGAAGGGGGAAAGGAAGGGAAATGGGAAAAGGAAAGACAAAAAGGAGAAAGAAGAAGAAGAAAGAAAATACTATTTGTAGACAACATGTTCCTAGATACAGAAAACCCCAAAGAACAAACAAAGTTACTACAGCTATTAAATGAATTCAGAAAAATTGTAGAGTACAAAATCAGTAGTACATAAAAATCAGTTGTGTTTCTATGTATCAGTGATACGGTTTGGCTGTGTCCCCACCCAGATCTCATCTTGAATTGTAGTTCCCATAATCCCCACATGTCATGGGAGGGACCCAGTGGGAGGTAATTGAATCATAGGGGTAGTTACCCCCATGCTGCTGTTCTTGTGAATTCTCACGAGATGGTTTTATAAGGGGCTTTTTCCCCTTTGCTTGGTATTTCTTCTTGCCGCCACGTGAAGAAGTACATGTTTGCTTCCCCTTCTTCCATGATTGTAAGTTTCCTGAAGCCTCCCCAGCCATGCTGAACTGTAAGTCAAACCTCTTTCCTTTATAAAAGACCCAGTCTTGGATATGTCCTTACAGCAGTGTGAGAACGGACTAACACAGTAAATTGGTACTGCAAAGAGTGAGGTGCTGCTATCAGGATGCCGGAAAATGTGGAAGTGACTTTGGAACTGGGTAACAGGAAGAGACTGAAACAGTTTAGAGGGCCCAGAAGAGAACAGAAAAATATGGGTAAGTTTGGAACTTCCTAGAGGCTTGGAGGCTCACAAGACAGGTAGATGTGGGAAAGTTTGGAACTTCCCAGAGAATTGCTGAATGGCTTTCATGAAAATGCTGATAGAGATATGGACAATGAAGTCCAGGCTGAGGTGATCTCAGATGGAGATGAGGAACTTGTTGACAACTGGAATAAAGGTGATTCTTGCCCTGTGTTAGAAAAGAGACTGGCAACATTTTACTCCTGGCCAAGAGATCTGTGGAACTTTGAACTTGAGAAAGATGATCTAGAGTATCTGGTGGAAGAAATTTCTAAGTGGCAAAGCATTCAAGAGGAAGCAGAGCATAAAAGTTTGGAAAATTTGCAGCCTGACAATGCAGTAGAAAAGAAAAACCCATTTACCAGAGAGAAATTCAAGCCTGCTGCAGAAATCTGCATAAGTAACAAGGAGCAGAATGTTAATCACCAAGACAATGGGGAAAATGTTTCCACCTCATGTCAGCAACATTCATGGCAGCCCCTCCCATCACAGGCCTGGAGACTTAGGAGGAAAAATGGTTTCGTGGGCTGCGCCCAGGACCCCCCTGCTCTGTGCAGCCTTGGGGTGTGGTGCCTGCATCCCAGCTGCTTCAGTTCCAGCCATGGCTAAAAGGGGCCAAGGTACAGCTCAGGCCATTACTTCAGAGGGTGCAAGCCCTAAGCCTTGGCAGCTTACGTGTGGTGTTGAGCATGTGGTGTTGAGCCTGTGTAGAAGTCAAGAACTGAGGTTTGGGAACCTTCGCCTAGCCATCGTGCACAGCCTCTCTTAGCTAATTTCTGTTCCTCCATTCTCTCCCCGCTGCAAATTGCACTGTAAAAGGAACCAAATTAATCTTTCAAAAGTAATACTTTTATCATTTCACTCCTCCACACCAAAACCATCACTGATTCCCTGATGTTGTGCTAATCACCGAATCATTATCATCATCAACGTCATTCACATTTGATGAGGATTTATATGCCAGGCACTGAGCTAAATATCTTTTTTTGAGACAGAGTCTCGCTCTGTCACCCAGGCTGGAGTGCAGTGGTATGATCTCGGTTCACTGCAGCCTCTGCCTCCCTGGTTCAAGCAATTCTTGTGCCTCAGCCTCCCAAGTAGCTGGGGTTACAGGCATGCACCACCATGTCCAGCTAATTTTTATATTTTTAGTAGAGATAGAGTTTCACCATGTTGGCCAGGCTGCTCTCGAACTCCTGACCTCAAGTGATCTGCCTGCTTTAGCCTCCCAAAGATTGGATTACAGCCATGAGCCATCGTGCCAGGCCTCAGTTAAGTATCTTTCAAATGTATTTTCTTATTTAATATCAACACACCTCTAGAAGGTAGCCTTTTTCTTCTTTTCTTCATTGCTGATTCAGCTAATGTCTTAATTTAGAGCTGTCCCTGTGTCCCAAAGCAGACGCCAAGGCAAAGATTGTTTAATATCAATGGTCACAAATTTCTTCAATCCCTGTGTGTATGCCCCTTTGCTGAAATTTCCCCTTTGCTGTAAATTCCATCCCTGTGTGTATGCCCCTATTTCTCCATCCCTTTGAATTTGGGCTGACCAAGTCACTTGCTTTGTCCTATAGAATGCAGTGGAAATTATGTTGTTTAAGATCTGGTGGGCTGGGTGTGGTATTTCACACCTGTAATCCCAGCACTTTGTGAGGCCAAGGTGGGCAGATCCCTTGAGGCCAGGAATTCGAGACCAGCCTGGCCAACATGGTGAAATCCCATCTCTACTAAAAATACAAAAATTAGGTGGGCATGGTGGGACTTGCCTGCAATCCCAGCTACTCAAGAGGCTGAAGCATGAGAATCACTTGAACCCTGGAGGCAGAGGTTGCAGTGAGCCAAGATCGTTGACACTGCACTCCAGCCTGGGAGAGAAAGTGAGAGTCTTTCTCAAAAAAACAAACAATAGGGCCGGGCGCTGTGGCTCACGCCTGTAATCCCAGTACTTTGGGAGGCTGAGACAGGCAGATCATGAGGTCAGGAGATTGAGACCATCCTGGGTAACATGGTGAAACCCTGTCTCTACTAAAAATACAAAAAATTAGCCGGGCGTGGTGGCAGGCACATGTAGTCCCAGCTACTCGGGAGGCTGAGGCAGGAAAATGGCATGAACCCGGGTGTTGCGGGAAGCCAGGAACCCTGAATGGAGGGACCGGCTGAAGCCATGGCAGAAGAACGTGGATTGTGAAGATTTCATGGACATTTATTAGTTCCCCAAATTAATACTTTTATAATTTCTTACGCCTGTCTTTACCACAATCTCCGAACATAAATTGTGAAGATTTCATGGACACTTATCACTTCCCCAATCAATACCCTTGTGATTTCCTATGCTTGTCTTTACTTTAATCTCTTAATCCCGTCATCTTCGTAAGCTGAGGAGGATGTACATCACCTCAGGACCCTGTGATGATTGCATTAACTGCACAAATTGTTTGTAGAGCATGTGTGTTTGAACAATATGAAATCTGGGTACCTTGAAAAAAGAACAGGATGACAGCAATGTTCAGGGAACAAGAGAGATAACCTTAAACTCTGACTGCCAGTGAGCCAAGGCGGAACAGAGCCATATTTCTCTTCTTTCAAAAGCAAATGGGAGAAATATCGCTGAATTCTTTTTCTCAGCAAGGAACATCCCTGAGAAAGAGAATGCGTCCCTGAGGGTAGGCCTCTGAAATGGCCGCTTCAGGGGGCGGCTGACTTTTATGGTCGAAGCTGTGGGGATGAAATAAGCCCCAGTCTCCCGTAGCACTCCCAGGCTTATTAGGATGAGGAAATTCCCACCTAATAAATTTTGGTCCGACTGGTTGTCTGCTCTCAAACCCTGTCTCCTGATAAGATGTTATCAATGACAATGCGTGCCCGAAACTTCATTAGCAATTTTAATTTCACCCTGGTCCTGTGGTCCTGTGATCTCGCCCTGCCTCCATTTGCCTTGTGATATCTTATTAGCTTGTGAAGCATGTGATCTCTGTGACCCACACCCTATTCGTACAGTCCCCTCTCCTTTTGAAAATCACTAATAAAAACTTGCTGCTTTTGGCCAGGCGCAGTGGCTCATGCCTGTAATCCCAGCACTTTAGGAGGCTGAGGCAGGTGGATCACGAGGTCAGGAGATCGAGCCCATCCTGGCTAACATGGTGAAACCCCGTCTCTACTAAAAATATTTTTAAAAAATTAGCCGGGCGTGGTGGCGGGCGCCTGTAGTCCCAGCTACTCGGGAGGTTGAGGCAGGAGAATGGTGTGAACCCGGGAGGCGCAATTTGCAGTGAGCTGAGATCGCGCCACTGCACTCCAGCCTGGGAGACAGAGCGAGACTCCGTCTCAAAAAAAAAAAAAAAAAAACCTTGCTGGTTTTACGGCTCAGGGGGCATCACGGAACCTGCCAACATGTGGTATCTCCCCCGGACACCCAGCTTTAAAATTTCTCTCTTTTGTACTCTTTCCCTTTATTTCTCAGACCGGCTGACACTTAGGGAAAACAGAAAAGAACCTACATGAAATATCGGGGGTGAATTTTGCCCAATATCTGGCTGAATTTCCCCCATACCCAGGAGGTGGAGCTTGCAGTGACCTGAGACCACGTCACTGCACTCCAGCCTGGGTGACAGAGCGAGACTCCGTCTCAAAAAAAAAAAAAAAAAAAGATCTGGAGCCTAGGCTTCAAGAGGCATGTAACTTCCTCCTTGTCATATTGGAGCACTGTCCTGAGGTGCCATGGAAGGAAGCCATTCTAGCTAATGCAGCATGAGAGGCCACAATGAGAACTGAGTTGCCCCAACCAACAGCCAGCACCACCTGCCAGAAGAGCAAGTGAGTCCCACTTCCGCCAGCACAGCTGGCCCTCCAGCTGAATGTAGCCATATGATGGTAGTCCTATTTTTATGGATGAGGAAAACAAAGTAGTAAGTAATTTGCACAGTACTGCACACTATTAAGTAGAACAAGGATTACAATCCAGTATGAAACCACTAAAATGTGCTGCTTCCCTACAAAAAATAACTTCTAGACTCTTTAATTTGGTAGCTTCCAAATTTATCTGCAATTATATAAAGCATATTTTCTCACAGGAATATGTTATACATGCTATAAATTTATCTCTCCAGTCAACCTATAGAAGTCCCTGGAGTACAGAATTGTTACAGCAAGGTAAGAAAATCCTCAACTAAGATAATTCCCATTGTCTAAAGCAGATGCTCCAGTAGGTGTGGCATGGAAGAAAGAGTTGGCTTCCCAGCAGCATAAAAATACTACTTAAGTAACTTTTTTTTTTTTTGAGATAGTGCAATGGCATGATCTCAGCTGACTGCAACCTCCACCTCCCGGGTTCAAGCGATTCTCCTGCCTCAGCCTCCCAAATAGCTGGGATTACAGGCACGTGTCACCACGCCTGGCTAATTTTTTGTATTTTTAGTAGAAATGGGGTTTCACCAAGTTAGCCAGGTTGGTCTCGAATTCCTGACCTCAGGTGATCCACCCACCTCGGCCTCCCAAAGTGCTAGGATTACAGGCGTGAGCTATCATGCCCAGCTTCCAGTAAGAATTTAAATTTCTATGAGATGATATCTTTATTTTTCTTTAAAATCTTCTATTATTTGTTCAAAAAAGTGGCCTGCATTCACATAAAGTTTACATACCTAATCATTCACATTTTAAAAAGGAAATGAAAACTTTCAAATGAAATTATTATATGTACCTTAATTCGTACCACTGGATTATTTTATTAAACCACTCAGCATTATGATTTGAGAATCTATGAAATAACAATGATGATACAGACTACAAACACTACTTTTGCAAATCTGCCATAGGAGACAGATAAAAGATCACAGATGAACAAATTAAAATAGGAATAGTTCTGCCTTATTTCATAAAGGTTATAATATTCATTATTAATGTTACTTCAATTTATACATGTTAGGTCACTACAGCTGTTTTCATAAATATGAAATGGCTTGTGGATTACATGCTAAAATTCATAAAAAATGAAAAAATTATCCTGCTCAAAATAGTTTCCCACCCAACATTCCATAATCTTAATAATGTGACCATTTTGAATTTAATTTACTACTTCTGCAAGACCAGCGTCTTGATATGCAAATAGCGTTCTTCAGAGTAACAGTATCATTGGTAAACAGCTTACCAGAGATTAGCAGGTCAACTAGTGACAAAACAGGCCAGTTATATTTGTATGGAAATAAGAAGAGGAAAAGAAAAGAGCTGGGTAATTTGAAGAATACCATGAGAAAACAGGAAGCATACATAACATCACTAGATACCAGAGGGGTGGGAACCACCATGATGGGGATAATACAAGATAAGTGAGTGTCCTGCAAATAAAGTTTCATTCATTTAAAACTTCTGCCCAGTTCATGTTTCTAATATTTATATCACATTGATTTATTTATTATTGCTCAAGGGCTGCAACTATTAATAGAGAAGAAGTAATCACCACTGCTACTCCCCACCCCCAATATGGAGGAGGGTGATTGGGAGCATGACCAAATAAAACTCTGGGCTTTTCCCTACCTTCAACCAACCATTTCTACTTTTATTAATTTCATATAAAATAACCTCTGATCTAAGTGATTGAATACACTTCTTGACTTATTCTTACTCAAACAATTAGGTTTATTAACTAAAATCTTATAATACAATAAGTAGACTGCCCTAACTCAAAATATAATTATTGTAACTATTAGCTTCCTATATAAACAATTTGTATGTCCAATTACCTACAACCCGCTTCTATAGAAAGTGTATTAGGAATTCTAATCTTGGATGCCAGAGGCCTCTGTTCACCATTCCCAGTGGGAAAGAGAACTTCCTTTGCCAGGAGTTAATCAGGGTGGCTTCTGTTGTCTAAGGCTGAGACATCAATAGTATAGGGCCTAACGTTGCACAGCAACTGGGTATAAAGACTATCAAGAAGGAGCTGAAGAAGCATATTATGATCAGATAAACATTTTTAAATTATTAATTGCAAGTGAAATTTTAAAGAATGCTATTAGCTACATTTATATTTTAAGAATTATACTAGAGTATTATTCTGAAAAACATTTTCACATCTAGCTATGCCTACCAGTGTATTTTCTGGATCTAAAGATACATCTATATTCTAGGTAGATAAAGCAACATTATCAAGCACAAAGAAGCATAGATTCTCCAAGCATAAACTAAAGTGTACCAGTAATGAATAAAGTGGCTTAGACAGCAAAAGATATGATTCTCTTAGAATAAGAAAGCCAAACATTCTTAAACAGCCTTAGAAACTACGTGAAGTTTTAACAATTGTTTATATGGGCTAGTCATAGAAAGAAACAGTCTGAAAAACTCATAAAAGATTCAAATCAGATGTAGAAATCAAGCTTATGAAAGATGTAGTGTTAAGATTCGGCATTAACATTTAAGAGAAAACTACCAAATTTGTATTTATATTCATTTAAATAGTGCTAAATATGTGTATCTTCTCATTCCACTTTGTACTTCAGTTTCTCTAAGTAAAATGGGGTATGAATATCAAATTAAAAATATATTTAAAGCATTTAGAAGTTGATATGGTTTAGTTGTGTCCCCACCCAAATCTCATCTTGAATTCCCATGTGTTGTGGGAGGGACCGGGAGATGTAATCGAATCATGGGGGTGGGTCTTTCCTGTGCTGTTCTTGTGATAGTGAATAAGTCTCATGAGATCTGATGGTTTTAAAAAGAGAAGATACCCTGTACAAGCTGTCTTCTCTTGTCTGCTGCCATGTGAGACGCACCTTTCACCTTGTGCGGTGATTGTGAGGCATCACCAGCCACGTGGAACCGTAGTCTATTAAATCTCTTTTTTCCTCCCAGTCTCGGGTATGTCTTTATCAGCAGTGTGAAAACGGATTAATACAGTAAATTGGTATCAATAGAGTAGAGCGCTGCTTAGAAGATACCCAAAAATGTGGAAGCGACTTTGGAACTGGGAGGTTGGAACAGCTTGGAAGGCTCAGAAAACAGAAAAGTGTGGGAAAGTTTGGAACTCCCTAGAGATTTGTTGGATGGCTTTGACCAAAATACTGATCATGATATGGACAATGAAATCCAGGCTGAGGTAGTCTCAGATGGAGATAAGGAACTTGTTGGGAACTGGAGCAAAGGTGACTCATTATGTTTCAGCAAAGAGACTGGTGGCATTTTGTCCCTGCCCTAGAGATCTATAGAACTTTGAACTTGAGAGAGATGATTTAGGGTATCTGGTGGAAGAAATTTCTAAGCAGCAAAGTATTCAAGAGGTGACTTGGGTGCTGTTAAAGGTGTTCAGTTTTAAAAGGGAAACAGCATAAAATTTGGAAACGTTGCAGCCTGACGATACAATAGAAAAATCCTATTTTCTGAGGAGAAATTCAAGCTGGCTGCAGAAAGTTGCATAAGTAATGAGGGGCCAAATGTTAATCCCCAAGACAATGGAGAAAATGTCTCCACTGCATGTCAGAGGTCTTCATAGCAGCCCCTCCCATCACAGGCCCAGAGGCCTAGGAAGAAAAAGTGATTTTGTGGGCTGGGCCCAGGGTCGCTGTGCTGTGTGCAGCCTAGGAACTTGGTGCCCTGTGTCCCAGCTGCTCCAGTCATGGCTGAAAAGGGTCAATGTAGAGCTCAGGCTGTGGCTTCAGAGGGTGCAAGCCCCAAACCTTGGCAGTTTCCATGTGGTGTTGAGCCTGCAAGTGCATAGAAGTCAAGAGGTTTGGGACCTCTGTCTAGATTTCAGAAGATGTATGGAAACGCCTGGATGTCCAGGCAGAAATTTGCTGCAGGGGTAGAGTGCTCATGGAGAACCTCTGCTAGGGGAGTGCAGAAGGGAAATGTGGGGTCAGAGCCCCCACAAACAGCCCCTACTGGGGCACCACCTAGTGGAGCTGTGAGAAGAGGGTCATTGTCCTTCAGACTCTAGAATGGTAGATCTGCAGACAGCTTGCACTGTGTGCCCGGAAAAGCTGCAGACACTAGACGCCAGACTGTGAAAGCAGCCAGGAAGGGGGCTATACTCTGCAAAGCCACAGGAGCCCAAGGCCATGGGAGCCCACCTCTTGCATCAGTGTGACCTGGGTGTGAGACATAGAGTCAAAGAGATCATTCTGGAGCTTTAATATTTGACTGCCCTGCTGGATTTTGGACTTGTATGGGGCCTGTAGCCCCCTTTTTTTTTTGGCCAATTTTTCCCATTTGGAATGGCCATATTTACCCAATGACTGTACCCTCATTGTATCTATGAAGTAACCAACCTGCTTTTGATTTTACAGGCTCATAGGCGAAAGGGAATTGCCTTATTTCGAATGAGACTTTGGACTGTGGACTTCTGAGTTGATGCTGAAATGAGTTAAGACTTTGGGGGACTGCTGGGAAGGCATGATTGGTTTTGAAATGTGAGGACGTGAGATTTGGGAGGGGTTGGGGTGGAATGATATGGTTTGGCTGTGTCCTCACTCAAATCTCATCTTGAATTCCCACATGTTGTGGGAGGGATCGGTGGGAGGTAATTGACTCACGGGGCCAAGTCTTGCTGTTCTTGTGATAGTGAATAAGTCTCACAAGATCTGATGGTTTTAAAAAGAGGAGTTCCCCTGCACAAGTTCTCTCTCTTTGCCTACTGCCATCTACGTTAAGACATGACTTGCTCCTCCTTGCCTTCCACCATGATTGCAAGGTATCCCCAGCCATGTAGAACTGTAAGTCCATTAAATCCTTTTTCCTGTATAAATTACCCAGTTTCAGGTATGTCTTTATCAGCAGCATGAATATGGACTAATACAGAAATTAAAATGATGCCTGACACATAATTGCTTAATAAATATTAGCTATTATTATTTGACATTATCATTAGTGTTGTAAAATGAGCAAAGTCAAGTAAAAATGCATAACAATCTATGCTTTTTATTAATCCTGTCTAGCAAAGGAATCATAACCTCTGCAAATAATTATTCTAAATAATTATTCCTATCAGTTTACCTCTACCTCTTCCATCTTACTGCTCTAGTAGAAAAATTAGGCCAGGGCAGTGGCTCATACCTGTAATCCTAGCACTTTGGAAGGCTAATGCAGGAGGATCATTTTTTGAGCCCAGGAGTTCAAGACAAGCCTAGGCAACATAGAAAGACCCTGTCTCTACAAAAAATTTAAAATTACCTGGGTGTGGCAGTACATGCTTGTACCAGCTACTTGGGAGGCTGAGGTGGGAGGACTGCTTGAGCCTGGGAGGTCGAGGCTGCAGTGAGCTATGATCGTACCACCACACTCCAGGCTGGGTGACACAGTGTGACCTCATCCCTCCCCCACCAAAAAAAAAAAAAAAAAAAAACACAGGAAAAAAAATTAGTGTAACACTTCCTTACAAAAAAGTGGAGTATAGAAGGAGTACATTACGAACTCATAGAGCTAGCTAAGGTTTCTAGGCAGAATGTGCAAAGGGCCAAATGGTTTCATTTAATTGCCTATGATAAAGTATGGATGGTGTAGGATGATCTTAAAAAGAAGCTGTTAGGCCAAGCATGATGGCTTACGTCTGTAATCTCAGCACTTTGGGTAGGTGGATCACCTGAGGTTAGGAGTTCGAGACCAGCATGGCCAACGTGGTGAAACCCCATCTCTACTAAAAATACAAAAACAGCCCTGTGTGGTGGTGGTGCCTGTAATCCTAGCTATTGGGGAGGCTGAGGCAGGAAAATCACTTGACCTCGGAGGCGGAGGTTGCAGTGAGCCGAGATCGCACCACTGTACTCCAGCCTGGATGACAGAGCACGACTCTGTCTCAAAAAAAAAAAAAAAAAAAAAAAAAAGAATCTGTTACATTTTCAAGCAGAAGTTAGAGAAAACAGAGCCAGTACTTCCCCATTCAAAAATAAGACTGTTTCTCATTTCCAGCTACTCCACACACCAAAAGGTTCTCACAGTTAGACATGGTATCAGTAAAAGATCAAATCCAGGGAACTGCCAGTAAAACTGTGGCCTCAGTGTCAAGATCTAAGGATGAGACTGTAAGACCCTTCATTAACACCTCAGAAAGGTTTGTCTACCTCTCAATTGAGGTGCCTGGACATGATTTTTTTTTTTTTTTTTTTTTTTTGATACAGAGTTTTGCTCTGCCATCCAGGCTAGAGTGCAGTGGCATGATCTCGGCTCACGGCAACCTCCGCCTCCCAGGTTCAAGGGATTCTCCTGCCTCAGCCTCCCAAGTAGCTGGGATTACAGATGCGCACCACCACGCCCGGCTAATATTTGTATTTTTAGAAGAGTAGGGGTTTCACCATGTTGGCCAGGCTGGTCTCGAACTCCTGACCTCAGGTGATCCACCTGCCTCAGTCTCCCAAAGTGCTGGGATAACAGGCATTTGAGCCACTGCACCCAGCCATGGACATGATTCTTGATGATGAGTTCCAAGACTTCAAGCCTGAGCCTAATGCCATAATGGGTTGAGACATCAGGGGTCTTGGAAGGAAGGTGTTCAATGGTTTTTACATATGAAAGAGGGAACCAGAGGATGGACTGTAGTAGTTTTCAATTACAGCCCCAATGAACCATGACTCCCAGTATTCTTGCCCTTGTATAGTCCCTCCTAAATTAAATCCTACACTGTATCACTTTAATAAATTAAACAGAAAAACACTGTGCTAGTTGTAGGATTAAGTCTTAAGAAGAACTCCTAGCTTCTATATTTGCATTTTGGGAGGCACAGAGAGTGAAGGAAGCCCAGCTATTCCAGCCCATCCAAGCATCCAGATGGCTAACCCCAGTCACAATCTTACTACAACTGTAGGAGAGACCTTAGGCAAGGCTGAAGAATAACTACTTAGGTAATCCACAGAATCATGAAAGATAATAGAAAATGGTTTTAAATCACTACGTTTGGGGATAGTCTGTCATGCAACAATAGATGGCCAAAACAACGGGGATAGGCTACTCTGAATGTGCAGCATGGGGCACATGCCCACTTCTATGGCAAAGATATACAGCATAATGAATTTTTACATAGGTATATGCCCTGGTAACCACCACCAAGGGTATGACACATTTCCAACTCAAAAACCTACACGGTGTCACTTTGTTGCCTAGGGTGGTCTTGAACTCCTGGGCTCAAGTGATCCTCCCCCATCAGCCTTCCCAAAGTGTTGGGATTACAGGCATCGGCCACCACACCAGGCCTGTTCTCACTTCTTTCACTCAACATATTGTCTGGGAGATACATCTTTGTTGTTTTATCAGTAGTCCATCCTTTTTATTGCTGTATAAATATACCACAATTCTGCTGGTGGCATTTAGATTACTTTGTATTTGGGGCTTTAATGAGTAAAGCTGTTATGAGCCCTGTGATGGTTAATTTTATGTGTCAGGTTGACTAGGTGAATGGATGCCCAGAAAGCTGGTAAAACATTATTTCTAGGTGTGTCTGTGAGGGTGTTTTCCAAACAGATTAACATTTGAATCAGTTGACTGAGTAGAGAAGATCACCCTCACCTAATCTGATGATAGCACGAATAAAACAAAAAGGCAGAGGAAGGGCAAATTCCCTTTCTTCTTAAGCTGGGACATTCATCTTCTCTGGCCTTCAGTGAGACATCAGTGCTCCTGGATCTCTGGCCTTTAGACTCCAGGACTTAATACCAGGCATCCTCCTCCCCCTGGTTCTAGGGCTCCAGCCTTGGACTGAATTACACCACTGGATTTCCTAGTTCTCCAGCTGGCAGACAGCATATTATGAAACTTCTTGGTCTCCATAATCAATCATGTGAGCCAATTCCCATAATAAATCTTCTCTTATATATCTATATATATTCTATTGCTCTCTTTCTCCGGAGAGCCTTTGTGTGTATATGTATTCATTATTCCTGGATGAGTTCCTAAGAGTGGAATTGCTGGATTATAAGAATAGATGTATGTTAGTCTGGGTGCAGTGGTACACGCCTGTAATCCCAGCACTTTGAGAGGCCAAGGTGGGCAGATACTTGAGCTCAGAAGTTTGAGACCAGCCTGGGCAATATGACGAAACCCCATCTCTGCAAAAAATATAAAGGAAAAATTGGCCAGGCATGGGGGCATGTGCCAGTCATCTCAGCTACTCCGGAGGCTGAGGTGGGGGTATTGTTTGAGAGCTTGAGCCCTGGAGGTTGAGGCTGCAGTGAGCTGAGATCACTTAACTGCACTGCACTCCAGCCTGAGTGACAGAGTGAGACCCTGTCTCCAAAAAAAAAAAAAAAAAAAAAAAAAAAATTGATGTAGTATTAATTGCATTTCCTTGATAAGCAATGATTTTAAACACATTTTCATATGTTTATTGGCCATTTGGATATCCTCTTTTACAAAAGATCTGTTCAAGTCTTATGCATATTTTTATTTTATTTTATTTTTATTTATTTATTTAGAGATGGAGTCTTGCTCTGTTGCCCAGGCTGGAGTGCAGTGGCACAATCTCAGCTCACTGCAACCTCCGCCTCCTGGGTTCAAGCAATTTTCCTGCCTCAGCCTCCCAAGTAGCTGGGATTACAGGCGCCTGCCACCACACCCGGCTAATTTTTGTATTTTTAGTAGAGATGAGGTTTCACCATGTTGGCCAGGCTGGTCTCAAACTCCTGACCTCGTGATCCATCTGCCTCAGACTCCCAAAGTGCTGGGATTACAGGCGTGAGCCACCGCGCCCGGCTGCATATTTTTTATTTAAAAAATTTATTGTGGTAAAATACATATAACAAAAGTTACCACTTTACTATTTTAAAGTATGTAACTGTATTTATGCCTATTTTTAATTAAGTTATCTCTTTTTTCTTGTTTTTTTTAGCCATTTAAAAATATATACATATATTCAGGATATAAAATCTTTGTTGAATATATACACACCCACACACACAGAGAATGCAAATCTCTTCAGTCAGTGTGTACTCTATTGTCTTAATGCTGTCTTTGATGAAAATTAGTTCATAATTAACAAAGCCCAAATTAGCAGTATTTTCTGATTAGTGATATTTGTATCCTGTTTAAGAAGTCAGCCACCCCGAGGACATGAAGACATTCTCCTGTGTTTTCTTCTAGAAGTTTATTGTTTTCCTGTCACATTTAGGTCTGATTTACCTTCCTTTTTATTGGCGGGTAATAAGTGTTTGCAACTGAGTTGTTCTATCAGTGCATTTCCTGCCTGTAAAATTTTGGGGGTCTGACAACCTTTTTCATTTTGTCTCGTCTTTGCCCCTTTTGGTTTAAGCTGGTAGTGTTGCTTCAGGTATAAAATTCTCAAAATCTTTGTGGGATTCTCACATATGTCAAGGGAATCCATGTCATTAAGACAGGAGTGTTCTCTCAAAATTCTTTCTGGATAACCTTATCTCTGTTCCTGGCTTCTGCTTAGATGATTGATTGGATCCATGAGTTACATACCTAACCTTCCCAGCAAAAGTTTGTCTCTGCTCTGGGTAATCCCCAGAGCAAGCTATATCACTTTTTGTAATAGCCTGAGAATTTTCCAAATCATCAAAGCTCTGGTTGCTTTTAACCTAACAGCTCCTTACTCACTTTATCTCTTTCCTCTCATATTCTACTCTAAAAAGCAAGGAGAAACCAGATAACAAATCCTACACTTTACTTGGAAATTTCCTCAGCTAAATATCCAAGTTCATTGCTTAAAAGTTCTATTTTCCACCTCACAGTAGAATATAATTCAGCCAAGTTTTCTGCCACTTTATAACAAGGATAGCCTTCCCTCCAGTTTCTAATAACGTGTCCCCCATTTCCTTCTGAAACTTCACTGAAGGCACCTTTAACATTCATGTTTCTAGCAAATTCTGTTCATGATGATATACATATTCTCTAAGATAACAGCAGCTTTGTCTTTCATTTTCCTCATTTCCTTCTGAGCTCTCACAAAACCTAGGCTTTTCCCTATCATGGACCTTAAAATTCTTCCAGCCTTTGCTCATTACCCAGTTCCAAAGCCACTTCCACCATTAAGTATTTGTTACATCAGCACCTTACTTCCTGGCACCAAACTCTGTATAAGTTTCCTAGGACTGCCATAATAAATTACCATAAGGTGAGTGATTTAAAGCAACAGAAATTAATTCTCTCATAGTTGTGAAGGACAAGTATGAAATTGATGTGTTGGCAGGGCTACACTCCCTCTGATGGCTCTAGGGGAGAATCCTTCCTTGACTCATTCAGTTTCTGTGGCTCCTGGCATTCTTTTTTTAAAATTAAATTAAATTTAAATTTTACTTTTTCTGCCAACACCTTGATTTTAACTTATTTATTTATTGCCCCTGACATTCTTTTTTTTTTTTTTTTTTTTTTTTTTTTTTTTTTTTTTTTTTTTTTTTTTTTTTTTTGAGACAGAGTCTCACTCTGTCACCCAGGCTGGAGTGCAGTGGTAGGATCTCTGCTCACGGTAACCTCTGCTTTCTGGGTTCAAGCAATTCTCCTGTCTCAGCCTCCCGAGTAGCTGGGATTACAGGCACCTGCCACCACACCCGGCTAACTTTTGTATTTTTAGTAGAGACAGGGTTTCACCATGTTGGTCAGGCTGGTTTGGAACTCCTGACCTCAAATGATCCGCCTTCCTCAGCCTCCCAAAGTGCTGAGATTACAGGCGTGAGCCACTGTGTCTGCTTGGCCCCTGACATTCTTTAACTTGTGGAAGCATAACTCAAATCTCTGCCTTCATCTTCATATAGCCTTCTCTGTGTCTCAAATCTCTTTCTCCGTTCTTTTTTTTTTTTTTTTTTTTTTTTGAGATGGAGTCTCAATCTGTCACCCAGGCTGGAGTGCAGTGGCGCGATCTCCGCTCACTGCAAGCTCCGCCTCCCGGGTTCATGCCATTCTCCTGCCTCAGCCCCCGAGTAGCTGGGACTACAGGCGCCCGCCACAACGCCCAGCTAATTTTTTGTATTTTTTAGTAGAGATGGGGTTTCACCATGTTAGCCAGGATGGTCTAGATCTCCTGACCTCGTGATCCGCCCGCCTCGGCCTCCCAAAGTGCTGGGATTACAGGCGTGAGCCACTGCGCCCAGCCCTCTCCTTTCTCTTATAAGGACGCCAATCACTGGATTTAGGACCCATTCTAAATTCAAAATGATCTCATTTCAGGATCCTTAATTGCAACTACAAAGACCTTACTAACAAAAATGTCCACTGTATTAGTTTGCTAGGTGTGTCATAACAAAATGCCACAACTGAGTGGCTGAAATAACAGTTCTGGAGGCTGGAAGTCAAATCAAGATGTCAGCAGGATTGGTTTCTTTTAAGGACTAAGAGGAAGACTCTGCTAGGCCTATCCTCTATCTTCTGGTGTTTGCTCTGTTATATGTATATGTAATATGTATTTTACCACAATAAAAATTTTTTTAAATAAAACATATGTAGCCGGGTGCAGTGGCTCACGCCTGTAATCCCAGCACTTTGGGAGGCTGAGGCGGGTGGATCACGAGGTCAGAAGTTTGAGACCAGCCTGGCCAACATGGTGAAACCTCATCTCTACTAAAAATACCAAAATTAGCCGGGTGTGGTGGCGGGCACCTGTAATCCCAGCTACTTGGGAGGCTGAGGCAGGAAAACTGCTTGAACCCGGGAGGCGGAGGTTGCAGTGAGCTGAGATTGTGCCAGTGCACTCCAGCCTGGGCAACAGAGTAACACCAATCTTTGGTGTTCCTTGGCTTGTAGAAGTGTCATTCTGACCTCAACTTTCATGTTTATGTGGCATTCATCCTGTATGCATGCATCTGTGTCTAAATTCCCCCTTTTCATTTTTATTTTTTTAATTATTTATTTAGAGACAGAGTCTCACTCTGTCACCCAGGCTGGAGTGCAGTGGCATGATCTCAGCTCGCTGCAACCTCCGCGTCTCAGGTTCAAGCGATTCTCATGCTTCAGCCTCCTAAGTAGCTGGGACTACAGGCACAAACCATGATGCCTGGCTAATTTTTGTATTTTTTAGTAGAGACGGGATTTTGCCATGTTGGCCAGGCTGGTTTCAAACTCCTGACCTCAGGTGATCCACCCCCCTCGGCCTCCCAAAGTGTTGGGATTACAGGCATGAGCTGCCATGCCCGACCAAAGTTACCCCTTTTTATAAGGACATCAGTCATATTGGATTAGGGCCCACCCTGATTACTTCATCTTAACTAATTGCATCTTTAATGACCCAATTTCCAAATTAGGTCATATTCTAAGGTGCTAGCTGTTAGAACGTCAATATAAGAGTTCTTAGGGACACAGTTCAACCCATAACAGTTACATTCCTAGGAACCAGGAGTTAGGACATAGACATATCTTTCAGGGTGGTGGTGGGGAGACACAATTCTGCCCACTACAGCGTTTGTTTTTGCTTTTCAATATTTTAAATATTTCACTCCCCTCTCTTTTTGGTTGCACATGGCTGGTACCATTCCAGAAGGGAAGTTTATTTATTATATACAATGGATGCCTTAGCCATTTTACCCTTAATATTTCAATGTGTATTTCATAGAATAAGGATATTTTCTTACATAACTGCAAAAACAATAATATTCAGGGAATTCAACATTAATAAAATATTTTGTCTAATCTACCATCAATAGTCTAGTTTCCTCAATTGTCCCAATAATTTTTTTTCCCTTGAAAAGAATTCTGCTCTAGATCATATATTCATTTAGTTGTCATGTATCTTTTTAGTGTCTCTTTCAATCTAAAACAAGTCCTTAGCCTTTCTTGGCTTTCATGACATTGACATTTTTAAAAGAATACTGGCCAGTTGTTTTTTAATACTGTATGTCTGATTTTGGCTTTGTCTGATATTTACTCATGATTAAATTCAGGTTATACATTTCTAGTCAGAATACTACACAGTGTTATCCTCCCTCACAGGTGACAGTAGTTTTGATCACTCAGGCAAAGTATTGTTTGTTTCTGTATATATAGTTACTATATGCCCCCTGGCAACTGGCAGGAGGCACTTTAAGACAGCAGTCCCCAACTTTTTTGGCAACAGGGACCAGTTTCATGTAAAGCAATTTTTCCACAGACAGGAGATTGGGGGTGTAGGAGATGGGGAGATGGTTTCAGGATGAAACTGTTCCACTTCAAATCATCAGGCTTTAGATTCTCATAAGGAGCACACAACCTACATACCTCAGATGCACAGTTCACAATAGGGTTTGAGTTCCCGTGAGTTCCCGCCACTGATCTGACAGGAGGCAGAGCTCAGGCGGTAATGCTCGCTCAGCTGCTGCTCACCTCCTGCTGTGTGACCTATTTCTAACATGCCACGGACCAGTACTGGTCTGTGACCAGGGGACTGGGGACCCCTGCTTTAAGATCATGCAAATCTTGTTCCTCATCAAACCTCTCCTCAATCCTGACCCCAGAGTTATACCCATTAATGATTCTTGTCCAATCAATCTTTACTATGATGATTGCAAAATGATTCTCTAATTTGACTGTTTATTCCACATTTATTAATCAGCATCCTAGCATATGGAAAAGTTTTCCTTTTCACCAATTTATCTATCATCAGTATGGACTCATGAGTTCCTATTTTTTCAATGGTTCAATATTGTCCTTATTTATTTTGATGCCAAATAGTCCTAGATTTGGCCACTAGGGGCCTCTTCAAGCTAGCTTCTGTGTTCTTTCAACATGTCTTTATCATTTTTTTAAACACTTCCTTGCTTTCTGTTAACATTACGATGTTCCAGGATAATCATACCTTTTCTTCCCCAGCCCTGGAGACCAGCCATTTCTCCAGAAATCCCCGATTCCTTTTAGTAGGAAATGGTATTAGAAAACAAAATATGAGTTCCAGACATACTGATTACTTATCAGGATAAGTCTGAGTCTACATCTGTGCTGTCCAGTTTGGTAGCAATTACCCATGTGTGGCTACTTAAATTAAAATAAAAACAAAATAAATTAAATATTCAGGATGGGCACAGTAGCTCACACCTGTAATCCCAGCACTTTGGGAGGCTAAGGCAGGAGGATCACTTGAGCCCAGGAGTTCAAGACCAGCCTGGGCAACATAGCGAGATGTCTAAAAAAAAAAATGGAAAAGAAAAAAAAAACTCAGTTCCTCAATTACATAAGCCATGTTTCATGTGCTCAATAGCTACATGTGTCTAGGAGCTACCATATTGGACAGTATAGATTTATAGAGCATTTGAATCATTACAGAAAGTTCTATGGTTCTCAAGACTTTCCATAAAGAAAAAAAAGAAAGTTCTATGGGATATGGAATATCACTATTCTAGACCACTGCAGTAGGCAAATCTAGGAAACACACAAACACACACACACACACACACACACACACACACAGTTCCAATTCTCTATTGCCTTTTAAATATTTTCCTATGTTCCACTTCGTTAATTCTTTAACACATTAAACAATTATTTACTGAGCACATTCTATCAGACAGGTACTCTTCAAGGCCCTGCAGATCTGGAAATAAAAAGATACAGCCCCTATTCTCTGAAAACATAACACACTTTTTTCTGAAAAGTCAGAAAAGAAATGATTATAAAATAGTATAATAAATTCCAGCTCAGCAAGGTTAAAACAGGGTGCTATAACAATATATATACCATTCTGGGCATGTCAAGGAAGGCTTCCTGAGAGAAATGACATTTAAATTAAGTTTAGAAAGGTAAATAATTATTGGGGTGACAATATGGGAGATAAGCTGAGGGTAACAGAATTTGCTATTCTCCATCACTTTTTTCATCTTTGTTCCAATTATTCACTTAAAATCCTTTCTTTCTCTTCACCATAACCTTCAAAACTCTGCTTGTCTTTCAAAACCCATCTTTTCTATATATTTCCTAATACCTCTAACCTTATAAACCCTGAAATATACTGTCTTTACTGACTTCTGGCTCACAAAAGGTTTGGTTTATTTTTGTTGCTATAAATGTTTATAAAAAGAACATGGGCTTTGGAATCAGATTTACTGCCTCAGCCTCCCTAGTGGATGGGATTACAGGCACCGCCACCACGCTGGGCAAATTTTTGTATTTTTCACGCTGGGCTAATTTTTGTATTTTTAGTAGAGATGGGGTTTCGCCATGTTGGCCAGGCCAGTCTCGAACTCTTGACCTCAAGTGATCCCTCTGCCTTGGCCTCCCAAAGTACTGGGATTACAGGAATAAGCCACCGTGCCGGGCAGGAAAAGTCTTTCAATGAAAGCTAATTTGTCAGAATCCACATTCCTATTTATAACTGGACCCTGATAAAAGAGCTTAAAATTGTTTCCTAATAAAACAAAGCATCTTTATTTTAATAAACATATTTAAATAGATAACGTAATGATAATCAGAAACAATATTAAATAGTAGTATCAATAATTTCTTTCCTTTGATATATTAAGAAATCTAACGTTAATTGTCAGGGGGAAGCATATCCAGCAAGAACTAGAGATAACTTATTTTGCTTTTCATCACAGCTGGTTTAGAAGTACACTAAAGGAAGTATACCCATTATTTTGTTCACACATGAAAAATATGTTTTACAAAATGAATGTTTCTAATGAAGTATACTTAATTTGTAAAAATTGTAAGCATGAGCATCTAAAACTGTATTGCTTATGTTCTAGAAGAAGGAAAAGGAGCACTCAACAAGATTAATAAATATCAAACCTAAAAAGGAAAGCAACGTTACTTCTTCCAAAATAACTGACAGCTGTGCAGATTTTCTTCTTCTGAGCAAACATTTATGGACAAATATGTAGTACATTTGTGTTACCCTCTTATCTTTGACAGTACATTTTAAAAATCATCTTGACATTTCATTTTCTCTCAAATTAGTTTAGGCATAATAGATCTTTAAAAAAACTGGGGATGTGAGAAGTTTCAGAGTACACTGCTTGCAATGTTTAAAAAATTACTAAAGCCCACTTTAGTATTATTAATATCTACTATATCATTTTTAAACTATATTTGTAAGTTTTCTACATGTAATTATTCAAAATAAGTGTTATGCTAAATAACAATCTACATCTTCTCATGCATGAAATATGCTGATGGTGAATCTTTGATCATGTTTTCTTCCCAAAGGCAGCCTTACCTGTGGAGTCCAATAAAAAGTAGGGCTCAATCTGTACAGTTTTCGTTTGTGGAAACTCTGAAGTGGCCTTGTTCGGGCTGATGTACTCATGAAAGTCAAGGATGAAGATTTCAGTCTTGTCCTGTCTTTTCTCTTTTTCTTACTGTGCTTCTGGTTAAGTAACCAGCTACTGGAGGAAGACAGCTCATCTAAATTCTCTGATGCACTGAAATGCCATGAAATAATTAGGGCGTGGGAAGGGAATAAAACAAAACAAAACAAACAAAAAAGACAAAGAAAACTAAATGTAAATTGCCTTGATCTATTATGACAGAAAAGTATTAATTTTAACCAATTTTGTGGTAACAATTGGTAAAATATTTTGTATTAACGGGAAATTACATATTCAAGTTGTGAAAACCATCTTTACATCTATTTTCTCCTGCAAAACAAATATACCATAAGTTAGAAAATGCTCATGAGTTTACTAGTGTAATGTAATTGCTCATTGTAAAACAATAATTCATGTCAATTACAGTATTTTAACTATTTACACAAAATTCTTTTTGTGTATGATGAAAATACATAGATTACAGGTTTTTAAAAGAACTAAAGTCATCACTCCATTATTAGTTTCTGTTTTTTTTGTTTTTTGTTTTTTGTTTTTTTGAGATGGAGTCTCACTCAGCTGCCCAGGCTGGAGTGCAGTGGTGCGATCTCGGTTCACTGCAACCATCGTCTCCTGGTTTCAAGTGATTCTCCTGTCTCAGCTTCCCAAGTATCTAAGATTATAGGCACCTGCCATCATGCCTGCTACCTGCTAGTTTTCATATTTTAGTAGAGATGGGGTTTCACCATGTTGGCCAGGCTGGTCTTGAACTCCTGACCTCAGGTGATCCGCCCATCTTGGCCTCCCAAAGTGCTGGGATTACAGGCATGAGCCACTGCACCTGGCTATTAGTTGCTCTTATATAAGCACTACATATTAATAACATTTCAGTGAATTTTGAAACAGAGCTGTAACCCTACTACATTTTAGCATTTTTTAAAAATTTCCAATGTTACAGAAACAACAACTATAAAATAATGAAATAGATCACCTAAGCTACACATGAAAAGAGCATAATTTTATATTTATTCTTTATATTATTTTTTAAAAATTATATTTAAATATTTCAAATATTTTACAATATCAGAACATCAGGAGGATGATAACCCTCGTTGCCACATAAATTTAACTTCATTTATACTATCATATTATATATACAATAATTAAGCTTTTCAGGCCCTACAAGGTACCAATTTTAACCTTAGTTATGTAGACAAAAGCTAGTCAATTTAGTATTCTAATATTAACAAATGAATCTGCTATTATGTGATACTGCTGTTCAATATATAAGTTCTAAATATGCTATTTGGTTCAAGTAGAATTGGTGTTTACCAGTAAATATAAAATATGGTTTTTCTATAGCAGTATTGTTTTTGAATCATATTTATGGCTACTATAAAATATTATATTAGCTTGTGGATAAAGTAAATAATTCAAGAATGCTTTACATAGTAATAAGAAACCAGAAATAAAGGTGTCTGAATGGCTTGTGTTGGTAAAACTAAATAAAATAATTAAATATGGCATTTGGTGACTATCATACATTCAACAAATACGTAATTGATTATGCACTACTGGCCAGACCAATATAGAAAAAAGGAGTTGATGACAACTACCTCACTTTTAAAATATTAAGTCTCCAGAGAGCTCTAGCAAGAATGCTTTAAGTCTCGGTAAATAAAAGGTTCTAAAAATCTTTCATCATGTTGATGGCTAGGAAAGATTTAGGGTATAATGCTTCTCTCAAATTAACAGGTCCAATCTCACAGCTAGATTTTATTTTCTGTCATATCAAGGGGGAGCAGAAGGCATACAGGAGAGCCAATATGAAGTTAGGCACTGAACAGGCTAAGTGGCTAGCATAGAAGTGAGTCGAGGTCAAGAAGAAGACAGGTTTCAGTAGGTAGCTGGCATTAGAGGCAGTTAAGTCAGGAGATGTAGGATCCAGGAAGTTAGGAGTAGATCCAGCACCAAAAGAGGTTCTTTGTCCAGCAAGTCAGAAGCACATTTAGGCAGAACTTACACTGGCTCTTAAAAGACATTGCTCAAGGATGTGTCTAGGGAAAATTAAAAGCTTATTCCAGAGCCTGAGACCTACTTAACTAACTTTTACCACTATTTACAACTCCAGTTGTTAATGAGATGTTAGCTTTCCCCTCCCCATGGAAGGCTTAGCCCAAAGAAGATGAGCCCTCATCTTATGAAATGAAAGGACACAACTTCTGAACTGGCTAGAGGCTCATAGGCTGGCTTAAAGATAATTGGAAAGCTTATCTTTGTGTCACTAAATGTTATACAGTCATGTGTCACTTAACAATGGGGATACCTTCTGAGAAATGCATCGTTAGGTTATTTTTTATTTGTGTGAACACCATTGAGTGTACTTACACAAACCTAGATGGTAAAGCCTATTACACACCTAGGCTATATGGTATAGCCTCTTGCTCCTAGGCTACAAACCTGTAAAACATGTTACCATACTGAATGCTGTAGGCAACTGTAACATGATAGACATGGTAAGTATTAGTGTATCTAAACATAGAAAAAGTAATGCATTGCTCTACAACATTATCATAGTTACAATGTCACTAGATAATAGAAATTTTTCAGCTTCATTATAATCTTATGGGACCACTGTTGTATATGTGGTCCTTCGTTGACTAGAAACATCATTATGTGGTGCATTACAGTATACAATTTTTAAATTTCTAAGGGGGCTAACATATTACCAGAGGAAAAAAAGTTCAGTTTTATTTCTTTTCTTATGTTCCCATCTGCAGGCAAATTATCCTTAGATTCTAACACTTTCTAATTAATAAGAATTCTTGCAAAGTATCATCAACATCTATCCTCAAATAAATGAATACATGGAAATTTAAAGATGTGAGATATGTTTATTTCACTACTAATCAATGTGCAAACTGCATATTCTCATCAAAGCTAATGTAGTACAAAATCATTTCCATAAATAATGGATGAAGGTTATTGTAAATGGTTATTGTAAACCACTGATAAATTCACTTATTTCACACATTAACAATAATGAGACGGCCCAATCAATTAACCTCATTGAAAGCAAAACATGAGGAAAATCCTGAGAAAATTTTGAGGAAGACAACACAAGCCTGATCCTGTGCCTCTGTAATCTAATGCTTTTTCCCCAGGAGATGATGATTCAGGTAATTAAGTATTGACTAAAATAGGAACCTAATGATATCTGTAAGACAAGGATATCATTAATAAATCAATATAAGAAACCATCATCACACGACATTCTTTTAAAAAAAAATAAGGTTTATCTCTTTTTAAAAATCTTTCTTTCTTTTTTACAGACAGGGTTTCCTTCTGTTGCCCAGGCTGGAAGGCAGTAGAACAATTGTAGCTCACTGCAGCCTCAAACTCCTGGGCTCAAGGGATCCTCCTGCCTCAGCTTTCTGAGTAACTAGGACTACAGGTGTGCACCACAACTCCTGCCTAGATGACAGTCCTTAAAAAATTTTTTTAAAGTCATAATAAGAAGAGGAGAAGGTCCAGAAGAAAAAGAATATTTCAATAAATGATAAAGCTTAGTGTTCCCACTGAGATTAAAGTGTATCTATGAAACCCTAGAAACTGAGGATGCAACAGGCCACCATCAAATATTGTTGTAGAATAATTATCAAAATATAATTATCGGCTGGGCGCAGTGGCTCACACCTGTAATTCCAGCACTTTGGGAGGCCAAGGCGGGAGGATCACTTGAGGTCAGGAGTTCGAGACCAGCCTGGCCAACATAATTAAACCCCATCTCTACTAAAAATACAAAAATTAGCTGGCCCTGGTGGCCCATACCTATAATCCTAGCTACTCTGGAGGCTGAGGCAGGAGAATCGCTTGAACCTGGGAGGCAGAGGTTGCAGTGAGCTGAGATTGAGCCCCTGTAGCCTGGGCAACAGAGTGAGACTCTGTCTCAAAAAAAAAAAATATGTATGTGTATATATATATATATATATATATATATATATATATATATATATATATATATATGTATGTGTGTATATATATATATATATGTATGTGTGTATATATATATATATATATATATATGGTTATCATTGTACTTCTAAAAAAGCAAGCTTACAAGTGGGAGAGAACCAGCTGAAGCAATACATTCCTTTTTTTTTTTTTTAGATTTCTAACTGGAAGCTGGAGAATAATAAAAATCTTCCAAATGATGTAGTTTAGATCCTTTGGGTTGCAGGCATATAACATAACTTGTTCTGAAAAGGAATTAAATAATTGAGGATGGGGAAGTAGTGAGAGTGGGTTTCAGGCTTATACCTTTCTATATTTCCCTGGCCTCCTCCCTAATCCAAGCTATCTTGTACCAGGGTTACTCAATAGCCTTGAAAGTGGTCTCCCTCATCCACATTTTCCCCTCTAGTCCCTTCTATACCAATTATTTGGAAAGAACAATCTGATCCTGTCATACCTGCCCTGCCACCCTACAACACACACACACGCGTGCACACACACACACACACACACACACACACTGCTTAAAATCTTCCAACATCCTCCCATTGCTCTTGAAAGACTTAAATCCTTAATCTTTTAAAAGGCCCTGATAGGTCTGGCCTCTTCCATAGTTCTCTTGCCTCATCTTGCATGATGCTTTCCCTTGTCTCATCTTGCATGATGCTTTCCCTTGTTCTCTGTGTTCTGAGAAAGAAAACAAATTTTTAATCTGAGAAATTCAAGTCCCTTTAAATTACCAGGCCCAGAGAAGCATTAAAATGTGACATGGCATGCCTATAGTTCTGGCTACTCAGCAGGCTGAGGCAGGAGGATCTCTTGAGCCTAGGAGTCTGAATCCAGCCTGGGCAACAAAGCGAGACCTTTTCTACAAAAATAAAAAATAAACAAACAAAAATGTGACAGCAGTCATGTCTTGCTCCCCGCTTGAGCTAAATACCTAACTCTTGAAGCCACTTGCTATGTGGGCTGTAGACTAACTGACACCAAGTAGCCAAAACATACCATACACTAGACACCTTAACAAACTATAGTTCAACAACATATAGCCAATTAGTAATCAATGTTACTTTTGTAAACCAGTAAGAATTCATGTCAAACATAAATTTGTATCAGCCCCTTTTGTGGTCTTAGACAAAGTCCCTTGTCCCTTTTTGCCTTATCTGCTTGTGGCTGGGCATGGTGGCTCATGCCTGTAATCCCAGCACTTTGGGAGGCTGAAGCAGGTGGATCACTTGGGGCCAGGAGTTTGAGACCAGCCTGGCCAACATGGTGAAACCCTGTCTGTACCAAAAATACAAAAATCAGCCAGGCGTGGTGGTGCATGCCTGTAGTCCCAGCTACTTGGGAGCCTGAGGCATGAGAATCGCGTGAACCAGGGAGGTGAAGGTTGCAGTGAGCCAAGACTGTGCCACTGCACTCCAGCCTGGGCAACAGGGTAAGACTGTGTCTCAGAAAAACAAAACAAACAAACAAAAAAACACCTGCTTGTAACAAGGCCAAATGGAGCACTTCCCAATGTTTCCCAGGCTGCAGTCCTCAACCTTGACCCAAATAAAGTCTCTATATTAATTCTGCCTCATTTTCTTTCCTTAGGTTGACATTTCCAACCATACTGCTTCCTTTCTTTATAAATAATTCACACTTCATACTGTATAAGATCTACATGTTATTTTTGCTTCCTAGAATCTTCACACATCCTCTTCACTACATAATTTCCAATAATCATCTAACTCTCAGATCCAAAGTCAGTTCCTTGGGGAAGTTTTCTAGCTCCTGCATGATCTCCCTCCAAAGACTAGGTCAAATTCCCTGAGCTCTGAAAGGTGAGCACTCACTGTTCACCTCTCCTTCCTAGCATTTTCATAGTGATAATTTTATATTTATTTGCATGATTATCTGATTAATCTGTCTTCCTTTCTAGACTGTCAGTAGTGCAGAGACTGTGTCTATTTTGTTTATCCTTGCATCAGAAATTCCTGATATTATGCCTTACATATAGCAGATACACCATGATTATTTGTTGAGGGAATGGAGAAATACTGTACATACACATATGTTGTCAGGTTTATCATTCCAGCCCTGGGTTTAGTACAGCATATGCATAACACACACTACACCTAAATAATTAGTTTGGTGAATAAGTAAATGTTAAACATTTTAGTCTAAGAGCCAAAGAAGCTCTATTAAATAGAAGGCTACAAGACAACTTTAAAAAAAGATATATATTTCCACTGCCTTGAAGTTTCCTTCTAAATCTGACTCTTTGGTTTACAAAGTTAGGGTTTTTTGTTTTTCAGAGAGAATCTCATTCTGTCTCCCAGGCTGGAGTGCATCTGGTATGAACACAGCTCACAGCAGTGTCAACCTTCTTGGCTCAAGTGATGCTCCTGCCTCAGGCCTCTGAGTAGCTGGGACTACAGGTGCATGCCACCATGCCTGGCTAATTTTTTATGTTCCATACAGACAGAGTCTCGTCAAATTTCTTGGATGGTTTGGAACTCCTGGGCTCAAGCGATCCTTCCGTCTCAGCCTCCCAAAGTGCATATTCCATTTTGATGAAATACTGTAATGCTGATAATTTGTAAGGATGCATTTACCATCCAATCAGAAAGATTACAACATGATAGATGACTGCTTTGGAAAATGCTGCTACTTAATGATATGTGATAAAAATGCTTTTAGACATTTGGAATCTAAGACATGTACTAAACTACATTCAGCACTCGATGTCAAGCACAGGAAAAGAAAATTCAAAGATCTTCAGCATAGGAGTGTGAAAGATCCATATCCTTAAGATATCCTCAAAAGCCAGGAATTACTCATAGTAAGAAGGTCATAATTAAAAATTTCCCTTGTATACCAGGACAATGATTAACTGAAGAGCTATACTTTATGGAAAAATAGACGAATACCAGCACATGCTAAACTAATGGCCTCCATCTTTTCATATTACCACTTCATGGTGCATATGTCCTGCCCTTTGCTTCAAAATACACTAT
This sequence comes from Homo sapiens, assembly GCF_000001405.40. NCBI lineage: Eukaryota > Metazoa > Chordata > Mammalia > Primates > Hominidae > Homo > Homo sapiens. The sequence continues at coordinate 210,082,656 of NC_000002.12, forward strand.
GGAGCCAAGGAAACTAAGTTCAAGGAATAGCAGCAAATAGGGACTTATTCAACATACAATTTAAAACTATTGTTTTAAGTCAGTGGTTTCTAACATTTCCCCCACATTCACACCATTCTCAAATTAAACTACTTAAGTAAAAGTAGAAATAAACTCTGAAGAAAATTAGAATGTGCATTCTCACAGAGATTATGATAGTTTCCTAGGTGTCCCCCTCCACCCATAAAACTATACACAAATGCCCACACCCACTAAACTGGGTTGAATAGTGTCTCCTCAAAGCTCATGTCTACCCAGAACCTCAGAATGTAACATTATTTGGAAATACTTGGCAAATGTGATTAGTTAAGATGAGGACACACTGGATGAGGATGAGCCCTAAATCAAATCAGTGATTTCCTTACAAGAAGAGACACACAAAGAATGCCATGTAAAGATAGAGGCAGAGTTTGGAGTGATGTGTGTATGTCTTACAAGGAAAGTCAAGGAACTGCAGGCAACCACCAGAAGCTAGGAAGAGGCAAAGAAGGATTCCCTAGAACCTTCACAGGAAGTATGATCTTGACACCTTAATTTTGAACTTCTAGCCTCCAGAACTGTGTAATAAGAAACACCTGTTATTTTAAGCCACAAAATTAGTGGCTTAAAATACAGCGGCCCTAGGAAACTAATATATCCATAAACATATGCACCTAAGAATCATAGTTATTGCATGACTTGTAATCTCTATTTCAAGTTTCTCCTTTTCCAGTTGGAAGTCCTTTGATGAATTCAACCTATTGTAACTAAGGTAGGCAGCAACCTTTTCCATACTTTCCCTACTACACAAAGTCCTGCCAATATCTGAATTTATTACCTCCTTTATCCTTGATAGTACTGGGAGATACGAATGCATCACATATTCAGATAACCCAATGGCATTTAGGATGGCAGTAATCAAATTTGGGTGGATCACGAGGTTAGGAGATCGAGACCATCCTGGCTAACACGGTGAAACCCCGTCTCTACTAAACATACAAAAAAATTAGCCGGGCGAGGTGGTGGGCATCTGTAGTCCCAGCTACTTGGGAGGCTGAGGCAGGAAAATGGCATGAACCCGGGAGGCAGAGCTTGCAGTGAGCCGAGATCATGCCACTGCACTCCAGCCCTGGGCGACAGAGTGAGACTCCATCTCAAAAAAAAAAAAAAAAAAAAGTAAGAAACTAATAAAAAATAAGACTTAAACTTAATAGGAGGATTATTTATCCTCCAATTGGCAAAAGTAAATACCTCTCTCAAATGATCAAATAGATCAAGATCTGGCATTGCCTGGTATAGAGAAAACAGTTCCTAGACCATTTCCCTTACTCTGGGTAATAAGTAGAGAAACTACATCTCTTACTCAAAAATGGAAGTCTCTTCAACTCTAACAATAAGAAAATGTGTTGTAGTACACTGTAAAATGACATTCTTTAAAAATAAGATGTAGTATCTAAAAAAATTAAGGCTGGGCGCAGTGGCTCATGCCTGTAATCCCAGCACTTTGGGAGGCCGACACAAGCAGATTGCCTGAGGTCAGGAGTTCGAGACCAGCCTGGCCAGCATGGTGAAACCCCGTCTCTACTAAAAATACAAAAATTTGCCAGGTGTGATGGCGGGCACCTGTAATCCTAGCTGTTCAGGAGGCTGAAGCAGGAAAATCGCTTGAACCCAGGAAATGGAGGTTGCAGTGAGCCGAGATCGCACCACTGCACTCCAGTCTGGGCAACAAGAGCGAGACTCCGTCTTAGAAAGAAAAATTAAGATCCATCTTACTGTAGGTACTGAAGTGGGAAATAACTATTTTAAGTATAAAAAGCTTCAGATATAATATTAACTGAAAAAGATATAAAATTACTTCTAATAGATCTAAACTATGAAAAGACTATATTAAAAAGATGGCAAGAAAATATACTCTGAGCAATATAGTGATTTCTTTTTTTTTTCTCTCTCTTTTTTGAGACACAGTCTCACTTTGTCGCCAGGCTGGAGTGCATTGGCACGATCTCGGCTCACTGCAACCTCCGGCTCCCAGGATCAAGCAATTCTCCTGCCTCAGCCTCCCAAGTAGCTGGGACTACAGGTATGTGCCACCACGCCGAGGTAATTTTTGTTTTTAGTAGAGATGGGGTTTCACCATGTTGGCCAGGATGGTCTCGATCTCTTGACCTCATGATCCACCCGCCTCGGCCTCCCAAAGTGCTGGGATTACAGGCATAAGCCACCATGCCCAGCCTTTTTTTTTCTCTTTTATTAGGATGTCTAATACATTTTGAAATGGCTATTGAAAATAAAAGAGACTTAGGAGACATAATAACCAAATGTAATTTATGGACTTCGGATACAGGTTTTAACAAATTAATCATAAAAAGATAATTTTGAGACAAGCAGAAATTTGAATATGGATAGAGAATTTCAAGACTAACAAATTATGGTTAACAGTATTAAATGTGATAATAAAGTGGTAGGTATGTTAAAAGGCTTATCAATGAAATATAAAGAACTATTTATAGTTAAAATAACAATCACTAGAAACTGCTTTACAAATGCCTAGAAAAAGAAAGTGTGTCAGGAAAAGGAATAACAAAAGAATTAGCAAAATTTTGAAAACTGTTAAAGCTGAGAATATGTGGGTTCACTTTACTATGCTTTCTATATGTCTGAAGTTTTCCACAATAAGAGTAGATGGGGGAAAATACCAATTATTACAGAACTATCTGTCATTCTTATCTCTGGCTCTTAACTTAAAGTGGGACTTTTTAACACATAAAGGCAAAGAGACGAGGAAACCAATATGATAGCCATACTTTTCTACCTGATAATTGAGACATAAAGTTTGTCAAATATTTGTCTGATCTGAGGCACTTACAGATAATTTCTATTTTATATTTTAAGGAAAACAAAAATACAAAAAAACTTGAATAAAAGCTGAAATATTTTTCAAAATCCCATCTTCTCAACAGAAATATAGTTTTCATTTATACCCTTCACATCTTTTTTCTATAAAATCATACTGTACTATAATTTTAGTGTCCGCATTTTTCCACTTAATATTTCAATATAAGCATGTTTCCATATGATTATATATTTTCTACATACATAATTTTGTATAGTTACATGATATTAGATCTAGTGGTTGTACCACAATTTATTAATATATTCACTTATATAATATTAGGTTTTAGGCTTATATTAGAGTTATAAAGGAAAAAGTAAACTATGTATATATTTATTGTAATTAAATATTTATTAATAATTATTATATATAATATTGTCATTCACAGGAATCCAAAATTATACTGAAAACATCAACTTAGAATATGCTTCTAACAAACAATGTTTTCTCATAATTGAGAAGTGACTATTGAAAATATTGAGGGTAAAAAATTTACTTTTTATGTGATTAGTTTGCCAGCCTAACTGCAGTTTTTCAATTATGATATCCAATTAAGAAAGGATAGTTGCATGTCACATGAGATAATTATCATTAGTAGAAATAAATAGCATGGCAATAATTCATCGGAATTTAATTTCATGTCATATTCTGGGACTCATTAAAGCAAAAACAAAACAAACAATGACAAAAATCTAGACACTATTTCAAGTAGGAATTCACTTTCTCAAAGATAATACCCCATGGGATAAACAAGGATTAATTTATAACATTTTATCTTCATTTTAGAGTATGAGATCTGAAAACCAAAAACTATCCCTATGATAATAAAATGTAATGCTTCATTTGTTTGAAGACTCAATCTTCTTAGTTGCACAGTTCCTGGTGAGTCATCTGAGACCATACTGCCAAGATTAATAAAGCTAAAAAAAAAAAAAACTCTTGACACTTTTCTAGGCGATATTGTTATTAAATAAAAGATAGGAGTTAGTAATCAATAAATAGCAAGTGTGCAAACATGCCCTGGGAAATAATTAACCAGGTAAGTTTACTTTAAATGCACTGTGAGGACAGATCATTACCATTAATACTTAAAATTATGAAGAATTCATATTTAAGTATGAGTTAATACTTAAATACTTAAGAGAATTATATCAAACAAAAGTTCTATATGATCCACAAAAATTAGTATATAGAATGAGGCTAACCTTTAAAAATTAAAAATTTAAATTTCTTCTAACCTAATTATATACAAGAATTATGATATAATGTGATATAAAGCTATAATAAGCATGCTTTATTAGAAGAACTGTAACATTTCATTTATGAGTTTCCTTATCTGGCAACATCAACTATATATATAGAATGTAGCTGAAATGTTTAAAAGGCCTTTAAATAACAAAAAGAGATCTCAGTAAGTTTATGCATGAAAGTTCACTCCTGTTCCTTTTTTTATTTTTTATTTTATTTTTTTTTTTTTGAGACAGGATCTTGCTCTGTCACCTAGGCTGGAGTGCAGTGGCATGGTCACGGCTCACTGCAGCCCTGACCTCCTGGGACCAAGCAATCCTCCCACCTCAGCGTCCCAAGCAGCTGAGACCACATGCATCAACACATCTGGCTCACTTTTTTAATTTTTGTAGACATGGAGTCTTCCTATGTTGCCCAAGCTGGATTTGAACTGCTGGTGATCCTCCTGCATCAGCCTCTCAAATTATTGGAATTAACAGGCATGAGCCATCATGCCTGGCCATCCTCTTGTTGCTTTTAAGAGAGGCCTTCTCTCTTACAGATTTTTTTAAATATCTCTTATTACAGAGACATCTATGTCATCTATCACATTGGTTATCTGATTTTCTAGTCCAGAGTCAAATTAGGAAGAGAAGCAGAACTGCAGGAGACAGCCACGAAAGCAACAAATAGAATATCAATCTGACTATAGGGAAGAAAAAATACGTTAAGTACAAAATATTCCTTATGAATGCTGAGTATGGGCAAGAAATCATGAACAACATTTCATTCATTCAACAAATATTAATTCATGCCCATGATGTGACTCTCTGATCCAAGTACTAAGGAAAACAACAGTTCAGTAAGATAGACCAAAAAATTCTTACTCTCCTGAAGCTTATGTTCAAGTCCAGGAAGACAGATAATAAGCACGTAAAAAATTAACAAAATAACATCACATTTGTTACCTCATTTGATCTTCACAACACAACCCAGAAAACAGGCTGTTCTCATTCTATCTAATTCAGATTGCCGTGCAGGATCAATACTACCAATTGGTCAATTTGGGATTGAACCGTGATCTAATTCCAAAGTAATATTCTTAACAATAAAAATTTTCTTCATAGCACTTGATCAAGGTTTAAAATTATACATTTGTGTGATCATTTAGGTGGTGTCATTTTTTTTTCACAACTAGACTTTATATCACAAAGATAGAAATTCCATCTGGTTTTGTTCATTATCATATACCTGGTATCCAATCCAAATGCCTGGCACACAGAAGTCACTCAGTAGGTACTAGTTAATTATTCAGTGAATTGTTTTATAGATATACAGCTATTTATCTCAGTAACCCCTGAGAATGTTATCATGGTGGTGAACCTGAGTTATCAAAAAAATTAAGTTCAGCTCTTTCCCATCTTACAAGATGGCAGGTGAAAAAGTTGAGAAGCCGGATACTAAGGAGAAGAAGCCTGAAGGCAAGAAGGCTGACACTAGTGGCAAGGTGAAAAGGGGTAACTTCAAGGCTAAAAATCCAAAGGCCGAAATCCTGTCAATTGTCAGAAGAATTGGCAGATATGCCTGATCTGCTATGTATTCTAGGAAAGACATGCATAAAAGGAAATACTCACCCAATGAATCCAAGATTGAAAACAGAAAGAGGTTCTTGCAGCCATTAGAAAATCAGTTGGCGGTGACAAGAACAGTGGTACCCAGGTGATTAAACTTCACAAATTGCCTTGATATTATCTTAGGGAAGACGTGCCTTGAAAGCTGTTGAGCCACAGCAAATAACTGCAAGCCAGTTAGCATGTGAGAAAACTGCAAGCCAGCTCCCAGGAGCACTCTGATCATCCTCACTGGCCGCCACAGAGGCAAGAAGGTGATTTTCCTGAAGCAGGTGGGCATTGGCTTGTTACCTGTAACTGGATCTCTGGTCCTCAGTCGAGTTCCTCTACGAGGAACACACCAGAAATCTGCCATCGCCACCTCCACAAAAATTGCTCTCAGCAATATGAAATCCTCAAACATCATACTGATGCTTACTTTAAGAAGCAGCAGCTGTGGAAGCCCAGCCATCAGGAAGGTGGGGTTTTCAACACCAAAAAAGAGACATATGAAATTACAGAGTAGTGTAAGGTTGATCAGGAAGCTGTGGACCTGCAAATGTTACCAACAATCAAAGCTATTCCTCAGTTCCAGGGCTACCTGCAATCTGTGTTTGCCCTGATGAATGGAATTTACCCTCACAAATGGGTGTCCTAAATTTCTTAAGCAGAATCTCATTAAATGACTGATACATTTTGGGGAGAAAATTAAGTTCAATACCACCCAAAGAAGGCAATGTGTAATACATTTTATTTAAACAATTCTTCCCAAACAGTTTAATTGAAAAAGTTTTTGGAACTTAAGTGGAATCCACAATCATCTTACTGTCACGGATACCTCTTTCCATATAGTTTCTAGGGTAGGGTTTGAAGTCACTAAGACACATTGAGTACAGTAATTTCTCTCTATTTACCAGTTCTCTTGATTTAGGCTAACAAAATTATTACATCCAAAAGAGCAAAACAGTGATGTTATAAAGATATACATATTAGGTTGGATTGGAACCCTTATGTTTTTACTGTGTATTTGTTTGAAAAAATAGAATTCCTTAAAATAAATATTTAAAATGGAAGAATATTAACACTAGTAACTACTTTAGAAAATACGTTCCATTAAATTTAAAATAAAGAAGTGAGGTGTAAAGAGATTAACACACCTGCCCAAGTCACAAAATGTCTAAGTAAACAAAATATATAAAAGTTGTGTATTCTCATAACTACTTTGCCCTGAAACCACTAAATTATAAAAACACTACAATTGATTAAAAATAAAAAGTTAAAATCTTTTTGGGGGGAGGGGCATGGGGGAGATTAAATGTCCCAAGATGGTCTTTTGAGGAGATAGATTTTTGTATGAGAATAAAACCCAAAGGTGTGTTTATGCTAATTTTTAGAGTGCTTGATTTAGTTACGGAGTCCCAAAGGCAAGTAGACCAAAGGCAAGAAAGAAAACAACTTCCCAAGAGATGACGGAAAAATAGTGCCTCATTGACTTCTAGTAACTGTATAATGAATGTCTTTAGTAACAGCTGGCCTACTGTGCCATCTACACAGTTGTGTGCAAAGGGATACCTACAAATGCCCTCAAATCCTTATCCTAATTCAGGCCACACTAAAGCACTTTTTTTAAAGAGTAAGAATAGCTGAATCAACGACTAGTATACTATCTAAGATAAGAAATAAATAAGACTATATCTAAAAGTTTAATATACTTTATGTCCTCACATTACAATATCAATGGCTAACATTATTAGGCTGTTTCTTATGTGCCAGGTTTTGTTCTGAGTTTTTATAAATGTTTTATAAAAGTTCTGAGTTTCATTTACTTCTCACACAACCATATACTGTCTCCCAATATCTGGTATGCTTACTGTAAGACATACATTTGAACTCTTGGTCAGTGATCTGTTGAGTAGCATACTACATTTTAACAGGCCCAACATTTACCCTTTAAGATAATATTATTGTAGAACTTGGATTAGAGGGGACACTGAGTGATTGTCAAATGTGGGTTAAGACTATAAATTTTTTGGAACAGAGAATATAAATATTTAGGCACCACAATAATTTTTAAAATCATGTAAAACAAAGTATATATTATCACAGTAAATTACCAAATGTCCTGCTTTGTTGTTTTTGGGGGGTTTTTGAGACAGGGTCTCACTCTGTCACCAAGGCTGGAGGGCAAGTGGCATGATCATGGCTCACTGCAGCCTCAACTGTCCTGGCTCAAGAGATCCTCAGCTTCCTGAATAGCTGGGACTACAGGTGTGTACCACCATGCCCAGCTAATTTTAAAAAAATTTTGAAGAGATGGGGTCTCACTATATTGTCTAGGCTGGTCTCAAACTCCCGGGCTCAAGCCATTCTCCTGCCTTAGCCTCCCAAAGTCTTGGGATTACAGGCATGAGCCACCATGCCCAGCCGTGTTATTTTTAAATATATCTTTTTACCTATATCTATAAACATTCTGCAACTTCCTATTATTATATTGCTACTATAATATCTAATGTTTGTATTAATTTACACGTTTCAGCTCAGTGTGTACCTCAAAATTCACAACTAATTTTCAGGTCACAGAGGACAATTAACTGTAGCTATTGGTCCTTTCCTTTAGACATTTTTCATTGCCTTCTAAAAGTATGTAAGATGACTTTTATCAGGAAAGACAGAATAGACATCTGAGATTAAGACAGATTTGACAGATAAAGGGTAAGGATTATTAACTCAACAACTAGATCAGTACCCATCACCAAATTTTAAGGTAACATGAAATAAGATTTAATTCTTTTTGTTTCCATACCAACAAACTAAATATCACATTCCTGTGGGACTAGTCAAATTTTGTTCATAGGTTTAGGATGAATAATGTCATTTAAGTATTTTTTCAGAACTATGAAGGCAAATGTGACCTCCTATGTGACTATTTTCTATTTATCCTTTTTGAAGTATATAGTTTATATCCTATTTTCTTAACCTTTTAAAAAAATGAAATATAAGATACATATGCATAAGTACTTAAAGCATTTATCTCATGTTTAGCTTGTAAATATGAAGCAATAACTCCCCTTACTCTTCCACTTTCCCATAACCACCACTCACAGGTCAAGAAACAGAGCATTAGCACTCAGGAAATGCCCCCTCTTATGTGAAGCTCTTCTATTATACTTAATTTAGGAATAATGAAAGCTAAATCAGTACTTTTTTACTGAGATCCTGAATAATTCAAGCACCTCAGTGCAATCTGAATCGATTTCCTCCTTCTGACCTCTATGTTATTGCTGTTATAGACTTTTTTTAGCCCCACAAAACATATTTTACTACTGTTCACTTACACATGCCCATATGGTTACTTACCATTTTATTTGTTCTTGAACCCTTCTTCATCCCAATTTTCCATCCAGATAATATACTACTGCCCAAAGTATATCCTTTATGTTTAGAGTCTACTAGTCTACTCTCCCAGCCTTGGTTTGTCTCAAAATGTTTGTCCTTCACACTCAGACTTGAAAGATGATTTCTCTGTGTATAGAGTTTCTAGGTAAACAGTTATTTCCTTTCAACATACTAATGGTACCATTCCACTGTACTCTGGCTCCTGTTATTACTATTGAGAAGTCAGCTATCCGTCTAACTATGTTTCAATTAAGATTATGTCTTTCTCCCACTTCTGGTTGCTTTTGGACATTCCATTTATCTTTGTTTTTTCACATTTCCTATATGTCCAGAGGTAGATTTCTTTTTAGTTGTCCTGATCCAAAATCTGTGTTTGGCTTCCTGAATGTGGTGTCTTTCAACAGTTCAAGTAATTTTTCAGTCACTCTCTCTTCAAATATTGCTTCTATTTCTTTCTATAGTGCTTCTTCCACATCTCCAACTAAGTGTCATATTAGACCTTCACACTATATTCTCTACATTTTAAAATGACTCTTCTGTATTTTCCATTGTTTCATATCTTTTGCTACATTTTGGAACTTTTCTTCTAATACTTCTTCTATGTCACACATTCTCTCTTCAACTGTGTCCAGTTTGCTGCAGAAACCACTTACTTAGTTATTATATTCAGTATTTTTCAGAAGTCTTATTTAGCCTTTTTCCAAATGTGCTTATGTAACTTGATATAGTTTGTTCCCTGCTGGCATTTTAAGCCTATCTTTTATTTCTATAATCAGGCTACCATTTTAAAGTCATCAGTGTTTGGTAATTCTAATATCTGAAAACTTTATGATCTTTTTTTGCTGTCTGTTGTGCACTCCTTATTCTTACTCTTCTTGCTCTGTCTCCTTATATGTTTGATTATATTTGCCTGTTTGTTAATCCCTGCCCTTGGCAAATTATTCATGAGGATTTCCCTAGGCTAAAAAAGGTGCCTTCCTCCAGAGGAAATCTGCATTTGCCTCTGCCATTCCAGAACCACTTAAAACTAGGGATCTCTTGGATCACTCATTGATGCAAACTTGGATTGAAAATCCATGTAAAAAGTCTCCACCATGATCAGAACATCTCAAAGATAGGTTTTTTGTTTTTTTTTTTTAATCTTCTGCTCTGCTTAGCCCCAAGGCAAATCTCCCTGTGGTCCCTAGTGGTGGGGAAAGGGAAACAGTTTTACTTCCAATGTACCTTTACTGTAATGGCATAGGCCCTGAAAGAGAATGGTCTCTACTAAATACAAAGATTTTATTTCATCTTCCTGCCATGGGCAGAGCCAAGGGCTTTGACCTATGTTCATTTTTGCTGTTGTTGTTGTTGTTGTTTTTGAGACAGAGTCTCACTCTGTCACCCAGGCTGAAGGGCAGTGGCACGATCTTGGCTCACTGCAACCTCAGCCTCCTGGATTCAGGAGATTCTCGTGCCTCAGCCTCCCAAGTAGTTGGGACTACAGGCATGCACCATCACACCCAGCTAATTTTTGTATTTTTAGTAGAGGCGGGGTTTTGCCACGTTGGCCAGGCTGGTCTTGAACTCGTGGCCTCAAGCCATTTGCCCATCTCGGCCTCCCAAAGTGCTGGGATTACAGGCATGAGGAATCTCAACTGGCCTGATTTATCTTCTTATCATTCCACAATCTATTAAATCTTCAGCTTGATTTTGCTGGATTTGGTTTTAGTTTCTCTCCTCCCTTCCCCCAAAAGATATCAAAACTTCAATTTAATTTTGTCTAAATTTAGCCTCAAAAAAAGCAGACTGCTGTGCTTTGCTTACTTTTTGAGCTCTGGCTTTCTCTCAGCTTTTGGCTTGGCAATTAATATTTGCTAATTTCTAATTTTTGAAATAAACAAAATTTAAAAATAGAATTATCACATAATCCAGCAATTTCACTTCTAGAATACCCAAAACAATTAAAAGCAGGGACTCAAACAGATATTTGTTCATCCATGTTAATAGCAGCCTTATTCACAATAGCCAAGGGACAGAAGCAATCAAATATCTATCCACAGATCAAATGTTGTCTATATAAAAATAGAATATTATTCAGCCTTAAAAAGGGAATTTTAACACACAGGCTATAATGTAGATAAATTTTGATATTATGCTAAGTACAATAAGTTTGTCACAAAAGGACAAACACTATGTGATCCCACTTATACGGTACCTAGAGTAGTCAAATTCATATAGAAGGTAAAGTGGTAGTGGCCAGGAGCTGAAAGCAAGGAAGAATGGGAAGTATTGTTTAGTGGATATAGAGTTTCAGTTTGAGAAAATAAAAAAAATTCTGAAGATGGATGGTGATGATGATTACACAACATTTTGATTGTATTTAATGCCATTAAACTTACATTTAAAAATAGTTAAAATGGTAAATTTTTGTTATGTATGTTTTATAATTTTGAAAAATACTTATGAGTTTTCTTACCTGCCCATTTATTATAAATACATAAATAGTATTTATATGCTTCCGAGAAGTATTTATATGCTTAACAAGGACATCTTCAGAAAGTGCTTTGTGGTTTAAGTGTCAAGTCTGAAATACCATTAAATAGACTAAGCCCTTACTCCTAAAAACCTTTGAATCTGAAAGATGTTTTCTTCATATACAACTATGTGAAGGAAAAATAACAAAGGTATTGGAAAATAGCAAGATATAAGAAATAAAATTAGGCCTCATTTGATATTCTACTCCCAGTGTCAAAAGGCTCATAGAGATCCATTTCACATTACTTCAATCCAGATATCTTTGAATCAAAGCTGTTTCATATAATGCTATAATATAAAATTGTATCTCCGATTAATTTTAAAAATCTATAGTAATATTCTCAAACATGAGTAACATTAAAAAACTAAAATTTGTAGAATTTCACTACTATGTACTTATTTTATAGAAAGTTCAATTAGAGAATATTTTAAAAGTTCAATTCTTAACTAGTTTTATAAGCATTAATTAAGTACTTTTCATTATAAACATATTTATAGTTAAGGGATTAAAAAAAAAAAATTCTTAGAAACCACTAACACCCTTTCCTAGGGGTAGATTACTCAGGCTCCAAAAACAAAGGGGAGAGGAGAGGAGGGGAGGGAAAATGAGAAGGAATAAGGGAAAAGGAAAAATGTTTTACTTGTCAAAGCTCCTCAGGCTCCTTTAACTAGTCTTAACTAGTCTATAATCACCTCAGATTAACTAGTCTATAATCTTAACCAGTCTATAATCACCTCAGAAACAAGTGCATCCACACATATCTTAATCTATTTCATGCTACTCTTAAGGAACAGGCATATTTTTTCCTGTAATAAGATCCCTCCATAACTTTGTGATAAGGTGTTTTCTACATTTCTCACCTGTAGCTCCTTCCTTTCCCTTTATTTTAATAAAGATGCTTAAATTTCCTCCATCTTAAAAACAAAATATTTTCTGTGACTTTGTATGTCCCTTTTATTATAGCCTTTAAAATCAGTGGCCTTGAAGGGTAATCTTGACCCCCTCTCTCTACTTCTTCTCCAATTCTCTTACTAATTCACTCTTACCTCTTTCTCCATCATGCTCTTGTCAAAGTCTCTCTTGCCAAAGTCTCAACACATTACTGACAAAACCAACAGATATTTTCAGTACTCTCTTTGGCATACGAAACAATAGACCACGTTTCCTCAAAATTTGCTACTTTTCCTTCAGTGTTATTATTATTCTTATCTGCAATATAGTCTGGTTTCTATGTTTCTGGTTAAATAGATTTATAGATTTTTTAATACATATTATCACAAATTGTGGAATCTTTACAAAACATTTTAATGAAATCAGGAGTCAGGAGTATCCCCCAAAATCGTTTGTTTTACATGGTAGTTTGCTGGTTATCTGGTAACAAAGCACTTATAAAGAGCTATTAAACTTAAAGATAAATTATGCATTTTAGATAACTATCAACTGTTCTAAATTTGATCACTTTCTCTTTGATAAAAAGTAGAGAAAGTATTACATTATCTAGCAAATGTTAGAAAATAAATACCTTTCCTTCAAGGAAAATATGATATTTTGACAACAAATGGGAAAATAAATGCTTTTTGAAACACACATTATGTACCAACTATTTTAAAAAGAGTTCATTGTTGCCAAAAATGTAATTAATTAAAACACGTATCAGCACACTTCAAAAAACGTGAAGAACAAAATTTTTGTCTGCTTTTAAATCTATCAAAACATTTTCATAGGTTTTGAACTTGTTAAAAACTTTCAAAAGCAAACCTTTTCAATTAGGTTGTAGCAACAACTAATTGACATGAGGAAAGACAGTATTCAGTAGCTGATTCCAACAAAAACCTTTGAACTACTAGTAGACAGAATTAAAAAATGTAATTTAGTAAACATGGCCAATTTTCCATTTCTTTCATTTGGATCTACATATCTTTATGAGGTATCTTTTTCAAGTGTAACAGTTATTAAAAGCCAGTATTCAAACAACTACACACAATTCCATTTTTATTACATAATATTTTATTAAGTAGTTACATGTTTCACCAACCAGACTGTGAGTTATTCACAAGTGAAGACTTCTGTCTTCATATTTGTGTCCCTAGGACTTGACTATGTGGCATACAATAAATAATTATGCAATCAATGCTTTGCAAATGAATGACCAGAAATACAGGCAAGTATATTAAAATGAAAATTCACAAACACATGAACACACACATGTAACTATGTGTGTAACTGTGTAGTACTTGATTAGGTAAACAAAGTATTATCTAAAATGGGATTAGCCCCAAATCACAATGCTTATACACCAATTTGATGTGTTTTATGGGGCAGCTTAAAATACATTCACCTACATTATGACTTTCCTAATTAGGATACGTTCTCATAAATGAAAATATCATAGTTATCCTATACAATATGTAAGAATCTTTACGTTCAACATGTTTTATCACTGATATGAGGAATGAATATAAAGTCGAGAAAAAATAAAGCAAAACCAATAGAACTGTTCCCACAATAGAACAATGGATACATAACTCAACATAAATAAAATAGTAAAAGTATTAAAGATTAGATGTTCAAAATAACCAATTAGAAATAAAAATCAAATGTCAGCTTTTTATTTTTTATTATTTATTTATTTATTTTTTTGGAGACAGAGTCTTGCTCTGTTGCCCAGGCTGGAGTGCAGTGGTGTGATCTTGGCTCACTGCAACCTCCATCTCCCAGGTTCAAGTGATTCTTGTGCCTCAGGCTCTTGAGTAGCTGGTACTACAGGAGCACACCACCACGCCCGGCTAATTTTTTGTATTTTTAGTAGAGACGGGGTTTCTCCATGTTGGCCAGGCTGATCTCGAACTCCTGAGCTCATGAAATCTGCCCACCTCAGCTTTTTATTTTAAGACTTTGTTTACATCCACTAATTTCACAAAGAATTTGATGGCTACTTAGCATAATTTTCACCATGCTATAAATTTTCATTTTATGCTATATTAGAAAGTTATTAAAATAATAAATTATATAATTTTTAACACAAATATTTCCCAAAATTACACTTAGTTCTCTATGGTAATTAAAGCAAAGAAGCCAACATTCCAATTTTATCTGAAAAAAATTAGACAATGCACACATAAAATGATATTCTATTGGTATGTCTTCTAATTTTATCTTCAAAAGGAAAAGTTCTAAGAGAAAAGGAAACAAAGCACAACAAATGCTGTTCCCAAAAAAGGACTAAGATTCATAGTGTATATATTTTTGCTAATATAGATAAATTGTTAATGTTTATAGGAGTTATTAATTATAGTAAAAAAAATTTACCTTATATAAAGCTAAAATACAAAATGATTAAAACTTAAGCTGAATCTAATGGGTGATAGCTACCAATGTTCTGTGCCTAAACTATATCTAGGGTCTTTTTTCCTCAAAATGCACTGCAACGACAGCATGGAGCTCAAGAATACAAAAGGTACAAAGTGGAAGGTATATTAAATAAGGCAGTACTTCTACAGCAAATGTTATCACCACTATTCTTTTTTTAAGAAACATTATGAAACTTCCCAGAAATCTCTCTCCCTCATTCCTAGATTTATCATTACCTTAATTGTGTAAATTTAATATTATCAAAAAATGCATCCATGGTATATTGATTGTACTCTAGTAGCCCCTAATGTACAAAAAAAGTAGCTATAATACTTAAAATATCAAAACAAAATCAAAATAAGATAAAATAGGCAAAGTTGAATTTAAAAGCTAAGCTATTCCATTGATACCTACCTCCTGTAAATGCCATTAGCCAGACATTTATGGCTACAGGATTTGGAAGAGAGGGGTGATGAAGTTGGGGACAAGTTGAGAGGGGCAATCAAACTGTTGATGATCTCAGTCAACTGTGCACTCTGCAAGGAAACAGTCAACCTTTTACTACTGCTAAGCAAGAAATGTGAGTTAAAGCTCAGATGCATAGTGCCAATTAATCCTTAACTTCTCATGACACACATGTTTTTATTTTAGTAAATGTTTTATTTGACAAAGACAATTTATACAACTGATTTTTCCATTTATTACAAATAAATCTATACTTTAAGTACCCATTCTTTTCCATATCCTTTTTTTATTATTGTTCCTTCATCTACCCATCCCATCATCTAACACATTTGAACCCAGCTAACAGCCTTTATATAATATTACCCTTGAGGCAGGAAAATTAATAATTAAAAATCACAGATACAATTTATTAAGTGCCTACTATGTGCCAGGCATTATATTAGGCACCACACATAGAATATTTCAATCTTTACAACTAACCAGCAAAGAAGATAATATTAGAGGTACTGACATCACTATTATTAATAACAGAACAGATGAGTAAATTCTAGCAAAGAAAAAAAGATTAAGTAGCTTGATCAAGGGCTATAAAGCTGGTATGAAATAGAACTAGGATTCAAATTCAGGCCTAAATCTAACAACACACTGTTTCTCAATATTTTTCCTAATTCACAAATATCAGAGTTTTTTTTTTAGCACCTAAGATTTCACTGACATTTGTCCCAGACTTAAATATATGTAATAAATATTAAATTATATAATATGTATAAATATTATTCTCAAAACAATCACAATTATAATAAGCAAAGGCCACATAAAAAGGAATAGTACATTTCTACAAAAGAATGACAACTATTTTCATTACACCTGTAATCCACGTTCATCATAGAAGAACTGGAAAATATAGAGACATTTTAAAAATGAAAAGAGAGTCATCTGTAATCATACTTCAAAGAGAAAACCAGAGCTAACATTTAGGTATATATTTCTCCTTCCACACTGAGTTTTCTGAGTATATGTAAGCATGAGTGTACATTCAACATGAACACATATACTTTTAATTAAATTATGCTACATCAATTTTCTAAAACCTGGTTTTCCCACTTAATATAGTGTGACCAACTTTTTAAAAAATACAGACGTAGTTCAACATTTTCAATACTGCAAGATACTCTATTGTGAAATAAAGGGGTATATGAAATAATTATTTTAGAATGCTTCATTTGTATGAAACTAATAACATGCTATTAGAAGTGAGACTAAATAATAGAATAAAATTAGGCCTAATATTTTATCCCTTCAAAAAATCTTTCATGAGAAAGACCTTGAAATGTTTTCACCATTTATTTTGAAGATAGTATGCACCTAATGATGTCATTTTAAAAATTATTACTCAGTTTTTAGATTAAAGCTCATTTTTAAAATCACCAATAGAAATGGATTCTTTATCCATTTAGCAAGTAATCATTAGTCATGCAAATAAATTCTGAAGTATCTCACATCTTCCGGTTGGAAACACTAAAACATTCCTGTCATTGTTCCACCTCCAAAAAACATCATCTAAAATCTTTTAAGCCACTGGACGTCGCTAATTGGATATATGTGAATAATGGGCCAGGAAGGGGGAAATTACAATCCCTATCTTTACCCTAAGAATCAGCCTATTCTGGCCCCATAAAATCTCACATACCCGAGTCATATGGGGAATAGAAAAGTCACAGAGAAAATGTGAATAAGAAAAGTAAAATTAAGAGAAGCGTAATTTGAACTCTGAAAACAAAAACTAATCAACTGTAAGTTAAAACACTAGCTATTCATAACAAGATTTATAATGTAAATACACCAGTAGCAAATTCATTTTAAATCACCTAAAGTAGAAGTCCCCAACCCCCGGGCTGCTGATGGGTACCTGTCCATGGCCTGTTAGAAACCAGGCTGCACAGCAGGAGGTGGGCAGAGGGCCAGCAAGAATTACCACCTGAGCTCCGCCTCCTGTCAGACCACCCACAGCATTAGATTCTCATAGCAGCGCGAACCATACTGTGAAGTGCACCTGCAAGGGATCTAGGTTGCTGCTCCTTATAAGACTCTAATGCCTGATGATCTGAGGTGGAACAGTTTCATCTCAAAACCATCCCCCCATCCCCACCCTGCGGAAAAATTGTCTTCTACAAAACCAGTACCTCATGCCAAACACGTTGGGAACAGCTGACCTAAAGTACTAAAAACAAGGTATTAATACTTTTCAATTTATGAACTACATATTATCTAACAATGCAAGCATTTATTAATACTATGAATCAATGTTATTTTTTAAATGATAGTCTACAACTCAATAGTGCCTTTATATTTTAACTTCCAACTCTAACAAAACTACTTTAGTCAAGCCAAAAGATTATGAGTGAACAGTTATATATCAGTAGATTATCCTAAGAAAACCATGCATAATAATGGGCTTGCCATACCTACCACTTAACTCACTCCTAGACTATCTTCCTCAACAAGTTTTTTTGTTTGTTTCAGACAGTGTCTCGTTCTGTCATCCAGGCTAGAGTGCAGTGGTGCCATCTGGCTCACTGCAATCTCTGCCACCTGGGCTCAAGTGATCCTTCCACCTCAGCCTCCTGAGTAGCTAGGACTACAGGTGTGTGCCACCAAGGCCAGCTACTTTTTGTATTTTTTGTAGAGACAGGGTCTCCCTGTGTTGCCCAGGCTGGTCTCAAACTCCTGGGCTCAAGCAATCTGCCCACCTTGGTCTCCCAAAGTGCTGGGATTACAGGCATGAGCTACCATGCCCGGCCACCAAGTATTTAAAAACAACTTAAGCTTTTAAAACTTGGCCTATAAAAAGCATTATTACCACATTTCAAGAACAAATGACTTGTTCATAGGCAATTTATTAACAACCTCTACAAGTAATTGCTGCTGCCCTTTCTGCATCTTTTACTTCTGCTCTCTTTACATAGAGCCATTACTGCTCTCACAACTCTTGGTTCCCTATACTATCAAAGGCCCTGACAGTTTCATCAGCAATGAGACCTAAAATGATACCCAGGACCAGCTTCATGGGCATGTAACCTGTGCACCAGGCTGAGCGCAGATGGAGGCTATGCTTGCTTAGTGCTCTGCTGTCACTGTCTTTAAATTCATAACTGTTTTTAACAAAGGGCTCCACAACTTCATTTTACACTAGGATCTGCAAATTAGGCAGTTCTGATGTCATCTCAGGTCCAACCTAAAAAAACTGGGGATATCAAGGAGAAAGGAAAAAGTACAAGAAATCTCTTTTAGAAATGAAAATATCTTAGAATTAATTTAAACAGATTACAATTTCCAATGAATAAGTAGTGACCTAAAGATGGTAAAAGTAGATTTGACTGTGTAAGCAAATGAATTACTCTAGAATGTGAAACAACTAGGATCAAACCGAACAAGGGTTGATCCTATAGGATGAGGGGAGGGAAAAGAAAGAGGAAAGTGGGAATATAGAAATATAACAAAAACTAATTTAAATCAATGCTTATATGGTCAAGTGCATTATAATTTGACATCAGATAATTACCAAACAGCTTTCTAAATTGCAAAATATTCATAAGTGCTTTGATTATGCATTCCAATTAAGAAAAACTCTGGGCAATTATAAATTTAACAAATACAGGGTGGAAGAAATTATACCATATTTTGGTTTATCAGGAATAAGACAGTAACCTGTATTTAGTTACTTCCTTGTATGTCAGAAAAACTCAGGAAAATTAGATGCAAGCAGGCATGAATCTGTATAATTTCCCAGAGGAACAATGTAATGATGCAACTATGGTGAAGAATGGCTCAGCTTTAAAGTAAAAAAGTCCTAGATTCAGCTTTCTACATATGGCTAGCCAGTTTTCCCAGCACCACTTATTAAATAGGGGATCTTTTCCCCATTTCTTGTTTTTGTCAGGTTTGGCAAAGATCAGATGGTTGTAGATGTGTGGTATTATTTCTGAGAGCTCTGTTCTGTTCCACTGGTCTATATCTCTGTTTTGGTACCAGTACCATGCTGTTTAGCCTTGTAGTATAGTTTAAAGTCAGGTAGCGTACTGCCTCCAGCTTTGTTCTTTTGGCTTAGGACTGTCTTGGCAATGCGGGCTCTTTTGTGGTAACTGGATCCCTTCCTTACACCTTATACAAAAATTAATTCAAGATGGATTAAAGACTTAAATATTAGACCTAAAACCATAAAAACCCTAGAAGAAAACCTAGGCAATACCATTCAGGACATAGGCATGGGCAAGGACTTCATGTCTAAAACACCACAAGCAATGGCAACAAAAGCCAAAATTGACAAATGGGATCTAATTAAACTAAAGAGCTTCTGCACAGCAAAAGAAACTACCATCAGAGTGAACAGGCAACCTACAGAATGGGAGAAAATTTTTGCAATCTACCTATCTGACAAAGGGCTAATATCCAAAATCTACAAAGAACTCAAACAAATTTACGAGAAAAAAACAAACAACCCCATCAACAAGTGGGCGAAGGATATGAATAGACACTTCTCAAGAGAAGACATTTATGCAACCAACAGACACGTGAAAAAATGCTCATCATCACTGGCCATCAGAGAAATGCATATCAAAACCACAATGAGATACCATCTCACACCAGTTAGAATGGTGATCATTAACAAGTCAGGAAACAACAGGTGCTAGAGAGGATGTGGAGAAATAGGAACACTTTTACACTGCTGGTGGGACTATAAACTAGTTCAACCATTGTGGAAGACAGTGTGGCGATTCCTCGAGGATCTAGAACTAGAAATACCATTTGACCCAGCCATCCCATTACTGGGTATATACCCAAAGGATTATAAATCATGCTGCTATAAAGACACATGTACACGTATGCTTATTGAGGCACTATTCACAATAGCAAAGACTTGGAACCAACCCAAATGTCCATCAATGATAGACTGGATTAAGAAAATGTGACATATATACACCATGGAATACTATGTAGCCATAAAAAAGGATGAGTTCATGTCCTTTGTAGGGACATGGATGAAGCTGGTAACCATCATTCTGAGCAAACTATCACAAGGACGAAAAACCAAACACCGCATATTCTCACTCATAGGTGGGAAATGAACAATGAGAAGAACACTTGGACACAGGAAGGGGGACATCACACACCGGGGCCTGTCATGGGGTGGGGGAAGGGGGGAGGGATAGCATTAGGAGATAGACCTAATGTAAATGACGAGTTAATGGGTGCAGCACACCAACATGGCACATGTATACATATGTAACAAACCTGCACGTTGTGCACATGTACCCTAGAACTTAAAGTATAATAATAATAAAAAAAAGTCCTAGAAACTGAGTTTGTTTAAGAGCCACTAAAGTCTAAATCAAAATAAATTGTTGGATTTCCAAGGACAGATACAGGATAGACTGGCCAGAATAATTAAGCTTGTGGAGTTATCCACAATAGAATTTAGATACCAAGGAAGGCTTTGGAATCAAAGTAATTGTTAGGAGCTTTCTTGACTTTCCATTTACATAATCATTTTTTATGAACAAATCCATATTCCAATATTATCTTTCACTAAAAATCTTGTTCAATAAATTAGTCAAACAACCATTCAGACATATTAACTGGTACAATTGTTCTCTCTCCTTGAAAAAAATCCAATGATAAACAATTTTGTTAGAAAAAGGATTTTCTAATCCCTGTAAAAATAAATTATCATCCTATAGCCATACCAATTCCATTACTTTACATATTATATTTAAATAATTTAAATTATATTGGTATTATAATGGAGACTGGTCATATGTCAAATATTTTAATTGTATTTAATGCCAGATGGCCTAGTTTAATAACACATATGCCAGGAAGATACACATATAATGATGTTTATTTGAATAGTTTACAAAATCAATGAAAAGTCATTTCATACCACTGATATCCTTACTTTGACTTTACCTGTTTTTCGATGTTTCGAAGAAGTAAAGTAGGGCTGCTTGGTGACATTTCAAAATCTTGTTCCGGTACAGGATCTTGACACTCCTGGGGAACCTGAGGATTCCCTAGAATGTTTAGTGAAGCTGCTTGGTCTGCAAATTGCATTTGTTTTTTCAAAATATCTTTTGGAAGCTGACATTCTTCTAGGACCACTATCCCCTAGACAAAAAACAATGAGAAAGTTGAAATGAAAACAAACTTATTATTAAGCCACCTTTAATGCTACAATGCACTTGAATCTATGCTTCCACTTATCTCTTGGAATTCAGAAAATATAAACTTGATAGTTTAACTCTGTAAAGAACTGGCTGGTTTAAAACACATGTAGCTAAAATAACATGTATGGTTGATAGGTTGGACTTGTAAAATATTTTCTTAACTTAAATACATGCAGTTTTTTTCTAATTGGTTTTAATTATTGGCATTAAAAGCATGACATATTAAAATAAAAAAAGGCATATTATACACAGAACATGGACATTTCAGATTGAAATCTAGAATATTTCCTGATAGAATCTCCTGATATTTTCATCACTAGCATTGCTATTTGTGCTTTACATTTGAGCACTCCCAATTTTATAAATTAAAACACCAAATTTACAAACATCCAAACAACAATCTAACTCTATCCTAACTCCTTTCAGAGCACCCTAAGGAGCCCTGCCCCTGTTGCTGTCAGCCAGCAACCAGGGATAGGACTGCACCACTGAGAAAAAGTACTCTCTAGGCCAATCAAAGTTCCCACTGCTTTCAGGGTAGCTGTGTTAATAATAAAGACACAAGCTTTCAACTTTGATGGGGTATATTCTGAAATGTAAGGAACTGGGGGAATGAATAGGGATCAAGTTGTCTCTGTACTCTCTGCCTCCTACTCACAAACATACTTATTCCTCAACTGGTTTGCTCGGCTTTCTCCTCCATTCCCCAGCTTCCTCACTCCAACTGTTCTCAACTTTAGGTTCCTCAGAGGCAATGGAGACAACAGAGAAAGAGAAAAAAGGAGTGCAAAGGCATGATCTTAATGGTTTCATAATCAGTTCCCACTGTAAAATTTCTTTCCTTCCTATCTATTCTACCACCCTTCCTCCTGAAAATAATACAGTAATATATACCATATATATATTACACATACACAGATATTATGTTATATATATACTGATATTACATATATTATATATTATATACACACACAGGTTTTACATATATAAATATATATATATATTTGAAAAAAAATATATATATATATATTTGAAACATGCTAATAAATTCCTATAGGCTAGTTGGAAAATTATTACACTCCTAATGTGGCTAAAATACTATATTATTGTAATAAAAAATAAACTAACATTAATATTAGTGTGCATTATTTCAAAAATGGAATGAATTAAATGATTGCTGTGGGCCACCTACATCATGCATAAGTCTTATTTATAAGATGGAAATTGCCTATAGATAATAATGTGTTATATATGAGTTTTAGTTTACACTATGTAATTTAGAGAATATATAACTTTAGAATGCACATATTCAGTTATGGTATTAAATGTATATTTTATTATTTTGTAGTAAAATTTTTGGTAAAAGTAGTAAATGCGCTTTTTAAAAAAATCTACATTTTGAATAGTGCTAACATGCTGACTTTTCCAAGGAGAAGGGGAGCCACTTGATCCCAATTACTGTTTTCTTAGAATGAACAAATATGGCCGTCAAGAAATCTGAAGAAACATGCTCAAAAGTTCTTATTTCATTTGGTATTTAAAAAAATAAATTAGATATAATAGATATGGTATCATTAGTCTGAAAAGCTCTTGAGAGTATCCATTCAAAATTTCTACAAGTCTACACACAAAAGGTACAATTTAAAATGTGGAAGCCCCTACTGCAGGATAACAAAAGAAATCTAAGAGAGAAACCATTTGATATAGCCAGTGTTCTCCCAAGAAAAATATTTCAATTTTTTTCTGAAGGTGAGAAGAATCTGTTGTCTTATTAGAAAGTTTGAAGCAGGGAGAAGAGGAAATTTCAAACCTACTCTCACTAGGTTTCTCCACAAGTACCTGCATGTCAAAGAAACACAAGTTCCACCTTATCAATTTAACTGCAATTGTCTTTGGTTTGATTCCAGTTTATAGTATGGGCCAGTCTGTATAGATTAGTCTGATATCAGTCTGTATAGATTAGTCTGATTTCAGAATCCATATTTATAAATCTGCATCTATGGGAAAACTCTACTCTGAATTTCAAAGTTCTATTTCCAAACCTTTAGAATACTACCTTTCTATAAGTACAAAGCCTGCTATAGTTAGTTTAATAAAGAATTATATTTTTAAAATTCAACCAGGGAGGCAGGGCATGGTGGTTTACGCCTGTAATCCTAGCACTTTGGGAGGGTGAGGCAGGTGGATCACTTGAGGCCAGGAGTTCAACACCAGCCTGGCCAACATAGCAAAACCCTGTCTCTACTAACAGTACAAAAATTGGCTGGGCATCATGGCACATGCCTTTGGTCCCAGATACTTGGGAGGCTGAGGCAAAAGAATTGCTTGAACCCAGGAGGAGGAGGTTGCAGTGAGCCGAGATCGCACCACTGCACTCCAGCCTGGGTGACAGAGACTCTGTCAAAAAAAAAAAAAAAAATTAAAATTCAACCAGGGAGACCGTCATAGTCAACTTCATAATCTGTTTTTTCCTCCATAAACTACTACCCTGGACAAAACTGTTGGAGTGTGAGGAGAGTGGCCCATTCTGATCCACCACTGCCAAGAATGGAGAGGAAAGGGTTGAATATTTATATTTAATCCTCTGGGGACACAGCAGAGAGTTTCTGTTCTTAAAAAAATTAGTAAAAGGATATTCTGATATGTAAAACAACATAGATAAGAAAGACAAAAAATATTTTTAGAAAAACGAGTTACAACAACTGAAACAAGTCAAAACTCTAGCATAAGATGAAAGCAAATCAACTGTTTCTGAGAAGAGAAATCCTGACAATGCAGGGTCTTCACAGAGAAAACACTGTGTGAAAAAAGAACTGCCTCAGCAACATCTCTATTATTCACATAAATTCACTAAAGTTAATTTTAAGTAAAACTTTAAATAAAAAATTTAAAACACACAAAAGGTACAATTTAAAATGTGGAAGCCCCTACTGCAGGATAACAAAAGAAATCTAAGAGAGAAACCATTTGATATAGCCAGTGTTCTCCCAAGAAAAATATTTCAATTTTTTTCTGAGGGTGAGAAGAATCTGTTGTCTTATTAGAAAGTTTGAAGCAGGGAGAAGAGGAAATATAGGAATCTGTAATATGTTGACAAAGCTGTCGCAAGAACCACCAAAGGATGTTGCTAATAACTGCTTTCTTCTCCTCAAAAAAAAAATATATATATATATATTTTTTTTTTTTGAGACAGAGTCTTGTTCTATTGCCCAGGCTGGAGTGCAGTGGCGCAATCTTGACTCACTGCAAGCTCTGCCTCCCGGGTTCACGCCATTCTCCTGCCTCAGCCTTCCGAGTAGCTGGGACTACAGGTGCCCGCCACCACGCCCGGCTAATTTTTTAAAAAATATTTTTAGTAGAGATGGGGTTTCACCGTGTTAGCCAGGATGGTCTCAATCTCCTGACCTTGTAATTCGCCTGCCTCGGCCTCCCAAAGTGCTGGGATTACAGGCTTGAGCCACCATGCCTGGCCTTCTCCTCTGAAAATTTAAGCAAAGTTTAGACCATAAGAAGAATGGTAAAGGGGCAAATGATGTGTTTTCTGACTTAAGGCACAAACTAGCACTTATTGAAACAGGATATTTACAAAACAGCATCTCTCAATCTCTTTCCTTTCCCTTTATCTCTAACTTAAGTGAGAACAATTTTTTTTACATTTAAAATACATTAAACAGAAAGTTCTATTTCAAGACAGTACTGGCCATCCTTCTCAATTTTTTTCTTACAATAACTCAAGAAGCTATAAGAGCAAGGAAAGTGATGTTTTTCTTATATAATAACATTTCAACTAAGTTGCATATAAACAACTAAACACTTTGATTAATTCCTAATAAATGTAATGAGAAACTACTAAAATAACAAAAACATTGTATTCTAATAACCTAATTTTGTGGCATGTTCCATAAAATAAACATAATGATATTCTTAAAGGAACAAAGGGCCAGATACACATTTATCCTGAATTAAGAAAAAGGTAAGGTCATATAAGTTATTACAGGGAAGTTTATACGTCTTTCCTTAAAACAATTTATTCCAGTAGATGTTGCAATCAAGCTTTTAAAAGAGTTTAAACAAGAAGTATACAGTACTGCTTAGAAAATATAGAATATTAAAATATCCTTTCTTAAGTTAAAGGATTATGAATCAGACTGTCTAGATTGAAATATAAATCTTATTCATCAATGTAACTGCAAACCCACTTTCTTTGAAATATCTAAATTGTTTTATACTTGACTCATTCTTAGAACTCTATTTGCTATAAAAAACGTGTGAAATTATATCCTTTATGGAAAATGATCAAAGAGGAGAGATTATGCGGTGATCTTGAAACGACTGGGTAATTGTAAACTGAAGGCTCCTGTAAAGATAACAGTGAACAATGAGAAAAAGTAACTAATAAACTTTCATCAGGAAACACTTAGTGAATGTGGTTCCCTCAAATCTCACAGAACTAGTAAGCCTAAGGTTTTATGTCTATCCTTCTTCCTACCTTCCTATAGACACCACCACTAATTGCTACCAAGTATTAAACATACTTCATCACTTCCTAGCTTTTGTTCCTTTTCTTGTATAACACATACTTTCTGCTCCTTTAAATACCATACTACTTTGTCATTCCTGAAAATGATCATGTTGTTTCACACCTTCAAACCTGTAAAAAACGCCTTTTTCTAGTTCCATTGGTTCATCAAAAAATTACTGTTCATCCCCCAAAGTCATACTGAGATGTCACTTTCTTCTCTTAATGTTTTCTCTGACCCTCTGACCCATAAGTATTCTCTCTATGGCCCTTCAAATATCTTAGAAAAACAGGTATTCTACTTAAAGTATAATTTTTTAAAAAAACAGGTATTACCGAATATATTACATATATTGAAACGATTATAGGTTTTATCTCCCTTACCAGAATATAAACTCATGATAGATAGAGCCTAAAATTTATTAATCTTTGTGGATGTGCAGACCCCTAGGAGAGGCTAGGCAAACTACATGGTTCAAGGACTCTGATCCCTTCCCTTCTCAGCTTTTTCCTTTTCAGACCTATCCCTATCAACCTTCAATATTAGATTATCTCCAGGATGTCTACAGTATGACCATATAGAATACTGTTTCCCACAAAAACAAGGTTACAAATAAATATTTAGCAATATTTAGATTGCATAAGAACTCATTTGTATCGCTGATTCTTTGGGAAAAATAGATCACAATGAACATTCCCACTTGGAAATGTAAAGAATAAAGAATATATGTCAGCTATTGGTCTATATTAATGCTAACATTCTGCTGGACCAATATTGTGAGAGCTTCTTACCCTAGGTGTATGGCTTAATTAGGCCCTAATTTGTGCTTCCTATTAAAGGGTTCTTTCTATTCACTGTTCTCTATGGCTCCTGAATCAGCCTGCTTCTTTCTTTTATATTACCTTCCTTGGTAATATAAATTTAAAATTTATATTGGTAATATAAATATAAATATAAAGCTTCTTTCTTTTATATTACCTTCCTTGGCAATATCAGTAAATGTTTTTGACTTCTTTAGGAACTGCAAAGCTCTTAACCTGCTTCTTGTTCATAGAAGGTTGGCGTCCTAAGGACTGGTTTAAGTCTTGGCCAGTAAAAGGCTTTTTATAGGCCAAGCTTGTAATTTCTTTGGTAGAACTCACTCAGAAACTCAGAAGGCTTCCCATCTCTCTGTTTTCAGGCAGTTCCATGTACTGACAATCACACCCACAGTTCTCTGATGCATTCTCAAAGGATATTTCTTTCACCCTCTAACCCCTATACCTACCTACATACTCCTTTCTCCCGTTCCTCTTTCTCTGCTTCCTTGTGGGGATTCTCATAAGCTATTAAGTTCTGATGGAAAATCCACATTCTTAATCTTCCTCCACTGCACTAAGTGTAATTTTATCCAGCTCAAAGGTTTTGCAGAGGATGGTATCCTTAGTCTGATATTTAGCTCCAAATCACTTTGGTCCTTTATTATTCAAAGGTTTTCTCAATCCTATCTCTTATCATATAAAGTGTAGAGAGAGGCAGTTTTGCTAACTTCGTAAGGCCTTGAATTTCTAGAAACCTATTCCTTTTCATTTATGTTTTTAAACAGGTTTGAAAATGACCTAATTAGAAATTATCAATAAAAAGCATTATCACAAAGTAAAAGCCAATGTAAAAGCCAATATACAGGACAAAGTCTAAGCAGAATATGGTCAAAGACAGAATTAGCAAATTAAAAGACAGTAAAGAATTCCTTGTGGTACAGAGAGACAAATGAGATTAAAAAATTAAAGAGTGGTTAAGAGACATGAAAAATTTGTTTGAACCTCTCAATCTATGAGAATTTCACAAAAATGGAAGAGAAAAAAATTGACAAACATACAATATTTGGATGATAGTAGCAGAGAATATGCTAGACTTGAAGAAAGATGTAACACCTTGGACTAAACATGGACTCTGGGCTGGGTGCAGTGGCTTATACCTGTAATCTCAGCACTTTAAGAGGCTGAGGCTAAGAAGCTGAGGCAGGTGGATAGCTTGAGCCCAGGAGCTTGAGACCAGCCTGGGCAACATGGCGAAACCCCAAACCCACCAAAAATACAAAAATTAGCCAGGTGCGCTGGTGCATTCTTGTAGTCCCATCTACCCAGGAAGCTGAGGCGGGAGGATCGCTTGAGCCTGGGAGGTCAAGGCTGCAGTGAGCCGTAATCATGCCACTGCACTCCAGCCTGGCCAACAGAGCAAGGCCCTGTCTCAAAAATATAAAAGAAATTAAAACAAATGAATGTGGACTCTGAAAAAAAAAAACATGTCTACACTAAAACTTATAGATGAATATATATAGCAGCATTATTCATAATAGCCAAAAACTAAAACAACCTAAATTTCCATGACCTAGGAAACAGATAAACAAATTATAGTACAATCCTACAATGGAATACTGCTCAACAATAAAAAAGAAAAAATTACTTATATATACAGCAACAAAGATGAACCTAAAAGCATTATGCTAAGTGAAAGAGCAAAATAGAGATTAATGTTTTATTATTTGACTTATATGAAATTCTAGAAAAGGCAAAACTATAGCAATAGAAAACAGATTAGTGGTTGCCAGAGAAAAGAGCCTGAAGGAAAGAGATTGACCGCAAAGAGGAAGGAATGACATTTTTGAAGGTTATAGAAATGTCCTACATTATGATCATAGTGATGGTTACAAGAGTAGATATTTGTCAAAATTCAGTGAACTGTATAGTTAAAAATGTGTACTCTGAGTACTAAGCAACATAAAGACAATCCTTTGATACCTGTTAGTAAGAATGCAGAACATCAAATAAACAAGAACATCTTTTTTTTTCTTTTTTTTAACTTTTTTTAAAAAATTTTATTATTATTATACTTTAAGTTTTAGGGTACATGTGCACAACGTGCAGGTTTGTTACATATGTATACATGCGCCATGTTGGTGTGCTGCACCCATTAACTCATCATTTAGCATTAGGTATACCTCCTAAAGCTCTCGCTGCCCCCTCCCCCCACCCCACAACAGTCCCTGGTGTGTGATGTTCCCCTTCCTGTGTTCATGTGTTCTCATTGTTCAATTCCCACCTATGAGTGAGAACATGCGGTGTTTGGTTTTTTGTCCTTGTGATAGTTTGCTGAGAATGATGGTTTCCAGCTTCATCCATGTCCCTACAAAGGACATGAACTCATCATTTTTTATGGCTGCATAGTATTCCATGGTGTATATGTGTCACATTTTCTTAATCCAGACTATCGTTGTTGGACATTTAGGTTGGTTCCAAGTCTTTGCTATTGTGAATAGTGCCGCTATAAACATACATGTACATGTGTCTTCATAGCAGCAACCTAACAAAAACAGCAATGGGGAAAGGATTCCCTCTTTAATAAATGGTGCTGGGAAAACTGGCTAGCCATATGTAGAAAACTGAAACTGGATCCCTTCCTTACACCTTATACAACAAGAACATCTTAAAGGTACCAGATAGAAAAGACAGTACCCAGAAAAGAAAAATAATCACATTGACAGTAGACTTCTCCTCAGTATCAAACAAAACAATAAAACACATCTTTAAAGTGCTAAAGAAAAATAACTGTCAAACTAGAATTTAACACCAAAGTAAAATACCATTTAAGAGTGAGGGTAAAATGAAGATATTCTGAGATGTACAAAGACACAAAGTTTAAGTGTCCAGAGACCCAAATGTCAAAAACTCCTTTCAGTGCATGTCTCTTATTTCTTTCTACTTTATTTTTTAATTGACAAATAATAATTGTATATATTTATGGTATATATAATGATATTTCAATACATATGATGTATAGTGATCAGATCAGGGTAATTAGCATATCCATCACCACAAATATTTATCGTTTCTATGTGTTGGAACAGGAACCACCAGGAATCTGTCACCCCACCTAGACACCACCTGCATTGGCAGAATCTGTCTAATGTCATTACTTCAAAAATCTGGAGTTTACTGAAGACTTGCAAGTTCAAAGGGCAGGCTTGGACAGTAAATGTGCAGTTAATTTTCATCAATTTTAGCTCTTAGCACAATAGCAGCTACCCATCCCCACACCTAGTCCCATGGCAGGCAGCCATTCATACATTTCTGAAGCAATCTATATACAGCCTGCATAAGTCAGGGTAGGGGAAAAGGACCCTGTTCTGCAAATATTAGGGATCTGTGTTCTGATCACTGATTGCAACCTTTGATCACAGAGGTACAGACAAAGAGGCAACCATTGTTGTAGTACCTCCCTCCTTTTATTGCAATTCCCTCCTCCTCTGGCAGAAGGCCTTCCTGGGGATTTAAAGGGCCAGCACCCTTTAAAAAAAAATCCTCTCTTCATTTTTCTCTTTTCCCCTTTTGGGAGCCAGACATTAAAAGCAGGACATTTTAAAACAACTGCACCAATGGGGAAAATTAGAAAGCAACTGGGCATTTCCAAGAAAACGTGCAGGCTCAGAAAAAATAAGATTTTAACTATACACTTCAGGCTTATTCTTGCCACACCGACAACCTACAACAATAGAGAAAAACAAAATAATAAACAAAAATGATTTTAAAAGTCCTGCAGAAAGGGAAAGAATCTGATTTCCATTATTAGAGTCAAATGTCCAGTTTCCAAAAACAACAAAAAAAACAAAAAGCATACAATGAAACAGGAAAAATGGAGCATTCAAAGGAAAAAAAAGAATAAACAGAAACTGTCCCTGAAAACAGGATGGAAGATCTATTAGACAAAGACTTTAAAACAACTGTCTTAAAGATGCACAAAAGGCTAAAAAAATGATGTGAAAAAGTCAAGAAAAAGATGTTATGAACAAAATGCAAACATCAATATGGAGATAGAAAACCTGAAAAGAAACCAAACAGAAATTCTAGAGCTGAAAAGTATAATAACTGAAATGAAAAATTCACTAGAGGTATTCAAAGGCAAATGTGAACAGGCAGGAAAAACATCAATGAACTTGAAGCCAGGACAGTAAAAATAATCAAGTGCAAAGCATAAAAAGAAAACAGATTAAAGAAAAGTGAACAAAGTCTAAGGGACACGTGGAACACTATTAAGTGGCCCAACATATAAATGTGGGAGTTCCAGAAAAAGAAGAGAAAGACAGGCAGAGAGAATATTTGAAGAAATAATGGCTAAAAACTTCCCAGATATGATGAAAGACATGATTACAAATATCAAAAGCTGAATGAGCTCCAAATAAGATGAATCCAAAGAGTACTACAAAGAAACATATTATAATCAAACTACTGAATGACAAAAAGAAAGAATCTTGAAAGCGGCAAGAGAGAAGCACATGCAAGGGATCCTCCGTAATACTATCAGTAGCCTCTTATGATAAACTTTGGAGGTCCAAAGGCAGTTAGGTCAACATATTCAAAGCAAAAAACAAACAAAAGAAAACAAGACAAAATAACAACAACAACAACAACAAACCCTGGCCAACCCAAAATCCTATTCTATTCGGGAAAATTGTCCTTCAAAGGTAAAAAAAATTAAGACACTCTCAAGTAAACAAAAGCTGAGAGAGTCATTTACCAGTAGACCTACTCTGCAGAAAATACTTAAAGAAGTCATGCAAGGTGAAATGAAAGACGTAGATAGTAACTTAAAGCTGTATGATGAAAGAAAAATCTCAATGAAGTTAAATACATGCATAATTATAACAGCTAGTATTATTGTAACACTAGTTTGTAACTCCTTGCTTTCTACATGATTTAAATAACTAGTACATTAAAAAAATATAATAGATCCAAAGCTAGACTTGTGGTAACTTTGGTTTGCAGCTCCACATTTTGTTTTCTACATAATTTAAGAAACTAATATATTTAAAATGATTATTAATGTATGCTTTGGGACACATTAGTATAAGGATATAATTTTGTGACATCAACAACCAAAAGGGGTGGGAACAAAGCTGTAAAGGAAATGAGTTTTTATATGTTACTAAAGTTAAACTGGAATAAATTCAAATTATAATGTAATAACTTTATGAGGTTAAATGTAATCCCCATAGGCAACCACAAAGAAAATATCTACAGAATATATATAAAAGGAAATGAGAAAGAAATTTAAACATTTCAGTGTCAAAAAATAATCAACTAAACATAACAGAAGACAGTAGTGCAGGAAATGAAAAACAAAAAAGGTATAAGATATATAGAAAATAGCAAAATGACAGAAGTAAGTCTATCCTTTTTAGTAATTACGTTAAGTGTAAATGGATTAAACTCCCCAAAACACAGAAATTAGAATGGATAAAAACACAGAATCCAACTCTATACTGTCTACAAGAGATTCAACTTAAGTCCAACGACACAAGTAAGTTGAAAGTGGAAGGATTTTTAAAAATTATATACAATATCAGACAAAACAGATTTTAAATTAAAAAAGGTTACGAGAGATAAGGACATTATATATTAATAAGACTCTATAACAAGATATAACAATTATAAACATTTATGAAACCATGCCACAAAGAGTTAAGAAAACCAGTCTAAATTCCTATGTTTATAGGATAACAGATAAGAAAATAAACAACTTGTTGAGATACTGAAACTCAAACTATAACCCAAGGAGTAAGAAGTCAGTAACTAGCAAAAATTCTTGAGTTTGTAGGATAGCAGATAATTAAAGACATAACCCACTGAGACGCCAAAACTCTCTAACCTTGTGAGAACAAGAGTAAACTGGCAAAAATCAGTTAAAACCAAAATGGCTGACAGAAGTTTGCACAGATGACCTTACTGACATCACAGCCTAAATTTACACTGCATGTTTCATATTAACTCCCCCTGAATTTGCACATGCAATCCATGAGTTAGCATGAAGCAATAACTGCACATGCCCAAGAACTTTCCAAAACTTTCCTTTCCTTCTACCAATCACCTGTTAATCCCAATATCTACCCCCAAATCTATTCTAATAAAAATGTTACCATAAAAATAGCATGAGAGAGGGGAGGCAGAACAAGACGGCTGAATAGAAGCCTCCAGCAATTGTACCCCCACTACCTCCCAACATAGGAACACCAGATTGAACACTATCCACATAAAACAGCATCTTTATAAGAGCTAAAAGTCAGATTGGTTACCAGCTTGGCCACAGTGGGGTAAAGCACCAAGCATTTCTGGACCTACCCTGGTCCAGAGGGGAGCCCACTGTCCTGAAGGGAGAGACTCAGGACTGGCAGCATTCACCAAAAGCTGACTGAAGAAGCCTTGGGCCTTTAGTAAACATTGGCCGTAGACAGGCAGTACTTGCTGTGGCCCTGGGGCAGTGGTGGCCATGGGAAGGGACTGCTCTGCTTGAGGAAAGAGGAAGGAAGGGTAGGGAGGACTTTGTCTTGTGACTTGGTCAGCTGCAGTAGAACACAGCACCAGGTGGAGTCCCAAGATGGCATCTCTAGACCCACCCGGGGCTGGGGAGAAAACTTGCCACCCTTAAGGGAAGGACACAAGCCTGGGTGGATTTGCCACCTGCTGATGATAGAACTTTTGGGCCTTGAGGAGACACAGACGATAGCCAGGTAGTGGTCACTGCTGGCCTTAGGTGAGACCAGTGCTGTGCTGTCTTCGGATCTGACCCTGTGCAGTCCCAGTGGTCCTTGTGTCACGCCTCTCCTAGCTCCAAGCAGCTCAGTACAGAGGGTGAGACTGTGTTTCCCTGGGGGAAAGTAAGGGAAGAGAACAGGAGTCTCTGACTGGTAATCCAGAGAATGCTTTTGGATCTTACCCGAGACTACTGAGGTCATACCTCTATGAGTCCACAAAAGATGCAGTGTTACTAAAGTTGGGGATATGACTGCAGTGACCAATGAATTAGATCACAACACCCAAGGGTGTTTCAATATCTAGAAAGCATTCTCAAGAAGGACTGGTACAAATTAGTGCAGATGCAAAGACTAATAAATAACTAACTTTTCAATGTCCAGACACAGACGAACATCTATGAGTATAAAGAACACCCAGGAACACATGGCCTCACCAAATGGACTAAATAGGGCACCAAAGACCAATGCCAGAGAGACAGGGATGTGACCTTTCAGACGCAGAACTGAAAATAGCTGTTTTGAGAAAGCTCAATGAAATCTAAGGTAACACAAGAAGGAATTCAGAATCCTATCAGATAAATTTAATGAAGAAATTGAAACAGTTAAAAAGAAACAAGCAGAAATTCTGGAGCTGAAAAATGCAACTGACATTATGAAGAATGCACAAGATAGAGTCTCTTAACAGCAGGATTAATCAAAAAGAAGAAAATTACTGAGCTTGAAGACAGGCTATGTGAAAATATACCTCAGAAGAGACAAAAGAAAAAAGAATAAAAAGTAATAAAGCACACCTACCAGATCAAAAAAATAGCCTCAAAAGGGCAAACCTAAGATACTGGCCTTTAAGGGGAGGAAGAGAAAGAGATCAGCGTAGAAAGTATATTCAAATGGATAATAACAGAGAACTTCCCAAATCTACAGTAAGATGCCAATATTCAAGTACAAGAAGGTTATAGGGCACCAAGAAAATTTAATCCAAAGAAAAGTACCTCAAGACATTTAATAATCAAACACCCAAAGGGAGGGAATAAAGAAAGGATTCAAAAAGCAGCAAGAGAAAAGAAACAACATACAAAGGAGCTCCAATATGTCTGGTAGCAGACTTCTCAGGGGAAACCTTACAGGTGAGGAGTGAGTGGCATGACATATTTAAAGTGCTGAAAGAAAAAAACTTTTATCCTAGAATAGTATATCCAGCAAATATATCCTTCAAGATGAACTTTTCACTAGACTAAGAAAAAAAACAGGGAAGATTCAAATAAAATTGCAAATAAAAAAGGAGACATTACAATGGATACAACAGAAATACAAAGGATTATAAGAGACTATTATGAAAAAGTATAAACCAACAAGCTGAACAATCTAAAATCAATAAACAAATCTCTTGATTCATACAGCCTAGCAAGACTGTATTATAAAAAAATAGAAAATTTTGGCCAGGCACGACGGCTCATGCCCGTAATCTCAGCACTTTGGGAGGCCGAGACAGGTGGATCACCTGAGGTTGGGAGTTTGAGACTAGCCTGACCAACATGGAGAAACCCCGTCTCTACTAAAAATACAAAAAAATTAGCCGGGTGTGATGGCGCATGCCTGTAATCCCAGCTACTCAGGAGGCTGAGGCAGGAGAATCACTTGAACCCAGGAGGCAGAGGTTGCAGTGAGGTGAGATCACGCCATTGTACTCCAGCCTGGGCAACAAAAGCGAAACTCCATCTCAAAAAAAAAAAAAAGGAGGGGGGCGGGTGCGGTGGCTTATGCCTGTAATCCCAGCACTTTGGGAGGCCGAGGCGGGTGGATCACTTGAGGTCAGGAGTTCAAGACCAGCCTGACCAACATGGAGAAACCTTGTCTCTACTAAAAATATAAAATTAGCCAGGCATGGTGGTACATGCCAGTAATCCCAGCTACTCGGGAGGCTGAGGCAGGATAGTTGCTTGAATCGGGAGGTGGAGGTCGCACTGTGAGCTCAGATCGCACCATTGCACTCCAGCCTGGGCAACAAGAAACTCCATACTCCAACTCAAAAAAAAAAAAAAAAAACAGAAGAAAAAATAGAAAATTTTAACAAACCAAAAATGAGTAAGGAGATTAAATCACTAATAAGTCTTCCATTATACCAAGCATGGTGGCTCGTACCTGTAATCCCAGCACTTTGGAAGGCCAGGGCAGGCAGACTGCTTGAGCTCAGGAGTTTGAGTCCAGCTTGGGTACATGGCAAAACCCCCATCTCTACAGAAAATACAAAATTTAGCCACATGTGGTGGTGTGTGCCTGTGGTCCCAGTTACTAAGGCTGAGGTGGAAGGACTGCTTGAGCCCAGGAGGTTGAGGCTGCAGTGAGTCGAAATTGTGCCACTCCACTCCAGGTTGGGCAACAGAGTAAGACCCTGTCTCAAGAGAAAAAAAAAAAAAAAGTCCTCTATTAAAGAAAAGCCCAGAGCTGGGTGTGGTGGCTCATGCCTGTAATCCCAACACTTAGGGAGGACGAGGCAGGCAGATCACGAGGTCAAGAGATTGAGACTATCCTGGCGAACATGGTGAAACCCTAACATGATGAAACTCTGTCTCTACTAAAAATACAAAAATTAGCTGGGCATGGTGGCGCGCACCTGTAGTTGCAGCTACTCAGGAGGCTGAGGCAGGAGAATCTCTTGAACCTGGGAGGCGGAGGTTGCAGTGAGCCAAGATCGCACCACTGCACTCCAGCCTGGTGACAGAGCGAGGCTCCGTCTCGAAAAAAAAGAAAAAAAAGAAAAAAAAAGAAAAGCCCAGGACCCAATGGCTTCACTGCTGAATTTTACCAAACACTTAAAGAAGAAGTAGTATCAATCCTACTCTAACTAGTCTGAAAAATAGAGGGGAAGGAAATACTTTCAAAGTCATTCTACAAGGACAGTATTACTGTGATATTAAAACTAGCCAAAACCACATTTTTAAAAAAGAGAAAACTATAGGCAAATATCCCTGATTATATTGATGCAGAAGTCCTTAACAAAAAATTAGCAAACCAAATAACAACATATTAAAAATATCATTTGTCATAATCAAGTAGGATGCATTCCAGGGGCGCAAAGATGGTTCAACACACGCAAATTAATCAATCTGATAGATCATATCAACAGAAAGAAGGACAAAATCCATATGGTCATTTCAATTGATGCTGAAACAGTGTTTAAGAAAATTCAACATCCTTCATGATAAAAACCTTCAATAAATTGGGTATAAAGGAACTTACCTCAACACAATAAAAGCCATATATGATAGACCCACAGCTAGTATCTTAATGAATGGGAGAGAAAACTGAAATCTAGAACGTAACAAGGATGCCCACTTTTACCACTGTCATTCAATATAATACTGGAAAGTTGTAGGTAGAGCAATTAGACAAGAGAAAGAAATAGAAGGCAACCCTGAATAACCAAGGCAATCCTAAGCAAAAAGAACAAAGCAGAAGGCATCAGGCTACCCAACTTCAAACTATACTACAGGGCTATTGGAACCAAAACAGCATGGTACTCGAACAAGAACAGACACAAAGACCAACAGAACAGAAAAGGGAACCCAGAAATGAGACCACACACCTACAACTGTCTGATCTTCAACAAACCTGAAAGAAATAAGCAATGGGGAAAGAATTCCCTATTCAGTAAGTGGTGCTGGCCAGGCACGGTGGCTCACACCTGTAATCCTAGCACCATGGGAGGCTCAGGCAGGTGGACTGCCTCAGCTCAGGAGTTCGAGACCAGCCTGGGCAACACAGTGAAACCCCATCTCTACTAAAATACAAAAAAAATTAGCCAGGCATGGTGGCATGTGCCTGTAGTCCCAGCGACTCAGGAGGCTGAGGCAGGAGAATTGCTAGAAGCCAGGAGGCGGAGGTTGCAGTGAGCGGAGATCACGCCACTGTACTCCAGCTTGGGTGACAGGGTGAGACTCCGTCTCCAAAGAAAAAAATAAAAATAAAAAAGTGGTGCTGGGATAACTGGCTAGCCATATGCAAAGATTGAAACTGGACCCCCTCCTTACACCACATACAAAAATTAATTCAAGATGGATTAAAGCCTTAAATGTAAAACCCAAAATTATAAAAATGCTGGAAGACAACCTAAGCAATACCATCCAGGACATAGGCACAGGCAACGATTTCATGACAAAGATGCCAAAAGCAACTGCAACAAAAGCAAAAATTGACAAATGTATACTAACTAAACTAGAGAGTTTCTGCACAGAGAAAGAAACTATCAACAGAGTAAACAGACAATCTAAAGAATGGGAGAAAATTTTTGCAAACTATGCATCTGACAAAGGTCTAATATTCAGCATCTAAAAGGAACTTAAACAAATTTACAAGAAATAAACAAACAACCCCATAAAAAAGTGGGCAAAGGACATGAAAAGACACTTTTCAACAGAAGACATACATGCGGCCAAAAATCATATGAAAAAAAGCTCAACATCATTGATCATTAGAGAAATGCAAATCAAAACCACAATGAGATACCATCTAACTCCAGTCAGATGGCTACTATTAAAAAGTCAAAAAATAACAGATGTTGGCAAGGTTGTGGAGAAAAAGGAATGCTTTTACACCACTGGTGAGAGTGAAATTAGTTCAGCCATTGTGGAAGACAGTGTGGCAATTCCTCAAAGACCTAAAGACAGATATACCATTTGACCCAGCAATCCCATTACTGAGTATACACCCAAAGGAATATATATCATTCTATTATAAAGATACACACATGTGTACGTTTATTGCAGCACTATGCACAATAGCAAAGGCATAGAATCAACCCGAATGCCCATCAATGGTAGACTGCATAAAGCAAATGTGGTACACATACACCATGGAATACTATGCAGCCATAAAAAACAATGAGATCATGTCCTTTGCAGAAACACGAATGAAGCTGGAGGCCATTATCCTTAGCAAACTAACTCAGGAACAGAAAACCAAATATCGCATGTTCTCACTTATAAGTGGGAGCTAAATGATGAGAGAACATGAACACATAGAGGGGAATAACACACACTGGGGCCTTTTGGAGAATGGAGGGTGCGAGGAGGGAGAGGATCAGGAAAAACAACTAATGGGTACTAGGCTTAATACCTGGCTGATGAAATAATCTGAACAACAAACCCCTAAGACACAAGTTTACCCATGTAACACACCCGCACTTGTACCCCTGAACTTAAAATAAAAGTTTAAAAAGAAGAAGAAATAAAACTTTTTGGGGGGCAAATTTTTTAAAAAAGAAAAAGAAATAAAGGGCATCCACATCAGAAAGGAAGAAGTCAAATTATCCTTGTTTGCACGTGATATGATCTTGTTTGGAAAAATCTACAGACTCCACTAAAAAACTATTAAAACTGATAAATAAATTCAGTAAGTTGCAGGATACAAAATCAGCATACAAAAAACAGTAGCATTTCTATATGCCAACAGCATACAATCTAGAGAAGAAATCAAGAAAGTCAACTCATTTACAGTAGATACAAATAAAACAGAATACCTAGGAATTAACCAAAGAACTGAAAGTTCTCAACTATGAAACCTATAAAACATTGATGAAAGAAACTGAAGAGGATACACACAAAAAGGAGATATTCCATTTTTGTGAATTAGAAGAATTAATATTGTTAAAATATCCATAGTACCCAACGAAATCTACAGATTCAATGCAATCTCTATCAAAGTACCACTGACATTCTTCACATAAATAGAAAAAACAACCCTAAAATTTATATGGAACCACAAAAGACCCAGAATAGCTAAAGCTGTCCTGAGCATAAAGAACAAAATTGGAAGAATCACATTAACTGACTTCAAATTATACTACAGAGCTGTATTAATCAAAACGGCACAGTACTGGCATAAAAATAGACACACAGACCAACAAAACAGTACGGAGAACCCAGAAACAAATCCATACATATACAGTTAACTCATTTTCAACAAAGTTGCCAAGAACTTGGGGAAAAAACAGTCTCCAGTAAATGGTGCTGGAAAGACTGTCTATCCATATGCAGAAGAATAAAACTAGACCCCCATTTCTTGCCATATACAAAAATCAAATCAAAATATATTAAAGACTTAAATCTAAGACCTCAAACTATGAAACTACTAAAAGAAAACATTGGAAAAACTCTCCAGGACATTGGACTGGGCAAAGATTTCTTAAGTAATACCCCACAAGCACAGGCAACCAAAGAAAAAATGGACAAATCAAATTAACACGTTAACACATCATGTTAAAAAGCCTCTGCATAGCAAAAGAAATAATCAACAAAGTGAAGACACAACCCACAGAATGGGCAAAAATATTTGCAAACTATCTGTCTGACAAGGGATTAATAACCAGAATACATAAGGTGCTCAAACAAATCAATAGAAAAAAAAAATCTAATAATCTGATTGAAAAATAGGGAAAACATATGAATAGACCTTTCTCAAAAGAAGACATACAAATGGAAAACAGGTATATGAAAAAGTGCTCAACATTGTTTATCATCAGAGAAATGCAAATCAAAACTACAATGAGCTATCATCTCACCCCAGTTAAAATAGCTTCTATCCAAAGGTCAGGGAATAAAACATGCTGGCAAAGTTGTAGAGAAAAAGGAACCACACTGGTGGTGGGAATGTATATTCCCAACCACTTCAGAGAAAAGCTTGGAGCTTCCTTGAAAAACTAAAACTAGAACTATCCTATGATCCAATCTTACTCCTAGGCATATACCCAAAGAAAGGATATCAGTATATTGAACAGGTATCTGCACCCTTATGTTTATGGCAGCAGTATTCACAATAACCAAGATTTGAAAACCTAAGTGTCCATCAACAGACAAATGGATAAAGAAAATGTTGTACATATACAAAATGGAGTACTATACAGTGATAAAAAAGACTGAGATCCTGTCATTTGCAACAACGTGGATGGAACTGAAGGTCATTATGTTAAGTGAAATAAGCCAGGCACAGAAAGACAAATTGTGCATGTTCTCACTTGTTTGTAGGAGCTTAAAAAATTAAAACAATTGAACTCATGGAGATAGTAGAATGATGATTACTAGAGGTTGGGAAGGGTGGGGGAGAATGGGGATGGCTAATGGGTACAAAAATATAATTAGAGAGAATAAATAAGATCTAGTATTTGATAGCACAACAGGGTGACTACAGTCAACAATAACTTATTGTACATTTAAAAATAATTAAGAGTATAATTGGACAGTTTATAACACAAAGAAAGAATAAGTGTTTGAGGTGATGGATGTCCCATTTACCCTGATCTGATTATTATGCATTGTATTCCTGTGTCAAAATATCTCACGTACCCCATAAATATATACATCCACTATGTACCCACAAAAGTATTTTTTAAGTTAAAAAAAAAAAGCACAAGGAGACAGTATTAGAGCTTGACCCTCCAGTCTCCTTGTCAGTCAACTTGCAATATAAAGCTTTTCTTCTTTCAAAAAACTCAGTGTCATAGTATTGGTTTCTAATGCATCAGGCAACATTTACACATCTAATAAGAGACAATTAAAACATATGAAGCAAAATCTGATAGAATTGCAAAGAAAAATCAATAATTCTAAAATAATAGTTGGATACTTCTATAACTCACTCTTGTTAAGGGACACAACAACTAGATGGAAGATAAGTAAGGAAACAGACAACTTAAACTACACAATAAACCAACTAGATTTAACAGATATCTAAAGAACATTCTACCCAACAACAACCACATACAAATTTTTCTCAAGTGTACATGGAGCATTTTCCCAGATGGACCATATGTTAGGCCAAATATTATATCTCAACAGATATAAAAAGAAAGATATAAAAATTATCTTTTCCAACCACAATGAAATGAAGTGAGAAATCATTAACAGAAAACTGGAAAATGCACAAATTTGTGTATATTAACACATTTTAAAACAACCAATAGATCAAAGTAGAAATTACAAGAAAAATTAGAAAACAGTTAGAAATAAACGAAAATGAAAACAAAACATACCAAAATTTATGAGATGCAGTGAAGGCAGTGCTAAGGGGGGAGTTTATAGTTATAAATGCTTGACATTTAAAAAAAACAAAAAAGATCTCGAAATAACAACCTAATTTTACAAATTAAGAAACTAGAAAAAGAAGAACAATTTAAACCAAAAGCTAGCAGAAGAAAGGAAATAATAAAGATTAGGGTAGAGCTAAAACGAATATGAGGATAGAAAAACTAGAAAAATTATCAAAACTAAAAGTGGATTCTTTGAAAGCATCAACAAAATCGACAAACCTTTAGCTAGATGAACTAAGAAAACAAAGAAAAAAGACTCAAAATACTAAAATCAGAAATAAAGCTGGGGATGTTATTGCTGAATCTAAAGAAATAAAACAGATGACAAGAGAGTATTATTAATAATACTATACCAACAAATTAAATAACCTAGATTACATGAACAAATTCCTAGAAACACAACACAA
Organism: Homo sapiens; assembly: GCF_000001405.40. NCBI lineage: Eukaryota > Metazoa > Chordata > Mammalia > Primates > Hominidae > Homo > Homo sapiens. The sequence continues at coordinate 210,124,935 of NC_000002.12, forward strand.
CTTAAGAAGACTAAATCTCAAAGAAATAGAAAATTTGGGCTGGGTGTGGTGGCTCACATCTGTAATCCCAGCACTTAGGGAGGCCAAGGCAAGTGGAACACCTGAGGTCAGGAGTTTGAGACCAGCCTGGACAACATGGTGAAATCCCGTCTCTACTAAAAATACAAAAATTAGCTGGATGTGGTGGCGGGTGCCTGTAATCCCAGCTACTCAGGGGGCTGAGGCAGGAGAATTGCCTGAACCCAGGAGGCAGAGGTTGCAGTGAGCCGAGATTGCGCCACGGCACTCCAGCCTGGGCAACAAGAGCAAAACTCCAACTCAAAAGAAAAGAAAAGAAAAGAAAATTTGAATAGGCCTATATAACTAGTAAGGAAATTAAATTAGTAATCAAAAATCTCTTGATAAAGTAAAGCCCTGAATCTGATGACTTCAATGCTGAATTCTACTAAATTTTTAAAGAAGACCAAATAGCAATCCTTCTCAAACTTTTCCAAAAAATCAAAGAGGAAGGAACACTTCTTAATTCATTCTGTGAGGCCAGCATTATCCTGATGCCAAAGCCAGGCAAAGACACTATAAGAAAATAAACTACAGATCAATATCCCTTGTAAATACTGATACAGAAGTGATCAACCAAAAATTAGCAAGCCAAATTCATCACCATATTAACAGGTTTACAATCCATGACTGAGTGAGATTTATTCCAAGTGAGATTTATTCTTAGAATGAAAGGATGGTTCAGTATTAAAACCGATTAATGTAATACACAACATTAACAGAATGAAGGAGAAAGAAAACCCTATCATCATTTTAATTGAAGAAAAGGCATTTGAAAAAATTGTACATCTTTTCATGATAAAAACAGTCAGCAAGGTAGGAATCAAAGAAAACTACCTAAACATAATAAAAGCCACATATGAAAACCCCCTGAAAATCACACTCAAGGGTTAAAGACTGAACCATTTCTCCTCTTAAGATCAGGAACAAGGCAAAAATGCTCACTTTCACCACTTCTATTCAACACAGTATTGGAAGTTCTAGACAAAGCAATTAAGCAAGAAAAAGAAATAAATGGCATCCAAACTGTAAAAGAAGTTAAATGATTTGTTTTAAGATGATATAATCTTATATGTAGAAAACACTAAAAATTCCTTCAAAAATATGTTCAAATTAATAAATTCAGCAGAGTAGCAAGATCACACAGAAGTCAGGTGCGTTTTTTATACACCAACAATGAACAATCTGCAAAGAAAGTCACAAAAACAATTCCACTTACAACAGCATCAAAAAGAATAAAACACTTCAGAATATAATAGATAGATAACCAAGGAGTTGATAGACTTGTATAAACTACAAAACATTGCTGAAAGAAATTAAAGAAGATATAAATAAATGGAAACAAATCCCATATTCATGGATTGGAAGACTTAATGTTGTTAAGCTATCAAAACTACTCAAAGAAATCTAGAGTTTCAGTGCATCCCTATCTAAATCTCCACAACTCTTTTTATAGACAGAAAAAAAACTTATCCTAAAGGTCATACAAAATCTCATGAGACCTCAAAGCCAACACAATCTCTAAAAAAACACAAATCTAGAGTTGGGCTCGGTGGCCCACACCTGTAATCCCAGCATTTTGGGAAGCCAAGGCAGGCAGATCACTCTGAGGCCAGGAGTTCAAGACTAACCTGGCCAACATGGCAAAATCCCGTCTCTACTAAAAATACAAAAATTTTAGCTGGGCTTGGTGGCACATGCCTGTAATCCCAGCTACTCAGGAGGCTGAGGCATGAGAATCACTTGAGCCTGGAAGGTGGAGGTTGCAGTGAGCTGATATCGTGCCATTGCACTCCAGCCTTGGCAACATACTGAGACTCTGTCTCAAAAATATATATAAATAAATAACAAATCTGGAAGACTCACGTCCTGATTTCAAAAATTATTACAAAACTACAGAAATCAAAATAATGTGATACTGGCCAGGCATAGTGGCTCATGCCTATAATCCTAGCACTTTGGGAGGCTGAGGTGAGAGGATGGCTTGAGCCCAGGAGTTCAAGACCAGCCTGGTCTTGAATATAGTGAAACTCTGTCTCTTTTTAAAAAAAAAGAAGAAAAGAAATTAAAAACAAAAACAAAAAAACCCAATGTGGTACTGGCATAAAGACAGACCTATATTCCAATGGGATAGAATAGAGAACCCAGAAATAAACCCTAACATATATGGTCAAATGTTTTTTGACAAACTTTTCAAGGCCATTCAATGGAAAAACAGTCTTTTCAACCAGGTAAAACTGAATATCTGAATGAAAACAAATGAAACTGGACCCTTACCTAACACCACACACAAAAATTAACACAAAACGGATCAAAGCTCTCAATGTAAAACCTAAAACTATAAAACTCTAAGAAGAAATATAGGGTAAGTGCTTCATGACATTAGATTTAGCAATGATTTCTTAGCTATGACACCAAAGGCACAGGTAATAAAAGAAAAAGTAGACAAATGGGACTTCAGAAAAATTTTGAAAATTTGGGCAGGAAAAGATAATATCAACAGAGTAAAAATGCAATGAACAAGGCTGAGCACAGGGGCTCACATTTGTCATACCAGCACTTTTTGAGAGGCCAAGATCAGGGGATCATTTAAGTCTAGGAGTTCGAGACCAGCCTGGGCAATAGAGGGAGATCCCATCTCTACAAAAAATCAAAAACTTAGCCAGGCATGGTGGCACGAGCCTCTAGTCTCAGCTACTTGGGAGTCTGAGGTGGAAGGATTGCTTGAGCCCGGGAGGTCAAGGCTGCAGTGAGCAGTGATCACACTACTGCACTCCAGCCTGGGTGACAGAACAAGACTCTGCCTCAAAAAAAAAAAAAAAAAAAAAAAGCAACACATAGAATAGGAAAAAATATTTATAAATCATATATCTGATAAGAAATTAATATCTACTATATATTGAATTAAAACGCAACAAGAAAAAAACAAGCAAGCAACCCAATTCAAAAATGGGCAAAGGACTTGAATAAGTACTTCTCCAAAGAAGATATCCAAAAGCCAAGCCAGTAGCACATGAAATGATGTTCAACATCATTAATCATTAGGCAAATGCAAATCAAAACTAAAATAAGATACCATCTCACACTCATTAGGGAGGTTACTATAAAATAAACAGAAAATAAATGTTAGCGAGAATCTGGAGAAATCTGAACCTTGTGTACTGCTGGTGGGAATGTTAACTGGTATAGCCACTGTGAAAAACAGTATGGTAGATCCACAAAAAAATTAAAAATAAAGTTCCCATATGATCCAGCAATTCAACTTGTGGGTGTTTACCCCAAAGAATTGAAAACAGGGTCTCAAAGAGATATTTTTATATCCATGTTCATAGCATACTCACAATAGCTAAAAACTGGAAGCAACCCAAGTGTCCATCAACGGATGAATGAATAAACAAAATGTGGTATATACATACAATAAATTATTAGTCTTAAAAAGGAAAGAAATTCTAATATGCTACAATATTTATGAAACTTGAGAACATTATGCTAGTGAAATAAGCTAGCCACAAAAAGACAAAAACTTATGATTCTGCTCATATGAGGTACTTAAAATAGTCAAAATCATAAGAGACAGACATAGTTGCCAGGGGTTGAGGAGAGAGGAAAGTGGACAGTTATTATTTAATGGGTTTAGAGCTTCAGTTATAAAAGGTAAAAAGAGTTATGGAGATGGATAGCGACAGATGCACAACATTACAAATGTATTTAATAACACAACTATACACTCAAAAATGGTTAAGATGTTAAGGTTTTTATGTATTTTATGATTTAGAAATTTGAAAACACGTTTATCACTTATATTAACTGGAATCCAATAAGGAAGTTCTGAATTGCTCAAAAAGTATGATAAAATGATCTTAAAATACAAAAAGGCATTACAAAAATAGCTTCAATTTATAATAATATATCAAAAATTTTAACATAAACTGGCTACATTTTTATAAAACCTTGTAACAATTATTTTTGTGATCAAATGAGAAGGAATGAAAACATTAACAATTTTTAACAAAAGTAGAAGAACACAGACAGACAATACCTTGGAGGCACGAATTTGCCTGTGAATGTCTGTTAGTTGTTGGATTTTGCATTCTAGGTCTGAAATCTGAGCTTGAAGCCAAGTCCATCGGCTGCCAACTCGTGCTCTGTCTACAAGCCACTTCCATTCAGTACTACAGTTACTGTGAACAAAACAAACACTGTTACTCAAAGCACAAAGGCAATCAAGTTTCACAAACACTGCTTAATAACTTCCTTAACTCCCATCATAAAAGCAAATTTCCTTTCTACAACATGTAATTACAGGAAGAGAGAATGGCAGATTGACTTCTTATCAAAGAAAAAGATATAATTTTCCTACCTTTCCACCCCACAAATACCTGTTTTCATTAAATATTACATACCCTGTAGTAGGATAATTCCTCTGCTATTCAATTCTTTATCAGTGCAGAAGGTCTTAAACAGAGATAAACCAGCAAAGAAAAGGAAACATGAATGACAATGCAAACACCATGTAAAAACTGTTACATAAAACTTTTATACGTAAGTAGATGTCAAGTACCAGACAATCCATTTGAATGGTGCTAAATCTAAATCCATGTAATAAACTGTAGCATATTCGATTTTACTATAAGTAATTTTTATTTGTTAAAATAGGCATCGTTATTAGCTAATTATTTAAATCATTTTTTAAAAGCTATCAAAAATTATAAAAAATATAAATGCTCTGCTACATTTCAAATAAGCATACCAAATATATAGACCTTAAAATATTTAAGATAAACTGTTCCTTAAAAACCTGATTCCTAGGATTCACAACCTACAGATCACAAAGAATTTACATAAAGCCTTTCTTTCATGCATATTTAAAAATAAGGGTTGATTCCTAGCTCCTCCTAGTACCTCTTGTCATTTGGCAAGAGCACTACAGCTAGAGAAAAATTATTGGGGATTACGGGTGGTATATGTGTGTGATATTTAATTAGGAGATGCAGATTGCAAAAAAAAAAAAAAACTGACAGAAACTGAAGATATAACTGTAGGACAACAATGACTTAATGACAACATGTAAACTTTATAAAAAACTTATCTAAAAATTCATTTATTGTCAAAACCCGCTGACTGTAGAACGCCAAGAGTGAACCCTAATGTAAATGATGATCTCTGGGTGACAATGACGTGTTAATGTAGGTTCATCAATTGTAACAAATACACCACTCTGTTGTGGGATATTAACACTGGGAAAGGTTATGCATTTGTAGCATGTAGGAACAGGGGATATGTGGGAACTCTTTGTACTTTCCATTCAGTTTTGCTGTGAACCTAAAACTGCTCTAAAAAATAGTTTATTAATTTTTTAAAATGCACTGGACCATAATGGAATATCTTTCAAATAATCTTTAAACAGAGAAAATATTTATTCTAAGAGATCATTTGCTGTCAGATAAACAGAACACAATTATTATGGCTTTGCTATATAGAATTTATTCATTATAACAGGATTTTACATTATATCAATGTTTCTGAAAGGCCACTGTTTTTAAGGATTCTAACTGCATACAATGTGATTAAAGACACCATATGATTTAGGATTTCTCTTGGTATTATTATTTATTGTTTATAGTCATTACTGTGGTTTCATAAATTTGACACTTAAAAATCACATTTTCCTAACTGTGGACAAAATAAAATACCTATTCAAAATATACTATTCATAGTTAACAGTTAGCAACACTAAATGCCAATCACAAAATCAGAGAAGGCAAGCATGCTAGCGCGTAGCATTTTACACAGGTGAGGATAAAATGTTTGGATTTTAAAACAAAGTGGAAACTACTGGCAAGGTGGTAACAATTTTTTTTTTTTTTTCAAGAACTTTGGCTACTAGGTGGAGAAAGCACTGCAGTAGGAAATGAAAAAAAAGTCAGGAAAACAACTAAGATGTTATCTGTAATAATCTGGGTGTAGTACAGATCATTGTGATCTCTAAATATTTCACGTACCGCCCTACACTTCCCAGGCTTATGCATTTATGTTGGAGCCATTTGACTAGTTCTGAGCAAATGCGCTGTAAGCAAAAGTGACATTGTCATTTCCAGTTCACCTGAGGATCTTCAAAACCAGTAGTGCAGAGAGTATAGCTACAAGATGGAGGAGGAGAATAGCCCAGATCACACTGGACTTTATGTAAGCCGCAGTACACCTCTGCTGTGTGAAACCATTGAGATTAGGATGCTAATTTGTAACTCTAAATATAGCCTATTCTGACTAAAACACTGAATATAAAAATGGCTTTGACTGGGAAGGAGAGGGGAGACAAAGATATGTAGATAAAAGAATGGATTCAAGGTTCATTTTAAAGTTGATAGGACTTGCAGAAGTATGGCATAGAAGTGAGCTTAGGGCAATCAAAGATGATCTTAAACATTCTTTAAGTTTTGCTCCAGTTGGAAAATTCCCCTATAATATGCAATTTGGTTTGGCTATAATATTGATGATTAGTGAATAATGAAATATAACAGAAAAAAATGCCATAGAACTCATATTATTGTACTTCTGGTAAAGATATTCTGATACTCAAGTTAGGATTACAAAAATCATTGTTATGATGTTCATATACTAGACTAAATTATACTAATATAGAAAAATAGCAATACCAGATTAAATTTAAGTAAACCAAATCGCATCGGACGCTTTGTGATATATGAAATAAATTTTCTTTTTTTTTTTTTTTAGTTTTGCTGTGTCGTCCAGGCTGGAGTGCAGCGGTGCGATCTCTCCTCATTGCAACCTCCACCTCCCAGGTTCAACGGATTCTTGTCCCTCAGCCTCCTGAGTAGCTGGGATTACAGGCATGTACCACCACACCCAGTTAATTGTATTTTTAGTAGACACGGGGTTTCACTACGTTGGCTAAGCTGGGCTTCAACTCCTTTCCTCAAGTGATCTACCCGCCTCGGCCTCCCAAAGTGCTGGGATTACAGGCATAAGCCAGAAAGCCCGGCCTGAAATAAATTTTCTGTAGAGGGTAACTTATCCTACATTTTAACAGGAGTGAATAAAACATGTTTGCTATGCTTATAAGTGGTAAACAAAAATGTTTGCTTCCTAGAAAACATGTTTTTCTAAAAAAAATAAGATTGTTAATAATTAAGATGTTACAGATAAATATATGGCTAACTTGCTCAAACAAGATCAACATGTTATACCCCAAAGTCAAACATTTTATGTAAACAACTTATATAATCAATGTTAATGGTTTACATAACTTACAGTGTAACCAAATAGCATATAACTAATGCACCAGCATACTCAGAGTGTCCCAACTCCCCAGTTAGCATATAAGCCTGGTCTGCCACTGACTCCCTGAATCTTTCTAGAGTGTGCAAAACTGATCACAGACCACCACATGCTGACCATAATGTGGGTTCCCTATCTCTAGTAAAGATCAAAGACATTGGTGAGTGGAGACCACCTGGACAGTGACAGAGATCACTCATTCCCCAGAAAGGTAGCATTATGACTTCAATTCCCATCCTTGCTTGCTTGCAGCCACCACTTAACTTTTGCTAAAAGAAATGAGTACAAGCTGTTTAAACTTAAGTGGTTTTGAATGCAATTTCTCTTGGTACTAACTGTCAACATCACAAACTTACATCTTTGTTTTGACCTCCTGGTATGAACTCATTTGGTCATGATGAATTTTTACTGTTTGCTAGACCCTATTTGTTATTTCATTTAGGATTTTTCTTTGCATCTATAGTCAAAGAAGATATGGATCTGCTGTTCTCTTGTCATATTTGGTTTTGGAATCAAGCTAATGCTACCCTCATAAAACGAGAAGTCTTCTCTCCTCCTTGATTTTCTGAAGGAATTTATGTAGGACTGGAATGGTTTATTCCTTGAGTTTCAATGAAATTAATCAGTGAAGCCATCTGAGCCACAAGTTTTCTATGTGGGAAAGTTTATAATTATTAATTTTTCTTTTTAACGTAAGGTTTTTCAGGTTTTCTATTTCTCATTGTGTCAGTTTGGTCATTTGTGTCTTTTAAGCGATTAGCCTATTTAGCTTAAATTGTTGAATTTATTGACATGTACTTGTTCATAATACAGTCATCCCTTAGTATAAGGATTGGTTCCAGGACCCCCTGAGGATACCAAAATCTGCGGAAATGGTCAAGTCCCTTATATAAAATGATGTACATGTGCATATAAGCTACATACACTCCATTGTATACTTTAATTTCTAGATTGCTTATAATATCTAATACAATGTAAATATTGCTTATAATACATAATACAAAGTTATTATACTCTTTTTAATTCATATTTTTTATTATTGCATTATTTTATATTTTTCTTGGCTATTTCCATTTATAGTTAGTTGATACACAGATACAGAACCTGGGAATACAGAGAATGGTTTGTATCCCCCAATTATTCCACAATGCCAGAACATCTATAGTGATATTTTTCCTTCTTCCTGCTATTAGTATTCTTCTAAATAATCTTGCTAGAAGTTTATAATTCTCTCCATTGTTTTCATGTTTTATATTCTGTGAATATCCACTCTTTATCATCACCTTTTCCTTCTATTTGCTTTGGGTTTAATTTAGTATTATTTTTATTGCTTTTTAAGTAGGAGACTTAGACCACAGACTACACTATTCTCCTTTCCTAATACAAACATGTATAGCCATACAGCATTGCTTCAGTAATTTAGTAGCTGCATCCCTCAAATTCTGATATGTCATGTTTCTAATATTATTCAGTTCAAAACATTTTATAGTTTCTCTTGTGACTTCTTCATCCACGAGTTATTTGGAAATGTGTGATTTAATTTCTACATATTTCAGACCCACATATTTACCATTTCTTAACATTTCTTTTTTCCTTTATGTAAATCTGTTTTTACCCAGTATGATTTTCCTTCAGCCTGAAGATCATCTTTTAAAATTTCTTTAGTGCGTGTATACTGACAACTTCTCTCTATTTTTGCTTATCTGGAAATGTCATTTTGTCTCTGTTTTTTAAAATGTTTCACTGGGCAGAGAATTTTAGACTGACTTTTTTTCCCCACCTTTCAGCACTTTAAATATATCATTCCATTTTTCTGGCTTACATACCTTCTAGTGAGAAGTTAGCAGTGATTTTTATTTATTAACCACTTCTTCTGAATGACTATTCCCTTGTTAGCTGAAGTCGTTTTACATTTCAGATATTTTTAGCTTCTGAACGTTCAATGGTTCTTTATATGTTCAATTTCTTTCATTATGTTCACATTTTCCTTTTAAGTCCTTGAGCATATTTACAATAGATATTTTAAGCTCTTTGCCAACTACTTTCATGATCATTATCATTTCCACATCAGTTTCCATTAATAATTTTTCTCCGCTTCTTTGCATGCCTAATAGTTGAATACACACATGTGCACATACATACACACATGTCTAGTAGGTTTTATATAAATACATATTTTAAGGGTACTATGATTATGTTGTTAATGTGTGGATTTTGTGGTCTTCCTTAAAGAGTGATGAATTCTGTTCTGACAGGTTATTATATTACTTGCTGTTCAACTTCATAAATTTCAGCTTACTTTAAAGCTTTGTTAGAGCATGTGTAGAGTAGCCACTACACTAAGGCAGTTATCAAATTGAGGGAGAGGTGGATAGTCTGAGGAAAATAACTAGTAAATTAATAAGTGCATAGGCTTAACAACTATGACAAAATGAGATCTTTGGCTGTGGTATTTTCACATATAACTGACAGGAAGAAAAAGAGAATGGAAACCTACATTTCGGAGGGAACTCGACTAGGAAATACTACCATAAGCCTAACAAAGACTATCCCTGGGAGCCAAATCTGCACCAATAGAAAGCAGGGTGAGAATGCAGTGGTGTCTCCAATAAGAGTACACTAACACCCATGTTAGATACAGTCACAAAGAATCATAGACCAAGAGTAATTCCCAAAGAGCAAGGTCAGGGACTATGAAGGACAAATGACAAGGGAGCTTATCTCAGAAAGCAAAATTAAGGTCCTAGCAAGACCTTACTCCACTGCCAGAGCAAGAAGTCTATTATTGTAAGGAACAGGAACTATCATATATGGCCCATTCTTTTTTTTCCCATTGGGAATTTTCCTTGTCCTTTATACCATCATACAAGAAGCAAGAGGTCAAGAAAATTAGGAAACTTGTCTCTTAGTTTATTGGTCACCACATCATGATGAACCACACAGAAACCCGATATAGAGGACTTTACCCAATGAATGTGACTTTGGGTTATCATCCTTGAGAAGATGGTATGTTTTATGAATGAGAAAGAGGTACATGGACATTTGGGTAGCCAAAGAGGCAAACTGAATAGACTTCTTGTTTTCCCCTAATATCCATCCTCCTATACTTTTTGGATAATAGAGCTCCTTGGGTTTCAGCTGAGCCCTCAGCAGCTCAGCTTAGAGACCTTATTTCCCAGCCTTACTTGCAGTTAGGTCTGACTATACAACAAAGTCCTTGAAAATAAAACGTGAGCCAAAATTATGTGCACAACTTCTAGGTCTGGCCATTATAAATGATTGGGTTTATCATTAAAAATGACTGAATATGGAAATGAAATGAAGTACCAGTGACTCTCAACAATGCAGGCAAGGGCAGCATCCTAAGGAACAGCAAAGCTAAAAGGTCTCTGCTAAACCCTGTAAAGCATATCTAATTCTTGACCGTTAAATGAGAGAAAAATAAATTCTATATATTTATGTTGACTTCTCCTTGTTATAAAAGCTTAACATATACCTTAAATAACATATTCCTCCCTCGAAAATATTTCATGCTATTAGGATCATTTGGGCTAACAAGTTCTCATTTAAAATGTTCATTGTCTTTAAGATGAGCCTTACTGACATACAAGTTAATAACTTACATACTCTATCATCAAGTTGTACACACACAATATAGACACATATATGCACACATTCATGAAGTAAACAACAAACAAAAACAAAAAAATAAATATACAGTTGTGACCTCTAGAAATTCTGGCATGAAGATAAACCACATTAAAAAGTGCAGTTTAGGATGTCCAAGGACTATCTGAGGTTGGAACTTAAAAAGGGTTCCAAAAAGGAAGAATAAATGGAGTAAACACATCTTGAGATCTTATGCAATTCTGCCTAGAACTCTGGCAGAACCTAGTGTCAACTGCCTAAACTGAAAATTTCAGTATTAATTAAAAATAATTCATATATGGGATGGGCAAATTTAGTCTTCTTCTCTTATTATCTATCCTCCCACCCCTCAAAGAAAAAAAAGAAAAAAAAGGAGAGATTGGGAAATATTTATGCATTCTATCGCTACCACGCCTCTTCTCTTGTATGGAAAGAATTTTCAAAGTTATAGCCTGTAAAATAGTCTTAAATATGTTTGTAAAATCTTTGTGTAACATCAAACATTGACAAATAAGGACATATTTTTAAAAGGGAAATACTGTAAATAAATGTTAAACTAATCAAAACATTTATTTGCTAAAGAAACAATTTCACTGTTCAATAAGCATTGTGTGTATGTGTGTGCATGTCTCACTTTTGTTCAGGAAGCCAGGCAACCATGTAATGTTTTCAAACTGAACTGTACACGGGCCTGGATGAAGATGCAAGTAAAATCCAGCAAGAGTTCTGTACTCCAAACCCTGCAATTACAAACCTACATCTGCTCAGTGGAAGGAAAATCTTTTCCTAATGCACACAAATGAGTTAGTAATGGGCCTGCGAAACACTATAATGGGCCCTGAAAAGAAATAGGATAAAAATTAAAACTACCTTTATTAATCAAAAAAATGACTACCACTAAGCCAGAATCAAGTACAGGCATTCCTGCTCTAACACAATATATGCACTTCTGTATAACCTCATGTTCTGCAAAATAAAAATAGTTAGACTTATTGTGAAGATAGTGCCAGACCACACAATACCTAAGGAACTTTTAAATCTGAGCCCTAACAAAACAATAATGATTATTATAAAAATGGAAAGTTTCCACTGGCATTTGTACCTAAAATAAAGCAGTCCACATTTAAAGCTTCATATCCTGGGTCTCTTCTTTTTTTGATGTGCATCCTTGAAGACATTAGTTCTAATAGAAACCAGTTTAATAAAAATTAAAAATATCTTCTAGAGACAGCATTTTTCATTAGTCAATTTCTTTTTAACACAAGCAAAATATCTTTAAAGCTTAGTCAACACAGAAAAATGTATAGCCAATAAACCAGCAACTTACTGAGCTACAGGAGGATATTTCTATAGGACTTTTAGCATTTTGTTTAGATCTTCAGCTACTGCTAAGAATTCCTCTTTAGTTGAGAAAAGCTTGACCTTGATCATTTCAAAATGCTAACAAGTTTGAAGTAATCTGGAAACAACCCACATTGTGGATACACACACAAAGTGTGTAAAAATCTACATTATATTGACATCATTCCCCTAAATGCCAAATACGTCACAAATTTACATTTTAAAATGCTGTAACAGAATGAATTACATACATTTTTAAAATATTACTAGACATTAAATGAAAAATATTTCTGACAATCTTAAATATATTATGCAACATATTATTTTAAATGATCCTGATGCTTACATGCATAAATTTGAAATATTGCATTTCCTCAGTGCTAAAGATGCCATAAAATTTAAATACAATCAATTTCATAACATAATTCCCTGGGGTGGGAAAATAATATAATATTAATTCTATACATCTGGCCAGGCACAGTGGCTCATGCCTGTAATACCAGCACTTTGGTAGGCCGAGGCAGGCAGATCATTTGAGCTGAGGAGTTTGAGACCAGACTAAGCAGCACAGCAAAAACCTGTCTCTACAAAAAACAGAAAAATTAGCCAGGCATGGTGGTGCATACCTGTAGTCCCAGATACTTGGGAGGCTGAGTTAAGAAAATCACTTGAGCCCAGGAGGTTGAGGCTGCAATGAGCCATCATTGTGCCACTGCACTCCACCCTGGGCAACAGAGCAAGACTCTGACTCAAAAAAAAAATTGTACATATCTATATAAGGTACATCTATTAGAAACATTAAAATGTGATAAAAATGTGCATTTTGGAATCCAAGAAGCATGTTACATCGAAAGTACAAATTTTCATGAGCTGTGATTTTTTTTTTACAACTATGAAAATTTATTTTATTTTTAAAAACAGTGCTAATCACAGAAACAGAAAACCAAATACTGCATGTTCTCACTTATAAGTGGGGGCTAAATATTGGGTAAACATAGACATAAAGATGGCAACGATAGACACTGGGGACTAATGGAGGGGAGAGGAAGGGGGTGGGTAAGGGTTGAAAAGCTAACTATTGTATATTATGCTCACTACCTGGACAATGGGATCAATCAGACCCCAAACTTCAGTATCATGGAATATACACATGTAACAAGCCTGCATACATACCCTGTAAATCTAAAATAAAAGATGGCAGTGTTAAAAAAAGTTAATGATATCAATTCTATAAAAAAAACTTTTAGAAATAATATTTGCAGTGTTTAGATTTGTCTAAGGAAGCTTAACATTGGGACTTACGCTTTTTAAAAATCTTTTTTAGCTTTATTAAGATTCAAATGACAAAAATATTACATATTTATGGTGTACATATTTATATATTAACACAATGCTGTCCTATATGTACACATTGTATAAGATTAAACCATGCTAATTAACATATCCATCATCTCATATACTTTTTCTATGGTGGGAACATTTAACATTTTTTATGGTAACAACATTGAAAATATCATAAGTCGAAATGCATTGAATTGGCCAGGTGCAGTGGCTCACACCTGTATTCCCATCACTTTGGGAGGCTGAGGCAGATGGATCACCTAAGGTCAGGAGTTCAAGACCAGCCTGGACAACATGGCGAAACCCCGCCTCTACTAAAAATACAAAAAATAGCCAGGTGTGGTGGCAGGTGTCTGTAATCCCAGCTACTGGGGAGGCTGAGGCAGGAGGATTGCTCGAACCTGGGAGGTAGAGGTTGCAGGGAGCCAAGATCGCACCACTGCACTCCAGCCTGGGCAACAAAGCAAGACTCCATCTCAAAACAAAACAAAACAAAACAAAAAGAAATGCATTCAATTATGTCTCAATAAACTCACCTTAAAGTTGAAAAATTGTAAGTTGAGCCATCATAAGTCAGGGACTCAACACGGTATGTTATTATTAACTACAGTCACTATGCTGACCATCTCCAGAACTTATTCCTCCTAACTGACATCCATACCTACACACACTACATTTTCCTTATCCATTCATCTGTCAATGGTCAGTTTGATTGCATACTTTGGCCACTGTAAATGAGTATCAACATGAGAGTGCAGGTATCAACTCAACATACTGATTTAATTTCCTTTTGACATATACCCAGAAGTAGGATTATTGGGTCATATGGTAATTCTATTTTAAATTTCCAGAGAAACCTCCTTACTATTTTCTGTAATATCTGTGCTTGTTTACATTCCCACAGTGTACAAGAGTTTCCTTTTATCTGTATCCTCTCCAACATTTGTTATTCTTTTTCTTGTAATAGCCATTTTAACAGGTGTGAGACGGTATCTCATTATAGTTTTAATTGGTATTTCCCTGATGATTAGTGATGTTGAGCACTTTCTCATCTATGTGTTGGCCATTTGTATATCTTCTTTGGAAAAAGAAATTGTCTATTCAGGTCCTTTGCCCATTTCCTTTTTTTTTTTTTTTTTGAGACAGGGTCTCTTTCTGTCACCAAGGCTGGAGTGCAGAGGCGCAATCTTGGCTCACTGCAACCTCAACCTCCTGGGCTCGAGTGATCTTCCCATCTCAGTCTCCTGAGTGGCTGGAACTGCAGGTGCACACCACCATGCCTGGCTAACTTTTGTATTTTTTTGTAAAGACAAGGTTTTGACATGTTACCCAAGCTGGTCTCAAATTCCTGAGCTCAAGCGATCCACCGGGCTACACCTCCTTGGCCACTTTGCCCATTTTTTAATCAGGTTATTTGTTTTCTTACTATTGAGTAATTTAACTTCCATATGTACTTTGGAAATCCTCCCTTTTCAGACGTATAGTTTGCAAATATTTTCTCCCATTTCATAGGTTGTCTCTTCACTCTGCTGTTTCTTTTGCTGTGTCAAACCTTTTTAGTTTGATGCAATTTCATTTGTCTATTTTTGCTTTTGTTACCTGTGCTTTGGAGTGCATATCCAAAAAATATTTGCCAACATCAATGTCGAGAAGCTTTTTCTGTTTTATTCAGGTCTTATGTTGAAGTCTTTAATCACCTTAAGTTGATGTGGGAATAAGGAGTAAGATAAGGGTCCAATTTCATCCTTTGATATGTAGATAACCCATTTTCCCAACACTGTTGAAAAGACTATCCCTTCCTCATTGTGTGCCCGTGGCATCTTTATTAAAGAATAATTGGCCATAAATGCATGGATTTATTTCTAGGCTCTCTATTCTGTTTCATAGGCATATGTGTGTTTTTAATTCCAGTGGCATGCTGTTTTGACTATTATAGTTTTCTCAATGTATTTTGAAGTCAGGTAATGTGGTGCCTCCAGCTTTGTTCTTTTTGCTCAAGATTGCTTTGGCTCATGGGGTCTTGCTTGGTTTTACATAAATTTTTGAATTTTTTCCCATTTCTATGGAAAATGCCAGTGGAATTTTGATAACAATGATATGGAATTTGTAGATTGCTTTGGGTTGTATGGACATTTTAACAACTCTTCCAATCCGTGAACACAGGATGTTTTTCCATTTGTTTCTTTTTCCATTTTTTCATTCATGTTTAGTTGTTGGTGTACATATCTTTCACCACCATGGTTAAATTTATTCCTAAGTATGTTAGCATTTTAAGTAGGATGGTTTTCTTTTGGACAGCTTAATATTAGTGTATAGAAATAATACAGATCTTTGTAGATTGATTTTATATCCTGAAACGCTAATTAATTTATTTCTAACATTGTTTTGATGGGGTCTTTACACTTTTCTTATCTCTAAGATGTCATCAGCAAAGAAAATTTAACTTCTTTCCCTGATTTGGATACTTTTTTAAAATTTCTTTTCTTTCCTCTCTTCCCCTCACTCCCTCCTTCCTTCCTCCCTTCCCTTCCCCACTCCTCTCTGTTTTCTTTCTTTTCTTTCTCTCCCTTTCTCTTTTTCTTTTTTCTTTTCTTTCCTTTTTCTCTTTTATTTATTTATTTTTATGCCTAATGAACCTGGCTAGCAATTCCAGTATATGTTGAATAGATTGGTCAGAGTAGGTGGTATCATCTGAACACTGTGTCCTCAAAATTCATATGTTAAAACCTAATTCCCAATGTGATGGCCTTAAGAGGGTGAGCCTTTGGAGATGATTAGGTGATTAGGCTCCACCTTTATCATGAGATTAATACTCTTATAAAAGAGGCCTGAGGAAGCTTGTTCTCCCTATCTACCATGTGAGAACAGAGGTAGAAGATGCCAACATGAAGGAAAGAACAAGCCCTCACCTAACACTGAATCCGCTGACAACTTGGCCTTGGACTTCCCAGCCTCCAGACTGTAAAATAATTTCTGTTGTTAATAAGTTACTGAGTCTAAGGTATTTTCTTACAATAGCCCAAGCAGATGAAATGGTCGAGGAAAAGGTATCAAGTTTTTGCCACTAAATTGGATGTTAACTGTGAGCTTATCATATATGGCCTTTATTGGTAGAGGTACATTCCTTCGATACCTAATCTGTTGAGAGTCTGAATTCTGTCAAATCCTTCTTCTGCAAATGTATTAAGAATGTTTTTTGTCCTTCATTCTGTTAATGTGGTGTATCCTACTTATTGATTTGTATATGTGGAACCATCCTTGCATCCCAGGGATAAATTCCACTTGACTGTGGTGAATGATCCTTTTAATGTGTAGTTAATTCAGTTTGTTAGTATTTTGGCAAGGATAGTGACAAAGGACATTGGCCTATAATCTTTTTTTTTTTTTTTCTTATAGTGTCCTTCTCTGGCTTTGGTATCAGAGTAATGCTGGTCTCATAAAATGAGTTTGAAAGTATTCCCTCCTCCTCTTCAATTTTTTTTTTAAGAGTTTGAGTACAGTGAAGTCATCAGGTGCTGGGCTTTCCTTTGATGGGGGACTTTATTACTGTTTTAATCTCTTTACTTGCTATTGGTTAGTTCCAATTTTCTATTTCTTCATGATTCATGTTAGATTCTATGTGTCTAGGAATTTATACATTTTTAGGTTATCCAATTTGTTGGCATAGAGATGTTGCATAATAGTCTCTTATGATCCATTATATTTCTGTGGTATCAGCTGTAATGTCTCCTTTTTCATTTCTGATGTTATATATTTGGGTCTTTTTTCATTTCTTAATCTAGCTAAGGTTTGTCAATTCTGCTTATCTTTTCAAAAAAACCAACTCTTGGTTTCATCAATCTTTTCTATTGTTTTTCTAATATCTTCTGCTTTGATCTTCATTATTTCCTTTCTTGTACTAATTTTGGGATTAGTTTGTTCTTTTTCTGCTTCCTTGAAGTATAATGTTGTTTGAGATGACTTTTTCAATGTAGGTGTTTATTGTTACAAAATTTCCTTATTAGAACTCCTTTTGCTGCACCCCATAGTTTTGTAAACTGTGTTTCCATTTTCATTTCTCTCAAGATATTTTAAAATTTCTCTTTAAATTTAGTCATTAATCCATTGGCTTTTCTTGATTTCCACATATTTGTGAATTTTCCAAAATTCCTCCTGTTACTGATTTCTAATTTCATATGATTTTGGCTGGAAAAAATACTTGATATGATTTCAATCATTTTGGTTAAGATTTGTCATGTGGCCTAACATATGATCAATCCTGAAGAATGTTCCCTTACACTTGAAAACAATGTGTATTACAATGTTGGATGGAATGTTCTATATATCTCTGTTAGGTCCATTTGGCCTAAACTATAGTTCCAGCCCAATGCTTCCTTTTGATTTTGTCTGGATGATTTATCCATTATTGAAAGTGGGGTATTAAAGTCCCCTACTATTATTGTATTGCAGTCTATTTTTTCCTTCACATCTATTAATATTTGCTTTATATATTTAGATTCTCTGATATTGGTTACATATGTTTATAATGTAGTATCCTCTTAATAAACTGGCCTCTTTATCAATTATATACTTACCTTTTTGTCTTTTTTTACATGTTTTGGCCTAAAGTGCATTTTTTTTCTGATATACATGTAGCTACCCCTGCTCTCTTTTGGTTTCCATTTGCATGGAATACCATATTTTATTCCTTCACTTTTAGTCTGTGTGTGTCCTTATACTGGAAGTGAGTCTCTCACAGGGCACATACAGCTAGCTGGGTCTTAAAAAAAATCCATTCACTGACTATATATGTTTTTAAATTGGATAATTTAATCCATTTATATCCGAGGCAATTGTTGATAGGTAAAGGTTTATTATTGCCTTTGTGTTCACTGTTTTCTGTTTTCGTTTTGTTTTTAATGCAGATCCTTTGTTCCTTTCTTCCTCTCTTGCTGTCTTCCTTTGTGATTTGGTGATTTTCTGTAATTATATGCCTGGATTCCTTTCTCTTCATCTTTTGTATATCTACTATAGGTTTTTGCTTTGTGGTTACCATTAGGCTTAAGAAAGAACAATTCATAGTTATTAGGAGTCTATTTCAAGCTGATAATAACTTCAATCTCATATACAAACTCTCTATACTTTTATTCCTCCTATTCTATGCTTTTGATATCACAATTTACATCTTTTCATATTGTACATCCTATGACAAATTATTGTAGCTATTATTTTAATAGCTTTGTCTTTTAATTATAATAAAAACAAGTGATTTATACACCACCATTATTAGAGTATTCTGAATTGACTATTACCAGTGAGTTTTACACTTTCATATGTTTTCATGTTCCTAATTAGCATTCTTTTTCTTTTCAGCCTGAAGAATTCCCTTTACCATTTCTTGTAAGGCAGATCTAGTGATGATGAACTTTCTCAGATTTTGTATGTCTGGAAAAGTCTTCTCTCTCCCTTTCTGAAGGACAGTTTTGCTGGGTTTGGTTTTTTGGTTGGCAGGTTTCTTTCTTATTTTCAGCACTTTGAATATATCATCCCACACTTTCCTGGCCTACTAAGTTTCTGCTTAGAAATGTGCAGATAACTTCCTGAGGGTTCCCTTGTATGTGAAGATTTTCTCTTGCTGTTTTCAATAGTCTCTCTGTGATTTTTGACAGTTTGACTATAATATGTTGTAGTGTGGTCTTTGGTTTGAAAATGACTGGAGAACTTTGACTCTCCTTTACCCCGATGTGACTATCTCTCCCCAGATTTGTGACGTTTTCAATCATTATTTCTTTAAAAATACTTTCTACCCCTTCTCTCTTCTACTTCCTTAATTGCTATAATGTGAACATTAGCTCTGTTGAGGATATCCCATAAATCACACAGGCTTTCTTCACTCCTTTTCATTATTTTTCCTTCTCTGACTGGATATTTTCAAATAACCTGTATTTGAGTTCACAGATTCTTTCTTCTGTTTGATCAATTCTGCTCTGATGCTCTCTATTGCCATTTTTCACTTTGTTCAGTTTATATTCAGCTCCAGAATTTCTGCCTAGTTACCTTTTTTTAAATAATTTCAATCATTCTGTTAAACTCCTCATTTTATTTGTGTATTGTTTTCCTGATTTTGTTGAATTGCCCCTCTGTGTTCTCTGGTAGTTTACTGAGCCACCTTAAAAGAATCATTTTGAATTATCTGCCAAGATATTCATAGATCTTCTATTTCTTTAGGATTAGTTCCTGGAAAAGTATCATGTTCTTTGGTGGTTTTATGATTCTTTGGCTTTTCACGTTGCTTGTTACTTTGCATTAATGTCTGCATAGTTGATGAAGCAGTCACCTCCTTCTGACTTCATATACTGGTTTCAGTGGAGAAAAAAACTTCTCCTTCAGGTGGGTGTGAGGACACCAGCTGGGTGCAGTGTGACAGTTCTGACTCCAGTAAGGGCATAGCAGCATAATCTCTGTACAGCTCTATCAACTGATGTTAGCACTGTCAAAGATTACAAGGATCCTCAGCAGCCACTGTCCACAGCAGCGGCAAGGGTTATTGGGTGCTCCAGTCACGAAGACTGGTGGGGTCGGTCCTCCTCATCTCTTTTTCTCCTGCCAGGAAAGTTGTGGCCAGTGGAATCCCTCTTGGCACTGGGTCTGACTTGCAGGTGCATTTGCAGTGGTGGCAGCAATGGTATCTCATATGAGGCATCCATGAAACAGCCAACAATTTGGGTTCTGGAGCATGAGCATGTGTAGGAACCATGGCTCCAGGGTCTAGGGCTGAGGTGGCACCCATATTCAGAGTGCAGGTTCCACCATTCCCATGTTAGTAACAATGTGCAAGATGTGACTGCTTTTAGATCAGCCAGGGGGCTGAGATCCAAAGCAGCAGCACACACACAGCTACAATGTTTCTGGGGTCTGAGGCATGGACTCACTCACTGTGGTAGAAGTAGTTTCATAGACACAGAAACCACAGCTCCAGGGCGCAGGATACAGATTATTCCATAAAGGCAGTGGTTCTTGTTTCTGAGGCATGGGCACACAGGGAATTACAAAGGTTCTGGGGTCCAAGGAGTGGTCTAGTATATTGTGAAGATGTCAGATGTCAGATGTCTGAGGCACAGATGTTGAAAGAGTAGCAATGCAGCCAATGTTCATAGCAAAGCAACCTGGGCTCCAAGGCTTGGGTTGAGGCTAGTCCACAGCCATGATGGTTCTTGTGTTTGAGGTGAGAGTATGCATAGTGGGACAGAGTCTGCAATGTGGGTATGCGGCCATGGAGCCAAGGCCTGGTGTGTGGACATGTATGGGGCAGTGGAAGCTCTGGAGTCTGGGGCTCATGTCAGGATTGGGAGGGTGGTGGTCCCAGTCCTGGAAAGGCAGCTCCTTCTTGGTGGTGGTGGTGGGGGTAGAGGGTGCAACCACATCCTCCTCTTTGGGGATCCACAGTGGTGATGACTGTTGATCACCTCAATGGCAAAAGATACTGATGTTGTGGTCAGTGGTGACTATGGTAGCACCTACCATTTGCCTGATACCGGTAGCCCCCACCCTTCTTTGTTTCTAGCCATCTCCAGATGTCTCAGGTATGCCAGTCTCCCCAGCTATCCTTTCTGTGCAGTTATCCTCTGGATTTTTGTTTGTTCACTCCACTATGTTGCTACAAATTCATACTTAAACATTTGAGCCCTCCCAAGGCTACTTTCATTCATGGAAAGATATCTAGTTCTTGTTTTTTGTTCGGGAGTGAAGACTGGTATCTCCTACTCGACTATCTTGCTTCTATCACTCAGCTTAGCTGTGCTTTCTTGTCAAAATTAGGAAAACAAAGGTGATCGTTTCCGATGATAAATACAATTAACACTTGCATAACTTCTGCAAAAGGGCTTTACTATTCTGGTTTCTCCATATAGGACATAAATGCCAGTTTGTTTCATCTATGAAGGTGGTTTATTTTTAAATAAAGGTTATGTAGAACTTTTAAGTGACACATATTATATAGAAGTCTCGAAGAAAATTATGTTATGATCACCTGTAGAGTTTTCTAAGCAATATGGTCCAAGAGGATGAGTTTCTCCACCTGATTCTGTGAGAATCAAGGCAATCAAAACAGTTATTTACTTGATCATCCTCAGATGTGTTGGGGTGAAGAAGAGAGGATTGTGATTCACTGATTTATAGCAAGATTTAAAGAAATTCATACATATACAAGCAATCTGATGCTTTTTTCATTAAAAACTTCAACTTTATAATAATATCTTAATTTTTCCTTTGAAAACAAAACAGCTTTTTTTTCTTTTCGTTACGTGGATGTTGAAAATGACTCAGTCAATTTAACTTTGGCCTAAGCCAGCTAAAGTCTGTAGATATAGAAGTACAGCTTAAATGGGAGTTAAAGGATCTGGGCTAAAATCCCAGCTTTGCCATTAACTAACAACACTGAGAGAAAATCTAGTAAACACATAGTCTTTTAAACATCACGTTGCTCAAAAAAAAGCCTTTTTAAAAACAAATGAGCTTATTTTAATTGAAGTACTACTTCCCTCAAAGATGTCCACATGCCACAGTAGACAATATTTCTTGCTTGGGCATGGTCGCTCATGCTGTGATACCAGCAATTTGGGAGGCCAAGGCAGGAAGATAGCTTAAGGCCAGGAATTCAAGACCATCCTGGGCAACATAGCTAAACCTTGTCTCTACAAAAAAATTTTAATACTTAGCCAAACATGATGGCACATATCTGTAGTCCTAGCTACTCAGGCAGGAAGGATCCCTTGAGCTGAAGAGTTCAGACTGCAGTGAGCTATGACTATGCCACTGTACTCCAGCCTGGGCAACAGAGTGAGACCTTTTCCCTAAAAATAAAAATAAAAATAAAATATTTCTTTACCATTTTTAGCTACTAGTCTGTTCACAATTACACTTTTGAATTTCTGCCCTTTACTTCCATTCCACTTCTCCCACAGAAAGGAAAAGGTTCTTCATTTAAGTATAATTTGCAAATTCCCTAGAATTCACTCAACTTTTTGTTTTCCTTATAAACAAAACAAAATTCAACTTCTCTCATCTATGTCAGACATGCAGGGAATAAAAAAAGATAACAAATAGAAAAACAACCTGCAAACTCCACATTATACAAATATTAAGTTACTCTTGTTTGCAATTAATAATGAAATGTTTTCAGTCTCTTTGCCCTTTGAATCTTGGCACTGAGTTTCTACTCCTATTTATCCAGTTCCTCAAAGGGAAATACTGGATCACCTTGCTTTTCAGTTCTTTTCCTTTCCATTGGCAAAGCAGGAAAGCAAGCACAAAACCATGAGTATTCATTTCTATGGGTCTGCAAAAACTTAATTATTTTCTATTTTTTAATCTGGAGTCACCCAACAGCCCTTACTAAACATCAACAATTCCCCTTTTTTCTTTGGTGAATGCCTTAATCTGTTGAAAAGAATTCCCTTAATCAAGTCTGCTTATTTACATATCTAAGTAAAAACTTAAAGAAAATTTGAATATATGCTGACCAATTTAGGGAAATAGTGGGATTTTTTTTCCCCAACATTTGAAACAATTGTGTGATCTGGAAGATATTGGTAGGTTTCCTGGAATAAGACAAGCAGCATTATTTCTTCCTTTTCCACAACCCTTGGAGAATTAAAACATGTCTGTGTCAAAATCTGTGTTTCCCCAAAATGCAGCCTGGAAAAATGTAACTGATCATCATTCCCCAGGAAAAGAAGAAAAGAAATGCTAGAATTCTATGGCTCTACCACCAGATGAGAAATAACGTAACTGTAGCCAACTTTTGTCAGCGACTCACCCACATCCCCTCACATTTAACCAGTTCAGTGTTCATGGACCTGACTGGGCTCCTTCACCAAATAAAAAGAACATTGGAGGCAAAAATCCATTCATCTTACAGTGGAAGGACTATATCTTAAATCTACAAAAAACATAAAGTCCCTCTATTATGCTTTCCAAAGGAAAAGTGACTTTCTTTTACTTCAAATGCATACTAGCCTCTCAACCAAAAGTTATTATTAAAGTCCGTTAGTAATATCATTATGAATTAAAGTCAATTAGTAATATCATTATGAACTAATTTATTGCCTACTACATTTTTGGAGGAAAAGTAACAAAGTCAAGCGAAATATATATTTAAAACAAGAATGGTAATTGTAATGACTAATGTGAATACTTTCCAATTTTCTAAAACAATTATATTCCTTCACAGCTAACTTCCTGATCAATTTTTCCTATCAGGGCTACTAACTCAAAGAAAAATAGAAGGCATATAATATTAATATAATCTAAAATTTTAAGGTAAATATAATGCATTTTACTTATCAACTTTAAAAATTACAAACACTGAAAATTATAATAAAATCATTACTTTTAAATGTCCATATTTTGGTATATTTCATTTATTCAGTCATTGAACATTCATGGGGGGAGGGGGTCTATGACGTACAAGATACATCTTGTGGCCCATTTAATATTAGAAACAAAGGAAGGAATGGAAAAAACATCAAGTAAACACAATGCAACTCCACAATGAAATTTTTAAAAACCATATATAGAAGAGAGAAATTTCAGATTGCTAGCCTCAATGTTTATGTCTTTACAACTACATATACAAACACAGAAATAGTCATTCACTCACTCAACAAATACCAAGCAATCATTAAACAGAAGACAATACTAGCCTATACGATAAAAGAGTAGTACACTAATACTCATGTTGCTTAAAATTAAGTTGAAGTCAACTTTAGTATTTACTACTCTGGACTTATAATTTAAGGTAAGAAATCAACATATTCAATAAAGACAATGAAAATTTGTGTTAGCACTTATTAAAAATTTAGAACCAAAAAATGCATCTGTTTATTTGGTATTTTATGTTTAAAGTTTCACTCTGAACTTTATACATTAAAAATACTCATCTAGATTTGAAAAATCTTTTCACAAACGTAGAGAAGAAAATAACAAAAATAAACTTAAAATAAACTTATAAGGATATTTTAAATTTAAAAATGTATTTAATGACCTAAGATAGAACTGATTAATTCTAATTTTAAAAAGCAGAAACTGTTTTTATATTCACACCAAAAGATACAAATAAAGTTATGTCATTTGCTCTCAATATTTAGTCAATTTCAAAATTAATATAATGTTGAGTACAGTCTTTCCCACAAGAAATCTATTAGTGTTAGCAAAAATATTCAAAACAACATTTTGTATTTAATGTATGGGAAGATATATGAAATCAAGAAATGTTGAATAGATTTCAAGTATTAAAGAAAAACCAAAAAAAAAAACCAAAACAATTATCAAATAATTCAGTGAAATAAAAAATATAAAGAGCTGTTACATAAATTTAGTATTATTGATTTGTATAGATCAGATGAGTTTAACCTTAAAACAAAGTTTATGTGACCTCTAAAATGCAGGTGGGGCTTTAATAACCAAGGCATTAATCATAATATTAAGAGGCCAATAATGCAAGAGGCCAGAAGCCTACCTTAATGAACTGATATTAAATTTCTTAGATACATTATTTTCTTAAAATTTATGTCTACAGTCTCTGAATCCCCTCTAGCTGATTATGGGAAAAAGAAAGACAGCAGGAGAAATAAACTTTTCAAACCAGAACCCAATTTTTTCCAGGTTACTTTCCTTCAGTTTACCTCAATAAACTGGCAGAGTTGGTGAAAAATAGGAGGTACGTTATTTAGTAAAAAAAAATTTTTTTTCTATCATTTGAATTTCACCATTTCTGTATATGTTTTACACAAATTTCTAAACTTAGTGTTTCCTCACTAAATTCAAGAAATAAATGTAAATCTTAAAATGTTTTGAAAAATCAAAATTGACATGCCTTTGAGAAGAAATTATCAGAAAGTTGGCTGGGTGCGGTGGCTCATGCCTGTAATCCCAGCACTTTGGGAGGCCAAGGTCAGCAGATTACCTGAGGTCAAGAGCTTGAGACCAGCTTGACCAACATGGAGAAACCCTATCTCTACTAAAAATACAAAATTAGCTGGGCGTGGTGGTGCACACCTGTAATCCCAGCTACTTGGGAGGCTGAAGCAGGAGAATCGCTTGAACCCAGGACGTGGAGGTTGCAGTGAGCCGAGATCGTGCCATTGCACTCCAGCGTGGGCAACAAGAGCAAAACTCCATCTTAAAAAAAAAAAAAAAGAAAAAAGAAAAAGAAAAAAAGAAATTATCAGAAAGTGCAAAGTGTGGTATCTACCCTTAATAGGGGTTGGTTGGTTAAGACTAACAGATATATTAGCCAACTGCATAGGACAAAACACAATTTAATGACAAACTGTATGGCAGACTAAGCATTATAGGAAATCAATGAAGAGACTACTAATGAAAATAACATAGTTCAAAACAGTCTGAAAAGACAAAATTTTCTTCCTTTTTTTGATATGAGTTTTACTCCCGTCACACAGACTGGAGTGCAAGGGGGTGATACGGGCTCACTGCAACCTCCACCTCCTGGGTTCAAGCAATTCTCCTGCCTTAGCCTCCCAGGTAGCTGGGACTACAGGTGCACACCACCATGCCGGGCTAATTTTTGTATTATATTTTTTGTATAGATGAGGTTTTGCCATGTTGCCCAGGCTGGTCTCGAACTTCTGGGTTCAAGCAATCTGGCCACCTGGGCCTCCGAAAGTGCTGGGATTACAGGCGTGAGCCACCAAGCCCTGCCCAAAAGTTTCTTATTCTTGTTTCTAGCTTAAAAAAGACAAATCTTTCCATTAGCTCTTCTCAACAACAAAAAAATTTACTGAATGTGCCCACTACATTTTATTTAAATACTTCACAAGCATTGTATATACAAAAATTGGTAAATTTTCAGACTTCTTTCAGAACACATGTACCTAATAATTCTTGTAGCTCTAAGTATCAGTGATGCAATGTTGAGAAAACAGCATATTACAAGAGAATAAGTATGTGTTTAGAGTCATATATATGAGCAAAATCCTGTTTCTGCCCCTTACTTGGCTTTTTAACCATTGGTAAATTATTTAACCCATGCTGAGTCTGTTTCTTCTTAAGTGAAATAAGGATAACAACTACCTGCTAGGGTTGTTGAAAGAATTAAATGAGATATCATATGTTAAATAACTAGCACAATGCCAGCCAGAAAAATAATCTGCGCTTATTAACTACTATAAATTCCACATGCAAACAAATTTCAATTACAGTGATATCAGAACACTAGAAGACCCGAATGCTTACTTTGCTTTATATTTTATTTCTCACTATAAAAACTAATATACTGATCTTCTATTTCATAGTAAATATCAATGTGTTTGGCTTCTAATTCTGTAATTCTCATTTATTTTTGAGAATTTGAAAAAGTTTATTTTTAACTTTTAAGTTCAGGGGTACAAGTGCAGGTTTGTTACATAGATAAATCTGTGTCATGCAGGTTTGTTATACAGATTATTTCATCACCCAGGTTTTAAGCCTAGTGCCCATTAGTTATTTTTCCTGATCCTCTCCCTCCTCCCACCCTGCACCCTTTAAAAAGCCCCAGTGAGTGTTGTGCCCCTGTATGTATCCATGTGTGACAGACTTCTTTCCCCCAAAATGCTATATATACAAACAATAATTCACATCAATTTGGGGACAGTAATAGATCCCCTGAAAACTAAATTAAAAATTATGCTTTATCTGACCATTTCAACTAAAATTTAGTCAATTAAATAAAATTAAAATCTCATTTCCTTAGTATCACTGGCCAAATCTTAAGTGTTAAATATCCACATAAGTCTAGTGCCTATTAGATGGCATAGACATAAAAGATTTCCAACATCTCAGAAGTTTCTATTGGACAGAGTTGGTCTGTAGTGTTATCACGGTGTGATAACTGAAACTATTTTTCTCTGCTTTTTATTATTCAATATCGAGATACCTCTCTCTCAAGTACATGCCCCAAAAGGCAGAGGTTGTGAATATGTTGCTCACAACTGAATCTTAGTGTCTAGCACATAATAAGCATTCAATAGATATCTTACAGCTGACATTATAGTTTTGTTTTAGTTATACTAAGCTAGCAAAAACTAACTGAATTGTTAAAGGTCAGTTCTGAAAGCTATGAGTACGAGTAGAGAGTTAAGGAAAAAAAGTAGTAAGTCAACTTACATGTACTCTCAACTGATACACTCCCAAAGACAATGAGGGCTCCCTATGTGCAGACTAAAGTTTTTTAGTTAGATACACATATTAACTAGATCACTTAAACAAAGATTAGGCCTTGTCCACAGCCTATTCAAGAATAGAAAATATGCTTATTTATAGCTCAATAATTTCATTATTCCTGTATGGGTTTTTCCTAGATAGAAAAGTTGAGTAAATTTATTTTTAAATAGTATGTATATACTCACACACAATAATTTAACAAACAAAACATTAAAAAAATTCAACAAAAGTTTTATAACATAAAAGATTATGGTGGCTGGATGTGGTGGCTCACGCCTCTAATCCCAGCACTTTGGGAGGCCGAGGCGGGTGGATCACAAGGTCAGGAGTTCGAGACCAGCCTGACCAACATGGTGAAACCTTGCCTCTACGAAAAATACAAAAATTAGCTGGGTGTGGTGGCACACACCTGTAATCCCAGCTACTCAGGAAGCTAAAGCAGGAAAATTGTTTGAACCCGGGAGGCGGAGGTTGCAGTGAGCCAGGATTGCACCACTACACTCCAGCCTGGGCGACAGAGCGAGACTCTGTCTCAAAAATAAAAATTAAAAAAAAAAAAAAAGATTATAGCATTAAGATTTTAGAAAATCTATTTCTTGTCAACATACCTGGAAACTAAGATAATTGCTGCTATATATGGAACAGAAAATAGTCTAATAATAATTTTGCACTTACACTGCCACATTTTTTCTAAGGGTATATTCATCCAAATCGTCATCAGAGCTGCTATCAGTTGCATCGGAATCCAAACCCTCTTCAACATGAGACAACAGCCCTGTAGCAGAAAATGCAAATCTTTGGATTTCCGCAGCTGTACACCGTGCAAAGCCATTTTTTGCATCATCCCACAATTTATTCTCTGCAGTCAATGTGTTAACTTCTGGCTTAATTTCAGTGCATTTAGGTAAACTATTACCCAAAATTGTGGTAGGTTCATGAAATGTCTTCATTTTGGGGAGTTGATGTTTCATAGACAATTTCATCTGCTGACCATAGTGCTTAACAACATGCTTTGCCAGGAGCATCTGCAAATGTTTCTGAGTTCTTCTAGCCTGGCTAAGTAAAATTTTCTGTTTGCTTACACAATGAAGTAAACGAGCATGTACTTCCTCCTCTTTTTCAGCAGCTGAAGAACTAACAGGCACATTTGAGTGGCCAGGTACAATTTTCTTTTGAGTACAGTGCAATAAACCCTTTTTAATCTCAGCATCAGTAACTTTATCCAAAAGTGCATTCTCTTGATACCATTTACAGTTTTGTAGTTGTACTTTATCTACATTAGTGTCTTTGGTTATATTTGAATCCAGAATAATTTGTACATCTTTCATGCACTGGCTCGTGGTATCTGATAGAGGCTCCTTTTTGATGAACTCTTCAGAATGAGAAAGACAGATTTTACTGAGCTGAATGTTGCTGCCATTATACAGTATGTTTTTCAGCTTATTGCAACTGGGCTCCCCTAATTTCTTTTGTTTATAATTCTCATTGTGTTTATTTAATGTAGAATTAGATCTCATTAAAAAAACAGTCTGGTAATGTTTTGAAGACTGAGGGGAGCCAAAATGTTTTAAATTCACAAAATTAGTATTAAGAGTAGGTTCAGGAGTTGGAAATCCAAGCATCTGAGAAAAGGTGTCTCCCTTTAGCTTTTCATCTACAGTTCTGGGACTTTCCATGTAGAGCATCTTGTCAGACTCCATGGTACTTGGCAAAGATGAAAAGCTGATACCCTTTGCTGTTGCCTCCCTCAGAGCTGGGGTCATGGCGATTCCTGTAGATAAGTATTGGAAACCTACAATAATGTAAAAATAAATGGTCAAATATCTAGAAAAAAATTTTATGCTTATACTTTTTTCTAAGGGCAACATGTTCAATGTTTCTGATTAGAACATGAAGGAACAAAACTCCTCCTTCATCTCCCAACTCCCAACATTATTTCAACAAAGATTAAGCTATTCTTCCCTCTGACTGGGGGCCTAATAGCTAAAACCCCAATTAAAGCTACACATTGCTAGCACATAATAGGTGTTCAACAAATATTTGTGGATGTAATTACATCTCAGAATTCTATTTTTTGACAACATTTAATTACAGTCAAAAGAAAAAAAAAAATCCAGCCTATAATCTGGTAATAACAATAGAAAATGTGACTCAATTGTGTACTTTCAGCCAAAAATAAGAATTGCTTATCTTTATAAAATATAATAAATTTATCTAAACTTCTATTCCTGAAATTAATCATCACAGCCTGAACGGTATTAATAACAAGAACTAAAATATAATAAATAATGTGTAAGAAGACCTAAGTGAGGCCGGACGTGGTGGCTCACACCTGTAATCCCAGTACTTTGGGGTGCCGAGGTAGGCGGATCACCTGAGATCAGGAGTTCGAGATCAGCATGGCCAACATGGTGAAACTCTGTCTCTACTAAAAATATAAAAATTAGCCGGGCATGGTGGTGGGCAACTGTAATCCCAGCTACTTAGGAGGCTGAGGCAGGAGAATCACTTCAACCCAGGAGGCAGAGGTTGCAGTAAGCAGAGATCACGCCAATGCACTCCAGCCTGCATGACAGAGTAAGACTCTGTCTCAAAGAAAAGAAAAAGATGACCTAAGTGAACAGAACTAAAAACATATAACTTCACAGCTGTTAAAAATATGTGATAGTAAAAACTTGCCTAATGCAATGTCTCCTCTAAACGTATCTGCAATTTTACCCTTTTCACAAATGAATATGCATCAGAATATGCATTTACTCCTGCCTAGAAAATAGCGGAGACAGTGTCAGATAACCGCTAAAGATTTATCCCATAATTAAACAAATTTCATTGCATATTATCAAAAGTATAAATCCATATATTGATTCGCAGAAAAAGGCAACCCAGTACCCTTAAACATTATGAAGGCTGAATAGTTTGTAAAATAATTTTATGTCATTAACAATTATAAGCTTTTAAAGATACCTAGTATTTTGTAACCTGATATGCCAAAATTTTTGTTTCAACACATAATAGTTGATAGTCATTTAAATGGCACACTCTCATAGTGTATGTCCCCAGGTGCTAGTTATAACTCTACTTCCTTTATTCCTACTTAAAAACACAAAACCAAAAGCTGATTCTTTACAAAGTCCAACAAAAATGATCAAGAAGAAAATAAAAGCACAACAATTTCTATGTAATTAAAAAAACGGTTACTAGCAAAATGACAGACTAGGAGAAAATATTTGCAACATATATATCAGACAAATATTAGTTATCTAGACTATAGGAGGAATTCCTACAAATGAGCAAAAGATAGAGCAGTCAGGTACTTCACAGATGATGACATCCAAATGGTCATTAAACACAGACTTAATCATACTAGTAATGAGAGGAATATAGATTAACAAAACAAGAGCCTAGTTTTCCAATCACCAAACTGATAAAAATTTTTTTTTTCTGAAAACATCACATACATATCATGAGATGTAAGACTTCTCATATCTATTGGGATCATAAATTGGTTCAGTAATTTGACCACAATGTAGAAAATGTGTTTGTCAAACACATTTTTACCAAAGGGTAATGTTCATAATGGCAAAACATCCTTTCAAAACAATCTAGATGTCTAACAATAACAAAACAGAGAATAAAATGTGATGGAATACTATATTGCCATTAAAAAGGAATGACTTAAAGTATCAATACAGAAAGACCTTAAAAACAGTATCAAGTTAAAAATAAAAAAGAACACTGTAAAATATATATATAGTATAGTACCATATAAATATAACACAAACACAAAACCATACCATATATACGTATACATTTGTGTCTGTTTGCAAGAATAAAAAGTGAACCAGAAAAATACCTACCAAACTTGTACTAGTAGTTGCATCAAGTTAAGTTCCATGAAACAGAACTAAAAGTGATAGTTCAAGGGGATTTGCATTTTAACTACAAAATCTTATTACTTGAGGGGAAAAGACTAAATGCAAAATGAATAAATGTTAATGGTTAATACTGAGTGAAAAAAATTATAGATGTTTGCCTTTTTATGTATACACTTTATTGTATAATGTCTCAAAATGTAATTTCTATATGAGTTTCTGTATGTCTCAAAATTTATACACTTTTATATAATGCCTCAAAAATAAGCAAATAGATTCCCATTTATCCTAAATGCAAAAAAAAAAAGAAAAAAAAGATGGTTTTTTTCAGTTTATACTCTTTTATGGAAATAGAAAAACAATTCTAAAACAAGCTAGCATTAGGAAATTTCTTCCAAGATTCAAGTTGTTACTTGACCAACTCAAAGACCTATGTCTTCTAATCAATAAACACCCACAATAGTATTTAGTGTCTACATTGTTCTCTGAGGGAAACTGCTTTAATCACGCTTCTTGTTGATGTTACAGCACTCCTCAAAAGATACTAAACTTTATCTCCCACACCACACACCTGTCCCTCTCAAAAATCTGAACAGCGTACTATGAATATAACCAAACTAGCGAGCAGCAGAGACAGAAGGTGAAATATCACAAGGCAGGAAAATTCATCTTAGTCTCTGGATAAAGATACGGAAAAGCTAAATATAACAAGTAGAGAAAAGACGTGGGTGCAGTGGCTCATGCCTGTAATACAAGCACTTTGGGAAGTCAAGGTGAAGGATTGCTGGAGCCCTGGAGTTCGAGACCAGCCTGGGCAACATAAGGAGACTTCTCTACAAATACTAAAAAATGTCCTAGGTGTGGCGACATGTGCCAGTGGTCCCAGCTACTTGAGAGGCTAAGGCAGGAAGATCACTTGAGCCTGGACGTTGAAGCTGCAGTGAGCTGTGATTGCACCACTGCCCTCCAGCCTGAGCAACAGAGCAAAACACTGTCACAGAAAAAAAAAAAAAAAAAAAAAAAAAAAAAGATACACATGGCTGGGCACAGTGGCTCATGCCTATAATCCCAGCACTCTGGGAGGCCTAAGAGGTGGATCGTTTGAGCCCAGGACTTCCAGACCAGCCTGGGCAACATGATGAAATCCAGGCTCTGCAAAAAAATGATAGTGCCATTGCACTCCAGCTTGAGTGACAGAGCAAGACCCTGTCAAAAAAAAAGAAAGCAGATTAGTATTTAAGAAATACAATTCGTAGCAAAAAGAGAAAGGGAAAAAATGCAAAGATTAAAAGTGGCTAAGGCCCATTTATGGTAGAGAACTAGAATAAAACATATATACAAAATCTCTGGGTGAGATCTCTAGGGCTTACCGGTAGGACAGGTAGCTTCCAAAATAACCTTAATAATCCCCACCCTCTTCGTATTCATGCCCTTGTTTAATCCTCTCCTAGAACAGGGACTGGATTTAGTAACTCACTTTTAATGAAAATGTAGCAGAGGTGATAAGATGACTTCTGAGATTAGGTAACAAAGAGACTGTGGCTTCCATCTGGCCACCCTCTCTTATTCAGGGAAGCCAGCTGCCATGTTATGAGCTAGAAAGACCCACATGGTATAGAAATGATGTCTCCAACCAACATATAGCAAAGAATCTGAGGCCTGCTAACAGCCATGTGAGTGATCTGAGAAACAGATCCTTCCCAGTAATGCCTTTAGATGACTGTTGCCCTAGCCAACACCTTGATTAACAACAGCCTTATGAGAGACCTTGAGCCAGAGGCACCCAGCTAAGCTTACATGCCTACATTCTTGACCCACAGCAATTATGAAATAACACGTAATTTAAGCCACTAAATTTGGGGGTAATATACTACACAGTAATAAATAATGAATACACTTGGATATGAAGACTTTTAAGCTCTAGTCTATGAAAGTCCGGGACATATCATAGCTCTTATTCAGGGATTTCCATTAAGTCCTTCTGTATTCTATTCCCAAGTGTATCCTTATAAAAAAAAAAAAAAACCTAGCCTAAGTAAGTCTCTCTACTTTGCAACCAAAAGAAACTAATGAAAATAGCTATGTCTCCTATAAATAAAAAAGATTAAATTATGTTCAGTATAGTTTTAGCACAAAATATAAGTACATTTCTTCCAATTATTTAAATTATCTAGATATATAATCATTTTACATAACAATGTTTCCCAACTGAATATTCTAAACTACCACTTCTGACGACCTCCATATTATATAAACAACTACACTTATCACTAACACTTCTAAGCTCTATTAAAGGCTTGGATTTTTGAACAGTTTTGTTAACTACTGTATCCTCAACATGCAAATCTATTTGACATACAGAAGATGCGCAACAAATAACCTGGTGAGAAAATGAGTGGTTGCCAGTATATTTAAAATCCAAAGTTGTCCTTACGATAGCCTACAAAATTGGTATTATCAGGTTCCTGACTACTTTGCCTTCTACAACTCTTTCCATGAATTACTGCACTCCAGAAACACCGGCCTCTATGCTGTATTTGAAACACACCAAGCAAGTCTCTTGACACAGTGACTTTGTGTTTGCTATTCTCTCAGCCTGAAACAATTTTTTACAAATAAGATGGCTGGCTCCCTCACTTCATTTACTTCTGCTCTAAGGTCACCTCATCAGAGTCCTTCCCTGACCAATATATTTTAAATAGCTTCAGCCTCTTGGTTCATGACTCTCCATTCCCTTACACTGCTTTATTGCTCTTCATAGCACTATTGCCACCTGACATTATATTACATTCTAGGAAAGAATGTAGTTTAAGTGCAAGAACTCAATGATCTAATCTCCAGCACTAGAATAATGCCTGGCACACAGTAATTATCATGTATTTGTTGACTAAATTCATAAATTAATTGATCATGATATTTAAAGGCATTTCAGGATTTTGGTACTCACAAGTAGTAACAACACCTATTTCAATTACTATTTTTTAATTGTACAAAACAACAAAATATAGAAAGGATACTATGTTCAAGTATGGCTTATTTCATGAACACAAGACTGGTTCAACATTAAAGAAAACAACAGGCCGGGCGCGGTGGCTCACGCCTATAATCCCAGCACTTTGGGAGGCCGAGGCAGGCGGATCGAGACCATCCTGACTAAAAAGGTGAAACCCCGTCTCTACTAAAAATACAAAAAAAATAGCTGGGTGTGGCGGTGGGCACCTGTAGTCCCAGCTATTCGGGAGGCTGAGGCAGGAGAATGGTGTGAACCCGGGAGGTGGAGCTTGCAGTGAGCCGAGATCACGCCACTGCACTCCAGCCTGGGTGACAGAGCGAGACTCCGTCTCAAAAAAAAGAAAACAATAACTAAAATTCACCATATCAATAGACTAAAGAGAAACCATATGATGTCAATAAATGGAGAAAAAGCATTTGACAAAATTCAATATCCATTCATGAGAAAAACTCAGCAAATTAGGAAGGAGAGGGAATGTCTTTAATCTGATAAAAAGCATGTACACAAATGCCTATAGCTCACATCATAATTAATGGTGAAAGACTGAATGTTTCTGCCCTAAGACTGGGAATGAGGCAAGGTAGACATTTCTCACCACTCATACTCAATGTTGTACTGGAGGACCTAGTTAGTGCTGTAGAGCAAGAAAAAAAAAAGAAATAAAAAGCACAGATTAGAAAGTAAGTAAAACTGTCTCTATTCACAGATGACGTGATTTTCTACATAGAAAATCCCAAGGGATTGAACTCCTCGACTAATGAATTTAATAAGGCAGCAAACACAAGGTCAACCTACAAAACTCATTTATATTTCTATATGCTAGAAATAAAAAACTAGAAATAGAAATTTTTAAACAGTAATAATTCCAACACCTGCAAAAATGCTTTGGTATAAATCTAAACACAAGATGATGCACATGGTCTTTATACTGAAAAATACAAAACACCCATAAAAATATCAAGACCTAAATAGTGCATTACACTATGTTCACAGATAAAACTATTCAATATTGTTATGATGCTAATTCTCCTCAAACTGATTTATAAGTTTAGATACAAAATCTTGGCAGGACATTTTGCTGATATCTACAAGCTAATTCAAAGATTTATATGAAAGTTAAAGGAACCAGAATAGCCAAAACAATTTGGAAAAGAACAAAGTTGAAGGATTCACACAACTTACCAATTTCTAGTAGACAAGACAGTGTGGCATTAGCAAAAGGATGAACACATATATGGAAAAAAACAGAGCTCAGGAACAGACCCACGCACATACGGCCAATTTTTTTTTTTTTTTTTTTTTGAGACGGAGTTTCACTCTGTCGCCCAGGCTGGAGTGCAATGGCGTGATCTCGGCTCACCGCAACCTCCGCCTCCCAGGTTGAAGTGATTCTCCCGCCTCAGCCTCCCAAGTAGCTGGGATTACAGGTACCCGCCATCATGCCCGGCTAATTTTTGTATTTTTGTAGAGATGGGGTTTCACCATGTTGGCCAGGCTGGTCTTAAACTCCTGACCTCAGGTGATCTGCCTACCTCAGCCTCCCAAAGTGCTAGGATTACAGGGGTGAGCCACTGCGCCTGGCCTGATTATTTTGACAAAGATAGCAAGGCAATTAAATGTAGAAACCTTGTTTCTTAAATCATATCATTCTAAACTAATTGGACATCCATAGGGAAAAAAAAATGAAACTGAATACGTATTTCATACCTTATATAAAAATGGTCAGACCTATCAGAATGAATCATGAGCCTAAATGTAAAACCTGTAACTATACAACTTCTAGAAAAAATGTTTGTGACACTGCTTTAGGCAAAGCTTTTTTTAGATATGACACCAAAAGCATTATTCACAAAAAGTTGCTAAATTGGACTTCCTAAAAATTAAATACTAAATAAACTTTTTAAAATAATTATTTAAAATAGAACTGTTGGGAACCTCTGACATATATATTCAGAAGATAATGTGTTCAAGAGTTCGTAGAAATTAGATGTACATATTACTGAAAGTCACTGAGTTTATCATTCAGATTAATGCTGAATAGTGGTTTTGACCATGACATAGCTTTAAATTTTATTTATTTTTTTAGGTATTATTTCATTTATACAGATAGTAAACAATTTGTTCAAGGCAAAATGAGTAAGGAGGAATACTGATTTGAAAAGCATAAAAATTTTTTAAAATTTTTATTTTAAAGTTTGTGGGTACAAAGATGGTGTATATATTTATGGGGTAGATGATGGGTATGCATGGTGGCTCATGCCTGTGATCCTAGTATTTTGGGAGGCCAAGGCGGGAGGATCACTTGAGCCCAGGAGTTTGAGACCAGCCTGCGTAATATGGTGAGACCCTGTCTCTATTTAAAAAAAAAAAAAATATATATATATACACACACACACATATATTTTTATCCAAAACTAATTGGACGTATCCAGCTGATATGAAGAATTGGTCTTCATATCCAAGTGTATTCATTATTTATTACTGTCTAATATATTACCCCCAAATTTAGTGGTTCAGGTATATATATATATATATATATGTATATCAATAAAAATTAAAAAATTAAAGAACTTGTTTCAAGACAGAGTCAACAATGCTTGACAAAGACTTAACAGGAATTAAGGGAAAGGAAGGAATCAAGGATGACTCCTAGGTTTTTAGCTTGAGCAACTGGGTGGTCAGTGGTGCTATTTTCTGACCTAAGGGAGCAGACTTGGGGAGGAAGAAAGTTGAAGAAGAAAAAAATAAAAATTTCTGTTTTGGATATGTTACTTTTTAAGTGTCTTTTAAACATTCAAGTGGAAACAGCTATAAAAACAAGTCTGGAGTTCAAGCAAGAATTCATAATTAGAGAGATTATTTTGCAGAGTCACTGGCATATAAATAGTATTTACCCTAGGGAGTGGGTATAAGCAAAGAGAAAGGAGCCCAGGACAAAACGTGGGGGTTTACTCACATTTACTTGAGCAAAGGAAGAGGAGCTATAAAAGAGGAAGGACGCTAAAAGAAAACTGAAAAGATCATCGAGATAGGAGGAAATCCAGAAGTGTATGAAATCAAGATACCAACGTGTTTAGAAGTGTATAACATGGTCAGTTCTGTCAAATGCTAAACAGGTCAAGCAGATGAAGATAGCAAAGCCGATATTACTTTTTAAGGAATGTATTGCTTTTAAAAGGTTACATATTAACTAAATATCCAACTCCAGCAGCCTCTAGCCATTCTATCCTACCTAAGCAGGGAAAAACTGAGAAGCACTAGTGAAGTTCACAGCCCAGGGCACAGGCTCATTGAAAGACAGACCTTATCACTGGAATACAGAACATCTTTTCTATCCTTACATCTTATTAAAAGCCTATTTACTAGAGTTCCTTTTACTCAGCACATCATGTTCAGCTTTCAAGAGAAAACGACAAGGCACACTAAAGGGCAAACAACATAGTTTGAAGAGACAGCAAGCATCAGAACCAGATTTAGATATGGCAAGAATGATGGAATTACTAGACCAGGAATTTAAAACAACTATGATTAATATGCTAAGGCCTCTAATGGAAAAAACAGACAACATGCAACAAATGACAGGTAATGTAAGAAGAGAGATGGAAATTCTAAAAAGAGAATAAAAATGAAATGCTAGAAATCAAAAACACTGCAACAAAAATAATGTCTTTGATGGGCTTAGTAGCAGACTGGATGTGGTGGAAGAAAGTAGCACTAAGCTTGAAGATACAGCAATAGAAACCTCCAAAACTAAAAAGGAAAGAGAACAAAGATGGCAGGGGGTTTGAGGAAGAAGAGACTATCCAACCAAGAACTGTGGGACAATTACAAATGGTGTAACATATGCATAATGGGAATACCAGAAGGAGAAGAGAAAAAGAAAAGAAAATTGAAACAATAATGACTAAGAATTTCTCCAAATTAATGTCAGACACCAAACCACATATCCAGGAAGCTCAGAGAACACCAAACTATCACTTAATAAATGAAGAAATATATAAAATTATATTACATGAAATTTTATATACAATAGTATACTTATAACAAATGATCCATTTAAAAATTTTTACTAGAAATTACTTCATCACATATTTTCCCCAAATAGATCAAAAGCTACATGAAGGCAGGTGTTATGTGTTCACTCATCATCGTATTCTAGAATATTTTATGGCACATAGCAGGCTCATAATAAATATTTCTTGAACAAATACTATCCAAAATGGTAAAATTATTTTAAAATTTCAAGGAAGAAGGTTCATGAGATATATTTTATTGTGAAGGAGTCTCAAGGCAAAAAAATTAGGAAACATTAGTATAGAATGTAACTGTCCAATAGAAATATGAAGTGGCTACATATGTAATTTTAAACTTGCTACTACTAGACATATTTTTAAAAGAAACATGAAAAATTAAATTTAATGTCATCATATATATAAAGTATCATATATCAACATGTAATCAATACATAAACATCTTGATAAGCTATTTTCTATTCCTCTGTATGTGTGCCAAGTCTTGTAACCAGGGATCAACTATCGACTACTATATTTCAGTCCCCCAATTTTTTGGCCAAATCTATTGTTTAATATTTTTAGGCACCTATAGTATTCTAGGCTTTATGGAAAGTTTATGGAAAATAAATCCTCAAATAGCTTTCTAAAAAGCACCTGGATCTTCCTATAAATACTCAGTTTCTAATTATTTAGGTTTCCAATTATACACATAATTGGGCAGGAGTATTTGGATCCTTGCTAAATCTAAGAAATGTCTTTACAACTACTAAAATACTTTATTATATTACTCTAGGCACCACCATCATCTTTGATGATTATTTCTTTCATATACACCCAAGATACTTAGGAACAAGAGGTCCCTTTTCTAAAAGAATTTAGTCTAATGATGCAGAACTTCGAAGAACCTAGAAGGAAGAAAACTGGAAAAAAGAATTAAACTTTTTGTCACAACACACAGAAATGAAAATATCAAACTTACAGAATTTAAGAAGCAAAACTAAGTTATGAAAATATATCAGTCCTCTTTCAAAGAAAGCAACTAGATACATAATCTTGATTCTGTCAATAGGTAACAGTTCTAGATAATCCAAAAACCAACTATGTTTCTTGGGTATAAATTTTACTTTTATTTTTTCTGTTTTTTTTTTTTTGTTTTTTTTTGTTTTGAGATGGAGTCTCGCCCCGCCACCTAGGCTGGAGTGCAATGGCACAATCTCAGCTCACTGCAACTTCCGCTTCCTGGGTTCAAGCGATTCTCCTGCCCCAGCCTCCCAAGTAGCTGGGATTACAGATGCATGCCACCATGCCCAGCTAATTTTTTGTATCTTTAGTAGAGATGGGGTTTCACCATGTTGGCCAGGCTGGTCTCGAACTCCTGACCTCGTGATCTGCCCACCAAAGCACTGGCATACTTTTACGTTTTTACAACAGAATTTTCAACTTACATTCCAATTTTACTAAAAAAAAAACCAAAAAACAAAAAACAAAAAAAATTCCTTAGCACATCAGCAGCCCAGAAATGTTATGGATGGCAAAACAAAACAAAAACCAGTCTGTTATAAAACTGTTACAGATAGTCTATCAAGTAAATAATCCTCCAGTAAGCAATTCCAAACTCAGTGTATCTCCGGTTTTTTTAAGAAGTCTTATTAAAAAACACCAGAGAGAATTTCAGTAAGACAAGACAAAGCTTATGTTTTTAAATAATAAACATTTTTTAAAACTAGAAAGAATCAATTTTTTTGTTTTTGGTTATATTAAATTTGTTATAAATAAAATTAATCTAATAAAAACAAGGGGGGATTGTAAAGTTAAATCTACACCATAAATTCTAATTTTTAGACTACAATTTAATCCAAAGAACAATCACTGTGAATTAAGGCATTAGTTGCTATTAGTTGCTCTGAAATTATTATAAATAAAATTAAGTTAATCTGATAAAAACAATAGGTAGACTGTAAAGTTAAATCTATACCATAAATTCTAATTTTGGGTCTACAATTTAATCCAAAGAACGTTCATTGTGAGTTAAGGAAAGCATGAGTTACTATTAGTTGTTCTGAAATTGTGTAACAGTAGTCTCCCCTTATCAGCTGTTTCACTTCCATGGTTCGAGTAACCTGTGGTCAACTGCAGTCCAAAAACAGGTGAGTACAGTAAGGTAAGATATTTTGAGAGCGAGCAAGAAGAGCACATTCACATAACTTTTATGTATAGTTATAACTGTTCTACTACTGTTGTTGCTAATCTTTTACTATGCCTAATTCATAAATTCAACTTGATCATATGTATGTATGGTTAGAAAAAAATAAAGTATATATAGGGTTAAGTACTGTCTGCGATTTCAGGTACCACTGGGGATCTGAAACATATACCCCAAAAATAAAGATGGACTACTGTACTACAAATAAAAGGTCTTGCCCTGTTGTCTCCAGACTTTCCATTAGGAGTTTAATCTATATTTTTTAAGATTTCTAAACCATACATATTTATGAATTTAGCATTAATTAAATGCAATCTGATCCCTTGGACATCATGAAATACAGTAAAAGCCATCATCCTCAAAAGGTGCATGTACACAGTGAGATAATTACCAAGTCAATAGTTACTGAGTTGGTCCAGACAGTTAATAATCAGACCTTTACAAATTAATACATAGGTCACATATTTCAAAAAATTTTTGACAAACTTTCTAAAGAAAAATAAAAAATTTGCTAATCTAATCTCAACGCTCAGAGTTGAAACTGATAATCTATATAAGAACCACTCTTCCTCCTGAGAATGTGCATTAAAGATTAAAGGCCAAATCTGAATTCCTATCCCCTAAAATACTGCTCCAGATTCTGATTTATATTCTAGAATGCATACATATATTCCATATATGCCATGGAAAATATCCTATCCAAATCTGCCCCTGAACATTAAATTTATTCTTTTAACTGGAATCTGGATAATCCCAGCTCTCTTAAATGCAGAGCAAAGAAACAAACTAGGAAAACATTATCAGAAAGACAGCAGATTTATACTTGATGCTTAAATAAAGTGAAAAGACTACCAACAGTATTTTGAGAGAGGGGAGAACCCTGAAGTAGGGTCAAATAATAAATTATTTCCACACTTGTGACCTAAATGTTTCATATAGCTAACCTAGGCCAATTACAGAAAGAAAGAGTAGAAAAAAGACAAATTCTTTTAGCAAAATATGAGAAGTTTTTAAACATTATCTCTAGACTATAAGGAGACTAGAGGAGTACAGTCGTGCCACTGCATTTCAGCCTGGGTGACAGAGAGACACTGTCTCTACAAAAATTTAAAAATAAATAAATAAAAAATATATGAGGATTCAAAGTTACTGAATTGTAGCAGGGAAAAGTCCAATTAAACAAACAAAAAAAGAATGAGCTCACACTGGTACAGTTTTATTCCTCAAAAATACAGGAATTAATGGAAAGTAGGAATACAAAATACAGTGTTGTTTTCAAGATTTCTTCATGCCACTTTACAGGAATTCTCAATTTACTGCAGTAAACACTGCAATAACTGGCATAACTAGGATTCAGTCAGCTCAGTACTTTATATTCAATGATGTTTTATAAGCAAGAACTTCTTCCACTTTGAAAACTATGCCTAAAAAGGAATTCTCTTTGAAGACTAAAGGAATTTAATTAAAGATAAAGCCACTTGGGTGGCTACATAACACATCAAACAGATCATACTTCAAGCAGAATTATTACTTTTCACTTGTAAGTGCATGACTCATAGTCATTTTTTTCTGTGTATATCGATTTGGATCCAAAAATCTACATGTAGAAGTACACTATCACATTTGCTCAGTCTATATACTTTAGCTTCAATTTAACTTCACATGAATAAACACTGATTAATGACCTACTGCTGAATAAAAATTTGTTTAAATAAAAACAACACACTTGAGAATTGTCTTGGACTGGAAACAAAGCCTCAATATTATATAAAATAAACAAAAAGTTCATAAATATTTTTAGAATATTAACAAAGTCTCAATATTATTAATGAATTTTCACGTCCATACAGAAATGTTTCTAAGAACCTAAAAATAACATCAAGTATTTAAAATTTCCATTATGAATAGTCTTTGGATTTTTATTATAGACTATCTACTGGCAAGTTTAATAGTACCGTTTTTATTAACATTTGCTGGGTGTTTATCCCACATGATTAGGGAATAAGGAGTACAATTCAGTGAAAAGTCCCCATAAAACAACATTTAAAAGAAAAAGAAAGGTAGAAATCTCTTGGAAATTATATATCTTCCTTGCCTTTCTAAATGGAACATACTAAAAGTAATGTAAGATTGTATTTATGATTCAGGGTCATCATGATGTAAATTATTCCATTAAAGTACTATAATGCAGTATCAGCTTTAAGGATAGCGATATGAGAGATATGCTTTAAAATTAGTAAATTAGTTGCTAATT
This sequence comes from Homo sapiens, assembly GCF_000001405.40. Lineage (NCBI taxonomy): Eukaryota > Metazoa > Chordata > Mammalia > Primates > Hominidae > Homo > Homo sapiens. Next base: position 210,168,175 of record NC_000002.12, read on the forward strand.
GTCCAATAAATGTCACTCCTGCTGCAAGCAGCCCCATTCCTTTCTGTTTGTATCTTGATGAACCCAATCAGTAAACAACCCTAAGCATAATTCTATACCTGAAGAAAGCAGCTCTCTGCCTCCTTCAACTACCATCTAATACTATATAGACAAAATAAGGGTATGGAGAGATTATCTGAATACATGAAAAACATCATGAAAACAAGGATTACATATTATTTATAAGATTTATGTGGTAGATTAAAGGGCATAAAGGATCCTATAGGCAATAAGAAGTGAGCTACCAAGAACCATCTCAATAATAAAGGAACTTCAGATAGCAGGCATCATTTTTTGTCAAACACAGTAAAAGCTACAAGTGAAACTACATTGATCAGTGAAACCTTTACGTTAATTTCATAGAAGACAGATGAATGAGTAAAGGAAATGAAATAATCTAAGGTATCATGATAAATGGCATCAAAATTGGATGAAGTTCTTGGATAATGCAGCAGTTGGGCTATGAGAAGTTAATTGACCTTCTGGTAGACAACTGTGATCAGATCACTGAGGCCTCACCTGAATGAAAAAGTAGTAAAAGTTATGAATCCAACAATAATAGTATATTACTAACAATGTACTAGTAAACTGAGTAAAACAAAAAGCAAAAGACAATTTCCTGATCTTCCATAGATAAAAAAGATAAATATTAGCCCACTGGCAAGTATTTATTGAGCACCCACTAAGTGATCTGCAGCATGTCAAACATGAAATATATTTCTTTCTCTCAAGCACTTTACAATAAGTTAAAAAATAAAAGATACATCACAGATTAGAGTGAAAAAATTTAAAATGCAAATTAAAGCAAGGTTTTTAGTTTTAAAGCCTAATACTAGGTGATAAACAAAGACATAATGGGAGGCACACACATACCACTAGATCACTGTAAATCAATACAACATTCTGTAATTTGGTGATGACATAAGAGCCTTAAAAAACACACACACAAACAAACAACAAAAACAGACTCTTTGGCCCAGTAATTCCTCTTCTACAAATCTAAGGGGGGGAAATTTCAAAGGTTTATGTAAAAGGATATTGTCTGTAGTGAAATATACACTAGCAAAACCAGAAACATCCCACATACGTGCCAACAGAAAAAATTTAAAATATGATAGTTACATGGCGAAATGTTAAGCAGCTATTAAAAATATTTTTCAAAGAATAATGATATGCGAATGTCTGAGTTAAATGAAAATACCATGTGGTCTCAGTTTTAGGAAAAATACACATATATGCAGACAGAAATATTTAAAGTACAAAATATTTATAGTTTTCTTATTTGCACTCATCTATTTTCCAATTACTTTATAATAATAAGATTTAACAAAATAATCGATTGTTATTTGCAAAGGCGCATCATGAAACAAAATTAAAATGTAAATGTTAAAAGTCAATGTGAGAGAATTGGCCTGGATTAAGAAGTTTCACATAAAAAATTACTCCAGACAGTTTGCGGGAGAGAATAATCTATGTAGATTAAAACCATGAGGAAATGGTTGCAGACGCTGACACTGATCTAAGTAGGTGGAAACTGAGGGAGAACCAAAGATAATGGTTACAACAGATTTTAAAGATACTCAAATATATTCTATTTCATGATTAATTCATTGTTTATATTTCCCCAACATGTGGGCTTTTAAAAAATTCACTTTTGTTATAAAAATAACACTACTTGGCAATTGGTAGAGATTAGGAATCACTTTTCCTAATACAAGGCATTTCTTCTTTCTTACAATCTCTTAAGACAGAGACCATATTATGAAACTTTACAAAAACGAAACAAGTTTGACATCAGAGAGGTGACTAACCCAAAGAAATGGCTAGTTATTAAGAACGGGAAAGGCAGAGACCACTCACTGTTAAGCCTCTTTCTCAATACTGAATTATTTTTAGAGTCATTTTTTCCTAGTCAGAAATTGCCAGTTTTGTCTGCAGTGCTCACTTCACTTAGGTTTTGTGGCTAACAAACCTGCCCCATCCAGCAATATTTAAAATTATTACTGACCCAAACTCAGATGAAGTTAAGCAAACTGGCTAAAGACGAAGGAAGTTTGTCTCCTAAACCTCGCCAGAACATGAATGTCCTGAAGTTTGGGGAATCAAAAACGGAATGTGCTTACCACAGTTCAAACAAAAAAACAAACAAAAACGGACTCTCCCAGAGTAAGAAAACATTACAAGAACGTCCATCCAGTGCCTGCCCTCCCGACTGCAAAGCCAGCCTCTTTCCTTTCCTGTGGTTTCTGAAACGGCCAGGATACCGCCTGGTATTTCTTGCTACCAAACACCACGCAATCTGACTTTTTCCAGCAAGACCGGTCCCTTCCTCAGCACACCGGTGACACAAACTTGGAAGCACCGTCCCTCAAAAATCCCCTAGATTCTGCTCTATCCCATCTAACTCTAAAGCCCAAATCTACGTTTTCCTGAAAGAAAGTGTGAAATAAATAAAATAGGGGTCTCATCAAATCCAGTGGGCTCCGCCTCAGAGCCGCCTCAAAAGAGCCGTCACCACACCCCCAATGGGTGAGGCTCAGCCGATGAGGCAAGAGGCGGGTCCAGGAAACCACGTGTTCTGCCTTCTGCGCACGCGCCAGCCAAAACAAAAGGGAGGTCTGCCAAGCCCCACCCCCCACGTGACCGGCGTCCAGGTCCGCCCCCACCCCTCCCTAGACCCCTTCCCTCCCCAGCTGCCAAGGCTGTTAGGTTTAGCCGTTTAAATTTGGCTGCGGTCAGACCCCCGCCCTAGAGCGCGATCCCGTGCCGAGACCAGAGTCCAGCAGCCCAGAGGATTCGGGGGGCGAAGGGGCTGCCGGTCGGTCGCCTGACCCGCAAGTCCACCCGGCAGTCTTCTCCCCTCCCCGCGCTGCCGCCGTCCCCAAGAGGGAAGACCCACCCCCGTCATCCCGCCGCTGAGACGCCGGCCACTCGCCTGCTGGGGCGCCCTGGCTCCCCTCCGCCGCCGCACCTTCGGTCCGGCCGTGGTGGGGGCTGCTGAGGTGATCTCTAGCTGCCCGCCCGCCTCCCCCACCCGGGGCGCCGCTGACTCGTCTCCAGAGCGCGCCCCGCTCCCGCCCCGGCCGCCGCCGCCGCCGCCGCCGCCGCCGCCGCCGCCGCCGCCGCCGCGGTTTAACAGTCCGCCCGCTGCCCGCAGCTCCGTGCGGCTCGGGGGGACGGAACCCTGCCGCGGTCTGGGAGCAGTGGGCGGGGCCCGGCGCTAGCCAATGGCAACGGGGGAGGGGCAGCGCCATGCAAATGAAGCGGGTGGCGGGGAAACCCCGGCAGGGGGCGGGGCCTGCAGAAGCGGCTCGGAGTGTTCTGGAAGTGGCAGGAGCACGACTCCCTTAACTCTGGTGCAGGGTTTACCTCGGCTCCCTCGGGACGGGTTCCGTGCAGCTCCTGCTTCCTCCCTTCTCTTTCCCAGTGCCATCCCTGGCGAGGGGGAAAAAAAAAAACACGGCCAGGAGACTTCCCACCCCTGCTTTGCTATTTTTGTACCTCCGTGACAGAAAAACAAAACCCTGAGGAAAAGTCAGGCGACTTCATTCCCTGCCGTCCGCGCCGGGGCCTCGACTACTGCTGGCGTCCGCGGCTTTCGCCCGCCGCTCCACAGGCGAGTTTTAAGAGATTTCTCACAATTGTCAAGTCCGCAAGTCTCCGTGCGTTTGCTTTTATTTGGGCCGTGCGTTCAAATGCGCTCATAATTCTTTCTGACCCTCAGAGGGGCCCTGAAGTAGGTGACAAATTTGCCTTGGATCCAACTGGGTGGTTTTATGATTAAAAAAAAAAAAACAGACAAAGCAGTTTTAAGTCTCTACAAATCTGGTTTGAGTGGCGCTGGACCTAACTCCCCTCTGCAGTAACGCTGTCAAATAAACAAACGGAGTTTATGTGGAGATAGTTGGCCAGCGACACCCAAAAACACTTCTGAGCGTCTTGCACCTGGCCCCGCGAACCGCTCACCACAAAACAAACCTGCACCTGGGCACTTCCCCAGCCAAGAACTCGATTTTTTTAAAACTGAACTCTAAATGTAGCTTCTTAGATGTTGTATCACAGTCTTTCCTAAGCACCGAATTTACACATGAAATGATTTAAGGAACGAAGAGCACTAGGCTTTTTAAGCCAGAAGGATAATAGCCATTATTTTAACCTTATCAATTGGATAAGATCCCGGGGGCGGAAGAGGGGAGAAATCCAAGGAATTGCAGTCATAACAAAGCGTAATCCGTAACATAGATAACTGGAATTGGAAAATTAGCTACTCGTTCCTGGTTCTTCTAGTAGATTGTGATATTACTGAAATAATTTTTATGACCAGCTGCATTTATTGGAGCTATATTTTTTTAATTACTGAATAATTGCACCTCGATATGGGGCAAGGGAAGAATTTTAGGAAATTGATTTACTTTCATTGTAATAAAAATTGTAAGCTAATGATGTGTTGTGAAAAATAATTAAATCAGTAAGTATTTATTGGATATTTACCATATTCAAAGGACTGTCCTAGTCCCTGGGGACAGAAATGCAAAAATGAATAAAGTATTTTTTAAAGTTTTGTTTTTTTAATTAGCAGTTTGAGACATCTAATAAGCATGTGTTAAGATAGATCAAAGGAAGATTCTGGATTTGAGTTGGACGTTTAAAAGACTTAAGAGAGAGGAGGAAGGCATCAATAGTTCAGGAGATAGTGTCCTTGGGTGGTTTGAGGAGATGTTGTGTGAATATTTGGGGGGCAGAAAAGTACATTGTCAACTAGATTGAGTAAATCTTGAATGACAGGAATTCAGATTTTAACCTGAAGGAACTGTAGAGACATCAAATCATTTAATGGTAGTTTTCTCCTGTGAAATAATTTTTTGCTACCAAACAAAATATTTATATATTTGCCAAATGTTTATTGAACACATGTTTTGTGATGGCTAATGAAGATATATTAGTAAACAAATTCCCTGTCCTCATGGAGTTTATAGAGGATGACAAAGGGATTAAGCTTTGTAACTACACAAATAGTGATTCATACAGCATTTCTACATATATTATGTAATTTGTTCATCACATAGCCGTGGGAGGTAGGCTGTTTCCAATACTCTAGATTAATTTTTTTTTTTTTTTTGAGACGGAGTCTCACACTGTCTCCCAGGCTGGAGTGCAGTGGTGCGATCTCGCCTCACTGCAAGCTCCGCCTCCCGGGTTCATGCCATTCTCCTGCCTCAGCCTCCCGAGTAGCTGGGACTACAGGCGCCCGCCACCAAGACCGGCTAATTTTTTTTTTTTTTTTTTGTATTTTTAGTAGAGACGGAGTTTCACTATGTTAGCCAGGATGGTCTAGATCTCCTGACCTGGTGATCTGCCCGCCTCGGCCTCCCAAAATGCTGGGATTACAGGCGTGAGCCACAACACCCGGCCGCTCCAGATTAATTCTTTTATCTTCTAGTCAGCCCTGCCGCCTGCTAAATGTTACAGACCTTAAATAAATATTTCAATCTATCAAGCTATCATACATGTACATTTTCCCTATTTTATATTCGGTTTAATAGGAATGTGGGGAGATGATTAACAAAATAATACAGGTTTGATATAAAATATATAGGAAAGCACAAAGAAGAAAACCACAATCATATGCAAAGTCTGTTGTATTTTATATGTATGACACTGTGCATACTGGTTTTTTATCCCATTTAGCTACATGTTAAGCACACTATCCCTTGACACTGAATATTGTTCTAAAGCATGATTTTATTATTTGTAGCATATACATGCGAGTTTTCCAGACACTATAGAATATCAGTTCTCCTTATTACAAAAATTGATATACTGAATCATTTGTCAAATTATTTTCTATATTACTCAGCAACAGCCTGAAAAGTGCATGTAGTTAATGTTTTTTTAAAATCAAGGACATATCATTTAGAAGGTACATTAAAAGCATTCTGATTTCCAAGAAAAAATATAACAGTGGTAAGAATAGAACACTTTAAAATCCAGCAAGAACAAGGAGAAGTAAAGGGCACCATTCTTGCTGACATAATAATTACCTATCTGGAAGCTTTAAAAAATGTCCAGGTAAGCAGTATTACAATGATTTCATGAGATAAACTTCTCTCTTCAACACTGGTTTTTATTCAGTCATTCCTTTCACTCAAGAAACATTCATGCAACACTTAGTATAGCTGACACTGTGATAAATGCTAGAGATAAAGGAGAAAGATCAATCTTTAATTTCAAGCAACTCACAGCCAAGAAGGGGCTTTTCTATCCCCCTTTGTTACTTTGTTTTTCTCCATTGCACTTATCAGCATGTAATGTAACATAGATTTTGATTTTTTTACTTTTGTAGTCTATCGCCCTAAATTAGACCATAAGCTCCATGAAGTCAGGCACTTTTGCTGGTTCGCTCATTGCTGTATCCCTAGAGCCTAGGACAGGGCCTGACACATGTGGATTCTCAATGCATATTTAATGTCTGGATAAATTAATTTTCACATCCCAGAAAGTGAATGTTATATTCATTTTCCAGGTGAAAAAAATATGAAGCTCAGTGAGATTAATGTACCTAGATTCTTATGCTAATAAATGGCCCATTTCGAAGACAGACCTGACTGGGTCCAAAGCCAGAGTTCTTTCCTCACTACCTCTCACAGAATAGAAAGCCTATTCTATTCTATTCTATTCTATCCTATTCTATTCTATTCTATCCTATCCTATTCTATTCTATTCTATTCTATTCTATTCTATTCTATTCTATTCTATTCTATTCCATTCCATTCCACGCCATGCCACGCCACGCCATGCCACGCCACCCCACCCCACCCCACCCCACCCTACCCTACCCTACCCTACCCTACTCTATTCGAGGTTGTCCTATTTATTTCTCCACATTTCTATGCCCTGAGAAACTGTCCCCCACTGTTATATTCCAGTATATTTAATTCTTCTTTTATGATCAGGTTTAGAGAGGGAAATAGAAGCAGAACGGCTAAACATGATAATCCCTACTCAGGACAGATTTAGCTTTAACTAACCAGTATCTATAAACAAGCAGACAAAAGGTAGAGGTAGGTAGCAAGACCTATAAGAATCTTCGAACCAGGGCTAAGTATAACAGAGAACAGAACTGGCCCATGACTACAGGGGAACAAAATGATTCCCTGTGTATATGAATATCCATGGCACTTTTATTCACAACAGCCTCAAACTGGAAACAGCCCTAAGATCCATCACCTTTGAAAGGATAAAGAGCTGGGCACGGTGGCTCACGCCTGTAATCCCAACACTTTGGGAGGCCGAGGCGGGCAGATCACCTGAAGTCAGGATTTCCAGATCAGCCTGACCAACATGGTGAAACCCCATCTCTACTAAAAATACAGAATTACCCGGGCATGATGGCACATGCCTGTAATCCCAGCTACTTGGGAGGCTGAGGCACGATAATCACTTGAACCCAGGGGGCAGAGGTTGCAGTGAGTGGAGATCATGCCATTGCACTCCAGCCTGGGCAGCAAGAGCAAAACTCCATCTCAAAAAAAAAAAAAAAAATGAAAGGGTAAAGAAATTATGGTACATTTTTCTTTGTATTCTATTATAGTGGTATAATAGAATACCACTCAGAAATAAAAAGAAGAAACTACTGATATATAAAACAACAAGGATGAGTCTCAAACAGTATGCTGAGTGAAAGAAGCCAGACACAGAATCATAAATATTGGATGATTCCATTTATATAAAGCTCTAGAGAAAGACAAATCTAACCAATAATGACAGAAAACAGATCAGTGGTTTCTTAGGGTTGGGGTGGGGAGAATTGACTGGGATGGGATTAAAGGGTGACAAAAAAGTTCTATATCTTGACCATGGTGGAAGTCAAATGGGTGCATGCATTTGTCAAAACTCATCAAAATATACTTAAAATGGGAACTCCCTAATGAAAGTGGACTAAGAAACCTCAAGAAGTTCTCAGTCTAAAATTAAAAACTAGGAAAATAGGTTGTGTATAATGTATGAGAAAACTCAAAATAATGATAGCTTTAAAACAGAAGGGTTAATCCTTTAACATATTTTATTGATTCTAAGACACCTTTTTTCCACACTTTAACATTTCAGAGATCAGAATAACTTCACAGTTCATGCAATAAGAAAGTATTGTATGAGTTTGATTGGCAGTGTTTTTTTAATGATACATAAATAGTGCATCTTAAGAATCAATAAAATGCAGTAAAATTAGTCTACAGATTAATTATTCCAGAACTGTTATAACAGCTCCACAAAGTCACCAGAGACCCAGGCTCCTTTCTATTATTTTATCTTCTCCATTCTCAGCCCTGGCTTCCATTTTCAAAGCAATCTCATGGTCCCAGATGGCTGGTGGAACCCCAATCATAACTATCCATTTCCCAGGCAGCAGGAAGAAAGAAGAGCGGGAAAGCAAACAGAGCCTTTAAGGTGACTTTCCTGAGTCCCTCTCAACAATTCTACAACTTCATCAGGTGGATAAGTTAATCTTTTATTTTACTTGTAGCTATTGTAAATGGTTTTACTTTCTTGATTTCTTCTCTAGATTGTATGCTGTTGGCATATAGAAATGCTACTGATTTTTGTATGTTGATTTTGTATCCTGCAACTTACTGAATTTATCAGTTTTAGTAGTTTTTTTGGTGGACTTCTTCCTTTCCAATGTGGATGCCCTTTATTTCTTTTGCTATTTTTACAAATTTGCCCTGAAAAAGTTTTATTTCTTCTTCTTTTTAAACATTTTAAGTTCAGGGGTACAAATGCAGGTATGTTACATAGGTAAACTTGTGTCATGGGGGTTTGTGTCCAGATTGTTTCATCAGCCAGGTATTAAGCCTAGTATCCATTAGTTGTTTTTCCTGATCCTCTCCCTCCTCCCACCCTCCATCCTCCAAAAGGCCCCAGTGTGTGTTGTTCCCCTCTATGTATTCATGTTTTCTCATCATTTAGCTCCCACTTATAAGTGAGAACATGCGGTATTTGGTTTTCTGTTCCTGAGTTAGCTAAGGATAATGGCCTCCAGCTCCATCCATGTCCCTCCAATGGACATGCAATGGACATCTCATCTTTTATATGGCTGCATAGTATTCCATGGTGTATATGTACCACATTTTCTTTATCCAGTCTGAAAAGATACTCTTTTCAATAAGTAGTGTTGGAACAGTTAGATATTTAGATGCAAAAAAAGTAAGCCTTAACATGAAACTTCATGCTTTATAAAAAAATTACTAAAGGGAATATAGATCTAAATGAACAATATAAAATATAACCTTCTTAGAAGAAAACATAGAAAACCTTATGATTTGGGTTTGGGTAAAGAGTTCTTAGACATGACACCAAATGCATGACCCACAAAATAAAAAAGTGGTAAACTGAAATTCGTCAAAATTAAAAAACTTTTGTTCTGAGAAATCAACTGTTAAAAGAATGAACTAGCTACAGTGAGAAAATATTTGCAAACCACATATCTAACAATGGACTTGTATCTATAGCGGAACAGCTCTGCAGCGGCTGACAACCTTGCATAGGCCACATAAGCAAGGCTTGAATGGCAGCTGAATCTTGGCAGAATGCTTTGTGATCCTCCTGGAATAGGAAAGCATGGGGGCTTGTGAGGTAGTGCTACATGCCATTGCTTACTGGCTTCCCTGTATACCAAGGAGGCTGCCAAAGACCCTTTGTCATTATCTCATGGTTTCTGATGAGGTACAAGGCTTCCTGTCTTGCTACCCTTAAGGCACAAATGCAGCTATTAAAAAAAACTGCTTAGCAGTATCATGGAAATGGGCTCCTCAGCAACAGGGAATCCTATCATTCTTGTTGTGGTCATGTGGCTTCTTTTGTTTCACTGTCTCCCTATACAAAGGTAACGAAGAGCTGGATCCTTTAGCTACTCTTCTTTTTACTCTCTATGTAAGCAATAAACTGAGTCTAAAAAGGTCTTGTTTTTTTGCAGCTGAATCTGTTAGCCTAGCTTTGCCTTGTACTTGACAGTATCCAGAATATATAAAGAATTTTCAAAACTCACCATAAAGAAAACAAACAACACAATTAAAAAATGGGCAAAAGAAAGGTAATATGTGAAAGGCAAGTAAGCACATGATATATTGTTCTGCATGATTAGACATAAAGGAAATTCAAATTAAAACCATGGTGACATGCTACTACATACCTATTAGAATGGCAAAAATTAAAAAAACAAAGTGCTGGAGAAGATTCAAAGTAACTGGAACTCTTACATTGCTGGTTGGTCAGCAAAGTGGTACAGGCACTTTGGAAAAACAGTTTGGCAGTTTCTTATAAGTTTAAACACACACTTACCATGTGACACAACAAGTCCTCTCCAGGATATTTAACCTTAACAAGATATTAAGATTTAATCTTAACCAACGTGTCTGTAAACAGGTGAATGAATAAACTGTGGTACATGCCTACAGTTAGCACCAAAAAAGGAAGAAGCTATTGACTCATGCAACATGGATGGATCATAAATATATTTTGCTAAGAGAAAGAAATTATTCTCGAAAGATAACATACTATAGTAATAGGTGTGGAGAGGGTGTGACTATAAAGGGCAGAATTTTTTGAGGTGAAAAGACTGTTGAGGGAGTTTTTTGGGGGTGATAAGACTGTTCTGTATATCCTAACTGTGGTGGTGATCACATCAATCTATAAATGCTAAAACTCTCAGAACCAAAAAAGGCAATTTTACTGTTACGTATGAATACCAAAAAAGGGAAAATATGCTATATGTTAACTTTTAAAATGAAATTTATAAAGAGAAAGGAAAAAGAGAAAAGGGAGGACTGCTATTTAAAAAAGGAGAGAGACAGAGAGAGAGAGACCAAATACAATTTGTGGACCTTGTTCAGATCCTTATTTGAATAAACTAACTATAAAAGGCATTTTTGATGCAGTCAAGGAAAATGTAATGTGAACTTGGACTTATATATTAAATTTAGGTTTTTTAAAGTATGATAATAACCTTGTGGCCATGTAAAAATATCTTCACCAGTTAGATACATATTCTGAAATACATTTGTGTTTGTGAAGTAGCATTAAATCTGGGATTTGCCCTATAATATGTGAGGAAAAAAGTGGAGGAGATTGGCAAATGTTGAAGCTGGAGGTTCATTATATTGTACTCTATTTTTTAGTAAGTTTGAAGTTTTCCATAAGTTTTTTCTTAAAAATGACATTTTAAAAATTATAGTAGAATTTCTTTTCCTCATTTATTGTAAAGCAGCAGACATAGACCTACAGTTGGTTTCAATCTCAGTGTCAAATCTTTCCAATGACTCCAAATAAATAAATGCTGTGTGTGCCAAAAATAATACTGACATGAGAAAAATTCTGCTAGAAATCTTATACTTTGAGTAATAAGCTACTAGAATTACTAGATTAGTAAAAATTTGAAGAGTTAGATTTTAAAATAGCAAATCAAAACAGTTTTCAATGACACCATCAAAGAAACAAAGGGCAAGAGTAATTTTAAAGCAATCATGATCCTAAAACTCTTAGCCAAAAAACAAAATTACTCAGGCTTTTAAACTCTCATTTATATTTACACAATGTTTCTTTCTTGCTGTGTTGGTCCAGCCTGTTCTTTTAAGCATTATTATTATTTATCATTTCTTGAGCACTCAGCACTGCATGAGATACAGATAAGTTCCCTCCCTAGGAGACAACAATCAAAGCCACACAAGCAAAACATAAAGATAAGCTGTTTAAGAAATGAAAACCAAATGAAAGATTAAGAAGCACATTGTGAATTCCCTTTTTTTGTTTGTTTCAGCTTTAAGCCCATGATACAAAACATGCTTCTTTTGGGGGTGTAAAACAAGACTGTAGTTGTTAAGATAAAGCCACTGGCTTAGAATAGAAAATATCCCAGAGATCATTGTAAGAAAACATCCTACCTTAGAAATCTTTTCACTTTCTGCTATACATAAATTACTAGAAACTATTCCTAGCTCTAGAGGACTGTAATCACTATGTATGTGTGCACGTGTGTGTGTGAGAAAGAGGAATAGAAGGAGAGAGATTTAGGTCTGCCCAGCAGCCTTTTTTGTTCCCTTTCTTTTGATAATACCACACTGCTTCAGAGACTGCTTCTCCCAGTCCACATATTCCTGATGGAACTGTCAATCATAGTCCATTTCTTCCCTACCTTATAATGACAGATGCAGGCCTGAAGCAGCACAAGGTGATTTTTACAGGGCTCATAATGAAGGTCTTCTACAGGGTTCATTAGGCCAATTTGCAAAGAAAAGTAGTAATAAATGGATATAGCATAAATGCTGGCAGTTCTAAGCTCCAGAATCAGGCCCTTGAAACTCCAGTTCCTACAGGTCTTTATATGAGCTGCTCTGCAATACTTTTAAGCAACTAAACTTAAGTTCTTGCCTAGGGTGGTTTCAGTTGGGTTTCTTTTGTCATTTGCACCTGACAAAATCTTGGGAAGGTAAACAACATACCCAAGGTTGAGCGGCTCCTAAATGGCAGTCATTCAAACCTAACTCTGTCCATCTCTACACAACAGACTTTTCCTACTGTGCTAATTTACTTTTTAAACCTACAGATGTTTCATTCCTAAAATCTAGTTTTCTTCAAGATTGGGAATGGAAGGAAAAGAGGCTGCAGTGAAGTGGGGCAGTGTGGAAGGGGTCCGTCTAGTCCTCTGTCACTTTCTGGCAGTAGGAGAAAAGTGAAAGCCACAAATACAGTAAAATCTAATAAAAAATTATATTAATCCACTTTGCATATGAGAAAGATCCTAAGCTGGCAACTATACAAACTTCTGCCTAAGAGCAAATCAAAGCTGTATAGTTCTAGGAAAGAATGGTATAGGTATAGGGTGATTTCTGCATTTCCAACTGAGGTACCCAACTCATCTCACTGGGACTCGTTAGACAGTGGGTGCAGCCCATGGAAGGTGAGCCAAAACAGGGTGGGGTGTTGCCTCACCCAGGAAGTGCAAGGGGTCAGGGAACTCCCTCCCCTAGCCAAGGGAAGCCAGGAGGGACTGTACTGTGAGGAACTGTACATTCTGGCCCAGATACTACATTTTCCCCATGGTCTTTGCAACCTGCAGACCAGGAGATTCCCTCGGATGCCTACACCACCAGGGCCCTGGGTTTCAAGCACAAAACTGGGCAGCCATTTGGGCAGACACTGAGCTATCTGCAGTTTTTTTTTTTTTCACACCCCAGTGGTGCCTGAAACACCAGCAGGACAGAACCGTTCACTCCCCTGGAAAAGAGGCTGAAGCCAGGAAGCCAAGTGGTCTAGCTCAGCAGATCCCACCCCCACAGAGCCCAGCAAGCTAAGATCCACTGGCTTGAAATTCTCACTCCCAGCACAGCAGTCTGAAGTCAACCTGGATGCTCGAGCTTGGTCGGGGGAGGGGCATTCGCCATTACTGAGGCTTGAGTAGGCGGTTTCCCCCTCACAGTGTAAACAAAGCCACCTGGAAGTTTGAACTAGGCAGAGCCAACCGCAGCTCTGCAAAGCTGCTGTAGCCAGACTGCCTCTCTAGATTCCTCCTCTCTGGGCAGGCCATCTCTGAAAGAAAGGCAGCAGCCCCAGTCGTGTTTATAGATAAAACTCCCATCTCGCTGGGACAGAGCACCTGGAATAAGGGGTGGCTGGGAGCGCAGCGTCAAGACTTAAACATTCCTGCCTGCTGGCTGTGAAGAGAGCAGTGAATCTCCCAGCACAGTGCTCAAGCTCTGCTAAGGGACAGACCGCCTCCTCAAGTGGGTACCTGACCCCGCTGCCTCCTGACTGGGAGACACCCCCCAGCAGGGGTCGACAAACACCTCATACAGGAGAGCTCTGGCTAGCATCTGGCAGGTGCCCCTCTGGGACAAAGCTTCCACAGGAAGGAACAGGCAGCAATCTTTGCTATGCTGCAGCCTTCGATGGTGATACCCAGGCAAACAGGGTCTGGAGTGGACCTCCAGCAAACTCCAGGAGACCTGCAGCAGAGGGGTCTGTTAGAAGGAAAACTAACAAACAGAAAGGAATAGCATCAACATCAACAAAAAGGACGTCCACACAGAAACCCCAATCAAAGTTCAACAACATCAAAGACCAAAGGTAGATAAATCCATGAAGATAAGGAAAAACCAGCACAAAAAGGCTGAAAATTCCAAACACCAGAACGTCAATTCTCCTCCAAAGGATCACAACTCCTTGCCAGCAAGGGAACAAAACTGGACAGAGAATGGGTTTGAGGAATTGACAGAACTAGACTTCAGAAGGTGGGTAATAACAAATTTCTCCAAGCTAAAGGAGCATGTTCTAACCCAATGCAAGGAAGCTAAGAATCTTGAAAAAAAGGTTAGAAGCATTGCTAACTAGAATAACCAGTTTAGAGAAGAACATAAATAGCCTGATGGAGCTGAAAAATACAGCACCAGAACTTAGTGAAGCATACACAAGTATCAATAGCCGAATCAATCAAGCAGAAGAAAGGATATCAGAGATTAAAGATCAACTTAATGAAATAAAGCATGAAGACAAGATTAGAGAAAAAGTAATGAAAAGGAATGAATAAAGCCTCCAAGAGATATGGGACTATGTGAAAGGACCAAATCTACATTTGATTGGTGTACCTGAAAGTGATGGGGAGAATGGAACCAAGTTGGAAAATACTCTTCAGGGTATTATCCAGGAGAACTTCCCCAACCTAGCAAGATAGGTCAACATTCAAATTCAGAAAATACAGAGAACACCACAAAGATACTCCTCAAGAAGAGCAACCCCAAGACACATAATCATCAGAATCACCAAGGTTGAAATGAAGGAAAAAATGTTAAGGGCAGCCAGAGAGAAAGGTCGGTTTACCCACAAAGGGAAGCCTATCAGATTAACAGCAGATCTCCCTGCAGAAACCCTACAAGCCAGAAGAGAATGGGGGCCAATATTCAACATTCTTAAAGAAAAGAATTTTCAACCCAGAATTTCATATCCAGTCAAACTAAGCTTCATAAGCAAAGGAGAAATAAAATCCTTTACAGACAAGCAAATGCTGAGAGATTTTGTCATCACCAGGCCTGCATTACAAGAGCTCCTGAAGGAAGCACTAAATATGGAAAGGAACAACCAGTACCAGCCACTGCAAAGACGTACTAAATTGTAAAGGCCACTGATACTATGAAGAAAATGCATCAACTAACGGGTAAAATAACCAGCTAGCCTCATAATGACAGGATCAAATTCAGACATAACAATATTAACCTTAAATGTAAATGGGCTAAATGCCCCAATTAAAAGACACAGACTGGCAAATTGGATAAAGAGTCAAGACCCATTGGTGTGCTATATTCAGGAGACCTATCTCTTGTGCAAAACACACATAGGCTCAAAATAAAGGGATGGAAGAATATCTACCAAGCAAATGGAGATCCAAAAAAAAGCAGGGGTTTCAATCCTAGTCTCTCTAAAAACAGACTTTAAACCAACAAAGATCAAAAAAGACAAAGAAGGGCATTACAGGGATCAATGCAACAAGAAACACTAACTATCCTAAATATATATGCACCCAATACAGGAGCACCCAGATTCATAAAGAAAGTTCTTAGAGGCCTACAAAGAGAATTAGACTCCCACACAATAATAGTGGGAGACTTTAACACCCCACTGTGAATATTAGATCAATGAGACAGAAAATTAAGAAGATATTCAGGATTTGAACTCAGCTCTGGACCAAGTGAGCCTAATAGACATCTACAGAACTCTCCACCCCAAATCAACAGAATATACATTCTTCTCAGCACCACATTGCACTTATTCTAAAATTGACCACATAATTGGAAGTAAAGCACTCCTCAGCAAATGCAAAAGAACAGAAACCACAACAAACAGTCTCTCAGACCACAGTACAATCAAATTAGAACTCAGGATTAAGAAACTCACTCAAAACCGCACAACTACATGGAAACTGAACACCACCTGCTCCTGAATGACTACTGGCTAAATAATGAAATTAAGGCAGAAATCAAGATGTTCTTTGAAATGAATGAGAGCAAAGAGACAATGTACCAGAATCTCTGGGACTCAGCTAAAGCAGTATTTAGAGGGAAATTAATAGCACTAAATGCCCACAGGAGAAAGCAGGAAAGATCTAAAATCAGCACCCTAACATCACAATTAAAATAACTAGAACAGCAAGAGCAAACAAATTCAAAAGCTAGCAGAAGACAAGAAATATCTAAGATCAGAGCAGAACTGAAGGAGTTAGAAACATGAAAAAGCCTTCAAAAAATCAATGAATCCAGAGGCTGTTTTTTTGAAAAGATTAACAAAATAGATAGACTGATAGCCAGTCTAATAAAGAAGAAATGAGAGAAGAATCAAATAGACATGATAAAAAACTGATAAAGTGGATATCACCACTGATCCCACAAAAATACAAACTACCACCAGAGAATACTGTAAACATCTCTATGCAAATAAACTAGAAAATCTAGAAGAAATGGATAAATTCCTGGACAAATACACCCTCCCAAGACTAAACAAGGAAGAGGTCCAATCCCTGAACAGACCAATAACAGGCTCTGAAATTGAGGCAGGAATTAATAGCCTACCAAGCAAAAAAAGCCCAGGACCACACAGATTCATAGCCATCTTCTGTTGCAGGTACAAAGAGGAGCTGGTACCATTCCTTCTGAAACTATTCCAAACAATAAAAAAAGAGGGAATCCTCCCTAACTCATTTCATGAGGCCAGCATCATCCTGATACCAAAACCTGGCAGACACACACACACACACACACACACACACACACACACACACACACACACAAAAACATTCAGGCCAATATCCCTGATGAAAATCGATGCAAAAATCCTCAATAAAATACTGGCAAAGCATATCCAGCAGCACCTCGAAAAGCTTATCCACCACGATCAAGTTGGCTTCATCCCTGGAATGCAAGGCTGGTTCAACATACACAAATGAATACACTTAATCCATCACATAAACAGAACCAATGACAAAAACCACATGATTATCTCAATAGATGCAGAAAAGGCCTCCGATAAAAATCAGCACCCCTTCATGGTAAAAACTCTCAATAAACTAGGTATTGATGGAATGTATCTCAAAATAATAAGAGCTATTTATGACAAACCCACAGCCAATATCATACTGAATGGGCAAAAACTGGAAGCACTCCCTTTGAAAACTGGCACAAGATAAGGATGCCCTGTCTCACCACTCCTATTCCACATAGTATTGGAAGTTCTGGCCTGGGCAGTCAGGCAAGAGAAAGAAATAAAGGTATTCAAATAAGAAGAGAGGAAGTCAGATTTTCTCTGCAGATGGCATGGTTGTATATTTAGAAAACCCCATCATCTCAGCCAAAAAAATCTCCTTAAGCTGATAAGTAACTTCAACAAAGTCTGAGGATACAAAATCAATGTGCAAAAACTACAAGCATTCTTATACACCAATAGTAGACAAACAGCCAAATCATGAATAAACTCCCGTTCACAATTGCTACAAAGAGAATAAAATACCTAGGAGTCCAACTCACAAGGGATGTGAAGGACCTCTTCAAGGAAAACTACAAACCGCTGCTCAAGGAAATCAGAGAGGACACAAACAAATGGAAAAACATTCCATGCTCATGGATAGGAAGAATCAATATCGTGAAAATGGCCATAATGCCCAAAGTAATTTATAGATTCAGTGCTATCCCCATTAAGCTACCATTGACTTTCTTCACAGAATTAGAAAAAACTACTTTAAATTTCATATGGAACCACAAAAGAGACAATATAGCCAATTAAATCTTAAGCTAAAAGAGCAAAGCTAGAGGCATCATGCTACCTGACTTCAAACTATACTACAAGGCTACAGTAACCAAAACAGCATGATACTGGTACCAAAACAGATATATAGACCAATGGAACAGAACAGAGGCCTCAGAAATTACCCCACACATCTACTACCATATGATCTTTGACAAACCTGACAAAAACAAGCAATGGGGAAATGATTCCCTATTTAATAGTGTTGGGAAAACTGGCTAGCCATATGCAGAAAATTGAAACTGCACCCCTTCCTTATGACTTATACAAAAATTAACTCAAGATGGATTAAAGATGTAAATGTAAGATCTAAAAACCATAAAAACCCTAGAAGAAAACCTAGGCAATACCATTCAGGACATAGGCATGGGCCAAGACTTCATGACTAAAACACCAAAAGCAACTGCAACAAAGCCAAAATTGACAAATGGGATCTAATTAAGCTAAAGAGCTTCTGCACATCAAAAGAAACTATCATCAGCGTGAACAGGCAACCAACAGAATGGGAGAATATTTTTGCAATCTATCCATCTGATGAAGGGCTAATATCCAGAGTATACAAGGAATTTAAACAAATTTAGAAGATAAAAAACAACTCCAACAAAAAGTGGGTGAGGGAGATGAACAGACACTTCTCAAAAGAAGACATTTATGTGGCCAACAAACATATGAAAAAAAGCTCATCATCACTGGTCATTAGAGAAATGCAAATCTAAACCACAATAAGATACCATCTCACGCCAGTTAGAATACCAATCATTAAAACGTCAGAAAACAACAGATGCTGGAGAAGATGTTGAGAAATAGGAACGCTTTTACACTGTTGGTGGGGGTGTAAATTAGTTCAACCATTGTGGCGATTCCTCAAGGATCTAGAACCAGAAATACCATTTGACCCAGCAATCTCATTACTGGGTATATACCCAAAGGATTATAAATCACTCTACTATAAAGACACATGCACACGTATGTTTATTGCAGCACTGTTCACAATAGCAAAGACTTGGAACCAACACAAATGCCCATTAATGATAGACTGGATAAAGAAAATGTGGCACATATACACCATGGAATACTATGCAGCCATAAAAAGGATGCGTTCATGTTCTTTGTGGGGATATGGATGAAGCTGGAAACCATCATTCTCAGCAAACTAACACAGGAACAGAAAACCAAACACTGCATGTTCTCATTCATAAGTGAGAGTTGAAAAATGAGAACACATGGATACGGGGAAGGGAACATCACACACCAGGGCCTGTGGAGGGTAGGGGGGTAGGGGAGGGATAGCATTAGGAGAAAATACCCAATGTAGATGACGGGTTGATGGGTGCAGCAAACCACCATGGCATGTGTATACCTATGTAACAAACCTGCATGTTCTGCACATATATCCCAGAGCTTAAAGTATAATAAAAAGGCCGGGTGCAGTGGCTCACACCTGTAATCACAGCACTTTGGGAGGCCGAGGTGGGCAGAACACGAGGCCAAGAGTTCGAGACCAGCCTGACCAACGTGGCGAAACCCCATCTCTACTAAAAATACAAAAATTAGCCAGGTGTGGTGGTGCGTGCCTGTAATCCCAGCTACTCAGGAGGCTGAGACAGGAGAATTGCTTGAACCTGGGAGGCGGAGGTTGCTGTGAGCAGAGATCACGCCATTGCACTCCTTGAATGACAGAGCGAGACTCCATCTTAAAAAATAAAGTACAATAAAAAAAATTTTAAAAAGACTGGTATCAAAATATTTTTTCTTCCCTCTCCTCTCTCCAGTTGTAATGGTTGTATTAAAAAACAATGTTTAATATCAACAATACCAAATAAAATGTTTGTGTTCTAAGTTGAGTAAGAATACATCTGTTTCCATGTTAAAGCTACTTTAAATTAATGGTTTATTTTTTGTAATTACTTTTAAGTCTTAAATCAAATGTCATTTCCTCACTTTTGAATTTTAAATGCTTACTTTATTATTTACATTGCACTTATGCTTGAAATTATCTCTTTTACATATTTACTTCTTACCTTATTTTACTACTTATTTGTTTATTCACTTATTTTTTAGTGATCTTGCCAGTTTTGTTTGTCATCATTGTATTAACAGCCTGGTTTATAGAAGACATAAAGTAATTATTAAGTTAATAAATACATTAACTGTTGCAAAAGAAAAGCCATTGCTTTGATACCTATAAAATGTACCAATATCTTGAAATTAAAAATGATGGATTATTCTGTGTTCTCAGATGTCAGCAATTGACAGAACCAAGGCATTCCCTGGTCAGGGTTAGGCAAATACTTAGCTGAGTCCTAGGGGTTTCAAGGCAGTAAGGTATGATGGCTTCCAGCTTCAATGAAAGCAGTTCTCACTCAGCAGCGTTTCACAGAGATGTTCTGCATAAGCTTTTGTTTGAAGAAAGAGTTCCATTGCTTAAAAACGGGGTTGGAGTACAGTGGTAAAAACCACTGTTCTAGGGAATTTGGAGCAAATGGTAGCCGAAATGAGTTTACATGCTAAGTTATATTTACTTTTCCCTTTAAAAGTCAATGTGCTATCTTATTAATGTTTTTATACTATAGCGACATAAAATTATTTCTGCCTTGGTTTGAAGATTTGAATGATTTATGCTTTTTAGAATTTTAGAGATAAATGAAACACCTAGGCAAGATTCAGAAAACCGTTTACCTTTGGCTACATAAAAAACTGTAAGTTAAACCTTATATTGGAAAACTAGAATTTTGGCTTCAAAGATTTGTCCTTCCACTGTGTTAATCTTATATTTATATTTTATTTCCTTCTCTATAGAGAGAGCAGGTAAAAACATGTTTAGTGTTTCCTCGCTTTCCAAGTTACATTTTATCTTGAGCAGATTTAAAACGAGATTAGCTGTAATAGGACTCCAGGATGTGGGCAGATGTCTACTTGTCAAAGACAATCTCTCTTGCAATCAGCTCCTTCATTATTTCATTTGTACCACCATAGATTGGCTGAACTCTGGCATCCACATAAGCTCTGGATAAATCAGATGATTGAATGAATAAATAAAATATATTAGAAACTGTAAATTTTGTCTTACCAGGTAACTCATAAACTATTCAATTAGTGAAGTACAAACAATAAAAGTCCTTCATAAATTACTTATTTTTTCAATATGGCATTCATCCTAAATTGGAATAATAGTAAAAAAAACTATTAAGATGTTAATAATCTGTATAGCTTTGTATTAATTTGATTAAAGAGATTACAAATTCAAAATAAAAATAATGAGTATGTTTCATCTGATTTAATTTTGTAAAATTCAGCACATATGATAACACTCTTAAAAAGTCTGTTTTAGATTAGGAAATGCACAGGATGTCTTAGTTTCTTTTTATCTTTAATGTTTCCTAAAAAGTTGAAATCCACTGGTTTTATAGAAAACAAAAGAAAAAAGATACATATTTTCTAGCATTCCCACAACCACTATCACTATCAGGAATATAAACTAATGCTTTAGCAAATATTATTTCCCAGAAAGTTAACAAGTAACTTGTTTTTTGGAAATGGTTAATAGTCACTTCAGCAATGTGTGGAGTTAAAATACTAAGTGGCTGAGTCCATTGCTATACCCACACCAAAGAAAAAAAAAACCCAAATATCATAAGTTCACTTTTGATAGTCATGATAACAACCGTACCACTGTACAGTTGTTTTTATCTTTTCTCATCTCATTTTATCCTCTCAGCTCTGGGATTGGGGAGGGATAAATGTTAATACTGTTTCCCTGGTAAAGGAACTAAAGTAGAGAGAAGTTAATATATTTCCTAATTAATGGTTGCTATTTAATGGTCACCAACAACACATCATTGGCAGACTGGAATGAGGATGTAGGTATTCTGCCTCTTTTTCAAATATCTTTTTTGTATATTGCAACACTTTCATTGGCCAAAGCACTTAGAGCTAGTTATTGAACTTTGGACTTTCCTGGTAGACACACTCAAAGGCTTTTCTTTTTTTTTTCTCAAGTATAATCTTGGTGTTTTGTTTTGTTTAAATTTGATTTTTAAGACAAATTAAATGTGCCAGCTCTCTAGGAACATACCACTTTTGGACTTATTCTTCTCCATATTCATCAGGGTTCCTTACAAAGAAATGGACACTCAGTAAATATTTACTGATATGATTTACGGTGTTACAAAGGAAATTTACAATCTCAGAACTTTCTGCTGAAAGCTTTAAAAGCTTGAGATATTTATGTTTTCAAACATTTTTTTCTGAACGGATTTTGCTATTCTCTACAAAATCTAGCACCTGCATTTTGAGCACTTACCTACTGTAAGCCTACTTCAGCAGTCCCAATGCGTTTAGATATATATATATATATTTGTAAATGGGCTAGGCTTCTTTTTACATTAAAGAAGTTCCAATGGAGTAAAGCAGAGATTAGTAGACCTTTTATATGTTACTAATTAAATTTAGTCATCAACTAAAATTAACAGTGAAAGGCGGCAGCAGAAATGTTTAACCACACTGCAGTGAAGTTCTACATCTAAGGCAGCTCTTCCCAGCATGGCAGAGAAATCTTAAAATGACAAGGCTTAAATCTCACTCCTCACGGGCTCGAGCCTAATGAGTAAGACTTATTAAATAAACCCACATGCTGAAGACCAGTTATTAAAGAAGACAAAAACAAAAAAACAAAATAAAAAAGCAGAGAAAACACCTCTTATCTATGAAACCAACCCTCAGCAACATATATATAAACTAATGTAGTTTAGTCTGGGGGATATAAGAAACACAATTAGAAGATTTTTCTTTTTTTATCAAATCAAAATCTATACATTACATCCACATATTGCCAATGTGTCTATGTGGCTTTTTTGTTGTTGTTGTTGTTGTTTGTTTTTTTTTTTTTGAGACAGTCTCACTCTGTCGCCCAGGCTGGAGTGCAGTGGCGCAATCTCGACTCACTGCAACCTCCGCCTCTCGGGTTAGAGCGATTCTCATGCCTCTGGAGTAGCTGGGACTACAGGCACCTGCAACCACGCCTAGCTAATTTTTTTGTATTTTTAGTAGAAATGGTGTTTCGCCATTTTGCCCAGGCTGGTCTTGAACTCTTGACCTCAGGTGATCCACCCGCTTTGGCATCCCAAAGTGCTGGGATTACAGGAGTGAGCCACCGCACGTGGCCTCAGTGGCTTTTTTGATATTAGGCGATATATGGGAAGAGAAATAGCAGTCTAGTTTAAAAATTGATACAATCTTTGAACTAACAAACTGGCCAAGAAAGGTGATTATTGTTTCTTAAAGAGAATATAAGTCTCTCAAACTGAAACCAGAGATTTCAAATAAGCCATCAATCTACATTGTTTGCTTGGTACCAACTTGAAGGAGTTGACTCCGAGAAAACAGAGACCAAGGCTTATGCCACGCTCTAATCTTAAGCCATTTAGATGATTGCCTTCTCCCCACCTAATAGGCCTTTCTTAAATGTGAACTAAACCACACAAACATTGAGCCACTACATAGCTTCTGTTCTTAATGTAATTTTAGTAAAATATTTTTTCTAAGGACTATAAGCATATTAAATGTTTCCAATTATACTTACCAAAAAGATAAATTTGAAATCATTAGGCTGCCAGTTTGAATGTAGGTTTCATAATTTTTCCCTTTAGATACTTTATATTAAGATAATCTTAAAACATTTTTAGAAGCCTATAGCATTCTTACTCTCAGATTCAGAACAAACTGAACTTTTCTGTATAAATAAAAAATTTCCTTGGGAAAATTTTCTAAACCAAAATCATTGCTAAATAATCAGAAAAATATATTTTCTAGGGTGATGAGGAAAAAAAGCTATGGGGAGACTTCTGAGGCAAAAGACTGTTAGGAGAAAAGGAAATTCTGGAGATTGAGGAAGAAATATGAATGGGGACACTGCCTATTTACAAATTAGTACTGCTTCAAACTGATAAGAATATTCATATATGATAAAAAGATATATTTGATTTCTTTCAATTTGAAGGAAATAAATCTATTTAGAAAGAAGATTTTTAATTTTTTTAGAACAAAACAAATAATCAGATATTTAAGATATGTGACAACTTAGATCCTTTTCATATGCCAGTTAATTTTTCTGTATTGCTTTTTTTTTTTTTTGGTTTTAAAAAAAAAGTAGTATTTGGCCGGATGCAGTGGCTCACGCCTGTAATCCCAGTACTTTGGGATGCCAAGGCAGGCAGATCACTTGAGGCCAGGGGTTTGAGACCAGCCTGGCCAACATGGCAAAACCACACCTCTACTAAAAATACAAAAAAATTAGCCAGGTGTCATGGCACGCACCTGTTAATTCCAGCTACTCTGGAGACTGAGGCACAAGAATTATTTGAACCTGGAAGGTGGAGGTTGCAGTGAACCCAGATCATGCCACTGTACTCCAACCTGGGTGACAGAGCGAGACTGTCTCAAAATAAAATAAAAAATAAAAAAATTAAAAAATTTTTGAAAATACTATTTGTCCTTCTACATAAGGATTCAAATAAAGCCAAGGATCAAGCTTTTGTTTATTGGTCTCTTTACTTTATTTAAGAAAAATAAAATCCTAGTAGGGAGTTGATAAAAAAAAAGCTGTTTCCATTTGCTTGAATACATTTTGTCTGTATTCAGCTGAAAAATTCAAAAGATTGCACACCTCCTTTCCCTCTACATTTGATGTACAAAGTAAAGAAATTTTCCTTTTTCTTCACATCATAAAGAAGAGTGTATCAGAAAACTATACTTACTTTGCAATTGGGTACTCCCACATGTATCCCCAACCTCCATGGAGCTGTACACAGTCGTAAGCTACACTATTTTGTAACTCAGATGCCCTAAATGACCAAAATAAAAGGCAGAAAAGAAATGTTTGAAATGGATTTTCATGAGGTGCTTCAAAACCAGAAAACTAATTATTTACAATTGTTTAAATGTGCACATTTATTAAGCAATTAGAACGGCATATTAGCTAAGCAAAGAAGATAAAAATTACATATGAAATATATTTCAAGAGAATTTTCATATAAGAGTACCTTTTTCATTAATTATATTTCTTGCTAGGTTTTTGTTAGGCTAGAAACAAAAGGTAGAAAACTCAGATGATTAGATTTTGGCTATTTGAGGCTAGAAAAACATGCAGTAAAGACTTGAATATGTTCTAATTTATTTGGATTCTCTATATGATCTAAATTACTCAGCCACCTAGTTCTTTTTGCCCTTGTAATATGCATTTTTTCTCCAATGATGTCACTTTCTACTTGAAGATCACGATTCTGAATTTCAGTATAAAAAAGCAATTTTTTAGGGTTCTGACTTTTCAGAAATAAATTGAAGATAAAAGTGAAAACCTAAGAGGGCAGACTAACAAAGTATATGCTATCATATAGGAAACATTAGAAAATTATATAGAGATTATTATTCCTGAAGTGTATGTATTAGTATTATATATAATGTTTGTATACATAAACATGCAGTGCTTGAGAAAAATTCTTTTCTGATAATATCACAATTCTATCATTAAAATTCATGATAGAGATTTTATTCACCTTAACATAAAAATACATTAGTTCAAAATTCTTTTCTACTTATTTTTCTTTTCTTTCTTTCTTTTTGTTTGTGAGTCTGTTTTAGTGATGGAGTCTCACCCACTCTAGGGCCTAGGTTGGGATACAGTGGCACAATCATAGCTCATTACAGTCTTGAACTCCAGGGCTCAAAGGATCCTCTCACCTCAGCTTCTCAAGTAGGAGTTACTACAGTGGCAAGCTACAGCACCCCACTACTTATTTTTCAATAGTGGGAAGCATAAAGCAAAAATAAGGGTAGATACTTCTTTTTATTTAAAATAATTTAAAACTCAGACCATACGACAGGTGAGGATATTTCTAAGCAATATATTAACAATATAATTATTAATAGACAAGACTTTGGGGACAATAATATTTGGATTTCTCTAATTTTTTATATTTGGCAAGTATTTTAGTGAAATATTTACTGGGCTATAACTAGTTGCCTCCTGTGTTTCAGTGTGAAATATGAGCATGTGTATAAACCTGAGGTTTTCAAATAACAAGGTCAATGGCTATCCAAACTTCTCTTTTTCCAAAAATATGTAAATTTTTTTTACACTTTTTGCCACTAGTCAAAGAACTTCTTGTAAATGTAAATATAAAAAGTCTCCTCAAAAGTGCAAGTTTCTGAAAAGTAATTCCACATTATTTTTCAACCTGGCAATTTTGTTATTATGGGATCATTATATAAAGCACAAAATATTTCCCCTGTTCTACCTGTGATTGAACTGAACACAAGTTAATGAATAATGACAGGAATTTATTCTAAGTTACTCTTGGGCTAATGATATGGGAGAATGTTTGTTTTTAAAAAGAGGAAACCAAATCTACTTCCAGAATCTGATTTAGACTGTATATTCTAAAATCTTAAAATATACAAAAGTCTGACATACAGGGATGTTTTTTCATTCAACTCATCTTTAACACCATTGCTAATAATCTTTAATTCAAATCGAAGTCTTTCTAAACTTAATAGGATTTTTATTCTCCTTTCACTTAATAGAGCCTGTGAAACTTTGATTGGACAGCCAGTTCTTCCTGAATTTTTTCTTAAAATTGGAAAGCACCTTAAATAGAAAAATCCTGTCCAACTTAGTCATTTCACAGATAACAAAAACATTTTCCTGGATGGAATTAAGTTTAATTATAGTTATTTAATAAAAGAATTTGGACTCTATCTCAAGACTCCTAAGTTTTACTGTTCCCTTTCAGCCTCACTATACT
This sequence comes from Homo sapiens, assembly GCF_000001405.40. Classification (NCBI taxonomy): domain Eukaryota; kingdom Metazoa; phylum Chordata; class Mammalia; order Primates; family Hominidae; genus Homo; species Homo sapiens. The sequence goes on from NC_000002.12 coordinate 210,194,850, forward strand.
GCCACTCTTCAGATAATTTGAAATTAAACTATTACTTGAATGAATGAATCAGTCATCCTATCAATATCACTCTTCATTTTCCCACTCTTAATATTTTATTTTCAATAGCAAGTTAAGAATTAAATACTAACTTTGCTTGCCTATTAGGATAAAAAAATTAAATACCAACTTGAAACATTTTTAGCACATTATACATATGCTTAATGGAACTTTTTAGCATTTTTTTTTAAAGTGGAGTCTCACTTTTATTTTTCATTTCACAGATTTCTTCCTTTAAGACCCTCAAGGCTGAGCTTAAAATTGGCAGAATTCCATATCAGTCTGAGCACACACCGCACTCTAATTACTGTAGCATGCATACCAATATTTCGCCATGCAAGCAGTGGCGGAGTCCAAACGTTTCGCTTCATGCAGCTGGAGACAGTTGTCCACAAATGCTCGGGTTACACATATATGTGTTTTTAATTCTGCTAATTTATGTTGCACTGTCTTGAATTTAAAGGAAATAAAAGAAAAAAGTGAGCATGGTAGAAATATAAACTTCAACCCACTTAACATATCAGAAATTATACAATAAAAGATCTTTAGGGCAAACAAAAGTGGAATTGTTGGTTTTTTCCTCCATAAAAATGGCATTTGTTACCAAATCAGCTTAAATTTAAAACTCACTATATTTCAGTGCTAAGGAAATTTGTACTAAAAGATGCAAAAATAGTTTAAAACATAAACAATGTCTTGTTTCAGATTGTAAAATTTAGACGAGGCAAAATTCTTGAAAAACAGCATGACTTTAATGTGTGAGCACCATCTTGTGGTACAGTTATTTAGGTACAGCCGTTGAAAACACCTGTTGCTTTTTCCTCCAGAGATTAAATCCTTGAAGATTTTTTTCTTTATTAATGAAATTAAGTATACAGATTTTGCTACTCTGCTTCTAACATCTGGAGGGACAAGGGGTTTCTATATATGTTCATAAACATCAAAATATAAGGTATTATTTAATATTGCACAGTATTTAATCTAGATCTGTAGAAAGCAATAGAATAAAATCAGAGTACTAAAGAGATCAAAATCCAGTACCCTCATCCTCTTTCATCCCTTCACATTATCCCTTCTGATATGGTTTGGCTCTGTCCCTACCCAAATCTTATCTTGAATTGTAGCTCCCATAATCCCCACATGTTGTGGGAGGGACGTGGTGGGAGATAATTGAATCATGGGGGTGGGTTTGTCCCATGATGTTCTTGTGATAGTGAGTAAGTCTCATGAGATCTGATGGTTTTATAAAGAGTGGTTCCCCTGCACACGCTGTTTTGCCTGCTACCATGTAAGATGTGCTGTTGTTCCTCCTTCACCTTCCGCCATGATTATGAGGCCTCCCCAGCCATGTGGAACTGTGAGTCCATTAAACCTCTTTTTTTTTTTTTAATAAATTACCCAGTCTCAGGTATTTCTTCATAGCAGTATGAAAATGGATGAATACACCTCCCGTACCTCTCAATAGCTTGTTTAGCAGTCTCTAGCTTGGACTGAATGGTCTGGGATTATCAATGTTAATATAGCTATGTACCTACCTCCTCCTACTGGCCATGGACAACCCATTAGCATTTTTGGAAATCATTCTATTTAGACCATTCTCAATTGTTGCTGACTGTCCTTGCTTCAATCAAGCTTTATTTCATTCCTGACTCTAGGCTCTCACACTCTGAACTTGGAGTGTATATCTGTTCTCTTTGGCACTGACTCTTGAGCCTCCCTCAGGAAATTGGCTTGAACTTGAAATACTGGGTTCCCACTTTGGGTAGCTCCAAAAGTATACTCCATTCTAGTTGATTTCTTAGGTCCAAGGCCCAGATATGGTCAGCTGGCCTATCTTCTTTGTGAAAATTCAGATAGAAACAGTTCTGATCATTCTGCTGTGAAATGAGTAAGAACTTCACTGTGGCTAATAGCATATACATGGAAAGTTACAGGCAAAGGTGGTGCAGTGAAACTCAAACTAGAAATTAAACACATCCCACCTAGGTACTACCAAGTCCAAAGCCACAGCTGTGTTCTCAAAGGAGGGTGGTGGGACACATTCTCAGAAGATACATGGTCTGCTTTTAATGCTGGCTACAGCAATTCTCAAGTTATAAAACTGATTCTTTCACTGTCATTGTTGGTTGGGACAGTTTTGATACTTACCATTTCTGGAAAAGAGTAGAATGGGAGTGTAAAAAGACCCAGGACCAAGCAAGACCAGGGTGTATCAGGTGGAGTAAAGCTCTGAGGGGCAGATTCCTTACAGGTATATCAACATAACTACTGTGCTGATGAAAACTCCAACTGACTGTCTTTCCCCTGGTTTTATTTCACCCTGTTCTAGAAACAGAGAATGTAACTGGCATCGAATGATTCCAAAACTAAGCAATGAGAAGGTTGGCACCCCACTCCTTCCATCTCTGTATTCTGGCCTCTAGTTCTGAACATGCTGGGTCACATCAAAACTTTCTTCCCCGCTTATTGTTTCCCTTAATTTTTTCTATCTCCATTTCTATTCATCATATATTTAATTAGGTCAAATATCTACCCTTTAATCAGCACAAAGTTTCCCACTCCCAACCCACACATTGAAGTTTACTCTTAGACAATATAAAGATGGAACAAAAAAAGAAAAAAATAGGCAAATAATCTATATATCGAAAACAGATGAGTATTCCATGAAAATCCCTGAAGATGGTTTCTAAGCCTACTCCTAGTTTAGTTCAATGACACTATGTATGACACTTTATTTGGAAAATAAGGGTGGATCCAACAAGTCTCAAGATATTTTTTTGCCTACATGATGCCACATTTGGGAATTTATGCACTGTCTTTACAATATGAAAGAGTAAAGATATCTAAGCCTGATTCTCTCATACAAGAGTCATTCCTTTGTAAATGCTGGAAACTTCTAGAAGCTGAAGTAAAACTTCAAACCAGAATGGAATGATTTAGAATTCTTGCATCAGTGCATTCAGTGAAGTCCAGAGGTCTGAGAGAATAATGTCTCCAAGAGTACATAATTTACTCTCTGAGGATAAAAAGATTAAATATTTACATATTCTTGCCATTGGGTTGAGCGTTACTAAACAGATTTGGTCTTTGCTTTTCACTGCAGACACTGCATTATGCTTTCTGAAATCATCCTCTAATCAAAGGCAACTAAAAATTAGACCACACATTACTAGTCAAGTGCTCTTAGTGAATGATCGACAAGGTCATAGCAGTATTTTTAAGTCATTTATATTTGTTAATAAATAATACTGCAGCTAGCATTAAAAATTATTCTGAAGTTACTAAGTGGGCTGGATGGAGTCTTTTTCAGAGTTCTGAATGACAGAATTCTTAGAATTATGGAAATGGAGAACACCTTGGAGAGGTTATCTAGCCCAGTATTCATTTAAACAACAGCATCAGTTGCTCTCACATATTATGGTTAAAATATAAAATGAAACACACTAGGTTTGCTATTTGATAGTTAATTAGTCCCATGCTCAAGGTCTTAAAAACTGGATATTCCCATTTTAGACACATGTCAAGAAGAAGTATTATTTTTTTCCTCTCTATTCCTCTCCCTAATTCTTTATGCCCTTAGAATTAAGAACACATACCACACAGGAAATGACTAACCAAGAGCTCTCATTAGATTAGAAAAAACATTCCATTTTCACTTCGTTGCCCACTGAGTGAAGGAAATAGGAAAAGAAAAAAGGCCCATCTGCTTTGCACTTCTGGGCAGTAATAACAGTATATAGGTAAAGAGTGTAGGTTCTGGAATTAGAATATATGTGTAATTTGGGGCAAGTTACTTAACCTCTCTATACCTTAATTTCCTTAACTGTAAAATAAAAATAATTAAAATACTTATATAGATTTGTGAAGAAAAAGAATGAGACCATTCACTTAGCAGTGTCTGGCAGATAGGGAGCAGTCAAGCAATAATATCCATTATTATTTAACATCTGGATTTTACTGTTTTATTGTCTATTCCGCAAAAAACCATAAGATCGACATAAACTATGGAGAGCATAGATTTTAAAAATCCTAATAATTATTGCTACATCCATACGTAGGTTTCTATTCTAAAAAGAAAATAAATTTTGTGACATGCATTTCAACTGGTCAGAAAGCCCCAAAATGTCCAAAATTCAAGGATAACAAAGAGAATGGAAACTGAATAGTTATATAGTTATAAAATGACATGTGGCCAAGTATATTGTAACATTTAAAGCTCTTCTATTTCAATTGAATAACTAGATCCATAGTGTACCCAGCTCTTGAATACAAGGTATAGGTATGTACAGTATCGGTTATTCATCATCTCTGAATATACTCCTAGCTTGAAATATGAAAATATTATTCAAATATATTTATTTAGATAAAATAGGAAGATCAGAAGACATATCTCAGAAATCTCAGAACATATAAACTTACTTGGAAAACAATACTACTAGCTATCAATAATGTGACCTGTGGAAGTAGAATGCTACTGCCACCTACTGAAAGTTTAGGGAACTAACTTTGAAAGAAGGCAACAATAAAATGATACTTCTTTAAAAAGGAATGATTAAAGTTATTTATTTTTTGCTATTAAAATACAATAAATATATATTTTAAAAGAATATTTTTCCCCTATGAGAAAACAATATGGACCACTTTCCTATTTCCTTCATGGTTAAATGTCAAATTACATGCCTTCTGAGCCATTCAGGCAATCTGGGTAATAATATAGTCATCCTTGTTGTAATCTAGTATTAAGTTCATAAACACAGGAAATGTAGATTTCCAAAGGAATGGAAACATGTCTTTTGGTTCAACTGTTATACCTTTAGCCAAAATAAGGCTAAAGGTATATTTTTGTTTTTGTATTCATTTTTGTGGGGAGCAGGGAGACAGGGTCTTGCTATGTCACTCAGGCTAGAGTACAATAGTGAGATCTCAGCTCACTGCAACATCTGCCTCCAGGGCTCAAGCGATCCTCCCACCTTAGCCTCTTGAGTAGCTGAGACTACAGACACACACCACCACACCTGGCTAATTTTTGTATTTTTTGTAGAGATGAGGTTTTGCCACGTTGTCCAGGTTGGTCTCAAAGTCCTGGGCTCAAGCAATCTGCCTGCCTAGGCCTCCCAACGTGCTGGGATTACAGGTGTGAGCCACTATGCCTGGCCTTGGTATAAGTGTTTTAGTAAACATTTTTGATGTTTAAGTGGTGGTGGTTGGATTTCAGAAGCAAATGATACTCATTCCACTTTGGGTACAGTTGAGAAAATCAGAGTGATATCAAGTGGTAACACTTCCTTCATATTGCCAGGAGCGTAGTATGTGTTTCTAGAGTTACACCCATCAAATTACAGTTGAACACATTACCCTTAGGAGGCAATCAATATATATTTGTTCAGTGAACCAAAAAGGAAAAAATCATATATGTCAGTTTTTCTCAATGGGAAATTATTGATATTTTGAGTGACACAATTAGTTGTAATCCAAATGTGAATTACAGGACATTTAACAACACTGTCCTCCAGGGCACTATACAAGTTATACCTCCAGTCAACTGTGCACACCCACCTCCACCTCATTCCTGACATTTCTAAACACCTGAGTGAAAGGGCATTCACTGAGAACCTCTGATACGTGTAAATCAGTGATCCATAAATGAAAGGGAATATAAAGTATAACATCCTTGCTCTTAAGGAAATCAGAATTTAATCAAGTCAAGTCATACTGTTTTGTTAAATGTTTTCTTGATTGAGTGTACCTCATTTTTAGAGATTCAGAACAACTGTTTTAGGTTTGTTATGTCAATAAGAAAAGTTAGGATGTAAAGACTTTTTTTCAGGATGGAAAAAGTTAATTTGATGACAATACCGGTAGCAAACAGTTCCCAAAACGACAAAGAGAGGGTCTAGATCAAGAGCAAGAGGAAGTAGATGGTAAAAAGGTCTCCCATATTGAAACAAAATGGAGCAAGGCATTATGTAAGGAATAAAATAAGGATAACAGCTAATTTTAATGTGGGCTTACTTTGCCAGGCAATATTCCAAGCGCTTTATGTATATTACCCCATCTAATTGATAGAGACAGGAGACAGCCGAGGGTCTCTGGTGAAACCCTGCCTTCAAGCCTAAACAGCCTAAAGGCTGAAAAACCCGACTGCTGGTCCCAGATGAAGCCTGCCCTTTCCCAACTGATCCTTTCTGAATAATGCCCACCTGTGCACTGGGAGGACGGGGTGGAGCCTCGGGAAGTTCACACTGTTTGCAGAGGAGAGGAGCCTAGCCTCTCCTGTTCCTGTGTGATGACCTAGGATTCAATCTGTGAGGCAGGAGAACTGCTCGCAGGACTTTCTTTCACTTTGCTGAGAGTTCCTTTCTCCTTTTCATTTAATAAACCCTGCCCTACTCAATCTACAATGTGTCTGCGTGCCCAAATTATCCTGGTCCTGTGACAAGAACCCAGTTTTTTCTACAACATAATCCTCACAACAACGCTATGAGGCAGTCTCTGATATTCACAAGTAGGAAAATATTTTATAAATATTTACAAACGTTATAAATTTTAAAGATTTATAGTCAAAATTTTACAATTTTGCAAATCAAATACATTTTATATATTTACAAATAGGAAACTATTTTTGAGAGAGAGAACACGACTAGACTACGGAGATTCAAGTAGCTGTGTTAGGACATAAACCACACTTGAACATAATTTCTAGAATGCTGGTTCTGAAAAGCCACCAAGTTGTTTCATTTCTACCTTTCCCTTCACAAAGCCTTTCAGCCAGTCATTCTACTTAAAAATTTTTAAGTCAAATCCCAACTCCAGGTTTTTTGCTGGTGAGATGTTTTGCCAATTTGATGACCACATGAAGGAATTATAAACTATTCCTTCATTTAAAAAGAAACTATAGGGTCTAAAATTTAATTAGCATATTTAGTGACTGCGGCCACTATATACTGAGTTCTTTTGCAAAAACCCTCAAGTTCCTGGGAAAACTCAATCCTAGGTAAACACAATCATCTGTCTTTTCTCTATGTTTGTACCTGGGAAGCTAAACTCTTATCATAAAGCTGATTGATACACAAAAAGCAGAAAGTAGTTTAGTTTCTCATTCTGAAGAAGATATTTCATACCTCCCTCACCCTTCTGCAACACCTCCATGCCTCCTTCACTCACCTGTCTTTCAAGGACTTTCTCTATTGTTATTTATTTATTTATTTGTTTATTTTTGAGATGGAGTCTTGTTCTGTAGCCCAGGCTGGATGGAGTGCAGTGGTGCGATCTTGGCTCACTGCAACCTCTACCTCCTGGGTTCAAGTGATTCTCCTGCCTCAGCCTCCCGAGTAGCTGGGATTAGAGGTGTGCACCACCATGCCTGGCTAATTTTTGTATTTTTAGTAGAGACAGGGTTTCACCATGTTGGCCACGCTAGTCTCGAACTCCTGACCTCAAGTGATCTGCCTGCCTCAACTTCCCAAAGTGCTGAGATTACAGGCGTGAGTCAGTGTGCCTGGCCACGTTATTTAAAGAAATAGAAGTCTTCTATAAAGAACTTTTGTAGTTTTCTACCAACAGAGTGATGTATCTGTCTGAACTCATAGATGTCCTTTGCTCCTTTCTTCCTGTGCAAATGAAGGAATCCCTCTCCTGTTGATGGGAAGGCCTATCTTTCCATGTGTCAGCATCCACAAACTCACCCTTTCTCAAAGACCTTACGCAGTTGATTATTTCCTTCCTATCTACAACCTTTCCCTCTTTATTAAATCCTTTCTTTATATACAGGTATTAAAATATGCACCCGCATTCCCATCCTAAAAATAACGACAAAAAATTAATAACTCCCAAATATCTCCCTTGAATCTCAAATCTCCTTCCCCTCCCCTCTTCGCTTACCACCCTTTCTCTCAACTACCATTCACAGCCAAACTCAGGAAAGAGTTGCCTACCATCAGTATTGTTTTACGTCCTCATTTCTATCTACTCATCGGGTGTGTCACCCTCCACCTCCATTAATGGCTCTTACTAAATAATCTCCATATCATTGTATTCAATGAACACTCTTTGCCCTTCGTCTTATTTTTCCCCTAAGCAGCAATTGATCCCACTCCCTACTCCATGAAGCCCTCTTTCCTTCCAGCTTCTGTGACAAAGCTCTCCTGATTTGCTTTCTCCTTTCTGTTTATTCATTCTCAGTCATCTTACAGGCTCCTCCTTTTCAGACAATATGAATTCCAAATATGAATTCTACCTTTAAATCTTGTAGTCTTCCTCAAGGACTGTGTCCTAAGACCACTCCTGTCTTACTCTCTACTATCTCTCCTTAGTGATCTCATCCACTTCCATGGTTTCTAATATCACCTTACATGAAAATAACTCCAAACTTCTATTTACCCCAGGCCATTTCAGATTAGTAAACTGATACCATCTAATACTAAACCACAGTGACAAGCTTACCTGTAGGTGAGCAACTGTTTTGCCAAAAGCTTTTCTTTGTTTAACATAGTTCCTGGTTTCTTCAAACATGAATTCACTAGCTGAAATTGCCACATCAGCAATTAACAGCCTTTCCTATAACACAAAAATTAGGTCTTAAACATTACTCTAATTATGCAAGTGATTTTCACACAATTTCAATTACGATAAATCCTATAAATTATCTTTATAATAAACTCATAAAGATTAATTTATATCTTAACTCCTTATAAGAAAACAGATTTATGAGATTCTTTTGACATATCTCTAATCACTTTCTAAAGCAAATCCTTTATTTTTATGAATGACTACCTTTATTTTTTTATAATCTTTTTAAATTTTTAAGAGACAAAGTCTCACTCTGTTGCCAAAAATGGAGTACAGTTGCACAATCATAGTTCATTACATCCTGGAATTCCAGGGCTCAAGTGATCCTCCCACCTCAGCCTTCCGAGTAGCTGGGACAACAGTCACATAACACCATGCCCATGAATGACTGTCTTCATTATATATATGCAATTTAATTTTTCTTCTCTTTACTCACATGTGAGTTAAAAACAATCCCCAGTTGCTTATTTCAATTTATTAATCTCTGCACACTGTATGACTCAATATATCTGTGGAAATAAACATCTTAAAGCACATAAGTTAAATTCTACCTATTAATGTAAAAGTAGCCTTAGTCAGTTTGATTCCATCATGCTGGTGTTTTTCATGGCAGTCACTAGGCAGGAGTACCCCCTTACACTGGCATCTGAGGCTCAATAATCACTTGTCAACCATACTTTAAAACCATAGCTGTTTAGGGACTGACCCTATGTGGCTAAAACTTTTCAGTCTGAATTTTATACTTTTCCCTTTGATTCACAGTTATTATTTAAAAACTGGCAAACTATCAAATGTTTTGCAAGACATTTCCTTACAAAGAGCTAAAAGTTTTTGAATTGTAGTTAAGAAGCTAAAATCATTCTAAGAAGGAATCACAGAACTGAAATATCTGTTTTTCCTACTTACTTTATAAGCTTTGATTGGATATTACTGAGTTCAGTTATTTACTTAACTACCCTATAAAACTCATACTTTTATTACAACTTTAATACTCAAATGATTAGCTATTTCACAAGTTTTGCATGTATAAATTTGAATGCATAATATAGAAATAACATGTTTCTATATTATTCTATTCCAATTCATTATTCAGTCAAAAGATGGAATCTTTAAACACTTCTGACCTGTGGAAGCTCTTTCATGATGTAATAGAAGCCTTTATTCTCTTCTCCAAGTAGGGCACTAGCTGGCAACCGTATATCTTCAAAGAATAGTTCTGCGGTATCCTAAGAGACCATACAAAAAATGTAGAGAATGGTCTCATTTAAATCTTCCAATAACCCAGTGAATATTGAAGTGAATATTATTTTTTCCAAAAAAACAAAACACAAATTGGAAGCCAAGTTGGAGTAGTTAATGAACATAACTAGTAAGTGGTAAACCAGGGATTTGAACCCACAGCCATCTGATTCTAAACCTTGTGGCTTTCCTACTGCAATACACTATCATTCCAGCTCTAATACTGTCCAGTTCTCAAGGTACTTGGAACTAAGGATTTCTAATACATATTAAGCAAAACATGCATTTTTGGTAATGTATAGAAAGAACATTTTCTGGGTTTTTTTTGTTTGTTTGTTTTATTTTTTTTGAGACAGAGTCTCATTCTGTTGCCCAGGCTGGAGTGCAGTGGCGTGATCTTGGCTCACTGCAACCTCTGCCTCCTGGGTTCAAGTGATTCTCCTGCCTCAGCCTCCCGAGTAGCTGAGACTACAGGTGCCTGCCACCACACCCAGCTAATTTTTTATTATTAGTAGAGATGGGGTTTCACCATATTGACCAGGCTGGTCTTGAACTCCTGACCTCAGGTGATCCGCTGGCCTCAGCCTCCCAAAGTGCTGGGATTACAGGTGTGAGCCACTGTGCCTGGCCACACTTTATTTTTATTTCATATTTTTCTTTAATGCATTTTACAAATAGATGGCTTGTTACCATGCAGTTAATTTTGCCATTTCTAAAACAGATATTCAAAATACCTTGATTCATTTCTATTGCTGACCATCAGAAAGATAGAGTGGTATAAATGAGAATAAATCTCATTACCACATCAGAAAAGCATATTTTAGGAATTCAGCATAGGAAATAAAATTGTGCCACATGTAATCCTCTATGTAAGTCTCCTATCTGATTAACAGTAAACTCAATTAGTATCTGAATATGATTTACATTATCACTCACCTGGGCTTTTAATCCCATTTTATGTAGCTTTCGTCCCTTGATAAATCCTTTCATTCCATTTTCCACCAGAAAAAGGCTAATACCATGGGCAGGGGAGGGAGCTTCATGATTTGTGACCGCAACTACAATCACAACATCACTTAATGACCCATTACTGATGAACACCTGCAAAACCCCAAGTACATTATTAATGCACCATGATAATTCAATTCTATGTGCAAGTTATGATTGGGAGAAAGTATATTACAGAAAACTAAAACAGACAAGACATGCTTGATACCTCTCTCTGTACCCTACCCAAATATCTGCAAAGTTGATTATTCACACATGATGTTATCAAGGATCAGGGGAAAAATTACTTAATGCTTCAAAGAATGAAACCTATAGATTTTCTTTTCACTATTAATATTATACATAATAATAATAAACAGAGATTATTATGTTCTTTAAAAATGAAACCAAATTGTCTATTATGATGATAAATTGTATTTTAGAAGGAAGCCACTGATAAGAAAAGAAAATCTGGCCGGGCCCGGTGGCTCACACCTGTAACCCCAGCACTTTGGGAGGCCGAGGCAAGAGGATCATTTGAGCTCAGGAGTTCAAGACCAGCCTTGCCAAAATAGTAGAGACAAAAAAATTAAAAATTAGCTGATGTGGTAGTGTGCACCTATATATAGTCCAAGCTACTCAGGAAGCTGAGGCAGGAGGATCGCTTGAGTCCAGGAGTTTGAGGTTACAGTGAGTTATGATTGTACCACTGCACCCCAACCTGGGTGACAGAGTGAGACCCTGTCTCTAGAAAAAAAGAAAAGAAAATAAAAGAAAAATAAAAAGAAAGAAAATCTGCTGTAAATGGCACTATATTATTTATTCTCAGATTTATCAGTTTTTGAAAAGGACTATTTTTGATTTTTGTAATTGATATCCTGCTTCCTTTAAAATGGTCTAAATAGGAAACTATGATTAAGGAGGGAAAAATGACAAGCCAAATGAGAGGGATTATCAGATGATATTGATACAGAAAACAGTATACTCAGAGCAAATATTAATAATTATCTTCTCATTCTGCATCTTTCCTGGTTCATCTCAATCATTTTCACGGCTTGAGTCACCCTCTACATGCTGATGTCTCCAAATCTTTATTTAAGCCATGTTTCTTTTCTTTTTTTTAGAGACAGGGTCTCTCTCACCCAGGCTGGAGTGCAGTGGTGTGACCATAGCTCTTTGCAGCCTCAAACTCCTGGTAAGCCACATTTCTTGATAGGACCTGGACCTGAATAAGTACTTGCTTCTGGATAGTTCCACCTGATGACTCATGGGCAGGACATATTCCTTCCCACCCCTACTCCTATCCAATCCTGATTATCAACCTATTTCCCTATCTCAATGAATGCTTCAATAAATTACATTATCATCCTGCTTCATATTCAATTCAGCATCTAGTTTTTTCTAACCCATCTTAATACTTTTGGAATTTATTCACTTCCTTTCAAGTCTATTGTAATTACCTTATTTCCAGCCCTCATCATTTCTTAAGTTCCTACAACTGATCTCTCTACAGCTGTATCATTCATCATGATGTCAAAGAGATTTTTCTAAATGCAATCTGATCATATCACCTTCACACTTAAAAATTTTTGAATAGCTCCTAATAGGCTTCAGGATAAATTCAAAACCTTTAGCAGGAAATAGAAAACTTATCACAAACTGGCACTAGCTTACCTCTCCTTACCTGGCTTATTGCTTGTCCCACTTTCCCCAATTTCCTCTTCTTCAGTCAGCTCTACTAAACTACTTGCTGTCCATCACGTTGCGAGGTCTTCCTGACCTATGAGTCTTTGAAAATCTTGTTTCTGCTACTTGGGAAAGGCCCTTTCCCAACTCTGCTGCAATGAATTGTACTCATCCTGGGTGGTTTAGACATCAGATTGGCCAAAAGGTCTCAAATTCTCCAGGCTGGGTTAAGCGGTCCTACAACACCTCAAATTTACCAAAATGATCTGTTTTTATCTCTCTCTCTTTGAAATAGTAGGGGTATAAAATGATGTTGGTTACTCCCATCACCTAAAATGCACAGCACTGATACATACAAATAATGAAAAATGGGCAAATAATGTTAGTGTTGTCTACACAACAGCAAATGAATATAGTGGTGGCAGTATGGTTATAGGTGACACAATAATAAAAGATCATCAACGTGCCTCCTTACTAGGAGCTCATAGCCATTTCCTATTCATATATCTATCTTAAGTGCTTAGAATTCTTTTTGGCACAGAGGAGGCCAAAGGATGTTTTAAAAATATATTTTGAAAAAGATGTTCCTCAAAAAAATTCTATACAACTTGGCAAAAATATTTTTTCAACAGTATTGCTCCATTACACGACTCCCTTGCTCAAAAACCTTATAAGTCTACCAAGCTCCTACCTTTCTGTCTAGTTCCTAATGTCTGTATAGCTGCCACAGTTGAAATGCTATGAGTGCTTTTTTGTTTGTTTTGCATCACACAGCATCCAGGAATTAGTATCTACAGTATGCTCTCAAATGGTCTCATACATGTTTTAACTACAGATAATAAATAAACAATGGAATAGAAAGGAAGGGAGGAGAAATTCATTGGGCAAAAACTATTCATTTTAATATGCTGAGCTCAATTTGGTAAATCAAGTGGAGTTCTCCAGAAGTTCTTATTGGAAGTAATTATAGCAAAGGATTAATAAAATCTGAACCATTTCTACAACAGTGCGACCTAAAGTGAGTTTAAACACCATGGTGGATCCCCCTTTCTAATAGAGTTATATGAGAATTTTCCTTGCAAGTGGACTTTCTCAGTTTGTTTCCTAATTATGACACTCCAAAGTTTGAATAGGGCTGAAATTATCCCTAATGAGGGCCAACATTTTTGGGTGGTAGGAGGATATTAAATGCTTATAAAATAACAGAAAATCATTGCAGATATTGTATAGAGAATGTAAAGTTCAAAAGAAAAAGGAAAATATAATTCTCCATAAGTACATAATACAACTATCATTGATAATTTCCTTTCTCATATTTTTAAATTTTAATATAGTAAAAATGTTCCTATACTTGCATTCTATATCCTGTTTTTTCACTTAATGTATAATTATTTCCTGTACTGTTAAAAACTTTGTGTTGCTAGTGTTAATGGCTGCACATTCGTTCAGATGCACCGTATTTGCTTACCCATTCCTTTACTTTTACTTGCTTTCAGTTTTTTGCTATTTCTAATAGAGTTTTTGAAACAGAGTCAGTGGTACTTTTCCTGTGTGGTTCCCACAAAACCCTATGGCTGAGCAGACGAGGTCTGCTTAGAGAGCTAGAGGCATAAGAGAATGTGGTTCCCATTTCACTTCTGACCAAATATCCCACTCCCCTTTCAAAACAAGCCTTCTATATGTGAGGAGTTAACTGATTATATGTTGGAGCTATCATCCGTTTAATTATAATTCTTAGGAGAAATTATTTAAACAAATATTTATTAAAGTATATTTGAAGAACACCAGTGATTCAATTTTGTAAATACAGAGATAATAGCCCAAACTTATAAAAACTAATTCTTCAACAGACCTTGGCACATATTTTCAGAAAGATTGTTTTAGAACAGTAAATAAAATGAACATCTTTCCTTCACGTAACACTCAGTCAACAACAAATATTTACTGAGTATATACCAGATACCATTTCAGGTGGGCAATATCACTTGCCCTCAGTGATATCAAATGCATTTGCCCTCATTGATATCAGAGATCCTGAGCCCATTTGTAACCTTAATTGGAAGCGCTCTCCAATTCTACCAGTGAGTTGATTAATTTAGTAGAACTGAATGGTTCTCAAATGGCTCTCAAATTCTATCACTGTATCACTGATATCTTTTTCTCCTAGGATCTTTTTTTTTTTTCTTTGAGAGGGGGTCTTACTCTGTCTCAACCTCCTTGGCTCAAGTGATTCTCCCTCTTCAGCCTCCTGAGTGAGTAGCTGGGACCAAAGGGCACACCACCATGCCCAGCTAATTTTTTTAGTTTTTACTTTTATAGAGACAGGGTCTCACTTTGTTGCCTAGGTTGGTCTCAAACTTCTGGGCTCAAGCAATCTCTTGCTTCAGCCTCCCAAAGTGCTGCGATTACAGGTGTGAGCCACTGTGCCTGGCCTTCTCCTAGAATCTTTTGAAATTCTTCTTGATCTATATGAGAAAGCTTTTCCCCCAATCTTTTATCAACATAAAGTTTAAGTATTATTAATATTTGTCCCACATTTGGGCAATGTGAGCCTCACCTTGTCTTTTTCTGGTTTAATAAGGGCTGTTTGGAAGCTAAAACAACCTTTGCCATATTAGTGAGGGGGCATGCAAAATGAAATATAGAAGAAGCTACCACAGATCTTAAGTAATATATGTTGTAAATTTACTGTCTCCAAAACAACTTAGATAAATTCAATTCCTGCCTGAGTCCCTAGATTTAATAGAATTAATGAGTTGTCTTTGAGACATTGTTACCCATGGCATGACTCTGAAAAGAAGGGCTATAGAAGTCCTTTTTTACACACCTTGCTTCCATTGAGAATCCAGTCACTTCCATCCTTTTTAGCATTTGTTTTTATTCCCTGTAAGTCACTGTAATTGAAAGAAAAGATAAAAAATTCATCAAATGATAAAAATTAAATTATACAAATGATATAAGTATGTATGTAAATTAGATTATTCAAACTGGCTACACCATTATAAAATTGCTGAGTATTAAGAATGTTCACACAATTGCACTGAAAAACCATGCTGATCTATTATATTCTAAAGCACTTATACAAATAAATATATGATTAAGATTTATTATATAAATTAGCCAGGTTTTATACAGTAGTATAACAAAGCCCAACTAACATTCGAGACCCCAGTGGGACTCACATAACATTTCAAACCTCACTGTATCCCTGAGATTACGTGTCACCATGTACTTTGCTGCCTTTAAACACCTTGGTTCCTTCCCCTGTCTCTATTGATCAAAAATTTAGCTATTAGGCAGGGCATGGTGGCTCATGCCTATAATCCCAGCACCTTGGGATACTGAGGCTGGAGGACTGCTTGAGCCCGGGAGTTTGAGACCAGCCTGGGCAACAAAGCTAGACTCTATCTCTACAAAAAGTTAAAAAATTAGTTGGGTGTGGTGGCACACGCCTGTGGTCTCAGCTACTTGGGAGGCAGAAGTGAGAGGATCACTTGGGCCTGAGAGGTTGAAGCTGCAGTGAGGCATGATCAGGCCACTGCACTCTAGTCTGGGTAACACAGTGAGAATTTGTCTAAAAAAAAAAGAGTATGTCTCAAATGCCATTTTTTTCTAACAAACCTGCTCTAAGTGTAGAATAGATTATTTTTCTAAATATAAGAGAAACAAATATTAGTAAATAAAATATTAAGAACACAGCAGTCCAAAGGAGAAAAATAATTTTAAAAATAATTTTATCTCCTGGAATGAACATTTTAAAGGTATATCTTTCCAATATTTTTCTATGGACATAACTATACATATATATGCATTTTTATAAAACTGGAACCATATAATATGATTTTGATCTGTTAACAATATCTAATGACTTCTTATTAGCTGAATAGAGCATCATCATGGATTTACCATAATTTTAAGAAATAATCCCCTATTGTTAAAACACTTAGGTCCCAATTTTTATTAATATCCTATAATAAACAGCAGAGTGTATAAACAGTCCACATTACTTGTGTAATTTTTCCAATTTGTCTTCTTTATGTGGGTGATATGGTTTGGCTCTGTGTCCCTACCCAAATCTCATGTTCAATTATGATCTTCAGTGTTGGAGGAGGGGGCCTGGTGGGCTGATTGGATCATGGGGAAGGACTTTCCCCTTGCTGTTCTTGTGACAGTGAGTTACTTATCATGAGATTTGGTTGTTTAAAAGTGTGTATGTAGCACATCTCCCTTCTCTCTCTTCCTCCTTCTCTGGCCATGTAGGACATGACTGCTTCCCCTCTGCCTTCTGCCATGACTGTAAGTTTCCTGAGGCCTCCCAAGCCATGCTTCCTATACAGCTGGTGGAACTGTGAACCACTTAAACCTCTTTTCTTTATAAATTACCCAGTTTCAGGTATTTTTTATAGCAATGCAAAAACTGAGTAATAAATACAGTGGTGTTTTTATTTTATGCCCCTCAGCATTTTTTTTTTTTTTTTTGAGACCGAGTTTTTCTCTTGTTGCCCAGGCTGGAGTGCAATGGCACAATCTTGGTTCATTGCAACCTCTGCCTCCCCAGTTCAAGTGATTCTCCTGCCTCAGCCTCCCCAGTATCTGGGATTACAGGCGTATGCCACCATGCCTGGCTAAGTTTTTTGTATTATTAGTAGAGACATGGTTTCACCATGTTGGCCAGGCTGGTCTTGAACTCCTGACCTCAGTTGATCTGCACACCTTGGCCTCCGAAAGTGTTGGGATTACAGGCGTGAGCCACCGCACCTGGTTGCATTTTTTTTTTTTTTAAATCACTCTCTGTATTAGGCTGAATAATGACCCTAAAGATATCAGGTCCTATACCCTAGAGGCTGTTGTACCTTACATGGAAAAAGAATCTTGCAGATGTGATTAATTTAAGGATGTTGTGATAGAGAGACTATCATGAATTATCTGGATGAGCCCTAAATGCAAACATGAATGTCCTTATAAAAGAGAGGTAAAGAGAGATTTCATAGACAGAAGAGAAGGCAATGTGACCACAAAGGCAAAGACTGCAGTGACGAGGCAACAAGGCAAGGAACGCCAACAGCCACCAAGAAATAGAAGAGGAAAGGAGTGGATCCTCCCCTATAACCTCTGTAGAAAGTGTGGCCCTCCTGATACCTTGATTTGGGCCCAACAATACTGATTCTGGACTTTTAGCCTTCAGAACTGTAAGAGAATAAATTTCTGTGTCTCAAGCCACCAAGTCTCTGCTAATTTGTCACAGACGCCATAAAGCAACAAATATACTCTCTTAGAGCCATTTACTTTGAATTTCAATTATAATAAAAAGGAATTATCTTTCCCACCTACCACACTTATCTGACTCAAGTTTTTTGAGAACATGTGGTGTATCAAGATCATATTTATATGCTTGGTGCCTAGCATGCTGCTTTGTACATAACGGGCACTCAATAAACATTTGTTAAATTATATTATTAAAATGCCAAGTATACAGAAAAGAATTAATATAGCAGGCCTGAGACTGCTATCCTTAGAAAGGCCTGTTACAACATTGTCCGTGGCTAACATCTGAGAATCTGGATTTCAGGAGAGTTCCCACCATTCCCAGTACTCATAAGAGTGGCTTACTGTCTGAACTGTTTGCGCAAACAATTTGGCTTATGCTGAATACCTGCTTTCCTTTTAGGGATCTGAACTTTTGGTACATGCCAGGCAGAGGGTGCCTATATGACCGACCTCCACTATAAACAAGAGACTGTGCCCAGCCTGAATGCTATTGTATTCTAACATCATATTTTTCATCATAAGTATGTATAAAGTATCGGTAACTAATGTCTGTACATAGTTTATTAAAACAATTCTTCTATAGCTGGGTGTGGTGGCTCATGCCTGTAATCCCAGCACTTTGGGAGGCCAAGACAGGCGGATCACCTGAGGTCAGGAGTCCAAGACCAGCCTGGCCAACCTGCTGAATCCCTGTCTCTACTACAAATACAAAAATTAGCTGGGCATGGTGGCGGGCGCCTGTAATCCCAGTTACTTGGGAGGCTGAGGCAGGAGAATAGCTTGAGCCTAGGAGGTGGAGGTTGCAGTGAGCCGAGATCGCGCCATTGCACTCCAGCCTGGGTGACAAGAGCGAGACTGTTTAAAAAAAAAAAATTCTTCTATACAGGGACATATCAAAGGAAATAAAGGTAATGACATAGCTCAGTTTGTAAATTTTTCCTAAATTTTTGAATGTTATATATGAAATATTAAAAATGAAAACGTATACTACTTAGTAAAGCCAACAAGTTAGACCCTCACAATAATCTTCTTCAGTATCATTTTCTCAATTTCATTGATAAGAGACATTGAAGCTCAGAGATTTTTACCCAAGATCACACAGCTGGTGTCAGAACACTCTGGCTCCAAAGATGTCAACAATTTGCTCTATGAACTTGGTCAAAATACTTCATTTATTATTTTCTGTTTCCTTCTTATACAGAAATCATATCTCTATATTCCATATATCTTATTATAATAGCCATATAATAAAATCAACATGAGATCAGGTGCAGTGGCTCACACCTATAATCTTAGCATGTTGAGAGGCTGAGGCAGGAGGAATGCTTGAGTCCATGAGTTTCAGACCAGCCTGGGAAATATAGCGAGACCCCATCTCTATTTCTTTAAAAAATAATAAAATAAACATGAAAGCATTTATAAAATGCTAAAGTAATACAACATACAAAGATACATAATTATATATAATGAAGCTTTCCTCCATGGAAGGGGAAAGGGCCAGTGAAACTCTGGATGTTTTTCAACAATTGCAACATTTTTTTCTGTGGAGGCCAAATCAAACCAAAAATATAGACAGTGCTCAATCCATCTCTGAGGGCAGGCAAAATGAACCATATTCCATCTTCTATCTTCTTTTCTTCCCACGTGTTTTTCCCTATTTCATGCCAATTTCATGCCATAATTCCGTAATTCCTCAACACTCTATTACTCTTCTTCATCTGTGGCTTTTCTCTGTTCTTATATTCTCTTACCCACATGGGCTCTTTGCTCATCTCTCTAAATACCTGACTTATTTACTATATCCTCTCATGACTTTCAATGACCTTCCAAAAAAGAAAGAAAGAAAGAAAGAAAGAAAGAAAGAAAGAAAGAAAAAGAAAGAAAGAAAGAAAGAAATCTGCTTATTTTCTCCATCTTCATTCTCAGGTTTCCTTCTTAATTATATACACTTAACCACAGATAAGGCCAGAGACTTTAAACAAAAATCACATGAACCTTTGTTTGCATGTATAAATTAGAGATAAATCAAGATTTCATTTATTCTATAGCCTCTTTTTGAGAGCTAATATGCAATGAGCTGGAAGTGGAACATGCTAACCACAGAGCTAATACAACTCAATCTGAATATTGGCAGTCAGTCAGGTAGTTATCTTAGAGAATGAAATTAAAAGCAAATTTTAAGGAACAAGGTTAAATTTCTACTTGTTTAGATCACACTTGTAGGCAACAGAAGTGAACAGAAACCTTTAATCTTTGACAAAATTGTTAGTATTGACCTATAATTAGGGATTTATATCTTAAAAAGATAAATACAATGTAAACATATTGCAAGTCATGCTATAGAATATTAAGAGATTTAAAAATAAATAACACTGTCAGAAAAGAAAATCTTACAATAAAAAAGGAGGGCCTGACCTCCGCAAAAACAATTCCTGGATTTTCACTTACACTTCTTTGGCATCTTTAAGTTCTTTCTTTGCACTATTTGCTTTCTGTTGACCCACAAGTTGCTGCTGTCTTTAACATAAATAATTTCCCTTACCAGTTAGCCTCAAACCACTGCCCCCTCTCTACATTTCCTTTTACCACTCAGCTCTGAGAAAGATTACTTTGTGTTCTCTGCCTCTGTTTTCTCAACAACCACCTCACTCCCATAAAAGGTAACTTCTGCCCCTCCACCCCACTGAAATCACAAAGGATCATCAGGCCTGCCAAAACCTCTTCTCCATTCTCAACATCACGGTGGCCTTGACATTACTAACTTCTTTCTCCTTTCCTACAGCCTTTCCAACTGACTTCTCTTCCTACTCATGTCTAGATTTCTTTAAAACTCTCAATCCTTCTGTCTCTCTTGCTCCATCTTCTTTTGTACAGTTCCAAATGAAATATAATGCCCAGATTTTCCTCCTTGGTCCCTTTTTTGTGTTTCATTTTTCCTCTTGAGGATCAGGTCCCACTCTGTGGAAGCTCTTTCTCCCATTCTTATAAAACTGGTTTCTTCTCATTTGTCAAATCTCAGTTTAAATACAACCACTTTTTATAGGCCTTTGTTAGCATTCACATCTAAATTCGTTTTTCCCTATCCCACCAAACACAAACATACCATTAGTCTACAGCACACTACTTTGTTTCCTTCACAGTACTTCATTTCCTTCACAGTACTTATCATAATTTATAGCTACAAATATATATACTTGCTTATTTCTTGCCCTTGCCCTTCTCCTCAATAAGCACAGAGGCCACATCTGTTTTGTTCACTACTGTATACCTGGCACACTGAAGACACTTATGAAATAACCAGCAAATAACTGAATATGTGATCTTATTCATTCCTATTGTATCAACTCTTATAAATGAAAGACTTTTAAAACCTATTGCTACTCCATCCTTGTCTCCAGAATTCCAAATATACCTCTGTAACAAACTGCTTGGCATTTACATGTGAATCTCATCCTACACCTAAAATTCATTATGGTGAAAATTCAACTTACACACTACCATTTTCTTTGCATAAAACTATGTTAATATCTCAAACATAGCTTACATTATAATCCGCTTTATTGTTATTTTCCGACTTGAGGTCATGAATTATCCCGTGTTCATCTTTGCCTTCCTCCTAGCATATAGCTCAGTCTATGTATTAACCAAGTACTAAGAAAATGTTAAGGCACTGCTTCCAAGAATCCAAAGCCAACTAAATATTAACTTACCTTCCAGCTCCAGGCTCTGTCATTGCTATTGCACCAATACATTTGCCTGCAGTCATCTGGGGAATAAAGTGCTTAATCTGTTCTTCTGAGCCATGGTTTGTAATATAGGACATGACAATACCTGAATGAATACTAAAACCTGGGCCTGAACAATTTGAATAAGCTCTTAGAATGAAAAAAGAAGAAAAATTAGAGCATAAAATAGCAATAAAAAACGACTATTATAACAACAATGTATTAAGGTCCTATCAAATTGTTTGGTAGTGGCCTATCTCATCACAAACCTATGACATTCCTGAGTGTTTTCTCTTTTTGTTTTTACTAATTTTAAAATTTCTGGTTCCAACACAATAACAGTGGTCTACCAGAGTTCAATGAACACTTATTTAATTGAGAGATAAAATATTTTAAAATATGAATCACCTGCAGTTGTATTCCTCTAACACAGTGGAATAATAACTGTATTCCTCTAATTACCTTTGCCATAAGGATATATTCTAATAAGACGGAGTCTTGGTAAAACAAAGAAACAAAAGAACAAAAATAAAAAATAAAAAAGCAAAAAATAGAAAAAAAGAAAAAAAAGGACCAAAAAACAAAACAAAACAAAACATGGAGTCATGGAGTGAATTTTGTACTTTGCTATTTTCTTTTAAAATTATGACACACATACACACACACAAATAAAAATTTAAAATTTAAAAATAAATTATATGACACAACAAAATCCTATTTTTTTTACATATATTTTAATCTTAAATAGCTGCAAAATATTCCAAGTTGTTTATGTACCATAATTTACTTATCCATTCTCCCACTGCTGGACATTTAGATTGCTTCAGCATTTGGAGAACTGTGACCTAACATGACAATGATTTCTGAACACAGCATCTATTTTTCCTATTAAATTATTTCCTTAGGATAAATTCCCCAAAGTGGCATTCTATGTCAAAGAGCAGGAACATATTTTTTAAAATATGTTTTCACCTTTTTAATCCCCCCAAAATTTATTGTTCTAATTTATAATGCCACCAATAGTGTATGTCACTTTCACTGCAATCTTGTCAGCACTGGGTATTAGGATTTTTCATTTTCACTAATTTTATAGATGCTCAAAATGATACTTCCAGATCAGTTTAATTTGCATTTGATTGTTACTAAGGATGAACTTTTCTCATTTAAAAAAACATATTTGCATTTCTTTTTTGATGAATTATTGCTTCAAATTCTTTGCCCATTTTTCAACTGCAATCTTTATTTGTTCTTGTATATTAAATTTCTAATATATTTGATGGAAGTATATTTCTACTCTGCTGTTCTCTTTCAAATATCTTTTCTAAGGGGGAAAAGTAACCATAAGCATTGACAGGAAAAAAAAACTATCTCTTTAATTTTCAATAGCACCTATTTCAGCAACTTAAAAGGATTTTCTTATTATCCCACATTCAAAAAATGTGCAAGAGTGCATGAGCGGTATAATCTTTTACATTTTACACTGAATTTTCAATCTTCCAAGATTAGAAAACATTTGTTTGTTTGTTTGTTTGTTTGGTCATTTCAGAAAGGTGAGTGGTGTGTTTACAAAACAAGACTCAACCTTAAAAGTCTCCATACTTACTGCTCCTCCCAGACAATAGCTGCGGAGTACAGATCCCCTCCAATTCCACCAAGATGCTCTGCAATATTGACACCAAGCAGTCCTTGTTTTCCAGCTTTTTCCCAAACCTCCCTACTTACTTCTCCAGCTTTCTCCCATCTGCAAATAACAAATATTTTAAATTCAGATAATTTTTAAATATTATTTAAATGGCCACAACTTTGAACTTATGAATGATTTTGTGTAGAAATGCATTCTTAATTTAAGGTAGTTATTTACATTAGCCATATGCTTCTATTTGCCTCTGACTCTTTTATCACTTCTGTTCCTCCTTTTTTCTGCTTTTTTTTTTTTTTTTTTTTGAGACAGGACTGTCACCCAGGCTGGTGTGCAGTGGCACAATCATGGATCACTGCAGCCTCAAAATCCTGGGTTCAAGCAATCCTCCCACCTCAGCCTCTTGAGCAGCTAAGACTTCAGGTACCTGCCACAAGGCCAGGCTAATTAAAAAAAAATTTTTTTTTGTAGAGACGGGGTCTTATTATGTTGCCCATGCTGGTCGTGAACTCTTGGCCTCAAGCAGTCCTCAAACCTTAGCCTCCCAAAGCGCTAGGATTACAGGTATGAGCCACTGCACCCAGCCCTCTCCTCTTATTTATATTTGCCATTGTCTTCCCCCATCTTGACTATTTATTGGACTTGAAAATTATACCCACTGATATTCATTGATGTAGTTTTGCTCAGCAGGTACTCTTACATACAAGCTTAGTTATGGCATGTTGTCATGGGAATTTGCCTAACCTGTATTGTAAAAGGCAATTCTCCTTGGCATATTTCCTTAAAGTGCTGAACTTATGGTACAAGCATACAAAAGCTGACAAAGTAGGGAACCTCATTACAGTTTAAATAGGAAGAACAGGAGAGCAGAAGCACCTTACACCATGGCTCTATATCAAATTAACTTCTGAAAAAATTAGATATTTGTGTAAGGTAGGCAACCTCAGCTTTTCTTCTTTAAAAATGAGAATGGCAGAATGAGGAAACAGATGGCTAGTTGGAGATAGTGAAAAAATATCTGAGAATTTTTGTATTTTTAAGTGGATTATAGTGAGATATGGGGTATTTGAAGATACTGACACTACAAAAATTTTTAAGACTTGGATTATCATGTGTGTTTTGAATACAGTTCTTGCTTAAAGTAGCTTTGGAAATATTTTTATTATTGACTTAAAATTTGTCAGCTCCTATTATTTTATTTCAAAGCCTTCTTAACATTTTTTCTGGAATAAAATTTAAAAGCAGTGAGAAATAAACAAGAGATCCTACCAGAGCAAAGTGTACAATGTCTCTTTTGTCTTTAAGAAGCTAGTTGAAGCCCGATGTGGTGGTTCACACCTGTAATCCCAGCACTTTGGGAGGCTAAGGCAGGAGGATCGCTTGAGCCCAGAAGTTCAAGGCTGCAGTGAGCTATGATCATGCCCCTGCACTCCAGCCTTGGCAACAGAGTGAGACCATGTCTTAAAAAACACACAAACACACAAACAAACAAACAAGTCCTCAAAAAACAGAAGCTAGTTGCTTTTCACCGAAGACTAGTCATGGCTTCTGGCTTCTGAGTTTAGCTTATTTTGGTCATTCTTACCAAGAAGGTATTAGTAAAAACCTAATGGAAGTTACTTTTAATGCTATTTAAAAACCATTCTAAATGTTTTAAAGTACGGATGTCTCTGTACTTTATGACAGTTCAACTTACAATTTTTTTACTTATGATGGTGCAAAAGCAATACACATTCAGTCGAAAACATGCTTACTTCAAGTATCCATATAACCATTTTGTTTTTCACTTTAACATATATTAAATATATTTAATATATTACATGAGTTATTTAATACTTTACTACAAAGTAGACATTGTGTTAGATGATTTTGCCTAACTGTAGGCTTATGTAATTGTTTTGAGCATGTTTAATGTAGGCTGGCCTAAACTATGGGGTTTAGTAGGCTAGGTGTGTAAAACCTCACAAACCTATGATGTTCCTGAACCATTTCTCTCTTCATTTTACTAATCTTCTAATTTCTGCTTCTAACATAATAACGGTGCCGAGAATTTTTTTGTTTTTATAATAACATAGTAACAGTGTTAACATAATAACAATGCATTTTTGACTTATGATATTTTCAACTTGTAACCCCATACTAAATTGAGGAGCATCTGTACTAGCATTGAGTGAATTTTGGAAATGAAGCAAAATCTTATTGTAATAGAAATAGATAAGTTTCTGGTCAATAAAATAATAATAATTAGTTAATCAAGAACTATCCAGAGGTAACCAATTGCTTACCAAGGTTTGCATTGTGCTGACTTTTTGGGTTTTTACAGTTTAATTAATTCATGAAGCAGAAAAAGAAAGACTATGAAATTGACTAGTATTTTGTTACCACTTACCCATGGTTTTCAAAAACACTACTCTTAGACTAAGTTGTAAATTTTCAAATTTTCTTATTTGTGTATAGTACATTTTAAAATTCATTTAAAAAGCTCTAAGAATCCTGGGATCTTATAGTACTACAGTGAAGAGCAGTAAAAATGTTAATAAAGCCCTGAACATACTATGTTTTCTGTATAGCAATATATGGCATTCTAGGAAATGGTCCTATAATACCCCTAGTATACATTACATTAGAGGAAAATGTGCCACTTACTCTGAGTGATGAGGAATCACTTCTTCTTGGAAAAACTTCC
This sequence comes from Homo sapiens, assembly GCF_000001405.40. NCBI lineage: Eukaryota > Metazoa > Chordata > Mammalia > Primates > Hominidae > Homo > Homo sapiens. Next base: position 210,220,687 of record NC_000002.12, read on the forward strand.
TTACACTTTTCCGGAAAATGTCATGCTCTGGAGAAAAGATTCTTCGAATTCCTATATCTGTTAATTTTTTAGCAGAAGGAGTTTCTAGACGTTCTTCCCCTCCGGAATGAGAACATCTTAAAAATATATATATGCAATAGGAAAAGTAAGTGAATTGTTACTCTTCATATCCAAATTAGTGCCACTGAACAACATGGATTTCTTTCACAGAGAAACTTGAGAGGCAAGTAGAAAGAGTTTGAATTATGACAAAGCTGGGTTCAAATTTGGGCGCCACCACTTTTGATGGGATCTACCTCATGTAGCTGGAATTAAGAAGTACCTTATCATTATTCAACTCGGTCTCCATCTCCAAATCCTTAAAGAAGATGATGCCTAGAACTAACCACAGGTCTGACTTGAGGTGAAATGTAGTATTGTCAGGTGACATATGGATCACATTATGTAAAATTCAAATAGTACGGTAGAGTAATACTGATAAATTTTCATATCATATACAATGTTTAAAATAATGCAAAGCCTCCAAAATTAGTATTTTAACCAGAATCACACAATTTCAAATTGCAGGTGTATAAGATGCAAACCATGTTGATGTAATCGCCACATTACAAAGCCAATCTGGGTGGAGATAAAAATACCCATCAATCTCTGATAAAGATTCTGTAAAATGGAATTATTTAAGACCTACTCCCATCCCTCCCACACCAAGCTTCAAATGAGACAGTTTTGTAGCTCCTTTAGTTCAGTGGTCTTCAGCCTTTTTTACCCTTGAAGTACCCCTGAAAGAAATTTTGAAAATCTATGCATCATTTTGTACATTTTCAAGTTCACATCTAAAAAACTTATCATATATTCAAATCTTGCCAAAGGATGCTTTTTCTATTTTGCATTAAATTCTAATTTAGTGTATTTCTTCCTTAGTTGGACTCTGCCTTTTCTTTTCTAGTCCTTATCCAGAAAAGATCTATTTCATGTAATTAATCAAAGTAGACTTAAAGGGTTTTTAAAAAAATAACTTTTTACTATTACATGTTTCTTTCCTTTTTTTTTTTTTTTGTTTGAGATGGAGTCTGGCTCTGTCGCCCAGGCTGGAATGCAGTGATGCAATCTTGGCTCACTGCAACCTTCGCCTTCCCGGTTCAAGCCATTCTTCTGCCTCAGCCTCTGTAGTAGCTGAGATTGCAGGCGCCTGCCACACATACCCAGCTAAGTTTTGTATTTTTAGTAGAGACGGGGTTTCACCATGTTGACCAGGTTGGTTTTGAACTCCTGACCTCAAGTGATACACCCATCTCAGCTTCCAAAGGGCTGAGACTACAGGCATGAGCTATTGTGCCCAGTCGCTATTACAACCTATTTCTAAGTTTTCCCTAAGTATCATTTTTTTTGTGGCTTATTCATTCATTTAGTTAGCAAATATTTACTGAGTGCCAATTCTGTGCCAGGCACTGTTCTAGTAACTTGGGATACAATAACGAACAAAGGACTAAGATGAGGACAAAGATCTTGGCTTTTAAGCTTACATTCTAACAAAGGGAAACTGAATAAACAATAAACTATAAATATGCAAATTGTATAATACCTTAGAAGGTGGTAAGTATTATGGAGAAAGAAAAGTAGAGAAGGGATCAGGAGTATGTGCCTGGGGGGAGGCAGAGACAGAGGTTGCCGTATGAAATAATGTAGTAGGCGGGGCTTGGTGGCTCACACCTGTAATCCCAGCACTTTGGGAGGCCGAGGCCTGAGGATTGCTTGAGCTGAGGAGTTTGAAACCAGTCTGGGCAACATAGTGAGCCTTGTCACTAAAAACAAACAAACAAACAAAAAAAAAAAAAAAAGGAAAAGAAAAAAAAGTGCTGCAGTCAGGGTAGGTTAAACCAGAAAGGTGAGATTTGAGCAAACCCTTGAAGGTGATAGAGTTAGCCAGGCATACCTCTAGAATAAAAGAATTTTAGGACAAAAGAACAACTAGAGCAAAGGCTGTATGTCTGAATGGTGTCTGATGTGTTCTAGAAAGAGCAAGGAGGCAATTGTAGCCAGAGTGGGCTGAGAAGAGTAGATGAGGCCAGAGATTCTAGGAAGAAGAGATAACAGGGGACCAGGACATGCAGGGGACCTTGACCATTGTCCTGTTGCATCAAATAAACTAACATCTACTTTATCCCTATAATGGAAATGATCGGCTCCTTTTTCTTGCTAGTAGAGATAAAATTATAAAGCACGTATTTGTCCATATAGATTTTCCATACTTGAGAGTTTCCCTCAGGAAAAAAATATGCTGAGATTAGGAAACTGGGGCTGTAAGACACCGAATCATTTGTCAACATAATGAGTAAACAATAGAGCCAGAATTTAAAATCGAGTCTTACTGGATCTTAAAATTGAATAGCCTGTACTGTGTTAAGGAAATCTCTGCAATATTTTTAAGTAAAATATATAAAGACATAGGAAAGCAAAAGAAATGCCAAACGAATAAAGACTTTCAGGTCAGTCAAAGGTGGTCAAGAGAGAATATGCAGAGGGAAGAAAATCAAAACACTTGGCAGCAAGTTTATTGCAACATGTATTTCTCAGTCTAAAGATGAAGAAATCTGTAATGGAAAAATTGGCATTTTTTTCTCTAAGGCAATAAACTGCAACTAATCTTATTGGCTAGGCTATTATTGTTTTTTTAAAGTCTCCTACATTTTAAAAGGGAGACAATCTCCACCAGCACCTTCCACACACCTAGAAGCTGGTTATAAATACACAATCTCAGGCCCCATCCCAGACCCACTGAATCAGAAGCTGTATTTTAACAAGATTCCCAGGTGATTCCTTTGCACATTAAAGGTAAAAAAGCTGTTACAACAAAACTGTAGCCCCCCAGCCCATTCAGAGGGTCTCTCAGGTCTCCCTTTTTCCAGTGTTCTCTATTTGAGGGTAGATTTTCTTGCCATGCTTCAATCAAACTAACTTACGCCAATGGATAAAACAGAAGCAGATATAGTTATCTGGTTATCTTCTATTATGCCAGACATTAAGGGAGTTGTAAAAATGTAAAACAATGTCACTCTTTTCACTTTTTTTCTGTTTAGGAAAAGTTATTTTTCATAAAAACTGTTATTTATGTTAACATGTAATGAGCTTCTTATTGTAACTTTTAAATAAACTAAATATCTGTAAAGTTTCTCAGTTATGTAGATACCTTTCGATAACGACAGACGGATAGATATAACCTACATAAACAAAAGTCCTTTGAGGTCCTGTTTAAGAGCATAAGGGAGCCCTGTTATCAAAAAGTTTTGAGGCAGCACTTTGGGAGACCGAGGCGGGCAGATCACGAGGTCAGGAGTTTGAGCCCAGCCTGGTCAATATGGTGAAACCCCCGTCTCTACTAAAAAGATCAGCCGGGTGTGGTGGTGCGTGCCTGTAGTCCCAGCTACTCAGGAAAGCTGAGGCAGGAGAATTGCTTGAACACGGGAGGCGGAGGTTGCAGCAGTGAGCCAAGATCGCGCCACTGCACTCCAGCCTGGGCGACAGAGTGAGACTCTGTCTCAAAAAAAAAAAAAAAAAAAAAAAAGTTTGAGGATCACTGTCTTATAATGTTCCAAGGAAGAGTTAAGTATGTATCCTAAAGAAAAGTCACCTTCTCAGTGACGTCTTCCCAAATCTCCCCAGGAAAAGTAGGCATTTTGTTTCATAGCTCTCAAATAAAATTAGAGTAGCTTACACCAATGCTGTCATTCGCAAATTTGCCAGTTCCTTCACCCTTATTAAATAATGAATTCTCCATGCTTCCAATTTGTTTACCCAGTGAATAGATTTTATGCATCAGACAGTATCTGAAACTTTTGATCATATTATAAACACCACCTTAGTAGTCACTGAACTACTTAGACTCTGTCTTCATTAATCCTCTGTATTTAGTTAGATTTGTTGATATATCTAAAGCTAATTTCCTTGTTTGATGGAACCCTCGCCAGGTCATTTCTAGCCCAGTTTGTCCTGGACAATTCTGGTCCGCGCCGCAGCCCGGGCACTGAGTCCGGGTCCCAAGTTCACTACCGCGCGGCGAGTCTAAGCCGTGGGGAACGCCGGGTTCACAGCTCGAACTGGGACACAGATCGCAGCCCGCGCTCCTGCAGCCGGGCCCAGGGGGTGACCACCTCCTCCCAAAACGCAGGCTCCCGGGTCCCACTGCAGGCCGCTGAACTAGACGGGTTGGATTGGGGCTCCGGAATGAACTTCTGGAGAAATCTTTCGGCTTTCCCCGACGTGGGCTCGGCGGTCTGTTCTCGGGGCGGCACGGCTGACACCCCTTTTTCCTCCGCCCAGATGCTGGTTGCACCCAGTCCGCGGGATCCAGGAAAGGAGGCCAGCTCTAGCCCGGCGCCGGAGTTGGGGAGCACTCCCAGCCGCGCGCGCACCGCCCTGCTTCAAGCCAGCGACAGGAGTGACTCGCTGCCCCACCCCACAGCCTCCCGGCCTGCAGCCGCGGAAGTCCCGGCTGGCACTCACCGCGCGGCGGGCAGCTGGCGCGGCGCACGGTGGCCGCCCAGGACGCGTAGGGACCCTCGGAGAAGGCGTGCGGCCATGTCCGAAACACAGGGGCGGCGGGGCGACGGAGGCGACTCTGCGGCTACTCGGCGACTCGGGGCAGGGTCCCCGGGAGGGAGGACGATCAGCTGAGGCGTCCACCTGTGGTGTCCTCCCAAAAAAGCGCTCGCGCGCGCCCTTCCGGAGCCCCAACCACGCCACAGGCTGGTCGCGAGGGAATACGCCCGTCTTGGCTGTCAGCAATAGGATTTTACAGCGAAACTGCTGCCTTTGCTTGCAGCATTCTTTCTTGTTTATCGAAGCAGCTCTGAGCCTTTTTAGCGTCCTGAAGCGCTTTGAGTAACGGATGAAAGCTATGGAGCCCCCAAATACGCGCAAATACCTAACCATAAAAATGTACGTGAAGTTTATTTTGTAACCTTGGAAATTGATTTACTTAAAGTAGGCTGAATAGTTTGAGCAAACCCTTGAAGGTGATAGAGTTAGCCAGGCATAGCTCTGGGAGCCCATGCTATTTATTGGTAATAGCAAGTAGAACGAATTAATCCGACACAGGATTTAGTAGAGACAGGATTTCACCGTGTTAGCCAGAAAGGTCTCGGTCTCCTGACCTCGTGATCCTCCCGCCTCGGCCTCCCAAAGTGCTGGGATTACAGGCGTGAGCCACTGCGCCCAGCCCGTTCTGTTAATTCTTAAATGTCCAAGTTCAAGTACATCCGTTGAACAATTACTCTCGCCCTCAGTGACATTTCAACTAATAAAAGCATGCCCTGTAGAACTCTCAGGTAAAAGATGTGAAATATCCCTCAAGGGAAACATAAATGGCTCAAAGGGTTCATGAAATCCTGGGTGATTGGCTTAAACTATCTGGGTAGTTTGCTTGACTTTTCATTTAATTTTAGCACAGCTAACTCTACATTCATAAACATATTTGTTCTTACTTCACAAAAGGAAACTCAGTAGAAAAAAACTGATAAACATGCTAACCAAATGTGATTCAAATTAACTTCACCAAGAATGGAACAAACTAGCATTAGAGACACCTGTATTGAAAGGAACACCACATTATTTATATACTGTTGGGAAAAAAGGCTGAGGGTTGGGAAGAAAGCTGAGGCAGGGCTTGCATGACTGACATAATGTCCTCTGGAATGTGTCTAGACTTGCTGGCTCCTTGCTTTTAGCCCTCCTAGGCTCCTATTCCCATTATCTCAAGTAGCAGAACATGTTCCATACAAATGTAAACCTCCATTTACTCACCTGTAAATGAAGAATAACAATATCTATGTCATAGGGTTGTTGGAAAGATTTTTCAGATAACGGAGGTCAGGTGGTTGGCACAAAGACAGGAATACAATAAACATTCGATAAATGGTAATTATTATTGTCATCATTGAGAAATACTCATATTTTGTAGTAGATAAAAGAAAGAACAAATCCTTTAAAAAAACCCTCTACTTTGTGTATTCCAATGCCTATTCAATTAGAAGGCAAATGTTCAAGAAAAGGAACTGCTTATGCTTTTCCTCTGATACCTGGTAGTAAATGTCATGGACTACACGGTCCTTTCTAAACCCCATGAAAATGCCAGCTTCTTTAACCCAAATAACTGCCTGTGTCTGTATCTGTATCTGTATCTGCCTGTTTATAAATGTATAAAAAGTGAGTGATTAGAAATTATATATATATTTTTATATTTGGTTTGAAGAATACCTTGATGACATAATTGAGAAACTGAAATTGGCATCTGTTAAATGTGTCTGAAATATTTTCTTTTCCCTTATAGAGGACAATGGTCTCAAAACTAGTTACTGTTTTATGTTTTGGAACATTTTCTTTAAAAAAATAAATAGCAATTTAAGTATCTGTAACCAACAATTTTGACAGTAAACTTTATTGTCAGGATTAAGAATGGATTTGTTTAAGCTTCCAACTTCAAACCCTAATCTGCTTCTAAATTGCTTCTCTATGAGCCATACCTATAATATAATATGACCAAAATATTAATCATACACATTTATAAGGAAAAACTGCTCAAAGTAAAAGAAAAGTTATAAAATTTATCTTCTAGGGCTCTCCTTTTTTTTTTTTTTATAGTCATTGTATACAGAGCTCATTAGAAAAAGTATTTATTTATTTCCCCTGGTGCAAAGCAAAACTTATCTAATCAAATATAGAAGTGTTGCATAAGTTTTAGTGCATTACAGTCTTAGACTAAAGAAATCTAAGCATCTGTAATTCTGTAATATAGATCTTGGACAATGTCACAAGGATGATTGCTAAACCATTTTGCTTGCATAATACAGAATTATTCCTCTTCATAGCTGATTTGTATTTAGGGTAAGATAAGCCTTCATGGGAAGATTTTGCTGGCAATACATGCCCTTTGCCATAGTAATTCCACCTGGTCTCCATTTAACAATCTTTTAAGGCCAGACACGGTGGCTCACTCCTGTAATCCCAATACTTTGGGAGGCCAAAGCAGGTGGATTGCTTGAGTCCAGAAGTTCTAGGCCAGGCTCTGGGAAACATGGCAAAACCCTATATCTACCAAAAATTAGCCAGGCTTGGTGGCCTATGCCTGCAGTCCCCGCTACTCAGGAGGCTGAGGTGCAAAGATCACCTGAGCCCAGGAGGTCAAGGCTGCTGTGAGCCGAGATTGCGCCATTGCAGTCCAGCCTGGGTGACAGAGTGAGACCCTGTCTCAGAAACAAACAAACAGAAAAAAACAAAACACAACACTTTTAGCTTTATTTGAGTACATAGGTTTAACATTATTTCCATAGAAACCTGAATGTATTTGCTTAAACTCCACATGAAACTGAAAGTTATTACTTCTGTAAAGTACATTCCTTGGGTGATAGGTGTCTTTATCAAAGGGAAAATATTTAGTCAAATTAATCTATAATTTAATGTTAATATTGTTGAGTGTCAGCTTATGAACTAAAACTATGTGGGCCATGAATCACATTTTTAATTCAAGAGCTTTATTTATTTTCTTTCAAAACTAGCCATCCTGTGCTTATCTCAATTTGCTGCAAACTTCTTCAACTTCCCATCTCCTCTCTCAAATATATCTACATGCCCATCCTTCCTTTCTTTCAATCAAGAGAAAGAAGCATCTGCTCTGCGCAACCTCCACCTCCTGGGTTCAAGAGATTCTTCTGCCACAACCTCTGGCGTAGCTGGGATTACAGGCATGCGCCACCACGCCCAGCTAATTTTGTATTTTTAGTAGACACTGGGTTTCTCCATGTTGGTCAGGCTGGTCTTGAACTCCCGACCTCGGGTGATCCGCCCACCTAGGTCTCCCAAAGTGCTGGGATTGCTGGTGTGAGCCACTGCGCCTGGCCAACTCCACCTTTTAATACCCTTGATGAGACGGGACAGTGCTCTTGACCCCCTTTGCAGGCAGGAACTGGAGTGGCTCGTTTCATTCAACCCATCGCTGGCCACTCCTTGTGGGAGAGAGTATGCAAGCAACCAAGTGTGGAAACTTGAGTGAACTGAATGCTGGAATCCGCTGGGCATTCCTCTCTGGTGGGAGCAGGCTCCGTGCGAACCCTGTAGTGGTGTTCAAGTGTATTCAACCAATGCTCTTTCAGCTCTGCATCCAGGATGGCCAAGTGCCAACCAGCTTAGTGGAGGGTCAGGGTGGCAGCCCCTGCCCTCTCGGCACCTGGGTTCTTGCCCAGCATCCAGGAAGAATCAGGTCACATGAACTGTTTGAAAGGTGATGAATATGGAAGACTTTATTGAGCGGTGCCGGCTCTCAGTGGAAAGGGAAACTGGAAAGGGGATGGAAAGATGATCACTCCCTGAAGCCCAGCCATCTTCAGCTGGTCCCCTCTCTGAAGCCACAAGGTCTGAAGTTAGTCATGTCTACCTGTAGTCTCTGACACTCAGTTGTTTCTCTATTTGCTCCTCAGCCACTTGTATTATTGACGCTCAGCCACTTATATCACTGATGCTCAGCTGCTTGTGTTGCCATGCCAGCTGAAGTCTTTCATGGGCATAAGATAGAGGCAGGGGCAAGCCAAAAAGGCAACATTTGGGCAGAAAAACAGGGTCAGTTGTCTTCACTTAGGGTTGAGGTTTCAAGCTTAAGGGTGGGGTTTACCCAGGAGTCCAGCCCTTCTGTATCATTGGGAGTTAGGGTTTCTCAACATATGAATTTTCAGGGGGACATAAACATTCAGTTCATTGCAATAATCCATGTTTTCTGCTGATTTAAAATATGAACTCTATCATTTGCATTCCCTTATGTATTTAGGTCTATTTGTAGACTTTTCTATTTCACTCATCTGCTTGTCCGTTAATTCATTCAACAAGTATTTATTGAAAGCCTTATACATGCCTACATGCCAGGCGATCTTCCAGATATTATAAACAGAAATGAACAAAGCCCCCCCTTTTTTCTAGACGGAGTTTCGCTCTTTCGCTCAGGCTGGAGTGAAGTGGCACCATCTTGGCTCACTGCAACCACCACCCTCCCGGTTGAAGCGATTCTCCATTGCCTCAGCCTCCCAAGTAGCTGGGGTTGTAGGTGCCTGCCACCACACCTGGCTAATTTTTGTATTTTTTTAAGTAGAGACGGAGTTTCACCATGTTGGCCAGGCTGGTCTCAAACACAGCATATTTTTTAAACCTGTGGAACTTGTCTGTGGAGACGGACAAAAGCACATAAATATAAATCAGGTGCTTAGAGTGCAATGGAGCTAAGCCTGTATCTATTCACAAGCTAATTACCCACTGTTTTCATTATTTTGAACTTTGATCTAGAAAATGAGAGTTGGAAACACGGAGGAAAAGACAGAGAGAGAGTGAGGAAGGGAATTTTGGGGTGGGGGTGGAGGTGGGGAGAGTAAATGGGCTCAATCAACCAGATAATATTAGTATAATCCTGAACAAGTTGCTTATCTCAGATCTCAGATTTCTCAACTGAGAAATGGCAATACCTCACAAGATTGTTGTAAGGATAAAAGAAATGTTTGTAAAACACCCCACTCATAACAAACACTATTATCCTTAATATTTTTTTCCTTCTTATATTTTAGGTGGATAAAACCTTGTATGCATCAACTACCTCTCTTTCAAGATGGAATTTTCAGAACACATGGTCTGGGATTGGAGCTGGAGCTTGGAAATATTGAGTGGGTGAGAAAGACTTCATTGTTTTGTGACAGGTTATTGTGAAAACAGCCCACTTCTGCCTGAAGATCCAAGCCCAAGGCCTTCCTGGCCCCAGGGATTTTGGGATTCTTAAGAGCAAAAGAAGGAAAGAAAACATGAGAGACTTTGGTACTGGGTACGAGCATGAAAAGAGAAGGATTGGTAAAAAATATCTCTTGGGAGCTCCTGCTGTGATGCGAGGGTTAGTCCTGCCATCCCAGGGCAAACTTCATAAAAGAGGTCAGATCCAAAGATTGCAGAAGCCAGAAGAGACACTGCATCCTTCCTGGTTAGGCCTGGTTATGCCAGCTTCCTGGACTCTGCTGGCTGGTTGCCTCAATCCATGCCTCAGATTGGGTGGAGTCTACAGATTGAGGGCAAATCCCACCTCCTCCCAACCCCCACCACTAGGCCTATCTGGAAGACAGAAAAGAGCAGCAAGAAATCTCAGGGATTTTCTTTGATTACTCAGAGGGAAATAGTTTTCATACTCAGAGACTGATAGGCAGTCAATAACATTTGCTTTGTGAATTTTCACCCAGCTACTTCTGGATGAGATAATCACCTTTGCTGCTAAAGAAAATCTTAGCTCATTTTCTTCTTGGGGTGATGGTATAAGAGTTGATAAACAATTTGTAAGTATTTATCATCTGGCATATTTAACAAAATATCTTTGTGATCCATAAAGCAAGGCATAAATTACATTTGAAAGTGCATTCCATTAAACAAGAACATTAGAGAGAAAGAGAGAGAGAGAGACACTTTGGACCTTGATCTGTTCCAATGACATAGAAACTTGCTTTACAGATTGGCTTTCTCCTAGTGCACTATTGCAAAATTAGAGCTATACTAGAAACATCCTTAGAGTTTGATAATTGAATTACAGTGGAGAAAAATAAGGTTTATATTTCTTAACTATACCTTTGAATTTCTTACTACTACAGAGGATAATTTTCCTGGTCCCTGGGGTTAGTGGTGAAAAACTAATTGTTTTATTAAATTCATGCCTCATTCTTGTGACCCCAGATTTTCGAATTTGAATAGGAATGCAGTCAAGGGGTGAATTCTGACATCTTCATTCTTTACTTAGCTCTTAAAAGCCAAGATACTTTATATTACTTGTTTATACTAATCTTTGATCACAATATATTTACATTGCTGGCAAGTAAAGTCTCTTAATAATATAGCAGCAAATATTAGCTCTTCATTCAAAATTGTTATTATTCGGGAGTACTATACATGGTCTCTTACATTAGGATTTATGAAAGTAGGAATTAATTATGTTTATTTAATTCAAACAAGTGTTTTTCTCAAAGTAATGAGTGTTATGAAGGGAACTTATTTGACCACATACAACCCTGAGATTCTTATCTTTTTGGCAAATAGCACTAACTGTGGAAAAGCTTAAGATCAGTGGGGTTGTCGGTTTCCCCACACGTTGAGTTGATGATAGGTTATAATAAAAATATCAGACCAAATTCTGCCACTTATATAGGCATGTATTAAACATGTATTTGTAAGCAAGTATACAACAGTTCATAGAATAAGATAAAAACCTAGCTCTCTGTCCTCTTTAGTGCTCTAATGACTTCAAGCTGGCTCAACAATATTCCAGAGGCAAGATTCTATTACTCTTATAGTTAGCATCGGAAATCCAATGGATGGACACTGGATTCTTTGAGGATCAAGCTTGAGGTGCCAAGCATGGGATGCATTTCTGAAATATTTGAGTTTAATCGTATATCTTGAATACCACTTATTATTCCAGTGAGATCTGATTGATGATTAACTTATTGAACAAGTCACTAATTTTACCAATGAAAATATATTTCTGATGTTTACTTTGCTAATTAGCAAGACATCTGGGTTTGGTATACACATCTGGTGAGAGATGAAGGGCAGAAATTGAGGCACAGAAACAATAAGTGGTTTCCCTTAAGATCAGATAGCTAGTAAGTGTCTCAGCTTGTTTGTGCATCCCACAGTGAGGAGCCTGTGTTTTTTTAAATCTCTCTGGATTAGTTGTGCTGGTAAGTTCTCTAGAAGCAACTTGACTCCACTGTTTTGAGGGCAGAAATAAAATGAACAGGCTATAATTGAGGTTGTAGAAGAGATAAAAGAAAATCTGTGATGCAAGTAACTACACAGAGTCCTGTCTGTGAAATGCAGGAGGCTGTCCATAACTAAAGGCATCTACCTTTAGAAAGGCAGTATCAGATTGTCACTTATCTTGATGGTCATGAGATAGGGATGTTCTGGTTAATAAAATATTCTAGTTAGTAGAGATTCTCAGTAGACTCTATACTCTAATTTCTCATTTAAAAGAAATTGGACTCTTACAAAATAAACATGATATGAACCCAGAATTTAACTTACTATTTTCTTACTGTTATCCCAAAGACATTACATGATATTGAACACTTTGAGGTAATTATGGTACTGGGGGAGCATAATTGTTCCTACTAATAGAAACAAAATACTAAGGATTTTTCTAGAAACTCTTAAGAGCCATTTACCTGGCTAAGGATTTTTCTAGAAACTGTCCTTTCAAGAGCCATTTACCTGGAATAAAAGTGATGTGTATGATAAACAGTTGGCTATACAGACCCAAGATGAAATTCAAAATATGACTTCTGAAAATTCTGAATTCAAAATCAAGTTTTTGATACTTTAGGATCAGCTAGATGATCATCATAAATTTGTCTCCTTTCCACTTCAATTTTTTTTCATCTTCACCAATCTACACTATATTCAAGCCAACTTACCATTTCCCTTACTCCGTTTTCCCTGCAACTTCCCTAAGCTGTTAGTGTTATTGTACTACTCTTCTTTATGCCACTTAGGCTTGAATTCTTGGCCCAATTTCTCTCACTTCTGCATGAAGTCACCAAATGCCAGTGATTCTGCTTCTAACATATTTCAGACATCATTTCTGTCCATTCCCACTACCAGAAAGAAACTCTGTGTTAGTTTTTCTTTTACCTTTATTGACTTTTTATAATAGCATTTATGGCGTGTTGAATTGTGGCCCCCCAAAAATATGTCCAAGTCTTAACCCTGGTGCCTATAAATGTGACCTTATTTGGGAAAAGAGTCTCACAGATGAAATTAAGTTAAAGATCTTACCCTGGATTAACCAGGTAGATGCTAAATCGAATAAAAAAGTGTCTGTACAGGAAGAGAAGAGGAGAATCACAGAGAAGAAAGCCATGTGAAGATGGTAACAGACACTGGAGTCTGTAACCCCAAGTGTAATGCGACGGGTTCTCCACCAGGTTACTTAAGGGTGTATGTCCACTGCTTGAGCCCTGAAGACTGGGTGGTGAGCCAAGGTCATGGTGCTCAGCCAAGGAACACCATGTGCTGTGTTCCCTGAGAACACAAACATTTGGGAGAGTACCTGGGGACATACCAAGAAAAACACTCATCACACACAGAGAAGAAAAGCCAGAAAATTAGCTTAAAAGCAGCTTGAAGATGGGTGGGGTAAGGGGGTGTGTGGGGCAAATCTCCAGAGTTGTCCTGCTACCACCTAGGAATGCCCTGTATGTTAAGTCCTAATAAACTCACCTACTCATCAAGTTGGATTTGCCCAAGTCATTCTATAGTCTCTAGGCTCCTTCCCAGTTTGGGGGGTTGCATTAGTCCATTTTCACACTGCTATAAAAAAATACCTGAGACTGGGTAATTTATAAAGGAAAGAGGTTTAATTGACTCACTGTTCCACATGGCTGGGGAGGCCTCAGGAAACTTACAATCATGGTGGAACGTGAAGGGGAAGCAAGGCACGTCTTACATGGCGGCAGGAGGGAGAGAAGTAAGAGTGGAGGAAAAACTGCCACTTTTAAAACCATCAGATCTTGTGAGAACTTCCTTACTCTCACGAGAACAGCATGGGGGAAACCACCCTCAATGATCCAATCATCTCCCACCAGGTCCCTCCCTCAACATGTGGGGATTACAATTTGAGATAAGATTTTGGTGGGGACACAAAGCCATACCATATTGGGTGGTGGGGGACATTATATTTCCAAGCTTTTCTTTCAATACCCAAGCCAAGGAGTGCCTGGGGCCACCAGAAGCTAGAAGAGGCAAAATGTGGAGGAATCATTGCCCTGCTGACACTTTGATTTCAGATCTCTGGCCTCTCAACCTGTGACAGAATAAATTTCTATTGTTTTAAGCCACCTAGTTTATGGTAATTTGTTATAATCAGAAGCTGAAAGAGGCAAAATGTGGAGGAATCATTGCCCTGTTGACATTTTGATTTCAGATTTCTGGCCTCTCAACCTGTGACCGAATACATTTCTATTGTTTTAAGCCACCCCCAGTTTATGGTAATTTGTTATAGTAGCTCTGAGAAAGTAATATAGCATCTATTTTCAGATACCCTGCTTTTCCCTGAAGTCTGTCAGTCAGAAGTGGCCATCTGTTGCCTTACTAAACAGAGCCTATTTCCACTTTTTCTATTAACTGCAGCCACTTTTTCCTTGGAGAAACATTCTCTTCCCACTCTACCCATGGATGTGGTAGACTACATCAACAGTTGCAGTTCTTTACCCTTCTCTGTGCCACACTCTTTAGTATATACCTTCAGAGTTCCTCCCATAAAGTTGGAATTTATTTCTCCAACACATTTGATTTTCTTTGACCAATAGAGTTAGGCAAAAGTGAACCAAGTCCTCAAGAAGCTTTGCATGTTACTGATTATTCTTTTGTGTTCCTGCCACGCCGTGAGAAGGCAATGAGAAGAACCAGAGCCTTCCTAGCAAAATCTCAGCAGACTTAGGCATGTGAGCAATAAATGCTTATCACCGTAGGCCATTGAACTTCTGTGATTTTGGGTTATGCAGCACTGCTGCAGCAAAAGGTAACGGATATAATGGGGCTGCTATATTCTTCCAGCTGAAAGTTTGTGACTTGCACACTGTGATTATTTTAGAGCTGTACATGTTAATCATGTCCTCTGAAAATAAACTCAATTCTGAGGCTGGAAAGAGAATGTCTTCCCCTGGACTTGATGCCAAGAAAGCAAGAGTGAGCAGATCTAAAATCTAAAGGGGGACTTTAGTGGCCAGGCCTGGAAGTGGCGTATGCTCTTTTGACGTATGTGCCATAGGCTGTAACTCATCATGTGATCACACGTGGACTCCCTTGGCTCCATCTAGATGTGAGGGGTCTAAAAAATATTGTCTTCCTTTATGCTCAGGAGGAGAAAGAAATGCTTGGTGACCATGTGGCCTTGACCTTGCCATATCTGTCGTCTGCATCTGGTAAAATCCTCTGAATATAATGTGACTTTTTTCATATTATCATCTTAAAAATTTGATTTGCAGAGTGAATTTTTTTTGTGTTTACTTTATTCCCCATCCAGGTTGATTCAGTCAATCAGGCACACACAGAAGCACGTATTTATCAAGTTCTACAGGTACAAAGATGAATATGATCTGGTTTTTGCCCTCAAGAGCTTGCCGTCTTGGGAGAGAAATAGGCATAGACATTATAAGCTGATGTAAAAGTCACAGTTATAGTGGTATTTACACATTGCTAATGAAGCACAGATGAAATAGTTTCTTGATGGTAGGGACTATCTCTTATTTGTCTGTGTATCCCCACAAGTACAAAGGATGTGCAAGGGGAGTCTTATGTGTGCCAAATACTCAAAAATATTTGATGAGTGGATACAAACAGGCAAGTGAGCCATTACGGAAATGACAGATGATTCCTAAGGATTTTGAGATATACAAAATTAGAGTGTAGAGGGACCTATGCAGATGGAGATTTTGGTTTTCTTAATTAAATATCAAACAAAAAACATACAAAAAAGATTTGGTGACAGTTTTAGGCATGTACAGAAGGTAAAATGCTGAAAAGTCTTAAAGAATATTGGCAAAGTGCCTCTATCTGTAATTTATGAAGTGGTAAGTTTGTGAGAAGGTAAAAACCTATTCACAAAATTGTACTTTTGGCAATTATGACTTTGTACCCAACCTATTTAGTTACAATGTTTGAGTTAGTAGGGGGATTTAATAACTTGAGAAAATTATAAATACTTACCAGGATGTAATGAAATGTAGTTTTTGCTTAGAAGGCCTATTTCTTGCATGAAATTTTGAATTCTGATCTCTCATTTACCTACTGAAAGCTTTCATTCAACTGTGAGTGAATATTGGATTCACCTGAGGAACATTTTTAAAATACCTGCTCCCACATCTGATTTTGTGAATCAGTGACTGGAAGGCAGAGTCCTAGTTGAGAATCGCTAGTTTACTGCATTCACCTCTTAAGAATTCTGTCTTCCTGTATCGACTTCTTATTGCTGCTGTAACAAATTGCCACATATTTGATGTCTTAAAAGAACACTAATTTATTATCTTACAGTTCTGGAGGTCGGGAGTCTGGAAAAGGAACCTATTCCATTAGGGCATCAACTAAAAATATGAAGAAAAATTATAATCTGGTACTTTCTAGAGGATTATTGTAGCCAAGAAATAATGATTTAATCTGTACTCAAAAAGTAAAGACCGAAATCTAGTATTAAGTGTTACACTTTACCCTTGAAACAATTTATTTAGCTGCCTTTTTTTATTAAAGAGAAAATTATAGCAGGGCCAACTTGTGTACAAGGGGAGTTTTAGGCTTATTATGCTTGCCTGATTGTCTGCATAAAATGCAGCAAGAATTGATTGGCTATAAAGACTCCTTTTGAGTTAGTTTTGCTGCAACTTTACCTAAAAAGAGGCTATTTTAGTTTCAGCCTTGGTAAAATAAATAATGTCTCCAACTGTTTTTAAAAAACCCATTATTGAACTTATGCAGACAACTCTATTGTCTGAAATCACTTTCATTGGGCTAAAATCAAAGCGTTCCTTTTGGATCCTCTAGGGAAGTATCCATTTCCTTGTCTTTTTCTTTTCTAGAAGTTGCTTGCATTTCTTGGCTCCTGGCCCCTTTGTTGACTCTTATTTGGAAAGAGTGTTGTTCAGATACAATCAGTTAAGAATAGAGTAGACTCATAATCCACTATGACTGGTGTCCTTATAAGAAGGGAAAATTTGGAGACAGACATACATAGAAGGAAGATGATGTGAAGCGACAGGGAAAAAAATGGCCAACTACAGGCCAAGGAGGAAGGCTTGGAACAGATTCTTCCCTCATGTTCCTCAGAAGGAACCAATCCTGTTGATATTATTTCAGACTTCTGGGCTCCAGAACTGTGAGACAATAAATTTCTCTTATTTAGCTACTCAATTTGTGATACTTTGTTACAGTATCCCTAGAAAATTAATATACCCACTATAACAGCTCTTATATCATAGGCCAAGATACAAATGTGAGAGTTCTGAAAAATTCCATGTATGTCTGTTTCCATTGTACATTTAGGGAATGACCAGTGGTGTGTCCATGGACCTAGTGGATCCACTGTGAAGCAAATCTGGGCTAGGACTCCACTTATTTTCTGGATTCCATATATTACCACACTGTCATGGGTGCCATGATAATACTTTGGGTTTCTAGTATATATGTTAACAGTTCTCTGTCATCTGAGTAAATGGCCATAGATCCTTTTGGGAAGATGAGGGAACTATCATTGTGTACTTTTGCTGTGGTGTTTCAGGATTGTTTCTCCAGTTTCTCTTCAGTCTGAAAAGGGTTCTGGGTCTGAAAAGTAGCTCACGTCTGAAAATTGAGCAGGAGGTCACTGTGACTTTATTTTGTAGCAACTGCCCTCAAGCTCCTGATCATCCTGTCTTGGTTTGTTTAGATTTTATAGGCTGAGCAATACCTTGCTGGCTACCCATCTGTTTTGCTCCTAGTTATGCTATGTTCTTTTAATTATCTCCATAGGTCTCTCTCTTTGCAGGTCAGGTCTCTCTGGTTAATCCCTCAACCTTACTGATTATTACAATATTTGTGCTCATCTTGCTTCTCATCGGTAAGTACCCCCATCTGGCCTCTATTAGTCTAGGAGCCTATGATGTCAATTCTTATGAAAGAGCTCAGCTCTGTAATAGCTGTCAACCCTGGCCTCTGGGAGATAGAAACCAATGAATTTAATGATGCTGATGCCTCTCTTAGAACTCCTTATTTATTATTTTTGTAGACAGAGTGTCCTTCAACATACTCCTCTATTGGGTTTTTCAGACTTACATAATATGTCCATTTTAGCATGCCAGCTTCTAAGGGTCTTTTGATTCCTTTTCCCGCTGTCTGCCATGTCAGTTCTAGTATTTCTATTTCACTTCTGTGGACAAATGCTTTCTCCACACTGTCTGAAAATATCCTTGCAGCATAATATCACCATTTACAGAAGTCCTTTATAGGGTGTTAAATATTATATCATTGGAGAGTGCTCCCATATTGTCAACCTCTCCTTATTTATTATTTTTTTGAGACAGAGCCTTGCTCTGTGAGCAGGCCGAAATGCATGCTCTTGGCTCACTGCAACCTCCGCCTCCTGGGTTCAAGCAATTCCCTTGCTTCATCCTCCTGAGGAGCTGGGATTACAGGTGTGTACTGCCACGCCAGGCTAATTTTTGTAATTTTAGTAGAGACAGGCTTTTGCCATGTTGGCCAGGCTGGTCTTGAACTTCTGGCCTCAAGTAATCTGCTCACCTTGGCCTCCCAAAGTGCTGGGATTATAGGCATGAGCCACCACACCTGGCCTACCTCTCTTTATTTAACTTTACTTTCAATTCTTCTTGGTCCATCACTGTAAAGATCCAATCTCATACCCACTCTCATCCCTCCTGCCAGTACATGTTGGCTAGTTCCTGCGGCTCATTTGAGATAGAATTCTATTCCTATATTAGTAGGCTCAGCACTTCCTCTACCAGACTATATTGTGACAACGTGAGTTATTGTTCTTGTGGCCAGAAGAGAGGGAATGAGAATAGATCTTGAAGGATGTACATATTGCTTTGCAAGACAGAGCCTCTTCACCTGAGTCATTAGAGAGTACTAGTCTTTAACAGGGAGGAGTGGGCCACCTTTGCGGACCCTGAGGATTTAGGAGGACCTGAGATTCAAGATTCTTGATTGTCTCAAACCAAAGTCCTCATCCTATGTTTTAGGGTCTCAGTACTTTCCAATTAGTGAACCCTCAAACTTGCCAAGATTGAGAATTCAATTTTCTCTGGAGCACTGATGTCTTTGAAATCAAATCCTGGGCATGATCCTCAGCCGTTCCTCTGCCTGAAATGAGAGAGATGAGAATCTCTTTACATCTTTTCAAGAATGTCCGAGTTTATACATCTATGCTTTAATTGAGAATTAAATTAAATTTAATTTGCCTATATCCTCTCATTTTTCCCTAACACATATCTCCCTCACCTCTGAGTTGAATTGTGTTCCCCAAAATTCATGTCTTCTTTCTCTCCCTTCCTTCCTCTCTTTTTCTCTTTTCTTTCTTTCTTTCCTTCTCTTCTCTTCTTTCTTTCTTTCTTTCTTTCTTTCTTTCTTTCTTTCTTTCTTTCTTTTTTCTTTTTCTTTCTTTCCTTCTTTCTTCCTTCCTTTCTCTCTCTTTTCTTTTCTTGTCTTTTCTTTCTTTTCTTTCTTTCTTTTTCTTTCTCTCTCTCTCTCTCTCTGCCTCTCTCCCTCCCTCCCTCCCTCCCTCCCTTCCTTCTTTCCTTTCTTTTTTTTCTTTTTTTGATGTAGTCTCACTCTGTTGCCCAGGCTGGAGTGCAATGGCATGATCTCGGCTCACTGCAACCTCCGCCTCCGAGGTTAAAGTGATTCTCCAGCCTCAGCCTCCCGAGTAGCTGGGATTACAGGCG
Source organism: Homo sapiens (assembly GCF_000001405.40). Taxonomy (NCBI): domain Eukaryota; kingdom Metazoa; phylum Chordata; class Mammalia; order Primates; family Hominidae; genus Homo; species Homo sapiens. The sequence continues at coordinate 210,240,174 of NC_000002.12, forward strand.
TGCACCACCATCCCGGCTAATTTTTGTATTTTTAGTAGAGACAGGGTTTCACCATGTTGGCCAGGCTGTTCTCAAACTCCTGACCTCATGATACGCCTGCCTCAGCCTCCCTAAGTGCTGGGATTACAGGCGTGAACCACCATGCCCAACCAATATGTTTATGTGCTAAACCCCATTACCTCAGGTTGTGACTGTGTTTGGAGATAAGGTATTTGCATATGTAATCACCTAAGTTAAGATAAGGTTATTGGTGTTTGACCTAATTCAATATGATTTATATTCTTATAAAAAAGGAGAAATTTGGACATGAAGGGAGCATGCCAAGTGAAGGCAGAGATGAAGGTGGTGCTTCTGCAAGCCAAGAAACATGAAACATTGCTGCAAAACCACCAGAAGCTAGGTGAGAGCCATAGGACAGGTTCTCTCTCATAGTTTTTAGATGGAAACAATCCTGCTGACATTTTGATCTTAGACTTCTAGTCTTCAGAGGTGAGACAGTAAATTATTGTTGTTTGTGCTACTTTGAGAAAGTGATTCTAGCAAACTAGTATATTCCCCAAGGTCATCTAATACCATAGGCCTAATATTTACTCCTTCCTCTGAATTTCTCAGATGCCTCAGATTTGGTTCATTTCAGTGCACTGACTTTGATCTACATCTCATCTGAGCTTATTACTCATGATAGTCTTAACAATTGCATTGGTACATCTTGCTCGGGGATATTCATGTTCTTTCTACCTCCAGTGATGGAATCCTCATTGCCAATGGTGACGTGATCCAGCTCCAAAAGTCTTATTTTAGAATTTGCCTCTTGAGTCCACATATCGAACCAGTGGTCTTAGGCTGTGTCCCTAGAAAAGACTTTGAGATGGAAATGTGCCTGTAGAAAGTTTATTGAGGAGTGGTCTTAGATCAATACCTGTGAAGAGAAAAGAAAATAGGATTAGTCAGGAGTAGGAATTAAACTGTAATGTTGTAGCAACAAGGGCCTCAGCCAATCCCACAGGGAGCTCTAAAGATAGGATAACCCTTCAGAGTTGTGAATTGAGACAAGAGTGCCAGGCCTTTATAGACCAGCATCAACCTGGTGAATGTGGGCTGCCATTGGAGGTTGGGCTAAAAGCTGTCAGTCCACCACACTCCCAGAGCTGGGGATGAGGGCCACCTTTCTGAAGTGGGGAATATGGCCAGTTCATAGCATCCGTTGCTCTTTCCATTATGAAACATGTAGACATACTAGATAAAGTGTAATAAATGACCTCTGTATCCATAGGAGGCTTTTGGTATGTACCTGACTACTTGAGCCAACATGTTTCTTTCTACTCATAAAAATTATTTAAAAAGCAACTCTAACAACTTACAAACAACAACTTATAAACTCCATTTGTAACAATTTACAAGCTCAATATTCTCCTGAATTAGGAGATGAGAATATTTTACAGAGTTTAACATAAATACAGTCTTCACAAACCACCCATGAACTGATAAAAACCTCAAAAGAAGTGAAAAAAAAGTACATACAAAAATGAGAAGGCCCAGTCTTGATGGATGTAAGAAACTGCTTGCAGAAAAGGCTCTCCTGAAATGCAAAAGACATAACCCTCCTTTGCAACCACCAAGAGCAGGATGCTACTGGGCAAAAGCCACAAAAATATGCTTCATGAAAGTAAGGAACTCGCCCTTAAGTATAAAAAGTTTCTCCTGCATTTGCAAAAATATGTGGGAAATGATGTGAGTAGGGCTGAAATTGAGCAGAAGCCTACAGGAAAAAGTGAAAAGAAGCACAGAGGATGGTTAAAGCACCAGTGGCAGCAGTTTTCAGAAAGTCCAGGAAAAAATACACTTTCTAAAGGTGAGGGGCTCACTCTGAATTGCAAAAGCAATATTTATTTATAAAAAAAATGGGTTGGCAGGCCAGACATGGTGGCTCATGCCTGTAATCCCAGCACTTTGGGAGGCCAAGGCGGGCGGATCACCTGAGGTCAGGAGTTTGAGACCAGCCTGGCCAACATGGTGACACCCCATCTCTACTAATAATACAAAAATTAGCTGGGTGTGGTGGCAGGTGCCTGTAATCCCAGCTACTGAGGAGGCTGAGGCAGGAGAATCACTTGAACCTGGGAGGTGGAGGTTGCAATGAGCTGAGATCATACCATTGCACTCCAGCTTGGGCAACAGAGCAAAACTCCATCTCAAAATAGAAAATAAAAAAAATAAAAAATAAAAAATGGGTTGGCAGCTGAACTGTTGGCAGAAGGCCTGCATACAGTGTGATTTGTTTTTGTATCTTTAAAATAGACTTTATTTTTTAGAGCAGCTTTAGGTTCATAGCAAAATTGAGCAGAAAGTACAGGGAATTCCCATATGTTGCCTGCCCTGCTCAGGTATACCTCCCCACTATCAATGTCTGTGCACCAGAGTGGTACAGTTGTTAAGATGATGAACCTACATTGACACATCATTATCACCCAAAGTCCATAGTTTACATTAGAGCCAACTCTTGGTGTTTGTACATTCTATGGGTTTTGAAAAATGTATAATAATATGTGTCTACCATTATAGTATTATATCTAAGAAAAATAATTAAATAATAGAATAAAAATCCTCTGTGCTCTGCCTATTCATTCCCTCCTCCTTGCTCATCCCTAAGCAACTACTGATCTTTTCACTATCTCTATAGTTTTGCCTTTTCCAGAATGTCATGTAGTTGGACTTATACAGCATGTAGCCTTTTCAGATTGGCTTATTTCACTTAGTGGTTTGTATTTAAGGTCCTCCCATGTCTTTTTCTGGCTCGATTGTCTATTTCTTTTTAGTGCTGAGTAACATTTCACTGTTTGGTTGTACAACTGTTCATTTATCTGTTTGCCTACTAAAGGATATCTTGGTTGCTTCCAAGTTTCAACAATTATGAATAAAGCCTCTATAAACACGCAGGTATAGGTTTTTGTAAGACATAAGTTTTCAATTCATTGGGGATAACTACTGAGGAATGTGAATGCTTATCATATGGTAAGAGCATGTGTAGTTTTGTAAGAACCCAGCAAGCTGTCTTCCAAAGTAACTGTATCTTTTTACTTTCCCATCAGAAATGAGAGTTCCTATTGCTCTGCATTCTTGTCAGCATTTGGTATTGTCAGAGTTTTGGATTTTGTTCATTCAAAAACATTCCCAGTGGCTAGTAGTATCTCATTGTTGTTTTAATTTACATTTCCCTGATAACATATGTGGAGCATCTTTTCATATGCTTATTTCCATCTGCATATCTTCTTTTATGAGGGGTCTGTTAAAGCCTTTGGCCCATTTTTAAATCAGGTTTTAAACCTGCTTTCTCCTTACTGAGTTTTAAGAATTGTTTGTATATTTTAGATAACAGTTCCTTATCAGATACACTTTTTGCAAGTATTTTTCTCAGTCTGTGCCTTTTGCAGAGCAGAAGTTTTAAATTTTAATGAAGTCCAGCTTATCAGTTGTTTCTTTCATGGATTGTGCCTTTGGCGTTATGTCTAAAAAGTCATTGTGATAACCAAGGTTATCTGGGTTTTCTCCTATGTCATCTTCTAACAGTTTTGTTCATTTCCATTTTCTGTTTCTGTCTATGATCTATTTTGAATTTTTGTAAAAGGTGTAAAGTCTGTTTCTAGATTCATTTTTTAAAATGTGGATGTGTAGTTGTTGTAATGCCACTGGTTGAGAATCTTTGCTTCATCGCATTGCCTTTGCTCCTTTGTCAAATATTAGTTGACTCTGTTTTTGTGGGTCTGAATTCTCTGTTCTATTTCATTGATCTGTTTGTCTATTCTTTCACTGTCTTGATTACTGTAGTTTAATAGCAAGTCTTAAAGTCAGGTAGTATCAGACTTCTGACTTTGTTCTTCTCCTTCAATACGGTGTTGGCTATTCTGGGTCTTTTGCTTTTCCATGTAGATTTTAGAGTCCAGTTAGTTGATATCTGCAAAATAACTTACTGAGAATTTGATTGGGATTGCACTGAATCTATTGATCAAATTGGGAAAACCTGACATTTTGACAATGTCACAGTCTTCCTATCAATGAACATGGAATATCTCTCCATTTATTTAGTTCTTTGATAAAAATAAATCAGAGTTTTGTACTTTTCCTCATATAGATCTTGCACATTTTTTTTAGATTTATACATATGTGTTTCATTTCTTGGGTGTTAATGTAAATGGTATTATGTTTTAAATTCCAAATTCCACTTATGCATTGCTCATATATAGGGAAATAATTTACTATATAGGAAAATAATTTACTTTTGTATGTTAACCTTGTATCCTATAATCTTGCTATAATCACTTTTTAGTTTCAGGACATTTTGTCGATTCTTTTGGATTTTATACATTAACCACATCATCTGTGAACAAAGACAGCTTTATTTCTTCCTTCTAATTTACATACTTTTTATTTTTTTCTTGTCTTATTGCATTAACTAGGACTTCCAATAAATGTTGACAAAGAGTGGTGAGAAGGGACATCCTTACTTTCTTCCTGACTTAGTAAGAAAGCTTTCAGATTATCAAAGTAAGTGAAATGTTAGCTGTAGTTTTTTTTTTTGTAGGTGTTCTTTATCAAGTTGAGAAAATTCTCTTCTACTCCTAAGTTTGCAGGGAATTCTTATCACGAATGAGTATTGGACTGCATGCAGTTTTGATTAGGGAATCATGTTTAATAGTACAAAGGAAAACAACTAGAAGAATAATGTTATTCACCAAAAATGAATGGTGAAAGAGAAAGGTTAAGGGACAGGTAATGAAACAGACTAATTTTATCATTGTTCATAGGAGAGAGTTAATAGAGGATCAATGGGTTTTACATTAAGACATCATTCTAAAATTGTCCCTAGAACAAAAGTGTAAAATTTCTTAGGTAACAAAAGAATGATATAGAAAAATTGCTTCTACATGTGAAAAAAATAAGAAAAATATCAAAATATGACAAAAGACCAAATATATAAAAATATTTTTAGATTAAAGAGCAAAATTAACCCTTTGTGTTGTAATGAATGTATTATTTGAATGTTTGTGATCTACTGAAATTAGAAAACCTGGGGTGGGACCCCCCAGTCTTTGTTTTAACCAGTCCTCCATGTGATTCTGAAACACACTCTTTGAAACCACCAGTCTAGAAAAAACACACATCTGCCCACAAAAGGACATCTATAAGTGTATTGCAGAATTATTTGTAGTCATACACAAATTAGAAGTATCCTAAGTCTTTATTAGTAGGCAGAATATATAAATAAATTCTGTCATAGTCTACAATAGAATGCTATACTGGAGTTAAAATGGTAATATGGATAAATCTAAAAAATAGAACACTAAATTGGCTGGGTGTGGTGGCTCACGCCTCTAATCCCACCACTTTGGGAGGCCAAGGTGGATGGATCACTTGAGGTCAGGAGTTCGAGAGCAGCCTGGCCAACGTGGTGAAACGTGTCTCTGTTACAAATACAAAAAATAGCCTGGTGTGGTGGTGGGTGCCTATAATCCCAGATACTGGGGAGGCTGAGGCAGGAGAATTGCTTGAACCTGGGAGGCAGAGTTTGCAGTGAGCTGAGATCATGCCACTGCACTCCAGCCTGGGTGACAGAGCAAGACCCAGTTTCAAAACAAAAAGCAAAAACAAAAAACCAAAATATAACACTAAGTTAAAAAATCAGGGCACAGACTTTTTTTTTTTTTGAGATGGAGTCTAGCTCTGTCACCCAGGCTGGAGTGCAGTGGTGCGATCTCAGCTCACTGCAAGCTCTGCCTCCCGGATTCACGCTATTCTCCTGCCTCAGCCTCCCAAGTAGCTGGGACTACAGGTGCCCACCACCACGCCCAGCTATTTTTTTCTATTTTTCAGTAGAGACGGGATTTCACTGTGTTAGCCTGGATGGTCTTGATCTCCTGACCTCGTGATCTGCCTGCCTCGGCCTCCTGAAGTGCTAGGATTACAGGCGTGAGCCACTGCGCCTGGCCCAGACTTTCTATAATAAGATACTCTTTATACGTATTAATCTGTTCTCATGCTGCTAATAAAGATATACCCGAGACTGGGTAATTTATAAAGGAAAGAGGTTTAATTGACTCACAGTTCCACATGGCTGGGGAGGCCTCACAATCATGGCAGAAGGCAAAGGAGGAGTAAAGTCATATCTTACATGGTGGCAGGCAAGAGTGTGTGCAGGGAAACTGTGCTTTATAAAACCATTAGATCTCATGAGACTTATTCACTATCAGGACAACAGCACAGGGAAGACCTACCCGCATGATTCAGTTAACTCCCACCAGGTCCCTCCCATGGCACATGGGAATTATGGGAGCTACAATTCAAGATGAGATGGGTGGGGACACACCCAAAGCATATCATTATAAAAAGTTTAAAAAATAGTATACTGAGTTTATGAATATTCACATTTGTCATCAAAGTATAAAATATGCATGTGAATAATAATATTGGGGGAACCAGCCCCCAATATTTCAACGTAGGTTCTTTTCTATTTTCCCTAAGTGTTGGCCAGTCTGAGAAATAAAGAGGAAGAGTACAAAGAGAGAAATTTTACAGCTGGGCCTCTGGGGGCGACATCACATATCAGCAGCTTCCGTGATGCCCACCTGAGCCGCAAAACCAGCAAGTTTTTATTAGGGATTTTAAAAGGGGAGGGGTGTACGAATAAGGAGTAGGTCACAGAGATTACATGCTTCAAAGGGCAATAAGAGATCACAAGGGCAGAGCAACATCACAAGGCAAGGGCGAAATTAGAATTACTGATGAGGGTCCATGTCCTGCTGGGCATGCATTGTCTTGATAAACATCTTAACAGGAAACAGGGTTCAAGAGCAGACAACCTGTCTGATTAGAATTCACCAGGCTGGAATTTTCCAATCTTAGTAAGCCTGAGGGCACTGCAGGAGACCAGGGCGTATTTCATCCCTTCTCTCAACTGCATAAGACAGACACTCCCAGAGTGGTCGTCTATAGGCCTACCCCTGGGAATGCATTCCTTCCCCAGGGTTATTCCTTGCTGGGAAAAGAATTCAGTGATATTTCTCTTATTCGCTTTCTGCAAGAAGAAAAATACGACTCTGTTCTGCCTGGCCCCGCAGGCAGTCAGACCTTATGGTTATCTTCCCTTGTTCCCTGAAGATCGCTGTTATTCTGTTCTTTTTTCAGGGTGCACTGATTTCATATTGTTCAAACACCCATGTTTTACAATCAGATTTCATATTGTTCAAACACACATGCTTTACAAACAATTTGTACAGTTAACGCAATCATCACAGGGTCCTGAGGTGACATATATCCTCAGTTTATGAAGATAACAGGATTAAGAGATTAAAGACCGTCATAAGAAATTATAAGAGTTTTGATTTTGCGAACTAATAAATGTCCATGAAATCTTCACAATTTATGTTCTTCTGCCACAGCTTCAGCTGGTCCCTCCATTCGGGGTCCCTGACTTCCTGCAACATAATAAGAACTAAATCAGAATAGCAGTTACTTCATGATGGGGAGGGCAGGAATGGGATCACGGGAGAGTTTTACAAAATAGTTCATTTCTATTTGTAAACTTATATTTGAAAACCTTTGTGGTGAGTACTCAGGTGGTTGTTATATTATTGTATAATATTTTTATGCTTGAAACATTCTATTAAAGAGAGAATAATTTTACATACAAAAATAGATTATATAGGGATATCTAGTGGGGACTAAGGCAAACTGAGAATCCATGCCCCATCCAAAGAGGACAAAGTCTACTCAGCGCCAGCCCATTTGTTACCATTTAGCAGTGCTCATCCAGTTGCAGATCTTTCCATTTTTCAAGCATAATAAAAAACTAGGATTGTTATATAAATACCTTAATATTTGAAAGTTTGTAAGTAATTGAAAAGAAATCCACAATGCAGATTGAACAAAGTGGGATTTAGCTAGCTTCAGTTAGTGGGTTACCAGTTTGCTGCTTCCTCTTTTATAGATATGTCAACTCTAAGGCATTAAAAGTTCAGGATAATTTCATCTGATTTCGTATTTGTCCTGTTCTACAGATATATTTGGGTTTATTAAATTGTATCAATGCTATAGTGTTTTAATGAACAATATTCTCCAACTTGTATGCAGGTGACTACAAAGTTTCAATGATGTCGGACATTAAATTCAAAGGGAACAATGGCAGGGCATAAGAGTAGAAGGGTGTAGACAAGGGCTGGATATTGTATTCTTGTATTACTTCACATGACTGTTCAAAGAGTCATATATTCTGAAAGAAGTGCTTCATATAACTTTAAGGAATATACACATATATACACACATATATATATATTTATTTGTGTAATGATAAACTCTGGCTGCCATATGTCTGTGGAACATCTGGATGACTTTGAATAAATGTTTTACTTTCCTTAAGGCTCTAGGTTTTCCCTGTGGAATGAGCCACATCTTGGCTCTCCTCCCACAGGCACTCAGCTCAATCCTAGATTCATTAATATTTGTTTAATTAATACATGAATTAACAAATGAGTAAATTATATATAAAGCAAAGAGCTTAGTCCAAAGGTATGCAAAGTTCACATTCTGTGATACATAATGCTATGAAAATATTTCTTCCCTATCTGTACAACCAGATCAACATTTATAAAATGCATTTTATAATAAAACCAGAAGATGGCAATAGAGTAACATAAATCTAAACACTACAGGCACTTCATAGTTTTATACAGCCTTTGTCCTTCAATATACTTGTATTGACTACTCTAACCCTTTGTCTCCAATTCCTATAAATACCTTACTATGAAAGTGGGCTGAAACATACACTTTCCTTAAAAAAAAAAAAATCAATAACAAAAACCCACATAGTAAAAGCATTCTCTTGCTGTGTGCAAAAGAATAGCAGGAGACTTTCTCACACAGGTAAGTTCTCAATTTAAGAAGTTTGTGAGAACACAAAATGAAGACTATCCAGAGAAATTGCCACACCCCAGATTAATTAAGATACATGTAATTGCTTTCAGCTCTAATTTCCGATATATAATATAACACAGTGGTTAAGTACTTGAGCTTATGCTGAAAGATTTGTTTATTTATTTGAGACAGCGTTTCACACTTGTTGCCCAGGCTGGAGTGCAATGGCGTGATCTCGTCTCACTGCAACCTCCGCCTCCCGGGTGCAGGCGATTCTCCTGCCTCCACCTCCCAAGTAGCTGGGACTACATACATATGCCACCATATATATGTTTTTTTTTCTTTTCTTTTCTTTCTTTCTTTTTTTTTTTTTTTTTGAGACTGATCTCACTCTGTCACCCAGGCTGGAGTGCAGTGGCACGATCTCGGCTCACTGCAAGCTCCGCCTCCCGGGTTCACACCATTCTCCTGCCTCGGCCTCCCGAGCAGCTGGGACTACAGGCACCTGCCACCACGCCCGGCTAATTTTTTGTATTTTTAGTAGAGACGGGGTTTCATCTTGTTAGCCAGGATGGTCTCGATCTCCTGACCTCGTGATCCACCTGCCTCAGGCTCCCAAAGTGCTGGGATTATAGGCGTGAGCCACCGTACCTGGCCTAATTTTGTATTTTTAATAGAGATGGGGTTTCACCATGTTAGTCAGGCTGGTCTCGAACTCCTGACCTCAGGTGTTCCACCACCTTGGGCTCCCAAAGTGCTGGGATTACAGGCATGAGCCACCGTGCCCAGCGTTTGCTGAAAAGATTTGGGTTTAATTCTGGTTTTTCCATTTACAGGCTCTGTGACCGTGGGCAAGTTTTTCTGACAATTTCCCCTTCTGTAAACTAGGATAATAATAATAGCTGTTATCTTGTGGTGACATGATAAGGATTAAATGAAATGACACATTTAGCTCAGTGTCTGACAAGTAATAGGAAGCTAAAAAATGTTAGCTATTATCCTTGACACTAAATTTGGATGAAAGAAAGTTGTTTTGTATTAATTTCGAAGGAAGGCTAAACATTGAGTGGTTTCAGAATAATTTTTGAAGTTTGTAAAGTAAATAATTGAAGCAAAGTAAAAGAGAACAATTTCCAGGAGCAGGTTGCAAGTTTCTATTCACTGTGGATGTTAACCAAGTACTACTTTTATATAAGAGCTAAGCAGACTGGTGTTTCATTTAGTTTCCCTTTCTTTGCCAAAGATTATTATTATCCTTAACACTCTGCATTCAATCTCCCCTAATCAGTTTATTAAGTAAATACAGGCCCAGTTCCATTTATTGATGATGTGGTTGGAGACTTAGCAGAACTATGTGAAGTGATCTTATTTGTGACTGCGATGGTGTTAAAAATATCAATAAACGGAGATCTTTCTATTGCTCAACCTGAGATATCCGGTATTCAATAGTAACATGGTTGTTATGCTTATGAAATTTTGCATTTTAACTTGCATAAAATAAAAACTGCATTCAGATGAGTAAAGGGGTTCCAATCTCTAACTTGAGAGAGAAATGTCATTAAGGATAACTTACCTTCTCAGAAGTCTGTGAGCTTGTAGAGAAAAACCAGCACCATAATTGACAACTTCTTTTATACCAGCTGAAGCAGACATGAGAGTCAGTGAAGTATAGTACACAGAATGATCACATTCACTGCCTTAGTAGACGTGACATTTCCTGGTCTACTGTCATTTTTTTCTCTTTGAAATCTAGACAGTATGAGTAATTGATGCTAAGTACTTGCATTTGAATACTAAAGTTCTACCAAGCCAGCACTTCTTATCTCTGGCTGCATATTAGTAACACCCAAGAGTTTTACAAATGTCAAAGCCAAGGGTCTCATTCCAGAGCTCTTAAATCAGAATTTCTGGAGGAAGGAACATAAATTATTTTTAAAAAATGTTTCCTAGGTATAGGCTGGGCACAGTGGCTCATGACTGTAATCCCAGAACTTTGGGAAGCTGAGATGGGCAGATCACTTGAGGTCAGGAGTTCGAGACCAGCCAGCCTGGCCAACATGGCAAAACCCTGTCTCTACTTAAAAAAAAAAAAAAAAAGAAAATTAGCCGGGCATGGTGGCACATGCCTGTAATCCCAGCTACTTGGGAGAATGAAGCAGGAGAATCGCTTGAACCGGGGAGGCAGACATTGCAGTGAGCTGAGATCATGCTACCGCACTCCAGCCTGGACCACGGAGAGAGACTCCATCACAAAAAGAAAAGTTTCCTAGGTGATTTTAATATTCTCCTCAGCTTCCCTTCCACACCTTTCAGAAGACAACCCCCTACTTTAGCAAATCAACTTCATCTAATGGGATTGCCTTAGTTTTCTACCGCTGTATTTCCTAATGAGCCTTTACTTTACAGATCCAGTTCTCTCTACTTGTCTCGAAGGCTGAAATGTCTTCACCACCACACTCCCCTACCCAAGGCTTTCTCCTCCACCTTAAACATACCTACCTCTTTCAGGATTGTGTTCCTTCAATTATCCTCTCTCATTTTGAGTTTTCAGTTCAGGCTTAACAAACTATTGAATGCCTCATAAGTGCCAGATGCGAGGACTACAAAAGAGAATGAGATAGTCAAGGAGGAGTCAAGAAAGGGACACAGAAATACAGACCTAATTATACTGTGTTATGATTTGGGCAACAAAGGAAACATGTAAAGAACATAGAAGTAGCAAAAAGGAAGGCGATTGCCAAATCTTTCTGTACCTAATTCCTTTTATACTGGAAAAAAAAATTAGTTTTGTTTATCCCAAATGGCAATAACCTTCCTTTGATTCTTAAATTAATTGTCCTATTTCCCATTTTTGCATTCATTTCCAAATTTCTTCAAAGGGTGACTTATATTTCATGCCTTCAGTTTCCCACACATTTCTTAACCTTCTCCATTCTGACATCTGTTTGTTCTGCTAATATTTTCTGGTGCTCACCTTTTTTGAAAATCTCATCAAATTATCACTTTCATCTAGAAAAGCAATATAAGTATGGATTTAGTATCTTGAAAATGAAAACAGTATCTTATTTTTTTTTAAATCCGCAGTGCTAAGTATGTTTTTAAAACCTCTAATGTTAGATTGATGCTTCTAATACGCTTAGATGTTAGATCACTTCAGTTTAACAATCTCCTAACTTTCAGTCTGTATTTCTAGTGGTCTGCTGATTATCTCTTCATGCTCTCAAAAATTAATTTTGTCCTAAACTATTTTTTCATTTATTCTCCTGAATTAATCCATTCATGTTTTCAACAAATATTGGCCGAATGACCACCAGCCACCAGGCACCACGCTAGTCACTAGGAATTCATTGGCAAATAAAGATGACGTAGTCCCCTTTTTCATAAAGATTACCCTCTAAGGAGGTTCTTGATTTATTATAGTATCACTACATTTTAGATATTTAGGCCTAAAATTTTAAAATAATAACTGACTTCTCATTCATTCAACAAATCCTTTATAGTTTATCTTCTCAATGGCTCAATACAGCTGAATCATTGTGATATTCTTCCAGAGCTCTTAAATCAGAATTTCTGGAGGAAGGAACATAAATTATTTTAAAAAAAATGTTTCCTAGGTGTAGGCTGGGCACAGTGGCTCAATTCAGTTCCTCTTCAATTTCTTAATTTTCTAAAAATATTCTTAGAGCCTCACTTTGAGCTCTTTACTTTTCTGTTCAAATAACTTCAGTAGTTTCATTTCACTTCTCTGTTTAAACACTTTCAAAGGGTTCAAAACCCATAGGCTGAAACTCAGGGTCCTTTTCAATCAGGCCCTACCACATTTGTCTGAAGTCTCTGTGCTGTTCTCTTACATGTACATTTCCACTCTGACCATACTAGTCTCCTTGTGGCTCCCTGAGCACACATTTCACATTCTTGTCTCTGGGTCTTTCTCTCGGCCTGGTTCTTAAGATAGCCCCCTCCTCTCCTTTTCTTATTCATTGGAACCCAAGCCACCCTTATCAGTTCAGCTCAAATTCTTCCTCCATTTTTCACCCCCCTTTCTCCTCACTCTGCATACTCTTCTTTACCTGGGAATTGCTATAAGGATTTGTTGTTGCATTGGCTTGTTTGTTTGTTTTATTCCTAAGAGCTTTGTGATAATCTATTGCCTCTATCACTGTATGGTAGACTTACGTGACAGCAATCTCTTAATTAAGCATACCCTGAGAATGACCCTGTGTAACAGACACACCTGAAAGCAATAACTTAACTGAAGAAATAAGTGTTGCCACGTGGAAGTTGCTGGCTGGTGGGGGCGGTTGCTAACCGAAAGTGCTGTATAAACTGCATGCTTTTTTGCAAGCAGTGACCGGTTCTCCTGTTCAGACTGCTACCACTGGACTGCCCTGGTATGTGAGTTCTCTCAAATGAAACCCCATGTCTTATTTGCTGTATGTGGGTCTCTTCTTCGGCCTTTTAAACCTGGTGCCATCCCTGCTGAGGTTAATAGGGGTCCAGCATGACAATAACATACAATTTGCATTCATTTTTCTAGTAGAAATATTACTAATAAACAAGACCAGTAGCTCCAATTCAAGCTACTTTTTCTATAGGACGTGTCATTTTTTGGCCCAAGCTCACCAAGTTATACTACTAGGTGTTTCTATGCTCTTTTATGAGCGGAATAAAGAACATACTTATTAAGCAACTGAGAACTTAGTATATGTGTTATTTTATTCTTAACACAATCAGAAAGAATTGTATTGTGGGCTTATATTTTATGTTAGTCAGCTAATGGTATTTTAGATTACTTATTCCCATTTGAAATTAGTAGACATTAAGAAATCAGTATTACATTGAAATATTCAGGAATAAGAGGGCATGATGTCTGCAACGTACTCCCTTGTATAAGCGTGTGTTTTGGGCTGGTACGGATTCCAAAGAAAGAAGCAGTAAATGCCAGGGTGATCAGGCCAAAGCATTTATTAGGGGAAGTTACTTACAGAGTGCTGCAGCAATCCTCATGACAGAGAAAAGAGGTGTTCTTGCTAAGTGTGTCGCCAGTGAGGGGGTCAGGGTATGAAGTTTGTTTAAGATTTTAAGGAATTTGGCTCAGGGCAGGGACAGTTTGCTTCAGTGTTTTGGGCAATGTCTTAGATACCTGGGAATGTTTAGGCCCCAGTTTTGGTTCAAGCCTGCTGGGAAAGGCCTGCAGCTGGCTGGGTCACAGAGTGGTCAAGGCACTTCATGATTTTTGGTCAGAATACAGAAAGACAGTTGGGGGAGAACTGGGGACCCTACAACATGAGAGAGGACAATAGAGCAAATGTGGAAACATTGTACTTGTCTTGTATCATATAAAAATGGTTGTGAATCTAGTGAAAGATACATGGAAGTTCTTTGTACTACTTAACAATTTTTCTGTGAGCCAGAAATTGTTTCATAAAAATATTGTTTTAAAAATCTGAGATGTAAATATCTTTAGTTCTATTTGGGTTGAGGGTAATACCAAAATAAGTTTCCTTGAATATCAATAAATGTAATTTTAAAGGTTTTAAATGCTCAAAATTAAGAAACTATTTAAAACTCTTTCCATTAAAAACCTAACTCAAAAGAACAACAAAACATCTGTTTTCATTTTTAAAGATAATTAGTATAACTATATTTTGTATCAGAAATATTTTCCAAGAATTCTTATTGAGTACCTACTTTGTGTGAGGAACTGTTCAAGGTGCTGTATACAAAGACTCTGCTCTTATGCAGCTTACATTCTGCTGGTGGTGGTAGTAGTGGTGAAGATATTAAATAAACAAATAATGGCATATCTGAAAGCGATAAAGTCTAAAAAGATATAAATGAAGCAGAATGAGATGAATAGCTGGTTAGGGTCAATGATAAGTTACATCTAGAGATTCAGGAAGTGAGGGAGGGAGCCAAGAGGGTAACTTGGAGGAGCTGTCCAGGCAGGAAAATAACAGGGTTAAAGGCCTTGTGTACTCACCATGCTCAAGAAGCAGCGAGACTAGAGTAGCAAGAAGAGAATGTAAAAGAGGGAGAATAATGGATGAAATGAGAGATGTAGTGAGAGCTAGATAATGTAAGACCTTGTAGAACATTATAAGGTCTTTGGCTTTTACCCTGAGTGAGCAGAAAATGCACTGAGGGTTTTGATCAGGGGAGTGAGATAATCTGATTTAATTTTAAAAGGATAATTGTGGCTGTGTTGTGGAGGATGGACTGTAAGACAGATGATGATAGAAGTAGGAAGATGAATCTAAAGGCTGTTGCTATAATCCAACTGAGTTATGGTAGCTTGAGAACCAGAGTGCTGGTAGTAGAGGAAGATGCAGAATGGTCAAAACTTGCACCTATTCTGCAGCTAGAGTTGAAGGATTTGTTAATAGATTGGAAGTGAGGAGTGAGAGAAATTGATGAATCAGGAATTATTTCAAGGTTTTTCACTAAGAGGAGAAAAACTATATGAAGAGGAGGCTTTGGAAGGGCAAACTGGCATTTCATTTTTGGATATCTCATGCTTGAGATAACTATGAAACATCCAAAAGAAGAGGTTGACCAGACACTCTGTTGTATGAGTCTGGAGTTCAGGGAGATAGCTAGGCTACAGAATTAATTTGAGAGTTGTCAGCATATAAATGGTACCTGAAGTTATGAGACTGAATGGGATCCCCTAGGAAGTGAGTGAAGAGAAAACCAGATAGTTGAAGTTAGGAAAACAAAAGAACTTTCAGGAGACAGGAGGACAACCAGGAAAGCATAGGGATCTGAAGACAGTACTTCAAGGAGAAGGGAGTGATCAATTTTGTCAAATGCAACTGACAGGTCAATTAAGTTTAGGTCTGAGAATTCAATTAAAAAATGGGAGTACATTATTGCTTTGATCAGAGCAGTTTTGATGGAGTGGTGGGCATAAAACCCTAGCAGATTCAAAAAGAGGAATTGAAGACAATAAGTAGAGATGTTTTCAAGGAGTGTTACTGTAAGGGAGAGCAGAGAATAGGGGTAAGAGATAGAGGGGAAAGTGGAATTAAGGTTTCTTAAAACATGGGTGATATTACAAGTATGTATATTGATGGAAATGATTGAATAGAGGGACAAGTAACAATTCCTTGGAGGGATGAGGGGGACAGAATTCCAGAAGTTATGTTCTTGAGAAAGCAGAAGATGGACAAGTGAACTGGGTGGTCACAGTCAGCTATTCCATAGTAACTGGAGGAAATGCAGACCGTATGGGTAGAGATGCATGTAGGTGGGTAGAGAGGTGGAGAGAGCTTATGGCGGCTCTTCTAGTTTCTTCTCTCAGTAAAATAGGAAGCAAGACATTTTTGCTTGCAGAGAAAACAGTTCTCAGGGAAAGGCTATATTTTAGTTAAAGTAAGATGAAATGAACTTAAGAAATTGAGAGTGCACTTTTATTTCTTCTCTCTATCTTTAACTATTCAGGGCATTTTCCTTTAAGAGATTAACAGTTGTCTATTCTGCCATAAACTAATTTAAGAATATTGCTGCCCATCATGACTACATTAACTGGAGATGAAATACTTATAATTTCTATTTTCCTTATGAAGCATATTTTTGGTAATAATTTTATTAGAATGCTCGAATGAAGTATAATCTAAGATATATTGGACCAATTAATCTAGAAGAATGATGGAAGAACAAGATCTTTTTTTGTGGTTAGTCATATGTTCTGAACATAATTATCTGATCAAAGAAACAGTATTAAGGCAGGAATAGTTTCTTTTGCTGTTCAGAAGCTCTTCAGTTAAATTAGATCCTGTTTGTCAATTTTGGCTTTTGTTGCCACTGCTTTTGGTGTTTTAGACATGAAGTCCTTGCCCATCCTATGTCCTGAATGGTATTGCCTAGGTTTTCTTCTAGGGTTTTTATGGTTTTAGGTCTAACATGTAAGTCTTTAATCCATCTTGAATTAATTTTTGTATAAGGTGTAAGGAAGGGATCCAGTTTCAGCTTTCTACATATGGCTAGCCAGTTTTCCCAGCACCATTTATTATATAGGGAATCCTTTCCCCATTTCTTGTTTTTGTC
Source organism: Homo sapiens (assembly GCF_000001405.40). Classification (NCBI taxonomy): domain Eukaryota; kingdom Metazoa; phylum Chordata; class Mammalia; order Primates; family Hominidae; genus Homo; species Homo sapiens. The sequence goes on from NC_000002.12 coordinate 210,257,127, forward strand.
AGGTTTGTCAAAGATCAGATAGTTATAGATATGTGGCATTATTTCTGAGGGCTCTGTTCTGTTCCATTGGTCTAGATCTCTGTTTTGGTACTGGTACCATGCTGTTTTGGTTACTGTAGTCTTGTAGTATAGTTTGAAGTCAGGTAGCATGGTGCCTCCAGCTTTGTTCTTTTGGCTTAGGATTGACTTGGCAATGCGGGCTCTTTTTTGGTTCCATGTGAACTTTAGTTTTTTCCAATTCTGTGAAGAAAGTCATTGGTAGCTTGATGGGGATGGCATTGAATCTATAAATTACCTTGGGCAGTATGGCCATTTTCACAATATTGATTCTTCCTACCCATGAGCATGGAATGTTCTTCCATTTGTTTGTATCCTCTTTTATTTCATTGAGCAGTGGTTTGTAGTTCTCCTTGAAGAGGTCTTTCACATCCCTTGTAAGTTGGATTCCTAGGTATTTTATTCTCTTTGAAGCAATTGTGAATGGGAGTTCACTCATGATTTGGCTTTCTCATCTGACAAAGTAGATGCAATCTACTCATCTGACAAAGGGCTAATATCCAGAATCTACAATGAACTCAAACAAATTTACAAGAAAAAAACAACCCCATCAACAAGTGGGTGAAAGATATGAACAGACACTTCTCAAAAGAAGACATTTATGCAGCCAAAAGACACATGAAAAAATGCTCATCATCACTGGCCATCAGAGAAATGCAAATCTAAACCACAATGAGATACCATCTCACACCAGTTAGAATGGTGATCATTAAAAAGTCAGGAAACAACAGGTGCTAGAGAGGATGTGGAGAAATAGGAACACTTTTACACTGTTGGTGGGACTGTAAACTAGTTCAACCATTGTGGAAGTCAGTGTGGCGATTCCTCAGGGATCTAGAACTAGAAATACCATTTGACCCAGCCATTCCATTACTGGGTATATACCCAAAGGATTATAAATCATGCTGCTATGAAGACACATGCACACATATATTTATTGTGGCACTATTCACAATAGCAAAGACTTGGAACCAAACAAAATGTCCAACAATGATAGACTGGATTAAAAAAATGTGGCACACATACACCATGGAATACTATGCAGCCATAAAAAGGGATGAGTTCATGTCCTTTGTAGGGATATGGATGAAGCTGGAAACCATCATTCTCAGCAAACTATCGCAAGGACAAAAAACCAAACACCGCATGTTCTCACTCATAGGTGGGAATTGAACAATGAGAACACATGGACACAGGAAGGGGAACATCACACACCAGGGCCTGTTGTGGGGTGGGAGGAGCGGGGAGGGATAGTATTAGGAGATATAGCTAATGTTAAATGACGAGTTAATGGGTGCAGCACACCGACATGGCACATGTATACATATGTAACAAACCTGCACGTTGTGCACATGTACCCTAAAACTTAAAGTATAATAATAATAATAAAAAAGACAGGAATAGTAGGAGATCCTACTGAAAATACTTGCCTCACTTAAAAGTAAATCAGTTTTTCTTTCACACCAAATGAGGATGAATATTTAGAGTTTCATGGATTGACTTTCAAATGAGACATGTGAAGAACGATGACTTCTTTTAGATTTTAACAACCCAGTTTGATAAACACAACTTGAATGGACCTCGAGCAAATTATTCTGAATGCAAAAAAAGCCAATCATGAATGATTGTTTTTATGAAATTCTTTTTTTAACATTTAAATTTTTATTGCTGTATAACATGCATACAAGAAATGCATGTGCAAGGCATTCATGTAAAGGTAAATGAATTATGATATTCTTGAAATAACACAATTATAGAGATAGAGAACAAATTAAGGGTTAGGGATTTGGGAGGAAGGGTGTGGCTGTAAAAAGGTAACAAGAGGGAGCCTTGGGGTTATGCAATATTTCTGTATCTTCATTTTGGTGGCAATTGCATGAAGCTACACATGTGATAAAATTTCATAGGACTACAAACATATACGCACATGTACAAATGAATGTATGTGTAACTAGTGACATCTGAATAGGCTCTGTGGATTAATACTGATGTCAAATTCCTGCTTTTGTTATTGTACAATAATTATGCAAGACGTCCATATTGGGGGAGGAAGGATGAAAGATTCATGGGACTTCCTATATGTTTTCTTTTAACTTGTGAATTTACAAAAATAAAGTTTCAAAAAGTCCTACTAGATACCCTAAGAAATAAAGAAAACAAAAATCACAGGAATCAATGTGTGCATCATTTTAAAACGCCATGGTCAATTGTGGAAGAAAAATAGTATGAAATTTAAAAGTGATGCAAACCTCTCCTGTTTTTATGCTTTGACACCATTGACTGGTACTCCAATTGACCTTCCAACAGTTAACAGACTAGAAAATTACTTTTAATACTGTTCACATATTTGTCTTAACCCATTAGCTTTTTTAAAAGCTACATTCTAGACGTAGTTTCCCTTAGAAATGGGTTCTATAAACTAAATATGTGTATGCAGTCAAATTGTTAATACTTCCTTTTAGAAAACAGTGATGGTGATGTAGTCCATCATTTTCATTTTTGCTTTGACTCTTTGAAAGTTCAGAGCTAATAATCAGAAAAACACAAAAAGATTTACACACAAGCAAAAGGAATTACTTTCATACATGAATAGATAAGTGGGACAAAGATTTTTAAAATGTAGATGTGAAAGAGGAGTATTCTGTCACTTAGCCTGTCTGTAGTTCTTCTGTGGCCCTCTCTGTTTCAGTTTTTCAGTAATGAACCTGACATGATTACCACATCTAATGCCCATTTAACTTCAGTCAGCTTATTTGTTTCTCAGAGCAGCCTGCTTATACTCTGCCTTCTTCCAACTACCAAAGCATCTCTGTTCCAGAACAATTTCTATCTCTTTAGTTTCACTAACCACCTATAGCAGATACTAGGAAATAACCTAGGTTTTCTTAAGGGAATGTAGTGTTCTATCTGTGGGCAAGACTGTGTTCCAATAGTTAAATTGCTTCCGTTTATTTAAATTCTTAAAATCTTAGGATCCAGAAGGAAATACTTGAAGAGACACAGCCTGCTCAAATTCAACAGCCAGTAAGAAATGTGTGCAGGGCTCCACATTCCCTGTCCAGTGCTCCTTCCACATATATCCTGAGGTTGGGAGAGGAGGTATGCATATAAATGATTGATGACATTAGCAAGTTAAATAATAATTTTTAATAAAAGGAATAATTATACTTTGAAATTTAATTGGCAGTAAAAGTACTTGAAAAATGTGATAAACAGGAGAAATATAGTTTCTATTTATGTGTTTTTAAAATATCACATTTAAATAGGCATCATTATATAAAGTTTTTAATTATAAAAATATTTCTAGGTCTTTGTGGCTAGCAGATGATAGTGATGACTTACATTTGTCCAGTGCTTTTATCATTCCTCAATTCTTTTCATTTGATACTTGTAACGATCATGTAAAATAAGTGGAATTGGTTTTGCCATCATTTTACGGCCTAGAAAATTGGACTGTGGCCAGAGCCAGTGGAAATAATAGAATTCACATCTTCTGATGTTAAATTTAGTGCTTGTTTGACTAAATAAAAGTCCTTCTCAAGTCTGCAAATGTCACTTAAAGATCTGTGCAGGAACAAGCTGTATCTCCATGCTTGCTATGATCATTCCATAGAGAACTTGCCCTTTTTTTTTTTTTTTTTTAGACAGAGTCTCGCTCTGTCACCCAGGCTGGAGTGCATTGGCACGATCTCGGCTCACTGCAGGCTCTGCCTCCCGGGTTCACACCATTCTCCTGCCTCAGCCTTCCGAGTAGCTGGGACTACAGGCGTCCGCCACCACACTTGGCTCATTTTTTGTATTTTTAGTAGAGATGGGGTTTCACTGTGTTAGCCAGGATGGTCTTGATCTCTTGACCTCATGATCCACCCGCCTCGGCCTCCCAAAGTGCTGGGATTACAGGTGTGAGCCACCATCCCAGCCGAACTTGCCTATCTTAAGGGCAGGACACTGCAGCCCAAGGTGAATGTGAACCCTGGAAGTATAGTTAATTTTCTTCAGTTTACGGAACAAGGTGTTCCTCAAAATATAAAATATTATGACAGAAAAGATTTCATGAAAAATCACATCAAGCATTCAGACACTGCACAGAACTATTTAATGATAGTAGGAGTCTAGCTTCAGTCTAAGGGGTACTATCTATATTTGGTCATCTTTGATCAAACATATTTGAGAGAGCTTTTGAGAAGCTCCTTTGCAAGGAGGACCCAGGAGCCTTCTGCGAAAATTTGTTGAGGAAAGATGAAGATGTGCACAATATATTTGAAGTAAGAAAGCCTTAGTTCTTGGTTCTTGGGGGTGGGTGAATAGACAGAAGCATGATTCTAAATACAACATGGTGGCTGTCACTTGGTTTGGGTCCTCACTCCAGCCCCACTAAATGAATGTGTGTGCCCCAGCCTGCTGCCAGTCTTCGTAGCACTGTTGCGCAAACCAGAATAAGATGCCTGCTTTGGGCAGATGCAGCCCCAGGAGCACAAGACTCTGGCTTAGCAAGATGATGCTTCCTTTGTGGAAAGAAAAAGTCTTCTCATCTTTCAAGGAGATATAGGCTCTCACCAATGGCTTACCCAGCAGTACATTGGCTAACAGGCCCTACTCAACTCTTCATCTGGGCACAAATTGTATATCCTTACACAGTGTCCTGTTCATGGTACAAAATCATACTTTAACTGAAACAAATTTCTTTTAAACTGTAAATATTGATCATAGCAGTAGCATTGTGTAGGGACCCTTTAATAGAATTTAACATAAGGGTAAAGTGGCATTATCTTTTATTCTAAACAGAAGACTGTTATTTTGACATCTTAAGAGTTTTCAGTGGCTCAATAGGGGTAGGAGATAGTTGTGCCCAATGAACATGGCCAAATGCAGCAGATGCACATTGGCAAATTGTGGGTATCCAAAAAATATTCTGGTGACCAATGGATGCCTGTGGAAAATGGCAAGTACCCAGCAGATTTGGTAGTACACAGCAGGTGCCACCAAGCAAAGGCACATGGTGGTTCAGTATGGGTGCTCAGTATGATTGGCAGGAAGGATGTGCATGAATATCTGGGGATTCTTGGAAACACTGGGAGCAGAGTGACGGGAGTGAGTGTCCTTTGTAAGAGCCTGAATGTCTTGTCTCAATAAATTCGGGGATGGGAAACAGAACATTAGTGAAATTTGGCTTTTTGCTGTTATTGTCAGCCCATCTGTTCCCACAATCTGGGAAAGCCTAGAATAACTCAGGTTACACAAATAAAACATTACAGATAAACTGCTTAATGTAGCCCATCCTTCGTATTTTGTTTAAGGTCAATTATTAAAAGGATTTTGAGAAAAAAGTGAAATAAAATGTGATTGGCTTTTGCTATTTTTTTTCAGAGTAGCAAATTATCCTACATCCAAATTGTTCTATGATAAATTCTTAACATAAAAAGGATGTCTTTTAATATAAAAAGAAATAATCCTCCATAAATAACTTTAATAAAAGCTGAACAGGTGCAAGTTGACAAGGAGGTGATTGTGTGATGGTCATTGCATAGGTAATATGCAAATAATGGATTTTAGAATTTAACTGGTCAAAATCAATAAAGAAGAAAATGACATTTTGGGAGTTAAGAAAATCACTTGGAAAAGGCTTTTTTTTTTTTTTGAGACAGAGTCTCTCTCTGTCACCCAGGCTGGAGTGCAGTGGTGCAACCTCTGCTCACTGCAGCCTCCGCCTCCCAGGTTTAAGTGATTCTCGTGCCTCAGCCTCCCAAGTAGTTGGGATTACAGGCATGTGCCACCACACCTGGCTAATTTTTGTATTTTTAGTAGAGATGGGGTTTCACCATGTTGGCCAGGCTGGTCTCAAATTCCTGACCTCAAGTGATCAACCTGCCTCGGCCTCCCAAAGCGCTGGGATTTCAGGCGTGAGCCACCACGCCTGGCCAGAAAAGTTCTTCTGATATTTGATTTAATAATTAATTCTGCAGAGGATGGTATGATGCAGTATAAAGACAGTGGTGTAGCTACACAGCCATCATTGCCTTTTTATTTGAAAGAGGCAAGATAAAAAGGAATTGTATTTCAATAATAACTGTTGTTGAGTGGGCTGAAGTTGAGGGGGTAAAAGCCAAGAAACAGCTTTATTCAGCCTCACTACTCCCCTTAAGGTTCTCTCTGTTGATATCTTCCCTCTTGGTCAAAATCCTCCATCATTTACAGTAAATTTTCTACTCTTACACCATAAAAAACACTCCTGGGCCCACTGCAGTGGCTCACATCCATAATCCCAGCACTTTGGAGGCCGAGATAGGAGGATTGCTTAAGTCCAGGAATTCAAGTCTAGCCTGGGCAATATGGCAAGACCCTGTCTCTATAAAAAAATTAAAAAATTAGCTGGGTGTGGTGGCAGCACCTGTGGTCCCAGCTACTTGGGGGGCTGAGGCAAGATGGTCACTTGATCTCAGCAATTTGAGGTTGCAGTGAGCTATGATCTTGCCTCTGATTTCCAGCCTTAGTGAGAGACTCTGTCTCTAAAAAACAAAACAAAACAAAAAACCAAAACCCATTCCTGTTACTTTCAGTCAAAAGAAAAATTTTATCTTAGTAATTAAAATGTTCAATTCATTGTAATGACTCCAAATCCCGTGCAAAATGTCTCCCTTACCTCCAACTCACGCCTGGACAGCTGTAGTGAGAAATGGGCTCAGCCTCTTCTATCTTCCTTACTTCCTGTGGACCTTCTCCCTAGCTGCTTTTTCTTAGCCTTGATGGACAGGTCTGGTAAGTGGGTTGGGGAGAGGATTCAGATAAAAGGAAAACAACTTTCAGTGGCTGGTGTGGTGTGGTAGAGCAGTGGTTTCCCTCTGGCTGTGGGGAATGCACATTTCATGCCTGTGGACGGCCATCTCCTCTGGCTCATCCTGCTGAGCTCTCAACCTCGAACTTCCAAGTCTGCCTGACACAGGCACTTTTTGAGTCTCAGAGGCCCTCCAGGCAGTGCTCTGGAGTGGGATTCAAAGTGATCCCAGATGACTACCTCCACAGGTCCACCTGGCCCAAGGCAAAACTCTGCCCTCTTGCCCTGCGCAGGAGGCAGTACAGTTTCCTCCTATGTACCCTTTTTCTCTTCCTATTGCTGCCTTAGATGCATCTCTAGGCAGAGACTTTTAAGGCCATTCAGACATTTTCAGAAGTCTAGATGGAAGACCTTAAGATTTCCTAACTTCAGGGGCCTGTGTCAAGTTCTTTGAGTGGCTCTCTTGCCAGTCCTCTTACTTGGTTTGATGTCAGTGGGTTGAAGGGTGCATGCACCCTGACAACTCTCTTCCATTTTCCAACACAGACTCATTTATTTATTTTGGGAGACTGGGGATTATTGCTGCTGGCTGAACTGTTTCATAATGGCATAGCAAGTCCTGCAGAGGTTGTGGGATACTCGCCATGCTGTGCATGAGAAGGGAAGTTTTAGGGAAGTTTCTGTAGTCTCTATTTGTGTTAACAATAGGAGGTCATAATGAAGGTTGATTTGATGAGGACCATGATGATAAGTTTTCAAGAAAACACTGTTCAGCATTCTATTAAGAAAGTACCCCAGTTAGTTTCTGTGGGCCTCTCTGAATCCATTCTCTGACCTTTCCTGCTTTGCTCTGTGGCCAGGGTCTCTAATATTTACAGACTCTAATACCTACACTCCCTTGTCCCTTGGCTTCTGGTTGGATTTTGTCAATAGAAGGCACTTGCAGCAGATTGAAATATGGGAAGCAAGAGAAGAAGGAGCATTCTCTTTTGGGATCTAAGGTAGTAATGGCTTCCTATTGTTGCCAGTCCCTGGATACTTTATTCTCTTGGTGTTTTTTTTTTTTAAACTATTTTCTCCTCAATTATTCCTTTTGAGTATCCATCTGAGAACCTATATATAATATATATTTATTTATAAGACATATATAAATGATATTTTATGTATGTCTTATAAAAATATTTTTCCATACAAAAGAGCTACAATTTAAAAAATTGAAAACATTTGAGGTGGTTTAGGGGATGAATGAGGGAGTCATCCTGGACCTTCTGGGCATTGCAGCTCTGCTATTTCCCAGTTGTATAATGCTGAGTAAGTTAGTTTATCTCCCTGAGCTTTGACTTTCTTATATTTAAAATGGAAATAATAATACTATGTACTAGTAGCTCATAGGGTGATTTTAATCAGTAAACAACCAAATATATGTAAACTGCTTAGTAAATTAACATTATAGCCTTTTCGGTTATTATTTAGAACTATTTTTATTTATTTATTTATTTATTTTTGAGAGGGAGTCTCACCCTGTCACCCAGGCTGGAGTGCAATGGCGTGATCTCAGCTCACTGCAACCTCTGCTTCCTGGGTTCAAATGATTCTCCTGCCTCAGCCTCCCGAGTAGCTGGGATTACAGACAACTACCACCATGTCCAGCTAATTTTTGTATTTTTAGTAGAGATGGGGGTTTCACCATGTTGGCCAGGCTGGTCTTGAACTCCTGACCTTGTGATCTGCCCACCTTGGCCTCCCAAAGTGTTGGGATTACAGACATGAGCCACTGTGCCTAGCCTAGAACTATGTATTTTTAAAACAGTAGAGGTCAGGCATGATGGCTCATACCTGTAATCCTAGCACTGAGAGGCCAAGGCAGGAGGATTGCTTGAAGCCAAAGTTTGAGATGACCCTGGTTGACACGGTAAGACCCCATCTCTTAAAAAAAAAAAAAAAAAAAGCTGGGTGTGTTGGTGAAACCAAGGCCTCATGCAAAATCAAATACTCAAAAAGTTTCTAGGCTGGTCTGAAGGTGGTGAGTTAGCTCAGTTGATTGGTCACAGTCAGTTAAAGATCCAGTTCCTTGTTCTGCTCTTTCCCTCTTCTTACTATTGTACTTGACTAGTCTAAAAAAAGGTGCTATTGGAGGTTTCTAGACCCGCAAGCCATACAATCTGATTGGCTTCCTTTAGAATAAATGAAAATTAATGGAGGAATATGGAGAGGCTTCCAGGTCACAGGGAAGTTTGGAGGACCAGGCTTGAAACAGAATTGTGGTGATTCCCAAATGAAGATGATCCCTAGAACATTTATCCCTGATACATTTTTACCTGACTGTTGCTCTAGAACGAATGTCCTCTAATAATTTATTCTGTCATGGAATCACTTTGCTGAAGAATTCAGACACTAGAAGAAACTGTCCTGTTAGTATTGAGGTCACATGCTTACCTGTGATAGTTAACTTTATGTGTCAACTAGGCTAGACTATCGTAACAGTTGTTTGGTTAAACACTATTCTAGATGTGGCTGAAGAGGTGTTTTCTGGATGTGATTTACATTTATAATCAGTTGCCTTTAAGTAAAGCAGATTAACTCCTGTAATGTGGGTGAGAATTATCCAATCAGTTGAAGGTCTTAAGAGCAAAAATGAGGACACTTGTGGAGGAAGTAATTCTTCCTTCAGACTGCAACATAGAAATTCTGCCTAAGCTTCCAGCCTTTGGACTCAAAACTGTGGCATCAACTTTACTCAAATCTCCAGCCTCCTGGCTTGCCCTATGCATTTCAGACTTGCTAGTCCCCACAATTGCATGAACCAATTCGTTAACTTCTATCTCTCTATCTATCTAGCTACCTACCAATATATAGAGATAGATAGACAAATGGATGTGTGTATATCTACCTATCTAGGTATCTATCTATGTAGGTAAATAGGTATCTATCTCCCATTGGCTCTATTTCTCTGGAGAACTCTGACTGCTACATCGTGCTTCACATCTTATCTGGACCACAGGAGAAAAGCTGTAGAGAAGGACCCAAGTCCCCTTTGGTGGGAGAAGAGAAGGCAACTCTATTTACTGTCCCACCAAGGTGAATGCAATGGGGGTGGAGGTAATTCCTCAAAGAAAATTAGGATGTGGTTAAGAAGAAGGAACAGATACTGGAAAGTCAAAATCCCCCATATCCTCTATAGACATTATCTCTGCCTTACAAGAATCTATGTCTTAGCTAAAATAGCATATTACTAATCTAGTCATGAGATAGAATCTCAACAGCTATTGCCATATAACAGAGGCAGAAGGATGTGCTGAAGAGAACCCTAAGCAAAGTAAGGATGTACGAGTTCTGATCCTTATCTTGCCTTTAGCAAACTTGAACAAGTCTTTTAATAATTTCTGCCTTTAATTTCCTGTCCATATAAAATTGCAGATTCTAGAGAGCTTACATACTCTCTAGCATCTTATAAAAATTGCTTTATCTGGCATTTTTGTATAAATAAACATCCATGAGAATCTCCTTTCTAAAATTTATAAGCAAATCTTAGGAAAACTTTTCTGAATTTCTTAAACCACTCAAAACCACAAACATCCCACAACATGCTGAAACTCAGTTTACCTTGTAATTATTTATGTCTGGGTCTATTTCCCTATCCAGACTGTGAGCTCCTTAAGAATAAGACCATTTTTTACTGACCTTGGGATTCAAGACCCAATAGTTGACATATAAGAGATGTCTCGTAAATGTCTGATGGTAGAAGAGGGAAAAGGAGATAGAGTAAAAAACAATTCCCACTAATATTTTGACAAAATTTTTCCCCCATGCTGATTATCTATCAGAAAAGTAAGTAAGTTTATTTTAGTAAATCAGTTCATTCCTGTTGACCAAGATTTATTAATCATTACCTTTGGGTTACATTGTCAGCTATCGTTAACTATGTAATATGTGTTCTAAACAGAGCCACAAACCATTGGGGAAGAACAGAAACTAACACACTGCCAATATAAGTGCTGTAAAAGCACAGAGATGTTTTGGGTGTGGGGAAGGAATAGGTTACAGACATCTTCAACTAAAAGGGCATGAATAACTTGAATATTGAAGGATAAATGGATTTATCCCTATAGAGAAGTGGGGAAAGGACACACCTGATGGATGAAACAATAGGAACAAACGTATGGAAGTAAAAGTTTGGATCTTCTGTAGTCCTTACAATGATGATAACAATGGCCAGTATCTAGTGACAGCTAGACACTATGCTAACTGCCTCTTGTGAATCATCTCAAATATCATAACTCTGTTAGGTAGAAATTTTTGTGCTCATTATTGTTATTCCTATATTACAGCTGAGGAATCTGGAGTTGAGTTTAAGTTAAGTAACTTGCCCAAGTTCATAGAACTAGTAAGACGTAGAATTTGGATTTAAACCCAGGCAGACACAATAATCCACTCTTAACTACTACACTCTAATATGGATGTGTTAAAATAGTTTGAGACTTGTATGTGTTATCATTAGTAATAGCATAGGTCTGTTGCCAGCTCATCTGCCTCTTTCACTATCCTGAAAGAACCCACTTGTAATATGAGGAAGTCATTTAGAAACTTCTGGAGACTTCATAGAGAAAGCAAGAAGAGTCTCTATATTATATGTCCTATAGCAAATAGCTTCATAATCCCCTTCAGACTGACTCTCTTTGAAAGCCCCTCTTGCCTGTCAACACTCTCCATCAATCTCTGTCACACTCTCTGATGACAGAAGTTGTAATAGAACTAATGCAGTTCTATTACGTGGGCCAAATTTGCATGTCATGCTTATCTTTGTGCTCAACAAAACAAACACCAAAAACAAAAATCTGAAATTAGTTGGATCTACCTTCCTTAGAAGGCAGTTCAGTAACTTTGGGATTGGACTCCACATTACATGCAGCACACTAAAGCATTTCTTAAAATCATATACAATACTATTCCCAAGAACAGTTCTATTCTAATACGTTTCTTTATCTTATTAATCAAGCATGATTGGTAGAATTAAATGAAAAAGGAGATTGGAAATTGTGAAAAATGCTTTCATTTGTTGGCATTGTTTCCTGTCTGATGGAATATGCATTGGATTAGAGGAGTCTTCCTGAGACCATCTCCAGTTATAAATTATTTAATGGTTGTCCTGTACCAAAATAGCACCATTAAAAGAGAACCACCAAAGCATTTGCTTTACATAATTAGAGCTTGCAAGGTGAGATAAGTGTCAGTAATTAAAGTAAATTGAAACTTTTTCTTTGGAGGAGAAGTACTTTTTCCTGCTTTTTGAAACATGTTGATCCCATTCCACTTCCCCCTACTTCAAAGGCTTGGGTCCTTGTAATGACGTTCTCAGCACTGCCTGCTGCTCCTCCAGCAGGCTCAGCGCTCCTTTATTGGCTCTGCCAAAGGGAGTCACTAGAGACTAACTGGCATGCCTCCTATCCTTAGGCAGGCGGTTTTTCAGGGCTTTCTAGGTATTTGTGAAGAGACCAATTCTTGTATTTTCCTTTCCAAAATTATTTTATCCATGACAACATGGTATCATATATTTTTAGAATGACAGACAACCAGGTGACTCCCTAATTGTGGGTAAATCATTTATGTGAGTCAAAGTGTTAGTAGTTTACTCCCAATTTGTTTTATATTAAATTCCGAAGGGATCTTTGTGAGAGAATTAACCACAAATATGTAAGTTCTTTTATTAAAGTTAACCAGAGACATCAGATGTTTTATATAATTATATATCTATATACATACAGTATGTACATACACACACACACACACACACACACGAACACACAGTAGCTGAAGCAAAACTAATAACACAGAGCAGTAAGTTACATATGGTCATCACAGTAGTAGCAAACACTTACAGAATAACTACTATATATGACAAACGCAGGCTATTTCACCTAATGCACATAGCTGGGAAGGTAGCATTATCCCCGTTTTTACAAAAAAGGAAACAAATTCAGTGGGACTAAGTGGCCTGCCTATAATTTCTTATCTAAATCTTTTTGGCTTTCTAGTCCATAACCTTCTATCACAACACTCTACTCAAAGAGCAGAACAAATGCAAGTAACTTTCCTCGGTACTTTAAAAAACAGTAACTGAGCTGTCATTTGTTCAATAAACATTTAATTGCAAATTGTATCTTTCTCTTCATTCCAAAAAGGATGAGGAACCTTATCAAAGCATCAAGTAAGCTCAATAGTTCACAAAAGAGAAAAGCAAACTAGATGAATTAAGGGGGATAAAGTTACTATAAAGTGTTTATAAAAGCTGTACTGCAAAGTGACCCAAAGACGTATACTAAAGAAAATCTTCCTTGACTTTTAATCTCAAGTATTAGATAATACATTTCCAGTATTTCACATTTTAAAATTGTGTTCTTTTATTTCATAATTGAATATCCAGTCAACCAACACACTGAGTATGGTATTAGGGCTGATTTAATGCTTTATTGTACTTAATTTTTATCTTTCTCATTTTATTTTTCATTAATTGTTTATGGACTATCCACTTCTTATCCATACCATAAGCACCTTTAATTTTCAATTTTGAACTTTTTTATAGGATATATACAAAATTCAATATCACATTAAAATAATTCTGGAAAGACAACAGTAGGGCAAATTCACTGCACAAACCCAGATAATTTTGCTGGCCAAAGATGAACTATTACTTTGTAGGAAATGACACTGAGACAGGTGAAAACAGTCATTTGACTGGAGGTTTAAAAAGGTTAATTTACCATATGAAACATGGCTGAAGGATGTTATTGAATAGTTTTCAAAAGAGTAAATTGTACAAAAGTTAAACCTCAAAGACTTATACACAGGAATTCATGTTATAGAGTCTTGCATAGATGCTGGAGATGAGTTGCAACCATCATGGCAAAGAGAAATAATTATTACAAGGTTTACAATATCATGAAATTGGAAAGAGACCCATTGTTTAGGACAACTTTTTCTGGTTCTGCGAGAGATTTTTTTGAAGGGAAAACATGTAATGTAAATACTTAATTTCTCTTTCTTTAAAAATCAAGAAGTGGCCACTGGGGAAAAATGTCTTTAGTGTATGCTTTTGTTTCCTGTTTTCCACAATATCTCTAATAAAGTTGGGACAGAAATTCATCAAATGACAAGATTGACTTCTAAGCCTATCCAGGATTCTGGTAGTAAGCTTGTATTATGTACAGATTTTTTTTTGGTTTGCATTTAAGCTTAGCATAGTACAAGAGAAAACACACAAAAGGCTGTGATGGCACAGTAATCAAGAATGGAATGGGATTTTAATTTCAATTATGGTTACAAACAGGTATTATGAAGGAGTTTTCATATGCAAGTTTGGTCACTGAAGTAAGGAAACCCACAATAAAGGAGTTCATTTTATTATTAGTTCCTTGCAGGTCTTTATATTTTCTATTATGTTATTATAATAGTTCTCAATTTTGACCTTTTTCAGTTATAACAGAAAAACTATAATTTTGTTGGTTTAGAAAACTTCAGTTAATTCCCTTTCTATCTGGGTTTAGCAAAGTCAGCAAATAATGTGCTAGGTTCAATCTAAAGCCATGTAAATTTCAAGGGAAATTAAATCTATTTCTGATTCAGTTATACATTACTCATTGAAATATTATTTGGTGGAAAATGTTTGATGTCCAGAAACCTTATGATCCATTTTATTATCTTTTTTATTTGATGCAGGAAGTTGATTTTCATGGGTAGTAAATAAAGTTTATATCCAGAAAGATGAAGCCATGTAGTCTAACAATATGCTTATTATAATTTACACCACCAATATTTCCAAACAGATTTGATATGACTTACAGTAAAAGAATTTTCAATAGGACAGTTCAAAATAAAGGTAAAAATTGAGATGAAAAGATGTAGAGGAAATAAAAAAATAACTATATGGGGAGATTTGTAAAATATATTAAATTTGTTCTGATCTTCCTGACTGCCAAGGCAAAAGGCAAACCAAATGATTTTACTTGGAAGCCAACTCTGCTGCTTTGCTTTACCATCGTCATGGATAGTACACACATCACATTACAAATGCACAGGCTCAGCAAAGAAATCAGTAAACCAGGAACATTGTCCAGCTATATGTATTTGTCTGTTCTCACGCTGCTATGAAGATACTACCTGAAACTGGGTAATTTATAAAGGAAAGAGGTTTAATTGACTTACAGTTCTGCATGGCTGGGGAAGCCTCAGGAAACTTACAATCATGGCAGAAGGTGAAAAGGAAGCAAAGCACATCTTACGCGGTGGCAGGAGAGAGAGAGAGTGCAGGGGAAAATGTCACTTTTGAACCATCAGATCTCCTGAGAACTCCCTCACTATCATTAGAAAAGCATAGAAGAAAAACTGCTCTCATGATCCAATCACCTCTCACCTGGTCCCTCCCTTGACACATGGGAATTACATTTTTTTTTTTTTTTTTTTTTGAGACGGAGTCTTGCTCTGTCATCAGGCTGGAGTGCAGTGGCGTCATCTCGGCTCACTGCAACTTCTGCCTCCCGGGTTCAAGCAATTCTCTTGCCTCAGCCTCCCGGGTAGGTGGGACTGCAGGCACGTGCCACCATGCCCGGCTAATTTTTGTATTTTTTTAAGTAGAGACGGGGTTTCACCATGTTGGCCAGGATGGTCTCAAACTCCTGACCTTGTGATCTGCCCGTGTCGGCCTCCCAAAGTGCTGGGATTACAGGTGTGAGCCACCGCACCCGGCCAGCAATTACAATTTGAGATGAGATTTGGGTGGAGACACAGAGCCAAACCATATCACTATAGTTCCCAAAGTAAATGAAAACTCAAGTCTTCTTGCCAAGTAATTCCTAACAGAAATACCTTCATTCCTGTATTTTGAAATCATGTGAGAAAATTGCTGGGTTTTTTTTTTTTTCCCACTGTGAACAACTAAATGAAAACTAGGTAACTTTGGTAATTGTGTGGAATTTTTCATTAAATATCTATTTAATTTTTATTTTTCATTAAATATATGTTAATTTTTATGTAATTTGAGGTTTTTTAAGTACCTAAAATTCCTTGCATTCTTTTGTTCTCATTGTTGCAAGTACTAAAAAAAATTTAAAAAACCCCAAAACAATAACAATAAAAAAGAAAAGAGCCATCACTGAATCTTCCTTTGACCCAATTCTATTACCATTATGAGTTTTAAAGATTAAATGCAGCTTTTATTTTGTTTTTGTTAACTGCAAAAGTAATACACCCCAAATTTTAAAAAAGCCAAAAATGCCTACATAAAGAAAACATGCAAACAAACAAAAACCTTACAATTTTACCTGTCTATAGATAACCATTAATGATAGCAAGGTATATCTCTTAATTTTTGGAGTGTGTGGTTATGTTTTGGAGCATAAAGTTTTATTGTACTTTATTCACCAAAAGTAATGAAACCTGAATTTGGATTATTGAGACAAAAGCCAACTGCAGAAAAGCACTGGTTTTACTAGATTAAATATTGGTAAGTTTTTTTTTTCTGTATTATGTTCAGGAACTACAACATAATGAATCTGACAGATATTCTAAACTTATATATGGTAAGGAAATATACCAATGATTTTGAATTACTTATCTATGCAGAAGAAACAGTTTTTAGAATTAAGACCACGTGAAAGAAACTGGGTTAACCTATTTCAGTTTTTTCTCAACTTCTCAACTTGCTCTTCACTGGTCTTTTTTTCCCCCCTAGCTGTCCCCTTCTTTTTGCACTCCATATTCTCTCTCCACTACTTTGTATTTTCCTATAGCACTATTATGTGATAATTGCCTATATAACTTATTTAATTATCTATTTTCCCACCAACAGAATATAAATTGATGAGGGCTGCTGTTTTTTAATGTTTTATTCATTGATGTGTAGATTGAGCAGGAACCAAAGGAATACTTTCAAAATGTGGATAAGTTTAATGTTGTCCTTATAATATTTGACGTTAATAGACTAATTGATGAAGAGAATTCTCTAGATTATCAGGAGCAGCAATTTAATGACATGCATGCCCTTAGTTTCTCCCACATCTTATGTCAGATATCACAATATTCACAATTCTTTCAATTCTAATCAACATGCTTTTATATTGAACTTGGGCACAGTCACGTAATCCTGGTTAAAATAGTGTTCCACCGATTTTAAGTGGTTTCTCCACTTAAGTGAGGAAAGGTCAACTGAAGAGATGATACCTACAAGATGTCAAATCGTTCTCTGAATAGAAATTTTTATAACAATTTCTTTTTTTATGTGCAAAGAATGCTTTTTTTATGTTCTGGGATACATGTGCAGTACATGCAGGTTAATTACATAAGTATACATTTGTCATGGTGGTTTGCTTCACTTATCAACCTGTCATCTAGGTTTTAAGCCCCACATGCATTAGGTATTTGTCCTAATGCTTTCCCTCCCCTTGTCCCCCATCCCCCGACAGGACCCAGTGTGTGACGTTCCCCTCTCTGTGTCCATGTGTTCTCATTGTTCAACTCTTACTTATGAGGGAGAACATGAGGTGTTTGCTTTTCTGTTCCCATGTTAGTTTGCTGAGGATGATGGCTTCCAGCTTCATCCAAGTCCTGCAAAGGATATGAACTCATTCTTTTTTATGGCTGCATAGTATTCCATGGTGTTATGTGCCACATTTTCTTCATCCAGTCTATCATTGATGGACATTTGGATTGGTTCCAAGTCTTTGCTATTGTAAATAGTTCTGCAATAAACATACATGTGCATGTGTCTTTATAGTAGAATGATTTATAATCCTCTGGGTATATACCCAGTAATGGGATTGCTGAGTCAAATGGTATTTCTGGTTCTAGATCCTTGAGGAATCACCACACTATCTTCCATAGTGGTTGAACTAATTTACACTCCCACCAACAGTGTAAAGGCGTTCCTATTTCTCCACATCCTCACCAGCATCTGTTGTTTCCTGACTTTTTAATAATTGCCATTCTAACTAGTGTGAGATGGTATCTCATTGTGGTTTTGATTTGCATTTCTCTAATGACCAGTGATGAGCTTGTTTTTCTTATGTTTGTTGGCTGCATCAGTATCTTCTTTTGAGAAGTGTCTGTTCGTATCCTTTGCCCACTTTTTGATGGGGTTGTTTTTTTCTTGTACATGGAAGTTCCTTGTAGATTCTGGATATTAGACCTTTGTCAGATGGGTAGATTGCAAAAATGTTCTCCCATTCTGTAGGCTGCCTGTCCACTCTGATGATAGTTTATTTTGCTGTGCAGAAGCTCTTTAGTTTAATTAGATCCCATTTGTCAATTTTGGCTTTTGTTGCAATTGTTTTCAGTTTTAGTCATGAAGTCTTTGCCCATGCCTATGTCCTGAATGGTATAGCCTACATTTTCTTCTAGGTTTTTATGGTTTTGGGTTTTACATTTAAGTCTTTAATCTATCTTGAGTCAATTTTTTTATAAGGTGTAAAGGAGGGGTCCAGTTTCTGTTTTCTGCATATGGCTAGCCAGTTTTCCCAGCCCCGTTTATTAGAGAATCCTTTCCCCATTGCTTGTTTTTGTCAGATTTGTGGAAGATCAGATGGTTGTAGATGTGTGGTGTTATTTCTAAGGCCTCTATTCTGTTCCATTGGTCTATATATCTGTTTTGGTACAAGCATCATGCTGTTTTGGTTACTGTAGGCTTGTAGTATAGTTTGAAGTCAGATAGCCTGATGCCTCCAGCTTTGTTCTTTTTGCTTAGGATTGTCTTGGCCCTATGGGCTCTTTTTTGGTCCCGTATGAGATTTAAAATAGTTTTTTCTAATTCTGCCTAGAAAGTCAATGGTAGCTTGGGGGAATACTTTGGGCAGTATGGCCATTTTCATGATATTGATTCTTCCTATCTATGAGCATGGAATTTTTTTTTCCATTTGTTTTTGTCCTCTCTTATTTCCTTGAGCAGTGGTTTGTAGTTCCCCTTGAAGAGGGCCTTCACATCCCTTGTAAGTTGTATTCCTAGGTATTTTATTCTTTTTGTAGCAATTGTGAATGGGAGTTCACTCATGATTTGGCTCTCTGCTTGTCTATTATTGGTGTATAGGAATGCTTGTGATTTTTGCACATTGATTTTGTATCCTGAGACTTTGCCGAAGTTGCTTATCAGCCTAAGAAGTTTTTGGGCTGAGGAAATGGGGTTTTCTAAAAACACAATTATGTCATCTGCAAAGAGACAATTTGACTTCCTTTCTTCCTATTTGAATACCCTTTATTTCTTTCTCTTGCCTGATTGTCCTGGCCAGAACTTCCAATACTGTGTTGACTAGGAGTGGTGAGAGAGGGCATCCTTGTCTTGTGCCGGTTTTCAAAGGAAATGCTTCCAGCTTTTGCCCATTTACTATGATATTGGCTATGGAAATAAAACATTTGTAAAAATTTTGTTTTCCCATTGCTGAGTTACTGGGACATGAAAAATTGAATATCAAATATAATATTCTCTTGAAAGGTGTAATAGTGAAGAAAAGTAGTAGAAACCAGAAAAGCAGTGAACAAGACTCCATGCCTGTCTTCAAGGATCTTATTTAATTTAATCATATCTATATTAATATTGTGTGTTTATATTCAATATCTAATATGGGATATAGATAATAAAAAGTCCAGGCAGTGAAAATCTAGGATAATACATGCTGTGGTGGGTTAGAACAGAATGTTACAGAAAAACAGAGGGGAGATATCCAATTTTAGGCTAGAGGACTTCAGAACTTTAGCTGAGCTGTGAAGGCTAAGCAGGAGTTAGTCAGATGAAGTTGTAGAAGGAGGAAGTATAATACCTTTGAAGAGAAGGTGCAGCATTTGAAAATTTCCAGAAATGAGTAAGTGTTGGGAGTTTGAGCAGCTGTCAGGAATTCAGCATCACTAACATGTATAGTGTGAGAATAGGAGTGAGGAGTAGTGAAAGATGAGGCTTGGAGAGTATGAAGAGATCAATCACGGCTGGGCGTGGTGGCTCACACTTGTAATCCTAGCACTTTGGGATGCCAAGGTGGGCGGATCATGAGGTCAGGAGATCGAGACCATCCTGGCCAACATAGTGAAACCCCATCTCTATGAAAATACAAAAAAAAAAAATTAGCCGGGTGTGGTGGTGCACACCTGTAATCCCAGCTACTAGGGAGGCTGAGGCAGGGGAATTGCTCGGACCTAGCGGCAGAGATTGCAGTGAGCCAAGATCATGCTACTGCACTCCAGCCCAGCAACAGAACAAACCTCAGTCTTTAAAAAAAAAAAAAAAGAGAGAGAGAGATCAATCATTAGAAGTTTTGCAAGCTGGGTAGAGAGTATCTGGAACTTATCCTGGGACCAATAGCGCTCTTAAAGTGATTAAAGCAGGAGAGTGACATCATCAGATTTACATTTTAGAAAGATGACTCTGGTTGAATGATGAGACTAGGTTGGAATGGAGTTGGGGATGAAGGTAGTAAGATGGGAGTCAAAGTAGGCTGCAAAACAGTAGGCTGCAGTGATCATCCAGGGAGAGGTTGATGGTTGTGTGAACAAAGGCAATGACAATCAAAAAGTAGAGAGTTAGATTGGTTAAAACATATTGAAGAGATAGATTATTGATTGATTGTGAGGGACAGGGATGACGTAGAGGGTAAAGTCAGATATGACATTGTGAATTAGTTGGAAGAAATTATGAGAGTTCTCTTTTGGATATTTGATTTTAAGATGATTTTGAGATGTCAGTGTGCCATGTCCAGGAAGTTGTTGAATACACAGTCTTGAAGCTCATGGGAGAAATTTTACCTTGCATAAGATAAAGATTTGGAATTAGGAGCATATAGATGAGAATGTAACACATGGAGAGATTGAGATTGCCCAGGAGGGATGTATAGTGTGAGAAGAAAAGAGGGCTGAGGACAGAACCCTGAGCAGCAAAACGATTTAAGAGATGAACAGAGAAAGCAGCAGCAAGAAAGGAAAAAAAAGCAAAAGTGTAGCATCCCAGGAGCTCATAAACCAAGGAACAGAGTGTTTTAAGGAGAGTGGATAAATAATACTACATGTCTCAGAGAGATAAAACAAGAGAAAAACTAAATGGAACTCTCTAATTCTATAATAAATTGTTTTGGGGGAGGGCATTGTTAATTTCTGTCTGTTATTTCTTGCTTAGTTTGAATGAGTAGATTTCTCTGTAGTTTGAACTTGATCTTTGAATGAGTAATATACAAATAAAGTATATCCAATACTGTGACACATTCATAAACCCAGAGGAATGTACCAGAAAAAGAGAAGAAAAATATGAGTGCTTCCCACATGCCAAATAATTCACATTTTAAAATTATTATTTTTAACTGAAACGTAATTATATTTATGGGGTAAAATGTGATAGTTTGATACTTGTGCACAATGAGTAACAGTCATATCAGTAATTAGCATATCCATAACATCAAACATTTATCATTTCTTTGTGTTGCGAACATTCAAAATCCACTCTCCTAGCTGCTTGAAAATATATGACAAATTGTTATAGTCACCATACAATACTATACAAGACAAGAACTTATTCCTTCTGTCTAGCTGTATTTTTGTAGTATGTGTTAACCAACCTATGATTATTCCTCCACCCCTGCCCTACCCTACCTCTAGTAACCACTAGTCTACTTTCTGCTTCTATGAGATCAACTTCTAAAGCTTTCACATATGAGTGAGAAGATGCAGTGTTTCTCTTTCTGTGCCTGGCTTATTTCACTGAACATGATGTCCTCCAAGCTCATCCATGTTGCTGTGAATGACAGAATTTTGTTCTTTTTTTATGGCTAAAATCCCATTCTGTGTATATACCACATTTTCTTTATCCATTTATTGATGGACACTTAGGTTTACTCCATATCTTGTTTGTTGTAAATAGTGCTGAGATAAATATGCAAGTGCAGATATCCCTTTGATATACTGATTTCCTTTCCTTTGGCAATTGTATTAGTCTGTTCTTATGCTGCTAATAAAGACATACTCGAGGCCTGGTAATTTATAAAGAGAAAGAAGTTTAATGGACTCACAGTTCCACATGGCTAGGGAGGCCTCACAATGATGGCGGAAGGAAAAGGAGGAGCAAAGTAACATCTTACATGGTGGCAGGAAAGAGAGCATGTGCAGGGGAACTGCCCTTTGTGAAACCATCAGATCTCATGAGACTTATTCACTATCATGGGAACAGCACAGGAAAAACCCACCCCTGTGATTCAGTTACCTCCTACCAGGTCCCTCCCATGACACATGGGAATTATGGGAGCTACAGATCAAGATAAGATTTGGGTAGGGGCACAGCCAGACCATATCAGCTATATACCCAGTAGTGGTATTGCTGGATCATGCAGTAGTTCTATTTTTAGTTTTCTTGCAAAACCTTCATACTGTTTTCCATAGTGGCTAGCCTAATTTACATTTCTACCAACAGTGTACAAGAATTCCACTTTCCCCACGTCTTCTCTAGCATCCATCATTCCCTGTCTTTTTGATAAAAGCTGTTTTAACTGGAGTGAGATAAATCTCATTGTGGTTTTGATTTTCATTTCTCTGTTAATTAGTGATGTCGAACATTTTTTTCATATACCTTTTGACCATTTTTATGTCTTTTTTTGAGAGATGTCGATTCAGCTCATTTGCCCAATTTAAAATTGGATTATAATTATAATTAATATTGCTGTTGAGTTCTTTGTATATTTTGGATATTAATCTCTTGTCAGATGAATACTTTGCAAATATTTTCTCCCATTCTGCAGCTTGTCTCTTTGTTGATTTTTTTTTTTTTTTGAGACAGAGTCTTCCTCTTGTCCGCCGGGCTGGAGTGCAATGGCACGATCTCAGTTCACTGCAACTTCTGCTTCCTGGCTTCAAGTGATTCTCCTGCTTCAGCCTGCTGAGTAGCTGGAATTACAGGTGCCTGCCACTATGCCTGGCTTGTTTGTGTATTTTTAGTAGAGACAGGGTTTTGCCACGTTGGCCAGGCTGGTCTCGAACTCTGGACCTTGTGATCTGCCTGCCTTGGCCTCCCAAAGTGCTGGGATTACAGGTGTGAGCCACTGCACTGGCCTGATTTTTATTTTTATTTTTGCTGGGCAGAAACTTTTTAGTTTGATATTATCCCATTTGTCTATTTTTGTTTTGGTTGCTTGTGCTTTTGAGGTCTTCTCCATTAAATCTTTGCAGTGTCCTAAAGCATTTTCCCTATGTTTCTTCTAATTTTTCATATATATTTAAGTTTTCTTTAATTCATTTTGAGTTGATCTTTATGTATGGTGAGAGATGGGGTCAGTTTCATTCTTCTGCATACGGATATTCAGTTTTCCCAGCACCATTTATTGAACAGACTGTTCTTCCTCAATGAATCTTCTTGGTGCCTTTGTGTGAAAAATCGATTGGTTGTAAATATGTGGATTTATTTCTGGGTTTCCTATTTTGTTCCATTGGTCTGTTTTTATTCCAATAGCATGCTATTTTGGCTAATATAGCTTTGTGTATATATATATTTCTTGATTTTTTTTTCTATTTTGTTGTTGATGTATAGAAACACTACTAATTTTTGCATGTTGATTTTGTATCCTGCAACTTTACTAAATTCATAATCAGTTCTATAGTGGACCGTTTAGGGCTTTATATATATAAGATTATATTGTTTGCAAACAGATACAATTTGACTTCCTCTTTTCTTATTTATGTAATATAACTTTGAAGTCTAATATTGTGATGCCTCCAGTTTTGTTAGTTTTGTTTAGGATTGCCTTGGCTGTTTGATGTCTTTGTGAATCCATGTAAATTTAGAATTTTTTTTTCCGTTTCTGTGAAGAATGTCATTGATATTTTGATAAGCATTGCATTGAATCTATAGATCACTTTTGGTTGTATGGTCATTTCCACAATATTCCTTCCTTCCTTCTTTTTTTTTTTTTTTTTTTGGAGACAGAGTCTCACTCTGTCACCCAGGCTGGAGTTCAGTGGCCCGATCTCCACTCACTGCAAGCTCCGCCTTTCAGGTTCACGCCATTCTCCTTCCTCAGCCTCCCAAGTAGCTGGGACTATAGGCGCCCGCCACCATGCCCAGCTAATTTTTTGTATTTTTAGTAGAGACGGGGTTTCGCCATGTTAGGCAGGATGGTCTCGATCTCCTGACCTCGTGATCCACCCGCCTTGGCCTCCCAAAGTGCTGGGAGCCACCGTGCCCGGCCACACAATATTTTTTCAATTCATGAACTGGAATATCTTTCAATTTTTTTGTATCCTCTTAAACTTTTCTCATCAGTGTTTTATACTTTTCCTTGTAGAAATCCTTCACCTCCTCAGTTAAATTTATTTCTAGGTATTGTTTTCTGTAGCTATTGTAAATGGGATTGCTTTCTTGATTTTTTTTTCTATTTTGTTTTCGATATATAGAAACACTACTAATTTTTGCGTGTTGATTTTTGCATCCTGCAACCTTAGTAAATTCATAATCAGTTCTATAGTGGAGAGTTTAGGGCTTTATATATATAAAATTATATTGTTTGCAAACAGGTACAATTTGACTTCCTCTTTTCTAATTTGGATGTCCTTTCTTTCTTTCTCTTGCTTAATTGCTCTGTCAAGGGCTTCTAGTACTGTGTTGAATAAAAGTGGTGAATGTGGGCATCCTTGTCTTGTTTCAAGTCTTAGAGGAAAATCTTTAAAAATTTCCCTTTTCAGTGTGTTATTGGCTGTAGGTTTGGACATATAAAACTTACTAAAGGCCATATATGGCCTTTACTGTGTTGAGGTATGTTTCTTCTATAACTAACTTGTGGAGAATTTTTGTCATGAAGGGATGTTGAATTAGATCAAATGCTTTTTTTCTGCATCTATTGAAATGGTATATATTTTCAAGTGGATCTGTTCCACTTGATCATGGTGAATAATCTTTTTAATGTGTTGGTGAATTTGGTTTGCTAGCATTTTGAGAATTTTTGGATCCATGTTCATCAGGGATATTGATCTATAGTTTTCTTTTCTTGTGTCCTTGTCTGGTTTTGGTATCAGGGCAATGCCGACATCATAGAATGAGTTTGGAAGAATTCTCTCCTCTTCAGTTTTTTGGTAGAATTTGCGAAGAATTGGACTTAGTTCGTCTTTAAATTTTTGATAGAATTCAGCATGGAAGTGATTAGGTCCTGGGCTTTTCTTTGATGGAAGACTTTTTATTATAGATTCCATCTTGACACTTATAATTGATCTGTTCAGGTTTTTTATTTTTTCTTGGTTCAATATTAGTAGGTTGTATATGTCCAGGAATTTATCCATTTTTCTCTAGGTTTTCTAACTTGTTGGCATATAATTGTTTGTAATAGTCTCTAATGATCTTCTATATTTCTGTGGTATCAGCTGTAATGTCTCCCTTCTCATTTCTAATTATATTTTTACCTTAGTCCAGCTAATGTGTTGTTGATTTTGTTTATCTTTTCCAAAAATAAACTTTTTACCTTATTGATAATTTGTATTTTTTTAGTTTCAATTTCATTTATTTCTGCTCTGATCTTTGTTATTTCTTTCCTTCTGTTAATTTGGGGTTTGGTTTATTCTTTTCTAGTTCTTTGAGACACATTGTTAGTTTTTTTATTTGAAACTTTTCTACTTTTTTTTTTCCTTTTGAGACAGGACCTTTTCTGTCACCCAGGCTGGAGTGTAGCAGCATGATCATAGTTCAATGCAGCCTTGATCTCCCAGGCTGAAGAGATCCTCCCACCTCAGCCTTCCAAGCAGCTGGGACTAAGGGTGCATGCCACCACTCCCAGCTAGCATTTTTTAAATTTCAAGTAGAGATGAGGTCTCCCTGTCTTGCTCAGGCTGGTCTTGAACTCTTGAGCTCAAGCTGTCTTCCTGCCTTTCCCTCTCAGTGTTGGGATTACAAACATGAGCCATCAGGTCTGGCCTCTTTGTACTTTTTTGATTAGGTGCTTATTGCTATAAACTTCCCTCTTAATACTGCTTTTGCTGCATCCCATAAGTTTTGGTATGTTGTATTTCTATTTTCATTTGCTTCAAGAAATTTTTAAATTTTCTCTTAAATTCTTCATTGGCCCTTTGGTTATTTAGAAGCATGTTGTTTAATTTCCATGTATTTGTACAACTTTGAAAATTTCACTTGTTATTGATTTCTAGTTTTATTCCATTGTGGTCAGAAAAGATACTTGATATGATTTTAATATTTTTAAATTTGTTGAGACTTGTTCTCTGTCCTATAATGTGGTCTATCCTTGAAAATATCTGTGTGCTGATGAAAAGAAGAATGTGTACTCTGAGCATTTGGGTGAAATGTTCTATAAATGTCTGGTAGGTCCATTCAGTCTAAACTGCAGTTTAAATCCAATGTTTATTTGTTGATTTTCTGTCTATGTAATTTGTCCAATGCTGAGAGAGGAAAGTTGAAGTTTCTAAGTATTATTGTATTGGAGTCTATCTCTCCCTTCAACTCTAATAATATTTGCTTTTTATATCTGGGTGTTCCAGTGTTGGGTCCATATATATTTATAATTGTTATTTTTTTTGCTGAACATTTATTATTATGTAATGATCTTTCTTGTCTTTTTTTCTCCAAAATTTTTGATGTGAACTGTATTATCTAACATAAGTATACGCCTGCTTGCTTTCAGTTTCTGTGTGCATAGAATACCTTTTTTCATCCCTTCACTTTCAACTCATATAGTCTTTACAGGTAAAGTCAGTTTCTTGTAGGCAGCATATAGTTGGGTTATGTTTTTAATCCAGTCAACCAGTCTGTTTTTTAAGTGGGAAATTTAATCTGTTTACATTCAAGGTTATTATGGGTAAGTGAGGACTTATTCTTGTCATTTTGTTGTTTTCTGGTTGTTCTGTATATCCATTGTTTCTTTCTTCCTCTCTTATTGTTTTATCATTGTCATTTGGCGGTTTTCTGTAGTGACAAACTTTGATTCTTTTCTTTTTATCCTTTGTGTATCCGCTCCACCAGTGAGTTTCATACTTTTGCATGTTTTCATGATAGTAATTATCATTTTTTGCTTCCGGATGTAGGACATTCTTGAGCACTTCTTGTAAGGCCAGTCTGGTGGTGATGAATTCCTTCATTAGTTGCTTAAGAAAGACTATTTCTTCCTCATTTCTGAAGGATAGCTTTACTAGATATAATATTTTTGTTTAGAAATTTTCTTCTTTCAGCACTTTGAATATATTATCCCATTCTCTCCTGGCCTGTAAAATTTCTGTGAAGAAATTTGCTGTTAGTGTAATGGGGATTCCCTTATATGTGACTTGATGCTTTTCTCTTGATGTTTTTGGAATTTTCTCTTTGTCTTTTGACAATTTGACTATATTGTCCTTCTTCCAAACTTTCTAGAGTAACTTTTATAAAGAAAAGCTTTCATCTGTAGGTGGGTTTTACTGTACCAGTTGAGAAGGGCATTGCGATTGTTTCTGAATAGGTGCAGTGGTATAGTCTCCGTGCAGCTGCTTCAGTTGCATTCAATATCAGGAATAACTGTGAGTGCCTCAGTGGCTTAGGCTGTAGAGGTTTGTGGCAGTGGCAGTGATGACATAAATTGTTAATGTCATAGGTGTCAAGGGTTTTTGGAGACCTCCTATTCTAATTTTCTCCACAGTGGGGAGACATAACTGAGGAGACCCATCTTGGTGTCAGGTCTGACACAGCCTACAGGCAGTTGTAGTGACACCAGGTTCCAGATACTGGTTTTCAGAGTGGCTGTGGGGATGGGGTCCTAGGTTCAAGGTCTTACAAGTCTATTATAGTACCTGGGTCTTGGGGTGCATGTTGGTACTCTGTGACGGGGTTGAATGGAGGTTGTCCACAGAGGTAGGATCTGTGATTCAGGAACCCCCTAGCAGCTTGGGCCCAGAGGGCCAGGTTGTAGCTGTAGCTATGAGTCTACCCCCGGAGGGCAAGGCATAGCACTGGCCCAACTCTGGGGAAGAAAGGGTAGTCTGGAAATTTGTACCCATGGAGCAAGGTATGACTAAAATTTAGGCACCTGAGCCAATAGGTTGGTTTAGAGATGACCCTGGGATGGTTGGGCTTGGCAATATCTCAGACCCCGTGAAGCCAGATGCAGCATTAGCAGCAAGTACCCCAGAATGGCAGAGCTAAGTTGTCCCTGGGCCCCCAGGGGACAAGGGCCCAGCACAGCAATGACTCCACTTCACAGGGAAAGAGGTATCTCAACATCTCAGACTCTAGGTGGCCAGCTCCAAAGAAACAAGGTATTAGAGCTGTTTGGCCTATAGGGAAGAGTGCCTCAGCCTAGCCACTGCTCTGTTTCCCCATGATGTGAGGTACTATGTCATCTCAGCCCTAGGATGCATGGATGCTCGGCATGGCCAGGGCAGTGATTCTCCAGGGGTGATATGCTGCTTCAGCCCAGGCCTGGGGATCATGACTATTCTTGGTGGTTTGAACACTATTTCCCTGGGATGTGGAGTGCCACTTCAGCTTAGGTACTAGGGTGCATGTCCACTGTGGGTGGCCAAGGCACTGTTTTGTGGGATGAAAGGCACTGCTTCACCCTTGGTCCTGGGAAGGCATGACTATTCTGAGTGGTCAAAATACTGTTTTCCCAGGAGACAGGGTACTGCTTCAACTCTGGCCAGAGTAGTTGGGGATAGGGTTAGGTGGAGCAGCTCCACCTCTGCATGGCCCCAGTGGGGAAGAATGTAAGAGCTGTGCACAGCTCAGCTCAGGGATCTTGGGCCACTGGGCTGTGGTGCCTTGGTAGTGGTGCCTTGGTAGTGGCTTTACTGGGATAAAATGGAGCCATAGCTACTCACCCCTCGAATGAGACACACTCCAGCCATAGTCCCAGTTCCAAAATGGTGTAGCACAGTAGCTACTTGAGCCACAGGGGATAGAGCACAGTGTCAGCTTCTTCTCTGAGGGAGCACACAACTGTGTGGACTCCAGTTGGCTCCCTCAGTGGAGCTTAGTGCCTGTGAGGGCTGCAGGGGACCCCAGTCGTGAGGTCTGTAGGTGTCCAAGGTGTTGATGGGGGTTGTTGGGGTCCTGTGACTTTACCGTCTTTCTGTAGGAAGTTGCTCCTGGTTCCAAGCTGATCCCAGTTGGGGATGGGGTGGTGGAGGCCTGGTGTTTCCTTCTGTTTTCTATGTGACCATCCTGAGTTTTTGTGCTCACCAGGATTTCTGTTGCTCCTCTGATGCACTTGGGTGCTCTCCTTCAGTTATTTTCACTAAATGCAGTTTATTTGTTATTCTGGCTGTCTTTGTGAGGGGGATGAGTACTAGGGTCTTCTAGTAAGCCATCTTGCTTTACTTAAATAAATTCTTAATAAATTTTTAAATAAATACTTTAACTTAATATTTTATATTTTATAAATAATTTAATAAACAATAAATTCTTAAATACATTTACTTAAATAAATTCTTAATTTATTTTAATTCACAAAACAACTCTTTTACATTCCATTTTGTAAAAGATGACCTTGAAATTGACCACAATTAATTTCCTGTGGTCATACAGCTCAGAAGTGATAGCAGCAGAATTCAAACCTAAGCCTGACTCTGAATCATCCACTCTTTAGGGCA
Organism: Homo sapiens; assembly: GCF_000001405.40. Lineage (NCBI taxonomy): Eukaryota > Metazoa > Chordata > Mammalia > Primates > Hominidae > Homo > Homo sapiens. The sequence continues at coordinate 210,286,516 of NC_000002.12, forward strand.
TGTACTGATTCCTCTGAAGAAGTCTAACAGATGAAGGTGGAAAAGTAAAGAGAAGAAAATATGTTTTACATTTGGACATTTTTGCTGAATTATAGCTCAAATTGAACTTCACCAGTTGTCATCAAATGATTACCATGAAGTATATTTTTATACATATTATGTGTTGAACATCTAACATAGTTCTTAAAAAGTATAAAAATATTTTTCCCCAAATACGCTTTTACTTATTACTTTAAATTTATACTTTTTTATTGTGCCACCAAGCATTATTGATTACTTACTACTCTGCTAGTAGCATTGCACTTATTCTCATCTTATACAGACTATTATGAGATAAGTTGATTTTCCTCTTTCACACTTTGAAAGAAGACAATAGGAAAGGACAACCTTTTCTGTCTTTTCAAGAATAGAAAGAAAAATCTAACCTTTGTGCTACTAAAATTCTTCTTTGTTAACTACATGATTACTGACTAAGGAGTCTGCTATCATTTTTTAAAAGTTCAAAGAAACTAAGAGTATTTCTGGGCAATTTCAATATCTGTCCCTGAAAAGTCTGAACTTTATTCCTTCCCAGAAGGTCCACCCCTACATTTATTAGGCCTTTGGCAAAAGTACAAATAGAAATACACACCATAAATTTAAATATTTGTTATCAATCAAACTGTTAAATAATACATACTCTTATGTCTTCCCTTGACAAATATAGCTTTATAATAACTTAGATGACCATGTTAGAACTTCTGGACTCCTTGGTCATCTGCCCCAGAATACAGTGGCCTGACCTCTTTCAATTCCTATCTTTAGCTGCATCCTACACTGCAGGGGTCTTTTAGGCAACTCATCCTTAAACAAAACAAAACAAAAACAGCTGGCTTTGGCACATCTTGCTCTTAGGATTGAAAACACTAGAGGCAATCTTCCCTGGGGGATGGACCTAGGAAGAATCCTACCCAAGTCCTGGAAGAGAGCTTAGAGCCAGCCATTCAAGCAAGGTAGTCTGGAATCCTGGGAATTTAAACTGTGGTCTAGGAATGGGGCCACCAGCTCTGGAGCCCTATGTTCTATTTCTGCATAGATTCCTTGGCTTTGTGGGTATGTGGCTGGAAGAGGGCTGGAGTGGCTTCCTCTAAAATATAAGATCCAGGGCATCAGCCACATTTGCCCTTGTCTGAGAACAGTACTGCTTTTTGGTTTTGCATGGCCATGGTGGAGGCAGAGTAGCTCTGGATAATCACATTGCTGGCAGATGAAGGCCAAAGAAAGGTATAGCTAGTATTCCTTCTTACCAACTATTAATGATCAACTAAAAAAAAAATCTATCTTGGTGTGAAATTGCTGAAAAGATTCCCAGCAGGTCCTTGGAACCTCATCACCCTTCCCTTTTGCACTGACTTCTCTTAGCCTGGGGCTCACTCATGGAACTGTAAAGTTAAGATCATTTCTGAATTTCTTCATTTTGTTCTTCATTAGCTTCAGTTATCTTGATAATTCAAGTGAGCATAATTCTTTGGACTCCAAATAATTGGTGTTTAATCTCCTCTTTTCTTTTGGAATATAGAGGTGGTTTATGAAATATATCTATAGATTCATGACTTCCTCTAGACTTAGAACTTAAATGAAGATATTTTTTTCTCTGTTCTATTAAATTTCAAGTTATATTTGCCACCACAGAAAAAGAAATGTAGATAGAATTCAAGAAAGACACATTATGAATTCTTTCCTATATAATGTTTCTTGAATTTTTGCTGTGAAATCTAAAAATTAAATTTTTTCCCCAATTTAATAATAATTGTTTATTTTGTTCATAGAGAATAAATTAAGTTCCTGTGCACTCTTTAAGTTTCAAATATAATTTTCTGCAAAAATCAGTGTATATTATTACATTTTGTCAGGAAGGTAACTCGAAGATAGCTAAAAAATAAACTTGAAAATATTTGCTTATGCTGTGTAGGCTTCTCAAAAGTTATTTTTAAAGACTGAGGAATTAGGCACCTGTCATTTTTGCCAGCTGGTGTAGATGTTAAAAATTACTGTCACTCTTCCGCCTGCTACTTTATTTTGCACCTGCTGTTACTTGAGTTACAGGCATTTCACACATGGTAATTTAATAAGGTTAGTTCCCATGACAATGTACTAGATATTATCCCATTGAGGGTTAAAGTGGTTTTATAAGGTCTTGAGGGAGAATCACTAAATATAAAACTTGAGATTAAAAATTTAATACCTTGCAGACATCACATTTTTCTAATTAAAAATTTTTAAAGGAGTATAGAAGAAATGACATTTAGTCACATATCCCAAAACAAAAATGAGACTTTTATGATTGAATTATTTGTACCAGTCAACTTCTCTACATAGTGTCATTTGTAATTAAAACAAACATTTTTAATTGCCTGGTATAACACCTGCAGATAAATATATATTAAGAGCTGTGAACAGTGGTTCAATATAGTAGTCAAGAGACATGTTACTATTTAAATTCGAATTTAAATTAATTAAAAGGAAACAATTAAAATTCAATTCCTCCATCACATGGGCCACGTTTCAGATGTTCAATTGCTGCATGTGGCTAGTAGTTACCATATAAGACAGAGCAGATATAGATTTTCCTTTTCACAGAAAGTTCTACTGGATGAGGCTGTGATATTTCCAATTCCTGGTCTTAGGTAAACTTGGCCTTAAAGATCATGAAACTATAGTGCATTTTCCTTAAAAGAGTGATTTCAATGTCGCAACATCATCTTGACTACAAAAGCAGAGGTTGAAGTTAAAGTTCTGCCACTGAAATCTGAGTGACCCTTTGCCAGACAGAAGGAACACATTGATTTGAAGCTCCCAATATCAGGAGAAAGTTGTTTCAGCTTCCAAAGATCTATAGGCAGGCAGGTGCTTTTCAAATATTTTATAATACTATATATTAAAATTATCTTTTTAGGGGGGTATGGAGAAGTATTTACCACTCATCTCTTCTAAACAGTCAATTTTTTCACCCTCAGAATGTGTTCTAAAGAAAAAGTGACAGGTGATAGCATTCTGAAATAAAGTTTACACTATGAATGTTTCTGTTAATTTGTCTTACCACTTTTGACATCTATTAAAAGATTGAACTAATATTTTGGGACATGGACATGCAAAGGGGAGGGAATCATAGTTGGAGAGAGAATATTAATAAACAGGATCTTGAGTTCTTAAGCAACAATCCCATCCCAGAGGGTTTTTTAAAAAGTTATAGCTGAAAGGTCACTTTAAATCTTATCCTTGAAGACATTAAGTGAGAAGGATCAAGGGCTTGCTAGACTTTTCTAATAGGCCAGATTGTCACTAGAAGTGAAATAGATCAAGCCATGAACAAAATGATTTACACAAATCCGAAGAAACCTGTTTTCGCTTTAAATTACCTGCATAGTTTTTATAAAATGTCTCTTATCCAGTTTGAATTTCCTCAGATTTCTATTTTACTTTTTCAGTAACATATGATTATCTTTATTATTCAATTTGTTATTGCTATGTAGACTTCAGTGATTTCTTCTTTTAAAAGTTTATAATTTGTCAATATTCTCTACATTTAACAAAATAATTGAAGTTTTAAAAATTATTTTCATTAAGAAAATAAAAATGCAATGTGACTTGAACATTCCAGACTGACCAAAATTGTTTATTGATTTATTGTTTTAAGAATGTTTGTTGATTCATGGTAGATAATAAAGAATGGTGCTTGGATTTGAGATTGTCAATATTTTATTCTTCTCATCTAGAGCAGCAGACACTTTGTTTGTGTGGTATGAATTCAATTCAGAGAAAAACTGAAGATGTATAAAAATTCAGGGAGTTGCTCAGTCTTGAACCGTCCAGATTGCTTTGTTTTCCTGAATGATGGTAAACAGATCTGGAGAGTTTGTCATGGGTGTGATTAAAATAAGTTTCCAGCCAGTCTTCCTAAACAATGCTTGTTCTGTAAAGAAAAAGGGAAAATGAATTAGATATTGATTGCATCTTTTCAGAAAGAAAACTCAGGAGGAAATAATGTGAAGTGTAAGACAATAAAAAGCGCAAAGTGAACCAGCACTTACAAGATGAGCCAATTCCTAGTTGTAAGAACCTGGTTGCAAGTGCTTGAATTTGGACTGTTATAACACGGTTTTCTAGAGCAGAAACTGTTAAAAACTACTTTGGTTATCCAAAAAACGTTTGCCTGTGCTTTTATTAGTGTTCTGTTCCAATTAAATTAATTAACTAGTCTCTGGTTTGTTGAGTCTCCACTGCATAATTGCAGTACAGTCACAAAGATAGAATTTATGAATGGAAGCAAAAACCTCATAGGTTTTTGCTTATATCTCGTACAAAAATGCTCTATTTCTGAATAACCCATTTCAAGGCATTAATATTTTCTAATTAATATAAATATCTCGTAATTAAGAACCAATATTAATCTATAGCATATAAACTGAAGCTGTCAAGTTTTAAAAAACACAATATCAAGAAATCCTTAAATATTAAAGAGGGAACTGGTATATACCTTGAGAGCTCCATTCAGATAGACATGATGTGCTTGACAAAAGCTGTAGGAGCAAAATAGACAAAATAGACAATTTAGAGTTAGGAAACAGTCAAATTTAATAAAAGAGAGGTTTAATGAGTTAGCTCAATCCTATTTTTAGCTGTAACAATAGTTTCTTTTCTTTTGTATTTAAGGTGTGTATAGCTCATAATTCTTAGTAGTGGATTTATGACCTTTGCCCTGATTTTGCAAATTAATTTTTTGAATAAGTGGTACATTCACATACATTTTTATTTTTAACATAGGGTCTCATTGTGTTGTCAAGGCTTGACTCAAACTCCTGGGCTCAAGCAATCCTCCTGCTTTAGCCTCCCAAGCAGCTGGGACTACGGGCACATGTCACTGTGCCCAGCTATGGTTAAAATATTTTCTTTAACGTATGAAAGGGTATATAACAACAAAATGTTTCCCATCACTGTCTGCTAGGCAACTGGTTCCCCTTTTTACTGCTAAATTGACAGAGCTGTTTATGCATATACAAGACCACATAAATATGTTTCTAAAAATCTTTTTACACAAAAAATGGCATACTCTATACATTGTTTTGTATTCCTTTTTTCAATTAATAATTTATCTTACAGATATTATAACTGTACACAAGAGTGTCCCTATTTTTTAGGGCTGCAGAGAATTTCACATTGATACATTGATAGACATTCGATTGTTTTCACATTGATACATTGATGAAATTATACTTTGATGGACATTAAATTGTTAAAAAAATTTGGCAGTTATGAACAGCACAGTAATGAATAACCATCTATATATGGTCATCTCATTTGAGTGAAAGTATATCTAGAGACTAAGTCTCTCCAGAAGTAGATTTGCTGCAATTAGTAGTACCACACCATAACCTAGGGGTTTTAACAACATGCATTCCCATCAGTGATACATGAAATTGCCTGTTTCCACACCCTCTCCTCAGCCCAAAGTGTGCCCAAACATTTAATCTTTGGCAATCAGCTTATTGAAAAATGATATCTCAGTGTAGTTTTATATTATTATTATTATTTGAGATGGAGTCTTGCTCTGCCACCCAGGCTGGAGTGCAGTAACGCGATCTTCACTCACTGCAAACTCCACCTCCCGGGTTCAAGCGATTCTCGTGCCTCAGCCTTCTGAGTAGCTGGGACTACAGGCTACTGTGTGCCATCACGCCCAGCTAATTTTTGTATTTTTAGTAGAGACAGGGTTTCACCATGCTGGCCAGTCTGGTCTGGAACTCCTGACTTCAAGTGATCTACCTACCTGGGCCTCCCAAACTGCTGGATTTACAGGCGTGAGCCACCACGCCCAGCTGTCAGTGTAGTTTTAATTTGCTTTTTAAAAATTATTAATGTAGTTTGTCATCTTATTTTATTCATTTTATTTCCTATGAATTGTCTGTTCATGTACTTGCTAATTTTCTATTGGATATGATCTTTTATTAATTTGTAGTAGTTCTTTTTTATTAGGAAAATTAGCTCTTTCTGGTATTAATTGAATTTTTTTTTTTTCTGGTTTGCTGTCTTTTGACTTTGCTTTGGTGGCTTTTGCCATATAGATTTTTTAAAGTATGTGATTAAATTTGTCAAGATTTTCAATGCCGTCTGGTTTTTGTGTCACTGTTAGAAAAAACGTAACCACTCCAAAGTTATAAAATTAATTCTTCTGTGATTTTTGTGCTCTTTATGTTTTTAGCTTTTACATTTCACATGTAAATTATTTGAAATTTGTCTTGGCATAAAATTCAGATTTGACTTTATTTTCTAGATGACTGTCCACTTGTTCAAACAGTATTTATTGAATGATTCTCTATGGAGTGTATTTACGGTAATAGCCAAATGTGAAGAATTGTCGACGGGGAAAAAAGTGAAGTTTAATCAAGATTGTCAGTGAAGATATGCTTGGCTAAGCCCTTTCTTTTTGTCCTCTTCTCCCTCCTTTCCTTTCTTCTCCTTTCTTCCCCTCTCATTCTCTTCTCTTCTTTGTTTTTCTCTTTTTGTCTTTATTTATATGTAACTTGATTCATTCTCTTTGGGGATAGAAACATTTTTAAATTTTCTTACAAATTAAAAAATTTTTAAATTTGTAAATTATATTATGCATCTTTGTTTTCTGTAGTGCATTGCTTTCACACCCTCTGGGTGAAGCTGCTGTAAATTGGTAGTAGGAATTAAACAATTGGCAACTGTGGGCTGACTTTCATGTAAGCAAGAACACTAGACAAGGAAAAGAAGTAAATTTTACCACCAGCCTGGCCATTAGTGATTTGACCTTCACCAAGTAACTAAACCTATTTGGCCCGAAGTTTCATTTTCATAATTGCTTCATATTAGTAAATGACTTTGAGATTTCTTCAAGTTTAATATTCTATTAAATTTGATTCTGACATCAGCCCTGTCTAACTCATAGGGATGTTCTGAAGATCTAACAAAAAATATATGTGAAAACACATTTTTAGCTTTAAAACAATGCACAGTATTGCTAAAACACACTGGAATAAATGTTATTTATATGTTCAGATCCTCACATATCTTTTTAGAGTTATGCAATTGATTGTCATATGTATGTCAATAAGGAAGGAAGAGGAAAAGAAGCTCAAAAGGAGCCCATCATCAATCTGATCAGTTAAGAGTTGCTGTAACCACCAGTGAGCATTGATTCTACCTTCGTAGTTGATGCAGCCATTGGAGTCTTCTTGACCTGCCATCAGGGCTTCCACTTCTTCCTCTTTCATCTTTTCACCTGATGAAACAAAACTCTCCTTTCAGAAAGAAGGCCATGTGTTATTTTCAAAATCCACCATAGGTCATCAGTCAAGGGCTCTGGAGACTAAACTCTTGACATATAGGAACTGTGACTTTCCCATTCTTTTGGTACTTAATATATTGTCAACTAATTGGTTTTTGAATGAGTTAATTAAATACACATTATCTGTTGTCATACAAAGTGTCCTGTAAGAACTACCATGCTTTCCTTTACTTATTCATTACCAATATTTTAAGTTAACATTTTCACCAAACTCACTGCCACTGAGGCCAATTGAAATGGTCATTAACTTTTGACTATTTTTTTTTCCCATTTTCCCTTTGTAGTCTTTCCTCCTATTTTGGTAGTGACATGATTCTCCTGTCATGTTCTTTTCTATATATTCTGTCTCACTAAGTCCACTGAAATAAATTCCCTTACCCAGGGTGGCTAGAACATGGCGGAGTTCAGCACCCATGACTGTGCCATTGCCTTCCTTGTCAAAGACACGCAGACCCTCAACAAAGTCTTCATAGGTGGCCTGGTCCTTGTTGTTGGAAATGGCTTGCATCATAGGCAGAAATTGTTCAAACTCAATTTTCTTGGCATTCAGCTCTGTAAGAAATTGCAATTTTGAGGGTTATTAGCTACCATAATACTAACTCTGAGTCACAATTTAAACTTGAAAAGTTATTCTAGGTTATCTGAAAAACCTTCACACAGCTTAAATTTCAGCTGGTAAATTGCTAAAATATCAAGAATATGGTAATAGTTAATGGCATGAGGTCTGGAATTGCAGTTCCTGAGCTTTTATTCCCAGTCTACCATTTGCAACTCTGACAGTGCTCTAGTTAACCTTTTTGTGCCTCAAGTTATCATCTGTAAAATAGAGATAACTAATAGTGTTATTGTGAGAACTAAATGAGCTAATGAATGCAAAGTTTAATAGAATATCTAGTATAAACTGAGTGCTTAATAAGTGTTAGCTTTTTTTTAGTATTGTCCATTTAATATTTCCCATAAATACTTGCAAGCAATAGAAAAATGCACTGAGATACAACAAACTCATTAGTGGATTAATACAGTAAAACTTAGCTTTAGTATATATTCCACCTTTGTCCCCAGCTTTTTGAGGGCCTTCCCGTTCTTTAAATCCTTTCTTTAAATTTTAAGTAATTTAAGCAGTTTACAAGGAGAGAGTGTGTGTCAAATATTTTGTGATCTTCTGACTTCTTTGTACCTTAGAGGCCAGGAGATGATAGGACTTTATTATCTTCTGACAAGGTAAATCTTATTCATGGAAAATCTGGACAGTCTATTTTATACTATCCAGTTGTATACAAATGGGTAAAGTTATGTATTCACCAAATCAAATTTTTTTTACTACTTGTCTATATTTCTATTACACGCAATTTATATTTTTACACTGAAATTACATTGAGTAATATTTAAAAAATTAAATTTGAATGCTGAATAAATGAGTATTTTACCAAATAATTGTATTAAAGATAGATGTTGCTAAGTTGGAAAGTGACATTTAAAGGTTTCAGCCAGGTGCAGTGGCTCACACCTGTAACATCACCACTTTGGGAAGCCGAGGCAGGTGGACTCCTTGAGCTCAGGAGTTTGAGACCAGCCTGGGCAACATGGCAAGACCCCATCCCTACAAAAAAAACAAAAACAAAACCAAAAAAGGCCAGGCATGGTGATACATGCCTGTAGTCCCCAGCTACTTGGGAAGCTGAGGTGGGAGGATTGCTTGAGCCTGGGAGGTGGAGGTTGTTGTGAGCCAAGATCATGCCACTGCACTCTAGCCTGGAGGACAGTGTGAGACCCTATCGCAAATAAATCAATTAAAAAAATTAAAATTAGGTTTGGCTGGGTGTGGTGGCTCACGCCTATAATCCCAGCACTTTGGGAGGCTAAGGCAGGATTGCTTGAGCCTGGGAGGTTAAGGCTTGCAGTGGGCTATGATCATGCCACTGCATTCCCACCTGGGTGACAGAGTGAGACCCTGCCTCAGAAAAAAAAAAAAAAAAAGAAAGAAAGAAAAAATAAAAATAGGGTTTGCCCTATTGCTTGCTCACTTTATCTCATGCTCTTGGCTTTTCTACATGATGTAATTGGAAATTTCCTTCCAAAGAAAATGAAGTAAGCAGGCTGATTTTGAGTTTTCCTGAAATCAAGTTTTCTTCTAACAAAGGAAGGTCACCAAAGAATTTTCAACTGTCAAGGGAAAGAAAAAGATTATTTGTTATCTCATACCCCTCTCTCTGTTTCCTAATGGCAAAGATAAACAGCCTGAATATCTACTTGAAAAACTTCAGTTTTGTATCTCTTTCAAAAATTATTTTCGATTGACACATACTAATTGTATGTATTTACGGGGTAAAGTGTGATATTTGGATACATGTGTATAATGTGTAATGATCAAATAAGGATAAATAGCATACTGATCATCTCAAACACTTATCATTTCTTTGTATTGGGAACATTCAAGATCAACTCTTTCAGCTATTTGAAAATGAATTGTTGCTAGTATAGTCATCCTATAGTGCTTTAGAACACTAGAACTATTCCTCCAATCTAGTTATAATTTTGTATTCATTTACTGACCTCTGGCTATGTCTTATTCCCTCCTCTCTTCGTTAAAGATAGATGTTTGGTAAGTTGGGAAGTGGCATTTAAAAATAAGGTTTCTGTTGGGCGCAGTGGCTCACGCTTATAAACCCAGCACTTTGGGAGGCCGAGGCGGGCAGATGCTTGAGCTCAGGAGTTCGAGACCAGCCTGGGCAACATGGCAAGGTCCTATCTCTACAAAACAAACTAAAACAAAACAAAAAGTAGCTGGGTGTGGTGGTGCACATCTGTAGTCTTAGTTACTCAGGAGGGACTAGAGCACTAGAATTTATTCAGAACCCTGGAATTTATTCATCCAATCTAGCTATACTTTGGTATTTATTAACCAACTTCTGGCTATCTCTTATTCCTTCCACCCTTTCCTGTCTCTAGAAAGCACTACTTTCCACTTCTCCAGATCAAAATTTTTTAGATTCTACATATGAGTGAGAACATGTAGACTTATCTTTCCATCCCTGGCTCATTTTACTTAACATGATGTCTTCCAAGCTCATCCATCTTGCAGCAAATAATAAAATTTCATTTTTTATGGTTAAATAGTATTCCATTGTGTGTGTGTGTGTGTGTGTGTGTACATATATATATATATATATACATATATATAAAATATTTTCTTTATCCATTCATCTGTTGATGGACATTTATGTTGATTCCATATCTTGGGCATCGTAAATAGTGTTGCAGTAAGCATGAGAATACAGACTTTTTTTGACATGTTGATTTCCTTTTCTTTAGAAATATACCCAGTGATGGGATTGCTGGATCATATAATAGTTCTATTTTTAGTTTTTTGATAAACCGTACTATTTTCCACAATGGTTGCACTTACATTCTCAGCAACAGTATATAAAAGTTCCCCTTTCTCTGCATCTTCCACAGCATTTATTTTTTGTCTTTTTAATAATGACCATTCTAAGTGGGTAAGATGGCGTTTCATTGTGGTTTTTAATTTGCATTTCCCTGGTAATTAGTGATATTGAGCATTTTAAAATACATCTGTTGGCCATTTGTATATCTTCTTTTGAAGGATGTCTATTCAGTTCATTTGCCCATTTTTTTATTGGATTATTCGTGGGTTTTTTTTTTTGGCTGTTGAGTTTCTTACATATTTTGGATATTAATCCCTTGTCAAACAACTTGCAAATGTGTCTTGTCTTTTTTGTTTGTTTTGAGTATCATTTTCCATTAGACTATTATACTTTTCAATAAAACCATTGGGATTAAAAATAATTTCCTTATTCTAGAATAATGACTGGATTTCTGGATTGAGTAAATGACTTCTGCAATTTTGCCACTAACATTTATCACTGATTTTTTTCCTAGGATTATCCTTGTGCTCTGTCCTTTGACACCCTGCTTCTGTCCACTCATAGAAGCAGTGTGTCAAAGGACAGAGCACATGGCAGTCAGCATGTATTTTTCAGTTGCTTGACAAAGTTGCAATTTCATTTCCACAGCTTTTATCAGAGGAGAACTTCTCTAGAACTGTGCCACTGGAATTTACTCAGAATTGTTTATAAAGTGTTTTAAATCATATTTAACATCTTTGCCAAAATGTGTTTTTGCCTTTGAAGATTTGAAGTCTGAAAAAATGTGCAGATTTGGATATTATTTCATTACATTAGCCTTTAATTATGAACATTCGAAATGATATTAGCATTAGGTATTATTTCTAATATCTAATGCTTAACATTAGATATTAGCATGACATTTTACCACGCTTGCAAATTCTCAAAGGAAGTTTAACTTATTTTATAAAGCAAAAAGCTGAGACTTTCTATGGCCAAGAGGCACACTTACCACAATCAAGAATAAACTGAGCCCTATTATGTGAAACATTTTTAAATCAATCTTTCTCTCTCTCACACACACACATACTACACACACACACATACTACACACACACACACACACACACACACACTGCTACACACTTCCCTATACTTCCACACTTCTTGGAAAAATTGATGGGTTACCTTCATTGCTGGGGTTTCCCAGAACTTTCCTGACCTCTGCATTGGTGGGATTTGTGCCCAGAGCTCGAAGGACATCACCGACCTGGCTTAAGGTGATCTTGGAATCACCTGTTCTGTCAAACAGGAGAAATGCCTCCTTGAATTCTGCAAAAAGCAAGAAGCATTAGAGTGCTCTTTTCTTCCTCTAACCTATTAATTAAACCTAACCTTATCAAAAATTCAGTTCAAACTCTTCAGTTTTACAACTTCTGCCAACTATGCAAGTTGTTATCCTGGATTCTCTTTTTGTATCTCCAAATATCATTGGCAAAAACTTAGCATTTCTTTTCAGGGTTATTTTAAAACAGCATTTCCAACTTTAAGTTGCCTGTTATTGTTAATCAGATATGGAAATTGGAGCTCCTAGTCATATTCATATTTCCTTTACCTGCCTGGAAACCTGGATTGGGTTAAAAAATTCTAAGGCCTTGAGAAACTTTAATAATCTCTCATATAATTAACAAGATTAACAAAATTTCAGAAAGAACAAATTTTCAATCAGGCTCATGGTATGTGAGGTTAACTCAAACTTTTCAAATTATGTAGAAAAACCTCCTCTTGGGTACAAATTTCCTAGGTTATCCCTTTAACCAGCTTTCTCCAGGAATAACTTTATTTTTCAGGAAAAATTTAGAAAGGTGAGACAAATCTATACATTCTATAGTTTATTAACTAATGTGTGACTCTATTAGGCTCCTCGTATAATCAGTTCAGAAGGAGAAATATTTGTTTTGGTATGTTGCTGTGATAATCTCTTTATACTTTACCCTTTTATCAAATAATACATATGACATATGTTGCTATATCAGCTTTAGAATTTCGCTATGCCTTGTAATTACAATTTTATGGAGAAAATTGTAGATTCACATGCAGTTCTAAGAAATGATACAGAAAGATCTCTTGTATGCTCTGCCCGGTATCTTCCAGTAGTAACATTTTGCAAAATTATATTATCATAACCAAGATATTCACATTGGTAGACGCCATCAATTTTAGTCACATTTTCCCAGTTTGCTCGATTCATTGTGTGTACGTGTATGTATTAAGTATACACAGCCATTCCCATTCTTTTATGAATACATATTTTAAAGTGTTCTCTATTCTAATTATAATCATTGTATTGATGACTTTCTCTAAATTTAATCATTCTCTTTTGATAGAACTGGTTTGACTTTCAAAATTATAGTGACAAAAAATTTAGAAATGTATATCAAAGACAGAAAGGGTGTCTTTGGTGGATCTGGGGGCCAGTACAACCATTTTAATTAGAACTTATAAACTAGATTACATTTTCTGGGAAACCCAAAAGTACTGCTGATGACTTCCAGTTAATATCAACAATACTCAAAAAATCATTTGTGAATAAATTGGTAGAAGTGAAAGCATTTTTTTAGGCTATCAGTGGTTTCAGATCAAAAGGTGCTGTCTAGATAGATTACTCAGCAAAGTATTCCATCTTGCTATTCCTCCCTCCCCTAATCTAACATCGCACTGACATTATATTCACAATTCACTACAGATCATGTTACCATTATTTGTTAAAACTTCCCCCTCGAATTCTATGCAATTTGACTACAGATCAATTCCCTAAGCTAAAAAACTTGCTGCAGGCACTGAGAAGTCATTAGTCAAATATTATTTTTCATCTTTCTAAGGGACATGTGAAACTGAACTATTCTTGTTACTGGCTTCAGGCTTTCATGGACAGACTGCTCAGCAGGCTCACTATTACCCTGGTCAGATGCCGAAGTAGAAATAGGATTTTATGGGCTGTAATAGAATCACTGTGACATTAACACTTTTGGTGATTTAAAGGCAGAGACCAGAAAGACACTATTTTATTACCCCAGATTTTTAACCCAAAGTTTAGTTATTCTCTTGAAGAATTAATACCAGGGCTGGTTATACTATTTTCCAGGGGCTGGTTGCCTGTTTCTTTTTAATAAAATTTGATTCGGATACAGCCATTCCCATTCTTTTATGAATTGTCTATGGCTTTCTTCACACCTCAGTGACAGAGTGGAGTTGTTTTTACAGAGTCTATACTGGCAGCAAAGCCTAACGTATTTACTATTTGGCCTTTTAAGAAAAAGTTCGCTAACTTCTGGTCTATAACAGTATTGTTCTAGAACTTTTTGGTAATAATGGAATTGTTGTCATTCTGGGCTGCCCAAAAAGGTGGCTATTAACTGTTGCTCTTGAACACTAAAATGTGACTAGTGCAAGTGAGGAAAATGGATTTTAAATTTTATTTTTAATTAATTAAAGTTTAAATAGCCACATGTGGCTAGTGTCTACTGGAGAGCACAAGACTTAGACCTTTAGAATGTTGTCATTTTCCAGTTTTTGCACCCTTTCCTTCAATCCTGTGATAGATTCCAATAGAGCAGCCATGAACAAAATTCTTTAACCACTAAACAAGGAAACAAACTAAAGAATGCTTTCATTTAAGAAACTATAGTTTTTCCACATAATTTAAAATGCTTACATTTGTTTTCCTGCCACAAAGAAAACAGTATACTACACCCATGTTTGCTGAACTTCTGTGTCTAAAATCTATTTCACAGATGGAATAAAAGGTTTAATGCTCAACGTTAAATCATTGAGTCCTTGCAAGGGTTTTTAAGTCTTCCATTGCTTGATCCTACAATAGTTTTGTCACAACAATTGTAAATTAGCTATTTGAGAGGACTGGGATGCAGTAGGTGACAATGTAGCAGCATCACTAGTTAAAATGCATTAAAAATCAAACAAATTATGGTAGAATCACCAACTGTTTTCAATGAGAAAAAAGTCCTTCATAGTATAATTTCAAATAATCTTGAGTTATGGGTCACCATATCATCTAATCTGTCTACATGAGGCCATCAACCATGATACAGATGCATGTGAGTCTGTACTACAGTAAATATCCCTTTTTCTCAATTTATGTTCAAATATGAACTATTTCAGATGCAGAAATAGACTTGAAGAATGTGGAATCCTTTAGGTAGAGAACTGAGTATTTGAATAGGTTCTTATTAATCACCTATAATTATAATTATTTATATTTTCATATCTAATATATGTAATATAGACATACTACTTATGACCAATATTCTAATTTATACAATATTTTGAAGCTAATTTTTTCTCCTCCTTCCATCTATAGGTTTATTTGTGTCTCAGTTCACTTAGATATGTGACTCTTTCACTCCATAAAACATTCCTCCCTGCACTTGCTAATGAAAACATCAAGCTCCTGTGGAGTATGGGATCTGTTGGATCCAAAGACCCAAAGGTGAAAAGGTTGACTTTTTAGGGAAACTATTCAGATTCTCTTGAATCTTAAGAGTTTGGAGTCTCCTAGCTAGTAATTGTTTTTATAAAATAAATTTGTAATCAACTTAAACTAATGTCAGATTTTGCTCCTATCACTAATTCTTTGAGTCATTGAGAAAGTCCTGTCACCTCTCTGGAGTCTGTCTTGCATATCTCAGGGAGGGGTTAAACCAGGAGACATTTAATGTTCCTTCTACAGTTCTATGATAAATTAATCCTTCTTCTTTGTTTCTGAATTCATTTTTGTTCTACAACTCACTATGTTATCCATTGAAATGATATAGGTTTAGTAATTGGGCAGTTTTGTAATCAATTTTGTTTTTCAAATTGACAATTCAGACTTGTCAAATCTCTCTTTAAGGATTATATTAGCAATTTAGCCATCTAAAATCTACATCTTTTTGGGATATATATATATATGTATGGTATTATCTATTGTATCAAATTGGTTTTATTTAGATATCAGCAAATATAAGGGCCTATTTGTGGTGCTTATCTTTTGTTTGTTAAACCTTTGATTACTGAGTATCAGCAAGGGTTTCAGATTGAGCTAATTTATATTTAGAGTGATCGAGAGCAATTTATATTCAGAATGGCAACACCAGTGGGGATAATTAGGAAGAGCTAAACTCATCCCAAGGGAGTTGGTTTTCACACATGCCATCTTTATGAGTGTGCACATTTAAGAACCATAGCTTTTAAACTTACCATCCTGCTGTTCCTTAGAGAACTCGATCTGTTAGAAAGAAATTGACCACAAAGAATGTTTTAACCAAACAAAAATGTGCTGATTTTTAGTTGTATCCAGCTCATTCCCTGAGTAATCTTCAAAGTAAGCTCCAAAAGTCAGCCTACTTTTCAGAGTTCAGGCGTAGCTTGGACACTAACAGGTTAAGCCATAGTGTAACATGCCTTGAAGATAAGTAATATTGCAGAAACTAGGCAGTGCTGTGCCTACATCTGTAGCAGACAAACTCAATTCACTTACCAGCAATCTGGTCAGCACTGAAGGACTGCAGTGGCGAAGAAGAGAAAGAAAGAAAAAAAACTAGTACTCTTTCAAATGCATTGACAGAAGAATGAGTGCTGGTTGCTCTGAGATTTTTAGGAAGCTATGTAGGTGTCTTGGCATTAGAAGGTTGCCTTAGGATACTTTTGAATCTAGGAACATAAAAAGCTATTGCAAAAGATAATTAGGGAATATCTTTCTGCATCTTAATGATTTAACTAAATGCTACATTTAATACTTCCTAGAAAAATAATCTATAGTATATTTAAGATATGTCTAATAAGATACACGGTGTTAAAGTACAGATATACACATTAAAAAGACTACCTTAAGTCTGTCTTCTATTTAACCAGTGCTTAAAAAAATAGTACACAAAACCCAATGCATCAAAAGCAGTTTACTTAGTTTTAGCTATCAGCATCACTGGATTGTATTTTAATGTATAATATTTTGCTGTAGCTACAGGTTTTTTTCTTCTAAATTTAGATATAATGAATCTTATGTGATACAGCAAGAGTTGGTGAAGCATAAAGCACAGCTCTTGGAAGATGTATTTTTCCAGCTGATAAACAGCTCTAATTATTTTCTCCTATCTTTAATGGATCTCAACAAAACCCAAAAGTAGATACTAAAGACTCATATTGAATATGTTCTCTCCTCAGTTCCATTTTTGCCTATCTTTCTTCTCAATAAGATCATATCCTCTATCTATTTTCTCCTATAAATGACAAATTATTGTCTCATAGGACCCACCATGATGGAGCGGCTGGGCTGCAACACAGCAGGGAAGCTGAAGAGTGAGTTGAGGGCTGCTCCGGTCCCTGAGTGGGGTCATCCCTGGCTGAGGCTTCCTTTTATTTCTGGGCAAGCTTTGACCTCACAGCTAGCATCAGGTTTCAGAGATAAGTTGCCACACCCCTTGGAGAGTTCTTTAGCTTTCTTAGGGCAAAGGGAAAGATGGATCTGTACCCTGAGAGCTATTTTTAGATGACCAGAACCTTGGAGTAGACAGCCATAGTGAGATGGAAGCCTGCCGGTACTTTTATGGTCTTTATTTCCAAGATGTTCTCTTGGAGCATCTTCCTTTAAGAAGCTTCCTATTTGTTTGATGGCAGAAGAGCTTAGAATTTCTTTAAGGTCTTGGGCCAGACCCTTCTCTTGATGACAGTGGACTTTACAAACTTCTAGTCAGCAAGTTTTGGTATTAATGCAAGTTTTTGGATGGGACTGGTTTGGGGTTTCAAATGGCAACTGCTATAGCAGGAGCATCCTCTGAAGTGTACTGTCCTTTATGGTAAAGTTCAGAGGACTTGAAAAGGCCATGCACATTCTGCATGTTTCTTAGAGCGCACCCAAGTGACAATCTGGTCAGGTCTTTCAATCTCCAATTAAAGATCACTCTTTTGCAAGCATAATCTAAGCCAGGAATAGTTTTGATCTCCGCTTTTCATCATTCTCCTTTAGTCTCCTTACGTTAGGTCTGGTTATTTTCTTCCCTCCTTGTTATCTTTATAATGGCTGAGTAGTCATTTTTTTTATTTTCAGAAGTTTTTCTAGGCAGGAAAGCTGATAGATCATTTTTACATTCTTTTACTCTCATCCTATACATTTTTTTTAACTACACATAAGTTCTTACTAGATCATGCTGTTTCTATTTCTACTTCTGCCTTGGCAAACACTCTATGGCTCAGTCCCTAGACCAAGAAGCCAAAAGAATGCATGGCAGAGCTTGTGGAATACAAAATTGTACTTTATTTTATTTTATTATTTTTGAGACAGAGTCTTGCTCTGTCACCCTGGCTGGAGTGCAATGGCACAATCACAGCTCACTGCAGCCTTGAACTCCTGGGCTCAAGTGATCTTCCCACCCCAGACTCCTGAGTAGGTAGGACTGCAGGCATGTGCCACTGCACCTGACTAATTTTTATTTTGACTTTTTGTAGATACAGGGTCTCGTTATGTTGCCCAGGCTAGTTTGGACTCTTGGCCTCAAGCCATCATCCTGCCCATTGTTGAGATTACAGGCATGAGTCACCTTGTCCAACCAAAACTGTATTTTAGAATTTTAAAGGTATCTAGGGGATTGGCCAGCAATGGGTTTTCATGGTAGCTTACCTGAAAATAGCGGGCAACTCCCTTCTGGAAATGGTACTGGGAAAAGTGGTACAGGAAAAGATCCTCCTAGGATGTCCACTAAAGTTCACACAAAATATTTATCAGTTTTCTACATGTTTAAAGCAGCTCACAGGCATAATGTATATTGGAGATTAATTGTAACTTGAGTACTGCTTCAGCAACTGTTTTTAGGGGGATGGTCACAAAAAACATGAAGTCTTCCCTTCTAGAAAGACATATACTTTGTAACTTCTCCTGAAACCATTTCAGAAGAAATCAGCATTTAATATGCATATCACTTTTGGCTCTAAGTTTATAAGTAGGAAAAAATATCTCATAGAATCTTGAGTTCCAAAATGAAGATTGAAAATACAATTTTAAAATTATTAGTACACAGGTAAACATTTTCGTAAATAGCTTGACATTTTGAAAGGTTATTGGGAAATGAAATTTAATAGAAAAATAAAAAATGCTTTGAATCATTGGGGGAAATGGAAGGGAAAGACAAAGGTGGAAATGTGTAACTTTGAATATTACAAGATTTGGAATCTTATAATTTTTGACATAAATGAAAGCATCAGAGCCTACCATGTTATCTTTGTGTTCTTTTTTAGTTTTGTAATTATATTTATGTAATTATGTTATTAAATTTGAATCATCTTATGATTATTGAGAACTAGCATATATCATTAGTTGAGCTAATAACTATAAATAATACAAAATTAACCATCAAAATTGCCCTACTAAACATAATTATTTTCATATTTAATAATTTTTTTCAGGTAAAAAAGTGTCCTTGCCTAGATATAAAATATGGTTAATTTATGTAAAATCTATTGAGTAAACTGGAAAGTAAGTTTAAAAGTTGTATTTAGGGCTGGGTGTGGTGGCTCATGCCTGTAATCCTAGCACTTTGGGAGGCCGAGGCGGGCGGATCACCTGAGGTTGGGGGTTCAAGACCAGCCTGACCAATATGGAGAAACCCTGTCTCTACTAAAAATACAAAATTAGCCAGCAGTGGTGGAGCATGCCTGTAATCCCAGCTACTGGGGAGGCTGAGGAAGGAGAATTGCTTAAACTCTGGAGGTGGACGTTGCGGTGAGCTGAGATCGTGCCATTGCACTCCAACCTGGGCAGCAAGAATGAAACTCCCTCACAAAAAAAAAATAAATTAAAAAAATGAAAGTTGTATTTATGCCAGGTGTGGTGGCTCATGCGTGTAATCCCAGCACTTTGGGAGGCCTAGGTGGGCAGATTACTTGAGACCAGGAGTTTGAGACCAGCCTGGCCAACATGGTGAAACCCCACCTCTACTAAAAATACAAGAATTATCTGAGCCTGGTGACATACGCCCATAGTCGCAGCTACTCAGGAGGCTGAGGCAAGAGAATCACTTGAATCCGGGAGGTGGAGGTTGCAGTGAGCTGAGATCGCGCCATTGTACCCCAGCCTGGGCTACAGAGCAAGACTCCATCTCAAAAAAAAAAAAAAAAAGTTGAATTTATGTTATGAATAAGCTATTTCTAATGACTTGGATACTATAAAGTTTGTTATTATTATAATAGAAGCAGTTAAGTGGTATGCAGTTGTTAACTGTTTCACCCTAGTCTTTCTCCATACCTTTATCACATAGAGAATGCATTTAGATTTTTTTGGTACTTACTGAGAATCAACATAAATATTTGAGCACTTTATGTGACAACAGTAGGGAAGGCTACAGTATAGTCTAGAGAAAAAACTGTAGTTTAAAAACTAGAAGACCTAGATTCTGTGCTCATAGAATAAATGGGAAATCCAATTTTTTTCCTCTGGCACACTTTTTTTTTTTTTTGAGATGGAGTTTCGCTCTTGTTGCCCAGGCTGGAGTAAAATGGCGTGATCTCGGCTCACTGCAACCTCTGCCTCCCAGGTTCAAGCGATTCTTCTGTCTGGCTTACTTTTATAAATGACAAAACTTATCTTCTCTCTCTTCCTTGGGGTTATCATGATGGGGTAATCAGTCCTTTGAACAAAGGTAAATTAATTGTATAATATGAATACACAATGTCAGCTGGTTTTGGCTTCAGTTCTCTATGTCATCAATTAGTTTTAAAGATCAGATTTACCTTTCTTCTCTCTGGAATGCTCTCCTCTCATTGCTTCTTTTTAGAAATTAAATATGCAACAAGCCCTGATAACATTTGTTTCCCTTGAAAGAAACGTTTTCTCTCTGTTTCCCCCAGTATTCAACATCACCCAGCTCTTCATCCCACTGAAAATTTTTTAACCTTCCTGATTGTAAACTGGGAAGCGTAGGCCATTCCCGAAGTCATTTGTTCCTGATGTGGACCTGGATGTGAGCCTACCCCAACCTGTCTCCGATAGAGCACTTCCCTTGCCTTATTCTTACGGTTTATCCCTCTGTAACTCTCTATAGAATACCTTGCCTATATTTGAAGCTCAATAGATTTTCATTAAGTTAAAATTATTAGAACATGTATATCCTAAGCTCCCCCTTCAAATATAAACTTCTCCTCTAGAATGTTGTGTACCCTGAGGGAAAAGACTTCACCTGCTCAAAGTTAGCATGTTCATTTTGAATTATTGTTTATGTACCTTTATATTTGTAGCACCTTCCTTTAGATTTTATATCAATGTTTTTGACCTGGACTTCTAATTTTCCAATCCCCAATTTGTTCTTTTTAAGGCTCTTTTATATTCTAGCCTACATATTTGCTTAGACTCTTAGTAAACTAGTTACATTCCACGTTTTTATGATTCGTGCTATCAATTGATGTCGGATTTAGGTAACAGTAGTCTACAACATACTGCTACTAAAAATTTTTTATTACAATGTTTACAAATTCTTTTTTACTTTGAGAAGCATCTTTCTAATAGTAATAATGAGATTAAATTAACTAATTAAACATCAGATAATGTATATATTAGGTTGGTGCAAAAGTAATTGCGGCTTTGCCATTACTTTTGTACCAACCTAACAAAGAATTGAGTTATAGAAAAAATATTAAAACGCTGTTAATCAAACAGGCTCTGGAACTGATGTAGGTTAAGCCTTAGTAAAAGAAGAAGAGCTATAATTAAAGATAATTGGGGAGACATGTAATGTCGAATACTGGGGGAAAATGCCCTGGGAAGGAACATGGACTACATTCTTCAAAGAACTTGATGGTCCTTGCAACATACAATGGGGATTAATGACTAGAAAGGCTAAATAAAGAAGCTAATATAATCAGGGCCAGTTTTCAATCAAAGAAAACACTGCTGTGTGCTCTCTGATTTAACGCCTGGCAGAGAGACCAAAGACCTGGATGTATATAAATCCTTAAACTTTACCTAATTTTCACTCCAATCTCACAGAGTTTCTAGGAACCACCATAAAAGGCCAGGAAAAGCACTATTTTGGAAGTCTTAGGAGTTCTGTGCTTCAGAATAACTCAAGTCGAAGGAAATAAATATTTTTGCATTTTTGACTTCAACATAGGATATACTTAGGCTAATATATATATATATATATATATATATATATATATATATATATTCTAGTCACTATAATATGGTATAAACAGGGGAAATTAAGAGTATTGAGAATATGGTACCAGCCCAGTTTCTGCAATATAAGAGAGATTAGGTGGTTAGATTGCATAAATTGATCTGGTCTGAGATAAAATCCTTAATTTTGTGCTATGAAGTCCTAGATCAGTCAACTGAATTCAGTCACATAAGAGCAAAAACTCAACTATTAAAACAAAACAATTCAGACCTACAGGAACTAAGAGAGGTCTAAGTGAATTTTAATAAAAATCTAGAAGCACAACCTGTTATACTTTTTCAGTTTTCTCATTAGCTTTCTCATGATTAATAATTGGTAAAGAAATTTAAAGTTTCTTGAGAGCTGGCCATACTTTTGTCTCCTTTGTGCATTTGTTTGCATGTAATTTCTTAAAAACCTACGTTGTGTTTTTGTTCATTATTTTAAAAAATTCTTTGTGTGTGTGTTTTAAGACATAAATATCTGCTTCTTCCTATTTGTCTGGAATAAAAGTTCCTTTTGTGACCGCAGGGATAAGAATATTGGCATTGCTGTCCTGGAGACTTCAAGAACTTGTGGAAAGAGAGCCAGATTGGGAATTTTGTTTTAGCTTTCTTATCATAAATCATGTGTCTTTTGATGAAATAACTTCTCTCATCTAGGCTATAGTTTCTTCAGTAGAAAATATTCTACTGCACGATTTCTAGGATTCCTTATGTTTCTACAATGTTGTGAGTTTTCTATCCTTTTGTCAGTAGAATCTACTTCAACTCACTCATTTTAATGGGAAAGGAAGGATGCCTAAAAATTCAAAGGTAATATTAGTCTGAAGTAATTTAGATAAACAAAACATAACTTCATAACACCATGTTCAAGCCAGTTGGATTTTTTTATAAACAGGAGACATATGCCACGGGGCATTTACTAGGTACTTTATCACAGTGAAAGGAAGAGTATAAAGTTGATAAGATGTAGTTATATCTTTAGGGATACTTTTCTTCTCTGGCTTCACTTCACTGTTATTAATTTGTGACCAGAATAGCCAGAATTTATCATCCATATAATATACCTTTTAACTAGTATAATTGAAGCCATTTCTACTTTTATATTGTAATTTTTGCCCTTCAAATTCTGCTTTGAGGTAAGAAACAAGCTGTAGAAGTTGATATAGAAACAAATCACAGAAGATCTTGTTTTTATATGAAAAGTATTTCAGTCTGAAGAGCAGCAGAAGAAAGTGTAGTATCAGCAGACTAAATATAATCCTTTCCACCATGAGTCAGATGGTGCTTAATACTAGGTAATTATGGAATGAGTTCTAAAAACAACTTGCCAGGGGTTCATTTGCAGCACTAAAATGCCGAGAGCTAAATTTGGCACAGTCACTTTATGGTCTCTTTGTCTTGCAAATATTTAGTTTTACTTAAAAGTGTTATTCACTATTAATTGGTGAACATATCTCTTCTTTTCAAAGCTGCATTTTCCTTTCAAAGACATTATCCATCAAAATATAATTCTAGAGAAAATTACAAAATGCCCTTTAATATTTTCCCACTTCTCTCCACCTGTTCTCTTCTGTTACAGCATAGACAGACATTTGAAAGAGGAAATGTGATACTGATACCTAGTGATAGTGTCAAGTAATTTCTGATTTGCTCCTGAGGTTATATTTACACTGCAAATGGATTAATATTGCAATTGGCTAACATTACAGTTGTATTAAAAATTAATTTGAACTATTAAAAGGCCAGAGTAAAAGAAAACAAACTTTTAAGATTATGTAAAGAAAAGTTAGAAACAACCTATACATATTTTTACCTGTGTTTTTCGAATTAGAAATTGATTACATGTGTTCTTTTACTCAGAGTAGTTAGGGTTAAGGTTTTATCATATTGTACATGTGGCATTGTATTTCTGCATACCATCCCAAAGAATATAGGTTGGGATTTCCAGTTTAAATAATGCTGTTTATTTGTAAACAAAATAGAGATCTCATACCCTCCTTAGAATATTAGCCTGATAGCAAAAATTGAAGGTCATATTTGATGTATGTGTGTTTAATTAAACAAAACCAAAATTACTAAAAAAACTCAGTTTCATTATATCTAATAGCATTTGAAAAATATCCATTTTCCATTTACAACATCTTATAGGAAGACGGAACAAAATGGGCAGGAATATTTCTAGATTCCTGATATTTCACCCTCCTTCTGCAGAACAAAACACCCAAGTTGTCAGGTGCTAAGATAGGGAAAAGCTATGGAGAACAGAATAGTAGTGAACAGTCAAGGTCAAAAGTCTTGGTGAACTTGCTCTGATGTGTCTGTCATCCCCTCTTCTGGTTACACAGGACTGTGCAGGGCAATATAAAAACCACTCTACCTCATACCCTTAAGAGTAAAAAGGGCTCCTTTACACATTCTTAGAAACAGCAACTTACTTTTTATAAATAAGGGTGGTAGTTTTGGATATGGTTAACACAGTTGACTCTGGATTTTGCTTGCTAAGTTAAACCCTAGGTCCATCACTTAACTACTTATTTGATCATATGTATAGCACTTACCCTCTTTTAAGCTCAGTTTCTTTACTTCTAAATTGTGGATACAATAACTTCAGTGTAATATTGTGAGGATTAAATAAGATAACATGGCAAAGAGCAAATTCACAATGAATATTGGTTATTGTTACAAAAAGCTTTATAGATTTCAGAGCCTTTCGTGGAGCATGACTTCATTTGATTTTTCTCAGAAATTCTTCTAAAGGAAACTGGATTTATATTAGCTTTGTTGGAAATGAGAAAAAAGAACTTACAGATGAACAAAAGTAATCCTATACCTGGGCCAAAACAAATTGGGTGCCACAATGCGTATAAAACTATCTGCCTCCACTGAATACCCATCAGTAAGTAAATGTATTTGGGAACATTAGATTTCTACCTTACATATTAAATTGAAAGTTTAAATCTTCCCAGGCATGTGGTCAATTGTTGATGCAAAATTCGTTATTTGATAGTTTCTGTCAATGCATTCTGTACCTTTACCACGTTTTATAATATCGCTCACAATATCTAGTCACGGCTGACCTGATTAAGTGGTGAATACGAGAATTAAAACTCAAACAGCACAGTGAGAGACATGATTCACAATCCTATCACCTCACAGCAATACTGACATATAATGCATGCATCATGCAGAAAATTCACTTACACATTGAAGATCTACAATCTAGGTACATGGTTATGTTATTACTTTCATTATTTTGCTTGGTTGCAGTTTTGAGCAATGCATATTCTTGTTTTTGAACCTACAACCATACTTATGCTGTGTTTTAATTCCTGTAACTGTGATTCTCTTAGGCTGTGTTCTTTTGTTCTGGATTACTGGGAGTATTAGCTCTCTGAAGGCAAAGAGTGCTTAGAACCACCAAGGACAATAACTTTAGTGTTCAAATATCAACAGTATTTTGTTGTTGAAAAGGGTACTCATAGAAAATCCATTAGGATTGGACATCAAGTAAGCATTCCTTCAGAGAGTATCATAAAATTTGTGTCAGAACAATTGAAGAAATGTTGTAAACTAATAACTAACAAACCAGGAAATCAGATTGGAAAGCACATTTAAGCAGTTGATAAAACTAATTAATTATATTCAAGATTATTCAAGATTTATGGGGGAATCAAATATATGGCTATTAAATGTAGTATATTACAATATGAAACATAGATATTAGCTGGGAATACTATGGAGAAATTAAATTTTACCATGGCTATGACTATAGTACTACACAAAGGCAGTTATGATTAAACTACAGCATTACTCAAAGTCTAGAGGACAGCTAAGTTTCTAATCTTTTTTGATTTATGAAAGAAAGTTTATAATCCAATTAAGTTTTGTTCTTTATTGAATTTTCAGAAAGTTAATGAATACATATAACAGCTCTATTAATTTCTTTAAAGTTCATTTTCTCTGCTTGAAAAAATTGTATAGCTTTTATGAGGTAATATATCTAGAAACATTATTAAGTGATTAAAAACATCATAATATAAAATGTTTTAATGTATGTTTTAATTAGGCCTGTTACCTCCTGGGATAAAATTAAAGTTTATAAAATTCTTGAGTTGTATCACTTTCTTTGGCCATGCTAGAATACATCTAAATATGCACTGATTTATTTCATATTAATGAATGCAAAGCATTGAAGATATTTACATTTCTTTACAAAAGTGTGTTAGTTTCCATTTGTTTCTCTTTTTTTTCTCTGTTGCAAATGGGCCTTCTGGATGGAAGATAAAGGTTATTTTTTTTCCTGTTTCTTCCAGATTCATTTAACTTCTTTTTGATTTGTGTCCCTTACTAGAATCCATCACATCTCTTGTTCTGCAATGAAATAATAAAGATGGAGCATACCCAATTCTCATAGAGACACTCCAGGGGTATTTCCTTCTTTTGCTTAGTTGTATAAGCTTATATTGTATCCTCACAATATTACACAATATTAAGCTTGTACAACTCAATTTAACATATTGACAGACGAATGTCAATATGTCAATTTAACATATTGACAGAATAATAAACAAATTTTCAAGATTCTGAAAAGTGTTGCTTCTCTGCTGACTATGAACAAGTAATTGGCTTAATTTCTGGATTAGAAAAGAGATGTTTTGTCTTTTCTTGGAGATCTCTCACCTGCCAAACAATTTTTATTTATGTACTCATTCTTACACAGTTCCTCAGGGAAGAAAATTAATGCCTGTTTTCATTAGTTAGATACTTCATTTGCTTCTTAGGTAAAGAGGTACATTTTCTTTTCTTTACAGAAGTTTGTAATACCAGATACAAACAGGTAACATTGTCTTATAAATCACAATAAATAAAGGACTAGCTTTGACACTGATTCATATCTCTTATGTTACTACAGAGTGCAGAGTTAAAGATGAGGGACAATCAGAATTACTATCATGGCTATGATCTCACTTATTGTGTAATGTAGACAGTATGCATCTATAAAGGATACATTAACTAGGATTGCTGGAGATGAAAAATTTGGTTTCCTCTTAAAGAACTGTATGCATGCAGTCCTCAAGTTAGAAAAACATTTATCAGAAGACCTGACATGCATTTTTTTGTCCTCCTAAATGGATATCCATTAAGAATAGTTCTTAATATTATATTCCATGACCAATTTTTTTCAAATACTTCAAATACCTACAAACTAAAGATTAAATATTCGTGATAATTTACTTATACTTTAAACAAAATTTCATGTTTAATTGGAATGTTATATAAATTATAAATATATTTAACTTCATTACATAATGTCTAAGGGTGATCTAACTAAATATTTTTGGGACTTAAAAAATTCTATAGTTATATTAAATGGTCAATGAAATGTTTGTTTATGGGTCAGCATCATAGTTACAAGTAAACAATGGTAAATTGGCAAAATTGAGATTTATTACATATACAACTTTTGGCTTAAGTGAAAAGTTCACCTCATGGGTACTATTGCTCATTGATTTTCCATATAAGGCAGGTTTCCTTAGATAAAAATTTTCAAGTTGTAATATGAGCCAATCAGAACTCAGTGAATGAAGAGAAGGTGCACATTTAATGAGTCACATCACTGGAAGTTAACAGACGTACCTATTTTTCCAAAAGCAGATAATCTTTTGGCAATTGAGAACTTTGATCACAGCAAAGTGTTAACACAATAATTAATCACATTTTTCTTAGTCCAAGATCAGTAGGCAAATACTCTAAGACATAAGCTAAAAGCCATGTAAATAACAAATTTTATAATTATTTTTGTTAGTTTCATTTAGAAGAAACTCACAAATTCTGAATTAAATACTGTGTATAAATAAACAAGATGACAGTTACAGTCACTGAAACACTTGAGTGCATAATTTTCTGCACTGAGATCTCATTTAGTGTTGTATCAAATTTTATTAGGCAAAGCTGAAGGGAGAATTAACTTGAATTGCAAAAAATCTTCTTTTTCAGAAGAAGGAAAGTAACTGTCAAATACATAAAGGACAACCGGGCCATCAGCTGTTTTTAAACTTCTGGAAATAAGTAGGGGCTAAAACGTTCCTTTTGATGTAATTTGTAAGTAAGGGATCTGGTTTCCAGAGAGATTTTATTTAAACCCAAACACTGGTTTAAATATTCTTAAATGCAACACTGTTAAGCATATATACTTTTCTCCTAAACAGTATAAGTGCAATTTAGGAGAAAATGGAAACTTGAGAATAAAAAATAGAGCAAGCACAGGCTTCACATATGATACCATACTCTAATAATTTTTGAAATTATATGCTGGCATTCATTTTTTAAAGCAGGATTCTCTTCTTCATAATCTACCAGCTCACTAAATAATGCTATTCCTCTCAATGAAAAATACACGCCTTTGCAAGTTCCTAGAGATCCTTACTATTGAAAGATGTTTCAGTGACCAAACAGTTCATCCATTTAGTTACCTTAATGGCAGAGAGGTCAATTTTTTCTTCTTTGGGTTTGGCTGGGGCAGGGGCAGGTGCAGGTGCCGGTGCCGGGGCTGGGGCAGCCGCAGCCGCAGCCACAGGTTTCTTCACGTCTTTCTTTGGTGCCATTTTTTTTTTTAAAAGGGTGGGTTAAAAAGAGAAGGAGTTCCTCCAAAAGAACCTGTCAAAATGATTCTTGGAAGAGGAGTGGTGGTTGGGTTGATCCACAGCCCAGTGTCTTGAAGATGGACCCAGAGTGTTAAACGGCATAAGGGCATGCATATATATTTCACTTAGTGCCTAATAGAATCTTGACACATGCGGCTGGATTGGACAGTTCTCTAGTCAAGGGGGATGGCATTCCGGCTCAGACTATAAATGGAATCTAAAGGGTCAGGGCTTCATCAATTTTTTTTAACTCTCTTTCCTTTTTTTCTCCCCCCCCCACCTCCATATATAAAGGAGAAAGATATATGACAAAGCCAGCTTCAGATCCTTTGGTGACAGTGAGGTAGATTGACTGTACTTTTTCTTGGTAGAATTACAGTTCTGCTGAAGTTGTAAATCTTTTTTTCCCACCTTGCCTAAGAGACTTTACTGAAGGATTCCATTTCAACTTGGAATTTTGGCAGGGAGTATCACCAACTTTCACACAGCTCCTTTGCTCATGCTCCTCCCCCCTTGCCATAATTTGCAAGGAAATGTTGGTCAGCAAAGAGGTGGTGGTGGTTAAAAATAAAAAAGCAGACGTATAAGGAAAGCCCATCATGTCTTAAAGTGGCTTCCCTTCTAGGGAGCACAGACTCTGGCACTCTTTCTCTCCTTTAATTGTAGTGAATTCTATGCCAAAAAACTTCAACATGACTTCCTATAATTTAATTTTCTTTGTATAATTTAATGAAGCATATCAAATGGATGGAAATGACAGCAAGATTTACCTTCTTGCAAAACAACTTTTCTAATAGTAAAGTAGCTTCCAAGAAAAGTAGATACTTATAGATATTTATTTTCTAAATGGTGTAAAGTCTAATTATTTATCACATAAATCTTTTGTCCATACTAGAGAGACAAAATACATTTTTAGAGACATAAAGAGAGAGAAGAACTTTAATTATCAACACTGTGCAAGTTGTGGTAACTTGAAAGTTTTTCCTTTTCTGTCCTTGGTTTCCTCAGTTTGCAAGGCTAGACTCATATCGAGAAATTTAAGACCACCAATGGGCACTTTATAACTTTGTATGTGGTAAATTCTGCCAGAGAGGGGGTTACAATTAGTAATCAGTTATTTCTCAGTCCCACTCTCATCTCTGTTGTTTTAACTTGTGAGATATTTAATTAATGAGTAGTTATTAACCAGTTTAAAAAAATAGTTTGGGTTTTAAAAGAGCACATTTATACATTTTATATATATAAAGGATATATATACAAACACACATATGTTTACTGTATGTGTATATATACATATATACATTTACTGTATGTGTGTATATATACATCCATACATGTGTACAAATGTATGTGTAAATACACACATATTCTAATTGTTAAATATAGTTGTGTTTAAAGATACAGATTAATTAGCCACTTTCTTGGGTCTGATATAAAAGCATTCACCAACTTGGAGAAGGTCACTATTTCTGTCCATATATTACAACTAAGCAAGATTAAGACTCTCAGATCAGAAATAATTCACCTAAGTTACAATTGACCCACAGTTAATCAGTCTCCTTTTTCACATGGTGGCACGATCTACTGAATTATATTATCCATGTATATTACAGGAAAAACATTTTGATAGCTCCCTCCTTTGTTTCCCCATATCAAGGACTCAATCATTATCTAAATTTAGCTGCTGATACTCATTTTTTACATACAGGACAGTCAGAAGAATCTGAACATATTTTACCTAGAATACTGTCTCATATTTAAATAATCAGGATAGATTTTTAAAATAATGCTATGTTTATAACAGAAATACCTTCATAAATAGCAGAAATTTGTTCACCAGTTTTCCTTTGGATCATTCAAAGATAGATTGGGATTTTCTGCAATTACTGAGAGATAGATATATCTTGCTTTAACTCATAGTTTTTATCAATACTTTGTTTCATGTGCACAAATCCCTTAAAATCTGTGACAAGGTTAAACAGATAAAGGAGATTTATGTGTTCTGGGCAAAAATATTTTTGTCTTCCTTGCATTTGGAAAATAAATTAAAACAATATAAAATATATTAATCCATATGTTTTATCCACTCACTCAACATATGTTTTACATTACTAATGTCACCAATGATCTTGGTTTTAAAAACTCAAATACCCCGAATTGAAATAGGAACACTTTATTTCATAACATGAAGGGAAATTGTCTGATTCTACTATATACCTAAATCCCTTTGTGTTATTAACTATATATATTACTGATATATGAATGCACAGAGGAAAATATGTTGGTATAGAATTTTTTTCTCAAAGTAGAAATCACAAAGGCAAAGTACCATTCTTAACATATCAAGGGTACCTGCTCTTAGCATAGCATGACATTGCTTTGATATTAACCTTGACTCTGTGGTTGAGGTAGTCTTTGACCACCAAAAACCCATAGCCCAGTCTAATCATGAAGAAAAGCACCCACTAAATCCAAATTGTGGGAATATTCCACAAAATTTCTGACAATAACTTCTAAAAATTGTCAATGTTACCAAAATAAGGACTGTTTGAGAAGATTTTACTGCCTTGAAAAGCCTAAGGAAACATCGTGAGTATTCGTAATGTAGTATCCTAGATGGAATCCTGAAAAGAAAGGGTCATTAGTGGCCGGGCGCCGTGGCTCACGCCTGTAATCCCAGGACTTTGGGAGGCCGAGGCGGGCAGATCACAAGGTCAGAAGATCAAGAACATCTTGGCCAACATGGCGAAACCCCATCTCTACTAAAAATACAAAAATTAGCCGGGCGTGCTGACACACCTGTAGTCCCAGCTACTTGGGAGGCTGAGGCAGGAGAGTTGCTTGAACCCGGGAGGTGGAGGTTGCCGTGAGCCGAGATCGCACCACTGCACTCCAGCCTGGGCGACAAGAGTGAAACTCCGTCTCAAAAAAAAAAAAAAAAAAAAAAAAGGAAAAAAAAAGAAAAAAGAAAGGGGCATAGGTAAAAACTAAACACATCTGAATAAAACATAGACTTTTGCTAATTAATGATGTATCAGTATTGGCTCATTAGTTATGACAAATGTAACATATACTGTAAGATGGTAACAATAGAGAAAACTTGGTGTGGGATACTTAGGAACTCTCTGAACTCTCCTCTCAACTATTCTGCAAATCTAAAAGTATTCTAAAATAAAAAGTTTATTTTAGAAAAAACAACCAAGAACTAAAACAAACGACAACAACAACAAAAATGTAGAAAATCTGAAACTTCAAAGAAAAGAGGTGTAAGATCTTATTCCTAATCAACGTTCTTTGTGTTTTGGGTCAGGTATATTATAGAAGGAAAGTCTAAAAATATTCACAATTTATAGCACTGAGGTCTTTTTGAAATGGTTGATCCTATTGGGCACAATGTATATGTATGTCACATAGGCATTATTAGTTACATAGAAATTACATGTGGAGAACAAATTTAGAGGTGTTCTGAAGCTATGATCATGAGTAACTTAATATGATAATCAGAACAAAATGAAATTTCTCTTGACATGCCCCCTCCTTTTTATAGTGCTGTGTGACAGGACTTACTTGTAAGGAGAAAAAAGGGCAACAGCTGAGGATTCATGTTCTTGGTGACAGCTGACATGCTCTGTGTCCGGATCTTCCAAGTATTCCTCATACTTAACTGTACCATTTGCTGTATAAGTTTTTTCAGATACCAAAGTGCAGGGAATGGCAAAAGGAAAAAAAAATTGCTAAAAGTGGTCTATTATAGTCTATCTCTAATCCATTGTGCTTCTTTTGCCACGTAGCCAAGCTTTGCCACGTTATTAACCTGTTTCTTGAATGATGGTATAAGTTTTTAGGTTCTTTGGGCTAAGATAAAATAATTATTTTCTATTTGGAAATGTTGGGCCTGGGAAATGAGAGCGACCAATATTTTTCCTTCATTTCACTGACCAGGCAACCACAGGCATTTACTCATTCCACACATATTTCTCACCTACTATATGCTAGGCATTAGGATTACTGGTTGAACAAGATGAATTTGGTTCTTGTTCTCTTGGAGAACTGAGATATTTGAAAGAGGATATAAACTGGGAATATGCAAACACGGGAGTTGGAATAACTGACTTGTAGGCATTGGCAAAGGTCTCCTTAAGGAAGGGATAATTGGGTTGGGAACCACAGGAAGAGAGGAATTTATAGGCGAAGGGGCAGGGGGAAGAGAATTTCAAGCAAAAGAAGCAGCAGTGTACAAGGCACCTTACAGTATTAAGGAGATATTAAACCAAGTTAGAAAAAAAAATGTAAAAGAGCATAAAATTACAAAGTAGGTTAAAAGTGGCTGCATCAATTGTCCTTCCTGCCACCCCACAAAAAGATTGATCTCTCTCTAGATATATAAAATTTAAAAATTCATCTTCTGTGTCTGCAAACTATAGTAGAAATTCCTTCTATCCAGAGGACTGCAATAGCAAGTAGGTGACAGCAAACTTTACAAAATATTGAGAGAGCAAAGTGCATAATGAAATTTATCTGCTTTTATAATACTCTTATGAAGAAGGAGGAGTTAGGAAATGTTGCCACTTTGTAATGGAAACACTGAAGAGAGACATTGATCAGAAATTCAATGTGTATTTCTTGCTTTCTATCAATCATTTTGCCCAAGTTGAAATTTTTGTGTGCTCCTTGCAGGAATAATTCCTTAAAAACATAGATACTTATTTTATATTTTCTTAAATATTGGAACAATTAAAAGTGTTTAATAAAGTCTTGTTGAATTAGAATTGAATTTGTTGCCATAAGGCCTTTATACATTCCTGAAGAAAAGGGAATGCTGGGTAATTAAGTACTTAGCACAATAATTGTGAAATTTTGAAGTTTGTAGTATGAAATGGCTTTTTCATTTTTGTGAGTTTTTTTGATATAATGAGGTACTATATTAGGTTTAAAGGCTTGTATTAATTCACTTTGTCATAGAGCAAAATAAGAATTTAAGTGTGTGAATTAACATGTGTGTGTCTGTGTGTGCATACTTGTGTTAATAGTTATTTCTGAGTGGTAGAATTATGAGTTAATTTTATTTGCTAATCTATATTTTTATTTTTCTTCTGTGACTACACTTTGCTTATACAATAAATAAATAATAAAATAAAAAAGTTAAAAAGCCAACAATAAAGATTAAATATGAGCACAACCATATGTAAAAGCCAACTTGTCAAACCTTCAATTAAGACTCAGGATTTTTTCCCCTTACATTTACATAAATCAGTTCATGTGTGTATGATATCTACTTGAAAACTTTCCAATAGTAAGCAGTTGAAGTAAGTGGCTTTCACATTATTTAACGACACCACAGTTCCTCCTCTAGATTTGGGCCCTAAGTTGACACATCCACTATCTCCAATAATTTGCTTACCAAAGTTCTTCGGTCAGCTAAGGTTTATTTCCTCCCCTGAGCTGTCTGTAAGTCACAATCCACATTTGGTGGATGAGATCTATATAGAAACTATGTCTTCTTATTGGCTTTTTCCCCCTTAACAAATTGAGTAAAAAGTAGAGTTCATGGTTCTGAATCTCCCAAGCCCTAATAAGTAGCATTTATTAGACCACACATTTTTCCAATTTCAACTTGCCTCAAGAATCAGGCTGCATTTGTGATTGATTCAGAGAATAATTATGGAGTTCATAAAGCCCAACCTCAAAGCTAAAGCAAATAGTAGGTGGTTGAATTATTTTTCTATTAGTATATTGATTTAGTGAGATCTGGTTTACGTCTAGCTACTAGCTGTGTGACTACTGACAATTATTTTAGCTTCAGAGAGGCTTAAATACAAAATTAGAGGAATGGATAGGGTAAGATCCCAGCATCTCATTTTTACTGCAAAGTTCTATGGTTTTTGCTTTTTGAAAAGTATATTATTAGTGGCCATCTGTTGAGGGTTAACGTATTCCATGTCCTTTAATCCCCACAACAATTCTGAGGTAGGTATTATTTCACTTTATGGATAAAAAGACTCAGAGGTAAAGTTACATGCTAGTTACCCACAGTAAAAGTGTTAAAAACAAGCCAGCCGTGGTGTGCACACCCATAGTCCCAGCTACTTGAAGGGAGGCTGAGGCAAGAGGATCGCTTGAGCTTAGGAGTTGGAGGCTGCAGTGAGTCACGATTGTTCCACTGCAGTCTAGCCTGGGCAACAGAGTGAGACCCTGTCTCAAAAAACAAACAAAAACACCCATAAAACAAAAAAAAGTGTCAAAAACAGAAGTAGAACCCGGTTTTAATGAAATCTAAACCCTACTGCTTCCTAATGACTAAGGGAAGGATAATGACATGTGAAAAACAACAAGGATCACACCTCAGCTATTCAGTTGTAGTAGAATTAAATTTTGCCTTGTTAAAAAAAAATGATCCAGCCAGGCACAGTGGCTTATGCCTGTAATCCCAGCACTTTAGGAGGCCAAGGCAGGTGGATCATGAGGTCAGGAGTTTGAGACCAGCCTGGCTAACATGGTGAAACCCTGTTTCTACTAAAATATGAAAAATTAGTTGGGCGTGGTGGCAGGTGCCTGTAATCCCAGCTACTTTGGAGGCTGAGGCAGGAGAATCATTTGAACCCAGGAAGCAGAGGTTGCAGTGAGCTGAGATTGCACCATTGTACTCCATCCTGGGTGACAGGGTGAGACTCTGTCTCAAAAATAAATTTTAAAAAAAAGATCCAACTGAAGGTTATGTTTCAGAAGAAGAGGGCCTCAAAGAAGCAAAAGAATTACTGGAATGTTAGCAATGCCAAAGGCAGGGAGATCTTGGGTATACTGTAAATCACAAATTGGAAGAATGCACAATAACTGATCATAAGCCTAGCACTTATCTGAGAAAAGTTTATGTATGTCATTATTCATTAATGGAATCATCACATTTGGAACTTACAAGATGAACTCCTAACAATGGCCAACAAGGCTGGATTTGATCTAGTCTCCACCTGTCTCCCTGAACTCCTCTCAGAGTTCTCTCCACCTTTTTGGTTATATTCTGGCCATTCTGACCTTCTCTCCTAAGGGCCTGACATTGCTGTACTATTTTCTCAGAACACTTTTTCTATATATTCTTTCATGGCTACTACCTAAGATCACTTCGATTTTAATCCAGATGTTACTTTCTCTGAAAGACCTAATGGAATCATGCTATATTAAGTAACCCCTCCTCTGGTTATTACTTAGTCTAGCATCTGTTTTTATTATTCTCATGGACTTTATAATTTTTGAATTTTTATTTGTTTTCTAATACATTTAGGAAGTGAGCTTTATCAGATCAGGGACTCATCTTTCTTGTTCTCCAATGACTCTCCAGCTCCCAACTCACAGTAAGCTGA
Organism: Homo sapiens; assembly: GCF_000001405.40. Taxonomy (NCBI): domain Eukaryota; kingdom Metazoa; phylum Chordata; class Mammalia; order Primates; family Hominidae; genus Homo; species Homo sapiens. The sequence goes on from NC_000002.12 coordinate 210,322,437, forward strand.
AAACATTTTTTTAATGGAATGGATGAATAAATGAATGAAAGAATGTTACGGGTTTTGGTGTTGGCAGATATACTTAAATGATTCAAGACAGTTTGGAGCCCCAAAATCTGAGCAAGAGAAAGAATTTGAATATTTGAATAGTTAGAAGAGAGAATGAGGATGAACAAAATTGACTATTAGAACCCATTCTGAAAAGTTAATGGCTTTGGCAGTACTTAGTTGAAGGAAGAAAAAGGTGGCTTAAAAGCAATTTTAATTAATAAAATGTTGCTATTAAGAGAATAGTCGTCAGCTGTTCTTTATATGAAACTAACAGGGATGAGTGAAATAATTTTCGGTTAAAAATAAATAACTTTCTAACTGGGGATTATGAGGTACTCCAAAAATATTTTAAAATGTAAACTGTTTCCTTTTAAGAATAAATGGGTGTTTAAGTGCAAACTTGATAAAGGACTGGGACTGGATAATAAAGATGATTTTTTAAAATGTTTACACTCCTTTCGTCACTAAGTTTTTAACTAGTATTGTTTCTTTAACAGTTAATAAATCCAATACTTGTGTAAGTGAAGACTGGTATTTTTCTTCTTTTGCTCTCAGAGTTACCTTGTTAGAGGTCATGATATATCCAGGGCCAAGCTGGAACCAGTGCTCCGGAATCTTGTTTTATGAAGCAGATAGTAAGTCATGTAGAAATTGAGTCAGCGTGATTCTTTACATGGTTAACATGCTGCTTCCCCTGGAGGTGGGGGTGTAGGATTTCTCAAGGAAGGACATTTATAGTGATTAAAATTGCTCAGAGATTGCTTCACTGGGTAATTCTGATGCTGTAGTATGTGATTCTGGCAAGAGAGAGGGAGTATGAAAGGGACAGAAAATCCCAGACCATGGCAAGAAAGGGCACACGATGCAGAGACTACCTCAAGAAAAGGGGCTGTGGCAGTAAGAAAACAGTAACCGAATGGTCAGACTATTGATCAGAAATCCTTCTTGGTTGCCTCCTGAGAAGGAATTGAGAGCATAAATGTCCAAGGGCAATGACTGCCCATTAACTCACCATCATCCTACAATATTTAGCATAGTTCCAAGAACAAACTGGCAAAAGAGATTTTGGCAGCTGATATTTTTCTGGGAAATTAAGTGGAAAGCACCCTCCAGGACAAAAAGGCCAAGAATAAATACTAAACATGTGCATATCTTAAAAGCCAACAATTTCACTCATAGTCATGTGTCCCCCACAAATGTGTATGTATATGCATAAAGATGTACATAGGTTGGGCACGGTGGCTCACGCCTGTAATCCCAGCACTTTGGGAGGCTGAGGTGGGTGGATCACCTGAGGTCAGGAGTTCGAGGTCAGCCTGACCAACATGGCAAAACCCTGTCTCTATTAAAAATACAAAAATTTAGCGAGGTGTGGTGGTGGGCACCTATAATCCCAGCTACTTGGGAGGCTGAGGCAGGAGAATTGCTTGAACCCGGGAGGCAGAAGTCACAGTGAGCTGAGATCACACCATTGCACTCCAGCCTGGGCAACAAGAGCAAGACTCTGTCTCAAAAAAAATGTACATAAACATTTTTAGCAATGATATTCATAATTGCACAAAACTGGAAACAACCCAAATGCCCATTAGCAATAAAATGGATAGAATATCATATATCCTTGTGATGGAACACTACACAGCAATAAGAATGAACAAACTACAGGTACATGTAATAAGATAGATCAGTGTCACACAGTGTTATGGTTCCATTTATATAAAGTTCAAGACCAAGAGAAACTACCTGATGGTATTCGAAGACAGGATAGTAGTAGAGAGGAGTGTTGGGTAGTGGAGAGGAAGGTCAGGTAGTGAAGGAGCTGGTGTTTACATGAATTTGTTGAAGGAGCTGGTGGTTACATGAATTTGTTCACTTTGTGATAATTCATCAAGTTGTACACTTAAGATTTCTGCATTTTTCCAAATGTATGTTATGCTTTAATACAAAGTTTGATAGGGAGAAGAAATAATACTGCCTTCCAAAGTAAAATGAATGACATTGGGTGGGATAAAAAAAACAGAGGGACCCTGTGTCAAGCCTGTCTTAGGGTCTTCAGACAGCATGAGTCTCGCTGTCTCCATTTTGAAGATGGGCAACAACTGCAGGGATAAGAATAGCCCATGGCTGACAGTGCATTTGCTTCTACTTGTCCTGGTCAAGGTTTTCTAATTCGGGCCCAAGAGAGTATTCATGTCTCCAGGAGGCCACCCTATGGCACGTTAGGCATTCTTGAGAGACTGGCGGCCTCAGTCCTTGTGTTTGGAGCAGTTCTGCTAGAGGAGGAAACAGCACAAAGGGCACTCTTATGCTGCTGTAAACCAGTGCCAGGATTTTTAAAATGTGAGACACCTGTTACCCTGTAAGTATTAATTTCAACTTGAGGTCTCTAGCTTTTTAATTTGCTGGATACATTCTTTTATATGAAATGTGATGGGCATTTCTGACGTGGAAGAAATTGGGACCAGTAAAGCCGGGAAGAAAGCAAAATGGGGTAGCAGGGGCCCTTTTCTCAGCTTCTAATGAAATATTTGTAGTCAAGACCAAGCACACATATTGATTCTCATCAAGTGTGAAATCGTTGGCGGCCCTGGAGGTGAGCCCCACGGGACCATTTGTACCGCACTCTTTCAAATGAACAGATTAAATCTCTCGTAAGATGCTGTTTTTGACACACTCGTACTGCATATATTAAAATCCTCCCTGGTGCCCTTTTGGCGGTTAGGATTCAGGTAGTTCCAGTGCATCACAGCCTGTGTACCAGCTGGAAAGGATATTTTTTTTTTCTTCCCTGGAATGTGTAAAGGAAGAATTATATTGCTGTTTGTTGAAAGAGACTATATGTCTCGCAAGTCCCACTTCAATAATCTTCTAGAAGCAAGAATGAATTTGGGATTGGAAAGGGCATTACAACATGGCTAAATAAATAGCAAGGGGTCTCTCAACACCTGGTTAGCCTGCAATGTTACAATATGACTTCTAGGTCTTACATTTCAGTCTCTTTCTTCAGCAAACAGAGTCTGAAAGGTCTTACACAAAGACAGAATTTTAAGTCTGAACACTCAAGAAATGTGGTCTTCACACTCTAAAGCTGTCACTAATTCCTTGAGAAGCACCAGAAACTTTCTGACTAAACCTTTTTATGTCTTCAATAATGGTTAAATCCAATATACCTTAGGGTTTCCCTCAGATTTAGTCTTCATATTCTTTAGCTTTTGCTAAAGAATTTTAGCAAAATTTCTTATTTTGCATTTCTCTAGCTTCATGACTGGGCTGTCATCATAGGTATATAAGACCATGTACAGGGCTGTGCATTAATATTGCAAGTCTGGAAATTCCAGATATCTTGGCAAAGGGAGAAACAACTTGTGGTTGGAGCTTGGAGGATGAGGAACCAACAAGTTCTGAGTCCTCATGTCTTATGCTTAGGCTGATTCCATTTCTTCCCTCAAATTGTAAATATTTATTTAGGTGTAAAGGAGAGGGCCTATCTAAAGCAGACTGGTGTGTGAGTAGAGTTATTTTCATAGTGTGTCCTCTCCCAGTGATTTATGTTTCCTAGAATATTGATGAAAAATGGATGAGCTCCCGCAACATCTCCTGCCACTCTCCCCCTCACATATTGGACTACAGACATTCTGGCCTTCTTCAGTTCATTCTTTAGTATGATATGCTGTTCTTTCTTCCTGAATTGTTCTTCTAATCTTTCTTTGAATGAATGTTTTTATTCCCTTTCAAGTCTTACCTTAGAAGTAAGTCCTCTCTTCAGAAGGGTCTTACTTATCACCCTATCTAAAGTAGGTTCCACTCCTCTCATCCCATATTGCAATACTTCATTTGGTGGACTCATAGCTTATAATAATTGAATCATTTATTGATTATTGTCCTCACTTAGACTATAAATTCCATGAGACAGTGCTCATGGTTATATTGTTTACTGAATTGATTCTACCTAAGTGTCTATCAACAGAGAAATGGATGTTTGGATAGTGCTATTGTCCTATTGCCATTGTGACAAGGGCTCAGATAAACATGCAAGTGCACATATTCATGTACTGATTTCTTTTTCCTTTGGATAAATACTCAGAAGTAGGATTGCTGGATTGTATGGTAGTTCTATTTTTTGGTTTTTAAAGAAATCGTCATACTATTTTTCATAGTGGTTGTACTAATTTACCTTCCCATCAACAGTGTTTAAGAGTTTCCTTTTCTCTGCATTCTCACCAGAATCTGATATTTTTCATCTTTTTAATGACAGCCATTCTAACTGGAGTAAGATGATATCTCATTGTGGTTTCCATTTGCATTTCTCTGATGCATAGTGATGTTGGGTATTTTTTCATATACCATTTGTATATGGCCATTTGTGTGCCTTACTTTCAGAAATATCTGTTCATATCCTTTGCCCACTTTTTAATATGATTATTTGTGGGGTTTTTTTTGGTTGTTGAATTGTTTGAGTTCCTTGATATTCTGGATATTAATGCCTTGTTGGATGAATAGCTTACAAATATTTTCTCCCATTTTACAGGTTGTCTTTTCACTCTCTTGGTTGTTTCTTTTGATATGCAGAAGCTTTTTGGTTTAATATGCTACCATTTGTCTATTTTAGTTTTTGTTGCCTGTGATTTTGAGGTCTTAGGTGTAAGATCTTTGCCCGGACCAATGTACTGAAGAGTTTTCCCTCTGTTTTCTTCTAGTAGTTTTATAGTTTTAAGTGTTTAAGTCTATAATGTACCTTGAATTAATATGTGATGTAGTGAAGATAGGGGCTTAGATAGAAGATACCTATATTCTTCTGCATGTAGATATCCAAATTTCCCATCACCATTAATTGAAGATACTGTCATTTCCCCAATGGATGTTCTTGGCACATTTGTCAAAAATCAGTAGGCTGTAAATACATGGATTTATTTCTGGATTCTCTATTTTTTTTTTTCTTTCCTGAGAGAGAGTCTTGCTCTGTTGCCCAGGCTGGAGTACAGAGGCAAATCTCAGCTCACTGCAACCTTCGTCTCATAGGTTTAAGCGATTCTCCTGCCTCTCCCTCCTGAGTAGCTGGGATTACAGGTGCATACCACCATGCCTGGCTAATTTTTTGTATTTTTAGTAGAGACGGGTTTTTGCCACGTTGGCCAGACTGAGCTCAAACTCCTGGCCTTAAGTGATCTGCCTGCCTCGGGTTCCCAAAGTTCTGGGATTACAGGCATGAGCCATCGCACCTGGCCTGGATTCTCCATTCTATTCCATTAGTCTATGTAACTGTTTTTATACTAATACTATGCTGTTTTAGTTAAAGTCTTGTAATATATATTAAAATCAGGTAAGGTGATGCCCCTAGCTTTGTTCTTTTTGTTCATGTTGCTTTGGTTTTTGGGCTCTTACTTGGCCCCATGAAAATTTTAGGATTGTTTTTTCTAATTCTGTGAAAAATGACATTGGTATTTTGATAGGGATTCCATTGAAACTGTTGATTGCTTTGGGCAGCATGGCCATTTTAACAATATTAATTCTTCTGATCCATGAGCATGAAATGTATTTCCATTTTTTTGTGTTCTCTTCAATTTATTTCACCAGTACTTTATAGTTTTCCTTGTACAGGTCTTTTATCTTAGTTAAATTTATTCCTAGGTATTTCATTATCTTCTTGTAGCTATTATAAGTGGTATTGCATTCTTAATTTCTTTCTCAGCTACTTCATTATTGTGTATACAAATGCTACTGATTTTTGAAATTGATTTTGTATCCTGAAACTTTATTGAATTTATGAGGTCTAAAACGTTTTTGGTGAAGTCTTTAGGTTTTCCTAGACATAAAATTATATTATTGGTAAAGAGAGAATTTCACTTCCTCGTTTCCAATTTGGGTGCCTTTTATTTCTTTCTCTTGCCTGATTGTTCTGACGAGGATTTCTAGTACTATGTTGAATAGGAGTGGTGAAAGTGGGCATTCTTGTTTTATTATAGTTCTTAGAGGGAAGGCTTTCACCTTTTCTTCATTTAGTATGATCTTAGCTGTGGGTTTGTCATATGTGCCTTCCATTATGTTGAGGTACATCTTTTCTATGCCTATTTTGTTGAGGTTTTTATCATGAAGGGATGTTGAAATTTATCAAATACTTTCTCTGCATTCATTGAAATAATTGTATGGTTTTTATTCTTCATTCTGTTGATGTGAGGTGTCACACTGATTGATTTGCATATGTTGAGCAACCCATGAATCACTGGGATAAATACCTGGGATCATGGTGTATTATTTTTTTGATGTGCTGTTGGATTTGCCTTGCTAGTATTTTGTTGAGGATTTTTGCATTGTGCATCTATGTTCATCAGGGCTATTAGCCTACAGTTTTTTTTAGTGGTTGTTTTACATTCTTATCTGATTTTAGCCTGAGGGTAATTCTGGCCTTGTAGAATGAATTAGAAAGAATTGTTTCCTCTCCAATGTTTGAAATAGTTTGAGGAGAATTGGTGTTAGTTTTTCTTTGAATTCGGTAGAATTCAGCAGTGAAGCCATCTGGTCCTGGACTTTTCTTTGTTAGAGAAATTTTTTTTACTGCTTTGATCTCATTACTTGTTGTTGGTCTATTTGGGTTTTCTAATTTTTTTTATTCAGTCTTGGTAGACTGTATGTGTCTAGGAATTTATCCATTTCTTTTAGGTTTTCCAGTTTGTTTATCTATAGTTGTTCAAATAGTCTCTGACCTATTTTATTTCTGTGGTACCAGGTGTAATATCTTTCTCATTTCTGTTTTCTTTGTTTGTCTTTTCACTTTTTTCCTTGGTTAGTATAGCAAGTAGTTAATTTTTTATTTGTTTGAAAAAAACAACTTTTTGTTCCATTTATCCTTTGTTTTTTTCTGTATCTTATTTCTTTCTTCTCTGATCTTTATTTTTGTTTCTTCTAATTTTGGTTTGGTTTGGTCTTGTTTTTCTAGTTGCCTGAGGTGCATCATTAGATTGTTTATTTTAAATCTTACTATTTTTTGATGTAGGTATTTATGGCTCCAAGCTTTCCTCATAGCACTGCTTTTGCTGTATCTCATAGGTTTTGGTATTTTGTATTTTGATTTCATTCATTTTATTTTTTATTTCCTCCATTTCTTTTTTGACCCAATAATGGTCATTCAGGAGCATATTGTTATTGTTTGCTTTCCATGTATTTGCACAATTTCCAAAGTTTCTCTTACCATTTTTAAAAATTTTAGATCCATGGGGTAAATGTGCAGGTTTATTACATGGCATAATGATGAGGTTTGTGTTTCTATTGATCTTGTTACCCGAATAGTAAATATAGTACCCAATAGAGAGTTTTTCAACCTTCCATCACCCCAACTTCCCTTTGGAGTCCTCATTGTATTATTTCTATCTTTATATCTGTGTGTATCCAATGTTCAGTTCCCACTTATAAGTGAGAACATGATATTTGTTTTTTTGTTTCTGCATTAATTTGCTAAGGATAATGGCCTCCAGTTGCCTTCATGTTGCCGCAAAGGAAATTTCATTCTTTTTTATAACTATGTAGTATATTCCATGGTGTGTATGTACATTTTCTTTATCCAATCCACCACTGATGGGCCCCTACATTGATTTCATGTCTTTGCTATTGTGAATATTACTGTGATAAATATGAGTGCAGGTATTTTTTTAAGCAGAATGATTTATTTTTCTTTGAGTATATAGCCAGTATTGAGACTGCTGAGTCAAATGTAATTGTATTTTTAGTTCTTTGAAAGTCTCCAAACTCCTTTCCACAGGGGCCATTTGCGATAGAAGTGCTACTGATTTTTATACATTGATTTTGTATCCTGAAACTTTACTGAAGTTGTTTATTAGGTCTGGGAGTCTTTTGGCAGGATCTTTTGTTTTTTTTTTTTTTAGATATAGGATTATATCATCAGTGAAGAGAGGTAATCTGACTTCTTCTCTTTCTATTTGGGTGCCATTTATTTCTTTATCTTGCCTGATTGCTCTGGCTAGGACTTCCAGTACTATGTTGAATAGGAGAGGTGAGAGTAGACATCCTTGTCTTGTTTCAGTTCTTAGGGGGAATGCCTCCAACTTTGTCCATTCAGTACGATATTGGCTGTGGGTCTGTCATAGATGGCTCTTATTATTTTGAGACATGTTCCTATAATGCCTAGTTTTTTGAGAGTTTTTATCATGAAGGGACATTACATCTTATCAAAAGTTGTTTCTGCATTTATTCAGATGGTTTTTAATTATTTATGTGGTGAATCACATTAAAATTTTTTTATAATTTCAACTTTTATTTTAGTTTCAGGGGGTACATGTGCAGGTTGTTACAAGGGTATATTGCATGATGATGAGGTTTGGTTTACAAATGATCCCATCGCCCAGATAGTGAACACAATACCCAACAGTTAGTTTTTCAACCCTTGCCCTCTTCCTCACTCCCTGCAGTAGTCCCCAGTATCTATCGTTCCCATATTTATGTCCAGAGTACCCGGTGTTTGGCTCTCACTTATAAATGAGAATATGCAGTATTGGTTTTCTTTTCCTGCATTAATTTGCTTAGGATAATGGCCTTCATGTTGCTGCAAAGGACATGATTTTGTTCTTTTTTATGACTGCCTAGTATTCTATGGTGTATATATATCACATTTTCATTATACAATTGACCATTTATGGGAAACTAGGTTGATTCCATATCTTTGCTATGGTGAGTAGGAATCATATTTATTGATTTGCATATGTTGAACCATTCTTGCCTCTCCAAAATAAAGCCCACTTGATCACAGTGAATTAACTTTTTAATGTACAGCTGAATTCAGTTTACTAGTATTTTGTTTAGAATTTTTGAATCTATGTTCTTCAGGAGTATAGGCCTATGGTTTTGTTTTGCATTGTGTCTTTGCCAGATTTTTTATCAGGATGATACTGGTTTCATAGAATAACTTCGAGAAGAATCCCTCCTCAAGTTTTGGGAATAGTTTCAGTAGGATTGGTACTGTTTCCTCTTTGCATGTCCTGTAGAATTTAGCTGTGAATCCATCTGATCAGGGGCTTTTCTTGATTGGTAGGTTTTTGAAACTACTTGTTCAACTTTGGAACTTATTGTTGGTATGTTCACGGTTTCCATTTCTTACTAATTAAATCTTGGGAGATTATGTGTTTCCCAGTATTGATCTATTTCTTCTAGATTTTCTAATTTGTATATTATAGGGGTTCATAATAGTCTCTGAAGATCTCTTGTATTTCTTTGGGATTGGTTGTAATACCACCTTTGTCATTCCTGATTGTGCTTATTTAGATCTTTTCTCTCTCTTTTTTTCTTTATTAATCTAGCTAGTGGTCCATGAATTTGTTGATCTTTTCACCATATTTTCATTTCATTGACCCTTTTTGTGTGTGTGTGTTTTTTGTTCTCAATTTTATTAAGTTCTGCAATGATTGTAATTATTTCCTTTCTTCTGCCAGCTTTGGGTTGTGATTGTCTTTGATTTTCTAGTTCCTCTGGGTGTGATATTAGATTTTTAACTTGAGATTTTTCTATATTCTTGATGTAGGTGTTTAGTGCTATAAATATTCCTCTTAACACTGCTTTTGCTGCATCCAGAGGTTTTGGTATGTTGTGTCTTTATTTTCATTTGTTTAAATGAATTTTTAAATTTCTGCCTTAATTTCATCATTTACCAAAATGTTATTTGAAGCAAGTTTTTTAGTTTCCATATATTTGTGCAGTTTTGAGAGTTCCACTTGGTACTGATTTCTGGTTTATTCCACTGTAGTCCAAGAAGATGCTTGATATGATTTCAATTTTGTTGGGTTTACTTTACAACTTAGGATGTGGTCAATCTTAGTTTATGTTCCATGTGCAGATTAGAAGAATGTATGTTCTGTGGTTGTTGGATGGAGTATTTTATAGACGTCTATTAACTCTCATTCATCAAGGGTTAAATTTAAGTTCAGAATTTCATTGTTTTCTGCATCAATGATCTGTCTAATGCTATCAGTGAAGTATTAAAATCTCCCACTATTATCATGTGGCTATCTAAGCCTTTTCTTAGGTCTAGAAGTAATTGTTTTATAGCTCTGGTGCTCCAGTTGAGTACATATATATTTAGGATAGTTAAATCTTCTTGTTGAGTTGAATACTTTATCACTACACAATGCCCTTCTTTGTCCTTTTTTACTGTTGTTGGCTTAAAGTCTGTTTTATCTGACATAAGAATAGTGACTCCTATCATTGGTTCTGTTTATGTGATGGATTGCGTTTATTGATTTGTGTATGTCGTACCAGCCTTGCATCCCAGGGATGAAGCCAACTTGATCATGGTGGATAAGCTTTTTGATTGGCTACTGGATTCAGTTTGCCAGTATTTTATTGAGGATTTTTGCATCAATGTTCATCAGGGATATTGGCCTGAAATTTTTTTTTGTTTTGTTATCTGCCAGGTTTTGGTATCAGGATGATGCTGGCCGCATAAAATGAGTTAGAGAGGAGTCTCTCTTTTTCTATTGTTTGGAATAGTTTCAGAAGGAATGGTACCAGCTCCTCTTTGTACCTCTTGTAGAATTTGGCTGTGAATCCACCTGGTTCTGGGCTTTTTTTTTGGTTGGTAGGCTATTAGTGCCTCGATTACAGAACTTATTGGTCTATTCAGGAATTCAACTTCTTCCTGGTTTAGTCTTGGGAGGGTGTATATGTCCAGGAATGTATCCATTTCTTCTAGAATTTATTTAGTTTATTTGCATAGAGGCATGTTTAGTATTCTCTGATGGTAGTTCGTATTTCTGTGGGATCAGTGGTGACTATCTCAGTACATGCAAAAAAGGCCTTTGGTAAATTCAACACCCCTTCATGCTAAAAACTCTCAATAAACTAGGTATTGATGGAACGTATCTCAAAATAATAAGACCTATTTATGACAAACTCACAGTCAATATCATATTAAGTGGGCAAAAGCTGGAAGCATTCCCTTTGAAAACCAGCACAAGACAAGGATGCCCTCTCTCACCACTCCTAGTCAACATATTGGAAGTTCTGGCCAGGGAAGTCATGCAAGAAAAAGAAATAAAGAGTATTCAAATAGGAAGAGAGGAGGTCAAATTGACTCTGTTTGCAGATGGAATGATTGTATATTTAGAAAACCCCATTGTTTCAGCCCCAAATCTGCTTAAGCTGATAAGCAACTTCAGTAAAGTCTCATGAGACAAAATCAATGTGCAAAAATCACAAGCATTTCTATACACCAATAATAGACAAACAGTCAAATCATGAGCAAACTCAATTGCTACAAAGAGGATAAAATACCTAGGAATAAAAATTACAAGGGATGTGAAGCACCTCTTCAAGGAGGCCTACAAACCACTGCTCAAGGAAATCAGAGAGGACCCAAACCAATGGAAAACCAATCCATGCTCATGGACAGGAAGAATCAATATAGTGAAAATGGCCATACTGCCCAAAGTAATTTTTAGATTCAATGCTATCCCCATCAAACTACCATTGACTTTCTTCACAGAATTAGAAAAGCCACTTTAAATTTCATGTGGAACCAAAAAAGAGTCTGTATAGCCAGGACAATCCTAAGCAAAAAGAAGAAAGCTGGAGGCATCACACTACCTGACTTCAAACTATACTACAAGGCTACAGTAACCAAAACAGCATGGTACTCATACCAAAACAGATATATAGACCAATGGAAAAGAACAGAGGACTCAGAAATAAAGCCACACATCTACAACAATCTCATCTTTGACAAACCTGACAAAAACAGGCAATGGAGTAAGCATCCCCTATTTAATAAATAGTGTTGGGAAAACTGGCTAGCCATATGTAGAAAACTGAAACTGGACCCCTTCCTCACACCTTATACAAAAATTAACTCAAGATGGATTAAAGACTTAAGTGTAAGACCTAAAATCATAAAAGCCCTAGAAGAAAACCTAGGCAATACCATTTAGGACATAGGCATGGGCAATGACTTCATGACTAAAACACCAAAAGCAATGGCAACAAAAGCCAAAATTGACAAATGGGATCTAATTAATCTAAAGAGTGAAACTATCATCAGATTGAACAGGCAACTATAGAATGGGAGAAAATTTTTGCTCTCTATCCATCTGATAAAGGGCTAACATCCAGAATCTACAAAGAACTTAAATTTACAAGAAAAAAACAACCCCATCAAAAAAGTGGGCAAAGGATATGAACAGACACTTCTCAAAAGAAGACATTTATGCAGCCAACAAACATATGCAAAAAGCTCATCATCACTGGTCATTAGAGCAATGCGAATCAAAACCACAGTGAGATACCATCTAATGCCAGTCAGAATGGCAATCATTAAAAAGTCAGGAAATAACAAATACTGGATAGGATATGGAGAAATAGGAACGCTTTTACACTGTTGGTAAAAGTGTAAATTAGTTCAGCCATTGTGGAAGACAGTGTACAATTCCTCAAGGAGCTAGAACCAGAAATACCATTTGACCCAGCAATTCCATTACTGGGTATATACCCAAAGGATTATAAATCATTCTGCTGTAAAGACACATGCATGTGTATGTTTATTGCAACACTGTTCACAATAGCAAAGACTTGGAACCAATGCAAATGCCCATCAATGATAGACTGGATAAGGAAAATGTGGTACATATACACCATGGAGTACCATGCAGTTATTAAAAAGGACAAGTTCATGTCCTTTGCAGGGACATGGATGAAGCTAAAAACCATCATTCTCAGCAAACTAACACAGGAACAGAAAACCAAACACTGTGTCTTCTCACTCATAAATGGGAGTGGAACAATGAGAACACATGGACACAGGGAGGGGAACATCACACACCAGGGTCTTTCAGCGGATCAGGGGCTAGGAGAGGGATAGCATTAGAAGAAATACCTAATGTAGATGACGGGTTGATGGGCACAGCAAACCACCATGGCACGTGTATACCTATGTAACAAACCTGCACGTTCTGCACATGTATCCCAGAACTTAAAGTATAATAATAAAAAAATTCTATTATTTTTGTTTTTCATTTACGTGATAGAACTTTCTTCATCCCTTTATTTTGAGCTTATCAGTGTCACTACATGTGAGATGGGTCTCTTGAAGAGAGCAGAAGGATGGGTGATTTTTAAATCCAATTTGCCACTCTGTCTTTTAAATGGAGTGTTTAGGCCATTTACATTTAAGCTTAATATTGATATGTGAGGTTTTGCTCCTATCATAGTGTTGTTAGCTAGTTGCTTTGTAGTCTCAATTTTATAGTTGCTTTATAGCATCTGTGGGCTATGTGTTTACATCTGCTTTTCTGGTAGTGAATATCATTCTTTCGCTTCCATGTTTAAAACTCCCTTAAGCATCTATTATAGGACTCATCTGGTGGTAAAAATTTCTGGTAGCAATTGCTTGTGTGGAAAGACTCTAGTTCTCCTTCATTTATGAAGCTTACATTGGGTTAGCTGGTATTTCTTTTCATTAAGAATGTTAAAAATGAGCCCCCATCCTCTTCTGAATTGTAAGGTTTCTCCTGAGAAACCCATCTCTTAGTCTGATGGGTTTTCTTTATAGGTAATAGGTCCCTTTCTTTTACTGCTTTTAAGATTTTTTTCTCTCCTGTTGACCTTGGATAGTCTGATGACTAAGTGCCTTCAGGATGGTCATCATCTGGAGTGTTTCACTGGAGTTCCTTGGTGATATGGTTTGGCTGTGACCCCATCCAAATCTCAACTTGAATTGTATCTCCCAGAATTCCCACATGTTGTGAGAGGGACCCAGCGGGGAGGTAATTGAATAATGGGGGCCAGTCTTTCCCATGCTATTCTCATGACAGTGAATAAGTCTCATGAGATCTGATGGATCTCATGGGGGTTTCTGCTTTTGCTTCTTCATTTTTCTCTTGCTGCTGCCATGTAAGACGTACATTTTGCCTCCCGCCATGATTCTGAGGCCTCCCCAGCCACGTGGAACTGTAGGTCCAATTAAACCTTTTTTGTTCCCAGTTTTGGATATGTCTTTATCAGCAGCATGAAAATAAGCTAATACACTTGGATTTCTTGTATCTCTGCATGTTGACCTCTCTAGCAAGATTGAGGAAACTTTTTTTGAATTATATCCTCAAATGTATTTTCCAAGTTGCTTACTTTCTCTTATTCTCTCTCAGAAATGCCAACAAGTTGTAGGTTTGGTCACTTTACATAATTTTGTATTTCTCAAAGTCTTTGCTCATGTTTAAAAAGTTCTTTTTTCTTTATTTTTGTCTGACTTAACTGATTTGAAGGACTGGTCTTTGAGCTCTGACATTCTTTCTTCTGCTTGGTCTGGTCTATTGTTAAGGCTTTCTGTTGTATTTTGAAGTTCCTTAAGTGAATTTTTCCATTTGAGAAGTTCTGTTTGGTTATTTCTTATATAGCTATGTTGTCTTTCAGATTCTGGATCGTTTTCCTGTTTTCTTTGTGTTGGATTCTGAATTCAGCACCTCTCATTTCAGACATTTCATTCTGGTTAAGATTCATTGCTAGGGAGCTAGTACAGTCTTTTGGAGGTGACAAAACCCTCTGGGTTTTTGTATTGCCAGAGTTCATGTGCTGATTCCCTCTCATCAGAGGGAGCTGGCACTTCTTTTTTGAAGTTGCTATCATTTGGTTTGGGCTTTTTGACTTTTTATTCTTTTTTCCCTCGAGGGTGTGACTGTGGTGTATGTTGTGTATAATCACTTGGTTTTGTTCCTGGGTGCTTTTAGAGGGCCAAATATCTGTATGGGTCTTTTGGCTGCAGTTAGGTTTGTGCAGTGACTTTCTCAGACACCGCTTGTGGTGATTATATATATATATATATATATATATATATATATTTTCGTGGTGTAATTCAGGCTGCAGTACAGTAGATGGCACTTGAGAAAGAGTAAGAGCCAGCAGGTTGGCTCTTACTCTGCATGTGCTTGCCATTGGCCTAGGCAATGGTGACAGAGAATTGGGGAAAAACACCCTCCCTCAGTGTATACTTCCCTTTGGCAGAGGTGAAGCTGCTGGAGAAGCTGGAGAAGCTGGAGAAGTGGCCTCTTTCATCCCATCACCTCTAGGACCCAATAGGAGGAGCCCTGCCACATTCACAGCAGTACATGGGGAGAGGAGCAAGGGTTGAGTGATGGATGACCCCCTTCCCAGATTCATTCACAGGCATTAATGGTACCCCATACAGTGAGTGGCATCACACTTGTGCTTCCTTTGACCCAAGGCATGCCTTGTTTGGCGGTACTCCTCTCTTAGTTAGGGGTTGTCTGCCTGAGGTTTAGATATCTGGGGAAGTAGGGACTGCCCCCCTCTTACTCTTCAGAGCTGGTGAGGCACTCTTCCCTAACTGGTCAATGAAGCAGGCTGGGGCACACAGCAATGACACAGGCAGACAGGTTCCAGGTCGCAAAAGCTGTTCGTGGCTGCAAGTCTCACCACGAAGGAGAAACTTCAAGCCTCCCCCTGTGGTGGTCCTGTAATGGGAGAAAGTCTAATTCCAGCACCTACTGATGGAGTGCATGTGACATATGCCACTCAATTCTGGCTCCCATTCCAAAGCATACACTCCAAACTCTGGGCTTAGACCACAATGCCTGCAATGGCTACTGCTGCCAGGTAGCCAAATAATGACTATCTTTGTATAAGCCTGGATTATAAATGGAGTCCTCTTCTCATTCTCAGATCTAGGAAAATGCCTGCAGCTTTTCCTGGTCTCTCTCTCTCTCTCTCTCTTTGTCTCTCAGACTGTACCCAAGTTAGCTGCAGGGTTTGAGAGAAAAATTGTGCTCTTTTATGGCCTTGATTACACAGATCTCCAGTGGAAGGTGAGTCACAGAGGGAGACAGACTGCCCCTCTCCTGTACTGGGGCTTCACTCACTTTTATAAGCTGATTGCCATCACTAGGGCTGCTTGCCCACCTTCTCCCCTGGGCTTGGAGTGTCCTTTAGTATTCTGGTGAATTCTCATTTTCCTTCTTGAATTAAGTATAAAAAAACTGATTTTTATGCACTATTTTGCTACTTCCAGGTGACTGAGGCATGCTAAGAGCCTCTAATCCACCATCTTGGAAACAACAACAACAGAAACCCCTCTTGTTAATGATGTCTACATTTATTTCATTGTGGTCTGAGAATATACTTGACACAATTTTGATTTTTGAAAAATTTGTTGAGGGTTGTTTTCTGTCCTGGAGAATGATGTCTCCTGGAGAGTGATCCCATGGGCTGATGAGCAGGATGTGTGTTCTGTGGCTATTAGATGAAATGCTCTGCAAATGTCTATTAGGTCCATTTGGTCTAATGCAAAATTCAATGTTTCTTTGTTAATTTGTTAATTTTCTGTCTAGATAATCTTTCTAATGCTGAGAGTGCAGTATTGAAATCCTCAATGTATTGGAAACTCTCTCTCCCTCTAATTCTAATATTTGATTTATATATCTGGATGCTCTGGTGTCGGGTGCACATATGTTCAGAAGTGTATGCCTTTGCTGAATTGATCCCTTTATCATTATATAATGAACTTCTTTGTCTCTTTTTATAGTTTTTGACTTAAAATATGTTTTTTTTTCTGATATAAGTACAGCTACTCCTGCTTGCTTTTGGTTTCCCTTTTCATGGACTATCTCTTTCCATCCCTTTACTTTCAGTTTATATGTGTCTTTAAAGGTAGCTAGCATATAGTTGGGCCACATTTTTTAAATCCATTCAGCCAGTGTATATCTTTTATGTGAAAAGTTTAATCCATTTACTTTGAGGATTATTGATATGTGAAGCTTTATTCCTGTCATTTTATTCAGTGATTTCTGGTTGTTTTGTATACCCTTTGTTTGTTTCTTTCTCTTTTACTGTTTATCATTGTGGCTTGCTGGTTTTCCGTAGTGGTAATATTTGAGTCTTTTGTCTTTTTTGTTTATGTGTTTGCTCTACCAGTGGTTTTTATATTTTCATGTGTTTTCATGGATAGTAGATAATTTTGTTTCACTTTCAGGTGTAGGACTCCCTTAAGCATTTCTGTTTTCTGGTGTTTTTTGTTTCTGACTTTTATTTTAGATTCAGGGGTTATATGTGCAGGTTTATTACTGGGGTATGTTATGTGATGCTGAAGTTTGGGGTGCAAATGTTCCTGTTAACCAGGTACTAAGCATGGTACCCAACAGATAGTTTTTCAACCCTTGTCCCCTGTCCTCCCTCCCCTGTTTAGGAGTCACCAGTGTCTATTGCTTGTATTTATGTCAATGAGTACCCAGTGGTTAGCTCTTACTTATAAGTGAGAACTTGCAGTACTTGATTTTTCTGTTCCTGTGTTAATTAACTTAGGATAATAGCATCCAGTTGCAAAGGACAACTTTATTCTTTGTTATGGCTGCATAGTATTCCATGGTGTATCAGTGCGTTCTCACACTGCTAATAAAGACATACCCAAGTCTGGGTAATTTATAAAGGAAAGAGGTTTAATGTACTTACAGTTCAGCATGGCTGGAGAGGCCTCAGGAAACTTACAATCATGGTGGAAGGGGAAGCAAATATGGCAGCAGGAAGGAGAAGAATGAGTGCCCAGCGAAGGGGGAAGTCCCTTATAAAACATCAGATCTTGTGAGAACTAACTCACTATCATGAGAACAGGATGGGGGAAACCACCCATGTGATTCACCATATCTCCCACCAGGTCCCTTCCATGACACGTGGGGAATATGGGAACAACAATTCAAGATGAGATTTGGGTGGGGACACAGCCCAATTATATTACATGGTGTATATGTACCACATTTTCTTTACCCAACCCACTGTTGATGGGAACCTAGCTTAATTCCATGTCTTTGCTATTGTGCATTGTCCTGCAATGAACATGTGAGTGCATATGTCTTTTTAGTAGACTAATTTGTTTTCTTTTCAATATATACCAGGTATTGAGGTTGCTGTATCAAATGGTAGTTCTGTTTTAAGTTCTTTGAGTAGTCTCCAAACTGCTTTCTACAGTGGCTGAATTAATTTACATTCCCACCAACACTGTTTAAGCATTCCCTTTTCTCCATAGCCTCTCCAATATGTGTTTTTTTTTGACTTTTAAATAATAGCCAGTCTGACAGATGTAAGATCATATCTCACTGTGATTTTGATTTGCATTTTTCTGATGATTAGTAATTTAGAGCATTTTTTCCAATGTTTGTTGGTTGCTTGTATGCTTCCTTTTGAGAAATGTCTGTTCATGTCTTTTGACCATTTTTTGAGTGAGGAGGGTTATTTGATTTTTGCTTGTTGAATTGTTTAAATTCCTTGTAGATTCTGGATATTGATTCTTCCAGTCCATGAGCATGGATTGTTTTTCTACTTGTTTGTGTCATCTATGATTTTTTTTGCAGTGTTTTATAATTCTCATTGGTAGAGAACTTCCACCTCTTTGGTTAAATGTATTCCTAGGAACTTTTTTGTGTTGATGTTGTAAATGGGATTACATTGTTGATTTGAATCTCAGCTTGAATGATATTGGTGTGTAGAAATGCAACTGAATTTTCTACATTGATTTTGTATTGTGAAACTTTACTGAAGATGTTTATCAGTTCCAGGAGACTTTTAGAGTTTTCTAGGTATAAAATTGTATTGTCCATGAGGAGATATACTTTGAATTCTTACTTGTTTGTTCTTTACTTTTATTTTTCTTGTAAAGTAAAGAACTTGAGTTCTTTACTTTTATCTTTCTCTTGCCTGATTTCTCTAGGTAAGACTTCCAGTATACTATGTGGAATAGGAATGGTGAAAGTAGGCATCCTTGTGTTCTTCCAGTTCTCAAAGGAAAGGCTTCCAGTTTTTGTCGGTTCAGTAGGATGTTGGCTCTAGTTTTGTTATAGATGACTCTTACTATTGTGAGGTATGTTTCTTCAACGTCTAATTTCTGAAGGGTTTTTATCATGAAGTGATGTTGAATTTTATCAGAAGCTTTTTCTGCATCTATTGAGAAGATTATATGGTTTTTGTTTTTAATTTTGTTTATGTGATAAATCACATTTATTAATTGGCATATGTTGAACCAACCTTTTGTCTCACGAATGAAGCCTACTTGATCGTAGTGAATTAACTTTTTGATGTTCCTGTTGAATTTTGTTTACTCTTATTTTGTTAAAGAATTTTGTGTCTATCTTTATCACAGATATTGGCCCATAGTTTTCTTTTGTGTGTGTGTGTGTGTGTGTGTGTGTGTGTGTGTGTGTGTGTGTCTTTGCCAAGTTTTGGTATCAGAGTAATGCTGGCTTCATAGAATGAGTTAGAGAAGAGTTCCTGCTCCTTGATGTTTTGGAATAGTTTCAGTAGGATTGGTACCAGCTCTTTTTCATATGTTTGGTAGAATTCTGCTGTGAATCCATCTGGTCAGGGGCTTTTTAAGCTTTTTATTACTGATTCCATTTAGGAATTCCTTATTGGTCTTTTCTGGGTTTCAATTTCTTTCTGATTCAGTTTTTTAAAATTTTAGTTTTCTATAGGTTATTGAGGTACAAGTGGTGTTTGGTTACATAAGTAAATCCTTTAGTGGTGATTTTGTGAGATTTTGGTGCACCCATCACCCGAGCAGTATATACTGCACCCTATTTGTAGTCTTTTATCCTTCACCCTCCTTCCACCCTTCCCTCCAAGTTTCCAAAGTCCATTGTATCATTCTTATGCTTTTGCATGCTCATAAATTAGCTCCCACATATCAGTGAGAGCATATGATGTTTGGTTTTCCATTCCTCAGGTATTTCACTTAGGATAATAGTTTCCAATCTCATCCAAATGGCTGTGAATGCTCTTAATTAATTCCTTTTCATGTCTGAGTAGTATTCCACTGCATATATATACCACAGTTTCTTTATCCACTCATTGATTGATAGGCATTTGGGTTGGTTCCATAATTTTGTAATTGTGAATTGCGCTGCTATAAACATACGTGTGCAAGCATCTTTTTCGTATAATGACTTGTTTTCCTTGGAGTAGATACCCAGTAGTGGGATTGCTGGATCAAATGGTAGTTCTGCTTTTAGTTCTCTGAGGAATCTCCACACTGTTTTCCGTAGTGGTTGTATTAGTTTACATTCTCACCAGCAGTGTAGAGGTGTTCCCTGATCCCCCCTGCCAACCACACCAATATCTACTGTTTTTTGATTTTTTAATTATGGCCATTCTTGCAGGAGTAAGGTGGTATCACATTGTGGTTTTGATTTGCATTTCCTTAATCAGTAGTGATGTTGAGAATTTTTTATATGTTTGTTGGCCTTTTGTATGTCTTCTTTTGAGAATTGTCTATTCATGTCCTTAGCCTACTTTTTGATGGGACTGCTTGTTTTTTTCCTTGATGATTTGTTTGAGTTTGTCGTAGATTTTGGATATTAGTACTTTGTCAGATGTATAGATTGTGAAGATTTTCTTCCACCCTGTGGGTGGTCTGTTTACTTTGCTGACTTCTTTTTGCCATACAAAAGCTCTTTAGTTTAATTAAGTCCCAGCTGTTTATCTTTCTTTTTATTGCATTTGCCTTTGGGTTCTTGGTCATAAAATCCTTGCCTAAGCCAATGTCTAGAAAGGTTTTTCCAATGTTATCTTCTAGAATTTTTATAGTTTCAGGTTTTAGATTTAAGTCCTTAATCCATCTTTGGTTGATTTTTGTATAAGGTAAGAGATGAGGATTCAGTTTCATTCTTCTACATGTGGCTAGCCAATTATCCCAGCATCATTTGTTGAAAAGGGTGTCCTTTCCCCACTTTATGTTTTTGTTTGCTTTGTCAAAGATCAGTTGGCTGTAAGTATATGGGTTTATTTCTGGGTTCTCTCTTCTGTTCCATTGGTATATGTGCCTATTTTTATACCAGTACTATGCTGTTTTGGTGACTATGGCCTTATATTATAGTTTAAAATCAAAATCAGGCAGTGTGATGCTTCCAGATATGTTTTTTGCTTAGTGTTGTATTGGCTATGCGGCTCTTTTTTGGTTCCATATGAATTCTATAATTGCTTTTTTTCTAATTCTGTGAAGAATGATGATGGTCTTTTGATGAGAATTGTGTTAAATTTGTAGGTTGCTTTTTGCAGTATGGTCATTTTCACAATATTGATTCTACCCATCCATGAGCATGGGATGTGTTTCCATTTGTTTGTGTTGTCTATGATTTTTTTCAGCAGTGTTTTGTAGTTTTCCTTGTAGAGGTCTTTTGATTCCTTGGTTATGGATACACCTAAGTATTTTGTTTGTTTATTTATTTTGCAGCTATTGGAAAAGGGGTTGAGTTCTTGATTTGAACTCTTGGTCACTCTTGGTGTATAGAAGAGCTACTGATTTGTGTACATTAATATTTTATCTAGAAACTTTGCTGAATGCTTTTATCAGTTCTAGAAGCTTTCTGGAGGAGTCTTTAGGGTTTTCAAGGTAAACAATCATCAGCAACAAACAGTGACAGTTTGACTTCCTCTTTACCGATTTGGATGCCCTTTATTTTTTTCTCTCATCTGATTGCTCTGGCTAGGACTTCCAGTACTATTTTGAAAAGGAATGGTGAGAGTGGGCATCCTTGTCTTGTTCCCATTCCCAGAGGGAATGTTTTTAACTTTTCCCCATTCAGTATTATGATGGGTGTGGGTTTGTCATAGATGGCTTTTATTACATTGAAGTATGTCCCTTGTATGCCAATTTTGCTGAGAGTTTTAATCAAAGGAATGCTGGATTTTGTCAAATGCTTTTTCTGCATCTATTGAGATGATCATGTGATTTTTGCTTTTAATTCTGTGTATGTGGTATATCACATTTATTGACTTGCATATGTTAAATCATCCCTGAATCCCTGGTATGAAACCCACTTGATTATGGTGGATTATCCTTTTGATATGTTGTTGGATTCAGTTAGCTAGTATTTTGTTAAGGATTTTAGCATCTACGTTCATCAGGGATATTGGTCTGTAGTTTTCTTTTTTGGTTATGTCCTTTCCTGGTTTTGGTATTAAGGTGATGCTGTCCTCATAGAATGAATTGAGGAGGGCTCCCTATTTCTCTATCTTATGGAATAGTGTCAATAGGATTGGTACCAATTCTTCATTGAATGTCTGGTAGAATTCTGCTTTGAATCTGTTTGGTCTTGGACTTTTATTTGTTGGTAATTTTTTAATTGCTATTTCAATCTTGCTGCTTGTTATTGGTCTGTTCAGAGTATCTAATTTTTCCTGATTTAAGTTAGGAGGGTTGTATTTTTCAGGAATTTATCCATCTCTTCTAGGTTTTCTAGTTTGTGCACATAAAGATGTTCATGGTAGCCTTGAATTATCTTTTGTATTTGAGTGGTGTCAGTTGTAATATCTCCTGTTTTGTTTCTTATTGAGTTATTTGGATATTCTCTCTTCTTTTCTTGATTAGTCTTGCTAATAGTCTATCAATTTTATTTATTTTTCAAACAATGAGCTTTTTATTTTATTTATCTTTTGTATGTTTTTTGTTTCAATCTCTTTTAGTTTTTCCCTGATCTTGGCTATTTCCTTTCTTCTGCTGGGTTCGGGTTTGGTTTGGTCTTGTTTCTCAGGTTCCTTGGGGTGTAACCTTAGAATGTCAGTTTGTGCTTTTTCAGTCTTTTTGATCTAGGCATTTAGGGCTATGAACTTTCCTCTTAGCATCACCTTTGCTATATCCCAGAGGTTTTGATAGGTTGTGTCACTATTGTCATTGAGTGTGAATAATTTTTTAATTTCCATATTAATTTTACTTTAGACCCAATGATCATTCAGGAGCAGGTTAGTTAATTTCTGTGTATTTGCATGGTTTTGAAGGTTCCTTTGGGAATTGATTTCCAGTTTTTAATTTTTTGAATTTTTTAAAATTTTACTTTGTTTTGGGTACATGTGCAGAATGTGCAGGTTTGTTACATAGGTATACATGTGCTATGGTGGTTTGCTGCAACTATCAACCCATCATCTAGGTTTTAAGCCCCACATGCATTAGGTATTTTTCCGAATGCTCTCCCTCCCCTTGCCCCCTACACCACAATGGTCCCTGGTGTATGATGTTCCCCTCCCTGTGTACATGTGTTCTCATTGTTCACCTCCCACTTACGAGTGAGAACATGCAGTGTTTGGTTTTCTATTCCTGTGTTAGTTTGCTGAGAATGACGGTTTCCAGCTTCATCCATGTCCCTGCAAAGGACATGAACTCATCCTTTTTTATGGCTGCATAGTGTTCCATGGTGTATATGTGCCACATTTTCTGTATCCAGTCTATCATTGATGGTCATTTGGGTTAGTTCCATGCCTTTGCTATTGTAAATAGTGCTGCAATAAACATACATGTGCATGTGTCTTTATAGTAAAATGACTTATAATCCTTTGGGTATATACCCAGTAATGAGATCGCTGGGTCAAATAATATTTCTGGTTTGACATCTTGGAGGAATTGCTACAGTCTTCCACAATGTTTGTACTAATTTACACTCCCACCAACAGTGTAAAAGCATTCCTATTTCCCCACAGCCTCGCCAGCATCCGTTGTTTCCTGACTTTTTAATGATCACCATTCTAACTGGCATGAGATGGTATCTCATTGTGGTTTTGATTTGCATTTCTCTAATGACCAGTGATGATGAGCTTTTTTTCTTATGTTTCTTGGCCACATAAACGTCTTCTTTTGAGAAGTGTCTGTTCATAACCTTTGCCCATTTTTTGATGGGTTTGTTTGTATTTTCCTTGTAAATTTGTTTATGTTCCTTGTAGATTCTGGAGATTAGGCCTTTGTCAGATAGACAGATTGCAAACATTTTCTCCCATTCTGTAGGTTGCCTGTTCAGTTTGAGTTTCCTTTGCTGTGCAGAAGCTCTTTAGTTTAATTAGGTGCCATTTGTCAATTTTAGCTTTTGTTGCCATTGCTTTTGGTGTTTTAGTCATGAAGTCTTTGCCCATGCCTATGTCCTGAATGGTATTGCCTAGGTTTTCTTCTAGGATTTTTTTATGGTTTTGGATTTTACATTTAAGTAGTTAATCCATCTTGAGTTAATTTTTGTATAAGGTGTAAGGAAGGGGTCCAGTTTCAGTTTTCTGCATATGACTAGCCAGATTTCCCAGCCTCATTTATTAAATAGGGAATCCTTTCCCTATTGCTTTATTTTTATTTTTATTTATTTATTTTTTTGAGACAGAGTGTTGCTCTGTCGACAGGCTGTAGTGCAGTGGTGTTATCTTGGCTCACTGCAACCTCTGCCTCCCAGGTTCAAGTGATTCTCCTTCCTTAGCCTCCCGAGCAGCTGGGACTACAAGCACACAATTTTTGTAGTTTTAGTAGAGACAGGGTTTCACCATGTTGGCCAGGATGGTTTTGATCTCTTGACCTCATGATCTGCCCACTTTGGCCTCCAAAGTGCTGGGATCATAGGCACCAACCATCCCGCCTGGCCCCTATTGCTTGTTTTTTGTCAGGTTTGTGGAAGATCAGATGGTTGTAGATGTGTAGTGTTATTTCTGAGGCCTCTGTTCTGTTCCATTGGTCTATATATATGTTTTGGTACGAGTACCATGCTGTTTTGGTTACTGTAGCCTTGTAGAATAGTTTGAAGTTAGGTAGCATGATGTCTCCAGCTTTGATGGTTTTGCTTAGGATTGTCTTGGCTACGTGGGCTCTTTTTTGGTTCCATATGAAATTTAATGTAGTTTTTTCTAACTTTGTGAAGAAAGTCAATGGTACCTTGATGGGAGTAGCATTGAATCTATAAATTACTTTGGGCAGTATGGCCAATTTTATGATACTGATTCTTCCTATCCATGAGCATGGAACTTTTTTCCCTTTGGTGGTGTCTTATTTCCTTGAGCAGTGGTTTGTAGTTCTCCTTGAAGAGGTCCTTCATGTCCCTTGTAAGTTGTATTCCTAGGTATTTTATTCTCCTTGTAGCAATTGTGAATGGGAGTTCACTCATGATTTGGCTCTCTGTTTGTCTATTATTGGTGTATAGAAACGCTTGTGATTTTTGCACATGGATTTTGTATCCTAGACTTGCTCAAGTTGCTTATCAGCTTAAGGAGTTTTGGGGCTGAGACTATGGGGTTTTCTAAATATACAGTTATGTCATCTACGTACAGAGACAATTAGACTTCCTATTTGAATATGCTTTATTTCTTTCTCTTGCCTCATTGCCTTGGCCAGAACTTCCAATACTGTGTTGAATAGGAGTGATGAGAGAGGTTACCCTTGCCTTGCACCGATTTTCAGATACTTCCATCTTTTGGCCATTCAGTATGATATTGGCTATGGGTTTGTCATAAACAGCTCTTATTATTTTGAGACATGTTCCATCAATACCTAGTTTATTGAGAGATTTTAGCATGAAGGGACATTGAATTTTATCGAAGGCCTTTTCTGCGTCTATTGAGATAATCACGTGGTTTTTGTCACTGGTTCTGTTTATATGATGGATTACATTTATTGATTTGCATATGTTGAACCAGCCTTGCATCCCAGTGATGAAGCCAACTTGATTGTGGTGGATAAGCTTTTTGATGTGCTTCTGGATTCACTTTGCCAAGATTTTATTGAGGATATTTGCTTTGATGTTCACCAGGGATATTGGCCTGAAATTTTCTTTTTTTTGTTGTGTCCTTGCCAGGTTTAGATATCAGGATGATTCTGGCCTCATAAAATGAGTTAGGGAAGAGTCTCTCTTATTCTATTGTTTGGAATAGTTTCAGAAGATATAGTAGTAACTCTCCTTTGTACCTCTGGTAGAATTCAGTTGTGATTCTGTCTGGTCCTGGGCTTTTTTGGTTGGTAGACTATTAATTACTGCCTCAATTTCAGAACTTGTTATTGGTCTATTCAGGGATTTGACTTCTTCCTGGTTTAGTCTTAGGATGGTGTGTGTCCAGGAATGTATCCATTTCTTCTAGATTTTCCAGTTTATTCACATAGAGATGTTTATAGTATTCTCTGAAGGTAGTTTATATTTCTGTGGGATCAGTGGTAATATCCCCTTTATCATATTTTATTGTATCTATTTGATTCTTCTCTTTTTTCTTCTTTATTAATCTGGCTAGCAGTCTATTTTGTTAATCTTTTCAGAAAACCAGCTCCTGGATTCATTCATTTTTTTGAAGGGTTTTTTGTGTCTCTCTCTCCTTCGGTTCTGCTCTGATCTTAATTATTTCTTGTCTTCTGCTAGCTTTTGAATTTGTTTGCTCTTGCTTCTCTAGCTCTTCTAATTGTAACGTTAGGGTGTCAATTTCAGATCTTTCCTATTTTCTGATGTGGGCATTTTAGTGCTATAAATTTCCCTCTTAAGATTGTTTTAGCTGTGTCCCAGTGATTCTGGTACATTGTCTCTTTGTTCTCATTGGTTTCAAAGAAGTTCAAATAATTTCATTATTTACCCAGTAGTCATTCAGGAGCAGATTGTTCAGCTTCCCGGTAGTTGTGTGGTTTTGAGTGAGTTTCTTAATCCTGAGTTCTAATTTGATTGCACTGTGGTCTGAGAGACTGTTTGTTATGATTTCCGTTATTTTACATTTGCTGAGGAGTGCTTCCAATTATATGGTCAATTTTAGAATAACTGCTATGTGGTGCTGAGAAGAATGTATATTCTGTTGATTTGGGGTGGAGAGTCCTGTAGATGTCTATTAGGTCTGCTTGGTCCAGAGCAGAGTTCAAGTCCTGAATATCCTTGTAATTTTCTGTCTTGTTGATCTGTCTAATATTGGCAGTGGGATGTTAAAGTCTCCCACTAATACTGTGTGGGAGTCTAAGTCTCTTTGCAGGTCTCTAAGAACTTGTGTTATGAATCTGGGTGCTCCTGTATTGGGTGCATATATATTTAGGATAGTCAGCTCTTCTTGTTGCATTGATCCCTTTACCATTATGTAATGCCCTTCTTTGTCTTTTTTGATCATTGTTGGTTTAAAGTCTGTTTTATCAGAGACTAGGATTGCAACCCCTGCTTTTTTTTTTGCTTTCCATTTTCTTGATAAGCATTCCTCCATCCCTTTATCTTGAGCCTATGTGTGTCTGCACGTGAGATGGATCTCCTGAATACAGCACACCAGTGGGTCTTGATTCTTTATCCAATTTGCAAGTCTGTGTATTTTAATTGGGGCATTTAGTCCATTTATATTTAAGGTTGATATTGTTATGTGTGAATTTGGTCCTGTCATCATGATGCTAGCTGGTTATTTTGCAAATTAGTTGACACAGTTTCTTCATAGTGTTGTTGGTCTTTATATTTTGGTGTGTTTTTGCAGTGGCTGGTACCAGTTGTTCCTTTCCATGTTGAACGCTTCCTTCAGGAGCTCTTGTAAGGCAGGCCTGGTGGTGACAAAATTCCTCAGCATTTGCTTGCCTGTAAAGATTTTATTTCTCCTTCGCTTATGAAGCTTAGTTTGGCTGGATATGAAATTCTGGGTGGCAAATTTTTTCTTTAAACATGTTGAATATTGGCCCCCACTCCCTTCTGGCTTGTAGGGTTTCTGCAGAGAGATCCAATGTTGGTCTGATAGGCTTCCCTTTGTAGGTCACCTGACCTTTCTCTCTGGCTGCCCTTAACATTTTTTCCTTCAGTTCAATCTTGGTGAATCTGATGATTATGTGTCTTGGGGTTGCTCTTCTTGAGGAATATCTTAGTGGTGTTCTCTGTATTTCCTGAGTTTGAATGTTGGCCTGTCTTGCTAGGTTGGGGAAGTTCTCCTGGATAATATCCTGAGGTGTGTTTCCCAAGTTGGTCCCTGGCATTTTCAGGTACACCAATCAATCTTAGGTTTGGTCTTTTTACATAGTCCTATATTTCTTGGAGATTTTGTTCATTCCTTTTCATACTTTTTTCTCTTATCTTGTCTTCATACCTTATTTTAGTAAGCTGATCTTCAATGTCTGATATCCTTTCTTCTGCTTGGTTGATTTGGCTACTGATACTTGCGTAAGCTTCACAAAGTTCTTGTGCTGTGTTTTTCAGCTCCATCGGGTCATTTATGTTGTTCTCTAAACTGGTTATTCTAGTTAGCAGTTCTTGTAACCTTTTTGAAGGTTCTTGCTTTCTTGCATTGGGTTAGAACATGCTCCTTTAGTTCAGAGGAATTTATTATTACCCACTTTCTGAAGCCTACTTCTGTCAATTCATCAAACTCATTCTCCATCCAGTTTTGTGCCCTTGCTGGAGAGGAGTTGCAATCATTTGGAGGAAAAGCATCATTCTGGGGTGGAGCCAAGATGGTCAAATAGGAACAGCTCCAGTCTACAACTCCCAGCATAAGCAACACAGAAGACAGGTGATTTCTGCATTTCCAGCTGAGGTACCGGGCTCATCTCACTGGGGAGTGTCCGAAAGTGGGTGCAGGACAGTGGGTGCAGCACACCCAACATGGGCTGAAGCAGGGCGAGGCATCGCCTCACATGGGAAGCACAAGGGGTCAGGGAATTCCTTTTCCTAGTCAAAGAAAAGGGTGACAGATGGCACCTGGAAAATCGGGTCACTCCCACCCTAATACGGCACTTTTCCAATGGTCTTAGCAAATGGCACACCAGGAGATTATATATTGCACATGGCTTGGAGGGTCCTATGTCCACAGAGCCTTGCTCATTACTAGCACAGCAGTCTGAGATCAAACTGCAAGGTGGCAGCGAGGCTGGGGGAGGGGCGCCCGCCATTGCCGAGGCTTGAGTAGGTAAACAAAGCAGCCAGGAAGCTCGAACTGCATGGAGCCCACCACAGCTCAAGGAGGCCTGACTGCCTCTGTAGACTCCACCTCTGTGGGCAGGGAATAGCCAAACAAAAGGCAGCAGAATCCTCTGCAGACTTAAATGTCCCTGTCTGACAGCTTTGAAGAGAGTAGTGGTTCTCCCAGCACGCAGCTGGAGATCTGAGAATGGATAGACTGCTACCTCAAGTGGGTCCCTGACCCCTGAATAGCCTAACTGGGAGGCACCCCCCATTAGGGGCAGACTGACACCTCATATGGCTGGGTACTCCTCTGAGACAAAACTTCCAGAGGAACGATCAGGCAGCAACATTTGCTGCTCACCAATATCTGCTGTTCTGCAGCCTCCACTGCTGATACCCAGGCAAACAGGTTCTGGAGTGGACCTCCAGCAAACTCCAACAGACCTGCAGCTGAGGGTCCTGACTGTTAGAAGGAAAACTAACAAATAGAAAGGACATCCACACCAAAACCCCATCTGTATGTCACCATCATCAAAGACCAAAGGTAGATAAAACCACAAAGATGGGGAAAAAACAGAGCAGAAAAACTGGAAACTCTAAAAATCAGAGTGCCACTCCTCCTCCAAAGGAACACAGCTCCTCACCAGCAACAGAACAAAGCTGGACAGAGAATGACTTTGACAAGTTGAGAGAAGAAGGCTTCAGACGATCAAACTACTCTGAGCTAAAGGAGGAAGTTCGAACCCATGGCAAAGAAGTTAAAAACCTTGAAAAAAAATTAGACGAATGGCTAACTAGAATAACCAATGCAGAGAAGTCCTTAAAGTACCTGATGGAGCTGAAAACCAAGGCACAAGAACTACATGACAAATGCACAAGCTTCAGTAGCTGATTCAATCAACTGGAAGAAAGGGTGTCAGTGATTGAAGATCAAGTGAATGAAATGAAGTGAGAAGAGAAGTTTAGAGAAAAAAGAATAAAAAGAAACAAACAGAGCCTTCAAGAAATATGGGACTATGTGAAAAGACCAAATCTACGTCTGATTGGTGTACCTGAGAGTGACAGGGAGAATGGAACCAAGTTGGAAAACACTCTGCAGGATATTTTCCAAGAGAACTTCCCCAATCTAGCAAGGCAGGCCAACATTCAAATTCAGGAAATACAGAGAAGGCCACAAAGATACTCCTTGAGAAGAGCAACTCCAAGACACAGAATTGTCAGATTCACCAAAGTGGAAATGAAGGAAAAAATGTTAAGGGCAGCCAGAGAGAAAGGTCGGGTTACCCATAAAGGGAAGCCCATCAGACTAACAGCTGATCTCTCAGCAGAAACTCTACAAGCCAGATGAGAGTGGGGGCTAATATTCAACATTCTTAAAAGAATTTTCAACCCAGAATTTCATATCCAGCCCAGCTAAGCTTCATAAGTGAAGGAGAAATAAAATCCTTTACAGACAAGCAAATGCTGAGAGATTTTGTCACCACCAGGCCTGCCCTAAAAGAGCTCCTGAAGGAAGCACTAAACATGGAAAGGAACAACCGGTACCAGCCACCGCAAAAACATGCCAAATTGTAAAGACCAGTGAGGCTAGGAAGAAACTGCATCAACTAACAGGCAAAGTAACCAGCAAACATCGTAAGGACAGGATCAAATTCACACATAACAATATTAACCTTAAATGTAAATGGGCTAAATGCTCCAATTAAAAGACACAGACTGGAAAATTGGATAAAGAGTCAAGACCCATCAGTGTGCTGTATTCAGGAAACCCATCTCACATGCAGAGACACACATAGGCTCAAAATAAAGGGATGGAGGAAGATCTACCAAGCAAATGGAAAACAAAAAATGGCAGGGGTTGCAATCCTAGTCTCTGATAAAACAGACTTTAAACCAACAAAGATCAAAAGAGACAAAGAAGGCCATTACATAATGGTAAAGGGATCAATTCAACAAGAAGAGCTAACTATTGTAAATATATATGCACCCAATACAGGAGCACCCAGATTCATAAAGCAAGTCCTTAGAGACCTAGAAAGAGACTTAGACTCCCACACAATAATAATGGGAGGTTTTAACACCCCACTGTCAACATTAGACATATCAATGAGACAGAAAGTTAACAAGGATATCCAGGAAGTAAACTCAGCTCTCGACCAAGTGGACCTAATAGACATCTACAGAACTCTCCACCCCAAATCAACAGAACATACATTCTTCTCAGCACCACACCACACCTATTCCAAAATTCACCACATAGTTGGAAGTAAAGTACTGCTCAGCAAACGTAAAAGAACAGAAATTATAACAAACTGTTTCTCAGACCACAGTGCAATCAAACTAGAACTCAGGATTAAGAAACTCACTCAAAACCGCTCAACTACATGGAAACTGAACAACCTGCTCCTGAATGACTACTGGGTACATAACGAAATGAAGGCAGAAATAAAGATGTTCTTTGAAACCAATGAGAACAAAGACACAACATACCAGAATCTCTGGGACACATTCAAAGCAGTGTGTAGAGGGAAATTTATAGCACTAAATACCCACAAGAGAAAGCAGGAAAGATCTAAAATTGACACCCTAACATCACAATTAAAAGAACTAGAGAAGCAAGAGCAAACACGTTCAAAAGCTAGCAGAAGGCAAGAAATAACTAAGATCAGAGCAGAACTGAAGGAAATAGAGACACAAAAAACCCTTCAAAAAATCAATGAGTCCAGGAGCTGGTTTTTTGAAAAGGTCAACAAAATTGATAGACTGATAGCAAGACTAATAAAGAAGAAAACAGAGAAGAATCAAATAGATGCAATAAAAAATGACAAAGGGGATATCACCACCAATCCCACAGAAATACAAACTACCATCAGAGAATACTATAAACACCTCTATGGAAATAAACTAGAAAATCTAGAAGAAATGGATAAATTCCTCAACACATACACCCTCCCAAGACTAAACCAGGAAGAAGTTGAATCTCTGAATAGGCCAATAACAGGCTCTGAAATTGAGGCAATAATTAATAGCTTACCAACCAAAAAAAGTCCAGGACCAGATGGATTCACAGCCGAATTCTACCAGAGGTACAAGGAGGTGCTGGTACCTTTCCTTCTGAAACTATTCCAATCAATAGAAAAAGAGGGACTCCTCCCTAACTCATTTTATGAAGCCAGCATCATCCTGATACCAAAGCCTGGCAGAGACACAACCAAAAAAGAGAATTTTAGACCAATATCCTTGATGAACATCGATGCAAAAATCCTCAGTAAAATACTGGCAAACTGAATCCAGCAGCACATCAAAAAGCTTATCCACCATGATCAAGTGGGCTTCATTTCTGGGATGCAAGGCTGTTTCAACATACTCAAATCAATAAATGTAATCCAGCATATAAACAAAACCAATGACAAAAACCATATGATTTTCTCAATAGATGCAGAAAAGGCCTTTGACAAAATTCAACAATGCTTCATGCTAAAAACTCTCAATAAATTAGGTATTGATGGGACATATCTCAAAATAATAAGAGCATCTGTGACAAAACCACAGCCAATATCATACTGAGTAGGCAAAAACTGGAAGCATTCCCTTTGAAAACTGGCACATGACAGGGATGCCCTCTCTCACCACTCCTATTCAACATAGTGTTGGAAGTTCTGGCCAGGACGATCAGGCAGGAGAAGGAAATAAAGGGTATTCAATTAGAAAAGAGGAAGTCAAATTGTCCCTGTTTGCAGATGATATGATTGTATATCTAGAGAACCCCATCATCTCAGCCCAAAATCTCCTTACGCTGATAGGCAACTTCAGCAAAGTCTCAGGATACAAAATCAATGTACAAAAATCACAAGCATTCTTATACAGCAAGAACAGACAAACAGAGAGCCAAATCATGAGTGAACTCCCATTCACAATTGCTTCAAAGGGAATAAAATAGCTAGGAATCCAGCTTACAAGGGATGCGAAGGACCTCTTCAAGGAGAACTACAAACCACTGCTCAATGAAATAAAAGAGGATACAAACAAATGGAAGAACATTCCATGCTCATGGGTAGGAACAATTAATATCATGAAAATGGCCATACTGCCCAAGGTAATTTATAGATTCAATGCCATCCCCATCAAGCTACCAATGACTTTCTTCACAGAATTGGAAGAAACTACTTTAAAGTTCATATGGAACCAAAAAAGAGCCTGCATTGTCCAGTCAATCCTAAGCCAAAAGAACAAAGCTGGAGGCATCACGCTACCTGACTTCAAACTATACTACAAGGCTACAGTAACCAAAACAGCATGGTACCAGTACCAAAACGGAGATATAGACCAATGGAACAGAACAGAGCCCTCAGAAATAATGCCACATATATACAACCATCTGATCTTTGACAAACCTGACAAAAACAAGCAATGGGGAAAGGATTCCCTATTTAATAAATGGTGCTGGGAAAACTGGCTAGCCATACGTAGAAAGCTGAAACTGGATCCCTTCCTTACACCTTATGCAAAAATTAATTCAAGATGGATTAAAGACTTAAATGTTAGAACTGAAACCATAAAAACCCTAGAAGAAAACCTAGGCAGTACAATTCAGGACATAGGCATGGGCAAACACTTCATGACTAAAACACCAAAAGCAATGGCAACAAAAGCCAAAATTGACAAATGGGATCTAATTAAACTAAAGAGCTTCTGCACAGCAAAAGAAACCACAATCAGAGTGAACAGGCAACCTATAAGATGGGAGAAAATTTTTGCAATCTACTTATCTGACAAAGGGCTAATATCCAGAATCTACAAAGAACTCAAACAAATTTACAAGAAAAAAACAAACAACCCCATCAACAAATGGGCAAAGGATATGAACAGACACTTCTCAAAAGAAGACATTTATGCAGCCAAAAGACACATGAAAAAATGCTCATCACTTGCCATCAGAGAAATGCAAATCAAAACCACAATGAGATACCATCTCACACCAGTTAGAATGGCGATCATTAAAAAGTCAGGAAACAACAGGTGCTGGAGAGGATGTGGAGAGATAGGAACACTTTTACACTGTTGGTGGGACTGTAAACTAGTTCAACCATTGTGGAAGTCAGTGTGGCAATTCCTCAGGGATCTGGAACTAGAAATACCATTTGACCCAGCCATCCCATTACTGGGTATATACCCAAAGGATTATAAATCATGCTGCTATAAAGACACACGCACACGTATGTTTATTGTGGCACTATTCACAATAGCAAAGACTTGGAACCAACCCAAATGTCCAATAATGATAGACTGGATTAAGAAAATGTGGCACATATACACCATGGAATACTATGCAGCCATAAAAAAGAATGAGTTCATGTCCTTTGTAGGGACATTGATGAATCTGGAAACCATCATTCTCATCAAACTGTCGCAAGGACAAAAAACCAAACACCGCATGTTCTCACTCATAGGTGGGAATTGAACAATGAGAACACATGGACACAGGAAGGGGAACATCACACACTGGGGCCTGTTGTGGGGTGCGGGGAGGGGGGAAGGATAGAATTGGGAGATATACCTAAGGTTAAATGACGAGTTAATGGGTGCAGTGCACCAATAAGGCGCATGTATACATATGTAACTAACCTGCCTGTTGTGCACATGTACCCTAAAACTTAAAGTATAATAAAAAAAAAAGCATCATTCTGAATTTTGGAATTTTCAGCATTTTTGCACAATTTTTCTTCATCTTTGTGGATGTATTTACCTTTGATCTTTGAGGCTGATGACCTTCGGATGTGGTTTTTGTGTGGGCGTCCTTTTTGTTGATGTTGATGTTGTTGCTTTATTCTTTTTAGTTTTTCTTGCAACAATCAAGCCCCTTTTCTGCAGTTCTGCTGCAGTTTGCTGGAGATCCACTCCAGACCCTATTTGCCTGGGTATCACAAGCGGAGGCTGCAGAACAGCAAAGATTGCTCCCTGCTCCTTCCTCTGGAAGCTTCTTCCCAGAGGGTCACTGGCCTGATGTCAGCCAGAGCTTTCCTGTATGAGGTGTCTGTCGACCCCTGCTGGGAGGTCTCTCCCCGTCAAGAGGCACAGGGGTCAGGGATCCACTTGAGGAAGCAGTCTGTCCCTTAGCAGAGGTTGAGCACTGTGAGGTGCTTTTTGTCAGGATCTGCTGCTCTCTTTAGAGCTGGCAGGCAGAAACCTTTAAGTCTGATGAACCTGTTCCCATAGCTGCCCCTTCCCCCAGGTGCTCTGTTCCAGAGATGAGAGTTTTATCTATAAGTCCCTGACTGGGGCTGCTGCCTTTCTTTCAGAGATGCCCGGACCAGTGAGGAGGAATCTAGACAGTCTGGCCACAGCCACTTTGCCACGCTGTGGTGAGTTCTACCCAGTCCAAACTTCCCAGCCTCCTTAGCACTGTCTGGGGAAAACTCCCTACTCAACCCTCAGTTATGGCAAATGCCCTTCCCCCCAACCAATCTCAATCATCCCAGGTCAACTTCAGACTGCTGTGCTGGCAGTGAGAATTTCAACCCAGTGGTTCTTAGCTTGCTGGGTTCTGGGGGAGTAGGACCTGCTGAGCAAGACCACTTGGCTTCCTGGCTTCAGCCCCCTTTCCATGGGAGTGAATGGTTCTGTATTGTTGGAATTCCAGGTGCCACTGGGGTACAAACAAACAAACAAACAAACTCCTGCAGCTAGCTTGGTGTCTGCCCAAACAGTTGCCCAGTTTTGTACTTGAAACCCAGGGCCCTGGTGGTGTAGGCACAAGAGGGAATCTCCTTGTCTGCAGATTGCATAAACCATGGGAAAAGCGTAACGTCTGGGCCAGATAGCACAGTCCCTCATGGCTTCCCTTGGCTGGAGGAGGGTGGTCCCTAGCTCCTTGCCCTTCCTGGGTGAGGTGACACCCCACCCTGCTTCTGTTTGCCCTCTGTGTGCTGCACCCACTGCCTAACCAGTCCCAATGAGATGAACTGTGTACCTCAGTTGGAAATGCAGAAATCACCCACCTTCTGCATTGGTCTCGCTAGGAGCTACAGACTGGAGCTGTTCCTATTCAATCATCTTGTCAGATCTCCTGATTTCCAGTTTTATTCCACTGTGATTTGAGAGAGTGCTTGAAATTGATATAATTTCAATTTTCTTAAATTTATTGAGACTTGTTTTATGGCCTAGCATATGGTCTATCTTGGAGAAAGTTCTATGTGCTGTTGAATAGAATGTGTTTTCTGTGGTTGTTGGATGGAATGTTCTGCATATACCTGTTAAGTCCAATTGTCCCAAGGTATAGTTTAAGTCCATTGTTTCTTTGTTGACTTTCTGTCTCGATGACCTGTCTAGTGCTGTCAGTGGAGTATTAAAGTCCCCACTATTACTGTGTTGCTGTCGATCTCGTTTCTTAGGTCTCTTAGTAATTGCTTTATAAATTTGAGAGCTCCAGTGTTAGGGGCATATATGTTTAGGATTGTGATATTTTCCTGTTGGACAAGGCATTTTCCCATTACATAATTTCCTTTTTTGTCTTTTTTAATTGCTGTTGCTTTAAAGTTATTTTTGTTGATACAAGACTATTTAATCCTCTTCACTTTTGGTGTCCATTTGCATGAAATGCCTTTTTCCACCCCTTTACTTTAAGTTTATATATGAGTCCTTATGTGTTAGGTTAAGTCTCTTGAAGGCAGCAGATTGTTTTTTGGTGAATTCTTATCCATTCTGCAGTTTTGTATCTTTTAAGTGGAGCATTTAGGCCATTTACATTCAATGTTAGTATTGAGATGTGAGGTATCATTCCATTCATTGTGTTATTTGTTGCCTGTGTACTTTGATTTTTTGTTTTTTGTTTGTGCTTTTTTTATGTTTTTATTTTTTGAGATGGAGTCTTGCTCTATCACCCAGGCTGGAGTGCAGTGGTGCAATCTCAGCTCACTGCAACCTCTGCCTCCTGGGTTCAAGCCATTCTCCTGCCTCAGCCTCCCAAGTAGCTGGGATTACAGGCATGTGTCACCACACCTGGCTAATTTTTTTGTATTTTTAGTAGAGATGGGATTTCACCATGTTGGCCAGGCTGGTCTTGAACCCCTGACCTCAAGTGATCCACCAGTCTCAGCCTCTCAAAGTGTTAGGATTATAGGCATGAACCACCACACCCAGTCTTGCTTTTTAAATTGTACTTTTGTTTTATAGGTCCTGTGAGATTTATGCTTTAAAGAGGTTCTGTTTTCATGTGTTTTCAGGATTTGTTTCAAGATTTGGAGCCCCTTTCAGCAGTTCTTGTAGTTGTAGCTTGGTAGTGGCAAATTCTCTCAGCATTTGTTTGACTGACAAAGACTGTATCTTTACTTCAAATATAATGCTTAGTTTCACTGGATACTAAATTCTTGGCCGATAATTGTTTTGTTTGAGGAGGCTGAAGATAGGTCCCCAATTTTTTCTAGCTTGTAGGGTTTCTGCTGAGAAATCTGCTGTTAATCTGATAGGTTTTCCTTTATAGGTTACCTGGTGCTTTTGTCTCATAGCTCTTAAGATTCTTCCCTTCATCTTTAGATAACCTGATGAAAATGTGCGTAGGTGATGATCTTTTTGCAATGAATTTCCCAGATGTTCTTTGTGCTTTTTGTATTTGGATGCCTAGGTATCTAGCAAGGCCAGGGAAGTTTTCCTCAATTATTCTTCCAAATATGTTTTCGAAACTTTTAGATTTTTCTTCTTCCTCAGGAACGCGGATTATTCTTAGGCTTGGTCATTTAACATAATCCCAGATTTCTTGGAGGCTTTGTTCATATTTTCTTATTCTTTTTTTCTTTTTCTTTGTTGGATTGGGTTAATTTGAAGACCTTGTCTTTGAGCTCTGAATTTTTTTCTTCTACTTGTTTAATTCTATTCCTGAGACTTTCCAGAGCATTTTGCATTTCTATAAGTGGGTCCAGTGTTTCCGGAAGTTTTGATTGTTTTTTCTTTAAGTTATCTATTTCCTTCAATATTTCTCCCTTCACTTCTTGTATTGTTTTTTTTTTCTTTTTTATTTCCTTGCATTGGGTTTTGCCTTTCTTGATGCCTCCCTGATTAGCTTAACAACTAACCTTCTAAATTCCTTTTCAGGTAAATCAGGGATTTCTTCTTGGTTAGGATCCATTGCTGGTGAACTAGTGTGATTTTTTGGGAGGTGTTAAAGAGCCTTGTTTTGTTTTTGGTACAAACCAACTTTGTACCAGAGTTGGTTTTCTGGTTCCTTCTCATTTGTGTAGCCTCTGTCAGAGGGAAGGTCTAGGACTGAAGGCTGTTGTTCACATTCTTTTGTCTCACGGGGTGTCCCCTTGATGTAGTACTTTCCCCCTTTTCCTATGGATGTGGCTTTCTGTGAGCCGAGCTGCAGTGATTGTTATCTCTTCTGGATCTAGCCACCCAGCAAGTCTACCCAGCTCCAGGCTGGTACTGAGGGTTGCCTGCACAGAGTCCTGTGATGGGAACCATCTGTGGTTCTCTCAGCTGTGGTTACCAGCACTTGTTTTGGTGGAGTTGGCAGGGGGGTGAAATGGACTCTGT
Source organism: Homo sapiens (assembly GCF_000001405.40). NCBI lineage: Eukaryota > Metazoa > Chordata > Mammalia > Primates > Hominidae > Homo > Homo sapiens. The sequence goes on from NC_000002.12 coordinate 210,360,620, forward strand.
GAGGGTTCTTAGCTTTTGTGCTGGTTAGCTTTCTGGGAGGTTGCACTTTCTAGAGAGCATCAGCTGTGGTAGTATGGTGAGAAACTGGTGATGGGTGGGGCTCTAGAACTCTCAAGAGTATATGCCTTTGTGTTCAGATACCAGGGTGGATAGGGAAGGACCATCAGGTGGGAGCAGGGCTAGGTGTGTCTGAGCTCGGACTCTCCTTGGGCGGGGTCTTAGTGTGGCTGCTGTGGGGGATGGAGGTGAGGTTCCAAGCTCAATGGAGTTATGTACCTAGGAGGATTATGGTTGCTTCTGCTGAGTCATGCAGGTTGTCAGGGAAGGTGGGGGAAAGCCGATGGTCACAGGCCTCACCCAGCTCCCACACAATCCAAAGGGCCAGTCTCACTCCCATTGTGACCCCCTAACAGCACCCAGTCTGTTTCCAGGCAGTGGGCAAGCAGGGCCGAGAACTTTCTGCAGGCCACCCACCTTCCAGCTGTGAAAGAAAAGGGCTTTAGTTCTTCCCCGACCTGTGGAGTCTGCTCCCTGGATTCGCACCCTTCCGAAAGTTCTGGTCAGGAGGCTTCTTGACTGGTTCAAAATGTTACAAAGTTCAGCAGGAGATTTCTTTCTCCCTGTGCCATTTTCCTCATGCCTCTGGCTGCCCTCCTGAAAGATCCCTGTGTTACCAGGCAGGAATGGCCTATGTGGGGACCCAGCAAGCTCCCAGGTCATTTCCTGCTGCTTCCTCTACCCCTGTATTTTGCTCAGCTCTCTAAATTGACTCAGCTCCAGGTAAGGCTGGAATCTTCTCCCGCAAACTAGATCAGGTTCCCCAGTGGGGGTGTGTGTTTGGGGGCAAGAGTCTCCCTTTCCCACTTCCGCACTTTGGGCACTCACAGTATTTGAGGTATCTCCCGGGTCCTGTAGGAGCAGTCTGCTTTCTTCAGAGGGTCTGTGCGTCGTCTCAGGTTTCCTAATTTATTTCTGGGCTAAAATTCACGATGCGAGCCTCCGCATGCTGCTCTGTTCATCCTGATTCAATCTTGAGAGGCTGTTTCTAGGAATTTATTCATTTCCTCTAGGTTTTCCAATTTGTGTGCATAGAAGTGTTTATAATAGTATCTGAGGATCTTCTGTGTTTCTCTGGGGTTAGTTGTAATGCCACCTTTCTGATTGTGCTTATATGGATCCTCTCTCTCTCTCTTTTTTGTTAATCTAGCTAGTGGCCTATTGATCTTTTTTATCCTTTCAGAGAACCAACTATTGGCCTTGATCCTTTGTATGGATTTGTGGGTCTCAATTTCATTCAATTTATCTCTGATCTTAGTTTTTTTCTTTTACTCTGCTAGCTTTGGGTTTAGATTGTTCTTGTTTTTCTAGTTCATTTATGTATAATGTTAGATCATTAACTGTAGATCTTTTTAACTTTTTGTGATAATTGTTTAGTGTTTTACACTTCCCTCTGAACACTGCTTTTGCTGAATCCCAGAGATTTTGAAACGTTATATCTCTGTTTTCATTTATTTCAAAGAAGTTTTTTATTTATGCCTTGATTTTATTTTTTTACCCAAAAATCATTCAGGAGTAAGTTATTAAACTTCCATATAATTGTGTGGGTTTGGAGATCTTGGAATTGATTTCTATTTTTATTCCATTATGGTTTGAGAGTATGCTGTGTATGATTTCGATTTTTTTGAATTTATTTAGACTTACTTTGTGGCTAACCATGTGGTCAATCTTGGATTATGTTCTGTTTTCAAGTGAGAATAATGGGTGTTCTATGGTTAATGGGTGTAGTATTGTGTAGATAGATATCTACTGGTTCCCATTGGTCAAGTGTCAAGTTTAATTTCAAAATTTCTTTGTTAATTTTCTGCATCAATGATTTGTCTAATGCTACTTAAACAAATAAATAAATAAATAATCAAGTGAGATAACATTGAGCTTCATTAGGTTCCCAATAAATTATGGATATTTTCATTAAAAAAAAGAAGTTCTGATTGATTTCTTTTCAAGATCTTATTATCTCCTGCTTCATTTCTTTCTTTCTTTCTTTTTTTTTTTTTTTGAGAGAGAGCCTTGCTCTGTTGCCAGACTGGAGTGCAGTGGCGCGATCTCGGCTCACTGCAACCTCCGCCTCCCGGGTTCAAGAGATTCTCCTGCCTCAATCTCCCGAGTAGCTGGGACTATAGGCGTGTGCCACCACACCCAGCTAATTTTTGTATTTTTAGTAGAGACAGGGTTTCATCATGTTGGGCAGGATGGTCTTGATCTCTTGATCTTGTGATCTGCCCACCTCTGCCTTTCAAAGTGTTGGGATTACAGGCGTGAGCCACCGTGCCTGGCCATCCCCTCTTTCATTTCCTGGATTGCTTTAGAAGTTTCTTCATGTTGATTTTCAATGTTGTCTTACATCTCATTGAGCTTCCTTGACATTCATACTTTTGAATTCTTTGTCATTTCTAGGTTTCCATTTTTGTTTATGGACCATTGCTGGGTTGCTAGTGTGATCCTTTGGGAGGTGTCACTACATTCAGATTTTTCATGGTGCCAGAATTCTTGCGCTGGTTTGTTCTCATCTGGAGACTGGCACTTCTAATTTTTGTAATTATTTTCGTGTGGGTAGGAATTTTCTTTTTCCTTCTTTCCCTATAGTATTATTCTTGTTGTTTTCTTTTCCCTGCCCTTTTTGCTCCTCTCTTGAGAGTGTGACTGTAGAGAATTATGGGTAAGGTCCTTTTGCTTTGCTTCTATAACCCCATGCACTTCTCCTGGCAGATTTTACATTGGGCTGTGCAGTTCAATCTACAAACCAGTAGATGGTGTTTATAGGTAAGAGCTGGCTGCAGCCAACATGGTAGGTATATACTTGATGCTTTATTTACTGGCTGAAGCTGTCTGTTGCCTCAGGCAATGGGCTGATTCATGATATGCCATTGTTCTGAGCTTTCTGTTCTGCCCTGGGGGGTCAGGGGCCATGAAAGGTGGAGCTGGACCAGTGCCAAAGAAGAATCCAATTGGCAACTACCAAGTGCCCATAGGTGTGCCTAGGTGTGGAGCTAGGAAACCTCTTCAGCCCCACGTTTTCTGCATGGAATCAGGGATGGCCTAAACTAATCCAGGACATTGGGCACTCCAGATGCCTGGAGATCTGCCTGGGCTGCCTTCTGCACCATGATCTCTGCATAGCAGGAACGGGGTGACTCAAGCTGCTGAACTAGGCAAGCAGATGCTTTGAAGGCCTTGTTATTTATCTGGATGTGTAGCAGACAGGCCCTCCCTGCAGCAAGACCTCAGCCCAGGAAGCATGGGGCAGCTCAGGCTACTGATCTATGTAGGTAAGCTGGTGTTCCAAATGCCTGGAGATCTGCTTGGGTGTGAAACACAAAGGGCCTCTATGCACCAGGATCTCTGTTCAGGAAGGATAGGATAGTTCAGCCTGCCAATCTAGGTGAGCTGGTGCTGTAGATGCCTGGAGATCTGCCTGGGTGTGGAACAATGAGGGCCTTGTTGCACTATGATCTATGCTCAGGAAGAATGGGATAGCTCAGGCTGCTGAAGCAAATGAATGAGTGCTCCAAATGACTGGAGATCTGCCTGGGCATGGAGTGGAGAGAGCCCTGCTGTACCATGACTTCAGGGGACCAGGCTAGGGTACCCAGCAGTGACACACACAGATTAGTTCTAGTTCACCAAGCTGGCCCTAGCTGTCTCACTGCCCAGGAGAAACTGCAGCTGTAGCAGCTCTCCTCTTGTCCCAGGCTTGCAATGGGAGAAAGCACATATTCAGAACCTACTGCTGAGGTGCTTTCTACAGTTCTGGCTATAGAGGCCCCTACTCCACTTCAGAGCAAGCTCTAATCTCTGGCCCAGGATGAAAATGCCCACAGAACCACACTTCTGGATTATCAAAGAATGGCTGACTTTTTATGCACCTAGATTAAAAATGGCATCCTGCTCCTGGTCCCAGGTCTAAGAAAATGTCTACAGCTTTTCCCGGTGTCTTTCCCTCACAGTGTCTCCAAGCCTCTCCCCAGATTAGCTCCAGGGCTTGGGAGAAACCATGTGCTCTTCCTCAGCCTGGGTTACTGGGAACTCCAGTGGAAAGGTGAATCACAGAGGGAGGCTGGCTGCCCCTCTAATGTACTGGGGCTTCACTCGCTTTTATCATCTGGATGCCATAATGGGGACAATTTGCTACCATTCTCTCTGGGATCTGGGTGTCCTTCATGATTCCAGTGGTTCCCATTTTCCTTCTTGAATTAAATCTCACAGCGTTGATCTTTATGTACTGTCTTGCTATTTCCAAGTGGCTGAGGCATGCTGAAAGCCTCTAATAGACCATCTTGGAAAAAAGAAATAAAACCCTAAGCATTTCTTGTAGGGTCCAGTCAAGTGGTGATGGATTCCCTCAGCTTTTACTCATTTGGGAAATACTATATTTCTACTTCGTTCATGAAGGATAATTTTGATGGTGTGAAAGAAAAATATCTTGGGTCCCTCAAATCACTGAGCTAAGGGGAAAATTCAAGCTGGGAACTGCTCAGGGCAAATCTGCCTCCCATTCTATTCAAAGTCATCCTTCTCACTGAGATAGATGCATATTCTGATTGCCTCCTTTGGAAAGGCTTATCAGAAACTCAAAAGAATGTAATCATTTGTCTCTCACCTACCTTGACCTGAAAGCCCCCTTCCTGTGTTAGAAACGAATGCTTGTTCCTCTTGTTCCTCGGTGCTGTAAAGAAATAGCAGTCAAACATAAATTTAATTTTCTCAGAAAGACAATTTTTACTTCTATAGAAGGGTGCAACTCATGGATGGAGTAATGATGAGAGCACGCCTGGACAAGGGAGGGGAAGGGGTTCTCATTCCTGATACAGGTAGCCCCTACTGCTGTGTCATTCCCCTATTGGATAGGGTTGGACCACACAGTCTAAGTTAATTTTGATTGGCTATTTTAAAGAGAGCAGGGGTATAAGCCAGAGTAGTTTGGCAGGAAGGGTGGTTACAGAACAGGTGACCCAGGATGATTCAGGTAAGAGCAGGTGACCAGGGGTGACTCAGGACGGAGCAGGTGACCAGGGGTGACTCAAGATGGAGCAGGTAGCCAGAGGTGACTCAGGTCAAAGCAGGTGACCAGGAGAACAGATGTGAACTACTGATTAGAATTGGCGGGAAAGTTGTTTACTGAAACTAGAGGCAAGGGGGCGAAGAGAACCAGGAAGTTAAACTTTAAAATGGAGAATCAAAGAATAAGGTAGCTGAACATACTGACATATTGATTCTTTGAAGAGAAACTTGGAGTTCACTATATCTAACAATCCCCCATCTTGAATATTTACATTTCTTCTCTTCAAACTTCCTTAACATGTCTTGGCTTAGTTGTTCTGCTTGATAATCTAAAAGGAAAAGCTTCTCCGAATAAAGTGGAGGAGAATTAAGGAAGGTTTTAGTAAGTGCTGCTTTTATCAGTCTTTACACTAGGCCACGGATGCATGGTATGACACAACACCTAACAAGAATGAGTACACTTATTACAGCTAAAAATACAAAGGCTATGATTTCTTTCCATTTACTGAACCACCTTTCTAGCCACCCTGAGAAAGGGTTACCAACTCCAGAATTGTAGCTAATTCATTGGATAAAGCGGTAAGTCTTTGTAAGGCCCTTGTTATGCTCCTAGTGGGGGCAGTGTTGTTTGGGATGAAGGTACAACACTGGGTTTTAATCATAACACAAACACTGCCTTTTGCAGCTAATATTATATCTAGGGCCATTCTGTTTTCCCAGGCTATCTGGCTAGTGGCCCCAAATGTTCTGCTATCCCTTTGACAGCATCCCTGGTGTAATTAATAAACTGCTCTGATCATAATAGATATAATTTATCCAATCTACATTTTTATTAATTGTCACCCATGAAATTATTGACTTAAATCCTGCAGCTATTTGATCTCGGGCTTTAAATTCATTTGGTACTCCTCATGGAACTCCAATAGCATTTATATAAACATGGAGGTCAAAGGACCCATGTGAGGCACTTCTTTTACTATTTTCTTTTTTTATCGTGTTGACAGAATGCTAGGGTGAAAGGGATGGCCAATTGGACTAGAGCACGAGTGCTGCTCTAATTACTTGGCAGAATACCCAGCAATAGTAGCCTGCAATACCACCACACATCTGCTTGGGGATGAACAAGGGCAGACTGATGAGTAAGCTCTTGAAAAGGCTTGGTTTCACTGCACCCTGTTAAGTCTTCAGGGAATGCTAACTTTTCCCCCTGCCATGAAAGGCATGAGGTGAAGTTAATATCAGGGGCTGGAGGCCAGATGGCCCTCAGGGACTCACCCACAGGGCTCTTAACCTCAGGGAACAACAGTGAAAGAGTCTTACGTGACTCATCACCCTAGGCTGTGGGGTTCTGGAAAGAGCTACCATACAGCTCATGCCTGGTCCATGAGAGGACCACCCAAGTGGAAAGGGGACACTCCAGGTCTCCGGCCTGCCTGTTGCACAAGTGTAACAGTCGCTTTTGTTTTGCATGCAAACAGAATATTTAATCCATTCCAGCCAAGCATTTGCATCCTGATACCCTGTTTCAATTGCTATAGTTTGTTTTAAATCTTTAACCTCTACAACAACTACTTTGGTTTTTATCTTTGGGTAGATAACGAGAGCAGGTTTGGTTAGCGGAGGACTTAGACGAGGGAAAAGGGTGTGCATGAGGTGAGGAGGCAATGAAGACATTTCAAAGGATCCTATGAGACTCCTTCCCTGATACTTCTGCTCTTATACCATAGAAATGGCATAATGATGGGGAAGAACTCTGGGGAGCAGTGATGGTCATCTGTACTGGATTCCATTGGTTTAGCTGACAATGGGGAGGGTAACTCCTTTAGTAAAATGAATATATGGTTTTAAGAAACTGCAAGTACTAGTTGGGGCAGTCCATCCTTGCTCTTTAGTATTTTATAGATCATTGGGCCAACTTTGGCAGAGAAGCTCTGCTCTAAGAGGACAAGATTTCCAGTTTATACTGAAATCTTCATCAAACTCTTCTCAAACCAATTTATCCTAGTTAACAGATTTTTAGTCTGAGGAGAACTAGGAAGGATAAAGATACTTTTCTGAAGTAGAGAGTGGCCTCTGACTTGGCAAGTCTCCACAGGGTATAACAAGACAAGCATCAAATATGATAGTTTGAGGCAAAGTTGACTTGGTTACATTAATAACTAGGTGGTCAGCAATACAGCGAGGAAAGAAGGAGTAATAGAATAGATGAAAGAGAGTTAAATTTTTCTTAGCTTTAGTTTGGTAGGGTTTTCGCCTGGGACTATGGCCCATGACTCTGGAGGGGGTGGCACTTTCTTGACTGAGGTGTGATGGGTCCATCCTTTTTCTGATGTCTGGACTGAGGTTTCATTAGTTAGGAGCACTAGGTAAGGTCCTTCCCAGGCCAGTTCGAGTTTTTCCTTCTCTCCAACTTTTGACAAGGATGTGGTCCCCAGGCTGATGTTGGTGTGCTGGAAACTCTAGGATTGGCACCTGTGCTAAAAGACCTTTAGTTCTGAGGGAGGGGAAAGTGGAAGATAAACCAAGTATATAATTTCGGAGAAACTGATTTTTTGTTTCAAATGTAGGGAGATCAATAGTAGAATGTAGATAAGGCAATCCATAAAGCATCCCATAAAGGGATAATTGTATGTCTTTTCAGGGAGCAGTTCAGACTTTCAACTGTGTAATAGGCCTTCCTACTTTCCCTGATGAAGGTGGGTGCCAGGGAGTATGATATCCCCATGTTATATCCAGTATCTGGGCTAATTTCTTAATGACATGTGTAGTGAAATGAGTCCTATTATCTGAATCAATGTTTTCTATTAATCTAAACTTGGGTATAATATTTTCAACTAATGCCTTGACTACATTATTAGCAGTTGTACTTGAAAAGGAAATAGCTTCTACCCAGTGAGTAAGGTGATCTACTATTACTAATAAATACTTTAGATGACCAGTTGGAGGCATCTGTGTGTAATCAGTCTGGATACTTTGAAATGGCCTTAAGCCTGGACTCCTTCCCCCAAGGGGTAATCTTTTAGTAAGTGACTGTCTGTAACCTGTTTGGCTAGGGTATAAATTTCTATGCACCCATAAACTCTGAGGACTGCGTCACACATGGCTTGGGGCCCCCAGTGCGTCCCTTGATGCAGTTGGATAACATTTCTCTTTGGTTTAGCAATATCCATTTTCCTTCTGAATTTTCTTTAGCACCTATTTTTATTAGTTTTTAGACCAAAAAAATAGCATTTTATATTTGACAATGCTTTCTGTATGATTTTATACCAGAGAAGCTAAATTTTACCTTTATATTAGTATGCTATTAATGTTCAACTCAATTTTAATAAAATATTATAGACATTGTTTATCTAATTTTAATGTCTGACCATAAGGTAAGATTTTTATAGACTCTGTTTAATCCTTTATAATTTTTCTTTTTCTTTTCTTTTTTTTTTGAGTTGGAGTCTTGCTCTGTCGCCTAGGCTAGAGTGAAGTGGCATGATCTTGGCTTACTGCAAGCTCTGCCTCCTGGGTTCACGTCCTTCTCCTGCCTCAGCCTCCCAAGTAGCTGGGACTGCAGGGGCCTGCCACCACGCCTGGCTAATTTTTTTGTATTTTTAGTAGAGACAGGGTTTCAACATGTTAGCAAGGATGGTCTCGATCTCCTGACCTTGTGATCCACCGGCCTCGGCCTCCCAAAGTGCTGGGATTACAGGCATGAGTCACCGCGCCCGGCCTAATTTTTCTTGAAGAGCAGTTTCATGCTTTTAAAAAACCTGTCATGCTTCTATTTTAATGTCCAGTTCACAGAAAAATTGGATGATACCTTTTTAACTTTAGCCAATATGCTTACACACAAAATTTCCTTTACAATTAATGTTTCAAAACTTGCTTAAACCTTCAAAACAAAATATATATATATATTTAACCTTTTAATGTAGGTAAAAATCCATATTCTTATGCCTCATGATCCTTTTACCAAAAGTATATTTTACTTTCCTTACACGCCTTGCACATAAACTGTTTCTTCAATAGTTTTACATTCAGGAGGCCTAATTACTTTTAAATTATACAGCATTTCTTGCGTAAATTCCCTTTTATAACATTTTTCACGACTTTCACAATCTTTGACTTGCCTCAACTTTCTGACTTGTAAACATCCCTTTCTTTTTTTTTTTTTTTTTTTTTTTTGAGATGGAGTCTCGCTCTGTCGCCCAGGCTGGAGTGCAGTGGCGGGATCTCGGCTCACTGCAAGCTCTGCCTCCCGGGTTCACGCCATTCTCCTGCCTCAGCCTCCCAAGTAGCTGGGACTACAGGCGCCCGCCACTACGCCTGGCTAATTTTTTGTATTTTTAGTAGAGACGGGGTTTCACCGTTTTAGCCGGGATGGTCTCGATCTCCTGACCTCGTGATCCGCCCGCCTCGGCCTCCCAAAGTGCTGGGATTACAGGCGTGAGCCACCGCGCCCGGCCAAACATCCCTTTCTTTAAACAACCAGTTAATTTATTTTAGGACAAGAATTTACCAGTGGTAACATCAGTGGGCTAATTGTACCCTTCATTGGTCCCCGGGGTGGTGTATGCTGGCACCAGTGTCAGTGGGTCCAGGTAGGCCAACTTTTGGGCCTCCAGATGGCTTACTTGGATGACAATAGTAACTGCAGTGGTCTGGGCAGGTGGGTGTGTTCTCCGTCCACTGGTTAGCTGGCATGGCATGCATGATGGCAGTAGCTGGCATGGCGCACATGATGATACCACTCTGGATCCCAAGTGCTATGTGCGTTGTTAATGGTGGCTGAAATGGACTGGGCAGACCAGTCTCCATGCCCATAGATGGCATGTGCAGGTAGGTGCCAGCTGTGGGGGTAGTGACAGGGTGGGTAGGTTCAACCTCAAGGCTATGAGAGAAGTGCTCAGGTGCCAATGTTGGTGGAGTGAGCTGGTTAATCTCCAAGCCTCTGGACTGCATGCTTTGGCTTTTGGGGGTTCAAGCTTAGCTGGGTGGGCTTGACTTAGGGCCCCACAGTGGTATGTGCAGGTACTTGCTATGGTAAGTAGGGGTGAGGAGATTCCCAGGCCTCCAGGAGAATGCTCAAGAAGGGGGTGGCAGCAGTCGTACTACATTCCTGCCACTGAGGAGGATAGGGCCACCTTCAGTGATGGCAGCCTAGGCTGGTGGCTAGGGAACACCTGCCCTGCTCTTGCCTCAGCCCCATTGGCAGCAGCCCTCGCCTTCACTGCATTTTAGTCCCAGCAGCAGCAGCATCCTGCACTTTGTTCATGACTTAGCTCTAGTACTGCTGGGCCCAGGATAGTTCATAGCCTGTTGTGTGCTATGCTCTTAAAATGGCACCTTGCTGTAGATGCTTAGGAGTTGGGGGAAGTGGGGGACCTAGTACAAACTCATTCCCTGGAGCAGTTCTATTGTCTAATCTCCAGGCAGCTCCATATATTAGTTTCAGGGCTTGCATAGGTGATGGGGATCTCCCATGCCTGGGACTGCAGGAGTCCACAGTTGGAATGTGGTCCACTGTGAGTCTATTACTTACTCTTTCCCCACACTGGGGAGTCATTCCCGTCTCCCAGCTGATCTTGGCTGAGAAGAGTGCTTCACTTCCCTCTCCTTTCTTGCTTTAGGTATTTTTTTGTCACTTTTCTGTTGAATTCCAGTGTCCTCTTTTTAACGATCTATTCAAAGTGCAATTATCTACTCATTATTTTGGTGGTTCTTAGTGCCCAATGCATATTTCTGAATGAGGTAAAGAATCAGTGATCCATTTGCTTTTTACTGTATGTTAGGGGTTGAATGTTTCTTCCAAAACTCATGTTGAAACTTAATCCCCAATGTGGCAGTATTGAGAGTTGGGATATTTAAGAGATGATTGGATCATAAGGGCTCTGCCTGCAGGAATGGATTAATTCATTCATGGAGTAATGGACAAGTGGTTTAATGGATTAATGGGTTATCTTTGGAGGGGAACTGGTGGATTAATAAGAAAAGGAAGAGAGAGCTGGACTAACATATTAGCACACTCAGGTTTGTTGCCACGTGATGCCTTGCTCCTCCTTGGTTTGCTGCAAAAAGCCCACCAACAAGAAGGCCCTCACTAGATATGCCCCCTTGACCTTAAACTTCTCAGCTTCTGTAATGATATAAGAAATAGTTTTCTTTTCTTTAGAAATGACTCAGTTTCAGGTATTCTATTATAAAGAACATTAAACAAACTAATGAACTAAGATACTATATTAAGTTTATTTTTAGGCAAGTGACATAGATACTTAGATGCTTTCCCTTCTAGGAGACCATTATAATTCTTTTTATTCTTTTTATTCTAGAGACAGAGTGTTTCTTTGTTGCTCACACTGAAGTGCAGTGCTGCAATCATAGCTCATAACAGCCTCAAACTTCTACTCCATTTCAACTTGAGATGTACACACGATATAATACTAGATATTTTCAGTCAAAAGCATTTTCAGATCTTGTCACCAGAGAAGTCTTCTGTTCTTATGTGTTTCAAGTTTTCTGTAGTAAACTATATAGTACATTTAAACTGTTATTTGTTTTCAACTTTATAGGCTTTAAACATTTTATTAAAAGTATAATACTATAATATCTTGGTGTTATCACTTTATAATTATCCCATTGATAGGTGAATTTTGAAGGCAATTTAGTGACCTGCATAAAGGCATGAGGTGATTTAGCTAAAATTTGGGCAAAGTGATCAAATACCTGCACAAAATTTGTTATTATATCGTTAAGTGTAATATAATTTTTTAGAGATAGGGTCTTGCTCTGTCATTTGGGCTGTGGTGTAATCATAGCTTATTGCAACTGCAAATTCCTGGGCATAAGCAATCCTCTGGCCTCAAACTCTCAAGTAGCTGAAACCATAATTGCATGCCACCACACCCAGCTAATTTTAAAATTTTTATTTTATTAGAGATGGGGTCTTGCCATGAAGCCCAGGCTGGTCTCAAACCCCTTGCCTAAAGTGATCCTCCCACCTTAGCTTCCTAAGTAACTGGAATTATAGCACGAGAAACCACACTGAGCTGTTATAATTCCTTATATAGAAAAAGTAAAGAGAAACATTCATTATAGCTTTAGAGAAAGGGAGAAAGAGAGTTGTTCTTATTTTGACTTTCCAGTACTGTTTTAGTTATCTATTGCTGCACAGTGAATTACCTCACATCTTAGCAGCCTAAAACAATAATAAACATTTTTTATCTTACACAGTTTCTATGTATCAGGAATTCAGGACCAGCTTATATGGGTTGTTCTGGCTGAGAGCCTCTTATGAAATTGTAATCAAGATGTCAGCTAGGCCTGCACTCATCTGCAGACTTGACTGGGGCTGGAGGACCTGCTTTCAAGGTGGTCCACTCAGTTGACTAGAAAGTAGGGGTTGGATATTGACAGGAGGGCTCAGTTCCTTGCCATATGGGTCTCTTCATATGGCTGCTTAAGCGTCTTCACAAAATGGCAGTTGGCTTCCTCCAGAGCAGGTTGTCTAAGATAGGATGCTGCAGTTACAAAGTCATTTTTTGACCTTGCTTCAGAGTCAACACACATTTGCTTCTGGATATATTATTTGTTACGCATGTCCATCCTAGTCAATGTGGGAGGAAACTACAGAAGGGTATGAATGCCAAGAGGCATTTTGGTGGATGCCTTCCACAAATCCCTACGTGGTTGTGTCCTTTGATTTCTGGAGCTTTTCATCCTGTTTCTATCAGTCAGTCAGTTAATAGCAACATCAAAGCTCAAATAAAGAGACACCTGACAACACAGAGACAATGTATTAGAGATCTGCATGCAAGAAAACAATATAATTTGTACTTGTCAATATCAGTTTCTGCATGCATGGAGATCTCCTTGGGCTTATCACTGTGCCTAGCATAAATACCAAATACTTAGAAGTTTCTCTGCAAATGTAATATTTTTGAATGAGAGAATGAAGGAATAAAGAAAGGGATTGGTCTTTTTGCCTCATGAAACTGAGCATTGGCTTTGTGCTGGGACTTACATAAACAATTTTCAGCCTTCAGAAAAGCACATTAATTTTAATAGCAAATAATTAAACATGCTATTAACTTTTACCTTTCATGGTCTAGGTAGATGCTTATTGGATTTGAAATTCACCAAACATAAATCAGACAATTCTTTCCTTTTCACTCATGGATAGCTTTATCCCTTTATTCTTCTCTGGTTAAAAAAAATATATTTGCATTTGGTGTGATTTGTTCCAATCATTAGCTTTAATGCCTAATATGCAGAATGGGTATTTTTGATCCAATCTTCTACCTGCTCACCTTAGTCATAATCTATCACCAAACTATTCTATAAGGGGATTCCTATGGATACCATTACTGTTATTAAATTTATATTCCACTTATTTGTAAAGTACTTTTGGAATTTTCAACATATCCACAATCCAATAATACCTATCTAAGTTGTCATTCCTTAAAAGGCTCAAAAACTCTAAGATCCAACTTAGCAATAAAGCACAAAGAAACATTTTACATTTTAAGAATGTTATTCAATATGATTCTTATTTAAGTGATTTATGGCTATGTTTTGCTAAAAAGAATTTCTAGAGCACTGCCAGAAAATTAAAATTAGGAACTCTCTCATCTAGTGCTTGTGGAAGTATATATTTTTGGGATAAGTACTTTGTAGATCAATTTGACACTATCTAGTGGAGTTGAAATTGTATCTATCCTATGGCCCATTAATTCCAGTCCTGAGTATATACATTAGGGATACTCAAACACAAAAAACTATGCATTGCAGCATTGTTATGGTGAAAAATTTCAAAAGTATACAAGGTAAAAACACAAATGGATAACAAAAACTATTACAAATTATGAAATTTGTTATAATTCATGCATTTAAATACTCTATAGGAACAAAAATGAATAACATAGTACAGATATCAATGTAGATGAGTCTCACACACATTGTGAAAGATAAAAAGCAAGTTATAGAAGGATATATAACATGTAATTCTATTTGTGTAGCTTAAACTATGCAAAACAATATTGTTTAGGGTCTAAATGGACAGAATAAAAGTACAAAAAATGAAAATGATAAACCTAAAATTCAAGATAGAAATTTTCTTTATAAGCGGGAATGAGAGTAAATAGGATCTGGGATGGGTAGATAGGCGGGTTTAAATGTATTTGTAATGTTTTAGTTCTTGTGTTAAATGGTAGGTATACTGATACTTTATAGCATACTTAAAAATTTAAAAATCCAAATAAAGTGCTGACAATTGGGATAGAGGTATAGCAACACTCAGTGCATGTGCAAACAGCATTTTATGCAGTATTATTTTACTGGAGTTTCTATAATTTTTTATATGGACTTCCACTGCTTCCAACATTGTATTCACTCTATTCATGTGATCACTTTGTGAAAAGTTGCATGTATTCCTCCCTCACTTTCTTCTGTAAAAAGGAGTTGTTACATTAAGTAATCTTTGGCATAAAATACTGTTTGGCTATAATGCTTGATTTAGGTATAATAATTGAGGTATTAAAAATAAAGCCCCTTAGAAATAAATATAGGTTCACAAAAGATAGAATTAACCTTTTAAAATTTCTAAACTGCTCCCCCCATATATTCTCAATAATCTTTATTTATTTATTTGTTTACTTATTTTTGGAGATAGAGTCTTGCTCTGTTGCCCAGGCTGAAGTGCAGTGACACAATCTTGGCTCACTGCAACCTCTGCCTCCTCGATTCCAGTGATTCTTATGCCTCAGCTTCCCAAGTAGCTGGGATTACAGGTATGCGCCACCACACACAGCTAATTTTTGTATTTTTTGTAGAGATTGGGTTTCACCATGTTGGCCACGCTAGTCTCGAACTTCTGGCCTCAAGTGATGTGCCCACCTCCGGCTTCTCAAAGTGTTGGGATGACAGGCGTAAGCCACCGTGCCTGGCTGTATATTTAAAATATAAATATTCAACAATAATTTGAAACACTTCTGCTCTATTTGCCTTTTAGTGTTGTAAAGTGAAGGAAGAGCTGGAGGAAGGGACATTCCGAGGGAGGCTAGCTTTTCTCCTGTATATGATGTAGTTAGTTGCTGTATTTGCTGTACTTTTACCACAACACGAGTGCTTAGATATTTGCAGATTAAATTTCTTTTTCTGTGTTTTTTTTTTTTTAATGGAATTTCACTCTTGTTGCCCAGGCTGGAGTGCAGTGGCGTGATCTTGGCTCACTGCAACCTCCACCTCCTGGGTTCAAGTGATTCTCCTGCTGAGAATCCTGAGTAGCTGGGATTATAGGCGCATGCTACCAGGCCCGGCTAATATTTGTATTTTTAGTAGAGATAGGTTTCACCATGTTGGCCAGCCTGGTCTCGAACTCCTGATCTTAGGTGATCCACCTGCCTCTGCTTCCCAAAGTGCTGGGATTACAGGCGTGAGCCACCACACCTAGCCCAGATTAAATTTCTATAAGTACTTTAGAATTTTCTTCATAATAAAAAATTAATTAAATTTTTTTCCTGTATGAGAGAGCCTCAAAATATGATTCACAACTTACTGCTACTTCATGTATAGTGCTAACTACTTTTGAATCACTTCATGCAGATTAAAGAGAACTAATTAAAGATCAGTGCTCTTGAGAGCAAGGCCCAATGCAGAGAGAAACAAGAGCTAGCAGCCAGAATGCAAGGGAGGAGAAGTAATGTCCATTCCTTCCTTTTGTGTGAATAAAAACAGAAACCTACTAACAACGTCCCTGAGTGTTAAGCATCTGTGAAATTGTACCGTGATGAGCACTTAGCAGTGCTTTGGCAATAGTGAATGTTTAATATACATTCATTGAATAAATAAATACATAAATAAAAGAAAAAATACTGAATAAGAGAAATACTTGTTGAAAGAATCATGCTTGTGGGGAATAAAATCACTTAGCAATTCTGTAAAACTTCTGAAATAAAAATGTTGAGAGCTCCATAACTCTATTCTATGTATTTCCCCGGCATTTGTAGAAAGGAACATATATCTTTATAATGTTGACTTTCCCTAATCCTAAACAGAAATAAAGATTGCTCCTCATCTCAGTTCTGGTTTGAATATGGCTATCATTTAGTACTCTTCCAGGAAGCTAGGAGAGGGAGGTTCTTTCTTCACAGCTGTCCCAAGATCAAGAGGTTCCCAAAATAAAATTAAACACTGAACATTCAAGGACATTACCAGATGACATGTGCTTCCTTTTTTACTTTCTCAGCAATACCTTAAGAATTGAAAAAAAAAAAAATTTGATGAATGATAGTTCTGGGCTATTTTTAATTTCCGTACCAGCTCAGAAAGCATGTTCTATTCCCAACTCCCTCATTCTTATGTCTCTGCCCTCTGCCCTGAACAGTTGTAAACTTGTTCATAGAAGATGTACTTTCACTTTGAGACAGTGGTTATCTTCCTTACATCAATTCTGTTCAGTAGTGCACATGTTAAAAGGGGCTTCATCTCAGGATATTTACACCACTTCAGGTTGAATTAAGTTCTTCTTAATCTTCCCAAGGGAGATAGGAAAATATTGAAGTGCCTGCTTCTCTTACCCTTCTGCTAAATCAATACTGAACTTGACTGATTTCTAATTGACTCATTATGTGCAGTATCTGAGAATTTTTTTAAACTAACATAGAAAATGATCAGACCCCAAAAAATGAAGTTCCTAAGTATGTCAGAATAATAGGAACAGAAAAAAAAATACAAACTTAGGGAATATTTCTGGTTGACTTATTTTGGACTTTTATATGAGACCAAATATCATGATATGAGGTTACTGTTTCTTTAGGACTCAAAAACAAAAAAGAAGACAGACATGGGAAGGACATACTTTTTTAACCTTAATAGTAGAATTATAAGGGTCAAAACAAAATGGTGGGAATGGACTGTCCAGCAATCATCCCCTCACAGCAACATCAATGTGAAAAACTATTCACTCACACAAATATTTGCATGAGAACTAACGAAACCAACCGAGAGATAACAGTACCTAGCTGTAACACAATAATAAAAAAATAAGAAAAAGATGCATTTAGGAGGGTAGGAAGAATAGTTTTACATTACCCACACCACCCCTTCCCCAATTCCAGGCAGCACAGCACAGACAGAGATACTGTCCACTTGGGATAAAGAGAGGGAAGTGATTACAGAACTTTGCCTTAGATCCCAACATGAGATCTATCACAGTAAAACAAAGAACTGGGTGGATATTCAGGCATCATACTTGAGCTGGTAACTTATGACTGAGCCTCTGAGCCTGCCTTGACAACAAGTGGGACTGTACAGCATCAGGCATAAGGCTTGCATGGTGAACTCAATATCTGGCCCACACCATCGCCAGGCCGACATCAGGGGCCCTGGGCTCTGGATACCTCTCAGTGACAGGTAACCCTCAGCAACATGGGCTTCTGATACACCAGTGCCACTCTGATCACATCTACCTGGGGCTTCTAGTAGCACCATGCCAGCCACAGCAGGCCCCATGCTCCTGACCTGTCTCATTGCTTCTCCTGCCACAGTGAGCCCTGAGTTTTGAGCAGTACCATGCTTGTCACAGCTTCCCTGGGCTTCTGGTACGTTTGAGCACTGTGCCTGTCACAGGGATTTCCCAGGCAGAGCCAGTCTATGAAGACTGAAATAAGTATCTACTTCTTCAAATGCACAGACATTGACATACAACCACAAGGATCAAAAACACCCAGGGAAAAACAATATCACCAAATGGACAAAATAGAGTGCCAACAACCAACCCTAAAGAGATAAAGATGTACTAAATGACTGACAAAGGATTCAAAATAATCATTTTAAGGAAGCTCAGCAAATTTCAGTAAAGAGAAACAATTCGACAAAATGAGGAAAACAAGATATCAGAATGATAAACTTAATAGACTGAATAATAAAAAATTGAAGCAGAAATCTTGGAGTTGAAAATAAAATAAAAAATGCGATAGAGAGCATTGACAGCAGAACTAAGTATGAGAAAAAGTCTGTGAATTTGATGACAGGTTATCTGAAAATATACAGTCAGAGGAGAAAAAAGAAATGGAAGAAAACATAAAGGATTTATATCAAAAGAATGAATGTTCAAGTTATAGGAATTTAAGAAGAAGAGAAAGATAGAAGGGGAGAAGCTTATTTAAAGAAATAGTAACAGAAAACTCCAAAGCTAGAGAAGAAACTATCTACGTACAAGAAAGTCAAAGTTCTCCAAGCAGATTTAATCCAAATAAGACTATTCCAATACATATAATGATCAAATCATCAAAAACCAAAACAAAGAAAAGATTCTGATAGCAGCAAATAAAAAGAAACAAATCACATACAAGAGAGGTCCAATACACCTTAGCAGCAGACATACCAGCAGAAACTTTCTAGGCTAGGAGAGAGTAGGATGATATATTTAAAGCACTAAAGAATGAAAACTGGCAATCAAGAATACTATTCCCAGAAAATCTGTCCATCAGAAATGAAGAAGAGATAAAAGGCTTTCCTCAATAAACAAAAGCTGAGAGAGTTTATCAACACCAGACCTTTCTTATAAGAAATGATAGGCCAGGCATGGTGAGTCACACCTGTAATTCTACTTTAGGAGAGCAAGACAGATAGATCACTTGAGCCCAGGAGTTCAAGACTAGCCTGAGAAACATGACAAAACCCCACTGCTACACACACACACACACACATACACACACACACAATTAGCCAGGCATAGTGGTGTGTGACTGTAGTCCCAGCTACTTGGGAGGCTAAGATGAGAGGATCACTTGAGCCCAGTGATCATGCCACTGCTACTACAGCCTGGGCAACAGATTGAGGGCCTGTCTTGGGGTGGGGGTCGGGGGGGAAGAAATGGTAAAGGGAATTCTTCAATCTGAAAAAAAATGGTAATTAGTAGTATGAAAACATCTAAAAGTAAAAAAACTCATATAAAGTTAAGAACACAGTCATTCATTCTAATACTTTAATGGTGTTGTGTAAGTTACTTATATCTTTAACATAAAGGTTAAAAACTAAAACTATTAACAATAGCTATGATACTATGTTAAGGGATATGCACTATAAAAAGTGTAAATTGTGACATCAGTAATTCAAAATATGAGGCAGACAGTGGAGTAAAAATATGGAGGTCTTTCTAGTTTCAAAGTTAAGTTGTTGTCAGCTTAAAACAACCCTTTATAACCAGATTTTTTTTTTCTTTGTAAGTGTCATGGTAACTAAAAAGCAAAACTCTATAATTGACAGTCAAAAAATAAAAAACAAGGAACTAATACATACTGGTAGAAAAAATCACTTAGCTACAAAGGAAGACAACAAGAGAGCAAGAAAAAACAAAAGATCTACAAAACAACTAGAAAACAATTAACCAAATGAAAATAGTAAGTTCTTACCTACCAAAAATTACATTGACTGCAATGGATTAAAGTCTTTAATCAAAAGACATAAGGTGGCCAAATAAATCAATATAAAGACTCAATTATATGCTGCCTAAAAGAGACTCACTTCACTTGTAAGAACACACATAGATTGAAAGCGAAGGGATAGGAAAAGATATTCCATTGAAATGGAGACCAAAAGAGAGGAGGAGTAGCTATACTTAGATAAAATAGACTTTAAGTCAAAAACTGTAAAGAGAGACAAAGAAGGCCATTATATAACGATAGAGAATGATTGAATAGTAGGATATAATAATTATAAAAATATATGCACCCAACATCAGAATATCTAAATATATGACACAAATATTAATAGATCTGAATGGAGAGATAGATCACATTACAATAATAGTAGGGGGCATCAATACCCCACTTTCAGCAAAGGACAGATCATTTAGACAGAAAATCAGTAAGAGAATATTGGATGTAAACTACACTCTAGATCAAATGGACCTAACAGACATATGCAAAACATCTTATTAAACAGTTGCAGAATACATGTTCTCCCTAACTGTACATAGAACCTTCTCCAGGATAGATCATATGGTAGGACAAAAAGCAAGTCTTAAAAAATTTAAGATTAAAATAATATAAAGTTCATTTTCTGACCACAGTGGTATAAAACTAGAAATCAATACAACAGGAACTTTCAAAAATTTACATATACATTGAAATTAAACAACATGTTCCTGAACAACCAATGGATCAATAAAGAAATTAAAAGGGACATTAAAATACTTTTTGAGACAAATGAAAGTGGCCTTTGGGAGCTCAAAACAGAAGGTTTACTTGAAGACAGGAGTTCAAGACCAGTCTAGACCATTTATATGATTTGGCTGTGTCCCCACCCAAATCTCATTTGAATACCCATGTGTTGTGGGAGGGACCTGATGGGAGGTAACTGAATCATGGGGGCAAGTCTTTCTCATGCTGTTCTCATGATAGTGAATAAGTCTCACAGATCTGATGGTCTTATAAATGGGAGTTTCCCTGCTCAAGCTCTCTTCTCTTGTCTGCTGACATATGAGATGTGCCTTTCACCTTCCACCATGTTTGTGAGACCTTCCCAGCCACATGGAACCGTAAGTCTGTTAAATCTCTTTATTTTGCAAATTGCCCAGTCTTTATCTGCAGCATGGAAATGGACTTATGCAGTGAATTGGGTACCAGTAGAGTGGGGCACTACTGTAGATACCAGAAAATGTGAAAGCAACTTTGGAACTGGCTAACAGGCAGGGGTTGGAAGAGTTTGGAGGGCTCAGAAGGAGATAGGAAAATGTGGAAAAGTTTGGAAGTTCCTAGAGACTTGTTGAATGGCTTTGCTCAAAATGCAGACAGCAATATGGACAATAAGGTCCAGACTGAGGTAGTCTCAGGTAGAAATGAGGAATTTGCTGGGAACTGGAGCAAAGGTAACTCTTGTTATGTTTTAGTAAAGAGACTGGCTGCATTTTGCCCCTGTGCTAGAGATTTGTGGAACTTTGAACTTGAGAGAGATGATTTAGGATATCTGGTGGAAGAAATTTCTAAGCAGCAAAACATTCAAGTGGTGACTTGGTCCTGTTAAAGGTATTCAGTTATATAAGGAAAGCAGAATATAAAAGTTTGGAAAATTTGCAGCCTGACAATGCAATAGAAAATAAAACCCATTTTTTGAGGAGACATTCAAGCCAGTTGCAGAAATTTGCATAAGTAACAAGGAGCAGAATGTTGATCCCCAAGACAATGGGGAAAATGTCTCCAGGGCATGTCAGAGGTCTTCATGGTAGCCCCTCCCATCACAGGCCTAGGAGGGAAAAATGGTTTCATGCCAGGCCCAGGGTCCCCGTGCTGTGTGCAGTCTAGAGAATTTTTGGTGCCCTGTGTCCCAGTTGCTTCAACAGTGACTAAAAGGGACCAAGGTACAACTCAGGCCGTAACTTCAGAGGGTGCAAGCCCCAAGGCTTGGCATCTTTCACGGGGTGTTGAGCCTGCAGGTTCACAGAAGTCAAGAATTGAGGTTTGGGAACGTCTGCCTAGATTTCAGAGGATGTATGGAAACACCTGGCTGTCCAGGCAGAAGTTTGCTGCAGGGGCAGGGCTCTCATGGAGAACCTCTGCTAGGGCAGTACAGAAGGGAAATGTAGGGTCAAAGCCCCCACACAGAGTCCCTACTGGGGCACTTCCTAGTGGAGCTGTAAGAAGAGGGCCACTGTCTTCCAGACCCTAGAATGGTAGATCTACCTACAGCTTGCACAGTGCACCTGGAAAAGCCACAGACGCTCAATGCCAGCCCATGAAAGCAGCGTACAGGAGGAAGGCTGTACGTTGGCTGCAAGGCCACAGGGATGGAGCTGCCCAAGACCATGGGAACCCACCTGGATACGAGACACAGAGTCAAAAGAGATCATTTTGGAGTTTTAAGATTTGACTGCCCTATTGGATTTTGGACTTGCATGGGGCCTGTGGCCCCTTTGCTTAGCCAATTTCTCCCATTTGGAATGGCTGTATTTACCCACTGTACCCCCATTGTATCTAAGAAGTAACTAACTTGTTTTTGATTTTACATTCTCATAGGCAAAAGGACTTACCTTGTTATGAATGAGACTTTGGGCTGTGGACTTTTGAGTTAATGCTGAAATGAGTTAAGACTTTGGGGGACTGTTGGGAAGGTGTGATTGGTTTTGAAATGTGGGGTCATGAGATTTGGGAGGGGCCAGGGTGGAATGATATGGTTTGGCTCTGTCCCCACCCAAATCTCATCTTGAATTTCCACATGTTGTGGGAGAGGCATGGTGGGAGGTAATTGAATCATGGGGGTAGGTCTTTCCCTTGCTGTTCTCATGATAGTGATTAAGTCTCTTGAGATCTTATGACTTTATTAACGGGAGTGTCCCTGCACAAGTTGTCCCTTTTGTCTGCTGCCATGTGAGACATGCCTTTCACCTTCCATTATGATTGTGAGGCCTCTCCAGCCATGTGGAACTGTAAGTCCATTAAATCTCTTTCTTTTTAAAATTACTCAGTCTTGGGTATGTCTTTATCAGCAGCGTGAAAACAGACAAATACAGCAATGTAAAGAGACCCTGTCTCTACCAAAAAATAAAAATAAAAATTAGGCAAAATGATAACACCTGTAGTACTAGCTACATGGGGAGCTGAGTTGGGAAGATTCCTTGAATCAGGGGAGAGGTTACATTGAGCTATGATAGTGCCACCACACTCTAGCCTGGGCAACAGAGTCAGACCCTGTCTCTAAAAATAATAATAAAAAAAAGAAAGTAAAAGTACAACATATAGCAAAATCAGTTGTAAAAGAGAAGTTTATAGCCATAAATCATCAAAATAAAGAGATCTCAAACAACCTAACACTGCACCTCTAGGAGCTAGGAAAACAAAAACAAGTTAGCAGAAGGAAGCAAATAATAAAGATCAGAGCAGAAATAAACGAGAGTTGGGAAAATCAATAGACAATATAAACAAAACTAAGAGTTGGTTTTTTGAAGATAAAATTGACAAACTTTTAGCTAGGCTAAGGCAGAAAAATAAAATTGGAAATAAAGGAGACACTACAACTGATACAACAGAAATACAAAGGATTATGAGACTATTATGAAAAATTATATGCCAACAAATTGGATAACCCAGAATAAATAAATTTATTGATGCATTCAGCCTACCAATACTAAATAATGAAGAAATACAAAATTTTGACAGACTGAAAATTGTAAGGAGATTGAATCACTAGCAAGTCTTCCATTTAAGAAAAGTCCAGGACCTGACTGCTTTCACTACTGAATTCTGCCAAACATTTAAGGAAGAACTAATACCAAGTCTTCTTAAATGCTTAAAAAATTGAAGAGAAGGGAATACTTCCGAGCTTACTGTATGAGGTTAGCATTATACTGATACCAAAGCCAGAAAAGAAACTACAAAAAAGGAAAACTCTAGGTCAATACCCCGATGAATAAAGATGCTAAAATCCTCAACAAAATACAGGCAAACTGAATTCAGCAGCACATTAGAAAGATCATTCACCATGATCAAAGTGGAATTTATCCCAGGAGTGCAAGAATACTTCAACACACAGAAATCAATAAATGTGAGACATCACATCAACAGAACGAAGGACAAAAACCATATGACTATTTTAAGAAATGAAGAAAAGGCATTTGACAAAATTCACCATTTTTCATGATAAAAACTCTCAACCAATTAGATATAAAAGGAACATACCTAAAACAAATAACGGCTATATATGTTAAACCCACAAGCAACATCATACTTAATGGGGAAAAGTTGAAAGCTTTTCCTCTAAGATTCGGAACAAGACAAGAGTGCCCACTCTTGCCACTTCAATATATTACTGGAGGTCCTAGCCAGAGCAGTTAGTGAAGACAACAAAATAAAACACATTCGAATTGGAAAGGAAAAAGTTAAATTGTTCCTGTTTGCAGACCGTATACTCTTACATATAGAAAACCCTAAGGACTCCACCAAAAAACTATTAGAACTAATAAATATAGTAAAGTTGCAGGATACAAAATCAACATACAAGACTCAGTAGGATTTCTATACACTAACAGCAAACTGTATGAAAAAGCAGGAATTAATATCTACAAAAAAACTTAAAATGAATGTAACCAAGGAGATGAAAGATCTCTACACTGAAAACTATAAAACATACAATAATGATTTTCCCAATGATTCCATTTTGAAGAAATATTATGTTTAAGTATTTTGATAGCTATGGTTAAATTAACAATACACTTAGTATTAAATGAATGATCCATAGAAGAGACTAAGCACCTCTTTATTCCCTTCAGTTCCCTCATTTTTCTATCATAAAGAAGAAATTAGATTCTTGGCTGTTAGATCTCTTTCTCTAAACTCAAGCTTGCGGAGAATATTAGCATGCTTGAAGGTCACTGCTGCGAATAACCTGATATCAGGCTATATTAATATTCACACAACATGTCTATACTAAGTGACACGATTGTAAAATATTCCAGAAGCCAACCTTCTGTTGCTTCCTGGTAGTATTGTTTCCTAATAAAATCCCATTAAAGAAGGGAGATTACTGTCACTGGTAACAACTTTGTGTATTTCATCTCACTATAATTTAATGAAAGAACGAATCAAATGTATATAAACCAATCTTTGAGAGTCGATTATATTTTCTTCATTTTTTTGAGTTACTTAGATGTTTTGTACCTATTGTTGGATAACTTTAAAGATAAGTACAATATATTTTAGTATGAACGTCAACAATTAAGTAGCTTCTACTGGCTTCCCCCAAGAAAACTGAATACTTATGTACACATTACCTTCTCCCTTTCATTTTCCAGAATTCATTGACGTAATCTAAAATTTTATATCAAGATTATTATTTTTATGCATCTTCAAAAAACATTTCTAAACATCAACAATAATCATTTGCATAATTCTAAAATTTATTTCATATTTCATATCTTCATCTTCCCAAAGTTCTTCTGATTTGTATAACCCACATTGTTGAATGAAAATTTCAAGACAAGATTTCTGCCAATGCTTCATAACCATAAAACCTTTGTATGTGAGTTGTGGGAAGTTCATGGACACCCCTTCCTATTCTATATGAATTCCTGCATCCATCTGGAGGCTCAGGTAAGATTGGGGTTCTTCTCATAGTTATTGCTCCATCCCCTTCTCATCTCCATCTCATCTTCTAATTGAAGGGATTTTAGTGAGAATGATGGGAAAGTCATTTTTTTTTGTTTGGTTAGGTTCCTCTCGCCGTAAGTAATTATAGGTTTTGGCTTTTTTCTGATTTTTTCTTGTCATATTTCCTGTAGTATTCACTCAAAATGTCATGTTTTTCATGGGACTTGCAATTCCCTCAGAGACATAGGAATTTTCCTATTACATTGGTTAGATAATTGTGGTGAAAAATTGGGAGCAGGAGAGGTTAAAAATGTGGCTCTGGGATGAACATTTTATTGTGGAATTTCTCAATCCATATATAGTTGACTACAATCCTGTCTTTTCAGATATCCAAATAGTAAGGGTCATTCACAAATTTTGAAAATGACTCAAGTGCTTCCAGGGTATGGGAAAAACTGCTGTCAAACTTGGTTGTGAGTGTCAGAACTAGAATAGACCTGATTATAGTGCTTAATAAATAACAATGCATGAGTTCCCATTAGAGTAGGGCTAAACTGTCCTTGGGTCTCCTACACTAAGAAAATGCCGCTCAGCAAAAATGCCTCAATTCATCTTTGTTACTTCCCTTGTTTACAGTTTTCTGATTAGAATTCTTAGTGTTTTCTTATTTTCATAATGATTCTGTATCCAATAGTTGCAGTGTGTTTTCTGTAATTGAAGTACATATATCCATTTATATTTATTCAGTGAAATATTGCTAAATATAGGTAACTTGTAGTAAGAATTAATATTCACCTCCAATCATTTAAAATTTTCAAAATGCCTAAAAAATGCTTTTAATAACTATATTTAGTGACAAATGTTTGTAAAATTCTGAAGGTCTCTTTGACAGCATTAATATTTAATACATAGCATGAAATTCTTTAGACATGCACATTCTCTTTCCAGTTGGAGCTTTTGAGGCAGTACAAAGCTCTCTTCCAAATACAGTACCATAATTGAAGGCTGTTGTAGAATACAATGAGGTTTAAGCTGGTATTTGTGTAATTAGTTCTAAAATACATCTTGTTGTTTGTGGGAGAGATTCAAAGGGAAAAGAGGGGCAAAGCTCCAGCTATAGTATTAAAATAATAACCAGCTGAATTATTTCTGAGCTCTCTTTCCTGAGTCTGTTTGTTCTCTGTTCTCAGAGATTATGTGCACAATGATTTTTTCTCCTAAGCAGCTCAGATTGAAATGAATAAAGGGAACAGTCCAGGAAAACAAGGTTGAGGAATGTTCATAACAATATGACATCTGGAATTGAGAATACTTTTCTGCTAGAAATCTAGATGGCTCAATAATAATGTGTTTTATCTTTTAAATACACTTTAGTTTGGAGGCTACTAGCTGCCTGATCTCACTCAGTGACATGTATTCTGGGAGCTGGCGTTTTAACAAATGCAGTTGTGATATGATTACAGAATGTTTAACATTTTATACTTGCCATGACAAGTTTAAGTTTTATTGGCACATCCATTGGTTCATTTTTTTTTCTCTCTTCTTTGTCATAACTCTTGCTCAGACAGACTTTAAATGGCAAGAACTATTCATCATTGACAGGGGTGAGTGCCCAAGGTGTATGTGGCATTATGCCATAGGTGCAAAGTGGGATCTGGACAGCCACTGTAGGGCTGCACTTGCTAGAATCCTGAGGATGCTCTAGGTATTTGCATACCTTATGACTTTGTGGAGACTGGACCCTAAATCCCTCCTGGTTTCTCATCTTACTTTGTCAGATCACTGTGAGTCTTGATAACTCTTTCTACTCTTTTATCTTAATGTCTGGATGTGAAGTAGTGAAAAAGGCCTATTTCTATTTCCCTTTTGCCAAGGTCCTTGTGAGGCTTTGGAGTTCACTTAATTACTAGAGAAGGAGGTAAGTGTGAGAAAGACAGAGAGATCAAGATCCCTTAATTTTCCAAACAGAACTGGCCCGAACCCCCGTTTCCCTTTTTCTGGTTGTATCAGGTCTTGTTTGACATCTAAAAGATGAGAGATAGTCAGGAGTTCGAGACCAGCCTCAGCATGGAGAAACCCCGTCTCTACTAAAAATACAAAATTAACTGGGCGTGGTGGTGCATGCCTGTAATCCCAGCTACTTAGGAGGCTGAGGCAGGAGAATTGCTTGAACCTGGGAGGCAGAGGTTGCAGTGAGCTGAGATCGCACCATTGCACTCCAGCCTGGGCAACAAGAGCGAAACTCCGTCTCAAAAAAAAAAAAAAGATGAGAGATACTTCCAAGCCTCAGGCCTCAGTTACCATACTGCCTAGCTGCAAGGGAGAAAGAGAAGGGCAACAGAAAAAACACTATGTAAGGGAGATTGCAGAGGAACAGAGTTCTACAAGAAAGTGTTTGCCCTAGGGCCTTTCCACTAAATATTTATGACCTAGAAAAATACATAGGTTCATATATATGTCCCTGATGAGTTTATTTTTCCCAGGGCTTATATCTTAGCTTCTGTTCCTGGGAATGGGGGTGGAGGAGGAGAGAGTTTGGAGACTTACTTCTACCACTCTCTCAATAGTCCAAGCCACATAATGCAAAACACACATCAAGTACTACATTGCTTGTAATTTAAAATTCTTACATTCTTTAAATACATACAGAGTATGATATATATGCATAAGTTATTTTAATATATATCCTAGGAGCAGAAATACTCATTACCTCAATGGTTCTTTAGCATTTGAAAATCCCTATTCAGGAACTGATACCCCAGAGGCAGTAAGTACTTTAAATGTTGCTCTCTGAACTTACACTAGAATTCATTAGCTTGCATGAGGGAAGTTAGAGATATTCTTTCAATGATAACTTGAGTGATGTTAAAGACATGTAGACTGGCTAGAAATAGAGAACGGGTACTTCTAGAAAGAAATTTAAAAATATTAAGAAACCAATAACCTAACACCCTTTGAAAGGTGCTCTATTTCTAGGACCATTTGTTCATGGTCTCCACAACTTTACAGGAAATTCCATTGCCTTTCCTGACCAGAAAGTTGATCCTGCTGTGACAGCACCATTACATCTGCCTCAGGACACTTTTTTTTTTTCCTAAGGTGGTTGTCCGAGTGCCCAAAGGACAGTGAGATGGACTTCACAAAGCTCCCAGAACAGGCTGCATGCCTGCTTTTGTGATTGCTGGACCCTTGATATTTGTATGAGTGACAGACTCTAGTCTGAGATTTGCTTTCTTAGATAATGTGCTAACCTGATAGCCAGGTTACAAGGAGATACGGTTCTTAACTTCTCTTTTATTGGTAAAGGCTACTGATATTTACCAAAATGACCAGACAATTGTGAAGGTCAAATTGGTTTAAATCACTTTGCAATACTGAGAAGCATATTGATAGAATAAGTCACAATTTAGGAAAGTCTTTCTGAAGGTAATGAGTTGCTCTCTAGAGGAACCAAGTTGCTCTCTAGAGGAACTTGTTACTTTAAAAAGTGACAGAGAATTCACACCCCATTCTCCAGCTCTTTCCTTTCTCCACCCTATCTTAGCGTACAAGATCTGCAAAAGCCCATCTGCCCAAAGAATCCTTGGAGAGTTCTCTGAGCTCCTCAGGTAGGTGCTCCATGGCAGATTTGTTTTGATCCCTTTATAAAGTTGAGAATTCTCCAGAGTGAATTCCAGAAATCTCAGGAGATTTTGGAATCTCTTTGTCTTTAGGAAGGGGAAATGATAAACCTGAACACTAGAAAAGGGCAAAAGTAGAAGCAATCTTTGACAAGAACAAGTATAATACCTGTGAACCAACTGGCAGCAAAATCAATGATCAAATGTCAGTTTGTAATCACTCAGGAGATTTTACATCCTTGGGAAAGAATGAGTCTGATTTAGAAAGCTTAAATAATATGTTGCTTTGTATATTTAAACATTCTTGTATTTTGTCTTCTTGTGAGTTATATTCAAAAGAATGTGAAGGGAAACCATATTTAAGAAATTTCTCGTATAATTTACCCATGAGTTAAAAATTATTTTCATGAAGTCCTAGTTTTAAAGCTAGAAAGCACCTCCAGAACAACTAAGTCCATCTCTTTCTTTGTAGATGATAAGTTTGCATTATAACAGCAAATGCATTTCTAGCAGAAAAGTGGTATAAAGGCAGACAAGGTTCGAATCCAGGTTCCAATACTTACAAATGGTATGATTTTGAGTAAATTGCTTGACATCTCTGGGTCCCCAGATTACTCAAGTGTAAAACAAACAATGACGCTGGTCTCCACTTTATAGGGTGGTTGTGAGTGTTCAACAAGGTACAGGGAGTCTCTAGCACAGTGCCTGGCTTCCTGCCTCCCTGCTAGTGCGCAATTGAACTTTTTATTTGTTCATTTTATTGAGAGCAGGATGTTAAACATGCACATGGCTAGCTGCTTATCTTTTCTGGGGAAAATGAGGAGAAAAGGAGCTGGGCAGTGCCTATTCTCCTTGTTTATCCTCCTGTCTTGCAGTTTTAGCTCCTTTCCCATTCGATTTCTTACCTATCTTCTTTGGAGTCATGGCAAGACACTACCAGTCCCTGCTGCTACAGGCTTTGCAGGAGCCTATGGATTCAAAGGGCCTGAGCCCAAATGTAAAACATGACAGTAAGTTTTGAATAGCAACTTTATCTGGAAATCATTCACAACGGCTTCCCAAGCAGTCACAGTGAGGCCTTCTGAGGTATCAAGACTGTTCTACATCTTGCTCTAGGAGGCAGTAAAAATTCACTGTGCACACTGTGTCAGTGACACCTTAATAAAAAGGTAAATTAGAAAAATGACTTTATTTTTGTCTTAGAATCTATCTTTTTACTTTTTAAATTACTGAATAAATGGATTTGTTTTAGAAGTTTACTTTCTAATTCGTGTTTCCTTTTATCAGCAGTTAATATCTTTGAATAGATTGGGTCAAAGATTTCAAAGATTAATAAAGACTTCACCAGGTGGGAATTAAGCATGATCAGAAAGCACAGTGTTTTTCAGCCTTCCTATCTAGAATGAAAACATCTGGTAGAGGAAATGGGACTTTTGGAGGTGAATGAAGTGAAAATGGGAATTGACTTTGTGCTGGTGCCTTTCACCCAGGACTCTACCATCCTGTCAACTATAAAGGCAGACATATTCGCTCTTTTTTCCTCACGACTTAGCCTAATGGCAGGCACGTAGTAGGGTATCAAGAAGTTGGGTGACCACCTATCCTGGGAATATCCTGATTTGTGCCTCTTGGTCATGCTTAGTTAGTCTTCCCCTTTCACTGTCAAGTTTTTTTTTGTTTGGAAGATAAATTATATGGTCATTCTATCAAGAAGTGTTAGTGTTTATGGAAGATGGGTAGAGTCCTGAATGGGAACAAAGACAACAGATCAACTTTTGGTACATTGTATGAGCTAAAATAAACCACTCAATCACACAAATACAGTTTCCTCAGTTGTAAATTCCTGTAAAAAGACAAAAATGTTTACAACATTCTTTAATGAGTAAGCACAGGAGTTAATAAAAACAGGTCACTAATTTTGTAAGCACTTTGTAAAAAACAATGCTTTTTTTAGCATTAATTAATTCAATAAATATTTACTGACTGCCTACTAAGTGCAATGCCTGACACATGAATGCAATGCTAATAAGACAAAGCCAGCACCCGTTGCAAGCACTCCTTGTAAGAGCTTGGACTGGTACAGGATATTTGTGTGGAAACACAGCTTAAAAGGCTGTAGTCACATGAGGAATTACAAGTAGGTGTGGAAAAGTGATTCTATTTAATAGGCTAAAATAGAGACTATATGGAGATATTTCCAAAGTTAGCTCATTGGTGAGGGACAAACTTGTATTCATTAATTCTGTGCTAACTTGTATGGCTACATAGTTATATTGAGCTTTTTTATGTTGCTAGTAACCAGGCATTGCGCATCAGTTCTGAATAGTTTATTCCTTTCTCCAGGTGAAAATTTCAACTTCCCCATGATCTAAAGAGTTTTTGACAGATAAATAATTGGCAAAATAATTTGATTGGCATAAATTTTCTCCAGGCAATAGCTCTAGTGCGTGGTTTACAGCTAGTTAAGCAGATAGCAAAAGGTGGCTGACAAACCTCGTTACAATGGTGCTTGTCCTCTTTTTCTGTTTCTGCTAATTCATCTGCCTATATTTTATTTGTTATATTTTTGAGGGCAATACATGAACTTGTGAAGAAAACTGTTTCATGTCAGCAGCAAATCAACTATAAGAGAGGCTTCCTAGTAACCCCATGATGATGTCATTTGCAGTTACTGTGGTCATGGGATTTCACCTGCCACTAGGAATGTCAAGGGATAGATTCACAGGGAAGTTAAAAAAAGAGAGCTGAATCGATTATCTGGAAATATAAATAAATATTTGTTTGAACCATATAAAATTGAAGTTTTTATAGGTAAAAACAGTAGAATACCAGCAAGATAATATGCCTTAACTGAATAGAACTGCAATGGCAGAAAATTTGTGATTTGAGTAGTCACTCTCTTCAAAGATAAAATTAGGTCTCATTATTTAACTCTACACCTTATTTTGTTTCTGGAAACAAAACCAAAGCCTATTTATCCAAGCTTTACACCCTGATCTTAAAAAAGATCTTTTCCACTCTAACAAATAAACTAGTGTACTCTCTCTGGCAGACTTCATTAATTTATTTCTGAAGGGAGATGATTTTAAGCATGCTGAGACGAAGAGGTGGCCTCTGTAATGTTACAGAACAGCTGCACTGTTGGTTTGCTGGACACTCAGTGTCCCTTAGGACGAATATGGCATGTGGTGCTTCTACTTGAGGAAGCTTCTCTCAGTGATAAGGCAGTGTAGCCTTCACCATTGAGAAAGTGCCAGGCCTTAAAAAGGAGCAAAGGGACTTGGAGACTAAAATAAAACTAAACCAAATGGTGGAAACATGCTCAACTCCTTAATTTATCTGATTAGCTCCAACAGGCGCCACCATGTAGAACATTTGCTCCTATCCCAAATGCTATTAAGGCAGCAGTGGAACTATTTCTAGGCTTGCCTCCAGAATGATGGGGGATGACCTAATAGTGGATTTGGTTTCAGCCTGGAGTCGCTACAAAACGGTGACAGACTGCAGTCACTGCAAAAGTCTTTAGGCATCAAGTGTTCTGAACACATACCTGCCTGGAGGAGATTCCCCAGCCCTGAAGGAATGTTCCTCTAACCTCAGTCCCAACCCAACTCCAACTCCTATTCTATATTATTATGCTTTATTTTTTTAATGCAGAAGCATAGTTGCTTGGACTTAAGAATTCTGCCTAGAAATTGGTTAATGCACACAAGGCTAGTTTAATATGGAATAATTGTCTCTTAAAATTGCACTATGTTGCTGTGGAGGGTGCCAAGAGGGACAAAGCTATCTTATGCTGTTCTGCGGTCTGGGATAGGAATTATCAGTAGGAGAAAAACTTTGAAGTCTTTGTGTTCAGGCAACATATAGAAATTCTGATAACCCTTCTCTAACCGTCTTCAAAATCAATATGCCTGTGCCCCAGTCCTCAATCAATCTCACCACTAGTTGTGTGTCCTTGAATTATGAATTACTCAACCTCTCTGGGACTGACTATTCATTCATTTGCACACAGAAAACGTCTGGAAGATCTCTAAGGATCTTGAAAATACTAACATGCTATGAGTATAAGTGTAAAAATACCTTTAAAAGTTGAAAATGATGTATAGATAATTATTATAAAAAATTCCCAAAATTAGCACTTCCAATTCTGCTGTTTAGTGACTGGCCAATATTATGAACTCCATTTTACAGATGTGTAGATGATTTTTCAAGTAACTTAATTGAAATGTTTATGGAACACCTATGCTAGGTACAGAAGCTTAGAAGCTTATCCAGGTTTGTTGGGCCAGAATCTCTTGATTCAGAGGGCCCTCTTTACTATACCTATATCTATCTATCTATATAAAAAATTAGGTATGAAGTGAATATTTAAGAGTGAATATTTCTAGAATGAGAAAAGAAATCACAGCAAGTTACCAGAGTCTTAGAGATTCAAGTCTCTTTTTTTTCTGAGCTCCCTTTAAGTAATTTATCTGAATTGTTTACATAGAAATGCTTTTGATTGAAACCTGGCTTCCCCTCCTTACCTAGACAGAATATTCTGTAGCTTCCAGCAATGTGCCACACTAAGTGGGGCCTGTGCAAGTGAACAGCCCTGAAAGTTAAGGTTTATGAAGCTTCACATAAATCTGCCTCTGACTAAATTCTTTAGGGATTCAAGACATATAAGACATGGTTTGCATACCCAAGTAAATTACAGTGACTTACAGCCATTAGACCTACAAGAAAATAGCTACTTGGTATTGTTTATCCACGTGAAACAGTTCTACTAGCAAAAGGATTCAAATGGAAACACTTTTTTTATTTAAAATTTTATTGTGAATTAAACTTAGACCTACAGAAAAGTTGCAAAAATGTTACGTAAAGTGCCCATACTTCACTCACCTTCCCCTTATGTTAACACCTTACAATGTACATTTGTTGATACCAGGAAATAAGCATTCTTAGAATACCATTAACTAAATTACAGACTTTATTCAAATCTTACCAGGTTTTTAACCAAATTTTCACCATGAATCCATTTCTGTTTCAGGATCCAAATCAGGATCCCACACTGCATTCAGTAGTCATGTCTCCTCAGTCTCTTCCTATTTGTAAGTCCCTCAATCTCCCCTCAACTTTCATGACCTTGACACTTTTATTTTCTTTGAGACAGAGTCTCGCTCTGTCATCCACTGCAGTGGTGCAGTCTCGGCTCACTGCAATCTCCGCCTCCCGGGTTCAAGCGATTCCCCTGTCTCAGCCTCCCGAGTAGCTGGGACTACTGGCATGTGCCACCACGCCCGGATTTTTTTTTGTATTTTTAGTAGAGACAGGGTTTCATCGTGTTAGCCAGGATGATCTCGATATACTGACCTCATGATCAGCCCACCTGGGATTACAGGCATGAGCCACCACGCCCAGCCGACCATGACACTTTTAAAGAGTCCTGCAGGCTGGGCACAGTGGCTCACACCTGTAATCCCAGCACTTTGGTAGGCTGAGGCAGGCAGATCACCTGAGATCAAGAGTTCGAGACCAGCCCAGCCAACATGGCAAAACCCCGTCTCTACTAAAAATACAAAAATTAGCTGGGTGTGGTGGCGGGCACCTGTAATCCCAGCTACTTGCCTCCAGATTGGTGGAGGATGAACTAATAGTGGATTTGGTTTCAGCCTGGAGTTGCTGTGAAATGGTGACACACTGCAGTCAATGCAAAAGTCTTCAGGCCTCGAGTGTTCTGAACACATACCTGCCTGGAGGAGATTCTCCAGCCCTGAAGGAATGAAGGAATGTTCCTCTAACCTCAGTCCCAACCTAGCAATGAGCCGAGATGGCGCCATTGCACGCTGTCTTAAAAAAAAAAAAAAAAAAAAATCCTGCTTAAGTATTTTGTAGAATATTTATCAATTTCTGTTGTCTTATGTTTTCTTATGAATAGATCGAGGCTATGCATTTTTGGCACAAATACTACAGAAATGATGTTGTACTCCTAGCTCATAATCCAATATCATTACTTATTTTCTTGCTAAATTGTTTCAACTTCGGTCTTTCAAAGCTACTTTAGGCTGGCTCCTGTTATCATTTCAACATGCCTTCATCCTTTTTTTGAGCATTTCTTTACTTTGTGGCACCAAAAGTGTTCTAAGCTCATCTTATATTTTCCCTTCCCCAGCTCTGGAATCAATCAGTTTTCCAGGAAGCCTGATATTAGGTCTTCGTGATTGGTGTGTTCTTCTCTTTTTTCCTAAAGTTCTGGGCCTTCAATGGTTTATTTCCTGAAACTAATAAATATATGCATTATCATTCACTAGGAGCGGGTCTGTGTATACTTTTTCTAAACTGAAATTGTAAAGGAACCTTGAATATGAGTTCTGGCCACATTATCAAAGGCCAGGCATAAGCCTCCAGGACATTCAAGCAAGCTTTTCAAGGACATTGCTCAAGAAAGAAGTTATTTCTGACATTTCTCTTCCCTTATTTCCCATGTCTAACTGGCTGCATCTGTGAATCCTCTCACAAGTCTGTCCCCTCTGCTCATCTTCACTGCCACTTCACTGGTTTTGGTCCTTCCCTGGCCCATGTCACAGCCTCCTGATGGTCTTCCTGATTTCATTCTCTCTTTCCTTCAACTCATCTTCCACATGGATGCATAAATAATCATTCCATTTGCAGATCCAACCTCATTGCTTACTCCTAAAGCTAGAAGAGGATGGTTTTTCTACATTTTGATGGTTTTTCTGAGCCTATCATTGGCGATATAGTTCTCTCATATTAATAGTGGTGGTTCTCAAACTTTTTGTGTAAGAGAATCATCTGGAGGGCTATTAAAATATAGCTTGCTAGGGTCCACTGCCAGATTTCCATGCTAGTAGGTCTGGGATGTAGTCTGAGAATGTGTACTTCCTGCAAGTTTCCACGTGATGCTGATGATGCTGCTTCAGGTAACTACTGACCAACAAGATAATGTCCAAACAGCTTAACGAGAAACTTAAGACCTTTTAACAACTAGGTCTTTGTACCTCCCATCTCTCTACTTTTTTTCTCAAACATGCTGTTCTTTTTCATGTCTTGCATGACCTCTGCATATAGTAATTTCCCAACAGTTCTGCCTGTTCATCTTTGTCTCCTACGTTTTTCTACATTTTGCAGATTACTATTCTGGCTCCCCTCTTTCCTATTCTTCCAACTTGAGAAGGCTTGTTATTCCTCTGGGGCCCAATAGTACTTGATACATAGCTTACTATGAAAATTACAACTTGGTGTTGGATTTAGTAATTTACTCATTCACCCAGTAGTTCTTGAGTTCTCTAGAAGCAGGACAGTTCCAAGTTCTTCTTTAGTCTTGGTTCTCCAGCTCTCAGTCCTCACAGCACCCAGTCTAGAATAGGCACTGAATAAATGTTGAGAGAAACACAACATTTTCAAGGAAGGTATTATGATCTTTACACTAAAGGAGGTAATAAAGAGTTTCCAAGAACACTTCAAGATCTATTACTGTTATATTACAGGTGAAAGTTTATTTTAAATAAGAGATTATCTTAAGATATGGAATTAGCTAAAAGATTTAGGAACTCTGATCACTTATTGAAACCAGGTAATTTGAATCAGGATTCTCACACAAGTTTAGGATGGCCTAGTGGTCTGGCAACATGGCATCAAGTGAAACAGATTTGGCAGTTCTGCTGTGATCCAGACTGGTAATTAAGTCTTCTTTTCTGTGTGGGCTGTTAATTGGTCTACCTGAAGAATTGCCAATCCCCATTTGTAGTCTGTAGACAGTATTATTTACTGTCAACAGATGTCAGCTATTATAGTGACCATCCTTAGTCTTCTTAATTACATCATACCCATCAACTGAAATCTAGAACCAGGGTTCTTAACCAACTCTTGATGGTCATTGAAAAGATTTGGTGGCCTATGAACATGGATGGAAAACAATCACATATTAATTTTCACCAAGTTATAACTGAAGTATTTCCTTCAATTAATTACTGATATAGGCAACAAATACAATTGTATTGGGGGTACCTGATAACTTTTTGTCATTGATAGAAATCATCTATATTTTTATACTGTATTATAGCAGTTATTTCTGCTTACAATTATTTCAAAATTACAATAGTTATTAGATGTGCTAATAAAGGAGCACATACACTATTATATCACACATTTTGAAATATTTTGATATCTGTATTTCAAAATCAGTTGCTTTCTCTATAAGTGTTGTTTACATATTTAACACAGAATCCTATGTGTGCTATTTTATATATTTAAAACATTATTCTGAGAGTGGATCCATATCTTTTAAGGGGATCTTGAAGTGGTCCATGACACCAGAAAGGTGAAGAACCTCCACTGTAGAAGGTAAGGTTAGGATTGAACTCTGTTGACGTTCACTGCATAACATAGTTTTGTAGGAGAATTTTTAAAAAGCAATAGAAAAAATATCAAGTTTACTTTGGATACTCAAGTGTCCATTTAAGGAGTTCATAAAATAAAACAATGATTAATGAATTATAGCAGAACATTTTCTCCTATTATGTACAAACTGCAAGTGAAATAGTCTTTGATTTCTTGGGCCACATGCTCGCAGTACGGTAATAGTTAAATTAATTTCTAATATGTCTCATCTCATTATGGATCTGTGCAATAGTCTCTTTCAATTTTAAATTGAACTTCAGGGGAGATTAAATACTTAGGTATTCCAGTTTGTATAAAATTTCTAGATTCATACAAATTAAACTTCCTCTGTCTAAATGACCCTAATCATTCTAATTTAGCTAGATGGAGCTTATTTCCTTTTGACAGGGCTTGTCATGTTGAATCTTACCCAGGGAGATGAACAGCATGCCAAGTGGGTAATAAGTATTCCAGATGTTGCCTTGCTGCTTTCCAACAAAGTTATTAATAAAAGTCAGTTGCTTCTTATCTTTTTTTATCCTCTAATATTGCTGAGAATCTAAACTTCCTTTCTCCCAATTAAGATATGGTAATTTAAAAGTACAGTAAATGGGCTGCTGCAGAGGAAGGTGATTTTTATATAAGTGGCTATCCATCATGAATGGTACATCAGGGATTCTTAGGGCAATCTGAGGCTTGATGGGACTGTGGGTGGGAAAAAGTGAAGGAGAATATGAAAAAGATTTGACAGAGCTCTGAGTCTCAGATTGTTCATGTGTGCTGGGGAAGATTGAGCATCAAAAGAGCCATTTTATTTACTTTTGGCTGGAATAAGAATACAGGTGGGAATAGCTACCACTATAGCCACTTGATTAAAATTGATCTCCCCTAGTTAGACTGTGGTGGGAAGCCTTGAAAGACTCTTGGTCCACCTTCTATGCATACCTACATCCCGTCTCTGCAGCGGCCCTGAGAGGCCTCTATGCAACAACTACCAAGGTCCTTTGGTGGGAATTCACGTGTCTGTCATCAAGAAACTGAAATGAAAGTGTGTTTGGACTGCAGAGAGGAGAACAGTGGTGGCTGAAGGGAGATATGAGCCTGGAGAGAGATTCAGAGGCCAAAAGTTACAAGGCCTGATTTCAGGACAACTTCTACATAAAAACATGCCTTTTAAAGCTTACTGGAAATATCTAATTTTTATTAGGTATAAGAAAATTAGATATTATTCAGAGCTAGGAAAAGCCTAATCATAATAGATAATGTTAATTATAATACTTTGCCAGTGTGATGGCTTGAGTCTCTTTCAAAACACTTTGGGCTTGGTGGATTTTATGTGAATTTTCCTTCAATTAAAAAAAACTGGGCTTCCTTTTACTTTGCTCTCTCTCCTTTTAAATTCAAAGCCATGGAAAAGCTTTTGTATTTTAAAAGGTATAGAGGGGTGGTTAATATTACTTTAGAGAAAGAAGAGATGTAAATAATTGGCAAAGTGAAATAAAGTTATTTTCAGAAAACAGTCTTAATCAGCAACAGAACTCACATTTGCACATTCATATATATATATACACACAGCCTTGCACTGTCTCTCATCCTTTGATTTTGGTTATAGCTAACAATAACCTGACATCTAGTTTAAACCACTTTGAACTTTAAAGTGGAAGAAATTTTGCATTAACACCATGTTTGCTATGAAATCAGTACTTCCAGCGTTTCCAATATGCTTGAATGGTTATGTGGATTTTTTTATTCAGACACAATTTCCTCAAATGTCAACAAAGAAATGCCATTCTGGGTGCAAATATTTTTCTCTCCTATCATCTCCATTAGTTTTTCAACTTTATTAACTATTGAAATTATTAAACTGAGCTATACTGACATCTGCTGGACAAAAATCTGCCTTAATAATTAGACAGATTTAATAACTAGGTAGTTACTATTGAGTAGGAAGCAAAGCTATATTAAACAAAATAGAAAGTAAAACTAAGTTAAACATAGCATCATTAACTTATATGTAATACATCTAAGTAAACATTTCTAAGTCCATTTCTCTAGCTGGTGAAATTGTTATTTCAATTTGGTGGTTTAACACACATTTTCTGTGCACCCATAAGCATTACACACTGCATATACTCAGAGGGTCTGGTGTAGATAACAGGGTCCTTTCTTGAAAGGAGTGGAGGGTCTGGTGGGGAAGACATACTGTATATATAAACAGATATTTTCGCGAGTGTTCTCTCCAAGCTGCCTTCTGTCAGCATCACAGTGGATGGTCCTGTACCCATTGTTCCCAGAACATCTTTGT
Source organism: Homo sapiens (assembly GCF_000001405.40). Lineage (NCBI taxonomy): Eukaryota > Metazoa > Chordata > Mammalia > Primates > Hominidae > Homo > Homo sapiens. The sequence goes on from NC_000002.12 coordinate 210,400,054, forward strand.
GCAGGGAACAAACCAGAGCAGGATCATTTTGTCTGTTAAGCAATACAGACATAGTTATTTGGGCATAGGAATTTTTCATGGGCCTATAAATATGGGTGTGTATTCTAAAATGCAACACAACAACAGAAAATTAAGATTACCAAATTTCAAATTAAATGTCTATAGAAAATATAATGTTAACTTCTCTATTTTTAAAACTGAGTATTCATGAATTTTAGGTTAGACACCTTCACTTCTCAGGAATTCCTGGTTATGTGTGATGAGTTCTAAAAAATCACAGCCAATTATTAAAACCATTAAACAATATTTGTAGCCAAATATTGTCAAAAGAAAAAGCATAACAATCTTTTAAAAATTTATTAAAATTTTAATAGAAAAATTAAAGTGAAATGTACATGCACTTTTAATGTACTTGAGGTAACGTGGGGAGAGATTATGATGATCTTTTAATTGCCTTTTAATTGAGCTAAGACAGAAGCTGAGCAGAAAAGGGGTTGGGATGTGCATGCTCTCAAAGGGAGGGTGTACTACAGTTACGGAGAGGAGAAGTCATGAGCAAAAGAACAGAAGTATGACTGATTGACTGACTATAGATCGAATTGGAATAAAGGGATGATTGATATTGAAACAGTGGTTTTCAAACTTGACCAACATCACAATCACTTGGAGGATTTGTTAAGGCATATTGCTATTCCCTGCCTCCAGAGTTTTTGACTTAGCAGGTCTTGATTGGACCCTAGAATGTGCATTTCTGTCAAGTTCTCGGTAATAAAAATTTATGTTGCTGTTCCACACTGCATTTTGAAAACCAATGGTCTGAGATAATATGCAACTTTTTTTGCCTTGAACACCCAGGTATTTGGTAATACTATTAATTGTCTTAGGAAGTTCAGATGAAGGGACAACATAGAGGAGTGGGAAATAGAAAAGATGATGAATTTGGCTTTTTTAAGGAAACAGAAGAAAATCCATCAAAGCCAAACCTACAGAAGGTCTTCTAGTATGCCTCAATAAAATGTGAAAGCAACTCCTGTTATTCAAAGTAATATTATTTTCTTATTTTAAAATCTTATTTTAACTCAAGTTAAAGCATTGAAGTTACCTAAGATGCTAGTATTTGATACATGATACATTGGAATCTGTGTTTTACCCTGGTTTATAAATAGCTTAAAATCCACTTTTATTTATTTATTTTTTATTATACTTTAAGTTCTGGGGTACATGAGCAGAACGTGCAGTTTTTTTACATAGGTATACACGTGTCTTAGTGATTTTCTGCACCTATCAACCTGTCACCTACATTAGGTATTTCTCCTAATGCTATCCCTCCCCTAGACCCTCACCTCTTGACAGGCCCCGGTGTCCATATGTTCTCATTGTTCCCCTCTCTGTGTCCCCGGTGATGCTCCCCTCTCTGTGTCCATATGTTCTCATTGTTCAGCTCCCAATTATGAGTGAGAACATGTGCTGTTTGGTTTTCTGTTCTTGTGTTAGTTTGCTGAGAATGATAGTTTCCAGCTTCATCCATGTCCCTGCAAAGGATGTGAACTCATCCTTTCCATTGGCTGCATAGTATTCCATGGTTTGTATGTGCCACATTTTCCTTATCCAGTCCATCATTGATAGACATTTGAGTTAGTTCCAAGTCTTTGCTATTGTGAATAGTACTGCAATAAACATACGTGTGCATGTGTCTATAGTAGAATGATTTATAATCCTTTGGGTATATACCCAGTAATGGGATTGCTGGGTCAAACGGTATTTCTTGTTCCAGATCCTTGAGGAATCGCCACACTGTCTTCCACAATGGTTGAACTAATTTACACTCCCACCAACAGTGTAAAAGCGTTTCTATTTCTCCACATCCTCTCCAGCATCTGTTGTTTCCTGAGTTTTTAATGATTGCAATTTGATACACGATACATTGGAATCTGTGTTTTACACTAGTTTATAAATAGCTTCTAATTGGTGTGAGATGGTATCTCACTGAGGTTTTGATTTGCATTTTTCTAATGACCAGTGATGATGAGCTTTTTTCCATATGTTTTTTTCTTGACTACATAAATGTCTTCTTCTGAAAAGTGTCTCTTCATAGCCTTCACCCACTTTTTGATGGGGTTGTTTTTCTCTTGTGAATTTGTTGAAGTTCCTTGTAGATTCTGGGTATTAGCCCTTTTGTCAGATAGATAGATTGCAAAAAATTTCTCCCAGTCTGTAGGTTGCCTGTTCACTCTGATGATAGTTTCTTCTGCTGTGCAGAAGCTCTTTACTTTAATTAGATCCCATTTGTCAATTTTGGCTTTTGTTGCCATTGATTTTGGTGTTTTAGACATGAAGTCTTTGCCCATGCCTATGTCCTGAATGGTATTGCCTAGGTTTTCTTTTAGGATTTGTATGATTTTAGGTCTTACATTTAAGTCTTTAATCTATCTTGAGTTAATTTTTCTATAAGGTGTATGGAAGGGGTCCAGTTTCAGTTTTCTGCATATGGCTGGCCAGTTATCCCAACACCATTTATTAAATAGGAAGTCCTTTCCCCATTGCTTGTTTTTGTCAGGTTTGTCAAAGATCAGATGGTTGTAGATGTATGGTGTTATTTCTGAGGCCTCTGTTCTGTTCTAGTAGTCTATATATCTCTTTTGGTACCAGTATCATGGTGTTTTGGTTACTGTAGCCTTGTAGTATTGTTTGAAGTCAGGTATCATGAAACCTCCAGCTTTGTTCTTTTTGCTTAGGATTGTCTTGGCTATGTGGGCTCTTTTTCATTTCCATATGAAGTTTAAAGTAGTTTTTTCTAATTCTGTGAAGAAAGTCAATGGTAGCTTGATGGGGATAGCATTGACTCTAGAAATTACTTTGGGCAGTATGGCCATTTTCATGATATTGATTCTTCCTATCCTTGAGCATGGGATGTTTTTCCATTTGTTTGTGTCCTCTCTTATTTCCTTGAGCAGTGATTTGTAGTTCTCCTTGAAGAGGTCCTTCACATCCCTTGTAAGTTGTATTCCTAGGTATTTTATTCTCTTTGTAACAATTGTGAATGGGAGTTCACTCATAATTTGGCTCTCTGTTCGTCTGTTATTGATGCATAAGGGTGCTTGTGATTTTTGCACATTGATTTTGTGTCCTGAGACTTTGCTGAATTTGCTTATCAGCTTAAGGAGATGTTGGGCTGAGATGGTGGGGTTTTCTAAATATAAAATCATGTCATCTGCAAACAGAGACAATTTGACTTCCTCTCTTCCTATTCGAATACTCTGTTTATTAGCATGAAGGAGCATTGAATTTTGTCGAAGGCCTTTTCTGCATCTATTGAGATAATCATGTGGTTTTTGTCATTGGTTCTCTGTATGTGATGGATTACATTTATTGATTTGTGTGTATTGAACCAGCCTTGCATCCCAGATATGAAGCCAACGTAATCATGGTGGATAAGCTTTTTGATGTGCTGCTGGATTTGGTTTGCCAGTATTTTATTGAGAATTTTTTCATCGATGTTCCTCAGGGATATTGGCCTGACATTTTCTTTTTTTGTTGTGTCTCTGCCAGGTTTTGGTATGAGGATGATGCTGGCCTCATAAAATGAGTTAGGGAAGAGTCCCTCTTTTTCTATTGTTTGGAATAGTTTCAGAAGGAATAGTACCAGCTCCTCTTTGTACCTCTGGTAGAAGTCGGCTGTGAATCCGTCAGGTCCTGGACTTTTTTTGGTTGGTAGGGTGTTAATTACTGCTTCAGTTTCAGAACTTGTTATTGGTTTATTCAGGGATTCGACTTCTTCCTGGTTTAGACTTAGGAGGGTGTATGTGTTCAGGAATTTTCCATTTCTTCTAGATTTTTTAGTTTATTTGCATAGAGGTGTTTATAGTATTCTCTGATGGTAGTTTATATTTCTGTGTGATCAATGGTGATATCCCCTTTTTCATTTTTCAGTGTGTCTATTTGATTCTTCTCTCTTTTCTTATTAGTCTTGCTAGTGGTCTATCTATTTTGTTGATCTTTTCAAAAAACCAGCTCCCGGATTCATTGATTTTTTTTGTAGGGTTTTTGTGTCTCTATCTCCTTCAGTTCTGCTCTGATCTTAGTTATTTCTTGTCTTCTGCTGGCTTTTGAATTTGTTTGTTCTTGCTTCTCTAGTTGTTTTAATTGTGATGTTAGTGTGTCAATTTTAGATATTTCCTGCTTTCTTTTGTGGGCATTTAGTGCTATAAATTTCCCTCTACACACTGCTTTAAATATGTCCCAGAGATTCTAGTACATTGTATCTTTGTTCTTTTTGGTTTCAAAGAACATCTTTATTTCTGTCTTAATTTTGTTATTTACCCAGTAGTCACTTAGGAGCAGATTGTTCAGTTTCCTTGTAGTTGTGTGGTTTTGAGTGAATTTCTTAATCCTGAGTTCTAATTTGATTGCACTGTGGTCTGAGAGACTGTTTGTTATGATATCCATTTGATTGCATTTGCTGAGGAGTGTTTTACTTCAATCTATGTGGTCAAGTTTAGAATAAGTGCAATGAGGCGCTGAGAAGAATGTATAGGCTGTTGATTTGGGGTGGAGAGTTCTGTAGATGTCTATTAGATCTGCTTGGTCCAGAGCTCAGTTCAAGTCCTAAATATTCATGTTAATTTTCTGTCTCGTTGATCTGTCTAATGTTGACAGTGGGGTGTTAAAGTCTCTCACTATTATTGTGTGGGAGTCTAAGTCTCTTTGCAGGTCTCTAAGAATATATATATATATATATATATATGCAACAAGAAGAGCTAATATATATATATATATAAACAAGAAATAACTATATATAGTTAACAAGAAATAACTATACATATATAACTATATTTATTTCTTGTTATATATATATATATATATATATATATATATATATATATATATATATTAGCTCTTCTTGTTGCATTGATCCCTTTACCATTATGTAATGCCGTTCTTTGTCTCTTTTGATCTTTGTTGGTTTAAAATCTGTTTTTTCAGAGACTAGGATTACAACCCCTGCTTTTTGCTTTTTTTTGGTTTCCATTTGCTTGGTAAATATTCCTCCATCCCTTTATTTTGAACCTATGTGTGTCTTTGCACATGAGATATGTCTCCTGAATACAGCACACCGATGGGTCTTGACTCTTTTTCCAATTTGCCAGTCTGTGTCTTCTAATTGGGGCATTTAGCCCATTTACAATTAAAGTTAATATTGTTATGTGTGAATTTGATCCTATCATTATGATGGTAGCTGGTTATTTTTTCCGTTTCTGATGCTGTTTCTTCATAGCATTGATGGTCTTTACAATTTGGCATGTTTTTGCAGTAGCCGTTACTGGTTGTTCCTTTCCATATTTAGTGCTTCCTTCAGGAGCTCTTGTAATGCAGGCCTGGTGGTGACAAAATCTCTCAGCATTTGCTTGTCTGTAAAGGATTTTATTTCTCCTTTGCTTATGAAGCCTAGTTTGGCTGGATATGAAATTCTGTGTTGAAAATTCTTTTAAGAATGTTGAATATTGGCCCCCACTCCCTTCTGGCTTGTAGGGTTTCAGCCGAGAGACCTGATGTTAGTCTGATGGGCTTCCCTTTGTGGGTAACCTGACCTTTCTCTCTGGCTGCCCTTAACATTTTTTCCTTCATTTCAACCTTGGTGGATCTGACAATTATGTGTCTTGGGATTGCTCTTCTCGAGTAGTATCTTTGTGGTGTTCTCTGTATTTTTAAAATTTGAATGTTGGCCCATCTTGCTAGGTTGGGGAAGTTCTCCTGGATAATATCCTGAAGAGTGTTTTCCAACTTGGTTTCATTATCCCCATCACTGTCAGGTACACCAATCAAATGTGGATTTTGTCTTTTCACATAGTCTGATATTTCTTGAAGGGTTTGTTTGTTCCTTTTCATTCTTTTTTTTTTTCTAATCTTCTCACTTTATATCATTAAGTTCATCTTCAATCTCTGATATCCTTTCTTCCTCTTGATTGATTTGGCTATTGATACTTGTGTATGCTTTACAAAGTTCTCGTGCTGTGTTTTTCAGCTCCATCAGGTCATTTACATTCTTTAAACTGGTTATTCTAGTTTGCAATTCATCTAACTTTTTTTTTGAGGTTCTTAGCTTCCTTGCGTTGGGTTAGAACATGTTCCTTTAGCTCAAAGGGGTTTGTTACTACCCGCCTTCCAAAACCTGCTTCTGTCAATTCATCAAACTCATTTTCCATCCAGTTTTTTTTCCCTTGCTGGTGAGGAGTTGTGATCCTTTGGAGGAGAAGAGGCTTTCTGGTTTTTGGAATTTTCAGCCTTTTTGCACTGGTTTCTCCCCATCTTTTTGGATTTATCTACCTTTGGTCTTTGATATTGGTGACCTTCGTATGGGGCCTCTGAGTGGATGTGCTATTCCTTTCTGTTTGTTAGTTTTCCTTCTAACAGGCCCGTCTGCTTCAGGTCTGTTGGAGTTTGCTGGAGGTCCACTCCAGACCCTGTTTTTCTAGGTATCACCAGTGAAGGCTGCAGAACAGCAAAGATTGCTGCCTGTTCTTTCCTCTGGGAGCTTTGTCCCAGAAGGGCATCCACCAGATGCCAGCCAGGGCTCTCCTGTATGAGATGTCTCTCAGCCCCTACTGGGAGGTGTCTCCCAGTCAGGGACCCACCTGAGGAGGCAGTCTGACCCTTAGCAGAGCTCGAACACTGTGCTGGGAGATCCACTGCTCTCTTCATAGCCTTCAGGCAGGGATGTTTAAGTCTGCTGAAGCTGCACCCACAGCCACCCCTTCCCCCAGGTGCTCTGTCCCAGGGAGATGAGGGTTTTTATAAGTCCCTGACTGGGGCTGCTGCCCTTTTTTCAGAGATGCCCTGCCCAGAGAGGAGTAATCTAGAGAGGCAGTCTGGCCACAGTGGCCTTGCTGAGCTACAGTAGGCTCTGCCCAGTTTGAACTTCCCCATGGCTTTGTTTACACTGTGAGGGTAAAACCACCTCCTCAAGCCTCAGCAATGGCAGACGCCCCTCTTCCCACCAAGCTCGAGTGTCCCAGGTCAACCTGACTGTTGTGCTGGCAGCGAGAATTTCAAGCCTGTGGATCTTAGCTTGCTGGCCTCCTTGGGGTGGGACCCACCAAGCCATACCACTTGGCTCCCTGGCTTCAGCCCCCTTTCCAGGGGAGTGAATGGTTCTGTCTCACTGGCATTCCAGGCACCACTGGGGTATGGAAAAAAAAATAACTCCTGCAGCTAGCTCAGTGTCTGCCCAAATGGATGCCCAGTTTTGTGCTTGAAACCCAGGGCCCTGGTGGTGTAGGCACTGGAGGGAATCTCCTGGTGTGTGGGTTGCGAAGACTGTGGGAAAAGTGCACTATCTGGGCTGGAGTGCACCATTCCTCAGGCACAGTCCTTCATGGTTTCCCTTGGGTAGGGGAGAGAATTCCCTGACCCCTTGTGCTTCCCGGGTGAGGCGACACCCCATCTGCTTTGGTTTGTCCTCCACAGGCTGCACCCACTGTCTAACCAGTCCCAATGAGATGAACCGGGTACCTCAAGTGGAAATGCAGAAATCACCTGCCTTGTGCATCAGTCTCTCTGGGAGCTGCAGACCAGAGCTGTTCCTATTTGGCCATCTTGCCAGCAGTCTCAAAAATCCACTTTTAATAATGAAATTTAATATAACATTTTCAGAACTGCTTCAGACTTGAGCTTGAAAATGACCAATCTGGCACAAAATTCTCAATGTATGGCAAGTATTGTGAAGCTCAAAGTGGTGAAGTGATATTTAAATGTAAGGTACAATATTGTTAAGTACAATATGGTATAGCAGATGTCTAGAATTTTTTCATCTTGCATGACTGAAACTCTATACTCATTGAACTTCCCATTTTTCCCCTTCCCCCAGCCCCTAGAAACCATCATTCTTCTTTCTGCTATTATGCATTTGACTATTTTAGGTATCTCATATAAGTGGAATCATGAAGTATTTATCCTTCTGTGATGGGCTTATTTCACCTAGTGTAATGTCCTCAAAGTTCATACAGGTTGTAGCATATGTCAGAATTTCCTCCTTTTTTATGGCTGATAATATTCTATTGTATGTACATACCACATTTTCTTTATCCATTTATCCATGGATAGATTATACCACTTGGCTACTGTGAATAATGTTCCAATAAACATGAGAGGACAGATATCTCTTTGAGATTCTGATTTCAGTTCTCTTGGAAAAATATCCAGAAGTGGTATTCCTGAATTACATGGTGGTTCTGTTTTTCATTTTTAGAAGAAACTCCATACTGTTTTCCATAATGGCTACACCATTTTAGATTTGCATTAACCATGTGAAAGCATTCCAATTTGTCCACATCCTTGCCGACACGTGTTATTTTCTGTATTTTTTTTTGTATTTTTTGTTTTTAATAATGGTCATCCTAGCAGGTATGATATGTTACCTCATTGTAATTTTGATTTGCATTTTTCTGATGATTCGTGATGTTGAGCATCTTTTCATATACTTGTTGAACATTTGTATGTCATCTTTAGAGAAGTGTCTATTCAGGTACTTTGCCCATTTTAATTATATATATTTTTTGCTATTGAGTTATAGGAGCTCATTACATGCTTTAGATATTAACCCCTTGCTATTGTCTGAATTTTGTGTCCTTTTAAAATTCATATGTTAAAATCTAATCCTCAATGTGTTTGTATTAAGAGGTAGAACCTTTGGGAGGTGACTAGGTCATGAGGGCATAGCTCTCATCACTGGAACTGGTGCCTTTATAGGACCAACTGAGGGAGCTCATTTGCCTCTTCTGCCATGTGAGGATGCAGCAAGAAGGCACCATCTTTGAAGCAGAGAGAGAGCCCTCATCAGACACAGAATCTGCTGGTATCTTGATCTAGGACTTTCTAGCATCCAAAACTAAGAGCAATAAAATTGTTGTTTATAAATTACCCAGTCTAAGATATTTTGTTACAGTAGCCCAAACAGACTAAGACACCCCTTATTATATACAAACATACCTTGAAGATATTGCAGGTTTGGTTACTGAACACTGCAATGAAGTATTGCAATAAAGTGAGTCACACAAGTTTTTTGGTTTCCCAGTACATATAAAAGTTATGTTTATACTATACTGTAGTATATTAAGTGAGCAATAACATTATGTCTTCAAAAAGTACATATCTTAATTCAAAAATACTGTATTGCTGAAAAAAATCATAATAATTATCTGAGTTTTTTGCTGGTGGAGGGTTTTACCTCAATCTTGATGGCTGCTGGCTGATCAGTGTGGTGGTTGCTGAAGGTTGGGTGGCTGTGGCAATTTCTTAAGATGAGACAACAATGAAGTTTGCCACATCAATTGACTCTTCCTTTCATGACAGATTTCTTTGCATCATGTGATGCTGTTTGCATGTGATAGCATTTTACTCACAGTAGAACTTCTTTCAAAATCAGAGTCAGTCCTCTCAAATCCTGCTGCTGCTCCATCAACTAAATTTATTTAACATTCTAATTGTTTTGTTGTCGTTTCAACGATGTTCATTTCAACGATGTTCATAGCGTCTTCATCAGGAGAGCTTTCATCTTAAGAAACCACTTTCCTTGCTCATTCATAGAAAGCAACTGCTCATCCATCCAAGTTCTATCATGAGATAGCAGCAATTTAGTCATATTTTCAGGGTCCATTTCTTTCTAGATCTCTTACTGTTTCTATCACATTTGCAGTAATCTCCTCCACTGAAGTCTTGAATGCCTCAGTTATCCATGAGATTACATTAAGTTCTAAACTCCTGTTAGTGTTGATATTTTCACCCCTCCCATGAATCATAAATGTTCCTAAATGGCATCTAGAATGCTGGCTCCTTTTCTGAGGTTTTCAGTTTACTTTGACCAGATCATCACACAAATCACAATCTATGGCAGCTATGGCCTTACAAAATGTATTTCTTAAGTCATAAGTCTTGAAAGTCAAAATTACTCCTTGATCCACAGGCTGCAGAAAGAATGTTGTGTTAGCAGGCATGAAACCATTAATCTCCTGTACCTCTCCGTCAGAGCACTTGGGTGACCAAGTACATTGTCAGTGAGCAGTAATCTTATAAAATAAATCTTTTTTTTTCCTGATCAGCAGATCTCAATAGTGGGCTTAAAATATTCAGTAAACTGTGCTGTAAACAGATGTGCTGTCATCCAAGCTTTGTTGTTCCATTCACAGAGCACAGGCAGGGTATAATTAGCATAATTTTCCAAGGCCCTAGAATTTTTGGAATTGTCAGTGAGCACAGGCTTCAAGTCATCAGTTGCATTAGCCCCTAACAAGAGAGTCAGAGTGACTTTTGAAGCTATGAAATCAGACATTGGCTTCTCCTCTCTACCTGTGAAAGTCCTAGATAACATCTTCTTTTAATATAAGGCTGTCTATATTGAAAATCTGTTGTTTAGTGTAGCCACCTTTGTCGGTAATCTAAGCTAGATCTTCTGCTGCAGGTTCTACATCAGCACTTGCTGTTTCACTTTGTACTTTTATGTTACAGAGATGGCTTCTTTCCTTAAACCTCATAAAACAACCTATGCTAGCTTCGAACTTTTCTTCTGTAGCTTCCACACCTCTCTCAGCCTTCAGAGAACTAAAGAGAGGTAGGGTCTTCCTCTGGATTAGGCTTTGGCATAAATGAATGTGGCAGAGTTGATCTCCTATCCAGATCACTCAAACTTTTTCCATGTCAGCAATAAAGGTGTCTTACTTTTTTTTATTATTTGTGTGTTCACTGGAGTTGCATTTTTAATTTTCTTTAAAGCTTTTCATTTGCATTCACAACTTGGTGCAAAAGTCCTCACTTTAAGCCTATCTCAGCTTTTGACATGCTTTTCTCACTAAGTTTAACTATTTCTAGCTTTTGACTTAAAGGGAGAGAAATGTGATTCTTCCTTTCAGTTGAACACTTACAAGCCATTGTAGGGTTATTAATTCACCTAATTTCAATATTGTGGTGTCTTAGGATATAGAGAAGCCTGATAAGAAGGAGAGAGATGGGGGAACAGATGGTGGTAGAGCATTCAGAACACACATAATGTTTACAGGTAAAATTTGACTTTTTATATGTGGTGTGGTTCACAATGCCCTCAAACAATTGCAATAGTAACATCCAATTTCACTGAGAACAGATCACCATATCAGATATAATAATAAAGAAAAAGTTTTAAATATTGCAGAAAATACCAAACTGTGATACAGAGACGTGATGTGAGCACATGCTGTTGGGAAAATGGCACCAACAGACTTGCTTGATGCAGGTTTGCCACAAACCTTCAATTTGTAAAAATGAAATTATCTGTGAAGTGCAACAGAATGAGGTATGCCTGTATATGATTTGCAAATAATTTCTCCCATTTCGAAGATTGCCTTTTCACTGTGTTGTTTCCTTCATTGTGGAGATTTTTAGGTTGATGTAGTCTCACTTGTTTACTTTTGCTTTTATTGCCTGTGCCTTTTGTGTTAAATTCAAGAAGTCATTGCCAGACCAATGTCATGAAGCTGTTTCTCTGTGTCTTCTAGGAGTTTCATGGTTGCAACTTTTATTTTAAGTATTTAATCCATTTAAAGGTGACTTAAATATTTTTTTTCATTTTTGTGGGTACATACTAGGTGCATGTATTTATGGGGCACATGAGATATCTCGATACAGGCATACAATGTATAATAATCACATCAGGGTAAACAGCATATCTATCACCTCAAGCGTTTATCCTTTCTTTGTGTTGCAAACAATTCAATTCTACTTTTAGTTGTTTAAAAAAGTAAAATAAATTATTGTTAACTGTAATCACTCCATTGTTCTATCCAACACTAGATATTATTCATTCTAATTATATCTTTGTATAATAATTAATAATCCCCACTTCCCCCAACCCACCTCTACCCTTCCCAGCCCGTAGAACCATCACTCTAGTTTCTATCTCTGTAAGTTCTATTGTTTTAATTTTTATCTCCCATAAGTAAGTGAAAATATGTGAAATTTGTCTTTCCGTGCCTAGCTTATTTCACTTAACATAATGAAGTCCATGTTGTTGCAAAAAAAAAGGATCTCATTCTTATTAATGGCTGAGTAATACTCCATCATATATATGTACCACATTTTTTTTCCTTCCAACTTTTAGGTTCAAGGGGTACATATGCAGGTTTACTACATGGATAAATTGTGTCCTGGGGCTTTAGGGTACAGATTATTTCATCACCTAGGTAATGAGCATAGTACCTGATAGGGAGTTTTTTGATCCTCTCCTTCCTCCTAGCCTCCACCTTTAAGTAGGCCCAGTGTCTATTGTTTCTTTCTTAGTGTCAATATATACTCAATGTTTAGTTCCCACTTATAAGTGAGAACAGGTGGTATTTGTTTTCTGTTCCTGTGCTAATATGCTTAGGATAATGGCCTCTAGCTCCATCCATGGTGCTGCAAAGGACATGATTTCATTCTTTTTTGGTATTCCATGGTGTATATGTACCACATTTTCTTTATCCAGTCCTTCATTGATGGGCATCTAGGTTGATTTCATGTCTTTGCTATTGTGAATAGTGCTGCAATGAACATATGAATGTGTCTTTATGACAGAATTATTTATATTCCTTTGGATATATATCCAGTAATAGAATTGCTGAGTCAAATGGTAGTTCTGTTTTAAGTTCTTTGTGAAATCTCCAAACTGTTTTCCATGGTGGCTGAACTAAGTTACATTTCCACCAGCAGTGTATAAGGATGGCATTTTCTCTGCAACCTTGCCAGCATCTGTTATATTTTGACTTTGTAACATTAGCCATTCTGACTGGTATGAGATGCTGTCTCATTGTGGTTTTGATTTGCATTTCCCTAATAATTAGTGATGTCAAGCATTTTATTCATATGCTTGTTGGCTGCATGTACATATTCTTTTGAGAAATGTCTCTTCATGTCCTTTGCCCATTTTTAAAATGGGGTTGTTTTTTACTGGTTAATTTGTTTCCGTTCCTTATAGATTCTGAATATTAGACCTTTGTCAGATGCATGGTTTGCAAATACTTTCTTCTACGCTGCAGGTTGTCTGTCTTACTCTGTTGATAGTTTATTTTGCTGTCCAGAAACTTTTAATTAGGTCCTCACTTGTCATTTTTTCTTTTTGCAATTGCTTTTGGAGTCTTTGCCATGAAATCTTTGCCAGGGCCAATGTCAAGAATGGTATTGTAGGTTTTCTCCTGGGATTTTTATAGTTTTAGGTTTTACATTCAAGTCTTTAATCCATTTTGAGTTGATTTTTGTATGTGGTGAAAGGAAGGAGTCCAGTTTCAATCGTCTTCTGCATATGGCTGGCTAGTTATCTCAGTAGCATTTATTGAATAGAGAGTCCTTTCTCCATTGCTTGTAGTTGTCAATTTTGTTAAAGATCAGATAGTTGTAGGTGTGCAGCTTTATTTCTGGGTTCTCTATTCTTTTCAATTGGTCTATGTGACTGTTTTTGTATCAGTACTAAACTGATACAAAACTGATACTTTGGCCTTGTAGCACAGTCTGAAAGTAGTGTTATGCTTTCAGCTTTGTTCTTTGTGCCTAGGATTGCTTTGGTTATTTGGGCTCTCTTTTGATTTCATATGAATTTTATAGTTGTTTTTTTCTAATTCTGTGGAAAAATGCCATTGGCAATTTGAGAGGAATAGCATTGAATCTATACATTGCTTTGGGCAGTATGGCCATTTGAGTGATATTGATTCTTCCGATCCACGAGCATGGAATGTTTTTCCATTTGTTTGTGTCATCTCTGATTTCTTTCAGCAATGTTTTGTAATTCTTGTTGTAGAGATCTTTTGCCACCCTGATCAGCTGTATTCCTATGTATTTTATTCTTTCTGTGGCTATTGTGAATGGAATTGCATTCTTGCTTTGTCTCTCAGCTTGGACATTGTTGGTATATAGAAATGCTACTGATTTTGTACATTTATTTATTTATTTATTTTTGTATCTGAAACTGTTGAAGTTGTTTATCAGACCTAGGAGCCTCTAGGCAGAGACTATGGGGTTTTCTAGGTATAGAATCACACTATCTGTGAAGAGACATAGTTTGACTTCCTTTCTTCCTTCTGACTTCCTTTCTTCCTATTTAAATGCTTTTTATATCTTTCTCTTGCCTGATTGCTCTAGGTATAACTTCCAGTACTATGCTGAATAGGAGTGGTAGAGTGAACTTCCTTGTTTTGTTTTAGTTCTCAAGGGGAATGCTTCTAGTTTTTGCCCATTTATTATGGTGTTGGCTGTGGGTTTGTCATAGATGGCTCTTATTATTTTGTGGTCTGTTCCTTCAATGCCTAGTTTGTTGAGGGTTTTTTAACATGAAGGGATGTTGAATTTTATTGGAAGCCTTTTCTGCCTTTATCGAGATAATCATGGTTTTTGTTTTTAGTTCTGTTTATATGATGAATTACACTTATTGATTTGTGTGTGTTGAACCAACCTTGCATCCCAGGAATAAAGCCTACTTGAACATGGGATTAGCTTTTGATGTGCTGCTGGATTTGGTTCACTATTATTTTGTTGAGGATTTTTGCATCATGTTCATGAAAGATACTGGCTTGAAGTTTTCTTTTTTTCATTGTGTCTCTTCCACGTTTTGGTGTCAGAATAATGCTGGCCTTATAGAATGAGTTAGGGAGGCATCCCTCTTCCTCAAGTTTTTGGCTTAGTTTCTGTAGGACTGGTAATTTCTTTATATGTTTGGTAGAATTGAGCTGTGAATCTGTCTCATCCAGAGATTTTTCTGATTGGTAGGTTTTTCAATACTGATTCAATTTCAGAACTCACTATTTGTTCAATTTTGATTTCTTCCTGGTTCAATCTTGGGAGGTTGTTTGTTTCTAGGAATTTATCCATTTCTTCTATGTTTTCTACTTTGTGTGTAGAGAGGTGTTTGTAATAGCCTCTGAGGGTTTTTTTTGTTATATTTCTGTGGGGTTGGTAGTAATGTCCCTTTCATCATTTCTGATAGTGTTTATTTGAATCTTCTCTCTCTCTTTTTATATTAGTCTAGCTAGCAGTCTATCAATCTTATTCTTTCAAAAAAACCAACTTTTGGTTTTGTTAATCTTTGTATGGTGTTTCAAGTCTCAGTTTTGTTCAGTATAGCTCTGATTTTAATTATTTCATTTCTTCAGCTAGCTTTGGTATTGGTTTGCGCTTATTTTTCTGGTTCCTTTAGATGCGATGTTGTTAATTTGAGATCTTTCTAACTTCCTGATGTGGGTGTTTAACACTGTAAGTCTTCCACTTAACACTGCTTTAGTTGTGTCCCATAGATTCTGGTATGTTGTATCTTTGTTTTTATTAGTTTCAAAGACTTTATTAAGTTCTGCCTTAATTTCATTATTTGTCCAGATGTCATTCAGGAGCAGATTGTTTAATTTCCATATAATCATATGGTTTTGAGAGATCTTCCTGGTATTGATTTATATTTTTATTGTACTATGGTCCAAGTGTAGTTGTTACGATTTAGGTTTTCTTTTAAGAATTGCTTTATTACGAAGCATGTGGTCAGTTTTAGAGTATGTGCCATGTGCAGATAAGAAGAATGTATATTCTGCTTTTGGTGGCAAGTTTTTTGTAGATGTCTGTTAGATCTATTTAGTTAAGTGTCAAGTTAGATTCTGAATATCTTTGTTAGTTTTCTGCCTCAATGATCTGTCTAACATTGTCAGTCGGGTGTTTAATTCTTCCACTATTATTGAAAAGTCTGCTGTTAGTCTGATGGGGTAACCTTTGTAGGTGATCTGCCCCTTCTCTATAGCTTTCTTTAATATTTTTTCTTTCACATTGATTTTGGAGAAGTTGATGACTATGTGTCTTGGGGATGGTCATCTTGTTCAGTATGTCACAGAAGTTCTCTGAATTTCCTGAATTTGAACGTTGACCTCTCTAGCAAGGTTGGGGAAACTTTTATGGACAATATCCTTAAATATGTTTTCCAAGCTGCTTGCCCTCAATCTCAATCCTTCTCTTTCAGGGACACCAATGAGTTGTAGGTTTGATCTCTTCACATAATCCCATATTTCTTGGATATTTTATTTATTCTTTTTAATTCTTTTTTCTTTTTTTTTTTGTCTGATTAGTTAATCTGAAGAACCAGACTTCTAGCTCTGAGATTATTTCCTCAGCTTGTTTCATTCTTCTGTTAATACTTCTGATTATATTATGAAAATCTTATAGTGGGGTTTTCAGCTCTATCAGCTTAGTTGGGTTCTTTCTTAAGATGGTTATTTCTTCTTTCAGCTCTTGTATTGCTTCATTTAATTCCTTTGATTCCGTGGATTGGGTTTCAACTTTCTCTTGAATTTTGATGATCTTTATTGCCATCCAGATTCTAAATTCTATGTCTGACATTTCAGCCATTTCAATCCAGTTAAGAACCATTCCTGGAGAGCTAGTGCAGTCATTTGGAGGTATGAAGACACTCTGGCTTTTTGAGTTGCCAGAGTTCTTGCACTGGTTCTTTCTCATCTGTGTGGGCTGATGTCCCTTTAATGTTTGAAGGTGCTGTCATATATTATACAATGAGATATCATCTCAACCCAGTTAAAATAACTTTTATCTAAAAGACCAGCAATAACAAATGCTGGCAGGGATGTAGAAAACATTTTAACTGGGGTGAGATGATATTTCATTTGGATGGGGCTTTTTGCTTTTATACTCTTTGAAGCCCTTGAGGATCTGATTGTGGTATAAGTTGGGCTCAGCTGACTGGCTTCATTTCTGGACAATTTCAGGGGGCCAAGATTCAGCTCATTACTCCCAGATTGCATGCTCTAACCCTGGGGGCTTGAACCAGGCCCATGTCTTTGTTCTCTGGCCCCTTGAGAATAAGTGTCTGCAGCACTGAAAGGACCAAGGTACTCCCTGTCCATTGGCAACAACACTCTAATGTGGGGTTCTGGCAAAAATGCTTCACTGGGGCAGTGGCAGCAGGGTGCATGTTTGTGCACATGAGCCAGTGGCAACAGGGTGGCAGTGCAGTGAGGTTCTTGGGCGCATGTGCCAGCAGCAACAGACAGTGACAAGGTAGCTGGGTCTCCACATGCATGTGCATCAGCAAATCAGTGAGGGAGGCTGCAAGTGAGTGCAAGCTGGCAAAGTGGTGGGGTGAGGCTGTGGGCAGATGCTTGCTGGCAGGGACCCTTCTGCAGAAGCTCTCTGATGGCTAGATGAGGTCAGCTTGCAAAGGAGCTATGGCAGTGGCTGCTGAGATGCACACAAATTGGAAATCTGAGGCTGTGCTGCAAGCTCATATAGGGGTTGTATGGTCTTCTGCAGCTAGGATTCTAGAGGCCCAAGTTGAGAGTGGGTCACTCCACACCTATTTAACTAATCTCTTCTCCGGGAGCTACTCAGTGCCCAGAATGAGTCCTGGTGCTTGGTAACCCAGTGCAGCGTTCCTAGCTTCCTCTTCCTTCAGCCCAGGGTCTGTGTCCTCCCTCTATCTACTCTCAATGGCTTCCTTCTGAAAATCTGCTCAGTGTGTGCCTGTATTCCTGATGGTCTGGTCTCTTAGTAGAAACAGCTCTTCCTGGCTGTGACTTAGTTGGCAACTTTGGATCTTCCCACATTTTCTTTATTCATTCATCTGTTGATGAACACTCTGGTTGCTTCCATATCTTGGCTATTGTGAATAGTGCTGCAATAAATATCAGAGTGTAGATATTTGACATGCTGGTTTCTATTTTTGGGGAATATACACCTAGCAGTGGGATTGCTGGATCATATGAAAATTCTATTTTTACATTTTTGAGGAACCCCCAAATTGTTCTCTATAGTGAATGTTCTAATTTACATTCCAACCAACAGTGTATAAGTGTTTCCTTTTTTCTACATCCCTACCAGCATTTGTTATTGCCTGTCTTTTGAACAAAAGTTATTTTAACTGGGATGAGATGATATCTTATTATATTTGCATTTTGCTAATGATCAGTGATGTTCATTTCTTTGATTTGCATTTCTCTAATGATCAATGATGTTGAGCATCTTTTCGTATATCTTTGCTGTGCATATATCTTCTTTTGAGAAATGTCTACTCAGATGTTTTGCCCATTTTTAATTAGGTTATTAGGTTTTTTTCTTATAAAGTTGTTTAAATTTCTTACATGTTCTGTTTATTAATCCTTTGTCAGATGGATAGTTTGAAAATATTTTTTTCCCATTCTGTGAGATGTCTCTTCACTTTGTGGATTGTTTCCTTTGCTCTGCAGAAGCTTTTAAATAGCTTTCTTTTTTTAAACTTAATTCAGCCAAAGGTTTGCCAATTTTGTTGATCTTTACAAGATCAATTCAATTTTGTTTTTTACTATTGTTTTTCTTTCTCCATTTTATTTCTGCTCTAATCTTTTTTTTTCTATTTTTTTCTTTCTCCATTTTATTTCTGCTCTAATCTTATTTTTCTAGACTTATTCTTCTTTTTGTGGTTTTTGTGAAGTTATGTTGTTTGATATATTTCTTTTTTAATGTAGATGTTTATCACTATAAAATTTCCTCAGTACTGCTTTTGTTGCATTCCATAAGTTTTGTTATGTTACATTTTCATTTAACTTGTCTCAAGATATTTTCTACTTTTCCTCTTGATTTCTTCAACTCATTAGTTGTTCAAGAGTGTGTTGTTTAATTTCCATGTATTCATGAATTTTTGCTTTTCTTCTACCATTAATTGCTAGTTTCATTCCATTTTGGCTCAAAAATATAGTTGATACAATTTCAATCTTCTTAAATTTGTTAGGACTTGTTTGGTTACATAATATGTGACCTAGTCTGGAGAATGTTCCATGTGCACTCAAGAAGAATGTATATTCTGATGATGTTTTGTGAAATGTTTTGTATGTGTTTGTTAGGTCAATTTGGTCTATAGTGTTAAGTTCTCTGTTTCATTACTGATGGTAATTACTGTCTGGATGGTCTAGCCACTATTGAAAATGGGGTATTAAAATCTCCTGCTATTATTGTTACTATTTCTCCCTTCAGTTGTGCTGTTTGCTTCATATATTTGGGTGCTCTGATATTTGAGGTATATATATATATTTTTTTCATACATACACAAAATTGTTATATCTTCCTGGTGAATGGACCCTTTTATAATTATATGAGTCTTTTTTGTCTCTTTTGACAGTTTTTATGTTAAAGTCTATTTTGTCTAAGTTTGGCCAACACTGTTCTCTTTTGGTTTTAGCTTTTAGTATCCTCTGCATAAAATAGTATCCTTTGCATAAAATATCTTTTTCTATTCTTTCACTTTCAGTTTATGTGTGTACTACATGGAAAATGGATCTCTCATAGACAGTACACAGTTGATTCTTCTTTTTTCTATCCATTCAGCCACTGTATATCTTTTGATTACACAGTTAAATTCATGTACATATAATTATTGATAGGAAAAGAATTACTATTGCTATTTTGTTGTCTTTTGTCTTACAGCTTTGTTGTCCCTCTTTTTATCTCTTCTTTTGTGTTTCCATGATTTTTTTGTAGTGACATGCTTTTGATTCCTTTCTCTTTTTGGTGTGTATCTTCTAGAGTTATTTTCTTTGTGCTTATCATGGGGCTTAAAGTATCTTATAGTTAAAATAATCTGTTTTAAGCTGATAACAACTTCATTTCAATCTCTTACAAATACTCAAGACTTTTACTCTTTACCCTGACACACTGTTACTGTCACAAATTACATTTTATATTGTGTATCAAAGTATTTTTATATTTATTTTATTCTTTTGTCTTTTAATTTCTTGTTTTACCCTATTTTTGCTGCTATAACAGAATATCTGAAACTGGGTAACTGGGTAATTTAGAATAATTAGAAGGTTTCTTTTTGGCTCACAGTTTTGAAGAATGGGAAGTCCAAGATTGAAGGGTCAGCACTTGGCAAGAGCCTTGTTGTATGGTAGAAGGCAGAAGGGCAAGAGGGAGAAAAAGAGGGTCAAACTTACCATTTTATAACTGCACCAGTCCCACCTATGAGGGGGTAACCAACATGGCCTAATCACCTCTTAAGTGTCCTACCTCTTAATACTGTTAAAATGGCAATGAAATTTTAAGGAGTTTTGAAGGAGACAAACATTCAGGTCAAGGCACTTCTATACCAGAATTAGAAGTGATTTATACATCACTGTTACAGGATTACAGCATTCTGTATTTGTCTATATATTTACCTTTACCAGCAAGTTTTATACTTTTATGTGCTTTCATGTTGCTGTTTAGTGTCTTTTCCAAATTGAAGCATGTCCTTTAGGCTTTCTTGCAAGGCAGGTCTAGTGACAAAATCCCTCAGCTTTTATCTATCTGGGAAAATCTTTATTTCTCTATTTTTAAAGGATAGTTTCATTGGATATAATATTGGTAGTTGGCAGTCTGGTTTTTCTTTCAGCACTTTTATTATATCATCACTCTCTTCTGGCCTATAAGGTTTCTACTGAGAAATCTGCTGATAGTTTTATGAAGGCTCCCTTGCATATGACAAGCTACTTTTTTTTTTCCTGGCTACTTGCAAAATTCTTTGACTTTTGAAAATTTGATTACGATGGTCCCTGATTTAAGATGATTCAACTTGATATTTTTGACTTTATGATGGCACAAAAGCAATATACATTCAACAAAAACTGTACTTTGAGTATACATAAAACCATTCTCTTTTTCACATTCAGTACAGCATTTAATAAATTACATGAAATATGCAACACTTTATTACAAAATAGTCTTTGTGTTAGATGATTTGGCCAAACTGTAGGCTAACCATGTTCTAAGAATGTTTAAGATAGAGCAGTCCAAGCTATAATATTCCATAGGTTAGGTGTATTAAATGCATTTTTGACTTATGGTATATTCAACTTATGATGGGTTTATTGGGATGTAACCCCATGGTAAGTTGAGGAGCATCTGCATAATGCATCTCAATGTAGATTTCTTTGGGTTCATCCTAGTTGGAGCTTGTTGGTCTTCTTGAATCTGGATGTCTATTTTCTTCCCCAGATTTGGGAAATTTTCAACCATTATTTCTTTAAATAAGCCTTCTACCCCATTCTCTCTCTTTTCTACTTATGAAACTCCCATAATTTGATTCACTTGATGATGTCTCATAATTTCCTTAGGCTTTCCTCACTCTTTTTGTTTCCCTGACTGGGTAATTTTAAGTGGCCTGTATTTGAGTTCACCGATTCTTTCTTTTCTTTCTTTTTTTTTTTTTTGAGATGGAGTCTCACTTTGTTGCCCAGGCTGGAGTGCAGTGGCACAATCTCAGCTCACTGCAACCTCCGCCTCCTGGGTGCAAGTGATTCTCCTGCCTCAGCCTCCTGAGTAGCTGGGATTACAGGTGCTCGCCACCACATCCGGCTAATTTTTGTTTTTTTAGTAGAGACGGGGTTTCACCATGTTGGTCAGGCTGGTCTCAAACTCTTGACCTCGTGATCTGCCTGCCTCGGCTTCCCAAATTGCTGGGATTACAGGCGTGAGCCACCACACCCGGCCTATTCTCATTTTTTCATGCATCGTTTTCTTGATGTTTTATTTCATCTTTACAACAATTATTTTGAATTATTTGCCAGGTAATTTGTATCACTTCATTTTATTAGATTTGTCTGGAGATTTATTTTGTTTCTTAGTTTGGACGGTATATCACTTTTTTTTTTTTTTTAATGTGACTCAACTTTGTGATAGGATCCATGCATTTGAAGAGACAGCTACCTCTCCCTGTGTTTACACACTGGATTCATACAAAGGAAGACTTTCACCAAGCTAGACATTCTGGGAACTTCCAAAACCTTTTTGGGAGAGATGCAACTTCTCTGGGTCTGTGCACATAATTTCTCAATTAGAGAAGCTTGCCTTTTTTTTTTTTTTTTTTAGCTTGTAATCTTTCTCTCTCTCTCTCTCTGGTGTCTATATGTAGGATTACACATTCTCTGGTCCTACAGTAGCAATCTGCTGCACTCTCACTTGTTCTCAGTGGCCACCAGGAATCCAAAGTATGCTGTTTTCCTGTCAGCACCCTGTATCAGGAGAGGCAGATATCCCTCAGTCCTCTAGAACGTGCGATGCACAGTTCACTTCTTTTTCCCTCTTGAGAAAGAAACCACAAGTTGTGCAGCTCCTGATTATGTTGAGTCATGCCAGCTGCAGCAAGCTGACCCATGACTGTCCTTTGTTCTCAGAGACCCCCCCAGGTATACAAACTATGCTGGTTAAGTCAGTAGTCCGAGAGGCAGAAACCATTCCCTTGGGGCAGCCCTCCAAACAATCAGAATATTGGATGCATGCTTCGCTATTTTCCCTCCCTCCCAAAAGAGAAGCCTCAACTTGCATACCTTCTCTCAATCACACTAAGTCTTTCTGGCTGCAGCAAGCCTCCCTCCACCTGTTTTTGTTCTCAGTGATCCTACTGTCCCACCCCAAGCATCCAAATGATACATGGGGTAAGACAGAAATCAGTCACCAGGTTAGTCTTCCAAAAACCCTGAATGCTGAACTCATGCATGCACCACTCTTTTTTCCACCTTAGAGGAAGTCACAAGCTGGGCTGTTCTCTCCCAGTGCTAAGCTACGCTGACGTGGGTAAAATGAAATTGCTTTTCTTACCTATTCAGTGTGGATATTCTGGTTTTGTTCCTGCCAGGGACAACTTCTTACCTGGATTCTGGAATTCTCCTAAAGGTATTTTGGTTTGCATATTGTTATATCAGTGTTTCTGTGGAGAAACAAGGGCTGGAACTTCCTATTTTGCCATCTTGCTAATGTTACTTCCTAGCAACTCAATTTTTAACTGGGTAGGTTAAGAACTTGTAAGAGATCAAATAAAACATGTTGGACATTCACTATTATAAGTGGTAGAAAATGCACTGATTATGTGAATCAACCAAACTTGGATCAATTCTAAAAATAAAACACTCAGGGAATATGCTTTTGTGAACAGGAAGATAGGGTTATTAATAATCACACTTACTGTATCAGGCTTCAATTTAGGAGTTGAGGAATAATGAGTTTTTCCTATTTACAATTAAGTTTCCAAACTTCCTGGGTCAGCTTTTTTCTTAAGCACTGAAGTGTTCCTGGATAAATGGCCTCTAAGGCACTATAGACCATCATTTTATGAAATTTTTATATATGAATAATGGTGAATGGCAGATGATGGCAAATAAATAAAAATGACACCTCTAGTATACAATTACTACTCATGCTAAGATTTTTTTTTTAAAGAATGTGATTGATCTGCTTTTGTGTTTAATATCTTTAAAAAATTGGTTGGCTAATCTTGAATCCTTATAAATTCTAAATGAGAAGCAGAGGGACCCCATTTTTCCCATAGGAGCCTTGATGATTCTAGATGACTCAAATGAATTCTTTAGTATAGATATCTTTCCTGTCATTCTAATATTACCAGAAGTATGTGAGTCTTTGGATTGAAAAAACATCTGATTCAAATTATAAACACATTTATTCCAATTAATTTTCTTTTACTTGCTGAAATCACCAGTACAGAATACTGGCCACCTCAAGACCACCCCCTTTGCCTTGAGATTATAAGAATTTGTGTCATATCAGAAATCAGACCCCAATCATTCCAGCTCTTTCATGCTCCTGCTGCTACTGCATAGTCCTTTGATTTCACAAACATCATTTAATTTCTTCCAACTCATAAGCCAACTCCTGAGTTTACTTTTTCTCCATTTAGTTGAAATTTATGATGGATAATTTAATTCGATGGTACTCAAAGTAGGCTCGGTGGCCAGCATGGGCATTATCTGGTAATTTGTTAGAAATGCAGAATCTCAGGCACTTCCTGATCTGCATTTTAGAAATTACTTAAAAAGATCCCCATGTAATTTGTATGCACATTGATGGTTGAGAAGCCCTAACGTCAAAATTTCTTCAACCAGTTTCATTAACTCACATATACTTTCTGGGTCAGCTTTGTTCTTAAGCACTGAAGTATCCCTGGATAAGTCACTTTAGATGCCCCCCATCACTTTATGAAATTCTTCCATATGAGTCATGGTGAATGGCAGATGATGGCAAATAAAGAAAAATGACATGTCTAGTATATACATTTGCTACTCATAACATGGTAGTGCTGGTGTAGTTCCACAGCACATTGAAATTACTTGTTCATACTCATCACATCTAAACAATATTTTGTGAGCAGCTATCATTTTATCTTTTTAATCTTAGCAAGATGCTGTTACTAGCATGTTCTAGCAACAGTGTTGTTGAGTTCAAGTTAACTTCTCTCTAGGTCATGAACCAATTAATAAGCTGCTTATGACATAGCAGGATCAGTAACTATTCTAAAATATTTGCATCTTAATGGAAGATTCCTGAAGAAAAATGAATTTAACCTAAATTATTAATAGTAATACTGTGAATTTTTGAGAAGTTGGCTGAGTTGAAAATAATTTTGGGGGCTGTTGGGTGAAATTCACCCCTGATATTTCACGTAGATTCTTTTCTATTTTCCTTAAGTGTCAGCCGTTCTGAGAAATAAAGGGACAGAGTACAAAAGAGAGAAATTTTAAAGCTGGGTGTCTGGGGGAGACATCACATGTCGGCAGGTTCCGTGATGCCCCCTGAGCCGTAAAACCAGCAAGTTTTTATTAGTGATTTTCAAAAGGGGAGGGAGTGTACGAATAGGGTGTAGGTCACAGAGATTCCATGCTTCACAAGGTAATAAAATATCACAAGGCAAATGGAGGCAGGGCGAGATCACAGGACCACAGGACCGGGGAAAAATTAAAATTGCTAATGAAGTTTCAGGCACGCATTGTCATTGATAACATCTTATCAGGAGACAGGGTTTGAGAGCAGACAACCGGTCTGATGAAAATTTATTAGGCGGAATTTCCTCGTCCTAATAAGCCTGGGAGTGCTTCGGGAGACCAGGGCATATTTCATCCCTTAGCTATGATCGTGAAAGACAGCCGTCCCCAAAGCGGCCATTTCAGAGGCTTCCCCTTAGGGTCACATTCTCTTTCTCAGAAATGTTCCTTGCTGAGAAAAAGAATTCAGCGATATTTCTTCTATTTGCTTTTGAAAGAAGAGAAATATGGCTCTGTTCCACCCAGCTCACAGGCAGCCAGAGTTTAAGGTTATCTCCCTTGTTCTCTGAACATTGCTGTTACCTTGTTCTTTTTTCAAGGTGCCCAGATTTCATATTGTTCAAACACACATGCTCTACAAACAATTTGTGCAGTTAATGCAATCATTACAGGGTCCTGAGGCAACATATAACCTTAGCTTACGAAGATGACAGGATTAAGAGATTAAAGTAAAGACAGGCGTAGGAAATCACAAGAGTATTGATTAAGGAAGTGATGTGTCCATTAAATCTTCACAATTTATGTTCAGAGATTGCAGTAAAGACAGGCATAAGAAATTATAAAAGTACTAATTTGGGGAACTAATAAATGTCCATGAAATCTTCACAATTTATGTTCTTCTGCCATGGCTTCAGCCGGTCCCTCTGTTTGGGGTCCCTGACTTCCTGCAACATCTCTCCCTTTCTTTTTATACAAATGTGCCATGCGATGAAGGCTTGTTCGTTCTCTCAATTTTGACGTGGGATTCTTTGACTGGTCCGGCACACTAAAGACAAGCCAATTAAACAGAGAAACATAATTCCAAAATTTACTACAGTGGAGCCCCTAATAGACTTAATCTAAGTTGTGGGGTTTAGTCTAGAATGATTTTCTGCCATCTGATCTAATGCCTCAGCTCCAGGCACAATGGGTAAGTGAACTTGAGAGGCTTCAAAAATTTGTTTCTTTAATTTAGTTATGTTCAATGATAAATTATCTTCCCTACCCAGAAGGTGTCCTTTGACCATTTCCCATGAATGATCAGTCTCGTTATAGGAATATGGGGTGATACAGAAATCCGAAGTATTCCAATCGCACTGCATTTGCATGTGATGTTCGAGACTCACTACCTGATCTCCAAGCCAAATAACAACCTGTCTTAAATCATTAAT
This sequence comes from Homo sapiens, assembly GCF_000001405.40. Taxonomy (NCBI): domain Eukaryota; kingdom Metazoa; phylum Chordata; class Mammalia; order Primates; family Hominidae; genus Homo; species Homo sapiens. The sequence goes on from NC_000002.12 coordinate 210,426,023, forward strand.
TTGATTAGCCAATTTTTGATCAATGCCTTGTTGAGAATTCCACATTTGGGTGGAATTGGCTTGCCAATCATTAACAAAATGAGCCATTTGAATAGAATGATGTAACACCATTCTCGCAGTGGTGGCCATTGCAGTGACTGTAATTAGGCCCATGATAACAGCGATTAAAGTGAAAAAAAATCTCTTAGATCTTTTTAGAATTTGCTGTAACACTTCATTAATTAAATGTATTGAGGGGGAGGATTCCCAAGCTCTGGGCAAAGTTACCAGAATCCAGATTCCTTCTCGAGCTTGAACCAGCATTACACTTTTCTTGGAGTCAAAATGGGAGTTAATATAAGTGTATAAATGACAATTAATGCATTGGACAGTTTGATTGTTCATCCAAATTTTGATATTTCCCACTAACAGCATGTAAGGAAGCGTAACACAACTCTGTATGTGAACAGTCAGGTTGGAGGTAAGTGAAGTCGAACGTCTGGATCTACGTTGATACTGAGAGTGGGGGACGGTAGTGGGGACAACAGACATAATAGTTTCCCCTTCCCATACTCACAGTCTAAACATGGCAATAGCCAATTTCTAAAGTTCTGGGTGTTCTGGGCTCAGAATGGGGAGTATCATATGAGGCCTCGTGGGGGTAATGCCTTTATCTTCCCATTTTAAGGGAATGAGCTGAACCTCCTATGCAAAGTAGAATGATGATTCTCATTCTCCCGATAAGAAATAAAATAAGTAGGCTCCAGGCATTCCCTTCCACCAGAGGAGCAATTGTTTTTTAAATAGCCCTTTGGTGCCCAGTCTATTACTAAGCCATATGAGTCATTTTTTAATACTACTCCATGTGAGTTAAAACACAGTCTTCCCAAATTAAAGTTTTAGATGGGCCCTCAAAATTTTTAGGGCATGGTTTTCCTGCAGGTTTATATTGAAAGTATGGGGTATCTCTCATTACTCCACATGCACTTAGGAAAAAAAGACCATGTGGGGCGCCAGATATCAGGTGAAATTCACCCGATATTTCATGTAGGTTCTTTTTTATTTTCCTTAAGTGTCGGCCGTTCTGAGAAATAAAGGGACAGAGTACAAAAGAGAGAAATTTTAAAGCTGGGTGTCTGGGGGAGATATCACATGTCGGCAGGTTCTGTGATGCCCCCTGAGCCGTAAAACCAGCAAGTTTTTATTAGTGATTTTCAAAGAAGGAAGGAGTGTACAAATAAGGTGTAGGTCACAGAGATCACATGCTTCACAAAGTAATAAAATACCACAAGGCAAATGGAGGCAGGGTGAGATCACAAGACCACAGGACCAAGGCAAAATTAAAATTGCTAATGAAGTTTCAGGCACGCATTGTCATTGATAACATCTTATCAGGAGACAAGGTTTGAGAGCAGACAACCAGTCTGACTAAAATTTATTAGGCAGGAATTTCCTCGTCCTAATAAGCCTAGGAGTGCTACAGGAGACGGAAGCTTATTTCATCCCTTAGCTATGACTGTAAAAGACAGCCGTTCCCAAAGCGGCCATTTCAGAGGCCTCCCCTTAAGGACACATTCTCTTTCTCAAGGATGTTCCTTGCTGAGAAAAAGAATTTAGTGATATTTCTCCTATTTGCTTTTGAAAGAAGAGAAATATGGCTCTGTTCCACCTGGCTCACAGGCAGCGAGATTTTAAGGTTATCTCCCTTGTTCTCTGAACATTGCTGTTTTCTTGTTCTTTTTTCAAGGTGCCCAGATTTCATATTGTTCAAACACACATGCTCTACATACAATTTGTGCAGTTAATGCAATCATCACAAGGTCCTAGGCCGACCTACAGCCTCAGCTTACGAAGATGACAAGATTAAGAGATTAAAGTAAAGACAGGCATAAGAAATCAAAAGAGTATTGATTAAGGAAGTGGTAAGTGTCCATTAAATCTTCACAATTTATGTTCAGAGATTGCAGTAAAGACAGGTGTAAGAAATTATAAAAGTATTACTTTAAAGAACTAATAAATGTCCATGAAATGTTCACAGTTTATGTTCTTCTGCCATGGCTTCAGCCGGTCCCTCCATTCAAGGTCCCTGACTTCCTGCAACAGGGGGCAAAGGACTCTTTGTCTTCAAATTTCCCTCCACCTTGCTCATCATCAAGGTAGTCCAAATGAAAGAACTCTGAGTGCTTCTGGGCTGGCTGATTGGCTTTTAAGTTGTCTTCTTCCTATTAGAGTTCTAAACTCCATCTCCATAGATAGAAACTGCAGGCCATATGAGAGACCCAATATACATGAAGTTATGGAATAATGGGAAGAGTAGTTGGAGTGGTGATAGGATTATTATAATACATTTCCTTGCAATTGCTTATCCAGTCACCTGTCTTCACCAGACTGAGTTGCCAGAGTAGAGATGTCTACCTTATGCAAACAGATCCCCTAGCCAGTACCTTGCACATAAAGATAGCATGTTTAATGAATTTTGGGGATAAATGATTTTAAGGCATTGGTCATGGTATGATTAATAAAATGGCATATCTGCATCATAAAAACTGAAAGTGCCAGCAGTTCAGATTGCATCAGCAAGGGAGGGCATGTTTATTTCTGAATGCTGAATCCTGAGTAAACAATATCATCTTTCACAGTGAGCCACATCAGTATTTTCTGGTTTATAAATGCCTTTCTTAATATCCCAGCTCCATCAAAGAGAAATTAGGCAATTGGAACACTATTTTATAAACTGACTTATAATAAAGTCTCGTGTCTCCCTACATGACTAAGTGCCTCACAAATGCTTTGTCTAACACTTACTTGTTGAGTATTAGAACATTAGTTGCAGACTTAATGTTACCATGTTGTAATTTTCACGTGGTTGAAAAGTTAACATAATGTAGAAATGTGAAATTGAACTGGTCGACTATGAGCAGCAGCCCTGCTAAGATCCATTTCTCAATCCTCATTATTTCAGCTCTTGGCTTATTGTCTTTGCTGCCTTCTCCTATTACTCACAAAACTGCCAAATAAGTCCCTGAGGATGCACTAGCACAGGGCTTCTGGACAATAGTGTTTAGACAGTTTACATCATGGGACCAATAAAGCCAATACGTTTGTCATTGTTACAAAAAAAAGATAAAAACAAGCCTGAGTTCTCGTTTTGTTAATTGACCCACAGCTTTAGAAGGAAGAGGGCAAATTTGGATGAGAAACAATGAGAAAGCAAATTTTCAGGGAACTGACTTGTAGGTTTTCAGTTTAAATGATGCTTAATAGAATAGAGAAGACATGAGAATTTTAATAACTTTGAATCCACAGTGGGAACTATCTTGGAAAAAAAGAATGACATAAAAATTATTATTCTTTTCTATTCAGAGAGTGTGAAGAGGAGGAGAAAGGCTGAAGAGGAGGAGAAAGGCTAAGATCTTTTCCAATGCAAAATTAGGAAAAAATATACTACAGGTAAGTCACAAAAAACAAATATTTTGAAGTTTTCTTCATTCATGAGGTTACAACTGTGGTGCAACTTATTGTGCCTGTCATTATTTTTCTCATAGTAGGAGGATAAGCCAGGGAGCGGTAAACTAGAGCTGGCCTTGCCAATGGAAACTAACCTCGTAGAGTTAGCAGGACCTTTCTAAGCATCATTTTGCAATCTCTGTGTGGCCTTTGCAAGGTAGTGTCCTCTCCATGCCTCACTGCCTACATCTAGAGTCTTGATATTACCATACCTTTACTTCATTCAAATGAGAGAAATAAATGTAACTCTGCATTTATCCTCAGTATTATCAGTCACTCAATAAACAGACTTTGGGTATGAAGGACATTTTAATCATATGTACCAGCACACAAATTGTAATTTAGAGATGAAAACAAGTATTTTATAATTTATCAATCTCTGTTGTGGTAAGTCACACTAACTAGCTGTGTCATAAAAAGCAGTGGCACAAAGTCATCCCAAGTGACTCAGCAAAATTTTTCTAACCTCTGCATATATATTTTATAATTATGCCTCATTTAATCCCCCCCTTTTCTATTCAAAGCAGAATTGATCATCAGGAAAATAAATTTCTAGAATTAGGCCTTTAGTTATTAACCCCACAGTAGATTCATATATTATGAGATGGTTAATACATGTTGTTCTTGAAGGCTAGTAGATTCCTCCTAATTCTATAATGATCAGATTTAAAAATATTTTCCTCTTATAAATCTCTATTTTCAGACAGTAGTGCAAATCTTGTTTTATCCAACAATGAAGAAAAAGGAGCAAAGCCTAGGAAACAGGAGTATATATAGGGAAAAAAAACCTTCACTTGCTGTAGGGAGAACCCCCTGAAACTACTGCTACGGAATAAAAGATGAAATGCTCCTGATTATTGTAAATACAAAGTTGCATGCAGGATTGTGTAAAGACAATGCCAGGTTGGACTGCCAGTATGAGCCAACAGCATGTAATGTGCTTCCCCCTGCAGATAGCCTATGAATGGATCTGCAGTCAGGGAGGTTTCACATCATCACCAAGATTCCTATCCCAGAAAAGCAGATATTCATAGCTCTGGGAATGGAATGCGACCCTTGTGGAGAGCCTATAAATGGACGCATGGGGGGGCGCCTGTCCATATGGATAAGATAGGGCTATAAATGCCCTCATCTTGCCATGGCTCTTCTAGGCCTCTTTAGGGTTAAGGCATACTCCCTTCTGAGAATTTCTGGTCTAACCAGTTGTCTAGCTTCACGTCCTATTTCTATGGATTGTCTGTAACCAGCTTTTGCTGCAACTGTTACTGCTGATTAATATCTTGCTAATCATAGGTTATGGAAAGAATGTGTTTCTGTTTTAAGGCTCTGTTAGAAATTACTGATGCACACACTATATTGTAAATTCTTATCCCTGTATACTGTACTTCTGCATACAAATGTTATGTTAAAGCATTACTTCATCCCCACGTGACCATCTCACCTCATAATCAAATGACCCTAAATTCCTCACTAACCTACCCCTGCCCTCACTAAACTTAATAATAAATGCTGGTATATCCAGCGCATTGTTGGCACCGCAGAACCAGAAGGCGGTGACCCCCCTGGACGCGGCTTTCACTATCTTGTGTGAGTCTATTATTTCTCAACCTACCAATCTGCCTGGGAACAAAGAGAGAGCCCCGTTGCATTGCGGGCTGCTGGCCAGATCCCGCAATAACTTGCCATTGAGGGAAAATATTTCTCAAGTTTAAACCAAAGCAAACAAAAAGCACATGATGATATATAGTCCTAATAAAATTTTATTGAGAACTAGTAAGTCAAATACTTTACAGAACATAGAAATACATATGATCCCAGCCTTTCCCATTAAATGACAACATAACATTGGGGTAGTTTCCCTGAATATCCCAAACAGTTTGCTTTATAATTAGAGAAACAGTTCGTCTACAGCTCAATAGTAGAGAAAACACAGGAATGAGGTGCTCTTACTTAGCGGAAGCAGAAATGAAATTGGAATTCAGTGTAAATAATAAAGGACTACAGATGAGTTCTAGCAGCCAAAGGAGTATACATGTAAATAGTCACTCTTCACATTTTCTATTTCTAAAGTAGCTAGTAAAAGGCAGGGCATCGTAAGATCAGACAAAAATTAACCTGAGGACATAGTAGCAGAGTATGTCTCTCAATTCAGTTATTTAGGAAATGTTAATAAAGAAAGTAACCCTAGATCCACTTTTACCTAAAACTCTACCTACCATGAAGGTTTTTGATGCCAAATAATTGGAACTGACATCAAAGATGAAAAGAGAGCCACATGACTCAGGATTAAAGACTGACAACTCAGGCCACACCGCCGTCCATGGTATCTATGGAAATAGGATAATGTTAACTTTTTACATGATGAAAAGTTAACTATTTGCAATTTCTAAATTACTATAGAAACAGAAACATGTGACAGGATAAATGAACACTGCTTGATGACCTTTGACAACCTTTGAAGGTTTTATTACCTAGTCCCTGTATAGAGATAAGAGATGATGGTATTGAGTTTTCTAGGAACCAACTTCTGGGAAAGATTTTTAAAGAAGAAAAATATCTGAGAGAAAAATACAAACTAGAACTGAAACAATGATGCCACTTCCTTTTAAAACTAAGAAGCCTAGTATAAAAGTTTCTTTAGTTACTACCATGTTGTTAGGGGATTGTCTCAGCGTTGTAGGCTTTGCCTGAATTTAAAATCCCATCAAAACTTTTTTGCTCTTAAGCATAAATACAACAAATAGCATACATATAAAATTGTGCCAGTTTAGTAAGTTTTGAAAAGCTTAAAAAAAAACCAAACTCTAATTGTGTTTGTGTGGATGAATTTGCTAACTGATGACAGTAGCTAACCCATTTATGCTGGGGGTTGCAATTTTTTGTGTGAAAAATCAGACCTTGGCAATGACTTTGAGCAGTAGGATGTAAATGACTCCCACAAGCTTAGCATTCCAATAATGGAACACTAGGCATAAATGGGTTAACAAGAATCTTATTTGAAATGTTCTTCTCCCTGCCTTGAAATCTTCCTGGGGTTAAGCATTGCTATCACGATGCTTGGAGAACTGTGATCAAGTCTTCTCTGGCTCAGAGAAACTGTTATTTTTCCCTTGCTTAGTAACGCAGCTAAAAGCATAGGCACAGTAGAGTAAGACATTTAACTAAACCAAATGAGCTTTATTCTTTCAAGCTGAACACCCCAGGCAAAGGCAAATTAGCTTTGCTGTGCACTACTTTTACTTCTTACTGTAAGTGCTGATATCGCTGATTGAAAACTTTCACAAGAAAGGCAGAGCATGCACATGCTTACCAGCAGCACTTCAGCAATCTGAGAGGCACAAGGTAGTGCCAACTTACACAAGTGACAGAAGGAGGAAGCTGATCCTGGAAACTGAGCAGTGGGCTGCTTTTTAAATCCTACTGCCAGTGGCCTTTAAAAGGTCAGTTTCCAATAATATTAGCTCTTTTGGTGCTAAACAGGAGATAATAGGAGACTGCTACCTGCAGGAACCAGTACACACTCAGTGGGGATTTGGTTTGAAGTTCCAATAAAAATAGCATGTTTTTGTGACCAAGAGAGCTGTGAAATAGGCACATTTAAAATACTTAGACCCTGTTATTTTAAAGCTACAATTTTTTTTTGCAAAATCAGTTGCAAAGAGACAAAACAAGCCAGGCAAAGGCAGTAATAGAAAGAGTAGAAGCTGATGAGTCAAAACACTTGAACAGAATTTGAAGCACCAGAGAGTCTTTATCTACTACGGAAAACCTGATTCTGTGGTCTCAGAAACTGATGAATTGTTAAGTCTAGGATACGCAAAGATGCATTTGTTCTAAGCATGAACTCTGGATAATACCTCCTCAATAAAAAGCATTTCTATTAAATGCTTAGTTTAGTGTTTTTGTTCAAGTTATTGGTTAGATAGTATTCCCTTTCTCATCTCCCCTTTTTAAACAGAAGTAGAATACTGTACAATTTAGTGAAAAGACCAAAGTTCAGATAAATTGATAGGAAGGAAAATATTTTATGGCTTATACCAAAGAGTCAGCACTAATGCATAGTCACTGTAAAAACCCAAGTTAAAGTTTAGAAAGTCAGTCAGAGTGGACTGAAATCCTAGGTTAAAGCATATTCATACATAGAAAATTGGCTTCCTGATCTTATTTGAATACTGAAAAACACACATATTTAAATAAAGAGTTCCAAAAAACTCAGATTATTTTAGAGAAAACACAGACTGTTATTGTTAGCTTATCTTAAACTAACCTTCAACTCAGAATTTTCACAATGATCATCATGTTTTATAAGTTTTTGATTAAAAATGTTGGCTTCTGAAGGCTGTATGCCTTACCGACAAAAACAGGCCAATCTGAAAGTATGTTTACCTCTAGTCCAAATAGGCATCAAGAATTTAAAAAATGATATTTAGGTACCAAGTCCAGATTGTAACTCTTGGAATTTTTCTCCTGGAAGCATTTAGTTATATTTCTGTCCCCTTTCAAAATGAACCACCTAGAGAAAAGCAAGTCAGAAAATTGTCTGCCCTCCAGTTGGAGGAAAAATATTAAAGAGAAGTGAAGTGTAATACCCAATAATAGTCACATATTTATCTTTATCTGTATTGAGTTTCTTTTAAACATTTTTAGAACAGTAACAGATGGTTATATTCATAAACTTAAATAAGATTTCCTCCAAGTTCTGGAATATATGTATACAATCTCAAAACACTGTACATATCACTCACTCTCCCTTTAGGAAGAAATGGAAATTAAAGTTAAAAGACTTCCTTGGATACTTCTAAGTAAAAGTAAATGATAATGGAAGGGAACTGAATGAAAGATAAATTCTGAAAAAAGCTAACAAAATCAAGTCCACAGTTTGACTCTTTGTTTCCTTGGAAAGCAACGGAAGCACTTAGCTTGGGTTTGAATATACAGAAAGGGTCATGCAGTGAGTTGCAGGTGGCATGCTATCCTTTCAGAGTTCAAATGCAGGGAACCTGGCTTTTGTGGGGACTAGCAGGTCAGCCAGGAAATATATTGTTCCAGCCATTCCTGAAGAAAGAGAAAGAGGCAAAAGTTATTATACCAAATGACTCCATTTCATAGGATGGTTCTTTTTCCCCCATATCTTTATTGACAAAAAAAGTCACAGCATTTCAGTCTATTCAAACACACAAACATCAACAAAGGGTGCCCACCAGTGATGGCCTCGTCCCTAAGGTCTGGATCAAGGCCGCACTGGAGGGTGGGGGTGTCCTCTTGGCCCTCCTCCTTCGGCATCCTATGGCTTTTTCCTCACCTCACTGACACCCCCCGAGAGCAGTTACAACTCTGCAAAAACGAAGGATGGCTCCATTTTTTAACATTAACAACATTACAATATTAACGGCAATGATTTAAATGAAGTGTGAATCTATCTACGTTTACATACACTGCAGTTCAACATTAGAAGAGATCACTAGTGAGGTGTTCAGCCTTATATCCCGGTGGAAGACTGGAGAAAGAATGGAGCCAGACAAGTTCAAGTCACAGCCCTGCCATTTACCAAACATAAGCTCCTGAGCCTCAGTCTCCTCGGCTATGACATGAAGGTAGTAGTGCCTGTATGTTTTTGCTGAATGATTTATGAGGGCGTCTGCAAAATGCCCAACATGTGCCTGGCTCCATAAAAGGGAGTCACCTGATGACTACCAGTATTGGGACTGTGGTATTACATGTGCTAATTGATTTTTAATATCGATTTAGCATATTAGGAAATAAAAAAGTAGTTTAAGAATAATTATAAAATTTTTTGCTAAAACTTAAATACATTAATTACCAAGCAGAGAAGTAGATGCTGATATTATAGGGCAAATAAATAAAGTGTACAAAATACCTTCAAAGAGAGAGAAAGGGGTGTCTGGTGTTCTGCATCCATGTTCTCCATACTCTAAGCACCATTCAGCAAACTGAAAATGAGACCAAGTTAAATTAGTATAGTGATTTCTTCCAGAGACAACCCCAAAAGTTAAGAGGTTGTCTATACAAATTACTCTGAAAAATCAAACACTACCTTCACATCAGAGAAAGGAGATTAATGCAGAGAAAAGGATGGTTTGAAAGAGTACACAGCATGGGAGGAATTTAATGAGCTGTCTGAGTCACGTATCTACAAGGTTATTCAAGAAGAAAGGCACAAAATCACCCTACATCTTTATTTTTTTCTCCCATTAATGCTGTTGAGTAGAATTATGTCCCTTTAAAGGAATGCTAATTTAATTGAAAGGCTTTTCAAGGTTTTCCTTAAATAACTGTATTTGTTATCCAAGACCTATGGTTTTAGGGATAAATGAATTAAATCAGATGAACTAGAACTCTTTCTACAACCTCCTGGGAGACCTGCTTTTTTTTTTTTTTTTTTTTTTTTTGAGATGGAGTTTCACTCTTGTCACCCAGGCTGGAGTACAATGGTGTGATCTTGGCTCACTGCAACCTCTGCCTCCCGGGTTCAAGTGATTCTTGTGCCTCAGCCTCCAAAGTAGCTGGGATTATAGGCGCCTGCCACCACACCTGGCTAATTTTTTGTCATTTTAGTAGACCATGTTAGCCAGGCTGGTCTCGAACTCCTGACCTCAGGTGATCCGCCTGCCTCAGCCTCCCAAAGTGCTGAGATTTACAGGTGTGAGCCACCGAGCTGCTTTCTATTTGGTGGTTCTGACTCCTACCTTACAGGCCCTATACAGGTACTTCATGTCCTGTGTGAGGTTGTAGAGTGTCAGGAAGGCATAGGCATTCCCTGCAGAACCGTGGCACAGCCCATATCCCTTCTTCAGCAACCCATATTGCCAGATCACATCAGCACACTGATAGGCATCACAGAGATACTTTTCCTCTCTGAATACCTGCAGAGGCAAAGGACACATTTTATTATACGGGATATAAAAGAAAGTTCCATTGATATTCCTTCCTGATAGATAAGAAGGAAAGAGGGAGATGGCTTGGCAAGAAAGGGTAAAGGATTTAGTGACAGAGGGATGTGTTATGTTGCTAGTGACAATTACTAAAATCGACTAGTTTGGCTTTAAAAAAAACTGTGCATGACTTTGGCATGTACAGTCTAAGTTTTCTGCACATGTGTGTATGTTTATGTGGGTGTTACTGAGGAAGCAGCATTATTTAACTTGCAACTTGCTCTTATCATGAGTGACTTTCCAAAGAACACATGCTATCTTCTTTGTAACTCTGATGCCCTCTTCACTATTAGGAAGTTTCTTTACACACTGGAGAAGAACAACTGTTCTTTATTAAATATGCAGTCAGAAAAATAGAGATAGACCTTTACAATCTTTTACTGCCTCCTATATCTTCATCAAAGACTTAGGAAATATTCTGAGTAGATATTTTTAATATCTCATTGCAACCTAAGTGTTCTTAAAAGTAGGATAAGGCAGTTTAAAAAGTTTTTCTATTATTAACATATCTAATTCTCTGAAATGTAGAATATGATACACTAAAAGCTTATTTATGAGATGCCAGCGCCCAGCGATAGTCTGCAGAGTTGTAATTTGTTGATTTGGCACCAATGGTCATAGATATCTTTTTTTTTCTCAACTAAAAATCTGCGTTGATTGCAGTTCTGTGAAGGCATGCTTTCTATTAGTGTTATTTATGCACTACAATGGAATCATACAATATTTGTCCTTTTATATCTATTTATTTCACTTAGCATGTTTTCAAGGTTCATCCATGTTGTAATATGTATCAGAAAGTCATTCTTTTAATAGCAGAATAATAATCCATTGCATTGTGATATGTTCCATTGTATATATGACATTTTATCAATTCATCTGTTGATGAATACTTGGATTATTTTCACCTGTGGCAATTATAAATAATGCCGTTATGAATGCTTGGTTTTGGTTCTTTCGAGTACACACCTAGGAGTGGAATTGCTAGATAATATGCTGGATCATAAACAATATCTCATTGCAACCTAAGTGTTGTTAAAAGTAGGATATGAAACAATGGCTGCTATGGTACAGATAGATGGTGAGAATGAATTATAATTCATTTAGTAAAGTGATCTTAGGTCCCACAAGAGATTTATTTATTGTTCCTTTATGGATTAGGATAAAACTAATTTTAAATTATAAATTTTTGGTTATTTAAAAAAATTTATTTCAAAAATACACACAGTACCTTATAGGCCTGGATGAGCATGTAGATTACCCCAGGGGCGCCATGGCACCAATGGACAAGCAGATCTCGATTATCACCTATACATGGAGGGTAATTGCCAGAAGGGAATTTCAGCTGGCAGACGTAGTCTACACTGGGCTTGACCAAACTATGTAACTTCCCTTGGCTCACTTGAAGGCTGGGCTAAAAATGAGAAGGAAATTATTAGTTCTGCTGAAGCAAATAAACCTTCCTAGGTCTCAGTATATTTAAACCAGAAAAAAAGCATGGCTAAGGGGAAATGGAAGGTCATTAAGAGGTTTTGGATTTCATCCAATTTTTCCACCTATTGGATGCCTTTATTTTAAGCTTTTGTGATTTCATTTAAAAATTTTAAACAATGGGACAAAGTAAAATTGCTATCAGTTAACTCTTAGGGCCTTTTGTATATATGGTTTTTCTTTCTTTTTTTTTTTTTTTTTTGAGATGGAGTTTCACTCTTGTCACCCAGGCTGAAGTGCAATGGTGCGATCTTGGCTCCCTGCAACCTCCACCTCCCGGGTTCAAGTGATTGTCCTGTCTCAGCCTCCCAAGTACTTGGGATTACAGATGCCTGTCACCACGCCTGGCTAATTTTTGTGTTTTTAGTAAAGACGGGGTTTCACCATGTTGGCCAGGCTGGTTTTGAATTCCTGACCTCAGATGATCCGCCCACCTTGGCCTCCCAAAGTGCTGGGATAACAGGCATGAGCCACTGTGCTCGGCATTTTGTATATATTGTTTTTCAATATTAATTGCTATCTACATACATATAAATAATTTTCCTAAGTCAATGCCTATGAATGTGAGTGTAAGAGAAGTTTCTCATGGTTTCAATATATAAAACAAGCTTTAAAAGTCACAAAGAGATGCACTGGACAAACCAAGCATGACTTTCGTTATTACATTTAGAGAAGAGATAGGTGGTATTTTCAATAGAAAAAGGATACTAACAAGTTAAGAGACCTGGAATCTAGATTCCAAACTACAGCATGCCTCTAGATCAAGTCTTTTTGCAGAGGATTTAGGACTGATCTAAATGCCACATTATTTTGACATAACAACGTACAGATCCATAGGACATACTGACATACAGCATATGAGCCACCATTTTTGATACACATTTTAGTTTCTCCTTTTGGTCCTGTTCTTAATTCAATGACTGCTAATGTCTTTAACAGATTCAAAGTGCTGTTTCACTAGGCAAGGTGTGGGGCATGTGGTGGTGAGGGGTGGGCAGTGGTGTGAAGCACAGGCAGGAGGCGGTCGTGGTGGGGTCAAAGCAATGCTGACAATATGACTTCCACAAGATTCTGAAAGTGGACTGAGTTGTTTAGAAGGCAGATTTCATTTCATACAAAGAATAGCATTTAAGCTCAGAGTGTTACAGTAGAATGAGTGGACTCTCCTCAAACTTGCAGGAATTACCCAACATGGCCTAAAAATAATGATGTTTTATTTTATGTTGATGAAGGCGTACCTACTAGAATAGACTTTCAGGATTAAAAATTAAATCATTTCAAAGAGATGATAACCTGCAAATGGAAAAATCAATACTTGGGTTTTCAGATTTCTTACTACAGCTAACACAAGGAGGCAGAGTATGTCTCCTGATTATTTGTTTCAATGAAAGTTTGATGAGGCTGTCTAGTCACTAACCAACTATGTCTCCTGATTATTTGTTTCAATGAAATTTCGATAAGGCTGTCTAATCCTCTTTGGAGAGGGCCTCTAGTATGTTTGATTCTAACTAACCTTGAAACTTCAGAAGACTCTTCTTTCCTGAAAGCTTTTAGGAATCTACATTTACTACTGGGAATAGAGAGGAAGACATGCACCAGAAAAATAAAGAAATTTAAGTCTAAATGTCAACATCCTAATTATATAACCTCTAATTGAAAAGTGTAGAATAAATACGCTAGTCTCTGATTGCCACTAACACTCAATGTGTGACTCTGCATTCAAAAATAATAATAATCTTGAGTTTTTCAGTTCTGTTGTCCTTGTTTATTTATAGGTAGAGGGCAGGTCCAACACTGATCTTGTATTATAAGAGCCAGCTACTCAAAGAGCTGGTAGTATGTATATCCAAGCACTCCTGCTGAACACGTTAATGAAACACTTTTCTTTATGCCACAGTGTGCCTTGGGAAGGTGACAGGGGTACCTCTGCTGCCATTAAAAATCAATTTTCTTTGCCATGAATTCTTATTCAGAAGTGCCAGTTTCTCCTTAAGGAGAGCTTCGTAAGTCTCCCAAAATGATGCTCTCCTGAGAAGTCCTCTTCTGATCTCTCCCAAGTTATGTCTGCTGCAGTAAATTCTATCTGTCTTTAGTCTATTTGACTTTGGTTGATGTGCCCCAATAGTATTAGATCCCAAGAACTGTAGGGCAGAGCATATTCAGCTGTTTTTCAGGTAAGTAGAAGTCTCCTCAGCTTTGCTCTCTAAGTGAGCATTAGGCAACAAGTGCTCATTTGTTTTCTATTGATTTTGTTCTTATTCCTGGAATTTGTTGGAATCAGTTGTACCTTTTAATGTGGAATAATAGTTTTAATTCAAAGCACTGGCTGAAAGAGCAGAGCAGAGGCACTTCATACAGAATTATAAGTCAAAACACTTTAGTCTGCACAAGTGGCACTAAGTGGGCAAGCACGATCACCTGCAAATCAAACATCATTTTAAAACGCAGGGCCTTTAATGTTTATACACTTTTAAAGGCACCTTCGTAAACATTACTTTTGTTTGTCTAGGACAAGTAATTACAAGGAGAGTACTGTAATGCAGTGGTTGACAGAATGACAAACTAGAACTAGAATATCTGTTTTCTCACCCATGATAGTACATGGGTCAGGAAGGACATTTTAAAATTTCACCATAATCACTCCTTACCTGCATCAGGTAGTAATAAATTCCAGCCAGGCCATGAGCAGCCCCTACATAATATTCCTGGTACCATTCATACATCAGTGGAGACTTTGCCGTGAAGTTTCTCTTCCTAGCTAGGTTTTCTCCAGAGGTTAAAATTGTTTCACAAATCTACAGGGAGAAAACCAACCAAAATAACAAGTTAACTGAACAAAAATCTTCCTGGAGGAGGTAAAGACTTTTTTGCTAAGAGGTACTGGGGAACATGACAAATTAGACACCAGCTTATAGCCAGGGAAAGGCACAGTTTAATTCTCCATCAGAGAAGTGTGTGGGACTGTATTTAGCCTAGAAGGGGGAGGGCGTAGAGGATCTTGAGCTCTTTGCATTACAGTTTACAAGAGTTCGCCTGTCAAAGAAAAGCATAAACTCCTCTAGGCACCACCAAAGGAGATCCTCCATCTGGGAGGTGAAATTTGGCTCTAATCCTCTTTGGAGAGGGCCTCTAAATTCTGAAATGGAGCAGACTGGCCTTCGGACTCTTGAGACAGAAATGTTTCCAACAGCACTCCGTAGAAAGCTATTGGTTCTTGGACTGTGCCCAACCTTTAGAGGTCCAGATACACCTTCCTTTATATGGAATGTGCTAACTACAGAGACATAAACAATAGTTTAGGCAGATAGTAAGTAAATGGGATCCTAAAAAGGCTCCTAAAAACACAAAAACGTGGTACCTGCTGAATATGGCTTTGAGGAATCTTTTCCACTCCAAAGTTCTTATTGACAAAAAGAAGAGCATAGATGTAGCCTATTCGCCCATAGAGCATTTCATTTGGAGCATGAGGATCAATCTTATTTAGGTGAATTAGCCTAAAAATAAAAATACATGCCCCAAATAATTTGAAAGGAACCAGGTATTGGTGTATACTTAAAAATGGTACATTGAAAAAAATATACATGCACACAAAATATGTATTTATACATATATAATATCTATTTATAGAACAGTCACGGTTCACAGATTAGCCCTCCATTAAATTTCTTCACTTAACAATGGAACTGACAAATACATTCATAAAATGAAAGAATACAAATGTATGGCTGAGGCTATCTGAAATCTCCCTAGTTCCTCATGGAGGCAGGCCCTAAGGTGAGTATTTTAGCAGTTGGGGTCAAAGAAGCCAAGAACTGCTGGCTTTTAGGGCATTTAGCCCAGAGAAAGGACTAAGCCAACACTCAAATGGCCCATCATCTCCTTCCTTGGTTTATTTCTTAATGTGTCACCAGGCCTACTTGAAGTAGGTTTCATCTATCACAGTCAATAATACATGTACATTTTTTTTTTTTTTTGAGACAGTTTCGCTCTTCTTGCCCAGGCTGGAGTGCAATGGCGTGATCTCGGCTCACCGCAACCTCCGCCTCCCAGGTTTAAGTGATTCTCCTACCTCAGCCTCGCGAGGGGATGGGATTATAGGTACACACCACCACACCTGGCTAATTTTGTATTTTTAGTAGAGACGGGGTTTCTCCATGTTGGTCACGCTGGTCTCCAATTCCCGACCTCAGGTGATCAGCCTGCCTCAGCCTCCCAAAGTGCTGGGATTATAGGTGTGAGCCACTGCAACTGGCCAATACATGCAAATATTAATAGTACAAGAGGTGTCAGTCAGGTCTCCATCTCCTCAGTCTCCCAGCCTTCTAGTTCTCCTCAGAAATCACCATGGTTACCATTTTTTTGTGTGTATTCCTAGATTTTATGTACACATAAGCATAAATATACATATGTATAAATATTCTACAGCTTGCTATTTAACAATACATCTTGACAATGGTTCCATAACAGCACACAGAGTAGTCACATTCTTTGTAATACTTGCATAGAACCCCACTGAATTATAGTTCATTCAATCCCTACGGATAGACTCAGTTGAGCTTCTCAGAAAAAGTTACTTTCAGTTCTGATTTCAGGTAAGATGGAGCAAGCATGCTCTGCACCTTGTGTCTCCCTCAAAATGTGGCTCTAAAACCTGGACAGGATACAGCAGCTATTTGAGGTCTCTGAAAAGCAAACAGTAACATGCAAAAAGGGGAAGAGGACAGGAATCTGAAGTAGCACCAAACCAATGGTGAGTTTACCATTTTTTCTCTCTGGTATTCCCCGGTCTGAACTCAGTACAGCACAAAACCCAAAAGTAGGCACAAGTAGGCTTATAGAGACCCAGAAGAAGCCCTCTAGTGCTGTCTGAACAAAGAGAACTCCTAATATCAGAGAGAATGGGTTAACCCTCCATTTTTCTTTATTTTCCTTTTCTCAGTTCTCTTGTGCCCCAAGCTACAAAGCAATCTCATGCTGGGAGCAGGTGCGAAGACAAGGGGAGCCCTGGGAGCCTAAACTCTGAGGGAGGGAAATTTCCCCACAGATTGGAGGAACTGCAGTCTTAGGAGGGGGTTATAAGCCCCCATTGCTTTACTTCTCTGTCCTCCACATCACCTGGCCCCAGATGCATGCATAGTCATAGACATGGCACAGCAGGGTCATCAAAGCCCCACCCTTTTCATCAGAGACCAAAAGGGGAAGCCTCAGGAACCAGCAAGTAGGGGAGAAGATCACAGAGGGAAGTCAGTTTAGGAAAGTAACCATCTTTGGTAGTTTGACCTCTGAGAATGTTCCCTTTTTGGGGGGAGGGGAGTGGGCAGCAAATATGATAGGGAAGAAAAATGTCCTTGCTATTTTAGATGTTTTGTCACATGAAATTTTGAAGTGCATCTCAATCATCCCTAAATTAGCCTATAAATTTGATATGATCCTATTTAAGTTAAAACATTTTAATTTTTGGTGAAACTTAACAAAATGATATTAGCACAAAGAGCCAATGAAACTCTGGAAGAAAGTAGTAATGAGACGACATTAGCCCTAACAAATGTTATCAGGTAGCTTTCGACACTAAATCTTTGTTCTTAAAATTTTTCATCTGTGAAATAAATAGTCCCTTCCAGTTTAGAAATTATCGTGTTTATCTATATGGAAATTTAATTTTAAAGTAGTTAAGCAGAAGCAGTGTGCCGTGCCTGTGCATGTCTGTCATCTAACTTCAGTCTATACACTAGGGATGGTTAATTAGCATTTGAAGTAACAAACATCAGGTCCCTCCAACCCCCGCCCCAAAGTGATGTATTTGAAGTACTCTAAGCAGGAGTCAACACTCAGAGGTACTCAGCACTGAAGTGCCTCTTTTTCATATAGGAACTTTATCAAAATCTACACCAGAGAATTTGTTATTATTAAGGAATGATAGAAAATGGTTTTTCATTGGTGGAATGAGTGGTAAAGATGGGCTGGAGGTTTGGAAGATGGTACGGGCTTTCCCACTCTTTGATGAATAAAGTCTAAGAAGGGCTTGAGGGCAATGTGACTTTCTCTGAGCTACAAAAACAGGGTAGGAGACTGTATGTATGTATGTATGTGTGTCTAAAGAGTATCTTCTTCCTAAAGTGTTTGCACAGTTGGCAGAATTGGGCACCCACTTGTGCTTTCATTTGAACATACTCAGAAGGTAGGGGTAGAGCTGAGGGGGTTTACAGCCTTTACTGCCAGTCTCTGGAGACCACCAATATGTACAACAAAAACAAACAAAATCAAACAAAATCCCAAGCAAACAAAAACCTAACAATTGTTACCACCAGGCTATAGATACAGTGAGTGAAAACATCCTAGCTCAGCAAGGAGGGCAGATATGAAAGAGAACAATCTTCCTCTCCCATCTCCCTCTCCACTACTTCCACACGCTTGTGGTGAGGGGGGAGAAAACATTTAAAATGAAGAGGATAGGTTTTAAATAAGCAGAATGAGATGATTTTAGTGAGTGAAAGTGGCTGACAGTTATGAAAGAAAGACTGAGAGAAACTTATGAAGGAGTCTTTAAGGGAACTGCAGGAAAGTGGGGGTTGAAAAAGCATGGCTAGTTGCAGTTAGTGAAACAGTTTAAACTTTTTCATATTATTTCCTCATCAAATTGAGGCAACTCAAATTAGTTAAATATGCAAATGCTGGCTCATCCATTTTTTTCTTCTACAAATATAGGCAACAATTCATAGTGAAACAGTGGTTATCTTAGGAAGAGATATACTGAGAAATAGATAACCAAGAAACTTGGCTAGAGGTTTCTTTCCTTTTTCTTCTAATACATTTTCTTGTATACTTTGACCTTTTTTAAAACAATAGGGCTTATGGATAGAATTATGGGCCATTTTGTTTTCTACTTCGATACCATATATATCTACACACACACACTCCCTTAATTTTTAAAAGTAATTTTTAATTTTTGAATACGAATTTTAAATTTTTAATAAAAACATTTATTAAGAATTTTTTTTCTCATTCCAGAACTGGGAGCTCAGTAACGTTGGGGCCATAAGAAAACAAAATGTGTTTATTAGATACAAATTCAACTGTTACAGTAAACAATGAATATCTCAAGTTTTGATATGAACCTATTTTTAATATAAATGTGTCAAATTATATAGAAGTTCAATATAAAGTACTTTTGACTTACTTTTGCAAAGATTGAAAGAACTATGAAAAAAAATTACTGTAATTTTTTTTAAACACATACTGTTCTATGGAAGTATTACACCGAATTACTGCATTGATTCCAATGATATTCCAACTGAAATAAAATATTTGAACCACGGCATTAACTCCATTCCTTTTTTGCTGATGTTAGGACATACATTACCACTAGGTGGCAATATATAATTAGCATTCCATTTACTTTGCAGCCAAACACATTTGCATTTGCAACATTCAAAGTAGGTAGCAAATACCTTTCAAATATTTATCTAAAATACAGTATTGCTCAGAGCATCTTATTAAAACAATACAGTTTAGGGTAATAAAGGAAGCATATCCCTTTTTTTCTGGATTTGAATTCAAATCACTAAAATTCATTAGTTGGGTTCGATGATTACTAGGACTTAACTGCAAGTTGTACATGCTATATTCTCAAGATATAAGACTAAAAATAAAATATTTATATTAAGATATAAAAATAAAGAAATGATATCACTGATAAATCATAATGGTTATTTTATGTGTTTTCAGAAACTCTCAAACTAACAAGCACTTTGTTGCAGCTTCATTTATTTGTTTTGATATGTTGATATTAATGCAACCCATCTTTAGAAGAGATAGCCAAGTCACTGAAATGTCACTGAAAGAAGAATGAAGACACACAAACAGGATAGTTCTGTTCCTCTCCTCACAGTACTTCCTCAGGGTGTTACTGGGGAGAGTTTTTGGCCTTGTATTATCAAAAGGTTTGTAACTTTAAAAACAGATGTCCAGTGTCTGGGCAGGGCATTTCTGAAAAAAAGGCAGCAGCCCCAGTCAGGGAATTACAGATAAAACCCCTATCTCCCTAGGACAGAGCACCTGGGGGAAGGGGTGGCTGTGGGCACAACTTCAGCAGACTTAAACATTCCTGCGTGCCGGCTCTGAAGAGAGCAGTGGATCTCCCAGCACAGTGCTCGAGCTCTGCTGAGGGAAAGACTGTCTCCTCAAGTGAGTCCCTGCCCCCCTGTGCTTCCTGACTGGGAGACACCTCCCAGCAGGGGTCGACAGACACCTCATACAAGAGAGCTCCGGCTGGCATCTGGCGGGTGCCCTCTGGGACAAAGCTTCCAAAGGAAGAAACAGGCAGCTATCTTTGCTGTTCTGGAGGCGCCACTGGTGATCAATATCAACAAAAAGGACATCCACTCAGAAACCCCATCTGAAGGTCACCAACGTCAAAGACCAAAGGTAGATAAATCCACGAAGATGGGAGAAACCAGTGCAAAAAGGCTGAAAATTCCAAAAACCAGAATGCTGCTTCTTCTCCAAAGGATCACAACTCCTTGCCAGCAAGGGAACAAAACTGGGTGGAGAATGAATTTGACAAATTGACGGAAGTAGGCTTCAGAAGGTGGGTAATAACAAACTCCCCTGAGCTAAAGGAGCATGTTCTAACCAAATGCATGGAAGTTAAGACCCTTGAAAAAAGCTTAGAGGAATTGCTAACTAGAATAACCAGTTTTGAGAAGAACATAAACGACCTGATGGAGCTGAAAAACACAGCATGAGAGCTTTGTGAAGCATACACAAGTATCAATGGCCAAATTGATCAAGCAGAAGAAAGGATATCAGAGATTGAAGATCAATTTGATGAAATAAAGCATGAAGACAAGGTTAGAGAAAAAAGAATAAAAAGGAACGAAAGCCTCCAAGAAATAACGGACTATGTGAAAAGATCAAACCTACATTTGCTGTACCTGAAAGCGACGGGGAGAATGCAACCAAGTTGGAAACACTCTTCAGGATATTATCCAGAACTTCCCCAACCTTCACATTCACATTCAGGAACAACATTCACATTCAGGAAACAGAAAGCACCACAAAGATACTCCTTGAGAAGAGCAACCCCAAGACACATAATCGTCAGATTCACCAAGGCTGAAATGAAGGAAAAAGTGTTAAGGGCAGCCAGTGAGAAAGGTCGGGTTACCCACAAAGGGAAGCCCATCAGACTAACAGTGGATCTCTATGCAGAAACCCCAGAAGCCAGAAGACAGTGGGGGCCAATATTCAACATTCTTAAAAGAATTTTCAACCTAGAATTTTATATCCAGCCAAACTAAGCTTCATAAGCAAAGGAGAAATGGAGAAATAAAATCCTTTACGGACAAGCAAATGCTGAGAGATTTTGTCATCACCAGGCCTGCCTTACAAGAGCTCCTGAAGGAAGCACTCAACATGGAAAGGAACAACTGGTACCAGCTACTGCAAAAACATACCAAATTGTAAAGACCATTGACACTATGAAGAAACTGCATCAACTAGTGGGCAAAATAACCAGCTACATCATAATGACAGGATCAAATTCACACATAACAATATTAACCTTAAATGTAAATGAGCTAAATGCCCCAATTAAAATACACAGACTGGCAAATTGGAGGAAGAGTCAAGACCCATAGGTATGCTGTATTCAGGAGACCCAGCTCATGTGCAAAGACACACATAGGCTCAAAATAAAGGGATGGAGGCATATTGACCAAGCAAATGGAAAGCAAAAAAAAGGCAGGGGTTGCAATCCTAGTCTCTGATAAAACAGACTTTAAACCAACAAAGATCAAAAGAGACAAAGAAGGCCATTACATAATGGTAAAGGGATCAATGCAACAAGAAGAGCTGAATATCCTAAATGTATATGCACCCAATACAGGAGCACCCAGATTCATAAAGCAAGTTCTTAGAGACCTACAAAGAGACTTAGACTCCCACACAAAAATAGTGGGAGACTGTAACACCCCACTGTCAATATTAGACAGATCAACAAGCAGAAAATTAACAAGGATATTCACGACTTAAACTCAGCTCTGGACCAAGCAGACCTAATAGACATCTATAAAACTCTCCACCCCAAATCAACAGAATGTACATTCTTCTCAGCACCACATCACACTTATTCTAAACTTGACCTCATAATTGGAAGTAAAACATTCCTCAGCAAATGGAAAAGAATGGAAATCCTAACAGTCTCTCAGGCCATAGTGCAATCAAATTAGAACTCAGGATCAAGAAACTCACTCAGAACTGCACAACTACACGGAAAGTGAACAACCTGCTCCTGAATGACTACTGGGTAAATAACGAAATTAAGGCAGAAATAAATAAGTTCTTTGAAACCAATGAAAACAAAGACACAATGTACCAGAATCTCTGGCATACAGCTAAAGCAGCGTTTAGAGGGAAATTTATAGCACTAAATGCCCACAAGAGAAAGAAGGAAAGATCTAAAATCGACACCTTAACATCACAATTAAAAGAACTAGAGAAGCAATAGCAAACAAATTCAAAAGCTAGCAGAAGACAAGAAATAAGTAAGATGAGAGCAGAACTGAAGGAGATAAAGACATGAAAAACCCTTCAAAAAAAATCAGTGAATCCCAGAGTTGGTTTTTTGAAAAGATCAATAAAATAGATAGACCACTAGCCAGACTAATAAAGAAGAAAAGAGAGAAGAATCAAATAGGCACAATAAAAAATGATAAATGGGGATATCATCACTGATCCCACAGGAATACAAACTACCATCAGAGAATACTATAAACATCTCTATGCAGATAAACTAGAAAATCTAGAAGAAATGGATAAATTCCTTGACACATACACCCTCCCAAGACTAAACCAGGAAGAAGCTGAATCCCTGAATAGACCAATAACAAGTTCTGAAATTGAGGCAGTAATTAATAGCCTACCAACCAAAAAAAGTCCAGGACCAGACAGATTCACAGCCGAATTCTACCAGAGGTACAAGGAGGAGCTGGTACCATTCCTTCTGAAACTATTCCAAACAACAGGAAAAAAGGGACTCCTCCCTAACTCATTTTATGAGGCATCATCCTGATACCAAAACCTGGCAGAGACACAACAAAAAAAAGAAAATTTCAGGCCAATATCCCTGAAAAACATCAATATGTAAATCCTCAGTAAAATACTGGCAAACCAAATCCAGCAGCACATCAAAAAGCTTATCCACCATGATCAAGTCAGCTTCATCCCTGGGATGCAAGGCTGGTTCAACATACACAAATCAATAAATGTAATCCGTCACATAAACAGAACCAAAGACAAAAACCACATGACTATCTCAATAGATGCAGAAAAGGCCTTCCACAAAATTCAACAGCCCTTCATGCTAAAAACTCTGAATAAACTAGGTATTGATGGAATGTATCTCAAAATAGTAAGAGCTATCTATGACAAGCCCACAGCCAATATCATACTGAATGGGCAAAAACTAGAAGCATTCCCTTTGAAAACCAGCACAAAACAAGGATGCCCTCTTTCACCACTCCTATTCAACATAGTATTGGAAGTTCTGGCCAGGGCAATCAGGCAAGAGAAAGAAATAAAGGGTACTCAGATAGGAACAGAGGAAGTCAAATTGTCTCTGTCTGCAGACGACATGATTGTATATTTAGAAAACCCCTTCATCTCAGCCCAAGATCTCCTTAAGCTGCTGATAAGCAAAGTCTCAGGATACAAAATCAATGTGCAAAAATCACAAGCATTCCTATACGCTAATAATAGACAAAGAGCCAAATCATGGGTGAACTCCCATTCACAATTGTTACAAAGAGAATAAAATACCTGGGACTACAACTTACAAGGGATGTGAAGGACCTCTTCAAGGAGGACTACAAACCACTGCTCAAGAAAATAACAGAGGACACAAACAAATGGAAAAACATTCCATGCTCATGGATAGGAAGAATCAATATTGGGAAATGACCACACTGCCCAAAGTAATTTATAGATTCAATGCTATCCCCATTAAGCTACCACTGACTTTCTTCACAGAATTAGAAAAAACTAGTTTAAATTTCATATGGAACCAAAAAAGAGCCTGCATAGCCAAAAGAATCTTAAGCAAAAAGAACAAGGCTGGATGCATCATGCTACCTGACTTCAAACTATACTACAAGGGTCCATTAACCAAAACAGCATGGTACTGGTACCAAAAACAGATATATAGACCAATAGAACAGAACAGAGGCCTCAGAAATAACACCACACACGTACAGCCATCTGATCTTTGACAAACCTGACAAAAATAAGCAATGGGGAAAGGATTCCCTACTTAATAAATGGTGCTGGGATAACTGGCCAGCCATATACAGAAAACTGAAACTGGACCTCTTCCTTATACTTTATACAAAAATTAACTCAAGATGGATTAAAGACTTAAATGTAAGGCCTAAAACCATAAAATCACTAGAAGACAACCTAGGCAATACCATTCAGGACATAGGCATGTGTAAAGACTTCATGACTAAAACACCAAAAGCAATGGCAACAAAAGCCAAAATTGACAAATGGGATCTAATTAAACTAAAGAGCTTCTGAATATCAGAAGAAACTATCATCAGAGTGAACATGCAACCTATAGAATGGGAGAAAATTTTTGCAATCTATCCATCTGACAAAGGGCTAATATCCAGAATCTACAAATTTACAAGAAAAAAACATAACTCCATCAAAAAGTGGGCAAAAGATATGAACAGATACTTCTCAAAAGAAGACATTTATGTGGCCAACAAAGATATGAAAAAAAGCTCATCATCACTGGTCATTAGAGAAATGCAAATCAAAACCACAATGCGATACCATCTCAAGCCAGTTAGAATGGCGATCATTAAAAAGTTAGGAAACAACAGATGCTGCATAGAATGTGGAGAAATAGTAATGCTTTTACACTGTTGGTGGGAGTGTAAATTAGTTCAACCATTGTGGAAGACAGTGTGGCAATGCCTCAAGGATCTAGAGCCAGAAATACCATTTGACCAGCAATTCCATTACTGGGTATACACCCAAAGGATTATAACTTATTCTACTACAAAGACAAATGCACACGTATGTTTATTGCAACACTGTTCACAATAGCAAAGACATGGAACCAACCCAAATGTCCACCAAAGATAGACTGGATAAAGAAAATGTAGCACATATACAACATGGAATACTATGCAGCCATAAAAAAGGATGAGTTCATGTCCTTTGCAGGGACATGGATGAAGCTAAAAACCATCATTCTCAGCAAACTAACACAAGAACAGAAAACCAAACACCACATGTACTCACTCATTAAGTGAACAATGAGAACACATGGACACGGGGAGGGGAACATCACACACCGGGGCCTGTCAGGGGGTGGGGGACTAGGGGAGGGATAGCATTAGGATAAATACTTAATGTAGATGACAGGTTGATTGGTGCAGCAAACCACCATGGCACGTGTATACCTGTGTAACAAACCTGCATATTCTACACATGTACCCCGGAACTCAAAGTATAATAACAACAAAAAAGTAGAAGCATAAGCAATGATTTTTACAAGCCATAATAATAGGTAACATTTATAAGTACTTTTTCAGTTTAGGTGCCATAATTTATGCTAAGTGATTTCCATCAATTATCTCAAATAAATAATCTGCACAACATTCCTTATCTCTATTTTACAAATGAGAGACTAAGGTTTAGAGTAATTTACCCAAGATCACACAGTAGGGAGTGCAGCTGGAATTCCAAAGCCCCCATAGCACTCACAGCCCCACACTGGCTATATAGGCTCCAGGCTTCCTTCTCCAGAACCTACTAAATAGCCTTTTAAAAATTCCTTTTCTGAGATAAAAAAGAAATGTGGTATATACATATAATGGAATATTATTCAGTCATTGAAAGGAACAAAGTTTTGATACATTCTATAACGTAGATAAACCTTGAAGACACTATGCTAAATGGAGTAAGCCAGACACAAAAGAACAAATGTATAATCCACTTATATAAAATACGTAAAATAAGCAAATTCATAGAAAAAGTAGAATATAGATTACCAGGGGATGATGGTATGGGGGTATGGGGAATTACTTTTTAATGGGTACAGTTTCTGTTGGAGTAATAAAACATTTTTTGAAAATAAATAGTGCTGATGGTTGTACAACACTGTGAATATAATTAATGCCAATGAACTGTACATTTAAAAATGGTTAAATTGCAAATTTTATGTTATGTATATTTTACCACAATAAATATTTTTAAATCCCTTTTCTGCTTATTAAAAAAAAAAAAAAGATGTCCATTACTGACTCGTCACACTACAAGAAGGGAGGTTATATATTTCTGGACCAGAAAGCCAGAGCGCTTCATCATTCTAAGTACTGGCCCCAAAGCACTATAAATGTTAGGTTAGCCATCTAATTGGGAACAGGCAACACACTTTATTCATGTTGTGGCACTGATGTGTAGAAGTGGGTGGGATGAAAACAGATCTGATATGTATCAGGCAGTAGAACAAATTAATGCAATGTATTGTCCTCCCCTCCACTCCCCAGCCATTTGTAGGACAATTTGAACATGAACATACACACACACACCCTCCTTTTGGGGAGTTATAGATCCCTTTAAGAAAAGCACAAATGCTCCCTCCTTGAATATAATTTGGGGGTTTTATACACTGCCAGAAACCCTAAGATTCTGGCCCAAGGTTAAGAATATGTACTATAGGGAAACACTGATTTCCTTGGATTTCAATTTCTGTAAGGATTAGACTTTTGATGATCTCAAAGGACTGTCTGGTCTCTAAAACTTAAAAATTATGCTTTTGAAAGAACATTACATTAAGAAAATGTAGAAAAAGCAAGCTAGCTAGAACATGATGTTGGCAATGAAGCACAACAAAGGCAGTACACAGAGAATGTGAGCGTGGGATCTCAAAAGGTCTGTAAAATGAGAAAAAAGGTTTAGTAAAAAGTTAAAGGAGGTTTACTAAATAACTTATATTAAATAATTTTGGATTTCTTGAAATTAAGTCAAATTTCTAGATTTTTCCTTTGAAAAGATAAAGCAAACTCCGTAACTTACAAATCATTCCAAGTCATTCTTTTTCTGTTTTGTATAAAATAAAAAATCTGAAAAAAATCAAAGCTATAGCCACAAATAGTGTATTTTCCTATTATATTCACATACTATATTTTTAACCTTAACAAGCCTACTGGCTATAAATACTGTCGAAATGTCAAAATTTAAAAAGGTAAATGACAACAACACCCTTAGTACCAATATACCAAAAACAACAAAAATCTTAGCATACTCTTAGGAGCATTTTAATACACTAATATTGATATTGTACCATTTCCCAAAGAGTGTGTTAGAATAGGCCCTCAAGATTTCATGAAGAAGAGGGTTGTATAGGTGAGTTAACATTGGCAAGTGCTGCTCCCTAGAGTTGGCGTGTTGTCCCCAGGTATACAAGCTACAGAAGAAGCTAAGCAGCCGGTAAAGACACATATTTAATTTTGTTTAATTAGTGCTTTGATACAAATTCCCATCTGTTTGAATCTATGAATCTTGGTCTCATTGAACACATTAACATTTCTCACATAGCAAACTATTAAAATGTGGCTGCATGTATTATGGAAAGGCTGGCATTATATATAGAATATTGGGAGCACTACAATTTATCTGATGGTACTTAACAAGTGATTCACTGAATGAGAGTATCTTGTGGACCTCTAAAGCAGTTGTTGGCTGATGGCTTTAAACATCAGCTATGTAAAAAAAATTAAAAGGTAGTCTCTGTGTTTCAAATTTAGGTGAGTATGGAACAGTTTTTGTATTGGCAAGTCTTATGCAAGTCAGCTACTATGGAAGGAACACACTTTAAACTTTGGGGGAAATCACTGTTTTGTTTCATCTTTCATTTTGGTCGAGCTTGGTGACAGGTTTTATATTAAAAGCTTCTCAGCTCTGGAGTGGAATGTTCAGTTTTTTTCCTCTAGACACACTAAGTAATGTGTTTTTAAAGTTATACTATGTAATGTCTAGCCCCTAAGAAATGTAGCATAGGCATGTATTTAAAAAAAGGTGTTTTGAAGAATACGTCAATTCAGAAAATGATCCAATATAATGATTCCCAAATCATTTTGGGTGGAGCAAGACTCCCACCCCTTCTTTTTGTTACACTTTCCAGTGGAAAAAGTTAGTTACAATAAGAAAATATCACTGCATGGGAAAAAATTGGGAGAGAAGGGAGATATGCATACATACACACACACACACACACACACACACACACACACACACACACGCCTAAACAATAGGGGTATAAATCATTCCTTTTTTGAATACAGCACTATGATATCTTAAAAAGTCCAAAAAGCCTGTTGTTTAAATATACACCAGCAAACAGTATAAGATTAGCCAACGGATCCTAGACAAACTAAATTGGTGATGGTAATGCCATCCTAACAGTAATCTATAAGAAAGAATAGTGGGAATCAAACACCATGGTCAACTCAGGGACAGTCACTGGTTAAAACGTTGCTGGAGTGTTAGCACGCGCAGTGGAGCCTAAGAGCGATGCATGCAGAGTTGCACGGCAGCCAGGGTTCTTAGAACTCCGAAAGAGTGCTTAATAAACTCTGGTAAGGCAACAATTAAAGTCTATTAGTACAAACATTTAATAATTCTTCATAATTCACCAGCTTCTAGTGGACCACCATAATTTATACCAAAATGAAAATCAGGATGTGCATGTCATTGCCTCTAAGAAAGGCCGTTTTGAATCAGTCTGTGGTCCCTTAGAAGGACTCTCCCAGCCCACCTGTAGGAACTGAACTGCATTTCCTTGAATTACAGATCTTGGATAGCACTTTGGATTAGTAATCATATGTTAAGGCTTTCGATCTCATTTACATTATTGAACTGATGTTTAATCTGGAACATGACAGTGTCTTTTATCTTGCACTAAAATAGGGATTATAATCGTTGTTCCTTAACTACAACACAGGAATATGACAATTGATCAAATGACAGCAGTGAGATTTATCTGCTAAGAGAAAAGTAAACTCACTAGAATGTTCTTTTGTTAACACATGCAGAATTAATGCATAATGATGCTAGAAAATAATCCTCATATAGAAACATGATTACCGTGTGATGCAATCTTCTGCCTGCTTCTCATTGTTCATCTTGTGATATAGCACAGCGGCCACTGCCAGGGGGCCTGCATCCCCACAAAGGAAGGTGATGGAGCGCTTGGTTAAGCAGTTCAGACTTTGCTTTACATAGCCATGTGCTAACTGTAGGTAGGCAGGGTCCCCAAATACATCATAAAGATGTAAGTAAAGCACAGCAATACCTGAAAAAAAAAAAAGGAAACAATGTAAAGATGAGGAAAGGCAGTTATTTTATTATTTTTGGCATGGTGTCTACTCAGCAGCGATTTTTGATAACCTGTAGCAAATTTATTAATGATCTGGAAGTTTGGGTGACTTTAATTCTAGGCTCAGCTCTATTAGTAAGCAACTCTACGAACCAGCATAAGCCAACCACTTACTTGTCCTCAGTTTCCTCATTATGACAACTCTATTAAATAATAAGGTCTCTAAGGCTCTGGCCAATAAAGAGACACACAGCCTATTATTAGTCTTTGTTGTACTCTGGTTATTGTGTTAATGTATTCTTCTTGATGTCGAAATGATGTGTCATTAAACTAGGGTTCCAAATAAATGTAATTGATTTACCAATAATTATTTAATAAGAAAGGGTTTGTTGTGAACTAAAGAAATTCAAAGACCAGGGAATGAAAATTTCAATTTCTCTTTACGTAAAAGTTTGTTTTGTGTGTGTGTGTGTTTTTTTTTTTTTTTTTGTGAAAAGGTAGTTAATGTAACCAAATCCCCTGCCCCAGTATCCTTCCAGGCAGGGATTATAAGAAAGTTATTTGATAGCTGAGAAAAAATATTCAACCCCTAGATTTTTTTCTGTCGAGGGCCCACCTACTTTGGTAAATGTAATGTAAAAGCCACCAATGACTTTTGCCTTGGGCTCTACTTGATCAGTTTCTTACCCTACTCTTGAAGCCTGAAATATGTAATAGAGGCATTGTCTGCATGTCCTTATTTCAAATGCCTGTCACAGTGGAAAGAGCCTTCCCTCTGAAGCTAACTGGTCTCAGGGCAGACTCAAAGATGTGGAGTAGGAAGCCTGCCTGCCTGCCTGCAGCATATCCAGAAACCCATTTTTTCCCTTGAAGTACATTTTCCATCTCATTTGCGATTTTTAGAAGACACAGAACCTCTGTTTAAATTTAAATTAATAGAGCCAATCTTCACGGATTTCAATGCAGTAAAAATGCTGTCTGCAAAATTACTTTCCCTGTACTGAGGACAATTTTAAATTTAGATAGTTTTCTCATTTTGCATGGGTAATCTCCAAAGCTTTGTGCTACAGACAATTCAATTTCACATGTATATTAAGGCCAAATTTTCATTTCCTGCCAAAGTTAATAACCTTGACTGCTCTTTCAAAGTGGCTTGGTGTTAGTAATCCCACAAGCTGATGATCAGATGCATCAATGCTTAAGGTTTGTAGACAAGTGTACAAAACCTTGTGTGTAGGTAAGAAAAAAAAAAAAACCCTTTTCACAAATGATTGATGTCAAGAGCTTCTTCTAAAATTAGGTCCTTAATAGGCTTCATCTCCATCCATATCACGCATCTGCAGGTGATCCATTTAAATTGTTAACCTTTCATTTTGCCCTCCTATTCCCATTGCTGCCTGAACTCTCCTAGTTAAGTTATGTAAGCACCAAAGCCAGATAATGACATGATGGAGATCTGAGAAAATAAAAAGTGATTAAACACAAGCCCAGTGATTGTTTTTCTTTCAGATCTTTGTCTCTCATTAGCAACAATTCCTCTTGGCTTAACTATTTAACAAACAAAACCTATTAAGGCTTGCAATTGTAAGATTTGGTGTATTTCTCATGAAAAACAGGTAATCATTTCTCAAGTCTCACAAGAGTACATTTGGATTAAAACTTTCTTTTTGATAGGCAGAGAATTATCTTTCTAGTTTCTGGGATTCCACAATCTCATGTTCCAGTTCTCCCCTACCTCTCATTTGGGCCTCTGGGTCTGTGGATTTTGATAAGCAATCTTCTGCAGATGATAGTTTACTGTGTCTACATTCCCTGTCACAGAACATCCATGGTGGAAAAGGACTTTAAGTGGTGAGTGCTGCTGCCAATTAGAAAAAGTTTCCTGCACATGCTTATTATAAATCAGCCCAGGTCAGGAAAATAAGACAAAATGTATTATGTCACAGACATTTAATACCTCATCAGTATTTTATATAATAGAAAATAATAGAATGTGTCCTAATGACAGAAAAAAGGGAGGACTGCTTGTGGCCAAATGTCTTAAACCTGATCTTTATGGTCCTCAACTGTTGACAATAACCATGCATACACCACCACCTTTGAATCAATACCAAAGACTCAGGGATGGTTGGCAAGGTGGGAAATAAAAACACAACTTCACGGGCTTTGCAGGGAAAATTCACCCAGTCCTAATACATACTTGTGGGCCTGGCTTCAGTCAATGCCTAGAAATGCCTTCAAATGCAATGTTTATCAAAATATATATGTTCTTCATGGAAAAAATTATACAGTACTGAAAGATTTAATATGCAAAACACCAGTCCTCTGGTTTACTGTGTTCCTGCCTTCCAGAGGCAACCATTTTCATCAGTTTCAGCCATTTTCTCTAGTATCTGTCTATTTCTAATAATATGCTTATGTGCTATCTGTTAAGTTTTCTATGTCAGATATTTCTGACTCATATTCTACTCTAGAAAATGAGGAGTTAGCTCTTGTGATGGAGAGTAAGTGGTTTTCCAAATGTATCTTGCCTTTCTCTCAACAATAATGCCCTGGATTTTAGCTGGGCACAGGCTGCTAAGAACAATTTTCTTCACAGCCGGGTATGGCTATGTGGCGAAGTTCTGAACAACAGGATGCAGTGGGAGTAGTGGAGGCAACTTTGGAAAATGTTCTTGAAGGGAAGGCACTGGCGATTTATTTCCTTTTCTACTTTCTTCCTGGCTGGAATACAGATGTGATGGTGCAGCTAGAGCAGTCATCGTCTAAGGACCATGAGTTGGAAGCTCTGTGCTGAGGGTGGTAAAGTTTCAAAGATCAAAGCCACCTAATCCTGGAGGACTGTGAAGCTGCCACACCAGTCCATGGATTGCCTACTTACATAAGAGAAAAATAAACTTCGGTTCTGTTAAAGCCACTGTTATTTTAGATGTATTGCCATGTCCTGGTAGGCCTAATCCTAAGGAAGACAGCTCTTCTCAAAGCTAGAGAGGCAGGCAGAAGCTAGATTACACAGAGTCTAGCAGGCCAGTTAGGATTTGGAGTTTCATTTGAAATGCACCCATTTTAAGCGTGGGAAGAATATACTTAGATTTGTTTTGTTAAAAGTTCACCATAACTGCACTGTAAGGTTTGCAAGGGAGTGTATGAAACAGTGGATGCAGGAGGAACAGTTAGGAGGATGCTTCAGGAGTAGGAGCGAGACACAGGGTGGGTGGTGCAATACAGATCTTGTCAGAATGAACTGGAAAGATACCTGTCTAGAAAGTAAAATCAGCAGAACCTGGTGGGGGATGGCGGAGAAGAAGATGTCAAAATGCCTCCCGATGACTAACTTCAACAGCTAAATGGAAAATGGTGCCATCCACTGAGATGGCAAACCCCTCTGTTGGAGAATCAGGTTTGGGAGGAAAGAGTACAGTTGTATCCATTAATAAATTCATTCCCAAATATGATTCTATTCTCTGAAGGACACTTAATGAGAAAAAACATTTCTACTGACTTCTAACATAACAGCCAAAATTGTTCGAGTTTTGACAAAGAATGATGTAGGCAGTTTCATCTTTTTAATATTTTCTTTCATCTTTTTATCAAAGAATATGCATCTACTTTAAAATGTGACAAAAGCCGGTTTTAGCCAAGTGTATTCTTGGGCTTAAATTTGAATATCACATTACATTTCCTTTTGTGCTGTCTGCTAAGCAAAAAATAGAGTGGAGACATGCTTCCTTCCCTTCATCTTCTCTTCTAGACCAGAAAAAACTTGAATGAGATTTAAATTTTGATTGAACTTAATTGTAAAAATCTGCTCTAAACTGATCTAGAGTTTAGAATTATTTTATATTTAATAAATGGTGTTACTAAATGTCATATTCGTAAGTATGACTATTATGTATATCCACAAGCAGAAGAATGAAATTTGAACCTCATTTTATACTATATACAAAAGTCAACTCAAAATGGACTAAAGACTTAGACTTAAGACCAGAAACTGTAAAACAACTAGAAGAAAACATAGAAGAAAATCTACACATCCAGATGTATAGTACTTTGAATTACTACTCCTGCAACCTGCCTGGTTCATCTAGAAGTGCAGTGTCCAGTATGATACCCTCTAACCATAAATGTCTACAGTAATATAAGTTAATTAAAAGTAAACACAATTTAAAATTCAATCTTAGTCATGCTAGCCACATTTAGAATGTTCAATAGCCACATGTGGCTAGTGGCTGTCGCGATGGAAATAACAACATTTCCATTACTGCAGAACATTCCAAGGAGAGTACTGCTCTGAAGACCAGGAATAGATGTCATTCCGTACAAGAAGTTCAGGAAGTCTGGCACTGCCTGTCAGTTTACCCTAAGAATTTCTTGGTCTTGAAATGTTGATAACTATTAAAAACAAACAAACAAACAAACAAACAAACAAACAAACATGCTGTGAGGACCAAATAAAATTCCTGTTGTAATAGGAATCAGTCCTGGCTTCAGCACGAAAGCTGTGAACTAGATTTTTTTTTTTTTCCTGTAGCTACTACCCTGGGGATGGGAGGGTAAATTATTTAGGGACACTTCTAAATCTGCAATTTCCTTACTCAGGAACTTATGCCAAGCAGTACTATAAATACAGCCAGCTGTTGAGAAGTAATTAATACTAAGCCTTTGAATTTCTGACGGATCATTAGTCCTATTCATTTTGGCCAATCAAGACCTTGCTGTGTCTCATATGCATATGGAGATAAAAATCTCCACAGATACATGAATCTCTCAAAATAC
This sequence comes from Homo sapiens, assembly GCF_000001405.40. Taxonomy (NCBI): domain Eukaryota; kingdom Metazoa; phylum Chordata; class Mammalia; order Primates; family Hominidae; genus Homo; species Homo sapiens. The sequence goes on from NC_000002.12 coordinate 210,460,115, forward strand.
TTTTCTGCGATTTTGCATTCTACAGATTATTCCTCAACATTTTTCATTTGTTTTACGACCAGCTTACAGTGATGTAAAAAGCTTTGTGCCACGGTACTTTAGCTCTGTGAGGCATTTTCGTGCAGTTCAAGGGCATTTAAAGACTCCCTTCATGTACTCTGGTAGGGAAAATCATGTTCAGATTTTAGATCTACAAGGCTCACTGGAGGTGCTTAACTAACACTCATTAGTTTAGAATGACATGGAGACAGGAACTTCCCAAAGGAGGGGGCACTTGGGTGTTCCAATCTAAGTTCAAATACATTTTTCCCTACTTGAAACGTTAATGGCTCATCAATTATTATGTTTTCTTCTTTTCAGATTTATGAAAAAATAAGAAGTGAAAGTATTCTCTGACTGCAAGTATGACCACCTGTCTTTCTATATCAGGTTGATAATTTCTAACATGTTCCTTTGTAATTGTTTCTCAATTTTGTGCTGAATGTTGACCATGTGCATTTCCATTTCTTCAACAAAATCACATTTGTCTTTAGAGCACTGTTGTTACTGTGCACAGCACTCTCCCCATGCCTGAACTGTCAACAATCCACTGAGTAGGACATATGCCCAGCTGTCTGACTAAAGCTGAGCATTGTGGGCCGTGGCTTTCAAATACTCCAGTGCTTTCACAGATGATCTGGGGAGGAAACTAGTGACTCCACACCTTTAATTTAATAATATTGCCCCAAACAAATGAGTAAAACAGAGAATAAAGAGGGCAAATAAGTACTCTGAAGATGTGTCTTTTCTTTTCTTCTTAATTTCAGAGCTGACTAACCAATAGAAAATAAGATGAAAAAAACAAAACAAAAAAACAGGGAAACATTGTTTTCCTTCCCCCAGTGCCCTGTAGCCCACCAACTATGAATTGGGCACTGTGCTAAGTGTTGACGTTACTGGAATGAAAATGACAAACACCAAGCCTTCTGGGTGTTGGCTGTAAAAGTCAGATTGTTTAGATATGTCTTCTTTCCTTCCTACTTTTTTCTGATCTGTTTCACACTCTCATCCTACTCTGGTTCACTCAAGCCCAATGGTGGTGTCTAAACTCCACAATTGCATTCATCTATCTAGTGGCCATTGTGAAGTGCTCTAATGAATCCAGCGTAAATCCATGCCCATAGCTCTTTCTACTTGTCCTAACACCTCTGGCTGGGTGGGATAGGTGCATCTAATGAAGGTGAAGGTGAAGGACACTTGGCCAGGGCTCAAATTAAACACTGAAATGCTGGCTCTGATGAAGAGCTACTTACAAACAGATCAAATTGCAAAGAGAAGACACCTGGCCAGAGTGACTCCTTTCAAGTAAGTCTGGTGTCAGCAGTAACTAATACCCACATGTGAAATCTGCAGCTCAAAGGCTATACATTTGGTAGATCAGAGGAACAGCATCTTGAAACACTATAATGACTTGCATTTAGAGTGCAAGTTAATATTACTCTAGGGATTATGCTACATATCCTCTTGTTTAAAATGTTATCTAATATTTGAAAAGAGGAAATACATGCCAATTTTAGCCTCATTAACTTTGTGAGTCGGTTACAGAAGATTGGGTCATGTCTTTCAGAACAGAAGTCCCTAGAGTCCTGTATGTATTTTTTTTTTTAAGTGTGAGCTGATCATCATTTCCCTTAAGAATCGTCACAGTTAAGAGTGGGAAAAAAAATGAAATAAGGGCTAGCATTTTCCCTTATTGTCTCTTAAAGACAGTAGTGAGATCAGCCATCCCTTGGGTTTACTTAACTTTTCTACTATGTTATCTGCAAGGGAAGGAATCTTTTTGATTAAATGTTTATTTCTAACACAAGAACACCTTATCTGCTCATTTAATCCTTTATAATAACAATTCCTTACCAGTGTTTTGTGGTTTCCATTTTATAAAGCACTTTAGAATGTTCTCCCCACTAGCACCTACAGTCTACCTGGATCAAAACCCAGACCAGCTCCATGGCAGGTAGCATTACGTTCTCTGGTGAGACCCCAGTGATCTCTGGACACCACTGGGAACCACTCAGTAGCTGACCAGTGGATTTGATCTTAAGGGGCCTCCAGGCTTGCTATTTTTCTGTACTGTCTGCTGCTATGTGTAGAGTCATATATAACAACTCTTAATGGGGTTCCTAAATAACTAAAATGTGTCCCCTGCTACACAAGCCATGAGCACATAATTCCGGTAAGTCTACTGGGAAAAGATTAAGGCTAAAAATGAACAACTCAATGCTTATTGCAGGCATATGTCATACATCAATATCATGATGCATTACGCTCCCATGTACTAAATTTTACAAAGGAGAATTTTGGTGAAAAGAACTGAGGCTGTTCATTCAAAATATCACTTATTAACAGCTGCAGGAGCTACCAATTGATTTCAGACTATGGATGATAATTCACTTGAGAAGATCTTTAAGCCTTTTCAAAAAGAAGCAATTATGAGGAAAAGCTTCTGTCTCGGCCCAATTAATTTTCTATCCTGAAACCATGCTGAATATATTAATACAAGATTAGGAAGGGGAAAAACACCTTCTATAGAAAAACACTGGAGATTTTTTCATTTTTCTAGCTGCAAATGCCTGTAAGTCTTCTCAGGGTTTATGTCCAATTCTAAATAACTTTTTAAATAGTAATTACTCTTGCCTAATAAGCCTTGTTTCCTTCTTACTTTCCAAATTCCTTTCATACTTTATCAGGGCTTACTCTGACTCTTATTTCTTTTAATAAAACACTTAAATCTGACTAGTCATTAGCCACTTCTATGAAGTTTGTATGGAATGAGTATCATGTCATTGTTCAAACTACTCCATCTTATAGCTTATGAATAAACCTTCTTCACTTATAAAGTGTACAGAATAAACTCATATGTAGAGGCTGAGAGTAAACACACATATACACACATGCTCATAGGGTAAAGAGCAGGACTCAAGAGCCAGGCTTGTTTGGGTTGAACCTTAACATTGTCACTAGCTCTATAACCTTGAATGAAGTACTCAGCCTTGCTTTGCCTCATTTTTCTTATCGGTGAAATGAGGATATGAATGGTATTCTGGCCATAAAGGTTTATTTATTTATTTTTTTTTTTGGAGACAGTCTCCCTTTGTTGCTCAGGCTGGAGTACAGTGGCACGATTTTGGCTCACTGCAACCTCCGCCTCCTGGATTCAAGCGATTCTCCTGCTTCAGCCTCCTGAGTAGCTGGGATTACAAGCACCCACCACCAGACCTGGCTATATAAAGTTTTTTTGAGGTTTAGATTAGTGAATTAATGCAACACACTTAAAATGGTGCCTGGCATACAACAGTAGTTATTGGTGTACGTGCCTGCACCCTGTCTTGTCATTCAGATGTTAACTGCAGTAACATTTTATCACCACGAAGAGTGTTTTAATCTTACTCCTGTCCTCCAACAGTCAAATGATCATAAAACTGCATACTGATGATCTTTATTCCCTTGGGAACCAACATTCAGTCAATCTATTTTATTATTCTTTTTTTGAACATTATAGAAGTAATTTGTTAAGTCTAATTTACTGTCTGAAAAATTGATTAATCATAACATCTCATTCCTGAATGAGCATGAGAGAGACCAGAGGGATTTATGGTAATAACTGCCTCTTTAGACAATATGGGACAGCTACAGGTTTTTAAAATTCTTCCCTCCTTTCTTTCCCACGGTCAGGGCATTTTTACCTCTGCTGTGAATAAAAAAGGTAAAAGTCAGGGATACAGCTTGTAAAATTGCACTATGACAACTCACAGGTGTAAATATGTAGGCTGCAGTGGAAATGACGTTTGAGTTCTATTAAAAGTTCATGTTAACCAATCTCTTCACTATTTCATACCCTCTGCTTCAATTTTAAAATAAAAGCCAAGATAATTTCAGTTGTAAAACAGTTTGTAAAGTAAGTGTAAAGTACTTTCTTAAGCAATTATTTGCTTCTGTTACATTTCTATTTAAACCTGTACATATCACCCTTACCAACAAAGCATTGTGTATATACGAATTATTTGGAATAATCCTATTCTAAATCCTAATCTTATCTGAACTAGCGTTAATTATCAGACCATCTACATACTACTGGGGAATGAAACAACAAAATAAAATTGTAAAGTCCTAACTAATTGTAATAATCATTTTACTAAGCATGTTTAACACTCAGAAGTACTTTAGCAGAATTCTAATAAGTACCTTCTATTAGTTTTAATTTTTGTTGAAAAGATAGATGGGGAAAAAAAGGAGTCAGTTTTTCAGTTCCAAGTGCAGTGGGCTTTTAAACAACATGGGTCTGAACTGCATGGGTCTACTCGTACACAGATTTAAAAATATATATATATAGTGGAAACTTTTTTGGGCTTCTGTCGACAATTTGAAAAAACTTGCAGATGAACTGTGTAGACCAGAAATATCGAAAAAATTAAGAAAAAGGTGTGTCATGAATGCACAAAATATATATAGTTACTAGTCTATTTTATCACTAGGATAAAATATACACAAATCTATTATAAAAAGCTAAAATTTATTAAAACTTATGCGTACAGGCCGGGCGCGGTGGCTCACGCCTGTAATCCCAGCACTTTGGGAGGCTGAGGCGGGTGGATCATGAGGTCAGGAGATCGAGACCATTCTGGCTAACAAGGTGAAACCCCGTCTCTACTAAAAATACAAAAAATTAGCCGGGTGCGGTGGCGGGCGCCTGTAGTCCCAGCTACTCGGGAGGCTGAGGCAGGAGAATGGCGTGAACCCGGGAAGCGGAGCTTGCAGTGAGCCGAGATTGCGCCACTGCAGTCCGCAGTTCGGCCTGGGTGACAGGGCGAGACTCCGTCTCAAAAAAAAAAAAAAAAAAACTTATGCGTACAGACTGTACATAGTGCCACCTGCAGTCAAGAGAGATGTCAAAAAATGTAAAGATGAAAAATAACTTCGTAAATTAACTCCAGTGCATACTGTAGTACAGCAATAACTTCTTAGCCACCTCCTGTTGCTGATGTGAAATCAAGTGTTGCTCCACTTAAAATAACATGTGATGTGAATTATCTCTGCTTGAGATCATTATCTCTGTCTCTCCAGTAAATTACATATCACAGGAAAGAGTAATCTCTTCTGATTCTTGCATATTTTTAATTGTTTTTAGTGCAATATTGTAAACCTTGAATAACACCATGGGACACATACAAAGTGCCACTAGTGATGCTGAAAGTGCTTCCACGAAGCAGAAAAAAGTCGTGACATTACACGAAACACCTGAACTGCTTGATATAATGTAACCATAGATTGAGGTCTGCAGCTGCAGTTGCCTGCCATTTTAAGATAAATGAATCCAGCATAAGGACCACTGTAAAGAATGAAAAGGAAATTCATGAAGCCATCACTGCAGTTACAGCAGCAGGCACAAAAACCTTGCATTTTTAGTGAAACTGCAGTACATATTGAAAATGTAGCCTTTATGTTGGTGCAGGACTCTAAAATGATTCAAGAAAACGTGAAGTCAATATACGGCAACTAGAAGCAAAACGATCTAAAGCTGTATGATTTAATGCCAGCAAGGGTTGGTTTGATAATTATAGGAAGAAGTTTGGCTTAAAAAAATGTCAAGATAACAGAAGCAGCAGCTTTTGCCAACCAAGAGGCAGCAGACAAGTTCCCAGGTACGATGAAGAAAAATCGAGGAGAAAGGCTATCTGCCTGAAAAGGTTTTGAACCCTATTCTGGGGGGGGAAAAGCCACAAAGGACATGCATTAGTAAGGAAGAGAAATGACCACCAGGATTTAAGGCAAGAAGGAACAGACTAACTCTACTGTTTAATGCAAATGCTGTAGGGTTTATGATCAGGACTACCCTTATTTATAAAGCTGCCAACCCCTTGGTCTTGAAGAGAAAAGATGAGCACCAGCTGCCAATCTTTTGGTTGTACAGGAAAGCTTGGACAACAAGAACCTTTTTTAATCGTTTGGTTCCACCAATGCTTTCTCCTTGATGTAGGGAAATATCTTGCCAGTAGGGACTGCCTTTTAAAGTTTTTTCAATAGTGCACAATGCCCCTAGCTACCCAGAACCCAAGAGTTCAACACTGAAGACATCAAAGTGGTCTACTTGCCCCAAACAGGTCTCTAATTCAGCCTCTACATCAGGGGGTCATAAGGACCTCTCAGGCTCATTATAAATAGTACTTTACGGAACGGATTGTCAGTGCTATGGAGTACACTGTGGAGATAAAAGTGACTCCATCTTGTAGGCTAATCCTCTACACAGACTTCTGATTAGCCCCGGCCCCGTGAATGCCTCCTGGTTTTTACTTTATTTACTGCCCCTAGTATAAGAACAAAGGAACCTTGGTGCTAATGCACAAATTATAGGCTGTGATACACATAGCCGTCTTGCCTGTTTTTGAGGGTTGCCTTTCCCTATGGTATGTAAGCCCTGGGTCTCTGGAGTAGCAGTGTTGAGATCTTCCTGCCTTGTGGCTGACCAAGACCATGCTTGTGTCTCTAAGTTCTCCAATAAAACAGCCTTTACTGACAAATTGGATTTTCTGCCTCCTCCTTTGATTTTTCAGCTACTTCAGCATTTGGGGGTCACTTTGCATATGTGACCCTTTCACGGAACAAACCAGATAGAGAGAACATCATGAAAGTCTAGAAGAATTACACCACTGAGATGCCATCGTTGATACAGTAAAGCCACAAAAACCATCAAGGCTGAAACAATAAATTCCTGCTGGAGAAAACTGGGTTCAGATAGTGTGCATGACTTCACAGGCACCAATCAAGGAGATCATGAGAGAGATGTGGATATGGCAAAAAAAAAGGTGGGGGATGGGGATGAAGGATTTCAAGATATGAATCTTGGAGAAATTCAAGAGCTAATAGACGCCACACCAGAGGAATTAACAGAAAGCAACTTGATGAAGATGAGTTCTTATGAACCAGTGCTAGAGGATGAGGAAGATATAGAAGAAGCAGCACCAGAAAATGAACTGATGTTAGACAGTCTGGCAAAAGGGTTTTGATTATTCAATACTGCTTTTTACTTCATTTCTGACACGGATTCGTATATGGTATGGGCACTGACACTAAAGCAAATGGTGGAAGAATTGCCAACGTACAGATATTTTTAGAGAAATGAAAAAGCAAAAACGTCCGACAGAAATTACGATGTATTTTTGCAAAGTTACTGAGTGTTCCTGCCTTTCCTGCCTTCCCTTCCACCTCCCTTCACTTCTTCTGCCTCTGCCACCCATGAGAGCAAGACCAATTCTTTATTTTCCTCCTCTTCCTCAGCCTACTTAATGTGAAAACGAGGATGAAGACCTTTATAATGATCCACTTCCACTCAATGAACAGTAAATGTATTTTCCCTTCCTTATGATTTTCTTAACATTTTCTTTTTTCTACCTTATTGTAAAAATACAGAACAGATTAAATGTAACACACAAAATATGTGTTAATCAACTATTTATGTTATCAGGAAGGCTTCCTCAACAGCAAGCTATTAGTAGTTAAGTTTTGGGGGAGACAAAAGTTATACATAAACTTTTGAGAGTGTCAATGGGCATGTGCCCTTAAACTGCACATTGTTAAGGGTCAACTTTACACATCTAACATTAAACACATGAATGTGTCATCTCTTCACTAGAACCCTTTCATTTTCAAGATCAACTGAGCAACTAAGACAAATCTAGACACACCATGAATGAGGTATTAAGAAGTTGGGCAGCCCAGTTTTGTAGCTTTCTTTAGAGTCATGAAGTAGAAACAAAGACATACAATTATGGGGTTTAGTATGAATTGATGCATGGTACAAATTGGAAACTTTATAATTTTGCAATAGAAAATAAGGGTTTGGGAGAAAGCAGAAAAGAATGGCAAGTAACTGTTTAATAAAGCTACAAAAATAGTAATGTTTTACAGTATTAAGTTTAGAATCAATCGCTAGTCCCTTCTAGATTTAAGTTACACTTAGCTCTAGGAAAATTATGATTCGACATTCCTATAATACTTACTTTCTGTGGCAGGCTTTACGCAAAGACTTACTGAATGAAAAAAAAAAAACACAAAACTTTAAGGTGTTGTGAATCAAAATCCAAATCAATCTCCCTGGAAACAAAGAACAGATAAAATATTGCTTGGAAAATTTCAAAATATTTTATAGACACTGGTAAATTTATCCCCCCAAAAATCCCCCAAAAAGTGAACAGAAGAGATCCTTTAGCAGACATAAAAATTGAGGCTCACTGTCCAAATGCCTTGTGCAAAACATAGAAGTCAAGAAAAAAATCATTTTTCTTGTTATATAGAAGTTACAGCAAAGACTACTAGGTCTTATCCCAAAGTTCACTCTCCTCTTCCTCTATTAACAGAACCCAAGCTAAAAGACTGCATTTACTACCCTTCCTTGCTAACAAGAGTGACTACGTGACTATGTTCTGGCCAATGCAAAGTAAGCACAACTGAAATGTTGAGTGGGACTTCCAGGAAGGCTTTTTAAAGGGAGAGCATGCATTAATGCATTCTTCTTTGCCTCTTCTTCCCTCCAGCAGCCTGAAAAGCTGATGTAATGACTGGATCTTCAGCAGCCACCTTGAGCAAGAGGTAGAAGCTAGAGGCTGAGGAATGATGGAGCAGAAAGGAAGGAGCTGGGGTTCCTATTAACATCCTGAAGCTACACTATCAGGCCTGGACTGACCAACTCTTTCTGGCCTTCTTTTACAAGAGAAAAATACAGTTATTTAAACCACTATACTTCTGTTTTCTTTTTTGGGGTATAGATAACTGAACCTAATCCTGTCCCAAATCCTGATCCTATCTAACCAGTGTTAGCTATCAGCCCATACGTATACTGGAGAATGACGTTTAACAAAATAAGATGTTAAAGTTCTAACTAATTGTAATAATCATGCAGTTTTCTCATGCTGAACAAAGTTAAAGAAATATAATGTGTGTTTCCTAAAGAGTGTCATTTTTTGGAAAGATAACATGGGGCACAAAGTAACATAAAAATCTACATATAATTATGTAAACATTGCTTTGACATACAACACCAAATATTTTTATTGTATTTGTGAATGCATTTCTTGGTAATAAAACGGCAGTTATGAATAAGTGATACTTGGAAAGCTATAACATAATGGGAGGAGAAGGTATTAACACTGTGATTTTATGGGGTTGAATCAGTTTTAGTTTCTTATACAACTCAGAGCTTTACGTTATTTAGACTGTCTAAACACTGGCGCAAGGTAGCATTTTACTTATCAAAACACTGGAGGAGGCAGTCTATTTTATGTGGGAATAATAGCTTTTTAACAGTGTTCGATTAGGAGACATTAGGAACCTTGCCTTGAAAACCATTAGCAAATTTATCTAGAAGATTTTACGTTACATCTTAAAACAACCAGCTGCTAAGGACATCCTAAACTGCTTAGTATGCCAATTTGCCTCAGATGCTTGCCATATAAGCTGCTTTCAGGAGTCAGCAATGAGTATCATAGATACTTGAGGATAAAAGGTTGAAGGATATTGGCATTCAAAGATGAAGCCAGAAACCCTGTACAGCCAAAAAAATTAAACTTGCATTTTACTTTGGAGTGAAATGTCTTTGCTATTTCCAAAGTTTTTAACTTTTGGGTTCTCAACTAGCCCTAGCAATATAAGGGCCTGACTAATGACTCTTCCCAACATTGTCAAACTTAATTCAAACTTGAAATCAATCCCCTTTTTTTTCCTCCTAAAGCAAAGTAACTCACAATAATAATATGAGTACATGTGAATGGCCAATTTAGAAGTTTAAGTCATTCTTTTGTAATCAGTACTAGAATTAACTAGTGATTTTTTTTTTTGGCAAGGAATAACAAAATAATAGAAACTCCATATATATTAGAAAAAGATCTGTAAGTTTGAGCCTTATATATTATTACAATGTGGCAATCAAGAGGAAAACTCAAGACAACTGTGCGCTGTGCTTGTCCTGTTTTGTTCAAACCACGATAATTTTAAATAAATAGTAATGTTCAACATTCACTGATGACATTATCTATCAACCACATCACACCTGGAACACAGTAGATAATAAATGGCAGCTGTTATACCTTCCTTCTTGAAACAAAATCCTGTCATTTCATTCTCATTTTAACTTTGTGTTAAGCTTCTACAATCCATAAAAATGATAAAACAATAAAATGGTCCAACATTATCTAGTCCAGTCTTATTTTTACAAAACATTGACTTTAAAAGTCCCTGAGATTTTAATTTTACTGGTTTAATCTGTCTTCCCTACCCTTGTTTAAAAAAAAATAGAATCATGTGTCATTATTGGTTGAGTACCCGTTATCTGAAATCCTTGGGACAAGTGTTTTGGATTTCAAATATTGAAATATTTGGCTTATATTTACCAGTTGAGTATCCCAAATCTGAACATCGGTAATCCTAAATGCTCGATGAACATTCCCTTTGAGTGTCACATCAGAGCTTAAAAAGCTTCAAATTTTGGAGCATTTTGGATTTCAGATTTTCAGATTTGGGATGCTCAACCTGTACTAAAGAGGAAGACTAATAAGAGATTGCTATTATTAATAAATTTCTCTCAGAAAGCTTTCAAACTGCAGTCTGTAGATCACCATCTGCATCAGGACCACTGATGGCTATAAAAGGCAAATTCCTGGGTTCTGCTCAAGATCTACTGAATCACAATCTCTGCTATGAGGCCATTTTTATGACAAATTCCACTCCTTAAAATCAAATTAAAATTCCCTGGATTGCAAGCTTATTCCTCCTTGCCCACTCTTTAAAGCGAATGGGAAACACTGAGTCTCTAGACTATGCTTTCTTCCAGATTACACAGCTGTCTTTTGTTTCTCTACATTTGGTAAATTAATTGCAGTTCTTCAACTTTTCTTCTTTGATTTTTTTTTTTTTTTTTTTTTTTGAGATGGAGTCTTGCTCCATCACCAGGCTGGAGTGCAGTGGAGTGATCTCATCTCACTGCAATCTCCACCTCCCAGGTTCAAGTGATTCTCCTGCCTCAGCCTCCTGAGTAGCTGGGACTACAGGTATGAGCCACCATGCCCAGCTAATTTTTGTAGTTTTAGTAAAGATGGGGTTGCACAGTGTTGGCCAGGATGGTCTTGATCTCTTGACCTCGTGATCCACCCGCCTCGGCCTCCCAAAGTGCTGGGATTACAGGTGTGAGCCACTGCGCCCAGCCTCTTCTTTGATTTTTCTCTTTCTCACCTTTTTTTGACATCAATGCACTGTTTCTTCCTAAACCTCCTCCAGCCTCTCAATGATTGAGATTGGCAATGCAGCAATTGCAAACCAAACAGCAATGACCATATGGGAGGATTAGTTCATGGAAGTAATACTTTACCCTGTATGGATTCCTGTATGGATTCCTGTTACGGGTTAACTTTTTAAAACATGCTTCTGGACATATTTTATTCCTGAGATCAATCCTCATTACCTCCGCTTCAGGCATTGTATTTTGGAACTCTTCCCAATTCTTCCCACTGAAATTACATCTGCAAATTAACTATGTAATATTGAAAATCAATTTTTCTCCTCACAAGTATAGCAGCCATCCAAATGTCAGGCATGAATTACATGAATATGCTTACCATGCCCTAAATTCAGGGCACTATTAAAAACCCAGAAGATACCATGGTTGGTTGGGTTGAGGGCACAGCACTCTCCCAGAAGCAATTACTCATATGCAGATGCAGGAAGCATTTAAGGGTGTACCATTCAGACAGACAGCTCTCGGAAAAATGCTCTGGCTCTTAAGCACAATGCTTATGCCAGCTCACAGTCAGCACTTCATACCTGCCCAGCCAGTGTAACCGGTGCCATCCCGAGGGTCTGCTGATTTCAGGCCTCTCTCCATTTGCTGAAGAAGCTCCCGAATCTTATTGGTCAAGCGTTGTGAGAACTCAGGAGTCAGCTAGATATTAAAGGAAAACAAGTATCAAAATAATGTGGGTCACCCAGCTTGCTGGACTATAAGCTATCAAAGACAGAAAGGTATTTCTTTTCCACTTAGGACATATTTTTCCACCTGGAAGACTAAACAATTTATTTTCTATTCTTAAACAACAACATCACATTAACAAAATTTATAAAATACCGTTGTAACTTATACATGTTTTAAATAAAATTTTTAGTTAAATACTAAAACAGACTGCCAATGATAAACTGGCTCACAGTAATTTTCCACCTAATAGTAATCGTCTATTATTTAAACCAATATTATAATAAAGTCTTTTTATTAAATTAAGCACAAATCAGATGTTTGGTGCTTTCAAACTACTGGATTTTTAGTATTCAAGCTGCAGCAAGGTAAATTCCCTAAAGAAACATCTAATTGCTCTTATTTAAAAAAAAGGATTTAAAAAAAATGAAGTAGCCAAAGAAAAGCAAAACAAATTCATGTATATCAAGAGCCTTAAGCAGAATAGAAAGAATATCAAACTTAGCATCATAAACCCACGTCCAGCACAGTGTCTGGCAGAGAATACGGGCTTCACAAATGTTTCTCAATGAATGAGCCTGTCTACATCCTTACCCGCTATTAGCTGATCTTGCTCAACTCATAACTTCTTTATGTTTCAAATACCTCCATAAAGTCAGGATAATAATAACTGCCACGCCAATTTCAAAAGGTACTTTGGGGATTAAATGAGATAGTGTATCACAAGTCTTTCTCATTCAGGGATGTAAATGTTGACATTTTTACTAATTCTTTAGCAGATCAAGGGTCTAAGGCAAGTAATAGTTTAGATATGGATTGAAAATACACTAAGGCTGGGGCTGTGGGGTTAGTACCACCCATATGAAGGTCCACAGATGCTGTGCAAACAGTGAGGCTCACACAATCATTACGTTATTCTTCTTAAAGGCAAATGAAAAATAATTTTAAACTTCTGCACACACTGAATCAGTGTCTTAAAAAGTCACTGAAGGCCGGGCACAGTGGCTAATGCCTGTAATCCTAGCATTTTGGGAGGCCGAGGTGGGCGGATAACCTGAGGTTAGGAGTTCGAGACCAGTCTGACCAACATGGAGAAACCCCATCTCTACTAAAAATACAAAATTAGTCGGGCATGGTGGTGAACGCCTGTAATCCCAGCTATTCGGAAGCCTGAGGCAGGAGAATTCCTTGAACCTGGGAGATGGAGGTTGTGGTGAGCCGAGATCGTGCCACTGCACTCCAGCCTGGGCAACAAGAGCGAAACTCCATCTCAAACAACAACAACAACAACAACAAAAACCCAAAAAACTCACTTTATTGTCTCCCTCAATAATTTTAAGAACTTGCTGTGATTCTAAGACTTGAATTTCACATAGTAATTAAAATTTCAGAACAATGTGGGGGAAAGTTACAAGGGTATAAACATTTTATTTTACCATGTAAGGATTGTAGAAATAAACCTAACCACTCACATCAGAATCTCATTTTTAAAAATGAGATAAAATCTTAACACTGAAAACAGCAAGAAGGCAGTATCAGAATTAACAACAACAACAATAGTTTAAGGATACGTTAAGATTCACTTCGGAGGAGCATCCTTGATAAGGCAAATCAGACTTTCAACCACATCTGGATTATTTAATCTAAAGCACCACTATGATCCCTTATTTCACTCTTTAGAAGAAACGACGTTGTTTGACAGACACACTCCCATTATTTAACAATTTCTGCAAAGAGGTTAAGATTTCAACTAGACTTGAAAATACATTTAGTAGGATAAAATATACTTCAATGTTAATACAAAAGGCCTATAAATCTCAGCTAGATAGAAGAGTGCATCTATATTGAGAACACGTCATCTACTGTATATAGATCATATATAATTTATCATCTTGCCTGGCCTTCAAGAGATCAAGAATAATGAGAATCTCTCAGCCTTATGAAGGGAAGTTACTTTCTGTTTGGCACATTCTGCATTTAATAAAGGTGACCTCTGTGAGAATATTGATTGCTTGTGGTACACCACCAAATCATTCAAACTCTAGCTATAATCTGAAGTCTCTAAAAGTCCTTTTTTCTTTTCTATTTTTTTCTGACAGATGCCAGAAAACAGACCAGTTCCTTACTGAAATCTTGTGTTAAGAAATTAAGGAGGACAGATCTCCAGGGTTTGATCCTCCGTGTTCAACATTACACAATTTTAGAACTGGTATGCTACTTCCTTTCTAGGACCTGTCCAAAAACTACGTTAGGCAATAAACTACATTATTACTCTTGGGTCAGGGTTTAAATTTGTGAATTTTTCCCCTTAGAAACAAAGGGTTAAATTTGGCCCGACATGGTGGCTCACACCTGTAATCCCGGCACTTTGGGAGGCTGAGATGGGTGGATCACTTGAGGTCAGGAGTTCGACACCAGCCTGGCCAACATGGTGAAACCCTGCCTCTACTAAAAATACAAAAAAAAAAAAAAATTAGCCAGGTGCGGTGGTGTGCACCTGTAATCCCAGCTACTCAGGAGGCTGGGGCATGAGAGTCACTTGGGCCTGGGAGGCAGAAGTTGCAGTGAGCCAAGACTGTGCCTCTGCACTCCAGCCTGGGCTCAGGGTGAGACTCCGTCTAAAAAAATAAAAATAAAAATAAATAAATAAATAAATAAAGGGTTAAATTCATAAAAAGCATTTACTTTATAGGCAGTCTAAATAGGTACATTTTATTGAAGGTTTCTGTCACTAGGACAATCCTCAACTGTTCTCTTTGCCAAGTCAGTATGAAGCAGCAAGTCCTCCTCCCGCAAGACAAGACACATACTTCAGCTTGAGAATCTGCACAGCTAAGCAGAATGCAGGCCCAAATGGCCAAAGGGAATCCATCTGACCTGAAGATAATTATAAAAAGCTTTGTTTGGGCAGCTTAATACTAGTCTTAAAATAATCAGATTGACTCAAACTCCATATACATTTTGGTAGCCTTCTACCCTACACCTCTTCTTCATCTCTTTGATTCCTCCTACCTGCATTACTGACCCAAGTTAATCTATAATGTGACAAGTGTTTTAAGGAAAAAAACAACCATCAGACCCACAGATTAATTTGACAGGGATGAAATCTGTAAGGCCTTTATATCACATAAAATGTCTTTTGTATGGCTGACAAGTTTCAAAGAAATAAACTGGTAAAATTTTTAAAGCGTGTGCCTTGTTTCCAACTTAACTCATTTTCAAAACTAAATTTTATTTTTTTATTTTTTAGAGACAGGGTCTCTGTCACCCAGGCTAGAGTGCAGTGGTGCAATCATAGCTCACTACAGCCTCGAATCTCCTAGGCTCCAGCAATTCTCCCGCCTCAGCCTCCCAAGTAGCTGGGACTACAAGCTTTCCACCACACCTGGCTAATTTTTAAAAAAATTTTAGTAGAGATAAGGTCCTGCTGTGTTGCACAGGCTGGTCTCAAACTCGTGGCCTTAAGCAATCCTCCTGCCTTGATTTCCCAAAGTGTCGGGATTAATGGTGTGAGCCACTGCACCCAGCCAAAAGTAGGTATTCTTAAAAATATCTGTATTCCCTCTTAACAATTATGTTCACCCAATGAGGCATGAGAAAACACAGGCCCCTAGTATTTTACATCCAGGTTCTCTTTTGCACAGTGATTTGTGACATGCTAACCAGTTTAATTTACAAGTTTCTTTTTTTTTGTTTTCCAGCTGTGGATATGCCCTGTGGAGTGACACCGGTACAAAGAACTTCAGGTTTCCTAGGTCCCCAAATTCTCTAAGCACTAACAGTTTAAAGACGTCCTTACCATACACCACCGTTTGCTCTCATCATTACCCTGAACGCACTTGTGTATAATCACAAAGGAGTAACACGGCACATGTGAATACCGTTAGGATTCTTCACCTCTTTTTAAGAAGCAAACCAAAATACATTAAAAAATGCCAATTACATAGTAAACTACATATTTGCCAATTTTTAAAATTTATACTATCAATAATTGAGTTTATTTCAATTAATAATGTTAACAATGACACATTTAACATTATGTTAGAGCTCAATTTGTATATATTAACATGTATTTTTAAATAATTTACGTATTTATCGTCGAATCATGTATTTTTTTAAAGGGGGATGCTCAACTCTCTCAGGCAAAAATGAGCACCTTTCCGAACACCGTGGGGAGAGGCAGGGATGCAGGCAGACATATCCTAAACTCACCCTCCCGGCAGCATCAAAGTAGCCTTCGGCCAGGGATTTGTTATAATCAGCATAAGGATTCGGGAAGGCCCTTTGAGCCATGACGCCGGAAGCAAGCCTGCAGAACAGGGGAAAAACAGAAACTAGGTTGAGATAGGGGCCTCGGCCGAGTTGCGAGGGCGGCGGCGGCGCCCAGGTATCCCCCTTCCTCCAGCTCCAGGGCCATCGAGCCGTCTCGGCGGTCCGAGTGGACCTCGGGCCCACTGCGGCCCAACTGCTAGGACATGGCGCCTTCGCGAAAAAGCTGCCAGGGCCCTTAACCCACCCGGACAAAGAGGCCCCGTTTTGCAACCCCGTTCCCACGCCCGCGACTTGAAGCAAGTGCGCCTCCCGCGTCCTGAAGCCCTTCTCGGCCCTGGCCTCTCACCCCGCAGCCCCGGACAGTAACAGAAGGGCTATTTTACCGCCCAGTTCCTGCCAGGAGGGCCAATCAGAGCCTTCGCCGTTCCCGAGACCCGCCCCCTTCTCTCTTACAGTTTGTTAAAGACACAGGCGTGTAATTTCTAAAGGATAACGCAGGGTATTTTAATTACTGGGTAGCAGAAGTGAGGACCTAGAATCACGCGGAGATGTGACCAATATTTCCTACCCTTCTTTAATTTTTCTTATTTTTAAAAAGTCAAATTTAAGTCCAGAGTCATAAGAAGTATATATTTTTTTAACCTGGAGAAGAAACAGACTGCTTTTAGATCTGAACATGCTGGTATTTCTGCTGTTCGCAATAGATAAAATTTGGCGGGGGGTGGGGGGATAATGTCTCTCCAGGGACTTGCCAATCTTTTCTTTTCATTTCTTAAAACAAACAAACAAAAAAGCACCACCATCATTAACAACAACAACAACAAAAATATGCCCAAAGGACAGGATATCAAATAGCAGTTGATAATACTTTGGGGAAAGCACATGAAAACACAAATTACAGCTCTTAGGAAATTTATTCTGTTCCTTAGCCTAAATTGGACTATAATACTGGATAACAAAGCTCTAAAAAATACTGAAAACCAACACAGCAGGAGATCCACAACATTCAATTTCAATGTTTTAACAGTCCCTGCTATCTGAAACATTTTTCTTTCATTTAAAATTAAATCCCACCTGGTACATATTAGGCCCATTCTATTGCTCAGAGAATTTTGGAGTTCAGTTAAAAAGTCAGCCTCACTCTCTCCTTTTCCTTCTCTCCGGTTTCAATGAAGAGTCCTAGCTCCAGACCTCCAACTGGAGAAGCTCAGTCTCCACCCCAACTCCCTCCCTCCTTGGCCTAAGTTTGTCCTTCTGAGGCTGCCATCCCAAACTCTACTCCTAATCCCTCCCCACACCCAGGTTTGCTCTTTTAAAATAGTTGCTTTCTTAGGAAATGTAGTTGCTTTCTTAACCTCATCAAATTCATGAAGATTTAGCCGAGGCCCATGGTGAGTCTTAAGCTGGATATCTCTCATGTTTTAAAAGATGGGTGTTTGAAGGAGCAACTCACAAGAGAGAAAAGGAAAACGAGAGACATTTTATCAATTATTTTTTCTTTAATGATTAAAGGCTATCCATTTATCCCACTCACAGTCTTTAAGCAATTAAATATTACTGTTGTTAAGCAAGGCAGGATGGTAATTGTATATTTTCATAGTATGCCTCTATCTTATTTTACTAATCCTTTCCCCTAATGATGGACATTGTTTCTAACTTCCATACTACAAATAATATTCTTGGAACATGTGCTTTTATGAATCTGTGTGAGTATCCCTGAGACATACACCCAGCAGTCAATTGCTGGATCATATGAGATTCTGTACTTAATTTCCCCAATGTTGTTAGATTGCTTTCCAAAACTGCTGGACTAGTTTATATTCCCTCTAACAGTATCTATTGTTCACTCCAAGAGTATTCACTCCAACATATCAATTGTTTCTGTCATTTCCATCTCCTCTCCAACACTTGGTATTATCTAGTGTTCTAATGTTTGCCATTCTAATGAATAATGTAGAATCTCACTGATGTTTAATCTTTTAGTTTTTCTGTGGCTAATGGTGTTGAACTTTCCTTCATATACCTGTTAGACAATTGGGCTTTACCTGTTCCTTTATTTATTTTTCTATTAGTGATTGCATTGTTTTCCTGTTGATTTGAAAGAGTTTTGTTTCTTTTTTTCCCGTGTTTGTGGGGTATATTCTGTATATTAATCTCCTTTCACTTTAGTTATTGTAGATACTTTCTTTAGTTTGTTCACATTTTCTAGGATATCCTTTATTGAATCACAATCTTTCATTTCGATGAAGTTAAACCCATCTAATTGTGACACTGTGATTTGAGGATTTAGCTTCATATTCAAAATGTCTTTGTCTACTCATAGACTGCAATGACTTCCCACATTTTATTTTATTAGCTTTTTACCTCTTATATTTAAGTCTTTATCTGGAGTTTACTTCTGAAGATGATGTGAAGCATGCGTCTAAACGGAAGGGAAGTAGAATTATTTAGAATTTAAATATAATCAAAGCATGTGACTTGTAAACACCCAAAGATTTTAATTGCTGGAAATAATATTTCCCTCCCTCCCTCCCTCCTCCCCCCTCCCCCCTTCCCCCCTCCCTTCCCTCCCTCCCTCCCTGCTTTCCTTCTCTTTCTTCCTTCCTTTTTGTCAGAGAACCAACCCAGAGAATCCCTCCTTGGTTCTGATACAAAAGAAAAGTATTTAACATTTATTGTTTGTATTTATCTACTCAGGCTGCCACACAAAGAACCATAGCAAGTGGCCTGAAACAACAGAAATGTATTTTTCCACAGTTGTGAAGGATAGAAGTCTGGGATTAAGATGTTAGCAGGACTGATTCCATCTGAGGCCTGTCTTGTTGGCTTGTAGATGCCGTCTTCTCCTATCTTCACATGGTTGTCCCTCAGTCTGTGTTGTCTGTGTCCTAATTTCCTCTTCTTACGACACCATCATAGTGGATTATGACTTCATTGAACCTTATCATTCTTTCTTTTTTTTTTTTTTTTTTGAGACGGAGTCTCGCTCTGTTGCCAGGCTGGAGTGCAGTGGCACGATCTCGGCTCACTGCAACCTCTGACTCCCTGGTTCAAGCGATTCTCCTGCCTCAGCCTCCAGAGTAGCTGGGATTACAGGCACACACCACCACGCCCAGCTAATTTTTGTATTTTCAGTAGAGACGGGGTTTCACCATGTTGGCCAGGCTGGTCTTGAACTCCTGACCTCAAGTGATATGCCTGACTTGGCTAACCTTACTTTTCTTTAAAGACCCTTCTCCAGCAGCCACATGCTGAGATAGTGAGAGTTAGGACTTCAACGTATGAATTTGGGGGGCAACAATTTTAGCCCCAAATAGTACCTATGCTTTCACCTGTGGCTATGGTGGCTGAACACATTTGTGGCTAACACAAATTTGACAGTTATAATTTTTTATGGATCATTCTACTTTTGATAAATTTAGGATGATTTTTTAAAAAAATGTAATGTTCCTTCTTTTAATCACTGTAGCTGTCTTGTGTGAACTTTCAGGAAATAATCATTGTATTATTGCCTCTAAAACTGAATACTTCTGGAAATCTGGGATGATTGATAACAGAGAAAACAACTATATTCTGAGGGCATTTTAGTTCCATTCTCAGACTTTAATTTCAAAATGTTATAATGTATATTAGGGTGAAAACTATGTTAGTTACAAAGAGGCCTCAAAACATAATCTCCAAAATACATAGAAATGTATTTTTCTTAGTTCAGATTAGATTTGCTCCATGTGGCCATTCAGGATCACAGATTCCTTCCATCTCTGTTCCCACCTCCCTCAGAGTGTGATGCTCTCATCAAGTCCATGCTGGTCATAGGTGTGTCGGTATTGCAGCTTGTGAGAAGGTCAGGCACACCCAGAGAAGTGCACAGACCAGGAAGTGGGATTTGTCACTTCCCTCGTGTTCTACTGGTGAGGATTTAGTCACTTGGCCACCTCTAGCTGCCCAGGAGGCTGTGAAATGAAGTTCTCTGCTGAACAGCTATGTGTTCAGCTACAATGAAAGAAGGGGAAGACTGACTTTGGTGGACAGTTAATGTCCTCCAATACATGATGGCAGTTTTAGTAACTGATAGCCCCTGTCTGCCAGCAAAGGCGCAGCATGCTATAGTGTCTGTGGTGTTCCTTTTGCCTCTAACCTCCTAGCAACCATGCCTTCTCTGTTTCTTCCTACCTATTCCCTTGATCCTTGTTAGCTGGTGGGTCTTTGGGGTAAAAGAGAGATCTTGAGACTCCATATCCTATATTTTTTCTAGAAACTCCCCACCTGCTTTCAAACACACATATACGCACACAGACAGACACACACATACAAAATCAAGCAAATGGTTTTTACTTTTTTCACTTTTCTCCTAAGTACCACTTGTCTCTTTTTTTGTTGTTGACATTACCTTATTTTCTTTTTAGCTCAAAGAAGTGTAAAGCAAGAGCATCTAAGCTTGAGTCTAATATCACCACACTGCTGGTTTAACACCCAGCTGGGACTGTGTACTACTGAAGCAATTTTCTGTTTCGTTCATAGTACAGAATTCATGGATTGACAGGAGCAATTGCCAGTGGAGGAAACAAGAACATAAACAGATGTACACCAAGCGCACTATGGAACACTTTTAATTTCCTGGAGACAGTATTTCTTATGGCACTGGCAGCCTTTCCTCCCTGCCTTGTCAGGATCTTATTAATGTGCTGACAGATTCCTTTCTCTCAATGTACCTGCTGGGTGAGAGCTGCTATTATATGGAACACAGGTGTGCTGGGGTTTCCTTGGGAGATTAAAAAAGATTGTGAGTCCAGAAAGTTGGTAAAAGATGTACAAACATTTAAGCTTTTTCCTTTCTCCACCTAACACTTGTGATGGGCTCTTTATCAAGCAGTGTTAGTATGTGTCTTTAACGAGAAAAAAGAAAAGGAGACTTCCCCCTTTGCTGTTGAAAATATGTGTCTATATTGCATTGTTAAATTTATGCAGGTCCCCATTTCTCTATATGATTGAATTTCATAATGATGGGAAGGATGGAAAGTATCCCCTTCTGGAGGGGTCTTCTCAGGACGCTGAATTGTTAATCAAGTGGATTGTTTTTGCTTCCATCCCATCCAACCACACAAAACTCAGCCATGGAAAGATGATATATTACCAAAGCCCTGCATTGTCCCATTCTGATGTGTTCTTTTGGCATATCTGATAGTTGTACACCCTGGCAGGGGAGAGTAGCCAACAGAGAGATACTCAGGCCTTTGCAGTCCTTCTTTTAAGATTTGGAATTGCCACACAGCAGGTGCTCTTCAGTCATTTGAAAGAGAAAACTTAACATTTTCCTACTTGCCTAGTAGCCACGTTATTTGTGCTTCATTTTTCCTTTCTATTTGCCTTGAGGGCAGGTGTATAGGTGAGTAACTGTAAGTAGAATGTAGTTCATAAGAAGTGGAGAAGCTGCTACTTCAGGGCAATAGGAATTTAGCAGTGGAATTTATAGACCTAGAAGGACACTTCAAGAATCCAGCTGGTTCATCCTGTGATTGCCTTGTGGGATCATCTTGAACTGACCATGCTACTGGTCAGCCAGTGGCTATGGCAACAGCCAGGGCTGCAGCTGCAGAGAGGAGCTGGCTTCTTTAACTGGCTTCTTATACATCATCACAACACCTGGGCTGAGCCTCAAAGCCTGGGCCCAGGACTGTTTTTGGAACTAGCTGAGAAAGGGAGGATGAAATTCTCAGGACTAATTTCCTGCCTCCTGAGGGACAGGACTTGGCATTCAAGGAGTTATATAAAACTTTTTTCCCTGGGTAACTCCGAGTTCGGAAGCAGCAATTCTCATACATTGTATCAGGAGCTTGTTTAAAACACAGATTCCCAGACCTCAGGAGGTTTGGGTTGAATCTGCATTTTAAAAATCTTCATATGAAACTCTTGTAGACTACGTTGAATCCCTTTTTTTTTTTTTCTTTTGAGATGGAGTCTCGCTCTGTCTCCCAGGCTGGAGTGCAATGGTGCGATCTCGGCTCACTCAGCTCACTCTCGGGTTCCAGCAATTCTCCCACCGCAGCCCCCTGAGTAGCTGGGATTACAGACCCGTGCCACCACGCCTGGCTAATTTTTTGTATTTTTAGTAGACACAGGGTTTCACCATGTACCCCAGGCTGATCCGCCTGGCCAAGTGATCCGCCCGCCTCAGCTTCCCAAAGTACTGGAATTACAGATGTGAGCCACTGCTCCCACCTGAATCTTAATCTTAATGTGATTCTTTTGCAGACTATAGACTAGAGTTTGACATATGCTGGTGAGAGAGAGAGAGAGAGAAAGAGAGAGAGAGAGAGAGAGCACAATTCTGAATATAAAAGCCATGGTTCTAAAGGTTAACAGACTGAAATTCCTTGAGTTATCGTGCCCATCAATTTACATTTGTTATATCATAGTCCCTAAAGTATTTCCTAATATTTAAAAAGAAAAAAGAAATATCTTTTCACTGCAGCCTAACCCAATGTGTACTTATAGGTGGTTATTTCACTTAGATACTTTCAGAGAAAGAGCATTCATAACTTCTTTTGGCAGTCAATTAGGGTTCTTAATGCCCTCATGTTTTTTCCTTAGATCTAGACTAAATATTGATCAACCAGAAACTTAAACATATTTTGCGCAGAATAAAGAACAACTAGTCAAGATAAGTCTTTTTAAGTTATAAAAGTTTAATTTGATCTTCTTCAGGTGGAATAATTCAATTTTATACCCTTTCATCTTGGGGCCTAAGTACTTTAATAAAGATCTATACCTTTAAGCCAGGGGTAAGCAAAGTAACGCTGAGGGTACCAGGAGGCATGCTGTCGCTCTGTGTGTAAAGACTCATAAACCTTCCAGAGCAATTAGTGGTGTTGGTAGGAACACATAAAGGCCAAGAAGGGGAGGTTAATCCACATCCCCTTCCTAATAACAGCATCTACTGTTTTCAAGACTTTACTGTAGGATAGGTACTTTACTCGAACTATTTCCTTTCATCTTTGGAAAGTAGTCTCATGAGTAATACTACTACTCATCCCTCTTACATGTGAGGAAACAGAGACTTACATAGTTATCTCACTGTTCCAAGGTCACCATCACGTGAGTGGTGACCCCAGACCTTCTGACTTGAGAGCCAATATGCTTAACCATCTACTGTCCTCCTCCTTCTGCCCAGGTAGCTCCAGCCACCAGCATTTCCTCGCCCTTTTCTCCCTGCTGGACATCAGGGCTCTTTTATGCTGCCTTGACTATATGGGTCCTCTCGTAACTCCCACTCTCCATTATAAATTCCTAATTTACTCTCTCTGCACCAAGTCTGTATTTCCCTCACTCTGAATATTTAGGAACACAGTTCAAATAAACTGGCATAGCTATATATGTTGCCAGACAAACCTTTTACATCTGTCTGCAAAAATCACATTATACCTGTTTCCATGTATCTTGTTTATTCACAAGGTTGGCCTTACCTGGATATGTCAGGATTGGGCCTCTAAAATGTCCCTGAATTATATTTTCTGATTTATTTGTTGGTTCTTTTGCTCATTCATTGATCCATTTACTTATTCTTCAGATGGGTGTTGCAAAGTGTCTATGGAGTGCATATTGTATTCTAGGTTTGAGGAGTGGCTTCTGAACTGAAATATCTCACAAATAAGAAACTGAATAAGCAAACAAATGACTACAATGTGCATAAATGTTATGTCTTAAGATACTAAGGAAACCATGAGAACTCATGGTGGGAGAGTCACCTTACCTGACCTGAGGCAGTCAGGGAGGTTTCATAGAAGGTGACATCTGAGTTGAGTTTGGAAGGAAGCATAGCGATGAGCCAAGTGAAGGTGATCCAGGGGAACATCCCAGATGGAAGGGTCAACCTGTGCAAAGATGAGTCAGGCAAAGTCACAGCACTTTCACATAAATGCCAGGAGCCCAGCTGGAGCACAGAGAGGGGTCAAGGCCCAGAAAGAAAAGAGGTTGCAGAGAGACAGTGGTCTTAGAACTTCTTATAAGACATGACAAGGAGCTTACACTTTATCCTAAAGACAATAGAGAGCCATGGAATGATTTTGAAACTGGCCAATTGTCCCATAGAACTGATGTTTATGATTTCTTTTGAATAAACATAGAAATTGACCCTCCTGGTTTTAAAACTTGAGACATTTACATTTGTCTTATCTGAGTTCCTTTCTCAGGAAACCAACCATCAGGCCTCCCAGATAGTATCAAGGGACTGTAACTTACCAGATCACCACATCTGGACGATGAGATGCCAGAACCACCTATCATGACTACCTAACTGACTACCTGCTTTCTGTTGACTAACTGCTCTTCCTTACCCCTCCCTAAATTCTGTATTCTCATATATGATTGCATTTCTTTCCTGCTATAAACCCCCCTAATTTTAGTAGGTGTAGGAGATAGACTTCAGACTGATTTCCCATCTCTTTGGCACCTGATTGAAGCCTTCTTCCCTGGAAAAACTGATTGTCTCAGTGATTGGTTTTCTGTGTGGCATGCAGCAGAATCTAGACTGCATCCCTAGTGTTTCAGTAACAGTTTTTAAAAATAGATCTTGGCCAGGCATGGTGGCTCACGCCTGTAATCCCAGCACTTTGGGAGGCTGAGGTGGGCAGATCATGAGGTCAGGAGATCGAGACCATCCTGGCTAACATGGTGAAACCCCGTCTCTACTAAAAATACAAAAAAAAATTAGCCGGGCATGGTGGCAGGCACCTGTAGTCCCAACTACTCGGGAGGCTGAGGCAGGAGAATGGTGTGAACCCGGGAGGCGTGAGCTTGCAGTGAGCCAAGATGGTGCCACGGCACTCCAGCCTGGGTGACAGAGCAAGACTACATCTCAAAAAAAAAAAAAATAAAATAAAAATAAAAATAGATCTTATGAGACATAATGGACATAAGTAAACGGTATCTAAAGTATACCATTTCATAAGTTTTGACTTAGGTATATACCCATAAATCATCACCAAAATTGAGATAATGATCATTATTTCTCACCCCCAGATTCCCTCATACCATTTATAATTCCTCCTTCCTGTTTTCCACTGACAATCTCTGTTTCCTAGCCATGGACAATCACTGATCTGCTGTCTGAAAATATATAATTTCTGCATTTTCTAGAATTTTGAATAAGTAGAATTTTATAGTATGTAATTCTGATTTTTTTCACTCAGTATAATTATTTTTAGATTTATCTATATTGCAGGTATTAATAGTCAATTTCTTTCTATTTGTCAGTTTTATTCCATTGTATGAATTTGCTTCTCAAGATGTATTTCTCCATTCATCTGTTGATGAATGGTTGAATTCTATCCAGCCATTGGCTATTACAAATAAAGCTACAAGTAACATGTTCATACTTTGTATGGATACAGTCTTTCATTTCTCTTGTGTAGATATCTAGGAGTATAATGGCTGGGTAGTATGTTAAATGTACTTTAAGAAACTAATAAATTGTTTCCCAAAATGATTGTACCATTTCACATTCCCACCAGCAGTTTATGAGATTTCTAGTTCCTCCACGTACTTACTTGTCAATACTTGGTATATTCTGCCCTTCTAATTTTAGCATTCTGGTGGATTTGTAGTAGTATCGCATTGTGATTTTAACTTTCATGTCCCTAATTACTAATGCTGTTACATTTTTTAATGCTTATTTGCCAGCCAAATATATATATATGTATATATATGTGTATATATATACATATATATATACACACACACATACACACACACACACACACACACACACACACACACACACACACACCCTGTATATATATATATGGTAATGTGTTTGTTCAAATCTTTAGTCCCTTCCCCCATTCCCAGCTTTTAAATTGGGATGTTTATTTACTTAATATTATTCATAATAGCTTTGAGAGATCTTTATATATAAGTCATTTATGAGATATATGTAAAAACATTTGTTGATGTTTTCTCTTTGGCTTCAGCTTGTCTTTTCATTCTCTTAAATGTCTTTGAAGAGCATCTAATGACTGGTCACTCACAGAAGTACACGTGCCCAACACCCTTGCTTCAATCTAGGACCATCTTATGTCCTTATATCATCTTATCATCTTACGTTTTATATCCAGAGCTGCCCATAGGATGGGCTGAAGCCTCTTTTCTTTTTTTGAGATGGAGTTTCACTCCTGTTGCCCAGGCTGGAGTGCAATGGTGCGATCGCGGCTTACCGCAACCTCCGCCTCCTGGGTTCAAGCGATTCTCCTGCCTCAGCCTCCTAAGTAACTGGGATTACAGGCATGCACCACCACATGCAGCTAATTTTGTATTTCCATTAGAGACAGGGTTTCTCCATGTTGGTCAGGCTGGTCTCGAACTCTTGACCTCAGGTGATCCGCTCGCCTTGGCTTCCCAAAGTGCCAGGATTATAAGTGTGAGCCACTGCGCCCAGCTAGCTCTTTTCAAATGCATTGTAGGTCAACTTCTCCTTTGCTCAATCTGCCTTCCTCACACTCTGGCTTTTCACAGCTCTTATTCCAGAGGGCACTCCACCATAACCTCTTACATGCCAATTTCTACCTTGAGTTTGTTTCCAGGAACCAAGCCTAAAAACAGGACCCATGCCTTTTATTTATTTATTTATTTATTTTTTGCTTGCTTTGAATTCTTACTCTGTAAATGAATTGTGCTGTCTACACACACAAAAATATACATTGAAGCATGTCTTTGTTTATTCCTAGTTACATTTTTTGGAAATGAAGTATAACTCAAGAATATTCTTAACCTACATTCTCATTTCCTTAAATAAGCTATTCTTAACTTTCTCAGAAGGACCTACTGAACAACATGTCACTCTTTTGTCTTTTCGTGTGGCTTCAGCCGGAGTGCTCACCCCACCCTGCTTCTTCCCTGTTGGCTTACTGTCACTTCTCTCTGCCCTCTGACCTCAGCCATTTAGATATTCAGTTGGAGGACTTGCTCTCTGTTGTCTTACATCTAGCTAGTACAAATGATAGATGGACCTTGATATACAACAGATTCAATATGAGCCACCTGAGGTTTGTGGCAGCTCCATAATTTGTAAAAGAAGTGGCTTAGGCGGCTGTCTTGTGGGTTGGAACACACAGTGGGCTTGTCTAAGCCTGCATTTGCAAAACACTTTACATAAAATAGAAAAGCATCAGTTGTACATATTAAGGAATGAGGGGTGAGGACTTTGGTGGAAATTACACAGATCTTCCTCCAAGCCATGACTTGACATTGGTATTCTTCCGATGACTTGATGTCCTTATGTTTAAGATTATTTTAGGAGTTGTTTAGAACATTGTGATGCTTTTTTTTTTAAAGCGAAATCTGATTCTTATTTTTTAGAATTCTTTTCCCCACAGTTTGGCTTTTCTCATTCAAGTGTTCGGATAGTAAATTTACCTTTGCACATGTTTGTGCTCCCAGCTGTACATATCAATTCGTAAAAAGCCAAATGGAGAACAGTTTAGCATCAGTGAAATGTCAGGAAAATGCCCAGAAGGCACCAACACAATACTAGAGTTTCAAATTTTGAGAATGGAATTAGGCCACAAAATCAGTTTTCTTGCCTGTGTCATGGACCATGGGGATGTGTCCTAGTTCTTTTAAAAAAAGGGCATCTAAACCTCTCTCAGTACAACTTACAGGTCTGTGCTGGGGACCTGTGAGAAACCTCTGGATTTGAGACTAATTGAATCTGCGTTGAAATGGCCTTTTCCTTTCTTTATTAAAAAACTGATTTGCTCTACCACCTTTTTCTTTGGCTTGCTTGCATTATCCTTTTTTTTTTAAACTGCAGAAATCATATATTCTTCAAGGTTAGAAGAAAAAAAAAGAAGAGAAAAAATCAGAACCGAATCATACTTTTTGTTAGATCATGTGTATAATATTCCCTTTTGTGGTGGTGGAAAGAACTCACCTACTCTGGTTTAGAGGGAAGAAGAGTCAGTTGTCAATGCAAAGTTCTATTACAACATCTCCAAAGCCATAGTTTTTATTTGAAAAGCGAGGAAGTGTGACAACATATGACTGGGCCTGTGATTATCATTCAGACCCATACAGTGAAAACTCTGCCTGAATTTGTTCATGACCACATTTCTTTTCCAGGTTTGACAGATTGTAGTTTTCCAACTGTCTCCTTATTAACATGCTGCCTGTTTCCTCTATCTACTTTTGCTGCACCTGCTGTGATAGTGATTGTTTTGTGTATATAGGTACCATTGCCTTCAGAGATTAAGGGCGCACATTGTGAGCAGAAATAAACCAATGGATTTATCAGTGACTGTACAAATTCCACCTATCTTTTGGACAATAACTGAAAGATCTCTCTTGGGAAAGTAATGTTTTTCTTTGGGAATTGTGGGTTAAAAAACTATGTTTACAGCTATGCCTATCTCCTCTTCCTCATTCCTTCATTCCTTCTACTTTTTGATTTATAATTGTATTCCATAGCCAGAAAAATGCTAAAGAGGTTAATTTTTTATATTATAAAGTAAAAAAAAAATCCTAAGTAAGTTTACTGAGATTTTTCTAGCAAAACTAGAAGTCTTAGTGGGCTTCAGATTCATACTCATGAATATTCTTTTAATTCTTACTTTTATACAAATCTTGGAAATTAGAGGTACAATAGATTATTAAGAATTATGAAAATTTATTCATTGGAGAGCTTAGCAAGAAAATTGCTTATGTTAACATTTGAAAAACTATTTGGTCTACCTGCACTGCAAACTTATAGATGATGGGAAAGCTTATCTTTAAGGCCTGGATCAGTGCAAACAGCCCTGAAAAAGGAAATCTCGAGTTTAATTTACCTTTCAGAACTAAAGAATATATATTGCAGAATTTAAAGAGAAAAGGATCTTCTCTCCTATCTCCTAATGGATACTCTTTGTACCTAGGGTCAGTCTGACTTGGTGGGTGCGGTATTTAACTGCTGCTGACCTTGCTTTGAATTTCTGGCTACAGAGCATTTCAGAGGACAGAGCAAATCTTCTGTTGGGTGTCACATAGGTAGATGCATGCTGGTGCTGGTTCATTCACTGGCACATCCCAGGAATGAATATTTTCTTCCTTGCACATTGACCTTACTCTGATAGACTGACCCAGAAACAGAGCTGGTCTAGTTTTATATGTAAGTAGGAAGGAAAGTTTTCTTCCCTGGCACATACACCTGCTAGCACTCTGACACTTCTAATTTGGAGGTCACAGGAGCAAGTAAATAAATACTATTTAAGGAGCATTAAAAGAAGAAAATTTGGTTTAAACCAAAAAAATCATAAAGTGGGGAGGCAGAGCTACAAACAAGCTGTGGGACTTCAATCATACTTGCTTTCTTCCATACTATTATAAGAATAAAATAAAAAAGGAAGGAAGGGAGAGGCCGAGGCAGGCAGATCACGAGGTCAGGAGATCGAGACCATCCTGGCTAACATGGTGAAACCCCGTCTCTACTGAAAATACAAAAAATTAGCCGGGCGTGGTGGCGGACGCCTGTAGTCCCAGCTACTTGGGAGGCTGAGGCAGGAGAATGGCGTGAACCCGGGAGGCGGAGCTTGCAGTGAGCCGAGATCCTGCCACTGCACTCCAGCCTGGGTGACAGAGCGAGACTCTGTCTCAAAAAAAAAAAAAAAAAAGGAAGGAAGGAAAGCAGGCAGGCAGGAAGAAAGGAAGAAAGGATGGAAGGAAGAAGGAAGGAAGGATGAAGAAAGAAATAAACATATTTCACTTTATACACAGCCTTGCTTCAGTTGGAGAGTGATTCAACTACTCTCAGCTTTCTCTGTAACCACTCAGGAATACCATTTAGAAAAACGTTCTTGTAGAGCTAGAGCCTATTGCTAATAGTAATATTCTGGAAAATTATGGGGAGATATATATGCTTATAGGCTTACCTCTGACCTACAAATTGTCTCTAATAGAGACTGTAATTGTGCACAATCCCTTTTTTCCTCTTCTGCATAGCCATGGGAAGATTTTCTATGTAGGCTTATGTGACCTTCCTAGGTTGTCTGAAATAATCTTGCATCTAGTACATGAATATTACTTAATAAATCCATAAGTATGTACCAAGTGATTTGGCTGCAGAATCAAAATTTTTAAAATGATCCATATTAACTACATCTGAATTTATCCTTGAGCTCCTCTTCTCGTTGTAAAGTGCATTGCACCTATAAAGAGAGGAGTGCAGAATACTTGTAGAAGTTTGTGGGGGGACAGTGAAGGACATTTATTGGTCTAGTTAATGGTAATAGGATATATCCAAAGTGGAAATAAAAGAGAGGCTGTCTTAATTCAATGGTGAGCCAGGGCTATAAGTAACAAAAGGTGGATTTCTTGGGAAATGAATCAATTCATTTTTTGTACCATCAAACTGGGATCTAAAATATGAACCCCATGATACACATGTACACAATGAAACTGTTGGTCTGTTATTGTAATTCTTGAAAATCTCAGTTTATAGTTTTTGTGTGTAAGATAATATTATCCACAGAATCCTAGGTTGGGAGTCTAGTTCTGTTTCTGCTTCAGAAGACTCTTGTCTCAGAGAAGACCCTTGAAACTCTGTGGTCCCTAGGATCCCTCATCTGTAAGATATAGAATGTTCTAGGGGCAAAGTTGGAAAATCCCCTTGAGGACTATGATGTTCCAGACTAGGACACTTTATAATGCTTCCAGGATGCTAATTTCTGGAGGCAATTAGTAGGTTTGTAAACAAATTCTTTTGAAGTGAAGGTTTGAATTGTGTATTGGCAGGAATTATTTGGATAATTGACTTGAATGAGTTTAATTGGCTATAAGAGTTTCATTTTTGTTTTGTTTCTTAGGATGATGTAATTACTGCCTGTGTTGAGTTCCTGCAGGAATGATTTAACTGTTGGATATTTTGAAATGTTCTGGTTGTAAAAGCATGTATTTGGTATCTGTGTTTTTTTTTTTTTTTTTTTTTTTTTTTTTTTGAGACGGAGTCTTGTTCTGTTGCCAGGCTGGAATGGTGCGATCTTGGCTCACTGCAACCTCCACCTCCCGGTTCAAGTGATTCTCCTGTCTCAGCCTCCCAAGTAGCTGGGACTACAGGCACGTGCCACCATGCCCAGCTAATTTTTTGTATTTTTAGTAGAGATGGGGTTTCACTATGTTAGCCAGGATGGTCTCTATCTCCTGACCTCGCGATCCGCCTGCCTTGGACTCCCAAAGTGCTGGGATTAGAGGCATGAGCCACCGCACCTGGACATGTTTGTTTTTTTCCTGGTGTTCTGAGTGTCCTGTGGCAATGGGAAGTTACCATCTCACCTCCACTGTTAAGGCACCAAGTTTCTACCTCTTGGCCCCTAAGAAATGTGGGATCACCTTGAACAGATCTGTCAGCCCTGGTGAGTTTCAGATACCTGTCTCCTAAGAGGAATCTTCTGCTAGGTTAGGGGAGGGGGTCCTATAACAGCTGGAACATAGGCCTTCCCTTCATTCTGTTAACCTGAGGAATAGTCATATCATTCTGCTCTCTCAGTTCTTGTTTCTTAACTTAGCAGGGAATTCAGTGGAGATTTAAGGGTGGTAGCAATAAAGCTTGTGAGAGTGCTTATGAGCCACTGACAGCAACCAACACTATTGTAAGGGAGTTGCTAGATAACCAGGAACCTGGTGGCTGGGCAGAAGCCGACAAAGTTGACTGCTATGAATTTAGATTGTGGCCTACCAATATATGAATAGACAAGAGTTAGACTTCACTATCCCTCCAGAATTCTTTTTCTGTGCAATACCATGTTATCATTATATAACATTCATCATTTGGAAATCTCAAAATAAGTTATAAGATATAGCAGCATTTGCTGGCTGGAAAACCTTTAGACATAGTTACATAGCTTAATGACCCAAAACTTTCTGCTTTATGTACATATGAAAGTAGAGGTTCCAAAATGTTAAGTTAATTGCTATCGTCCTCTAGCAAGTCTCTACAGAAGTCAGAAATAGGACAGCTACTGTGAATAGGTACTGGATAATTTTTCTTTTTTAAGAAATGCAAGTAAAAGCATTTACTACGTTTACTATCACTGAAGTTTGATCATCTGCAGAAAATAACTTTTAATGTGTTCTTTAGAATGAAGTATACATAGGTAGTATCTGCCTTCTTTATTTCACCATGAAGCCTAGAGGGCAACTGGTAGCACAGAATTTAGAAGATACTTTTTTTTTTTTGCCTATCTTGCTTTTATTAATTTTAGAATCTGTAAGTTCTTTGAGAAAGGTTACATACTCAGGATATGTAGTAAGAGTGCACAAAAATTGAATTATTAATAACTAAAATGAGAAAAGAAGTTTATATTGCAGGGGTTCTTAAAACTTTTTTGGTGTCTTGACTGCTTTGGCTATCTAGTGAAGCCTATTAACCCCTCTTGGAGTACTGTTTTAACAAACAATATAAAATACAAAGGATTCAAAGAAAACATATCACATTGAAATACAGTTATACAATAACTTAAAACATTGTGATAGAGTAATGTGTATGCTTCTTATTTACACATTATAAACAGAATATAGCGGCTGGGCTAATAATAATAAATTCAAAGTACTGACACATAGATTTTCAAGACGTCTGCAACAACTGCAATAATAAATAAAAGTATCTATAAGTTCTATCTGTGATAAAGTCACAGGTTCTGCTAATAATACCGTGTTTTGGTGCCTGCATTTATATTTGAACAGAAAACTAAATTTCAGTTATATATTAGTGAAAATAAATGATGGAATTTTGCTTTTCAATTCAAGTTTATGGATCCTTTGAATTTTCTCCCTGGACTCCTCTCTGTGGGTTCAAAGTGAAGAAGTCTTCTGTTGGGTTCTCAGCTCATCTTTTCATCACTTGCTTCTCTTAGATAATGTTCAAATACTGGTTACAAATAGGAGAATAAATGATGAGTTCATTGGACGAGAATTGAGGGGAGTTAGCAGAAGATTTCTGTAAGAACACAGTCTGGGTGTCCCAAAGCAAGTTATAAAGTAATACAATTTTTCTTCGATCCCACTTACCATCCTTTCTGCATCATCTTCCTCCAAGTCAGGTGCTCAGTGTTTCTGAGTGAGATGAACAATTCAATCAGATGTAATTGTTAGTCACAATGTTTTAGTCTTCCCATGGATGTATTAAGTATATATATTTACATATATTCTACAGGAAGTGGCACTATTTAATCAAGGAAATCCAATGCCAATAATGGATTTTGGGGATCTACCCAGGATAGATAGGTAAAGGGATATTTTTGGCCGTTACTGACGCCTTTCAGTCACCTAATGATTGGCTATTTGTCTTGCCTATTTATAAGTCAGTTGTAAGTTTCATTGGGCAAACAAAGGAAGTTGTTGTTTTTCAGTCTGCTGTTGGTTTTACCTTTCCTGGCAGTAACGTTTCCCTAGGGGCAAGCAAATACTCCAAGTTGAACATCTCATTTACAGCACTGTCATTTGGGGTGATAGTTATTTGTAGTTTGTAGAGGAATTATTTCATTCATATGAGTGAACAGATGGGTTAATAAAGCTGTCTGAAGTTGCAAACTGGTACACAGACTATTTCAGGGACATCCATCATGGTGTCATGTTGCTGAATGCTGAACTACCAATAGACTATTAGATTACAAGCACCTTGAAAACCAGAATTAAACCTAATCTAAACCCAAGCCATAGCAACAGAGTATCGAGGTAGGCTTTACTTCTAGTCTTCAAGAAGTGAAGGTAGCTTGGCATCTGCTGCTATCATGCAGGCATTAGAACATTTAAAGAAAACATGTAAGCTGTGACAATGTTAATTTCATAAGAAAAAAATGGGTTTGTATAATTTTATTCTGAAATGTGTTTCCTTTATTTTCTAACTATAAAATGGTTTTGACATCTTCAAAAACATCATCGCATAGATGCAAACATATTTTTTAAAGAACTAACACTTTATAGACTTTAGGTGAAGGGATTCTGCAAGGACTGTGACATCCAATGGGAGGGTGCTTATGTGTGGTGTGTATAGAGACCTAATAAGAACTACTTCAAAGTTTTACAGAACTTGTCAGAAGTCTTATAACTCGTACCAAGGGGAAGATAACAGCAATCAAAGTTGTAAATAAACTAGATGTTGCTGGCTAGCAAGATTTCTCTACATAGACCCTAAACGGCCCTATTGTCAAGATTTGTGTGGGAGATGCAAAGGCAAACACCTATCCTGTGTGAGCACTTTCAGCTTCAAATATCATTTCAATAAATGAATGCAAAAAATAGTAAAAAAAATACAGCAGGATCATGGCTGGGCTAGGTCTAAAATAACAAAATTATTTGTTATTTTAATTGTGTGCACAAGCTGTCTCCTTTTTGTAGTGAGCTCTGTTTTGTCTTACACTTCACTGAAGTATGCACTGCATACTGAGATTTGATTGAAGCCACATAAGAAGGAAAGATTTGGAAGGCAGTGAGGGAGTCTGCCATGGTTGCTGGTTCTCTATGAGGCTCAATTGTTGGGGTGCACATGGCATGCAACACTGATGCTTGACAATATAAGGCAATGGCTTTCAGCTATGGCTGCACATTATAATAACCTAGCAAGCTTCTAAAACATACCAATTAAATTAGAGCCTTTTGGGGTGGGGTTCTGTCTTTGGTATACACTAAAAACACTCCAGGTGATTCTAATATGCAGCCAGGGTTGAAAATCATTGGTAAAATGGATGCAAATATCAGTCCATAAACTCAAATGTGCAAGAAGCAGAACTTAATTTTTTATTCCCAGCCTCAATTTTGCTACTAACTTCATTCTTTTTTATGGTTTACTTAACCCTGTAGTTCAGAGTTCTTATGCAGCGCAAAATTTTGGGGAGCAGAGGAACCTCTTATTTGTAGGTCATCTGTCCACTAAAGTTACCATTGGATGTCCCATCACCCCATCAACATGACACTTTTGGTCCAGTGGTGCGGCATGCTTCGAGAACTGGCATCTTTCTGTGATGTGCCTCCACTCAAGAACTAGGTCTGAGCCTAAGGGATGCCACAAAACTCAGTAGTCACACAAGTCATATTTTAATGTATAATTACTGATGTCTAAATTAATGCAAAAAATCCACAATGAACAAAATATCGGAAGTTTAAATAAAAACAGTGTCAGTACCCACTCTGTCCCCAGCTTTTCTTCTTGTGGTAGGAAATACTGCCTCTCTAGCAATGTGCAGACTGCAGTTTTTTCCTGCTTGTTCATTCCAGTTGAGGAAAATGTCATTTAATCCCGGAAAAATATTTTTCCTTTTGTGTTTCTGTCTTGCATATTTAATCTACTCTGGAGAAT
Organism: Homo sapiens; assembly: GCF_000001405.40. NCBI lineage: Eukaryota > Metazoa > Chordata > Mammalia > Primates > Hominidae > Homo > Homo sapiens. Next base: position 210,495,694 of record NC_000002.12, read on the forward strand.
ATTCTTTTGTACACCTGTTTCCAAATTAGGTGTAAAGTTTTGGAAAAGAGTATATGAAGAAAAGTACTCAGTAGGCAACTTGCAATGTTTGCTTTGCCATTTCTCTCTTATTTGTCACCGAGCATAGAATTCACTACCTGCTTGAGGTATATGTGACTGTGTATGTGTGTGTGGGTGAGTGTGTGTGTGTGCATGAAGGGATAGAGTGCCATAAGGGTCTCCTTACCTCCCTCTTTTCTTTTTTTCCTCCCTCTCTCACTCCCTCCTTCCTTACCTTCCTCCCCTCTTTCCCTCCCTGTGTTCTTCCTTCCTTGCTGCAAAATAAAGGCAAATTGGTAGGCAACTTAAGATATTTTTTATTATTTATCAAATATTCAGATACTATTTTTGCCAACATGCCCTGTAGTCCATACAGGGAATTTCTTGGACTTGCACCTCACCAAAAACTTCCACCTAGCAGGGGCACTAGAAGCTTCTGTGGCATCTGTCCCTGGGTTCTGTGATTTGCACAAGAGAATGCTCAACTTTTCCACTCCACATTTTACTATGTAAGGAATGAAACCAAAACTGTGTATGTCTCTCTGTCTCCAGAGCCTTTGGTGGAAACAAGTCCTTCTGCCTTTGTTCTCCTATCTCTCAGATGGTGGTTGATAACCCCCATCTTGTTATCAGCATTTCCTGCCTCTATTCCTTGGGTGTCTTTGAATAAATAATTTCCTTTTCTTCTAGACACAAATAAGAGCTAACATAGGAATTAACTTAAGCAAATTGAGTCTTCTTGAGGAGCTCCTGTGCAAAGATGTCTGGATGTCAGCAGATCATGTTTCTTGGCAAGAGAGAAGGACAATGAATTCATGGAGGCTAGATCATCTAGGGCCCTATTTGCAAGGAATTTGGCTGTTTCTCAGCATGAGATGAGAAGGCATCAGAGGATACTGAATAGAGAAGTGACATAACCTACATAGAACTTAACCTTAGTTGCACTACTCTCTTGCTAGCTTCCTGCTCTTCCTCCAACATGCAGGCACACTTCCTCCTCAGGGCTTTGGTACTTGCTCTTCTATTTGCTTGAGACGTTTGTCCCACAGATAGCTGCACGGCTCAGTGCCTCACCTTCTCAGCAACATCCTTCCTGGTCACCCTATTTAATACTTAAACTTCTTATACTTTTTCTTCGCTACTTTATTTTCCTTCATTGCATTTATCTAATACTATGTGTTAACTGTCTATGTCATTTATTTTCTGTCAAAGAAAAATAATTATATTCTGGACAGCTGGTCTGTTTTTTATCAAATAGGGAATGGAAATCTTTTAACTGATTATATCTTTCCTTCTTTTATTTTTGGAATTAGCTCTAATAAGCTCAGCAAACTTTGTGTAAGATCTAATTAAGGGGTATCTTCTTGTATGCTAACTCTTCCAGATTTCATCTTACTATTTGGTCATCATTACATTTGACCCAGATTTAAATTTTTAAAAAATGTATTACTGTTTTATATCTACTTTTGTTTCAAATAATCTTTAAGCAAGGCATGTCATAAAGAAGAATTTATCCTTATATCTCCTATACCCAGTGAAGTTTGTGCATATAGAACATGTTAATAAGCTGAATATGATATGTAAAATGTAATAAAATGTTAAAAATATTCATATCCTATTTACCTCGGGAGGTTTATACTTTATTTTTATTTAATTTTTTTATAATTTCAAATTTTATGTTAGATTTGGGGGTAATGAGCAGGTTTGTTACATAGGTATATTGTGTGATGCCGAGGTTTGGGATACAAATGATCCCATCTCCCAGATACTAAGCATAGTACCCAACAGTTTTTCAACCCTTGTCCCCATACCTCTCTCCCCACTCCAACAGTCTTCAGTTTCTATTGTTGCCATTTTTGTGTCCATGAGTACTCAGTGTTTAGGTCCCACTTATAGGCAAGAACATGCAGTATTTGGTGTTTTGTTCCTGCATTAATTCGCTTAGGATAATAGCCCCAGCTGCATCCACGTTGCTGGAAAGAACATAATTTCATTCTTTTTTGTGGCTGTTTAGTATCCCATGGTGTATATGTAGCACATTTTCTGTATCCAATCTACCATTAAAGGCACCTAGGTTGATTCCACGTCTTTGCTATTCTGAAGAGTGCTGCAATAAATATGTGCATGCATGTGTCTTTTTGGTAGAACAATATATACATACATATATATATATATATATATATATATCTCCAGTAATGCAGTCATGGGGTTGCTGGGCTGAATGGTAGTTCTGCTTTGAGTTCTTTGAGAAATCTCTAAACTGCTTTCCACAGTGGCTGAGCTAATTAACATTCCCATCAACAGTGTATAAGCATTCCCTTTTCTTCACAGCCTCGCCAGCATCGGTTGTTTTTTGACTTTTTAATAACGGCCATTCTTACTGGTATGAGATTGTATCTTATTTTGGTTTTGACTTGTGTTTCTCTGATGATTAGTTATGTGGAGCATTTTTTCATGTTTGCTGACGTATGAAGATGACATATGTTGTATGTCTTCTTGTTAGAAGTGTCTGTCCATGTCTTTTGCCCATTTTTTAATGGGGTTTGAGCATAGAATATTTTTCCACTGGTTTGTGTCATCTATTATTTCTTTGAGCAGTGTTTTGTAGTAGTTCTCCTTGTAGAAATCTTTCACCTCCTTGGTTAAATATATTTCTAGGTATTTTATTTTATTTTTTTCTGTGGCTATTGTAAATGGGATTGCATTCTTGATTTGGTTCTCAGCTTGAGTGTTATTGGTGTATGGAAATGCTAGTGAGTTTTGACACTGATTTTGTATTGTGAATCTTTACAAAGTTATTTATCAGTTCCAGGAGCCTTTTGGTGGGTCTTTAGGGTTTTCTAGGCGTAGAATCATATCAGTGAAGAGAGACAGTTTGACATCTTCTTTACTTATTTGGATGCCTTTTATTTCCCTCTCTTGCCTTCAAACCAGAGATCTATCTAGGCATGGAGCTGGGAAACCTTTCTGGCCCCAAGTTCTCTGCATGGGGATGGAAGGCAGCCTAAATTCTTATTCCAGTAGAGTGGGTGCTCTAGATGCTTGGAGATCTGCCTGGGTGTGGAGTGTAGAGGGCCTTGCTGGACCACAATCTCTGCACAGATAGGGCGGGAGAGCTCAGGCTGGCAAGCCAGGATAACAGGTACTCTTACTGCTTGGAGATATGCCTGTGCATGGAGTAAAGAGGGCTGTGCTTCACCATGGTGTCTGAACAGGATGGGTGGGCTGGCTCAGGCTGTTGATTCAGGTGAGTGGATGCTCCAAATGCCTGGATATCTGCCAGAGGGTGGAGCAGAGAGGGCCTGGGCTTCACCACAGTCTCCACACAGGAATGGTTGGGTGGCTTGGTATGCTGATCTGGGTGAATGGTAGCTGCAACTGCTAGGAGATCTGCCTGGGCATGAAGCAGAGAGGGCCCTGCTGTACCATGATCTCTGCACAGGCAGGGTGGGGTATCTTAGGTTGCTAGTCAATGTCACCAGGTGTTTCAAATACCTGGATTTCTGCCTGGGAGTGGAGTGGAGAGGGACCCACTGCACCGTGATCCCAGAGAAGGAGGTTGGGCCACCCAGAAATGATACACATAAACCTGTTCTATGTCTCCAAGCTGGTCCTGGCTGCAAGTCTCCTCATCCAGGAGAAACTGGATGAGCAGCTTTCCTCCAGCTCCAGGCCTGTGACAGGGGAGAGCACAATTCCAGTGCCTACTGATGAGGCACTTTCTGTAATTCTGGCTGTAGAGACCTCTACACCACTCCAGAGCAAGCGCTCCAATCTCTGGCCCAAGACAAAAATGCCTGTGCAGCCACGGTGCCAGATTGCCAAAGAATGGCTGACTTTGTATGCACTCGGGTTAAAAACGGCATCCTGCTTTCAGTCCTGGGTCTGAGAAAATGCCTGCAGCTTTTCCCTGTGTCTTTTCCTCTCAGCACTTCCAAGCCTCTCTCCAAGTTAGCTCCAGGACTTGGGAGAAAAAAGTGCTCTCCCTCAGCCTAGGTTGCTGGGATCCCCAGTGGAAAGGTGAGTAGTAGAGGGAGGCTCTCCTCCCCTCTCACGTACTGGGGCTTCACACATTGTCAGCCAGATGCCATCATGAGGGCTGTTTGCCCACGTTCTTCTCCTTGGGAGCTGGAGTATCTTTCACAATATCAGGGGATTCGTGTTGTATTAGTTTGTTCTCACACTGTATGAAGAAATTCCCAAGACTGGATAATTTATAAGGAAAAAAGGTTTAATTGACTCACAGTTATCCACGGTTTTTAGGGGAGGCCTCAGGAAGCTTACAATTATGGTGGAAGGCACATCTTCACAGGGTGGCAGGAGAGAGAATGAGTGCCAAGCAAAGGGGGAAGCCCCTTATAAAACCATCAGATCTCATGAGAACTCATCCACTATCATGAAAACAGCATGGGGGAACCGCCCCCATGATTCAATTATCTCCACCTGATCCCGCCCTTGACACCTGGGGATTATCATTTCAAGATTACAATTCAAGATGAGATTTGGGTGGGGACACAGCCATGTGATATCATCCCACCACTGGCTCCTCCCAAATCTCATGTCCTCAAATTTCAAAACACAATCATGCCCTCCCAACAGTCCCCCAAAGTCTTAATTCATTCCAGCATTAACCCAAAAGTCAAAGTCCAAAGTTTCATCTGAGATAAGGCAAGTCTCTTCTGCCTATAGGGCTATAAAATCCAAAGCAAGTTAGTTCCTTCCTAGATACAGTGGAGGTACAGGCCTTGGGTAAATACACCTATTCCAAATGGGAGAAATTGGCCAAAACAAAGGGTCTACAGTCCCCATGCAAGTCCGACATTCAATAGGGCAGTCATTAAAACTTAAAGCTCCAAAATGATCTCCTTTGACTCTTATGTCTCATATCCAGGTCACACTGATGCAAGAGGAAGGCTCCCACATCCTTGGCAGCTCTGCCCCTGTGGCTTTGCAGGGTGCAGGCTCCTCCCAGCTGTTTTCACGACTGGCACTGAGTGTTTGCAGTTTTCCAGGCGTACTGTGAAAGCTGGTGATGGATCTACCATTCTGGGGTCTGGAGGATGGTGGCCCTCTTCTCACAGCTCCACTAGGCAGTGCCCCAGTGGGGACTTTGTGTGGGGGCTCCAACCCCATCTTTCCCTTCCACACTGCCCTAGCAGAGGGTTCTCCATGAGGGCTCTAACCCTACAGCAAATTTCTGCTTGGACATCTAGGTGTTTCCATATATCCTCTGAAATCTAGGTGGAGGTCCCCAAACTTCAATTCTTGACTTCTCTGCACCCACAGGCTCAACACCATGTGGAAACTGCCAGGCTTGGGGCTTGTGCCCTCTGAAGCCATGGCCAGAGCTGTACCTTGGGCATTTTTAGCCATGGCTAGAGTGGCTGGGAAACAGAGCACCAAGTCTCTAGGCTGCACACATCGGGGGGCCCTGGACCTGGTCCCAGGAAACCATATTTTCCTCCCAGGCCTCTGGGCCTATAATGGGAGGGGCTGCCATGAAGGTCACTGACATACCCTGGGGACATTTTCCCATTGTCTTGGTGATTAACATTCTGCTCCTTGTTACTTAGCAAATTGCTGTGATAGGCTTGAATTTCTCCTCAGGAAATGGGTTTTTCTTTTCTATTGCATCATCAGGCTGCAAATTTTCCAAACTTTTATGCTCTGCTTCCCTTTTAAACATAAGTTGCAATCCCAAACCATATCTTTGTGAATACGTAAAACTGAATGCTTTTAACAGCACCCAAGTCACTTCTTGAATGCTTTGCTGCTTAGAAATTTCTTCCACCAGATACCCTAAATCATCTCTCTCAAGTTCAAAGTTCTACAGATCTCTAGGGCAGGGGCAAAATACCACCAGTCCCTTTGCTAAAGCATAGCAATACTCACCTTTATTCTAATTCCCAACAAGTTCCTCATCTCTATCTGAGACCATCTCAGCCTGGACTTCATTGTCCATATCTCTGTCAGCATTTTAGTCAAAACCATTAGACAAGTCTCTAGGAAGTTCCAAACTTTCTCACATCTTCCTGTCTTCTTCTGAGCCCTCCAAACTGTTCCAACCTCTGCCTGTTACCCACTTCTAAAGTCATCTCCACATTTTCAGCTATCTTTACAGCAGCCTCCCATTACCCAGTACCAAGTTACTGTATTAGTCTGTTTTCAGGCTGTGATGAAAAAATTCCTGAAACTGTGTAATTTATAAGGGAAAAAGGTTTAATTGACTCACAGTTCCACATGGCTGGAGAGCCCTCAAGAAACTTGCAATTATGGCAGGAGGCACCTCCTCACAGGGTGGCAGGAGAGAAAATGAGTGCCGAGAAGTGGGGAAAGCCCTTTATATAGCCATCAGATCTTGTGAGAACCCACTCACCATCATGAGAACAGCATGGGGGAAACTGCCCCCATGATTCAATTATTTCCACCTGGTCCCACCCTTGACACGTGGAGATTATCACAACTCAAGGTGAGATTTGAGTGGGGACACAAAGCCAAACCATATTACCAATTTTCCTTCTCGAATTAATGCTCACAGAGTTGATCTTTGTGCAATATCTTGCTATTTCCAAGTGGTCGAGGCACACTGAAAGCTTCTAATCCACCATCTTGGGAAAAAATAATCTCTCTCTCTCTATATATATATATTTTTTTATATATATGTATATTTTATATATATATAATATATATATAAAAGAGAGATATAGAGATATCTATGAGATACATATAGATATATATATTTATATATAAAAGAGATATAAATATAGAGATATATTTTTTATATATATATACACACATATATACATATAATGTTAAAAAGCATCTTTTCAAATAAATGCTGCTTGCATATGTTAATTTAGTTTGAACAATTTTGGAGTGGATTTCAGGACAGGAGAGAGAAAAAAGCAAAGAGCAAAACAACTCCACTCTAAAGGGAAGTCATAGTTCCTGGGTCTGAGTGGTGCTTCTTGCCTCCATCCTGCCCTGACCCTTCATAGTCTCGTGACTTTCACATTGCTCTAATAAGATATCAAAATTTGAGTGAGGGGTTCAGTTCCTATCTCTGTTCTCCCAGTAATGCAACAAAAAGGGTAACTTGTCCCTCCTCTTTACATTTTAAAATAAGGAAGGGTTGAATTAGCTCAGTGTTTCTCAAGGCTTGATTCACCTTAATTGACTGAAGAGCTTTTTAAAAATCCCAATTTCTTTGGCCCTTGTCATAGACATTCTGATTCCTTTTATTTGGCAGAAGACCCAGGCACTGACCTAATTTTTAAAAGTTCTGTATATGGTTCTCTTGTGCAGGCAGAATTGAGATCATTGGCTTTGCTAAGGTATCTCCAGCACTGACATCCTGTGACTAGGTGGATAATTTAACTCTTCCTAACTCTACAGAAAAAGTGAGAAGCTCTAGAGATTCCACTGGTAACCTCTTCAAGGTTATGTCACATGCTGCCACTAGATGGCGCAGGCAATTCTTGGGACGGAGGAGATTCTGGTTATTTGGGATTTTCATTTTCCCTGTGCAATATACTTGAGACACTCAGCTTAAGAAGCTTCGTGGGGGAATGACATTTTAGCTCCTTTCCCAAAGCTCGAGGCCCAGAAGGTAGAGCTGTTTTGCTTGACAAGTTGATAGAGAGAGACTCATTAAATAAACGTTCTATCGTCTGAAGGGAGAAAGTAAAACCCCCGGCATAAATATTAGTTCACATTTTTCTTATTATTTCCAGCAGGTGTGTGTTCTCCCCTTCTCTGTGTCTTTCTCTCTCTTACTCTTTGTTGGTGGCCTCTTTTTACCTTTATCTTTTCCCTTTTCTTGGTTTCTGTCTGTAACCACTGTTTGTAAACTGGTTATGATGAATTTACAGGTGGATTAAATCTTAGTTTGCCACCTTTGTCGTAGATAAAAATTTTAGGAATCCAAAAACGATACCTACACAATATTCTTAGAAGGGTGAACACATTCAGGTTACAATGGAAAAATTCTTATTCAGGAGACTTCCTCTGCAATGTTGTTTGTTCATAGCAGCTGTGGTAGCACCCGCCAAATCCAGGAAGAAAGAATTTTATGCCGTATCAGGGAAAAACAGTCAAAATCCTTTCCTCTTTACAGCACAATTCGGGTGACGGCCAAAGCTCTTAGTGTACATACAAGTAGGGGTTTTTGCACAATAATAGGGTGTGCTTCTCTGATGCTTTTCACTGGAAGACCACATAGCACATTGCTGCTTTATTCCATAAAGCTGCCTCTTTCCCCTGGGCTGTCAGAATAGGAAGATGTGTTGTGATTTTTTTTTTCAAAGAGATTGCATTCCTTCCCTGGCTTTGTCCCAGCCCAGCTGCTTGTTGTTCAGGGAGATGCTGCGCTTTTGGTGCCAGGATATACCACTGTGCTTTCTTTTTCCCTGAGTGACATATACTGATGGGTCACTGCCTGAAACAGTGGAACAAGGCATGGTGTGTGTCCACCCGTGAAGATCCATTGTTTATTCTTCCCTAGTTTCCATCTAGCAGCATCAGGTTCCCATCTTCATTAAGAAACAAAACAACCGACCAAACAAATAAAACCCCACAAACAATGCAAAATAAACCACCACAAATGCAAGAAAAAAGTCTTTTTTAAATTTTACATTAATAGCTAACGTTGAGTGCAAACTATATTCTGGATATTGTTTTAATCACTTGTCATATGTTGTGTCATTAATCCTCACATCAGTGTCATGAGCTAGGTCCTATTATTATCCCCATTTTACAGATGAAGAAATTGAGTAAAAGTAGGGTTAAGTAAGTTGCTCAATGTCATGCAGCTGATAAGTTGCTGAGCCAAGCTCTGATTCCAGGCAATCTGACACAGTACACCTTAACTCTGTATCTAGATTCCAAAGGGTTGTGTATTGGAGTAACAAGCAAGTAAAGGATAGATTCTCCAATTGGATAGTTGTTAGAAAAGGGTGTATTTCCTGTTAATGTAGCTATATTTCTTTTGGTATAAGATTCAACAGATGCTCCAAACCCAGTTCTACCCCATGCTGGAGGACCTAAGTACATTGTGGCATACCCACTTCTTACTGGCAGAAAAATTAAAAGGCGGGAAACTTCCTTCTCAGTTGTGACTGGGATCATTTAGTGTGTCTGCACAATCCTAAATAAATTTGGAAAGTGAACAATTGGGAGGACGACCTACTTTTTTTTTCTGACTCACTTCTACACTACTTAAAAGTAAATAGGAATAGGGGCTGATATATAAGGCATTTGGGAGCTTTTTCTCGTTGGTCATACATTAACCTCTTTAGGTCAACAGAAGTCTGGAAGAAGGAGGCCACCACACACTCTGCCTAAGAGTGTGTTTTTAGTGTAATTCATGCTGTATTGGGCATGAAGAAAGCAGACAGCTTTCTGAAATGAGCTATTTCCAAGGGAGTACAATCATATTGCAAAGAAAGCACCTAGAAGGAAGAAATTCATCCTATAATTAGGGCTCTGAAATATTTTCAATCAACATATAGGTTGGTGCAAAAGTAATTGCAGTTTTTGCCATTGAAAGTAGTGGCCAAAACTGCAATTACTTTAGCACCAACCTAATATCATGAAGAAAGAAAAGAAGCACAGTCCTTGCTAGAAAACAGTGATAATCTCAATAGAAGAATCTAAGAGCTAGAAGACTCAGTTGGAAACAGCAGAATCGGGCCAAATAGGAACAGCTCCAGTCTACTGCTCCCGGCGTGAGCGACACAGAAGACGAATGATTTCTGCATTTCCAACTGAGGTACTGGGTTCATCTCACTGGGGAGTATCAGACAGTGGGTGCAGGACAGTGGGTGCAGTGCACTGAGCATGAGCCGAAGCAGGGCGAGCATCGCCTCACCCGGGAAGCACAAGGGGTCAGGGAATTCCCTTTCTTAGCCAGGGAAAGGGGTGACAGAGGGCACCTGGAAAATTGGGTCACTCCCACCCTAACACTTTGCTTTTCCAACCGTCTTAGCAAACGGCACACCAGGAGATTGTATCCCACACCTGGCACGAAGGGTCCTATGCCCACGGAGACTTGCTCATTGCTAATACAGCAGTCTGAGATCAAACTGCAAGGTGGCAGCGAGGCTGGGGGAGGGGCACCTGCCATTGCTGAGGCTTGAGTATGTAAAAAAAGCACAGGGAAGCTCGAACTGGGTGGAGCCCACCGCAGCTCAAGGAGGCATGGCTGCCTCTGTAGACTCCACCTCTGGGGGCAGGCATAGCCAAACAAAAGGCAGCAGAAACCTCTGCAGACTTAAATGTCCCTGTCTGACAGTTTTGAAGAGAGTAGTGGTTCTCCCAGCATGCAGCTGGAGATCTGGAATGGACAGACTGCCTCCTCAAGTGGGTGCTGACCCCCGAATAGCCTAACTGGGAGGCACTCCACAGTAGGGGCAGACTGACACCTCACATGGCCGGGTACTCCTCTGAGACAAAACTTCCAGAGGAACGATCGGGCAGCAACATTTGCTGTTCGCCAATATCCGCTGTTCTGCAGCCTCCGCTTCTGATACCCAGGCAAACAGGGTCAGGAGTGGACCTCCAGCAAACTCCAACAGACCTGCAGCTGAGGGTCCTGACTGTTAGAAGGAAAACTAACAAGCAGAAAAGACATCCACACCAAAACCCCATCTGTATGTCACCATCATCAAAGACCAAAGGTAGATAAAACCACAAAGATGGGGAAAAAACAGAGCAGAAAAACTGAAAATTCTAAAATCAGAGCGCCTCTTCTACTCTACTCCAAAGGAACGCAGCTCCTCACCAGCAATGAAACATGGAGAATGACTCTGACGAGCTGAGAGAAGGCTTCAGACAATCAAACTACTCCAAGCTAAAGGAGGAAGTTCGAACCCATGGCAAAGAAGTTAAAAACCTTGAAAAAAGATTAGACAAATGGCTAACTAGAATAACCAATGCAAAGAAGTCCTTAAAGGACCTGATGGAGCTGAAAACCAAGGCACGAGAACTACGTGACGAATGCACAAGCCTCAGTAGCCAATTCGATCAACTGGAAGAAAGGGTATCAGTGATGGAAGATCAAACGAATGAAATGAAGTGAGAAGAGAAGTTTAGAGAAAAAAGAATAAAAAGAAATGAACAAAGCCTCCAAGAAATATGGGACTTTGTGAAAAGACCAAATCTATGTCTGATTGGTGTACCTGAAAGTGACAGGGAGAATGGGACCAAGTTGGAAAACACTCTGCAGGATATTATCCAGGAGAACTTCCCTAATCTAGCAAGGCAGGCCAACATTCAGATTCAGGAAATACAGAGAACGCCACAAAGATACTCCTCAAGAAGAGCAACTCCAAGACACAGAATTGTCAGATTCACCAAAGTTGAAATGCAGGAAAAAATGTTAAGGGCAGCCAGAGAGAAAGGTCGGGTTACCCATAAAGGGAAGCCTATCAGACTAACAATGGATCTCTCGGCAGAAACTCTAGAAGGCAGAAGAGAGTGGGGGCCAATATTCAACATTCTTAAAGAAAAGAATTTTCAACCCAGAATTTCTTATCCAGTGAAACTAAGCTTCATAAGTGAAGGAGAAATAAAATACTTTATAGATAAGCAAATGCTGAGAGATTTTCTCACCACCAGGCCTGCCCTAAAAGAGCTCCTGAAGGAAGCACTAAACATGGAAAGGAACAACTGGTACCACCCACTGCAAAAACATGCCAAATTGTAAAGACCAGCGAGGCTAGGAAGAAAGTGCATCAACTAACGAGCAAAATAACCAGCTAACATCATAATGACAGGATCAAATTCACACATAACAATATTAACCTTAAATGTAAATGGGCTAAATGCTCCAATTAAAAGACACAGACTGGCAAATTGGATAAAGAGTCAAGACCCATCAGTGTGCTGTATTCAGGAAACCCATCTCACATGCAGAGACACACATAGGCTCAAAATAAAGGGATGGAGGAAGATCTACCAAGCAAATGGAAAACAAAAAAAGGCAGGGGTTGCAATCCTAGTCTCTGATAAAACAGACTTTAAACCAACAAAGATCAAAAGTGACAAAGAAGGCCATTACATGATGGTAAAGGGATCAATGCAACAAGAAGAGCTAACTATCCTAAATATATATGCACCCAATACAGGAGCACCCAGATTCATAAAGCAAGTCCTTAGAGACCTACAAAGAGACTTAGACTCCCACACAATAATAATGGGAGACTTTAACACCCCACTGTCAACATTAGACAGATCAACGAGACAGAAAGTTAACAAGGATATCCAGAAATTGAATTCAGTTCTGCACCAAGCAGACCTAATAGACATCTACAGAACTCTCCACCCCAAATCAACAGAATAGACATTCTTTTCAGCACCACACCACACCTATTCCAAAATTGACCACATAGTTGGAAGTAAAGCACTCCTCAGCAAATGTAAAAGAACAGAAATTATAACAAACTGTCTCTCAGACCACAGTGCAATCAAACTAGAACTCAGGATTAAGAAACTCACTCAAAACCACTCAACTACACGGAAACTGAACAACCTGCTCCTGAGTGACTACTGGGTACATAATGAAATGAAGGCAGAAATAAAGATGTTCTTTGAAACCAATGAGAACAAAGACACAACATACCAGAATCTCTGGGACACATTCAAAGCAGTGTGTAGAGGGAAATTTATAGCACTAAATGCCCACAAGAGAAAGCAGGAAAGATCTAAAATTGACACCCTAACATCACAATTAAAAGAACTAGAGAAGCAAGAGCAAACACATTTAAAAGCTAGCAGAAGGCAAGAAATAACTAAGATCAGAGCAGAACTGAAGGAAATAGAGACACAAAAAACCCTTCAAAAAATCAATGAATCCAGGAGCTGGTTTTGTGAAAAGATCAACAAAATTGATAGACCACTAGCAAGACTAATAAAGAAGAAAACAGAGAAGAATCAAATAGATGCAATTAAAAAATGATAAAGGGGATATCACCACTGATCCTACAGAAATACAAACTACCATCAGAGAATAGTATAAACACCTCTACGCAAATAAACTAGAAAATCTAGAAGAAATGGATAAATTCCTTGACACATACACCCTCCCAAGACTAAACCAGGAAGAAGTTGAATCTCTGAATAGACCGATAACAGGCTCTGAAATTGAGGCAATAATTAATAGCTTACCAACCAAAAAAAGTCCGGGACCAGACAGATTCACAGCTGAATTCTACCAGAGGTACAAGGAGGAGCTGGTACCATTCCTTCTGAAACTATTCCAATCAATAGAAAAAGAGGGAATCCTCCCTAACTCATTTTATGAGGCCAGCATCATCCTGATACCAAAGCCTGGCAGAGACACAACAAAAAAAGAGAATTTTAGACCAAGATCCCTGATGAACATCAATGCAAAAATCCTCAATATAATACTGGCAAACCGAATCCAGCAGCACATCAAAAAGCTTATCCACCATGATCAAGTGGGCTTCATCCCTGGGATGCAAGGCTGGTTCAACATATGCAAATCATTAAACATAATCCAGTATATAAACAGAACCAATGACAAAAACCACATGATTATCTCAATAGATGCAGAAAAGGCCTTTGACAAAATTCAACAGCACTTCATGCTAAAAACTCTCAATAAATTAGGTATTGATGGGACATATCTCAAAATAATAAGAGCTATCTATGACAAACCCACAGCCAATATCATACTGAATGGGCAAAAACTGGAAGCATTCCCTTTGAAAACTGGCACATGATAGGGATGCCCTCTCTCACCACTCCTATTCAACATAGTGTTGGAAGTTCTGGCCAGGGCAATCAGGCAGGAGAAGGAAATAAAGGGTATTCAGTTAGGAAAAGAGGAAATCAAATTGTTCCTGTTTGCAGATGATGTGATAGTATATCTAGAAAACCCATCGTCTCAGCCCAAAATCTCCTTAAGCTGATAGGCAACTTCAGCAAAGTCTCAGGATACAAAATCAATGTGCAAAAATCACAAGCATTCTTATACCATTAGCAGACAAACAGAGAGCCAAATCATGAGTGAACTCCCATTCACAATTGCTTCAGAGAATAAAATACCTAGGATCCAACTTACAAGGGATGTGAAGGACCTCTTTAAGGAGAACTACAAACCACTGCTCAATGAAAATAAAAGAGGATACAAACAAATGGAAGAACATTCCATGCTCATGGGTAGGAACAATCAATATCGTGAAAATGGCCATACTGCCCAAGGTAATTTATAGATTCAATGCCATCCCCATCAAGCTACCAATGACTTTCTTCACAGAATTGGAGAAAACTACTTTAAAGTTCATATGGAACCAAAAAAGAGCCCGCATCGCCAAGTCAATCCTAAGCCAAAAGAACAAAGCTGGAGGCATCACACTACCTGACTTCAAACTATACTACAAGGCAACAGTAACCCAAACAGCATGGTACTGGTACCAAAACAGAGATCTAGACCAATGGAACAGAACAGAGCCCTCAGAAATAATGCCACGTTATCTACAACTATCTGATCTTTGACAAACCTGACAAAAACAAGCAATGGGGAAAGGATTCCCTATTTAATAAATGGTGCTGGGAAAACTGGCTAGCCATATGTAGAAAGCTGAAACTGGATCCCTTCCTTACACCTTATACAAAAATTAATTCAAGATGGATTAAAGATTTAAATGTTAGACCTAAAACCATAAAAACCCTAGAAGAAAACCTAGGCAATACCATTCAGGACATAGGCATGGGCAAGGGCAAGGACTTCATGTCTAAAACACCCAAAGCAATGGCAACAAAAGCCAAAACTGACAAATGGGAACTAATTAAACTAAAGAGCTTCTGCACAGCAAAAGAAACTATCATCAGAGTGAATAGGCAACCTACAGAATGGGACAAAATTTTTGCAATCTGCTCATCTGACAAAGGGCTAATATCCAGAATCTACAAAGAACTCAAACAAATTTACAAGAAAAAAACAACCCCATCAACAAGTGGGCGAAGGATATGAACAGACGCTTCTCAAAAGAAGACATTTATGCAGCCAAAAGACACATGAAAAAATGCTCATCATCACTGGCCATCAGAGAAATGCAAATCAAAACCACAATGAGATACCATCTCACACCAGTTAGAATGGCGATCATTAAGAAGTCAGGAAACAACAGGTGCTGAAGAGGATGTGGAGAAATAGGAACAATTTTACACTGTTGGTGGGACTGTAAACTAGTTCAACAATTGTGGAAGTCAGTGTGGCGATTCCTCAGGGATCTAGAACTAGAAATATCGTTTGACCCAGCCATCCCATTACTGGATGTATATCCAAAGGACTATAAATCATGCTGCTATAAAGACACATGCACACGTATGTTTATTGTGGCACTATTCACAATAGCAAAGACTTGGAACCAACCCAAATGTCCAACAATGATAGACTGGATTAAGAAAATGTGGCACATATACACCATGGAATACTATGCAGCCTTAAAAAATGATGAGTTCATGTCCTTTGTAGGGACATGGATGAAGCTGGAAACCATCATTCTCAGCAAACCATCGCAAGGAGAAAAAACCAAACACCGCATGTTCTTACTCATAGGTGGGAAATGAACAATGAGAACACATGGACACAGGAAGGGGAACATCACACACTTGGGGCCTGTTGTGGGGTGGGGGTAGCGGGTAGGGAGAGCATTAGGAGATATACCTAATGCTAAATGACGAGTTAATGGGTGCAGCACACCAACATGGCACATGTATACATATGTAACAAACCTGCACATTGTGCACATGTACCCTCAAACTTAAATTATAATAATAAACAAAAAGAAAACAGCAGAATCACAGGGCAAATGTCCATGGGAGCTGATGAAGAGAGACTCAGTATTCAAAGACTTTTACAACTTCATAAGCAAAGCTTAAGACTCAGTGATAGGCTCACGTGATACTCCCGGTCAAACCTAATGAGACAAGGACGGTAATGGGGTTTGCCTAGAACAACATAGAAAGGAGCTATTACCAGATCCACCTGGTTGAGGGTAAATACAATTCCTGAATGAGGGAGGACTATAGACTAAACTCAA
The DNA here is from genome assembly GCF_000001405.40 of Homo sapiens. Taxonomy (NCBI): domain Eukaryota; kingdom Metazoa; phylum Chordata; class Mammalia; order Primates; family Hominidae; genus Homo; species Homo sapiens. The sequence continues at coordinate 210,511,800 of NC_000002.12, forward strand.
AACTGACTGAAATATTTTACAATTGCAGGCATATATACCTTGTGTATTTTTCTTATTTACACATTGTGGTTTCAATAATCTTCAATAAATTTATTCACATCAACATCATTCTCTAGTTAAAGAATTTCTCTTAAGTCTTATTCTACATGAGTCATTGAACCCCAAATTGAGCCAAATTTCAGATTCACCAATTAATTGCCTCCTGATATTTCCTTACCACCCACAGGCAGCTCAAGTTGGACATCATTAAAAGTGAACTTACCATTTTTCCCTAGCCCTCTTCATTTTCCTAGAGACCACATTTCAGAGAATGACAAAACCAGCTGCATTGTTTCTAAAGCCCGAAACATGGATGGTGACTTTTATGTGTGCAAATATTTACTTATGTTTTTCTTTTATTATTATTTTTTCAACTTTTATTTTGGATTCAGACGTTACATGTGCAGGTTTGTTACATGGGTATATTGTGTGATGCCAAGGTTTGGGATACAAATGATACCATCACCCAGATAGTGGGCATAGTACCCAACAATTTTCCAATCCTTGTCCCCATGCCTCCTTCCCCACTCCAGTATTCCCCAGTTTCTCTTGTTGCCATCTTTATGTTCATGAGTACCCAATGTTTAGCTCCCACTTAAAAGTAAGAACATGCAGTATTTGGTTTTTTGTTCCTGCATTAATTCATTTAGGATAATGGCCTCCAGCTACATCCACATTGCAGCAAAGGACATGATTTTATTCTTTTTTTATGGCTGTGTAATATTCTATGGTATATATGCAGCATGTTTTCTTTGTTCAATCTACCATTAATGGGCACCTAGGTTGATTCCATATCTTTGCTATTCTGAAGAGTGCTGCAATGAACATGTGTATGCATGTGTCTTTTTGGTAGAACAATTTATTTTCTTTTGGATACATACATATCCTCCAGTAGTTTTATATATATATATATATATATATATATATATATATATATATATATATATGGAGAGAGAGATATATATATATGGAGAGAGAGAGATATATATATGGAGATATACATATATGGAGATATATATATATAGATATATATATATAGAGATATATATATGGAGATATATATATATGGAGATATATATATGGAGATATATATATATGGAGAGATATATATATGGAGATATATATATGGAGATATATATATATGGAGAGATATATATATGGAGATATATATATATCTATATATCTATATATTTATATATATATGGAGATATATATATATGGAGATATATATGTGGAGATATATATATGGAGATACATATATATGGGGATATATATATGGAGATATATATATATGGAGATATATATATGGGGAGATATATATATATGTATGGATATATATATATATCTCTCTCTCTCCATAATGGGATTGCTGGGTCAAATGGTAGTTCTGCTTTGAGTTCTTTGAGAAATCTCTAAACTGCTTTCTACAGTAGCTGAGCTAATTTACATTCCCTTCAACAGTGTATAAGCATTCCCTTTTCTCCACAGCCTCACCAGCATCTGTGTTTTTTGACTTTTTAATAACAGCCATTCCTACTGGTGTGAGATGGAATCTCACTGTGGTTTTGACTTGCATTTCTCTGACAGTTATGTGGAGCATTATTTCATATGTTTGCTGACATATGAGAAGACATACGTTGTATGTCTTCTTGTGAGAAATGTCTGTCCATGTCTGTTGCCTGTTTTTTAATGGGGTTAAGTTGGTTTTTGCCTGTTGAATTGTTGAAGTTGCTTATAGATTCCAGATAGTAGACCTTTGTTGGATGCATAGTTTGCAAATATTTTCTCCCATTCTGTAGGTTGTCTGTGTACTCTGTTGATAGTTTCTTCTGCTGTGCAGCTCTTTAGTTTAATTAGGTCCCACTTGTGAATTTTTGTTTCTGTTGCAAGTGCTTTTGAGGACTTAGTCATAAATTCTTTCCCAAGGCCAATGTCCAGAATGGTGTTTCTTAGGCTTTCTTCTAGGATTCTTATAGTTTGAGGTCTTACATTAAATCTTTAATCCATCTTCAGTGGCTTTTTGTGTATGGTGAAAGGTAGGAGTCCAGTGTCATTTTTCTGCATATGGCTAGTCAGATATCCCAGGACAATTTATTGAATAGGAAGTTCTTTCCCCATTGCTTGTTTTTGTTGAGTTTGTCAAAGATCAGATGGCTGTACGTGGCACTGTTTCTGGGCTCTCTATTCTGTTTCATTGGTCTATATGCCTGTTTTTGTAGCAGTAGCATGCTGTTTTTGTTACTGTAGCTTTATAGTATAGTTTTAAGTTGGGTGATGTTATGTTTCCAGCTTTGTTCTTTTTGCTTAGTATTCCTTTGGCTTCTCAAGCTCTTTTTTGGTTCCATATGAATTGTAGAATAGTTTCTTCTAGTTCTGTAAAAAATGACATTGGTTGTTTGATAGGAATAGTGTTGAATCTGTAGCTTGCTTTGGGAAGTGTGGCCATTTTAATAATATTGATTCTTCCTATCCATGAACATAAAATGTTTTTCCATTTGTTTGTGTCATCTATGATTCCTTTGAGGAGTGTTTTGTATTTCTCCTTGTAGAGATCTCTCACCTCCTTAGGTAGATGTATTCCTAGGTATTTTTTTTTGTAGCTATTGTAAATGAGACTGCATTCTTGATTAGGCTCTCAGCTTGAACATTATTGGTATATGGAAATGCTCTGGATTTTTGTACATTGATTTTATATTGTGAAACTTTACTGAAAGTGTTTATCTGTTCCAGAAGCTTTGGCAGGGTCTTTAGGGTTTTCTAGGCATAGAATCATATAATCAGTGAAGAGAGATAGTTAGACTTCTTCTTTACCTATTTGGATGCCTTTTATTTCCTTATCTTGCTTGATTGGTCTGCTTGGTACTTCTAGTACTATGTTGAATTGGTTGAATTGGAGTGGTAAGAATAGGCATCCTTGTCTTGTTCCAGTTCTCAATGGGAATGCTTCTTTTTTTTTTTTTGGTCTGTTTAGTGTGATGCTGGTTGTGCATTTGTCATAGATGACTCTTCTTATTTTCAGGTACATTGCTTCAGTGCCTAGTTTGTTGAGTTTTTTTTTTTAATCATTAAGCGATGTTGGATTTTATCTAAAGCTTTTTCTACCTCTTTTACAATGATCATATGTTTTGTTGTTAATTCTCTTTATGTGGTAAATCGAATTTATTGATATGTGTATGTTGCATGAACTTTACACCCTAGGAATGAAGGCTACATCATCATGGTGAATTAACTTTTCAATATGCTGTTGAATTTGATTTGCTAGTATCTTGTTGAAGATTTTTGTGTCTATGTTGATCAGGAATATTGGCCTGCATTTTGTTTTTTTTTCTTTGTGTCTTTTCCAGGTTTTGGTATCAGGTGAATGCTGGCTTCATAGAATGAGTTAGGAAGGAGTCCTTCCTCTTTCTGTTTTTGGAGTAATTTCTGTAGAATTGAAACAAGCTCTTCTTTGTATGTCTGGTAGAATTTTGCTGTGAATCTATTTGCTGTAGAGCTTTTTTTGGTTGGTAGGTTTTTTTTTATTACTGATTCAATTTTGGAACTTGATATTGGTCTGTTAAAGGTTTCAATATTTCTTTCTGATTAAATGTTAGTAGATTGTGTGTTTCTAGGAATTTATGTGTTTCCTCTAGATTTTGTATTTTGTGTGTGTAGATGTGTTCATAGTCGTCTCTGAGAATCTTTTGTATTTCTGTGGGATTGGTGCTAATGTCACTTTTGTTGTTTCTGATTGTGCTTATTTTGATCTCTCTCTTTTTGTTGTTAATCTAGGTAGTGGTCTCTTGATCTTGTTTATTCTTTCAAAGAACCCACTTTTAGTTTTGTTGATGTTTTTTGTATAGATTTTTGTGTCTCATTTCATTCAGTTCCACTCTGTTAGTTATTTCTTTCCTTTTGCTAGCTGCGGGGTTAGTTTATTTACCTTTTTCTAGTTCCTGTAGGTGTGATGTTAGATCGTTAATTTGAGATCTTTCTAGCTTTTTGAGGTGGGTATTTAGTGCTATAATCTTTTGTCATAACATTGCTTTTGCTGCATCACAGAGATTTTGCTATGTTGTATCTCTGTTTTCATTTATTTCAAGGAAATTAAAAAATTTTCTTCCTTAATTTCATTGTTTACCCAAAAGTCATTTAGGAGGAGCAGGGTGTTATTAATTTCATGTAATTCTGTGGTTTTGAGAGATCTTCTTGATATTGCTTTCTGTTTCATTCCACTGCGGTGTGAGAGTATTTCTATGTTTTTGAATTTATTGAAATTCAATAAATTTGAATGGCTGAGCATGTGGTTGACCTTTGAGTATGTTCTGTGTGTAGATGTGAAAGATGTACATTCTATGGTTGCTGGGTGGAGTATTTTTAGGTGTCTATTAGGTACCATTTGTCAAGTGTCATATTTAAGTCCAGAATTTTTTGTTAGTTTTCTGCCTCAATGATCTGTCTAATGCTGTCAGTGGGGTTTAAGTTCGGTTGATGACTTCTTATACTTCTCTCTTTCTTATTCTTTCTCTCTCACCACCTCATCCAATTGATTCACAATGCCTACACCTTCTATTTTCTAACAAACTCTTGAATTTAATTGCGCCTTTTCCTCTTTCCCAGTGTCTTTAAGTTCACAATCCTTTCACTTCTAACCTATGTTATTGTCTTTCTGTCTCCTCTGACCACATTCCTATGTGCTCTTCTCTTTGCTTTGGTGATTTTTCTAACACGCATATCTGATCATATTACTTCTCTGTTTAAACTCCTTCAGTAGTTCTGTAGAGCCTTTAGGACGAAACTAAACTCTGCCTTACTGAATTAAGCACATGATGATTTGAACTCTGGTTATCTCTACCTCATACCCCCACCTCATCTTTTGCATGCAGTGCTCCACATGGGCTACTGGATCAGGTCTTGCTATCTTTATATATGCTGTTCTCTCTATCATCCCTTACTTGTCCTTCACAACTCAGCTCATGCTATCTTCTGCAGAAAGCTTTTAAATGATAGACCCCAGCTATATAGTTAAGACTTCACTTTTTCTTTGATTCTTCAATATTTTTCCAATTCATCTCTTTACCACATCTATGATATCAGGCTTTTCTTATTCCATATCAGTTATTTATTAAAATATTAGCTTGCTTTTTCTAATGTCCTTTTCCTGTCTCTATTCTTTGTCTTTATGCATATATTAATATATGTCTATTGGTGCTGAGTTTTGGCTTAGTCTTTTCTATATCCCTATTTTATTTCTCTACATATTTTCCATATGATGTTTTATAAACGAGGAAATATTTCATAAAGGACCTTATAATTCCACTTTATTAATAACACTAACCTAAGGAAAGTCCAAGACAAACACATTGAACTTTTTCACTAAATTCTTTTAAGTTAGTCTTGCTGTAATCATACTGTTCTCAGCAGTTAAACGTTTAGTTGTATCAAAGACTAATATACTTTATTGGTGCATAATCTTCAAAGAGTCTTAAGGTCTCCAAACCAGAGAGCTAGCACAGGCATAGGTCAGAAGTCCACGGCGTGCTCATGACTTATTGTAAAGTAAAGGTTTCTATTTGTCGATGATAAGACAAGTAGACTAAGATCAGCCCAATTCATAAATTTGGTCTGGGTCAGATGCAATTCACAGATATCAACCAATAGATGTGTGAATTGCAATTGTTAGTGGCCTTGAACTGCCCCACCTTGAATCGAGGGAAATCAATGTGGCTTTGTTCAGCAGTGACTGCCTGAAAGGACCATAAATCAGGAGCCTCCACAGAACCCTTTTATTGTCAAGGTAATGGCAAAGAAAAATGATAGCAGTTATTCCATTTACAGAGTTTAGCCTTTTTTCTTCTTCCTGATTGTTGTTTCTTCCAGTTTTCTTTTTGTATCTGAATAATCACAGCATGTAGCTTTTGAATTTTTTTCCTAGAGGAATGTGTGATATAAAACACCATAAAGTTCGCAGTTAGAAGGATGTCTTAAATAATTTTGTCAAAACTCTTATGGCTATGCTGTAGTTTGAACTGGCCAACCAAACGGTCATCCAAAATTAGAGTTTTATACCTTTGGTAACTGTTAGCCACCGTTTCTAATTTCATATCGTAATTATATGTCAGACCCAGGCCATTATACATGCTATCTATGTGACTGAAATTTGTTCATTTTCCCCTATAAAAACTGATTAGTAGCAGTAGATTGCTGTTGGTAATGCTATGATAGTTTAAGTGCCATATAGTTTAAGAACCATATATGGTTCTCTATAGTCATGATGCCCTGACATTTTTGTATGTTGTGGTCTGTTGTGTCTTTCCAGAGATTTGTCACTAATATTTCTCAAGGTACCAACTATTGTGAGTTTCTAATTTTATAAATTAGACTAGATTTGCAGTGATCTCTATGATGATGCTGTTACTGCCACTTAATTTCTTTAGTGGGAGAGATAGTATTGCTGGGGCCATTTGTCCCAGGTATATTAGCCAAATGCTAATTATTGCTCAATATCTGTTCTCTTCCTTTTCCTTAGTAAAAGAAGACCAGATTTTTCAAGTAGGTAGATGCGTGGTTAGAATAAAGACTATATTTCCCAACCATTCTTGTAGATAGATGTGGCCATTTACTGTGTTCTGGCCAATGGAATGAAGGTGGAAGTAATGTCCAGCTTACTGAAAGTGTCTCCAAAGGGAATGGCTTGCTACTTTTTCTTCTTTCTTTTTTCTATATGACTGGAATACAGATATGATGGCTGAGGCACCAGCAGCCATGTTGGACCTTGGGAAAGGAAGTCACGTAAGAAAAGGAACAGGGTCTCATTCTGTGTAGCCTCATAGCTGCCCAACTGCTGTATTTAACAGATGTGGGAGAGAACTAAGTTTCTAACTTATTAAGCTTCGGCTATTTTTTTTTCTGAACTAAATTCTCTTTATTACAAAATACAAACAAAATAAAGATTGAGAACTGACACTGACAATTACGTGTTTCCTAAATTCCCGACCAACATTTCTGAATGCTGAACCTTTCCAGGTGGGTGACCTGCAGGCCCTTTAAATCTAAATTTACCAAATTCAGCTCATTATCTTAACCTCAAAATTTTCTCCTCTTGTGTTTTTTAAGGTTTTTATTAATTCCAAATGAAAGCCTTAAAAACATCTTTAGTTCCTACCCTTCTCTCACCAATTATGTGAGTGAAACCAGCAGAGTTAAGATTTTCTTCTGAAATGGTCTTACAAAATCAGAATACAATCTTAAGTTTCTTGATGAGTTTCTGTAGAAAATTAGATGTGTTTATTAACTTGTGCCAAGTTGTTCCTTGCTCTTTGTATAACTGTCCCATCTTTACACATTAATTATTAATTTTGCCTTATCAGAGTTGCTATTTAATACTTTAATTCAACTTCTGGAGAACTGATTGCATTTTGCCCAAGGTGTAATCCCACTTTCTGAAACTACAGATAAGTTATATGAAAATTCTTTAAAAATGAATAGACTATGTGCATCTAAAGTATTCCTAATATATTTCATATTCTTTTGATGCCATTCTGAAAGTGAAACTATAATTCATCACTTTAGTATCAGTAATAAACATTAAAAAGGTGTTGCATCTGAAGTTTGAAATACTGTAGTGTACAAAATTTTCTTTCCTAGAAAGTGATGCTTAAAGAAATGTTAGTAGTTTGGCATAGGTCTAATTCTGAATAATTATTGTCATTGACAACTATCATTATTTGCAGCTACCCATTATCTTCTAAATGGCCTTCAGAAATGATGGAGAAACTGACACGTTATGAGTATTTCCTGCCCTACATGGATTTTGAACTTGAATTCCCAGCCTCGCTTGCATCTAGACACAGGCACGTGACCCAAGCCCCACCAGTCAGACAAACCCAATTGAAACTTTAGTTCAAAAGCATCCAGTATGAGGGAGCAGTGAAGTTTGCATTTTCCTGATGAAAATGTTGGAAGAGGTATTTGGCTTTGTTGGCGGGGAGGGCAATGATTTATGCAAAAGTTCCTAATGAAAAAATGGCTTTGTTCTGGGTTGTAGTGATATAATCAGAGATGCGTTCCAGCATACAGTGCTCAGAGGCAGCTGTGGTAGCTGTGGTTTTCTCATCAGCCTGTCTCTGTCATGTTCCTGGAAACACATCTATATGCTTATTGTTATATTCCTCAGATAAGTTCTGAGAAATACAAATCGTCATTGTTTATTTACTTATATTTTTAAATCAAATTTCTGATTTATTCATGTATTCCAGTTCATCCTAAGATGGTGATGTATGCCTCGGTATTGATTTTGCTAAATTTATATAACTTTGATAAATATAAAACACATATATTTTAGAAAGTTTATTAATGTATAATTGACATCCAATAAATTTTACTCATAAAGTATTTAATTTTATGCACTTTTGCATATGTATACATCTGTGAAACTATTACCAGAGTCAAGATAGTTAATCTAGCCATCACACCCAATGTTTCTTTATTTTATTTTACTTTAAGTTCTGAGATACATGTGCAGAACATGCAGGTTTGTTACATAGGTATATATGTGCCATGGTGGTTTGCTGCACCTATCAACCCGCCATCTAGGTTTTAAGCCCCACATGCATTAGTATTGGTCCTAGTGCTCTCCCTCCCCTTGTCCTCCACCTCACGATGGGCCCCAGTGTGTGATGTTCCCCTCCCTGTGTCCATGTGTTCTCATTGTTCAACTCCCATTTATAAGTGAGAACATGCACACTCAATATTTCTTAATGCCTTTTCATTATCTCTCCTTTTTGCCTACTCTGTCTGTCTCTAGTTGACTCTTGATCTATTTCTGTCACTATACATTAGTTTGAATTCTAAAATTTTATACAAATGGAATCATACAGTATGGATTATTTTTTGTCTAGCTTCTTTCACCAAACATTATTATTTTGAGGTTCCTCCATATTGTTGTGTTTGGCAATCAATGGTTCATTTCTTTTCATTGCTGAGTATTCCATGGTATGAATGTACTACAATGTTTTTTACTCACTCACCTGTATGAATATCAGAATATTTGGGTTTGTTTTTAGCTACTACAAAATAAAGCTGCTAAGAGCATTCATGTGCAAAAGTTTTATGGGCATATGTTGTCATTTCTCTTGGGGGAAAAAGGGGATCCAATAGTGGATCATGCGGTGAGTGTATGTTAGGCTTTTCATGAAGCTTCAAAATTGTTTATCAAAGTGGTTGCAACATTTTATATTCCCACCAGCAGTGTATAGGAGTTTCAATTCTTTGAGGACCTCACCAACATTTGCCAAGGCTAGTCTTTCAAATTGTAGCCATTCTTATAAGCAGGTAGTATCATCTCATGGTAACTACAACTTGCATTTCTCTAATGGCTAATTTTTTGAAAGATTTCCTTGTTACAGAATCCTAGATTGACAGATTTTTTTCTAGTAGTTTAAATATGTTTATCCTTAATCCTTAATCATCCTTTCATCCTCATCTTTTTTCTTTCTACATGTTTCCTTTTTTTCTCAATTTTCAAGATTTTTCTCTTTATTAATGGTTTTGGGCAATTTTATTATAATATTCCTTGGTGTAGTTTTCTTCATGTTTCTTGTGCTTGAGGATCATTGAGCTTGCTTCTACTATTGGTTTATAGTTTTTATCAAATTTAGAAGATTTTAACCACTGATTTTCACATAGTTTTCTGTTAAAAAATTATTTTTCTTTTCATGTTTCATTTTACAGAGTTTCCATTGCTATGTGTTTGAGTTCACTGCTCTTTTCTTCTGCAATATATACTTTGGAGTTAATCCCATCCAGCAGATTTTTAATATCAGACATTGTAGTTTTTATCTCCATAAGTTTAATGCTTGTTTTTAAAAATATCTCTCATGACTCAACTGCTTGAACTTATGAAATAACTACTTTAATTTCCTTGTCAATTCTAAAATTTGAGTCAGTTCCAGGTTAGTTTTGATTGACTTATTTTTCTCCACATTATCAATTATATTTCCTGCTTCTTTGCATGCCTGGTAATTTTTATTGGATGTCAGACACTGTGATTTATTTGATGCTAGAGATTTTTGGTTTATTATAAATATCCTTAAGCATTGTTCTAGGTCACAGCTAATTACTTGGTAACAGTTTGAGCCTTTTGGATCTTGCTCTTATGACTTCTTAGGTGGAATCAGACCCACATATAGACTATGGCTAATTATTTCCCACTATTGAAGCAAGGCTCTTCTGACTCTAATACTCTGTGAATTAGGAGGTCTTTTAGTTTTTCTGTTCCCTCTGATCTTTCCAGGTGGTTCTTTTCCTAGCCTTGGGTAACTTCTTCACATGCGAGTGTTGAATACTTCAGGGAGACCATCTGCAGATCACCAAAGTTCTTGATATATTCTGGATACATGTCTTTACCAGTAATATGATTTACAAATATTTTCTGCCAGTCAGTGTTTTATGTTTTCATGTTCTTAACAATGCCTTTGAAGTCAAATTTTTAAGTTTTGATAAAGTCCAATTTATCATTCTTGTATTTTAAGGATCAAGCTTTGGTGTAGTTAAGTGTTATTTTTAAGAATTTTTTTTAAACTTTAGCTAGAGTAGATTTTGTTGTTTGCAAGTCAGAAATCTGACTGATATGATAATTAAAGAAAAAGGCCAAGAGAATTGCATTTTCATTCCATAAATTTTGAATCTAAAATGTGAGTGAGATACTCTGGAATCATAACAATTTATTCTGGACTCATAGTTTCTGTTGCTTGTCTTTGCTTCTGTCAACCAGATGGTGCTATTGGATTGGCTACCAAGGAACATCCTTATCTGAATGGTTGAGGTTGTATTGATCTAAAAAATCTCCAGAGATAATAGTGGACAGTTGCTATCACTTCTTGGGTTCATGGACCTCATCACCATCTTATATAATTAGAAAGAGCATACCACCATCTTGGTGAGACCTCAAATATAAAAAAGAGCACCCTCTAATTAAAATACCTTATGATAAATCCGTGATTTGGTCTTGGGTTCTTATGAGCAGGTAAAAGTACTCTGTTGTATTGGAAATCATTTGATTGTGAAAAATGTTCTGACAGAGATCAATAATTAAATTAAGTGAAAAAATATATTAATCCATAATTAAGGCAGTTAATCCATTATTTATTGTAAACAACTTAAAGCTACCATGGAATTCCAACATCTGAGCAAACTCTGGTGAAATAAGAAAAGAACTGAATTAGAAAATGGGAGATCCAGGGTAAAGTCCTGGCCCTAACACTAACTAGCTGTGAGATACTGGGCAACTCTCTTTTCTTATCTAAGCCTCTGTTTTGTCATCTGTAAAATAAGCATGGGCTATGTAATGTGAAGTTCTTTATGTTTTTTCTGGACCTCACTGTCTGTAGAGAGAACCAACTGGAAATAACTTCTTTGCTGCCTTAAACCAGCAGACTTTATTTTAGGACAGAGTGAGTAGTTTGTTGCTAACAACTTTGGGGGATACTGGAGAAGGAATAACCCGAAAAGGTAAGTTGGTTGTGGCATTTGCACACTTTATTAATTTTTTTGTATAATGTATTTTGTATTAATTTTTTTGCGTAATGGTGCAATATATCCATGGGTTTAGTGTAACCATTACATACATAATGTACAATGTACCTGCTAAACAATTTCTCCTCTCTCACCTCCTTCCTACCCTCCCACCTTTCCGAGTCTCCAGTGTCTTTTATTCTACACTCTGTGTCCACGTGGACGCATTATTTAGCTCCCATTTGTCAATGAGGACATGAGGTCTTTGATTTTCTGTGTCTGAGTTGTTTCACTTAAGATAATGGTCTTCATTCCCATCCATGTTGCTGCAAAAGACATGATTTCATTCTTTTTATGGCTAAATATTATTCCATGGTACATTTTCTTTATCCAATAATCCAAAGAATGAATGTTCATGCAGGCACATATAAAGTGCTTGGCATTATTTCCTGCAGTGGGTGTGCCTGAAGGTGAGGCAGAGATGGACTGGAAAAGATTGACGTTTCTTTGACCAGCAATGCTGACCCTTTGCTCTTTACTAGAGGCAGTGGCTTCACTGTGCAAAACAAATGTGTGCTTAGTGGAGGGTACCTGAGGTCAAGGGCTAGCCATATAGATGACTATGAGGGAAATGCAGTCCGCATTCTATGATAGTCATTACTTTTTGTATATTCCGCAAAGTTTTGGTATACCATATTAATAAAACAGCATATGCAAAAGCACCTACCAGAACAGCTGTCAGAACGCAGGCACTCAATGAACATAACTTCCCTTCTCCCAGCTTCCCCATGCCTTCCTTCTAACATGTACTATGCTCTTTATCTTTATAAACCTCTGGAGCCCTCTTATGGGTCTCTGACCATTCAGGGTTCTCAGTTTGAATCTGCCCCAGGCTTTGATTTTTTTCTATAGTTTTACTTTTATAAACATTTAATGACTGTATATATTTTTCTTTCTTGAACCTACATGATATCTAGCTAGTGTAACCAAAGGGCAATTTATTTAGAAACAAGGTATTAAATTAACTTAACTAATATTTATTGAATGCGTACTGTATGCTAGTTAATATTATAGTGATGAGAATATAGTAGGAAATAAGATTAGTCAAAGTTCCTGTCTCCATGGAGCTTATACCGAAATAATGCAAAGTAGGACTATAATTAAGTAGTGGATATATTATTTTTGTCATCCCAAATGTATTTATCTGTTTCCTTATTTTATGGTTTCTATACCCCAGTATTTCTATGGGGAACTTGTCATCCTTATTTGATTGGAGTCTTAGTGGGACTGTACCTAAAAATACTCCAATCTCCCTTAGCTAATTCATGGATATAGTAAACCATGCTGGACCAATCAGATTCTCTGTTAGGTTGAGTAACAAGAAAATAATTGGAGTGAATTCAGCTCAAAGATGGCACTCAGACAAGGTCATTGACTCCTGTTTCCTAGAACCTCAGAGCTTTACTAGTTCTTGTTGGTTCCAAGGCTTTATTTTTTGGCTGTTCTTTCTGTGCAAAACCTCCTTCAGTGTTTCTTGTTTAAGTTGCTGAATGTACTTTTGTGTTGCTTGGAATCCAGTAGTCCTAACTTATACCAAATCTGGTAAAGTAAGAAGTATTAGTTTTTACAATCTCTATTAATTCCAATTCAATTCTCAGGTTTCATCCACTGAACAGACAGGAAATTAAATCTAATTTTTATTGGAAGGGGATCCTCCTTTCCCGTAGTAATAAGAACTAAGGAGTCTCTTGTCATCATCAGTCATTTTTCTACTTGGGTCATTATTGAAATACCTATTATCCCAGCTTCTGTGCCACACCAAGGACAAGGAAATCTTTGGTATGGCTGGGTATCCCTGAGTTAGGCTTCAGCTTCTACAGGCACACCATGTAAAACTTAGTATATATAAGCATATATAATTTCTCTGAAACTTTGTACTTTCCAGCTAATTATTCTGATGCAAAACCTCCCTCAGACAATTAACTTATCTGAGAGACTATGCTGTCTTTTAAGAACAGGGCAAACTATCATGTTCATTCTGTCTTGTTCACTCACCTGTCCTCTGTAAATTACTCTGGATTTGTGTACTGAACTCAAGGGAACAATTAATTTATTCATTCATTTAGCACGCATTTATTAAATTTTTCATGTCTTCCAGGTCCTGCATGAGGCTTTGAAATTATAAAGAACTTACAGCTTCTGCTTGATGATGACTCAACAGTTAGAGTGGGGAAGGTAAAAGTTTAGTGAGCTGGTGGCTAAATAATCAAATAATTTTGGCAGTGATAAGGGACACAATAGAGGTCTAAAAGTAGGCATAATGGGAGCACAGAGGAAGCTCTTGAGTCGTTTGGAGATGTCATACCAGTGATGGCTTGCAGGAGAGGATAGCTGGGCTGAGCCTTAGGAAACAAGTAGAAATTTGCTTAATATACAGGTGGAGTAGGAGTAGTACATTCCAAGCAAAGTAAAATGGAGAGAGAGAGAGAGAGAGAGGGAGAGAGAAAGAGAGGAGGAAGGAGAAGAAGGAGCAGCAGTAGGAGAAAGACAAGGACAAGGACAAGGTTGGGAAAAGGAGACTGGGTGAGAGAAAAGAATGGCACGTGCAAGAAAATGCAAGCAGTCCCACATGACTGGTATGACTGCAATGAAGAGTCCACTGGGGAACTAATGGGAGATGAGCATGGAAAGGGAGGCAGAGGACAAAGTGTGGTGGGTAAAGAATCAGGGATGAGTTTATGTCCTTTGCAGGGACATGGATGAAGCTGAAAACCATAATTCTCAACAAACTAACACACGAACAGAAAACCAAACACCACATGTTCTCACTCATAAGTGGGAGTTGAACTATGAGAACCCATGGACACAGGGAGGGGAACATCTCACAATGGGGCTTGTCGTGGGTTGGAGGGGTAGGGGAGGGATAGCATTAGGAGAAATACCTAATGTAGATGATGGGTTGATGGGTGCAGCAAACCACCATGGCACATGTATACCTATGTAACAAACCTGCACATTCTGTACATGTATCCCAGACCTTAAAATATATTAAAAAAAAAAAAGAATGAGTTTTATAAATAGGCTGTCCTGGGCGAAAATTCCAGCTTTATTTCTTTGGTGCCATGGACTCAAGGAAGTTACTTAACTCAGTTTTCTTATCTGTAAAAGAGAGAAGGTGGTAATATGTCCGTTTTAACATATTGAAAGGACTAAATGGATTTATGAATGAAAAGCACCTAGCATGGGGCCTGCCGCATAGTAGACTTCAAAGACATTTTTCTTTCCTCACTTCCCTGCCACCCCTACCCCACACACCCTGAAATCTATCACAAGAGCCATAAAACTAGAGGTTACTGTTAAAAAGTGCTTGGTGGATACATTTGGGAAGCAGTAGGAAACTGAAGAGAGAGAATGAAGCTGAATTAAGGAGAGCCTTTGAATGGGTAGCACAGATTGTACTTAAAAATCACAAAGATTTAAACATTACTCAATTGCAAGCATAGTATTGAAATGAAAACAGATACCAATGATACAAATTGCTATAATCTTGTCACTAATCAATCAATACTGTAATTTATCTATGACATTTCTATTTGGTAAATGCCAAAATCTCTATTTTCAGTTTTTACAGATTTGCAGAAATATTACGTTGGTGCAAAAATAATTGTTTTTGGCATTAAAAGTAATGGCAAAACCACAATTAGATGGCATATGTACCTTTGAATTTTTATTAAAATTAAGCCTTGATATTTTTAAGTTATTCAATAGCCTTTTTTTCTCTTCTTTATTTCTTTCCTTTCCTTTAATAATACTTTGCTGTATTTCTCCACATATTTCTCTATGTTCATAAGATACTATATAAACAAAAACACCTATACTAAGTTGATCATTTTCCTAGAAATGTAGGCCAGTCACATACATTTCTTTGCAATTTACTTTTCTTACATACAAAAATATAAGGGACCTCCAGCTAACTGCAGGACTCCCATAAGATGGAACATTATGCACATATTGAAAACTAAACATGAGATCTTTAGATCTACAAGGGATCTAAGAGATCACCTAGTCTAGTGGTTCCTGATGTCACCTCAGTTTAATTATTTTCTTAGTGGGTAGAGATTTTGAATGTGAGAGAAGTGTTGAAAGTTCTATTAAATATTAAACTGGCAATGACAGAAAAATAGATTTGGAAGGAGTAACCTGGGGCCATCTTTCAGGTCCAACTTTAATGCAATTTCCTCAGGAAGTGTTTCCTGATATCCCTGACCAGGATAAGTCCCTTTCTGAGTGCCTTAATAGAACCTTCTATTTGTTCTTTGTTATGTTTACTAGCATAATATTAATAAATTATTTGTTATTGTCCATCTTATGGACACGTTCAATGTCCATACTTACCCATGAAGTATCGTGGTAAGTATGAACATGATACTTCATTACCTAATATATTCTTGACAGATTAAAAAAGGCTGAAAAATAAATGAATAAACAGAGAATTTTTTGTGGGGGAGAGGCAGTCATACAGCTTTAAAATTTGATGCAGTGGAGTGGGAGAAGGTTGCATCAGGGGCTCAGAGACTGATATTTTCCTTGTGAATTCATGACACTTAATGTTAAATTCCCTAGCATTTGAGGAACATAAGCTTGCATTTATTGGTGTTCTTAGGAATGATCAGACTCTCTGTATGAGGTTCGCAGTAACCGAATATATAGGGATATTGTTAATTTAAAATAGAAGCTGTCTCTTTAAAGTGCTTACATCCTCAACACAAGTCACCCTGTTTGTGGAGACTTGAAGTAGTACTCAATTGCTTGTTTAGTGGGCATATAATTAGAACAAATGGAAGGTGATGATCTTGAGGCACATTTTATCTAGGTTGCCTTGTGATCAGATAAAACATATTTACCCCACCGCAGAAAACAGAAACTTTTTTAGTGATCCAATTGCAGTCTCTCTGATGTACCCAGAACTACTTTAGATCCCTATAAAAATTGTTTTTACACTTATACATTATTTCTTTGTGTCAACAGCACAATTAAGCTTTCTGGTAATATTTTAAGTAAAATATTGTACATTTGAGAGACTATCTCCTCTCATTATGTATTGATTTAATTCATGTAATGCTCAATCTTATTTCTTTTTGTATTGGTTAAGGTTCTTCTGGTTAAAAGTAATGGAAATCAATAAGTCAAAGAAAAGGTAATTTATTGGAAATACACCAAGGTAGCTCAAAGAAGGGCTGGATTAACCAAACAATAGTGCCTTAGGAAAAGCAGAAACAGTGCCAAGTCTGGGGATCTCAGTGGTGAACCTTGTGAACTAGGATGCCATTCCAATGGCATCTACTACGTTGTTATTCATTTAGCTCCTAGTTCATGAGTGTGGGGGAGGCAGATCTCTATTTTCCTAATTACTTCTGACTATAATAGAAAAAGATCAAGAGGATTTGAAATAGAGTACAGTTAGTACTAGGAATCAAGACAACTTTTTTTTTTTTTTTTTTTTTGAGTAGCTTCCTCGGAAAATTTGACAGGACATTGTGGCTAGCTGACTATGAGACAAGAAACAAAAGGATGAATAAAAAACGTTAACTTTTACAGCATGAGTTATTGAGAAAATAGTAGTGTCGTGAGTAAGTTTGGAATGTGGAGTGCTTTTTAGGGGGAGGAGATTATTATATGTTTGGCTTTATGCATATTTGAATGCAAGATGGTGAGATGTCCCCGTTAAGATTTTTAAAGGGAGTTATAGTGAAAATAGAACTGGGAATATAAAGCTAGTGTTAGGATAATCATGAGAAAGAAATAACTCTCTCTGGAGCTAATTTTGTATGTATTTCACTCTTCTCATTTCTTTGAACATAGGAACCAAGCCTTAATCATTTTTCAATCTCCTAAGGCTTAGCACTTAGTAGGTGGAACTAAAACATCATTTAGACATTAAATTGAGTGACTCAGAGAGAAAAGACCAGAGAACCAAGAATAATTTCCACTTTCTCTTGGGACTTGTTCAAAATGTTGTCTTCCTTTTTAAGGCTCTGCCAGAATAAACCTATTTTAGAGTCTACCTCTTTTGATAACCAGAGAGTCAACCTGCACCATTTGTTTTCTCCAGTTAGGTTTATGCAATTTGGGAAAGGTTTTTTCATTTACCTTCTCTTGGTTGTTGGACTCTTTGCATTACAGTTGCTTAAGCCATAACATTAGCATCTTGAGAGAAAACAATGAGGGATTCATTTCAGTCTGCATTTTCCTTTGAATCTGACAAAAAGAAGAACAAGTCTGGAAAGATAGCATCCCAGAATATTTTTGCTTACTCTTCACTATTTAATCAATACTTCCACCAGAAGTAAGACAGAATGTCTTACTTCACATTAGAAGTAGAAACCAGGTTAGACATCCTGATAATAAGTGACCTTATTGTGGAGATGGATGAGGATGGATAAAATATGGATTCTATTTGGTTTCATCTTAACTGCATTTATTCTATCCCCATTTTATTGCCCATTCATTGCTCCATGTCAGTTCAATTCTATTCTATTTCGGCTTGAGATATACCCACAATATAATGCTAGACATTTTTAGTCAAAAGCATTTTCAAATCTTGTCACCAGATTAGTCTTCTCTTCTTATGCATTTCACGTTTCCTGTAGTAAATTATAGTGAATTTAAACTTGTAATGGTTTTCAACTTGTAGACCTTAAACATTTTATTAAAAGTGTAATATAATATCTTGGTAAGGGTTACCACTTTATAATTATTTCCATTGATAGGAAAGTTGATTCTGAAGGCAACTTAGTGACTTGCATAAAGGCATGGAGTGATTTAGCTAAAAGTTGGACAAAGTGATAAAATCCATGTACAAATGGCTTGTTCTATTGTTAAGTAATACAGTTTTTGATGAGTGGAGTTACTGAACTTTTCAAATAGATTAGACTCTTCTGATTTGGAAACGTATTTGTGGAAAATGCCAACAATTTCTAAATGATTTTTTAAAAATTCCATTGATTTTTAATACTTTATACTTTTTCTTCCAACCTCAACTATAAAAATAAAATTATTCACTATTTTCTATCAAATTTCCTTTCTTATGTTGCAATAATAGCCAAACTACTGAGCATTGTGTAGAATTCTGCTAACCACTTTACAAGAGAGAGATTTACATAAGATTCTTTTGGTTCTGGCTTGACGTGAGGGATTAAGTGTTTTCAACACTGTAAACTCATCCATAAAACAATGTTGAGGTGGGTATAATTATTTTCATTCCTTAGATGAAGAAGCTGAGGCTGAGGAGGTTATTCAGTTTAACCTAAGGTGGTAGTCGTGAGTGGCAGTGATAAAGGCAGCTGTTAAACTGAGTTTAAGAAACTTACTGCAGCATCGTAAATACTGCCTCTCTTTGTGCCCCAACTTCCATTCACACTCTATTTCTGTTATGCATGTAGCTAACCACCACCTACTTCAGGATCAACTGGAGGACTTGTTAAAAATAAAAGATGCCCACCTCTAACTGTAGCAATTTAGATCTGGCAGATCTAGTGTGGCCCAAGAATATGCATTTCTAATAATCATTCCTTGCAGTTAATTATGCACAGTAAGCTTGGACAACAATTGCCTTAGTTAATATCAGAAAAATGTTCATGAGAAAGAAAACTTTAAAAAATCTTTATTCTTAAGTATTGTTTAAATACTTTGACAAATAACTGGTAATATTGCCCTAAAAACTCTTGCCATGTCATCAGTTGAATAAAACTACAAAGTTTGAAAACTCTCCAGGACGTGACTTAACATTTCTGATCTCTAATATAGAAAAAATGATGACAGAAGGCACAACTTGTCGGCAGGTTGAGAGATCATGGCCTTGGGGCTGAAAACCCTGGGGAATCAATTTTAGCCATAGAGGGCAAAGACGGGGGAAAAAAGTACGAGCTCTGGAGAACAGATAATTCTCTGCCAGTTTGTAATTTTGAACAGTACTCTTCTGCCAGCCTTGGCTCCTGTGGTTTCTATTTAGCATCGTGTAATGGTCTCTCAATTGTCAAGTGATTTACTAGTTATTTTAGGATTTCTGTTTCTTTGGTACTTATTATTCCATGCCTACTGAAAAACTGAACAATAAAAGTAATCAATTGGGAACATTTTAATGAGGCAATCCAACCCAAAGCTTTGCATTCAAGTGTTTGTTCAAATTTGAGGGGGTTATGCCTACCAGCTCTGTTTTACTTGGCCTACTCAATGAGAAAAGACAAAAAAGAAGAGAGAATTTCTGGTAACTTTGAGCTGCAGAAGTAAAGGTCGTTTATCGGGAGGAGTTAATAGTAGAATGCTCTTTGGACAGATGATGTGCTTAGATTATTTACAATCCACCACCAAAAAAGATTTGGAAACAAGATTATAATTTGCCATTGATAGGAGGTGAAACTTTAGCTAGATGGTAGGATCTCCTGGATGTTAAAGTTTAAGTACACATGGATAGTCAAAACGCTATTTTTTATGTTTCTTTGTGTGGTACATGGTTTTCTAGACTGCATTATTCTTGTGAGGTGAACACCTTGAATACAGTTTTTTTCTATTATTTGTTGGGAAAATGTATACTTCCATGTTAAGTTAGCAGCTCAAGTTTCCCAGGTCAGCGAGAGTAAGATTTTCTGATTGGCTTACATGATGCTTTCTTCCAAGGATGTGGAGTACTGTTAACTCTGAAAATCACACAATTCTTTGGTATTCTTTTAAAGTTAGGTCTCTGATTAACACTACATTTCTGCATCATGGTTTTTTTATTTAGGGGCCCTGGGGTGAAAGCTTAAGCATTTCATTAGTCTTGACCAGATCACAAAGAACTATGAGGCATTTTAGAGAGCATTTAAATAATTTTGGAGGGTTATTAGAGAGTTCAAAACGTTAAAGTGAAGCAACAAGGTCTGTATCGTTGCCAAATTTCAAGAGAAAAGGCTAATTAGTCTTTGACCTTGGAGCTATTTGGAAGGGGAATGTGTTGCTTGGAATGTATTAGATTAAAAATTATTCTGAAGAATGAAGAGAGCACCTGATAAACTACTATATGAATGGCTTTATACTTAGCAGTTCTAAATTCCAAATTACTCTTGTTTTTAAATAGTTATACATAAATCTGAAGTAACTGCAGATTTTTCTGTTTCTCTACTGTATCCTCTTAGGACTAGGGTAATGACTAGAAAGGGAATAAGTATAGCAATAGCTAACTATGTCTTTTTTTTTAATTAAAGTTTTTTTAGGTCAAGAAAGATAACCAAATGCTTTAAATTTTCCTGTAGTGGTATATGTCCCAATGCTCAAAGTTTTGAATTGCTCTATTAAATTAAATTACTCACTAGTTTCGAAAACATTGGTTTAGAAAATAACTATTTCTAAATAAACATATGTGTTTACCAGTGAGTTTAATGCCAATAAAACAGTTCCTATTCAGGGTGCCTTATATCTGGTAAGCAGAACTACCAACTGGGCAGAGGGCCAACCCACAGTCCAAATGGGAAATATTTTTTAAAGTTTTGATAGGACACAGTACTCAGTTTTAAAGATCATACTCTGATTATGATTGACCGGGTCTCCTAGGTTAAACAGGTCTTCAAGAAGGTGATCCTGCAAGAACTAATCTCAGTTATTATCAAGCTAATGTGGGTAGTGGACAACACCGTGAAAACAAGGGGCCAATTAACTTGGGAAATGTGGGGAAGAGCAACGGTGAGCGGGGAGGGAAGTCGCTTTACAGGTGTAAGATTTTCTTGGAGAGTAGTGTGACCATGAAGGACAGGGAATTGCCACCTGGTGAGGTCTATCTCTGTCTTTCCCATACTACTTCCTATGGATGAGTCGTCTGGACTCAAAGAAGACCTTAATCCATGGAAATGGTCTCTGGTTTTCTGAAGGGTTAAATGTAGATACAGTAAGGGATTTGGAGAATTGAAATCCCATGAATAGAGTCTTGAGATTGCAAAAATAACAACAATAACAGCAAACAGTAGCTAATAGTTCTCTGACACTATATGCTAGACACCATTGCATGCACTCTGCCTAGAAATCACCCATTTAATCTTCACTACAATGCTATGACACAGATAATATCATTATTCTAATTATACAGATGGAAAACTGAGGTACAAAGAGGGTAATTAGGCAATTTTCCCAAGTTCACTCATTTAGCAAGTGGTAGAGCCAGAATATGAACCAGGAAGTCAGGCTCTCGAGTCTGTGTTCTCCGGTACAAGCTTCACAAAGGAGGGCATTTCCTAAGACATATTTGTACCAGTTGAAGCTGTGCATATCAAGATTCATTGGGCTGTAAACAGTGATAACATGCTTTTTATCTGACTCTGTAAAACTATAAAAACTCATATTTTCTGGAAACTAGTCACTTTAAGTAATTCCTAGTTTTGCAGTTTAGAGGCTTCTTGGATGATCCCTACAGCTGTTTCTGGAAGGAACCTGAGGGATCATGCACCAGACAGTGGCCTACCAGGGGGCATTAATCAAATGATCATTCATAAACACTGTGGGAGCAAGTTCATTTCAGAGTAATCAGAAATTATCTTTTGTTCCTCCATCTCTTCAAAGGAAAGCCACTGGGAAACAGGGCAACCAATCACTAGAACTCTCTCCACTTGGTTTAATGAGACAGTGAATCGTTGAATTAAGCCAGTGTCCTTAAGCTGCCCTTAGTTGGTTGCTCCTTGATTAGTCAAAGTGTAATTTGAGTGATACAGCCATGTTGGATGTTCCTGCCACATATTCTGATGAGTTAGCACTCTGTTGCTGCTGTCACACAGCTTCTTAAAAGAAGTGTCAGGATACCCTGTGGGGAAATAAGCAGTGTTTCGATGGCAAAGAGACTGCTCGCGAGGGGCTACTCATGGATACACATGTTGCTTAGGCGTCCAGCCAGCCCTGCAGTGATTGATGGATGTTCTGCTCCCTTCTGGTGTATCTTCACTTGTGCTGGGAAAGGGATGAAGGGCACCTTTGAAAGAGGAGGAACCACAGTAATCACTTCATCTCTCTTCTGCTTAATGCAAACTTACTCTGGAAAGATAAATGACTATCCACTCCTGTAACAACTCCTCAAAATCATTACTATATATTGCTGTGGGCCAGATTTGTGCATTTCTAGGATTGTCCCACTGTGGCAGTTATCGGCTGCAGTATGTAGCATTGATTGCATGTTTTTGTTAACTTGAAAGTATCTTAGAAGGAATAAGCAGTAAATTTTGAAGAGGTCTCAGTGAATCTACTTGACATGGAAATATATAATTGATGAGACATTGTAATGGGTTTAAAATTTACAGTCATAACTCAGGTATACAGAAATGAAACATTTTATTTTTCTGTTACTGAACTTAGGTCAAGTCCCCATTTGTTCAGTTGGCTGAAAACAGTTACTTTTGCTGTTTCAATTTAATTTAGTCACATACAGTTTATTCAGTCAAATTCTACGTTCTCTTCCTGGTCCCTTCTTTGATTATCCTTATAGATGATCTAAGTTACTGGGTGGCTTATAGGTCATCCTGGCATGAGGGGAGGAGTGTCCTATTCCTTGGGTCTTCTTTGGTCCTTGCAGACTTTTGCTGAGACATAGCAGTTCTCTTCTAGCTTGGGGACCTCATGTATAGCATCTGGTGTACTGGGTCTGCATGGGCCTGCCTAGGCCTCTGGACTACATGCTCAGGCTCTACACCTCATGCCCTAACTCTGGCTCTCTTTCGGCAACAGGCCCACTGAGCACTTCCCTGTCTTTCCTCAGGGGATGCTCAAGAACTCATGGCTACTTTCTGTGCAGAAAATAGACTCTGAAACTCTAGGAGGCTTCTTAAGCTCATCTGCCTGAAACATACCCCAGCTTTTGTGGTGGTCCTTCTGCCATGCCTGCCATGCTGCTTTGGTGCCATGCTGAGTGAGGGGTTTTCCCAAGGGCTTGTAGTGTTTTCTGGCTATGCTTTGAGAGCAGGTTAGGCACCTACCCCTGTCAGAATGATTCAATAGGCTCAATCTCTCTTACCCCGTTCCCCTCCCAATCCCTCCACATATTAAAAGCTTTCTATCTACCTTTTTGCATTTAAAAACCTCATGACCTCATGTTTCATCCCTTCTTTAAGTTTTATACTATAAATGCTATGCTGAATCATTTGAGCTCTGGCTCATTGGAACCCACAAATCCCCCTTTTCACAATAATACCAGAAAGCCTAGCATTCCAGGTTTGTCTCAGCTACTGACTTTAAAAAAGCCAGATTTGAAGATCAAAGCTGATGAATGACAATGTGATTCTCTGATGTATTTACCATCTCCTCTGGAAATAAGGAATGCTGGTGTTTGTTTCAATGGGTAAGGTAGGAAACACAAGGACTCCTGGGGAAGAAAATACATCTGCTAATATTTCAAAAACATTATCCCAGCTATAGCACTTTCTCTTTTTTACTACATGTACTTAAAAAAAGTTTAGTCCCTTCTCCCTTTTTCCTTGTTTTTTTTTTTTTTTTTTTTGATAATGACATTGAAACTTCCTCATTATTGGGTAAAGTTCTACGCAGCATAACTCCTGCTTTTCCAAGTCAGATTGCTGCCCACCTACAGACCATCTAAAGTAGGTGCCAACTGTGAGGGAGGTGCTATTATGATCTTCATTTCTCAGATGAGAAAACTTATTTGGAGAGATTACATCCAGATGCACTCAGCTCATAAGTGACAAAGTTGGGATTCATGGTCAGGTCTGTTGACATTATCCTGCCATTTCCAATGCAAGTCTATTTCAGACTTATCATACATGTATTAAGTTAAATCCATCCTGAATAGACTACATGGAGATTAAGTTCCTGCAAAATGACTTTATGTATACACAATTTTTAAAAACTGCATACAAGTTTTAACTTGGGGAGAAATCAGTTCTCTAGTTACTAATAACCTCAATTTTTTTTTCTGGATAGTTTTAAATATATGTATTTTGATTTAAATAGTGTTTAGGTACTTTTTTTTTTTTTTTTTTGAGATGGAGTCTGGCTCTGTCGCCCAGGATGGAGTGCAGTGGCGTGATCTCGGCTCACTGCAAGCTCCGCCTCCCGGGTTCACGCCATTCTCCTGCCTCAGCCTCCCGAGTAGCTGGGACTACAGGCGCCCGCCACCATGTCCGGCTAATTTATTTTTGTATTTTTAGTAGAGACGACAGGGTTTCACCGTGTTAGCCAGGATGGCTACGATCTCCTAACCTCGTGATCCGCCCGCCTCGGCCTCCCAAAGTGCTGGGATTACAGGCGTGAGCCACTGCGCCTGGCCGTATTTAGGTACTTCTTTAGATATAAGCCCCATGGATTGGCAATCCAAATTGAGCTAGTAGATCTTCAAAGAACACTGGAACTACAAATACCAACTGTGGATATTTACTGTCATAAATAACACTTTTGTAGAGAACACTTTAATTTGCCTGATCTTATATCCATTAAGAGAGAAATGAGAGTAAGAGAGAAAGAGCGTAAGAATAAATCATTGGCTGGAAACCTTAAAAAATTTAGATTACTTCTTAGATTAAAGTTAAATAGTACCAGATAAATAAACATGAAAAGAAAGAAGCCTATGTGGTGATTTCACTGTTTCACATGGTAGAAACATAATCAGTTGAAAGTCACTCATGAATTTATATCATATTCATGAACACACCAGAAAACCAAAAAGATATAAAGTCCACCATTCACTTCCTTAATGATACCAGATGCATTTAAATAGGAATTTCTTAAACTTTTGTACTTTGACATGCTGATAAGCTCCAGAATGATATTATATATTAGCTAAAGATGAATTATGGGTTTTGGGTTTCCATTTCCTTAAATCAACAGCATGTTCAGTTACAGCACATTGCTAAGGGTTAATTTTCAAACCAATGAGTGGTGAGAAGGGCTAGTGAAAATAAAAGGGGAAAAACCCAACTATAACTGGTAAAACTCTTTCTATGTGAATAATATTTTTTCTTTTGCATTTGCTGTGTCTTCTGGAGGAATGACAGTTGTGTAATTCAGTCTGGTTGGAGAGACAGGCATAGGGTTAATAAAGGATTTGTGTATGGGATGGTGTACTCTAGCATGAACTGCCATCCTCCTCCAGTGGTGTGTCTGCCACACATAAGTAGCATAAATAACATCTGCCAAAACAGCCCTCTGAAGTATTAAGCACTGACATACCCGAATGCTTTCTAGGTGTTACAGGTGTACTGTTCAAGTGCTGTTTAATTGCAGTCTTAATCAAATATGATAGCCTGATTCCAAGGTGAATGTCTTATACCATTGATTTGTAGTAAGTCGCCACATTTCTTTGAACAGTGTGCCATTTTATATGAGAATTATAAAACAGCAATGATTATTTTAGGATCAGAGATGTTGTGATTCATCAGGTACTGTTGATGGATGATGCATTTGTGCTTAGTCTGGCCTTGCGCAGAGGCTCGAGTAATTTGTTATCCTACAAGACATGTGCTGTTTCCTCTTCCATACTACTCCCCAGTGCTACTAATATTTTAAGGCTAAAGAACAACACTGTATTAGATAGAACTACAGGCTATATGTAATGTTAAATATATGTATTTGTATATATGTGTATATCCTCTGCTATACAGATCAGGTATCATGCTAAAACCATATAACTCTTAACTGCATTTTTCTGGTAATTAGCAATGGATTATCTTCCCAAAAAATATGGGTTCTTCAATCCTCCTGGTCTTGGGGAGCACAGAATGATTCATTATCTCTTCTACATTAGCCACTTTGTTTGTGGCAGGATTTGAAATAGGAATATAGGTTGTATAATTACTTAATGAAATTCAAAATTAATAAGATGCCATTTTCAGAGTTTTTTATGTTGTTCTAATATGTTCTTCAAGTTTTAAAAGCCATTATAAACTTTATAAATTCCTATATTTCCTATTATAATAAAGTCTGTATCCTTATTTCTTTCAATATTTATGCAGATACATACATAATTATAGTGCCACATTTGAAATATCCTACTTTTGTATATTACAGATTGCATGAAATAGCCCAGAATGGAGGTTCAGTTGATCTTTAAGAGAACTCAGGAGAACTGAATTTTGTATTAGCTAAACTTATTTAATATATTAAAATGATATACTTATACATTTTAATTTTAATCCTTTACTTCATTTTCTTTTTTAAATAGAAATTATCTTGTCTACAATAGCAATTTCTGTATTGGTGTTTTCTCAGGTAATGACATTGATCCCTATTTAATTACTATTGCATAATTAAAAATCAGCCCTTTGACATCAGTGGGGATGGTAGGGCTACAGTGTACAACTTATTAACTTTCAAATTATCCAAAACATTTGCTTGCATTTTGTTATAATTTCTGTATGATAAGCATATTGGAGATAAAGTAGAAAATAAATATTATATATTATCATACTTTTAGATGACCAATTTTAGCTTCATATATTTTATCGAGTTTCAGTAACATGAGCAGTGTATTGCTTTGTTCATCATGTGAAAAAATTGAAACATTACAAATAAGTTTAAGATCTTCCTATGGGAAAAAATAATTTCCTCTATCAGAGGAAAAATTTATTACTATTATGATAATACCCCTTCAGACCTTTTTCTAGTCACTTACAGGTAAAAATTGTAGTACTGGTTGGTACATAGTGTATTTTATTAATGTTTTACTGCGTATATTGTTGTATAAATTGCTTTCCGCACTCATTGGCATGCCTTAGAATTCTTTTTATTTAGGCTTCATGACTAATTTGTAGTGGAACCTCAAGAAGATCACTTATGTGCTTCACTTTCCACATATGTAAAATGGGAATAACAACAGAATCTGCCTCATAGTACTGCTGAAGGGTGACATGGGGAACACCTGTGAGGCATTCAGAACAGAGCCTGTCATACAATAAATGCCATGTCAGTGTTTGCTCTTATTCTCAGTATACAGAGATCTGCTTTGATCTTTTCATCTTCTGCAAAATATTCCACAAATTGGCATATTGTGTTTTGTAATAATCTCTATTGATTATTTTCAAGCAAGATTTGGAATTATCCGCAGTAGTTTCAAATGTACAAAAAAGTACCTTATTTTATTTATTTTTTAAATAACTGATCTGATCTACGAGTCTAATCTGGTAAGTTTTGTCTTGAGTCCAGTAATGCAGTCCAATACTCCATTTAGGTAACCCTGTCCTTGCTTGGTCAATTTGTTCCACTTTTCCAAGTTTGACCTGCTTACCCTATTCCTCTTCAAGAGGGCATCTGGTTGTTTAGTTTACATGATTTAGTGGTGCAGAAGGAAAGGGTAATCAGATTGATGTATCCTCTGAGTCCTCCTTGATATCTGCAGAGCAGCTGAGCTGGTCTGCTCTCTGTGCTGTTGACATCTGCTCTTTGGGGCGTTAGGGGGTCTGGTCATTTGTCCCTTGTCTGTTATGATCTACCTGCAGTGGTTTTCTACCTTGTCCCCAGGCTTCTTAATTCTTCCTGTACTCTCAGAACCTCTGTGTTGTCACAACCAGACTTGGGTTATTTTGGGTCCCCAGTTTCCAGGCCCTGAATGCCATGGGCTCTGTCTCAGGAATAGGTATCTGCTGGCCTGCTGCTGTCATTTCTACTACATTGCTCCTTTACTGCCTTAAAGAGTGGTCCTGGATCAGGGGTTGAAAGTGGAAGTGGAAATAAAGGACGCTGATGTGACGTCTGTGTTTCCATTCTTCTTCCTACCACTTCACCAGATGTGAAAAATTCATATAATCTGAATCCTCTAGTTTGAGTTATGATAAGTTAAAGCAGTTTAAGAATTTAACGAACTCCCCTCTCCCTGATTAAATCTACTTGTTAGCACTGTGTTCTTACTGCAAATCCCGTTGCCTTGCCAGAAGATAAATATTAACTTTTTCTTTCTCTTTGCCTTCCTGTTGTAATAATTCCAAACCACCCAAAAGAAATAGGTGAGTTTGTGGAGAAGGTCAGTAAAATAATTTCAAAAGGGAAAAGAACATTCATGCATTTAAATATTATTCCCACTGGTTCATTTATGCTGCAATGAATATCTATATATCTATGTATGTATCTATCATTTTGTGCACATGTTTTAGTATTTTTCTGAGTTTCATCCTGAAAAAATGTAATTGCTGTAAGGTATGCACATTTTACATTTCACTGTATAATGACAAATCATGCTACAAAGTGACTAGACCAATTTATACTCTTGCTATGAGTCACTGAGAGAATTCTTTACTAACACCAGATATTTTGCGTAACTTATTCTGTTTAAATTCTATCAGCAAACCTCCATAGTAGGTGTATTCCCATTTTGTATATGAAGAAACTGAGGTTCGGAGTTAAAGCAACTTGTTCAAGGTCACACAAATGGTAAGTGGGTAATTTCGGAACCTTTTAAAATAAAACATAGAAGCCTACTATCTTATTGTTCCATTCTAGAAATATGTCTGTGTTTATAATATCGACTACTTTGTATTATTTTAAACTTTATAATATTGACTACTATTATTTTCTTCACATCCTAGTTAAGAATCTAGGATAAAATGGAAAACGATATCACGAAATGGAAAAACAATGTTATTCCTTAGTTAGCTTAGTTTAAACACCTATTTAATGGTCAAAGGCAAGTAGTTGACCTCCCATCTTTTTGACTCACAGTCATTAGTTACACAAGAAAAGCAGAACAAAACCCAGCTGGATGGAGGGGTGGATATGCAAGTAGCTTTCACACTAGGAATTGTGAAGCCTGAGGCATAGCCCCAAGACTCAGATCATCGGGAGTGCACTCAGTCCAGAGGGACAAATGTTCAGAGTCTGCATCACCTAATATTACAAGCATCTTTATTGAGACTGATAGAAGTGAATTTCTCAGGTCAGAAAACAGAAGAGCTCTTTTAGCTGAGTTGTGATATTTAAAAGTCTCTCATTTTGAATTTCTTGCCTGGCCAATCAAACTGTCCTCCCAGAACAAATTGTTGGATAATGAAATGCATATAATGTAGCTTGAGAGCGCTGTCCCATTTGCAGCACTGGCTTCAGCCTGAGGCACATCTCTGGCTGCTCCTTTCTATCTATAAGTTAAAGCAATGGCCTCAGCAAGCAGTACACTCTGTACAGCAGCTGCAACTCGTTATCGGCTTTGTCCAGAATAACAAACAGAACAAACACATTTTGCAAGGGCTTTTACCCCTCTTATGTAGAGAAGGAGGAATTAAGCAATCAGTGAAATGCTGATTGATCAGTTGTGCTGACTAAGAGAAGTCCAAGGCCACATTAGTACTATTAAGCCCTAAAAAACAAAGCAAAAAGAAAATGTTCTTAGAACTTTATTTAAACCAGTATTTCTGTGATGTGAAGTACATTTCCCCCAAAGGGAAAAATGGGAAAATATTTGCATTTCACTTAGTACACTTTACTCATCCAGACTGCTTTGTAATGTAATGATGGTTAAGTATTTTTACAAAGATAATTCATGTTTTTTGGCAGATTTTGGTTGATCATGGAGTATCAGGGTTGTGTGAACCAAAGGTGTGATGCAGAGCAGCTTTAGTAAACCATCCCATTCCTATGCCACCCGTTTGATTTCAGTACCAACTGCTGTGGCCACATCTAGACCACTCTTTACCAGAAACTGTGCCACCTTCAAAATTCCAGCATCCTTTTCCCCTCCTCCCTTATTTTTTGATCTCATATACTCAAGTATTCTTAGTGTAACAATTCTTTGAGCATTCTTTCTTATCTAGCTTAAAATCTAGGGTCTACCATTATAATCATTCCTTTCAAGATAACCTTAACTTCCACACCCCAATTTCTAACTGGCCTGGCAAAACTCAGACCTTTGGTGCAAAATCCTCCATCTCTATGCCTGAGCCCTTGTGTTTGAGAATGGCTGAAGAAAACCATGTGCATGGACATTCTGATGTCACTATAAATTCATGGTCACGGATCTCAAATGGGAGCCCAAGACTACTGGCTTTCCTGCTGTGGTTGTCTAATGACAGCATGATCTTACTCTTCACAGATATTAGTTTAAACTCTCCAACCTTCAATTGAAAAGTCTACATCTTACTTTATTAGAAAGTAGAAACAATCAAGGGTTATGCTCCCATTTTCACACTACCAAGTAAACAAACCTTCAGTAAGAGAAGATATATTTCCTATATCTCCTCCTACCCTCCTGTTAAAAGGGTGCAAACGTCCCCCCTCCTAACAAAAACCAATCCTTCTTCATGCTCTTTAGATGCCGTGTTGTCTCTCTTTCTCAAAGTCTTCATTTTTTGGTTATACTCTTTCTCTCATGCAAATTTTTCTCTCTTTTTCAAGTAGAGCAGGCTCAGCAGCCTACAAACGTGTCTTGGGCACCTTTCATCAAAAAATAAAAAACATAAAAACAACAAACGAAACCCTTCTTGGCTCCACATTCTCATCCAGTTTCTATTCTTTCACTTAGCTGCTTTTCTTCTCATGTTTTGTCTATTTTTTAACATCCTAGTCACTCTCTGATCTACTTCAGTTTGACTTCTACCTCCATCACTTGAGTAAATTCAATACATGGTTTCAAGTATATTCTAGCCCTAGCCTGATCCACAGGGAAGGTTCTGGACCACAAGCAACATGGCAGAGTTGTTCACTCTTGAGGTAAAGGAGTTTGGCACCTCATGCCCCTATAATGGATTAAAGAAACACTCCTTAATCGGGGTTAGTCCCTGGGAAAGGTTTTAGGTGTGAGCAATTAGCAACCATCACCCACAGTGGCTGGGAGAGGGGGGCACTAGCCCAATAAAGAGGATCTAAGTAGTGCACCCAAGCAGGTCTACCACAGTTAGCTTCCTATGTGGGCTCACGTTGCATGCAGTGCATCTCTATACAGCAATTAATCTATTTCATAATATTAATAAAATAATTTCACTTTCCATGTTAAAATCCTTCAATGACTTCCTATTGCACTATAAATGGCAAATCAATATGTTAACATGCCCTGCCAACACCTACAGGGTCTGGGGTCTGATTGCCTTTCAGATCTCTCCTGATAATCTCCCCTGCTTGGTTCAATATCCTTCTGTTTCACCAGGAAGATATCATCAATTTCCAGCTCAAAGCCTTCACATATGATGTTCCTTCTGGCTGGGGTGCTTTTCCTCCCACATGACCCATTTAATTAATATGTATCATTCACATCTCAGTTTCCTCGGACTGTTTTAAGCATCCAATCTAAATTTTGTTCTCCACTATTATTTTCTAGCAAAACAGCCTACTTTATTCCTGCAGAGTTTGTAATCATATATTGTAATAAAATTTGTAATTATATATTGTGAGATTGATTACTAAGCTGTCTTAATATACTGAAAGCTCCAATTCATTTATATTTCTTTAGCATCTCCCATGAGGTATCATGAGGTTTGGGACCATGTCATTTCATTTCACCATTGCCTAATGGGGTATCTGGTATGTAATAAAAGATACTCAACTTGTTGAATGAATAAATAAATGCATAAATGATGAATAAATTAGATACACAAAATTAGGACGTCAAGAAAGAATCACTTCCCCCCCTCCCGCAAGTTATTCCTTAACAATTCTCCTAGGGCTATCAGCACTGGGACATGAGAGGTTTAATCAAATTTGTGTTCCTTTGGTGCTCTCTTCTGGGATCATAGGGCTTGATGGATATTCTCTCATTAACTCGTACACATCCCTGCCATTTTTGTGACACTGATTTGCGCAGTTTTTAGAGAAACTGGGAAATAGGAAGATTAATAGACTTGGCTGAGGATAGAATGAGGTTATGACAGAACCAGGGATAGAGTGTGCTTCTACTTATTGACTAGCTTAGCATGCTGCACACTTGTTAGCAGTTAAAGAAAACACATTGGGAATCAGTCCATGTCAGTAGGTACGTAATCCTGGAAACTTCCTTCTGAAATGTATTACTATAAATATTCTTTCTCTGCACACAGCTCATTTGATGAGGTACATCTTTAGGCCAAGAGCTCTTCTTGATGATTAATCCTACTCAATTTTCTTATGAGAAAATGATGCACACAAAGGTTAAATAACTCAGCCACTGTAATAGAATGAATT
The DNA here is from genome assembly GCF_000001405.40 of Homo sapiens. Taxonomy (NCBI): domain Eukaryota; kingdom Metazoa; phylum Chordata; class Mammalia; order Primates; family Hominidae; genus Homo; species Homo sapiens. The sequence continues at coordinate 210,544,428 of NC_000002.12, forward strand.
CATGTCAAACCTCAGCTCTGAGGCTTCTAGTTGACCTGTACAAACATGTAGCTGTTTTCCATCTTCATTTCAAGAATGTTTTATATATTTAATATTAAAACTCCTAATTCTGCTTGTTGCTGAGCTTAACTCTATGTAACATTTATATATGTAAATATTACTTGAAATAGTTTTAAAGCCACAAATTATTTTCAACTGGATTTAATTAGAATTTTCCTCGTACTAGTTTGAGAGGGTAGCTATTCCTTGACAATCTTTTTCTTCAGGCTGAAATATAAATGCAGATAAAATTTGGAGCAGAATTCTGCCAGTTAATTTAAACTGGGGTATGGCATTCTGAAGTATAATATAATAGGTATGTAAAAATGGTTGTTATATTTAGTCTTAAAGTTTAAGATATTTAGGGAATGTATTTACTGAGGAAATACGTTGACTTTGAGAATTTCTTTATGGAGTTGAAGTGCCTAGTACATTTTTTTTTTCTCCTCATACTAATTCTAAGTCAGGTGGTCCAACAAGGCCTCTCATCCTATTGGTATTACAGTATGACCTGTCTCCTGAACTTTGAAGCCATTTCTTTCCTTCAGAGGAGATAAGAAAATGTGTCTTATCTTAAGTCTGGAAGAAACACGGAGCCCAGTATCAAGGGAGTGGAGTAGTTCTTTTCCCAGACGTAGCACAGGGTTTTTCAAGCCTGAAGAAAAAGATTAATCTCCTTAAAACAAGGCTTTGTTGACTTGGGTCTGGTCATGGCAATCCTGTTTCCAGCCATCCTGTGTATAAGCTCTAACGGTCAGAAGTTTGTTTGCTTTGATTTTGATGTGGCTCATCTTTTCTTAGCTGCTCATATTCAAGATTTGGAAAAGAAGGAACGGTGGTGAGCTGAGCAATTAATTGGATTCTGATAAGGAGTTCTGGAGAAATTTTATTATTCCTGAGTTTTAAACCCGTGTAACTTTAATATAACTTTGGTATGAGCCTTTACATTTTTTCTCTGTGTTTTTGTAATTATATTGTGGCATTCTTATTGGGTGTGGTAGTAGCAATAAATTATAAATGTATGAATTTATACATTATGGATTTATAATTTCATAAGTTTTTGAGATTTTAAGACTTACTATTTTTTACACGATGCCTTATGTATTTATAGCATTTAATATTAATCTAAATTCATTTTGAGATATATTTTATCATGCTTTTATCTTTTATATGTTATTAGAAAGCACTTGGTATTTTAAAAATATATATTAATGTGAGATTTCACAATTTATACCTTGTCTTTGTAGTCACATGCGTAGAGGATATTTACAATTTTACTCAAGTTAATTTGCTCAGTGTTGATCATCAGACCTTTTAGCCAGTATTGGCTGGGAAAAAAAGTGTAATTCTTTTTGTTCTCTTGAGAATTTTTTGGATCTAAAGTGATTCCTAGGGTGTGGGTCAACTTCTATGATATGAAAGATGACATGGAGGTTTTTTATTTTGTGAAGTGCATTAATAGGTGATCACATTTCATCCTGGGAGAGCTGCTGGAGAGGAATATTGATTTAGCCTGTTATGGTTGAGTCTTTGGGGTCTTGAGCTTCTTAGATTTTTAGTTCTTTTTGTTATTCTTTATTGTTCAATCTTGAGAGTAGAAAATACACATTTTTGTCCACTTCTAAGAATAAAACTGAAAGGCTTCTCAAGAGGGAGCTTTTGAGGGACAAGTCTGTGTTCCAGACTTATTTTTATTCTCGGATCTAGCACCATGCTTGGCATGTAAAAGGGCTTTAATAAGTATTTATAGAAGGAATTGAAGAATTAATTATTACTTATGGACTATGAGAGGTCATGGTTGTTACTCTTTCTAATTTGTCGATATTAAACAGAGACAGTGAAGATACTAATTTAGATCACACAACGTGAATGAAGCAAACAAAAGCCTAAAGCTTTAGAAAAATGAATATATTATATTTTTAACTTCGCACTGTAGTTAAGCAGTGTGGAGCTATTTAATGATTTCAACCAGGAAGATATTAATGTGTGAAATAAGAGTACGTGGACAGTATATTAATTGTATGATACAAACAAGATATACATACATAAAGTTCATTAAAAGAGTATGATTTCATATGGCTTTGAAGGATTGATAGGATATAGACAAATTGATAAAATTGATCTAACCAATATTTAACTTTAGGTTTCTTCATCAGATAAAATATTGCATCATTTTATGTTGGCTAAGTGATTTGCAGTCTATTTCAATTAATTATTCTTTATAGTTTTTCTCTGTCAATGCCATTTAATAAAGAGAAAACTTCAGCAGACAGAAGTTATATGATCTTTGGCACTATTGGCTGTGTGTTAAGCCACAGTAAGGTTCAGTTACGTATTTTATTGTTTTATAATCACACATTTCTCCTTTGATTCATTTCTTATCTACACCCCTTCTTTCACATCCTAAATATTTTCTTTGGATAAATGTGTAGGGCAAGATGAAGAAAAGAAGAGAAAAAAGTAGTCAGAGCTTGGGAGTACTGAAACGCTTTGGACTCCAGCCAGCTGCCATCACTGAGGTGGTGAAAGAACACCGTAGTATAACTGGATGGCCCTGGTCCCTGCCAGGAGTCAGGATGGACTTTCAGTGTTGAAGAGCCATCTTGGCCTGTTACTAGCGCTGCCCCACACCATTGTGTTTGCCTAAGAGCTGAGCCAAAGAATTTACATATGTATGAGCCAAGGTCTGAAAATAGAAGTTAAAAAAATGGTGCTAAATTGACATATTTGCTATTTTATTTTTTTGGTCAGTTAATATGATAAACTTTTATTTAAATGTAAACATTATTTTAAAAAGCACTTTGTTTTAAATAACTGATTTTCATTGAAATTAATTCTGGCCTCTAAGCAGAGTTAGCTACAAAGACAATTTGTAAAAATGCAGAAAATTCAGAGTTTAACTTGGAGTTGTTTAAAGTTTATTTTCATATTTGAGTCTGATATTTCAGTTCACTGTAATATTTCAATTTATTTAAAATATTATCAAGACAAATATTGGGTTACCTTCACAATATTTTTTTCATTTTTCTTACCCCATATATTAAAAATGAACAAAAATGAAAGAATTATATAGTCTAGTGGATGGCAATTCTCTTGGTACAGTACTCACAGGATGTCAGAAGTGCTTTGATTTGCATGCAAATAGAAACTGCATTCCTAAAAGACCCTTAATTGAAGATATTAATAATTTTCATTAGGTTTTAAGTCTTTTAACCTTATCATATGGATAGAAAAGTAAAAGATGTGTTTAATAAAATGTCTTTTACTTATTTTTATTTGTCATTTATTTAAAGGTTTATTAGTGAATCTGTTTACCTGGAAAATGTGCAATTCTATTTGCAAATTTGGAGCACTACATATATTTAAGAGAATCCTTAGTTTCTGTTGGGAGTGGCAATATTTTATAACTGGGCCTTCATATTCCTATGTTACAGCCCTGGTCCCTGAAAGTCCTACAGCTATCTTTGTTTCAAGTGTGTATGTGTTATAATAAGATAAGTGTTAATTAGTTAATCAAGTACTAATTAACCTTTTTAATTTATAGAAAAACAGACATTTATGGACAAGTAAATTTTTGGGGTCAAAGTCTTTAATAATTTGAAGAATGCAGTTATTTTTAGCACAAATATTCTAATGTGAAAAGAATTTCTTTTTCTGAGTTATATATTTTTATGCCATTCAGAGTCACTAATATAGTACTAATAATACTTTTTCTATTGTGTACCTTTGTTTCTCTCATTTGTCTTACATTTTATGTCTAATCATCATTTCACAAAATTTCTATCATTACTGCTTGACCTCGACTTCTAACATGGCAATTAATTTTTATACACAAATTTTTGAAATCTTGACAGAGTTTTTAACTTCCTCATACCGAGTTCTTTGCTTTTTTAGTTTACAAGATGTTCAAGAATGCTCTTTTGAAATAATCAATTACCTAATGCAAGATAAATTAGCAACAACATTACATATTTTTCTTACTATCAACTGAGAATGATCTTGATAGGGGCAAGTATAGGTTAAAAATAAATGACATCAAAAAACAATACCAGAATAAAACATTTAATTCTTCAACACTCAAAGGCATGTCAGGTATTGAAATCCAAGTAGGCACTTTTGACTAATTGTTAGTAGTTTGTAGAATTCAAGGATTAGGGTTGGCTTCCTTTTGTCTTTCTTTCTCTTCTTCCTCCCCTTCTTCATCTCCTTCTTGTTCTTCTTTTTTTTCCCCTCTCCAGATCACTAATCTTCTCCAACAAATTTTTAGCCTATATAAAATAAAAAAAGGTACTCCTGCCCTATGACTCAACTTACAAATCTACAAACCTGGAGGAAGAAATAGCTCTGTGATCCATTCCTGGGGAATTGCAATAAAGTTTTAGGGAAGATGGAACTTAATGTTTGTGAAAGCACGGGTCCTATTTCCGATTTCCAGGAGGGTGGAATGTATCTTCCTGAATCACATTCCGCTGAAAATAGGAGGCCATGGAAGAAATCAGGTTCAGTATAACAAATTTTCTACAAAAGGGGGTGGAGTAGGAATGTGCGTAGGTGACCTGTTCTCTACGTCATTCCAGTGTAAACTACTGCCCCTTACACTTCACGAAGTCGGTAACTTCAAGACATGTTGCACCACATGCTTCTCTGTGATCCTCAAATATGTTTAATTTAAAGAGGGTCCAGTAGTGTCCTGGCACATGATCTGGATTGCCATAGATAACCATCTACCTCACAGCTAGGGTTGCTCTTTAGAATCTTGCAAAATCATTTGTTTACTCTTGACAAAAGTTAAGAAAACAAGCCCATCAGAGTTGTTTGTTCTGTCAGCATGTTAGAAGATGGTTTTGTTGCAATGATAATCGTTGTGCAAAGAAGACTGATGATGATTTTTTTTTACATTTTCTTAACAGTATTTGCTATTTAGAATGAATGTTGTCTAATTATTTAGCCATTTTATTTTGTAAAATTTATGTTGTAGGCATATTTAGACCAAGTTATAAGAAAATGCTTCAGCCAAAATTAAGTGTTGAGTTTGATTTGTGTAATTGTTAGTTTCTTTACTAGTTGTTCCATCATTTACACAATTATTTCTATTTGAAATGCAGTAATTGTTCAGAACTTATATTTCTATACTGATGTCTACTAACAGCTTTAGATCAAATATTAAATAACTCAAGAATAATGAGATGATCTTGGCTTACTTAGATATTTGGTTTTTATATCTATAGAACAAAGGAATTAGAAAATAATTTTGAAGATTTCATCCAGCTATGTAAAACTATCTAGGGAATACATTTACTAGGTTTTCAATTTTCTACAAAACATCTTTCAGCAGAAAGCAATCCTGTTTCCTGATATACAATGTCTGATACATAGAAACTACTCAGTACATAATTCCTGAATTGATTATTCTTTTGGAAATCCTAGATTTGATTTCTGAACAATCATAAACATTTAATGGCATGAAATTACCCAGATTCCATGGTTCTGGAATACATAACTTCAAGCAATAAGATGCAAGATAGAAACATATAAGACATTCTTTGCTATTTTAGGTAAGTCCAGCTGAATCAGTTAATCAGCTAGAAACGTGGCTCACAGATGAATTAGTTTTATTATTAGGTGGATTACTGAAAAATTAATAGCTTTATTTCCGTATTACCTTATCATTTATTTAATATAAAACATAATAAACCAGAGAAGTTGTGGTTACTTTCTTCTGTCTCATTGTTCAGTTTTTACTGAAGTTATGTTTTACTGATTTTCACGAAATGCAAATATTTCTGAGCATCAGAAATCCAGCTTTTGCTACCTCCCACTCATGTATTCTTCCCATCAAATTGAATCTTAACCAGGTCACTCTTTCCTGTTCATTCCATGCTGTTGCCCCTGTTTTCTCCAGATATAATTGACATGCTCCAAGAGGATGAACATTGCCTAAGACTTGATTTCTGGTCTTGGCTTTGCAACTTACTAGCTGTGTGACCTTGAACAAGCTACTTAATTCTCTGAGACTCATCATTATTGTTTATAAAATAGGGATAGCATTAGCTTATTTCAAGAATTGTTTTTAAAATTAGCAAGGAAGGCATACCAATGCCTAGCTCAGGGGATCAACAAGTGGCAAGTACCTCAACTTTCAGGCAAGATCATACTTATCATCAGTGGAGCCAATAGAACAGATTTATTTAAATACCCTATTTTCACTTACTGGCATAACAGCAAGTGGTGTACATATTTATATATCTCTCTATATAGATGCAGATAATATACTAATATATTGTGGTTATATCTTCCAATGTTTTAGTTTCTATTGAGGGGTCTTTCTTATTTATTACACAAGAATAATAATTATTATTTTTTTACTTTCAGGAAGATTGAAAGACTTTGCTTAGGACTCCTATGTGACATGATTTTAAATTTAATAGTTAGCTCATGGTCAAACTCCATTTTTAGAATTTTAATTTATTCAATATTTAGCTTTTTATGTGAACATTGAGTTTCTTTTCTTAAATTCCACTCTAAGTTCTGCTTTCTATATTGGGATTTTTAAATTACAGCTTAACATGATTAACTTTGGGCCTCTTGCTATGTTTTATAATTGCTATATATGCTTTTTGGCTCATTTCCATATAAATCAATCCTCTACAACTTTTATTTATTTACAGCTTGTTTTTCTTTCTCTTTTTGGACTAACTTACACGTGACCTCCCTTTGGGTGCACTTTGTGTTTGGCTATGTCTTCAATTTTCCAAAGTCACTGAATTCTGAATCAACTTTCTAAGGCATTTCCCACTGTTCTTCTCATTTCACAAATACACAAGAAACTTCGTGAATTCACTGGATAATCCACTCTGTCCTTTTACATTGGCAATAACTCATTTATATACATTCTTTAGCAAATGTGTATGCACATAACATTGGCCTAGAATATATACTCCATGCTGTTGAATTAACATCTAACATGTCTACTTGGTCTGGGAGTAGTGTCTTTTTTAAGCAGAAATTAGCATGACAAGATTTACTGTTTATAAATACATGCTCCTTGTACTGACTAACTTGTTCTCCTTAAGGTGTTTGCAAATGGGGTCTTATGAATGATAGCTTTTTTTTTGTTATTCTAGAATAAATCACATGTGCCCTGAGCTTTAATATGTGAAACCAATTTTACAAGGTCTCTTTTCCAGCTTCATTTTTCACCTTCTTTTGTATCACTCCAAACTTTATGTTATCAAATGTTAGATTGATAAGCATATTCATCATAATTTGATCCTCACTTTCTATTCCTCAAAATGCCAATTGGATCTTAATGAATAGGTTTTACTTGATTGGATTTCCAAGGATATCTGGTTAGTTTGAACCCTCATCATCTAACAACATGATATCTGTCTGTCATTTTCAATCCTTGACATATTGGGAAGGTTTTCAAACAACTTTAAGTCTTCTTCCTGGCCAAACTTTGAGGAATCCTCCTACCAGCTTGTCCTAGTTTCTGTGATAGGAGAAAATGTGTGCCTTTTACATGGGTACAATCCACACCACTTTCCCTCAGAGATGCCTTCTTCATCCATATCTTTAATTGTGACCGTGTTCCTTGTTATGATACTAAGGCTAATAAAAATCATAGAACTGAACCCAATTACTTCTACCTTTTATATTCTATTTTCACACATTTCTGGTCAAACACAAAACAGTAGAACTTTCTTCAGGGAGTTATTGCACCTCCTTTTACTCTGAATTTGTTTGCTCTCCAGTCATACCTTACTCCTTGCTTTAATGTATCTCTTCAAAAATAGACTTTATAGAATTATTGATTGCCAGGTTTTTTTTTTCATGACTCCTAAGCATCCTTATTTCCTCTCATGCTTAACTGATGTAATTTTATTTGTTCCTGCTTAAATAATCATCACTGATCAGGCAGGAATTAAGCACACAGCAATCCATTCATTCAGTCATTTTTCCAGAAGCATCTCTTGCATGCTTGCTATGTTAGAGACTTTTTGATAGATGCACCAACTTCTTAGAGTTGTTTCTGATTCATTACTTAGGAACATTTCAAGAGGGCAGTTGGAAGTCTCTGTACCTTCAAAGGAATTACTAACACCCTTATTTTCTCTTCATTCCAAAACCTAAGACCTTTATTCTCTAAGACATCCTGTTCTCATTTTTTTTTTCAATCTGTAGCAGGTCTTCCCTTGCTTATGTCAGTGGACTGTTTAAATGAAGAGTGGACTGTTTGAGAAGTGGACTGTTTAAATCAGTATAGACACAGGCTGTCAGTGTTTCTTTATGTTTCCTTTAAAGACATTTTCGTAATGATTAATATAAATGAGTTAATGGAAACAAAAATGTAAACAGTAGTTGATAAAAGAATAGTATCAATTAAAAACATACTGTGAAGTATTCAACTTCACCAGTGATTTAAAATAGAAATGAAAGCAAAATAATATTTTCTACAGCGGAGCAAATAAAATGAAAGATAATACATAATGTTGGTGAGGACATTTTTAAAGGGACACCCATATATTGCACTGGTATGTAGGTGAGTACACTCTCTTTGGAGAGAAATTTGTAAATAGTAATCAAATATGGCAATATTGACATGCATTGTAGCAGCAATGAAAATGGAATATTTTGTAATCATTTAAAGTAATGTTTTAAAAGAACTTTGTAATAACATCAAAATACATTTAACATAATATTGCCTCCAAAAAGCATTATGCAAGTCAATGGCAATTTTCAAAACTATGTTCTGAGCATTGACATAAATGCTAGAAGATAATACTTTAGTGTTAACAGAGATTATGTTTGTGTGGTGGGTTATTATCTATTATTCTGTATTTCCACATTTCTTTAAATATCAAATGAAAGTGAATACAACCTAGTACTTGACATTTTAACATTTTCAATACCAGATATGTCAATAAGGAATTCATAAAATAAAGTGCCCTGAGGGATTTCACAGGCTAAATGCTTCTATTTTTTAAAATGTATTAATAGAAAAGAAGACTAAATCTAAAAAAAAAAATTCATTTTATCAGAGAGTGACTCATAAGTTTAGAAAACCTTTGATGACCTGGCTCACAAAGAATGTACTTCCAAGTACACAGGGTCCCCAGCCTGATGTGTGTGCCTGCATTCATGCCTGTCACTCTGCTCAGCTGCGTGCAGACAGCTTATATGAAGGAGGACTGTGTACATGTGGTCAGAGAAGAAAAAAATGCTTATTTTTTAAAATGTTTTGAAAAATAATCTGTCCTAAAAGTGTAACATTTCCACTAAATTTTTTCATGTCTGACTTTAACATTCCCTACCAACCAACTCTTATAGCCTCAACTCCTTTGATCTATCCTAATGTAAACTCCCTCACTAATGTGTAATATATTTTTTTCCAGTTTGGTTATAGATTTCAGTCTAGCCTGAACACTCAAGTATGAAACTAGCCACTATTTTATTTATTGGCTGTTCCAACCTCCATTGTGGAATTATAATTGATGGATTTTCCAAGTCTCTAATTCAGAATATTTAATCAAATTTTCCAAAATTTCTGCCTTCTCCTCCTTCATTCTGATGACTAAAGACATGGACCATAAAATATATATACATATATACATACATATGTATATGTATGTATATACACATATATATATGTATGTATATATACATACATATATATATGTATATATACACACACATATACATATGTATGTATATATACACACACACATATATATATGTATGTATATATATACACACACATATATATATGTATGTATATATATACACACACATATATATATGTATGTATATATATACACACACACACCGTAGTTTGCAAGTCTGCATCTGGGACCCTTTACTGATAAAAATGAAAGCCCATTAAAACTCTCATGCCCACATTTCTCTCTAGACTTTAGAGTAGGAGAATTCTATCCTAGAATTGTTGATTGTTGACATTTCTATGGAAAAACATGTTTAATTCATCATGCTTTGTAGTCAACTGCTATAAATGGTGATGAAGTCTTTTCCTTGGTCAAGCTCTGGACTCCTCAGTACTTCCACTGTCATATTTGATTAAAACATAAGTGATGAAGGGAGGAAATATATTATAGTATTCATTGCATGGGTACCTTAGGGTAATGGGACTATGACTGATTTAAATTTATTTTGCATCCTAAAAAGTTTCCATTAGTGGGTGCAGCACACCAGCATGGCACATGTATACATATGTAACTAACCTGCACAATGTGCACATGTACCCTAAAACTTAAAGTATAATAATAAAAGAAAAAAAAACTTAAAAAGAAAAGTTTCCATAATGAGGATTGAGTTTATATCGTTTTCTTAATTAAGGAAAGACAACCCTCACTACACACACACACACACACACACACACACACATAAAAAGACAAGAGGTGAGATCAAGGCGTAAACTAGTATTGGACTAAGCCAGTAAGTACTGCTTCTCAGTCCTCAGTTCTCTAGGTTGGGAGTTTTCCTTTTGCTATTTTCATTCTCCTCCAATTCATTTTTCAATGATCTTCAACACAAATTTCGCCTTTATTTCTTGTTCAAAATACTTCCATGACTATTATGAATACTATTTATGGATGAAGGCTGAACATTTTAAGGCATACTAAGTCTCCCATGATATGGTACCTTTTCATTTTCCCATTCTATACCCTGCATCTAGGCTTTTAAAAAATATACCACATGACTTCATGCCTCTAGGCTATTGCTCATGCCACGGCATCCCTTCTGGGTTTTTTCCCCTCTTTATCTACTTGGTGAATTTGCATCCTTCAGTATAACACAGCTCAACATAATTCTATGCTTAAACTTTACTGAAAATGCACAAGGAACTTGATCTTTCTTTCTTATTTTCCCCATTTTATTTATTTTCCCATTGCATTTGGGCAACTTTCATGGCACCAGTTATTTTATTAATTATTTGTATAAACTAGTATGAGCCTATTTTGTTTAGCTTTCTATCACCAGGAGCCATGAAGCACTTTGAAATCAAATACTGTTTGTACTTGAATATATTAAGTAAGCGTGAGGACTTAAATTAAACTTTGTTCCTCTTTAAAAAAATCCTTACCCCAACTCTAGCACTGATTCTATGTTATTGAAGCTTACAATCTTTATGTCATTTTCTGTCATCTTTTCTGTTATGAGAAGACCTAGGTATGAGTCTATTGCCTTTATTCCTTGGCCTTCTTTGCAAGGGTATCAAAGAACACTGCTGCAGTACTTCCTGTTCTACATAGTCATGTGACTTAAGCAAGAGCATCTGCCAGCCAGTGAGGCCCCTTGAGAGCCTGGTTAAACATGGGACTGAAGGGTTAAGTGAATCACTTTTTATTCATGTTGAAATATGAATGCTGAAGTTTGGAAAATTTTATATATAACATTTTAATAACTAAAAAAACTTGACTTAGGAATAGTGCTTATATTAAAATCAGTGTTTGTCATTGTTTCATGAAGTTTTTACAAATCTAAGAGGCTTAAGAGGGATATAATAGTCCACTTTGCTTTAGTTGTGTTTTACTTGATATTACTGATTGCTTTAACTTTGAAACACAGAACAATGCTATAGTAAGAATGTAGTATACTACTCTATTAACCCAAAACATAATATAGATAGGTTTATTGTATATTTGTGGAGAAAAGTTTATTCTAACGTTCTTTTTACAAATAGTAAAAATGCTATTTGTAGGATGCTCTGATTTTTACTTTTTGTAAAAAGAACATTGTCTTTTTACCCCAACAGAAAATGGCAAGCGTTCAGCTTTCTTTGGGAATCCAAAATCTCTTATGAGGCATATTAGGTATCACATGTGACATAAGCAAAAGCCTGTGATCCTTAGCATGTTGGAAAGTTGCTACTCTTTAGGATAAGGTTGTCCATGATGTCTAGGTCATTCCATTCAGCTGCATAAACAATTCCTTTGATGGATGGCTGGTTTTCTACAACCCCAGCATTATTTTAGCAGGAGAAGGTAGTATTTGATGTGTTGCAATTTGTGTTACATGCCCATGGAACATCTCTGGACATTACCTCAGGAGGAGGGGTTAAGAGAAGGAGGAGCTGTGGCTGAAGACATTTAATGGCAGAATGAATGGAAATTCAAAGATCGCTGTGCAGTCAGCCTTAAACACTGACTGCACCCCTCCCAGATTTCTTTTACATTAACTAAAAAGTCTTATCACACAATCTCATAAAATTTATGTAATTTCATTTAATTTTAGCCACAAATCATCAAAATGACGAGGATTTTGACAGCTTTCAAAGTGGTGAGGACACTGAAGACTGGTTTTGGCTTTACCAATGTGACTGCACACCAAAAATGGAAATTTTCAAGACCTGGCATCAGGCTCCTTTCTGTCAAGGTAATACCCATATTGATTGTTTCTGATAAAATACTATGGGGTATAGTTTAGCAGTGAAGCAAAGGTGTCCCTTACAAGGCAAATACAGTTTTGAATGTAGCTCTGAAGTACTAATGTATTAATGTTTCCTTTACTGTGGAACCTACTGACTTAGCAAATGCTAATTTTTATCTTATCTGAGTAACATGACAGTAATTTTTACCCAACATAAAGAATGATGACAATTCTTGTGAACATGTAAAATGTAAGTACACTGCTTGAAAAAGAAACATCTTTTCTTTCATAGATAGCTTTCTGTGACTAGATACTATTGCTTACAGTTTGGATTTAAAAAATGGAGCTGCTTATATGTGTGTGAGCCACATTATGGTACACAGTGTGTTAAGGTCTGTTCTATAAATAGGGCTTACTGAAAAGTTCTCTTTTGAAATATCATTTAAACATTTTAAAAACATAATTAGAAAATATGTGTTTTTGAGATTTGCAGGTCATCATGTAGACACTGCTTTAGCTTTTTCCTTTTCCTTCTGGCTGTTTTTTTGGGCAGGCTAAACTTATTATTTTCATTTTGTAGAGTAATACATAGAGGCAGATAGCAGCTGATAATTCTGTCCCTCCACAGGTATCTATAATTGAGAGGGCAAGCCCAGGAAAGAAACATTAATTGCCCTTCTTCCTGCCCCCCAGCATTGAATTATGAAATTCCTGTAGGAACCTCTGCTCCTTCCTGCAACTTTATGAAGACGTTCATTATCAGAGAAGCCTGAAGTTACTCCATAGGAACTTTGCCAATGAAAATAATCTTTAGTGACTATAAGTTTAAGTAATTATATTAGCTTTAGATATATTGCTTCTTTAGCAGCAAAAGCTGTAAAATTTGAAATAGAAAAAACAAAAGAAAACCTCTGTCTGTTGATGTGAAAATGGGAACTCACAGTTTGGAGTGTTCTGCTTATACTTTGCATGCTCATTGAGTTGACTAAGCTTCTATTGTTTCAGTTGCTCAAGTCAGGATTCAGTGGGGTTTTGGTCCTGACACCTGCAAGGCCAAGGAATATTCATAGATTCCTGTGGCTGCCAGGGATAGGGATGGGAAAGGAATGGGAGTAAAAGAAAAGGAAGAGAGATGGAGACAGGGGGAGGGGAAGGGGAGAAGTGTGAGGGATGGGAGGGAGAGAGAGAGAGAAAGAGAGAGAAACTAGCTCAAGATCCCAGGAGAAAAGAGGAAATACATATAGTAGCCTTAGTGGTGTGTTAACAACTTCAGCCTTTAACATTGAGAAGATTCTAACAAGAGTATAGGAAATTACCATTTTAAATTAAGAAAACCAGAAAGGAAAATGTCTTTTATGTTGTTACATATTCCAATGTATCCAATTTTACTCTTTTTAAATGGACATCATGTTTTAAAGATAGTTAAAATCATTAGGATGTAGTTACATAATGGCCATAAAGGGCACTGGGAGCAGTCACTAAAGGTTAGTGGCATTATGTCTAGTTATATATATTTTCTTGAATTTAGCTTAATTATAGCAAAAGAATGGGAAAGGAGAATATTCTAAACTAACATCAAAGACATTGTAACTAGATGTAAACTATGAGAATTTATTGTTAGTAATACCTCAAGGTACTCATGTATCAGTTCAGAGAAAATCAATAGTAATGAAAGTTATCCCCTATGATTATATGTGCCATCTAATACTTCAAAGTTGGGTGACTTGGAATATCTTCTTCTCACTCTGTGAGAAGGTAGGTATGTAGGTAAGGATAGGTGCATCTTCATCAGACCCCAGAAACCGCGAAATTGAGTACTTACTTAAAATGGCACAGATATGATTGAAATTAGAATCCAATTCTCCAAGATCACAATAAGTGCTCCATACAACCACCACCACAATCACAACCACGACAAAATGGTCTAATTATGTGGATGGATTACTGTGAAAGCAGTTCTAGCTCATGGTGACAGATCTGTTTCAAGGGTCTGTCACAGTGCACAGCTAAGAATGACAAATTTGTAGGAGCACTAAGCCATCATTTCATGGTGTAAAAGCCATTACTCACACTCAATCATTACTGGCCAGAGTTTTGGAGGAATGCCAAGCACAAAAAATAGAAGTTCTTGAACTTCACAATAGTGAATTAAAATTCCATAGAACAGCCCAAGGGGACTTGTGTTATTATTCAGTTATTGTGAAATAGTCCTCTATCTACTTTTCTTCCTGCCTTCACTTTAAAAACTCAACTGTCTTAGAAAAATATATCCAAATTTACTATTTTTAGATGGACATCATATTTTAAAGATAGTTAAAATCATTAGGATGTAGTTACATAATGGTCAGTGAAGGGCACTGAGAACAGTCACTTTAAAGGTTAGTAGCATTATGTCCAGTTATAGATGGTAAATGGATTGGGAAAGACACCCTGTAGTCACATCTATAATCATTGCCCTGTAAATTGGGTTGCTTTTTCGACATATTTAGAGGTTTGCTTTTCCTCTCTCTTTGATGACAGAGACGGTGGGTTTGACGACAGCAATGACGCACTTATAATTTTATGTGGCCCTTCCCTGGGTATTTGTCAGCGGCTAATATTTATAGAGTGCTTTGCCAATCGGCACAGTTGTATTTTACTTACAGGAAAGAGGAAAGAATTTCAAGGTGCTCTATATTTTAAAGAAAGTTGATATCAAGGGTATAAATGATCAACAACCATAAAATACTAAATACTAAAAAGTTTTAGATACCATAATCTTTTTCCATTAGTACTGAAAATGTTCAGCACTCATTATTACATTCAGCAGGCTGTAACAGTGTAATAGTGGGATATACTCTGGATTGGGCACAAAAAGATCTGGAATCTAACCCCTGTTATGCATTTCCTAATGCCCTGTTCTTGGACAAGTCACATATTCTCTGAACCTAAGTTTTGTCATCTGTATAGTGCAAATGATGACTGATTTACTTGACAAATTATGTGATTGTCACACATGAACAATTCTCAAAAATCTTTAAAGTTTTAAATTTAAACCATTAAACTGAACATTTTAAAGCAAAAACTGGATATTTAAAAAAAAATTCCATTCTATACATTTTAGTAGAAGGACTTAGTAGAGGGTTAGATCAAAGAGTCCTTATGTTTTTTATGGACTACAAGTTGTTGCAATGACAAGGTATTTGATAAGAATTCTCAAATATTTATAATAATGATTTGTTCACCTTTGCCTTAATATTAAACATCTCTAAGAAGATATTTCTTATAATAAATCAGACTCAAGGAAAATGAAGCAAATAATCTTTTTTTTTCAGTATGGCAAATTTAATTCCAAAAGGCAGAATAGACACCATAATAACCTATTTCATTCATTCATTCATTTATTCTTTAATAAACACGGAACCTCTACCATGGGAGTATACAGGAAGAATGATAAATAGAAATAAGTGGATCATAAGAGTATAGTCTCTGATTTCAAGAAACTTACAGACTTCAGAATTCTGAGTTCACAAGTCTGGGAAAGTCATCAAAGCTAAATAGTTTTATTTTTACTTGCAAATGAATTTGGAAATCAAAAGTATTAAATTGTAAAGCTTAAGTTCCCTATGAATAGAAAAGTGTTCAATAAGTACTCCTTCTAACATTAATCCACTCATTTTTTAACAATGGTGACCTGTGTTATAATTAAGCTAGGAACCTAACAATCCAAGTGTCCTCTCTGATACTTCAGCTACGAATGAGCACTGGTAGTCATTATTTCTTTTGAAAGGCATTCATTTTTAAGATTTTATATTCTGATTTTCACATAGAAGTATCTATTTAGTTCCGTCTTGAGGAGCTATTGTCATTTGATTAGAAATTGGCAACTATAAAAACTCCTACAATTAGAATAATTTACTTACATTGTAGTAGCTTTAAAGATAGTCACAGGAAATATAACTCATTATCATATTGGAGCCTCTGTACACGTTAGATGTAAGAGTGGGGATGGGGTTATCACACACTTTTAAGAATAACTATTTTATTGGACTTTTACTACATATAGACACATTTTAGGACGGATTTCATCTATGGCAAACTACATTTTTGAAATATTAATTGTGTTCAGTCCCAAATGAGCTGTTGCAGAATTAGTTTGCCTGATGGACAACTTTACATACTTTTGGCATGCAATACTTCTCTAATTGGGAGATGGCCTTTCTTTTGAACATTTTAATTTTTTCCATTTTTTATATCCCCAATTTTCTAAAATATAGATTCATTTATTAGTCACCAACAACGCCTTGACATTATGAGCTTCTTGACATAAAACTCTTGAAAAAACTATAGTTTAAATGTCCTAGACTAGGTTAAGTGAGTGAGGTACCTGAGATGCAAAATTTAAGGAGGCTGTCACTGTTAGTGTCATGGTGTATCTCTTTGAGAGTTAGGCCCTAAGCACATCACTCAGTACCCTAGTCCCAGCTTTGGGTCAGAAGCTAAGCATTCTGGCTGTAGAACTGCCCAAGGGACTAGTACTAATCTTGACCTGTGCTTTCCTCTCCCTCATTCCAATTTGCTCATGTCTAGCCAGACTTTCTGACGATCTAGAGGTGACATTAGGTCTTATTGCTATGGAAATGGAGACTATTCCTCTGCCTTTACATCTGTATTAGACTTTCTTCATATTTCCAACCTGTTCCAAAAATTGAGGGGTGCTGTAGAAAGTTTTCAGTATCTCTTAGGCAATGGGCATGCTAGAATTCACTTCAAGCCTTCAGGAGGAGTTTGGTATGCTACGCTGACTGCCCTTGATGGGATTTGTATTTCCTGGGGCATTTGCAATGACGGAGGCCCGAAAAAAGCTGCGCGGGCCAAGGTCAAAGTTTGTGTTAGGCTCCTTAGCCCTAGGGATCTTTAGCTTCCATTTGATTTTCTTCATGTGATCTAAATGAGTTGAACTTATAAAAATATTTTCAAGGCTACTCTGTTTGCTTTTTATTTTTTTCAACTTGTTAAATGCTATACATTGATCTTTTAAATTTCATAGGGAGGTAACTGACTAATTTGAAGTTCTCATAAATGAATCAATAGGGTTGCTACATTATGAAAGAATTTTACTAAGTTTCTTCTATAATGCAGACTGAAATATAAGACCATTTTAATTTATCACCACCATACAGTAAAAATTAGCTTATGATATGTAGGTTCCTCCAGGATTCTGAACAACTTGCCACATAGCAGATGCTCAGTAAGGCATATTAATAAACCTACACTTTATGAACATACTTTGTAATGAAATTTTTATAAATGCTGTATTTTATTTACAATGAGAAACCTTATTAGAATAAAAATGATTCATAAATCTTAATCTTTTGTTTATAAATGTTCAAACATAAAAGTACTTAAGTAAATTAACCTTTTGATTTTGTCCCCTTAACATTGGCTTATGTTTAACCAAAGACCGATGACTTAATATTAACTTGGAATGTTGTAAGATTATTAACTGAGAATGTGGTAAGGCCTAATTGATTACTGCTGTTACAGTGCTTCAGAATTTTGAAGTGTTAGGCCTTGTAACTGCAGAGAAGTCTCATGAAATATTTCAAAGACAAATTGTGCTGAAATTCTAAATTTCAAAAATCCATATCTTAATAGTGTAATTCCAAGAATAAAAGAATAAGATTTCATTTACTTGATTTTAACTTTTTACCATATTATCTACACAATAATTACCTGAAATAAATTCTGGCTTTAGGCTTTCTACTTTTCAGTGCTTAGTTCAGATTTATTTTTTAAGAGGATGAGTACTGAGGCGAACTAATAGCTTAGAAACATCAGGTAAGCCAGAAAGCACGTATGTTATATAGCCTTAGGCCTTGGTGAAAATGGAAAAAAAACATGTGGGGCCTCTACTTTTTCTGAAGTGCAAATAGTTTACGTAGATAAATGATTCAACAGCAATACCATAATCCCAGAGTAAATTATTTTCATTTTTACTACTAGCTCAAGGGAATTACTGACTTTTAAATGGTGTTTTTTTTTTTTTTTCAAACCTTTTATGGAATCTATTGCTGAATTAGCTTAAGGCTTTACAGGCAGAACATTTTAGTGGTGGAGTCTCATATCTAGGAGAAGAAACATTTCTGTTCCTCCCATTTCACAGATATGTAAGTGCTGAAGTTAAAACAAGGACACATGGATGCCTGTTTTTGTACGTAAAACAAAATATACATTAGCAAATTTGGTTAGAATTTTAATTAGGCTTCAAACAACAGATGGATCTTTTTAATTTGAAGTTTTGTTATTGTACTTATATACCCGATGCCATAGTTGTGTTTAACCTGGCTTCAGAATGTTCTAAGTCATTTCTTCTGCTGTTATTTTATTGCTTACTCAAGGGCTCATTTACATACTGAATGTTATGGCAATACGACACAAATTTGATTTTTCCTTTTCTTTTTTTGAGAATAGGTTGTTTAAATCAAAGCATAAGGAAGGATTCTTGCTTTATATGGCTGTCAACAATTATATAAATAGGACATTTTAGGGCAATGCTGTTTACAGTTGACGTATTTCTTCCATTTCAACCTAAATATTGTCATGTGTTTGTAACAAAACATGCTGTTTTTCAGTTTCAATGTGTTTCTTCCTCTTATAGTCCTGTAAGCTCCACATATACAAAAGCCTAATGCAATTTTAGGCTGCAAGAAAAGTCTCATTTTGACTTGTTTTCCATCTTGATATAAAAGACCCGAAGAAAACTGGTTCGAAGTAAAGGATCGATGTCCTTAGAATTAGTTCAGAATGCTGATGGGTTGTGAAACAATACATGAGCAATGAGTAGATGATTTTTAATAACATAATACTGAATGCAAAGGAGAACCTAACAATAATGATAAACACTAGGCTGCTTCAAAAACTTTTATAGATTAAATTACAAATTATGTTTGAATTTTGACTGTTACTTCCTAAGACTAAGCCCTCTCAATCAGTTTAGCATAGCACCAGGGACAGATGCTCAAACCTTTTTCAAGGGGAATGTAGCTGTGTGACTCTCATTAATAGCTGTTGCATTATTCTGATTCTGGAAAACACTTTGAAACATCTACCCTTTTAAACTGAATCTCAGACTGAGTATTAAAGGGTAAAATTGCAGTCACTTATTTGTGGTCCCATAAAGTTTATGAATCATCTTACTAAGAAATGAAAATATATCCATAAATGTAGGCTTACAATGAATTTTAATTGTGAGGAAAATTTAAAACCCCTAAAAGAGATGAGATTTTTAGAGAAATTTCAGAGCTTGCAGTATTCTATCTTGTAACATCATTAGAACATTGAAATATTGTTTGACAATGGTGAAACAATAATATCAACATCCACGGCAGACAAACCAAAACAATTGAGAGTTTATTGGAATTTCTACTTATATGTAACCCCCCCTCACAAAAATGTATTTTCATTAAAAATTACTTATAACCTGTGAAAGAAATCTCAGACTTTACAAATATTAAGAATTGCAACATTAAATTTAGTTAACAATGATTTTTTTTTTTTTGAGATGGAGTCTCGCTCTGTCGCCCAGGCTGGAGTGCAGTGCTGCGATCTCGGCTCACTGCAAGGTCCGCCTCCGGGGTTCACGCCATTCTCCTGCCTCAGCCTCCCGAGTAGCTGGGACTACAGGTGCCTGCCACCACGCCTGGCTAATTTTTTTGTATTTTTAGTAGAGACGGGGTTTCACCGTGTTAGCCAGGATGGTCTCGATCTCCTGACCTTGTGATCCGCCCGCCTCGGCCTCCCAAAGTGCTGGGATTACAGGCGTGAGCCACCGCGCCCGGCCTAGAATGCTCATTTTAAAAGTAATATAGGAATGGGGGCCGGACTTGGTGGCTCACACCTGTAATTCCAGCACTTTGGAAAGCCAAAGCAGGCAGATCTCTTGAGGTCAGGAGTTTGAGACCAGCATGGCCAACATGGTGAAACCCCATCTCTACTAAAAATACAAAATTAGCTGGGTGTGGTGGCGCAAAGTGCCTGTAATCTCAGCTACTCGGGAGGCTGAAACAGGAGAATTGCTTGAACCTAGGAGGCAGAGGTTGCAGTGAGCCAAGATCATGCCACTGCACTCCAGCTTGGTCGACAGAGAGATTTCATCTCAAAAAATAAATAAATAAAAATAAAAATAAATAAATAAATAAAAAATAAAAGTAATATGAGAATGGAGATCATATAGCTATTTTTGTAATTCAGTTTAATTTAGAAATAGGAGTACTAAATAAAATTATAAAGTAAGATTAAACATGGAGCAATTACATATACATAGGAAAATTCCGTTTTAGTCCTTCTAAATATTGTGTGTGAAAAAATCTGCAGTCTTATGAATCTTCCTCCAATAAATTTTCTAACAAAGGAAACATTTAGTATTACTAGGCCGTAGAGACTAGTAATTTAATCTTTAATTTTTAAATTTATATGAAGTAACAAGAGAACACAATTTTTCACCGCTTATTTTATAACCTGATTGGCTCCCAGATTCACAATACGTGTAGGCTCCAGACTAAAAAATGCCAAACTGTTAGTGGAAAGTAACCTTAAGGCATTTTTCTTGATATCCATATTAGCTACAATCCTTGGCCTATTTCTTTGGAGTATGTTTACATGTTTTATGAATATAATTACATAGGTGGGAGAAGAAAAACATACAAACATAATTTCAAAAAGATGGAAATAATGTTAATAATTGCAGCCACAATTTAAACATATTGGTTCAAAAGTTTAAACGTATTTCTTTGTTTTATGAGATTCAAACAAAATCTCATAAAAACATGAGATTTTTAGAAAGTACAGAAAAATCTCTCTCTCTGTATGAATTTTATTTTAGGCAGTTGCATGCTAAACTTGTGCTTGGTTGTTCAAATAAAGTGAATGTTCACATGTGGACTCCACTCTTGAACATCAGGCAACTTGGAAGTAACATTAACTTTGGCATAAGGACTTTGACTGATCATTTGGTTTAAGTGCCTAGCATGACTTAGGTTCTCTGTAAACAAATGCTGAGATGATGTTTGGGGAGCATGCTCTCTATTAGGGATCAGCATCTGTGAAGCTTCAGGAAGTAGAACTGGACAGAGAACTAAACTGTAATGCAGTTTTGATAAAGCCTTGGCCAACGGGATAGGAAGCTGCTGCCCACCAGACTTTCCTGGATGTGGCCTGAACCTTTCTATCCAGGCCTAACTTAGACACTGGTCATGGGGTATTCCAAGAAAGTCATGGGGCAATGCAGCCCTCTACAGCTGAGATAGACCCTGAAAAATTTGACAGCAGGAGATGGTTTGCTGACCTCACTCCTCACAGCAGGGCAGCAAGTTTTTCCATTATTAATATGAATAATTATCTATGTTATCTAGAAATTGAATCCTCCATCACTGGGGAAAAGGGAGGGGGGACTGAGAGGTGGATCTCCTTATTCATCACAGCATCTAGGGTTCCAACAATCTTCAGTGCTTGAGAACTCAAGGGCCTAGGATCAGTGCAAATTGTTCTCGAAACCTGCTGATTCTCCTCAGATTATAATGACTCAGGTAATTCATGACTTGACATTTCACTTTGACAATTTACAGATTTATAGATAGGTAGTTCTTGGTTGACCTGGGCCTGTTGTGGCTTATCCATGGCAATTTTGAATTAAGGCTCTTATAAATAAATTTAAATAGAGTTCATGCTTAAATTTCTTTTAATCCTCACTTACGAAATTGGAAAGCAGAAATAAAAGTAAGCTTAGAAAAAGAAAAAGAGGTTATAAGTCAAACAGACTGGGTTCAGAAACCGCTGCTCTTCCAGTTGCTAATAGAATGATCTTTACTTCTCTGAGGCTCAGTTAGTTCAAGTGTAAAATGGAGATTTCAATATTACCTACATCATTATTTTTTGTGAAGATTAGATGAGAAAACCCACTAATGGCTTTAAAGATAGTATTCAGTACGTTCATGTTAACTGTTATTAAGGATGTCATAGGGAATTGATCAGAATGGAGTTCTCGGTGACACAACATGCTCCCAAACCTTACTTTTCCAACATAGCTTCATAATTCTGTTTGAAGTAAGATACCTTTCCCAGAACAGTATAAATTTATTATTCAAATCCAAATTCTCAACTTATTTGTACAACTGCATATAGACTTTAATAAACATAGATAATTATATATGCAACCCAGTTTATGTTTTAATAGGTTATCAGTAAAGTAATGGCAGAAGGTAGAAATAGGATAGTGACAGGTCAATCTACGTCTACCAGACATGCTTAAGAAGTGTTAACGCTTTACTTTATCCAAATATCAGTATTACAGCTTTTTTAAGGGAGGTATTTTAACATTTGAACTCACACTAGTGTAAGTTTAAAGTATACGTTATCTTTAATTACTATTTCCAAAATTAATTATACCAACATTTACTGAATGCCAAAGATGTACCAGGATTATACATAGATCTCAACAACAAAAAACAGTAAAAATATAATAGCCTCAGTATTTTTAATAGAGGGAGAATTATTATTAGTTATAACATAGTTGGGGACTTGGTATAGAAATGTAATATTGTAAGCATGAGACCACATCAGTGAATTAAAACAAACAAATTTTTTGCTGACATACAGTAAAATTTGGCAAGCATTTTAGATGAAAAGTAAAGGAAGAAAAAGAGAATGTTTGGGTTATATATACTGAATGCAGCTTTATTCTTTTCCCTAGTGATGGAGGATTAGATTTCTACATAACATAGGTAATTATTAATATTAATGATAGAAACAATTCATGAGGAAACCTAAAGAATGACATTTAGAAATCACCTTTTTGGGTCTTCTTCTGAAGGCATTACTTATATGACACCTGAATGGTAGAAGAAAGCCTAAGGGTACTTTTTGGGCAGCAATTGCCACCCAGCCTTAACTCATTCCTTACTTTCATCTTCTATCTTTTAGCATGAACTATACCTATGTGAAATATTTGTCTTTGCTTTCAAGAGGAGAAGATGAAAATTAGTAAAATGACCAGAAGTCAGTGAGCATCAAATAACTATTTTGAAAACACCATAGTGTCAGCATTGTAACATGCTAATATCACATAATGAAGTACATTTCTATGCATTCACCAACTGTGTAGTGAGAACATTACTGTGTGGACAACAGTGGGCTATTTCAGTGGGGATACAGCATGGAATTAGGCATTGTGTTTTCCAGATGTAACATTGAGAAGTTAAAATCTAGTACGGTAGATAAATACCTTTAGCAATTAAAAGGTAACACACAACAGTATACACCAAATGCAGTCAGTGGAAGCACAAGAAAATCAGTGATTAATTCTGATTTAGTACACACCATGGGTACTAGGAAGCAGTACCAGGATGTAAAAGGCAACGAGGAAGACATTTATGCACAAAGGACTGACAGAGAGGTGGGGAATCTAAGGTATTCCATATAGAGAGCGAGCCAGATGAGAGGACTTTGAATGTGAATTGAGGAATTTGGGGAATGGTGTCACCCAATTAATGTTTAAGAAAGCCTTAACTATATTTCATAGGACAGGTAGAAGTAAGGAGAGACTGGAGGCAGGCAGAACAAGTAGGAGGCAATAGCAGGTGATGATGGGATTTTTGTCTTGGGTGGCCATGCAATTTCATATAGTGTGAAGTTAATTCTAAAAACCAATAGGTAACTATTTATTAGTTAGAGCCATTATTATTATTAGATACTATGTGATGAGGTAGAACTATTTTTAATTGGAGTATTATTTAAATAACTAGCCTGTAGGACCAGATGTGACTTGACAGTTGTGACTCCAAGATACACTAGGAAAATATGACAAAGGGAGAGAGGTTGAGACTCCAAGAAACTTAATATTTAAGGTTTTAAAATATTCGTAAGACTAACCACTGCTAGAAAAAACGTTGCATTAGATATCTACATTTTAGATAAGTTCCACCAATAATAAAACAAGTGAATTAAGAATTTGAAACATGGTTAAAATAAAAAATTATATGCAGTGTAAGATGAAAAAATTACTGTTTAATATTTTCAGAATTAAAAGAAATAATCAGGAGGATGGGTGTGGGGTAGGAGAGCATATGCTTTTTTTTTCTACTATAACTTTTCCTCTCTTATCAAATTCACTATTTAATCATTTAGAAACATTCTGCTAAATACTCAGTTGATTATCTGACTAAAGTAATTTCACTAAAGTGTGAACAAAGCTTAGTGACTTGTCTACTCTGTGCTAGCCACTGGTATAGGCTGGAGGTGCACTAGTGCAAGAAGCAGACCCAATACTCTGCCTGCATGAAGTTCACTTTCTAATGTGATGAAATAGATAATAAAAAAATCACTAGATGGTATGTTAAAAGGTAATGAGTATTATGAAGAAAGAGCAGACCAAGGAGAAAGAGGGCTGGGGAACATACTGTAATTTTAAATGAGGCCATCAAGGCAGACCTCTCCGAGAAAATGACATCTAAGCCAAGAGGAAGGAATCTTTAAATTTTGGATTTTTAATACAAAATTTGGCAAGTTTTTTTATTGAAATTTTAATTTTTATTGCTTAAAACATCAGTGGAAAAGAAAGGGCAAATTCTTTGGTTAAAGCTTAATCTCTCAAGGGAAAAATATTTATCTTTGTATTTCCACGTATTTCAGTGACGCCTCAGTGATATCCTTATTGAAGTTTTCTCTGTTTTGTAATCCATTCCCTTATCTAGCCTTTTACTAAACGAGAAGACTGGAGACATTCATCCATTTATCTACAGAGCCTAGCAAGGTGCTTGACACCTGGTAGGAGTTCAGTGTCTGAGACTTGAATGTCTAAATGGTCTTATTGGCATATACATTTTTATTAAACACATAGGGATCATGTCATGATAAGGTCCTTTATTTTATAGAACTCACATTTATATAATCCTTTGGTTACTTTTCCTGACATTCTACAAGAATACACTCTTCTTTTCATTAAGATTTCCTTTGTACTTCCCCTTTTCAAAGTAAGACGTGCTCTGGCAGTAGGCACTTAAATTATACTTAAATGTTATAATCTAATTCCTAGCCTGTGGACCTCTGTCAACGAGGACTGAGGATACTAAAATATCTTATGATAGTAACAAGGTGATTTCTTTTATACTCCTTGGAATGAAATAGCATTTGGGGAACTGTTAGTTAGAAGAAAGGATTCCAAATAATAGCTCTTTGTTCAGTGTTTGTCCATCAATTCATAGATAAGTCAATTGGCACTCATCATTTTAAATGCATCAGGGGCCAGTGTAGTTAGGAGATATATAGAGAGTACTTTAGGCAGTAAACAGAGGCTTTGTAACAATATAATGTGTAGTGGGAAAGAGGATTGGAAGATCTATAAAAACTGCCAAAAGAACCAAAAATATAATTAAAGCAGCAAAAAGACATATTGAACACAATCTCAGGGACTATTTCACGCAATAGCAAATGTCTCTTCAACTACAGAGATGGAAAGCAAAATAGAAAACTAGTTTCATGAAGGGAGTGAGAAAAATACCAAACAGAATTGTAGGAATAGGCTCACAAGTGTTGATTTTCTTATGCTAATTTTTACCCTTCTTTAAAATGATCAGAAAGTGTCTAACCCAGATATGGGATAATTTGAAATTCTCAGATGAGAAAAGAGAAAAGCAAAATAAAAATATAAACAAAGGTAATATTTTAAGCAAGCATGTCTCAGAGTAGCACAGATAAACTGATATGTAGAAAACTATTGAAATTTACAGTCTACACTCAAATTTTGCCAACTAAATACAGTTGGTTTAGGTTCTATCAAAGTTACATATTATCTAAATTTTTTTCTTTTTCTTTTCATTTTGTAAAAGCATGGAGGTTTACACACGATTTCCTCAAGAACAAAAAAAACAATATTTCCAGTAGAAAATATTTTTCGATGGCAAATTTTCATTACTTAGACGAGAGGTTTCACCTAATAAAACACATCAGAGTTACCTGGGGAGTTTTCCTAATAAACACACTTCTATTCAGACCCATTAGCAGAGATATTTGCATAGCTTATAATAATCTTTAGAAATACACTGAATACTATCACTCTTACTTTCTAAAATCTTCAACTTCTGTCTTGAATTGTAATTAGACAAAAACTAGCAAATTAAAACAAAATTTAGAATCAGAATAGCACATTATCAGAAGAAACATGCGAAGCTGATTTCCTGGATACAGAAGCAGAATTCAGACTTCTGTATTAAGATCATTTCTTCCATAGAAGTCTGGTTTCACTCATAATAAATAATAAATAAATAAATTATTGTGGTTTCCTTTGTGCTGAGTAACTCTAAAGTATTTTTAAATTTAGTGAAGACAAACTCCAACTATTTAAAGTGTCAAGCTTGAGATTTCAAACACTGGGTCGAAGGAAATAGATAAATCTTTAACTCAAAGATAATTTGATAAGCCTAGTAAAGGACAAAATATTTTTGGCTAATCTTGCCCAGGAACACACGCATATGCTCACTCACACACATACAAACACACATAAAATGTACAGTAGAGTACATTGTTCAATCTTTCTCAGAAATACAAACTTGAAATTCACATATCGTACCTCTGATTTAAAAAAACTAATAAAATTATCTGTTGAGAGGAACATCTTAAACATATCCTATCAATTTTAATGGAAAACACTAACATAGTTTTGTGTGTAAATGTAAGTTAATAGGTATACACACTCACACATAAACAAGACGTCGGAATATAGTATATTGGTTTAAAGGTAATCAAGACATTATTTTACATTGCAGAACACAATCATTCTAATGACAAGAGACTTGGGTGCTTTGGATCTAAAAGAGGCATCTTATTTCTACAGAGAGAATTATTATAGAAAAATAACGGGCTTTCTTCATTTTAACATTTGAAAAATTGAGTGCATGTTATAAAGCAAGAGGAACATAGAAACAAAGGTCTAGAAATCATTTATGGAGTTCCTGCTGCCTACTAAAGTTTGTGTGTGTGTGTGTGTGTGTGTGTGTGTGTGTGTGTGTGTGTGTGTGTGTGTGTATGTGTAATGGGAGTGGAGGTGGGGTGGCAAGATTTAAAAGGATTAGGCACTTTGGCCTCAGTCCTAAAACTGTAAGGGAAGTAAAATGAAGAATTAGTATTTTTTTTTGTCTTCGATGACTACACTTAAACCTTGCAGAAAGAATAGCACAATGAACTCCTTTACTTCAGGAAATTCGACTCATGGCCAGACTTCTTTTCTCTATATGCCTGTCTATCCCCCTGACTGCTGATTACTTTGAAGGAAATCTCAGATATCATACTATTTTATCCTTGAATATTACAGTGTATATCTTTTAAAAGGCAACAACTTAAAAATGTAACTACAATCCTAAGAAGATCAATCTTAAAAAATTACTTAGTATAATCAAATATCAATTTATGATTCTAATTTCCTCAATTATTGCAGATATGTTTTTCTTTATACTTTAATTTTTAAAAACCACATTCTAATTAGTTTGTCCTATAGAGTTTCTTAGAGAATCTGTATTTTGTCTCCTAAGGTGTAGTTGAAAACATTTCTCTCTCCCTTGAATTTTACGGAAATTGAGAGTTAGATTTAAATGGTTTCAACAACAGAATTTAGAGTATTTATAAGGAGTAGATGATGTCTGCTTCTTAAATGTTTTTCCAGTTGTCCCTCTTCTTAGCTAAGAATTTGGTAGACACTGGCTCAAAGATTATTATGGCAAAGTTATCAAATTCCGAATGCCATAGTATAGAGAAGGAAGTAGACATGGATATAATTAACTCTAATAAAAAAGCAAAATACAATATACTTCTAGAATGTTCCACAGTGCTTGGTTTTGTGTCAGCATTAAGAGAGTGATAAAGTTTCAGTTTCTTCATGAACATAATTCTGGCATGGAAAGGGCAACCCTTGGGACAACTCCATCAAACACAAGAGCTCTGTGGAACACAGTTTGATAGATAATCTTGAAGATTCCTTCTGGCTCTAAATCTCAGAGTGATGATGAGCTGTATGGTACAATTCACAATGTTTTTGCAAACTCATGAACTTTCCTTAAAGCTATTCTTGAGCAAAGCTAGGGAATGATAAAGGGGAAAAGACAGATACATAACATTTCAGCTAAAGTGAAGTATTTCTGGCTTGTTAACAACTCTACAAGTAAACTTAGAATAGACAATGTATCTGCATGCTTCAGTTCCTCTTCCAAGAAAACAAAACAAAACATCTGCCAGTTACAAGAGCTATATATTTGAAGAAAAGTGACAAGTAATAGGAAAGCAACTGGAAATCTGGGCATTATGGTTTCATTAAATATACTGTGCCTTTATTTAATATGTCTGTGTATTTTACCTTTGGAATATTTTTGTGTGTTTTGTATTATGTATTCTGCTAAGATTCATGCAACTGTTTCTTCAGGCACAGACAGCACACATTGTCCTGGAAGATGGAACTAAGATGAAAGGTTACTCCTTTGGCCATCCATCCTCTGTTGCTGGTGAAGTGGTTTTTAATACTGGCCTGGGAGGGTGAGTAATGCTTTTCCAAGGCTTTATTTTTCCTCTAGTAGAGAAATAACTGGAAGATCTCACTCATGGTGGTAAGTTGAAATCACTGCATCGTAGTAAGACTACGTATTGTCCTGAAGTTGCACCATGCCTTGTGCATAGCCTACTGCTGCCGTCCTTGAAAGAAAGTTAGACATGAACTTCCTGCTACTGTAAATGAAAGACAACATGGGCACACTGGTGGTCCCCTGGATAAAAAGAACAAAATGAATTCTAGAAACTTAGGTTGTGAGGACACAGGTTATGTGAGATTACCAAATGGTTTCTGTAAGGGGAGGTATGGGTCTGATTAAGGTGAAAATCGGAGCAAGGAAAAGAATAGATAGTATATTCTAGTGCTATTTCATTAGGAAAGAATCAATTTTGCACATCTAATATGAAATACTATAAGAAGATTAGAAAGTCCTTGGGTATTTTATATAATTTTGCACTCTAGTAAGAAAGTTGAAATAACAGATACATTTATTATCTTTAATCAATGAGGGAGCATCTGTGTAGATCTAATATTTTCAATAATTATCAACTGTGACCTGCCTTAGTATTTAAGACCTGCTAACATGTACAGCAATGAAAACGAGAGTTGCTACAGAAATTAAGTGGCTGCTTTTACCTAGTTAATAAATGTTTGTTCACCTGGGAATCAGGAGGCTGAAGTTCTAGTCTCAATTCTAAGGATAACTAATTATATAATATTGGGAACATCACTTAAGCTTTTTGAGTTCTAGTTTCTTCATATAAAAAGTGAGGGGGTTGGATTAAATACTAATTTACAGCTGGGGATTTAAACAATTATGTGTCTTAAAAACATGACTAGATTGATTGAAGGGGTTTCCAATACAGATTCAATCCAACTAGTATTCTATGAAATATTTGATAAATTCTTTAGAGAAATTCAAGTTAGTCTCATAAAGACAAGGGGGCATTAGGTTCACTGATACTGAATATACTAATTGACCAAACTTCCATTATATTATTAATTTATATTCTTTCTTAAACTCTTGCCTCCCTGTGTGAAATGAAGAATATTAGAGGGGTTTTTAAATAGTTCCACTGGTGAGAACATTAAATTACAGTGTATGAAATCTGTTTGCAAAGTTTTGCTTCACCAGGCAATTATTTAAACTTTTCGACAGCACTAATTACTAGCTGTGTTAATATACCTGCCAACAAACAACTGTTTAATATAGATCAGCATGATGGAGGGCACTAGAGTTTTCTTCTCTGTGATAGTTTACAGGTAATAAATCTTGTCACATCACAAAAGTCAAACAGGAGCTGATGGATTAATTTGCTCCCAACACTGTAGTTCTCTAAAACAAAGTATATTTATTCATTTACTGAAGAGTATTGTAAGCATATGTTTAAAGGGAATGGTAAGTTCTTTTATGGAAAGAAAGAAGAAAGAGAAGTAAAATCAAATTAATTAAAGTTTTTTTTTGATGTAGGAAAAGGTATTCATCTATAAGATTAGTCCATAGACCCTATTTTCCATTGAGAAATGCTTCTTTCATTCATTACGTGCCTCACTCAGTAAGGTGGTTGATAATTAAAGGGGTTATTTTGTTTTTCATCTTTAAGCAATGCATTTATATTGTGGGCAAGCCTTGGTTAAAAAATTATCAGTTCCTGACAGATAAGAGACATCTGAGAAATTAGCTGATGGAAGCTGCGGAAAAACACCACAGCCCTCGAGTCACCTTAGGGATTGCAGAGCTGAAAGACTATGTATTTTGTTGACAAGGTTAGTTCTGGTAGGCGTTAGTCTGGATGGTGTTGAAGAATTTATGTTGACTACTGCCTGCGTTAAACTTTATTGGTTTCAAAGTCGTTGATTCTGTGCCCCTGAGCACCTAAATTCACTTTCAGTTGTAATCCACAAAAAAGGATTTAGCTTAACTCATTTTGCAGAAAGTGGACATGGAAGAGAGCAGGAAAAAAACCTCAATTGCAGTGTATTCCAGTGCATGGAAAAAGTGTAGATAGCTCCTGGTATTCATGGGAATAACGTTTCTTCTTCTTAAGAATAAGAAATATGTGTGTGTGTGTATATACACACACGATATGTATATGCACACACACACACACACACACACACACGATATATTTGTATTTTTCCTCTCACCCAAACTTAAAAATATAGCCCTCCTGCATTCCTCCCTAATTCCATATCAGTACTTTAAAATAGTTAGTTGGCATCTTTTAACTTAGAAGTCAGAAATCCCTCAAGTCAAGTCTGCGAGATGAATTTTTTTCTAAGCAGATAATAACTTTCAAACTTATATGCTTCTTTCTAAAATTAAAATATTTTAAAAATCAACTTTATTGAGTTATTCTTTCATATAAATTAACTCACTTATTCTAAATATTCATTGAATTTTAATAATCATATATACTCATGCAACCACCACTAACACAATCAGGCTACTCTTCAGTATCCTAAAAAATATCAAGAAAAACTTTTCAATGTTTCGATGGTTACTATCTTGGTGAAACTGGCAGCCCTCAACAGTAAATATCAGTTTGGGCTCAATGATATCTGGTAGGCCAGGGAAATCTTTAGAGTATCTGCAAACTTTAAATAGAGCAGGGATATTTTAAAAATTAAGATGCTAGCAAGGGATTTTTAAAGGAATTAAAAAATTTAAAGAAATTGAGGGAATAAAACTTATATGAAAATATACCTTGGTACTCACGAGTTGGTTTTTCTTTATATCAATGACATCGTGGTATAAATTTTTATATTCTGTCATAACATTTCCCCAGGTACGTTAAAATCTAGAGACATTCTTGTTGGATTCTTCTCATTTTCAAGGGTTAAATAATTCAGAGCATGTATGCAGATTATAGCTTTGTAGTTACATACATTATTTGCTGATAATTTTTTGGCATGTTTACCCAGGTACCCAGAAGCTATTACTGACCCTGCCTACAAAGGACAGATTCTCACAATGGCCAACCCTATTATTGGGAATGGTGGAGCTCCTGATACTACTGCTCTGGATGAACTGGGACTTAGCAAATATTTGGAGTCTAATGGAATCAAGGTAGTACCAGTGGTGGCCATTTAAAAAGTCTCAATTTGAGGGAGTATAGTTGACTTATTCTTAAGAATTAGGATGGCCAAACTTTCTTCCTCAATACGGTAGTACAAATCATTAAGCTCATGTATTCAATCTTATTCCTAGGTACATGAGAATAATCTTTAACTTGACAGTATTTTGAGTTTCATTTCTCAGGGCACTTTGAATTTTAATGCGTTGGATGAAACTTGGCTTAACTTGAAAAAAATGTTATAAGTTCAAATAACAACTATGCTATAAAAGGATTGGGGAAGAATCACCTTTTAAAAGGAATTTGGTAATGAATTCTGTATCAATTATTTGCTTTTTAATCTTAGCCTCTAGGGGATGATTTAAAGATAGCTTTTATGCCAGTCTAAAAGTAAACATATTAAGATTTCCTAAACAAGGTAATTTTGGATACTCTCTTAGGAATATATATCATATAAACAATTCAAAAATTTATATTCCAAATTCAATACTATTTTTTCACCATTCCATTTTTGAATGACTTCAACTGATCATTTAACTTAGTTTTCACTATTTCTCACAATTTCCCATCAATTTTTTCTCTGCTTTAAGTATAAATTAAAAATGATTTTGTTCATCATGTGCATTAAGCCAGTAATTATTAATTAAATTCTTGATAAATGCCATGCATGTCAGAAGGGGGACCTAGTTTAGTCTCAGGATTTACCAAGCCAGGTAAGCCTGCTCCCTCTCAGGATAATTAATGCAACAATTACATATTTTAAAAGAAGGGCATTGATTTTTTTTTTTTTGCCTCTTGTTTTTAAAAATCCTAAGTCTCATGTCAGTGGATATCATAAAACTTAAAAACAAATGCAAATTGACTCACAAGAGTTGGATAATATCTTGTGATAACCTCTTTAAAATGACTGTCTGTCTTTCTAGGTTTCAGGTTTGCTGGTGCTGGATTATAGTAAAGACTACAACCACTGGCTGGCTACCAAGAGTTTAGGGCAATGGCTACAGGAAGAAAAGGTAAGAAATGTAATAGGGCATCCATCATCACCTAAGGAAGGTTGAGAAGGTGCCTGTAGATTCAGAAGTGCCAAGCAGACAGAGGAAGATCATGTAGTTTGGGATCTTTGCATTTCAGAGAGGGATTCCTTCTCTTACTACATAAAGGCTGAAATGTCTGAATTCCTCCTTAAATGCTGATGAGCACATATTTTCAGTTTATCCACTAGGTGGCACTCATACATGCTTGGTAGCACTTCACATTTGGGAAGGGAGGGGTAAGATAAAATTTTAGCATTTTCTCTTCTCTTTAGCAATTGAGTCTTTTACTCTCCTTCACCGTTTTATCTAGAATGTAGTAATGGAACTTGCTTCATGGGTTCTAGTGTTCTAGTACCAGCTCTACTGTTAACTGGTTGTGTAACTTTGTGCAGGTCACATAATCATTCTATGCAATACTTGCATCATCTCTCATTCTTATGAGTATAAGCAGATTACCATCAAGTCTCGTTGGGCTTCAACATTATGACATGTAATTATATATAATTTCATTTGACATATTAATAATGTAAGAAAAGGGTTATAAAACTTTATCTTACACTTTTAGTTTAAATATTAATTTCTTTTCTTTTTTTTGAGATGGACTTTCACTCTTGTTGCCCAGGCTGGAGTGCAATGGGGCAATCTCAGCTCACTGCAACCTCCACCTCCAGGGTTCAAGCTATTCACCTGCTTCAGCCTCCCCAGTAGCTGGGAGTACAGGAGCCTGCCACCATGCCCGGCTAATTTTTTGTATTTTTAGTAGAGACGGGGTTTCACCATGTTGGCCAGGCTGGTCTCAAACTCCTGACTTCATGTGATCCACCCGACTCAGCCTCCCAAAGTGCTGGGATTACAGGCTCACATGAGCCACCGCGCCCAGCCATAAATATTAATTTCCAATGAAAAAAGAGCATTTGCCTTGTTTGGATGTTAGAAGTACTTAAGTTAATGGACCTGCTTCAATTAACTTCATCTCCAGTGTTGCTGTAGCTGCTTTTTGTTCAACTGCTGGGCCTGTAATTGACAGAATTTTATTCTACGAAAGTGCTGCCTCTCCAATGAGTGTCTATCTATGGGGGCTAAACATTGCTGCTTTCTGAAAAATAAAAAAAATCTTGATCCTGGCTCTTTAGATCTCATTCTTTCTAAATTTTAAAAGGGAGAAGAAGGCATCCATATCATATCCTGGGCCATAGCCATTTTCTTCTCAACTATTATCTGAATTTATCTTCCTTATCCAGGCAGCTAATTTCTGTAATCGTCATTTGGGAGACACTTCTCTCCCCCCAGCCCCCAACAACCCAAGCTTTCCTTTTCCTTTTTGTTATTTAGGACACTTGTTCTCATAGCTTTTCTATGTCAGAACTAATAGTTTTAGTGTAAGCCTAACCAACGGCTTGTAAGTTCGTTTTTTAAATGTGCTTTGAACCTTCTTCCATGATCACAGACATGTAGAGTAGAAAAGAATCCAAGATAATAACCAGTTCACCTCCTTCAATTTACCGGTGAGAACAAATACATTGCTTAAACATTTCTCAGATAATTAGTGGAAGAAAAAAAAACTAGAACATGTTTTCATTTTTTAACCTCTTTTTAAAAAAATCTTATTTTAGTAAAAAGCCTCCCGTGGGATAGAACCTGTTTTCTTGATTCCTAACTCATTACTCTTTCATTATACCACATGTGTCTCTATCCAACGTAGTCAAAGAACCTTAAAACAAATGGTGGTCCTGCCTGATGGACTAACAGGATGATCATGTTTTAGTACAACATGACTACTCAACATGGCCCTTCAGAAAAATGTGTTGAGTGCCTACTCTGTGCCAGGAACATTTGGCTCAAAACATGGATTTGCATATTATTGCTTATGAAGTTCACCAATGTGATTTAACTTACTTAACATCCTGGGTTAAAAGCAATAGAAGTGTAGCAGAAGATTGATGTTCAGAATTTCTCATTTTTTTACTCTGAGAAAGAACCTGGGTATTAAGAGTCCTATGCCTAACTGTAGCAACAATTTACTGTGTTCTGACAATACAGTCACCCTGGGTCAGAGAAAAGAAAGAGTGGAGAAATTATTTACTGCTCAAGAAGATAGATGAGGCCAAGTTTGTAACTTGAAAACAATATGCTGGATTTAATCTCCTCCAATTTCACTGTCACTACAATTTTTTTCTTATAGGTTCCTGCAATTTATGGAGTGGACACAAGAATGCTGACTAAAATAATTCGGGATAAGGTATAATCATCATCTTTAGCCAAATCTATGTTTCTTCGGGTGTGTGTGTGTGTGTGTGTGTGTGGTGTTTCCCTCAGTGCCTAAGGGATCCATTAATATGTAAAGGAGTGAATCTGGCCAGCTTCTGCTATCTGGGTCTCTGTTATTTTGTTTTACTATTTTCACTGTAATTTTCAAGATTGAATACTTGATTGGTATGTTTTTAACTGAATGGACTTGAGATTCATTCACCTGGCAGCTTATTGAGTGCCCACTATGTGTTCATTATACCAACAAGTCAAGGAATTTATAATTCAGCTCATGTGATAGAACTTTAGTGAAACAAGTGGAGAAGGTAACAAATTGCATAACAATTTTGCCTGAAGTGAAAACCTACATGCTGAAAAATACACTCCAGGAAGTGTACAGCATTGTTACTGTTATTTGTTTTGTCCTTGTGAAAGAGTTATTTGTAAAATTAATGCATTATCTTTCATGAATGTGCCAAATAAGCCTTGCATGCATTACTTCAATTATATAGTCTTTGTTGAGACCATATCAATAACCAAGGTGATAAAAGGGAAGGTTATCTTTTGCTTTCAGTGAAGTCTGATTGCTACAACATCTGACCCCTCCTCTGAGAATATCTCATCACCATCTGCTTGTTGAGTTTATTATTATTTTACTTGAAATTTCCATATTCCAAATCTGAAAGAAACATTACGTCACTAACGTTAACTAAATTCCCCAAATGCAACTAAAGTTTTCTTACTAAATATAATTACATAAAAATAAAAAGATAAATGACACAATTTGAAACTACACATGTGGGCTGGGTGCAGTGGGTCATGCCTGTAATCCCAGCACTTTGGGAGGCTGAGGCAAACGGATCACTTGAGGTCAGGAGTTCGAGACCAGCCTAGCCAACATGGTGAAACCCATCTCTACTAAATATACAAAAACTAGCCAGTTATAGTGGTGCACACCTGTAATCCCAGCTACTTAGGAGGCTGAGGCAGAAGAATCACTTGAACCCGGGAGGCGGAGGTTGCAGTGAGCTGAGATCATGCCACTGCACTCCAACCTGGGCGACTACAGGACCCTGTCTCAAAAAAAAAAAAAAAAAGTACATATGGGAAAAGGAGTCTTCAAAAAATTTTTTTGTAGATTTCTTGTTAGGATATATACATATATATATTGACACAGGCTTTCTGTAAACAGAAGGAAAAAACAGCTTTGAAAATAAAAACATGGCCAAATACCCATGACCAGAAGGAAGACAGTGAGAGTTTATGCCATCATTCTATCCCACCTCTGATTTTATTCACTCTACCACGATTTTCCTGAGAATAGGTGTTAGTGAAATTATATATCCCAGGGAGATTCTTGTGTTCTCTCAGCCTAATGATGTGTGTGAGCAGTAAGCAATGACGAGGCTATGAGGGCGGGAAAGGAATACAGTTGGGAAAATCAATTCAGATGGCAGAATTGGCAGGTTGAATAAAATATAGTCAGGCCTAATGATTCAGGAAAACTTTACAAGACCGCACTTGTCTTTCATGTGATATGTTAGGTTAAAACGAGCCCTCCTTTTATCATAGGCAGTTAGGTTTTCAAAATTGGCGGAATAGATTGGCACAGACAAAACAGTATTGCCTCATATTTCTTTATCAGTGATGGTGGTTCATATTAAAAATGTATATTATGGCTTTCACTTCTATTAACCTTAATTTGAAAAGTAAGATCGTATTTCATTCAGCATGTTTTAAGAAAAGGGGAAGGAGAACTAAAAACCAATTTTCAAAATTAGGGATCCATAAATATAGACAAGGGGTTATGCGACTTGGATTATAAAAGTAAATACAGGCCACCATGAAATGTAGTAATCTACTATGGAAGTGAAAGGTGGTTTTTAGGTAGTGTTCCCAGACTTAGAGGCAGCACTCTGAATTTAATAACAGCACTGAAACATCCATCATGCTTGCATGACACATAGGTACTTTCTACTCTCACTTACCCCCAAGTGACTTCTCCTTCAAGGAATACATTTAAAAGGGAAATGAAAGCTTCCTTCTATTTCCTTCCATGCAATAATTTCATCAGAGAAGGGCATATCAATGAATTATTTTGAATTTTTACCCCTCAATAGAATCTTGATTACTAAATATAGCATGCCATTTTTCTAAGTAGTTCAAAGCAGACTTACTAACAAATAAGTAAATCTCAAGATACAGCTGAAAAAAGGTGACATTGTCGTGTTCAAGCTAGCAAGGATAGTTTGTGAAAACTTTACAGAGGGTTGAACATTCTTTCAATTCAGGCCCATAGGAACACTTGGATATGAACATGCCTAAACAGTGAATATTTTCATTTCAAATTCTAGAAGTTTATGACTTATGTTGCATTTCATCTTCTTTGTGAATTAATATTACTATCATAATGAATGAATTCCCGCTTTTTTTGTGATTTTTAGATTCCTTATTGTCTCAATAGATTTTTTTTGTCCATTTCTCTCATGAAATGTCTTTAGGTCATATACGCTGAGTAGTGTAAGTTTACTAAATATCCCGATTTGCATCAGCCTGGAGCCTGGAGACCTGAATTCTGATGCCTTTTGACTTTGCCTTCATCAGGCAATGGTGTCAGCCCTAGAAGAACTAATTGTATTTCCAAGAGTATTTCCCAAAATGTATGTGCAAATTGCTTAATCTTTTCAGTTTGAGAAGATGAAGATCTTCCATGATGGTTACGAGTAGTTATAAAGACATCTAAGTCTTGCAGCAGCTGTTTAAAGTCCCTGTGAGTTTATCTTGTCAACACCTTTATCGTTGCTTCCTTTTAACTGTCTAATTTTTTTAATTTGATAGGGTACCATGCTTGGGAAGATTGAATTTGAAGGTCAGCCTGTGGATTTTGTGGATCCAAATAAACAGAATTTGATTGCTGAGGTTTCAACCAAGGTGAGGGGTTTTCCTTTATATTTTGTAGTTTTATTTGATCCCATTTAGACCTTCTTGAAATATCAAAATCTTTATTTAGGCAGAGTTTATCTTCCAGAAGCACCAGTGTTCAGGGGTAGAAAGGGATCTCATAGCAGCTAAAATACACCTTACAAAATCAGTGCATTTAAAGCTGGTTTTACTTACAGGCTTACATGGGAAACTTCATGCCCCAATTTAGAGGATTTTTACTAAATTTAGTGTTCCTTCCACCTTTTCTGATTCTTCAGCTTAGGATTTTAACAATGTAAAATAAAGGAAGCACTGAATTGCCAAAGATAGGTCCAGTGATGATGAGGAGTCAGAGCTAGTAACCTGCCAGAGAGCCAAGAGAATTTTACAGAAATCAGGCACAGTAATCAGAATCTGGGGGCATTTTGTGCAGGAAAAATATTTATTCATACACTAAAGATTTATTGTGTTATAGCTTTGTTTCAAAATTAATGTTCGTAACGATGACTGAGTCACCCTAAAGTGAAATATCTTTAGTATACATTTATAAAAAGGTAAAGAATACATTTTAGAAAGAAGTCCATTGGTTTTGATTGAATATCTACTAATGTAGGTGTGAGTGAGTTTCTTGAGCTACAGTCTCTGTCCTTGGGGAGCATAGAGCCTGGTGGAACAAACAAGCAAGTAAATCACCATGTGCAGAATCCTGTGATAAATGCTGTCCTTGGAGTGTTCATAGCATGCTGCAAGGGCATGCATGGGGCAGCATTGAAATGGGATAGGTGGATCAGAGAAGGCCCTGTAGAAATGTGAGTCCTGTTTTGAGACACAAAGAGCGGGTAGTAACAGTAAGGTAGATGAAGAACCAGGAGAACTTTGTTTCAGGCAGAAGGAATGGCTTGCCAAGAGGCATAGAGGTACAGAACAACATAGTATATTTGAAGAGTTACGCACAGTTTGGGATGGCTGAACCAAGGGGTTCACACCTATTGGTTTACACACTTGGGCAAGGATAAGTGGAGATGGACTGACTGAAGCTAGGTCTAGAAGGTTTCATATCATTGGCTAATCAGCACTTCCAGAAACTATTGTCAACTCATTTGGTGTCATTTTGGAGCAAAGTAAAGCTGAATAAAAGAGCAAGCAACTAGAAGGTTATTGTAACTTATCAGAACAAAACTCACGAGAGCCTGAACTGAGCAGTAGTAGCAAGAACAGATACGGCAACCTAGGCCGCTTATACAAATGGGAGGAAGAGGGGCTGAATGAGGTCAGGTAAAAGATCACCTTACTTTCTCAGCTAAGGATTTCAACTAGTTAGGTTGAGCATAGTGATTATGTCATTTGATATCTGAGATGTTTATGGGATACTGCTATGAAATTTTTTTAAAGAAAAGTTTTTGATCCGCTTTGAAACTTAAAGGAAGAATTGCTACCTTCTGTTTTTACTACATACAATGGGAGTTAAAAATAGAGCTTCTCTTTCCTAGGACTATGTATTTGGTTACCATGGGGCTTTACATGTGGAGAATTTAGCCCTGTGGAAGCCTATGTGGCATCACAGCTATTGGCTGGTTCTACCTTGGGGTTTATTTATACTATAGCAGAGATGGCTACAAACTTCTCTTCCATCACCAGTGTGGCAATGGAATTTCTCAGAGAAACTCTACTTTATCCAAGTAGAAAGTGAGTGTTATTTTGACAAAGGCGATTGAAATTCTTAGAAAGGAAGGAGTAGAAAATGTACATGTGGACGCAAAATTTGATTTTAAATAGATGTATTCACCACAACATTTTATTTCTAGATATAACATACACTTTTTTGCCCATGATATTTCATAATTATCGTGGTCCATTCAATGTGGCAGCTCTGGTCTTCAAGGAAAATAATAACAACCAAGCTTTTTTGAACACTCAGTTAATTTTCATAAAAACTCCATGTCATAGATGAAGAAACTGAGGCTTAGCAAGTAAGTCTATTTAAAATCAAATGTAACTTGCCCAAGTTTAGTGTCAATTTGAATTCAAGTGACTCCAGAGTCTCTGTGGCTAACCTCATGCTATTTTTCTTTCCATTTTGATGGGAGTTTGACGGAAAAGCTTTAAAAAGCTCAATTTCTAGATTTATGTTCCATGAATTCAAGAAACCTCTTCAAGACTCCCTGTGAACCAATTTTCTATTTGGCCTGCTTCTTACAAGGCCTGAATATGTTTGTTTGCTTCTCTACGTAGAAATCTTTTCCCATGCTTTCTCCTTCCCCTTCTCGCCTGAAGAAGTCAGTTTCAAGAGTCAGCTCATTGTTCCTTTGTGAAGCTTCCATGACTCATCTCACCTTTGGATCCCATGTCATTTAATAAATAGCTTCAGTATAACAAGGATCAAATTGCATTTAACTCTTTGAAAGGATTGTCTCTTTCACTTGTCTTGGTTGGCTCTTTGAGGGGAGAGGCCATGGTTTACTTATTTGAATCCCCAGCACTGCCTATAGTACCTTTCACATAGTACATGGTCAACAAATAATGAATAAATAAAGGAATATACAAAGCCAGTAAATGGTAGTTACAGTTGGTGGTAAAGAAATTGCACATTCTTATTTTCCCTTCAAATCCTTTAATCAGTGTTTCTTATGGTTCTATGACCTCCATTATTAATATAATAAAATTATCATTATTACTAATAACTGTAAGTCTTATTAATAAAAAATAGGCACGATCTATTGAGTACTTATTATCTGCTAGGTTTCTTCTCAATGCTTTACACTGATTAATTTATTCCATCTTCAGTGTAATTATATGAGATGGGTATTATTAGGAACTCATTTACTGATGAAGAAACTAGGGTGTAGAGAGATTAAATACCTTCTTCAGTGTGAATGGCCATAGGATTATACATAGGAAGGCTTGGTCTAGTGTCTGTCTCTCAGAAAACATCATCCCATACTGCCTTTCAACATAGTAGAAATAATAGTTATGCAACTAACAGTTATACTATTAGTAACCATCCTTATACTACCATGTGATAATATTCAAATAAGTTTACATTGTTTCACTCCTTATACCTTTTACATATGCAGAGTAAGGATTCAAGAATTTTAAATCAGAAATGGTAAAATATGTGAATATGTGAATAGACTGGAAACTGACTCTGCTTGTATGGGTATCCTACCCGCTCCTGTGACAAAACCTTGTCATTGAGAGTCTTTAGAAAGGATGTTCCCATGCCCTTCCTGACACCTGTTCATCTGGGAAATGATTCATGTTGTGATACAGCACCAATCAGAAGGCGTATAGAGGACATTTCATAAGGAAGAGTTCCAGCGTGAGAGTTTTTAAAGGCTTTAAAAAAAGTTATTAAAAGAGTAAAACAGTCTGATCAGTAACATGTAAGACTCAGAGAAAACACACATTGATATTATCTGGTATTCCGGCTCCTGTCACGTGAAAATGAGAGACAAGGATTTTGGGTTCCTAGAAATTAGTACTGAGTCGTGATGTTCATGTCGGGCAGGGATGTGCATTCAAAACATGCTGAAGCCTAAGAAGTATGTGTTGTTAAAGAAAATCAATTTTAAATTAGATATGTAATTACTTATATGTATGGAATTTGATCATGGTGTTTGCAATACTCACTTCTGATTTTTAATTTTAAAATTGGTCCCATTCATATGACTTCCCCTTGTTTTACATATTTCCCTGTGAAATGATTTAGTTTGAAACACAGCATGATAGAGGGTGATGATAGATGATAGAATGTTAGAATTGAGAACTGCCTTGGTGGTTTAGTCTAGCATTTCCTAAACTGGAAAACAGTGGTGTGGAGCAATTCATCTTAAAAAATTCTGTGGTCAAGCAAGGTTGCAAAATGCTGCATAAGATATTCCTCTCTGTTAAGTCCAAGCACAAATCCATATATGCAAGTATCCATGAGGTCTTGTGTAACTTCTGTTATTCTTATGGACAGTATTTAATGTGTTTGTGTAGAGACCAGCAAAAATGAGCATATCTGTGTTTTTATCTGTGTCCAATCAAGGGAGATGCTGCAGTGGTGAAAGCTGGCTCCTTTGTTTCTTAATGTCAGTGCAATTAAATAATATTACTATAGCTATGATAAAATGCGTATTTGTATCAGGAGATTACATATATTTTGTGAGTTTTGTTTGACTACATGCCTTGGAAATGTTGATAACTTCATTCATTATCTTGTAATTACAATTTTCTGTAGCTACAACTAGATGGTAATATTGCTTTATTTTACATCAGAAGCCTAAGGTTAAGAAAAGATCTATACTTTTTCAAATTATTTGATGAGAAAGATTACCTGTGACATTCAATTCAGCAATAACTCCCCCCAGATCTTGAAAGGATTAGGGTATTTTTTTTTCCTTCAGAATAGTCAGTGGGAGAAAAAAAACCCCAGATATAGTTTATATATTTTTTCCTCAACTACAGTCTAAGGATTATAATTTCACATTCTATACAGACTTAGTGGAGAGGTAGATATTTCAGTCAAAATAAACTGTTCTTTCAAATACTCAGTTTGTACTTTTCATCTGAAAATTTTCACAAACGATGAAATCATCCTAAATTCATAGCGTGCTAGCTAACTCTCAAAGCAGGAACCGGTGTGTGTGCCCACCCTTCTAGGCTTTCTCTCTATTATTTCTCCTTTTATGACTTTGGGGAGCTGCTTCTTGGGTTAATGCCTGTGAAAATAGATCTGCCTCCCAGCCGTGCTTCAGACATAGATAATGATTATGATATGCTCTGGGATCTTTTTATGAAATCTACCATTTAAATGCAAACAATTGCACGGCAACCTAAAGGGACTGGTGGTCTATACCTGCTTAGCAATTCCTGTGACTCTTATACTGATTTTATCCATTAGGCCCAACTGCAGAAGCCTTATGTACAGTAATTCAGCTTTACCCCATTTGATCTTTACTGCAAGTTGAGGATCAAGTGGTATTTAAAGCATGATGTATCTATTGCCACATCTGTCTAGTGCTGAATCAGGCAATAATGCTTAAACATTTCATTGCTACCAGTTGTTAATGAGGCAAAACATGAGAAAGATGGTTAACTATGCATGCAACCAGTTTCTTAGAGATCATTGTTATTACTATAATCAACCGTTTATATAAAACAGCAAAGTCTTTTTTTCTCATAAAAAAGATACAGTCTGTGGCACTTGTTGTGCCTTTCTTACAAACTGTTTGTTAACTGCCAGTCACTCCCTAGTAGTTAACAATCAATCTGTTACCAATCTAAGTTCAAAACATTGTCAGATGTGTTTATGATTTTGGTCTGTTGCCCATAGCTGGGACTTCCCTCTCATTCTCTGGTTTTTAAAATGGCAGGATGTCAAAGTGTACGGCAAAGGAAACCCCACAAAAGTGGTAGCTGTAGACTGTGGGATTAAAAACAATGTAATCCGCCTGCTAGTAAAGGTAAGTAATTTGTTCATTTCAAAGGTGAGGGTTTGTCATATTGACCATTAGTGTTCAGCTAATTTCCTCTGTCACAGAGAAACTTATGCATTCTTTCAGAATGTCAGGGGTCTACATTCTTCTTGTTGCTTTTGATTTACAAAATAACACATTTATCCCTGTTCAAATTAAAAATATAGACTGCTATGTTTTTTCTTTAAAAAAAAAACCTCAAGGGCCACTAAAACATGGAAGAAAATGATGACTGTTCTTGTCATTAATTGACTGACAGTCTGAGATGCATCATGTTCACTTTCTTTGTGGTATAGAGATGACCAAAAAGCTAGAGTCTGTCTGATAGCATCTCCTTTGGGCTTACATTTATTTTGTACCACACGTTTGTAGGAATCATGCCCTGACAGAGTACGAACTTTCACATTGTTTTTATATCAACTCTTAGACAACCAGTTAAAATTAAACCTTAAAAATTCTCAAGGAGAACTTAAC
Source organism: Homo sapiens (assembly GCF_000001405.40). NCBI lineage: Eukaryota > Metazoa > Chordata > Mammalia > Primates > Hominidae > Homo > Homo sapiens. The sequence goes on from NC_000002.12 coordinate 210,588,634, forward strand.
CATCATAATAATGTTTCTTAAATAAAGTTTTGTTAGGATTTTTCCTTCTCCTCACTCCTCTCTCAGTCTGTCTCTGTCTACACATCTCCCCTCCATACACATACACACACATACACACATATTTGCATAACACCAAATTAGCATGCGTATTGGGAGACTCTTCATCGTACCTCCTTATTAGAGAATACCAGCAATATTCAAATCATGATTTCAAATTCTTGTCAATTTTATTAACAAACATTTGCATGGATAGCATGCATGGTAGCAGATGCTGTGGATGGCCTGTGTATATCTCAATCTCAAGTTACCATTTTAATTCATGTTGCCCATCTTCCAATTGCAAATATCTATATCTCTTTGCCTGATGGCTGGAGCCTACTGGCAGGCAGTAAATGGCATAGAATTAATGATCTCTGGAGTAGCCCCCAACCAAAGCACAGAAAAAGCCAGTGTTTAACCACCCTGGCTCCTTTGTCCCATGGATAGGCAGTCTCTAAGGTAACTATTCCACACGGGCTCTCAGAGTTCCCTACTGGGCTTAAACTTCACTTATCCCTAGTGGTAACTACTTGCTAATGCATAATTTATTGGGGTGTTTCATGATGTCACTTCCTCTCTGTTTAGTATGGAAGTACCTTCCAAATAAGCTTTTGTTCTCTTAAATCCTTGTTTCAGGAAATGCTTCATGGGAAACCCTCAAAGACACCTTCCTATGTGCTTTTATATTAAAAGAAATTTCTAAGTTTTCCATTCGAATATAAATCTTACAGAAAATGAGAAAACCCTAGGAAAGAAGGCTGATTAAAATTTGATAAGACTAAAAGGCAAGACTGAAAAAGGTCTGACGTGGGCCAACTTAACATTTTCAGAAAATGGATTTATATCTTTTTGCAACTGGTCGTGTGAAGGTAACCTACTCTCCTGTCAGTCCAGTCATGGCATTTGTAGGCACTGAAACTTCTCTTGAGTGCAGGAGAGTGCATTATCCATTTTTTCAGGATCAAAACTTTTAATGGTGTTTATTTTTATTTTTATTTTTATTTTGAGACAGGGTCTTACTTTGTTGTCCAGCCTAGAGTGCAATGGTGTGATCTTGGCTCGCTGGAACCTGTGACTCCTGGACTCGGGTGATCCTCCCACCTCAGTTTTCTGGGTAGCTGGGACCATACCTGGCTAATTTTTGTTTTATCTTTTTTGGTAGAGATAGGGTTTTGCCCTGTTTCCCAGGCTAGTCTTGACTTCCTGGGCTCAAGCAATTCCCCCCTATCTTGAGCTTCCCTATGTGCTAGGATCACCGGCATGAGCCACCAAGCCCGGCCCCAAAGAAATTTTTGCTCAGCATTATTTATTTTAAATGTTTACAAATTTTTCCTTCCCTTTAAGGAATGGTTAGTCAAGAGAAAGTCTAGCAAAATTATACTTTGGCAAAGAAACATGTTATTAAATTCATCATTCTTGTGTCTCTTTTCCAGCGAGGAGCTGAAGTGCACTTAGTTCCCTGGAACCATGATTTCACCAAGATGGAGTATGATGGGATTTTGATCGCGGGAGGACCGGGGAACCCAGCTCTTGCAGAACCACTAATTCAGAATGTCAGAAAGGTGCAATGAACCTTGAATTCATGTGTATCTGTGTGGGAGGTGGGGGCTTCCGCTCTATACCCTCAAAGGGCTGTGATACATTTTATTTATTCAGGCATTTTTCAATGCTGGTATTTGTGACTTCTGAGGCAGTGTCAGTAGAGATATTCTGTAGGGGAACCAATGAGGAGAGAATATCAGAGAAAATAGGGTTTTTCTTCAGGCAAAGTAACTTGGGGATCATGTCCTTGAGTTAAAAGAACTGGAGTCCAATGGCCAAATGTATTTTGCTTTACAGTTTTAAACCGACAACTCATGGTTCCTTATCATGACCTTGGGACCCATAAGACCTGCAGGTCTCTAAAGAAATATTAAATTAGATTTAGTTTAGTTTGAATGTAAAGTACATCTTAATGAATTATAATGCTACAAATTTGTCAATTATGTCCTTTTTTATATTCTTCTTTAATTCAGTTACTATTCTCTTTACCTTCTTAAGAAAAAAGGATACCTCATTTTTGTTCATTCAGAAGCAACATTTTTTGGAACTGTACTAATTGGTTAATAAAAATTCTCCCTGATTTAGATTTTGGAGAGTGATCGCAAGGAGCCATTGTTTGGAATCAGTACAGGAAACTTAATAACAGGATTGGCTGCTGGTGCCAAAACCTACAAGATGTCCATGGCCAACAGGTGAGGTATTTTCACTTTTGCTTACAGTAAACCAGCTCTGACATACTAACTAAATACAAAGAACTCAGAGCACTTACCTGCCATTTCTTTAGAGTAAATAAATGCACATGTACCCTAAAACTTAAAGTATAATAAAAATAAATAAATAAATAAATAAATAAATAAAATAAAAAATAAAATAAATAACCATACCTTACGTGGTTGACAGTTGTTTGACTACCTGATACCACTTTTGTTGCATTTTTGGAAAGCAGCCTTCTCTAATGATAACCTTGCTATAATTTAAAGTTATTTTCCTTCCCTTGGCATAAATTGAGGTTATAATACTCAATCAAATGATATTCCAAGGGAAATTGTTCTGATTTTAAGCTTGATTTCAGAACATTGTAACATTTTAAGAAGGTAAGTGTGACTTAAGAGCCGAGGAACCTTTAGATCCTCTTGGTTTCTCTTTTTTGCCTCAAACAATATTAATTTATTAAACATCAGGCTTTTTCCCATGGCCCACCCTCTACATAAATTATAATTCAGGTCTGAGCAGTCATCTCTTTGTTATCTCCCTATAACTCTCGGGCTTTAAAATTATTGTAGTTCTCTTAAAGTAAGTCACTTATATTTCTTAGTTTCTGTTAAGCCGGTGAGCAACCCTTTTTGTTATGAGTGCAATGCCCCCCTTTCTAAAACCGATTATAGAATTTAATAGACCTGCGTATTTAACACACAACAAAGCTTCCTGAATTGATTTTTGTTGGGAAAATTACTGGGATTAACAATCTGTGACTTTTCTCACAGAGTGATTTTCACTAAGCAATTGAAATTTTGAATTTTAATAGGCTTTACTTGTTCACTACTTTATAAGGAATACATTTATATTATTCTCTTCACTTTTCCTTTTCCCTATTCTTTTTCTCCTTTTCTCTCCAGAGGGCAGAATCAGCCTGTTTTGAATATCACAAACAAACAGGCTTTCATTACTGCTCAGAATCATGGCTATGCCTTGGACAACACCCTCCCTGCTGGCTGGAAACCACTTTTTGTGAATGTCAACGATCAAACAAATGAGGTAAATGATGTCAATAAACCTGTTCAGTTGGTGATGAGAAACGCAGGGCTTTTAAAAATAATTGATACATAAGCATTGTATATATTTATGAGATACATGTGATATTTTGATACATGCATATCATATGTAATGATCAAATCACACTAGGATAACCATCACCTCATTTTTTATTTCTTTGTATTGAGAACATTTCAAATCTTCTCTTCTAGCTGTTTTGAAATATGCAATAAATTATTCACTCAGAATATTCACCCAGAGTTTTTAAATACACTATGATGCAAATACCTTTCTCCTGTTTGTTTGTGATTTTTTTGGGGTTGAGTGTTGAAAAACAGCTATAGGTTTTCTCCCATAGCCCTCTGTGTTTTAAAACGTCATTTCTCTCTCTTATTCTCTCATCAGTTGACTTGTTAAGATTCACTATTTGAGTTATTAATCAACAACTATCTCATATATTCAATGTTAGTGGGCTGTTGGTCCAAATCTGTTTGAGCCCCATCTGGGTGGGTCTCTGGGACTTACTTGGCACTGGTGTAGTGTTTGAGAAGACCCTTGGAAAAGTAATTTCGGACTTGGGGATAAGATGAGGACTTGAGTTTACTCTGAACAGAACCCAGAGGGGTCCCAAAGACTATAGACCAAATTTTTTATTTATTTATTTATTTTAAAGGAAAACACATTCAGTTGAGTCTTCATTGACCCATTTTCCATACTTAATCAAAAAGGTCAGATATGTAAGTCCTTAAGATATCGGACCATGTTACTTAATAGTACTGTTAGTTACAAAAATTTTGTTAAGCATCTAACTCAGTTTTTAAATTTGAGCTTTATTGTTCCCTGAATAATACATAGCCACACTTGACATTCATTGTTACAGAAGGAATTTCTTCCTGTTTCTTATTCCTTTAGGGGATTATGCATGAGAGCAAACCCTTCTTCGCTGTGCAGTTCCACCCAGAGGTCACCCCGGGGCCAATAGACACTGAGGTACGTCAAAAAGATGAGGCCTATTATGTATGCAAAAAAAAAATGTATTTGTGTGGAAATTCGAGAAACCAAAATAATCACCCCAGATGATCTTGAGCAGAACATTCTCAAGAAGAGTGCTTTGGTAACACACATTTTGTATTAAAATCTCCCCATGAATGTCACAGAGGAAATTTTTATCTTTTTTAAAATTTAAAGTGGGAAAGCCCTTAAGAAACCCGAAGCGATGGTATTTTTATTTAAACCCATTATCATTCTAATATATTTAGTTCTGAAATTTACAATTGTTGTACTATGCAAATGAATTCCCTTTTGCTCTCTCTCGTTCTCATGACTGAAATGAAATTTTAATCCCCCATCTGTGACTTCACAAAAATCCCTATGGCAACTGGTTGTGTAGCCACTAAGGGAGAATAAACAGCAGCAGGAGAAGGAGGGGAAGGGTGTTGGAGGGGAGAGAGGGCATGCATGCACATACATAGATGATTCAGACGGCTTCAGAAAAGAACCACAAGGAATGCTTAGAGGAGTTTTGTATTTAATCTAAATATTTTTACTTTTTTGTGTGTGAGCTCTTAGTTCATTGTTCAAACCCATCTTTCCAAATAAATTCTTCTGGTGATATCCAGAAAAATCTGAAGTCTATTGTGACTTCCCCACACCCAGGGGCCTCCAGTAGCAAATCTTCATTGTCAGAACTCTCAGAAAAGACTTCGAGGTAAAATGGGGAAGAGAATAAGAGCTTTCTTTCTGCAAGCTCTGCTCTACTCTCTCATGTCTGAATTGCCGTTTTAGATATTTATATTTTGTTCTTGTTTTAATATTATTAGGAAATATTGGTTCTTAATAGCCAAAATCAGTATTATATTACCAACCCATGATGAAACTCATAAATCAAATTTAGTTATGTGTATCATCTAACACATGCTAAGTAGTTTTTTAATTTAAAATTTAAATTAGCATATATTAGTACTTCGGATTAGGAACATTGCAATTAAGATGTAATAATATCCACTGTCACATAATTCTCCTTTTTTGTCTTTCCAATAATTGCAAAATGAATATTCTTTGTTGTAATTTGTCATATCTAGTGAAACAACAGAAGTAAATCCTTTGGCAAAGATTAAGAATAATCTTCAGAAACTGTTTTTTAGAGCCGATAGAAATTTAAATTTAAATTAGTATTTCTAATTTTCTATATCATAAGTGATATAGCTTCAATTGTTATATCCACCTAGAATTTGATTTAGAAGAAACAAATGATATACAATTTACTAAAAACTTGGCATTCTCAGAAGGTATCTGATATGTTTACTGCTTGTTGGAAACTTCTTTTTTATAAGACTTGAAGTGAACAGAAGTGTTTATTTGATTAAATTCTCACACTAACAGATATTTAGTTATTGACAAAAAAGCAAAAAAAGCTGAAATGCTATAATAAAAATTATTTGTTGCTTATCTGAAGTTCAAATTTAACTGGGTATATTGTGTTTTATCTGGTGAACTTAGGAATTTTGAAGCTTCTAACTAGTTGGTTGTATTTTTTTCTAGTACCTGTTTGATTCCTTTTTCTCACTGATAAAGAAAGGAAAAGCTACCACCATTACATCAGTCTTACCGAAGCCAGCACTAGTTGCATCTCGGGTTGAGGTCAGTATGTGGGCTTATTTTTGGTTTATGAATTTTGGATTGTCCCTATCACATGAAGATTTTTAAAAACTAAGTGATGTAAGGCATACTAGTGTTTAATAAAAGATGACTGGTAATATTGTAATAGACTGTCATTTTGTAACTAATTATTTGGTTCCTTCTTGATGATGTCTAGTGGAACTTCTCATGTTTTGATTTAAAATAATGTCTTTTAAAGTTTACTTCTTCCAGAGTATTTGTAATAACATAACAAAGAATAGTGTTTAGTTTAGAATTTATTTCCCATTATCCAAAAAGCCATAGCTCTATGTAAACATGAGATACATTTCAGACTACAGAATCATTATAGATGATAGAATTCTTTTTGTTTCAACTAGAATAACTGTTATTCAACATCATGTACTGAGTATTATTTTACCTCTAAAAAGCAAATGGACAAGAATATAACACTTAAATCCTTAATTTGAATATGTATGTTAGTGTGATAAAGTTTTTACCCATTTCCTTCATAAACTACACATTCATATCATTATTTAAAATTTAGAAGGATATATGTGTATTTGAAAAAATACCACACATAGATATATTTACATATATGTATATATTTTTGGATATTTATATATGTTTAAATAAAATGTAAACCTCTGCCAAAAATTTTTTACTTAAGAGAAAAACCTTAATAAACTTTGGAAGTCACATTGAAATCAGAGATGTTTTAAGTTATTAGTCTTTTTCCCTATATATTACATATTTTTCATTACATTAGACCTTAGATGACCACATAAACTCAGACAATGTGGTTTGTCTTCTCCAATCTTGAAAATGCCTTATTTCCCCCATTTTAGCAGTAATAACAGTGTCTTTTTCTTATTGCTTATAGGTTTCCAAAGTCCTTATTCTAGGATCAGGAGGTCTGTCCATTGGTCAGGCTGGAGAATTTGATTACTCAGGATCTCAAGCTGTAAAAGCCATGAAGGTGAGAGAATATGATCCTTACTAGAATTAATATGCTTCCTTTAATGAGTCTAATTAGTATTTTATAATTTAGATTTATGACACTACCTCTTTTCAAAGTTGCTATAATTATTTTCCTTAACTGTGCCTTTATAAATCTTGTATTAAAGAAGCTTGATCACGAGCAAGAATTTCAACTTTCTGTAATGTGCACATCTGTAAATTGAGGAGGTTAATCTCCAAAATTATTTAGGTTATTGCCTCCTTATAGTGAAAACATATAAAGCCACATTTATTTATGCTGTTTATTTCTTTTGAGGCAGTGAGTTTTTCAAATATACTTATCTTTTATGTGAAAGAGAAATTTTGGGCATCTTTGGTGCTTTAAAGTATTTCAAGTGCTCTACAGGATGCTTCGGGCATCTCTGTGGTTGAAATGGGAAACTCCAGTTGGAGAAGCAAGGGCAACAGTACATTTTGTTCAGGTGTTATAAATTATTATCTGTCACTGGGGGACACAGTTCTCCCATCAGTGCCTGGGAAACGGGATGATATGGCAACATTTTCAAGTAGAAAAAAAGATTTGATACACAGGTGTGGAAGGACATCCTTCCTGTTTCTTTAAACTCTCTGGAGATCTCCCAACACTTACTGTAGTAAAATAAAACTTTAGAAAAATTCCGTTGTATATTTAATGTATTTCTCTTGAGGAGTTCAGTTGGTACCCCTCGTTGTGCTAATCAGGCCATTCGGAGGCAATGTGAGCTCTTGGTGACATTGCCTCAGGCTTTGCAGTGTAATGCCATTCACCAGAGACCAGGCTAGTAGAGTCAGCATAGAATGGCAACAGAAGACTAGGACAGCAAACCTGGGAAAAATAGTTGGCCAAAGGTTTTCTTATTTTTCTTTTTGTTAGTATTCTATAGTCAAAGATTTTCACCTGATGGGCGTCTGTTGAAGAGGTAGAACACAGTCTCAATGACTTTACTCTTTTTCCCATTTGTTTTTATTTTTTAATACTCTCCTCCATTCATGTGCATGCATACTCACATATTTTTTGGAATAAATTTTCAAAACGATGTTTTACTTCTTTGTATTATGCTTTAATTTCTCATTAGATAATTGGAGACTGTCCAGTGGTTTAGATTAGTTAGTACACAATCTAAGTGTGTTCAGAGTTTAGAATACATTTAACTGTATACAGTTTTTATTCTATTTGGGAGTTTTGCAAATAATTAGAATTTCTATAGTTTTGTATTTTAATGTGTTTTACATCAATTGGGTAAAGTTATATAGTTTTAACTAAAGAACAGGAATTATTAGATTAGATTGTGATCACTTAGAAGGTTAATAACTAGAGGTGGATTTTTAAACTAAAAAAATAATTGGTGCATATATTGCAACAAGAATTAGAAAAATCAGAATGATTTAAAATTAAGATTGCAATAAGGTTTAAAATAAATGAACACTCATCATGTGTATGTATAGGATCTTTTCCTGTATAATTTGACTTATAAAAAATCGCCATATTCATTGTATAGAACATTCAGAAAAATACTTAAATATACTAAAGTTTGTTGGTACTTTTCTTTAGTTGTGAGGCTTTCTATAACTTCTGTTGCTGGTATGTTCTCAGTTGGGACTCAATTATTAAAATTCATCACATATTATAAAAGCATTTGCTTACCTGTTTGTATCTTCCTGACATTTTGTTAATAATATTACTCTTAAAATCTTGAGAGATGACTCGTATTGAGGAAAGAGCATAGGATTTGAATCATAACATTTGAATTAGAGCCCTAATATTGCCACTTATTAGCTATGTGACCTTTAGCAAACCATTTAACCTTACTGAATCTCAATTTCTTCATCCAAAAGGTTGAAATCTCTTTCATAGTCTTGGTATAAAAATCAAATACATTACTAAAAAGTACATTACAAGCATTAAGTCACTATTTGAATTTAAAGCAGCATAAAATATATTTAATGTTTTATTCAGATCCTCCCCAAAGATATGTGGGGTTTTCAATAATAATTTCTATACTTTTATCTGAATATTTTGTTGACTTTTTAGGAGAATTTAAAATTGACATGCTAATGTATGAAATAATTAGAACCATCTGGCTGTATGTTATAATAATTATTTTGCTAAGTGTCACCCTCATCTTGGTTTATAAAACAATTATCCTTAGTAGCCTACATAAAGAATTATTTTGAAGGTCTCTCCCGATGTAAGGAATGAGATAGAGCTATGAATACCTTCATATATATACACACACACACAAACATACACACACACATGCATGCATACACATAGTTTTATTTCTTTTACCATATGGTTTTTTAAATATGTACAAACAGTTGTATAATGCTTTTTGTTAAAGCACTATAGCAAGCATGAATCTAGAAAATAAATAGAAACCAGCAGAAGGCTCTCAGTGCTTCCAGCAAGAAGGGAGCACATTATTCTGCATTTTAAATGTACATTCAATGTTCTTCTTAGACAAATAAATACAAGGGGGAGCAGCTTTTTTTTTTAACTTTTATTTTAGGTCTGGGGGTTAACATGTGAAGGATAAATAAGATCCTTTTTGAATAAGCAAATATTGAGGGAATTCATTACCACCAGACTAGCCTTACAAAATATCTTGAAAGGAACACTAAGTATAGAAAGACCACTACCAGCTAATACAAAAATGCACGTAGACACACAGACCAGTGTCACTGTAAAGTAACTACACAAACAAACCAACATAATAACCAGCTAATAGCACAATGGCAGGATCAAATCCACATATCAATACTAACCTTGAATATAAACAGGCTAAATGTCCCACTTAAAAGGAATGGAGTGGCAAGCTGGATAAAAAAGCAAAACCCAATGGTATGCTGTCTTCAAGATACCCATCTCACATGTAGTGACACCCATGCGCTCAAAATAAAGGGATAGAGGAAAATCTACCAAGCAAATGGAAAACAGAAAAAAAAAGGGGATACAATCCTAATTTCAGAAAAAACAGATTTCAAATGAACGAGGATTTAAAAACAGACAAAGAAGGGCATTATGTAATAGTAATGGGTTCAATTCAAGAAGAAGATCTAACTATCCTAAATATATATGCACCCAACACAGGAGCACCCAGTTTCATAAAGCAAGTTCTTAGAGACCTGCAAAGAGACTTAGACTCCCACACAATAATAGTGGGAGGTATCAACACTCCACTGATAGTATTAAACAAATCATTGAGGCAGAAATTTAACAAAGATATTCAGGACCTAAACTTGACATTGGACCAAATGGATCTGATAGACCTTTGTAAGAACTCTCCACCCCAAAACAACAGAATATACATTTTTCTCATTGCCACATGACACATACTCTAAAATTGACCACATAATTATAAGCAGCTTTCGTATTGCCTCTAGTTCCATTTTATATTTACTAATTTAAAATTTTTGGAATATGTTATTCTTTTAAGGTTGATTGAACTACAGGGTTCAGTAATATTTGTGGCTCTCTAGACCAATTATATAGAAATGGTCTCCAGCTTTGCCAACAGTGGCAAAGATCACCTCATGGCGATCTTCATGAGACAGCCAATTCTTTTGGATAGTTTCATTTTCAAGAATTTCTTCATTTCTTTGACCAAATGCTTGTCTTCCTTTAACTTCCATTCACTAGTCCTGTTACGGATCTCTACGGCCCACAGATAACCTAAAAGCTTAGTTACCCCATGTCTTTTTATTTAAGTGTGGTCATTCTCTTCTTTAGACCATATATTCATGTACTGGATTCTTTTGTTTCTTTCAGGAAGAAAATGTCAAAACTGTTCTGATGAACCCAAACATTGCATCAGTCCAGACCAATGAGGTGGGCTTAAAGCAAGCGGATACTGTCTACTTTCTTCCCATCACCCCTCAGTTTGTCACAGAGGTCATCAAGGCAGAACAGCCAGATGGGTTAATTCTGGGCATGGGTGGCCAGACAGCTCTGAACTGTGGTGAGTTCTTATAAGCTTAATTGCAGAGTTTTGACATATGCACTGCTGTGTAATGTATTTTATTTGAGCTCATCTAACAATTGTGCTTTGTGTGTTCATAAAACCTTTCCTCTACTGTGTGAGAAAGCAGTTAGCAAACAGCCACTTAATATAGTCATATGATGAATACTACTAGTTAATTTCACAAAATAGCTGATAGACAAAGAAACCTTTCACTTTAATGCTCCAGAGTGGCCAGTAGGTTTCTTGCATTTCTCTACTCTATCGCAGGATATTGCTTTTCTCTGTTGCTATTGAGGTCTTGAGAACTATTATGAATGAAAAATGAGAATTAACATTGGTTAAGTGCTCTTAGGTATCAGCCCTGCAGCAATTTCCTCTCAAACACATTTTCATGATAGCATAGATCAGTCTTTCTACTATTACTTCATACTTCTGCTGAGTCTACTGCTTTGTTCTCTTTAAAATTCTTCAAATCTTTGGAACTGGATCATGAATAAGAGTCTCTTTAGCTAGTTTGGGTAAGCAATTGGTGATATAACTTGTATGTCAAAAAAAAAAAAAGGACTAAGGCAAAATTAGGTGGCTAGGTAGTGGAAACACAAACCATTTTGAGGATAATTTTTTAGCCCAGGTAGGTACTCATATATTTGGGATTTTTTAAATTATAGAATCTCATTATAGAAATGGACTTTAGGAGGAAAGGGAATATATTGAAATCTTAAGGCTCAGTATAATACTATGACTTTTATTAATAAGGATAAAAATGATTTTCAGAAGATGGTAATATAAGTAAAAGTAGCATCAGTAACATATTTTGTCAGACCGTCTTCAGAATTTTTATTTCAATTTTTTTCCCTAAGTGCAATTCTATTGTAGACAGTGGTAACTTCTCGGATTTTAAGATTAAAAAAGTAGTTGTATTCAGTTGTCTATTAAAAAAGGCACAAAATTCAAGATTTTAAAAACTAATCCTATTTGGTTCTTCTTTAGGAGTGGAACTATTCAAGAGAGGTGTGCTCAAGGAATATGGTGTGAAAGTCCTGGGAACTTCAGTTGAGTCCATTATGGCTACGGAAGACAGGCAGCTGTTTTCAGATAAACTAAATGAGATCAATGAAAAGATTGCTCCAAGTTTTGCAGTGGAATCGGTAAGGATTCTTTGCTTTGGAAAAACAAGGGCATTATTTGTCTTGTGTTGTAGGGAGAATGATTTTTCATGCCTAATAATAATAGTTAAGATTATTATACTTGCATGCATTTTCTTCTAGAATTGTGTTAATAGTTTAGAAATATTGTGTATTACAGCACTCAATGCTGAAATTATAGGTATTAACATTTTACTTTATGCAAAGAGAAACAGAAGTCCAGAGATGAAGTGGTTTATCAAGGCTTGAAGTGCCAATGAATCTCAGATCTCCTGAACTGAAACTAAGAACCATACCAACTTGCAATAACAAAGCAATTTTTACCTTGTTTCTGGGATCAATCACATATTTTGCATGTGTGAATTCCCTGCAAATGAGAAATTTGCTTTAAATTTTTTTTAAATAAAATAAACATTTTAGAATAAAATGGATCCAGTCATTAAAATGACTGGAAAACCTGTAGTTTAGATATTTAAGGAAGATTTGCTTTTCTGTTATTTATTTCCATTGCCCCTTATGCCTATCAATAAGCTATTAACAGTTACCAGGAAAAAGAATCAACTCACTTTATATCTGTTTTTGCCCCTGACTTTATTTTTGACTTCAGGCTCATAGCTGGTGAAGTGGAGGTGCTAGGGGCAGTGTTAAATCCAACTTCTCCATGGTAGAAACAGGCACACCCTTAGGAATAAAGCAGGTACTGCTGGGACAACTAAAAATGGGTTATGTATGTTTCAGAAGACAATGCTACCAAGTATCTTTTGTGTTACAAACTTGTCAATCAAATAATCCCAGGATAACTCTGCTGCACAATTTGGGAAGCTCTTGCCATACATTTGTTCTTTCATTGCCAGATTTAATTATGTCCTTGCTTCCTCAGGAAAAGAAACAGGCATATGGGAAAGGTGTAATTACATTCCCATTGGTAGTGTAATAATATTCCATGACAGAAAAATATAGCCACCATATGTTGTATTCTGTAAGTTAAAAAAAAGAATTCCAAGCTTCTGGGACTATGCTCAGACTGAACTTGAAAATGAAAAATCCATTTATATACAGTGTTCCTAATGGCTTATTGTGGTAACATCAAGCTAGCTTCAGCAGCAGAGAACCTGGTTTCATTAAGACAGAGACTTTTAAGCTGCATGTAAAAATCGTAAAAATCCAATAATTCAATATGGCTGCCATTCTCAAATGAATGATGATTATTTCTGCTTTGACCATGGTTCTGTTTCAATAGGACAGGATAAAATTTACCGCAAAAGTGTATTTCTTAGAAGATATATATATATATATCCTCCCTTCTAGAATTTTACTTAACATTTGAGTAACAACACTTGCTTTTCAGAATGAGATGAGGGAATAATAGAACATTTCTAGATTCACTCTCCCCACATAAGTTGGTTTACCTGATTGCCAGACTCTCTTGGTGTGGTCTGTTCTGCCAGTGTGCTCAGCTTTTAAAATGTTGAGTCCTTGTTCTTGTTGACAGATTGAGGATGCACTGAAGGCAGCAGACACCATTGGCTACCCAGTGATGATCCGTTCCGCCTATGCACTGGGTGGGTTAGGCTCAGGCATCTGTCCCAACAGAGAGACTTTGATGGACCTCAGCACAAAGGTATGTATTTTTGTAGACAATATTCTTACCAACCAAAAAAACTGGCTTGATAGACCTTTTCAACTAGAGAAAGTTATGTAGATGAGAAATTACATTTTCTTTATTAAATCATGATCATGTTCTCCAAAAGCGTATTCCAAAAGATGACACTTTTGCGAGAGCATGCAGTGCAACTCTTCATGCCAGGATGCAATGATAAACCACATGGTTCAAGGTAAACCAGTGGTCACTTTACCTCAAATTCCACTTTTATAGTACAATCTATTGACTTCAAGGAGATGAACTTAATTCAACTCCTTCTTCCTTTGTTTCAAAATCTACTCTCAAATATTTAAAATGCTAAAATATGTTTTAGTGGTTAAGGAAAAATAGGACATAATGTCTCATTTTTAATTTTTTAGAAATAATGTGGCTGGCATGGGTGACATCCAGAAAGTGAAACAAAGCACATTGAGTAGTTTGACTTTACTCAAAATTAAGGTGTCTAAAATATACATGGTATAAACCACTCAATACAGTAAATGACTGAACTCCACCAACTGCCATATACTCATAAAAACACGAGAGATTTGAGGGTTTATAATTTATTTTCTATCAAAATCACTTTAACATATTAGGAACTACTTCTTTCTTTGCATGTTAGAGGAAAACTCTTGAGAAAAGTAAGCTATGCTACAAAAACTAAATTAGAGACTAATGCAGAAAATATGCTCCAGGAAAACAGAGACTTTTGTCTATACTCTATTTCCACAAAATAGAACAGTGCCTGGAAATACCAGGAGTTCAATAATGTCTTTGAAGAATGATTACACGTGCAGCCAAGAAACCTGTGTAACTTACATGGCAGTCATAGAAGTGAATTTGACAGAATTACTGTAAGGGCTATTTTGGGAATTATTTAGGAAATAGCTCACGGACAGCTTATTGCTTCATCTTTACTTACTTTTTGAACTGAAGTGAAATGAGACCCTTGAATTGTTGACATAGAATTTTGAAAACAGATAAGTACAATTCAGCATATTTAAATAACTACAATGGCAGACTTACATATAAACAACTTGGGTTTCGTTTTTCTAAAGTTGTGAAAATTACAAAAAAGGGAAACATACCTCACATAAATGTTTCTTGTTACCATTCTGGACATATGAATCACATATTTAGAGCAAAAACATGTTTTTGAAGATAGAAAGTTTATTTCCTCTAGCATGTTAGAGGCTCCAAATATTTTCAATATTAACAACTTCATAACTGCCAATTGTGACAGTGTATACATATTCTCTATTAATTTTTTTACTCTATAAGAAACCAATCTGAAGACTGAACTTTTCATGTAAGAAAGTTTATAATAAAGAGAATTTTGGAATGAAATAGCTTTCAATTATTTATATTGTACTCAAATAATCAATAGTCCCTTAAATGGTTTTTCTTGTTGAAAAAAACCCTCGCTCTTCCCTTGAGAATAATTAGTCATATCATTATGTCCTAAACAATCCCCTATTCTCTTGAGGTTATAATTAGCACCATTAAAAGCTGCATTAACTTATCCAGGTCCCTAAATTAACTTTTTACATAAAATCGAAGACTTCAAAAAATAAAAATAAAAATAAGCTGAGGAAACAGGTGAAGATAATTTCAAATTTTCCCTGTATCTAAATATCCATTTTACTTCATTAGAATGCAAAATACTTTTCCAAATTTATACCCTTTGTTTCCTAGATTTCTTCTTTTAGCAGGCAACCGGAATGATGAATTAATCATTATTAAATTGTTAACATTGGCTACTGAATTTTCTAACCACTTTGAGAACCTCATCGTGGGCAGCTGTGGGGACAAATGTGTCACATTTTCATTTGCACGTGCTGGAGCCTGTAGTGATGACTGAAGTTTAAAAAAATCCTATTAAGGCACATTACAGAAAAACTTACATTAAATTATTATTTTAATGCCTATTAATAATTTGAAAAAATTCAAACTGCTTTCCCTTTCACTGTCAATCCAAATCAAATATATTATAAGACAATAAGACATTTCTCCCTTGGATTATCAGCCACTGCATGTCCTAAGGTCAAAGATTACCACTTTCCTATTTTGGGTTCAGTATTCTACCCATTGTGGGTGTGCCGTAAATATGAAATTATAATTATGCTAATTCATATCTGTCTAATCAGGCATACATGATATATGACTCAGAGTATTTAAGCATTTAGGCAGTGATTAACCATAATAATAGTCCCATATGATTCTTCTAATTCTCAAGTTTTATATGCCATCTTGGCTAACCGTTTACAACCATCATCATCTCCTTTCTCCTCCTCATCAACATCAACTAACTTTTATTGTGTGTGTCACTGTACAAAGCACCCTCAGCTATTTTAGAGAGAGCCAGAGTCTTTAGACTTATTTTTCCATATTTATTCACACTTATCACATTTTCTGGTTTCACAGAAGCCTAGCTGCTGAAATAATTTCATTTCCCTCTGCCTGATTGCTCAATTATTTTCTCTTTTTCCTAAATTAGTTTGATTTACTGTCATATCAGCACTTTGAATGGCAAGCCTCAATAATGTAAATCAAGCATATTCACTGCAGGATGCTATTCCTAGTACCTCACTGATTTTCTGACACATTGTGCCTTCTGTGCAGGGGAGAATGGAGACGGGGTTTGAGAGTTCAGTGCTGACCAGGATTTATGCCAGGGTATTTTGCCAAATATCCTTGTTGAAGCCAGTGCTTTTTCTTACTCTTTGATATCTTTTGTCACCAATTTCTAGGCCTTTGCTATGACCAACCAAATTCTGGTGGAGAAGTCAGTGACAGGTTGGAAAGAAATAGAATATGAAGTGGTTCGAGATGCTGATGACAATTGTGTCACTGTCTGTAACATGGAAAATGTTGATGCCATGGGTGTTCACACAGGTAGGCAAAGTATCTTCAAGAACTATAGTAATGCTTTCAGTTCATGTCTTTGATGGCCAAGGCAGTCTTTATAAAGTTGTTGCCTTTAAATTACTATTTCTAGTTGACAGACTAGTGATAACATTTTGGACAAGCATAGTATTTTACAGTATTGAAAATGTTCTCACATTTAATTTGATCTTCACACAAACCCTGTGAAGTAAGGCGGATATTACACTGAGTTAATTGAGGAAGAGCCAAAGGTAAGCAATATGGTAGAAATAAGATCCATAAAACTTAGTGTTGAGAAATAAGAAGGGAGGTTGAGACAGTTTAAAGCAGACTGAGCTGGTAATCACCCAGTAAATGAGAAAATAGGCACAATAATAGAAATAAGTTTTTCAGAAAAGTACACTAGTTAGATAAGAGGGCAAAGATGATAACTTAGGATTTAAAAGTGCTAAATTTGGGGTGTGAGCAGAGCTGTCAAAAAAGGGAGTTGAGAATGTGGAGATGGAATTTAAGAAATAAAATAGAAATAAATAAGTTGATACAAAGACACTGGAAACTGTTGGCATAAAAGGGGAAATTGAAGTTGTAGGCATAGACAAAGTATTCAAGGACATAGGTATAGAAAGAGGAGAGAATAGGGTTGAACTTTGAACTCTGGGAAACATTTAGATTTATAGGGCAGGGGAAAGAGGAAGTATTACTGTTGAAGATAGAAGGGGAGAATAAAGAGTTAAGAGGAAAATCAGGTAGTACTGTACCAACTAAGCCAATGCAAGAACTATTTTATAAAAGAGCTTTGTTTTTGGCAGTATCAAATGCTATGCAAGACCAAGACTGATTATTTAATTTGGCTCTTTTGGATGTCCAAGAGAACAATTTCATTGCAAAGTCAGTTCTGTGAGCTCTATTAAAAGGAATTACATGGTATCAAGTGGTAAGCAGAATTGGCAAACTTTCAAGAAGCTCATTCATGTAAAGAATGAGAGAGAAGCTTTGTATGGTTGTCTGGCAATGTTGGGAGAAGACTTCCGGAGGCAGTGAAGATCTGAGCGTGTTTGAAGGCAGAAGGGATGGAGACTAAGATTGCAGATATAAGGGGCTATGATGAGGGAAGTGAAGATGGAAAGGGATGAGATACAGAAAGCCAGCTGATGAGCCAGTCTGAGTGATAATATTCAATGAAAGGAAGAACTTCAGAAATAATTTGAGATGAAGAGCAGGGAAGTTGAAGTCAATCTAGTAAGTAGACGATTGAAGCCTTGATAGCTACTTACTAGATAGATGAACTTGGGAAAGGTTAGAGAGGTTTCTAAAAGTACTGTATCAGAGTAATATGGGCAAAACAGGAATTGGGGGAATACCTGATATCACATATATATCCCAACAAACCCTCAGACTGTTCTATGTCTTGCATCGTGCAAGTAGATGGTTAAGTCGCTGAAGTTGGTTATTTCAATATGCCACCAAGTAATGAGTGCTTCTTGGATATATAGGTGACTCAGTTGTTGTGGCTCCTGCCCAGACACTCTCCAATGCCGAGTTTCAGATGTTGAGACGTACTTCAATCAATGTTGTTCGCCACTTGGGCATTGTGGGTGAATGCAACATTCAGTTTGCCCTTCATCCTACCTCAATGGAATACTGCATCATTGAAGTGAATGCCAGACTGTCCCGAAGCTCTGCTCTGGCCTCAAAAGCCACTGGGTAAGACCAGAATAATTGACCATGGGTTTGCAGATTCTTTTCAGATAGAAATGAAAAATTGACAGATAGTGGAAGACTGTACTGCATTTACAAACTATGTTCCCTTTTTCTGTATGTTAGCTCCAAATCATTTATAGCACCCTGAGGACATGATTATTAATGAGCTTGTTGCCAGATTGAGGTAAATTATATTGCTAGCTGGCTTTGTTTGCAGGCTAATCTAAACGAATCAAAATCTAGGTGGCTAAAGCAGGCTGTGAAAAATCTGCTTCCTAATTGCACTTTGCAGATGTTGTTAAAAGTGCAGATTAATCCTTAATTTTAGTCTTCAGCTGTTTTCTTCAGGTGTATAGCCCTATAGCAAATAGTTGACAGAAAATATAGCTCACTTGACTCAAGCATGCAATACACATTACTTTTATTTTATCAAAACTCCACAAGACTGAACAGTGCGGAATTTTTTCACAAGTAACTGTTACAACCAAACAAATACATCTGCTGTCTATGTAACAGCCACTAGCAGGCATGATTGGAGGGAAAGGTAATCAAAACCTTTGGTTTCTAATAATATATTTAGCACCTTACACTTAAATTATGGCATTTAAATGAACACAATATTTACTTCTTTATATTTTTTTTACGTAGTTCCACAGCACTGCGTGGAGTGGTGAAAGGCATGTTGCCCTGTACAGGAGTCACAATTCTGCATTCTCACTTGGTTCTTCTGTTGACCGTGTGATTTTGAGCACATCACTCATTGTCTTTATCAGTTTCCTCATTTGTTAGGTGGAAGTTGTACTAAAGAACTCATTTTTAATTCTATAGTTCTATGAATTATTTTCTCAAACAGAATAACCCAAACTGACATTCTGGATGAAGATAGTCAAGTTCTCAAAGTGTTAGTTTTGTAAGGAGCCCAAAGTTCAAAGATAATTTGGAGACAGAGCAAGGACCCAAACTTGAAATGCCTACATTTTCTGACCATTATGTACTCTCTTGTACTAGCTAACTCCACTGTATTCTTAGGTACAGATATGTATATGTACAGATATGTATATATTTTCTCAAAAAATATTTTGCAGATTCTCATCTTAGTGGAGGTTAAATACAAATAAAGGTTAAACTTTATTTATCAATAAAGCTATCGATTTTGGGTTGAAGAGGTGAAGGTTGAGCGTTGTAGCAATGCATGTAGTGCACAGAGAGTAAATTCTCCTGTGACCTGTGCCTCTATACTTTGTATCATGACTCCTATTATTCCGCAAGTGGCTACTAAATATTGATGCAGAACAGAGAATCAAGTGTCTTATACCCTGAAGTAGAATAATACCAGAAATTTTAAGAAAGACCAATTTATGTTTTGGTCTGTTTTCAATAATTGCTCGAAGAAAAAAAAATAAATTTGTCTTCTTTTTATAGCTACCCATTGGCATTCATTGCTGCAAAGATTGCCCTAGGAATCCCACTTCCAGAAATTAAGAACGTCGTATCCGGGAAGACATCAGCCTGTTTTGAACCTAGCCTGGATTACATGGTCACCAAGATTCCCCGCTGGGATCTTGACCGTTTTCATGGAACATCTAGCCGAATTGGTAGCTCTATGAAAAGTGTAGGAGAGGTGAGTCCTTGGTTTATTACGCTTTTCTTCTTGTTCTCAGTTATTTTGTTAAATTTGTGACACCATTGACAGTGTTAAAGTTGCCTGGATACCATCAACACATGGACAGTGTTAAAGGTGCAATTGACAGTGTTAAAGTTGCCTGAATATTAGCATACTAATATGCTAACAGTCTCTATGTGATTGTTTACATATTACATATGTTACATGGCCATTTTGCTGGATTTGAAGGTCTTCCTATTCAAAAGGTGAGGCCATATATCTGGCTATATAGTATAGATACACATATGAAAACACATTCATATACATATAACTGAGTTGTAATATATTTTATAACCAAATCAAGAAAGTAATATAGAATATAATATATCAAAAAGACCACTGAACTGAGCTTAAGAATTCAACTTTAGTCCATTCATGCAAATTGTGGCTCTAACTTCCTGAGACCTCATTCCCCACATCTATAAAAGAAGAGGCTGGACTAGTTCATCTCTCAGGATCCTTCCAGCTCTAAAATTCTAAATTGATATGAGCATAGTAGATTATTAAGCCCTCTTTAATTATACTAAAAAGTTCTAAGCTTTTAACATCTTTAGAAGATTTTTTAGAATGTGCTGTTATACTATTTGAAATTAAAGTTAGCCTTTGATTATTGCATCTTCAAAGATGCAGTGTTCTTCTGTGTGAGAGGAAAGAAAGGAATTCATATCTCTGCTGAGATTCACTCCCTTGCCTCCTTCCACCAAGTCCTAATCATTTTCTGCATCCAGAAGGTTTGGGATAGTGGAGAAAACATGAAACTTGGAACCAGCTGGACTTGGATATTACTCTTGGCATTGCCACTTATTAGCTACAGACTCTCAGGCAAGACTGAGTTTCAGGATCCACACCTATAAAATAGAAATAATAATACCTACCTTGCAGGATTCTTATAATACCCCCTCTTAATAAATGTAATCCATCATTATTGTTATTATTAAATTAGTATTCATAAATGTTGCATGGGGTAGATGAGTGCTGAAGTATGAACAAATCTCAGTCTTTCTCTATCATTTGTCTATCTACCATTTATCTTAGTTTATCTGTATCTCATCTCTATTTCTGTTGTGGCCAGTGTGGGAGCTTTTAGTCTATGTATCTAAGTTGATTAGAGTACAGAGCAAAAGGCTGTTTATGACATATTTTTCCATATTGTTCTTTATTTGTCCCATAACACAGATTATAGCCTAAACCCAGGCCAGCCATTTCAGAAATGCATGTCACTAATCACAGAAAATATAGATTAAATCTGTCACCAATACAGGGAAAAAGAAAAAGAAATGCTTTACTGGTCTATCATATTCACACATGAAAGGCAGAATTATTTCTATTTTGGCTTCCTTAATTTGTAAGATACTAATGAAAGATTTTAAAGTAGTAACAAATCAACAAATTGGCCTTTTAAATTAAAATGTCTTACTAGTTGTAAAACACTAAATATTAGTTTTTTCTCCATTATAGTTGTTTTAAATCTTATTTTTCAAATCATACTTTTTAGTGTACAAAAGAAATAGAACGCAAATACCATGAAAATCTATGTTGCTAGTGTTTGCACCAAATAAACAACTGTTATTTAGTTTACATTTCATGGGAAGGGTCCTTTTTAAATAATGTTCACCATAAAATTGGTAGTTCAAGGAACTTGAGAAAATTATGTAATATTTTCATTTGGGGCTTCTTATCTGAGGGATTTTGTTGTCAAACAAAAAATAAAAGGTAGGGGGGAGTTTTGTTGTCTAACACCTTACATTTAGTTCAAAAAGTGAGCAAACATTTCCTGAGTTCTTACTAAACGCAAGACACTGGGAGGATTTAAAAAAGGAATAGATTATAGATAATTGAGATACATTGTCTGCAGTTGGTAAATTCAGAATACCTAAACTGACCCGAATAGACAATGAATTATTAATCTCTGGTAAATATTAAAAGATAGTACTTATATATAGATGCTATGAGAATATAGTAGAATAGGGTTGAGGAAGCCCATTATAGTCATTCCACTGGAAAATGTGAAATAGTCACTCAAGGAAGGTGCATTTTAATAGTATAGGGCAAATGTGGTGGGAGGACGACTTGAGCCCAGGGGGTCCAGTCTGTAGTGAGCCCTATAGTGCCGCTACACTCCAGCCTGGGTAACAGAGTGAGAACCTGTTTCAAAAAGCAAAAATATATAGAGAGAGTATTGAAAAGCACAATTTTTGAGCAAACATTTATAGATACATATTCCTTTGTTATACACGTTTTTTTTTTAATTGAATGGATCCCATGTACCATTATATAGATTGTGCTTAAGAATAATAAAAATATATGGAGAGTTACTTATAGAACTAATTTCAGATAAATTTTAAATATGTAATACTTCAAATTTTCTTAAATATACCCAAAATATTTCCTTAATTTTACAGAACAATAAAATGTCTGATTTCTGGCAGTCTTTTCCATGCCCAGGCTAGACAATCTATAAACATATTGTCTAACTCTTCAAGATACCACTATGACTTGCAAATTGCATATCTGAATTGCATTAACAGGTTGTTTATTCCTGCTCTTGTAAATTTTCCCTTATTTCTAATTAAATTTGGAACAGTGTGAAAAGGTTATCTGTTTGGCTTTAGTGATCATTGAATATGTATCTTGTCACATAATTGACATGAAGATTTCCTAAACTGACATTAGTGGTAATTTGAGTCTATTTGAGGAATCACAAAAGTTTACTGAAAATAGCATTATGACTGCTATTATTTTAAATTGGAGACCAAAAATGCATAGCAATCTATTATTCTATGAAAAGATTCAAACAATGTTTATCCAGCGAAAATAACTGGGTAGGTTGCAAGATCAATTTAAGTTTAGTTCTGACATGCAACTTGTCC
This sequence comes from Homo sapiens, assembly GCF_000001405.40. NCBI lineage: Eukaryota > Metazoa > Chordata > Mammalia > Primates > Hominidae > Homo > Homo sapiens. The sequence goes on from NC_000002.12 coordinate 210,611,472, forward strand.
AAACTAAATCACCACATAATTTTTCTAATTGATTAGTGTATGATGAGCTGTAAAGATTGTGGAAAGACACATTGAATTTGTCACAGAAAGTTTAGTCTCCTCCTACGTTCAAAATCATAATCATCAGTATTTGTTATGACTCTCAAGGTTCTATTAATATTAATGCTTAGCTGTAAGGAAAGCCAACCTGTCTTGAATACTGACTGATACTCATTTACAAATAGTTTCTGTTTCAGTGTTAATATATTTCTGGTTTCTTTTTATTTGCCTTCCATTCTAAAGAACATGCGCATAAAGCAAGATCTTACTAAGAAAAGGTCTCTATGCTTCAACCTTGAATTTCTTATTTTAATACTATGGTCCAGAGCAGGTACAGGTGATTTCCTCATCAATCTCAGCAAATACAGCTGAACTCCCTGAGTGGTAAAAGACTGACCTAATGAAGATGCATTATACCAAAACCATGGAGAAAGTGAGAGAGGAAGAAAAAAAGGAACACCTTTTTTTTTTTTTAATTTGAGAGGCTTTATGATATATTTTTTGTTCTTATTTGTTTTATAAAATATATTTTACGTCCAGTTCAGTTACAAATTAAAGATACATAAGCTCTTTCTTTCAATATGAGGTCTTAAACATGTATTACAGGTCATGGCTATTGGTCGTACCTTTGAGGAGAGTTTCCAGAAAGCTTTACGGATGTGCCACCCATCTATAGAAGGTTTCACTCCCCGTCTCCCAATGAACAAAGAATGGCCATCTAATTTAGATCTTAGAAAAGAGTTGTCTGAACCAAGCAGCACGCGTATCTATGCCATTGCCAAGGTAAGATGTTACAAGGGGCCCACAGCTACTAGTTGCTTTTCCAGAATGTAGTCAGTCTGGACATTAAAATAAAACTGAATCACAAAGTGGTTTTAAATCAGGGATTTTTGGAAAATTTTTAATTCTTTTATAGTATTAAACTGGAAACATCTATAGATTTCATTAGAGTCTTTTACAATTAATGATAAATTATCATTTTTATTTGACTTTAAGCCTGGATTTAAGGGCAAATTGCAGTTTTAAAGGATGATTAAATAGATAAAATGTCCCCCTTTTTAAGTATACTTAGTACTAATACTCAAGTAGATTTGACTATATTGACTTGTCCTTTACTATTAACTTTATTACATGTTCCTTGAATGTGTAAAATTGTATTGTAGAAAGGAAGGTGCATACAATAATGTCCCTTAGTATGTGCCACTTGAGTCTAGAATAATCTTAATTTATTTGCTTCTCTTTCTGTGTTTAAAAAACAGCAACAGACTATAAAGGCCCACATGATTATAGGGTTTTCCATGTAATTATTTTATTGGTCTTACTTTCAGGAAAAAAGGCCCTACATTTCTCACTTCCCTCCACTACTTGCTTCTCATGCAAATTAAATGCCATGTTAATCTACTTTTATATTTACTGTGCTTAGAGTTTTGAAGTTTCAGCTCATCTGATTTTATAAAAGGTGACTTGGGCAGCTGGAATCTGTCTGGTCAGAAATCCCTGAAAGGCTTTTTGACATTTAAGGAAGCACAAGCGTTAATCCTCCAACAGTATCAAACCGCACTGGTTCTACAAAGCTCTACTGACCATTTTATGTTTGTGTGTGTGTATGTGTGTGCATGTGGGATGAGTCGGTGAAAACATGAACTTTCTCTTTAAAAGGATTCCCGTCTTTGTAATTTGCCTGTGTAGAAACAGAAAAATGTTGTTAGTGATTTTGAACTCATCGCAACTTTTATGTCCATATTTTGAGTCCTTAAGAGACCTGAAGGAGAGGAAGGGATATTTCCTTAATTGCATCCAATGTATATTCTCCTCGCTCTTATGGTTTCTAAATGGAAAATATTTAAGCCCTACTGAAATTCTGGGAGTTGCTATTATCTCTTGATGGACATTTTCCCATGTTGAGTTTCAAGGTAATTAGAATTTTTCTCTGGCGGTGGCGGGTGGGATAGCAGTGATAAGAAGTTATTTTAGAAAGCCATTTCACCTTCATCATTTATTATCCCTATTTCAGTCTTTTATTTAAGAAGCAGCTCATGACATTCATATGTGTGTGTGTGTGTGTATATATATATATAAAATTTTTTTCTCAGGCAAAGGACAGTAAATAGATTTTTTCCTTAAGTCTAGCAATCATGTTTCTGCCACTTTGAAGGAGATGAAAAAGGCAAGCATTTCCAAGTTCCCAGCTAAGCTGTAAAACTCAAGCAAATCTCTCATTCTTTTCTAACAGACTTATAAAAGATGAGAATCTGGGAAAAATGTGTGGAGGTTCTTTCTTTCACAGGGTACCCTATGTATGAGCAAGAAGTGCAGGGGCTGCGTGTAAATTATTGCCTGCTCGAGTGCTGGGAGAAGGAACTGATTTCTGTTTGTTAGAGGTCATCATTACTGTTCATTTCAACAGCAGCCGGGAACTTGGTGATTTTGACAGAGAGTGTAAGGACGGTGGAGGGCTGAAGGGGAAAAAGAATGAAGGGAGTGTGTAAATCTTTGCTTGCTTTCATGAGTCTTAGAAAGAGCAACTTGCTCTGAGGTCTGATTTTTACAGCAGTCTTATTTCAGGATGACTGGATCATCACCTCTTTTGATTTGGGGAGAATGCGGGGCATTATTTTTGATTTTTGGAACATTAAAGTAACCTCAAACTTGTTTGGGGGTCATTATAGACTTCATTACAGTGATGTTACATAGCAAAGCTGCAGTGCTTGGAGATGAGGTCTTAAGACTGGCAGGATCTTGCTTGCTGTTGAGAAATCATGGATTTTTTTTTTTATCCAGTCTATCATTGATGGGCGTTTGGGTTGGTTCCAAGTCTTTGGTATTACGAATAGTGCTGCAATAAACATACGTGTGCATGTGTCTCTATAGTAGAATGATTTATAATCCTTTGGGTATATACCCAGTAATGGGATTGCTGGGTCAAATGGTATTTCTGGATCTAGATCCTTGAGGAAATGCCACACTGTCTTTCACAGTGGTTGAACTAATTTACACTCCCACCAGCTGTGTAAAAGTATTCCTATTTCTCAGCATCCTCTCCAGGATCTGTTGTTTCCTGAATTTTTAATGACAGCCATTCTAACTAGCATGAGATGGTATCTCATTGTGGTTTTGATTTGCATTTCTCTAATGACCAGTGATGATGAGCTTTTAAATGTGGCACATATACACCATGGAATACTATGCAGCCATAAAAAAGGATGAATTCATGTCCTTTGCAGGGACATGGATGAAGCTGGAAACCATCATTCTCAGCAAACTAACACAGGAACAGAAAACCAAGTACCACATGTTCTCACTCATAAGTGGGAGTGGAACAATGAGAACATATGAGCACAGGGAGGGGAACATTTCACACCGGGGCCTGTCGGGGGGTGGGGAGGTAGGGGATGCATAGCACTAGGAGAAATACCTAATGTAGATGACAGGTTGATGGGTGCAGCAAACCATCATGGCCCGTGTATACCTATGTAACAAACCTGCACGTCCTGCACATGTATCCCAGAACTTAAAGTATATATATATATATAAAAGAAAGAAATCATGGATTTGACTGTAGTCCTTTCCTTCCTTCCAGTGAAATGACTACAGGATTCTAGGCCCTCCCTCACTGTATGTGCTTGTGTGAAAACCTCCTTTGATCTCTTAAAAGTTTCAGTAACTTAAGGTTCTCTCCACCTCACAGTGTAGATGGCCGACAGCTAATTGTGCCTTTAATCACTTAGAAAGTAAGACAGAATATTAAGTCTTTGGGAACCTGACTGTAATTACAGGGAGAATTAAACAAAAGAAACATACATTGACTAGGAAATGAACATGGCTTTGAGTATTTCTGTTAAATGTCATCTTACTCTAGTCAACAAAATTATGAGCCATGCCATATCTCAACAATTATAATCATGGTCTCTCTGATACTATCATTATGTAAAAGCTTTAAGAAAAGTAAGCTCCCTGGGCTGAAATATACCAGCAGAGTTACTAGTTGCATATATTTCTTAATGGGTCTTAAAAACGCAGTGTGTTATTCTAAAATATGTTGTTCTGGAATATTTTCAGATTTTTCACAGGGTATATACACGTACACATACACACATACAAGAATAAGAGTAGACATCTTTTTGTATAAAGATTTTGGTTTTGAGAGTTTATCTCTTTTTTCAGTTAAATTTTCTACTCAGCTTAATGACCCATAGTTGTAGTTTTACTTTTGAGAAATTGATAAAGTAAGCTTGAGGAAGAGGCTGAGCTGCCTATCAGAACAGAAGTTATTACTACATTGTTTTGGAATATATTAGGATTTTAAAAAATGCCTGCCTTAGCACAAAAATCATAGTGACTGATTCAAAACAATTTTTTATTTGAAGTCCTCTGTGAGGAAATATTCTGGAGGAATAAAGCCAAGCCAGATCCGACCCATAAATTCTCACTGACTATTGTATGTTTGTGTGAATGTGGAGTGAGGTGATAAAAATATGCTATCTCCTACAAGATAACTATCAACACTACAAGTTAAGAGATCATTATATTAATTCTAGATTTTCTTACCAATTTGGCTTAACTGTAGTTTCAAGAGACTTTCTTTAATTCCAAAGAGATGTACCAAATTTAGGGTATAATGGGTAACACAATCAAATAAAGAGGAGCGAGTCAAAACCTGTTAGGAGATTTTTCTGAGAACACACCACTCAAGGCAAGCACCTACTCTGTATGCCATTTGTGGATATAGTTGGCACCATCTTTATGTTTATTGGAAGGAATGTCAGTGATGTCAGTTTCATGTTTTGTAACTCAGTCTACAGTCTCGGGCTCTCTAAATAACACACAGAGGCATGACTGCTATGTATTTTAAACCAAATAAGACATTTAGAAAAATGTTTGCCAAAGAAAGTATCTCTTCTCCTCTTGGCAGGCCATTGATGACAACATGTCCCTTGATGAGATTGAGAAGCTCACATACATTGACAAGTGGTTTTTGTATAAGATGCGTGATATTTTAAACATGGAAAAGACACTGAAAGGCCTCAACAGGTAAGGCAGTGCTGCTCTCATTCATGCCAGACACCTTCAGTGCAATTTTTAAAGAGTCTTCTTCCTACTCTTAAGCATTTGGTCTACATTGTGATTCAATGAGGTAGATAGTGCCATTGTTGGAAAATAGTACCCGTAGCCAGAAGACAAATGGCAGGTTTTTTTTTTTTTAGATGTTTACCTTTAGAAATGTATCCATTAATCTTTTTAATCATCTTCTATTCCCACCCTTGTCATCAGACATAGTAATAAGGTCTTTTGAATGCACAAAATTGGTATACATTGATGAACGTGTATTATTTAATTATGAAGTATTATCTAGATTTAAATTTTATTAATCAATTAAATGAATATTTGTTTTCTATAAATTTTCCTCTACATTCTGAAGTCTGTTTTCCCCTTTTAATATCAATCTATACATTGCTGTATATTGAGGAGAAAATGCATTCCTTTTGCGCTCTACTGTTTTTAAATTGGGACATTCAGTTCAGCATACAATTAAGCCACATTCAGGTTTCTCTTAACAGACTCTTCACCTCTGACTAATTTACATTTTTATCTCCATCATGGCCAATTATTTTTAAACTTCATTTTATGTTGAGAATATTTTGATAATGTAGTCCTTAAAATCTACTTTTAAATTTTTCATGGGAAACTGCTGGGGCACCTTAGGCTGATGAAAGCATGGATCAGTTTTAAACATCTATCTTCAATAAGAGGAGCATTTATTAGCAGATTAAGAAAGACAATATAGTCCTCTTGAACTTCTTCCCTCTGAAAGCACTCTGAAATACACTACTATTGGAAAGACGTCTTACCTGCAAACTAGGGATGTGTTTAGAGAAGGAAAAATTTTGTTTGTATAAAAATTGTTCTCAAATGATTTGACAAAATGTAGATACTTTAATCACTTAAAATATCTTTGAGGACAGTGGAAAATCTCAAAACCTGGATTGCTCAACTATTTAGCAATTGCAACATATACTTGGGTTACTGTATTTGCCTGATCAATATGTGTACAAACTAGGTAATAAAACACTTGCTTTTCTTTTTGAGAAAAATTAGGTTCTTTTTCATCTATTTAATTATTGCCCATGTCAAATGCTTGGTTTTGAAAACTGAGGAATTCTATCTGACAAAGATGAAACCAGCTATAGTTGCTTGTAAATCATCCTTTCTAGTGATCACATAAAATGAACAGTAGACAGCAAATAATTTAGGAATTGAACCTATACATTTATCTTATAATTTTGCTGACTTAAGTTTCCCTTTCTTGGTTTATGATGCCAGCAGAACTTCTGTGTAAAATTATAGTCTGTTCTACTGTTCTCAGTTTCAGGCAACTGATTTCAAATGCCTATGAAACCACTCCAATTAAGCCACATGGGGGTGCTAGAAACTTATAGTATGCCAGTCACAGCAGTGGAAAAGACCTGGGGTGGAAAATAGCAGATGTTATTGTGATTTAAATTTCCACTTGACATACGTTCTGATTTTTGGACAAATTCAATGTTTTAATTGAATAGTTTTCGTTACAACCAGAAGGCAGGTTGAGATTCTAACTAAGCATAAATAAGGGTATATTGATAGTGAAAAAGGTCCTTGGAGGATTAAAACAACACACTGTTACAGATCATTTATAATATTTTTCTGACTTCCACATTCTGTTGCATTTATTTGCCGACAATTTGACATTTTCAATCTCCATTTTCTGGCATAAATATATTTGTAAATAGGGATATTTTCTATTGTTCATAATGATCTACATTTAAAACTCTTTATGTAAAGCTTTATATCATTTCAAAAATTTCAAAAACTTACACTTAAAATCATCTCTACTGTATAAATTTGTTTTTGATCCAGGGAGGTTGAAGTGTCTATTATATAGCAAAAGCTAAAGTAAACCTGAAGTGGAACTCACAGATGATCCACGGCGTTAGCAAACCTAAACCCTGAACTCATTATCTGAGTGTCACTTTATGGTTTAATTCCTTTCTTTTTGAAGTGTCATTGATGCACGCATAGCAATTTGATAATGATTGTTATTTAGCGGTATTAGATAAATAACAAGAATAGATGGCCACTAAAGCTACCTGTCTCCATCATTTTGTGGCACATAGGGGTCTGAAGTTGAAAGAATACGACAGCTGATGGAATGAATGTTAAGTATGTAAGGCCTTGAGTTTCCTTGCCCTATTTTAATTATACTCACCATTAGTCTGGGTCTGAGTCCTCTGCTTTTTCTCGGCCCCTCAATATCCAGGGAGGCTTAGTCATCAAGGTACGTACTGCTCCAACAGTAACAAGAGCTCCCTATTAATGACCTATAGCTGACTTACATATTGCGAGTTTGGAGAGAGGCTGAGAAGATTAGTTGTTCTTTTTCATTTGTATTTATTTATGGTTTACTTTGAAGATCTCAACTGCTTCTGTGTTAGAATGGCTGTCTTTAGCTGTAGGCCTAGGAGCTAGCGATTTATTTGGTGTGCGTTCAGAGAACTCCAAAATTCTCCTGCCTCAACATCTATCTCTGCTGCCAATGTACCGCACTCCCTTTGTACTTTTCATAGAGATCCTTGAGAAGACAGGCAGTGGGGCTCTCACTTGGGAAAAGAGAAGTAAATTAAGAGAAAAAATATAGAATGCTAGACGTGGGTTTTCTGGTTCCACCCTTGTGCATTGGAAGGAGCAGACTATGGAGCCAGAGATTGGTGCGCAGTCCTCCCCACTGTAGAATCAGACGTACATCACCTCTTTCATTTCTCCAGATTCATGTTCTTTCTCTTAATCTCTGCTTCTAGTTTTTTTGTGAAGCTTAATTTATATAAGTATAAATGACATCTGACATATTGTGAGGGCCCAAGAAAATTTTTCCTCTTTTCCCCTGAAAATAAAAATGCTACTTGTTGTAATAAAGGTTACTTTATGATTTTAGATATGTATTATATATTATGATTTTAGATATGTAGATATGATAGTTAAATATTTAAAGATTCATTTTCAGACTCACAATTTTTATTTGCTTTTATATTTTGCAATGTATCATTTCTTAATTTCCTTTATGATGCATCACTTATTTTAATATCAGACCTATTTTTTAAAGGAAGCAATTGATAGCTACGATGCAAATGCTATTCTTATTAAAAGATAAATAGCTTTCCCTTATGCTAATGAATAAAAATTCCTACTCTACAGTTGTTAATCAATCTCGAGTTCTAAAGTCCGATAAACACATTTAATAGCAGAGGATGAGCATATCATTAAATTGATGGTCAGTCTCTGACTTGTGTTTACATATAGTCATCTGAAATGAAGTTCAGAATTTGAGTCCCAAATAGACTATACCCACGCATGGACACAGGGAGGGGAACATCACACACCGGGGCCTGTTGGGGGGTGGGGGGCTAAGGGAGGGATAGCATTAGGAAAAATACCTAATGTAGATGACGGGTTGATGGGTGCAACAAATCACCATGGCACGTGTATACCTATGTAACAAGCCTGCATGTTCTGTACATGTATCCCAGAACTTAAAGTATAATATAAAAAAAGAAATATAAAAACAAGAACATAGTTTATGTTTGAAATGTAAACAATAAATGTGCTTATTTATGCAATAGCTTCAAACAATATATTTTAAGATAAAATACAATGGAAATTATTAAAAAAGATATACTCACATATTTAGTATATATAAATATTCACAGACTGAGATGGGGAAAACAAAACAATGATTGTAACTAGGTAGATATTATGGAAATAACTGATGAGTTTTCCATGCCTGTGAGATAGTAGAAATTATAATCAGAAACCCTTCTCTTTGAAGGGGAGAGATAAACATGTTTCATGTTCATGATTACGTATGAAGTCTCATCTTTCTGCAGGGTGATGAGACAAGAGGGATAGGTGTATTAGGCCATTCTTGCATTGCTATGAAGAAATATCTGAGACTGGGTAGTTTATGAAGAGGTTTAATTGGCTCACAGTTCTGTAAACTTCACAGGAAGTGTGGTGCTAGCATCTGCTTGGCTTCTAGGGAGGCCTCAGAAATCTTACAATCATGGCGGAAGGCAAAAGGAAAGCAGCCGTGTCCTATGGAAAAAGCAGGAGCCAGCCAGAGAGAGGGAGTCGGTGGGGGAGGTGCCACATACTTTCAGACAACCAGATTATGCAAGAATTCACTCACTATTGCCAGGAGAGCACCAGGGGGTTGGTGCTACATCATTCATGAGAAATCTGCTCCCATTATCCAGTCACCTCCCACCAGTCCCCATCTCCAACACTGGGGATTAAATATCAATCTGAGATTTGGGCAGGGACAAACATAAAAACTATATCAACAGGTATCAGAATAATCAACTCAGCATCCTAGCTTTGAGTGCTTGCCCCCTCAGAACTCAGTATGCTGTCTCTAATACCTGAATATAGTAGCAATGGCAACCCTCACAAGACTTCTGAAGCAATATCTATTCTTACCAGCTTAGGTAATAACCATTATTTAGACAGCTTCAGCCAAAAAAAGATCTCTTTCCTGTTTACGCTCACTGACTTTCTCCTTTTCCACTTAAACTGCTTATTGCTACCCAAGGGCATGGTAGGGAAGCTGACTGTTCTAGGCAGTTCCCCAAATTTATAGGCTGGTGTAGTAGCATTAACTGACCTAGGGTGATAACATATTTACAGTGGATTTCTTTAGGATTTGAGAAGTTTCTTTTTACTCAGTACGATATAAGTTGTGTCATGTAGGATTCGAATACTTGTTATGTGTATGCTTTGGAATTTAGATGTTTAATGGTCACCAAAGGTCTTTTAACTTCACATTGTCAGATCACCCTGCAAGGAGTTTGAGGAAAATGAAGTCTATATAAATTTTTAGTGGAACCACAACATGTGCATAATCTCTGTCCATTAGCTTTCACTGCTAAGCTATTGATATTTTAGTCTATTTTTCCCATACTCACTCTCCCAATGCCGACGCTTTCACATATTGTGCTCTTCCCATGTAGTATTTTAATAAATACCAAAAGAAAAATATCCTTACTCCGATCTGTAAGAAATTATAAAAATCTCACCTATAGTTCTTTTTTCCATTAGTGCATAGATTCAATTTTGGTCATGTAAAGATCTCCTGCCTGGAGAGAGGAAATGCAGGTACCATAAATCAAATAAAGATGTCAAATGTCTTCACCAACTAGGTTCTTCTGATATAGCCTATTCCTTATTGTAACCAAATAATGAATTTATAACTCTTAATACTGAAACTTGAATTTTGATTCAGTTTAATAATTCTGAATGCCTTCCAAGGGTAAGATAATAATCACAAAAATTTTTGGACTACATATTAAGCACTGTTCTAAGCACATTATTTTGTTTAATTCCTAACACAACATTAAGAAATCAGTGATTGTCCTAATTTTATTGATAGTAAACTGAGGCACTGAGAGATTCAGCAGTTTCCTCTACATCACATACTAATAAATAACAGAATTGGGATCAAGTCTAAGCAGGACTCCAGAACCCAGGATACTTGCTATTTAACCCCTTATATTTGATATATAATTATATTCTTATATACTTTTTACTTTAGTAAAAAGTAAACATTGTTTTTATGTACAATGTTGCTATTTATGTGAGCAATATTGTGGATGAAGCTTAGAAAGAATACTTACATGTAAGTATATACCTACATACTTAAATATCAAATATAATATATTTATATTTGTGTATACCATAGATGACTGCTTAAAAATAATACATATATGTGTATGCTTATATACTTACATATCAAGTATATGGTATGTAAGTGTGCATGTAAATATATTAAATATATGTAAACATAAGCATATATATACACACACAGAAACAGGTTTGCTTGGGGTATAGAAACAGATTTGTTTAGAGGTGTAGATAACATCTAGAGGAAATAAGAAGTAAGACTACCTAAAATAGACAGCTTCAGTTTAGAAACAGTAGCCAATAAAGGGGTGATAGTCCTATCATGGTAGAATCAGCATATATAATGAAGGTTTCTACTATATTATTAATAAACAAGCACAGGTACAAATATCCTTCAGTTGGACTCCCCTTGCTATAAGTATGTAAGGAATTCAACTATAATAGAACTTGTGAGAAAGAACTATTTCAGGACTTTACACCCCCAAGCATTATTATTTATAATACCAATTTGGATTGGCAATTTTATATTGAAAGACAATCATGATACTTAAAAAAAAAAAAAAGACACATGAACAGGCAAGAAAAAAAAAGTGAGAGTACAATTACCAGCTTTAAGCATCTGCTTATCCCTCTGGCTGTAACTGTTTTTAATTTTTTTATTTCCTTATTTTGTTTTTTTGGTTTCTTTAGCTATTTCTGACTGACATATCCAGCTTGGAGATTTTATTATACCTGCCTAAATTGTATAATTTCGCTCTTTTACTGGCTAAAACTAAGCTGAATTAAGTTTTGAATCCTTGCTTCAAGTGATTATCTTAAAGAAGATGGCCAGCCTCTGCTTTTGCTATACCATGTTAAATCATCAAAGTGAAGGTTTTCTACCATTTATGATGATTGCTTGTTCTTGTGCATTCCATTCATTTTGGGCAATTTTCCTTCAATGGTCCATTTTGCTCTCTTGTTTTTATGTACAATGCCGCTATTTATGTTAGCAATGTTGTAGATGACTACTTAAAAAGAATCTATTTTCATTCATTTTACACGTTCAAAAGTAGGAGATATAACCATTGTGATACAATTTATACCATACGAGTATTGGAAGCTAAAATTTGTATTTGTTTCCCTATTGTTGACATAAACTTTACTATGGATTTATTTACAAATTATCCAGATATTGCTTTTGTCTAATATTCTGTAGGTTTCATGTGGTTTTTTTTTGCTATCTTCACTCTAATAACTTTAATATTCTCTTTCCTCTTTACTGCTTATAGTCAATATAGTTTTAAAAAAAAGAGTAAAGTGCACTTTTCAAGGGTCCAATTTCCATCCGAAATCACTATGTTCAATGTGATAAACTATGTCCATTGGTGAGTGGTGAAAAATCATAGGCGTGCCTATTGCTTAGGAAAACAATCTAGGACAACCCTGGTGAGTTCCACTTGGGCATTCAAGTGCTAAATTGAGCTCAGTAAAGTTGGCCATTTCCCTGCAGCCACAAACTTCTGGCAGATGTAATAATGCAGGTGTCACGTTAGCTGGAACACTCCCTTTGAATGTCCTCTCCTACACATGCTAACTTCTATTGACTTTTTATTTAACTTGCTCATGAGGCATGGCAAAAATCAGGCAAGAACGTTTTGTGCTTATGCTTGATTGAAGTTTCTGGGGGAAAAGTGTCACCTAAGAGTTGTTGGAACTTAGATATAAGAAACAGAAGGGTCAGTACTTTACTTTCTGATGACAATGTATATTTTCTGGTAGAAAAAAATCAACAACTTTCATCTTAAACTACTAAATATACAAGTAATTTAAAGAAAGATAATATAACATATAATCACATTATAATTTTTGTGATACTTTACTATGACATGTTTTTGTGATAGCATCTATTATTTTGGATATAGAAATGAGAATGGAGATGATTGAACACTTTAGTGGAACCCATTAATTTGATTTGCAGAAAATGGTCTTATGTCTTCTCATATTACTACTAACTCACACGATATTCTAAGCCTCAGTTTCACCCTAGTAAAAACAAAACAAAAAGAAACAACACAAACTCCCTTCTTATTTTACTGGTCAGTCATGCAGCTAGCTGAATATATACTATATGTGAAGTAACAAACTTTAAAGAAAAACAGTCTTACCAGTTATTACATATTACCATTCTATGCTTTCAGTCTTCATACTCCAAGCCATTTATATAATGAACCTCTTCAGGTGTACTAAAAAATGGGGCTTATATATACAAGTACTTATTTCTTTGTAAGAGAAGAGTAATACCATGGGAAATTTTATAACTCTGTGAACTAATGCCAAAAATACATTTTATTTTTAATTTGCTTTTATGTTCCATGTAATAAAAGGATATTTTAGGTGATGTCATAGGTTTGATAGGACTCCACTAATTTTTAAAGTAATAATTTATTGAGATAGATATAAAATTTTACATCAAATATTTAATGTTCTGAGAGTCTTCATTTGTTATTTAAATAGTGTTTTCATAGTTTTGGCAAATGATTGTGCATTTTTGAATTTGTGAGAGAGTACTTCCGAGTCTGGCATGGACAAGATGAATGTTTTGCTTAAAAGGTTTTCAGAGTAATATTCAGATGACTCATAAAGTGCCTATTATGTTTCTGTATATTAATTATTGTATGTTTGCTAGTTCATAAGAATATACAACTTAAAAATTTTAAGTTGATTTAAAATAACACATACTCAGAATATGTGTATATATATCTATAAATAGTCAATAATTAATACATTATTCCTGTGTTAATGTCTCTGAACTAAGCGTGATGGGATATATATTTACTTGATGGCATTTCTTTTTATTAGGAGCTGGTATTAGACCAAATGGTATTTGTTCTTCTATTCAGTCATTATGTATTGGGTACCTACTATGTGTAAGGTTTTGTGCTAGTTCCAAAGCCATTTGTTGATGAATAATCACTAGTTATTAGACCAAATGGTATTTGTTCTTCTATTCAGTCATTATTTATTGGGTATCTACTATGTGTAAGGCTTTGTGCTAGTTCCAAAGCCATTTGTTGATGAATAATCACCAGTCATTGAATCTATAATATAGGTTTATAACCTATACAAAGAGCTATATATAGACAGGACACATTAATGGACATGTGAGAAGCAGAAATATGAATTCATGAAAGTTTAGTGGAGGTTAGAAACAAAAGCTCTTAGCTAACTTTACACATGTTATCTCATACAAGTCTCGATGTACAGTTTTTAGGAGGTATGTGTCTCTATCCCATATTTTATGAAAGAAATGATGACTCAGAATGTTTAAGTAAATTCTCCTTACTCCATATTGGAGCCAGGTTTTGAGTTCAGAAATCTCTCAGTCCAAGGACAATATTCTTTCCTTCAATATATCCCACTGTCATGGGAGCCAAAGGAAGAAGGAAGAGAGAATTTAAAATAAATGAAATAGAAAGACACTTTCAAGAGGATTGCATGGTTTAGAGAGAGAAGAGAGAAACAGAATTAAGTCCTCATTTGATGTTGGGTAGGTAGGAGTGGAAGCTAGGCTATAAGGTCCAAACACATAGTGAGAAACAGGTAGGTAAAGGTATGAATTCTACTCAGGAACTGACAAATTGTGTTTGCTCTTTATCCTATTTATGCTATTTTTCATAACAGTGAAAATCTGACTATGAAGAAATTAAGATAGTATAAGAAGAAAAACTAAAGTGGATATTAGCTACCTGTTTGTTCATTGGGTGAAATAGTTGACGCCACACAGTCTTACTTCATTGTTCCGTAAATATTGCATATATCCTAATATCATCCCCCAATTAAATTGTGATTTTCATTAGGGAAAGTATCCAATACCATAATGTCTTAATATGTTTTTATTATAGGTCTTTCTTAGCAAAAAATTGTGTTAATTTGTATGAATGCAGAATAGAGTTCACTGTGGCATAAGGTATAAGTCATAATTTCTGAAACAGATACAAATGGTTTCCAATTCTTTATTTACCATATATTTTCTTGGGAATTGATATATGGTGCTTTGTATAAACACTCAACAATATTTGTATGATAATATAACAAATAAACTTTCTTGGTAGAAAGTGAAAATCATCATTTCTTAGTGATGGCAAAGGAGGGGGAATTGTAGTGGAGCAAAATGCATATGATTCCTGGTTGTTCAAAGGGATTGAATTCACAAAATTCACAAAATTATTAATTAGAAAATACATAGCCCAAGATATAAACTGACTGTGTTGGGAAATATTGTAAACCAACATCTCTAGGTTTTAATTTCTTAAAGTAGTTATGTATCTACTAATTAGCTAGGAAGGCTCTGAATAAACTGTTTTTTAATAAAAAGAGATTTATCTAATTGTTTTATATTGTCAAAGATTATATACATGTAGGCAGTATAGGTATATCGTGAAATCTCTAACTCCTGGTGAGAACTAACCAGTGTTTGTGTATTCTTGATCTTCAAAAATTATTCACGTTTTCAAATTTTTGCATTTTCTGAGAAGTTTTTGTGAGAAATATTCACAGACATTTTCAACTATATGAAGGGATATGATTTTATTAACCAGTGAAGAAGGTTAAGGCAAAAATAAATACTTATTTAAAATACAGGCATCTACTGTATATCTCCGGTGACCTTAAAGTACATTTCTATTATAATAAAGGTGAAAAATATCACTATCCTATTTTTATGGATGGTGAAACTGAATCACACGAGGTGTGTGTCATACTTTATGTCACACCAATCAGAGGAAAACAAGGAATCTAGCCCAGGGCTCCCACTTTCAGTTTTAGTCACTAACCCTTTTCAAAAGCTTCTTTTGCGAGATATGACTTTTAAATCAGACAGCTGGAGATCAGTTCCTGCTTAGCGGTCAAGTTGTGAGCCACCTGCATTGTTGACCCCACTTAGAGAGGAGACATTGTGAGGAATTTGCCCTTTTCCAAAACTCTTGGGGGAAAACACAGGAAGTCTGGCAGGGAGAAAGCCCCAGCAAGTCACCTTTGAAAAATGTAAACAGGATTTTCAAGGGTACAAAGACCCAGGATAATAATTTTCTTTTTAAGTTTTGCTTTATTTATAATAAAAGATTTGTATATATTTATACACAATATATGTCTATAGGTATCTTTTCTTTAAAGTACAAATACCTTGCCTTCCATGTTTAGGGAGGTGTGAGTAAAACAACTCTTGAGCGTAGAATGGAATTAAATTTACGCAAAATAGGCTGCCAGAGCTATAATTACAGAAGCTAGATAATTAGTTGCTGACCCCAGAATTTCTTCAGCTGCTAATTTATACTTGAGATGCCTTTATGGGGCATAAAGCCTTTGAGTCTGACCTTAGGATAGAGTCATGCACTTCGTATCCAAAGACTATAAGGCAGCGACCATGCCTCCTAACAGTGGAGTAAATACCCGAGAGCACTCTCTCTCTAGAAGATCAATTTTGACTTGCAGGGAGTCGTAAGTATGGTGGCCCTCACCACCTCAAAGTGTGAGTACAGAAATACTACACAGGAGAGGAAAGAAAACAAAGGGAGCTGAGGTGCTGGGCCAAATGTAGGTGACTTGCTAGTTTTGCTCTTCTAAACTTCTCCTCCTGCTTCTTCTCTTCTTTCTCTTCCTCTTTCTCCTCCCTGTTGGTCTGGTTCTTTCCCTTCCTCCTTTTCCTCCAGCAATTGTATCTATTAAGCACTTATTACCTTCTTGGTGTTGTGCTGAACACTTGCCACATTTATTATTTTATCTGGCTGATGAGTCTTTTTCTCAGGATGGTGGAGCATGACTACAGGTTTTGGGCAAAGGTATTTGCCTATCTAAGGTTGAAGTAGGTATTTTGACACCATTTGCCTATATAACTATAATGATGATAATGTAATGGCCATCACAGCAATATCCACCTGGCAGTATTAAATTGCAGTTACTTCTTCTACCCCTCCCCTTCTACCCACTCTTCAGCTGATAAACTGACAAGTATACAGTTGTAGTGTCAAGTGGATGGTAATTTTTGCTTTCATGGATTTTAATGTGCATTTTCTATGTCTTCTTATGAAAAACCCCAGATAATAAAGATATCTGCTTTCCATGTAGGTAGTAAGCCTCATATCAACATAGACTGAATATGACATGTCACCAGGAATTTAATTCTAGCATTTTCCCACATCCTCCTAAAAATAACTTCTCCTTTTCCTCCTTTCTAAAAATGGCTTACATTTTTTCCTTCAAGAACTAGAAAAATGTAGTCAAAAATTATTCTTATATATCTTACATTTTTCTAGGAAAAAAATAAGCAGTAGTTATTAGTAGATAGGCTTCTGTTAAGTTTTTAGGAGGCTGAGACAGGCAGATCACAAGGTCAGGAGTTTGAGACCAGCCTGGCCAACATAGTGAAATACTGTCTCTACTAAAAATACAAAAATTAGCTGGGCGTGGTGGCAGGCGCCTGCAGTTCCAGCTACTTCGGAGACTGAGGCAGGAGAATCGCCTGAACTGGGGAGGTGGAGGTTGCAGTGAGCCAAGATCACGCCACTGCACTTCAGCCTGGGCAACAGAGTGAGACTCTATCTCAAAAAAAAAAAAAGTTATTTATTTTAACAAGGCTCTAAGTAATTCTTTCTAGAAGTCAAAGAAAGATATATTGAAATATATTTATATATTTGTTGCTTGGTACAACCTAAGTGATGTTTGGAAAACTGCTCTGTGGAAACATGATGATTTAAACAAAGATGATGGAGATGTTTTAAAATATAGGAGTTTCAAATAAATTTATTTGCAATAACAAATTGTAAAACATCAAAGAGTGCCCATTCAATCCCTATTTTCTATGAGGCCTTATAAAGTGTTTCTTCTTATCTGTTAGATTTAAATTCTGTACACATAAAAATCTTATATTCAGGGGAAAATCCAGAGTTTTGCTTACTGAATACATCTTCTTTATTTTGGGGAAGGCATACATTGAATAGATTTAAAATTATAAATAAATGTATTCATCAGAAATAACAGAAGCAACATTTCATAGTATGGACTTAACCCGTTAATCCAATTGGCTCAAGCAAAAGCTATTTGATTGGTATCAGCATCCTTTTTTTTTCTTTTTTTTTGAGACGGAGTCTCGCTCTGTCGCCCAGGCTGGAGTGCAGTGGCGCGATCTCGGCTCACTGCAAGGTCCGCCTCCCGGGTTCACGCCATTCTCCTGCCTCAGCCTCCCGAGTAGCTCGGACTACAGGCGCCTGCCACCACGCCCAGCTAATTTTTTTGTATTTTTAGTAGAGACGGGGTTTCACCGTGTTAGCCAGGACGGTCTTGATCTCCTGACCTCGTGATCCGCCCGCCTCGGCCTCTCAAAGTGCTGGGATTACAGGCGTGAGCCACCGCGCCCAGCCAGAACACTTTCTTATATACGAATTGACATAACTTACTACTTTGGTTAGGCAGTTTCCATTTGTTTTTCATCTTGGTAAAGACGAATGGTAAAATTCAAATTTGGTAAAATCAAGGGCAGAGAGAGAGTCATTGCATCTTAAATTAAGAACCATGGGCCGGGCTCGGTGGCTCACGCCTGTGATCCCAGCACTTTGGGAGGCTGAGGCGGGCAGATCATGAGGTCAGGAGATCGAGACCATCCTGGCTAACACGGTGAAACCCCGACTCTAATAAAAATACAAAAAAAAAATTAAATTAAAAAAATAAAATTAGCCGGGCGTGGTGGCAGGCGCCTGTAGTCCCAGCTACTCGAGAGGCTGAGGCAGGAGAATGGTGTGAACCTGGGAGGCGGAGTTTGCAGTGAGCCGAGATCCTGCCACTGCACTCCAGCCTGGGAGAGAGAGCGAGACTATGTCTCAAAAAACAAAAAAACAAAACAAAAAAAAAAAACAAAACCATGAAAAAACAAAATGTGGTTTATTATGGCTCAAAAATTGCAATTAACCTACATTAAGCGTTTTTCTTCATCATTATTCCTTGTATTCATAGAGCATAATTATGACATTATATTCAATACTAAATGAGTGGCTTTACCAGATTAAGAGTAATATCATGATATTTCTGGATTATTAGGGTCATTAAAGATTAGCAAAAAAGAACAGGAAATTCAGAAAATTAAAACTTGCCTATTTAAAGATATCTACATTATCAGTTTCTCATAAGGTTTCCTTTTTAATGTTGATTTTACTGTTATTATTACTAGCCTTTAAGGTGAAATATAGTTTTAAGTATGCCATTTTTTGAAAACTATTACTTGTAACATTTTAGCATTATTGTGATAGAATCTGGGTCCACTTAGCACTATTAGATAATTTTCTTGATGCCATACTGTCACGTGAACATTGGATCTAGGTATTATTTGCTCTGTACAAGAAATATAAAGATTCAAGTCTTCTTAAATTCCTTCAAAGACCTCATTCCTGTATAGAAACAGCCATGGTACTCAAAAATTAAGACAAAATAGTAGTGCCTACCCAATTGCCTGGGTTTTTATACTTTGCTTTTCTAAATGCCACTTCTATTTTTGAAAATTGTCTTTTGCATTTCTCGTAAGGAAACACATAGCAACTTGTCTCCTTGAATGAAGAGAGGTGACAAATAATTTCTCCACTGATGGCATTATTGTGATTGTGGCATGGTCTTGAACCCGTGAAACGCCAAAAATAATAAGTGAAGCAGTAAAAAACTCAAGAGAGAGGCTAGTGAGGGTTCATGAGTCAGAGAACATATATCTTACTCAATTCTCTTATTAAAGCAGATGTCATTACTGAACGTCAGGCTTAGTTTTTTTCTGCCTTTTGGAGTGTTTTTTTTTTTTTTTTAAAGAGGATAATAATAAAATTGCAAACCCATTCCATAATTGTAGGCCAGGTGGAGTGCTCATTTTCACATTAGAGCTTGTGCAATCTGGAGGGAAATTTGGTTTAGTATTACTCGTGAGTTGGTGGATCAGATGAAAGCCAGTCAAGTGGAAGAGAGGACTGTGTGAAGTGCGCTGGCTCCCCTGATAATTAGAATGCTGCAGGCGTTCCTCCAGTCAGCTAATAGATTTCCCCAGCTCCTCTGTGCCAGGTGAAAATTTCCTCATTAAGGGGAATTTATTCCATTTCCTTTTATCATTTATTATTGAAGACTAAGTGTGAGTGGAGGAAATTTCAGAGATGACAGGGAGGAATTTTAAACAACAACAACAATATCTACATTGGAAGTCTTAGAGAATGAGGAGAAAGGCTTGTATTGTTTGTAAACCAGAGAACACACCAGAGACTTTTTGCTATAGAAGCCGAGCCATGCTGTCTCACCATTAAAAGATTATGGCAGAGTGTGTAAAAGTCTGATGGTCTGGTTTTAAGACATTTTTTTCACCTTCTAAAATTTCAGTCATTTTGTGCTGCTAAGTAGAAAGAAACTGAAGATTATGAAAAGGCCAGCATCACAGCCATTTGGTGTGTTGTTTTATTGTATAGATTCTATTATGCAATGATGAAAGTCTAACCTTTTGTAAAGTTTGCCCTTGAACTCTCAAAGCAAGGCAAACTGGCACGGGAAAGAATAGTTGTATATATAATAGCATATTTTAGAGGACACAGTTCTGAAATATGGATTTAATGTGTATATGTTCAAAAGAGTAAAAATTAACATAAAATACTAGTACATACAAATATATATCAAAGAACAGAAGGATAATTTATTATGCATATTTTAAAATTGTGTGCTTTTGTGCAATATGCTTTCTTCAGCTGATCACATTTCTAGCTGGGCATAAAGCTGTCTTGATTTACAACATAATATAAATGGAGTATTCCCTATTGAGGTTTCAAAAAGCAGTGTTGAATTATAAATTCAGTATTTATATTTCTTTTAGTAATTATTCTGTTTTGAGTTTGTTTCAAATTAAGGTTTTTATTTTCCTTCAGAAAAATAAAAATGTTATAGCCTTGTTTTGAAAATAAGCTTTTACCTAGTTTGATCAAAAAAACAAAAACAAAAACCCACCATGATGGAAATTGGTTTTGGCAAACAAAATGGAGGGAGCATAATGTGGGCAGATAAAGATGAGGAACATCTATCTGAGTCTCCACATTGTTAAATGAGCTTTATGTTTGCTTAAGATTATGCATCTTGTATTTATTTGACTCTGAGGAGATTTAACCTGATCTAAATCACTGCCCCACAACTAATGAATTGTGTCTTTGAACTGTCTTTTTTTTTCTTTGATTATAATGGGACACACAATACAATTTTGTATCAGAATAAGCTGGGACTAAAGTCAATTTTCTACTGTGTATAATGACATCTCAGCCAGCCTGGTGTTACACCAAAGAGAGAAAACAGAGGAGAGGAAAGGTGAGGACAATACAGAGAATTGACCTGCTTCCATTAGGAGTACCTTGTGGAATTAGGCAGCACTGACTGTGGGAAGGGATCTAACTTGCCTGTGCCTCTCTAATGGCCCTGGTGGGTCAGTATCAACAATGATTTCTCAGTGAGGAGGATTGCTAAGTGTTTTGCACTATTTCATGATCATGTCTAAAGAGCAGAAATAACCAGAGAGACCATGAACAAAATACTATAGAAATTACATTACTTTGGACATCCAATGATCACACATACCCAATATCTGTATTCAAGTTAAGGTAGATGAACATGAATGTACTAATATACCATTTCAATTTAATACATTCTAATTTTTAAGACATTTAAAAATATTGTATTCTGTTATTGATCTAGTTATTTGAAAATTGGGCAGAAGTTGAAGCAGTTTTTGGCTCACCAAGAAAATGTCCTAAGAATCAACTAGTGAGATTAAAATATGCAAGGTGCAGGTCTAGCTTGATACATCTGTTTCAAAATTCTCACCTAGTATGATTTAAAGGGATGCCTATGTAGAAAGTTTTCACTCCCATTCTGAAGTATCATTCACAATCATTATTTTGTGTTACTGTTGCTCTTCTCAGACATTTTCTTTAAATTATGAAAACTCTCTGGTGTGGGAAATGCTATGGGCAGGGGAGCAGTAACAGTTGAGTTAGTCTTAGTGACAGATGGCTTTTTTTTTTCGTCACCAGAGCTGAGTACAAAATTAACTCACTTCACTTTTTAATGCACAAGGCCAATTCTTATCAATCAACCTTTTTCTTTTCTCTCTTCTTTCTCGTTCTCCCTTCTTTCTTATTATTTTTATTTCTTTGCTGATAAGTGTTCAGTTTTATTAGTAGGTAGAGGCAGAAGACTTTGTATATTTGCTAGAGATGTCTACATACATTCTGTTAGACTCTTGTGGTGAAAAAGAACAAGAGAAATTATGCATATTCCAGAAATGAAAATACTACATTCCTGAATGAAAATACTGCATTGCTGAATGTAGACGACACAAATGCAAATTTATTGCATCCCTAATAGAAATGTGAGGAATCTAATTTTTTCTTATTTAATACCATTATTTATAATTTTCATTTTAAACAACATAGCGACCTTTGAAAACCTGACTGGTATTCCATGTAAGAAGGAATGCAAACAAATAATTAAAGACCCTCTAAAAATTGCAACAACAAACAAATAGAAAAACCTGACTGAAAAAGCTAAAGATAACTACATGACTTCTGCTTATCTTAGCATTTGAAGAACCCGCACTTATGGTGCTGCCGTGTTAGCCCATGGTCACAATTATAGATGTGATGGTTCTTTTCAAGGCATGTGTTTTAAGTGTATCTGGATGACTGTTCTTCAGAGTTAGGATTTTAGTCATTTAAGTAAAAGTGGTTATTGTTCTAATTTAGAAAAATCGCTTATTTGTCAAGCACTTCCACCGAAAGGCTGAGTGCATACTTGCACATAAACAAATGAGCAATTGGTTTGGGAGCATATTCTTGGCAAGGAAAGTGGAAACATACCTTTCTAAAACAAATAACAACAATAACAAAAAAAAATCTTCGCCAGGCGCGGTGGCTCACGCCTGTAATCCCAGCACTTTGGGAGGCCGAGGCAGGCGGATCACAAGGTCAGGAGATCAAGACCATCCTGGCTAAGACGGTGAAACTCCGTCTCTACTAAAAATACAAAAAATTAGCCAGGCGTGATGGCGGACACCTGTCGTCCCAGCTACTCGGGAGGCTGAGGCAGCAGAATGGTGTGAGCCCGGGAGGCGGAGCTTGCAGTGAGCCGAGATCTTGCTACTGCACTTCAGCCTGGGCGACAGAGCGAGACTCCGTCTCAAAAGAAAAAAAAAATGTTTCCTCTACTTTCAAAATTAATTTCTCTCTCTCTCTCTTTTTCTTGAAAGTAAAAGTAACCACAAACTTTGGTGTTTCCAAGGCTCTCTGAAGCTCTAAAGTCACCTCTGGGGTAAAGCCTTTCCAGACTTCTCCATTGGCAGCTGGGGTCCCCTGCCCTGAGCCACGGCTTCAACTTGTGCACACTTCTCCCACAGCACCTCTCATGATGTAGACATATCATTGGCTATTTGTGCTTCCTAACATACTCTGACCTCCTAAATGTAAGAGTACAATATTTCATCTTCCATCATTAATACAGGCAGGACAGGTCTGATACAGAGCACGTACTCACTAAATGTTAAAGCAGTAATGACAATGAATGTGGCTACCCTCACCATCCAGTTTCCTCAGTATGTTTCCCATACGTGCCATGTCCACTGCTGCTCTCAAACAATAGCCAATACTGTTGCCATTGCCTATTGTACACCTGTCAACTCCTTTATCTACATAAAGTTGAACTTTGTTTTTTCTTTTTTGAGGTGGAGTCTCCGTTGTCTGAGCTGGAGTGCAGTGGCGTGATCTCGGCTCACTGCAACCCCCACCTCCTGGGTTCAAGTGATTCTCTTGTCTCAGCCTCTTGAGTAGCTGGGATTACAGGCACCTGCCACTATGCCCAGCTAGCTTTTTGTATTTTTTGTAGAGACGGGGTTTCACCATGTTGGCCAGGCTGGTCTCAAACTCCTGACCTCGTGATTCACCCTCCTCAGCCTCCCGAAGTGCTGGTATTACAGGTGTGAGCCACCACACCCGGCCAAGTTGAACTTTATTTATAGCTCTGTTCTCATCCCTCCACTGCTGTAGTGTTTCTCAAGTACAACCTTTCACACTATTATCTTTCTCTGGCCTCACGTAGCACCACATAGCTTATCCCTCCATAAAGTGTTTTGAATCACTATCATTTCATTGTCTCAAATATTGTTTCCTTATCTTCTGGGGCAGCACTGTTCAGTAGAAATTTCTGTGATGATGAAATATTCTGTAATCTGCACTGTCTGACACTGGAGCCACTGACCATGTGTGGCTGTTGAGCACTTGAAACCTGGCTTTGGTGACTGTAGCTCTAAATTTTTGGTCTTAAAAGATTTAATTAGTTTTTCAATTTAAATAACCACATGTGGCTAGGGGCTGCTATGTTGGATGGCACAGTTCTAAAGCACAGGGCTTGGCACACATACTAAGTCAGCAATAATACTTAATATTGGATTGCATTCAAGAATTTGACAGGAAAATGCATTGCTCTGAGAGAATGCTTATCAAATACTTGGGAAAACTAAATTCAAAATAAGAATAAAAAGAGAAGAAATTAAATTCAATGGGAGATTTAACACACTGATTTGAGACAGAAGAGAATTTAGGTGCAATAGAAAAAGCAAATTGACTAGGAAGAGCTGTAGCTGCAAAAATTTAAACTAATACTGACACTGGAAATCCAGGGAAATAGCCATTATATACACCAGCTTGATTTTTTCTTCTCCAAACTCAGAATATGAATTAATTAAAGCAGATTCATGATTAGAATGAACAAAATGCAATAGATTTAATCCAATTACATTTTATTAACAGCATTTCATGAAAATGTTTTCTTAAGGCAAGTTAGATCTTCTGGCAATACACTATTTTAATTTCATTGTATTGACTATCAAACTATTATAATTGAATTGTATTGTATTAACAATTACATGAAATAGCTGGCCCACAGGTATCTGGTTAAAGATGCTTTTACAGTAGTATTTTATTCTTCTGTCCCTTAGCTCTTTACAAATTATTTTTGCATGCATTTTGAAATCTAGTTATGAGCTAATTTCAATCACTTCTTTGTCTTTTCTATAAAATAAAAACCTAGGGAATTGAAGTTTTTATATTTATCCTTCATTTATTTATAATTTATATTCATAAATTATATTTACATTTAATTTATAAAATATATGCATTTTATTTATATGTTTATATTACTTATATTTATCCTTCATTTATTTATTTTCATAAATATTTATTGAATGCTGTCTGTGGGCCAGATAATGTGGTAGATTTGGGGAGTAATCTGGTAAATAAGCCAAATGTATTCTTTGCCTTTATGGAACTTAAATCCAGCAGGAAAAAGCCTGATTGACGAATAAAAGTTAGGAGACATTAAAAGTATCAGGTGATAATGGACATGCTAAACTGTATGATTCTATGTCCATCGTTCCAAGCAAAAGAGGCAGTAAAAAGCACAAGAAGTTCAGTGTGGATGACAGCAAACCAAAAGGCTTCACAAATGAGGCTTGGCTTTAGTTGGACTTTGAAGGGCTGCTGAGGGTCAGGGAGAAGTTGAGAAGGTAAAAGGAATGTTAAAGGTATTACAGATGAGAGAAACAACACAAATAAAGTCTACGCTATGGAAAGGAGTAGGGGGAAAATAAGACAAATCTAGTTTGAGTGGAAAACAATTATAAAATGACAAAACTGTCTTCTCAACATAGACAGATGGGTGATATTAGTAAGTAGAGGTAATTTAGGGAGAGGATATCCAAACTGATGCAATGTTGGGACACCTAGGTGAAGATGATTCTCAAAGTTCATATGCATAAAGACCTGGAGCACAGGTCAGATGTTGGAGAACCGGCCATGGATTTGGGAATTGTCAACCAGTCATGCTACTTGCACCCATGACAGTGGCTAAATTTAGAGAGGGAGAGAGGGAAGACAAAAGCAGGTAACA
The DNA here is from genome assembly GCF_000001405.40 of Homo sapiens. Taxonomy (NCBI): domain Eukaryota; kingdom Metazoa; phylum Chordata; class Mammalia; order Primates; family Hominidae; genus Homo; species Homo sapiens. Next base: position 210,637,191 of record NC_000002.12, read on the forward strand.
AAGGGTAGAGCCGTGGGTAGGGGTAGGGGGAAACCCAAAACTAGTAAATGGTAGTTTTGAGTAATAAAGTAGAGCGAGAAGCCACTTAGTAGAAGCCAGAATATCTTTTTAAAAAATAGATCATCAAAAGGGTCTTGTGATGACAGGTTGAGGAAAATGAAAACTGAAAAAGGGCTCCTGGATTTAGAGAGTGAGGTCTCTGATTATTACTAATGAGCACATTTATTAGAACAGTAAATGCACTTGCCATTTTTTATAAAAGCAGCAGGGAAGAGGTCGCATAGAGTGTGAAAGCAGGAGATCAGAGATTGTCAGCTTTGCAAATAGAAGACTTCATAGAGGCTAGAAGATTGAGTGGGTTAGTTATTTGTGTATTTTTAAAAGATAACAAGACTTAAATATGTTTGAAGGTGGAAAATAAGAAGCCCTTGGTGTTCTTGAAATTGAACTTGTCACCGCTTTTTATTGTTTTTGGTCTAAACTTGAATCTCTCTTTTCTATTAAATCCTAGTGAGTCCATGACAGAAGAAACCCTGAAAAGGGCAAAGGAGATTGGGTTCTCAGATAAGCAGATTTCAAAATGCCTTGGGCTCACTGAGGCCCAGACAAGGGAGCTGAGGTTAAAGAAAAACATCCACCCTTGGGTTAAACAGGTAAAGGAGTTTCCCTTTTCCCCCATCCCCCACTGACAGGATTTCTGTGGTAAAACGTAGGCACCCATTCAAAAGGCCATTGTTAATAAAAAGAGGAGTGGAATTAAGAAGTGACAATACTCATCCGGTTGATGCTCATAATGTCACCAATTTTATTCAGCAAGTGATTAATTTTTACTTAAAAGGGAAAGAAGGAAAGGACACTAGGATGTAAAGATAAGAGTGAGTACCTGATTTTCTTGGCCTAACTGAACAAAACAAAACAAAAATTTAAACTCTCCTCTGCTTTTTGACCTGTGTTCAAATATGTAAGTAGTTAAGAAATCCTTAGTGTAATTGAAGGACTTGAAATTTCCTAGCATGGTGGCTGACCCTCTTGAAAATAATAGTTATCTCCTTTGGCAGTAACTTTTTACAGGGTAATACTTTATATTAAGTGCCCCATGATTATGGTTCATTTAGTATTCATTGTGATAGGGCTGGGCATAATGAGCTCATCTAGTATTCATGACAATCACGCATGAACATTCATAGGTGTGCTGTTGTGATTTTTTTTCCTTTGGCCTTTAATGGAAGGGATGTCTTAGTTTAAAGTACCACCAGCTGGTTTTTGTCCTTTAAAATCATTGACTTTTCACTGTGTGCTCAAGGGGCACGTGCATACCCTTAGGTCTCAAGCTTTTTGCTAAATATTTTCCACTCAGCGATTATTATCTTTCTTCCTTCTCACCTGCCTTACACCAGCTTGCCCTGTCGGCCCCAAATTCTTGCTCACTAAGCTGAGTTACTGGCCCTTGAGAGTGGAATTGATTTCCAAATATGTTCAATGAGATCTTGTTCTCCCCCCGTTCATCCCCTATGGCTTTATGGTAGTTGTGTCATCCCACCGCTCAGTGCCACAGGCCACTTAAATCCTGCGCATTAATTTGCAAGCCAAAGAGATCCTTACGTATAGGTCATTTTGCTCAGATTTTAGATTTCATATACAGCTGCTTTTAGAGAGCTGGTGGGGTAAGTCTTCCTAGTAACCAGTTGACTATAGGACCACTTTGCGATGTTCATGAGAGTTACTATTACTACTAGTGATCCAATGCCCTGTTTCTCAGGTGATAACTAGACCACATCACTATTTTCTCTCTCTTATTTTCAGAATTAGAAAGCAATTCCACGGGTCATACATTTTCCTGTTTGCATACTTTACAGTAATAGGAATTAAAGGAATATGTATATAAAGCACAAAAAATTTAGTCTTGAAAAAATTATAATAACATTCTTATTTGTTTATTTTATTTGTTTTCTCTTACAGATTGATACACTGGCTGCAGAATACCCATCAGTAACAAACTATCTCTATGTTACCTACAATGGTCAGGTAGGAATGGGCAAATTGGCCTATCCAGAAAGCTCTAGATTTCATAGACAGTTCACATTAGGGAATATATATTTTTTACCTCTTTGGATATCTAGGTAATAAAAAAAGGCATCATGGCCGGGCGCGGTGGCTCACGCCTGTAATCCCAGCACTTTGGGAGGCCGAGGCGGGTGGATCATGAGGTCAGGAGATCGAGACCATCCTGGCTAACAAGGTGAAACCCCGTCTCTACTAAAAATACAAAAAATTAGCCGGGCGCGGTGGCGGGCGCCTGTAGTCCCAGCTACTCGGGAGGCTGAGGCAGGAGAATGGCGTGAACCCGGGAAGCGGAGCTTGCAGTGAGCCGAGATTGCGCCACTGCAGTCCGCAGTCCGGCCTGGGCGACAGAGCGAGACTCCGTCTCAAAAAAAAAAAAAAAAAAAAAAAAAAGGCATCATGTGTGTCAGGTATGATGATATGTTTCTGTACTCAGTCTTTTAAGAACTGCCTTAAGATAATGAAATCAAACAAATGAAAAATTAAGGACAATGACTACATGATCATACAATTATGCTATGTTCTCATGACTATTTAATTTAAAAAATTCTGCCATATCTATTTTTTATAAATAAGTAGGGCTTGTATAACACTTTATACTTATGGGTTTCCAGAGACTAATAGAGAATACATGTTAACAAGAGGAAGATGAGAAATACATACTTAATGATAGGACAACTAGTTTAATTAAATGGAATAATAACACTTAATGATTTCTGCATCTTCCTTTTCTTATTTCCTCAGGAGCATGATGTCAATTTTGATGACCATGGAATGATGGTGCTAGGCTGTGGTCCATATCACATTGGTAAAATAATAAATTATGTGTATATAGGACTTTACACAATTTATATAGTTTTCTTCATACATGTTAATTCCATTATTCCAAGAACTATATCAAATAAATGCTGTAATATATGTTTTGCAAATTAGGAAGCTGGGGTTCAGAAAAATAAAACCCAAATATATACAGCTATTTAGTGGTAGAGTGGGACTCAAATGCAGGTCTCAACTACAAATTCTATCTCCTCTCATTTCACTGTGTAACTTAATTTTCATCCTTTTTAACTGAATTGAGCCTTTCACTGGAGTTGGGAATGGATTAGATTTTGACCTGTTATCTTCTAGCATAGTTTTTCATAAGGATCTACATTTACTCAAGGACTTTATACATTAGCCAGAAATTACATTGCAGATACCACCTCTGACCTCATCCTACGTAACATATATGACTTTCGTTTACCTCAAATGCAAAAATCTTGTCTGTTTGGTGCATGGGTAGAGCATTATGTAGGTGAATTAAAACATAATCACCAGAGATATGACATTTCTCTCCAGTCAATTAAATAACCACTAAAGATTATTACAGATGCAAGTATGTATTTTAATGGACAGTGATATTAGTCAACATATGGATTTAATATTTAATCTCCACAAAGCATTATAATATGGAAATGATAAAAATCTATGATTTGAATATATTTAAATCTTATTCTATTACTTTAAGCATAGTTTATTTAGTTTTTACAATGAACTAAGAGCTTCAGGATATGTTAGTTTACCAATCTTTGGACAAATCTTGAAGTAGGACAAAAATGTTATATCTTTACCACCTTAGTCATTGTCTTAGTCCATTTGTGCTGCTGTAACAAAATACCTGAGATTGGGTAATTTATAAATAAATTCTCACAGTTCTAGGGGCTGGGAAGTCCAAAATCAAGTGCCAGGAAGTTCAGTTGTCTGGTGAGACATAGGTCTCTGCTTCTAAGATGGCGCCTTAAACCTTGTGCCTCCTATAAGGAAGGAATGCTGTCTTTACATGGCAGAAGGCACAACAGCACAAAGGGAACAAATTCCCTCCATCAAACCCTCACCCCCAGTTTTTTCTGAGACAAGGTCTTACTATGTCACCTAGGCTGGAATGCAGTGGTATGATCATGGCTCACTGTAGCCTTGATGTCCCAGGCTCAAGCACTCCTCCCACCTCAGCCTCCCTAGAAGCTGGGCCTATAGGCATGTGCCATCATGCTTGGCTTATTTTTATTTTTATTTTTTGTAGAGATGGAATTTTTCTGTGTTGGCCAGGCTAGTCTCACACTTCTGGACTCAAGCGATCCTCCTGCCTCAGCCTCCCAAAGTGCTGGTATTACAGGCAGGAGCCACTACAGCTAGCAAGCTTTTCTATAACAGCATTAATCTATTCATGAGGGATCTGCACTTATGAACTAAAACCCTCCTAAAAGGCCCCACCTCCCAGCACTGTTGCATTGGTGACTAAGTGTTCTAACACATGGATTTCAGGAGACACGTTCAGGCCATGGCAGTTATCTTATGGTGAAATAGCCTGACCATTTCACCAGCATCTACCTGTCTACTCTCTGGAGTACTTTTTCTTCCTTTTCAAATTTTACCTATTCATGCAGTAATTCTGCATTATATCAGGATCCAAAGAAGACTAGTCAAGCTAATAATCAAGTGTGTGCTTACTTGATAGTTGCCATTAATATGCCAGTATATTTGAATAACGTGTTTTCACAAGAATTTTTAGAAGACAATATCTTAATGCAAAGAATTAGTACAAGTCTGTGGACTTTCAATTCTATGGCATCCCAGTAGACGTGATATTTTGAGGTGTTTAGGCCATTATTACACTTCAGATTTCTTTATAGAAGGTCACTCACTCTGCATGGGTGGCCTTGCCAAGTTTAAAAGGATATGCTTGGAAAAGATAGGACTCTTCAATCAATCAGGATATGTCAGAGCTGCAAGGCACCTCAGGGATCATTAGGTTCAGCCCTCAGACAGCAGATTAAGTGGAAAGGCTGAAAAAAGAGCACAGGTATCCTCATCACTGGATTAACTATTTTTGTGTATTGAGGTCAATATATTCACTTTGAATTTCTTTTCAGTAAGTGAGGGTTATTTTTATCATTAAAATTACCTCCCATTAACATTGAAGTTCTAAATACTTCAAATATTGAGATTTTCTATTGCAGAATTTAGCATATATGACAAGCCCAATATTTCCTTGCTGTTTAATTAGTACCCATTTTTCCTACTACTAATACAGTATGCATCATGGGTTTGAAATTTATATCTTGGAGTTTAAAAAATTGAATTGAAAATCATTAGCTTCCTTAGCCTGGACTGACTGGTGATACATTTCTGCTTCTCTTTGTATTGTAACTTCGTGCTTCTCTTATCCCTTTTGCCAATCTCATTGTCTCTGCAGGCAGCAGTGTGGAATTTGATTGGTGTGCTGTCTCTAGTATCCGCACACTGCGTCAACTTGGCAAGAAGACGGTGGTGGTGAATTGCAATCCTGAGACTGTGAGCACAGACTTTGATGAGTGTGACAAACTGTACTTTGAAGAGTTGTCCTTGGAGAGAATCCTAGACATCTACCATCAGGAGGTAAGAAAAGAAAAACAGAAAAAAAAGAAAAAAGAAGACAGATATATGTAGTATACACTTTATATATATGCATTCTGGTATATAGATGTATATAGTAATTCCTCTTAGAAGAAAGGGCTGCCAGTGGCATCCATTGTCTTATTTTGTAGTAAAACTCTAAAAAAAATCACTCCATTCTTATATTTTTGAGCCCCTGGCCCAGAGTGATTATTTTTCACATAAAGTTTTTATTTACATTTTCTTTCTAAGGGTTTCAGCTAGATTGAAAACTCTACTTGGTAACATGTGCCAGATACATATTAACTAATACAAGATGATCCCTCATAAATATCTTGCAGAGTGATTGAATTGGTCATCTAGACATACAATAAACAGCCTCTTTCTAGTTTGTGTGATGTGGTTTAATGATAAACAGTTCCAGTTCCCTGAAAATAGTCAATTGCTCACAAAAGACCAGTTAATTCCTTGTTCCATCAGATGAAGCCATTAGTCTTCAGTTTAAGATCAATGAGTTCATTGTGAATAATTTTGCTTCCTTTATAGCTTTCACTTACAGTTGTTCCTCCATTCCCATCCCAATATTACTGAGTATCTTCACTGTGAATTCATGTGATTGCAGATTACTATAAGACTGTAGAACAAAATAAATTATCTTATAATTAAAATAAAAGCTACTGGAAAATTTTAGTGATGTCCAGTAGTTAGGCCTTTGATATTATTACAGTTATTATTACTTTTTACCAGAAAATCATCTCTATGTGGAAAATATGGTCAATTAGAAGGAAAAAAGTACTAAATTGGAACCAAAATACTTAAATTTTAGTTTTGACTGACAACCTCATTGATTTCTTTAAGTTACATAAATTCTCCGTGCTTTATCTTTATTTTAAATGAATCGTCTGAGTATAAACACATGCTACTTGCAAATACTGTGAAGTTAACATAGAGTTTATGGCCGAAGTCAGATTGTAAAGTATAAAGTATAGTGCTAGAATAATGTTATTATTTTACTATTACAAAAGAAAGTAGACAAGTTTAGGAAGGATGTATAATTATAGTTGTCTACTTGGGCCTGGCCTACTAATCCTTTAATAAAATTGATCCATTAAATAGAATATATAGCATTTTTTAGACCTCTCTCTGACATGGTTGTTTTTAAATCACTCCTTAATATTCATTTGAGATAGACAGGTGGGGATCAAAATAAGTGCATCCCACAAATATTTCTCGAACACCTTGTAAATCCAGGTTCAGTATGATAGACAGCTGGAAAAACAGGTTCTTATCTTCAAGACATTAACAATAAAACTAGTATCTGTGATATAAATGTGAAAAGTCAAATACTAATTTAAAAATATTAAAAAACATTACAGATGATAGCAGCAGGCATTTTGCATATAATTAATTATGTCCTCATGAAATGGTTTAAAGAAAGATGAAAAACTTCTATGACTGCTTTTGGATACAATTATACATGGCTATTAATGAGATTTGTTTATTAAAACTGAAGTCAGTATTATAGAAAGAAAGAAGTTGGCCCTTCTTTGAAACTAATTGGTATTTAAAATATAGTATTACTATATATTAGGAGGTAATTTAAAATATGTTGGCGGACATAATATGATGTACATATGTAAATGTAGACAATGGTACTTCTGTCACAAAACAAGTTAAATGAATGAATTAATGACAGACATTAATTAGTGATAGGCAAAACCCATTAGAGAATGCATGACTCGAGACAGAATTGAGGTTCATTTATATCATTTGGTTTAATTGTAATTAAATGTAATCCTAAAATACTGCCTAAACTATAAATCATTTTTACTAACATGTAAATTAGTAAAATATAAAGCATCATCCTTCTCATTGGCAGGTGTACAGATAGTAGAATTTTATAAATTGGAGATAATTCATAAAATTCCAAAAACCATGGCCATTTGTAATGAGGCAAATACTACTTCTGTTAGAAAAATTTTCTCACATGACATTCTTTCCATAATACATCTAATTTGTGCATAAAAATAAGGACTAACCAAAGTGATTAGTGGCCAGGATAAGTTAAGATGTTCTCAAATAAGCTTGAAGTATTTCCTTTTCATGTTTTTCTATTGAAAATAAGTTTCTGGTTCAGAAATATTCTTGTGCTATGGTAAGTTAGTGATATCAGGTTTTAAAAAACAGAAAACTAAGATGGGTAAAAAGGATGCAAACAGATCTAGGTATGATTAATGGAATTTTGGGAGCTTAATGGAATTTTGGGCCTAAATATTTTAGAAATCTATTAAACAATATTTGAAATTTAGAATATTTTATTTCAGTAGATTTCTTGAAACTATTCAGGCCTGATGGCTATGATAAGGATGATGATTTACCTGTGTGGGTTACCAGGTTCTCATCCCTTTGTTCCTACATGTCCCGTGATATTTGGTGTTGGATCAATTTGAGATTGGATTATTCCATAAAACTGTGCTATATTAACATTTTACAAACATGTTCTCATACTGAATTCCTTTTGCCCTGTGGGAAAACCTGCACGACACCATCACACTGTTACTCTAAAAGATTCCTGAGGCCGTGATTTGTCTTCCCATTGATGGTCTCTGATTCTAGTCGTCAATGATGAGAATTTGGTTTTGTGCTGAAAGCTTTTCTACTACTTTCCAAAAAAAAAAAGTAGTTTTTTAAAAATAGCTTTTCTCTTATTCTTTAACATTAACTACACCTGAAATGAGCCAGAAAAGTAGAGTTAACTTAAGATTCTAATATTTGGTCTATTACTTCAGCATAGCTGAAAGTGTATTAGTTTCAGCATAGTTGAAATTACAATCTATAGAGTTGAGTTCAGGCCGGGGATGGTGGCTCACGCCTGTAATCCCAGGATTTGGGGAGGCTAAGGAGGGTAGATCACTTGAGGCCAGGAGTTCAAGACCAGCCTGGACCCCATCTCTACTAAAAATAAAAAAAATTAGCTGGGCGTGGTGGTGCATGCCTGTAATCCCAGCTACTAGGGAAGCTGAGGCACGAGAATTCCTTGAACCTGGGAGGCGGAGATTGCAGTGAGCTGAGATCATGCCACTGCACTCCAGCGTTCATGTACAAGCTCTATACATGTATTTGCTAGATAAGGGATATGGGTGAGTCACTTCACCTTTACTGAGCCTCAGTTTCTTTAGCTGTAAAATGGGGACAGTAATAATCACCTCAGAAGGATAGTGTGAAAGTCAAAACAGATAGTCCAGGATACATAGTAGAATCTTTATTAAAGAGTAGCAGCTATTATCTTACTATTGTTTTGAATTTATTGCAAAACAGAATTTTTAATTCCTTAAAAAGCAGAAATTTCTTTAAAAACAAGTCAATTTAATACAGCTAAGTTGAAAAATATTGATGTGTTTATTAAAGCCTTTTATTACACTTTAAGCTCCTATTTAGTCTAATTGACTCAAACTTTTGCTATAAGTTGCTACTTCTCCCTCAGTTTAAAAAAATTATTCTAAAATCCTTCATATAAGAGATTTTTTGTGTCCATTTAATGGAGTAATTTGTTTTTAAGTCTCTAAAACATTAACAACACTGCTGATAAACCCAACATAATAAGGAAATAAAAAGATTATAGCCAAGAGAGTATTTTAAAGGTTTTTGCAAAAATTTATATTGAACATATTTTAAAATAAAAATAGTTTAAGTACACTTATAAATATGCAAAATGGTGGATTATTATTTTCAGTACTGTTTACAATGCCTTTAAGCACTCAATTGCAGGGTGTTTGTTTAGTTACACAGTACCGTAATTGCTCTCATCAGACAGAAATTAGCCTCATCCCTTATAAGAGTATTTCAGAACAATTTTAAATAATGACAAAATATATTTGGCACATATCTATCATTTTGGCAGTTCTACTAATATTCATTAGTGGGTCATTAGGACACACACAAATTATGCTAAGCTCAATGGCCTATCAGATATATGATTTTTGATATTAATAATCATGTCTTATTTATTTATACACTTACGGTATATAGGACCTTTAATGTTTAGTGTTTAGGCAGGTATTATCCTAATTTTATACACAAGAAGACTAAACGTTGGGGGAAAGTTCAGTCTTGTTGTCTATAAAATTAGACAAGAAGGGGTGGGTGGTACACAGAAGGAACCAAGTTAGGAAGGGACTTCGACTGGAAATCTATTTCCTCACCGTCTCACGCTGGTTTACCCTCACTGCTACAACAACACCTGTCTTGAGAAACTTTGAGATTTAGTGGACTATTTTTTTTTTTCTTGAAGTTTTGACTGCTAATAGGAGATTTGGACTTATGGAAGAAAATCTTACACAAATGTCTGAAATAAGGCTAAAGATTCTGGCACTGTTTGTAAAGCAAGTAGTGAGGCAGTAGGAACTAAAATCAGTTACTAGGTACTGTTGACAGGTACCAAGGCTGCAGCCAAGGAGAGGGGAAGGTGGAAGGTCATCAAAGTGGAAGGACATCAAAGTGGGACCTGAGATCTAGGCTGGAACTAAGGGGTAGCTAAAGGTTAGATAAGCTGGAAGAGAAGAGAAAGGAAACAACAGCCAGGGAAGTTTCAGTGGTGCAGAGAATTTGTTAGTGGGAAAATACCTAGTTGGAGCTAATGAGTAGTCTTTTGAGCTGAGAGGGGTGATAATAGATAAGACTGGAAAGTCTTAAGTGCCCTGGGGGTCAAAAGTTTATGCTTTATTCTCTAGGCAGTGGAAACCTTTGGAGAACTCTGAGTGTAGGAGCAATTTGATGAAGCAGACTTGCTTAATCTGAATGTGAAGTGCTGAGATGGAGGTGTACAGGAGAAGGGAGTGTTAAAAGAAGAAATCTGTATTCAGTTAGGAATTTCCAGCAGTAGTCCAGGAATTAATTGATTATAGCATAGAGTACATAGCAAACATTTATTGACTTGATTTTCCTTTCCATTTGCCACACATGTGAGTGTCACAAATGATATTCACGTGTACTTGTATGGAAATCTTGCACAGATTTTAGCATCTAAGTGCCAGAAAGTAAAAATTTTGTGGCATCATTTAACAGTATTCATTGGTAGGAGAGATGTAAATATCACAGTCAGGTTAAGAATTATCAGTAAGGAAATAGACACAATATTAGCATAGTTGTCCATTCATAATGAAGTTATTCCAATGGCTGATATTGTGAGTGTATTTTCCAGGCATGTGGTGGCTGCATCATATCAGTTGGAGGCCAGATTCCAAACAACCTGGCAGTTCCTCTATACAAGAATGGTGTCAAGATCATGGGCACAAGCCCCCTGCAGATCGACAGGGCTGAGGATCGCTCCATCTTCTCAGCTGTCTTGGATGAGCTGAAGGTGGCTCAGGCACCTTGGAAAGCTGTTAATACTTTGGTAAGGAGAGAAACAAGTATCTGTTTCTAATGTTCTATTTTGAAGAGCTGCAACCTGAATGTTGACTGAATGTTGACTATTGGATATGTTAACTACAGGGCAGATAGAATGCATACACTTAGTGAATTTAAAGTTGTTGTATATCCATGATTGCAGTTAATGCTGATTATGAGTTGATAGCAGTATTCTCATTAAGATTCAGACAATGAAAATAATTTCAAACCAGTTTTGAACAAGATTTGATATTTAGAATCAGAAGCTAGGAATTTTATGTATTTCAGTGTCCAATTTACATTTAATGGTGCCTTTAGAGAATAAAGAAGCTGGGCTACCACTCGAGCTAATGATACATTCTGTAATTTTATTGCATATTTTAAACTACTCATACATTTTTATTGTTGTTTCTATTAATTAGAATGAAGCACTGGAATTTGCAAAGTCTGTGGACTACCCCTGCTTGTTGAGGCCTTCCTATGTTTTGAGGTAACACTGTATATTGTTTTCCAAAACAATGATTCAAAAATTGGGAGATACAGAAATGCATGCTGTATGCTAATAGCACTAGGGTTCTATATGTAGTAATTTATAAATCCATTAACAATTTCCAAACCATCACAGCCAGTTTAAGGACCAATGTGTGGTCTTCTAGTTTAATGCTTTCCCTTCAGGGAGTGGCCATAGGAAGACTACAGTTCTTCATCTAGAAGTGTAGTGTAAGGCATCTCCTTACCAAACAGAGAGGGTAGCTTTATATTAAAGAACAGGACAATTTAAAAAAGACACACAAATTGAGGTATCTCTCGCCAGCGTGTTTTCTGATACCCAGAAATGACAGCTTATCTTTGACTATTGTCAGCACCTTCTGATAGTGCCTTTGTTTTAAAATTTTCAGTTTTTGAGATCCGATTGTTTAATAGATAAATTATAAGGGTGAGGAACAGGAACAGTGAGGATCTTTTATATTAAACTTTAAAACAAAGTTTTATCATAAAAGAAGAAGTTGTGAATTATCACTTACTTTCTTCAGATGTTACCACATGTAAGGAACAACTTCACCAAACAAGGGATAATAAAAGAAACACAATTTGCTTTGCACAATTTGAAAGTGTAAATGGAATTTGAGATGGGTTCCTTTAAAATGATGAAAATGAAAAATTTCAAACGAGGTGGAAATCTTTTTATTTAAATGTCATTTTGTGTAAACCATAGTCTAATAATACTACCTGTTTGAGGAGTTAATGTAAACTAATTTAAACATGCACACATTTAAGGAAGGATGGAAAATAAAACAGCTTTGACTATCACACTTCTTTTTCCTTTTTTGCAATCTATATCTTTGTTCCAGTTTCACATACTCTGAATGATAAGCATTATTGCTCTAGCCTTCCTCTCTTAAACAAATGAAGCAACTGAAAGCCCTTTAGGCAGAAATTTGTAATAGGATAAACTGGTGAGGTGATGGATATATAAATAACTTGATTGACTTTCTATAATGTATACATAGATCAAAACATCACACAATACCTCATAAATATATGCAATTACTATTTGCCAATTAAAAATACATTTTAACATTAAAAGATAAATTTGTAGTAGTGTAAAAGAGGTAAATGCTGCTGTTTAAAAGCAAAGTAATATTTTTCTTATTTTTATTTTTGCTTTCTGTTACTCCTCCTCTCCTACCCTCCCAACCCATTTTGCAAATGTCAAAATTCAGAGTAAATTGATTTCAGATAGCATTTTTTCTCAAGCATTTAAAAAGAAAGGATATAGTTGAAAAGGTTTTATTCACATACTGCACATTGTATTAGCAAATATTACTTTAAAAATTGATTCATTTGCAATCTGGTTGAGGGAGTAGCATAACCTGCTTTGACAACAGAGCAGTAGGCTAAGATCAGCTGTTGATAATGAACTCTGAAGAAACAGGTTAGGGAAATCAGGTTCTGGGCTGAATCCTGTTAAGGCTTAAGAATTACCTGGAACCAGCAGAGTGTTAATGTAGCAAATCAGAAAGGGCAAACTTTGGAGAAGTATAATTTCTAGAGCTACCAGGATTCCCTTTGGGAATTAATACAGGTTTACTGACCCCCTACACTTTACCTTCTTCCATCCTCAGCTTCGTCAGTTTTATACTTTGGTTGATTGTCCTGGTGATTAAATGGAGAAAAGTCTCAATTTAGCAAGAGGCACCTTCTTATTCAGCCCCGACTGGAACTATAGGTTGTCTGGAACTGTTCTGAGAACCAGTCAAGTCTAGTATTAGCATAAACCTGACCTGCTTTTTTTCCCCTTCCTTTTCCAGTGGGTCTGCTATGAATGTGGTATTCTCTGAGGATGAGATGAAAAAATTCCTAGAAGAGGCGACTAGAGTTTCTCAGGTAGTGTCCAATTTCTTTGTAGTGACTGTTATCTCTTAATAAACATGTAGTGACATTTATCTCTTAATAAAATGTAGTGACATTTATCTCTTAATGCAACCTTACTTTGTATGTTTTCTTTTCACACAATGTGTTAGAATGAGTTTTCTTTTTTCCTCTTCTACCCTCTAGTCTCCTAAAAGAATGAGAAACCTTGAAGGCATTAAATTATAACTAGACTTTTAAGGTTGGTGGAAAAAGAGGAATACCTGTGCATATTTTATCAAAACAGATTTTAGACTCCAGGAGTCTAAAAGGACAATGATTTTTGTTTTTCTCATGAATTAGATGCTGGTCAGGGTATTTCTGGAATTCCCAGTCTCAAGGGCTGCTCAACCATGCTCACCATTAACAAGTGAAAGCTTTCCTGATTTTTAATTTTCACATCTGGGAACTTTGCCTAGTCAAACATGCAACTTTAATAGTAAGTCCCTCACTCAACTATTTTTTATTTTTTCCTGTTGGCACATTCAGTTTGTGAGTTAATACAAGCATTTCTTATTTTGTGGCAACTCAGCCACCTTCCTCCACTGCCCCCCAGCCTTTACCTTCTCCTTCAGTGTTACCTCAGCATGATCCATTTAAGATTTACCCAGTGGGGTTATTGATCTTGTATTGTAGAGGATAAAAGTAATGTTTTCCTTTTAAAAGCTTTCAAAAGCTTGTTGGGGCTTTTTTTTTTAAGGGGGAACAATTCATAGAGAAGAGTTTGATGTTAGGCAAGTGGAATTTGGAGGGAGGAAGAGTGAAATCAGGAGCATTTCAAAGAGGAATAAAGTGCGTGGACTGTTTCTGCACACATGACGCTGGATCGCTCTTCTGTGTATGATAGCTGCTCCCCAAGGATGTTTGAGTGGTAAGAGTAGATAAGAATAAAGAGTGAGAAGAGGCAAAGAGTGTAAAAGAAGAAAACCAGGTAGACTTTGAATTCATGTTTGTGTGCAAATCAGATAGCTTAGAAGGGAATCTTTCCAGTGGGCCAGTTTTCACTAATGGAGTGAGACACCAACTGTCTTCTCTATTTTATTCCTGGCCAGGGGTCCTGCCATGCGGCCCTTTTCAGAGGCTGGCTACTGTACTCAGCTGGTCTCATGTGAGTGATGAGGCAGGTGTCCCCTCTTGTCTGCCTCGAACACTCCTTATAGGATCTCAGTACAATATTTTTAAAGTATTTTTCCTTTAGCGTATGGATAGAATCCATATGGGACCAAAGTTTAATAATAGAGATGTTGTGATTGAGTACTTTACAGTTCAATGTTCCCTATCAAACTACAGCAGCATCTGGGATACTGAATTCAATGACTCTAGAGTAAAACCAGCCCCAATCAATCAGTAATCTATGTATGTATTCATTTATTTATAGCACCTGTTATATGGTGGCATTGTTCTCAGTATCAGGAATTGTAATCGTGAAAAGAAAGATATGGTCTCTACTGTCACATAGGACTTCTTTTTGCTAGGCTCAACAGACTTCAAATAATTACAATTAAATATGATGAGCAATGAACATCGCAATAGAGAAAATACAGGATGTTGAGGGAGAGTGTGAAAGTCTTGGGCTCCAGTCCCTGAGGAAGGGACTTTTAAATTGATACCTGATGGTTGATTCAGAATTAACTGGGCAAATGGCTTACATTGTGGGAGTAGGAGGAAGAAAGGAACAGCATTTATGAAGGTCTGAAGATGAGAAAGAGTAGGGAGTTTCTCAAAACTGATAAAGCATTCCTTATATGGCTAGGACATCAAACATGATGCTGATTATTAATGATGGTGCAGAAGTAGTCAGGGACCAGATAAAGGAGACTTTATTGGTCATTATAATGAGTTTGAATTTTAGTCATATTTTTTATTTTAAAAAGATGAGTGTGCTGTAGTACACAGAGTGAATTATGGGGCAAGACCAAATTCATGGAAAGAGGTGAGTGAGTTGTTGCTATAGCTCAGGGTAGAGATGACAGTGCCTCGGATTAGAGTAATGACACTAAAGATGGAGAGAAATAGTAAGAACATGCATTGAAAAGAATTAGTGAATGAATGGAGGTGGAGGGTGAAAGAGGATAAAGGATAACTCCTGAGTTTTCTGCCTTGGATAACTGGGTAGACAGTGATGCCATTTATTGAGATAGGGAACACTGAGGAAGGAGAAAAGTATAGAGGGAGGAATTATATATTTATTTTTTAACCTTTTGAATGTGAACTGCCTGTGAGGAATCCAAGTGGATATGATTTAAAGGCAAGGGTTATTATAATAGGTTTGGAATTGAGGACCAAGATCATGGCTAGAGATAGAGAAGGAAATATAGATTTTGAAATGAATAGCATATCACTTTAATGGAAGATTTGAGAATGAAAGCAATCACTGAGGGAGAGAGTATAGAAGAAAAGGAACAGCTAAGACAGACACTGGAGGAATACTGGCATTTAAGGCAGAGAGGAGAAGAAAGAACCACGAATGAGCTGAAGAAAGAAGCACAGAAATGTAGTTTACAGATACCAAAGGAAGAAAGTGTTTTTCAGAAGGCCAGCCTTGTATAATGCTGCATTTCATGATAGTGGTCAGAAGGAGTTTGTGTTCAGAGGCAAAAGGGATATTCAGAGAAGGATTCAGGGAGGAGATAGCATATGACCTAGGCCTTGAAGGGTGAGTTGAGATTTGAAAGATGAAGCTGAGGAGAAAAGATAGAATACACGTGGGGAAGAGACACATGGAAGCAAGTGAATGCAGGGCCTGGTAAAAAGACAGTGGCCCAGGTTGTTTTAGCCTATGGTACAGAGGAGAAGATATCTAAACCCTGGAGATCTTCCCTCAACCTCTTCATTTAGTATGGAGAAAAGCAAGTGGGGATTATGTTGTGGAGGGCATCCCGACCCTGACATGGAGGAAATGAGTGTGGGAAGCACTTCAAGATGAGAAGTGTCTGAAACAGCCAAGAAAGGAAGGACTTTTGAAGATTAATAAATAAAAATACTTGATTTTACAGTTACAAATGTCATACTCTAGAAGTGGCATAAGACAAATCAACTCGAGGTAAAGGATTTCATCTTTGGCCCAATAAGACCAAAAGAAAATGTCACTCTCATTCTGAGTTCTCCCACAATTCTCAAAGAGAAATATGATTTAGGGAGTTGTAGTGCTTAGAAAAGATAAGGGTAGAAAGAAAGAAATATTCTGAACCAATAATAATATGTCATTATAAAGTAGAGAAATATTCATGATTCTGACAGCAGAGAAAGAAGCCATATTCTGCTTCCTCCTTAGTCCCCTCTTTTCTCTAATTGACCTGGATGCCTATACTTGAGGATTCAGAACTCATGGTCAGTTTGCTGAGCACTCAAAGTTGGAGAAAGACCCTCTGCCTCACTACAAGCAAAGAACAACCTTGTTCTTACAGCACAGATTAGGTAATGAGTTTATGTAGTTATGTTCAGCCTTGAGTATTTTGCAAGTATTGCCCTGATACTTATAATACTTAAAGTACATGGCTTATTGACACTATATACATAGCGTTAGCTAAATGTTCGGCTCCTCTGTTTTCCTTCGTGACAGGAGCACCCAGTGGTGCTGACAAAATTTGTTGAAGGGGCCCGAGAAGTAGAAATGGACGCTGTTGGCAAAGATGGAAGGGTAAGTGCTTTATTCTCATCTCCTTCATTCCTGCCTTCTCATCATTTTTTTCTTTAACAATTTTGAAATATTGACAGGTTAGAATTCATAATATCTATAAAACAGGTCTCCAGTAATAGTGGAGAAGCTGTAAAAAAAATCAAATTCTCTGACAATTCAGTTGATGTGTCATGGGTATCATATTTCCTATGTTTCATACTGTTAGAATTTCTCTGATGATATTCAAAAGTAATTATCATCCTGTACTCATCATTCCTTTTGAATAGATTTTCTCTCTCATTTTCTTTTGTCTGTGTCTTTCCTTTTATGTTTCAATGGCTATTATGAAAACATCTAATACTTTTCTTTCTGAAGTTCCCAATCGAATCCTGGTTTTTCTTCTTTCTTCATTTCCCATCCTCCTCCCTTTTTATTGGGTTAATAAAGGCAAAGTCAAACAGAGTAAAGTGGATAAGGATAATAATATTAAATTGGCTTACCATATCACATCTTGTATTTCTAATACAATGAATACCTCCAACTTCAAGGAGAAATGAAAATGTGAAGAATATTTTACTTTAGTTTTATAGTTGTATTAATAATGCATTTGTGACTTCTCTTAAAATGTAGTAAGTTATGTTGTAGGGAGTCTATGCCATTTTACTTGCTTTAAGGAAAAATACAAACTTAGCATTCATCTTCTGCTTTGCAAATACTTCAAAACACTACTGAAGATGTTAAATCTTTTTCTCTTTTTCCTTCCAGATTAGCATTTCAGAGTAGATCTTGTTAATAAAAATGGTAATGGTATCTACTTACAACAGAATCACATAATCTTGAGTTGAAACACCTTTAGAGATAATTTATTCCAGCCCTCCACCCTCCAAGTCAGATATTTTCTTTACAGCATCCCTGGAAGGTGGTCATCTGTTTTCTTTTAAACACTTTGGTGATACAAAGCTCAACACATTGTAAGATTATATATTGTGGTCACTTTTTTTTGACATCTCAGGTATTCTTTATCTTGAACTAAGGTCTGTTTCCTTGGAAGTCTTATCCCTGATTTTCTGAGTTTCAGAGCAAAAACTTAATCTATTTCCTTTTCAACATCTTAAGTATTTGAAGGTTGAGATATAAAATAAGAGGAACGTGATACCTATATATGGAAGTGGAGAATGTAAGACTGGCCTAGAGACATTTGTACTTTTTCAAATACTGTACTGGTAAAATAATGCTGGTTTGTTGGCTTTATTTGGCTCTAGGTTTGCCAGCATATGTGCTTTCCCTAAGGTTTTCTCAGATATCAACTATTGCACATCGTCCTGTACTCCCTCTTTTGGAAATGTTCCAGGTTATTCACATAGTTTTTAAATTGCCATGTTAAGAAATGGACATAGAACTGCAGGTTGCTGAGCTCAGTGGGGTGGGGTGCCTGAGCTCAGTGGGGTGAATGCCTCCCCTTTTCCAGACACTTCACCAAAAAATGAGCTCTTATTATTTTATAAATAAGCTCTTGTAAAAAATGAGCTCTTACTTATATGTGGTCTGTTTTATCCTTACAAACATTCTATGAGCAGGTACCATTGTTATTCTTATCTTATCAGAAACCAAGACTAAGTAAGTAAAGCACTTTGCCCAGGTCACAGAACAGAAGGATGGAAACTCAAATGTCACTGTTTTAAGACGTTGCTAAATCTGATAAGCAAATCTCTTATGTAATTTATTTAAGTCTTTTATACCTACCCAATTATTCTCCCTTACTCTCAGCTGCATCATTTCCCAAGGACACACATATTATTAACATATAGGTTATAGTGATTGAGACCACAGACTTTGGAATCTGACAGATAATATTCAAAATCCTAACTCAGTCACATACCAGTCACCTGAACCTGGGTTATTTATTATTACATTACTTTTATTTCCTTACTTCTAAAAAAGGACTAGAATATTTTTCCTTTCGACTCCTTCCTCTTTCAAACTTCCATTTAATGATCTCTTGATGAGATCTTTGAGACTTATTTTTGGTCCACCTAAGTTATACCATTTACCTAGATAGATATTGAGCTCTCCCACCTTCTTTTCTTTCCCAGTGCCTAAAAGATAAAGATATTTTAAGTGCTTTTCAAATGCTTTAGCTTCCTATCCTGTTCTTAAAAGTCAATATGAATTGGTTTAGTTTTACTCTTTTCCTATTACTTATACCCATGCTAATCAGTGGATGAGGGAGGTAGGCTCTCAGCCACTCTTAGCTGCCTCTACAGGAAATCTGTTACTGCACAGAGAGGCAGCATTTTCTACTGCTCTCATCAGGAATGTAGCAAGGGAACTACTTAGTGCTCAGTGCATCTGTTAGGACCAAAGGGGAGGATGAGGGAGTAGCTTCCTTGAAGGAAGTACCTGAAAACTTTTTCTAAAATCCTTTTTTTTTTTTTTTGGCCAGGTTATCTCTCATGCCATCTCTGAACATGTTGAAGATGCAGGTGTCCACTCGGGAGATGCCACTCTGATGCTGCCCACACAAACCATCAGCCAAGGGGCCATTGAAAAGGTCATCATTTATAAATAAAAGTGGAAGGGAAAAGGCAACACTCAGAAAAAAACACCTAAGGTTTTTTTTTTTTTTTTAAAGCTAGGTAGCAATGTAAGATATGCTGCAGGTTAAATTTAATGATGAGGCTAACTTCCTTGCTCTGAGTCACCTGGGTATTCTAAAGATAACAATTTTCTTCACTGTCCTTTTGAGCCCCTTTGGTTGTATGCGAGTACAGGGGTTCTCAAACTTGAATGTGCATCACAGACACCTGGAGAGCTTGTTAAACACATTGCTGGACTCCATCCCCCAGTTTCTGATTTCATATTTCTGGATCGGGCTCCAGAATTTGCGTTTTTCACAAGTCCTAAGGTGATGCTATTGCTGCTAGTCTGGGGATGGCAGTTAGAGAACTGCTACTCCTGGGGATTCTAATGTTTCAGGGCCACACACAGGTGAGCGGCATCTGAAGCAATGCTTCTCAGTTAGGAGTGGTGAAACAGGTGTGGACCAGTCACTTGAGAACTTTCTGGAATCTATGCTTTCCCTTCTCACCCTTGACTTCACCTCCAAACAGCACTTTTTGATATCTCTTTTGAGCTCCGAGAGCCAGCCGTATAAAGAACTTAACAAAAATAATGACTCTGCCTTAGTACTCAATATGCACTGCTAGGTGTACATTTAGAACCTATCATCTTTTTTTTTTTTTTTTTGGAGACGGAGTCTCGCTCTTTCACCCGGGTGGGACTGCAGTGGCGCGATCTCGGCTGACTGCAAGCTCCGCCTTCCGGGTTCACGCCATTCTCCTGCCTCAGCCTCCCGAGTAGCTGGGACTACAGGCACCCGCCACTGCGCCCAGCTAATGTTTTGTATTTTTAGTAGAGACGGGGTTTCACCATGTTAGCCAGGATGGTCTCGATCCTGACGTCGTGATCCGCCCGCCTCGGCCTCCCAAAGTGCTGGGATTGCAGGCGTGAGCCACCGCGCCCAGCCGAACCTATCATCTTAAATAAGCTTTGAGGAGGTCCCATTAGTCTTTAGGTATATTAGATCAGGCTCAGGCTCAGCTCTTTTTAGTGAGCTTTTCCAGTGACCCTGCCATCAGAATTCAGGCAGACCTGTCTCTCTGGTTGTACATTGGGCTGGATTCTGAAGGTCTTTGTTCTAGAAGGTAGAGGTAGCAGGATACTTTGTAATAGCAGAAGCATTAAAGAAAAAAGTCCTTGGATCTCAAATGTACTTCAGTTTCTCATGTCAGGATAAATGATCCTCAGAACTCAGGATTTTCCAAATCTCTCAGAGCTCAATGTGTCATAGACTCTACTTCGTTTTATACCCAATTACATTGCTGAACCACTCTTGTGAGCATAATGAGTGAGGAGCTCTTGCTCTTTGTAATCAATGCCCCCTCTTGGTATAGGGACATTCTGGCTCTGGTTGAATACAGGGATTCCTGTATGTGACATGCAGGGCTTCCCTGCAGGGAAACACTGTTTCCTTCTGAACATAATATCTAACCTTGTAGAGTCCAGGGCAACAGAAAAGCAACACAAAAGAAATCTCTCTGGTTTCTTTGCAGTACCATGTAATTTCAGGGCCTGTACCTCCCAGCAGGTAGGTCATTACATTGATATAGAGGTTGGACTGCAGTTTCTGGTGCTAAGGCAACTAGACTGAAAGGATTTCATTTAACCCTCAATGTAAAACCAGGTTATATAATTGTAGGTAGATAGGGGAATTTGGCAGAGAGATAATCGTGTACAATTATTTGTTCTTTTCCTATTATTTTGTGTGTATTTATTGCATATTATTTTGTTAATAGAAACCTAATAGTGCCCTCCATTATAATTATTAATGTAGATATATAGCTGTCTGTGAAGAGAAATTAAAGACATCCAAATTTAAGGTACTGTGCCTTTTAGAAAGTTTTCAAAAACTAAGATATGCTCTTTAGCACACTATACGATTATGCTTTTTAATTCAGGTGAAGGATGCTACCCGGAAGATTGCAAAGGCTTTTGCCATCTCTGGTCCATTCAACGTCCAATTTCTTGTCAAAGGAAATGATGTCTTGGTAAGAAATGCCAAGGTGCCTGAGAGGACACCACCACTGTGTTACGTCATGTTGGTTTGCATCTCTCTGGTAATCTTCTCTGTGAACACCAGACAAAGAGCAACTGAGACCCCTGGATCTGTTTGTGTCTGAGTGTGGAATGATGCATAGCATATAATGTCTACCTTATTTGAAGGCCCAGGCTATTGGTGGCACTGATAAGTCAGTTACAGCTTTGTAAAGCACACTGATCCACTGGGAAGGTCACTGTATGCCACCTACAGTATAGTATAGATGGATACGGTGAGACAGACTATCATAAATAAATGGAATGTGTAGAGTAGTCATAAATTCTGTGTACTGAAATTCTGCTTTACTCCTTACCCAGAGACGATACCATTTGCAAAAATGATAAATGAACTAGATTAGTCCTAATTAATTTAGTCTACTTAGTTTAACTAATCGGTAACTGCCTTAGTCTGTTTTGTGTTGCTATAACAGAATACTTGAGTCTGGGTAACTTGTAGAGAAAAGGGGTTTACTTGGCTTATGATTCTGGTGGCTAGATAGTCTAAGATTGGAAAGCTGAATCTGGTAAGGGTCTCAGGCTGCTTCCATTCATGGTGGAGAGTGGCAAGGGAGTGGGCAGGTGCAGAGGAATCAGATGGTGAGAGAGAAAGTAGGGGAGAGAAACTGAAGAAACCAGACTTTTTAACAGCCCACTGTTGTGGGAATTAATTTACTCCTACCAGACTCTGATTATCCTTTTTAATTTAGGTGAAGGATGCTACCCCAACAGGATAGCATTAATTTATTCATGAAAAATCCACCCCTCGGACCCAAACACCTCCCACTAGTCTCCAGCTTCCATCATGGCCACACTGGGGACCAAATTTCAACATGAGTTTTGATGGGGACAAACCACATCCAGACCATAGTAGTAACCAGCATTGATTTACCTCCTACTCGCAGTCATTTGGTGGCTGCAAAAATGTATTAAGCAAGCCTCTGCTCTCAAAAAATACTGTAATTTAGTGAAGGTTGGGAAGAAGGTAAATTTGTAGAAAACTATAAAGTAGAGTATCACAGTTGCTAGAGGGGATGTACAAATAAAATGGTATTGGAATTATAGAGCAGAGAGAACGTATTTGCCAGTGTGTGTGCATGAGCATGTATTTGAGCATCCTATGCTTGGTTAGGGGTAGATCATAAAAGACTTCAAGGTAGATTTTGTATTGTGAACTGGATCTCGCAAAACGGTTGGAATTTTGACAAGTTAACGATGGTAGAGAGATTATTACACATAGATAGAACATCATCTGTAAAGGTGAGAAAAGAGCATATTTGGAGAGAGTAAATAGTTCAGTTGAGTGAGATGATTTTACTGAGTAAAATGGGTGAACTGGGAAAGTAAGATTGAGGCCAGGAGGGTAGTATAAGATAAAGACAGTGAGGTCTCCAATGAAGCAAGAGGACAGAAGGCCTTCAGGGACTAGACTTTAATCTGAAGCCAGTGGACATCCAGTGAAGGTTTTCAGGAGGGGTATGGCATTATTTGAGCTCTGCATTAAACTAAACCTGTCAGCAGTGCATGGGAATGCAATTTGGAAAAAGGCATGAAAGAAAGTTAGAGTTCAAAGATACTGACTGAAAGTATCAGGAAAAATCCAAGCAGTAAGGAGAAAAGAGACAAGATTAGCAAAACAAGAGCTGGTCCCCAGTTAATAACAGCTGGAAACCAGTGGTAGAGAGAATATTAATATTGTTGTTACTGGCTCTCAATGTCCTCTTTCTCATTTTGAATTTTATCTCTTCAGGTGATTGAGTGTAACTTGAGAGCTTCTCGATCCTTCCCCTTTGTTTCCAAGACTCTTGGGGTTGACTTCATTGATGTGGCCACCAAGGTGATGATTGGAGAGAATGTTGATGAGAAACATCTTCCAACATTGGACCATCCCATAATTCCTGCTGACTATGTTGCAATTAAGGTAACATTTTCAAAAATTTATTAGTCATTTTATGAGTTCTAGTGAAATTAAAAGAACAATTTGTCATCAAAAATCTTGTTACTTTTAAAACCTTCTAACTAAAGGGTTGGACTAGGGATTTACATTTCCTTTCAATAATGTACTGCAGTTGTACTATAGGCAACTTTATGTGAACTGTTGTACATTTCAAAAAAATTTTTAAAACCATCTAGAATTGTATAACTTCAAAATCAATTAGCTGAGTGAATTATAAGCTTTTTGTGCAGCTGACACATGATGGTGCTAGTTTAGCTGGTAAATAGAAATCCAGGACACACCTTGTTAGGATAAAGCTTGAATTGTGCCAACTCTTACATGACTTTTGTAAAAAGGGTTAGCCTGTGGGGTTGATTAAATTCCTACCACATTGACCACCTTTGCTTAGTATATATTTTCTTCAGTGGCATGATTTTTCCATTTGAAAAATTGAGACAGCTGTTGCTGTATATGGTGCTGTGCGGTTGTTGAAATTGATGACACCTTTATAAAGAGTGACCAGGAAAATTTAAAGTTTGTTCACTAATTTCCAATACATATGTATATTTTAAATAATACCTTAATAATAAAGCCATTGTGATCTCCTAGCTGCATCAGTATGATGGTGCACAGAATTATGACCTTTAACTACTTGGCTGGACAGGCATGAGGATTAGTGATATATAAACGTATTTGAATTACGTAGATGAAGAGCACAATGAAATTAATATATTTATGTAACATTAATATTGATATATTTATGTAAAATTGACAAATTTCTGATGTTTTCAAAAGGTTTCCGTTCCTATATGTACTAGTGACTTCAACCATAATTGTGTTACAGCTCAGACTTGGACTTTTGACTTTTATGATGGGAACTTTAAGTTGAAGTTGTGAATTAAAAATCTTGTTTAAGCTGATAATGTAGGATGCCTTGAATTTTATAGTGCATTGAGATGGAATGTGACTTTTTATGTTGGGAGGAGAGGTGGCATTTTATTCATGGAGACTGTGACAAACATATATTGTTAAATCTTTTAGTAGAAAAATAGAGAAATTTTTTTTGAGACCAACGATTAGTAGCCACTGAAAAATATTTTTTTCCACTGGAGATTCTATATATGGATTTTAAGTTCATGTTTCTTTATTCATAGTTATAGGAGTATGCTTATTTCTTTTAGTAAATTGATATATGAATTTTTAACTAAAAATAATATTGATGGATAGATATGCTTTTTTTTTTTTTTTTTTTTGAGACGGAGTCTTGCTCTGTCACCCTGGCTGGAGTGCAGTGCCATGATCTCAGCTCACTGCAACCTCTGCCTTCCGGGTTCAAGCAATTCTCCCCCTCAGCCCCCCAAGTAGCCCCCAGGTAGCTGGGATTATAAGCACATGCCACCACGCCCAGCTAATTTTTGCATTTTTAGTAGAGATGGGGTTTTGCCATGTTGGCAAAGTTGGTCTTAAACTCCTGACCTCAGGTGATCCACCTGCCTCGGCCTCCCAAAGTGCTGGGATTACAGGTAGATATGCATTTTTTAAATGCACTGTATCTTCTAGCTTACTCATTCCCTAGTTAGCTTTGTATATAAATCTTAGTTTTTTTCAAATTACTTAGTAATTGTCAATCTTAATAGCCCTAGTGAGGCTAATTGGTATCAACAGATGGGGAAATAGGGAAGCTGAAATGCAGAAATATGTAACTTGACCAAGATGATCCAGTGAAATGACTCCCAAGCTAGAATTCCCATCATAATTTAGAATGGGTGCCAGAATCAATGGAGCAATTGATAAAATTCCTCCATGTACCAGATAAGTGGACACATAGCGAGAAACAAGAACTTAGTTTTTCATGAATTGCATCAGTAAAATAAATGAAAAGGAGGCACTCCTATACTCTAGTTCATATGAAAGTTCTGCACAAAGGTGTTTCCAAGCAGAATGTTTTTCAAAGCTTTTAAGAGGTGTCAACAACAGTTTAATGCCTCAGAAACTGGCTTACAGACAGCCATTTCTGGCAAGGTGGCTTGTTGCAAGTTCAAATGATCAGAACAAGAAGAGGAATGTTTCCAAAGCCTATCAAAGAGAAAAAAATGTGTTTGAACTCTGTCTGGAGAGACCAATGCCCAGTGGACTTTGAAATCATTCCAATAGGAATATGCATGGGCCAGATTAGAAACACTGGTCCAGACTGGTCTCAGGCGCCCTATTTACAGAATTAATTTGTGATTATTTAACCTAAAGTTTTGGCCAAGAGCTCAAGAAATTCTTGGAATGGAGTTTTAAAGCCATCTTTCAAGTCGGATGCTTGGACCCAAGAGATTTTTTACATGTCTACTGTAGCCTAAGTGAACTCTGTGAGAGATGATTTGCTAATATATTTATCCTCTCTTATTCATTTTCTACTTTTCCCTCACATAATTTTTCTCCCTGTTTTTTTTTTTTCCAACAGGCTCCCATGTTTTCCTGGCCCCGGTTGAGGGATGCTGACCCCATTCTGAGATGTGAGATGGCTTCCACTGGAGAGGTAACTAGTTAATAATCCATGGAAGCTTTCATTAAATCTACTTTGAAATCTATGGTTTTATGATTTGAATACAGTAAAATAAAGGGAATAAAAACATCTGCTATCAGAGTAAGACTCAAAGAGCTTATGAATTTTGAATTTAAAAAATATTTTACTTCTATTTTGAATAGGGTCTAAATTCTTATTTATATTTTAACATGGGAATATAATACATGTGTTACTAATTCATTTTCACATGAGAACATCTTCCAGGTATTTATCTAGACATCCAAGTAAATATCTTCTGTGTCTTACTTTTTATTTAAAGGTTCTCGGGTCTCTCTGTAACAACACCTCATTCCCTGCCTTGCTGCCATGAAATTAGATCATTTGATTTTTACTAGTAATATGGAGAATGACAGCATTATAAAGATCATAGACCTAAACATTGTGGAATCTGCAGATACATGCAAAATTTTAGGACTACTTTTAACCTCCTGGGGATTATCTAAAAACTATAATGGAATCGGCCACTGGATGTCCCTCTTCACTTGTGTTGGGGCTGTGTCAGCTGAAGGTTTCTTTAGGATTGTGAAATGTGTTTCTTGTAAAGAGCTGTCAGATTCTAGAAAGTTCTCTCCATGTCAGTGTCAGGACATTTTATGAATCACCTAGCCCTTGACAGACTTACTAGATACAAACTTCAGATTCTCATCAGTGCATATCCGAGTGGCAATATCAGACTGTGAGCCATCATTGTTTCCTCTTGGTATTAAGGAAAACCTAAAAGGATAAAATACTTAATTGCAACAAAGTACGTGATGTTTTATATGGTTGCCTGGTTACAAGCAAGATCTGTGATGAGAAGCCAAGTGAGACAAGAAGGCAGGCAGTCAGGAATAAATGGCTGTCCTGTTTGTATTTGGACTCTTAGAAAGGGGACTCTTTGCCTCTTTGTTGCTTCTTTTAATTTAAGGGCAAAAAAAACCTTACTTTTAAATGAAGGCACTATGTACGTTTCATCTCCAGTCGGTTTAAGGAGACAGTCTTCAGGTTCTTCTTGATCCCATGGTCGCTACTACTAGTAATGCTGATTTTAGATGGCCCAGGGTTCAGATCAGAGAGAGATCTATTTTCCTTCATACTGTTTTATTTTTCTTTCTTCCTTTTTTTTTTGAAACGGAGTTTTGCTCGCTCTTGTTGCCCAGGCTGGAGTGCAACGGCATGATCTCAGCTCATTGCAGCCTCCACTTCCTGGGTTCAAGCGATTCTCCTGCCTCAACCTCCTGAGTAGCTGGGATTACAAGCATGCACCACCACGCCCGGCTAATTTTGTATTTTTAGTAGAGATGGCGTTTCTCCATGTGGGTCAGGCTGGTCTCGAACTCCTGACCTCAGGTGATCCGCCCGCTACAGACATGAGCCACCGCAGCCGGCCCATGCTGTTTTCTTTAGCATGGCAAATTTGTTTTCAGTGGTTATGTTCATTCTGCATCCATACATATGTTATGGGAGTTATTGAAATATAAAAATAAGAAAGAATGAGAAATTCAGCTCCCCTTTGTTATATCTGTTTCTCAAGTATAAAGAGAATTTTTCTTCCATTATTTGAAAGAGTCGTTAATTCCAAGTGTCATACAGTATAATATTACGAGGTCTGTTTTATTACTGACATCAGAATTCTAGCTTAGTAAAATCTTAATTATGCTTCAAAGAGACATTTTCAGTGTCCAAATGGCTTGTTGTAGGATTAAATAAACATTCAGCTACTGATATAAGTAAGGGGCATTTTATGTTCCTAGTGGTAAAGTGGGGATATTAGTCCTAATCTTTAATGGCACATTTAACTACTTTCTATGGTTCTGTAGAAAATTTTTAAAACCTCGTCTGTGTTGTTGCATCTGCACTATGATGGGATTACCCAATTCTTTTCAATAGAATTTGAGACTCATTAACTTAGGTTGACCTTATTTAAGTTAGTTGCCCAGTACTTGACTGAGTAAAATGTTCACTGTGGAGAGAAAAGCAGCAACCACATGTACTGGTGACCAGCTGAAGGTTATAGTCATAAGAACTTTTCTTGCACAGAAATTGTAATTTGCTTAAGAAATGAATTTAGCCATCAGTGGTTTTTTTTTTCTTTTTTTTCTTTTTTATTATTATTATACTTTAAGTTTTAGGGTACATGTGCACAATGTGCAGGTTAGTTACATATGTATACATGTGCCATGCTGGTGTGCTGCAGCCATTAACTCATCATTTAGCATTAGGTATATCTCCTAATGCTATCCCTCCCCCCTCCCCCCACTCCACAACAGTCCCCAGAGTGTGATATTCCCCTTCCTGTGTCCATGTGTTCCCATTGTTCAATTCCCACCTATGAGTGAGAACATGCGGTGTTTGGTTTTTTGTCCTTGCAATAGTTTACTGAGAATGACGATTTCCAATATCATCCATGTCCCTACAAAGGACATGAACTCATCATTTTTTATGGCTGCATAGTATTCCATGGTATATATGTGCCACATTTTCTTAATCCAGTCTATCATTGTTGGACATTTGGGTTGGTTCCAAGTCTTTGCTATTGTGAATAGTGCCGTAATAAACATACGTGTGCATGTGTCTTTATAGCAGCATGATTTATAGTCCTTTGGGTATATACCCAGTAATGGGATGGCTGGGTCAAATGGTATTTCTAGTTCTAGATCCCTGAGGAATGGCCACACTGACTTCCACAATGGTTGAACTAGTTTACAGTCCCACCAACAGTGTCAAAGTGTTCCTATTTCTCCACATCCTCTCCAGCACCTGTTGTTTCCTGACTTTTTAATGATTGCCATTCTAACTGGTGTGAGATGGTATCTCATTGTGGTTTAGATTTGCATTTCTCTGATGGCCAGTGATGATGAGCATTTTTTCATGTGTCTTTTGGCTGCATAAATGTCTTCTTTTGAGAAGTGTCTGTTCATATCCTTTGCTCACTTTTTGATGGGGTTGTTTGTTTTTTTCTTGTAAATTTGTTTGAGTTCATTGTAGATTCTGGATATTAGCCCTTTGTCAGATGAGTAGGTTGTGAAAATTTTCTCCCATTTTGTAGGTTGCCTGTTCACTCTGATGGTAGTTTCTTTTGCTGTGCAGAAGCTCTTTAGTTTAATTAGATCCCATTTGTCAATTTTGGCTTTTGTTGCCATTGCTTTTGGTGTTTTGGACATGAAGTCCTTGCCCATGCCTATGTCCTGAATGGTAATGCCTAGGTTTTCTTCTAGGGTTTTTATGGTTTTAGGTCTAACGTTTAAGTCTTTAATCCATCTTGAATTAATTTTTGTATAAGGTGTAAGGAAGGGATCCAGTTGCAGCTTTCTACGTATGGTTAGCCAGTTTTCCCAGCACCATTTATTAAATAG
This sequence comes from Homo sapiens, assembly GCF_000001405.40. NCBI lineage: Eukaryota > Metazoa > Chordata > Mammalia > Primates > Hominidae > Homo > Homo sapiens. The sequence goes on from NC_000002.12 coordinate 210,666,581, forward strand.
GGAATCCTTTCCCCATTGCTTGTTTTTCTCAGGTTTGTCAAAGATCAGATAGTTGTAGATATGCGGCGTTATTTCTGAGGGCTCTGTTCCGTTCTATTGATCTATATCTCTGTTTTGGTACCAGTACCACGCTGTTTTGGTTACTGTAGTCTTATAGTGTAGTTTGAAGTCAGGTAGGGTGATGCCTCCAGCTTTGTTCTTTTGACTTAGGATTGACTTGGCAATGCGGGCTCTTTTTTGGTTCCATATGAACTTTAAAGTAGTTTTTTCCAATTCTGTGAAGAAAATCACTGGTAGCTTGATGGGGATGGCATTGAATCTATAAATTACCTTGGGCAGTATGGCCATTTTCACAATATTGATTCTTCCTACCCATGAGCATGGAATGTTCTTCCATTTGCTTGTATCCTCTTTTATTTCATTGAGCTGTGGTTTGTAGTTCTCCTTGAAGAGGTCCTTCATGTCCCTTGTAAGTTGGATTCCTAAGTATTTTATTCTCTTTGAAGCAATTGTGAATGGGAGTTCCCTCATGATTTGGCTCTCTGTTTGTCTGTTATTGCTGTATAAGAATGCTTGTGATTTTTGTACATTGATTTTGTATCCTGAGACTTTGCTGAAGTTGCTTATCAGCTTAAGGAGATTTTGGGCTGAGACAGTGGGGTTTTCTAGATATACAATCATGTCGTCTGCAAACAGGGACAATTTGACTTCCTCTTTTCCTAACTGAATACTCTTTATTTCCTTCTCCTGCCTAATTGCCCTGTATTTACTCTAATGGTGGTTCTGTACCTGTGCCAAATGATGATATACATGGCAGAATTGACTCCTATCAGGTTCAAATATACCACTTGTTCTATAATTATGTTGGCTATTTGACTTGTAGTTATATTGTAGCACAATTACCGTAAACCTAAATGGAACTTCTGTATACTCTAACATTACTATATATGTTAGTTTGTTTGGAATTGTTTTTTCCCCATATGGCTGTGGTATTCAGGACTAGTAGCAGGATATTTTGTTTCACTTTATGAAAATGATGTTTTTAAAAAACAGGTTCCTTTGAGGTTTTCATGGAGTTATTAAATTTCTCAGAAGGCTGTCTCATAAGCTCTATGAAATGGCTCCAAACCAATTCAGCAGTTACGCATTTCTGCTACTGACCGGTAAATTCATGCACGGCTGCATAGTATATATGACACATACTGTTATTTAAACAGTAAGTCATATTAACATTCGGAAACTTACCACATTATGGACCAGAAGCTGTGATTTGTATCCAAATAACTCTCAGTAGAATCCAGTTATGTTGCTCCATTGAGTGTTGTTGGATAGAAAAAGAATTGCTTATTCATTCATTATGCTTAATTAAAAACATAAGATACATCTGCCCTGGCCAGCCTTTTAATCCCTGGATTCAGATTGCACAGGCTTTGGGCAACATTAATAAAATCTACAGAAGGAGTCTATGAGTAAAGTACTTTCCATTTGTGCGTGCATGTGTGTGTGTGTGTGTGTGTGTGTGTGTATTTTAATTTTAATTTTTGGTAGGAGTGGTTGACTATTCTTTGCATCCTCTATTTTAATTTTTTATTTATTTCTAAACAGGTGGCTTGCTTTGGTGAAGGTATTCATACAGCCTTCCTAAAGGCAATGCTTTCCACAGGATTTAAGATACCCCAGAAAGGCATCCTGATAGGCATCCAGGTAAGTGGTTTGTGGCTGTGTGCTTGCCCATGGTCATACATGGTGAGTGGGGAGGGGCAGGATAGAATGTTAATTGTGGTATAGAGGAAGGGAGATTTGTTTTACGTTTCCGTTTATGGCAACTTCCAGGAAGAAGGGACATTTGTTCTCTATTTGCTTCCTGATTTTGCCTTCTGTTGTATCAGCCCGTGCAAAAATAAAATACAGACAGAAAGAAAATGTTTCTAGTGAAGGGATATTTGTTCTAAATGGGATGCAGGGTACTTTAAAAAATGAATCTCTTATTCTTTGGTTTTGTCTTTTCTATATGTTTTACTCTTAGCTCTCCATCCTTAGTTCCTGAACATAGGCATTATATGAGGTTGGATCTCACTTCCTCTGTTTCTCTTGATATTTCTCTGTCTCTTGATTTTCCCCCTTGCCAATTCATCCATGTCTATAGTACCTACTCTTCTATCTATAGCTACCACCTGTAAATTTACATCCTCAGCCATCCCATATTTCCAACAATCTGCTGGATACCTCCACTTGAATATCTCAAATCCAACGTTTCTCAAACTGAAGTCATATCTGTTCTCTCCTGACCATCTCCCCTTCCTTCCTTTCATTCATTCAGTCCTTCACATTTCAATCACTTCTAAATGCCAAGGATTCAAAGTTGAATACATTGATGTTATTTGATTAAATTTCTCAACTTAACACTCCAGATTGAAAGTTTTTGAAGGGTAGTGACTTAATGGGCCTAATACAGTCAGTTTATTTCATAGTATACTGTAGAAGTTCTTGAAATATTATTCATTGGTAAGCCTTCTAGGTCAAAGTAGGGTGAAATGAATATCTTTATGCAATAAAAAATGCACTGTCAATTTATTGATGTAAGTTAAATATAAATCTTAGGGCAAAATGATAGGAAACTTCTATTACTATTTGGAATGCTTTTTATTACTATTCAGAACTACTTTTATTACTATTACTAATTGCAAGAGTGTACAAACTGTCCTGTTTATAAATTTCCTGAAAAAATACTAGAGGCTTCCCAACTGGTCATTCATTTTTATTTGAGATTAGTAATTCTTGGGTCCTATGAAAAACAACAAATGGTCTTATATAATATCCCTGCTGTGCTTTTAATAAGCTCAAACTCTGCATGGCTACATAAAAATCAATAAAAATATAATTAGAACAGTACCAGGTATTCTCAAGCCAGTGGGTGATTATTTTAGATTCCATCTCATTAGGGTGTCTTAATATTAGCAAATTAGACTCTGGAGACTTTACAGGTAGTGGCTTTGGAGAAGTTTCTGCAAAGAGTAACTTGGGATTTTGCTTTATAAAGGTACCAGAAGGACGACGGTGAATAGTTAGAGCAGAGGCTAACAAGATGACTTGCAATTGTGAAGCTTAATGGCAGTTTAGAGACAAATCACACCATATGATAGACTCATCATGTTATAAATGGGTATTAAGTATTATTAAGTCCCAAGTAGGAGAATATTTGCCCAACTTCCAGTTATGGCTTAAAGTTTAATGTGAGACTTGGGGGCATTCAGAGGAGACCATGCCCTTAGTCCACATCTTCACATCTAATCATAATAGTGCTAACATTTTAAAATGCCACTTTAAGAAGGCAGTGATGTATAAAATTGTGCCTTGTTTGGTTCTAGTGCTGCAGGGAAATGTGAAGCAAAAATTAATTTGATCCCTATGAAGTATTTGCGTAATTTTGGCATTAGTGGACAGAATTTTGCTTTGTAGGGGAAAAAAGGGTTTGTTAGAAAAAATAATGTTTTCTTAAAGTAGTGAGAGCTGGCTATTGAAAATCTACCTTTCAATACTTTCCTTTTAAAAGAAATAAATGTTCTAGCAGCTACATGAGTTGTTGCGAAGAACTTTCTGCACATGAGAGCATACGGACACAGATTTAAAAATATATTAAAAAGTACTTAAAGGAACTTAATAAAATTATACTTAAGAAAATATTTACAGCCATGGCAAAATTGATCAGCTAATGCATAGTTTCTTCATTACTATATGTAGGATTTTCATTCATGGTGTTTTTAAAAATGCTTAGTCTGATAAACTGAAAAAGCGTGACAGAATATACTAAATGGAGAGTTAATAGCTATAAAACTTACTTGACTACTTCTTAGTTAGTATGGGGCCAAATCTAATCTCAACTTTTTACCACAGCTTCATAGCAATTGCAGATAAAGTAATTAGGGTTCCATATTTTAGGATACATTGTACTTTTAAAAAACATTTTATTTAACGTGATCCTACTTGGTCAGAAGAACTCATATAAACACTTTTGGATATATTAAGTTAGAACTGAAAAATAGCACAAAAAAGACTGCTAATATATAAATGGGGGTTAGGGATAGTAAATCCAATGGAAGGCATCTAGTTGAAGGTGAGTTATTATGAAGTTCCAAGAGAACTTGTTATATGGCAGTCTTTCTAACTTTTAAATTTCTTCTCTCTTTCCCACCCTACTCCTTTACACATACAGACTCTCTGTTTCTGGTCTTCCAAAGTTAAATCCAATAGGTCAAAGTATCTGGGAAGTTTGAAATATTCATAACATCAATCTTATAACTAGGACTTAGGATAAAAGAATCAAGATGTAGATTTTGTCAAAGGATTCTTCTCAATCTATTACATTCCCTGTGTCTCTACCAAGGCATTTCTAACATAAGAAAGGCATAACACAGGTTTATATGGCAACAAAAATCATCTTTGATTTTCCTGTAATATTTCTAGCCACCTTTCATCGCATTAGGATTTATTTTTAGTTGCTGTGAGTAGGCAATCTGCCTTGTTTTGAAGTTTTCTGGAAGACCCTTTAACATTAAATGATTTACTCTAGAGTAGATCAAGAGCACTCACTGTGTTTTCCTCTCTGATTGGGCTATTCAGTGATGCTTGTGGAGTGGCAAGTACCAATCTGACATCTGCGCTTCAGCATCGCTCAGAAACACAAAGCAAGCATTTTATTTGAAAAGACAACTCCAAGTGACATGAATAACCTTTTATCTTTAATATGGAATCATTAGGAACAACCATAGAGTTGTCAATCCAGAGGTCCCCGTAGAATCCACAGGCATCACATAGTATTAACTTGGCTTTCTTTTCTGTAGCCAGGAGTTGGATAAATGTGAAAATGATCATTGGAGGAAATATATATATTTTTCACTTTTAAAGGACTGTCTTCTTTATAAACATTTCCAAGAAAATAAATCAGCTTGTACTTTTCACCTTTCGTAACAAATGGTTTCTTACACAGGTATTTTCAATCAGCTTTTAAATCTGAGGCTACTCAGATGCAAGCTGACAGCTGTAATTTCTTTTTGTAGAGAGGCTGTTTTATGTGTCACAAGTGTTCAATACATGTTTGATAGAAGTTTATAATGTGCCTATGGAAGCCAACACCCAGACCAGAAGGTAGAGTGGTTTCCTGGCTGGGAACTGTCGATACTGTCATGTTGGATATTTATCTTTTCCACCTGGGGGACAACACTGAAACAGCTCCATAATGAGGTTCTGCCTGGTGTCTGCAGGTCTTAGAGGACTTGCTGACTTATTTTACTTTAAAATGGCAAAGAAAAAAATTACATTCTAGTACTCCTCCCTTAATGTTTTTCGTGGTGATTTTAGCCAAGGTTAATGCAATCTTGACTTCATATTACACAATGAGTGAACGATAGTCTTCCTATCCCCTATTCCCCCCTTTCTCAAGCTTAAGTATGCATCAAAATCACCTGGAGGGTTTGTAAAACAACAAATTGCTAGGATCCACTCCCAGAGTTCCTGATTCAATAGATCTGGGGTGGGGTTCAAATTTTCATATTTTTAATAAATTCCCAGGTAATGCTGATGCTGCTCTGCCAGGGACCACAGTTTGAGAACCACTCTACTTGAGCGATGGTACTTTAGAAACCTGGTTAAAAGTTATGTTAGCACTTATTATTGTCAAACATATTATCAGGGAATTTTTGCTAGGGGAAAGTATAAAAGATTGAGGAAAGTTGAGTGCATGATTAATGTATCAATTAGCAAGTGTTGGAGATCATTATGCTGAGCCTTCTAATGTGATTTGGTACTTACTGAAGTCTATTCTGTGTTTAGCAGAGGGTCACAATGTAATGTTCCATATTAGGGGTATTTAACAACATTTGGAAGTTCATTTTGGACATTTCATATATATTTGTTATATACCAAGGAATCTTAAAACATGAAAAAAAATTTATATGCCATCAAATTTAGCCCTTTGCCTTTTCTGAGGAGAATGAAACTTGAATTGTCTTATTCTTCTGTCTAACCAATTGTCCTGATGTCACTAAGAGTTATTCTCTAATTTTTTACTTGTTTTTTTCTTTTACGTCTAACCATGAGCTTCTTGCATCTAAGCTCATTTCTTTCTGTTTGGTCCTAAGTGGAAATGAAAAGCTACTTTCCTGGGCATGGTTAAAATTCATGTTCTATAAGGCAGTCATGAATAACCACTGAGCCTGCCTCAGCTGAAATTCATCCAGTTACATTTATCTATTCTATTTACCAATAGTTTCCTCTTATAAAACTGCAGTTCTGGGATTGAGGGGGCCAGAATCTGAAAGAATTTTATATTTGAACATAGTCTTTGGGGTCTTTTCTTAGGATTTAGATCTGTGCTCAGAAATACTCTGCAAGTAAATATTAGGGGGTGTTATGGGCTAAACATTATCAAAATTGTGCAAGGATCACATGTGTTTTATTGTCACAGTTCCTAGTTTCTGACTCTGAAATAAGATCATTTGATTTTTTCCAGCCATCACTAATATGGTTTATAAACAGGTTACAAGACATTTGCTGAAGTAACTAGCTCATGTCATCTGTTTAAAACCTTTTTACAAGGGAAACCAACAAGAATGTTCCTATTTAAAGAAGAATGGATATGTTTTTAACAGTGTGTGATTTTAAATACGCCAGCTCAGTTACTCAGACACTCATGTTAATGAAGTCAAGGTCAGGGTTTGATCTTTGGGTAGGTCACCTAGTGTTGTTTTCTTTCATTCTGACCACTATCTTGCAAACACTAGCTCTTGATCACAGGAAGTATGTTCAGAAATAGGGAACTCCTGATGGCAATGGTCAGGAATCCAGGGAAGGTAGGGGCTGGACACTAGACAGGTCCACCTGGGGTCCTAGGAAAGACACAGCAATGGACTACAGGAAAATATCTGAACAGTGAGATGGAGCATTAGGGAAGCCTGTGTGGAAATGAAATGCGTATAAATGAGGGGGCAGTCAGTTTGGGTTGTAAGTGTAATCGTGGGTAGAGGAACCCATGCTTGGAAACTAGGATGTAAGGGCAGGAATCTAGTTTTTAGGGGGGCTGAAAAAACAATTATTGTAATTATAATAATATTTATTAAGAACTATTAATAGGCAAGTAACTGTGCTAAATTATAGTAGTAACACTTAAGTAGTGCTTACTTCTAAATTAGTTTATTGAACACTCATACTAATGTAAGAACTGTTACTATTCCTGTTCAACAGATGAGGAAACTGCATCTTAGAGTTGTTAAGTAAGATATTCAAGGTAACACAGTTTAATAAGGTGTGGAGCCTCAAAAAAAAAAGTTGAAATACTACTATTGTCATCACTGTTTTTGAGTGAAGAAATGAAGGCAAAGACATTAACTTTTTGAAGCTCATACCACTAGTGAATGGTGAAAGCCAGGATTTGAAATGCAGCTAACTGACTTTAGAGCTCATTCTTTAGCTACAACTTTTTATTGCCTCAGAGTAAATGAAAAAAGAGTTCCAAAGATTGAGTTATTGCAGGGACTAGTGCATAAGCTACTAGGAAAATGGCCTAGTTATTGAAGAGCAGTACAAAATTAGAACTTAGAAATAAGAGCAAGTTGAGCCTGGGTGCAGTGGCTCATGCCTGTAATCCCAGCACTTTGGGAGGCCGAGGTGGGTGGATCACCTGAGGTCGGGAGTTTGAGACCAGCCTGACCAACATGGAGAAACCCTGTCTCTACTAAAAATACAAAATTAGCTGGGCATGGTGGTGGATGCCTGTAATCCCAGCTACTCGGGAGGCTGAGGCAGGAGAATCGCTTGAACCCAGAAGGCATTGCAGTGAGCCAAGATCGTGCCATTGCACTCCAGCCTGGGCAACAAGAGCAAAAAACCCCATCTCAAAAAAAAAAACCAAAAAAAAAAAAAAGAAATAAGAGCAGGTTGAATAGGCAAAACAGCTAGCCTGACTCGGTACTGGCTCCTAACCCGCATATCTTTTAAGTCCTCCCTGACCAGGAAAAGGATCCTTGTAGAACCGAAGTGGATCTGAACTTACAAAGACCAAGTAGATTAAATAGAGAATAAAAGGAGATAAGAACAAGGTGAAAAGCAGGGATCAAGATTATGTGGATGGAATTTCATTGACATTGGGATATAGCTAAAACTCACACTCACCATAGAAGGATAAAAGGATAAAACTTGTCATTTTTTAATATAAAGCATCCGGCAACATGTAACATTGTCTTTTAAGATGTTGTAAGGAAATACCATATTGCATAAATGAAGAGCATGTATATCTAGAAAGTGAATTTTGTGAAATTCCTTTTCAGCAATCATTCCGGCCAAGATTCCTTGGTGTGGCTGAACAATTACACAATGAAGGTTTCAAGGTATGTTCATTAGTTTTAAGTTGTTTTCTGTCAGCATGGAATCTGTCCACAAATCAAAATATTGCAGAATATTGGAAAAGAAATAGCCCAAAATATGTCCTTTTGATATGAAAGGTTTAACTAACTTGGTAGTTTCAAAACTTAGAGTCAAATCATTAAAAAGACTGGTATTAACTTTTAACAAAATTACCACAAATTCAATAGAAGTTGCCAGCTAAAAACTGAGAAAGTTTAGCTTAAGCACAATTGAGACAAAGTCCCAACACATTTCCATATGTTTTTCCTTTTTTTGTTTTCATATGAGGTTATAGATTCTAGCTGTGACAGTTACAGGCAAAACTTCTTTGCAGTGAATACCTCCACACAAAGCCTGGTTGAGTAAAACAAAATTATTCCCAAGGCTTATGATGGGCCTGTGGCCATGGGGATTTTTTGACCTGCTAACAAGGAATTAGCCATGAATAATTGAGAAATTATTAAATTTATGAGAAATTGTCATTGAATTATTAAATTCAAATTAAACATATAATTATTAAAATGGAAATGCAAATAAAATTGAGGTTCTTAAGTTTTTTAAATCACTGCAAATATATAAAAAATGTTTAAAGTGCCCATGCCTCTGGACTGTGAGTCCAAGTCTCTATCCATGGCACTATACTACTTCTCATGTTCAGCAATTTCTTCTTCTTTATGTTTTAAATTACATGTTCCATAAAAATAAGAAATCACTGTGATACGGTAATTGATTTTTTCATTTTAAATGCAGCTGTTTGCCACGGAAGCCACATCAGACTGGCTCAACGCCAACAATGTCCCTGCCACCCCAGTGGCATGGCCGTCTCAAGAAGGACAGAATCCCAGCCTCTCTTCCATCAGAAAGTAAGAACTAGGCATACTGTTTTCTGAAATAATTTAGAGGATTAACTTTGAGAACCAGTATATGAATATTTCACCTTACTTGATTGCAAGTCTTTTAAAACAAATTTAAAAATGAATACATTTGTGGATGATTGTCAAGTTTCACTCTCCATCACTATGGAATACATAACGTCATGTGTACATGGTGATATGAAACGTGTTTCAAAATACTTCTTAGTAAGGATACTTTCCTTGACGGAAACAAGTGAGAGCATGAAGAATGTAATGCAGCACTTTATATTTCATGTCAAACTTATATTGTGTATAGATAAGTACATCGAGTATAAGATGACCAGCTATATTTCACTAAGGTTGTGCATAATAAATCAATTTGTTGAGCACTTACTACATACAGGAACCTATGTTGAGTACTATGATGATGTCATCCATTGGATTACCTAATTGGTCATTCCTTGACCAGGTTTTCATGCCTTAGACCATGTCATCATTAGATTTTGTACGACATTTTATTTCAGCAGATTGTGTGAATCTTCAGGAATACCATTGCATCAACCCTTAAAGATCTATGTGGCATAAGTACATAGGAGATAATTCTCTGCTGTTTTAAGATAGTGCAGCCTACAGAATGGCTGTGCCATTCTATGCAATATGTTATTTGTTAGCGTTCTTGAGAAACCAACACATAAATTATTATCACTTTAATAAAATAATGGCATTGTGTTCAAACCTTAGCAGGCCTCCAAGGATGTAATAGCTCCGTGTTTGGGGCATTGTAAAACAATAATTAGCACTACTAAGGAGGCAATAGAGTTAATGTGGGAGTGGGAACATGGGGGTGAAAGGGCATTCAATGGTGGAGGGATCACCTCTTTTTAAAAAATAAGTATCTATCAAATTACCAATTCTTAATGAGTGAACAGATAGCATTTTAAAGAGAAAACAAACATCTGCATTCCATTAGACTTGCACTAGAATTCCTTCAAGAACACAATATAATCCCTATATAAGTGTAATTTAAACATCTACTTAGCAATAGAGGAGGGCAGATGGCAGTCAACTCAGCATGGCATTGACTTGAATGGCTAAGAGAGCAATTTATGTTAGTATTTTATAAACTAACTATAAAATATGCCTTGTTGTCTATAAGTTTTTGTTTATTTTTCCAGATTGATTAGAGATGGCAGCATTGACCTAGTGATTAACCTTCCCAACAACAACACTAAATTTGTCCATGATAATTATGTGATTCGGAGGACAGCTGTTGATAGTGGAATCCCTCTCCTCACTAATTTTCAGGTATAGTCTTTTCCTTGGATATAGACTGGATGGGAGTTTTATTTCTGTGCCTCCCTTAAGAGTGTAATCAGTAGATGCACATCTCTCTTTTCCCCTCTTTGTAACTTTCAGAATAGAGAGGAATTTTTAATAATCTAAAATAATGATGCTAACATGGTAGGTCATGGCTTAAATGGGACAGTTGGTGATCAAGCAATTGAGATAATCAAAGGCCATGAATGGCCATGGCTCTCTCCTTACAATTATCCTTTGAATAAAAAGTGACAGCATGACATGGAATAAAGATACAAACTTTTATTTCATTGTTTCTAAATGAAAGCCACCATATAAAAGCAACAGGTTAATGATGGTCCAGATGTAGCACAAGTGCTTGTTCAATTCACAGAAAATGATTGCATGAGGCATGTTCAGTTTCACTTGGACATGACCCATCGAATTTATCACAGGGAGAAACAGAGTGGAGACTCATTAACTTTCTGCCTATCATATTTATTTTTTATGCAGAATCAGTTTTAATCCCTATGGGAGGAGAAATAAGCGTATTCACAGTGACATCTGAGATATAAAAGAAAGTCCCCATGGTGAGGTCTGAGACATGGGAGAAAGTCTCCATTACATAAAAAACTTTTATGCCTTTTATCCCATACCCCTTTGAAAACTGGGGACAGACACTTGTGACTTTTGTCTTCATTCATTAAAAATTCACTTTTATCTCATGGAGGGTGCTGATTCCTACCATTATATTTTCAGGTGACCAAACTTTTTGCTGAAGCTGTGCAGAAATCTCGCAAGGTGGACTCCAAGAGTCTTTTCCACTACAGGCAGTACAGTGCTGGAAAAGCAGCATAGAGATGCAGACACCCCAGCCCCATTATTAAATCAACCTGAGCCACATGTTATCTAAAGGAACTGATTCACAACTTTCTCAGAGATGAATATTGATAACTAAACTTCATTTCAGTTTACTTTGTTATGCCTTAATATTCTGTGTCTTTTGCAATTAAATTGTCAGTCACTTCTTCAAAACCTTACAGTCCTTCCTAAGTTACTCTTCATGAGATTTCATCCATTTACTAATACTGTATTTTTGGTGGACTAGGCTTGCCTATGTGCTTATGTGTAGCTTTTTACTTTTTATGGTGCTGATTAATGGTGATCAAGGTAGGAAAAGTTGCTGTTCTATTTTCTGAACTCTTTCTATACTTTAAGATACTCTATTTTTAAAACACTATCTGCAAACTCAGGACACTTTAACAGGGCAGAATACTCTAAAAACTTGATAAAATTAAATATAGATTTAATTTATGAACCTTCCATCATGATGTTTGTGTATTGCTTCTTTTTGGATCCTCATTCTCACCCATTTGGCTAATCCAGGAATATTGTTATCCCTTCCCATTATATTGAAGTTGAGAAATGTGACAGAGGCATTTAGAGTATGGACTTTTCTTTTCTTTTTCTTTTTCTTTTTTTCTTTTTGAGATGGAGTCACACTCTCCAGGCTGGAGTGCAGTGGCACAATCTCGGCTCACTGCAATTTCCGTCTCCCAAGTTCAAGCGATTCTCCTGCTTTAGACTATGGATTTCTTTAAGGAATACTGGTTTGCAGTTTTGTTTTCTGGACTATATCAGCAGATGGTAGACAGTGTTTATGTAGATGTGTTGTTGTTTTTATCATTGGATTTTAACTTGGCCCGAGTGAAATAATCAGATTTTTGTCATTCACACTCTCCCCCAGTTTTGGAATAACTTGGAAGTAAGGTTCATTCCCTTAAGACGATGGATTCTGTTGAACTATGGGGTCCCACACTGCACTATTAATTCCACCCACTGTAAGGGCAAGGACACCATTCCTTCTACATATAAGAAAAAAGTCTCTCCCCAAGGGCAGCCTTTGTTACTTTTAAATATTTTCTGTTATTACAAGTGCTCTAATTGTGAACTTTTAAATAAAATACTATTAAGAGGTAATGCAGTTGAATCTGGTTTTATTTTATGTTGCTGTACAAAAATCAGTTTACTTCTATGATAAAATAGGGTTTTGGGCCAGGATTGCATTGCTTATTTATTTTTTCCATGCAAACCCATATAGGGATGAGAAAATTAATGTTAAAAATAAGTTTTAGCTGTCACATTTTTCATTTTTTCTTGTCCCTCCCTTGCTTTTAAGTCTCATCATAACATTATGTGGTTATATGGCTATAAACCATCTTTGATCTGGATCCTTTCTAATGTATAACTACAACCACAAACTGATTAAAGATTGCCACAAATATATAGTAAACTTTCAAACAAATGTCTTGCATAACTCAGAAAAGTAACTTAACCCAATCAGAGGCTGACCAGCATTGTCTGATGGAAATAGTGCCAATGAGCACACTGATGCCATATCCCCAATTTACCACCGAAACTATGGCTTTGTGAAGGTCCTAAGATAATTATGCTATAACAGCTTTTATTTCTTCCTTGTTACCTCACAGTCAATTGATTACCACTTTGTATAGCTCTAGACGAATGCTTAAAGTAATTCATCTTCTCTCCCCCTCACTTCCTTGTTCTTCCTGTGGTCAAGACTTTCATTACTTCTTCCCTGTAATCTTTTTTTTTTTTTTTTTTTTTTTTTGAGACGGAGTTTTGCTCTTGTCACCCAGGCTGGAGTGCAGTGGCGCGATCTCAGCTCACTGCAACCTCCATCTCCTGGGTTCCAGCGATTCTCCTGCCTCAGCCTCCTGAGTAGCTGAGATTACAGGTGCCCGCCAACAAGCCTGGCTAATATTTTGTATTTTTAGTAGAGACGGGGTTTCGCCATGTTGGGCAGGCTGGTCCCCTATAATCATATAATTATGTAATCCCTGATCACTTTGATTCATTCACCTGAAAATATTTAATGAGTTTCTTCCATGTTTCATGTAGAATATATCACAATCTCTCCTACTATTATTCTAGCATGTTTCTGTTACATATCACCAGCACCACAACCACCATCACCATAATAATTAACATTATGGAGTCCATACTATTTTTCAGGCATTTGTAAGTACTTTACATGAGTTAACCTAGTTAATCCACAAAATATCCCTGTGAGTAGGTGCTGTTATCTCCATACTATAAATAAGAAAACTTAGGCATACCAAAGTTAAGTAACATGCTCAAGGTCACACGAAATGGAGTCTCACTTTTCTGTATCATATTCTGGTGAAGGTAGGCATGTAAAAAGAAATCATTTCTCACAGTAAAGAAAATAATTTGCCTGCAGAGATCAGGGAAGGGCATTTTAAGGAGATGGATTCATGTGTTGCCTTGAATAAGATCTTGCAGTTGCCAAGGAAGACTAGAAGGTAAGGACATTTAGGAAAATGACAATGACGTTGTTATGACTGGAGCTCAGGGTATGTGTGGAGGGAAAGGGCTAGTAGCAGAAGTTGAGACTGGACTCTTAATGGTGGATGTTTAAACTAGGTAGAAGTTTTAAAACTTTTTATTTGGAAATAATTTTGGATTTAAATTTTAAAAGTAAAAAAATCCCCAGATCTACCTATTGGTAATATTTTACTTCATTTGCTTTATTCTACTCTTATCATCTATTTCTCTATCTAAACACACTTGACACACATACATATTCACAGAGGAAGATAAAAATTACATGTTGACTAAAAGTGAGCAGGCTGTTAGTGACCAATTTAGATATGTAACTCAATGTTTTAAATAAACAATTGTTTGCTGAAACTGTCAAAAACTCAATTAGTTAATCATTGTATTGTGAGAATTTAATAAAGGGTCCTAATTTTTATATTAATGTGAGCCGGCTATTTGTAAGATATGGTAAAATTTGAAGATTAATAATAATTAATTTAACATTGTGTCTATATAAACTCTGTTTTTTGTTGACAAAAGGGCTTTGGAAAACCAGAAGACAGGATAGACCTCATGGTGCTGAAAATGGAATTACATTAATTTTTGTTTTGGTTGCCTTTCTGTTTTCCAACATTCCAAACTTTAAAAAGACTTAACAACAGATAAATAACACATTTAAGATCTTTGGTTGGAGGAGAGAAATCCAAGAAAGTAGAAACATTTGTGCTCAGATTTGGCAAGGCTTTGTCCTTTTGGAACATATTTATTCTTTCATATAAACATGTTAACACATTTTTAAATGTCCAAATCTATTATATATCACAAGTTCGGACAACACAGGGTCTATGTCTGTAGAGCTGAATAACAAATCTAAGTAGCTTTTTCCATACTGAGAATTTAATGGTGTGCAAGAAGGATGGGCTCTATTGAAGAGGGAGAAAAGGAGCTCAGCCAGCTTGTGAAATGAAGAGGAATAAAGAATGATCCATTTATAGATTTAGGATTTTAAAGCTTTGGAGAGGTAAGTATAATATTTTAACTTCACTTCTGTCAAACTTTCCTCTTAAACAGAATTCCTATTGGAAACTTAAAAACAACTATAACAGTCATTTATCTCAACAGCTGCAGGTACTTGAACCTCAGCTTCCACAGTGTCCACAGCCTCTTGAACAATGAAAGTGGAAATTATCAGAGAAACAAACCATGGCTGAATGCAGTTGAGTGCTCTGTAATTACATGCCAGTGTTGCCATTTGGCTGCTGGTGTAGTCTCCTGTGGGCACAGGTGCCATAAATGCTCACACACACCCAATCAAATCCACAAAGACCTTTCATTACATATCATTTGAGACACCCTTAACTTAAAAAAGACTAGCTCAAGTTTAGTTCTTTCCCTTTGTTCTTATATATAAAAATTCCATTTTTCCTAATTAATATTACTGTGCTATTTCATGAGAAGCTGTTACAATTGGCGAGTGTGAAGGTAATGTGGTAGGAGGAAGAATGTCTTTCCTCCCTGAGTGGCTCCCTGGGCTCTGTGAAAAATTGGTAATAATCATTCCTACTTCTTTTCTTGTGCATAACGTAGGGTGCAAAGGTGCCAGAAAGAGAATTTAAGTACCTACAGCTGTTGAGATCAATGCAGCTATGGAAACAAAGACTTAGCAAGTCAAAATTAGCACCATTTGTGTATGCTTCTTGTTGCTTAAAGATCATTTTTGAGTCTTTACAACTTTCATTTTATAAAGGACTTACATCCACAAAGAAAACCATTGATTGTTGACCAAAACAAACAAACAAAATAGGGTTTTCCAGCAGGACTAAAGGTCTACTCTCTCCTGAAACGACCAGCCTACCTAATTATTTTGCTAAGGTGTTCCCTATTAGAATCACACACACCACAGTGAGGAGCTTTTGTTCAGAAGAAGCAACACCAGCAGCCTCACAAAAAAGTGGGAAAGATGTGTATGTCCCCAAATGATAATTTTGCTCACAACACTCAGTATTGTTGGGCAGCCATAGTGAAGACAGACAAAATATGACCAACATTTAGAAAGGAGTGAGAATTCAACAAGATCAAAATGTGTTATTAAAGGACATAAATCACTTGAAAATGTGTTTTAATAATAAAGGATACATTCTAATATCCAGGGCCCAGACAACTATGTTTTCCTGTCTGAAATTTACAGGCATTCAGTAATCTCTTTAGTGACCTTTCTTCTCTCTGCCTATGCAAGGCCTCGAAGGTTGAAATGCGGCAGGATGTTGAGGACTTTGTCATAAAAGAAATATCCTGCTAAGTGTTTTCCATAACTCTTCAGAAATTTCCTCATAGGAGACTGCAAATGAAATGTATAGGGAATAATATAATTAGACTGTAAAATTCGCTGAACTCCCCATTCAAGAGGAATTACATGTGGATCCTTTTTAAAAAATGTTTTCTAATTAAACTGAGGACATAATGTTATATTATTTTCCAGGTTCAATACACTTCCTTTCCCACTCATAACTAAAATATAGAGAGAGCTGGAGGGGAAAAATAGTATTATTGTAGTTAAAAAGTGAGTAGGAGTTTGTACAGATTTTTCTTTCTTTTTTTTTGCTACAGAGTTTTGCTCTGTAGCCCAGGCTGGAGTGCAGTGGTGCGATCTTGGCTCACTGCAAGCTCTGCCTCCCGGGTTCACGCCATTCTCCTGCCTCAGCCTCCCGAGTAGCTGGGACTACAGGGGCCCGCCATCACACCCGGCTAATTTTTTTTGTATTTTTAGTAGAGACGGGGTTTCACCGTGTTAGCCAGAATGGTCTCGATCTCCTGACCTCGTGATCCGCCCGCCTCAGCCTCCCAAAGTGCTGGGATTACAGGCGTGAGCCAGCGCGCTAGGCCCTGTAGAGAGTTTAATAACTGTGAGGCCTAAGCATTTGATGTGAATTAGGCTCACATTTTATTCATTGGGTTGGAATAAGATAAGGCAACACGGAGTTAACTTTCTCAACATTGAGGAAGCCTCCAGGGCAAAAAATTATTTGTGCCAAATCTATCATTACGTGCCTTAGAATCCTGAGCAAAGCCCTGCTTGCTTCAGAGGTACCTCACTAACTCTAGTGCCCTGGTTCTGCTGAAATCTGTGGATCTGTGGAGCCCCAGGGACTTCTTAACGCAAATGGATGGTGCTTGGCAGACTGACTCCTCCTGGTATGGTCCCTGGCTTATTTACCTTATTGGATTTTGCTATGCTAACCTCTGGAAGGCTGATATTCTCAAGAATAAAAGAAATGCAAAGGTTCTTTGGTTGTTGTACTCATTGTACTAATGTTGATGTGATGAGGTGGGTTTTAATCAATGGTGGTTTTCTTTGGTCCATTAAGGTTGTCACTATAAATAATTCCACATCATTTCAGCATCTCTTTACTTCAACCTGATACAGCTAAGAGACAATCATGACTCTCTGGTACGTAATTCAGATCTATAGAAGGTAAGGCCATATTTATTTTATTGACTGTTGTGTTCCCAGAGCTTAAATATAGTTGATGTTCAAAACTATTGAATCTTCAATATTTTGATACTAAAAAATGATTGTAGGGAGATGTGTTTGGTCCTTTCTTTTAGTTCCAAGTTCTTATCTCCTCTCTTGGCTGCAGGGATCTCAAACCACTGTTTGTGTTAAGCCTTCAGCCTCAGCCTTGCCCTGTAGGTACTCAAGAAACTAGCACAGTTTATGTGCCTTTATGAAGGAAACACTGATAAACATTAATTGTTCCAAATATTTAATCTATTTGATGCTATGAATAGATCTGTTATCTTCAATCTTAGTTATTGTTCCAGTCATTTAATGAAGGCTTGTATATATCTCCATGCCCATAGTATTAAGTATGTACTTATCTCTAAAAATGTATTCATATTTTCACTTATTCTTTCTCCATTATGGTTTGCTCATGACCACTTACTGTTCCTTTTACTTCTTAATTTCAATTTATAGAATATTTCATATAGTATATTCATTTAAATCTATATTTTGATAGAAAATAAACAATTTAGGAGTGTGTCATTTCATGTATATCTCTATCACTTTTCTAAGCTTCTTTGTGTCTTAACCTTCATTCATTAAGTTCACAAATATTTACTGAGTAGCTTTAATAAAATACAACATTTTTAGACTTTCAAAGCTTATAGCCTAGTGATGAACAGAGAGAGAAAAAACCTATTACAATAGAGCTTGGTTTTAAGGCATTTTAGAGATTGAAAGGGAAATTTAGGGGGCTATATTAACAAATGACGGGGCAGATCAAGGAAGGCATGCTTCCATGAGAAAGTAACATCTAAGCTGAAACCCAAAGGATAAATAAAAATTTGCCAGGCCAAGAAGTGTAGATGTGTTCTATACAATGACAACAATGCGGATGAAGACCCAAGGCAAGAAAAACATCCTGTGTTTGAAGAATTGAAAGAAGCTGAGCATAACTGGAGCATTGTGCATACAGGGTTGATGATGAGGGTGGGGAAATCATAGAGCCTTATAAACCATGTTAAGGAGTTTGAACACTTTGCTAAGGATAAGAAGAAGCTGCTGAAGTGTTTTAAGTTAGAAGGTGACAATCACTTTTGCATTTTGGGAAAATTCAATTTGACTACAGAATGAAGAACGAATTAAATAAACTAGGATTGGAGGCAGAGAGACTAGTTAGGAAGCCATTATAATGATACAGGAGGAAGAAAGAGAAGGAGGGAGAGAAAGAGAGGAGAGGATAGAGAGAGATTGCTTGGACTAGAGTAGGAAAGAGAAACCAATTTTAGGAATGATATTTTGGGGAGAAAGAACTGTCATGATGTATTTGGATGAGTAAGAGGAGGTACTAAGTTTCAGAGCTACACATTTCTGGCTTGGGAAAACAGTGAGAAGTCACCTGATTTTATTGGTCCCAGAGAGCCTGGGAGTGAGAAAAGGCTGAAAATGGTAAGTTCTGTTTCCAACATGTGAACTTCAGGTGTCTATTAGAGGTAGAATGAAAATGGTATCTAGTCAGTGATTAAAAGCCAGACATTGGAGCTAGTCTTCCTGAGTTGGAATCCAGGCTCTGACAGTAGCTGCATAATCTTAAGTAGGTTGCTTAAATTTCCCATATCTCAGCTTCCTCTCTCATGTGGGAATAATAATACCTGCTCATAATGTTATTATGAGGGTTGGATTGAGAAAATGTGAATTAGGCACTTTGAATAGTACTGGGAACAGAGTAAGTGCTATGGTAAGTGTTAGTCATTATTATTGTTATTTTTTCTATGGAATGTCCAAATGGAGATATCTAGTAGGCAGTTGTATACTTAGTTTTAAAAATTGGAAAGCTGTTGGTTATAAGTACATATCTTAGCAAATATTATATTTTGAGAAACTATGACCCCTAAAACAGGAAGTCCTAATAGTCATCACTGACTCCTTAACAATGTAAAAGTGAAATTGATTCAATGTTAAAATGTTTAGAGATTCTTGAATTTAAAAAAATTCTAGAAATATAAAACTAAAAATTATTACTTTTGGTTGAACATTAAATATATATTTCAGTACTATAGCAAGTTTTAATATTCTAAAATATTAAATTGACCCAATTTTAAATAACTTTAAAGTGTTCATCAGAAATAATATAGCTTTATTGAGCAGAATCATAAAATTATAAAGCATAATTTAGTTGGCACAAATTTGGATTTCTGGAATGGCTTCAGTGACAGTTTGGTAGACAGTGTCTCTGTGTGATGGGGCTGGACATGCTTCACAGCATGTCATGCTGTGATTTTCTGGGCACTGTGGTTACTTTTACTGAGCGGTTCTGATTATGGTAGAGGTGGACTTCAATGAGCTCAAGGAAATTCAGATTTTGATGAAAAAGTGCTGAAATATAATAGTGATATTAATAATGAACATGTTTTCAGCACTTACTCTATTATGTGGTATGCTAATGCTTTAATTATATGATCTCATTTTAATGCTTCCAGCATCCCTAATTTATAGATGTGAAGCTGAGGTTTAGAGAGGTGAAGCGGCCACCTGAGGTCACACAGAGGTGAAGGGAGGAAGTGTAGAGAAGCAATGAGTCTGCAGCAGCAGGGGAAAGAGTAAACAAGAGCAGGAGGGAGATCAAAGGAGTAGAGAGAAGCGGGAAGGAGGGAAGGACAAATCAGGAAGGAATGGTTGTTGTCTGAATACTCATTCAGTCACACAAACTGAATTTTGGATCCTTTTGAAGATGTCAATGAAAATGTGAACTACACTCAGAAGCGTTGGGAGCTAGAGGCCTTTCAGTGGACTCAGAGGATAGAGAAGTGTTCCCAGAGAGTAGCCAGCTTGTCTAGACTCATTCCTGAATGCAGTATTTGTCCATTCTCATGTTGCTATAAAGAAGTACCTGAGACTGGGTAATTTATGAAGAAAAGAGGTTTAATTGACTCATGGTTCTGCAGGCTGTACAGGAAGCATGGTTGGGAAGGCCTCAGGAAACTTACAATCATGGCAGAAGGGCAAAGGGGAAGCTAGCACTTTCTTCACCTGGCAAAGCAGGAGAGGGAGACAGTGAAGGTTCAAGTGCCACACACTTTAAAAGCATCAGATCTCATGAGAACTCACTCACTATCATGAGAACACCATGGGGGAAATCTAACCCCATGATTCAATCACCTCCTACCAGGTCCCTCCCCCAACCCTGGGAATTATAATTCAACATGAGATTTGTGGGGGGACACAGAGCTAAACCATATCACAGTGGAAACACTGATGGCCCAGTTACAGGGGAGAGTCAGAGCCCTATGTTTCTTTAGATGGATCCAAATATGAAAGTGAGATCTGGTTATAAATGTGAAGTGACTCCTTTGGGGTCTGGGGGCTTTGGTGTTGTGATGATAGAATCACAATGTCAGGTGTGATTTCCTTGTGGCAGAGCCACATATGATACTATTTTGGTTACCACTGCTGTATAACAAGCTACCCTAAAACTTAGTGAGTTAAAATAACCCTTTTATTATATTTCATAATTACATAGGTTAGAAATTTGGACCAGACTTGTATAATTCCTCTGCTCTTGTGACATTTGGCTGATGTCATTTGGGGTACTCAGCTGGTATTTTGGGTGGTCTTGAAGGTCCAAGACAGCTTTACTCACATGTATAGTGCCTTGGGCAGAATGACTGGAGGCATGGGCCTTGCTGAGGCTTTGACCAGGGTGCCTTCACTTGACCTCTCTAATGTGGAAGTCTCAAGCCAGTTGGCTCCTCCTAAAGTGAGCATTTGGAGAGACCTTAGTAGAAGTGGGAAGTCTTCTTATGACCTAGCCTTAGACCTTCCAGAATATCACTTTCACTGCACTCTGTTGGTCAAACACAACCCTAAGTTCAGCTCATATTCAAGGAGAGGGAAATTAAACTCTGTCTCTCAAAGGGAGGAGTAGCAAAGAATTTACAGCCATATATACTTAATCATATACCTTTAACTCCAATTAGACAACTTGCAAATAATTGGTTCAAAAGTCTGAAGTTTTCTGTGCATAGGTCACCATTACAGCTGTAAGCACTATTCAGAGTACAAATCTTATCAGTGTATGGACGGCATTTCTTTTTCATTTGAAGACATACCTATCTCCCAACAGCAGAAAACATTATTTTGTTGTTGAAGGCTAGGTGATACTTTAAAGTCAATTCAGGTCAAGGTCTATAATGATAGTAATTTTGACTGACTCAAAAGCAAAACAGAATCATTGCTTGAAAGATTTGGATGAGGTTTAGAAGAGTTACAGGCAGACATTTTTGACATAGTTGCATAGCTAGAAATACATAACAGATAATGTCTGCTTGGCTCTAACCATTACTTTGGACAGACTTTTCTAACAAGGCACCCATACATAGCATGCACACATGTGGGATTTTTTTTTTTGGTATCAATTAAAATGCTTTGCAACAGTAAGCACATGATAGGTTTTAAAGAAATGAGTGCATGTGTATGTATACACATCCTTTTACCCTCTAGCCAACAAAGAATAGTAGAGTATAATGGTTAAAATCAAGCCTTCTTGGGTTTAAAGCCTGTCTCCACTGCTGACTTGCTGCCTAACTTTGGGCAAGCTATCTCAGCTCCCTGTGCTTCAGTCTACTCATTGATAAAGTGGCAGAAGTAATAGTAGCTAGTTTATAGAATTGTAAAATAGGTAAATAAAATCATCCATGAAGACTGCAATAGAAAAGTACATGCCACAAGGCAAAAACTCAATAAACAGTAGTTCTTAAAAATTCCTTTTTAAAAATAAACTACTGATTGCTGGGGACAGGTTAACCCTTTATAGATAAAAGGATCATTAGATCCGTAATGTCTTTGTTACTAAACATTCAAGGGATGCAACAGCAATTGACCCACCATAGGATCCGATAAAATAATAATAATAATGAGCTTTAAAATATTTTCCATGTTTTCACACCTGGACACAAAGGTACCTGAAATTTAATGTAGAGATAGATATCCAGCTGCCTGGAAATGCCTCTCTTAACAGATAATGAAGATGGACAGTTTCTAAGGTACAATAAATGCCAAATATATAAAAACACATCCAGGAATTTAGTTCTTAAATAATTATTTTCTAAAATACAAGAACTAAACAGGTCAGTGGAGTATTTTGTCTACCACTACAAGGCAATGTTACACCATAGCTACTTAGCTAAAAATATAGTGATTTTTTTTTAAATTAACTGTTGGAAAAATAGCCTCAACAAATTTGACTCACTAGCTACAATTAAGAAAAAGCCTATTAACAATAATTGGTGGGTTATTAGTTTCTAAGAACCCATAATTAAATTTTATTGTCTTAGAAGTGATTTGGATTAATTATACCCATAGTAGACTGATGATCATTCCCCACTTTAGGGGAGGAGATAACAGTTTCATAGAATTCAGTCATTTACTGCAATCCTAGAGTATTTTGTTTCCTGCCAAGGCAAATCTGCCACAAAGCCCAGTTCCTCTTAGGATTTACTGAAAAGTGACAGGTGTTGATTTGCTGGTATCTTTCTCAATAGATCCGAATGAGCTAAACAAAATGACTTCTCTACCCATTTAGGCAGAAAAATAAATGGGGACCCCAGCTAATGAGGGAATGTAGAGTTAGCTGGACTCAAACTATTCCAAGCTGTTGGCAGCTGGAATCAAAAGAGGAATCATGCAGACAGTTGCTCATGTTTATTGCTGAACATGAAATTAAAATGATGCTTCATCTTCTCCACAGGTGCAAGAACATATAGTTATTAATTATAGCAAAACATATTTATTGACAATCCCAAGCCTGAAAAATCTCACACTCAGCAAATGGCTTTTACATTTCATCTAAAAAGCACTTCAGAATCAATACAAAGGCATGGCATAGTTGATGAATCTGTGCCTAGGAAAATTTTGCATCCTGAAAACATGGCTTAGACTGTTAATATTTATGTAGTTAAACATCATCAATTCTTTGTTCTTGTAAGAAACCTGTTAAACAAAAATTTCCCCAATTTTCCATTGCTTTGATAGGTATGATTCCAAAATGTTTGAGTGATTGAGCTTATTTTGTTTTTCCCTAGAGGTTTTAAAAATAGTTGTATCCCTTCATTGAGCCACACAGCATATTAAGCCATTTGTACATTCATTCATCTAACAAATGTCTGTTGAACACCTGTTATGTGGCAGGTACTATTCTAGGTGCTATGGAGAACATATAAATACACAAGAACTTAAACATCTTATGGCCTCTATGTTATGAAATGAAAAAACATACTATAAAAGAGCATTTGATCAAATATTGAGTTGTAACCAGTGAACCTGGAAGGCCATCTTAGTTCTGAGAAGGATAGGCACTTGAAGGATTTGCAGAGAGGGGGTCCTGAGTTGCCCACAGGTATTAAATGCACATGCATAATTTATGTGGTTGTTATTTTTTTTCAACTCATCTCATTCTAAATAGGATTTGAGACAACTTACAGAAATGTACACAGTACATTGTGATAAAAAATAAAGAGACAGGTAAATGTAACACTATGCAATAACTCCAGGGGTGAGCTCAGGACTCCAAATATGCACTGTAAGTTTCTGTCTGACTTTTGGAGATGGGTCTCAGATTTGGCCCTGAGATTCTTGGCAGCCAGGAATAGAAACAAGATTGGGTGTAAGAGAAATACTATCTCAGCTAGCACTTGAGTTGCTAGTTAGTCCTGTGTATAAATACCCAATATAAATATCTCTTATAAATCCTGAAGAGGAACACTGAAGGATATAACGTATTAAATCTCAAAGCTATTTATATAATATAAAGGCTAGATTTCATGGCTGTGTGTTCCTCAGTGTAGGTTGCTCCTTTCATAACACAGCTTTGTTTATTCATTCCTTCATTCATTTATTCAACTAAGAAATATTTAAAAGATTTATTGAGAACTTACAATTTGCTGGACACTGTTCTGGGCACTGAAGATAAAGTGGTGAACAAGACAGATAAGGTGTCAGAGATGACATACTGTTGGGAGAATAGGTGAATCATTAAACTCGGTTCAAATGATGATAAGTGTTATGAAGATGATACAACAGGATTATGTGATGGGGAGTAACTAGGAAGATAAGAAAGACCTTAGATGAAAGATGATACTTGAGGACATTTAAATGACAAGAAGAAACCAGTCATGCCAAGGTTAGAAGGAAAGATGTTGCAAGTATAGAGAACAGCAATTGTGAGGTCTCAGAAGAGGAAACAATCTTGGTGAGTTGGAAAAATAACAAGGAAGCTGGTGTGCTAGAGCATAGTGAGTGAGAGGAAGAGAAGTTGAGATGCAATTACAAGAAGTCATAGTAACCTATGGTGAAACATGTCGATTTTATTGTAAGGGCAATGGGAAACAGGTCAAACAATTTAGAATATCTGGAAAAATGGGTAACTGAAATCCTCTTTGAGTTCCACTGCTTGTCAAACACTTTTAAAAATTGAACATTAGATAATTTGAAAATATCTTTTCTGGCAGGAACCTGAAAGTAAGAAAATCAGTGAATGTCAAGTTCCTCACCTCTAATTGCCATCTGAATTTGAGTACAGTATTTGACAAGCCATATGATTCCAGAAAATTTTTAAGTGTCAGGTCTGTTCCAACAGATTAATCAAAGGACACTCAAGTTCCCAAAATTGTGTGCCAGAAAGTGGAATTTGGCATAAAATTTATACAATATGGTCATAATAATTTTCTTCTGAAAAAAAACAAAAAAGTAAAAGTGGGTGTTTCCAATCATTCATGGTAGCCATAAACATATCAATAAGGTAACACCAGAATGCCTAATATTAATCAAAGACATTTTCCTGGTACATCTCCAAGATAAAATGTTTATAAAAATATACCCCTAGGTAACTAAATGAATTGACCTATGATATGAAGTTGTTAACTATAAGCCAATTAATCTTTGGAGATCTGCCAAAATGATTATTAAAGCTTTACAGTGGGTGTTATTAAGCCATACTTTCTGACAGTAATTAGGTGACAGGATCAGTTATCCACTGAGGCCACTCTTAGTTGATGACAGTGAAACACATGATTAGCATATACAGCCATTCTTCCCCTCCCTTTGGTCTTTTCCTTGGGGTAGAGACAAGGAATTTTCTCATCAGTCAAGTCAGCCAGTAGAAAGTCTGCTTTCTCTAACCTGGGTTCTTGGGACTTCTAGGTAGTGGACTGCCTCGGGAGTAAGAATTTGATAATTATTCTAGTCTAGCTAAAGTTTTTCAATAGATGAGAGGATTTGAGCTACTGGACAACCTCACCAAACCAGTTAAGAAGATGAAAAATATTAACTACATAGACCCAAAGACATAGTCTAAGATGGTCCAGGTCTGCCTTTTATGTTGTTTTGTGAAGAGGCACCACATTTCTGAGAGATTCAATAATATAATGTATTCCTGGTCTAGATTCGGCCACTCATCTCAGCCTGATTTGAGGAAGCAACACACTATCTTACAGTATTTTTTAGACTCATAAAATTTTGAAGCAGATAGAAAAGGTAATTTGGAGAGGTCTCTCAAAAATCTTTTAGAAACAGGAAAATTAAGACTTATGTGAATTACATAACTTGCTCAAGGGCAAGCTTATTAGTGATTGGCCTATACGGATATGTGCCGTGATTAATTTATTAGTTCAATAAGTTCTTATTGAGTGCCTACCTTTTTCAAACATTATGATTGAGGATTCAATGATAAAAATGATTTTTTTAAACTGTCCTTATGGAGTTTACAGTCCACCAGGGACAACATATACTAAATAAGTTTTATAATTCATTGTTAGAAAAATGACTAGAATGTAAAAATAGAAGCATGCTAAAAAATACACATGAGGGGTTAGGCTGATTTGAGGAATCCAAAAAGGCTTTCATGAGAAAGTAATATTAATGTTGATACCCAAAACAAGAGTTAATCAGGAAATGATAAGGGGTAAATGATGGAGTTTATAAGGGGAAGAAGAAGAAAGAAAACAAAGCCAAGAGTCGTGTGTAAAAGTCATGAGGCAGGTAGAAGCAAGGCGTGTACAAAGGTATTAATAAAGTCCAGTGTGACTGACATACAGGAAGTAAAAATGGACTTACAAGGAGGCTGGAGAATTTGTTGGGGGACAGATCAGGCAGGGTCGCAATAGAATTTTAGATCATATCCCAAGAGCAATGGGAAAATATTGAATAGTTTTAAAAGATCATGAATTTAAAAAATTTTAGAATAAGTAATTCATGCACATGGTTCAACATTCAAAATGTAAACAGAGTGTACAATGAAAACAAATCTCATCCTTCCACAACTGTCCCCCGGGTAGTAATTTCTCTTCTCCAGAGCAGCTACTTTTATGAAAATATTCAAAAGTGCATACATACCACAATACACTTTTTAAACTCTAATTATAGCATACTGTCCCACTCATTACTTTTTTCACTTAAGAATACATTTCAGATTTTTCCACATCATTACATTGACAGTTGCCCCATTCTTTTTAATTATTTCATAAAATATCATTGTATAAATAAGTCAGATCATATTTAATTATTCCTATAGTGATGAAATTATAGGTTATTTTTAATATTTTGCTATTACAAACAATGTGGAAATAACTATTTGTACACATATGGGTATATCCCACACACATGTAGGCACACATATAGAAAATAATTTCCCATAAATGGTATTACTGGATCAAAGTGAATGTACATTTTTATTTTTGATAGCTATTGAAAATTTCCCTAACAGTTCTCTATTTGTATCAATTAGCCTTTTTGGTGTAACAAGCCACCTCCCCAATTATTGGCATAAAACAATAGGCATTTATTAACTCACATTCTGTAGACTGGCAGTCTGGATGGGCTCAACTGGGCAGTTTTGATGGTCTTTCGAGTGTTCCTTCATGTGGCTGCTGTCAGCTGGTGGCTGATTAGTCCTAGATATGCTCATTCACATGTCTGGAATTTGATGGATTAAAGGAAGTGATAGAGCTCTAAGTTCTTAGCAGCTTACAGGCTATCCTGTGTTGTTTTCACATGGTGGCTGGGTTCCAAAAGCAAGAAAAGTGGAAGCCCCAATGAGTAAGCACATGTTGAGCCTTTGCATGCATTATGTTTGCTAGCATCCCATTGGGCAAACCAGCCACACAGCCAAACTCTGCTTAAGGTGTGGAAAGAGACCTCACCTCTCAATGGGAATATTCACATGCACATTTTCCTTCTTGATGTGCAGTT
Source organism: Homo sapiens (assembly GCF_000001405.40). Classification (NCBI taxonomy): domain Eukaryota; kingdom Metazoa; phylum Chordata; class Mammalia; order Primates; family Hominidae; genus Homo; species Homo sapiens. The sequence continues at coordinate 210,694,235 of NC_000002.12, forward strand.
TCATGTACTTTGAAAAATTAACTTGCAGAAGTTTTAATATACAGAGGAAATTGGGCCTTTGTTCATTATTTATATCTCAATTATTTTTTCCATTTTGATTTTCGTTGTTTTTTCACTTGACTTTATCTATGGTAGGTTTTTATTTATTTCTCTGAAAAGAAAGAACAGCTACTTTTAAGTTGTCAATTCATATATAATAAGGGTTTTACGTACACTTCAGATTTTGTCTGTCTGAGATTACTACTTATGGAAAAACACATTTTTAAAAATGTATCTGATCCACTTGGAGATTTAGGAGAGAGAGAAGTAGACAATATTAGTTCTCTTTTTAAATTTGGAAGTTTATCTAGATACCCTGACACTATTGAATAATTCTTATTTCCTCTACTTATATGCTTGTTACATTTACCATATACTGCATTCCTGTATGTTCCTGAACATCTTTATCTGCTCCAATAATCTATTTGTCTATTTATAAGAGCAATGTTTCTAGTATATGTTAGTCAGGGCTGTCATAGGAGATCGGCGGTACATTTAAAGGGTTATTTGAAGAGAATGAAACATACTGTATACACAGGAGTGGGCAAAGTTAAGGGAATTAACAAGGATGTTGAGTAGCAGGGAGTAGCAACAATAGGAAGACCTTTACACCTGCATCCCCGGAGAACCACAAGAGGAATCACTGTTGCCATAACCCAAGAAGGGTTCTGCAGCCATTGAAAAGACTGGACCAAAAGTAGCTGTGGCCATAGAAGATTCCAACCACTTTCACAGTTACAGCCCCAGCACAAAAGGAGCGTGAGCCAAGGAAATATATAACCTGACTTCCTTCTCTTCCCTTCCCTCTAATCTCCTGCTGGTGCCTGCCATTGTAGAATTCAATCGTTAGCATGTCTGATGATAAATCCACAGAGTTTCAGTCCCCCAGGATCTCAAATCAGGGTAGAGAAAGGCAGGATGATGGTTCTAGAATAGACAATGACCAGTTTATTCTATGATTTTAACTATCATAATTTTAAAATATGATTTGTTAAAAGGCTGGTGCCTTCTCATTATTACTCAACTTTGATAAGCTCCACTTAATTCATGCTATTAATTTTTCTATATGAAGTTTATCTTATTTTTTTCTAAAAATTTGCTTCAGTAAAGTTTGTTTTTGAAATAACTCTATGCAGAAAAGTGCACATATCATAAATACACAGCTTGATATTTTTGTATAGTGAACACACCCATGTAATTACCACCCAGATCAAAGAACAGAATAGAACCAGTTCCCTAGAAGCCCCTTTTCATCTCTACCTCTTCACCATTATTCTATTTCTAACACCATAAATTAGTTGTGCCTGCTTTGATTATATAAACAGTATCAACACCATATACCCTTTTGTGTCTGGCTTTTTTGGCTCAAAAATATGTTTATAAATTTCATCTCTGTTTTTCTATGTAGCTGCAGATTGTTCATCTCATTGTTGAATCATAGTATCTTGTATGAATATAACATCCTTTATTTATCTATTCTATTGATGGACATTTGGGTAGTTGGCTGGTTTTTGGCTCTTCTGAATAGGGCTGCTATGAACATCCGTGTACATGGCTTTTGGTGAATATATGTGTTTATTTATGTTGGCCATTTATCTGGGAGGAGAATTGCTGAGTTAGAGAGCGTGCATATGTGGTAAGCCTTAGTAGATGCTTCCAAACAGTTTTTCAAAGTTGTTTTTAATCAACATACACTCTCACTAGTAGTACATGAGTTTCATTTGCTCCACACCCTCACCTACATGTGTATTTTTTTTTTTGGTACAGTATTTTGGCTATTGTGGAAGAGGCATGGTGATTTGCAAGGTAATTTAAATTTGCAATTTCTATGATGACTAATTGAAGCTGCATAGCTTTCATGTTTATTGACATCTATTGTGAACTGGTTGCTGAAATCTTTTGCCTATTATCGCTGGGTTTTCTTTTTTTCTTACTGGTTTATAGAAGTGTTTTATCTATTCTGGATTTGAACCCTTTATTGATTATAGTTGAATATGTGTTTTTGTGTGTGTATTGCACATTTTTTCCTTTCTATCATTTGCCTTTTTCTGAATTTCATTGGTGTATTCTGACGGATCAATCTTAAGGTTGAATTATTAAATTGAACAATGTTTTACTTTTTGGTTAGCATGAATTGTATACCATTTCAGAAATTTTTGCATACCTACTCAAATGTCATGATGTGCTTATCTATGTTTTTAATTTGATAACTTTACAGTTTTCTCTTTCACATTTACATTTGCAATCCATCTAGAGGTTATTTTTGCATATGGTGTGAAGTAAGAGTTAAGATTTATTGCTTCCCCAGGTTTGTTCATCGAAAAGATTATACTTTCTCCACTGTGTTGCTTGTTTTTAGTTTATTGGGGTCACTTTAAACTTATAAATTAATTTGTGGAGCATTGACATTCAAGAACAGAGATTGCTTTTCCATTTATTCTAGTCTTTGGCTTTCTTAGTAACACTTTAATGTTTTCTACATAAATATATACATTTCCCGGGCTTATTCCTAGTTATGTTATTTTTTCAAAATTATGTCTATAAATGGCATATTTTCTTCCATTATATCCTCTAACAGGTTTTTATTTGTATATATTGAGGCTATTATATTTGTATATTGATTTTGTACCCAGCAATTTTACTGAAGTCTTTTAGTGTTTGTTATTATTTTCAGTTGTTTCTCTTGAGTTCTGTAAGATTTAATCTGCAAATAGTGAGTTTTCTTTTTTTTGTAGAAATTTTTACGTCCTCTACTTTTCACTCGACTTTCTTTCAGCTGATTCTTCTGAAAGAATTATAAATATTAATATTAGTGATAGCTGATATATTTGTTGTGTTTCTAATCTTAAGAAGATACTTCTAGGCGTGTTTCCATAAAGTATAATCATGTTAAAAAATATCCATCAGTTTCTTATTGTATTTAGAATAGTTATGTGCACATTTGTAAATGAGTAATCAGTCTGTTTTGCTCTTTTTTGTTTTATTTTCGTCTGGTTTCATACCTGTAGTATATTAGGACTTTCAAAATTAAAGACATGATATCAATCCCTTTGAAGTCTTCCAGGATTGGTGCTTTTTGTTGAGAAGGAGATGACTTTTGAAAATTACTTAACTCATAATCATTCTTTTGAGATTCTGTTTTAATTTTAATATGATTTTGTATTTATATGAAATTGTCTTCATGACTAGATGAGATTATGTGTTATGGGGAGGAAGACCACAAAGGTGAAGTGTCATTTTCATCACATCTCCCTTATAAAATTTCTTATTTTCCTTATTCTGTGCTATCTTCTTTGGAAGAAAACCAGGATGTGCAGCCCACACTTGAGCGGGGAGTTAAGTTCCATCGCCTTTGAGTGCAGAGGGTCTTCACTGAAGATGTACCTCTTCTCCAAAATTTATTAGTCATTTATTTACATCAGTATGGGCTCCTGGATATCTGTTTATACAATGGTTTTTAATCCAATACCACTTTATTTTGTTGCTCAAATCACTCCAGCATTGACCATCCAGGGCTGTCTTCATTTGACTCCTTTCTCTTTGACCTATTCCTATCGTTGTGATTTTTCCTTTTCTACGCACTTCTTACTTTCTGACTCTACAAGATTAGAAGATGCTCCATGTTCAGCTGGTATATTTCTTGACAAAATCCTAGAATCAGCGATTTCTCCAAGGGGCCCTGATTGCTTTTATTTGGACACTAGTGGTAGAAACCAACATCTGAGTGCTATGTGTAATCATTACTAATGGGGTGTCATTGTTTCTCGGCCTTCTCAGCTGACAGAGCAAGGGAATATCTGTGTGCATGCTAACTTATGTGTATACACATATGTATAAATAGTTTTTATATATAGCCATCTCTATCTACATTAAGCTATATTAATGGAGCTATATTAACAGCTATATTAAGTCCTAACCAACGGTAACTCAGAATATGATTATTTGGATATAGGTCCTTTAAAGGGGGTAATTAAATTAAAATGAGGCCATTAAATTGGGCTCTAATCCAATATGACTGGTTTATTTATAAGAAGATAAAATTTGGACAAGCAGAGGGACACTAGGGATGCATACGCAAAGAAGCACCATGTGATGACACAGTGAGAAGGTGGCCATTTGCAAACCAAGGAATGGCTTTTGTTGAAAGACAAATCTACTGACACATTGACCTTGGACTTCCATCCTCCAGAACTATGAGAAAATAAATTTATTTTCTAAGCAACCCAGTTTGTGGCATTTTGTTATAGCAGTCCTAGCAAGCTAACACAGATACCTCATTTCTTTTTAGTCACTGAATAGCCACTATATGAATATAGCACAGTTTTTTCCATTTACCTATTGAAATATATCTTGGTTGCTGCCAGTCCTCAGTAGAGAGAATTGGCTGCTATAAATATTAACATGCAAGTTTACTTGTGGACATACATATTTAAATTAGCTGTATAAGTACCTAGAAGCACAATTTTTAGATTATGTGGTAAGACTATGTTTAGCTATCTAAGAAACTATTGAAATGGTGGATTTACAATGATAAATTTTCAAATGTTGAACCAGCGTTGCATACCACGTGGATCCAAGTTCCACTTGGTTGTGGTGTATAATTTTTATACATCATTAGATTTGATTTGGTAATAATTTATTGAGGATTTTGTATCTAGGTTCATGAGGATTATTGGTCTGTAGTTTCCTTTCTTATAATTCCTTGACTTGTTTGGTATTAGGTTAATACCTGTTTGTGACAAAGTCCTTTTAATGTTTGTTTCACAGCATGTCTGGTGGCAATGAGTTCTTTCAGCTTTTGTTTGGAAAGTTTTTTATTTCTCCTACACTTGTGAAGGATAATTTGCTGGATGTACATTTCTAGGTGGTATTTTTTTCCTTTCAACACTTTAAATATTATATTTCTTGCTTAAATGATTTCTGATGGGAAGTTTGTTGTAATTATTATTCTTTTTCTGTTGATAAAGGTATTTTTTTCTTTCTACATTCTTTCAGGATTTTCTTTTTGGGTTTAAATTTCTGAAGTTTGAATATGATATACTTAGGTATAGACTGTGGCATTTATTCTGCCTGCTTCATGTTCTCTGAACTTCCTGGATTTTTGGTTTGTTATCTAACATAAATTTTGGAAAATTCCAGGCTATAATTATTTTAAAAATTTTCTTCTCCTTCTGTAATTCCAATTTTGCATGTGTTTTACCTTTGAAATTGTTCCACAGGTCTTGAATGTTCTGTTCTCTTCTATATTGTTCTTTTTTTCTCCTTGCTTTTCAGTTTGGCAGGGTTGGTTGAGTTTCCCCCCTTTTCTAGTTTTTTAAAAATAATGCATCTATATCTACACCTATATTCCTGTACATAGAGGGACATAGATACATTTACATCATGTAAAGACATAGATATCATTTATTAATACATCTTTAGTTTTTATCCATCACTTTTCAGAATGAATAAAATTAGTATATATTTTCTTCTTTTGAGCCCCTTCTCCTTATGAAATGATTTCCATGGATAACATTATTTTTATTAGGTTATCTATTGATTACCTCCTTTAAAAACTTATATCCCTTACTTGATTTACTAAGTTTAAATAATGCATTTTATATTCTGTGTAAGAAATAGAGGATATTAGTGTTATATGCCTCTCTCTCCTTTTTACAATTTTAATTTCTATTATTTCCAATTAATTTCCCCAAACCTCTTTTCTATATCTATTACTGTGTTTTTAGCAGTATTGTCTCCTTTTTTTTCTGATGGATTTTTGTGATTCTAACTCACTTTTTTCTGAGCTGTGTAAGACTATGTTTCATCTCCCTCTATTCTCTCGCTACTTTTTTTCCTGAGTTCTTGTAGTTCTTCTTTGAAGTCCTTGATTAATTCACTTAGTTGTTTTGAATTCACGGCAGTGTGCCTGGCTATGATTTTCATCTACTTGGTGGCAATATTTTTTCCAGTTATTGTGTTTTTGGTCTACCATTTGTTTTCCCTGTTCCTTTCTTCTTAAAGTATTTTTAAATGATTCTGTGCAGTATCCTTTTTCTATAATAACACATTTTGATTGAGGTGACTAATCACATTTGAGCCAGTCATTTGCACAAAATCTATGTGAGGCAGTGCCTGGGCAATATTATAACTGGCAGAGATTTATTTGTATGTGAGTTGTTCAGCCTTTATTTGCCCTCCCATCCTCACATCAACAATTGTCTTTTCAGCAACCAAAGATGGTTATAATTCAGTCTCACCCTAGACTCATCTGTGGGCTACCTTCTGTAAAGATGGTGTGTCTATGTTCTCATTCTGTGATGCCAAATTTATTCTCGAGAAAGTCCACACCTCCATCCATGTACTCTCTTCCTATTGTTCTAAACAATGTTCCCAGGCAGGATATCCACAGAAAGCAGGCAGCCCATCTAAATGGAGTAACTGAGGATAATTTGTTATAGAGTTTGCTTATAAGAGTATAGTCTTATGTAGGGAGACCACTAAGAGATGATGAAGTACCATATGACTAACAACAGGGAGCCAGAATCTCTGAAGGACAAAGGGCATAGGAGATGGAGTTGGTATGGGGAAAGATCCTGCTGGCCACCTAACCGGATCTGTGTCCTTTTGTAAAGAAACATGGCCACTGCCAAACTTGTGGCTCAATAGGGAAAGAACTGGTGGATAAATATTTCAACCATACTATCTTCCTACTCTATCATCTTCTGAGATGATTTTTATTAACCAAATCTAATGGGAAGCTAAAGGCAGAGGCACCTGGTTAATGCAGTCCACGGGAGTCAGCTGACTGCAGGACAGAACAGGTTAGAATAGGTGTAGAGTGGATCTGCAGGAGCAAACCCAACATCAAGCTTTTAAGTACATTTGATTTTGAATTTCAGGGGTTATATTAGACAAAACATGGTAAACTCTGTCTGAAACTCTGTCTGAAATACATTTTTTTTTCCTTGATGTATTCTTGCATTCTTGTTTTATCTTCACTGCACTTGGTGACTTCTTCAGTGTTTTAATGGATTTTTAAGAATTTCATTAAAGGTAAATTTTGGAATTTTGTTTCTTGCTGTATTGGGTGATTATCAAGAAGTTGAGGTTAATAATTTAACTTATTACTCTGGCTGCAGTATAACAATGATTTGCAAAAACACAGGATTGGGCATGAAGACTTCTGGGAGATTGTTATAGTATTCTAGGTGATAGAGGATAATGACTTGGATTTGGGTGGTGATTGTAAAAAAAATGGTGGCAAGTGTATGAATTCTAAAATACATAACATGTTTAGCAGGACTTGGTTGATTGGTTCAACATGATGAGTGAGGTAGAAAGAAATATGGATAACTTCCACATTTCTGGCATGAGCAATGAGCAACTATATGGATGGTGATTCCATTTACTAAGAAAGTTGTTTCACAAAAATGAACTCATCTTCAGACACCTTAAGTCTCATGCTCCTCATACTTAAGGAGATAGAGAGCAATTTTAAAAGTAACATTAACACTTTTTAAAAAACCATAAATTTGATTAGAAGGTAAGTAAATAATATTATAACCTTGACAGTAGGATATGGCTAAACATTTTATATATTTCCCAGGCATAAACAAGTTGATGAAACATTCCTTCATATCCTCCTACTTTGTGAAATAAATTTCTGTCTTTTCCATCTAGCAGTGGAAAGGGGTAGAACAGTGAACGGCTCAGTGATGCTAGAGGATATGATATGAGTGAATGCTGGGACTTTATGGTGAGTAGACATTAAAAGGGCTAATGCCTTAGACAGGAGAGAAGCTATGTTCTCTATGCAGATGAAGGGGGTGTGGCCTTGTTGGTTATCCCTAAAAGGACAGAGGTGAGTACACAGTGCTTGGGTAAGATAAACTAAGTTCACCATTCCTCAGTCCTTACTTCAGCCTGAAGAAACACAAACTTATTTGGAATCTGGGAGCCCTTTGTTTATGTGTGTGTGTGTGTGTGTATTTGACAATGTGTGGAAGAGAGTAGGCCGTACTTCATAAGCCTCCCTGATCCACCAACAGATATATACATTTTGTCAGTGGGTAAAAGTTGCTAGTCCAGTAAAAGTGTTTCTTGTCCGTAATTGTCATACCTTCTCCTTATAAGATAAAGAATATAGGGCTCAGGTTACACAGAAAACATTTGATAAGGAGTAGGTTTGGGAATAAAAATCATAAGTTTAGTTTTGGCATATGGAGTTTCAGGTACCTAGGAGCTATCCAAGTGCAGACTTCAGTTCAACAGTGAGATAAACAATCTGAGGTTCCTAAGGGAGTTCTGAGTAGGAGACATAATTTTGGGTGTTACTATCATATAGAAGGTAATTGAAGCTGTAGGAGGGAATAAGATGAGTTAGCAACAGTTTCAAGTGAGAAGAAAAGCACTGTGGAGAACCAGGGATTTCATTCCCCACCCCCACCTACATTTAAAGGCTGAGTAAAGGAAGATGAGGGAGACTGAGGCAGGTTGGTCATAGTGAAGTGGGAGGAAAACAAGAAAAATCTGGGGTCCTAGGGCCCAAGGAAAACTGTGTTTTAAAAAGGACTGAGGGTTCAATATTGTCAAATACTGTTAAAAAGTCTTATAAAATGAAGAAGCAAAACTTTGAGTCACAAAGGTTATTGACTTTATTGAACATTGTTTTCATGCGTGGTGTAGCAGAAGCACACTGGATGGGTTGAAGAGTCAGTTGAAGGTAGAGACAGTGAAGATAGAGAATTCTTTATAAGAGTTAAGAGGACAAAAGCCATAGAAGAGTAGCTTAGGAGAATGTGGGGTCTAAGGACTTTATTTCTTTTTTTCTAAGGGAATGAGTAAGGCGTACTTAAGTGCTAAGAGATAGAATCTAGTAGAGGAGAGATGCAGCGTAGGAGGCAAGGGAAGATAATCTCCAGCCATGAAGTTGATGAGAAGTTGAAAAGTAAGAAAGACAGGAGGAGCGATACTTCCTCCATTTTCAGAGTAGGAAAATGGGTGAATCTGAGTGCCTGTGTGAGTAGGTATGCATAATTAGTCATGAGAGTGGTAGATGTTTCTCTGAAGCTTCTATTTTATCGGCAAAATCAGATAGAGATAGAGGATCATTCTCTGAAATGGCAGAGGATGGAGAAAGGTCAGAGACCTGTGAGGAGAATATAGGAGACCTGAAATCATCCTTTTAGGGTGTTACAAAATAAGCCAGGCAATCTTGAGGGTGGCCTTGATGAGTTGTGTGAACACAAGCATATCCCATTGTATTATTTTTCTCCAGAAATCTGTAGCCGTCTGAAATAGATGAAAAGATATGAATCTGGCATCTCAGCCTGGTGGAGAAAGTTTCTATGCTGTCTCTTTCTGACATAATTAAGAGTTGACCATGGGAAGTTAGTTTGATCTCTGTAGAAGATCAACACCTTTTGTTGCTTAATCGAAGAAACTTTTCTACTTTTCTGGTAGATGCTCCAACTAAGGTGATCCTATTCTCTTAAATAAGATATCCCCCACAACAATGATTGGAAATGCCAACAAGTGGATTTGAGAGTGAGAAATTAATATGTCTTTCACAATTAGTCATTTGCCTCCATCCTCTACTTAATATTCAATATATAGTGCTTTTTAAAATACTGAAATGCCTGTGTGGTAGGCACAACGGATTAAATAATATTGAACATAGCTTTTCCTTCAGGGAATTTATGACATCCTAAGCTTAGCTGTAAGAGGCTGTTTTCTTAACATTTACATTAAAAACCTTCAAAATACTTTAATTCTTTTTTTTTTTTTTTTTTTTTTTTTTGAGACGTAGTCTGGCTCTTTCACCCAGGCTGGACTGCAGTGGCGCTATCTCGGCTCACTGCAAGCTCCGCCTCCCGGGTTCCCGCCATTCTCCTGCCTCAGCCTCCCGAGTAGCTGGGACTACACAAAATACGTCAATTCTTCACGTAATAAGTTCATAGGTATAAATCTAGATTTAGAGTAAAAATGAGGCGCTTCAAGGACAGTATGCTTTTTAATGCATTGTCTATGTCACAAACTAGACTTAGGAATTTCTGATTTTCCTGGTATTCTGATAACATTTTTCTTTAAAAAGAATGACAATCTGCCTTCATGTGCTCTGGGCCAGTAAAATGGAAAAGCACAGGTAGAGGGGTGAAAATTTAGATAGTTAAAATAATTGGAGACTAAATCTCACTTTCCCAAAATTCTTTTTCTTATCTGTACTTGAAGTACTTTGTGTTTTCCTACCTCTCAATCCATCACTGCTGAGGAATGTCACAAAGGTTAAAAGCATTTAAAATAAGGTTCTCATAAGGTGGGGGAGTGGAAGCCACACTGGAGTGTGTTGAAGAGTGAATAGAAGAAGCAAAGTTAGCAGACAACTCTTTCCAGTTGGTGAGAAAGTTAGCTCCTTGAGTCTTAAGTACTGGCATGCATAAAAAATTTCACTGTGTCTATCCAAACCCAAAATAGAGAGAATGAAATGAAACCTGCCATTTTCAGCTGCTCTAGGTGACCTGTTCAGAATTACTAAGAAGCAGGGATACTATAAATCTTTTTTGTGTAAGAATTGTTTTTGTAAAAGGCATGTGTGGGCAGCTATCGTTTAAGACTAAAATATTTTGACAAATCAAAACTTCAAGTAGAGCCACTGTGACTAAATTTAAGTCTATACATTGAGGTATAAAATGGCACTAATCACATATTACAGCTGTCAAACTCCCTGGCAGAGTGGATTAGTAGAAAAAGAAGCCATAAAAGAACAAGGAAAAAAGTATCTGACAGGGGAAAAGATGGTTATAAATACAACAGATTTTATCTGTAGATTCAAATGTTTTTACTGAACATGCCAAGAAAAGATAATTTAGAATCTCTTTAAGAAGATTTAGAAAGTCAAAATAAACATGAAAAAGATAGGCTATGCAAATGACATTGAAAAGAATGGAAAGAAATCTTCAATAATTTTTAATCAAAGTTTGGTAATCTCATTGAATTTGAATGCAATTCTAACTTGCAGATATTAGGAAACTTGAGATCAGGTTTGTTTTTCCTATTGATATTCAGCTGGAAGGCTAAGTCATACATTATTTAAATAAAGAATAATCCATTTGAAAGGGGCTAGATCAAACTCATAGAGGCATGTATTATTCTCCCAGAACTTCACAGACTATGAAGGCAAGTAGAAGACTCCAGAGGTCATGCAGTTCATTTTTCTGCACTTAGAGCACTCCAGAAAGACAGCTTTGTTTCTTCTTATTAATTTTGCAGACAGGCAGTTGCTATACTGCTGGTCCAATTCCCCCATTAAATTTTGGTTCAAATATTTCTACTATCATCTTCAACATCTCAGTTATTCAACAATTAACAGACATCTATTATATGCCAGATATTTGACTAATCACTGTCAAAATCAAGGTAAATCAGTTCTTTGTCCTCAGGGAAATACACAGTGCTAAGCAGACTAGGTGCTCTGTGAGTTTGGGGAGGAGCATCTAATTCAGATGAAGGAGGCCTAAGAAAGTATATTTGAACTGAATCTTGAAGGTGCAGTATAAACTAGCTAGGAGGAAGGGTGAATGCAGAACATTTCAGGAAGAGGCAAAAACCCATGCAAAGATGTGAGGGCATCAAAAGTGCGATGGGTTTCAGAACTAGTATATGCATTGGGTAAAGACTACTACTAGTAGGGGGATGGTAGGGAGTGAGGTTTACGGCAACATTCCCCAAAATATCTTTTGAGGAACATTAGTTCTTCTGGGAGCATTGCAAAAAGTGTTTCCTAGTCAGTTGATTTTGGGAAACAAAGCATATTATACTCCTGTTCTGAAAATTCATAAAGATATTATATTAACATCATAAGAAATCCTGTAGTATTAAAAACTTTTTTGAATTCCAAATTTATGATACCAAAGAACTTCTTGTTTTAATAAAACACTTTCATATACACTGAAATGGTGCTCCATGGTGCACACTTTGGGAAGCATGGAACTGGCACGGGTGAAAAGACCATAAGTGTTTAGCTTGCAAGCCAAACTGGGAATTCAGGGCTTTGTCCTGAATAGGCCTGTTCATTCAGTGGGGTGCTTGAATGATTTTAAAGTGGGGAACAGACATGATCAGATTTTCATTTTAGAAGTCTCTTTGACAGCTTTGGCAACTACATTAGAAAGGGGTGGAATAGAGGAAGAAAGACCAGTTAGAGGCTGCTACGGCAAGTCAAAGAATCATGCAGGCCTGGGCTAAAACAGCAGCAGTTGAATGAAGAAGGCAAGAACAAAGAGGAATACAGATGGAGTAGACAGACTCTGATGGGAGTCTCTAATAGAGATGGGGCCTTCAGAGGCCATAGGGATGTTTGCTTGGGAAAGTAGTTTAGGGAGAAAGCAAGCTTGGGGCAGTACTGGGATAAGAGTTCAGGCAAAGTAGGAAAAAAAAAAACAGCAAGGCTGACATTGGGAGCAATGGCTAAGGAAGATGAAGCTGAGGGTAATAACTGGAGTTTTAGTTTCCCTGATTACAAAATAGAGGCACTATGGAGGCACTTATCCGAGATCATGGATTATGTGATGCTTTGAGACTGTGGTCCGGTCAGGCTTTGTCTATTGAAAACATTAGCAAAGATGTTTTTGCTATGGCTCCTCTCCTAGTGGTATGGTTACCTACACAATTTGGCTTACTTCATACTTTCTTTCTCCATTCAATGTCCACAGGCAGATCACATCCACCCATGAGGAATGTTTCCTCATGGACAGTTTAGAGCTTCAAGGAATCTCTTTTGGCTCTGCCAGATGTTTACTCTCCCAATTTTCCTCACACCCTCTGTTTGTAATTCAGTTCTTGATTTTCCCACCAGCCCCTTTGGAATCCTCCAGGATTCTCATGTTCGCTTCAACTCAGGGTTAGGGAAGACAATTTTGATTTCCCTTTTGACCACTCTCCGAAACTACAGTTTCATGCTCTGGGAATATTCTTGCTGGAATCTAGATACAGTCTGTTAAGTTAAATGCTCTGGTAGTGTGATCAACTGTCCTGCTTTTCCTGGGACTGAGGAGTTTCTGGGATGCCAGAAGACTTTCTGTGCTAAAACTGGGAAAGTCTTGGGCAAACTGAAACAGTTGATCAACCTAAGTTGCTCTGTCAGGCTTATCTCTATTTCCTAGTACAGTGCCTGCCACACTGTAGCCTTAAATATTTAAAATAGTATTAACTCTAATTAATTGAACATCCATGATTTGGCAGGTATTTGTATGCATTATAACATTTTATCTTGATGGTAGATAATAGTCTATTTTTAATTAATTAATTTTTTTTTTTTGAAAATGGAGTGTTGCCTGTCGCCCAGTCTGGAGTGCAGTGGCATGATCCCAGCTCACTGCAACTTCTGCCTCCTGGGCTCAAGTGATCCTCCCACCTCAGCCCCCAGGTGGCTGGGATTACAGGCATGCACCACCATGCCCAGCTAATTTTTTTTTTTTTTTTTTTTTGGTAGAGACAGGGTTTTGCCATGTTGCCTAGGCTAGTTTCGAATTCCTGGCCTTGAAGTGATCCACCCACCTTGGCCTCCTAAAGTGCTGGGGTTACAGACATGAGCCACCGTGCCCAGCCTCTATTCATTTTAGACATAAGAAACTTGAAGCTCAAGTGATTGCCATCTGCCTAAGGCCACGTATCTACTATCTGGCAGAGTCATGATTTGAACCCAAATATGTCTGATTTCAAGCTTGTGCTATTTCTAGAAAGCAGCTACACCATATAACCTTCCATCATCCACCTGCTGAAGCTTTTGCATTAGTGCTGAGCTTTGGGAGCTGTCAGAGACAGGCACCAAGGGAATGAGAAATGTTAATAGAGTCTAGCACTTTGTAAACGCTCAGTAATAGTTACCACCCTTCTCTCTCCATGGCTCTTTTCCCCAAGGAAGCTTGTTATCTATAAGAAACATGAATTCATGAGAAAGAGAAAATTCCTAACTATCAGCATGAGTTAGAAACCAGGCATTTGTAGTTACTTTTATTTTTGTGCACATATCATAAAATGTATTGCTTTAACAATGTTAAGCCTTCATGTACTATAATCTTAACAGCTTTTGTAACTAAAATTATGATGCTATAAAAATAAAAGGCAGGATTTTTTTCTCTGTGTACTTACAGGTATCTTCCCAGTGAAACCTGCTGCTGTATGTATTTTCTATTGACCATTTCATAACAGCCTGTGACACTTTCTATGACAGAACAGAAAACTCTCCAATCACCTTAAATCCTTTTAATAGCTTAGATATATAAGGTAGTGTTGAACTCTTTTAGTAGATTATCATCAGATTAGTTACTCATATGGCAGCTATTATTTTAGTGTAATAAACAAATGTAGCTCATAATTATAAATTGCATTATGATTAATGAATGTGTCACCCTGGCACAGCAGTAACATATTTGCTCTTTGTTTAATCGAATTTAAAAGGAGATTAAAGAAATTATGATATGACACTTACTAGAGATGAAATGGAACTTCAGGTCAGTGCTTCTCTTTTGTGTATATGAACAGCTTCCTTGATATGAACAGTTTATATAGCCAAGGATCACGGTGTATCGTATATATAGAGTCACACATCTATCATCAATAAATAATCTGGTGCAAGAGGCCTCTCTATCCCTTTTTTAAAAAGGGCAATTAAAAAATAACTGAGCTATGGATTTGCAGTAAGTGCTTTTCATAATATTCTTAAAACTCTTCAGTTCAAATTGTCACTGTCTTGTTTCCCTGATGTGGGAAGTATAGGCAACTTTGCGGTTTGTAGATTACTTGGTTTAGCAGATTAAACCTTAAAATATCTGTCTATGTCATAATTGCTAGAATATTCACTGACAGTCTAATGCAAAAATAATTGGTTATAAAAATGCTTTAAGAAATATTTCTATGAATAATCTAAAGTCCAATATTTTATAATGCCATGTCAAAATAAAAATGACTTTTGCCAGTAGAAATTGAACTGTTTTGTAGTTCCCATTTTTGGAGGAAATGGTAATATTCTTATTTCTGCTGCTAATTATAATGAAGGTATTGGGCAGCCAATGTGAGCGCTATGAGTAATAAAACCAATGTGTGATAATCTCAAGACCAATATGATGATCATTGCTTTAAAAAGATTCAATCAATTCATTTGGCATACTAATTACATCTTTTTTTTGGCTTTAAAAATATTCTTATTTAGTTGCCAATTAGCCAATTAATATTTAAGTACCTTGGTGACAAAAGAGATTTTTCTCTAACCATGTGTTCTGGCCATTTTCTGATGCTATAACAATACCCAAGGCTGAGTAACCTATGAAGAAAACAGATTTGTTCAGCTCAGAGTTCTGGAGGCTGAGAAGTCCAAGAGTATGGTGCCAGCATCTGGTGAGGGTCATCCTATGGTGGAAGGGTGGAAGGCAGAAGTGAGTGCATGGGCCAGAGAGATAAAACATGGCTAAATTGCCGGATATTACAACAAACTCAGTCCTGTAATAAAAAGTTACTCCAGGGATAACAGCATAAATTCATTCATGAGGGCAGAGCCATCATGACCTAATCACCTCTTAAAGGTCCCACATCAATTAAATTTCAAAATGAGTTTTGGAGGGGATAAACATTCAAACCAAAGCACCTTGTATTCTCCATAAAGTCCAGCATAATCACTCACACCTCCTTGGAACTTGTAAATATATTGATTGCTTGATCTATAGTTTTTGAATGACTGGGTTAAAAACATGAAAAGATTACTATTGAGACATGAAAAATAACTTAATGTGACATATCTTAAAATTAAGGTGTTAAATCAATTATACTTCAAATTTGACGGAAGGAATAATACCCTACTAATTAGCAGGACTTAATGATTCATCCTTGCCAGCAATTTTTTGCTGCAGCCACCAGTTAGGAGAGGATCTGTTTCCTGAATTAGATGTGGTTGGCTAAACAAAGGCATCTTACTGACCCCAAATAAAAGTCAGCATTTTGTCATACTCAATAAGCACTATTTCTACTTAAAAGTCTTCCTTGAATTGTTGTCACAGTATTATGATTACTTAGCTATTATTGGTGCTTTAGAATAGTTTCTACGGTTTTTAGGTGGGTGCTACCTTATTTCTAAAATGTAAACAAATATATATTAAGTTACAACTAGTTCTGCCTAAGGAGTTGAATATCTGCTGGGAGGGAGGAGTTAAAAAGAGTAAAGGAAAAAAAAAAAAGGACAGCACTACTCTGTGTGAAAGCACACTCTCTGGGTGACCTTGACCAAGTGTGAAATGTAAGGTTAGATAAAGAGGTTTCTCCTTTCTACTACATCAGGGAAGGATCTAGAATTGTAAACACGAGTAGATTGCAAAGGTAAACTAATTTCGCCTGATGAATATGGACACTCTGAAAAATATTCTGTGGCTGTGATAAAGAAGTTAATAGACTTTTGGACCCTCCAATGCTGAGTACTGTAGAAAATGAACCTTCAGAGAGTGTCTTCAACCACAAGCTGAGATTTGATTGATAATGTGCATTTAAAAAGTCTGTCTTTGTAATTGCTTAATACTAAGAAATGCATCATAACTCTATTTCTTAAAGAAGACTTTCTCTGATGGAATTACATTTCATTAGTTTCATTAGTTAATATTACTTATATGCATTTGCTTTAATAAAGTGATGTTTCAATACCGAAAGATATATTTCAATCTCTTTTCTTAAACGACTAAACTCTGCCTCCTTAAAGAGCACAGATGTGGAGCACTGATTCAAAATTCCAGGTCCGGTGCTTTTGAGGGGTGAATAAGCCTCATTTTAAAGGTTGTCTCTTCCAAACTGAAAATACAACATAGAAGTATGTTGTATGCCTGAATAGAAGCACTGATGATGAATTAAGCAAACTGTTGATTTAGGAACAGAAGGGACAATGTGGGTTTTATTTACTAAGCCTCAGAATCTTTTGAGGCAAACCACATATTACTGAGCAATATCAAACCTTTCAGTTCCTGGCTGTGTATTCATTTATAGCAATATATACTTTGTTATTAAAAGAAATCTGGGACGGGGCCAAGAAATTTAAAATTCTCTCTAATACACAACTAAAGAAATGCTCTAAAAATCAGGCAAACATAAAATTTTAAAGGAAATTCTAATAGGGTAAATATAATATTGGTTCAGTTAGGAAAATAACTGGTTGCATTGCAGTTCTTTTTTAAAGGAATAGTTTTATTGAGATATAATTTACCTACTATACAATTTGCCCATTTAAAGTGTACAATTCAATTACATACTTTAATTCAATTATATACTTAATGCGCCCGTTTAAAGTATACAATTAAATGTATACATTCAGAGTTGTACAAGCATCATGACAATCAGTTTTAAAATATTTTTATGACCCCCCTCCAAAATAACCCATAACTATTAGCAATCATTCTCCATTTTCTCCCAGTGGCCCCAGTTTTATGGAATCACTTATTTACTTCTGTCTCTTTGGAAAATATGTGGTCTTTTGTGACTAGTTTCTTTTACTTAGCATAATGTTTGAAAAGGTCATTCATGTTCTAACATGTATCCATACTTCATTTATATTGTCAAATATTCCATTATATAAATATACCACATTTTATCCATTCACCAGTTGGTGAACATTTGGGTTGCTTCCATTTTTTGGTTATTAATAATATGAACGTTTGTTTACAAGTTTTTGTGTAGAGATTTGTTTTTATTTTTTGGGGATATATACCTGGAAGTAGAGTTGCTAGGTTATATGATAACTCTATGTTTAACCTTTAGAGAAACTGCCAGACTTTTTTTCCAAAATGGCTATACCATTTTGCATTCCAGCTATCTATGTGAGATCCAACTTTTTTTTTTTTTTTTTCCAGGTGGTGTCTCACTCTGTTGCCCAGGCTGGAGTGCAGTGATGTAATCTCAGCTCACTGCAAACTCTGCCTCCCAGACCCAAGTGATCCTCCCACTTGGAGTAGCCGAGACTGGAGTAGCTGGGACTACAGGCACGCGCCACCATGCCTGGCTTTTTTTATTTTTTATTTTTTTGCAGAGACAGGGTTTCACCATATTGCCCAGGCTGGTCTCAAACTCTTGAGCTAAAGTAATCCACCCACCTCCGTTTCCCGAGGTGCTGGGATTATAGGTATGAGCCACTGTACCCAGCCCCAAATCTTGATACTAATACTTATGCTCCTCTAGAGTTCATTGTGGTTGATGTTTGTTTAGATTTTCAGTTGCTTTACTGGATTATATTTAGTGAAGTCTGTTTCCTTCTAAGTGTGCTGCCTTAGAGGATGTTACCTCATGCATTGCACAGTCACTTGGGTTGACAATGACTTTAACAGGGATATCTCTTTTTAAATTTATAGATAAGATTGTATTTATAATGTACATGTTTTGAAGTATATTTACATTGTGGAAGGCTCAAATCTAGTTAATTAAAAAATGTGTCACCTCACATAGTTATATTTTCGTGAAAACACTTAACATCCACTCCATTTGCCTTTTCAAGAACACAATATATCATTAATTATAGTCACCACACTGTACAACAGATCTGTTGAACTTATTCCTCCCATTACTTGTGATTATAAATCATTTGACCAGCATCTTCCCATACTCCTATACACTTTTAACCACCCAGCCTCTGAAAAACACCATTTTTTGGCTATCTTTTCCGCTGGTATCTGGTAAACAGTCTGTGTCCTTTGCTGCCACGCTCAGCTGCTAGTCACCACTAGTTGTAGCTAATTGTTTTATTGCTTTCAGCAGTGTCCTGGGTCGTAAATTGCTCCACAGTCTGATCCAATTTAATTCTAGCCTCTTCGAAGAGGTACACTCTGAAGCTAGACTTTGAGGTTTGTTCTTACTGCTGAAGGGATAGTCTTTGCTGCTGTCTCTTTCTCTGGTTCTCTCTGGGAAACTTCTATGTGTTCTGTGGTTTAGCCTGTTGCTTTCCTGGAGCTACTAGTCTCCCTTTAAGTGCAAAAGAGCAAGTCCTCCTCACCACTGTTCCACAGTTGGGGGCAAGGACAGTGACCTGTTTCCAAAGCAATACCCTTTCTCCACAGGTGGGGCACTGTGTGGGGCATGAGCCTCTGGTCTTCTTGGCTTGCCTTTTTAAGCATGGAAACTCTACCTTACTTACAAGCAAGCTGAGACAAGGGCGATCAGGAAACAGTATGCTTGGTCTGATGCACCTGGAGAAGTCTCCACCGATTGAATGAGGGCTGAGTGAAAGAAGGGAACCCCAGACCTGCCAGCCACTCTTGCCTGGAATAGAGCTTCTGCAAACCAGATACAGGATGAGAAGTACTTGTGGCTTACCCTGCCAGGAGAAATACTATACCTCTTGACTGAAGGCTAGAGGGAAAGAGGACCCTGTATTCTTGGCTGTATCTGCCTAAAGTACAGCTTCCATCATGCCGAAGTGCAGGTAATGCCTCAAAATGCCACTGACTCTCACTGTTCAGGGGAGATTTTAAGTGTTTTCCATTTCCTATATGCCTTTAGGATAATAGAGACTTTAAACCTTTTCTCCCCCCACCGCAGCAATTTTCACCAGCTATGATTGTTTTACTGGCAACAGAGTTCACAGGCTCCTCATGTTGCCATTCCTGAGATGTCTCTTATCTGGGCTTTCTTAAGAAGAACGTATAGACTGTGTGTAGGTTAATTTGGTTAAGACAAAAGAAAATTCTAACAAAGTACAAAAGAACAAGAGTAGAACGCCTACAAAGAAGTCCGTTTTATGTCACACTTCTTGCAATAGAAACCAGGTTGGAAATGTTAATGAAATACTATCAAAGCGAGGAAGTGAAAAAAATAGAACCAGCTATTATAACTTTTGTGTGTTGTATCAAACCCCTATTAACTCCAATGGGGGACACACCAGGTTCAAGAGGCTGAAGAAGAGATCCAGAGCTGGCAAACAAGATGTCTTATTGGGGGGATTTATATACAGGGGAGAGAGTCCAGTGGCAGTGGGCTGGACAGGGAAACTGCAACTGCTTGTAAAAGGCATACAGTTTATATAACATTTTCACTTAGCATCCTTTCCCCAACAACCCCCACCTGGCAACCTTCATTCAACCCAAACTCAGGACCTTGATGCCCTGTATCTCCTGTGTTTCGTAAGCTGGAGGCTCAGATGTTCCTCATAAACAAGCAATGAATCTCCGGGTTGGCCACTCCCAGATTCCTTAGCTCCAAATACACATTCACGTGCATCTCCTATACAGGTTCATTCTCAGGGTATGCTTAAGTTGTTGCTATCAGGTGCGTTTACAACACACGGTGGGATAAAAGTACAGGCCCAGCTTAGCTGGAGTTTCTTCTGCTCAGGGTCTCATAGTCTGCAATTGGGTGTTAGCTAAGCTGCATTCTCATCAGATCCTTAAATGAAAAAAGTTCTGCTTCTAAGTGCTTTCTGGTCTTTGCAGAATTTACCTCCTTGCAGCTGTAGAACTGAGGGCCCCATTTTATCGCTCACCGTTAGCTGGGGCCTGCTTTCAGCTACTAGAGACCTCATACATTTCCTTGCTATGGGAGCTTCCTCCTATGCCCTCTCACAACATGACAGCTTATCTTAAGGCCACCAGGAGAATTTCCTTCTTCAGTTTTGTAAGTCAGAGTCTTATATAATATTACATACTGGTAGGAGCATCACCTGCTAAATATAAAGTATCACCTTTGCTATATAAAGTAACCTAATGATGGGTATGACATCCCATCACCTTTGTCATAATCTACTGTTTAGAAGTCTGTACAAGTCCCACCTGCTCTCAAAAGAAGATTACATAAGGGCATGACCCATTGTGGGGGAGAGGGCACCAAATCTTTTTATACTAAGACAATTTTAAAAGAATATTTAATAAATGCCAATATTCAAGGTTTTTATTTAATTTCAGAATAGTCAGCGGTGGCTTACTGGTTGAACAATCAGTTCAGGGGGAAGAGCTTGCTGAGCATTTTTCTTTCCATCTTTCCTGATGCAGAATCTCTTAAGGCAGTGCCCCAACTTTTATCTATTTGCTCTGTAGACGCTGATGAGAATCACAACATCAAATTACAATGTACATTATTTATTTTCTATTTCTCCTTTACATTCTGAGGCTTCTTCCTCCAAGGGGTTGGGTGCATTCTTGAAAACATTTAGTTCTAAACCCAATTCTTAAAGTAGAAGAGGAACTTCGAGAGAAAAAGTATGAAGAAGCGGGACTGGGTTAGCCAAGAGGAAGATTTCAGGAGACAGAGGCACTTGAGAGATAAAGGAGGGAAACAGGAACAGCAAGGGGAGAATAAAAGGGTAAAGTTTGTAATCTTGTTTATAGTTAGTAGCAAATCAAAAAAGAAATAAAGGCAGCCTAGTTACTTACTCGCACACCTATTTTTTAATCTCCAGCTAATCAGTTAATGAAAAGTTAAAATTAGAAGCTGTGAGAAACATTCCTGGCTAAAGCATTACTCGAGATTAGCACAATGAGTTTCATTGTGTAGTCAGCGGCGACTCCAACTAAAATTGATTAAGGCAGCCAGTGACTTATCAACATGACACAAAAAGGCTACTTCTGTGTCCTGAGTTTTTAAAAAAAATTGTTCTGTCTTTCCACATGGTTCTAGTACTCAGTGTAAAGCAAGTATATGTCACCATAGAAGCTGCTGTTGGCTTTGATTTCCAGAAGCTGATTGATGATGGTCTTCCTAAGCAAGCAGAAGTTACCAATAAAATTGACTCTAATGGGTGCTCAGGGTATTGTTATTACGTAGCTGCAGACAATAAGCCAAGAGTGGAACAGCTGATGTACATCTTGAGATCAAGATAAGAGGTGGTGCTTGGAGCTATACATTAGTAGAAATTACAAAGTATTTATAGTACTTATTGTATTCATAGTGCATTAGTTGAATTTGCAAGAGTTTAGCATTAAGAGAGCCATGGAATGTTGAGTGAAGGCTGAAACTCTTAACTCTAGACTAACCTTGTTTTTACCAGTCACTAACATGAGTGTGAATTATTGAAAAATCTGCTCCTACCAGTCATCTACCTAATCCTTTTGTTGATTTGTTTTTTTCTTTGCTGTCACGATAAATTTCCAAAGTCTTACCTGACCCATAAGGCCTTTCATTATTTTGCTCCAGCCCACCTTTCCAGTCTTGTTTGAGGAACTCCAACCTTCCTGGATATTATTATTTTCCTTCAAAGTATCTGTTTTATTCTTGCTTTACGTTTTTCACACATGCAGCTCCCTCCATTACTAATACTCCTCCTTTGCCTTTCTCTTATTGACCCTACTCATTGTTTATGTTTCAGGTTAAATGTCTCTCCCTGATGAAGGTCTTTATTTATCCTCACAATAACATTAGTCTGTTATATGCTCTTAGAAATCCTTTTACCTCCTATGGTCCATGGCACCTATAATATTAATCAGGATGTATTCATTTTCTACCTTCTCTGCTAGACCGAAAGCTCCATGAAGGCATGTCACTGCTGTGTCCACAGACCCTATGTCAGTGCTGGTTACCCAGCAGGCTCCTTTGTATGTACTACTCAGGCCTAGTGATGAAGAGCAAGACTTTGGAGCCAAAAACAGCCAGCCACTCATAGAATATGAAGTGAGACTATGGGCGGGTCACTGAACCTTATTTTTCTTCCATGTGAAAAGGAATGATATCTTCCTTGCATAGTTTTCTGGGAATTAAATGAGATTATGCACATGAATCTTCAGAAGCAACCTAAAAACCATGGTTGATGAGGCACATATAATCTGGATGTAGCCTTTACATGGTATGAAACTCATTATTTTCCTTTGTTCTTACTCAGTTTATGAAATATTTTACATGTCCCAGAGTCCTGAGAAACAGCATATTTCACAATCTGCATCACCAATTTGATTGATTTTTTTTTTACAGTTTTGGCTTGTGTCTGAGTTTTTTTCTCTCTGGGTCATCAGGCTTTATATTGGGTAATTGGGGGTCATGGGATCTACAGCAACATCCTTCAGTTACATGTGGTCATACCTGCCACATGGTAATCACTTCATAAAGGTTTGATCTCTTATGTTATCCTTGTTATGTCCTTGTGCCATAGGAAAAAAAATGTTTGCCCATGTGGTTATTCTGTCTCTTTCCTTTTTTTTCTTTTATGAGATTGACAGCTAACTGTTAGGAGTGCAATAAAAGACACAAAGAAGGTTCAAGAAACCACATAGATAAATTAGCCTTTAGTGAAGACTGTTTAGCGCATTGCAGGAACTGTGAAAATGTAGGAATACAACAGGGTCACCATGTGGATCTCATTGAGACATCACTTTTTTAAATTGACTTATTTTTATCTAGGTGATGTTACTGTTAAAGACAGCAGGAGCTGAGATTTATTTAGCCAGGTACGTACTAAAAATTTTCCATGTATTAATCTTTGCAACAACATTTTGGAATAGAAATTCTTAACAATCTTTAGTAACAAGGCACAAAAAGGTAAAACAAGTTGCCCAAGGTCGCATGATATAATGGAGCTGACCTTTAAAGTTTTAACAACTATGCCACTCAGCAAAATTCTGGAAGTACATTTCTTAGGTTTTAGCATGAACAAGAGCCACCTGGGAAGCATTGTTTTTCAAATGCAGTTTCCCTGAACCTACTGTGGGAGATTCAGATTTAGTAGCTAGGACTGGGGCTTAGAAATCTGTATTTTTAACCCATAATTCTAATGCAGGTATTCCGCAGACCACTTTGAGAAACATGTATCTACATATCCTTAAAGAAAATGTACTCCTTTGAGTTCTTATAAACGGTAAAATGTAGGACTGAAAGCTTAAAGTAATTTTCTAGGTATAAAATAACTTCTATGTGCAAAACCATTTTTATCTTGATGCAATCGAAATATTAACCAGATTAACTATTACTACATCCAAAATAAGGGGCTCTGGAATAAATGATTACCATAAGTATGTACACTGTTGGGATAAGATTGCTCTTAGATTCTAGAAATCAGTGCTTTAATCTATAGTATATTGTGATTTGGGTCCCTTAGACAAACTTCACCTTCCTGCATGTATTTGATTCATCCTACATAGCTCTCTTTATGTCCTCTGGGTTGCAAGCGAGAAAAAAAAACCTGCAAAGAAAAACTGATAAAATATACTTGGTTAATTTGGATGAGGGAAATCTAAGGCCTCCTACAAAATAAGCCTGCTGTCTGAATTATTCAAGTAATTCCCTTTGCTCACTTTGAGAAAATAGGATGAGTCTGGAATGACTTGTTTGTGGTTGGTTGTGCTATGCCCCAGTACATTGTTTCATTTTTTAACCTCTTTTTTGTATTTCTTCCTAAAAACTAAATTCTCTAGCCGGACAGAAATATAGCACCTGTCTTGGCTTCAGGCTTGCTTTTGCCAAGTTGCAGTTGGTGAATCCATGATCAGATTCTCCCGAGGCCAATCAAACAGGGCAATCAGCCTGCCCAGACTGACCCAATTAAGTTTAATTAGTTGTTTTTTATCTTTAAATTTCCTAGCCAGGTGGATTTTATGGTTTTTATTAAACAACGAAGAAGAGCTGAATCTTTGGAATTAGTTGGCCTCTCAGGTGCTTTCTCTTGGTAATAAAACTCCAGGAAATCTTCAAATCTTTATAAGGAAGTCAAATGATACTAAAAGACGTTTGGCTCTGTTTCTTTCAGGCTCTTTTAAAAGGAAAGTATTCCTGTCTTAGTTTGAAGAAATATCCATCTCATCTATGATTCCTGACCAAAATTGTGTCACACTGTTGAACCTTACCTCATCTCGTCACTCCTCAGTTAGTGCCTTTTCAACTTTTCCTATCAGTTGGAAGTCAGTTGGATAAGTTAGAGTATTGGCTCTGAAGGGAGTTTCAAGAAAGTTGTGAGGGATCTAGAATGAAAGCAGAGTTAAAGCAAGCCAAGAGGTGAATGAAATGAAGAATAGAATTTCTAGCAGAATATAAGTGAAAATTATGATTAATAATGGAGAAATAAAAGGATTGTTAAAGTGGCTATGTTGAAGTCATTTAATATTAAACTATTTTTTTGGCCAAAAATTTTGAACAGATTTTACCAATATTTGGTGCCAGGATATTTAGAAAATTGTTTATCTTTCTCAATTCTTAACAGTTCTGTGAAGTAATTAGTGGTATTTTTAATCTTTAAATTTCTTAGCCAGGTGAATTTTACGGTTTTTATCAAACAGCGAAGAGCTGAATCTTTGGAATTAGCCGGTAGACACCTAATTGTTTATTGCTATCAAAGGATACCTATGATTTTCCCTTCCTTTCACTCCCCTGCTAATCCTTCCTTCCCTTTCTCTTCCTCATTTTCATATTCCTTGTTGCCTCCTCATTTATTACTTCTCCCTTTATCTTTCTTCTCTCTCTTTCCTATGCTAGTCTTCTTCCTACTCTTTATAGCTTGCTCTCCCGTTTTCCTATTGTTTAACTCTGTGCTTCTCAAACTGTATTCCACTGCACATTGTGGTCCCCTGGACAGATTGTTAAAACACTGATTGCTGGCCTCTGGGGTCCCCCCAGAGTGTCTGATTCAGTAGGCCTGGGTTAGGGCTTGAGAATTTGTATTTCTAACAATTTCCCAGGCAATGCTGCTTCTGCTGGTGTAAGGATCATACTTTAAGAACGACTTATTTAACTCATCTGATGTCCCGGTCTCTGCTTCCAAAGTAAAATCGATAAAACTTTAGATGAAACTTAGAATTCATTTGGAAAATTGTCTGTACTTTCCCAGGTAATTGTTATTGTCATTCCATGTAATAAAAATTGGTGTTAGATTTTTTTGATAGCTTTTCTGATATAATACTGTAATATTAATACCATCAATCAGAATTACCTTCAATACGGAAGAAACTGAAGCTCCTAAATTGGAGTAATCCTTGAGCTGTATGTGATATTGGCACGGTGAGTTATGGAGGCAAGAAAATTAGAAATGCCAAAGGATTGCAAAGTTTTCCAACCGACTAAAACAACTTCTAATTTTATGTTTAAGATAATTTTCTTTGCTTCCTAATTATAATGAAAAAAGAGTCTATCACGTATAACTTTATGAAACTTTTTGGACCATCCTAATAGCCTGTAGTCAAAACTATTCTTTTCACAATTATCCTTCCCATCTTTGGTATAATCAAAGGGGAAATGTAGCCCAACCTCTTTCTTTTATTCACTTCTTCAATCAATACACATTGAGCACCTGTAACTGTGCACCAGGCATGAATTGTTTTTCTTTGCTTCTTCTATCTCTTGCATTGGCCCTGAAACAAATTAAACGTGATTTAATTACCATATTTTTGGGAAGAGATGTTAAGAATTAAAAGGATACTTTCCCAGTTTCTAGGAGAGAAACCAGTCTTTGTCAAGTGTCACTGTACTGGCGTCTTATACTGATGACAGAGTAATGGTTAAGGCTGGGGGCGTACTGAACATTGATAGAGTGGCATTGCTGGGAACACTTCTTAACCATAAATTTGAAGATTAATTGATCAGGAGTATTTGATTACTCCGTCCACCCAGAAAAATGCCTCACTTGCCCATGACAAAGCCTCTTTCTGATACTCCTCTGATCTCATTGGCAGCTGTTTCTTCTGTTTCCTTTGCTGAATTTTCCTCCCCAGTCCCGGAATGGTGAAATTCCTCACTGCCCAGTACTCAGATTTCTTTTCTACTGATACTCCCTAAATGATCTTATCCAGGCTGTATCTTGAAATTATTTGCATGTGAGTGTATATACACACACAAACATGTGAACACACTATATACTACCGTGTATATATATACAAAGATATAAATTTGGAATGCATTAGTATATGTGTGTATAATAAAACGGTTTCTAAAGGGAAACAAAGACATTTATGAACATAATACCTAAGTGACACATTTTACCCATGTAACAAACCTGCATATGTACCCCCTGAACCTTAAATAAAAGTTGAAATAAGTGCTCTTCCATTAGGCCTTCTTAGATATCACCTCTCTCATTTCTTCTCCCTTCCTTTACATACTTGGTTAGAAAATTGCCTTATTTTCTTTCTAAATGTCCTATGTGTGTCTTTATCATTTCATTTAACACAATGAAGATCACTGTGTCTGTGAATTTTTTAGGAGTGGGAGCTGGGTCTTGATCTTCCATATATCTCCAGAGCCATACCCAGTGCCTGAATAGAATTGATATCAGAAACTCATATGATATCAGATATTTTTGTCTCCTCTTCCCCCAGCTCTGTGCTCTGTTTGTATACTCTCATACCATAGAAAGTGTCTCCACGTGATAGGAGAGGTTAAGAGGTTGTGATCAATGCTATACTTACTCAAATTAAACAGCCCCAAAGGATGTAGGCTTCTATATATAAAGTCTCCATTAAGGACACGAATTGGTCCAACTTAAAGTCTGTGCTTTTTTGCTAGGAAAACCGCCTTGTGGGGGAAGGGACTACTGTAATGGGCCGCGTGTGGGTGAAGTGGCCATTTGCTAGGGTGGGTTGGTAATTGTATTATAGTTAGTATTAGCGGTAACAGATCCCAATTACAATAGCGGCTTAAGCAAGATAGAAGTCTAAGGAGCACTTCTGATTCATGAAAGTTTTAGGGACTCAAGTTTATTTTGTTATGATGTAAGAAGTCTCCAGATCCATTTCAAGATCACCTCATACTCTAATGTTGCTGCTCCAGGTCCTACTTTCATATTTATATTCCAGCTATCAGGAAAGAAATTCCATAGATATAAAGGCAATGGACTTTTTGTTAAGTCTTTTCAAGAGGATTTCAGAAGGTATCTCATGAAGCTTTATTTCATCTACCAAAACATAGAGGATAATTGAAAGAAAGAGTGGGAAACACAGTGTTTATTTGGTTGGCTATTATTTCACTATGTTACGCAGGTAGAGGAAAACATACGTTGGGGAACAATGAACAGCTCTTGCTGCTGTAGCGTAGTATGACTGCTAGTTCCATCACCACCTGGGAAGATAGCTGCAGATGTCTGCTAAAAATTGACATTCCAGCTAAAGCCTAAAGAAGGCTAGGAAAGCCCCCTCAATGATTAATATTGTGAAATTAATAGACTTTCATTTCTCAGTCTCACAATGAGTCTTGTCTTTTTTTATTATAAAATCTATTCACTTATGTAATCCACATTGGTCTACATAAGAAAGATTTTTAAATGAGAGTTGTCTACTGATAAGAAATTTAAAATATAAACAGTGTTGTAATGTTCTCTCAATTCTTGAACTAATAACTATCTTTCCAAAGTAGATCCTATTATTTTGAACCTTCATATTAATTTTAGGCTCTGATGCAATCATTAGCTTATCCGCAAATGAAATTGTAAGAATCTATCTTTGTTCTGATGAATGATTAACAGGTACTTTTATGTTCAACATGGATTAAAAAAAACCTGATATTTCTTTAAAAAAAGGTGGGTGGTAAAGTGAACATTTCTTTTGTCTAATACCTGATTCAGGCTTCTAATTGTGGAAGTGGATGTTTGTCATTTTTAAAAAATGGACTGACATCCATTCTTTTGCTAATAGAATCCCAAATTTGACAGGGGGAATTCCTTGTCTTCAGTTTGTATACAGTCTACTGCAGTTATTACTTAAGAGGTTGTAGCCCTTCTAACCATGAGACTAAGCTAGGTTTATGAGACTTCTCTCCCTTGAATTTGAATGTTGTGTCAAGTGAAATAATGACAGAAAACATTTGGAGTTCATTCTTTTGAGAAGAGATTATGGGGGACTGACTGCTCCCTAGGTAATGAACAAATCTGGTTTCTGCCAATTCCTAAGCCTCATTTATCTAGCTTTTTTGGGGGGCAAGGGAGTCTTCTTCTATATGTTGAATTGTTTACAGATTTTTCTTAATGTATCCCTAGTTGGTTTTCTTGCTTGCACACAATGGTCATAGACACTGCTGGACTATGTAGTTATGCTCAGCCTCTCTACCAAGCTCTGGAGAAAAACCTCTGTGCTGAATTTATAAATATAGCCTGAGGAAGAAAGCAATATCTTATTCTCTTCTACTGTAACCTTTTCCCACTGCTATGAAATTCCCTAGATGCTAAAGAGGGGAAGAAAGTATCACCCCAAGTTCCTTATTGCCAATTTGTAAATGGTGCTTGTTCTCTCGTCTTAATCTTCATACAGTTTTGTTTGGAGTTTCACTATCAGTTCTCAGTCACTTTTTTTTTTCCTTTTTTCCCATTTTAATCATGATATAGAAAGAATAATATCTTTCAGCTTCATAGAGGTATGATGAAAAGCATTTAATGAGCTACCATTTCCTCAGGTTCAAATGAAGCAGTCTATTCCACTGAATCTAATTACATTTAATTCATTAGTGCTTTTATTTTAATTTTTTTCATTCATGTAGATTGTGCAATTATAAGAACTGCTTTTCTATGCAGTATTTTGGATACATCTTTATTACAGTCCACAAATAATTGAAAAATAGAAAACAAAAGGTAAAATAAGTCATTGGGTAGCCATTATGATATAAAAAAGGTTTATTTTCGGATTTTCTGAACTAAGACCCATCCATCAACAAGTAAGTTTTTTTGTTTGTTTGTTTTTGAGACGGAGTCTTGCTCTATCACCAGGCTGGAGTGCAGTGGGGCGATCTCAGTTCACTGAAACCTCCGCCTCCCAGGTTCAAGTGATTCCCCTGCCTCAGCCTCCTGAGTAGCTGGGACTACAGGCATTCATCACCATGCCCAGCTAATTATTTTGTATTTTAGTAGAGATGAGGTTTCACCGTGTTGGCCAGGTTGGTTTCGATCTCCTGACCTCGTGATCCACCCACCTTGGCCTCCCAAAGTTCTGGGATTATAGGCATGAGCCACCGCGCCTGGCCAACAAGTAAGTTTTATATGAGGAATGTGGAAGCTCAGCTCTGCAGGGAAGGTGGGGAGAAGGTATTTAAGAGAAATGTAAAACTGTGGTATTTATCCCCATGGAATCTTGCAGTCTCATTAAAGAGAGTAAAAATTAAGTGTTCCTAGGCGTTGACCATATTCCCCCCTGAAATAAAAGACTTAGTCAAATTTAGCCAAACAGGTTGGCTTGGCTTTTTAAAAAGTTGTTGACTTGGTGTCTATATTTGTTGCTATTGTTTTTTGTTTAGCTTTATTTAATCTTTGACACATATTGGCTTGAAAGTCTGTTCATTTCACCCTCTCCCCATACTGCAGATAGTAGATATGCCCTCCATGGAGCTAGATGTCATAGTGCTAAAAGATGTATATGACTCCACAAAACCTTAAAAGGATCCACTGACTTTGAGATGCATGCTGGCATCATGGGGTTATGTGATAACATTTCAAAGTGTAACTCAAAGGAATAAACTTTTACAAGTTTATTTAGACCATATCTGTCCACATCATATGTAAGATCATTCATAATAATCTTTTCACAGTTTAACCCCCTCTGTTCATCCTAACTGTAGCCATTTCATTATAAGGGGTGAGATCCTTGATTAGACAATAAGAGAAGTAGAAGAGCAAGTCAACAATTAAAACTCTGTCTCCATTTCAGAGTTATTTGTCTTTAAGGTTTTGACAAGGCATCTTTTCCTTTTTACATGTGCCCTTCAAATACAAAAGAGCACCAATTAACAAGGACTTGATAATCCTGTATTGATTAAGGTGCCCCTGTTAAAATGCTGCTCCGAGGCATACTGTCCTTTCTAACTGTCAGAAGCATTTGATAAGGTAGACACAAAACTCATCAATCAGAATGAGTTCTCTTACTAGTAATAGAAAGCCCAACTCAAACCAGCTTATATAATAAGCAATGTGCACAGAAATTTCATCAGTGGCATAGGTTTGATGCAGAAGTTTATGATATCATCAGGGCTTTGGATGATCTTATTTCCTGGGGGAGAAAAAGAACTTCCCTATCTCAAACCATTAAACAAAATCTCTGAGAGTCACTGTTATTAGATCCAATTATTTCATGTGCTTGCCCTGAACTAATAACTGTAGCAAGGGGAATTGGATTACCTTTCTGAAGCTTGAGTGGTTCTATCAGCCTGGCTATTTCATAACTGGAGAATAGGATGGATACTGGGGAAGAATCCCAATATTTGTGGTGTTTAGGTTACATCAAGGCTACATAAAGTCATCTCAACTCTATACAGTAATAGGCCAATCATAAAACCTATTTAAAAATCCTAGGATAAAATAGAACTGCAAGTTTTCACTGGATACCTTTAAACACAGGTGGTGGAGGCTCATAAGATTTTAGCCAGGTAAATTAATCAACATAGAAAATATTATCCATGGGAACAAATGGATAAGGATTATTGGTGGTGGCAG
Organism: Homo sapiens; assembly: GCF_000001405.40. Taxonomy (NCBI): domain Eukaryota; kingdom Metazoa; phylum Chordata; class Mammalia; order Primates; family Hominidae; genus Homo; species Homo sapiens. The sequence goes on from NC_000002.12 coordinate 210,725,586, forward strand.
AGATAATTAATAATTCCCAGTATTCTCTCTTCATTTTTAAAATAGAATACTGCATATTATAGTTGGTTACGGACACCTGGATAGAGTTTATACTTCCCAGGCTTCTTTGGCAATTAGGCATGACCTGTAACAGGTAGAATAAATGTTTTGATGAGGGGTGGGAGTGAAGAGGGAAGTGAATAGAAATGATGTATACAATTTCTCTCTACTTTTTATTTTTCATAAGAGAGCTTATTGTCTTCTACTCTCTTTAATCTCTCCCTGGTAGCTAGGAAATGGTGGTAACAAATAGCCATGGTCCCAGAGTTGAAAGCCAAGTGTTGAGGATGGCAGAGCCACCCAACATGCTGAGGCTACTCATATTTGGATAGTTATATGTAATAAAAATAAACTTCTATTTTATTGAATTGTTTAATTTTTGGCTCTTGTTGTTATAGCACTTCACTCAAACTGAAGTGATATACCAATTAAAAATGTAAGGCAGGACTGAAATGTTCATTGCTTTCATTTATCCTTCTGTCTAGGAGTCTGGTATAGCTTGGCCCAGTTGTGTTTCAATAGCTTCTTTTCAAGTTTCCTTAGAGTATAGATTATTTGGTAGCTGGGACTAACATTCCCTATTTCTTGGATCTGTTCACAATAAACAGAATGCAGGCATGCCATTAAACCACTGCTCTCTCCGTTATGGCCACTTAAGTCCATGTTAGGCATCTGATCTCTGCTAGACTGATCAATATTTTCTCCTGGAAATTAGAATTTGGACAAGAGAGAGGCAAAGGCTGTGAGTAGTTCTTGTTGAATCATTTTACTGGCAGTAAACCAGATGAAGATACAAGAACTCCACACTTGAGGTAACAGAGCTGTACTTCTTCATGCTTTTCTCGAGGTCTGGTTGTTCAAATGTCTTCCTTGCCTTTAGTAGTATATTCCTGTATGCTCACACTTATGTATTTATTTTTTAATAAAGTTTTCATTTTGTAATGATTTTAGATTCATCAAAAAACTGCAAAGATAGCACAGAGTTTTCATATACCTCACACTCAGTTTCCCTGAATGTTAACATATATTAGTATCATGCGTTTATAATATTAAAAATAATGAAGCAATATTGAAACACTATTAACTAAAGTCAGTGTTTTATTCAGATTTTCTTAGGTTTTGCCTAATATTCTTTTTCTGTTCCAGAATCCCATCCAGGACACCAGGCTATATTTGCTCATCAGCTTCCTTGTTTCTGACAGTTTCTCAGATGGTCCTTGTTTTTGATTACCTTGGCAGTCTTGAAGAGTACTGGCCAAATATTTTGTAGACTATTCCACAATTATTTCCTAATGTTTTTCTCATGGTTAGACTGAGCTTACATGTTTTTGAAAGGAAGACCAGAAAAAGAAAGTATCATTCTATCACATCATATCAAGGATATATACTATCCAGGTGGCATATTTGTATTGATATTAACCTTAATTGCCTGGTTGAGATACTGTTTGTCAGATTGCTTAAGTTTACACTTTTACCTCCTCCTTTTTACAATGTAATCTTTGGAAGGAAATCACTATGCACAGCCTACACTTAAGGTTTAGGGAGTTATGTTTCATCTCCTTTAGAACTGAGTATCCACATACATTATTTGAAATTCTTCATGAGAGATTTTTCTCTTATTCCCCGTTTATGTACTCAACATTCATGTAAGTATGGGTTCATGGGCATTTATACTTTGGGTTATAATCCCACGAAACTTAATTTTGTTGCCCAAATTGTTCCTGTGGCATGGCTACTTTGTCCATTTGACATGTCCTCATTGCTATGGACTGAACTGTGTAGCCCCCACCTCTCCAGTTCATAAGTTGAAACCCTAATCTCCAATGTGATGGTATTTGGAGATGTGGCCTTTCAGGTAATTAGGCTTAGATGAAGTCATGAGCATGGAGCCCTCATAAAGTGATAGTGACCTTATAAGTAGAGGCAACAGAGAGCTTGTTCTCCATCTCTCTCTGCTCCTGTGAAGGCATAGTGAAAAGGTGGCCATCTTCAAGCCAGAGAGTCCTCACCAGAACTCACAATGCTGGCACCCTGATCTCAGACTTCCAGCCTCCAGAACTGTAAGAAATAAATTTCTGTGGTTTAAGCCACCAGGTCCTTGACATTTTGTTATGGCAGCCCAAGCTAATGAGTACATCTGTCATTGTAGGGTTGTTTTGTTTTGTTTTGGTTTGGTTTTAAACCACTTCCTTACTTTCTGGCACTGTAAGATATTTCAGGTTCATGTTGTACATTTCCTGCTCCAGTCCTAGAATCAGCCATTTCTCTAAAGAGCCCTTGTTCTTTTTTTATTATTATTATTGAGGAATAGTATTAGAAGCCAACATTGGGTGTTAGGTATGCTTGTTGCTAATGGAGTGTGATTGTTTTCCGGCCCTCTAAGCTAGCAGAACAAGGAAATAGATGTATGCATAATAACCCTTGTATATACTAACATGCATATACACCTATCTATAAATATTTTTGTATGCAATCATCTGCATCTATATTAAACAAAACATAAGTTCATAGTCATGTCTACACCTCAAACACATTAGCACGTGAATTATTCTATCATGTTTCCCTTGCTTATCTTTAAGCTCCCACTTGAACAGTGAAAAACATGGCTCTCTCATCTACTGCAATTCATTTACTTGTTTAACTCCATTATACATGTATAGCAGCATCAGAACTGTTCACCCATCTGCCTGTGGAAAATATCTTTATCAACTAGAGTACAGTGCTTATGTGAACATTATTTTGCCTTTTATAGACTTTGCTTGTTTCCAAAGTTCTTTGTGCTTTGTGTCACCACCTTTCTCTCCCAGGTGTTTTAATGAGGTTGCTCCATGTATTTGTAATGTAGTTAGATCACTCTTTCCCAATCTGCATTATTTCTGGAATTCTATAACAACTAATTTATTTTTTAATATTGCTAAAGCCAGCTTGCATTAATTTCTGCTATTTGTAGCCAATCCAACTTAAACATTTTACAATAAAATCTATAAGGGTAGAACTTGCAAAGTGGGAAGGTCCACATCCAGCCCAAAAGATACCTTTGTGTAAATTAGAAAGAGACCCCCCCAACTTAAGACAGTTTATTTCCTACTGCCAGAAAATTGCCATAATAAACTACAAATAGCAAAGACCATGACATTGATGGTGCACCTTGCGTGTTTTGCCTGACATGCCAGACATTATGACGTGACCCTGTTTCATTTATCAGACACTAAACAAAAAAGTGAGTAGACATTTTTTTTTAGCAACAATGTGCAATTTTTCCAGCCTAGACATGAAAGCAGTGTGCATCTGAGGGCAATAAGGGAGACCTGTGACAAAGAACAGCTACAGAAATGAAGATTCTGAGAAGTTCCACTGTCCCTGGCAGGGCTTTCAGAACAATGAAGAGCAAAAACAATCAAACCAGCCCTATAGGATTCCAGACCATGCCAAGAACCAAGGTAGAAGCTTGCGTTAGAGGAGTTAGGACAAAAAGAGGAATGGTGAAACCCAAGAATAAGTTCAAAGTAGCACTAACATGAAGGTTTAATGAAAGCTAGGCCTAGAGCACTTTAAATTTCCCATAACAAAGCAATATTAACTTATCAACGTCTATTTCACTAATATATCTTCTTCCATTTACTCAATTTTTAAATTAATTGCCAATATATTAAGAAACCAGTAGATTGCATATGAAAATGCATATTTCTGTTTTCTGTCAAGCAGTTGGAAGATCTGACCACATGGGCCTATATTGCCACCTGATAACAGGCTGGAATAGAGTTGGGTCTCCCCCTTTGGAAGCCTATGGGCTATCTGGTTTGTCAGCAACCCTATCATTCACGCTTCTTAGCTCTGAGTTTCTGAGTTTACAGTCACTGCTTCAGAGTCTGCATCTGGGAGTTACCTAGCCTCAAGTATGAAAATTTAAGGGTCTCAGAACCAAGGAATCCGGTAGATCATTATATCCGTACCCTCAGCTTGGCACTTTAAAGCAGAGTGTGAGAATAGTTGCATGAGGGTGAATTAGTGACTCTACATACCCTATGGTTCTGAGTATTGCATTTTCATGACCATATACTTTATCATTAATTATACCTCAGTCTCTTTGAGTATCTACTATTTTCTAGCTTGTATAATTAAGGTAAGCTAAAATATCTATATATCCTTGTTTACTTTTTTATGAAAAACACATATCTTACAGGGATCCCACTGAGCTTGTAAGAAGTTCCATCTTGTTTGTGTTGGTTCCAAGTCCTTCCAGTTTTGGTCTTTGTGCTTTTGAATCATTTAACTATCATAACTGCACTGATCCCACCAAATGCAGTAGGAATTTATTTTCTCTTTTTAGGCCTTCACTCAAATTCATTGATAAGAAATATTGATCAGTACAGAGAAATACCTACAGAGTGTGCTCGAAGATCTAGAACTCTCCAAGCTGAAGAAGCTCTGTCACAAGGAAAACTATTCATATTGGCATCACTTTTCCCAGTTAGCTCATGATGGCCATTAGTAGCCCCACTTTCTATTCTAAGTACTCAAATCCATTTTTAATAACCTATTCTAAACTTTGGGAGGGGAACAATGCCAATTTAAACATTTGGTGCAAGCAGAATTTAATAATCTCCTCTTTTTGAAAACCAAAATATTTGACCGTGTTAGTGTTATAATCCCTTTTTCAGAGGTTTCCATAATTTGAAGATTCAAATAACAATTTACTTACCTCATCTACAAGAACTTATGTCTCTTGGATTTTATCTTGCCAGGAAAAAGCTAAATATCTTCTTATCTACATTGTATTTAATTTTAGTTATCAGTTAATTATGCTTCTTCTTACTCTTTCAATCTTGAAATTAAAGGATTTTAATCAAGATTTTAATAATTTTGCTTTCTCATATCAATATATTATCTTTCATAAGCAGTCTTAAAACTTCCTAAGTTTTTCAATGCAAAGGTTATTACTCACTCATCTTATAAAATAATTTCACGTGGATGTTTCATGAGACAACATTTGATTTTGAATACTCCTTTTGGAGCACCAGCAGAATGGAAAAGGAAAAATTATGCAAGATATGTACTGTTTAATAACTAAAATGTTTAATCTGTGTTATTTCTTTATATGAACCAACGAAATCTGAGGCGTATTTGCTTACCTATGTATGCATCACCACAGTTCTTTCAATTTCCCTTTTGATGCTATGCCTTGTATCTGCTTGGGGACTTATAAAACATTTCTTTAAGTTTCAATTTAACAATATGTTGATTAGTCAGCAAATACCCTATCTAACATATTATCCTTAGTTCTTTTTACAGGCTTCCTGTCACTTGGTAAAATTCTCCACTCTGTTATAAAATTTATTAAAATTATATGATTATTAATATTAACAATATAATACCAAGACTTTTGAATCTTGACTCAGTTTTTTGTTACACACACACACACACACACACACACACAGAGAGAGAGAGAGAGAGAGAGAGTGAGAGAGAGGTTCACGACAAGCCCTCTTTTGGAGTTAGCTAGCTAAATAGAGGGTCACTGCTATTTCTTCCTTTCAGTCCTGTACTACTTCCTACTGGTTATAAGGATATTAAACCTTATATAATGGTGGTTATTAAACCTTTAAGGACCACTTGAGAATCTGGTGGAGGCTGTAAGAGTCTCAGAACAATGCACACAGATTAATCAGGATATCACATGTATATGGAGGGAGTAAGATTTGGGGACTTTTAACATAGTGTTTTGTGGACCCTAGATTCAATACTCTCACACAGAAGTGACAACCCAGGGTTTTTTTTGTTGTTGTTATGTTTCTGGAGGCATTTTTCACTCTTCTGAGATTGAAGAACACACAGGTTGTCTGATGGGTAAGTGTTTTTTCACCTTGCTCTGCCTCAGCAGAACAGCAGTCTGCTTCTCCCAGTGGTTACCAGAAACAATAACAGTGGTTAGTAATAACTGATCTGAACGCAATCTTCTCTCTTCTTAAAAGGGTTTCTTTATGTGTAAAGCAGAGATTCTCGTCTGTTAGAGCCTAAAGATCCTCTCTTTATCTGCAGTAGGTGCTAAGAGCCTATGAACTTTATTATTAACAACAATTTCTGCAAACCTTTGAAACTCTGATAAACAAAGAAGCAGATTTTCTTATGTTCTTCCTTTCAGTTTATGCGGCTTATATTCTGTTTATTTCACCTTCTAGGGTTCCTCCCACTCCCTCTCCTCTCACCTTTTTCTTAATATTCATTTTGTGCAGTCTAGAATCTGTCTGCTCTAGTAAACAGAGTAGAGAGAAGATGTCCTCAAGACACCTTGTTTTCTAACAAGATCAGAGGCACCTGAGGACAGATGCTTTTATGTGCACCCATCAGGAATGCAGATGGCTCCTCCCCAGAAGTCAGCAGAGGAGTTTTCATAACTCTATTTGCAGTCACAGTATTTTGTGACCTTCCCTGGGAAAATTCTCTATAAACATCACAACAAATTGCTTATTTGCTCAGCCTTTTGACCCCTAGACCACTTGACCCTGTGTTGATTTACTCCCATTCCTGTTAGCTTGGGTTGATTCATTAATCATTTGCAATTGGCACTCACAAGAATTAGATGTCTCTTCCTTTCCTTCAGTAAACCCGCAGAGACCCTTTACTTCTTTTGTAAAATCTTTTGTAGTTAGTGTCAGGCTGGACATTGAGTGATTTATTTTGGTTTGGGAAAAGATAAGGTTTGTACCTCAGCTTTGAGCATGATAAAGAAGTACTTCCAGACTGGTCAGTTACAGCAGTGGTAGTAGTGTTCTTCTCCCATTGAGTTTGAAACTTTACTCTGGATATTTAAGTGAATGGACCACGATCCCCAGTAATCACTCTTATCAGACATAGTGGATAAAGCATGAAGCTTTAAAAACAACTGCTGTCTTTTAAGTAGAAGGTTGTTGATTCTTTCTCATGGATGGTTAAAGCATTCATTAGATGAAGAATAAACAAGTTTAAAATTTACCAGTCTACCTTGGCTTTGATGTCAACTGCTGATTTTTGTAGCCTGAAAGGTAAAAATAATAAAAATCCCACATAAATGGATCAACAGGGGTCCTAATTAAAATTCTTTAATATTTGAAAAATAATTTTTCTAACATTTAGCTTTCTTTTTGGTTATCTTCCTAAAAGTGACTTTGGCCAAGTATAATATACTATTTAGATAATAATAGGATTTCTACTTATAAATAGAAATGCCTCATTTTAAAAATGCCTGTTGGATTATTTCATTTTATTTCTGGGCTTCTGGGCTTTAAACATCCATAGCTTTGATGTATGCCAAATATAAAAAATAAATTTGCTGAGAAAGGAATTACAATTGATTATAAATAATGTTTTTGCAGGCTCAGTGTGTGGTTTTTCTTATTGATTTTACTACATGCAAAATTAAGTTATCCTGAATTACTTTTGTAATTATTAATAATAGTTGTCAGCGTAATTATAAGGCCTTTCACCCAGACAATCAACGCATTCTACTGATTTCTCCTGTTAATTAAATACATGGAGAGTTAAGTAATCAGTGTAAATCCAGGGAAGTAGAGCAACAACTAAAAGTATGGTTATTTATTGACCATTTGTTTAAAAAAAAGTCATTTTCTGAAGACTATTCAAACCAATGACATCTAGAAAATTATATGGACACACTTAGGCAGGATACGGTGGCTCACGCCTGTAATCCCAGCACTTTGGGAGGCTGTGGGCAGGTCACGAGGTCAGGAGTTTGAGACCAGCCTGACCAACAAAATGAAACCCCATCTTTACTAAAAATACAAAAAATCAGCTGGGTGTGGTGGCAGGTGCCTCAGCTACTCAGGAGGCTGAGGCAGGAGAACCACTTGAACCTGAGAAGCGCAGGTTGCAGTGAGCTGACATTGCGCCACTGCACTCCAGCCTGGGCGACACTGCGAGACTGTCTCAAAAAAAAAAAAAAATTATATGGACACACTTTTCCTGGAAAAGATAAAATTTACAGTCTTTGGATTATATTAATAGCATTAAAAAGAAGTATAGACAAAAATTTGGACAAAACCGTTAAAAATGCTCGTTATTATAGGAGTAAACTCTGAGTTGCAAAAGGACCCAATTAATCTGAATGGAAGATTTCTCTCCCGCCTTCTCCTTCTTCTCTTCCTTCAATGAAATCCTTTTTACCTATATGTCACTTTGTATTTTAGTAGTCTAGGAAGACCTGAAGCAAAGCTACTGAATATCCTAAAGAGAATCTAATCCAGATACAGAAAGTGTTACAGATCTCCTAGTGGATACGTAGCTGTATTTTGTGGTCCTACCAGAACTTTTGGCTAGAAAAGCACATGAGTTCACAGTTAACTCATAAAACTTAATGTGGGTAAAGTGAACATTTGATTCTTTCTTTGCAAAAGACAAAAATGTTTTTGTGAAAACTTTCTTATATCAATCATCCAGTTAACAGGCACATAAAGAAATCTGTGCACCTTGCTTTGTTAGTAGCTATGCAAATACAGATCTATGATTTCTTATCTACAATTCTGAAATCTCAAATCTGAGAAAACTAAAAGCTTTCTTTTAAGTCATTTGGCTGCGAAACCTGACTTCTACTGAGCTGAGGTGACTTATAATCTTGGTAAAGCTATATTCAATTTGAATATTCATGCATTTCAGTACAGAATATTAATGTGTTTGATTATTGGATGCTACTTCAGACCTCACTGGAGGTATAAAATATGCAGCCTTTGCTGTGTATTATCTTTCTAAAATCTGAAAAATTCTAATTATGAAATATATGAGGCTTAAGAGTTTCAGTTAAGGGACTATGGGCCTGTGCTACCACCATTGTAAATTACTTAGCAAAATGTTTTATAATTAGTTCTTCAGTATGTATTTTTATAGCATAATGATTTCATGTTATGATCAATATAAAAGTTTGGCAAATAAACTTTATAAGAGTAAAATATACCTTTTGAATTATCTTTCTATTGGGTATTTACTGTGTGTGTGGTTCCACTAAGTGCTTTTTACATATGTATATTATACAGATTAGAAGACTAAGGTTAAGTAATGTGCCCAAGGTCATATAGGTAGTAAGTATTAGAGCCAGACCTTAGAGTCAGGTATTTCTAATTCTAGTGCCATGGACTCAAAAAAAAATGCAATATATTATTTCTATTATATTATTATTTTTGTTCCTACTTTTGTTATGTTACTGATTTTGTGGTTAAAAATATTAAAACCTTAAACCCAGTTTTAGAGGGATTAACTTATGTAATAATGAGAGGTGAAGTTGGCTGCGCTTCTAGGTCGGGTAGGGACTTGAGGAACTTTTCTGTCTAGCTAAAGGATTGTAAATGCGCCAATCAGTGCTGTGTCTAGCTAAAGGTTTGTAAATGCATCAATCAGCACTCTGTAAAAACGCACCAATCAGTGCTCTGTGTCTAGCTAAAGGTTTGTAAACGCACCAATCAGCACTCTGTAAAATGGACCAATCAGCAGGACGTGGGCGGGGCCAAATAAGAGAATAAAAGCTGGCCACCCAGCCAGCAGAGGCAACCCACTTGGGTCCCCTTCCATGCAGTGGAAGCTTAGTTCTTTCACTCTTCACCATAAATCTTGCTGCTGCTCACTCTTTGGGTCCACACTACCTTATGAGCTGTAACACTCACTGCGAAGGTCTGCAGCTTCACTCCTGAAGTCAGCAAGATCACGAACCCACCAGAAGGAAGAAACTCCAGATGCACCACCTTTAAGAGCTGTAACACTCATTGCAAAGGTCTGTGGCTTCACTCCTGAAGTCAACGAGACCACGAACCCACCGGAAGGAAGAAACTCTGGACACATCTGAACATCAGAAGGAACAAACTCCAGACACACCATCTTTAAGAACTGTAACATTCATTGCGAGGGTCCGTGGCTTCACGCTTGAAGTCAGCGAGACCAAGATCCTACTGGAAGGAACCAATTCTGGACACAATAATACAACAACCCTCTGAGGTATGATATTCCCATTACACAGATGAAGAAACTGAGTGTCAGTGAGGTCAGGGAATTAGCCCAAGAGCTACCCAACTAGTAAATAATTGAGGCAGATTTTGATACCAGGTAGTCTGAGTTTCATGCTCTTAACCATTTGCTGAAATGTAAACTCTTCAGAATTGCTTCTTTATGGACTGGTAAAACACTCAGTTCATCAATTATGGTCTCCATTTTTTAATGTTTCTGTTGTAACTTAAATTCTTAGCTTTACTTTATCCTTAATACCAGCAAATCATTGATATACATGATGCTTGACAGTAAAAATGTGTTGAGTCATGTCCTGGTGGACTATGAGGAGACATGCATGATCACAAGTTGCTGTCCAACGTCTTAAACATAAATACAAATATTTTAAGGTGATGAATTAAAACCAGTCATTTTTATTAAATTATATAGAAATATGATTTAATTTTTAAGTTTTATTTTGTTCAGAATCAACTTTATACACATAAACAAATATGTGTACCTCTACCTCCATATTCTTTTGTTTTAAGCCCAAAAGTTAGCATATTATCTATATCCTCTGCACCTTTTTTTAAACTTTGATTTTTTTTTTTTGCATATAGTTTTATATCAATAGCATGAAACACGGTATATTTCAAATATAATGGATAATTTCAAACATAACATAAAAGTTGGCACAATAGGAAAGACATTATAAAGAACTTATATCAACTCATCACCCAGCTTCACCAATTAATAACTCTCAGACAGTTTTTTGTCATCTGTACCCTCACCCTCTTTCTTTCTTTTCTATATTGTTTTGATGTGAGTCTCAAACATTATTATTGGATAGTTAATGACAAAAATGGGAGTCTTTAAGATGCTGGATTTGTTTGAAGTGTATATCATGCATAATGCTCCTCATTTTTTAAAATCTGTGGTAGCATCTTACCATTTATCAACTACTATATGTAACAAGAGAACCAATAAATGCTAATACTGGTGGAGTGGCTGTGTATGGCAATATGTGAGTGGCAATATGTTTACTCAGTGCATGATCATTTTTAAAGTCAACTTTTTTACATTACCATCGGTAATTGCCAGATCAGAGTAGGTAACTGCTGCACTACTGGTATAGAACCCTCTAAAGTGATGTTAAAAGTATATATTTACAATTGCTGATGCAAATGGCTCATATGGACGCAATAGCTATGATTGAAGTTGATTCGTTTTGATCAATTAAATCAATGGTGATAACAAGATAAGCTAAATCATCATGTGGAAAACATTGATTTTTCATGGGTGTATAGTCGGACTCACTGAATCCATATGTCTCAAAATAAAACAACGTCTTTTGCTTTGTTTAGAAATTAGCTGCTGTTGCAAAAAATGAGTGGTGACTTTAGAAATTCTGACTGAAATAGCCACAAAGTCTGGGGGCAGGCTACCAATGGTTATATGGAAACACTAAAGAATTTTAGCACTGAATCAAGCTGAAATCATCAATGGAAATGCTATTGCTTACTTCAGGTATCTAATGTTTATAAAGTGGGGAATAATTATTTAAGAATAAATAGCCATGAAATCTTCTATCTTCCAGAATTTTTCATTCAAATAATTTGACATGTTCATTAAAATAAAATTGGCCAATAAAATTTTGGAGAGCAATTTTGATAATTTTGAATGCAGTTTAAAAATCTTTAGAAGAATGCATGTATATGTAAGAGAGATATGCCTGGTGAGAGAAAAAACATATTTATTTATTTCGAGATGAGTTCTTGCTCTGTCACTCAAGCTGGAGTGCAGTGGCATGACTATAGTTCACTGCAGCCTTGAACTCCTGGGTTCAAATGACCCTTCTGCCTCAGCTGCCCAAGTAGCTGAGAGTACTTTTTAAAATTTTTTTGTAGAGGTGAGGTCTCACTATGTGGACCAGGCTGGCCTTGAACTCCTGGCTTTAAGTGATCCTCCTGCCTCAGTCTCCCAAAGTGCTGGGATTATAGGCGTGAGCCACTGTGCCCAGCATAAAAAAAAATTATTCTCTGTTTATTACACTGCTACTTTAACATGCTTTATTTTGTCAGTTTTTATAACATTTTGTTTGGTTTTAGGGAATTAATGCTTCTGAAAATATGTATCTGTTATATTTTTCACTGTTTAGTATTTTTATTTTATTTAAATAGGTTTATATCAGAAATCTAACTCATACTGCTGAAATAACTTTATAAATTATTCACTTCCAGTACCTCAAATTGAGATACTCATCCAGGAATCAACTAAGTCTTAGATAAAGGGTTTTCTGCTTAGAGAGTTCATGGTTCTGTATTTTACAAAAACTGATGGAAGCTTCTATTATATTGAGCCCAAAGAGGATCTCATGAAACGATAAAGAAAGATGGTTTTCTGAAAAGATGAATAAGGAAGAGAAGAGAGGTTGGGTTACTGCTGTGAAATGCTCAGAACATTGCATTTCAGTGAATCATGAAGAATAGTAAGCAATAGAAAGAGTCAATTCCAGTTCCTTTTTTTAATTCCATCCAAACAAGGAAATAGGTTTATCAGAATTATTACTAGATATCCTATTCCTACAACCTACTGTATAAGCATATCCTACAACTTAACATTGTTACATATATTACTACATACTTAGATTTGCTTTTAAAAAATTGTATAATATTCTATTTTAAAATAATTTCAAACTTACAGAAAATTGCAAGAATTCAAATGACTATTTACTCCTTACCTAGACTTCCCAATGGCTAACATTTACCATATTTGCTTTATCATTCTCTGAATATACACACGCACACACAATTTTTTTTGTGAACCTTATTGAGAGTAAATGCCCCTTTATCCTTAAATACTTCAACATATATTACCTAAGAGCAAGAACACTCTTATACAACACAAAACAATGACCAAACTCATTAACTTAATGTAGAGATGTCTAATCTACAGGGTTTATTCAAATTTTGCCAATTACTTTTAATGTCATTTATAGTCATATATGTGTGTGTACATATATGTATTTCTTATCTAGTTTAGGATCTGAACCCAAATCACACATTTGGTTTGATTATAATATCTCTTTATTCTGGAACTGTTTCTCAGTATTTCTTTCTTTCATGACCTTGCCATTTTTTGAGTATAAGCTAGTTTTGTGTAGAATTGCCATCAACTTCAGTTTTTCTGATATTTTCCACATGATTATGTTCAGGTTATGAAGAATTTGAAGACCCTTAGAATAATGAGGAATGAATGTTACTTAAGGGATATGTATCTGGCAAAGAAGACAGTATTTCAATTCTCTTTATTAAATTGCTACTTTCATATGCTTTAGTATTATGTCAGCTTTTGTATTAACTGTCTGGTTTTAGGTAATGTTTTTAAAAAAATAGAATGAATAAGACCTAGTATTTGATAACACAACAGGGTGACTATAGTCAATAATAATTTAATAGTACGTTTAAAAATAAGAGTATAATTGAATTGTTTGTAACACAAAGGATAAATGCTTGAGGTGATGGATACTCATCCTGATGGATGTGGTTATTACCTACTGTATACTTGTATAGTATATCACATATACTACATAAATATGTATGTCTACTATCTACTCACAAAAATTAAAAATTACAGGAACAAACAAAAAACCCAGATATCTCTTTTAATGTTTGATATTTTTATATGACTTGAGTAGGTTTCTGGCAGGAGCACCACAGATGTGATGTATCCTCAGTGTGTCTTATCAGAAGTCATATGATGTTGGTTTGTCCCCTACTAGTGATCTTAACTTTAATTATTTGGTTAACGTAGAGTTTGCCTGATTTCTCCCCTAGAAAGTAGTTTTTTACTCTTTGTAATTACTAAGTAATTTGTGAGAAGATACTTTAGAATTGTGTAAATAGTTTGCTTTTCATCAAACCTTTAACCATTGGTTTTAGCATCCAATAAATATTCTTGTACAATTGACTCATTATCATGGGTGCTAATGCTAATTTTCTAACTTCCTTACTGTTTCTACATTTGTCAGTTGGATTCCATTATAAGGAAGAAATTTGAGTTATGTCTATTTGTTTATTCATTTATTTATATCAGCATAGATTCATGGATTCTTTTATTAAATCGAGGTAAGTGCATTCATTTAAGGGTGCAGTTTTAGGTTCACAGCAAATTGAGTGGAAAGTACAAAGAGTTTCCATATGCCTCTGTCCCCACATGTACATAGCCTCCTCTACAACATCACACATGAGAGTGGTACCTTTGCTACACTCCATGAACCTCCACTGTTACATTATTATCACCCAAAGTCCATAGTGTAAATTAGGGTTCACTCTTGGTGTTATGCCCAAAACACTGAAAGATCAAACATGTTGCTGAACACTTAGAAACTAGCCTGGGCCCTGAGCTTAAATTTCTTTAACCTCCATATAAACTCTATCACCCCACCCCTTTGTAATGGATATTCCTAGGTAGAAAATCTTTCCTTGCTGTCCATCATGAGGAAGCTGAAGCCCCTTCTGTATTAAGTTCCCCTAATAAATGGTTTGGTTTGATCATCCTGGCATTTAGTGCTTCCTTCTTTGGAATTCCACCCAGCCTCTTCTTCAGACAGTTTGGGGTAGTCCTTTGTGGGAATCCTCCTGCTGCTTTAGGGGCGACTCCAGCTGCAGGTTCAGTAGGACGGAAACTCACCATTAAGTATGATGTCAGCTCTAGGCTTTTGTCGATGATCTTGATTCAATTGAGGAAGTCCCCCTCTCTTTCTAGTTTGCTGAGAGTTTTTATTATGAATAGGTGTTACCTTTTGTCAAATGTGTTCTCTGCATCTTTTGCTATAACTTGCTATAATCTTATGATTCTTTTCTTTAGCCTGTTGATATGATGGATTATACTAATTCATTTTTAATATTAAAAAAACTGCAGTCTTTATTTTTAAAAGAAAAAAGTATTTTACTTTATGTAAACCATGTTACTTTTGCCCCTTATATCAAAGGGAATAAAGAAAAATTTGTAGTTTAAATTGCTTCTTTTTACATGAATGCTGAAAAGTCTTCTAAGAAAGTACAGCAGTCTCTTGGTGTCCTTGAGGAATTGGTTCTAGGACTCTGTATGTATAAAAAAAAAGTCCCCAATATAAAATGGCATAGTATTTACATATAAATTGTACATATTCTCCTGTCTCCTTTTTTTTTTTGAGACAGAGTCTCGCTCTTTCGCTCAGGCTGGAGCGCGGTGGCGCAATCTTGGCTCACTGCAACCTCTGCCTCCTGGGTTCAAGCGATTCTCCTGCCGCAGCCTCCCGAGTAGCTGGGACTGCAGGAGTATGCCACCATGCCGGCTAATTTTTTGTATTTTTAGTAGAGACAAGTTTTCACCATGTTAGTCAGGATGGTGTCTATCTCCTGACCTCATGACCTGCCTGCCTTGGCCTCCCAAAGTGGTGGGATTACAGGCGTGAGCCACCGCACCTGGCCTCTCCTGCACACTTTAATAAATCATCTCTAGATTACTTATGATATATAATATGATGTAGATGCTATTAAAATACTTGTTGTATTGTTTAGAAAATAAGGGCAAGGACAAAAGTCTGTACACGTTCAGTATGCACACAATTTTTTCATATATTTTTTTTTACTGCAATGTTTATGTTAGAACATTAATTCCTTTTAAAATTTGAGTCGGACTCGCATACCTGGGAAAAAAATCTTACTTCGGCATGTCATGGTGTATAATTCTTTTTATACATCATTGGATTCAGTTTGCTAGTATTTTGGTGAGGACTGTTTCTATGTTCATGAGAGAGATTGGCTCTAGTTTTCTTACAATATCTTTGTTAAGTTTTGGTATTAGGGTAATGCTGGTCTCTTAGAATGAGTTAGAAAGTATTGCCTCTGCTTCCATCTTCTGGAATAGTTTATAGAGAATTGGAATAATTTCTTCCTCAAATGTTTGGTTCCTTTTTTTTATGAAAGTTTCAGATCTGTAACTAAATAAATTAAATCTTCATCATAAGTGACTTTGCTAGTTTCTTTGGTATCTCTTATTTGAATGAAGCTCCTTGTCTAGTAGATAACTCGAGAAGAACTCATAGTTACATAACTGCTTACATTCTTGGTTATTTAAATTTGTTTTCCTTTATTATTGACACTTAAGAGGTTGGATTGCTTGGCTGGATTAAAACAATCCCTTTGTTCATATCTGCTTTTCTTGAGGTTTTTTTTAAAAAGATACTCCACTATTGCTTTACTTTGTGGATTGCTTTGGAGAATTTTCTGACTGTCTACTTGTACATTATTTGATCTTTATGCCTAGAGGTTTATGCTGAGAGGATATTTTTTCTTCAAATTCTAACAGTTTTACTATGATATATCTAGACATTGATAAATCTGCGTCAATTTGTCTAGGTGCTAATTACACCCTGTCAATTAATAAATTTAGATCTTTTATTTCCAGAATAGTTCCTTGTGCTAAGGTTAAATTTTCTGTTTTCCTTTCTCGGGGACTCAAATTATACAAATATTAGATTGTTTTGAATACTTTCATAGCCATTTTCTTTTCTGACTTTTTGTACAACTTTATCTTATTTTTAATCTCCTGGTTGTGTTTCTTTAATGCTATTATATTGCATTCAAAGTTAATTTTCTTTGGCAATGTTTAATTTTTTCCTTTTTGATATACTTTTGTCCTTTTTTCTATCTTTCCTGAGTCTAATAAACTTATTTGGTTTTTAATTTTTGAAATTATTTGAGGTGATTTTTAAATGTTTGTTTGTTATTGAATTTTAAGAGTTTTAAAAATATATATTCTAGACATTAGATCCTTTTTAGGCATATTATTTGCAAATGTTTTCTCCCATTATATAGGTATCCTTCCTCTTCCTTGAATATGTTCTTTGAATGCAGCAACATTTTTAGTTTTGAGGAATAAGTTTTCTTTTGTTATGCTTTTTGAGGAGTAAGAGTTTTCTTTTGTTGCTCATGCTTTTAGTGTCATACCTAAGAATCCATTGCCAAGTCCAAGGTCATGGAGATTTATTCCTAGGCTTTCTTCTAACATCTTTATAGTTTTACCGCTCATATTTAAGTTATTTATCCATTATGAGTTTATTTTTTTGTATATGGTATGAGGTAGGAGTCCAACTTCATTCTTTTGCATATGGACACCTATAATGCATTATTTGTTAAAGTGACTATTCATGAATGTGTCATTTATGATCGCTATGGCATGCATTATTTGTTAAGGTGACTATGCTTCCTTCACTGAGTGGCTGTGACACCCTTTTTCATACAGGTTTATTTCTCAATTCTATTCCATTGGTCTATATGCTTAGCTGTATGGCAGTACCACATGATTTCAATTACTGTAGCTTAGTAGTTAGATTTAAAGTAGAGAAGTATCAATGTTCCAGTTTTTTTCTTCCTTTTCAGTATAGTTTTGCCTTTTTAAGAAAACACTAATTCCTCTTAAGCTCTTCCAAAAAGAGAAAGAAAAAAACAGGAAAACAAAACTCTGTCAGTCTTTGCAGATTGGCTCTCCAATACTTGGCTGGTTTATGTACAACTCTGCCTAGACCTTAACTTACTGCTCACCCTGAGTAACTAGAGGTGAAAGCTTAGGGTCTTCGAAAGTCTTTTCTGCACATGCGCTTTGCCTTGCATATGCACATGACTTCTTAAATTTCTCAATATGCAGGAGTGCTTCTGAATTTCCTAATAACCCAAAGGAATGTTCTCACCAACTTTTCCTGCCAGGGTATCTGTGTCTATTTTTTGCCACAATTATTCACTTCCCTTGCAATGACTTTTAGGAATACCCTCTGCATACCTGCTTTACTGCCCTGAGTGTACTCTGCTTTAGGTAAAACAAAAGCAAATGTTTTGAGTCAGCTCCTAAGGTAGCCCCCGGACAAGTTAGCATAGACAAACACAATTCTTCGAGAATAAGATCTGCTGTGCTGTCCCCAGAATCAGGGACCAGTGTCCCACACTGTGAATGTGGGCTGCCCTCTCAAGACAACCACTGGGCTGGGAAGGTAGGTGGGGCTAGGGCAAGTAAAAATGCCACAAATCTTTTCTACAATTTCTAAGTTGTGTCCTTCTTGATTCAGAGTTTCCTTGGTTCCTGTAAGTCTTTGAATTTTTCCAGAATTATTACAAAGTTGATTTTCAAAGTTATCCGTGATTTTTCAGAAATTCTGTGGATGGACAGGTCCTTGGAGCTACCTGCACTGCCATTTTTGTTGAAGTCATTCTGTATGTGAATTTTTACATCGCATCTCTATGGTCAATGCTTGGATGTACCCGGGCTCTTTTTGTTTGTATTTTGTTTCTTTTTAATATATCTTTTCTTCTTAGTTGGGACTTTCTATTTGTGGGAACATATTTTTTTTTTCTCAATCCCCTCTTCTCTTTTTGGTACACTTTCCAAATCCCACATAGTCTCTGCAAAAGGTTGTAGCAGGAGCTGCAGAAATGTTCCAATAGTAATTGGTACATATTTTTCTACTTCCAGGTAAATGAAGATTGTTGTGTTTTTTGTTTTTAAGCTTTTCTGAAAAGATAAAAATTTTATTCCTTTTGTTTATCTGTATAATTTTTGAATGAAGCATGGAGAGATTTGAATTTAGACAGCTATCATTATCTTAACCGGAAGTCCTTTTACTACATTTTATTTTGTTTCTTTAATTGACTGTTATTGTTTTAAAAAAAAATTGTGACAGGACCTGTTACCTAGGCTGTACTGAAGTGGCACAATCATTGTTCACTTAACCTCGAACTTCTGAGCTCAAGCAATTCTCTTGCCTCAGCCTCCTCTCACCTCTTGCCTCAGTAGCTACCACTGCAGTTGTGTACCATCATGCCTGGCAATTGTCTTTTCAATTTATTTACTTTTTATAGAGACAAGGTCTTGCTGTATTGCCCAGGCTGGTCTCTAACTCCTGGTCTAGCTCCTGGCCTCAAGTCATTCTCCCAGCCTTGGCCTCCCAAAGTGCTGCAGTTACAGGTGTGAGCTACCACTTGGCCTGTTATTATCATTTTTATTCAAATGTATTTATTATTGATCATTATTTTAAGAGATGTTATTTACTGAGTATATCTTGTCAAGCTCTACGCTCTGTTTAGTGTTGGAAATGTGAAGAGACTTGCAATGATCAGTGTTCTCAGGGACTTGTATTCTAAGGAAGAGATAAACAGTGAATTTAATATAATGCGATCATTGCTGTCATTGGTTACCACACTCTATTAAAGGGTCAGTGTATATAATGTGTATGTGTATTATCCCCATAGTCTTAAGAGATATCTTCTGTTGACAAATGGGAAACTCAAAAGCTATTCTGTGTAATTCAACAAGAAGATGATGTATATCTTGTAACATTATGGACTGGCAACAGCTGCAGTCAGAAAGAAGTTACCAACTAAAATCAAACAAAAAATACAAGGGAAAGGATGGTTTGCTTTCATATCTCTAAATCTTCAGGTTTTTATATTGTAATTTATAAACATTGTTGAGTATCTACTCTGAGTAGGGCCTTATTATGGGTTGGTCATCTATCAGCGAATAATAAAAGATAAATAAGACCAAATCATTACCTTCCAGATATCTAGAACAAGTCTGTGGAGACAAACACATACGTGAGTTATTTAAAATCAAGACAAGACTTGTGACAAGTGCTGTAATAATGCTAAATCTGAAGCACGGGCAAACGCTACGTAAGAAGGTTAGGTGCTGGGTACCTAGCTAGAGTTCTAGAAGCAGACAGGTATTTTTGAAAGCTTTAGGAAATGTTTCCATTGGTAAAATATTAATTCCTTTGCATATTGAGGCTTTGATTTAAATACTGTTAAGTCATGCCAGCCTCTTTATGAGAGCAGACTTTTCAAGTCTGGAGTGAAACAATAAATATCAGGGACAGCTACAGGCAAGAATACAGGAAGGGACAATAAAACTGACTTCACTAGCCAAGCCTCTAAGTATTTGTAAGGTAGGATGCTGACCGAACTTTTGATTGGATTGCATCCTGTAATTGTTGCACTCGTGAAATAATTAAATGATGTGTTCTTTGCTTTTATAAAAGGAGGGTGGGTGCATAGAAGCCTAGAAGCTGTAACTTACGGCTATGTCAAATCAAGATTTATCTGTAGATAAAAAATAGCTGGTTTGGCAACAAGAATTTTTAACTGTTGAATCTGATTCTGGATTTAATTAGTTGTTTTTGCTTATAGATTGACGATGTTGACTTGTAACAGTTTGTGATTATGACAATATTGCTTATGTGGGATTTTTCCTGATATTTTACTTCTTAGAATAGGTTCTGCCTGGCAGAGCACTGTGTGTTTATTGAATTGAAATAAGCCTACCCCAATTCTGTTGCATGTGTAAGGTAATATTGCTCAATTAGTTTTACACCAGGAATTGATTTATTTTCTATATTGTTTTTCGTAAGCTGAATCATAGTTTACAGTTTTGCTTCTGAACATTTGAGGTTTGTAGCACTCTGCTCCCAACAGTTAAGGAAGGCTGTATAATATTAAACTAATTATGTGTACCATTTGAACCAGGAATTACAAGCTAGTGACCATAGCGCTGAAGGTAAAGCACATGAGCTTTCCATCACGTGTGCATCCTGCCATACCCACACAGCTTTAAATGTTAAAACATTTGTTACTGATATTTTAAAATCACATGAAATTTGGATTTCTGGCTTATCTTGAAAATCTAAAGCATCTGGCAATGCTGCACCCAAGTTCCTACATGGCAAATCTCAACTAGAATGAAGAGATTCTACAATCCCACTTTACACTGACTGCATTTCTGCCTTCTCTATTTCTTTATGCTTTTCTACTTTACTGCATGGCCACTGCAGAAATTTGGGCCTACATAAAAGCTATTGAACTCACATTCCAAATCCCAAAATTACCAAACTTAAAAGTTCTCCTTCCTTTCTTTTTATTGGCCAAATATACAGCAACAGTAATAACATAAGTCCCATTGAAGTCAGATACAATTTAAAGAAATCATTCGGATGTTTTAGCAAGACCCTAGGAGTGGCCATATGTGTTCATGTCTCAGTCAGTTTGTGCTTCTATAACAAATTACTGTATACTGGGTTGTTGGGAGAAAAGCTGAGTGTTGGGAGAAGCTGAGGCAGGGCTTGCATGTCTGGTATAATGTAAAAGAGTCTTGGAACATGTCCGGGGTCCAGGGTCTAAAACCCCTTGTGGCCTTTGGAATGCCAAGCTCTGTGCTAAAGGGTAGAAGGGCTACCCTGACGCACCATAATCTAAGCCCAGGGCATAAAACCCCTCGTGGCTTGGATAGAATCCAGGGCTCGTGGCTCTGGAATGTGTCTAGACTTGCTGGCTCCTTGCTCTCCCAGGATCGATTGTATCTTGAGTTAAAAGAACCTGCTCTCCGTTATCTCAAGTAGCACAGCATATGCTAAATCATCACAGCTGTAAATCATGTGCTTAATGCAACACGCCCTTTCGACCCCCACATTCTCACCACCTGTTTCTTTGTTGGATTACCAATAAATAGCATGGGCTTCCAGAGCTCGGGGCCTTTGCAGCCTCCATACATTAGCGATGGCTTCCTGGACCCACTTTCTCTCTCAAACTGTCTTTTCTCATTCCTTTGACTCCGTCAGACTTCATCACCCCCATCACCTGGTGTTGGGTCCGATCACCCCAACACTGGGTGGCCTAAACAATTGAAGTGTATTATTTACAGCTCTGAAGCCTGAGGAGTCTGAAGAAATGAGACTCACAAATATTTAGTAATATATATGTTTAATGAAAAATAATAAAATTTCAGAATAGGTGGAAAACAATCATTTTTTGTTTATCTTGAATTTAGATTTGAGTATGTTTGCCAACGTATAAATACTTTTGTAGTCAAGAACGTATCTATTATATATCTATTTAAAAATCATTTGATAGATATAAAGATCTTACCAGTAACTTAATGTCACTCAATTATTTTTCATTGTCATTGTTGTTAGAATTTAATGAGGTGATATCTTGATGGAATTCTGGTCAGGAAAAGATACTACCTACATTTTAGTTTCACAGAGATGGGAATGGTGACAGAGTCAAGAACCCATGATGGGCTTTTTTTCCCCAACAAATTTATAGCCAGAGCAAGGAAAGAAGATTTACAGTCTTTTACTTCCAAGTGAAAACTGTTTTTTTTTTCTTTTCCTTCTTCAAAGCTATTTGTGTAGGTCAAATTTGAGAACAATAGTTTGGGAGAAAAAATATACCACAAGAAGTTGATATTCTTTAGAAATTGTACTTTTGTTTTTAAATTTTCCTTTGTTATATTTATCAAGAGCAAAAAGTAGGGTAAGTCAAGTCTTCATCTTCCAACATTGCACCATAGAACGTTAATGTTAAAATTCTTCTGTGGTTATTATGCAACTTCCCTCTCCCTTTTTCTCCCTCCAGCTGTCTACCAAATCAGTTTTATTAGTAACTTTAACATGTTTTTGTTAGTTTTTATTTATTAGACTATTATCAGTAATATGTTTATAATGATCATTGTAATATTAATGTTTAATATATTTTTAGAAACCATCGTAAAATTCTTTTTGGATACTCTTTCAACAGATATTTATTGAACACTTACTCTGTATAAGTCATGTACTTGGCTAGGAGCTAGAATTAAGTAGTTAATAATCTGGATTTGTTTCTAGAGCATGGTAAAAATCCCAGGACTACGGAATTTCTTAATGTATGAATTTGGACAAATTACTTAAATTCTCTCACCCTCAGTTTCTTTATGTATATAAAGATAGTTTACACTATCTCAAAGTGCAAAAACCCTAAATCAGTCAGGGTTCTCTAGAGAATTCATTGATGGGCCATGGCTCACTTTTGATGATTCAGGTAGGACTTTTATTCGCTGGACCTAGAATGTTGCCACTTAAACAGATGAAGTAAGAATTTAGTTGACTGCTCAACTATTTTATGTCTAGGAACACTGTGATCAACTAGCCATAGGTTTCTGCAAATTGGACTATTTTGATTACCGCTTTGACTGTGCTGTCCCTTGTGGTAATCATGCCCGCCATGCCTTTAGCAAATAAGTGTTGCATCTTAGCCCCTGCCACTTCCAGATCCAATGACTCCCCACTGCATTTAGGTTTCCAATTCTGTGGCAGCAGTCCCCGCTGTATTTTCTGACCTATAGAAAAGAGTAACTACAGAACTCTTCAAGGATGCTGGGCTTCCCTCACAAATGGATTTCTCACAGTCATGGTTACCATGTGGTTAAAGATGTGCCCTCTGGCCCCTTTCAGGATAGGCGAGCAGGTCTTAAGTGATAAATGCACTCTAACATTGCAATATCCGTCAGCTTTTGGAGCCATTCCTCTACAGAAGACTGAGGCACTTACTGGGGCTGGTAGGTCCAGGACAGGTTGGAAATTCTGGCAAGCACTGACATTGCAGTCATGATTCCAAGGGCAGTTGGGAGCACAGCTCCTTCCTTTTCAGTGAACCTCAACCTTTTCTTTTAAAGTTTTTAACTGATTGGATGAGGCTCTCCCACATTATAAAGGGTCGTCTACTTTAAAAGTCTACTGACTTAAATGTTCATTACAACTAAAAATACAAAAACCTCAGCAGCAACATATGGATCAGTATATGACCACATAATGGCACAATAGCCTAGCCAAGTTGACACATAAATTAAACCATCACAGGTAAGCCCAAAGACTGGCACAGGGTAGCTACGACTGTTGCCCAGAAGGTTCTCTTTTCTCTAGTAATTGAAGCACCATGTCTTACTCCCACTCTTATGGTTGGATTGCAGTTAATTGACTCTTAGCTCCAAGAATTGACACAGTCACCAGATTTGTCCAGTCCTTGTGCATCCTTGGCCTCACTAATTTGTTTAAGATGGGCATATGACCTAGTCAGAGTTAGAATGACAGCGAGGAAAAAAAAACACATTTTTTTTTTTTCTGCTGGGCCTGCTTAGAGAATTGAAGGAGGGCTGAGGGCTATTGGCAGACACCTTTATACCTGAAAAGATGAGCCTATCTGAGAATGGACACAACTGACGAAGAATTACAACTGAGAGATAGAGTACAAGAAGGTCCTGATAATATTTCCTAACATTTCATGACAGCACAGTTCTCAGTCATCTCAATAATGTCTTAAGCCCTTAAGCCAATATATTAATATATGTTTTCAGACTTAGCTAGTGGTATTTATGTCCTAAATAATACTAGCATTAAAATTTCCTTTCACTCCACTGCCAGGGCATTTGGTATCTGGTATCACATATTAAGGCAGGGCATTGGAGGCAGGAGGAGCAGTTTGCCCAGGATGCATTGTATGTAGAGAATATAAAAACAATAATAACACAGGCTAAATCTCGGTCTATGTTTTATTATCACCACGGATGGCAATTGTAAATAACGTCAATAATAAACCCTCTTTCCTAAAAATACATTTTGTTGGTCTAACTTGTAAACATTTGCTCTAGTTACTTGTGAGTTTTAGGAATACATGTGAAACTACCACTAAATCAAGACATGCAGACTTAGATACACATGTTAATTTAAAGGAGAAACTGAAGAGATTTTCTTTAGAATCAGATTCAGCTGGGTCTGATTTGTAACTGTTCACTCTGGCCACTCTATTTTAGTGTTTTAAATGTTAAGCACAATTAAGACTCCAGAGTGACAGATTCAAAGTAACTCAAATAATGCTTTTTGTCTTTACAATCACTGTGTTCTCATAGTTTATTTCAAATCTATTGCTTAAATACAGGAATATGTTGTTCTGTGTGGGTCGAGGACAAGAATTGTGCTCAATGTAAGTTTTCTGACCCATTACAAATATACCAGGAGGTGTCCAAGTTAACTTTCATGTTATATGGAAAGATATGATGCTTACTGAAGGATTTATTACTATAGCTAATTTAACGCTTATTACTGAAAATAATTTTGTGATGTGGAACAGAGGTGTGTTGAAAAATGACCTGTCTCAGGTATCAGATATTCTAGTTATAGCACTCCCGTATGGATCATCCATTTGGCACTTACCACATACTGTTTTATATTGTAATGAATTGTAAGAGCCCTGAGGACAGGAAGGAGGTTTATGATTGTCATTATCTTTTTGGCTACCCAGGACAAGGTGAGACCTTGTAAGTATAATAGTTGTGTTTGAATATGTATGTGAGACTCATGAAAGTGTGTGCTTGGTGAAAGCATTAATATTTAATGAGTATAGGGATGCTCTGTCTATGGAGTAGCCATTCTTTCATTCCTCTTTCTAAATAAACTTGCTTTCACTTAAAAAAATATTTAATGAGTACAAATTATGTCCCAGATGCTTTAAAAATTAAAGACAAAACTTAACACTGGCCAGTTTGGGCACTTAGTCACAGACTACTGGGATAGACAGACAGGTTTGGGCTGTCAACCTATATTGTGCAACTGTCTATGGATGTGTTTAAGTCCCCAGGTGGCTAGGCTTATAGTAGATGATTCTACCTCTCTGTGGACCAGGGATGGATTCAGAATTCAAGGTGAGAATATCAGATTCCCTTTCTCTAAAGAACTGATATATTCTTAGGAGACACAGAGGCTGCATCAGATTTTGTCAAGCTGGGAGACAAGAGAAGCTTGGTGAATTAGGCATTCCCCGTTGTCACTATGGCAGTCCAAAACTGAGCCAATTTTTGGAGAAGCAAAAATTGTAAGCCTATTAGAAACAGATGGCCGACAGCAGAATGGATCAGATATTCTGCAGAGCAGAAGGAAAAGAAAAGAGCAAGAAAAAAATGTCTCAACTCCTGTGACAGTTGGGCATATTTCACGCACTTGAGATCTGTGCAGTTCTTCTGATTCCTAGGTTGGTGGTGCAAAAGTAATTGCAGTTTTTGCCATTATTTGTCACTGACCTAATAATAAATTCACTTTTACCTCATTCAATGAGACTGGGTTTCTGCTCCTTGCTTAGATCACTTCCTTATCCTTTCCTGATTCTTTTTGTGTATAGATTTTATTTATCTTTTAGGGGAAAACTGTAAGTTTTATGAGAGTTAGTTCTTGCCTTAGGTTCTTTGTGGGCTCTGTAGTACTCTGCACTTAGAAGACTCTAAAAAAGGCTTTCAGGATAAATACTAACATGTTACTTATACACTTACTTCTCTTGTGATGAAATTATTTCTTCACACTGACTGTGCCATGCTTTTAAAATTCACTGGGTAGAGCTTTTCTTTGAAACTCTGGCAAATCTATGAGCACAATTTTTGTACACACATGCATACACAGAATATTTTGAATATAATTTTATGAATTTTGCAGAACCCAGGAAAACTAATAATGAACTCTAGTAGCCCAAATTAGAAATCTCAAATCATAACTACATTTCTCTAAACATGTTGACATTAGTATATTGAAAATTCCCTCTATTTAATGAAATCCAATGGCGATTTGATGTGAAGATGAAAAACATCTCCCTAAAACATAAAAATGTTTTTAAGTTTTTCTTCTATAATTCTGATTTTTAAGGTATGTGATCTGATACCATATGATAGAATTCTAAGCATGTGTCAGAGTTAAATTGTTTATATTTTCTTGGTTATAAAGCCAGCACACCATATGTCTAGTCCAGAGAATGTAGCTATATCAGCTTTTCATATGATGGGGAAAAAATCCACTTATAGAGAAGGGTTTTTAAATTTAATATCATGTGATTAAACTTCATCCTCACATAGACATCTCAAATTAAGACTGTTTACATGCTCTTTAATTAGATGCAATTAAGAAGCCCTCTCAAAGCATTTAGGTCCAGAGGGAGCTTTGGCTGCACTGATAGAGTGACTCTTAACATACATTAAGTTGCCTTGGTATTAGTAGAGGAGTTTCCCTTTGGAAGATGTGACAGGTACACTTATGCTTTTATCACATGAGGAAACAGATGCTGAGAAACTTCATTAGAGAAAGCAGGTTCAAAAGTTCTGTTTGACAGTTCTGGGCAGCGAGGCCTCTCTGCCCTGCCATTATCCTTCCAGCCCCTTCCTTATTGTATGTAGCAGCCAAAGTGATACTGAAGCCAGATTGTGTTGTTCTCTTGTTCAAACTCCGTCAAGGTCACCCCACCTCGCTGAGAGTAAATCCAGGCTGGGCCCAGGTGCTGTGCAGGATCACGCTGCTCCACCCAGACCCACTCCAGCCTTGGCTGCCCTTGCCTTATCTCTATCCTTTAATCTCCTTATTCGGGCTCACTTGACTTCAGACACACGTCTGTTGTCTCCCCTGGATAGGCCCTCAGCTTCTTCCCTCATCTCTGCTAAGCATTTACTCACATGCCTCCTTTCCTGTGGGTCCTCTGCTTGTTTACCTTCCTTATCCTTTCTAGCCTTCTTCCTTCCTTGACCAGGTGTTCCCTACCTCACTTCTCTGCTTTTTCTTTTTCTTTTCTTTTTGCTACAGTACTGATTACCATCTGACATATTATATATTTTATGTAGACGATTTATTCTGTTGTTTTCTGCTAGGATATAAATTCCAAGAGGCCCCAAGTTGTTAGCTGCTTTCTTTCTGTCTCTAGCACCTATAAAACGATCCAAAGTAACTGCTCTGTGAAGATTTGTTGAGTGCATAAATTATTAAATGAATGCAAGAAAGGAGGGGCTTAATGGGACTTTTGTATGAGTAAAATGATTCTAATTTTTTGGTTCATTGAAGGTTTATTTTTTAAATAATTTTTTATGTCTTGGGGCTTGATTTTTGTCTATATCTCTTAACCTCAAGGGAAATCCTCTTTCAGCGTCTACACTGGCCAAATTAACATTAGCTTGTTTTGTTGTGGCAGAAACACTTTAGGCTGAAGTGAAAACATCATAAAATTTGCTAACAATATTTGCTGTAAACTGGCAAATAAGATCCTTCCGTATGTCCTCACTGTTCACAACGGTGTGAATAAACTTCATGTAGAAGCCAATCTACTTGAAGAAGTGATTAGAAATCTTGAGCAAGGAGAATGACCTTGGCAAAGAAAATAGGCCTTGGGTCAGTCTTGTTTGTTTTATTTAAAAAAAAAATCTGACTAGTAATTATTAAAAGCCCAAACGGAAAGTGGGTGAGCTAGAAAGTAAGAGCAAATAAAAAATTCATTTTGTATTTAGCAAGACTCACAAAGCACTTGAGTAAGGAAGGGCTGCAATATGTTCTGATCTCTAGTGATGGGTTATTCAATCAAGAGAAGAGAGACTCTGCTTTGTTGTTGGGAATTGTTTTGTGTTGGACCAGAAAAAGAGGCAAAAGATGAACATGCTTTCAGAAACTCCCTTTTTTTTCCCTATAAAAATCACTCTTGGCTAATCCTGTCCCTTCAGTGTGCAATGAGTGTTGGGAAAAAGTTTGAAGGAATCAGACTTTAACTTTGAACCAAAGCATGTTGTGTACAAAACATATAACATCTTTTTCTTAGAGTCTAAAATATAAGGTAACAGGAATTAGACTGTATTCATTGGGATTATTTTGGGTATAATGATTCTGGTTTTATAACACAAAATTTGGAACATGAGGTCTGGCAAGAATATCAGAGGTATGGCTGTGTTCTGTTACAGATCTGAAATATCAGCCATTCCTCCCACAGGAGCTCTCAGTAGGCTGTCTTTCCTCTACTGGTAGGACAGTCAGGTTGGGTCATTCTGCTGTTTTGTGAAAGGAAGATGTTAACTTACAGCAATCAGATGTCCCAGGAATTGAAATTTTAGGAGCCAATCTTGCTAAAAACAGAGGGAACTTAGTAGTCATTTATTTTGTTGTTTTCTGCTAGGATAAAAATTCCAAGAGGGCACAAGTTATTAGTTGCTTGCTTTCTTTCTATCTGTCTCTAGCACCTATAAAATGATCCCTGGTAACCTCAGGGTAAATCAAACAACCTAGTGAAATTTAATGTAAAATCCAGCGAGAAGAGAGATTTGCTTAGTTTGATTTGGGCTACTGTGATTTATTTAATTTCTCTGTTCAGTGTTACACACTGGGGATTTGTGAAGCTACTTCACAGTCATAATCTGTTGGTGATTATTCATATAAATGAGTTTATATATCCTACAAGGACAAGCTTTATATTTGTTTTCTATGAGCAAATATTATCAAAATCACTGGCATATAAAAGAACCTAGATCAGTGGTTAAACTGGCAAGACATTGAATTAAATTCTCTTTCCATTTCGTAAAATACAAATGACAGATTATTAGACAATTTAAATGAACGTACTGACTTGTCAACATTTCGCTACTCAGGATACGTAACAATAAACACACGATGTTCCAAATTTTAAATGAATATGAAAGGAAATAATTCCGTCACTAATGAAACTTTTTGTGTGTGTATGTGTGTGGAATGTTTAGCCTATTTGAATCTATTTTCCAAAGTAGTGGTATATTTCATTAAAATATTCAGCATTTGTGTTTAGGTGTTCTCCCAAACTCACACCATACTAGCTTATCTTCTTGGAGTTGCAGGTAATCATTACTTATTGTTAAATAAATAAATTCTTGTTGATATTTATTTTGGAATTATATAGTTGTCCATATGAGAAACAGCTAGATAGAAAATTAGCACCTGCAAGTTAAAACATCTGTCCTTGAAACTAGCTTTGAGGCTTATATTTGAAGCCACATTTTCCTTTTTCTGGACTCTAAATATATATGATATAATTTTCGCAATTGGAAATTTACATGAGTCTCT
Source organism: Homo sapiens (assembly GCF_000001405.40). Lineage (NCBI taxonomy): Eukaryota > Metazoa > Chordata > Mammalia > Primates > Hominidae > Homo > Homo sapiens. Next base: position 210,755,311 of record NC_000002.12, read on the forward strand.
TATATAACCCCAGTTTCACCTTTTCTGGGGTGCTGGCTTTTATTTCTGAAGAGCCTCCCTCCAAGGCCTCACAGGGAGAGTTTTGAGAATGCTTGGTAGCCTATATTTTCAGTACCATCATATACTCTAAACCTATGAAATACGTATTTTTATTTTTTATAAAAAGAGAAATCTAGCTTTTATAAAACAGTAAAAAGATCACTGTGAGCAAAGAATTCTGAAAGAATATAGACACATTTTCTTACAGGAAGTACAGAATGTCATAATGCACAAAAGCTTCATTGTCATTTTGTTGTGAAAATGTATTGTTTCATGTAAGCATACAATAAAGATTTAATACTTACTATTCTTATCAAGACTTATTACTTTACTCACAATTTACTTTATATCTAAACCTTATTGCGCATGTATAATGAGAATACTAACATTTATATTTTTATAAAATATTATCAAAAACATTTCTTTGAAGTTCTTTATTAGTGAATTCATAAATACTCAATATTTCCAGGTGGCCTAGATGGGGTTTAGAAGATGAGAATAATCCACATGTCTTTAAAGAAGGAATATTCTAAAGAAAATAATTCATCATGCTTAGTCCTAGAGATATGGTTTATGAACAGTAATTACTTGGATGCTTTTGCAGGGATGAAGGGGGAGTGTTACCCTTCGGGAAGGACTCTCTTTCCTAAGTAAGGGTATCATCGGGTAGTGTTTTTATTAGGCGGTTGGTGTTATAAGTAAATGGTATGTAAATTACCTTAATTTGTTCCAAGGAAAGACCTAGTTTAAGAGTCAAACAAAAGTAACTAAATACCATGTAACAAACACAACCCATGTGGGAACTAAATTGGCTGTCACCTTTTCCAGCATCTCTTTTATGAAATGAAGTGAGGACTTGAAAAGCGAGCTGTTAGGAATGTTTTTCTCAAATACTAACTAAAAACTTGGTCCAGGAATCACGTTCTGACTGACACCAGTAGAATGTGCAACCAGAATAAATACTGGGAGTGTTGTCGCTCAACCATTATGAAATTATTCAAATAATCACTAGGAGATTCTTGATCAAACAGTGTGTACTAACACTGTGCAGCGATGTAACCCATTGTGCAGATATAAAAAGCGACACATAACATTAATAGTCACCCAGAAAAAATTCCCTAAAATTTCTATTTTCTTTGATATTCTTTAAACAAACATTTATTACAATGTGTTAGATTGTGATAGGATCTAATATCAGAGATCCAATCAGGAAAATATGCTGATATTCTACAATTTGATAATCAGAGCTATGATAAAGGTAAGCTTATGAGAGGCATTTGATTCCCACATATTTATTGGGGAAGGATGAGTGCAGGGAATCTTCTAAAGTAAGCTGCTTCTGAAGTTATTTTGGAAGGATGGGATTCACTTGCCAGGTGAGTCAAACAAGAGAATATTAAAGGCACAGGAATATAAGAAACATAGTATGTTAGGAAAATTAAAAATAATTTTGATGTGATTTATTGTGAATGGGAAAAATGCAATTAAAATTTTAAAGAGCTGACTCTCAAAAAGGATATGTTTGATCATAAGCAAATAAAACATGACTATTTTAAAGATAAATGCAATGACAATTTCTTGTTGTTACCCTGTGGCATGGGAAAGTGGAACTCATTTAGAGCTTTTGTGTCATGAAGCTGGAAAATGAAATGAGTCATTGCTACAATAAGTATGGCTCATCTCTTGGAAGTAAGGAGAAAGTAAATAATGATTTGAAAAGAGCATCCTAAAGTAGAAGGTGACAGAGCAGGGAGGAGAAAGGATCATCCATCTCTAATTGTAGGATGATTTGTCACATCTCAGAGCCCCAGATGAGAAGTAGAAGGCACCCTAGGTTAAGTGCAGTTAACTTGAGACATTGGCAGGAATTAACCTGATTTTTTAAAAAAATGGATAAAAGGCCTTTGTTTCTTACTAACAGATTGATGTTAGTAATAGCAATAATGTTAGAAGTAAAAATAGTTGGATACTTCTAAAAAATTGAGAAATACTGTTTTTCAGTTTATTTTTTAGAAGTATCCAAGTATTTTTAAAATGTGCACTTTGAGCATATTTAAAAGATATCACATCTGCAATTGTTTCTTGCTGCAATGAAAAGAGCTGGCAGCTGGATCCTTCTAGCACAGACTCAGCTGCCTTTTCTTTGCAAGTGTAGAACCAAAGATAGGGATTACTTTTATAAATATGTAATTATGAATTTTTTTCAGATTCTGATTAATAATTCATCCCCAACTCCTATAACATTATGTTATGAATGTTAAACAACTGGATGAGTCAAAATTTGATATTTAAGGAGATTAAGGGGAATATTGTGCATAAATTTTAGTTTTCTTAGCTGCCTCATAGAATATTAGTGGAGCACAATTTGAAATAAATTTGTTTCGCTTACTGAAGCCACATATTCGTATGTTTTACTCAAGAAAGGTTATTGTCATCTGTGGTTTTGATAATCATATGGACTACATGATGTGGTTCTGAATCAAAGTAGCAGAGGTGATTTGCAGGGAAAAGTTAAACCAGATACAGTGTTGCCCTCCTTCTCTCCCTTTTAAACACAGAACCTAAAGTCTACTTTAGAAGATTTCTAGGCAGTTAAAAGTTGGACTCCCTTGGTTCAAATCTTAGTGCAGTCTCTTAAATGATGGGCAAATTTGGGTAAATGACTTAATCTCTTCCTGCTTCACCTGCATAATAAAAAACCTTATTCCCACTGGGTAATTATCAAAGCAAAGTGAGGTAATGTATATAAAACACTAACTTCACTGCTTAGCACATAATAGGAATAAAACCTATTGAAACTTAGCTATTTCTGCTATTATTCAAGAATAGATGCAATGGAGTGAAGCTGTGTGTTTGTGTGCACATGTGGCATGTGTTTGTATGTGTTGAGGAAAAAATGATTCTGATTGTGCTGGGCTGTTCCTGCATTGCTATAAAGAAATACCAGAGACTGGGTAATTTATCAGAAAATGTATTTATTTGTCTCATGGTTCTGCAGGCTATAAGGAATCATACTGGCATCTGCTTCTGAAGCCTCAGAAAGCCCCAATCATGGCAAAGGGTGAAGCAGGCACATTACCTGGCAAGATCAGAGCAGGAGGATCCCACATACTTTTAAATGACCAGATCTCTTGAGAACTCAGAGAGCTCACTTACCACCAAGGAAATAAGGTAACCTTTCATGAGGGTTATGCCCCCATGTTACAAACACCTCCTACTAGACCCCACCTTCAACACTGGAGATAACAATTCAACATAAAATGTGGGTAGGGACATATATTCAAACCATATCATTCAGCCCTGGCCCCTCTTAAATCTCCTGTCCTTCTCACATTGCAAAATACAATCTTCCCTTCCCAATAGTTCCCTCCAGCATTAACTCAAAAGTCCAAAGTGTCATCTCAGACAGGGCAAATCCCTTCCACCTGTGAGCCTGTAAAATCAAAACCAAGTTAGTTACTTTCAAGATACATTATAGGCATTGAATTGTAGGCATTGCATTAACATTCCTGTTCCAAAAGGGATAAATTGGCCAAAAGAAAGGTTCTAATGGTCCCATGCAAGTTTGAAACCCAGCAGGGCAGTCATTAAATCTTTTTTATTTTTTTTATTTTTTATTTTATTATTATTATACTTTACATTTTAGGGTATATGTGCACAATGTGCAGGTTAGTTAAATATGTATACGTGTGCCATGCTGGTGTGCTGCACCCATTAACTTGTCATTTAGCATTAGGTATATCTCCTAATGCTATCCCTCCCCTCTGCCCCCAACCCCACAACAGTCCCCAGAGTGTGATGTTCCCCTTCCTGTGTCCATGTTTTCTCATTGTTCAATTCCCATCTATGAGTGAGAACATGCAGTGTTTGTTTTTTTGTCCTTGTGATAGTTTGCTGAGAATGATGGTTTCCAGTTTCATCCATGTCCCTACAAAGGACATGGACTCATCATTTTTTATGGCTGCATAGTATTCCATGGTGTATATGTGCCACATTTTCTTAATCCAGTCTATCATTGTTGGACATTTGGGTTGGTTCCAAGTCTTTGCTATTGTGAATAGTGCTGCAATAAACATACGTGTGCATGTGTCTTTATAGCAGTATGATTTATAGTCCTTTGGGTATATACCCAGTAATGGGATGGCTGGGTCAAATAGTATTTCTAGTTCTAGATCCTTGAGGAATCGCCACACTGACTTCCACAATGGTTGAACTAGTTTACAGTCCCACCAACAGTGTAAAAGTGTTCCTATTTCTCCACATCCTCTCCAGCACCTGTTGTTTCCTGACTTTTTAATGACTGCCATTCTAACTGGTGTGAGATGGTATCTCATTGTGGTTTTGATTTGCATTTCTCTGATGGCCAGTGATGGTGAGCATTTTTTCATGTATTTTTTGGCTGCATAAATGTCTTCTTTTGAGAAGTGTCTGTTCATATTCTTTGCCCACTTTTTGATGGGGTTGTTTGTTTTTTTCTTGTAAATTTGTTTGAGTTCATTGTAGCTTCTGGATATTAGCCCTTTGTCAGATGAGTAGGTTGCGAAAATTTTCTCCCATTTTGTAGGTTGCCTGTTCACTCTGATGGTAGTTTCTTTTGCTGTGCAGAAGCTCTTTAGTTTAATTAGATCCCATTTGTCAATTTTGGCTTTTGTTGCCATTGCTTTTGTGTTTTAGACATGAAGTCCTTGCCCATGCCTATGTCCTGAATGGTAATGCCTAGGTTTTCTTCTAGGGTTTTTATGGTTTTAGGTCTAACGTTTAAGTCTTTAATCCATCTTGAATTAATTTTTTATAAGGTGTAAGGAAGGGATCCAGTTTCAGCTTTCTACATATGGCTAGCCAGTTTTCCCAGCACCATTTATTAAACAGGGAATCCTTTCCCCATTGCTTGTTTTTCTCAGGTTTGTCAAAGATCAGATAGTTGTAGATATGTGGCATTATTTCTGAGGGCTCTGTTCTGTTCCATTGATCTATATCTCTGTTTTGGTACCAGTACCATGCTGTTTTGGTTACTGTAGCCTTGTAGTATAGTTTGAAGTCAGGTAGCGTGATGCCTCCAGCTTTGTTCTTTTGGCTTAGGATTGACTTGGCGATGCGGGCTCTTTTTTGGTTCCATATGAACTTTAAAGTAGTTTTTTCCAGTTCTGTGAAGAAAGTCATTGGTAGCTTGATGGGGATGGCATTGAATCTATAAATTACCTTATACATTTTTTCAGCACCACACTACACCTATTCCAAAATTGACCACATAGTTGGAAGTAAAGCTCTCCTCAGCAAATGTAAAAGAACAGAAATTATAACAAACTGTCTCTTGGACCACAGTGCAATCAACCTAGAACTCAGGATTAAGAAACTCACTCAAAACCGCTCAACTACATGGAAACTGAACAACCTGCTCCTGAATGACTACTGGGTACATAACGAAATGAAGGCAGAAATAAAGATGTTCTTTGAAACCAACAAGAACAAAGACACACATACCAGAATCTCTGGGACATATTCAAAGCAGCGTGTAGAGGGAAATTTATAGCACTAAATGCCCACAAGAGAAAGCAGGAAAGATCCAAAATTGACACCCTAACATCACAATTAAAAGAACTAGAAAAGCAAAAGCAAACACATTCAAAAGCTAGCAGAAGGCAAGAAATAACTAAAATCAGAGCAGAACTGAAGGAAATAGAGACACAAAAACCTTTCAAAAAATTAATGAATCCAGGAGCTGGTTTTTTGAAAGGATCAACAAAATTGATAGACCGCTAGCAAGACTAATAAAGAAAAAAAGAGAGAAGAATCAAATAGATGCAATAAAGGGGATATCACCACCAATCCCACAGAAATACAAACTACCATCAGAGAATACTACAAACACCTCTATGCAAATAAACTAGAAAATCTAGAAGAAATGGATAAATTCCTCGACACATACACTCTCCCAAGACTAAACCAGGAAGAAGTTCAATCTCTGAGTAGACCAATAACAGGCTCTGAAATTGTGGCAATAATCAATAGCTTACCAACCAAAAAGAGTCCAGGATCAGATGGATTCACAGCCGAATTCTACCAGAGGTACATGGAGGAACTGGTACCATTCCTTCTGAAACTATTCCAATCAATAAAAAAAGAGGGAATCCTCCCTAACTCATTTTATGAGGCCAGCATCATCCTGATACCAAAGCCGGGCAGAGACACAACAAAAAAAGAGAATTTTAGACCAATATCCTTGATGAACATTGATGCAAAAATCCTCCATAAAATACTGGCAAACCGAATCCAGCAGCACATCAAAAAGCTTATCCACCAGGATCAAGTGGGCTTCATCCCTGGGATGCAAGGCTGGTTCAATATACACAAATCAATCAATGTAATCCAGTGTATAAACAGAACCAAAGACAAAAACCATGTGATTATCTCAATAGATGCAGAAAAGGCCTTTGACAAAATTCAACAACCCTTCATGCTAAAAACTCTCAATAAATTAGGTATTGATGGGATGTATCTCAAAATAATAAAAGCTATCTATGACAAACCCACAGCCAATATCATACTGAATGGGCAAAAACTGGAAGCATTCCCTTTGAAAACTGGCACAAGACAGGGATGCCCTCTCTCACCACTCCTATTCAACACAGTGTTGGAAGTTCTGGCCAGGGCAATTAGGCAGGAGAAGGAAATAAAGGGTATTCAAATAGGAAAAGAGGAAGTCAAATTGTCCCTGTTTGCAGATGACATGATTGTATATCTAGAAAACCCCATTGTCTCAGCCCAAAATCTCGTTAAGCTGATAAGCAACTTCAGCAAAGTCTCAGGATACAAAATCAATGTACAAAAATCACATTCTTATACACCAATAACAGACAAACAGAGAGCCAAATCATGAGTGAACTCCCATTCACAATTGCTTCAAAGAGAATAAAATACCTAGGAATCCAACTTACAAGGGATGTGAAGGACCTCTTCAAGGAGAACTACAAACCACTGCTCAATGAAATAAAAGAGGATACAAAGAAATGGAAGAACATTCCATGCTCATGGGTAGGAAGAATCAATGTCGTCATTAAATCTTAAAGCTCCAAAATAATCTCCTTTTACTCTATGTCCCATATACAGGGCACACTGCTGCAAGGAGTGGGCTCCCAAGGCCTTGGGCAGCTCTTTCCCTGTGGGTTTGCAGGGTTTAGCCCCCAATGCTGCTTTCATGGGCTGGAGCTGTGTGCCTTCAGATTTTTCCAGGACCAGGGTGCAAGCCGTCAGTGGATCTATCATTCTCAGGTCTGGAGGATAGTGGCCCCCTTCTCACAGCTCCACTAGGCAGTACCCCATTGGAGACTCTGTGTGGGAGCTCCAGCTCCACATTTCCCCTTGGCATTGCCCTCTGGGGCGGCTCTGCCCCTGTGGCAGACTTCTGCCTGGGTAGTCAGGCTTTCTCATACACCCTCTGAAACCGAGGTGGAGGCTGCCAAGCATTCTTCACTTTTGCATTCTGTGCAACTGCAGGCTTAACACCATATGGAAGCTGCCAAGGCTTATGGCTCACATTCTCCAAAGTGGCAGCCTTAGCTGTACCTGGGCCTCTTTGAGCCATGGCTGGAGCTGGAATGGCTGGGATTTGGGGAGCAGTGTCGCGAGGCTGCTCAGGGCAGTGGGGCCCTGAGCCTAGCCCATGAAAACACTCTTCCCTTCTAGGCCTCTAGGTCTGTGATGGACAGGGCGGCTGCAAAGGTTTCTAAAATGCCTTCAAGGCTTTTTCTCCATTGTCTTGGCTATTAGCACCTGGCTCCTTTTTAGTTATGCAAATTTCTCTATTAAGTGGTTGCTCCACAGACTACTTGAATTACTCTCCTGAAAAAGCTTTTTCTTTCTCTGCCACATATCCAGGCTGCAAATTTTCCAAACATTTATGTTGTGCTTCTTGTTTAAATATAAATTACAACTTTAAGCCATTCCTTTGTTCCTGCATCTAAGCATAGGCTGTTAGAAGCAGCTAGGCTACATCTTGAATGTTTTGCTGCTTAGAGATTTTATCTGCCAGATACCCTAGGTTATCGCTCTCGAGCTCAAACTTCTACAGACCCGTACGGCAGGAACAGAATGGAGCCAAGCTCTTTGCTAAGCCATAATGTGAATGACTTTTGTTCTAGTTCCCAATAAGTTTCTCATTTCCATCTGAGAATTCCTCAGCCTAGACTTCACTGCCCATATCACTATCAGCATTTTGGTCACAACCATTTAACCAGTCTCTAAGTCGTTCCAAACTTTCCCTCATTTTGCAGTCTTCTTCTGAATCCTCCAAATTCTTCCAACCTCTGCCCATTACCCTGGTCCACAGTCATTTTCACATTCTCAGGTATCTTTATAGCAATACCTCACTCCTGGCACCAATTTTCTGTACTAGACTATTCTTGCATTTCTCTAAAGAAAGACTTGAGCCTGGTAATTTATAAGGAAAAGGAATTAATTAGCTCATGATTCTGCAAGTTGCACAGGAAGCATAGTGGCATCTGCTTCTGGGGAAGCCTCAGGAAGTTTTCAATCATGGCAGAAGGCAAATGGGGAGTAGCATATCACATGGTGAGAATGGAGCAAGAGAGAAAGAGTGAGTGAGGAGGTGCTACACAATTTTAAATGACTAGATCTTGTGAGAACTCAGAGAGCTTACTGCCAAGCAGAAGGGCTGGACCATTCAGGAGGGATATTCCCATATGATCCAAACACCTCCTACCAGGCCCCACCCCCAACAATGGGGATTACAATTCAACGTGAGATTTTGGCAGGGACATAAATTCAAACCATATCACTGATTCTTGTTAGAATGGTAGAAAGTCTTTATTCAAGACTATTGCAATCGAAGTATTGCAATGGAGGAGCGAGATCAGGCTCAACTCCAAAAACGGAAAAGACAAGTAAGACAGGTGGAAATTGATAATCAATGAGCAGAGTGAGGGGATCAATTGATGAAAAATTACTAAGAGGAGACATCAAAGGTAAGGGGATTCTAGCAAAACTATTCTAAGAAAATTATTGCTAAAGACAGACCAAGGACTTAGACATCAAAAGTGAGGGATAAAGATCTTGATTAGGTATCAAGGGTAGAAGATTATCTCCAAATTGATTTAAGCAGGATTCTTTACTTAGACTAGGCTGGGCAGGTCAAAAACAGAATGGGGGCCAAGATCAAGGCCTCTTTCAAAAGTGGGCTCAGAGGAACTCTGGCTAAAGTTAGGTCAAGGAGAAGAGTCTTTGTCAGTGTGTATATGTGTGTGTGGTATGTGTAATGGTGATGAGTGGAAGCAGGATTGGCTATATAATTTGAGGGACTCAGGGAAAATGAAAATATATACGGATCCTCTTGTTCAAAATATCAATAATTTGAAGATAGCAACAAAATAGCATTAAATCCAGCACTGGGCCCTGTTAAATCTGTGGGCTGTTTGACCACACAGGTTGTGTGCCCATACAGCTGGCTCAAGGTAGGAGCAATAGAAAGCATGAGGGCCTACGTTAAATAAAAGGCCAGAGCAATATACAATTATTTGGGTAGAATTGAAGTTGCCTTCCTGGTATTTCTGAATACATTACTGACTTAAGTGACTATTAGGGAAAAATTGAAAGAAACAAATTCAAGAGAGACCTATAGTGCATAAAGAAGCCTCATAGAGTGACAGCTATCATCTTATGTGAATACAGCCTTTAAAAATGCGCTAGTCTATATATCAGGGCCCACTTTTCAGTCAGAATCTGTTCATTGAGACTTGGAATTTTAGAGAGTAGATGAGAAAAGTTAGAAAGAATGCTCATATCACTCTCTTGCTTTTTTACCCTCCTCTGGCTTTTTCCTGTTGCATGCTGAATAGAATTCAAACTTCTTGCCAGAGTTTTCAAGGGTATACTAGTTAGGATAGTACCTGCTGCTGTAACAGACAAGCCTCCCAGTGGTTAACACAATAACAGTTTTGGAGTGGTCTTAAATTTTCCAAAGGGAGTACTGAAAAATTAAGTAATTTATCTGTTTCTTAATGAATTTACCAACTCAAGATTCAAGAAATTCTCCTAAGAATTTGCCGGTGTGTCTCAGCCAATCAAAGCTTTGGTTATTTATCTATTTTAGTAATTCTGGCCACTTCTTTTCCCAGATTATTTTTTTGCCTTAGTGCATTAGAATAGACCATGAGGTCTATTTGCTCACTTAATTTTACGTATGCTTTGATTCAGAGCAGGTAACATCATAGCAGAACTGTCTGCAGCAGTTCCAGATGGCACATTTTTATAACATGTTGTTCAGAAAGAGTAAGAACTTATTTAGGTAGTTCTCTCAGATGATCAAGAAGGATGCTTTTCCAAAAGCTCCCCACAAACATGTCCTTATAGTTACTGAGCCATGTGGATCATATTCCCATCTCTGAACCAGTCACTGTGGCAGGGGTGTGCAGTTTGGCTCAATTTATCAAGGTACTCCCCTGCCTCCTCGTCCCCAGAAGCATCTTCAGAAGCAAATGGGCTACTTGGAGGTGATGTAGATGCCCCAAAAGTTGATAGGCCAGTGGGAGTTTAAAAAAAAAAAAGAGTCAAAGATGACTTTTAGTTTTATTTGCAGAAAAAACTGGAAGACCGTTAAAGAGCAGGTCAAGGACCAAGCCAGGAATTAAAAAGCCGGTACATCTGAACATTTTCTGTGTAACTGTGGAAATGGAAATGTCAGTTATCAAACAAGTGGTGCTTGTGAGATTGTCAATGAACCAGGGTCTTACATTTCAAGAAATGGAAAGAAGTGACTCCACATCCCCACAAACACACTTTGAGTCTTTGGGTTACTGAGATAAGGTAGTGCAGGAGAGGTACAGTCAGATAGAATGGGTAATTGAAGAGATTAGAGAAGCAATCTCCAAAACCAGCAATGTGAAGAATATGAAAGGAAAAACCACCAGCAGTTAGAGACAGTACCTCAAAAAAGAGCTAGGTCTCAGAGCAACCAAGTGAAAGAAGACACATTTGTGAATGTAGGAGATTCATTTACATGTGAAACATCATAGATTTCAGAGGCCTCCACTGACTCCCTGTATTTATTCCAGGCTGACTCCAGTCCACTATTTATCTTAGAACCTATAAGCCCAGTATATGCTTGTCCACAACACACACACACCCCTACACCCTTCTTCACTGTTTCTCTGCATATTCATTTGCAATGGGCATGGCTCAGGGAGACTGCACTCAGGCACCTGCTCAGCCACAGCTACTTCATGGAGAGAGAATTATGCCATGCTGGATTCAGTACTATGCCAAAATGAAGGCTTCCTAAGATTCACAGTTCCCTCCAGTTTATGTGCAGAGTAGTAGGGTCATAGCCTATGTAATTGTGGGTTCCTTCAAATCTACCTGGTTGTATCTACCTCTATAACTTCTCCCTTTCTCCCAGCTCCTCTTAAGAGGCTTTGAGCTTAAGGAAGTGAAAACAGTGATATCAGACCCTTTGATCTGACTATTTTCTTCCTATCCAGGCTCCATCATCATTTCCCCATCCTCTTTCCAAAGGAGGTTTTTCCCTGTAGTTTCTTTTGTGATGGATGGCTTTCTACACTGAATTTTGTTTTTTCCCTCTTCTAGGCAATACATTTCTTGGCCCACCTGTGGTATTACAAGGGCTTATGGAGAAGAGAAAATTTGTATTAAAAAGAAATAAAATATATCTGGAGGCTTTTCAAAATATCATCCCCATCACATACCTTTTGAGAAGTTATATCCACACATGAAGCAAAGTGCATGTGTTTTCATTAACATTGATCCAGAAGTAGCTTCATAAGACCACAGTTTATAATCTGTATTTTTGAATGTTCTTGAAAGTTTGAAAAGTATATAAAATTGGTTTTCACCCAAGCAGGGCAGTTCTCCCTGCCATCTTCCTGGAACTTAGAATTACTGATTTTACAGTGCCTGTTTATTGCTTTTCTTTCTGTCTTTAATTGTCCTTTTATCCTCTATAAATAAATATTTTACTATTATCATATAGTAGTTCCCTGACTTTTCATCTGCATAAATGGGCTGAATAATATACAGAGAAATATGGCAAGAAAACACAGGCTTCAGAATCCAGAGTCATTCTGATTTTTTGTCTGTACTAACTTTCTGGGTAATTTTGGGCCAATCCATTCATTTATTTATTCAAGGAGTATTTATACGGTGTTTGCACTACAGTGTGCTAGCTCTCTCAGCCATTTACCCACTAGGGCTCTGTTTCCCTTATCAGTAAATGAAGAAGGTTAATAAAAATAATCTCTAGGGTCCATCCAGTTTTCTATTCTAAGTGCTGGATGATGTCTACCTTTAGGTTTTTTTTTACCACTAAATATTTATAAACTATGATTTCATAAAAGCTTTATCCGAAAGTAATTTATTGCTGGTATAAAAACCATAGACTTCATGAAATCTAAATATGCAAAACAAGTATGGTTTTGCTTCCTTCAATTTTTTTTTTATTTTTTTCTCCTTTTAAATTTTATAGGAAGGATCACATTATAACTCACCTTTTTCTTCTATGGAAAACTTACGTAAAGAAAGCATTTAGTGAATATTTGTTAACCGCACCCCATTGGTTGACTCCCCTGTACTTCTATGAACTGAAGAGCAAAGGCAACACTGTTAAGCTTTTTCTATGGGATGCCTGTTGAAAGGTGTACTGAGGAAAATGGAGGTAGCTGCCCTTTCTAAGCCAGGCCAGAAGCCTTCAAATGCTGCTCTTGGAGTTGCATACTGGGGATTGTCTATCTTGAGTTCTTACAAGATTTATTGACATTAAGCCTGGAAAATAGCAATGTTCTAAAGGTTAATAGACTGACATGACTTATAAAAACTGCCCTTATACCTAACGCAGTCTGAGAGTAAAGAAGGAGCACTGAACAGAAAACACTACGCTATGGAGGCCTCCAAACCCTGCTCTCAGACCAGCAGGGAAAGGAAATTGTGGGTGCCCAAGGACAAAAAGGCTGACAAGGCTGGGATTTGCCGCAGGATGATACATGACTGTCACCTTCCCTGCTACCGGATGGTATCTTGTGGTTTGCCCTGGGGTTTTCTTTAATGATATGTAAATGACAGGAAGCTCTTATTCCCTCCAGGATCATGTGAACTGGCCACTTTAAGGACTACCATTCTGGTGGCAGTTAAATACTGTGGAAAAATGACCCGGCAGGCAGCTGTCTACCCCATGGGCAGTTCCAGAAGACTTTATTCCAGTAGGAACTGATCATTAAGGACTCTCCCGAAACAGGATTCCCTGAGAGTGGGAAGGACTCCTGATAGTGCTAGAGCAGCTTGCAGGGCTCCAGGCTGAATTCCTCAGGCTGCTCTTGACAAAAGCTCTGAGCCACCTTGATGATGATTAACTGGTGACAATTTCACAGGCTGTCAGTAACCATTGTGCTTGAGTGGCACCCCTAAAGGATAATGGGGTTTAATTGCTCTTCCTAGGAGAGGATGTGGGGATGCTTGGGGCGGTGAATGGTGGGAGGGTATTTTATGAAGAGGAGTTGGATAGACAGAAAAAGGAGTCAAAATATATATGCATTTACAGAGTGGGATGATGCTACTTAAAATAACAACTCAAAGTCCTCCAACGCATTTTAAACCTAAACTTAAAAGAATCATAATGGGTGTCCTTTCTTTTTTACCTTGTATTTGGCGATGGTTGTTGAGGATTTCTCCCTAGTGAGAGCTGAGAAAGATGCCTGCCTCAGCTATTCCCCTCTGATTTCTCTAAGAAAAAAGGCTGAGGGGTCCAATAACTACTTCTTTATGTAACCCCCACTCCGCCAACTGTGGCACTTCAATTTGTTTCAGCACACAAGTGGAATGAGTGTGACAGTCTCATTTGTGTCTCTAGTGAATTTCTGTCTCTGTCAGGAGAACAAATCATGCCCACCAAGCACAAAATGAATTTAGCATGTGATATTGTCAGCAGTCTCTACACAGTCCTGCATTCGAGGAGAGCAGAGCGAGCAGTGGGATGTTTGTGTGGAAGTCCTTTTCTGTCAGATTCCTTGCACAAGTGTATGTTTCCCCGCACTACTAGAACTACATTTGTCTCCATGTTGGGTAAATGGAGGTAAAGGGAATTTTTCTGAACTATGTGCTTTAGCGCTGCTCCGCCAGTGGAACAAGGCCATATTAACTTTTTCTCTTTGTTTTCCTTTCTTGCCTCTCTAACTGGGTGATACAAGCTCTGACAAGGCCAATTTGTTTATTCATTTTTCATTCTTAACTGTGTATTTGAAACCTTAACGACTAGTAAGGAAAATGAATGATACTGAGCAACAGTCCCCTAAGCTCTACCCTGCAGTACTGATGGGTGTGAAATCTAGATGGAAACATGGGCTGTATTTTTGAACATCTAAAATTGATCCTAAGCATGCAACATTGGAAATTGCCTAAATACCAAGCAATGTCACAACTGGGTTCAAAATCTAGAAATATCCATTTAACAAAAATGAGAAATGCATTTACTCTTTATTTCATATCTGTGAGAAATTGCACATATTCATTAGAAAACTAAATTCACAAAATATATACTGAGCTATAAAAGAAGTGTGATATTTAATCATGTTTTAAACATGTTCTTTGAATATCTTAACTCCAGCAAATATCTTAAGCTTTTTTGAAGTAGTTTTAACATAATACTTTTATTATTTGGCAACAGACTTCATAACTTAAACAAAATATCCTAGGAGGAAGCAGTGACAACGATATGAGTAATTAAGCCTCTGCTTTTAAACATAAAATGCTACATGGAGAAACTCAAGCATTTCCCTAATCCCCATCAATATAAGACTTTATGGCTGTACACTTGTCAGATGATGTAGAGATTAAATTGGAATATGCTATTCTGAGAAATGATAAGAATATTGTCTATAGACCGCTATCATAGTACTATAAACATTTCTTTAAATTTAGGAGTTCAGTTTTATGAGGAAAGAGAAATTAAATTTGGGATATGATTTTAGGCCTATCTGAATACAGTGTTCATGCTCTGGCCTTATGAAATTGTAGCTGCTGTCATTATCATCATCATCATCATCTTCATTTTTGAGGGTAACAGGATGGGTAATCAATGAATTTGGAGTCAACCTCCTACTTTAAGTTCATTTTCAAAGGAGTGGCTGTAGTGTGATTGATGTGAAAATCATATATGTTATGTCTATTGGTGCAGGTCCATTTTAAAACATGTTGAGTGGGCAAATATTAAGATTTTTTTTTAAAAAAACTTGAGCCTAAGAGTCTTTGGCCAACTTGGTTCTTGGCATTCATGAAGCTTAATGGATTTCTATAAGAAAATACGCATGTTTTGCTAAAAACTCTCAATAAACTAGGTGTTGATGGACTATCTCAAAATAATAAGAGCTATTTATGACAAATCCATTGCCAATATCGTACTGAATGGGCAAAACCTGGAAGCATTCCCTTTGAAAACCGGCACAAGACAAAAATGCCCTCTCTAACCACTCCTATTCAACATAGTATTGGAAGTTAGGCCAGGGCAATCAGGCAAGGGAAAGAAATGAAGGTTACTCACATACAAAGAGAGGAAGTCAAATTGTCTCTGTTTGCAGATGACATGATGCTATATTTAGAAAACCCCATTGTCTCAGCCCAAAAACTCCTTAAGGCGATAAGCAACTTCAGCAAAGTCTCAGGATACAAAATCAGTGTGCAAAAATCACAAGCATTCCTATATGCCAATAATAGACAAACAGAGAGCCAAATTATGAATGAACTCCCATTCACATTTGCTACAAAGAGAATAAAATACTTAGGAATATAACTTACAAGGGAAATGAAAGACCTCTTCAAGGAGAACTACAAACTACTGCTCACGGAAATAAGAGAGGGCACAAACATATGGGAAAAAAAATCCATGCTCATAGATAGGAAGAATCAATATCATAAAAATGGTCATACTGCCTAAAGTAATTTATAGATTTAATGCTATTCCCATCAAGCTACCATTGACTTTCTTCGCAGAATTAGAAAAAAACTGTAAATTTCATTTTGGAACCAAAAAGAAGCTCATATAGCCAAGACAATTCTAAGCAAAAAGAACAAAGCTGGAGGCATCATGCTACCTGACTTCAAACTATACTACAAGGCTACAGTAACCAAAACAGCATGGTACAGGTACTAAAACAGATATATAGACCAATGGAACAGAACAGAGACCTCAGAATTAACACCACACTTCTACAACCATCTGATCTTAGACAAACATGACAAAAAAAAGCAATGGGGAAAGGATTTCCTGTTTAATAAACGGTGCTGGGAAAACTGGCTAGCCATGTGCAGGAAACAAAAACTGGACCCCTTCCTTATACCTTATACCAAAATTAACTCTTAGTGAGTTAAAGACTTAAATGTAAAACCTAAAGCCATAAAAACCCTAGAAAAAAATCTAGGCAATACCATTCAGGACATAGGCATGGGCAAAGACTTCATGACTAAAACACCGAAAGCAATGGGAACAAAAGCCAAAATTGACAAATGGGATCTAATTAAACTAAAGAGCTTCTGCACAGCAAAAGAAACTATCATCAGAATGAACAGGCAGACTACAGAATGGGAGAACATTTTTGCAATCTATCCGTCTGACACAAGTCTAATATCTGGATTCTACAAGAACTTAAAACAAATTTACAAGAAAAAAACAACAAACCCCATCAAAAAGTGAGAGAAGGATCTCAACAGGTACTTCTCAAAGGAAGACATTGATAGGGCCAACAAACATATGAAAAACAGCGAATCATCACTAATCGTTAGAGAAATGTATATCAAAACCACAATGAGATACCATCTCACGCCAGTTAGAATGGTGATCACTAAAAAGTCAGAAAACAACAGATGCTGATGAAGATGTGGAGAAATAGGAATGCTTTTACCCTGTTGGTGGGGGTGTAAATTAGTTCAACTATTGTAGAAGACAGTGTGGCTATTACTCAAGGATCTAGAACCAGAAATACCATTGAATCCAGCAATCCCATTACTGAGTATATACCCAAAGGATTATAAGTCATTCTAGTATAAAGACACATGTATGTTTATTGCAGCACTGTTCACAATAGCAAAGACTTGGAACCAACCCAAATGCCCATCAATGATAGACTGGATACAGAAAATGTGGTACATATATACCATGGAATACTATGCAGCCGTAAAAAAGAATGAGTTAATGTCCTTTTCAGGACATGGATGAAGCTGGAAGCCATCATTCTCAGCAAACTAACACAGTAACAGAAAACCATACACCACATGTTCTTACTCATAAGTGGGAGCTGAACAATTAGAACGCATGGACACGGGGAGGGGAAGTTCATACACTGGGGCCTGTTGTGGGCTGCAGAGTCAAGGGAAAGGAGAGCATTAGGACAAATACCTAATGCATGCGGGGCTTAAAACCTAGATGATGCGTTGACAGGTGCAGCAAATCACCATGGCACATGTATACCTATGTAACAAACCTGCATGTTCTACACATGTATCTCAGAACTTAAAAAGAATACACATGTTTACATGTGTGTATATATACATATATATTTTAACCTTGTAACATAACATCTCTCCTATAATCTAGAAAAAAACTCATCTTCTGATGATATTTAATTTTTTAATTTTATAACATTTATAATTTGCAATTGAATGAAAGTTGTATGTGCATCACTTAGGTATAATAAAATAAGCATGTATTTCCATCTAAGAATTATAATTTCTGCTTGATCTCTCCTAATCTCAATTATTCTTGTGGTTTCAGGTTACATGTCAATCAGTGAAGCATTCCCTTATCTGTCACTGTAAATCAGTTGCTTCTGTTACTTTTTACAATTGCACTTTTTTCCATAATGTGTCACAGTTGGTATTTAGAAATGTTTATTATATACCTTCTTTTCTAGAATGTAAGCTCCTTGAGAGTAGAGTCCATGTCTGTTTTTTTCATTACTCTTGTTCATCTAATACTGTGCATGTCACGTTGTAAATTTTTCATACATATAAATTTATTAATAATTATTGAGAATAAGCAAAGCTCTAAAAGTTGATGACATACAGGCAGTTATTAGCAAATGCTTGGATATAGGAAATTAGATAAAAGATGTCTAAGATCACTCCATTTTTGTAGGCAGAATGGTTGGTTTAATGGTAATTTTTTTTTTTTTTTGAGATGGAGTCCTGCTGTGTCACCCAGGCTGGAGTGCAGTGGTGCGATCATGGCTCACTGCAGCCTCCACCTCCCGGGTTCAAGCAATTCTCCCACCTCAGCCTCCTGAGTAGCTGTGATTACAGGGGCACACCACCATGCCCAGCTAATTTTTGCATTTTTAGTAGAGACGGGGTTTCACCATGTTGGCCAGGCTGGTCTCGAACTCCTGACCTCAGGTGATCCAAAGTGCTGGGATTACAGGCATGAGCCATGGTGCCCAGCCTAATGGTCATTTTAAATCACAAAAAATGGACATTGTAGGAGGAGCAGTCTGAAGATTTATTCAATGGAAGAAGAAAGTACTGAACTTCCCCCATGTATTCAATGAGTGTGTATATAGTTGTTCCTCAGTATCCATGGGGAATGGATTTCAGGACTCCTCTTGGATACTAAAATACACAAATCTCAAGTCCTTTATATAAAATGACATAGTACAGCTATAAAATATGATGAGTTCATGTCCTTTGTAGGGACATGGATGAAGCTGGAAACCATCATTCTCAGCCAACTATCACAAGGACAAAAAACCAAACACCGCATGTTCTCACTCATAGATGGGAATTGAACAATGAGATCACATGGACACAGGAAGGGGAACATCACACACCGGGGCCTGTTGTGGGGTAGGGAGAGGGGGGAGGGATGGCATTAGGAGATATACCCAATGTTAAATGACGAGTTAATGGGTGCAGCACAGCAACATGGCACATGTATATATACGTAACAAACCTGCACGTTGTGCACATGTACCCTAAAACTTAAAGTATAATAAAAATAAATAAATAAATAATAAAATAAAATGGCATAGTATTTGCATATCATTTAATGATATCCTCCTATATACTTTGTCATATCTAGATTACTTATAATACCTAATACAATGCCTGCTTACACATCACTTCATTTTTGTAGATTCAGTGTAATGCTTGGTACACAGCAAATTCAAGTTTTGCTTTTAGAAACTGTGGAATATTTTCCGCAAATATTTTCCATCTATGGTTGGTTAAATCCATGAATGCAGAACCCATGGATATGAAGGGCCAGCTATATATTTGGGTGTGTGTGCACACGTGTGTGTGTGTATATATATATGTATATGTATGTATTAGATGTGTATATGTATGTATGTGTGTGCGTATGTGTGTGTAGAGAGGGAAAAAGAGGGGGAAGGAAGAGAGAAAGAGTACATTAAACATGACATCCTTGTGAAGAGGAAAAGGAATTATTAAAAATAAACGCAAGAACAATAAAGAAAGAACTATAAGAGAGGTGGGAGGAAAAATGGAAGTCATGGGAGAGGGGGTTTCAAGAACAAAATGTTGGGGTTTAGAAGGGACACCCTTCTTCTATACCTAGGTTTTGCTCAATAAAGAAAACTTAAGGACACAAAGATAACTTTACTAGTGATGGAGTCCAGGAGCCAAGTGAGATTTAAATAGTCCTATTAACAGGAATTTAGAATTAGGTCAATTTAACTTCTCTGATCACAGTCAACTCTCTGTCTGTCTAGGCTGATGTGGGTGACTAAATGTGTGAAACTTGGGTATAGGGAAGCAGAAAAGAATGCAAGCTTTCTGTAGGCAGCTGATACGGTTTGGATCTGTGTCCCCAGCCAAATCTCATGTTGAAATGTAATCCCCAGTGCTGGAAGTGGGGCCTGGTGGGAGGTGATTAGATCATGGGGGCAGTTTCTAATGGTTTAGCACCATCCTCCTAGTGCTGCTCTTGTGATAGAGTTCTCATGAGACCTGGTTGTTTAAACGTGTGTGGCACCTCCACGCTGTCTCTCCCTCCTGCTCTGGAAGCTGAGCAGATGCCAGCATCATGTTTCCTGCACAGCCTGCATAACCGTGAGCCAATTAAACCTCTTTTCTTTATAAATCACCCAGTCTCAGGTATATCTTTATAGCAAGGTCAGAATGGACTAATAGCAGCTTCACCCCCAAGAAAAAGAAGAAGCTGGAGATAAGCCCAACATGTGTGGTTTTCCTACAAAATTTACAAATCAGGTAAGTCGCATCATCTCTCCAAGATTAGATTGAGTAAAGGGAAAATTGAAGGCCTTGAGTTATATTAACTGAGCCTTCTTCACAGGAAAAAGATGTCAGGAGTTGGGAAGAAGTGTTTTCCACCTAATAAGCAGCATTGGAATTAGATAAAAGAAAGCTATCATTATTATAAGAACTAGAAAATGGCTATCAAATTTGGAGCGTGTAATTGATAGACATTGTGACTATTTTAGTATAATGGCAAGAATTGGGACAAAGGCCAGGTTAAATGCCCTAAGGATAAAAACACTGGTGACAAAGTAGAAGCAGCTGTTATAAACTGCTTGTTACAATTAAAGAGAAGAGAAAAAAATCTATAATAGAATATATTGGTAGGAATGGTGTTGTTACTCGACTTAAGAAGGTTCTTTTCAACTCTGAAACTACAGAGGGAGTTAGTATTACAGAATGAAAGATTGAGGATGCTAGAGAGATAGAATAATTGAAGTAGAAAGGCTTCAAAAAGTTAGAAGGCAATAAGATCATGAATTCTTACTGTCAAAGTCCATTTTTGTTGCTGTAACAGAACATCTGAGATGAGGTAATTTAGGTTGCCTCTGGTGGCTTCTGGTAAGGGCCCTGTGTTTCCTCAAAAACATGGTGGAGAATTGGAAGGGACGTGTGAAAAAAGGCAAAATACCAGAGGTTACCTTGCGTTATAATGACCTGATCTTGTGGGACCTACTCCATTCCCACAAGAGCAAAAATTCATTCCAAAAAGACTACTGTATTAATCCCTTCATGAGGGGAGATCTCTTATGACCTGAATGCCTCTTAAAGGTCCCACCACCTCTTAACACTGTTCCATTGAGGAGCAAGCCTCTACATGAGTACCGGGGACAACCCATATTCAAAACATAGAAATTCCCATCAATTTCCTTTTTTGTCTAAAGCAAATTCAAGATTTCACACAACCAAAACCTTTAATTGATCCATTGGCATTTGGCAAATTCCTACTTGTTCTTTGCTATATGGTATGAATATTCTACCAGGGAGACAGCTTTTAGAAATAATAACACAATGACCTTTTATTAATGTACATTTTTTGATGAATATATTTACCTTAAGAAAACTTTTTTTAACAAAGAAGCTTATTCTATGATGCACTTTTACATTATGCAAGAACCTCCTTATTTTAAAATATTATTACTTTGTATGATCTATTTTCCTTTGTGTATAGAGAATACTTCTGACTTCTAAACAACAGGGTGAATTCCATAATTTGATCCTATAGTAATGGAATTGTATGAATTTTCTGTGCTTTCACTTTTATTTCTAGTCTAACCAATTTTAGCTGGTACAGTGGTGCCAGCACCTAATAAATTGACTTGACACATAGAGGAAGTCATTTAGCATTCTTGGCCTCATTCACAGTTATTTAAGAACTTTGAATTGAAGTTTCAACTAGCTAAGATGCTATAGTTGCTTCTTGTTAAAATTTAAAAAGAAAATAAAATTACTTACCTTCATCTTTCACTGGTTAGATATGAGCTGCCTCCTTTGAAATCTCCTACATTTCCTACATCAAGAATGACTATTTAGTCTCATTTTAAGAGTATAATTGAACTGAAAAGAAATACTATGAATGAACCTGAATTTGTAGGTAGAACCATGTACAGTCTGTTCTAAAGAGACTGAGGGCCCTTTAAATAAATAGACCCGTGAGTTTCCTCCAATTGCTATCAAAAACGCGTATAGGTAGGTCTGCTTCCATTGTAACTAAATTCTATTCTTGCTAACAAAAGTCCTGTCTATTAGTTTCTTGAATAAGCTCTGGTATTTTACAAAGAAATGCATCCTTTGGCTTGGGTCATAAAAGATTTTCTTGGGTGCAGAATGAAATATACATTTACTAAGGTGTTTTATTACGCCATGGTTGGAATCAATCTCTCCCTGCTTTATGCTTCCTTAGCACGTTGTAAGTGCCTCCATTACAGCACTTATCACCATCTGCCTCCATTCAGAATTGTTAATGTATGTTTTTGGATTTTGAGCTCCTGAAGGGCAAGGACCGTGCCTTTCTCATTTTATATCTTTCCTAATGCTGTATGCAGTGACTTGCATTTAGTTGGTACTAAATAAATGTTTATTAAATTGACTGAGTAGGGGTCATATACTTAGAAATAGACTGCTGTTCTTTGAAAGGCATGTTTTATTTTTTAATCTTGGTTGCAAGGAAAATTTGGAAAAACCAAATAGACTGCAATACTATGGGGGACTTACACAGAGCAGAAGTACACACCCTTCGCTAGCCTTCTTTGGTGTCCATTTTAATACACATTGGCATGTATTATTTACATGTATTCTGGTATAAAGACATTGATTTTGAAGTCAGGTAATGCTGAAATCTAATTCTTTTTACTCACTTCCTACACACCCAATTCCATGTGATTTACCTAACTTCTGTGAGCCAAAATTTCCTACCTGTAAAATAGGAGCAATAGTATCAGTTTCATATAATGTCTGAGAGTCAAATAGGAAATGTATAAAAATAGGCTAGCACATTCTGGGAGCTAAGTAAACAGAGTCACCATCTATTTCTTTTTCTCATTCTTTAGTCTAAAATTGTTAGTGAATTATGATCCTTTATATGTGGAAAGTTTTCATTTGATAATGACTTATTGAACACTGATGGTGTCAGTGCCTGGGCTAAGCACCTCCATTCTCCTATCTGGGGTTTATCAGCTTCTTCCTCTCCTCTACAAGGACCATTGTAGCAATTCCAACAATCCTTGGGATTTTAGAAACCCAGTTTGAAAACAACTACTGCATAGGATGAAGTATACCTGGAAGGCTTTTAACAGGTTATAAAATGAAATGGAAATGGGGATAGCAGTCCTTTGGGCATTGAATTTGAGTTTTTAACTCTACAAAATATCTGTTGTTGCTATCCGAGGTCCCATTTCAATTAGTGTGTGTCTTTTGAGGCCAAAATCTTTGAAAATAAATAAAAAATTTGTTCCATATATCTGGATGTCAGGCAATTTGACTGAAGTTGTTTCTTATCTGGCTACTATTTCAGATCTCATTCATAAAGTCTGTGCAAGGCTTTAAAAGTGTAAACATATTATAGTATTGTACCTACCTTTAGGAGTCTCACAATCTAGGGAAGGTGACAGCAGATGACTTAGTAATTATAATATGTTATGGTAATTAATATAATGTCAGGGGAAGGCAAGCAGTTCATAGCAGGGAAATCATGACAGAACATGATAATGGTGTTGAATATGAGACTGATGGAAATTAATCAGAGAAACTTGGGGAGAAGAGAGCTAGCCTGGGCAAAATAGACAGCAGGCTAGAGGAATAGCATGGGCACAAGCCTGTTGGGAGGACCTCAAGTATATGAGTATTGTCCATGAAGATCGTGCATCAGATGTATCAGTCAGGGTTCAGCCAGGGAATATTACCAAATCAGGAATTTATTATAAGGATTAGACTTACACAATTATAGGAGGAGGTGGGAAAGTGAAGGTTCAAAAAGGAGAGTTGAAGAATCAGAAAAATGTCACTAGCCTTGGAATGAAGCTGGCAAGAAAACCTGGGAGGTAGCAGCAGCTTCTGGAGTAGAGTTGCAAGGGAGGGTTGGTATAAAAGGCTGCAGATATTTGTTAGTTAGTGTGGCTACCACCTGAGTGAATTTGCAGCAGAGTGTCTGCTGTGGGGCCTGAAGCCTCTGTCACTTAGCAGAGTTGGCAGTCATGAATGAGAACTTGACATGGAATAGAGAGAGACCAAGCTGGAACTTTCCAGCACCTGTGCATCTCTGTCATCACCTCTAACTATCGATGACCTCAGAATGTAATAGCGTTTGCTTTACTTCTCCCTCCTAAATGACTCATGATCTTGCCTTCAGTCCGTTTTTACCTGAAACTCTATAGAAAAAGAGGATTCTAGAAAATGTAGTTCCCAGTGTAGCCAACTTGACAACAGAACATCTGGCACACCAGAGCTTGGTGGTATGCAACTCTAAGTGAAAAAGTTGATATGAACCTAATAAAAAAGCCTTTATTTCCTAAGTAAAAGAATTTTACCCTTAAGACATTTAATTGCCAATTATAACTTTTAATTAAGAAAGTAACATGGTCAGTTTTGCATTTAGACTGTGAAAGATGAACAGTTAAGGCCTGGGGTTGAAGGTAGGGTGGTGATCTCTCAAAGCAAGGAGGCTGTTGTACTTATCCAGACGAGAGAAGATGATGGCCTGACCTAAAACAGTAGTTGTCAGGAAGTCAGAGGAAATTGGGACAATACTCATTTTTCTGGTTTGAGAGATTGTGTGGATGATAATGAGATACATTGCATTGGGAGTTTAGTAGGAGGAACCAATTGATGAAGAAGAAAGTTGAAGAGGTTCATTTTGGACATAGAGAACAACCATGTAGAGTTAACTAAGCAGTGGACAGTTAGAAATTCAGATTTAGAGCTTAGAAAGGAGATATGGAGTGAATATATAGATTTATTAGTTGTCAGCACAGAGATGGTGGTTGAAGCCATAAATGGGATTGGCCATGGAGACTGCATCACATGGGAACACAGGAGGGTTAAGATGAAACCCAAGGCAGCACCAACATTTAAAGAGAACACGGAGGGGAGCCAACAAAGGCAACAGGGAAGGAGTGAGCAGGAAACTGTGAATAAAAGCAGGAGTCTGGTGGATAACAGAGTATTTTCAAATGAACGGAAGGCTAATTGTGTTAAACTCAACATAATGTAAGAAGAACGTAGAGAAATTTGTTTTTTAGTGAAGTGATAAAACTAGAGCATGGTTTGAGAATGAATGAATAATGAGAAAATGGAGAATCAGTGTAGGTTATTCCATCAAGAATTTTGGCCATGAATTAGAAAGAAATACATAGTATTAAGGATATATGTGTGTGTGTGTGCTTGTGTGTGCATGTCGGGTTTGTTCCCAAATGGGAAGATTTAGTATGTATAAATGCAAAGGGAAGAAGTAAATGTGAAGTTGTTTTTCAATGACTTTAATCTTTCAATGACTATAGTAACTGTTTCTTAGTACTGTTTGTTGTTTATTCTAAGTGTATGATTTATGTAACTGAACTGAGCTGTGAGAAATATAGCCATGATGCTAATAGACTGACTAGATTGAAATGTGTCACCATTGACAATCTCGTTCTACACATAGAATAGTTAATGTGAAAAAGTTACTTTTAGAAGGCCAATTGTAATATCTGCAGTTGGCTTAGCTCTTCCTCTGGTACAGGATGGCAGCAAAGTGCCAAAGTGCTTTACAAATCTTCATTTGGTAGAGGTTTGAAGCTAGTAGCATCAAATTTTTTAACCCCTTAAAGTTGAACATAATTTTTGATTTGATTTTTTATTATGGATGATGATTAAAGGAAATTCTACCTATATATTACAAATATGAGAATGAACAAGAAGCCAAGTGTTTTTCCACATAGGTCTTATAGGACATGAATTATTTACCATCTTATAGTCAGATTAATATCTATTTTCTATGTTTACAATGTTCAGCCATGGGCAATTCTGCATTCACAAAAGTCTCAGATTTGAATAGAAGTGTATCATGCTAGTGGCTCCATAAGCACATGCAAAGAACAAGCTCTTTAATGAAGCATGAGTTTTATTCCCACTAAGCCTGACAATGTTTAGTATGATCTCTACATGTGGTACATCAAATTAGAGATTTATCACCTCTATTATTATGTATAGCTCCTATGTAAAGAATCATTCGTAACTATCATGAGGCCAAATTCTTCCCTCATGCATATCATTCCATGAAAAGCCACTCAAATTTTACTACGGCCAATTCCAAGGGGACTCTTCTTTTGTCGTATTGAAGCTAGATTTACATTTTTCCTTGGACTACATGAACTCTTGGCTGGAGTTGAAACATGCTGAGATTTCAGCTGAATTGGTATTTGTTGGAATATGATTTGGCTTAGTATTATGTATACAGATTTTGACTCGTAATTACGTTGGAGGTTAACCTAGAAACCTAAAAATGAAGAAAATCTCAGATAATATGTTTTAAAATCCATTTCTAATAAATTAGCTCTTAATGACCAAAACAGGATTTCTTAGCCTTCTTTTTTCAGACTGTTTAGTAAACAAGCTTGCACCGTGGAAATGTGCTTTCCTTTACCTGAATCGCAAATATATTGTTTATTTTTAGACAGATGTTAGTTAATTGAAACTAATTACATTTCCAGAGCAATCCTAGCATCTGGAGCCAGCTAGGCTGAAAAGAATAGCTGAACTGAAGCATGGTGTTGTCCCTGCCTTTATTCAGCTGCTGCTGGAGGAGAAAGATTAGTAGTAAAAGCACTTTTAAGTCAAATAATCCAATTCAGTTCCTTTCCTTAATTTTAATTTTTTTGTAATTGCCAGTAATATCCTGCCTAAATATTGTTAAGCAGGGTTGCCATATTTAGGATCAAGAAAAAATATTAAAAACATTTGAATTAAAAGCAGCATAGAGATTGTGTATTACTTTTTGCTTAGTCAAATGTTTTGTGATGCCCTGCTTGCATTGTGTTAATGCCTGGGATGTTGTCTCATATGGTTGTAGTTCTAAGCCATAGCCATCACAGTTTGCATCCCAGAAAAAAAGTTTAGAGTTTTTAGTTATGAACTCTGATTAAGAGTGTTTTAATGAAAAGACTCAGAAAAGATTTAAGTTGCCCTATTTTAAAAATCACAAATTGTTTCCTTAACTTCCAAAAGCCTGAAAAGTATTTTTAGTGACTCTTAGTCATCGATCATTTTCATGTGAGTTCATTGTTCAGTTAAAGAGCCTTGTCAGATACAGAGAGTGATTTTTGCCACCTTGGCAGCAGTCTGACAAATGATAGAAAATATTTGGCCTCATGATGGCAATGTGTTCATTCTGGACTAGCTGATATAGAGTTAGACTTGAAGCCGCCCTAAATACCTAAAGCAAAAGGTAACCACTCGTCCAATAGTAAGTGAGTGAGTGAATGAATGAGTGAATGAAATAATTATTATGGATCCTATTGTTGAGAAAAACTCTCAAACTATTTTCCTTCACTCTCATACAATGACAACAATCAACAGAAGACTTCTATGACCCTAAAATATGTTAACCTCCACCAGCAAGCAAGCAATCTGCTCTGCAATGAACACAGGCTGGGCGTCCTCCATTTCAATTCCAACACTATCTATCTGGAGAGAGCATCAGGTTCCATAGGTTGAAGCCTCAGTCCTCAAGTCTGTCCCTTAAGGACACCAGTTGCAAGCCTGACCAATTGGTTTCCAGTTGGGATTCCCATGACCCCATCTTTGGGTTTGATTAGGTTGCGAGAGCAGCTTACAGAACTTAGGGAAACACATTTACTGGTTTATTACAAACAATATTTTAAATATATGTATAAACAGCTGGATTAAGAGGTACATAGGGTGAGTTCTGGACAGGTCCCAAGAACTCAGGAGCTTGTGTCCTCATGGAGTTGGGGTGCACCACATCTCAGCATGTGTATGAGTTCTTATTCACCTTCCTGTCAGCCTCCACGTGTTCAGCTCTCTGGAAGCCCCCACCCCCTGTTCTCTTGGGCCTTTTGTGGAGAATGCATTGGGATAGGCACAATTGTCATGTCAGCCATGTACAAATGTGTTAAGACAAGGGTATGACCTAAACCCAACAAGGCCTGTCTGCTCAGACTCTTCTTGGCCTCTCTGTGCAACATTCCTTCCTCCAGAGTATAGGGCAGGACCCCCTCTGGAATAAGGATTTTATGACCCACAATCAGATTAGAGTTCTTCAGTGGGCAGGTGAAAGGAGGGCAGAGAGGGGGATTCTGTTTACTATAACAAGGACTATGGGTGTTATGAGCCAGAAACCATGAACTAAACCATAAACCTATCTATCTATCTATCTACATATATAGGTTTAATTCTGTTTACCATAACAAGGACTATGGGAGTTATGAGCCAGAAACCATGAACAAAACCATAAATCTATCTATCTATCTATCTATCTATCTATCTATCTATCTATCTAGGTTTAATGTACATAAATATGTATAGTATATATAACACCTATGTTGTATTTGAACATGCGAATACTAAGAAACTTTCAGAAGTATAGCAATTCCTAGTAAGTCTTCACTATCAACCCATTACTATCATTGGAATTGCTAGTAATTTGCAGAAAGGAACAAAGCACCACTAAGAGCCAAGAGCTGTCAAGATAGGCTGAGTCTAAGAAAGAAAATTGGTTTTGAGGTCTGTTATAATAGAGGCATAGCTTAGATACAGGAAAAAATTAAGATGAGATTTTATCTGGGATATATGTCTATGGGAAGTATAAGATGACTATATTATTCAGGAAAGGTATTTGTAGATGTTGGTATGGACAGATGACTTTGGAAATGAGTATTTCTTGAGGAGTTGCAATAGGAAACAATTTAACTAGCAGAATACCATTTGAATTTTGTATGTATAGAACATCAAAGTCTTTACTGGCACTTACTTGGTTACCCAGTTATAAAATATTTGCTGCTTGTATGAATATAATCATTTTGCAACTTAGGGAAAAAGTTCAAACTGTACTTAGAAAGCTTGATATTGACCTGCATAAATCAGGAAGGAAGACTAAAAAATAGTATGAATGTGGTACTTTTAGTAGGCTCTTTTTGTATGGGAATGAGGAGCTACTTGCAGTGAAGAAATTGTGATGGATGTGTGGAATAAATTTGGAGTAGCTGAAACATAATTTCACCCAACTGGGAATTGCCAAGCATCAGACTGGCTTATTCTCCTGGTTAGATTTTTGAAGGAGGGTATTACAACAGATATCAAGTTTCCAGGTGTTCGTGGGAAATAGCAAGCCCACCTATGCCCACAGGTTTGTACATTCATTCATTCAACAGTGTTTAATGAAGACTATTAGGTACCTGCCAGCACGTGTTCTAGGTGCTGCTGGATACAAAGGCAATGCTCCAGGAGTCGACAGGCATGGTTGGGATCACATTTTCTGATCCCCTTCCCTTCTTAGTTAGCTTTAAAGTACAACTTTGGTCAGGTAATAGAACATTCTTGTCTGCTGGAATGAAACAGAGCCTTTCATACGCCTAGCATTTTCATCACTTCATTCCTTAGAGCTGTGAAACTCTTCTTCCATCTGCAAATTCAGATCTGCTTTGGATTTGGAATTCCTTATCTGAAGGGAATTTTGAAAAACCCCAGCCCGGTAGAAGGGAGAGTATACATGCATTGCCAGCTTTGTTGTTGATAGGCTCTGACCAGATTCCTGCTTCGACTTCATTCTGACTATTTCTTCTAACACATCTTTTATTTTGTACTTCAATTTCTGAGAATGCATGCTATCTCCATTTTCTTGTACTCTCATCTCTACTTTGATTTCTCATTCACAGTTCCTCTGAGACTAGGATCTTGCCTTAATCTTGCCAGTTTGTGGCCCTGGAATTTCACCTCAGAACCTCAGTGCACAAAAGTAACCCAAGCATCTGCTCTCAGACCTCCTTGATACTGACTTTTTCCCTCACTGCAGCCTCACAAATTACCTGCTTTTTGACTTCTTGGAACCTAACACTGGCTATTTACCACTAACCTTCTCTGAACCATGCTACCCTTGCATATCTGATTGTAACATATGCTCATCACCAAATCCTCTGACTAGAACTTCCCTGCTTGTCAGTGTATGTGGTTGTACCTCCTTCCCTGTTATAGCAGATGCATCTCTGGATTCAGAGCTTTTTTTTTTTTATGGTGGCCTCTTTTTTTTTTTTTTTTTTTTTAGTGTGAGCTCTGCTTTCATAAAGTGACATGAGTTGAAGCTGTAGGGAGACAGCATCTTCCTCCACTTAATAGGTAAGTTGTGATAGTGGAGATAGGGGTAGAGTACCGGTGGAAATACTGTACTGAATATGGTCACACTTTATGACAACAGAAGCTCCTCATATTCTGACTCATAAATATCAAATTCAGAGAGCCTTTGCTATCATCGCCAGCCTCTCTTTTAGTACCTACTCTTAGGGAAAACTGGATCTAAGGGAGAGCCATTCTAGCCCATATATTCTCCGCAAGCAAGTGAAATAGAGCCAGGCACAGGGTAAAGGCCCAGACAAAACCATGCCCCCACTCATCCTGAGTGAGAGACTACAGTACATGCCACGCTTAGCAGACAATTTAAAGAGCCTTGTGTCAAGGAGCCTGCCTCCTGGCAGCAAATGTCAGACTACGAAGTTTTTGAAGACATTTTTCATGTCCAAATCCCATATATCACGAAAGTCTCTAATGTCAGTTTTTCTCATGAGCTGTTTCTTGATTCAACTATTCTTACACATGTAACTTTTTACTTTCAACATCACTTGTATTAATATTTGATATCCTTTCACCAGTTGTTGGGAGCCAGAGGAAACCTAAAGGACTTTGGAGTTATTTTCTATGCATAGTTCTCTCCTGCCTTAGACTTAAACTTGGAGCAGTGGCATTTATGACATACGACTCTGATGCTCCACTCCTGCACCAATATCCAGGGTTTAGAAGATGAAGACTACCCAAAAAATGTTGACTGTGGGGGGTTTTCTATATGTTATACTTTAAATTTTGGTTTTTAAAATTGGGGCTTATTAATTTCTTCCTAAAAATTATAAAATATTTTATGTGCAAAACATACATATGTAACATATGTAGGTTATATAGTTATAATTACTATAGAAAATATAATTATTTCAATAATTTCATTATTTAAGTTATTTAATAAAATCACTGATCCGTTTAAAAACTTGAGCATTACTAATGCCTCCAAAACTTTGTTGAATGTCTTCCTAAAACATATTTCTTTGCCTTTCCCAGGAGCTAGACATTGCTCTAAAGTTTGTTATTCCCTTGTCTTTTAATGATATTTTTATCATCTACGTATGTTTCTTTAACTCTTTTTTTAGTTTTGCTTTTTTGAACATATATAAATGGTATTATATATTCTTCTGTGACTTACTTTTTTCTCTCAACATAATGCTTAAAATTCATTTACACAGATGAGTATAGTGGCAGTTTTTTCCATTTTCACTGCTACATAGTAGTCCATTATTTAAATAGCAAAACATTGATCTATTCTGTTGACAGACACAGTTAGATTGTTCTTCTCTCCTCTCCTTTATCTTCCTTTCTTTTCATTTCCTTCTTCCTTTTTATATTTCTTTCTGTTTATCGAAAGTAAAACTCTTTGGATTATATGTAACATCTCTGGGTTATATTGATGGATATGTACCTGTTATTTAATAGCTGATGCTGTATTATTTTCTAGATTGGTTGTATAAAATCATAATTTAAACAGTGCTTTCCTTTAATGCTTACTAACTTCCATTATTCTATATATTCATTAATTTTCAATATTATGAGAATTTCAAATCTTTGCTAATCTAGTGCTTTAAAAAGGTACCTTACTCTGATTTTCATTTGCATTTTTGCGATTACATAAGAGTTTGACTTTTTATAAGGAATGATCTTTCATATTTGCTCATCTACGATAGTCTCATTCAGAAATTTGCTTTTTTTTTCCTTAGGATTTTGTGATTTTTTTTCAGTATTTTGTTAGTTAAATTTAACATATAGATTCTTTGTATTTTTTGCAAAGATCTGTTCCCAGTTTTTGATTTGTTTTACCATGTTTATTATGAATATTTTAATAAGCAGAACCCTTAAATGGCATTTTGCTTATTAGTTTTAAATGCTTAATTATTCTGTATCATGACAATTGAAATCCTTTTATTTTATTATTTTTTTTTTTGAGAAGGAGTCTTGCTCTGTTGCCCAGGCTAGAGTGCAGTGTCACCATCTCGGCTCACTGTAACCTCTGCCTCCTGGGTTCACACCATTCTCCTGCCTCAGCCTCCCAAGTAGCTGGGACTACAGGCACCCGCCACCACGCCTGGCTAATTTTGTGTATTTTTAGTAGAGATGGGGTTTCACCGTGTTAGCCAGGATGGTCTTGATCTCCTGACCTCGTGATCCGCCCACCTCGGCCTCCCAAAGACAATTGAAATCTTAACCAGTACAACAAAATGAATAATTTTTGAGAAGTATTACAAAGATAATATCATTGTGAATCTACTACAAACTTAAGAATATTAAACTGTTGGCCAGGCATGGTGGCTCATGCCTGCAATCCCAGCATTTTGGGAGGCTGAGGCGGGCAGACCACCTGAGGTTGGGAGTTTGAGATCAGCCTGACCAACATGGAGAAACCCCATCTCTATTAAAAATACAAAATTAGCCGGGTGTGGTGGTGCATGCCTGTAATCCCAGCTACTCAGGAGGCTAAGGCAGGAGAATCGCTTGAACCTGGGAGGCAGAGGTTGCAGTGATCCAAGATCATGCCATTGCAATCCAGCCTCGGCAACAAGAGTGAAACTCTGTCTCAAAATAAATAAATAAATAAATAAATAAATAAATAAAGAATATTAAACTGTTGCACTGGGAGGGGAAGCAAGAATTCATGGATAGGTATGTGTGTGTATATATATATTTGCCCATATACATACACATGTATGTACACACATGTGTGTTGCAATCTCCATCGTTTTCAGAAAAATTGTGATGTGACTATTAGTATCAGAATGAAGTGCTGATATGTCTGCATTCTGATACGTGAAACACTCTTCCTGGAAAAAATTGCAATATCCAGGTTGGTTTGTCCATTTATTACATGAAGCAATAAAATTATTTAGCTGCAAGCATATCTAACATGGCCTCACTGTTTTGGTAATTAGAAGCCTTCTGATTTTATTTCTCATAAAATTTTCTTTAAAATTACTCATTTTTAGATGATACTCAATTGAGCTTCCCCAGGCCAAACCTGAAGGGTTTCTGAGAAGAAATATTGATTTTCTTCTACTTACTTCTTTACTTACAATTTTTCTGAGACACCAAACTTCTCAAATCACATTTCTATTCAGTGGATCATTTAAATACAACCCAAAACAACAAAAAAATCCTTCATTCTATTTCCAGAAGCACATGAGGGTTGTGAAATCTAATTTTTATTTTAAATGCCTTCATCTGTTTGTTAGACCTGAATTGGATTCCTCTCATATGGAAAATACTCTGCTAGAGATCCCTTTCTGTGTGAGGGAGACACCTGTGAGTTAGGGGAGAATCTTAACTGAAAGCCCCTAAGAATGAACATATTGCTTGCCGCTTTGCTTGGCACTAACAGTCCCAAACCCTATCACACTCAACTTTTTATAGCAAATATTTTTATAAAACCCCTTTATTTTCTTGATATGAGTCATAGATGATGTTAACCCTCTATTTACCTAATTCCTAAAAACTAAATGTTATCTTTAGTTCAATATAAAAGAGAATTAAAAGACGTAATTTAAAATAAACTATTAATATATTAAGACTTAACATTTGTAATGAAGGAAATGATGCAGACCTAACTAAGGGGATACAGCACAGACAACCTGTCATGTATGCTCACTTCAAAAACCCTCAAGGCTTCCTAGAGAATCCATAAATAACTGAAATTGTTTTATTTTGTAACCTAACTATCCTACTCGAAGTCAAAATGCATAACTTGACTTCCATGTTTGTTGCCAGCCAATATCCTTACCTAAAGTTTTGTATGAACAAAATTCACTGTCTCCAGACTGCAGCCTAACCCTCTTTCTCATATTCTGCCTTGCCATTATTACTTGTTTCAACTTATCAGCTCACTCCTCCATATATAAGATACCAATTTTCTGTGGAAAAATAACTAAATAAACGTCTTTGAATTATTCTTTGGTGATATGAATGTTTTCAGGTACCACTACAATAGAATAAATAATGAAATACACGCTTGCACATGCTTATAGTGGATAGGTTATAAGACTTTAAAATACTGTTGACAATTTGAAGTTGATTTGTAAATATATTTCTGTGTATACATACAGTTCCTACAAATGCAACACTGCACATAGATAATAATTTGGGTACAGTATATTAGTAATGAAATGACACACTCTACTTTGCCAAAAAAAGTCATCATAACTTGAAGAGATGAACAAGCCTGGAGAAGTTATACACAAATTCCTATCATTTACATGGCATAAAATTCAGTGTATATTAAAACCGTATAAAGGTACTTTGTGTTTATATAAAAAGACTCAAGTAACACTAAATGGGGTCATCACCCATTCAATGCTAATATCCAGCAGAAGACTATAAACTAGTGCAGAGCATGGATTTACTGGTTTTTACCATTCTGCACATTGAAGACCATCCAGAATCCCTGCTCCCTAAAGCCAGCAGCATTTCATTATCATTTCAATAACAAAATGTATCTCTACGTATTTCCAAACATCCCCTAGGAGTGATATGGCTCCCACTGAGCATTGCTGCTCGCTGCATTCACCCATTCTGCTTTTAACATCCTATGGATCAGTAGCTCCAATAGAAAGCTTCTTGACCCTTTGTCACCACTGACTAGCCATTGAGGGTTTCAGATGTCTTGTTTCCAGAAGTCCTTTATAGTAACTCCTAGAGGCTCTCCCCTAGGCGTTTCCCCCAATGTCCCTAGAGGACAGGCAAAATCGTCTTCCTACTCAGCTGTCCAGCATCAACACCACTCACATGCAGGTCTGCTGAGAACAACTTTCCTAAGAATTCTCCCTGTATTTTTTGTAAGTGCCTAAGGAAACAAATCTATGGAACATAAGCGAATGTTGCAATCCTGACTCCCCAGGGCTTCCTTTGCTGAGTCCTGAAGCAGGGCAGGAGTTCTTGAGTTCTTCAGCTCCTGGTGAGTTTCATCTTCTCTATATTGCCAGGGAGGCCCCTTGTGCTGTCCTGAGAGCATCTAAACTCAGGTCTGTAGGACACATCCTTAATCTGTATTATCTATAAAATCCACCAATAAAGCCAAACTTAAGTTTCACAGAGCCAAGAGCTTATAAAATTTGATGGTCTTCTTTATGGAAAATAGTGTAAAATTATCAAAACAAAATAAATGTGTAGGATGAAAAAATCATATCAAAGTACAAATTTTAAAAAGGTAAAATATACTATAGAAATAACAAAATCTAAAAAAACACACCTTTTTATTTTTAACTGAATGTCTGACACACCTCTGTAATAACTTTTTACCTACATTCTTACCACATAATCTTTGACAACAGTTTTGTAATAATCACTTTCTACAGAGAAAAGACAAACATAATTAAGTTTTTTTTGACCAGGCATGATTTTAAAAAATTACATTGGATAATATAGACAACTTAGAAAAGTTATTTTCATCTTCAAAACTCATTTTTGGTGTTGTCATGAGATTTTGGAATTGTCAAATTTAGAAAAAAAGTTTCTTATGTAACTGTAAGATTTTGGGTCATTACCAGTTTCCATGTACCATAAGAATTTTAAAATACTGTTTGACAACATTCATTAAACAATTATCATTAGTGTCTTCATAATATTGTTATATTATGACTTTTTTATTCATCAATTTCAGTACCTCATGTTAAACCAACCAGAATTTACTTAGAACCTGTAGAAATGTTATTGGTTCAGGCCATTTCAGGCCAAGGAAAGAGCGTGTGCAAGAATATATAGATAAGGATATAGGGAAATGTAGCATATTTTTGGTGTGTACAAGAAGGCAACAATTAGCAATAAGCCTAGACAAGTGTATTGGGGCCAGGTAAAAAAAAATGGCATCTAGTGTCAGACGTCAAATGGCTAAGACTCTTTTCTCTTGCCTTTAACTTAAGGAATTGAATACCTATTGACAGATCATCAAGAATTTGAAGGGCGATGTACTGTAGTGCTAAATTTATTAGGGTTAGAACCAGACAAAGCTCAGTTTGTGTGCCATCTCTTATACTTACCAGCTGGACAATCTTGATATCAACAGTTGAACTATTCATGGAAGTGACTGTAAATA
Source organism: Homo sapiens (assembly GCF_000001405.40). Classification (NCBI taxonomy): domain Eukaryota; kingdom Metazoa; phylum Chordata; class Mammalia; order Primates; family Hominidae; genus Homo; species Homo sapiens. Next base: position 210,791,513 of record NC_000002.12, read on the forward strand.
ACATATATATGTAATATATGTTATATATTATATATGTAATATATGTTATATATTATATATGTAATATATGTTATATATTATATATGTAATATATAAGTTATAATATATTTTATATATAATATATCACACTATATATACACACATATATATAAATAACATATATGTAATATATCCCACTACATATTCCATAGTAAATAACACCCACTCACACACACACACACAATGTATCTCCAATATAAACCACCTTTGGCTCTCTCTAATAAGTGCCAACAGCTACTCCAATGCCACCAGACACAAGGAAAATGTAACGGAAGAGTAGATAGAATAGGTAAACACAGCAGTTTTTATTAATTTAACAAAATACTTGGCTATGTACAGATATTACTTTGACTCTTTTTAGGGCCTTGGAACAGGCCCATGAAAGTGAGGGGCCTTAAAGCTTAGAATTCTTTAACTTCAGATTGAATCTTCCTCCCTCGAAGGACACAGAAACGTATCTGCAAATTGAATCCCCAGGGACAGCACAGGTATCACAGAGCTCCTCAAACTATGCAGAGTGACTCTAATCACAATCCTAGGCTACTTATAAATACTGACACTCTCCTTGCACAGTGCCAGGCTGACCTAGTAAGCTGCAAATAGACTATTTCTGATGCGTGTGCCAACTGGATGTCAAGGATGATTAGTGAGAAAGGAAAGAAGCCCGCCTTCCCCCACTGACTTCAGGGACATGCAGAGCAGAGTGTGGCAGAGGTCTCAAAAGCAGCTGCCACATGGTCTGGAGGGTGTGCATCCCTGCAGAATTACAATTATCTCTTTCACTTTGAAAGATTGTCCACCTGTGCCATTACATACTTCTCTACCTTCTACACAGTTTTCCAATTTTTACTGCACATAGATTTATTCCACTGGAGGGCTTGTTTTTAAGAGATTAAGGCTTGTCTTCAGTCTTTCATTTTACTCACATAGTTTGTGATTACAGCCATCACTCAGCAATCTAGAGTAGCAAACATAAGATGTATCTTTGTCTCTCATTCGTTTGTTTGTTTTTAACTTTCTATGTATATACCTCTAGAATGCATTTGGACCTAAAGTGCTAGATGAAAAGCAAATGTGTAAGGGGAAGGGGTACAAAAATGCTCAAACTTTTATTAGTTGTGTGTACTTTAGGCCAGGCATCTTCTCTGAACCTCAGTGTCTCTTTCTGAATACTGAGAAAATAAGACCTTCCTTTCTCTACTGTACAGTTATGAAGATTAAATAAGGTGGCATATACAGAAGTGCTTTACAAATTGTAACAGTTGATGTGTGTAATAATGATTATTTCACCCTCTTCATCTGACACCTTCCTGTTCTGTCACTTAGTAGTAGCGTCTTATAGTGTGGAACCAGCGAACAGCCCCAAAAAACAATATCTAAGTAGAAGTCTAGTAAATAACGAAATGTCTCCACTGTATCCATTATAGTGCTTTTTCTCTTAATTGGCTTTTGAGTAAAGGAAGCAGAATTTGGAAAACAAAGTATGAAGGCAGATAACAAGAAAGAAATTTAGGCAGAGGATTTTACAGTGGCATAAAGCATCGAAGGCTGTTGTGTGTTTAAGTGTGATAGATGGAACATTAACAAATACAACAAATATTTAGTTTTATTGTATGTCACTGTTCTGAGTGCTTAGAATGACTTATTAAACAAAATGACTAAAGATCTCTGTCCTTGTGGAGCGTATATTCAAATGATTCAGAATAATCAAGAAAGGTAATGCCATGGCTGGCTTGTACAGAATTTTGGAAATTTCAACAAAAATATTTGGCAGGAAAATGAAATGAGGAAAAAGCACGCATTTGGCTTAGCTGATGATTCAATTGCAATTCTAGAATGACATTATAAGATAAGCTTGGGGTTGGGATGTAGTCTTGTTGGAAGGATATGCCAAGGGAGCCACCTTGAAGAAAGATTTGCCTAGAAAGATAACAGACTGTTTTCACTTAGATTGCATATTTGTTTAAAATGACTTTGAGGAAGAGTTAGTGGAGGTATGGATTCTAAAACCCCGCTCAACTACTCTAATCTACATCTTGTTTTTACTACCGAGTTAATTGTTTCAGGCCAAAGTAAGTTTGTTGAGTTACTAATTTGCTGATATAATTCACTCATTTATTCATTCAAAAGCTAATAACCATCTACGATATAACAATTATTAAGCTAGGAGGTAATGGTATAATATAAAATGAAAAAGAACTAAATTTCTGCTCATGGAGAACTTACAGTTAACAATTACACTTTTGGCTTCTGTATGATCCCTGTCATAATATGAAGGTCATTAGTAGAGGAAAGCATTCATCTCACTGAGAAGTGAGTAAAGTAGAAATCATTGTAGATGCTATTAGCAAGAACTATTTCTTGATGTAAATGATTCACTTCTACCTGAAGTGTTTAGATGGCACCTTCTATACTGCTTGGGGAATTGAGTCAGACTTGGAGCATATATTCAGATATTAAAACATATAGACCATTTCACCTATCACAAGATAAATGTTTTTTAAAATCTCAATATGTCAGCATAAGCCACTCGTCTATGACTAAGATCTCTACAGATAGAAGGTGATAGAGGAAATGAAAAGAATGAATAATCAAGAATAATGGCTTACTGAAAGTCTCATAAAACTTATGCTGTGATAGTAGACTGGCAAATTTACTGTTTAGATTTAGCTATTATATAAAGGGAGAAGAAGGAGAAAATATCACAGTGCTAATTAGAGAGCCACATTAATGTGTATCTTACAGCAGAATGGTGATACCGTATGAAGGTAGATAGGTTTTAGTTCACCTAAAATAAGCTTCAGTAACTCCAGATCTCTTCTTTGGGCTGAAGATTTGATAGCTGAGACACTTTTCCTTTTTCTTGCCCATTTTGATGCCTATCAAGTTTACCATTTGTTCTTTGGGATTACATCTAATCTCTTTGAATGAGAGGACCTCATTTGAATATCAACATTTTTTTGCAGTCATTTTCCATCTTCAACTTTTAGAATTAGTTAATGGTAAAAATATGTAACAATGAGTAGATATTATGCTTTTAGGAAATATTTTATTGACTTGATGTATTTATTATTTTCAGTATACATTTGGAAAGTACATTTATGTACAAGAGATGGTTATTCGTTCTTCTAACAATGCTTCCTTTACATTTGGATTTGAAGAACATTGATTACTCCAGAGAGGCTCCAAGGGATTTATAGCTCCCAAAGTAGGTTACAACTCTGTGGTTTCCAATAGAAGATTCTAGAACAACAGTTATATAGTCCACAAATGACTGTAAGAATAGGATCATTGATATTTTGTGTTGCTATTTGTACAATGATATTCCTTTCATTCATTCAGTGGTCCATGAAGATCTGTTGGTCAGGTATCATCATTCACTTCCTGCCATGGCCCCTGGAGCATCTTAGACCTCAGAGCTCCAGAAGGTTCTGTGATTTCAGAACTGGAACTAAAAGGATAGCTACAGATCGACTCTATTATGATTTGCACAGGTCATGATTTGACAAAGAAAATCTTGAGATTTTCTTGAACACAGTGTACAAACCAGCTCTCTGACTTCTGCTAATTTGGCTGAATATGTAAATGTGAGAATCTTAAGTGATATCAGGCATGCAAGTAGATAAGGTTGTATACGCTTAAAACAGCAGGCAGAAAAATAGACCAAGAAACTGCTATTGTGCATGACTTATAAAAGGCAATGGTCATACCGAAGACCTCGATTTTATGATATATCATAAAAATCAATAAATCAGCAAGCCCCTGAGAAAATTCATGGGTAGCTAAGGACTAAACGTGTCCCAGAGAGAGGCAGTGGAGTAGTCTGCAAATGTAAAAGTGTTTTCTAACCCCCAAATTCTAACCTACTGACTCCATGTAGAGACAACTTCCTCCAAACTAGACTGTAGGTGTCCTCTGCCCTTAGCCAACTGGCATTTAATTAGAGGGATTTTGTTTAGTTACTCTTATGTTCAGAATCCTTTCTGTGTAACTGGTCCTGAAACTGCTCAGTTGAGCTAAAAGGCAAAGTGACAATAATTGGAAACAAAATGTCTTTGTTCCCTTTCCCTCTGAGCAACAGACTGCTCTTTGCAAGCACCATATTGGTGAAGGCAGCCTCTGTATTGAGCCTGCTGACAGAGACATTCCGGCGTATTTACAACAGCTGAGGATAGCGTGCCCTGAAGAGTGAACTTAATTCTTAGTCTGCCAGGTAGTCTTCTGTGAATGACAGTGATTTGTCCCTTGCGATTATTTCCTTTCCTTACTGACTATTCATAAAGCAGTATTTGACAGCCTAATTTTATATAGCTAATAACACTAAGAAGCAATGTGATTTTAGAATGTCCATTAAACTTTTCTGTGTTCAAATATTTTTAATAAGCAGTTCTTTACTGCCCCTCATTTTTGTGGCTTACCAAGATTTAATTACAATCTTTATACTTTTCATTAAATAATCTTTCAGATTATATAAACTATCCATTCAAGATCATGTAAAGTACCCTTGATTCTGTTTGGCACTAAGCAACACAAAAATTTGAATGTATCATAGGAAAACTCATAGGTAATCCAATGATTACATTAAAGAGATAATTCGTTCCATATTTATTCAACAAGTGTGTCAGTGCCTACTATGTGCCAGATACTCTTTCAGGAATTTGGGATATAAATATGAATACAGGAAATAAACCCTGAGACCTAAACAAACTCTTACATAGTTAAATAAGGTGAGAAACATTTTTTACCTGGCCCCCAGGACATAGGTACCAATGTAATTTTCGTTTTACAGATGAGGGAATTGAGGCCACCAGGAGTTAAATGACTACCCAAAAAGCATATTCTTTTTTTTTTTTTTTTTTGAGACGGAGTCTTGCTCTGTCGTCACCCAGGCTGGAGTGGCGCGATCTCGGCTCACTGCAAGCTCCGCCTCCCGGGTTCACGCCATTCTCCTGCCTCAGCCTCCCGAGTAGCTGGGACTACAGGCGCCCACCACCACGCCTGGCTAATTTTTTGTATTTTTTAGTAGAGATGGGGTTTCACCATGTTAGCCAGGATGGTCTCGATCTCCTGCCCTCGTGATCTGCCCGCCTCGGCCTCCCAAAGTGCTGGGATTACAGGTGTAAGCCACCGTGCACGGCCCCTCAAAAAGCATATTCTTAATAATACATGATAGAGCTGGGATTCGGGCTTAGAAGTTTGATGCTAGTGCCTTTAGGCTCTTTATCACGGTAATATATTTCCTCTCACAGTATTGTGTAGGGACGTCTTGCATTTATATTATTATGTTTTTATTATATTTTTGCACATAATTCAATCATATTCTTCCAATCCATTGTGCCCTTCTGTAGTATTTATCTTCACTGTCCATAGATGATATTTATATTCAAAGATAGCAAGAACATAAATGAGGGAGATCATTTGCTGATCTTTTTATCCCAAGCTAACAAAATGTTTCCTCAGACTGAAGCTAGGCCCAAGGGCCACAGGTCATCTTTTCATCATTTTGAGCTCTCAGCTATATTTTACCTTTATGTGCTGTTTGACTCCCATAGGCACCCTTTAAGAAATTTGTTTCCATTACAGAACATGGTCCCTGCAAACTTTGGCACTCAAAGGCCAAGCTTGATAAATAACTTTACTTTGTCATCCTGATTTGCTCCAGAATGTCACTTTGTTTTTGTACGTTTGTTTCTAGAATCAAAACCTCCTTTCAATCAATTTAATCAGTGTCATGAATATTATGAGGCGGAAGTCTTCAACACCGAACCCCCTTTCCAGGACTGGATTTATCTAGAGTTGGGTAGCTTCATTACAGGGAGGCTAGGCAACAGGGTGATGACGAAGATATTCAGTGGTTAACTTCAGGGTGATGGAGCACTAATGCAGTTTTTCAAGGACAGTTATTTACGAGAACATCCAGAGAAACAGAATCGCCTTATCTTCCTTAGGGTTCTCACCTCAGAAAAAAAAAAAATTCTACTCCCAGAGGGCTGGTTTATTCCATAGCAGGGTATACCTTTTAGAAGCAGCATCCCCATGTTGGCGTGGCTGCCTGTCATATATTATGAATATCCACTGTGCCAAATCAAGTCACCTTATCAGTCAGCTACAGAGCTAAAGGGTGTTTTCATTCCATGATCTATACAGCACAAATCAGGAAACTATTTTTGTTCTTTCATGGGTTTCAGTTATAGATCTTAGACAAATCTGGCCTGACTCTCATCCTCTTGGGCAGCAAACCTACATCTCTCACCTGTGAGATGCTGCTGGAGTTGTTCTGGTTAGAGCATACTCTGATACCAGGTTTCGTTAGCATCCCCTTTTGTGCTTTGTATCACAGGATCTCCACACATTTTTTTAAAAAAGAATGTCACAGTTACAATTTTCCTCTATGTCACTCTAGTACCAGATAAGAAAGTAATAATAATAATGCTACCAATGATAAAAGTATCAAAATTTACTATGTGGCAGACAATGTGTTAAGTATTTTGCATATATTATATCATGCATTAGGGAGAGAGAATTCTAATGCCCATTTGTCAGATGAAGCCATTGGGGCATTAAGAGAATTAATAACTTGCCCAAGGTCATAGAACACAGGCAATCCGATTCCAAAACCTACTCTCACTCTCTCATCCTCTATATACTGCAGTGTTTGAAGAATTTCCTGACTTCCATTCGATTTTTCTAAACATATTCTGTTGCCACTCAATTTCTCCAGTCAGAATGGTTTTTAAATTACACTCACAGACCTATTTTCTTCTTTTATACAGTATTTATAGCTGCTGATTTTGATAGCTGAGAATAGTACCATACAAATAATGATGTAAGACCTGAGGCAAATCACTTAACCCCTCTGAACTTCAGTTTCCTCATTTGTAGGATGATGAAATGATAATACTTGCCTCACAGGGTTGTTTGAAGATCAAATGCTATAATGCAAGCAAAGTGCTCTCAATGAATAAATGTTAGCTCAGTTCCTTTCCTTACAAGTGCCAGGATTATAAAATGTGGCCAGACTTGTAGCAAATTTGAATACTATAAGGATTCCTTATTGATTAAATAATTAATTTCTCATCCACTTCCCAAAAGGATTTGAAGGAGCTTGATGAACATAAATTAATATAATCCCTATAAGCATACATTATGTTTCTCCAATTTCATGCTACCTGTTACGCTATTCTGCCCACTTACTTAATTAATTCTTTTGGTAGTCACTCATTCATTTATTCCTTCAAGGAATATTGATTGTATATGTACTATTTGCCATTGTTTTGTGTGCTAGACCACTTGGCTTAGAAATCCTCTTCTATTGTCCAGTTCTTTTTTCCTCCTGCTCTTCTGGTAGTCGTCACCTGTTCCTTTTAGACTTTTATTCATTTGTCAACCAATTGTAGCCTGCCTGACTTCTGATTGTTATGGTCCCCGAATAACTTCTTAAATGCTAACCTCAATATATTTTATTTCTCTTCATCCTTCTTGACCTGTTTGCTGCATTTCACAGTGCTGATAATTTATTTCTAATTACAACTTTCTGGTGGTTTCTTTGATAGGACATTCTCCTTGTTCTCTTTTCTCACACAGTCTTCTCTGACTCTATCATATACTTCTCTTCATTGTCCATCCCTTAAGTGTTGTTGGCACATAGGTTTCAAGTCTAAATAGATTCTTCTTTCCTATTTCTTTGCTAGGATTTTAGTTACCATCTACGTGTTAGTTACCCTAAATAAAAATCTGCAGACTAGAATTGTCTTTCAAGACTCATATTCATATATATTCTCGCCAACTAAACATTTCACACACCCCAACCTGGTAATAACTAAAACAATTTGTTTCCCCCAACAAACACCCACCTTTTCCTCTTACATTCTCTGTACCCTTTAACCAGTCATGGTGCTTGGAACTAACTTAGGATATACTACTGAATTCACCTGATCCATGAATTTCCCATGTGTAATCAATCACCAAGTCTTCTCAAATCACCTCCCAAATATGTCTCCAACCCATTTTGATCACTTTTATCTTAGTTGGGAAACCTAGCCTTCTTTTTTCCAGACAAATGCAATAGTCTCCAAACTCCCTGCCCTCAAACTCACAAGCTCAAACCCATCCTCTCTTAGAATGATGCTTGACATCTAAATAACAATCTGGACATGTTCATCTTTTGCTTAAAGTGTGCAAATATTTACCATTGTCTGTTTAAGTGGTGTTCAAAATGACTCTCTGAAAGCCTTAAGGATTATTGGAAGTAACTCAGGGTCCCTGTGGTGGTGATGGGGTTAGGAGGGGAAATTTAAGCGGTTTCTGTCCTCTCACTGCATTCTTACTCTGTTCTTCCCTGCTTAACCAGACTAGTTCTATTTTTATCATTTTGGATATTTTAGTTCCACAAAGCACTTTCTTTTAGGTAAATGGATGAAAGAGGGTAGAATGCAGGGAGATAATTGAGTGCTTTAACAAAGTCTGAAAGCCACCAGTCTGTGTGACAACAGTCTGCATTACCTCCCCACTGACCAACTTGCCAGCCCCATCCCTTAAAACCCTCTTGCCTTTTAATTTATGCTTCATCACACTCATCTAAACACTTACTTGATTAAAAAAAAAAAAGACGGGGTTTTACTATGCTACTGATCATAGAAAAATATTCCATTTGAATTAGGCCAATTCTAAATTTGTTTCTTCTTGGATTCATGAATTTGCTTTCTGTTGCACAGTTGTTTCCTAGAATCGAGATACTGAATTCTAATCTTTTCAGTTTTTCATGCTTATTTCCAGGTGGTTGGCTTTTTTCCCTTGCTATTCACAGCGATCCCATCCTTTTCATCGGTATGGCAGGTGGCCTTATAAAAATGAGCATCTGTGAGGCTTTCTAAGAGACCCTTCAGGGATAAATTGAGAGCCACATTTTGACCTGTTTATGTTTGGGGTATTTCTTTAAAAATCGTCTTTCCAGATTACTTTAAAAATGAACCATACAATTCTGTGCACTAACTAGGCAAGTATTCTCTAGTCAGGAAACTCAGCTGAATGAGAACTGGAATCTAAAATAAAAGTTGTTTCTATTTGCCTAAGTGCCATTCTCAATATAACATGCTTTTTCAAAAAGATTCATTAATATGCATTTTAAGATTTTAATTTAGAAACAGTCTATCATTGATCACCACTCTGTTTACATTTTAGCAGTCTGCTGAGAGTACGCTGTTAGATTCTTTTATATGTTGCTTTTCCTTCTTCCTCCCTTCTTTATTAGCCTCAACACCTTCCTCTGGGATCTTTATTAAAACGATCAAGGGTAGAGGTTTTAGATTTCATAAATATTGCAACAGTTTCATGCTCTTTGGAGAATGACTCCTTTAGATCAAAATGGCTTCCTATGGGGGCAGAGAGTTTTTCAAAGCCTGCAAAGTGCAAAGAGTAACACAAAAAGCTACCCTCAATAAACACACAAACATAATATTACGTGGGGCCAATAAATAAGTGTCATTATGTAAGAGGTACTCAGATCTTTTAAAAATTTTATTCAAAATTATGAAGCTGAACATGCTAGAGTCTCTGGCCTGCACAACTTCTGATGACTGGGATAATTTTGTTAAAAAGCTAAAGGGAGGTCTGTTAGCCTTTTAAGAAATTGATCACTACCTTCATAAAAGTCTCTGGTGAGGAAATATTCCATTGTGCTGAAGTCTGTATGTTTTGAAAAAGCTGATTAGAGTTCTTTTTTTTTTTCTTTTTTCTTTTTTTTGGCTCATTCAGCCTCAATGTGTTTGAGGTGCCTGTAGGGAGTATGGGAAAAGGAGTTGGGAACAAGAAGTTATATAATAAATGATAGAAATCACTATATTGGCACATTATAACTTAGGTCCTATTCCAAATCATATACCCATCACAAATAGGTGATATTTGTGATAGGACCATACTAATTTTTAGTATGTTACAGAGTTAAAAAATTTAAAGCAACAGAGACGGAAAGCCTGGTCAAACCACTTAGAGGTTTGGATAACTCTTTAACAAGTAAATGAAACAAAATATTTAATCTTTTAGTGTTTCATATGATGGTTAGATCCAGGACTTAGAATGTTGGGCTGCTGAGATGGAATAGAGAGAGGAATTTGTGTGGTTCAACTTCTCACCTTGTGCTGTAGAACCTGGAATTTACAGAGCAAGATTTAAATAAATGGAAAAAAGAATAGAAGGGCCCCAGTGCAGTTTGTTCTTGCTCCAATGTTGGGGGAATTAAAAATGGCAAAGAAAGATCCAGATTATTACTTCCTCATTATGACACCCACTTCAACCCTGAGTAAAATAAGCAAAATCTTGGTATTATCATACTTATAAGGGTGTCTTGTATCATTCTTATAACTGGCCTTCAAGAAGACAAGATCCCCTGATTTCCCAGTATCTCAATGCTTGTTGCAATTTAGAATAATTAGAAGCACTTGCTCAGCTTTGAAAGCACATTGATCCCCAGACTCATTCATTAAATCAGGAATAAGGGGAGAATCCTCGGTGTCATTTAGTAGTTTCCTATATGATTCTTTTTTTAACCTTTATTTTGCATTCACGGGTACAGGTGCAGGTTTGTTATATAGGTAAATTGTGTGTCCTAGGGGTTTGGTGTACAGATTATTTCATGAACCAGGTAAAAAGTATAGTACCTGACAGTTTTTTTTTAAATCCTCACCCTCCTCACACCCTCCACCCTCAAGTAGCCCCCCCATGTCTGTTGTTTCCTTGTTTGTGTCCATGTGTATTCAATGTTTTAGCTTGCACTTATAAGTGAGCACATGCAGTATTTGGTTTTCTGTCCCCATGTTAGTTCGCTTAGGATAATGGCCTCCATCTTCATCCATGTTACTGCAAAGGACATGATCTCATTTGTTTTTATGGCTGTGTATTATTCCATGATATTCCATGTATATGTACCATGTTTTCTTCATCCAGTCTACTGTTGATGGGCATTTAGGTTGACTCCATATCTCTGCTGTTGTGAATAGTGCTGTGATGAATGTATACATGCATGTATCTTTATGGTAGAATGATTTATATTCCTTTGCGTATATACCCAGTAATGGGATTGCTTGTGATTCTAATGCACAGCCACAGTTGAGAACTACTGTTCTGACTTATATTTTATAAACGGTAAAGCTAGACATTTTCCTTAATCACTACTTTTATCACTGACTCATAATCTCTTCTAATTTTTTATTGGCCTTTGAATGAAATCTAAATTCTGTCCAGTTTTCAGCATGTTCATTATCTCATAATTTTGTAACATTCTACAGCTCCCATATCTGCTCAAGACATGCAGATCTCACTACCAAAAACTTACCATGCTCATCCCAGCTCACTTTCCTTTGCCAAGGTAATTTTTCTTATCTGCATAAATAACTCTCCTGTCTACTTTGCCTCATGAAATCCCATTCAACATTGATCACATTCCTCTGTCCCAGATAAATTCCCAGTTGTGGTTTTTACTGCACAATCTAACACCAAATGTCATACTGTCTTGTGGAATGTAGTGTCCATGGAATTTTTTTTCAGCAAAAAATTATTGAGTGTCCACAATATTTCACTATACCAGGATATTTCTGTTTTTCAAGAAAGGCTATACTTATGTTGCCATGACAAACAAACTGAAATTCTTAGTAGCTCAGCAAAGGAGAGGTTATTTCTAACACACGAAGACTTTATTATGATTCCTTTACCAATGCATTGACTCAGTGATTTAGGGTTACCCATGTCATTGTTCTGATGTCTAAAGACAAAGTATCCATTTTCACCAAAGGGAAAATGCTAGTAGTGTCAACCTTCACTTCTTAAATGGTTTGGTCTGAATGTGACTCATAACAGTTATGGTAAGCCATTGGCAAGAAATACTCACATGGTCCTGCCTAATTGCAAGCATCGCTGGGAAATGTGGGGAGCATGTGATGTTTAGAATGATGACAAATGTCTCTGCTGCATGTTTTCAATTTGCGATCTCATGTATCCTTTGCTACAACTCTAAAACATTGAAAGGTATATATTACATATCTAGTATCATTTTGTAATTACCACTATTATTATATTTATAGATACGGATAGGTGAAATGACGTCTCTATCATCACACAACTATATAGTGCATGGTGACTATATATATAGTTGACTTTAAATTCCACAATTCATAAGCCATAGACTCCTTGAAAGCAGAGGCCAAGTATTACCTTCATTCATTGGCAAATGAGATAGCTATTTGTCAGTAAATGGTATCTGATTCAACTGGTAGACTCTACTCAAAATTCAAGTACCTATTGGCTTTTATTCTTTATTGTGCTTCAGACGTTCCTGGTTAGAAAGTGAGCATGAATGAATGATTACTTCATTGCTTAATGAAAGAATAATTAATTCTGTTTAAGAGAATTTCACTGCTTGAGTCTTGTGCTCCACTAGTGAGTGACATTTACAGCTTTTAGGTACAGAAAAGGCGAAGGTAGTGTGTGAAGGGGAGAGAAGGAAAAAAAATAAAGTCATAAAAAGTTCATATAAAAACTTTTTGTATAGAGATTATGTATAATGTTCTGGCAGTTTTTATATGGTCTTGAAATGTCACTTTCTGTTTATTGAGGTCATACATTGTTAATTTGAAACAAAATTAAATAAACAGAAGAATTGCCAACTAGGGCTAAAAAACACAAGCTATATCTGAGAATAGGTCTCATGCTTGGTCTTCAATTTTATTTTATTTTATTTTTGCTTGTAGCACTAAACATTCTGCCTAAAAAGTAGAGTGTAGAGTGCAGAGGAGAAGAGTAAAGAAGGAACTGATTTGATGATCTGAAGTCTTGCAAAAAGCCATGATGTTTTATAGGCAAAAGGGTCTGAGAGTTTGCAAATTTCTTCTCCACATCCCTGGCTTCGCTCTCATGGTGGCTGCCATGGAGCCAGAATACTGGCTGAATTGATGACCTGTAACAATGCCACCTTCTAGGGAAAGGGACAGAAACAACCATAAGTAAGGGAGGCGCTTCCTTAGTAGAAAGACCATGGGTCTTAAAGCCAGACCATCTTGGCTTGAAACCAGGCTCTTTTACATTTTAGCTGTGTATTTGCAGAATTTAACCTCTTTAAATCTTTGTCTTTCCTGAAAAATAGTACACCAATACCTATTTTACAATAATTACTAGAGGACCAGAAGTAATTAATGTAAAGCACCTACCTTATTTCTTGATTTAGAAAAAAAATCAGTAAATGTCATGGCTTAAAGAAAGTTACAGAAGGCAAGCACGGGATGAGTAGGTTAACTCAATTTAGCATCGTTCTTATGTGACAAACTTGCAATTTTTTTCTTTGAATCAAAAGTTCCAAGTTTTAAAATAGTATCCTCATTTTACTTGCCAATTAGCTATCACAATATTTGAGATAAGATTAATGGTAGGAATGCAGCAAATATAATTATATGAAGGCTGACATAAAATTTTAAGGTATTTGTTTGGGGTTGCAACTCTTTATAAAATCTATATAGGCAGTTACTGCCATTATCTTTTGATCCCAGGACATCTACTTTTTATGTTTGTATATGTGTATATCTCCATCTATTTCTTGTGCCTACAATTCATTGCACTTGAACTACAGAATCCTCATGGGTTAACAGCAGATAAGACATTTTGGAATTATGTATAATCAGGTATTCACTGACTCAATTTGGGCAAACACTCAGATGAATCTATCTTTTTTATTCACCAATTTACTCATTATTCAATGGATGTGCACTTAGTACCAAACACTGTTTTAGACATTTTGTATACCTGTAACTCAATGAACGAAACAAAGTTTCCTAAGTATATGGGGACTACATTTTAGTGGGAAGAAATGAGACAGTACATGGTAAACATAATAAAAATATTATATAATATATTGGAAGATGACAAGTGTTATAAGAAAAAAAAAATACAGAGAAAGGAGAATTGAGAGTGTCCTGGCTAATGGTGATAGAGGGAACAGATTTTAGTGTTAGATAGAGTTACCAGGGATCATCTCATGAGAACGTAAATTCAGCAAATTCCTGAAAGAAATAAGGGGTTTAGCCATGCAAATATATGGGAAAGAGAGTTCCAGGCAGAAGGAATAGTAAATACGTCACTATGACTGGAGAGGACTAAGGAAGAGGAAGACTAATAGGAGGTTATGAAGGTAACATGGGCCAGCAGGTAGACAATGTAGGGCTCTGTGTGACATTGTAAGCTATTTCCCCCCACTTATTTACCAAAATAGCAAGTAGAATCAAACATATGCAATGTGATAGCAACAATGAAACACTCAAGGAGAATAACACATCTGCAAAAGTTGATAATTAAATTCAGTCAGATTATTTTTCATTTTTAACTACAACACATTTAGTCTTATAGGAAAAACTTTCACATTAGAGGATAAGTACTTTACTGGCCATCAAGTGTTTGAGTATTATACTTAGTCTGTATCCTGATATGTAACGCATCCCTTAAGAAAGAAACCTTAATCGAGCTTATAGTTATACTTTTCAATGTTAATAATCACTCTTTACCATAAAAAGAGTTTCCCAAAATATTTCTTCAGTTTTTTTTTTAAATTCTGCTGAGTTTTAAAACATATTTTCTCCTAGTCAGTACTCAGTGGAAATGAGAAACAGCTGGCCAACATCTTACATAATCTATCATGTAGGTAATAATTATTATTAATTTACCTGAAGAATGGTCTCTTTTCCCAGATAAAACATAATATTCGTATAATCTTCTGTCATAAACACTCTTTTCTGTTATTTTAGTTCTTTGGGATTATAATTGCTATTTAAATTTAATATATTTTTACCTGATCAATACTTAATTTTTCTAATTTACATCAAATCAGATTTAAAATTATTTGAATAAACTATTTGTATAACTCATGTTAAAACTACTAGTTACTTGGAAAAGAAAAATTTTGAATGAATCCTCAAAATTGCCAAAGCATTAACAGTGTATAGGTTAATTCCTGTACCTTATTTTGTTAAAATAGTCAAAGACACATGAAATGCACTGGTTATTTGTTGCTGTCTTATCAACTAACAAAATTTACAAATGTAACATAAATATGATAACTTGATTTCCAAGGTAAAGCATAAGTTCATTAGACACTCATCTAATCTTTGGGACACAGAACATGATAGAAATTCATGAAATTACAGTTCTTAGAGTATTTTTTAGGATACAACTACTTGGGAAAGGTGGCTCAGAAGATGTAGATGTATGTTGCCACCTATTATCATGGAAAAGAATTGGCTCATGTATTCAGATAATAAAATATAGCATTCAGCTCATTCTCTAATTCTCACGGCAGCTCTTAATGGAGTAAGGAATCCACCAATTCAGAGAAACTCAACGGTGTAGATTCACTGCCTTTGTACTATGTGTGGTGAAGTTATGTTGACCCTCAAGGCTATACCTCATCACTATAGAAGGAATATATTGCGGTGACACAGTTACATGTATCCATAATTATTACTTGCTGTGTCATTCGGTGTATTTGAGCTTTCAGTGAAGCTAGCCGGGTCATAGCCACAACCTACCAAATAGTGCCAATAGAATGAACAGTTTAGATATTGCCCGCAAAAGCTTGGATTACTTGCTCATAATAACTAATTTTAACTAGAAAAATGTCATGGGTTATGCTGAAGATTCACTCAGTATTTTATTTCTCATTTCAAGCTATGGCAGATTATATTAGCCAATCCAGATCGTCAGAGACAGTATGCAAAAAGTATTGTATAGTATTGTTTTAAAATACACAGTCACAAAATAAATACCCTCTTATTAATTTCCATAATGGAAATTAAAATGCAAATCAAAAAATTTTCTTCAATTACCAAAGATATGTTAATTTACAGCATAAAATATCTTCTCTTTTGAAGAAATTTTAAAATCCAGATATCATGCATTCCTTATTTTCTTATACTCATTTTCAGCCATAAGAATCCTACACAGATGCCTGGTTACTTTCTGGTTTCTGCCAGCAAATATGATCTGAGTCGTTTTCCCCAGAAATGGTAGAGATAACAAAGGACACCCAAAATTGTATTAATTCATACTTCCAATTTTCCAAAATAAAATGTGTCAATAGCAAGCTATCAGAGCACAACCTCACAATTATAATATTTAGAAAATACATACACTTTCTTGATGATAACAGCATTCTGTAATTCAAGCACTGGTTTCCTTATCCAATGCAAAAAAAAAAAAAAAAAAAAAAAGAGATTAAATAACTCACGTCATGTACTTGAAAACTACAATCTTATTTCCAACCAGAGGCCCAAGTAGGAACCTGACTGTAATCTAGAGGATAATAGGTGAGAATTTTGGAGGTGGTGAGGATTGAATGGAGAAAATGGGAAGAGAAAGAAGCTTAGTTTCAGCTTCAGCCTGTGTGTTAATTCATGCTACTTATCCAGAATTTATTGTGGGATGAAATTCAATTAGGAAAACTTTTTATTAAGAAGGTAATAGTAACACTATTGGCACTGCTTAGTTTTGGAAGGTTCAACTTGCTTCTAATGTGTTTTCAAATCTACAGTAACTCTCTTTTCTTTCCCTTTTCTCTCTATTTCATTTCTTTGTCTTACATATGCCCTTTGGTATCCCTCTTAGTATGAGAGATATAAAATTAATAATTCCTATGTAATATTTATTGAACTCTTAGTACCAGATACCATGTCAATTGCCTTTTCATAATCATCTATAAAATAGGCATCACTGTCTCACTTTTACTAACAAAAAAAAAAATGTGTAAACATAGAAGGGATGTTGTTTACTGTAATTTACATTTTGTGAAATGGTGAGCCTGGAATTTATCTTTTCAAAGAAACCGCTTTTGGTTTTATTGATTTTTCTCTATTGTATTTCTATTTTTCATTTAATTTATTTCTGCATGAATTATTATTTATTTCCTTCTGCTTGTTTTAGGCTGAACTGCTCTTTTTCATCTAGTTTGTTAAGGTACATATTTAGATGATTGATTTTTGTTCATATATATGTACATATATAGCCATAAATTTCTCTCTAAGCTCTACTTTCACTTTGTCTTATAATTTTAACTGGTTGTATTTTTATTTTCATTGGGTTAAAAATATTTCAAAAATTCATCTTGAGATTTATTGGTAATTTATATGATACTTAGAAGTGTGTTACCTAGTTTTCAAATATTTTGGAATTTACTTGTTTTCTTTCTGCTCTTGGTTTCTATTTCCATTGTGGTCTGAGAATATACTTGGTATGATTTCTATTGTTTTAAATTTGTTCGTGTGTATTTTACAGCCTGTAATTTGGTCTATCAGGGTGGGTTTTTTCCAAGCTTGAGAAGAATGTGTTTTTGCTGTTGTTGGATGGAGTGTTATATAAATGTCAAGTAGTTCAAGTTAACTGATCATGCTCTTCAGGTCAACTTTACCTTTACTGATTTTCTGACTGCTTAATTTGTTAAGTAGGAAAAGAAGGGTGTTGAATCTCCAATTATAATAGTGAATTTGTCTGTTTCTACTTTAAGTTCTATAAGTTTTTGCCCCCTGTATTTTGATGCTTAGTTTTTTGGTGCATATATGTTAATTATTGTTATGTATTTTTGGAGAATTGATTCCTTTATCATTATGTAATGACTCTCTTTATCCTGAATACTTTTTATTGTTCTGAGGTTGGTTTTGTCTGAAATTAATGTAGTTCTCCAACTTTCTTTTGCTTAGTGTTATCAGGGTATAGTTTTGTCCATCCCTTTAATTTTTGTCTATCTGTTTTTATATTTAAAGTAGGCTTATTATAGACAGTATAGAGTATAGTTTCTTGTAAATAGTAAATAGACAGTATATAGTTTATTTACTCTGATCTCTGTGTTTTAATTGGTACATTTACCCCACTCCCATTAAAAACTTATTAATATAGTTGGGTTAATATCTACCATGTCTGTCTTTTATTCATTACATTTATTTTTTCTTCCTTCTTTCCACACTTTGTCTTCTGTAGTTTTAGTTGACTATTTTGTATGCTTCCATTTGGTTCTCTCTCTTTGCATAGAAATTATAGTTCTTAAAAAAAAAAAAGCTAGTGGTTTCTCTAGAGTTTCAGTATACTTTTTTATTTTAAATTTTAGTATTTGTGTGTAAATAGTACAATAGTATACATATATATTTATGGGGTATATAAGATATTTTGATACAGGCATGCAATGCATAATAATCACATTAAGGTAAATGGGGTATCCATCACCTCAAGCATTTATCCTTTACAAATAATCCAATTATACTCTTTTAGTTATTGTAAAATGTACAATAAATTACTGTTGACTGTCAGTATACATTTTTAACTGATCTAAGTCTTCCTATAAATAACACTATACTACTTCTTATGTAAGATTCTTTATTATAAAGTATTTCCTATTTCTCCCTCCCTTTCCTTATGACACTTCTGTCATTTATTTTACTTATTCATAGGCTATAATCACCCAATACCTTACTGTTATTATTTTAAACAAAGTCTTCTTGTAGATGAATTTAGAGTAAGAATATTTTTTTAATTTATTCCTTCTCTGACAGACTTTCTTTTTGTGTAGATTTGAAATTATGACATACATAATTTTCCTTCTCCTTGAAGAGTTTTCTTTTCCTTGAAGAACTTCATTTAACATTTCTTGTAGAGTAAGTCTTATGGTAATGAGTTCTCTGTTTTTGTTTGCATGAGGAAGTACTTATTTTTGCTTATCTACTTAAGGATAATTTTACTGGTTATAGAATTCTAGACTGGTGTTTTCTTTAAGAACACTTTAAATATTTTTTTTCTACCACTTTTTTTTGCAGTTTCTGATAGAAAATGAAAAATCAATTGTAATTTGTATCCTCATTTCTTTACCACTAGGACGTTATTTTTTATCTCTGATTTTCTTTTTGTCTTTGGTTTTCTGCAGTTTTTTGCTCTTTTTATTTTTTATTTATTTATTTATTTTTTTTAGACGAAGTTTTGCTCTTGTCACCCAGGCTGGAGTGCAATGGCACGATTTTGGCTCACTGCAACCTCTGCCTTCTGGGTTCAGGCGATTCTCCTGCCTCAGCCTCCCAAGTAGCTGGGATTACAGGCATGCGCCACCATGCCTGGCTAATTTTTGTATTTTTAGTAGAGATGGGGTTTCACTCTGTTGGCCAGGCTGGTCTCGTACTCCTAACCTCAGGTGATCCGCCTGCCTTGGCCTCCCATAGTGTTGGGATTACAGGCTTGAGCCACTGTGCCCAGCCTTCTCCAGTTTAAATTTAATATGTCTAGATTTAATTTCATTGTTTTTGTTATTCTGCTAGATGTTTAAATGTTCTGAATTTGTAGTTTGGTGTCTGTCGTTAAATTTAAAATTGTTTCAGCAATCATTATTTTAATTTTCTGCTCTATTTTTATATTCTGTCTCATAGTCCAATATCACTTATGTTACACATTTAAAAAATTTTCCACAACAGTTTCTGGATGTTATCATTTTATTATTTTCCACATTCTTTTCTCTCTTTGCATGTTAGCTTTGGAAGCCTCTAGTGATATATCTTCAGGCTCACTAATTCTTTTCTCCAGTGTGCCCAGTCTACTAATGTCTCCATCAAAGACATTTTTCATTTCTGTTATGGTGTTTTTTAATTTTATCGTTGTCTTTTAATTATTTCTCAGAATTTCAATCTCTCTGCTTATACTACCCATTTGTTCTTGAATGTTGTCTACTTTTTCCATTAGAGTTCTTACCTTATTAATCATAGTTATTTTTTATTTTCTGTCTAATAATTCCAATGTCTATGTCATATCTGAATCTAGTTTTGATATCTGCTTTGTCTCTTCAAACTATGCTTTTTGCCTTTTTGAATATCTTCTATTTTGTTGTTGAAAACCAGAATGTTGTATTGGGTAATAATAACTGAGGTAAATAGGGCTTTAGTGTAAAGTTTTATGTTAATCTGCTTTTTCAAATGTTTTCTGTGTTAGCTTTTAGTGTCTTTTTTTTCTTTTTTTGGCTTTGAGTTTCTCTAAGTTTCCCTCCTCAAACAGTTGTCTTGCAGCTCTTTCAGCTATAGTCTACTTGAGACTTGGATGGTGGCAAGGCATAGAGAAGAAAAAATGCTCTGTTATCTTATAATTTTGGTGGACTTGTTTCTGAACTGTGACCTTCAATTGTTTCTATTAGGCTAGATTGTTTCTCCCTTAGACTAGACAGGAGGGTTGGAGGGGGCTAAAATGGGAGAAATGCCCTTCCCGTAGCTCTGGTAAAGTCTTTTTTTCTGGAGAACAGGCCTATATTATGAAGAATCTTTAGAGCTTATTTCACAATGATTACATTTCCTTCCCCTGCAAGAGCTACAAGAACATCTTTCTTGACTTTTCACCATGAAAACTTTGTGAGGTCCCTGGAGGTTAAACCCATGAATATGTGGGATCCCTCTGAACACTTTCGGCCCCAGTACTTTCTCACTTTCAAGATTGTCTGCATTCAGCCTCTACTAATTCATCAAAGTGATCATTTTAAATATTCTACAGTAAATGGCTGTAGCAGTTTCTCCTCCAGGTAAGCAGATCTTATCTGCCTCTCTAAATTTCAAGTTTGCCCTGAGACCTCAGTTCTCTGAATCCAAGGAAAATCATTTATTTTCAATTCATTCTTTTGTTGTTGTTGCTGTTTATTTCTTTTTGTAAGGATGAGAATGACATTTCCTAAGCTCTTTCATGTGAACGTTGAAACCCTAAGTCTGAGGCTGGGATTTAAACCTGAATCTGCCTGACTTGGAAGTTTAGATTTTTTTCTTTATGCAATGATTCATTAATTTTTTAAAAATCTCATCATTAATAAGACTCGATTTTCTAGTTAAACATTTTTAAAATGGCATTTTCTTACATTTCTAGTTTTTCTCTCTGAGTTGAGTCACGGAGTTATGTGAGTTTCATGTAACTGTCCATAGTTAAATAAAATGGGAAATTAGGTGTAACTGGGCCGAAATGGACAGAATAGACATTATAGTAAAGGTTCTTTTTGCTTTGGTTTCAAGTTGCACTAATAAACAGCTTAGACACAGGCAAATAGTCAAGTACTTTAAAAAAAAAGCAGTAGACGGCATAAACAGAAAAATTGAGAGCAGGTAGGACAAGACTGGCCATTTAAATGGATCATTAAAGGAAGACACATTTGGCTATATTGCTCCACAGAGAGCTTCTTTGTGTAGGTTTATGAACTCTGGGAGAAAGGCTGAGTTAGGCCTAATTATATTTAGATTAGCTCTGCAATGTAAATGCCTAACCTTCTCTCAGTTCTTTTTTTTCTTCCTTTATCTCTGTTTTATTTATTTTATTTTTTTGAATTTTGGAGTGAGCCCATAGATCTTTATTCTTTGACCTTTCTATTATATGTGTGCTTTAATCAGCTATTGCTTCTTTATCTTTCCATAAAAATTAAGAGATGACAATCTGTTTACCTTTATGCTGAAAGAAAAAGATATTCATAATACATTTTTAAATAAAAACAAGTTGCAACAAACCCACACCCATCATTGCTGCTTGTTTATTGTCTCCAAATTTTAGGTGAATTATTTCCCTTTAAATAGCATCGAGAAAATCTGAGAATAATATAATTTGGGCTTTAGACATTGTAGAGAAGTGAAAGAATCATTTCTCTATGACTATTATTCCTGGAGTATTACTTTTTTATTTGTATTTTTTGCTTTCTCCCCCAATGAATACTTGTTTTGCCATTATTTTTTCTTTACCCCAGATGACAGGTGAGAGGATCTTTGCTTTACAATGTTATCTTTTAAAGTGGTATATGCATGTTTTCCTTACATATAATACTATAGTAGTCCTTATCCATTTCTGATGTCATAGATACTTTTGAGAAACTGATGAAAGCCAAAAATTTCTTTACAGAAAAATTAATATACACATGAATTTTGCATGTACAGTAATTTCAAGAGGTTTAGAGATTTTAAAAAAAAGTTTCTGATATTCAGGTTAAAAACACTTGACATATATTTGTATCTCACAGGTGACTACTGCCTTTTGCAAGACATGTGGTATAAAAAGTTTTGCCTAGTCTGTAACAGAGAAGTAGTTTCTCCCTGATTCAACACCCTGAGACAATATTCTTTACCTATGAACTTGCTATGGACAACAATAGGATTTGTTGAAAATGACTGGAACTACTGTGTGTAATAAGAACAGTACCGAGATTACTGTGCATATTTATCTGTATAACAAATTATCAAAGATATTTAAGTAGTTTCCTGTTTCTCTTTGCATCATAACCCTTAGTTGTTGTGACTAAGAGATTGGCCTTGAGTTGTTGTGACTGAGATTGGTCTTGCTACAGCTGGGGTTCTTTGTTCTCCTTCTATGTGATCTTATCTGTACTGGGAAGTTGGCTTTTTGCTTTAGTGAGTTATTACTAGGGCTTAGATTTTGCTTATAAATTTTCTCGAAAGGCAGGCTTTGACAACTGGGAATTGATTTTTGCAGGAGGCTTTCTTAATGTCTAATATACTCTACAATATAATGATTATGGCAGGGTGAGAGAGTGGAGCTCTATAACCTTTTAACTGGAGTTCACAGTGTTGGTATCTGTGCTTTTTAATAATAATTTAGGTATAGAACAAGGCATTCAGGCATCATCACTGACAGGAGCAATGGAGAGAAGTAGGCCTCTATCTGCCTGTGTGAAAAGTAGTGGTTAGGAAGAAACAGTTCCATTACAATAGGCAAACACCAATATGTGTATATGCATATGTATTTGTAGTTTGTGTGTATGCATGTAGTCAATGTACTAGTTAGTTCTCTCAGATTTATGCAAATTAGCCTGTGATTTACAAAATGGTTTGATGAAGACATCTCAAATTTGTAAGGAGGATGACAATGTGCATGTGATTGACATGAACTAATTGAACATAATGTCCTAGGCTATTGTTTGCCAGGCAGTTATTGAATGGTGTAAGAGAAATGTCATCATCCTGCTTTACTGTAAGATAGGTTTTCATCAACAAAAAGAAGAAAGAATATTAAAGCTCTCTTTATGTCATTATGCCCATTGTGTAATTTCTGTGTCAAGAGATGATATAGTGATTACATAGTGCTAAGAATACAGAATTTGGAATTAAAAAAACAAAAAATAAAAAATTACCAGTGGAGTCCTATGTCTACCACTAATTTGCTGTGAGATCTTTACTACCCTCAGAATCTAATCCTGTGAGGAGAGATAATAACAAGATGTACATACCAGATTGCTAAGAATTCACTGAAAGAATGCATGTGAAGTGCTTTGCAGAGTGCCTGGTATATAATACATTCTTAACAAACATAAGCTATTATCATTGACGCTGCATTGTCTTCTAAGTTGGTATTTCTCACTTAGTGTTTTTAAAATGGTTGGGGCTCATGGGTGTGAAGGACAATTAACTCCCATGATCTGAACCTATCTCTGTAAAATGTTCAGAGCAAACATCCTCATTTTCTTGTCTGTATTTATGAACAGACTTGAAGCAAAAACATCTGTTCTTTTTGGAGTCTTATTTGGTAAAGCTCTCACCCATGTCTCGGAGTCTCCATTCTTTTACTAACTGCCTTTTTTGCTTGCCTTGTTAATTAACAGTTTCCTGCTTAGCAAGGCATATTTTACCTTGTGCCTTAATTCCTTCTGCCATTCTCTCTGAAATGCATCAAATTTTCAGATATCCTTGTCAGTATAGGTTGCTGATGAACCATAAGATAAACAGATGACTCAATGGTTGTGTTATTGGTATACTTCGAGGCACAATTAGAGCTTGCATGTATTTTTCTCCGCTTCTTTAACTATTATCTATATTACCCAGTGTGTTGACATTTTCTGTGGTAATTTTCTAAATTATATTCCAGTTATTTGGCTATATTTTCTAAGTAATATTGAATCAAAGATGGTACCCAGATGAAGTCTATTGTTGAAGCACAAATATCCTCCTCCGTAGGGCATGCATAAGTAACCAATAAAGACCAGAACATTTCTGATTTCCATAGCGTCTATTCTGAAGCTCAATAGTTTTCTTAGTTGTTCTAGGAGAGCATGAGCTTCTTTATTCATAGGGTATCTTTCTTTTGCTCTGATATTTCCCCACATATCTTTTTTATAACATGGACACCTTAGTATGTGTTGTCAATTTCAACTAGAAAAATAATTGTTTCGACAATTCAATAATTTCTCAAATCACAGTTACTAAGTCTCATATAGTTCACCTTTACTTTGTACCAAGAGATTCAAAACTATTTTCATTCAAAGCTATTTTCTTTATGACATGACTTGACTATGTGTTTTTTTTTTTTTTTTTGAGATGGAGTGAGATGGAGTTTTGCTCCGTCTCCCAGGTTGGAGTGCAGTGGCACGATCTCAGCTCACTGCAACCTCTGCCTCCCGAGTTTAAGCGATTCTCCTGCCTCAGCCTTCTGAGCAGCTGAGATTACAGGTGTGCCCTACAACTCCTGGCTAATTTTTGTAGAGACGGGGTTTTACCATGTTGGCCAGCCTGGTCTTGAACTCCTGATCTCAAGTAATCCGCCCACCTCAGCCTCCCAAAATGCTGGGATTACAGGCGTGAGCTACTGTGCCCAGCCTGACTGTTTTCTATTATAATTTCTGTTTATTGCCTCTAAAACAAGTTTAAACGTTGTGTGAAAAATACAATACTTAAAGAAACAGAAGTACAGTATTTGATACTTATTAATACTTGATACTTTTCTATAATTGATGTCATCCTGGGATTTTATTCAACACTCTGCTCAGTATCTGTATCTTTCATGGGTTCTGCTTTCTTGCATATTAACTAATTAATCTAGTACTTTAAGGAAAAATACTTCTCTTATTTCTGAGGTGAAGAAATTGAGAAACAGAGAAGTGCAGTGGTCTTACGTGGTCCCGTGATCTTACATGGTCCCATGGTCTTATGTGGTCTAAATACTTGGAGCAGAGAGAAACACTCAGGACTCCTGATTTGAAAGCCTTTGTTCTTTCCACTAGAGATAACTAAACTTACAAAAGTGATGTTTATACTGGAACTAGTCTACAGAGTATCAGAAGAAATGATTAGTCAATTAATAGAAATGAACTTGCATTTCTATTAAAATTTGTCTCTCCTATCACTGTCACTGATCCTGGAAGAATGCCTTTTATTTGTCCAGGCACATAACAGTGTGATTTCTAAATGATAGTAATATTAAAAATAAAATATTTTAGCAATGTCATTCCAGAAGTTAATCTATTGTATAACAGTGATCATTTCAGTTTGATGCTTTCTCTGCTGTGAAGAGAATGTGCAGGCTTTAATATATCATGATGTCTGTTTATTCATTTCTTTCAACTTTTGGTTTAGTGCTTATAAATTACCCGTAACAGATTTGTAAGTGATCCCTTAGTCATCAAATTTGGTAGTATGATCTAGGAGACTAGTGAAAGATGTTATGCATGCTGAAGAATTCTGGTTGTGGATGTCTTTATATGTCTATAAACCTTAAAACCTGACACCGTTGTAACACTGGTATTTCAGAAATAGAGCTAATTTACACTCTGTAAGCTATACATGTTACTAAATTTCTATGTTACATAGCTCCTAATTTTGGCTGACATAATTTCTAACCCCTAGGACTTTTGAGGTCATGTGATGAACAATTTAAAATAACGGGTATATTGGTCAGGAATCGCCAGAGAAACAGAACCAATACATACAACCAATAAAATTTATGTATGTGTGTGTGTATTTGTATATAGAGATATTAATTGATTGTGTGAATATATATTCATTATGTGTGTATATATTTCTGAATATATATATATATACACACACAGAGAAATAATGATACTAATTGATTAATTTTAATTGGTTTACATGATTATGGGGGCTGGAAAGTAAAAAATCTGTAGTGCACGTTGGCAGTTTGGTGACCTATTGATGTTGGTCTCCAGGCTAAAGGTAATCTGGAGACAGAATCCCTTTTTCCCCTGGGAGGACTTCAGTCTTTTTCTCTTAAGGCCTTCAACTGTTTGGATGAGGCCTACCCACATTATGTAGGATAATCTCCAAGTCTACTGACTTAAATGGAATCACATTTTAAAAATACCTTCCCAGCTACATCTAAACTGGTCTGAGTACTATTGCCTAGCCAAGTGAACAGATAAATTAACCACCACAACTGGGTGGTAATGTTTTATATTGGTTTATTTAAAAATTGGTGTTATTTAATTCCAACAATGTTGTCCTAATAAAATTCCAAAGGCTTTTGTGATGCATATACAAGCTAATACAGTTTAGCCTAAAATTAGAGCTTTTGATTTTGAAAGTTAGTCTTTTTTTACAGTGTTAAATTCTAAATTTAAATTCTTTGGGGTCAGCGATTATTATAACATAAGGCTTTTTTTTTTTGGTTTAACTTTTGCTAGTACTATAGCTAATTATATCAAGGCTAAAACCTTGATTGGCAGCATTCCACAATGATAAGAAAGACAACTATTCTTTGCTAAACAATACTTAGCATTTCATAATATTTCTGGGAACTTACACATACATTTTCTTTTAAAATATCTTGTTTAAAGATTTATTTAAATGAAACTACCATTGTTTTCTGTGTTGGTAACATTATTCATTATGGTATTTTATCTTTTATATTTTATTGTCTCGTGGCTAATAGGCATTTAATAAGTATTAGTTCTCTACGTTTTTTATAGTAGAAATGGAGTTTCTGCTAACAATACATCTTCACATGCACAAAAATATTCTTCTAAATAATTTTGTTTTTAAACTGTGGTTATCGTTCCTTTGTTTCAACACTTCTCAAACTTACTATGTTTTGGTGGAATCGATGTAGCAGATCGTGGAGAAAGAAAGTATGTGTCATCAGCCTGTGACTATTGATTCTGTCAGGATAAGTAAATATAGGCTCAATTATGCTACACATAAAACAACCACAAAATCCCAGTGGCTTAATAAACCAAGGGCTCATTCGCTGCTTATCTACATGTCTAACATGTGTCAATCTGGGAGCTCTGCACGTCATAGTTCTTAGAGAACCCAGGCTGAGACTTGATTTTGTACATATGCACCATGATGACTATGCCAGGAGAAGGGATACTTACTGTGAATTGTATATGCTCTTAAAGCTTCCACCCAGAGGTGTCCCACAACACGTCTGCTCATGTATTGCCAACTAATACAAGTCACATGGCCATGTGCCTAACTGCAAAGTGGGTGAGGAAGTGGTAATTTGAATATGAATGTGGAAGGAGGGGATGTGGAATACTTGTGAATAGTCCTGGTGACCATAATCAGGTGCTGTTTCAGGTGTGATTCTGTATCAGGAATGATTTTAGCTTTAAAACATGGCTAAGATTAGCTCGTAAAGATATTCAGTTATTTCACATAATAAGGGTAGATAGGCAGTCTAAAAATTGACATAGGAGCTCATGGATTATATAAAAGATTAGGCTCTTTTCATATATCTGTACTACTTTTCCCAGAATCATGGATTTTTGTCTTTAGCCTGGCCATCTTAAGGTTTTCAGAAGACTTCTATAGCTATAAATATCAAATCCTCATTTGTCTGCCCCAAATCAGGAAGGAGGAAGCAGATTTTCTTCTTTGATTTCTCTCTCTTTTTTTTCTTTCCCTGTCTGTCTCATATCAGAAGGAGTATCTTCCCTGAAGAAAAAATTCTGCTTTCTTAGCAGATTATCCCTTATTTTTTGTTAGTTAGACCCTGTCACTGGGCAACTCTTAGGTGCAGGAAAGATGGGAAAGTATCTGAAAATGGGGCAAAGGATAAGTGTAACAGATTTAAAAGACAATCATGCCTTTACTATCTTTCCTCATCTGGGGCTGGACACTTTGCCCCTTGAACAAAATTGTACATCTGGATTAAAAAAGAAGGACAAATTGTTATGGAGAGAACACAGGAGCACCTTTCACAAGGCGAAAAAAAAGCCTTCAAAATTAAATAAGGAGATGATAATTTGAAGTAAATCATTGAGCAAGACAGATTATCATGTAGTCTAAGATAGTTAAAAAGTAAACTATGGGAGGATGAGATTATTTGAGCTAGAGGGTCAGGTCAGTCATTAAGGCAGTAACAAATGAGCAGATCCTTGGGAAACTGAAAGGATTTCAATGACAGGGCATTCCAAGGTGGAAATACTAAAGGCAAAGGTACAGGAACATTAAAATGCTGAGGAATTAAATTTACGAATTTAGGATTAAATAATGTAGAGCCATATATATTACACAAGAACTTGAACACTTCATGGAGCCTTATAACTTGGGGGCATTGTGATCTGGTGGTTAAGAACAATTGCTCTAGACTTAGACAATGTCAACTCCATCTCAATTCTACCACTTACTAGTTGTGAAACATTGAACAGGTATCCCAAGTCTTCATTTCCATACCTGTAACAAATGGAATAATAAATGATGCGTACTTGTCTTTGTTAGGGTATTCCAAACTGCTGTAATGAATAGATGCAAAAATTTAATGGCTGAAATAAAATAGAAGTTTATTTCTTGTTCATATAACAAGGTAGTAGGCAGGCTCTGTGCCACGTAATCATTCAAGAACCCAGGATGACAACAGCTTTGCCATGGCATAGCACCTGACACAGAGTAAGTAATAAATAAATATTAACTGTTATTTATGTTAGCCATAGCTTTGGTTTAGAAACCAAAAGGCTTAATGGGGAATTGACAAAAACATGTCTTCTTAAACCACTGCATATGTTTGCCAGAATAATCTTTATTTCAGTGTGAATCATTTTATTTTTCTGCTCAAAATAAATTAATACATACAAGCAGAGAGCCAAATCATGAGTGAACTCCCATTCACAATTGCTATAAACAGAGTGAAATACCTAGGAATACAGCTTACAAGGGACATGAAGGACCTCTTCAAGGAGAACTACAAACCACTATTCAAGGAAATAAGAAAGGACACAATAAATGGAAAAAATTCTATACTCATGAATAGGAAGAATCAATATCGTGAAAATGGCCATACTGCTCAAAGTATTTTATAGATTCAATGCTATTCCTATTAAGCAACCATTGACTTTCTTGGCAGAATTAGAAAAAACTGCTTAAAATTTCATATGAAACCAAAAAAGCCCATATAGCCAAGATAATCCTAAGCAAAAAGAACAAAGTTGGAGGCATCATGTTACCTGACTTCAAACTATACTACAAGGCTACAGTAACCAAAACAGCATGGTGCTGGTACCAAAAAGATATATAGACCAATGCAACAGAACAGAAGCCTCAGAAATAACACCACACATCTACAACAACCTGATCTTTGACAAATCTGACAAAAACAAGCAATGGGGAAAGGATTCCTTGTTTAATAAATGGTGCTGGGAAAACTGGCTAGCCATATGCAGAAAACAGAAACTGGATCCCTTCCTTACACCTTATACAAAACATAAGTTAGATTAAAGACTTAAATGTAAAACCGAAAACCACAAAAATCCTAGAAGAAAACCTAGGCAATACCATTCAGGGCATAGGCATGGGCAAAGACTTCATGACTAAAACACCAAAAGCAATTGCAACAAAAGCCAATATTGAAAAATGGGATCTAATTAAACTAAAGAACTTCTACACAGTTAAAAAAAAATGGTGCTCTTTAAAAAATCAGGAAACAATAGATGCTGGCGAGGCTGTGGAGAAATAGGAACACTTTTACACTGTGTAAATTAGTTCAGCCATCGTGGAAGACAATGTGGCTATGCCTCAAGGATCTAGAACCAGAAATACCATATGACCCAGCAATCCCATTACTGGGTATATACCCAAAGGATTGTAAATCATTCTATTATAGAGACACATGCACATATATGTTTATTGCAGCACTATTTACAATAGCAAAGACTTGGAACCAACCCAAATGCCCATCAGTGATAGACTGGATAAAGAAAATATGGCACATATATACCATGGAATACTATGCAGCCATAAAAAAAGAATGAGTTCGTGTCCTTTGCAGGGACATGGATGAAGCTGGAAACCATAATTCTTAGCAAACTAACACAGGAACAGAAAACCAAATACCACATGTTCTCATTTATAAGTGGGAGTTGAACAATAAGAACATACGGACACAGGGAGGGGAACATCACACACCAGGGCCTGTTGTGGGGTAGGATCAAGGGGAGGGAGAACATTAGGATGAATACCTAATGCATGCAGGGCTTAAAACCTAGATGACAGGTTCATAGGTGCAGCAAAACACCATGGCATCTAAACAATGCTATATTCTAAGAAGGGCATCAGCTTCTTATAATAGAGAACTTATTGAAGTTTGCAGTTATATTTTTATTAAAATAAAGCCCTCAACCTAATCCTGAAAGAAGAAACTGTGTTGTAGTATACAAAGAACATGAGCTTTCTAATCCTGACCTTACTGTTTCTTGCTCTTGTTCTAAAGTTACTTAAGAAACTCTCTTATGTAACTTTAGGCAACTTACTTAGTTTTTTCTGTGCCTCAGTTTCTATATTTAAAAAATGAAGACACTGCTAGGTACACACACCAAAAAGGTACAATTAAAAAGTGAGTGAAATTCACAACAGCAAAGACATGGAGTTAACCCAAATGCCCATCAATGATAGACTGGATAAAGAAAATGTGGTACATATGCATCATGGAATACTATGCAGCCATAAGAAGGAATGAGATCATGTCCTTTTCAGGGACTTGGGTGGAGCTGGAAGTCATTATCCTCAGCAAACTAACACAGAAACAGAAAACCAAACACCACATGTTCTCACTTATAAGTGGGAGCTGAGCAATGAGAACACATGGACACAGGGAGGGGAACAAAACACACTGGGGCCTGTCAGAGGGGCATGGGGAGGGAGAGCATCAGGATAAATAGCTAATGCGTGCTGGGCTTAATAGGTAAGTGATGAGTTGATAGATGCAGCAAATCACCATGGTACATGTTTACCTATGTAACCAAACCTGCACATTCTGCACATGTATCCTAGAAGTTAAAGTAAAATTAAAAACTAATAATCTAGAATTATGCCAGCTAATTTGTTTAGCCTTATGCATTACCAAAATTCTTAGAATTTTTCACCAAGAGCATTACTTATAAACTTATGTTTTCCTACCTTTTATAAAAATGCTACAGAATTTGAAAAGGGTAGGTATGGTGGAAAACAAGGTAGAATTGATAAAACAAAGGTCCTAAGTATGTTACAGACCTAGCGGTCATGCTTATAATGATTAGGAATTATTCACTATTCACCTATTTTGATCATTAAATGTTATTCTCTGTGGAAGCATTGATGATAACTTTGGGACATGAAGCTACTTTTATGTTACTAATGCAAATCCAAAATGCATTCTGTCTTTTATCACTAGCAGACCATGTCCTTGAAGCCTATGCAAGTCTTTAGCTATTAAAGCTGTATGTGGGTGTGTTTTAAGTACCATGAATCAGGCCTTTTCTTGGGGCATTTCTGTGGGAAGAGGAGTTTCTAATGCACTTAGAAGGAACGGAATTAAACTTCCCAAACTGAATTGAAACAGTGGGGGACCATAGAGGCTAAATCATGCACTCTCTTAAATTGGACAAGCTCATGCCATTGTGCTTCTCAAACTTTAATGTTTGTGGGGGCAGCAGGGGGAGAAGACTGAGATTCTGCACGATAATACATGGAGCACACTGTGAGTAGCAGTGAAGCCCTGCTGTGTTGGTCCCAGAGCTACAAAATTGACTTAGGTTTTACTGTTGAAAGCTGAGCTGGGGCATCTGAAACTCAGGTATCTTAACAAGAACATTTCTGACACAAGGGGTATGTGTGTGATTATTTTATAAGCCAGAGCCTTATTTCACCAGAAATATTATGACTAGGCTTTAGTCACCTATATAATAAACCACAAGGTATGTACAGATGAGTTAAACTTTATTTAAAATAATAAAATGTTTAAATGTGTATTTGAACACATGTCTATCTTCCCGTATAATAAAATAAATCACATATATTTTAAGACATATGCCCAGGGCTGAGATATTTATGACTGATATTTATGCATGTTATTCAGGACCAGTGCCTGATATAGAGATGCCTGTGCCATATCTGGTTTTAAATAGTTTGAAATCCTCCCTCAGTATTTTATAAGCATAGCACAACAGTACAAATTCCTTTCCTTTGTACTGAGTCAGCTCAGCATTTTCCATAGTTGATAGTACTGAAGCAATATCAGGAATGTATAGGAGCCATGATATGCAGATATACATTGCTGTTAGGTACCAAGAGTACACTTGAAATCACATAGCTCAGTTGTGCATGCACCAGGGTTCAGAACTCGGAATCCAACATCCCTAGGTATACTTTACATCCATTTCCCCCAGAGTTGAAGCCACCTCCTCAGAACACTGAGAAAGAGTCTGGAAATAATCTGCAGGCATTTTCTCCCTTTTTGTGTCATGGAAATCTGCTCCCTTCCCTGTCACCCTCTTTTCCTCCCTCTTCTCTGGAACACCAAACACAATCTCCTCGATGAGTTAGGCTATCCCCAAGATAGGAAGATAAGTTGTTTCAAGGGAGTCTGCCTTTGCCTTTCACATGGAACCTCTATAGAAAACAAAAACACAAATGGGGATGGTGGCTGCAGATCTACGAAGGAAAAAACACAGTTTAACATCAGCTTCCCTTTAATTTTTCCTCCCATCGCTCAGATCCTAAGGTATCATTAATGTCCAGATTGTCTAAAACTGAATTTCTAGATCTGCTCCCAACTCACTCTCAATGGCTCCTGCTAACTTTCATTTGATCATGCTGGTTTCCTGACTGAATCCCTATCTTCCTTCTCTATTACACCATACACTTTTCTCCAGTCTTACCTCAGGAACAGAATTATTTTTATTCCTTCTTTATTTGTGGTAAAAGGATTTGGTATTTGCCTTTTTGGCCTTTTCTGCTCCTAAAAACTGCTTTTAAGACACGCAATGAGTCCTGCACTAAGGCTGATACATCCTGGGTCTTTCAACCTCCTATCACCAGGAGGAGGGATCCCAAGGGTGCTCCATAACCCACTTCTATTTTCTAAGAGATTATTGTTACAGTTCTTTATCTTGTTTAATCTACAGTTCAAACTCCTCCTCCCCTGGCACTCACTCTAGACCTTCTAGAAGTCCTCAGCTACAGTACCTTAATAGCATTCCCACATGGCTGCATTTCTCCTATCTTCTATTATAGGTCCTATGACTAGGACTGTAATACAGATCACAGTTCTCTTTGGACTTTCTACCAGCTCTTCTATCTTGGTGATGGATCTTTCCTCCATTTCAAAAAACAGTACAGATTTTGTTTAAAATTCTATTATGAATGATGTGGCTACATACACTGCCCTTCCTAGGTCTTCTACTCCTGGCATTTTCCCCAAGCAACATGCAGAAACTATCTTTCCATATCAGGGTATGTTTCCAGTAATCTGGTTTAAATATCTACTCTTAAATGGCCTGCTTTCCTAGCAACTCTAGTGCCAAGAACATGGCTAACTTCAACATGCCCTTCTCTTTTGATGAGGGTGTTCTTAGCACAATTACTTCTCATTTGGTATCTACTTTCACCCCCAGGCAGCTTGTTCTTCGGCTCAGTTCATGGCTTACTTTGACTCAGGTGCAGCTTTACCCTGTGCTATAGTAGTACCTTCTGTACCCCTTCCCCTAGCAGGATAATCCTAGTGTGATGCATTACCTGGTAATTTGGAAGGTTTGTACAGTGCATTATTGAATGCCCTTATCTGCTAGTCAAATACCTATTCAGTGCTCAATATAACTATTACTTTGAGTTCAAGTTGTATCTACCAACTTGGGCACATCCATAGAAAGTGGTTGTTGTAGAGTACTCCCTTCTTGATTTTGAATTGAACAGTGTCACTGAGATCCTCGGCAGGCATGGGTTCTTCTCTCTTAGGTCTCAGAGTCTGAGTCTGTCATCACTTGTGAACTCAAATCCCTCTCCTTTTGAATTGGCATATTTTCTTTTCTTTTCAACCAGTCTTCCATTCTTTTCTTGTAGAGTTGAATTCTGTTAATTCTTCAATTTAGTCACCAGTCACTCAATTCTATCATATTTTATTTTAGATGGGCTGAGGGGTGACAGCCCTGCAAGGTGTTTTAGGTGGAATATTTGTGAGTCAAACATTTTCCATTGCCAGAATGGTTGTCTCTCCACGTCTCTGGGTTTATTATGCTAAAATATCCTCTATGCATTTTCTCACCTGAGATTGCACTTACAAATGCCCTCTTTTATTAGTTAGGGTTTAACACATGACATCAACAAGGAAGAAGGGTGAGATATTTTTCAGTTCTAGTATGAAAAAGCTCTGAAAAAAATGCCAGCCTTATGCATTGTACATAGTGCCTGGCACCTAACAGTGCTTAACATATTTTTAAAAAAATACAGCTACTTTTGAAGGGTAATATGTATACAGCAAAGTGCACATGTTATAAGTATACAGCTCAATGAATTTTCACAAAATGAGCACATTCATATACTCACTAACCAGATCAAGAAATGAAAGATCACAGGTAGCCCAGAAGTCCCAGTCATGCCCACTCTTAGGCTCTTTTCCCCAAAGTAATCCCTTTTCTGACATTTAACAGAATTTTTGAATTCTGTTAAAAAATAAATGGCATTATAAAGAATGTATGCTTCTGTGTCTGCCTTTTTTTTTATTCAACATCATGTTGAGATTCATCTATGTTGCATGTAATTTGTTCAATTTCATTGTCACTATTTTGCATTGTGTAAAAATAAAGCAATTTACTTATTCTAATATTGCTGGACATTTGGGTTGTTCCCAGTTTTGGGCTGTTGAGAATAATACTGTTATGAATATTCTTATATTTGTTTTTTTATAAACATATATGTATATCTGTTAAAATTCAGATCCCTGGGTGAGAGGGTTTATGTATAACATTACTAGACACCAATAAAATCCAAAGTTATTGTATCAGTTTATACTCCCATAAGTAGTGTTTGAGAGTTCCAGTTTCTTTATATTTTTACAAACACGTTATATTGTCAGTCTTTTTATTTTAGTCCTTCTAGTGTGTGTGCCATGGTATTTCATTGTAATTTTACTTCATATTTAACTCATGATTGTAGTAGTTGAGAACATTTTATATGTTAGTCATTTTATAAAGCACCTTTTAAGCAACTTGTCCATGTTTTTTGTCGTTGTTTTTAATTATCTATCTTTTCCTCAAATATTCTTTTTTTCTATGGGGAAGGGCAAATTTTATTTTATTTTGTTTCTTAATTTTTTTTTGTTTCAATAGCTGTTGTTGGAGTACAAGTAGTTTTGGGTTACATAGATACATCCTATGGTGGTGAAGTCTGGGTTTTTAGTGTAACTGTCAACCTGAATAGCATACCTTGTACCCAATAGGTAACTGTTCATTCCTTTCCCTGCCTGTCCCCTCGCCATCCGAGTCTCCAATGTTCATTTTATGACTCAGTATGCCATTGTGTACTCATGGCTTAGCTTCCACTTATAAGTGGAAACTTGGGGTATTTGGTTTTTCAATCCTGTTATATCACTTAAGATAATGGCCTCCAGCGTCATCCAAGTTGCTGCAAAAGACATTATTTCATTCTTTTTTTTGTGGCTGAGTAGTATTCCATAGCGTATATATACCACATTTATTTTCTTCACTCATTAGCTGATGGGCACTTAGGTTAATTCCAATTCACAGTTCCACATTTGCAATTGTGAATTGTGCTTTGATAAACATCCTTGTGAAGATGATTTTTTAATTGAATAACTTATTATCCTTTGGGTAGGTACCCAGTAGTGGGATTGTAGGATCAAGTGGTAGATCTGCTTTTAGTTCTTTGAGAAATCTCCATACTGTTTTCTATAGGGGTTGTACTAATTTACATTCCCACCAAAAGTGTATGTGATCCCTTTTCACCACATCCATGCTAGCACCTATTGTTTTCTGGCTTTTTAATAATGGCCATTCTGGCTAGGGTAAGGTGGTATCTCATTGTCATTTTAATTTGCATTTCCCTGTTGACTGGTGATGAGCATTTTTTCATATGTTTATTGGCCATTTGTATATCTGCTTTTGAGAAATGTCTGTTCATGTCATTTGCCCACTTTTTAATGGGATTATTTGTTTTCTTCCTGCAGTTTTTGTTTTGTTTTGTTTTGTTTTTGAGATGGAGTCTCACCCTGTCTGCCAGGCTGGAGTGCAGTGGTATGATCTTGGCTCACTGCAACCTCCACCTCCCGGGTCAAGCATCTTCTTGCAGTTTTGTTTGAGATTCTGGCTTTTAGTCCTTTATCAAAGTTATAAAGTTTGCAAATATTTTCTCCCATTGTATAGGTTGTCTATTTATTCTGTGGATTATTTCTTTTGCTGTGCAGAAAATTTCCAGTTTAATTAGGTAGGTCTGATTTATTTTGTTAAGGTGGGTTGATTTATTTTGTTTTCATTGCATTTGCTTTTGGGGTCTTTGTCATAAATTCTTTACCTAGGCCAAAGTCCTGAAGAGTTTTTCCTAGGTTTTCTTGTAGAATTTTTACGGTTTCAGATCTTAAATTTAAGACTTAATCCAGCTTGAGTTAATTTTTATATACAGTAAAAGATAGGAATCCAATTTCATTCTTCTGCATGTGGCTATCCAATTTTCTCAGCATCATTTATTGAATAGGATGTCCTTTACCCAGTGTATGCTTTTACTTTTTTGTCAAAAATCAGTTTGTTGTAAGTAGTTGGCTTTATTTCTGCACTCTGTGTTCTGTTCCATTGGTCTGTGTTTATTTTTATATCAGTATCATACTGTTTTGGTTACTATAGCCTTGTAGTATAATTTCAAGTCAGGTAAATGTGATGCCTCCAGATTTGTTCTTTTCACTTAGGATTTCTTTGGCTAATCAGGCTCTTTTTGGGTTCCATATGAATTTCAGGATTGGTTTTTCAAATTCTGTGAAAAATGACCACGGTATTTTAGTAAGAATTTTACTGAATATGTAGATTGCTTTGGGTCTATGGTCATTTTCACAATATTGATTCTTCCAATACATGAGCATGGGATGTTTTTCATTTTGTTTGTGTCATCTATGATTTCTTTCATCAGTGTTTTGTAGTCCTCCTTGTAGAAATAGTTCACCTCCTTGGTTAAGTATATCCCTAGGAATTTTATATCTTTTGTAGCTATTGTAAATGGGATTGAGTTTCTAATTTGATTCTCAGCTTGGTCATTGTTGGTGTAAAGCAGTGCTACTGATTTGTTTACAATAATTTTGTAACTTGAGATTTACTGAATTCATTTATCAAATCTAGGAGTCTTTTGGGGAAGTCTTTAGGGTTTTCTAGATATAATAACATATCAGAAGCCGAAATAATGTGACTTCCTGTTTTCCAATTTGGATGCCCTTTATTTCTTCCTTTTGCCTGATTAGAAATGGTAAAAGTGGGCATCTTTGTCTTCTTCCAGTACTCAGGGGGAATGCTTTAAACTTTGCCCCAATCATTATGATGTTGGCTATGGATTTGTCATATATGGCTTTTATTATTTTGAGGCATGCTGCTTCTGTGCCTGGCTTGTTGAGGGTTTTTATCATAAAGGGATACTAAATTTTATCAGTGCTTTCTTTGTATATGTTGAGATGATATAGTTTTTGTTTTTGATTCTGTTTATGTGATGTATCACATTTATTGACTTGAGTATGTTGAACCATCCCTGTATCCCTGCAATAAAACCCGCTTGATCGTGGTGAATTATCTTTTTAATGTGCTGTAGGATTTGTTTTGGTAGCATTTTGTAGAGAATTTTTATATCTATGTTCAGCAGGGATATTGGCCTGCAGTTTTCTTGTTTTGTTATATTCTTTCCTGGCTTTGGTGTCAGGGGGATACTGGCTTTGTAGAATGAGTTAGGGAGGATTCCTTCCTTCTCAGTCTTTTGGAATAGCTCAATCATTTGGAATAGCTTCAATCTTTTGGAATAGCTTTTTTTGTTGTTTGTATGTTCTGGATTTCTGTTTCTTCCTGATTCAAGCTTGTAGGGTTGTTATGTTTCCAGGATTTACCCATTTTCTCTACATTTCCTAGTTCGTGTGCATAGAGGTGTTCATAGTACTTTTGAATGATCCCTTGTATTTTTGTGGTATTAGTTGTAATGCCTTTATTTTCATTTCTGATTGAGCTTATTAGAATCTTCTTCTTTTGGGTTAATCTAGCTAGTGGTCTATCAATTTTGTCTTCTCAAAGAACTAAATTTTTGTTTCATTGATCCTTTGTATTTTCTTGGCTTCAAATTTATTTAATTCTGCTCTATTTTTTGTTATTTCTATTCTTCTGGTAGCTTTGGATTTGATTTTTTTTCTTGTTTCCATAGTTCCTTGGGGTATCACATTAGGTTGTCAATTTGTAACCTTTCTGTGTTTTTGATATAGGCATTTAGCTCTATAAACTTTCCTCTTAGCACTGCTTTTGATGTGTTCCAGAGGTATAGATAACTTGTGTCACTGTTATCATTCATTAAAACAATTTTTTAAATTTTTATTTCTTATTTTATTGTTGACCCAAAGATCATTCAGAGCAGATTTTTTTTTTATGTATTTATGTAATTTTGAATGTTCCTTTTGGAATTGATTTATAGTTTTATTCTGCCGTGGTCTGAGAAAAAATACTTGTCAAGATTTTGATTTTTAAAAATTTATTGAGACTCGTTTTGTGGCGACTATATGATCTATCTTGGAAAATGTTCCATGTGCTGATGAGAAGAATGTATATTCTGTAGTTTTGAGGTAGAATGTTCTGTAAATGTCCATTTGTTCTAGAGTCCAATTTAAGTCCTGTGTTTCCTTGTTAACTTTTTGTCTCAATGATCTGTCTAGTGCTGTTAATGGAGTGTTGCAGTCCCCCACTATTATTGTGTTGCTGTCTGTCTCTTTTCTTAGGTCTAATAGTAATTTTTAAATAAAGCTGATATCTCCAGATATTAGGTACATATATATTTAGGATGATTATGTCTTCTTGTTTAATTGAGCCCCATATCATTATGTAATGACCTTCTTTGTCTTTTCTTACTCTTGTTGCTTTAAAGTCTTTTATTGGATATGAAATTAGTTATTGCTGCTTACTTTTAGTTTTCATTTGCATGGAATATTTTTTTCCATCCCTTTACCTTGATTTTATAAGAATCTTTACATTTCAGATATGCCCCTTGCAGATAGCAGGTATTTGTTCTGTGTTTCTTCAATCCTTTCTGCCAATCTACATCTTTTAAGTGGGGCATTTAGATGATTTACAGTCAATGTTAATATTGACATGTGAGGTGCTGTTTTAGTCATCATATTGATTTTTTATGTAATTACTTTGTTTTCTCCATTGTGTTACTATTTTATGAACCTTGTGTGTTTTATGCTTTCAAGTGGTTTTATACTGGTCCGTATCAACCTTTCCTTTCAAGATTTAGAATTCCTTTTAACATTTCTTGCAGGGATCTAGTGATGACAAATTCCCTCAGCATTTGCTTGTCTGGGAAAGACTTCATTTCTTCTTCATTTATGAAACTTAGTTTTTCTGGATACAAAATTCTTGCATGACAGTTTAAGGAGACGAAACATGGGGCCTCAATCCCTTCTGGCTTGTAAGGTTTTTGCTAAGAAGTCTGCTATTAGTCTGATAGGTTTTCCTTTATATGTTTTCTGAATCTTTGGTCTCACTTCTCTTATAATTCTTTCCTTCACTTTGAGTTTAGATAGCCTGATGATTATACATCTTGGTGATGTCCTTTTTGCAATGGATCTCCCAGGAATTTTTTAGCTTCTTTTATTCAGATGTCTAAATATCTAACACGACAAAGGAACCTTTCCTCAATTATTTTCTCAAATAGGTTTTTCAAACTTTTTGCTTTTTCTTTTTCCTCAGGAACATCTATGATTCTTAGGTTTAGCTGTTTAACATAATCCCATATTTCTTGAAGACTTTATTCATTTCTTTTAATTATTTTCTCTTTATCTTTGTCTAATTGGGTTAATTCAAAAGCCTTGCCTTAAAGCCCTGAAATTCCTTTTTCTACCTGGTCTAGTCTTTTGCTAAAATTTCACCCCACATTAGCTGGGCACGATGGCTCACGCCTGTAATCCCAGCACTTTGGGAGGCTGAGAGGGGCGGATCATGCGGTCAGAAGATCAAGACCATGCTGGCTAACATGGTGAAACCCTGTCTCTACCAAAAATACAAAAAAAAAAAAAAAAAAAAAGCTGGGGGTGGTGGCGGGTGCCTGTAGTCCCAGCTACTTGGGAGGCTGAGGCAGGAGAATGGCATGAACCTGGGAGGTGGAGCTTGCAGTGAGCCAAGACTGTGCCACTGCACTCCAGCCTGGGCGACAGAGTGAGACCTTGACTCAAAAAAAAAAAAAAATTCACACTGCATTTTAAAATTTCCTAAGTGTGTCTTTCATTTCCAGAAGTTCAGATCGGTTTTTCTTTAAAATATCTCTCCTTTTTAGAAAATTTAATTTATATCCTGAATTGTTTCTTAATCTCTTTATGTTGATTTTCAACTTTCTCTTGGATCTCATTGAGCAACTTTATAATCAACTATTAAAATTATTTATCTGGTATTTCAAATATTTCATTTTGGTTTGGATTCACTACTGGAGAGGTAGTGTGATCTTTTGGGGGTGTTGTGAAACTGTTTTTTTATTTGACCAGAATTACTTTTCTGCTTTCCTCTCATTTGGGTAGACTATTTTTTCATATTATTATTAAATTTATTTTTTATTTTACTGGGTTTTAAAAGAATGTTTTTCCTCTCAAACATGTGACTTTAATGTGTTTAGTTTATGGTCACCTACCTTAGGCTCTGAGTGTTTTCAGTGGCAAAGTCTCTGTATGAATTCCTTGGTTATATAAAATCTTTGTGCAATGGCTTTCTGAGGTGCTGGTTGTAGTAATAATGTGTTGGGTGTGTGGGTAGGTTCACTCTCTCCTGTGGGGCCAGAATGGCAGAGGTGTCATTAATCTGTATTAGGCTGCTCTTGCACTGCTATAAAGAAATACCTGAGGCTGGGTAGTTTATAATGCAAAAAGGCTTTATTGGCTTATGGTTCTGCAGGCTGTACCAGAGGCATGGCAGTGGGATCTGCTTGGCTTCTGGGGAGGCCTCAGAGAGCTTTTCCTCATGGTGGAAGGCAAAGCAGGAGCAGGCACTTCACATCATGAAAGTAGGAGTGAGAGTTGGGGAGGGAATGCCATACATATGAAAATGACCAGATCTCACGGGAGCCCAGAGCAAGGGCTCACTTATCACCAAGAGGATGGCCCAAACCATTCATGCAAACACCTCCCACCAGGCTCCACCTCCAACATTGGGAGTTACATGTCAACAAGAGATTTGAGCAGGACAAACATCCAAATTATATCTCCTACAGTGGTGTGCACTTTTTAACTTTTTCCACGGTATTCTTTTTTCACTAAGTTGAACAGTTCAGCCTTCAGGACAGTAGGAGGTACCCATGGGTAAAAACCAGTTGCAGCAGAAGCAGGTAGGTATATGCAATGCCCCAATGGTGGGCAGAGGTCTCAACCTTGACAGATGGCTAGTTGATCCGTTTGAAGAGATGGTTATCCATTTGATGAAAATTGACATCTTTACAAAGCTGAGTTTTCCAATTCATCTACTTTATATATTCTACCACTTACTTTTTAAATTAGATTTTTAATTTTCTCAATAATTTATAGCTGTCCAAATAATTTACATCATTTTTAGATTTATTGAGTATTCAATGTTTCTTTGATGCTACTATACATTGTATCATTTGTTAAAATTCATTTTCTGTTTTGTTACTAAGATATATTAGTACAAATGATAATTATAGTGAAATGCACTGTGATCTTCTCAGGGGGAAGGGAGGGAGCCAGCTCAGCTCCCTTTCTAGGCCAGTAGAAAAGCAATTCACCTCCTTGTCATGCTCCTGTCCTGCTATTTAGATCAGTTAGGCATCTCTTTACCTCTGCAGGAGTGCTGACATTCAATGTAGAGAGGCACTGGGACTCATATAAGCCTGAGCCTGGAGGGCACTCTGCCTGTGGGGATCCAGTTACCCTGGAGGTTTCCAGAAAAGTAATCTACAGGTGCACCTGCATCAAGCTCCTGTGGGAGAAGCCCCAGCTGTGTCTGCAGTGGTGGGCAAGGAGGAGAAGGAGTCCCCTTTTCAAAGTCCCTTCATGTGCACTGGGGCTGCCTAACTGCTGGGGTAGAAGCTCAGTCTTTTCTCACTGAGCCAGCACTGCACCTGTGCCTCTGCTGAAAGAAACTTTCAACAAACGAAAAATTTAGACTCAAGATCTGCACTCTGGTTTATTTTGTCCCATGAGGTGTTCCCCTGATGTGGTGCACTTCCCCTTCCCCTAGGAGTGATGGTCCTTGAGGGCCAGACTGCTGTGAATCTTGCTGCTCCTCTGGGTCCAGCTGCCCTGTAGGGCAGCCACAATCCAGGCTGGTGCTGGGGAATATCTGCAAGGGATCTAGTGATGTGAAGATACAAGGATTGAAGGACACTGAACTGAACAAAGTCCCACAATGGGTGAGCACCCAGTATGGCACTCACTACTACAGCTCATGTCCAGGGGAAAATGGAGATCCTTGTGCAAGCAAGGTAATGCCTTCAAGAAGTCTCCAAATTGCAGCCCCCTCTAGTATCTGTGCTTGTGAGGGCAGATAAATTCTCCTTGAGCTCAGATACCAGAAGTTTGCTGTAAGGGTGAGGGAGGCCAAGAGCACTTTCACCTATCCTTCCCATTGATTACTAAGTCTCTGAGTGTGATCTCTCCCTGCTTGTGTGTGTGTGTGTGTGTGTGTTAGATTCTTCCAGCGAACTCTCATATATGCTGTACTACTCTCTCCTTAACACTCCATTTTGGCTATGATTATTCACATGTAATTTTGGTTCTTCCTTCTGAGGAAGATTTGTCACTAATATCTCTTGTCAGCCAACTGGAGAAGCTCTCTGATGCCTCAGGCTGTAGACAGTTCTGCAGGACGTGTAATGACTTGGGCTCTGCTCTTAACTCCAGAGTGGGGCACTGTTGGCTGGGGCTGGACTGAACTGATGCGTCCTCTCATCTCCCATCAGCTAATGCAAGCATCTGCTCAAATCAACTCAAGCACGGGGCAGGGTTAAGATGCTGTTCTGTGGTCTGGATTGCCCAGCTCCCCAGTGGGAGTGTGTATCACCAAGACAGTCTCTCCCACTTTCACACTCTAGAGACTCACATATTTCCACTTGGCTCATGTATGCTGCTGCCTGTTGCTTCTTGAAAAGTGTCTGTAGTTTCTTTCAGCTTTTCTGCCGAGGTCCTGTGTTGCTTCTTGGATAAAAGTTCACAGCATGTGTCTCTGCACACTATTTTGCTCTTTCCAAGTCAGTTAGACATATTAGCAAAGCCTCCTATCTGCCATCTTGGAGAAAAAAAAAGTCCTTAAACATTGTAACATTCTTTATAAGAGCCTTTTTCTGTTGCAGGTATTCGAATATTTTCTCCCACCCAGTGTCTTATTTCTACATTTTTCTACATTTATCATTTTTTGTGATATCAATTAATCATTTTTTTATGTTTAGGGTTTGTGTGTATATGTGTCCTGTTTAAGATAACTTTGGATATTTGCCAGTTACTAAAATATTCTCTTGTGTTACCTTCAAAAAACATTATTGCAAACTGTTAAGTTTTGATAAAATGATCCGTCAGGGATTGATTTTTTATACTATGAAATATAAACAACGTTAATTTTTCCATCTGTATATTCAATTGACCCAGCACTATTTGTGAAAAGCGTATACTATTCACATTGCACTGAACGATGACTTTTGAAATATATCAACTATCTAAATAGATATGGGTTTGCTTCTGGATTTTCTATTCTATTCCATTGACTATAGTTGTGTCATTATTACTTTGTCTGAATAAATATACCTATGTGATAAATATTGGTAGCTGGTTATATAAGTCATCTGATGTTGATCATCAAGATTAGATTGGTTATTTGGCATATTCAGTGTGTCAGTTTTCACCCCAAAATATATCTTGTTTGAAAAGTATGTGTATACTTAGTTGTTACAGTGATCATTTCTGCTGTGTTAGATTCAACTACTGAATTTTTAACTTTTGTTATATATA
This sequence comes from Homo sapiens, assembly GCF_000001405.40. Lineage (NCBI taxonomy): Eukaryota > Metazoa > Chordata > Mammalia > Primates > Hominidae > Homo > Homo sapiens. The sequence continues at coordinate 210,835,745 of NC_000002.12, forward strand.
TTTTTTCAGTTTTCAAATTTCTATTTGATACCTTTCATAGACTCCCATTATCTGGTGAAATTCTCCTTCTTATCTATCTTATTTTAACCATTAACCAGAGTAATTTTAATGTCTAAGTCTTGTAATTCTAATATCTGAATCACCAGTTCTATTGTCTGATTTTCTTGAGGTCTTGACCTTCAATTCCCATCCTCTGGCATGTCTGGTAATTTTGCTGAGGGCCAGGAGCTGTGTATTAAAATTATACAAATAATGTGAGGTTCTGATTGATGCTGCCTTCCTCTCAGGAGTCTAACTCAAACTCTAAAGTATATTTCAGGGAAGTGCTTACTTGGTTGGCCCTGGACTTCAATTTTTGTGTCCCACGCTCTGTCAGTTTGTGGAAAGCTCTTCTCATCTTAATAGAAACATAAATTTGGATTTACCTCATTGTACTTCCTTTCTGTCTAGTGTCTTGGCCTCTAATCTTGGCTGTTTCGGAAGCTCCATGCTTGGCAATTTTTACCCCTACATCCCTCTAAGACTTAAAAATTTGGCTCAGATTTCCAGGCTTTCAGCCACAAAACTCTACTCAACCTTTTAGCCTCTTGGTCTTATGCCAATCACCAATCAGCAAATGCCATGAGGTAAAAGCAGCAACACCAAATGTTAGATTAATCTCAATCTGATTTTCCTTTTCTCAATGAGCCTGGACCCTCAAGTACTGGCTTCTTTGGCAGCTTTTTGATCAAAAATTGTTTTAACTTAATTTCTACAGCTCCTCAACTTTTTCTTGTAGGAATATTACCAGAAATAGAAAGCATTCCATACATTTAAATTTCTTCCTCTCATTTCTGTTTTGTAAAATTAGATAATAATACCTATTCACCCTACCTCAAATACTGTGATATATTTTGAATACTATAAAACATCATGAAAATGAAAAGTCACTATCTCCTTGAATTAACATTCTCTTTTATTTTAAAACTCTTTTTTCTTATTTTTGATATCTTATTAGAGCCATTTTTTCCCCTGAATTTAGCACATGATTTTAAAATAACATTTCCTACATTGACTTCTTAAATGATATAATTTTTATCCTGAAGAGGAAAATATAGGAAATTTACAGTATTTCTCATGTCTGCATTATATTTTATTGAGTAAATACAGTTATATCATGGGTAATGAGAATTTCTCCCTTTATTTCTTTTCTATTTCTTTTTTTTTTAATGAAAGGATTTTTCTCTTACTCTTCTTGTCATTTACCTTCTGTGTAAAGTAATAAATTTTTCCACTGAAGCCCACTGTATTCACACCATTTCATAGGACTTGGGAATATGTTCTCTGCACCCTAAAAATAACAATTTACTCACTATTTTCCAGACCTGGCACGTTTTAATGAAACTGCTTGCACAGAAGCTAGCACGTTACCTTGCTTCATGCCTTTCATGACATTGATGCTTTTCTGCTCTATTTCCTAGGTCATCCGTATGATTAACAGATTTCTCTTCTCTTTCTTATCTATGTGCTACCTCTTCTGTAAATGACTGTAAACTTTCACCTAATCATCTTTTGATAATCAATGGGCTGTGATTATATACCCTGAGAGTGCAAATTACTTATAGTTACGTTGTTATCAACAAGAGCCATTTATTGAATACTGTCTGCCTATGTGACACACTATTCATTAGATGCACCAGGAAACACTCCAACCCCCACCCAGATTTAGGCCATATCACTGAATTCTGTGATTTGAGCTTTGAGAAAGAGACTGTGTGATTCAATGGATAAACCAGAAAAAGAAAGTTGAGCATTTGAGAACGGTGTTTTCCTAATTGTGTAGATCTTATTTGATCTCTCTGACTTTCTTTCCATGATATACCCTCTTCTCCAGACCTCCTTCTAGTTGATTCCATTATATTTTCTATGTACCTCTATTATGCAATTATTATTTAGATTTTAGATAATTGCTACGGACTTCAACTCTAATAAATGTGGATGCCCTCGAGGCTCAACATAGTACTGTGCTCATCTTTGTTTATTCTGTAAATACTTAACATACATTTATTAAATTGATTAAAATGGGGGGTTAAATTGGAAGTTTATTAATCTAATGATGAAGCACTTTTGTAAAGTGTTTTCGAAAATATAATCATAATTATAATTGTATTATATGAGATTAGATTATTTGTCCCCTTCCCCTCTATTCAGTTTCAGGACTCACTCAAATAGGGGTATCAAAAATTTAGAAGAGCCTCTAAATCCTGAGTGTTTACTGAAACTGTACTCAATTTGGGAAGATGTGGAAAATCTATATTTTGTGATAATATTAGCAGTCATTATACCTTTATCTATAAGCGCTCTCAAAGGAACTTAAAGGTAGTATGTAAACCTAGTATATATATCTAGTATGTTTTGGGTACTTCTTATTTGAAATTACTTTTCTCATGAATCTTTTGGTCATTTTCAACATTCCTTTGTCCTTCATTTGTCTGTCAAAACCTTTGTGAAGAAAGATGTTTGGATTTTTTTTTCCTTGTGTTTATATTTTTTTAATTAACATCACAATTTTTTAAAGTTGGGTAATGACTATGGTATTTCTGATTCAATAGGACATTTCTTACCTTAATGTGACTCTGAACCAGTTTGGTCATGGTGGATATTTGGTTGCTTCTCCAGACATTCCTCAGTGCTAATGGCCCAGGGTCATTCCTCCCTTTTTTTTTTTTTCCTGGAAAGCAGATGGCTCTCATATCAGGAGATATCTTATAAGATATTTAGTTTTCTGGGCCTGAGCCTATGTAATAACAATTACTGTTATTTTTTCCTTTTGAAATCTTTGACTCAAAGTAAAATCTATAAATGTAAATATAGATAATAATGATAGTAATAGTAAAGTTTAATTGTGAGCAATTTGTAAGGTAAGATAAATTTTTAAAAATTATATATGTAATAAAGAAAAAATTTACGGTGCCTACAGTTGATATTTGGTTAATTGTGAGACCTCAAAGCATATAACTGAGATGTATACATACTTTTTTGTTTTGTGCATTATAATCTAGTTATGTCTTATATTAATTGATATATTGATGTATTGTTTTATATCAATGAGACAGTTGAAATAAGAGGCAATTAAGCATAACAAAAATAGCACACATATAAATAAAAAATCAGTTCTTCAAGCCTTAGCCTTGAGACTTGTCAAGTATACTTCCTTGGGCAAATCACCTGCCTGTGATTCTACACTCACTCTAAATTGTTAAACAGAGCTAAAGATAATAAAGTAGTTCCACCATATTTGCAGTTTTGCCTTCCATGGTTACCGTGGGTCAATCACAATCAGACAATATTACATGGAAAATTCCAGATATAAACAATTCATAAATTTTAAGTTGTGTACCATTCTGAGTAGCGTGATGAAATTTTGTACCATCCTTTACTTTCCTGGCCAGGACATGACTCATCCTTCATCCAGTGTATCCACGCTGTATATGCTACCCATCAATCACTTAGTGTCAGTCACTTAGTAGCCCTCTCAGTTGTCAGATGTATTGTCATGTATCACTGTGCTTGTGTTCAAGTAACCCTTATTTTAGCTAATAATAGCACCAAAACACAAAAGTGATAGTGCTGGCAATTCAGATATGCCAAGGAGAAGCCATAAAATGCTTCATTTAAGTAATACGATGAAAGTTATTGACTTAAGAAGGAAAAAAAATCATGCTGAGGTTGCTAGGATCTATGGTAAGAATGAATCTTTTATCTGTAAAATTGTGAAGAGAAAGAAACTTGTGCTAGCTTTGCTGTCATACCTCAAGCTGCAAAAGTTACAGCCACAATGCATGATAAGTGCTTAGTTAAGATGGAAAAGGCATTAAATTTGTAAGTGTATGACATAAACAGGAAGCATGCTCCAATTGACAGCAATATATTGTGCCATAAAACATTGCCCTTATACAAAGACTTCAGCAAAGGATCCCCTGAAACAGTGACACCAAGCCATTTATTGCAAATCAAGGATGATTGCAGATATTCAAGAATACAGATGGTCAATAGTAGCCTAATGTTACATTACAATGCCTACTTCATTCATCACACTTCAACTCACTGCATATTGTTCACCTTATTGTATCATCTCACATCATCACAAGAAGAAGAAAAGTGAGTACAATGCAAATAAGCTAGTTTTGAAAGCAAGAGAGAGGCCAGATTTATGCAACTTGTATCACAGTACATTGTTATAATTTTTCTATTTTATTAATATTGTTAATCTCTTACTGTTTCTACTTACAAAGGAAACTTTATGTTTATTATTATTACAGATGTATAGGAGAAAACATAGCATATATGGGGTCCAGTAGTATATGCTGTTTCAGGTATTCATGGCAGGGGTAAGAGTTGGATCTTGGAAGGTATCCCCCACAGATAAGGAGGGACAACCATATTCAAGAATGTGATCTGTTAATTTGTTTTGTTAAGCTAAAATTCACAATTGGTACTTACATCTTCATAAATGCTGATGTATCTATCATATAGGCTCAGTTTCTTTTATTTTGTCCCTTTTCACTTGTTTATATAACATGTAAATTTATTATTCCCATTCCAATAAGCCAGTTAAGATACAATATTAATAATGGTACCTCCACTAATTGGGTGTTACAAACTATGCAACACAATAAATCTTGAGTTCCCCTATGAGCCCTTCAAAGTAGGTGTTGGATTTTTTCTGAAAAATGATAATTACACTCTACCTACTTTCCAAGCACTAAACCAATTGAGAAGCAGATACAAGTATCTGAGAATGATTAAAATGTTAACTTTTTAGTTGGAAAGCAGGACTGGATAATGCAACCACAATTAACCTCCTGCTCTAATACTTTTCTCCTGGATTTAGACCATGATCTCCATCTGCAGGTAGATAAAGTACTTGGAGAAGACACCTTGTCAACTGCATGAAAGAATCTCAGTCTTTTCTATAACTTTGTGTTCAAAGAACCTCCAGAGTCTAGATTCTGAATCACTTGACACTATACACCTGCTTTTAGAAGAAAACCCTCATCCTTGAACAGGAGTATTAATGCATGCTGGAGAATGCTTTAGTTTTGCACACAAGATATCATGAATACCAGATGGGAACCATCAATTTAATAACTTAACCCTTCTCAATAGAAAGGTGTGACCAGTGATGTCAGACTCTTTCCCATCTCTCCAATTAGATAAGTCAGTGTCTACTTCTGGCAAGGAAGTATGCTCTAGGAGTATAAAGACAGATAGTCCCAAAGTGTCGCTCTAAAACTATTCCTTCTTAGGTCATGGAGTAGATGTCACCTTTTTGGAAACCTAGGGAGAAGAATGCGGCTTCCTTTAATGGAAGTTATTATGTCTTCCAATTTGTAGATAAAATCACTGAGCCTTATTGTGGTTACTTGAACAAAGTTTTACAGGGATTGAATGATAGAGCAAGAATTCAAATCTAAATTTTCTGATTCCATAGTCTAGATTATTTAAACATAGTCAAGGAGGAAGCTATGCAAGAAAACTGATGTGAAAATATGTTTTGGGCATTGCAGCTGCATATGATCAATAACCAAGTACAGATATTTATCTGCTTTTGAGGATCATTATGCAAATCAAATTAACTAATGCATATTAAAGTGATTTATAAATTTAAAATTATGAATGTATTGCTGATTATTACCACAGTTAATGTTCTCTACATCAACTTTTTCTTCTGTAGTATAAGGTTAATGACTCTTGGCTACATCTTGGATTGCTGTGAGTATTAAACACGATAATGTACCTGAAAGTTATTTGTAAGCTGTAAAGCATTGTACAAATGAAGGTTATGGCTATTGATTTGTACATTAATTGTTGGTCCTTGAGCATGAGTTAATTACTGCTTTAATGATGAAAATTTGAACTAAAATGTCTGTTAGAGAATGCTGGTGTAAAGTAAATAGAGGTTGAGACTATAATTTCAGATGAACAAAATGAAACTGAGAAACTAATTAGACTAATTGCACATTGCATTGTATTGATTTTGTAGTTTCTTTCTACTTTCCAGCTCAGAATGCAAAGAAGCTAAAAAGGTGTGGACATTGGAAAACATTCATGTAAATCCAGCTCATCAACTTGATGGCTTTCTTGCTACTCAAAAATGTGATCCCTGGATCAGTAGCTTGGAAATCACCAACATGCTTGTTAAAAATACAGAATATCAGGTCCCATTCCAGACATACTACATCAGAATCTGTAGTTTAACAAGATTCAGAAATACAGCTTTACAGGAAGTTAAAAAGAAGTGATTTTTATACCTCTAAAAGTATGAGTAATTATTAGATTTCTATAACACAACCAGGAAACTTTTCCTTCAATAGCATTTATGATATTTTTAATATCTTTAGTACTATAATTGCTATGTTCTGTAATAATGACTATTTAGAAAAACAAAAATACCAGTCATCTGTGCAGTTTTTTTCTTTATCATGTTTGTACCTTTTTTAAAGTTAATATATTTAAATTCCTGCTCATCTTCAATGTCTTCTTTAGATTTATGCATTTATTCATTTATTCAATGAACATTTTTTGAATAGAGATAATGTACCAAACACTATGCTAAATTCTGAATATATAAAGAAAAGTGGGAATAGTATGAGTTTTTAATCTCGTCTTGCCTATAGTTTAATAGTAAAAGATAGGAGCAACTAAATACACACGTAAAAACTGAGAAAAAAACTCTGAGCATAGCAGACAGGGTGGTGGGCAGGTGTTCCACTCAGATGTAGTTGCCTGGGCTGGCCATCTTAGGTGGTGGCATCGCATCAACTTTGAAGAATGAGAAGAAGGCATTCATTTAAGAACTGAGCAGAGGCAAGATTGCTAAAGCTTTAAGGATGAGAAGAGTTTGGTATGGTCTAGAAGCTAACAGTAGGCTAGGGTCATGGAATGAATTGGGTGAGATGGATGGTAGTCAAACATGAGGTTGCAGGGCCTTGATTATGTAGAGTGTTGCAGGCAGAAGCTAAGTGTTTGCCATGCTAGGTACAATAAAAAGCCATTGATATGTTTTCAGCAGACAGAGGAGTGAAGGTGGACTGTTACATTTCAAACAGGCCAAATTTACATTTGAAAAGATTTATTTGGCTGCTCTATTGAGTATAAATTGGAGCGAGACATGTTAGAAGCCTGCAGGAAGAATACAGATAGCGTGGTTGAAGGTGAGAGATAGATTTTTAGGAATACTTGTTTGTGTTGGTGGCTGTGCCATCAGATCCACCCCTCACTGTTAACTTTTCTATTCTGCGTTTCAGGCTGCATTCCTTGACTGTGGCTGGCTTCCACTGCCACAGTCACCGGCTGCAGATTGAAATAAGAGAGCACATCTCTGCAGGTGCAGCATTTCATTAATGGCTCCAACTCACTCCATACTGGCTTGCTCTGGTTCTAGCTTCCACTAGATGTTGCTAGCCTCTAAGCCCCCATAACACCATGTCCTTCACTGGCTCTGTTGCTAATTTTTGAGTTGTCCCATCAACTTCTGTTTAGCTGCTCAGCATTTTTTTAAATCACCTGGGTAATCAATTCCCTGCATAAGATTTCCTTGGATGTAAATATATAAGTGGTTTCTCCTTTCCTGTTTAGACCATGATAAATGCAGAGGGTAGAGGAAAAGAAACAAGAATGTTACCCAGGTTTCAACTTTGATCAAAGGGGTATAAAACTGGGGCAAGTATAGTTTTGAAAGAGGGAAGTCAGCAATTCGCTTTTGAAAATCCTTGTCTTCATACCTTTACATACAAACATCCAAGGGTTAATTACATATGCAAATCTAGAATTCATACTAGATTATGAGTTATCAATCTCTGAATTATCGGATATTGATGGTGCTTATAGTCATGGGAATGGATAGGTTATTCAGGGAATGATGTAGAAAGACAAGAGAAAAAGGGATTTGGACTGAATCCTAAGGATTTTGAGGTTGGTTGGTAGAGGAAGAACCTGCAAAAAAGACTAAGAAAGAGGTGAGGCTTTCCTGGACTTAGGACAGTAAAAGAATTGGAATATACAAAAGATGTCCCCCAAGTATCTCTCACATCATATAAATTATGCTGCCAAGTGAAAAAGCAACATGTGATTGGCAACACAAAACCATTAAAACTAGTTATAGCCCCTGCAAACTAGGAGAAAGACAAACACAAGATGAATTGACTTTAATGTAAAATAATTTGGCACTCTTGATTCTGATGCATATTTATTTTAGATTCAGGGGGTACATGTGCAAGTTTGTTATGTGAGTATATTGCATGATGCTGAGGTTTGGGCTTCTAATGATCCTGTGACCCAAATAATGAACATAGTACTCACTAGGCAGTTTTCAACCCTCCCCCCACCCACTTCCTCCCCTCTTGGAGTTCCCAGTGTCTATTGTTCCCATCTTTGTGTCTGCTGGTGCACATCTTGATTTATGTGCCTGCGATGAAGGCAGGGCTATAGTCTGCAGTTGGTCAAGCCTGTTGACAGACCCAGCCTAGTCCAGGGAACAGTGGAGCTAACATCAGTACATTCTCTTTTAGCCAAGCTTTGTACACTAGTTCAGTGTTATGTCTGCCAGAGGAAAGGAGACTTTCTATAAAGCCCCACTCAGAGAGGTTTTTTTTCTAACATATACAAAGGCATTTTTGCCTTAATAGTGGCTTTGGGATAAGGCAGGACCAAGAATGTTGGGCCACCAACCTCAATTTTAGCCTAACTACTTATGATGTCAACTCTTAGGCAAAGTCCAGGCCATGCTGCTGAGGAGAAGAAATTTTTGAGAGGTTTTTTTTTTTTTTTTTTTTTTTGAGACGGGGTTTTGCTCTTGTTGCCCAAGCTGGAGTGCAATGGCACGATCTTGGCTCACCACAACCTCCACCTCCCGGGTTCAAGCGATTCTCCTGCCTCAGCCTCCTGAGTAGATAGGATTACAGGCACCTGACACCATGCCTGGCTAATTTTTGTATTCTTAGTAGAGACGTGGTTTCTCCATGTTGATCAGGCTGGTCTCAAACTCCCGACCTTAGGTGATCCACCCACCTCGGCCTCTCAAAGTGCTGGGATTACAGACGTGAGCCACTGTGTCCGGCCTGAGAAGTTTTTCTTAAAGTATGGTTCTTAGACTATCTGTATCAGAATCACTCATGAAGACAAATTCCAGGACCTCCTTATTAAAACTCAAGAAATCAAATCTGTAGAGTAGGATCAGGACTTCAATATTTACAGGTGTATTAGGATGTTCCTATGCACATTAAAAACAGAAAACCATTGCTCTAGGAACCATGCACATAGGAACATCCTAATATGCCTGTAAATATTGAAGCCTATGGTCCAGGAGGACAAATGATACAGACTCAATTTGGGAAACATCTGCCTGACCCTGGTTTTAAAAACTGGTGGTCTCCCTTATGAACACTTATGAAGGAAGACACAGATAGCATTCATTTAGTAACCAACATTTAAGCATATTTTATTCATGCCCAAATGATTTCACTCTCAATTCTTGCCTCCTGGACACTCCTAACCCCACCATCCTACACTTCTTAAGATTTAAGAAGGGTTTCCCTTAGAGCAGCCATGACTGATCAGCCATGTCCCTACTACTCTTCTTCATTCCTGCCACAGCACCCTGCTCATGTCTCCCAGAGCCCCAATTCCAGTCCATCTTTATAAATTATTTGCTCACTTTTTAAAAAAATCTATCCCATTGGAATGTACACAATACTAGAACATAAACCTTGCCACCCTAGTCAAATACTACATAGATCAATGCCTGGTTTAGAGTAGGTAATCAATATATATTTTTTGGCTTTATGAATAAACACAGAGAAATAGATCTCTATGGAACAAATTTAGGATTGGGAGCTTTACCTGTTCTTTTACAACTTTGTTTTTGAAATGATGATTCTTAATTAGAGACATATTTTAAGTTAATTTGCTTGGGTTTTAGGGAAAGTCTTGGGCATCCTTCAGAAATCACTCTTAGAGCAGTCGTCTTAGGCATCTTTGGAAAGTGCTTCCAGTTAAAGAATTTGGAATCTAGAGCCACAGAAATCACTAGGATGAATGCCTTTTCCAGTATTTTAATTGCTAATTTGTAATGAGGACCCATGAAAGCAACCCTGATGTTTGCTCAGTTTCTCTGTGCTCCTCGGTGTGCAGATTCTTCCTGCCTTCCTAAAAATGATGCATGTCTGGAGGGAGGTAAAACAGCCATTAATCCTGGAAGATATTTGTCCTCCTTCCTTTTGACATTTTATTGCCCTTTAACTCATTTGTGAAAGATATCAAAGCAGAGTCAGACTAGGGAATAAAAGACTGTTTCATTAAAATGGCCGATCTGCATAGATCTTTGTTCTTCCCTGTAGGAAGATCAGTACATGAGGAAAGAATTTATGAAGAAAGAAAATTAGGTAAATTTGAACCAACAGAAAAAGTATCAGACCAACAATACTTATATTCTATTTAGGAAGATCAAATTATTTTCCAGCCCAAATTATAAAATTATTCCTGGTCAAAAGTATTAACAAGGCTGCAAAAGAAATGTGTCCGTCAGAGGTATAGTGCGTTACTTGGAACTTGGCAAAAACAAACGTATATGTTTTCATTTTCCATCTGATTGCTTTCTGGGGGAAAATGCATCATTTATGGGGGCTGAAATCTTAGCTAGGGCATTTTTACCCCATTTTTTAATTGCCACTCCACAGGACACAGAAAATAATAGATGCTCTTTTTCTCTATCAGTTTTTAAACGTTTTCTTTTTGCAATGTTCCTTTCTGATACGGTACTTGCTGGTTCAACATGTAAAAGAACTGTGCTTGTGAAGCGTGTAGCAGGGGTTGTGATATGAGGCAATTTTAAACGTAAGGTCTTTGTGATTATGATTTGCTATCTATTGAGTATTTTCATTTAATATCTTTTGTTAGGATATATTTGTATAGATCTTTAATTGCATTTCTTTTGGTAGCAGTAACTGTAATTAGGTAAAATATACAAATACAGAAATATATGAAAAAGGAAAAAGTAATCACTTGCAATAACTTAAATCAGGGATAGACATTGTTGGCATTTTAGTATACTTCCCTATATTATATGTGTATTTTATTCTCTGTTTAAGATATATGTAGTATGTATATACATATGTAGGTATGTATATATTCATTTCTATATTAGGCCCATGTCTAAGCTTCTTCTAGCATATGAGTGTAAAATGAGATCATTTTAACATATTCAATAAATAATCATCAAGGTCTACTATCTTCAAAGCACTGTCTCCCTCATTAAGAACCTAACAGTGAACAACAGCTAAAACCTCTGCCCTCATGGAGTCTATTTGGAAGTAAGACATTAACTTTCAATGTCAGGAATTATAGTGGTTTAGATCCTAGTTTTAGTCTCTCTTCAAATGCCCCACAACTTTTCCTTAGGATCGCCCAAGTTTGTCTTACGCTCACTATTGTTTTTTGGCTCCAGCCTCCTCCTCATCCCACTGCACTCCTTCAAGTGTGGCTGATGTCCTCTGGAGATTGGACACAGCCATCACTGGGGCCCACCATGGCTTTTCAGAGCCAGACTCAGTATGTGGCTGCCTGGGGTAGTCCCAGGATTGGACACTGTAGGCAACCTAGCCATGTGATGCCAGCCATCACATGAAATATTTATTTCTAAATATTTTCCATTATGTAGAGAAGAAGCTGGCCATTCCTGGGGAAGGTGATTATCTGTACATATTGTTCCAAGTGATTCAGCTCTAGCCCCAGATTTACATACCCTCCTCTGCACTGCAAAGTCCTGAAAGTTAACTGGTGCCTCATCTTTATTTTTTTTTTAGTTTTTAATTATTGTGGATACATAATAGTTATGCATACTGACAGAGTACATGTGACATTTTACTACCAACATACAATGTGTAATGATTAAGCCACGGTAATTTGGGTATCCAAGACCTCAAGCATTTATCATTTCTTTCTGTTAGGAACATTCCAATTTCACTTCCTTTAGTTGATTTGAAAATATTTAAAATATATACAATAAATCATTGTTAACTATAGTTGCTCTGTTGTGTTACCAAATAGTAGATTTTTTTTTTCCCTGCTATGTAAGTGTACTTTTGTAACTGTTAACCATGCACTTTAAGGTAGTTTAGCATTCCACTGTTACACAAGAGTGTTTGTTGGGGATTTTAAACTCAACACTAGTGGCTTGTCAAAATATTTCTTTCAAGCACTTACAGGACATTACTTGAAAAGAGTTCTGATTAATTATATTTGCATTATCTCACTACATTTTATGTGATATTTTAGCTACCCTGTAAAATTGGAACCCTAAACAGCTGCTTAAAGGGCCCATCCTTTAATCTGGCTCTTCTGCTACCATCACTAACCTTGGGAAAGCGGAGAGAATTTATTGTCTCTCCCACCCAAGGGCGGCAGACCCTTTCCTTAATTTCTATGGCACTGTAGTGACTTGACACTTACAACAAAACTCAACTGAGGTTCAGGAGTGCATTCTAGGAAGTAAAACACAGAGAATAATTTATAAAGTTCTGCTAGGTTTGGCTACTCTGGGGGCCTACCTGTGATAAAGGAAACCAGGGTCAGGTGTTTCTCTGCCCAGCTCCTATTTTGTCACTCTGTGCCAAAGTACAATTCTCCTCCTTTCAACAAGACTGTTCCCATGTCTTTCCAAACCCCCCAAAATCTCTCAAAAAGCAAAGGGAATTCCTTTCTAATGGCCTTGGGTTTACCTTCACAATTCTAATTTCCTATGCCAGGATTTGCCATACATATCTAGTCTATAGCTGTAGGCTAAGACAACATATGTAGGGTAACTGAGGACCTCCTTTAAGGGGAACTTTTCTTGTACACGTTGTGGGGTCCCAATTCTCTCACCATACAAAACAATCAAAATGTTCCATCTAACAACAGTATAGAGTTATCAAACCTCAGACAAACCTATAAATGTAGAGCCTCCATCTTCAGGTGACATTCCTTTAGTCAATCTGATCCCCTGTATGAGATGATCATTCCTCCATCTCCTTATGCCTTTCATCTAGTTTTCAAAGTCTCAATCCCAGATTTTCTGTGAGCAACTGCTCAATGATCTGTGTGTGTATGCATGCACATACATGAGTACACACACATGCATGCACACACACATTTATCTCCAGGAGAACAAACAGAACTTCCAGGCATAGAATATTTTAAATGCTTAAGCAGCAAAGAACACTTTTGCCAAAGAAGCAAAAAAGCATTTAGAGACAAAACTACTAAGAAGTGTACATAGTTTACATTATATTCTCAGCCTAAATATTACCATTCAGCAGTCAGGAAAATATTGGCTTCATATATTTCTTCGAGATAATGACTAGGGACTTGTTATATATTTATGAAACTGAGCTCATTCAAGCAAATTTCCTAGGGTAAAAAAGGACATCAAATTTTAAAAAAATTAAGTTTTTTTTACGTATACTGCATTTTTAAATAAAATTAACATTTTATCTTTTATTGAGTTTTGAATAATGAAATTTTACTTAATTTTATGCATGTTTTCTTATGTCATTAACTATTTTTAAGAACCTTGTTTTAGCAGCTGCATCCATAACATGAATGTGTAATAACATCACATTTCTTTTGTTTGGAGAAAAATTCGTTTTCATTTTTTAAATTCTAAACAACATTGGAATAGTATCCATAAAAGGCTTTGCCTGCTTTATCGATTTTCTCCCTTAAGGTATGTTCTTATGGGTGGAATTGCTGTGTCATAAGATGTTATGGTTGAGCCTCAGGAAATGGGGTCTCATTCCACTGGCCCTGCTGCATAATAATGTGTCATTTTCTGTGGAACTGATGGGGCTAATAACTTATGATCATGGCTAGTAAAGAAGTTTTTGTCAAGGCTACCATGCTTTTGCCATAGTTGTGCTGAAAGAAATTCAATATTATCTTAAATTTTCTTGCTAAAAGTCCCTCTCTAAGCAAGAGATATTTAAACAATTGGTATTTACTAATTACATATTACCTTAAGTATATACATTTATCCAATGCAATCACATTGAAAATTCTCAGTTTATGGCATAATGAAAAGGGACTCTAAACATCAAACTCTCGGAATGGTAACATATATTTGTTTGGGTCATCTCAGGAAGTATAAGCAGATTCTGCCAAAGGTCTGTATCCGTAAATAACGGATAATCATTAAAAGGAGTAAGCCTCTAGGAACCACCTTCGTTTGACTATGAAAGGGTTGTTAGCATCAGATGAAATGAGGTATGTGCCCTGTGAGAAGAGTGTCCAGCCCCACTAGTGCTGGCAGCTGTAATGTATTTCCAATGCAGTCCCTTTCCATGCTGATTACAGTGTGTTGATTACTCACATCTGGGACTTGTAGTTGATTAAATTCACAGCAGTTTGCTCTCTTCCAATTTCCAATCTTGCTTTTTCTTCAGTCTTCTCTTTGTTGTAATCAAATTTCATTTCAGTCTGTAGTCAAATTGATGGCTTCTCTAAAGTTGTATTAAAATTTTGATTTCTTTGCATTCTTTTCCAAGGTTCTGCTATGTTTGCCCCTTCTAAATTGTTCAAACCTTTGATGGAGTAAATAAACATTCATGAATTCACATAATTCTATAGTTACTCTCTGTCACCAGTCAGTGTTATTGTTTGAACAGGTATGATTTTCATGTCATTGCTGAATGCTTACCCCTTCATTAGATTAGCTGAAGTCATCAAAGGAAAACTCTAAACCTTTGGGAAACACACTTAAAGTGTGGTCTGTCTCTCTCTCACTCGCTCGCTCTGTGTTTGTATATATTACAGGACCATACACATGGTAAACACTAAGTATATAGGAATTCCTTCTCTATTTCAACATTTTACACTTAATTTAGTAATGTAAATTTCACATTTTACTTAGATATAGAAATTAAAGGCTCTGTAACTGCATTGTCTCTGAAATGGTTAAGTGTAAATTTTTATGCTACAAAACTCCATATTTAAACACAAAGAATATAGGTCAAATTTCATATTAATTAACACATTTTCTGTGCTTGCCTTTGGGTAAGTGCTTAGAGGCACACAATTGAAAATATACCTTGCCTTTCATCTTCCTGATGGAAGATAACAATTAAGAATTCTTACCATTTTGCCAAACCGTGGTACTGAACACAGTCTTTTGGGGTATGAAAGGACACCATCTTCACTGCATAACAAATGTCAATGCAGTTTCACCTTCACAATATAAACATCACAACATTTCTTAGGGTTAAACATGTGTAGTTTATGCTGTTATGTTAGTGTTTAGTAGCTGGTGTTTTAGATAATTTTAATGTATTTTTGAGATTCACTTAATATTCAGTTTCATAGTATAGATTTTAAGTGAGCACTGTAGATCTTGAGAGGAATAAGAAGTTAGCACAAGCAACTTGTCAACTATCTTTCATTTAACTATTCATCCAAAAACTATTGAGCACCACTACTTGCCAGTCATTATTACAAGTGTTTGGGCCCCATCAGTAAAAACAGATAAAAATTCCTTTTGTTATGCAACTATAATACACAAATCAAATTTTACTAAATGCAATTCATTAAATAAATGATTTACCTATTACTCTCTATTTGTACACATGCTAGGTCCTGTAATAATGGTTATAAAGTATATAAGTTATAGGGAAAGCACTATTTTGGGATAAAAGAGCATTGCATTTCACATAATCCACCAAAATCTGCAAAACTATTGTTCTCGCTATAATGTTATGCAATATTAAGAAATAACTATCTTGTGAGTACAAGTCATTTGACTTGTTCAAGAATATACAAAATGTCAGTTATTTGGTCAGAAATAGAATCCAGTATTTTTCAGAGTCAACAAAATCACTTTTGTTGAGAGGGAGTTGTCAGGTGCTTTTAATGATGTACTATTGTTTATTCTGCTACTAAGCTGAAGACAATTACCATTAACCTGACAGGTGTTAGCCTGCTTTATTCTTGTTTAGATTTGTGATCTTCCTGGGCAAAGGAAATAATGCAAAATGTTCAAGCACACACATATCCAGAATATGACTAATTAAAATAAAAGATATGATAAAGTTTATGGAGTAGAATGCTATTTTTTAATTTTAGGAATAGTAATTTCTCAATGTGGGAAAGAATTTATGCTATGATAATATGTGCTGTTATTAATAAAAACAAAAGCAAAAAACCTCCACAAAAACAAAAAAAAACCCATTGAATTATTGACTAAATTCGAACCTATCTGGGAAATAGAAGTTGGGCAAAATTTAAGAAAAGGATACCACTGTAGGAAAACATTGTATTTGTTTATGAAAACTTGTTATTTAAATAAGAACTATTTTAGTTAAAATAATTGGTTGGTTTTAAATGGTTTATAGAAAATCAGAATCTAGAAACTTTCCGATTTTGTGTCACCAATATTCTTTGATAAGCTGACTTTAACAGTAATGAGATATCTCATTAGATTGCATATTATTATAATGTTTTGAGAAATAATTTATTATGATTCCTTTGAAAAAGAATACATCTTTTTCTTTTTTATTCAAAAAATGGTATATGAAAACACAAATGCATGCATACACACATGCATACCTTTTATATTTCCTAATTCAACACAAATAATTTTCTAAAAGTAAAATTAAGAATACCATAATTTTCATTAAAGCAAGCATAAACTGGACTTATAATTCGTGAAGATACTTCAAAATTTTGTGGAAATGATTTGGGTATAAAACGTTAAGTAAAGAATAAGCAAAACATCTTGTTGCTTTTTCATTTATCACAAAATGCAGAAAAGCAGAAATCCTGGCCAGGCATTGTGGCTTACACCTGTAATCCTGGCACTTTGGGAGGTCGAAGTAGGTGGATTGCTTGAGCCCAGGAGTTCATGACCAGCCTGGGCAATATAGTGAAGCCCCATCTCTACAAAAAGTACAAAAATTAGCCCAGCATGGTGGCACGTGGCTGTAATCCCACCTACTCAGGAGGCTGAGGTGGGAGGATCACTTGGGTTAGAAAGGTCGAGGCTGCAGTGAGCCAAGATGGTGCCACTGCACTTCAGCCTGGGCGATGGAATGAGACTTTCTCTCAAGAAAAAAAAAAAAGGCAGAGATCCTGTTTTTTTCTTCATTTACATAAAGCCTTTACTTAAACAGCTAAATAACTTTGACTATGTCAACGTTTTGATTTGCAGTGACCAGTATCGTATTTTGCATGACATAACCTTCCTCTTAGTCTATACAGCCAGATCCTTCTCTTGGTAAATAAAAGCTCTTTCCCAACTTTTCACATCACATCTCCATATATACTTTAACGTCTTTGAACCTGCTCTTGGGTGTGGATTGCCTTTATTATTTTTGCTCACTTGGTACTTCCTGTTCTCTTTAAAAAGTCTTTTAGATTCCAGTTCTTTAAATATCTGGAGTATTCTGTCATCATTTTACTTCCAACCCAGTCCAAACCCAAAGATCATTATGTCAACTATGTTCATGTCAACAATCTCTACTCTTGTCCACATCTTTGATGAATCTGATCTGCTTCTAAACTCACTCACATGGCTATAGCAGACTTCAGAAGATGCTTTTAAACTTACTCACCTAGCCAGGCCTCTCAACTGGGCTACCTTGTGATACAGTAACTAGCTTCCCCCAAAATGAGCAATCCAAAAATGAGTGAGAGAGCACTTCCAAGACAGAGGTCAGTCTCTCTCTCTTTATTTCCAACTCTTAAGTTCAGGGGTGCATGTGCAGAATGTGCAGGTTTGTTACATAGGTAAATGTGTGCTTTGGTGGTTTGCTGCACAGATCATCTCATCACCTTGGTATTAAGCCCAGCATCCACTAACTATTCTTCCTGATGCTTTTCCTCCTCTCCCGTGCCCACCCTCTGACAGGCCCCAGTGTATGTTGTTCACCCCCATGTTTCCATGTGTTCTCATCATTCAACTCCCACTTATAAGTGAGAGCATGTGGTATTTGATTTTCTGTTCCTGCGTTAGTTTGCTGAAGACAGTGGCTTCCAGCTCCATCCATGTCCCTGCAAAGGACACGATCTCGTTCCTTTTCATGGCTGCATAGTAGTCCATGGTGCATATGTACCATATTTTCTTTATCCAGTCTATCATTGATGGGGATTTAGGTTGATTCCTTGTCTTTGCTATAGTGAATGGTACTGCAATTAACATACATGCATGTGTCTTTATAATAGAATGATTTATATTCCTTTGGGTGTATACCCAGTAATGGGATTGCTTGGTCAAATGGTGTTTCTGCCTCTAGGTCTTTGAGGAATCGCCACATTGTCTTCTAAGATGGTTGAACTAATTTATGCTTCCACCAACAGTGTAGAAGCGTTCCTTTCTCTCCACAATCTCACCAGCATCTGTTGTCTTTCAACTTTTTATAACAGCCATTCTGACTGGTGTGAGATGGTACCTCATTGCAGTTTTGATTTGCATTTCTCTAATGATCAGTGATGTTGAGTTTTCTTCATATTTTTGTTGGCTACATGTATGTCTTCTTTTCAGAATTATCTATTTATGTCCTTTGCCCACTTTTTAATGGGATTTTTTTTCTTGTAAATTTGTTTAAGTTTCTTATAGATTCTGGATATTAGAGCTTTGTTAGATGCATAGATTGCAAAACTTTTCTTCCATTCTGTAGGTTGTCTGTTTACTCTGTTGACAGCTTCTTTTTCTGTGCCAAAGCTCTTTAATTTAATTAGATCTCATTTTTCAATTTTTTCTTTTGTTGCAGTTGCTTTTGGCATCTTCTTCATGAAATCTTTGTCCATTCCTATGTCCTAAATGGTATTGCCTAAATTTTATTCTAGGGTTATTATAGTTTTGGGTTTTATGTTTACACCTTTAATCCATCTTGAGTTGATTTTTGTATATGGTGTAAGGAAGGGGTCTAGTTTCAATTTTCTGCATATAGCTAGGTAGTTCTCCCAGCACCATTTATTAAATACAGAGTCCTTTCCCTGTTGCTTGTTCTTGTCAGGTTTGTCAAAGATCAGATGGTTGTAGGTGTATGGCGTTATTTCCAGGCTCTCAGTTCTGTTCCATTGGTCTATGTGTCTGTTCTTGTAACAGTACCATGCTGGTTTGGTTACTGTAGCCCTCTATAGTTTGAAGTTGAGTAGCATGATGCCTTCAGCTTTCTTGTTTTTGCTTGGGGTCGCCTTGGCTATTTGGGCAATTTTTGGTTCCATATGAATTTTAAAATAGTTTTTTTTCTAATTTTTGAAGAATGTCAATGGTAGTTTAATGGGAATGACACTGAATATATAAATTGCTTTGGGCAGCATGGCCATTTTAACCATACTGATTCTTCCTATCCATGAGATGGAATATTATTCCATTTATTTGTGTCATCTCTGATTTCTTTGAGCAGTGGTTTACAGTTCTTGGTGATGGCCTTCACTTCTTTTGTTAGTTGTAATCCTAGGCATTTTATTCTTTTTGTGGCAATTGTGAATGGGAGCTCATTTGTGATTTAAGCCAGTCTGTTTACGCAGGTATAACCTATTCTTGGAAGTGATGTCTATTACTTTTGCCATGTTCTATTTACTCGAAGACAATGAAGGATAAGTGATTCCATAAAGGTATAAACACAGAAAGAAGGATCGTTGGAAGTCATCTTAGAGACTAACTGCTACAGAGGGAGAAAATGACGTTAAAAAAGAACAATCTAAGATAAGCAGAGATAAAGGAAAGTAAAAAGAAAACACAAACTGAGAGAGTAGAAATAAGCCCTATGTACCACAATAAAGGTAAACATTAAAAATGAGCTATTAAATACAGAAATTATTACTAATTTTTCTTCAAAATATAAAATACAGTTGTAAATGAAGATACAGAACCTCTTATTTGCATATGATATGATTACTTACATAGAATATTCAAAATAATTGTCATACTCTTAGAACTTATTAGAGAGTTGATACACTCTGGTAAGATTTTAGGACTTAGGTTTTAGGATAAAAACTCAACATATAAAAATTCTATATACCAGTAACAAAGCTATATACCAGTGACAAAATTAATTAGAAAATGTAGGGAATAAGCTTCAGTTTACAGTAGCAATAAAAAGTTTGTTATCCAGAAACAAACCTGAATAAAAATGTTCAAACCTTTAGGATAAAATTGCAAAATAATAATGGAAGGTATTAAAAAAACTAAATAAATGAAAAGAACTGTACCTGTTCAAAGACTGGATAATATTAGTAACATCAAAATATCAATTTTCATTAAATTAATATATAAATTTGATTTAATTGCATTTACTAACAAGTTTTTTGGTGAAATTAGAAATGCTGACCCTATAATTCATAGGTATAATGAAATAGAAAACACAGGCATAGCAATTTTGATGAATAATAAGGTAGCCAGGCTTGATTTACCAGATACCTAGACTTCCAGAGATCCATAATAATTGGAACTGTGAAATTAGCAAAAATACACCCAATGACACAAAACACAGGATGTACAAGAAGTTCTACACATTTAGGATGATTTCATATTTAGAAGAGTAGGCATTACAAATAAAGAGAGAAATAATAAATTATTTTATACATATTGACAAGAAAATAGAAAAATACTATAAAATTGGATGTCTTCTTCATAGCACACACTGATATGATTTTCAGATAAATTAACGTCCTGAATGTGAAAAGGTAAATTTTATTTAAAACTTCTAAATAATATAGAATTTCTTAAATAAGATTAAAAATACAAACAATTAAGAAAATACATACATTTAATCACATTTTAAAAACATGCTCAAAAAAGATACTATTAAGACGGAAACAAAAGCTCCGAAATAAGAGTAGTTTTTCCAACATACATTAACTGGAATGGTTAGGAATAAAGGACTCCTACAAATAAAAAAGAAGACAATACAATAGAAAATATGCAAAATACATGAACAAACAATTTCTAAAGGAAGAAGCCTAATAAGGAAAATATGGCCGATACCCTTGTAATCCTAGAAATGAAAGTTAAAATGGCAATTATAAACCATTTAATGTCTATTTGATTGGCAAAAATTGACAAAACCAATATTGACAGAGATAAGGAGATCAACTAACATATGCATGCAGTTGGTGCAGACAGAAATCACTATTTTGGAGAATGTTAGCAATAGCTAATAAACGTGAAGATGCTTTTATCATACAATCATCAAATTTTACTTCTTGGGACATACATAGAAAAAGTGAATAAGATTTGTGCCTAGGAAGATATAAGAATTTTTGTGGAGCCATGCTTTCACTAGCCAAAACTGAAACCATCCTAAATTCCTGTCACTAAAGAATGTAAATCTAACTCATATTATAATTGTAACATTAAAATCAATACATTGTTTAAGAAGTGCAAGCATCATTTATTGACATGGCCAAATGTCGGAAAAATAGTATTGAGTGTAAAGAGTAAGTTACAAAATAAAATGTACTGTTTGCTGCCATTTCTATAAAGTATAACAACCAGCAAAATGACAAATTATAGTACTTATATTTAAATATGCTAAAAATATAGATTTATGGAATTGATAAACACTGAATTTACAATAGTAGTTGCACTTTGAGATAGGCAAACAGGGAATGCCAGTTATAGATGCTCTTTGAAAAACTCTTATGTGCTACTAAGAGTTAATAGAGCTGGGTGGTGGGTATATGAACACTGATTATCTTCTGTATTATTATTGAGTTATTTGAAATAATTCATAATATATTTTAAAAATAATTATTCTTCCTGTCCATTTCCATTAAGACATCTGTGGTCCAGAGCTAAGTTAATTTATGCTTGGAATCCTGTCATGGATGTACTGTTGACATTCTCTGTCCTCAGTTTAATCTGTCAGTCAACTCTAGCCTATCATTTACAATAATCAGCAGGAACATCTAATTTCTTTTTACAATCATTTCACAATATCTACTATATTAAGTCCAAGCCTCTATTTCTGGTATTCCAGGCTATCCAGAATCTGCCAAGACTGCTCATTCTTAACATTTTCCTCAGCTTTCTGAAGGAAGCTCTCACTTCAGTTAAGCATAACTGCCCATTGCCCCGTCACTCAGTCTACCATTCCAAAGCCTACTGCTCCATCAAGGCACAGTTCAAATGACATAACTTTTATAATTTTCCTTTTCTGACCACTTCAGCTAATACTGATGTTCTTTTTTTTATAGTTTATATTATCTATAAAATCAGTATTGTAGCAGTTACTTCTTAAACAGGCTCAATTTTTCTATAAAATTTGGATTCAAACATTTAATCCTGTGAGGGCCAGGAAATATCTTGTTTTCTTTTCTATGAATCATAGGGCTAAATACGCTCATTCCTCTAAATTAGCTTTTGTTCCAGGATGCTCAAATGGCACTTAGGCTGTCTGTAAATCTGGAATATTCCTGACTTTTACCACATTTTCACTCTCTCGTCTTTAAACAACCACTAAGTCCTTTTTTGTAGCTTCATTAACGTATTTTTATTTGTGAATTTATCTCTGTTTTCACTGAATATCCTTGTAGAATCCACTATTACTTTGTACAGGTTGAGAGGTTAGAAATTATAACATCGAAGTTTATATATCTTGGTGAAATTATCGCCAATACTTACAGAGTGGGGGAATTTTGCCTTTTTTTTCCTCAACAGGAATCTATGTAACTACCCTGGCCCCCTTCTAGATCCTATAGTGAAGCCAGAATGATCTTTACAAAATTAAAATTAGTCACTCTCGGCTTAATCCTCAGATGCCTTTTCATTGTCCTCACAGGGTCCTAACTCCTCAATATGACCCATGGAGACTTGAGTAAGATGCCACTGCCTATGTCCTCCAGTCTCACCATATGCCTCCCACCCCTTAGCTGTCCACACCTTGGCTTCTTTTAGTCCCCATAAAGCCACATTCTTTATCTTCTCAAGGCTGCCAAACACAGCCCATTGCCCGTCATCCTTCTTCACACATAGGCTATCTCTACCTTTCCAACAGGTTTTATGTTAAATATTATTTTCACAGTGGATCTTTCCTTGACTGCTCCTACCCATTCAATTCAAGCTGTTACAATTTCAGTAGTTCCTTTCATTTATGCTTCATAACATCCATAAAAACGAAATTATTTTGTGTTGTGTTTCTTTTCCATGAGTCCATAAACTCTCCAGAAGGTAGGACTCCATGTTTACTTCCCTAGTATGTATCCAGTGGCTAACAAAAGGTAACAATAGATGCTGTATACGTATTCATTGAATGCATCACTTAAAATATTGTTTCAAAAGATTAAAATAAATAAGAAATGTAATTTCTTGCATACTTCTACTTTCCTCAGTTTCCTGTTGTTTGTTGTTGTTATTCTATGCTTACAGATTGGAAAAAGATGAAGGAAACAAAAGCACATTTCTAAAAGAGGAAATCAGATCTAAGCAAACCAAACTTCTGAGCATATACAAAAACTTGTTTTTTCAAATTTTCTAAGGTTGCAAAATAGAATTAAATCCTTTATAAGTACTATTTTCCCTTTATTAAGTGTGATTTAATGTATTGGGGGGGGTCATTGATTACTTTTTAAAAAAAAATAAGAGTTCCTGGGGATTAAAGAGAAACCAAAATATTCACCAGGGCAGTGTTTAATATTTAACAAAACAAAACAAAAATGTACAACCCCATGCTTGATTCTTTCAAACAAAGCACCCCTACCTAGCCCATTCTCTAATAGTTTCTTTAGCCATTTGCTCCGTTTGCATCTCTGCTGTGTGTTACAATAGCCCTACACAGGCTTTGGAAACAATAACACAACCCCCTTCTCAAAAGAGAAAAGGAGAGGGGAAAAAACATACAATCTGTATTTCACACCCTGCCATGTTCTGGCTGCTCTAGATGATTAAAGATAATGGCCGTTTGCCCAAAGTATAGACTCAGTTCACAAATGGGATTGGAAAACAACTTTATGATAAATGTGGAAAATATATATTTCTTCTATGGTATATGCCTTTCTTTATAAATAAGATAGAGGGCATTTTTTAAAATTCTATTTGCACATAATAATACATGAAATTACAGCTTTTATAATATTGTGTATTGAAAGGAAGTGGATTGATTTGGTCAACCGAGAAACACAGCATATTGTCCTCAGAACTGTGGGAATTATATGTACTGATATCTTACAACCTGCGAAGTTCTTCTAAAGAAATTATTATATATTACACATTTCTGGTTTATTTCATGGTGACTGCAATTGATATGGAAGAGAGAAGTTTGAAGTTTCATCCTGATGCATACCTACTTATTTACATAAAGTTTATAATAAGTTTTAGAACAAAAATGTTAACTAGGTCGAAGGGGAAATTGTCAGTGAAGAATTGGATCCCTCTGGAAGTGATACATTTCTGTTACTCCTTTAAATTGTGTTTTAACTTACCTTGGTGAAGAAATAGCTCCCCATGACCCATTTTGTAAATGATGAAATGTTCCAGGCCTTCATTGAGGTAATAGGGGGAAGTCAGTTCCCAGTATTTGCTATGCTTCGGATTGTTCCTCTAATAAACTAAATGTAATTAAAAATAGAGCAGGGCCATTGCATTTTAATAGCTCGGAGTCTTCCCTGTGGAAGAGTCAGCAAACAGTGAGAGAATATGAAGATTCAGCTCCCCAGCACCTGCCAGGCAGGCTTTGTCAAGATTAACAGCATCACACCAGGTTATTAGAGGAAACATAAATACTTTTGAGGCTCTGTGGGTAGTTACGATATCACGCTTTATTATCTTCTCCAAAATGGAATTACTCATTGTAATTGCTTGCCAGTCACAGGCCAGCAAACATGACAGAAAAAAACCCCACATATCGGGGAGAGGCAGTTATAATGTACAGGAAACTGACCTAGAGAATTGCTTTTAAGGACACATTATGTATTTGTAAAAATCATATGCTTTATGGCACTTTACAGATTCTAGAATA
The DNA here is from genome assembly GCF_000001405.40 of Homo sapiens. Taxonomy (NCBI): domain Eukaryota; kingdom Metazoa; phylum Chordata; class Mammalia; order Primates; family Hominidae; genus Homo; species Homo sapiens. Next base: position 210,860,713 of record NC_000002.12, read on the forward strand.
GGCACATATGCGGACCTTGCAATTTGAAGTGGGCATAGGCAGGATTTGAATTCCTATTTAAGTAAGGAAATGGAGAGTGTAAGGAGATTGAGTGATTTGCACAGAAATCCTGCTGCTAGTGAGTGTAGAGTTGAGAATGAACTGCAGTCTTCTAACTTTAGAGTCTGCTCTTTCTGCTATTCTGTGTAGCCCTGCCTGAGTTCAGCAGCAAACATACCATGTTTGCTGCCACTTTCAAATCATACCTTTCTTGGCAAAAGAGTGGTTTTGAAGAAATTAAAAATTTCCTACAGGAATGATGCAAATGAATTGTAGTTTAGTAAATGGCCTTAAGAAAGCTGGAAGAATTGATGTCAGGCATGGGATATTTGAGAAAATGTGAGAAGTCCCTATCTCTGTGAGCAAGATGAGAAAGTGATGCATTAGTAAGCATTGTGGAATTTGTTGTTGTTGTTGACTTTATTTCCACACCAAAGGTGATTATCAAAAAGTGAGATAGGGTAATATCATAGGTATCTGGGGGAGTTGGGGCTAACTGCCACACTCAGGAACTTCATGTGTGGCCTGTAGGGAGGGACGCAGTAATAATATGTTTTGAAATCTGTTTGAGGTCAGAGGGAACATGAAAATTTTAAGTCAAGACTCCTGGACTCCATACTTTCCTAAACTAAATGAATATCCTAGCTGAAGTTATGATTGTACATAAAACAGTACACGGAGGCTGATTCTATTCATTATCATACAGACTATTACTGCCTGGTACACCTGAATCCTAGGCTATCCAGAGGGAAATGATTCATTGTGGTTCAGTTAGTCCAACAGAACTGCATCTGGAAATGTATTCAGAACACAAGATTTCTGGCAGAGACAGCAACCCCTGTTATAATTCAAAATAAAGCAAACATTTTGTGTGCTCAAATCCTTTATTTTCTGCATTATATGCTAAAATCACAGATGGAGTTTTCTACCTATAATCCCATTACCTTGATTGCAATTTTCTGAAGATTGAAAAAAATATTGCCTCCTTGTTTATTATTTACTATATGTTTAAATTTGAAGCTTTTTCAATAATATTTGAATCAGATATGTTGTATTTTAGTGCTTTAAGTTCTCTGATATTTTAACAGAGCGATACCATCACTCGTAGTCTAAATTTTCCTATTTTCCTTTGACTATTGTCTTTCCAAGCTATAATCTGAAAAAAATCCATAGTAAAAGCCATTTGCCCTTGAATTCTCTAGCTTGTCCTGGAGCTTAATCCTGTTTCCCAAACCTGTATTTAGCGGTAACCAGTCTGTCACCAACTTTTACCTTAATCTGCTTATATGTGATGAACAGTTCTCTTAAAACTCTTACTCTATTTATTCTGGGAGTCTTTGGGTTTATGAAGACTATTTCTACTACCAATGGAACTCATCATATTCTTCACTGTAGTTCCAACTGATGGCCACAGATAATAGTCACTTGAGGTCCTCTGCAGGTAGCATTCTCTATAAAGTCACGGATGTTTGTGCCAAGGATGTTGTCTCCTGACATTCCCTTCCATTATGTACATACTGCAGTTACCAAATCCATGCATTCTTCAACCCTCAAAGCACATTTTCACTTGAGCAGCAAAGCCATGAATGAGTGGCAAAGCCCAGGGTAAGAGGGGCCTCTGCTTGTAGCCCCATGTAGTTCATATGTAAATTCTTGGACCTGAGCCAATATTCCAGCTCCCAGTCAAACATCATTTTATCTTCATTTTGCCTCTTCTTTCCTCCCCAGCCCCAGTCTGTTGTAAATGTCACTGCTGAATTCCAGTAGTAGACAAAGCGTAGATAGTGACTGCATCCCCACTGTATCTGCCACTCCCTTGGTCTTGTTATATCTTATACAAAAGACTTCCTTTCTGAAAATTATGTTATACTTAAAGATTTTCTTTCTTCAATAAAATAGATTTCACACTTTAAATGACTCACCAAAGCATGTGTGAGCTGAAGATTGACACTGAGGGAGGAATGTTTTAGGAGGAGGCCAAAAAAAAAAAAAAAGTGGCAAAAACTATAATTCTACAGTTGCTGTCTTTGGCTAGTCTTTTTTTTTTCTTTTCTTTTTTTTAAAGCCTATTCTAGAATGGTGGCAGAAGAATGCACCACTTCTGCATTTCAATTGTATTCATATTCTAACTGCTCTTATTCATACCATCTGTATTTCACCACATGTTGGCCATGAAGTAGTGAAACACAAAGTGGGTTCAGAACCTTGTATATATTTCTACAGTAAATAGTGCAGTGTGTGAAAAAAATGTCACTTCTTTAATCTGCTACCCTATGCTTTATTCGTTGCCATAGTGAACATTATGGATTTAGTTATATAGTTTCTAGTTAAGATAGCTAGTTAAGCACACATTCAGAGAGAATTTCTCATGTGGCAGGAAATGCACAGGATGCAGGAGATCCAAGTCCTCACTATCTAAAATAGAAGCATATTGCCTTTGTTTTATTTCCTGAATATTTGTCCTCATTAGTAAAAGTAAGAACATGCCTATTTTTGGAAACTTATTTTAAGTTTTTTAAACAATTATTTTGTTGCAGAATAATAACTGTGAATGAGACAATGAGCTGACTCGCCAAATTGGATACTGCAGCAATACATCCAATTCTGATTGCTTCTTAGGGACTGGCTTAGTACCTCTAGACATTTACAGTGTTTTTTGACTATATGCTTGTTAAAAGCTTCTATTATAAATTCAGAAGCTTTCAAATTAAATTCATAAATGCTCTGGATCTGAATTCCAACCTAAATTTAAAACACATGTGCAAGCACTGAAAGTATTCCCTCTAAAACTTAGGACTTGTTGGTTAATCTAATTGGTTTTTTATGCTTATTAGACTAGGTAGTCTAGAATTCTTCTATTATATGTTATAATATGTGTAAATTTCAGCTAAGTTTTATCTCTGTGGAGTAGTAGAGAGTGAGCCAGACCAGCAGCCCCCAACCAAAGCAAGTGGGGTAACAGATGGAGTGCACAGTATGAAATTAGAGAATAACTGGCAGGATTTTTTTTTTAATGATCCATCTGGAATCCAAAGGTCAAGATCATCAATTTCAACACTTACACAGGACCACAGCCTAAAATTACATCTAATTTCTAAGGTGACTTTTTAAAAAAGTCTTCATTTTAAATGAAATTTATCTGGAAAATAAACACTAAGTTACAAATTAACACAGTAAATGCTGCATTATTATGAGATAATGGCTTACGCATATAGAAATATTATTAATTTCTATGGTTAATCACATTAACAATTCTACATGTTCTATGCTATCATATACAGAGCTGCAAAACAGATGCATTAGGGCAGGCAAGATTGATGTAACAAAGTGACCACCACACCACTCCAAATTCAGTGGTTTATAGAACAAAGAAATGTGTCTTTTAGTAAGTGCCTTTAGTAACAGTATGATCATTCATACATTGATGGGTGGCTCTGCTCCATCAGAGCATTTAGAGACTTAGGTTGTTGGATGCTGTGGCAAGTCAAGTAATGTCCCCCTACAAAAATGTTGGCATCGTAATCCCTGCAACCTGTGAACACGTGACTTTACATGGCAAAAGAAATTTTGCAGATGTCATTAAGTTGAACATATTGAGATGGGATTACCCCAGATTGTCCAGGTGGGCCCTATGTAATTATCATGGTCTTTATAAGAGGGAGTCAGGAAGGTCAGAGTAGAGAAGGCAATGTGACAATGGAAGCAAAGGTCAGAGATTGAGAGAGACATTTAAAGGTGATATATACTGCTGGATTTAAATATAGAGCAAGGGACCACTAACCAAGAAAAGCAAGTTGCCTCCAGATCCTCTAAAAGCAAGGAAGATTCTGCCCTAGAGCATGCAGAAGAGACCATCCCTGTAGACATCTTAACTTTAGGTCAATGAGACTGATTTTAGACTTCTGATCTCAAGAACTGTAAAATGATAAATTTGTGTTGTTTTAAGCCACTGAACTGTGGAAACTTGTTACAACAGCAATAGAAAACTAGTATCCTGGCTTAACTTGGGGCTTCCAAGGTTCCTATGGTCATCATCATTTCAGCTAATGGGAAGAGATAAAAGAACAGGCCAGGGACAGTGGGACAGAGACCCTACTTGTTTAAAGATCTTTCAGGGAATGACTTACATCACTTTCATTATTCCAGAATGAAGATAATTTAGTTGCCTGGCTACTGGGAAACTGGAAATTGAGAGTGTCTGGTAGCTATTTGAGCAAATAAATCTATTACTGTAGAGGAAGAAGAAGACGGACTTGGGCAAAAAACAAAAACAAAAACAAAAAACAAAACAGTCTGCCATAATGGAGGGCATAGTGCATAAGATTTATTTCATCTATGTTGCAGTGTAAGTATAACATGCAAAGTAGGTAGAGAAGAAATAAAGTGCCAATAATAATTTAAAATAGTAAGAGCCATTTGTTATCAGTTATCCCTCTGATCGTATGAAGAAATAATTTGCAAAAGCATACTTATTACTCTTATTAAAAAACTAGCAATAATTCTTTCACCCATGAGTTTTACTTACAGTTCCAGGATGAATAAAATTTTAATTTAGCATTTGTACTCTGTACTACTGTTCAGTATTCTGAATTCATTTGATAATGTTTTATTTTGTGCAATAATTTTTAACTCTACATAAACTTTGGAAATTTGATATATTAAGTATTGTAGCTATCACGTTTCCAGCATTTATGGTTAAGACTCACTATATTTCTTCAATTCTCTTATTTGTTTATTAATGCATTAAAAATATTTACTAAGCAACTATTATGTATCATTTCTGAGGATACTTTAGTAAGCAAGATAGATTTGGTTTCTGCCTTTATAGAACATAAAATCTATTGAGAAAGTTATTTATATAAGCACTAATCCTAAGTGTGATAAAAACTAAAATAAGGGAAATTCAAGATGGTGTGAGAGCACATAGAGATAGCTTGGTGTTTATCTAGAGCAGTCTTTATCTAGACATCTACTCAAAGCAGATATTTTAAGTAGAGATTTTGTAAAAAGCACATATGTTTTACTCTCTTTATTGATATTTCTTAAGAACAAAGAAATTCAGTCATGTTGATATGATTTGGTTTATTTCATCTGAAAAATAACTAATTTGGAGGAGCGGCCAAGATGGCCTAATAGAAACAGCTCCACTCTGCAGCTCCCACTGAGAAGGATGAAAACGGTGAGTGAATTCTGTATCTTCAATTGAGGTACCAAGATTCTTCACTGAGACTGACTAGGCGGTTGGGGTGACCCACGGAGAGTGAGGAAAAGCAGGATGGAGCGAGGGCCCACTGGGAGCAGCACAGGGCAAAGGGAACTCCTTCCCCCAGCCAAAGGAGGCAGTGAGGGATTGTGGCCAGACTGCTTCTTTAAGTGGGACCCCAATTGTCTCCTCCTCACCGTGGCGGGGAGCCTCCCTGTGAGAATTTCATCATCCTCAGCCAGAGGTTTATGGACAGAACTCTGATATCCCTGAGAAGAGCCCCTAGGAGGAGGGGTGGCTGTGGTATCATGGATCAGTGGTCTTAGTATTTTCTGCTTGCTTTTCTGGGGAGTCAGGGCAGCCCAGACGAGGGGGATTTCCCCCCAGTGCAGCACACCTACTCTGCTTATTTAAGAATTTAAGAATTCCCAATAGGAGTCTCCGGACACTTCATATAGGAGCATTCCGGCCAGCATCAGGTCAGTGCCCATCTGGGACAGAGCTCCCATAGGAAGGAGCAGGTTGCCATCTTTGCTGTTCTGCAGCCTCCACTGGTGATACCTCCAGAAGCAGGAGGAACCTAGGTGAATAGAGTCTGGGGTGGACCCTCAGCAAACTATAGCAGCTCTATGGAAGAGGGATCTTACTGCTAAAAGTAAAACAGAAAACAACAACAGCAACATCAATGAAAAAGACCCCACAAAACCCCATCCAAAGCTCAGCAGCCTCAAAGATCAAAGGTAGATAAATCCATGAAAATGAGAATGAATCAATGCAAAAATGCTGAAAACTCAAAAAACAAGAGTATCTCTTCTCCTCCAAATGATTTCAACATGTCTCCAGTTAGGGCAAAGAACTGGGCTGAGGCTGAGATGGGTGAATTGGCAGAAGTAGGCTTTAAAAGACGAGCAATAATGAACTTCACTGAAAGAAAGGAGTATATTCTAACCATTGCAAAGAAGCTAAGAGCCATGAGAAAACATTACAGGAGCTGTTAACTAGAATAAACAGTTTAGAGAGAAACATAAATGACCTGATGGAGCTGATAAAATACAACACGAGAACTTCACAATGCAAACACAAGTATCAATAGCTCAATAGACCAAGCAGAAGAAAGGATATCAGAGCTTGAAGTCTATCTTGCTGAAATAAGGTAAGCAGACAAGATCAGAGAAAAAAGAATGAAAAGGAATGAATAAAACTTCCAAGAACTATGGGATTATGTTAAAAGACTAAACCTATGACTGATAGGGGTACCTGAAAGAGACAGGGAGAATGGAACCATGTTGGAAAACGCACTTCAGGATAACATTCAAATTCAGGAAATCCAGAGAATCCTGGTAAGATACTCCACAAGAAGATCAACCCCAAGACACATAATCATCAGATTCTCTAAGGTCGAAATGAAGGAAAAAATATTAAGGGCAGCCAGAGAGAAAGGCCAGGTTACCTGTAAAGGGAAGCCCATCAGACTAACAGCAGACCTGTCAGTGGAAACCCTACAAGCAAGGAGAGATTGGGTGCCAATATTCAACATTTTTAAAGAAAATAATTTCCAATCTAGATTTTTTAAAATCCAGCCAAACTAAGCTTCATAAGCAGAAAGAAATAAAATCTTTTTCAGACAAGCAAATGCCGACAGAATTTATCACCACCAGGCCTGTCTTGCAAGAGCTCTTGAAGGAAGCACTAAATATGGAAAGGAAAAACTGTTACTAGCCACTAAAAAAACACACTGAAGTATACAGACCAATGACACTATGAGGCAGCTACGTAAACAAGTCTGAAAAATAGCCAGCTAGCATCAGGATGACAGGGTCAAATTCACACATAATGATATAACCTTAAATGCTAAATGCCCCAATTAAAAGACACAGAATGGCAAGCTGGATAGAGTCAAGATCCATCGGTGTGCTGTATTCAAGAGACCCATCTCAAATGCAAAGATACACATAGACTCAAAATAAAAGGATGAAGGAAAACTTACCAAGCAAATGGAAAAGAGAAAAAAGCAGGGGTTGCAGTTGCTGACAAAACAGACTTTAAGCCAACAAAGATAAAAAAAAAAGACAAAGAACAGGATTACATAATGGTAAAGGGATTAATTCAACAAGAAGCGCGATCCTAAATATAAATGCACCTGATAGAGGAGCACCCGGATTCATTAAATAAGTTATTATTTCTTTATTATTATTATTTGAGACAGAGTCTCACTCTGTTGCCCAGGCTGGAGTGCAGTGGCACGATCTTGGCTCACTGCTACCTCTGTCTCCTGGGTTCAAGTGATTCTCCTGCCTCAGCCTCCCAAGTACCTGAGATTACAGGCATGTGCCACCACACCCAGCTAATTTTTACATTTTTGGTAGAGATGAAGTTTCACCATGTTGGCCAGGCTGGTCTGAAACTCTTGACCTCAAGTGATCTTCCCACCTTGGCCTCCCAAAGTGCTGGGATTACAGGCATGAGCCACCGCACCCAGCCCATAAAACAAGTTCTTAGAGACCTATAAAGAGACTTAAACTCCCACACAATAGTAGCAGGAGACTTTAACACCTGACTGTCAATATTAGACAGATCATTGAGACAGAAAATTAACAAAGATATTCAGGACGTCAGTTCAGCTCTGGGTCAAGTGGACCTGATAGATATCTGCAGAACTCTCATCCCATAATAAGAGAATGTTCATTCTTCTCAGTGCCACATGGCACTTACTCTAGAACTGATCACATAAGTGGAAGTAAATCACTCCTCAGCAAATGCAAAAGAACTGAAATCACAGCAGTCTCTCTGACCACAGCACAATCAAATTAGAACTCAAGATTAAGAAACTCATGCAAAGCCACACAACTACATGGAAATTGAACAACCTGCTCCTGAATGACTCCTGGGTACATAATAAAATTAAGGCAGAAATCAAGAAGCTCTTTGAAACCAATGAGAACGAAGAAACAATGTACCAGAATCTCTGGGATGCAGCTGAAACAGTGTTAAGAGGAAAATTTATAGCATTAAATGCCCACGTCAAAAAGCTAGAAAGATCTCAAATTGACACCCTAATATCACAACTAAAAGAACTAGAGAACCAAGAGCAAACAAATCCCAAAGCTAGCAAAAGACAAGAAGTAACCAAGCTCAGAGTGGAACTGAAGGAGATAGAGACACGAAAAACCCTTCAAAAAAATCAATGAATCCATAAGCTGGTTTGTGAAAAAATTCATAAAATAGACTGGTAGCTAGACTAAAGAAGAAAAGAGAGAGGAATCAAATAGACACAATAAAAAATGATAAAGCGGTTATCACCACCACGCCACAAAAATAGAAACAACCATCAGAGAGTACTATAAATACCTCAATGCAAATAAACTAAATAAATCCAGAAGAAATGAATAAATTCCTGGACACATACATCCTCTTAGGACTGAACCAGGAAGAAGTTGAATCCCTGAATAGACCAATAACAAGTGCTGATATTGAGGCAGTAATAAATAGCCTACCAACAACAACAAAAAAAAGCCCAGGACCAGATAGATTTACAGCTGAATTCTATGAGAAGTACAAAGAGAAGCTGATACCCTTTCTTCTGAAACTATTCTCAACAATTGAAAGGAGGGACTCCTCCCTAGCTCATTGTATGAGACCAGCATCATCCCAATACCAAAACCTGGCAGAGATATAACAACAACAAAAAAAACTTCAGGCCAATATTCCTGATGAACATCGATGTAAAAATTATCTATAATATATTGAAAATCCGAATATGGCAGCACATTAAAAAGCTTATCCAGCACAATCAAGTTGGCTTCATCCCCTAGATAGAAGACTGGTTCAGCATATGCAAATCGACAAACAGATCTAAAGACAAAACCACATCATTATCTCATAAGATGCAGAGAAGGCCTTCAGTAAAATTCAACATCCGTTTATGTTAAAAATTCTCAATAAACTAGGTATTGAAGGAATATACCTCAAAATAATAAGAGCCATTTATGAGAAACCCACAGCCAATATCATACTGAATGGCCAAAAGCTGGAAGCATTCCCCTTGAAAACTGGCACAAGACAAAGGTGTCCACTCTCGCCACTCCTATTCAACATAGTATTGGAAGTTCTGGCCAGGACAATCAGGCAAGGGAAAGAAATAAAGTGTATTCAGATTGGAAGAGAGGAAGTTGAATTGTCTTTGTTTGCAGATGACATGATCCTATATCTAGGAAACACCATTGTCTCAACCCAAAAGCTTCTTAAGGCGATAAGCAACTTTGGCAGTCTCAGTATATAAAATCAATGTGCAAAAGTCACAAGCATTTCTATACACAAACAACAGGCAAGCAGAGAGCCAAATAGTGAATGAACTCCCATTTACAATTGCTACAGAGATTAAAATACCTAGGAATACAGCTAACAAGGGAAGTAAATGACCTCTTGAAGGAGAACTACAAACCACTGCCTGAGGAAATTAGAGAGGACACAAACAAGCGGAAAAATATTCTATGCTCATGGATAGGAAGAATCAATATCATGAAAAAGGCCATACTGCCCAAAGTAATTTATAGATTCAATGCTATTCCCATTTAACTACCATTGACATTCTTCACAAAATTAGGATAAACTGTTTTAAAATTCATTTGGAACCAAAAAATGCTCATATAGCCAAGACAATCCTAAGCAAAAGAATAAAGCTGGAGGCATCATGCTACCAGACTTCGAACCATACTACAAGGCTACAGAAACCAAAACAGCATGGTACTGGTCCAAAAACAGACACATAGACCAACAGACCAGAAGAGAGAACTCAGAAGTAAGACTGCACATCTACAACCATCCGATCTTAGACAAACCTGAAGAAAATAAGCAATGAGGAAAGGGTTCCCTATTTAATAAACAGTGCTGGGAGAACTGGCTAGCCATATGCAGAAAATTGAAACTGGACCCCTTCCTTACACCTTATGCAAAAATTAACTCAAGATACATTAAAGGCTCAAATGTAAAACCCCAAATTATAAAAACCCTGGAAGAAAATCTAAGCAATACCATTCAGGACATAGGCATGAGCAAACATTTTATGACAAAATCACAAAAAGCAATTGCAACAAAAGCAAAAATCGACAAGTGGGATCTAATTAAACTAAAGAGCTTCTACCCAGCAAAAGAAACTATCATCAGAGTGAGCAGGCCATCTACAGATTTGGGGAAAACTTTTGCAATCTATCCATCTGACAGAGGTCTCATATCCATAAGCCACAAGGAACTCAAACAAATTTACCAGAAAATAAAAAACAAAAAACCCCATTAAAAAATGGGCAAAGGAGGTGAACAGACCCTTCTCAAAAAAGACATTCATTCAGTCAACAAACATGTAAAAAAGCTCAACGTCATTGAATATTAGAGAAAAGCAAATCAAAACCACTATGAGATACCATCTCATGCCAGGCAGAATGGCGATCATTAAAAAGTCAAAAAACAATACATGCTGGGGAGGTTGCGGAGAAATGGGAACAATTTACACTGTTGGTCAGAATGTAAATTAGTTCAACCATCGTGGAAGATGGAGTGGCAATTCCTCAAAGACCTACGTGCAGAAACACCATTTGACCCAGCAATCCCATTACTGGGTATACACCCAAAGGAATATAAATCATTCTATTACAAAGATACATGCAAATGTATGTTTGTTGCAGCAGTATTCACAATAGCGAAGTCACGGAATCAACATAAATGCCCATCAATGATAGATTGGATAAAGAAAATGTGGTGCCTATATACCATGAAATACTGTGCAGCCATAAAAAGAAACAAGATCATGTCTTTTGCAGGGACATGGGTGGAGCTGGCAGCCATTATCCTCAGCAAACTAATGCAGAAACAGAAGACAGATCACTGAACTCCACATGTTCTCACTTATAGGTGGGAGCTGAACAATGAGAACACAGGGACACAGGGAGGGGAACAACACACACTGGGGCCGTGAAGGAGTGGGGTTGGGGGAGGGAGAGCATTAGGAAAAATAGCTAATGCATGCTGGGCTTAATACCTAGGCGATGGGTTGATAGGTGCAGCAAGCCACCATGGCACATGTTTACCTATGTAACAAACCTGCACATCCTACACATCTACCCCATAACTTTGAAAAAAAAAAAAAAAACAAAACTCATTTACTCTCAATTCTCTTCCAGTTACCACCTCCATTCATCGGGCCCCTACTTTGCCACACAGCTTTGAAAGAATTTTGTATTTAAAAAATTCTCGAAGTCTATTTATTTATATGTAACATATAAATGCACAAAATATGCAGTAGATGGTATATAAATATTATATATGTTGGTTTATGTGTGAGTAATCCTCCTTTCCTGTGGATCACAAAACATTTTTTGGAAAGGCAGAGGACTATATGCACACATAAAAGAGGACTTACAAAACGATATGTTAGGTCTCAAGGTGTCATTGCCACCTGGCTTCTCACTGATGAATGTTCTCTTCAGTTTTTCCCATGTGCATATATTTTAATAAATGTCAAAAATCCCGCTTGGGCCTTCTGCTCAATACCACAGGAAATGTCTCTAATTTCTCTCATTCTCTTCTGTCTTCAAGGTATCCAAATCAGGCTTTTGCCACCACCATCCCACTAAAACTGCTCTCCTCAAAGTCATCTGTGACCTGCAGGTTGATTCATTTGTCAAATTTCAGTCTTTGACTTGACTTAGCTACAGCATTTGATATAGACAAGTACTCTCTCCTCCCGTAAACACTGTTATAAATGTGGTTTACAGGACACCACACTGCCCTAGATTTTTCTCCTATCTCATTTTGCACTCCTTGTTAGTTTTATTTGCTTGGTCTTCCTCATCTCTCTTACCTCTAAATATTGGAGCTCTCGGACCGCGAATCTCAGGTTTTTCTTTGGCCATCTATAGTCACTTTTTAGTCATTGTATTCAACTTAATGGCTTTAGATATACTTTATACTATGGTATCTCCCAAGCTTGCATTTTTAGAAACTTATCTAAATTTATATCGTAGACTTTGCCATTGAATTTAAGATTGTTTCTCTAACTCCTACTTGATGTCTCCACTAAGATGGCTGATAGCTCAACCCAACATCTTTAAAGCCTAATTTCCAGATTTCCATTGCATTAAATGGCTGTAAATATCACCTTCATTCTTCTAGTAAATCAGCCCAGAGATAGTGGAGCCATCTTTGACTCTTTTTTTCTCTCACATCCCACATCAAATTCAAATACATGTGTAAATTCTATTAATTTTTAAAATCTATCAAGAATACAAAACCTGCTCACCACCTCCACTGCTAATACCTAGCTCAAGCCATTGTCATTTCTTACCTAGATTATTATAAAAGCCTCCTACCCTGATTTTCTCTTTTCAACCTTTCCTCGGTAGAGTTGGCTCTCAAAAGTAGCCAGAGTGATCCTTTTAACTATAAGGTGAAACTATAACACTCCTCTGGCCTAAACTCTCTAGTGACTTACTTACTTGTTCGGAGTTCAAAGCCGTTTCATTATAATGGCTTCCCAGCCTTACATAATTTGGCCCTGATTCTCTGATCTCATCAAACATTTTTAACAACTGGCCTCTTTGCTATTCTAAATATCTAAGGTTAAAAATTATACCTTTCTTAGTATAGCAATTCAATAAATATTTATTGCCTGAAAAAATAAATGAATACTTAGAGAATTTTTCCAGGGCAAATAATAACAACATATCATGTTGTGATGCTAGAGATCAGGCAGCTGCCATTTACCTCATATATTAAACACGATGCAGATAGACATATTAGTTATAATAGCAACTTTCTAGGACAGAGGTTACCAGTGATTGTCTCCTCAATCTTTGAAACTTCAAAAATGAAAGAGGAAGATCTCTGCTTGAAAGGAAACCACATGCTTCCTATCCTAGCAGCCATGCAGAGCAAAGTGCTCATTAATCCTTCTCCAAAAAGAATTTCTTTCACTGAGAGATTTCTTCTTGATAGTAGAATCACAGTTCATGTTATTTTAAAGAATTATTTGGTTTCTTAAACCAGGGAGTGCCAGTACAAGGAAGGGGTACTTGGTACACACAGCATTAACTTTAAAATGGAAGGGAAAGCACCACTGCAAAGACATAAACTGACCCATTATTGTCAGTTTCCATTTATTTGAAGAGAGATAAATCCACAAAGCCCACGTGCTGGAGCAGTGGAAAAGAACGACAAACTGGAGGCTGTGTGTGTGTATGAGATAGAACACTTAAAATTTTAGAACATAGAATAGTAAATTATAAACAATAAGAGAAACCGAGTGTTCAACAGAACCATGGTGAGTATATGAAATATTCATTTCTATCTTAGTCCATTTTGGCTGCTAAAACAAAAAAAACCCTGATTGCACAGCTTATATAAAACAGAAATTTATTTCTTACAGTTCTGGAGGCTAGTAAACCCAAGATCAAGGTACCATCAGATTCAGAATCTAGTAAGGGCCTGCTTCCTGGGTCATAGATGGCTGACCTCTGGCTGTGTTATCAGATGGTGGAAGGGGTAAGGGATCTCTCTGGGGTCTCTTTTATAAAGGTACTAATCCCATTCATGAGGACTCCCCTCTGATGTCCTAATCACCTCCCCCACCTCTAAATATCCTCACTTTAGGGATTAGTTTCTAACATAAGAGTATTGAGGGGATGCAAATACTTAGTCCATAATAATTACCAATCAATGAGGAAATAAAATAGGAAACATTTGAAAACTTAATTTGTGATCATAAAACCATGTGAAAACATCATTAGTCTTACTTGTCAACTCAAATTCTTAAGTAATTCCACAGTTTTTTGTTAGGAATGGGGACTGAGATACTCTCATGCCTTGGGATTGTACAAGAATCCACAAAACTGGTATGAAAATACTGATATGACAATAAACAGGGGAAGACCTCTTTTGTATTCAGTGCATCTTGGTAGCTAATAACTTTCTAATTCTCTAAGGCGTTGTGGTGGCTCCACACAAACTAGCAGTTTTACTTCTGTTATGCCATACTTCAGCATAGATATCTTTGCAAATGATGCCAGCCCTGAGACAAGGGTCTAGCTTACTTAGATTGCTTGTAGCCATTTTCCTCTTTGGTCCTGAGACTTCCTCAGGGCTGTCCATGATGGGCTACAAGATAGCTTGGTTTTTATCTACCGGATTCTGTCCCTTCCTCAGACTTGGCAATATTCCCCATTTCTCTCACATTATCTCTTCTCTTCTTTTTCTCCCTCTTTCTATTTTCTGTCCTCCTCACCTACTGCTACACATCAACCAAGCAAAGTCTCTTCAATGTGCTACTGCATATAAATTTGTCCAAGGAGAGCTTGACTGCCTTATTGTAAAAGAAGGGAGGTATTACAGCAGAAACAAAAGACAAATTAGTATCTAAATAAACTATTTTTCTATGATCTTGTAACCAAAGATTACATTATGGGAAAGCTCACTCTCTCTGTTTCTCCAAATCATTCCCTGTAATTCTTTTTTATATCCCTGGAACCAAAAACTGCTGAAATTTTAAAACTCTGATTAGTTATCAATTAAACAAATTATAAAAAAACTTGTTTCTAGTTATTTTCATATAGGCTAGAGCTCACACATACCTATTCACTGATCTCACTTAGTAGGTAGTATTGTGATCATTTATTTTTAGTGTTTTTCTAAAATGTATTCAGAGGCAGAGATATTCTCTAGGTAGAATAAAAAGACCTTATTCCATTACCATTTTATTTTCTGACTAAAATATTACTAAATATATTATAGGCAGCCAGCCAATTGCCCCACCAAAAGTGATGAATATATGAAGTATTTTTTGACATTATTTTAGGTAGACCATTAATGGAAAAATATAACCAAGAAGTTTCAGTAGAAAACTAGCAAAAGAAGACTTCAAAAAATTTTGTAGGATGATTAGTGACTATATTTTTAAAAATATTTTAATATGTGTCTTCCTTTATTAGCTTTATTTGTCTGAATATCAGCGTGTTTGTATCACCACATTTTATGGTATATTTGGCATGCAGCTAATGCTAAATATTATTGTGTGGCTCATACATTAAAAGTAAGCCTCAAGAAAAGTCATCTTTACATACAATCTGAGAGAATTTGCCAAGTTAAAAAACCAATTAGAGTAATAATAAAATATACAAATATAATCATGAAGATGCATTTCTAGAAAGAGAGAGGATACATTTAGCTTGAGGAGAGGGAGTAATATTTTCAAAATAGCATTCAAACAGAAGAACAGTTTATAGCAATAGAAATACATTTTTCTTTAGGAAGACTTTGACCTGCATGAGACAGTTTATCAGAATGTGATTGGATCCAAGATCCCAAAAAACAATGGGTGGCCACACAGACTTAGGGTCAATATTTAAATAGATAAATAAGAATGAAATCTACTTTTATCCTATGGGTATATTGTGATATTTTTTTCAATCTAATAAATGAGAGAATTCTAACTGTATAAGATCTTGAAGTGATGCATGTAACTGAAGGGTCAATGTGACAGTACGGTTTTTGTTTAACCACTGCTTTTGTTGCACATATGTACATCTGGAGATGAAGGTGTCCCAGAGAATATGTTTTAATTTCTGCTTCTTCTCTGCTTCCAACTCTATCGATTTCAACACACACATACAAATGCAAACACACACAACACAACCCACCTTTGCATAGGCTGTCTAATTTATTTAAATGTTTTTGTTTTGTCTTTCCAAGAAGAAAGTGCAAACTAAATGCTTGTTTAATTATTAGATCACTCTAATACTTAATGCTGTGCCTTATATGAAGCTTGGATAACAGTAAAATAGTATTATTTCCAGTCTACAGACTCACAGAGGTGAAGTTTCTTGCTCAGGGTCAGTAATTTCTCATATAGTGTACTGCTATTATCTCTTAACTCTTCACTTTCTTTTGTATTAGAGGTAGTTTAAGATGGAGATAGCTAACTTTTAAGACCCTCTTCTCCACAGATCATGCCAGGGAGCACTTAATATCAACTTAAAACTGGTGACACCAACCTTGATTAAGGTTGTGTTAGCTAGGTTTTTCCTCTGCAAAGTTATAATTTTTCTCTTTTAACGCTATTTGTCAGAAAGGAATTACTAAGTTCAGCCTACACTCAAGTGGAGACAAATTAAACTTTATCATTTGGAGGTAAGACTATTAAAAGAATTGTGGTCATATGTTAAAACCACCATAGTAGTCAATGTATTTTGGCAAAGATACTTTGAAGCTATATAAATATCCTGATTCTCCTGAAGTTTTACCCACTAGTGTTAGCATTCATTAGCGAATCTTGCTTGCAGAAATTATTACTGTGAAATTCTCATGGTGATTTTCTATTTTCTTCATTCCTTGCATAGTTATTAATTGTAATTTCTGTAACAAATACTTAACTTGGCCAGGCATGGTGGCTCATGCCTGTAATCCCAGCACTTTGGGAGGCCGAGGTGGATGGATCACGAGGTCAAGAGATCGAGACCATCGTGGCCAATATGGTGAAACACTGTCTCTACTAAAAATACAAAAATTAGCTGGGCATGGTGGCAAGTGCCTGTTATCCCAGCTACTCGGAGGACTGAGGCAGGAGAATCGCTTGAACCCAGGAGGCGGAGGTTGCAGTGTGCCGAGATCATACCACTGCACTCCAGCCTGGCAACAGAGTGAGACTCTGTCTCAAGAAAAAAAAAGACTTATCTTTCTCCCCCACCCCCAATGAAGCAGGCTTGTTGTGGACTGGTTACCCACTTGTGCAAATCTGTTGAGACAGAACACACTCAGACACAAGTTACGTGAAGGAGATTTGCTACTTACAGGCAGTAAGGGTCAAAAGAAACCCAGGTTTTATTGTGAGCAGGTCCTCCAAGGCTCGAGAAAGCTATCTGAGACAGGTGATTTCTTGACTGTGCTTGTCCCACTTGCACTACAGCTGAGGGACCCTAAAAAACAGCCTCCCTAGGTTATATTTCTCAGGGGTCACATGACTCACTGGGCAAAACTTTAAAGGACATCCTGCTCCAGCAGAAAGAGAAAAATGCGTAGGCTGTCCAGGGCAGTTCCTTCCTCACTCAAGGTGTTACATTCCCTAAGAGGGACAGGAACAAGTCCCAGGCTCTTCCGGACAGTTCCTCCCTATCTCAGAATATTGCATTCCTGGTACATTCTACTGTTATTCTTGAGAACTGCAAGCAAGAAAGGGATGAGAACTGGGCCAATACAAGGCCACCTGAAGAACTGTCCTGAACTCCCATTTATTTTTTTTTATTTATGTCAGTATGGGCTCATGGATATTTATTCTTTCAGTTACACCCAATGATAATGGCTATTGATCAATGTTTAAATTAACCCACTGTAACCATTGGGAAGTATGGCAGTCGACTCCTTTGTTCTTTTGACATATCCCTATTTCCTCCACCTTTGGGCAGCATAATATGGTGAGAGGAGGTGACTACATTGACTAATAACATTTCCCTAAGGTTTCTCTAGTTAAATGGTCTCTATTCATGACTTATGTAACTAAGCATATATTTAAAATAATACACATACTAAAAATATGCCCGGAGCTTCTAAGACCACCAATCTCTTCAGCATTCATTAATAATTATCAAGGTAGTTATACAATAAAAATATTCTCTAAATAATAAAGGGAAAATATTAGGTTGGTAAAAAATTAATTGCGGTTTTTGCTATTTAAAAGTAATGATGGCCGGGCGTGGTGGCTCATGCCTGTAATCCCAACACTTTGGGAGGTTGAGGCAGGTGGATCACTTGCAGTAAGGAGTTCAAGATCAGCCTGGCCAACTTGATGAAACCCCATCTCTACTAAAAATACAAAAAAATTAGCCGGGTGTGGTGGTGTGTGCCTGTAATCCCAGTTACAAGAGGCTGAGGCAGGAAAATAGCTTGAACCCGGGAGGCCGAGGTTGCAGTGAGCAGAGATCACACCACTGCACTTCAGCTTGGGGGACAGAGAGAGACTCTCTCAAAACAATGACAAAAATAACAACAACAAAGTAATAGCAAAACCACAGTTGCTTTTGCACCTACCTAATAAATAAAGTCTTTTTTTTGCTGACTTCTGGCACTGTCTTCCCAGATTCACTAAATCACAGCCTTCTTTGTTATCATTTGAGGGATTCCATATACTGTTATCAATTAAGTTTCATAGAGATATAAAACATGTATATACACATACTCGCATACATATATATGCACATATATGCATGTATGCACATATACATAAATTGATGTATATATGTACACATATGCATAAGTTGGTATATATATATATATAAATATATATATAGAAGCTCACTATACTTGTTTTTCTATTTTTTTTCATTTGACACAAGAATATGTGGTCTTAGAGACATTTCCCTGTGAATAGCTGTAGTGATGATTGTTTTTAAATGCCACAGTTAATTTAATTTTTTTTCGAGTCTTTGACTTTAGATTTTCTCTAAATTTTTGCTTTCAAAACAATGCTATTATGAACATATTTGAACATGCTTTTTTGGTGCTTGCAGTGCTATTTTTTAGATTAGTCATCAAACAGTGCCAGTACTAGTCAAATATCTATTTAAAACTTAATAGATATAGAGATATTACCTTCCACAGTGGTGTTAAAAGTTCTTCCTCTCTGCTTGTCAAAACTTGAAATTGTCAAACCTTCAAACTTTGACTAAACTGATAAGGAAAATCATATCTCATTATCATAATCTTCATTTCCCAGATTTCTTCTCTGATCAAGCACTTTTCACATGTTAAATAGCCATTTGTATTTTATTTTCTGGGAATTCCCCGTCCATATCCTTTTCTTTTTTTCTGTTGAGTTGTTTATATTTTGTAAGAATTTCTGATATATAAAGAATATTAATCCTTTGTTGCACATATTGTAATTTCTTCTCTTAGTCACTTATAATTTAACATCCTGATGGTACTTTTACTCGCGTGTGAGTTTTACTTGTGTGGTCTAATATGTAAATCTTTTCCTGTATGGCTTTATGTTGTATGACAGTTTAGTTTCCATGATCTATTTATGTTTTAATGTGCCAATACCACTTTTAAATATTTAAGATTTATAGTATATTTTAATCTCTTATAGGGCAATTACAGTCTCTTTGTTCTTTTTTTTTTCAAAATATTCTTAGGTATTTTTGCATTTTAAAATCTACTTTTATTTTTAAATCTTAACACCAATTTCTCTCAGTTGTTCTTTTCCTATACCTTTTAGTTAAAAACTAAAAATTCTCCTTGTTTTTTAACGACTGCATTTAAGATAGCACATTTTCCTTTGAAGGAAGTATCTAATGCATCTCACAGTTTTTGGCATGTAGGGTTTCCTTGCAACTCCCACTTAATTGTGATCTGGAAATGGTGAGAACAAAATGACTCCTACTGCAATAGCTAACTCCTCTACTGGTTGCCTCCAAATCTCCCAGTCTTAGCTTTGCCTCCCCTCACAAGAGTGGTACCTAGACTACCGCTACTACAATCTCCGACAGTAGTTTCCTTTGAGTTTCATAGGTGTTCCTTTCCTCCGTCAGTTTCCATTTCTTTCTTTTTAGAATTATTTACAGTTTATGGCCCAACAATTGTTCTATTTTTAAGCATATCTTGTGTGCACATGCATGAGTGTATTTGGTGGTAGGAGGAATTGGTGCATTTATTCAATTTACCATCTTCTACCTAGAATCTCTATTTCCTAAATGTCAGAAATAAGGTAGCCATTGGAGTCTGTGGACACCAAATATGAGCTACAAGTAGGTCCCCCTTAGTTCTCTCATTCATTGTGAACTGCTGACTTTTTGAATGTTTCCTAAAGTAAAGTACTTTTGGATTAAGATTTGCCTTTTTATCAGTTGGCCCCTTGAATGAAATTGAGTACATTCTGCCACTGCTACTCTAACGAAGGGATTGTTTTTTCTGAGGTCATTTCTATGAATTCTTCCAGTTGACCTCTCTATTCCTGTTGGTGGATTATTCAGCCATTTCTCAAATTTGTCTCATTTGAGTTACATCTTGAAGGCATTTCCTGAAATCCTAGTTTCCCAAGTTGATATAGATACCCCTACTTAAATAGATTTTTGTAAATTTAATAATGGAGAAAATTTTTAATACATCAAATGAGATAGGACTCTAGTAGTGAAAATCCCAAAAGTGTTTTAGTGAAGCAAATTCAGCCTGATTCATCTCTTTGACTTCTAATTAGTGAAACCAATAGGCATTTAAGCAAAATAACAAAGTAAAAGCTATACTACTGAAATACAGCTGCCCAGCAAACATACCATGATTTCGTTCTTTGTTAAAAAATTAATCTGCAAGATGAGGGCCTTTATTTATTATTTATTTATTTTAAAGCAGTTTGTCTCTTCTATGTGCCACACTGATGAGACTGAATGATATGAGCTCTCAACTTTTACATCTAACATTGTGAGTTTGTATGTATTTCAGCATGAAAATACTCTGTAAATTTATTTAAGCAACCAAAATGGTCCAGGAATCACTGCCTTTATTTTGTAATCTTGCAGGAGGTATTTTAAATAATTATGTTATTGTTAGTTCAACCTATGAAATCTTATTCTGTGAATTTTGCAATGTATCGGAATGGGGCTTGTTGTCAGTTAGACCCTGCTTCAACTTATCTGTACCCTAATGAACAGACAATTTTGTGATATAGATACATAAAGCACAGATAAGGACAGTGCAACATTCAGAAAATACACTTATTTGTTTTTAAGTTTTCACCTAAGTTTGAATAAGAATAGATGAAGTCATCCTAAAATACTCTGTCATCTCGATACTCAAAGTGAGATAATAAGCATTGCTTGGAATCTTCTTAAAAATGTGTACTATTAAGCCCCTCTCCAGATCTACTGAATAAGAATTGGCATATTAAGATCATCCTCAGGAGGTGTGTATGTGTATCACAGTTTCAGAAACACTGCTCTGGGTAATTTAGTTAGACCCTCCACTACTGTTGAAATGAAAGGACACAATAACAATAAGAAATCTGATAAGTTTTCTTTCTCAGTCTCTTCCTACTGTATATTTCAAGTAATCCTAAAAATACGTGCTTTCTTTCAACTTGACCATTTAGTATAAAGACAATTGTTTTGTTTCTAAATTCTTTATTCATTTGAGTTATAGGCCTATCTACTTTTTCATTACCTAGTAGATGAGGTCTTTATTAGCTCTAATTTGTGCTAATATAGAAGCTTTCTATCTCTTCCTATTGCTTCTAGTGTTAGTCTTTCCAGATTACTTTCCACCAGTCTACTAGACAGACTTATTTACAATGAAAATCCACACCTAGCACACTTCTGCTATTATTCTGTAATGTCCTTCCATTACTTTCAGGATGAAATGACAGATTCTTGGCACATAATTTAAGACACTTCACAACCAGGATTGTGCCAACCTTTTTATCCTGTAAATTACAGCCAT
Source organism: Homo sapiens (assembly GCF_000001405.40). Lineage (NCBI taxonomy): Eukaryota > Metazoa > Chordata > Mammalia > Primates > Hominidae > Homo > Homo sapiens. The sequence continues at coordinate 210,882,419 of NC_000002.12, forward strand.
TGTTGATGTAGCAAATGCTACTGATGCTCCTGCATGTTCTCTCAGCCCAACTGGTTCTACCTCTCAGCACTCTGAAATCTCTCCCCATCAATGTCCTGTGGCTCTTCCTCTTTGACCAAGGGCTTTCTTTTCCAAGCCAGAGTTTGGGGTGCCTCACCAGGTGCAACTTGAAATGCTAGGAGTTAAAACTCTTGGGCAACCCTCAAATAATTGGGGATCAGAGTTAGTAGATAAATATCTCAGCCTCACTATCAGTTAGTAGATAAATATCTCAGTAGATAAATATCCCTCACTCTAATGGGATAATTCTTAGACATTTTTTTCTTATTGTTTCTCAAGGCTTCTCCAGTGAAATAGAGTTCCAGCTACATCAACAATATTTGACCTGTTAACGTGCTTTGTTGTGGTGTTTCTCCCTTTGTACTTCCCCACTCTTCACATGTACTACTTGGAATCACCTCACCAAACTATTTGAACCCAAGTGTTTGACTAAAAGTGTGCTTTCTAGGGGAACCAAAGTCAAGACAGTACTGGAAATGACCCTTGAAAGCAGATCCTCAGCATTAGACTCTAAAATTGGATCATTTGTCAGTGAGATGGAAGCAAGGATCACTTTGCTGGGCGGTATATGAGGTGGGGATGACATTTGGTGCTAGGTTAAATTGGGACCAGGTAGAGGTGGAGTGACAAGCATTGGCTTCTACAAAAGTTCTATTACTTGGAACATATAAAGTCAAAGGTGAATATAAGGATGGTGGAGTTGGCTGGCATTTTTTAAATGCTCTGGAATCCATGAAGAAAAAGAATATAAGTCTCAGATTAACAAACTATCTTCTCAGGGAGTGCTGTGCCTTCCAGAAAACTTCTATGTCGGCATTTTTAGAGACCCGTATCTGCTACAGCTAGAGGGGAGATTCTGGTGAAGAGCAGGCCAATGTTTGATAGGAGAAGTGGCAAAACTACTAGAGAGACTGAATACTCAACCCTGCAGTTTTATACCCAAGACAAGAAAGGATTGGAACCCTGCAACCTGGAATATTAGGCTGGATGCATTTGAAATACCTAGATTCTCCTGAAAATGAATGTCTTCCTTCTTGTTAGAGGAAATAATATTGCATTACTTAAGGACCATGTGATAGCTTCGTTTGATTCAGATGTTTCACTTGAAAATACTTTCTTTCTCAAGAACAACTTACCTTTCTTTATTGCCACCATAGCTCAGTATAGCACAAGCCAAGACATGTAGCCCCTGCTGCACTAGTGTCTAGTCCTGAGCCATTTATCAGACTCAGAGCCCATCAATCAACTGGGAGACTGGAACCATTTTCAGAAAGAAGCCCTGCAACACTACCACAAGAATTAACAATAAATATTACCCAATTTGCTCATTTTCCAAAGAGACCTTCACCCATTTCCCAAAGTAATATTTAGATACTCTGAGTCATTGCCTATAGAATCTAAGCTGACATTGATGTCAGTGGTCCCCAAAACACCTTCATGCCCCTGTTATTAGAATGGATGCAGGCAGAGCCAAGAAATAAATAGAGCATGGCCCAAGTTTATCTCTCTGATTCCTGAATGCATAATTAGGATAGATATTCATAGCAGCTGCTAAAACCCTCTACATGGGTTCCTGGTCTATGTAATGAGTCGTTATGGTAGAAGAACCATGTGGAAGCTCCTGAAACTATCTCATGGGCCGAAATAGTATATCAGAGGCAATAACACATTCATATTAGAATTTCAGAGATTAGTGCCATTCTCAAAGACTTAAAAGGATACAGCTGGGCATGGTGGCTCATGCCTATAATTCCAGCACTTTGAGGGGCCAAGGCAGGAGGATAAATTGAGCCCAGGAGTCCAAGACCAGCCTGGGAAACATAGTGAGCCCCCCATCTCGACAAAATGTTAAAAAGGTAGCCAGCCATGGTGGCATATACCTGTTGTCCCACCTACTCAGGAGGCTGATGTTAGAGGATCATCTGAGCCCTGGAGGTTGAGTTGGCAGTAAGCCAAGATCAAGCCACTGCATTCCAGCCTGGGTGACAGAGTGCAAGGTCTCAATAAAAAAAAAAAGGATACAAAGGGAGTAGCTGCTATTTAATTAATCCATTGGTTTATCTGAATACATATCACAAATGCCAATACTGCTCTTAACAATTTAATGAGTGAAGACTGGGAATTGTGGGTTATGTTTCAAACAAGAAAGGGTTTGCAGTATTTTCAAGTCGTGGTGCCAGCAAGATTCCTTATTTCCCTACTACTGAGGCCATATGACTCAGCAGTTCCAATGGTGCTGTAGGTATTCATGGAAGCTATACCGTGTGACGTCTCTGACAAGTCCACATAGGAGAGATATAGCGTAGACCCCTACACTTCTAATGCACAACCATATATTCTGAAGTGGATAATCACTTGCTGTTTGAAAAGAAACTCCTGGAATGCTTCTAGGAAGAGTACAGACTGAACCCCTGACCAAGTGCCATCAATTGACATTGCAAGCAAAGCCATCTGTTATGACCATGGACTTGCCATACATCCACCAATTTAGAAGATATAGCAGGTACAGCAATAATCTATTATGTGATGAAAGTGGGATACTAGGAATCAAGCCAAACCTGGTCCAGAATACATACGTAAGTTATACAAGTAGGTGGCTCAGGCTCCTACATTACCTATGTGGGTTGCCCTGACAACTCTCCCTGAATTTACACCTATGGGTTCATGAGGAGTTCTGTATGACCAGCTGATGGAGGAAGATAATGTTGGGCCTGCTTTGAAGAAGGATCTGTGAACGTGTTGGCACTAACTGAAAATGAATGTTTGCTACATTATAGTCCATTAGGTATGGTCATAGTTGCCAGTGGTGAGCAGAATCCTCCCAGGAGTAATAAATTCATCAGTATACTTGATCATCTCCTTTGTTTGGAAGAAGGTGTCAGTGAAAAGTATATATGTGAATTAATGGGCAGTGGTAAATGGTTCAGTCATTCACAGAAGCCTGAAAAGCAATATTGGAAGAGTGAAGGTGATCTGTCATGTGGATGAACTGTCTAGATTGGGTTAAAGGTACACATGTATTTGTTTCTGATCTCAAAGAAAATATCCTCCACAGATAATGCACAGACAAGCCAGGTAGGTAGGATGGCTTTTTCGGTGAAGGTTGATCAGCCTCTGATCTTCAGCCCTTGCTTGCCTAGTAGGTACATGATCAGAATATACATGGTGCCAGGAATGGAGGCTATACACAGGCCTGCCAGTAAGTACTACATTTCATGAAGGTTGATGCAGTATTGTTGCTGCTGAACGTTCAATCTATCAGAAGCAAAAATCAGTCTAAAGTTCTAGATGGGGTACTTTGAGGAGACTAACCAGCCCTTCATGACAAATTGATTACATGAAATCCTTTCTATCTTTGAAGGTGCAGCAATTTATTCTTACTGGAACTGATACTATTCTCAGTATCTGTTGGTTTCTTGTCTTCAGTGCTGATATCAGCACTGCTATTAGTTTAGACAGTATCTGATTTACAACATGAGGTCTTACATAACATGACTTTAATAAAACAGACCTGTTTTAAGCAAAAGAGGTAAAATGGGCACAAACTCACGGGATCAACTGGTTCTACCACACAGTGAATTTTTAGAAATTATCATCATTGCAAATATGGAAATGCCTCTTTAAGTTTCAGTCAAAGTGCAATCTTGGGAAAAATTTCTTACAGGTTTTGAGTACTGTCCCATAAAAGGCATTATAAATATTAAACCAAGAGACATTGTAAGGTACTGTTTTCCCAATAGCTAAAACACATGAAAATACACACAAGGTCAGGAACCAAGGGTGTGGAAGTAAGACTTTAATTGACCCACTTGGGATATTTGTGTTTCCTGTCCTGACAACTATGGATTCTGCTGGGCTGTGGGTCCTGGTCTCTGAAACTCTATATGTGGTAAAATTTTCAACAAGGACATATGTGAAAGTAACATAAAGATGCATTTTTTTGTTCTCATGCTAAGAGACCCCTGGACAAAAAAAGTAGTTTTTATACTGGAAGGGTTGATTGACTCCCAGGATTGAGATCTCGGATGGCTGCTATATAATGGGGTTAGAGAGCAGTGTGACTGGAACTCAGGGGTCCACTAGGATGCCTCTTACTCTTTCTGTACCTAGTAATAACACTCAGTGGGTAATTGTACCCATCACAGCCTGCTGAGAGCAGATGATCAGGGATTTTGACCCTTCTGAAATAAAGTTTTATTCACCCCACTGGGCAATTTACTCTAGATCAGTGGATGTACTATATAAGGGTGAAGGAAATTTATATTGAGTCCAGGTATGCTCATAGAACAAGCTACACCAATTTCATTAATTCTTTGCTTTAAGCTTTATTTGTTTGTGTGTGTGTCTGTGTGTGTGTGTGTGTGAGAGAGAGAGAGAGAGAGATTTTGACTGGCACAATGCTGAATAATTTCAACAAAGAAGATTCCGTGTAAGGCATGAAAAAGCTGAACAATACTAGAAGGGTTCTGCCACAGATGCTATCTCCTATCCCCTTGTTCCACCTAAGTTCATCTGAAGCTCTGTTACCCATCAGGCTGATAGCTTCCTACTTTAAGTGTTTGACTCTCACATTGACTTTGCTCAAGGGCTGTCTCAAAGTTATCAGGAGCTTGTTTCTCTGCATCTAAGTAACCCAGAAATGTGTGAATGTATGGGGAAAGAGTTGGGAGAGAGAACCACTCTGAGGATAACCCTCAATAATGAGAGATGGGAGTCCTGGGTAAATGACACAGCCTCATATCATTCAGTGAGAATGTTGATGCCTGTTATACTTAGTGTCTTAGGTAGTCCCTGAAGGATTTAACACTGTTAGCCTAAAAGAGCATATTGCTCATTAACACATACTCTTTTATCTCGCTGACTTTCCTATCACATTTCCCTATTGCTCATTTGTGCTTTCCAGTTTCTTGCCTCAAGAGTTAATTTTGGGATTGCCCAAACTAAGGCAGTGAGATTCTCACTGTTCCTTAAACACATCAGGTTCATGTTCAAAACGCCTACATACTTACTAGGCAGGGGCTAAGTGTAACTATTAGGGTAAAAATTTCTTGGGTGTTCTCTTAAGAGACTTCACGGGGAGATTACCTCCACATAATAAGGGAGACCTTATTACTCAGTTGAATTTAGTATGGTAATAATTCTGTCTCTGCATTTTTTAAAGCATGGAAACCTGATTTTGTCAATATAGTACAAGAAAAAAATGCATTCAGACTGAGAGACTAGACCATCAATAAGATGAGCACACTCCAAGCAGAAGGAAGGCATTGAGAGTGGACAGAGGGAGGATGCAGACCCTGAGCTGAAGTGGGAGAAAGCTGGGAACCCTTCAAAAGGCTGCCACACACCAGGACTCATTCCTGGTCCCTAGTGGCTCCTGGGGAAGAAATTAGCTAAATAGGTGTGGAGTGGACCACTCTCTCCATGGACCTCTGAAATCCTAGCTGCAGGACACACCATGACCACCATGGACATTTGAGCTGGCAGGGAGAGTTGGCAGAGACAGGACTCAGGCCTCCATAGAACCCAGAGGGATTGGCGCAGGAATGGCTACGGTGGAGCACAGTCAGGGAAGCCCATCTCCCAAGCCTTGCTACACTTCTCTAGGCGGTTTTGGCCTTTGTTGACTTTCAAAACTGGATAGAACAGGGCTATGCTGCCCATAGGATGGGGCCAGTCTGGCTTCACCCAGGGTCTCTGCCTGGCCTCAACTACTTGCAGCACAACCTCAGGTGCCGAACCGGGGTGCTTCCCAGGAGCCACTTCCATAGTTCTTTCACCAGCAGACCCCACCTGACCAATAGCTTTTGCAGATGGGCCTCTGCCAGTGCACACCTGCACACGGCTCCTTCCCAACTCTTTGGCAGCATGCGATCACCCACAGCCTCCCCACATTGCTTTGCTGGCATGTGCATGTGGAACTTGCCAACCTGCCACATTGCACATGCAACAGTACCGACCCCACTGCCACTGCCCTAATTAAGTTTTTTTGTTTTTTTTTTGTTTTTTTTTTTTTTTTTTTTTGCTGGCACCTGCCATCAGAGTGTTGTTGGACTGGGAATCCTCTGCCCCTCCAGTGAAACAGGTGCCTAACCTTGAGGGGCCAGAGAACAAAGCTGTGGGTATGCTACCAAGCTCCCAAGATTAGAACACATAGCGCAGGAGTGCTGAGCTAAGCCTTGACCACCTAACTTATTCAGAAATGAAGCTAGTCAACTGAACCTGACTTACACCACAGTGAAACCACCAAGTGAAATCAAAGAATATAAAAGCAAAAAGCCCCACCAAAGGACAACTCAGAAACACAGAGTGTCTTCTCACCTCCAAACAGCCACACTAACTCCCCAGCAATGGTTCTAAACCAGACTGAAATGGCTAAAATGACAGACACAGAATTTAGAAACTGATTGACAGTGAATTTCATTGAGATTTAGAAGAAAACTAAAACCCATGTCAAGGAATTTAAGGAATGCAGTAAAAAGATACAAGAGCTGAAAGATGAAATAGCCATTTTAAGACAGACTCAAGCTGATCTAATAGGCTTGAAAAATTCACTAGGAAAATTTATAGGTCTGGGCATGGTGGCTCATGCAGGAGGATTGCTTGAGCCCAAGAGTTTGAGATCAGCCTGGGCAACAGAGTGGGATCGCATCTCTATAATTTTTTTTTAATTAGCTAGATGTGGTGGTGTGTGCCTGTAGTCTGAGCCACTTGAGAGGCTGATGTCTGAGGATCACTTGACCCTGGAAAGTCAAGGCTGCAGTGAGCCATGATTGCACCATTGCACTCCAGCCTGGGTGACAGAGCAAGATGCTATCTCAAAAACGAACAAACAAAATAATGTCATAATACATTCAGAAGTATTAACAGCAGAATAGACCAAGCTGAGGAAGGAATCTCAGAGCTAGAAGCCTGGTTCTTCGAATCAACTCAGTCAGATAAAAAGTAAAGAAACAAAAAATAAAAAAGAATAAAACAAAACCTCTAAAAATTTGAGAATATGTAGAGAGACCAAACCTACAACTCATTGGCATCTCTACGAGAGAGGGAGAAAGAGCAAACAACTTGGAAAATATGTTTGAGGATATTGTCCATGAAAATTTCTGCAACCTCACTAGAGAGGCTGACATTCATATTCAGAAAATTTTGAGATCCCTTGTGAGATATTATACAAGATGACCATTTTTAAGATGCATAGTCGGCTGGGTGCGGTGGCTCACACTTGTAATCCTAGCACTTTGGGAGGCCGAGGGGGGCGGATCACGTCAGGAGATTGAGACCATGGTGAAACCCCATGTCTACTAAAAATACAAAAAAAAAAAAAAAAAAAATTAGCTGGGCGTGGTGGCAGGCACCTGTAGTCCCAGCTACTCGGGAGGCTGAGGCAGGAGAATGGCGTGAACCTGGGAGGTGGAGCTTGCAGTGAGCTGAGATCGCGCCACTGCACTCCAGCCTGGGCGACAGAGCGAGACTCCGTCTCAAAAAAGAGATACATAGTCATCAGATTCTCCAAGGTCAATGTGAAAGAAAAAATATTAAAGTCAGCTAGAGAGAAGGGGCAGGTCATCTACAAAGCGAACCTTATCAGGCTAACAGCAGACCTTTCAGCAGAAACCCCACAAGCCAGAAGAGATTGGGGGCCTATATTCAGAATCCTTAAAGAAAAGAAATTCCAACCAAGAATTTTATATCCAATCAAACTAAGCTTCACAAGTGAAAGAGAAATAAAATCCTTTTCAGACAGGCAAATGCTAAGGGAATTCATTACCACCAGGCCTGCTTTACAAGAGGCCTTTAAGGGAGTGCTAAACATAAAAACAAAAGGCCATTAATGGCCACCACGGAAACACGCTTAAGGACATAGAACATTGATACTATAAAGCAACCAAACAATCAAGTCTACATAACAACCAGGTAACAACACAATGACAGGATCAAATCTTCACATATCAATATTAACCTTGAATGTAAATAGGCTAAATGTCCCACTTAAAAGGTACAGAGTGGCAAGTTGGATGAAGAAATAAGTCCCAAATGTATGCTTTCTTCAGGAGACCCATTTCACATGCAAGACCACCCATAGGCTCAAAGTAAAGGGATAGAGAAAAATCTATCAAGCAAACAGAAAATAAAAAAGAATGGAGGGTATGATTCTTCTTTCAGACAAAACAAACTTTAAACTGACAATGATCAAAAAGGACAAAGAAGGGCATTATATAATGATAAAGGATTCAATTCATCAATAAGACACAACTATCCTAAATATATATGCACCTAATCCAGGAGGACCCAAACTCATAAAACAAGTTCTTAGAGACCTAAGAAGAAACTTAGATAACCACACAAAAATAGTGGGCGACTTCAACAACCCACTGCCAGTATTAGATCATGGAGGCAGAAAACCAACAAATGTATCAGGCATCCAAACTTGACACTTGCCAAAAGGGACCTAACCGGCATCTACAGAACACCCTAGCCAACAACAACAAGATATATATTCTCATCTGCACATGCCACATGCTCTAATATAGATTACATCCTTGGTCATAAAGCAATTCTCGACAAATTAAAAAAAATGAAACTGTATCAACTACACTCTAGAACCACAGTGGAATAAAAATAGAAATCAACACAAAGAATATCTCTCAAAACTATACAATTTTATGAAAATTAAGCAATCTGTTTCTGAATGGCATTTAACCAAACAATGAAATTAAGGCCAAAATCAAAGCATTTTTGAAACTAATGAAAACAAATCTACAACTTAGCAGAATCTCTGGAATACAGCTAAAACAGTATTAAGAGAAAAGTTTATAGTGCTAAACACCCACATCAAAAAGCTAGAAAGATATCAAACTAACAACCTAATGTCACACCCAGATGAACTAGAAAAACAAAAGCCAACCAACTCCAAAGCTAGCAAAAGAAAAGAAATAACCAAAATCAGAGCTGAACAAAAGAAAATTGAGACATGAGAAAACATACAAAAGATCACTGAAACCAAAAGTTGGCTTTTTGAAAGGTACATAAGATTGATAGAACACTAACTAGACTAATAAATAAAAAAAGAGGTGATCCAAATAGGCACAATTAGAAATGACAAAGGAGAAATTACCACTGACCACACAAAAATACAAAAAACCCTCAGAGACTATTATAAACACCCATGCAGAACTAGAAACCCTAGAAGAAATGGATACATTCCTAGAAATATACAACACCCCAAGATTAAACCAGGAAGAAAATGAATCCCTGAACAGACCAACAATGAGTTTCAAAATGGAATCAGTAATTTGAAAACACTTCCCAACCAGAAAAAGCCCTGGAATAGATGGATTTGCAGCTAAATTCTGCCAGACGTGTAAAAAGGAGCTGGTACAAATCCTACTGAAAGTATTCCAATAAATGAAGGAGGAGGGACTTCTTCCTAACTCATCCTAGGAGGTCAGAATCATTCTGATACCAAAGTCTGGTAGAGACACAACAGCAATAAAAAAAACTTCAGGCCAATATCACTGATGAACATAGGTGTAAAAATCCTCAACAAAATATCAGCAAATTGAATTTAACAGCATATCAAAAAGTGAATCTGCCAAGATCAAGTAGGCCTTATTTTTGGGATGCAAGATTGGTTCAATGTGCAAATCAATAAATGTGATTCATCACATCAACAGAAATAAAGACAAGAACTACATGATCACCTCAATAGTTGCAGAAAAAGCTTTTGATAAATTCAACACTCCTTCATATTAAAAGCCTCAATAAAATAGGCATCAAAGGAACGTAACTTAAAATAAGAGCCATACATGACAAATGCATACCCGACATCATACTGAATGGGCTAAAGCTGGAAGTAGTCCCTTTGAGAACCAGAACAGGAAAAGGATCCTCACTCTCACCACTCCTATTCAACATTGTATTGGAAGTCCTTGTCAAAGCAATCAGGCAAGAGAAAGCAATAAAAGGCATCCAAATAGGAAGAGAGGAGGTCAAACTATGTCTTTTTGCAGACAATAGGATTCTATACCTAGAAAATCCCATAATCTCTGCCCAAAGCCTCCTAGATCTAATTAACAATTTCAGCAAAGTTTCAGGATGTAAAAATCAATGTACAAAAATCAGTAGCATTTCTATATACCAATGACATCCAAGCTGAGAGCCAAATCAAGAACACAGTCTCATTCACAATGGTCACAAAAAGAATAAAATACTTAGGAATACAGCTAACTAGGTAGGTGAAAGAATTCTACAATGAAAATTGCAAAGCATGGCTGAAAAAAATTACAGACCAGCCAAACAAATGGAAACCATTTCATGCTCATGGGTAAGAAGAGACAATATTGTTAACATGTCCATACTGCCCAAAGCAATTTACAGATTCAATGCTATTCCTTTCAAACTACCAAGGACGGTTTTTTACAGAATCAGAAATAACAATTATAAACTTCATATAGAACCAAAAAAGAGCTCAAATAATCAAAACAATTCTAAGCAAAAAGAACCAAGCTAGAGGAATCTTACTACCTGACTTCAAACTATAATACAAGGCAAGCAAAACCAAAACAGCATGGCGCTGGTACAAGAACAGACACAGAGATCAATGGAACAGGTTAGGGAATATGGAAATAAAGCTGCACACGTACAATTATCTGATTTTTGACAGAGTTGACAATAACAAGCAATGGAGAAAGAACTTTCTATTCAATAAACAGTGCTGGCATATCTGGCTAGCCATATGCAGAAGTTTGAAACTGGATCCCTTCCTTTCACCATATGTAAGAATTTTCACCAATTCAAGATTGATCAAAGACTTAAATGTAAAATCTAAAACTATGAAAACTCTAGAAGTAAACCTAGGAAACACCACTCTGGAAATAAGCCCTGGCAAAAATTTCATAATGAAGACTCCAAAAGCAATTGCAACAAAAACAAAAATTGACAAGTGAGATCCAGTTAGTCTAAAGAACTCTACACAGCAGAAGAAACTATCAACAGAGCAAACAGACAATCTACAGAATGGGAGAAAAATTTTGCCAACTATACATCTAACAATGGTCTAATATCCAGTGTCTATAAGAAACTTAAAGAAATAAACAAGCAAATAGCAAACGACCCAATTAAAAAAATGGGCAAAAGACGTGAACAGACACTTCTCAAAAGAAGTCATACATGGAGCCAATAAACGTGAAAAAATACTCAACATCACTAATCATTAGAGAAATACAAATCAAAACCATAATGAGATACCATCTCACAGCAGTCAGAATGGCTATTATTAAAAAATCAAAAAACAACAGAGGCTGGTGAGGTGGCAGAGAAAAGGGAATGCTTACACACTGCTGGTGGGAGTGAGTGTAATTTCCACAGTTAGGCCACTGTGGAAAGCAATTTGGAGGTTTTTCAAAGAACTTAAAACAGGAATACCATTCAATGCTGCAATCCCATTACTGGGTATGTAACCAAAGGAATATAAGTCATTCTACTATAAAGACACATTCACTCATATGTTAATTGCAGCACTACTCACAAAAGCAAAGACAAGGAATCAACCTAGGTGCCCATCAGCAGTAGACTGGATAAAAAAAAAAATGTGTTACGTATACATTATAAAATACTACTCAGCCAGGAAAATAATGAAATCATGTCCTTGCACTGACATAAATGGAGCTGGAGGCCATTATCCTGAGTGAACTAATGCAGGAAATAGAAAACCAAATGTCACATGTTCTTACTTATAAGTTGGAGCTAAACACTGAATACACACGGACACAAAGAAGGGAACAACAGACATTGGGACCTACTTGTGGGTGTAGGTAGGCACAGGGCAAGAATTTAAAACTACCCATGAGGTACTACGCTTATTACTTGTGTGATTAAATAATCTGTACATCAAACCCCGTGGCACACAATTTACTCATGAAACAAATCTGCATATGTATCCGCTTAACCTAAAATACAATTTGGAAAAAAAAATACCTCCAGGCATTGCACTTCTGCACTTCTATCTCCTCACATGTTTGGTAGCCTTCAATATTCACTTCTTTCCATATTGTTACCTTGGACCTTGTCATTTACCTAAATTACATTATTTTGGGTTTCTCAAATGCAAACAGCCACTCCCAACTACAACATCCTATCCTTAGAGCTCACTTGCTTAAATTCTTCCCATTACTATCTCTCCTATTGAGACATTGACTTCATTGATAACCCCTTCTCCCCCATCTACTGTTTTCAGTTGAATAAACCTCATAATCCTTTTCTGCTGGCCCAGATTCTATGGTTTATAATGAGTATCTTTTGAAAAACCTCTGTTGCCCTTGCTCCTGACTACCTTTTAGGAATTCTGTTTGAAAAGCTCAAACCTAGATGGGCCCATGCTGTGTATGTGTATGTAAGTGTCTGCACATGCACAGCTGCATTTGATGGTCGCTGGTGACAATAGATCATAGCTGAAAAAAATACACAACTGAATAGCTGGTATATTTAAAATTTTTGATCTCACATTTTAAATGAGCGCTTATTAGTGCTTTGCCTGATTTTGTTTCTCTTCTAAACTGTTACATACCCTTTCTTTAAATAAACCACCCTTATTTCACATATGATTTTATTTATGTAAAATATATATCAGTGGTCCCTAACCTTCAGAGACCAGTTTCATGAGACAATTTTTCCATGGACCTGGGTTTAGGGGAATGGTTTGGGATGAAACTGTTCCACCTCAGACTATCAGGAATTAGTTGGATTTTCATAAGGAACACATAGCCTATTAGATTCCTCATATGCGCAGTTCACAATAGGGTCCATGCTCCTACGAGAATCTAGAGCAGTTGCTGATCTGACAGGAGGTGGCGCTCAGGCAGTAGTGCTTGCTGGCTCTTCCGCCTCTCACCTCCTGCTGTGTGGCCTGGTTCCTAACAGGCCACAGACTGGTACCAGACCAAGGCTCAGGGATTGGGGACCACTGTTCTATATAATATAGAATGGGTTTCTCGTATGATTTTATCTAGATAAAATGTAAATATTAGAAAAATTTACAATAATTTTATGCAAAACTGTATATATGTACATATATAAAAATAATATACATTTGCACTTATGCGCTATGTAATGATATTTTGGTCAACGATAGACCACATCTCCAACAGTGATCCATACAATTACAATACGATATTTTTACCATACCTCTTCTATGTTTAGATACACAATTACTTACCATTGTGTTATAGTTGCTGATAGTATTCAATACAGTCATATGCTGAACAGGTTTGTAGCCGAAGAGCAATAAACTATACCACATGGTCTAGGTGTGTAGTAGGCTACACCATTTAGATTTGTGTAAGCAGACTCTGCAATGTTTGCACAATGATCAAATTACCTGACATTACATTTCTCAGAATGTGTCCTCATCATTAAGGGACACTGACTATATATAAACGTAACTATGTGAAAACTATATACAAAAAATTCGTGGTCCTAACTATTAAGTGGCGGTAAATGGGAAGTTTGACAAGATGGTATAAAGATTATATCACCTTATTCTATTAAAATGAAACCAATTTAATAAAAATAGCAAAGGAATAATTTCATATGAGTAACATATTCAATACAAGGATGAGAGAACTACACCTGGCATGACTGGCACATTCTCTTTTGCGGAAGGTATTATCTTAATATGTGATCTGATGCATGTTCATTCATAAGTGGAACAGAAAACCTGAGGTTGGCAAGATTAGTGCAGCCCATCATTTTAGGCAAATCTCTATGTGAAGCTAAATCAGGGTCAGCAGACTGTTTGTTAGAAATGGAATTGAACAAGGGGAATGAAGAGAATTGGGTGCTCAGTGGCATTACATTAAGTTTACCACTACTTTTCAAAGGGACTGGAATTCCTAAAGTCCACAGTACCTAAAGAACTACTGTGCCTTTCAAAATTTCCTTTCCTTCTCCTTTATCCTTTATTTCCAGGGCAGACTAAAACCCCTTTTCTTTCATTATGTATACTTATAATTTCAAGCAAAGTACAGGCAGTTTGTTCTTGAAAGTCATCCAGTTTTCTTTGTATACTTTGCCCATATATGGCACTGTATGTTTTCACTTTACAGTTTGACCCTTAAAGGGAAAATTTGTTTCCTCTATTTCTACATTTCCACAGGGAACCACCATAGCAGTCCCTAAGTGATGAGGCCTCGCCCGTATTTTTTCAAGCCTCCATGCTTTCGTTCATGATATTCTGTACTGGAAGATTTATCTTTGTCCTTGACCTCACTGACTTAGACTTTGAGTGAAAGCACACTTTAGGGATGTTCCTTGACCCTCCAGCAGTTAAATCCTCTTCCTGCATCCTGTGTATTCTTTTATTATGGAAAGAATCATATTTAACTGAAGTTTCCTGTGTGAATGCCCTTGAGGTCAGAAACTATGTCTCATTCATTTTTGTATCCACTAGACATAATGAACTTTCACTGTATGTCTATGGAATGAATGATTATGTGTATTGTAGTAAGAAATACTATTAGAGAATCTGCACAGGCCTATGATTATCCTAGCAGGAACTTGAGGTTGAATTATAGTTTAAATCATCTGGAGCACTCACCGCAATCAGAAGTAACAGTCCCCAAATCAGAATGGCTTCTTGACCATGGTTTCTCAGTAAGTTTACAGAGAAAGAAAAAATATGAAAAGGGTCTATTAACTTGCATGTACTATACAATTTTTGTCCAACTTTTCAATAGCATAATTGTCTAGGCCATAGGGTGGCTTCTAACTGATTCTTTCACATGAGCAATTCTTTATTCTCTGCATATGGAATAGCCAAGATAGTGTGTTCAACACTTTCTGCAATAACAGAAATATTCCACTTAAGGCATCTTTTATGCACAGACAACATAAATTTATTGCTTATAAGTGAAATTTTAGAACTCCTGAGGTAGTTTCCTTATTGACACCCACATGGAAACATGGGCTAATCCAAGGTCCTGTCCTTTTGATCTTACCACAAAAACACTTGAGGTTATAAATAAAGCACTAAGTGTATGACGAAGGTAGTATATGATTCACAGTAGCTATATTGAATATTGCTTTCTCAGACGTTTAGTAGTAATATGCACTTTTGGAAAATAATTATTAGTGAACAAAAAAATGAAAAGGAGGCAATATAATTAATACTCTATGATCTTTCTTAGAAGAGTATCCCAACAGAAACTTCCTTTATTATAAAGTTTTAAAAATTACATGCTAATTAATAACTAAATCCCCTACTATGAGTCAGTTACCATAATATATATTCAATGTATGTATTTTCTGATTCATTGTCTGTGTGTGTGTGTGTGTGTGTGTGTGAGACACCTGACACCTGACCAAATGTATGATTCCATTTATATGAAGTATTTAAAGTAGTCACATTTGCAGAGAAAGAAACTAGAATGGTGGTTGTCAGGGGCTAGGGAGAAGAGAGGAAAGGGAGTTATTGTTTAATGGCTAGAGAGTTTCAGTTTTCAAAGATGAAAAAGTTCTGGAGATCTGTTTTACAACAATGTAAATATATATTCACATTAACACTACTGAACTGTACATTTAAAATGGTTAAGAGGGTAAATTTTATGTTATGTACTTATCGCCACAATTATTTAAAAAGAAGATGCATAGTCAGAAAAAAGCAGCAGAATTGGTAGGGACCAAAAGTGGAAGCAGAAGTGGAGGCAGAGTATTTCTTAAAATTTTTACTTTTTACTTTTGTGGGTACATAGCATGTGTATATATTTATGGGGTACAAGAGATGTTTTGATATAGGCATGCAGTCATGCCTATATCTGCTATACTTGTGTGTCTGACTGAAGTCATTTAGTAAAGACACAGACACACACACACGGACGTATGGCAGACCCTGTTTGGTTGGCTAATTGCCTGATAATAATTCTCTATTTTCTCCCGTTTTTTTTTTTTTTTTTTTGAGATGGAGTCTCGCTCTGTCGGCCAGACTGGAGTGCAATGGCGTGATCTTGCCTCACTGCAACCTCTCCTCCTGGGTTCAAGCGATTCTTCTGCCTCAGCCTCCCGAGCAGCTGGGACTACAGGCGCCCACCACCATGCCTGGCTAATTTTTGTATTTTTAGTAGAGACGGGGTTTCGCCATGTTGGCCAGGCTGGTCTGGAACTCCTGACCTCTTGATCCACCCACCTCGGCCTCCCAATGTGCTGGGATTACAGGCATGAGCCACTGTGCCCAGCTTCTATTTTCTCATTTTAAGAAAAACTCCAATGTCCCTTTTCAGATGTGGCGGAGCTGAAGTGCCATATGGGAGGCTGGTTCCTCCTTAGTCCTAGGAGTTACATCTTGCTTAATAAAAATCAATCAAGCACTCCCATTTTCCTTTCTAGTGTTAGAACTAAAAATGCAAATGAGACCCAAATATATAGAATGAAACAAATAAATTCGGGAAATTTCTGAGAAAGCTCTTGTTATTTTTAACAAGGGACTTGATGAGATATGCTCTGCATAGGGGTTCTTGTGTTCTGTACTCACTGCCTTTTTATTCCAGACTCTTTTAAGGAGTTTGTATAGTTAACGGCCTTTGAAGTTAGAGACAGTTTTGGAGCAAAGGACATGTTTGTTTACTGCCCAGAAAAACAAAGATAATATCCCCCTCCAGCACAAAAGTCAAGTGGATTGCTTAAAGTCCATTATAAAAGATTATAATACCCTAATATCAGAATTCCTCTCCTGTGAAAACAATCTGCCAAGCATGCAGGCATTACCAGACCCTTGTCACATTTCCTTGTGAGAACTGTAGCTTTGATAAATTGTTCAAAAAGTGATGCTACTGTGGCCATTGTTTTTGTTATGAGTAATAGACTGTTCATCTCCGGTTTACTTAGAGGTCTCATGTCTTCCGTCAACATCCATGAAGCTAGCAGGCTAATTTGATAACCTCCAAACAGTGTCAAATCTCAGACCTTTTACACTTCTTGACACTCTCTTTCCCACTTTTGGCCATTAGATAATGCCCTGTGAAAATATGGAGGCAGAGCCGTGGCAGCCACCTTATGATCATGAGTACACAAGTCTGGGAGCAACAGTCAATGTTGTAAATGGCAGAACAAAAAGGATGGGGAGAATGTAGGTCAATGAAAATGTTGTTAAATCCATAATCACAACTTTTGTAATTATTCTATTTCTAGATTAATTTTAGTTGTGATGACACACTTTCTCTTTTTTAAAATCATTTGAGGCAGGTTTTCTATTACCTGGCAAATGCATTTCATCTAAGTCATCAAGGACTGCAACATAATTTTGAAGCCTTGTTTGCTGCTACCAAATACAATAATATCCAACTTTTTTTGGTACTCACTATATGTAAGTGCAGTAGCAAATATTTTGGGTTATACTAAGATGTAATCCTTACTACAACAACTCTGGACAGCTGTCATTATTATTTTAAACATGAATAATCTGAGTTTAAGTAAGAAGCTTAAGATACTTCAACAAATAAGTGACAAAACTAGGACTGAAATCCATCTCTACCTGGCAGCAAACCCTGTGTTCCTAACCCTGATGTAGTATCTCCTGTGTAATTTGGATACCCAGCATTTGTTGAGACTTCCACTTGTCCTGACTCTGTGCTGAGCGCTTAATGAATTCTTCTTGCATAAATGGTGGGATGAATTTAGACCAATTATATAAGTCTCTGTGCAAATGAATGCCAAAAAACATTCTGTCTGAAAATGGACTCTTTAGTAAGTCCCTAAACAGCAATTTTAAATTTGAGGTCGGCTTGAATTCTCAGACCAGAACCAAAAATTAGATGCTTACTAGCTATTGCTCAAAGTGAATTTTTGCCACTTGTTGTGGATTAATTTCTTCAACATCTCATCCTCATAATTGGAAAAGTGTTTTGTTGTACTGATATATAACTAATAATTGGATAAGCATATCTCCAGTCAACCCCTTATTCATAGAGTAGTATTGCTTAAAAACTGCTCCAACCACTTCTTAAACCTGAAACCGTAGACAGAAACATCTCCTAAGACTGATAAATCCTAAGCTTTATGCTGTTAGAGACTGGGTTTGCCTAATCCAATGGGTTATCATTTTCACCTAGGCTTCTGTGTACCCTTAATTAGGCACTCAACAACTCTCATGAATAGATAAATTCGTGAATAAAATCCAAGGAATTAGAAAATAGACCTTCATTTTGATTTACTATATAATGCTCTCTGGGAACACTTCAACAGTGTTTTTGAGATTCTGGATAAAATAAAGAAAAAACTGCATAAAATGAAACATTTCTTAGTATCTAACTTGCTCATTGAACTCTAGCTGCTTATTTCTGGCTACCCAATGTGATCCCTAGGTGATTTTCTATCATAATTTGTGAACATGACAGATTGATAAGCTGTCTAGCTTCTTGAGGTGATCCAAAGGGGTAAAAATCATCAATGAAGATTTTTTTAAGTGTCAAAGAGAAAGATTTGGAATTAAAAAAAAAAAACAGGAACTAAAATATTCTAAAGTTTTCCTTAATGTGTCTGTAGTGCTGGGAGTAACCTCACAATATAACGTACTTCTCAACTGTAATATAATTTTTAATATAAAAAGTTATTTGTTATCACTCACGACTATGGCCCAGAAGTGAAACATAATCCAAATACATTAGCCATTGTAATATAGGTTTGACATGTATTTCTCTTGTGCTGCTGTTTTCCAGAGAACTTAGTCCTAATTATTTAACACTTTCAGAGTCAATAAATTACCGGAGGGGAGCAAAAGGCCTGTTGGTGGGTGAAATTTCTCTGTGAAATGAAAGTTGTCTCCTCAAGTAAGAAGTTGCAACAAAGTATCATTTAATAATAGCAAGTAATATTTTTAAATTACTGTTTAGAAATGTATTGCCTGATATTAAAATGACTTTATATAAATGCTGTGTCCTCAATTTAAAAGGACATTGGTAAACCCCCTAGGACTGAACAGGCCTTTTCTCTACCTAATTAAATTAAGTGCAGTGTACAGCGCCTTTCTGCAAAGATTAACAGAATGCGTTCATTGTCGGTTTAAGTGTTGCCTGTGGCGGTATTTTTTTTCTAATTTAATTAAAAGCTGTTCTTTTATGAAGAACAAGCTTGCAGCATCATTTCTCTTACTTTTACATTTCTCAAGCCTGTTTGGGAGAAGGAAGAGAGTGATGAGAAGGAGATGGCAGAGAAAAGAAAAAGAGAGAAGTTTTAGGTGCACAAGAGGAAGTACACATATTTCCTGGTTGTCAGGAACATTTCATTTCAAAAATAAAGATGAGTGGAGATAAACCAGGTGTCTTGGAAGGGAACAGATTTCACTGCGGTGTGTTAGATCTCTATCATGTTCCCAGTCAGCACCCTTAATAAAGATACTGTACATTTATCAAAGAGGTAATTACACCACAAATTCTCACATATTCAAATGCTTGTGGTGTGTTTGAGCCCTTCAAAGTGTGTGATTAGCTATGGAAACTGAGGTAGGCTTCTCAGTCTGTTACCACATACAAAATCAGGTGTGAGTCAGCAGTGCTGTGTTGGAAACCCGTGGGGTGCTCTCAGTGCAGGTATTAACAAAAAGCCCAATTCTGTGAAGAAAGTCATTGGTAGCTTGATGGGGATGGCAGTGAATCTGTAAATTACCTTGGGCAGTATGGCCATTTTCACGATATTGATTCTTCCTACCCATGAGCATGGAATGTTCTTCCATTTCTTTGTATCCTCTTTTATTTCCTTGAGCAGTGGTTTGTAGTTCTCCTTGAAGAGGTCCTTCACATCCCTTGTAAGTTGGATTCCTAGGTATTTTATTCTCTTTGAAGCAATTGTGAATGGGAGTTCACTCATGATTTGGCTCTCTGTTTGTCTGTTATTGGTGTATAAGAATGTGATTTTTGTACATTGATTTTGTATCCTGAGACTTTGCTGAAGTTGCTTATCAGCTTAAGGAGATTTTGGGCTGAGACGATGGGTTTTCTAGATTTACAATCATGTCGTCTGCAAACAGGGACAATTTGACTTCCTCTTTTCCTATTTGAATACCCTTTATTTCCTTCTCCTGCCTAATTGCCCTGGCCAGAACTTCCAACACTATGTTGAATAGGAGTGGTGAGAGAGGGCATCCCTGTCTTGTGCCAGTTTTCAAAGGGAATGCTTCCAGTTTTTGCCCATTCAGTATGATATTGGCTGTGGGTTTGTCATAGATAGCTCTTATTATTTTGAGATACGTCCCATCAATACCTAATTTATTGAGAGATTTTAGCATGAAGGGTTGTTGAATTTTGTCAAAGGCCTTTTCTGCATCTATTGAGATAATCATGTGGTTTTTGTCTTTGGTTCTGTTTATATGCTGGATTACATTGATAGATTTGCATATATTGAACCAGCCTTGCATCCCAGGAATGAAGCCCACTTGATCCTGGTGGATAAGCTTTTTGATGTGCTACTGGATTCGGTTTGCCAGTATTGTATTGAGGATTTTTGCATCAATGTTCATCAAGGATATTGGTCTAAAATTCTCTTTTTTGGTTGTGTCTCTTCCCGGCTTTGGTATCAGGATGATGCTGGCCTCATAAAATGAGTTAGGGAGGATTCCCTTTTTTTCTATTGATTGGAATAGTTTCAGAAGGAATGGTACCAGTTCCTCCATGTACCTCTGGTAGAATTGGGCTGTGAATCCATCTGGTCCTGGACTCTTTTTGATTGGTAAACTATTGATTATTGCCACAATTTCAGCTCCTGTTATTGGTCTATTCAGAGATTCAACTTCTTCCTGGTTTAGTCTTGGGAGAGTGTATGTGTCGAGGAATTTATCCATTTCTTCTAGATTTTCTAGTTTATTTGCATAGAGGTGTTTGTAGTATTCTCTGATGGTAGTTTGTATTTCTGTGGGATCAGTGGTGATATCCCCTTTATCATTTTTTATTGTGTCTATTTGATTCTTCTCTCTTTTTTTCTTTATTAGTCTTGCTAGCGGTCTATCAATTTTGTCGATCCTTTCAAAAAACCAGCTCCTGGATTCATTAATTTTTTGAAGGGGTTTTTTGTGTCTCTATTTCCTTCAGTTCTGCTCTGATTTTAGTTATTTCTTGCCTTCTGCTAGCTTTTGAATGTGTTTGCTCTTGCTTTTCTAGTTCTTTTAATTGTGATGTTAGGGTGTCAATTTTGTATCTTTCCTGCTTTCTCTTGTGGGCATTTAGTGCTATAAATTTCCCTCTACACACTGCTTTGAATGTGTCCCAGAGATTCTGGTATGTTGTGTCTTTGTTCTCCTTGGTTTTAAAGAACATCTTTATTTCTGCCTTCATTTCGTTATGTACCCAGTAGTCATTCAGGAGCAGGTTGTTCAGTTTCCATGTAGTTGAGCGGTTTTGAGTGAGATTCTTAATCCTGAGTTCTAGTTTGATTGCACTGTGGTCTGAGAGATAGTTTGTTATAATTTCTGTTCTTTTATATTTGCTGAGGAGAGCTTTACTTCCAAGTATGTGGTCAATTTTGGAATAGGTGTGATGTGGTGCTGAAAAAAATGTATATTCTATTGATTTGGGGTGGAGAGTTCTGTAGATGTCTATTAGGTCCACTTGGTGCAGAGCTGAGTTCAATTCCTGGGTATCCTTGTTGACTTTCTGTCTCGTTGATCTGTCTAATGTTGACAGTGGGGTGTTAAAGTCTCCCATTATTAATGTGTGGGAGTCTAAGTCTCTTTGTAGGTCACTCAGGACTTGCTTTTCATATGGAACCAAAAAAGAGCCCACATTGCCAAGTCAATCCTAAGCCAAAAGAACAAAGCTGGAGGCATCACACTACCTGACTTCAAACTATACTACAAGCTACAGTAACCAAAACAGCATGGTACTGGTACCAAAACAGAGTTATAGATCAATGGAACAGAACAGAGCCCTCAGAAATAACGCCGCATATCTACAAATATCTGATCTTTGACAAACCTGAGAAAAACAAGCAATGGGGAAAGGATTCCCTGTTTAATAAATGGTGCTGGGAAAACTGGCTAGCCATATGTAGAAAGCTGAAACTGGATCCCTTCCTTACACCTTATACAAAAATCAATTCAAGATGGATTAAAGACTTAAACGTTAGACCTAAAACCATAAAAACCCTAGAAGAAAATCTAGGCATTACCATTCAGGACATAGGCACGGGCAAGGACTTCATGTCTAAAACACCAGAAACAATGGCAACAAAAGCCAAAATTGACAAATGGGATCTAATTAAACTAAAGAGCTTCTGCACAGCAAAAGAAATTACCATCAGAGTGAACAGGCAACCTACAAAATGGGAGAAAATTTTTGCAACCTACTCATCTGACAAAGGGCTAATATCCAGAATCTACAATGAACTCAAACAAATTTACAAGAAAAAAACAAACAACCCCATCAAAAAGTGGGCGAAGGACATGAACAGACACTTCTCAAAAGAAGACATTTATGCAGCCAAAAAACACATGAAAAAATGCTCACCATCACTGGCCATCAGAGAAATGCAATTCAAAACCACAATGAGATACCATCTCACACCAATTAGAATGGCAATCATTAAAAAGTCAGGAAACAACAGGTGCTGGAGAGGATGTGGAGAAATAGGAACACTTTGACACTGTTGTTGGGACTGTCAACTAGTTCAACCATTGTGGAAGTCAGTGTGGTGATTCCTCAGGGATCTAGAACTAGAAATACCATTTGACCCAGCCATCCCATTACTGGGTATATACCCAAAGGATTACAAATCATGCTGCTATAAAGACACATGCACACGTATGTTTATTGCGGCATTATTCAGAATAGCAAAGACTTGGAACCAACCCAAATGTCCAACAATGATAGACTGGATTAAGAAAATGTGGCACATATACACCATGGAATACAATGCAGCCATAAAAAATTATGAGTTCATGTCCTTTGTAGGGGCATGGATGAAATTGGAAATCATCATTCTCAGTAAACTATCGCAAGAACAAAAAACCAAACACAGCATATTCTCACTCATAGATGGAAATTGAACAATGAGAACACATGGACACAAGAAGGGGAACATCACACTCTGGGGACTGCTGTGGGGTGGGGGGCGGGGGGAGGGATAGCACTGGGAGATATACCTAATGCTAGATGATGAGTTAGTGGGTGCAGCGCACCAGCATGGCACATGTATACATATGTAACTAACCTGCACATTGTGCACATGTACCCTAAAACTTAAAGTATACTAATAATAAATAAAAATAAAAATAAAAATAAAATTAATAAAAAAATAAAAAAAATAAAAAGCCCATCCAGTTACAAACATCCTAAAGATATATAAGGGCCCTGAGAGCAAACTTAGACACCCCTTCAATTCCCTAAGTTATTGGTTTCTTGATCAAGATACATAAGGGCCCTGAGAGCAAACTTAGACACCCCTTCAATTCCCTAAGTTATTGGTTTCTTGATCAAGATTAAACAACATCCAACTCCTTGAACTATTTATATTTTTACTATGAATTCAAATATCCGTTTGCATAATTTAATAAGTAGCACCTCAGTGTTAGTATTAGAAGCCTATGCCTTCTGAATTCAAGCAAAGCAGAGAAAATAGAAAATAGAGGGTAGAGGAATAAAGGAAGTATTCAATAGAAATTATAAAAGTAAGGAAGGGACGGAAGAATTAGGAGTATTCTATTTTAAGACACATGAAAGAGTATGACACATAAGGCAATATAGTGTTATTTTTATGTGGATTTAGATTACTTAAATGTGTATATGGGTAATTCTAGACAAACTCTGAAACACATTTAAAAACAAGTATAATTTATAAATTTAGGGAAGAGATCAGTGAAGTTCTATAAAATTCTAAAAAAGTGGAAAATGGGAAAAGAAGAATCAAAGGGCAAGTGCAACAAACAGAAAATAGTTACAAACATAGTATATATTAATCCAATTATGTTCATAATCACTTTAAATATAATGGTTAGAGTATACCAATTTAAAGATAAAAACTATCTTGTTGGATTGAAGAAAAGAAAAACCCAACTATATGTTGCCTATAAGGAACCCACCAAATATATATAAAGACCAGATAGGTTAAAAGTATAAAAGAATAAAGAAAGATATATTATGCTAACACTAACACAAGAAAGCTGAAGTAGCTAAATTAACTTCAAAGTAGACTCAAAATAAGGAAAATTATCAAAGTTAAATAAAGTCATTACTTAATTGTAAAGGACTTAATTCCCCAAGAAGACATGATAATTCGAAACATGCAGGTACTTAATAATAGAGCATTGATATGGTTTGGCTGTGTCCCCACCCAAATATCATCTTGAATTCCCACATGTTGTGGGAGGGACCTGGTGGGAAGTAACTGAATCATGGGGGCGAGTCTTTCTTGTGCTGTTAATTATATAAGGGGAGAATTCCCCGCACAGCTGTCTTCTCTTGTCTGTGCCATGTGAGACATGCCATTCACCTTCCACTATGATTGTAGGCTTCCCCATCCACGTGGAACTGTAAGTCCAATTAAACCTCTTTCTTTTGTTAATTACCCAGTCTTGGGTATGTCTTTATCAGTAGCATGAAAATGGACTAATACAAGCATTAACACAGGTGAGGTAAAAATGGATAAAACTGATGGGGAAACATAAAAAATTCACTATTATAGTGGGAGACTTTAATATCCCTCTTTCAATAATTGACAGATCAAGGAAGCAAAAATTCAGTAGAGAACTAGTTGACCTAAAGAGAACCATCAATGAACTTAACGTAGTTAATGTTTATTATGGTATTCCAACAAACATAAGAGTACATGGTTTTTACAAGCCTATATGGAACATTCACCAAGACATACAACATTCTGGGGAATAACATATACTTTAAACAATAATTTAAAAGAAAATAAATTAAACAAGCTATATACTCACATCATAACTGAAATAAACTAGAACAGTAGACACGTAGCTGGAAAATACCCAGATGTTTGGAAATTAAACCATACACTTGTAAATAATACATGAGTCAAAGAAAAAAAATCAAGAGAATTTTAGAAATACTTTTTACTAAAGAAAATCAAAATATAGCTTATAAAAATGTATGGGATGAAATAAAAGCAGTGCTTAGAGGAAAACATGCATATGTGTATATATATGTGTACACATACATATGTGTGTATATATGCATGTATGTATAAATATATATACACACACACACATAGCAAGACCAAATTTCAACAAAAGTGAACTAGACAAAAAAGAGCAATTTAATTCTAAAGCAAGAGGAAGAATAGAAATGATAAAAGTTAAAGCAGAAATCAATAAAATTGAAAACAGAAATCAATAGAGAAAAGCAGTAAAACCAAAAACTGGCTCTTTGAAAAATCAGTAAGTATATACTTCTGTATTAGGATTTTCCAGAGAAATAGAACCTATATAATATGTATGTATGTAGAAATTTACTTTGAGGAATCGGCTTACACAATTTTGGGTGCTTTATGGCAAGTCCCAAATCTGATTTAGGGGAACCAGAAGGCTGGATTGAGACTTAGGAAAGGGTTACAGTTCAAGTCTCCTGCTGTAGAACCCCAGAGAGCCTATGTTGTAGATGACATCTGAAGTCTATCTCCTGAAACATCCCCTTGTTTCAGAGGAGGTTGGGCTTTTGTTCTATTCAGGCCATCAACTGATTGGCTGAGGCCCACCCACATTGTGAAGGACAATTTACTTTACTCAAATCCATCAATTATAATGTAAATCTCATCAAAACTAGCCTCACAGAAACATAGTATAATGCCTGACCAAATATCTGGGCACCATGAGTCAGTCAAATTGACACATAAAATGAACCATTATCTCAAACAGGATTAATGGAGGAAAAAGAGAGAAAGAAAGAAGAGAAAATGGAAGAGAAAGAATACATATCACAAATATAATAAATGAGTCATTATTACTAAACCCATGAGCATTAAAATGATAAAGAAATATTTTAAACAGCCCTATCCCTACTGTTTGATAACTCAGAAGACATAAACCAACTTCTTGAAATACATAAACTACCACAATTCATACAAGGAGAAAAAGATAATAAGAATAGGACTGTATCTGTTAAAGAAATTATTTGGGTACTATGTTCACTACCTGGACGACAAAATCATTTGTACCTCAAACCTCAGTGTCATGCAATAATATACCCATGTAACAAACCTGCAAATGTACCCCATGAATGTAGAATAAAAGTTGAAGTTATTTTTAAAAAGGAAACTAATCAATAATTAATAGCCTTCTAAAAAAGAATGCACCAGTCCTGGATGGTTTCACTAGTGATTTCAACCAAATATTAAAGAAATAAATGATACCAATTCTCCATAATATCTTTCAGAAAATAGAAACGAAGAACACTTTCAAATTTATTCTAGGAATCCAGTAATAACCTAATACTGATGCCATATAAGTAGATTACAAGAAAGAAAAACTGCAGACCAACATCTCTTACGAATATAGATATGAAAATCCTAAACAAAATATTAGCAAATTGAATCCAAAAAAAAAAAATATATATATATATATATATATATATATATATATATATATATATATTTACCAAAAATTTTTCAGCAGAGCCATGTGGGATTTATTCCAGATATACAAGGTTAATTAAATATTCAAAAATAAGTCAAGGTAAAACTCACTAATAAGAAAAGGTACAACCTAATTTAAAAATGGGAAAAAGATCTGAACAGGCACCTTACCAAAGATATGCAGATAAAAATAACCCATGCGAAAGGATGCACAATATCCTATGTCATGAGGGAATTGTAAGTTAAAACAACAATGAGATACCATATGTACCATTAGAATGGCCAAAATCTAAAATGTTGAAAATACCAAATTTTGGCGAGGATATGGAGCAACAGGAGCTCTCATTCATTGTTGGCACGCATGCAAAATTATACAGTCACTTTGGAAAACAGCTGCCAGTTTTCTTAGAAAAATAAATATACTTTTACTATATAATTCAACAATCGTGCTCTTGGTGTTTATCCAAATGAGTTAAAAATATATGTCCACACAGCTACTTTGAAAAAATTATGTCTACCCAATAACCAGCACACAAATATTTATAGCAATTTTATTCATAATCATCGAAACTGGAAGCAACAAAGATATCTTTCAATATGTGATTGGTAAATAAACTGTGGTACAGCCATACAAAGGAATATTGTTCAGCAATTGCTATGGCCTGAAAATTTATATATCTTCAAAATTTAAATATTGAAATCCTGACCCCCAAGGTAATGGTATTAAAAGATGGGGCTTTGGAGAGGATTAGATCATGAAAGGCAGAGCCCTAAGGAGTGAGATTAGTGCCCTTAATAAAGAGGCCTGACAGCTCTCCCTCATCTCTTCTGCCATGTGAGGACCCAGCAAAAATAAGGCTTCTATGCACCAGGAAATGGGCCCTTACCAGATGCTGACTCTGCCAGCACCTTTACCTTGAACTTTCCAGTCCAAGAATTGTGAGAAATACATTTCTGTTGTTGATCATGTCAAGTTAAAAAGGTCCTGCACAGCAAAGGTAATGATCAACAAGATGAAGGGACAGCCCACAGAATGGAAGAAAATATTTGCAAACATCTGACAAGGGATTAATAGCCACGATATATAAGGAGCTCAAACAACTCTATAGGAAAAAATCTAATAATCAAATAGATCAAAAAATGTACAGAAGATTTGAATAGGCATTTCTCAAAAGAAGACCTACAAATGATAAACAGGCATATGAAAAGTTGCTCAACATCATTGATCATCAGAGAAATGCAAATCAAAATTACTATGAAATATCATTTCACCCCAGTTAATATGGCATTTATCCAAAAGACAGGCAATAACAAATGCTGGTGAGAATGTGGAGAAAAGGGAATTCCTGTACACTGCTGGTGGGAATGTAAATTAGTATGACTACTATGGGGAACAGTTTGGAGGTTCCTCAAAAAACTAAAAATAGAGCTACCATATGATCTAGCAATCCCACTCCTGTATATATACCCAAAGAAAGGAATAGATATCTGCACTCCCATATTTATTGTGGCACTATTCACAATAGCCCATATTTGGAAGGAACCTAAGTGTCTATCAACAGATGAATGGATAAAGAAAATGTGGTACATACACACAATGGAGTATTATTCAGCCGTAAAAAAATGAGATACAGTCATTTGCAATAACACGGATGGAACTGGAGATCTTTATGTTAAGTGAAATAAGCTAGGCACAGAAAAACAAATATTGCATATTTTCACTTATTTGTGGGATCTAAAAATCAAAACAATTGAACTGATGGACATAGAAAGTAAAAGGATCGTTACCAGAGACTGGGAAGGGTAGTGGGGTGGTGTCGGGGGAACTGAAGATGGCCAATGGGTACAAAAAAATAGAAAGAATGAATAATATCTAGTATTTAATAGCACAAGAGGGTGATTGTAGTCAATAATAACTTAATTGTGTATTTTACAATAACTAAGAGTATAACTGGGCTGTTGGTAACCCAAAAGATAAATGCTTAAAGGGATAGATACGCCATTTCCCATGATGTGATTATTATGTATTCAATACCTGTATGAAAATATCTCATGTATCCTATAAATATATATACCTACTATGTACTCACAAAAATTGAAAATTAAAATTTCTGTTGTTTATAACCTGCTTATATATGGCATTTTATTATAGCAATTATAACAAAAAACCTTTGAAAAGAAATAAGACATCAAGCCACATGAATATGGATAATCCTTACATGTATTTTGCTAAGTGAAATAAAACAGCTCAAAAAGTTAACAAACTCTGTGATTCCAATTATATGACATTCTGAAAAAGGCAAAACTATGAGATGAGAAAAATGTTAGTGGTTGACAAGGATGTGGGAAGTTGGTTGAGGGTTGAACGGGCGAAGAAAAGGGAATTTTTTTAGAGCAGCGAATTGTCTTTGTATGATATTGTAATGGTGGATACATGACACTATATATTTTTCAAAACTGATAAAACTTTATAGCACAAAGAATGAGCCCTAATGTATGAAAATATAAAAAATACATTTAGGAAGTTGGGTATCCCAGGATAGAATATAGCTTGAAACAACACAATCTGTGTTTCAATGTATAAAATGTCCTTAATGAAGAGAGTATAGGAAAGGTTCTGATCTCAGTAACTGAAAATGAGTGGATCTGTAAGAGCAAAGGTGAAAGAAGCTTTATAGAAGCACTCTATGCTGGTTGTTTCCCTTAGTGGTATGGATTAACAATGCTGATACCACTATTCATGTATGCTGGAATTGTGCCAATAAGTAAATGCATGTCTGATGGTGGGAGCCGGATTTTTCACTATTGATTACAGATAGAGAAGGAGGCCAGAATGATCTATGTAGTAATAGATTAGAGTTGGAGATATCTTATGAATTCATATTCAGCTTATCACAGATACAGATAGTCATATATAGAAATATTTATAGCTATATGTAGCAGATAATTACTTCCTTGCTCTGTCAGGTGAGAGGGCCTAGGAGCAATGACTTCTAATAGCATCGAGATCTTGTTTTCTGCTACCACTCCCTAATGAAAGGAACCAAGGTTCCTGGGAAAAATGGTTGATACTAGGACTGTGGCAGAAAATATATAACATGAACCTGGAACATACAGCAATGCCAGAAAGTAAGAAGGTGCTAAAAAACAACAACAACAGCAACAAAAACAGAAAAAAAGAAAAACAATCGTGGGGCATGTCAAAAGGCCATAATTGAGAAAGCTCTCAATAGCCAAATTTGGAGCAATTTGAGCACCAAAATAAATGAAATTATATTGGATTATATCACAAAGTAAAAAAAAATTGAGCCCATCCTGATAAAAATTATTGAATAATTACGTAAGTGGGGATAATGGAAAAATCTCCCATGCAGAATAATTCCAAATAGAAATAATCCCAATTTATGTAGATATTCCTCCTTCAAGGATACAAAGCATAATTCCTCAATTTTCAGGTTTGCGTTGTGTACAGTGACTTCTTTCCAAAGAGTACAGTGTGGGAAAGAGGGAAGGAGTAACTTTACAGTGCAGAAACCTGACAAACACTAACTCGTGTGGGTGACCAAGTTTAATGCTAACAGTAATGTTGATAGAATGCTGATATAGTATGGCTATGTCCTACCAAAATCTCAGCTTGAATTGTGTCTCCCAGAAATCCCCTGTGTTGTCGGAGGGACCCAGGGGGAGGTAATTGAATCATGGGAGCTGGTCTTTCCCATGCTATTCTGGTGATAATGAATAAGTATCACGAGATCTGATGGGTTTATCAGGGGTTTCTGCTTTTGCTTCTTCCTCATTTTCTCTTGTTGCTGCCATGTAAGAAGAGCCTTTCACCTCCCATCATGATTCTGAGGCCTCCCCAGCCATGTGGAACTGTAAGTCCAATTAAACCTTTTTCGTGGCCAGTTTCGGGTGTATTTATCAGCAGCGTGAAAACGAACTAATACAGTTGCCCTCTTGAAATAATATGAGGATGTGAGGAAAGTGGTACTTTACCTTTGAGATGTTCCTCACAAAATGAATAACCTCAGTTGAATCATAATAAATACATCAGACAAATCCCAATTTAGAGGAACATTCTACACAATACTTAACCTGTACCCCTCAAAACCCCGTTCAAAAACAAGGAAACTTTGAGAAACACGACCAAAAAGAGCCTAAGGAGTCATGACTAGTGAATATATTGTGATATCCTGGCTGGAATGGTGAAACAGAAAACAATTTTGAGTAAAAATGAATGAAACTTGAATAAAATAATAGACTTTAGTTAACATGTTCTATTATTTATTCATTAATTATAACAAATGCGCTATAGTAATGTTAGAAGGTAATAAAAGCAGAAACTGGTGTGGGCTGTATAAGAACTCTATTTCATAGTTTTTTTGTAAATATAAAACCATTACAAAATAAAAATTTAAAAACCAATGTTAAAAAAGTGCGTAAGCAATGTTTGGCAGACACAATCTTAGTACTGGTCACAACGAATACATTTTCTATCATTTGGTAGTCACAAAGCTGCTTGTTGGGAAGATGGAAGTGGTGAGGAAAAAAGTGAAGAAGGAAAGGCTTAGCAAACCAGTGTTTCTAACTCCACTCTTCTGACCTAGCTTCTGGTTCAGTGGCATAAATGAGTAACAGATGTGTGAACTGGATATGTTTCAGCACTCAGGAGAATGTGGTTTTCAGCATAGATTTCAGAAAGCAGTTCCTCCAGTCTTTAAAAAGTTTTTTATTTTTATTTTTTTTAAGCTGACAAAAATTGTATTTATTTATTTTAAATAATTTTTTCTACTTTTATTTTAGATTCAGGGGGTACATGTGTAGTTTTGTGACATGGGTATACTGTGTAATGCTGAGGTTTGGGGTACCCAAAATATAGGTACTGAGCATAGTTCCCAATAGGTTGTTTTTCAACCTTTGCCTTCTCTCCTCCCTTTGCCCTCTAGTAGTCTCCAGTGCCTATTATTCCCATCTTTATGTTCATGTTTACCCAGTGTTTAGTTCCCACTTATAAGTGAGAACGTGGTATTTGGTTTTCTGTTCTTGTGTTAATTGAGTTAGGATAATGGCTTCCAGCTGCATCCATGTTGATGCTTCAAAGGAAATGATTTCAATCTTTTTCATGACTGCATAGTATTCCATGGTGTATATGTGTCACATTTCCTTCTTCCAACCCAACATTGATGAGCATTTTGGTTGAGTCCATGTCTTTGTTTTTGTGAACAAATGATATGATGAATATATGAGTTCATGTGTCTTCTTGGTAGAATGATTTATTTCCTTTGGGTATATACCCAATAATGAGATTGCTGGATAGAATGGTAGTTCTGATTTGAGTTCTTTGAGAAATCTCCAAAGTGCTTTCCACAGTGGCTGATCTAATTTGCATTTCCACCAAGAATGTATAAGTGTTCCCTTTTCTCTGCAGCCTCTCCTACATCTATTATTTTTTGACTTTTTATTAATAGCCATTCTGACTGGCCTGAGGTGCTATCTCATTGTGGTTTTGATTTGCATTTCTCTAATTCTTAGTGATGTTGATCACTTTTCCTTGTTATTGGCTGCTTGTGTGTCCTCTTTTGAGGAACATCAGTCCAAAATGCTCCTAGAACTGATAAATGACCTCAGTAAAGTTTTACAATACAAAATCAATGTACAAAAATTATAGAAAACATAGAAAATGTAGCATTTTTATATACCAGTTATGTTCAAGCTGAGGGTCAAATCAAGAGTGCAATCTCATTTACAATAACTGCTCATAAAACAAAACAAAACAAAACAAAAAACTAGGAAGACAGCTAACCAAGGAGTTGAAAGATCTCTACAAGGAGAACTAAAAAACACTGTTGAAAGAAATCATAGATGACACAAACAAATGAAAAACCATTTCATGCTCATGAGTTGAAAGAATCAATATCAAAATGGCTATACTGCCCAAAGCAATCTACAGATACAATGCTATTCCCATCAAACTACCAATGACATTCTTCACAGAACTAGAAAAAACTATTTTAAAATTCATATGGAACCAAAAAAGAGCCCAAATAGCCAAAGCAATCCTAAGCAAAAAGAACAAAGCTGGAGGCATCATGTTACCTGACTTTGAACTATGTTACAGGGCTACAGTTAGCAAAACAGTATAGTGCTGGTACAAAAACACATAGACCAAGGGAACAGAATAGAGAACCCAGAAATCAAGCCACACATCTAAAACCACCTGATCTTCAAGAAAGTCAACAAAAATAAGCAACGGAGAAAGGATTCCTTATTCAATAAATGGTGCAGGAATAACTGGCTGGCTACATGCGGAATAAAACTGGTCTTCTTTCTTTCACTGTACACAAAAATTAACTCAAGATGGATTAAGGATTTAAATGTAAGTCCTCACAATATTAAAATTCTAGAAGAAAACCTAGGAAATACCATGGCCATCGGCCATGGGATATAATTAAAGACTAAGTCTTCAGAAGTGATCGCAACAAAAACAAAAATTGACAAGTGGGACCTAATTAAACGAAAGAGCTTCTATACAGCAAAAGAAACTATCAACAGAGTAAACAGATAAAGTACAGAATGGGAGAAAATATTAACAAACTATGCCTCCAACAAAGATCTAATATTCTAATATCTAGAATATATAAATTAATCAATTCAACCAGAAAACACAAACACACACACACACACACCACGAATAACCACAAATAAAGATGTACCTTTTGTTTAATGTAGTTATAATATGAGTCACCTGTCTGTTGTATATATTTTGAACTTCACATGTCCCATAAATTAGTCCATTAAGAGAGGTAGAGCTACGAATATGGTATCTGAATTTTTAAAAAAGTGTTTTCTCTTTCTGAAATAACAAAGTAGCTCCACAAAAAAAAGTTTATGTTTTCTCTTAAAGATTTTATGATAAATTTCTGCTGAACATTACAGTTACAAGATGAAAGCATTTTATTCTGTTTTGGTTCCATAGTTGCCTGCCATAATTTACAGAAGGAAGAGATTAGTTAAGAGTAAATTTGGCAACAACAAAGGCCTCCTTGTGGAATGTCAGTTCACTGTTTGCTTCTTGTTTCTCAACACAATACTCCTCAAATAATAAGAATATGGGTGTTGAAAAGCTGGACACAGTTGTCAGATAAAAATCACTCCATATGTTATCAGATATGGTCTTGTATATAGAATTTGAGTAGCTCTTTGTTGAAATGGCTGTTGGGAGCGTATTGCTTCCTAGGATTCATATGCTCTGATTTTTCTGTCCTAAGGACAAAATATAGACAGCCATAAAATATGTTGTTCTCCCAGCAGTTTATGGAATCTTAAAATATGCTCTGATATTTTCTTTACCAAAAGAAATTTTATGTAAGTTGTGAAGTACCTTTCTTAATTGAATTTAATCGAAGTACCTTTCTTACCATTATTGGAGTCATTTCAGAAAGAGTTTCAAATTTAACCAGTAGGATCAATAGCTTCCTGAGAATCTTGTTGCTTCTAGAGAATTTAAGTCTTATAAAATTACATTCTCAAGAAGATTACAAAAATGTATTGAGTATTCTCTTTGTGAAAAATTTTAGATATGTTATTTTTAATTATCACAAAAGGTTTATGACATACTCTTAGTTACAATTTGCAAATGAGAAAACTGAAGACAAAAGTGATTAGTATCTTCTCAAGATCACACAGTTATGAGGATATGGTCACATGCTTGAACTTGACTCCAAAGCTAGAAACAAATTTTAAATATATATGTACGTATATATAAAATTTATATAAAAATATGTGTTGTATGTGTACATATAATTTATATAAAATTTAGACGTTATCTTTCCAGGAAACTATAAGACTATATTTAGAATTTGCTTGTATTTGTACCTACTCTGTTTTCACTGTTGCCACAGCCATTTGCCTTGTCTGAATAGAAAACTAGATAGGTGTCCAGAGTGCAGATACTTAAAAAATCGTGTTTTCAACATCTGATGGTGTGTGTGTGTGTGTGTGTGTGTGTGTGTGTGTGTGTGTGTGTGTGTGGTGTTTTGTCTCAACTTTTTTCTCTCTTGTCAAAGGTCCATTTTGTTTTGTTTTGTCCTTTTAGATGACTGAGAGTAACTTAGGATTGCAGAGAATAATTTGCAAACCTTCTTTCACAGGAGCTCTCGGGGATTTCTGCGGCTTCTCATCTCTTCCACCTTCTCAACAAGTAGAATGGTAATAGCAAAATTATATGCCAAATTCTGTTAAAGAAACCCTCCATCTTGTACATTTATTTTGAGGTGAGAGACTGAAAACTGTTCATTTTGCAAAGATGAATAAATAAGTGAAGATCTAGGTTACTGGAAAGAACAGCAAATGTGTTGTATCTACCTGTACCATGTGCTAAGACTACAAATATAAATAAGATATGGTTTTTTGTATTTAAGGAGTTTTGCGTTTGTGCTGTGACAAGTTAAAATGTTTTAAAGTTTTGAAACTCAATTCAATTCTGCAGTTTAGAAATCATTGTTTCCTCACTGAAATATCTCTGCTCTTACAGTTTTTCCTGGAATCATGTACGATAGTTGCTTAATGGGAGCTTATTGTATGACAGAGTTTAAGGAAAGGAATAAGGATAGTTCTATGCTACTTCTGTCAACGACCAGTAGGAGAACCTGAGTAGGTAATTTTAGCCTGAGTCTCAGTATTCTCATGTTAAATTTAGGGTTTGTTCTCAATGACATTTGAAACTGCTTCTGTGCATGAACTAGAAGGTCTGCATTGAAGTATATAATGCACTTAACAAAACATCTGATACAGACATTATAAAGAAAATATCGGTTTACATTTCAATTTAGTTAAACTTCACAGTTAAGTGGCCTTAAAAAGTCATCTGTTTCTTTTCGTGTTATACAAGGTGCAAATATATTAGATCCAATGCAAGAATGAGGTTGGTTTGATTCTTAGCATCACACTGCCAAGATTGATGTCCTTGTATATATTACTTCACTGAGCCTCACAACACATAATCTGAAAAAAAATTTTAAAAGGATGTTTAATCAAATGAATATCATTTTTCTTCTAATTTAGATGGAATGGATATATCATTTTTAAATGGTTCCCACGCAGACAAGCTTTGTTGCATAGACTCTTTAGCCACAATAATCAACATATTTTGATGTGATGGAACAAACCAATGTTGTATTGAAGGCAACCGTTGGTCCTCCAACAATTCATACACTGTTCAATATGTGTTAATCTCTATACTCCTCATCCTCTTTTTAAAGTGTGTTAGCTTCTGTAAGACTTTGACAACATTGCACTGTAAAATTACAGTAAATATCTATAAAGATATATATCTATATAAATGAAATAATATAGAAACCTGCTCTCTTCTTTTCAAAACGTTAATCTGAAGAAGTAGACTATTCAGTCTTTATTCTACAGTTTCCTCGATGATACATATATACAGTTTATATTTTCCAAGATGTATCAAGATGTATTTGCTCTTAAAATGCCACCACTAATTAAATTCTAGGACATTCTTCAATACTTCATACATAGGCAGTCCCCCCTTATCTGCAGGGAATATGTTCCATGAACCCCCCCATTGGGTGCCTGAAACCATGAACAGTACCAAACACTATATATCCTATGTTTTTCCTGTATGTGCATACCTATGATAAAGTTTAATTTATAAGTTATGACAGTAAGAGAATCACAAAAATAACTAATAGTAAAATACAATAATTATAACAATATACTATAATAAAAGTTACATGAATGTGGTCTTTTTCTCTCTCAATATATCTATTGTACTCACCTGTTTTCAGACTGAAGTTGACCACCAATTACTAAAATCATAAAAAGCAGAACCATGGATGAGGGGGAACTACTGTGACTGAACCCTATGTTGTTTCTCTTCTTTCTTCTACCTAGACAGCATTTCTGTAGCTGGTCTTAGGGGCACTAGAGATTTGAAACTATAAGAAATAGTTTTAAAGAGACTGACATTCACTTTTCACATTTCAGAGATCACAAAAAGCTCTTGTTTCTCAGTAGAGGTTGCAGTATCTTATGCTTAGGGACACTTGAGTATCCTGTTGAGGCTTGGCATTAAAACAAATTCATTGATGTTCTTCTGTGGAACTACAGGCTGGCCTTTTGTTTATTATTGTTATATTTTATTTGTATAGATATCCCACCATGCTGTGTGCTATAAATAGTGATGTTTTTATTGTTAGTGCCCTACACTTAATAAAGCTGTGGTTTTCCTGGCAATTAATTGTGCTGACAATCAATGCAAGGCTGCAGGCAGTGTGTTTATGTGCTGAGCTTTTGATGAGTAAAACCCCAAGAAGTCAGGCTGACAGAATGAAATACACTGCTCAGACATAAAGTCACATTCTGTTCTTGGTTTGAGCAAATGACAGTTGATTATAGACTGAGCCTAGGCCTGATTTTGCTTGTAAGGTAGAGAGTATTTGGTCACCTTTAAGCAAGAAGGTTAGGCACTTATTTAGAATAAAATAACATGAGAAAATTACTTGTATCTGTTTTTTGTCAACATGTAGTCTATTTTTGGAAAATTTATTTAATTTGAAATGCCCTAGTAGCCTTTGGAAAGCTTTTATCTTTCCACCAGTTGTTAGGAAATAGCTTTTTGGTGGATTCTTCCAACTAAACTTAACTCACTTGACTTCCCTGGATTAAATATGGCTGATGACTTTGTATTCTTCTCCCTATTTCCTTTTCTTCTTCCGTGTACTAAACAATACCATTCTGTAACATATGACATTTAACTCTACATCCCGACTCACTGGATGTTTAATCTTTGTACAGTAATCATGTCAATGACAGATAAAAGGCAATCAGTGATTGAAGTGGGAACAGATCCATTCAGTAAATAACACTATCTTCCTTGTTGTTCCAGTATCAAATCTATTTTAAAAATGTAAATGTAAACTATTATTTTAACAACCCTCAAGTTATCCACAAGCTCTTATTGGTGCTTTCCTCAAAGGCTCACTTAGATAATAGTAGAACTCAGTTTTTCCTTATTAACACTTATAATAAATGAATGTATAAAATTTAATTTATACTTAATTCCCACAATTATGTTTATCAGACATGGATTTGAACCAAATGGACCATTGTGTGCATACAAATCTATGCTTTAATAATAGAGATAATATTGAGGCTCTTATTTTTCTTTTTGTTATAGCTCTTAAATATATATATGTATATTTATATAAAATCTTAGATGTACAGAAAGTTATTTCTATGCTCTAGTAATTTGTTGAGAAAAAACCAT
The DNA here is from genome assembly GCF_000001405.40 of Homo sapiens. NCBI lineage: Eukaryota > Metazoa > Chordata > Mammalia > Primates > Hominidae > Homo > Homo sapiens. The sequence goes on from NC_000002.12 coordinate 210,920,325, forward strand.
GTTCAGCATAGGCACTAAACAAATATTTGGTGAATGATTGACTTAACAAACAAACAAGTAAATAATGATCCTATTATAATGAAACCTATTTGTGTGTACTGTTTTATAAGATATATTTGTAGAGTTTGAAGTGACAAAAGTAATTCATATGGGATTTCCGGTTTCCAGTTAGGGCTGTTGAAATTTGGAAAGAACTTCACTGTCAAATTTAAAACAAAAACATTACCACACAAACATCAAGTTTGTGACTTACTTTGAACCTATTAAGGTGGTGAAGTTACAGGAAAGCCAAATGGCCCCAAGTGTGAAAAGAAAAGAGCACCTGCAGAGAAAGGGGAGGTACAAATTCTAGCTTATGTGGGGAGGAAGTAGCCAGCCCTGATAATGAGGGTTTAATTAGGATAATTGGCAAATTGATGGAGGGCAGCCAAAGGTGCACTAGAAAGATAACTGCAAGTATAATAATTGTCCCATCCTCTTGCAGACTTTTCTTAAACAAACCCCATCAGATAATCATACACAGAATTAGACGTGTCCTGAGAAAGTTCACAGTACAAAACTAGAGAAGGAGAAGAGTTGTGAAAAAGGCACAGAACTTTACTGGGACTCTCACTTTTATGTCCCCAGGGAAAAAACAAAACAAAACAAAAAACCCTTAATTTGTGAGGAGAGAGGCAAAGAAATACTGTTGTCCTAAGGACATTAGAGAAAATCTATTGTAGTTAGATGAAGGAAACAGGAGAAAAACCCTCTATCCATGGGAAAGGAACAGACTGTCTACAAGGCCAAGGGAAGAAAGGGGCACTGAAAAAAGTAACCCTTAAGACCCACAAGACATAATGTCTGCCTAAAGTTTTAACAGAACACAGAATGTCCACACCCTGCTCCCCACTGCCAAGCTAACAAACATCAAGTAGCAAGTAACTTGCACCAAATAAACCCTCCTTAATGTACAGTGCAAAGAGCAGATAAAATCTCAGTGTGGAACAGTTATTTAAACAAAACAAAACAAACAAATAAACAAAAATCTCTTCGGCAAAGAAGCCACCACCCTAAACACAAGGTATTGCTAAGAGAATTTGAAGTCTATAATGTGCTGAGTTTAAACCTAGCTAGAACAAACTCCAAAGCCAGCCTATTTCCTAACTAGACTGACTCAAACTCATACATTAAAGGGTTAGCTGAGATAGAGTTAAGACCATTTTCCTAAAAAGAGTTCTTGCCACAGTCTTTACTGTCCTACACAGATGTCTAGTTATCAATAAAAATAAGGTGGAGCACACAATATGGTAATAAGAAAACAACACAAGCCAAAAGACAAAGTAATCATTGGAACTGGACTGAGATATTAAAGATGGTGGAACTGACAAGAAATAGAAAAAACTATGATTTACTATGATTAATATGGCAAAGTCCCTAATAAAGAGAGTGAACAATAATCAAAATCTGCTGAGAGAGCAAGAGGGAGAGAGAGAGAGAGAAAGTATTGGGAAGGAAATCAAAATGGTAGAAATGAGAAACACAGAAATGGTGATGAAGATTTCTCAGTGGACTCAATACAGCTGAGGAAAGAATCAGTGAACATGAAGACAAGGCTATTAAAATTACAGAAAATGAAACATAAAGAAAAGAAGTTGGAAGCTAAAACAACAACAACAATAGAGCATCCAAGTTCTGGAACAATATTAAATGATCTAAAACACTTGTAAATAGGCCAAGCACAGTGGCTCATGCCTGTAATCCCAATATTTTGACAGGCCAAAGTAGGTGGATCACTTGAGTCCAGGAGTTCAAGACCAGCCTGGGCAACATGGCAAAACCCCATCTCTACAAAAACACAAAAATCAGCTGGGCATAGTGGCTCACATCTGTAGTCCCAGGTACTCAGGGGGCTGAGTCGGGAGGATCCCTTGATCCAAGGAGGTTGAGGCTGCAGTGAGATATGCTTGCACCACTGCACTCCAGGCTGGGCAACAGAGCGAGATGCTGTCTCTAAATAAAATAAAATATGTGTAAGTAGAATTTGAAAATGTGATGAGTGAATGGGATAGGGGAAACATTTGAAGAGCTGTTGGTTAAGATTTTTCAGAACTCAAAGCACAGATTAGAGAACACCAAACAGGTTAATTACTGTAATAAAATAAAGATAAGATTGCAATTAAATTAAAAAGTAAAGTAAAATTAGGTGATAAAGGAAAAGATAACACACATGAAAACATAAAACTAGGAAGAATATTGAAGGTAGCCAGAAAAGAAAAAAAGGCACATTGCATGCAGAGGAACAAAGATGAGAATCACAGCAAACTTCTCTTTAGAAACAATATAAGTTGTAAGACAATGGAGTGGCATCTTTAAAGTGCTAAAGGAAAAAAATATCTCAGTTCAGTATTTTATATCCAGCAAAATTTTTTTTAAAGTAGAAATATATTCTCAAACAAAAAAAAATGTTGTTTGAATTTAACGCTGATAGCTCTACTCTATAGGAACTGTTAAAGGAAGTTATTCAGAAAGTGAAATATGTTACCAGAAAGAAACTAAGATATACACACACAAAAAAGAGTAATTTACTTTTTTCCCATTTCTAATTGCTTAAAAAGGTCACTGACTCCCTATATAAAAATAGTAGGAATATATTATATGATATAGCACATAATACATCTTCATGCTTTGCCAGTGTCTTACGATTGCCCATATCCTTAATGCTATGTTGGAAACTTGATATTGGATAAAACCACTGACATTTGTGTGTCTGATTTGACAGTCAAACACCTCAGAGAGAACAATGAGAAAGAATAGAAATAGAAATTTAACAATAATTAAAAAGATTCAAGATATATATGCCAATAATAACTAAAATTTTTGAACAGTAACTATATACTAAGCAATGAATTAAAACTTTTTTTATCTTATGTCATGCTTACTACCAGTCAATGATATAAATATTATTATCTCAATTTTACAGAAAAACAACAAGAACAAAGCCAGGTTTTTATTGTTTTATTTTATTTTATTTTTTTGAGACAGAGTTTTGCTCTTGTTGCCCAGGCTGGAGTGCAATGGCACAATCTCAGCTCACCGCAAACTCCACCTCCTAGGTTCAAGCAATTTTCCTGCCTCAGCCTCCAAAGTAGCTGGGATTACAGGCATGCACCACCACACCTGGCTAATTTTGTATTTTCTAGTAGAGATAGGTTTTCTCCATGTTGGTCAGGCTGGTCTCAAACTCCTGACCTCAGGTGATCCACCCTCCTCAGCCTCCCAAAGTGTTGGGATTACAGGCGTAAGCCACCAAGGGTCCCAGCCAAAACTGGGTCTTAAAGAGTTAGGTGACAAGCTTCGACTCACACAACTAGTAAATGTCATAACCAGAACTCAAATCTAGGTCTGAATGACTCCAAAGCAAACATTCCTATTCCCCCTCATATTAGACGCAGTATATCATTAAGAAAATGTCAGTTTATTAAAAAAAAGAATATGTAAAAATATGAATAAATGAAAACACAAGAATACTTCACGCATAAAACGAAAAAAACCCTAAAATTTGAGAGAATACTAATGTAATTTTGCAGAACTTTTTAAGCAATATGCATGATGATAACATACATCAAAATCCTAAAAAATGCATAAAGAAATTTGATCCAGAATCCTAGAGATTTACCCTTAAGCAAACATCAAAGATGTTTTATAAATATATATTTTGTGAAATTATTTATTTAAAACTCTGAAGAAACTAAACTTTGCATACAATAAAATTGGTTCAATGAATCCTAGTACTTCTGATACTTTTAACCTTTAAATGTTAATGACGTTAACAAAATTATTTAGCAAAAATATCAGTTAACAAAGCAGCCAACATTGTTTGCTTTCAAATTTATGTGTGTAAATGCTACTTACTTTTTTTTTTTTTTTTTTGAGACAGAGTCTTGCTCTGTTGCCCAGGCTGGAATGCAATGACATGATCATGGCTTACTGCAGCTTCACCCTACTGGACTCAATCTTTCCACCTTGGCCTCCGGAGTAGTTGAGACTACAGGTGTGTACCACCATCAGGCTAGGCTAATTTTTAAAATTTTTTTAGAGATGGGGTCTTACTATGTTGCCCAGTCTGGTCTCAAACTCCCGGGCCCAAGGGATCCACCTGCCTCTGCCTGGGATTACAGGCCTGAGCCACCATGACTGGTAAAATGCTACGTTTTAATATTTAATATAGGTATGCATGCACAGAAAATTGCTAGATATTTATGTAATAGTATTAATGGTTAATAACCATGGACAGTGTGATTAGGGGTTATTTTTTATATTGTGCTTTTATGCATTTTATAATTGTTCTATGGTAAAAATGCTTTTGAATTAAAACAATTGTTTTGCATACATATATATTTTTCAAAGCCAAATTTCTGAAGAGAAAGTGTGGGCCATAGTGTTAAAACTTAGAATCAGTTTTTGCTCCAATCAATTTTATAAATAAAATAAAAGTTTAATACACAAACTTAAAAGTTTCATGCTACTATTAGATTTTATAGCTCTTAGTGATATGAAAATCCACAAAAATTTTAATTTTTAAGTTTTCAGTAAATATTTCATGAGAAAATATTAAGATTTATATTTGTAGAAAACAAATAATATTGTGGAAGTAGTAAAAAGAACCCTTGTTCATTCCCACTTAGAGTCTGAGAGAAGACTAGTCATATTGAAGCAAGAAGTTTTTTGAAAAGAATATGTGCAATGTCCTTGACTAGATCATGTAAGAACATTGTATTGCAATGTGGTTGGGACTGATACTGATTGAAATGTATAGTGACAAGGAAGTGACACAATCCAACTTGTGTTTTAGGAAACTTAATCTGCTTATGGTATGCTGAATTAAAGTGGGGCATCTTTTTCTTTAAAAAAAATAAGAAGTTGTGTCAGTTTATATCCTCTGAGGAGTAGATGCCAAGACTAAATATGTAAGATATTTATTGGAGAAATGGTTGTGAAACATAAAAAAGATGATAAGCATAGGCAAGAAGACCTCCATATCATGGTGAAGCTCTGCCCATCTGTGAAAAAGTGCTTTTGTTGTTGTTTTGAGACGGAGTCTCGCTCTGTCGCCCAGGCTGGAGTGCAGTGGCGCGATCTTGGCTCACCGCCAGCTGCGCCTCCCGGGTTCAGGCCATTCTCTGACTCAGCCTCTCCGAGTAGCTGGGACTACAGGCGCCCGCCACCACACCCGGCTAATTTTTTGTATTTTTAGTCGAGACGGGGTTTCACTGTGTTCTCTATCTTCGACCTCGTGGTCCGCCCACCTCAGCCTCCCAAAGTGCTGGGATTACAAGCGTGAGCCACCGCGCCTGGCCTGTGAAAAAGTTTCATAGTAAAGCTCAGGTCTGAGAAAGTTTTGGCCAAGCTGATCAGGAGTCCTCAAATGAAAGCTGCTCATCAGAGAATCAACATGGGGCAGGAGTGGTCAGGTTCTAATACCCCTGTAGAGGCCAGTCATTGGCTGGGACCTCCCAGGGGAGGTGTGGACTGGCGTGAATGCTGTGGTGAATCCAAAGTCATGGCAGCTGGAGGATTCCAACCAGCTATGCTCCCACAGCTAAACGGGACGCCTCCATACCTGCCACAGTCTCCTTGTGCTACAGAGATCCATTTCTGCACCTATATATGGGTGGTTATTTCATGATTCTGGGGACCATTATTCCTAGGAGAAAATTTAGAAGAAGGATTTTATTGGCTAGTAGGTTGAATTACTCCTCTTCCAATTACAAATTCCTTTTATCCTAGCTTGTTACTTTGTCAGTCTTAATAGCTTACCTGGAAGTGTGGCCCAAACCTTCACTCCTGAGAAGTTTAAGCCTTAGGTAATTATATCTTTTTCAGTCTCAGGTTGTTTCGTGTATCTATTTATAATTAGTATAGGGCAAGGGAGTACAGGAGGCACTCACATGGATCACCAGGCTTTCACATGTATCCTCCCTAACTCTATTGTATAAAAGCAATTCTATCTCCTTGTGCTGCCCAGTCAATTTAGCATGCCAAGATGGTCTTTCATGTCTATGGATTCTTGAGCATAAGGAGTTCAAAGAGCCCAGGTAGCAGCTGTAGCTTGTAATTCAATGAAACTTGTGCTATGCCCCTGGCAAAAGTACACACTTCTTGATGAGCAGGACTTCTAACCCTGCAGAGCCTAGGGTTGTAGGGATGTGAATTATAGGAATGAGAAGCTCAGTGACAGTCAGAAGAAGATTGTGAATGATAATGATGGGGCTGACTTCTTTCCTGGAATCACCTGTTTACATTTGGACCCTTCAAGAAGAAAATGCCAAGACTAAACTAGATGTGCAGGAGATTTCCAGGGTAATGCTTCTGGAGGACAAACAGAGAAGAAACAGGAGTAGGCAGAGAGCCTTCACATCTCAATTGCAATGGAGAGAAAAATTGGATTAAGAGTCTCAGAGTGCAAGTATAGTCCTGAGAAAGTTTTGGCCAAGCCAATGGAGAGCCCCATAGCCAAAGCTGCCCATTAGAGGAATCCCATATCAAGTAGAATTGGATGGGTGAGAATTCTCAGGTGGCTGAGAGTTCTACTACTCTCTGCCACTCCCTGCCATACTCAATTGTTGACTGAAGGCAGCAAACTGGAAGTGGCCTTGCATGTGCATGGGATGGGTGTAAAGTTATAGCATCTGCAGACTGTCAATCGGCTATGCATCCCAAACAGTTTCTCTTAAAGAGAAATATAAGCAGTTCAGCTCACCTCCAAGACTGGAGAAAAAGGAATTTTTTTTTTCAAAATATTATGTTAGTCCAGGGGAAAGAAAAATGGTCTTGCATTGATTGCATATGTACAGTTTGACTTCTTATGGAGGGAAAGGGACTACTTGAGATACATTTATACCGTGTAAAATATTCTAAATATGGAAGTTTTCATCCCTATGCCGTTGTGAAAATTGTGTTTTGATGTATACCTCACAAGCAAAAGGTGTTACTGTCTTTATACCAGATGTATACAGGCATGCATCACTTAATGACAGGAATACATTCTGAGAAATGCCTCATTAGGCAATTTCATTGTTGTGTGAACATCATAGAATGTATTTACAAAAACATTGATGGCTTAGCCTACTACACACCTAGGCTACAAGGCATCTGACCACCATTGTACATGTAGTCTGTCATTGACTGAAATGTTAAATGACTGATATGGTTTGGCTCTGTGTCCCCACCCAAATCTCATCTTGAACTGTAATCCCCATGTGTCAAGGGAGGGGCCTGGTGGGAGGTGATTGGATCATAGGGGCTGTTTCCCCCCTGCTGTTCTCATGATAATGAGGGAGTTCTCAGAAGATCTGATGGTTTAAAAGTGGCAGTTTCCCCTGCACGTGCTGTGCTCTCACTCTCTCTTCTGCTGTCAGGTAAGAAGTGCCTTTCTTCCTCTTCACCTTCCACCATTATTCTAAGTTTCCCAAGGCCTCCCCTGCCTGTGGAACTGTGAGTCAGTTAAACCTATTCTGTTTATAAATGACCCAGTCTCAGGTAGTTTCTTTATAGCAGTGTGAAAATGGACTAATACAATGACACAGGACAGTATACACAAATGTGTGAGATAGCCTGAGGGGGCTAAAGTTGTCTATATTAGTGATCACATTTTCTTTGTGTATTTTATTATTTAAAATAGTATCTGAATGTAAATAGAATAAAATTTTACTTTTCTGTACAGATTTTACTCACTTCAAAAATATTTTAGTGATATTTGCTCTGGGGATATTCTTTAGCACTTTTTAAATTGTCAGTCAAAATCTATGAAGAACATCACTAACCATATTTGTCAGTTTTTACAAATATTTTACTTTACTTTCCTTGTTGGTAGAGAATCTATCTAAGTGCTATAAAAATTGTGTGGGAGCTAGACATACAACATATATTGACTGACTGATATTTGCATTTGGATTTATTTATATGAGATGAGGTCAAGGATGTTTGAATATTAGTGTGCTGACATTAATCTACAGAACCACTCATAATAGAATTCTTATAGACCAAGCATTTTTAGAAATTTCACTCACTCCCAACCTTGATGAACTGTCATAATAATTGATTGTATTAACGGAAATAAATAGCCCAAATTTGGCTCACTCTCAAAATGACCCTGTTTCAACTGACACAGATGAGGAATAAGGTTATTTCATGTTGCCCCAGCCAGGTCAAGGATTAAAGGAAAGCGTTGGCTTGTGCCTTTAATTTGATCCTGCAGACAAGTGGATGAATCGGCTTTGTCAGTCTCTTTCTCTTTGGCGTGGATACCAATAACCTTGCTTCACGTTCTTGTTTCTCCTAGAGGGAAGGATTTTGGCAGAATACTGCTTACTTTTACAGTTAGAAAAGTTATACAGTTTAAGGAGGGAACAGTAATTACAAGCCATTAAACTCAGAAGGCCATCGGCATAGACAAACATTCTGAAGAGGACACAGCCTTCAAGTTGAGTAAAGGATGATTACTAGAGCATTTTAGTAGAGAGCTGGTGAAGGAGAGGAAGAAATAACTCTGGAAATGTGCTAAGGCAGCAGACCTATGAAAATGCAGTTAGACACGGCAGTGACTACATTGATTATGCCAGGAATGATTTAGCAGGGGTGTTTCACACTTGCCATTAAACAAAGTGCCATAATGGGGTTTAAAATGTACTCAGATTCTACTTGCTATATCCAGTTTAAACCATAGAGGTGTCACTTACATTATTACTCTTTGTTGGTTTGTGGGAAATTCTCTAGCCTTTGTGACTGGACTGCTTTTCCTCTTAGCTCCGGATTCAGTGATTGCAAAAATTTGTTTTCCTCCTTGTCAATTCGTGACTGTCTTTGGTTAAAAATACATCTTGAAACTTTCCTGATTTAATTGCATTCAATTATTTCCCTTCAATGTCTTAAACACTGCATAAATAATATTTCTGACATTGGTTTGAAAGGAGGTTTAAAATATATTATTATTATATATGACATAAAAATATATTATACATAAAATATGTATAACATATAAAAATATATTTTTATATATTATAGATAAAATTATATTATATTACATGTAATATATAATATGTAAAATATATTATATTACATATATAATATATAATATGTAAAATATATTATATTACATATATAATATATAATATGTAAAATATATTATATTACATATATAATATAAAATATTACATATAATATATTTTACATAAATATATATTATCTATTACATATTTATTATATGTAATAATATGTACATATGTATAAATATGTATATATTTATACATATGTATATATTATATATACATATATATGTATATATTATATATACATATATATGTATATATTATATTATATATACATATATATGTATATATTATATTATATATACATATATATGTATATATTATATTATATATACATATATATGTATATATATTATAAATATGTATAATAAAGATTTATATGTAATAAATATGTAATACATAATATACAACATAATATATTTTATATTGATATAAAAATGTCATAATATATTTTTAGATTATGATAAGGATATAATCACCTTTATAAATAGATTGTCAGTTCTCACTAAACGAGCATTTTTTATTTCTTTGGTATACTTCCATAAACATCATGTCATTCATCTGAATACAGTAAGGATAGTCAGATGGCAAGCCTTTTCAACAATAGGGCATTTATTTCTGACATAAATGACAAGAAAAAGAAAAATTGAAATACCCTATGTGTGTAGGGTGTTTTCCCACTCAGTTGAAAAGAGAATGTTACAACATTTTTTTTGCATTTTTATAAGAATCTGCTCTCCATGTGTTTTCTAGGATAAAATAGAGATTGAAATTCCACTCCACTATCAAGTTAGAAGTTGATTACTTTATGGAGATTATGTGACCAAGTATGATGTTTGTTAGAACAGAATTAAATAAACAATAATATGAAGTAGTAACAGAAAATGTGGTATTTTCAATTGCTGCCTGTTGAAGCCCCTGTATTTTTTTTAGCAGGTTTTGACTTCAGAATAAAATTCTATAATACCTAATGCCATCCATGTTGCTACCCTTTGCTTCTTAACACCATTCCTAATCAGAATGCACCTATATGGGTGGGATTCAAATGACTTAACCATCCATATGCTTACTAATTGTATTAAATTTCTATTGCTGCTACAGCAAATTACCATAAATTTAGTGGCTTAAAAACCCAAACTTATTATCTTATAGTTCTGGAGATTGGAAGTCCAAAATCAGGGCTAAGCTCCTTCCAGTGGATCTAGGAAAGGTCTGTTTCCTTGCCTTCTTTAACTTCCATAGCTGCATTCTTTGCTTTGCTTGGCTTCTGGTCCATTCCTCCATCTTCAAAGCCAGGAGGGTAGCATCTTGCTTCAGTCAACATATTGCCTCTTCTTCTTCTGTATGTAGTCCAATTTCCCTCTACCTCTCTTTTAGAAGGACACTTGTGGTTACATTTAGGACCCACATAGATAACCTAGAATAATCTCTCCATCTACAGATTCTTAATTTAATTACATCTGCAAAGTCAACTTTGCCATATACAGTAATATAGGACCTGGATATTTTTGGGGGCCATTATTCAGGCCTACCATTCTAACTAATGTGTTGCACTTTACAGATTTTACCTTAATTCATAAGTACTTGTAGCAATACTAAACATTTCAGGCATTGCAGTGGGATAGTGGGGAGATACATTTTTGTTCAGAGGGTTGGGGGCTACTTTTCAGGACCCTTCAATTTACATCACTTAAGTCACTGCCTTACTTGCCAATGTGAAATGTTTATTGTTGCTTGACCTGGACAATAGACCCAGCTTTAACTTTTTCAAATGTTCATCACACAAACTTCATGTATTTTCTATTCCCACAAGAACTGTAAAATTTGGATGTGATCTTTTCAGTTTCTGGGCTAGTCTCTGGCCCCTCCTCCCTGTGTATAAGCTTTCCTGTAATGATGTAAATTTTCTTAGCTTTCAACTTCTTCAGGATATGGAGTCAACAACTCCTTTAGTGTAAAAGGTGAATAAAGCTCTGTGTAAGAGGTGTGCATATATATAATAGATAAAATGTTTCTTTAGTTTCCTTACCGCAAAAGAGGACTTAAAGTTATGATTTAGCAAAACATTGTCTGTTATACTGATTATATTACCAGATAAATTTATTGTGAGATTTATATAATTTAACAACATCCTTCTTGCAAAGCTAGTTTCATTAAACCATATGATGTAAATGGTAAACTGTGATCATTTAATGGATGGAATAGAGATTAACGCTTTTCACGAGCATATAAGATGTCAGAAATTGCATTTTTCTCCCCCGTGTAGCAAGATTTCTAAAATTATTTTTAAAAATATATGTAAAAAACACTGTTTTTCAGAGTGAGTTAAAAAAAAAAAAACAGGCTGGGGGACGGGTAGCTCATACCTGTCATCCCAGCACTTTGGGAGGCCAAGGCAGGAGAATTGCTTGAGCCCAGGAGGTTGAACCAGCCTGGGCAACATAGTGAGACCCCATCCCTAAAAAGCAAAAAATTTATTTGGATATGGTACTATGTGCCTGTAGTCCCAGCTACTTGGGAGGCTGAGGTAGGAGGATTGCTTGAACCCTGGAGGTGGAGACTGCAGTGAACCATGATGATGCCACTGCCCTCCAGCCTGGGCAACAGAGGGAGACCCTGTCTCAAAAACAAAATTCAAAAAACAAAAACAACAAAATACCTATAATGAGTCAAAGCTATATAGGCTGCGTTGGTGGTATAGTGGTTAGCATAGCTGCCTTCCAAAACTATACAGGAAAATAATTGTGGATGTTGAAATATGTAAAGGAGATAAAGTACTCAATATATACAAGAATCATAAAGAATATATTTATCACTTATGAAAAATGTGATGAAAGAAAATGTTACCTCCGTGGTAGAGAGAGGAAAAGAGCACAAATGTAAAATGTTTGGAAGCCAAATGAAAAAAAATGTTAACCGAAAAACTAAACTCTTTAGAACATTTTGAAGAGGTTTATTCTGAGCCAACATGAGTAACTGTGGCCCACAGAAACAGTCTCAGAGAGTCCCGATAAAGTATACATAAGACAGTGGATTACAGTTTGGTTTTATACATTTCAGGGAGACAGGAGTTACAGGCAAAGACCTAAATCAGTATGTGGAAGGTATACATTGGTTTAGCCCAAAAAGGCAGGAAATCTTGAACCAGGGGCTTACAAATTACAGGTGGATTCAGAGATTTTTTAAAATACACACTGACTAAAGGAACAAAATTGTGTCTAAACACTAGGAGTTAGCAAAAAAGAATGTTTAAGTTAAGATAAAAATGCTACATCAGAGTCAGGCAAATATGACCTGTTCAGCAAGGTTATTGGGCTACAGGCATGACTTAACCCTTGCCTTGCATGGCCTTAGGTCTTATTAATAATTTGGCATCTTATTGCCAAAAATAATCTATTTTATCAGTCTTATGATCTCTATTTTAACATTAATTCTGGTCAGTTTTGTCTAAATTTCAAAGGGGAGTGGTTACAACGAGGAGTATCTGATCTCCTTGCCTGTCACGGCCAGGAACTCAGTTTTTAAGGTTTCTCCGGGGTCACCTTGGCCAAGAGGAGGTCTGTTTACATGATGGGGGCTTAGGATTTTACTTTTAGTTTATAAGAGAAAAGGCAACATTGATTCAAATGGTCAGTGCATCATTCATCTTTTAAATAAAAAATTGCATAGTTATTCTTTCTGTTTAAAGCAGAGAACCTATGAGCACATATCTCTAGAGGTACAAGAAGCAAGAATTAAAGCTAACCAACTTGGAGAGTTTAAATACAAATCTGCACAAGGCAGTGGGCTGAGTCCAATGAATTGTTGAGAACCCCCTCCCCATTTTTTACTCATTAACTCTAGAATGACATGGAGACTACTGGACTACTAAGGGTATAGTGATATGTACATTTTAATTACTTTAATAAACAGAAGACCTGAGTCTATGGATCTGTACATTCAATAGAAACCTTAAAGCATAGACCTTGACTGTTTAATGAACTTCAGTTGCTAAAAGTAAGCTATGTTTATTAAAACCTCAGAATCTATACTCAAAACAACTAAGAACCACTTGAGGTAATACTTTTTTGTAACTTATTTTTTATATATGTTATGAGTAAAATATGGGAATGACTTGATTAAAATATTTTGGGGCATTACTTTTCAACAATAATTATTGGAACTTAAGTCCTCTTCCTTCATTAAAATAATTAGTGCCTCTCAGTTAATGTTAAAGTGCTTGGGTCTCTAACTATTTTGTTATGTAACAGGATTTCCCTATCACATAATGAGGGTCAGTTTTAGTCAAAGTTTTCCATAATGATTTGTGTAAATAAGAGATATAGTCTCTATTTAAATAATGTCTATTCCTGCGAATATCATAGTATACAGCTTTATAAGTAATATATTTACAAATATCATTTCTTGTAGTTAGACATTACCTAGAATAGCCACAGATTTATGGAAACGATGATACCACTCCTTCGCTTCTCACGCACATTGGAAAAGTAGAAGTGTCTTACACTGTTGTTATTAATGTTGTGAGCAGAATATTGGTTCAGAAATGATAAACATTGGTTTGTATTATTCTTTAGTGTTTTAGCATTAGAATTTTGATGCTCTAATTTCTTATATAAAATGTGCATTCCCAAAATAAATCTTTTGTATCAAGAAATTGTAGCAATCAAGGATTTCAGTTCTGTTTTCAATGACTCATGTGTGCGTATTATTTAAATGTAAACTACCATTTTTATGAATGAGTGGTCATCCTGTATGTTTGTAGTTTGAGAAACAGATATTGATTGTTGTCCTTCATTCCTTGTGTTTTAGACTTCCACAATGTTACTCTGGGTGAGTAAATCTCTACTCACTACACAGTTCTATCATTGCTCTGTGGTTCATTTTATATGACCAGGTTGTGTAGACTGAGCAAGTATGGGACTGATAACACATGTACTTAGGTTTTTGTTTGTTTGTTTTCATTTAACAAATGTGTTTATATTTTAAAAATAATTCCACTAAGTTTTTAAAATATAATATGCTAAATACAAAAATTGAAATAACATAGAACCAAAAGAATTAATAAAAACTAACAAAAATATACTATGCAAACATAACCACTTTGTGTACATGATTCTGGATATTAATAGAAGAATAAATATTTAACAGAAGGATGAGATGGTAATATTGCAAGAATGGGATTATGCTATATGTTCGTATTTTAATAAAATATTATACTTCAAATTAATTGATTTCAACAGAACTAGAAATTAATTTCATTGGCACAATTGATGAGCACATAGTTTTACAACAAAGATTCCGTTTTGATACCATGATTCTCATAGTTGATTAGCCTCAATGCTGTACATAAATGGATCTCATAGACTCATATTTTCCACAGCAAAAATTTTTTTAGTACAAAATACTTTTATTTCAGAAAGGACTTACAGGGAAATTTTCTTGTCTGTTTCTTTTATACAGAAAGGAAAATTTGGCTGGGCACTAATTTTTTTAGTGTCATTTTGTTTTCCTCGTAACTTAAAAATATTGCTTTCCTGTATCATAGTATTGGAGATTGTTGTAAAAATGTTTGATGCCAAGTAAATTAATTTTTATTCTACATGACTTACATTTTTAACTTAGACATACATGAGACCCTTCCTTTATCTGAGAAAAAACATCTTTTATTCAAAATGTTACATATAGTATTCCTAATTCTTTGTCGCTAATTTATGAGAATAGATTATATTGTTGATAGGTCAGAATCATTTTTTTTTCTGTATATGGTATGCCATTATGATATGTAAATTTGTTCTTAGGGGAGAAAATATTTCTTTCATTACATATATAGATATTTAATTTTCTACTAATTTCAGATATCTTTGTTTTTATTTTTAAAACTTTATTTTTAACAGACTTTTGGTGGAGTTTTTAGGATTTTCTATACATATTGTCTCAGTCCATTCTTAAGTCTCTATAAAGAGATACATAAAGCTCGGCAATTTATGAAGAAAAGAGATTTAATTGGCTCACAGTTCTGAAGGCTGTACAGGAAGCATGATGCTGGCATCTGCTCAGCTTCTGGGGAGGCCACAGGAAGCTTACAATCATGGTAGAAGGTGAAGGTGGGGCAGGCACATCCCATGGCAAGAGCAGAAGAAAGAGAGAGGGAGGGAGGTGCCACACACTTTTAAACAACCAGATTTCATGAGAACTCATTTACTATCATGAGGACAGCACCAAGCCATTCATGAGAGATCTGGCCCCATGACCCAAATACCTCCTACCTCTGTGGTGGAGATTACATTTCAACTGAGATTTGGAGGAACAAACATCTAAACTGTGTCATATATGATCATGTCATCTGCAAACAGACAATTTTACTTCTTTCTTTCTGATTTTGATGCCTTTCTTTTTTCTTGCCTAATTGCTAAGTCTAGGACTTCTGGTAATATATGGAATAAAAGTGGTGAGAATGAGAATCTTTGTCTTATTCCTAGAGGAAAAGCTTTCCGTTTTTCAATATTGAATATGATGTTAGCTGTGGACTTGTCACATATGGTTTTTATAATGAGGTACATTCCTTCAATACCTAATGTATTGAGAGTTTTTAATCATAGAAGTATGTTAAACTTTGTATTCTTCATTTGAGAAATATCTATTCAGGTCTTTTGCCCATTTTTCAATCAGATTATTGTTATTATTATTTTGCTATTGAGTTGAATTCCTTATATATTCTGGCTATTAATTTCTTGTGAGATGGATAGTTTGCAAACATTTTCTTTCATTCTGTAGGCTATTTTCACTTCGTTGAGTGTTTTCTTTCCAAGCAGAAGCTTTTCAGCTTGATGTAATCCCATTTGTCTATTTTTCGTTTTGTTGTCCGTTCTTTTTAGGTTTTACACAAAATTCTTCACCTAGACTAATGTCCTGGGTTGTTTCCTGAATGTTTTCTTCTAGTCATTTCATAGTTTCAGGTCTTAGATTTAAGCCTTTAATCAACTTTGATTTGATTTTTGTATATGGTAAGAGAGGTTCAGTTTCATTCTTCTACATTTGGTTATTCAGCTTTCCCAACACCATTTATTGAAGAGACCATCCTTTCCCAGTTGTATGTTCTTGGCCCCTTTGAGGTTTTAATTTCAACAATAGGCAATAACATCTTCCTTTTGAACATGTCTCTTGCTACATCAATTTTCAATAATGTAATTGAATATATGACAGGGTTAAATGGAACATTAATACTAATGTTTCAAATCCTGGTTATGTGGTAAATTTTGATATAACTATAACGAGCATTCTGAGGTTAGTAGCACTGTATTTTTCATGGAAACTGAAACTTCTATGTGAAATTCAGCAAAAATGTAAGATGAGCAATAAGTATGATTTATTTTCTATAGTAGATGTAGTTAACGGGAGACAACACAGGAATACATCATTTACAGTTGAGAAAGGAAATAAAATATGACTCTCCATTTATTGTCTTCTGCCTCACCCATGAAAAGCTCTAGTCTAAACATATGGACCACACCACAGAAAAATATAATTTTGTGTCTTTGAAATTCACATATGGAACATTGAACTTCTTGTTTACTCCTGCTATTTAAATTTAAAGGACAATATGAACAAAATATTAGACCACTTTAAGAGCCCTATTCTACTTTTTTACTGTATATAGTGTCGTCAAGGATTTCAAATGCATTTGGTGTGGAAAATAAAACTGGACAACTTTAGTATGCATAAGCTGGCTGGCTCCAGGAGAAAGCAACCCTGAAATGTATTCCACACACTGAAAGGATTTTAAAGGACTTTGGCTTCTTTCAGTATCACAAAGCTTTTCTTCTTGTCTTGAGCAGTTTGACTTGAGTCTATAAGCTTTATGTCAAACAAACTGGAACAAAATTTTGCATATCTGAAGAAAAACATCTTTTATTCAAAATGTTACATATAGTATTCCTAATTCTTCACCACTGCAGTCTCCTCCTTTATTCCCAATGTACCTGCCTTCTCTTTTTATAACTATGATGAGGTTTCCAGGTAGACCACTCACTGTTGCTCCTCCTCTCTTTCAGGAATTCTTTACGCTAGCCAAATTGAGAATAACTTGTTGGTCTCAGAAAATGCCAATTATTTTTCCCTTTCTGCATTCTGTTTTTCTTTCTTTGTCCTACCTGAAAATGCACAAATTCAAGAGAGAGAGAAAAAAATAGCTATGTAGATTAGCAATGCAAACAAAATTTCTCAGATAACTTCAACTGCTAAATGTTTAATGTCGGTAATGTCAACAGAATAAACTTTTAAATGCCTTAAGTATTTCAGAAGTGTTCCTTTTTAAATGAACAAATACTGGTCTAAGTATAATGTACTAATCTGTATCCATTAAACCAAAACACCTGTAAAATAATGAAGGTTTATTTTTTTTCTCACAATGCCAGAGTAACAGTTCTACATTTAACAAACAACTGTTAAGTTCTAACATAATTTTAGTAATTCAAAAGTTTTCAGTGGCTAATCTGAACTTCGCTTTACTATTAATATCAAGATTCATTCAATTTTCTTATTAGATAATAAGCTCTATGCAGGTAACTTTCCACAGAGTTTAACATAGTTGACATACAAAAATTTAATTAATTTAGTTTAGTTGAAGGCAATTCCTTTTTGTTTTACATAGTATGAGATTGGTGCAAAAATAATTGAAGTTTTTGAAATAGCAAAAACTGCAATTACTTTTGCACCAACCTAATAGTATACACAGGAAAATAAATAAGGTAAAAAAGAAAAATAAGCATGTTTTAAATCATTACAATAATCATTTTCCTTTTCTTTTTTCTGAGAAGCATAAGAGCCAAGAATCTATTATCACCCAACCCAAAAATAGAAGTTTAAAGGTGAAAGCTGAGAGGAGTTAAGTTGCCCCGAAGCCTCGCTCTGTGTTTAGCACAGGCTCCTGCTCTGATGGTTTGCTAGCATGCAGGCCCTAACTCATGCCTGTGGCTGCCTTTCTTGTAAAATGCACATTCCATTTCATAATCGGATGGATTTTTCAGGTCCTGCATGTGGAGAAAATGACTCCATTTCTCATGTGGTCTGCATTTCTTGTGCCTTATAGTACTCACTTGAGGCATGCAATAATCATCCAGAGTGTGTAGCTGAATGAGGACATCAGCTGTGTTTTAGATCTATAAATACCAGAGAACAACCTTTCCCATACATTTGAAGCTCAGTGTGGCAAGTGGAATTTAGAATAGCCTCACAAATCATAGCATTTATTTCCAAAATGGAAGATGAAATGAATCCAATATTCATTCCCAAAGATTTGGTGATACTTATTCTGATTTTTCTTGAATGTATTTGGATATAACAACAAATAATATTCTATGTGTTAGTTTATCTCTGAAAAGCTTTTAACATGACAAAGGTTAATTTTTTTGGGCTACTTCTGGAAAAGTGTTGGTTATGGATATTTAAGATATTTATTTTTGGAAAAGACTCAATGTGATACATAGATGGGAACATTTAATAATCAATTTAGGTGTGTTACTAGAATTAATTGTAATACATATTTATGTTAATGGTAATAATGGAATTTTACATGTAAAAGTATAACAGTTGGTCCCAGAATCCCACTTTTATATTATTGAATAAAATGTTCTAATATGTTCCTAATTTAGGTATCACATCTGAATTTATTTCTGCCCTACATGTTCCTAAGATTTTTATAAAAATAAATCTCTTAGTTTTTTTCAGGCTTTGCATATTTATTTCAATTACTTACTTTCTAATCTATTCGCTATACTTTTGTTCCTTTAACCATTAATTAAACATATCAACTCTTTTCAATTTCTAAAACACAGTACCTGATACATCCCCTTCTGTTTCACTAATCACACAGTAAAGGAATTCACCTGGTTTTCTCTGCAAAGCAATACCAAGTGCTGAGGCTTGATGTATTGTTTTGTTCTGCTCTGTTGTCTAATAATATGATAAACTTCTTTCAGCCTTGAGATAAGATGGAAGAAAAATGAAAGGTCTGGAAACACGGCAACACTGGGGAATATAAAAAGCCACATCAGAATTGGGATTTTGAGACATAACTGAGAAAGCTTGAATCTATTTACTGTGAATTGCTCAAAGGAAATACAAAAACACTGTGGGAAATACGTATATCACTGTATATTGAACACATTTTCTAAGTTTGAAGAACTTGACAGGTTACACCCATATTCTTTTCTTTTCAGGAGCAACAGAGTTTTATGTTATTGTAACATAAACATCCTGTCTTTCTTTTCCTTATTTTTATCTCTTCAATTGGTGCAATCCAGATAAAATAATTAGAAATACTGAGGAAAGGGACTCTTTGCCCATCAATCAACACCTTTAGTGAACACCTTCTTAATACCTCACTGCCTTGTAGAGACAACATTCTCTACCTCAAGAAAGTGCCATCTAGTTATTTCACAGAAAACTTTAATCATGTTTGCATTTTCCACGTAGAATGATCAAAATTAGTGTACTGGGTTTGTGGATCAAAGTAATTAAATTTGCATCGATAATCTTTGTACTTTAAAAAATCTTATTTCCTTTCTTCCTTATAGCTTATCTAAATCTTACTTTTATCCCCCTTTATTCCACTTTCATTACTCCGGGACACCCACCATGTGAAGTCCATTTTTTGAACTGTATGTTATCCACTTACAGATCTCTCTCCCTATCATCTGCTTCTTAAACATTCTTCCACTTTTCTCACAGCCAAAAATTTCTCAAGAAAATAATAAAATGAAGCTGATTTTGCCACAACAAAATGAATATGGTTTGATATCAGGAAAGTCAATTTTGTTGCTCACATGATTATTTCAACTTTTTTCTACACTCCTAAAAATGTCTACACAAAGATGAATAAGACATATTACCTTCACTCAAGGACCTCTTAATGTGTTAGATGAGATAGATGTATCTTTGTAGAATTATAATACAGTCAAGTAAAGGTCAAAAGAGGAATCCATAATTAAGAAAGGAGAGACTTCACTGAGTATGTACTTATCTACTAGAGTTTTATAGGATAATTTGGGAAGAATGGGAAAAGGCCTTTGCACATAGGAAAGACTTTGGGCCCCTTTTCACTCTCTTCTTCCTCTGCATTTTATCTTATACCTCTCTGGCTTCTCTAAGACAAGGGGTGGTAAATTATACCCACAGGCTAAATCGGGCCTATTAACTTTTTTTTTTCAAATAAAGTTTTATTGGAACACAGCTATGCTTATGCTTTAGGAAAGTGTCAAAATAATGCTGCTCAAGTTTTTCCCTTGTATTTTCAATCTGCATTGATTTAGTGCCATATATAAATACTACTTTTGATGGACATTTAGTTTCCTGTCTTTTAACATTACAGTTAGTGTTTTCTCCATTCCAACAAAATTCTCCTTGATCTTGATGTAATTGTAAAGCTGTGGTCTTTCCTCCACAGTATTAACAAGTATTAACAAACTGAAATACTCCTGGAATTCCAACTGCTTTATAGGAGGTCAACTGTGAAGAGATAAAGAACTCAACAGAATCAAATCAGGAGATGATGCAGATATTGGAATTATCACAGTTTTTGGACCCATATGCAATGAACAATTGAAAATGTAGATAAATTTAAAGAAAAACTATCATTTGCAATATCATAAAACACTTGACAATTAAGAATAAATCTGACTAAACATGCAAGATGTTTAAGATAATAAAGACAAAATATTGATGAGAGCAATTAAAGACACTTAACAAGGGAGAGGTATACTGTGTTCATGTATCTGAAAACTCAGTGTTGTTAGGATGGCATTTCTTCTTGAACTGCTTATAGATTCAATTTAATTTCTATCCAAACACTAGCATGCTTTTTAAATGAACATTGGCAAATTAATTATAATATTAATATACAAATGCAAAAAACTTAAAATAGCAAAATGAACTTTGAGAAAGAAAGTGAGAAGGCTTACAGTATCAGGATTTAAATATTACTATAAATCTACAGTAATCATATTGGCATAAAGATAGACATATGGAACAACAGATAAGAATAAACATTCCATATACAGAAACACACGGACACACATACACACACACACACACACACACTCATTAGCCACTAGATTTTCAACAAATGTGCCATGATACTTCAATGGAGAAATAATATTCTTTTCAACAAATGGTATTTGAACAACTGGGCATTGCTATACAAATAATATATTTTTTAAAAAACTCAATTTTTAATGTACTCGATTGTACATTATATACAAAAGTTAACTCAACCTGGATCCTATAACTAAATCTAAGAACTAAAATTATAAAATGTATCAAGGAGAAAATACAGGAGAAAATTGATAGGACCTTGGATTAGGCATAGATTTTATATATAGGTCATGTCAATGCAAATTATTTTCAAAAGTTTGATAAATCCTATTTTATTAGAGTTAAAAACCTCTATTCTTCAAAAACTTTGTTAAGAGTTGAAAAGGCAGGCCATAACTGGGGAAATATTTGTAAAACATACACCTGATAAAAATACTTATATCCATAATATATCATAGAACTCTTGCAACTCAATAATAAAAATGTATAAAATAATTGAAGACACTTAACCAAAGAACATATATGTATTAGTCCATTCTCACATTCTATAAAGAACTACCTGAGACTGGGTAATTTCTAAAGAAAAGAGATTTAATTGGCTCATGGTTCCACAGACTGTATAGGAAACATGGCTGGGGAGGCCTCAGGAAATTTACAATCATTGCAGAAAGCAAGGGGAAGCAGGCACATCCCACATGGCTGGAACAGGAGTAAGAGAGCAAAGGGAGAGGTGCTACACACTTTTAAACAACCAGATCTTGTGGGAACTCACTATCACAAGAACAGCAAGGGGGAAATCTGTCCCTATGATCTAATCACCTCCCACTAGACCCCTTCTCCAACAATGAGGATTACAATTCAACTTGAGATTTGATTAGGGACACAAATCCAAACCATATCAACATACGTTAAGCAAAAAAGCACATAAAAAGATAGTCAACATCATTTGTCATTAGGGAAGTGCAAATTAAAACCACAATGAAATACTACTACTTACCACTAGAATGGCTAAAATGTAAAAGTACAACACCAAGTACTGAGAGGGTGTAAATTAACTTAACTCATATATTACTGCTGGGAATTCACGATGACATGAATTCCCAGCTTTGGGAAAGAGCTCCGCAGTTTCTTAGAACATTACACTTACTTCCCGTATATCCCAGCAATCCCACTCCTGTATATTTACCTAACAGAAATAAAAGTGCACATCTATTCAAAGTTCTACACACTAATATTTGTAAACATTTTTATTGATAATAGCCTCAAACTGGAATCAACAAAATACCCATTAATAAGCTGGATACAGATATATCATTCAATTCCACTAAGCAATGAAAAACACTAATACATGTGACAACATGAATGAATTACAAGATCATTTTACTGAGTGCAAGAATCCAGATGTAAAAAGATATATATTATTTGATTCGATTTGTATGACTTTATGACAAAGGCAAAATTCTAGCATCAAAAATTTGATTGGTGACTGATAGCGACTGGAATATCGGAAAAGAGATTGACTATTAGCGAGCATGAGCAAAATTTTTGAGATGATGAAACTGTTTTATATCTTGATGGTGGTGGTGGTGATGTGAATGTCTATACATTTTCCAAGATCATTAAACTGTATATTTAAAACGGTGAACTTTATTCTATATAAATTATATCTTAGTAATACTGACTTAAAAACAAAATATTAATCTCTTTTTCATACATCAAAACCGTACTTCCAGTTGACTAAAGACCATATCCACCTGGATGTACTACCAGGTACACGCATTGCCATACTGAATGCCAAACACATCTATGTCTAGGCTTTGTCTTGATTTTTCTGATAAAACAAGTATTTTTACTCTCACCCAGACTAGAAACTTTTGAGTTAATTTTGATTCCTCTATTTTCTTCACATTCAGTAAACTTGCAATTATTTCAAGGCCTAATTTTTCCAAGGCTCTTGCATCCACTTCCACTTTCCATTTCTTTTTGCCTCATTTTCATCCTAGGCATCATTGAGTTTTCTCTTTCCTGTCAAAACTGCTTTTTATCTAATGTCTGAGTCTCCACGTGTCCCCATTCTAACCACACATTTTTGCTAGATTAATAGTCTCAAGCAAACACCATAGGTAGTGTCATGGTTCTGCCATTTATTAGATATTTTATGTTGAGAAATTTAATTTCTTTTAGCTTTCGCTTTCAAAAAAATGTGTTCATCTATTCAGTTAACAACTATTTATTAAACACCTACCGATTGCCAATCCCTGTTCTAGGTACTGCAGTAATGAGACTAAATCTCTGCTTTTGCAGAACTTATTTTCCAGTGGGGAAAGGCAAATATAAAACAAGTAGAAAATAAGCACAATAATTTTAGATGTTTATAAGTTCTCTGAAAACAATAGAGTATAATGATATAACACGTTTAGGTAGTTTGGAAAATTATAGTCGAGTCAATGACCTTAGATTCAGCGATCAAGGAAGGCCTTCTGACATTTTCAGTGGGATCCAAATAATGTGAAGAAGCTTATTCTGAGCAAATCTACGGACAATAATTCAAGGAGAAAGAACAGTGAGTGCAAATGTCTTGAGGTTGGAAGATGTTTGATAAGAAGAAGAAAGGCCAGTGTGACTAGAGAGTAATGAGTGTAGCCAGACATGGGAAGGTGGAAATGATCTCAGAGAATTATCTATCTGCAGGTCACCCATGGCCTTATGGAACATTACAAGGTGCTTGAAATTTCTACAGGCAGTAGAGGAAAAATGAAGGATTTTAAGCAAGGCACTCAATGAATCTGAGATATATATATATATATAATTTTTTTTTTTTATTTTAAGACGGAGTCTCGCTCTGCACCCAGGCTGGAGTGCAGTGGCGAGATCTCAGCTCACTGGAAACTGTCCATCTCAGGTTCACGCCATTCTCCTGCCTCAGCCTCCAGAGTAGCTGGGACTATAGGTGCCCACCACCACACCCAGCTAACTTTTTGTATTTTTAGTAGAGAAGGGGTTTCACCGTGTTAGCCAGGATGGTCTTGATCTCCTGACCTCGTGGTCCGCCCACCTCGGCCTCCCAAAGTGCTGGGATTACAGGCGTGAGCCACTGCACCTGGCCAAATCGGATTTATATTTATAAAAATAAGCCTTATGATAGAAAATAGATTAAAAGAAGGAAGGGAAAATGCAGAGATACTGGCTAGACATTATTCCAGTAGTCTACATAAAAAATAATGGGTAGGGCTAGAATGATAGTGGTGGGCATACTGAGATATGAATGGATTTTACTAGGTTTTGAGGTTGATCCATCAGGATTTGCTTACATACAAAGGCAAGTGGAGAAAAAAAGGAACCACACATTATTTCTAGGTTGTTGACCTAAACAGCTGGGTAGATAGTGACACAATTCACTTAACTGAAAAAAATCTCAGAAAAAATACATTCCAGGGGGAATTTAAGAGTGTTCTGAATACATTAATATTGAGGTGCCTATGGGATATTCAGATAGGTTCCTGATCAGGAATATATGCTAAGCAGAAAGATTGACATAGGATTCTAGAGCTCAAGAGGGTGGTTAGGACTAGTGACATATATTTGGAGTAATCAGAAAATACAATACACGGTATTAGAAATTTATGGGCATGGGAGATACTACATGGGCAGATAACAGAATACTATGCAGAATTGAGCCTTTGGGCATTCAAAATGTAGATCCTGGGAAGGCAAGACAGCAAAAGGGATTGGGAGAATGGCGAGGGAACTTGAATATTACTAAAAGTGTAGTATCAGAGATGCCAAAAGAATAATTTTAAAAAGGAGGAGTAATCAACTCTGTTAAATATTACCAAGATAATAATTAAGATGAGGAAAAGAAAAGGCAATTGAGCTGGATGATTTTTATAATATGACAAAAGTAAGTTCGGTAGAGTGTGCTACAGAAGCTAAGTAGTTTGCCTAGATATAATTAAAACGTTATTGGTACTATGAAAATCAAAAACAGATGGTGAAACCATCCTGAGAATGGCATCATATAGGAAAATATTCTTTAAAATCCCAGTGGATTCGCTTTTGACCAATAGGTCTTCTAGGATAGTTTTAAGTAATAGCAAGTATAAGAAAGAGTTTTGGAATATTATATTTGGGAGTCTTCTTTATCTGAATGGGAATTAAGATCAGAATGATAAGAGTTTTAGAAAGAAACGGGGTGACGAAAGCAAAAGTGTGACACTGGCATTAGTGGCAAGGTTAATAAAAAAATCCCAAATATGCCATATTAAGGCAGAAATTACATTACCATTGTCAAAAGAAAAATTATAACAAATTTATTTATAGATCTCATCGGCTTTTATTCACAATTCATGAATTGGAGCAGCCTCGATTCTCCGAAATAGAGTGGGAGTTCCCACTGAGCAATAGCGGAACAGTGAGTTTTATAAAGTGTGGGCCAGAAAACAGAACAATAGAGAAAAAGAAGAAGCTGATTGATTTATATTTAGTAACTTCATGTTACTTTTTTTTTTTTTTTTTTTTTTGTAAGGGTTAAAGCAGAGGGAATGTCCTTATTGTGTTGATTCGGGTAGACTGAAATTTTCTGTTTTTAGGAAAAACTAGTCTTTTTCAGGATCTATCCGCTTCTTTAAAGCTTCATTTTGATTGTATGACATTTAACATGAGTGACTCACTTTTGGTGGGTCTGGTCTATTGGGACCTAGTGCAAGAGGTCAGTCGAAAACAACGGTCTCACATAATGTTTGTTTAACCCTGTAAATCTGTGAATTATTTGTGCAGGTATGATAATACCATGCTCAGAAATCATACAATTGCATTCCCTTTATTTATTAATGGAGATACAGAGAGGAGTGAAAGCATTTGGTATCCTAAAATACTGAGATTATGCTTAGAAATGATCCAAGTTCATAAGTACATTTCCTGTTGAAGTAGGCAAATTATCTAGCTGAAAATTCTCATTAAAGGATTTCATGGGCCAGGTTAAAACCTGTACTACTTAAAACGGTATTGAAAGGAATTTCAATGCAAGACTCATCTATTTCTATTTGCTCTGTGCTAACTTTGAAATGACATTTATGTAATCTTTACTTGTATGCAGATTTATGTTAATGACATAACTGATGCTTGGAATCTAAATTGATGTGGAGTGAAAGCAAAGTACTGTAATTAAAGCTTTGTGAATATTGGCCTTTCTGAAAAGAATCTTGAAATATCAATGGAATTCAGTTGTACATACAATGTGTCAGGTCTGCGTGGATTGAGCATATAGGGATTTCATTATATATTCCTTTGCCAGCATCAAGCTTATAATAGATGTGAGAATAGAGGGGTTTCTCTACAAATATACTTTAAAAAGAATAATAGGTAGACTGTCCATTACTGAGATTAAGTATTTGAAGTCTTCAAAACATTTCTACTATTTTCTTTTTGGATAGGTGGCTAGAAAATAATACACTAATCTGATTTTTTATTAACAATACACTTACTTTGACTTCTAATAGCCTGTTCATAGAATTAACTTTAAGGCTGAAAGGAAAATGAGCTTCAAGAACGTTTATTCTATAGAAACTGCAATTAATATTCTTTGTGCTTTATCCAGTATAATGAAATTGATAATTCCCTTTAGGGAGTCAGCCAGTTGGGAAATAGATGGAATTTTTAAGAATATATTAATTTAGAAGATCCTGGATTATAGTTGAATCTAGACTAATTGTATCCCTAAGTAAATGATAGGTTTGGTCCCTTACCTCTGTTTGTTTTCTTTGTGATTATTTTCCTTAATGTACTTACACTTTTCACAACCGCATGTCACAGCTAGTATCTACTTAATTAAACCTTTATATTTCATTGCAGCAGATGTATTGCCTTATCTAATAGTAATAGGTTTTCATCACATACAGGGTGACCTGCCTGCACAATTGAGTTGCTGTCAATTCCTAGCATGGTGAGCACATGCCTATCCCTGCTCTATTCCTATGTGTAACAAGCTGCTTCCTCATTTTTTTAATTCCTAGGTTGCATAGATCTCTGCTCAGCAAACAAATAAACATCCCATCATCTATATTCACTTATTGTCTGCTTTTCTAACATGAATCCCAAGTGGATGAATGTTTCTATATGCTTTTGTGTTGAAAAGTCAATTGTTAGTAGGGTCTTCTTTTGCTATACTTGTTATCTTCAACTATCACTTATATGTAAGCTGTTTATTGTGGCAATAACTTCTGCTGAAAAACTAACCTGTTCTACTGAGAATTCTATCAATGTAAATAGATAAACAGA
Organism: Homo sapiens; assembly: GCF_000001405.40. Taxonomy (NCBI): domain Eukaryota; kingdom Metazoa; phylum Chordata; class Mammalia; order Primates; family Hominidae; genus Homo; species Homo sapiens. Next base: position 210,947,780 of record NC_000002.12, read on the forward strand.
TGCTGGATTACACATATCTGTACAGAACTTTCCTAATGCTCTATCTTACTATTACCAGTATTTTATAAAACACATGCACACAAAGAACAACTACAAAACCGACTTTTGGGAAAGGTTGTATTAAACTAACTCTCCTATTCAAAAGCAATTATATACTCTGAACTATATATATATCTGTATTATATATATGTAGTGTGTGCACATGCAAGCACACAAACACACACACACACTCACACACAATTATTCGCAAGCACTGAAGAGTGACCAAAAGCAGGCAGAAACAGAGGGGGGATTCAGTCCTTGAAAAAAAATAACACTGAGTGAAAGCCACATTGATATGACATGCTCTAATTAGAATACAGAAAGCTGCTGTTTTATCACCTGAGGAGTCAGCGGTTGGAGCATGGGGTTGTAAAGCAGCTGAAGATTGAAAGGTGATGTCTTTGAAGTGAGGACGCTGCATAAAAGAGAGCCTTCAAATCTGCATGCAACACCCCTCAAATCTTTGGCCGACCTCTAATCTATGCATGAATGGGACACATTCCAAGTAGTCCAGGGGAAAACATTAGTTAATTGAACTAAAGTACTGAGCAGAAATTTAGCGGCTGCTTCCTGGAGGGGAAAGAAAATCTTATTCAGTTAGAGAGACTCTAGGACTAAGGAAAAAAATTAAAATGGATCAGTCTTTACAAACATAAAACCAAGCCTTCACATATTAAGAGATCCATTGGTAATGTAATTGGCTGACAGAATAAAACTCAATAAATTATTAGAGGAAAATGACAAATCCAGACTATCTACAAGATATTCAAGGTATTATGCCCAATTATAAGATTTGTTAATATACCAAAAAAAAGTGTTAGTAGAACAGAATGACAGATTATCTCAATATTAGAATTATCAGGCAAGGACATTAAAATAACTCTGATAAATATATAATAAAATATGTATGAAAAAGATTTCTTAAGAGATGGACAATTGAAAGACATATATGAAAATTACTAAAAAGAACTATATGGGAAGTCAACAATTGGGAAAAATTAGTACATTTAATTTAAAAAATGATTGGTGTAATATTTAATAATAATACAAAGATCAACTCATTAGGAATAATTACCAAATATGTACATAGTTAATAATAAACTATCAAAATATATGAAACAAAACTTAACAGAATAAAGAGAACAATTTTTTAAAAGTGCAGGATTTTAGTACCATTCTCTCTCTAGTTGATGGAACAAGTAAGCAAATGCCAGGCAAACTACAAATATATAGGAGATTTAAATAGCAACATCAATTTGGCCAAATTGACATTAATAGATCACTAAAATATACCTCATTTTTAAGTGTACATAGAACAAGCGCCATAATAGACCATATATTGGGCTAAAAAATAAGTCAGATTTTAAAATATTAAAATCGTTTAGAGCATATTCTCTAACACAATTAGAAATAGTTAAAAACCAATATAATAACATTTCTAGAATATCTTGCACAGTTTTAGAATTTATGCAACACAATTCTAAATAATGGATAAGTCAAAGAAAAAAATCACAAGAAAAATTAGAAAAAGGTTTTTACCTGAATGATAATAAAAATTTGTGCAGCATATCAAAATTTGTCTTGGAAACTTCTTGACTACAAACACCATAAACATTATACAAGAAACTAGAAAACATTTCTAAGAAAAAATTTAGAAGACAGGTAGATTGAGAGATATACTGTCTTCAAGAATTGGAAGACTAGGCTGGGCACGGTGGCTCACACCCAGCACTTTTGGGAGGCCAAGGCGGGTATATTACCTGAGGTCAGGAGTTCAAGACCAGCCTGGCCAACATGGCAAAACCCTGTCTCTACTAAAAAATACAAAAATTAGCCAGGTGTGGTGGCAGGTGCCTGTAATCCCAGCTACTCCGGAGGCTGAGGCAGGGAGAATTACTTGAAGCCAGGAGGCAGAAGTTGCAGTGAGCTGAGATCACGCCACTGTACTCCAGCCTAGGTGACACAGTGAGACTCTGTCTCAGAAAAAAAAAAAAAAAAAAAGGAATTGAAAATTAAATATTGTTAAGATATAAATTTTTCCAAAATTGTTCTCAGATTCAATACCCTTCTAACAAAAATCTCAGTAAGCTTTTTTGTAAAATTTGATAATCTCATTTAAAAATGTGTATGAAAATGTAAATGACTTCTTAGAGTCAAAATAATTTTGAAAAACAACAAAGTTGGTGGACTTATACTCCCTGATTACTATGGCAATCCAGAAAGCAGTTTTTAGATAAGGATAAGCAACTAAATCAATAGAAGAGAAAAAAACCCCTCTCCCTATCCCCCTCCCCCTCCCCCTCCCTCTCCCTCTGTCTCCCCCACAGTCTCCCTCTCCCTCTCTTTCCACGGTCTCCCTCTGATGCCGAGCCGAAGCTGGACTGTACTGCTGCCATCTCGGCTCACTGCAACCTCCCTGCCTGATTCTCCTGCCTCAGCCTGCCGAGTGCCTGCGATTGCAGGCACGCGCTGCCACGCCTGACTAGTTTTCGTATTTTTTTGGTGGAGACGGGGTTTCGCTGTGTTGGCCGGGCTGGTCTCCAGCTCCTAACCGCGAGTGATCTGCCAGCCTCGGCCTCCCGAGGTGCCGGGATTGCAGACGGAGTCTCGTTCACTCAGTGCTCAATGTTGCCCAGGCTGGAGTGCAGTGGCGTGATCTCGGCTAGCTACAACCTCCACCTCCCAGCCGCCTGCTTTGGCCTCCCAAAGTGCTGAGATTGCAGCCTCTGCCCGGCCGCCACTCCGTCTGGGAAGTGAGGAGCATCTCTGCCTGGCCACCCATGGTCTGGGATGCGAGGAGCCCCTCTGCCCGGCTGCCCAGTCTGGGAAGTGAGGAGTGCCTCTTCCCGGCCGCCACCCCGTCTAGGAAGTGAGGAGCGTCTCTGCCCGGCCGCCCATCGTCTGAGATGTGGGGAGCCCCTCTGCCCCGCCGCCCCGTCTGGGATGTGAGGAGCGCCTCTGCCTGGCCGCCCCGTCTGAGAAGTGAGGAGCCCCTCCGCCCGGCAGCCGCCCCACCTGAGAAGTGAGGAGCCCCTCCGCCCGGCAGCTGCCCCGTCTGGGAAGTGAGGAGCATCTCCGCCTGACAGTCGCCCCATCCGGGAGGTGGGGGGCAGCCCCCACCCGGCCAGCCGCCCCGTCCGGGAGGGAGGTGGGGGCGCCTCCGCCCCGCCGCCGCCCCATCCAGGAGGTGGGGGGCGCCTCTGCCTGGCCGCCCCTTCTGGGAAGTGAGGAGCCCCTCTGCCCGGCCACCACCCCGTCTGGGAGGTGTACCCAACAGCTCATTGAGAACCGGCCATGATGACGATGGCGGTTTTGTCGAATAGAAATGGGGGAAATGTGGGGAAAAGATACAGAAATCAGATTGTTGCTGTGTCTGTGTAGAAAGAAGTAGACATAGGAGACTCCATTTTGTTCTGTACTAAGAAAAATTCTTCTGCCTTGGGATGCTGTTGATCTATGACCTTACCCCCAACCCGGTGCTCTCTGAAACATGTGCTGTGTCCACTCAGGGTTAAATGGATTAAGGGCAGTGCAAGATGTGCTTTGTTAAACAGATGTTTGAAGGCAGCATGCTCCTTAAGAGTCATCACCACTCCCTAATCTCAAGTACCCAGGGACACAAACACTGCGGAAGGCCACAGGATCCTCTGCCTAGGAAAACCAGAGACCTGTGTTCACTTGTTTATCTGCTGACCTTCCCTCCACTATTGTCCTATGACCCTGCCAAATCCCCCTCTGCGAGAAACACCCAAGAATGATCAATAAAAAAATAAATAAATTAAAAAAAACAGAAAAAAAAAAAAAAACAGAAAAAAACCTACCTGATGGCTTAGCCATTTCATTCCTAGATATTTACCTAAGAGAAGAAAAACGTATGTCCACCAAGAATTCTGTATTAGTTCATTTTCACACTGTTATAAAGAAATGCCTGAGACTGGGTAATTTATAAAGGAAAGAGGTTTAATTGACTCACAGTTCTGCAGGCTTAACAGGAAGCATGTCTAGGAGGCCTCAGGAAACTTACAATCATGGCAGAAGGTAAAAGGGAAGCAGGCACCTTTTCACAAGGCAGCAGGAGAGAGAGGAAGAGAGCACAAGGCGGGAAGAGCTCCACACTTATCAAACAAGCAGATCTCGTAAGACTTACTCCTCACTATCCCATGGGAGTAGCATGAGGAAAACCACCCCCATATTTTAATCACCAACCAGATCCCTCCCTCGACACATGAGGATTACAATTTGGATTACAATTCGAGATGAGACACAACCAAACCATATCAACTTGACAAAAATATTTGTAGCAGTTTTAATTCACAATAGCCAAAACCTCAAAATATCTCAAATGCATATCAACAGGACAGTGGATAAACTAATACTGGTATATTCACTCAGTTGAATTCCCCTGACCCATTGAAAAGGCATAAAATACTGAGGCATGCAACAACATGGATGGGTTTTGAAACACTGAACAAAATAAGCCATAGGCAAGAGTACATACAATGTAAGTTCATTTATACCAAAGCCTAGAAGAGATAAAGTAATATAAATGAGGACAATGAGTGCAAAGAAGGAATGTATTGACTAGCAAGTAGTAGTTGAAAAGTTTCTGAGGTGACAGAAATATTTCATGTCTTGATTTGAGTGGTGATACATAAATATATACAATGTCCCAAACACACGAACTATGTACTTAAAGTCTTTGCACTTTCAATTTTTCAAGATGTTAGGGAAACATATAATTCTTGCGAATTACGATAAAATTTATTGAGCTAAAGGTTATTAATGCGAATACATAACTTTAGTCTCTAGTAGAAAGAAACTGAAAAAATTATGTTATATTCTTATTTATTCTATACTGGAGAATTAATTTTGTGAATTTCACAATTTAAAGTTCAGTTAAATTAAATTGGGCTATCTTCAGATGTGCTTTCTGTTTTTTCTTTTATTTTCTCAAGAATTGAAGAGTAGCAAAAATGGAGAAGAAAAATAAAGATATTTTTTATTCCCCTCGAAAGAAAGATTTAATAGAAGTGTCAGTACTGTTTCTATATTCATTGGACTTTTTAGTGTATTCCAGCCACCTTTCCAATTGCCAAAATCAGAATACCTGAGTTTGATGACTATTTTTCCCAAAGAAACTGCAGAAAGTCATACTGCCCATGTGCACAGCAAGTTGGAAGTGCCAAAAAATCAACACCTTCTCCTAGAAATTCTATTCAAATAGCTTTTGAGAATTGGTAGATAAATATTGCAACTCCTTTGCCCCTTGAGTGGGAAGGGTCTGAGGCATGTGTTTTGCACCGTTTCCCAGAATTTCCCTGTGGGATTAAGATTAATTCATCCTGGGTGCTATCTGGCTTATTTTACTGGCTGCTTCCACATTACACCTCATGTTGCATTTTCAGGGATCACCTTCAATAAACATTTTTGGTGGCTCCTACGGAGAATGTGCTCACAGATTGAGGCAACCTTCCTCTGCTATCTTTGCGTGTATTTTGGAAACAATTTTAAAACCACTGACAAGTTAAACCGAGATATACAAAATATACAGGGAAATTGAATTTGAGTGATTCTTTGCAATGTTTTTGAATATAGGAGTTAATATATATACATGCTGTATTGTCATATTGGTATTATTATTGATCTCGAATAGTTTTCCACGATTCTGAGGTCATGCTTCTCAAGAAGCATTTGAGGCTAAGGAATTTATTATGACAATTATATGTCATTTACTGAATCTGAAGAACTGTTTATCAGAAAGCCCAACTCCAAGACTAGGATGGTTTGTATGCATTTGTGTCAATAATAGTGTGTCCTAAAGTAAGGTAAAAATAAAGTCAAAAGACTCTTCTCAGGGCTGAGTTTCTTAGAGATACACATACAAACCTTTTTCTCATTATCCCATTCTTGGCATGTCCACAGAAGCAGTGTTTTTTCATTTATCTTAGTAGTCATCAAGACACATAGTAATTAACTTGTGGTGGTATACTCTTTTCCCTGCTATTTATTTTCATGGTGAAAATACACATGGTTTGGCTATGTACTTAATAGCACAAATGTTTATCAATATTGCAGAAAATCTGTCACACTAAATTTTCAGAAGGATTTATGTCAACATGAACATACACACTTACATGTACTAGCTTTTTAAAATTCTAAAACAGAAATAGGTTGATATGATTTTAATGTCAAATAAAATCTTAATTGTATGTAGACTAATCAAAAGTGTGAAAGTTATCTAAAGATCTTTTAGTTACAGGGCTATTCTAAAATCTGAAATCCTCTTTTCAGTAAAATTGTTGCACCAAATTATTTTTTCAAATTTTAAAAATATGAGATGCCAGTTTCTAGTATTATCTTTTCACAGTTGCTAACTGATACTTCAAGTTTATATCAATGTTTTGATTTAAGGGTACTCTATTTTCTCTTGACATCTGGTTTAAGCTTTTTTGACTGTGGGGTTGTTCTGAGATGTTTATTGCTAAACTCATGTACTAACTAACCCACATGTAGATAAAATATGTTCATGTTTATAAGGTCAACTGTCTTAACTCCTTTCTGAAAAGTGTTTGGAGTATATAACTACATTAAACTTATTTTAAAGAATAAAAATACTGCACAACTGTACACACTTTTAATGTTCATGATTTAAAATATTTTAATTAGGTGTTATCTGTCTTTCTCACACCCACTCTCTGCCCCTACTGATGTTTAGTGTGTGTCTAATTTCTTTAAACAGTGTTTAATATTGAATGTGTTGTGTTTTTTAAGTCACTCTGCCAGATTTGGAACTACATCTGTGGCCTATTCCTTTCTAGTTCTGCCCAGCTTTGCTGCTGATATTATCAATAGTGTTGTATATAAAAGCCGAATGCCATTATGATTTAGAGACCAATCCTCTGGCATTGTGCCAAATAAGTCTAATTTGGGATCTGGGGAATGATAGACAAGAAAATTACAACTGGAAGAAATGTACATCGAATTCTAATTGAAAGCATGAGGCTTGGGGTGTTTTGTTTTTTTTTTTATTGTGCATTTTGTTGTTGTTGGGGGAATTTTAAAAACCTGGAGTTCTGTTACAAAAAAGCCACAAAACAGGTGCAAAATGGTACATTTTATTCATTTTCAGGAATAACAGCATAAAATCTTTATTGATATAATTGTGAGACTTCACTGAAAATTATGATTTTTAATAACTGTATCTGTTATCTTTAAGCAAACCAAATCTATTTGGCAATTATTGGTGGAGTAACTAAAAACATTAAAAAATAATTTGCTATTTCTCTTCTTGCAACTTCTAAGTTTGAATTCATTCCTTTTTAGAGATTCAATTCTTACCCCTCAGTGAAAACCTTAAAATAATTGGATATCTTGTGTTACTCAAATTTAACATGCCCAAGGTCAAGTTCAACAAAGAAAGTATTTCACTGGTAATATATTTAGGAAATGCTACATGTTTATCCCTCTTGATTCAGATTTACTGCCCCCTCTTTGTTTCGAATTTTGTGTTGATGGCTATTTTTTCCAGTTTTCATAGAAAAGTTTGGAGTTATCTCATTTCACATACACTTATAAGAAGCATGTTTATCATTTCTTACTCTCATTTCCCATATTTAGTATTTCTACAGGGTTTGTTGCTTCTTCTTATGAAATGCATTAGGATTTACTCATCGTCTTATCCCATGCTTCTGTTTCTAGCTAAATCTTATTCCAACTTCCATTTATTCTTGCTGAGTTACTGTCTTTCTGAACTGACTCCAATCTCTCTCCCTTTCTACTCACCCTGGACTCTGCTTATCTTTCTAGAACTGCCCCCAACTCTTCATCCCTTAAGAATTTGTGATGCCTCCTTTTCACCTGTCTCCTAAAACAAGTCTCCTCCGGTAAGTTTTCAAATCCCCTCATAACTATCCACAGACTACCTAACCCCAGTGCATATTTCAATGGAGACTTCATTGGTTTTCTTATCTCCCAACATCCAGGGCTATTCATAGTGACTCATAGGCTTGACTCAGGCCTTAGTGTTTTGAAACAATGCAGTATTTAGGCATTTATTTTAAAAGACGCTAGTGCAATTCAGTAAGGTTCTAATTGTTAGGTGATCCCTAACCTTGTTTTCAGGATGATAATTTGATAACTTGTTTATAAAAATTGGTCCCGAACATGTGCCTCCACTTCATTAAACTTGTCTATGAAATTGTGAAGAATCAATGTTATATATACAATATTATATACAAGTATCATCTACTATATAGGATAGTGTCTACCTTCTATCTGCTTGTGAAACTTAGGCAGAGAAAGTGCAAGGGTAGCCTGTTGTCATTGCTACTATTCTTTAATATTTTTATATAACTAGAATGCTTCTGGTTTTATTTATAGCAGAATGTGCCCTACTGTACAATGCAATAATTTGTTATTGGGATAGAAATCTTGAGATGTCTCTTAGAAGTACCACCTTCTGATTTGGTGCCAAAGTATGACAGACAACCAGTCCTATGCATTGTTTGAGAATGTAAGTGAGATCACACCAATTACCAAGATTATAACTAGTTTTCCTTGATATTCCTTGGGCTCTCCATTTGTTCAGCATGTCTTTCAGAGCCACATATACCAAGTTTAAAAAATGTTACCACAAATTATTCATTTCCTTAAGCAATAATATGTTTTATTCACTGTGTCAGATGTGTTGTGGAAGAATAATTACTCTATTTTGTGATTTTATAAAGTGTATTTTCTATATTATTATTAAATGTCTGATTACTTGAGATAAACCAGCCATCCTCTTTTTTTCACTACTCGGCAAGAAAGGAAGAAGAATGAAATTATTTGTGTTATGGAGCACAGTTTATCAGATAATCCCTGTGATGGAAAATATTGTTTCCCAGATATCAACAAAATGGCATTCTTTTTCCTATTTGGCATTACCTTGAATAGTTAAACTTAAATAAAGAAAAATTTAAAAATGTAAAATGTGCATATTTTATGCTGTTTTCAACATTAACACTCAGAATTGCACATCTTATCTAATTATTCTAGATGCTTATGAAGAATTTTGAATTATTTTCTCTATATTATCTCTTATGAATCCTACAAGGAGGAAAGATGAGTTGTAAGATTATCAAGACCTCAGCCTAAACTATTAACGGACAATACAATGGTTAGTCACTTGATGTATAATTTTATATGAAATTACATTTTATGGTTCTTTCAGACCATTTCTAATACTGTGTAAATATGCATACACTTGCAACATATACATTTTCTGTTAATTTATTTTGCCTTGAGAGTATTACCGATGTCTTATAGGTATCCATTTAGAATAAGACTTAACTAATACTACCAGGGCCTTACAAAGTGAGGGATATAATTGGACATTTAGATGATAAACATCTAGAGACCAATTTTATATTAGTAAGGCATAGCTTAGTTCAATATTTTCATTCCTATGTATATGCTATTGATTTAGTATCCCTTTTTTGGGTGTACAATTTTCTGATCTCAACATATTTTCTTTTTTAAAACAAATAAGACTGAACCAAGCTAGCAGCTTGTATCATGTGAACTATTTAAACACAGAGACCCAATAGCAACATTTAAAACCTGGGAACTCTAGTGCATGTTATAGCATTCTCAAATCTTTAATGGTTACAAATATACCCAGAATGAAGATCGTGTATTTTCTGTACCATATTTGAATCAATTTTTCAATCTACAACTTAAAATAATAGCAATTTGTTTTAGAACTCTTCTATGGACTAATGTGTGTAATGCTGAACTGAGAGTTCCCAAGTGGTCCTTGAGGAGAAAAACAAAGTTCTCCTTTTTAAAAACAGGCATTCAAAATTCTCCATATGCATGTAATAATAGATAACATCTGGTATTCTGAATGTTAATGTTGGGAGCAACTTTCAAAATCTAAAAATTTTCTATTTTTTTCATTTTCTGCATTTCTTTATATTTATTCCTTTAGGATAAAGAGCCGTGCAAATGTCTGTTTCCCCCAGCTGACTGGTTGTAGGGAGGTGACCGAAGTACACTGAATTAAGTATAAGGCTCATTTTGTTAATTCCATTCCTTTGTGAATTCATGGAGGATTGCCCTGACTCACTAGAGTGGGTCTTGTTTTGTGCCCAAAAAGCATTAACACCCTGTGCAGTCGTAATTTTTCATTCATAGAGATCCAGTCATGCATCATAATCATAATTTCTTTACAGCCTCCTCTTTGGGTATCTCTATTTATCTGGATTTCAGAAAGTAGGGTACCTTGTTAGGGAGTAGTTTTCCTGCCTGACTGAGGAAATCTATTCACCTGGCCTTGGCCCAATGACCCTCTGTTTCCATTGCCAGATTTAATAGGCTCTTCTAGCAGGGCCTTACGATTTCACAATCTATAAGCCATTAGCTAAAGCTATACCAAACCTATGAGAATCAATTCCAGCATATGTGGGATTTCGGTTTTATTGCCCAAGAGTCAATAATAAATATTATCCCTCAACATGCCAGGAGTGCACAGGTGTCTAACTTCTTTGACCTTCCAGCTGGATTATTTTGAAGTATTTACTTTCTTCCTGCAAACCCGCAAGCTCTTACAAGGCAGCAGTAAACCATTTTTAAGACGTGATCTTGTTGATTTGTTTGGAATGATTCAGCTGAATTTTCTGTTTGCTTTGTACTTTGAATTAATTTTTTTTTCACTCTTGCTGAGGGAATGTGCTAATGTATCTTCCTTCTCACATTGGGGAAAACGATAGATATATAAAATAATGTTTGGTCTGCAGTAACTCTATTTTCCATTGTAGTTGAAAAGGTTAGTTCCAAAGTAGGAAACCTGGAAGATTCCTGGATATAGGAGCACCAGCAGAAGTAGCATTGTATAGGGCCACTGTAGCATGATCTTCATAATATTTCATTCCTGGCCAGTCTTTTCTATAGTAACCTAAACCCCAAAGAGAGAAAACTTTCCCATTTGAGGTAACAGCCAGTTCTTGGGCTCAGCCAATTATTTTTATTTTCTTTATTGGTCTTGAAATATGTCAATTGCCCCAAATTCAAGTAATACTTAAATGTAAATGTATTTCTAAATAAATAGAAATGATTTGGGGTATATTATTTTGCCTATCCTATATGTGATCTCCCTTCTGGAATGGTGGAAAATAGTAATACGTTTTGCATTATTTTTAGAACTGAGTCAAAGACAGTGGCAGTTTCTAAAATTCCATCTTCATCCTGTTATTTCCTAGACCTCTTGCAGTTTGGTAAGGCTATGTGTTTAGTCCTGAGCAGTGTCTTAGTGGCAGAAATGACATCTATTGCGTGGTGACCATATAGTTCTCTCTTCTCTTGTTCCTGCAAACAAGGAGATTGTGTGTTGGGATGGTGGAGCCACCAAATAACGAAATCTGAATTCCTGAATAACGGTGTGGAAGGTAGTTACATCAGAAAGTAGCTTAGGTCTATAATGATCTTTGCATGTGTGAAAAGCAAACTTTTATAGTATTAAACCCTGATAGTGTGGTGTCTATTTGTTACCAACACATCACATACCTATCGCCAATATGTATGAGCACTTGATAATTTGTGAAGACTGTTTGCAAACATTATTTAATTCGCTTCCTGAGAACCACTGAACAGATAAGGAATTTGAGGCTCAAGGAAGGGCTTACTTGTCCCAGATCAAACTCGTAGTAAATGGTAGTGACAGGTGTTATAATGTAGATCTTCCTTCACATAGTTCATGGTGCAATCTATTGTATCTATTATCTTTTTCTCAAAATGAAACCCGCTTTGGCCACATACAACATCTTGATCTAAAAAAATGACATTGAATCATCATAGAGTCTAATTTTCCTTCTTAAGAAGGGTGGCACTTAAGTCTCTGTAATCAGAAAAGGATTCCTTCTGTATATAAATTTTTCTTTTAGTGTTTAGAATTTTAAGTGTATATAAACAAAACTTTGGTAGATATTACCACAGAGAATTATGCTTTGTCTTAAAGACGTGAAAGCATCTGAAAGTATTATGAGAATTACAACATATTTTCAAAGTAAATTGTTTGAGTAGGAAGCAACATTGAGGAATCTGTGAAAGCAAATATTTCAGTAGGTTATTTTCCCCAAAATTTCATTGCTTGTAGTAAAAATACCTACCTCATAACAAGTGATACTGTAATCAAGGTTCTCAGTTTTCTATACAGTATTTATTGAATTAAAATGAAGAGGGAATTGGTGAAAATTAATGCAGGGTTATGAGTCCCTACTTTTTGTTTTTTGTGACAGATCTTTGCTCTTGTTGCCCAGGCTGAAGTGCAATGGCGCGATCTCGGCTCACTGCAACCTCTGCCTCCGGTGTTCAAGGGACTCTCCTGTGTTAGCCTCCCGAGTAGCTGGGATTACAGGCACATGCCACCACGCCAGGCTAATTTTTGTATTTTTAGTAGAGACGGGGTTTCATCATATTGGTCAGGTTGGTCTCGAACTCTTGACTTCAGGTGATCCTCCCACCTCCGCCTCCCAAAGTGCTGGGATTACAGGCATGAGCCACCGTGCCTGGCTGAGTCCCTACCTTTTAAATGGTCTATATTTTTCTTATGTCTGCAATGTGTATTCTACTGTGTTTTTGTTTAACCAGGCTTGATTTCTGAACCTCATTGTTACTTTTGCTGTTACAGCCTTCTCAATAGTTATTTATTTCATTTGTACCTGCTAACTAGCTTAAAATAGCATGCTAGAAAGACACCTGAAAACCACTCAGAAGCAGGATCAAAGAAACAAGTAGATAGTTTATATTAAAGTTAAAATAGCCTCCTATTTCCTCAAATTTGTATCAAAAGCCTACATCTCATTATAAAAAAATTTGGGGGGGGGAGAAAAAAGTTGAAGAGGTTAATTTTTTTGCATGGCTAAAGAAAAATCTTTATCCTGTGCCAAAAAATTAACAACTAATATAGTTACATAGGTTATGAATATATTCTTTTATTAAAACATAGTTAAAATATGCTTATGTTTATGTACAATAAAGGTCTATGAAAAATCCTAGTTATAGAAAATAGCTACAAATAAGGACTTAGTCCTACAAAAATAAAGCAAAACATGATAGGAATGCTAGAATCATAAATATTAAGAAGTGAGCCCTGAAGTTCTTATTTCAAGAAGAATGTGCTAGAAGAGATAGCTCTGTGATGCATTTGTGGTTTTATTTTATAAAAATCAAAGATACTCTTGATACTCTGAAAGTATACACATAAATATCTAAATATATTTATATATTTCTTATAAATATCTTCTGTATGGGATGCTCAAGACTAAATAATTTTTAAAAATTTTTCTAGTTTGCAAGTGTGCATGTGAGCACACCCACATAAATCCCCATGCTACTTTAACCTTACTTATATTTTGGCATTTATACTTTAACTGTATATCAAAATCCATATCTCAAAGAGACAAAAAAGCAACTTGAGTTTGGAATAATCTTTTCTGCATTAGAATTGCCTGCTCTCTCTGTAGCAGTGTGGAGGAGTTGCTTGGCTAAGCAGTAAAAGTAGTTCTGTGGTCAGCTACCATAAAAAACCCGAATGGTTTTTCCTGGCAAGGTATTTTCAAAGTATTTGTGTCATGCTCAGATTGATTATTCAAAGTTGGTTTGACTTGACATTCTTCAGGTATTAGATAACCGAGATTGTTCCAACCAGCCTTTCTCTATTTCTTTACTTACTCATCTTTCTCTCTCTCTCTCTTTCATCTTCTTTTCAAAGAGAAAGGTGCTATGTCATAGAATTTTGTCATGAACTCATCTTAAGCTGTTTGTTATTGACTCACTGTAGCCAAACACAGCCTAAATAATTATGGATTAAGGTGTTCATAATATGATTTAAATTATGAGTGAAAAAGCATGCATTATGCATATTTTGTCAATGAGTTTTTTCTATGTTCATTTATAAGATTATTTGCTTTGGTGTTCTGGACATCTCTCAATAAATGTCATGTATTATTGTGAATATTAAGTGGTTCCACCTCGCCACACTGAATACACCACATTGTACAAATTTATACTTGACCTTGAAACAATGAACTTTCTCTTTAGAAAATTTATTTAAGACAGTGGAAAACTACAACACTGGTAACAAAACATAAACTGAATAAGAATATTATCAGCACTGAATATTGTCAATAATGTATAATTTTGAAAATAAAAAAACCTCTCACAGTTCAGTAAACTAAATTTAAGTAATGCACAAAGTAAATCACTCATGAAAACAAAAACAGAATAAACACCAAGTTTGTTTCCAAATGCATCATTATAACCTCCAACAAGGAAGGAAAGTAGACTGATGAATCACATAGGTGTGCTAAAGAGAATTCAATGCCGTACATGTGGTCTAAATGTTTTGAAGTGGTCCCTTAGAATAGTAGAATTTTAAAGCTTTTATTATGACGAAACACTTAATACACATAAATCAGTATACATGACATGTGCAATTAGAAAAAAAAACTGTACTAAAATTAACACCTATGTGCCCACTGCCTGGTTTACAGAGTAGAATGGTATCACATGGTTATCTGTGTTCCACTTTCTGATTTCATCACTCTCCTTCCCAGGAGTTTCATACTTCCTATCTTTGTCTTTATCATGACCTTCACTGTCATTACAGTTTTGCTAAAATTGTGTAGAATATTGACTCTCTATCCTTTACTTTTACATTTTTAGTTTTGTATATAAATGGTACTGTAATTTGTGTATTCTTTAACTTGTTTTCCTTACTCATTTTTATGTTTCTGACATTCATCCAGGCTATTTCTTATAACAATAGTTTTGCTATTTTCACTGCATATGCCTCATTTTAGTTGTGTATTTATGCATGTATCTCATTTTATTATTTCATTCTTTTGCTAATTGATATTTGAATGGATATAAAAATGATGCCATGAACATGTGTGTGGTTTGCTGTCGGGGTCTTACTTTTGAGTGTAAACAAGAATCCTAGAGTATGTTCTATGTGATGCCAAAGTGCCTAATTGATGGTGTTAATTTATACTTTCATTGGCCATTTGTGAGAAATCTTGTTGTTCCATATTCTCTTCAATATTTAGGATTGTCAAACATTTTCATTCTTGTCTTTCTCGTGTATGTAAAATAGCATCTGACTGTGGTTTTAGTTTGTTTGCATTTCTCTGGTTAGTTATGAGTTTGAGCACCTTTTATGTTTATTAGTGATTTGAGCTTCTATGAAATATTTACTTATCTTTTTGTTCATTTTCTATAGAGTTATTATGGTTTTTACTGATTCAAGAGGTGATGGATTTTTAGTTATACATGTTATAGATATTCATTCTCTCAGTTTGTGACTTGTCTTTGTACTCTCTTCATAGTGATTTTTAGTAAAGAGAAGAGGTTTCTTCTTTATGGTTTGTGCTTTTTACATCATGCTTAAGAAAATACCTCCTATATTTTTCTAAACATTCTTCTAAAGTTTTAAAAGACTTGTTTTTTACATTTAAGTATTTAATATACCTGGAATCAATGTTCATGCTTAGTGTGAAATATGGATGCATTTTTGTTTCCTAAGAGGAAAGCCAATATGCTTTAGTATCTTTTATTCTGTGGCTGTTTCATTCATATATACTTGCTGTTTCTGAGTTCTCTATCCTCTTCGAGTGTCCAGTTATCCAGCTCTGCACAAATATGACACTGACTTAATTATTTAGCTTTATGATAAGATTTGTTAGCTGTTTTAACCACACTCTTCACTCTTCACAGAACTTCTCTTCTTCAAACAACTTTGTCTCTGTTTGGCCCTTTGATATTTTATGTATTTAGAAGCAGCTTGCGAAAGTCCACAAAAACTCCTATTGAAATTTTGATTGAAATTACAATGACTCTTTAGAAAAACCTGGAGAAAAATGACCTTTGAGTTTTTCTCTCAGGAACAAAATGTGTCTATTCATTTATTCATGTCTTCTCTAAATCTTTCATAAAATTTATAATTCATATCAATAAAGATCTTTCCCATCTTTTGTAGATACATTTCAAAGTACCTAATATTTTGGTTGTTGTTGTAAATGGAATCTCCAATTATTGTTTGTTTACTTAACTTTTTACTATACTACCCAGGACATCTAGTTCAATATTAGAAAGAAACAATGATAGTGACAGAATGATTAGATATAATCTTATTGTTGACCAGGTATGGAGGAAAAGCCTTGCAAATCAATGGAAACGATAGTTATCTCAACAACTTCATCTAAAACAAAGGTACTCCTGGCAAATACATTTTCCACTGGCTTTCCATCATATCTAAAATGTCATCATTTAGAGATCCTTTGAGGATCAGCTAAGATTAAACTGTACTAAGAAGTATGAGAAATGTAACTGTTTCAGCACCCTTCTGGTGATTTACACCTTAACAATGATTAGATAATATCAGACAATAAGAAATGAGGGTTAATTTTGATGGAAAAAAAAGTAAATCTCCTTTCTGAGTCATACAGGAGAAAAACACCCAGGTAACAATTCCTCTTATGTTATCACCTGGGTGACTCAGGATGGAGAATTGTTTTCTTCTACAGATCTGGCAGATGTAACTAATAGATATTTGCAAGAACTGCATCTTCCAAGCTGCTTAGCCAATGGCACCACACAATCTGTCTTTTAAGGGGGTTTTCTTTGAGCAATGGAAACAAATATGTGCCTGAATTTTGCTTTGAAAGATATGTCAACAAAACCTCTGGAATTACCAGGGAAATGTACACGGTGAAATAATGTATGCATCTGAATACAAGAGGTAGTGGCGGCCTGGCAACTATAGATATGTACATATAACCTTTGGGTTTCCACTAAACATGCTGCTCCTTCTTCACCCATTAGAATTCTGTGCTATAGTTTATAATAATGACTTTTTCTTGTAATTTATTGATCAACTGGAATGCAATTTATTGATTGGGTGGAATATAAATGTGGGTATGTGTGTGTGTATAAGACATCAATACATTTAAATTGTGTCTTACATATATGTTTAATATCTATGCTTTTTATACAAATATGAGCACCTAAAAAGAGTAAAGTTATCACTGCTAATTTTCAGGATAGGAATCTTGCAGCTAATGGCTTCCTTTATCAGGTAAGATATATGAGTAAAAATAAGATGATAAATAGACTGAGGTTATGATGAGTGGAGGTTAGGGTACCCATATTTCAGTTTCATATTAGGAGTCATTGATAATAAAATTGGGAGTCAAGTTTGCAAATTATTTTTCTGTTAACACCCAATCCAACTACCCCTAGAGGGGCAAAAGAGTCTCTTAATGAGAACAATGATTGCCTAGGTAATACCAAGTAGAAGTAATACGGATGCCTGTTTCACTGATAATTGTTATTTCATATTGGTTGTTCTAGTGTGGAAAGCACATAGTCTTACAGTAAAAAACGGTTAAGCAATGAACTTCTAAGATGACTTGTCAGACAATAGAAGCCAGAAGAGTCCTCAGAGCTTTATGTCACCTAGGACATATTTGTGAATATGAAAATATTCTTCCACCTTCCTGCCAGCTCACCACAAAGCAAAATTTGCAAGAAAATCAGGTCGCCTCAGAAATCCACCACAAGCTGCCAAAGCTTACAATTTCTCTCTCTTCTAATGATTTCTGGAGGTAAGAGGCTAGAGAGATTAAGAGAGCAAATTATTTTCTAGTACTTAATTTTTTTTTCATTTTGCTATAAAGACAGAAAATTGCATAACATACCTTTTCAAATGAATAAAAAATATATTTTGGGAAGAGCTCTGCCACAGAATAACTGAGTATTATGAACAGATTATTTCGCAATGCATTTGTTCTCATCGTGAATCATATTAATAGGCCAGGGTTTTCTGTGAACCTTGGGTGCATAAAACATCAGTAAAAAGAAAGCACATCACCAGTGCTGATCTGAGGAGATGATAGGAAGACGAGTGTGCTTGACTCCATACTGACTGGTTTTCTTTAAATCCTTCTGACTCTGCAATAATTTAGAATATGATGTTAAATGATGAAGAACAAATAACTGATATTATTGGAGTAGTTCACACTGTACCAGGCATATGTACATCATTTAACTAATTTGACCCTCTCACCCACCCTTTAAGGTAGGTGATATTTAATTTATTTCACAGACAAAGACAGTTTGGTTCTCCTTAGATGGTAATTTGGTATAATGAGAATGGCAGAATTGAGAGAAAAACTTGAGTCTTCTGATTCCAAGATGACTGCTCTTTACATTGGGAGTTATTTATCTGGTCGACAATAAAATTTAAATTTTAGATCACAGAGAGAATATATATATATATATATATATATATATATATATATATATATATACATACACACATATATACACACACACACGTGTGTGTGTGTGTGTGTCTGATTTCAGCCCCATATTAGGAATTATTGAGTCTGAAATTGAGAGGCAAGTTTACAAATTAGTTTTCTGTAATGCCCAACCCATCCTATAGAGGTAGTTGAATGATGACTTAAATATTTGGCCACATCTTGCACGCATAGCAAAAATCCTTCTATTTCTAACATTTCCTCTTCATATTTATTTAGGACACAAGCTGTTAGAGTATTAAAAAATAGTATGTCTTCCAGAGCATAAAGTACAGGGTCCAGGATGAAGAATTCCATTTCTGTCTTCCTGACAGAATGTTTGCTTAAGTGGGAACACAGGATACATCTATACTGCTAGATTCTTTGAGAGAAAATGTGGGCAATTTTGCAATCAAGGGCATTTTCCTGTCAGTGCCCCATATAGTCTGTTGATGAATGGATTTCTAATCAACAGCATTGTTCCATTTGAGCACAAGTTAGTAAGTCTAGAAAATTCCATAAAACCAATTTTAACTGTGTTATGCTTAGCATCAAACATATCCGGTGGCCTGGAAACAGGTTAAAAGTATGCTAAAGTTGTAATATGGCTGTTTTTAAACTTGCTTGAGGGTAAGATTCTCTGATTACCCTTCAATAAGATCTCATATCTCTTGAACATTTTTAATGGCTTTGACAAATGAAATTTACACTAGAGTAGCTTTGGAGGATCCCATTTGCCACCAGAGGGAATTTTCAGAGGTTTGAAAAATTTGCTATGACCAATGAAACTATAAGCTTATTGACAGTCCTAATAAAATTGAGCAACTTTGTCAGATCTCCTTCCATGCCTTTCTGTATGTCAACAACTATTTATTGAGTGCCAACAATGTAGCGGTCACTGTTGTAGATACTAGGGATAAAAATACCATTGAACAAAACAGATAAAGTTCATGCCTCAAGGTACTTCTAATTCATATGAGGCAAAAAGATGCTGACAAAATAAATACACAATGATTATATTAAGTGATAAGTATTGTAAAGAATAAGGCAGGGAAAGGAATAGAAAGTGGTGGAGAGGACAGTGTTTTCTGTATGTAGGCAGAGATCTTTGCCCTGGTAAGGAAAAAGAGAAGGGACCTGAATGAATTAAGGAAGAAGCCATGAAGCAATAGTGGAATTAAGCATTCTGAGAAGAGGGAAGAACAGTGCAAATGCTATGTTTGTGAGTTGCTTTTTGTGTTTGTTTCTTAAGTGTGGCTGAGAACAGAGGGGGAAATTGTTGGAAATGAGGTTAGAGAGGCAGGCAGCTCAGGGTGGTCATGCAGGCTATGGAGGGACTTTGCAGATTCCCCTGAGTAAGATGAGAAGGAATAGCCATTAAATGGATGACCTTAACTGCTGTGTGGGGCTTAGAATGCATAGAGCCAAGAGAAAAATCAGGCAGACCAGGCTAATGGGTAAATTCCAACTTGCCAATACCTGGGAGGTAGGTCTACCCTAAGTGGAGAGCAGGTGTTCAGCTTCCTGTTTCCTGCTGCCACTTCTGAGAGAAGCCAGTTTCAAAACTCCTTCTCCATTATCTTCCCTTCCTGAACACCCATTTTAAGTGTAGGAGTGGCAGAGAGGGTATACTAAGGTCTGAGTGTATCTATAGCTGGTGCTCAAACATCTCTGCTTGTTCTTTAGCAGGTGCAACCAAACATTTCTGTATCCTGAGCTCCACCTCTCTTCCTTAAAATTTGCTGTTTTGTGCACTGGCGTAGAGAGTTATAGTATAAAGCCACAATGACAATGGAAGGTTACGGGACAAAGCCAGAATGACATATAGAATCATCCAGATGTAAGTCCAAGTAGAAGACTGAGAAATGCACTATTTGATAATCTGAAGGAACTGTCTATGGCTTTTTTTTCCCCTTAAATCATGAAACTTCTGTTAGTGCTTCAAAATCTTTACAAAATATTCAACTTAGTATCTCTTTGGGCTACCAACATTCTGACAAATTAGTAAAGTATAGCCAAATTCACTCCATTGTCATCATATTCCCATTTATAGTGATTTTTTAAATGATTTCCTTTCTGGGTGTAACCATAGAAAGACTTTTGAATACAGCTATTTTGAAACTGTAAATTACAGCATAATTTTAATTTCAAAACTATTTGCAAGTACCAGTGTACAATACTGAGAACTTCTTTATAATGTTATTTTTAAAACCTACATATTTTAAAGGGGATGCTGTCTAACTTTAATCATTTCTCCATTTAATGTTTTTTGTTGTTGCTCAAAAGAGATACACGTATCTGTGATTTTTCTTGTATATTAACAGTTTCGGTGAGGATCAAAGTGACCTTAATACAGTCTACCATAAAGGAAGTTTTTGTCAGCAAGGACAAAATGTTTTAGTCACTGATACATAGTGACTTTTCAGCTTAAATACGATGCTTATTGATTAATACTTTTGACGTTTATTTTCATCGTTAAGGTGTTTGTTTTCAGAAAGCAGCATGTGTATTCACTAATGGTCATTTTGATAACTAAGATATTATTTTGAAACTTTTATGATAATTTCATGTTTAACTTTGAATGTGGCTAAGTACTTTATACTAGAGATTTTTTAAAGCATAAAGAATACATTTAAAAATTATAGACCAGAATCACAGAGTATTTATCAGCAGACATCGAAGGTGAAATAGATTAAACAATATTACTAAAATATGAAAAAATAAGAACTTTTCTTCATTTAAAATATGCATAATTAGAAAATGGTAATAGTCTTACCTAAAAGGAATTCCATATCCAAACTGGGGTATCCATAATTTTCTATACATTAAAGAAGAGATGTGCCAGGTAAATGTGGTTCCACCAGAGTTTTATGCTGTCCAAAAATAGATTAAAATTGGTTTCATTTTATCTTCTCAAAGATTCAGAAAACCTTATGACTAAAATAGTGTACAACATAAGAAGTTATTAACTTGGAATTAATATGAACTGGAAAATCTTTTCCAACTCCCACAAGTCTAGATTAGTTGTCTTTCCTTATCTTATCATAGCATGGAGAACTTAATAATTATTATAGCACTTATTGTATTATAATTTCTTTTTACTTGCCTGTCTACTATGTTAGACCATAAGCCACTCAATGACAGAAACTATATCCTATTCACCTTTATATTCCAACACTTATCACAATGCCTATTACATAATAGGTTAAATAAATATTTATTGATATGATTATTCTGTGTGTGACTTTAAAATTGGGGGTACATAATCTTGGTCTACCATTTACTCCAGCCATGAATGAGCCAGCTAGCTTTGTGCAGCTGTGTCTCTGCAGAATCTTCTATCTCTTTATTTTTTATTTATTATTATTATTTTTTGAGACAAAGTTTCCCTCTGTCACCCAGGCTGGAGTGCAATGGCAGGATCTTGGCTCACTGCAACCTCCACCTCGAGGGGTCAAGCGATTCTCCTGCCTCAGCCTCCTGAGTAGCTAGATTACAGGTGCCCACCACCACACCTGGCTAATTTTTTTCACTTTAGTAGAGGCGGGGTTTCACCATGTTGGACAGGCTGGTCTCGAACTCCTGACTTCAGGTGATCTGCCCCCCTCAGCCTCCCAAAATGCTGGGATTACAGGTGTGAACCACTGCACCCGGCCCCTTCTCTCTTTCTTCCCCAGAGCTTTGCAGACATTGCAGTGGAGATGCCTGAGAGACTATGCCTAACAAACACCCATGTGCAGCCTGGAAGTGTTAGACATTACTTTCCCCTAAGGCAATCACTGACAATGAAACACTAGCGTTAGTGGATAAACATTCCCATCTTTGGTTCCTTAGGTGAACAAGTCTGCAGCACATTTAATACATTTCCATGAAGGATCCTGGTGGGGTGCTGCTCAAGTTACCCACAGTGGAGATCAGCTGGAGAATCCAGCGGCCCATTGCTTTGCCCTTCTCTGTTTCATCTTACCCGTCTCCCACTTAACTGCTGCCTGAAATCATTTCTCAAATAAAATGTCTTTACATACACCTTGTTTTAGGTTCTTTTTTCAGAGAGCATCTAATGCTATAGACACCACCTAATGAAACTAATGAAAGTTATATAAGTCATCTGAGTATCTGTTTTACTGTTATGCGAAATAACAGATGAAGAAAATAGACCTAACAGCAACAAAATAGCACCCACCATTTACCTGGGTAGGGACAATGTTCTAAGCTTACAAGAGTGAAATTTTATGCCACATCAAAAGTCGTCTCTCAAGATCAACTTGGTACCTTTCTTTCTCTTTCTATATATTTATTCAGAGAAATAACTCCCAGACTGAACAGGTAGGAGGAAGAGGAGGAAAAAAAGAGGGCATTTTCAATTATCTTCCCCTAAGACTAACATTTTAAACAGAAGGTGGATCAGACAAATATGACCACAGTATATGCCACAGGAGGCTTATCTTGCACATGCTACTCTACTACCCTTTCTGAACAACTTTTGCAATCAGCATATGACTCTAGTTTATTTTATGAGTAACATAAGTCATCTTTGTAAATTGGCAGATAAACCTTTATTTATTAGTGGTTTATTTCAATTTGCTTATATTTGGTGTTTTTGCCTGTAGATTTAGAGTAAATATTAAACCACAGTTTTCCCTTTGTTGTATTAGATTTTGGAAATATGATCATAGTAGATTTATAGAATACAAGTATAATTTTTTAATATATTTTTATTCAATGTTTTAGAGCAAATTATGTAATATTGGCCTAAGCTTGCATAAACAGCCCTGTTGTGATGATTCGGTGAGTTAAGATATGTAAATATTAAAATATAAGTACTTAGTGCTGGGACATAGTAAGCACAAAATAAATTCTAGTTATAGACTTCAGAGAGAACATCACAATAGCTTAGGTACAGATAATCTTCATACTGTTGGTAAATGAACTACTCAAAAAAGTTCACTGAAACACCTGATGCAAACTGCAAACCAGGAAAATCTGTCAGCTTGACACTGCCTGCCCTCACTCCACTGGAAGATGCTTCAGACTCGAATATAGAAATATTCCCCACTGGCTGCTTTCTAGACTAAAAAAAAAAAAACAAAAAAAACCCCCTGAATTTGTAGTTTGTTCTAACCATCAACATTTGTTTTCCTTTTGTTTTAATAGAAATGCCACTTATTTAGTAACTGGCTGATCATACCATATAGAGGCCTAACTTAGGTGGAAGCCAACCTGCAACATCATTTCCTGAACTGAGACATAACGTTTAACTGTTTAACTGGAATGATCTATTCTGGGGTCTGAGAAACTGGTTGAATGGCTTTTGGGACAATCCACCAACTCAGCTTCTGGACTATAAAATTTCTTAGGGAAGTTTCAGACAGGAGAATGTTGATGTTCAGGACACACCACTTCGAAATATGGTACCTCAGCATTTGGAAAACCAGCAGAAACAGGAAAGTCTGACTTTCCCCCACCCTTATTCCCTCAAGCAGGCCATAAAAGAATTATCTGACCTTCCTGTAAAGTGAGTCATAAGATGCTCATTCCAGAGGGGTCCTTCCTATACCTAGAGGAAAGAAGTGTCACATGGGAACACAAAGAGTCTGAACAAACAGATCTTATTTATGTCCTCCCAGTTTATTACCTTTATACTATATCCTTTTGTCCTCCAATAGTACCCTGCAAGACTGTGCATAAAAATGCAGCGCGCCCTGTTTGGGGAGGTCATTATTTCTGAAACCTTCTGTGTCTTGTGAAACTGATTTTAAATAAATGTGTACATTTTTGTTTTGTTAATCTGTCTATTGTTTTAGGGTCCCAGCCATGAACCCAGCAATGGGTGAGGCAATATATCACTCCTCTCCCACACAGTACTGTATTTGCAGACTTGCAACAAAATTTATAACCTAACTAAATAGAAAAACGGGTGAATAAGTTATGGCCATCTGCATGACAAATTATCATATATTCATGGGCAATGTGTTTTCAAGGAATTTGTAATAGGATGTCCTTTGAAAACACCATGCAATTATTGTTTTCTTTTTTATTTTTATGGGAAGCAGAAATAATTAATCAACTATGGTTTTAAAAATTCTTCTTGAGCAATGGGTCTTATGTTTCTTTACCCCTTCCAATAAATATAGGATGCACTGTGAAGATGCCATAGGAGAATTTGCAACTACTGTTTAATGTTCCTTTGTTTAGAAATCTGCCTTGCTTATTATTTCCATTTTTATGACTTTATAAGTAAATTGAGTTAAAACTGGTTCCCTTGTAGATCAATAACTTAAAAAAATTCATAGATGTCACATGACGCACAATTTCTTCTGTAAGGAAGGTAATAAAGCTTGACTATTGGCGAGGTTGTCTTTGAAGGATCTTGTCTGTGGGCTGAACGTGTAGTCCTACTGTTCTAGTGTTTGGAGAATGTTTGGGTTATCAAAGAATTTCATCTCTGACAGAGTATGTTATATGTAATCAAAATATTCAGAGTGCTTCTTATGTAATTTTACTGGTCTGTGTCTTTTGGTCACCAGAAACTTTCCTTTCAGTTATATTTAAAAAATAAAATAAAAATTAAGCCACAATTCACCCCTCAAAGGAAGTAACAGCTAAATTTGACAGTGCCTAAATCAGGCATTTAATAGAAATATTATTATAAAAATATTAAGTGAGAAATGTGAGCTATACAACTCTATAGTGATAATATTCCAACTGTATATGTGTCTGTGCTTGTGAGAAAAGAAAATAGAAATTATACTAAAACGTTAACAGTGGTTTTCTATGGATATTAAGATTATGAATATATTTCTTTTCTTTTTCATTATATATTTCCAATTGCTCCACTATAAACATTAATCACTTTTATTTCAAAAAAAATTTGGTTAATCAATTTTAATTGACAAGAAAAAATTGTGTGTATGTGTGGTGCACAACATGTTTTAATATATGTATGCACTGTCGAATGGTTAAATCAAGGAATTTAACATATACATTACCTCACATACCATTTTTTGGTTTGAGATCACTTTAAATCTATTCTCTTAGCAATTTTCAAATATATAATACGTTGTTAGTAACTGTCGTCACCATGACATACAATAAGTCTTTTGAACTTATTTTTTTCTGTCTAATATTTTGTGTCCTTTGACTAACATTTGCCCAATCCTCCTACCCCAAGCCTGTGATAACCACCAGTTTACTCTGTTTTTATGAGTTTCACATTTTTATACTTCACATATAAGTGAGATTATGTGGTAATTGTCTTTCTGTGCCTGGCTTATTTCATTTAACACAACATCCTCCAGGTTCATCCATGTTGCTGGAAATGGCAAAATTTCCTTCTTTTTAAATGCTGAATAGTATTTCATTGGGTATATATACCACATATATATAAAATGGAATATTAAAACCCCAATATTGGAAAATGTACTAGGGATACATACAAAAAATATGAAATGAACAAGTTGAAGAGATACATGCACTCCCATGTTCACTGCAAGATTATTCATAGTAACCAAGATATGGAACTAAATGAATTACTCATCAATAGTGGAAAAATAAAATGTGTACTACTTTTATAACGAAAAAAATGTATATATTGTTTAGAAATTTATTTAGAACTCCCCCTTCCCTTGCTAGACCCATGTATTTTTCTCTGTTAGCCTTGAGAACATGATAACTGCTATTCTGGTAGCCAACCAAGAGATTGTGCAAATCAGGGCTTCTATTGTCATGCAGGAGACTACAGCAGAAATAGCTGAAAAGTGCACACCTGGCTGTTCTTCCCCTCATCAGTTCCCTCAAATAAGCACACACTTACACACTTCCTATGACATTTTCTAATGGTATTTCTACTGATGGTAGCCACAGAAGAGGAAAAAAAATAGTGTAAAGATAGGCAAAAACAAGTTTAAGATAAAGTTTTTTTTATTATTATTATACTTTAAGTTTGAGGGTACATGTGCACAACGTGCAGGTTTGTTACATATGTATACATGTGCCATGCTGGTGTGCTGCACCCATTAACTCGTCATTTAGCATTAGGTATATCTCCTAATGCTATCCCTCCCCCCTCCCCCCACCCCACAACAGTCCCCAGAGTGTGATGTTCCCCTTCCTCTGTCCATGTGTTCTCATTGTTCAATTCCCATCTATGAGTGAGAACATGTGGTGTTTGGTTTTTAGTCCTTGCGATAGTTTACTGAGAATGATGGTTTCCAGTTTCATCCATGTCCCTACAAAGGACATGAACTCATCGTTTTTTATGGCTGCATAGTATTCCATGGTGTATATGTGCCACATTTTCTTAATCCAGTCTATCATTGTTGGACATTTGGGTTGGTTCCAAGTCTTTGCTATTGTGAATAGTGCCGCAATAAACATACGTGTGCATGTGTCTTTACAGAAGCATGATTTATAGTCCTTTGGGTATATACCCAGTAATGGGATGGCTGGGTCAAATGATATTTTCAGTTCTAGATCCCTGAGGAATCGCCACACCGACTTCCACAATGGTTGAACTAGTTTACAGTCCCACCAACAGTGTCAAAGTGTTCCTATTTCTCCACATCCTCTCCAGCACCTGTTGTTTCCCGACTTTTTAATGATCGCCATTCTAACTGGTGTGAGATGGTATCTCATTGTGGTTTTGATTTGCATTTCTCTGATGGCCAGTGATGGTGAGCATTTTTTCATGTGTCTTTTGGCTGCATAAATGTCTTCTTTTGAGAAGTGTCTGTTCATATCCTTTGCCCACTTTTTGATGGGGTTGTTTGTTTTTTTCTTGTAAATTTGTTTGAGTTCATTGTAGATTCTGGATATTAGCCCTTTGTCAATGAGTAGGTTGCGAAAATTTTCTCCCATTTTGTAGGTTGCCTGTTCACTCTGATGGTAGTTTCTTTTGCTGTGCAGAAGCTCGTTAGTTTAATTAGATCCCATTTGTCAATTCTGGCTTTTAGATAAAGTTTTAAAACAAACTAAAAATCAACTAGATTAAAATACTTTTTCTAATATTCATAGGCATGGAAATTGAGTTATTCTCTGGTTTGTCATAGCATTTTCTTCTCACTTTAGAGGTATATCTTTATAATCTGGATCACTCTTTCTGAATGTGAAGTTTCTACTTTCAATTCTTTTCATCTTTAGTCTCGTGTTCCTGTTTCTTTTTTCTTGCATAAAGTTCCTTTGTACCCCCTTGTACCCTGAGTCCCTTTTGTCCACCATAGAAAACAGGGTGGGGGCCATATAATATTAGTAATATTGTTGGATCATTTTGTTACAAAATATAATGGTGGAGAATGATGCATTTTAGAGAAGGCAAGATGAAAAAATAAGAAACAGATCTTTGAAATAACCATATTAAGAAAGAATGGGTCACTTGTTAGAAACAGTCAAGGATACATACAAACAGTGGAATAAATTATTTTACTATGTTGCTTGCTAAATGAACATCAAATAATCCTTTCTGGTCTCTATTATAACAGTACAAGCCCTTTTGGTATAATTCATAAACACATTTTTTCATCGTCCTGTTCTTCCTTTCTACACAATATAAAGTAAGGGAGGTCTTTGTGATAGGAGATTAATATTGAAGTGATACTTCCCTGCTTTGGTTCTAAGTATTGTATTCTTGTATTATTTTTCAGTTGGTTTTATAACTTCTAATTTCATTCTTATTATAAATGCATATATATTTGGTGTATAAAACACAAATAAGCGGCAAAAATATAAAAATTACTTTTAATTTTTTTACCCAGGGATGATCACTTTTTACATTTAGAGATACATATAAAGGAGGGATAAAGGGATGAATCACAGTTAAAATAAAACCAAGGGTATTCCTCGAAGGAGGTGTGTAGCTGTTTAACAGTTTGCGGAAATACATTTTATGAATGTTCAATGGGGATATTCCACTATACAGGAAGTAGCCAAAGTTAATATTATTCTTCCAGCACAGAGTACCTTCGACAGTCCTGCATGGCTTGAAAAAAAAATCTGATAGTAGATGATAGTAGACTACAAGGAATTAAGGAAGGTGGTATCTTCTACTATATGAAAGCTGTGTATTTATGGAACAGCTGGATTCTTCTTTGGGCGAGCCTCAAACCCTTCAGGGCCACTAAGACTGCTTGATGAGACTATGGCCCTAATCTAATGCTTTCCCAAAAGTGGTGACGTTGTAAGCTAGGGAGCTGATTGAATTTTGAATTAGGTTAGTTGTTTCAATTCATTCATTTTTCATTCATTCACTTATTCCAAAAATAAGGATTACGTGCCTAGAATACTCTAGCATGATTTTATGTGCTGTCATAGGCAGTG
The DNA here is from genome assembly GCF_000001405.40 of Homo sapiens. Classification (NCBI taxonomy): domain Eukaryota; kingdom Metazoa; phylum Chordata; class Mammalia; order Primates; family Hominidae; genus Homo; species Homo sapiens. The sequence goes on from NC_000002.12 coordinate 210,976,471, forward strand.
AAGAAAAAAGACTAGTTTCCTGCCTCATGAAGCTTACATCCTAGTGAGGAGAGAAAAACAATGCACAAATAAATATGCATTTCAGTCAATAAGTGCCAAGGAAAAATAAAGCAGAATGAGGGAGATGGATACAGGATACATCTTATAAGAGTGAATTAGAGACCTCCATACTCTTGTGGTGACTTTTGAGCAAAAAATAAAATAGAAGACCTAGCAGTGTGATTTTGTGGAAGTATCCTTGGTAGAATAATAATAAGTGCAAAAGCCTGAGGCATTCTCAGCTGGAACAATGAGTGAAGGGGGTGTGCTAGGAAAAGGGCCAGGTTCTGTAGGGTGCTGCAGGCATTCTGAAGACTGGCATTTACTCAGAGTGATTTAGGAAGGCAGTAGAAGGTTCTGAGCAGAGTAATGATATACTGATTAAGTTTTAAAAGCATCATTTTGACTATTCAGCATATATATACTTGGTCCTACCTCTGATGTTGCATTCTGTCTAATAGCTCTAATGCTTATTCCTTTACCTCACAGTTTAATAATCCATGATTTATATTTTATTTAGTAAGACAAATTTTTCTTCATTAGTCTTTTAAAAAATTGTATTGTCTGGTTTCACACATTTTTTTTCCAAGTAATATTTGGAAATACTTTTATCTCAACACCAGTATTAGGATTTTGTTTGGAATTAAATTATATCTATAGATAAATTTTAGGGGTCTCTTGGTAACACTATTGATTCTCATACAGACTATGCTAGTTCTATGTTCTTACTCAAGAGTTATTTTAGCTTTCTTGGAAGAATTTTATTGTTTTCTCTATACATTTTCTCTAAATTTATTATTAAATTTAACTGTAGAATGTTTACATGTATATTACTTCTGCGGAATGGTATCTTTTTATTACATTTTCTTAATTTATTCTGGTATATAGAAAAGCTAATACACACATGAGTATGTGTGTAGACAGATAATTGTAACTGACCTCCACACAACTTACTTATTTGGATTTTCTTCTACTTTTAGACAATTCTTTTTCTGAGAATATGTATTTTAATTTTTTTCCCAATATTTATACTGCCTCTTTCTTATTTTTCTTGTATTGCATTACCTAAAGTGTCCTGAGAATATTCATTACTTGTGCTGATAATGGTTATCATTTTCTTGTGTCTCATCATTTACGTAAATCCCTCTGATATTGACACTGCACAATGATTTAATGGCTAACTTCAATCAAATAGCAGTGACTGGTTTTGTGAAGTTCTGCACTGAGATTCAGTACTATTAGTACCATGATCAATTAGCATTTCATGACATGGACTTAGAAGCAGATGGATTGTTACTAACCTAGAATTTAATATAATGCTCAATACTAATTTGAGATGGTTTTCATCATGGAATGGCCATATATATATAGAAGTGTTTTGTTGTTGTTGTTGTTGTTGTTGTTATTGTTGTTGTTGTTTTCTTTTTTTTGGGATGGAGTCTCGCTCTGTCGCCCAGGCTGGAGTGCAGTGGCACGATCTCGGCTTACTGCGAGCTCTGCTTCCTGGGTTTATGCCATTCTCCCGCCTCAGCCTCCCCCGTAGCTGGGACTACAAGCGCCCGCCACCACGCCCAGCTAATTTTTTATGTTTTTAGTAAAGACAGGGTTTCATCGTGTTAGCCAGGATGGTCTTGATCTCCTGACCCCATAATCCACCCGCCTCGACCTCCCAAAGTGCTGGGACTACAGGCGTGAGCCCACCGCGCCCGACCCATATAGAAGTTTTTAACAAAATTCTATCAGATAGTCTTACACCCACATTTCCGTTCAGGCTCACAAACAGTCTCACACCCACACTCTCATTCAGGCTGAAGTTCTCATTTGTTTGTTCATTTGTAGATTTGGGGAAATATGACACTAAAGAAGTAGCACCCTTCTATAAAGAGCTCCCAATTTAACCTGGGAGAATAGATTCTTCAAAAAACTAGTGAGCAAAAGCACATTGCTTTAAAGTTCCTCCAAAAAAAAAAAAAAAAAATCTGAGATCTAGATTTAATTCTTCATCTATATTAAACCCAACTATTCTGACTCACAGATTGCAGCATTACAAGGTAATAATTCTTGCCATAATTCTGAGGCTATGACCCTCAAAGAAAGGTGGGGAGAACACAAAACAACACACATTCTTATAATTAGGATAGTAGTGTAAAGAGAGACATTTGAGACCCATGTCCTGGAAGTTTGGGCTTCAAAAAGTTTGCAGGGCCTTTTAGACTAGGGAAAAGGTGAAGATTACCAGTGGTAGCTTTTTTTTTCTCCTTCTTCTTCCTTTTTTTTTTTTTTTTTTTATTATACTTTAAGTTCTGGGGTACATGTGCAGAACATGGAAGTTTGTTACGACGTAGCTATATATGTGCCATGGTGGTTTCCTGCACCCATCAACCTGTCATCTACATTAGGTATTTCTTCTATCACTCCCCTAGCCCCCCAGTCCCCAACAGGCCCTGGTGTGTGATGTTCCCCTCCCTGTGTCCATGTGTTCTCCTTGTTCAACTCCCACATATGAGTGAGAACATGTGGTGTTTGGTTTTCTATTCTTGTGTTAGTGTGCTGAGAATGATGGTTTCCAGCTTCATCCGTGTCCCTGCAAAGGACATGAACTCATCCTTTTTATGGCTGCATAGTATTCCATGGTATATATGTGCCACATTTTCTTTATCCAGTCTATCATTGATGGGCATTTGGGTTGGTTCCAAGTCTTTGCTATTGTGAACAGTGCCACAATAAACATATTTCTGCATGTGCCTTTATAGTAGAATGATTTATAATGCTTTGGGTATATACCCAGTAATAGGATTACTGGGTCAAATGGTATTTCTAGTTCTGGATACCTGAGGAATAGCCACACTGTTTTCCACAAGGGTTTAACTAATTTTCACTCCCACCAATAGTGTAAAAGCATTCCTATTTCCCCACATCCTCTCCAGCATCTGTTGTTTCCTGACCTTTTAATGATCACCATTCTAACTGGCATGAGATGGTGTCTCAATGTGGTTTTGATTTGCATTTCTCTAATGACCAGTGATGATGAGCATTTTTTAATAAGTTTGTTGGCTACATAAATGTCTTCTTTTGAGAAGTGTCTGTTCGTACCCTTCACCCACATTTTTATGGGGTTGTTTGTTTTTTTCTTGTAAATTTGTTTAAGTTCTTTTTAGATTCGGGATATTAGCCCTTTGTCAGATGGACAGATTGCAAAAATTTTCTCCCATTCTGTAGGTTGCCTGTTCACTCTGATGATAGTTTCTTTTGCTGTGCAGAGGCCCTTTAGTTTAATTAGATCCCATTTGTCAATTTTGGCTTTTGTTGCCATTGCTTTTGGTGTTTTAGTCATGAAGTCTTTGCCCATGCCTATGTCCTGAATGGTATAACCTAGGTTTTCTTCTAGGGTTTTTATGGTTTTGGGTCTTACATTTATGTCTTTAATCCATCTTGAGTTAATTTTTGTATAAGGTATAAAGAAGGGGTCCAGTTTCTCTTTTCTGCATATCGCTAGCTACTTTTCCCAACACCATTTATTAAATAGGAAATCCTTTCCCCGTTGCTTGTTTTTGTCAGGTTTGTCAAAGATCAGATAGTTGTAGATGTGTGGTGTTATTTCTGAGGCCTCTGTTCTGTCCCACTGGTCTATATATCTGTTTTGGTACCAGTACCATGCTGTTTTTGTTACTGTGGCCTTGTAATATTGCTCGAAGTCAGGTAACGTGATGCCTCCAGCTTTGTTCTTTTTGCTTAGAATTGTCCTGACTATGTGGGCGCTTTTTTGGTTTCATATAAAATTTAAAGTAGTTTTTCCAAGTCTGTGAAGAAAGTCAATGGTAGCTTAATGGGGATAGCACTGAATTAATAAATTACTTTGGGAAGTATGGCCATTTTCACGATATTGATTCTTCCTATCCATGAGCATGGAACGATTTTCCGTTGGTTTGTGTCCTCTCTTATTTCCTTGAGCAGTGACTTGTAGTTCTCCTTGAAGAGGTCCTTCACATCCCTTGTAAGTGGTATTTCTAGGTATTTTATTCTTGTTGTAGCAATAACGAATGGAAGTTCACTTATGATTTGGTTCTCTGTTTGTCTGTTATTGGTGTATAGAAATGCTTGCAATTTATGCACATTGATTTTGTGTCCTGAGACTTTGCTGAATTTGCTTATCAGCTTAAGGAGATTTGGGGCTGAGACAGTGGGGTTTTCTAAATATACAATCATGTCGTCTGCAAACAGAGACAGTTTGGCTTCCTCTCTTCCCAATTGAATACCCTTTATTTCTTTCTCTTGCCTGATTGCCCTGGTCAGAACTTCCAATACTATGTTGAACAGGAGTGGTTAGAGAGGGCATCCTTGTCTTGCACTGGTTTTCAAAGGGAATGTTTCCAGTTTTTGCCCATTCACTATGATATTGGCTGTGGGTTTGTCATAAATAGCTCTTATTAGTTTGAGATATGTTCCATCGATACCTAGTTTATTGAGAGTTTTTAACATGAAGGGCTGTTGAATTTTGTCTAATGCCTTTTCTGCATCTATTGAGATAATCATGTGGTTTTTGTCATTGGTTCTGTTTATGTGATGGATTATATTTATTGATTTGCATATGTTGAACCAGCCTTGCATCCCAGGGATGAAGCCTACTTGATCATGTTGGATAAGCTTTTTGATGTGCTGCTGGATTCGGTTTGCCAGGATTTTATTGAGGATTTTTGCATCCATATTCATTGATGTTCATTAGGGATATTGGCCTAAAATTTTCTTTTTTTTTGTTGTGTCTCTGCCAGTTTTTGGTATCAGGATCATGATGAGCTCATCAAATGAAGTTAGGGAGGATTCCCTCTTTTTCTATTGTTTGGAATAATTTCAGAAGGAATGGTACCAGCTCCTCCTTGTACCTCTGGTAGAATTCAGCTGTGAATCTGTCTGGTCCTGGACTTTTTTTGGTTGGTAGGCTATTAATTACTGCTTCAATTTCAGAACTTGTTATTGGTCTACTCAGGGATTTAACATCATCCTGGTTTAGTCTTGGGAGGGTGTATGTGTCCAGGAATTTATCAATTTCTTCTAGATTTTCTAGTTTATTTGCATAGAGGTGTTTATAGTATTCTCTGATGGTAGTTTGTATTTCTGTGGGATGAGTGGTGATATCCCCCTTATCATTTATTATTGCATCTATTTGATTCTTCTATTTTTTCTTCTTTATTAGTCTGGCTAGTGGTCTATCTATTTTGTTGATCTTTTCAAAAACCAGCTCATGGATTCATTGACTTTTTTTGAAGGGTTTTTCATGTCTCTATTTCCTTCAGTTCCGCTCTGATCCTAGTTATTTCCTGTCTTCTGCTAGCTTTTGAATTTGTTTGCTCTTGCTTCTCTAGTTCTTTTAGTTGTGATGTTAGGGTGTCAATTTTAGATCTTTCCTACTTTCTCTCGTGGGCATTTAGTGCTATAAATTTCCCTGTTAACACTGCTTTAGCTGTGTCCCAGAGATTCTGGTACATTGTGTCTTTGTTCTCATTGGTTTCAAAGAACATCTTTATTTCTGTCTTCATTTAGTTATTTACCCAGTAGTCCTTCAGGAGCAGGTTGTTCAGTTTCCATGTAGATATGCAGTTTTCAGTGAGTTTATTAATCCTGAGTTCTAATTTGATTGCACTGTGGTCTGAGAGAGTGTTTGTTATGATTTCTGTTCTGTTGCATTTGCTGAGGAGTGTTTTACTTCCAATTACATGGTCAATTTTAGAATAAGTGTGATGTAGTGCTGAGAAAATGTACATTCTGTTGATTTGGGGTGGAGAGTTCTGTAGATGTCTATTAGGTCCACTTGGTCCAGAGCTGAGTTCAGGTCCTGGATATTTTTGTTAATTTTCTCTCTCATTGTTCCGTCTAGTGTTGACAGTGGGGTGTTAAAATCTCCCACTATTATTGTGTGGCAGTCTAAGTCTCTTTGTAGGTCTCTAAGAACTTGCTTTATGAATCTGGGTGCTTCTGTATTGGGTGCATATTTAGGATAGTTTGCACTTCTTCTTGCATTGATCCCTTTACCATTATGTAATCCCTTCTTTGTCTCTTTTGATCTTTCTTGGTTTAAAGTCTGTTTTATCAGAGACTAGGATTGCAACCCCTGCTTTTTTTTTTGCTTTCCATTTGCTTGATAAATATTCCTCTATCCCTTTATTTTGAGCCTATATGTGTCTTTGCCCGTGAGATGGGTCTCCTGAATACAGCACACTGATGGGTCTTGACCCTTTATCCAACTTGCCAGTCTGTGTCTTTTAATTGGGGCATTTAGCCCATTTACATTTAAGGTTAATATTGTTATGTGTGAATTTGATCCTGTCATTATGATGCTAGCTGGCTATGTTGCCCATTAGTTGATGCAGTTTCTTCCTTTACAATTTGGTATGTTTTTGCAGTGGCTGGTACTGGTTGTTCCTTTTCATGTCTAGTGCTTCCTTTAGGAGGTCTTGTAAGGCAGGCCTGGTGGTGACAAAAGCTCTCAGCATTTGCTTGTCTGTAAAGGATTTTATTTCTCCTTCACTTGTGAAGCTTAGTTTGGCTGGATATGAAACTCTGGGTTGAAAATTCTTTTCTTTCAGCATGTTGAATATTGGCCCTCACTCTTTTCTGGTTTGTAGGGTTTCTGCAGAGAAATCCACTGTTAGTCTGATGGGCTTCCCTTTGTGGGTAACCCGACTTTTCTCTCTGGATGGCCTTAACATTTTTTTTTATTATACTTTAAGTTTTAGGATACATGTGCACAACGTGCAGGTTTGTTACATATGTATACATGTGCCATGTTGGTGTGCTGCAACCATTAACTCGTCATTTAGCATTAGGTATATCTCCTAATGCTATCCCTCCCCGCTCTCCCCACCCCCCAACCTTCCCCGGTGTGTGATGTTCCCCTTCCTGTGTCCATGTGTTCTCATGGTTCAATTCCCACCTATGAGAGAGAACATGCAGTGTTTGGTTTTTTGTCCTTGTGATAGTTTGCTGAGAATGATGGTTTCCAGTTTCATCCATGTCCCTACAAAGGACATGAACTCATAATTTTTTATGGCTGCATAGTATTCCATGGTGTATATGTGCCACATTTTCTTAATCCAGTCTATCATTGTTGGACATTTGGGTTGGTTCCAAGTCTTTGCTATTGGGAATAGTGCCACTATAAACATACGTGTGCATGTGTCTTTATAGCAGCACGATTTATAATCCTTTGGGTATATACCCAGTAATGGGATGGCTGGGTCAAATGGTATTTCTAGTTCTAGATCCCTGAGGAATCACCACACTGACTTCCACAATGGTTGAACTAGTTTACAGTCCCACCAACAGTGTCAAAGTGTTCCTATTTCTCCACATCCTCTCCAGCACCTGTTGTTTCCTGACTTTTTAATGATCGCCATTCTAACTGGTGTGAGATGGTATCTTATTGTGGTTTTGATTTGCATTTCTCTGATGGCCAGTGATGATGAGCATTTTTTCATGTGTCTTTTGGCTGCATAAATGTCTTCTTTTGAGAAGTGTCTGTTCATATTCTTCACCCACTTTTTGATGGGGTTGTTTGTTTTTTTCTTGTAAATTTGTTTGAGTTCATTGTAGATTCTGGATATTAGCCCTTTGTCAGATGAGTAGGTTGCAAAAATTTTCTCCCATTCTGTAGGTTGCCTGTTCACTCTGATGGTGGTTTCTTTTGCTGTGAAGAAGCTCTTTAGTTTAATTAGATCCCATTTGTCAATTTTGGCTTTTGTTGCCATTGCTTTTGGTGTTTTAGACATGAAGTCCTTGCCCATGCCTATGTCCTGAATGGTATTGCCTAGGTTTTCTTCTAGGGTTTTGATGGTTTTAGGTCTAACGTTTAAGTCTTTAATCCATCTTGAATTAATTTTTGTATAAAGTGTAAGGAAGGGATCCAGTTTCAGCTTTCTACGTATGGCTAGCCAGTTTTCCCAGCACCATTTATTAAATAGGGAATCCTTTCCCCATTGCTTGTTTTTCTCAGGTTTGTCAAAGATCAGATAGTTGTAGATATGCAGCATTATTTCTGAGGGCTCTGTTCTGTTCCATTGGTCTATATCTCTGTTTTGGTACCAGTACCATGCTGTTTTGGTTACTGTAGCCTTGTAGTATAGTTTGAAGTCAGGTAGCGTGATGCCTCCAGGTTTGTTCTTTTGGCTTAGGATTGACTTGGCAATGCAGGCTCTTTTTTGGTTCCATATGAACTTTAAAGTAGTTTTTTCCAATTCTGTGAAGAAAGTCATTGGTAGCTTGATGGGGATGGCATTGAATCTATAAATTACCTTGGGCAGTATGGCCATTTTCACAATATTGATTCTTACTGTCCATGAGCATGGAATGTTCTTCCATTTGTTTGTATCCTCTTTTATTTCATTGAGCAGTGGCTTGTAGTTCTCCTTGAAGAGGTCCTTCACATCCCTTGTAGGTTGGATTCCTAGGTATTTTATTCTCTTTGAAGGAATTGTGAGTGGGAGTTCACTCATGATTTGGCTCTCTGTTTGTCTGTTATTGGTGTATAAGAATGCTTGTGATGTTTGCACATTGATTTTGTATCCTGAGACTTTGCTGAAGTTGCTTCTCAGCTTAAGGAGGTTTTGGGCTGAGATGATGGGGTTTTCTAGATATACTATCATATCATCTGCAAACAGAGACAATTTGACTTCCTCTTTTCCTAATTGAATATCCTTTATTTCCTTCTTCTGCCTGATTGCCCTGGCCAGAACTTCCAACACTATGTTGAATAGGAGTGGTGAGAGAGGGCATCCCTGTCTTGTGCCAGTTTTCAAAGGGAATGCTTCCAGTTTTTGTCCATTCAGTATGATATTGGCTGTGGGTTTGTCATAGATAGTTCTTATTATTTTGAGATAAGTCCCATCAATACCTAATTTATTGAGAGTTTTTAGCATGAAGGGTTGTTGAATTTTGTCAAAGGCCTTTTCTGCGTCTATTGAGATAATCATGTGGTTTTATGTCTTTGCTTCTGTTTATATGCTGGATTACATTTATTGATTTTCGTATGTTGAACCAGCCTTGCATCCCAGGGATGAAGCCCACTTGATCATGGTGGATTAGCTTTTTGATATGTTGCTGGATTCAGTTTGCCAGTATTTCACTGAGGATTTTTGCATCAGTGTTCATCAAGGATATTGGTCTAACCTTGGTGAATCTGACAATTATGTGTCTTGGGGTTGCTCTTCTCAAGGAATATCTTTGCGGTGTTCTCTGTATTTCCTGAATTTGAATGTTGGCCTGTCTTGCCAGGTTGGGGAAGTTGTCCTGGATAATACCCTGAAGTGTGTTTTCCTACTTGGTTCCATTCTCCCCATCACTTTCAGGTACACCTATCAAATGTAGATTTGGACTTTTCACATACCCGTATTTCCTGGAGGCTTTGTTCATTTCTTTTCACTCTTTTTCTCTAATATTGTCTTCTCACTTTATTTCATTGAGTTGATCTTCAATCTCTTATATCCTTTCTTCTGCTTGATCTGTTTGGCTATTGATACTTGTGTATGTTTCACGAAATTCTCCTGCTGTGTTTTTCAGTTCCATGAGTTCATTAATGCTCTTCTCTAAACTGGTTATTCTAGTTAGCAATTCATCTAACCTTTATTCAAGGTTCTTAGCTTCCTTGCTTTGGGTTAGAACATTCTCCTTTAGCTTGGAGGAGCATGTTATTACCCACCTTCTGAAGCCTACTTCTGTCAGTTCATGAAACTCATTCTCCATCCAGTTTTGTTTCCTTGCAGGCAAGGAGTTGTGATCCTTTGGAGGAGAAGAGGTGTTCTGGGTTTCGGAGTTTTCAGCCTTTGTGCACTGTTTTTTCCCCATCTCCATGAATTTATCTACCTTTGGTCTTTGATGTTGGTGATCTTCGGATGGGGTCTCTGAGTGGACGTCCTTTTTGTCGATGTTGCTACTATTCCTTTCTGTTTGTTAGTTTTCCTTCTAACAGGCAGGCCCCTCTTCTGCAGTTCTGCTGGAGTTTGCTAGAGGTCCACTCCAGACCGTTTGCCTTGGTATCACCAGCGGAAGCTCCAAGACAGCAAATCTTGCTGCCTGTTCTTTCCTCTGGAAGCTTCGTCCCAGAGGGGCACCTGCCGGATGCCAGCGAGAGCTCTCCTGTATGAGGTGTCTGTTGGCCCCTACTGGGAGGTTTCCTCCAGTCAGGATACAGGGGGTCAGGGACCCACTTGAGGAGGCAGCCTGTCCCTTATCAGAGCTCGAACACTGTGCCAGGAGAACTGCTGCTCTCTTAAGAGACAGGGACGTTTAAGTCTGCTGAAGCTGCACCCATAGCTGCCCCTTCCCCCAGGTGCTCTGTCCCAGGGAGATGGGGGTTTTATCTATAAGTCCCTGACTGGGGATGCTGCCTGTTTTTCAGAGATGCCTTGCCTAGAGAGGCAGTCTGGCTGCAGGGGCCTTGCTGAGCTGTGGTGGGCTCCGCCCAGTTTGAACTTCCTGGCAGCTTTGTTTACACTGAGAGTAAAATCGCCTACTCAAGCCTCAGCAATGGCAGACGCCCCTTCCCTCACCAAGCTTGAGCATCCCACATCGACCTCTGACTGCTATGCTAGCAGTGAGAATTTCAAGCTAGTGGATCTTAGCTTGCTGGGCTCCGTGGGGGTGGGACCCAGTGAGCCAGGCACCAGAGGGAATCTCCTGGTTGGCCAGTTGCAACAACAGTGGGAAAAGCACAGTATCCAGGCTGGAGTGCACCATTCCTCCCATTACAGTCTCTCATGGCTTCCCTTGGTTAGGAACAGGAAATCCCCTGCTTTGGCTCACCCTCTGTGGGTTGTACGCACTGTCCAACCAGTCCCAATGAGATGAACTGGGTACCTCAGTTGGAAATGCAGAAATCACCCACCTTCTGCGTTAGTCTCCCTGGGAGCTGCAGACCGGAGCTGTTCCTATTCGGCCATCTTCCAGCAATGTTTTACCACCAGTGGTAGCTTTTTAGGCAAAATAACATTGTTATTAGATGCCTGCTTGAATATTGAACAACAGCTGCTCCATATCTACCAAATCAATGGAGCAACATTTAAAGGATTATTTCATTACAATTTGACTCATCTTATGGCAGATGAATCACTTAGGATCTAAAGAGGGAGTAAATTAATTTTACATTTTAAAATTTTGTTTCCTACAACCAGTTAAATAAATAAAATATATCATTTCTATTTGGAAAAAAATGCAACAGTAATTATGAAAATTATTAGTCCTAGATGCACATTGGAATAATTTAAAAATACTGGTATCTGGACAGCCCTGGAAAGTCTGGTTCAATTGGTAAGGGGTGAGGCCTTGGAATTCATATATTCTTAAAGCATCCTAGATGATTCTAAGTGGAAACGGGTTAGGAACTACATGATCATTGTTCCCTCACAAAAGATACCACTCTTACAAAGTGATTACATTTGCCAGTATGTAAATTAAATAATCATTTAGGAGTTAACAAGTATACTAAAATGAACTCCCAAGAAATTAACCACCTGGAGAAATATTACAAATTTTCTTTCTGTGATGTTTGGACTTAAAACAACAAAAAACAAAGGATTCTTCAGTGCTAATCCAGCACGTATGTGTGAGATCATGTAAGTGGTATATAAGGGTTTTAATTTATCAGACATTATTCTTTAAATTCTATGGCCTTAAATGAATAAACCTGTAAGAATATTGTACATAAGTATGGATTACTGTCAGTTAAAATTTTTAAATGAAAAATTACTTATAAAAGTCAGAAAATATATCAACAAATATTTATTGTGTTCCCACCATGCCATAGAATCTTTCTGGCACCAAGACTATGACAATTAGAAAAACACAAATAAAAAATCTCTTTTGTAATAGTGTCTGCATTTGAGTGGAAGAGATGAACAATAAAAATCAACCAAAATGAAATAGTCTCATTTTAAAATTATGACCTCTGTCAAGAGATTCTTAATGCTATCTCATAGTCATGCCATATTTGCCTTTTGAATTTACTCTCCTATTCTCCTAAACTATTTGGTATGGTTTGGATCTGTGTCCGTGTCAAAATCTCATGTCGAATGGTAATCCCCAATGTTGAAGGTGGGGCCTGGTGGGAGGTGACTGGATCATGAGGTGGTTTCTAATGATTTAATACCATCCCCCAGGGTGCTCTTCTTGTGATACGGAGTGAGTTCTCATGATATCTTGTTGTTTAAAAGTACATAGCACCTCACTCCTCTCTTCCTCCTGCTCTGGCCATGTAGCACATGCCTGATTCTCCTTTGTCTTCTGCCATGATTAAAAATTCCCAGAGGCCTCTCCAGAAGTCATCATGCTTTTTGTAAAGCCCATAGAACCATGAGCCAATTAAACCTTTCTTCTTTATAAATTACCCAGTCTCAGGTATTTCTTTATAGCAGTGCAAGAATGAACTAATAATTAATACAGAAAATTGGTACTGGGGAGTGGCATATTACTACAAAGATACCTGAAAATGTATAAGTGGCTTTGAAACTGGGTAACAGGCAGAGTTGGAAGAGTGTGGAGGGTTCAGAAGAAGACAAGAAGATGAGGAAAGTTTGGAACTTCCTAGAGACTTGTTAAATTGTTTTGACCAAAATGCTGATGGTGATATGGACAATAAAGTCCAGGCTGATGAGGTCACAGATGAAGATGAGGAGCTTATTGGTAACTCAGCAAAGGTTGCTTTTGCTATGCATTACCAAAGAAGCTGAAGGCCACTGTGCCCCTGCCATAGAGATCTGCAGAAATTCGAACTTGAGAGTGATGATTTAGGGTATCTGCAGGAAGAAATTTCTAAGCAGCAAAGGATTCAAAATGGGACCTGACTGCTTCTAACAACTGTCATATACATGAGCAAAGAAATGTCCTGAAACTGGAAATTATATTTAAAATGGAAGCAGAGTGTAAATGTTTGAAAAATTTGCAGCATGGCCATGTGGTAGAAAAGCCCATTTTCAGGGGAGGAATTCAAGAAGGCTGCATAAATTTGCATAACTAAAAGCAAGGCAAATGCTGATAGCCAAGAAAATGGGAAAAAGGCCTCAAATGCATTTCAGAGACCTTCATGGCAGCCCCTCCCATCACAGGCCTGGAGGCCTAGGAGGGAAGACTGGTTTTATGGGCCAGAACCAGGGCCCCACTGCTCTGTGCAACCTTTGGACACTGCTACACCTATCCTGGCTGCTCCAGCCCCAGCCATGGCTCAAAAACCAAAACTTAGGGCTTGCCTCTCTGAAGCAGTGGCCCAGGTATTACTAGTTACTAAAGATAGTTTAGTTTTATTTTAGTTCTTCTTATTAATTCAGTTATATAGTTACTAGTTACTAGTAGTTACTGAAGATCGTTTAGTTTTATTTTAGTTCATTTGAAATTATCGCACATGAGTAATGTAGTTTATAGTTATAGTTATATGGAGTCTTGCTCCGTCACCCAATGGCCCAATCTTGGCTTACTGCAACCTCCAGCATCCAGGGTTCAACTGATTTTCCTGTCTCAGCTTCTTGAGTAGCTGGGATTACAAATGTGTGCCACCATGCCCAGTTAATTTTTGTATTTTTTCAGTAGAGACAGGGTTTCACCATGTCGGCCAGGCTGGTCTCAAACTCCTGACTTCAAGTGATTTGCCCGCCTCAGCCTCCCAAAGCACTAGGACTACAGGCATGAGCCACCATGCCTGGCCAGTAATGTCATTTTAAATATTTCAAAAAATATTTCCTTAGAAAATATATGAAGCTGGCTGGGCGCGGTGGCTCACGCCTGTAATCCCAGCACTTTGGGAGGCTGAGGCGAGTGGATCACGAGGTCAGGAGATTGAGACCATCCTGGCTAACACGCTGAAACCCCGTCTCTACTAAAAAATACAGAAAATTAGCTGGGCGTGGCAGCGTGCCCCTGTAGTCCCAGCTACTCGGGAGGCTGAGGCAGGAGAATGGCGTGAACCCAGGAGGCGGAGCTTGCAGTGAGCCGAGATTGTGCCACTGCACTCCAGCCTGGCGACAGAGCGAGACTCTCTCCAAAAAAAAAAAAAAAAAAGAAAGAAAAAGAAAAAGAAAAAGAAAATATTTGAAGCCTATCCTGGATATTTGAAGGACCCAATGATTACTTTAAATATATCCCCAAAATCATGTAATAGAAAAAATATATGGATGCGTGCTTAAGGTCTGAAATGAGGTGAATGATAAACCAATCAACATATTATTTTCTGTTTTAAGTTAACTACAAGAGTATAGCAATAGCACCAAGTATAACTTAGTTGTCATTGGTGTTTATATTTTAAACCCTTTTATGAAATCACTTTGAGAGAAACTAGCATTTCAATCACAGCAGCTACTGTCATAAAAACTTCAACAGGTGAGACGTCTTACCCAGCTGGGATAGTACTTTTCCTCAACTACCTGCAATTATATTGCTATAAAAATCAAGCAAATGATGTAGATTTGTTCTTTCAACATCCATTTTTTTCTCCCTTCTTGCTTGCTTTTCTCTGCTTGAAAACTGGTAAGCTAAGCAAAACAAAATAGAAACTAAATATCTCAGTCTCCATTGCAGCTGGGTGTGGTCATAGCTGTATTACTTATTTTTGGCCCATAAGATGGAACTACTTTGTGCTGTTTCTAAAGCTTACTCCTTCTTCCCTAAAACAAACGCAATTCTTAGACATCCAGTTGTTGGTGCTAAGGATGGAGAGTAGCAGCAAGCTAGAAGCAGCTTGTTTTCTCAATGGCACCGTTGAGCATTACTGTCTGCCAATCCAAAGGAATCTTGCTTCCTGAGATAAAAAATAGTTATTTGCTTACAACGCATAAATTTCTATTTGGTGCCACCAAACAGAAATGCTTTTAGATATTATAATAATATTTTTATATCAAGTATGATTGTAGTAAAATAAATTACTTATACATATATTCAGAATGGAACAGAGTTCTAACAAGAGTTCATTCCTGAGTTGTTTATATTAAAGATAAGATCTCTATAATAAACACATACACTCACCAGAGGCACTTTTAAAAAAAAGAGATATAATGAAACAAGAAATATTGGAAATTAGTTAATTTGACACAGAAAAGTGTGGAATGTTGCCCAAAGAAAATTTCTATTTAAATTATCTGCAAACTTTCATGGAATCTGAAGTTGTATTAAACTTTTAGGTGAATAAATTAGGTGGTATTTTAGGAAGTTAATAGAAATGTTTAGAGTAGAAGTCATAAAATGAATAATGTGTAAGTAATAAGAAACAATATAGTAGAACCTTAAGAATCTTATAATGTCATTTTTATAAATTAATTTTTTATAATTTACTTTAAATGATGATTAATTTTTAGTCTGGATGTGATAGGAAAAACATGTAAGTTATTCATTAGTCAGGATCATTTTATTTGCAATCATTTATAGCCTGTGTGTCCTCAGTCATGCTAACTTGCCTTTGTCTTTAACATTTGTATTTTTAACGCTCAATGCACATGGATTAGGTGTCCTCTTAAAAAGGCAGTGCAGTCTAATGGTTAAGAGCCATGCCTGTAGAGCCAAACAGACTGCTATTTGCTGTGCAGCTATCAGCAAATAGCTTAATCTCACCAAGCCTAATATGTTTTTACAAGCAAAATTAGAATAATAACTCCCTCAATGGGTTATTGTTTGAAGATTAAATAAAATATTACATGTAAGTGGTTAATCTACTTCCTGGAATGTAGTAAGTACTTAGTCAAAACAAGTGTTATTGTTACATTAGTGATTCAAGGGAATGATTTTGCCATTCTTCCTTAGATTCCGTTACTTTTTTTCTCTCATCCACAAACTTTATATTTAAAATTTCAACATGTTAGAGAAATGCATTTTTAAAAGTCATTAAAATAGTTGTTTGACTTTTATTAAGAACAGAAAATATGTTTATAATATCTCAGATGAAAAAATAATTCTATAGTGCCAAAGTATCAATTAACATGGGTATAGAACCTTATATGTATTGTCACTATCTGAAAACAGAGATTCTTTCCAGAATGTCAAAGTGTGGGACAATTTGATCCAGAACAGGCAAGGATAGTTATCTTTTTGAAGTCTTTGGCAGTAGTTACTGGCTGAAACAAGGCACCAGCAGAGATTAGTCTAGTCTGGCATTGGAGCTTATGCAGTACTGGATCCATGAAAAAATTGTAAGTTTATATACAATGTTCTGGTTCACTCTGTTCAGATATTTATCAATGAGTAGGATTGCAGAAGAGGCACTGAGTCAGGAAAACAAATGTCCTTTCTCTCAGCAACTATATGTCACAACTCATTGCTGTTGCTTAAAAATGTAAGAGAAGAAGAAAGAAGAAAAAATACTTGGCTTCTTTCTTTTATCTCTTCACAGAAACAAAACCCACTGAATTGCTTCCCATCTTCTTTTTTTCCTCTAAATTTTCCTTTCTGACTAGAAACTGAGATTGAATTGCAAAATCAGATTTATATGATGTTACTACTTGGTAAGAAAATTTTGTGTATCTGAAAATCCATAGCAACATTCCTCTCTCATTCCTGTGATTAGTAATTTGTGTCTTCTCTCCTTTTTTTCTGGATTAGTCTGGCTAGAGGTAATGTACTTTACCCTGAAACCTATTTTGTGTGATATTAATATAGTCATTTCAGTTGTCTTTTTAAATAAAATTACAGCATAGTGTATCTTGTTGCTTCCTTTTACATTAAACATATTTGTGCCTTCATTTTGACATCCCAAAGACCCAGTTTTGGGGTTAATTGATATTCCCAATTATTTTTCTGTTTCATTGATTTCTACTCTAATATTTATTATTCTCTTTCTTTTGCTTACTTGGACTTTAATTTGCTTTTCCTTTTCTAGTTTCCTAGGATTGGAGCTTAGATAATTTAAATTAGAACTTTTTTCTTTTCTAATAGGTGTTTAATTCTATACATGTCCTGCTTTAGTTCTACACAAATTTTGGTATGTTGCATTTTTATTTTCATTCATTAATAAAAATCTTTCTACTTTCTCTTGTGATAATTTATCTGTCCCATGGGTTACTCTGACATCTGAGAAGTGTGTTTAGTGTTCAAATACTTGAGGATTTCTAGATGACATTCTGTTGCTGATTTTTCAGTGTTATTCTCTGTGGTGACAGATTATATGTTGTATAGTTTTAATCCCTTTAAGTTTATGAAAATATATATTATGCCCTAGAATATGATCTATAAAAATAAATATTATGGGTGCACTTGAAAAGAATGTACTTTCTACTGTTTGAGGGAAAAGTATTCTGTAAATGTCAGTAATGTAAAGTTTACTGATAAAGTTGTTTAAGACTTTTATCTAATTAATGAATTTTTCTCAACTTGCTTCATCAATTATTGAGAGTGACTGAAAAATAAAGGAAGAGGCAAATCCACAATCATAGTATATCTTGTTCCATCTTTTAACTTTAAACATACTTTAAATTATACTTGTGGATTTATCTTTTTCTCCTTTTAGTTCTATCAGATTTGCTTTATTTGTTTGGAAACTTTATTATTGGAAACATAACCACTTGAAATTATATGTCTTTTTGATAAGTTTACCTCTGTCATTATAATGTTGTTATAACATTACCCTGTTTATACCTGCTAATGTTCTTTGGTCTGAAGACTATTTTCTGTGAGATTAATATAGTCAATCCAGTTTTTTTTTAATTAGAGCTAGCACAGTATTTTCTTATTACTCCCTTTTACTTTAAATGTATTTGTGCCTTTACAGTTAAGGTTGGATTCTGTAGACAGTATGTATTTGGATCTTCTCTTTGTTTTCCTAATCTGATGATCTCTGCTTTTTAATTAGGGTGTTTAGGCCATTTATATTTAATGTGATTATTGACATAGGTTTGAATCCATCATATTTCTATTTGTCTTCTCTGTTCCTTTTCCTCTTTTTCTACCTACTTTTGGATTATTTTTATAATTTCATTTTGTCTCATGTATTTTTCTTATTGCTCTATATTTTTTGTTCTTGTTGCTAGTTTTGTTTTCTGGTTATTATTATAATTTTGAGTTTGTAGTATACACATTTAAATTAAAGTCTCCCTTCAAATAATATACAACTTTACATATAGTATGAAAATTTTACAATATACTTCCATTTTTCCCTCCTTAGAACTTTCTCCTATTGACATCCATTTTACTTCTGTCTGTTACAAATGTTGCAATATATTATTATTATTGCATTAAACTGTCAATTGTTTTTTAAAGGCACTTTTCAAATAAGAAAAATGTCTTATGTATTTGTCTCTATATATACGATTTCTGGTACTTTTTATTTTTTTATTGCATCTGGATATTACTCTGGCATCATTTTCCTTCTGTTTGAAGACATTTCTTTAATATTTCTTATGGTTTTGTTCTACTGGTGCTGAAAATATTAGCCTTTGTGTCTGAAAGATATTTTCATTAGTTATAAAATTCTACGTTGATTTTTTTTTCATTCAGCCTTTTTAAAATGCTGCTACACTGTCTTCTGGTTTCATTGTTTCCTATGAGAAGTCTGTGGTCATCTCTCTCATTATGCCTTTCCAGGTAATGTATCTTTTCCTTCTTGCTGCTTTTAATATTTTCTCTATTATTGGATTTTGTCATTTGATTATGCTGTGCATTGTTGTCCCTGCTTGAAGTTCATTCTGCTTATTTTTAGTATGGGTATAATGTTCATCAAATTTTAAAACTTTCCATAATTATTTCATAATTTATCTTTTGTTTACCCCTCTCTACTCTTTCTGTAACTTCAATTATATATATCTGAGGCCACATAACGTTTTCTTACACTCATCAGTTCACATAGTTGAGTTGTTTTTTCCCTGTGTTTTATTTCAGATAGTCACCATAGTTCTCTTTAAACTCAATAATCTTTTTTCTGTACGATCTCAGCTACTGTTAATCCTATCCAGTGTATTTTTACTTTAGACATTGAATGTCTTTATATCCAGAAGTTTAATTTTTGACTTCTTTATGTCTCCCATGTATCTTTAATGAGCTCATGTTTTTATCTACATTACTGAAAGAAATAAATATACACATATATGTAAATTAAACAATGGCTGTGTTAATATCTTTTTCTAGTAGTTGTATTGTCTCTGACATTTCTGGGTCTTTCATTAATTTTGTCTCCTCAGTGTCAGTCATATTTTACTATTTATTGCATACCTACTAATTTTTGAATGGATATTAAACATTATAAATTTTATATAGTTGGACACTGGAATTTTATATTTATTTGGATGTTTTCACCTTTGATCTCAGACACAGTGAAATTATTTGAAGACAGCTTTAACTTTTCAGGCTTGCTTTTAGTTTTTGTTATGTTGAGCAAGAACAGCCTTTATTCTAGTATAAATTTAGTCTTATCACCGTAGCAGTACCCTTATTACTCAATCAAATGCCCTCTTATGAATCTTTTCCTCTCTGACCATTGAAGCATAAAATATTCCTATCCCTGTGTTAGAACTAGGAATTGTTTTGCATGCTACTTTGTTTATTGTTCCCTGGCCTCAGGCTTTTTTTATGCATGCACTAATCAATACAGCTAGATAGAAGAAATAAGTTCTAATGTTTGATAGCAGAGTAGGATGACTATAGTTAAAAACAGTATATTGTATATTTCAAAATAACTACAAGTAGGGATTTGAAATGTTCCCAACACATAGAAATAATAAGTGCTTGAAGTGATAGATATCTTTAAATACCCTGACTTGATCATTACACATTCTATGGGTATAGCAAAATATCACAAATACCCCATAAAATGTACAAATATTATGTATTGATAAAAAATGTTAAAAAGAGATCAGTGAAGTCTAAAGTGGGACCCTCTGAAGATGTCCAGAGCCCTCTATTTGTGAAACTCTTTACTCCAGTGCCCTGTGTTGTGAATGCTAGCTCTCTTGACTTCTTCAAATGCTCAGCATTAACTGCTGGGATCTGTTTGGGTTTCTTCTCCTACTTTGTGTCTTGGAAAATATCTGTATACCATAAATTGGTTCAACTATATGACTCACTTTATTTTCTCTGGAGTCATTGCCCTATGTTGCCTGTTGTACAATGCCTGAAGGTCATTATTTTATTAGTTTTATCTAGTTTTTCTTAGTTATTTAAGACTGAGGGTAAATATGTTCCCTGTTTCTTCATTGTGTTCAAAGATAAATTCACATATAAGTTTGAATCAAGAATTTATTAATGTAATAAGCCTATTCTTTATGTATTTATGTTCAAAACATCTCTGATCATGGGTGTTTTCTCCCAGATTCATTTTTACAAATTATCTATTTACCTGTTTCTATAGATACAGATTATCTATTTATCTGTATCTGATTTAGCTAATAAATTACCAAAAATTAAAAGCAAAATTATTAAAGCTAAAATTTATTGACTTTTTCTCTAAATACAATAACACATGCATTGTGGTTATCTAGTAACTAATGTAATTCATTCATTATTAATTATTCCTGTTTCTTCTTCTGCTGCTATTTTTTCCATTATTAATTAAATGCCCCTTTAACCAATAGGTTCACTAACAACCAAGGAGTTTCTAAATATATATATTTTTATTAAAGTTATCATTAAATCACTTCTATATGTTAAGGATTTTATAATAAAGGAACATATAACATTTGTAAATGTTTGTTTATACGTATATTGTCCTTTAACATTATAAAAGTATTTCATATATGTACAATTAGATTCCACAGAACAGTAATTGGTGACAATAAGAAATACAGTATCCCTAACTTAGTGTTTACTTTGGCCCACTATAGTAATGTTTGTGCTTTTATAGACTAAGATTATGAAATTTTTGATGTCAAAATCCATCACTCTCTTTTCTTTGTGCAAATGGGAAAAATGTATAGTTTTAGGGTCATCATATGTACCTGATAAATGCTAGTTGAATTATTTATAGATAAATGAGTAAACACAGCAGATATGTTTTGTTTCTTTTTTAAAAACTGAAGTCCTCCAGACAGCAGACTAGGTCTCTGGTTTACCTTACCAAAACAAACATTTCCCAATTATAAGTAATGCAGTCATCCTTAAAACAACAACCAAAAAGGAAATCACATGTGAGGAAGCTATTTTAGAACCATAGATATGAAAAGAATTGTTTCAGACTGTGTCTTTATGTACTGTATGTCTATGTAAGTGTGTGTGAACATGAGTGTATGAGCAAGAGCAAGAGAGAAAAGAAAACAAGCAGGAATAGGGGAAGTAGGAGGGAGCAGAAGATGGGAAAATGAACTGAACAAAAGATTTTTTTTTTACTAAGAATGTAAGAAAGAATATGTGAAAGCAGTTTGTGTATTAATTTCATGCAAATCCAAGATGTTATTATTTCACCTATAGTTACCCACATTTTAAATATAATTGAAATTATAGTACAGCGACCATTGAATCCCAACTGAATGGTTAAAATACTGGGGGATAATCCTACAAGGATGTGATTAGTTCATTGATTTCAAACTTGATGCTTTTTTATCGCAGTGCATATTATATACCGACTATAACAGTCTGATTTTTAATCCTAAATGGCTAAATCCTATGATAAAGATTTCTGAAACTTTCCCCATGAAAAGATTATTTTGATACCATTGCTCTCTTTTATGACATTGGTCTCTCTGCTTCCCATATCTTTTCCATTATAAGTCCTATCTTTGAACCTGAGTTAATATTTTATAAGGTAAAAAATCCATCTAGAAAATTAGGTTACTTTAATGCTTGTTCCATTATTAAAAAAAAACATTTTGTGACAGTGAAATACAGTGTCCATCTAGGATTCAAGTTTTGGCTTTGCTTCACACATTAAGGTATACTAGGAAATGCGCAGGGCAGAAATTAAGGGATCAGTCATTTGTCATGAATGTCTAGAATTATTTGCATTTAAAAATTGTATAGTATTTGTCATATGCTTGTTTTGATCATAATCATACCCTGCCTTATGACAAGATATACACATATTCTAAAATTACTTTTAACACCAGCATTATTATAGAACTTTCCATATATTTCTGCCTACGTCAGCTAGATTTTGAGTTCTTATGGGAGAAACTGTATCTTATACATTTTGTTAGCTCCTCTAAAAGTAATTAAATATGTATTTATAGTAGCTCTCAGTATATACATATATATGGTATTTTTAAAGTGTATCTTTTGGTACTACCATATGCCAAACCTTATTCTAGTTGTTTTCATATGTACACTTTATCTCTTGTTCTACCAATTACTTTACTTACTTTCTTCCTTGTATCTTTTTAATATCTTGTATCTGTCTGCCTTTCTTCTTCCCTCTTTTCTAAAAATAGACTTTACAGTTAGAGCAATTTTACACTCACAGCAAAATTGAGCAGAAAATACAGTTCCCATATACCCCCTGCCCTGTCACATGCACAGCCTCTCATACTATTAACATAATGCATCAGAGTGGTATGTTCTGATGAACCTACGTTGACAAACAATCACCGCAAGTCCACAGTTTACATTAGGGTTAGCTCTTGGTGTTACACATTTTATAGGTTTGGCAAACTTATAATGCTGTGTATTAACCATTATAGTATCATACAGAATAGTTTAACTGTCCTAAAAAATTCTCATTTCACCTATTCATCCCTCCCACCCACCAAACCCCTGTCAATTGTTGATCTTTTCACTACTTCCATAGTTTTGGTTTCTTTAGAATGTCATATAGTTGGAATCACACAGCATGCACCTTTGTAGATTGGCTTTTTTCACTTAGTAATATTCATTTAAGATTCCTCCATGTCTTTTTATGGCTTAACAGCTCATTTATTTTTATTTATCAGTAATTCAGTTGTCTGAATGTACCACAGTTTATCCATTCATCTGATGAAAGACATCTCTGTTGCTTCTAAATTTTGGCAATTGTGAATAAAGCTGCTATAATCGTCTGAATTCAGGTTTTTGTGTGGATATAAATTTTTGATTCATTTGGATAAATACCAAGCAGCCTAACAGTTGAGTTGTATGTTTACATTGTTAGTTTTGAAAGAAATTGCTGAACTGTCTTCCAAAGTGAACATTTTGCAATCTCACCAACAATAATTGTGATTTATTATTATTACACATCCTCAATAGCATTCGATGTTGTCAGAGTTTAGGATTTTGGCCATTCTAAGAGATGTGCAGTAGTAACTCAGTGTTTTATTTGCAATTCCCTAATGACATATGATGTTAAGTATCTTCTAATATGCTCATTTGTCATCTGCATATCTTCTTTGGTGAGGTGTCTGTCCAGGTCTTTTGCCCATTTTTAAAATCTGGTTGCTTTTTTTTTTTAGTGTTGAGTTTTAACAGTCATTTGTATATTTTGGATAACAGTACCGTGTTAAATGTGTCTTTTGAAAATATTTTTCCCAGTCAGTGGCTTATCTCATTCTCTTCAGCAGTGTCTTTTGAGTCAAAAGTTTTTAATGTTAGTGAAGTCCAACTTATAAATTAATTTTTACATACATTGTCCCTTTGATAGCTAAAAAATCAACACCAAATATGAAGTGACCTAGATTTTCTCCTATGTTATTCTAGGAGTTTTATAGTTTTGCATGTAACATTTAGGTCTATGAATCATTTTGAGTTAATTTTTGTGGCGAAGGTAAGATCAGTGTTTAAGATTTATTTATTTGTTGCATGTGGATGTCCAATTGTTCCTGAATTATTTGTTGAAAATTAGTTTTTTTAATATGTAAAAATGCACTCAGGTCTACCTTAGTGCATCAAAACACTTTGATTTGACCTGATGCTTTCTAAATCTTCAGCCAAAAGCTATTTAAAAAGAAATCTCTGCTATCAGCCTCCACTTCTATATACCCTCTTATTAACCCCTAAAATCTGGCTCACAATCTTTTCACTCTATTAAAACCGATACTGGAAGACAAAAGCTGTTTCACTTGTTCTTATAATTACATTCAGGAATTCTGAGACATGGAGTTTTACTTTCTATGTGAGCTGTGTTCTTCATCTCCTTTTCTGGTTCTTCTTCCTGTCTTCTACCCCTAATCATGGAAGTGCCAAAAATTTCTGCTTTGTTTCCATTCACTTCCTTCTCTATACTACATATGTATTTAATTGGATTTTAATGCCTTCATAACTCATTCCAATAATCACGGCCTTTCTTTTTGTCTTTTTCCACAATTCCAGCTGCAGTAGAACATGTATCTCTGAATAATTTAATAAAAATGTTATATTTAATATATGTGGAGGAAAACTCATGATTTTCTTCTCCATATAGTATCTTCCTTTTGATTTCCCTATCCCCAGGCTTGAAACTCCACTTTTGAATATACGCTTTTCCCAAGTTTGTTGCCAAACCCAGCAAGTTGCATGGATTTTATTTCTCCAAGATTCTTGTTTCTACCACTTTGTCCCATTTATATACGTATTATTATAATCCATGTATCTGTTAAATTTCATCTGGATATTTGTAACAACTTCTCAACTGTTTTCCCACCATTGGTCTAAACTCACTTCCATTTATTCTACACTATGGTCAAACCAATTGTCCATAAACTATAGTCCAGATCATGCCACATTTCTTCTACTAAAAATTCTGTTATTTGTGCTTTTGCCATTGCCCCAGGCGGCCTTTAAGCTCCTTCTTGAGGCATTTTACTGGACATTTTAGAAAATTTAGTATAAAATTATTTTAGAGACAGGTAGCAGATCTCAAATGCAGAACTTATTCAAGATTTGTAATGTGAAAGTTTCTTCTAGGATGGATATATCAACCCAGTAAAACAAACAAATCTCTGTTCTTTAAAAATAAAAGTTGTTTGTTCCTCTCTTCATTCCCAATTTGTTATCCAAAATAGAAACAAATAAATTATTTAAACTATTGTAGTATATTTGCTTTCATTTACATTACTGTATTGTCTTATAATTTATTTTTCAAAAATGTTTGACCATTGCCTTGTAAATGTGACTATGGACACTACTCTGAAATATAACTGAGGCTACATTTCTGTGTTGATGTGTATATCTGATTTCATTACATGGTCACATGTGCCTATAAGGTTTTTGGGGACTTTCACAACAAACTCAAAATATATTATCCACTAGTTTGTCATCACTCATTCTGAGTTAGAAGTTCTAAACATTAGAGAAATTCTTCTGATTTGATACCAAGATGGAGCTATTGTTTCCTGAAGGGCGTTTTAAAATATTTAATATTTTACATTAAAATATTTTAAAGAAAATATTTCTTAAAATTTTGAATTTTTAAGAATGTGTCTATCAGTGTCCTTTTGCAATAACATCAGGAAAATGTTTTCAAAAAAATGTTGTTAGAATAATTTCATTCCTTTATCACACCTCATTATGACAGTATTCGAGTGACTATCAGAACTACAGATCAGAATATTAAAAGGGTTATCTGACTGAATAATCATCATTAAACCAAATATACATGACTTGTAAGAGATCCATCCTAATCTAAAAGAAACAAAGTGGTTTAAATAGAAAGAGTGAAAAAAATATATATCATGCAAAAGCCACCCTAAAGAAAGTTGATGTCACTATATTAGTGTCAAACAAGGTAGGTATTAATATAATAAGAATTACTTGAAATAAAGTTAGAGTAGGACACTTTACAACAATAAAAATGTCAATTTACCAGTAAGATAAAAAAATTCTAAATTTGGATGCACTTAATACTATAGCCTCAATAGAATAAAGAAAAAATTAACACAACTAAAAGGAAGTATACACAAATATACAAATGTTGAAACACATTAAGATATCTTTGTCATTGATCAGTGTAGAAGTAGAACAAATAGTAAATAAAGTCAGTAAGGATATAGAAGATCTAAATGAAATTTTGTCCTAATTGGCATTAAAAAGAACACTACCTCCAACCACTGTAGAATATGCTTTCTTTTAAAATACTCATAGAACATTTATTACCATTGACCCTATGCTAGGTCATAAAGCAAAAATAAACTACTTTCAAAGGATTTAAGTCACATAAAATGTGGTCACTGATCATAGTGGAATTAAACTAGAAATTGACAATAAAATAGTAAAGATAAAATATCCAAAAGAAATATTTTTTCTTTTTTAAATTTTTTTAATTTATTTTTATTTATTTTTATTTTATTTTATTTTTTGCCAGCACTGTTCTTTATTGCACTAGGGTGCCACCGTCTTATTTTATTTTATTTTTTTAATTATACTTTAAGTTTTAGGGTACATGTGCACATTGTGCAGGTTAGTTGCGTATGTATACATGTGCCATGCTGGTGCGCTGCACCCACTAACTCGCCATCTAGCATTAGGTATATCTCCCAATGCTATCCCTCCCCCCTCCCCCCACCCCACAACAGTCCCCAGAGTGTGATATTCATCACTGGCCATCAGAGAAATGCAAATCAAAACCACAATGAGATACCATCTCACACCAGTTAGAATGGCGATCATTAAAAAGTCAGGAAACAACAGGTGCTGGAGAGGATGTGGAGAAATAGGAACAGTTTTACACTGTTGGTGGGACTGTAAACTAGTTCAACCATTGTGGAAGTCAGTGTGGCGATTCCTCAGGGATCTAGAACTAGAAATACCATTTGACCCAGCCATCCCATTACTGGGTATATACCCAAAGGACTATAAATCATGCTGCTATAAAGACACATGCACACGTATGTTTATTGCGGCATTAGTCACAATAGCAAAGACTTGGAACCAACCCAAATGTCCAACAATGATAGACTGGATTAAGAAAATGTGGCACATATACACCATGGAATACTATGCAGCCATAAAAAATTATGAGTTCATGTCCTTTGTAGGGACATGGATGAAACTGGAAACCATTCTCAGTAAACTATCGCAAGAACAAAAAACCAAACACCGCATATTCTCACTCATAGGTGGGAATTGAACAATGAGATCACATGGACACAGGAAGAAATATTTTTTAAAATTAAATATTTTGAAGTTAAAAGATAGATTTTTAAATGCCATATTTTCAAAGAAGAAATACAATGGAAATTAGAAAATATTTTGAATGAAATGATAAAAATAGGATATATTAAACTTGTGGAATATGAAAAGAGTAATATTTAAAGAAAATTATAGATATATGGCTTTTTATATTTTAAACATATATATATTTAAAAGGCTAAAAAAACCTAAGTGTCTGCCTTAAGAATCTGGAAATGGTATAGCCAATTAAACCTTACAAATGCAGACAAAAATAATAAAGAACA
The DNA here is from genome assembly GCF_000001405.40 of Homo sapiens. Lineage (NCBI taxonomy): Eukaryota > Metazoa > Chordata > Mammalia > Primates > Hominidae > Homo > Homo sapiens. The sequence goes on from NC_000002.12 coordinate 211,003,728, forward strand.
GGGAATAATGCCTGACGATTGCTAAGAGAGTAAATCTGCAATGTTCTCACCACAAAAAATATAAGTATTTGAGATGAAAGACATGTTAATTAGCTTGATTTAACCATTTCACAATGAATACATACTATAGAATATCACACTCTATACCACAAATATATAAAATTTTATTTATCAATTATAAATTAATTGTAAAAGAACAGAGAACAAAAGAAGTAGAAAACAAACACACAATAAAAATAATCTGTGAAGCCAAAAGTTAGTTTTTGAAAATGCTAATAAAATTGCTAACACTATGGCAAGATTGGTGTCATGGATCCTGTTGGTGTCCCACTCAGTTCTCCTCAAATACACCTTTGTACCTGTTCCTCAGTTGCTGTACATATTGGTTCCTAATGCTCACAACTGCTCTCTTAGATGAAGGATTGTCCTTAGGTATGCCAGAGGCCCTTAGCTGGGACAGCCTACAGCCAATAACTGATTGATGCCTTGTTTCAAGATAAGGCTAATACTATGGAACAATTTGTGCTCCGAAGTTCTGCATGATATCAAGGTAAAATTAGTCTCTAGTTTCTAGAGATTAATTGTTTATATAAGTTTGAACATATGTCTACATTAGTGAAACCATTACCACAATCAAGATTGTGAACACATTTGTCACTCCCCTGAAGTGTACTTGTACCTTGTGATAATTCCTTTCTCCTATTTAAAACAAAATCAAGCAAAACAACAAGGAAAACAGTGCTCTTGACTATAAAATTATCAAATTAGCAAGTATTTACTATTTTCATGGTAAATTAGTCATTGGACATTGATAGTAGACATAAGGTTTCTCTATATCAAGGAGACAAAAGAGAAGCCTATAATGGGAGACAAGGATAATAATAGAAGTCAAATAGGAAGAATATTTGTTAGACTATTATACCAGTAGCCATAGATTATTGTAGAAAAGCATGAAAAAAATTGGGTTAATGTAATCAATTCTGTAAAATAGACGTAAAATGGGGGAAAGGAGGCCATTACCTATTATTGAATATCAAAGACAAACTCTTCATTTTCCTAGAACTGGTTCTGATTTTATCATCCATGCATTGTTGTAGTCAAAATTACATATGTGTCTTTAGGTCATTACAGCTGACAGTTATCACTATTGACTATCCTGATTTATTTTTTGCATGATTCTCTTGCTGTGTTTCAAAGCTACTAATGAGGATGAAAATAATCAATTCATAGACAAGTTCTCCTGCCCTCCTAACTTTTTGTGTTCTCCTTGAATCAGCCACAACATAGTTAATTCCCATTAGGGATTCCCCATCAACAATGCAAGAATTACATGGACACATGCCAGATAAAGCTTTAAGAGTTTATAATATTGAAAACATTATGATGGCCATTTTATATTCATATAGCGTAGCACTGAAGTGGTAGTAAAAGGGAATTCCATTTAATTTTTCATTATTTCAAGGAAAAGACAACCAACAAAATCCTTTTTTATCTTGGCTGTGAAATCCTTTTGAGTACTTTGAAGCAGCAGCAGCTTGTTGTTATAAGTTACTTTAAGGAATGTTGTACCTCAGTGTGAATAGGTGACATAGGATTTGTTGTGTTCAGTGTCCTCAAGTGGTCACACTATTAGACCTTAATCATTTGTGTTTACCATGCCTTGTTATATCGTTAGGATATTTTTATATCTGTGCCCTTGGGAATGTAATTTAAAATGTTATTGCAACATAAGAAAGAAAACAAAAATCATAAAAGCCCCTTGCCTTTTATTTTATTTAGTTTCAATTTTCAGACCTGGATTTTTATATATTGTTTGTTATTAAATTTTAATCCTTGATCTTTTTCTTATACTGTTAGAGGGAACGATAAGAAACAAATGTTGTAGATAGGTTTGACTTCAATTATTTCAATAACAATGAGTTTATATCTATCTAAAATAGGTGTATTATTTAAAAATATTTAAGGCGGGTTGAGTGGTGTCACCCAGAAGCTATATCCACCCAGAATCTCAGAATAAGACCTCATTTGGGATAATAGCCCTTGCAGATAAAAGTAAAGTAAGAATTTCAAGATGAAATCATTCTAGACAAGGGTGTGACCTAAATCCAATCCAGGATGTCTTTGTAACACAAAGAAAAGGACAATACAGAGACACAGACGAGACTGCCATATGACAATAGAGGCAGAGATTGGCATTATGCTACCACAAGCTAAACAACACCTAGAGCAACCAGTAGCAGAAGACACAAAGAAGGAGGCTTCTTTAAAATTTCAGATACTGTGGTCCTGCCAATACCTTGATTTCAGACTTTTGGCTCCAGAATGATAAGATAAATTTTAGTTGTTTCCTGCCATCATGTTTTGGTTATTTTCTCTGGCAGACACAGGAAACTCATACAAATTTTGATACTGAACATTGAGGTGCTGCTGTAAGAAATATCTAAATGTGGAAATGAGTTGGAATTGCATAATGGGTAGATGCTGATGCTGGAGAACTTTGAGTCATGTGATAGAAAAAGCCTAGATTGCCATGAAGTGACTTTTGGTAGAAATGTAGAAATTAAAGTTTATTCTGGTGTAGGTTTACAAGGAAATAAAGAACATGACAGAAAAACCGTCTATCATTTTAAAGAATATATATATATATATAATCATTAGGAGAATATTCATAGAAATAAAAACATTAAAGGTGTTTCTGGTGAGATCTCAAAAGGAAATGAGGAACATGTTATAGGAAACTGGAGGAAAGGCAACCTTTGTTATATAGTGGCAGAAAACTTGGCTAAATCACATTCTACTGTTGGGTAAAAAGTTGAACATCTAAGTGATAAACTTGGATATTTAGCTGAGGGTCTTTACAAGCAAAGTGTTGAAGATACAGCCAGCTTTCTCCTTGCTGCTTATAGTAAGATGAGAGAGGAAGGAAATAAATTGAAGAAGTAACTATTAAGCAAAAAAGAACTAGCACTTGATGGTTTGGAAGCTTTTCAGCCTATCTTTGTTTCTAAGAATGCTAAAGTGAAGATATTATCTGTTGGGAAAGTGTACCCTAGAGAGAGGTCCTAGGTTGTGACTGGACAATATTTTACAGAGGAGATGAGGTATGAGACTCATATATCCATTCAACCATCTCAGCTGAAGCCATAAATAGAAATGAGATTATCCAGGAAAAATCTGTGGTGAAGCCTCTTGTCTAACGATGGAAATACTTATGACATACATGGGCGCTCCACAAGGTTTTTGCAAAATGTTATACCAGCAAAAATGCTGTCAGATTAGACTGAAAGGGACTAAGAGTGAATGAAATGAGACAAAGTTTTCAGACTCCCAAAATTTTACATGCAGGAAAAAGGCTGATAGAATTATTCAGTTGCAAACATCTGTTCTCCTTAAAGAAAAAAGAGAAATTACTCGAGGGCAGACCCTTGGGTGCAGAGACCAGGACCATGGGCCCAGAGGCAGGGGATTGAGCTGAATTAGAGACATCCTTTATACTAAAAGACAATAAATACTTTAGTGAGTAAACTAGGGGTGGGGGCTGTGAGGAGAGCACTACTCTGCAGTAGGACACTTGCCTGTTTTATTACAGAAGTGAAAGAGAATTTAAAATGTATAAAGAAGAAACAAGAAACATAAAAAAGACAAATACATAGGTTTAAAAGGAAACAGATTCTCAGAAATAAAAATCAAAAAAATAAAAGTGAACACATTGAAAATAGCTGAATAGAGCATTAAGAGTAATAGTGAACTCAGAGAAAGATTTAATGAGGTTGCACAGACACACAAGAAGAAAGTATATATTAAATATGGGTAAATAAAGTTCAAAGATTGAGTAAGAAATGTAAAACATGAAATTAATTGGTGTCTTGGGTGAGAATAAAGAGAAAGAAGGGCAATATTTAGAATAATAACTTAGAATTTTCCAGAGCAGGAGAAAGACATGAATCTTCACATTCAAGAGGCACAATGAAAGCCAACCATAAAAACATTAAAAAGAAACTTATACTTAGATTCATCAAGTAAAAAATTTAAGAACAAAATATTTAAAAGGATTTTCAAAAAAAATTTGGAGAGAGAAGAAAAAGAGAGAAAGATGCATTTTTAAAATTAACAAAAATAAGTTCATACATAAGTAAGCAGTAGCAGTATAAATCATCAGCTATTATGTCTAATTAAGGTTAAAAATGTTAAATGTATAATCTTGGCCTAAACTGCAGATATATCAACAGATGGTAATAAGAGCTCAAGTGTTTCATGATTCTTTGGCTTTAATTTTAGACTTTGTGTAGTTAAGTAGGTAAATTAAAATTTTATAATATCTACAAAGAGTAAAACTTCTAATTTAATGAGGGGTGGAAAAGGGGGAATAAGAGTTCTTGTATGATACTTACTGTGTGCAATATACTGTTCTAAATGCTTTCTGTGTTTTAAATTATTTAGTCCTCACAACAACCTTAGGGAGAGAGTATTGCTGTCATCCCTGTTATCAAATGAAGTAACGAGACACAGAAAGACTAAGAAAGTTGCACAGAATCATAGGACTTTGAGTATCAAAGGTGAAATTTGAAGCCATGCAGTCAGGCTTCAGAATATAAGCTCTTAAGTACCAAATACCATTCTCTCTGCATAAAAAAAGACAGGGCAAAAATAAATCCAGAGGAACCATAACCATTCACGCATTCATTCAGCAAATAGGTATCAAACCTCTACTCTGTGCAAGGTAGCATTCTAGGCACTAGAAAGACCCTAATATAGTTTTTAAATAGATCAAGTAAAATTGAAGAAGTTAAAAGAAGAAACTGCAAAAAAAAGATTTTTAATATATTTCTCTTATTGATAAATCAAGCAGACAAAATAAATCAATTATAATTAGAAGATTTGAACAATGCATATAACAAGCTTATTCAAATAAGACATCTAACTAACATTACCACCCAACAACTTTTCAAGCACGTATGGAACATTTCAAAAACTGATCACATTCTAGTTATAAATCAAGTTTCAAAAATTTTTCATGACCCCGTATGATATGGACACATTCTCTGAGCACGATGCTATTCATTTAGAAATCAATACCAGAAAGGGTATTTTTAAAACTATATACCTCATACTAAAAAGACAAACAAAAAATCCTCTAAATACCTAATAGGCTGAAGAAAAAATTCTCAATGGTAATTACCCTTAGAATTGAATGATAATGAAAATACCTCTCAGCAAAATTATGGAATATAACAAAGTAGCTCTTAGAAAGAATTTATAGCCTTATTTGTGAATTGGAAAGGAAGAAAAGATTAAAGTAGGTGAGCTAAGCATCCATATAAGAGGTTAGGAAATAATAATTTATAGAATCAAATAAAGTAAAGAAAGTTACATTAATAGGCAAAAATTAATAAAGAGGATTAAAACAAAGTTATTTTTTCTTTGAAAACACTAATAATGTTAACAAACCACTAGAAAGAGACACAAAGTCTCTTAAAGGAGAAGCATCTCTGGTACATGCAAAGAGCAGCTGAACAACTGAATACTGTGTGTTTGGAGCAGAGCAAGTGAGTGGAAAAGAGCAGAAAACACAATCAGAGAGATGACCTAGGGCTAGACATAGGCTAGCCCTATGACGTAGGCTTTATAGGCCGTTGTAAGGAATTTATTCTACTAAAATAGGGACCCATTGGAGTATCTTGAGGTGAAAAGAGATTTTATTAAAAAGTGATCCTCAGTTGGTGTGTTAAGAAGATTTTTAGGAGAAAAATGATGGAAGTGGTAGACCAGGAAGAAGGCCCTTTCAGTAGCCTGGGCTTGGCAAAAGATTAGGGGCTTGGATATCCTATGTTGGAGGTGAATTTGATACAATCTGGAAGTAGAGCCAACAGAATTTCTGGTTTTTTTGGATGTTGAGAAGGAGATTATAGAAGACTTAGCTACAGTGCTAGTGATGAAGATGGTAAGTTACATATACTTGATGTTCTGAATGGGATAGGAACTGTATACTAGCCTTGGATTTTATATTGGCTCTAAAGTCATCACATAAAGTAAAAATTATATTGTTACAAGTATTTGTGAAAATTCCTTAGAAAGGGAACATATTGGAGACTGATGTTTTGTACTTACTTGATTAAATGTAAGGGCTGTCTTTGTTAACAAACTTTCAAGGTCAGTGTTTGTAGTGATTAGATTACTGTTCAGCAACTAATGACTTTCTCCTTCAATCCCCAAGGGAGAAGTATTCATTAGGACTCCATGAATGCTGGGTTTGCCATGTGACTTTCTCTGGCGAAGTGTATGTTGGTGTACCAGTTCTTAGGAATTAAAAGATGTCACATTTTTCTAATGGCCCATTGAAGAGCTTCTGTCGTCCACTATAAGAAAAAAAAAATACCCCATTAGTTGATGCCCCTCAAAACATCATCTCAGAATATGAGACACAGAACACTCCTGAGCATAATCCGCAGCTGAAAGAATATTACCCAAGAGGACCTGCAGACTGAGAAATGTACACTTATTGTAGAAAGCCACTGAGATTTTTGCATTGTTTCCTAAAATGCATCGTTGCAATAGACATCTGACTAATGCAGTTATTTTCATTTTGCAAGTCAAAAAAGTCAGATGTGCAGAAAATAAGTCATTTGGGTAAGGTAGATCTGGAGACTTAGGCTCAAAACTCTGTTGTCTTTTTGCTGTTCACCCTGGCCTCTCAAATATTTATTACTAAACTTTCCATGGCCTGCAGATGAGTTTTTTCTTATCTGTGAAAATTTCAGGCTAATATTTATAGTAATATACTTTTTCTCAGTTTTATTTATTAAACACGTATTGATTACTACTGTGTCCCATATATAATGATGAAGCTACCTGTATGCCATTTAACGAGATTTTTTTTTTCACTACTGTTTTGCTCTGCTGATGGGTCTCTGTCCAGGTTTTGATTCCTTTCCATGTCCTATCTGCCTTATGCTGCTACAAGGATACCATATTGCCTGATGCATGAGTCTTAAATTATGACAGAGATAAATTTGTCACTTTCAGTGAAGACAAGGTCACTTGACAATCTGGTGCAGACAGAGTTGGATTGGATTTTAATTCATAGGCAGAGCTTTATGAATAGGTAATTGTCATGATCGAAAAACACTAATGTTAGAAGGAGAGAAAAAAATAGTTCAGGAAAATAATGCTAGCATAATTATTGTGAAAAAATGAACAATATATGAATGTTAACAAAAGAGATTCTTGGTTCCTATGTCTCCAGCATCTACGGTGAAATATGTAATTACCAATTTACATCTGCTTTTCCTCATTCTCTAAGCAGTCCTGGCCCTACGCGTTTGGTGATCAGAATTAAAAGAATGGGCAGAGAGAAAAAGAACTAGAGAGACAAAAAGAACTAGAGAGACAAAAAGAACTAGAGAGACAAAAAGAAAAGGAAAAACTATCTTTGCTGACTCAATCCTCTTTTGCGATATTTTCTAGCAATGGAAGATATGGGAGGCAGATTTTTGGTTCTCATGACCTTTGCATTCTGTTACACGTGCATGGTTATATAAGGTTGCATACAAAAGGGACTTTGCAGGTGTAATTGCAGGTGTTAGTAATCAGGTGCTCTCAATATAGGAAGACTACCATGGATTACCAGCGCAGGCTGAATGTAATTACATGAGCCTTTAAAAGCCTAAGAAATCTGCCATGTGGATGAAGCAGAAGAATTCAGAAGGACTCAAAGCATGAAAATGATTCAGAGAGCTTACATTTTCCTTCCCTTGTTCCATAAGCAAGAGTCTATCTTTGTTGGCTTTGATGATAAAGGGACCACAATCCAAAGAATGCTAATAGCCCCTAAAACTGAGAATGATCCCTGGTTCACAGCCAGCAAGAAAACGAGAGAATTCAGTCTTACAACAGCAAGAAATGGGATTTAACCAGCCAGCTAAGTAAGTTTGGAAGTGGATTTTCTTCCAGAGCACACCTGTAAGTGCCTATCTGGCTGACACCTTGATTTCATCTTTCTAAAACCCCAAGCAAAGGACCCATTGAGCTCAGCATGGACATCTGACTGACAGAACTGAAAGATAATAAATGCATGTTATTATAAGCTAAGAAGTTTTTGTTAATTTGTTTTGGTAGCAATAGAAAACTCCTACAGCAGAAGAGAAAGGGAACTTAAATAGATGTTGGAGATATAAACATAATAAAGATTTCAGAGACATAGGGCAATGTAGCTATATGCTGAAAAGAAATTGGAGGAAGAGTTTTGGGATCCAAGATTTTGGAAAGAGAGAAAAGGAGTACATACTAAACTGAAACGATTGTTAAAGTGATTTCTGCTATGAGCCGTGCTTCTTCAGATGTGAATGACTTTATTCAGAGAGATCTAGAGGGAGCCTGGGAAATATTTAGTTTATATAGGAGAAACTGGAGTTGGAGAAAGAATAAACATAATAAACAGAAGACATTTTGATAATCCAGAAATAAACGATTTACTCTAGAACTGACATGGTAAGAATGGCAATAAAGAGATTAGGCCCTGTTATAGATAAATCAAATACTTACTGTGAAAGATTGCCAACCTTGCATACTTAGGAAATTTACATTAGTGGTATCATCTGGCTCTGTGTCTCCGCCCTAGTCTCCTCTTGAATTGTAATCCCCAATTACAATTGGGGATTGTAATTTGGGGGAGGAACCTCTTGGGAAGTGATTGGATCATGGGGGTGGTTCCCCATGCTCTTCTTGTGCTAGTGAGTGAGTTCTCACGAGATCTGATAGTTTTATAAGGGGCTCTTCCGCCTTTGCTTTGCATTTCTTTCTCTTGCTTCCTTGTGAAGAGAGATGTGTTTCCTCCCGTTTCCACTATGATTTTAAGTTTCCTGAGGCCTCCCCAACCATCTCAGTGGAACTGTAAGTGAATTAAACCTCTTTCCTTTATAAATCACCCAGTCTCAGGTATTTCTTTATAGCAGTGTGAAAATGGACTAATATAGTTAGTGTATTGCCAAAGAACCCGATTTTAAGAACAGGATAGTCAGAAGTAGCTTTAGGGAACAGAAGTATGTGAGCTAATTCCATTTAGTTTATTAAAGCATGGTTATTGGTCATTAGTGATCTTTGCAATCAATTTGTCTATTTTGGGGGGCTTTGTATAGTTTTACAAGATAAAAAATAGATTTATTGTGTAACAAAAACAAAATATTGTAAAATTCAAAGGCGAACTCATTTATTTTTATATTTCTCTTTGAAACAAGTATCTAATCTGCAAGCTTTGCTTTCCTTCTAGAATTACCTGTCTTTAGTATCTCTTCTATCCACTGAGTAACTACTGAAATCTCAGGTAATCAAGTAAAACATGAATTAACTAGCCTGCTTGTGGAACAGGTGCTCTGATTAAGCTTATTTTCTAGTTAAATCAGAATAAATCAGAAACTTCTTTTATTCCTTATTGTTGACAATCTTCACAAAATTCATACATCTACTTTCTTGTCTTAGTGAATAGAGCAGAATGAACATTATTTCTCTTTTCATTTTGATGTGATAAGGTACACATGTGGGGCAGGGATTTGCATGGGATATGAATTCAACCTAGATTATCATTCAGATTGAATACATCTGATAACCTTAATTCAGGGGATCTTTCCAAAAAACAGAGCAGGGTCAATATTAAAAAAATCAATATGCTTAGTTGTGTTGTGGCCATTATTTGTGTTTATGTCATATAAATGATAAATTTATATAAAGCTCTGGAACACAGAAAACGAGTTCTTCATGCAAAACAAGATGACATTTTCTAAACCAAATTTGACTGGCTTATTTTTCAAAATATTCATAAATGATGCCAGTATTTTAAGAGTAAGCAATATCTTTCTCTTCCCTAGAAATTTCTTCTGCTTTCTCTAATTTTCTATGAATTTCATTATATTGTTAATATCTCATTATGAATCTTGTTATTGAGATTTTATGAACCTCCTTATCTCAATATCATTGTATTCACTCTGGTTCTAAAATTCTATGCTTCTACATTTCTAGACAAGTTAGTAAGGGCTCTACTTTAGGCTAGCATTAAAGGTAATATGGACGGTGCTGAAGCAACTTCAAGCAGGTGATTACCATTGCTCTTGGTCCGGTATGCTGTGGCGAACCTTTTGCACAATTGCTTTCAGCTGATCTGTTTTCCCCGCAATAGATTTTCCCATTCCTCATCCCTACCCCGACACTCATTCACAAGGCAAATAATTGCCTCCTAAAAAATCCAGGACCAGTATCTGAAACACAACAGGAAATACTAAAACGTATAACGCTTTAATTTTTGCCAATCATCCCCTATAATCTGTAAATGCAAAAAAAAAAAAACACAAAAGTTAGTTTTAATGCGATTTTAGAGGACCTCACAGAGGAGATACCTGGATAGGAGACAGTTGAAACCAGTTGAGCCTTTTGAACCAAAGTAAAAGGTAAGAGCTTTTAAATGACCAAGTGGTGACACCAAAGGAGATTAAAACTGTAAATGGATGTGGACCCTTAGGGTCTAGAAGAAAAACTGAAAAGGTTTGTGATTTACTGCTTTGAGGACAGTGAGGCCAGGAGATGATTTATTCTCAATTTTTATTTGTATCTTGAAGAAAGGAGACTCATTAGGTAAATGTAAGTTTAAGTACAATTTGTATTAAAGAGGAATAAAATTTGAATGTACCTATTAAACATCAAACTGAAGGGAAATTCTGCAAGTCATACAGTGCTCAAAGTTTGCTGGCTGACGTTGTGTGGCTGATACTCTCCTGCAAGCTCACACAGTTTGAGTGTGTCTTCCTACATTCCACGTGGAAAGGAAAACAATAAACACTGAGTCCATTGTACTAAAAGTGTGCACTGGGAGCTGACCTATGCTCTTTTGTAAAATCAATTTGGCACTCACCCTGTGTTCTCCTCGAACTGGACTTGTCTTATTAAATTGCATTTTATTTCCTTCCACCTCCACCACTTCCCTATTGTTCTGTCTACTGTGTCTGCCAATTACATGTGACCTTGCTGTTTTCACGAAGAAATCTTGCAGCCCTTTAACCTTCCAAAACTCAGATATTCTCCCACACACACTAAGGCAATGGAAACATGTTTTGGAATAATATGCCAGATAGAGTGATAACTCTCAAGAGTGAGAAGTTATATTTGACCATGATAAGTATAACATTTTAACGTTAACTAGACCCATGCAATACCTGTGTATAAATATTGAAAGTGATGTTTATAAATGAGTTCCCATCATAGTATTGCCTAAAAATTAGATCCTTTAAAAAATTTTTTCTTCAGAACGTATTTATTTGCACCTCTGTCACAAAAATAAAATTGAATTCACTATCTCCTCCTTGTTACCAAGGGCTCTGGGTTAGTTATACAGCGTGATTAATATTGATCCTGGGGGAGTAAAACTGTGCTCTTGTTTATAGAGTGAAAGAGAAGTTTATTTTTTTATCTATAACTATCAGTTTTTAAAGGTGAACAAACCCAGGTATTCAGATTCACATTGTATTTTTTCTCTATTATGCCTTCTCAGTAGAAATATGTAGTGAAATCCTGGTCTAAGTAAGGTCCTGTTATGGCACCTGCCACTTCAGTGCACTCTGGTACTTCACCATTTACTCTTAAAAAATGAAGATGGGATTTTGCTTATATTACTACCACAATTATTAAAACAACAACAACAAAAAAAATGGTTTTGCTGAAGGCTTGGGCAGTTTGAAATGTGTTTAACCTTATTTAAAAGCTATACTGATGCTGTAAAAATCCTGGGTCATAGATAGGGTAAATCTATTAATGTTAGAGAAGAGACAAAGGAGAGTGTGCATTTAAAAATAGAATGTTGAGGCAAATTAATTTACTTATATACCATATGCAAATGTTTTGGATATTTTTCATAAGTGTCCATCTGGGAAATCCTTTGTGTTGCTGATAATTTAACATGTTACTGTCTCTGCTTTGACCTTTTTGAAAATACACTGGTTAAGAGGGACTAATGCTTTAATATTATTTTATTACTATATTTTAATGTTTCAAGTTCGCGTTATAGATTACTTTAAAATGGACCATTTTTGATCAGTTAATCTTAAGTTATGAGTATTGGGGAGTTCGAAGAAAAAATGAGAGTGTATGAATTTCTTATACGTGAAGGATATGGGAAATGACTAACAAGGTGAGATTTTACAGTGTCTTCTTTTTGGTTCTTGCTATAGACCAAATGTTTGCTTCCCCCGCCCCACCTCTTCAAATTTATGTGTTAAAACTGAATCCTCAATATAAGGGTATTTGCAGGTGGGACCTTTGAGAGGTTATCGGGTCATGAAGGCAGAGCCCTCATGAATGGCATTAGTGCCCTTTTTTAAAAAAAGCCCCAGAGAAAATATGCTTTGATTCGGTGCTTTGATCAAGAACTTTCCAGCCTTTCGAACTATGAAAAATAAATTTCTATTGTTTATAAGCTACTTAGTTTATGGTATTCAGTTCTAGCAGCCTGAGCTAAGACAGTTTTGTTCAGTCAAAAACAGAAGAAAATTAAGAGCAGACTATGGGAATGAGAATGGTAAAAATAAATCAGAAAGGCAACCCCTTTGGAGCAAAATGATTCTGAAAGCTTTTCTCTGAAGCCCCAGAGAATGAATCAGTATGAGCTTTCCAGTATTTCTATCAACAGCTCATATGCTGCTTAACTTCAAGTTCTCCTATACTGAGAATTCTCGAGACACAGCAGCGTTTTCTGAACCGTGCAACCTAGTATATTTCTGGTGAAAGTGATCACTAACTATGGTTGCCTTACATCTTAATAATGCATGCGATTCTATGAAGCCTTGGTTTCTTTCTCCACAAGCACACAGAAGTAACTCCATCAGCCAACTCAACCTCCTCTGCTTTGCCCAAAACCTTTTTTTTTTTTTTAGTTTTTTTCTACTCCTCTTGAAGATATATGATGTTGTTCCTTTCTGAAAATCTCACTGCCTGTGGAGACTGATTCTTCTGAATTACCTCCACGGGCTCCTCTTCATCTTGACATTTCCAAATTGTAGGTCCATGGGCCTACTCTTTTCTTTTTGTAGTCTTGTTCTTGAGATCTCTCTCTCTCTTTTCTCCTCTCTCCTACCTCTGCCTCTTTTCCTCTCTCTGCCTCTGGCTCTTTTCTCTCTCCCTGCTTGTTGATTTTAACCACCTCTCTGTATTTTTAATCCCCCCCTACAAGATCTAGGTCTTTTGTTTCTCAAGTATTTTTAAATGTCAAATGGGTACTTCCAAAGCAAAATATCCTCACTAAACTAATGTTTTTCCTTTTGAAACTAGCTTATCTTCCTTACAGTCCTATTAAAAACAGATACTATTTGAATGTCTCATGCCCAAGATATCAGCCCCTCAACCCCCAAACAACACATACCTGCTGTATTGGATTGGACTTCTGAGAAGCAAAGGCTGAGCCAGGAATTTGATATTGTGACTTACTGGAGGAGAGCTTGTCAGGAAATACCTGTAAAGATGTGAGAGAAGGGAAAGGAGTGTAGTAAGAATGTGATACTAGGTAAAGAGGAGGAAGGGATATGGTTTTGGAGCATAAACTAAACCATAGAATTGTTTTCCCTTTAACACAAGACTGGTCATTTGTGCCTTATTAACTATTAACTGACTATAGGCACCTTTAAAGATGGGGTGGGTAACTTCCCATGCTAGTTCACTCAATTCAGTGGAAGGCACATTTCCTGTGACATGAGGCAGCTTTGAGCCTTTAGGGGATAATGCTCATGGTAGCTGATGGATGTGTGTACTGGTCACATAAATGGAATATGGATGAGCACCATAATGTCTGCTGCAACCACATACACTCTTATCCTTTCTCAATTGTCTACTTCCATGATAGATATGAAATGTATCATTATCACTGCTACCACCATAGTAATGACTTTTATTATATGTCACGTGGGCTTGTATTTTACCACACTAATTGCTCTCTACACTGAATCTTCTAAATCCATTCCTATTTTTTAACTTTCAAGTTCATGGGTATATGTGCAAGTTTGTTATATAGGTAAACTTAGGACATGGGGGTTTGTTGTACAGCTTATTTCATCACTTGGGTATTAAGCCTAGTACCCACTAGTTATTTTTCCTCATCTTGTCCCTTGTCCTTTCCTCCACCCTACGATAGGCCCAGGTGTGTGTTGTTTCCATGTGTCCATGTGTTCTCATCATTTAGCTCCCATTTAAAAGAGAGAACATGTCATATTTGTTTTATTGTTCTAGCCTTACTTTGCTGAAGATAATGGTTTCCACCTTCATCCATGTTCCTGCAAAGGACATGATCTCATTTACTTTTATAGCTGCATGGTATTCCATAGTGTATATGTACCGCATTTTCTTTATGTAATCTATCACTGGTGGGCATTTAGGTTGATTCCATGTCTTTCCTATTGTGAACAGTGCTGCAATGAACATATACATTCATGCATCTCTATAATGCAACAATTTATATTCCTTTGAGTAATGGATTGCTGGGTGGAATGGTATTTCTGCTTTTAGATCTTTGAGGAATTGCCACCCTGTCTTCCATGGTGGTTGAGATAATTTACACTCCCACCAACATTGTGCAAGAGTTCCTTTGTCTCTCCAACCTCGCCAGCATGTTATTTTTTGACATTTTGATAATAGCCATTATGATTGGTGTGAGATGGTATCTCACTGTGATTTTGATTTGCATTTCTCTAACGACCAGTGATGTTGAGCTTGTTTTCATGTTTGCTGGCTGCATGTAGGTCTTTTGAGAAGTGTCTTTTCATATCCTTGGCCCACTTTTTAATGGGGTTGTTTGTTTTTATCTTGTAAATTTAAGTTATTTATAGATGCTAGATATTGAACCCCTACCAGATGCATAGTTTGCAAAAATTTTTCCCATTCTGTAGGTTCTGTTCACTCTGTTGATAGGCCTTTGCTTTGCAGAAACTCTTTAGTTCAATTAGATCCCATTTGTCTATTTTTGCTTTTGTTGCAACTGCTTTTGGTGTCTTCATCGTGAAATTTTTGCCCATTCTTATGTCCTGAATGCTACTGCCTAGAACATCTTCCAGGGTTTTTATAGTTTTGGGTTTTACATTAAATCCTTGATCCATCTTGAGTTGATTTTTATATGTGGTGCAATGAAGGGGTCCAGTTTCAATCTTCTGCATATGGGTAGCCAGTTATCCCAGCACCATTTATCAAATAGAGAATCCTTTCCCCATTGCTTGTTTTTTGTCAGGTATGTCCAAGATCAGATAGTTGTAGGTGTGTGGCCTTATTTCTGGGTTCTCTATTCTTTTCCGTTGGTCTATGTGTCTGTTTTTATACTAGTACAATGCTGTTTTGGTTACTGTGCCCTATAGTATAGTTTGAGTTGTTGTTGTTGTTTTGATTTTTCATTTTCATAGTTTGGGGGGAACAGGAGGTGTTTGGTTACATGAATAATTTCTTTAGTGGTGATTTCTGAGATTTTGGTGTACCCATCAACCAAGGAGTATACAGTATACCCAATTTGTAGTCTTTCATCCCAAGTCCCCAAAGTTCATTGTATCATTCTTATGCCTTTGTGTCCTCATAGCTTAGCTCCCACTTATGAGTGAGAATATACAATGTTTGGTTTTCCATTCTTGAGTTACTTCACTTAGAATAATGGTCTACCAATTCATACCAGGTCGCTGCAAATGCCATTATTTTGTTCCTTTTTATGGCTGAGTAGCATTCCATGGTGGGGGTGTGTGTGTGTGTGTGTGTGTGTGTGTGTGTGTGTGTGTGTGTGTATATCAATTTGTTTATCCACTCATTGATTTATGGGCATTTGGGCTAGTTCCATATTTTGCAATTGCAAATTGTGCCACCATAAACATGTGTGTGCAAGTATCTTTTTGTGTAATGGCTTCTTTTCCTTTGGGTAGAAACCCAGTAGTGGGATTGCTGATTCAAATGGTAGTTCTACATTTCGTTCTTTAAGGAATTTCCACACTGTTTCCCATAGTGGTTGTACTAGTTTACATTCCCACCAGCAGTGTAAAAGTGCTCCCTTTTCTCCACACCCCCATCGACTCTATTATTTTTTTATTTTTTTGATTATGGCCATTCTTGCAGGAATAAGGTAGTATCACATTATTGTTTTGATTTGCATTTCCTAGTGATATTGAGCATTTTTCATATGTTTGTTTGCCATTTGCATATCTTCTTTTGAGAACAGTCTATTTCGCCCACTTTTTGATGAGATTTTTTTTTCTTATTTATTTGAGTTCCTTGTAGACTCTGGATATTAGTCATTTGTCAGATGTATAGATTGTAAGGATTTTCTCCCACTCTGTAGATTGTTTGTTTACTCTGCTGATTGTTTCTTTTTCTATGTAGAAGCTTTTTAGCTTAAGTCCCATGTATTTATTTTTGTTTTTGTTACATTTGCTTTTGGGTTCTTGATCAAGAAGTCTTGGCCTAAGCCAATGACTAAAAGGATTTCTCTGATGTTATCTTCTAGAATGTCTATTGTTTCAGGTCTTAGATTTAAGTCCTTGATCAATCATGAGTTGATTTTTGTATGAGGTGAGAGGTGAGAATCTGGTTTCATTCTTCTACATGTGGCTTGCCAGTTATCTCAGCACTATTTGTTGAACAGGGTGTCCTTTCCTCATTTTGTTTTTGTTTGCTTTGTCAAAGATCAGTTGGCTGTAAGTATTTGGCTTTATTTCTGGGTTCTCTATTCTGTTCCATTGGTATATGTGCCTAGTTTTATACCAGTACCATGCCGTTTTGGTGACTATGGCCTTATAGTACGGTTTCAAGTCAGGTAATGTGGTGCCTCTAGATTTGTTCTTTTCGCTTTGTCTTACTTTGGCTATTCAGGCCCTTTTTTGGTTCCATATGACTTTTAGGATTGTTTTTTCTAGTTCTGTGAAGAATGATGGTGGTATTTTGATGGATATTGCATGGAATTTGTAGATTGCTTTTGGCAGTATCGTCATTGTCACAATACTGATTCTACCCCTCCATGAGCATGGAATGTATTTCCATTTGTTTGTGTCATCTATAGTTTATTTCAGCCATGTTTTGTAGTTTTCCTTGTAGCAGTCTTTCACCTCTTTTGTTAAGTATATTCCTAAGTATTTTACTTTTTTGCAGCTATTATAAGGGGTTGGGTTCTTGATTTGATTCTCATCTTTGTTGCTGTTTGGTGTATAACAGAGCTACTGATTTCTGTACATTAATTTTGTATCCTGAAATTTTGCTGAATTATCAGCTCTTGGAGCTTTTCGGATGAGTGTTTTCTAGGTTTTCTAGGTATATAATTGTATCAACAGCAAACAGTGACAGTTTGACGTTCTTGTTACTGAATTGGATGCCCTTTATTTCTTTCTCTTGTCTGATGGCTCTGCCTAGGACTTTTAGTACTATGTTGAATAGAAGTGGTGAGAATGGGCATCCTTGTCTTGTTCAAGTTCTCAGGGTGAATGCTTTCAACTTTTCCCCATTCAATATTATGTTGGCTGTGGTTTTGTCATAGATGGCTTTTATTAAATTAAGGTATGTCCCTTAATGCCAAGTTGACTAAGGGTTTTAATCATAAAGGGATGCTGGATTTTGTCAAATGCTTTTCCTGCATCTATTGAGATGATCACATGATTTTTGTTCTGTTTTGTTTTGTTTTGTTTGAGATGGAGTCTTGCTCTGTCACCAGGCTGGAGTGCAGTGGTGTCATCTCGGCTAACTGCAACCTCCACCTCCCGGGTTCAAGCGATTCTCCTGCCTCAGCCTCCCGAGTAACTGGGACTACAGGTGTGTGCCACCATGCCCAGTTAAATTTTGTATTTTTAGTTGAGATGAGGTTTCGCCATGTTGGCCAGGATGGTCTCATTCTCTTGACCTTGTGATCTGCCCACCTCAGCCTCCCAAAGTGTTGGGATTACAGGCATAAGCCACCACGCCTGGCCGTGATTTTTGTTTTTAATTCTGTTTGACTTGCAGATGTTAAACCATCCCTGAATCCCTGGTATGAAACTGACTTAATCATAATGGAATATCTTTTTGATATACTGTTGGATTTAGTTAGCTAGTATTTTGTTGAGAATTTTTGCATCTATATTTATCAGGGATATTGGTGTATGGTGGTTTTTTTGTTTGTTTTTTTTGTTGTTGTTGTTGTTGTTTTTTTGTTTGTTGTTGTTGTTGCTGTGTCCTTTCCTGGTTTGTGTATTAGGGTAATACTGGCTTCATAGACTAATTTAGAGGGGATTTCTTCTTTCTTTATCTTTTGGAATAGTGTCAATAGGATTGGTACCAATTCTTCTTTGAATGTCTGATAGAATTTAGCTGTGAATCCATTTGGTCCTGGACTTTTTTTTGTTGGCATTTTTTAAATTGCCATTTCAGTCTCACTGCTTGTTATTGGAAGATTGTATATTTTCAGGAATTTATCCATCTCCTCTAGGTTTTCTAGTTTATGTGTGTAAAGGTGTTCATAGTAGCATTGAATGATCTTTTGTATTTCTATGGTATCAGTTGTAATATCTCCCATTTTGTTTCTAATTGAGATTATTTGGACCTTCTCTCTTCTCTTGGTTAATCTTGCTAATGGTCTATCAATTTTATCTATCTTTTCAAAAAGTCACCTTTCTATTTTATTTATATTCTGTATTTTTTGTTTGTTTCAATTTCACTTAGTTCTATTCTGATCTTTGTTATTTCTTTTCTTCTGCTGGGTTTGGGTTTGATTTGTTTCTCTAGTTCCCTGAGGTGTGACCTTACATTGTCTATTTGTGCTCTTTCAAACTTTTTGATGTAGTCATTCAAGGCTGTGAACTTTCCTCTTAGCACTGCATTTGATGTATCCCAGAGGTTTTGATAGGTTGTGTCAGTATTATCATTCAGTTCAAAGTTTTTTTAAATTTCCGTCTTGATTTCATTGTTGACCCAGTGATAATTCAGGAGCAGGTTATTTAATTTTCATGGTTTTGAGGGTTTCTTTTGGAGTTTCTTTCCAATTTTATTCCACTGATAATACTTGATATAATTTCAGTTTTTAAAACTGTATTGAGACTTGTTGTGTGGCCTATCATATGGTCTACCTGGGAGAATGTTCCATGTGCTGATGAACAAAATGTATATTCTGCAGTTGTTGGGTAGAATGTTCTGTAAATATCTGTTAAGTCCATTTGTTCTAGGGTATAGTTTGTTTATTTGTTGACTTTCTGTCTTGATTAGCTATCTAGTGCTGTCAGTAGAGTATTGTAGTCCTTCACTATTATTGTGTTACTGTCCATCTCATTTCTTAGTTGTAGTAGTAATTGTTTATAAATTTGGGAGCTTCATTGTTAGGTGCATATATATTTAGGATTGTAATATTTTCCTGTTGGACAATTTTTATCACAATATAATGTTCATCCTTGTCTTTAAGTGCTGTTGCTTTAAGGTTTGTTTTGTCTGATATAAGAATAGCCAATGCTGCTCAGTTTTGGTGTCCATTTTCATGAAATGTATTTTTCCACCCCTTTACCTTAAGTTTTTGTGATTCCTTATATGTTAGGTGAGTCTCTTGAAGACAGCAGATACTTGGTTAATGAATTCTTATCCATTCTACTATTCTGTATCTTTTAAGTGGAGTACTTAGGCCATTTACATTCAATGTTATTATTGGGATATGATGTACTATTTTATTCTTCGTGCTATTTGTTGTCTGAATACCTTATTTTAAAGCATTATTTATTATGTTTTTGTTTTATAGGTCTTGTGAATTTATGCTCTAAGGAGGTTCTGTTTTGGTGTGTTTTGAGGATTTGTTTCAAGATTTAGAGCCTCTTTTAGCAGTTCTTGTAGTGCTAGCTTGTTAGTGGCAAATTATCTCACCATTTGTTTATCTGTAAAAGACTGTATCTTTCTTTTATTTATGAAGCTTAGTTTTGCTGGAAACAAAATTCTTGGCTGATAATTGTTTTCTTTAAAGAGGCTGAAGATAAGGCCCCAATCCCATCTAGCTTGCAGTGTTTCCGCTGAGAAATCTCCTGTTTAATTTGATGGGTTTTCCTTTATAGGTTACCTGGTGCTGTTGCCTCACAGTTCTTAAGATTATTTCCTTCATCTTGACTTTAGATAACCTGATGACTATGTACCTAGGCAACGATCTTTTTATAATGAACTTCCCCGGTGTTCTTTGAGCTTCTTATATTTGGATGTCTAGATCGCTAGCAAGGCCAGGGAAGTTTTCGTCAATTATTCCCTCAAGTATGTCTTCCAAACTTTAGATTTATTTTCTTCCTCAGGTACACCAATTATTCTTAGGTATGGTTGTTTAACATAATCCCAAACTTCTTGGAGCCTTTGTTAATTTTTTTTTAATTCTTTTTATTTTTCTTTTTGGATTGGGTTAATTTGAAAGCTTTGTCTTCAAACTCTGCAATTATTTCTTCTACTTATTTGATTCTATTGCTGAGACTTTCAAGTGCATTTTACATTTCTCTAAGTAAGTTCTTCCTTTCCAGAAGTTGTGGTTGTCTTTTATTTATGCTATTTCATTGAAGATTTTTCTTTCATATTTCGTATCATTTTTATTTTTTATTTCATTAAGTTGGACTTTACCTTTCTCTGGTGCCTCCTTGATTAACTTGATAATTAAACTTTTGAATTCTTTTTCCAGCAATTCAGGATTTCTTCTTTGTATCCATTGCTGGTGAGCTAGTGTGATCATTTGGTGGTGTTAAAGAATCTTGTTTTGTCATATTGCTAGAATTGTTTTTCTGGATCCTTCTCATTTGGGTAGTCTTTGTCAGAGGGAAGATCTGGGGCTCAAGAGCTGCTATTAGAAACTTCTGCCCCATGGGGTGTTCCTTTGATGTAGTGCTCTCTCCCTTTTCCTAGTTATATGACTTCTTGAGAGCTGAGCTGCAGTAATTGTTATTTCTCATATGGATCTAGCCACCCAGAGGAGCTACTGTGCTCCAGGCTGGTACTGGAAGGTATCTGCACAGAGTCCTGTGACATGAAAGGTCTTCAGGTCTCTCAGCTGTGGATACTAGCACCTCCTCTGGTGGAAGTGGCAGGGGAGTGAAATGGACTCTGTGAATATATCGGGGGAACCTGCCCCCAATAATTCAATGTTATTTCATGTAGGTTCTTTTCTATTTCCCTAAGTGTTGGCCAGTCTGAGAAATAAAGGGAAAGAGTACAAAAGAGAGAAATTTTAAAGCTGGGTATCCAGGGAAGGCATCACATGTCAGCAGGTTCTGTGATGCCCCCCAAGCCGCAAAACCAGCAAGTTTTTATTAGTGATTTTCAAAGTGGAGGGAGTGTACAAATAGGGTGTGGGTCACAGAGATCATATGCTTCACAAGGTAATGAAATATTACAAGGCAAATGGAGGTAGGGTGAGATCACGGGACTGGGGTGAAATTAAAATTGCTAATGAAGTTTCGGGCACACATTGTCATTGATAACATCTTATCAGGAGACAGGGTTTGAGAGCGGACAACCAGTCTGACTAAAATTTACTAGGAGGGAATTTCCTCGTCCTAATAGGCCTGGGAGCACTACGGGAGACCGGGGCTTATTTCATCCCTTATCTACAACTGTAAAAGACAGACATTCCTAGAGCAGCCATTTTAGAGACCTCTCCCTAGGAACGCATTGTCTTACTCAGGGCTGTTCCTTGCTGAGAAAAAGAATTCAGCGATATTTCTCCTATTTGCTTTTGAAAGAAGAGAAATATGGCTTTGTTCCGCTCGAATCTCAGGCACCCAGACCTAATGGTTATCTCCCTTGTTCCCTGAACATTGCTGTTATCCTGTTCTTTTTTCAAGCTGCCCAGATTTCATATTGTTTAAACACACATGCTTTACAAACAATTTGTGCAGTTAACGCAATCATCACAGGGTCCTGAGGCAACATACATCCTCAACTTACGAAGATGACGGGATTAAGAGATTAAAGACAGGCATAGGAAATCACAAGAGTATTGACTGGGGAAGTGATAAATGTCCATGAAATCTTCACAATTTATATTCAGAGATTGTAGTAAAGACAGGCATAACAAATTATAAAAGTATTTATTTGGGGAACTAATAAATGTCCATGAAATCTTCACAATTTTATGTTCTTCTGCCATGGCTTCAGCCAGTCCCTCTGTTCGGGTCCCTGACTTCCTGCAACATGAGTATCCTTAGTTGTAATTTTGTTTATTGGTTTAGTTTTGTGCTGGTTGGCCTCCTGCCAGGAGGTGGCACTTTCAAAAGAGCATCATCTGTGGCAGTATCAGTGGGCAGGGCCCTAGAGCTCCCAAGAGAATTTGTCCTTTGTCTTTAGCTACCAGGGTGGATAGAGAAAGACCATCAGGTGAGGGCAGGGTTGGGTGTGTGTTAGCTCAGACTCTCCTTGAGTGGGGCTTGCTGTGGCTGCTATGGGGGTTAGGGGTGTGGTTCTCAGGCCAATGAAGTTATATTCCTGGGGGATTATGGGCTACAGCATCCTATGCTATGTCATGCAGGTCACCAGCGAAGTGGGGGAAAGCTGGCAGGTACAGGCCTCACCAAGCTCCCATGCAGCCCAAAAGTCTGGTCTCACTCCCACTTGTGCCCACCCTCCCCAACAGCACTAAGTTTGTTTCCAGGCAGCAGATAAGCAGGGCTGTGAACTTGCCCCAGGCTACCAGCTTCCCAGCTGTGAAAGCAAGCAGGACTTTCAGGTTTTGTGCCTCCCTACCTGCTGTGGGGCTTCTGTGCTGTGTCTGCACTCTGGATTCACCTCCCTTCCCTGAGTTTTGTCCAGGAAACTTCGTGTTAGGTGGAAATTGTTACAAAGTTCAGCTGGAAGTTTCCTTCTCCCTGTGGTCTTTTCCAAGTTCCTCTGGCAGCTCTCCTCAAGGACCCCTGTGAGACAAAGTCAGAAATGCCTTCCCTGGGGACTGAGAGAGCCTACAGGACTCTTCCCACTGCTTCTTCTACCCCTGTATTTTTCTTGGCTATCTAAATTTGTCTCAGCTCCAGTTAAGGTCAAATCCTTCTCCTGTGATCTGGACCTTCAGGTCCCCCCAGTGAAGGTGTGTGTTTGGGGATGGAGAATCCCTGTTTCACACTTTCACACTTTTGGCACTCACAGTTTTGGGGCTGTCTCCTGGGGCCCGCAGGAGCAATCTGCTTCCTTCAAAGGGTCTGTGGATTCTCTTGACTTTCCTGGTGTGTTCCTGCAGTAGTTCTTGGAGCAAAGTCTCATAATGTGAGTCTCCACACACTGCTCTGTCCAACTGAGTGGGAGCTGTAATTTAGTCCTTCCTCCTATCTGCCATTTTTCTCTATCCACCTGCCCATTCCTATCTCTAATTACAACACTTATCATAGTTCTGGTCTGTCCAAATGTTTTCAATTACTTGATTTAAAAAAGTATAGATTTCTACTTGTAGTAGTCAAAGTTCTCTACCTATCTCTATCCAACTTATCTTTCCAGATTTATTATTAAACATATAACTTATGTGCTTCTGAAACAGGATTGCCTCTTTCCTAAATATTTTCAAGACTTTTAAAAAATCTATATTCTACATAATTACTCATTTATTTTTCCTGCTTTTGCATTTTATTATATTGAAAATAATTTCTGGTCGGGTATGGTGAGTGGCTCATGCCTGTAATCCCAACACTTAGGAAGGCTGACGGAGGATTGCTTGAGCCCAGGAGTTTGAGACCAGCCTCAGCAACAACCTTGTCTCTACAAATTTTTTTTTAAATTATCTAGGCATGATGCCATGCGCCTGGGTTCCCAGCTACTCAGGAAGCTGACGCAGGAGGATTTCTTGACCCCAGGAGGTCAAGGTTGCAGTGAACCATGTTGGTGCCACTGTACTCCAGCATGGGCAACAGAAAAGAAAAATAGAAAACACCTTCTTTCTATACTCCATATTTGAATGACTTAATTTGTTCTAACCTGATTACATATATGTTTTTTATTATCTATAATTATATATTATCTATATAATGTGTATATTATCTATAGTTAGTCTGGATACTTCCTGAGGTACTTGATGCTTATATGAGGCAGAATAGATGTCTATTAACCTGATTGGCTCCCTACTAAATTGTAACTTGTTCAAGGTGTCTTTTACTTGGTAATATTTCCCACAGATAAATATTTGTGTAATTGAATTGAGCTACATGAAATGGTCTAATTTTGACTACTTTGTCTCATTGTTAGAATGTGTCTTAAGGTCACAACAGTAGATTATTTAATGTAAAGAATATTTACTTTAAAGAGTATTTTTATAATAGTTTTAGGTTCAAAGCAAAATTGAGAGAAAGGTACAATGATTTCCCATATACCCACTACTCCAACACATGCATAACCTTCCCCATTAACAACATCCCCCACCAAAGGGGTACATTTGTTACAACTGATGAATCTGTGTTATCACATCCTAACTGCCCAAAGTCCATAGTTTATGTTAGAGTTCACTCTTGGTGTTGTACATTGTATGGGTTTAGGCAAATGTATAGTGGCATGTAAACACCTTTACAGCACCATAGGGAATATTTTCACTGCCCTAAAAATCCTTTGTGCTCTTCCTATTCCTCCATCTCCCAATCCCCTACTCCTGTCAATCACTTGTTCTTTTATTGTCTCCACAGTTTTGCCCTTTCCAGAATGTCATATAGTTAAACAATATGTAGCCTTTTCGGATTGACTTCTTTCACTTAGTAATATGTATTTAAGATTCCTCCTTGTCTTTTCATGGCTTGATAGTTCATTTCTTTTTTATCATTGAATAGTATTTTATTGTCTGGATATTTCACAGTTTACCCATTCGGCTACTGAAGAACATCTTGATTGCTTCCAAGTTTTGGTAATTATGAATAAAGCCACTGTAAACATACATGTGCAGATTTTTTGTGAAAATAAGTTTTTAAAAATGTCTGGAAATCAGAAACAATCTTCAACAACTCATCACTGGAAATCACCTTAATATATATTTGGTGACTCATGCCTGTAATCCCAGCACTTTGGGAGGCTGAGCCGGGTGCATCACAAGGTCAGGAGTTTGAGACCAGCCTGACCAACATGGCGAAACCCCATCTCGACTAAAAATACAGAAGTTAGCCAGGCGTGGTGGCACGTGCCTGTAATCCCAGCTACTCAGGAGGCTGAGACAGGAAAATGGCTTGAACCTGGGAGGCAGAGGTTGCAGTGAGCCAAGATAGCGCCACTGTACTACTCCAGCCTGGGCGACAGAGTGAGACTCCATTTCAAAAAAAGAAGAAGAATGTATAAAAATATATTGGGCAGAAATCTGGTAGAGGCCATTTTAACCAAGTGATGAGAGTTATTAATATTCAGACAAATTCATAGAATCTGCCTCCTGATACAATGAACCAAAAGGGACACAACATCACTTCTATGACATGCCTGCCAATCAGTGAGATAATTACACTGTACCCCTAAAAAATATCAAGGTCCAGAAAGACAAAGACTGGGGAAATGTTCCATATTAAAGAACTAATGAAACATGACAAATAAATGCAAAAAAATCTGAAGTGGATCCTTGACCAGCAAACAGAATAGTAGAGGACATTATTGGAATAATTTAAAAACAAATATGGAGTATGGATTAGATATTATATTGTAAATATTCTGATTTTGATCATTTTGCTATGGTTAACTAAGAAAATATCTAGTTTTGAAAAATATATATGGAAGTTCTTAGGAATTAAGAGCTACAGTATTTCCAACTTTTCTGAATGGATTTAAAAAAAGCTATGTCCATGTGTGTGTGTATACTTTCATCCATCTAGCTATCTAGAGAGGGAAGGTGTATATGTTTATGCATCTGTTGGAGAGAGAGAACACAAATAGGAGAACATCTAAACAATTAGTGAATGTGGGGGAAGTGTATATGGAAGTTCCTTATATTCTTGAAATTTTGCTATGAATTTGAAATTACATTAAAATAAAAATTTATGAAAAATGATTTGTGGTATACAGAGTGATGTGATTAAATTATATCCCATCTAACCAAAGCTCCCTTGATCCCTAAAGACTTTTGCATATTCCATATTAAGACTAGATGGAATTTATTGTTATTTTTCTCTTTTGGGAATTTACATTGACTTGACTTCCTGAGTAGAGAACTGGCAAAATTGTGCTTGTCATCTATTAAATGGGATTGTATAGAAAATTGCTAAGAGTGAAATAATAACCAGTTTTAGAGGCATGACTTATCTGATATTTTCTCAATTTTAATCTTAAAATTCAATTCAAAACATTCTCCTGTGCAAAGTTATTAAAAATTAAGCTTAATTGAAAAAGAAAAACTCAAGTTATACTCATTTTCATGTAAATAATTTGTTCAGATTTTACATTTATTTCCTAAAAGGCATTACCTTGGTTAGTTTCTCATTTCCTCTACCGTTCTTTTATTTCTTCCAACATCAAAAACCAATCTGAATGCATGGTGCTTATCAGTAAGCAGTTGAAGAAGTGATTTGCTCTTTTTGAGGAGTAACATAACAGAATTTATTATTTTTTCTCAAATTGTTGTTAGTTCACATTTTATCTCATATTACTGTTACTCAAATGTATGCTTTATCTTTACTTATTCATATTTTCATTTTCTAATGCCTTGCACATATACAGGTCTTAATGTTTCCCAAACTGAAGCATGCATGAATAAATAAATGAATAAAAAATTTGTATTTTTTTCTAGGTCAGCTTAAATCATCACAATTGAAAGTTAAATTCAAAACAAAGTGTAATTATATTTGAATTTGTTAAAATGATTATTTCTGAATATCCTACAGTGCCTTAAAATGGATTTAAAAGTGACTATGAGAATTAGCTATATGGACATGGCATATAGGAAGGAAATGTAAAATGCTATATAGTGACTCTCAGCACAGACAGAGTTAAATGCAGTTTCATAGTGTTGGGCCAAACAAGTAAAATAGAAAGGTGGAAATTGGTTATGAAATCTAGGACACCCATGTAGCTTGGGATTTATGATAACTTACGGAAATTAGTTAAGAGAAAAAATAAAATGTTTGAAACTAGAGGAGCCTGAAGGTACTCTTGGTGTATACTGTGGCAGTTGAACCATGGCTCTACCTTTAATGGTAGGTGCTTGGATGAAAAAAATATTTTTTTCCGTTTTTAAAAAATACGCTTTTTATCTATCAATTTTATATATCATTATTTGATAATTTTGTGATATTATACTATTTCCAACAGTTATTTATTTGAAAATACCCTGTTAAATATTACAATGTGTGTTAACTGTACACTCTTTTAAAACTGATTTAACTCAAATTAAATATGCAATGATGACCTCACTCCTAGGAATGATATGACCCTGGGTGGCATTCGGTTTGTCAGGTATTTCTAATCAAAAAATGGTTTTGCTTTTTGAAATATTGCTCTTCAGGACACAAAGATAGTGGAGAGAGCTCTGGGTGACTGAGGACTGAGCTCATTGCCACCTTCACCATTTCATGGAAACCTGCTTTCCCTTCCTCTGCCCCCTAATCACTGGCACCACCATCCACCAAAGGCAGGACTCCTAAGTCAGCTTGCATTTATTTCTCCTTTGTACTCACATCTATCACCCTATTGATCCCTACACACTGCTTTATTATATGTTCTCTACATATCTGGGAGTGCTGCTCTCCTTGTCTTAACCTCGACTGCTGATTTTTATTGTGGCTTCCTCATATTTCAACTAAATTATAGCAATAGCTCCCTAAGAGGTCCCTGCTTCAAGTTCTAATGAGTCCATCCTCTATGATACTGTGGGAGAAAGAGAGATTTTTCTAAACTGCAGTCTGCACCTGTCACTCAATTCTTAAATTCCTTTAGTTGGTTCTACATCATTTTGACAATTAAAGCCAGACAACTGATATGACATACAAAACCTTAGTCATTTTGGTATGACTTTACTTAAAACTATATTTTATTTTATTTTTTTCTGTTCCAGCATTACTTCTCATTCTTCATTCTATCTTTCTCAGATAGGCATCCTTCATAATTGCAATAATATTGATGTTGCTGTCAATCACAATGTTCTTTTTTTTCTTAGCCAAGCCATGAACACATGACGTAAGACAGATCAACCAGAGACTTCCCTAGAATCTGAATTTTAGGTGGCTATGTTAAACAATTAGCATGTCTGTGCATTAATCATGTCTCTTTGCATTGAGCATGCTTTTATTCTTAATGAAATCTCTCATCTCCACGCTTCAATGCAAATATTACCTTTTTGGAAGCTTTTTAAACTCCACCATTCTGAGATAGAGACGTTTCATTTTTACTTTTATGCACTTAAATCTCTGCAATTATATTTTTGCCTATATGCACATATTCTCCTGTAAAAATGTTAGCTGCTTGAAAGCAGGTGGTAATAGAAATACAAAGGAATTGAAGAAAGAACATGAACTCAGTGGCAAATTAGATAAATTAGAAGAAAACAAAGAAAAGGATGTAGAAAAATACAGTGTGCTAAAGGATTCTAGTAAATGCAGCAAACCATAGCCATTGTCTTCCACAATAGGGAGGTACTTTTGGAGAAAGCATGTCTGGTAGTCATTAATATTGTTTATCAACTATCTCTAGGTTGTTCCCCGCCAGGCATGTGAAAGGACTGTATTTCCTAGGCATCAAGTAATTTTGGCCAAACTGTTTTGAACAGAACTTTTTTATGATGCTTCTAGGCCGGAGCATGTAATTGCTGGAGTGGGATCCTTCATGGATTTCTCTTATCCTGGCATTGACAATGATAGAAGAGGAGGCCCCTCCTTCTACCTGGGTAACTGTGATTAACAGACACAGAATGGACGTGTGCTGAGAAAGAAATCGTTGCTATGTTAAGGTGAGATTTTGGAGTTCTTTGTTAGCACAGCATACTCTACCCTATCCTGGTTTTGCCTGACTAAAACCAAGTGAATAGAAACAGGATAGCCAATTTGAACATACCTTTACTCTTAGTGAAATAATCTCTCATCTCTGCACTTCAAAACAAATATTACCTTTTTGGAACCTTTCTAAACTCTTCCATTCTGAGATAGAGACATTCCATTTGTACTTTCATACACTTAAATCTCTGTATTACATCTTTGATTATATGCCTGTATTCTCCTGTTTGCAATTATATTATTCAAACCACTAGCACTAAAGCGCTTGATCAGAAATACAAAAGAACTAAGAAGAATAAATAAAATCACCAACTTTAAGCTAGAAATCTTTATTAGTAGTAAAAATCAATAAATCTGATATTAATTGTATCTGTGTTTGATATATTCCAAGCATCATTAGTTATTCTATGCCCCATTGAGATGCTGCTTCTTTAGCCTCTGGCTGCAGAAAACTCCACAGACATTCACAGCCCTTAGGCTGTCCTGTCTATTGTAAAGAGGAGTCATTTCATGCACAGATTGTGTGTACAAAGGGAATCATACGTTGTTTTGGGGGACAAGGCAAAAGGAGGATGACAGCAAAAGAACACGAGAAAAAGAAAATGTGTGATTTTGTTCACATTCTTCCCAACCATATGCATATATATATAGATAGATATATACCCACCAAAATGTTGGGGATAAATCAGGGAAATTAATCTACAATGTGGCATTTCGCTCATCAACAAAACAGTAAGAAAGGTGTTTTTTGACAGGAGTTTGTAAAATACAGTTCTGATCCATCCTCTAATGATATCACATGAGAAGCTTCACAAAGCTCTCATAAGAGGCCTTCCTTGTTAAAGGGGGTTGGCAAAGTGCTACTAATTATATGTGTGGTACACAAAGCAGTGTAGACATTGAATTAATGCTTGAACAAACGCAATGTCTGAAAAATTAATGTCTCAAAGCAGAATTGTCCAGCATTAAGTAGTTCAGAATACAACAGATAAATGTAGATAAATGCAGCAATTATGTAATGTACTGATTTTCTCAAATTCTTTGTATTTCTAGATAAGCACAACAAAGCCACCTGATTACAGTGAACAGATTACTAGGAAGTCGAAGACTGTTTCTGCATCTGGGGGCTGTAATTAGATCTCCTGGTTTATTTCCAACCAGGCAATTTTATGCTAGTGGTTTGAATAATGCAGTTGCAAAATTAAAGTATCACTAAAAGAAAATGAAATATTTTAATATTGATATACATTCATTTTAATAAACACTGTGACAGAAACATTATACATCATCAATATTGCTGATTGATTTAGAACCTTAATCCCATCCTAGTCAGCTGGTAATATCTACCACCAGAGGGCAGAGAGTGAATGCTAATGATGTAATGTGTGTTATCCCATCCAGGGTAATCCTATTCTAGTGGCATTCTCTAAGTAAATCTCAGAGTATTATCATTAAGAGGGTTCTCTTGTCACAGACACAACCACCACAATCTCATTTTCTCTCCTAAACTATTCGGCTCAGATCGCTTAATTTTTCCACCCATATCCTTTCAAGATAACAGAAATACTTCTGCATTAATCCTTGTCCTTAGTCTTTCAGTCAAGAACAGTGAAGATAAAAAATATGCACAAATAAAATACTATTTGTTGGTTCTGTATATAGGAAGAATGAAAGGGAATATTTTTGTAATTGCAGTATGCTCTATTGAATTTGGAGTATAGATTAATAGATTTTTCAGTAAATTTATTGTTATAACCAGTAAGCATTTTCATTCTATTTGGAGAAAAACTAATTTCACCCAAAATTTTTGAATCCAGGTTCCAATCAGTTCTAAACACGTTTGATGGCATGAAATTTCAATTTATTATATGACAAAACAAAAATATGTATATGCATCTTGTAAATGAGTTACATATATAAAAACTCCATCAATGACTCTTCCATTTTAAAATAGGAATTATGTGTCTTAGTGCTAAAAACTTAAATGAGTTTTCTCAAACTATTTTATTTATTATTGACTATGACCATCATATAGAATACCAGTGTAAATTGGATACTTCATAAATAGTGATTTACAGTTCATCGTATGCTGGAACTCAAGAACATTTTTCATAAGTTGGCTTTATTGTTTTCTGGACAAGGATTGTTCTTGCTTAGCATGACCTTGGTTCAGGTGATGAATTCTATTATAGAGCCAAAGAAGTTTATGTTTTTTTATCTCCTTTTCATCATTGTTTGGCTCTACGAAGATTAGATAATGCATGCTCTCTGGAAGATGTTGAATGCACATGAAATCATTATGTGAACACACTGCCAGTCTTAAAGCTGAAAATTATTTTGAATAGTGGATTTCAGAGCTGATCAACTTGGCTTGGTCTCCTTTTTCAACCTTAAAAGTTAGCATTTAGTGAATGAATATCACTAACTAATGTAAAGGTAAATGCCAACCAGATTGTGTTGTCTCTCAAGGATGGCCCATCTCATATATCCTCACATATAGAATACAAGTGCAGTGTTAGGGAAGAATTCAATTTTTCTGTGCTGCTATTTTACAGAATTTATTTTATTAGAGATCCAGTCCACTATTCTTCCTGCCAATTTTCCTATAAAGTCTGATGAGATCACCTAACTAAAAATTATTAGAAGCACTAAATTTGCTTTGAAAATAATAGTCACACAGAATTATTACTCTACTTAATCTTTGAATATAATGCTCTTATTCTTTTGTGTTCTAATAAACTTGGAAAATGATTATTCTTACAAGTTAACAAAATACTTAAAAGCTTACTAAGCATCTACAACATTCTAAGAACTATGTCAAGCCCTTCAGTTTTATTTTATTATTTGTCCTATGTTACTGATGGGGAAATTGAGAACTAGAAAAATACCTTTGCCTTCTGCCAGATCTTCTGATTGGAAGTGTTAAGTGCCCATGCCAGTTTCATTTTGTTAGATGAAGCAGATCTCATGGCCCAACCTGTCATCACTAGAATAGGAAGTCTTTCCAGAACCATCTCATCAGGGAGATGCAACAAATGTTTTGATATAAAAACATCTATGACCAATGCAATCATGTATCAGCAAATGCAATTAGAGATGATAGGAAAGGGCACACTATACTGCCTCCTGGTGGTTGTGAAACTTTCAGAGAGAAAGCTATGCATAAATTAAAAAGGACCTTTCAGGAAATGTAAACAGATAAAGACATGATACGAAAATGCCAGCTGTATTTGGGGAAGAATAAGCAGATCAGTTTGAGCGTAGACTTGTCTCTGAGGTAGTGATAGGAAATGTGGCGAAAAGTACATTTTGTGCCATGCTAAGAAGTTTTTACTCCATCCTTTAGGCAGTGTGTGTGTATGTGTGTGTGTCAGCAGGGGAGGTAAAAGAATCAGGAGTCTTAAAACTCCACAGCAATGAGAAGGTTTGAACTGGGTTCAAGATTGGCCAAGTGCAGTGGCAAATGCCTGTGATCCCAGCACTTTGGGAGGCTGAGGCAGTTGGATTATTTGAGATCAGGAGTTTGAGACCGGCCTGGTCAAAATGGTGAAACCCCATCCCCACTAAAAATACAAAATTAGCCAGGTAATTGGTAATTTTGGTAGCGGGCCTGTAATCCCAGCTATTCGGGAGGGTGAGGCAGGAGAATCGCTTGAACCTGGGAGACAAAGGTTGCAGTGAGCCGAGATGGTGCCACTGCACTTCATCCTGGGCAATGGCAAAACTCCATCTCAAAAAAAAAAAAAAAAAATCTGGCAGCAGTGGGTGGGGGTGAGGGAGGGCTTGGGGGTAAGGGTAGAAAGAGAAGGGAGTAGGCAACATCTACGGCAATCAATCCTCTTGGTGTCCATTGCACAGTCCAGGCAATGGCTTTACCAAGATGTGGAGGGTAGAGGGATAGACAATACTCAAGGGAGTTTTAGGCTCAAATAAGTACATGTTAATATGGTAATTCTTCCTTCAAATAGAAATACCTTAAATACAAACTGAAGTTTTGCAAAGCAAAATGAAGATGTTTTTTAAACAGTGTGCTTATTGAAAGTAACAACTTGGGCATAGTATTTTTCTTCTGACATGCATTACAAAAGGGACTCACACAGGTCGATTTTATAGGCAAAAGCTGGACAATGAAATACTGACTTGGCTTATATAAATAGTTTGAACTGAACTTAACCTTATGAGAAGAACAGGGGCAAAGATTATAGGTGATTGTAATTTTTGTAAGTAGTTAAAATGAAAAGATTTTTGAAGGCTTTTTCAAGTAAGGAAATTGTACAAGATAAAACAAGAAACAAAATCCCATTTCCTCAGAAATACGCTAACTATTATGCAATATCTAAAAGAAAAATATAAGCGTTGATGCTTTTCTCTCAAGTTGTCTTGTTTGTGGGTAATATTTTTCTTTTCCTGTGAAAATCTGGAAACCCAAGTTGTTTGTACTACTCACATACAAAAAACCTTCCACTTATATCTTTAAGGAGTAAATGTGTTTTATCCTTTCTTTTCTTGTCCCTGTGGTTTATTTCCAATATTCTTTATTTTTAAGAAATGCTTGAAGTGCTTCGTCTGGTACTTGATTTAGTTTCTGGTGAACTTGCATAGAGTATTATGATCTATTCAAGTGTATATTATCTATTCAATTCACACAATGGAATTGGAATAACTCAGTAGTCACTTGCATGCATATATTTAACTAGAAGTTCCAAATTTCCTATATTTAAATCTTAGGAGAATCATTTCGTATGATTAAAATACATTGTTTAAAAGCACCTTTTAAAATCTCAAAAATGACTCAGTTCCAAATTCTCTAACTTGTACCTTTCTATTTGAAGCTACATTTTTCTATTTAGGATCTCATGCTGTTTCCAAATCAATACAAGTTTCTGGCAAAAATACACTCTGCCATCAAAATAAGAAGTGTATGTTTTACTTTTTCTTTGTAAAATTTGGTATAATATCAGTAGCATGTTATAGAAGTGAGTAAGGTTTACTTGATGTGACTAGTTATTGAATTTGAAATGTTTACATTGGTATAAAATTTGAGTATTTGAAACCTTCGTTAAAAATTAAACAATTTTGACTCAAAGATACATTACTGAAAGCTCAAAATTTTGTTTATACCTTATTTATGTGTATTTTACTTATTGTAATAATAGAATGGTTTAGCTTATTTTTTCTGGAGACTAATACTGGGAGTCTATGGCCAAGTTTCTGATAAGAGAGATGATTTGGAAGATGTATAATCAACAGTGATATGAACGTGTGCTATCTGTTAGGGGTGTCATCTATGTCAGGCACTATAGGAGGCATGTGTGGTTTTCTTTTATTTAATACTCTCAACAGCCTGGCAAAGTAGACATTGTCATCCCCATTTTATTGATGTGTAAACTAAAATTGTAAAGGAGTCACAAATAATTTCAAGTTCACTCAGCTAGTAAATAACAGAACAAGGAATCAAACCCAGATATTACTCTTCAATATGAAAGGTAGTATGAAAAAACTACCTATTCTGTTCTACTATGGGTTGAAAGGAGGCATTAGAGGATCGGGCTAATACATACTGTGGAAATGGGGTGTCCATATAAAGCTGCAGTTTTCTTCAGAGAAGTTGCCCAGTACCCTTTTTCTGGGTGGATACTCTATATAAGGATAGTGAAGCTGGAAACTGAGGAAAGAGGCAACAGCAAAGGGGAATCTCTGATCAAATGCTTCCTTATTGAACATATAGTCCCACTTAGAAGAACTACCGTAGCCCAATCAAGACTTAAACTGCAAGGATTCCCTTACTAATATTTTGGCATATCTAGAAAATGTACCCACAAATGATGGGAACTAACAAGATTACAGTTTAAAACTGAGGAATAAGCCCTAGACTCTGGTAAAATGATGAATTAGATGATTTTTTTTAAAAGAGGCCCTTATAAGAGGCCCATGGTACTGGTACCAAAACAGATATATAGACCAATGGAACAGAACAGAGCCTCAGAAATAACACCACACATCTACAACCATCTGATCTTTGATAAACCTGACAAAAACAAGAAATGGGGAAAGAATTCCCTATTTAATAGGGAAAACCTAGGCAATACCATTCAGGACGTAGGCATGGGCAAAGACTTTATGACTAAAACACCAAAAGCAATGGCAACAAAATCCAATATAGACAAATGGGATCCAATTAAACTAAAGAGTTTCTGCATGGCAAAAGAAACTACCATCAGAATGAACAGGCACCTGCAGAATGGGAGAAAATTTTTGCAATCTACCCATCTGACAAAGGGCTAATATCCAGAATCTACAAAGAACTTAAACAAATTTACAAGAAAAAAAACAACCCCATCAAAAAGTGGGCAAAGGATATGAACAAACACTTCTCAAAAGAAGACATTTATGAAGCCAACAGACACATGAAAAAATGTTAATCATTACTTGTCATCAGAGAAATGCAAATCAAAACCACAATGAGATACCATCTCACACCAGTTAGAATGGCGATCATTAAAAAGTCAGGAAACAACAGATGCTGGAGAGGATGTGAAGAAATAGGTACGCTTTTACACTGTCAGTGGGAGTGTAAATTAGTTCAACCATTGTGGAAGACAGTGTGGCGAATCCTCAAGGATCTAGAACTAGAAATGCCATTTGACCCAGCCATCCCATTATTGGGTATATACCCAAAGGATTATAAATCATGCTACTATAAAGACACATGCACACGTATGTTTATTGTGGCACTATTTACAATAGCAAAGACTTGGAACCAACCCAAATGTCTATCAATGATAGACTAGATTAAGAAAATGTGGCATATGTACACCACGGAATACTATGCAGCCATAAAGAAGGATGAGTTCATGTCCTTTGCTGGGACATGGATGAAGCTGGAAATCATCATTCTTAGCTAAGTATCACAAGGACAGAAAATCAAACACCGCATGTTCTCACTCATAGGTGGGAACTGAATAATGAGAACACTTGGACACAGGCCGGGGAACATCACACACAGGGGCCTGTCGGGGTGGGAGGCGGGGGAAGGAATAGCATTAGGAGAAATACCTAATGTAAATGATGAGTTGATGGGTGCAGCAAACCAACATGGCACATGTATACCTATGTAACAAACCTGCATGTTGTGCACATGTACCGTAGAACTATATATATATATTAAAAAAGAGGCCCTTATGGTAGCTGTCTCAGGAATGCCTATTTTGTATAAAACAACTAACTGTAACTACTTATTACATAAGCATTTGCTTCATTTTTCAATGCCATTCTTGTAAAAGTCAATAGATTTTAATAAGGTATTTGTTAGTGTGAGTGTTTTAAATAAAAGGAAGACATTTAGATAATGTAAAATAATATATTCAAATTTTATTATTATTCAAGCATAGCCTAGAAAAAATTGAAACACAAATGCAGGTGGAACTTTTTCTACTAGATATTGAAATGTATTATAGGTAGGATTTTAAATCTGTAGGAAAAGGTGTAGTGGTCAGTAAATTTTGATGGAACAAATGTCTATGCATTCAAAAAAAATTAGAACACTGTCTTACTCCTTATGCCAAAAACAATTATATATTTATGTCTGTTTGCAAACAAAATTTAATTTACTCAGAAATAATATAGGAGAACATCATTTGTAATTCTCTTCTAAGCTTGACAAGAAGCTATAAAGAAAAAGATGTAAATACAAATTCAAGTAATTAACATTGTAAGAAATAAAGTTAAAAAACATAAACATTTCTCACATTAGTAAATATTAAATAGCTTTCTGTCAGTAAAAAAGCTCTTATCAACTTCATATAAAAGCCGCCAAAGAATTCAATAGGTAATTCACAGATTGAGAAGTAGAAATATCCAAACATAAGAAATGTGTTGCATTTTACAAGTGATTAGACAAATACATTTAAAACAACAAATGGAATGAATTTTTATCTGTCAGAGGCATATGAATGAAAGCAAATTAAAAAAGAGATGCATGCAGTATTAGAAAGCCTGTAGGAGGTAGCTTAATCTCACGTACTGTTGGAACTTGGTACCACCTTCTGAAGGGCAGAACTATTAAAATTTAAAAGTTGCCTGCTGTTTAACCTAGCAGTTCTGCTTCTGGGAATCTCTCTTAGGAATACTATTATAATAGCAGAATACTAGAATACTATGATATTAGTATAAAAATGAGAATAGTCACTGCAGCGTATTTTTTTTTTTTAGCAGAATAACAAAACCTGAAGATAAATTTACATATTCAGGATTAGGGGAATATTTGGGGAAGTTTCCTTCATCCATACTGTTTAATTAAAATTGAATTTAACTATAAGGAAGCACATACACACAAATTAAATAATACAAAAATAGAAGAATATTTCTCTGTCATGTGAATTTGAGTGTCAGTATGCCATCTCTATTTCACGAAGCCCTCAGGGACCCAGATTATCCGTTTCACTGCCTGCCATCTATATGATATGGCTCCTCATTTTCATGGTCCAGCTGGGAAGTAACCACATTCAAGATGTAGAATGGAACAATGTACGAGGCAGAAAAAGGGGCAAGGGGGTCTTAGTATTTTTTAAAAAAAGATCTAGAGCAAGCTTGTCCAGCCCATGGGGGTGGGCTGCATGTGGTCCAGGACAGCTTTGAATGTGGCCCAACACAATTTGTAAACTTTCTTAAAACATGAGATTTTTTTTTTTTTTTTGCTATTTTTTAGCTCATCAGTTATCATTAGTGTTAGATTATTTAATGTGTGGCCCGCCCAAGACAATTCTTCTTCTGATGTGTCCCACAGAAGCCAAAAGATTGTACAACCCTGATCTAAAGGGTTGCAGAAAAAATGTCTGTTTACATGGTATTGGTCAGAACGTAGTCACATGGCCAAGCTTAACAGCAAGGATGTAGTCTTTATTCTAAATGGTCATTTGACCAACTAAAAATTGTATTGCTTTAGACAAAGGGATAACAGATACTGGTAAGAAGCTGATGGTCTCTGCTGAACATACTGTAAATAAAGTAGCCATTAGTGTATTACTTGAAAGAATGATTTTAAAATACAGTTAAGTTAAAGAGCAATTTTTAGAAGCCTATTTATATATCATGACCTCTCTTTGACTCAGTTTGGCATCAATAAAGTAATAACAGTAAATATTTCACATAATTGTCATAAAGATTCAGTTATACATTTTATATTAAGTGCAAAGAATAGTGCTTGGCACATAGCAAATGATTGATATGTGTTCATTATCATGATTGTCTAAAAATACTATCATATAAGTGGATAAGTATATGTGTATGGAATTACATTTCACTCTTTGTTCATTTTTGTATTTAAAACATTTTTCAAGATGTACTACTTTTATTTATTTGTAACCTAGTAAAATATCCAGCTGAATGAGAGACAGAAGGAACATGCTTACATATTTTCTATAGATATATCTTTTTAAGATTTAAAATAACTTCCAAAAAAGAGTAATAATCAAGAGAAATTAGAATATGTTATATAGTGGTTGTAACTTTTGAATTATCACAGGATTAAAAGTTTTAGGCATTTTGGCATGGTGGTATAAGCAGTAGATTGAAGAATGGCAGACTTGACTTATAAATGTTACCTCTTGTTCTAACTAGTTGGAATATTTGAAGACAATTCATCTCTCTAAGTAAAAGGTATTTTTCTATAACAAAAGATGATGTCAAAAATAGTTTAATATTAGAACCTTGCTGAAGTTCTTTCGCTTAGCAGTTTGTCAAGTTTTATGACTTTAAAGAGGTTCCAGAAACACTATGAGCCTCAGCTTCCTCATCTGAAAAGTCATGATTTCTATAGGACAAATGTCTATTGTCTTGTACAAATTAGATATTTAATAAATCATACTTTATTTCTCACTTGTCTCTCTGATCTTCAATTTCTTCATAGTAAAATTAGAACTACAAAATGGGTATCTTATTCTAGATGATATTCTAGGTTCTAACCAGTCAGAATATCTTGTATTTTAAAATAAAGCACAGTTTAGTAAATACACATATTACTAATCAAGAAGCGGTAGAGTAAAATCAATAAGAAAGCTCAAATGAATGGAAATACAAACCTACTGCATTTTGAGGACTTATAGTAATAGCTTGCTTTAGAGGAAAAGATATCTCAATAGCAGGAAAATGTAGTGTTTTTTAAAATCCTCAAGTGGACATTCACAGCCTTCCCCTATGTTCCTTAGATATGACTTTGGATTCTGCTTTTGATGTAATGGCTCTGGGCAAGAAAAATCCATCTCTGATCGTTGGAGCACCTGGTACATCTATCTGCCCCAGAGGAGGGATCAGAGCTAAGCATAACTCACAAAGGGCAACAACTGAATGGTAGAGTTGAGACTGCTCTTGTAAAGCACTGGATCAAGAGAAGAGGACCTAGAATATATGAGAAATCAGTGAGGCTGCTTCTTACTCACTGACAGGCAAAACTGTAGGAGATAATTGGCAGTTCCTGGAAAGATCTATGAAAATACACTTGGAAGTAGTAGGAAGAAAGGCAGGGAAGAAAGCGGACAGGTAGAAGGACAATTTGACAGTCTTTAGCATACAGTGGTGATGGTTTATTAATCTTTGTAAAACTTAATAAATTCCTGGCTCATAGAAACCATTCTTTATCTGATGGTTGAATTTGGAAAATCTTAAAGGAGGGAAATCTGAGGAAGGTACGTAGAGTTAGAGGAAAGCCATGATAATTGCATGTATCGAGCAATAGTTAGAGACCAGGAACTAACTGTGCTGGGTGGTTTGGAATATCAGTTCATTTTTCACCACACACAAACACACATACACACACACACACACACACA
This sequence comes from Homo sapiens, assembly GCF_000001405.40. NCBI lineage: Eukaryota > Metazoa > Chordata > Mammalia > Primates > Hominidae > Homo > Homo sapiens. The sequence continues at coordinate 211,043,440 of NC_000002.12, forward strand.
CACACACACATCCTCTGAGGAAGCAGTATTCTCTTTTTAAAGCTGAAGACATCGAGCCTTGTAGAAGTTATTTACCTATGATTATTCAGAACATCATTTGAAGTGAGCATTCATGTTCAAATTGTATGGCCTTGGGTTTTTTATTGTTGTTATTTTCTTTTGTTTTTACCAAACTATCCCTTTATACCTTGTCAATTCTTCCTCTTCCCCTAAGGTAGTCACTAACTAAATATTTAGGAAAAGTGCTATTTAAAATGCAAGGTGCTAGGGGTTTTCCTAAAAACTAGGAAGAAGCTTGTGATATAAAGCCCAATCTTGAATAATCTTGATAAAATATAATGAAACTTTAAAATATAAATTTATCTTATCCAAATTCTTCTATTATGATTTTATTGACTTGATATATCAACAATTTTAGAATTTATGAAATTCTTGCCCCAACTTTTTATGAAAGCTGCTAATGACAATTAAATTTCAAGCCCTCTTTTTATCACTAATTTATTTATGTTGGAGAGTTTCATCAAGTAATAGTTAAAGAAATCCCAAAATATATTGAAAAGTATGACAATAAATGTACATAAGACAGAAAACTGAAGAAGAGAAGAATATTGAATATTCCAAACAATGGTAAGGTTTGGGTTGTATTTTAATAATATTTCAATTCTTAAGTATAAACAAGTATAATTATGTCTTTCTGTGAAGGATTTTTAGAAAGTTTATTGCAAGAGTTTCTTGTAAACTTCATCCATTGGTCCAAAAATAACATGATATCATTTAATCATTCAATAATTGATGTTTTAATTTATTTACACAAATGGTATTTTACTTTTTTTCTGTTATCTCTTTTCTCTGGCATTTTTCATTATTGTTTTGATCGGATAATTAATGGCATAGGTGTTTATTTAGAAGTGTTTTCCGTTTCAGGGTACTCTGAAAAAAAGCCCACTTTTATTGCAGAAAAGTGCCCTTCAACAATTAACTGTTAAGTGCTAGTGCAAATTAAAGCTCCACACAGGTAGATAAATGAATCTGTCACACATATAATTGCCAGGCAAAGTGGTTACACTTTTAGCCATTTTCATTTGTTTGCTAATGCAGCTTTCCATTCTAAAATGATAAATCATTATTTGTGAAGCAGGCATTTCCTCTCTAGCTAAAGAATATGTTTCCCATTGTTAATATAGACTGTTTTAGGGTTTTAAGGAAAGAAAAGGAGTGAGGGGAGTCAATGGTGTAAAATGTCTTTTTTTCTCCCCTTTATGATGCAGGCTCCTGGTAGATGATTTATAGTTTTTCATGAACCAAAATAAATTTAAGGAAAAGAATGTATATGCTCCAGATGACACATAGACACAGCTGAATACTATAACCACAGAAAAAGTAACTCTTGAGGTCACAGAATTTGAAATCTGTATGAAATGTGCAAAAAATGTTTTAAGAACAGCTCACCTTTACATTGCAGCCCGCTGCTTTTTATACTGTGTCTACAGAGAGCTGCTGATTTTAATGTTTCAAAGATCTTTCTTCTTTTTTTCTTTTTCTTTTCCTTTTCCTTGTTTTTTTTTTTTTTTTTTTTTTGTTCTGGCAACATGATAGTGAGAAAATTGTTTTCATGGACAAACTAATATAGTTTCTGATAAACCCATGATACAACCTGAAAACAAATGATTTAGCAGTCTACATTTCAGTCTGCTGCAATAAATTGAAGAGCCTGAGGCTAGGTAAGCTTTGGTACTTAAATGTCAGCACTTGGTTCAGGAGTTCTATTTACATAATCTGTTTACTAATTGCTGACTCAGTGCATTTTTATAATGTGGAGCTTTGAACAGTCTGATTTTTAAGTCAGCTTTCATTCTAGCTTGTGAGCCTAAAAGAAGGAAAGTGGCAACCACTTAATGAGGAGACAAAATGGTGACGGTCATTGATTTGGTTATGAGTGAAAATAGCTGTATTGAAGGTATCACCACGTCCCCTCAAATCAGTCTCCATCATTTTCTGGACTCGCAACAGAGTTTGGATGTGTGAGACATTCACATAAATCACTCTAATCACACATTATCTGTGAACTTTGGAGTAGTAGTTTGCACCATTTGTAAATTTGCATTGTAGGCAGAAGTTTCGATTGGAGATTTCAGTTTACAGTTGTCCTTTTCAGAAAGGGCAATTCTCAGAAAGTCCATGAGTGACTATAACTGAAGAATAATTCAGGGAAATGAGGTAGAAAAATCCCCAAATTCATCATGGCTAACTGTATTTAAATTAAAAATGTTTTTGATGTTTACTTAAGGAAAAGCACTTGGTAGAGAGAAGTCCTTGACCACTTGGTAAGATAGTCAGGTATTACACAGGCAACATGACAACCATGATGAAAAATGTATAGAAATGCATTTCATGGAAACTAACTCAAGGAATTCTTGTATATGTAAGAGTTGTTCTTTCTCTCCTAAATATATACATATATATATTTATATATATATATATGTATATACACACACACACACATATATATATAAAGTCTTTCATTAAAGAGCTAATTATATCACAATACTTTGGCAAAATATCTGTTTTGCATCTTCAGTCATATTTTATCTCTTCCTGAAAATATCCTCTTAATTTTATCTATGCTCCTCTACTCTTTTAATGGAAAAAGAGAATGGATAAAATATATGTATAGGATTTTTATAAAAATGTGAGAAGTAGAAGAAATTTTTATGATAAAATTTCACATTATGACACTCGATTCTTATGGAATATTATTGAAGGCCATAATTAAGTGACCCAGAATTGATCTCAATTAGATATACATCCATCTGGATAATTTCAGAGGCTTACAGTGCTATAGGAAATGGTCCAATGGTAGACAAACATATAGGCAATAAGCAGAAGCAAGAAGGGGAGATATTTTCTAATGTGGTTGTTAAGCATTAAAGATGCAAGCCAATTCTGTGTGGGTTATTCTACTAACAAAAGGTTAGATCTAGAAGAGAAGAGAAAATATTTGAAAATAAAACCATAAAGTATTTTATAAATGAGCTAATTACATCATAACAAGTTTGGTAAAAAACTTGTGGTTTGCATCTTCACTCATATTTAATGTCCTTCCTGAAAATGTCCTCTTAATTTTTTATCAGTGTTCCTCATTCTTCAATTATCTAGCTCAAAAACTCATTCTTGCCAGAAAGATTTGCACATTTAAAATCATATTAAGAAAATGATTTCTAATGTTCTCAGTATTTAAACAGCCAGTTTGGCCTATATTGTATTAACTAATATAGCTAAGAAAATAGGGCTAGACAAAAATTGGAGAGCCCAAAGAATGAAGGAAGGAATTGATAAGCTTCTTCAACATCAACATTAAAATAAAAATGAATCATCAATTTACTTCTGCAACCATCATGATATGGAACTTGAATGACTCTAAAAAAATGGAATGAGTTGCCTGGTTAAATGATGATGGGAGCATGGGGACACTTTTCTGCTTCAGGGACTTTCTCTTGACAAGTGCCATTATACCACCATCACATTCTTTCTTTCAATATACCATGCTCCCAAAATCATATCACATAGTCTACTTACCCATTTTTTCCTTCCCATTTACACCTTTTCCACTTACGTTCAACACACACACACACACACACACACCCCAGGAGATTTGGACACATTTGAAGTTACATTCACTATAAATGCCAGTTTAAAGTGGAAAAATTCCTTGTTTTAATACCTCCTAAGTAGTCATCTTTATTATATTTTTATATATAACCTATTCAAAATTCTGGACTGCACAAATATTCGGTGTATGTGTAATCTCTGATTACTGCTGGCTCCAATAACTAATTGTTTCAAATAGGTTTCAGCAAAGTAATTTAATTAGAATTTGAATGAACGCTTATTTGAAGCCAACATTCAGGCTTTATTTCTGAAAATAGTGCCGTCCTTAATGATGAAGGGAAATACATAATAATTGAGTATTGTAATGACTCAAAATGAATTTGATATTTTAAGACATTCAAGAGGTAGAGAGTGTTTAGAGATGAAAAAAGAGAGAAGAGAAGGAAAGAACACTGACATTTATAGCAATGTGATGTTAGCCAACGTTTCAGGATGCATGTGGGGAGCTCAGTGTGTTACCCTATTTTATTGGAAAACACTTTTCTTCATAACCAAGGCTCACAGCAGAAGAATTTAATAATTCCTTAGTGACATTCTGCACTCTGACTCAAAAGAGCTTCTTTAAATGCTAATTCGCCTTCCTTACAAAGGTTTCCTAGAGCAAATTCCCTGAGTGGAATTCAGGTTGCTTCCTTAGAAGATGATTTCATGATCTTCATTCAGAGAAGTTTCATTTCTAACAGGAGTCTCAGGTGAGACTCTCATTTTACAATTTCCTTTTATTTCCTCACTTAGAAGTAGATCACATGATAGGACTTTTCCCAAGTCTTTTTATCAATGATGTGAGAAAGAACTCTAATGCTGCTTAGAATTTAATTACTCTCTAGAATAGATGTAAAGAAAATAATGGCTTTTGCAAAGCTAAATAGCCTTTTTTGTCGGTTTTAGTTCTAGTTTTGTTACTTAAAAATATGCTTCTTGTTGCTTGGCATTCTGTCTTTAGGTATGCAATGCAGTTTGTTTTTCCTACACATCCAAAACTGCTGATACCCACTGTAGTAATCTTAGTTTCTTCAGGCTCTTGAGTTGAAGATGATAAAGTCCTTAAAATATGGCTCTGCCAAAAATGGATATGGTTGGGATGCCAGTTATATACAAGAGAAACTTCTAATCACATTTTTCTTATTTTTTGATGGAGATGGTAACACAATTTTTAACAAAGAAAAGAAAATATTTTCACAGAAATAATTTCTCTTGGGACTTCTTGACATAGTTGTGACATGCAAAATGATGGATGCCTATTCTAAAATATTTCTACAACCAGACCTTTTATTTTCAATTAGATACTGTATTTTGTTTGTTTGTTTGTGGTAAATCCAAAGACTGGGCTGCAAATCAGGACCTCTGGGATTTGCTCTGGGCTTCACTGCAATTTTATGCATTTTGGCAATTTATTATGTTCAATTTAACACTTTGGGGTACACTTTGTATTTATCTCTAAATAGGCAGGAATTTTACTTCCCAACAATGTTGAGAGCTCAGTGGACGTAAATCAGGTCTTGTAACGCATTCATATTTCCGGAAGAATTTCCACAGATGTGGCAAACAGAAGATAGTTGGTAATGTTTATTGAAAGAATAAATCAATCAGAGGATGAATGAACAATTTTATTAAATTGATGTCTTTATATACAAATATCTACCATACATAATCTTGTATGTTATGGTAGCTGCGATTAATGTGATGTCAAATTCTTTGCTACCTCTCTCCTTTTGAAATTTTTTACCATGAGTGATTTATTGGACCAACTGGATACTGAAGTGATGTTCTTGGTTTTCTCAAGCTAGGTCATAAGAAGCTCTCTTAGAGCCCAGCCACCATGCCACGGAAAGCTCCAACCACATGGATACACCATGTACTGGCTCTCTTTTTGGCCCTAGCTTAGCCCCCAGCTGAAAGCCAGCATCAATTTCTGGACATGTGTATCAGGATGAGTTCAATCAGGAAAGAGAAACCCTACAATTATTTGAACCTGGAAAGTTTCACAGGATTGAAGTAGTACGGGATTGACTAGTATGAAACAAAATATAAAGATATAGGAATAGCAGATACAATATAAAATACAATAGCACATATTATACAGTATAATCTAGAACAATCATTACCACTGGTATTGAGATAGAATGTCAAAAACAGAGCTGGATCTCCGCTTCCACACCCCCAACAAGACCCCAAGACCTCCTGCCCCCTGAACCTGGGCTGGTCTGAGATCCAGTCCTTGTTGAATAAAGCATAGCTACTGAATGACAGAAAATGTCTGTAAATTGTCAGAAATCTGATACTAAGGAGTCAGGGAAAGCTGTTCACAGGGAGATGTCTCACCAGAGGTGCTCTACTACAAAGCTGCCCAAGAAGTGTGCTGGGCAGAGCTGCTGCTGCTGGGTGCTGCAGATCAGCATGCACCGCAGGATTCAGGTGCTGGAGAAGCTGCACTGATGTAGAAAACTACTGAGTAAGCAACACTGGAACTAGAAAGCAAAACCCTTTTCTCCTGTAATAGCTCTCCAATGACTTCTATTGACCAGACTCCAATGCCATCTGGCAAACAGAAAAAACACTTTAAAAACCTAAATGCATTTCACAAAGCAGGCAAAAAGGGAGAATTTGGAGCTTAGTCAATACATTGATAACTGGTACACTATGTGAATTAGCTATCCCGGACTGGCTGCTCAGTCAAGTTCTCAGTCAGCTCCAGAGCTGGCTGCTATCTGGTAGCTACTGCATCAGAAACCAAAAGTGAGAACCACTTGAGTCACCCCTCAAACAATGAGAGATAATAGTGTATTATCATTTTAATTCACTATGTTCTGTGGTGGTTTTATTACACAGCAATAGACAACTGGAACATATGTTATCCGCTGTCATAACTTGTTACATCTTCCTTTTCCTTTCTACCTTAAGGCAACGAGGAGACATTTGGCAATTTTGAAATTCTACTTTTCTAAGTCCCTAGTTACGTTTTAGAGATTTGCTTTTCACAAATGGAAGCAACAGCCTAAAAAAGACAATGCTGTTTATAACAAACAGTTGTACCCCATATTCAACATTGCAATTTGGAGATCTTTTGGATTATATGTTACGTGTTGAGAGAATGTTTTGTAGATAGCATTTCCTATGGAGTGGCCCAATAGTATATCTCAAAAATCACATTATTTGTAAGGAGCTGAAAAGGCTTTACTCAGTATACTGTGTCACTTCATATTACAAAAATTAAAGCAGCATCTATTGAGAAAATTATATTTCTATAACATATGTAAGGAATTCTTGCCAAGAGGGTAAAATAAATACAAGTACTTGCTATGCTGTCTATACCTCAATAGAGATATATTAAAAGAGCTCAACTGGGTTTAAATATATGCCCTAAAGGTAGATTCAAGGACATATAATGACTTAATAGTAAGAACCACTGTGATGAATTCATATGCTGGTAAAACTTATTCAAACTCCGGGGTAGAGATTTGATGAGCACTTTACTCCTGGGAGACTACAATACAACAGAATCCTTGGGGTACCTATTTTCCTAGAAGCATTTGGCTTTTCCTGCCACACTGTGCTAAAGCTTCATCACGGCTAGAGAATACAGACAATGATCATTTTCCTCTGGTCACCACAGCCACTGAATTTAGTAGACTATGTTTTCCATGCTTACACTGGTTTTCAAACCGAACCCATAGAGTCCGTGGGATTCCATAGGGTGGGATGATGTGAAGAGAAGATCTTAGTCATTGAATTTTAAATTCAGCTTTTGTTATAAGTCTTCTGATTGAGACATTCTCATCTTCCCACCATGAAAACGATGTTCTTACCTGCTTCTGCGCCTATTTTCTCCTTTTTCCCTCCTGTATACTAGAGAAACTGATCTCTCCAGGTGTATGTGAGAGTAGGGGAGAGGTTATTAATAACAATTCAGTATGTGGAAACTGAGACTATTAAAGGGAAACTAGAAAGTATGGGCATCCTATTTAATATAATTCCTTCTTACCTACTAAAAGACTTCACTTCCCCAGATACTTACTTCCTCCAACATCAATCCCTACCCCTCCTCCCTATATCATTCCTATCATCATAAACACATGCTACAATACATTTCCTGGTTTAAAAAAAATGCTCCTATGCCTTTTCCACCCTGTCAGGTACAATCTAATCCCACTTCTAGATTTTCTTTAAAATTATATATATATATAAAATTATATAATTATATATATAATTATATCTATAATTATATAATTATATTTATATCTATAATTATATAATTATATATATATATTTATATATATAATTATATTATATATACACATATACACACACACTATATATTATACAATATATATAATGGAGCATATGTTATGCAAGTGTACTAAATTGATATGCATATATATATTTTCCTTTTACTAATTCTAATAATTTATATATCTAATATAATTTATATAATATATACTATATAATATATAGATGTATAATATATAATATGTATAATTATATATTATATAAATCATTAGATAAATATATAAATTATATGTCTATATATTTTATACTATATATAATATATAGTATAAATATATAATATATAGTATATTGTATATATGTGTAATTTTAAAGAAAATCTAGAAATGGGATTAAATTATATACTATATATTATACATTACTTTATATGGTATATTACAACACTATATAACATATTCTATAGTGTATATTATCTATTATATAGTATATTTATATTTATATATTAATATAAATAAAATATATAAATATAAATATATATTTATAGTGTATAATATATAATGTATACATAATATATAATATATGCATATATAAGTAATGTATGTATAATATGTATAATATACTATATGTAGTATATATAACATACATAATATATAAAATATATTTATAACATTTTATATATTGTAGATATACTATATGTAATGAATAATATATTGTCCATATATAATTTTAAAGCAAATCTAGAAAAGGGATTACATAAATTTTGTACATACTATATATAATTATAAAGTATATATAATTTATATATAATTATATATCAGTATATATAATTATATATGTAATTATATATCAGTATATATAATTATATATAATTATCAATATATATAATTATATATAATTATCAATATATATAATTATCAATAGATATATATAATTATATATATAATTATATATAATTATATATCAGTATATATACTTATATAATTATATATATGTATATATAATTATATGTATAAATTATCTATAAGTATATATAACTATAATATATATCAATTATATATACTTATGTATAATTATATATACTGATATATAATTATACATAATTATATATATCAATTATATATAATTATGTATAATTATATATACATATATATAATTATATATATAAATTATATGTAATTATATAATTACACTATATATTTGTATATATAAATATATACACATATAATTTTAAACACACACATAAAGTATACATACTATACACACACACACAATTTCTACTCTGTTTCCCAGTTTATCTCAACCTACTTCAAAATTGGTTTCCAAACCATATCTCAACTAAAATCTTTGTTAATCAATTGCCTACTTGTGGACAAATATGATGGATGTTTTTCTGATATTCCCTTACTAGGTTTTCAACAATGACTCAAACAGATGACCATTTTCTCCTTGAAATACTTTCCTCTCTCTGCTTCAGGAACAGCATGCTCTTCTTTACTTACCACTTTATTCCTTTGTATTTTCCTTTGTTATATACTTATCTTCATAACTATTCATGTTAAAGTTCTTCTAAGCTCAGTCCTGGGCTGACTTTTCTTTACTTACTCTACCTCTGCTTAGTGATCTCATTCATTTCTATGACTTTCAAAGTCTCATTTATATTTTGGTGACTCACAGATTTATATTTCTCACTCAGACTTCTTTTTGGAGCTCTAAATTTATATGTCCAACTTTCCTATTTGAATGTTTCAGATGAATTTCCAAATTTGCATGTTGAAAACAAAACCCATCCATTCCATTCACACTCTACATAATCTATTCCCAGTGGTTCCATATTTCAAATAAATGGCACCATCACCACCCATTACAAAGGTTAGAAGTTTAAGATTAATTCTCGACCTTTCTCTTTCCCTAGCCCTTCATATTTCATGTATTTATGCCAGCTACACCTTCAAAAAATAAATGTGCAATCTGTTCATGTCTTTCTTGGCACCACCTGACCACGTGAGTCCAAGCCTTTATCTATTGCTTAGACAATAAGAAGAGCTTAATTATTTTTCCGTTTTTTACTTTTGCCGTCCCCAAGTCCACTCTCCATACTTGAACCATATCTATGCTTTAACAAAGTTGCAGGAGATTGTGTTCATGATGTGCTTAAGACTTGTTTATGGGCCCTCAGTGCCCTTAGAATAATACCTAAATGGGTTCCCACCATCTCCAAGGCCTTCCGTGTTCTGTCCTCGTCTCCTCTTACACCCCTCTGTCCATCACATTTTATTCTGCAGCCCCACTGGCCTTCTGTCAGTTCCTAGAGTGCTCTACACATTTCCCCAGTGCAAGATACTCAAATGTGTTGCATTTATGGTTCGTTCTACCTGGAATGCTGTTTCTCAGATCTTTCTTACGTGACAAATTGAAAACAATCTAAATGAGCGCCAAAAAGGAAAAGTTTGAATAAATTGTAGCCAAGTCATACTATGACTTCATTTTATGAATACTAACCAGTGTTGAGCTGTTACAAGGACATGATGGAATCTTACATATTTTTATGAAAAAATGTCCAATCATATTAAGTTTAAAAGCAAGTTGTTTGCAACTTCCTGGATCTACGATTACTTCAAAATAGGTTAAAATATGTTGCAGAAAATATGTAAAACATGTAGTTTATATAAAATGTATAAAAATATGTTTTAAACATGTATAAAAACAAAAAGCATATGTCTTTATATGTGTTTCTAGAGGCACAATAATAGTAGGAAAAGTTCCATACCAAACTGCTAACAGGAATTACTGCCTCAGTGGCTGTGGGACTGTGTAATTGAAGGAAAGCTTATGTTTCGTACACTATATACATTTGTTATTTTTTTAACCACAATATTCTTGTATTTATACATGCACACATAACATATGTAGTTTTACCAAATACATCGATTTTTTTTTACAAGACAAAGTAAATGTCCTTTATATCACTCATAGATTTTTTGACTAAAAATTCTGTCAAATTCTGGGAACTCCCTGAAGCCAGTGGTCTGATAGAAACAAGAGTTATTATTATAAGACTTACATTTCATTTAATTTTTGTCAGTTGAGAGAGCCATAGCCATGGGTCCTTAAATTCCTTTTCCTTTGTATATATTCTATATGCCTTTCTTACTCTAAAGAATCTGTTATTAACCCATATTAACCTGTGATTTTTATACTATGATATTTGAGACTGATGAAACAACATTTAAGTTTATGTGCTGTCTCATATCAGCTATAAACTGCATAATTTAAAGACACCTGAACAGGTTTATGTTTTTATAAAGCTCTTGAAAAGATATTCACTTTAAAAAAATGCATTATGCTTGTATAAATTTCTATGCCCCTATATCTGTTAAATGCAATCAGATCAATCTTATTTCTTTGTGTCTCCAGCACAGTGCACAAAACTGAATATTCTGACTTTTAGAAAATTTGCCAAGTCCAAATATTTTTATATATAATTAAAATTAGTTAACTGCTGAGGTTATATTTTTTAAAAGTCTAGTATTTTATCAAGATACTTCCAATTCAGTGCCTGTCATAATTTATTACCAAAGCAACCCAGGAAATAAATGTCCTCATAAAATTAATAATTATGATTTTACATTCATTATAGTGAATAATGATATCTCTTCACTTTTTCTTTTGATCATAGTTGTTAATTTCCCCACAAATTTCCACTTATTTTGTATTATTTCATATTTACCTATATGAAATGGAATGGTCAGAGCATGGGTAGTGAAATTGAAACCAAAATTACATTCTATAGTTCTATTTGGTGAGTGGTGGGTTGGTGAGAGGGAGGAGGAGGGGGAGGGGCAGTGATACTCTATCTGCTTCAGTTATTTATCTTAAAGCTATTTCTGTATATTTAACTTTATGGTCAAATGATCTATTACATTTTATCTGTACAGAATATTGGAACTTTTTAAATTTTAAAAGTACTAGAGAGATTTTTCACAATAGAATACCAAGTTTCTATGAAATAAAAGTTTAAAGTTTCATACATCAGGAAGCAGGAGACATAATTATATCTATCAGAAGATTATCTTTGCTAATCTTTTTTTTTTTTTTGTCATGGGCTGAGCATTTTTCCCTTAATCAGGACTGGAGTACAGTATTTGAACTAGGTATCTTCTCATATGCAGTAAACATCCAGGTAATAGCATCAGTCTAAATAAGATAGATTATGGGGCAGTAATAAAGTATCATGAAATCTCAGTAACATTACGTTTCACTTCTTACTCATACTTCATGTCCACTGCAGCCCAGCAGAGGGACCCCACGCATCATAGCGCCTCTGGGATCCAGAGAAATAGAGCATCCACCATCTTGAACATTGTCAGATGAATAGGAATCTCTGGAGCGTACCATCCTAAAAATTACATGCACTAACGTAGAAATAAAACATGCCATTATGTTCACAACTCATTGGCCAGAAGTAGTCACATGAGGGGTGCTTTGCTTACCCCTAATCACATGGGGACAGGTAAATACAATCCCGGCATGAAATGCTGTGGTGAAGAGCCAGAAATACGCAGTGGAGCACATAATGACTGTCTTGGTTTTCATGACCAAGAACTCTAAGGAGCAGAAAAATGTATTTCTTTTTCATATGTGTCTCTTTCCTTGTGTACCCTGAAACAGCAGACACTGATAGCTGGTGGGAGAAGAGGCCTGGGAGTAAAGGACTCTCTGCAGCTTGCCTTAGGGTTTATTTATTCATGCCAGCATTGAAGCATCCAGATAATACACCAGAATGAATATGATACATGAACAGTTTCCTTTAGTCTCTTACTATTGGTTACCAAGAGCTTCATGTCCCTTCATTGCCCTTTTCCCCATTTCTAGCTACAGCTCAGCCTTTCAATTGTGCAGTGGTATTAGATATTACAGAATGTTAAGGAAAATGACAGTATTACAATATTCAAGGGAATGGTTTTACATTTATCTACTAAATACGACTTTTCTCAGCCTAGTCCAAGTGAAAAGTGCCCATTGAACAGTGTTATAATAGTAAATGTTTAACAAATAGGTTTCCAAATAAACCCAGATTTGTAAGGGTTGGTGTAAGTACGCTCACCATGACCAATTTTATTCTACGGATGTGCTATCACTAAATACAGAATTGGGAAAAGATGTGCGCAATGGGCTTTTTGGCCAGCTAATAGGAGTCAGCTCCAGCATGACACTGAGAGAAATAACTTTCATCATCTTTCTTGGTACATAGCTCAGTTTCCGAAATTACTCTCCATTTTTCATCTCTATCTGCACACCCACAAACACATACATACACGTAAACACACACCTCACTAGGGCAAAATCTAATTCTTAAACACAGCATGGAAACTTTCAATAAGAAACAGAAACCTTATCTTAATTGTTTCATTATGTTTAAAGCTATCTCTTAAACAATTTACATTAGTATTTTACATCATTATAGCAAGAACAGTTACTTTCCCATGATCACTCTCAACTTACCTCCCCCGTTCAGATCTCTTCGGAAAAAGAAAAATATTTGACTCCAAACCATATGTGTCTTTATGGCTACTCTTTTTGCTACATACATATCCAGCTAAAGCTTTGATGGCAGTTTTTGTAAATATACGTGTAACGTAGGTGTTGAGATGGGGGATGGGCATGTTTAATATTTCCATTTGTGTCATGTTGCCCCCTGTGAAGCTCGTGGACCACAGCAATGATTCTCTACCTCGTATCCTGACCCTGTGGTCTGACCCACCTTGGTAAACCACTACTCCAGCAGCTAGTCCAGACTCCTTGCTCTTTCCCAGACAACCACAATCACTCAGATCCTTGTACTTTGCTCATGGAATTATCCTAGTTCTAACATACCCACTTTCATCTGCTTTTCCGACACTTAACAGAGCCTTATGTACAGCGTTGTCATTGTTACGACACCTCACTTCTGTGATTGTACCTAACTCCCTTTGCAACTGCTTTACATCACACATCTTAAATTTTGCCAAAACTTGCTTTATATCATATTTATCAATGTGTTCTATTTGTTTTCTATGCAATGACTTTATGAAAATCTTGCCTTTCCAAAAATTTATGCACTCTTGATATCAAGCACTGTAATTCTCTTCTATCCCAATAACATTTAGCAAGGAGTTAGGTTGATATCCAATCCTTAAAAAAAAAAAATAAAAAGTAAAGTCCATACCAAAAGTATTACTTACTGTATTTCTTATGTCTTAAAAAAATGATAAACTCGAATTCAGCGTTGCTAACCATTAGAGTGGCAAAATACACTTGAGTACAAGTTAGAATTTAATAACTTTTAAGTATTGAATAAATTATGGAAGTAAAATTAACTTAAAAATTGATAACTTTAGAAATTTAGTTTATGGATTATTCAATACACTTACTTCATAAGCTTTTTTTTTAACCTTCATGCCAAGGCAACTTGTTGCCTGACTGGATAGAGGACCACTCTGAAACTAATTTTGTCTTTGTGTCAGTAACCTTTTTTCTACTTACCTGCAATTATTTCTCTGCCTCTTTGAAAAGCAAAGTATTTAATTATATGGGGAAGCAAGTTTAGCATTCCTAATGGAGAATCTCATGAAGTAAAAATGTGAGTTCTACTATTCTAGTGCAAGTTAAAATTGCTTGATCTAAATTTTAATCAACAAACATTTATGGGAAGTCTTCAGGAAAGAGGGGGAATGGGAAATACGGTTCAAAAGAGATGTCATATGGGACTTTCATTTTTAGAAACTTACGTTTTATCAAACATGCAAAACCATTTATGATGAGAACAAGTACACAAGAGCTAAAAAGTTATAAAGGTAAATGATATGTGGCACATCAAGAAAGCTTACATGAAGGCAGTTTTGAACCTTGTTCTGAAGGAGGTAAAATAGATTTAAAAGAAGTATGTCAAAATTTGAAAATAAACATGGCAGAGGAAGAAAAAAACATAAAACTATTTTAGAGATAAACGAAAAAATAATTGACTATTAGCTATTTATAAGATATTTAATGGTGATATTAAATATTGAGTATTATTTATAATACAATTTTTAAAATTCAGACATATTCACTGAAGCACAGAGATCAGGTTGAAGAGTAAAAGAGATGTGTATGACTAGATTTGGGAATCCAGTACAGGTAAAATTTTCAAGTTCTTATCTGAGAAGATTAAATCAATAATAATCAATATGAAATTTTTAAGAGAAAGGTACGACATAAAAATAACATCTAAAAATTATACGATTTATCATCTAATGTAGGATAATTTTATTAAAGATTGAATTAGGAAGCTCCATATAAGACTTGTTCATATATTAAACTTCTATTTGATATACATATCAAATATATATAAAATATATATAATATATATTTATCATTTATCATATATATATATATATATATATCTCCCTCTCTTGTTGACACACTTACTCAACACTTACATAATGCCAAGGAAAAACAAAAAAATTTCTTTGTTGAACTGGCATCTATGTTTTCTTTGTCTTCCTACCTTCACTTTCAGAGAATGCAAAGCTAAATTTAGTGTTTAATCATAGTAATTATTTAAGTCAATTTCTGTTGTGACTATTTCTGCATTTTATATATATATATGTATATATATATGTATATATATGTATATATATATGTATATATATGTATATATATATGTATATATACGTATATATATATGTATATATATGTGTATATATATGTATATATATGTGTATATATATGTATATATATGTGTATATATATATGTATATATATATATAGTTTTTCTTACTGACATAGGAACTATCTCAAATACATAGTTATTTACATTTTTATATATAATCTTTAAGGAAGATAACATTATAAAGAGTGAATCTTCACTCACCTCCCCCACAAATACATACTTTTTGTAAGAAAATAGAAACATTTTGCAAGTCATTCACTCTTTCAATGCCCTCATCAGCTCCATCCCAGGCACCCAAATTAATTTTAAAAAGCTAATTGTCAGGTTCATTTTGAATAATTACAAGATTTAAAGGCAAAGAGAATATTCTTTTGTTTACCATATCTCCCTTTAAATTGTTCTACCTTAAACATAAAATTCATGTAATAGGAAGCAAAACATACTTAAAGTTATCTGTTAAAATGATAGTCCGTATATTCCAGGTAATCTGACACAATAGCATCATTTAAAAAAATCTAAATAAAATTTGGCTTAATTTGTATTCCTTCCCTTTAGGGGGTAGCCCAACATCATTTGGCAGGCCTCTCCTCAAATTTTTGGGGAAATAAACTGAAAGCATATGTAGTTGAAGAAAGTGAGCAGGTCTTCCAGTCTTCTGTTATTAGGCAACTTTGTATTCTCTCACTTGGTTCATACTTGCATGTTCCATTTGAAAACAGGTATCTCCCAGACAGTACTAGCTACCTCTTTGCTAAACTCAAGGGAGCCCTACAGCTCCAGATCCCCAGAAATTAGTTTAGAGTCTCCATACACTCATTTCTATGCATGCAGTTCTTTTCACTAATTCATAATTGGAGCATACCTCAATCTGTGTCATTCTAGAAAAGCTGCCCCTGACTTTCAGTGTCCTGGGATCCAGTCATACTCTCTCAAACCAAACAATCTGCACCATCTTCAACTCTTCTCTTCCGGGAAGCCAGATTAATATTTTGGTAGGTTTAACCTTTCAAAGCAAAGCTTTCAGCATTTGGTGGCATAGGAATGTGGGGAGAAGTACTACCTCACCAGCAACTAGAATGCATATTCCATTAGACAGCTTTTATTTTCTCCATTTTTTTTGTTCACTCTTGTGTGTGCAGTATCAAGGACAGTGACTTGACATATCAGCTACTCAGTAAATATGTGAAGAAAGGGAGGAATAGAAGGAAGGCCAAAACTCAGACACACAAAGTCATGGTAGTCTGAAGCGTTCATAGCAATGTACAAATTTAATATTTCAATAGATGATCTGATTACAATCAAATTTGAAATCGAAAAGATCTTTCAATGTTAGTAGTATAGCGGTTCTTAAGCATAAGAGAATTGCTCAATCGGGGCACACTTGGAAATGAGTATTGTCAGTTTTGCTCAAGCACAATGACTGGAGGATACTACTAGCATTTAATGCTTCAGGAGCTAAGCGTGCTAAATATGTTGCAATGTGTAACAAAGTCCTGTACAACGAAGACTTCTTGCACAAATCCAATAGCACTCCAGTTGAAAAATGCTTAGGTTTTCCTAACCCATCCTTGTACTTAAGTTCTCTATATTTAAGCACCATAGAGTGGCCTTCTAGGTTGTAGACCTAGGCCTAAGCACTCCTGATGGAGGGCATACTAATTCCAAGCTTGTTCCTTCCTTTGAGAGCTCTGATGATCAGAGTGAGGTACAACTGCAGAGTGGAAAGCACAGAGTCAGATGCACATGAGTTTAATAAACACTAGCATTTTTCTTTCCTACCTGTATTAACTACATATCTTTGTCTACATAGCTTCCTAATTCTGCATTAATTCTTCTACATTACATCTCATCATCATACAAAGATAGCTTGTATATTCCTATGTAAATCATCTTTATTCCCAACTAAGCAATCATTATTTTATTTTTCATAATTGTATTTGGCTCCTATCATTCTACTTTGCCTCTTCTTAAGACTTACCGATTTATGTAAATGCTACTTAAAGCGTAGTGCCCTGAATTAAACCAAATATTCCAGGTGAATCTGAAATTACGTAGAAAAGAGTAAAATTCTCACTTGGATCATTCTAGCTATCTGACTACCTTTAATGCTTCTTTTAATTATTTTATCCATTTTTATATTCCTCCCACCTTATTCTTTATTTATGATGTGCCTTATTTATGATGTGCTAGACAAAGATCCTTGAGTTGCTCTTTTTCCCACATGTCCTACTACTAAGCCACACTTCTACAGTCTTATGTTTGTAGAGTTCAATTTTTGGACTTAATTTTATTCTTTTTAATAGATTTTTATTTATTTGACAAAATGTGTATATTTGTTTTGAAATATGTTTACATTGTAGACTGGTCTCAATTTTATTCTTCTCATTTGATTGAAATCCTTTAATTAGTTCAGTCTGAAAAAAAATGTTTTCTTCAACTAATTTTCTAACCATCTCAGCATTATCTGTAAATGTTATGTATATACAAATCATAAGTTGCTTCAATGAAAACCCAGATAATTTTTATTACAGCAATGCCCAGTGAGAGTCATATGACTGACAAGCCATAGGAGACTATTTCAAATGACATACAGTTATTATCTCACCGAGGTACTTATCTAATGATTTTTTTTCCTCAAACAGCCTCTATCACTCCATCTTGGCTGAAAAGACGTTACCTATTTATCAAGTATCTAGCTGAGTTCCAAGTATACCTTCCCCCACCATATTGTTCTAGGCCTAACAATTTATGTGTTTTAAAACAAGAGAGGGAAGTTTGACGTGAATTTGACCCCTGCTATATCCTGGTAATTACTGATTCTTCTCTCTTTGCTGTTCACAAACCATGCTTTTATTGGTGTTTGAGAATCTTGCCTACGATCAAAGTCCAGTTCACTAGGCTATAGGTTGTAAAAAAACAAACAAACAAAAAAAAAACTTTCAGCACTTTTTAAAAATTAAAGGGTATTTGTCTATCTCCAATCTTTTTTAGGCTTCTCTCATTATCCTAGATTTTCCATTATTATAAAAAGCAGTTCAGTAATCTTGGCTGGAATTCAGTTGGTTTCCTAAAAATGTAAATAGTCTGGACCTAGGAGAACAAGCCCATTTCAAGAAATACTGCTCTCTGGGGATGTATTCTCTGGTTTTGGACTTTAGTTCCTTAGTACTAATATAGTTCTGACCTTTATACTCTGAAGAGATCTCTTTTTAACTGAAAATGCAGCAGCTAAACAGACAACAAGCAGTCTTGCTTTCTCTGGGTCATCTAGTGTAATGCACTGACTAAAAGGCTTTGAAATCACAACACTAGGTTTCCATCAAACTATACCATACCCCACCATTTGCTAGCAGTGTAATCTTGGGCAATTGAGTTACCTTCACTGAATTACATTTTTCTCATCTGCAAAGTACAGATAATCGTCCTATCACATATGGTTGCGGTTAAGTATTCACTATTATGAACATCAAGTTCATAACACAGTGGCTGTCACTTAGACATCATTGCGCTTTTCGTCAGTGTTAAATTTAAATGAAACATCGATTTATTCTAATTTATTCTTGATTATCTCCTTGCTTTGCTCACACAACTAAATATTAAAATTTTGAATACACTTGACTACATTTTAATCAAAAGAAGATGACATATTTTGTATACTTCTCCGTATTAATGGTAGAGAAAATGTTAGCTCACTAGGACATAATTAGGAATATTTGATGGGAATTCCAAAGAATAGAAAAAGACAGCTGAATTGACATCTTGTGGAAACAAAGATGAACTTTGCCTACTTCTCAATTTTGGCCACATGTTCTTGCTCCTTCATTTGTGCAAGAACAAGATGCTTTGTGCATTGATGATTTGAGTAATAAAAAAACTGTGAATGGTTATAAATTTTGTGGAGAAAAAAATGACTTCAGGAGCCAATATATTAATTTTTAAAACTTGGCACAGGGCTTTATTGTGAAGACTGAAATAAACTGAATATTTCCACCTGGAGAGTAATAAGTCAAAATATTTCTAATTCTGCCCTGACCAATATCTTTTCTCTCCTTATTTCAAAGAGAAAAGTAAAATTTTCTGAAAAAAAAATTTGAATAAAATATTGAGGGTCTCTAGAAGTAGAAGAGTGGGACAACAGGCCAAGATGCAGGAACAGAGGATTCCTTGAAATCTCTTTTGTGACGCAATCAAAGAACACTGTTGACTTTGAAAAAGCGATGAAGATTTCAGATCAAATAGGATGGACTGGTCGTACTACCTGTGTTGAAAAAGTTCTTTGTGAATGATCCAAAAGAAGTTTAAAGTCTTAATTTTTTTCATTTGAAAATTGAAACAACACCCCTGAGTTTCTCTATCATCTTTTCTCAGTGGCCATACTGTAAAGGACTGTATTAAAAATGAAGTCCTTGTTGTCCTGCTCTAAGCCTTATGGCATGGAGTTTCCTTAAAGTTGAATTCTAAAAGATCTGTTAATCATATCTACATCTATCTACCTACCTATTTCAATCTAATTTTTCTATTAGTAAAAATATAAACATATATACACTTAACTCCCCAGATAATTTTTATGAGTATCTCTTTTTTTTTCTTTTTTGGCCAGGATTCTTAGACTATGATAAAAATGATACAAAATCACTATTAGGATAAATGAGCTATAGATTCTGATTATTTTTATTTAAGAAACAGGCATAATTGTGGTTTTTCAGTCAGTATCTTTTGAACGATGAAGGTTTAATGGGAGAATAAATAATCTACTTGAACAAAGAAAATGGCCCCTGAATGTTAATATTGTGCTTTTTGTCTTGGCTTTTGTGTGATGAGCCATTTGTAATTTTTAGAAAGCTACTTGGGAGGACAAATGTAATAATGTCTTGAACCCCTAGGCAGAAAAGCACTATATAATTACATCTTTAAAATAGTATTACCATAGTTTTGTCCTAAAATTTTTGTTACTTACAGGGAAATCTTTTAGTAGGTGAATCCCCCTGGTTACACTGCTTCTTCCCTTTCTGTCCAGAAGTGTTTTAAATGAGCTGAAAATGGTCTCTCAGTAAAGCAGAGTGTCTCCCGTTAGGAAGCAGCTGGATTAGGAGCACTTGACCTTTCTGAGTTGGGTATGCAGAAATTGCCAATAAAGATTTTACAGGAAAAGAAAGTGAGCTGACTGAAAATGCTGTCTCTTAATGCTTTAGATACTTTTGTTTGCTTTATTTGCTCCAATTAACAAGGTTAAACTCTGGAATCTATAACAAAGACAATGCCCTTTTGAAATTGGTATATTTAGGAATAGGAGTTAGATGATAGTGGTTTGTAAGTGATAAGATTGCTTCTTTCTGAAATTATTCATTTCAATAAGTATTAACTGAATATACTTTGTGCTAATTACTGACAACATGATGGCAAACAATACCTGAAGGTTATGGTCTAGCAGCAAGACAGATTCTAATCAGAGGTAGTATTGTAATCATTTCAACTACCATGAAGGAGAAGTACAGCATTATGAGAACATACAGCAGGTGTCCTGATCTCATAGGAGAGGTGGCAGTGGTTAGGGAAGATTTTCCTAAAGAATATCCATCTGAGTATGTGAATATTATCTTATTGTCTCATCATTTTTAGCATAAGGCATTTTGCATCTAATCATGTTTTTCTTTGTTCCCCAAATACCTCCTGAGATAGGTTTAATAACAAATGCTTAATTATAAGACAAGAACAAGAGAAATTACGTTACATTGGAATTTTTCAACCCCCTCTCTAGATTGCTGAGGCATTAAATATGTCTTGGTTTGGCATTACAAAATATTAATATAATTGGCTCAACGGTGAGCAATTACATTTTACTTCTTAAGAATGCTATTGGAATTAGACTGAGTCCTGCCATATTCTTTTTGTTCTCATGTTGTGAATACTAGAAACACCAGCTTTGCTATTATTTTCATCTACTGGTTAAAGATAAGAAAGCCAGTAAGACAGTGTTTTATAAACAATTCTATGGAATTTTTCCCACATAAAAATAAAACCGAAGTGGTCTCAGTATTCTTATTAGCAGTTTCAGAATGTAGCCAAAAGCTCTTTTTATAGAGACACAGGTCCTTCAATGCCTGCAAATGCCTCTAGAGTAGACTGCGTTTCACTTGTTCTTGTGGGAAAAGTTTCCATTGCCATTGGACTGGATTATGTCTGTTCTGAAAATAGTGATGTTCATTTCCGTTTCTGTCATTCAGATATCTTTCATGAGTTTTCCATTTTTAAAACACAAGGCACATGAAAGATGCTATATAAAATCAAATTCATTTTTATAATCTCTGATGGCATCTTCATCCTGTAACTTCTATTCTGGGATTTTGTAGCCATAACACAAAGAACAGCAATCAACAACAGAGTGCAAGATGAGATTAGAATTGCTGTGCCTGATCACCCAATCAGACACTGCAGCTTCAGTTGAACACATGCTTTGCCTATAACTGTCCCTTTGCAGAAAGTACGAATAACCTTTTAATGCCCATCTATAATCAGTGTAACTTAATTTTGCTTTTTTCACTCCAGAGTTCAATCAGAATCCCAAAAAAGGTCAGTATTTTTGAGTTGAAATGAGACCACTCTGCACCAATTTAGGAATGTTAGAATCCTTAAAGTTTCTGTGGAGGAAAATTTCAAAAATGGTAAAACCAATTCTTTAGAGACTGTTTCACATTCCTATTAGCTTTATAAAGAAAGTCCATATTTACAACTAAAAATGATAATGAATAAATATAACTAGTCATGATTAATTTTTTTATCGAAGGTTCTTAAACTCTGACAACATTATTATTATTCTTATTATTGCAAAGACTTGTGGTATAAAGTTACCCAAATTTTTAACCTGCCTGTAAATTCTATGTACTTTTCCCAGTGCAGAAACCAGGATTAAGTGATTTGCACAAGGTCACAATGCAATGTAGCAGCATGTTGAAGACTGTAATTCAGCACTCCTCATTTGTACAGTTTGATCAGCATAATCAGCTCTACTACCTCCCTGAATTAGATAAGGTTATCTCTTGCTGTAAAAATGCTATAGTCAGAGATCACTTTGATTCCCTTTCCAAGGTCAAAAATAATCCCATTAGGATAGGTTAGGAATATTAAGATAATCCTTTTGATCTCAATTTGTAGTGTTATATAGTGTAATTCTTTCTCCAACTCATCCATTACTTTATTCAATGAATATTTAAATACTGCACTTGGCTCTAGTTAGGTTTGTAGAACTATAGTTTAAACATTATTAAAACGTTAAATCACTTATATATGAAGTTTTTAATTGAACGTATTACAAAAAGGAAAAATCACATTTTTGCCTTACAGTCTTCAAATCAGTTTTTGGGTTTTTTTGGTTTTGTTTTGTTTCGTTTTTGTTTTTGTTGGCTTAAGAATTGGGGGATTTTAGGATTCCCTCTCCTACTTTATTGTCTTTGTCTATGTAATGGCTCTTTCAGTTCCTAAAACTTCTTATCCTACAGCTGAGGGCTATCATCGGACACTACAAATTGACTATGACACTTTGTGCATTTGCTCTAGATAAAATGGTATTATGATTTGTGACACCAAAGCAGGTGGAAAAGGGAATAAGAAGGCAAGTCTGGAAATGCTGGTAAACCATTCTTCTGTTTTTTTTTTTTGTTTTTTGCTTTTTTTTTTTTTTTTTTTTGAGGTGGAGTTTCACTCTCGTTTCCCAGGCTGGAGTGCAATGACGTGATGTTGGCTCACTGCAACCTCTGCCTCCTGGGATCAAGAAATTCTCCTCCCTCAGCCTCCCGACTAGCTGCGATTATGGGCACCTGCCACCACCCCTGGCTAATTTTTGTATTTTAGTAGAGATAGAGTTTCACCCCATGTTGGCCAGGCTGGTCTCGAACTCCTGATCTCAGGGGATCTACCCACCTCGGCCTCCCAAAGTGCTGGCGTTACAGGCGTGAGCCACCACGCCCAGCCTGGTAAACAATTCTTAACTTTTAAAACTTGACAAAATAATTCAACCTATTCTTTCATAGACTCCTCCCCGCCGCATAAAAAACTGGTAATGACCCAATTATGACACAACCCAATTTTGTGTTTTGAAGAGATTAGACAAATTTTAATGTCAGTGGGGAGTTCATCGTTGACCTTTTCCAATAGCCCTCTAACAGCCCAGGAGGTGGAGGCTTCAGTGAGCTGTGATCACACCACCTGGGCGACAGAGCGAGACCTGTCTCAAAAAAGAAAAAAAAGGCCCTCAGAGTTAATCACTCACACTCTGTGCTTTTGTCTTTGTTAATGAGTTTGTTACAGTATGCATGGTCCTACTGCTGCATTTATAAAGGAGTCATAAAAATATACTGTGAGATGTATGTGATGTTTATGTGTATTTCTTTGCTAGACTACTTTGGGTTTTGAAAACAATAATTTTATTCATGTCTGTATTCTAAGCCCTAGTACAATGCCTGCCACATGATAATAACCAATAAATAATTGTGAATGGAATAAAATGAGTTAAATTGATTTGAACTCTAACATTTTCCTCTGAGGTAAATAAACTTACAAGATAAACAGTAACTTGCTAGGCAAGTTGTGGCAGTATGTCACTGGATGCCAGTACAGAAGACTTAGAAGCTAATACTACCTATACTGTACTTTCGATCCTCATACTACTAGTACTTCCTGTGACCAGCTTCTCTTCATCCAACAGATCCTTGGGAAGAATTGTATAATGCCTAGCTGACTTAGTTGTGAGATAACTTGAAAGCTGAAAGACTGCTGTTACTACAACTGAGGAAATGTACAGATCTTTGGGGATCCTGTCACAAAGATTAGAATCTTTCCCTGAGGTCGGGGGTTGAAGACCAGCCTGGCCAATGTGGCGAAACTCCATCTCCACTGAAACTATAAAAATTAGCTGGGCGTGGTGGTGGGCGCTTGTAGCCCCAGCTACTCTAGGGGCTGAAACGAGAATCACTTGAACCCAAGTAGTGGAGATGGCAGTGAGCAGAGATTGCACCACCGCACTCCAGCCTGGACGACAGAGTGAGATTCTGTCTCATAAAAAAAAGAAAAACGACAACAAAAAAGATTAGAATATTTAAGGACTGCCGAATTAAGTCTTATTTTCTGCTTCATTTTTGCCACAGATCTGGACTCTGTTCAGATTATAAGAAGGCTTTCAAGTAATAAAACTATGAATATCTTAAAAGCTTATGAATCAGCCTTGTCTTTTACTGTCATTGTGGCATTTGTTGTACTTTTAGTACTCTGAGTTTTGGAGTTTTCATTGTTCTCCTATGACTAAGCCCCTGTTCTCTTCCCTGTATCCCTGTCTATGGAGTTTCAGTGTATATTCATGTGCCCAATTCCCTGACTTGATTCCATATTAACTGCCTCAGCTCCTCTAGTTTCAGGGTCTTTCTTACACTCTGAAAAAATCGGGTGTCCTTATTGGAGTCTCATTTTTCACTGATGCCAGCTCTTCTACTTTGACCTAAAACTCACAATCCTGCGCTCTGCTCATTTAACACTGTTCTGCCATTATCTGCTGCTCATCACACACACCCACACACACACACGCCTTCCTTTCTTTATGACTTGCTGTCTTGATACCCTCCTAATACCTGATCCTTCAGACAAGTTCCTTCAGTTGTCTTCTTTCTGGATCCCAGCCATTCTCGGAAAGAGAGTTTAGTCCTGTTACTGACTATACTTAATTAGCATAGCATGGTCCGGAATAAGACAGCAGGGATGGGGGCTGCCCTGAGGAGTTTCTGGATACACAGTCTCACCAGAGTTGTCTTGCACACAACCTGTAGGTAAATATATGAACACTGAAGTGTAAAACTTTTGACAGGAACTACTCAAGTGTTCTGTCTTTTTCTTTGGAGTTATGTGAATAACGAGAAAGCATAGTGTTTTGGAATTTAAAAATGCTCGATTCAGAGTTGAACAGTCTACTTCTTCAATCTCTGAAAATTATTTATCTAAGATTTCTTTGAGAAAATCATTTGGTATTAGCTGTTTTTACTTATGTTTCCATGCAGTCTGCCAAATAATTTGTTTCTTTTGTATTTATGCCTGGTGAGTATTCATAGTTGCTTAATGTAAACTTTATTTGGTTGCTATTTAGCCAAGTGATTTATTTTTTTCTCACAAAAATCCTTAATTAGTTTTGTTCAGCTCTAAAATTCTTTCTTATTTATTCTTTATTTTCCTTGGAATGAATATAGTTTCCTGAAATGAGTTTATCAGAATCATAGGGATTAGGGAGAAATTCTCTCTTAACCAATTTATTTCAACTGTTATTTACCCACTTGCTTACTGGAGATCATATATGTTTTATTTGTCTTGAAATCCATAAACAGAGCTTATTAAAGTAGTGAATCATATCTCCCACTGACAGTAATGTCCTTCTCTGCAAGCTTGTGAAGCCATTTTGAACATATGCATAAATTCAGATGTTGTGATATAATAGCTTAGGGAATTAGGCTGCCTTTTTCATTCTGTTCTGTAAATAACAAGAAAAAGATAAAATGATTTTATCATTAAAGAAACACTCTCTGGTCCAAATCTCTTAGAAGAATAGTCAATTTTCCTAAGTTATAAAATGTTCGATTGATTTCTTTTATAGAACATTTGTTTCTTATTGAAATTTAGCATTTCAATATGAATCTACTTTTTGAAATATGCAATCAAGTAAACTGAGGCCTAGAATATATTCTGATTTAGTAAATTCTGTGAACACCAAGCAGAGTGAACTTTCTCAGGTATTTGACTTTTTCATTGAAATCAAATAAGGTTAAATAAGAAGTGAATTAGTTTATAAAAACACACCAGGGCCAGGGGCAGTGGCTCAGGCCGGTAATCCCAACACTTTGGGAGGCTGAGGCAGGCAGATCACGAGGTCAAGAGATCAAGACCATCTTGGCCAACATGGTGAAACCCCGTCTCTATTAAAAATACAAAAATTAGCTGGGCATGGTGGCATGCACCTGTAGTCCCAGCTACTTGGGAGGCTGAGACAGGGGAATCACTTGAATCTGGGAGGCAGAGGTTATAGTGAGCCGAGATCGTGCTCCTGCACTCCAGCCTGGCAAGAGAGGGAGACTCCATTTCAAAAACAAACAAACAAACAAACAAAAAAACACCACTTTGAATCCAAGGACTATCTGTGTATATTTTTTTCAATTGAGATGAAAATGAGAATTAGTTTTGTATGCCAAGCATAGATTTTGTGTGTTTGAATGCAAAGGAAGGAAGAGAAAAGAACTATTTGCATAGTATTTCATAAAACCAAATACGTTCAATTATAGGACTATCATTTATTTTGTAATTATTGGGTTAAAATTACTTTTATTAAATAATGGTTAACATTATATGGTAGTTTTAAAAGAAATATCCTTATTTACTGATGTGTGAAATTCCAAAGTTTAGGAACTACTGTTTTAGAGAACTATAGAAAAAGTGAGAAGACCATCACAGACTCATATAAAAATGTTAGAAGCTAAGCTTACAGTTATTTACAGTGTTCTTATTTCTCACAAGGAAAACTTCAGCAAAATAAAGGTATTCTCAGTAAAACATCATCCTTAGAGACTACATTTGCATTTGAATGGTGTTATTCCCTTTATACTCTCAAAAAGTATTACATTAAATATTAATGCAACATTTTGCTCCTGTTATTGTTCACTTTCACTTCTGCTAAACGTTAACTTCTCAGCCTGTACAAGAAGATGTAGATGAGAAACGGTATTTAGTGATACAATGTAGCCAATCTCAAGTTATTTTAGTTCCAGCATGGTTTATTGTGTAATGCTGGCAACTCAAAAGACTGTCACTATTCGCATGAAGTTATCACCACCAATATGCTTCTTTGCTTACCATAGCCTGCTTCTTTTGTAATATTTCTTTCAAAAATGCAATTGCTGGAATAGATAGTAATTATAATACAAAATAGAAAACATCCATATAGAAGCACTTTTTCTTTCTTTTTCTTGTGCTGACAGAAAGTATAATAGAAATAAGCTTTCTAACCAACATTAGCCTTCCCTGTGGAACAGGACATTAGTTATGTGAGCCTTTTTAATAACAATAAAAAAACCTGGAAGCACAAAAGCTTCACAAAATAACAACAATTATTATTATGACAACCAGGAGTTTTAGAAACTAAATTGTCACTTGCTAACCACTTTTCCATACAATATTTCATTTGACCCTATTGGCTAAAAAATTAATGCATTTCACCAACTTCACCAACTTTGGGCAGCTGAATTCTCTGGAGGTCTATGTTAAAAAAAAAAGAAAAACTATCAGATCACTTGGTTCTCATGTCTATCCTTCACTAACAGTGTTACCCATAACATGTTTATTTTTTTGTTAACTTCTTTATGCCTCAGTTTCTATATCTGTTGTATAGCTCTATAAAGGAATCAACATGTAGATGCAAAGTGGTAACGTTAACACTGCCCATCTCCCAGCCCAGCATACAGTGGGCTTTCAACTAATGGAAACTAGACACTAATCAATTCATTTTCCGCCCAAATCCTCTATTTGGGAGCACACTTTTTATCCAGGAATGAGGTTGTGCAGAATCTGCCATCTTCCTATTCAATAGCAAATGTCTTCTATGTGATAGCTAGTGGTTTCATTACTGCTAAGACAAAAATACATTTTAAGAAACAGCCCTGAAGTCTAAGGAATTTTCATTCCAGTGGATAAGAGTTCTATAAGTAAAGGTAATTTTAGTATGATAAGATACATAATTGGAATGATTCACTGAATACTATATGAACACAAAAGAGAGTGTTTCAATTCATATTGAGAATTAGGAAAAGCTCACTGGAGAACATAGCACCTATGCTTAATCCTGAAAAAAGAATATAATTTCTCCAGGCAAATAAAGGTAAGAAGACAATTTCCTCTGCCTCAGGTCTAAGATACAGTCTGAAAGAAGAAGATTAAATAAAATGGACCAATCCTGATCAGTTCAGTACTATAAATCTGTATTATTTTTGGCCAGAAATCTATGTAGCTAATATTGCAATTAGGAAAAATATTTTCCTTCCTCAGTATGGATTTAGACTTTACTGTTTCTATGAATATGTGACTATATCATGGATCCACTAATTATAACTCAGAAGTCCACGAAAAATGAACAGAAACTTTTTCACCTCAAACTTGGCAAGGAAACTTTAGACAAGATGGGACCTTGGAGTGCTCGAGCCTGATCAGGAGTGCATGTCTAAAGATCCCTGTCTCTTACTTTTCACACTTTCTTCTATGCACGTAAACACACAACTGTATCATTTTAAACAACTTGATCCTTAGAAAATATACTGTTTATAGGTTATTGGAGCTGAAGGATTGGATTGGTGCAAAAGGTTCATTGTGAATTTTGTGATGTTCCCTTCAGATCCCTAATTGATGAAAGTCTTCTTTCTCCAGCTGCTGGGAATATTGTCAGCAGACAGCCCCTTCAAGGATTGCCTCAGGTTCAGAAAGCCTGCTTGCTCATGGTTATGTCCCTTCCCTGGGAGGTACATCTCCAATGACTGATTGGTGTGGGAGTATAAATATGGTGTCATGTTATAAAGGAGTTTATCTTGGTCAAACTTGGCTCTACACTGTAGAATTGGGCAAGACTACATACATGACCCCTAAAGTTTACAAGCATTTTGGTATTCTTTTTTTTTTTTTTTTTTTTTTCTGAGACGGAGTCTCGCTCTGTCGCCCAGGCTGGAGTGCAGTGGCACGATCTCGGCTCACTGCAAGCTCCGCCTCCTGGGTTCACGCCATTCTCCTGCCTCAGCCTCCCGAATAGCTGAGACTACAGGCGCCCGCTACCACGCCTGTCTAATTTTTGTATTTTTAGTAGAGACGGGGTTTCACCTTGTTAGCCAGGATGGTCTTGATCTCCTGACCTCGTGATCCGTCCGCCTCGGTCTCCCAAAGTGCCGGGATTACAGGCGTGAGCCGCCTCGCCCGGCCCATTTTGGTATTATTTCTACACAAAGTGATAATCGGTATTTAGTATGACATAATACGAGAGTATGTTTCCTTATTCCCCTTGCCACACCACATTCACAAAGATATCCATGCACACTCACGTATACTATATAATATTAGCCTAAAAAATTATTGTTAATGTAGTGTATTAAAATATGTATTATTTATTTTTATTTTTTATTTTTTGAAACAGAGTCTCGCTGTCACCCAGGCTGAAGTGCAGTGGTGCAATCTCAGCTCACTGCAACCTCTGCCTCCTGGGTTCAAGCAATTCTTGTACCTCAGCCTCCCAAGTAGCTAGGATTACAGGTGTGCACTACCACGCCCAGCAATTTTTTGTATTTTTTGTGGGGACAGGGTTTTGTCCTGTTGGCCAGGCTGGTCTTGAACTCCTGGGCTCAGGTGATCTACCCACCTCAGCCTCCTAAAGTGCTGGGATTACAGGCATGAGCCACTGTGCCAAGCCTTATGATATTATTTATATATATATATTTAAGCTGAGTTTATAAAAATATATTTTATTTTTAAATGCTTTTTTATTAAAAAGCAATATGTGCTATGGTTGAAAAACCCAAAAGTAAAATATAAAAAGGAAGCAGAGATAATTGCTATTATCATTTTTATATTGCCAAACATCTATAGTAGAAAATTAA
This sequence comes from Homo sapiens, assembly GCF_000001405.40. Lineage (NCBI taxonomy): Eukaryota > Metazoa > Chordata > Mammalia > Primates > Hominidae > Homo > Homo sapiens. The sequence goes on from NC_000002.12 coordinate 211,073,677, forward strand.
CATAATTAATAAATACTATGCATTGTATATAATGTGTTTTGAATCAGCCTATGGACCATGTGACCAACGTTTAATCATTAGTGCTGTCTTTGTGATATATATGTGATATATGATGTCAATAATATATATATAATTTCGTTTATATCCTAAAATAAAACAGGACTTAGATATAGAATTATGCAAATATATGTAGGTAAATATAGGCATATGTATAAACAAATATATACATACATATATAAATAGATGTATATATATGCCAGTCTTAATTTGTGACTATAAAATTGTAAAAGAAAATGTCACTGTAGCAGAGATTTTGAGACTCATGATAATAGTATTGGATTACAATGTTTTCAAGTATTCAAAATTTGAGAATGATAATCCATGTGCATTTAGTCATCTACAAGCTTCCAGCTAGTCATTCTTTTTTCTAGAAATTTTGAAGTATTTCATAGGACTTAACTGTCCCATTTTTAGTCACCGCTGTCCTTAACTTTGTTATTATTAGTAGTATGGCTTGGATTATATTATCTGGACTCTCTTAAATACAATAGTTTTTAAAGTTTGTGTCTTCCATATATAACAGAATAGAAAATGGTCTTATGGAAAAAGAAGGGAACCCAATTCTTATGCATATATTTGGCCCAAACAGGAGCAAATGTCATTAGAACTCTAGTTTTTATTTCTGCAAATGAGAATTTTGCCTCTGTTGTCAAAAGTAGACGAGTCTAGCAATGTTTTTTACTTGCTGCTTTTCTTCACCCATTGCTGTTATTTATGACAGAAGATTAACATTTTTAGGGAGAAAGCGAAATGTTGTATATCTCGGTTAAGTTACAGGAAATATGGTGTACTTTCAGAGAAGGAGAATTTATGATTGTTCATTTGATCATTCAACAAATGATTGTTGAAAATCTGCTAAGTGCCGCCAGTCTCTGCTCTCATGTTAGGAATATAGCAATGGAGTTATTAGAAACAAAACTACACAAAAAGAAAAAATAATTCTGAACTTTATTATTGATTTTCATTTTATTTCAAGTCTAAACCCAGTGGTAAAATTCAGTTCACATATACACTTAAATGGTTTTATTGCATCTTTTTCGTATCCAGAAAGAAAATCTGCTGATCTCTACATTTATTGATATGTTTATTTCACTCTGACAGTAAAACCATTGGAGACATTGTTTGTTATTGTTGTTATTTTTCTTTTTCAACTTTTTAGAATCAGGCAGTACATGGGCAGGTTTATTACAAAGGTATATTGAATGATGATGAGGTTTGGGGTATGACTGAACCCATCACCCTTTTAGGGAGCATAGTAGCCAGTAGGTGATTTTTCAGCCCTTTGCCCTTCCATTTCTTTCACCTCTAGTAGTCCTCAGTGTCTACTGTTCCCATCTTTATGTCCATGTGTACTTAATGTTGAGCTCCTACTTATAAGTGATGACATTCGATATATGGTTTTCTGTTTCTGCATTCTTTCATTTAAGATAATGGCCTCCAGGACATGATTTCATTCTTTTTTGTAGCTGTGTAGTATTCCATGGTGTATATATACCATATTTTCTTTATCTAGTCCACTGTTGTATTAGTTTGTTTTCATGTTGCTACAAGAACTGCTCAAGACTGGGTAATTTATAAAGAGGTATAATTGACTCACAGTTCCACATGGCTGGGGAGGCCTTACGAAACTTATAATTGTAGCAGAAGGGGAAGGAAACATGTCTTTCTTCACATGGTGGGAGGAGAAGTGCCAAGCAAAAGGGGAAAAAGCCCCTTATAAAACCATCAGATCTCATAAGAACTCACTCACTATCCTGAGAACAGCATGAGGGTAACCGCCCCCATGATTAAATTACCTCCCACTGGGTCCCTCCCATGACATATGGGGATCATAGGATCTACAATTCAAGATGAGATTTGGGCAGGAACACAGCCAAACCATATCAACTGTTGATGGGCACCTGGTTTTATTCCATGTTTCTGTTATTGTGGATAGTGCTAGAAGAAAACCCAGGACATATCCTTCTCAATATTGGACTTGAAAAAGAATTTATGGCCAAGTCCTCAAAAGCAATTGTAACAGAAACAAAAATTGAAAGTGAGGTCTAATTAAAGAGCTTCTGCACAGCAAGAGAAACTATCAAGGAAATAGACAACCTATTGAATGGGAGAAAATATTTGCATACTATGCATCCAACAAAGGCCTAATATCCAGAATCTATAAGAGACTTAAATCAACAAGCAAAAAACAACCCCATTAAAAAGTAGGCAAGGACATGGAATGACACTTCCAAAATAGGATAATACACACAGTCAGTGAATATATGAAAAATACTCATCATTACTAATCATTAGAGAAATGCAAATCAAAACCACAATGAGATACCATCTCACACCAGTCAGAATGGCTTTTGTTAAAAAGTCAGAAAATAGCAGATGTTGGTGAGGCTGCAGAGGAAAAGGAATACATATACATTATTGGTGGGACTGTATATTAGTCTATCCACTATGGAGAACAGTTTGGAGATTTCCCAAAGAACTAAGAGTTGAACTACAATTAGACCCAAGAATCCCATTACTGGGTATATGCGCAAAGGAAAATCAGTCATTCTACCAAAAGGATACATGCACGTGTATGTTCAAGACATTATTTTTTTAAAGTGATACAGAATTGTCACAACATTTTAATTTTTTAAACCCCAACAATATATATTTATTGGTTTTTAGGCAATGTTTTGGAAAGGCACCTCTTTTTCATATTGTTACCATTACTGGAATTCCCCTAAACTTTATGCTTCTAGATCATAAACATTTTCTACAAAAGCTATCTAATTAATTTCCTATTAACTCTCTTTTTCTGCCTATTCTATTCCAGTTGAACAAAAAAAAATCCTGTAAAGGTGTGATATGAAACATGATCATTTTTCACATGAAATAATTTGACAACTACTGGAATAAGAGAAGTTAATAGTATAAGAGAAGTTAATATTTAATAGGCAAGCCTATTAAATAAAGCCAATAAAGTATAGAAAGAAAAGATGATATTTAATACTTTAAAAACTCTCTGTTCTAGTTGGATTTAGGTTTGGTGACACATGCCAGTCTACAGGATTGAATAAATATAGGAATCAAAAGGAAAAATATTACTCTTAAACTACTATTTCATATTTTAATAAACAAGTAAAGTCAATAAGTGAATATCAAATAGTATGTTTCTGGATATCAGGTTGTTGAACAATCCTTTGAAAAGGATGTTATGAAGTAAGCTAAGCTTGGTCCAATTAATTTTTTTAGATTATTACATAATTCACCATTCATGCATTTACCAAGTCATTTATTTAAAAACACTAATATGATCAAATAGGAGAATAATATTCTAGAAGGTGGTCATGGATACTTTTTAAATGATACAGTGTATGTTTAAAGAGTTTTCCTTTGGCAGCAACTTGTCAACAGTCTCTTCTTTACAAAAAATTATCTCGAAAATGACTTGTTGAATTTGAAGCCGTTAATTAAAGATTTAGATGGCAAGCCTATTAAATTATACTTTATAAAAGTGCATGATGTTCAAATGGATCTAACTTACAGTACTTTTGGACAATGCCACATTTATCTACCAAACACTGTTCTCTAGATAATCGACCTTGCTCTCCACTTGACTGTAAATGAAAAAGGGAAGCTGCACCAGACAAGTCCATAACCTCTGAAGAACTAAGTATGCTGACATAGGCAATCCACATATTTGCATTACACATACTAAACTAACAGACAATAGTATTTACAAGGCTTCACTAAATGCTTAAATCTATTTTGTGGACAAAAGGATTTTTAAGTTAATTCATTTTGTGGAGAGAATAATTTAACCAAGTTAGCATTTTGTTGACAGAATTATGATGAAATTCATTTTGTCTGCATAATTGATTGGACAGCCAGCAGAATGCATTTCTCCCTAGAATGAAGAATGTGCAGAGGTTGTCAAATGGCATTTCCTCCTTGGTCTCAAATCATTCTGCCAACAAAATGAATGCAAAATCCTTTCGTTTACAACATCAGTATGGGTGTTAATTATTGGTGAATAGAATTCAAAGTCAGAATCTTTTCTGTTAAATATTGATAGATATTCATACCACTCACTAATGAGATATTAATCTCGCAAAAGGATTGTTCTGGAAGAAGCTTATATTTAATCTGTGTAACAAGGTAGGTGTGTCATTTGTTTTATTCACTTTCAATACTACAAACATGAAACAAACACTTTGGCTAAAATTTTAAATTGAATGGCTGGGGTAAGAAACACCAGGAAACTGTTTAGAGAGAGAGACTGCAAAGATGGTTATGAATAGTACATAAGAGGAAATATTAAAAGCTACAAAACATGTTATCAACACTAAGTATAAATTTACATGGTTCTCTAGATGCACTTTTAATTGAATTAGATTATTATTCACTTAAGCCTAGAGGCCTGCACAGTGAAGATGAGTGGTGCAGCAGAGCACTAATAATAGATGTTTGCCATGATTTCGTGCTTCTCATTTGCATATCACCTATTGCCAAAAAGCCTGGGAATACTGAAAATGGATTCCTACAATACGGGTAGATAAGGCCATTCATAGGACGCATAGTTGCTGGAGATATTCTTCCAGACAGGCTTTCCATTGAGGAAAGTTTGAATCTTTCCATTCTGGATGTTGGAACAGAAAAAATACATTTTGTGAGAGGAAAACAGTTTTAGGGCTACCCAACAGAAGGCGAACTAATGTGCCCGTCATGTGTTAAGAATCTGTGATGATTTAGATTGTAGAGGTTTATTTTCTCTACAAATAAAGATTATATAAGCATTTCATGTCAACTGTGTGAATTGGCTCCATGGAAAATGTGCAGTAAAATATAATTTCAATAGATGCATTATTCACCATAGTCTACTTTAAGCTATCTAGATAATTTGTATCATTAAGTTAATAAGGCCAGGTGTTAACTCTTCTGAGACATAGGATCACTCTTTCTCTAGTACTTTGTGGTTTATTTGCAAACTTCTACCAGCTACAATTTTGTTTTAAAATTACAGACCAATACCAATGTTCAAGGATTAATGAAACAAATACGGACAAAATCAGGTAGTTGTGTTGAATGTTGTTTTGGAATAAACAAGGAAATGTTTCAGACAACTTAAAACCAGTTGAAAGTGAGTCATTAGGGGTAAGAATAAATATTTGAGTACAAAACCAGAATATATTTAGGAAAAAATATATTTTAGTAGGAAGGTTGGAAAAATTGCATAAATGCAAATGAGGAAGCCATTGGTTGGTATAAAATTATGTCATAAATCCTAGATCTGTAAGATAAACTACTTTTTTTGTTTGTTTGTTTGTTTGCTTTTTCCTCCAAATCCCTGCCTGGCATTGTACTGGAAACTGTTTTGCCAAATATATTCTGTGTGCATTTAGAAATCACTTATTGCCCATCTGAAACCAGTTGGATTTGGAAGAAAGACACAAAAAAATACATGATACAAGTTACCTATCTTTCAGTTGATCATAATTAATTTGGCAATATAATACTCATATGATGTATGACCTAACATGATATGGTCTAGAAACATAAATATTAATAAATAGAATTCAAAGCATAATATGTAGGCTAAACATCTTTCATTAATTTATTTTAAATTTATATTTGTATTTAATCAAAACTCTTCCAGAAACACATAAAGCATGTTCATGTAAATTCATTGAGGAAGAAAGTAAAACAAGGGTGAAAACATAAAATTGAGCCAGATACGCATTAGATATGTGAAGTACAAGACTCTAGGCAATTGCTGTTGGTAATTGTCCCTGTGGTTTATTGCTTTCATTAGCTCATTACAATTGTGTACAAATATTTTAACATCGTTACCTTTTCTAACAGTCCCAGGAAAACATTGAGAAAGTATTATTATTTTCATTTATAGAGGAGAGATGAGGAACACTGTATTTAGAGATTATAACAAATTACCGCAAACTTCTGAGGAAACGAACCAAGACTTTAGAGAAGGAGCTGGTATATGAATGTAGCTCTTCTGAGATGAGTACAGCTCTCTTTTCATTCCACTGTATAAGGTTTCTTTGAAGAAATAAAACTTGAGCTGGATTCAAAAGATGATCAAAAGACTGTCTTACACGAGGCACTGTTGAAAAGACACCACTGGACCAGTAGGAAGTAAATACAATTTCAGGTCAAATCTGATGAGTGGGCTTAGCTATTAGGCTGAAGTGTTAAGACTTACCCAAGAAAACAAGGTCTCATGGAAGTTCTAAACAATGGTGAGGTGGCATCTCCACACTGCTTTCAAGTTTTCGCTTTACACGACTGCTAAAATGAAATCAATATGTACACCACTTGAGGTGTTTTAACTTCTTATAGAAAAAGAGTTGCTGCAGAGGCACATACTTCAATGACATTGTTATTGGTTACATTTTTCAGTGGGTTATTTAGAAATTAAAATAGTTCTGTGAGGCAAAAAAAAAAAATCTCTAAATATCAGACAGAGTTCAAATGAAGAAATCCTGGGCTATTCACAGCAGTAAACAAAGGAATATCAGGATCACCAGCAGCAATACCCACCAGGAATGTGGAAAGTTTCTTTAGCCCGGATGTGTTCAACACCACTAACAAAACATAATAAACCTCACCTCATGATAATCATTCTATATGGAGTTCAATGGAGGATATATGAACAAGATTAGGTGTTTACAAATAACAATAGGCTTTCAGGTAAAGGTGGCTAGAATGTATGTACCTACTATGCATTCCTTGAATGTGAAATGAAAGGGATTTATTTGTCTAAGGCCTACATGTAGAAAAACTGGGAATGCAGGAAAAGAGATTATAGAAACCATAGTTTTACTAGTAACGAAGGACCTAACAGATTGGAATAAACAATCTTAAGCCTGTGGAGAAGAAATCCCAGAACTAACCTGACTTGAATCAGAATCCTAAATGGCTCATGAATCAGCATTATCAGGTGTACAGGTTATCTATTGCTGCATAGCAAACTATCCCAAAACTTAGTAGTGTTAAAAAAAAATAACCATTTTATTACGTTCACAAATTCTGTAGATTGGTAATTCAAAAAGTGCACAATGAGGGTTGCTGTTCTCTATGTTATGATGTCTAGGAGCAAAATGGGGTTGAAATGAATGGCAGGGGGCTAGAACAGCAAGGGCTGGTGCAATAGGCTGAATGTTAGCATCCCTCCAGAAATTCATATTCTAAAACCTATTCCCCAGTGTGATAGTATTTGGAGGTATGACTTTGGGGAAGTTATTAGATCATGAGGGTGGAGCCCTAATAAAAGGGATTAGTGTCTGATAAAAGATGGCCCCAAAAGCTCCGTTTGCCTCCTTCTGATAGGTAAAAACACAAGATGGCCATCTGTGATCTAGAAAGTGGGGCCTCATCAGACACTATACCTGCCATCACCTCGATGTTGGACTTCCTAGTCTCCAGAAGTGTGAGAAATAAATTTCTGTTGTTTATAATGCACCCAGTCTATATTTTTCTTAAAATAGCCCAAACAGATTAAGACAGCTGGTGAAACTACTTTAAGGATTACTTCTCCACTTACAGTCTAATGACTGGGCTAGATTAGAAAAAAAACAGGTTCATCATGGATTGTTGACTAGAGTAACTAGGGTGTTCAAGGCAGTTGAGCTTTTTCTATGATGATTCAGGACACCAAGAGTGAGTATTCCCAGCCAGAAAAATGGAAGTTGCCTGGCCCTTTATGACCTAGTTTTTGATATCACTTAACATGAGATCTGCTGTATTCTACAGGTAAAAATCGGTAGCAAATTCACTCAGATTCAGAAGGAAGAACAGAAGCTTCATCTCTCAATGAGAGGATTGCCCTATCAGTACTTCCAAAAGTGAAAATGGGAACTGCATTAAAAGACAAGTAAGATACCCTTCCATTTTTTCTTACAGTAGGATATTTTCCTCCTTTATTGCAATAAAAGACTGGTTTATTCTCTGGAAAGAGTAAAATGTCTGTTCCTGTGTCTGCAAAACACCTGATGGAGTTGAGATCAAAGGTATGAAAGGGAAACTAGGCATTAGGAAGTGTATGTATACTGGGTGCTAATAGTCCCCAGTCCTCCTTTCCCCTTAACCCACAGAACACAGGTACCAGTCTACCCTCTGGGCAAAAGAACTGGAGATACCTTTTTGGGAAATCAACCAGGTTTTGACCTCAAATTTCCTCAGCTAAAAGGCTCACCCAAGGCATCCTACAGCAAAGTATACATTTGAAAGATCCAGTTATGAGCTTCGAATCAATTGTTGGTGTCCAGGTGTTAAATATAAGCAGAAAACCCATGACTACTGGGTACTTGAGGAAATCCTCTAACATTAAAAATAGAGGAAAAGGAAAAGAAAAGAAAATGGGAAGTATGCAGGGAAAGACAACATTTTTCAAAAGCTTGTCTCGAATGTACTCGGGAGAGGAAACATAAATTAACCTATCAATCCAGGAAGTCTAATATCAAGGCATAAGAATTTTAGAGAAAATGGGAGCCAGGCACGTGGCTCGCGCCTGTAACCCTAGCATTTTGGGAGGCCGAGGCGGGTGGATCACTTGAGGTCAGGAGTTTGAAACCAGCCTGGCCAACATGGTGAAACCTTGTCTCTACTAAAAATACAAAAATTAGCCGGGTGTGGTGGCATGCACCTGTAATCCCAGCTACTCAGGAGACTGAGGCATGAGAATCGCCTGAACCCGGGAGTCGGAGGTTGCAGTGAGCCAAGATTGTGCCACTGTACTCTAGCCTGGGTGACAGAGTGAGACTCCGTCTCAAACAAACAAAAGAGAAAAGGGAGATGAGGAGGGAAATCAATGAACTCATTCCAGAAAAGTTTTTCAGAAGAGAAGGAAGTTTTCAGATTGAAAGAGCTCAGTGAATATCCACCAAATAGATTAAAATAGACATGCAACAAACCTATTGTCATATAAATCCAGAGAATTCAAGACAAGCTCCCTAGAAGTTTATAGAAAGAAAAAAATAATAGTTACTTACAAAAGAGTAAGAATCATAATATCTTTGAACCCCTCAACAAGAACAGTGGAAACTAGAAAGTGGTGGAGGAAGGCTCTCAATATTCTGAGGGGAAGTAATTTCCTAACTTGAATTATCTATGTAACCAAACTATTAAGAATGAAAGGACAACAAAGATATTTCATCAGGCAAGGTCTCAAAATTTTACCTCCTTATACCCTTTCTCAGAACATGTTCCACCATATAAAAGAGTGATCCAGAAGAGAAGTGAGCACGAATTAGGGAAAGTACAAGATCCAAACCCACAAAGATGATATAACCAACAAAGATCATAAAGATGCCAGCTCTATACCAAGCACAGAGGCAACAAGTTCAGACTGAAGCAGATCAGAAGCTTCCAGGAGAGAATTCTTCAGGAAGATTCACTGGTAGAATACCTGCAGTCTTTGGATGTTTTGAGAGAATATATAGGCAATGAGGTAAAAGCATTGAGGTTGAATATGTTTTTAAAAAGAATGGAAAACTAAGCTAATAAAAAAATAAGGCAATCAGTAATCTCTCTCTGAAGAGATATAGAAAGGAAGTTCAGGCTGTAGATAAAGTGAGGAAAGGAAAGAAAACAGATTTCTCACTTCCATAGTGGGATATGCACTCCACCTTATTTAAAGGCATTAATGTAACAAGTAAAATAATCATCGGCAAAAGATCAAAGTAGTTGTTTCTGAGGGCTGGGAAATAGGGGAAAGAAAGTTTGGACTGTTATTTTTTGTTTAAAAGAAAACCTTTTTGAAATTTTTGACCTTCTAAATTATACAGATCTATAATTTCTTGTAACATGTAGGGTAAAATTAAAGGAAAGGATCAAAGATGCAAAGGGACAACAATATCACCAGAGTGCAACTAACAGGGTGCCAAATATAGTATTGGATACTGAGCTAAAATACTAGTAATATCTATAACTATGTAAGCATTGAATAATATATATAAAGAGACACACACACATATATATTCCAAAGCCAACTGAAAAGACCAGAAAGATTAATGAATTTTTATGTACATAAAGCTTCTTTTAAATGCCCCAAATCCTACATAACAGATATGTGTGTGTGTGTTTGTGTGTATGCGTATGTGTGTGTGCACGCACATGTGTGTGTCTTCTTTTAAAAGTTCCAAAGTACTGCTTTTACTCTGAATAATAAGGGTTGGATTACCCAATGTATGTCTTTATGGATGAGACCAAAATTTGTAATATATCTTATTTGGTGTGTATCAATGCATTCATTGTCAGATCCCTAGAGTTTTAAAGTGTCATTCACCTATCCAGTAGTTGCAAATACAAATAGAGACTTTTTGTATTTGTTTTATGCTAAGACAATGAAGAAAATATACTGGGTCTGAAATGTTTGCCTAGGGTCGAAACTAATTTTAGATATTTAATATTTTATATAATTTGTAATCACTGGGTACTTCTTGACTTCTTAATTTGCTTAACCAATTAATTAATAATAATTAGAAAATGAGTAAAAAAAGTAAGAAAAGATTTATGTAAAATACCAGTTTAATGAGTAAAATATCTTATGAATATTAATTCATTTTTAAGATAAAATGGTTTACTAACCAGAATATTCCAACAATTGTAAGTGTTGAGGATTTGGTTTCTTATTAGTTTTCATAAATGCTAGAAAAAAGTTTGAATGATATAAAGGATGTCTTCAGTTATTCTTTCTGCTAGTCACTCTTATCACAAACCTAAAGGAGTCGTATAGAAGTAAAGAGGCTGATTCAACATAAATAAGCTTATTCCTTTGAAAAGAAGCTTTGTCAGTTGCAAGGACACCATTGTCTCCAAAGACAAAGGCATGAACTCTTAGTACCCTGGACATACAAGGAATATTACATTTCAAAAAAATCCTGCAGAAATGACCCTGGAAAATTGTCTTAATGTGGAAACAGACCAACACAATTAACTTGTTTAAGTAACGGCAGCTGTGTCCTAAAGTGGTTATAGATGAGAATAAACACACAGAAACAGAGTCCCAATTAATCTCTAAGGGCATAGCAGATATATCTCATAAGAGAACTGTCTAATTTTCTACAAAATTTATTATTTCTAGAAAAAGATAAATTTTACACTAAATTTATCCATTACTTTTAATTTTAAAAATACAGCCATCCCTATCTTCCCTGTCATAATTATTCTCCTTTTTAACACCACATAATGAGGAAAAAGCAAATCAGTTGTGTCATTATACCTTACTGCTAAACAGAAGCAACACAGCCATTAATGACTTTAACATATATTCATGTTTTCCTGGCCACTGGGAACTTCATTGATCTGTTTCTCCTTGAGGAGGCAAAACATGTCTGTTAATAACATGATTCTGAATTTCCTTCTCTGGCTGTTTATATTCAGAACAAAATTTTCAAGTACAGCGTTAGAGGTGAGGCACCTGAGAGAAAAGGTGTCTTTAAAAGGGTGAATGGCTCCAGGATGATTTGTTCTCACCTTTTCCACCCCAAGCCATATGCCTGCCTTCATTACAAATCAATCCACCAGGTGGCGATATAAATATGTAACACTTCAAAAACAGTGACAGAATTTTTAAATATGAAACAAAGGGTTCATAATTTCTATAAAAAACACAGCACTAAGAAATTCACTAAGTATTGTGATGCTGAATTTGGACGATGATTTTAATCTGAGATCTGAGAGTTTAGGTAATTATCAGATACTTAGTTTAGTAATTTAAACTCCTAGCACCCCCTAAAAAAAGATGGATTGTTAATCTTGCTTGAACCACTTAGCTAATTGTTTCAGCTCTCGATTTTTTCTTGTCAGTTCAGGATAGTCTTGGTCAAGTTACTTAACCTCTTCATATCTCGTATAGTCTTGTAATGTGAAGAAGCACTAATAAGTTTGATTATAAAACACTGCAAATTTTAGTGCTGAAGACTACATTGCTTTGAAGTCACCAGAAGTGTGACAAGTGTTCAGACAAGTACATAATTAAACTGTCCAAACTGCGTTAGCTATTGATGGCATTTAACTAGGGCTGACTTTTCCTATCAAACTATGAGTCTGAATTATAGTGGCTTCTGTAACTCCCAAAGAATTTACCAGAGTAGAACTGGGAGAGGGCGTTTAAGTCTGAAAGCTCATGTGTGTCTTTAATGACAGTAATTAAAACCATCAGATTGAAATCTCATCAATTTCTTCTTTTGTTAGAAGAAATTATAACTCTGTCAATTAGTGTTTAAGGAAAATGTTGAATGGCATTACACACAATGACAAATCAATAGCACTATAGTTAAAAATGGAATCCTTTTTGGAACTTGAATGTCCTATTCCTTACCACTCCTCAATGATAACTGAAGTCACATTAACATCTGTGCCTGAATTTCACCGATGCCAAGCTCTCACCTGCTCCTGTAAGAATTTTATTACTACATAAGTGCTTCAGAGAATCCTCAAGATGTGATTTAACTGCATTCCAAACTAAGCCTGGTTATTGTTCACAATCCCTGGTAGCGGAGCCTGATCCTTGAAGCTGCTAGTAGCCCCTAGAGCACAAAGGGGCCACTTAAGCAGAACTGCTTTGCTTCCTCTCATCTGAGATACCAGTGACCCTTTCGTACTAGAAAAGTAGAAATCACCTCAATTATTTACCACAAAGGGAATTTAATGTAGGGAGGTAGTAACTTAAGTGATGTAAGTACTGAGAATTCCAACAGGGGATCCTGAAAAACCCTTAAGATTAGCAATAGCAGCAAGTCATTGTGCCCCTAAACTGGAAGGACAAGGAGGAAATGATATAATCAGAATTTGGAATCATGGTTATAAGGTGGAGGTTGAAATCGCAGAAGGTGAATCTATCAGGGAATGGATTCATGGAAGAGGTACAATCTCTGCACAAGAAGCTGCCAAAAGCAGAGAAAAGGTCAAGAAATACTTAGATTTCTTTCTCTTCTTCCATTTTTTCCCCACATACTTTTTATTGTCTTTATTCAACTGGAAGCCAGCTGACATAGGAACTGACAAGGGGGAACGCATGATGCTGCAATACAGGGTATAGCTGATGGAGAGTGACAGATGATCGGAGGGCAAATAGATGCTGTATCTGGATAAGATTGGCTGCTGTTGTTGGGACTGATGCTCGCCAAGCCTAGACTCTTAAGCTGCAGACTCAGACAGCCCTGCTGGCTGGCAGCTGCTTCTGTGTCACCCACTCTGCTTCCAGGGGTTTGAGTTGTGTGCCCTACTTTTAGAACAGAAGTTGGTAAAATTTTCTGGAAAGAGCTTCAGAGTAAATATTTTAGATTATGGGCCATACCATCTCTATCACTACTCAGCTCTGCTGTTGTAGCACCAGAGCATCCATAGGCAGTCAGTAAACAAATGAGCGAGGCTGTGTTCCAATAAAACTTGGGGATTTTTGTTTTTTGTTTTATTTGTTTGTTACAAAAACAGGTGGAAGGCTGGGTATGGCCTAAGGGCCATAGTCTGCTAACTTCTCTAAAACAACTATTACTATTTTTTCAGGACTCAGGACATTTCAATGCAAATTCAAGGGAGTAATATTCCTTTCCTTTATGATGCATGGTTAAGAGAGTTTCATAGGAGAATTCCTTGACCTCAGAGTATTAGAACCATAACAAGAGTCTTATTTCTCAACCTTACAACATAACCAATGCTACATTTATTTATCTTTTAAGTCACATTATAGTAGACTTGGGGTCAACATGTCAACAGCTGGTCAGGGATGGCAGCACTAGTCATTTTGGAGGCTAGCATTTACTCCTAGAGTCACAGAAAAATGTGGAAGTATAGAGCGTTGAGAAAAATGCTTTCAGTCTTTATGCTGTCACTGTCACCAATGATATTCTCATTATTCAAGCAACACACTACCTTGAAGTCTGGCAACTCCACACAAGCGGAAGGATAACAGGGTGGGGAGAGTTTTATATTCAACTCCCACACTCCACAATTCACACTGGTCTCCAGTCAGTAGACCATGTTGCTGAGTGGGATTCCTGTGCTGTGATCCTTTGTCCCTGAAGCAAGCTCTTTCTTGAAGATCTCCCTGAATAGTCCAGGAGGGTTGTATGTACAGGAGATGTATGTACAGGGTTGTATGTACAGCTGTACTTAAACAGCTTTATTTGCCATAGCTCAATCCTAGTGGAAACCCAGGTTCCTCTTCGTTAGGGACAGTCATTACTTTGTTTTTGTTTGGTTTCAGTCCTTAATTCAATCAGAGACAATAAAAAGACTTTGGAAGACAGAACACCTTCCAATTCCTTAGCTTGGGCCTATCAGAGTCATGATTTTAGCTGAATTAGGACATCTGTTATGCTTTATTTGGCTTTATAGTCATCTGATAACTTCCTAAAGGTACTCAGAAGCAAGTGGGTATCCTATGTTTGATTTTCAAGACAGGTTTGTAAACCCTCCTGTACATACTTGTGGTTCAAGGCTGATGAAAAATCATTCTGATTCTAAAGAACTTGTTTTAAAGGTAGAGAAGTTAGTTTTAGGATGAACTAATTGGTGGTTGGTGTAGGATTTGGGGAGTGGAATTTAGTTGAATTCGGCTGTTTGCATCTGCTTGTTAATGCACTTCACTGCTTTTTTCTGCAATTAGAGAAATTTAAGCTTAGATGGCCTAGAAAGAACTCTGTAATTAATCAGATTCAATGTGGATGTTGGAAAAGCAGTAAAAAGTCTGGGAAAAAAGGAGGCAAGTAAAGTGGACCTAGAGATTCATGAAATAAGCTGATTACATTTGTTACAGATTTGTTATACCTATATTATAGGTTTGTTGATTTATTACAGATTTGTTATATATTCTGTCAAAAACAAATAAGCCAAAACATGCCAAATAGATATTTTGTCCTTTTGGTCATTCTCTAGGGAACAGTATGTCCTAGCCTGTTTTGCAGGGATTTAGGTTACAGCTATGTATGGCAACATACATACAGTCACATTAGAGCACATACACTAGTCTTGCCCAAGCTTGGCCAGTGTGATTCAGTTCTCCTATTCAGATTTGCATATCCCCTTAATTTCTGGGGAAGACACTTTAAGGCGTGGACATGATCAGTAGTTCTTTGTCCAGTGACTTTCTCCCATACTGCACAGGATTGGGTTTCTATTTAAATATGTCAGGTCAAAAACTGAATGTGTAGCAATCAGTGTGTTCGATATGACAGAATTCTTGAGAGCAAATCTGGTTTCAGAGGTTTGTATTTCTGTACAATTGATAAATACAGTAAACAAGGAACTAAAGGCATGGAGTCAGGGGAAGGAGTCTATGAGATTACAAAACAGGATAGAAGCCAGAAAAGAAGGATTTGTAAGAGCTCCATTCATGTGTTATATTGTATAAAATGAAATAGGAAAACTGTGAATAAGGCAGTAAATGCATGTCAGGATTTGGAATAATTTTATTACCCACTAGAGTTACACTCTTGTGTATCTCGATATTACCAGTTCTTTTCAGAGTAATATGCACTTTAAATTTTTCTCCAATGATACGAAGGCAATATTCTGAACAATAGTTGCTACTATTTCAGGACTTATAGTTTTTACTTTTATTTTTGTTTTAGTGAAGTCAGCAGTTTCCAAAGAGTAACCTAAAGCTATGTTTAGATTCATCTTCGGTAGTCAACTTTTTAAAACAGAGCACAAAGCATGGGTTGAAAGAGGGAAAAATAAGGCCACTTTTGAATAGAAAGTAGAATAATATCATAGATATTAAAAAGGAATGTTCATTGTGTTTTCTTAGTTTTCATGAAATTACAAATACATACTTTTTGTAGCTAGGACTGGCTTTCAAAATATAGAGTGTATGAGCCTTATGTACAGTCATACCATAAGATCTTTGACTCCAAGTTTGGAAGGGACAGTTTTTTCAGAGTCCTTCCTTTATCACCCAATTAAGAATCAGCTTATTATAATCCTGACAGAAGTACAGACAGCTTCTGCTTCAAATGCCTGCGGGGATAAGGACCACACAGAGTTTCACAAGATTACTCTATACTGAGGTGGAATGTTTTATATGGATATGGAGCCAAAATCTGTTTACTTGTAGTTGATACTACAATAATATTTACGGGACATTATTACCCAGAATAATTCATCTTTTACCCTGAAGTTTTCCAAATATTAGGGAAGTAACACTGTATTGGAGGTACAGGCTGAATTGCTGTTCCAGTGCCTCTTATAAACATATAACTCAGAGAAACATTCCAAGACTATGTCTTAACCGAGCTCGGTCTTATTAAAGAATCACATGTTAGATTCCAAGCAAATTTATTATTTAAATAAAAGCTAACTTGTTTATTTATACATAACTTAAATGGTCCTGTATCTTTTTTTAACCATACGTTCTTTTTAAGTCAGTGCACACAATCTGTTTACATAGCCCCTTGGTCTGATACGAGAAATCTTGCTTCACAGTTCACATCACTGGGGGAATACTGGTGGAGACAAAAGAGAATGGGAAATGATATGCTTAGTACTATATATTTTATTGAATCTAACATGTCATTGATTATGAGATACACCTTTATTTTATGAACTGCTTTGGATCCATGAAGTAGGATATTTATTAATTTGAAATATTACATAGCTAAATGAAAACTGAGACCAATTCCTCTTATTCTATTCTTCTCTACAGGTAGGGATAGGGGAGGACAAGAGAGGAACCATATAAAGTGACTATTAATCTCTCTATGTATTTTATGCCAAATAATCAAATATTGAGAGTGGCTAGCAATGTGGAAGAGGGGGCAACATAAGCATTTTTCATATTTTTAAAACATGGCACCGTATGAAAGTGGCTAAAAACCTGGCAAGGCTTTTCTGAATAATAGCAATTTTACTATTTTTTTTCTACAAAGATTTTTTTGTACTCTTAGCATATAAACAGTCAGTATAGATGGCATTTATTAAGCTTTATCAATTACATGTCACATTGTGTGATGCTTTTTTCTTCTTAATATTATTTTTAAATCTTATGAGAAACAAAAATATCAGGATGAAGAATAGACCGAGAACTTGGGATGAGTGTGAGGGAATCCAGAGACAGGGAGAAATAGTGTAAAAAGAAGAATCAAAGATATAATTTCTGTTACCGTGGCTCATTACATGCTAGTCAATATCTTTCTTTGTTTAATTTACCAAGTTAAAAGAACAAGTCAATAATACCATACATAGGAGGATATAATAAAAGTCAGAATAAAAGAGGAAGACTGAGTAAGTGGAAGGATTTACCATTGATAGTAGCAGAGACATATTTTTAAATGTTTTGCTGCTATGGACATTGGGTATACACAACCTAGTTATGGATATTGTCATGATTTTAAAAATAAATCCTGAGTTAGTTTAGCATGCATTATATTTCCAGATCAATGCTAAAGTTTAGGAGAGGAAAGTTCATTACAAAAATTTTTTTAAAGAAAATACAAACTGAATTTGTATTATGTAGAAAAAGACTAAAGCTGAAAGAGAAACATGTGAGCCTTGTTAGTAACCCTTTGCTGTATAAGCCAAGACCTCTGAAGACTTTCTTGATGCTTTAGAAGGCAAGAACGTTTCACTAAACTTGTTTATAAAATTTACCGTAGATCACCTACATTCTTTTCATTTCCTTGAAATTAAAAAAAAATTAACTTGGCTCATAGGGGCCTGCAAATGATTTTAAAGGCCAACCTGCCATATGAACAGGAACCCACTAACTTGGGCATAATCATAAGTTTCCTTTTTATCAATCTGGGGAGGCGTTCGCTCCTACTCTTCTTTCCTTTTTCTTTCCTATTTTTTTTTTTTTTACCCTTGTATTTTATGTGAGACAATAAGGTTTGCCTTTTAAGTTGAAACTTAGGGAAAAACAAAACAAAGCTTGTTCTCTTTCCTGTTAGGTGTTGATAAGGAACACTACAGATACCAGGAAACTGACTTGAATTTTTGGCAGAGGATAGTATTTGTAGCTATTGCCAACTTGACGCTTATACCTATGTGGGAAGTGTGATGATGCTTTTTCTTTCCCTAGATATTGCAGAGGACTTGGAGTGCCATTATACAGCTCTCTCTCATCTCTTTATTATCTGAACAGGAAAATCATTTCATTGAATTGTGGTCACACACCTGGCAAAATTTATTTTTTCTAGATTACTGGCAGTGAAATGTAACATGAAAAGCAGAGAAGGACAATAGTATAGACAAGACATTCTTTCGCCTGTCAGGATGTGATCCCATCTGGACTACGGTATATTGATTGCAAAAATAACCCAAATTCTTCCCTGTATCCATGCCTTTTGTAAGGTATTTGCAACATCTCCCAACAAGGAGGGTATTTCCTCATCCTATAATCTGAGCTGGTTTAGTGACTTGATTTGGTTTAAAGAATGTGACGGAAATGCTGGTGTGCCAGTTCTGATCAGAGCCCTCTGAAGTTTCTATGTACTACCACTCTCCCTCAGATCCCCACCTCAACAAAGAAAATAAGCCCTGCTGGAGTACTAGAGGATGAGAAGCCGTGAGGAGCAGAGCCCAGAGAGCTGAGATCCTCCTTGACCAGCCAACCCTGAGCCAATCCACCAGCTGACCCAGATGTCTAAGCCTGGCCAGCCAAGATCAGTTGAGTTTTGCTTAAATCAGCAGAACCTCCTAGCCCATGTGTGGACCCATAAGCCAAAATTAACATTTATTGTTGTATGCCATCAAGGTTTTGTGATTGTCACGCCAGAGTATTTTTTGTAATTGGAAGTATCTCTTTCCAATGAACCAATGGGCACTGATATATGGCAGTAGGTTGAGGCATCTACTTTCCCTGAGTTTAATTCAAAGACTTCTAGAAGTTCCCAAGCTGTTATTTATATTCGTTTCATGTTTCTTGCAACTAGTTTTCCAACTTCTTTTCCTCCCAGTTTGCCACAGAAAAAGAATGATTAAAGAGTCAAGTCTGTATTTGGAATTCTCAGCTTCTTTTAAAATGTATCTTCCCATGAAGGTTCCCCAGCACACGTGCCTCCTCCTTGCAGTCTCTTGTTAACCTGTTCAAAGGACCCACTTCAGTCACTTGTAGGAATAAATGAATGAAAATGCATACAATATTATGGAAATAGTTGAATTTTAATAGAGCCCAAAGTCTTACATTGTTTTTGCTTCAGTTGTAATCTTAGGCCACTTACAGCAGAATCATCTGGGGGAGATGAGTAAAATGCATATTCTTAGGTCCCACCCTGACTTACTACATCAGAAACAGAATTGGAGCAGAGGTTGATATAGTTAGGTTTGGCAGCAATTTTTGTTTGCTTGTTTCTTTTTTGTTTAGTATGGTTTTCCACTTGTGAAATTATACAACAGACTCAGATCAACAGTCAGCTCCTCCATTTAATTGAATGGGAAACTTTCTTTGCAGTCAGGCATCAAGAAAAACCTCCATGTATTTCAAATATACAGGTTTATATTTGAATGTAAAATTAGAAGAAATAAAGAATTATGCCATGACTGGAAGCACCCAGGGAACAAAAATTAGGAAGGCTATTACCAGCAACCCTATCCTGCAGCACCTAAGCAGCTAGTTCTTAAGAAATTAACCTGAAATTTGCTTCAAACGTTACCTCTGACACCAGCACACATATCTGTCCAAATCTGTTTCTGTGAATTAATGGTCTATCCTTGTCTTTCACTTTCTAGATTTCATGCAAGTGTCTCTCATTAGCTGACTCTAACTTGAAACCAGGTGGAGAAGGGGAATCTGGAAAATGTAGTTCCCAGCTTCTTCCTTGATATGCAGAAATATCTAAGAAGAAGCTGGCAATCAGGACAAATTGACAACAGAGAATCCAGCATATATCGAATCCCTGAAGTGGTGACACTGAAACTGGGATCCAACAGTTTTAAAGAATAAAATCTCCACTTTTAGGTAGGAAGCTAGAAGAAGTATAAGTGTTATCTAAATATTGTTATATTTACAGATAATTTTGGAGAATTTAAACTAAGAAAAGATGGAGATAGGATTTCCTGTCATACTCTATAGGTATCAACAATTCGGTCTTCACAGTTTTATACTCATTGTACATAATGAAATTAATACTTTTTGTAAAATATCAAAAATAAGAATAAAACTATACACTAGAAATAGCAAATATCAAAAGTGACCAGGTGTGACTGCTAATGCCCTCTATTGGTGATAGGCAGGTTGCACAGGTTTTAATTCTGCCACTTATTTGTGAACATTGGTAAGTTCAAAGTTCATGAGCAAAGGACAATCTGTATGTGTGTGTGTGTGTGTGTGTGTGTGTGTGTGTATATATATATGAATTTCCATCTTGAGCAAAAATAAATGTCAAATGTGTGGCAGGGAATGAAAGCAGCTTATGTTTATTTTGTTTACATAATTTTATTGAATGCTTACAACAAGCCTGTAAAGTGAATATTGTTTCCATTCTGTACATTTTGGAGCTAAGGGTCAGAGAGAATAGTTACCTCCAAGTCACATATTTTATAAAAGGCAGAGCCAGAATTTAAACCTATAGCTTCTGACTCCAAGCTGCGTGCTCTTCCCACGTCATCTCTCTGCTTCCATAAATACAATTTTTCAGTATACAAAGTCCCTGTTTTGCAGAGAGGAGAACATAGCATTCTTTTCTCTTTTGCTCTTGTCCTTTCAACCTCCGCTGCTGACTCTCATGATGGAAGGGAGGAAGAACATTTGTCTTCTTTTTTTCAGTCCTCCTAGCATCTATTCCTCCTTCTTATGAGCATATCCATTTCTTTCCAGAAGATTTCCACTCTCTTTCTGTGTGCGGTCTTAGTGAAATGTTGAAACCAGGGTTTGCCTCCTACTACTGAAGCTGAAGTGGCAGAATACTTCAGTCCACCACCCTAGTACAGCTAAGGAGTGAACAGGTGACTCAAGATTGGCCAGTCAAATGCGTTCCTCTAGAGCTTTGAAATTTGAGCAAAGGATGGAAATCAAATTTGAAGACCATGTGATTCAATGGCAGACTGTTTGGTATAAAAATCACTATTGTAGATCCTGTTTCGTTGCTGGTTTAGTTTGTCAATTTTCAAATAACAACAACCTTCCTTTAGATTACGTGATTGTCAACTGCTACTACTCTTACCTTTCTTTTCAAAGTTGGCTAGATTAAGTTTCTATCACAATTAAGAATCCAAATTAATATAATTATCTCTAATCATTAATACATTCACCTGCTTTAATCCATTTAAAATATGTAAATGTGGGTATTAAAAATAAATCCAAGATCTGGAAAAAATAACTTTGTATTAGATAATTTTATTGAATTTAATGTACAGTATGTACATAAAGCAGAAATGCTTTTAGTTTCTTGCGGCAGAGAAAATTCCGTTGCTTTTTAAAATCTTGGAATAAAATAGAAAAAATGGGAACAAAAAAGATAGCATAGAGGTGGGAATTGTTACTATACAAAATTGATGCTGTAAATATGTAAATAATGTACCTCAACTAAGAACTTTCTGGAAGTCTGTGCAATAAGAAAACATGGTCAGTTGCATACATATGAGGATTCTCAAGATAAAAATGACTTACAATTACTCCTGTACTGAGTCTACAGAAAAAAAATATAGTTCTTGTGCTCTCATGTTGTAACTGTACAAAATGCAGCAAATAGTATCTGGAAAGGCACCGCTAGAGGAAATACTACAGCTTGGTTCACTGGCTGTTTTTAATAATATTCCTCAATGTAAGTTAATAGCATTATGCCAAAGTAACATTCACTGAAAGCAATTCTGATGGGGACAAAAATGATATGACCTCAGTATGTAATCCTCTGGGTCTTGTGTTTTATTCATGGAGAGATTTTAAATACGGCACATCTCGGGGTTTTTACACTGTATTGTGCTTTGCAGAAATTGTAGTTTTTTTCACAGATCAAAGTTTTGTGGCAACCCTTTGTTAATCAAGTCTATCAGCACCATTTTTCCAATAATATGCCCAATTTGTATATCTGTGTCATATTTTAGTAATCTTTGCAATATTTCAAGCTCTTTTGTGATCATTATACCTGTTATGGTTATCTGTGACCAGTGATCTTTGAAATTACTATTGTAATTGTTTTGGGATGCCATGAACCATGCCCACACAGCTAACTTAATAAATGGTGTAGGTGTTGTGATTGCTCCGTCAACCAGCCATTTCTTCATGTCTCTTCCTCTTCTTGGGCCTCCCTAATCCCTGAGACACAACAATATTGAAATTAGGCCAATTAATGAGCCTACTGACCTCTAAGTGTTCAAGGAAAAAAAAAAAGTAACTTGTATCTCATTTTAAATCAAAAGCTAGAAATAATTAGTCTTGTGAGGAAGACATGTTGAAAGCCAAGATAGGCTGAAAGCTAGCCTGCTTGTGCCAAATAGCCAAATTGTGAATCCAAAGGAAAAGCTCTTGAAGAAAATTAAAAGTATTACTCCAGTGAACACATGAATGATAAGAAAACAAAACAGCCTTTTTGCTGATGTGGAGATAGTTTTAGTGGTCTGGATAAAAGATCAAACCAGCCACAACATTTACGTAAGCCAAAACCTAATCCACAGCAAGACTCTTCAATTCTATGAAAGATGAGATAAGTGAAGAAGCTACAGAAGAAAAGTTTGCAGCTGGCAGAGCTTGGTTCAGGGTTTAAGGAAAGATGTCTCCATAACATAAAAGGGCAAGGAGAAGCTACAAGAGCTGGTATAGAAGCTGAAGCAAGTTTTACAGAAGATCTAGCTAAGATAACTGATGAACGTGGCACACTAAACAGATTTTCAATTTAGATAAAACAGCCTTTTATCAGAAGGAGATGCCATCTGGAACTTTGATAGCTAGAAGGGAGAAATCAATGCCTGGCTTCAAAGCTTCAAAAGACAGGCTGACTTTGTTCTTAGGGGCTGATGCAGCTGGTGCCTTTAAGTTGAAGACAATGCTCATTTACAGTTTGAAAATCCTAGAGTCCTTCAGAATTATACTAAATCTACACTCCCTGTGCTCTACAAGTAGAACAACAAAACCTGGTTGACATCACATACATTTATTCTATGGTTTACTGAATATTTTAAGCCTACTGTTGAGACCTACATCTCAGAAAAAATATTACTTCTCATTGACAATGCACCTAGTCACTCAAGATTTCTGATGGAGATGTACAAGAAGATTAATGCTGTTTTCCTGCCTGTTAACACAATATCCGTTCTGCAGCCCATGGATCAAGGAGAATTTTTAACTTTAAGTCTTACTATTTAAGAAATGCATTTCATAAGGCTATAGCTGCCATAGGTAATTCCTCTAATGGATTGGGGCAAAGTAAATTAAAAACCTTGCACGAAAGATTCACCAGTCTAGGTGCCACTAACAACATTCATGATTCATGAAAGAATCATGAAGTCAAAATATCAACATTAACAGGAGTTTGAAAGAAGTTGATTTCAACCCTCATGAGTAACTTTTTGATGGGGTCAAGACTTCAGACTGCAGAAGTGGTAGAAACAGTAAGAGAACTAGAGTTAGAGATGGAGCCTGATGATGTGACTAACTTGCTGCAATCTCGTGATAAAACTTGAATAAATGAGTTGCTTCTTATTGATGAGCAAAAAATAAATGGTTTATTTGTTGAGATAGAAACTTTTGTAGGGAAGATGCTGTGAACATCACATTGTTGAAATAACAACAAAAGATTTTAATTTTTTTTTTTTTTTGAGATGGAGCCTCACCCTGTTGCCCAGACTGGAGTGTGGTGGTGTGATCTTGGCTCACTGCAACCTCCGCCTCCCAGGTTCAAGCAATTCTCCTGCCTCGGCCTCCCTAGTATCTGGGATTACAGGTGTCTGCCACTATGCATGGCTAATTTTTGTATTTTTACTAGAGACGGGGTTTCACCATATTGGCCAGGCTGGTTTCGAACTCCTGACCTCAAGTGATCCACCCACCTTGGCTTTTCAAAGTGCTGGGATTACAGGCATGAGCCACCACTCCCAACCAACAACAAAAGATTTTAAAGTGTTGCATAAACTTAGTTGACACAGAAGCACAAGGGTTTGAGAGGAGTGACTTCAGTTTGGAAAGAAATTCTACTGTCAGTAAAATGCTATCAAACAACATTGCATGCTATAGAGAAATCTTTTGTGAAAAGAGGAGTCAATTGATTCACTAAACTTCATTGTTTTCTTATTTTCAGAAATTGCCACAGCCACTCCAACCTTTAGCAACCACCACCCTGGTCAGTGAGCAGCCAACCATTGAAGGTAGGACCCTTAAGCAAAACCGTTATGAATAACTGAAGGCTCGGATGACTGTTACCATATTTAAATTAATGTATGTACTGGTTTTTACAGATTTAATGCTATTGCACACTTCATATACTACAGTATAATGTAAACATAACTTTTTACTTTATTTGAACTTTTAGGTTCAGGGGTATATTTGCAGGTTTATTATATAGGTAAATTTCATGTCATGGAAATTTGGTGTACATATTATTTCGTCACCTGGGTGATAAGTATACTACCTGATGGGTAGTTTTTCAATCCTCATCCTCCTCCCTCCCTCCCTCCACCCACAAGTAAGCCCCAGTGTCTGTTGTTCCCTTCTTTGTGTCCATATGTATTCAATGTTTAACTCCCATTTATAAGTGAGAAAATGCAGTACGTGGTTTCCTTTTCTTGTGTTAGTTCGCTTAGGTTAACGGCCTCCAGCTCCATCCATGTTGCTGCAAAGGATATGATCTCGTTTTTTATTATAGCTGTGTAGTATTCCATGGTGTGTATGTACCACATTTTTTGATCCAGTCTACCATTGATGGCATTCAGGTTGAATCCATGTTTTTGCTATTTTGAGTAGTCCTGCAATGAACATATGCATGCATGTGTCTTTATGGTAGAATGATTTATATTCCTTTGAATATATGTCCAATAATGGGATTGCTGGGTTGAATTGTATTTCTGATTTGAGTTATTTGAGAAATCACCATACTGCTTTCCACAATGACTGAACAAAATTCCCACTAGCAGTGTATAAACGTTCCCTTTTCTCTGAAACCTCACTAGCATCTGTTATTTTTTTATTTTTTAATAATATCCATTCTGACTAGTGTGAGATGGTATCTCATTGTGGTTTTGATTTATATTTCTCTAATGATTAGTGACCTTGAGCATTTTTTCATATGATTATTGGCCACATGCATGTCTTCTTTGGAAAAGTGTCTTTTCGAGCCCTTTGCCCACTTTTTGATGGGGTTGTTTGTTTCATGTTTGTTGATTTGTTTGTTTCTTATAGAGTCTTGATATTAGACCTTTGTCAGATCCATACTTTGCAAATATTTTCTCCCATTCTCTAGGTTGTCTATTTACTCTGTTGATAGTTTCTTTTGCTGTGCAGAAACTCTTTAGTGTAATTAGGTCCCATTTGTCCATTTATGTTTTTGTTGTAATTGCTTTTGGCATCTTTGTCATGAAATCTTTGCCAGGGCCTACGTCCGGAATGGTATTTCCTGGGTTTTCTTCCAGGGTTTTTGTAGTTTCAGGTTTTACATGTAACTCTTTAATCCATCTTGAGTTAATTTCTGTATATGATGTAAGGTAGGAGTCCAGTTTCAGTCTTCTGCATATTGCTAGCCAGTTATCCCAGGACAATTTATTAAATTGTTCCTCTCCCATTTGCTTATTTTTATCAGGTTTGTTGAAGATCAGATTGTTGTAGATGTACAGCACTATTTCTGGTCTCTCTATTCTGTGTCATTGGTGTATGAGGCTGTTTTTGTACCAGTACCATGCTTTTTTGGTTACTGCAGCCTTAGAGTGTAATTTGAATTTGGGTAATGTGATGCATCTAGCTTTGTTCTTTTTGCTTAGGATTGCCTTGACTGTTAGAGAACACAGGTCCTCTATCATAAACAACCCAAAAAATTTGTGTGACTCACTCTATTGAGATATTTGCTTTATTGCAGTGGCCTGGAACTGAACTTCCAATATCTCTGAGGTATGCCTGTATTTAGAGGAATGGGCAGGCTACTAACATTCAAGTACCCTTCCAAAACCATCATTTTTGTAGAGTATTGCTGAGAAATGAGTTCAGGGTTATACTCCATAACAATTACCTTCTGGAGAATTAGTCTATGTTGGCTGTGGAGCAGATAGATGGTTACTCTGGCCATTGTTAAAGTGGAGGGAGTAAAAAGATGAAGTATAACTGCCATTATACACTGACAACATGATTGTGAATTTAAAAAATACAAAGAAATTTACAAACTACAAGAACTAATAAGTGAATTCAGCCAGGTCACAGGATACGAGATGAGCTGTATTTTTATAAACTAGCAACAAACAAGTATACAATACAAGATTTTTAAATACTATTTATAATTTCACTGAAACCATAAAATATCTAAGAATAAAATTAATAAACTATATGAAAGAATTTTCCACAAACTATAGACAAAATGAACATTGCTGAAATAAATCAAAGATCTAAATAAATAGGAAAATATGCCATGTTCATAGAATAAAAGACTCTAAACTGCTAGATTGTATTAGTCTGTTCTCATACTGCCATTAAGAAATACCCGAGACTGGGTAATTTATAAAGAAAAGAGGTTTAAATAACTCACAGTGTTATATGGCTGGGGAGGCCTAAGGAAACTTAAAATCATGGAATAAGGGGAAGCAGGCATGTCTTACATGGCGGTAGGTGAGAGAAGAGAAAACTAAGGGGGAAGAGCACCTTATAAAACCATCAGATCTCGTGAGAACTCACTCCCTATCATGAGAACAGCATGAGGGAAACTGCCCCTATTCCAGTCACCTTTCTCCCTTGACACATGAGGATCACAATTTGAGATGAGATTTGGGTGGAGTCACAAAGCCCAGCCATATCATAGATGTAAATTTTCCTCAAATAAAGTCCATGTAATCCCAGCAGATTTTTTGTTAAAGTATTTAAGACAATTCCAAAAGTTATATGAGAAGATAAAAGACACAGAGAGGCTACAACCTAACCTCTTATAACAAATGTCTTATATTTTTGTAAGGGGAAAAGATATATGAAAGGAACAGAAGAGAGTGCAGAAATGGACCTCACATACACAACCTCTTGATTTACACCAGAAGCACCAATGCACTTCAAAGGGAAAATAAATATCTTCAAAATAAATGGTATTGGAGCCATGGGATATTCATAAAAAATTATAAATAAATAAATAAACCCTATATGCTCCTTTACATTACACAGGGAAATTAAGTTGACTTAACTGTAGTAGTTAAAAGTATAATTTTCCCATAAAACATAAAAGAATATCTTCATGGAATTAGATTGACAAAGATTTCTTATACAAAGCAACAAAATCCCTAGCTACGAAAAGAAAAAATAACCTGGTAAATTGTAATTTACCCAACTTGTACATTTTATCATCAAAAGATACCATTAAGAAAGTAAAAATGTAAGCATCAGACTGGGGAAAATACATAATAGACAAAGAACTGCACATGTAATATATATTAAACTTACAATACGAAAAAGGACCAAAAATGGCCAAAAGAGAATATCCCAATGGACAATAAACATATGAAAATGCGCTTAATATAATTAATCAGGAATATATTAATTAAAAGCATAATATACTACTAAACACCCATCAAAATGGCTCAAAGATGTTTGGATAGCAAATGAGCATATTAATAGATGTGCAGTGCTATTAGGAAAATGCAAAACTAAAATTACAATGAGGTACCACTATACACCTGTGAAAATGGGTAAAATTAAAAAGATTGACCATACCAAGTGTTGATGAAGATGTGGAAGAATTGAAACTCTTATACCACAAATGGTGGAAAAATAAAATGTTACAACTACTTTAGAATATCATTGGGCAGTTGCTAAAAACATTAAACATATATCTACATTATGACCCAGCTACTCTAATTCTAGGTATATAATGAAGAAAAATAAGTAAAATTGTTTGCATAGTCAGTGGCAACATATATTCTGGATTACATGATTATACACACACTTATATACATTTGCTTGTACATAGAATATCTCTGTATTTACATAAGGAACTGTTTTACTTCCCTGCATAGGTAAGGGACTGACTGGGAGACTGGATGGGAGAGGAAATGTTTTTACACTGAATATCACTTACCATATTTGAATTGTGTACTGTGTGCATGTATTACCCATTTCAAAAATGAACCAACTTTTTATTTATTAAAAGTCAATCAGGTCTACTCCAGCACACATATTGAGTCCTATTTGATTATGGTATATTGTTCTACTATTTTATTATTATTGCCATTTATCTGTTGCTGTTCATAATTTATAAATTAAAGTTTATTATATGTATGTATAGGAAAAAAGTATATACAGGGCTTAGGACTATCTGTGGTTTCAAGTACCCACTGGAGGTCTTAGAATGTATTTCCTGAAAATATGGGAGGATTACTGTAATTCGTAACAAAAAAAGCCAGTTAGCGCTAAAATACAACAATAGCATTCTATCATTAACTTGCTGAGAAGCAAGGTCGAGTAAACCTGGAATGAAGATACTAGATTCTATGATGTGACTGCCATAAATTTAGTTGCTGCACATCTTCAACTATGCTTCTTCCCACAAGTATTTTTTGCAAGGTTCTCTTCCACCTGTTTCTTCATCAAAGTTTAATTTCTTTTTGTTTAAGAGCCCAAGGTATCATGTTTTGCTTTCTTTCTTTCTTTTTTTTTTTAATTTTTGTTTGTAATGTCTATCTCTTCAATACAAACAACTAGAAGTGTCATGATACAATGAATATTTTTTAGACTAGACAATCTCAGGCATACAGCAGCATACAGTTTATAACCATGACTAAAATTATCCTCAAAAAAGAAAACAAAAGATATTAACATTGCCTTAAGCCACAGCTATTTTTGTTAATTTATCACAAATTACCCTTGCACATTGCACTTGCAAGAAATAAATTATTTTCCTTTGTTCAATATATTTATGACTGTGCTGAATACTGTGGGCAATTTCAACACAACACTAAGTATTTGTGTATCTAAACATAGAAAAGGTATGGTAAAAATATGGTATTATAATCTTACAGGACCACTTCCATATATGTGGTCTGTCATTCACCAAAATGTCATTTGACATATGACTGGACTTATATTGAGACTACAGATAGCAGCTAAAAAAGTCAGAAGTTTGATTCTGGAATATTGAATTCCCTATTAGAAATGCAAATGGATTGAGTGGAAGTTGAATGGAGATGAAATATATGTTTGGATTCAAAGGAAAATATCTCTGCTGGTGCTACAAATTTGGGAATCATCAATATATAGAAAGTAGGTTATGTTAAAGCTATGATACAGGATGAAGTCACTAAGAGAATAAGAGTAGGTAGAAAAAGAGTAGGTCCAAGTATTGCATCTCGAAACACTAAAACACTGAGAGGCAGTAGACATAAAGAGGAGATTGATAAGAAAAGGCAAGAAGGATGTGAATAAAGCCCAGGGAGTTTAGTGTCCCAGAAGCCAAATGAAGAAAATATTTCAAGGAAGAGAGAAGAGTCAACTGTGTCAAATGCTTCTGATAAGCAAGAAAAATGAGGAACTGGCTATTAGATTTTGCAATGTGGAAGATATTCATGATAACACTTTAGGTGGAATAGTTTGATTGAAAATCTGATTGGAGTGGTTTTAAGAGAGAATGAGAAAGAAAAATTGGAGACATTAAGTTTATATAAACTATTCCAGGATAATGACATGAGTATATAATGATGATTTCAATATCAGATAACAAACTCTTGTTCACAAGAAATAGACCTTTACTAATATTCCCTATAGTTGAACATAATATTATGTTGAATTAATACACAAAGTTTATTGAAGCATTGTGTGCAATAGTAAAACATTGAATAAACTTGGCTAATGAGTAATTATTGGTCAAATAAAATATGGTTTGCTGAGTATGGTGTGTGTAGTATGGAGTACTACAAAGCTGTTGGAGAGAAAATGGTAAATCCTACAATGTTTGACATTGAAATATCTCCAAGATATTTTTGGTGAACAAAGCTCATGATGATATAGCATTTATAATAAATTCTTTTAGTGTGTATCTACGTGTAGTTTAATGACTTAGTTGAACTTGACAGAGCTCAATCATGAAAAAATTATTTTGGTCAATGCTACTATACTACTGAAGTATCAGAATAGTCTGATTTGGGGGTGTTAAAATATTCAGTGTGATCCAAGTCAGAACTTTCATCTCACACCAAATTAAAAGTTGCTGCTGTTCCTCAGTACTCAGCTGCTCAGGGAGGCATGTTCTGCCTTTTCTATTGTTTTCTCTCTCTCTGCTCCACAGCTAGCTGCTGCTTTGGCTCCTCCAGCATGGGCAAGGAATAGAAAGAAATTAACAAAATCACCATGGCTGATTCTGTTGTACTTTGGTATCAGTGTTCCAAATGCTGGCGTACGTCCAAATGCTGGCTCTTTTCCTCATAAAATGATCATGTGGCTTCTTCAAAGACTTACCCGTTGTGAATCATATAACACTGTTCTTTGACATAAGCACTCACTAGTTGGCCTGTGTAACCCCCGACTTTAGCCTCTGCTCTGACACCCCTGCAGCCTCTCTCTTCTGGTTGACTTCTTCCTGGCAGGACATCATATTAGGGAGTGTTAAACAAGCCAGTGTGGTCATACACAATATTTAAGTTATTTTTGGTAAACAATGGGTGCATCCCCCAAAGAAATGTGAGAACTATCTCTGCTCTATCCTGCTCTGCTAAACCTACCTCTATTTTACTGTACCCTTGCTGTCAGATGTTATTGAAAATAAATCACAGAAAAATTCTACTGCACACAGATATTTATTAAGCAAATATTCAGAAGCAAGCAACACAAAATAGTTCTTACAAGGTTCTCTGAAAGTTCAATGATGGTCCAGCTCTCTGAACTTTTAAGTATTCCTAAAAGCACCTTCCTAAAAAGGTGTATTCATGGCAGACAAAATAACATTCAAGAAGTAGGTGTCTGTCAATCATATAGTAGGCATAAGACAACTAGAAGCCTTCCTAAACTAATGGTTGGACACAGAACTATTTAGGAATAAAGCCTTGAGAATGATCCCTAGAATAAATGAAGAGAATTCATTGACTATTTTATCTGAATTATTAAGGATGTTTCTAAAATAATTTAGCCAATAAATACACCTTGGTTATCTCTCAAAAGCCTCCTGTACTGGTGGATCTCACAGAACCTGAAGAAATATATCCTAAGAGAGAAAAAGACATTAATTGTCAGAGCCGCCTGGTGGCCCCCATGAAACAGCTGTTCCTCATCATGGCAGTGCTCTCAGCTTCAGGGACAAAAGGGTGTGGCATGTGGTGGGCTCTCATTGGCACCAGCTCTGCAAATTTGGTTATCATCAAGGAGGACAAGCCCAACTTTTTCACTGACCACCCCAAGTCTTTCAGGAAATTCAATAAGGGACCGCATCACCTGCCTGGAAAAGGGCACCACCTGTAGACAGACAGGAGATCATGCTAGACTTCCTGCACCAGAGGAAATGGCACCCTTCTCTCCATTCTCTACTCTCTTTGGAGACCATCACTACTGTGACCCAGCAGATGTTGGGCTGTGTGAGATCTGCATCATCAACACCCTGTGGTCCCTGCACTTGCTGACCAGGCTGCAGATATTCACCCACCCACCTGCCGGGCTCATGCAGACCCACCCAGGTGCAGAGTCCCAGCAGGTGGTGGCTGCATAGAGGAAGGAGAGGCAGGAGCTGAGAAGCATTAGCAAGGCTCTGTTAGATGCTCAGTTTGAGAGCATCTGCCTCACCTTCCACAAACTGCTTACTTCCTACCACACCCCATGTGCTTCTCTGGCCTGTACGTGGCCTTGCTCAGTGGCCTGCTCTATGCATGTAGACTTGACCCTCTATCTTCACTACCTGTCCTTGCAGTACCAGGGGCCTCAAATGCACAAAGTCTACACCAGCTTAATGAAGATGCCCTTCCCTGATGGCAATGGGGGAGCGGGAAGAATAACTACCCTAGGTTTACAAAGTGTAAACTAAAAAATGGAAACAAAATGTCACTCAGTCATTCTAACAGGCTAGTGCTTTAAGATGACTCCAACCCAGCTCTCTTCCATAATGTTGTGAGAAAAGTGTCTCTACCATGTTCTGAAAGCCCAGCCTTCCCCACAACAACTTTCTTTCCCTCTTCTTGCTATCAAAGCAACTCCATTTAGTCTCTTTCCATCAGACTTTTCCGAAGTGAGCCATGTGAGTCCACCCACTGGGATCCCTAAGTTCCAGGGTACATTGTTCAAATTCCGCTAAGAAGTCTGAAAACTTCTGCTCTGATTCAATGGCCTGCAGCTTAGCAACTATCCAGCCAGGAGGCTCACCAAGGACTAAGTTCTCCTCTGGCAAAAAAAAAAACCTCTTGTTTCACTTAAGATTTTCTTGGAGCTCTCTGGGCTTGAGATGAGGTTGGAGGCTGGGAGCTATAGAAGGTGAGGTGGTGGGTGTTGGAAAGCAGGTCCCTCCTCTGTCCAAGGAATGAAAGGGGCAATGGCACAGCCCTTCCTAATAAAAAGTAGGCGATTCTCTTGCTCCTCTGCAATGAATTGGGGAACATTTATTGCATGTCCTGAAGATTTTCCAGAAATTTTCCTAGGCATGTGAAATTACTGCTCCTATAGGTGTTAGAATTCAGATAATATTCACATATAAACTAAAACTCTCAATTAAAATCCAGCAAATATATTTTGTGCTAGTTTAACAAATACTTATTGAGTGCCTTCCTTATGGCAGTCACTGTCTTTGGCGTAGAATGTGTTTAGGATACAGTCTTTAGTGTCCACTAGTTACCCCTAGGGAATGGGTGGTGGTTTCCTTTTTTTACCTTTTTCTCTCATACAGTTCTATATTGTGAGAATTTTTTAAACAAAATTCAAAGTTTATAAATTATTTTCAAAATGATAGCAAAACTTTCTGTATTCTTCTCTAAATACATGCTTATAATTTATTTACCCAATATAAAATTCAGTTACTGTATTCTGAAAATTCAGGATGCCAGTCATCTTTCCCTTTAGGTTTATGACATTCTATGAGCATTACTTACAAGCTTGAGAGATAAGTTTAAAAAAAACAATCACCGATGTCCTAGTGATTTGCTCTATTTAGTAAGAGTAAATGCCCCTCTGTAAAGCGTGATTAAACTTTAGAACTTAAAAGGTCAGGTGTAGATTTATGCAAGATAAGACCACGTCTTACTTGCCAGCTCCTTTAAAAACGACGTTGCTACCTACCTACTTTGTCCTTCTTTGTGTCCCTAAAAAGATCTCTTTGGGATTTATAACAACCAATTAGAAACATGTATCCCAGATCTCCTGAGACTCTCACTCTTGCAGAGCAATTAAGTGTTCACTACATTCCCTGAAATAATGAGAGATGGATATTTTACTTAAATTTTGATAGTTGCAGGAAGTAGAAAAGAAAGTTCACATCAAATACTACATTGATATGCTCAACCAAATACTTATGCATTAATTATTTATTGCTGTGTAACAAATTACTCCAAAACCCTATTAAATAACTAACTTCTATTTTCTTGTAGTTTTTATGAGTCAGGAATCTGGATACGGCTTAGTGTGATGCCTTTGTTTTATGGTCTCTCATAAGGCTAGAATAAAGATGTTGACTGAGATAGAGTAATCTCAGTGCTCAACTAGGGAAGTGTGTTAGGCTGTTCTTGCATTGCTATAAAGAAATACCTGAGACTGGGTAATTTATTAAAAAAAAAAGGTTTAATTAGCTTATGGTTCTGCAGGCTGTACAGGAAGTATGGCGCTGGCATCTGCTCGACTTCTAGTGAAGCCTCAGGGAGCTTTCAGTCATGACAGAAGGTGAAGTGGGAACAGGCAGGTCACATGGCAAAATCAGGAGCAAGAAAGTAGCGGGCAGGTGCCACAAACTTTTAAATAACCAGATCTTGAGAGAATTTACTATTGCAAAGACAGTCCCAAGCCATGGAGGGTTCTACCCCCATAACTCAAACACCTTACACTAGACCCCACCTCCAGCACTGGGGATTACAATTCTACGTAAGATATGGGCAGGGACAAATATTCAAACTATATCAAGAAGGATCTGCTTCCAAGCTCAGTCATGTGGTTGTTGGCAAGTTCTCCCTAACCACTGTCCAGATACATCATTACTGTGCCACGTAAGTCTCTTCATAGGCCTATTTACAGCATACAACTGGATCCCCTAAGTCCAAGAGGAGACAGAGAGAGGCCCTCAAAATGAAAGCCACAGTCTTTCCATAACTTAATCTTGGAAGTGATGTCCCATCACTTATTGTAGTCTGTTAGAAGTGAGTCACTAAATGAACCCACTTTCAAGGGAGGGAGATTACACAAGTGTGTCAATACCAGGAGTTGGAGATCATTTGAGAACATTCTGTAGGCTGCCTACAACCTCTTTAACCTTTCTATTCTCTTCTCCTACCATCCCCACTCTCTCAAGATTCCTACTGTCAGCCAATAGTAGTATACCTCTCATTATTTTCTTCTTCCACCAGACTATAATTCCTTCTCTTTCTCGTTGTAGCATTTCTTCTCAGTTTGAACACCCCCATTTAAAAAAAGAAAAAAAAAATTAAGCAGAATGTAGACACTCCATTGTTTCTTTCAATATGTATCTTGAAGGATCTCAGTAGTAACAATAGAACTATGTAAACTTACTATAATATTATACTTAGAATTATTTTATATAATGATATTGCAATTAGACTTTATTACCATAACATACTTTTAATAGTTTCAATAATTAAATATATTAGGAAAGAAGCCGTGTTCAATGAAGTCTATATTATCATTGATTATATTTATAATGAGGCTTCTCTTAATGAATTGGGATTCTCAAAATAGTTTTTTTAAGATAAATTTTATTTAAAATGTGTGTTTGTTTCCAAAGTCTTTTCTTAATCTTTGTGTGCTCAGTACAAGTTCAATTACAGAGAAGAGGAACACAAACCTTTTGGCGTTTTGGCCAAGAACAATGTTGGTTATTTAACTCAATCTTACCTTGGAACAAACTGCCTTCTCAGAAAACATTTTGTTATCTTTTCCTTGTCTGCAGAATCAGTGACAAATAATGCTACATAGCCTTGAGTGCTCAGTGAACAAATGATGCCTTTGAAGAGGTTTCATGGCTTAATGGCTTTTTCTTTTCACTCTTGATATTGTGATATTTGCTGCTGTTGTTTTTGGTACTAAGTTAAATTTAAACCCTTTCTGGGCTCATCCAAAAATTCCAAAGGGAATAAACTTTATGTAATATCTCTGACCCAAGCTTTTAACTATTTTCAACTTTTGTCTCTGAAGTTTGGAGATAGATTCTTCCTGACCTCTGTAAGTAAGAAGAGAAATAATCTAATCAGTCATCTAACCATCTACAACTTGACTTGATCATTCTAAGATTGTCTTGTCCAGGAAGATGAAATTTCAAATAACTTACATTAGTTGTTTAAGACCTTTATGAAAGTCCGTTTTTCTGAGCATTAGACTACTCAGCCAGCTTTCATGAAAGGACTCAGGACCTTAGCTAGCTCAACCAGGCTCATCAAATGGCTATTTACTTTTCAAGACAGGGAACCCTGGCATCACTCTGTCCACAATCCTATATTATTATGTCATTTTTTTTCTTCAGTACAAACAGGCTTTCACAATGAATGAACTACATTAAGCCAGACATCCAAAATCCCATATTTTGTCTTTGTTCCCTCCCTACCTCCAGACACTATTAAGACTCTATCAATGAAATAATATTCTTTAATTTGGTAAGCAATAATCTTATCTACCCGTTACTTTTTCTTCCTTTATCAAAAATACAAGAATATACTCAATTTGCATTACTTACAAGTGGTGAGAGAACCATGTCAAGGAAAAGTAAGACAAATGCCTCAAATAAAAGCACATAAAGTTCAGCAGTAATATTTAATATTACCTGAGATAAAATATGAGACAATTTGGAAGTCAGGCAAGCAGAGAGTGGAGGACTAAGAGCCAAAGCTATGTTATGTGTGTGGTCTCCTTTCATCAGTTATGTAGGAAAAAAGTAATATAGACTTGTAGAGTTGATTTAAAGAGAGTGGTCGGGCATGGTGGCTCACGCCTGTAATCCTAGCACTTTGGGAGGCCGAGGCGGGTGGATCACAAGGTCAGGAGTTCGAGACCATCCTGGTCAACATGGTGAAACCCTTTCTCTATGAAAAATACAAAAATTAGCCGGGTGGGGTGGCGGGCACCTGTAATCCCACCTACTCGGGAGGCTGAGGCACGAGAATTGCTTGAACCCAGGAGGCAGAGGTTGCAGTGAGCAGAGATCATGCCACTGCAGTCTAGCCTGGGTGACAGAGCAAGACTCCATCTCAAAAAAAAAAAAAAAAAATAGCTTCTGCACACATGCAATTTCCATGGTCTACAACTAGGATGGTTGCTTTGCATGGAATGTGAACCTGAACGATAATAACTTCAGGAAATCTCACCAAAATATTTGCTATCAGGAGGTTAAAAGCATGAAACATACCACATTGGCTATATTTATGTTTATAAAAATCAGTGTGGATATAATATACTGTCCCTTTAATGTCCCTTTAAGCACTGCTGTTGTGTATAAAATCCCCTTCCAGATATAGATATGCATTTTCATTGTTGCAGCATCTCTAACAACTCTGATGATCAATTATCTGTCTTCTTCAATTAGAAAAGAAAGCTATCACCCTTGTTCCGTTTGCTAAAATTGTCCTTGAACACCAAGCTACTGCTCTTCAGATGTGGTCTTTCCATCATTGGACACTTGCCACCTTGGTAACCAACACTCTGTCTATTCAGCATTGTAGCTTTTGTTTAAACCCAGTGAACTTCACTTATGTTGAAAATAGAAGAGCATTTGAAGTTCTTTTTATAAAATTCTTGGCCTTCCTTGACAAGAGAACAAAGCAATGATAGACTGAATCTCAGGTAACATGAAGTGAGGCTTCAGGAAGCAAGATAAGGAGCAATTGAGTGGTCTCCTCTTAACATTATAGTAAGAAGTAAAAAGAAGTAATTTTAATATTCTTCCCTTTCTTTTTGTATTATTTTAATAGAAGACATATAAATAAGGTTATCCACTATTATTTGGTACTATAATATTTAAAGTCTGACTGTGCCATCAATTTGCCATTTTGTGGAGTTAAGGAAGTTAAAACATATAACTTGGCAAGTGGGTTACCATCAGTCCAGCAACTATCTTACATCAATAGTATGAATGTATATGAATCTTTGTTATAGAATTATGGTAACCTTATCTTTCCTGTTTACCATTTTCATTTGGAATAACATAGATTTTTACTTTTTGATGCCAATTCAGTTTCTAGAGTTGTTTGTGAAACCTATTTCCAATTCACGCAACTATACCAAATGCAATTTCCTCATTAAAATACCCGTACCTTCATCTATTATAAGATTTAGAGAGACTAAATAAGTCGAAAGAATGGATGTGCATTTATAAAAGTTTATTTTTAATCTGAAAAAGACTTACCTATTCTGATTTTAAACTAATTGGTTTTTATTTAATTTGTGCATAGTATACATAGACATTTTTAAAATGTCATAATAATGCAAAAACTATCCTTAATCCCAACATTCCTTTTCTGGTACACATAGATAGTTCCTATTAGTCTTTTTTGGATATATTTTAGATAATTACTAAAATATCCGCTTTTAAATGAAAATCATAATAATGTTATTTTCTTGTCGAAGTCATATCAATGATCAATTTTCTATTGCTGCATAACAGATCACCCCAAAAATTAGTAGTTAAAAACAATTTATTTGCACATAGCCTCTTCATTTCAGTCTGGGCTCAAGTGTGTGATTCTTTGGCAGAATTCTCTTGGGTTACCTATATAGCTTCAGTGAGGAGACAGAAAAGCTGATAGCTGGTAGTCCTGAATGACCTCATTCATATGTTGAGAGAATCAGTAGGAATAAGTGAGAATAGCTGGAATGACTCTTCAGGTGAAGAAGGCAGCATCCTAGAAGGAAAAAGTAAAAACTGAAAGGTTTTGGGTTTTTGCTCAGAAGTCTTGTGACCTCTTTCTAGGTAACCTGGGCCCAGATAGCTGGATTCCTCATTAGACATGGGAGGTATCAGTCAGCTCTATTTGGCAAATAGCTGAGAACTGTGGGTGTTCCTAAATTGTATTTATTTAATTTATTTTTTTATTTTGGGGAGAGTACAACATTTATTTGAAGGATGGTACAAATCAAAGAACTTAAGTGGATGTTTTGATACAACATAACTTCACTTTTGTTTAATTGTATTGATCATTTAAAATAAGCTCAGATTCAAGGGGTAGGAAAATATATTCTGTATCTTGATAGAGGAGATTTTCATAATTTGTGGCAGTTTTGAAATCCATTACAGTTACTGTCAACAATATTATATGTAAAATAAGATTAGAACTTCAGTTGAATATTAATAAAAGTATGTTTTTAAAACTCTCCTCTAAAAGGAAGAAGCTAAGTTAAATATTATAATTTTACTGCTGGTAAAATATTCAACCCAAATGAGAATTTATTCGTATTTTAATTTGTTTGCAGAATGTCTGATCGGGTGTTAGATACATAGATGTCAGCATAAATATTCAGGATTGCTATTAAACATTTAAGTAGAACACAACAGGTTTTTATTTTTAACTTTTACAGGGGTACACATATGGGTTTGTTACATAGGCACGCCCATGTCATGGGGTTTGTTGTACAGATTATTTTATTACCCAGGTATTAAGCCTAGTACCCATTAGTTATTTTTCCTGATCCTCTTTTCTACGAAGTGTTTAAATAGAGTAAAAAATGGCTATTGGCATAGATAACTTATTTCAGAATTTATGATAGTGACAGTGAAGCTGAAATCTGAAAAAGTGACACGAGTATCTCCTTGATTAAAAAACATAATGCAAGAAATTCAGGTAGCCCAAAGTTCTAAGGTTAAATGCTTGGACTAAAGGAAGTGGATGGAAGTGGAACAGAAAAAAGCAGTGCCTAACATATGCCTAGTCTTCGAAGAAACATGGTTACACTTCTGTGTCAGCAAGTACCTAGGTGCCCTCGGATGAAGTCAACCCTTTCAGTGTGTTACCTCTAGAAGCTATATCAAGTGATCCCAAGTTTTAAATTTCCTCTGACTCACCTTCCCTCAAAATAGTTCGATCTTAAGGCTAAATTCACTTTATTCTCTAGTATAAACCAACCTTTCTTTTTTCCTCTTATCTTATTTACTTATTGATTAATTACTTAATTTTATTTGCTTGTCTGCAATTCATTTTAGAAAGGAAATCCTAAAACTTCAGTGGTTCAAATAAAGTTAATAAACCCTCTGTTTGCCTGGACATCTTCAGAACATTTCAAACGTCTTTTTGTTACTACTAAGAAAACACAAATGGTTATATAATCTGAGCCAAAGTAAAAGTGAGAAAATTGTTAGTAATCTTCTGTAATTCCTCCAGT
This sequence comes from Homo sapiens, assembly GCF_000001405.40. Lineage (NCBI taxonomy): Eukaryota > Metazoa > Chordata > Mammalia > Primates > Hominidae > Homo > Homo sapiens. The sequence continues at coordinate 211,113,281 of NC_000002.12, forward strand.
AGTCCATGCCTAAGCATTATACTGAGGACTATTCATTATGAAGAAAATCAAATTCTGTATTTCCCCCCCCCGCTTGGGTTTCAAAGTTGCTGGATTTATTCTCAGATTTTCAGTGGAAGCACTTTAGTGATTTCTGCTTTCTTTGCTGCTGTGACCAGATGGAAGCATTACTTTCTTTTCCAGAAAGTCTATGAACAGGCAGAGTAAAGGTGACAGCTCACATGGAGTAGTGCCAGATTCTCTTGTTTATTCCAGAGGGTTAGGGGATATTTGCTGGTGTAAGTTCAATGGCTTTTTGGAGGATTTTCAAAAGCATCTCATTTTTGGGGTTGAAAAATCTGCTTCTGTGTGCAGCCCAATAAGAGAAACAGAGTTTGCCCACTAGACTTGGCTTTGTTTTCTTGGCTTACATTCCTCCCCCAAAAGACAAGAAGGTCTTTTTTTAACCAGAGTATTCATTTCATGGGGATTCAACATTACTGTCTACATGCTCTCCTTAAGAAAATAAGAAATTGGTACCCAAAGCTGTAAATTTGCCATATTTTAATTTTCCTCCTTAGTTTCTAAAACTAAGTCATAATTATGTTGAGTGGAAGTAAATGTTACCAAAAATACTGAATGCATGATCATAAATGCCAAGCCTGTTTATTTTACCATAAACTCAAGCTGTGCTAAGACCGGGAAGCATATCTATTCCAGCTTGTTAAATCAGCAAGTGTATTATACTACCATGGAAAAGGCAGTATTGTTAGTTCTCAAGAGCACGGGCTTTGGGTTCCAGGTTCTCAAGCTTATAAGTAATATCACCCTGGCAAAGTTATTTAACTTCCCTATGCCTCAATTTTCTCCTATGTCAGATCATCATTGTAATGGTGCCCATCTTATAGGACCTTTGGGAAGGCTAAGTGAAGTTTTTCATCAAACGTATTTAGAAAAGTGCATGACACATAAGTACTCAATAAATGCTAGTTACTATTATGCCCACTATCATTATTACTTTCCAATCATTTTATTTTCATCCATTACATTATAAAATGTATATTCTTCTTTCCTGGGCAAGGCTGGTGTTAGGGAAAAATGTGTCAGAATATTCTATTAGAGATGACAAGAAACTGGAAAGATTATCTATCCAAACTCAGCTTTCACAAATAAGCCGCAGACAAAATAAATAGAGTTTATTTGTTTGGGAGCTTTCCCAGGAAACTGAAACTAATGTTTCCTTTATGTCATTTTTTTAATTGTTAATTTTTAATCACCTTTATAAGCAATAAAATTCACATCTAATTTTATGATTTTATACATATATATTTTTTCTCATGGCACTATTCACTAACAAGTATCTTTCTAAGAAGTTAAAAATTATTTTTAAAAAATGAGAAGGCTTTTTGTCCATATTTATGTATTGCATTAAATTATAAACTTATTTTCTCATGCAAGTATCCTTTCACTTTGGGGTAAAACAGCTTGAGACATACACACATAGCTATATATAAAATAAGACACTTCATCAGATAAACTATTTTTAAAATATCTCTATCTCTTAATTCCCAAAGTGTGGGTTTGAAATCCCAGATGACAGTCATACAAGATCAATGTAATTTATTTTAAAAGTGAAAATTTAGTTAACTGTAGAGCTATTGGTGATGTTTGAATTTGCTTAAGTTGTGGTACTTTGTCAAAATGAATCAGATTGGGAATTCTTAGAATACTTGTATTACATTAAGAGACCAAATTGATTCATAAATGGTAAAATGCAGTTGTTAAAAATGTCATACACTTGGCTGAAAATTACAATCTGAAAGTATGTGATGAGATCAATTGTTTATACATAAATCACATTTTTTACTCTCATAATAAGTACTTCTTGAAAGAATAAACTCAAGAGCATTTGGAGAGAATCTACAGATCTCAGATGTAGTGACTGCAATTATTGATGGTTCCCCTTCTGCATAACTGAATGCGTAAGTCACACCCACATTTGTTCCCAGCTCTGGCCATATGGCAATTCTTCCTGAATGATTTGGCTTCTCCCTTGTCTTTCTCTATCATTAGATTATTATGGCTTGATTCCCTTCAACTCTTGCCAGCTGGGAAACAAAAAGTATTATTTTTGCTTCACTTATTCTTGATGCCTTTTTGAATATCCACAGTCACCTTAAATATGAACTTCATACTGTTTATATTTACAATTTAAATAACTCAGTTTGCAAAATCTGTCCTATTACATGAATTTAAGAATCCGTATTTCTCTAATACATTCTATTTATCAAATATTTTTAAGGTGGAGGCTGGGGAGTAGAGATTTAAATTCCTTGGGGTACAAATAATGTATACACACACACACACACACACACACACACACACACACACACACATATATAGGAAAAAACCCTAGAAAACTGTCAGTGTCTACTTTAAAGGGCAGTCTTCTGATTATAAATCACATTTGGGTTGGCTCTTCATTGCCAAAATAATATTTCTATTATGGATGTTTGTGACTCAGTTTCTTTTTACAGCCACATGTAGAAATATATGCCAATAGATTAGGCAAATTGAATATTACAACCCACTTTAGGAAAGGTAATACATAACTTTGCATTTTGTAAACATGAAATTTTTTTTCTGAAAATTTTAACGTGAATCCAGAAGCAGGAGACTGATAGCTCTCATTGTGAGAGTAAAAAGCCTCTGCTTGTTCATCGCAACCAAACCAGCCTCATACAAACACATGCACATCGGAGAGAATCTTGTGAATACTTTGGGGGAAGGACTTGGAGTGATTCACATTTTACTGCACTTGGGTCACCTGGATATTAATGATATTTTATCGCACAATGCTGCAGTTGTTCTAGAGTCTCATCCTCCCATAATTACGTATGATTTCATTTTAAGTTTCCAAATGTGTTCTTTGAAAATAACACCTATTTAAAATAATGACAGGCTCAGGATTTTAAATTTTATTTGGGGAATAAGGAAGAGAATGATATTGATTTAGGAAAAAGGAATGCATAAGAAATTATCTTGATTGACATAAAATATAAATCATGTCATTATTTATCCAAGGGTTCAAAAAAGTAATATTTTTCTTGGTAATTGAGTCTATAGTCATAGAGGTATTTCTTTAATAGCTGATTAGTGTAATATTTGTAACATTCTGCCAAAGCCACAGGAAGTCTTTGAATATTCTAATGTATTTCTAAATAGTCTGCAATCAAGAAATGCTTATGGGATAAAACATTGTACTCTTGAAGGATATGTTTAATAAATGTTCTGTGGTAAACCATGGCTTGTCAATAAAGATGTACGCAAAAATAGGCAATCTGTAGCCTAGATTTTTCAATTATCAAAGCATCTTAACCACTTGAAATAGAAATAAAATGAGAGGACCTATATTTCTATGGTTATCTCATCTAGTAAATGCATGTTTTGTTGTCTGGACTGTAACTTCATGCAAATTGTCATTCTCATCTATATTTTCACGTAATCTGACAGATTGGTAACAATGACAAAGCTCATTATGTGAGCACGTATAGCCTTAGCTAGTTGAGCTGATTTTGAGCACATAGTATTTTTATTTTTTCATTCTGAGAATTCAAAACCCCTTCTTATATATGAAATGTAATTATAATACTTTAATTTTATAATGTTTTTATAATTGAAGGCTAAGTGTGGCTTCTATTTAAAATATGACTTCCTAAATTCTGACATTTTGTTTCTCTTAATTAGATTACATATAAAACTAGTTATTAGATTTAATCTATAAATAGAATACTGAGCCATAACTGTCTATATCTCTTTTTCTTCATCTTTAAAATTAAATTAATAATAGCTAACTTGCAAGTCTGTTTTAAAGCTTAAATGCAATGTGTTATATCTGTTTATATAAAGTACATACCAGAATGCCTAGTGCGTGAAGGTGGTTGTTATAGTTGTCACCACTGATAAAGATCACAGAAAATATTTTTTAAAGCCTGATTAATGTTTATTTTGTATTAATCAGAGATACAGGAAGCAAATGGTCCAAATGGTCTTTAAGTATGTTTCTTTTTTCTTGTTAGGATCCTTTTGTTTGAAAAAAGACAGAAAAATTCCACTCAAATGGCTTAAGAAAAAGAGCCTTCATTATTTCATCAAGCTGATTTGTTCAAGGGAAGTACTGGCCTTAGGCGTGACTTATTGCAGGAGCTTCAGCATTTTCCCTCAACCCTATTATCTCTTATTTCTCTTGACTCTGCTCTCTTCCATGTTGTCGTCATTCTCATTTTCCATATACTAATAAGGCAGCTGCCAACAACACTAGATCGATCTCTCTGTCAGGTTCAAATGCAAAGAAAAAGGGAAACCTCTCTATGTATGTCTCGTTGACCATGATTGGACCATGTGTTCAACCTTTAATCATTCATAATGTCCAGAGGAATGTGATACTCAACTGGCCAGGTATGTTTGCAACCCTATGGACCCAAGGTAAATGGAATGATAGTAAAGCAAGAATGGGGCTTTAGATAAATGTTGTGGTAAGCTTACTCAAAGGAAAAATACATATATTCAGACCATGTATACAACATGCTGAAAAAATTATAATGTATTCAAAGAATGCTGCTCACTTTTTTTTTTCTATTTTGCCGGGTGTCTTTTCTTTTTACCCTTTTAGATATGGCTATATCCCATATCTAGATTTGCTCTCATGTATGCACACTTCTCTCTCTCTCTGATATTTCAGTGGCACTTTTCAGTCTGTCATCTAAATAGACTCATAAATGTATTTTGAGTTCCATTTTCTGTATCAGTTAGCTTTTATTGCACAACATACCTCTCTTAATGATTCTGAAGGTTGGCAACTTTGGCTGGACTCAGCTAATAAGATCCTCTGGTCTTGGCTAAGGTCAATCATACATCTCAGTCAACTTCCACTCTGGTTAAGTTGAAGTACTTTACAGCACGTAACACATAAAAGGAGTCACAAATTATTATGATTGCCACTGATAATGTTTTTTTCCAAATGAGAAAAGGAGTTTCTCTTTCTTTGTCTAAGTACAACTCTCTTTATAAAAGCAAAAGCTTTATATATTTTTTTCTGTAGCATCACTATCTATAAATATGTAAGATAACACCATAAATGATGAACTCCCATTAATATAAATATCCTAATAAACTGTGTAATCTATGGCTACATTGGAATATCATTAACAATATCTTATATTCACTTGCTATGACTGTTGCTGCTGCCTATGCTACTGCTACTGACCTTAAAAACCACATGTTAATCATATCAATATTTTTCAACTATGTTTTGTATCCTCTGGAAAACACTAGGAACATCTAACACTGCCCAGATGACTGATGTTTTAGATGTTTAAATGTCTGCTTGTAAAAAGACTTCTTTCAGAATATATTTGATTTGATTTCGTTCCCCATTCCCAACCATTCTTGGCTATATTGATCTCAATTTTAACAGTAAATATTATATTTGTGCTATGATTTGAGTGTCTTTTTTCAAAACTCATGATGAAACTTAATCCTCTATGTGACAGTGTTGAGAGGTAGAACCCTTAAGAGGTGATTAAGCCATGAGGGTTCTTCCCTCATGAGTGAGTTAATACTTTCATGGATTAATGAATTAATAGATTAATAGATTAGTGAGTTAGCATGGAGTGGGACTGATGGCTTCATAAGAAGAGGAACAGAGACCTGAGTTAGTACACTCAGCCCCCTCTCCGTAAGATAACTTGAGCTCTTTTGGGACTCTAGAGAGTCCATGCCATCAGATGACGCTCCTCAATCTTAGACTTTCTATCCTCCAGAATGTAAGAAATAATATTTTTTTCCTTGTATGTTACCCAGTTTCAAGTATTCTGTTATAAGCAACAGAAAATGAACGAACACACACACACACACGGAAAGAGAGAGGGAAAAAGAGAGAGAGATAGAAGTATGATGAGACAGTATTGCTGATACAAAGACTGAAATAATCGGGGGGGAGTTCCAATTTTAGGTTTATTTTTTGCTCTTACAAGAAAGATTCTAGTTAGTAAATGTATAGGATAAATGCGAAAGACTAAGTTATGTGAATTAAAATAATTCATTATAATCAAATATTTTACTAAGAAGTTATTCCTTAATACCATCTTCTCCTTCTTTGAAAAAAAGCAAAAATAAAAATGTTTCTAAAACATGAAAATTATAGCCACAAACTATATGCGTATTAGGGAATGTAGCAAAGTCATTGAGTAAAAAAAAAATACTGCTATATGGACAGTGTCATACTCTTCTTTCTGGTATCTATGTAAAGACTTCTATCATATTCTTTGGTAAATTTTCTACATGTAGTCTTGGTTATTAGCTGTAAATGGAGCCATGTCCACCAGTCTACAGGCATGCATTTATGTTCTTTACGCTTGCATGGGTGTCACTTGGATCTCTAAAATTTGAGGTTGTTCTCTGGTATTATCTTGAATCCTTTTCTAATATGTGACCAAAATAATTGTCTCAAAATTATTATTCAGGAAAAAATTCATCAATTATGATTGGGAAACTGTTAGAAATCTAGAGGGGAGTTGTAAATGAATGTTAATTATAGAAAGTATAGTTGGAATATGTCTACTTTATCTTTGTAGCCCTTCGTAACTTTATAGTTACTAGCATAAGTAAGTAATACTCTTTGTTGAATGAATGAATGAATGAGTCAATGGATGAACTGATTAACATTGACCAACTATATTACTTTTTCTAGAAAATTTAAGTTTGTGACAAACTGCCTCCCTGCCGTATACTAATCATGTAATATCAGAGGAAGCATCTTTCCATTTTAAGGAATCAGCAAATAAAAAGACAGTTAATTTTAACCATGCAAAGGATATTTGAAGAACATCAAGAAGGCCAGTATAGTTGGAATAAAAGGGAGTTAGAGAGGTAAGGAGTATCTAGATTAATTACTGCCTTTCAGGGTATGAAAATGTCTAATGAGTTATTGGATGTATTGAGAAAAGGAGTGACATAATCTGATCCATGTCATTTTATGACTTTTTAAAGAATATTCTGGCTGTGAGGAGAAAATGAAAGGGGAGGGGAGCAACACTTGAATAGAGGGATAAGTTAGGAGTGGGGGCCAATTATTGTCCAGGAAAGAGATGCTAATGGCTTAAAATAGGGCAGAAGAAGTGGAGGTGGTTTAAAGGAGTCAAGTTGTTAATTTTTTCAAAAAAGAGAATGAACTAGTCTTGACCAACAGATTCAATGTTGATTGTGGAAGAAAGAGATGAGTCAAGGATGATCAACTAGGATCTTTTTAAAGAAATGGAGAAGACAGGAGGGGATCAAGTTTAAAGAATAAAGTTCAACAGTTATATTTTGAACCCACTAAACTTCAGAGCCCTATGATAAGTAAGATTGGGGCTCTAAGTTTGGGCTATTTCTTCCTGGCCGAGTAAGCAACGTGACATTTTTGTATCTCATTCACATCCTCTACTAAATAGAATTATAATAATAAGATCTACCTCCTAAGGTTGTTGTGAGGATCAAATTAGTTAATCCATATAAAAATCTTAGAATAGTTTCCAGCACATTGTAAGCATTTATTGTTATCATTGTAGTAGAAATGTAGTTTGTTATGTGAGTGTGAAACTCATTGATAAGCCAGAATTAAAGCTATAGATAGGATGTAAAGCCATGAGGCCAAATAAGCCCATATGTGAGCACATATAGGACAAAGAAAAACACCAGAAACAGAGCCCTGGGATATTCTTCCAGGTCGGGAAGAGGAGAAAAAGTTAGCAAAGGAGACTCAGAAAGATTGTCCAGTGCAGTTAGAGGAGAACCAGGAGTGTGTGATGTTCTACAAGCCAAGGAAAAGTGTTGTTAAAATGAAGGAATAATCATGTTTGTTGGATGGAAATTAATAAATGAACATTGGATTGACTAAGAAGGAAGTTGTTGGCAACCTTGTCCCCAGCCTTTAGTACAGTTGTTAAAATAGAAACATGAATATACTGACTTAATGTGAAAATGACTGAAAATATAAGTTACTTAGAATAAATTCTTTTTTAGAAGTTTTGCTTTTTGTGGAGCAGATAAGTGTGGTAGGATGTTGGAGGTGAATGGAGATTGAGGGGTGAATAATTATGGTTCAGATGGGAGACATTTCAGCATGTTTACAGGTTGATGGGAATAATCTTACCATAGACATTCAGGGAATTCTCCTAGTCTCATTTGTACTGCAACAAATCTGAAATGGAATGAAGGTGCATTCGGATAAGGGGAACATTATCTACCTGCCTCCAAGTAGAGAAGCAGCAATTGCCCCTATAGAGAGTAAAAATAAGATTTTGATTATACTACTTTCCATAGTCTATTTGTGTAAACAAAAAAGACTCGTTTTATTTTAACATAGAGAATATGGGACGGATACTGTAAGGAGAAGTTTTATGGTATTACTAAATTGTTTTTGTCTTTTACAAAAGAGATATATTGATATTTTATTACTAAATTACAAATAATTTTATTCTCAATTGGGATAAAATAATGTCATGAAGCATATGGGATATGTACATATCATATTACTAATATTGTTCCTAAGCTCCAAACAGTTAAATTTTTAATATACAATGATAAGCAAGAAGTTGGTCTATTTATTTCAGGTTCCCCATTCAGTTCTTTCAGTCTAGCTAGATCCAATCTTTCACTGAATATTTATGCATCTTGCTTCCTCTAGACCGACTTCTCTTTATAGAAGTGACTATTAACTTTCCAGGATCCTCGCAACTTAAGAATCTATGATTATACCATCTCTCCAATATCCTTTCTATTTTACATAAAATTAGGTCAAATAAAATTTTTAATGCTTTCCTGACAACTAACTTCTTTACAAAGTGTTTCCTAAGTTAGTATTAGTCTGTTCTGAGCATTTGTCTTTGCTCCATACTTTCTAATCATTTGCATTTGCAGTAATAAATTTGAGCATTAATATATGTTAATGGGCTCTTTCTAAGAGCTATATGTTGCTTTCTTATAAATAAATAAATAAATGATTGACTCAAATATTGCCAGAGTGGAGAATCCTCATGTTAAGTTGGTGTTGGTGTTGCTGGTTTATAGGCACAAAATATCTAGAGGGTCCCCATGGTCTAAATTTTTGGACAGAATGCTGTCTTGGGAAGTAGCTTTTTATTACAAGGAGAATTAAGAAAAGATTAAGGATGGCTGTGACCATTATTACCACTGGTAAAAAAAAAAATCCTCAAGAATAATTACTACTCTCAAAGAGCAGCACCCTTCCCATCATCGTGACCACATTCACTCATGTTTTCAGCATTTATTGACCACCTAGTGTATTAACACCATGTGGGATGCTCAAGAAAAAAATTGAAAATTGGAAAACACTCAGTCATGGCTACCAGATAATTAATTGTCTAATGACAAATAAACACAAGGTGCATCTTCGCAGCACTGGTGGATAAGTCCTATAATAATGATGTAAAGTGTTCAATGGGAACAAAAAAATGGAGCTTTACATTATAATAGTTATAATGAGGAATCGGGGAAGCAAGCCTTCTTGAGAAAGTGACTATTTTCTCAATTTTGAGGAATTAGATGTTAGTTAGATAAAATAAATCTGAGAAAGTGAAATCCTTCTACGAGTACTTTTATGTTAGATTTAATATACACATATACGTGTGTATGTGCACGTGTGCCTGTGGGAGTGTGTGGTGTTTGTGTGTGTGTATGTATGTGTGCCTGGGTGTGTGTTTATTGTGAGGAGAGGCAAACATGCTGGAGAGGAGGGGAGTGGAAGAAGTAGGAGAGGATTTTTAGAAGGGGACTTAGGTATTGAGCTAAACTATGTGCATTCCATCATGAATATTATGGGGAAGATACCTAAGAATTTTAAAGAGGGTCTGTAGAATCATATTTGCATCACTGAATGTAGCAGTGGAGGCTACTTTGGAGAAGGTTAGGCATGCATCAGGCACACTCTGGGCCTACGTTATTGTCAGACATGCAAGGGTAAGGGCCTACATTAAGGCAGTTAAAGGGAACCCGGCATTGTCTATAACACATGCAAGTTTTAAATGAATCTTTGCCCTTAGGAGTATAAAAACAAATGGCCTCCTTAATAAAAAAAAAATGAGGTCTTCCCTCTCTTCTTTTATAAGCTTTATAGTTTTTTAATGTTGTTGTAACTAGTAGGAAAAACACCATAAAATTATTATTTTACAGTTCTGGATGTCAGAAGTCTGAAATGGATATTCTGGGGTAAATCCAAGGTAACTACAGAGCTGTGTCCCTTCTGGAACCGCTAAGGGACACTCTGGTTCCTTGCCTTTTCCAATTTCTAGAGGCTGCCTGTATTCCTTGGCATACAGCTCCTCCTTTTATCGTCTAAATGCTGCTTCTGGCATCGTATCTTCTGTCTCTGACTTTGCCCTCTTGTCTCCCTCTTATAAGAATCCTTGTGATTACAATGGTCCATTTGTTTTTTGTTGTTGCTGTCACCAAAAAAAAAAAAAAACAACAACAAAAAAAAAAAACACCTTAGACTGGGTAATTTATAAATAATAGAAATTTATTTCTCACAATTCTGGAGGCTGGGAAGTCCAATATCAAGATGCCAGCAGACTCAGGGTCTGGTGAAGGCTGCTGTCTGCTTCCAAGATGGTGCTTTCTTGCTGTGTCCTCACATGATGGAAGAGGCAGAAAGGCAAAAAAGAGACAAAATCTATCTCTCAAGACCCTTTAGAACACCACTAATCCATCCATGAGGGTGAAGCTCTCATGAACTAATCACCTCCTCAGGGCCCCACCTCTTAATACCACCATGTTGGAGATTAAAGTGACAACATGTGAATTATGGAGGAACCCACACATTCAAACCATAGCAGTCCCACCTGGATAATTAAGCATAATCTCCCCATTTCATAATTTTTGATCATATCCACAAAATCCTTTTTTCCATGTAAAGTAATACATTTATAGGTTCCCAAAATTAAGATATGTCAATCTTTGAAGGGCTTTTATTCTGACTGCCAAATAAAATATCTGTTAATCATTGTGACTTCTACCTAGCTGTGAAAGAGTTCAGTGTCTTTGTGTACATAGGACTGAGAAATCACTAGAGTCTTACTTCTGCCCCTCTTTAGCCCTATGATATGCTCGTTCATTGGTTTAGCATAAATGAAGAAGAGGCAAAAGCTATTTTTGCTACTATAAATACTCTTAACCGCCTTTTTCCACTCCATGGTAAATATGAGTTGCTGGGTCAGAATATGTTTTATATGAGCAGCTCTCACTCGCATATATTAGGCAAGTGAAAGATTGGGGTCAAAAGGGGTTTGTTTAAAATATCCTCTTATTGAAATTTGCTGTGCAGATTGCTTCAAATTTAAATTCATGCCAATAAGTGACAATAGATACCAGAAAATGATTCAATTTTGTTCTCATTTTTAAAATAAATTCATATTTAAAGAAAACTTTAAAATTATTATTATTGCACAATTCTCAAGAATGCAGTGAGAATATTCATGTTCTTTATATTATCTTCACCTTCTAGGTAATATAATAGAGGAATTGAAAAATTGAGATTTTGCCAGTTTCAAAGTATACACAGAATCCGTGCTAACAGCATGCTGTTCCGTCTGCTAGTGTTCTGCTTTAATGTGTGTGAATCTTCTTTATTCCTTTTTTATTTAACCCCCTCAAAAAAATGTTTTGCACAATCTGATTATGCTACATTTACTCCTGACAAATAATCAGAAAGGATTACTTGGACTTTCTTAACCATGAAAGGAAACAAACATTAGCAGTACCCAAAGACATTCAGAATCCCACTGAAGAAAAATTACAGATTTGGGCCGTAGCCATTCAAAGTCATTTCTCTCCCTGAGCTCATGTTTATCTGAAAATGAATACAGTTTGGGCATGTTGTCTATGATAAATATGCAACATGTTGTAAGTGATGTTTCAAGGCAGCCACTCTTTATGTTTTGGCTTCTCTCTGGGTCTTCCTATTTATTGAAAAAGAAACTCAAACATTTAGGAGCATTGCATGCTTTTGGTTGTTTTTGGTTTTTATGGGGTTTTCTTGCGGGGGGTGGGTGGGGTCGTCTTTCAGCCTTAGAGAGAAATTGAAGTTTATCATTTTCACACTTGTTGAATAAGAACATTGGATTTATTTTTTGAATTTATCCTTTCGGTAAGCCCTCCTTTTAGTACACCTAGGTGAACTGATTTTTAAGATATACAATAAATTTTTTGAACGCTGCTGCCCAGTGTTGAAGTCCATTAGATCCTAAAATCAGGAAACATACATCTGTCATTGGCTTTGAAGAGAGTTTAAAGAATGTTTCTTGGCAAAATCGTAATTGCTCATAACTGCTTATTTCATGCAAATTCTGACACATGTGGGACTATTAATGTGGTAATGCCCTCAATGAAATTGTACAGCTGCTACTAAAGGGCAAAACTGGGAAAGATACAATGTATTTTAATAATCTATGTGGACAAGTCAGTGAAGGGAATGATCCTATAGCACTGATTCAGTTTCACATAAAAACAGAAGTTCATATAATCAAAACCCTGACATTCTATTACTTTTTATTTGGAATGAATTATGAATACCTTTAAGCAAAAAATTCCAATTTTAAATGTGTTTCACAAAGGTTTTAGAATGCTTATCTCTGGGGCTCTGATTTAATTAACAAACCTTTCTACATTTCTATAGTTGTTGTGGCATTATGGTGAAATTAACACTGGTTTCTGCGTTATATTGTGCTTTCTGAAACATTTATCTACAGAGTAGTTGCATCTAAACTTGCCTATCACTGTATTTTTATTTTATGGTTGCTGCCTTAGCATTAGAACAAAAAAGATCACGTGTGTGTGTGTGTGTGTGTGTGTGTGTAAACATGTTAAATACTGTAGTGTTAAGTTTGCCGAGTTAGTCCACTGCTAAGATGATAAGGAGAATAACTGCTATAGGTAAGATAGAAATACATTTCTCTTTCAGTAACTGTCCAAATTGAAGCAGTCCATAGCTGGTTTGGTAGCTGCAATGCTGGTGACCTAGGTTCTTTTTTTCTTGTTCTGCCATCCTCAACATGCAACTTGCATTTTGTGGTTAAAATGCTTCTCTAAGCAGTAACAGCAAGAAGAAAAAAGGGTCAGTGGAGGGCACAAAATTTCCCTTTAAAAGTATGGCCAAGAAGTTGTTCTTATCATTTACTCTTCTCTCCCATTAACAAGAAGTTAATCATTTGACCACATCTATCTACAAGAAAGACTGGGAAAGACTGGGAAATTCTAAAATTAGAATTTCTAATACTAAAGAAGGGAAGAATGGGTATTGGTATTCAATCAGCAGCCTCTGCCATACACTCTAGCATTGCTTTGGAGTGCTTTCAAAATTGCTATATATAGGGTATTCAAAGACATAGGAGCACACTAGTGAACATTTTTTTTTCATTGCTGAATGGGACTGCTTTTCTTCCTTGTTGCCTTCCTTCCTTCCTCCTTTCTCCTCTCTCTTCCTCCAACTCATTTCCAGTATTTCATTCTTTTAGCAGCTTCTATGTGTCAGAGATTGTCCTATGCACTAAAGTTCAGAATTGAGAAAGGCATTTTCTCTCTCTCTCATAGTCATATAGGGGAAAGCAAGATATCAGCAAGATGGTGAGTGCTATTTTAACAATGTGCTATAGGGACAGAAAACAAAATCATCCCAGGTAGGTCAGGAAATCACCAATAGGTGACATTTGAATTTGATCTTCAGAATGCTGCCTGATGCTTTGACCTGTTCCTTCTCTCTGTTTTGTTCAGCTCCAATCCTATCTAAAGACTTTATTGAAAGCTGGGCGCAGTGCCTCAAGCCTGTAATCCCAGCACTCTGGGAGGCTGAGGAGGGCAGATCACAAGGTCAGGAGTTCAAGACCAGCCTGGCCAACATGGTGAAACCCCGTCTCTACTAAAAATACAAAAATTAGCTGGGTGTGGTGGCAGGTGCCTGTGTGTGATCCCAGCTACTCAGGAGGCTGAGGCAGGAGAATTGCTTGAACCCAGGAGGCAGAGGTTGCAGTGAGCCAAGTTTGCACCACTGCACTCCAGCTTGGGTGACAGAGTAAGACTCTGTCTTGGAAAAAAAAAAAAAAAAGGACTTTGTTGATAGCTAGGGTGCCGAAGTCTGGTATTGTAGACACTAAGACTGCTCACCATTATTTCCAATTCATCTCCTCCCATGCATAAACTAAGAGTGTACTTATTCACTAAAAGTTAGAAGTAGCCATGTGACTTGCTTTGGCTAAAGATATGTGAGCACAAGTGAGAAATATTACCTATGAGTGAATGCATTTAAAAGTTATTGTGCTGGCCTTCATTGTATCTCTCTTGCCAGCTGCAATGATAGTGGAAGCATAGTTTGATATGGAGATACAGAGCTGAGCTATCGCATTGCAGATCAGCTATACTGGAGAACTGCCCGGACCTGAAATACACTCCCAGAAAGATAAATTTTTGCTGCTTTAAGACATAGAGATTTGTGAGCTATTTGTTAAGCAACAAAATCTAGCTTCCTGTTAACTAATAACCAATTCTTCCTTCAGTCCACTCCTCTTACATACTGTTTCTTTCATATTCACACTCTTATCCAAGAACAAAATGATAGCGATGATGTATGATTAAGGGTAGAACATTAGAAAGTTCTGAATTTTTCTCAATGAAATTAATTCCTAATTATTTTTCGATAGTATTATTATTAGATAAACATTTTTCTTTGTACAATTCATTGGGGTTCATTTTAGATTGATAGAGTTTGATTTATTCCTTTAAAAAGACCCCCAAAATTATCAGTTCAATAAGAAAGCAAAATACTTGGAATTCACTCAAAACACAAGCTTTTAATAGTGAAATAACAAAATAGATTCTTTTTTTTTTTTTTGCTAAAATAAGCATCTGTATATTTATACAATTTAATATAATCAATTCATAATAAAATCTATTGAGATTTAATATCTTTTGCAATGTTCACCCTGTATGATATAGTTTTCTCTTTTACCTGCATAGAGCCTAAGATATTAGAATATATAATTATCAAAACATGTATATGATTATAATTTTTGGCCTAGCAGACCTATATATATCAGGCAGGGAACAGTAGGGAAACGTGTCCTTGGTAATTGACCCTGAGAAACTGATCCAACTTCACCTGATCTATTAGTAAGCCTTGAGGAATGTGCTAGAGCTATTACCAATGTGAGCATTCAGAGACCAAAGGACTCTCAAAATCCGAGAAGTCAGGACGGTATTAATGACAAAAAAGCAGAGAGAATGGTAATGAGGACTTGAAGGGGTCTTCACCAAGTCCATATGCATCATGGGATGCTCTGTAGGGACTTAGCTAATGATGCTTGTCCCACTCAAAGAATACAGCTCTATCTCTTGTTTTCTACAGTCGTGTTCAGAGTTAAATGCTTATCTGTTTTTCTTACATTAAAAGTACTGTGTGACTTTCTTGTATTTGTTGGTATGTTTTAATCGATCACCATTCACCCTACTTAACACTACCTTCACAAAGTCTCATATTACAAAAGTCAGCAAACTTATATAAAATTGAATGTATGGAAACTTATCCTTTTTAAATATGAGGTGTGTTCATATAATACTATGAATTTAAACACATAATTATCTACCCAATTTACTGAAAATATTTAACTTATAAAAACTAAAATATGTGTGTCTCATTGTGGTTATTGGTTTAAAATGTTCACAGTAAATCAATGCAATAGGATAAAGTATGAAAATCCACCAGTGAAATAAAATATGCAAAATTCAGGATAGTGTTTGACTTAGGATGGGATATGGTAGAAAAGGAGATGTGATTAGGGAGAAGGATTTTCAACTTTCATAAAGTTTTATTTCTCAAGCTGGACTGAGGATTGGTACATGGATTTTGTCATAACATTTATCCAATTTTGAGTGTCTGAAATATTTTATAATTTTAAAAATCTCATACTCTCTCAAACCCCCTTTCCCTATTTCATTTTTCCAAAAGTTTCAGGAGTTTTAAAAAATGAAGATAGTAAATCTCTTTTTAAAAATATTTGTTCCAATCATTCATTTTTTTGCTCTGATTGAATCCATTTGTTTACTCATGGTTTCAGCTACTTCTGAACCCATTTGATGACTTTTGACATAAATGTATTAGTACACAAGTATAAGTACATTTCTTGTTGACTATCAAGAACATTTCTTTATTTTGATACAGTGAAATTAAGAGACAAGTTACAGAATTATACGGGATATAATTATAATATCTATATGTTATATAATATATATTTATAATTATAATTAATAAAATATAAATGGCTTACACTTCGGACTTTAGATTTTAGACTTTAAGGTTTATATAATATAGATTTATATTAAAATTATAATTATAATTCTATATAATATAGATCATAATATATTATAATCTATATTATATAATATCTGTATTATATACAATTACAGTATAGGAGTGTGCATTTTTCCTTTTTACAGATAATTTTGAAGGAAAGTAGTGATTTGAGGTTTGGGGGCCTGAATTTTCAAAATAAATGCAATAACTGCATTTTACTTTGAAATTATAGATCAAAACAATGATATCACTAGTTTAGGAGGATGTAGTTTTGATTTTCATTTTACTGTTTTTTATCTGTTCATCTGCTCTCGTCAACTGAGAAGCCATATAATAGGTTATGTTTTCTGATGACAGAGATTACTTCAGTTAAATTTTTCCTGCGGGCTAAGATAAATGGGTCATGTTTTGAATATTTATGAAAAATCTGTGCAGACAGTGGATATTTTAAGTGTATTTTCTTGTATTAAATTGTGATTTATAATGTCTCATTAATATGGAAAAGTGATCTGTTATTTCCATCTAACGTGTTTGTTTCTCTGGTGCTGCCCTGACTTGCTCTGTTTACAGTTTTTAGTACCCTCAGTGTGTGTACCTCTCTAACTTCAGGGCTTTCTTTGTAAAAGAAGGGTCAGAACTTGTCACAGAGTCACAAAACATGTCAGATTTCAGGCCATTTCTCTGAGCTTGTCTGGGTGCAAAGCGTGCACATTTGCATGGTGACCTTTGCAAACCCAAACAGAGAAGGTGATGTGAGGGTCATTTCCTAAGCCCAGCTAATGAACTGATTATCCCCAAATGCCTGGTAGTCTGCATAACAATGAAGAGTGGAAAGTTCACTTCAAATCCAGAGAGGCACAATAAATCTCTGAAGTAGAATTTTTAATAAACCGATTGTATATTAGCATCAGTATTTTAATTATTTGCTACTGAACCACCCAAAGCCAAGAGATCAAATTGTTTACTAGAAAGAGGTATTGTCTTGCTTTCCAATACACTTTAATTTTTAATTATTTTCCTGTCCCCGAAGTATTGTTCTTTAAAGAGTCCCTTTTTTTTTTTTTTTTTGGATGAAGGTGGGGTATGATTAACAAACATTTTCCAAAACATTTCTAGAAAGAAAATTTGCAGGCATTTTCAGTTAAGCTTTATTTTTTCTCTAGGGCTGATTGGTATATAAACAAATTAAGGATATTTTTATTATTATTCTCTCCCCATATGTATAATTTCAACTCAAGCATGTGGTATAATATTTCCAAATAGGTATCATTGTTATAATTAGTTACAATGGAAATGATGTTAACAATATTTCAATAGGTAAATCTTCCCTGTCAGAGCAATTTTTAAAAGAGGAGAAATGGCTTACACTTGGGATTTTAGATTTTAGACTTCAAGTTTTAAACTTGTGTATGCCTCTATGTTTGTTAAAGGTAATGTCTGAACCAGAGATACTAAATGTAATAGAGAGGACACCATTTTACATCCATGGCTACTTGATGTTGACGTTCACTGACTGATTAATGTTGAATAATGTTAACATTAACTGATTTTCAATTTGCTTTCCAGGCAAATTTTTTCCATCAGTTTCTCTATTAGCTACCTGTTTCATTCAACTACCAGTCAATCTGGCCTAGTTGTAGCATCATTGATAAAGATTTCATGTATTTGCTATCTGTGTTCCAAATCTTATTCTTTGAAAAATAAATAAATAAAAGGGTATAGCACTCATGGCTCCCTAGTATTACATTCATTTAGTATTTAAGCATATGGAGGAGATGACAATAGTCTTACAACATTGAGAAAATGGATTTATTCTCCTTTTAAAAACTTTGCTGATACCTAATGTGTATTTCCCTGAATCTCTTCTCTGTAGCATCTGGTCTATGTCCTCTTTCTCTGCCTGCATCTTGAATTTCAATGTTCAATGAAATTGTCTCCATGATACCTCTCTTTTTTTCCTGATTTGCATTGTCTTTGGGCATTCTCATCTACTCCTCTTTCTTCAACTGATATCACCCATATACATATCACAACCCTGTCTTTCAAGTGTTGACCAATGTTTTAAATTCTATTAGCTACTTCCAACTATCACAGGTATCCTAAATTCATGTGTCTAAAATTGGGTCCATTATGTTCTTTCTCAGAGCCTCTTCTCCTTTCATTCTCTTTTATTCTAAAGGAATAGTCAATACTTACCTAGTAAATTAAGTAGAAAATTGTCTCTACCTTTCTTCACCACTTCCCCAGGATCCTATAAATCATCAAGTATTGTTTATTCAACCCAAGAAATAGCACCTGAATTTGTATTCTGTTCTGCATTTAATAACCACTAAATTAATTTTCTCCCTCATTATTTCTAAGTATGTTATCTTAAGGACATCCTCTATAGTCTATCCTTTAAATCCATCCTTAATTGCTGTGAAACAGAAATAGATTTCTGTTTATTTCAGATTGCTTATATCACTTCTTTTTCCAAATTAAATACCATTGATAATTCACATTAAATCCTTGGCCAATGAGAAAAATTCCAAACTCCTTAGCTTGCTCAAACTATCTCACCATGCATTTCCAGACTCATTCCCTGTGACTTTCCCCACTCATCTATGCTGGTCGCCAAGACAATACAACTTTGACAAAGTACAGTTTCTGCATAAAATACTTCCCAAGCTGTGTTTCATGAGCAGAATGATCTTTTTCTCAGTGCTCCCATTGTCTTTTGGACAATATATAGTTCGGTACACTTGCCTAAATTAAAGATTTGGAACTCTAAATTTCCCATTAAACATAGCTCTAACAGCACACCACAAGTTATGATGTTACATTTTTATTATCTTTTAATAAAAATATTTTTAATCTTCCATTGTGATTACTTTTGACACAAGAATTATGTAGAAGTGTGGAAATATACTACATACCTGGTAAATACTTAATAATTTTCAGTTATATATTTTAGAATTAATTTCTAGCTTAGCTCTCCTGGGGTCAGGGAAAGTACTTTGAATAACTTAAGTTTTTGTGGTCAAATATTTTAATAGACGATTCTGGTGAATGTTTTATGTGATCTTGGAAAGAGTGCATATTCCTATGATGTTAGTCATAGCATTTTAGATATTTCATACAGGTCAAGTTAATTGTGCTATTCATGTCTTCATATCCTTACTGATTGTGTTATCTGTTTATCTCATCAGTCACAGGAAGAGGTGTATTGAAATGACATTCTATGTTTGTGTATATCAATTTGTCATTTTAGATCTATCAGTTTTTCCTTTATACATTTTGAGGCTAGATTAAATAGAACGTACAAATATATTTCTTAGAAGTGTTTCTTGCCTTAAAATTGATGTGTTTTTATATTAGTACAGCACCTCCAGATTGCTTTTAGTCTGTGTTTACAAGGTATATCTTTTTCTAGTGTTTTACATTCAAGATTTCTATGTCCTTACATTAAGGGATGTCTATTTGGAAGTAGCGTATAGCTGAATACAGCCTGAAAACCTTTGTATCTTAATTGAAATGTTCATACAGTGTACATTTATTATAACCATGGATGTATCTGTTTATATCTACCATCTCACTATTTACTGTCCATTGTTTCTGCTTGTTCTAGTCTTCTTTTTCTTTACTTTTGAGCCTTCTTTTGGATTAATCAATTATTTTCAGTTATCACAAATGTTTCCTCTATTAGCTTGTATTTACATTTTTTACTCTTCCTTTAACTATTAACCTAGAAATCACAGCATATTTTTTCCTTATAGTAGAGCATGTTTACAATTTTCCAGATAATGTTAGACTCTTAGTAGAGTTCCATCTTTTTAAATTCTTCTTCCTTTGATATCATTTTTGTCATACATTTAATTCTACCTATAATTTAATCCCATAAGATACTATTTTGTTTTTATGGTCAAGATTTATTTAAATGTATCTACATATTAGTACTTTCTATGGCTTTTTATTCTTTCTCCATTTCTTACTTTTTCTATATATTCTATTTTCCTTTTAAAGGACTACATTCCCCTTGGTATTGTTTATATTGGAAATCTCCTACTTCAAATTATCTCATTTTTCTGAAAATGTCTGTATTTTGCTTTTTGGCTACTGTGATGGTTAATACTGAGTGTCAACTTGATTGGATTGAAATATGCAAAGTATGAATCCTGGGTGTGTCTGTGAGAGTATTGCCAAAGGAGATTAACATTTGAGTCAGTGGGTTGGGGAAGGCAGACTCACCCTTAATCTGGATGGGCACCATCTAATCAACTGCCAGCAAATATGAAGCAGGCAGAAAAAAATGTGAAGAGGCTAGGCTGGCTTAGCCTCCCAGTCTGCATTTCTTTTTTCCCCCATGCTGGATGCTTCCTGCCCTCAAACATGGGACTCCAAATTCTTCAGCTTTGGTACTTTGAATGGCTTCCTTGTTCCTCAGCTTGCAGCTGGCCGACTGTGTGATGTTGTGATGTTGTGAGTTAATGCTACTTAATAAACTCCCCTTTATATTTATGTTTATATCCCCTTTATACATTATATTTATATAAAGGGGAGTTTACATATAAAGGGTTCCCTAGAGGGACAGAACTAATAAGATATATATAATATATATTAATATATATAATATGTCATATATAACATACATATTATATATTATGTTATATATAAAATAAGATATGTATATCTTTTTTTATATATAAAATAAGACATATATAACTTATATATTATAAAATAAGATATATCTTATATATTATATATAAAACAAGATATATATAAGATAAGATATAAAGATAAAAATAAGATATAAATAAAATATATAAAAAAGATAAATAAAAAAGATATAAGATATAAGATATATATCATATATCTTATATATAATTATATATAATATAAAAATTATACATATTATTTTATTATATATTATATACATAATATATATATTTCATATATAATATATATTATATATAATATAAAATATATATTATGTATAATTATATATAAAATATATTATATAATTATATATAACATAAAATATATATAATATATAATTATATATAATATAAAATATATATATAATATAAAATATATATTATATGTAATTATATATAATATAAAATATATATATAATATAAAATATATATTATATATAATTATAATATAAAATATATATTATATAGTATATATTATATAAAATATATATTATATATAATTATATATTATATAAAATATATATTATATATAATTATATAATATAAAATATATATTGTATATAATTATATATAATATAAAATATATATAATATATGAAATAAGATATATACTATATATAATATATATAATTTACATATAAGATATATATCATATATCTTATATATAAAATAGGATATATATCTTATATGTTATATATAAAATAAGATATGTATATCTTTTGTTACATATACAATAAGACATATATATAACGTATATAAAATAAGATATATATTATATAAATATATATATCATATATCTTACATATTACATGTAAGATATATATCATATATCTTACATATTATATGTAAGATATATGTCATATATCTTACATATTATATGTAAGATATATGTCATATATCTTACATATTATAAGATATATATCATATATCTTATATATTATATATAAAATAAGATATATATCATACATGATATATATATCTTATATATATGATATATCATGTATGATATATATCTTATATATATAATATAATATCATATATATTATATATAATATAATATCATATATATTATATATAATATAATATCATATATATTATATATAATATAATATCATATATATTATATATAATATATTATTATATATAAGAAATATGATATATAATATATATATTTATTATATATAAATATATATTTAATATATATTTATATATAATAAGATATATATTATATATATAATATATATATGACCCACAACCCACACTGCCATCAGCCTTTCCACCTTTGTCTGAGGAGATAAACCCTCGCTGCCTGAGGCAACAGTTATGACCTCCCTGAGGCAGTTGCCAGGCAAGGTAATGTTGATTCTCCTCAGGAGCCACCCACAACACCCCTATTTGCTTCTAGACCTGTAACTATACTAAAGTCCCAGCGGGCCCCTAGAGGCAAGTTTCAGAGTGTGACCCATGAGAAGGTGAGCTACATTCAAAAAGAACTACTTGAATGTTCTAATTTATAGAAACAGAAATCTGGAGAACAGGCATGGGAATTGATATTAAGGATGTGAGATAATGGTGGAAGAAACATAAAGTTGGGTCAGGCTGAATTTATTGATTTAGACCCACTAAGTAGGGACTCTGCATTTAATGTTGCAGCTGGGGAAATTTAAAAAGTTTCTAATAATGTATTTGTTTGGTTAGCTGAAATATAGATTAAAAGATGGCCCACTGTGACCAACCTGGAAATGTCTGATCTCCCTTGGGTTAATGTAGAAAAAAGGATCCAAAACCTTAAAGAGATAGGGATACTGAAGTAGATTAGTCACTTTGGACCGACTCATCCCAGCTGCGCAGGTCTAGAGGCTATACCCTTGACCAATGCTTTGTAAAATAGATTTGTGAGGGTAGCACCTGTATTTTTTTAGAACTCTATAATTGCTCTTTTCTGTATGTCAGCTCTAACAGTGGAAACCACAGTCACTCAACTACAACATTTAAATACAGTGGGAATAATTGGATTCCGAGGTGGCAGGGGCCAAGTGGCAGCAGTCAACTGTCAAAAGCGAGGTAGACGTAGCTACCATAATGGACAGCAGAGGCAAAGCGGCAATCAGAATAGTCTGACTCATGTAGAACTCTGGCATTGGTTAAATAATCACAGTGTTCCTAGAAGTCATACTGATAGGAAGCCTACTGCATTCCTACTTTATTTTATAAAGCAGAAAACTTCTGGGTCTAATGGACAAAAGACAAATTTGAATTGTAAGAACAAAGAATCATGGCCCCTTAATCAATTTCCAGAATTGAGCCAGTTTACAGACCCAGAACCCCTTGAATGAAGGGGAGGCTGGGTCCCCTAGAGGAAGGACCCCAGTACACTACTAACAATTTATGCTGTTAATCTTTCTCCCATCCTTCCCCAATGAGATATCCAGCCTTTTACCAGGGTAACTGTGCATTGGGGAAAGAGAAATGATCAGACATTTCAAGCACTAGTGGACACTGGCCTTGAGCTGACATTGATTCCCGGGGACCCAAAACATCATTGTGATCCTCCAGTTAAAGTAGGGGCTTATGGACATCAGGTAATTAATGGAGTTTTAGCTCAGATTCAAATTACAGTAGGTCCAGTGGGTCCCTGGACTCACCCTGTGGTCATTTTCACAGTGCCTAAATGCATAATTGACATAGACATACTTAGGTGGCAGAACTCCCACACTGGCTCCCTGACTGGTAGGATGAAGGCTATTATGGTGGGAAGGGCCAAATGGAAGCCGTTAGAGCTGCCTCTGCCTAGAAAAACAGTAAACCAGAAACCATATCACACCCCTGTAGGGACTGCAGAAATTAGTGCCACCATGAAGGACTTGAAAGATGCAGGGGTGGTGATTCCAACCACAACCCTGTTCAACTCTCCTATTTGGTCTGTGCAGAAGACAGGTGGATCTTGGAGAATGACAGTGGATTATTGTATGCTTAACCAAGTTGTGTCTGCAGTTGAAGCTATTGTACTAGATGTGGTTTCATTGCTTGAGCAAATTAACACATCTCCTGGTACCTGGTAATGCAGCCATTGACTTGGCAAATGCCTTTTTCTCCATTCCTGTCCATAAGGCCCACAGAAGCAGCAATATATTTTTACTGTCCTACCTTAGGGGTATATCAGCTTTCTGGCTTTGTGTCATATTCTTATTTGGAGAGTCTTTGATTGCTTTTCACTTCCATAAGGTATCACACTGGTCCATTACATTAATGACATTATGCTGATTGGATCCAGTGAGCAAGAAGTAGCAAACACATTGGACTTATTGGTGAGACATTAGCATGCCAGAGGATGGGAAATAAATTTGACTAAAATTCAGGGATCTTCTATCTCAGTAAAATTTCTAGGGGTTTAGTGATGTGGGGCCTGTCAAGATATTCCTTCCAAGGTGAAGGATAAGTTGTTGCATTTGGCCCATCCTACAACCAAGAAAGAGGCACAACATCTAGTAGGCCTATTTGGATTTTGGAGGCAACATATTCCTTATTTGGGTGTGTTACTCTGGCCCATTTATCGAGTGACCTGAAAGGCTCCCAGTTTTGAATCAGGTCAAGAACAAGATAAGTCTCTGAAAGGCCCAGGCTGCTGTGCAAGCTGCTCTGACACTTGGGCCATATGACCCAGCAGATCCAATGGTCCTTCAGGTGTCAGTGGCAGACAGGGATGCTGTTGGGAGCCTTTGGTGGGCCTGCATACGTGAATCACAGCAGAGGCATCTAGGATTTTGGAGCAAGGCCCTGCCATCTTCTGCAGATAACTACTTTCCTTTTGAGAGACAGCTCTTGGCCTGTTACTGAGCTTTGGTGAAAACTGAATGTTTGACTATAGATCATCAAGTCACCATGCAACCTGAACTGGGTGCTTTCTGACCCATCTAGCCATAGAGTGGGTCATGCACAGCAGCATTCCATCATCAAATGGAAGTGGTACATACATGATCGGGCTCAAGCAGGTCCTAAAGGCACAAGTAAGTTACATGAGGAAGTGAGGCAAATGCCCATGGTCTCCACTCCTGCTACCCTGCTTTCTCTCCTGCAGCCTGCACCAATGGCCTCATGGGGAGTTTCCTATGATCAGTGGACAGAGGAAGAGAAGACTACGGCCTGGTTCACAGACGGTTCTTCACGATATGCTAGCACCACCCGAAACTGGACAGCTGCAGCACTACAGTCCCTTTCTAGGATATCCCTGAAGGACAGCTGTGAAGGGAAATCTTCCCAGTGGGCAGAGCTTCCAGCAGTGCACCTGGTTGTGCACTTTGCACGGAAGGAGAAATGGCCAGATGTGTGACTATATACTGATTCATGAACTGTAGCCAATGGTTTGGCTGGATTGTCAGGAACTTGGAAGAGGCATGATCGGAAAATTGGTGACAAAGAAATTTGGGAAAGAGGTATGTGGATGGACCTGTTTGGTCAAAAACTGTGAAGATATTTGTATCCCCATGAGTGCTCACCAATGAGTGACCTCAGCAGACGAGGATATTAATAATCGAGTGGATAGGATGATCTGTTCTGTGGACACCACTCAGCCTCATTCCCCAGCCACCCGTGTCATGGAGGCAAGGATGGAGGTTATGCATGGGCTCAGCAACATGGACTTTCACTCACCAAGGTTGACCTGGCTATGGCCACTGCTGAGTGCCCAATTTGCCAGCAGCAGAGACCAACACTGAGCCCTCGATATGGCACCATTCCTCAGGGTGATCAGCCAGCTACCTGGTGGCAGGTTGATTATATGGGACCTCTTCCATCATGGAAAGGGCAGAGGTTTGTCCTCACTGGAATAGACACTTATTCTGAATATGGGTTGTTTGCCTGTCTTGTACTCTATGCTTCTGCTAAGACTACCATCCATGGACTCTCGAAATGCCTTATCCACCATCACCGTATTCTACAAAGCTTTGCTGCTGTCCAAGGCACTTACTTTATGGCTAAAGAAGTGCAGCAGTAGGCTCATGCTCATGGAATTCACTGGTCTTACCATGTTCCCCATTGTCCTGAAGCAGCTGGATTGACAGAATGGCGAAATGGCCTTTTGAAGTCACAATTGCAATGCCAACTAGGTAATAATACTTTTCAGGGCTGGGTCAAAGTTCTTCAAAAGGCTGTGTATTCTCAGAATCAGTGTCCAATATATGGTACTGTTTCTCCCATAGCCAGGATTCATGGGTCCAGTAATCAAGGGGTGAAAGTGGAAGTGGCAGCAATCATCATCACCCCTAGTGATTCACTAGCAAAATTTTTGCTTCCTGTTTCTGCGACATTACATTCTGCTGGCCTAGAAGTCTTAGTTCCAGAGGGAGGAACACTGCCACTAGGAGACACAACAATGTTTACATTAAACTGAAAGTTAAGATTGCCACCTGGACACTTTGGATTCTTCCCACCTTTAAGACAACAGACTAAGAAGGGAGTTACAGTGTTGGCTGGGATGATTGACCCAGACTGTCAAGACGAAATTAGTCTACTACTCCACAACAGAGGTAAGAAAGAGTAGGCATGGAATACAGGAGATCTATTAGGGTGTCGCTTAGTATTACCATGCCATGTGATTAAGGTCAGTGGAAAACTATAACAGCTCAATCCAGGCAGGACTACAAACGACCCAGACCCTTCAGGAATGAAGGTTTGGGTCACTCCACCAGGAAAAAAACCACGATCTGCTGAGGTACTTGCTGAAGGCAAAGGGAATACAGAATGGGTAGCAGAAGAAGGTAGTCATCAATACAAGCTATGAGAACATGACCAGCTGCAGAAACAAGGACTATAATTGTCATGAGTATTTCCTCCTCCTTTTGTTAAAAACATGATTGTGCATGTATACTCTTATACTAAGAAAATATCTTCATTTTATTTCCTTTAACTGTTGTTAGCTTTATGTAGTAGCATTTGGGTTGGGGACTCGTGCATTTCTAGTTGTACGAAGGATAGTTGTATTATGTTATTTGTAATTATGACCTTATTACTGTCTTTATTTGAAGATTATATGTGATCTCAGGAGATGTGTATGGGTTCAAGTTGACAAGGGATGGACTTATGATGGTTAATACGGAGTGTCAACTTGATTGGATTGAAGGATGCAAAGTATTGATCCTAGGTATGTCTGTGAGGGTGTTCCCAAAGGAGACTAACATTTGAGTCAGTGGGCTGGGGAAGGTAGACTCACCCTCAATCTGAGTGGGTACCATCTAATCAGCTGCCAGCAAGTATAATGTAGGGAAAAAAACATGAAAAGGTCAGACTGGCCCAGCCTCCTAGCCTACCTCTTTCTCCCATGCTGGATGCTTCCTGCCCTCAAACATCAGACTGCAAGTTCTTCAGCTTTGGGACTTGGACTGGCTTCCTTGCTCCTCAGCTTGCAGAAGGCCTATTATGGGACCTTGCGATTATGTGAATTAATACTACGTAAGAAACTCATATATACGTATGAGTATTAAGTGTGTGTATATATAAATTATAAATTTATATATACAAATTATAAAAACTCATACATATATGAGTTTCTTATGTACATATATACACACACTTACTAAACTCATATATATAGATAGATAGATAGATAGATAGATAGATAGATAGATAGATATCTCCTATTAGCTCTGTCTCTCTAGAGAACCCTGAGTAATAAAGCTACCTTCAATAAGCTTCTTTGCTCTATGGGGATATTTGTCTATCAAGTCCTGGATGCCTGATAAGCCCTCTAGCTTTTCTAGTTATTCTAGGTAGAAGCATTAATTTAATATGTTACAGTGTCATAATCAGAAGCTAAAGCCTACACATTGGATTTTAGTTGGTGCTTTCCCTGTACTTACTGAAATAACCATATAGTTTTATATGTTTATTTTTTAAATCTGGTAAATTATGTTATGAAATTATAATTTCAACACATGCTTGTATTCCTAAATAACACCAAATTTAAATTATATATGAATAGATAAATATACATTGTAATATATTTTTATCAGTATATATAATAATATTTTTGCTGCATTGGGCTTACAATATTGCATATAATTTTGTCTTCTGAAAGAGTTTAGATAAAGACTGAAATTATCTTTTCTCATCATTTGTTAAAGCTATATAACCTGGTATGAATTTTGGGGGATAGATTTTAAATGATGGATGTAATTTCTTTTGATGGTTATAGATTTATATAGGTTTTTAAATTCTTTTTGAGCAATAAGTGATATTTTTCTAAGAAATTACCCATTTTGTCTATGTTTCAAATTTATTCTCATAAATTTATTCTTTGATATTATTTTGCTTTTATCTTTTATTTAATAGACTTACTATTAGAGTTCACTCTTTTTTATTGTTACTATTATTATACGGTTAATTTTTCTTGCTGATTTGTTTGGGTTCCTTGAAGATTCTGGATATTAGTCATTTAGTTCGAATGCGTAGTTTGCAAAAAATTTCTCCCACTCTGAGGGTTATTTACTTTGCTGATTTTTTTTCTGTGCAGAAGTATTTTAGTTTAATTAGATCGCATTTATTTGTTTTTATTTTTGTTACATTTGCTTTTGGGTTCTTAGTCATGGATTCTTTGTCTGGAAGCCAAATGTCTAGAAGTTTTTCCCATAGTATCTTCTAGAATTTTTATGGTTTCAGGTCTTAGATTTACATCTTTGATCCATCTTGAGTTGATTTTTGTATAAGGTGAGAGAAGAGGATCCAGTTTCATTCTTCTACATGTGGCTTGCCAGTTTTCCCAGCACTATTTATTGAATTGGGTGTCCTTTCCCCACTTTGTGTTTTTGTTTGCTTTGTTGAAGATCAGTTGGCTGTAAGTATTTGGCTTTATTTCTGGGTTCTCAATTCTGTTCCATTTGTCTATGTGCCTATTTTTATATTATACCAGTACTATGCTGTTTTGGTGACTATAGCCTTGTAGTATAGTTCGAAGTAGGATAATGGGATGCCTCCAGATTTGTTCTTTTTGCTTAGTCTTGCTTTGGCTATGAAGGCTCTTTTCTCATTCCATAAGAATTTTAGGATTTTTTTTTCTAGTTCTGTGAAGAATGATGATGGTATTTTGATGGGAACTGCATTGACTCTGTAGATTGCTTTTGGCAGTATGGTCATTTTCACAATATCGATTCTACCCATTCATGAGCATGAGATGTTTCCATTTCTGTCATCTATGATTTCTTTCAGCAGTGTTTTGTAGTTTTCCTTGTAAAGATATTTCACTTTCTCCATTAACTATATTCCTAAGTGTTTTATTTTTGTTGCAGCTGTTGTAAAAGGGATTGAGTTCTTGATTTGATTCTCAGCTTGGTTGTTGTTGTCGTGTAACAGTGCAACTGATTTGCGTAGATTGATTTTGATTCCTGAGACTTTACTGAATTTGTTTATCAGGTCTAGGAGCTTTTTGGATGAGTCTTTAGGGTTTTCTAGGTATACAATCATATAATTGGCAAATGGTGACAGTTTAACTTTCTTTTTTGGATGCCCTTTATTTCTTTATCTTGTCTGATTGTTCTGGTTAGTACTTCCAGTAATATATTGAATAGATGTGGTGGAAGTGGGCATGCTTGTCTGGTTCCAGTTCTCAGAGGGAATGCTTTCAACCTTTCCCCATTCAGTATGATGTTGGCTGTGGGTTTGTCATAGATGGCTTTTATTACTTTGAGGTGTTTCCTTTCTGTGCCAATTTTTGGAGGGTTTTTATCATAAAGGGATGCTGGATTTTGTCAAATGCTTTTTGTTGTCTTTTGAGATGATCATATAATTTTTGTTTTTAATTCTGTTTATGTGATGCATGACATTTATTGACTTGCGTATGTTAAAAGATCCCTGCTATGAAGCCCACTTGATCATGATGTATTATCTTTTTTGATATGCTGTTAGATTCAGTTAGCTAGTATTTTGTTGAGGATTTTTGCATCTATGTTCATCAGGGATTTTGGTCTCTAGTTTTCTTTTGTAGTTATGTCCTTTCCGAATTTTGGTATTAGGTTATACTGGTTTCATAGAAAGAGGAAGGATTCCCTCTTTCTCTGTCTTTTGGAATAGTTTCAGTAGGATTGGTAACCGTTCTCCTTTGACTGTCTGATAGAATTCAGCTGTAAATACTCCTGGTCCTGGACTTTCTTTTGTTGGCATTTTTTTTTATTACTGATTCAATCTTGCTGCTTGTTATTGACCAATAACAAGAGTTTCTTTTTCTTCCTCATTTAATCTAGTAAGGTTGTATATTTCCAGTAATTTTCCATCTCTTCTAGATGTTCTAATTTGTGTGCATAAAGGTGTTCATAGTAGCCTTGAATGATCTTTTGTATTTTTGTGGTATTGGTTGTAATATCCCCCATTTTATTTCTAATTCAGCTTATTTGGATCTTCTCTCTTCTTTTCTTGGTTAAGCTTGCTAATGGTCTATCAAGTTTGTTTATCTTTTCAAATAACTAGTTTTGTGTTTCATTTATCTTTTGTATTTTTTGTTTCAATTTTATTTAGTTCTGCTCTCATCTCTGTTATTTCTTTTCGTCTGCTGGGCTTGGGTTTAGTTTTTTCTTGTTTCTCTGGTTCCTTCAGGTCTTATACTTCTTTTCTATCTCTTTGTCCCTCTATGGTAAATTCTGGGTAATTTCTTCAGATATCTTCCAGCTCACTAATTATGTATAATTTCTTGAGTAATCTATCCAGTAATTTAAAAATTTTGTGTATTTATTTACTTCTATAAAGTTATCTGCCTTTTTCCACATATGCCTTGTCTTTTTTAATTGTATCCTAATTTTTGCTTATATTCCCCATTCTGTATTATATTTAAAAATATATTTTATACATACTCATTTTTAAATCTGTATTTAAAAGTTCTTATGAGAATAATCCTCCTGTTGTTTTTGCTGACTCATATTTTGGCCAGATAAGTATGCTGACTCATATTTATTTCAACATAGGAAAACATGGTGTGTGATTTGTTAACTCTTGGTTGGCTTTATTTGTGAGAATGCTACAAATTTTAATTTGTGGATACTTTCATTTAGAAACAATTTGGGATATTTATTAACCAGAGATAACTTTACTTCTAAATTGAGGTTTTCATAGATTAATCAGCTGTAAATCTGAATTCCACTATTACATGGAGAAAGTGCTATGGCTTAAAAATTCTGATAGAATACTTTCCTTATCTAGAGCCAAGGCTTTTGATAGTGACAGGAGGCAGACACATCCTAGGCAGACAGGGACAGGTCCCTGGTAAAACCCCACCATCAAGCTGAAGACAGTTGAAAGCCTAGCTTCAAGTCCTGGGGTAAATCCATGGACTGGATTGAGAAACTCTCTTCCTGTTTGGCACACTTTCCTCTGATTGATACCCACCCTTCACCTATTTTACATATGCCTACTCTTCCCTAATTGTTTTGTTACACTGTCATGCCAACCTTTGAGTGGAGCCTTTGTTTTAGCCTTTTTTTTTTTTTTTGCATACTGACAAACCAAGCAGCACACACCCCCTATTCTGAGCACATAAAAGCCCCAGACCCAGCCACACTGGGGGGAGAAACCAATTGAC
This sequence comes from Homo sapiens, assembly GCF_000001405.40. Taxonomy (NCBI): domain Eukaryota; kingdom Metazoa; phylum Chordata; class Mammalia; order Primates; family Hominidae; genus Homo; species Homo sapiens. The sequence continues at coordinate 211,144,910 of NC_000002.12, forward strand.
TTCAGGTGTTAGACAACCCTCATGTCTCCTCTCCACTGAGAGTTCAATAAAATTCTTCTCTGCTCTCCTCATCCTTCAATTGTCAGTCTATCCTCATTCTTCTTGGATGTGGAACTAGAACTCAAAAGGCCCACCGAACATGAGTACAAAGTAAGTAGTAACACTGTGGCCCCCTGATCTCTCCTAGTGGAGGGCTGCTGCCCTATGTGATGGGAAGCAGTGGCAGAACTGAGCCAGCCCCAGAGCTGTGGCCCAGAGTAGGGTAACGGGGCTGACAGAGCTGTTAACACACTGTCATCTGTCTGGGCAGAGGCATTGCCAGACAGAGGTCTCTGGCTGGCAAAGTGACTGAGAAAAATCCTTCGTCATTTTGATAGTAAGTTTTCTGGTCACCTCTTGGAAAACAAGTAATTTTAATTTTTTTTAACTTTTTACTAAAAGGAGCTCTTTAACAGATTCAGATATATTCAATGGTCTAGGTTTCTACTTTGCAACGAATACAGATAGTTCTCATACCCCTGGCCTACACCCACATGTTACTCACATCTGCAAATGTCCTCAAGGCAGATGCCTGGAAAACTAATCCTAATCACTGTTGTTTCCAGTTACCTTTTCATGTATTTGTTTCTATATTATTAAAATATCAGATATAGATTTCAAAAAATATTTGGAAGGCCTGATGTAGTATTTCTAGGTTCTTATTATAAGATAATTTTCCAGGATATCTAACCTACCACATTATAAAAATAAATTGATTTCTAACATTCCACATTGATATTTTTATCTGTTTACAGATCTGTCTTTTCTAGAGAGATAATAAATTTCCTGAAGGCAGAAAGGGTATGGTATTCATTGTTATAAATCCTGAACCTAGCATGTGTCTGATTAATATATAGTAAATGCTATATGATTGTTGAATTAATGTCTCCTTTCTTAAGATAGATATCTTTTTAGTCTTATGTTATAAATTAAGTCATAATATATTAAGAATGAAAGTTTATATAGTTATGTTCTAATGATTGATGTCACTATTTTTATCTTTCTAACAGCTGTTAATCAACATAGATTTATTCTTCTATCATTTCATGTTAAAATCATACTTTTTAAATATCAGTGATTATATCTTACATATCGTAAATATTTTTATCAATCTCAATAAAACACATGAGTAATTCTATGTGTCAAGACTAAAAGCAAATCAATAGTACAAATTTAATCATTAATTTATTCTCAGTTATTTCAATATTCCAGTTTCTTTGAAAGAAAAAATTATCTATGGAGCATTTATCTCAGTACCTTGCCACTGTAATTAAACATACATTTAAAAAATATTTCTTAATAATAGAAAAAAATGGGCTAATCTTCCACATATAAAAGGAAGAATTATAATGGAAATATAAAGAACATTTAATAAATAGGATAATTTTTATAGTCATAATGGAACATTTACAAAGGAAAGAAAGCTAAGTGTAGGGAATGGACTACATGTCATTATTAGTGAGGTTCTTTTTTTAAAGTCTATTCCTTTGCATGGTTTTGGACATTTTTCTAATTTTTTTATTTATCTTATTTATGAAATTGGGAAGATCTTTCTTGATGGAGAAAGATGCAAAAGACAATAAATAGAATTATTATTAAACAAAATACTGAGGTTATACCAATGCCTACTGGAATACAGTATAACTAATTTTAGATTTAACTCCCCTCTAAATTCCACAAATTTGGGCAGATTTTTACTATATCTCAAAGTTCTCTTTTTGTTGTGTAATTTCAAGTTATGCTACATCTATTGTCATGATAGACTCACTGAGATTATTGGTTCTCTCTAATTATAAAGTCCCCTTAGAGGGGAAAACAGAAATTTAGGTGAATTATCAGTGTCTGAAGTGGTGGGTACAACAATAATACAAAATGACATGCTCAGGACTGTTGATTCATTTCAAAGAATGTTTGGCATTTTTTCTCTGCAATTGAAATTTGAAAGTAATTAATCACTTAGGCTAGAAATAGAGATTCCAATTATTCAAAAATCCTTATTGAGCACATGCTATGTTCTTGGTCCATGCCATAAGAAACAGACCATAACAAACAGCTTCCACTCAAATGTACAAATAAACAAACAATTCTATTTTGTCATTGGAACCCTGGCATATATAAATAGGCATATTTGGTAGGCCCAAAGAAAGTGAATTATGAATGGAAATAGTCCTATGAGAAGAAATTGACCATATATCAAAAGTGGAACACAAGGTCTGTTATAATGAGTTAAATTGATGCAGAGAATAAAATATTTCAGTGAAAGTACTGGATCTGGGTAAGGACTGACTTTTATCAGGCAAAATCCTTTGTGATTTGGAAAATAAAATAGCATGTGGCACCTGAAAGAAAAGGAGCTGTCTTACTAAAGTTCAAAATGTTTTAGGAGTCTGAATCCCTCCTCACATCAGTAGCCGTGAATAACAAATATACGGGAGGAAGTCATTCATTTTCTTCCCAAGATACTGCCAAACTTATGTATCACTTTAAGAATTGAAAACATCGGTACCTGTAGTAATAGTTCCTTAAATAAAACTAAAGCTAGTGGAAGTAATGATGGTGGTTCTGAGTCAGGTCATCAGCAAATGGCAGCAAGTGTTGATTTGTATATGCAAATAAGATATCTTTTCCAGGAACATTGAAAAACCTAGAGCAGACAATGAAGTTGATAATAAACAATTTGTTGCTATGCATTTAAAGCCTAGGAACAATGATAATGTGGACATTGAGTTATAAGAGTCTTCATATTTACCCAAATTCTGTTAAGGCTGGATACATTTGAATTGCATATATGACCTGCCTGATTTTCATCTCACTCCTGATAACAAACATCTATTGCACACAATAGTTGGTTATAAAATAATACTTTGCATACAGCACCAAAGTGTTCCTATAACTATATTAAAAGAGCTGAATCAAAATACTCTCTATGTAAGGATCTTGTAGTGATATACTCAGCCTTGGCATCCATAAGAAGATACTTCATAGGAAACATGATATTGAGCAATCTTTTGAAAAATATGAGCATTCTTACTACTTCCTTTTATCCAGGAAGAGGTCAGGTGTTATTAAAGAGACAGTATACTGTGCAAGATATATATATATATGTGTGTGTGTGTGTGTGTGTGTGTGTGTGTGTGTGTGACAGTATGCTATGCAAGATATATATAAATATATAAAATGGGTTAAGACTATGTTGGCATATTACTTTAGAATAAAAGCTGAAGAGGAAACAATTTATGGTAAACCCAATCACATATACAAATTAATGAACATATTAAACACCAATTTTGATAAACATGGTTTTCTCATAATTGTTTGACATATAATTCAGTGATACTGGTGTTTGTTTGTTTTTTGATGGTTTCCTAAATAAATTAAAAAATGAGACTCCTACACTCCCCCATTTGCCACATAGAGTAGGATACTATCTTACAAATAAAGGTCTGCAAAAATTGACAATGGTGTGCAAATCCTCATTTAGCTATTGTATCCATGAATGTTAATTAAAGATTCTCTTAGAAAGAAGTTCAAGATTAGAATAGTATCATCTTTTCAAATTAAATTTTTCAAATATAAAAAGACAAAATCATATAAATAGCCATAAAGGAAAAATATTTACTCTTGGTCTAGTCTAGCATTCCATACCCTGGCACTATTGACATTTATGTCTAGATGCCATTTTCTTGTTGAAGGGCTAGCTACCCTTTGCATTCTAATATGTTTTGCAGCATCAATGGCCTCAACCAACTAAATGCCAGTAGCATTCTTTCCCGATTTGTGATCAACAAAACTGTCTCTAGACATTGTGAAATGTCCCAAGGGCAATATTGCTTCTAATTAAGAGCCCTTATTTAGTTTTACCTTTCCCACCCACCAATTTACAGTCCCCTCAAAAAATTACCTTTATTAATTCTGAGTATGCTTCTAGAGTTTCTTCATGTAAAAATCTTTTTTTTTTAACATGTTCTCATCCTTGTTTTGTCATTTAAAGACTTCTGGCACATTTTACAAATTTAGGGGATTATCATAATTTTTAATCTTTTAATGAACACTTGGATTGCTTCAAATTCTTTTGTTATAAATGTCTTCAAATGGACAAATTTATACATCCATCATTTATATGTATACAAGTAATAGTAAAATAAATTCACGGAAGTAGTATATATATATATTTTTTTTACACTGTCATCAACATTATAATTTCACTAAAAATAGTATTTGTATGTTAGTTGTAATTCTTGTTTTCCATTTTGCTTTGCTTGATTGGCAGGATAAAAAGGCATAAGACATTGAACTACGCTACTGTCATATTCAATACTATAGTTTCTTTTACAAAATTTAAACTTGGTGGGCCAGGCGTGGTGGCTCATGCCTGTAATCCCAGGAGTTTGGGAGGCTGAGGCGGGCAGACCAGGAGATCAGGAGTTCAAGACCAGCGTGGCCAACATGGTGAAACCTCATCTCTACTAAAAGATACAAAAAGTTAGCCAGGCATGACGGTGCCCACCTGTAATCCCAGCTACTCAGGAGGCTGAGGCAGGAGAATTGCTTGAACCCGGGAGGCAGAGGTTGCAGTGAGCCGAGATTGTGCCACTGCACTCCAGCCTGGGCGACAGGGCAAGACTCCATCTCAAAAAAAAAAAAAAAAAAAAATTGGAAACCAATTAAAGCAATAGTAGGTGAGGTGATATAGAAATAGTTAGTGAGGTGATATAGAAAAACAATTATTTTTTAGAGAGGCAGAGGAAAGTGACAAAGTCTAATGTGCTAAGGTCATTGGCCTCTAGAGATGTAGATAAAATACTCTTATATTCTATTTATCCAGCAAGAAAGGGTGATAATCCAACTGATCCTAAGGATTATTAACTACAAGAACAATTGAAGCATGGAATTTCAGAGTCATAAAGCTATTAAGAATTTTGCTGGCTTTCTTAAGCAAGATTAGGATAACAGAAACTTCTGTGGAGAAGGAAAAAAAACCCTGCATCATCATTTTCAATATAAATATGGAACTCGATAGGTGAAATTTGTGATACTTTTGACTTTCGGAAAAAGCCTAATGAGTCAACAGTATTCATCTTCTTAGAGAGGTGATACGTATTGTCTTTCATTACCCCTATTGTTTTTAAGTATGATTTTTAAAATGAGCCCAACTGGTCAGCATCTGCCTTCATTCAATGAAAATCTACTCATTATAGAAATTGCATATAGAGAGCTTTCCCTTTATTCATTTGATGCAGAAAGAAGACCATCATGTAGGAGCATCATTTTGAATCTTAATTAACCAAAGATTTAATTTTGTTCAGAAAATGTGAGCTCATCAGGACTACTTACATGATGCTTGTTAACATCTAGCGCTTTGCCTATTTGAATAAATGCCATTCTCCTTGTATTTGAATTAAATTATTTACTATGGATGATTTGAAAGGTTTATAATATTGTACTTACTGGAACTCACAGCACCAAAGTATTCATTTGCATGCCTGTAAAATGGAATGCAATTATTTATATATGATTATGCTCTTTCAAATATCTTCTCCCAGCCAAGACAATATTAAAGTCATCAGGTAGTCAACACTGATAGCATATGAGGAGCTCTAAAACTATGAACATGACTGAGTACCTTTTATGTCTATAAATCTGAAACTGCTTAGAAGACTCTAAAATTTATGACTACTTTAGGTATTATAAATTTTTATCAAGTGTGGCCTTTAAAAGTAAAGTTTTTATTCATGTTATGTGGGATTTTTACACAGCTCATCTTGCTTAAAACCAACTTTCCCTATGAACATTGATTGTCAGATACCAGCTTATTTGATAATCATATGTCCTAAAAAGCCATCACTTTGAGCTTAGTTCAAGAATAAGTTGAATTGATCAGTAGTCATTTACTAAATGACTCCCATGGGAGAGGAAAAAGAAAAGATGCAGCAACTTAAGATCTTTTCCTCTCTGAGCCTCGGTGGCTTTAACTTTTAGTATGTCTCTCCAAATCAATTCCCTCTGAGAAAACATTGTTGGAACACCTTCCTCTTCCAGGAAAGTAGAAACAAAGTAGAGTAGACCTGATGGATATAAAATTGACCTTTATTAAACAAAAAAAGTATGAATTTTGCTTTATGCATCCTGCTGTATTTTGGCTAGGTCCTAGAGAGTCTTCTTGGAATAGTTTACTTCCTCTCTTAGAAGACACAGCACTTCCTAAATTATGTTTGAACTTAATACCATTTGTTTATCTATTGTTCAGGAATGGAGAAAGATCCTGAGGGGGCTTGTTTTTTTCTAGCAAAGCAGAGTCCTCTACATTCTCTCCAAACAAAAAGAAATAAGCACACACCTTGTACCAAGAGAAAAAACACCACCACATGTTCAAGGGTTCAAGGAGACCTGGAAACCCAAAAATGTTGAGTGCCTGCCCCCATCTCATGTCTGTAAGTCCCACTCTCTAACAATGAGAGATCTCCTTTAATACATAGTCCTGATACAGCCAATCTTCTAGTGTTGATAATTTTATCTTCTCTGAAGCTCTGCTGTTATTTACATCAGTTCTAGTTCTGATCCTTAGCTTTTCTAGCCTTCTGGATGCCAGACATGATAGTCTATTTATATGCTCCCACATTTATCCTTTCTTAGTTTTTATAATATATTCATCCTTAAAATGATGATTAACAGGCCGGGCGCGGTGGCTCACGCCTGTAATCCCAGCACTTTGGGAGGACGAGATGGGTGGATCAGTAGCTCAAGAGATCGAGATCATTGTGGCCAGCATGGTTAAACCCTGTCTCTACTAAAAATACAAAAATTAGCCGGGCGTGCTGGTGGGTGCCTGAAATCCCAGCTACTCGGGCGGCTGAGGCAGGAGAATCGCTTGAACCCGGGAGCTGGAGGTTGCAGTGAGCCGCGATCGTGCCACTGCACTCCAGCCTGGCCACAGAGTGAGACTGCATCTCAAAAAAAAAAAAAAAAAAATTGACAATTAACCTACCTAACTCTTTCATTACCCTTAAACAATACATCCATTTTTCATAGTAGGGGCCATCCAATTTCATAGTATTTTTATAATTATAACTTCATTCTGATCTCTCAAAAAGCAGAGATAGTGCACCTTCCAGTGCATTTCCGTTAACTACTATACCAGTTAACCACAAATAAAAGATTGAACAGTTGCACTGTGACCTTGTGCAAACAGCTGGTGCTCCATCTACCACTGGTAATAGTTCCTCCCCTGTCAGCCAGGCAGAAGGTGATCTAACTTCAGAATCCTTCTTAGATTCTACATCCTAGGATACTCCTGGTATCAAATATCATAAGTTGGGTTTCCTGGCAAACAAGATCCGTGATAGAGATTTGCACACAAGTGTTATATTGAATGGTGTTCTTTGGAATAACACTTGTGAGGAAGTGAGGGAAGCAGGATTAGAAAGAGGAACAAATGAAACTGTTAAATAGTGTCAACCGAGAACTCAGCTGATCACACTGGGACTTTGGAGCTTGTATTTCTCTCTCTCTCTCTCTCCCTCTCTCTCACTCTCTCTCTCTCTCTCTCTCTCACACACACACACACACACACAAATGCAAACATATTTATTTTCTTAAACTTACTTTCTTGTATTTAAAAAAACCATAAGATTCAGAGTCATATTGACTTGCTATTACATGTCTGTCTTTGTCCAAGTTATTCAAAGGAGACTCTCTCTGAGTCTATATTTTGTATTTGAAAATTGAAGAGATAGTATATCTCTCATGGAGTAGTTGTCAGAAATTGGTGAGATAATGTAAAACATTTGCCTAGAGTGGGACCTCGTATATAATAATTACTCCTAAAAATATTATGATTTTTCCCACTCTTTCCTCATTTTGCTCTTCTCATGCCTAGAGGTTATTTCCTGTCTACAGTTATTTCTATGCTAGTTTTGATAAAGAATATATATTTGATTTGACAGCTATCAAGTTATGTAGCTTTTATTAGTAATATCAGCGGCAATTTGAATTAGGTTTTTTGAAAAACCCTAGTCAATAGCTAATCTTGGAAGGTGCATAATTATAACACTTATATATCATTTGATGAAAAGACAGGTATGCACCTTAATTCTTAAATGAGTAACTGGGAAGTAAACAACCATATCTCAAATGTACTAAAAATTACAATATAGAATGACTATTGCTTTTATGCCCAGCAAACAGTCCTCAATTCTTATTATTTCTGAAGCATTTTTCCTATGACAAATCTATTTTGTGCAATTTGAGAGGGCTGCCTCACAGCCTTCTCTCCCCCTCTAATCCCTCCACAACCGTAGATGTGTAACCCAGGGACAGCCAGTCGGAAACTTCTTTCCCAAGTGATTGGTTGAGGGACGGTCCATAGCAGGACAAATTAGAGCTTCCTCTAAGATTTATGGTGCTGAAAGAGAAAATGTATCTTATTCTTGGCTCACAAAGCAATAGAAATATAGACTTGAGGCTATCAGAGACCTTCTTTTCTGCCATGCAGAATAAGCCTATGCAAAGAGGAAATCTATTCAAAGAGAAAAGCATCCATTCCGGAGATGGAAAAAGGCTCTGAAAACAATATTCAACATTAAGTTATGACCTACCAGATCCATCTTTGGACTTTTCAGTCATACAAGCTAAATTCTTCTCCCTTTTAAAAATTATTATTTTTTTAATTGACAAATAATAATTGTATATGTTTATGGGGTACGTAGTGATGTTTTGATACATATAATGTATAATGATTAGGTCAGGGTAATTAGTATGTCTATCTCAAACATTTATTATTCCTTGGTGTTAGAAATGTTCAGTAGCCTCCTTTTAGTAATTTTAAACTAATACATTAGTGTTCTGTAGGCATCTTACAGTGGTACAGGACACTATAACTTATTCCTCCTGTCTGGATGTAAGAACCATTTTAAGTTAGACTTCTGTTACTTTCAACCAACCAAGTCATAATAAAAAACATACAAACTATTATTTAAATGTTTTCGAAGCATTGACTATATTGGAGAACTTAATTTCTGATTATAAATCATCTGTGTTGTATCTTCATTGCCTAGAATTACTCCTAGCATAACATAGGCATTCAGTAAGCATTAGCGGAATTACATAATTCACAAACCAAAAATTGACTTTGAAATGTGTCGCATAATAGTGCTAATGGAAGAGAAAGTTGAGTGTGTGTGTGTGTGTGTATATGTGTATTCATTGGGAGCAAAAGTACAGTAAGGTATAACCATTGTTCCTCTTTTTTAAAGTCCATAACTACTTTCTATTTCCTGAAGCAATTTAAATTTTTAAATTTTAAAGAAATGAAAATGTTTAGGATATGATTACTTAGTTTCATTTCTGGCTCTGCCAATGTTTTTGATAAATAATAATATCTCAAATCTCAGTTTCCATACTTTACCAAGAATAGTTATTTCTGATACTCTTGCCTGAACTATGCATTTCAGGTTAAATTTAAATAATTTCTGTGCTTTTATAACATAATTTTCAATTCTAAATTTTTAATTCAAAAATAATTTTTGGAAATTAAAAGTTACATAATACTTGGGGGAATAGTGTGGATGACCAGGAGGAATAAGTGAGAAGCATACTAGCTAGCATCTCTAGAGGCATTAGCAAGGCACTTGAATGAAAGTAGCAGTTACTCTGTAGAATATCTTCATACAAACAACAATTTCTTTTATTTATTCTATCTTTTTTTTTTTTTTTTTTTTTGAGACGGAGTCTTGCTCTGTCGCCCAAACTGGAGTGCAGTGGCGCGGTCTCGACTCACTGCAACCTCCGCCTCCAGGGCTCAAGCAATTCTCCTGCCTCAGCCTCCCAAGTAGCTGGGACTACAGGCACAGATCGCCACGCCCGGCTAATTTTTTGTATTTTAGTAGAGATGGGGTTTCTGTGTTGCCCAGGCTGGTCGCCAACTCCTGAGCTCAGACAATCCGCCCACCTCGGCCTCCTGTGTTGCATATCTGTAAAGTGAAGATTTAGTCACTCAAAGATATGTTGTTAGTCATTTAATATAATTACACATTGAAAATATAAATTATTTCAAAAGCAGCCTAATGCTTTTAAAGGCTAAGTAAATGTTTTGAGAAATATTCAGATGAGTCCCACTTGAAAAACTGTATTTATTATACTCACTCCAAAACAACATATGCTTTTAAATAACTTGTTTATTAGGAAAAACAAATGATGACTCTCCAGCTCATTCAGAACACTTTTAGGAAAACTGACAGTAATTTGATAAAGAGAGCCCTTGCCACACACTGACCTGGGAATGGAATTGAAAATTGGAATGGGATTTGCAGACTTGGCAATTGTGATTCCATGCACCACCGATAGGTTTTGCATCCATCCCATTTTTCCTTGGTCTTTTCTTTTTCTTTCATAATTTTTGGTCCCTGAAAAGATCTTTTATTTTCAAATAATAAAGAATGGTGGCTATAATAGCACCTACAATTTTCAGATTCATCTTAGATCCTCTCATTAATTTTTTTTATTTATTTGACCTTAAGCACAAATAAATATTTTCCGAGAAGATTTTCTTCTCTTAAGCAGAAATCATGAGAGCTGCTTGAATGTATTGAGGCGACCTACACTGAGGTGATTCTATCCAAATGCAATTGTTGTTTAGTAATCATTTAAAATTTAGTTTTGAATTACTATAAGAATTTGGGCTTATGTTATTAAAAGCTAAGTGATGGTATGATAATTTGATAATATCTGAATTAAAACTTAATTCTTATGCATATATCAAACGTGCTAACATAATTTATTTATAGTTCATAGTTCATTGATCGTTCATAGGTGAGAACAGGAAGAGTTTCCATCAAATACATAAAGAATTAACATGATTATTTAGGTAATTTAAGAAATGGGGCCGGGTGCCGTGGCTCACGCCTGTAATCCCAGCACTTTGGGAGGCAGAGGCCGGCAGATCACGAGGTCAGGAGATCGAGAGCATCCTGGCTATGGCTGACATGGTGAAACCCTGTCTCTACTAAAAATACAAAAAAAAAAAAAAAAAAAAAAAAAAAAAAAAAAAACCAGGCATGGTGGCAGGCGCCTGTAGTCCCAGCTACTCAAGAGGCTGAGGCAGGAGAATGGCGTGAACCCAGAAGGCGGAGCTTGCAGTGAGCCGAGATCGCGCCACTGCACTCCAGTCTGGTCAACAGAGCGAGACTCCGTCTCAAAAAACAAACAAAAAAAAGGAAACGAATCCTGATTATTTTTAACATCTCTGCCAGAAGACGGCCAGAAATTAAGAATTTGTTTGTTTCTTTCTGGCTTACTTCTACTAATTAATTCATCCTACAAACCCAATTTAGTAGTCAGAAAAGCAGGGCCTGCCCCCAAAGTGGAATATGTATTCTATTTTCACCTAGGATAATGTCCAATGTGTGATATTTGTATTCTTTAGAAATCCAGCAAAATAATATAGGCTAATGATATTTTACCCAAGAACTTTGTCTTCCTTTATCAAAATAAAGCACTTGAATCAATATTTATCTCAATATGTGATTCCATATCTCACTCAGTAATTTTGTATTGCTTTTTAAGTTTTCAGTTGAAATCATCACTAAAATGTAGCAATGATATAGTAATGATATCATGGGTTTCTTTTTCCATAGAAGCAATTGTTTTTAGTTGCTGATTATATCAAAATCTCATTTTTGAATGCCAGTAGCACTAATTAATAACATGGTAAACTTAATAAAAATTTAACTGCATTACTCAGTAGGAATAACTGAATCCATTATGCCTTTAGAAATAATATATTTAGGTAAGCAAGCATGCATTCGATTCCAGAGTTGGGTGAATTAGTTTTAATATGGATTGCTGCAATGTAACTCCTTTAGGAAGTTTCTGATCATTGTCTTACATATGATTACTAAGAAACATATAATAATTTCTTAACCTGAATAATGTAGTGTTTCTGTTTCTTCATAAATTTTGGGTTTGAAAGATATTAGTTATGAAACATTACAATAGATAGTGTGTAGCAGTTTAAAAATTATACCTTGATTACATGTGTGGGACACTATTTTGTTTGTTATATTTGCAATAAACATATGTCTGGAAGCACGCAAGGATGACTTCAAATAATCTCACCGCTCTCATGAACAACTGATTATTGTGGAAATACTTGTCCTTCTGAGTTTAGGCCACTGAGTATCTTTCTCTACATCCATGAGAAGTGTGTCCAGCACCACCTTTCATGCCCAACTAAAAGTCACAATGGATGATTTCAATATTTGTTCTAGACAAATTGCATTTAATCAATGTGTACTTCACTCTTTTCCTTCATTTCCTTTTTTGTGGAATCTGATGCCCAATATTATTAACCTAATTTATCAACTGGCTACTTTCTAGGCTTTGGGATCTGGCTCTGTTTCTTAACTTCTGTACTTATCTAAGCCCTGTATCATTGAGTCTTTGGAAATGATGCCCTTGTTTGGAATAACTTTAGGACCCAGAGATGACTCATCTGAACTGAGGTTTAAGAAAAACTGAAAATATAAAAGGACAATAATCTTGACCAGGACTACTAAAACAGAAATATTAACCTAGATACACATTGCTTAAGTTGTATCAAAATATTAAGAACAAATTGGTAGTTACTTCTAGAACTACACTCTAGTTATATGTATATATTTTAAAAACAGAGTACTATGTTTATATTTTATCATAGTTAATAAATTATATATAGTAACCATAGAGTATAAGCTTAATATTTTCACCTAAATTTTAGTTTTGCTTAAAGAGTCACTGGTTATAAAGGTCACATTTTGTTATTTCAAAGGAGAGTTACTAGAACAGGAAGTTACAACAAACATTTGCCTTGGTGATTCCATTTTCTTCATCAGAAAATACAAATTAAGTATATTTCTTAACTATCTTAAAAATAAAGATCCTGAATAAAAATTATATTGTGTATTGGGATGAGCAAAATGCAAAGGAGATTTAAACCCCTAAAGTTCCAACATGTGGAAAAGAGTACATTGTTACAGCTTCCTTTCAAAGACTTGGTAATTTCTAGTGAAGGTACCACACACTTCTAAGGCTAATACTGAAGCAGTACATTCTCTATCGCCCCCTGGCGGCAACTACTTTGATTGACAGTACCTCTGTCATGGAGGCTATTAAACCTTTCGGATGTCACTCCTATCATCCAAAAAGTCCACTTCTTGGTCCGTGTTCTCTTACATGTATATTTAGGAACATATATTCAAGGATGCTCATTGCAATAATTATAATGTCAGAAATCACCATTGAGGGCAATTTATAAACATCAGTAGACATAAGAAAAAAGAAAGATTTTGATGGGGGCAATTATGTTGCATACATTTTGATTGGAAACTGGAACATTAGTTATAAAGTTCTGCTATCAAGAACTACTAGAAATGAAGGATGCCTGGCTGGCCCGCTGCTTCAGGGAAGGCTTTACACATGGTGTTGTTACAATCTGATCTCCAGCCTTTAGGTATGGAACCTGAGGACCTCAAGCTGTCAGCCCTCTTAGATGTGATTTTGCTCAGAAGAACTGATTCTCAGTGGCTAATATCACAAAAGAAAGGGATAGATAAACAAGAATGCTGATTTATATACTCACAATGACAGAGACATCTAACTGGATAACTAGCACCTGCCATTTCCCCAGATTCTCCCTCCTTAAGCAAATCAACCTAAGGCAACCAAATAAGAGATTAGAAGGTTAGTCTGTGTGCACTGGGTTAGAACAAAGGGTCATATATTTAGAGATATTTCAATATATGACTCAGAACTAGTTGAGCTTACTTTTTCCTGCTTAAAAGATATTGTCACCCAAGTAATTGATAATAGTTTTTAAAGTTAGCCATCTTTTCCCTTTTCTGAACTAAAGAAATATTTTCGTATTGTATTTGTTTTTTAAAAACAACAAAATACAAAGCCATGCAGATAACTTCTCTCCTTCTCTTACTACTTAAAGTTACTGTATATTTATATACGTGATATATGTGAAATTATTCAGCTTTTTCTTTAGCACGGGGTGGGGGGATACCGTTGGCTTCAGGATATACTCTCAACAATTTGACTATGCTTTGGAGTGCTCTGTAGGCCCATTCAAGCTTCATTTAAAAACTTATATTCCCAGCCATAATAGACTTTGACAAGACAAAAACACCTGTTCTGACTTTCAAAAAATATGCCATTCAGGGAAAAGAAGAGTAAGCACGCAACATTTCTAATTTCCAATCGTAATTGAGATAGGCATTAATATACAATGGTATAGTAAAATCAAAGAGAAGAAAGCAAAACTCCAAAATAGCTGATCTTTGGAAAAAGATTTCTGGAGAATAAAGAATTTGAATTGATCTGAAGAAAGAGTAGGAATAAGTTCTTTGACTGCCAAAAGAAATGTACAGTTAAGATAATGTACAAGCGTACACCTTCCTGATTTATGAGAAACTCTGGTTTTCTTGATTAGAACTTAGAAACAGCCTACTCTTGGTAGCCTCTCAATTCTAAACCTTTTAAGCAAACCCCGTTTGTTGAGATGATGAATGCCGTCTTTCATATTCACTAATTTTAATATCAGAGAAGAATTTTTTTCAGCTTCATGGAACAATTTTGAAGATTTACCTGATTTGGAGTTTTAGTCTATAGTGGAATCATCATAACTAGAACAGCCCATATCTGAATCTCACTGGTTAATTGGGGATTTGATATAATTTGAATTCTTAGTTTATTGCCCTATCAAAGCAAATCCTGTATAGTTGGTAACATTGGCCTTCAGGCTATGAAAACTAGAAAAAACCATCATTGATTTATTCAGTGTTGAGTGTGCATATTTGAAATTTTAATAAAAGTGCCACGTTTCTACTGTTTCAAAATCCTTCATTACTAGGGTCAGGGTATTACTAATTTTATGCTTTCTAACATTTTAATGTTGAGCCATGCACAGTATCTCCCTTTCCTTTATTTTCAGTTGCCAACTGCATCAACAAAGACTACTTTTATCATTAGCCTTTTCCCCAAAGTGATTGAATGCAGCTTCTAGAAAAAGCATAAATCCTCGTGATGAAAAGACGTCGTGCAACTGAGCCTATACCATTCTGCCATATTCTAAATAATACTAATATCAGAAATTGGTGATAATAAGAATTATAGTCCTTTAGCAAGAAGGGCCTCCCTAAACCAAATATTGCATTGGCCAGGTCACAAAAAAATGGGAAGTGGTGTAACAGATTCAGGTCAGCATTCTGTGAAAAGTGCTTGCCACCAACGTTTTGCATAAAATTTTTAGAAAACTTGGTGTCACAATAACAGTTTGACTTAAGGACTGTTTCTGTGCCATCGTTTATAACGTATAACTCGTATATGACCTTTTGAAAACATTTTTATTTTTGTCACCAATATATTGTAAGTATAATCCAAAGACTTTAAATAATCTTCAGATATATACTTCATAGCATTACATTGTATAAAACACTATAATTTATTTAATAACTCTATTTATATATGTATTTAGATTATTTTCCAGTTAGACTATTACAATAATTAAAACTACAAATCCACAGCTTTAAATAAATTCTTGATTGTTTCTCCAAGAAAAAAAAAAACTTAGAAGCTGAGTTATTAGATTAGGGGTTTAAGCATATGGAAGATTCTTGATATAACTTGTCAAATTGACCTCCCGAAAGTCTGTACTAGTTTCCACTGCAGTGGCTTTGAATGAATTAAAAAACATACAAATAAAATGTGTCTCATTCTGGCCTCATTGAAAATAGGTGTTGGGTTCTCCATTAAATCTTATTCTCTCAGCTCTCAAAAACCATAACGCAGCTAACTTTAATTGGAACTGGTGTTATGTGGTTCAGCCAATAAGCAAACGTCTTGCTTTATTATTTAGATTTTAAGCCTGTTTGGGCTATGTTATCCTTGGGAGAGCAAAAGTAACTTTTATTTTGTTTCTGATTACACATTTAAATCCTGTATTTTCACCTGGCTTGCTGAAATGGTCTGATTTAAAAAATAAATGAGTAGCCCTTCAGGGTTTCTATAAAAAAAAATGCAGCAAAATAATTTAAGTTCTTTGTATTTATACCAAACAAAATATATATAATGGTATTATTTATGGCCTATTTTACTTTTGAAACATTTTGATAAATAGGATACTAATAGAATGAACTGGGGTATATGGTCATAGAACCTGAACATTTATTTTAGCATTTATGTTTGCATTAGCGACAAGAACTAATTTTCTAAATCCTCAACTGTGACGATTAACTCGTGATGTTAGGTAGTTCCAATCAGGCTTCTCTATCTTAAATGATTTCAAAGTGTTCTTTCTGTGGATTTTGGAGGCTTTATCAGAAACAGACATAGAAAAACCTGCTAATTATTTCTGACCCTGACAAGAGTGAGTTTGTTTTCTTGAGCACAATTAGAGATGATGTGTGTGACTAAGGAAGAGGTGCGATTTCCCCGTAACAAGCTGACCTTTAAAAGGAAAGTACAAAAACTTAAGTCATAAAATGAACGAAAACAACACATATAAACTTCTAGACATTCTTTCAAAACCACAGTCTATTTTTATTCTCAGAATTTCATGGGAACCTCTTTCAAATTTCCACACATAATTTGCAAATGTTTTATATCCTAGTGGGCGGTATATTTGTTTAGAGGTCCGGCTTTAATTTAGAGGTCAGGCTTCATATTTATTTATTTAGAGGTCAGGCTTTATATCCTAGTGGGCAGTATGTTTATTTAGAGGTCAGTATAAATTTTTATACTTGGTTTGTATTGATTTATATTATTGGCTCTTCATTTTTTTGTGTTAAAATTATTCAGAGTTAGTTTTCATCAATATGAATTTAAACACGATCAAATAAGTCAACAAGCCATATATATATATATATATATAATATTCTTGATTTTTCACTACTTTAGCTATTGCTTACTATAATATAAACAGCATGAATACAATAGCTGTAAAATCAATCATTATTCTTTCTTAATAATAAGTAAAATGAAGCTTAGATTGTTTAAAATTTGGCTCCAAACATACATGCAGTAAATGATAGACATGAGATTAACTTCTACGTCTATATTCTGTAAAGTCTTAACTCTTAACTACAAAAAATATTATATAAAACATAAAAATTGCTTCATGGGCTGACAACACTAACAGATCTGTAGATTTTCCAAATGACAATATGTGAAAAAAACAAAACAAAAACAAGAAGGATCAATCACATTAGCACTTTCCCAATAGAGCTACCCATTTGCAAAATTATTAGTGAGCATCCAGATTTAAAACACAGCTTCTTTGAGTTATAATAATACTCTTCCCCTTAGTGACAGCAATACCTATAGTCACTAAGCCTTAGTTTATTCTTTATTATTATTACATGAAATCTTATAACTATAATAATGCCCTCAGCATGTCAGAAATATATCAACTAACTAAAAATAAGTGGTAATTTACAACTACATTAAAAATATCATTACCCATATCTTACCTTCATTCAATAAAAATGTGCCAAATAACTTTAAAATATTTAATGGAATCGCGATCAAATATATTTATTTTTGAAATTCAAATTTGCTCAAATGAAAGTAATCAAAGGAAGGATAATAAACTTACAAAGTTAAACTAAAAATTTGCAAGCGAGTAATGCTTACAATGTGAATTTCACATATTAATAGCACGCAAAAGTCCTGAAACCCTGTCAATTGTTCCATGGAGGTATTTTATGTGGAAATATGAATTTTATATTTTCTAATATTTTATCATGAATATTTTCAAAAGTGCAGAAAAGTTGAAAGAATTTTACTTTTAACTTGTGGACTAACCACCCAGATTCTATAATCAATATTTTGACCTTACTTGCTCCATATTTCATCTGCCTCTCTATTCATACATCAATGCATCTTAGTTTTTATACATTTCAAAGTAAGTTGTAGACATTAGTACACTTTCTCCCAAATACTTCATTGCACGTAGTTAATCATTATTAACTGGAGTTTAATGTTTGCTTATGATTTTTTTCTTTTGAGGTAAAAATTATACACGATAAAATGCATAAATCTCAAATGTATGACTCAATGAGTTATGACAAATGCATAAGCTCAGGCAACTGAAACCTCTGTCAAAATACTAAACAGCACCGTCTCCCAGGAATTTTCCTCACATCCTTTCCCAGTATATCTCTAACCCTTCCCCTCACTACCCAGAGACAATCATTGTTCTGATTTTTTTTTGCCACAAATGAAATATAATACAGTATGTAGTCAATCATTTGTGTGAGACCTCTTTGACCCAACATAATATGTTTGAGATCCATCCATGTTGTATGAATCAGTACTTAATTCCTTCTTATTGCTGAGTAGTTTTCTCTGTATAAATATAACAGAATTTATCTATTTTCCTACCAATGAGTATCTAGACTGTTTCTAACTTTGAGATATTATAAAGCTGCTATGAATATAAATCTTTTTATGGAATTACACACTTTTTGTATCTCTTGGAATAAAATTCGAGATTATGGGGTAGTGTGTGTTTGGTTTTATAAGAAACTACCAGAATGTTTTCCAAAGTTGTTGTATCATTTTACAATCTCAAAGTACCATATGAGACTCCTGATGGCTCTGTATCTTTGCAAACATACAGTGTTGTCTGTCATTTTAATTTTAGCTGCTCTGATGGGAGTTTATTGGTATCTCAGTACCATCCATGAGAATAGCATATTAAATTACATTTCTCTGAAGACAAACCAATTAGGGCACTATTATAATTACATATTGCTATTTGTATATCTTCCTTTTTGAAGTGACTCTTCAAACTTTTGTGATTTTTGAAGGGTTGGGTTTTTTAATCTCTGAGTTGTAGGACTTATTGAAATATGTTAGATACAAATTCTTTGCCATATAAAGTTTTGCAGATATTTTTCCCCTAATTTTTGGCTAGTCTATTCATTTTCTTAATGGTATCTTTTAGTAATCAGAAATGTTCTTTATATAATCTAATTAACGTTCTTCAAATATGTTTTTTTTCTGCATTATTGTAAAAAGTCTTTGCCTGCCTCCAAGTAGCAAATATATTTTCCTATTTTTTTCAGAGCTTTACTCCTTTAGCTTTTAGATTTAGATCAAAAAGACACACACACACACACACACACACACACACACACCCACAAACACACAACATTCTTCTTAAGAGTAGCATATCACATATATCAAAATATTTAAAGAGTAATAATTTATGACCAAGTATAGTTTAGCCTGAGAATACAACATTGGGTTAATTTCATTGTGATTTATCACATTAACATACTAAGAGAAAATATCATATGATCATTTCAATAATGCAAAAAGGCATTTGACAAAAACAATTCATAATAAAACAAAACAAACTCTTGTCTCTCTAGAAATACGAATGGATTTTTCTCAATCTAAAAAAAGCACCTATAAAAAACCTGCAGCTAAATAATATTTAAGGGTGATGTATTGAATGTTTTCTCCCTATGATTTCCAATTTTCTCATATATTTAAAAGTGTCATGATGTGCTAAATGCTTCCCAAATTCCTCTTATTCCTTCTCCAAATTACTTAAATCAAGAATATAAGCAAATAAAAGAAATAAAATGAAGCACATATTGTCTCCAAAATAAGTGGTACAGATAATCATACAGAAGGGTTTCATGAAGATGACTGATCACAAATAGCATGGATTTTGTAGATAATACAGAAAATAGAATTTCAGAAGTTTCAGAAGGAGGGGAGAGAGAGGCAATAGGGATTGGGTAGAGCCTTATAAGGATTTGAGTGGAGGAGAAGAAAAATTGCCTCAGACTGTGGGGCTTTTGGGGATGACCAAAGTAAATATAAATTAAGAATAAAATGAGATTAGTCCTGGTAAACCCAAGTCAGACAGTTGTGGTTAAATTATAAACATTGGATATAAGAAGGGCTGACTTTTGAAGACTCCCATTTCACCATTGATGATGAGGCTCTGGGGAGGGGAGAGGGTAGGGTCTAGGTTTCTTACTTAAGGCCTCTTCCTAACCCATGATGATGAGGGGCAGGAGAAAATATGAAAGTAGGAAACAAAAATATTTTCAAGTATATAGAAGTTTTAAACAACATAATTTGCAAATTGATCTAATTGGAAAGACATTTATTACAAGAGTATCTGGGTATAACAAAATGTAGCCATTTAGGGTATATACAAATTTCACAGGTTTCAAAGAATAAGTCCCCTCTAGACCTCATTTACTGATTATAGAACATTTAATTTACAAAGTCTATACACTTAAAAATTAAGAACATCTAAAGAATTCCTTCATCAAAGAAGAAATCATGATGAAAATTGGAAATACATAAAATTGAACATAATGAAAATACCACATATCAGCATTTGCCAGTGTAAGCCAAATAGTGCAGAAGTAAAATTTGTAGCTTTAAATGTATTGTTTGCAAATAAAGAGATTTTGAATAGTAATGTACTAAACACTTTTGAGCTCAGAAAAAAAATCTAAAAAATTTTGTTAAAGTGAAATAATATATTTTCAAAAAAAATTGAAATATAAACCTAGATAATACAAATTGAGTCTTAAGAAGCCAAAAGTTATGCCTGTGGACCCAGCTACTCAAGAAGCTGAGGGCAGAGAATTGCTTGAGCCTGGGAGGTAGAGGCTGCAGTAAACTGTGATGGTACCACTGCACTTTAGCCCAGGTAACAGAGCAAGACCGTGTGTGTGTGTGTGTGTGTGTGTGTGTGTGTGTGTGTGTGTGTGAGAGAGAGAGACAGGATGGAAGGAGGGAGGGAGGGAGGGAGGGAAGAAGGAAGGAAGGAGAGAAGAGATAGAGGAAAAGGGAGGGAGGGAGGGAGGGAAGGAAGAGCCAAAAGCTGGCTTTCTAAAATGACCAAGAAACTTGATATATCTCTGGAAAGATGGCTTAAGAATTTTAAAGAGAAACTATAAATAAGTTAGAAAATAAAGGGGACCATAAGTATAGGTATAGAAGATATTAACAAGAAATTATGAAAAATGTGTGCCAATAACATTAAATAATTTCAAGGCTGAAATAATTTACTAAAACCAACTTAGGAAAGAAAAGCTGAAATATTCTATAACTATGAAGAAATTAAAATTGTAATTAAAAATCTTTAAACTCTTTCACATCGATTGCTAGTGGAAATGTGACCACTTTGGAGAAATGTTTGGCAGTATCTTACAAATATAAACACAAACCCACCCTTTGAACCAGCAATTCCACTCCTAAGTATTTACTCTACCGGATGAAAACATACCCACACAAAGATTTTCACAAAATATGTATAGCAGCTTTACTAACAATAGGCAAAACTCTAGAAACAATCCAAATGTCCAACAACAGGAGAGTAAATAAATTGTTATATTATATAATGGAATTGTACTCAGCAATAGAAAGGAATGAACTATAGGCAACATCATGGGTGAATCGCACAGACATTATGTTGAGTTAAAGAAAATGAACACATTAGAGTACCTTCTGTATGATTCCATTCATATGACGTTTCAAAGCAGACAAAACTAATTTTTGGTGAAAAAAATTAGATTAGCAGCTCTGGATGCAAATGAGGCAAAAAATAACTTTCTGGAATGATAAAAATGTTTTTGTACCTTAATAGATTATACTATATCAATTTGTCATAATTATACAATTAGGATTTGTGAAATTTAATGTATTTTGAAGATCATATAAAATATTAAAATAATAGGAGGCATGGAGGGAAAGGTATAGATGAAGCAAGAATAGCAAAATGTTCATAGTTGTTGAGCCCAAGTGATGGGAGATTACTGTATTCTTCTGTCGAATTTGCATAAGTTGAAATTCATTTAATATTAGCAACTCTAACTACAAAGAGACCCTGTATAGGGTATAATTCATGAAGGGTTAAAGGTAGAAAACTATGATTATTTTAATATATATTTTTAAAAGTCCATAAAATTCATCATTATTCTTGAGAACAATTTTTGTGAATGGTAAATAAAAAGGAACTCTGTAACTTAAAGGAATATCTGTCAAAATGTATAGAAAGCATCAACAATTTCATTGGTGACTATTTAGAAATATTCTCTAAAATGAGAGGCAAAACAGGGATGATCATTATCAACAATTTTACTCAACTATATATTGAAAGTCTTAACAATACAGGAAGGAAACCAAAAAAGACTACAAAATTTTAATGAAATAAAACTCTAATTATTCAGAGATAGTATTATAGTATGCATGTTAAATCCAAAATAATACAAAGAAAAAATTTTAGAATTAAGAGTTGAGGTAAGGCTGGATATAGAATTAATATGTAAAATATAATTGTATTTTTTGTAATAACAATAAAGAGATGATAACAATTTTAAAATTCCACTTAGGATGCAACAAAAAATATAAAATACCTAACAATAAATCTAACAAAATATTTGTGGAGAAAATTGTACAATCTTATTAAAAGATTATTTAAAGAATTCTACAGAAACAAATATTCACAGTGAAATCAAATATAAAGATGTCACCTCACTCAAATTAATGTGTGGATTCCATTTAATTCCAATAAAAAGTCAACAGGGTTTTTCCTAAAATTTGGCAAATATTTTTCTAAAATTTTTTGGAGAAAAAAGGACAACATACTCCTAAAAGGTACCCAAATGAATATTTGCTGTTGTAGAGTAAAAGACCTACCATAAGTCTATGGTCATTAAAACCATGTGGTGCTACTACAGTGGTAGACAAATAGGCTGATGGAACAAGATACAGAATCTGGAAACAGAGCCATGTTGATATTGAAGCTTGACTCACAAGGAAGTGGAATTTTAAAGAAGAGGGTAAATGATGGAATGAGTGGTACTAGAATAGCTGATTTTCAAAAAATCAAAAAGATGAAATTGGATTCTGCTTATACCATAAACAAAATCAATTCAAGGTGTATTACATACAAACAAGTAAACAAGACTTTAACTATTTTTAAAGAATATATAAAGAAGGATACCTTTATGAGTTCTAGATGAAAAATATTTTTTAAATGAGACAAAAATGTTTAAGCATAAAAAAATGATTACATTAAAATTGAGAGTTTGTATTCATCAAAAGATTGTATTAAAATTCAAAGAAAAATTATAAAATGAGAGAAGACATTTGTTATACACCTAATTGATAAAGATTAATAACCAGCATGCATATCTAAAATTTCAATAAAAAACGTTAAAAATATAAACAATCATTTCACAGGGGATGAAACACAAATGTCCCTGTCATGTAAGAAAATGTCCTTATTGATTATTATTCAGGGAAATCCAGATGGAAACCACAGTAAGATTGCATCATGTGTATAAAGTTTGTACAAAAAGGCTGAGTGATAGGCTAAATAATGCCCTCTCCTGCCACACCCTAATCTCCACAATTTATGAATGTCACCTTATGTGGTTAAGAGGAAATTTGTAGATGTGATTAAGGATTTTGAGATGAAGAGCATATCCTGGGTTATCCAGGTGTTCTCTAAATACAATCACAATGTCCTTATTGGCGTGACACAAACAGAGGTTTGACTACAGCAGAAAAGGAGGTGATGAGATGACAGAAGCCGAGACTGGAAAGATGCACTTGAAGGTGGAGGAAAGAACCATACGCCAGGCACTACAGCCAGCCACTAGAAGCTGAAAAAGATAAGAACACTGATTTTCCCCCCCCAAATCCTCCAGAAGAAATTAGTCCTACCAGCATCTTGACTTTAGCCCAGTGAAACTGACTTTGGAATTACAGCCTCCAGAATTCTAAGAGGATATATATGTGTTATTTTAAACCAACAAATTGTGATAATCTGTTACAGCAACAATAGGAAACTAAAAAATACAGTCTGATAATACCATGTGTTGGCAATAATCTAGGTCTTTATACAGAGGGAGGCAAAGTGAATTGATATTACTACTGCGTAACTGTCTTGTAAATTAAACCTAGATTTATAATATAAGACCCAGGGATTCGAATCTTAAATGCTGACCCAGATAAATCCTCAAATATGTGACCCAGTAGACATGTACAAAAAGTTTCAAAGAGTTATTGATTGAATAGAAAATAACTGTAAACAAAATATCAGTAGGAGAATAGATAAATGAACGTTGGTGTGTTCAAACAATCCAATAGCACATACAAGTAAAAATAAATAACGATAGCTACTCACACCAAAATGTATACATATTTGACGTCTGTTAAGTGAAAAAAGCATACCTGAGAGAAATACAGTGCCACCATTTTTTAAATCTCAAAAGCAAGATAAAAGAAAAAAGCAAGAGGATATATTTTTAAATTCAATATGGTGGTTCAGTATTGTGATTCGTTGAGAGAGGTAGAAGGACGTGAGCAGGGAAGAGCTCTGAGAAAACTTCAAATATGACAATGTGCTCTCAAGGAGGCTGGGAAATTCATATATGCGATGGCTTTATTGATGTGGCAACTCTGCTCGGATATAGTCCCCAGTTACTCATACATTTATCTAGGTGTTGCTGTGGAGGCATTCTGTAGATATATTTAAAGCCCATAATCAGGTGACATAAAGTAAAGCAATATTCCCTCAGGTAATCTGGGCAAACCTAACTGAATCTGTGGGAAGGCCTTAAAAGCAGGTTTGAAGTTTCCCTGGGAGAAAGAGAGAGAAAAAAATCTGCCTGTTCTCCTAGAGGTCTGTACTGCTCATTATCTCCCCTTCCTGACTGCCTGTCCTGTGGTTTTGGACTGGCTTAGCCAACCCCTATATCCTGTTAGCCAATTCCTTGTAATAAATAATACATATATCTGTCCTATGAGTTCTATTTCTCTGGCTGAATCCTGACTGATATAATAGATGTTGCTTTACCATTTTCCTATTTACATGTAATGATCATATTCACTGTTTTTGGAGCAGGGTAAAACGTCATTCTTTAAATATTCTTCATTTTCTTTTATTTTTCTTATTTTTTGGAGGGGTAACCAGATCATATAAAATGCATTAGTGTTTAAAATGAAGGGCTGGGCCGGGAGCGGTGGCTCACGCCTGTAATCCCAGCACCTTGGCAGGCCAAGGCGGGCGGATCACGAGGTCAGGAGATTGAGACCATCCTGGCTAACACGGTGAAACCCCGTCTCTACTAAAAATACAAAAATTAGCCGGATGTAGTGGTGGGCGCCAGTAGTCCCAGCTACTTGGGAGGCTGAGGCAGGAGAATGCCGGGAACCCGGGAGGCGGAGCTTGCAGTGAGCAGAGATCTCATCACTGGACTCCAGCCAGGGGGACAGAGCGAGACTCCATCTCAAGATAAATTAAATAAATAAATAAATAAATAAATAAATAAATAAATAAATAAATAAAATGAAGGGCTGAATGCTGTTTGATAAAGACTAAAAGGATTATGTTATCTAAATGAATTAAAATAATCTCATAATTCTGAAAGAATACTTAAACGAGTTATGTTTTAGATCTATAAAGTACTACACAGTAGTCCCTGAAAATGTCTCATTCGGAAAAGGGAATTTGTTTTTAAAGCATTTATAACTTACGGGTGTCTGGCCAGTCCAATCTCATAGTCTGTTTAAATAAAATATAGGAAGACACAAATATCTCAACTGAAAACACACCCACACACAAACACAAAGTAAAAATTTTAAAGTACGTTTTTATCTGAAGTCACTTCACTGAACCTTCTTCTAATGATTGCTAGGAGCTGCTATAGTGCCTCAGCAGTTACCTGTCACCTGCTCTCAGGAATGTGGCAAACTAAATGCTTGAAAAATCCTAGTTTGAAACCACTCAAGAGGCTAGAAAGGATCAGACCACTGTGACAGTTTCCTAAGGAGGTGGAGAAAAAGAAGGCTGAGACTTAAACATTGCACCAAAGGGAGAAACTGTTCTGTAGAATAGGGAGAGCTAAATGAATTAATGCTTTAATTAACCAAAATGAAACTGGAGCCAACAGTTAACTTCTGCAGCAGGTAAGCAGAAGGGAGAAGAGGAGCGTGAATGGAAGAAAGACCTGGTAGAGAAAGTGACTGAGTAGTGACACCGGCATAGTGTCTGACATTCACTGCCTGTGTGGCCTTGGAAGGTTACGCTTCGCAGAATTGACCTCCTACTCTGCCAGAATGAGTGTGCTAATAGTATCCACATCATAGGCAATGGTGGCATGAGATTTTCTACAGAAGAATGGTTTGTATGGCAATCTAATGGAAGTGAAGAAGAAGATGGAGGATTCTCTTAAGGCTATAAAGCATACTGTTTTTACTTAGACTTTTTATTTACTGTTGTTTAAGATTAAGATACAGTACTAATAGAATTGTAGTGATGAATAATGAGATAATGCACACAGTGCAGTTTGTGTTTGCAGCATGATGCTGGCAAACAAAAACACTTTATAAATTATAGCAGTAATAATTAATACTAATTATTATACCAAGTGTTCTTTTCTTCTTATTTCTATATATATTTGTCAAATGTTCATAACCTAAAACAAATGACTTTAATTTGAATTTGATTGAAATTTATATTATGCAATATACCTAAATATATGAGACAACTTAATACTTGATTTGTAAAGATTTTACTTCTATATTTATAAAAGGTTGACTCCTGGTTTTTCAGAGTGGAAAGCAAAATTCATACAGAGATTCTTTTAAAGCAAAAAACACCAGGTGTTAAAAAATGAAATTAATAGCGCTTTTAAAAACACATATAAATCACTTTCATAGTCTCCATTAGATGCATTATGTACACACTAAATTAGTCAATATTGCATGTGAACAAGATTCCTTATATTTATTCTAGGCATATGACCATATTTGTGTTGCTTTTTATCTTCAATATGCCCACATGACAATAAATGATCATTTTGTTAATTTAAAGTGTTGCTGTTTCTGACATTTATTGTACTTTCAATAAAATAATCAGACAGGCTAGGCCAGAAACATATTACGTCTGGAAAATCATTTCAATAACACACAGGCTCATTGGTGGTATACTAACTAGGGTACTTTCTGAAATAATCACTTAGAACATAGCAATTAAACAAAATTATCCCAGACTGAAAATGCACTCTGAACAGAGAGTTATCGTCATCATCATAATATTAATAATAATCAAATAATAACTCATACTTCACATGGAAATGCATGTATGTTTTCCATGATTTACACAGGCTGGCTGAATTTAGGTAAACCCATTAACTTGGAAGATTAAAAACATCATGGGTAGTGAACTATGAAATGTGGTTCTCATGAAGGCAATCGTGTCAGAAAACTTTATCATAATGAAACTGCTTCTTCTTGGAAATGCTCTATCAGACTTTTGGACAGACTATGTTAATTGCAAAGAACAGTTATTGACTGTGTTTCTAGAGCTCATATAGCACAGTAATTATTAAAACAAACAAGATGAAATTAGTTATTTATCTGTTTTGTCTTATATTCTGAGTTCAAACTCTGGAATCATAGGTGCATTATATAGGAATCGGTCATTATATTCACTGATGCCTAAGGACATCATTAGATTTTCTTAAAACTTACTTTCTCACCTTTTAAGCTTTCATCACTCTTATAGATGTCTCATATATTCAGTTTTCTCTCCAGCCTTTCTTTCTCATGTAATTTATCTTTTTGCTATACCATTTAAAAATTATAATAACATTTATATAGCATACTTCTGAGTCAGCATGGCTCTAAACTTTTTACATAAACAAATTTGTTTAATCTTAACAACAATCCTAATAGTAAACATTAGTTTGCTATTATCATTTCTACTTTATGAATAATGTAAATTGAGGTTAAGACAAAGATAGTAGGTGATTTGTCTAAAATCACACATAGCTGATATATGGGTAAGTGGCAGATCCAGGATTTTTATTTACTTTTTAAATTTTCAATATGAATTTAATACCATTTAACCATCCAATGCTAATTAATTGACAGTTCATGTCTACTCTTGTTTTTATATAATTCCCTTTCACTTCCTTTCCCAAGTGGATTATTTTGAAGCAAATTTCAGACATATTATTGTTTATTTGTAAGTATTCCAGCAAGCATCTCTAAAATATGAGAACTTCCTTAAACATAACAACAACAAAAAATTGTCAAACTCAAATTAATAATTATTTCTCAAAATCCAGTCAGTCTTTAAATTCTCATGTTTTTTTTTTCATAAACATACTTTTCTATTGGCTTGTTTGATTCAGAATCCAAACAGATCCACATAGTCTGTATGATTGATGTGTCTCTTAAGTTCCTTTTAATTCCTTCTTTCTCTGTTTTTCCTCTTTGTTGCAAAAAGCAAATTTTGTTCTCTGGAGTTTTCAGAATTTTGGATTTTGCTGATTGATTTAATATGTCCCTCTTCACTTTGTACTCCCTGTAAACTGGAAATTAAGTCTAGGGGCTTGATACGATTTGCTGTTTTGTATGTTTTTGTTGTTATTGTTTTGTGTTTTCAGTTGGCTTGGTTTGGTTTGAAAAACTATGCCATAGGTGTAGATCCTGGGCTTGAAACTAGTCTGGCTTCAGAGTCTGTGCTCTTAATGACCTCACTACATATCCTCATAAATATTACATGCTCCTTCCTTTCTTATTTGTGACTTCATTGACTCTCTTTCAAGAAGCCTTCCATTATACAAGCAGAGTGTCACAGAACCTTAGTCCTCCTTTGTCCATAATACCTTACTTACTTTGTATGTCATCTCTTTTGTAGCATTTTTCACATCCCAAGATATTGAAAAAAAATGTTAATATATCTCATCACTAGTAATTTGAAACAAAGGAATGTGTTTTGATTTTTGTATTTCTAGTATCCAGCTAATATCTGATACATAGTGATAAATAAACATTCATGAGAGAAAACGTGTAAGTGAATACCTAAGTATAGGATTGACTGAAGTAGAATTGCTTAAAAATCATAAGACAGCTAAGCATAGAGGAATTAAAGACATAAGGTGGAAGATACCCATTTAAAATAACAGCTACAAAAAAAGTCTCCAAACCCAGGATTCTAATCCAGAATCCCAAGCAAATCATGAAGTATTTTTGACATGTTAGAAGAAAAGAAAAAAGTAAAAGCTGTCTATGAGGGTACCTTTTTGTAAACAAAAGAAAAGAAAATTGATCAATTTAAGGAAAGCAAAGTTCATTACAAATAAAGAGCCCAGAGAAGTAACAGCAGGTGAGAGTAGTAGTGTTGGGAAAGAGAAGGCACTGAAGCAGCTCGCTGGGGCTGAGACAGGAACTTCAGGAGTGGTCATAGTGCGGCCACTGGGAAGGAACTAACTCCAGAGCTCTGCTTTCTTGGCACCCTGATCCAGATTCCATTTCCAGGGAGGGATCAACCAATCACCCACATTTGATCTTATCCTTGACCTTGGACTGGGGAAGGGTAGGGCCCCTGACTTGAGGTCCCACTGAACTGTATCCCATGGAAAATAGACAATTCCTCCAAAGGAAAAGTGGTGCTGTTAAGAAGGAAAAATGTAGTTTAAATTCCTCTATAAAACTCCCAGCACTACCAATATTTCTAAAGTATTTCTGAAGTGCCTGTGCTGAGGATACAGCCAAGAACTTGATAAATATGAAACCTGCCTTTATGAAGTTAATAAAAAGCACAAACGTGTAATAGTTCCAAAAAGGTAAGTGGTTAAGTGTTGTAGAAACATAACAGGAGTAACTGACTCAACGTGGGTTTTCAGAGAGGCCTCCTTGAAGAATAAACATATGATCTGGATCCTGAAAGATGATAAGGGCTACCTAAATAATGGAGGGGTAAAGGGTGTACCCGGGTAAAGGAATAAAATGTGTCAAGTTGCTCAGACAAGACAACGGTGTTCTTTTATTAAACAGAGATAAGCCCAATGTAGATATAGTGCCAAAAAAACCCCATAAACAAACTGAATTGTGCAGCCAGGAACCCAGAGAGGAGCCAGGCTAAGGAGAATCCCGTGAAGATTTTGAATTTCATGCCAGTAACAAAGAGGAAATATAACAGGCTTCCAAATGGTTATGTGGCATACAAATTTTACAGCAATCAGTATAGCATCAGTGTAAAGAATGGCTTGTCTAGAGTAGAAATAGGAAGATTAATTCAACTAGTGGCAATGGGAATCTAAATAAATGGGCTGATTTAAAAAAATACTGTTAAGGCAGAATGAGCAGAACAGATTAAATGGATGGGGCTAAGTGAGAAGAAACTAGTCAAAAGACCGTCATTTCTGGCATGAGCAACAGGGTAGAGGGTAAGGGTCATTTGTTGAGATATCTTATACTAAACAAACATCAAGGGTTATATAAGGAATGTAAAGCACTTTGATTCAATTAGTCAACAACCAAGTAGAGATGCCAAGGAGGGCATCTGGAAATCCGTACCTGGAGCCCAGGAGAGATGTTTTTGCTGCAAATACAGAGTTAAGAGGTCTTAGGCGTAGAGATGGTAATCTGAGACATGGGAGGGAATGAGTTCACCTGGGGAAGAACATACAAAGGAAAAAGAAAAAAAGAACTTTGCTCAGAGACATAAAAAACAACAGTTAAAACATTTGGTTGTACATTTTGGAAGGGGCAAAAGAAGATGGAAGAACAAAGACTGAAAAAGAAATCCAAGAGTGTGTTAGGATAGACTGAGGAGAAAAGGTTGGGACAGGAAACAATTAGCAGTATTGAAGGATACTTGGAAATCAAGAAAAATAAGATTAAAAGTTGTTTCTTGGATTTAATCACATAGAAATAATTGTTAATATGAGTGAAGAAGATTCAGTAAAGTGTCGGGATGGAAGCCAAATGGGAGAAAATTGAGGGGTTGGAGGTGATATAAGCAAAAAATATTGGCAATTTGTTTAGAAGGTTTGTGAAAAGAAGGCAAGAGGAATAGGTGACGATAAAGAAATTTTAGTTCTGTTACCATTGGTAGTTGGAATTTTGCAAGCTATTATTATTGGTGCATTGGAATGTACAAGTTATTACCTTTAAATGAAAAAACTACTTCAGTTGAATTACTTTTATATCTTATGAGCCATTTTGTTTTACATACATGATCTTCAAGTTTTGTATCCCAGAAGAGCTGCCCAAAACTGGGATTGCAAATACAATCTTTTGCAACACAATTCTTCAGGCAGCTATTATATAATAGACTTGGCACTTGAGATGATACCTAAGGCTGAATCTGGACTCGGCAAGCAAGAGTGCTATGACTGATTAGCCATGTCTGCCATTAGCTCAGAACTAGGAACTGATCCTGCCAAATACGTGATGACACCAACCTAGAAGTTTCACTAGGCAATACAGCCCTTCTCAAAGAACTGGTTAGGTGATACTTAAGTCAAAATTAGTTTGATATAAATTCTCTTTATGTCTCAAATCCTGTTTATGCTCAACATGATATGATATGTGTTTATTAATACAGGGCCTATCTTTTGGTTTTCATCTAATGATATTGTCTCTTTGTACTTTGACAATATACTTTTGTAGAGCTGTCTGAATTTATAATTATATTTTTTAAAACTCTGTACATTTACATAGTGGTTGAGACATTTCATATACAACAATTCTATTAACTTTTCCATGTTAGCACATAAATTACTCAAATTACACATTACTCAAATAAATATGTCCCTCTCTGAAGAACAGCTGATTGCAACATGTTACATCTTTGAGAAAAATGTCTTTTTGCAGTTCAGTTGAGATTCACATGTGAATATAGACCCCTGAACTACAGATTACATCCACCTCATTGCCAGTGCTGCAACAGTGGTCTGAATGTGTTGCTTTTATCTCCCTATGGGTGAAGAATTATGGCAGCCAAAGAAAGGCAACAGGAAATGAGCAAAGCATCAATTTTAAGAGAAAGCATTCAATCTGAGTGTTAAATCTGAAAGGACAGAGCCAGAAAAGAAGGAAAAGATGTAGGGAGAAATCCCAGACTATTAATTATCTGTGTTGAAATTTTCCTTTGCCTTAACAGACATACCCCAGAGGTCATGTTCAATCACCCAAAGAACAGTACAGTTGGACCTCATTGACAAGATAACTAATAGACAATTAGGGTACAATGGGGGTGATTTATTTTCTTAACATGTCTCTAATTTGCCAGTCAGTTGAATCTTTAGAGGAATGAACTCACTGTTTAGTGGGTCTTTTTGGTAGCTATACTGTAGAACCTAATATTTTAGATTATGAAAAACAGATGAAGTAACAGTGAACTTTTTTAAAAAGGCACATATTAAATTAATTAGAGACATAAACTGCTACTCAATCCAAATGCTATTAGAAAATTTTCATAAAAGAATATTTCACTTCAAAGAGTTTCACATGTTACTATCTCTAAGAGCATCTTTCTGAGATTTTGTTTCATTTTGGATTTTAAAAACTGGATATTGAATAAGATGAGACTAATTTAAATAAATGTATGGGGAAACATGCTCCAGGAAAAATGACTTATCCCATGGATGAAAACAACACAGAAGCAAGGTTGCATTGAAATTTGAAGGACCCAATTATTTTAATGGGATAGTGTTATGTGTGAATATAGGTCTAAGTAAAACTGATTTCACTCATAATCTGCTGTTGATATTTTTATGATTGGTTTCAAAGGCACAGTCATAATGATAAACCAGTACCTTGAGTCCTATGAGCTGAGCCACTTAATAGAAACCTATAAATAAATAGGATTCATAAAGATTTCTGTCTGCACATATGAGATTATTGGATTTGAGATCAATGAACTTTTTTTCACCACATTCACAAGTCATTTGTAACCACTGGAAAACTTATTTTACTAAAGAAGATCAATATTTTCTAGAAATGTAAGAGGCACCCATGTTGATGTAAAAAAAGGAAATAACATTGAGAAAATAGAGTTCTTAGGAGAAATGCAATGACCAACTTTGTAGAAGTTCAAAAATGTATCACTTACCATTTTTTAGGAAAATAGGGGAAGATGGTTTGTTCTGTAAATGTCCAGTACAGAGAACTATCAGAAACATTTTATCCCAAAGAAGAGTTTGTAGTGTGCTCTTCTAACCAAGTGCCTACATATATCAAACACTTTTCCTAATAGCAGAAAAAATGAATGCAATTTTCACCATAAAGATGCTATTATGGAAGATATAATTTTTTTAAAAAAGGAATTATGAAAGGAATTTTCCTTTAAAATAGATTAAAATTACATATTTATATTTATACATTATTTTTAGTTACGGCAAGCACCTGATTTGTCAAACTTATCAGACAAGTGGTTATTAATCCTTTCATTTTGGTATGCCTGGTTCTATAGTATCCTAGTATTCTGTGCTTTTTCTATGAGCTGTAAATTATCAGAAAAAATGTTTATTTTCTGTCTTAAAAATCCAGTTGCAGAATCATCGTGTGAGGTGGCATGGAGTCACTAAGCAATTGCAATAAAAATCAATCCAGTGATTTTTATAATTAACAAGTTCTCTTTACATTCTATTTTCATAAAATGTTTATATACTTTTTTAAGCACAAAATATGTTTTCGTGTTTTGAGCAGAAAGTCAAAAAGTCTGAATTTTTAAAATAATCGATCAAAATAAGAATGAAAAGAGATTAAGTCATGGTGTCTTTTGAATCTTGAGTCTTTTGAAACATGAGTAACTTATGGTTAAACATTAATGATAATTATATATTTTTAAACAATCTGGCCCTGCTCACAATACCCCGTGAAAACAAACAGGTATCAATGTCACTTCCTTCTTATTGTAAATGCAGAAAGAAGCAAACACTGAAATCTCACAACGCTATTCTTGAGTTTGTCCCTAGGGATTACTTCATGTAAAAGAAATACTGATGCTAAAAGTAAAAATAAAAAAATAAGAAAATAAAATCTGCCAACATGCATGCAGCCAGAGGGGGCCAATAAATTTGAACATAGGTCCTAAATTCAGATCCTAAAAACCCATGCTCTTCCCTCTGTGTCATGCTTGATATCTCCTTTGGTTTTCCTCACCTTGTATACCACTGCCATGTTCCTTGTTATGATTCTGTCGAAGATTCTAGCCCCAGGCTCAAAATTTCCATGGGAACTTTAATATATATTGAAAGGAGAAAAAAGCAAAGCAAATTCAAGAAGCAAAAAAAAAAAAAAAAAAGCTCAATTTTAGAAAAATGGAGGTGCCTGGTTCTATCTTTGACTATTTCTTGTTTATGTTTTCTAAGATCAATTTAATTTAATTCCTAACCCCGACGTTACCCTGTTTTATTTCGTATGCTTTTCTATTCTAAAGGAGAATTTGCCTTGAGAGAATCATAGAAGACCAAGTAGATCAAGACTGGAGATAACTTCTCCTAGTTTCAAGATATGCTTTATTTTAAAAAGTTTACTTCATAATATATAAATAATTGTTTAACTATGGTTGGGTACCACACTTGGACTTCCTTCTATGTGTGTCTGAGAACATATATATATATATATAGATATATAGATATATAGATATATTTTCTATATATGTAAAGCATATATATATATGCTTTTTTACATATATATCTATATATATGTAAAGCAAACTACTTTTCATTTTGATGGTAAAATACAAAGCTCAATTTTGCTTATTAGTCAAAAGAGAACAGGGAAACAAATATATAAAATCAGTTTTATTAAATGCAATAAAATTGTATTTTGTTTTATATAGAGATGCTTATGAAAATATTTTCTTCATCTATGAAGTTTGTTAAGCAAATAAAAAATTAAAATTGTATCGTAAAGGCATACAGGTTAACTTCAGCAGTAGCCCTTTTTGAAAAATCATAAAACTGGAACTGAAAGGAATGATGTTCTGTTACAATAAAAACATAATGATATTTGAGGAAACTAAAGAGCTCTAAAACAACTATATAGACATCATAGCATATATTGTATGAATAACTAGTTATCAATAATATGTAATCTTACAGAATATAGTTTTTAGGTTTATATGGTATAGAAAGAGAAAGCCTTTAACTGATTTATCTTTAAAATAGAAAATGAAAATTCAGCCGAGTGTCATATAATATTGCATACAGCAGAAAAATAGCAGATATTTTTACATCTTCCAATTCTGTGATTGTTATATGATAAGGGGAAAAATACTCAACCAAAAGTAAGTTACCATTTTATTAGAAAGTTGTTTGGATATTTGAGGGTTATATTATTCTTTAGTGTATATTTCTAAATTATTAATTTCACTATACTTTGGCCTTAAGCTAGTTTAATAATTTGAGATCACTAACACATTTGCAAACCCTCTATTCCCAGAAAAATGCAGATGAATGCATGCAAAAGACATTGTATTTCAAAGGGTTCTTGGAGGTTTAGGTTTAGAATCTCTGGATTAAGCTCTAATTTAAATATGTCACCTCTTGGAGTAGAAATATTTATCAAGCAGCTTTTTAAAATTTTGTTGTTTTGTTTTTTGTGTTCTTATAAGATGATTTAAAGAAGATAAAAAGACAATATTGCATTTTGCTCTTCAATGTGGTAAATAAGCAACATTATGCAAGTTGTACTCTATATAAATCTTTTAGCAGTGGAGGTGAAGATGGATGAGGGTTGAAATCAGCAAACCATGAGCCCTGTAACTAAGCTGGAGAAAAACAGTACTTTTCTTTCCTATTTGCCCAGAAGGTCTCCTTTTCCACCAAGCTTGTGTTAGTTGCTGGCCTGCAACTAGATCCTCTAATTTGACTACTTTTGTAAATCAGGCATAGAGAAATCTTACATGTATACAAATTATTGTGCATATACATACACAATGCACACACAATGAGAGATTTTGGAAATT
This sequence comes from Homo sapiens, assembly GCF_000001405.40. Classification (NCBI taxonomy): domain Eukaryota; kingdom Metazoa; phylum Chordata; class Mammalia; order Primates; family Hominidae; genus Homo; species Homo sapiens. The sequence continues at coordinate 211,180,743 of NC_000002.12, forward strand.
AAAAATTAAAAACTCATTATTCAGGGAGTAGTTTTCATTCATTCCCTTCAAACTCATTTTCATTCTTAGGGAGATGGTACTTTCTTTGTTTATATTTTCAACTTGCTATTGATGATCAAGATATGACAAAGAGAAATTTTCCAAAACAAATTCTCTTTCTTCATAGCAAACATAGTCTAACAGTGAGAGGTCATTTTTAGTTAGCAGGAAAAAATATTTTGTATTCTACACAGCTCTGGACACAGACTACTCTTTATAACCTAAGAGGAAAGAGACTTGAGATTCCTTAAGGGGGAAGAGAATTTTCCTTTAACTCTTACCTATATGTGTGTATATAGGTTTTGCTTCTCTTGCCCACAGGGATTTGGATATTTAGTCTACATCCTACTCTTCAAGTTGATTAGCTCTCCTGGATCAGTGCTTGTTGGAATAATGTTTGACATCCCTGGAAACTAAACCTTCCTCACGTAGGAAAGCACATTTGTTCCTTCTATCCATGTCCCCTGACTCAGTCACCATTCTCTGGTGGTTTCTATAAGATTGAATCCTTATGAGTCCAAACAACATCACTTTGCCACCTTAGTTAGGATATCTGCTCAAGCAGAGAGCCCTAGTTAATTGGGAAAGTGCTGCTGGATTTACCGAAGATCAAGATCTTCACATAAAAGGGAAACCTTTCTTTCTGTGACTTCAAGAGGTTTTTCTTCAACCACAAAGACCCTGGATGCTATTAGGCTCTGAGGTTTTTGATTATGTAAGCAGCTGTTTATCATTCCTTTAGGAAAGAATTCTGCCATGTATCTTTAATATGCATTGTCTAAATCAGAAGGTTTTTTAATACACTACTACAAATTCAGCTTTGCTACCATGTGCTCACTAAACAGGCAATAAACATTTATTGCTGCTGATGAGTTCAGGAACTGGAATTTGCTGAAGCCCACTGTGATCGACAGCTGCCGAAAAACTGAATGTAGTCATTGTTTAGCACAAGTTCCCATGTGCTGCAAAAATCTGGAGAGGCTCTCAGAATGACTGGTGTATGGCTCTCTGCCCTCAAATACCAGGTGTCATAGGTTAAGCCTCCCTTGTCCCGGTCCAGCCCAGACTACTTGAAGCAGAGTTACCGTTGTTGCACATGCTCTTGATTCAAATGCATGCTGAGCTTTCCCTGATCAGCTTGTTCCTTTGGGCGATATCACAATTTCATCTTGTTCAAGCTGTCTACATTCCTGTTTACTTAGGTTTGCAAATAGAACTTTAGCACTCAAATTAGTACTGACAGAACAACCTGCAAGTATTCTAAATCCTCATTTGCCTTCATTCCAAGGGACAGCACTCTATTTTCAAAGCAATATTGTTTTATATCAAAATTGTTCTCGTGGCCTGAAAACATAATGACATGGAAATGCATGGCATGAAAACCCTGCATTCCTAATTTCAAATGCAGTCATCTAGGTGTTAAAACCGACACCAAAGGGCATCTAACTCCTTGACCAACACTGCTGTTTCTTCCTTTTGAACTGTCTGTTTTTCTCATAGGGCACAGAGGTATGTGTAAACAACAGAAAAAAAATATTTTTAAGATAGTAATTCAGTAGTGCATAGGAGTGATTTTTTTTCCCTTAATATAAACAACTCTGACCTACAAAATTCTTTTCTGCTAGTGTTCTGGTTCAATTGCCTGGAGACTCAGTGTCATGATTAGCTGAGAATAAGTTCCACTGCCTCTAACTGGCAGGACTGGAGGCAGGATGGCCAATGAAAAGAAATCCTAAGGGGAGTGAACTGCTTCTTATCCTAACTCGGTTTTATTAGATGGGAAATCTTGGGTAAGGTCACTAAATCATAGCCCGCTTCCCTTTCTAAACAACAGTCAATATGTATGAGAGCAGTAGTTCTCACCCCTGACTACATGTCAGAATCACCTCAGGAGCTTTTACAAAGTAATATACCTTGGTGTCATCCAGACTAAGTTAAATCAGAATTTCTGGACATTGAGCCTGGATGTTGGTATGATTTAAATGTCCTGTGGGTCGCTGAAGTCCACTAGATGAGCAGAATCTAATATTCTATTTATGCAGACATACAAACAACCCTCACACAGGCTGTCAGGGTTAATTGGTGCCTCCAATTCTTAAGACTTTTTGGGATACTCCATCATGAATAAGCTTGCTTCTCATTCGAGTTTTCTTTGCATTTACTTGGTATTCACCTTTCTCTTCTCTGCAAACTTCCGTCCACTTTCTGGCTTTTACAAATTAGTTTTCATCTCTTATCTGCTCTTATGTCCTCATTTGAAGGATTTCTATTTCTTTTTTTTTTTTTTTACTTTACTGACATTTTAATGGTATCTTGAGGAAGAGTAGAGATCTAAGTATTCAATCCACTGTGTTTAGCCAGACATATTTCCTTCTCTAAGTATCAGTTTGAATTTCTCATTTGTTTGGAGAGGCTTGGTTCAATGTTCTATTTTTCTCTGATATGCCGAATCTCTAGCATCACTCCAGAGCTCAGTTGCCACCCATCTGAGAAAAATACATGATGCATCGTTCACCCTGATTTTCCTTAGAGTCAGCAACTCACCTGTTGCATGATTTTAGTCTCTCCAGGCTTTCAGGGCGGAGGAACTTGCCACATTCTTCCAGAAGCATTCTCTCTTTGTACATCTGTCCCACCTCCCTAAATATGTCAGTGCCCTCTCTTTTGTGTGCTCTTCACAAATCTTACTCCTGATCTTCCTCATGAGAGGTCTTGCAAAACCCCTACATAGAACCTGTGTTATAATCAGTTTAAGGGAGAAATAATAACAATTCAAAAAGATTTAAGAAAACAGATTATTTTAAGAAGAGGTTTCTTTTACATGGTTCCAGAAAACATTCTTCTCTATCTTAAACAAATATTATAAAGACGAAAACGAAGAAGGACCCAGAGTCCTCCATGACTTTTTAGTAAATGAAACCAATAAGACACATGGCCAAAAAATTTAGAGTTTAGAAAGGCACAACATGAAATTTGAAAGTTTCCATCACCACCTACAAGCCTCCACCACAAGGTTAACCACTATTAACTAAGTTTTTACATTTTATTTCTTAGCATATTCGTGTACATGTAAATATATACTTCTATATATCTATATTAATAGCAGTATCAATCTTTGTTACATAAAAGAGGTTGTACTACTCACTCTACTTTGCAGTTTCCCTTTTTCATTTAATATAGCGTAAGTCTAGAAATAACTCAAACCTGAATGTCCTATTTGATGACTAGAAATGTCTACAGGAAGTGGACATTATAAGGAAATGTACAATATGTGAACAATATGATTTTGTCTTTGAAAATCTGAAAGGCTTTATGAAAAGAAAACTTTTCAATAAAATTATAAACTTCTTTCTCAAGTCATTTTTCAGTGTTAGTTTAATTATAATTTTAATTACCATTTTCTGACTTTTTTCAATGTGAGCAGTAATGAAAATTCAGATGGATGACTGATGCCACCCCTAGAGATATACCTGAATGCAGCTCAAAACAAAATCACCCTGATCAGTAAACACTTCATTAAACTCACCGAAGCTTAACGACTTCAATTGTTTTTATCATCACATATGTCATTAAAAGCATTCTAATTTCATAACTTTAACAAAAGTAATTATTTTCAACTTCAACATTTTGAAGCTCTGACAGTACCAAAAAAATAAAAACAAGCTAAACGCAATCTACATGCTTAACCATACTATAAGAGATTCAAAATTCTGCCCTGCAGTTAGCAATTTATTACTATTTTATGCTATATTTGTGTGTGTATGTAATGTGTGTGTTAGTCATGGTTCTCTAGAGGAACAGAAACACTGTGAATTGGCTCATGTGAAATCTGATTGCTGGAAGTCCCAAGACCTGCAGCTAGCAAGCTGGAGACCCAGGAAGGCCAATGGTGTAGTTCCAGCCCACATCCAATGTCTGACAGCCAGGATAGCTGATGATGTGAGTTCCAGTTCGAGTTTGAGTCTAAAAACAGATGACGTATGTCCCAGCTTACAGTCAGGCAGAGAGAAGGAGGAGATTATCTCTTTTCTCCTTCTTGATCTATTCAGGCCTTCAACAGATTAGATGAAGCCCACTTACATTGGGGAGTGAAATATCTGTTCTTAGTCTATGGATTCAAATGTTAATCACATCCAACAACATCCTCAAAAATACACCAAGAATAATATTTAACTAAATATATGGGTACCCTGCAGACACATAAAATTCACCATCATGACATATTTATGTATATTTGTATACAAATACATATACCATATAGCACTTCCTTATTAGATATATACATTTGTGTGTAAGTGTATATTTTTTAGTTCTTCTTAGAGAAATAAAAGTGGAAAATATCAGAGAGTCAGCTTATCTTTTTAAGATATTCTCTTATTAGTCATACAATTTTTTCCTGTTTCAAAAAATCAATATATTCTAGAATTTTTAAAACATATATATGATTCTATTAAATCAGTGATTTAAAGAGTTGATCTGTTTAAACTCATAGGAGTGGATGCCAACCAGATATCTCATTATGGTGGATGTGGAGACCTACTTTCATCCTGTTTGTGAATTTTTTTTAATGTATAACTACTTCATATGTAAAAATCTGTTAAGCCTGTTTGACTGGAATGTCCACTCAAATACCTAAAGAAGAAGTTTTCATTTTAATAAAATACTACGAAGGCATACCCTTTTCATTTAAAATTGTGAAGAAAAATATTCGAACTATTAGACACTGGAAAACGTTAGAATTCTTTCTCGCCAAGTCAGAACTGGATTTTTGTCATCCACAGTCAGAGACAAAAAGAGATTTTAGTGCTCACATTATAGAAATTTAACATCTCCGAAGTTAAATAACTTTATTTTTTTTTACGAAAAATAAAACAAAAGTTTTTATTTTACCCTCACGTAGAAACTGTTAAACAGTTCAATTCATCAATTAACTCTTAAGCACCTATACCATACCTAAGACATGGCTAAATTTGCTGGGGTAAACTAAATAAAAGGGTGTTCTCCCAGACTTTACAACCTGAGCTGATTGCAGAAATTAGATTTAAATGTATTTATTTAAGAGGAACATTAGAATTGCAAATTTTTTATTTATGGCAATAGACCAGAAAAAAAGAGCAAAAATAGACAAGGTGCCCATCCTTGCAGAACTGATAGTCTTATTCTCACTTCTCTCCCCTCCTTTTCCTACTCCAAGACTCAGTCATCACAGCTCTGTTTCCCTCCTGGACTCTACCCATACAGCCACAATCTGTCTCCCTTTTAATGAAGAGCAATCCTCTAAAGTCATGTGGAAAGTCATCAGGGAGGCCATCACTAAGCTTTGTGAATGTGGAAAGGGGCTGTAATAAATAGGGAATTTTCCCCCCTTTCTCTCCTTGCTTCTCTTAAATTCTGTTTCTATACTGTGTGTATGTGTAATGAATACATTCCAAAAGCCTTAACATGAATCCCTTGCTTCTGGGCCATTGATTGAAAGTTATATGCATCTAGGTAGAGATTACAAAATGTGGACCCTTCTTTTTTGGTTTCCAAAATCCAAAGAGTAATAAAAATATGTGATAACTTTAAAATTTTCAAAGAAAGTAAGATAGAATTGAAAAGCTGTGGTTATAAGAGTCTATGGTCATAACTGAGTTTCTGACTATATTGGAATACCACATATTAACAAAGTAAGAATGAAGGCTTAGTGAAAAAATATCCCTTCCTCATCACTAAATGTGTAGGAGTGATATGCCTTGATTTGCACATATGTCTTGGCTGTGTTGTTTCTGGTTGGTGCTGTGCTTGCAACGAAATCAGCTGTGATTGATTAACTCCATTAGGAATCTTAAGTATGAAATATTTCAAATCAACTCTAAGTGCATATTTGAAAATTATAAATGGTTTTAAACTTTAAAGCCAATCCATCATCTTTTCTAGAACTATGTTTCCTGCAGTATTAATGTTGCTTCCAATTATGCACATTTTTGCACTTGACTATTAACTACAGATTTTACAAGGTAAAGTCTCAGGTTCACATTTGCAGTTTTAGGATGATTTATCCTCCATTTCTCTTCACAGAAATATTATGGGCATAATACATAGAAATTACTGTCTGTTGGTTCGGTACCACCATTCTTTCTAGTTTCTCTCATGTTTCTATGAGCTGCCTGTCAGGTCTTCAAGACACCTTGCTTATGGAAGCAAAGACGATGGACAGTCCTAGCTGCTGCTCCTTTGAATTCACGACTGCATTTGCACCAAGGTCACACTTTCCCTGGACTGTTCCCAGTTAATGGCTGAGCATGGTACCGGTGACCACCCATTGCTGCCTGCACAGGACACATCCAAAGGCTAACCTGTGCTCAGGGACTTCCCATTAGTCTGGTCTGAAGTTTTGAGAAGGGCACTGCAGTGTGAGACTCTTCCTACCCAATTCTTCCTTATCTCTTCTCTTTCACAGGTGTCAGATTCATATCTTCATGTGAAGTCTCTCCCTCCTAGTACTTCTCACTTTCCCCTTTATCCTTTATAGATGTTTTCCTTAGCAAATGTCATTAGCCTTTAATTCAACCTGCTTCTTGGAGGACCCAAACTAGCACTGTCTTCTTTGTAGGAGTTTCTTCAACTGCCTCTTAAATGTTGATGTTTCCCAGGATTCTAGCCTCTGTTCTTTTTCTTTGATACCATAATTCATTTCAGTTACTCCAATATATACAACATAGCATTTATCTGTTAGTATTTTCCAGATTTTTATCTCTATATCACATCACTTTCTGGACAACCAGAACTGTCTATACAGCTCACAACTAGATATATTCACTCAAAAGAACTATAGGCATCATAAAACCAACATATTATAAAGTGAGTGCATAATTACTCTTCAACTCACCAAACCCATTCTTTCTGTTGTATTGTCTAACTCAGTAAATTTTATCACCATCTGCTGGGAAGTACTCTGTTACCCAAATCAGAAAACTGGTATTCATCCCTGATGTATTTATTCCTTCATCCTGCCAATCAGTCTTTACAGTCTGTCAGTCCTTCTCTATTAGTGCCTCTTGGCTCTATTCTTCTCATGCCATGTCTCAGTCAGCTATTAAGTTAATGTTTGCAGAGAAGAGGAAGCTGAATACCAAGTGACTACAAGGAGGACTCCAATGAGAAGCAAGCCTAATCATGATACAGAATTTCATTCAGAAACTCTCAAGAATTGGAGGTACCATTCATCTCTGACATTTCATGTGAGGCATGGGATGAAAACAGAGATTCTTTGACTGTCTATAGAAGGAACTTTAGATCCTGCACAGCCAGACAAGAGCTGGAGCCTGAAAGTTTCCTCTGAAGGTGTACTGAACCACAGCAGAATGAGATTTAGGGAATCAACAAAATAGAGGGCTGGGAACGGTTCAGTATTGAGAAGTGAAAGTCTACATGTTGAATGGAAAGATCCCTCATCCCTGCTTCTACTTGGCTCTAGTAATGATGGTTGTCAGACATAAAATCACCATTTTACTCCTAAGACTCCAAAAGAATATATATACATAGAGAGAGAGAGAGAGACTGATTTTGGAGGGCTCTCTAATAACACAATGGGTTTCTGCTTGTTGTAATTCTCTCTTGGTAAAACCCATCAGTGGACAAGTTCCACCATAAATGCAGGGCTTCCATTCTATTTTTAGTGATTTGTCTTAAAAATAAAAAAACATCAACCAAAAAAACCAACTATGATATGTAAGAGTAGAATAAAAGAATTTCTAGTAAACAAGTTTCAAAAATGTCAACTTACATTTATCTTTTATCAAGGAGGAGAAAGAAGGTAGAAAGGAGTTAATTAAGAGAAAATGACAGTGGATGCAGGGGAAATGAGATCCACACAGAGGAGAGGATAAAGGCCAGTCTGGATGGAGGGTCTGTCTAAGATTTAGAAAATAATCTACCTGGTAGAAGTGAAAGGGATCCAGCAGGAAAGCTTCATTTGGATGCATGGGGCAGAAGTTGACCAAGAGCAAAATAGTGTTTAGACTAATTTTACAATTCTGTTAGATGGTTTTGGAAGAATTGCTAATGGCACACAGGAAAGAAAGCAAATGAAAAGGCAATAATTAACTCTAGGAAATTTGATAAAAAGAAAGTGTAATCGTAAAACATGGCTTAGAAGAGAACAACGTGAATATAATCACAATAAGATAAAAGTTGAATATTGCTTTCACTAAGACATATGATATTAGAAATTAAAGGATATATGAAACTAAATTAACTTTATTAAAACATTTGTACAGGTATCTTAAAGGGAAAGGAAGATGACTCTATTCTTCTCATGCCATGTCTCAGTCAGCTATTAATGTAGCTACTTGGCAAACTAAGTTTGCTACTTGGCAAATGTTCTCAAACATTAGTGAGCATCAAAATCACCTAGAGAGTTTGTCAAAACAGAGATTACTGGGCCCCATCCTCAGTAGATATGGAGTGGGGCCCAGAAATTTGTATTTCTAGCAGGTCACCAGGTGATGCTGCTGCTTTTGGTTTGGAAACCACATTTTGACAAATACTTCTATAGGATGTTTCACCTGCTGCAAGATCAACTGGGCCTTCCCTTGCAGCTGGAATTATTTGAAATAAATCTTTAATAAAGATGCTTGGGATGCAACAAACATTGTTAAAATGTGATAATCACAGCCTTCCCTTCTCCTGCTCCCTCCCACAAAAGAGAGTCTATATTTGCTCACTCTTTGCTTGTCTTCAGAGAAAAACTCTTACCTAATGACAAAGGGGCCCAGTTATTCTACATAGTAAGAAATGGCTTTTGGGAAAGACCATAAAAAGTAGTAGTTGTTATACCTGTGAGTGATTTGATACATGCAAAAAGAGAAGTGAATTCCAATTATTGTATTAATGTTAGCTCCTGAATCATTATTTTGGCATACAAGACAGTTTTGGGACCTATACATGTGGATTCCTCAAACTAATCATGTATTATGTACTTAGGAAATAATAATAGAGTACATGAAAAAATCCTACTATCCTGAGTCATCCAACAGGTGCCAAAAATAAAGAAAAAAGAATTCTGAAGCTGGTAGAGTGGGCTGTTCTGTTTTTCTGAGAAAATTGAGTTTTAACTATTTTCTAAGGGTAAAAAGTCAGAAATGAATATATAGAGCGAGCAAAGAAAGGCCTTGTGTGAATTCATCTGTGATTAATTTCTAAACCCATAGGAACAGTCTTAGAACACTCAGCCAGATGTAAATAGAATTAACCTATATTAATCTCTGTTCTCCAAAGGGAAAAATTGAATTCCTAAGTACCTAAAATTAAAAAAAAAATAGAGAAAATAAATTTAGGTAATCCTACCAAAATATTCTAATTCTTAATTATATTACATATTACTCTGAAATCATCCCCACTTATGCATTCCTTGGTATTGCATTTTGTTGCTACCTGCTTTATGCACATAAAACGTAATGCAGCATTTTGAGAGGGGGTTGGAGGAATTGCTTCCATCATAAGCCTTCACATTTTTCTAGTGTTTTATCTACTTTTTCAAAGCACTTTCACATCTGTTTTACTTAATTTTAGTTTCAGAGCTGAGCAAGAAAACCTTGCTTTGGTTTCTTGGGGAATCCCTGACTTACTATATTTCCTAAAGTAGTGCATATTCATTGAGGGATATGTCTCCAGTCCTCTTCCCAGCCTAATTACTTAAGTACAGACTGTAAGGTTACTCTTTTCTAGCACTTAGCTCTCCCTTGAGGGAACTGCACGGGACCTAGGAAATGAGCATGTCCAAGCTCCCTCACTATGCAGCAGTGAACAAATTGGCAACCTTCTTCTCCCACTTGTGCCGAGGAGTAAAAGAGTAGAGGCTAAACTTGAGTCCTTTGTGATTTCATGTGATGATTCAAGGAAATGTGGAAATAAATGAGTAGATTCTTGTCAGTACCCTCTCAAAAGAGGCAGCCTCCTTTTACAGATGTACTCCTGAGAAACTGCCTCCCAGAAAGGGTAAATCTCAAAAGTAGTGGTAAATGGTAGAATACGGTATCCATTTGTAACTTTTTTTTACTTTTTCATAGCTCTTCAAACATGAAAGAGAAACATGTTCACTGCTTAGTGCCTGGGGACTCATACTTTTTTACTCCCTTCTAATAGATGCACTATGCATGCAGTAGTTATTAGCCTTCTTTATCTATTTTATTTGTTTTACTTTTTGTTCAGAGTCCTTTTAAAAATCTGATGATATCCACAGGTTGCTCCCATCAATAAATCCACATCCAAACTTATAAACAACATTTTGCATATTATTTCAAGAGATTTATAAACACCTTAAAGCTCCTTTCTGAGGTTTAGTTTACTAATTCCTGATAGCGAAATATGCACTGGTTTTGAAGTTAAAATAGGTTCAAGTCTTAGCCATGTTACTCTTTGGACTTGTGCATTTATGTTTCCAAGTTTTCAGTTTCTCCATTTGTAAAATTGAAAACATAATGTGTTTCCTGCCTTCTTCACAGAATAAAGCTAGCAATATTTTAATTGTCGAGTATTTTAGTTGTCATAACAGCCACAACAATAGAAGAAAGAGCACTCTGATTTTCCTGTAGGAATATATTCTTCCCACCATAGAAATAATCTTGGTGATGCAGTCAATCAAGATGCCCCAAACTCTGACCAAGTGGTGGACATGTGGCAAAATGTTGCACCTCAGATATTCCCTTGAACTTTCAAAGTAGTGACATAAAAAATGAAAATATTTGTATGTACTTTATTCTAACCCTGATTATAATACTCTGATTATAATCTCCTCTAATTGTTTTATTCAAGACTGCAGTTAAGAACTGGTAATCAATTTGAAACAAAGTAAGTGGGGTTTTTAAATCTTTGATGTTTCATAGTTATAAATGCATAGAAAAGCAAGGATTCATAGATTTGATAAATCTAATGCTCCCTGCTGTACTGTTGACTCCAGGAGAACAGGCACATAATGGTGCCTGTCTTTTAACTCTTGGATGCTCAGTATACACTGAAGAGTGTCTGGCATACAGCTGGTAGTCAGCAAATAGTTATAGAAGGAAAGGAAGAACAGATTGAGATCAGTGAGACAGGCAGGGGCTAGATTACAGAGGACATCATAAATCATAGTAAAATGAGTGGATTTAATTCTTTCTAAACACTAAACAGTTTTAATCAGGGGTAATATGATCATTGTCTAAAATTGAACTCAAGGTGAATTTCTCATACATTTCAGATCCCATAATTGACTTATAGAAGGCACAAAATATATAAGTAACCAAAATACAAGTCTAAGAATTAGAACATAAGGAATTATAGAGATAGAGATAAAAGACAGAGCAAAAAGCTATAACTTTAAAGATACTACATGTTTAATCTATTTATTTCTCTGAAATATTGTGTATTTTTGTAAAAACATTGCTATTAATAAAGAGAATTTCAAAAAGAAAATATCATTTTCCATAGTGAATTGAGTTGCAGACATCTCTGCCAGACTTCTGTGCTTACAGCATTAAAGTTACAAAGTCCCTGAGGTTAGAGGTATTGTCCATTCCATCTGGTAACTACAAGGATAGGAGGAAAATATTATTAAGTTTTGGATTCTTTCCCTCAAATAACCTGTCAGTGTAATATGATGACAATGATATCTGTTATCATTTCAAGGGCTACACAAAATAATTGCAATGTTCATGACAAAACAATTCATACAGATACAATCTTAAGAGTTCTGAAAAAATAGCAGTAATGGCTTGTGCTCCAGAAATTAAAATAGGGCTACAACATTTTAACTTTTTTTACCTTGAAATAATTATAGATTCAGCAGAATGTCCAAAGACAGTAAGATGTTCCATGTACTCTTTACCTAGTTTACCCTGATGGTCATGTCTTATTTAATTACAATACACTGTCAAAGGTAGGAAATTAACATTGGTACAATGTGCACGTACAGTTCTGTGTCATTTTTACATGTATTAATTTGTGTTAATACCACTGAAGTCAAGAAATGGAACTATTCTATCTCCACAAAGATCTCTTTGTGATACCCCTTTACAGTTATGGTTTGGTTCAGGTACATCAGCACCCTGAGTCTGATCATCCTTGATACCCTAACCTGAAGAAGCTAAAGCCTCAATCAATGATGAGAACTCCAACTGGCCAAACCTGGCCTTTCTGGAGTATACCTTTGGTATCAAACTTTGAAATCAAAAATTAGAATTGTGGATAAAATTATTGATGCCTAAACAATAATTTGGAAATAAAATGTTGAATTATAAATGAAATATACTCAGGAATATGTTGTTTTCTGGAATCCAATGAATTGAGTTTTACTGAATGCAAAAAATCAGACCTATGTTTTCTTTAAAAGTTGTTTTATATTAAAGCTTCAATTTGCTGAACTTACTATTTTATGAGTTCTGTTTAGACAGTGTAGAACAGTGGGTGATCCTAATACCTTATAGCATTTGAGCAAACTTGGTTATTTTTCACTGTTTTGATATTTCATCTATTTTAGCATTTATATATTATATTAAGCTAAAATGTGTTAAAACATACATTTTTATGTATGTTTAGAGTAATTTTACAGTTCTGTTAGATGGTTTGGGAAGAATTGTTAATGGCACATAGGAAATGAAGCAAATGGAAAGGCAATAATTAACTCCAGGAAATTTTATAAAAAGAAATATGTGAATATAATCACAATAAGATAAAAGTTGAATATTACTTCCACTAAATCTCAAAACATGTTGGAATAAAACACAAGGAGGCAAGGAAAGTAAAACAGATAAATGAGAAAGAGGAGGCAAACAGAAAATAAATAATATCATACCCTAACATATCAATATTTTCTTTAAATGTAAGTAATCCGTACCAATTAGAAGGTAGAGTTGACTTTTTTTCTTTTTTTTGAGATGAAGTCTTGCTCTGTCACTCAGGCTGAAGTGCAGTGGTGCAATCTCTGCTCACTGGAAGCTCCGCCTCCCAGGTTCACGCCATTCTCCTGCCTCAGCCTCCCGTGTAGCTGGGACTATAGGTGCCCACCACTAGGCCTGGCTAATTTTTTGTATTTTTAGTAGAGACGGGGTTTCACTGTAGCCAGGATGGTCTCAATCTCCTGACCTCATGATCCGCCCGCCTCGGCCTCCCAAAGTGCTGGGATTACAGGCGTGAGCCACCGTTCCTGGCCAGTAGAGTTGATTTTATAAAAGACATGAATCAATTATAATCGATTCCTATTGTTCATGGTATCTGTGTTCTATAAAGTTGACATAAATGCTAATTCATTGCTCCTAGTAGAAATACAGGGTCAGGTTCCTGCAAACTTGTCCAGAAGGTCACAACATTTTCATCGATTGATTAATGTATAACCACATATTATATGTGTTTCTGTTAAAAGACACTTATTTAATACATATTGCAATTTATTAACATTGAATTCACGGCCAACAGTATCATAACTCATGCCTGAATGAAGCTTATCTAACATGTAATTTCTTCATAAGGCACACGATAGCCTTCTTGGGCTGAGGAACACTGGACAACCCTTTAGCACTATGCTTAGGGGTCATAATAAACAGTGAAATCACCAACTGAAAGTACAAAAATATGAAACTATGGCATTAACTAGATCACATAAAGGACACTTGCTTCCAGCATAAGAACTGAAACAAAAGAAAGTGTCACCTTGATTGACTTCAGCTAAGAATGTATATATTAGTTGACAGGTTTTTTGCCATTCTGTATATGTCTGTGAATGATGGCAAAAATGCTGTATTTATTTTGATTTATGAATAAATTTTAGTAAGTAGGCTATTTGAAAATATGGACTTGCAGATATTGAGAATTGACTATATATGTAATTTATAAGAAACTCACTTGAAATTTATTGAAATAGGTAAATTGAAAGTAAAAGAATAAAAATTAGTTTTCATAAGCAAATATTGGTTTTTAAAAGATGCGTGCATGCATAGCTATATTAGTATCAGTTACAATAGACTTCTGAGTGAAGAAAATTAGTAGCAACAAGGAGGGATATTATATGATGCTAAAAGATTCATCCACCAGGAAGATATAATGAAACTAAATGTGTATCCACCAACAAACAGAGCCTCAAAATGTGTGAGGCAAAAATTGGTAGAAATAAAAGGAGAAATTAACAAGTACACAAATTTTAATTGTGAACTTTAATATAAATTATAGAACATTTGATTTAAAAATCAGCAAGAATATAGAAGATCTAAATAACCCAATTAACCAACAGTATCTAATCCACATATATATACTAATTGACATAATACTCCAGCCAATAACAACTGAATATATATTTTTTCAATTATTCATGAAATATCTATCAAAATAGCCCATATCCTGGCCATAACAAACCCTAACAAATTTAAATTACTTGAAATTATACAGGATATGTTTTCTGACCATAATGAAAGTAGAAATCATTAACAGAAAGATAAGAGTAAAACTCTAAGAAATTTAGAAACACACTTCTAAATAGTTCAACGGTAAAAGAAGATGTCTCAAAGGAAGTAAGATATCTATAGAACTGAATGAAAATGGAAATAAAGTTAATCAAAACACATGATTTTGCAGCACTATTCACAATAGCAAAGACTTGGAACCAACCCAAATGTCCAACAATGATAGACTGGATTAAGAAAATGTGGCACATATACACCATGGAATACTATGCAGCCATAAAAAATGATGAGTTCATGTCCTTTGTAGGGACATGGATGAAGCTGGAAACCATCATTCTCAGCAAACTATTGCAAGGACAAAAAACCAAACACCGCATATTCTCACTCACAGGTGGGAATTGAACAATGAGAACACATGGACACAGGAAGGGGAACATCACATACCGGGGCTTGTTGTGGGGTGGGGGGAGGGGGGAGGGATAGCCTTAGGAGATATACCTAATGTAAATGATGAGTTAATGGGTGCGGCACACCAACATGGCACATGTATACATATGTAACAAACCTGCAAGTTGTGCACATGTACCCTAAAACTTAAAGTATAATAAAAAAAAAACCATGATTTTGCAGCTGAACAATGCTGATATGCTTATAAATGCTTACATTGGAAAAGATGAACAATCTTAAATCAATAGTCTAACTTCTTATCTCAAGAAACTAGCAAAAGTGGAGCAAAGTAAACCTAAAGCATAAAATGGAATAATTTAATAAAGATAGTAGCAGAAATCAATGAAATTCAAAATAAGAAATAATACAGAAAGTCAGTAAAGCAAAAAGTTTTCTTCAGAAAAAAATCAATAAGAATGATAATCTTCTAGTAAAACTGGCAAAATACGAGAAAGACATAACTAATATTAGGAATGAAAGAGAAATATCACCGCTGCTCCCACAGCCTGTAAAAAGATAATAAGGTGATATAGAAAATAAATATATACTGATATATATTTAATTGTCGAAGACATAGACTAATTTCTTGAAAACCACAGACTACTAACACTCAACCAAAATGAAACAGATAGCCTAAATAGCCCTATAATAGTTTTCAAAAATTAAATTGGGATTAAAAAACTTTCCAAAAGTAATCTCAGGCCCAGATTGTTTCACCGGGGAACTCTATAAGTATTTAAAGAAGAATTAACACTAATTTTACACAAAATCTTACAAAAAAATAGAAGATGAAACATTTTGTAACTCATTTTATGAGTCAGATTTACACTAACTCCAAAATCAGACAGTGTCCACCACCCCAAAAAGAAGAAGGATAAAAGAAAACTGGAAATATTATATTAGCAAATTGAACAAAACAATATATAAAAATAATTATACATCATAACCATGTGAGATTTATTCCAGCTATGTAAGACTGGTTTAACATGCAAAAGTCAAACATTGTAACTCACCATCTCAACAGTCTATAATGGAAAAAAATCGTAGGATCATATTACTTGGTACAGAAAAAGCACTTGATAAACTCCATAGCCATTCACAGTAAAAGCTCTCAGCATGTTATGAATAGAGAGGAATTGTGATATTGAAAAATTTGATCTTCAGCCCATTTCTTGACATACATCTCCTAAAATCCTTAGACTCTCCAAAGAAATGTCTTTTTATATGCTACTGAGTTGACTGGTGGCTGGCAGTGCCTAGGGAGCTTCCAAATGAGGGCTGTTCATCAGAAAGACCAAGGCATAATTACAGTGGTGATACTTTCAGATACACCCTCCAACCTATGGGGAGGGGAAAGGGGCTGAAATCAAACTGATTACCAGTGGGCAATGGCTAAATCATGTCTACGTAGTTAAGCCTGTATGAACACTCCAAAAGACTAGGTTCAGAGAGCTGAACATGTGGAGGCTTACAAGCAGGTGAACAAAAACTCATCCTTGTACCAGGAAGGTGGCACACCTCAAATCTATGGGGACAGAAGCTCTTATGCTCAGGATCCTTCTAGACCTCACCCTATGTATCTCTTCATCTGGCTGTTTATTTGTGTCCCTTGAAATATTCTTTGGGTCAGGTCCAGTGGCTCATGCCTGTAATCCCAGCACTTTGGGAGGCCATAGTTGATGGATTGCTTGAGCCCAGGAGTCTGAGACCAGACTGGGCAACGTGGTGAAACCCTGTCTCTACTAAAAATACAAAAATTAGCTGGGCATGGTGGCACACGCCTATAATCTCAGCTACTCGGGAGGCTGCAGCAGGAGAATTGCTTGAACCTGGGAAGCGGAGGTGGCAGTGAGCCGAGATCATGCCACTGCAATCCAGCCTGGGCAACAGAGCGAGACTATCTCAAAAAAAAAAAAAAAAGAAAAAGAAAATAAATTAAAATAAAATAAAATAAAAATTATCTGTAACAAACCAGTAAATTTAAGTGTTTTCCTGAATTTTGTGAGCAAGTCTAGAAAATTCATCAAACCCAAAGAGGGGTTCATGGCAACCCCAACTTGAAGCCAGCTGTTCAGAAATTTTGGAGGCCTGAACTTGTGTCTGGTGAGAAAGAGAGGACAATCTTATGGGACTGACACCTCAACCTGTGGTGTCTGAGGCTAGCTCCAGTTAGATCACGTCAGAATTGAATTGAATTAGAGGACACCTAGCTGGCGTCCACTGCAGAATTGATTGCTGGCTTGGTGTGTGGCAAGAAATCCCCACACATTTGGTCACAGAAGTCTTGTGAGTTGATTGTCATGAGAACAGAATTTAAAAAAAAAACAGTTTGAGTTGGTTTTTCACCACAGGAATTCTATCATCTTGATAAAGAGCATCTACAACAAATCTAATACTATTATGAAATCATACTTCATTGTGAAAGACTAAATGCTTTCCTCATAAGATTGGTAACAAGGCAAGTGTGGTCACTCTCATCACCCCTATTCAATGGAGTACTGGCAGTTCTAGCCACTGAAATAAGACAAGAAAAAATAATGAAAGACATAAAGATTGGAACGAAAGAGAGAAACTACCCAATTTGCAGATGGCATAATTTTCTACATTTTTTTAAAAATCCCAGGTAACCTGCAAAAGAAAACTTTCTAGAACTATTAAGTTCAGCCAAGTTGCAGAATACAAGATCAACATGTGAAAATGAATCCTATTCATTTATTGGAGGAGGAAGAATGATAGTATTGTAGATGGATGAGATGCTGGATTAGTTAGAACAAATTAATCCTATGGTAACGATGAACATGTGGAAACCAAAATTAAAAACTCAATACCATTTACAGTTGACAAAGGCTGTGTCCTTGACCAAACTTGTTAGGCTCCTCTGAGCCCTCTTCTCATCTAGATCTCAATCCTGGCCTGCCTTAAGCAAAGAATCCTGCCAAGTGAGATTTGCAAGAATCATTCTACCTTTGATAACTAATCCCCCTTTATATCTGATGAAGTATCTCATTCCCCACCCTTGATGTATAAGTCCTTCACCTGCCTTTAGCAAGAATCTTCCTTCTGTGATGTCTCCTCTGAGTAATTTTCCACCCACTGATCTCCTTCTTCTGATAGCTGGCTATAAATTCCCACTTGTCCTTACTGTATTTGGAGTTGAACTCGAATATCTCCCCTACTGCAATAGAATTAACCTCTACTGTAGTTGTCTTAAAGTCTTCCTTACCATTTTCACAAGTCTCAGAATAATTTTTCCTTTACACAATAATTCTAAATACAATAAAATACTTAAGTATCCACTTAGTAAAACATGTACAGGATCTCTATGCCAAACATTTTTATTTCTAGTGTGATTCTGAAAATTGCTTTGTTATCTTACTAGGTCATTTTGCCAGCACTCCATGCATTTCTTGGAGGAGGAAGACTGATAGTATTGTAGATGGAGGAGATGCTAGATTAGTTAGAACAAAACTATACACATGAGTTTTTCTTGGCAAAAATTATGAGAAATATACAAGTACAGGTATTCTGTTCTCTCAGTTTCTCCCCCATGCCCCATTTAATGAATAGATGTAAAGAAATTGGGTGAAAATAGGCTGTAGCTTTAGTATTCTTAAGAATGCATTTGGGAAAAAGTTTTCACCTGCATTGGACCCTGAAACATATTCATACATTGAACAAAAGTCATTGCCATTATACGATGCAACTAAAGCAAAAAGATTTTAATCAGTGATTGTTCCACAGAACAAGTCACAACAAACCTGCAATTATACTGAAAATTAAACTATTAGAGAGCTCTGAATAATGGCTTTATCCACTTGCCAGATATACTTTATGTTTTCTGATTTTAAGTCATAAGTTCCTTTTCTTGGACTTTTAAAAAGTCACATTTGCTTTCTGAGATTCTGAAAATTTTAAAAAGAAAAATAAAGGAAGATACATTCTAATTTATTTTGTAGTTCTGCCAAAATCTCTCTATGGCCACAAAATAAATCTGAGTTCTTTAGAGTTTCCTCAAGATTAAAAATATCCACTATCTATAGGCTGAGTTCTTTAGAAGAAACATGCAATATGGATATATATGATTTTTTTCTGTGTGCCATCATTTGACAGTACTGTGTATCTTCCAGTAGAATTTTCTGGGTAATAGAGGCTTCTGCAAGACTGTATTAACACCAACAGATGAAAGAAAGAGTGTCTGATAAATTTGGCATTGTAGAAGGCAGGGAGTATGTTATTCTGAGAAAAACCATTCAAAACAGAGATTTCCCACAGCTATACCAACAAGCTACTTCAAGTAGGACAAATACCTAATGCGTATGAGGCTTAAAACCTTGAAACCTAGATGATGGATTGATAGGTGCAGCAAACCACCATGGCACATGTATACTTACGTAACAAACCTGCATGTTCTGCACATGTATCCCAGAACTTAAGGTGAAATTTAAAAAAATTATCTCTTAGGGAATAAATTATCTCAAAAAGAATTTATAGATGATGATATTTAAGGTCATCTTGGTTAACTTTAAAGTTATGTAATTTCACCATAGCAAATATATTTTCAGTGCCATCCCTCATTTTCTTGTTGGCTTCTCCTTCCTCCCCAAACCCTATTCCCTTAACACACACACACACAGACACACACACACACCACAAAACAATGAAAGTTTGCTACTCAGTAGTTTCCTGGTTCAATAAATTAAAATCTATAGGTCTCAATATGAAGAAGAAATTTTACATTTTGCCTCATAATCGTATATATTATTTTATCCCTAGGATTCACTTAGTATACATAAAGAAATTATAATGCCTAATAAATTTATTTTCACTTTCCTGGACCATGACAGAAAAAAGATTTATGAAAATGAAGTTTGATCTGCCTAGAAAAGGGTGTTCAAAGACTACAAATAATCATGGAGGCCAGAAATAGTACTAAGAATAATAAAGACCTGGCAACGTAGATTGTCTGAAGTTTACTTTTGTTTCTGCTCTTTTTTTTAATTATTATTATACTTTAAGCTCTGGGATACATGTGCAGAACGTGCAGTTTTGTTACGTAGGTATACATGTGCCATGGTGGTTTGCTGCACCCATCAAGCCATCATCTACATTACGTATTTCTCCTAATGCTATTCCTCTCCTAGACCCCTACCCTCCAACAGGCCCTGATGTGTGATGTTCCCGTCCTTGGGTCCATGTGTTCTCATTGTTCCTGAAGTTTACTTTTCTAGCAAATACAAAAAGGATCGTACCAGAAAGACTGGTGCTGACTTCCTTTACCCTAAATTCATCTAAAAACTCTCTTTCTTTCTTTCTGCTGTCCTAAGAATTAGCTTTGCCCCTCTCTTTTTATACTTATTCTCATGATGAGCAGTGCAGCAGTATTTCCAGTTTCATGGGTCTTCCCCTCTTTAAAATTCCATTACTTGTAATATATAGGAACAAATATGTTTCTTCTAAAACCTGTAAATATTGCTTATTGTGACTCTATTCATTAACAAGAAACACGTATTAAAAGTAGTGATTTTCAACAGACTATGGACTATCTAGATCAGTCGGCAGCACTTCCTAACTACACAGAAAATCTCCCTTAAATATTCTGATGTCCATTTGGCTATAAGCAACAAGTAAACAAGGATCTTCCCTCTCTTGATTATTTTTTGCTCAGAAATGTACCTGGCATATGGTGGGTAGAGAGAAGAAGTACATATAACACCTCCCAGATCACAAAATACCACTGTCAGGCCAGGCACAGTGGCTCATGCCTGTAATACCAGAATTTTGAGAGGCCAAGGTGAGAAGATCTCTTGAGCTCAGGAGTTAGAGACCAGCTTGGGCAACACAGTGAGACCTCATCTCAACTAAAAATCAAAAAAAAAAAAAAAAGTAGCCAGGTACAGTGACACAGGCCTGTAGTCCCAGATATTCTGAAGGGATTGAGGTTGCAGTGAGCCATGATTGTGTCACCATTCTTCAGCCTCAATGATAGAGCAAGACTCTATGAAAGAAAGAAAGAAAGAAAGAAAGAAAGAAAGAAAGAAAGAAAGAAAGAGAAAGAAGAGAAGAGAATTCCACTGTTACGACTTGATGTTTTGAAATGCACCCTATTCTCAGAAGTATTGGGGAACAAGCAAGATTGAGAAATATTGCTTTGCGTACAACAAACCAAATTACCACTTTACATGCTGGTCATCATAAGTAATATTACTACAAATATAATATGAACCCACTGTCTTCAGAGTTGCTTTAGAAGTTAGGCCATGTCATTCTAATCTCACATTACTCAGAGTTCTCAACTCAAGGGTTTTCAAGAGAAAATAATAAATATACATTGAAATAAACCAAATAAAAATTAGAATGACTATTCTCTCTGAAGAAAGATGGCTGTTATAAATGTGTTTGTCCTTTTATTTCTCAATCAAATCACAAGAATCCTTCTAATTGTTTAACACAATTTTAAAGAACACAGAATCTGGATTTTCTGACAAGAATTCAAATTCTTAATACTCAAACAAATTATGTGTGACTCTAGAAAATCCAGTTAAGCCTCTAATAGAAAATCTATTTCCTCATCAGCAAAATTAGGATAATTATTTTAAAGTGCTTATCACAGCAACTGTACAAATTAGGCACTCAATAAATGGTAGCTGTCATTATATGAAATTAACTTTGTGGGAAATTAACCAATAAGTCAATATATATTTAAATATCTGTTTAATCCAAAGAAAAGTTGTTGATTTTATTATAAAGTTAATTCGAGATCAAACACACATAAATACTTATAATTGAGATATTTTATAATTATTTATAGATTATTCTAGGGTTGTTGCTAAAGAAAGCTTAAACTAAATGATAAAGAAATTCTGATTAATTATGAATTTCCTTTGATGTCTGAGCACATTGTCATGAGATGAAAAGAATAAAACATTCACCTCTGCCCTCTAAGAACTTATAATTTAATTCAATAATTGCATTCAAATTCAAATCTATTGGATTTGTATTTAATTTTATTGAGGGAAAATGTGTCAGCATATCACGGGAGTCAAATAACATTAACAACTACCACTTTCTCCAAACTACTAAGTTTATAAAATGCTTGTTTATTTCAGAGAAGAAAAGAAAGACGAATCTAAAAAGCTAAAAGGAGACAAATATGAAAGAAAAAACTTATCTACAGAAGGTAAAAATCAATTTTTTGAAACTATGAGGAAAACACAAACTGATGTCTTGGAAGAATGCTATTGCCATCCCCTCACTAGTCTTGTTTCTTCAAAATATGTGGTACAAAGAGAAGGAAAAGCGTAACTGCTCATTGACTTCCAAGGAATCTTAATCAGAGACTCAAAGATTGAGTCCTAGGTACTCTGAAGAATTTCTATTCTTATCGTCAAAACACTCTAAGAACTCAATTTGCTTCCAGTGGTTTAGCTGAATCCAGAGTGAAAAAGGAAAAAGTACATTTTATAAGAAAATTTCATTTTTCTGCTTGATAAAATTCTCAAAATAGCAATTTCAAGCCAAAATCTACAGAATGTTCTATTTTGAGTGTCTTTACTTTTGAAAAAATTTTAGAAATAGTAGTGGCATAGAAAAATTATGTCTTACTGTGCTTCTACTTATAAGTGAGGGATCATGAAATAAACACATGTGACTTGCATGTGTGTGGCTGTTTATTGATAATAATATTAAAACAACCAAAGTTCAATGCCTCCAATTGAGCTTTATAGTACAGGTAAAAATTAAGGAAAGAAAAACAGTCCTATTTGAATGAAAGGGTGAGGCACATTATTTAACTGTTTTTAAATAAGATTCCTCAAAAATGTTTTTACAAAAGACCAGAGGAAATTATGCAGTTAAGAATTAGGTAGGCTTCAAGGATCTTGGGTTGTTTTAGTTTTATTTGAATAAACCTTAGAATCTCTAAATTAAATGAATGAATTCTCAGTTTTATTATTTTTAATATTATTTATTCTCTTGCTGTTGTGAGAAAAGGAAAATTATTTCATTTTTTCAGCTAAGACACAAGGTAGACAACTCTAGTACTAACAGTCTGTTATAGAAAAAAAAAAGTTGATCAATTATTGTAAAAAATGTGAATTTAAACTTTTTTTTAGTTTAAATTAAAGAACAACAAGGGCAGAAAATAACCTCTCCAAACACTTTTCCAAACTTTTGTCTCCCTCAATTTGGGTATGAAATTTTACATGTTCATAATTTCTTGATAATTCACTGCTTATATTCAAAATAGAAGTGAGCTGAATTAGAACTCAGGAGACCTGGGAGTCCTTTCTTGGCTACTAAGATGGCATAAGACTTGGGAATGAAGTACTTTTATAAAACATCATAAAACTTTCATGTCTAATGTCTGGACTGTGGCCAGAATTACTAAGTAGGCACAGGAAAATAACTGGTGTTTCAGATGGGTTCCATACCAAAAACTAAACAAAATCTGTTTTACTCTGGGTGCCACATTTTCAATTTTCATTTCCTTTCCACCCATACACATAGACAAGCTCTTCAGATAGCACCCTACCACTGCTCTGATTTAAAAATAACCAGAGCAGATGATTTCATATCTTACTTTTAGCCACTGAAACCACACAGCTGCATTAGCCTATGTTTTCTTTTTCTGGAAGAAAAAACTGATCTTAAATGATAGTTATGCCATGCCTATGCTCCTTAGACATGTAACTGCAGAAACAGCTCTTGGTCTCTGTATGTTTTGAGGGATGGAGTATCTATAGTCCTGGGTAGCTGAGCACCTTTTTTTAATGACCTAAAAAATGATGGGTACCTCAGTTTTGATTAGATCTCCGCAACTGTGATATTCTTTACTGTGTATCCCTGTCACCACCAGTAAATGACAACACTCATCATTATATCTTTCTTGCCAGCCCTTTCTTTCTGAGCATCAGGTAATTGTTAAGCCCTTCCTTAAATGTCTTTCTCAGTGCTTGTTGCTATAATCGTTTTCTTGAACTGTGTTTCAGCTTATAATAGTAATCTTCTCAGATGCATTTCTCGCAGTCTCTGGGGCCTCTTCATAACTTCCTTAAAAGTAGATCTATTCTAGACAGCCTCTTTCTTATCAGAAACTAATTTTCACCTTTGACCTTCTTTTTCCTAGACAGCAAGACAGTACAGGAATTGCTTCATAAAGATTAGAGGGATCAATCAATCACCTACAGAGGCCTACATCCCTCCTGAGATGACAAATATCTATTATGATGAGAACCCCACAGCTTCACAAGAACTCTCATTATAGTTTTGGGCAGTCTTAGTTGGTGGGAAGATTTTCCTTTTTATTGTGCCAAAATTTGCTTCTGTGTAACTCCTTCCCATTGGTCCTAATTATGCTTTCGGTATCCGACTCGAATCAAGTCTCTCCTGTAGGTCAGGAGAGCTAGCAAGCACTAATGTCCCATTTAGATCCAAAGAAGAAAAGAATGACGTACAAGGGCTGCAAAATAAAGCTACATACGCAGGTTATTTTATTTACTTCATTGATTATTTAAGAAAGACATGCCGGAGTATCTGAATCATTGTTTATAGTGGGGACTGACTGACATACAACCAGAGTAGAAGAACTATATTTGTCTGCTAGGGCTGCCATAATTAAGTTCAACAAACTGGGTCCTTAAACAACAGAAATTAATTGTCTCACAGTTTTTGAGATGAGAAGTCTGAGGTCACGGTGTCAGCGGAGTGAGTTCCTTCTGAAGGTGTGAGGGTGAATCTCTCCCAGGTTTGTCTCCAGCTTCTGGTGGCTTGCTGGCAATCTTTGTCATTCCTTGGTTTATAGATTCATCACCTCAGTTTTTGCCTTGATGTTCACACGGTGTTCTCTTTGTGTGTATGTCCATTCTATGTCCATATTTTTCCTTTTTATGAGGATATCAGTTATATTTGTACTAGGCCCCAGCACAATGACATCATTTTAACATGATCATTTGCCAAGACCCTATTTCCAGATAAAGTCACATTCTGAGATACTAAGGGTTAGGACTTCAGCATATGAATTTTGGGAGGATATAAGTTAACCCATAATAGTAATGCAATTTACAGGCTTATTAACCATGACTTTGAAGATTTACTTACTTTGTCTTATTCTCCTGTTCTATAAAATGGCAATAAAAATAGGACTTAACTTTCCAGAATTGTGGCAAAATCAAATGAGTTAGCATAGGTAAAATGTTAGATCAGTGTCTGATAGTAAATACTTGATAAATATATTTGTTATTGTTTTTATTATTACTCATAATTAGCTAGGTTAATATCATATAACCATTTGTGAATGACAATGTCCTCTGATTATCTGCAGTAATGTGGACTGCCATTCTCCTGGCTGTAGAACTCCAGACACATTCTATGGCAAGTACTAGCAGGTCCTAAGCCTCAGGCAGGAAGAGCTTGACACCCAAGCAGAGGACTATAAAATGGGGAACTTTCTCTGAAAAGGGATGGGCAGCTTGAGTATATAGGAACTAGAATTCACCTGTCCAAACTACTGACAGCTACACAACTAGAATTCACCTGTCCAAACCACTAATCATTAATTCATTTGTAAGTAGGAGTCACTCCTATAAAATATATTTCTGTCAAACTAGTTGCCCAGTCAACTAGAAAGTAGCCCTTCTACTTTCTCAGCCTCATGTTCAGGTTAACAACCCAAATAGTTCCAGTAGTTCCTTACATGGTATGGTTTATTTCTCATCATCGGCCAGTTGCCCTTCTCTGCACATGATCCATTTCACCATAATTCTTTTAAAAGAAGGTCCCTGGATTTGAAAACAAGACTTAGGTACAGTGCAGACAATATATTTTTGTGACATTATAATTCTTAATGTTTATCAGTTACTATTTTGTTGTTCTTTAGCAGATACATCACAATGAATTCATAGTGTTCTCTGATATTTGCTCAAAAGTGACATTTGTTCGTGATGATGAAAATGTATATGCCAGTAAAACAGATACTGTTGTAGAAGATAGATAAGTAGGTAGGTAGATTAGATAGATAGATAGATAGATAGATAGATAGATAGATAGATAGATAGACAGATAGACAGATAATTTCAAGAAATTTGCTTAGAACTGGCCAGACAAATCTGAAGTCCATAGGGTGAGTCATCAGGAAGGGTAGAGCAGAAACTTTGAAGGAGCTGGATTCCAAAAGTGGAATTACTTCAAGGAAACCTTGATTCCGTTCATAATGTCTCTCAGCTGATTGGCTCATGTCCATCCAGATTATCCAAAATAATCTCCATTACAAAAACTCAACTGATTGAGTTATAAATGTTAATCATATTCACAAAATACCTTCACAGCAACATCTACATTAGTAGTTGTTTGAATGATTGGGTAGTATAGCCAAGCTAAGTGGATACATACAACTTAACCATCACAGAGGCTCATTCCCACTCTGAAAAATTATTAATGGCTGCCTGAAATGCCATTTTTAGATGGATTCTGAGGCTGTTTCTAGACTCAGAATAAGAGTACTTAGCAGTGTCTGCCTAGTACTTTCTCCATAAACAAGAGATATACAAACACAAATATTTTCTTGTACAAGAAAAAAAAAGTGAATGATCTAGTCACAGGAAAGCATGAGATAGTTTCTGAGTTTTTACAAGATGATTATATTCAACACGGGGAAAGTCAAAGGGCTACAAAAATGGAATTTGCTATTTGTAATCTATCAACAGAAACTGACAAACATAAATGTAAATAGCATGACCACTGTAATTAGTATGATGAAAAAGTCTCAAAAATAGTATGATGCTATCAAAGAAATGCAGTGGTATATCATGATGCGAGCACAATTTCTCCAGGCCAATGGTATATGCCTACAAATTTTTCAATTGCCATTTTCTATGTAGAATATATAATTTGGTACATTCATTGGACAACAAAAGTAATATCTAAAGACATATAAGATGGATTGCATTTTCCTTCTTGGGAATTTAAGTCATTCAAGTGTTGATAACATACATCCGATGCATCAGATGTATAGTATGCTGTGTAGTGAGAATAAGTGGGGGAAAATGGCTGAAGTCAGAAAAGAGATTTCACTACCTCTTTTGAATATTTAAAAAAACACTTGAAAATCCAATAAATGTTTTAATCCTTTGTGTTTGGTAAGGTTTTTTTATTTTTTTCTTTTTTTGACATAACTCTTAGACATGACATTTAAACTGCAATTCACCCTCCAGGCATAGTTGTTTTCAAATGCTGACTTGTACCTTCAATATCTTTGAAACCCATATTTTCTCATTCAATTAGGTGATGTTTCTCATTTCCTTTTTTAAAATAAAACCTCTAATTGTAGGTGAAATAATAACTATCATTTATTATCATAAAGCTTTCTTCATGCAGAGAGGCAATGAAACTGATTAAAATAATCACAAAGGCATGATTGCATAAAAATATGTTTTAAATAAGAGGGAAAAGAAAAATATTTTCTCAATATACAATAAAAAATCGTGATGATCTAGTCACAGGAAAGGCTGAGAAAGTTTCTGAGGTTGTCAGTGTGCTACAAGATGAATATAATAACACAGAACTTACTTCATATTTACCTTTTGCTTACCTTGTACTCAGAACGTATACTCAAAGCAATTGTGTGAGAAACTCTTTCCAGAACAGTGTTTTGTGAAGAGCAAGCACAAGGAGGTGTCCCGTGTCATTGACTCCATGTTTAGTGAGATTCCTAACACTACAGAAGATTCTGCAGGCTTGCCCGGCCATCTTCCCAATCAGTGCACACATACTTAATGTTTAGTCTTCTGATCGTAATCTCATCTCTTCATTTCTCTTCTTTAAGATCTATAATGGACATTACTTTGTACCTTATATGTAATTCCCTACCAAAAACCCTATAGTGTTCAAGGCCCCTTCTAATACTCAAGACTCTTAGGGTCCCCACAAGCCCTACCTATATCACTTATAGAGCTCTTTTTTCTCTGCTAATCAAGTACCAGTTCTAGCCACAGAAAAATCTTTTTTTTTTTTTTTTTTTGAGATGGAGCCTTGCTCTGTCGCCCAGGCTGGAGTGCAGTGGCGTGATTTCGGCTCACCGCAAGCTCCGCCTCCCGGGTTCACGCCGTTCTCCTGCCTCAGCCTCCTGAGTAGCTGGGACTACAGGCGCCCACCACCACGCCCAGCTAATTTTTGTATTTTTAGTAGAGACGGGGTTTCACCTTGGTCTCGATCTCCTGACCTCGTGATCCGCCTGCCTCGGCCTCCCAAAGTGCTGGGATTACAGGCATGAGCCACCGCGCCCGGCCGCCTTAAATAGATTTAATTAGTATAAGACACCAATCTAACCAATGTTTTGAGTTAGAGACAAGCTTGGAGAAGATAAAGCAGTGGTTCTCAACCATGGGATTCCATGGCCCTCAATGGACATTTTTTAAATGTCTCAGGCATATTTGGTTGTCACAACTGGAGGGGTGGATGCAACACACGTTTAATAGACAGAGACCAAGAATGCTGTTAGACATCTTACAAAACACAGAACAGCCTTCTTGCAGAACAAAGAAGTGCCCATTCCAAAATGTTAGTAGTGCAGAGGAGTAGTAGCCCTGACATAAATCAAAGCAGACTTAAAATTACTTTCTGGTATGGATGAGTAATAAAGACATGGGTGAATTATCAATGTCTATATTTACCAGAAAGAAAATAAGCTTCAATTTCTGAGGTATATTGTCTAGCTAAAAGAAGAACTTTATGATTCTAAATTGTTTTAGCAAATGTCCAGAGTATGTAGGCATTTTTCTTGAATGGTTTTGGTATATTCCTGCCTAAAGGCAGCAGAGAAAATGTGGAAACATTTCAGAATTTTTGCAATATTATTGGCACTCTGGGAATAACAAATATCAGTTCACTGAATAAGCAAAAAATAAATAAATAAAAAATAAAATAACTCAAAAGACACTGCTCTGGGACTTACTCCTGATTTTCATTTACTATTGTCAATTATGAAATCATCATCTTCCTATAATAATATTATATCTTCAGTCTCATCACTGCAGGTTGTAATATTAGATACTATTAACAAAATAGCCTAATGATTAAGATAAAAAATTTCGTCTCATGTCTTCAAGATCCATATTGGTGTTACCTCAATGGCAATGTTACTTAGAATTATTTGTGTTAAACTATTTGGAGTTGATTTGTGTTCTTCCACATTTGAGCTGTAAGTTGTGTTTTCAATTGATAGCTGTTTTTAACACAAGATAAACACAGATGCACTTTCTTTTTTTTTTTTTTTTTTTTTTTTGAGACGGAGTCTCGCTCTGTCGCCCAGGCTGGACTGCGGACTGCAGTGGCGCAATCTTGGCTCACTGCAAGCTCCGCTTCCCGGGTTCACGCCATTCTCCTGCCTCAGCCTCCCGAGTAGCTGGGACTACAGGCGCCCGGCTAATTTTTTGTATTTTTAGTAGAGACGGGGTTTCACCTTGTTAGCCAGGATGGTCTCGATCTCCTGACCTCATGATCCACCCGCCTCGGCCTCCCAAAGTGCTGAGATTACAGGCGTGAGCCACCGCGCCCGGCCCAGATGCACTTTCATAACAGTTCTTGTTGGTGCAGGCTCCCTCCCATTTTTGAAAAACTGAGAGCTCATCACCTGGCTGTGTAGTTGTTCTGTTCATCTTTTTGTCTTTGCTTGTTTGTATTAGAAAACAGCATTTTAAAAAATAATTTTGAATAGAAGTTTTAGGTAACTGACACTTGATGAAAGAGAAGAATTTTTCACAATTATAACTTATTATATTTTTAGTTAAATTATAGAAAGTTCCTGTATCAAATGATATGATGTCATTGCTTGCCTATTTAAAGCAGCCATTTTGAGCGGCTTTGAAAGATTCTATTTTTTCCTAGTATTAGTAATTTCTCCTTCTACTACTTACCTTGCTTCAGGAGAGCATGTCTCTTTCTACCTTGGATTATAGTTAATGTATGTACATGTCTTCTATTTTCTTTCAGATTACAAACCGTTTACAAAGAGAAAATGAGCCCTTCTCATCCTTCTATCTCCTGGCACACTCTATTTCTATAGTAAAGTGAAACTGAATTGATATTCTAATTTGAGCCAAATTCCTAGAAATTAGAGGTTCATATATAACTGTATAAACAAAGGTGTGTATCTTCTATATCTATAGCAAAGTGAAACTGAATTGATACTGTATTGTAACAGAAAAAACTCAGGAGTAAAAGTGTTTGATATGGCTCTGGCATTCATGAGCATCAAGTCTAATAGCCTAGGTATGATTTTTAAAATAGTCCACCCAAATATGAAATTAACAGTAAGCTCTGTTCCCATTTTCTCTCAGAGATAGGTAGAAATAAAGATCCTTTATTCTGGCAAAAATATCTGCTGATGCTAGCTTTAATCAGATAGTCTTAAAGTCATGGTCTACTGGCAGCTGCTATTGTTAAGTGGAGAACCTAACTGATGGCAGCTACTACTCTTGGAAGCCTCTGGCAGTTACAGCTTAACAGCTCTTTTCAATAGAGTCCCCAGAGTCAATTTCTTTTCTGCTGAGTGTTTAACCTGGAATATGGCTAGGGCTCATTATACCTAGGCAAGTAGGCCAGTGACCAGAACAGGTCCAGATAGGTAAAGGATAAATGTTGCCCAGCCAAGCTGATAGAAAATCGAGGTGCAGTTAGTAATGAACCTACTGTTCAATTCCATATCCACTCTTCTTTGCTCTGCTTTGTGATCCTGGAACTGACACTGTGCAAAGCACACTTCTCTATCCAGCTGGCTCCCTGTTAAGCTCTGCCAGTAGGGAGGTCAGAGGAACACCGTTAAGTGGAGGAGAGAAAAGGAAGTTGCTCTTTCCTGTTTATTTTCCCTAACATACATCACCATGGCTGCAACATCTGGTCCAGTTTCCAATTTCTTTTCTATATCCTCAGTAGCAACCTCATTTTACCCCTCAAGAGTATCAGCCCAGTTGGGATACTCCCTTTTCAGAAGCCATAGGATGTGCTCCAGAGTGCTCCTTCTCCAATATTCTATGTTCTGGTAACCCCAATCTTATTCTTTTGTTCCCCCAGTTTAAGCTGTGGTAGCTATTCCTTAGATAGAGTTGCTATCTCTCTGTTACTTTGACCATATTTTTTAGTTTTAAAGCCCTCCAATACTTCTGTAACCAATTCCTTATATTAAAAGAAAAAATTTCCTGACTGGATTACAACTAATACACCAGTTACATTCAAATATCCAAGCAGGTAGATGCACAAAGCCATTAGCTAACAATGGAAATCGAAGCTCATGTCTGGGATTTGAAGGTGGGACTCTGGTTCCGTGATCTGTGTATACAATTGTGCATGTGGGTACACATAGCCTGATGAGCAGGAAGGATCCAGTTTGTCCAAAGAGATTGGGAAATTAAGGCAGTTACTAATATAGAAGTTTAAGGATTCTTAAGTTGGCAAAATAGCCCAGCTTCTAACTTCATCCTGCAACGTCAACTCTTAACTATAGCAGTAAAAAAGAATCTTGGAGTTTACTAGCAAGATAAAATAATAAAATAAAAATTATAACATGCATGGAAAGAATCAAAGCTGCCTTGATCTGATATGTTTGTGAGA
Organism: Homo sapiens; assembly: GCF_000001405.40. Taxonomy (NCBI): domain Eukaryota; kingdom Metazoa; phylum Chordata; class Mammalia; order Primates; family Hominidae; genus Homo; species Homo sapiens. The sequence goes on from NC_000002.12 coordinate 211,212,242, forward strand.
TGCAAAGGCTAAGGCGCGAGATGAAAGGTAACCACAGGCAAGAGTAGAAGAAAAGAGTTTTAATTTATGCTCTAGCATCCGTCCTCCATGCCATCGTTGTCTTTGGACAAACAATGCCGTCCCCTTCACCTCAAATATTGACAGAAACAGTCAGACTACAAGGACCTTTACATGATATCCTAGAGAAATAGAAATGCCCTGCTCATGGGAGAAGTAGAAGAAAATAGATACGGACCGAGTGGCCACCTTCTGGCATTGATTCTTCCACTGTCTTCTTTTAACCTTAGGCCTGATGAATTACAAATCTCAAGGGACTGCCTTCTCCCTGGGCTGCTGTTTTGAAAAGAAAAAAACAAGAAAATTTGAGGATACTATGCCTGGAGAGGTGGTTGAAAATAGGTACAATGAACAAGGGCTCTGTCATCCTGGGACCCTCTATCCTAGGAAACAAGTGGAACAAATCAAAAGATTTATACTAACTGAAGAATATAAAACTATCAGACAGAAGAATTTCCCAGAAAGCAGCAGCAAAGAAAAAGAAAATGTAAGAGAAATGTATGAAGTGTAAAAGATTAGACAATAGAGTTAGAAATGACAGCCTCAGAAGTTTTAGTGTACAAAGACCCACACTGAATATGCTTTTGGAGAAAGAAACAAGTTTTGCAATTTGAGTTGCTACAAAAGACTATGGAAAGTAAAATAATCAAAGACTTGGTCAGCTTACTGTGGTCTCAGGGAAAAGAAAAAGCTAATACAAAGGAAAATGAGAAGTATGTCCTCAGTAATTTCATATTAAAATTTTAGACAATATCAGGTCATTAAAAACTCAATACATTCTAAAATATAAAAATCATGTATATTGTTTTTGTTTATATTTCAGTAAAATTAGATATTAATAACAAAAATCCAATACATAGAAACTGAATAATAGCTCACTGAATAATCATTGCATTTAAAGGGAAATTAAGAATTATTTAAAGCTGAACAGTAAGTAAACTTCTGTATGGTAAATTTGTGGGACACAGCTAAGCTGTAGTTAGAGGGAAATTTAGAGCTTTGAATACATTTACCTTTAAATTATTCATTTGGATACCATTTTGGTCAAACTAAGGTAGTGGCTGAGCACACAAGATGGGAAGAACTGAGTTAGTATCTGGTGTTCTTAGAACTCTGGAGTTGCACATATGTAGGTGTAAATCTCATGTAAGCCACTAGCTGTGTAATCTTGAGCAGAATATTTTGCCTCTTATATTCACTTTCTGTCTCTATAAAATAAGTCTGATAGAAGTACCTGTCAGGGTGGATGCAAGGAACAAATTTAAAAATCTATTTGTTGTAAGTGTTAGCTATTACTACTTTCAGCAAGAAAAAAATGAGGACAAAGGTATAACACTGTCAGTGAGTCCAACTTTTAGTGGCAACTACTTTGTGTTACCAGTTTTTATAAAAGAGTATTCCTTGTATACATACCTTTATAGAGTATTGAAGCCAGACATTCACAAACTCCACATTGTAAAATCCTAACTTAAAACCAGACATTCCCAAACTCCACATCATAAAATCCTAGCTTATGCTACCTGGTAGCCCATCTATTCTTCTCTGAGGCCTGGGAGAGAGATAGTGACATTACTTTGGCCCAATTTTGATTTTTTCCCCTCAAGATGTAACACTTCCTCTGTCCTCCACCACAACCATCCTGTCTTACTAAGTAAAGCCTGTTACTCATTTGGGTACAAGGAGGACTTTGGGGTGACAGTTTGGTTCTCAATAGGGTTATCATCTTGAGAAGTAAAGCCTGTCACTCATTTGGGTACAAGGAGGACTTCGGGGTGATAGTTTGATTCTCAATATGGTTATCATCTTGAGAACTAAACTATCACCCCAAAGTCCTCCTTGTATATTTCCCAAAACCAAAAAGACAACAAATGCATAAGTGCGCACACGGAAATGCCTGCTGCTCCCAAGTAAGACGCACAAACTTAAATAACTAGTAGTACCATAATAACTTCTCATTTGCAAACAAATAAAACTATGAATATGTCACATTTTAAGTAGTAAAATCATTTGTGCTGTGGGTAGATTACTTTGAAGAAAGAGCTCAGTCTGCAAAATTTCTAGGATGTTTCCTTCAAGATCAGATCAACACACTTAGGTTTGACAATTAAAGTTTCTGTGTCATCTTTTAGATACGTGACTTCTCCAATAGTTTGAATAAAATGAATAATTCCTTTGAAACCATGCCATTAGTTTCAGTAAACACTGAAAGTTTGATGCTGATTGTCTTACTTAATCAGCAGACCAGTCCTTTGTGATTATTTTAGCCCCATTTTACAGGTAAAAAACTAAGCTTTAGAGAGATTACATAGTTAATTCAAAATCATATAATTACAAAGAGGTGGTTCAAGGCAAGTATTATGAGGGTTCATAGATAACAGAGATCACATCCAGTAGCAGACAATTAGCATTAGTTACTCAGATGACTACACTTATCTCTTAACCTCTTACCACTGAAGTAATTTTCTGAAGATCCTAGCCTATGGTAGTTTGTACATGTGTTATGGCTGGCTGCCCTTTATTAGTACCTTTGTTTAGCTTGGAATATTTTCATTAGTTTACATTTTCCTGGTTTATTCCTATGAGAGAACATTTTCCTGGAAGAAGGTAAAGAATATGGCTCCATTTAATTAGGGTCAAGGCTGTGCAAGGGAATCATCTCCACAAAAGCAGATATTTGAATGAAGTAGTCCTTTGAAGCTGGTTGAGGAAATGAACTTTAAACTAAATTTGAAGGAACTTTAGTTGAGAACTACCAGGGCAAAGAAGCCCAGACCATTTGAGGCTCTCTGAATAAAATGTGGCCTTGGTCAGCAAGGGTAAGAATACAATTTTAATTTTATTCATCACGAGTGATCTAAGAAAATGGAAAGGATATCTGTTAAATTTGAAAGTTGCATGCAAATTGTAACACATAAGTGACAGGACCTCAAAAAAGTAAGGAAAGAAGTTCCAAGAGCAGAGAACTTATTTCTGCAGAATCCTGCCCACAGAAGACAAAGGCTTGCATTCCACTTGGGTTTCACCTTAAAGAAGTTTGCCTCAGTTGACTATTTGTGTCCTGTGTCAATCAGGAATGTTATAAAGTCAAACCAAGCATTGCACAATGGCTTGCTGAGAAAAGAAGGCATAGTGCATTACAGAATCCATTTCTGTAAGTTATGATTTGAACAGAAGTCCTTAAGTTCTTGAGCACAAGGATTTCAAATAGAGGAAACTATAATAGCTTGCACGATTTTTTCTATTCATCCAGAAAATTTGCACTCTGGCAGAATACAAAACTATGAATAAGCTTTAGGAATATGCTATTGTTCTCTTACAGTTCTTACTTAAATAGTCATTTAAAATAATTGCTATTTTTCTATCATTATAAAAAAGTAAGAAAGCTTGTTTTATAAATTTAAAAATAAATTTGTTTATTAAATAAGTTAAGCCTCTTCAAGATTGGGTGGAACATACTATTAATTCAGATCTTTGTTTAAAATAGCATGAACACACAAGCTTGCACATTTTGAGTCTTAAAAGCATTGCTTCCTGTTGCTTTGGCAAAAAAATACCTATTAATTAATGTTTTTATTTGTACCTGGGCTAATACCTAGGCTTTATTCTGAAGAGTTTTATTTTTTATTCCTTTATGGCTCTATGCTCCAATAGTACTTTGATGAATTATAAATACAAAGATATGCTTTGTAATTGGTTATAAAATGTCATCTTTTATTTAAGATTTTCTCTCTCGCAAAACATGGTGCTTTATTTTGCATCTTTTTCATGCAGCACAAAGACAAATTCCATGATCCTTATTGAATTACACATATTTAATTACTGATAAGATCGGCTTGCCAATCATTTATTACCATGCATCCCACTCAGTGTAATATTCCCAACTGTAACCTAAAAAAAAAAAAAAAAAAAAAGAGGAGATATAATAGTAAAACAAATCAACTTACTTGATGTGGGCAAATGAGAATGGAATAAGCAAGGTAGAATGATGGAATGCTCCACCATGGCAAGAACACTTTGAGGCACAAACAAAAGCAACCCTGCATTGCATTTAATTACTACACAATAACTGATTTACTAAACTTAGTATGTGGTTGTAATTCACAACTCTTGTTGCACATTTCACTCACCAGAGGGAGCTTTTAACCACTATCACCCTAATGCCAAAACCAGGAAAGGACATAACGAAAAAAACTACAGACCAGTATCTCTGATTAACATAGATGCAAAAATCCCCAACAAAATACTAGCTAACTGAATCCAACAGCATATCAAAAAGATAATTCACCATGATCAAGTGGGTTTCATACCAGGGATGTAGGTATGGTTTGACATCCACAAGTCAATAAATGTGATACATCACATAAAGAGGATTAAAAATGAAAATTACATGATCACCTCAAAAGATGCAGAAAAAGCATTTGACAAAATCCAGCATCGCTTTATGATTAAAATCCTCAGCAAAATTGACATAGAAGGGACATAGCTTAACGTAATAAAACCCATCTATGACAAATCCACAGCCAACATTATGCTGAATGGGGAAAAGTTAGAAGCATTCCCACTGAGAACTGGAACAAGACAAGGATACATACTTTCACCACTTCTATTCAACATAGTACCAGAAGTCCTACTCAGAGCGATCAGACAAGAGAAAGAAATAAAGGGCATCCAAATCGGTAAGGAGGAAGTCAAACTGTCACTGTTTGCTGATGATATGACCATATACCTAGAAGACCCTCAAGACTCCTCCAAACTCCTCCAAAAAGTTCCTAGAACTGATAAATGAATTCAGCAACGTTTCAGGATACAAAATCCATCTACACAAATCAGTAGCACTGCTATACACCAACAGCGATTAAGTTGATAAGAACACAACCCTTTTTACAAGAGCTGCAAAGATAAAAAATAAAATGCTTAGAAATATACCTAGCCAAGGAGATGAAAGACCTCTACAAGGAAAACTGTGAAACACTGCTGAAAGAAATCATAGATGACACAGACAAATAGAAACACATTCCATGTTCATGGATGGGTAGAATCAATATTGTAAAAATGACCATACTGTAAAAGCAATCTACAAATTCCATGCAATACCCATTAAAATACCACCATCATTCTTCACAGAACTAGAAAAAAACAATCCTAAAATTCATATGGAATCAAACAAGAGCCTGCATAATGAAAGCAAGACTATGCAAAAAGAACAATTTGGAGGCATCACGTTACCTAAAACTAAAAACTATACTATAAGGCCATAGTCACCAAAACAGCATGGTACTGGTATAAAAATAGGCACATAGACCAATGGAACAGAATAGGGAACCAAGGAATAAAGCCAAATACTTACAGTCAACTGATCTTTGACAAAGCAAACAAAAACATAAAGTGGGGAAAGGACACCCTATTCAACAAATGGTGCTGAGATAATTGGCAAGCAACATGTAGGAGAATGAAGCTGGATCCTCACCTCTCAACCTATACAAAAATCAACTCAAGATGGAAAAAAGACATAAATTTAATACCTGAAACCATATATATATATATATATATACACACACACACACCCCATGGAATACTACTCAGCCATAAAAAGGAATGAAATAATGTCATTTGCAGCAACCTGGATGTAATCAGAGACCATTATTCTAAGTGAAATAACTCAAGTATGGAAAACCAAACATCATATCTTCTCTCTCATAAGTGGAAACTAAGCTATGAGAACCCAGAGGCATAAGAATGATACAATGGACTTTGGGGACTCAGGGGAAAGGATAGGAGGTGGGTGAGGAATAAGACTATACATTGGGTACAGTGTACAGTGCTCGGGTGATGGGTGCACCAAAATTTCAGAAAGCACCACTAAAGAACTTTTCATCTAACCAAACACCACCTACTCCCCAAAACCGATTGAAATAAAAAATTTAAAAAAGGAGAAAAAAAATAAAAAGCGACTACTAATAGTTGAACCCCTTCCAAAGGAAAACCACATATGTTGGAGGAGAGCTCAAGCATTGATATTTTTAAAGAAGTTCCTCAGCTAATTTTAAGTTGCCACCAAGAAGGTCTAAGAATCACTGGTCTAGGGCAATGGCCCTCAAAATGTGGTTTCTGAACCAGAAGCATGGCATCACCTGAGAAGTTATTAGAAATACAAATTCTCAGCTCCACCTCACACCTGCTGAATCAGAAACTTTGGAGAGAAGGCTCACCAATCTGTGTTTTAAAGACTTCGAGAGATTGTATTTTATGCTAATGTAATCAAAGACTTATTTCTTCATCTGGTTTATTGCATCAAATTATTTTTCTGGCTATGCTAGTTTCCTCAAGAGTTGCTAAGGAGAGACTGAACTGGATATTTTTCATTGTAGAAAGGAACCTGAGAATGACTTCCTGAATACCATCAAACATATGAGAAGCCTTTCTAGCTCTTATGTAGTCTATAAATCACTAGAGTTTTAGAAAACCCATAGCAACATATCCACGTTGCATGTGACTTCAGGAACAAATGAGAGATATATTCAAGAACCAGAGAGATAAAAACCCAAAATACCATCTTTATTACTAATAAATTGGCCTTATAACTGAGGCAGGTGAGCATTTCCTGTGAATTAGCAGATTTACTCTACCCCTCCAATTATTGATACAGCTAGATGAGGATAGGCCTTGCCCTAAAGGGACAGGCTCCTAACAGCAACAGGCAAGATCATAAGCCTGTGTAAACTTCGGCAGGAAATTACAATTAAAAGGAGAAAGAAGAAGTAGCTGACACTAACATGTCCAGTTCCTTCTTCTAAAGTCATAAAGGAGGTAAATTCTTTCTTGTAAGAAGGTAAATTCTTCTTCTAGTAGAAGTTCCTACAGAAATATGAGGAATGAGGCACAAGAGTTTTCCCTTAAAATGGACAATAATCAAAGTGATATCACAAATCTTGAATCTCATTCATTCAACTCAAATTGATTGGGCACTTACTCTTTCAGGAATTATGTGAATATGGTATGGGTATAAGAATGGGAAGTTAAGAGGGGGAGGAGCCAAGATGGCCGAATAGGAACAGCTCCAGTCTACAGCTCCCAGCCTGAGTGACGCAGAAGACGGTGATTTCTGCATTTCCATCTGAGGTAACGGGTTCATCTCACTAGGGAGTGCCAGACAGTGGGCGCAGGTCAGTGGTTGCGCGCACCGTGCGCCAGCCAAAGCAGGGCGAGGCATTGCCTCACTTGGGAAGCGCAAGGGGTCAGGGAGTTCCCTTTCCGAGTCAAAGAAAGGGGTGACGGACGGCACCTGGAAAATTGGGTCACTCCCACCCGAATACTGCGCTTTTCCGACGGGCTTAAAAAACGGCGCACCACGAGATTATATCCTGCACCTGGCTTGGAGGGTCCTACGCTCACGGAATCTCGCTGATTGCTAGCACAGCAGTCTGAGATCAAACTGCAAGGCAGCAGGGAGGCTGAGGGAGGGGCGCCTGCCATTGCCCAGGCTTGATTAGGTAAACAAAGCAGCCAGGAAGCTCCAACTGGGCGGAGCCCACCACAGCTCAAGGAGGCCTGCCTGCCTCTGTAGGCTCCACCTCTGGGGGCAGGGCACAGACAAACAAAAAGAGAGCAGTAACCTCTGCAGACTTAAATGTCTCTGTCTGACAGCTTTGAAGAGAGCAGTGGTTCTCCCAGCACGCAGCTGGAGATCTGAGAATGGGCAGACTGCCTACTCAAGTGAGTCCCTGACCCCTGACCCCCGAGCAGCCTAACTGGGAGGCACCCCCCAGCAGGGGCACACTGACACCTCACATGGCAGGGTATTCCAACAGACCTGCAGCTGAGGGTCCTGTCTGTTAGAAGGAAAACTAACAAACAGAAAGGACATCCACACCAAAAACCCATCTGTACATCACCATCATCAAAGACCAAAAGTAGATAAAACCACAAAGATGGGGAAAAAACAGAGCAGAAAAACTGGAAACTCTAAAAACCAGAGCACCTCTCCTCGTCCAAAGGAACGCAGTTCCTCACCAGCAACGGAACAAAGCTGGATGGAGAATGACTTTGAGGAACTGAGAGAAGAAGGCTTCAGACGATCAAATTACTCTGAGCTACGGGAGGACATTCAAACCAAAGGCAAAGAAGTTGAAAACTTTGAAAAAAATTTAGAAGAATGTATAACTAGAATAACCAATACAGAGAAGTGCTTAAAGGAGCTGATGGAGCTGAAAACCAAGGCTCGAGAACTACGTGAAGAATGCAGAAGCCTCAGGAGCCGATGTGATCAACTGGAAGAAAGGGTATCAGTGATGGAAGATGAAATGAATGAAATGAAGCGAGAAGGGAAGTTTAGAGAAAAAAGAATAAAAAGAAATGAGCAAAGCCTCCAAGAAATATGGGACTATGTGAAAAGACCAAATCTACGTCTGATTGGTGTACCTGAAAGTGATGGGGAGAATGCAACCAAGTTGGAAAACACTCTGCAGGATATTATCCAGGAGAACTTCCCCAATCTAGCAAGGCAGGCCAACGTTCAGATTCAGGAAATACAGAGAACGCCACAAAGATACTCCTCGAGAAGAGCAACTCCAAGACACATAATTGTCAGATTCACCAAAGTTGAAATGAAGGAAAAAATGTTAAGGGCAGCCAGAGAGAAAGGTCGGGTTACCCTCAAAGGGAAGCCCATCAGACTAACAGCGGATCTCTCGGCAGAAACCCTACAAGCCAGAAGAGAGTGGGGGCCAATATTCAACATTCTTAAAGACAAGAATTTTCAACCCAGAATTTCATATCCAGCCAAACTAAGCTTCATAAGCGAAGGAGAAATAAAATACTTTACAGACAAGCAAATGCTGAGAGATTTTGTCACCACCAGGCCTGCCCTAAAAGAGCTCCTGAAGGAAGCGCTAAACATGGAAAGGAACAACCGGTACCAGCCGCTGCAAAATCATGCCAAAATGTAAAGACCATCAAGACTAGGAAGAAACTGCATCAACTAACGAGCAAAATAACCAGCTAACATCATAATGACAGGATCAAATTCACACATAACAATATTAACTTTAAATGTAAATGGACTAAATGCTCCAATTAAAAGACACAGACTGGCAAATTGGATAAAGAGTCAAGACCCATCAGTGTGCTGTATTCAGGAAACCCATCTCACGTGCAGACACACACATAGGCTCAAAATAAAAGGATGGAGGAAGATCTACCAAGCAAATGGAAAACAAAAAAAGGCAGGGGTTGCAATACTAGTCTCTGATAAAACAGACTTTAAACCAACAAAGACCAAAAGAGACAAAGAAGGCCATTACATAATGGTAAAGGGATCAATGCAACAAGAAGAGCTAACTCTCCTAAATATATATGCATCCAATACAGGAGCACCCAGATTCATAAAGCAAGTCCTGAGTGACCTACAAAGAGACTTAGACTCCCACACATTAATAATGGGAGACTTTAATGCCCCACTGTCAACATTAGACAGATCAACGAGACAGAAAGTCAACAAGGATACCCAGGAATTGAACTCAGCTCTGCACCAAGTGGACCTAATAGACATCTACAGAACTCTCCACCCCAAATCAACAGAATATACATTTTTTTCAGCACCACACCACACCTATTCCAAAATTGACCACATACTGGGAAGTAAAGCTCTCCTCAGCAAATGTAAAAGAACAGAAATTAAAACAAACTGTCTCTCAGACCACAGTGCAATCAAACTAGAACTCAGGATTAAGAATCTCACTCAAAACCGCTCAACTACATGGAAACTGAACAACCTGCTCCTGAATGACTACTGGGTACATAACGAAATGAAGGCAGAAATAAAGATGGTCTTTGAAACCAACGAGAACAAAGACACAACATACCAGAATCTCTGGGACACATTCAAAGCAGTGTGTAGAGGGAAATTTATAGCACTAAATGCCCACAAGAGAAAGCAGGAAAGATCCAAAATTGACACCCTAACATCACAATTAAAAGAACTAGAAAAGCAAGAGCAAACACATTCAAAAGCTAGCAGAAGGCAAGAAATAACTAAAATCAGAGCAGAACTGAAGGAAATAGAGACACAAAAAACCCTTCAAAAAATTAATGAATCCAGGAGCTGGTTTTTTGAAAGGATCAACAAGATTGATAGACCACTAGCAAGACTAATAAAGAAAAAGAGAGAGAAGGATCGAATAGACACAATAAAAAATGATAAAGGGGATATCACCACCGATCCCACAGAAATACAAACTACCATCAGAGAATACTACAAACACCTCTAGCAAATAAACTAGAAAATCTAGAAGAAATGGATATATTCCTTGACACATACACCCTCCCAAGACTAAACCAGGAAGAAGTTGAATCTCTGAATAGACCAATAGCAGGATCTGAAATTGTGGCAATAATCAATAGCTTACCAACCAAAAAGAGTCCAGGACCAGGTGGATTCACAGCTGAATTCTACCAGAGGTACAAGAAGGAACTGGTACCATTCCTTCTGAAACTATTCCAATCAATAGAAAAAGAGGGAATCCTCCCTAACTCATTTTATGAGGCCAGCATCATTCTGATACCAAAGCCAGGCAGAGACACAACAAAAAAAGAGAATTTTAGACCAATATCCTTGATGAACATTGATGCAGAAATCCTCAATAAAATACTGGCAAAACGAATCCAGCAGCACATCAAAAAGCTTATCCACCATGATCAAGTGGGCTTCATCCCTGGGATGCAAGGCTGGTTCAATATATGCAAATCAATAAATGTAATCCAGCATATAAACAGAGCCAAAGACAAAAACCACATGATTAACTCAATAGATGCAGAAAAAGCCTTTGACAAAATTCAACAACCCTTCATGCTAAAAACTCTCAATAAATTAGGTATTGATGGGACGTATCTCAAAATAATGAGAGCTATCTATGACAAACCCACAGCCAATATCATACTGAATGGGCAAAAACTGGAAGCATTCCCTTTGAAAACTGGCACAAGACAGGGCTGCCCTCTCTCACCACTCCTATTCAACATAGTGTTGGAAGTTCTGGCCAGGGCAATTAGGCAGGAGAAGGAAATAAAGGGTATTCAATTAGGAAAAGAGGAAGTCAAATTGTCCCTGTTTGCAGATGACATGATTGTATATCTAGAAAACCCCATTGTCTCAGCCCAAAATCTCCTTAAGCTGATAAGCAACTTCAGCAAAGTCTCAGGATACAAAATCAATGTACAAAAATCACAAGCATTCTTATACACCAGCAACAGACAAACAGAGAGCCAAATCATGAGTGAACTCCCATTCACAATTGCTTCAAAGAGAATAAAATACCTAGGAATCCAACTTACAAGGGATGTGAAGGACCTCTTCAAGGAGAACTACAAACTACTGCTCAAGGAAATAAAAGAGGATACAAACAAATGGAAGAACATTCCATGCTCATGGGTAGGAAGAATCAATATCGTGAAAATGGCCATACTGCCCAAGGTAATTTACAGATTCACTGCCATCCCCATCAAGCTACCAATGCCTTTCTTCACAGAATTGGAAAAAACTAAAGTTCATATGGAACCAAAAAAAAGTCCGCATCACCAGGTCAATCCTAAGCCAAAAGAACAAAGCTGGAGGCATCACACTACCTGACTTCAGACTATACTACAAGGCTACGGTAACCAAAACAGCATGGTACTGGTACCAAAACAGAGATATAGACCAATGGAACAGAACAGAGCCCTCAGAAATAATGCCACATATCTACAACTATCTGATCTTTGACAAACCTGAGAAAAACAAGCAATGGGGAAAGGATTCCCTATTTAATAAATGGTGCTGGGAAAACTGGCTAGCCATATGTAGAAAGCTGAAACTGGATCCCTTCCTTACACCTTATACAAAAATCAATTCAAGATGGATTAAAGACTTAAACGTTAGACCTAAAACCATAAAAACCCTAGAAGAAAACCTAGGCATTACCATTCAGGACATAGGCATGGGCAAGGACTTCATGTCCAAAACACCAAAAGCAATGGCAACAAAAGACAAAATTGACAAATGGGATCTAATTAAACTAAAGAGCTTCTGCACAGCAAAAGAAACTACCATCAGAGTGAACAGGCAACCTACAAAATGGGAGAAAATTTTCGTAACCTACTCATCTGACAAAGGGCTAATATCCAGAATCTACAATGAACTCAAACAAATTTACAAGAAAAAAACAAACAACCCCATCAAAAAGTGGGCGAAGGACATGAAGAGACACTTCTCAAAAGAAGACATTTATGCAGCCAAAAAACACATGAAAAAATGCTCATCATCACTGGCCATCAGAGAAATGCAAATCAAAACCACAATGAGATACCATCTCACACCAGTTAGAATGGCAATCATTAAAAAGTCAGGAAACAACAGCTGCTGGAGAGGATGTGGAGAAATAGGAACACTGACACTGTTGGTGGGACTGTAAACTAGTTCAACCATTGTGGAAGTCAGTGTGGCGATTCCTCAGGGATCTAGAACTGGAAATACCATTTGACCCAGCCATCCCATTACTGGGTATATACCCAAAGGACTGTAAATCATGCTGCTATAAAGACACATGCACACGTATGTTTATTGCGGCATTATTCAGAATAGCAAAGACTTGGAACCAACCCAAATGTCCAACAGTGATAGACTGGATTAAGAAAATGTGGCACATATACACCATGGAATACTATGCAGCCATAAAAAATGATGAATTCATGTCCTTTGTAGGGACATGGATGAAATTGGAAAACATCATTCTCAGTAAACTATCGCAAGAACAAAAAACCAAACACCACATATTCTCACTCATAGGTGGGGACTGAACAATGAGATCACATGGACACAGGAAGGGGAATATCACACTCTGGGGACTGTTGTGGGGTGGGGGCAGGGGGGAGGGATAGCATTGGGAGATAAACCTAATGCTAGATGACGAGTTAGTGGGTGCAGTGCACCAGCATGGCACATGTATACATATGTAACTAACCTGCACAATGTGCACATGTACCCTAAAACTTAAAGTATAATAAAAAAAAAAAAAAGGGAAGTTAAAATGGTGGTAGCTATGGATACATTTGAGAATTGTATTTATCCATGGCCAAGATTTGTACTTTAAGTGCAACTGAAATTTTTATTTTGATTTATATTCAAAAGTTTTACTTAGTGTTTGAGAAGTTAATGCGACATGATTATATAAGCAACACAGATATTCCAAAAATGTTTTGTGCATCAAAAGATAATTAAAATATTCCATTGATAAAGAATTAATCCATATTGTGTCTGGACAGTCTACCTGAGGTCACTTTTTTACCTTATCTCTCAAGAGCATAGCTCCAAATAATTCCCAATAGAAAGTCCAAGGCAGGATCCTTTTGAAGGACGACACATAAGTAAAGGAAATTATTGTCGGAAGTGTGAGTGAGGTAAACAAGAGCAAGACCACATGTGCAAATCCAAACAACAAATTTCAATATCTTTCCAAAAGCCAAAAATATTCATACGGATGAAAATAAATGTTAATTCAAAAATAAACTTTGCAAGTTGACAATAAATCACTTGCTATTTATAGTAAAGACAGGAGTTTTTAAAGCTAAAGAGAAAATTGCTCTTCCAGCACTAAAAGATGCTTATCAGAATGTGACAGGACAGGGGTTACACATTCAAATGTAACAAGATTAGGCTTTGAATTCCCAAAGTAGAAAGAATGTGTTCGGCAGAAATGGTTTTTACGTTGCCTGTTGGGCTGCTTTTGAATCAATTCTGTTTATCTGTGGCATCAGCTGTGGTTCTGCGACTGGAGATTTTTAGTTAGAGAAAAAATCAGAAATACTGAATTCTAGAGTTTTCTTGGTGGTAAAATGCAATGCAAAATAGTCTTTATTATACACAGGTTTGACCTAACTTTAATTAACTTCAATATAATTATAGGATGTGACTTTTATACTTGATTTTAAGGTTTGTGCTAAGTGAGAAAAACTCTATAAATATACTAATTGATACTTAAATCATTTATTATAGAAAAAATATCCATTCTACATTCACATCACAATATTTAATACTTAGTTTTTGTTTAGTAAAAGAAACTTAAGAGAGATTCTAAAATCTGAGTGCCCTTTTGTTTATATTTTCCTGACAAGATTCGATGTGTGAGAAAAATAAAATTTCAGTGACATATTAATACTGCATGTTATCAAGCAAAACATGTAAATGTATAAACTGAATATGAACCTTCATGCTAAGGTCATAGTTCTTTCTTAGATAATTTTGTCAAGTTTCCCAAACTTTCTATTTCCCCTTGAAATAATCTCTTTTGTAAAATAATAGCACCAAAAATGGTCACTGTTTTTTCTTAAAATTATATATCATCTCTACAGAAACTCCATTTTATTAAAGTTTGATATATGGAGTACTTCAGTATACCTATGTATGTTTATGTGTGTGTGTTTTAAGTGTGGTAGGATATAATATACATTATCACACAACATTTGCTATTCTCTGTAATAAATATTATTTTATGAAATGATGATACAATGGAAATAGTGTAAAACTGCAAGATTATAAAATAAGTCCTTCTGTGTCTGGCTTCTTATACTTGGTACAGTGTTTTCAAAATTCAGCCATGTTGTAGCATCTATCAGACCTTTACTTTTTTTTTTTTTTTTTTTTTTTTTTGAGACGGAGTCTCGCTGTCGCCCAGGCTGGAGTGCAGTGGCGCAATCTCGGCTCACTGCAGGCTCCGCCCCCTGGGGTTCACGCCATTCTCCTGCCTCAGCCTCCCGAGTAGCTGGGACTACAGGCGCCCGCCACCTCGCCCGGCTAATTTTTTGTATTTTTAGTAGAGACGGGGTTTCACCGTGTTAGCCAGGATGGTCTCGATCTCCTGACCTCGTGATCCGCCCGCCTCGGCCTCCCAAAGTGCTGGGATTACAGGCGTGAGCCACCGCGCCCGGCCCAGACCTTTACTTTTTATGGCTAAATTCATTGTATGTATGTACTACATTTGGATTATCCATCTATCTATTGATGGACACTTGAGTTGTTTCTATCTTTTGGTTATTGCAAATAATTCTGCAATCAACTTTTGCATACACGTATCTGTTTGAGTTCCCCTTTTAATTCTTCTGGTATATTCTGAGGAGTAGAATTGCTGGGTTGTATGGTAATTCCATGTTTTGCCTTTTAAGGAGCTGCCAAACTGTTTTCTGCAGTTGCTATATCATTTTACATTTCCACCAGCAAAGTTCTAGGGATCCACTTTTTCCACATTCTCACCAACACTTGTTATTTTCCATTTTTGTTGATGTAGCTATCCTAGTAGGTGTGAAGTGCTATCTCCTTATGTTTCCCAAATGACCAAAATCTTTTCATTTGCTTATTGGCCATTCATACATCTTTGTTGGAGAAATGTCTATTCAAGTATTTTGCCCATTTTTTCATTTGATTATTTGTCTTTTTGTTGTTGAGTTGTAGGAGTTCTTTATATATTTTGGATACTAAACCCTCATCGGATATATAATTTCAAAATATATTATTTTGTTCTATAGTTTGTCTTTTCATTCTTTGATAATGTCCTTTGATACACAAAAGTTATTAATATTGATGAAGTCTACCTTAATTTTTCTTTAGTTGTTCATACTTTTGGTGTCAAATATCCCATATGGGAAAATTTATAGAAACATAAGGTAGATTAAAGGTTAACAGAAACTCCAGAGAGTGGAGAATGGGAAGTTAGTGCTTAATGTTTAGAGTTTCTGCTTGGGGTGATGAAAACGTTATGGAAATAGATGATGCTGATCATTGCACAACATTGTGAATATAAATATTGTCGCTGAATTGTGAATTTAAAAATAGTAAAATGGAGGAGGAAGTGGAGTAAGATGGCTGATTAAATTGCTCCAGTGATCATTGTCTCCCACGGAGGAACACCAAATTAAACGACTGTCCACACAAGAAAGCACCTTCATACGAACTAAAAATCAGGTGAGCAATCACAGTACCTGATTTTAACAACATATCAAGGAAACAGACACTGAAAAGCAAAGGAAAGACAGTCTTGAATTGCTGAGACCACCCCTCCCCAAGCCCTGGCAGTAGCTACCTGGCAAAGACAGAATCTCTGTGCTTGATGGTGGGGGAGCACAGTGATTGGTGATTGTGGACTTTCCACTGGGACTCAAGTGCTGTCTGTCACAGCAGAAAGCAACACAGCAGAATTCAGCCAGCACCACAAAGGGAGCATTTAGACTAGCCCTAGCCAGAGGGGAGTCACCCATTCCAGCAGTTAGAATTTGAATTTTGGCTAGCCCCACCACCGTGAGCTAAAGTGCTCTAAGGAACTAAATAAACGTGAAAGGCAGTCTAGGCCACAAGGACTGCAATTCCTGGGCAAGTCCCAGTGCTGTGCTGGACTCAGAGCTAGTGGACTTGAGCACATGACCCAGTAGTAAGTCACTAGCTGGGGCAGCCAAGGGAGTGCTTGCATCATCCCTTCTGGAACCCCAGGTAGAACAGCACACAACTCTGGGAGAGACTCCTTCTTCCTGCTTGAGGACACTAGAGGGGAGAGTAAAGAGGACTTTGTTTTGCAATGCGGATACCAGCTCAGCCACTGTAAAATTTGATGCCAGGCAGAGTCCTAAGGCTGATTCCAGGCCCTAGACCTCAGATGACATTTCTAGACATACCCTGAGCCGGATAGGAAACTACTGCCTTGAAGGAAAGGGTCTAGTTCTGGCAGGATTCATCATATGCTGACTAAAGAGCCTATGAGCTTTGAAAAATATCAGCAGTACCCAGAGAGTACATGCCATGAGCCTCGGGTAGAACCCTGAGCCATGCTGGCTTCAGGTGTCACTCAGCACATTCCCAGTTCTGGTGGCCACAGGGAGAAACTCGTCTTGCTTAAGGCAAGGAGAGGGAAGAGTAAAGGGAACTTGGTCTTGCAGCTTGGTCACCAGATTGAGGTAGAGCACCAAGGAGGCTCCTAGGGCCTTTGATTTCAGGCCTTGGTTCCTGGAAAGCATTTCTGGACCTGCCCTGGGCCACAGGGGAGCCCACTGCTCTGAAGGGAGAGGCCTGGCAGTATTTACCACAAGCTGAGTGAAGAGACCACGGGCTTTGAGTAAACATTGGCAGTAGCCAGGCAGTACTCACCACAGACCTGCGTGGTGGTGGCACAAGAAGAGACTCCTTCTGCATTAGGAAAGGAAGGGAAGAGGGAAAAGGACTTTGTCTTGTAGCTTGAGTACCAGCTCAGCCCCAGTAGAATAGTGCACCAGATACATTCCTAAGGTTCCCAACTCCAGGCCCTGGCTCCCAGATTTTTGGTCCTGCCCTGCACCGAAGAAGAGCATACCATCCTAAAAGGAAGAACACAAGCCTGGCTGGATTCACCACCTGCTGATTGAAGAGCGTTTGGGTGACTACAGTCAACAATAATTTACTGTACATTTTAAAATAACTTAAAGAGTATAATTAGAATGCTTGTAACACAAAGAAATTATAAATGCTTGAAGTAATAGATACCCCTTATACCCTGATGTGATTATTATATATTGCATGCCTGTATCAAAATAGCTCATGTATCTCATAAATACATACACCTACTATGTACCCACAAAAAATTGAAAATAAAAAAATGGTTAAAATGGTAAATTTTATGTCAAGTATATTTTATGACGTTAAAAACAGTTTAAAAATTGCCAAAAAAGTAGCACAATTTTTGGGGGGTTTTGTTTTGTTTTTGTTTTTGTTTTTGTTTTTTTGAGATGGAGTCTTGCTCTGTCACCAGGCTGTAGTGCAGTGGCACAATCTCGGCTCACTGCAACCTCCGCCTCCTGGGTTCAAGCGATTCCCCTGCCTCAGCCTCCTGAGTAGCTGGGATTACAGGCATGCGCCACCACATCTGGCTAAATTTTTGTATTTTAGTAGAGACAGTGATTTACCATGTTGGCCAGGATGGTCTTGATCTCCTGGGCTCGTGATCTGCCTGCTTTGGCCTCTCAAAGTGCTAGAAGTTTTCAATTAAAAAACTTTAAAAAATTAAAATAATGGTAACTAGATAGCCAAAATATTCTTAAATTCAAGGAAGAATTATTCTAATTATATGAAAGAAGGAAAACAAATAAAATTAGAAGTATTTGTCTGTTAACTACATATTTAGTGATTACTAGGCAACTGAAAAGTTGCATATGCCTAAAGCGTCTTCTTAATATCTTTCTTGGGGCATTCTATACAGTTTGAACTGAAAGATCTCAACTTTATAGTCTCACAAAAATTATATAAATTAAAATAGTCAAGAAGATTCCTTCTAAATATAAAAAGTTTTGTTTGTTTTTTTTTCCTCCTGGGTGGAAAAAAAAATGATATTCTGTACACGACTTTGAAGTGCTGAAATTAAGTAATAACCACTTCTCGCCCAGGAAGATTTTCTAAGATCTTTGTAAGAGTGTTCTGTCTGTATTGGTCCACTTAAGAAAACTAAAAGCTTTGGTGTTCTGCTGAAAATAGCTGCTGGGATGACCATGGTGTGTCTCTTTCACACTCTCAGGGCCCTCCATACTGAGCTACCGTAGTGCCTAATGCACCATTTCCCTCCTTCTACCCTGTACCGCAGCTCTCCTTGGATTAGGCGTACATTCTCCTTCTAGCACCCTCATCTCTTGTCCCTTTTATCTAATTCTTTCTCATTCTTAAGTTCTCATGTTAGAATCTGTAGCCCAGTATGTCTTTTTTCCCCAGTTTGATTAGGTGTCTCTCTTTGTGCATTCTTATCACATTTAAACTACTTGCTTCACTAAGTTATAATTCATTTTTAAAACTTATTTATTTCCATAATACATCGAGCTTAAAATAGATCTTTAAGATAAATTTATAAAATAGACTACCGGACATTTCTCAGGCATACCTATCTTCATTGCTGTGTTGATTAAGCAAATAATTTTATTTTGTCTAAATTTCAACAGGGGCGTCATTTAATCCAAGGGTCCTTGTTCTTTTCATAATATTATGCTACCTAATGAATGAATGAGTAAACAAATGAACAAATGCACAAGAAATAAGCTGTACTAAAATGTGTAATATAAACAGTCTTTCTCATATCAAAGAAAATGATTCAAAATGTAAGGGATCCCAAAATCCTTTAAATTTTTCTAAATTGTCCACCCACATGTAGAAGGCACATTACTCTCCAAATGTGTCCTGCTAGCAAGATCCCACTTTTTGTCAGGTGGCAATGGGGACAAAGAGAGTTCCTTCTTCCAAGTAGAAGGTCAGATGGTTTTAGAGTCTATCAAAAATAAACCTACATAGAAAAAAACAAATAAGGCTGAGCACAGTGGCTCATGCCTGTAATCCCAGCACTTTGGGAGTCCTAGGTGAGTAGATAGGCAGGCGGATTGCTTGAGCCCAGGAGTTGGAGACCAGCCTGGGCAATGTGACAAAATGCCATCTCTACAAAATACAAAAAATAAATAAATAAATAAATAGTCGGGCATAGTGATCAATGCCTGTAGTCCCAGCTGCTCAGGAGGCTGAGATAGGAGAAAGGCTTGAGCTGGAGGAGGTTAAGGCTGCAGTGAGCTGTGATTTCACCACTGCACACCAGCGTGGGCAACAATGGGACCCTATCTCAAAAATAAATAAATAAATAGATAAAAATAAGCCAAAGACCTAATGAATCTCCTTTACTATCTGCAATAAGGACAATTTCTAAGAATGTGTTATTACCTGTCTCTTTTATTGTTTTTTATTTTAAGCTTTCTACTGTTTTCCAACAGTGTTACCACTGTTTTCTAGAATATAACCTGGTTTGTTCACTGTTTTCCAAATGGAGACCCTATAGCGTATAGTTCTGAGTCTGTAAGTTAATAGTAAAATCAGTGATGAAATAATCTTAGCTCATAGATGACCTTGGAATATGAAGGTATAGAAAGGGTATGTTGTTAGAGTTTTTATTTTTATTTTTATTTGTTGCCATATCAATCCTGCTAGGTATTGCGTGGTACCCTGCATTCTTTAAAAATGCAGAGCCTCACAATCAACTTTAGATTCTAGCCAATAAAGTCCTCAAATCCCTTCATTTCCAATAAAAAACTTCCTATTTAAAAAATAGCATCTGCTTTCCCATGTCACCAGTGTCATGACATAGATCCCCATGGAGAAGATCCTGTGGAGATGACACCAGGAGGTGGGAGCTGTTGTAAAAGAGCAGTAGGGAACAGGGACAGAGACAGTATTAAAAGTAGAATGCTGCTGACTTGAATCCCAATCTATGTTGGAGCAAATGATCCCCTTAGGGTAAATCAACAGAGTAAATGTCTATTTATGCTGAATATGTGAAGAGAAAGAGGACAGGAAATTTTATTTTCTGAACTAGAAATTGACAAAGTAGAAGAATTATTATCTATCTTCTTTCAAAAATAGCACTAGACGATTGATGCTTGATTGTGCTAATCATCCTTGATTTTTCTTGTTTTGAATTGAATTTAGAAATAACACTAAGGATGATTTGCACATTTATCTTCTTAAAGGAATTGCCCAAACTCCTTAGTCTGGCATTCAAAGGACCTTAATAATCTTGTGGCAATATATGTTTGTTTTTGACCTCTTCTTACTTTCTATGTAAACTCTTTTATTGGTCATGGTGGCTGACTTGCTGTCACGGTGCCTGACTTGCTGCTCCCTAAAGCTTTCTTCATATTATTGCACCACCTGAATTGCTATCCTTTTCCCAGCTCATAGGAGTCCATCCATTTTTCAGGGTAGGGATGGTGGTTGGTCACTGTTATGTCTGACCCACACTATGAGGGCTAGTATATATTTGTTGAATAGATGAATACTTGTTGGTTAGCCTTCTCTTGGAGTTCAGATTCATTAGCTACTCCTTATGTCTAGAATATTATCGAGTGCAGTCAAAAGCATCACCATCCTATGGATCCTTTCTCTCAAGGGAATTAAGGCACAGTATTTTATTAAAGGAATATGGCCAAAGCCTCCTTATGCACTCATTTTCTACTTAATAGTCTTTTTGTGATACAGATCTTCAGAAAGATATCCTAGTCTATTCAAAAAGTGGATGAGAAGAGCTATACTGAGTTAGAGAATTTTCTAATTGATGAGAAGGCCAGTTTACCTTGGGCTACTAAGATTCTTTGTATCAGGGGACCCTATGATAGAGCATTGACTTTGGAATCAGACAGACCTGATGTGTGCTGTGCTACCTTCCAGGTATGTGACCCTGGTGAGTGACTCAATGGCTCTGAGTCTCATTTTGCCATCTTTGAGACATAGTTGCTATGAGTATTCTGGAAATAATGTTAGTAAAATTGTTTAGCACATTATCTAGCACATAATAGGTGTTCAATAAATGTCTGTGGCTCCTGTTTTCTAGGGACACAGAGTAAAATGTCTGTTTTAAACATTGTGTTATGGTTACTGTATCAGTCTATTTCATACTGCCATAAAGAACTGCCTGAGACTGGGAAATTACTGGGTAATTTATAAAGAAAAGAGATTTAATTGACTCACGGTTTAGCATGTCTGGGGAGGCCTCAGGAAATTTAAAATCATGGTGAAAGTTGAAGGGGAAGCAAGGTATCTCTTCTTCACAGGGCAGCAGGAAGGAGAAGTGCCAAGTGAAGGGGGAAGAGCCCCATATAAATCCATTAAATCTTGTGAGAACTCACTATCACGCAAATGGCACTGGGGAAACTGCCCCAATGATTCAATTACCTCCTCCTAGTCTCTCCCTTGACACATGGGGATTATAAGGATTATGGGGATTACAATTCAAGATGAGATTTGGGTGGGGACACAAAGCCTAACCAGATCAGTGATGTAATGTTATAATATGTTTAATGTCTAAAATGTAAACTTTTAAAGAACGTAGAAATTCTATAATCCAACAACTGAATTCTAGACATAAGAAAGCTTAGAGAGTTGAAGTAACAGATTAATCAGTGGCAGTCTATTGTGATATGTCATATTTCATTTTATTTTATCTTTTATTATATACTTAAAAAGTACACACACACAGTTTTTGACTCAGAGTAAACCTCAATAAGACTGCACAAAAATTCTTTTTAGGAATATTTGTTTAAAAGTATCTATGGTATTTGACTTAAAGCTTAGCAGACTATTTTAGGTCTTATACTACCAAAGATGAAATGTGGATATAACTTAAAACAGGAATAAACCAGAATAGATTCCCTAGTTGTCTATAAATATTGAAAACAGAGCTCATAGAAAAAAATTAATGGAACTACAGTGGATATTGGCCAATTTTGATTGATTCTGGTGTCTAGCGTTTTAAAAAATTTTCAGAACAACTAAAATGTAAGTGGAATGGAATTTAAAGTTTTGCCCAGTTAAAACTTCTGATAACAGAATTTTCTTACCACCTCTTAAAGGCCAAACCTTTCAGACTATGGCTAACCCAGAGAAGTTAGAAAATATGCTTTGTGACCTCATGTGACCATAAGCCATATTGCAACAGGCAATGGAAATTTCAAACCTAGCTCAGATTGGTAAAATGAGAGCAAAATCTGTATAAGTTAAAAAACTGGACAATTGTAATAACTAAAATAGTGCTTACAGAGTATTTTTTTCTCTGAAAAATTATTTTATTTAAGCTTCACAACAATCCCAATTAGGTAGGCATTATCATTCCCATCTTATACATGTAGAAATTTAGGCCCCAGAGCTTAAGTTGCTCAAGGTCTTATAGCTAATAGGAGATGGAACCAGTGCTTGAACCAAGGCACTCTGACTCTAGAATCTGAACTCAGCTCTTTTATGAAACTGAACCATGTCATAGGTCCCTTCCAATGCATGTCTCTTCTCATATCACTATAGCAATCAGCATCTCATGACAAAGGAAGGGGCATGAGTAGGAGAGACCAGAGACCAGAGTCCTGACAGCTAATGTGCTGTTTGATCCATCACAATTTGGAGAATTGTCCTGAAAGACCTCATTTTATCTTTCCATGTTACATATTTGGTGCCCATGGGCACCAAGCAGAAGTATGAAGGTAGATACAAAAAGTATTATTGGTGATTTCACCCATTTCCACTACAATAGATCATACAAACACTAAAATCAAATAATACCACATTTTATTTGAGGGATTTGAGGGGAGGGGTATTGAAGAGAGAAAGTAGCATACATAGCATATATTAAGACAAAGTGAAGTGTTGATTTTTACAGTGATCCTATGTAACTGTTAGGCAATGCAGAATAAGAGTTACATAAGCCTTGCTGGATGGTTTGCAGATGGCCTTGGCCAACTCAGGCCTTCCTCTGTCTTCCTACTTATAGTTCTCAGAATAACTGTAGAATGAACTGGAAATATAACAACCTGAGATAAGGAGAAACTGTCAGGGACAGCCTAGGAAGCTTTGTTTCAGTCGCTCCAGAAAAAAGATGTCCTATAAGACTTTAGCTCAGCAAATCACGGTGCCCCTAGGTATAAACCCAGTGCAGTTGGCTTTCAGGATCCCTCAGCTTCAGTGCCACATGAGACATGCACAGATGAAATTCCCTGTTCCCTGGGCAGCTTTCATGAGCCTTTGGGAACTAGCTCTCCATGAATCCTAGGTTTTTGTTGTCCCTTGCTGCCTATCTGTGAGTAATAAAGCTGCTTCACCTAACTTGTGTGAGCGTTCTGTCTCACCAAACTCATGCAAGTGGATTGATGCCACTGCTTGATATTGGCAAGGTGTTTAGAGTTTTTTCCTGTGGTAGATACTAGTGGATGGTGAACTTCTTCACAACCAGAAGAACAAGTAATCAGATCTCTTTTGTATAACTAGGGAAGGCATAAAAGCAACCCTAATTCCAATGAAAACCCTATTTATTGTGAGAATAACATGTGTTTATTAACATTGGGAGAAAATAAGTAGGACAAGAAAGATATGCCCAGAAAGATAAACCCCAATGAGTGAATAGGAAGGCCCCTCATAAACATTTAGTGTAGAGATTGGTAGGGGGAGTAAAGGGTTTTCACCTGTTGGGAAAAGGGATATAAGGATAAAACTGGAGACATTGAAGACATCCAACTAATGTTCTGTTAATATGGCCCCTAGAGTGGTTGTCTTAGTATTTTTCAAGGGAAGAAATCAGTTTTCAATTTCCTTAGGCACAATTCAGGACCCAGTTTGCTGAGGCCACATAGGATTATGCAATTATGAATAGTGGATTTAGAGGAAAAAGGAATAGCTCATATGCATACAAGTAGGTGAATTAAACTTGTTCCTAATGAATGGTATCCAGTAGCGTAGCTAGATAGTCCAGAATAGAGTATCCTATGATAAATCATGTTTTGCTGGAGTTCATAAAGACAATACATAGGCAGACGGAAACGCATTCTCCTGGAACATCCTGCCTTCACTTTGAGTTATTCCCGTGTCCGTGGAGACAGGCTGTGAGCATGGAGTCAGAGCTGGGCTGTGATTTTTTATTTGTCCTTCATAATAAGCCTCTAGCAATGATTGGAAAATATTGGAAGCAGGAGGTAAAAGCCAATCAGTGTATTTAGTTGTAAATGAGATGGCTGGAGTTCAGAAAATGATGCCTACTTAGTGGTTAAAAGGAGGAGCCGCACGTATTATAGGATAGTGGTTAAGTGTCCAGTATCTGGAATAAGATTTCATAGTTCAAATTCTTACTCAGTCACTTATTATGTTAGTTACCTTAGTCAAGTTAGTCTTTTTATTTGCAAAACATGAATAATGATAGTACTTATCTCACAGGGGTGTTGTGAGAGTTACATAAGTGATTACATGTACAGTTCTCAGAACTATTCCTTGTACATCAAATATCAGCTCTTCTTATTATGTAGGCTAACAAAGTCAACCATGGATGGGGGAAAGACTTTTAGTGAAAACATCTGTGAAAACACTAGGCGAGAAGGGTATCCTGAATTATTTCACTGGGAAATGACATGAATCTGGGTTCCCTTGCCAGGCTACAGAGAGATGAGCAGTCCATTCTGTCCCGAGCCTTGGGGCTAAGTCTTCTGCTATGAGTTTTACTTCTCAATGTGTTTTCCCCATTGCGGTTAGAGAAATATTTTTACAAAATCCAAATCGGATTATGTTACTCCTTTGGTTAAACCATCTAGTGACTCGTGATTTATTTAATAAACAAAAGCATAATATTATGTGTAAGCAGATGATTATATAATTTATCATTCACAGCAGGACACTTTATGAGTTAGAGGGCACAATTATTACTCATACCAGGACAATAACTATAACCCAGGCCTACCACCCAAGCAAAGAGGGTCATCTGTTCATCCTATCTACAAGTCCCTGTGTGAATGTATGATCTGGTCCCTGCCTTTTTTATGCCAACCTCATTTCATATCACTTTCCTTCTTGAACCTTGGTTTCCAGCCACACTATTTCTCTTTCAGTTTCTTTCAGTATTCTTCTTCCTGCCTTTGCATATGTTGTTTAATCCCACCCAACTTCCCCTTCGCTTGGCTAACTCCTTTGTCTGCAAATTTCTTCTCATTTCCCTTTGTTAGACTAGCTTCCCTAACTCTCACAGACTAGATAAGGTTTCAAGAAGAATGCACTCTTTACTTTGCTTATTTGTCCTTCGTATTTCATATAACAGTTTTAAATATTATGTTTGTATCCTTATTCAATCATTACTTGTTTATTCTGGCTAAGTTATGAGCTCCTATTTGCTTTGCTTACTCTGCTTTGTACCCCAGTGTGGTATCTAGCACATGTAAGCATGCAATGTTGAATGGAAGCATACTATGTTTGCTTCAGTAACTAAGGTGGAGCAAAACTGGAATGTGACTGTCATCCTTAGATTCAACTCTGCAGAGCCAGAAGCACAGAGGCAAAGTATTACTTAGAGTTAAGGTTAAAGTAGCGACTCTCCGCAGCTAAGTATGAGGTCTGGGAGTGGCAACTGCTTCTCTTATTAAAACATGGTGGCAGCTGATGGCCATGTGACAAACTATGATGGGCTAATGTCACTGTATTGTACTTGCCAATATTCACATATACTCTGTCTTCTGAGAAACTCAAACTGAATAGATTATAATAGAAAATACATTGAGTCTACAATATGCATTGTTACCTTTCTCTATTATTAAACATACTTTCCCCTGCCTTGCCATAGTATATCATTTGTCAGTTTTTCTAGTACATTTCTCTGTTGAGAAACCAGTTAGAGCTGATGAATACTTCCCCATAGGGAAATTGCAAGTGAAATCTTTATACGGAAACTGTTGTACATTCAACTAAAATTATTTCATCTTTTAAGGAAATTGAGCCCTAAAATTATTAGTGTTTGCTTTGTGTTGACTGCAGAGAATGCACTTTATTTAATTCTATCTTAAACGGGTTTGTTCTTTAAACTCTGATATCATTCTTGAGATGGGGGGAAAAAAAGAAACACTTCCAGTACTATTCACAGAAATCCTGTGTATTTACTAAGAAATCAAGCCAAGATAATTACTTCACTTTTTTTTTTTTTTGTCACTAAAAAAGTAAAAGTTGAATGCTAACACACAATGCTGCAAATGTAGTATTTCTAGGAAGTCTGACGGGAGTTATTTATAAAAAGATATACCTTGTCTTCTGGGAGACTATTACTTCCCTTAATTATCTTTGACTTCTCACCTATTACACCTTAAACTTCCTCAGAGGGTAGCAGTTGAATGACACGTTCTCTTTGGAAATCACAATGTGAGTAGAACATGTGAAGGAAAAAAAAAGAAAAAAAAGCTACCACCACTCTGCTAAGGCAGCTAAGTTTTCAAATGCCAGAGGGACAGTTATGAAGCTAGAGTACTCACTGAATTAGGTCCAGCTATTTCAGAACAAAGGAAAGTGATCAGTTATGCCTGGGGACTGTGCACTTGGTCCATTTTCTTTTCTTACAGATTTCATGTTACTGTCTCAAACAGTTACACCATTCTCAAGAGTCAACTCCCAGAATGCAGAAATCTTTTTTCAAACAGTAGCTGCCTTTTGCAGCCAGAACCTTAAAAAAAAAAAAAAAAGATTTTTTAAAAAAAAGATGTATACCTATATCTGTCTAAATCTTAAATGCCACATCTCTGCCTTGTAGGTCTTTTTCACTGAATTCCAAGTTCTTTCTCACAATAGAATAAAATAGGCACATGACAGTATTTCCATATGTCAGAAATATAGTACTATATATAATGTTTTGTTTTTGAAATAAATTCCAGATTCTTGATACATTTAGCTAATATCAATGTTTCCATGCTAGTTTTATTTTAAGGACTAAATATAGTCTTCTAATAAACACATTTATTGGAAACATTGATGTAAATTGGAGAGGAAAATAATTCATTCTATACTTTCTATATCACTGTCCCTTATGAATACATAAATTAATCAGAATCATGATTGATTCTATAACTTTAATAATAGATGCCACCAGCACTCTCTACAATGACAACAGTATTACCCAATTCATAACTGAATGAAAAATGGACTTTCAGTGCCCATAAAAGTCTCTCGTGCATTTTCTCTTTCTTGGAAATTAGAACAATTCTATTTTTTGACATTATGTAAAATGCATAAAATCTATATATTTGTTAGTTGAAAGAAATCTGGATTTCTTTAAAATTCAACTCAAATAAATTCACATAAATCTTTTCATTTGCCTATAAGAAATCTATTCTGGGTTGAGCAATACTACAAATTTCTAAAATTGGTGTGGTTATTTCTAACCTAAAAAGATTTTTCACAGACTATAGCGCACATTATCATTATCTTATAATTTTCATAATCATAGCTAACATCAGCATAGGCTTACTGTGTAACTAGCCTTGTTTTAAGCAGTTTACATGAGTTAACATGTTTAATTCCTCAACACCACTACAAATTGAGTTCTCTAATACTTATCTTTTAAAAGCAAGGTATATGAGACACAGAGTAAACTAATGTTCTAATATGACTCAGTTTAGATTAATGATCTAGCATTTTTAATAACTTTCCCGTTGAGAAGCTGGGAATGGTGGTGGAACCTAAAAGACTTCCAACTCTGAGGAAATTGTGGTAGAAATGGAAGCAGTATAACCTATGATTGAACTTAACCGATGTAGGTGATTGAGATTGTATTTGCAGAGACAATGCTTAAAGAAATAAAAGAAACCCAGACATAAAAACTGAAGCTTTAATGGAGATACATAAATACATAGGACCTTGGAAAACAAATGAAGTAATATAACTGCATATAATTTGTTTACATATATAAAACATAGGAAAATGGAAATACAGTGTATTCTTAAGTGTACATTTCTCTGTGTGAAATTTATTGTGTGCTTTTACTTTACATAATCTGTGGAAAGTATAGAACGTGATCCATACCCTTGAGGGATAATGAGGGGTCACTTTATACTTCAGGGAAGAGACTATAAACGCTATGAGCGTCTTATGCTTGCATGAACTTGCATGAAACTACATATTTTTCAGAGATGTTTCATAAATTATTTCACATTGTTTGTTTAATAGCTACATAAAAATCCTTCCTTTTCCCAGCACTTTGGGAGGTTGAGGCGGGCGGATCACGAGGTCAGGAGATTGAGACCATCCTGGCTAACACGGTGAAACTCCATCTCTACTAAATATACAAAAAGTTAGCCGGGTGTGGTGGTGGGCGCCTGTGGTCCCAGCTACTCGGGAGGCTGAGGCAGGAGAATGGCGTGAACCTGGGAGGCGGAGCTTGCAGTGAGTCGAGATCGCGCCACTGCACTCCTGCCTGGGCGACAAAGCTAGAGACTGCGTCTCAAAAAAAAAAAATAATAATAATCCTTCTTTTACAGATGAGTAAACAGAGGCTGGAAGTGGCGATCTGACTCACCCAAATTGACAGTTATTAATAAATATATTAAGGAGAAGAAAATAAAGATAATAAAAGAGGTATGAACGGGATGCTGTGTGACTATCAAAAGGTGAAGATGGAGACATTGGAGAAGCCTTCATGGAAGAGGTGATAGTTAAATTGACCATTGCAGGATTCATTGCTATAGACAGAGAAAGAACATGAGCATTGAAATTTTAGGGAACAGTAAGAGTAGGACAGATGAGGCCAGAAACTGTCAATATATTTGCAAAACAACAATCAGTGTAACTGCACTAAAGTTTTGGTAAAGACTAAAGAATGGGAGAAGATATAATCAGCAGAATAAAACCAGACTGTGGAGAACTTAGAATGTTTTAGAATTTAAGTTCTAATTTAACAAAAAACACTGGAAGATTTTTTTTCTTTTCTTTTTCTTTCTTTCTTTTTTTATTTATTTTTGTTTTTTTAATTTTTTTGAGGAAGAGTCTTGCTCTGTCACCCAGGCTGGAGGGCAGTGGCGTGATCTCAGCTCACTGCAACCTCTGCCTACTGGATCCAAGGGATTCTTCTGCCTCAGCCTCCTGAGTAGCTGAGATTGCAGGCACGAACCACCACCTCCAGCTAATTTTTTGTATTTTTTGTAGGGATGGGGTTTCACCATGTTGGTCAGGCTGGTCTTGAACTCCTGAGCTCAAGTGATCCGCCCACCTGGGCCTCTGGAAGAGATTTTTCTTTAATCAGAAATATGACATGAAAATAATTTTAAATTGAGAAAATTAACCTGGGACTCTTGAATAGTATAAACTAGAAAGGAGGAAACTGGAGTCCAAGTTCATCTTCATCCAACCGAAGTTAGTTGCTTCTCAAATGTGAATGTTCCTATGAATCACCTGAGGATGTAGTTAAAAATGCAGATTTGAATCAGTAGGTCTCCGATGAGGGCTGAAATTCTAAATTCCTAACAAGCTCACAGCTGATGTAATGCTTTTGCTGCTGACCTGCAGGAGTGAAGTGGCAAGGAGGTAGATCATTCCCTGTTCACGTCTCTGAAAATAGAGTGTAGAGAGCTTTCTTTTCTCTGTAGAGTGAATAGAGCCTTACACCTCCAATTCCTAAGGATGTTTCTTTGACTTGAAGCTTGAGTCTTGAAAGCTAAATTTTTTATTAAGATCTTCACAGAAAGAGACAAAAATAATAGAGATTTAACTTACAAATCTAAGCTCAGAAGGCACTCCATGGATCAGAAGAGACTTATGTTGTGGAATAGACACAGAGGCCTCAAGATGTCAATGCACCCCACAACTAGCAGAGGTTCATACTACCATCCCCAATTTCCTGTCCTCCCAGTAGACTGCACATGTCTCAGGGTCAACCATTATAACCTATTATTCAGGTCCTGACCCAGCCCGTTCTTCCTACCTTCTTGATTCAGCAGGCCAGGTTCACAGTAGACAACAAGATAAAAATCATTATCATCAAAATATCATCCACACCAGCTCTCCATACATGTGACATTTTCTATCCTAGTCATTGAACCTCCGTATTTCTGATAAAGAAGGAATATATTTCTCCTCCAAAATATGAACCTGTGATGCCACACCAAAGACATTTTCATTATCATGTTTTGTATCTTCCAGTTACAGTATTTGTCATTCTCTTTTCTTACTCAGATATCTGTTCCTTGGATTCATCTCTCTTTTTAAACAACTTTAGATCTGTCCATACCAAACTGAAACAAGGGCAGAAACTGAAACAGAGCATTCTAAGGCCCAAAAGAAAAATTTAACAATATCCCATTGAATCTAAGAGGGTCACTATGGCACACCACAATTCTTCTAAAATTTTAACATTCATAAGAATCACCTGGGATCTTTCTAATAATACAAATTGCCAGACCATACCCCAGAGATTCCAATTCACTGATATAGGAAGAGATCTAGGCATCTGTATCTTAAGCATCTCCTCAGCTTACTCTAATTCATGTGGTCTTAGGGTTTCCACTAAAAAGCACAGATACAGTCTAAATAATCCAGAGATGTGTGTACGTACTTGATCTCAATCACAAATTAGCCAAGTAACATTGGACAAGGCACGTGGTCTCTTTGGGTCATAGCTTCACATCTAATTAATTTTTAAATATCGATTTCAGCTGGTTTTTTTAATTATTGTAGAAATATCTATTAACCCAACATATATTGAATGCCAAAGGAAAGGGTTCCAAATGTAGTAGAATAAATATAATGCAAGACCAATTGGCGAATTAGGGAGTAAAGAAAAGAGAGACAAAGATGGAGGGATAAAAGAAATCTCTCTCATTCACAAGCCAAGGTTAAATTCAGCATACTGAACACTTAACGTAACTGCTTTTTGTTACTTCCTTTTGTAGAACTGAGCTATCAGGTGTTTTTCATACTATTTGATATTCTTTTTTTCCTATTTGTTCCTGGATGTAGGAGCCAGTGTGCTATAGGGGAAGAATGTTCTCATGCACAATCCGAGATCAGATTATTTGTATTGGTTAATTCCAGGTCAGGAAGAGTTAGGGTTGTTTCTTTGGGGTGACAGATTCCTTTGGCAGAACATGTTAAATTCTGCTGCAGTAAATTATCATATGCTCTCATCAGTACGCCTTCTTCCTTGGTAACTTTCATAGTATGTAGAAGTAGCCTCTGAATTATGCTAATGAATTATTACCTCCTGCCCAGAATTGCATGCACACGTCTTCAATGCAGCTGCTTGCATGCAGTGGAAATGAGAAAATTTTATGAAATAATTATCTTCAGAATAAGTTTGAAAATTTACGAAATTAAATGCTATTTATTCATTAACATTTGAAAAACCAGAAATATCTTTCCATCTGCCTTTGATGAAATCAGCCCTTTATTCAGTTCAATATTACCACAAATTAGTCTGCTTGCTTTCATAGCCTTTTCACACTCTCCATTTCCTTCCACTCTTAGAAGTGATGCTCACTATAGCTTAAAGACAATGCTCTCTGCTGATGAAACAACTGCAAATTACAGATAGACAATACAGGAACATTTAATAAGCTGAATAGAAGGATTTACAATATGCATCTATGCATGGCTGTCTGAACACTTTTGCTTAGATTTCATATTTTACTTTCTATGGCTGGTCTGATGGAAGTCTTAAGAGAATAATACCATTTTGTAGCTTTTCGTGATTACTATTGTACTCTGTTATAAACTGTATATTCTTCATTTAGATATGCTAAACAGTTTTTTCTTTTTTAATAATGGGGAAAATCTCCTTTTATACAGTGTTCAGAATGAAAATTAATATTGTTCTCCTCTGGGTTAGTAAAATGAATTTCAATAACTTCAACTGTGGAAGAGAAAAGATGTTGAAATAAATGGATAAGATTTGGGCATAGGTTCTAAAACTGTTTAGCTGGTAATGATTTACACTGAAGGTACTTTTATTATCAAAGAAATTGGTGAGATCAAGTAAGTTTAGTTACTTCTACTAATTTTGTTATATTAAAATGGGAATTGCTCACATAACGGTGGAATTTATTCTTACATATTAAAAAGTGTTTGAGAGACCATCCTGGCTAACACGGTGAAACTCCGCCTCTACTAAAAAATACAAAAAATTAGCCGGGCATTGTGGTGGGTGCCTGCAGTCCCAGCTACTCGGGAGGCTGAGGCAGGAGAATGGCGTGAACCCGGAAGGCGGAGCTTGCAGTGAGCCGAGATCATGCCACCGCACTCCAGCCTGGGCGACAGAGCGAGACTCTGTCTCAAAAAAAAAAAAAAAAGAATGGACTTCTATCGAGGCTGTTCTTCATTTTTTGTATGGAACAGGGTTGATTCCATTTCGCATATTTTGTTTCTTTTTTTTTTCCCCAACAAATTAATGTCAAAACTACTACAGCTGGTGAAACATCTTTCATAGTTTGCTTTTGTTTTTTTCTCTGTATGCCAGTTGTAAGAGTTCAATATTTTAGCAACATATTCAGCTAAATGTAAGACTCTTAAGCAATCATAATAGTTGGTAGTTTTCCATCTTAACAAAAGATTAGTTCTGAAAAAGTCATTAGATATCCTTGAACTATGTAGTTATTCTGTCCAAGACTTTGAACATGCACTGTTATAGAAGTCATTCTCATTCTGTTAGGCATGTCTACCAGATACCCTTATTTTCATGAGCATTATCATATAACGTGTGTAATATGTATGTGTAATGACCAATAAAAATGAATGTCTTATAATCTCCAAGGATGTGAACCAGCAATGATATACATATATGTGTGTGTGTGTGTGTGTGTGTGTGTGTGTGTATATATCTCAACAGAACCAGAGTATTATCAACATATGTATAGTGTATATATTTTTTGTTGTTCCGTTGATTATACACTGGTTTTATATTTTTTTTGTTATTCTGTTGATTATACTCTGGTTCTTTGCATTTACTTTATTTCTCCATTTTATTATCCTCACAGTAAACTTTTCTGACTTGATGTTTCCCTTTTGTAACCTATTTCAGCACAGTGCTGCAACTTACTCATTGTCCCAAGTCCCTACTGGTTAGGTTGGCAATGACCATGTCTATCTTGCTGATAGTTCAGTCCTCAGCAGCTGGCACTGCCTGAGCTTCTAAAGGCAATCAGTGTTTGGGTTTTTGTTCAATTTTTTTTTATGCTCTTATTGATACATGATCTCACTATGTTGCCCAAGCTGGTCTCGAACTCCTGGCTTCAAGTGATCCTCCTGCCTTGGCCTCACAAAGTACTAGAATTACAGGTGTAAGTCACCATGCCCAGCCATCAGTGTTTGTTAAGTGAATGGATAAAGGATTGTTCTTCACGGCTTAAAAAAAAATCAGTGGTTTCACATTTCTTATAGAATATAATTCAAATTCATTACCATGACCTCAAGGTCTTTTTCAACTGGCTACATAACCTGTCTCATTCATCTCTTACTGATCTTTCCTCACACCTTACAAACAATATGCATAAGAGACTTTCAGCTTACTTTTCTCCAACAACACCCATGACAGTTGATATTCATGGGCATGGGACACTTCTGTAAGCACAACCTTTGACACAGACGGAGAGCACGATTTACAGAATATGACTCATAACATCACCTTTACGTCTCTCACTCAGGAAATCTTATTAGAATGCCAATCAGTTAAATAGGTGTTATTTTAGTGAGCACTTTAAACTCACCCTAATTTATTTTATTAAAAAATTAAGAAAATTCAGTGTACTTTAATTATTACTTTTAAGATATTATTGTTGAAATATCATTCCATTGAGACTCCATGTTTGAGAACTCTTTTTAATAATAATAGTTAGCATGGTTTGCTTACCTTCCAAATATTGGGATTTTGTTATGTACTTTATATGTGTTAAATTTTCCAAAAACCTGTGACATAAATAACACTATTATTCTCATTTTATAGAAGGTAACATTTAAGTGCAAGGAGCCTAAGTAATTTACTCAAGGTTATACTTCTGTTCAGTTTATGTGTTTTTCAATTAAAGATTTGTTTTAAAGTACTAAAGATGGTTCTCAAAAAGTCAGGAAACAACAGATGCTGGAGAGGATGTTGAGAAATAGGAAAGCTTTTACACCATTGGTGAGAGTGTAAATTAGTTCAACCATTGTGGAAGACAGTGTGGTGATTCCTCAAGGATCTAGAACCAGAAATACCATTTGACCCAGCACTCCCATTACTGGGTATATATCCAAAGGATTATAAATCATTCTGCTATAAAGACACATGCACATATATGTTTATTGCAGCACTATTCACGATAGCAAAGATTTGGAACCAACCCAAATGCCCATCAATGATAGACTGGATAAAGAAAATGTGGCACATATACACCATGGAATACTATGCAGCCATAAAAAAGAATGAGCTCATGTCCATTGCAGGGACATGGATGAAGGTGGAAACCATCATTCTCAGCAAACAGGAACAGAAAACCAAACACCACATGTTCTCACTCATAAGTGGAGTTGAACAATGAGAACACATGGACACAGGGAGGGGAACATCACACACCAGGGCCTGTTGGGGGGTGGGGGAGAGAAAGCATTAGGACAAATACCTAATGCTTAAACCTAGGGCTTAAACCTAGGGCTTAAAACCTAGGTCATGGGTTGATAGGTGCAGCAAAGCACGATGGCACATGTATACCTATGTAACAAACCTGCACATTCTGCACATGTATCCCAGAACTATAAAATAAAATAATATAAAAATAAAATACGTTTGTCAAACTACTTCCTTTCCCTGTCTCCCATTTTATACCTTGAGGTTGACACATAACATACATAGACACATATATATACACATATGCACTCAGACTAAATTTTAGGGCCTTTGGTACAAACTATTTGTTTAAGAGTTCTATGATATTGTTATAAATAAGAAAAAAAATATAAAAGTACTTTTTGGCTGGGCATGGTGGCTTAAGTCTGTAATCTTAGCATTTTGGGAGGCTGAGGTGGAAGGATCACTTGAGTCCAGGAATGCAAAACCAGTTTGGGCAACGCAGTGACACCCTGTCTCTACAAAAAATATATAAAGTGCTTCTTTAGTAGAGTAGATATGATTATATAGGTAAGTATGTAACAGGCATACTTGAGCCTAACACAGGAGAGTTTGGTTTGGATTTTTGCTAATAATGCTTTAAGCATTGCCTTATGGCAAGGCTCAAAGGGAGCATCCTGTTTTAAAAAATTTAATACCAAATTGAATTCCATGTTCTCCAAATTGATTAGACCAAAGCCTGTTGTTTCTGTTTCACACAGGAATGTGCTGCCTTCAACCTTTGCTCTGTGAGCAAACTATGCCCTGATCTGATATGTATTATGTGGTTAAATACTTTTTTGCATCAAAAGTCCTACATAAAACTTGGTGACACCTCCCTAAATGTAGCTATCACGCCTTTAAAATATTTTTTAAATGATTCCACTGCTTTATCTTCCATGTCTAGAAAGTGGAATTTCACACACACACAAACACACACACGCATACACAAGCAAAGTATATATTTTACAAGTGTGGTTCGGTGCTCCTTTCCTTGATGAGGATATTTCATGAATCTTCCAACTTTTCCTTAAGATGCTATAAAAAGTAAACATCCTCTGGGTAAACCTCTTGCTGAATCTGATGCTTTACTTCAGAAAATTAGAACTGCCCTCTGCATCTCAATGAACGTAGCTAAAGGACCTTACTGGATAGCACACACTTCTGCGGAAACAAACATTTACATTTTTATTTGTTTTTCATTATAACCAAACACAATATTTTTTAGTTGGTATAAACGACCAACGTATTAGAAAGGATAAACATATGCAGCAAAGTTTACAATTAAAATATAGAATGTCGAATGCCTTCTCAACAGGCTTGATGATGCTGAAAAATAGAAGAATGAAGATGAAGACAATGTTTTGACTTTGATAAAAAATATCAGAGGCCGGGCGTGGTGGCTCATGCCTGTAATTCCAACACTTTGGGAGGCCGAGGTGGGCAGATCACCTGAGGTCGGGAGTTCAAGACCATCCTGACCAACATGGAGAAACATAAAAATACAAAATTAGCTGCGCATGGTGGTGCATGCCTGTAATCCCAGCTAACAGGGAGGCTGAGGCAGGAGCCTGGGAGGTAGAGGTTTGAACCTGGGAGGTAGAGGTTGCAGTGAGCCAAGATCGCACCATTGCATCCTAGCCTGGGCAACAAGAGTGAAACTCCATCTAAAAAAAAAAAAAAAAGAAAACAGAAAGAAAAAGTTAATGAAAGATTCTTATTTATTATTTGATAAGTGAAAATGAACAAACAAATATTAGTGAGAAGATAAATGGCCTTAAATGGCCTTAAGCCCAGGATCACAGAAGAACCCGAGTAAACAAACTAGTTTGGCAACTTTGAAAAAGTGTGGTCAGCACTGGAAGATAAATAAAAAGGGAAGAAATAAGACAGAAAGGATTTCCTTCCAAAGGGCAGGCTAGATTCTTTTTTTTTTTTTTTTTTTTTTGAGACAGTGTCTTGCTCTGCCACCCAGGCTGCACTGCAGTGACACGATCTTCACTCAATGCAACCTCTGCCTCCTGGGTTCAAGTGATTCTTGTGCCTCAGCCTTCTGAGTAGCTGGAATTACAGGCATGTGCCAACACGCCCAGCTAATTTTTGTATTGTTAGTACAGATAAGATTTCATCATATTGGCCAGGATGGTCTCAAACTTCTGACCACAAGTGATCCGTCCACCTCAACCTCCCAAAGTGTTGGGATTACAGGTGTGAGCCCCTGCGCCTGGCCTAGATTCTTATTAGGTTAGAATGCCATGATCAGTTTTTGAGAGATGGAGAACTTGAGAATAATTAAGAATGCAGATTTTAATGCTTTAATATTTGGAAAATAAGAGAGCTTAAGACAAGATTTTCTCAACCTCAGCCTTATTGACATTTTAGACTGGATAATTATTTGTTTTGGGAGCTATGAATTGTAAATATTTAGCAGCATCTGTGGCTTCTCCTTACTAGTTTCCAATAGCACCCCCACTTCCCCAGTTGTAATAATCTACAGTGTCTCAAGACATTGCCAAACATTCTTTGGGGAAACGAAATATCTCCTAGTTGATGATCCCTGGCTTAAAGGTACTATAATCATTAATTTAGGCAGAAGGTGAGTGAAAAAGAAACTGTGGATTATAATTGATTATTATATAGAATATATTATTAACTTTTTTCATTCCACCAAAGCCCAAATCAGAAGCAAACTAGATTTTTTTAAATTGTGTAATTAGCTCTTTTGAGAATATGCAATGCCTTTCAATTTATAGATTTCTAAAACAGGTATCTATAGTAAGTATAATTCTGAGGTTAAAATATTGTCTGTTGGTAAAGCAGGTTTTTGAAAAATTTTGATATTATATCTACAATATTTGATTATTTTCTTTACGTTAACCCTTTATGAAATAAATATTGAGGACTTCAAACATACTCTAATGTTAATAAAGAAATAGATAATATGCAGGTACCACCCACTCAGATTTAACAATACCTGGTCCTATTAGCTTCAGATATTTTTCTTTCTTAGGATTTATGTTTGTTTCATTTGTTTTCTAATCTTGTAGTTAGAGTGTCTTCTTGCCCATCCTAATATGTGTGTTTCCTGCCCAGTGGTAATCAATTACCTGTAGATATTCTTTCTGTGTATGTTTTTATTGTACAATTTAGCTATGTCTATTTGCATCCATGATAGCACATAGTGTTGAGTTCTTGGTGGCTTTGTATGTTTTTACCTAAATGGCATCTCTCCGTGTTTATCTTTTTATTTTTTATTTTTCATTCAATTCATATATGCAAGATTTATTCATGTTGGCATATGTAAGTATTTGCACAGTAGGTACAATAAAATGCTGTGAAGCAATTAAAATAAATGAGCTGACTTAAGCACTTATAAACAGCACTGCTACAGACAAAATAGGGACAATGTACAGTGCTTTTTAGTTCACTTATAAACTAAACTAAGCAGCTAAACCAAGGCATGAAAATTCCAGAATTGAAAATGTTTGATCTGTCATGACCCTAACAGTACAGGAAGAACTGAAACATAGTCGGAAAAACATTCAGGCTCTTTTTGTTTTCCATGGGAAAAACATTAGCTTCCTAGAATCTGAGAGAGTGCCTGGGTGGGCAGAGAAGCCTGACCCTTCTCATGGGAGTAGAGGCCTGATGAGCCTTTCCAATGGCTCATCTGGATTTTAAAAAGGAACACATGGGAAAACCACTAGGAAAGAACTCTTTACTCAACAGCAGGCTGTGCCTGACTCTAAACAGCAGCTTATTTCTGAGCTAGCCTGTCTTTGTTGGGTACAGCCTACGTATGAAGCCCAGGGGTAGCAAGCACAGGGTTTTTGAGAGCTGGAGACCTTGGTGGTTGGAAGGGGCCATATGCAGAAAGTAGTGTGGGGCTTAGAGGAATTTAGCATATTGTGACCATAGCTCCAGTGAAAGTGGCCACTGCAGGAGGTGAAAATAATGCTGAGAGGGAAGAAACATGCCCTGTGGTCATGACTGAAGGCCCTACTACTTCTGCCCAGGGGTCCAGGATAAAAGACTTGGACAACAATAGCAGGGATTCTTGAGCCATGGCACGGGGCGGATGACACCTGGAGGAGGCTAGGGGTCCAGTGTGTCCACTGATGGGTGTTTGAGTGACAGGGTTTTGTTGTTTTGCCTTTTCTTTGGTTAGTGCTCCTTGATTTAAAGTCCTCAGGCTGGTGGGACCTGGAAAAGCATCTAAAATTTATGAACGCAAGGAGTGTTTATCTATGTTTTGGTGCGCATTTCTTTAGACCTAGTAACTTGTCTAATGTTAAAGTTCTTTGAAAAATTAATGCTTGATTTAAAGCTCAATAAAACTGATAGGTCCAAGAAGATTCCAACATCAATTTCCCGTATGCTGAGTAGATAATTCTTTGTCTATATTTTTGTATCAAGAAAGAACACAATCTCAAGATTTTTAAATTTGAGACTTGTGTCTCCTGAAATAAAATTTGGATGTTGTGTTAGTTTTACTTCACTACAAAAGCAGAGTCTGAGGCTCTGAGGCAATGACTTTCAGGCTGGTGGTTTATTTAGGATGTGGCATTAAGGAAAAGGAGGAAGGGAATGAGAGAGTGGAAAATAGAAGAAAAGTCAAAACAAATACGCATTATCAAGTTGGATACAAACTAAATTCTACCACAACCTCTCTTGATGCATTATAGGATTATCCACAGAAAATGTCAACCTATGGGCTCCTTCCCTGTGGGTGGAGGGTTGTTAACTTAATCCCACTCCCAGGTTGTACATGTCTGAGTGCTCAGCAGGTGCTTGCAAGAATCTCATGCACCAGAGAAGACCCAGGCAGAAAACTAGAGATCCCCGGTACAATTGAATTGAGGAGCTCTCCAGTTGTATCTGCACTAAGCAGGCTGCCACGGCAGTGGCAGGAGGAAACCCTGGACTAAGGGGATGTGAGAGAGGGCACAAGAAGTATTCTAAGACAGATGTGGAATTTTCAAGAATTAATTTACAGAACTTCAGGTTATAAAGATGTGATTCTCAATTTTGGCCAAAGGTCAAATATGAATAGATATCAAATTTTAGGTTTGAGAAAAACTGCATGTTGAAAAACATTTTTTTCTTCCTTAGTCTAAAATGGTCTTTGCAAAAGACATTGACAGTAGACAACTTTTAGTTGGAGACATTCTTAAATTGCACTGATTTTTGATTTTGGAGGGAGCAGAGAGCAGTGATAGTATTGTTAATTAAAGAAACTATTAAGGAACATAGCATTTTATAGGAAAGATTTGAATAGGCTTATCAGTAATAATTTTTGCATAGTTGGCAATCAGACTCCGAACGAATAGAGTAGATGTTATCTCAAACTAAGGGCATTCAGATGCTGAGTCTATCAAATTATTATCAGGAGTGCTACGAGGGAGATAAGCCCATAACTATGAAGACAAAATCTTACAGTGATATTCTGAGAATTCAACTTTCAACAGGTAGATTGAAAGAATTACACATTTTTTTTCCAAAAGGCGCCTGTGACCCAAGTTATATAGTTTAAAATGCAGAGGGATGTATTATAATGCCCCACCTGCTGTCCTATCTAATTTAAAAGTAGTCTAGCACAACTCATCAGGGAAGAAAAGAGAAAACAGGAAAAGAAATAAAATGAGCTTCTTCTGCTACATTTAAATAGTGCTGAATAATGATCCTAAGTTTTGTTGCTAACCCAGCAAGTACGCTGATCAATATTGTGCAAAGCCAAATGTAGTAGACTCAAAGCCAAATGCTATTTCAGAATACTTCATCATTTTTGCCAGCCTCGTGCAATGTTCAAAATGGGAAATATTTCATATGATCTCAGATATAGCAAAGTTCTTCTTGAGCTTGAAGTATAACTGAGAATTACAAGAAAAATGAAAAGTCTGGGGAATTTATATCAAACTTAACAACAAAAAAAGACAAAATTAGGTATCTACTTTTTTATGTGTAACTATTTCCTTTATTTTTAATAAAGTATAAATTAAACCAATATTTAGATTTTTTTGCTTTTAGTTTTGGAGGAATGATCATACATAGTTATACTTTAAAACAGCACCAATTAA
This sequence comes from Homo sapiens, assembly GCF_000001405.40. Classification (NCBI taxonomy): domain Eukaryota; kingdom Metazoa; phylum Chordata; class Mammalia; order Primates; family Hominidae; genus Homo; species Homo sapiens. The sequence continues at coordinate 211,253,286 of NC_000002.12, forward strand.
AAATCTTGTTATGGTCAACTTTGTATTAGAATAAACACTGGCATTATAAGCATAGTATTTAAATTATCTTTGTTAAACCTTTGGCAGAATGTATCATGCCTATGCCTAAATTGATCTTTTCTTAAAGAACACAGATATTCTCCAGTTATTGCATCTTATCATACCCATATATGTAAGTATATATGTATGGAATACAATTCTCCTCTTTTACATTATAATATAATTCTAATTACACTTTATCTCATCATCAACTCCTTTTTTCTCCATGATGACTTTGTGATTTTCAGCTGAAAGTTCTGTTTGTAAGTTGATATTTAGTTTGTTAAAAAGACTTTTAGAACATTAAATAAATGTCAGTAATTCTGAGAGACTGAAAATCTATCACAGAAATATTTTTCTAGGAAATAGTGTCAGGTAGAAATGAACTGCATCTGAGAATTTCTCATATCTTTTTGATGTATCTTTTCTCCTTGGGCATTCCTACTCATTTAGTATCTACAATAATTTAGGGGATTCAATATGTTATCTCCTTCAAGGAAAATAAAGCATGACTTAATTTCCAAAGGATTGAAGTAATATTATTTTATAAAAATTGGTAGATAGATTTTTTTTGCTTTGCTTCTTTTTTTTTTTTTCTTTTTTGTATATTTACTTTAAGTTCTAGGGTACATATGCACAATGTGCAGGTTTGTTACATATGTATACATAGGCCATGTTGGTGTGCTGCACCCATTAACTGGTCATTTACATTAGGTATATCTCCTAATGCTATCCATCCCCCCTCCCCCTACCCCACAACAGGTCCTGGTGTGTGATGTTCCCCTTCCTGTGTCCAAGTGTTCTCATTGTTCAATTCCCAACTACGAATGAGAACATGCGGTGTTTGGTTTTTTGTCCATGCGATAGTTTGCTGAGAATGATGGTTTCCAGCTTCATCCACGTCCCTACAAAGGACATGAACTCATCCTTTTTTATGGCTGCATAGTATTCCATGGTGTATATGTGCCACATTTTCTTAATCCAGTCTATCATTGTTGGACATTTTGCTTGGTTCCAAGTCTTTGCTATTGTGAATAGTGCCACAATAAACATACGTGTGCATGTGTCTTTATAGCAGCATGATTTATGTTCCTTTGGGTATATACCCAGTAATGGGATGGCTGGGTCAAATGGTATTTCTAGTTCTAGATCCATGAGGAATCACCACACTGTCTTCCACAATGGTTGAACTAGTTTACAGACCCACCAACATTGTAAAAGTGTTCCTATTTCTTCACATCCTCTCCAGCACCTGTTGTTTCCTGACTTTTTAATGATTGCCATTCTAAATGGTGTGAGATGGTATCTCATTGTGGTTTTGATTTGCGTTTCTCTGATGGCCAGTGATGATGAGCATGTTATCATGTGTCTTTTGGCTGCATAAATGTCTTCTTTTGAGAAGTGTCTGTTCATATCCTTTGCCCACTTTTTCATGGGATTGTTTGTTTTTTTCTTGTAAATTTGTTTGAGTTCATTGTAGATTCTGGATATTAGCCCTTTGTCAGATGAGTAGATTGCAAAAATTTTCTCCCTTTCTGTAGGTTGCCTGTTAACTCTGATGGTGGTTTCTTTTGCTGTGCAGAAGCTCTTTAGTTTAATTAGATCCCATTTGTGAATTTTGGCTTTTGTTGCCATTGCTTTTGGTGTTTTGGACATGAAGTCCTTCCCATGCCTATGTCCTGAGTGGTATTGCCTAGGTTTTCTTCCAGGGTTTTTATGGTTTTAGGTCTAACATTTAAGTCTTTAATCCATCTTGAATTAATTTTTGTATAAGGTGTAAGGAGGGGATCCAGTTTCAGCTTTCTACATATGGCTAGCCAGTTTTGCCAGCACCATTTGTTAAATAGGCAATCCTTTCCCCATTTCTTGTTTTTGTCAAGTTTGTCAAAGATCAGATAGTTGTAGATGGGTGGTATTATTTCTGAGGGCTCTGTTCTGTTCCATTGATCTATATCTCTGTTTTGGTACCAGTACCATGCTGTTTTGGTTACTGTAGCCTTGTAGTGTAGTTTGAAGTCAGGTAGCGTGATGCCTCCAGCTTTGTTCTTTTGGCTTAGGATTGACTTGGCAATGCAGGCTCTTTTTTGGTTCCATATGAACTTTAAAGTAGTTTTTTCCAATTCTGTGAAGAAAGTCATTGGTAGCTTGATGGGGATGGCATTGAATCTATAAAGTGCTTTGTGCAGTATGGCCATTTTCACAATATTGATTCTTCCTATCCATGAGCATGGAATGTTCTTCCATTTGTTTGTATCCTCTTTTATTTCATTGAGCAGTGGTTTGTAGTTCTCCTTGAAGAGGTCCTTCACATCCCTTGTAAGTTGGATTCCTAGGTATTTTATTCTCTTTGAAGCAATTGTGAATGGGAGTTCACTCATGATTTGGCTCTCTGTTTGTCTATTATTGGTGTATAACAATGCTTGTGATTTTTGCTCATTGATTTTGTATCCTGAGACTTTGCTGAAGTTGCTTATCAGCTTAAGGAGATTTTGGGCTGAGACGATGGGGTTTTCTAGATATACAATCGTGTTATCTGCAAACAGGGACAATTTGACTTCCTCTTTTCCTAATTGAATACCCTTTATTTCTTTCTCCTGCCTGATTGCCCTGGCCAGAGCTTCCAACTCTATGTTGAATAGGAGTGGTGAGAGAGGGCAGCCCTGTCTTGTGCCAGTTTTCAAAGGGAATGCTTCCAGCTTTTGTCCATTCAGTATGATATTGGCTGTGGGTTTGTCATAGATAGCTCTTATTATTTTGAGATACGTCCCATCAATACCTAATTTATTGAGAGTTTTTAGCATGAAGGGTTGTTGAATTTTGTCAAAGGCCTTTTCTGCATCTATTGAGATAATCATGTGGTTTTTGTCTTTGATTCTGTTTATATGCTGGATTATGTTTATTGATTTGCGTATGTTGAACCAGCCTTGCATCCCAGGGATGAAGCCCACTTCATCATGTTGGATAAGCTTTTTGATATGTTGCTGGATTCGGTTTGCCAGTATTTTATTGAGGATTTTTGCATCAGTGTTCATCAGGGATATTGGTCTAAAATTCTCTTTTTTTGTTGTGTCTCTGCCAAGCTTTGGTATCAGGATGATGCTGGCCTCATAAAATGAGTTAGGGAGGATTCCCTCTTTTTCTATTGATTGGAATAGTTTCAGAAGGAATGGTACCAGCTCCTCCTTGTACCTCTGGTAGAATTTGGCTGTGAATCTGTCTGGTCCCGGACTTTTTTTTGGTTGGTAAGCTATTAATTATTGCCTCAATTTCAGAGTGTGTTATTGGTCTATTCAGAGATTCAACTTCTTCCTGGTTTAGTCTTGGGAGGGTGTATGTGTCAAGGAATTTATCCATTTCTTCTAGGTTTTCTAGTTTATTTGTGTAGAGGTGTTTATAGTATTCTCTGATGGTAGTTTGTATTTCTGTGGGATAGATGGTGCTTCTATTTAGGTGTTTTATTCAAGTAGCATCACTATTAAGTTGCTATTCTATTGGGGAATGCCAGTTTTCTAGATTGTTGACAAATCAAAAATGTTAGAATAGGATATTTAAGAAACTGAAAGTATTTTAAATAGCATGAGAATAAAGAGAATATCATTCCAAGTAAGTACCATTTTTCATCCAGCCTAGCATTCAGACTGAGAAAGACATCAAAGAATTTGGGAGTTTTTTTCAAATGTCAAACTAAAAATTCATAGGTGTTCCTTAAAACACCCATAACATTCTAGGTCAATCATCTTGACTGTTCTCCAAAATATACTTCCAAACCCATTTACATTCCAGAAGTTGGTATTATTATTCCACATCTTCTAACTGGGAGCAATGTCCATGTATTTTCTTCTTTCATTGTTAAAAATTAAGTATCTTTATTAACAAGACCTCTGGCACATCCCTCGGGGCCTAAAACACTGAAGATCTGAATTGGTTTTCTTCTGTGTATATGCTTGAATATAGATGTTTTTGTTTTTGTTCGTTTTTTACGGGACTAGGGAGGAAAAGAGGTTTTGTTTTAAAAGTTTACCTAAACCGCCCCCTGTACATCAATCAAGTTCTATTTAACTGGGATGATCTGGAAGGGTTGTCTTTGAAATTTGCACCTGAAACTTTTGCTAATCCCTCAAGCCTCTGCTTGCTTATATGTATAAAGACTCTACAGATCAGTGAGTTTTAATAGGTACTAGTATGTTGGAGAAGTTTCCAGAAGAAAAACAAATTTAGTCTTCCTTGGCAACTCCCTTTTAAGGTGAAAGTATTGACAACAAGCAGTTTTAACACATTCACTAGAAAATATGGTGTATCCTGAGATAATACAATAAAGATCTTCTAGAGAACTTTTGAAACCTTGTGAAAACTTACTGATCACTGATTTTTTCCACTGGAAACACCAGTAGTGTAAGAATAAGTCTGAAATCAATTTCTGTTGATATGTGTAAGCCCTTTATTGAAGGTTCAAAAAATTGCATGAATTAGTGTCTAAAATATTTAGCACATTTTCAGTTACTATATTTTCGTCATCATCATTATCAACATCATGTCTAACATTTTTTGAAGATTTACTACATATTAAGCACAATTCTAAGCACTGCACACATTAACTTTTTAAATCTTTATGAAAACCCTATAAATACTCCTATATTCCTAATATGTAGATAATGTTCTTAAAATTAATTGTAGTTAAAAAATTTAGGTAGATGATAGACAGATTGGTAGATAAATATTAGATGACTAGGCAGATATTAGATACCTGATATTAGATAGAGAGATATCAAAAGTAAACTACTACTGTAAATAATATCAAATAATATATTTATTTTCTAGGCAATTGACAATGACAGCAAAGAACCTCTAGCCATAGGTAATGTTCTACCTGTATTTTGTAGAATGGGCTGTATTTCTATGATATGTAGAATGACATAATGGACACTAGAGAAGAGGGTTTGCAAAGCTAATAGCAGTAATTCTTATGTAAAGCAATTTCTCTCTCTCCTTCCATTACCACCCTCTATCCACTGGATTCCTATGGAGTTCCAAGACCCAAGACTAAAGGTACATGAACTGGTAAGGCTTAGAGGACATTTGGGTTTGGAAGTTAACTCCTATTATGATTCTCAGAAAGACTGATTCCTAAGATTTGATGAAATAAAATGTATGTGTTCTTAGAAAATGATAATAGTTGAGTTTAATAGCAAAAGATCAAACAATTTGAAAGTACACCCTATGTCAAAAAGACATGTTTCTGAATTAAAGTGTAACAAAAGCCTTAAAAATCTGAAGCTGGGCATGGTGACTCATGCCTGTAATCACAGTAATTTGAGAGGCTGAGGCAGGAGAATTGCTTGAAGCCAGGAGTTTGAGACCAGCCTGGACATAGTGAGACCCCATTCCTACCAAAAATAATAATAATAATCAAAAAAATAGCTGGATATAGTGGTGCATGTCTGTAGTCCTGGCTACTCAGGAGGCTGAGGCAGGAGGATCACTTGAGCACAGGTGGTAAAGGCTGCAGTGAGCTGTGATCACACCACTTCACTCCAGCGTGGGCAGCAGAGTGAAACTCTGGACAAAAGGAAGGAAGGAAGGAAGGAAGGAAGGAAGGAAGGAGGGAGGGAAGGAAGGAAGGAAGGAAGGAAGGAAGGAAGGAAGGAGGGAGGGAAGGGAGGGAGGGAGGGAGGGAAGAAAATTTGAATAAGAATAAGTGGATTAAAAGATACTAATACTTAACATTATAGACCACTCATTCAGGTTGCACTTATAAAAATGCTTTTAAAATATATATATATTGAAAGTGGTTAGATGCAGTTGAGATATCCAGTTGCATATCTGTGTCATAAAATATCAGTGACAAATGACATACTGCAAAAAGATGGCTTTCTTTGTTAACAGTTTGATCTCTTACAAGATTAACAAAGCAATGAGTATATTTACTATTCTAAAGTTAACTGCAATCAATAATAACATGATTGGTGAACTAGCAATGTTCTTGGGAAAATGTGACAATTGTCATGGTGAAGACTATTAGAGATTATAAGAGTTTTCCATTTTTAGTCTGCAAAACTCATCTTAGGGGTAGGCTATAATATACCTTTTTGACCTATGCTAGCTATTTCAGCAAGCAGTAGGTGTTAGTTACCTAGTGTCATTTTTATTATATTCTGAGTTGGTTATGTAAGGAAAAAATGGAGGGGGTAAGGTCTTGAATAATTGACCTCTCTTTGAGGCTAAATTATACTTAAACCATCTCTGAAATATAGGTGATTAAACGATCTATTTCAAAATGTTCTCAACTTTAATATATAGTACAAATAGGAGGACAAACTGATGATTTCTTTCATATCGAGCAACTAACAAATTATCAAGCATTTCTTAAGTGCCTACTTTATGCTAAGAAATTAATGTAGCTGAAAACATTTGATTATTCTTCATCCTTCTTTTTCCAACTGAGTAATAGTTTCTTAACTTTTTCTCATTTAAATAACTTAAACATATATAATAAAATATTGTACTTTACAGGCATATTTTCTTCCAACCCTGTGTTTTATATTTAACCATAGTTAATTATTTTGCCTTTAAATGCTTTTAGATGGTGCAATTTGTTCTGACTGCCTTAGCTTTTCTCTTCGGTCACACAGCTGGAGTGAACATGAAAACTCCATGGAGCACGTCTCTCTGGGTGAACATTTTTAAAAAAATCACAACTGGTAGGCAAAAAGCCATTTCCTCTAGTCAGGCTGTGGTTATCTTGATCTAGCATGACAAATTGGTGTTCCCAGAGTGGCTGCAAAGTAATCAGACTGTGACAAATGGTTTACTTATAGCAATTTGTTTCCATTTTACTGAAAATTTCTACAGTCTTAAAAAAATAAAAAGATTTTTAATGGTATTTGAACATTGTTGAAAGTGAACTGCTTGAAATGGCCAAAGCTGGAATCTAGAATCATTATGCTTTCCCATAAGATATGACCAGAAACGTGACATCCTGGGTCATGGATTGCTAGAAGGAATTCACTCTTCAGTCCACTGTTCACAGAACCGAGTGACTCTAAGGCAAGAATTTCAAGCTCCACTCATCAAGACTTACCAGATAGATTACTTAAAAACTCTGTTCTCATTCTAGACTAAAGTTTCAATGGTCATTTAGTTTGCTATAATTAATCTTTTCTAAGGGTCTGCCTCAAGCCCAGCAAGATTTGTTTTTGCTGAAATGAAAAAACATCGGTTTGAGATTGGATTCTCTGTCACCTCGCTTCCTCTTTCTGGAATGGTACTCTCATATCTCTACGTCTTTCTGTTTATCTTTTAGCAAGTTTATCTTCTCTCCTTGGTTGGACACTCCACAGTGACTCAAACCCATTCATCCTGTGCCCTGACTGACTTGTTTCCTAGTCAGTGCAGTCTTCTGTCTCTTCCTCACTTCAGAGGCCATCTATGAATGGCCTTCAATGAGGCCCTCCAGGTACTTACAGACCTCCTTCTTCGTTCCAGATTTCATGAGGGAAAATAGAATTAGAGCATAAAAAGGGCAAGGTACAGTGTTAAGAGTTAGCTCTGTACTAGGCAGACAAGTAAAGTGATTTGCCTATGTTATCTCATGTTACCCAGAAAAGTCAGTTTGATTCTCCCTATTTTATAGGTAAAGGTAACTAAGAAAGATGACATAAATTGTTAGAGATTAAGTATCTGTGACATTTTCTTGCCTGCTTTCTCAACACCATGACTTATTTTTATCTCTCAATTTGTAAGTAGTCTGAGGAATTTGTTTTTTTCCATTGGTTTGTGTTGTGAATTAATGTAACTGACAAAAAAAAGTAAGAAAAATTTCTATGTATTAGTTTATAATAGCTAATAATCTAGATACCCAATGGAAAAGAAAAGAAATGAATTATTAAAGCCATTGCACTGTTAAGTTTTTCAATTCACACACATCCCTTTTCAAGCCACTTGCATTACTCTGTTACTTGGTATTTTAACATCATACTATATTACCTCTTTGATTTTGTTGTTTCTTCTCTTAAGAGTACCAAATACGAAAACTTCCTAAACAAGAATTTTTTTTTTTTTCTTGAGAAGGAGTCTCACTCTTTTGCTCTGTCTTGGCTCACTGCAATCTCCACCACCCAGGTTCAAGCGATTCTCCTGCCTCAGCCTCCCAAGTAGCTGGGAGTACAGGTGCGTGCCACCACGCCCAGATAATTTTTTTTGTATTTTTAGTAGAGACAGGGTTTCACCATGTTGGCCAGGCTGGTCTTGATTTCCTGATCTTGTGATCTGCCTGCCTCAGCTTCCCAAAGTGCTGGGATTACAAGCGTGAACCACCGCACCCAGTCTAGAAATGTTGTTTTTTATTCTTCATAATATATCTTTATAAGACTAGTTATAATATTACATAGTAATTTCCATATGTCAGTATTGTCTAATAATTATTTGAAATTCTGTGCAATACCATGGGATTTCAATTAACTGAAACTTAAATGAGTCACAACTCTGTCAGGCCTCTGAGCCCAAGCCTGCCCATATACATCCAGATGGCCTGAAGCAACTGAAGAATCACAAAAGAAGTGAAAATGGCCAATTCCTGCCTTAACTGATGACATTACCTTGTGAAATTCCTTATCCTGGACAATAAGTCTCCGGAGGTCCCCACCGAGCACCTTGTGACCCTCGCCCCTGCCTGCAAGAGAACAACCCCCTTTGACTATAATTTTCCACTACCTACCCAAATCCTATAAAACTACCCCACCCCTAACTCCCTTTGCTGACTCTCTTTTCGGATTCAGCCCACTTGCCCCCAGGTGATTAAAAGGCTTTATTGCTCACACAAAGCCTGTTTGGGGATCTCTTCACATAGACACATGTGACATTTGGTGCCAAAGACCCGGGACAGGAGGACTCCTTCAGGAGACTGGCCCCCTGTCCTTGCCCTCATTCTGTGAGGAGATCCACCTACAACATCAGGTCCTCAGACCAAGCAGCCCAAGGAATATCTCACCAATTTCAAATCTGGTAAGCCATCTTTTCACTCCCTTCTCGAGCATCTCTCACTACCTTTCAATCTCCCTGTCCTTCTAATTCCAGTTCTTTTTCCTCTCTAGTAGGAAAAAAGGAGACACATTTTATCCATGGACCCAAAACTCTGGCACCAGCTATGGACTCAGGAAGACAGTCTTCCCTTGGTGTTTAATCACTGCAGGGATGCCTGCCTGATTATTCACCCACACCCCATTGGTGTCTGATCACTGCAGGGATGCCTGCCTTGGTCATTCACCCACATTCCCTTGGTGGCAAGTCAGTTGCAGGGACACCTGCTTTGGCTGCTCACCCACATTACAGCCCAGGGCTGCTCACTACCCCCTTCTCCATGTCTCTACCCTCTCTCCTCTCTTTTCTCTGGGCTTGCCTCCTTCACTATGGACAAACTTCCACCCTCCATTCCTCCTCCTTCTCCCTTAGCCTGTGTTCTCAAGAACTTAAAACCTCTTCAACTCATACTTGACCTAAAACCTACATGCCTTATTTTCTTCTGCAATATCACTTGACCCCAATACAAACTCAACAATGGTTCCAAATAGCCAGAAAACGGCACTTTCGATTTCTCCATCCTACAAGATCTAGATAATTCTTGTCGTAAAATGGGCAAATGATCTGAGGTGCCTGATGTCCAGGCATTCTTTTACATATCGGTCCCTTCCTAATCTCTGCTCCCAATGCGACTCATCCCAAATCTTTCTTCTTTCTCTCCTGTCTGTTCCTTCAGTCTCTACCCCAGCTCTGAGTCCTGTGAATCCTTTTCTACAGACCCATCTAACCTCTCCCCTCCTTCCCAGGCTGCTCCTTGCAAGGCCACAGCAAGTCCCTCAGCCTCTGCTCCCCCACCCTATAATCCTTCTATCACTTCCACTCCTCACACCCGGTCTGGCTTACAGTTTCGTTCCGCGACTAGCCCTCCCCCACCTGCCCGACAATTTCCTCTTAAAGAGGAGGCTGGAGCTAAAAGCACAGTCAAGGTTAATGCTCCTTTTTTATTTATCCGACCTCTCCCAAATCAGTTAGCGTTTAGGCTCTTTTTCATCAAATATAAAAACCCAGCTCAGTTCATGGCTCATTTGGCAACAACCCTTAGACGTTTTACCACCCTAGACCCAGAGAGGCCAGAACGCTGTCTTATTTTCAATATGCATTTTATTATCCAATCTGCTTCTGACATTAGAAAAAGCTCCCAAAATTAGATTCTGGCCCTCAAACCCCACAACAGGACTTAATTAACCTCTCCTTCAAGGTGCACAATAATAGAGAAGAGGTGCAATTACTTGCCTCCACTGTGAGAGAAACCCCAGCCACATCTCCAGCAATAAGAACTTCAAAACACCTAAGCCACAGCAGTCAGGCATTCCTTCAGGACCTCCTCCCTCAGGGATCTTGCTTCAAGTGCCAGAAATCTGGCCACTGGGCCAAGGAATGCCTGCATCCCGGGATTCCTCCTAAGCCGTGTCCCATCTGTGTGGAACCCCACTGGAAATCGGATGGTCCAACTTGCCTGGCAGCCACTCCCAGAGCCCCTGGAATTCTGGCCCAAGGCTCTCTGACTGACTCCTTTCCAGATCTTCTTGGCTTAGTGGCTGAAGACTGATGCTGCCCTTTCGCCTCGGAAGGCTCCTAGACCATCACATACACTTTGGGTAACTCTTACAGTGGAGGGTAATTCCATCCCCTTCTTAATCAATATGGAGGCTACCCACTCCATATTACCTTCTTTTCAAGGGCCTGTTTCCCTTGCCTCCATAACTGTTGTGGGTGTTGATGGCCAGGCTTCTAAACCTCTTAAAACTCCCCAACTCTGATGCTAACTTGGACAACATTCTTTTATGCACTCCTTTTTAGTTATCCTCACCTGCCCAGTTCCCTTATTAGGTCGAGACATTTTGATTAAATTATCTGCATCCCTGACTATTCATAGGCTACAGCCACACCTCATTGCCACCCTTTTCCCCAGTTCAAAGCCTCCTTCACATCCTCCCCTTGTATCTCCCCACCTTAATCCACAAGTATAGGGCGCCTCTACTCCTTCCTTGGCAACTGATCATGCACCGCTTACCATCCCATTAAAACCTAATCACCCTTACCTGACTCAATGCCAATATCCCATCCCACAGCATGCTTTAAAAGGATTAAAGCCTGTTATCACTTGCCTGGTACAGCATGGCCTTTTAAAGCCTATAAATTCTCCTTACAATTTCCCCATTTTCCCTGTCCAAAAACCAGAGAAGTCTTATAGGTTAGTTCAGGATCTGTGCCTTATCAACCAAATTGTCTTGCCTTATCCACCCCGTGGTGCCAAACCCATATAACTCTCCTATCCTCAATACCTCCCTCCACAACCCCTCCACAACCCATTGTTCTGTTCTGGATCTCAAACATGCTTTCTTTACTATTCCTTTGCACCCTTCATCCCAGCCTCTCTTCACTTTCACTTGGACTGATCCTGACACCCATCAGCCTCAGCAACTTACCTGGGTTGTATTGCCGCAAGGCTTCATGGACAGTCCCAATTACTTCAGTCAAGCCCAAATTTCTTCCTCATCCACTACCTATCTTGGCATAATTCTTCATAAAAACACATGTGCTCTCCCTGCTCATGTCCAGCTAATCTTCCAAACCCCAATCCCTTCTACAAAACAACAACTCCTTTCCTTCCTAGGCATGGTTAGGTACTTCCACCTTTGGATACCTAGTTTTATCATCCTGACTAAAACATTATATAAACTCAGAAAAGCAAACATGGCTGACTCCATAGATCCTAAATCCTTTTGCCACTCCCCTTTCTGTTCCTTAAAAACAGCCCTAGTAGCTGCTCCCACACTAGCTTTCCCTAACTCATCCCAACCCTTTTCATTACACACAGCAAAAGTACAGGGCTGTGTGGTCAAAATGCTTACACAAGAGCCAGGACCTTGCCCCGTAGCCTTTCTGTCCAAACAACTTGACCTTACTGTTTTAGGCTGGCCCCCACCCCCATGACTGTATCTCTCTGATCCACCTGATAATCACTCCATTTCCCCACATTTCCTTCTTTCCTTTTCCTCACCCTGATCACACTTGGTTTATTTATGGTAGTTCCACCAAACCTAATTGCCACTCACCAGCAAAGGCAGGCTATGCTATAGTATCTTCCACATCTATCGTTGAGGCTACTGCTCTGCCCCCCTCCACTACCTCTCAGCAAGCCGAACTCATTGCCTTAACTCAGGCCCTCACTCTTGTAAAGGGACTATGCGTCAATATTTATACTGACTCTAAATATGCCTTCCATATCCTGCACCACCATGCTGTTATGTGGGCTGAAAGAGGTTTCCTCACTATGCAAGGGTCCTGCATCATTAATGCCTCTTTAACAAAAACTCTTCTCAAGGCTGCTTTACTTCCAAAGGAAGCTGGAGTCATTCACTGCAAGGGCCATCAAAAGGAATCAGATCTCATCACTCAGGGCAATGCTTATGCTGATAAGGTAGCTAAAAAAGCAGCTAGCCTTCCAACTTCTGTCCCTCATGGCAGTTTTTCTTCTTCTCATCAGTCACTCCCACTTACTCCCCTACTGAAACTTCCCCTATCAGTCTCTTCCTACACAAGGCAAATTGTTCTTGGACCAAGGAAAATACCTTCTTCCAGCTTCACAGGCCCATTCTATTCTGTCATCATTTCATAACCTTTTCCATGTAGGTTACAAGCTGCTAGCCTGCCTTTTAAAACTTCTCATTTCCTTTCCATCGTGGAAATCTATCCTCAAGGAAATCACTTCTCAGTGTTCCTTCTGCTATTCTACCACTCCTCAGGGATTGTTCAGGCCCCCTCCCTTCCCTACACATCAAGCTCGGGGATTTGCTCTTGACCAGAACTGGCAAATTAACTTTACTCACATGCTCCGAGTCAGAAAACTAAAATACCTCTTGGTCTGGGTAGACACTTTCACTGGATGGGTAGAGGCCTTTCCCACAGGGTCTGAGAAGGCCACTGTGGTCATTTCTTCCCTTCTGTCAGACATAATTCTTTGGTTTGGCCTTCCCACCTTTATATAGTCTGATAACGGATTGACCTTTATTAGTCAAATCACCCAAGCAGTTTCTCACGCTCATGGTATTCAGTGGCTCCTGGTTTTACCTCAAACCACCACCCTTAAGTCTCTCTTGAAGTGGATGGAAGCTCTTCAATGGCAAGATACACTCCAATACTTTCACCCTCATAAAGTCCTATTCTTTACTTTTATACTCACTCTTATTCTCATTCCCTTTCTTATGCCACCCTCTACCTCTCCTCAGCTATCTCCACCACACTATCAATCTCACTCACTTTCTCCTAGCCATTTCTAATCCTTCTTTGACAAGCAATTGTTGGCTTTGCATTTCTCTTTCCTCCAAAATCACATAGGCCTCGACTTACTCACTGCTAGAAAAAGAGGACTCTGTATATTTTTAAATAAAGGGTGTTGTTTTTACCTAAATCAATCTGGCCTGGTATATGCCAACATAAAAAACCTCAAGGATAGAGCCCCAAAATTCGCCAACCAAGCAAATAATCACAGTGAACCCCCTTAGGCACTCTGATTGGATGTCCTGGGTCCTCCCAATTCTTAGTCCTTTAATACCTGTTTTTCTCCTTCTCTTATTCGGACCTTGTGTTTTCATTTAGTTTCTCAATTCATACAAAACTATAACCAGGTCATCACCAATCATTCTATATGACAAATGCTCCTTCTAACAACCCCACAATATCATCCCTTATCACAAAATCTTCCTTCAGCTTAATCTCTCCCACTCTAGGTTCCCACGCTGTCCCTAATCCCGCTCAAAGCAGCCCTGAGAAACATCTCCCATTATCTCTCCATACCACCCCAAAAAATTTTCACCACCCCAACACTTCAACACTATTTTGTTTCATTTTTCTTATTAATATAACAAGGCAGGAATGTCAGGCTTCTGAGCTCAAGCCTGCACATATACATCCAGATGGCCTGAAGCAACTGAAGAATCACAAAAGGAGTGAAAATGGCCGGTTCCTGCCTTAACTGATGACATTACCTTGTGACATTCCTTCTCCTGGACAATAAGTCTCTGGAGCTCCTCTCCAAGCACCTTGTGACCCCTGCCCCTGCCCGCAAGAGAACAACCCCTTTGACTGTAATTTTCCACTACCTACCCAAATCCTGTAAAACTACCCCACCCCTAACTCCCTTTGCTGACTCCTTTTTCGGATTCAGCCTGCCTGCACCAAGGTGAAATAAACAGCTTTATTGCTCACACAAAGCCTGTTTGGTGGTCTCTTCATATGGATGTATGTGACAAACTCATGATCTCCTTCTAATTTTTTGCTTTATTTTGGAGTCTTTTCTTCTCAACTTGCCCTTTTTCTCTTCTAAATGATCAGATTTTTTTTTATTTTATTTATTTTTGTATTATACTTTAAGTTCTAGGGTACATGTGCACAACGTGCAAGTTTGTTATGTAGGTATACATGTGCCATGTTGATTTGCTGCACCCATTAACTCATCATTAACATTAGGTATTTCTCCTAATGCTATCCCTCCCCCACCCCCCGCCCCACACCAGACTCTGGTGTGTGATGTTCCCCACCCTGTGTCCAAGTGTTCTCATTGTTCAATTCCCACCTATGAGTGAGAACATGTGGTGTTTGGTTTTCTGTCCTTACGATACTTTGCTCCAAATGATGGTTTCCATCTTCATCCATGTCCCTACAAAGGACATGCACTCATCCTTTTTTATGGCTTCTTAGTATTCCATGGTGTATATGTGCCACATTTTCCTAATCCAGTCTATTATTGATGGACATTTTGGTTGGTTCCAAGTTTTTGCTATTGTGAATAGCACCGCAATAAACATACGTGTGCATGTGTCTTTATAGTAACATGATTTATAGTCCTTTGGGTATATACCCAGTAATGGGATGGCTGGGTCAAATGGTATTTCTAGTTCTAGATCCTTGAGGAATGCCCACACTGTCTTCCACAATGGTTGAACTAGTTTACATTCCCACCAACAAGCAACCTACAGAATGGGAGAAAGTTTTTGCAATCTACTCATCTGACAAAGGGCTAATATCCAGAATCTACAAAGAACTTAAACAAGTTTATAAGAAAAAAATCAAACAACCCCATCAAAAAGTGGGCAAAGGATATGAACAGACACTTCTCAAAAGAAGACATTTATGCAGCAAACAGACACACGAAAAAATGCTCATCAGAGAAATGCAAATCAAAACCACAATGAGATACCATCTCACACTAGGTAGAATGGCAATCATTAAAAGATCAGATTATTTCTTAGACATAATATATGTGAGTCCCCTTGTGCTTTTTCCTTTGAGTTTTAAGAAAGACCTTTGAAATACACACGTCTTTATTTTGTCAACAGAAGAAAAAGGGGAATTATTTGGTTTTAGTTAAATAACAAAGGTACTTCATATTCCTCTCTCTTTTAAATGAAGTGACAATCACGTTTCACACAGTCATGGTTGTACACAGCCCATGGTCTATTTAGTCATAGCCCCCTTGTTCAAATACCATTGCTAATCTGATTGTATTTGCATTTTTCCTCATGGGATTTTACTTTGCAGTCTAAAATAATAAACATATTTTCATCTTTCTAAGAAAGTAGGGCAAATAATTAAGTACGCAAATTGATAAAAATGTGTTAGCAATGTGTAAAATCATAATGTTTTTTAATCTTCCAGGACTTCGTTAATAATCCAAACATAGTCTTCTATGATTTGTTCTTTCCTGATCTTTAATGTAGTATCAAATATGGGCTTTATACTTATTAGTGAGGTGCATATCTCTAATCTGTTTTTATTTTCATTTATACCGTTTAATAAAATGGTCTTTGTGCTACACTGCATGCCTGAGTGTTTGAGGAATTCTCTGATTTTTCAAAAAGTAGAAAGAATCTGTTCTTGTTTAAAGTCATTGTGTTCTTGATTGATTTAATTTGTGCTATGGCTTGAATGTTTGTCCCCTCTAAAATTCATGTTAAAATTTAATTGTCATTATAGCAGTAATAAGAGATGGGTCCTTTAAGAGGTGATTTGGCTATAAGGGCTCCATCCCCATGGGTTGTATTAGGCTCCTTATTGGCCCTCTGAAGTTTCACTGAAAAATCAACTCACAAAAGACAGAGAAGAGGAATACAAATTTATTTATCATGTATACACAGGAGCCTTCAGAATGAGGACCCAGTCTCTCAGTGAGGTACAGAAACTTAGATACTATCTTGAGGTTGTAGAAAGAATGCAGGCTCAGAGCATGGCCCAAAACAGGTTATGTTGATAAATCAGGTTTAGTGGCAAGACAGGATATGAGAGGGAGAAAGGAAGAGACCTGGCCAGCAAAGGTGATCTTGTTATGCAGATGAAGCCTCATATATAGCAGTCTTCAGAATAGACCCTAAATATCTCTTTTCAGACCTTTAAAGGTGTCACATTCAGTTAACCTCTCCGGATCTTGTAAAGGCCTAGAAAGGGAAGGCCTGGCTTCCTTAACAGAGATTCTCAACAGAGGCAAATTTCCCCCACCTCAGTTTGCTGGTCCTGTTGCATCTATTTCAAGACATGTCAAAGAAATATATTTTGGGGTAAAATATTTTGATTTTCTTCATTATAAAACGATGAGTTTAGCCCCCTTTTGCCTTCTCTCTTTGCCTTCTGCCATGTGATGTTTTCTATTGTGCTATGATGCAGCAAGAAGTCCCTCACCAGACGCCAGCACCTTGATAATGGACTTCCTAGTCTCTAGAACTGTGAGTGAATAGATTTCTATTTGTTATAAATTACCCATTTTGTTATATCAGCTCAAAACTGACTACAAAAACTTGGTTCTGAATTTGGTGACAAAGTCATGCTGGGAAAAATTAATTACTATATATACTGTGTTGTCTTTCTATTGTTTTGGGGAAGCTTGATTAGTTAGCCATGCTAGTTAAAGAGGTTGAGAAGGGAAGAATTTGTTTTTGAAACTGCCTTTGCAAAAATTATAACAATGAGAAAATTACAACACTGAAAGAGATCTGACCTAACCAACTCCAACTTGCCTTTAACCTCAAAACCGCCCTTGTTCATTCCTGGATGTAGGCCAAACTAACTAGAGGATGAGTTTAGTTTATAGTTTAACTTTGAAACAAAGATAGTAACAGCCCTTTCCTGAAACAAGCCCTCTCCTTGCTTGGGGACCAGACCAGCTTTGTAAAACTAACAAATTAGCCACAAGATTAGAAATTATGGGTTAGGAGTCAAGTAGAGGCCACAAGATTTCTAACCTCCCCAATTACCTCTATAGATAACATCACTATTGTAAAACCTGATTAGTGTTCAAGATATTTTTCAGACCCTGCATTCTAATGGACTAGCTGGTGCCACCTAGATTGGTAATCTGCCTTAACTAGTTCTGTGATTCTGCCAAGGAAGAGAAGACAGCAAAAGGAACCCACATCAACCCCCTACAATTTTATATCTGACATGACCAATCAGTACTTCCCTCTCCCTCATCCCCTACCTGCCAAATTATCCTTGAAAAATTCCAGTCTCCAAATTTTCTGCAAGACTGAATAGAGTTACAAAACTCCAGTCTCCCATTTAGCTGGCTTTGTGTCCATTAAACTTTTTCTACTGCAATTCCCCTGTCTTGATAATCCAGCTCTATCTGAAGAGCAGGCAAGAAGAATCCATTGAGTGATTACATTTTGACTCCAAATTTTGACATAATGGGCTGCGTTCGCCAAATTTTTACCATTAGGGAACACATCCCAGTCGTGGCACCAAAGTACGTTACCAGTGGTGAATCTTTATGGGTCTATAGCAGCCTCAATTCTTGCCTGCTTGGAAGAAATAATTCAACCAAGGGGCATAAGGCAGGGTGAGAGACCAAGGCATATTTTAGAGCAGGAGTAAATGTGTATTAAAAAGCTTTAGAGCAGGAATGAAAGGAAGTAAAGTACACTTGGAAGAGGGCCAAGTGAGCAACTTGAGAGATCTAGTAGATGGCTTAACCTTTGTCTTGGGTTTCTATATGCTGGTATTCCGCATGCACGGTCGCTTGCCAACACTTCGAAAGGGCCACATGTGCAGTGTGTTTACTGGAGTTATATGCATGCTCACTTGAGGCATTTTTCCTTTACCAGTTGAGTGTTTCTAGAGGAAGTTCATATACCAGTTAAATGCCACCATTTTGCCTCTTAATGCACATGTGTGAGCCTACTCACCCAACTCCTGAGATCTTATCGGGAAGCTACTAATTACCAGTTTCGTTGTTTTTATTTATTGGGTGACTGCCTTTTCCTGGCACTGGCTGTGACCAATTATTATTTTAGAGAGACAGTGTAACAACCACCTAGTCATTACCTGCTGGTCGCCTGACATTCCTCGTGCAGGAAGGGCCATCTCCTGCCCTGCTCATATTCCACTAACTACTTACATAACAAATTTAGTAAAATATTGCACTTTTTTTTTCCTAAAAGACTACATACTGGACATGACTAATGCAGGGAGATGAACGCATTGTGTAGGGTGAAAAAAAAATCCTTGGCTTCTCTTTCTAGAACAGATTGAGTGGACATTTAGAAACTCTTCAGTCCAATTCAACAACAGAAATTCTTGTCACTCTGCTTCAACAAGGCTCTTTAAGAGGTGAATATGAGGATATAAGTATATTAATACATATACTCCTCCACATTGCTGGTAGAATATTGAACTCAAAGGAGGCCTCCTAACCTCAACCAACATGTTCCATGTTAATGCTGTAAAAATAGACTAATTAGTAAGAATTAGCTCCAAACTGAATTATAGTGTGAGCTCTGGGAAATACAATCTATATTCCCCTGAAATATCTTGGGGAGAGCTCTGTTGAAAGCCATTTCCTAAGCCTGACAATACTGCTTTAGGAATACTTCTAGATTACATTTTTACTACCATTCTTCCTTTCTGCATGTCCGGAGAAAATTCCCTTCAAACCTAACTGCCCAGTGTCAATCTATATGAATATTCAACAAAGGCTGCTGCCTACTATTTTTATTAGAGCAGTAACTTAGATGATATTAACTTCAACTATACATCTGTTGGTTAGCCACCAACTCAAATTCAAAGCCTTTGGTCAATTATTTTCTCACTTAGCATCACATTACATAATTATCCTCTTGGTTCCTCCATTAACAATTAGCTTTCTCAATTTCTCTTTTCAGTGGCTGCTAGAACCCCGCATACTTTTACCACACTGCTCTATATCCTTAATCTCTTCACAGAAAACTTCTGCTACTTATTTATTTGAAACATGGATCTTCCCTGAAAGTACCTCCTTCCTTATATTCCAATTGACTGCAAGCTTTTTATTTTTTCACCCTAAAGAATCTGATGGCCTAGAGGTAGCATTGGCAATTTCTTAGGTCCTAAATATTTTTTTTTATCCTAAAGCAAAAATCACACTTTCATTAAGATTCATAACTGGGTATGCCATTATGTACTACTCTTTATTGATGTCATCCTTTGTAATCTTGACTGCTCACATTTATTCACTGTGGACTTTGAAATATGGCTTTTAGTCTTCTTTACTCCTACAATGAAATCAACCATCACCAATTGGGCCATTTCAGTGTGTAGATGACCTTTCCAGCAAATAGCCTCAAAGTGACTTGACTTTAATATCAACATTCTGATCTTATTTCAATCCTACAAACCACTGCTACAGAAATACTGAAATAGTCATCACTCAAATTCTTTTGCCTGAAATTTTGAAATTCAAAATTTCATCATCCTACCAAATCTTCTGCTCTTTTGGGTCCTCCACTCCCGTTCCTTTTATTCATGGAGAATTTTGGACTCTCGTTCCCTCCAGTTACTCACAGCACATAACCCCTCTCATAGTTTTATTTTATTTTCTCCCTTTCCTTGACACCTTGATAGTTCATTTCAAAAACTTTCTTGCCATTCTAACACTCTCATTCCTTCACCTAAAAATCATGAACGTTTTTCAGATCATCTGTCTGACCATCCATCTTATTATCTGCTGTACCCAGACTTCTGAGTTCTGTTAGAAAAAAATAAAGCAATTGTATGAATTAGTGCCAACTATTTGGTCTCCAGATGGGTTTTCAGCATAGCTAAGCAGTTCTTTTTCAAGTCCCTGGTTCTGTTCTCTCTCTAATTTCTCATATTTGCCATTTTTAAACCAAACTAATAACTTGATAGTCTCTATTCCACCACTATTTTCCTATTTCTCAAGCAGATAACTTGCCTGTTAATTTAGAGACATTTACAGGCTATTCTGTATTATACTTCCTTAACTTCACACATCCAAATTCAAAAATGTGATATTGTCATGCTTTTCTGATAATAAATTTGTGCTTTCTCCATTTTATTTCCTGTTCTTGTTTCATCAAAAATAACTAGCTCTCTTTTAGTCTCTTACTTCAAGAGTGTTTCAGTTATGAGGGCTAACAGAAGCTGCCTTCCTTTTTGTTTGTTTGATTTTATAGTTGAGATGAATGAACAGATTACAGTAAATATATCTAAAAGCCACAGTGAAAATTAGAGCATTCCTTAGGGGGAAAAAGGAGTGATAGTTCTATACCTAGCAAAATATTTTTCAAAAATGAAGATAAAGATGTTTTCAAAGGAAAACAAAAGCTAAAAGAATTTGTTATCAAAAGACTTGACTTTCTATATATAGTAAAGCTTGTAGGAAAATGATCCCAGATGGAAGCACAGAGCTTCAAGAAGAAATAAAGAGCACCAGATATGGTAAATTTAATGATCAAATGTAAATTATTAATGACTTGATAAAATAACAATAATAAAAATATCTTGTGAGATTGGTAACATGTACTTATACAAATATGAAAATAATAAGGGGATTGAATGAGTTAAACTGTTGTAAATTTTTATATCAGCTAGAAAATGGTAAAAGTACTAATTTTAGGGAGATAATATACTCAGGAGGCTAAGGTGGAAGGATTGCTTGAGCCTAGGAGGTAGAGGTTGCAGTGAGCCATGATCACACCACTGCACTCCAGCCTGGGTAACAGAATTAGGCACTGTCTCAAAAAAAAAAAAGAAAAGAAAAAGGAAAAGAATAGAAAGAAGAAAAGAAAAAGAAAGAGAAATACAAAAATTGTAAAATTGTAACTAAAATCCTAATAAGAGGAGAATGTGTATAATAATAAAACAACTTTGTCAATAGAAGATTAAGCAAAAAGGAGGAATAAAGAAAAAAAGATGGAATAGAAAATAAATAAAAAGATTTTACAGTTACACTTAAATAAATCAATAATGACAATAAATGAACTAAGAACTCCAATTAGAAAATTAAA
The DNA here is from genome assembly GCF_000001405.40 of Homo sapiens. NCBI lineage: Eukaryota > Metazoa > Chordata > Mammalia > Primates > Hominidae > Homo > Homo sapiens. The sequence goes on from NC_000002.12 coordinate 211,274,678, forward strand.
CAATAAAATATTAGCTCATTACAACAGAATATGGTACATCAAAATATGCCACTTTGGCATAGGATCATTTTAAATTGAAAGCAATTGAGAGGAAGCAGGTTCCTGCCCCCTGTTTGCCAAAAAGCAGAACATAAGTTTACAAAGGTATCCCTCCTCCCCTCTTATACCAGAAAGGACAAAAATTAATCACCAGAGACCCTTATATGCCTTGAGGGGGTACCACAGAAATCTACATAACAAAACTGTCCTAATTAGCCTTTATCTATCATTAGTTTATTTCTATATTTGCCTTCCCACATTTTGCCACCATAAAGACCCAAGACCTTTTCCCTTTGTCTTGTCACTTCTCTAAAATTTTATTGTTTTTTATTGAAGGTGCTATCTATAAGCTGAATTTTTAAGCCACCTCTTTGAGATTTCCTCATAGGTATCTCTCGAGTATCTATGCAATATACATGTTAATAAACTTCTGTTTGTTTTTATCTTATTAATCTGTCTTTTATTATAGGGTCTCTAGCTGAGAACTTGGAAGGGTAGAGGAAAACTTATTTTTTCCTTCCCTATACCAACCATATGGCATTTACAAGATACAATTTTAAATAAGTAAACATAAAGAAATGAAAGTAAAGGAATGAAAAAGATATACCAGGGGAAAAGATTCTACTTATAGACAAATATCATTTTAGGGAAAAACATATTAAAGATACAGAGGAATATTCTCAGATTTATAAAAGGCAATTCAATAGAAACATAGATTCGAAAATTATATACACCTAACTAGATGGCTTTAAAATATATAACAATCCAAATGGCCATTTGAAGTAGAATGCGTACATATATTATGCATACTATTTGTATCACAGAAGATAACATAAAAATGAATGGCTTACTATTACCTGCAAACCATGGATAAATCGAAGGGGTAAAGTGTGCCAAACACCAGAGTTCGTAGGAATGAGTTATTTCATGCAATGCTCAAAAACAAGCAAAACTCATCAGGTGGGAGTAGAAGTTAGCATAATGGTTACCTTTGAGGAGGGGGGCAGGTAATGCCTGAGAGAGGTCACTAGCTAGGTATCTGAGATGCTACTAATGTCTTTCTCTTGATCTGGATTGTGAGAACCTATGTGTGCTCACATTGTAAAAATGTGCCCAGTTTACTAAAATAGAAAGTTGGAATTATATTTAACAACAAGACAGTTGGTGTTTACCTTACTTATCAACAGAGTTAAGTAAAATCCATATCCCAATGTCTGTGTGTCAATACCACTCCTCACTGTGTCACTGTTTAAAATTCAGATCCTTGTAGCTTTCCCCTGTAGGAAACTCTGAAGACGTGAGTATACAATTTGCCTGAAATAACGCTCAGGAGTCCAATGTCTTGACTAACATCAAAAAAAGAAATGGAGGATGTTATAAAATTTTATTTTTAGAAGATGCAAGAATAATTAATGGGTAATTGTTTCATATATTTATTGGCTCTTTAGGCTGTGTACAGCAGTTTTCTGCTGTCATTTACTCTTGCCCAGGGCCTGCCTCTAGGACACAGTCAGAGCTCTGAGGTATTCTGAAGATAGATCCAACTCCACAAAGCATTAAAAGAAAAATAATACTTAACTGAAACTGCATGGGGAGACAGAGAGGAAATTTACATAGCATAACACATGTAAGAAATTTAATCCAATTTCCTTTAGATATCTCAATTTTCCCCCACAATGTTTCTCTTCCCTCTGGTCTTTTCATCTTTCTCCTTTCTTTTTTCTTTCCTTCCATAACCTATAGAACTTCTTTTCAGCAGTTCAATGGTATCCACAACTCAGCACATCAACATTTGTAATTAGCTGAACAGTAATACTTTAAGCACAGTTGTAACGTAACTCAGTTCATCTGAACAATTAGGTCATTTAAAATGTTCTGCCTTATGTTTTGAGACATGAAGTTTTGAAATAGAAAACTAAGGCACCAAGATGTGAAATGATGTTTCCCAAGCTTACATTGATAATTAGTGAAGCATGAAGTTAAATCCTTGACCCAGTTCTGCTACTGAATCTGCCTTCTTCATCACTCACTAGGTTCTTCATAGAAGGCATTGTGCTAGATGAAGAAACAAAAATAAAAGATTGCCTGCCTTCAAGTGTTTGAAAGCTTGTGAAAAGGAAGGACACATGTATAAATAGCTGTAATCTAGTGAAGAATATGAAACCTGATATAATAGAGGTACATGTCATTGAACCACAGAGAAGACAAAGAATAATTCTGGGAGGGAAGAGAAAAGATGGGCATGAAAGACTTGAAGAGAAGACCATTGATCTGACAAATACCCTGGGGTTGTGTATCTGCCAGTCATGCTTATCTAATTCTAAAATAATACTAATCATTGCTTTCTGTGTTTCATATTCTGTTTTCTATCTTCTTTTCAATTTAGTAATTAAATCTCACCAAGTTTCTCTAAAAGTTTTATTTTAGTATTTAAATTATGTCCATCACTCTTAAGAGGCACATTGGGCTTTTCTAGAACATGTAACATGTTACAACTTTGTGGCAGCAGTTATTTATATAATGTGTCTGAAATTCAACATTTCATTTCATTTTATTTACTTATAAGTGACATTTGGCTGAATATCGATATCTGAACTATATGAATCCTTTATCAGTCTAATGGAGAAGTATTGATATCAAATATCCAGAGAAACAAGTCACTGATCATTGTATACATTTTTTCCATCTCTGCCTTTAATATCTGTAATATTATTTACTGCTATTTTGAGTCAAATCTAGTATTTGAATGTATTGTTATAGGTTACATTGGTATGTTATAGGTTACACTGGTATGAAGACTTCTCTACTCGTGATTAATATAACAAAAAAACTTTTTTGAAAAGATGACCCCTCTTAGCTCACTTTCCTCTTGCATGTTAAATCGAACACTAAGCCCTCTCATTCCTAGCACCTAAATATCTCTCAGCATTCTCTACTTCTTTCCATCCCTTCTTAGTTTCCTCCTGCTGCTATAGAAAATTACTACAAGCTTAGTGCCTTAAAGCAATACATACTTATTCTTTCAAGTTCTGGAGGTCAGAGATCCAAAATGGGATTCACTAGACCAAAATCAAGGTATCAACATGGCTGCATTTCTTCTGAAGTTTCTAAGGGAGAAATAATTTCCTTACCTTTTCCAGCTTCTAAAGGCTTCCTAAATTTCTCTGCTCATAGCCCTTTTTCTACATCCTCAAAGCAAGTAGTATGGCATCTTCAAATTTCTGACTCAAACTTCCTCCTCTGCCTCCCTTCTACTTTAAAGAGCCCTTGTGATTATGCCGGGCCTACTCATATAATCCAGAATAATGTTCTTCTTTTAAAGTCAGCTGATTATTTTAAAGTTCATCTGTAACTGCAATTGCCTTTGCCATGTAACATAATATATACACAGGTTCCAGGTATTAAGAGGTGGACATCTTTGAGGGGTTATCATTTGACCTACTGTATTACCTATAGTCATGGTTCTGGCCACTATCAGCCATGTATCGAATGTCTGCAGGACTCTCTTAACTGGTCACCATGCTTCCATTCTACTCCCCTCCGAATCTTTTCAGTACACTGCAGGCAGAATGATCTAACCATATATGCTTCTTAGCTCCAAACCTTTAGAATAAGGTTCAAATTATTTAATATGAATTTGAAGGTTATACATGATCTGAGGTTATTCAAATCCCCAGTTTCCTCTCTGATCACTTCTTCTGCAATTGTGCCTTCAACTTTACCAGTATGTAATGACTTTCAGTTCCCTGAATGAATTACATTCTCTTGCCTTTTGCTCCCTGCTTCTTTGCTTGGAACATGCCCCCCACTTTTATGTCTTGGCTAACTCCTCCTTATCATTTAGATCTCAGCTTTGGTGGCATTTTTTTCAAACATCTTTTCCTAACCACTGCTGAACATACAATCATCCAGGAAACTTAGGCTTTTCTCATATATGATCCTTTAGAACTCTGCACTTTTTATATCAGAACACTTAACACACTCTAGTATATTGTAAATACAATGTCTTCTTTACTTGCCTGTATTCCTGACTACATGGTAAATTCTACAAAGGCAGAGACTTTTCTCTCTTATTCAAGGTTGCATGTCCACTCCTTATACCAGATCCTGGCATGCCATATGCACTAAGTAACTGTTTCTTGATTGCATGATATCCTTTAGGAAAAATAGAGTGTATTAGTCCATTCTTGATATCCACAATTATGATTTGAGAAGGCAGATTGTCTGAAGACAATGAATGTGCCTCAGTAGTCCCTGCTGCTATAAGGACATACCTGAGACTGGGTAGTTTATAAAAGAAACTTTATAAACTTTATTAATTGAGTTACAGTTCAGCATGGCTGGACAGGCCTCAGGATATTTACAATCATGACATAAGGGAGAGCAAACGTGTTTCTTCACATGGTGGCAGGAAGGAGAAGTGCTTGGGCAAAGGGGAAAAAGCCCCTTATAAAACCATCAGATCTCATGAGAGCTCACTATCATGAGAACAGCATGGGGATAACGGCCTCCTAATTCAATTACCTCCCACCTGGTCCCTCCCATGACACCTTAGGCTTATGTGAACTACAATTCAAAATGAGATTTGGCTGAAGACACAACCAAGCCATATCATAGAGTCAGCTCCACTTCACCCATCACCACTGCTACCAAACTGCAACTCATTGCACTTCCTCCAACCAAGGCCAATATATTTTAACTGTAGATTTTAAGATTTTACTTTGTTGACTGATGTTCAGCACTTATCCTTGAGATCCACAATTATGATTCAAGAAGGCAGATTGTCTGAAGACAACTAATGTGCCTCAGTAGTCCCTGGTCAAAAAGGTGAGATAACAGCCAAGAGTATCATAGAAATATACTATGGCTGTGCTAAACTATATCTGCAAATATGGTCCACATTTTGGGTCTGCAGATAACTCAGAGCAAAAGCTGAGCTCCATAGATGTGTGCATGTCTGTGTATGCAGAAGGGAGTTTGGGAGGTGTTGAATGGTGGGATAAGGAGGAAGAGGGGGAGAGTGTTCTAGAAGAAAACAGAATGAACTCAATCACAAATAAAATCTCTGCGATTAAGCCTCAGTGTGTCAGCAGTGGCTTTGTATAAAGAGAAATGACAGACTTCTCTCTTCTAATATTTTATTTAATTATTATTTTGTTGGACCTCCGGTAAACAGAATTAAATTAACACAAACTCTCGGTTCATAACACATTATTTGTAAATAGCTAATGTCATTTCTAAAACAGGAAATAAAAAACATATTGCTAGGTATTCTGCTCATAATATGAAGGTAACATTTATCTTCCATGTTCCAGGCACTGAATTAGGACTGCAATGTACTCATGCAAGTCTTAGCATCCTTATTGATAAACCCCTGGATATAGAGAGCTTGTTCACTGTGATTTGACAACATGAGGCCTGAGAGTGTTTTTAATAATAACACAAATGTTAGTGTCGGAAACCCTGTGGGAAAATGTGGGTAACTTTTTTCACAATTAAGCTTCAGATATAGTAGCCTTTCCTATGGATAGCTGGACTAGTAGAACATAAAACGAGCCCTTTAAATATTCACTGTTCATCTAAAAGACAAGTAGAGTGGGTACACTGGGCAATAATAGCCCATATGTAAAAGAGCTCAGTGATTCTAGGTGTCACATGAGGCTCTTTCTCTCTGACCATCTACCAGCGTGATCCTCTATTCTACCCTCTTCCTACTCATAATGCTTATCATGAAGAAGAAAGCTGGCATTTGGAGCCTACAGTATCTGGTAGGGGAACCCCCTATGAAACAAGCTGCTCATGAAAGGCATTCCGTTAGCCAAGCAAGAAAAGCCCCAGAGACGAGTTTGGCCGGCATAGCACTAGCACTGACAGCTACCTGTAGGCATCATGAAGATCTGTGGTCTGGAAATTGACAATGGAGTGGACAGCAACCAAGTAGGAGGACAAAGCTCAAAAGATCAAAAGAAAAGTGACAGGAAAAGACAGCAAGGCAGAGAGATCTAATCATAAGGCATGGACAGCAGCTGGGAGTGTGTGAACTAGATTAACCTCCTTCCCCTTTTTTTTCAACCTCAGCTCCCACACATACAAACACAATGAGCCAGAGCCTTTCTCAGAATAATCAGGAAGGGGGTGACAATAAATATCATGATAACCAATTACACCTGCTGAATACTTCAATCATATTCTCTCATTAGCTCCTTACAATAACCACGCGAGGTTGATACTACTACTATGCCACTTATTTTTTTGATGAGACAAAATAATGCTTAGCGAAGTTAAGAAACTGACTATGGGATAAAGACTATCACAAAGTAGAGGCTTGGGGCAGTGAGAATGAGGGGCTTGCTCTAACTATTCTTCTTTCTCTTTATTTCATATTTACATACTGGCAATGAAAAAGGGAATAATCAGGGTCCTTTCACTGTATGTTCCATGAGTCAGTCCAATTACTTTATATGTCTATATCTATAAATATATGGAAAATATATATATGTGAGAGAGAAGAGAAGAGAAAATGGAAAAGAAATTGTCATTATGATCTTTAGTGGCAGGGAGAGGCTGAACTTGAGACTATTTGTTTCTTTGACATTCTCGCCATCCAAACTTTAGGGTTAGAAAAATATACTACAGACATTAACAGATATCCATGCCTGGGGAAAAAATATTTGGTGACAATTTCCCGTAGAACCTTGAGCCATAGTTGCTACATGCAAGTGATTTATCAGGTTCAGCCGTAAATCACTCCTGTTCAGCAGAAACTTCCTGGTCAGGTTGCAGTTAATGAGTGGTCCTGTGGGAGCCCACCTTCTCACTGTACCCTCTGACTCTTTGGTCACAAAGTCAGTACCTGCACCCAGTGTCAGTCCTCCAGTGGAGAGTATCATTGTCTTTGCCTGTAAAGAAGGAGCTGGTTCCCCCACCACCCAGAACCCTGCAGTTACCACACAAATGTAAAAAAGTGACCTCAAGATCTTAAGGCTAGCCTGATTTCTCAGTGTGCCTTTCACATTTCCAAAAGTAGCCACAGGGCCAGCTCATTGACCCCTTGAAGCTGACTGAAGTTTCCTTCTTTGGAGCTGCCTGGGTTTTGCCTTTGAAGTTTAAACCTGGGAGCAGTTATCTGCCAGCACAGATAAGCATTCCCAGAGCTTTTGCAGGCAGCCCATCCTAACAAAGGAGGGATAAGACCTCTGAGTGTGCTTTGCCATCTACCGACTTTCAGGGGAATAGAGAGTAATCAGGGTTCCTTCCACAGGGTGCTCCAAGAGTGAATCAAATTAAAGAAAAGTCAAAGAGAAAAGATAAAATAGCTTCAAAAGAGGACCCACAGCTGTAGACTTACTTGTCAATCAGCAGGGGCCACAAGCCAATCAGAAGTGAAGTTAAAAATTGTTTGAAAGAAAAAGCATTTGAATCCGTTGCATTCCACCAGCGTAGCAAAAAGAAGAAAAAGTTGGTCAATTGGCACAAGGTGCAGAGAAAGCTGATAATCAGTACCTCTAAGTATGTCAATATACATTACACATGTCTCTCTGAATAGGCAGGAATTTTCAGTGTTCACCCGTGATTTGGGTACCCTCATAGGCTACTGTCCTTAATCCCACAAAGCTAGTATAACCAAAATAATCAACAAAACTATTAAACAATAAAGTATGTCAGCTTATTTGGTAGGCAGATCTAATTTAGTAATTGGTGTGATTGTTTTTCCCCTCACTGATGTAGCAGTGTGCCTGACCGTCTTAAAAAGGTAATTCAATCTTCACGTTCTTAACTATAAGGAGTTGTTTATTTCAAAAAACAACACCCAAAGAAGAATATACCAGACAGTACCACCCAGTCTTCTGTTCAGGAAAGATCAGGCTCATTTAAGCAGTGGAGCTGGGTAACCTGTGAGCAGGAAGGAAATGAAGTCTTGGAGAAGCCAGGAGTAGCAAGACCAGACAAAAATGGTTAGCTTGCTAAAATATCAAGATGATGGCATTTGAGAAGGTTCTGTGTTAGAAAACCATAACATACTGGTGTGCAGCATCACTGGTAAGGGAATGATAACAAGAAGGATGCTTTTGGAACACATGTTGAAGCTTTGACAAGATTTCCAAGGGGTTCATGACAGGTCTGCAGTCAGTGGGGTGCACTGCTCTCTGGAGAATCTCTGTACCATCTTGAAATAGCACAACCTGCCCTAAGGAGTAACAGTGAAGATGGTAACAGTCAAGGATCAAATCTGGACCCATCTCCATTTTTTCTGGCATTATGGTAGGCAGTATAATTGCTTTCCATAGATGCCACATCCTAATCCCCAGAATCTATGAATATGTCACCTTACATGGCAAGAGGGACTTTGCAGCTATGATTGATTAAGGATTTTAAAATGGGGCAATTATCCTGGATTTTCTAGGTGGGCCCAACATAATCACAAATGTTGTTATAAGAGGGAGAAAGGAGCATCAGAGTCAGAGAAGGTGATGTGATAACAGAAACTGGCATCAGAGAGAGACATTTAAAGATGCTACACTGCATCTTTAAATGCAGAGAGACATTTAAAGATGGAAGGAGTCAAAAGCCAAGGAATACAGTTGGCCTTTCGAAACTACAGAGGGCAAACAAATGGGTTCTCCTAGAGACTCCAGGAGGAACACAGCCCTGCCAACTCATTTTGGAATTCTGAACTCCAGAAGCATAAAAGAATAAATATGTGTTAAGCCACTAAGTTGGTGGTTATTCATCACAGCAGCAATATAAATGAATATAGCCATCTTTTAAAATCAATATTCTTGCCTAATCTATGACACTATGGAAAACTTTGCAGCTTTTAGAAGTGACGGACTATACATAAACAGAGAGCCATGGGTAGATCTTATATAAACAAGCTGAATGAATATAATAAGAAAAGAAACAGCCTATAGCTCAATATATATTACAAAACAGTACCACATATTTTTAAAATGTGCATACCTAACACACCAATGGAGTTGATGTTGATGAAGGGTCAGAAACGGGAACAGGGAGGGAAGGGGTGTAAAAATGAATCAATAAAACAATTAATCAATAAAGTATGATTATCTCTACTTTCTGTGCCTCAGTTTCAAACATTTTCAAAAATAGTTTGCCCATTTAGATTTTAAAATGGGAATTCAAACTTTATCTTTGTAGCTACACACACACACACACACACACACACACACACACACACACACGCATGCATGCATATCTATCTATCTATCTAAAGAATCTAGGAGAAATTGTGACTTATTCTGATAACCAAGGTATCCATGAAAAATTACCACATTTTATGGCTAAGCAGAGTTAATGAAAATTTAGTTTACCATAACGGAAATGTTGCTTGTGAATTATTCTTTACTAGGCATTTTTAAGATCCTCGCTGTTGAGATGATTACTTTATGTTCTACTCTCTCACATCCTCTGATTTTCCTTCCACAAATGTAATGCATCACTGATCATTTTGTAAAAGTACAATGGCTCAATAAGAGAAATTGCTCCTTAGTCTCAATGTAATTTAGACATTTTTAAAAGACTTTTATTTTAAGAAGGAAGTCAGATTGATATTTGCATTCCAGCAATTTCTGAGTCACAAATTAGCCTGATGGCAATTAGTGGGTATCTCCTGCATTTTCTTCCAGGTAAGACCTGTAATGCATGCTTTTAGCAAAAAATAAAGAAGAGAGAGAAGGAGAGATGAAGTTAAGAGAGACAGAGGGATCTCAAATCAAAAGTATTTTTAAATATCACAACAATAATCAGAAAAATATTTTACAGACCATATCAGCATTGTAGTGCTGCATATAAAACTGAAGGAAACTTTGATTTACTTAGGAAAGAAATGAATCTTCTAGATCTTGAAAATCTTTTTTAAAGTAATAATTATATTTTTAGGGGAGCGGTGAGCCAAGTGAGACTCTGGACATCTGATTGAATGAAATTAATTTGCTATTTATCTGTGTGTAATTCAAATGAAAACAGTCTTTGTGTGTGTGTGTGTGTGCGTGCATGCGTGTGTGTGTGTGTGTTTGTGTGCATGCATGCGTGTGTGTGTGTGTCTGTGTGTATCTGTGGGTATCTGTAAAGAAAGGGTATCTGTAAAGAAAATAGCATTAGATTTTGTAAAGAAAAATCAGTTTTATCCACACATTACATAATAGTTGTGGATGGTACAAAAGAAATTTTGAAAATATTTTTCCTAATTTTAAGAGAAAATATACGATTTCCCTGAAAAATATGTATAATTTGCAAATTCCTTGGCAGTAATTTGAAAACTTTAAATACAGCATGGATCTTTGTGATGAACTAGCTGCTCAAGGAGTGAAAACAGTGATGTTAATAGTTATTGTCTCTTTATTCTTTCCTCTCTTATAGATGAAATAATGCTCTTCCACCCCAAAGACGTATTCCACCTTAGAAAGACTTTAAAAGTATAGAGAAAATAAGATTTTTTCTGTCTTAGGAAGTGATTCCTGAGGCTGAATAAATAAATAACTTCAAGTAGAATAAAAGAAATATAGCTTGTTTTTATTCCAAGAAGATTCTAAGCAACTAAAACATACAGTTCTATAACCTTGATCGACGTTGTAAATAGGTAAATCCTGAAAGAGCAATGGGTATATTATATTCAAGATTGAGGGCTTTTTATTCCTCAGTGGACTCATGGTAATTCTTTCCAACTTTTCACAGACTTTCAGAAAAGTAAATTAATTTCCCAATATAGGCTGTTTTTGTTCTCTGGTGAAGATAATGCTCCTCAAAGAAAATGAATCAAATTACCCATCAACTATGAAAAATATTCATGAAAACATCCTGACAAAAAAAGAGAAGGGTTGCTAATACTACCAGTCACTTCCCTGCCCAGAGAAGTGACCTCAAGTGTGCTTAAGAACTAACTAAAAAAGAAATCCTTTTGAAATGTTATTATTATTTTTAAAACTAGATAATGGGCTGCTTTTTTCTCTTTGTTTGAGCCAGCATTCCAGTTGGGTATGCTTTCCTGCTATACAGATTATATTTCTTCACAGTCAAAATTCAACCTCAACAGTACCTAGCGTCTTTCAATGGATATCGACACACGAGAGTGTATACAAGCCTCCTTTATTTTCCAGAATGTAACCAAATGACCTTAATAGTTCACCTGGATCTGTGTTTCTTTTGCATTTGGGGCCCTTACCTTATTAGTGATAATAAACTATTATATTTCAATTCAAATAGATATATCCTAAGTAATGCCCAATGAGTTTAAAGAAAAATGTCAGAAAATTATAGTGCGCGTTTTAGTCAAAATGATGTACAAATTAGCTTTAATGATTTTTTTTTCAAGTAGTTATGGTGTCTTGGTAAGATAACTGATTTTAACAATGTGTGTGATTTGAATGATAAAACTGTTTCACTGGTTTAGAACTTATGTTGTCCGCATCTGTTGGTAGATCAGAACCCAGAACCGGGGGATGTTTAGGGTCCACTACATGAACAATATCTCTTGGTTTGCCATTCACTTTGATTAACTGAATTCAAAAGATAATAAATGTAAGAAAATAAAACATTATCTTATAAAACATAAAACCTTGTACAATCACTACATGGGAAAAATACTTTATGCAGTAGTCAAGGAGCATCTTCATTTTTCTCTCTGCCTGTCTCTTTAAACCTACTGTGTTGGTTGTGCTTCCCCTGACTTTGGATGACTACTCCAAGAAGCCATTTGACTTTTCAAGTTTTATGCAATAAAAATTCAAGTCATACAACGTAATCTCACTTAGTAAATAATTTTCCAATAAACTTCATTTTTGTTTTAAAGTTTAAGTCTCTCTCCCTTCCTCAGTTTGTGTCCTTTGCAGTCTGATAACTGCTTCTCTGTCCTGTCTGTATTTTTGCCATGGAGACACACAGAATAAACCTATAGTCACACTCCTGACCTTTACATATTCAAAGACCATGCCATTTCACTTTGTGCCTCCTATTTTTTATATTAAAAATTATACGTAGTCACAAATTCTTTCCCACAATCAGGATTGCCAGACCTTTCAAAGTCTGAACACCCTTGTATTCATTTGTTCCAGGTGCTATTGATCTTTTTAAAAACTTGTACAGAATGTAAGATAATTACCCTAGATGAGGATGTATCCAGAGCATCCTCTCCAGTATCTGTTAACTTGATGCTATTCACCCAAATCCTTGGGCCTCCTTGTTGGTTTCTGTGAACATTCTGAAGATTCCATTCTGTATTTAGTCTCGAAGACAAAGTTGTCAGATATTTGTATTAACTCTTTGGTATTATCCATTACTTATGTCTCTTTTTTGTCTGTTATAATAACACAATAGCCATGTATAGACTTACCTGATGACAATACCTTGCCTTATAATCATACATTTTAATAACATTATAAGATAAAGTTTACTCAGTATGTGCAGCCATAAAAAAACAGCAAAGTCATGTCCTTTGCAGCAACATGGGTGCAGCTAGAGGATATTACCCAAGTGAATTAACTCAGGAACAGAAAACTAAAAACCACACATTCTCATGTACAAATGGGAGCTAAACATTGGGTACTCATGGACATAAAGATGGCAACAATAGACACTGGGCACTATGAGGGAGGGGGAAGGTGGGAGGGTGGAAAGGGTTGAAAAACTAACTGTTGGGTACTATACTCACTATATTGGTGATGGGATCATTTGTGTCCCAAACCTCAACAAGGTGCAATATACCCATGTAACAATTCTGCACGTGCACCCGTGGTTCTAAAATAAATGTTGAAATTATTTTTTAAAATTTAAATAAGTAGAAAAAAACATTGAAAAATAGATTCAATGTGGTGAGAATAAAGGAGGGAAGTGATAATGAGAAGACAGAGGCAGATAGAAGATACCTAAGTTTCTTCTTACCACCTCTGCATAGCACTAAACTTTCTCATTTTCTCCTTATCTCCCTGCTCATTAATACCTTTCTCCATCAGCTTCAATGACTGAAGACTGCCACCTGCAAGCTTAGCTTTGTCCAGTTCTTAGTAAGCCTGCTGTCAGCCTCAAGACAGCCAGTGGGAGGGACCTAGAATTGATCAAACTGTCAACTGTTGTGAGCTCTGAACTCCCTACTTTTCACTGAATTTCAGTGGGAATTATTATTTTTTTTTACCAGTTTGGGTGACCATATCTCAGGTGTAGGTTACTGATTTCACTCCAGTTCCCTGCTAAGCTTGAAACCTAGCCCTGGCATTTACTCTTAGTCTGCTAGATTGCGTTCTAAAAATTTTCTAGCTTTTACCAATTTTCTCTTTACTACTGAAACAAGATCCCACTTTGTACTCTTCAGTGTTGGCTAAGACGTAGGTCCAAACCAGATGTATTTTCGAGGACTGTTAAGAAACTCTTTCCCTAATCATAACTCTTGCCAATTTTATCAGTATAGTATCTTAATACAACCCCTTTTATTTACTTCACAATTCTGGAGTTGAACAATTTAGGCTGGGCTCAGCTAGGAAAATGTTTAGTTCTTAGCTGGTCACACATCTGCAATCAACTGCAGTCTAGTTTCTAGGGTGACTGTACCTAAATTCTTCTTCAGCAGGTTGACCTGGGCTTGTTCTAATGGAGAAAGGAGAAGTTCAAGAGAGAGAAAATTCAAGGCCTTTTGAGGGCTAGACTCAGTACTGACACACTATCACTTGCACCACATTCTTTGTAGCAAAACAAGTCAAAAAGCTAGCCCAGGCCAAAAATAGGGAGATAGATGCTACCTTTTCATGGGAGGAACTACAAAGCTACATTGAAAATTGCGCAGGGTTGAAAAATTGGGCAAGTTTTATAGTGATGTACTATATGCTACTCAGAAACATTACTGTATTCCTATCCATCCCTATCATCATGGATTGCTTTGGATAATAGTACTAATGTGATGCCACTTAATTTCACTGTACACTTTTGGAATCCATATTTGGACTTGTTAATTCTACTTCTCAGGAGAATGAATGGGGAAAAGCAGTACCATCGCTGATATATCTGGTTGCTATACACCTAATCTCACTCACTCCTGGTTTTATTATTTTTTTCCAGTTTACTTTTCTTTGCACAGTGCTGCTGGTTCACTGTCAACCAATAATTAGACATGTTTATATTAATATTTGGAGGGTTTTTTTCTTCCTTTGGAGCACCACCTTAGGGAAATTGGATCCAAAGTGCTTATAAAAACCTGAGTCAGTCAAGACAGCTATTTACCAGAATTTAACACCCTAAGTAATTAGAATTACAGTCCTATGGCCCATCTGAAGCATTCTGACATTCTGTTTCCCCTACACGAGTATCATTTCTGAACTTTAATATTCAGACATGACAGCTTCCAAATAAAGTTCAAGTTGAAGAATCAAATAGTGGTTTCCTATCTTTGGAATAGATAGAAAAACTGAATTTCCCTAAGAACATAGAATAAAATTCACCATCTAAGCAAACAAAAAGCTGTTTTATGTATCTAATATTAATTGGTATGCCATCAAGAACCTAAGTGACCACGGACTTAATGAGTAATCTAACACTCATGAACAAATCTAAAGATTAAAATAAATTAGAATGAATTAATTCAAAATGTTAATAATTTCTATAACACAGTGTATTAATAGCTAGCATTTTAGCATTACTTTGAGCATTTATGTAATTTTTCTCATTCAATCTTCACAACCTCATTAGTAGGTGTTATTATAAACAATTAATAGATGAGGAAGCTGGGTTTCCAATAGCAAGAAGTTTGCTCAAGAGTTACACAGCTAATCAGTGGTTGAGCTTATTTGAACTCCAGTCTACTTACCTCTTAACAATTATATTATAATACTGGATTCACATAAACTACTTACAAGAACGAAATTCTTAATTGAAGGCATATTAATAAATGGTACAGCCATTAAATTAGTTAAAATAGAAAGATATTCTTTTGTTTTGAAACCTGTACTCTCCCATCTCCATTCAACTCAAATCCTACATCTTCTAAGAAGCTTCCAGAATGTGGTCAGAGAGATTCTCAGCAATAAGCATAAGTGAATTCTCCCTTACCTAGGCTTCTTACGTCCAATGTTCACATTTCCAATATTTACTTTCAATATTGATTCTATTCTGTCCTGTATCAAAGCTCATATTGAGGCTTCACATAAAGTTTCTGGAAAGTGGGGACTTTGCATAGAGTCCAGCTTTACCTGTCATAGAAAGTAATATGTTTCCATAGTATTACATACATGTTAAAATAAATATGCACATAAATGCACACATATGAGTTAAAAATGAAATCTTCATTCTTGATTCTCGTTAGTTTCAACCATTCTAGGATGATGAGAGAATGCTATTTCTAATTTAAATTAAATCATGGTCATTTAGAATTTAGATAGAAATTTCAGTTTTTCATGAAAAATTCTAGTTATTGAGAGATCTGTCCTTAAATATCAAAGTCTACCAATTGTGAAGAGCAGCAATAGAAATAAGCCACGGGCCAAGCTAATGTATCATATTATATTCTTTTATCACTAAAATACTGTATAAACAGTAACAAACAGGTGGTGACATTTCAGGGATAAACCCTATTCTAAGGGATTAATTACCATTTATAATAATGGAGTTTTAAAAAGAAAATGGACCCACTGGGCTTGTTTACTCACTTTTTAACATATAGAGGGCATTTTAATTAACTACATTGCGTTTAGTGCATTTCCCATGTGCTAGAGGTAAGACTCCAGTGCTTGAACATAAGATATAATGAAACAATATATTTTCTTCTTTATTTTGTTGTTGTTTTACATTCCTTTTTGAAAATAACTTAATTCTATTTAAGTATAAAATTAAATGATTATTAAAGTATATACAGAATATACTTATTAAAATCCCTTTCCTGGAGACAATTATTGTAATCAATTTCTTAAGAAATAATTTTAGAAATATTCTATGCATCTATAAAATAAAAATATACATACGTTTTTCTTTTGCTTTTTAAAGCAAATGGTAGATTATTTTATAATCTTTTCTATGTATTATTTTTATACTCGATGGTATATAAAATTGCGTATTAATACATATTACTACAAAAAGAACTTCCTTATTCATTCATTTGGTTGCGTAGTATTCCATTGCTTGGATTGATATACCATATACTTTATTTAATGAGTTCTTTATTGATATACCTTTAGGTTGTTGCTAAACAGTTATACCACAAACAATACTTCAACAAACAACAACGTCATGTGAGTCTTTCTCACATATGCAAGTGTACTTGTAGTACAAATACCTAGAGGTGGATTTCCTCTATATAAAGGGATGTGTTAGTTATATGTGCTAGGCATTAGTCAAAATACACTCCTAAAAGTGTATACCCATTTATATTATCACCCACAAGCAAGAGAGTGCCAGTCTTTGCATACCCTTGCCAACAAGGTTGTCAGATTTTCAACTCTTGTAAATTTGATTGACTAGAAACAGGATAACAGTGTTCTGACACACAGTATTTAACTATGAGTGAGACTGAGCATCTTTTTGTATTTTTAATTTCATCCTTCTCTTTAATTGCTTTTTGAGTCTTTTCCAAACTTGTTGATTTGGACATTTAATTCTCATATTAATTCTCATTTGTTAATATAAATGCATTAAAATATTTCTAAATATAAGTAATTTCCCACTGAGCATTACATTGACTATGTCCTTGGGTGTCTTTATTATCATAATAGTCTAGCATTTTTACTTTTTGCTTTTGAATCAAGTTACAAGTGTCTCCTGCTTCCCACCCCTGGAGCTACATTTTTTTCTTATCTGAATTTTTAAAAATGTATAGTTTCACAGCGTTGACATCAGTTAATATAAAATTTCTACGTTTGAACAATGTATGGAAGTTTTGAGGTGCTAACATATGGTCAACTTCAGGGCCCATGAAAAGATGATGTATCCTCTGTTTTTAGAACATAAAGTTTGACCTACATCTATTAGAGACACCTTGGTAACCAAGGAACATCTACTAGATACACCTTATTATTTAGGTAACATATATTGTTAGTTATGTTTTACTTACATGCATTGAGAGGGGTGAGGCATTTTACATTTTACTATAACAAATAGCTTTATATTTATTGATGTAGTATTTACTATCGGTATAGACTCTGGTTCTTATTTTATTCAAAGTATTATAAACTGTTATTATTTCATGCTTATGTTATCTCATCTTTGAGAACTTTTTCAACTTGGCTCCTGTAATTTGGGACATCGTCTTATTATATTTCATTCTGTTTTCTCACCATCTATTCCCAAGATTTGTATATATGCTGTATAATCTTGTTGCACAGATATGATTGCTTACGTTTTTAACGCATGGGGAAATGTAATGTTTTCATCTGCTTTATGACAACATTTTCCTTCTGAGTATTCTTCAGCTGTCATTTGCTTTCCACTTGTTTTCATCATGTTTTGTAGTATGTTTGTATTAATTTTCTGTTAATTTCTCTATAATAAACCATCTTTCAATAAAGTAAATTTTCCAGCTATTTGCAGACAATTGTAAGGAACAGCCTGGAGTTGTGTCTTGGCTAACAAAAATTTTTTAGGAGGTATTTTATTCTTTACTTCTCATTAGTCATAGAAAAAGGCTGAGAGCTGTCAAACTCTAAAAAGAATTTCCTCTCTATTTCCCTAATCTTCAAAATAGACACAGTTACTACCTGAAACTTTGCCCATGTTTTTGTTTGTTCATTTTAAAAATTCTTTGTTCTGCTCAACATTCCTGCTTTTCAGAACCCAATCGGTATAGAGAAGTTCAACGCATCTAGGTCCTGCTTCTACAAGTAGGATTTTCTATTTTTCACCTCAGAATATATAGTTCACTTCGGAGAATTGCACTTTTGCTGGTTCTTTTTGAAGGTGGCAATCATGGCTATCTTCTTTCTACTTTTGCCTATATCCCTGCTCAATCTTTACTTCCTAGGACACAATTTACACATATTTTTTCTCTTAATTTCAGCCAAGATGACATCTGTGCTTCCGTTTTTTAAATATCCTTGCTGCCTATGATTAATTTTGCAAAAAAGCAAAAGAAATGTTGATTTTATGAACTATCATCAAAAATTTTGGAAAATTTTCATAATAATGTCTGACTTTTGAATATTGACTTATTTTGCTAATATAGAAAATAGGGCAGTGGTTTTTTAAAAAATCATGCTGATTGTTAGATCTCATATAGAATACTCTATGAGTGGGGGGGAATTGCAAATGGCAGCAAACTCTGCAATTCCTAATTATTAGCACTGACTTAAGTCTTTATATAAAAGTTATTGAGAAATTATTATACAAGTACAGTAATTAAGAACATTGGACTTTTAAATAATGTTGAAGAACTTCTAAGCATGAAACAAAAAAGAAGCCCTAGTGGAAATGACTAAAAAATATTTAATAACATGAAAAAGAAAACTTGTATATGATCAAAAAAAGATCAAAAGACAAAGATTACATTGAAATTCGTAATTTGCAATATACATAGTAAATTAAAGGTTTATAGTTTAACATGTAAATGGTCCTAACAAACCAATATTGGAAAGATTAATACAAGATAAGAATGAGTGAAGGAAAATTTTCCAATCACATTTATCTTGATAAATGTGTATTTAACTCAATTATTTCCTGTGTTTCTATATTTGTGTTTTATCTGACATTGCTATAGTTTTAGAGGAGATGCATCAAAATGAGATTAATTATACCATCTTGATAAGAAGAAATTCATTTGGCTAATAAATATTCAAATGAAAATACTCAAATTCCCTGTAATAAAAGAAATAAAAATTAAAATTATGAGGCATTAATTTTCCTCTCTCAGATTAGTCATGTTATAAAGGTAGATAATGGTCATAACATAAAAAGGGATTTTCTCATGCAATGTGAGTCAGAATATAAATTGACATAACCTTTCACATTTGCTTTTTAAATTAAATTTTTTAGCCATTTTAATTCAGAAATGTCTAGAAATTTATCCTTAGAAAAACTCTATACAAGGATGGTCATGACATATGATTTATTTTAATAAAAAATGGAAACAGCCTAAATATTTAACAATCTGATTAAAGTATAGTTTATTAATGCAGTGAAATATTTAGCCATTAAATATAAAATAGGGAGAATATGACTAAGCATTTTGTACAACTTGAAACTGCTTTTAAGACACATATACTTCAAACATTTACAAACAAAACATGTTTAAATAAATATGTCACCTAGACATCTGCTACTTTATTGTTACACAGTCCTCTAAGGTATTTTTTAATTTAAATAAACTTATGGAGCCCCATCCCAAGTACTGTGGGTAGTCAAGTTCTCTACCCAATACCCCAAGGGTTATCAAGATGTTGATTCTTTTTACCCTCCTTCTACAGGCTTCTTGATTCCTATTCTGGTTTTACATTCTGAGTTGGCTCATTACTATAATCCATGTTGCCTAAGGCAAGAAATAGTCTCTTTCTTCATTGTTCAGAAAAAAAATTATACACAGCTATTGTGTACTCCCAAGACAGCTGCTTGCAAGTATCTAAAGAAGGTTATAGCATGGCACAGAGCAGGCAACAAATTAATACTGAATATGAGACTTTCCAGCTCTAAATCCCGAGGGTATGTCTACCACATGTAGGTAACCTAGACCTACCTGTAGATCAGTTTCTCTCCCAAAAGGTTTTTTCTGTCCTGTTGCCTGGTCAGGCTTTCTCTCTTCAGAGACTGCTTTTTGTACCTCACTATTGTATCAGTTTCTGATCCCAAACCACAGGTTTCCAGGAAAGGATTCAAAATTTTAATATTCATCTGTTATATTGGGCAAATCAATGTAACTTTTTTTGTAATGACCCTTTCCTTTTAGACTATATGCAGAGTACTAACATTTTGCAATTAAAAAGCATTCCAACAAGGTTTTGCCTAATCAACAAAGCCATTCTCTCCCTAAGAGAAAATTCTGCTGAACTCCAAGGGCATCCAACATAAAACACAGTAAGCTTTTAAAGGCAACTTTGAATCCTTCCTATTGAGATAGATACAGGTATTCGCTGAAACACATAAATAATTATGTGTGTGAGCTAGGAGAGGATGCACACAAAATGTATATAAAACTTATCTCTTGTAGTCGAGTTGGGTATTTGGGTGGTGTGGTACTCAATTTTTGAGACATTGCATCTATCAGGATATGTTTGAACAGTAAACAGGCATTCGGTAATTTTTAAGAAGTTAGAATATGAATAATTCAAAGGTGAATTTGGTGACATCTCAGACAAACTGAAATAGGATCATTCAGACTTTCAAAGCTGTGTGTTTCCAGAGGCAAAAGAGAATCTCATTCAGAATTGCTCATCAATGTTTAATTTCCAGTCTGGAATACCAAAAGGGAATTGACTTAGGCCCTAGAGAGTTGGTTTCTTGTATTTAAATGGAGATATTAGTATCTTTCCTCTCTGTTAGTATTTAACATTTATCTCCTTATTTAGAAAATGCTGAAGCACACAATTAGAGTCGTAGAGTTGCACTGTTCAGTATGGTAGTCAATAGCACCATTTAGCTATTGAGCACCTTAAATGTGGCTAATGTGACTGAGAAACTAAATTTTTAGTTTTACTTAATTTAATTTAGTTTTTAAAACTAGTACTCAATTCAGTTACTAGAAAACTCTTAAGGCTGTTTGGGAAAACTTGGACATACAAATCTATTTTTCGACTGTACATTTTATAAAAGGTAAATATAGATCGAATATTTCCAATGAAAACTGAGTGTCCAAATTGAGATGTAAGTGTAAAATACACATCAAATTTCAAAGATGTAGTACAACAAAAAAAGTAAAATATGTCCTCAATTTTTATACTGATTACATGCTGAAATTATAATATTTTGGATATATTGGATTAAAATCCATTACTTATATTGATTTCACCTTTTTAAACTTTAAAAAATGTATCTACTAAACAATTATAAACAACATATGTGAGTCACATTGTATCTTTAATAAACAGCAACACTAGAAGGTAAAATCAAAACTTACTGCAGAAGTCACAAGCTGGTAGAGATCATTTAGCCCACAAACTTCTGTATGTCATCCATATAATGTTTTTAATTATTTTTAATTAGTTACAAGTATTTAATATATATAGTTAATTTTTGAAAAATATTGGTAACTGGCTCCTCTTGAAAAGTTAGAAAATTTGACAAAATTACATTTTTTCTTGCATGGCAAGAATTTGCCTGAAATGACAGTGGCTGCCCCCTGTCGCTAGCCCTAAGCTATTTCGCACCACCCTCCCAGTTAATAAAAAATAAAATCACTCTGCCAGACCACTGAAGACATTTGAGTTCGAAATCTTTAAAGCACATGACAGGATGATGTAAAAGAAGTGGGGATTTTTACCCACTAAATTTGTTCTACAAATGTTCTCTACATTGGGTAGTTTCCGTTTTTCTAGCCACAAAAATTGATCAACATTTTACAAGGTGAAAATCCCGTTGAACAATTGAACAGCTGTCCATAAATCATGTAACAGAACCAGAATGAAGCGACATCTTGCCTTGTGGTGCAGAAAATCCTAGTTATATTTAATGCGAAGTCTTCTCCTTTAAGTCCTGGGAACCTCCCAGGTCCTCCCTGCACTATTGACCTATATGACAGGCTTTAATTAGCACAGATTTTTCACGTTCATGGATAGATTTGAAATTTGGAAGTACTTAATGAAAAAGGTCTGTTACCTTGACCAGGCTGAAATTGCAGTTAGAGGACATTTGCTTGCTCCAAAGGCACTGCATACAAATATATGAATATTAACACTATGCATACAAACATGAAGCTTTCATTTTTTTCCTAAAGGAATATTCATGTTGATCTGCTGTTAATACTCCCTGAAAAATGTGAATGATATCTTTAAAACTTATGAACTCAATGTAGAATTAAATATAACTAGATTGTTTGACAGCAATTCAAGCATCATAACTTTTTCTTTGCCTGTTGGATTAAAGGAAATTAGATGAATAAATGACTCTGTTTATCTTTTACTAAAGCCTGTATATGTAGCCTACAGACTAATAGGATACAGAACTGATAGATACATACATACATATGTATATATGTATATACATACATATGTATGTATGTATATACATACATATGTATGTATGTATATACATACATATGTATGTATGTATATACATACATGCAAAGTAAATAAGTAGAATAATTACAAAGTCTTCAAATTATGATGAAGAAAAACATGCAGAGATAGAGAATGATACTGGGGGATTAAGAAGTAGTCAGGGATCGGATGCAGTGGCTCAAGCTTGTAATCTCAGTGCTTTGAGAGGTTGAGGTGGGAGGACTGCTTGAGCCGAGGAGTTCGAGACCATCCTGGACAACATAGTGAGATCCCTTGTGGTCCCAGCTACTTGGGAGGCTGAAGTGAGAGGATCGCTTGAGCCCCAGAGGTCAAGAGTGCAACGATCCAAGATCATGCTACTGCACTCCAGCCTTGGCGATAGAGCAAGACCTCTCAAAAAAAAAAAAAAAAATAGTGGTCAGAGAAGACCTCTTTGCAGGGCTGAAATTTGAGGTGAAACCTGAAGAAATAGAGTTACGTGAAGAGCAAAAGAATGGTCCACATCCAAACAGAGGGAAGAGCATGTGCAGAAGTCTTGAGGCACGTATATTTAACTGAAAGAAGGCCAGTGTGGCTACGACAAAGTCTGACCTGGCCACCTGGCCTGGGAGCCATTGTGCAGACCTGACCATCATTTTGGGCACCATCATTTTGATTCTGACATAGTACCCTCATTAGCAGAGGCAGCTGAATGCTGCCATCCTAGATGGGGTCTTCACATGCTCAGCATAAGCCACCTCAGCCCATCCCAGCACGCACCTAAACCAACCAGCTTAGATGTAACCTGCAGCACCAGAGACTTTGCTCTCCTCAAATCAACTAGAGATACCCCTGCCCCTGACTTTTTTTTAATTTTTATTTTTTGGCTTTAAAAGACCCACTTCTCCTCTTGTCCAACCTTCTTACCTGGAGCTGAGACTCTATTCTAACATGTGTTCCTTACTGGACAGGAAGATTTTTCCACATTGTGCTCATTCTTTTTGCTTTTATCCATTCTTTTTATCTTTGAATAGGAGTTAGGTAAAAAGCAGTATAGATGAATTGGGAAGGTAGAGGAAGAAAAAAATTATTATTTTATCAACCCTCAGAAGTTACAGGGAATGGTCCCTGTAACAAAAGACTGATTAACAAGAGAAAAGCAAATAGAAGTTTATCAACATGCATACTTCATGCGTACATGGGGGATACCCAGACTATGAGTAATTTCTCAAAGAGATGGCTTTAAATTACATAGCATCTTCAATAAAGAACAGTACATTTTTGGAAAAGTGGCAAGTCAGAAGAAAAAGACTTTGATTTTCTGGGGGTGGCCACTTGTGAGAAGTCAAACAAATGGCAGATGAAGGCTAGTTAGTAAAGCTTGCTAACTGTAGACTCTCCTGGTGCTATCTCCAGGCCCAAAATGGGTCTAAAGTAGTCTTCAGTAGTTAACCTGTGTTATCCCTGGTAGAAGGACAAGGTAGGGCGATATCTTTTTTCTTTGTAAATATATGTCCTGCTTTTCGGCAAGAGAGGAAGGGCAGAGAGCTTTTCTGCATCTGCTTCTTAAGTGCCTCCAGCTCAACAAAATTGATATACCAAAGAGGTATAATTTATTTTGGTGTGGTATATTCTGGTCTTCCACAGAGTCAAATAACATAGCCATGGAAAGAAGTTTGGAATTCATCTTAAGTATAAAGTCAGATTACTAAAGGGCATTAAGTAGGGGGAGTGATAAATCCAATTCAAATTTTGAAATGATTATTCTCACTGCTATGCAAACAAATGAATAAACAAAAAATGCTTGAAAATGGGTAAAAGCGACAGGTCAAGGACCAGAGGGGAGGAGGGAGGTATCCGGGTGTTGGAGTGGGTGTTTGTTAAATTGGTGTGAGATCAACATGTCAAATTAATAGAATCATGCTAACAATAAATGTTGGCAATTACAATTGATGACAAGAAAAATCAATATTTATTGAGTGCAAGCTGCCTTATGTTTTCCCCATCAAATTTACACAAGCTTATAAGTGTGTTAGAATGAGCTCATTTTTTTTAATCCAAAATGTGTTTATTGAGATGATTTCCCACTCATCTTGATTCAGAGTGCTTTTAGCGCTGCTTCCTCCTGAAGGAACATCCTTCTGTAAATCTTGCTTTTCCTCCTGTAGGCAAGTGGAGGACAGTGGAGCAGCCAACACACAAAACTACTGTTTGTGCATAGCTAAAGACCGTGGTGATTTTATAGCGTCCTGGGCATTTCACATCCCTGAAGTAGGAACTGGGGCTCTGCACCAGGTATTTCTTCTTGTGTTTCCTTTTCTCCTCTTCTGGAGAGGGATGAAAGAGATCTTTTGCAAGAAGCATGTTCTCGTAGGTAGGTCATCACCGCCAGAAAGGTAGAATGAACTCATTTAACAGTCAAAAAAATTTAACTCAGACAGTTTGGCTAAAGTCACACCGCGATTAGCTGAGATTCAAACCAGACAGTAGGATTACTAAGCTGGTACTCTCATATATGTAAATTTAATTAATTAACAAGAATTGCTGAGAACATACTGCATGCAAAGTCATACACTGTTTCTCAAGAAAAGGAAAACAAATGAAAATGGAAAAAAATCTTATAATAGGCTTTTGTTTACTGTTATGTAATAAAAACATTGAACAAGATTTTTTTTTCTGTAAAAAGAATATAAAACTATTTCCAGGCAAGGTGTCAGAGTCCTGTCAGCATAGAGTGATTGGCTCATGGGTAGTAAGAAGAATTTACCAACAATGGTATAGGTTAGAAAAGGAAAGTTTTATTAGATAAAAAGAACGCTCTAGCAGAGTGCAGCAGGGCACTTAGGCAAGAGGACTGAGTGTGCTGCAGTGGATTTTCCTTAGAGGTATTTATGAACCTTAAAGCAGGAGCTTAAGGGTAATGTGGATCACATTAGCCACATAGGTCATGGCAAATGATTACATTTGTAGACATTTTGGTGTCTTAATGTCAGCAAGAGCTGCACAATGAATTTTGACATGCATGCATTCCAGAGATGTATAGAAATTCTAGTTACTTATAAATTTTTGGAAACAAAATGTGAAATCAGATGCCCACTTTAGATAATAGGGAAGTCAAATTACTTCTAAATTCTTCAGATAAGGACTTTTGCCTCTGGATGGTCTGCTTGATAGCCATCTGGTGGACTTTGCTCTGCTCATTTTTCCCCTGACAAGTATCTCGGTCAAACCTTTGACCCTTTATAATCCCCTATGCTCATGTCCACCTGCTGCCTACCAGGGTCTCAAGAAAGGGAAAACAGCATAGTGAAGATGAGCATTGGGTCTGTCTGGCTGCTTCCTGCTGAAAGGGGCTGTGGAGGGGATATGTTTTGTTTTCCCCTTTTTCGTTCTCTGTCATGAAGGGAATGAGGGGTCATGAAAAACTTGTTCAAAGTGGGAAGACTAGATTCCATCAACAGGCACCGTATAAGTGGAAGTTCCTGTTGCCAGCTGGTATTGGGATTGCATAGTCATCTGCAGGTGGAATTGTTGTTATCTGGAAGATATAAATTAATTAGCACATTTAAAAGGCAGGGACCATATATTAAAAGAAGAATGATTAGGAATAAATGTCCAAGGAATGGAAGAAGCAAAGTGATTCTTGGAAACCAATCAGTTAGGGTTTGGGTCCAGTCTTGGTTACTTTGGGAAAGTATGTGTAGCCATTTGGCTTGTTTGAAAATGTCTTGGACACTAGTTTCCACTTCTCCAGACACATGAATGTAGGCGAAACAGGTTTTGTTGATGACAACACAGACTCCTCCTTGTTCAGCTAGGAGGTAATCTAGAGCTTGTCTATTATCTAAAACCATTCCTGCTAGTGAGCCTAAAGACTTTCCTAGCACTGATGGACTTGAGCCAGTTTTTGCTAAGGCTATTTTAAGGAGGCAGTAAGTTCCTATAGTGTGAGTTCATGGTAAGTAAAACCTTCCCCAAAAGTTGAGAGTTGTATCAGTTCCCATAACTCCAGTCACAGTAAGTCCTAGAGCCCTTTTTCTTTTAGAATGGGATTTTAGATTGGAAGCTATGTTCAAGATAGTGATTTGAGCAGGATCTATTTTACCCAGAATACAATCACCATAATGAAGAGAATTATCAAGGTAGGATAGGGCCAAAGCGTGAAGAGGGTTTAAATAGTTATCAACAGTACCGCAAAGCCATAATAACCTAGAAGGGGTGGGTAATACAATGTGATTGGTTTGATTTAAATACTGGGAAAAAGGGAAGGGGGTCTTTTGACAGTTTTTGAGAGGCCTCATACATGAGGAAAAGTTATGTTTATGTCCCAGTGGGAGAGGTTTAAAACTAGAGCGGTGCATGAGCAATGAATAGAATATAAAATAAGTGGCACAATCATTATTTTCCACATTGGTTATATCATTACAGTAACATACACGAATGGTATTGGGAAAAATTGCCTTGCAAATAAAAATCTACTGCAAGTTGAACAATTGTATGTGGGTTTTAAGTAATGATAGTTGGATAAAGAGTAAGTGAATTGAGGATAATATTATAAAATTGAAGGATATTGCTAAATTGAATAGTTTTGACAAGGGTTTCCATTAAGCTCTTCTGGAGCACATAAGTAAGTGAAAAGGGAGGTGAAGGAAAGTAGATAATAAAGACAGCAAAGAGTTTCTGAAAAAAAAAAGGTTAGTGTTACCTGGTTGTTTATGAAACAAGAATCATAGATCTTCCAAGGGCTCATAAGTGTGAGTGGGCCAGTGTTGGTGCAGACTTTATGCAGAAAGATAGATCCCAGGGGAGATTCCCTATAATTTAACAGCTGTAGGAGAGGTTGGGAGGATTTGAAGGAGTCTAGTCTAGAAAGCCTGAAGGAGTTTTCTGTTTGAAGGTAAAGTTTTTAGATATACCCAGTCCCCCGGGTTAAAAAGAGGCCTTGTTTCTGACCAGGAGGGGTCAAGTTTTGGATGATATTTGACTTTGTATTCAGTAACGGCCTGGATAGTTTTCCCCAATAAGACAACAATTATAACTCAAAATGCTTAGCTTTTTCTTTCCTCTTATTATCCATGGGACTTTTAACAGGTATACTTTAGTCCTATGTCCTCAAGATAGCTTCAAAATTCTACGTAGAGGTAATTAAGGAAGCCACGTAAATCTACCAGGTGTCACCCTTACCAATTCCTAGCTAGGTGATTCGGGCTTCTCAAAAAGGTAGAAATGGATAGGAGATAGTGGAGGAAATCAAGCCATGATCTAAATAAAGTACCATTGATTTGCTAGTAGCTCTGTTAAAGCTCTTTTTGTTGGGTGACTAAACAACATGGGCACTGGTCAGGAAGATGAATTAGTATCCTTATGGTTACACAAGTAAGTCACCTTTTGATCCAAATCAGGAACATTCACGCTCTATATACCCAGCCACCTTGTTATTTACCTGGATAGGTGTGAGAGAGGAAAAATTCAGTTTGTATTCTAATCATACCCTGTTAGCACATCTTTTAATTCATGGGCCCTTGCTTTTTGTTTGCTTGCTTGATTTTTTTTTTTTTTTTTTGTATTTCAGAACTAAATACATTTTTGACATTTGTACCCTTTTAATTCCAGCTAGTCATTTAAGAAGGCAAATTATTCTCAGCATCAGAAACGACAGGCAAGCTTATTTGCCTTCTCAGACCTTCCACCGGGGCACTCATAGCAGGGTCCATTAGCACATCAGCTGTGCTCCATACATTTAGCTACAAAAGCATCACAGTTTCAAATGGTACCTTGGAATGTACAAACCCACTGCTCAAAAGCTCAGACGTTTTCAGTAACACTAGGTTTCATCTTCCTTTCCCTACTTCCTGCCCCTACCTCACATCGCACTCTGGGAAGATAGCCCCAGTGGAAATGTTTTCTTTCTGTTTCAACCCCCCACTTCCATGAAATTAATTACATGATGTCATGCTTCATTTTATCTGATTTGGAAGCAATTCATCACCCTTTTGCTGGTTGTATTAGTCCAAGCGATCAGCATATTAATTCATTTGTGAGAATAAGCTCAAGGGTAATTACAGTGAGGAGGTTTAATGCCTAAACGTGTTAATGTCTGTAATCAGAAGTATTTTCTCAGTGCAGAACAATTGTTAGACAATTACTGTTGGATATGATTGCCCTAGTAGACAACAGACGTGGTGTCAAGAGGGAAATAGCAAAAGCTTGTTTTGCAAGTACTGTATTATCAGCAAGTTCTCTCTTTTTCCCCCTACAATATTTTCTAAGATGTTCAGCTTATGTATAGCCATCCTTGTACTTACTCTCTACATTGTTGATTAAGTAAAAAAGTTGTATTTGTTATGTAAAAGAATCACAGGAGACAGCTTGACACTTTCTGAAAGTCTTACCCTTTTCTTATTCTTTCTCTCCTGGTGCTTTGATTTTTATTTGCATAAAATTACCAACTTAATCACTGCCTTTTATTTCCCAATATGCCCCAGAGCCTTCATTACCTAATTTTTTCCTGTAATGAGAAGATTCTTAGGTCTAACTGAATAACAAGACCCAAATATCAAGACCCAAGACCCATTCTTAACAGACAGCAGTCCCTCCCGATTAGCAAATTGCTAATGAATTGAATAAACATAGTGGTAGAACTTGATCATTGATTATCACTCATTACTCTGCTAGAGTAATTTTGTATGTGAATTTTAATTTAATCTCTATTACACTTATTTTTTCCTAAAAATTTTATGATACAGTTAAAATTAAAATTGTAGTCATAGTTTTCTTTCTACATAGTCTGCTTTCCAGAACCTCTGTTAGGCATGTATAAGATTGTATCTAGTTGCAAGGAACAGAAAAAAATGACACAAATAGTCTTAAACCATAACCTATAAAGACGATATATCACTTTGTGTAACTGACACATTTCAAGGTAGAGGAAGTTTAAGCATGTTTATCACAGGGCTGTAGTGCCATTTATCTGCAATTCCCTGACTTCTCCATTCTTCTCTATGTTGGTTTTATCTCCAAACTGGCTTTCCATGACTCCAGCTAGATATGACATCCCCAATTCTCACATTTGTATGTGCTCTGTGTAAAACTCTGGTTTACTGAGCTCCCCAAGCATCAAACCAGAGTCAGATATTTTTATAATTTAGTTTAGACATATCTTCTACATCTCTCAATAGAACTTCACCATACTTCTCATGAACTTGAGTTCAAATGAAAGTCAGAGAAATGTAGTATATATGACTTTTACATACTCCATTTTACTCACTCTATTTTACTGCTATATTTTGAGTTGTAGCACATTTGGTTTATTGTTGTTATTGTTGGTGATGGTGCTATTGCCTTTTAAAGCATCTACGGTTAATACACTGCTGAACGATTAGAAATGGCAATATTTTTGTTCACCCATTAGATTATTATAGTAATATTCCAGCTTTACAAATATCACTCTGAAGGAAGTAAATTCATGTAAACTTCTTTGTAAACTGCATAATGGAAGTAGATACCTTTCTCTGTCAAAGGCTGAGAAATTGCTCAACTATTACTTGTCCTCATTTGTATTTCTCCTGCATCAGGGCTTTGGAAATAGTAAATGTATCTCATCTACACAATGAGGCAGCTGAAGGCAGGAAGGAAGTCAGACTGCAGTTTTCATGACGTTGGAAGCAAATGCTATAGCATAAGATATATTAGTGAGCTAAGGCTGCCAGTACAAAATACTACAGACTGTTTTCGTAATACAACAAAAATTTATTTTCTCCTAGTTCTGGAGGTTAAAGTCTAAGATCAAGCAAGGTGCCATTAGGGTTGGTTTCTTGCAAGGCCTCCCTTTGTGGCTTATAGACAGTTTTCTTCTCACCTTGTCTTCACTTGGTAGGTGACAGAGAGATCTCTGATGTATTTTCCTCTTCTTATAAAAACACCATTCCTAGCTGTCTGCGGTGGCTCACTCCTGTAATCCCAGAATTTTGGGAGGCTGAGGCAGGTGGATCACAAGGTCAGGAGTTCAAGACCATTCTGGCCAACATGGTGGAACCCCATCTCTACTAAAAATACAAAAAATTAGCTGGGCGTGGTGGTGGGCACCTGTAATCCTAGCTACTCGGGAGGCTGAGGCACAGAACTGCTTGAACCAGGGAGGCAGAGGTTGCAGTGAGATGAGATCACGCCACTGCACTCCAGCCTGGGTGACAGAGCGAGACCCTGTCTCTAAATAAATAAATAAATAAATACGCTAGTCCTGTAGGCTTACATTCCCACCTAATGACCTCATCTAACCTTCCATCCCTAAGGGCCCTATCTCCAAATACAGTCACACTGGGGGTTATGGCTCATCAACATATAAATTTTGTGGAGACAATTCAGTCCATTACACAAAGCTTAGGAGTTATTAAGCAGAGCTCTTCTTCAAATAAACACAGAATACTCTATGTTAAAAAAGGTTTTTTTTTTTAGCACCCAGATTTTGGTTTCTAATACCGTTCTGCAAGAAACTTAACCAAGACTCCTCAGAGAAATGACTGATTCTAGAACTGAGACAGGAACTATACAGGATGAGCCTAAAGAATCTTGTACTACCAGAAAGTAAAGAAGTGCTACTAAAAAGACACACAACGATGAGGATTGTGTATCGGTAGACCACAGAAGCCAACTGAAAGATCTCCCAATGGCTAATGATGAAATAACTTCAGCAACAAAATAAAAAGTTTTATAAAGTAGAAAATAAATATCCATTATCTGCACTCAGTATGGACATTTACTTATGTGAGTAAATGATTAAATATACTAATAAATGGTGGGGTAGGGAAGGAAGAGAAGAAACAATCTATGCAGAAGAATTCCAAATAATATATGTAGATACTCTGTCCTTGAGAAAGGTAGCATAACTCCTCACTCCTCAAGTGTGGCCTCTGCACAGCAACTTCCTCCAAAGAGCACAGTATGGACAGGGAGAAAGAACAGAGAAAACTTTACAGGGGAGAATTGTTTGAGATCTAAGCGGTACCTAGACAAGTGACCCTTGATCAAAATCATAGTGATAAATCAGGCTGTGCTATGGTTTGGATATTAACCCTTTCAAACCTCATGCTGAAATTTGATTCCCAGTGTTGAAGGTGGGGCCTAATGGGAGGTGTTTGGGACAGAGGGACAAATCCCTCATGAATGGTCTGGTGCCATCCTTGCTGTAATGAGTGAATTATTGCTCCATTAGTTCTCGTCGGAGCTGGGTGTTAGAAAGAGCCTGGCACCTCCCCTCTGTCTCACCATGTGACTTCCGTACATGCTGGCTCTACTTCACCTTCCACCAAGACTGGAAGCAGCCTGAGGCAGAAGCAGAAACAGACATTGGCACATGCTTCTTGTACCGCCTGCAAAACCATGAACCAAATAAACCTCTTTTGTTTATATATTACTCAGCCTCAGATATTCTTTTATAGCAACGCAAATGGACTAAGACAAGTTCATAGTATGTACAGTTGATATGATGTGATAAGAATGGCATTTTACCCTCTTCATTGTTTTCCTCCCAAAACCCAAAACCCCACTCCAATGAGGAAAAAAAATCAGACAAATCCCAAATGAGGGATATTCTGTAAAATAGCTAACCAGTATTCCTCAAAACTGTCAAAGTCCTCAAAAAACAAGGAAAGATCGGGAAATTGGACAGCCAAGAGGAGCCTATGGAGACATGAGAAGCAAATGTAATGTGATGCTGATGATGGAATCCTGGAACAGAAAAAGAACATTAGGTAAAAACTAAGGAAATCTGAGGAAAGTATGGATTTTAGTCAATAATGATGTATCAATATTGGCTCATTAATTAACAATAGGCAAAACTGGGTGGGGGAATCTGGGATATTTGTGTACCACTTTTGCAATATTTCTATAAATCTAAAATTGCTCTGAAGTAAAAATGTTTTTTTAAGTGATAAATAGGCACACAGCTGAAATTTCTTTTTATGAGGAGGACTGAGAGAGTACAACACTATGAGGAAAAGCAGCCACTGGCATGATCAGTAATTCCAAATAGGCCCTAGAGACATAATCCTAATATTAGAAAGAGTCTCAAAATTATTTCACCCAGTTTCTGATTTTTAATTAATATGAAGAGTTTGTAGCAGTACCTGACGTAGAGTAGCTATTCAATAAATGTTAACTATTGTTGTTACTAATAATAGTATTATTAACACCATTAAGGACACCACCTACACAAGTGAAACTTATTTCTTCTGAGCATCTGCTGTCAGCAAACATGACCTTTCCTCCCTATCTAAGTGATGTAGCTTCTTCTTGCCTCCGTAGTGACAGGAAATAAACACTGGGCAGGGTATGAGGGACCAAGTCTACTGTGAGATGATTCAGGCAAAAGCTCTTACATCAGCTGGTCTCCAAAAGTCATTACTCTGCCTGGTAACTCACAAAGGCCTTTGAGGTTCACAGCCAGTATGCCATGACTTAAGAAAATCGAGGTATTTCTCTATTCCATGCACAGACACACTAGAAAATGATCAGAGTACCATTTGGGGAAGAGCAAGAGAAAGAGACCTGTTGATTGCACTATCGGAGGACTCTTCCTTCTTACAGTGTCCACTCTGTTCAGGGGCTCTGGGTCTGTGAACTGGTGCAGGGCAGTGATTTGAGGCAGAGGCCATGACTCTCCACAGTGGTGATTCTAACCAGTCCCCATTCATCAGCAATAGATTGTTATTCCTGTGATTTGTGTGTTCTTAACTTATATTGAGACCGTTGAGTAGTGTGGCCACCTATTTCAGTTGCAGGGGCATCATGATTAATTAACATGATAACTATTTCTGCAGATCAAACCATTTTGATGAGAGCTGCAGCTACAATTATGCCCTCTTCCCCTGCTCATAATGTTTATGTGCCTCTGCCACTCTGGAATGCCATAACACATCCCCATTGAAATTAAGGAGTTCATTTTAATGGTAGAAACTCTCACTGTCATACCTGGTCTGCAGACAACATATACCAGGATTCCAGGATTCTGGTGCTTGCCTTGCTAATGTATTTCCCAATATCTTGATAACGGGAATGTCCTCTGGAGCTTCCTAGGAGGCATGATTAGGGATGAATGGGCAAATCACTTAAGTATATGTCAATATTCCTACCACTCTAAGACTGAATTTTTTACAATGCACAGAAGTAACTTTTTAGTTTCATTTTATATAATGCACCACTAAATCCAGGATTCAGTCATCAGAGAGTAAAATGTTATATCCATCCCTAGAGTTTAAACTTTCACATTGAATAAGTCCTGAACAGTGTACCCGTATCAATAAATTCAGTTCAAACTTGATCTAACATTTTTAGAAGTGTTTCTCTTTGGTCTAACAGCTTAAGAATTTATTTATATACAAGTACTCTTATTTTCTTCCAATATAAAATGATAAAACTTGTAATTTTGGGGGTGAATGGCACTTGCTTCTGCATCAGACATTTTGCCTCTTCTCCAGGGTCTACCAGTATTTTGGCCTGGAAGAAATGTGAGTTGGTGGGAGTAGGTCTTTCAGAAAATGGACAACAAGCCTATGAGATAGAGGAATCGGCTTACTTGCCTTAGGTCATGAAACTTACTAGTCTAATAATTGTACCCCACTTATACATATTGCTTCCTTCATGTATTCCTTAATTATATCTAGGCAAGAACCCCAAAAAGAGTAGGTCCCAGGTAAACAGTTCCTAGAGATTGATATTTATCTAAATAGGGACTACAGAAGAATCACTCCCAAGATACAGGCATATTCATGTTATCTCTATTTGATATTTCATTATATTTAATATCTCTTAACTCCTGCTTTTGCCCGTTTGGTCTGTATGTTTACTACTTTTCATGAAATTCCTAGATTTCCATTGGTTTCCTTCTGTGCAAAGTAAATATATGAATTCCTAAACTTTGCCTAGATCTTTTGAGAAAACCTATGACTTTTACCTGTTTCTAACATTTGCCAACCCTCACCTGATTCAATTTTCCACAAGGGAATGGCATTCTATTCTGACTTAGGGAGGATTCCCTGATTCACAAAACAATGGAATGGAACAGACCAATGACTAAAAGCAGTTTCCAGAATACCTCTATTACTGTATTAAGGCCTTTTCAATATTTATGGCAGAAAAACTTCTTGTGGGAACTCATGAAAAAAAGATTACTTGAAAAGATTTCTTATTTTATTTTAAATTCTGGAGGCCTTAAGGATTTTTGTAGTACAAAAGGGCATCCCATTTAGCTGCAAGACACTGCTCTGCACTGCTGTTTATAAAATCATTCTGGTTTGCTTTAGAGCCGTGAATGTGAAAAGCATTTACGCAGAAGGATAAGAAATGTGCAAAAACAAAACAGAGAGCTTAATGGGCTTTTTATTTGTATTGAAAACTTTAAAGGGTTCATGCTCAGATACTTCAAAAATATTAAATTCGCATAGCAGCTCTAGGGATGTAAATTTATGACTAAAGTATAATATATGTATAATATATGTTACAAGGAGCTTTTACCTAGGTATCGTAAGGCCAGTGCTCCTTTTCTTGTCATCTCTGTGACCTTGGATAAATCAATTAACTACTCCATGGGCTCAGTTTTCTTATCCATCAAATGGAGGTTCATTCATTCATTCATTTATTCAACACATATTTATTAAAATTTAATAGGGGCAGGTTCTGTGTTGAGGTGATAATATAACACCATGCAAATGAAATCTAGCTTAAAAATTCACTATACAGTAAAAGACAAATACCATAAATAAATAATTCAGCCCAATGTAATAACAACAATCAAAATAAGAAAAAATGTTTTGTGGGAATATGGATCTAACATATGACAGTGAGATGAGGAAATTTTATAGAAAGTCACAGAAGAGTTTGGTCTGAAATTCAAACTATAAAATTGCAAGAAGAGGAACTTTAAAGGGTTACTGTGAAGGTTCTATGAGCTAACAGATATGTCAGTGCTTTCAAAATTTTAAAATTTAAACAGAAGTTAACACAAACCAAAAAAAAAAAAAAGGCAATTGCACATGAAGTGATGAAGTGAGTACTGATTAGCTTTGAACAAATAATTTACCTCTTTGTTGCTATACTTCCACAATTTACTACTATACAGTCATTTTATACTCAGGGTCTTTATAATAATTATCTATATAAATAATACATTTGATATTGATTGAGCTCCTACTATGTTTCAGGAACAGTTAGGGGTGGGGTTTAACAACGTTTTTAGAAGTCCCTTAACAACTTTTTTTTGATAAAGTACCTACTCCTATGTAGTGTATATTCTAAAATGAGAGGTAGATGCACAATAAACAAGCATAAATGTAACAAGGTAGATGTAAATAAACAAGCAAACAATACTAAATCACATGATGATAAGAATTTTAAAAAAACAATCTTGTAAGAAGATAAAGGATAAAAAGAGGAATGATATTTTGAATAGAATCATCAAGGAAGAACTCTGATGAAATGATATTTGAGAAAAGATTTCAGTGAGGTAAAAGAATAAACAAATGTAATAGTTTTGGAAAGGCACTGCTTTAATGAATGGACTTCTTCAATGTTTGCCAGCACCTCACTTCCATCCAGTGCCTTTTCTTCCATCATACCAATGTAGCCGAATTCCAACCTTGGAGCCCAATAGTTTGTCTCCTTTCCTATCCCTGAGTTGCTAAAAAATATCACACTGTCAAACACATGACTCTACCATTACCAATTCAGTTTCCTATCCAGTTGAGTCCTGGTCACTATCCAACATTTATTCTAATTTCTTCAGAATTCTTCCCCAATCTCCAATGTATGATAGCTACCCTAAACCTTCTTTATGTTCCACCAAACTCTGAGACCTCTCCTCCCCTCTCTTGCTTCCTCCTTCATGGAGAAAAACTGTATAGAATACACTCGGCAGTTACTCTTGCAAAATCTTGCCACAATCCTACAAAATTCTAGCATATACAACCTAATTTTTCTTTCTCCTTCCTGGTTCTAATAGAAATTGTGCTGCTTCTCCAATGTCGGCTCACTCCCTTCACCTGTGCTTTTATGAGGAATTTCACCCTCTCTCGTATCTTCAATCTTTTTCTCTCTACTGTTTTTTCTATCAACATTTAAGCACACTTGTTTCTTTATATAATAAAATGAATACTCTCTTAATCTCCACTTTTCATCTTTTAATCTAGTTGGTCATTTATAATTCATTTTATTTAAGTTAGTTAACTAATTTAGTCCATTTAATATGTAATAGCATTGTACTTGGCCCTGAAGATATATTAACATACAAAATATAAAATAAAAGCATGGTGTATGCTTACCAAATAATATCACTAAAAGATATTCAATTCAAAATTGTGATAAATGTTTTGAAGAAAAAAAAAGACTACTGTAAAAAAGAACACCTCTCCTTTGGGATCTGACATAGTCTGGAAATTCAAAACAGGCTTCCCTGAAGCGATGAGTATAGAGGGATAGTTTTTCAGGTACAGGGAAGAGCACATGGAAGGACAGTGTAGGAGAATCCTACAACAATGTATCTGGGCTGGAGAAGGCAAAGGAATGTGGAAGCAAGAAGAACTTGGATAAGTAGCTATTTTTTATCCAGAGCAAAGGAAAATCATTGGATATTTTAAGCAAGGCATTGGCACCATTCAGTTTAAGCTTGGCAACATTTGCTATGGTACTGTGTAGGGAATGACTTGGAGAATAAGAATAGATGAAGGAAGATCGGGTATTCCAGAATTCAGAAATTCAGGAAAGATATGGTAGATTAATCTAAAATGGTAGTAGAGAACAAATTGTGAATTCAAGACAAATTTACGAAAGCAAACTGAAAATACTGGTGTATGATTCAACATAGGTGGGAAATAGATAATGGACACCCAGTTTTCTGGTTTTTATAACTGAAGGGAAGGAGTTGACTGACTGAGGTAGGATATACTGGAGATGACCAGGATGAGAAGGATGGATGAGCACTGCTGGGAGTTTGAGATCCATAAGTTTGGTTTCTGCCACCTTGCTGTACCCCCATTCCCTGCCAGAACTCCTCCACAGGATCCTGGAAACCAAGTGGCATCCCAGGAAAGTGTGAACACATATGCTTAATTTTCTAAATTAAATTCCGCTTACATTTTCCAATTATATATGCATAGTTTAAGCCATTTTTTAAAAAGTTCTATCTTTTAGAAAGTTATTTTTCCCCCTAAATAATGGAATGGAATGCTGATAAAATTAAAAGTTCCCTTCACTTAATCTGTTTCCACATACATTGTGTTTTGTTTATTACCTGAATTTGAGAGATAAATAATAAAATAATTTCAACAAATTTTAAGCAAATTATTGATGAAGACACTTCAATTTCTGATAAGATAGCATGTCCCGCAGAGAAGGAAAGGAAAAATCATCTAGATATGAATTTTTTCGGGAGGAATTAAGAGATTACGAGGGAACTCCTGTTTCCATGGTGACAACTACATTCGTATTACGTCTTCCAAGAAGACAGGTGCATTTTGATTTACAAGATTGAAAACATTAGTAGCATAATATATGAAATTATCAAAAAGTATACCATTTCTGTCCTGCAAGCTGTAATGCAAATGGTTACAGTCTCTTTTTTAAGTTTTTGACTCAGTATGTTTTTACTCAATGCTAATGTAACTTTCATTAGTAAAAGAAAACTTGTTGGAACATTTTTAAAGAAATATTAGGATTTTCTGCAATACAAAATTTCATTGTTATGGTTCAAATGTTTTTCTCCTCCACAATTCATGTTGAGATTTAATTGTCAATATAATAATATTAGGAGGAAGGGCCTTTAAGAGGTGATTAGGCCATAAGAGCTCCACCCTCACTGGCAGGTTTAATGCCTTAATAAAAGGGCTTTTCCTAGTGGACTCTCTCTCTCTCTTTGTCCTTCTGTCATGTGAAAGTGAAGAAACAGGCCCTCACCAGAGGCTGGCCCTGTGATATTGAACTTTCCAGCCTCCAGAACTATGAGCCAACAAGCTATATTCATTGTAAATTACCTAGTCTGTGATATTCTGTTATAACAGGATAAAACAGACCAAGACAGTCATAAAAAGTCAACTCATTTTCTAATAATATGAACATTTATTTTGAAACAATTCTTAAAGATTAATTTAGATGTTTGACCTAAATAATCTCTCTGGATTTCAGTTTTCTCATGGGCAGAATAGAAGTAATATTATCTACTTCAAGAAGTTATTTAATAATAGTTAAATAAAATAATAAATGTATATGAGTTCTATAATACTAAGGTGATCATATAATTTATTATCCAAAGTTTGACCTTTTGAGTAAATTGGAGTGGTAAAAATAATTTTAAAGTGCATATTTATTTAAACTATTTAATAGCAAATTGCTATATTTTATTGGTAGACATAAATTATAAAAATATAAAAATTACATAATTCTATGAACATTAACAAAGTATTTAATTGATTATTGTAATATCAAATATAACTTCAGGGAAATAATTATCCTGGGCACTCAGTCAAATTCTTTACACAATATCTAGACTATATCTGCTTCCAACACATTATTACTATTGTTTAATGAAGACTGTATAGTTGTATTTATTTATTTATGAGATGGAGTCTCCCTCTGTCACCCAGGCTGGAGTGCAGTGGCGCAATCTCAGCTCACTGCAACCTCCACCTCCTGGGTTCAAGCGATTCTCCTGCCTCAGCCTACCAAGTAGCTGGGATTATAGGCGACCACCACCACACTCAGCTAATTTTTGTGTTTTTAGTAGAGAGGGAGTTTCACCATGTTGGCCAGGCTTGTCTTGAACTTTTGACCTCAAATGATCCACCTGCCTTGGCCTCCCAAAGTGCTGTGATTACAGATGTGAGACACCATGCCCAGCCTGATTGTATAGTTTTTCTTTTTAATTTTTTAATAAAATTATCTACTCCTCTCTCACTCCCTCGTTCAATTATCCTCCTGCAGTGAGAGCAGTGTCTCTTAAACAGCTATTTACTACTTTGCTTAAACAGGCGTTATCTCTTAAAGGCTACCTAATTATATATACTGACCACAGTGCCTGAAACACTGTACCTGCCTCATCTCCTTTGTTCACATGGCTATTCACCCTCCTGCTCCAAGTACAGTCTTAGATTTAACTTCTTCCAGCAAGTCTCCTCTGAATCCCCGAATTGGGGTAAAATCCTCTGTGCTCCAAATGCTCCCTTCATGTTTTCTATTATGACACATATCCTTCAGCAGTGCACATCTCTTTACATGTATGTAGTAGATAGATAATGATGTTAGTGCCTGTCAAGTAGGAAAGGACCTAGGAATTAGTTATATCCTCCAATCCTCACCTATAATTTTAGTGGGGACAGCCTATTATAACGCGCTTTCTTCAATTCTCCATATGAACCCTCTGCGTTCCCTGCAAAATACCTGTGCTAATCTGTCAGAAAAAGGGTATTTGAATCAAGGTCAGTCCTAGTCTTTTTCTAGAAATTTTGGTGCTGCAACTAAGAAAGAGATGCCACACTCTTTGAAGTACCTAAAGTGGAAGGAGTAAGGCATGAGAAATGTTTGAAGTCATTTTTTCTGTCTGCTGTGGTCTGAGTGTTTGCGTCCCCCAAAATTCATAGGTTGAAACTCAATCACCATTACAACGTATATTAAGAGGTGAAGCTTTTAGATTATCAAGACACTGCCCTAATAGGGATTAATGGCCTTAGAAAAAAAGGCTCATGGGAGCTTGTTTGCCGCCCCCACACACACAGCGTGAGGACATATAGAAGGTGCCATCTATGAGGGACAAGCCTCATAGGGACAGCAAATATGCTGGCACCTTGGTCTTAGACTTTCCAGCCTCCAGAATTGTAAGCAATAAATTTTTGTTGTTTATAAATTACACAGTCTAAGGTATTTTGTTGTAGCGGTCCTAACGAATTAAGATACTATTATTTAGAGCTAAAAACCTGGGGATGCCAATCTGTTAAAAAAAAAAAAAATCAATCCATCCATCAACTCTCTTTGTCTCTGAAAAGAACATCCTTGGTGTGCTATTGGTTAAAAGTACCTCTAGCTGCTATGAGACTCATCCATGTTTCTAAACATAGATTATTTGATACTCTTAAGTATCAATATAACACATATCCTTTGTGTTTAAATTAAACCAAGTCAGATTTCTGAGCCTTACCATCAAAGAGATATTAACTTTTATGTAGTCTGTCTCTATCATTGAAGTATCAACTCTTGATCAGGACAGGAACCCCAGAACCGAGTACTATGCCTGGTATATAAGAGGTTATCAATAACCACTTATTAAATGAATAAACACATGGGACTATGATGAAAATTGCAAGCACACTATCCAGCCAACTAGGCCTCAGTACTGTGCTTACTGGTAGGAATCCCCACTGCCTAATGCCCTGTGAACCTATTTTCCAGAAGAGCTTTGGGCATTAGGACTCCTAGTGCTACAGCAAAAGAAACTACTATCAGAGCAAACAGACAACCTAAAGAATGAAAGAAAATTTTTGCAATCTATCCATCTGACAAAGGTCTAATATCCAGAGTCTACAAGGAACTTAAACAAATTTGCAGGAAAAAAGCCAACAATTCCATTAAAAAGTGGGCAAAGGACATGAACAGATACTTCTCAAAAGACATTTATGCAGCCAACAAGCATAGGAAAAAAAAAATCTCAACATTACTGATCATTAGAGAAATGCAAATCAATACCACAATGAGA
Source organism: Homo sapiens (assembly GCF_000001405.40). Classification (NCBI taxonomy): domain Eukaryota; kingdom Metazoa; phylum Chordata; class Mammalia; order Primates; family Hominidae; genus Homo; species Homo sapiens. The sequence goes on from NC_000002.12 coordinate 211,315,556, forward strand.
TACCATCTCATGTCAGTCAGAATGGCAACTATTAAAAGTCAGGAAACAACAGATGCTGGCAAGGTTGCAAAGAAATAGGAAAGCTTTTAAACTGTTGGTGGGAACATAAATTAGTTCAACTATTCTAGAAGACAGTGTGGCAATTCCTCAAAGATCTAGAATCAGAAATACCATTTGACCCCCCTATCCCATTACTGGGTATATACCCAAAGGAATAGAAATCATTCTATTATAAAGACACATGCACATTATGTTCATTGTAGCACTATTCATAATAGTAAAGACATGGAATCAGCCCAAATGCCCACCAATGAGAAAATGTGGTACATATACACCATGGAATACTATGCAGCCATAAAAAAGATGAGTTCATGTCCTTTGCAGGGAGATGGATGGAGCTAGAAGCCATTATCCTCAGCAAACTAATGCAGGAACAGAAAACCAAATACCTCATGTTCTCACTTATAAGTGGAAGCTGAATGATGAAAACACATGGACACAGGGTGGAGAACAACACACACTGGGGTTTGTTGGATGGGGTGGTGGGGATAGGGAGAGTATAAGGAAAAATAGGTAATACATGCTGAGTTTAATATCTAGGTGATGTGTTGATAGATGCAGCAAATCACTATGGCACACATTTTCCTATTTAACAAACCTGCACATCCTGCACATACACCCCAGAACTTAAAATGAAAAATAAAAAAAATAAAGAACTCCTAATGCTAGCTCCCACACCATAGAAATCCATTATAAAGATTTATCACCCAAATACATTAAACTAATTACATATCATTCAAGTCTAACTCTGATATTAGATGGGTTGCAAGCATACAGAAAAGCTCAAAGACTCCCCATGGATGTTATAATAGTGTTAATTTATTTACAATCAAGGCTAAAGGAAACAAATTTCAGGGATGATGGTGCAGAAATAAAGATAAACCTGGTGAATATTTTGCCACAGATTGGAGACAGAAATAAGATACATTGCCCTCAACAACTACTATGGGGAATACATGGTTACAGTAAAACAAAATGACTTTAGATACTAAAGAGCTTGGTAAAAGGACAAGAGAGAGGTTCAGAACCCACCACCCGCCAAAGAAAAGTAGAACAATAATGGCTCTTCTTTAGTTAATAACTACAGTTTTTAACAAGGAAAATGAAAGAAGAATCATACAAGAATACACATGGAAAAGAGAAGAGAGGGACAGAGAAGAATGAGGAAGAAAAGGAAAGTACATAGGAATAAGTCTGATGGAATCAAGTAAAAAATATGCATTACTGAGAACAAGAAATTCAAAATCTGATATTGTGTGCTTAGTGCGGATTAGCTAGTCACTTCAGATAATTTCATTTGGTACCTATTTAAATAACTCAAAATATTCTCCTAGTGTCTTAGGATTGATTTTTATTTAAATTATTTAGCATTATCATTGTAGTTAAATAACATAGTCACTTATGCTCAAACGCATGTGATAAAACTGCTTTACAGGGCAGGTGCAGTGGCTCATGCTACCCAGCACTTTGGGAGGCGAAGGTGGGCAGATCACCTGAGGTCAGGAGTTTGAGACCAGCCTGGCCAACATGGTGAAACTTTGTGTCTACTAAAAATACAAAAATTAGCTGGACGTGGTGGCACGTTCCTGTAATCGTAGCTACTTGGGAAGGCGAGGTGGGAGAATTGCTTGAACTTGGGAAACAGAGGTTGCAGTGAGCTGAGATCGTGCCACTGCATTCCAGCCTGGGTGACAGAGCAAGACTCCGTCTCTAAAATGAATAAAACAAGAAACAGACAAAATAAAACTGCTTTATTCAGTTTATTTCTTATGAAAAGTTTGAAGAGCATTTCTCAAATGATTTTTTGTAAGAGACATTCTCTCTCCCATCTCCTTCTTTTTTTTGTTACTTTTATCTTCTCCAATATTACTGGGGCTTTCTCTTGTTCTAATTTGGATCTACATGTACTACTGTGTACAAATTAGCCTTATAAGACAAATATTTTATTATTACAAGGTTGGTAAGGTCTTAATAATTGTTGCAAACAAGATGTGCTAATAGAAAAAACAAATTTTGTATCTGCCAGTAAAATCAGTGAGAAGTTATACTGTTTTAAAGGAAATAAACTGGAAGGGAGAATTATAACTTTCACATAGCTAGGAGCTAATAAACAAACAAACCACAACAAGAACAGAAGCTAAATAAAATTCATACTTAAAAATAAATAAGCAAAACACTAAGAAATTTCCAGGGGAAAGTAATTATTGATTGGCTAAGTACAGCCAAAGAAATATATATATACACATATATATATGTATATGAATATATATATACACGTATATATATGTATATGAATATATATACACGTATATATGTATATGAATATATATACACGTATATATGTATATGAATATATATATACACTATATATGTATATGAATATATATACACGTATATATATGTATATGAATATATATATACACATATATATGTATACACATATATATACGTGTACATATATATATATTCTGGTATATTGAATATGCACTAGTAGCTCATTAATTTAATATATTGAATGAAATTTTCAAAAATATAGTAAAATTACCTTGTAGGGTTCACTGAAATTACCTGAAGAGCCTTAACTCATATGACAAGATTGGTTAGCCTACTCAAATCCATAGCAAAGCTCTTTGACTCTTTTTGTACTGCTTGGTAGGATTCAAATAATATATGCTGAGACTTATGGTTCCATATTCCTTTGGTGGGTTTTATTGAAATGAGTTCTATTTATAATAAAAATAATAAAAATCATAGAGCTTAAGAAAATAAAGAGAAATAAAAAACCTTCTGGGCTTCATACATGTGTATATATATGATCGAATGTATTTTTTTTTTACCAGATAGGCGAGATGTCTTTAAACCAAAATCTGACATGTTGGTGTTTATAACTAATGTTTCTTAAATCTAAAAAATGAATTCATGACTGCACTTTAAAACCATCTCTGCGGTGTTCACAGAGGCCATCTCCACTGCAACATTATTTCTGAATTTTTTATTTGCTGCCATGGGCTGTTCACATTTTCTCCATCCATTTATTATTCCCAGATAGCTTTCTTCAGTAAATTGAAGAGATTGTAAAAAAATTAAAAAAAAATTTAAAAAAAAAAAAAGAAAAAGAAAATCTCTAGTTATGAATGTCTAGGTTTGCAGTTACCTAAACTTTTCTGAAAAGCTAAGAAAATTGGGAAAGAATGTAGAATTTTTCTCTAGGAATGACATTAAAGATACAGACTGGTTTTTATGTGCCAGCTGGTCAATGCTTTCATGCCACCCTGTTAAGATGTCAAAACTATTTACAAGAGTTATCTCAGAATCTTCTTAGATTTTGGCCAAATTGACCTTTAAAATTCTCTCCTTTACCCAGTTACTCTCTCATCATAGACAGAGCTACTATTCAGTCAAGCAATGGTCTTTGGAGGCTGTGCAAGACAGGGCCTGAGAATGGCCAAGGTAATAGTCATGCCTCTATTGGCACATCTGCTTTTCCTTTCAGGAGCACTCACTGTCCTCACATTTTTCTCATCCACCTTTGGTTTCATGGTAATCATTTTAATAACAGTCTTTGCCAACATTGTAAACTGTCTTCTTACTTTAGGGATTTTTATCCAACTTGTCTCGGGGGAAAATCCCGTCTTTCAGGAATCCCTTTTCTTCATTTATACGCCTGAGTAGGCATCGTTCCTAGAAACAGATCAGAGTGATTCCACTATGAATTCATTATCCCTGACTTGTACTGGGATCTCCACGAGGCTCATGCCTAGGTCCCCCACTGCCCTCATTCTGTAACTTCTCATCAGGTGATTTTATCTCTGCCTATCACTTCAACTGTTACCTATAACTAGATTGTTCTTACATTTACATCTCCCGCTCAGTCTTATCCTCCTAGCACTAAACTGGCATATTGAACTGTGTAAGACAAAGTCTCAGGGGCACCTCTAAAGCATGCTATATACAACTGAACTCAGGTTATCTCTCCTAATCAATAAAGTGCTTCATTTTTCCTCTATTTTAGACAAAGGCAATACTACCTATTCAGTTATAATAATAATAATTGTAGGAGTCATGCTTAATACCTCCTTTCCATTATCAAGTCCAGTTGCAAGAATATGTGTATATTTGTTTGTGTAATTGTGTGTATACACATACAGTCCCAACTTCTATTCTGGCACCCTTCAAACTGTTCTCACTGCATACAGACAAAGTGATAGTTTCCAAATACAAATCTGATCATTTATTTGCTTAAACCCCTTCAATAACTTTCCATTGCTGTTAGGAGAAAGATCAAAATCCCTAACATGATCTCTAATGGTTTGTGTAGTCTAAACTTTATTTTCCAGCATCATGTCACATTTCTCTGCTTCTTCTCATTTGCCAAAACCTATACTTTGCTGGGAGTTCATTGGCCTGATGCTTCATATACTCTGTTCCCTCTCATTGGAGTGCCCTTTTCTCCCCTCTTCACTGAAGTAATTACAACTTATTCTTCTTTATATTAGCTCAAGTGTCAATTCCTTGAGAGCTTTCCCTGTCTACCCAGCTGGCTTTCATTCCCCATCACAAGCTTTCATAGTACCAGATAACTCTCTTTATCACACTTACCACTCTTAAAAAATGACTTTTATTTTTCTGTCTCCCCACTAGACTCTAAGTTCCAAGGCAGCAGGAGATACATCCTCTTTATACAGTATCAATTTTATCCCTAATCCCTCTCATAGTGTTTAGCTAACATGTCTACAAGTTATGGGAGTCAGTAAGTGAATGAGTGGTTGTACTTGTGTGTATAAATAGGTAAGAAATTGTTGAAGCTAAAGGCAGAGGTGTAGTAAGAAAGCACCTTTGTGTTTTGAAATTATTATCCACTAATATTTGCTAAAGGCTTGCACGGGGTCAGGCATTTTTCTAAAGATTTTACATTCATTAATTAATGCATTATCTAATTTTCCCCATTTTTCTTAAGAGAAACTGAATCTCCAACAGAAGTGGGGTCACAAATTCAAATTCAAGCTTGTCTGATTTCTGAGCCTGAGGCCTTATTTCCTCCCAATCTCACAAGTCTAGCTGAATCTGATCTTCTCCAGGGAGCTGTTTCTGATTTTGCCCATAAGAATTAGTGAATGTTTGGCCTTCACTCTGATAACTCAAGCTAGTAGTGTTATATAACACTTATTTATTTTTCACTTTCATTATGTTTAGTTGTTTATGTCTTATTTTTCTTCTTGAAGCAGTTAGCAAGACATACAGTTTACAGGACACAAGACTTACAAGTTACAAGACAATACAGAGAGGATTCCCAGTGTCTAGAACTGTGATTGAGATATGGCGGAGGGGCAAAAACATTAAAATGTCATAGAACATGCTCATCAAATTAGGACTGGCTGTGAAAAAATAATAGTTCCTAAAGAAATCTAGCTTCCAGAATTCAAATGTCAGAAAATTAACATTCAGTCAGAATGGGATATGGCTTAGACATTATGCTTTAAGAAGTTCTTCAGGCCGTCCACAGTGGCTCACACCTGTAATCCCAGCACTTTGGGAGGCTGAGGTGGGCAGATCACCTGAGGTCAGGAGTTGGAGACCAGCCTGGCCAACATGGTGAAACCTCATCTCTACCAAAAATACAAAAAATTAGCCAGGCATGGTTGTGGGCACCTGTACTCTCAGCTACTTGGGAGGCTGATGCAGGAGAATCGCTTGAACTTGGGAGGCGGAGGTTGCAGTGAGCCAAGATTATGCCACTGCACTCCAGCCTGGGCGACAAGAGCAAATTCCGTGTCTAACTAACTAAATAAATAAATGAATAAATAATAATTTTTTAAAAATAAAGTTCTTCAGCTGATTCTAAGTGTAGTAAGTTTAGGAAAGTCAGTGAAATTTAAAACAGGAGTCCAGCAGCCCTGAGAGTTAGAGTCCATCACATGAGGCTACCATGTCAGTGTGTCCCTGAATCATTATAAAATTTTGCATAGACTAGAAAGAGTGACAGAGAGGCAACTGAGAACTGTCTATTTTAGAGTCCAGGAACTTTGTTTCCCACCATTTAATGTACTCCCTGTGACATTCGTAAATTAAGGAGCCTAACCTCAAATCACAGATGGAACTAAAAGTAATATAAAATTTTTATTAATATAATTTACTTCCAAAATTTGAAATTATTCTACAAATAATATCTAAATGTGCATTCTCTCTTTAAACAGTGTCCTTTAAAAATTCAAAGGCTAGTTATCACTGAATACCCTGCTCCTTCCAGCAGTGGAGCCACCGGGTGCACCTGTGTATTTCTTAGGGGTCCCACTGCCACAACTGGTGGCCCTGTTGCCTTCATTTGCAGAGCTGCCACACACCCTTGCATGCACCCCTGAAAGGACCTGAGAACCAGTCTCTTGGGCCTGCCATTGGCAGCATCTCCACCCCCTTCAGCAACAGAGCTGTCACAGCCTCATGCGTGTCTGCCCAGAGCCCCAAGACAGAACTACTTGGCATCAGCACTCCCCAGCAAAGCTATACCACAGCTTTGGTAAACAACTGCAGCCTAGGCCACCAAGGCACTAGCACACACTGTTGAAGTGGATTAGAACTCAAGAAATCATACAGAAACTGTACAATTGCACCTACCCAGAACCAAAGTCAAAATACTCTATTTGACCAACACTATAGGACATATCTATAGGAGAAAGATTTTCCCTACAAAAACTACCTCATAAAACTGGAAAAGCTGACTGTTCCACCAGATGCAAAGATATCAATGTAGTAACACAAGAAGTATTTTAAAAGCAAGGAAACATGACACCTGTAAAGGGACACAAGAATTCTCTAGTTACAGACCCCCCAAAAAGAAAATGTATAAAATGCCTGAAAAGGAATTCAAAGTAATAATTTCAGGAAACTCAGCAAGATACAAGAGAACACAGACAATTCAATGAAAGCAGAAAAACAATTAATAATTTGAATGAGAAATTTAACAAAAAGACATCATTTTAAAAAAACAAATCTTAGAACTGAAGACTTTAATAAATTGAATAAAATATACAACTGAGAGCTTCAACAATAAACTACATCAAGCCTAACAAAATAGTTCTGAATTTAAAAATAGGTCTTTTGAAATAACCCAGTCAGTCAAAAAAAGATAATAGAAAAAGAAAAAAGAATAGAGAAAGCCTAAGAGACATACAGGACATCCTTAAGCAAACAACTGTCTTCATTTTGGAATTTTCAGAATAAGAAATGGAAAAAGGAATAAAGAACCTATTTAATGAAATAATAGCATGAAAACTCCCCAAGTTCTGAAAGAGATATGGACATCCATATACAGAAAGCTCAAAGCTTCTTAGATACATTCAACTCATAAATGGTCCTTTTGAAGGCACATTATAGTCAAACTGTCAAAAGTCAAAGACAAAAAGAGATTTCAGAAATAAATAAATAATAGAAGAGAAAAAGATGAAGTTACATATAAGTCAATGCCCATCAGACTAACAAAAGATTTCTTAGCTTAAATGTTACATTTCCAGAGAAAATGAGATAATATATTTAAACTGCTTTTAAAAAGTTTTAGTCTACCAAGAATCCTATACACAGCAAAACTGTCCTTTTGAAATAAAGAAGAAATAAATTATTTTCCAGACAAGCAAAAAACTGAGGAAATCAGCACTGCTAGGCCTACTCTACAAAAAGATGCTTAAGGGGGTCCTATATCTGAAGGCAAAAACCTGATCTCTATCATCATGAAAACACATGAAAGTGTAAAACTCACTGTAGAGCAGGTACAAAAATGAGAAACAGAAAAAAAAAGTTATAACCATAAACACTGCCAAACTGCAAATAGAAACAATAACAGAGGAAAAAAAATGAATAAAAGATATTAAAAACAATTTTAAAATGACAAGAGTGAGTCCTTACCTATCAACAAAAATGTTGAAGTTTAGATTCCCCAATTAGATATGGACTCACTGAACAGATTTTAAAGAAAAAAAGACCCAACTCTATGCTACCTACAAGAAACTGACTTCACCTTTAAAGAAACACATAGACTGAAAATGAAGAGATGAGAAAAGATATTCCATGAAATCCAAAACCAAAAGCAAGCAGAAGCAGCTATATTTATATCAGATAAAATGGATTTTAAGTCAAAAAGCATACAAAGAGACAAGATCATTACATAATGATAAAGGAATCAATTCAGCAGGAGGATATAGCAATTGTAAATATATGTGCACTTAACACTGTAGCAATAAGATATATAAAGCAAATATTATTAGAGCTAAAGGGAGAGATTTCCCCAGTACAATAATAGTTGAGGACTTCAACACTTCACATTTAGTATTAGACAGATTATCTAGACAGAAAGCCAAGAAACATTAGATTTGAACTATGCTAGAGACCAAATGAACCTAGGAGATATTTACAAAGTATTTCATCCAGTAGCTGCAGAATACATTTTCCTCTCATCAGCATATGGAACACTATCCAGGATAGACTGTTAGGCCACAAAACAAGTCTCAACAAATTTTTTAAAATCAAAATTATATCATGTATTTTTTCAGACCATAATGGAATAAAACTAGAAATCAATAATGAGGAATTTTCAAGACTATCTAAATACATGGAAATTAAACAACGTATTTCTGATTTACCAATAGGCCAATAAGAAAAGTTAGAAGAAATTTTTTTAAATCTTGAAAAAAATGAAAATAAAAATACAACATACCAAAGCCCGTGGAATATAGCAAAACATCTAGATTAAGAGTAGAGAAATTTTAAATAAGCAACCTAAAAATACTTCACAAGGAACTAGAGAAGCAAAACAAACCAAATCCAAAATTAGTAGAAGGAAAGAAATAACAAAGATCAGAGCAGAGCTAAACAAAATAGAGCCAAAAAAAAAAAAATACAAAAGATCAACAAAATTAAGGATGTTTTCTGAAAAAAATAAAATATACAAACCATTAGCTAGACAAACTACCAAATATAAGAGAAGATCCAAATAAATAAAATCAGCCATGAAAAATTGATACATGACAACTGATATCACAGAAATTCAAATGATCGTTAGAGACTTCTATGAACAACTATAGGACAATAAATTAGAAAGACTGAAGGAAATTGGTGAATTCCTGGACACATACAACCTATCAAGATGGAACCAGGAGGAAATCAAAAACCTGAACAGATCAATAATAAGTAGCAAGATTAAATCAATACTAAAAAGTCCCCCAACAAAGACAAACCTTAGATCAGAGAGCTTCACTGCTGAAATCTGCCAAACTGGTAAAGAACAAACATAAATTCTTCTCAAACTATTCCTAAAAATTGAAGAGGAGAGAATTCTTCCCAACTTCTCTACAAGGCCAGCACTACCCTGATACCAGAACCAGACAAGAACACAACAAAAAAAGGGAATTATAGGCCACTGTGTCTTATGAACATAGATGCAAAATTTCTCAACAAAATACTAGCAAGCCAAATTCAACAACAGATCAAAAGGATAATACACCATAGTCAAGTATGATTGATCCCAGGGATACAAGGAAAAGTCAATATATGTAAATCAATAAATGTGATACATCACATCAACAGAATGAAGGACAAAAGCCAAATGATCATCTCAACAGGTGCATAAAAGGCACTTGATAACAGTTACCATCCTCCATGATAAAAACTCTCTATATATAGGTATAGAAAGAATGTATTCAACACAAAAAAGGCCATATATGACAAAACCACAGATATCATCATGCTAAATGGAGAAAGACTGAAAGATTTTTCTCCAAAAACTAGAACAAGACAAGGATGCCTACTTTTACCACTTTTATTATCACAGTACTGGAAGTCAGAGCAAAAACAATTAGCAAAGAGAAAGAAATATGGGGCATCCAAATTGGAAAAGAGGAAGTCAAATTATACCTCTTTTTAGATGGCATAATCTTATATGTTAAAAAACAAACAAACAAACAAAAAACTAAAAACTTCACCAAAAAACTCTTAGAACTAATAAACAAATTTACTGAATTTTGGGGATATAAAATCAATGTACCAAATTAGTAGCATATTTACATACCAGTAACAAATTAGCTTTTAAAAAAATAGCCAGGTGTGGTGGCTCATGCCTGTAATCCCAGCACTTTGGGAGGCTGAGGCAGGCAGATCACTTGAGGTCAAGAGTTTGAAACCAGCCTGGCCAACATGGTGAAACACCATCTGTACTATAAATTTTTTTTTAAAAATTAGCTGGGCATGGTGGTGGGTGCCTGTAATTCCAGCTACTCAGGAGGCTGGGGCAGGAGAATCGCTTGAACCCGGGAGGCAGAGGTTGCAGTGAGCTGAGTTCATGCCACTGCACTCTAGTCGGGGTGACAGAGGGAGACTCCATCTCAAAAAAAAGAAAGAAAAAGTATGGAGGACAGTAACATATCTCCCAATTTGTCAGGTAACTAAAGATCATTGAAAAAAAAATCAGGAGTCAATAGAAAAAATATTTTTTCTTTACATTCTCTATTGGCTGTGACTAGAATTTCAGACTTGGACTGTTATTTTTTGTAGGTTTTTAAAATGTTTAAATGCCAAGGATTTCTACATTTTTATCCCCTAATAAGCCTCCAAGTTTAAAAATCAGATTCTGAGGGCAGATATAAAAGGCTGAGGTATCACTGTGTTCAAGAATTCCATAAATGTTCTTTCATTTCTCTTCTTTTACTTCAATTTTTTTCCATTATTTTTTAAAAGAAAATACTTCAGAGAGGTGGTGAGGCAGAGTTATCATCTATTCCTAATACAAATTTTACTGGGCATGCGTTTTTAAACAAGGCCATTAATGTCTTAAAGTTCAGATTCAACTAATGCAACAGTACTCATTGAGGTTGACTTTACGTAACTAAAATAAGAAACTGTTTATTTGCTTGATTACTTACCTATTTTATTATAAGAGACTGGGGGTGATTTTTTTCCCTCCCAAAGCATACTGTGAACATTTATAGAACAGAAGACTCTGAAAAGCAGAATATCCATCATTCTGACAAGTTCTAAACCCACAACATGTTTTCTGGTGAACATTTAAAGATCACCCTGTCTGTAAGAGTTAACAATTCTATAATGCTTCTTGCTAAAAGAATATCCTTATTAAATTTACAACAGAGTAATCACATTTTAAACCCATCAGTCCATTTTCCCTACTGGCTTCATCAGAGGACCTTTCACCCCTGACCCCCGCCCTCACCCCCAGGTGATAAGGTGGCAACCCCACTACCTTATCTTTATTAATTTTGGTCCAGCATAATTAATGTTAATTGACTCCTAGATTTCATTCTTACAGCAACTGAAAATGTGAACTGAACCCCATATTTTAGCAAATGGTGACTGCAGAAGCTATTTATTGGTGATTCAAAAAAATATAGTTTATTCCTCACTTGGAATCTCCAGATTAAAAAACAATACATTTGGAGATTGCTGGATATAAGAAAAGAGAGCCATATAATAGATTGTATCATTGCTTCTGTATGATGACATTTCTCAAGCAAAATTCCTAGAAAAGTGGGTTTGTGCGCAGCATTTCACTTTTACTGATCTGTTACAAACTGCTTTTCTTTCACACCCTCACTTTTTTGTCTTTTAAAATATTATTGTATTTCGAACAAACCAACACATCTTTTTCTTCCTTAATCAGAACGACTAATACCTGTCTTATTCACTCACAATTCTAGGATTTATGAACGTCCACAAAGAATTTGTTGCATTTTACCTGAACTTTAAACTCCCACTTAAAATATGCTGGCCTTTGGTAAATGCAATTTTTTTTCCCCAGAGAGTTATGTTAATAGAATATTATTTGAAATTCTTCTAAGTACAAGAAAAAAATATTTGATCATTCCTATATTTATAGCTACAATTTTACCTCTAAACATCAGAAGAACAAAATAAAAAGTGGCCTGGGTGTGTATGTGGAATCTAGTTGCCTCCCAGACACATGGGACAGGGCAGGCTATGGCAAATCCAATTGAGAGCTCTGGAGTTGAGATTAACAAAAGTTATAGGGAAAAGTCAGTTTTTACAAAGAGATTCATATACGATTAATAATGTAGGATCCATACACAATAGAGTCTTTGGTATGAAATATACCACATGTTGGCTTTTACTGGAGATGCATAATAGCTCTGGTACTCAGTTCCCAAGTGAAAAGAGAGAACATGCTATATCATGCTATCAGGATAAGTTTCATCTTTTTTTTTGAGTTAGAGTCTTTCTCTGTGGCCCAGGCTGGAGTGCAGTGGCACAGTCTCGGCTCACTGCAACCTCCGCCTCCCAGGCTCAAGCGATTCTCCTGCCTCGGCCTCCAGAGTAGCTGGGACCACAGGCATGCACCACCACACCCAGCTAATTTTTATATTTTTAGTAGAGAACGGGTTTTGCCATCTTGGCCAGGGTGGTCTCGATATCTTGACCTCAGGTGATCTGCCCGCCTCGGTCTCCCAAAGTGCTGGGATTACAGGCATGAGCCACCATGCCTGGCCTATCTTTTGTTTTTTGTTTTTTTTTTTTTTTTTAGCAAATTATTATCACACATGGCAGATGCGAATAAAAGGTTCTCTTTTCCTTGGGAAGAAATCTCTCCATCCAAGTTACCACAATCTGCTAAGCTTTTGGACTTACTTCTAAATGGTCAAGTATAACATATGGCTGAATACTGATTAGTCATAAAGCATTCTCATTAGTTAAGTCCCAATGTAATATTTCACAAGGTTACTCACAGTCTATCACTGTTCCTGTTTTTTTTTTTTTTTTTTTTTTTTTTTGGTAATTTAATTGTTTGTTTTGTGCAGCAACTACATCTGGGGATCTCGGGATATCTACTCCTTCAAAGACAAAAACCACAAAATTTAAATCTAGGATTGTTGGTTACCTTAGATTTGAGCAATAAACTAAATATGATGCCAAAATTTGTTAGTGATATATGAGGTAAACAGGGTTGCTGTTACAAATTCTACTCATTCTGTATCACACAAGAGAAACAAAATCCAACATCAACAATCATATGTATATCTGTATCTGGGCATGTCTATGCATATGTACACACACACACATACACATGCGTATACTTATATATTGCTGTGTATCTTTATTTATATTTAAACTTGTTGAATAACAATGTAAACACCAGCAATCAACAGACACAGCAAATGTAGTTTCTAGAAGTCTGATGTAAGTATGTGTTGTGTGTTAACAAGGCAGTATTCTTTGATTCTGTGTCCTACAACTTCATATTTATTCATACATTTCTCTTTCTTTATTACATATAGGTTAGAGTATCACTCTTCATTATTACTAATAGTGAGTAGTTTCCAGATAGCCTGTGATTTCCCAGGGCATCTTGGCAGGAAAGTCAGTAATAAGAAAGTCACCAACTAGCCGGGCGCAGTGGCTCACGCCTGTAATCCCAGCACTTTGGGAGGCCGAGGCAGGTGGATCACGAGGTCAGGAGATTGAGACCATCCTGGTCAATATGGTGAAACCCCAGCTCTACTAAAAATACAAAAATTAGCTGGGCGTGGTGGCACGTGCCTGAAATCCCAGCTACCCAGGAGGCAAAGGCAGAAGAATTGCTTGAACCCGGGAAGCAGAGGTTGCAGTGAGCCGAGATCACGCCACTGCACTCCAGCCTGGCGACATAGTGAGACTCTGTCTCAAAAAAAAAAAAAAAAAAAAAAAAAAGTCATCAACTGATTCGAAGTCAAGTCCAACCATGAGTCAATGACAAGAGTCAAAAACAACAGCAACAAAAATTTAAACTTCTAAACTGAGGAGAGAGCAAAGATTACCTGGTGGCCATCAAGTAGACCATTTGGAGGCAAAGCCCCTTATCTAAGAAATTCGGAAGTAATTAAACTTCCCTATTATCTAAAGCCACATCTGGTATCCAGCTTCTTTCTCAAGAATTTATAAGTAATTAGAATTTCTATTCATCTCCTGAATGTGAGCATGTCAAAACTCATTGTGCAATCTTGCTGACATCAAGGCACTAAAATATCTACAAATGTAATCATCTACCATGACCTATGTGACTAATGTTACCTCTAAGTTCAGAACTATATGACTAATGTTACCTGTAAATTACCTCTAAATTCCCACTTTAAGGTGCATAAATGCCCCTAAGGAAAATCCACTGCAGCGCACTCAGTCCTCTCGTCCTGAAGCACCCTGCTGCACTCTGCTGCAGCGTTCTTTCTAACAAAACTTTCCTTTTCAAACCTATACTGTTGTTGGTAAGTTCCTTTACCACCTACAAGCCAACAACTCTCTGCTGCTTAGGCTCTGACATGTTGCTGGGGATGAACTTTCAGTTCTACATAATATAAGCCCACAAATATTTTTTCAATAAAAATAATGACGCAGGATTTTTCTCGGTCACTTTGCCAACCAGGGACCTCTGGCCAGCAATGTCCCGACCCGGGCCTCGCTTGGCCACGCTGCCTGCTACAGGAGGCAGCCCACCTGCTTGGCCCACCTCGGCCACATCTAGCTTGTACACTGGCTCGGTCTGTGGCTGGGCCAAGCGTGACCAAGCACACCTGTGTTATAGCCCATACCCACGTTTGGTGGTTCCTGAGTTCTTGTTCTGCATCCAAGAATGAGGATACACTGACAATTGAAGGGTGGCAAGGACAGAGAAGAATTTTATTGAGCGATGGAACAGCTCGCAGCAGACAGGGGTCAGGAGGGTGGTCCCCCACCCGAAGTCTGGTGGTTTCTCTCAGTGTGGCTGAGATAAGTGCTTTTACGAGCTCAGAATAGGGGAGTGTGTGCTGATTGGTTTGTGAGTATGCAAAAAAGGTTGAAACAAAGGCACCACTCAAAGGTGAGCACTATAATGTAAAAAACAATTAGGCAAGGATAGATATATGTAAAATAGGTGAAGGGTGGGGATCAATCCGAGGAAGGTGTGCCAAACGGGAAGACAGCTTCACAATCCAGTCTGTTGATTTACCTAGGACTTGTAGCTAGGGTTTAAACTGTTTTTGCCTTGAAGGTGGTATTTCACTGGGTGTGTGCCCTGATCTGCCTAGGAGTTGTCTGCCTTCTACCACTCTCAATAACAAAAATTGAAATTGCACAAATCTTTCAATTACGGATGATGACAAAAACACTATTAAACATTAATGGAGCTTTGCCATTTTTAGAGGTTGGAGTTAAAGGCTGACCATGATAATCCCTTTAAAGTAGCCACTACAATTAACTGCTACCTCTTATCCCACAAATTATAAAGTATCTTCCTATTAGAGACATCTCAAAGCACTTTGGGAGGCCAAGGTGGGAGGATCACTTGAGTTCAGGAATTCAAGACCAGCCTGACCAACATGGTGAAACTCCGTCTCTACTAAAAATACAAAAATTAGCCAGACATTGTGGCATGCACCTGTAATCCCAGCTACTTGGGAGGCTGAGGCAGGAGAATCACTTGAACCTGGGAGATGAAGGTTGCAGTGAGCCTAGATCACGCCACTGCACTGTGGGCTGGGAAAAAGAGCGAGACAGTCTCCAGAAAAAAAAAAAAAAAAAAAAAAAAAAAAAGGAAGTAGAGCATCTGAATCTATGTTTTAAAAGCTAGATCTTTTCCTTCCAGGAATCCAAAACAGAAATCAAAATGTTTGGGGGAAGCGGGGAGGGACAGCCTTAGGAGCTATACCTAATGCTAAATGACAAGTTAATGGGTGCAGCACACCAACATGGCACATGTATACATATGTAACAAACCTGCACATTGTGCACATGTACCCTAAAACTTAAAGTATAATAATAATAAAATTTAAAAAATAATAATAATTCAAAGTGTTTTACATGAGGATAATGGTAATTGCTGGAAACGGGAACCAGTGTTGTATTTTCCAGAATGACATAAGTACATATCCTTTCAAATAAAGAAATCTTTCTACCTTAAAAGGTTCTTGGCAGGTATAACAGTTCCATTCTAATACAGAACGTACATATTGTTCAAGAAGTTTATTTACCAACTGTCAAATGAAAACTTGCGTGGACAAAGTAAAAGAGACAAGGAAGACTTCATTTAAGGCTATCGCAGTAGGGTAGATAGGCCAGAACTCAGTCTGAGCTCAAGTCTACTGAAACAAAGGGCTGGAGAATTTTTAAGAACTGGGGTGGGGTGAGGGTGGGGAGAGATAAGGTCATCTTTGTTTGCTAATTGGCCTTACCTAAAGGAAAAGTAAACTCTCCTGCCCTCCTGACAAAAGGTAGCTTGCAACAAAAGTGTCCACTTAAAGTAGGCTTCTACCCTCCCACAGTGACCAGGAGATAGGATCCGGGAGACAGAAATACTGTCTTCCTTGATGATTACATTTCAAAGGGATGGCTCCCAGATCAAAATTAACATCTCAAAGGGGCAAAGAAAGAATTTGCAATGACAAGCTTTCTACAGTAAATGTTCTTAAGAAAGCGATGTCAAAAGCCTACAGATTGAAAGAAGCTTGTCTCAAGTTTGGCCAAGCTGAGGGAAATGTTGAGGCTCATCTTGGTCACCTCTTATAAAGCATGTTCATTGTTCCTTGCATGTAAAAAGTGTACAAGAAAATTTCACAGTTAGTGTAAAGTAAGGCAGAAAGAGTCTAATGCTAATAAAAACACTTTCTTATTTTACAGTATTTTTAAAATAATGATTTTTTTCCCCCATAAACTCTACACTGGTCTGAAATTTTTCAGTAGTATAGTAACCAATTTGTAAGATTTCAGGGTCTAGAATGAAAGAATACTAAGATACGGGAATGACAAAAGTCATTAAATATTCCTCAGTTCAATCAACTTAATTAGCCACAGAAAAATCTTGTTCCGCATCCCCTATGTGTCCTCACAAAATAATGTTTCTAAAATATAGTTATTTCTTCTTAATAATAACAACCACCACCTAGAAATGTTTGCACTGTCATTTACACGTTAAGATGTCTTACTTCAAGAGACTTTTCTCCTAGCAGCTTGCTAAAATCTTATAAATAAAATAATAGTATTTATAATAAAGGAGGAGTAGCAAAGAAGAAAATGCATGCAGTGTTATGAGCCTGGAGCAAGTTTAAATGGAATACCACAACTGAAACATGTGCTCGCCTGGAGGAGAGAAACAGGAATTAGAAGGTCAGAGAGAAACAGAGAAAAGAGAAACAGAGGAAAAAAGGCATTTTTTGTTTTTCAGTTTACTCCAGTACCAGTTCCGCTTCTAATGAGGTTTAGTTTACAAAAGATTTACCAGGAAATATTATGCTTCTATTTAAAAGGACTCTCTGCATATACAAAAACTGCAGTTACTTTATTGAAAGCAAAAAGAAAATGATTTATTATTTACTATAAAAACAAAAGCACTACCATAACAATATAATAGCAGAGCAAATATAATAAGAAGTTAAAGCAATTCAGTAAATGAATGGTACAATTCTATTTAAATTTAATCGAAAGTCTTGACAATATGCACTAGTAAATTTAGTAGTAAAAACTCTTTGTGCATCCTGTTTTAGAACCTTTACATACATTTATTCCCTTCATTTTTTTTTTCCTTGCAAAATTTGTCTTTGTAAGGTCACTTTTGGCTCCAAGTAATAGAAATACAACTTGAGCAGTTTGAGAAGAGTGAGAGGAAAGCAAGAAAAAAGCATTTATTGAGGGTGGATGATGGAGAGGAGAAAGTGGTTGCCCTGATGAGATTGAGTTTTTAATGTTTTTAATATATAATCTTGGTTCACTTTCACAACAAGTTTATGATGTGGAAATAGAAATAATCTTTGTTTATAGATGAGGAAATAGTAATAACAGGAGCTCATCACACTGGCTAGAGGTGGAGCTGCCATTAGACCTGAACCTTTTGACAGCAAAGTCTGTTTTTTTAAGCACTGGGACCAGGGAGATTTTATAAACATCCTGGGAAGAAATTATATCTAAATGAGTCTTCAGTTAATGTTTTACAAAGATTAACAACGAAGCAAGGAATAACCATATCAGACCTTTTAGGAAGTGAAAGGGAGACACTTGCCTATTTGGGGATTTTCCAGTCTTGCTTGACAGAAGGTACCAACAAAATAAAGCACAATTCTTTCTTTTACCTCAGCAAATAGTGCAAAAAAGTCACATAGCAGGCATTGATTTAGCCTTCAACTGGCATCTTCTAAACTAGAAGTGAAAAAAAGGCTTAAATTCTTTGGGATGGCTGGCAAAACCCTAGCTCCTTGCTTATTGATTTTTATGTTATTGCTCCTGGTTATGAATTGTGGATTTTAAAAAAAAACAACAGCATTTATGATGGCTAATAAAAAGAGAAAGCCAGGAGAAAAATCTCCCTCCCCAACCCATACCACCCTATTAGTTTCTTTTTCTTTTTTACATTAAGCTATAAACAGAATTTTGGGGGAAAATTATATAAAAATCCAATTTGTATCACAGAGAGGCATGGGTAGATTCCAAGATATGACTCTATGATAAAGTAAAAAAAGGACCTTCTACTTCTCCCAGAGGCAAGCGAGAGAAGTCATTAACCTTTTCCTTGCCAAAAAATTGTGTACTTGATAATCAGTAGTAAATTTCAATCACCACACACTGAAAAGAATTTGTGAGTTCATTTTCATATATCCAGCCCACTATAAGCATAAAGTTTCACAAGCTGATTTTGTTATATCATTGCAGGAAGCTGAAATATAAGGTGTTGAATTGCTTCTCTCTTATAAAGAACTACAGCTCATGTGTTGTTTTTATAATGGCTCATTGATCCTAAGTCAATCTTAATATGTAGTTTCAGTACTCTTAAATTATAATTTGACAAATAGCTTTCTAAAAATTATGTAAATAGGGAGAAATCAAATTCTCTGTATACATACATAAAATAATGGACAGGTTTTATGCATTATAGGAAATGAAAACTTTAAAAAATATTCTCTACTAAATAAACGTAGTGGTATTTAATTCAAAAATCCTGGGTGAGTCTCATTAGAGTAATAGGGTTTTTAAGAACAAACACCACCATTCCTGAGACTTAAGTTATGATTGTGAGACGAGGTCATCTAACCTTTCTATCAGTATATTAAAGAGCTCAGAGATGACTAGTCTAGACTCACAGGCAGCAAGAATAAAGTGGAAAGCCATCAAAAGATACAAGACTGAAAAGCACCATAAACACAAGGGATAGTAGAATTATCAGCTGTATAATTTAGAAATTGAGGCACTAATAATGACCACTTCCTATAAAAAATCCAACAGCACTAAAATTTCAGAATGAGCTCTGCCAAACTCCTTTGGTGAAGTTCTTTTTATAGCACGTTTTACATGAATAAGTGAATACATCAATTTAAATAAATCTGTGCATTTGTTTAATAGGTCTAGAATATGAATCAGAGTTTCACAATCACATGTAGACCAGGATAGATAGTGCTGTGGGGGGTTCATTGACCTTCCCTGGTATGAACACTCAGGTGCCTAGCACCATGCAAGGACCTTTCTATATGCTAAACTTCATTACATTTATCCTGGAAAGAAAGTATTGTTTTTTTTAAATATATCTTTAAAATACACAATTGTAATTCATACAGATTAATTAACTTCCCTAATACCACACAGCCAAAAGGTGGCAAGCTGGGATTCAAACCAGTTTGTTGATCTTCAATAACCATGCTTTTTCTCTCATTTGCTGCTGCTTAATTTGCTAGATTCAAAAATAGAAAAATTAGTCTCTGGCATTCACAGTTTTTTAAAGCATTCATCTGTAATTTTCACTTTATCAATACCTGGCGTAAGATTCCTATGTTGTCTTTTCTTTATACTTCTGTTTCTATCCTGTACCAAGAACACACACACACACACTCACACCCCTCTTTCTTTCCCTATCTTACATTTTCCAGCCAAGTAACTAATGCTTTGACATATTTCCTCAAGTACCTCTTCTTCCCTCCTGGATGACAGAAATAACACAAATTCTTGCACTTAAATTAAATTTTGTTACAAATCCCTCCCTTCTCATATTTGATAATCTGTACATCATATCTTCATATTGAATTATTCAAGGAATATCCAATTACTCCTCCATAATCTAGTCAAACTGTTATTTAAATATAATCCATATATCCTTTCCTCCATGCTTTTTGCTCCATATTTCAATTCTTTAAAAAGTTATTATTCATCAAGTTCTGTACTAAATAGAGAAATACATTAGTGAGATTATCACAATGCAACATGAGAAGTGCTAAATCGTAGAATGTTGGAAAATGGATAATTTTTTTTCTTTCTTAGGAAGGTAACTCCACTATTAATATGAAAACTTAAGAGCCACAAGAGTGTATTAGTTATCTATTGCAGCATAACTATTTATCCCAAAACTATGCAGCTTAAAACAACAAACATTTATCATCTAACACATTTTCTGGCAGTCAGGAAAGCAGGAACACCTCAGTTGGATGGTCCTAGCTCAGGGTCTCTCATGAAGTTTCAGTCAAGAAGTTGGCTGTGGCTGCAATCATCTGCAGGCTTGATTGGGGCTGGAGGATCCACTTCTAAGATGGCTCTCTTACATGGCTGTTGACAAGAGGTCTCAGTTGCTTATCACATAGGCCTCTGAATAGTGTCCCTATGACATTCAAAGAAAGAACAAGAGAGAATAAGAGAATGATCAAGACAGACATTAGAGTGTCTTTCCTAATCTAATCTTATAAATAATATACTATAAGGGCTGCCAATCTTGTTATGATATGGAAGGGTGCTAGACAAGAGCATCTATAACAGGAGATGGAGATCATTGGGGGCCATCTTGGAGGTTGGCTGCAAATCAGGAGAAGACTGGAGCTAGAGAGTCCAAGCTCTTGAAATCTTCTAGAGTCTAAACTCTTGAAATCTTCTAAGCCTAAAATGGCAATCAGGTAATGTTTCTGAGACTAAAGCTATGGAACAATTTGCATGGAGTAGGATAGGGAAGAGAAGTTAAACTCAAATCTCAGATTCGTAACCTTAGGCCCTCACTGATATCATTAACCACAATACAGGACATAAGAGGAAGAAGCACCTAAGTCTGGATTTTTTACATGTTCTGTTTTATAAGTATGAATATGTGCCTTGAGATGGAGATATGCAGTAGGAAGACATTCTTCCTGACCTCAAGATG
The DNA here is from genome assembly GCF_000001405.40 of Homo sapiens. NCBI lineage: Eukaryota > Metazoa > Chordata > Mammalia > Primates > Hominidae > Homo > Homo sapiens. The sequence goes on from NC_000002.12 coordinate 211,336,737, forward strand.
TTCTGAAATTCTGCTCATCTTGCAAAACTTACCTCAAATACTACTTTCTTCACTAATAGTTCCATATCTCCAAAACCAGAAGTTATATCTCTTTCTTTGAGTCCCTGTAGCATTTAACTCCTTCCTCAGTTCTTATTTCACTCTGTTTTACATTAAACTATGCAGCCTATCCTTATTTGGGTACAACCTGCTCAATCCACTTGGACTATAAGTTTTTTGAGGGCATGGGTGACTTAATACATCACTGACCATTCTGTAGTCTAGTTTAGCACTTGACCCATAATAGCCTTTCAATGAATATTTGTTGAATAGAATTAAAAATATCATCTCAAAGGAGATTTTATCGGGCAGATTTCAGGCACCATAAATTCAGCTACATAGAAATTGTTTACTGAAGTGCTGATGGTGATGATGGTGGAATTTGGGAAGGAGGAGTTCTTTGCGGTGCTATTCACAACATAAGAGGGATGATGCTTTTTCTGTCTGCGGAAAACCATACCCGAAGTGATTGCCAAGAATGTGTCAATTACCCAACTGTATTCCAGGTCCACAATTGATTTTCAATTATTCTGTGACTTTGCACCTTATACATAATCTTTCTTCATTTTGATGTGCCAATCTTTAATGTATTCCTTTGGATTATAGAATAATTTAAATGATTTTTGCTGCAACTTACTGTTTAGATGACACAATTAATAATAAGTGGATTTGGAAGATAGGACAAAGGAAATCAGTTACATGCTTGTGTTTATTTTTCACATTCCTGGACAAATTACTGAGACAACATGAGAATCTAAAAACCATCTCTGTCCTCCAGCATCTGGATGATTTTCAGATAATAAATTAAGCTCACAGGACTCTCATTCCTTACTATATCAGTCTCTTCTCACACTGCTATAAAGACATACCTGAGACTGGGCAATTTATTAAGGAAAGAGGATTCATTGATTCGTGGTTCCACAGGGCTGGGGAGTTCTCAGGAAACTTACAATCATGACGGAAGGGGAAGCAAACACGTTTTTCTTTACACAGTGGCAGCAAAAAGAAGTGTAGAGCATAAAGGGGAAAAGCCCCTTATAAAACCATCAGATCTCATGATAACTCACTCACCATCATGAGAACAGGATGGGGAAACCACCTCCATGATTCAATTATCTCCACCAGGTCCCTCCCATGACAAGTGGGGATTATAGGAACTACAATTGAAGATTAGATTTGGGTGGGGACACAGACAAACCATATTAGTTACCTATAAAATTAGGAGACAGTAAAAGCTCATCCCTGATTTTTTAGCAGTTTAAGTATATGATTCCGTTAACTGAAGAGTAGAATATTCATAGCTCATGCTTGTTTGCTTTTTTTTTTTTTTTTTTTCAGAGGAAGTCTCACTCTGTCACCCAGGCTGGAGTGCAGTGGCATGATCTTGGCTCGCTGTGACCTCCTTCTCCCGGGTTCAAGTGATTCTCCTGCCTCAGCCTCCCAAGTAGCTGGGACTACAGGTGTGCACCACCATGCCCAGCTAATTTTTTTGTATTTTTAGTAGAGACAGGGTTTCACCATGTTGGCCAGGATGATCTCAATCTCTTGACCTCATGATCCACCTGCCTCTGCCTCCCAAAGTCCTGGGATTACTGGTGTGAGCCACTGCACCTGGCCATTTTTTTGTTTTTTTAATGAAAGCTTTTAAAAAAACACTTTTAATTTCATAACCATTTTTTTATAATCTGAAAGGTAAGGGCATAAAGGCAAAATGTCATGTAACTAATGGAAGCAATCTTTACTTCCTTTCTTCTATATAATTTCTTTCGTAGAAAAATAAATATAATTTTCCTACGAGTTAATAATTTAAAATGTTAGAAGTAGGTTTGAACCATTAACCAGGATTTCCATTATTTCATTTTAACATCATGACAACTCTCTGTGCTATAAAATTAGCTCCATGTTTTTAAATCAGGGTACTGAGCCTCAGTAACTTCACCAAGGTCACAAAGTCTACATCTCAATGAAGGACAGCTCTTCTAATTCCAAATTACCTGTTATGTAAGATCTGTAGCAGGGCTCAACCAGATTGCTGTGGTCTACACCTGCTGATTAGACTTGTATCTTCTTCTAAACTTTCTCAAAATTCTTTTTCATTGTGTTCACCAGAATTTGCTGGTTGACTTCCCACAAATTCAATCAACGTTAGCATATGCCTCGCAACTTCAGAAAATACCTCCTCATGCCTCCTGGATGGCTTTCTCCTGCTTTCTATTTTCATCCCATAGGTTTCACAAACTGAGCTACATATGGCTTTCCAAACACAGCAAGGAACACTCTTCAGATAATTTAGTTTCTGTGCATTCTTTTTTGAAGGTAATCTTTCTGTACTAAATAACACAAGACAAAAGAGGAAAGTTTTTAACTCTTCAAGAATGCATTCAGCGTAGAAAAAAAGAGAAGTTTCGAAGTTATATTTTACCATTGGGAGGCTGTTTGAGTTGCTAGGGTGTAATCTTCCAATCCCAACAGAGTCATGTGTTTATAAAAATGTTCATGTGTCCTTGAAATATTTTCCAAGTTTCTGTTATTATACTCTGTTAAGACAGCATAGGTGAATCTGCAACATGATTGGGATGTATTAATATGATTTCATTTGATTATGAGAGAACTTTCCTCAATAGTCAAATGACACAGAACAGAATAGAAAGTCTAGAAATTGACTTATATATAATCATAATATAAGTTATATAATCAATTGATTATATTACCATAGTTATATAATCAATTGATTATATAACCATAGTTATATAATCAATTGATTTCAATGAAGGTTCCAAAACAACTCAGTGGTATGAAGGTAGTATTTCTATATATTTTGCTAGAACAAATGGATACCTGTATAAAATAATAATTTTAAAACTAACCTTTATCTCACCTCCCCCACCACACACACAAAATAACTTACAATGGATGATAGTAATATAAGAGCTAAAACCATTAGGCTTCCAGAAGAACATGTCAGTGAAATCTATGTGATAATAGGAAAGAAAAAGATTTCTTAAATAAGGAAAAATGTACAAAATATAAAAAGTAAAATAATAATGTTGATTTCAACAAAATATGGAAAGTTTTGTTTTTCATAAGACAGCTAAGAAACCAAAAGTCAAGCTACAAACTGAAAGAAAATATTAGCAAAGAATACACTTAACAAAGGGCTTATATCAAGAATATATAGAAGGACCTCTTTAAATGTAATAAGAAAAAGAATTGTTATTAAAATATGGGCAAAATATTTGAACAAGCGCTTTATAGAAGAAGATGTACAAGTGGTCAAAAAGCACATGAAGAGATGTCCATTATTAGTTGTATAAGTTCCCTGGAGTTTTTGCAAGAAAGTACCACAAACTGTGTATCTTTAAACAACAGAAATTTGTTGTTTTATAGTTATTGAGGTTAGACATCCTAAACCAAGGTGTTGGCAGGGCAATGCTCCCTGTGAAATCTCTAGGGGACCCCTTCTTTGTCTAGCCTAGCTTCTGATGGTTTGTTGGTAACTTTTGATGTTCCCTGGCTTGCAGCTGCATAACTGCATAACTGCATAACTCCAATCTCTGCCTTCATTATCACAGAGCATTCTATTTTTCTTCACAAGGAGATCTTCTTATAAGGACACCAATCATACTGAGTTAGAGACCCACCCTACCCCAGTATGACCTCATTTTACCTAAGTACATCTGCAATGACCATATTTCCAAATAAGATCACATTCTGAGGTACTGGGGGGTTAGAACTGTAATATATCATTTTGGGGAGCACACAATTCAACCCACATCAAATATCAGGGAAATGAAAATAAAAATTTCAATGAGATAATTTTTAGATCCACAAGAATAATTAAGATTTAAAAGTTTGACAATACTAAATGTTTGCAAGGATGTGGAGCCACCGGGATCCTTATACATTGCTAGCGGGAGTATAAAATAGTGCAACAACTTTAGAAAATAGTTTCTTATAAAATTAAACATACACTACTGATACAACCCAGTGATTTCACTTCTAAGTATTTATCCAAGAAAAATAAAAACACAAATATTTGCACACAGATGTTCAATGCATCATTATCTATAATAGCCAACTCAGTGTCCATAACTGCTGAATGTTGTGAATATCCATATTGTATAATATTATCCAATGATAAAAAGGAACACAATATGAATACATGCTACAACATGAATGGATTTCAAAAAATATGCTGAGTGAAAAAAGTTAAATATAAAACACTATATTCTGTATTATTCCATTTACCTGAAATTCTAAAAAAGCAAAACTAGAGTGACAGTAGGTCAATGTGAGCCTATGGCTGGGGGCTAAAAGGGTGAATCTACTATGAAGGGTCACAAGGAAACTTTTAGGATAGTGGAAACCTTTCTACATCTTGATTTTGGTGGTGATGATAAGACTACATGATTGCTTAAAATTATCAAACTGTAAGTTAAATGAGTACATTTTATTGCATGTAAATTATATCTCAATAAAGTGAGACAAAGGTGAAGAATTCGGAAATACCAAATTTGTGAACTCACCTATGTGGCCCAATACCATGGCTAATTTAGTTAATGCTTTCATATTTTTTTAATCCAAATTTCAATCTTCAAACAAGGAACAACCTTTAAAATCAATATAAGTCTTTTTCATAGTTTGAGAAATTGGCAGGTAAGATTGGAATGGTAAGGCTTAATATAGAAAGCAACCGCTAAACATAGTCTGATTTTGTTTTTTATTTTAGATGTAAAAAAAAAAAAAAAAGGCTTCATTCTGTCACTGCTGCCCTGTGGGGCTAGAGTGGTATCATCTTGGTAGGAAGGTAGTATCTGCTGCCATGTGAGTTGTAAGCACAATGGCTGATCTCTAAAAGGCGTTTTCTATTTGGATGCAGTTTTCTGTATCAGCAGGAGCTATCCACTGATTGGATCAGACATCTACCTTCTTGTGGTTCAGAGCCTCAGAGTTTGAAACTGTCTTGTCCCACTACTCGTGTAAATTTTGTTTCACTAGTTGGAGTCAAGCTTCCTTCCTTAGAGCCTTTATTCCCCAGATTGAGTGTACCGTCTACGATGCTACTATTTCCCAGGGGTCTTTGTCTATGCTATGCTTTTGGATGAGGGCAAACAAATTTCTGTTTCTAATTCTCAGTGAAATCAAACATTCATAAAGAATACATTAAGAATAAAGAAACTAGGGCTCTCAATGTTACCTCTTATCCTCTCAACTACCATCCTTTCAATTTTCTGGAAGCCTTCTGCCATCTTAGGCATTTATATTAAATTCCTAAAAGTCACACCTTATTTCTTTCTTTCTTTCTTTATTTTCACAGACAGGGTCTCACTCTGTCACCAAGGCTGGAGTGCAGTGATGCAATCCTAGCTCACTGTAACCTTGAACTCCTGGGCTCAAGCTCTCCTCTAGCCTCAGCCTCCCCAGTGTTAAGACTACAACTACATGCCACCATGCCTGACTAATTATTTTTATTTTTATTTATTTTTTACTTTTTGTAGAGACAGGGTCTTGCTCTGTTGCCCAAGCTAGTCTCAAACTCCTGGCCTCAAGTGATCTTCGTGCCTTGGCCTCCCAAAGCACTGAGATTACAGGCATAAGCCACATGCCAAGCCTTTTATTTATATTTGAAATATAAATAAAAAGTGTAGAGGGTGAAGTTAAAAGAAAGTTTGCTTCTTAAATGCTTTGCTAATATTCTTTATCATCAAATCTAATATATTTATTTTATAGATAATTGCTTACGAAAGCAGATACCCTGATGAATACTTTGCTTAAAATAATAAATCAAATGGCTAAATCTGCCTCTAGAACTTGCTTTTGTGTTTTGCTAAGAAATAGAAAATGTGGTTGTTTTACTTTGTTTATTTAAAACCATAATTAAGTGTAAACTGGCAGAATTGCCTGGAAATAATTAAAGACTATATATATTTATTATACTATTAAACTGAGAAGAAACCTTTTATATATGTATACACATATATACTTATATATACTGCTATATATGTGTGTATACACAGTCACATGTGCACACACAAATACCATATTTACTTTATACTTTCAGGTCCTCTTAACCTCTGATTCTATATCTATACCTATATTATTTTTCTTTTCACCCTCTCTTCATAATGTGTGGGGACCTTAAAACACAAAATGCTTTTTGCCACCACTAGAAACTGTTACCTTTCCAGAGCCATTTTATGAAGTAAAATTAATTTCTGTACCAGCAGGAGCTATCCACTGATTGGCTATCCACTGATAAGCCATCTTACAAAGTAAAATTAATTTAATCAATTAATCTAAAAATAATAACTATGGCTACCAAAACTAAGCAAAGTGTCTTCAAATACCCTTCTTTCTCAGTATCACTAATTTCAAAGAACAGAGGCAAAGACTGTCAATAATTGGGTTGTGTTGGGTCCAATTATCTTTTTAATAATTAACGATAATATTATTATTAATAACAATCATTATATGTTCTTGGGAACTATTGAAATCCTTAGGGCACTTATTTTGGGGGGATTTCACAGATAAAAAATAAAATCACTTAGCAAGAGTCCAAGAATAAGGTGGGAGAAGCAATGGAAATAAAATTAGGTTTTAAAATACATGTATTCCTGTAATAATTCAAAATCCAGGTGGAGGCAGATGTTTTTGTTGTTTTTGATACAAGGTATTACTCTGTCACCCAAGCTGGAGTGCAGTGACGTGATCTCAGCTCATTGTAGCCTTGACCTCCTGGGCTCAGGTGATCTTCCTGCCTCAGCTTCCTAGTTAGCTGAGACCACAGGAACACACCGCCTTGTCCAGCTATGTTTTCTGATTTCTTGTACAGATGGGGTTTCACCATGCTACTCAGGCTGGTCTTGAACTCCTGGGCTCAAGTGATCTATCTGCCTCAGCCTCCCAAAGTGCTAGATGAGCCACTGTGCCCAGCCCAGATTTTTTTTTTTAAATCGGATTTTTATGGCACCCTTAAATGAAGCAGATTTTTTGTTACTATTTCCCTTTGAATGCTTCACGGAAAATAACAATCAATGTAAATTCAATTTTCCTAAATGTTTGCTAAAGTTCATAGAGTTACTATACATGGTTTAATTTCAACTCACTGAAAGTTTCACTCAAATGATTAATCTTGAGCATTAGCTGACCCATGAGGGTTGTCAAATAAAGAACTAGCCCAAACTTAGGAAGGAAAGACTTGATTCAAAACGTCTATTGCAATGTGTGAGGGGAACTAATGTAATGTAAAGGAATCTATCATAATAAAAAAAGGGGATTTGTGATATGGGAAGGCGAATTATTGCAATAAAGAAAGAAGGACTATAGCGCTAGTGAGATCCCCAACCATAAGATCTATGTGTCTCAAAAGTCAGGTAGAAAAGGCTTTTCTTTTACAGAAGGGAATAAACAAGGTTGGAAAAAATCATGTGGTGTGGCATGGGATGAGTATGTGGCATGATCAGACAGTTGAGCAGAAAATTTTTCTTTTCTGGCAGCTGATTCTCAGAAGAGGCCATTAAGGAGGTTGCTCTACAGTGCTTCCTTAAGCTCAAGGGTGGGCCAAAGTTTGGAGACCTTGGGGAAAGAGAAAAGCCTGACTAAAGTTTGGTTGTTTATGATCATTCTACAAAGATGGTTCAGTGGGGACAAACAGTGAAGCTAATCATTTATGAGGCACAGAGTAGGAATTTGAAGAGGCTTGTCATAGGTAACAAGGGGTTCACTCTCACATCTTACCTGAGTCATATAGGGACAGGAGGTTTGTAATAGTAAGCAATTTCCCAGAATAGAAAAGGAGGTGGGATTTCTGTTTCTGCTTTCCAGGAGCAAAGGGCTCAGGTAAAGTTCAACATTGTCAGGGCCATTCAAATGAAAACACTATCTTCTTTAACTATTTATTATATTTGATACAGTGTTCATAACTGCCAAAAAAATTCATAAATAAATTCCTCCTAAGTGACTTTTTAGGTTAGAGATTTCTTATTTTTTTCTTTTTCCTTTTATAATCTCAGCCATCATAAGAAAACGCTAGGTCATTCAATTATGCCTTTATTTATTTGTTTGTTCAACAAATGAAACTAGGATAGTGATGTAGCAAAAAGAGTAACTGGACAGGGATCAAATTAGGTGCATCAGGCTATAAACAGGAGATTGGAAGACTTTCAAAGAAGACCTGAGGTTTTTAATGAAAGCAGATTTTGGCTTCCCCACTGTCCCTGCAACCACTTCTAAAGCTTCAGTTGCTAAAGGATCCTGCTTTAATGCCTTCCATCCCCCATTGGTGTGAGCTTTGGTCCTAGTGAAGAGAATAACATCAAAGAAGAGCCTGCCAAGCACCTCACTGCCTTTTTCTCAACATCGTAGGACAATACTTGCTCTTTCCTGGGGTATAGCTACTTGTCGTGAGAAGTGATATTGAGAAACTGACAGGCCCGAGTTCACCTTCGATTTTGTCGTTCCAATAAAGACATCATTAGTGTTGCTTTTTTTAAAATTAAATACTCCAAAGTTTTATTACACAATGGTGTAATCTCTTTAAAAAAACTGCTACATGAGCATAGATGTATGCTTCCCCCAACATTAAAGGGATTTTTCATTTCATGAAAGGGTTTACCACAATATTCATTCACAAATAATTTTACCTTATGAAGTTATAATTTAGAATAATCGAAGTCCTATTAGCTGTGTGTTAGAATTGAACAATCCCAATGTGAAGGTTTCTGAATGGCAATTTTATTTGTTAGCTACAGCGCGAGTTTTGGGCTTCCAGTCCTCTTCTCTGTTCTGCTAGATGGACAAGAGAGGGGAAAATGTTTGGCATGGAAACAATTTAAAAAACAAAAGAAAATGTAGGTGCTATGAATATTTCTCTCCTGTAGAAGTAATGTAGCTATGTCAATACCAACTTCAGAGACTTTATGGTCCAAGCATTTAGATGACAGGGTGCCAGGCATTTTGGTGGTAATACGAAGTCAAGTCTCTTACTAAACTTCAAGGTGGTAACATAGTACAGTGGATATGAATTTGCAGCTGCATATAGAGGCATGTGAGAAAGTTTATGCTTGCTTTTCACTGCTCTGAAGGTAAACTTCACATCAGTCTTTCTAGAAGATTCCAAGTGACCAAAGTGGCTTCAGCAGAGTAAAACTTTCACGAATGACCACACCAGTTTCAGTCCACACAGACTGCCATCATGGGTTCATTATTCAGCCCTACATTGTGTGTGATAGCTACTACCACTTCTGTCCTCCTACTTCTATTCTATTATTGGATAAGGAGAACATTGCCAAGGCAGGGAGCTAAAGTCCAGCCTTCCTAAGTGTCTTATGTACACATCCTCTCTAGGTATGTTGCCATTGTTTCAAGTCCCTGTAAGCAATAGTTGTGGTCTCCAAATGCTACTCACTACCTAGCTTCAAACATTTTTCCCTCTCTTGCTCTCTTATCCAACCAAAGAAGGAGTTCCTTGTTATGCTTACCAGGAGCACTCCAGTTACTTTAGACTTTTACAAAAGCTAAAAAGATGGTCACGTGCAAAGGCCCATAGGATAAGAAAACACAAAGGCACTACCTTCTAGAATGGCAGAGGGAAAAACAGAGAACAAAGTACAAGCAGCTCTTAATCTCCCTGGTTCTTCCACGACAAAGGAAGCAAAACATAAATTACCACCTGAATACCTTTTTCTGCCACCTTGGATACTCAAATGTTGAAAAGGAATCACCTGAATGAGGCCCCAGAGGAGGACTCAGTGCAGAAAGAATTCTCATCCTCTTCCTTCAATCCGAAGTGAGAGAGGCAGATGGGTAGAAAAAAAAATCATGTAATTGGATTCCCACTTGGGCCACTGACTTAATGTTATGTACATATGTATAGATTTATGCATCACTATCACTTAATGCTATGTCTGTACTCTCAGGTTTCCTCACATGTGTATGGAAGACTTTTAAAGAAGACCTGAGGTTTTTAATGAAAGCAGATTTTGGCTTCCCCACTGTCCCTGCAACCACTTCTAAAGCTTCAGTTGCTAAAGTTTTCTAACTTGATTGACGTGATCTTCAGAAAATCCAGGAAATAGTAGGATATGCCTACTAGGTGTAACAGAGATTCCAAGATAGGCTGGGTGGAAAATGGCAGTAGGTCATGGGGCTGGGGGTGAGGAACCAAGGAGTAAACTGGTTCTATAGGCCTCAACAAGTCTACAGGCCTGTTGTCAGAACATAATCCAGTCAAGTTATAAGCATCTTGTTTTAAGGAATGAAAGCATTATACAAACAATGGCTATATGTATGTGTGTGTATATATATATATATATATATATATATGGAGAGAGAGAGAGAGAGAGAGAGAGAGAGAGAGAGAGAGAGATGGGGTCTTACTGTTGCAGGACTTTTCCTTAGTTCAGCTAAAGATGGGGTCCTTTGTCCCATGGCCATGAAAATTTAGGCTTGCAGGCAATTTGAATGGTGAGTAAGATAGAGTTTTATTGGGTGAAAAGGAATAACAGGAGGAAATAGGGACTCTCACAAGGCCAGAGTCCCTGCTGGAGCACTTCCTGCCCAGCAGATTGAATCCCAGTTTCCACAGAGGAAAAGGAGGAGCCTGGCTCCTCCCCACCGCAAAGGATGTGAAATTCTGTGGCTCCACCCTGGTGTACAGGCTGCTTGGAGTTTCTCCAAGGACTCCCTCCCACTTGGCTGTCTCATTCCCCTCTCTGAAGAAGTACATCTAACTGCCACTAGAATAAAGATAAGGATAAGGACGAAGACCAATATTAACTGCTTCCTGCTGACAGGGGGCGCTGTTTTGGGGAAACTGCAGTCAGAGCTCCCTCTGAGGCCTCTCTAAGGGTTCCCAGCAGAAGGGGCCATCATCAGAGGTTCCGGTTGCATGACCGTTTGGAGTTTGATGGCCTGAAAACAAGAAGAGACAAATCAGGTTATTAGAAAACGTGCATTGAAACAAAACAAAGAAGGGGTAAGGAATGCTCAAAAATCCCAATTCCTTTTACCACTTCGTACAGGGAGAGGGAAGCCAAAAGCCCGACCAACGAAAAACTTGAGTCTTTTGCTGGCATGTTGGGCTTCTGAGTTCCCTTCTCCTGAGCCCAATCCTAAACCAAAGAGTTTAAGGTTTGGAAAATTAACTCTTTCCAGTTTGGAGGATGCATCTGAGGGGAGTGTCCCCTAGTGCAGAGACACAATTACCTATCTGTGAAGAGAGGACAGAAGAGGAGAAAGGAAAACGATATTTTTTTCAAGAGTCCCAGGGGTTCAGGATGCATAGGGGTATGTCCTATGGGAGGCTTTGGGTACCAATCAAGACTCCACAAATGTGTACACAACACTATAACATGGGGAAACAACCATTCGAGTTTAAGATTTTGGTGCTTATGCTTTAAGCTTTTAATGAAATCCCACCTTACTTGTTTAAGAAGCTTTCCTTATACCTTCTTTCCACAGTTTGCACCTTCAGGGTATTAGAAAAAAAATAAAAATGCTTATAACAAGCTAATTCAAGTGGGAGTGGGAAGATGACAAAGATGGATATTTGGAAGAGAAACTTCACATACTGGTCTGTCATCTGCCTGCCATTGTTTGATTCTCATATCCTTTGTGTCTCTCAATGTCTAATAAATGGGGCATCCTTTTATCTTCAGTCAAGTAAAATTTAGTTACTCCTATCCTGACAGGTCAGCTCATTCAATTTCTTCTGTGAGTGAGCCAATGGCCTTGTGAGACAAGATAAAAAACAGAGGTGAAGGGGGTTGAGCCAGAGTCCAAAAATCCCAATTCTGTTTCCGTACCTTAATAACTTTGAGATTGTGCAAAATCATTTAGTATTTTTGTTATGTGTTTATTTTATTATAAATAGTATTAGAAATATTATTAATAATGCTCAAATATATTGAAGGGTAGTCACAGTGACCAGTTGATACATAGTATGTAAGTGCTTGGTAAAGTAGTATGTAAATAAAATAACTAACTGTAGTATTAAAATAAGACACATCTGATGACATAATTTTTGGCTCAATGGTCCCAGGCATTTTCAAAGTTCTCAGCCAAAATGATTCTAAAAATGATGAAGCTAAGGAAAGACGGCTTTGAGAAGAACCTTAAACAAATGTAACCACAGGTTGTGAAGGAAGTGACTTCTTGGATATACGCCTGGTGTGGCAGAAGCATTTTTTGAGACACTCACTTGTGTTTGTCTCCCAGCATTTTCCTTCTCCCTTTTTGGCCGATAGGATGCTGGATGCTCCCTTGCATAAGGGCAGGGTGGTGGCAGAGTGGAAGTAGGAGTAACCACCAGTTTTACTTCCTGGCTTTTGTTTTACACAGACCTAAAGTCATTGAAAGGATTATTTGAAATAACAGTGTTTCTGAGGGAATCATTAGTATTGGTTCTGGGAGTCGGCAGGGAGCCAGTAATCTGTGGGCTAGGAAAGCAGAAGACTGATGTCATCCTGGCTTCACATGAGGGGATGGCAGGAAGTCAGAGGGAAATGGCTGCCTTGTTTCCTAGCTTTGTGAAGGGCCCCTTTCCTCTAGCATGATCAAAAGTTGCAGAGCCAGGGACCCGAGGACATCATGTAAATGGGATGAATGAATACCTTAGCAATAGATGTGAGCTGTTTATTAGTAGCTGAAGCAATCTCCCCAGGAACTAAGACCCTGAGAACTGTCAACTCCTCTAAATAGGGACAGCCCCAACTGGACTCATTTGTGATTTGCATAAATATAATTAGCACTTGTGGTATCAAAATTAGATTGATTTTAAGGAAAGTGTTGTTTTTTGCCCACTTGAATTATAAGATGTCTTAAAAAATAATAATAATAATGAAAAGGAAGCCAATTGAATTAGCAAATATACTTTTTTCTTGTCTAAATTAATCTGCACTGAATCCAATTGCTTTAGTAGATTTAATTATTATTCATTGGTCAATTAAATCTATTTAAGATACCATAGCAGTTAATATTGAACACAGTGTATGAACATAGCACTGAGTGTGGAAATAATTTAGTTATTGCATGTGATTTAATTATTTTTATAATACAAATAGTTCTTAGTCTGTGTGTTTCTTCACCATCATGGTATGTGCCTGAATAAAGCAAATCTCCAAACCACAATTGAATCAATCATCATTCCCCAAACAACATTTTTATCACAGATGTTAATAAGTAACAATATGAATTAAACTGAATCTGCTCTTTTTATGTATAATCACTGGTATGGTTTGGATATGTATCCCCACCCAAATCTCATGTTGAATTATGACCCCCAATGTTAGAGGTGGGGCCTGGTGGGAGGTGATTGGATCATGAAAGTGGATCTTTCATGAATGGTTTAGCACAATCTCCTTGGTGCTGTCTTATAATAGAGTTCTCAAGAGATCTGGTTGTTTAAAGGTATGTAGCATCTCCCCACTCTCTCTTCCTCCTACTCCAACCATATGAAGTGCCTTGTTCTTCCTTTGCCTTCCGCCGTGATTGGAAATTTCCTGAGGCCTACCCAGCAGCAGAAGCTGATATGCTTCCTGTACAGCCTACAGAACCATAAGCCAATTACACTTCTTTTCTTTATAAATAACCCAGTCTTAGGTATTTCTTTATAGCAGTGTGAAAATGGACTAATAAAGAAAATAATGGAATTTTAAAGCTGAAATTGGTTTTACAGAATATCTAGCTTCCACCCCTGCCTATTTAATAAATATGAATATGGAACCCAAAATTTGACTAGCCTATCTAAATTCACAGAGAACAATAGTGACAGGAAAAGGATTAGAACCCAGCATTTCTGACTTCTGGCCTTTATTCTGTATTTTACCTTGTAAAATTCTATTTACCACCTCTGTAAAAATGATCTTATCCAAGGTAATTATATGTGTAGAAAAACTAGCTTTAAACGATAATATTATATTAACCACAATTTCTTGACTTTTTGCTCTATCCCAGGCATCATACCTGCTTACAGTTTCTCATCTTATTTTTTAAACAAACCTACGAGGTAGGGAGTATTAGTGTCTTAGTCCATTTACTGTTTCAATAGCAGAATACCTGAGACTGGGTAATTTACAAAGAAAAGAGATTGATTTGGCTCATGATTTTGGTGGCTGGAAAGTTCATGATCGGGCAGCTGCATCTGGTGAAAGCCACAGGCTACTTCAACTCATGGTTAAAAGAGGAAGAGGAGCAGGTGTGTGCAAAGAAATCAGTTGTCAAGAGTTTTCCAAAAGAGAGAAATGGGGGAGGCTAGACTCCTTGTAACAACCTGCTCTTGTGGGAATTAATCCATTCCTGAAAGAGTGAGAACTCACTGACCCCTGAGACAGGACATGAATTTATTCGTGAGAGATCTTCCAGTACGGCCCAAACACCTTGTACTAGGCTCACCCTCCCAACACCACCACACTGGAAATCAAATTTCGATGAGTCTTGCCAGGAACAAGCCATATCCAGCCATAGCAATTAGGCTTCCAATTTTATGTGTTAGGAAACTAAACCTGAAGGAAGAGGAGTCAAATTGCAAGCGTATTGAGTGTAGAAGCTCCTATTTAAACATAGGTTGTCAGACACCAGAGCTCAATCTAATAGGATTCAATTTTCAAATTTTAGAAAATTGACCAAATTAATGTGTTATTCATTTGGCGAATATTTAAGTAAAATATTTAAGATTTCTGTGAGCAGACGCTGATCTAGATACTGGATGTAGACTGGTAACTGACAGCAATAAAGTCCCTGACCTCATATACTTTGTTGTTTTTGTTTTCTGTTTTTTGTTTTGAGACAGAGTCTCACTCTGTTGCCCAGGCTGGAGGGCAGTGGCATGATCTCGGCTCACTGCAACCTCTGCCTCCCAGGTTCAAGCAATTCTCCTGCTTCAGCCTCCTGAGCAGCTGGGACTACAGGTGCCCACCACCACGCCCAGGTAATTTTTGTATTTTTAGTAAAGATGGGGTTTCTCCATGTTGGCCAGGCTGGTCTCGAACTCCTGACCTCAGGTGATCCACCCACCTTGGCCTCCCAAAGCACTGGGATTAGAGGCATGAGCCACCATGCCCTGCTTGTATACTTTGTATTCAAGTATTTGTTTGGTGTTTTTAGAGTGCAAGGAACAAAGCTATGTTTGGCTCAGTTGATGGGAGGTTTAATTAAAGGAAACCTGGAAGATAGGAAACTCCAGGAAGCAGACTGCACAGCTGTACAGCCAGGCATCCTGAGTGTTCAGGCCACAGCAGCAGCTCTGGAGCCCTCAGGAACTCTGGTCATCTGATGTGATATTCCCTTTGCTAGTGCTCTGCCATTTTGAGGACTCAGCAGAGTCCTCTTTCTGCTCTGACTTACTCAGTCTTTGAATGATTGTCAAAATTCCCGGGAGAGAATCTGACTAGATCATCTGTCATGTGACCCAGGGCAGGCCTTTTCAGTGCAGTTGCCATGTCAGGCCACATCGTGGATTGCAGCCAGCTTCTGGGTGGCTGCATTCTAGTCAGGTGCCGATTCTTGTTGAGCCAGCTCTGGCAAGGGTGCAGGATCACAACAGATAAAGAGTAAGATGAGGAATTGGCATGATGGAGCTCAGAGAACCATTGCCAGCATAATTGCAATATTTCAATTCTATAAATTACAGAGGCCTCTTCATGATTATTTTGGCTATATGAAACCATTCACTCATTTTTAAAAGTAGGCATTTATTGAGAGTTGGCTGAGACCTGGATAGGTGGAGTTGTATTTAAAAAAAATACATTATTTTACTCATCCTATACTTATCTTGATCAAACTCATTTAAGTGAGAGATAAAATACAAATTTTCACACAGAATTTATAGTTTGTCTTACTTTTACAGAATTGTTTCTGATATTCTCTTTTTCATTATATGTAATACATTTTGAAGTATTAAAACAAGAGGATTTAAAGATGAAAAGGATATAGTTCCTATCTCAAGAGTGCCCAAGGGAGTCAGATAAGAAAATAAACAAGCATAATACAGAAGATAAAGATGTGCTTTAGATATTATGGGTTTATACAACAAAGGTATCTTCTGGGGCTAGAGCTGGGAGCAGGGAAAGGTTAGAAAAGGCTTCTCAAAGAGAGAGTGACACCGAAGCTGCACCCTGACAGGCAAAATGAGAGGCGAGGTGCATGCTAAGCAGAGAAAATCCAGTTGGCGCTCTGTATCCCTGGGTTCCACATCCATGGATTCATCTAATCGAGGATTCAAAATATTCAGAAAAAAATGCCTCTGTACTGAACATGTGCAGATTTTAAAATTGTCATTATTCCCCAAACAATACAACAACTGTTTGCATAGCATTTATATTGTATTAGATATTAGAAGTAATCTAGGAATGATTTAAAGTATACAGGAAGATGAGCGTAGGTTATATGCACAGTTTATATAAGGAACTTGAGCGTCTGTGGACTTTGGTGTCCTCTGGAGGTTCTGGAACCTATCCCTCATGGATACCAAGGGACGATTATAATTCAGAATATCTACAGTGAAGTTTGTGGACAGTGGTGGTAGTAAGAGAAGCCTTGGAAAGAAAAGAAGAGGGATCCCTAACGCCCAAACTATTTTTATGTCTTTATAAGGCTTTTCAGAGTCCTTAAAGAATTTTCAGCAAAAAAAAAAAAAAAAAAAAGAGTTTTAGTTTTAAAAATTACTCTGACAGTGGTATGGAGGAACCAGTTTCAAATATAAACCTGGAGATCAGTTACAAGTATGAAAATATAATTGTTGGAATATTACAGTATGTTGCATTTTTCTTTTGGCATTTTCCTCCCTGCACTTCCACTAAAGTAGCAGTCTTTTCTTACCTATTTGCCTCAGGGGAGGACTTCAAGGAGTTAAAATCAGATGTTCTCTTCTCTGGCTTGTGTTTTTCTAAATTCAGAGTTTTTGTAGAGGTTATACTAAGTGTCTTTGAAACCACCAAGCAGGGAGAGAGAATATTTTAAATGAGAATAAAAAAGGAAAAGGCAACAATTCCCAGCAAACAAACAAACAAAAAAATGTGCAAGTATTTGCCCCTACACAATAACGGTATGAGCAGGTAGCAGGTGCCCCGAGGGCTGGCTGCAGTCTTTCTCATGAGCTACAGGGAAGAGTCCCCTACCACTGCCAGACTTGAAAGGATCACTGTGATCTTTACCTTGAGGATACCAGAACCCTCCTGGATTGACTGAAATCAGGGGTGATTGTCCATTTTCTGAGTCCTGTTTCAGACTTTTGGGTTCACATGTGGCCCTGGGAGACCAGGGTGTTGCAATAATTGTGATATTCTTTTTCCCCCATGACCTGAATCAGATGAATGCTCAGAATCAGGTTCATTTGATTAAAAGAAATAAGTAAATGTGCCAATACCCATTTAGTACATGAACTCTTAGTGGCCACAGATGGCTGGGTAGTTATTCAAGCAAAAACTAATGTGGGTCTGAACTAGCTTACTAACAGAAGAGAAGAGGAGTTATAGACAGATTCAAGAACTACTAAGACAGTTATTAAAACTTGATGATTACTTGTGCATGTGGGTTGTAGCCACCACAGTTAGTGCCTCACCCCTTTGCTCTGAGTGTACCCCAGAGGTCACTTTTAGAAGTGTCCAAGGCCCCTGAAGGGGGCTGTCTAGAAGAACTGAGCGTAAACACCCCTTTCTCCTTGATTTTATATAATCGACTCTAGGGGTAAGTGGCTTAAAAATGGGGAATTATAAATACCTAATGAGTTATTAGGAACCATATTCTTAAAGTACAGATGTCTTTATCAGATCAGAATAATTGGTCATTGTCCCAGAAATTCAATCATCTATGTCCAGAATATGAACAAAAAAACCCTGAGTCTTGACTCACTTGTTAATTCAACAAACACCTTTTGGTAACCTCTTTGTTGGGCATTGAGTAAAGTGCTAAGAATTCAGAGATGAACAAGATACACATTCCTTGGTCTTAAGTATATCTTAGTACACAGAGCTACAAATAGAAATAAATAATTCCAGAGGAAGAAGTACTTGTTTCAAGTGTCAAGTAGGATGTAGGAGCAGGAGAAGGAGCCGTGGGGATTAAGACTGATGGTGATGCAGACTTAGTTCATACTGAGGAGTTTGGGCTTTATTCTTTATTCTGTAGGCAATGGTAAGCACTGAGCAGAAAACCTAAACAAATACAATACCAGTAGTCTCATTATTTCTTTGGAACCTGTTAACCTGTAATGCCATGGCTTGTTATGTCTGGCTACACGATACTACTGGTCATAATTGAACATTCCCTCTCTCTCTCTCACACACACACACACACACACACACACACGCACACACACACCAGATACCATGGATGGTCTCTGTACATACTGCAAATATTCCCCAGCATGCGGGCTAAGAATCAGGCAGTGTTTTTGTCCACATCATTTGGAGTGTGATCACTTTAGCTGGGCAAATGCTGTGTTTTACCCTTCCTAAGTCAGGCATTGCTGGGCATACACAGGAAATCATGTGGCAGCCTTCACTGATAGACCTGAGGCTTGATCATTTCAGCCTCCTTGAATTTAGTAAGACATTTGCCATTGATAGCTCTGGTTGATTGTGAAAATTACCATCTTCTGAGGACATAAGAAAAATCAAGGCTAGCCTGACATAATGAGCTGGGTCTTCACACTTTTCAAAATGAAATCTTGAAGACATAAGAATGATTTTCCCGTTGGATAGTAAAAAATACATAGATTTGAAGTCAAAAAGATCTAAAACTTCAGCTTCATCATTTAGTTGATGGGCATCCTTATAAAAATGTATCATACTACCTTAAGACTTAATATTACTACTGGCATAGATGGCATAGTAATAACAGCTTCATAATTTGGTAGGCATTTAGTAATCTAATGTATATAAATAGTAACTGTGATGGTTATCTGTGGCTAATAAATAATCCCCAAATTTAGTGGCTTAAAGCAACTTTTTTTTTTTTTTATGCTCCTGGCTTCCGTGATTCAGGAATTTGCACAGCAGGAATAACTTGGATCTGTTCCATTACATCAGAGCCTCAACTGGGAGGCCTCAAAGACTGGGGGTGAGGCCAGGTACAATGGCTCACGCCTATAATTCTAGCACTTTGGGAGGCCAAGACAGGAGGAGCCCTTAAGCTCAGGATTTTGAGACAAGCCTGGGCAACATAGTAAAACCCTAATCCTTATAAAATAAAATAGCCAGGCATGGGTGACATGAAGGTATAGTTCCAGCTAGTCAGGAGGCTGAAATAGGAGGATTGCTTGAGCCTCGGAGGTTGAGGCTGCAGGGAGCCATGATTTTGCCACTGTACTCCAGCCTGGGTGACAGAGTGAGACCCCATCTCTCAAAAAGGAAAAGACTAGGGGTGATCAGACAGCTAGAAGCAGGTACATCATCTAGAAGCACCTGCATGTGAGTCACATGTGTCAGACTGTCATGTCTTACAGTTGATCTGATGAGTGGCAGGGACCTCAGTGGAGGCTATCAGCCAGTAGACTCATGTGGCTTCTCCATGTGGCCTGGGCTTTCTCATAGCATAGTGGCCTCAGACTTCTTACATGGTGGCTCAAGCCTCCAGAAATGAGCTTCCCAAGAGAACTAGATGGAACCAGCATTACCATGTATGACCTAGCTTAGGAAATCATATAGCTTTCCTTTGCTCTAGTCACAGTCCTATCCAGATTCAAAGGTAGGGAACATAG
This sequence comes from Homo sapiens, assembly GCF_000001405.40. Classification (NCBI taxonomy): domain Eukaryota; kingdom Metazoa; phylum Chordata; class Mammalia; order Primates; family Hominidae; genus Homo; species Homo sapiens. The sequence continues at coordinate 211,356,472 of NC_000002.12, forward strand.
GACTCACCTCTCAACTGGAGTGCCAAAGCCACATTGTTTTCAAAAGAACACACAAGATAGGAAAATACTGTTGTGGCTAATTTGAGAAAATACAGTCTGTTACAATAACTGACACATGGTAGCTCTTAATACAGTTTCTTCCTTTTCTACTTCTCAGGGCTATTTGGCCAAGTTTCTGTTCAAGGCAATGTACATTTTGTGTTCTTTAATTCAACCAACAAATAGTTAATACCAACTATGAAGATCTTTATTATAAGAGTTTTTTTAATATGTAACATGTATAGGGCACTTTACCTACATTGCTCATTTGATTCTTATAACACACTTATGAGGTAGGCATTATAGATTATGCCATTTTAAAGAGGATCAAACTGAAATATGGAGAAATTAAGTGACCTTCCCATGTAAGTTGCTGGGCCAGAATTTGAACCTGAATAGTGTGGCTCTGGAGGGCACTGTTTTAACCATTCATATACTGTATCTTGCCTTTACCAATGTCCAGATCAATATTGTGATGCATAAACTTATTGATTTGTGACATTATTTTATAATGTCCAAAAAAGTGGAAAAATTATTTTACAGATATGAATAAATTGCTTTTATTTAAAAAATTAAACTGCTTTAAAATATAGCTCTTTTGGAAAGTCTTGGGAGTATGAGCACCACATTCATACATTATTGCTGGGAAAAGACAACTAATATGTTTTGGATGCCTTTTAACATGTCCAAAACTATGCTAGATTCTTTCCTAGAAATAATGACATATGGTAGGTACTGTTATTCCTATTTCATCAGGCACAATATTCTCTCTCTTCCGCTCTCTCTTTCTCATCTCTATCAATCTCTGATTTTGTTCAATCACTAATTGTTATTCCAATATTTATTGTGCACTTTCTCTGTATCAGGTACAAAGTAGAGATTATGGGCAAAATACTCTTAGGTCGCAGTAAATATATGGCCCCTGCCCTCAGTGATCTTACAATTTATCAAAGAAGGTTGATAATTAAAGAAACAATTACAATGAAGTTGTAAAAAATGCTGGGATGGTGCGATTATGGGAATGAAGGAGCCCATTGCAGGAGACTTTCCCTTGTCCAAGGACAATCAGAAAGGAAACCCAGCATAAATGACATTGAAGATTAATTATAAAGGAAGGTAATTAATGAAAAACAGACCCTTTTGTACATTGTCACTTATTTCTTTCCCAAATACTAAAAGATGTTTTATTACTGAAGAAGTAAGAATGAAAAGTAAAAGTAACTGTCTCACAATTATTCTGGAATAACATGTGATTGAAACTGGTGATTCAAACCCAGATTTTTCTGACTCTAAAGCCTAGAGCTTTACTCTATAGCAGTGTTCAAAAAGTTCAATGCGTTAATCACCAATATTCCTGGCACTGTTATCCTGTAGAAATACAGATTCAAGAGCCCTACCTGACCAGCAGAATGAGAATCTTGGGGGCAAGGCTCAGCAATCTCTGTTTTATTTACCCTTCAGGTGATTTTGATGCTCCTGAAGTTTGAGAACTACTGTTCTAAACATAATGAGGTAGAGTTGGACAGGGTTACAATCCTCAAGGAGTTTAAAATCAAATAAAGAGATAAACAAAAATAAAAATGAAAGTAGAAAAGGTGCCATGTGATGGTATGACTTGATAAGAGGTCAGTATAAGGGAAGTGAATGTGCTGCTTGCATAATCAAGAAAATGATCAAGAAAGACATTATAAAAAAGATGGCATTGAATGGGGACTTGAAGGCTGGGGAAAATCTTGATATAGTAGAAGAAGGCTGAATTAGTCCATTTTCATACTGCTATGTATAACTGTGTGACTGTGTAATTTATAAAGGAAAGAGGTTTAATTGACTCACAGTTCAGCATGGCTGGGGGAGCCTAAGGAAACTTATAATCATGGTGGAAGGCGAAGGGGAAGCAGGCACCTTCTTCACAAGGCAGCAGGAAGGAAAAGTGCTGAGTGAAGGGGGAGAGCCCCTTATAAAACCATCAGATCTCAGGGAACAGCATGGGGGAACCGCCCTCATGATTCAATGACCTCTACCCGGTCTCTCCCTTGACATGTGGGGATTTGGGGGATTATGGAAATTGCAATTCAAGATGAGATTTGGGTGGGGGCACAAAGCCTAACCATGTCAAAGGCCTTCCAGAAAAAAAAAAAAAAGGAGTAGCCCTAAGCATTTACATACGTCAATGAACAAGTAGAAAATGTAACCTAAGTACAGTCTGTGTCCCAGGGCAATGACAGGATGCTTGTTAGAATGCAGACTCTCAGGCCCCACCTCAACCTTCTGAACCAAATGCTTGAAAGGAGCTTGCCTTGTCCAGATTAACTAAGCTCAGTTGGAACTTGTGTTTTCAATTAGCCATTGGGGGAAACAGTTTGAGAAGCAGTGATCTTGTTTGTCTCTGAAATTTTATGAATGAGGTAACAGGTCCAACATGCTTGATTTGCCAGATAGAATCCAGAGACTAAGCAGGGATTGGAACTAAGACTTCTTGTGGCTGTTCTAGTTTAAAGTTAGGAAAACAATTTTGCAGGATCTAGGGCTACAGGTCAACTCATCTAGGCAACGACAGAATAGGAATGGAAAAGTGGGGGTGGATGAGAGTGACATAGGATTTATAGAATTTATTAGGAAATAAATTTGATATAAGCCTTGAGGCAGACAAGTAGATCAGAAATGAATTTTAAAATTCAGATTTAAAAATTGTATTTGAATAAAAGCCTTCTACCAAAATAATATCATTATTGTTATTTGGAAGAGAAAAATGAGTTAACAGGCTAAGATCATCTTCAAATGAATCATGCTCCAAAGTTACAGATCACAGTATGAATTAAAGGGTAATTATATCTCCTACAAACTGTAGAGATTCAATATTAATGGCCACCTACTTCCAAAGAAATGTTGTATCTGGAAATGTGAAGCAGAAAGTAGTACCACTAAAAAAAATGTGAACAGTGGCAATGTCCAGGCAGCTTAGATTCTCAAAGGCTCTGACTGACTGTGCCCCTTGGCAACCATTGTCATTCAACCCAAGAGAAAGTTTAAGTGAGCTGAAGGGTCAATAAAGGGAGAGCCCAAGGGTAGATGAGTGAAAAAGGCAGCAGAAAAAGTGCAAACTACAGGGAAAGTGAGGCAAAAGGAAAAGAGGCAGAAGTGGCTTAGCAAGATGGGTCTGCAGAAAACAGAGTCACTAAACCTAAAGAGGAACCAGCCTCTGATGAAGCAGGAGGGAAAGAAGCTAGATCTGACTCCCGTCATATCTACCTGTGATATCTGTGCTCCCTGTACCTCCCTGCACACCTCCCTGCATATACCATCTGAGGGAATATTTTCATCAATGATTTTGTACATAGAAGTCTTTAATAGCTGTGGAAAGGCATTTTTTTTAAAGTGAATCCTACCTCATCTCCTTTTTTAAAACATATTTTTTAAAACAGAAAATGCTTATTTAAGAGGTGAAATCTCATATTGATTTTTTCGTGTGTGTGCATAAAAAATAGTGAGATACGGAATTCATGGACATTTGGTCTTGTATGCCAACTTAACATTTTACTATGTAGTGACTAAAAACAAAGTTTGAAAGTCAATGTTCAACAGGAGAGAATTATAAAGGCTTGTAAAAACAGGCATATATTTGTCTAACATAAAACTCAGAGCTGTGAACTTTGTGTTAATTAGCACACATCTCTATTTCTGGCATGTTGTATGCAAGTTAACAAATTTTGTATTCCAGATAAACAGTAAGAAACATAGACATTTTATTTAGAGAATTAGATTTCTAGGAAATGACCTTTCCAGGCTAGTGAATGTAAAATATTGAGGTTGCTGGAGAAAAAGAAAAAAAAAAAAGTTGGCACCTAGGGAAATTGGAATATTTAAAAATATGCCTTGAAGACCTAAATGACCTTTACTTTTTCTCACTAAATATAAAATGGTCACCTGCGTCCAGATTATACATTTATAGAGAGAGTTTGATTTGAGGTATTCAAGCATTTAGACTTAGGGCATTTGACTTGCCAAAACTCATAGCATTAAAATGAAAGAGAGTTTATCTGTACAGCTAATGCCCCAGGATAAAACCAAATGAAAAATCACTGTTGTCTAAGACATAAAACACAAAGCAACCACCACTTCAACATGCAAGAGAACTTTGTAGTTAAAGAATTCAGTTTCTCCTTTTCTCTAATTTGCCCAAATAACTAAGAGGTATTGGGGCTCAGAAAATAATACCCCCAAAATGAAGACCTCAGAAGCAAACGTTTTTCTCTTACCTTTTCCTGTCCTCCTGTCTCTCGGGCCTATTCCCCACTGAGGCTAGCCATAGAAGCTAGAATCCCTCTTCCCCAAGGCAGGTCGTAGAAACCAGAACCCCTCTTCCCCCATACCTAGTTATAAAACCTAATAATATTACTCAAGTTTTCTCTATGCCTTTCTGTGTAAAAAGTAGCCAGAAGAAGTTATCTGACCTATCTCATTTGACAGTAGGTCATAAGACCCCCATTCCAGAAATGGTTCTGCCCCACATCCAGAAAGAAGAAATTCATGCTGAAAGAGGACAAGAAGAATCTAGATAGATTGGCCTTGCTGGGCTTCCCCACTCAGTCCATTACCATTAGATGAGACCATTTTTGTCCAATCATATTTCTACACAGCTTTCCATACTTTGTTGAACCTAAACATAAAAATGGACTACTTCCCTTCTATCTTTGGGTCTTCAGTCTGAGGTTCTCATGTATACATGTTAAATAAATATGTATGGCCATTCTCCTATTAATCTGCCACATGTCAGTAATTTTTCAGTGATTCTTCAGAGGGCGAAGGGGAAGTTTCTCCTTGGCACCCCACAGAGGTTATATTAATATTAAGCTTGAGAGATGTTGTCGTGTTTCTATCTTGCTAACACCATATTTGGTTAATCAGATAATTAGAAGTGCTTCCTTAGTACTTCTATCCTGAGTCTTTTAAGGGAGAAAATTATTTTTCCTCTACTCTCTTATTAAAGTTTAGAGTCCCTGAAGCCTGCAAATTAAATTGACAAAAGACAGATTAACAGGAGAAAAAGTTTTATTCATATGCATATGAACATAGTAGCCAACAAAAGAAGGTGATGTTAAATGGTTAAAGGTAAGGCTTACATACATAATTTAGGAGAAACAGCCTATGGGAAGAACAAATACGTTTCTTTAGGAAAGACTAATGGGTTTCTTTTTTTAATGCATGCAATAAAACTTTATTTATAAACACAAATGTAAGCTTTATTCAATTTATTTATAAACACAAATGTAAGCTTTATACATACCACAAAGCACTGTTTCTTTTTCTGTTTTTTTGTTTTTGTTTTTGTTTGTTTGTTTTCAGTTGTTTAAAGCTAGAAAAAACATTGTTAGGTCAGGCTGTACAAAAACAGGCAATGAGCTGGATTTGGTCTAGGGATCATAGTGTGCCAATGCCTGGCTTCCATTATTCTTATGTTTTTGCTCTGCCATTTTCCTTTTCTGTTTTCCTGTGCCTCTTGATTACTTATTTGTCTCTCCCTTCTTTCTTTTTGATCTTCCTTCATCTCACTGCTGATTCTCCTATATCTTCCTTCTTCCCCATTCTTCCTTCTTCCTTATCTTTCATTTCTTCCTTTCTTCAAACACCATAGTGATTTTCTTCTATTTTCCTAAGCACTGTCATCTTCGGTGTAAGGGTTTCCTGAAAGTGAGCTTTACTTTCAGAAATAAATAGATGGGATTAAAATAACATTTAAAACATGGAGTCCTAAAATTGTTACATTATGCCCTCCCATTTCCCTTCTTCTCCTCCTTCTCATCTTTCTTTTTTTCAACCTTTATTTTAATTTCAGGGGTACATGTGTAGGATGTGCAGGTTTGTTACATAGGTAAACATGTAACAATAGGTGGTTTGCTGCACAGATCATCCCATCACCAGATATTAAGCCCAGCATCCATTAGCTATTCTTCCTGATCCTCTTCCTCTTACCAACCCTCACCCTCTAACAGGCCCAGTGTGTGTTGCTGTCCCCCAACAAGTCCATGCATTCTCATCTTTAGGTTCTCACTTATAAATGAGAACATGCAGTATTTGGTTTTCTGTTCCTGCATTAGTTTGCTAAGGATAATGGCCTCTAGCTCCATCGATGTCCCTGCAAAGGACAGGATCTTATTCCTTTAATGGCTGCATAGTATTCTATGGTGTATATGAACCACATTTTCTTTATTTGATCTATCATTGGTGGGCATTTAGGTTGATTCCATGTCTTTGATATTGTGAATAGGGCTGCAATGAACAGGCACATGCATGTGTCTTTATAATAGAATGATTTATATTCTTTTGGGTATATACCCAGTAATAGGATTGCTGGATCAAATGGTATTTCTAAATCAATGTGCAAAAATACCTAGCATTTCTATACACCAACAGCAGGCAAGCAAATAATCAAATCATGAATGAACTCCCATTCACAATTGCCACAATAAGAATAAAATACCTAGGAATACAGCTAAGAAGGGACATGAAGGACCTCTTCAAGGAGAATTACAAACCACTGCTCAGAGAAATCAGAGATGACACAGACAAATGGAAAAACATTCCATGCTCATGGATAGGATGAATCAATATTGTAAAAATGACCACACTGCCTAAAGCAATTTATAGATTCACTGCTATTCCCGTTAAACTACCATTGACGTTCTTCACAGAATAAGAAAAAAGCTATTTTAAAAGTAATATGGCATCAAAAAAGAGCCCAAATAGCCAAGGCAATCCTAAGCAAAAAGAACAAAGTTGGAGGCATCATGCTACCTAACTTCAAACTATACTACAGGGCTACAGTAACCAAAACAGCATGGTACTGGTACACGCACAGACACGTAGACCAATGGAACAGAATAGAGAACCCAGAAATAAGACTGCACCACTACAACCATTTGATCATCAACAGAACTGACAAAAAAAACAAAAAAGCAATGGGGAAACATTTCCTCATTTAGTAAATGGTGCTGGGAGAACTGGCCAGCCATATGTAGAAAATTGAAACTGGACCCCTTCCTTACACCATATACAAAAATCAACTCAAGGTAGATTAAAGATTGAAATGTAAAACCCAAACTATAAAGACCCTAGAAGAAAACCTAGGCAATACTTACAATTCAGGGCATAGGCATGGGCAAAGATCTCATGGACAAAGATGCCAAAAGCAATTGCAACAAAAGTGTCAGTTGACAAGTGGGATCTAATGAAACTAAAGAGAATCTGCACAGCAAAAGCAACTATCAATAGACAACATACAAAATGGGAGAAAATTTTTGCAACCTATTCCATATGACAAAGGTCTAATATCCGGCATCTACGAGGAACTTAAACAAATTTACAAGAGAAAAACAAACAATCCATTATAAGGTGGGCAAAGGATATGAACAAACACTTCTTAAAAGACAACATACATGCAGGCAGCAAACATATGAAAAAAACTCAACATCACTGATCATTAGAGAAATGCAAATCAAAACCACACTGAGATACCATGTCACACCAGCCAGAATAGCTGTTATTAAAAAGTCAAAGAACACTAGATGTTGGTGAGGTTGTGAAGAAAAAAGGAATAATGTTTTTACAGTGTTAGTGACAGTGTAAATTAATTCAACCATTGTGGAAGAGTGTGTTGATTCCTAGGAAAACAAATGGAAGATACGAAAGTTTGTGATAATGTTTGTCTGTGCAGGTATGAGTGGTCTTTCCATCTTCTTCATAAACTCTCCTGGTGAAGAGATTCAGGGAAATGTACTTTGGGTCTCCTGGGAGTAGAAGCCTTCCCAGAGAGGGAATTTATGGCAGTCCTCAGTTCTCAGAAGTTTCTGATTTTTGTCAGCTAAGGGAAGCTCTGAGAAAGCTTCTTCCTGCATCTGTGGAATGTCAAATTTCTTCAGCTTAAATTAATCTTTATATCAACCCTAGGGTTTCATGTAGGTTCCCATAATCTCAGACTGTTTTTCAAGCATTTACTCTCCAATGTTATAAAATTATTATTCCTCCTTTCTATGCTATAAAAGAAATACCTACTTGATCTCTAAAAAATTTTTTTTAAGTTATTATGAAAACCAAATTTCTCTTCTTACCCTCTCCGTTTTTCTGAGTCTTGATAGAGTTTGAGTAACTTCCCCTATTATTCAACGTTTTGCTTTACCTCAGGTTTTGTTTTGAAGCTCTTTTGGAATGGACTATTCATGGAAATGCCCACATTATTTAGACCATTGGGAAGGTTTTCAGCCTAAATTTTTTAACTGATGTTTCCTTTATTGCATTAGAAGCATGATTATCAATGTGAAACATAAATATGAAAATAGTAGAAGTTGCTCCTATTGGAAATGTGTAGATATGGAGTGGAAGCAAATTAGTGATAGTTTGAAAGACTGGCAAGTTCAATTCCAACTTCTTTCAAATGAGCAGTGAAGGAAACAGAATATTTCACTCCCCTCCAATATACTTCTTTGGTGTATTTTGAGTCGGCTATTCAGAGGGGCTGAAAACCACAGAAATAGCTTTGAAAAGCTGTCCTTTTGTGGGGAGATTTGCATCTGTAAAGGAAATCTATATTAGTGAAATAAACAGCAGATGCAAACAGGCTTTCTCTGATGCCTCCCTCCCCCACCTTGTCCAGATCTAGAACAAATTAACTCAGAGGAAAATAAGACTAAAAGTTTGATGCTTCTGAAGGTGTGACAGAAATACTCTTACCACAGGCTTTTGTCTATTCTTTCTGAAACCTGCTACCTGAGAGATTTTATCTGCATAAGAAACAGCCTTGCTACCTATGCTTTCCTCCCTTCACCCTCCCATAATCTGTGACACCACTTCCCTAGTCCCCTTTAGAAGTCACAGTCCTCTTCTTCCTGTAACCTCAGGATGTTGTAAAAACTTCAGTCATCTGGCCACTCCTTTGAATCTCGTATTTTGTGTATGGCTTCCATGTTTATGCACCTTCATACATTTGTATACCTTTTTTCTTGTTAACATGTCCATTACCAGCTTGTTTTATAGGCTCAAATTATTGAAACTTCAGATGGGGAAATAAATTCTTTACCATTACAATAGCAAGGTCTTATTGGTAGTTTGAATATACATTACAATTTTTTTATGTGGACTTGGTTTTCTGTTGTGAATGAGTAATGTTACTTCTCAAAGAGCTCTGGCCAACTAAGACTGTTAAATTAAAAAAAAAGATATTTCTATAATTGGTATCATTTCATTTAGAAAATGTGTAAGTACATGTAAATATGAGGGCCTCAAAGTGCAGCTGGTCATCACAGGTCAGCTATTCAATCCCTGTGCTTTTTAAATTTGAAAATTAAGTGAAATTTGTTATCTTTTTTGACTTGAAGCAGCAGCAATGTCATCACCAGTGCCATTTTTTCAAAAAAAATTAAAAATTAGAGATCCCAACATATAGTAGCACCAACGTTAGATGGCCTTTTTAAGAAATATGAAAGGAATGTAGAAGGAACGTGTTTTAAATCTTCCAAGAGAGAATCACAAGGTCCTAACACAAAATGAATGCAAATCTGGAGCTACTCTTTGTTGTTGAGGATGACATAACGCAATCAAGAAAAAGACATGCTATGGGCTCATAATCTGTATCCCTGATCAATCTGCTCTTGTATTAAAGACAAGTTTACATGGAACAGCATCTTGGCTTTGGATCATAGGACAATTTTCTTTTGTCTAATAATCCATCCCTTGCTCACTTCTCTTGTGCTAGGAAAAAAAAATCAAAATGTGTCACTAGCATAAAATGTTGTCAGTGAGGCTGAGGAAGTTCTCTGTGATAGGGAAATCTTCCTTGTCCCAACTTAAAGCAAAACATTCTCTCCAAGAGGAGAAAGCTCAAAGTCAACGTCTGTAGTAACACTTGCACACAGATTTTTGAGAACTAAACTGGCAAAAATGGTCCTCTGTGAGTTTTCAATTTGTTTTGAATAACTCTGAGGCTGTCCACAAAGATTCTACAAACACAAATATGTAAGTCGAGGTGAATGGAACATCATTTCATAGTCCCTTAAACATGTATACAGTGATTAACTCAAAATTCTATTTCTAGGAATTTGTCCTAAGAAAATAATGTATTATGTACATGACAGTCCAAGGCAATGCAAATGTCCTCAATAAAAAGTTTGTTTGAAATTATAATACTTCCACACAATAGGAGAATATGTAACTATTACAAACAAACTTTAAAAGAATATTTGTGGACATGAATAATGTACATGATATGTTTTAAGTGGGGAAAGACCATTAAGTAAACATATATAGCAAATGATACCATATTTGCAAAATACTTTTTGTAGGTTTAGGATTTGTATATGATATGATATCATATGATCATTATTTTTTATTTGTATTCTCTGATTCTGTACTTTCTCCTTTCCTTTAATGTATAAGTATTATATATACAGAATAAACTTATTTTAGAAAAGAATATTCCTAGCATAGCAATAGTACTGAGTTTGTGCTATAGCTGCTGACTTTCTGAGCATTCCCATCAAACCTGGAAAGGTCAACTTGGCTGGCTCCTCATTCATTAAGGACCTCAATGCAAAGTTAGTCCTCTGGTTTCATCTACCAAGTGAGAAAAAGACAAAACAGCTTCCTATAGCAGCTTCCTCCAGTTTACTGTTCCCAAGCAGCAGAAGAAAAACTTTCCAAATATCACACCTGCCGTGTTTTAGAACATCAAGAAATAATGCTCACCACACTCTCCCTCAACCATGGGGTTTCGTCTCCATCCTACTCCCAAACATGTTGACATAGATATGAGGAAAAAGTTAGCACACTGGTCCTGGTTGCTCAATACTAGCATGTCTGCAGCGGAGTCTGGAACTGTGATTGACCCTTGGCTAATGCCTGAGAACGTGGCTCTTAGAATACTCTTTATGTTACTATGTTACTAATTAAGGATACCAATACACCTGGAGCAATGGGGCATAATGTACCAACTTGTCAGGACTTGTCAGGATTGATTTACACAAATGTCAAGATTGATGATGTCCCTGGTTATATTGCTGGAGTCTTGAATTTCAGTTACCATGGTCGGTTGCACAGCAGGACGCACCTACATGACCAGTCCTCCATAAAACCCTTGGATCCTGAGACTTGAGTAGGCTTTTCTGGCAGAGACACTTTACATGCATCTCTGCTGCTCCCAGGTGTAGGAAGAAGCATGTCCTGTGTGATCGTAGAAAGGGAAGGACTTAGAAACTGGCATCTGACTTCACTGAACCCTTTTTAATGCTGTATTAGTCTGTTCTCACACTGCTATAACTAACTGAAACTGAGTAATTTATGAATAACAGAGGTTTAAGTGACTCACAGTTCCACGTGTTATACAGAAACCATGGTGAGGAGGCCTTAGGGAACTTACAATATGAGAGAGTGAGCGCATGTGAAGAAGGAAGTGCCACACACCTTCAAACAACCAGATCTCCTGAGAACTCACTCACTATTACAAGAACAGCAAGAGGGAGTCCACCCCCATGATTCAGTCACCTCCCACCAGGCCCTTCCCCCGACACATGGGGATTACAATTGTAGATGAGATTTGGGTGGGAACTCAGAGCCAAACCATATCAACTGCATATCTTTGTTTTTTCCTGTTGTTCTTGCTCCTTTGCTATAATAAAACTTAGCTGTTGAATATAACCTGTTATTGAGTCTTGTGAGCTTTTCTGATGAATCAGAAAACAAGGGTGGTAGTCAGACCCCCCAAAACAAAAGCTCTCCATTTCACCCACAACTCCCAGAACACTCAGTCTGTGTTGCCAGTTTTGTTCTATACCAAGAAAGCATTTGATGTTTGTCTGGAATTCATCTGTTTAGCAGTCTTGCTGAGCTGAATCTAAGCGGCTCACCCCATTGGCCTTGTCTCCATCTGGGCTCGTAAGTTTGCACTTTTACACCCTCAGCAAAGGACCTCACTGAGACATTTGTGAAGCTGAAATCTACGATAGTGAACTAGATAGCAAAATAAATACTGGTGAGATTTCCATTCTGAATACCAGAGAGAATGCCAGAGAGGGGCCCAAGCAGGAGACTGTGAACCTGGTGGCTGCAGAGAAAATGAACAGAAAGAAGCCAGAGTGCATAGGTTCCCAGCAGCTGCTTTGGTTATTTTGGTCCTTTGGTGTCAATCAAATGGGGACAATTATTTGTGAGGTACAGTCTCTGATGCTCACTTTCACTCACCTAGTGGCTTCTCATACCTGAAGAGTTATTAATTGCCCCCTCACATTTGTTTCTGGCTCTACATACTTTGTTCCTTCATCTTTTCTTCCTGGAAAACCATTTTAGGTCATTCATCATTTGTTAAACCCCTCTGAGTTGTCTGAGAATTTTATGTGTTAATCTTTACATATAAGGCTGCTGTGGAAATATAACATTTTAGCTATTGCTATGAATCTATCTACTAGAAAATCAACAGCTTTCATTTCTGTGTTTGTCTTTTGCACACAGGCCATTCTCAAGTCTCCTGTCTAGGACCACATCTGTAGTTGAAAGAATAGATGACATTTCCCACATATTTAGATTTCTGGGAGTTTCTTGAAATGGGATGATAACAGTGGGTGACTGAACAGTGCTGTTTTGTTTTGTGGACTCTTGGAATTTGAAATCTATGGATCAGATTATAATAATGGCCTTTCACTGTAAAAATACTGAATTTGATCAATAATAATAATTTTTAAAATACACTTAATACTTTTTTAAAAAACTAAATTTTTTAAAAAAGAAAACCAACCACTCTAACATGATTTAAAAAGAGATTCTTTAAGCACATGATTTCATTTGGAACTATTTTATTTTAATTTGTTTTAATATTTTCAGTTGAGCTACCATTCTCATTCCAAGTAATTTTAAATTAGCTTCATCTTAATCCTCTGGTTGATACTACTAGACTTTATCATCCAATATTTTCTCTTCTTTATTTGCCTCAAAAGTCAAGCTACACTGGGCACAGTGGCTCACACCTGTAATCCCAGTAATTTGGGAGGTCATGGTGGGAGGATCACTCAAGACTAGGATTTTGAGATCAGCCTGAGCAACATATCTACAAAAATGAATTAAAAAGAAACAGGCACAGTGGTGTGGGCCTGTAGTCCCAGCTGCTTGGGAGGCTGAGGCAGAAAGAAAGCTTGAGGCCAGGAGTTTGAGGCTGCAGTGAGCTATGATCAAGACACTGCACCCCAGCCTGGGTGACAAAGGGAGACCTTGTCTTTAGAAAAAATAAGTCAAGCTGAGCATCACCTATATTAGGCAAGAAACTGAAGAGTACCTGATTAGCGCTTTGTTATCTATTCTTTGACAATAGCAGGACTGCTGCTAAATTTAGTGAGAAATCTAGTTCACACCAGAGATCAACGTTAAAATCTTTTCTGCAATGTCTCTTTTATCCTCTGAAAGAAAGATGTCAATATTTTTCATTATACAATTTTTCAATCTATAGAGTTTGAATTTAGCTCATAAAATTAGATAACACGGGGGAAAAATTGTATTTATCACATAATAGTAAAATTGACCCATCTGAGTATTGGAGAATGAAATGCCTTAGGATGATCACTGCTTGATCTGTCATTCACTGTGAGTTAGGGAAAACCTAGCATAAACCAGAGTGAGGCCAATCTATTTTTGTAGAATGTTAAGCAATTATATTCCTATTGTTAACTGTAAAATCCTTTTAAAATTGCTCTACAAAGTAGTACATTATATCTAATACATTGAATATTAAAATGCTCTTTTACTAGAATGATGGCAATAAGCATAACTTTATTATTAATATAAAGATTTTTTTAAAATATCTTTTGTTTGTTTTCCAAATAATGTATGGACGGTCATTCTCCTTCCTCCCCAGACATGTCCTTCCCCACCCCTGAAACTCCAGAAAACAAGTTACTAAGCACCAAGAGTTTGAAAAAAGGAATGAGCCAAGATATAAAGTAAGTGCGGGCTGAGGGGGTCCGGAGAGGCAAATGACCAGAAACTCAACACGCGAGAGCTCCTAGCAATCAGGCAAATGACACATTGTGCAAGATAGGAGATAGAAAGTGTCTAAACTGAATAATGGGAAAAATGCCTACTAAGGCCCTACTAAAGAACCAGTAGGAGAGTATAGGTCTATTCAGAAAGGCGGTATAGCCAAGAGCCAGTTGGATCTTGGTTGGAATTCTAGCCGTAGAACCTCCCAGCTGTGTAACATTGGTTAAGTAGCTTAATACTTCTATGTTTCAGTTACTTTCACTGAAAAGGAGGAACCATGACAGTTTGTGACATAATATTTTTTAAGTGCTGTCTTGATCCACTTTTGAGGTCATGGCTAAAATCTCAATGCCCCTTCATTGGCAGTTTGCTAAGCCCATGTTCTAACCCCTTCCACCTTATAAGGCTCTAACATGCTTACTTACAAAACATACCCTCAACTGCCAGAAGCCCAGGTGCCAAACATTTAAGGATGGTCCCTTCTTCCTTGGGTCTGCAGATTATTCAGAATGATCAATAGCAAGCTTTTGAAACCTAGCTAACTCTACCTGGCTTGCCATACATAAACTATCTCCCTTGCTATTACAATTTTCCCCAGTTGCATCCCACCGTGTTGCCCTGCATGGCAGTCTCCTCTCTTTCGGAGCTGTAAGTAATAAAGAGTTCTGGCCCCTACGTATTCAGGGGTCACTTTACTGTGCCCCATCGTCATCAGAATGAGTTAGTGCATGCAACTTGTTTAGTATACTGCCTAGTACATAGCTGTTTTGCTGTCCCCTCATGATTCTTTTACTCATGAGGAGTTCCTCTTCAGGCTACAAGATAGGAAACTGCCAAGGCACTATGGGAAGAACTAGAGAAAAGAAACGACAATATTTTCACTTTTAAATTCACTATTTAAAAAAATAGTGATAAGATAGAACCCACTCTTCACAATACTCCTCTTTCCCCACCAATCCCACTTTTCAACTTAAAAAGCTCCTCTGGTCTGGGGAAGGAGAATGAGGATAAAGGGGAAAATGACAGATTCTGATGAGTGTCTATGAGCATACAATTTACTTCTGCAACCTTCCCTAGGTTAAGTTAGGGAATGCAAACTATTTCCCACTTTCTGCAGGAACCTTGAAAAGTAGCCTGACAGAGTTTCACTTCCCCTTGAATTGGAAGTAGTCGGGTTGATAGAGAGTCATAGTAGCAAGACCAAGTTTTCAGAGACCAAAAGTCATGTAAGCAAGAGTATTTTACTGTTTCTTCTAGAAAGGTTCAGAGGTTTTCAGGAGCACCTGAGGACCATGGTCACAGCAGGGGCATATGAGAGCGGAATGTGCATTAGACCAAATGGTCAGGTACCAGATGGGAATCTCAAAGGGAGACAGAGGAAAACAGTGATAATTATCAATAAACAGAGCTGTTGTGTATATCCTAACAGACGTCATCATCAGATATTGATCAAGGACTAGGCATTTCACTCTGTTGTCATAATGCTACATCAGCTTGTGTCAGACAAATTTATGCTCACTCAATATATATGTGCTCCCACAGCTCCCTTGAACTTGGGCACCTGGTGACTAGTTTCAACCAGTGGCCTCTGAGCAGGAGTGATATGTCACTTCTAGGTTGTGCCAGTGAAAAGTCCCTGTTTGTGCCTCCAACATTCTTCTCTCTGTTACGATGATTATGGAGGTAACATGTAGAAATTGATGAGCCACAAGATGAAGTAGTCTGGTCTCCTAAGACATCATTTGGAAGAAACCTGTCAAACTCACAGCCAAATTAAGCTTTTATATTATAAGCCAGTAATATTTCAGAGTTAGGTTACCATCACTGCAGAAACTTGTAAATACTTAGTACTAAAGGCCCTAGAACGTAGAGGCCACCTCAGAGATGAAGTGATGAGGAAAAACCCTCAATTGGCTGAATATACTCTAAATTGATTCTGAAAAATTCTTATTTGCTTATGTTTTCTATATATGTGTATGTTTTCCTCTTCTGAATGAACTGGAAATTTGGGAAAGGTGCTAAGTTTTGTAACCCAAAAACTATACATTTATTGCATGTC
This sequence comes from Homo sapiens, assembly GCF_000001405.40. NCBI lineage: Eukaryota > Metazoa > Chordata > Mammalia > Primates > Hominidae > Homo > Homo sapiens. Next base: position 211,372,580 of record NC_000002.12, read on the forward strand.
TGAGTTTAACTTTGTGAGGAAAAAAACCACAGCCACTACATAATTGTTAATATTATAATGTGATTGCAATGTAGCACAAGAAATAAAGTATTTTGATGTCAAGTAAGTTTGTGTCCCAGCTGTACCAATTTTTGTGTGGCTTTGAACAGGTTTTTTAATCTTTCTAAAATTTCACTTTCCTCATTTACGAAAAGAGGAAAATAATAGTACCTAACTAGTAAGGTTGTGGTGAACATTAAGATACAGTGCATACACAGGTTCTTAACAGAAAGCCAGCATGCGGCAAGCATCCAATCAGTGTCTACTATTATCTTAATGTTGTTGTCGTGATGGCTATAAATCCACACAAATATGATAGTTCCATACTAAGTAATAGCAGGGTGATTGTATAAATCCCTAAATACATGAACAAAGATGATATAGAAAAGATGATGCTTAAGATAACTGAATTGAGGCATTAAGTTCTGATCAGGATACTTTGTGCTATGTATCTGCCTCTTGCAATAGGAGTCAGTGGGCAGCTAATGGGATAAGTCTTTAATGCCTGGAAGCTTTGTTCTTCTGTTTCTAAAAGAGGCAGAAAACTGATTATATTATTTTTTTAGAGCTCTCTACTTGTCTTGGAAAGATAAGTAAGTAGAAACAGGTCAAATATTTTGCAAGATGGGTATTTGTCTTTTGAAAACCTACGGGTAACCTACAAGAGCAGTATTCCAATATTCATTCACATGTCTCCTGTGTACCATTTGATTTACAGTCTCCTGATTGCTATCTTGTGGTGAATTGTTCTGTTTATAGCTTCAAAATTGCTATCTGGGTGACAGTCTTCTGTTTCTAATCTTCAGATGGTTGTCTAGTGGCTTTGCTCCCCATGGCTTATCATGCAGCTTGATAACACTGTGGAGGGAAATACAATTAGCTAACTACGCACCTGCTCAGTTTATAGTTTTATGAGTCCATCTTGTAGTATGATATACATTATGGGGCTTGTGATAGAAGTTCTTGAAAATAGAGATTTTGTATGAAGTTCTGCAATATATCAATATATCTTTAAATATTTTACATCTCTTTATATGTTCTGTATATGTATATCTACTACATCTCTATATATTCTGTACATATATGTATGGCTGCATATATGTGTCTCCCCATAGGGGCTTTTTAAATTAAGCAATTGTGAATTCAGGATTTTAAGACTATAAAGCAGGAGAGAGTAGCTAGAGTCAGAATTGTGACGTTCATTTTAGCCTTGTTAGAAGCTCTTCTATACCGCTTTATATACCTCACAGCTTTTCTATAATTTCTTCCTCTCATCATCGTCATTTTAAATGAAGCTTTGACATTGGATCAGGATCAGATTCTACATTGTGAGTATTTTAGAAGTTTCCAGTGACCACTTAGCCTATAATAAACGCTAGAAAATTTACCAACTTATTTATAAATTAGGCATTTTATATGAAGTTTCTCCTCTATTAACACTAATATATGCAATAACACTGCTAGAGATAAGTGTAGTTATCTGCAATATTCTCTGATATATGTGGGGGAGAAGTGGGTGCCTTACCAAGCAGATTTCTAACACCTTGGGCAGGGCACACCATCAGTAGGCTCTCCACATGGTGGTGGTTTTGTTGTTGTTTCAATTATTTTACTTGTGATTATGTTGCACTTAATCTTTCTAGAATGAAAGAAACCTCATCCTCCATTATAGATAAGTTGCTCCCAGATAGTTTGAGGATGTGGAATAAGGTTTTTAATTGCATCACAAGAGCGGTTGTCAAAAAACTAATAAAAGACCATTGAAGGTCTTGACCTTCATCAGTGTGTCAGCTTTATGCATGCTTTCATCAGAAGGTGGTTACTCCTTATCAGAGGAAGAAAGAAAAGTGGTAACTAATTAAAGAAAGATATTTAAGTCAGAATATGAAGCTTTGAGAGTGAGTACCATCACTTACTAATGGTTGTATGATTCTAGTTTACACTTGTTATTTCAGTTTTATTTTCCTTATATGGGTGACTAGGATTATTCTAATAATACTTACCTCAAAAGGGTGCAGTAAGCCAAATGAACCAACATATGAAGAATTTTATAAAGCACTATGTAATTAGTAAGTAGTATAACTGCTATAAGCTAGCAGCATGGTGCCACTGGAAATTTCAATTGTACCTTAAAGCATTAGGAACACAAGTTGTTTCTCCTCCCTTCTCAGTTTATAGTTGTTTAAAATGCATAGTGCCCTGACATATCTTACCCTGAACACTATGAAATCACAATGATTTCAGATGAAAGGGCCATAATATATAAGGGAGGGTATGTGTGCAGGTCCATGCAAATAGCAGGTGTTATTAACAAGATCTTTGAAGCTCCACAATTGAACAGGTTTAAGAAAATTTACTCCAATATATTAGGCTGAAAATATATTTTTTGTCCACTGACTCAGTCATCATTCTATACAGTCAAATAACCACAGTAGTTTCAAAGAATAACAGAATCTCTAATCAGAAGTTATTGGAATTTTGAAATTCTTACACTTTGGAGGCATGGAGTAATCAATGATGTTTAAAATCAAAAAGTTATATAATAAGAAAATGTTGAGAGAGGATCTTGTTCATGTCACCAATGTCTCTGAAGTCACTCTCACACTGTTATGTGGGCTTGTCATAAGTCACTAGTCAGCTGATTGACTATTTAAGGTCTTATTCTCCCTCCCCCACCTCAAGGACAGTAGTAACATCTGATATTCTTTATAGCCAAGGATTGCCAGGATCCATTTTATAAACTGCAATGAGGGCAGAAAGAAAAAAAGTATATAAAAATATTAATGTCGTTTGGATGCAACCTACAAAATATTTTATATATTTTTTTATTCTCAGAGAAACAAACCAACCAGAGTTAATTAAGCATAGCATGCACAGATGAGTAAGTCTGTACACATCAATGGGCATATGCAGTGGATGGTAAAAACATATGGAACATATCACATCCCAAACACCAAAGAGTTCTGAGGAATAACTAATGAGCTGCATAAATATGGGCAAAATAAGCCCATTTTTATATCTTCACATTATTAAACCTAGAACAAATCTTCCTCTCTGCTAGTTGGCTTATCTAATAACAAATTTCTGACACAAAAGAGAACGTTTGTTTCATATTTTATTGAATTTCATTTATATTAAATTAAAAATATATTTCTGACAGATTCATGTAACAAAAAGGCAGAACAGTTTTCAAATTGTTCAGCTGGGATGATCAGTATGGAATGAGGCAAAGCAGTTCGCATTCTATAATTGCCTTGTACAGGTACAATTCTTTCCCAAGAGCCAAAAGAGGATCCTTGAGAACTAACGGAAAAGCCTAATTACATAAATGTAAAATACTGTTTCTCCCTCATTCTCAAATAACAACAGGAATGAGGGAAAGGAAGGAGGATGGGTAAAAGGTTGGAGGAGAAGAAAGAATAAGAGAAAGTATACTAAAAATATGCCTAACATTAAAAAAGTTAGTATGTGTTAGGTGCATGATCCTTCATCAATAACATGGAAAAAAATCAAAATAACATTACACCACACACAATTGGCATATCCTATTGTGTAAGCGAGTGCAGAGGTTGAACACATCACAATAGTGCTGAACACAGAATCACAAGTAATGTCAAAATGATAACTTCCAACCAAAAAAGAAACAATCACAGGCCAATTACTTATATACAAATCAACCCTAAAGACAATTATGTTCCAAATAAAGATGTCCACAAAAGAAAATCAAAGCAACATTATACTTATTTACAAATGCAACTAGCCATGTCTTTAACAAGCTATAAAAATACTATTCACATTTTCAAACATACAGTAGTATTTTTTGTTTGTTTATTTCAAAAAGGCAGCTAACTTTGAATGCAGGGATTTAAATAAAACATTGATGGCTTACCAGCAAGGTATTTTTGCACCCCAATCCTTTGAAGATACTTCACAAGAGAGAGGGCTTGTTTTCTGCTTACAAGTTAAGAAAATAAGGAAGTGAGTACAAATGTATACACCTTAAGCCTCTGCCTTTTCAGTAAAGTGACTCCCTCTCTCACCCAAACTGATGTCAGTAAATTACTTTGATGCATGTATAAGATGAATGTTTGAGAGTAGATTTAAGATGACTTTTTTTGTGCTATGAATTGTCTTCCACATTGATCTCATTTTCATTTGATCTTCTTGTAATGGTGCTCAAGAAAGAGATGAACTAGTCATACACCATGGGAAAATGCGGTTTCAGCATGCAGCCACGCAATCCCTGGTGCTCTCAACATGAGAAGGAGACACACCAGCCAGGGAGACAGGCATTCAAAGTTAGCTGCCCTCACACAGCTGCTCCGTTTAATAATCGACCCATTTAACAGCAGTACCAGTTTATGCTACATATTTCAAAGTACCTTACTTTAAAAGAACACCTTACATATCTACATTTAGAAAATAACTTTCGTAGTTGATTACTGGAGTAATCCCAAAAGGGTTCTTGGAGTGCTATGGTTGTAGTCCCCTCACTCCCCCCTCCCAGCCCCTGAGAGATCCAGAAATATACAGGAAAATGACTCTCACATTAAGGGAAAAGGACAACCCCCAATTAACTAAAAAATCTGGAAATGACATTTGAAAACCAGATTCGTGTCAATATACAGGAGGTATGATTTGCTTTCCTTCACAAAGGCTATAGGCCTGGGGGAAATATCTACGCATTGGGGATAAAAATAGCAGTAAAGGCAAAGTGGTTTGGACAAGTTAGACTATTGCCTACAGGTATGAATCTTTGTTTTCCTATATTTGTATATTTGCACAAATATAACCACTTCTCATGATATAGGGAAAGCTCACTAGAGCATGAAAAGAAAAACGTCCATAAAGAGCAAAAGTAGGTAAAGGATGGCATTCTATTAAACAACATGGATTTTCATTAACATGAACTGTCCTCATTATGTATTTGTTAGATGGATGAATGATCCAAAAAAGAATTGCAGGTGGTTATCAAAGCTGAATAGCCTTTACCTTTATGATAATAAGACTCCTCATTTGGGAGAAAAAAATTTACAGCAGCTACAAAATATTTACGATTAGGAACCAAATAAGATGAATAAAGCAAATAAGTTAATTTACTGGCAAAAATAACTTCTTGGTTATATGTACAGCTTTTATGTAAAGATTAAATCGAAGTTCTACCAAGTGTATGTGGACATATGTGAGTTTCAAGATTCATCACAGGGCTAACTCGTCTCAAATTCCTATAGGGAAGGACACAGAGAATTGATCTTCATGGGAAACCATAATTTTAATAGCTTAAATATTCTCTATGCGGTAGTTTGATAGTTCACTTAAACAGTGTCCAAATTGCTAGAATCTCTTATGAAAAAATCAGGCATTCGAGGGCAAAGATGAAGTCAGTGTTTCACAAAGTGGGGTGTAGGATCTCAGAGATCCACTATGGCTTAAGAAAGGAACAGGACAGCATCGGGGGACTACTTTGAACCAGGGTGGTAGAAAGGGAAGAGAGCAGTGCCAGTTGTGTCAATGGGCAAAAAAGGGAAGGATTCTATTTTCCTCTAAAGGTCAGAGAGAAATACATTTTTCTTTGATTCCTAACAAGGTAATCACTTACTTGCAAAGCTGACTGTCAAAGAGTATTTTCCAGAGGAAGCATGTGAATACCCCCCGTGAAATTGGGGCTTAGAGTCATTTTAGCTTGTGACTATAGAAGCATTTACTTCTGCCCAAAATGTCACCTGGCCAGGAATTAGGTGAGGCAGGGGCCTGCAAAAGTGACAGATCCTACATTTTTGGACCTCTACAAAATCAGTGAGACTTGAACCGAGTATCTGAAATTTCTATTATTTTAGAGAGACTTTTAATGAAAAGAAAAAAGCAGCTCACACTGCTAAAAGATATTTGCCCACACAAACACAAGGGCCCCTGGCCCGACACAATGCCCACAACAGCTTCTTGTTTCCAACTGCAGAGAGAACTCAGATCTCTGGGATCAGAAAAATTTTATTAATTCTACCCAGAAGTATAAAAACTGGCCCCATTGTAATATCAGTAATAATGAGGTCTCCACTGATAATGATCTTTTAAAATTATGCCTGATCTCATCTGTATAATATTTGTTCTTAAGCAAATAGCAACCAGGCGATACCAATCTGCATTTATATGTTTACATGGGGCAAGGCTGTCCTTCAAACTGATACACACCGAAGTCCATGTACACAAACAGAGGCACAGTAAGATCCTCTGCCCACAGTATATACAGTAGAAGTTAATTTATCTGTTTCTTTTTTTTTTTTTAACAACTAGAAGCTGATGTTGTAGGATCAGCTCTAGGATCCTCTGCCCACAGTATACAGTAGAAGTTAATTTATCTGGTTTTTTTAACAACTAGAAGCTGATGCACATGGATTTCTCATTTGCCCTATAACAATCATCATTCTAATAACTAAAGTCCAAAAGAATGGCAATGCAATAGTTTGAAACGCTTGGTTTAGCATTTATTTATCAGAAAAATTGTGATTCTTTGTTGTCATTTTTGGAGGCAAGAGGGCATAGTGAGAAAAGAAAGGACATATCACCAATTAACTGTATTTTGTTTGTTTGCTAGCTAAATGACACCACTCCTTTTTTTTTTTGTCTCTGCATAAGGTAATAGAACATTTACATTTTCTTTACTTCATCTTGAAGACCCTTACTTAGTCATATGTAACATGTTTGCCTATTAAATTCTGCAAGGTGGTGTTTATTTAAAAAAATAAATAAATACAATTTTCTTTACATTTAAAAAGTGATAAAGGAATAAGAGAATGAGAAAAAATTGTTCATTGTAATGCTTTAAAGCAAGTTTTCCCAAGTGGAACCATATATGCCTACTTTCAGCTAAACCCAACAAACAACAATTTTAAATGGCAAACTTATCTTTTTACTATGCAAAATCCATCCTACATTTTTATATCCTGCATTTAACTTTGTTACATTATACTTGTGGTTAGTTTTCTAGTTTGATTTATTTAATAATATTAAAATCATTTAACATCTGATAACCTAACTAAATCTACATCTTATAGCATTATCGTGGTTCTGTCCAGTTATATACATGCTTTCATGATCACCTTTTCTATTACCTTATGAACTACATATACTAGTTAAATTATCAACAATTACAGATGGATGAATAATTCCAGTTTTGAAATAAAGGTTAGAGAGCTCTAGAAAAACTTGTATTTACATCCTTCCCTGTCAGGCTTAAACAATTTTAATTTTCTTTTCATTTTTGATACTTCAAGAAGCACATTAATAGTCCTTCCAACTTCATCTAGTAGCAGAGCCTCACACAGTCCTTTTCTTGATTTTTCCTTAGCATTGTAAGTATGCACAATCTTCATGCCATGTCTTTCCTTTAGAAGGTATTAGCTCACACACTATAACACTTAAACACTATTCCTTCTCTTAAATTAGATATTCAGTCCTTCTCCCTAATCTACAAAAAAGAATCACTTGATTTTAGTTTGTGTGTTTTAATAGAAATTTGAGTTTTGCGTTGTTTTTCATGCTATTTTAAGAATGTTACTGGAGAAAGGATTCTCATCCTAAGCTGTGCTACTAATACTATGCAGAAAACCAGGAGCTGCTTGGTAGTCTAACACCTTTTGTGGTGCAGATGCTTTGTGGTTCTGGATCTATCCTAGATCAGAGGCCATCTTTCCTCACCTGTTTACCACTTTCTTTAGGCAATCATTTAACTGCAAAATTTTTCCATACCTGCCCAAAATAGGTATAATCTACAAAGTTGGGTGATTTAAAAAATATACTCCGTGTAATTTTAATACTAATTTGTCTCAGATTTACATAATTGATTCTGCAAATTTCAATTGCTACAATTGGCCTCTGGAATCTGATATCCCCCCAAGCACTTTGAAGACTTTAACTGACATTTTAAAATTCTACCCTACTGGACTAAATAAGTTATTCTCTGGAAGGAATGAAACTTTTTTTCTCCCTCTTATACATGCTGAAATATGTTTTCCCAGGGGGGACAAAAATAAAACAAAAAACACTCAAACAACTGAAGTCAATTATATACTACAGAAATCATTCAAAAGAATTATAAAGTGGTGCTATTATAAAGCATTTGGGTCATTTTGGATTATTCCTACATGCATCTCTAGGTATTACCCAACATGTAGAAGTCTTGTGTTCTTAGGAGGAAAGAGACATTCACTAAATACATTTCTGTTACCTTAACAGTTAAAAGTTTGTTTTAACTATTCATTTTTTCCTTCTCCAAAATGAGTGATTCTGCTTTCTATAGCCCAGTAGAAACCATATGCATATTGTAAATCAGAAAAAAAAAATCAAGGTATAGTATCCAAAAAGAGGGCTGTGATGACTCGATGCAGATTTATTTAGAAAGGGAGGCTTATATTCAATTTTTCATAAGTACTGATATGAGATCCCTTTTCCTAGAGACTTCTCTGAATGGATAGGAGAGCCCTGAGCTATTAGATTGTGGCCCCTGAATCACTCTGTGTCTTTACCCCTGAAAAGTTTGAGGGTGAACTTCACTAGAAGGAATCTCACAAACCCTTCTCCTGCTCTACCATACTTTTTCAGCTCGCCTCACTTCTTATAGCTTAGAAAAAAACCAACTCCAATGTCTCCAATATTCTTGGCCAAGGACCACCATCTGCTTTTGGTTTAATGGTGAAGTTAGACTCTAGATAGGCTAATTAGTCAGTGATGCAATATTCTCCTAGACCAGTTTATGTTTGAATAATATTATTGAAATTATCCTGTTTGTCAACATCAACAATTTGAAGGATGTTTAACTTATATCCCAAATGAGTTTAAAGGAGATATCTTACAGTACAACTGATTATATGACAGCTATTCACAAAAGAGACTATGCAATCTGATTGTTGGAACGCATAGAAAAATTAAAATGTCATTTTAATTAAATCTCCTAGATCATAGAATTTTGAAGTTGAGGATGATATTCCATTTATCTGAGTGTTCCCCACAAAACATGGTGCTTTTAGTAGACACAGTTAGATAAAGGAGGTTTGGATGGATGGATGGATGGATTTACTTGTTCAGAATAGGAAGAAACACAAATTTCTTTGGATTTTTTTCTCTAAACTTTCTCTGCCTTAATAGATATTTTTACTCTAATTAATTAATCTTATACTATTGATTCTAATTTGGTCCCAATATTTTAACATTAGAAATATTTTTTAAAAATCTAAATGACTTGGGGTAGAATTTTCAGAAAAGGGCGACTTATATCTAAGTTTCCTAATTATTGATGTGAGGCCCCCTTTACTTGGAGACTCATCTCTGTCATTTGTTCTCATCCTTCATCTCATCAGGTATTCTTTCAAAATGATACATAATAATGATGGTTCTAGTACTGGATGCAGTATATGAAGAAAGGGAATTATATAAAGTATCAAAAGATTAGTGTGTTGGATAATAAAATAATTGCATGAGAAGATGTTTCACATTTATTTACAACTTTTGACCCAAGGACCTATCCCTAAGCTTTGAATGTTTGTGTTTTTCTTTTTATTATACCAATTTATGTGCAAAGAGTTACCTTCTACTTCATATAAATAGTCTCATACTAGAAATTCCATGGAATTCAAGCCAATCCTTACTCGCATTCCTTCTTACGAAGTATACGAACTGAACAAATTTCCTTGCGTAGCAAAGGTGACATATGAAGATAATGTGCTGGCCTCTCATCATAGTCCCTGGATACCGTTGCAAGGTTCCTAATTTGCTTGGTTTGGCATTTCCACAGTCTTTATCTTAGCTCTTTTTTTAAAAATGTACTTAAATTAGTTAATTTGCTGGTTGCTTCCATATTGCTTGATTCAAAATCCAAAATGGAGTTCAGAAAAAGAACAAATAAAATTACAGCTTAAGTGCAAACTACATTTCTGAGTATCTGCCAGGTAGACATACCCAATCCAGTGTGTTTCTTCCAGTTCAATGGATTCCCTCATTGGGCCACCCCTGAAAGTATCAGTAGTTTTCCTGAACCACAGAGAACTGTCTCTTAGTTTCCCTTCTACTCTTCAGACAACCAACGGCCTATCAAGTAGTGTCATTTATGGAGAAAAAAAAATGTTGAAAAATGTAAAGGATGAGGGTGAAGATAATTTGATAGCATGAAAAATATTAGCCTCCCTTTCTTATTTTAAAGATTGTATACTTAAAGTAGTGGCCATTTCACTATATTAAAATATTTCTTGCTTAAATTCTGTGAAGAAGCTTTGATGTAAACATCTTTGCAATTAGAAATTAAAGCCAAAAATAGGGGAGCAAATATAAAGGAATCGGTCAGAGCAAAACAAAATGAAAAAAACCAAAAAGTGTTGAAAACATAATTACTAGTTATAACTTTAATGGAGATTTTTAAATTATGAAAGTTGAGTTGGCCATTCTTACTTGCTAGGACAGAAACTGCTGGGGAAAGAAACTGGATTCTCAATTTCAGACACCATCATATGTTATAGAAAATGTTATTCTTTTGTTCTAATGGAAACTTTATTATGATTTCCAGGGATGCTAAATATGCACACATCAGTTCCTGCAGATAGGAACAGATAGCATGGGTGTTTCAACCATCTGCTTTAAAAAAAAAAAAAAAAAAGAAGAGGAAGAAAGAAACAAAGAAAGAAAAAGAAAAAGAAAAAAAGTGACAGCTAGTTTGATAGTAGGCAGCATTGCCTTACATTTTCTGGTCCTTCTCTAGCTGTTTCATTCTCCTGACCAACCCATGCAGAGAAATGAAGAAACATTGTGGTTCCTCCTATCTTTCTCTTTCAGTCTTTCCCTCTAATGTTCAAGTTAGGTAAGCACATAACTATCATTGCATCTCTGTATCTTCCACTGGGAAGTGTCAAAACTACTGGCCTTGGGGTAGAAGGAAGACCACCAGAGAAAGAGAGGGGGGTGGGGAAATTGGAGCAGGTGTGTCTCTCCACCTAAAAAACCACAACTGAGCTTACACCACAGTATTCCGGTGTCTGTAAGGTGGAGGCGGCAGCACAGTGCCTGGCTTCAGGGAGAACTCAGAGAGGTATTCAGGATTCTCTGCCACAATAGGCCGGATCCGCCCATTCTGTTTATAAAAATATTTTGTGCTGTACTCCTGCAGGTAGTCTGGGTGCTGAAGGGTGCTCCGAGGTGGCAGGCTGTGGTTCCAGTAGTCAGGGTTGTCAAACGCTTTCTTGGCCTTCTCTGGCATTGACAGTATGTTGTTCTTCAGGTACTCAGCTTTTCCCAAGGTGTTGGCAAAGGTGTTGAGGTACAGTGGCTCATTCACATACTCATCCTCGGCCTTGGGTGGACCATTGGATGCATTGTGATATTCGGGATTATCCAATGCTTGAAGGTCTCCATTTTTTCTCCGAGAAACAAAAGGGTTCTCCTCCACTGGATTCAGGTATTCTAAAGGAATAAAAAAATATCAGCTAACCTCTAGTTTCTGGAAAATATTAATCAGACCAAGGTTATACATAATGGTTAGCTTCTTTGTCTAGAACAAAAAAACCCACAGATTTGTTTTCATGATTTCTCACAACAAGTATTTGTGGATCACCATTGTCTTATGAAAAAAAGAGTAAGTGGGTCAAAAATGTTTATAATAAAACAAGAAGCCAACGAGGCCAGAATCAGAATTTCTATCTCCTAAATTTTTCTTTCTTTCTAATTGCATTTGTCTCTTCTGCATATGGGGCTGGTTGTTTCAATGTTTTTGTTTTCTAAAAGTTATTTATATTAGGAAATAAGACTACCTATTAGGATTAAATAGTCTTTAAATATACAGACAACTTAACTTCTATAAAGGATATTGAAAAAACAAGAATCTATAGCTGAGTTCCATGCCAAGATGAATAGATGGAGTGAAGAAATCATGTTTTTTAGTCTCTATGGTTTGCTATGATTGCCTATACTGGTAACAAGGATTTAATTGGAGATGCTTCTGAAAAAGGTTTTACACATGGAAAAGAAAGCATCAAAGGAAAAAAATTCAACTAAAAAAGCAAATCTAACAGATAGCTAACATGCCTCTAGTTGACCTGCTTGACATTACATATACTTCTACTTAATAGTAAAGTATAATTATAATATTTCCATTGACCAATCATAATCACAAAGTAGCAAACTATCAGCTTGAATTATATAAAATAAAATAAATTTTGTATATTGAAACCAGTCAATTAGTGCCTATTTTGTACGGATCAATCTAATAAATCCATCTAGTATAGGTATTGGCCTAAAAGGTGCTAATAATTATCACCATTCTCCTGAAGCTTAATTCCACATCTATGTCTATAATATAGACTGCACATAGACATAAACACGCATGTATTGTAAGTCCTCTGACAGTCCTCTCTTTTACTATATACACAAAGCCCTAAGCTATTCCTATTTTGAATTCAAGGCATGAAGAGGGCACAATTCTTTGTTGAGAGGCCATTCTGAAACAAACTTTCTGTCTTTTATCCTTAGCCCAATAAGTAGAGAGAAAAATCCTATTAAGTGAGGATTATTTTTCTCCAAATATATATATACAGAATAGGTAAGTATTTAGCATCATTTATTCAACTTAAAGGGCAGTAATGAATATCCCACTATCATATATAGGCCTTTACAAGACACTATCATTTCATCCTCCCAATTCTGTGAAAAAGAAGTACAAGACTTATTTTTCCAGCTTTGTAGACAGAAAAATGAGATTAAATGATGTGTGCAGGATACAATTAGTGTTGGGATAGAATTCAGGTCTTCTAACTCCTCTTGCATAATCTTCTTATTCTACTGCACTGTTTTTTATTATTGCCCCTGCAGGAGTTGGGTGAACTTTATGCTTAGTAACAAGTTTTAATTTGACAAGTGTATGAAAACATTTATAAGGAATGCAGAATTTGGTCTCTCTTACCAGATTCCTTAAACTTCTTAATTGAAAGAATAGGAATGTCTACACTAAAATTCTGTACTCTCTGAGTACGAGGTTAGACTATAGCAACCTTTTATAGAAACGGAGCTTAGTGTTCAGAGATAAAATCTGAGAATACAGTGTGACTCTATAGGGTGACTTGCTTTTCTCTTCACCTTACCTTTCCTCAATGCAATCTACTTATATATTGTCCTCATGCAAACTTATATAGCTGTCCAATAACTTTACGGTTGGAGTGAAAATCTCCCCAGAAAAGATTCTTCTTTGGGGTGAATCTGCCAAGTCTTCACAACGTCTACATTTGTGTCATTACTAGGCTACTATGAGCATCCAAACTCTTCATTACATTTTTATATGTATAGAAGTTTTAGATATGTAAAAATTTTATCTAGACAGATATATTTTAAAAGGTTATTTACAATTAGAGATCTCTAAATTTTACTTTAAAGGAGAGAACATAACCATATACCAGGCCCTTCTCAGAGTCTTAAAATGTAGTTTACTGTTGACACTAAAGACTGCGAGAGACATGATCATCATTTTTTAATAACAATCATCTATCTTCTCTGTTGTGATACTGTTAGCATAGAAGAAGAAAGGCTGTTTTGTTGCAAAATTGAAGCATTATTTGATTTGGGTGCTTAACATTTCTACTACTAACTTTACAAAATTATTGTTATGCTTTGTAAAACCACAGATTATTATTTTCAAATCTTGGTGGTATGCTTGTAAGTATATACAGGGTCAAACCTTTAATTTTTGAAAAACGTCATATAAGAACATAATATTTTCCTATAATAAACTAGGTTGTTTAAATGTCATCATTTAAATGAGTCAAACAAATCTTTTATTAGTGCCATCAAAAGCATCAGGCACTTTTGCCAACAATACCAGTCTTTCTGATCTCCGCAATTAAGTCCAATAAAGCTATGGTCCTGACACTTTGTAGTATGCTACTTCATTCAAATATTTCAACAAAATATGTTTAGAATAGTGCTTCTCAAGACTGATTGCTGTATGCAGATAGCCTGGGGATCTTGTTAAAATCCAGATTCCTATTCAGACGGGGCCTGCCTGAGATTCTGATTTATATAAATAATAATAAATAATGTGGATGCTGCTGATTCAGGGACCATACTACAAGTAGCAGTAGCCTAGGCCTTTACTGGATCACAAATGTTGTGCTGGTCAGCTATCTGGCAATTTCTATTCTGTACTTTGTTTATCTTGATGGAAGTGAACTTCGAATGGCGATCGTTTCTGAATAATCAGTTCATACCTTGTTTGGGTTTGTCTCGCATAGGAGTCATGTAACCTTCCTCATCCAGCTCTCCTCGTGGGCTCCGTTCTGGGGCAAACACGGTGGGGTCAGCACTGTACCTCTGGGTGCTACTGTCCTCTTGGACATGGGGTGCCACTGGCTTGCGTAGGGTGCCATTACAGCAGGAGTCATCAAAAATCTCAGCAGTAGCACCCTGTGCCACAGGAGCTTCTGGAATTGTGCTAGTTGGGGCTCTGTAGGGCACAGACACTCCTTGTTCAGCAGCAAAACCTCCATCTCGGTATACAAACTGGTTCTGTTAATAAGAGAAACATATGTGGAGAGAAGGCGTTGTTAGAAATAGTTTAAAAATGAATGTTAATAGCCACAAGGATATCAAAGCCAGTCTTTCAGAGAATAGTCATAGTATTTACTGGTTTTTTTTCCCCTAGTGGCTAATGGAGTTACAAACTATAAACACCTAAAATTTCCACTTTTCTTAAAAGATAAATCATCAGAAAATAATTTTGAAATACACATTCTAGTTTTATTAACCAACTGAAACATATTCTAATAAAATGTATTTGATGCCCTTTTCCCACAAGTGCCTATATTTAATACAAATTTCAAAGTGAATTTTTATGATAAATGCAAGTGTCATTAATTATAGACAGTTGTCATTAAGAATAGAAGTACATGGATATATTTTGAATAATCCTATGTCTTTATTCCCTTCGAAAATTCTGTGGTTATTATGAATTTGAGGCTCTAGTACCTAACTAGAGGATCATCACTATAATTCTGACTTTTTAGTACATGACCAATAATCAGGGAAGTAAAGATCACCTCCACATCCAGAAGCATAATTTATGTGCCCAGGTAAATCCTTCAGATAAAAATTGAAAGCTACTGTTGATGCATGATATCTCAATTTCGGATTATCAGCTGAGATAAAAACACATCTACAAAGGCAGCTACACGATGTACACCAAATTCTTAACTCACTGTTGGCAAAGGCAAAATGAGGAAATTATGCAGAGACGAGAGAGGAAACATGGTAAGCAAAGACCGAAAATCCTAAAAGATGAAGGTTGATTGTGAAATACTTACTCCTGACATGGGGGTGTAGGCAGGAGGAGGGCTGTGTCCAATTTCACTCTAATAGGAAAGAAAAATGGAATGATGGATATAATAAGAGGCAATATGAATGAAAAAATTAAAAAAAGAAACGAAAAAGAAAAGCCACATGGGTCGTATGAACCAAAGGGGAAAAAGTGCACAACAGTGAAGCTTCCTAAGCAGCACAATTGTATGCATTCTGACCATAAGCAAGCTTATTTATATGTTTTGAGGAAAATAAATATTTTAATTCAATCCCTGAAAAGGAAAATTGTACAGAAAAAGCAAAATTTTTCAATGGATTAGAAAAGTAAATAATAAACATTCTTCTGATTAACCCTAGAGGAAAGGAAAAGTAGTAAATGAACTATAGCTGTAAATGGGAAACAGTTTCCTTCTTTACATGTCAAAAGATTGAAATGGCCATATTGTCTGCTGTTATTTTTTCTCTTAGAATAAATGTTTCTGGAAGGAGATGGCAGGAGATTTCGATTTGCCTGGACTAATTTTTGCTATCAAGCTACATTTATTTTTCACCACTTCAGCAAAAGGTAAACTCCTTAGTCTCTCCTGATTAAAAGGTATATGCTATTTTATCTTCAGTCTCACATTTTTTTTGTTTTTTTTTTTTAAGTTAAGAAAGAGCAGAAAATTTGGAAAATCAATTCCTTTCCTGAAAACATGCTTTAGATTCCCCTTATGGTATTTATAATGAGTCAAAATCAGATTTCAGTTAAAGAAACAACAACAAAAATACATCTGTATTTTTATAGCTTAACGCTCCATCCTATGGGCTAACTGAAAGAGGATATAAAAATCTAATAAAAGATGAAGGACAGTGTTCCTTAGGGTAAGGAAAAGGAGTTGTATAATACTAATTCTGTTTCTTAATACAAAAATACATTAAACACATTTTTTGAGAACCTACTGTCTATGTGCCAGGCACTTTTCTAGGCACAGGGATAATGCAAAACACAGACCCAAATCGCTTGATTTTATGAAGCTTATATTCTCTGCGATCCAGCTTTAAGTAAACAGAGATGACTAAAATAAACCTCTAAGATACCTTACATCTTGTTTGTTTGTTTGTTTGTTTGTTTGAGATGAAGTCTCGCTCTGTCACCCAGGCTGGAGTGCAGTGGTGCAATCTCGGCTCACTGCAAGCTCCGCCTCCCGGGTTCACGCCATTCCCTTTCCTCAGCCTCCCGAGTAGCTGGGACTACAGGCACCTGCCACCACGCCTGGATAATTTTTTGTATTTTTAGTAGAGACGGGGTTTCACCATGTTAGCCAGGATAGTCTCAATCTCCTGACCTGGTGATCCGCCTGCCTCGGCCTCTCAAAGTGCTGGGATTACAGATACTTTACATCTTTTAAATGAAACAGATAAATATTATTCCAGGTCAATGTTCATATGATTTAGATTCATGAAGCATTCTAAGAAGAATATGGTCCCATGGAGATTAAGTGTTTAAAGTAAGTCAATAACAACTGGATAATATAATCTCCCTTAACTAACTTAGTCTGCTGGACTAATCAAGGGACATGGTCTGAACCCCTATAGTGAGGTTATATCTTAATTTTCCCTACAACTATGGTGGTATTAGAATATTTATCTATTTTCTTCTTTAGTAACATAACTAACAACACCTCAAAGATTATGGCATGGAAAGTCAGAGATATATTTAATATGCAATACATAGGAGGTGCTACTATGCAACAGACAGATCGTTTAATGACCTGGGCTCCAGTTCCAATGATAAGTGGTGTGAATTTGGTGAATCATGAAACCTCTCAGACCCTCATTTTCATTCTTGGCCTCCCTATTTTATTATTAATAAATATGAAGTAAGATAATGTATATAAATGAACTTTGTAAACTCTACACTATTATAAAAATGTAAAGGATATATCAATCACATTTAAATATTCATATCTACTAAATTGAATTTTTAAAATAAAGCAATCAGGATGCCAAAGCTACTCATCAGAGGCATTTTAAAATGCTCACCTGTTCTCTAATCACCTTAAATATAGGCATGTTTTACTATATTTTAGAAATACCTGAAATCCAGTACATTTGTTCATAAAATTTGAGGAAAGTATTTTTTATACTCCAGTGATTTGTAATATAGAGTGATAGTACAGGAAATATGGAACTGCCTGGTGGAACTTTACCAAATTACAAACACTGGCCTTACCCTCATCATTAAACACCAATTATTTGGCAAGTATTTAACAAATATTTACTAAATCTCTACAGTGAAAGCACAGGCACTGTGGTAGATGCCAGCAATACCACCATATATTAAGAAAGACATGGCCACTGTCCTTTGAGAATTTGCACTATCAATTATAATCTAAGATTGTTAGAAGAAAAGGCAAGAATGAAACAAGGCAATTTATTTCAAGTCTATGGTTATATATTAGAATGCCAGGTATTCCAAAATATTCATAATTACTAGTGCTCCTTTGACCTCTTACCTTGCAAAAGTTGCTGTACTGGGTAATGTTTGACTAGAATTACAGCTGAGAAATGAGTATTGATTGCACATTTTGCATTTTACAAAACCTGAGACGTAAACAATCAAAGGAACAACTTACAAGTCATTCTTCATCAGGGAACAGTTTATTATCTATATTCATTATCTGGGCTAGAATGGCTTCCATTGTAAAGGCAACGGATTAAAACAACTGGGACTCTTGCGGTTAGTCTGTTCCAAGACATAAAGCGAGGCCATGCCCTATTAGAATGCATCCACTGTCCCTGCTTTGACAAGTCTTTCAGTCAGCAACCTGCCAACTCTGTATCTGGACAAACTGCCAAATAGCATCACAGTAATAGGAGCATCTTCATGAATTTTCCTGTTTTCAGCATTAAAATGGAAAAAATGCTAAGCAAAACCCCTTTAGCATTCATTGTTTTTAGGGCTACTGGCTGCTTTTTTTATGTTTCTGTTTCCATTTTTTCAGTTTGCTTTTTTATCTGTTTTCCATGATAAAAAGCACCTCATTCACTTCCCCGTGGAAGGGCAATGCAGCTCCAAGGGAACATCTGTGAGGCCAATTAGCTGGGCTGGAAATGTGATATAATTGTTGTTTAAATATATTTAAATTACATGTTAATCACGATGTCATAATTTATAAGCTTTGAAAATAACTTTTTGTACTTGAGAGCCAAGCCAGATTTTACTTGTTTTTGCTGTTTTTAGTTTGAAACCAGCTCTTCTCATTTCTCTCTCCCTCAATTCCCCACACTTGAAGAGCTGAACTTTTAATATTGGAAAGAATGACAGCTGCAAGTAAATTGGTTGAGTAAAAATTAAGATCCTCACAGCAGTCAAAATGAGCTGGAGTGACCTTAAAGTTCGAAGCAGAACAAAGCAATGCTCTCAGTTAAAAGCTTTTGTTTTTCCATTGTGCTACTTTCTGCTGTCCATCAAAGTCCAGCTTTGCAGATCTTTAGGAAGCAGCACTGGGTGCATCTGTTCAATTAGCTGGTGAGGCGATTTACTGTCAGCAGGGCAGAGATAGAAAGAGGCGGGTTAGGAACTGGCAGGTGATACTGAGTTTGTTCCTGGTGGGGGGGTTTGTAAGGGTGATGGATGGAATGAGTTTAATTCTGTGGCCATATCGCTGGGAGATTGTATGATTAACTTGGACTTAAATGCCAGAGATTAAAGAGAAGGCAAGTATCAGTAAATGAATCAAATACGGTATTAAATGCACTTTTAAATACATCATGTTCTAAAATTTACTTTTTAGTTGAATGATAAATATTAGAACCTTTGTCTCATATGCACAGTATTTCTTATATTTGTATTATTTAATATTGTTCCTGAGAAATTTTATTTATTAAATAGATGGACTGTATCTTGTGATATTTTTAAAAATTATTATACAAATCTACTTTCGGAGGAAACAAAAATACAGGCCTAATGCCTAGCTTCTATCTAAATTAAACAGGTGATCAATGAGAGTCACTTTCTAATCTTTAAATAATTATTACTTTCAATAGTAATTATAAGATTACAATTTCTAGGTTCAAGAAATACTCCAAATTCCTTTGACTAAAATAAAATGTCTCTGTAAGACGTTGCTAATCCATCAGCACTAATTTATTATCCAGACACTTCCACATAGTAACTATTAAAGGTTCTCAACCTTTTATCCTCCCTGACATATCTGCTTAACACTCTGATGAGCATCTCCACACTTTCACAGGTCACATAGCAACATACAGAAAATGTTTATTGCATTATGTTATAATTATTGCATTATAAATTATAATTCCTGATGCATGGTTGTAACTCTGCATCTTTCTCACAACTGAGTTCAACATACCAGTGTTTTGAGACGTTTAGATTTAGGACCTTCATTTTTCACAGGGCAATCAGAAGGAAACAAACAGAATGTGTCCATATGTGCCAAACCCAATAATGGCTGGGAAAAGCCTACTGAGATTTCAGCTGCTGGCTGAATTTTATATATATGACACATAATGTCTTTTGTCTATTTATGTATACATATATTTATTTATTTAGTCATTTTTCTATTTGGTTTGATTCTGTGGGACTCTACTTTTTTGAAAAAACTCTCTTACTCCACACACACACACACACACACACACACACACACACACACACACCCCAATAATGACTCTATGATCCAGTTGAAGAAATATTGACTTGGGCTCTTATTCTTTTTTGTTGTTGTTTGTTTGTTTGTTTTTCGAGATGGAGTCTTGCTCTGTTGCCCAGGCTGGAGTGCAGTGGCGTGATCTCGGCTCACTGCAGTCTCTGCCTCCCGGGTTCAAGCAATTCTCTGCCTCAGCCTCCCGAGTAGCTGGGATTGCAGGTGCCCACCACCACGCCTGGCTAATTTTTAGAGACAGGGTTTCACTATCTTGGCCAGGCTGGTCTTGAACTCCTGACCTCATGATCCACCTGCCTCGGCCTCCCAAAGTGCTGGGATTACAGACGTGAGCCACCGCGCCCGGCTGGCTCTCATTCTTTATCCACTCATTAATCTTGGAACCTTTCATCTTTCATATATGTCTCATGTACTCATTTAATTAAAAAATTGAACAAATGGAAACTATGAGTGGTATCTGTAAATATGAACAAGAGTCAAGACAGAATTTACAAAGCATATGGAAATGCTGTCTTTTATAATGCTTAATAATCCTGCTTTTCTTAAGTCAGTCCTCAAAGTCTACTTTTATTGTGTTTCATAGATGAATACATGATAACTCTTAGGGAAATTAAGAAATAGAAAGAGAAACTAATATATATTATGTACCTACCCTATACCATGGACTATTTTAGGTTTTATTTATTCTTATAAACTTGTAAGGTAAATAGCATTATTAAAAATTATAACTCCCATTTTATAGACAAAAAAATTGTGGAGCAGAGAAATTAAAGGATCTGCCATGTGCACACATCCATAGTTGGCTATCTGACCACATAGCCCGTCACTCTATGACCTTAACATTATACCACACATAGATTTTGACTTTAGCATTTCTATTCTTACTCATCTTTGCCCTGTCTCTTCCTTTGCGTTATGCCTCAACTATTTTCTCAAACAAATTCTTACAGTTTCTTTCTCTAGTTTTAGTGAAAAGAACTTAATGACTTAAGGAGGCATCTGAAACTCATTATCTTAAGTATAAAATGCTGATAATGTGTTACATTACTGCTCCACCCCACTTATTTTCACTTAAATTAGTTACAAGGACATAAACTGGAAAGAAGGAAACTTTGAGTATTAAGAGTTAATAGCGTGTGTGTGTGTGTGTGTGTGTGTGTGTGTGTGTGTGTGTGTGTATTTTTCCATTCTTTCCTACAAGTCCTTTTTATCTAAAATCATGTTGTGTATATATACATTTACCTACCTCACCAAGAGCAAAGCCAGCCCTGAAGCAGGAGGAGACAATTTTAAATAACTGGAGAGCACAAAGATTTTTCATGACAGCACTCTTGCTTATGGATTTATTGTTCCTAGTACAAGGCTTAGTCAATAAATTCTTCTTCCTGCTTGACTGAGGGTAAGTAAGCTATTGTATCCCCGGGCAGCAATTCCTATGCCCTTTCCAAATATCAGTAGAACAAGAGGATATTTCCTTTTAAAATATTCATGGCTAAATGAGTCAATAAAATGAAACTGAAAATCTCCCTCACTTTACAGGTTCCTGCTTTAAGTTGCTGCTTTGAGCAATAGTATGTGATGGAATCAAAGAATGTTATTAGCACAGTCAAAAAAGAAAGGGCATAAAGAAATACAATTTTCCACTAATGCCAACATTGCTTAGCTTCATTCAAGATAAGCAACAAGAATTGTGTCACCCTTCTTGAGATGAGTGATCACACAGAATTGATCTCTTTACCCTGGTGCAAGTTCTGCATTTTTGTATTGTTTGGTTGGTTCTAGCAACTTTCTCTTTTTTGGCATGTTTATATTCATTTCCATTAGCATGTTGTCATAATTGAACCTTTTCCTCATGATCACTTAGCTACTAGCTAATGCATATAGCCAGAAACCTAAAGAGGAAAACTTCTAGGAGTTTCTCAAAGACTTCTCAGTAATTCTTTTCAGTTAGAGAGGGTAGGCTCTTTTTCTTTCTTTCTTTTTTAATGTATGCTTAAGAACATCTAGTTCTAATGCAATGTCTTTAAGAACAGAAATGAAATCATCAAGCCTTTTCGATGTGTAAATTCTGGAGTAGCCTAACTGATTCTTCAAATGAATCGTGAAGTTGTCTCTGCTTGTGTGGTTTTTATCCTAACCTCATAAAGAATATCTGATGAAGATTTTTCAGGATGCAAACAATGCACTGGATCGGGCAACTTTTTTGAAGACAAAAACCCCACAGACCTAGAACAAATGGTCTCATGAAATCCTTCTACCTCCAGGATTGTATTCTTGAATAGGTCTCACTAAGTCACATGACTTTTAACAAATTCCTTAGTTTCTTGGTCTTTTAGTTTATTTAATCCTAAAAAGAAGAATAGGGGTATAGGACAAGTAATAGAAAAGATCACTTCCAACTACCAAAGGATTTACGTGTAAAATAAATTTTCTGCCTCAAGCCCACACGATTAGTTATTAAATATTGTAAAATGTGATTAACATTAAAGCAAAGTATCTTATAAAGTTTTCTCTCATAAATCTTTTCAAAGTCGACTCATCGCTTTTTCTTTCCTTTTTAAAGTGGACTATCTTGTTCAAAGTATCACTTAGGCTACATGCAGTATATGATTGTATGTTTTGATGAGGCTGAACCACATTTGGATGATGACTCATGAAAATACAATTTTTTGAAATAAAGTTTTATGATTTAAAATGTTTATTTTACAGATAGAGACTCTGACACTCTGAGAGGTTAATTTTCCAAGGTAACAAAAGTAGTGACGGTACTAGCAACAAGATTCCCTGAGTTCCCATCCAATGTACAATCTGTTATACCTTAGAACCTCAAATTAACTTTTAATAAATAATAATAAGCATCCTTTAGAGGTTGCATTTTTTATGTTTTTCAGAAACAAACCTATTTATTTTTTAAATATAGCTGAAAGCATTGGCCTTAACCAAAACATTTGTTCTAAGCTGAAATACATATTAATATACGCAAAGTAAATTTAGTGACACTTTAATTTTAAGACAGATATTAACTTTTGTTATTGAATAGGCTATAAGACGTTTATTAGACAAATGGGATAATTAATATGGCCATACACATATTAATTAACATATTAGTTAAAAGTAGTATTTATTAAAATGGTACTTTGTCTACAAAACAGGTTGCCCTTCACAGAGAAGAGATATGTTATCTAAACACTCTACCTATAAAAGCCAGTTATTAAAAATCGATATACACATACATGCTTATTGTCAGTTGATATACTTTTACCTTCATAATATTTATATCTGCTACTTGATATACTTTTACCTTCACAGCATTTATCTCCAGATCTGTCTATGCAATAAGATACTGTTTAGGGATTAAAATAATTGTTAAAAATAAGTAATCTATAAGGCAGGTTTGAACTAAGAATAAGAAAAAAAAAAAGACTATAAACACTTTGAATTTGAATGCCATAACTTTAGAATTTGAAATGTAATGTCTTTGCCTAGATATAGTTCCTTTTGTACTATCAGCGAAGACTTAAATCTCAATTTTAGGCTCTGTGTATGTGTGGATACATATGTTAGATATATATATGTGCATACACATGTATATGTATTAATATACATGCTAAGAAAATTAATAGCTTAAAACAAGATAACAAAGGTTATGTAACCCATACAATCAAACACATCATATTTTAGAGGCTGTTAACTCATTTGTGGGGCAGCTTTTGTTTTGTTTTTCTTATGTTTCACATGCAGATATTGTTTATCAACAAATGAGTGATGTTCACTAAAAAAAAACCATGTATAAGAGTTCTACTTAGAAATATTTGTTACTCTATTTAGAGTTTAGAGTTATTTACTGGCAAATAATAAGGCAACAGTGAAATATTCAATCTTCTCTTTAGTAATAACCCAAGCTCAGGATGCTTTATTATATATTCAACATTTCAATAATAGTATTTAGAGCAATCTATGTGTGAGAATGTAAAAAATATGAAGCGCACGGTTTGTGTATTGGAGGATGGAGAACAAATAATATAGGAAATAGAACTGCAAATGTTATAAACCTTATTTTGGCACGTAGATTTTATTCAGTGTTTTAAGTGATAGGTGTTGGCAACAAGCAAACAATTTAACGTAATACAGATAAAGCCCTTCAGTGTTCCTATAATTGCAGTGTGGACCAGGTTGAAAATATCTTCAGTTATGCTAGTTTATGCAAACTGTTTACCAGATAAAAAGTGAATTTGTAACAATGGTTTATTCATCCAACTACTGCTCTTTAAGCTACCAGGTGGCACAGCTGTTGCCGTAAGTAAAAAGATTTCTAACAGTCCACCTGGAATTAGGACAGCTGGTTCCTGTGAGCTGATCTGAATAATGTACTGTGAATACTCTGGTACAGCTACTGACAGAACAAACAGCACATGACTGTCCCATCAGCCCAGAGCAAACACTAGTTACATTTGACAGAAACAGGCTGGTATTTACAACTGATCTAGGCCAAAAAGAATATCAGATTGAAGGCAACACCCCAAGAGAAAATAGCCCTCCCCGAGAGCTACCTGTTGACCATAGTCTAAGCAGCTTTTGCCATTATTGAAAAGCCCCCAAATCTGATTTTGCTGCATATAAAAAGGAAGAGGAAAAACATACAAAGCATTCCTGCATCTATTTGTGAACCATTTTGGAATTTTCTAAAATAAAAAAATGGCCAATACTTCTTAGTTTTCCATTTACACGGTTGCTGCCAAAGTCAACCCAGATTAGCCAGAATCATGGCCATAATAATTTTCTTTTAATTTCTAAAATTGTAACACTTTACTAAAAAAATGAAGCAAAAAATGAAATGGAACTAAAACTAGAGAATCTCATTTAAATCTGCCATTGGTACCACAGATGACCCATAGAGACGGTAAATGACTTTCTTCAGGATGATACAGCTAGTTACTAACAGGCCTAATTAGAAAAACATCTATCGGCTGAGGATCCTTAGATTGTCCACCTGAGCCAAGGACAGCCGAGGTGAAACTCTAAAGCAGGCAAAATCTGATCTCAGTGTTTCCCCACTAAGGTTGATTTTGCAGTTTCAGGCCCGTGATTCTTTATTCCTAACAGAATTATTTCTGGGCCCATTTATTTCTGCCCCGGCTCCGTGGAAAATAGGACTGTATTGTCCTCCCATTCCAGGTGTACAATTCTTGATCAGCAACTCACACTCCAAAAACATCCTCAATTATCTATACTTTTATTTTCTGCCCAGAAACATGCCTTTAGCCAGGCCAGAGGGCATCTATTTAGTCTGATGAATTCATTCGTAAAATCTTCTCAAATTGGTCAAATTGGTGTTAGTAGATTATGATGGAATTACTTCAGGGAACACTGAACTACAGAATACCACGTCATACCCATATAACTAACAGCTGCCCTGATAATCTACACTGATCTGTTTCACAGCATTTCAAACATCACATTTCTTAAAGTGAAATGGCCATCTTCTTCTCTCCCTGGCCTGCTTGTCTTTCTTTGCTTGGTGAATAATATCAATAACTTATCCAGCTGTGCAAGTCAAATATCTTAGTGTTATCTTTCATGTCTCCTCTACCCCACTCCTTATAGCTAAGCATCCAAGGTCTACCCTTTCAAACCTCTTAATACCCCCAGAATCTAACCATTCTCTTCATCCTCATGGCCACTATTTCAGTTGTGGTTAAGGTGCCAAAAACTTTGTCACTCCCACTGGGATACTTAGAGAGTAAAAGAAAGTGTTATTAATAATTATGCTTCTGATACAGAAGTAAACTAGGATGCACTAAGGAAAACAGGCACTTATGAAAATCTTAATTATGGTACCATTTCTTGACTAGAGTACTGTAACAACCTTCTAGCTGTTCTCCTTGATCTCATTCTTTCCCTTCACTCCAATCTAATACTCATACTTCCTTCCCCTGCTTTAAAAATTGCAAGACCTCTAGGCAAGGTGGCTCATGACTGTAATCCCAGCACTTTGGGAGGCCGAGGCGGGCAGATCACAAGGTCAGGAGTTCAAGACCAGATGGTGAAACCCCATCTCTACTAAAAATACAAAAATAAGCCAGATGTGATGGCATATGCCTGTAATCCCAGTTACTTGGGAGGCTGAAGCAGGAGAATTGCTTGAACCCAAGAAGGGGAGGTTGCAGTAAGCCGAGATTGCGCCACTGCACTCCAGCCTGGGCGACAGAGTAAGACTCTGGCTCAGAAACAAAACAAAACAAAACTGCAAGACCTACTGTTGCCCTCAGGCTAAATGAAGTCCATTATTTGTGGCATTGGAGGCTTTGGTAACTATGATCCTTGCCAGTTTCTCCAGCTTCACCTCTTTCTTTGCTCTTTCCTCATAAGCCTTCAGTCAAATAAATCTCAGATTTGCTTGATGAGCCCTTTCCTCTCTCACCTCCGACCTCTGTCCAAGTTCTAATTACTTCCTCAATGCTCTTTCTGGCTTCTTTGCCTTGATTACATCGTGATCTTATGAAAAATTGTCAGTAGCTTCATTATATTTAATTATTGATTCAAAAAGTATTTATGAAAGAACCCATTATATGCCCCATGTGAATAATTTAACAACTGTATTCTGTTTATTTCATCAGTGTGTCTTTTTTCTTAGACTATGAGTCTGTTTAGAAATGGATTCACTCTAATTTACTATTAAATTTTTCATATCTAGCACAGTGCCAGGGGCACAGACATGGTGAATGTTCAGCAAAGATATATTGAATCAAAGGAGAGATTAAAAAATGTCTTAAACCCAAAGAGTGGCTCTATTGATGAAAAATCTCAGTGACTCCATCAAGCCAGTTGGATAAGTTTTAAAAGATGTGGAATTTTAGCATCCCTGATATTATATATGGTACACATCTTCTTCTGCAGATGGCTTGGGTGGAATTGAACTCAGATGCAATTATCTGACTATTATATCTCATCTAGTACACTCTTCCTGTCAATATCAGTTACTATTTCTGAAGCCATTGTTGGAAATCTTAATTCTAATGGCAAAGTTTTTTAAAAGTATTTTTAAAAGTATTCTTACAAATGGGTGAGTGATTCTGAATGCGATGAACATTTCACATTCAGCTATAAAACTTCAAGATTCTATCACTAGTATGACAACATTCCCCTAAGACACCTAGGTATTTCCTATTGCTTTGGAGACCTAGAGAACCAGGGTTTAGCTGTATCCCTGAAAAATACAACTTGTTAACTAAGAACAATAAGACAGACCTTGTAGATAAACCAACTGTAGGCAGATGCAAAATGTATCCTTTCTCTACAAGTGGTACATATCACCTAACTGCATTTCCACACTGTGGTGCACAGAACAAACACATAAGGAAGGACCATTTTAAAATTTTCAAAAAGTATTTTAAGGATAATCATGGCTAAATGCTACAGAAAATCAAACTTATAAGTCAATGAAATTCTAAATCAAAATTACAGAGTATGAGTCTCTGAGAAGGGAAGTAGCTGCTGGAGAAGAGCTCTTGATAAGAGAAAAGGACGGTCATCCAACAGCCCCGCTGCCTTAAAAAAGTGTTCTCTAAGCTTAGGGTTCTCATCTGTAAAATGGGGATAATAATGCCTGTGTTGGGTGCTTTATAAGCTTTATAAGCTCGTGTTTATGATGTTAAATATCTTTGAATAGAATAACATAGTAGATAAATGTGCAACAGGCTTTTTTCTCCAGTGACATAAAGAAAATACAGCTGAATACTGAATTTTCCAAGTATCCCTCACACAAAATCAACTAAATGCTGCCTTCCAAATAAGCATACACTTTTTATATACCACAATAAAAGTATTTGCACAGTGACATGATTATCTGTGTGAGGGTAGAGGTTATTTTGCAAACTTTGTATCACAAATTTTATTTGAAGTAAAATAAGCCAGGCACAGAAGACAAACTTTGCATGTTCTCACATATCTGTGGGAGCTAAAAATTAACACAATTGAAATTATGGAGATAGAGAGTAGAAGGATGGTTACCAGAGGCTGGGAATGGTAGTCAAGGGGAGAGTAAGAGGAAGTGGGGATGGTTAATGGGTACAAAAAAAAAATAGAGTAAATAAGATCTAGTATTTGATAACACAACAGAGTGACTATAGTCAATAGTAATTTAGCTGTATATTTTAAAATAAATAAAAACATATAACTGGATTGCTTGTAACACAAAGGACAAATGTTTGAGATGATGGAAACCCTATTTACCCTGATGTGATTATTAAACATTGTATGCCTGTATCAAAATATCTCCCATACACCCAAAATATATACCTACTATGTACCCACAAAAATTAAATATTTAAAAATTTTTAAAAAGTTTAAACCAAATTTGAAACAATTGTCAAAATGATTGCTGTCACTGACATAAGTAAAATAATGAGAAATAATGTGCAAGTTTCATTTAAATGTCTATTAATTAACACATCATTTAAAATGATTTTAAAGCATTCCTTTGAAAATTAAAACTGCTATGCTTTTTTTCAGTGCAGCAGTAATTCAAAGAAAGGCTCCTTAGAACTCTCAGAGCCCTCACCACTTAGCCACAGAAAGGTGTACATGAAATATCCAGTAATAAAATCCTTAAGCAACTAAAATAAATGAACTGAATGATCTAACAGTAGAGATTATGATAACTGAAATAAAATCTTTATTATTTTTGCTTTCTTTAGATGATGAGGGTGAGAAAGTCAATGGAACGCAAACATTAGAAATTCACATTTTTTACAGAGTATAGGTTGGCATTGATTTTTTTTTTAATCACTTCTACTGAACACTTGAAAGCATCCAGGCAGAGTCCTAATAAGATATATCTCAGAATTCATGATGAGGCATTGTCAACAGGCCAAGGAGAAGTCCTCCGTGCTGAATGTATGCTTCAATTGAATTTTTCCTTCCCTGTGATTGCTGGCCTTTGTAGAGAAAGTTGACACACTAAGAGAGGCATGTAGTCATGTAGGAAATATTTGAACTCTCATGCCCTGTTTGGTGGAGACATCATTCCTATATATCACCTCTTTAATAAATTGAGATCTGAAGCCTTTTGTAGATTTTAAAAACAAATAAACATGCTTAAGAAAGATGCACCTTGGAAAGAAAGCAGCCAGGTTACAGAAAAGTGCTTAGATTGGCAATCTTAAAGTAATTTAAGTGATCTGGAGTTGGGAAAAATAAAATAGATTAAACTTTTTCACATATCCTTTACCCTAGCTCTTCTACCAATAAATAGCAAACAAACAAAAAAGTACTAGAAAGGTAAGAAAAACCTCTTTTATATTTTCTGGGCCACTATGTCACAATTATAATATAATAATATATTATATATTACTAGCACAATTATAATTTATCATATCTAAAGAAAATTATTAAGCCAGGGTGCAGCTATGATCCAATGAAAGGAAATATTAATACATGGTCTTATGAACATATTCACAAAGAAGAGAATGCTTATCTTTCTGGTCATGAGTCTTAAATATTAGGCATCCCAAGCTCTCTTAGGAACCACTACTGTTTTTATCATGTATAAATATATCCCAGACTTTTAGAAACCCTATCTAATTCATCAGTGTTGTCTTTTAGGGTAACAAGCTCCTTAAGTAGATAACCAACCGGTTACATTAGTATCCTGCCTCTCTTATTTCTCCTAAATTTACTTATCCAAGTAGTAAAAAGTTATGTAGTAGCTTCAATTCTGGTGAAGAAAATTTAGATCTAGTTATCCTTGCAAAAAACGATAAATGAGAAGAGAACATTTTGATCATTCTTAGGACTGATCTTTTAAATTCTTACTGAAAAGTGACCAAAAGCTCAGGTGAAAGTAATTAAAAGTAATACTAGCACCCTGGCAGCAATTCTAGGATTTGTATTTGGTTCATTGCCAATATGAAGGCATATTGAAGGTAAATTATGCAGGAGGAGAATATATTTCCAAGAGAGTTTGACACAAGCTCAGCCTGTGAATTATTTGCTTTGAAATGCCTTCATATTCTCCTGCTTGGAAATTCTGGTCAAGAGAAGAGAGCAAAAACAAGCAGCAAGCTCATCCTAAGCGTATAGACAAGTGAACATTCAATAAAACGTTTATCAGCCTGCAATAAAGTTTTAAAATGTGCTGGACCATCCTCCCCTAGAAAAGAGGAGGTACAATAAATAGTTATTATATTAAACTTTCAGAGACCACCCCATCCATCTTGATGTTCTAAACACCAGAAGTCCCCAAAGCGGCTTTCACTAACATGCTATTTGAAACTAGTAGTTAATTCCTGACAGCCGTTCCTCCTACATATTTTCTAACCTCTTTGACCCAAAGGTGGATTTACCTTGAAGCAATGAAGTTTAAGCTTTAGACTCTTCAGTTATAGGCCTGATGAAGAACCCAAGTCATAGATTCACATGATTTGGGGGTTTTATAAAATTTGCAAAAGTAAAATTTTCATTTTTGTGTTCTCTTTCTCAAAGAGGCTCCACCTCTACTCTCAATTATTAGTGTCTGGCTCCACAAAACCTGGACTGCCCCTTTTCCAACCTCGCTGTTTCTGAAAATGTTCCCTACAGTTTATTATTTACCAAAAATCTGGCTTTCATGAGATGCCACTCTGCACATCCTTTCTTGCTTTCTTGGAATATTTCATCTAATGGAGAATGTCTATTCCATGATTCAACTCAGGCCTCAGAGCCAAGGTTAATATGCTGTAAGATTCCAGATACTAGCTCTTCAAAATTCATTCAAGCCCTTCTTCTTTTGAAGACTCATGCTAAACAATTATACCACAGGTTCTTATCTTTGTGACTATAATCTACAGTCTTTGGAGGCATTGTCCAGCACTCAGAGTGTTCATGCTCATTGGTATCACTGAGATTGCAATTATGCCTGGCTTGGTCCCAAAACCTTTCACCATGGACCCCACTAAATACCTAAGTATTATAATTCTGGAGCCTCCTCCTTGCCTACAGTCTTATCTCCACTGCACTTTAACTACCATATAGCTGCTTTAACTACCATATAGCTGCGTATACATTTTGACATCACTGTGAAAAGCTCTCAATGCCAATTCTTTAAGAATCCCTTTCTCTGACCACAATCTCTTATTCTTTCTGTGCATTGATTTCCTTTCTCTGACTCAATCGGTTCTTCTGCCTTTTATTTTTTTCTGCTCCTCAATTAATCCCTTGGCACTTTATTTTTCCAGCATGGGCTTTGAAGTAAGCCAGGTATGGTTTTGAATACTTTGGCACTTACCAAAGCTATTTTACAAGCTTCTCAACCTCTCTAAGTCCCAGTTTCCTTTGCCTAACATGAGGAAAGAATGCTCCTTCCTTTTCCTTAGTATTACATTTTATGGGAATGTTATGTCAAGAACCTAGCATACTCAGTTGACAGCAGATATACAACGTTAGTATTTACGTAATTATGTATAATTAGGTACATAGATAAGAGAAAAAGAAATAAGTTACTTATACCCCATTATCCTTTATCCTTACATCACTGATCCTCAATGTAACCTTTAGTGCCTTCAGCTTCAGCGTTATTTTTGCAACTGCCCTACCGGAGCTCAACTCTTGATTTATCTCTTTTGTTCCCTCTCCCTTGCTGCCGGTTCCATCAGTGCTACTGAACAGTCATGCATTCAAGCAGAATGGTGCCTCAAAAAAGCCAAGTTTTCTACGCCTTTGGTGATCCTTAGATTTACTATCCCCTCATTTGTCTTTGTTTGTATGCCTTACTGTGGCATTTTTCTTAAGCCTTAGCCAGTCTCTAAGCTTCCTAACACAGCCCTGCTCTTCTCCCTCTCTGTCAACAGCCTGCTCTCAATATAATAGAGAGAACAGAATCTAAATGTCTATAGGTTGGAAGTACCTCAATGTCCCTCAATTTAACCTCTAAATTATAATAAAATAGAAAATTTACTACTTGTTATTACAACTGGACTGAATTGTCTCTTGACAGACAACTAACTTTGTTAAAACACTTTTTTTTAACTTTGTTAAAACATTTTTTTTTAATCTTGGTTAAGTGTTTGTTTGTGTAGTTGGTGAGTCAACTGAGAGTTGAGTACCAAGGCTTCAGATGAGAAGGAAAATTATACAACAAAATCGAGAAAGGAAATTTTGGAGCTCCAGATCAGTCTGGGAGGAAACAGCTGAAAAAGGCAGAGAGAGAAGAGGATTAAACAGTAGGTGACTGTACTTTCTATGAAGTGACCCCTTCAACCTAGTCCACCAGTTCTGTTTTCAATCTAATCTGCCAAATTCATGAAATCTGGATGTGAGTTATTTTTGTTGTTGGAGAAATGAGAGAAGAGACTGATTTGTGGAAATCAAGGAAGTGGTGAGAATTAATAAAATGTGGAAATTAGGAAATTGGAACTTAAAAAAGAGAAGAGCTAACAGTTAATGAGTTGTTAGTTTGAAGTGCTTTACCTATATTGCTGCACTACATCCTCATATATACCTGTGGTAGATATTATTCTTATCATCATTTTAGAGTAGAATAAACCAAGAGGTTAAGTAAGTGGCCAAGTTTACAGAACTAGTTAAGTACAGGAAGTCAGACCTCAGATTCCGTGATATGCTATGTTGCCATATCACTAAATTGCCTCAATCAGCACTTTATCCTCAGTGAATTAAAAGAAAATATGAGGAAGCAATTCGAATGTCTTCCGTTCGTGAATTTCAGGTTCAATAAAATTGTATCTAATGCTCAAGGGACAGAGAAACTTCCATCTGACACATGGGTTAAAAATCTCATTCTTAAATTTTATCATGCCAAATGTACTTCTTCTTGCCTAAGATAAACTTTTCTACAAATGTGTTGGACATACCTTCCCCTAACTCCTCCCAGAGTTTTCTCCACCTATCCCCTATTATCTTCCATAATCTCTGTGATTTCACTGGCTCACTCGTCTCTAATATTTGGATGCCCATTATTCTAGAAAACTTCCTCTGACTCATCTTCCTTTCTGAATTCACATTCTGCGTCCTTTCTTCCTTTCACATAGATGAGTTTTTCAGAGAAATTCACATTTCCTGCCTTTAACTCCTCAATCAATTTTATTCGGCTCTTCACTAGTTCTACATTCTACCAAAATTTCTCTCAAAAAGGATAGTAAGATGTCATGAATCAAGAATAATAATGGTTTCCAAATTATGAGTTAACTTCACTCGAGCTCTAGACACACATTCCTATCTAATGACTATATCTACTTATGTTTTAAAATATTAATTACATCTCCTTAATCTACTCCTCTGTTTTCATGTATTAATAGTAACGTTAACGTCTTCCTAGTCACCCTAGACTTCTCTCCTTCCCACTCTGCAACATCCAACTGATACCCAAATCCTGTTGTTTCTATCTCAAAACCATCACTTCCATCAAACTTTCCACTCATGTCCTGTGACTCAAGAAATAATCAAATCTCTCTTTGTTTTAATTCACATATTAAAAAGCTACCAGAATTTTCTTACTAGAAGCCAGGTCTGACTTTGCCATGCCCCTGCTTAAAAACCCTTATTTGCTCAAATGATCCCTTAACGTATTCTCTTTGTCCCTATTATAACACTTTCTCATTGCATTTTATTGGCTAGTTACTTATTCATAAATTTCTTCCACAAATAAGAGGGCACAACTGCATATGGCTCTAGTGGGAAACCATTAGTTCAGATATATAGTAGATACCTAAATAAATGTTTGATGAATGGATCAATTATTGAATGAATAAATGCTTCTGCTACTTGCCTGAATTAATCATTATTCAATATAGGTAAGTAGAAATTTCTAAGTCTGAATTAATGGATACACAGCTAATAGTAAGATGATTTAGCCCCTTAAAGATCAAAATTAACATTTATGAGGAATCTGATGATAAAAACATTCAAAAAGTCAAAATTCCTCACTGATATACTCATCTTTAATGTACTGAGTACTGATCTTATAGCAATAATAAAAGAGAAAAGAAATGTCAGAGGCAGACTGAGAGGCAATGCATCATTTTGGTAAACAGTGCAGCCTCAAGGGACTCTCGAGCCAGGCTTCCAGGTTTTGTCATTGAATAGCTGTGCCTCGGTTTACCCACAAAAGTGATAAAAATAGTTAGTAGTAGATAGATAATAAACAAAAAATAGTAAATACTAAAATAGTAGAAAAATAAAATAGAAAAAACTAAACTCAAGGCCAGGTGCAGTGCCTCATGCTTATAATCCCAGAACTTTGGAAGGCCAAGGTGGGTAGATTGCTTGAGCCCAGGAATTTGAAACCAGCCTGGGCAACATGGCAAAAACCCACCTCAACAAAAAATAAAAAATTAGCTGGGTTTGATGGTGCATGCCTGCAGTTCCAGCTACTCAGGAGGCTGAGGTAAGAGGATTGCTTGATCCCAGAGTGGGGAGGTTGCAGTGAGCTGAGATCACCCCACTGTACTCTGGCCTGAGTGTCAGAGCAAGACTCTGTCTCAAAAAAATAAAAATAAATTTTAAAAAACTAAACTCAAGGGGTTTTCATGAGATTTAATAAACTAATAAATATTAGACACTATGGTACTTGGCAAAAGATAAGTGATAACAGGTATCACCTATTATTATTTACTCTTTGAGGAATTTAATACACTTATATGTAATTACTAGACACAAAAGAATGCATTTAGTCATTTCGACCCAAGAATATCCTGTAGCCTGGTCTCTCTAACACATAACTACAATACCGGACTCTAACTAAGAAGAGACTGTAGTAGGCTCCAAATGAATATGAATTATGTATACCTCAACATCTCCATACGCTAGGAATTATAAACACTATTTTTTTTTTCTTCCCAGGGAGGGAAACAATTAAGTATGAATGTTGCTAAACAATTGTCTATGATTATTGTTGGAAAAAGCAAACTAAATTGGTTGTAGATTAAACTTCCAATTTCTTTCCCTTTTTGATTTACTGTACTTCTTTCATCATAATGTAGCATATTTTGCTGCAAGAGATATAGTCATAGTATTTGGAATTTTTCCCACGGTGGTCTACCCATCTCTCAATTCAGCTTTTGCTCAAGTGTAATGAGAGGCTGGTCCACAGCCATTCATTTACAATGTCTGAATAAAAACGACAGAACACAAATTAGCCTCTCTTTAGAACACGCTGCTATGTCAGAATTCTGAACTGAAAAGAGAACTTTTCATTTGGGCAGGTGAGCGAGGAAAGGGACTGAAACACAAGATCCTTGTGATTAGGATATGTTCAACTGCAGAAAGTGCACAAAGGAAAGCTGATGAGCCGGCCCACCCCCTACTATCCACAACCATCTTCTCCATTCTGTTTCATGGAGTAATCAAAGGATATTCTGAGCCTCTCAAAATGCCATCAGTCCTTATTGAGAATAAAATAGAGCATCTCTCTCTCTCAAGCCTTTGCAGAAGCAATCATCATAGCAGGCTGGCCTGAACAGGGAGCTCTGGCAGACAAAGATGGATTTGTAAAATAAATAAATAAATACATACATACATAAATTAAATAACTTCCAAAAAATTTGAATAGAAAGTTGATGATAATGTGCCACTTCTATTATATAAAGGGTAAAGAAACTCACAATTGTCCTTTCTAGGTCGAGTACAGTAAAGAATAGGCTTCTTGATGAGATTTTCCCAGTAATTTACAGCAGAGCTGCGAATCTTGTAGCAGTAATACTAAAAATTAACCATCTAAATGATTTAGATAAAACATTCATTAACATTCTCAATCTAAGGATCCTCTCTAGTTGTCCCTCCCACCTCTTTGTGTCCTTTTCCAGCTCTGATTTTCCTCTTTAGCACTTTTTAACAAAGAGTGGATGAAGCCTATTTCAACTGTTCAGAAAGGCTTCTCGTGCCAGCTGATAGTTGCTCAAGTGTAAAATAATTTCATAAAGATCTCTGAAACATTCTTTAGCGCCAGACTCTCCTTAAACAAGCAGTGTTTCTAAGACACGCATTGTCTTAGTGTTGTAGAAACATGTTTGGCAGCAGCCAAGTCTAGTGCTGATAAGAAGCTACAAACAATAAGCACAAGTTGTTCTTTCAGGTGAATCATTATTTACTAGATAGGTCATTCTCTTTGGAGCCGGAAGACCTGACACTCGTCTGGTATTTGCCAAGCTCTTAACCAAGTTACTGAGTTATTTAATAGGCCAAGAATTTAGTGTTCTGTATAATTGGGATTCTGGTGTAAAAATAAAATGCCACAGATGCCAAAATGCTTTGCAAACTTTTAAGCACTGTTCAGCTGTCACTTATTTTTGTGAATGTCACAAGAATAAAAGTGATTCACTGATTTGAATTACACTGCTTGTAGCAAACTCCGAGGATGTAAAGGGGACAGGATATTTTTCAAAATAGTACTTCGTAGTCTAGAGTAAAACGAAAAAGGCTTCATAAAATTTGTCCCCAATATTTAAAAAACAAAATAAATAAAGTAGAAGTCTGTACCATCTCTTCCATCTTTTAATGAACTCCATTTGAATGATTATTAGGCTTATATTTTATTTAATTGCTATTTATTGAAGATTATTATATATATATTTTTAACCAAATGACGGGTGAGAGTTGAAAGCATAGACAAATCAGTAAAAAAACCTTACTTTTTACCATGTAACCTGGAAGTCTCAGCAAAAATACTTTGCCTCTCTGCTTCATTTTTGCCTTTGTAAAATGGCCATAATAATGCTTTTCAGTTACCCTTGTTATGAAGGTTAAGGGTAATAAATGTAAAAAAGCTCCAAGCAGAGCCTAATACATGAATATGTGATCAATAAATGGTAGCTATATTTAGGTTTGTGTTTGAGAATTTTGAAACATTTGTTTAACTTGTAAGGATCATTTTATCTTCAAGTAGGTAATGACTGAGTCCCGATACAGACATTGTTCTCCCTGCTTTTTTGCTCTGATTTTGGCTCTATCAATTCCATTTGTTCCTCCTAATCATTAACTCTTGATTACAGGGAGTCTCACAGAGGCATAAATCGAGCAGGGGCTCTGGCTTCTCACTGTGCTCCCAGTAAGATCCTTTTAAGCCAATTGATACTAAATCTCACTAAACTTAAAGTCAAAATCAAGATTTTCATGGTTTTGACCAGGGGTGGGGGGAACCAATAGAGCAATAGAGGTCTGAATACTAGAGTTAGACTTGAGAAACTGAAGCTTCTCACATACCCCTTAGAAGCACAAGGACACTGGGCTACAGGTTTTATATTTTCCAGTATCAGTATACACATATAAGATGAAAGGGTTTACACTAGAATGTCTTTAAGGTCCCTTGCAACTCTGACACTCCGCGAGTACATAGTTACTTATGCATCCACCTCGTACTACAACAGTGCATCTCAGTGAAGCAAGTCACTTCACTCAGAGTTCATCTATATATACTAAGGCCAAGGACAAACCACACTGGTTGTATTTCTATTCAGAGAAAATCTAGTGGAAACATATGTTCAGAGAAGGACATACATGCTAGGGAAAAAGAAGGAAAACCAAGTGCCAAAGGAAGGATGTTAAATTATGTTGTCCATATTGTAAGGAGAGCCTGGTGTCTGCATGTCAATGAGAGTGTGGGACTTTATACGCAATGAATAATGTATTTGTTTTAAATGTATATATATACACACATTGCCAATCTCTCCTCTTTTCCCGAATTGGAGGTCAGTTATAAATATCAGGCTGCTGCTTCAGTTTGGGTGAGGAGTAAAATCATTGTGATTTACCACGCTATGAGAAATATTTCACCTCTTTCACATGTGTAAACATGCATTTATAGGTTTATAATACCAATGGTTGGTGTTCAGTTTGACACACATAAAGGACTAGACTTTGTTTAAATATTAAAGAGAAAAATAATAAGATTAACATTTATTACAAGAGAAAATGTCGAAAGGGATACAGGCAATTATTTAACAATGGAAAAAGCAGATTCCCTGAAGAATAAAGCAGTGACTATAGAGGAATTCATACTGTACCATAACAAGGAGGCATTATACAAAGTTCAAATCTACTAGAAGTGATTTGTATGATACCTGGAGATACAATTTGATAAATTAAAACTTACCTCTTTATTACTAAAGAAATTGAGAAAATAGTTCAATTTTGTTTGTAATTCCTAAAGACAGGGCTAAATGAAGAATTTAGAATTCAGAGCTGGTACTATAGAAGGCTTGACATTAAGTTTAATAAGATATTATAACCCAACCCTATGAAAATCCTTAGGAAGTCAGGGATAAATTAAAGAACAATAACAATTTGTAAAAAAAACCTTTGTTTTTTAAATTTAATTTTGTTTTGTTTTATTTTGAGACAGAGTCTAGCTCTGTTGCCAGGCTGAAGTACAGTGGCGTGATCTCGGCTCACTGCAGCCTCCACCTCCCGGGTTCAAGTGATCCTCTTGCCTCAGCCTCCTGAGTAGCTGGGATTATAGGCATGCGCCGCTACACCCAGGTAATTTTTGTACTTTTAGTAGAGATGGGGTTTCACCATGTTGGCCAGGATGGTCTCCATCTCCTGACCTCATGATCCACCCACCTCAGCCTCCCAAAGTGCTGGGATTACAGGCGTGAGCCACCACGCCCAGCCTAAGGTACCGTGTTAAATACAAGTAAATCTTACAAAGAATAGCATAACTGAACTAATATATCCAGATTTTAAGAAAGTCACTGGTAGAAAAGACATTGCAAAAAAAGGTCCCTTGATATTTTTGTTATATATAAATTAAGTATTTGAAAGGTTTCTCAAATTAGTGGAAAATCAGAGGGGTCAGAACCATTTTTGATATCCCTGTAATTTCCAAGAGCTTGGAAGGACAAATGAATGCAATTTGACATTATGTCCTTATTTAAAAACAACAGTCAAATCTATAATACATAAGGAGAGGAGCTCTTTCTTAAAATATGCAAATTATCCAGCCACACCTCTAAAGTCAAACAGAAAGCACCAACATGATCTATATTTTGAAAGAGATCAATGTTGGGATGATGCTTGCAGCTCTGGGCAGTTTTGTGTGTGTGAGTTGGAGAAGAGTGGAAAATAAATTGCAGTGACTGGTCAACTGGAATGACCAAGGCATTTCCTTGGCTAAACGTTCAAAAATCCTTCAACTGTTAGTGACAATAGGATTATATATCATTTGAAGAGAGACCTACTAAAACATGCATCATTCCAGTTTCTTCCCTTGATGGAAATAATAGAAAGCTGTACTCTAAATAGATGAAGGCCAAAAAATAAAAATTGGTGCCAATAAATGATAAAGCATGGAAATATTAATTAATATTGTATTTCACTTGGTACAATGTAAACACTATTATTTAGAAATTGAGCCTATTTTCCAAAAAATAAAAAATAAAACTAATTGGATCTCGATTAGAGTAATATTATAGTAACTTCTGTGAAGTGATGAGGGCCTGAAATAGATTCAAGACAACAGAAACAGAAGATAGGAATTTGAGAGCTGTTTTTCAGGAAGGCTAAGAGAAAAAAAAAAAGTTTTTAAATTGAATAATTTAATGAGGAGCAAGAGATTTCAAAATCATGTTTCAAGCCATCCTAACATTGACAGAAAAAAAAGAAAATTGGAAGAAAGTCCATCTCACCTCCTGATAAAAGTTCTCAAGCATGTGCAATATAGAAATATTACAAAAAGTAGAAATTAAAAAGTAACAAAAACACATTTCTTCACCTTTGTTTGTGGTGGGGGGTTTTATTTGTTTGTTTGTTTTTGCCTTTCTTCTGATCCATTTCAGATCTGCTCATCTGCTCCACCAAAATGATTTCTATTCCAAGCTAGATAATCAGCCTCCACAAAGATACATTTAAAATGACTTTTTATAACCTCTTAAACTGATTTAGCTTCCTTTGTCTTTTTCCTATAATTCCTGGCATGTCTCTCTCAGAATATTATCTCCTCAACTAGAATATTAACTCTTTGATGGCAGGACCTCTGTCTTCCAACTTTGTACTCTCATTGCCCAACACAGTACCTAGCCTATGATAAACATTCAATATATTAATTCATTTACTCTTTCATTATAAGAAATTGAACAATTTGGCCAGGCATGGTGGCTCACGTCTGTAATCCTAGCACTTTGGGAGGCTGAGAGGGGTGGATGACGAGGTCAGGAGATCCAGACCATCCTGGCCAACATGGTGAAACCCTGTCTCTACTAAAAATACAAAAATTAGCCGAGTGTGGTGGCGTGTGCCTGTAATCCCAGCTACTCAGGAGGCTGAGGCAGGAGAATCGCTTGAACCTGGGAAGTGGAGATTGCAATGAGCCGAGATCGCTCCACTGCACTCCAGCCTGGCAACAGAGTGGGACTGTCTCAAAAAAAAAAAAAAAGAAAGAAAGAAAGAAAAGAAATTGAACAATTTAAAAAATTTCTACTTAGGCCCAGTGCTGTGGCTCACGCTTGTAATCCTAGTGCTTTGGGAGGCCAAGGAGGGAGGATTGCTTGAGGCCAGGAGTTTGAGACCATCTTGGACAACACAGTGAGACCATGTCTTCACACAAAAAAATGTTTTTTTAAATTACCCGGGCATGGCAGTACACAACTATAGTCTTAGCTATTCAGGAGGCTGAGGCAGAAGGATCACTTGAGCCCAGGAGGTCAAGACTGCAGTGAACCATGAATGATTGTGCCACTGCACTCTGGCTTGGGGACAGAGAGAGACCCTGTCTTAAAAACACACACACACACACACACACACACACACACACACACATTGATAAAAAAAAAAATAAAAAAACCAAAAACAAACAAAAGCCCTTGTCATAGGGAGGATCTTAAGAAGAAGAGCCCCTTCTTTTGTCTTAATAAAAACAAACAAATAAACAAAAACCCTCAAGCATCATGTCAAAGATACCACCATGTCAAGCCAATATCCTGAGACTACAATCATTTATCATCAAGTAGCAGCCGTTGTTAGAAGTGATGTTGATCCTTGGTAAATTGCAACCACAGTAACCTTGTCATATCATCACAAAATTCTCGCACTATATCATTTAGCTATGAGATACTTCCTTAACTTGTGTCCATAGGGTTTTCTCTTCTATGTTCAATCACATAAGGAAAAAAGTTATGCATAGAGGCGATGCAGGATTTTTTTTGCTCCTTAGCTCAGCTAATCTGGGTTTTTGTTTGACGACCATGAAGAATTAGGCATGCGGACACATTGAAGGGTGAGGAAGGTGGAATGTATTAAGTGAAAAAGAAAGCTCTCAGCAAAGAGAGGGGGTCCTGCAAGCAGCTTTCCACCTCCCTCAAATTGAATACTAGCACCACCACACACGAGATAAAGAGGCCAGGCTCCTCCCCTGGATAAGGCGCAAATTCCTGGTGGTTCCACCCCATTCCCCCAGTGCATGTGGGCTTCCAGTCCACTGCGGGCACGCCCAGGCAAGCACCCCATGCAGGCTTCCTTATCTGCACAAAATATCTGGTGTAAACACTTGTGGGGGCGAGTTGGAGACTCTCTGGGGACCCTTCCCTATCTGCCTAGGCCTTTGTCTGCCTCCTACCTCTATCAGAGGTAGGCCAAAATGTTTTTGATCATTTTCTGATGAAATGTTTCTTAGAAGAAAATACAGCGTGACCTGGCGTGGTGGCTCACGCCTATATCTCAACACTTTGGGAGGCTGAGGCGGGCGAATCACTTGAGGTCAGAAATTCGAGACCAGCCTGGCCAACAGGTGAAACCCTGTCTCTACTAAAAATACAAAAATTAGCCAGGCATGGTGGTGCATGCCTTAGTTCCAGCTACTTGGGAGGCTAAGGCAGGAGGATTGCTTGAACCTGGGAGGCAGAGGTTGCGGTAAGCTGAGATTGCGTCACTGCACTCCAGCCTGGGTGACAGAGCCAAGACACAGTCTCAATTAAAAAAAAAAAAAAAAAAAAAAAGAAAAGAAAAGAAGAAAAGAAAGAAAATACAATTTTAATGCATGAGATATAATCAGGCAATATTTTAAAACATAACTAAGGTTAAAGCTTCATCGATTTGGTTCCAGAATGTGAGATTTCTGACTTTCAGTTTAGTTTTTTTATCCAGATTACCGTAAAGTGAATGAAAAGTTTTAGGGTCCTTCAGTAGCAAGATGTTTAACAGCAACTTGAAATGAGAAGTCTCCCTCCTCCATCCCCTCTGTTAGCTTAGAAATATGGCCTTTGTGTGGGACAACTGAAATCCAGACTCGATTTCTAGCTCTTTTTCTTATCATTTGTAAGTTACGTAAACTGTCCATAGCTCAATTATTTTTTTAAACTCTTAAAATTGGACTGGCAGTAGTAGTTACCTCCTAGGGCTTTGTGAAATAAAAGTGAGATATTTAATTTAAATCACTTAGCATAGTACTTGGGTTATAGTGAGCATTCAGTAAGTTTTAGCTGATATTATTATTATTATTACTATTTTTATTATTTCATAAAGGGACAGGATTTTGATTTATTGAAATACTAAGGCAAATCCCATTGAAACTTACATTTTCTTTTTTTTTTTTTTTTTTTTTTTTTTTGAGACGGAGTCTCGCTCTGTCGCCCAGGCTGGAGTGCAGTGGCGCGACCTCGGCTCACTGCAAGCTCCGCCTCCCGGGTTCACGCCATTCTCCTGCCTCAGCCTCCCGAGTAGCCGGGACCACAGGCGCCCGCCACCACGCCCGGCTAATTTTTTGTATTTTTTTTAGTAGAGGCGGGGTTTCACCGCGTTAGCCAGGATGGTCTCGATCTCCTGACCTCATGATCCGCCCGCCTCTGCCTCCCAAAGTGCTGGGATTACAGGCGTGAGCCACCGCGCCCGGCCTGAATGTCATTATTGAGAATGACATCATTGTGTCTGCATTATCATTTTGCTCAAACTTCTACTGGTTTATGCATCATAAGGAAACATAGCAAAATATAATAAATCTTACAGGAGAGACCAAAGATTTGCTTGCATTTCTTTCTTTTTATGCAGGAGTTGGGGCTAAATTTATAAAAATCTCATGGTTAATTACAGTGTGTGTGGTAACCTTATAAAAATAAATATCTATATTAAAGTTATGAAATCTAATCTGAGAGCAAAGTGATATGGTGTAAAATAAAGTAGAGAGAATCATATTTTTAGCAGTCAAGATACTCAACTTACATTCAATGACTTAGAAATTGATCAAATTTTTGAGATACCAAACTTCTTTAATTTTCTTCATTCTTCTTCACTTCTGCTTACATTTTATTTTTCAGTTTATTTATATATCTATTCTGGGAGAAAGCGTGTAAGAGGAAGAGGAAAATGCAAATAAATCTATTTAATAAAGTTACTTCTTAGCAGATAGAAAAGAAGGGAAAAAGAAGTTACATTGTGATGATAAATCCATTGCGGGTTACTCACTTCACTAATGTGGAGTAGCTACAATTTCTCTGTCTTCCACTGGCTGAGATAATTAAGAGTTAGCTGATATGTTTTGACAGAGGAGCATTTAATCTTAAAACTATTGCTTACAAATGACTGGATGGGCTTGCAATTGAAACTATGTCTTCCTCTATAAAAATACATGGAAGCTTTTACATTAAATTAAATTTTCTAATATCATTAAAGCTAAAATATCTTCAGCCACATCAGTTTATTCACTATTTTTATTCATTGCTATTTCATTTAATATACAATTTATTATATCAAAAAAATATAATTCTAGGTAACTCAAAAGACCAAACTTAGCCATTGTAACAAAAAAGAAAGAAAAAAAACCTATGGAGAATTTTTAAATTATGCTGAACATGTAATCGAAAATATTAGGCAGCATGTGTTTAAATATCTAGAGAAAAGAAGGCCGCAATGGAAACTAAATCCAATAGACTGAATATACAAAGGGACAATGGCCTGACCATATGTAAAAATAGAAACAAATTGGGAAGCAAACCTCCTTATCTACAATAAACAGCCCAGCAAACCAGCCTTTTGTAAATCAGATTTGCAGGAAGTCAGATTGCTATCTCTAGTAACAACCCAGGAAGCTACACAATTACTTGTATAACAATCAGCTCCAAATGACCAGAATTGATTAATAACTGGCAGCTTTCCTAATTTTTGTCCTTGCTTCCAACTTCAGACCAACAGAAAAAAGTCAAACATGCACCTCTAACCAATGGCTTCTAGTTATCCTGCCTATAGCTTCCCCAGGCCAACAGTCTCTAATGAGGGCATAGATGAAGCCTTCCCTTTTTTTTTTTTTTTTTAACCCTACACAGCTTTCCCACTCCTCTGCGGGCCTTTAAGTCTCTGCCAAAATGTAACTGATGGAGCTGACTTTCTTGCTATAGCAGTCTCTGAATAAATACTCTTTGCTTTTTTCGTTTGGTTAATATTCATTTATTTCCACACTATTGGAGCATCTATTCCAGGTCCATTAATAGGTAACGTGCATGCATACACTAAAAAGGTAATCTTCATAATATTCCGTGAGAAAATTTTTAAATCCCCATTTTACAGATATAGAGCACGGTTTGCAGAAGTTAAATAGCTTCTCATTTTCTCCTATTTTTACATCACGCTAGAGTAAAATAGCTTTTGGTGTATTATTGCTTAAAAAGATTTGAGGCCAGGCATGGTGGCTCACACTTGTAATCTCAGCACTTTGGGAGGCCACGGTGGGTGGATTGCTTGAGCTCTGGAGTTCAAGAGTAGCCTTGGCAACATAAGGAAACCCTGTCTCTACAAAAAAATATAAAAAAA
This sequence comes from Homo sapiens, assembly GCF_000001405.40. Taxonomy (NCBI): domain Eukaryota; kingdom Metazoa; phylum Chordata; class Mammalia; order Primates; family Hominidae; genus Homo; species Homo sapiens. The sequence goes on from NC_000002.12 coordinate 211,417,327, forward strand.
AATTAGCTGGGCAGGGTGGCATGCACCTGTGGTGCTACTCTGGAGGCAGAGATGGGAGGATCTCCTGAGCTTGGCATGTGGAGGTTGCACTGAGCCAAGATCGTGCTACTGCACTCCAGCCTGGGTGACAGAGTGAGATCCTGTCTCAAAAAAGAAAAAATTTTAAGGTAATATTAAAAGTATATCTAACAATAGTAACAGCAGCTGTAAATTAGGTAAGTGTTTTCTAGCATGACTTAAATTTGTATTCATCAACTTTCTGGACAAATATAAACATTGTATTTTGAATTGATTCATTGCTTTAAAGTTGTAATTTATCAAAATATTTGTGGAATTGAAAAAATCAAAAGCACTATAAAAAATTACTTCTGTCTTTATTTGATATTAGAACACATCAGCAGAAATAATTTGCTGGCCAAGCAGTAATTGCATCAACAAGCTTTTCATAGATAGTGGGTAGAGCACCTTATAAGAAAGTGTGATTATTTATGATATATGATATTGACAAGGAAAAAGGTAAAAATGGAAATGGTAAAAATGAAAAGTGAAATTGATGATTCTAAAAGTAGAGTAATAAAATTTGTTTACCTGGCATTATAAATACTCTGCAATTTTTTAAAGTTAATTGCCTAACACTCATATAAGATAGGCAATATAGCATTTAGAAAATGAGGAAACAAAGTCATAGAGATATTCAGAACATTACCTAAAGTTTCTTAATTAGTGCGCAGTGGAGCCTATATTTTCAAAATGCATTATTTTTTTTTTTTTTGGTTTCAAAGTCTATCACATATGCTTAAGAAATATTTGATCAAAATTCACTTTTAAGATGTTCCCTTAGCACGTTATTTAGCCACCAAACTTAAAATGGTAGTAATTTGTTTTCTAATTTAGCCAAACTTAAAATGGAAGTAATTTGTTTTCTAATTCAGCCATGTAGGAAAGAAAGGAGGAACATGGCATTTGTACATGTTAGAAATTTCCGTAAAAGTTACGTAAAGCCAGACTGAAAACTATTAGGACAATATAGATGACAAATAAAGCTTTTTAAATGCCTGAACATAAAATGATACAATGATATTTAATCACCATTTCTTTTCCAAGGACTGAAAAAGTAAAAAGAAATCTACAGGTAACATTGTTTTATAATGTGGAATAAGAAATGATGGCTAAAGGTCAAATAAGTCCACGGGTGATTTAGACTTTGTCTCAATAATTCCATCTAGCTAGCTCAAACCTTTATTAAGAATTTCTTGCACTGAGAATTATAAATTAAAATGAACAAAAAGCTGAAATGTAAGAATTCTTATAAAAAGAAAAAGATTTATAGCATTGCAAGCTAAGAAAGAAAAACTATTTTTTTTTAAATTTCACTGTTGTAACCAGAAGTAATGAATTTGTCACTTAAAATTATAAATACAAGGGTATATAATTTGATCATTTTGCAAAGTGTACAGAGAGCCTCCTTTATACACCTTAACCGCTTTCTTCCCCTCTCACAAGCAAAAGACTGATTATTCATTACCTATCCATTGATCTAATTTTTAAAACTTTTAGTTATCTATTCCCCATTGGGCATGTGATAAAGTTTTCAGTTTGTACTATAATATTTTTTAACAGAAAAGAAAAAATAATTGAGGTCTCCATCTTTGTCTCTTTCCATATCAGATCTTCTAAATGGAGGTAGATGAGTAAAAGGTGTAGAGCAGATTTGAGATGCATTTTATAAGAAAACCACCTGGGAAATTTCCCAAACAAGACAAGTCCCAGACTCTAATCACATCATGGAAATAACATGCTTCAGTAACTTTGAAGCAAACCTACAGTGTAGTAGGCAGATATCTAGATTACATTATTCCTCTCTTCCACTGACTAGCTGTGTGACACCAGTCATATCACCTGACTTCTCTGTGGCAAGTTTCTTCCTTTGAAAGAAGGGGATGATAATAATAGAACCTCATGAAGTTTGTTTAAGGATTAAGGAGGTTAACATATATGTGTTGAATAGTAAACACCAGGGGAATATTACTTATTACAATCAATATGAAATAAAGAAAATTATGTTTGTTAGATAATGAGCAGCAAGTTGAAAATATTCTTATGGCTATGGTCAAGAGAAATCGGATGCTGTCGGTTCTACTAGCTATGATAATGTTCTTAGATTAAGAGAAAAGAATTATCTTCTAGAAAAAATTAAGCATCATGTTTATATCTTATCAATGGAAGAAACTGATTACAGACACAAATTTACTACTTCTTCATGCTCCGTACTGGTCAGTGAATACTGGATTACAGCACTTACTATGCAGTCCCTCTATCTGTATGATTCTTTGATTAAGGTTTTCACTTCTTGAAAGCAGAAGTTGTATCAAAATTCTTTGAGTCTTAAATGTATACTAATGCTTCACATACAGTGGTACTCAATATATGTTGAATGTATGAGGAATGAATTTATAAAAATAAATGCATGGATTTGACAGCTTTCAAAGAAAGAATGGAATTCATATAGAGTAGGTTTAACATTTAAAATGTAAAGTGTTTTCAGAAACTTCCTTCAAAACTTAAATCTACTTCTTAAAAACAAAAATCTACTTCTCAGCAGCCTTTTCGATGTGATTAGGTTCAAAGGACTGCACGGTTTTCTGTGTTTCTACTTCAACTTGACAGAAAATATTTAATTTTTCTTAAATAAGTGAAAGAGATTTATACTTGTATTACTTCTTGACTAATATATCATAATATCTTTTTAAGAAAGAAAAGTAGAAAGCCTACTTGGTAGGAATTTTCATTTATTTATATACACATAATGGTTTTATTAGTTGGAATTGTTTTTTAAAGTTAAGATTTGTTTTAAATAAATTAAGATGAGGAAAATGTTTTGCTTCTGAAATCTTGAAGGTATTTCAGAGTACATGTTGTATTGTCCATGCTTGTCTTCCAAAATTAACTACATATAGCAAGATTGGCACATCTTTTGTGGGTATGGTATATTTTTAATCTAGGCATCACATTGATTTGAGCTATATAATTATTTTGAAATGTTAGTGCTTATGAACTATTACATGATTTTATATCTCAGAAAGAATATGATATGTGTATATAATTATTTCTTACCCTATTCGAGTCAATTCTTGCTCTGGAAGTATAGATGGGAGGTGGGATGTTGAAAGCCTGAGGGACCAAGTACTCCTCAGCATCCATCATATCTTCCAAATCCTCTTCATCCAAGAGATTCTGAAAGAACTTGCTGTCATTTGGACTGGGAAGCTTCATACGATCATCACCCTAAAAGAAAGATTGCCCATCAGACACAAATATGATTCTTTCTTATCTTAAATATGTGGTCTCTGCAATAAATTTATGTAATATCATAACAAATGGTTGAAAAATTCATACACACATTTTAAAAAAACAAGTCTTTAGCACAACCACCGGCCATTAAGAAACCTATAACATGCTTAGAAATGATAGGGCCAGGTAAACAAACTTTATACAAGGAGAATATGATAAATGCCATTAGAGAATAATAAAGCAAAATCAAAAGATGTTTTTAGGGAGGTAAAATCAATTTCAGGTCTGAAAATAATTGTTCATTGCCCAGATAGTGTATGGGTTGCAACTTTAAGAATAAACAATAAAAGGTGATCAATTTATCAACGTTTATTTGGTTGGTTTGATGCTGTAGGATTATCAGGACCATAGGGTCTATACTTTATTCTATAGCATACTGACTGCATTATCAAAGTAGGGGCATTCAAAACTCACAGTGCAAGTGGCAAATAGAGTAAAGGAGTATGAGAAAGACACCAAAACCTTTGTTATGCTCTTCCTCACCTCGTCTATTTCTTAAGTATTTTTCCTATATTTTTAAAGTTACATAATTTTTGGAAACAATTTCAGTTCATGAAAACTAATTTTGGGGAAAAAATAAATGGAAATAAGTATCTTCTAAAACCTAGCTTTTATCTTTATGTCAGACTGTCGATATGAAAATAAAGGCTACCTTGCTTTACTGAGGAAACATAATACACTCTAGTCCAAGGCCCATTTGTTTAGAGTTTAGGTGAAATTAATCCTAGAGAAATATATTATTATTTTTTAATTATCCAAGTCTATCTATTTTTCTAGTGTTAAATATAAAATATTTCTTTGGTTGGTTGATTAAAATGTGCATCAATTCATTTGAATTGAGTTATTGCTTAGATACTGCATATCTCTCCAAATAAAACAAAACATATTTTAAAATATTTTTGGGGAAATTAAATAATATACTGAAACTTTTGATTCACTGTCTTCAAGCATGGGCAAGATTAAAACAAAAATCTGTCTTCCTTTTGTTCCGAAAAAAGAAAATTATACTAATGAACATGACTTACACATAATGTTAATAAAATCAAGGTGCTAAAATAAGTGTCTGAGGATTAAGACCTCTTTATGTATATGTATAATCATAATTATCTGTTCAGTAGCAGAGCCACTTGAATACTAAGGGAAGGTGCTAAAAGGTGGATCTGACGTGAAATAAAAAGCTCTTTTCCATAAGTCATGTCACATGATAATTCTGCTTAATTAATCAACATGTTTGTGGTCCTTTCCACAGTTCCAAAGTCCTGATACTACTCATTTTGCAGTGAGTTTGCCATTGGCCTAGTCTTAAAGGCATAAGTCAAATGTACTCACCTGAATAACTAGGTATCTTTGAGGGTCTCGAGCCATCCTTGAAAACTCAGCAGCCAGTTCCTTAAATTTAGGTCTACTGTCAGCATCAATCATCCAACCTGGAAATTTACACAGTGAAAATGTCACTATATTCGTAACTAGAAAGGAGTTGAAATTTAAATTTTGTGAAAATATGAGCAAAAGTTTGAAAAATGTTGTTTTAATCGTAATGATCTGAGAAAGAAAGCAAGCTAGTGAAAGAAACGACTCAATTGGTAAGGCTTTATCGGTCTCTTTGTTGATATTCATAACTAAATGTAATGTACTGTAAAACAAAAGATAAATTTTTTCTCTGATGTGTATAGACGTGACTGCAATATAAGTTATTATTTTGTATTAGGAGTGACATAGGAGAGAAGATTTGGTTACAATGCTTACACTGGCACAAACGGGAAAAGAGGAATTAAAAGCAACTTTCTTGTGCTACATTTGTCCTGGTGGACAAAAAAAAAAAAAAAAAAACTAATGCAAAGTGATTGGTAATGCCTGTTCAGCAATAGACATTAGCTTATCTTAGTACTAGCTTGTCTAGTATAAAAATACTATCAGCAATTTTCAAGGTATGTATTCTTATTTAGCTGGGAGTCTAGATAAAGCAGACCTTATCTCTACAGGCTCTGTTTAGCTAATGAGATGACAAGAATAAAAGTATCAAGCTTTCCTTGATTTTCTTGCCAAATTATCCTCTTCTTAGGTATTAAAACCCCGAAAGAAAGGTAAAATTCTCCATTAGGGAAAGTGTTTTCTTGGTTTTACATAATTAATTTCATCAGAGCTAAATTCTGATGAGTTTAAATCATTTCCTATGCTAGTTACAGGATTAAATTATATAAGACATGCATGTTTTTAAACTTTCTTCCATAGATGTCTACCAAACAATATTTAATAGAATAAGGCTGTAAAGCTTGTTCCTTCCTTTTCCGGGAGTTCAGTTTTTATTCCTATTCTGGGAATTTTTTGGGTGTCATTTTATGTATCATTAATGTCATCTGCTTTTTTTCTCCCCAAACAAAGCTCAAATGCTCTGTATTCTATATGCATTCATTTGAAAAAATGCTTGCTAATGCCAAGATGCTAATGAGAAAACAGGTGTTTCTGAAACTATTGAAGCCAAAAAAGGTTAACCACAGTTGAGGTATCGGTTTCTTTCCAACTAAATATTGAGTAAATAGAACTATGCTTAGTGAAAAGGGCAGGCTGACCTGAACTGCAAAGAACATTTTTTATTTCCTCCCTCACTGTCAGAATGTATCACACATGTCATGAATATAAATCTGAGTAGACCTGGGTCCAAAGTCTCTTATTAATAAGATGCTTATTCACCTTCACAAGTTTGTTTCTTTGCTAACCCCGTGTAAATCAGAAGGGGAAAGCCTTAGATTATACAAGAGAGATTGCTGCATGTTAATCTCACTTAAATTAAGCCAGAAACTCCAGAGACTTCCTCAATTCTATTTAAATTAAGGGCCTGTGCTTCAAAAACACATTTATAATACATATGTGTCTGGGACATAGGAAGAAAAAAGAAAAGTAAGAGTTTGATGTAAACAAATGATCAAATTGAAAAAAGTAAACATTTATAATCTTTTTAGCTCACTATAGATTCATTTCTTCCCACTTCCCACCTTGTCCTGCTAATTTGCTCCTGACTAAAACCAGTAGACCTATTTCTATTAAATTAATTTTTAAAACTGTCAGTTTCAAGCTTTTTTCCTTCATGTTTAGATCATTTATGTAGCCTGATATTTTCCCATAAAGGTCACTAATGTTTGATATTTTCCCATAAAGGTCACTAATGTTATTACTAACATTCATGTTAGTAATGTTAGTAATAACATTATTGTGACTAATTACCTCTCTTTACGACAGGCAATTTGACTGTCATGGAGATTATAAGAATAAAAGAGTCATAATTTTGACTTCATAGCATGGAAGAGTATTACTTTATATTAATAATAGTCACAACAAAGAGGCGTTCATATGTTCCTTTCATAATTGTTTTTGAACTGTCGTATTTTTCAATACAGAGAAATGTTGTACAGATTGAGTAATCTCTGCTATTACTTTACTAAGAATGATGATGGTGATAACATTATTTTGCAGTCTTACATTTGACCATGACCATGTAAACGTCAATAGTGCAGATGGGAGGCTGAGGCAAACGTTCTCCTTTCTCTAATAAATCAGGGATTTCTCGCGTTGGAATTCCATCATAGGGTTTTCCTCCAAAGGTCATCAGTTCCCATATAGTAACTCCTATATTGGAGAAAAAATTCTTACTTAAGCATATTAACAACATATGTTGAACAAACCAGCACTATACCAGTAGTAAAAGAATACTCCTTACAGGTCAATCCAAACACCAATCAATTAAAAAAAAAAAAGCTCCATAAATTCCTGCATCCATTATGAGAACCCCAATGTCAAAATCTTTGTGGGGGAATTCAATTTTCTTATTATTGTCTTGGAATTTCTAATGGATAGAAGAGACAATTTACAGTGGATGTCAGCATATAGAATCTGTTCCCCATTTCTGCCTATAGGTAACACTAATGTTTGCTGATCCAAGTTATACCACGTTACAGTCCATAAAACAATTCATCTACTATATATACATATGTATTCAGTACCAATAAATATGCTTTTGCCAGTAAAATAAGATATTGACTAATTTTAAGATCAGCATCTTTGCTATAAAAGGCTTCCAGAATAATTACCTTATGTTACAATAAAGAATTGTGACTCTCTCTAACTTACACAAAGAAAACAGTTGAATAAAACATAGACTTCTTTAGCACATATGAGAGCCTGAGAGAGGAATGTTCCATACGTAATATATAGTACATGTGAAGTAGTCACCAACAAAATTGTGAAGGGGATAGAAAGTAGTTTATTTTTTAGGTAATAAAATGGCTTTCTTGAATCACTGGGACATTGATTTTCTCTGCAAAAGCAAATACCCTAAATGGTAGCATGCAAACAGCCAGTTTTGGTGATAATGATGGTTCTGATTTGAGCAATAATATATACACTAAATATCTTTTTTGTAATGTAATGATTATATAATTTAAGATAATATTTTCTTAGGGATAAAGATTTTTAAGTTCAGACATGGCTAGCTGGGCACAATAATATTACAAAGTGAATTTTGATTGATGTGTATATACAGTCATCTTTCAGTATAAAATCCATTAATTAGAGCTATGTTTTCTTTCCTATTGCCATCTGTAATGAATTATTTACTCAGGCTGAAGTATTTTTTAGTTTATAACAGTTATCATTGACTGATAACAAAAATACAAAGCTTAAAATATAAAACTATGTGGAATTTAAAATTATTCTTTCTAATAGAATATTAACTATTACCTGATTTTTTTGGTTAATATTTACATCTTAGGATTTTAGGTATATTGTTAACATGTACCTAGTGACAATTTAATTGACTGATTGTTATTACATCTTTAATTTTGTATATTAAGGAGAAGCTCCTAAAATCTATCATAAAAATTTTCTATGAGGCAGGCTGCAACAAGTTAAGTGGATGACTGTTCATCTCTAGATAGTCATACTTACAGAATATATATATATGTTTTATATTTTAGAATATTTTATATTTAGAATAGTTTATATTTTAGAATTATCTATTTTGTATTTTAGACAGGGTCTCAATCTGTCACTCAGAATGGAATGAAGAGGCATGATCACAGCTCACTGCACCCTCAACTTCCCCAGGCTCACATGATCTTTTCACCTCAGCTTCCTGAGTAGCTGGGACTACAGGCATGAGCCACCATGCCTGGCTGATTTTCGTATTTTTTAGTAGATAAAGGGTTTCAGCATGTTGCCCAGGCTGGTCTCAAACTCCTGGGTTTGAGCCATCTGCCCACATCGGCCTCCCTAAATGCTAGGATTACAAGCACGAGACACCGTGCGGGGCCTAGAATATATATTTAAGGAGAACACTTTATTAACTTAGGTAGGTAGTTATAAAAGATAGAGTAGATACTCTCACATTTCTAGCAGAACTCCCAACATAAGCAAGATACAAAGCAACTGTAAATCAAAATAATAGAAAATATAAAATACAAAAACAAAAGCCAAAATATAAAAAACTCTACTTCTTCTGATAATAATCCAATTATATCCTTGTAAAGGTGATGACAAGATAGGGTTAGAAAAGGATGGTTTCAAGCAAAAGAACAATGTCAGGAAAGCTAAAACAAAACATCCTCGAATTTTACTTGCAATTCCTTTATCTTAAGATGTATATCACAGCCAGTGCTTATTTTGTAAAAATAAAAATGCACCTAGTGAGAATTTTCCATAAAGGTGCACTGTAAACAAGGTTATGCAACTTTATCTGCCTTTAACGCCTTTTGCAATCAACTATGATATATCACAACATTTTTTAAATGCCTTATGAATATGGGTTGATGACCTGGGCTGTGTTTCAAAACAGAGTACTACCTATCTATTTATTTATTTTTGCTGAACAGTTCCTGGGATTTTGCAACTCAACATGAAGAAAAATGTTACACCCTGAGTAACAAGATTTTCCCCAAAAGACAAATTTTACTATTAAAAATATGACTGTTCTGCCCAGTTTATATATATCTTGAGCTAATTTAAATTTGCCTTCAGGAGACTGCCTATATATCTTGAGCTAATTTAAATTTGCCTTCAGGAGACTGCCATATTTGATTCAGGGAACTGTAAGTAGAAAGAAAAAGAAAAAAGTATATACATATATAAAATATACTATATGATATAATATATAAATCTGACATAATATATATTCTATAAACCTATCTATATCATGTAATGTATAAATGCTAATCTACATGCTAATCTGTATCATATAATATATAAAGTTATCACAGAATACATGCAATAGATGTTTTTCTATACACTTCTTACAATAGTTTAGCAAGTAAGTTTTGTCAAGCATTTCCACTACATTTGTCTATACCTCAGACACACGACATTTTCTATTTCTAAGCTGAGTAAAATAAACACATGAAACCTTCATGAAAATTTTACCACCTCCTATGGAATACATATGTGGAAGGAATAACCCACTTGATTGAAATGTCTTAAATACTTTTTTAAAGATAGTTAATTTTTTCCTAGATAAGAATTGTAAGTTCTTCAGTGATTGAATGGTTTATATCTTTTTTTTTCCAACAATGCAAAAAAGGTAAAACTTTTTTTTAAGCTTAAGTTTGAGTAACATAAATTGTACCATACATTTAAATCTCACCACCACCCTTTTATTTAAGTGGGCATTATGCTTTTTATTTGTAAGAAATGCTAATTTTATATGATATATTTAAACTTAGAAACGTATTGACTCCTTCTTGGTATTACCGGACTTACTTAAATTTTAAGTAGCCAGACAGATGCTAAATAGCTCATCTTAACAATTAAGTTAAACACAATAAAATAAATGTTCTAATTATAAATGTCACTCTTTTCCAGTTCATATTATTCACTCTGTAATATTTCTGTAACTCCACAAGTAGTTTGTAAATTAAAATTAATGTTGTAATTAGCAATCTTCTCTTTTACCATGTTCATTGCTCTAACTTACTGCTGTCAGTAATTTTTCTTTGTTATGACAATAATCTGTTTTCTACTATAGAACATAAATTCTTACATGCAAGAAACCCACAAAAAAGTTGGTTTTGTTTTTGTTTGAATATTTATTGTATTCAGAGTTATGTTTTTGAAAGTTGCTTAAAATTAACACCATGAAATTCTATGAAATTGTCCCTAAACTAAAATTGGCTGATTTTTTTTTTTTCTGTCAAAATGATCAGGCAAGTTCCTACAAAACCACAGCTTATGGAAAACATCTTAGCAGAAATATTAGTATATTACATTGTAATAAACCAGGAAAAAAAAAAAAACAGAAAAAGGCAGATAGCAATGCTATTTAGAATATTTTGTTGCTCTTCAATGGGAACACATGGACACAGGGAGGAGAACATCACACATCGGGGCCTGTCGGTGGATGGAGGGCAAGGGGAGGGAGAGCATTAGGACAAATACCTAATGCATGCAGGGCTTAAAACCTAGATGACGGGTTGATAGGTACAGCAAACCACCATGCCACATGTATACCTACGCAACAAACCTGCAGGTTCTGCATGTGTATCGCAGAACTTAAAATAAAATAAAATAAAATAAAATAAAATATTTTTTTTTCATTGAGAAAGCAAAGAGTTAACTGCTTTAGGAAATTAGGCTTATCAATAGGTATTTATAACACAACAAAATAATTTAGCTTAAGATATTTCACATGAACTTAACATATGTATTTTTGCTTTACAAGCTTTAATTCGCAAAGAAGATTTATTTACCATAGCTCCAAACGTCACTCTGATGGGTGAATTTCCTGTAATGTATACACTCCAGAGCCATCCATTTAATTGGCATCTATAGAGAAGTAAGAAGTAAAAGTTTTAAAATTACATTAAAAATTCATTTCTATATGTATTTCCTAAATGTGAGTCTTTGGGCTGGCCTTAATCATATTTTTTTATTATGTGTGTATAGATATAACTATAACTATAAATATATGTTAATTTATGACTATAACTATAAATATATGTTAATTTATAAAATACATAAAGTGAATTAATCTAAAGATGTACTATACTTATTCATTTTTTATTTTATTTATTTTTTGAGACAGGGTCTCACTCTGTCACCCAGGCTAGAGTGCAATGGCACAATCTCAGCTCACTGCAATCTCTGCCTACCAGGCTCAAGTGATCCTCCCACCTTAGCCTCTGAGTAGCCGGGACCACAGGGGTGCGCCACCATGCCTGGCTAATTTTTGCATTTTTTTAGAGATGATCATCATGTTGCCCAGGCTAGCCTAGAACTCCTGAGCTCAAGTGATCTGCCTGCTTTGACCTCCCAAAATGCTGGGATTACATACGTGAGCCACCCTGCTTGGTCATACTTATTTTTTTAAAAAAAAAGCTTTATAAACAATTAAAGGTAAAAATAATTAAGTGGGGATAACTTTCTATAGTTCTTAATTAACATTCAGTAATTAAGTTGCTAGTAAATATTATGATTTATAATATTAAATCTAAACATCTAATACACATGCTTCTAAAAATGTGTTTATAGTTTTTTCTCAAAAAATGAGATTTGTTATACTTTCAGTTATCCCTTTTCACCCTCAGACACATTTTGGGCCACCAGTACAATGGACTCTTTCTATACTTGCCCCCTCCCTTCTCCTCTCATATAATTTGGCCACTAAAACGCCTAAAATCATGAATTCCAAAGTTAGCCTTGCTTTGTTTTCCAGCTTCAAATGACCCCTCTCATCTTGGTTAGCCAGTATTGAAAATATGTACCATTTTCAAAATAGGAACTATATAAAAGAATGTGAAAGGATCAGCACAAATCTATCATCACTACAAGAAAAACATCTCAACCCACATATCCTGCTGATGATGGGTCAGCAGAATGAGTTTCAACTATGAAGGGCAGCATTATATAGCTGGGAATATAATTAGATTCTATGGAATAAAGATAAACACTTCTACTTTGCAGTTGAAAGCTTAAAACTAAATAGGCCTTTGAAATCATGAGGTTGGCTGCTCACCAAGGTGACACCAAGGTAACTCTATGACAGAATCATGGTATTCAGTGAAAGGGAAGAGAAGACACATTGAAAGTAATTTCCCTACGGGCAAGGAGTTAGCAGACTTTATGGACTACGGACATTGTGTTAAAGAAGTAAGTTTAAATCACAGGTAGCTTGATAAAGACTTAATAGTTACCAAGCATTTAAAGCTATAATGAATCTTGCTTTAGACAAATCTTATGTCTCAAATCTTATGTTCTCAAGACAAGTGAAGCCATGTGATTTATAGACTTCAACTTCTGTGCAGTCTTAGAGTGAATTTCAATGCTGTGGTCTCAGACTACTGCAATTTGGTAGTAAACAAACAGGCAAAATAGGGTAGTTTTAAAATTTTTTGTGTTATTTTGCCTTGTGATAAAGTTAAGCATTTGGAAACCTATCATTGCAAAATATTTATAATATATATTTGGATGGCCCATATGATAAATAAGGCATATAATAAATATATTTATATGACATGAGAATAACTGGGTTTTTTTTTGTTGTTGTTAGTGTAAGCTTATAGGTCACCATAGCCTAAGATTGCATTTGCTTATTTCATTTGGGCTGCCTGACCTTAGGTTTCACTAGGTGAAGCTAGAGGGACCTCCATATGAAGTCTAGTCCTAATAGTTTGGCCAAGAAAGTCAAGCTAAAGAGAAGGTTAATGAGGAAATACAAGACATGGGACTAAGGCATGGATTGAAACCATATAGTGGGTGAAAGAGTCAGGAACTCCATTGTCAGGCAGAGGCTGAGACTAGAGGGTCAGAAAAGGTAGACGAGGCAGTGGCTCTGTTCAGGGTTCTTTGTAGTACCTAAACTTTTCTCTAATCTATGAGAGAGAATCTATGTTCTCTATAAGAGTTAGTGCTACGGTCTTTAGATCAGTGGGACAATTTCTACAGCCATGTGTTAAAGTTTAATTTCTAGAAGCCCTAAGGATCCACCCACTTTCCATCACTGGACCTAACATGAAGGTCACCTGGGTACAGACATGCATCATCTTATTTTAGCTACTTTTGAGAAACGGAAGCTGGTAATATATGGTATATATATATGTGTGTGTATATGATATATATATACACACACATATATATATACCCGGGGCAGGAGAAGAGGCAAATGGTAGAACCAAGGCTTAATAATCTCCTAAGCTTCAGGCTTATTGGTTTCTTGTATAAAATATAAGGAGATAAAAGGATATTATACTATATTTTCAAGCAAGATTGCTCTCAAAAAGATACCCACCTTTCCTCCATCAGCATTGTACTCTTTTTCATCTCCTTCCAAGAGTCTGGCTAGCCCAAAATCTGTGATTTTCACATGGTTTGGAGATTTCACTAAGACATTACGGGCTGCCAAATCCCGATGAACGAGTCGTCTTTCTTCCAGGTACATCATTCCCTGAAAAATATCAAGTTCCTTAATGATATTCAGTTAATGCCCAGGTTTTCCCATTTTTCTAAAACAAAGTTTCTTAGCCTTCAGTTGGAAGTGCCTAATTTTTTAAGTGAAGCCAGAATCCTAGAATATTTTCAAAATTAGAGAAAACCTGATTTGGGGGACAGCAAACCACAAACAGCTTTTGGTGTTTTCTCCCTAAAGTCCTATGAGATGAAAGAATTACTTTCACATGAGCTAAATGTTAGATCATTATTTTTCCAAGTGACTTGATATCCTTTTGCAAACTCTTTCTTTAGTGAGGTGTGCAGGTGTTGTAGTAAATAAGCTAACATATGCTTGGATTGACCCACATATTTGTAATCATTCCTTCTCAATAACTTCTGCTTCACGTCATCTTCCCCCTACACATCCAAACAAATACCTTTATCCATAATTTTTAGAAATATTTCATTTGAAGTTTAATGGTGCCAAAATCACCATTATAGATTCTATGGAGGCTGAAGAATTATACTATTCTTATTATACTATTCTTATTAATCATGCACAGAATGAAGTATATACCCTAGCAGTCTTACAAACCTGTAATTTTTAAGAAGACTTCTATGGTATCAGTAGTCATTATGAGAATCCATAGTGAAATTACACAGTTTGTAATGACACTGAAATTAGCCTTTAATATTTTACCTTTATAAAACATAGAGGGAAATTAAAAATAAAATTTGTTGGTGTTTAGCAGCAAGAGACATAGCTGGCTCTCCTCACAATACATCCATGTATAACAATATATAACACATGTTATGTATTAATATCTATACAAATTCAGAAAAAATAATCTAGAGGAGTAATAATTACTTTATTAATTGTACTTCAGTACTAGGTAAACTAAGGGTTGCTAAACATTATGTTTAACAAAAGAACTTATGTAAAACTAAGGAAATAAACCTGAGGCCGAGATTAGAGTGAATATATTTTTGTTGAAGTGTTAGGGGAAATTCTATATTTGATGATTTTTGTGGTAAAATGATCACCATTTAAAAATAGATTAGAATTATTATAAAATGTTGAAGCATACTCTCATGCCAATTGCAAATCAATGCTGTGGGCAGTTAACATTACAACTGCAGGACTTTGAAGGATTAATGGTTTCTAATATCAAAACAAAAGCTGTGGAAAACAGACACATAAATCACACAGGTCAAAAAATTATGAACCGTATACCTGGTGTAGTGTAAAGAGAAGATTACTTCAAACAGCATCATGAGCCAAACCCCATATAAATGCACATTAAACACAACCAGTGGGGATACTGCCTGATATGGTCTAATCAGTCAACAGTTGGGTGACGCTGTGTGTATTAGTGTTTTCTGAAATCAACTTACAACCGAGATTTATGGGACTTTTGCCCTCTCTCCTAAACAGTGCTTTGTGTTTGAGTACATTAAATTAGAAATTCCTATAATAAAGTACATCTGAGAACATATAGCCCTTATATGACTTAAAGGATCAAAAAAAAAAAAAAACAAATAAATGCATTGCCTTGGAGATAGAATATTTTCATATCTTCCCAAGTAATACTATCCCTTTAACAAATGTTCATGAAACATTCATTATTCTCTTTCTTATCACCTTCATATCAGAACACGGAATATATGTTGGCAACAGGTTAACACGTACTATATGCTGGACTATATAGACAGATACTGAGAAGACAAAAAAGATTCAGATAAGGTCTGTATATTAAAGGAGAACAGAAGCTAATTAATAAAGTGGGCGGATAGGGAATAAAAACTTGAATGGACTGATGTGATACATGCAAGGCATTTAAAGAGAACTCTATTCTGAGGCCCTTATGTAGTATAGCCTAGCAAGTATGCGTGAGAGGAGAGACTTCAAAGCAGTACCAAGGCCTAAGTAAGGGTTGAATGATGTCTCCCAATTGGACAGAGTGAGGGTAAAACTGCAGGCAAACAGAACAAGCACAGGGGTAGCAGTACCATGGCGTACTTGCACCAAGATATGCAATTCTGTATTTTTAAAGCATAATGTATGAGGGACAGTGGTGAGCAGTGAAACTGAAAACAAAAGAAGAGGCAGGGTCCAAGAAGGGTCCCTTATATGTCATGGTAAAGAACTTAGACTTTTGCATTTCATGCAGTATACAATTAGGTGATGTGGAAGTTGTTTTAAAAAGGGGAGTGAGGCCGGGCGCGGTGGCTCACGCCTGTAATACTGGCACTTTGGGAGGCCGAGGTGGGTGGATCACGAGGTCAGGAGATCGAGACCATCCTGGCTAACATGGCGAAACCCCATCTCTACTAAAAATACAAAAAATTAGCCAGGTGTGATGGTGGGCGCCTGTAGTCCCAGCTACTCGGGAGGCTGAGGCAGGAGGATGGCGTGAACCTGGGAGGCTGAGCTTGCAGTGAGCCAAGATGGCGCCACTGCACTCCAGCCTGGGCAACAGAGTGAGACTCTCAAAAAAAAATAAAATAAAATAAAAAAAGGGGAGTGAGAGATTATTGTTGGATTCTTGAAAACACCACTCTGGTGTCAGTACAGAGAATGGATTGGACATCAATGTAGCTGAAGGCAGGAGCCACTGCCACAATACAGAAGCAAGGTGATGTAAAATAAAGGCTGCAATTTGGCAGTCCATGGACTACATCCATTTTTCAGATTTTTTTTTCTTTAGTCCCCACACTGGGCGGGGGTCAGTTATTCTCTGTAGCTGAGACCAACTGTACCCCAATAAGGGCAATCCGACCCCATTTTCCAAGATCCCTCCGCTCACTATTTCTTCCCAGGAGTTCTGCTTCCATCACTTACAACACTCGTCTGCTCCTACGTGTAAGAGTATCTGAACCTTCAACTAAACTAGGCCAGAAGGAATACTATAAAGAGGATAATATCAAGGAATATTTATAAAATAATCATCCTTAGTATTTGTTTGAACGATGAAGAAAGAGAATACACTGAGAACAATTTTGTTTTTAGACTTTTGTAATTTAGGTGGATAATGATCCCTTGAACCAAATATCATTCTAATAAAAATATCATTTTTATATTTCTTAAACTTATGCAGGAAGAGTGATATGTACTTTGCCAATAGGGAACTAAGGCACATTCACCAAAAAATTTAAAACTCTGCTATGATCTGAATGGTTTTATGTCCTTCCCCAAGTTCATGTGTTGAAATTCTAGCCCCCAAAGTGATGGTGTTAGGAGGTGGGGTCTTTGAAAAGTGATTAGGTCATGAGAATACAACGTCATGAATGATATTAGCAAACTTATAAAGAGACCTTCGAGAGATCTGTTGCTTCTTCAGGCATGTGAGGTTATAGGAGCTATGAACAACTAGGAATCAGGTCCTCAACTAGACACTAAATTTTCTTGCACCATTATCTGGGACTTCCCAGTCTCCAAAACTATGAGAAATAAATTTCTGTTTATGGTATTTTGTTATAGCAGTCTGCACAGACTGACACTCTAATGACACACTCTACAATACAAGAAAAATTTCAAAAACTCTGAAAGTTTTTTGAAATTCTATACACAAAGCCTCAGCAAGTGATAGACTATCCTGAAGCTAAATACTATTTTTCCAGAAAAGGTACTTTCTTCAAAATAATGAGAAATCAATTTTTAAAAACTAGGTGACAGTCTCTAGACAGTTTCCCTCACCCACCTGACCATCACTAAAAGCAATAAGAACGTAAGTATCTATATCATTACCAAACCATCAAAATACATGTTTATGGTTGCTTTGTAACTATGAAACATCATTATACAGATGCACGCTTTCAAATCATTACTTACTAAAGCCACCTTAGTCCTACTTTCACACACTGAGAGTGTTGAATCATCTATGGATTGCTCAAAACAGTTTTCTCTACATCACAGTCATTAAATAGGATTTTCTTACTGGAAGCTCTCATTTGAGTCACACTCTGTGCTAGATTCCTTCAAAATGAAATAACTCTTCAAATTAGAGTGTCATGCAACTAAGGTGGCAGAAAATTATTAGAAATAACAGTGACAAAAACAAACTGGATGAAGTCCGTGGAAGTTTCAAGATGAACAAATAAAGGTCCTTCATTATGATGCTGTGTTTCATGGGTAAAGAAGCCTCATACTCTGTGCTCTAGCAGTTCCCGTATCCACGTCAGGCCAGCTTGAGTAAATTAGGAGAAGAATAATACTGACAGCAACCACAGTTGACATTGACCCAGTACTTAGAACACAGCGGTCATTAAAGTAAATGTTGCCACATTGGTTGGTTAACTTAATCCTATGAGATGAACACTGTTGACGTATTTTAAATATGAGAAAACAAAGGCTAGGCGAGGTCAAGTTACTTGCTCCAAGTTATCTAATCAGGGATCCCCAACCCCTGGGCCATGGAGCAGCACTGGTCTGTGGCCTGTTTGTTAGGAACTGGGCTGCACAGCAGGAGGTGAGTGGCAGGCGAGCCAGCATAACTGCCAGAGCTCTGCCTCCTGTCAGATTAGCGGCGGCAGCATTAGATTCTCGTAGGAGGCTGAACCCAGTTGTGAACTGTGCATGCGAGCGATCTAGGTTGTGCACTCCTTATGAGAATCTAACTAATGCCTGATGGTTTGAGGTAGAACTGTTTCATCCCAAAACTATCTCCCCTGCCGGGCCCCCACAAAAACAGTCCCTGGTGCCAAAAAGGTTGGGGACTGCTGATCTAACTAATGCATGGTAGAAGTTGGATTGAATCCCTTGCTGTGGCAATTCTAAAGTCTACATTTTTAAGCCTATCTTCTCTCTTAATGGGTCACAGGGTTAGGTGGACATGGAGAAATTAATGAACATAGTGGTCATACAGTTTTGTTTTCTTTGTTTTTTTTTTTGAGACAAGGTCTAGCTCTGTCATCCAGGCTGGAGTGCAGTGGCATGATCAGGGCTCACTGCAGCCTCAACCTCCTGGCCTCAAGCAATCCTCCTGCCTCAGACTTCCAAAGTGTTGGGATTACAGGCATGAGCCACTGCATCCAGCCACTTGAAGTCATATAGCTTTAAAAGGCACTAGTACTTTGGCAGAAAAAAACTATTATCTGGTGTTTCTGTGAATTTCAGGACATAATGCAAGTGATTGACATTTTTTAATTTATATTTTAAACTCAGTTAAATTATAGCATCTTTTTGTAAGTTCACAGGAATTTGAATTGTGCAAACTACAGACTGTTCTTATTTTGGTCACAGAGAATGCAAGATGGTAGAGTGGGTAGGAGTGTAGATTCTGTGGTCAATTGCCTGTTTCAAACCCCAGCCCTGCCATGTTCTAGCCCTGTCACTCTGAGAAACTTATTTACTCTCTCTGTCATCACCTTCCTCTCCTCGTCTCTAAATGGGCATAACAGCACCTATCCTGCAGGTTGTTGTGAGGTAAATTAGCATATGCAAAGCACTTAAATAGCAATTGGCATATAGTAAGTGTAGAACATGAAAACCTTTATTACTGCTCCATGGATAGCTATCAACAATCCTAGAATGCACAAGAATTACTTACCCTCCTTAACTTTAATTGCCTATTTCAGAAAATCTGTGAACCTCAGCTAATATATCACAATGGGTGTTTAATAAGTGTTTGCAAATGATGATACATATACTTATAACCTACCCATCATGATTAATGTGTGAATACAATTTCAGAATTATTATTATTCAAAGTATTATTTTAACAATAATTCACCCGAAGATGCTGTCATATAAGAAGAAAGAAAAATTAGGAGACATATTAAAAGATTTGGTGCCCTCTATAAATACATCACCGACTCAAGAATTTAGTGAAGATAAAGGTCACGAATAAAATAGATCTAAAAGGTTCAGTGCTGTAGAATGCTTTCTGTGGGTTAATAATGCTTTCTATGGGTTAATAAAATAGATTTTCTATACCAAGATAACTGCCACTTATTACACACCATGGAGGGGAGTTTTTGAAAGAAGTATTTTAGGGTTATTTTGTCTACTTCATGATCCAAATGCCACAAGTCTGATTTTACCGAAACTATTCAGAATTTACCATTACCTGAACTATTCATAATCTGACTATTTTTTATACCTTCTCTGTAAGCCCTAGTAAGTTTTCAAAGAATGCATACTTAGTTCATGTTTTGCTCATAGCTCTTAAAATGTGTAATCATAGTAAATACAAGCTAACCAGAGAAAGTCAAATTGTATGCTTGATTTTCAGAAATGAACTTTGATATAAAATCCAAGGAAAATTGTATTAGAATTGAATTTAACATTTTAATCTCTGGTTAGAATCAACTCATATAAACTGCTTATGGAAAAGAACAGAGAATGACTTAATTTTCAAATAATGGTATTGACGAAAACCTAGCCATGACCTTCTTTTCAATCTTATGATATGTGAGTCACAACAATCTGGCAAAAAGCATTATTTTTGTTTTAATTCAATGTGAAAATGTATTTTGCCCAGCTGCCGGAAGCTAAAGGAAGTCAAGAGAGACTGGACTATTTCTGACAATAAATATTTGCTTCTCACATATTGGCCATGCGACAATTTCATCAAATACGTGTGTGGAGCTAAAAATTTCAAGCTGCAGTCAGCTCTCACAGGCATTAATCTCCAGCATTAATCTCTAGAGTTAGCAAGAGAGCATTTTTTTTTTCTGTTTTCATTCTAATTACCTGAAGCTTTCGTAATAACAGGAAGCTTCAGGAAACCTAATTTCAAATGAAAATATCTCCTTTTTTTCTACCTTTCCTTCTAAAAGCAATTCTATCCCTGGGGGAAAAAGAATCCAACTATAATGCTTACTATGGTTAGAGCTAAAGATATAAGCATGTTTAAGGAAAGAAAGGGATCTTTTTGGATGAAGTAGCCGATTTTATCCAAATAGTGCATAAAGGGAATATAAGGAGGCTCAGTAATGGAATCAACTGAGGGACCTTTTTAACCAGCAGAAGCTGGTTCATGGCAGAATAGAAAGAACACAGAGCTGAGTGTTGTGAAACAGAAGTTTTGGACATATTGTTAACTAGGTTTATGACCACAGGTACTCATTTCACCTCTGCTATAAAAGTGATGGATTGGCCGAAATGATCTCTGAGGTTACTGCTAGCTTTAAATTTTTATTCCATGATAGATGAAACTGTAAAATATGTCTATCTGAAATATTAAATTGTGGGCCAATAATAGACACAGAGAACAGTAAAGAGGTAGAGTAGATGTCCCCCTTCAAATATTTAGTGAGAGTTGTGAATATGTTTTAGTAAAAATCATCTTAGTGCATCCTAATTTTAAAATCCAAAAACACTGGCTACTTAGTAGCTATGTGATTTTGGTCAATTTATACAACATTTGTGTTTGTTTCACTTTCTTTATTTGTTAAATGGGGGTAATAATAGTATCTACTCTGAGGGTTGTCTTGAGGATTCAATGGCTTAAAATTCAGAAAACACGTAAACATTCACTATTATAAGATACCATGTATTTTTAAAATAAATAAGCACAAATTTATCTTATTAAAAATATAATTTGACCACTTTAAAGGCAGCCAATTGAAACACCTGTTGGTTACTCAGCACTGTTAGGTGCAATAGCTTCTCATTCTGCTTGTTCCTGAATGTTCTTCCTATTATTCTATTCAGAGGAAGAAAAGCAGATTCATACGGCTGTCCTGAGCCAGCAGGGAGTTAACACTCATGGTTAATTCTCACACTTCCAACTGCAGTCATGATCTTCAAGAAGCCTGGTTAGGTTGCAGAGCTTAAGAACTTAGATTTTGGAATATTAAGGACAACCAAATTTCTGTCCTTTTAATAATATATAATAAAAATTATTGTTTGCTATTTATTTGAAATTTATTTTTCACAGATAGTCCCAATAATATATTTGAGTGTGTGTGTGTGTGTGTGTGTGTGTAAGCATGTGTGTGTGCATACACACTTGCATGTAGGAGATGCTGTGGTGGGCTGCCCAGAAACCTCTTTAGGACCTGGACATTCAGCTGGAAGTTTTGGCTGTTGATGATTCGTCTCAGCTTCCTCACTCGTGGGATATTGACACTCCAATGCTCTATCTATGCTGCAAAGAAAAATAGCTACTTCCTGGACAGACTTACAAAATTCTGGTCTTATGGTTCATTTACTCCAACCACAAACATGTATAGTGTGCCAGTTACTGATGCCAGGCAAATTTCAAGTTGTTGAAGACACAGTGAAATTCACAAATAGTTAGTTGGTTTTTAAAGTGCCTCCAAAGGCACCATCCCTTGGGGAATCCAGCAAAATTAAAGAGGCTTGTTTAAAAGCCTTCAACGTTTATTATGTGGAAGGAAGTGTTTTCACTGGATTCATAGAGCACCCATTTTCAAGATTACATTCAGTTTTGTGAGTTTCATATATGGCTTGTAATCTACTGAGTATATTTTTATGTATATGGTCATATAGCATAATGGTTAAGATCATTGCTTTTGGAATCAAGCTGCCTGCAAGACAAATCTTAGTTCTGATAAGTTTTGTCGTGCACTAGGTATCACCTTTGGACAAGTTATTTTACCTCTCTGTACATCAATTTCCTTGTCTTAAAATAGGAGTACTAGCAGTAATACAGGTTTCACTGGGTTCTTGTCAGTTTCCATATACAAAGGATTTAGAACAGTCACTGACAAATTAATAAATGCAATTTAAAATCTGCAATCTTTATGATGGAATGTGGGAAAGCAAACCCTGCCACATTTAGGCTAAGCCCCAGATGTTGGTATTAGTCTCCCAGGGGTAGAGAAGGGGAAGACCATTTACAGATTCCTGAGGCCGACAGAGATAACAGAATTTTTTTTTCTTGCTCCTTACATTTTCTTCAGAAGTTTCATTTACCACTCATGGCAAGCTTTTAAAACATCCATTTGAAGAACAGCCTCCTTGGGGCTTGAAAGCCTTCTTAAGAAAACCAAAAAATAAATAAATGAAATCAAAAACAAAAAAGCAAATTAAACAGCATGTGCGAAAAACCTCTGCTTTCTCACTACATTGTGAGTAAAAAGCTCATCTGCCTGCATCAAGAGAATATCAAGCATGCTACAGTTTTTCTCCCATTGATCTCTTGCCAATATGGTTACAATAGGAGAAGCGAATCATGTAGTGTCCGAACTCTCACAGGGAGGTGTACTTAAAGTGCATTACTTCTACTCCTTAGGCAGCCAATCAATAAAGATGTGCTTTCCAATGAGAATGGAGATGTCTGTGGGCTGTAGCAGTTATCCTCTGTGTCTCTTTAGAAATTAATTAAAAATCAATGAAGTGTGCAACCTATTAATACAGCAACCTCTAGATTAATAGAAGCTGAGCCTTTCTCTGAGCATACATATTGTGCAAATGCATTCAGAGACTACAGAGAGGTGGTTGAATGTCTGACACCTTAGTAATAATTGAGCAGAAACAGATCATTCCTAATATTTTGTGGTTTCACAGAATTGCATGCTACTGGTGGAAAACCATACAGCTTAGGGATAGGGATATGTATATACAATTTTCCTTCTTAAGCTGATTATATCAAATTTTATGAGGTATCCTTATTACAAAGCAAAACTTCTGCCATCATATAGACCTAAATAATTTCAATAACTATTTTCTTAAGTGTGGTTTACTTATCTATATGTCCAGGTGGTTGAGTTTATTTATAACTGCTGAATACTTTTATGTAAGTGTCTTTGCATTAAAAATGTGAAACTCCTAGAGCACTAAAGGCTCTTATGCAACTTGAGTATCCACATAAGGGGTTGAAAAGTGTGTCATTCAATTCAGTTCTGCCTTGTCTCATTTGGACAGCAATGGGCTTGGCCCCACTATGCAAATATCTGCCCAACGCATGTAAAACTCGCAAAAGTGGCACCTACATACTTCCTTCTGGAAGTCACCCAGCCACTTCCAAACTTCCTGATCTGCCCCATGCCCTCCTTCCTCAGGCTTGCTCCTCTCAAAATCCTCAGAAGGATTTGTACCATGGCTTCTGTTTTCATCTAAATCCCTTACTGTTGATTTGGATGCCCACTTTGACACACATCCTTGTTTCTACCTTTGCATTCTTCCTCGGAATTCCAGGGCTTTGTTTCCATCTAGTTCCTGCATAAAGACTAAGAGAAAGAGACTCCTGCTTTGCACCTTGGCTCATTTTCTAGCCTAATATTACCATAGAAGTACCAGATATCATCACATTACTTAAAATGTGAATCATCTATCTTTAATTATTAAAACTGTCAAGAAATTGTCCTGGGAGAGTCTGCTGTCACTACAGGCTTCAGGACACATGTGATGGTATAGTAATAATACAAATTTCACTGTTTCTTGGCCCAACCTGCTTGGAGAGCACCTGTAGCTCCCTGCCTCTAAGAAGCCTTTTGCAGATATTTCTAGGGTTAGCCAGGAGCCTCATAGATGCTCATGGATAATCTTTCTTGTTTTTGTTTGTTTGTTTTTCAGGACTCTTCACTGATATCTGCAGTTGTTGAACCCACAGTTGAAGCTCCTGTGGAAATGCTGATATCTTTTCTGGGGCTGCTATCTCTTGATGCTCCAGAAGCTACAGCTTATAATGTTTCAAACCATTGCAATTATGCCCTTCCATCCTCCTTACCATGTCAGTGCTCTGCTGTCTTCCACACAGCCCTAGGGAGGAGTTCTACCCTCTTCTGAACTTTGTGCCTTATTTTGTCCTCAGCTGTATCACTAGCTATTCTTGAGTCCCTAGTAACAAACAAACAGTCTCCTTAAAAATCTTCAGTAAATTTAGATACTCATTCCATAAAGGCTCAGATCTAGTCCAAGAGGTAGCCATGGGAAATTGACATATTTCTCTTTGCTTAAGTCTTCTCTTTTTAACCATGTGCATTTGCCATCATTTCCTCATTCTCCTTTACCCTTCAACAGACATGCACATACACTGAACCACGTTTTCACTCAGGTAGCCAAAAAAGCCCACAAGCAACTTGACTCTGCTTGGCCCTCCAGCTTCTTTTCTTGGAATTCTTCACCTTGAACTCTATGGCCAAGCAAAGCTGAAAACCCTCTAATTTCTTTTGCCTTTACACTTACTATTTCCTTTATCTGGAACACCCCCTCACCATACACTGCCACACTCTTCCTACCATGCTACAGACACATGCTTGGTCAAATTTAACGTTTCTTAGATCACAAATTAGATGTCATTTCCTCCACAAGATCTTCCCCAACTCCTAAATAGATTGGGTCACTCTACAACATAGTGATAATGTCCAACTTTATCTATAGACAGGTATCTATCCATCCATCCATCCATCCATCCATCCAACCATCCATCTGGAGCTAAACCCTGAGATTATCAAGCATTATTTTAAAAAAGCTTTTTGGATTTGCAGCTAAATCAAAGTTTTTTTATGATCAGAAAGGACATAAACTTGTATGCTCAGACTTTAAAAATGCTATATAACAAATTACCCAATGCTAACAGTTTCATGTAGAGAGTAGATAAAGCACAAAGCCAAAATATATATGTGTGTATACACACACACACACGTATATATGTGTGTGTTATATGTATGTATGTATATACCTGTATATATGTATACGTGTGTATATATGTATTGAGATTTATATATACATATGTGTATATATATATGAATCTCAATAGAGCACTCATCTATTGACTTGATTAATTTGTCAAACTATTTTTAAGAGAATTAAACACTAAAATGAGTAATGGAAGAAGTAGAAAGCTATATTTTTTCGGCTTGTTCAAGTCCGAAAAATAAAGATTTTTTTTATCTTCTATTCTTCACTTCAAACCCTTATGGACTGTTGAGTGCCTGGAACTGTGAATGGCGTGTTCCTGTGGAGATGACATAACTCAGTTTGACCCTCCTCACATTTACCAATTTCATCACGTTTTGGGACAGTCAATAAATAATAGTCGATTGATTGATTTCCTCCTCTCCCTACTCCTTACTCATCCTTACTCTTTCTATCCTTTCATCTCTTTCTACTCTTTCATCCTTACTCTTTCTATTGCCTTTGGATCAAGAGGTCTGGAAAGAAGAAATTCCCAGCAGTAATAAATATACTTGCAAACATAACCTCATAACAATTAAAAATAAAGGAAGAGGAAAAGGTATAATAAATTTTAATATTATTGGCAATAATTTTCTATTGCTAATGATGATTTTTATTACATTGTCCCTTTGCTTTTTATTTTTTAGTATTAAACATCTGTTAATTTTCAGGCTTACTTGCATATATGTTGCAAATTGCTTGCTGAATATTTTTAATTCTGGAATACTATTTGGGCTTTGGGCTAAATGCTATCGGTTTTCCCACAATTGTTAGGAAATTAGGGTATTGCTCATGCACACTGACAATGTGAAATTTGAAAGCTGACCTCTTCTTTTGGTCTCCTCTCCAGTTCACAGATTTATGTGGTTAATATCTCATATGAAAGAAGGTTAAAAGCACATATCATAAAAACAGTTCTAAAGGGTCATTTTTAACCCATTCCTGTTTATCATTGACATCTGGGGGAGTGGAATGCAGGAATGAAGAGTGATTTCTGGGACAAGACTTCCCAAACTTCATTATCAGCGCTGCCACTAACTATATGCAGCCATAGGCACGTTAGACATGTTAGTTACTCAGTCTGCCAATATCTTCATCTATAAAATGGCAATAATAATAATACTTATCTCATAAGGTTGTTGTGAGAATTAAGTGAATGACTGTATGTAAAATTCTTAGAACAGTTAAGAGTAAAACTCAATGTTGATAGTATTATGTCCTTTGTCCAGCACCTTGCATTACAGATGATTCTCATTTTCAAAAGTTCAGTTTTTAAGTAACTTGAAATTCCCTCCGATTTTAAGTATAAAACACACTTTTATACTTAGAATCCCAAAGATCATCTATCAACTGCCAACCACATCTCCTGATAATGCTGTCTTTCCTATAATGGTTTAATTTCAGCACCCTTACCATCGTTAAAGTTTGTGGGGTTTTTTTTGTATACTTTCATTTCTGTGTATAATTATCTGTATAACATTTCACTTTAATGTTTAAAAGATAATAGGGTAGAAAATAGAGATGATAAGAAAAACATTCTCATAGTAATATAATTAGGAAGAATTAAAAAAATCACTAAAGAGACTAAAATTGGCTTATCTTTAGCCTCCACTGGACACTCATTGAACTTTAGCTGGATGACTATGTATTCATTAGAACAAAATTTAAGTACATGGAGAAAAGCTGTAAATATATAACTGTACATGAGGTTTAAAGGTAAAACAAAATTAAATATTTTGTGTTACTCTTAAGTTATCTATAATTGAATCTCACTTATAACATGGAAATCTATCATTCACATTTTTAAAATTTTACTTTTGCCTCTTAGAAATACCTTACAAATGAAAATCAGGGACACCTTGTGTCCTATATTTGTGTATAGGTATGCATATTCCATTAGATTATCAGCTATTTAAAGTTACAGGAGGAAAGACAAATTTTCTCTTGATCACTTTCTAGCTTATTGCATACATAATATACACTGTGTATACAACTCACTCTCTATGTAGTTGAAAAGAATAAAGTTTCCTTGTTTCTCTAAACAATCTTTTATTGAATAGAAATTATGTGCTGAACACTCTGCTAATTGTTTTACATATAATGATATGTTATTTCCTTCAAGCTGTTCATTGTCTGCTGTGAGATACATACATGGACACAGATTACGTAAATGATGTGTTCAGAAAGTACAGAAAAAGGGACATGTAGCATATTCTGTGTTGATTACAAAAAAACTAACAAAAGTGGAATTTGAGCTTGATATTGAATGAAAATTAAATATTTAAATTTTTGGATAAAATACAGTAAGAACATTCTAGACATAATAAAAAGCACGTAAAAAGGATAGAGTTCTAAAAGGTAATGGTATATTTAGAAAAAATGACAACTTCTTTGAGGATAGGATCTAAATTAATTGTCAATGGCTAAAAGCGCCAAAATTAAGTGTCTAACTTAATTGTGATTACCTAACATGACGTGCACAGCAGTTACTAAAAGCCTTGATAAAACAAATTGACTTGATCAGATTTGGCAGTTGTGTGGAGGACAAACAAGGGTAAAGCACATTAGAAAGAATCAAGGAGATCAATTGGGATACTATAATACTAGTTCCAATAGCAATGGTTTAGTGTTTGACTAAGACAGTAACTTGGAGAATTAAGTTTAGGTTAGAGCAGCAGACAGATATGGGACCTTACCAATGAGGTTAAACCATAAGAGAGCATGAGATAACTCAGATACTTTCTTCCAGGGAAAACACCGTTGTTAAATAAGTGAGTGCCAGAAAAGAATACCAGAAAAAGTGACCAAAAGTAATGACCAGATTTATAGGAGAAGAACAAAGACAGAGTGTTATTTCTTGTGGAGTTGTTGGAGAGGAAATGAGAGAATCTTAAGAAGGTAAAACTAGCGACAGTATCAAATACAATAGGGACGTACAAAAAGATAACAGAAGGGGGACCTTTGAATTTGGAAACGGGAATATTAGCAACCTGGTGAGTCACTAGATTGCAGTGGACTCAAGAGTGAACAAGGATTTGAAGAACGGTGGTCCGCAAAACAACACAAAATTAGGCTCTTAAAACTAAATGAATACATAGGCTGTCACTTGAAAGAGGAAGTCACAAGTTTGGGATTGTTTATTCCTCCACCCCCAGAGAATTGAAATATTTATATGATGCATGAGAGGAGCCAGTGAGTCAGGAGATTGATGATACAGGTTGAGAAGAAATGAAGGAGAAATGTTCCAGCAGCAGAGATGGGATCAAATGTTCATGTAAGGAGGCAGGTTTGTAAAGGAAGAGACATTTCCTCTGAGATAGCAACAAAGGAAATGTTGGAATCTGGAAGAGAACAAGATGGGGGGAGCTAATGTTTTCATACCAGTATTTTTCTTGGTAAATTGCGAAGCACTAACATAAGTTGAGGATGAGAGGAAAGATGGGGTAGAGTGAATAGTTTTGAAGTGGCCAAAGGAGGACCATTGGTCTGATTTCACTCTGTGCACCAGCACAGCAGGTGTCCATGTAGAGTGGGTAAGAAAGCTCACATAAGATCAGGGTAAAGATTGCCAAAGAATACTGAGGCACAATATAAGATAAAAACCATAACTTTGTAATTGCATCACCTGGCTGGAGTATTCTATTGTCCTCAGAAGCAGAGAAACAGAGAAATTGGATATTTGGGGTCACCCAGAGAAGATACTAGCAGGTAAGTGAGACAGGAGGACAGAGATAAGGAAAAATGAACAAAAATAACTTCGTAGAAATACAAGAATGCTATTTCAAAGTGTCATGTATATGAGTTTTATTTTTAAGAGTTTTCTATATGTAAAGTCTTTTTAAAAACTCAGAATGGATTTGGACATTAGTATGAAGTTTGAAGTTAGTTTCTTCTTCAAAGACTTTCTTACTATCACCAACAAATGCATGGGATCTGAAAAATTTATCTCATCTAAACATTTAAAAAATAAAGTCAGTTACTCCAGAACCAGATTTTTAAAACTTAATTTTAAGCTTAATATCAAAATCTAAAAGTATCAGATAACTTTATAGAATCAGATAAAAAAGTGTATTCTAAAACAATGTGAATGAATTAGGTTTTTTTTAAAGCAAACTAAAAAGGTAGTCTTTACTATTTGATTTATTTATTTTAACAATTTGGCTTCCAGTAATTCCTTCTACGCTTTTAGTTATAAATGATCCATGTCTCCTACTGGATTTAATTTTTATCTATCATATATTTTTGAAAGAGGTGAAGATTTTTTCCACATCACAATATATTAACATTTAACATAAGAAAACTATAAACCCTCTATAAAACACTGAAAGCGTAAAACAACAAAGCAACATTCACAAGTCATGGTACCGAATAAATGGATTTAATGAAACCAGTGACCTTGTGTTACAAAAATCAGTGGGTTTCTTTTGCTGTCAAAGTGAGTTTATTTGAATCATAACTTCTATATTCCTTTACAATTATGATCATGTTTGGCAAAGTTGGACTACCTTTATATGACTTTACAGTATTCAATTTCATTTTAAAAACATCTAATGCAAATTTAATACTTTATCTTTTATGACAAGACTTAGCTCAGCCTGAAATAATCACTGTATTAACATTTTTTACCCATTCAAATAGTTCAATCCATTATTAGAAAAACAGCAAGCATCCCCAGCCTGTCATTAAGTCCTACTGTTTTAATTACAAGAAAAAAAAAATACTCTATGGAAGGCTTTTGTGAATAATGGCACTGTAAACACAATCTTACGCAAAGATATGAAAATAAAATGGGGTGGAGTTTCTTTTCTACATCAATATTCTAGTAGAAATGCCATATTTTCTGGCAAAATAATGTAAAGTCTGTTAAAATATAATGGTTCTTTCTTTGAATTTAGTCACAAAGAGACACTGCTTAGAAATACATGTTACTTTCTACTATTTGGAAACACATGAAATCTGCATTCAAGGCCAATATTTTGATTAAAAAGTTCTACATCCACTAGGATTTAGCAGACTTATTTTTGACTTCTGACCAAATTTAGTTCCTCTTTCTGCATATTGTGGTTGCATGTAAATGTTTGCCAGTGTCAGGAGATTCAAGCTATTCAAACATTAAAATTAAGTGCTACCTAAGATTTATTTAAAAATAAAACCCAACTTTTGACCTTAGGAATTAGAATATTTAAATCAAAGTCTGTACAAAACTGAACACTTCATTAAGAACGCCTGTTAAGAGAAACATGGCTGGGGTTTGGTGAGTAAGGAAGAACTTCATTGTATATTTTGTCTAGACTTATTATTATATTATTATTTTTTGAGACAGAGTCTCGCTCTGTCACCCAGGATGGAGTGCAGTGGCACCATCTCCACTTACTGCAACCTCTGCCTCCTAGGTTCAAGTGATTCTCCTGCTTCAGCCTCCCCAGTAGCTGCGATTACACATGCGTGCCACCACACCTGGCTAATTTTTATATTTTTTGTAGAGACAGGGTTTCTCCACGTTGGCCAGACTAGTCTCAAACTCCTGACCTCAAGTGATCCACCCGCCTCAGCCTCCCAAAGTACTGGGATCACAGGTGTGAGCCATTGCACCCAGCCTATTATTATTTTTAATATAAATAAGAACATATCACAAAGGTAGACTCTGCTGGATTTTCCAGCTTGAAGAAGGTGAATCTAAATCCAAACAGTATTGGAGAATAACTAACTTTGAGCAAGGTGTTTGAACAGCCATTTATGATTTTTTAAAGATGACAAGGAAAATTGTATGTATATACATCTACCCAAACAGATACACACACACACACACACACACACAATTACACACAGAGATAATGCAATACAGATTATAAGAAATGATAATGAAGGTGCAAAGGCATATAAACACATGGGGTGAAATATGAATTCTGAATGGAGGAATTAGCAATGTTTGTTGAGAATGGAAATTGAATTACATTTTGAAGGACCAATAAAGGTTAGAATTCTTAGTACAGCTACAAATGCATTACAACCCCATCAATTTACACTTTTAAGATTAAGCCCAAGAATAGGTAAAATATTTTCTGTAAAAGGAATTACTTTAATAAAATATTTATGTAGAGCTACCATAGATGTCTGTTAACACTGAGGTCATGCATCTTCTTTCTATTGAGACAGTTCACTAAAAGATATGCAGTATTGTAAGAGATTTTAAAAAATTAAATGCACATTTTTTGTTCTAAGATATTTAAAATCTCTTTGGGTAAACTATGATATTGAAGTATACATGCTCAATATATTTCAGTGTTCTCTATTAAGACAAATTAATAAATTTGTTAATTACTATTCTATGTATACCTCTAACATCAACTTTAATCATCTTTACAAATTAAAATTATTTATGTCTAGATATTAATACTGATTAGTACCCAATAGTGTACCTCCTACAAGAAGCTTGATAACTAGTATTTAAGATATTGCTGATAATGTTTCTGAATTCCTATCAGAACCTTTTGGCTGAACTAGATAAAATTTACTTAAAGATAAGGTGCATTTTCATGTTATCACAGTATTGTTCTGAAATGTTTTAGACCGTGTAATATTAGTAGCAGAATACTGAAACTGGTATGAAAATAAGATGTTTCCTCAATAGTTTAACTGTTTTGTAAAATTTAATATTTTGTATTTCACAACCAGTGAAAAGTTCAGCTACTATTTTTATCTATTAACATTTGCAGTTAAGGCATAGGGTTTCATTAAATTAGGAAATGGTTATTCATTATAATATAACCATAAATTGAGCTCTAGCTCATGAATGTGCTAATTGTTCTTTTCTGCTGAGGATAGTAGCTTATATTCACTTTTAAAACTCAATAGACATAGTTCATATGCAATTTAGATTAAATCTGAGTATGAAATGGAAAGCACACATACCATCTGTGAAGAAATGCCCTTATCCCTAATTAATATGTATCATGTATTATAGCCCATTTTATTACTGAAGACAAGTTATAAAACATAAAGTTGAGTTTAATAAAAAGAAAGCTAATTTAATGGGAATGAGAAATTGCCTACAAGAATATTGTAGTTAATGGATACAATAGTCTTTGCCTAGGGAAGGATAACTTGATTTCCATGTAAGTTACAGGCCTGGATATAAGTGTACTTAGAAGAAGAGCAGAACAAGCCTCTAGAGGCTAACTAGGGAATTAACATTCAAGTGTTTATTGAGAATCTACTATATCTAGGTACTATGATATAATAGCAATAACTTATATAATGAACACTCATCTAGCGCTTGCTAAATGATAAACACTGTCCTAAGCAGTTTACACAACCCCATGAAGTACATACTATTATTATTTCCATTTTACAAATAATGAAACTGAGGCACAGAGATGTTAAGTGACTTTCCCAAAAACACACAGCAAATAATAGAGTTGGAATTTTAACTGAGGCAGCCTGGTTTCAGGTCTAAGGAATACATGTGCAGAACTGGGATTAGAGAAATTATGAAACTTGGTGAGCCTATGAGAGAGCTAATGGAGGTGGGCAGAAATAACAAGACAGAGAACTTGATGTGGGGTAAGGCTGGAGGAGTGTGCAAGGGCAAACCTGCAGGATCTTGGAGGCCAGGCTCAGGATGTTGACTTTTATCTTAAGAGTGATAAAAGTCCTTGGGATGTATAAACCAAGAGCCTGGGAATAACATGATTGGATTACATTTTGAGAAAAATCTCATTGGCTACAGTGTGAATGATTGATTACAGAAGGAAGATAAAAGTGAAAATGAGAGTTAAGGGGTTATTTCATACTCTAAGTGAGAGATGATGGCAGCCCGGACCAGGGTGGTGCTAGCAATGGTGGTGGAGATGGAGAGAAGTAATCGATTTGAAAGAAATTTAAAAGCTACTATCAACATTACTTAATGTCAAATAAAATAGGAGCATGAGAGAGAGGAAGAAACAAGGATAACTTCAGTTAGTGCTACTGATTGGATGGTGATATATGCAGGACTAATGTTTATATTATTCAGGTTTCAGTTTAAATATTATGTCCTCGGAGAGGCCTTCTCCAACTGTTTGAATTAAAGTATCATCCACCCCTCCATAAGTCTCTAAACCCTTACCCTGCTTTATTTTTCATCAGAGCACTTATGACTACCTGACAACATATAGGCATGCTGTTACTTACCTGTTGTCTGTTTCACTGACTACAGTGAAGGCACCACGAGGAGAAAGAATTTATCACTCATATTCATGCTGTATTCTCTACCCTTTAGAACAGTGCCTTGCATATCGTAAGTGGATAATCAATATTTACTAAAGGAATAAGTGCATGAACATGAAGGCTGTCAGAATATGTACGATAGTTAAGATCGTGGATCTGGGTGAAATCTTTCACAGAGATGAAAGTGAAGAAACACACGTAAGCAATAAACAAAAGAAAAACTCACAGGGACAAAACTGAGATGACAAAGTTAGGGGCATGGAAGAAGGCCCAGCAAAGAGCAGTGCAGCAGAAATCCAGAGTTTCAAATATGGAATGACTGTCAATGTCAAATGCAAAATGCTAGAATGGCATTGTAAGAAGAGGACTGAAAAAATGCCATTAGGATTGGCATTTAGGAGGTCATTAGTGATGTTGTTGATAAAAGTTTCACTTAAGCATTCAGGACGGAAGTCTGAATAGTAGTTTGGACAGGAAATTGGAGATGAAAAAGGAAAACAGTATTTGTAGACTATTCTTTCAAGAGGTATGTCTGTGAAAAAATGAAGGGAGACAGGGAACTAGCGAGGAATTAAGGGAGGCAGGATGTAGAAAGAAATATTATATAAGGATTGATACAGAATCCAGAAATATTTCTCAATGGTGGTCATGAGAATTTGGTCAAGAACCTAACAAAAAACAAAAAGAAAGCCCAACTATTCCTAGCTAGGGAAGTGGTGGGGAGGGAACAGCAAGGGGAGGAAAGGGGAAATAGAAAGCCCTAGCATATGAGCTAAGCTACAGTGAACTGGTATAAACAACAAGGTCAAGGTAAATGCAACCTCTGGCAGACCTTCCAATAAGAAGGGTCAGTAAAATTGTTTATTCCTGTAGGCTAACATAAAGAACAAGTTTTAGACTACTTAAGGCTGTATAAAAGGATCCTGTCTCAAAACCAGACTTTGAAATAGTTTTCTTAATAGTTCCAAGTAATTTGTCATGCCTAGCTCAAGTGCTGGGCAAATAGCAGGTACTCGAAAGTATTAGATACTGGAAATATCAAGTTATCAGGAGTAAACTTCTATTAAACTTGGCTTGTTTTGTCTTATCATCACCATCACATTTCACTGCGAGTAGAAATTTTAGAAAAATCTCTTTTTCATTTGTAATTATTTTGAAGTGACATTCCTTCCAAGAAATAGCTTTCCTCCTATATATCCAGCACTCATACACTGCACCTGATTTGAAGATGAACAAATATATTTCTGCTTAAGAATTTTTGATTTCTGTCTCAGATAATACATTTGTAATAAAAATAAACACTATTTTTTTTTGAGATGGAGTCTCGCTCTGTTGCCCAGGCTGGAGTGCAATGGCGCGATCTCGGCTCACTGCAACCTCTGCCTCCCGGGTTCAAGCGATTCTCCTGCCTCAGCCTCCTGAGTAGCTGGGATTACAGGCACGTGCTATCACGCCCGGCTAATTTTTGTATTTTTAGTAGAGACAGGGTTTCACCATGTTGGACAGGCTGGTCTCGAACTCCTGACCTTGTGATCCACCCACCTCGGCCTCTCAAAGTGCTGGGATTACAGGCGTGAGCCACCGCCCCCAGCCAATAAACTCTATTTCTAAATGCACCCTATTTCTTACCATTTTCTTCAAAATCACTATGTATACTCTTTCAGTTATTACCCCATATGTCCTTTAATGGATGAATTAAATATTGATACACTAAAAAAAATTAAAATAGCTCTGTTACCAACTATCTCAACCTCTATCAAATTATCTATATTGATATTGGCCAAAATAATATTGATATATAAATATTACCAGATAATTTCTTTGAAAATCTTCTTCAGGTCTATACATTTCATAGTATAGAACCTTAATTACATTTCAAAGACACCACACTAGTTAGGCACTTCACTGGGTTTTACCTGAAATATCAGTGTCATGTTAAATAATTGATTCTAATAATAGTTTATTATTGAATATCAAACAATTGAAATCAACATAAAATTTGTGCAGTAAAGTATGTGTGATTCCATCTCAACAAAACGATAAATAATTAGTCTCTCAGAGTGTTTTAATATAGTTAGAAAGAAGCCATTGAAAACTGAATTATAGGACTTTTTCCTTCCTTTTTAGTATATTGAACTCACACAAGTCACCTTTAATTTCTTTTCTCTACTACCAGATTGCAAGGAGAAAATTCGAAGCCTAGCTTCTCAAGGATTTGCTGTTTCTTTATTAATTGTTATATGTGCGTTTCATTCAAAGTACTAGGTAATGCTTTCAGCAATGAAATGGTAACACCTCAAGAAAAGGGTAAATTAACATCTGATTAAATAAAATTCATATGCTCTCATTTAGTAAGAGTGCAATTAAATTCATGTCTTTAAAGTTTAAGTTATCTCAAGTCTTAAGCTCATTTTAAAAGTATAATAAAAATACTAAAATAGTAGATATTACTCAGGGTCACTACGTAACACAACTCCACAGAGCATTATTTACACAAAAATTTTGGTTTATTTAATTTCATCATGCTTAAAACCCCGCTTTAAATTTTTTTGATGTTCCTCTTTTTATACTGTAGTACTATTTAATATCTTCACTAATGAATTATCATTTTAAAAAGAGGAAGAGAGAAAGGAAAATGAAACAGCACATAACATGTACAATGTGCTTTTGACTACATGCACTAGACATATTTTCAAATGAAAATCTCTAATGTTTTCTTAAATCCATTTCATAGCATTAGAGTGCTTTGGATCGTAACTCCATAGACATGTGTTATAAATCAATACTATTATCTCATTCACAAGTCTGTAGCAGACAGGCAGACGTGGATCCCAGGATAATAGACGTATTTGGTGTTAGATCAGGCTGACATTAAAAAACGTGTCTATGGAATCTAAACAATAGATTCACTTGCTGTTTTGTAGAAAGTTGTTTGTTTTAACATACTTATACCTCTCATTTCACAAAATGCACTAGCACTGCTTCAGAAACCTGTCTAGGAAAAAATACTAAGCTACTAAAATTTAATAGTAGTTTTAGGAATAGTAAAAATACAGAAACTGTATATATTGTCATAAATGGAGAAAGTCCAATGTTCAATCAACTACATAAATCTAATTTTCATGAGAGTACAAAGGTATCCAAATGTCTCTGGAAAAAAATTGCAAATAAATCCCCAGATACGTAGCTATAATTGTACTGTATAGATTCCCTATGCTCCACAACTAGTAAGATACATTCTATCAGTTTTTTCTTATGAAGCTAACGTTGTGATTAACATTAGAATAAGTCAAGCCCTTTTCTTTTGCACCAATCTAATATTTGTATTAAAATTATGTATTGACTAAATATGTGGAATATCTTCCATTAAGAATATTTGTAACCTGAGAACACTTTGGTAGAGAATATAAATTATAACCTATTAATCCTTAAGAGCTTATAAATAAAAGCTTAGAGGCATCAATCAGTAGGATGTTGTTGTTATATTTAAGACATCACAAAATTGAAAATAAATTCAGTTTAGTCTAAATCCATGTATTCTCTGACTCTATGCTTTACACTTCTTAGATAACATTTTGAATGCAGCATTAAGAAAATCAGGCACCCAATTGCACTGATGCTAGAGACCCTCAAACATTAAGACTGCTAGAGCAAATGCATTTCTCTCTCTCTCTCTCTTTAAAGTAATTTAGGGGTTTTTAAGGTGATGTGAGTTAATGAAGGAAACCAGAATTTTAAAGAGTACAAGTGACAAGAAAAAGTAACAGAAGATGTCAGTCAGGGGGTTATTGGTTTAATTTTTAACTTTACATCTCCTATTCCCTGTTTTAATTGGGATGATTGTAATTGATGTTATTTAGTGTCTGGAAAGAGAGAACCATGAGAGCTCCATTAGCCTTCTTGGGATAACAAGCAAAGGTAATAACTTTTCCTATTAAGCAAACAAAGACTGTGGCCAACTCTCATTTGGCTTGTCAGTGCCTCCCCGCCAGGACGGTTCTGCCTCCTCACTTGTGTAAGGAGCCGGCTGGCTGGCCGGCACACAGGATGTGCTGTCAATATTGCCTGGCGAGTTTTAAAATCATTTTCCAAATGAAACCCTTTAAAAATTCTATGAACCATTCTTTTGCTGAATGTATCAGTCTTTTGCTACTTACAACAAAGAATGTGCTTTATCTTCAACGGTGCTTCTCTGTCTTTAGTGTCCGTTTTATTTCTGTCCCCAATAAAATTCATTAGCACAGTAGAACAGAAATTACTCTGTTTTAATATGATCATCTATTTCAATAGAAAATGCTCTTACACACAGATGGCTTACATTTTTTGAGTGTGTGAAACACAAAATTTAGCATTGCATAATCTACTAACTGCAAGTCTCTGATGGACTTATAATTATGATTTCCTACTAGCTGATTTGAGAAGTTATTTCTGTAGGGAGTTCAGTGGACTTCTTATTTGGATGTCATAAATACTTAAATATTCATTTTCCATGAGTTGCCAGGGACAATGGGTTCCCAGCAGTGCTAAACAGCTCTCTGAACAGTAGGTGGCAGCACTGTTCAGCTGCCTTTTGTTTGGTTTTATTTTGCCAATTGAAATCAGTTCCTTCACCATTAGAACAAGGGGAAAAAAGGGAAAAGCTTCAAATGTCTATATGCTTACATATAAAACCCACATAAATCTCTCATAATTTGGGAGTGCAAATTAAAATGATTACTTAAGAATCAAAATGACAAAACAGTTCATATTATGTTTTCTCCCTTAGCTTGTTCTATGTGATTGCTTACTTTTAATTTTGCCTGTTTTTCACTATTTGAAGGAAAAAATTACAAACATAAAATATGTCCACAAGTGAAGTACTCTGCACTTAAGTACTTCTACATCCATAGTTGCTGCCAGTTTCAAGAGAGAGCTTCTTCGTGTCCTCTCAAATGCTCCACAATTTATACCTAATTTTATCAGTTCCAGGAGTAATAAATTGATACCTAATTTTATCAGTCCCAGGAGTAATAAATTTTCCTCTTTCTAAAGAGTAGCCAGAAGTCTCAGCCAGTTCACAGCGTAAAGTTTCCACTTCTTGAAGATTCAGGCATTAAGTATGTGATAATTTGGTCATTTTACTTAGTATCACATACTGACATACATATACAGGGTTTTGCATGTGCACCCGAACATACAAACTTATTGTGTATTGACTGATGAGGAGCCTGAGTGTGTGAAGCCACCTATGATAATGAGGAATTTGAAGTCTGTTTTATTCAAGTCTACTGTTTTTTCATTTGTTAACTAAGTGATCCCGATAACTACCTCACAGATTTGAAGTGAGAAATGAATGGGGCACAGTATATAAGGCATTCTGTAAAAGCAATAATCCCGTTGTTTTATTATTCTATGTCTGTGTTTTTGCTAGACAGTACAATGTAAGGACAAACAATGTAAGGATATAATATACAATCTTATATCCCCAGCACTTGGCACAGTATCATGCAAACTTTAGGCACTCAGATATACTTCTGAATCAATGAATAATTGCAAATTTTCGAAACATAATGAGTTTATAATATAAATCAAGCTGGTTAATTTATTGAAGTAAATCCAAATACCCACTCATTTATTCAACATTCAAAGAGGTCCTCATTACTCTGAGCTCAAATTCTAGCAGATGAGGTGGATGTATTAAATATATATACATATATACGTATGCAAAATTTATATAAATATATGCCAGTGCTTTAGTCCAGTGGTTCCCAACATTTTAGGATCCAGGGACTGGTTCGTGGAAGACAATTTTTCCATGGATGTGGGAGGAGGGGAGAGGGATAGTTTTGGGAAAAAACTGTCCCAACTCAGGTCATCAGATATTAGATTCTCACAAGCAGTGCACAACTTAGATCCCTCGCATGCACAGTTCACAATAGGGATCCCACTCCTATGAGAATCTAATGCTGCTGCTGATCTGACAGGAGGTGGAGCGCAGGCAGTAATGCTCACTTGCAGCCCCCTTCACCTTCTGCTCTGCGGCCTGTATGGCTCTGTGGTCCTGGGGTTGGGGACCCCTGCTTTAGTCTATATGTGAAACATTGACATAAACTCATAAAAGTGACAATTTATATATGATACTTTGTTATTTATGAAGCACTTATAAATATACAAATTATCCCATTTAATCTTTTTAACAACTATTCAGTTAGAAATATTTAATACTGAGCAACCTGAGACTTAAGAGTTTAAGATTCTTAATTAAGATGGACTCGCTCTAAATCATCACCTCTTCACACTATACCATGTGAAAAGAACCCACAGGAGTAATCAGTTCTTGTGATGCACGGCCAATACATTATGGTTACATTAAGCCTGTACAGTATTCCTAGATTAAATGGTTTGAAATTATCTATTTAAAAATAATTACTTCTTTATAGATGTTAGTTTCCCCTTCAGTGTAATAGATATATTTATGCTCTATAAACTAAATTCCTCTACTCATCTATCTTGCATTGTACATTTGATGAAGTATCATATGTGTTAGTCATTGTAGTGACAGGCAGAAAGAAGCAATCATGTTTATTATCATTCCAAGACTCTCATTGAGGAATAGCACAAAAGCTCCAACTGCCACTTATCCTAGAGAGGTAGCAATATGTAAACATCGAACACTCAAGGTTAGAGCTGAGCCTTGAATATGAGCTGGTAGGGCTGAGGCCTTCACTTGAGTCAACAACTGCACTTGAATTTTGCACAGGGAGATGAGGGTCGTGGAGGAAGAACTCTTACATCATGCATGCCTAACCCACAAGGTTAAGGATAAACTGACAAGGAAAGTGATGTGGATTCTTCCTGCTTGTAATCCTCAACTATAAAGGCATTGCAAGAGTTAGATACATTCAAGGATGATGGGATTGTTATGATTTGGATTTTTATCCTAACTTTCTTCTATTGAGACTATTTCAACTATTACCACAGCCTTTCATGCAACTGCTAGAGACCAAACCACAGGTTAGAGGAACCGCTGGTCCACTGTGGGTATCACGTTAACTCACAAAATTGCATACCATTCATGTGCTACTTCAGATCCTTTTGTCTCACCTGTTTCTTGGGGCTTTGCTACTTTTTGATTTTGGCAACCACTTGCACTGACCAGGTCTTGTGGGCTCCAATCAGTGCAATAGATATATTTGTGCTTTATAAACTAAATTCCTCCACTATAGTGATATATCCATAGATATATCACTCTATATATCTTTCATTCTTACCTCCTGCTCTGGGGATTCCCTGTTGACACTGAGGTCACAACACTTGCCCAGCAACCATGCACATGCAACCTGGAAGAGAGGGGAGCTAGCCTACTGTACAATGAGCCTTTGACCAATGAGAGACAAGACAATGAATAATTTTTTTTTTTTTTTGAGACAATGTCTTGCTCTGTCACCAGGCTGGAGTGCAGTGGTGTGATCTCAGCTCACTGCAACCTCCGCCTCCCGGGTTCAAGTGATCCCCCTGCCTCAGCCTCCCAAGTAGCTGGGATTACAGGCACGTGCCATCACGCACGGCTAATTTTTTGTATTTTAGTAGAGATGGGTTTTCACCATGTTGGCCGAGATGGTCTCGATCTCCTGACCTTGTGATCCACCCACCTCAGCCTCCCAAAGTGCTGGGATTACAGGCGCGATCCACCACGCCTGGCCAACACTAAATAAACTCTTATACCTTTCTCCCTTCAAAAAACCTTTTCTGAGATGCAATTATTCAGATGACAAAAAAATTGTCCCAAGAGATGAGCAAAGCTTTCCCTGACTTCTGTTTTCTTGATATCGTACTCCATTAAAAAGGAAATAACACAGGTGCTTTTGCCTCAAGCTTTGCTTTCAGGGGAATCCAGGCTAAAACACACACTACTAACACAAATAGAAAATCCACATCAAATACACAATGAAATCCTTCAGCCATCACCAATACTTCCTGAATCTCCTGCAAACACTGAAATGAGCAAAGTCATAGTTTTCTGCAGCTCTTTAAGAAAG
Source organism: Homo sapiens (assembly GCF_000001405.40). Classification (NCBI taxonomy): domain Eukaryota; kingdom Metazoa; phylum Chordata; class Mammalia; order Primates; family Hominidae; genus Homo; species Homo sapiens. Next base: position 211,458,901 of record NC_000002.12, read on the forward strand.
GTGTAAAAAAATGGTATTGATTCAACCAAATGCTCTGAAATAGAAAGCTTCCTCTTTTTGTTTTCCCAACATATTATAAAATGATTAAAATTATAATTTTATGGATTTAATTCAGAATTTTATTTCACTTATCATAAGCTTGTCTCATAAAAGCAAAAACTATAGAGAAAAACCTAAATCATAATATCTCCCCAATACAATACTTTTCTGTGTTTGAAGTTTCACATCACCTCAAATAATTGACTGATTATATAGCATGCATATGCTAAGTCAGCATATGTCAGTGTTCAGAAAATGTTGAAATGAGATTATTTATGTAATTTATAATCAATCTTGTTCCAAAAAAAGATTTAGGACCAACAACTAGAAAAATGCAATGTGGTCAACCAACTACTTCTATGGGGACACTTTCTCTATTTGAACGCCTCATGTTTCTTTCATATTTTTTCTATCAAAAGTGGTAATCCCACAACTCTCCTTCTCAGAAAATGGATCAAAACCAAAAGTGAAATAATCCAGGCACATTTGTCCCTAGGGAGGTGATACGGTTTAGCTGTGTCCTCACCCAAATGTCATCTTGAATTGTAGCTCCCATAATTCCCATGTCTTGTGGGAAGGACCTGGTGGAAGATAACTGAACCATGGGGGAGGTTTCCCCCATATTGCTCACATGGTAGTGAATAAATCTCACGAGGTCTGATGGTTTTACAAGGGGTTTCAGCTTTCACTTGGCTCTCATTCTCTCTTTGCCTGCTGCCATGTAAGATGTGCCTTTTGCCTTCTGCATGATATGAGGCCTCCCCAGCCATGTGAAACTGTGAATCCATTAAACCTCTTTTTCTTTATAAATTACCCAGCCTTGGGTAACTTTATCAGGAGCATGAAAATGGACTAATACAGGAGGGAAAGAAGTCATAACATTTAGTTTATCTCGTTGTTTATATCTATAAAATGAACATTGGTTTGAATCATAATGAGAATAATAAATATATACACACATCGTGCACTCTTGGTATATGGTTAGTCAACATCAAGTAATTAAGCTTAGAGGAGAGTAGCAAAGAAAATAAAAAATTTAATTAGGGCCATAGTGAGAGGCTAAAAATCAGATAATATTAACATTTTCCCTTTATTCAGAAGTCCTTTAGTTTCTGAAATCTCCATAATAACCACCTTTTTCATGACCTCCTTACCCAATTCCAGGTCAGACTTTCAGGAATGCTTTAAAAAGTCAACATTATTACTATAAATAATTACTTTGCAAAATTTAAAATTATTATTACCAGTAAAAATGAATATTATATATCTCACTGCCTTCTTCGTCTGTATGTCTTTTAAGTCAAATGCTTTTTTTTATGATTGAAAATGATCTTCTAATTTCTACTGAACTGTAATCACCTTGAAAGTGCGAACAGATTTATCTTTGTAAAACTTCAGTATTACACATGAAGCCTTGCATGTAAGAGGTCAGTAAATATTTCCTGGATAAATGAATACATTTTTTGTTGAACCTTAACCAGCCTCTGCATTACTAGAGCATTAATTTCTTAGAGTGGGTTAATAACCATAATTAATTCAAAGTTGAACAACTGGGGGTAGATGGTGGAAGTTGAAACATAATCACTGTTTTAAAACCAGGTTAATGCAGTTTCCAAATCAACATAATTTGCCAGTAGAAACATCATCCTGGAAGAAATTGACAAAACAAATTCTAATCACGAGCTTGTGTTTTGTATTACAGACAGTTTTTGTGTATTTCAACTTGCCATGTTGAAGAATACAGCCAGGGTGGCTTCCTATGTAATTGATACAATTCAGTAAAATATTTCTGCTGTTTTAAAAACATTTTCCTGCATTAAAAAAAAATCAATGTTTATTAAATCCTTTCAAATGTTTAAAATAAGATTTTATAGCTAGAACAGATCTTGTCTAGTCTGGTCTGAACTTGGAGAAGGTAAAACTTTTAAAAACCAAAGGTAACATTGTTTCTTAATTTATGTTACTGTAGCTTTGTACTGTCTTCCTTAGCCAGGTATATTGCTCTTCTCTTTGGTATTTCCTTTGTTATTTCTTTCATTTTAGGAACTGAAAAATGAAGTACAGCAATGCTTCAACCTGGTATTACAGTTTATATTAGACAGCTAGCACTCATTTTTCTCCTTTTGTAACTCCTAGAGATTGGGGGAAAAAAAAAAAATCCCTGCTTTTGATTAAATCATCTTTATTCAAAGTTAGCTTAAAAAGTAAATGAAAATTCATCTGTGTCATTGGAAGAGATGAAAACTTCATTACTGTATATTTTTTAAATTATTGTAAGATAAAACAAATGACTCACTTGGTTCTTTAAAAATGCCAAAAAATAAGGAGAAATGTTTGCTTTTACTAGTAGATATTTATATTATTATCAATACTAATGAGATGAAAGAAATCGGAGCTGATTTCAAGGTAGAAGAAAATAATATGGAAGAAAAATAAAAATGGACTGCAAAGTGTTTTTTGTTTGTTCTGTTTCCTTTCTAAGAAGTAGAGATCTGGGGAAAACAAGGGATGTCAGAGGATCTGTGGTGGTAGTTTCCTCTTCCTTTTTTGTAGTATGCAGAAGGGTTGTTCCTTTTGCATACTATCTCATCTTCTCAATATCTGGCCTCTAAGAAAATATTTTTTCTAACTACTGTAAATTGAGGATAAAGACACATATATTGTGTTTATGGTTAGGCAGGGGAAAGAGGGGCCACAAGAAAGAAACATAGACACTAAGCATATGCATCCACAGAAGGAGAGAGAGATACACACTACGAAATGTAGGCCGGCATGCTGAACCATTGAGAAAACAACTGAGCAGAGGTTATCTAGAAGAGTTTATTAAAAACAAAAAGATTAATTAAATGGAGAGTCTTGAAGATAAGGAAAAGCAAAATGGTAACCTCTTTCTAAAGTACTCTGGGCCAACCATTTTAACAGTGTGTATTAGTTCCTACACTGCTATTTAAAAAAAAAAACAATAAAACAACAACAAAAAAAAACTCTGACTGGATAATTACGTCGGTGCAAAAGCAACTCTGGTTTTGCCATTTTATGGCAATTAAAATGCTCCGGTAATGGCAATAAAATGGCAAAACTGTGATTACTATTGCACTGACTCAATATAAAGAAAAGAGGTTTAATTGACTCATGGTTTTGCAGGCTCTACAGGAAGCATGATGCTGGCATCTGCTTGGCTTCTCGGGGAGATCTCAGAAAACTTACAATTATGGCGGAAGGCAAAGTGGGAGCTGGCACTTTACATGGCCAGAGCAGGAGAAAGAGGGGCAGGGGTGCTACACACTTTTAAACAATCAGATCTCATAACTCACACACTATCATGAGCAGCACTGAGGGATACCTGCCCCCATGATCCAATCACTTCCCACCAGGCCCCACTTCCAACATTGGGGATTACAATTCGACATAAGATCTGGGCTGGGACAGAGATCCAAACCATATCGGAGTGATTGTATGTTATTTTTTAACTTTCTAATGGAAATACAAGTGAAAGTATAAATAGTCTCAAGGCCAGTTTCAATAAGTGAGCGAGAGTTACCTGTGACAATGAATCAGAAATTTGACCAAATAGCAACTCGCAGAAAGACAAGTTTCATGTGGTCCAGAAGGTGAAGGAAGAAAAGGGTTTTTTAAGGAAATGATTTGTACCCCAAGACTCAAAAGAGACTGTTCATTGTTTAAGCGAGCTTGTTCCAGTTCTTACTTTATAATGGGCTGTTACACTTCTTAGGATTCCTAGAAAAATTACCATTCCCAAATGCTAATTGCAATTCCATTTTCTAAAAGTCAGTATTTTGCAACAAACTATTTAAGTGAAAAAAATATTGTCAGCTCTCTACATGTTTTATTTTAGCCTATATTTAAATAGTTCATATTGAATCTGAAATTATACTAGAGTTCAAAATCAATGTTTTTGTTTCTCTTCAATCCAACCTCAAGCTATACTTTATAGTTTCTCTTTTTCACTCAACAAGAAAAAGTAACACATCTAAGACCACAACAAAAATAAATCTGATAGAAAGCAGTTTGTTGCTCTTTAGGAATAAACTCACCACAAATATTCCACTGCTGTATTGTAGTCCATAGTTAGAATGAGTAAATTAGAAATAATTTACCCACCCTAAAATTATCCCAGAAAAAAGAAATTCCTAGGGACTTAGAAACTCAGGTGGAAGATGCTCTTTAGTTACATGCTGTGATGCCCTTGCTTAATAATAATTCTGTGACTGAAAAAGAAGTTAGGAATCTAGTGTAATCTCTGTAATCAGTGATTCTCCTTCAATTACAAAAAGCGGAGCTATAGTTTTTAGTTTCAAGGATTCCTGGCTCAAATTCCAGCAGGGTTTGTTCATGTACAAATTGCAAAGCTACTCACTTGATTAAGAAGGCTAATTTAATATTGCTATGTGGATTGCACACTCACACCTCAGTGATTTTACTAATACTACTTCTTCCTGGGTTCCTATGGGGAATTTTGAAGGTGCTAGATCAGCGTTGGTTTGCAGAAGCATGCAGTCTGCTGTAGCTTCATTAACCTAACTGGAAGTGGGCCTCATTTAGCATTACCCAGATGGTAAAATTGGGGCTGATTATCTGCTCTTTGGAAGCTGAAATGTGCTAATAGGTCAGGCGGTACTTCACAAAGTTTAGTGGACATAGGAAGCAGCTGGGAGCAATTTAAAATGCAGATTACATAATCCCACTTCCAAAGATTCTCACTCTCAGATCTGGGTAAAATTCAGCATTTTAAAACAAGTATCCTCCTCCCCTCCTACAGCAGGCCTTTCCAGGAAGTTGAAGAGTAGGTTGGATGGTCGCTCTATCAAATGGTGGTTTCCAGACATTGCTTCATTCAAAACAAAAGTCTAAGTCTTTTCAATGACATTCAGGACCCTAAATGATCTAGTCCCCATTACCTCTCTAATCTCATCTCCCTCCCCATCACTCACGTTGCTGTAGCCACACAGGCCTCCTTACTGTGCCTCAAACATTATCAAGACTGCTTCAACCCCAGAGATTTTGCATTTGTTCTTCCTTCTGTTTATAGTGTTGTTTCCCCAAATATCTGCATGTCAGTCTTGCTTTTTTCCTTTAAGTCTTATCTCACATGTCACTTTCTCCATGAAAACTACCCTGCCCACCTAATCTAAAGTTGCAACCACTCTGTATTTCTTCTCCCTTTCTTTGATTTAATTTCCACCTGGGCATTTATCTTGTTATTTTGTGATTTCTCTAATAGAAGATAAGCTCAACAATAGCAGAATTTGGTTTTTGTCTGTTTTGTTCACTTCTATAAGCCCAGCACCCAAGACAGTGCCTAGAACATACATAATAGGCACTCGCCAAATATTTATTGGGCATATGAATTAATGATGAGGCACTGCGTAGAGTTATGCAATACTGTGGCCTTCCAAACAGTTGGGGTATTTTCCACATCAGCCCTTTTGTCAGAAAAATATAATTACAGGTATGACTGAAGTTCTTCAATTTCATCAATTTCAGCAGTACCTAAACAAAATTGAAGGCTAAATATATTCTGGCTAATGCACCAAAACCATCCTTAACATCAGAAAATCTGTATTTAAGTGACAGCTCTGTCATTTATTATCTTGTGTGGTCGTGGTCAAATCATTTGAGGATTCAATTTAAAAAGTACGTCACTAATCTCACTAATGCATGTTCTACAACTATAAAAAGGTAATAATAGTAAAAGCTTCTCCCACCCTATAGAATCTTCAGAATTAACTTGAGAAAAGCTTTTTTTATATTATACACTACTAAATAAATATGAGCAAGTTTATACTCATCATCCTTCACATTTAACATTTTAACTTGATACAACAGGCTGTTACAGTGGTGGCTTCTAATGGACCATACCTCACTATATCCATGAAGTCCCACAGTGATGTTAGAACTTAGCCAGGAGACTTGCTTTGACTGATTGCATATTAACAAGCACAATACAAGCAGAGGCTTAATGAGAGGCATACAGGATAATAAGAGGCCCACTGGAGCTTACCTTGTTTTTCTTTTTTTTTTCTTTTTTTTTTTTTTGAGGCAAGGTCTTCCTCTGCTACCCAGGCTGCTGGAGTGCTGTGACATGATGATAGCTTACTGCAACCTTGAACTTCTGTACTTTAGTGATCCTCCTGCCTCAGCCTCCCAAAGTGCTGGGATTACAGGCATGAGCCACCACACCCAGCGAGCTTACATTCTTGAAAGCCAGTTCCGTGCTTTAAATAGGCTTGAGCTAGACTACCCACCAAGGAAAAACCACGTGGAGGATTCGCAGGTAGGTGAGAGGCTATCTTGAATATTTTGACCTCAGCTGAATGCATGAGGAAGATCAGACACCACGTGGAACAGAAGCACCTCCCAGCTGAGTCCAGTCAATCACAGAATCAAGACAAATAATAAATTACTGTTTTAAGACCTAAGTTTTGGGATGAATTTTAATGCGGCAACAGAAAATTGAAATCCCTGGGTTTTTAAAAATGACATCATAGCTTTAAAAAAATACTTTAACAGCAGGAATTCTGAACATTGTATGAAAGAGAGAAGATAATAGGGGAAGGAGGAAGACCTTTAAAGTAAAATCAGATGTTCACCTACTTCACTTACTTTTGAAGCCTAAATGACAGTTAGTACATAAGATACTGCTTATGCCTATGAAAAAAAGGGCCTCAAATAGAGTCATTTTGTATAAGTCACTGTATAATCAAAATCTATCTTGAACAAATGACAACAAAATACAGGACAAAGAAACCTCCTATCTGCTTTTCTAAGACTTGCCGGTCGAGAGTAGCCAACCCACTACGAGAAAATTCTGAATTCTTATTCTGTAACTTACAGTAGTTACCTCTGGGCAGGAGTCTATTGTTCATGATTAGGACTTCCAAATGGGAGCAAATCCCCTGGCAACTTCCAGATTTACCAGTGGGGATTTGCACTTTGATGAATAAGTCACACTGCTAAAAATTCAGCATGGGTCTTAATCGGTGCTGAAGCTAAGTTCGGAATAAACAAAGGTCAGACCCTTTTTGCTGTCATTCCTCCTTTGTGTTATTAAGGTCTTGTTTGGAAGCATTTTGTCATACATTTGGCAAAAGGGTAGGAAGCAAAGTAGTGAAGTCCTTGTGAATGTACAAGCAGTCACCAGGGCACTTTGTTACCATTCTGAGAGAAATGTTCTCAACTCGGAAAGAGCTCTGACATTTTTAAAAGAGATATTGCAAACGCTTTATGAAGTCTTTGTGTCCTCCAGGCCGGCATTGTTGTTTAGCGTAATAGCCTTCACTTTCTAAGCAAAATGGTTGGGAAGCTTTTCAATGTAAGGTAAAAGGTGTCTTCCTACTACCAGTAAGTAACATGCTTTCATCTTTTTGTGTAGTTTTTTTTTTTTTTTTTAAAAAAAAAAAAAGGAACACATTCAATGATGCCATGAAATATGAATGAGTTATCTTTTCCAAATTTGTAGTTAACATCCTTGTTATTGTCAAAGAATTCAAGACTCCAAAGAGTAAATTTTTGTTGAATCCAGGACAGGATGCCAAGCTAGATTCTTTGGTACTGACTTACATGTGTCAGAACTGATCTCCAACAACATTGCAAATTTATCAACAACTGAGTTCAGTATGCCTGAAACACTCTGTGGGTGGCAGAAATAAACACCACACACCTGTGACTGACTAGTTATTATTAATTTCTCAGTAACTGCAATGAATTCAGTGAGTAGAAGAAAAAAGTGTCAGAAAAGTGCTATGGTTTACAGACCTTTTTTAAAAAGAAATTCATCCCACACAAAGCCATCAAATGAGGATATTCTTATTATCTGAAATCTATGTGGGCTTCCAAATGGTAATGCTCCAATATAAGTATTATGCTGCAGAGAAAAAATTCCCACCTTATAAATGGTAATATATCAGTTTTCCTCTCTCTCTCTCTTTTCTCTCTCCAGTATTTGATTACATGCTTTCCTTTATGAAATACGTGGTAAGTGGCAATATTGTAAAGCAAATTTTTGCTGAATTAAAAATATAGATTTTAAAGGTGTAATGCATTATATTATATATATTACTGAGATCTTCGGATATGCCACAGACTGACCTCCAATGTCCATGTTAGTAATTATTCTAAAAATCTTTTCTTTAGAGTGACAGAACCCCAGAAATTTTACTTTGTGTTATGCAGTGGGTTGAATAGGAGTTTGTAGGTTTCATTGATAGTAACGTACCTTTTCCAGAGCAAGTGCCAACAATTCTGGGAAAACTAAAAATACTCTAAAGCAGAATGAGCGTTAATCGGAAAGCAAGAGAACTGGTTTCTTGTTCTCACTACATTCTGACTCAACCACCCATCAGTTTCTTTATCTAACAAATAGGAGCACTGGTATCTGGTCTATCTCTCTGGGTTGTTGCAACCTTTAGTCAGATGATGTTTATAAATGTGATCTGTAAAAGCACAATGTAATGTACAGGATCAATATTAGGTGTGTTGTTTTTAGGCAGCACTAATGTATTTTTGTTTTGTACTGTAAGCTGTGCCTGCTTGTCTACGTTCACAGTGCTTCCACCTGTCCATGCAGTGGACCTTCTCCTTGGAAATAATCCTGTGTAAATATCTTCCCTGGAAAGTATAAACCAAAAAGAAAGCATTCTAATCTGGCTGAATTTCATATCTAATATAGAGTATTTGGAGGCCATAGAAGTGGAAGACCATTAAGGAAAGAAATTCATTAGCATGCTACATATTTTCTTAGTTTAAGTGACAAACAACAGCAGAGTAAGGCTAGGCCATATGGGAGGAAAGAAGCTAAATTCCTTGTGGAAACTGTAAATCCATGTCTCCTTCTCCTCCAACCCACCAAAGGGTGATCTAGATAAAACATGTGACTTAAACCCTAGATCAGCATTCAGTAAGTATGTGATTCCCAAAATATGCAGGGAAATTGGGCCAATCTGACTTTTACCTTAAATGGAAAATCTTGTTATTTCCTTTTGGAGAAAGTAAAGGAGCAATCTAAGGATACTTCTACACCCAAATTTAAAGTGGCTGTTGACAGGGCCAGAAAAGGAGATGGAGATAAATAATGTGGCTGGAAGTGGATGGATTATATAAAAAGAAAAAGACATGTAATTAGATGCAAGTAGATTTTTGGACATCCACTCTACAACGGTCACCTTTAGTATTCATGTAAACCATTTTGGAGATACTAAAGAGAAAAAAGGAAGAGTCAGAAAAGAAAATAAAGAGAGCAAAGGTCTAGTAATGAACAACTACATGCAGGCAAGGATATGCTAACACATGTCTGTGAACCTCCACAAACCAGAATATTTAACAGAGAGAAAGAGAAGGAAAATACAACACTGCCACTGAATGTTGTGTTAAGAGAAGATAAGATCAAATGTGTGCCTTTATGAAAGGGAAATAGCACAGCAAGGATGATGACTATGCCAACCCATCCAGGGGTTTTGACTGTCACGTGTGACACACAGATAAGAGCATGTTCAAAGGATGAGGGCTGTTTGATAGAGAACAGCACCGTGCTTATAGGAAACCTATATAAAAATCTGGACGTTATAGATACAGAGGGGTCTATTTGCCTGGAAAAATGTAGTTCTTGTGAAATAAGAAGGTGGGAGAAACGCCCCCCAAGTCTACATACACCAACTCAGAAGAGGTCTTTAGTCTAAGGACTTTGAGCAAATGAGGCTAATGAAAGAAAGCCACCGTGTTTGATGTTTAAGAGGACAGATGTATAAACAGGAAAAAGTTAAAATGGGATTACTACTTTACACCTCCAACAAATAAAATAACAGAAGAATACTATCATGGTGCTTTCATCATTAGCCTCAGGAAATATCTGCCCCTGTGTAATGTGGATCCTGCAGAAGAATAACAACAACACAACAAGGATGGCAACAAAAACCCTGCATACTCTTTTACAAAATATATATGTATATTTTCTTCTGCTTCAAAAAAAAAAAAAAAACCCTTAAAGGCAGAGAGTCCTGTGTTTCATGTACAGCATTGTCAAGTTGTCTGGTAGAGATGAGAAAGCTGACAGCCCTCTGGAGGGCCTGAGCTGAGGCTGCGTGCAGAAGTCTGGAATGGCAGAGACCTGATCCCGCATGTAATGAGACCAAACAGAGCTGGAAGGGAAACTCTGCTCGTAAGCCCCTTCAGACAAAGAATCAAGCAGCAGCTGCTTGCCTGTCATGCTTCACCTTCCTGTCCATGGTCCTCCTTTTCTGCAACAGCAGGGGCAACACGAAAAGACTGAAGTAGATTACAGTTAGCTCAGAGGCCATATAGGCACTGTGTAAATATATTCATTCATTTATCCATTTATTTGAAATTTATCAAAAATTTGCCATGTGCTTTGTGCTGTGCAAAGTATTTGGGATGCAGTGGTAAATAAGACACACTTTCCAGCAGGAAAGTTTTCATAGTCTGGTGGGGGAAGTGAAAATGTAAACAAATCTTCATGTGTACATGAGATATGCATGTTTATTCCAAGACAGCTAAAACCATTTCCCACAAGCATTTCAATGCAAACAAAAAGCTAGTCCATTAAATATATATGTATCCTCCTAGGTTTGTTAATCTTAAAGCTAGAGGAAGATCTTATAATGACAGAAGAATTTTGGCCCTGTACATAAGAGTGGTTAAGAACTGAAGTCTTTTTAAATTATACAAGGAATAGACATAGTCTTTTAGTTATAAAATTTGCATTGACAAACTAGGTGTTAACTGAAATCCTTGTCATAACTAAATCGCATCTTAGTCATATAAAATCTTTGTCGTGCAAGTATAACTCAGGTACATAACTTTGCATTCTGCAGAAGGAGTATAATTGCATATCTATTCCTTTCTTTTTAAGAATAGGAAAAGATTTAGCAGAACAAAGAGGTTGCTCAAAGCCTCCCAGTGGGCAACAGTCAACCTTAAGTGTGTTTAAGTGGGCTTGGGGGGGGAGATTCAAGTGTTAAATCATATAATTATATTAAGAGAGATACCTGAGGAATTGGGGTATTCCGGTTATAATCATATACTTGAAAACATGAGGAACAAGGTACAAGTAGGTTCTTTCCTTTTATTTAAAATATAAAAGACTTATAATTAACAATTAATCCCTCCTAAAGGCACTTAGTGATTTCTCGCTTAAAAAAAAAGGGCTTCACTCCTTGTGGTTGGCTGCAGCAATCAAAAAGTTCATATTTAAATGGAAAGAAGTACGTCCCACACTAATATTAATGGTACAATGGTAGTAGGAACAGAATTGATAATTGAGTTATTAATCAACATTGCCATTTTTAAGAATATGGCTACATTCTTAAAAAGAAAAGGACAATGTTAGTGGCACTAGCACCCTGGGAACTTGGCTGTGCCCAGACTGACTCCTCTTTGGCTCTCTGACTTCCTACATAATTAGAACTTAAGGTGTAAAATTGGAACATATTACAGAACAGTTGTTTTCACATAAATATTAAAGCAGATATCATGTCAAGGAAGAAAATAACCAGTCTCACAATTTGGCTGAATGTAGAAAAAAACTGAAATCAGCAATAGGTAGCATTTTTTTTACTTTCATCTATTTATTTAATTTTTTAAATTTAATTGTTTTGATACCTCAGTTTTCTAATCAGTAAAATGAACATCAGTGGATTTTAGAGAGATACTTTAAGACAACTTTGGAAATCCCGTAAAACTAAAACTGTACTTCTCAAACTTTAAGGTACATGTGACTAACTCACCAGTGGATCTTGTTACAATGCAGATTCTAACTTAGCAGGTCTGGGTTAAGCCCCAATCTGTATTTCTACACATCTCATTTTAAGCAACGAGATTCTAAAAACACCTTGCCCAACTGTAATTTCCAAGTATGTCTGCAGCAACTATCATTCATGCCACATGCCCTTTGGCATGTAAATTATTTGCTGCTGCTGCATCCGGAGGTAGAGCAGCATCTATTTCTCCATCTCCTTAAATCTGAGTGTGCCCTTCAACCATTTGGACAAACAGGCTATGATGAGACTGTGCCATTTTGGGTTATATCCCTTAACTGCACTGGCAGCTTCAACTTCCAGGCTTTGGGAGCCAGGTGTCATGAAAGTAGTATGGCTACCGAAGACCATTATAACATGAGAATCCCAAGCCACTTAAGGAGGCCCGGGAGGATAAGACTACCATATGAAGAGAGACAAAAAGACAGAGAGAGAGGGAGAGATGAGACAATGAGGCTGAGAGGGAGAAGAATCAAAGAGCATGGAGGCACCAGTCACAGGTGAAGAAGCTACATTGAAAGTAGAACCTCCAGCCTCAGATGATATCACCTGGATCAGAGAAACCATGAGCCAAGCCTTTCTTAAATTTCTAACACACAAAATCTGAGCAAATTTAAATGGTTGTTTCAGACCCTAAATTGTGCAGTGTATTGCTTCTCATCAACAGGAAACTAAATCTGAATTAATAAGTAAGGGAATTTTAAATAGACATAAAAGTGAAAAGTCAGTACTTTAATACTATTTACATTCAATATATGTGCTGATAAAGCAGCGCCAAAAAAAAACTTGTGAGTGACCTGTTTCATTTCCCACTTCTGAAAAATATAGATATTGTATCAATATCCAACTGCACAATCTCACAGTTAAGAGGTGGAACTGGGATTTGATGTCAAGTGTGGCTAATGCCAGAAAAAGCACACAGGCAGGGAACCCAGCTGAGAATGTTTTACGAAAAGCTTCCAAAATGAGAAGGTGGTTGAACCCAGTCTCCATGGAGAAGTAGGAGTTAAAAAAGTGACAAAGTTTGGTAGGACAGGTATCTCAATCAGAGGGACAGCAGATAAAAATAATGAGCAGTCTGAAAGAATGGCACATTAATGAGTGGAACAGGAAGACTGAAGTAACAAAAGATAATTCTGGCAGTGGCTCATGCCTGTAACCCCAATGACTCAAGAGGACGAAGCAAGAGGATCGCTTGAGGCCAGGAATTGAAGACCAGCCTGAGCAACAGAGTGAGACCCTGTCTCTTAAAAAAGGGGGAAAAAAGATAATTCTGGAGCAGTAGGCTTCATGCTGTGGAGAGCCATTGCAAACTTTTAAGTTGACAAAAGATTTCTGACCAAATGTAGATTTTAAAAGATTAAGCAATTTGGTTATCCAATTGGAAAAATTTCAGGCTAGAGGTAGACAGACAAGTGTGAAGGTTGTTGCAGCATTACAGGCAAGACGTGGTTCTGTTCTAAACTAAGGAATGTTAAGAGGGAAGGAAAATACTGGTTATAAAGATATTTTAGTGATAATGACAAGTGTCATGATATGGCCACAACCATGACAATAATAAATAATATTTATTATAAATCTTATTATATTAAATATAATATTTAATAATATTGATATGATAAAAGTCAAATTAGTGATTAACATCCCTGTCTCTACATAGATTGTGTCATGAAGAGAGACAGGGATGTTAGGAAGAGACACTCAAATTTGGTACCATCTTACCTTTATTCTAACTCTTCTTATAAAACGCTATTATATTAATATTTCTCAGATGTACTAATGATAAGATCCTTCTCCTTCAGAAAAAAAAACAATTCCAAGAAAAAACACCTTCAAATGTGCATTATCCCACAGCATAATATTAAAACTCCTCACGACGGTAATTTAAGGCTTCTTCATGCTTTCCCAACTACATCCTTGGTTTTGTCTCTCTAATCACCTTTTACTTATTCTTCAATCAGTCACATGGACCTCCTCCTGTATGTACTCCATGTTTTGTTATCTTGTTCCTTTGTTCTAGATGCTGCCTCTAACTCAGTGCTTCTCAAACTTGAGTGTGAATCGGAATCACCTACGGAAATTAAAGCACAGATTGCTGAGTCCCAGCCTCAGAGCTCCTGGTTCAGTAGGTATAGGGTGGGACCTAAACACAACCTCAACAATAATATAAATATTATTTATTATTTATAATGATAATTAATATTTATTATTATTATTTTGACTGTAGGATATAATAAGCTAAAAAATACCTCTGCCTCCCCCAGGGATATATGTGTTCTAATTCCTGGAACCCATAAATGTTACTATATACGGGGAATCAAAGGGGTCTTTGCAAATGTGATTACCTGAATGATCTTGACATGGAGAAATGATCCTGCATTATCTAGGTGGGCTTTAAATACACAAGTATTCTCATTATAGGAAGGCAAACAGAGAGTTTACACACAAATAGAGGTAAAGAGGATGTGATGTGAAGATAGAGGCAAAGATCAGATTAATGAGGCCACCAGCCAAGGAATGTTGGCAGCCACTGGAAGCTGGAAGAAGCAAGAAATGGGTTCTCCCCCAGGGCTTCTAGAAGAGAGTAGGTCCCTGCCAACACTTTAATTTCAGCCCAGTGATTCTGATTTTAGGTTTCTGGCCTCCAGAACCATAAGAGATTAAATGTCATTTGCTTTAGGCCACCAGTTTGTGGCAGATTGTTACAGCAGCCACAGAAAATTAGAACACAGGAAAATAAATCTTCTTTGAATTTCTTAGTGCTCCTGTAAAAAGGGCCAGCTTTCTGGGACATGGAAATCTGTATGATATAAGGATGGAGAAATTTGCCTTCATTTCCCCTCAAAACTTTTTCCTTTTCCCATACTATAAGGATTAGATCTATAGCCATTTGTCAAGTTAACTGCTCTGTTCCAAAGGATAATAAACCTCATCACCCTGAGGGAACCAAATGTTTACAGCCTGGACTAGGCATCTAGGTTAAGCTCCCTGGGAGCCAGGGAGATGGGAGCTCTATCTCCCTATTTACATTTCAATGGTAAATAAAACCCAAAATGTGGTACAGTAGAAAATACCTGACAGTGGTTACCTGTTGCATCCAAATCTGAGCGAGTAAGATGGTATATAAATACCAAATTGAATTGAAGATAAAGATATCCCTAGGTCATAAAAGCCAGAAATTTGAAGTTTGTGGAGAGATTCAACTACTGGGAAGGATCCTGGGTTATCGTAAACCCATGAGCCTTTCCATTTCGTCTCCAAGGAGCAAAGGTTTTTCTCCCTTCTTTGAGGATTAAAAGGGTGCAGCTGGCTTTCTCTTGTATATAAATGGCCAAAAACAAAAAAATCTATTTTTCTTTGTCTTTCTCTCACTTATGAAGTATTTGGCCACTTGTGTAAGATAATATTTTATCTGGCTTTTATTATGTTGCTCCAGGGGTAAGGACTGGAACAAGAGGGGCCAATTTAGTTATTATATAAGTAATAAATAATCTGTCTCTGGTCTAGAATACCTAATATTCATACTAAAGATTAAAATTAATAAAGATAAATAATAAAAACCAAATACCTATGTTCTAAACATTTCTCCAAACCTATTATTATCTATATTATACAGAAGACAACACTGAAGTTTTGAGAATTTAATTAATTTTATTAGAATCACATTAATGATAAGTGGTATAGCCAGGATTTCGTGTAAGACATATTTGACTCCAAAGCCCTTGCTTTAAACCATGGATTTAATAATTAACTTTAAAGAAGTTAATTATTATGAGGTAGATAGAATCTAGGATGATTCAACATTTATGACTTGGGCTCTTGCATATGGTAGTTCCATTTACCAAGGAGTGTACAGGAACTCAAAATCTTTTAACCTGGAAAGACAATGTATTCAATTTCCAATATGTTGATTTTGATACCATAAAAATATTTTTTCAAAACATTCTAACCAAGTAAAATTGTAATATAATCGAACAGATGAGCAATGAAGACATACATTTCTGAACCACTCACAGGTAGGTTATAGGTAAAGCTTTGGTTTGGATGAGCTTCTTAGAAAGTCTAGAGTGAATGAGAAGGGAAGGCAATGGAGGATGGGCCATTAAGTACATGGATGGAAGAAGAGTTGATGTGAAGGAGCCAGAGAAGTAGGTGGAATGACAAGAGGAAGTAGAAACATGGAGTGCAAAGGAAGCAGTCAAAGAAAGGAAAGTGATGGAAGACTGGGGAAGAGAGAAATGGGAAGCTAAGTCAGGGATACAGAAAGGCAAAACAGTATGGTGAGGAAAATTTAAGAGGAGGGATGACAGGAAAGACTCATAATTGCAATGCATTATCCCATGTAATCCATAAGGATGTTTTCCACAGGCTCTTTTATTATTAATGTCAAAAGCATGTAAATAGCACAGTAAATGTTTTGTCATTCTAATAAGTTACTTGAAGATATTTGACATGATAATATAAATGTTGTAGTTAATTTAGAGGAAAAGGGCAGTTTTTATATAGAGGGATAAGTTACAACTAAAAGACCTGTATTAGAATCTCTTTTTGTTTTGCATTCAGTATTGTTATAAATTTCTGCGAGTTAATTGTCCTCTCTGAAACTCATTCTCCTTAACTACTTGATGACAATAATGTCGGCCTCACAGTGTTACTGTGAAACTTCAGTAAGTAATGTATATAAAGGTATCTAACACAGTGTATTAACATACACCATAAGAAATACCTGATCAATGTATTTCCTAGTACATGTAGGAAATAGTAAGAAATACCTGATCAATGGACATCAGTTGAATCTGAAGAACTATAATGACATATAAATATGGAAGCAAATTGAAAACTACAAAAACATCATATACCAACTACCGTATAACCTCGTTGTTTGTCAGTATACAATGCTACAGTCTTAATTTTGCTTTGTGTTTTTATTGGGCACAAGAGGGCAGAATAATATTACCCCTTGTCAAAATTGGACTAGACCTAAGCAGAAAACTTTCTGTTAACAGCTTATATTCTGAAAATCAATCATCTGAAAAGGATGAAGATAATAAAATAACTATAGGATTAAGTGAAATTTATTTATGTTTTCAACCAAACAATAAAAGTAATAAATGTGTATTTGAATTTATCTGTAGTAGTATAAGTTGTTGAATACCGCTTATGTCAGATTATGTAATAGAGTAGTGGAAAACATAAAATGTTAAAATAACAAAATAACTACACGATCAATTCCATCAAGAAAAATAACAAATATAAAAATGACTCAAGTATATGGCAAAATATTACGATCACCATAAAAAGACAGAAAGTCTAAGGGAGTTCCAAAAAAAGAGATTATATGTGATCAGCAATTCTAGGTAGAGCTGGTGGCACTTCAGTTGTACCTTGATAGACTGACTTTAGAACTTCAGCTGAAGAGAAAGTGGGGAAGGGCATTTTAAGACAGAGGGGAAAACATGAGCAAAGGCTCTGAGCTTTGGACAGCTGAGACCTATTTAGGAGAGCAGCATAGTTTGGTTGGAATGTATGAAACCTTTGTGGGAGTGATGAATACAAAAGCTAGAAAGATACAAGGACATGGTTTGATAGACATTGAGTGCTCAATAAAAAAATGCAAACTTCCTTTGTGAGACAAAAGAGAATCACTGGGATATTTTGGGTAGGGGAGTGTGTGGACCAGAGTTGAATTTGAGGAAGAGTATTTGAAGGGAAGGATTTATTGGGTTTGTAACATCAGGTAGAATTGACAGAAAGTTACTTAAAGCTAATGGAGACCCTGAGTTACAGAAGAGTAGAAGAATCTAAGTTTCTCTTTAAGAAATACTATAAATAAAAAATGAAGAAAAAAAAAAAAGAATGACTTAGAATATCATCATTGTGCAACTCCTAATGAATCAATGGATTTGAGCATCAATGGCTGATAACCTCCCAAAAAGAGACAAGCAGATATTATGTTGAATAATGGAAGCGATTTGTTAAATGATAGACACTATAAACTTGTTTTGCAAAATACAAAACAAAAGAAAAACCTGAATTTGATTGTGCCTCTAGATCCAACTAGTAGCTTAGAAGGAAGGCATAAAACACAGGAATATGTCAAACTACACTCTAACAAGGCAGTTGACAAAATTACACCTATGGGAAACTCTACAAGTGAAAAATCTAGATTCTTCAACAAATAAATTGCAAAGGAAAAAGAGTGCAGGGAGGGATAAACCTATATGTGATGGCTAATTTTGTGTGTCAACTTGGCTGGGCCATAGTCTCAGAGATTTGGGGTCAAACATCATTCTGGATGTTTTTCTAAAGGTGTTTTTGGATGAGATTAACATTTAAATTGGTAGACTTTAACTAAGCAGATTACCCTCCCTGATATTGGTGGGCCTCATTTAAGCAGTTAAAACATTAATAGAACAAAAATAGACCACTCTCAAGCAAGGAGGACTTCTGTCAGCAGGCTGCCTGTGGACTTGAACTGCAACTCTTCCCTTGGACTCCAGCCTGCCAGCCCTACCCTGTGATTTTAGATTTACCAAGTCTCCATAATTACATGAGCAAATTCCTTAAAATCTCTCTCTCTCTCTTTCTCTCTCTCTCTCTCCTACACATACTAACATACACACATTTATTCTGTTGGTTTTATTTCTCTGTGTTGGTTTTGTTTCTCTGGAGAACCCTAATTAATACACTAAAGATGAAAAGAGACAGAATATACAAAAGGAAAAAGAGGCAAAAATAAAATACAGTGTTTGGGGATGTTCATTTGTTCTATAAAACTACAAAGGAAAGAGAATGGAAAGGGGCTTCTGGGTTGGGTGGCAAAATTTTATTTCCTGACCTGTGTAATGGTGAAGTGTATTCGCTCTATGAAAATGTATTAAACTATGCATATGTTTTGTATATTTTTCTAGATCTGTGTTAGATTTTTATAATAAGAAAGCAAAAGAAACTAGAGAAGGAGGATAATAGTCACTTGCTATTAATAATAGCTAACTCATATCAGTGAGTAATTCTCTTGGAAACCATAAATTTGCTAAGAATTTTAAGTATTAAAGTTCAAAAGTAACTTATTATTGCATAACAGTTCTCTTTGCCTTTGTGGAACGACTGACCTATTATTTATTAGAATAAGAATATGATACAATGACAACTAGGTAACTTTTTGCATAATGGTTGTTGTGTAATACATTTAAATGACTATTCAGGTGGGTTGAGAAAGCACTTCACCATTGGTGGCTTAAAAGTAGTAAACCAGTTAAGGCAATATTCCTTGAACAGTCCAAGCTACAACACCACTTGGCTCATGAATTCTTGGCATTCAAGGCCAACAGGAAGCTAGATCTGCTGTCCAGTTTCTGCAGGTGCACACTCAGCCAAATAAAGGGATGCCAACCACATTAATGGGATCACTAAAACACAGTCTGCAAAATCTACAGAATGAGAACTGAGCAAGGTATTAGGAACACAGCACTATCTATACCAGAACAATAGTCTATGCCAGCATTGGCCAATAGCTTACAGTTAAAACAAACAAGCTTAATCACTGAGATACCAAGGATTCCTAGATCAGTATTTCAACAGCTTCGGGATGGTATGAAGAAAAAAGTGATAGTATAGTTTAATGTCTCTATATTCAAAGACAAATCTGCGTTTCCAGATATATGTTGCCTTGAATGTCATGAGTACCTAAAATCGTGTGTGTTCAAAAGGAATCACAGATTCTTCCTCTCACTGTCTCTTCATAACATCCCTGTCTCTCTTCATTGTACAATTTACATCTAAATTTCCAGAAGTAAAGTCATTTCCCTTCTTCTTCCCACTTCATTTCCAATTAGAGGCAAAATAGATTTGATTTCAAAGCTTTTGAAACACTTCTTGTAACTGTCCACTTAAGCAAATAAAACACCACTTGAATCTACTCACTTCTCTCCATCCCTGCTTTCAACATCCTAATTCAAGCTCTTCTACTTCTTGGGTGGAATACAACATATCCCCTAATTCTTCACAGCACCATCTTACCTCTTTTCTAACTCTTATGATAAAACATTATTATGTTACTATTTCTCAGATGTACTAATGGTAACATCCTTTTTTCTTCAGAAACAAAACCAATTCCAGGAAAAAAACATCTTCAAATGTGCATTATCCCACAGCATAATATTGAAACTCCTCAGGATGGTAATGTAAGGCTTCTTCATGCTTTCCCAACTACATCCTCGGTTTCGTCTCTCTAATCACTTTTTACTTATCCTTCAATCAGTCACATGGGCCTCCTCCTGTATGTATTCCATACTTTGTTATCTTATCCTTTTGTTCTAGATGCTGCCTCTAACTCAGTGCTTCTCAAACTTGAGAGTGAATCAGAATCACCTAGGAAACTTAAAGCAAATATTGCTGGGCCCCAGGGTCAGAGCTCCTGGTTTAGTAGGTATGGAGTGGGGTCTTAAAAATGTAACTTTCTAGCACTTTCCCAGGGGGTGCTGACACTGCTGGTCTGGAGATCATACTCTGAAAACCACTGCTCAAGCTAAATAGCTCCCCTCTATTTCTGCTCCTGCAATATGGCCACTTAAGGCTTCATGCAAATTTCCTTCTATCCCTGGGTAATGCCTCCAGTCCAAAACCATCAAGACATTTTTTTCTTCTGAATGCCTATAGTGTCATATTTCTATCATTCTTATAATACTTAGGATAGCCCACTATTCATGTAGTCATGTGGTAAAATTTAATTTTGCCTATAGACTGTACATTGTTTGAAGGTGGTATCCATGTGTAAATTTTCTAAATTATAGATCCACAGCACAAAGCATGGTGTCTTATGTACGAGAAATAAAATAAATATTTTCTTCCTGCAAAATAAATCCATCTGATAGAGGACATAATTATTCTACCACAAATATCTATCGGCACAGGAACTGGCAAACGTAACAGAAGGCTTTCTTTTGGTGCAAAGCTTGGTTTTCACTTTGCATGTATTCATGCTCTGCCAATGAATCTGGGACTACTGCTGTGTGTCCATCTGTTAGAACCAATCACAATGTTTTGGGGCAAAATACTGGGGCAAAATATTTGGACAAAATATTTAACAGCTCAAATTACAATATGTTATATATGATGAGAAAAAAGCTATGACAACATTTGCTGTACAAATCTCATATAATTAACACTTTTTTTCCCTTTTTTTCAGAGAAAGGTAAATTTCAGAGCAAAATGATCTTGAATAAAAAGCCTCATGGTCTCATGGGAAATGCAGAACAAGGTTGTAGGCAATAGGTATGCTGAAGTGTGGCATAACCAGTTGTCTCTGCCAAAAGACATCTAAACACTTAAACAAAAATCTGATCTATCTGCCACCATTGGAACTGACTTAACCCTTTATTTCTTTTTTCTTCTTGTTACATGCAAAAACTTGGAAGTACATTTGGTCTTCATGCTTTTCCTCTTGTCCTTCATGCCCCTTCCTCTTGTCATTCCACCTACTTCTCTGGCTCCTTCACATCTCTTGTCTTTAGGGAACTGGCATTGTTTCTTAGTATAGTATCTTGGTTATATGGTTTGGCTCTCTGTCCACACCCAAATCTCATGTCGAATTGTAATCCACGGCATTGGGAGAGGGACCTGGTGAGAGGTGACTGGATCATGGGTACAAATTTCTCACTTACTGTTCTTGTGATAGTGAGAGAGTTCTCCTTAGATCTGGTTGTTTGAAAGTGTGTAGCACTTCCCCCTTTGCTCCCTCCCCTGCCACCATGTGAAGACAAACTTGCTTCCCCTTGGCCCTTCTTTCGTGATTGTAAGTTTCCCGAGTCCTCCCCAGATATGCTGCCTGTACAAGCCATGGAAATGTGAGTCAATTGAACCTCTTTTCTTTATAAGTTACCCAGGCTCAGGTAGTTCTTTATAGTGGCATGAGAACAGACTAATACACTTGGGTATGAGGAATCTGGTGTTCCAGTGTTGCTACTGCCCCTATCTACCTGGTGAAATACTTTATCTCATTAGGCGTCACAGTTTTTATCCACCAAATGATAGGGAGTGAAATGTTTTGTTTATCTCTGTCATTTCCTAAATTTATTCCTCTTTTGAGGGAAGTAGCTTCCATGGCACTACAAGGTAACATATCATTCTCCTGAAAAGATTAATAGGACCTCTGCAAACTAGTTTTTATTTGAATCAGGAATAGCATGCTTATTATATTCATTACAACTGAAATATATTTAGTTCATAAACTGCCATTTCTATTATTCAATCAGCTCTATATATCAGCATGACATAACTGCTTGATGCACTTAAGTAGGACTCACAACCTCCAGTCACTTGGTTCACCAATTACACACCTATAGTAGTGTACATATCTTTCATTTTAAATAGCATTATTTTCATTGTCACTATCCCATTAAGAGGTCATAGAAACATTAGTAAAAAGTGATTGAATACCACTTTGAACTTAGAACAAAGCTCAGTGGGATATTTGAAATGTATGCTAAAGTAATAAGAAAGAGATAATTGATATGAAGAGATGAAAAAAAACTAAACAAAATAGAAAAAGCCACATTGTGAACACACATGTTTGAATTCTAAGAGATTGATACTATCCCTATTAATTTTAACTTCTAATAGAGACTTTCATATATTCTTATGCTATTCTGCATTCGTTTCTGAATTTTTTACAGCATTCTAAAGGCAGGGTAAAGTTAACACAGCACTAGTATTTCAAATATTTGTAACTAAAGAAACTGAAGTTCAGGGAGCTGAAGAATTTGCCACTCATAAGGTAACACACCAGGGCTGGAAATCTTTTTTTTTTTTTTTCCTTACAAACCAATATCTACTCTCTGGAAGTACTGCTGTGCTTATGAACAAAGGTAATATATGAATATATGATCATGGTTACATACTCCGTGAGTATGTGAGGAGCTGCTTCTTAAGTGACTTTGTGTCTCTCTTAATATTCAACATAGTGCCTATAGCACAATAGGACGATATATCTAGGATACTTTGTTGGATAAACACATCAGAATTTCATTTGTCCTGGAAAATTGAAACTAGATATGATCAGTGAATAAAATCCACCATAGTTTTAGGCTTCTGGTTAAGATGGAGCAACATGTTGATTTACTCTCCCAACTAACATCTAAAAAACAACTTAAAAAACTGGAAAGAATATATCAAACAGTAGTACTCAAGACATTGAATATCAGGCAATGAAGAATGTGACCCCTGAGAAATAAGCCACAAGATTGCTCCAGCTTACTGTTTAAGTAAATTTCCAGGTCACAGTGCAAGGAGAGGGAATCCAAGTAGAGACAGGCAGTCTCCTATCTTGAGCAGAAAAAACTGGAATCCCAGAGAAGGCAAAGCAAGTGGAGTTCACAGGGCAACAGAGACATAGAATAGGGAACTGTATAAGGATAATCCAGAGAACTGCAGAGTGTCCCTCTTTGAGGATTCACTAGAATACCGATCAGTACATGGATGTGAAGAAACTATCCAAACCCAGGTGAAGAATCATCCAAATTTATTATAAGAAAAAGTGCTTGATTTTCACATAAGCCCTAAATAATCTCTGTTCCCAATAGCCAGAGTAGAAAACTTCACACTTCAGGAATCATCAAAGAATTAGAAGGGTCATGCCTCAGTATTGGGGAAAAATTAACTCTAGACTAAATGCAGTTGTATTCTGGCCTAACAAAGCTTTTTTAAAAGCAAGACCTGAAAGTTACTTCCCAGGTAACTCAGCATCTCAGAAGAAAGTTCAAGAATATCTATGGGAATAAAAATAACCTAACTTTCAACAAGTCAAAATTCATAGTAAGGTATCTTATCAAAGATCAAAATGTACACAAAGAAGCAGAAAAATAAAAGCAATACCGAGGATAAAAAATAAATTAATCAGGCCGGGTGCAGTGGCTCACGCCTGTAATCCCAGTATTTTGGGAGGCCAAGATAGGCGGATCACCTGAGGTCGGGAGTTCAAGACCAGCCTGAACAACATGGAGAAACCCTGTCTCTACTAAAAATACAAAAATAGCCGGGCGTGGTGGCACATGTCTGTAATCCCAGCTACGCGGGAGGCTGAGGCAGGAGAATCGCTTGAACCTGGTAGGCAGAGGTTGCGGTGAGCCAAGATCGCACTATTGCACTCCAGCTTGGGCAACAAGAGTGAAACTGTCTCAAAAAATAAATAAATAAATAAAAATTTAAAAAAATCAAAACTTACCCAGAAATGATACAAATAATATTACTAGTAGACAAAGACATTAAAACAATTACTATAATTATATTTCATATGTTTAAGAAGCAATAGACATAGAAGTTATAAAAAAAGAATGAAGCCAAAACACAGGGATAAAAAGCCTATTGGATGGAATTAAAAGCAGATTAATATTGCAGAAAAAAACGAATGAACTTGAAAATAGAGAAATAGGAACCATCAAAATAAAGACTGAAAAAATAACACAGAAAATACGTGTCAATTGATGGACAAATTAAGTAACCAAATATGCGTACAATTATAGTCACTAAATGAGAGGGATTAAAAAAAAGCGCTGAAAATTTTTCAAGAAATCATGTTCAAACATTTTCCAAGTTTGACAAAAACTATAAATCCACAGATCCAAGTAACATAATGAGCCCCAAGAAAAAGAAATATGAATTAAACTATTCCAACATCATAATCATAATTAAATTGCTTAATGTAAGTAATAAAGACAAAAATCATAAAACAGCCGGAGGAATAAAAAAGACACATTATATAAATAGATACATAAGAGTGACAGCACATTTCTTTTTTTGTTTGTTTTTCTTTTGTTTGTTTGTTTTTGGTTTTTGTGTTTTTTTTGAGACAGAGTCTCACTCTGTCGCCCAAGCTGGAGTGCAGTGGTGCGATCTTGGCTCACTGCAACCTCCGCCTCCCAGATTCAAGTGATTCTCATGCCTCAGCCTCCTGAGTAGCTGAGATTACAGGTGTCCACCATCATACTTGGCTAATTTTTGTATTTTTAGTAGAGACTGGTTCTCACTATCTTGGCCAGCTGGTGATGGCCATCCTGACTTCAAGTGATCCTTCCCCTCAGCCTCCCAAAGTGCTGGGACTACAGGCATGAACCACCGTGCCCGGCCAAGAATGACAACACATTTCTTGTTGAGAATAATACAAGTAAGAAGATAAAGAGCAACATATTTAAAGTATGGAAAGAAAAAAATAATCTGTCTATCTGAAATTCTTTACCCGGAGAAAGTCTGTCTAAAACAAAGATAAAGGAAAGACTTTTTTAGAAATACAAACGCTGAAAGAATTTAAAATCAGTATATCTCACAAGAAATGTTAGAGTTCTAATACTGTATGTGAAGCAGTAGAAATACCACTTAAAGATAGACTGATAAATTAAAGGCACAAACCCTAAAGACACCATTAAAATAAAGCAACAAAGAGTTATAGCTAATGAACCAACAAAGGAGATAGAGTCATAATAATTAATGAAAAACGGGAGGGAAAAAAGAGCAAAAGGAATCAAAGTACACATAGGGAGAATAGAAAACAAATAGCAAGATGGTAGATCTAAATCTAGTTACACCAATGATCACATTAAATGGTCTAAACACTGGAAAACAAATAGCAAGATGGTAGATCTAAATCTAGTTACATCAATGATCACATTAAATGGTCTAAACACTGATGAAAAGACAGAGATTGTTAGGTTAGATAACACTTCTATATCCTGCCTACAAGAAACCCAATTTAAACATAAAAACACAAATAATTTAAAAGTAAAGGGATGGAAAAAATTATAACGTGCTAACAATAACAAAAATAAAATTTAAAAGACTGCATTAATATGAGACAGAGTAGATTTCAGAGCAAAAAATATTACCATGAATAAAAAGCATAATTTCATAATGACAAAAGTGTCAATTTTTCAACAGGACATAACAATCCTAAATATTTATATAAGCAATAACAGACCTTCAAAATATTTAAACCAAGAGTGAAAAGAACTACAACGATTCTTTTAAATGTAATTATAGTTGGAGATTTCAACATCTATCTGTCAATAGTTCACAGAACAAGTAGAAAGAAAACCAGCACAGATAAAGAACACTTAGACATTATCAATTCACTTGGCCTAGTACCTAGGAAAGGCCCCCTTATTAGTGCATGTATCCTCACAACCTGGACAAGTTGAACAGTCCAGCAGTGGCTACCATAAGCTGCTCAAACTGATAAAATCAGAGTTCTCACATATTTAAAAATGTTGACTGAAAGTGAACATAGTCTGAAGCTAAAAGGTAAAATTCAAGGGTGGTCAGCATCCATCAGACCATCCACATGGGCCAGAGTATTGGAAGGACTGTTACACAAAGAGAAAAAGATATAAGGAGAGATAAGAGACTAATGTGATGCTCTGTGGTACTCTAGTTGCTGATTCTCTTTCTGATAGCTACTTTCATTTACCTTCTTTTTGTGTCTTAGTTTTACAAATCTTGATTGACTTTGTGAAATAGCCCAGAATCTACCTTTGCTTCAGGATGCCAGATCAACACAGAAAGGCATACATAATGTAAACATAAAGTCAAGATGTAACAGTCTGCTTTCTGAGATCCTGCCTTTTTAATCTGTCATTAACCTTGTTCGTTTATCCTTTTTCTGTAGGAAAAACTATAGACCAGCAGGAGAGTATTCTTACTCTAACAATTCACCCTATCTGGAATCCATTTCTCAGTTTTTTTCACTTCCTCCTTCTGGCCCAGCTCAAGTTCTGTCTCTTCAAACAAGACTTCCAAGACCAAATCAAATTCTCAGGGATCATTTTCTTCTCTCAAGTCCTGTAAGCCACTATTGTGAAACTTAGCCAATTTTCTCTTTCTGTTATACATTATCTTATATGTATGTCTTGTCTCCTAATTCAAACAGCAAATTCTTTAAAGGGATTATGCTTTGTCTTGAATATCCAGGAACATGTCGCACCCCAAACTCAGTGGGGTGGGGGGAGGGGGGAGGGATAGCGTTAGGAGATATACCTAATGTTAAATGACGAGTTAATGGGTGCAGCACACCAGCATGGCACATATACATATGTAACTAACCTGCACATTGTGCACATGTATCCTAAAACTTAAAGTATAATAAAAAAAGAAAAAGAAAAGAAATAAAAGGCATTACAGAAATCGTCAGGGGCTTGTGGATTGATTTACGGACCTTTGCATTTATAATTTTATTTTTCTAAGAGAATGTATTATGATTTCCAACTGGTTTATAAATGAGTATCAGTTGTTTTTATATTTATGTTTTTCTGTATCTATATGTAAATATATTCATACACAAGAAGCTTGGCTCTATAGTTGTATTTATAACAAGATATTATAACTAAGCATACTATATAATTAACTAAAAGTTTACAGCTAATAGCAAAAATTACATCATCCTTCTTGGAACTTTGTATCTGCTAACTGTGGATTCAAAGGTAAAGAGTACCTTGCTTTCCTTTTCTTTTTTCTTAATTAACACTGCTTGCTCCCTTTTCGTTCCCAGGTGCAAAAAAGACAATTAATGAATGCTATTAATAAATGAGAAACAATATTAAATATTAATTTTTACCACTTTTTTGTCCTCAATAGTGTAGATAAATTTTCCCTAAGGCATTCCTTTTAGTGACCTCATTGTAAATTGATTCTAACACATTTAAAACTTAAAGTCATGGTAAATATTCTCAGTTGTAGAGCAACCTATGTCGAGTTAACCTCAACCAGAATGGAAATGACAGCTGTAAAATATCTAAGATGCAGTAGTTTTCTATTCAAAATATGAAAATGAGTCTAATCATCTTACAGCTGTTTTGCTTTTGATACGTAACAGGTGATGGGTGTAGGTTCGGAGCCTTGGCTTTGATTTTAAACAGATTTTGGGTCAAATCTCATCTTTATTATTTACTATAACCATCCATGACCCTGTGCAAGCGACACTCTCTCTCCAAGCCTCAATCTTACTCCACATTACATCCACATGAAAAATGTGGGTGATGTTAGCACCCAAATCACAGACTTGTGGTGAAGTTTAAATATGTTACAATATGTGAAGTGCTCACTACAAGGTAATTGCTCAATAAAATTTGGATTAAAATATTTTCAGGAAAAAGTTAGTTTTGTTTTATTCAGGTTGATGAGGAGATTTGGTACAGAGTGTCTTTGTATAGAATATAACAGCTTCATCAGATAATATATTCTTAAAATAATCTATTTTTCTTTAAAATATGTTTTTTTCTTTTTTTTGTAGTTTTTTTTATTATACTTTAAGTTTTAGGGTACATGTGCACAACGTGCAGGTTTGTTACATATGTATACATGTGCCACGTTGGTGTGCTGCACCCATTAACTCGTCATTTACATTAGATATATCTCCTAATGCTATCCCTCCCCCCTCCCCCCACCCCACAACAGGCCCACGTGTGTGATGTTCCCCTTCCTGTGTCCAAGAATTCTCATTATTCAATTCCCACCTATGAGTGAGAACATGCGGTGTTTGGTTTTTTGTCCTTGAGATAGTAAAGCTTTATTTTTCTGCTTAAAAGTGGTACAGTTTTATGTTATCCAACTTTATGACTATTTATGTACTATGTTAACCTCACTGGAATTAAAATAAATAAAAAAATAAATAAATAGCAAATGTAATCACTACATAATTATTTTAATTCCATGATACCAAACTGTTTTGGTCAACTTTGTTTTTTAACTGAATTAACTATTAATAAATATTTTGGCATTATGTAGACATACACTCAAAACACCTCCTTCAGCATTGCAACTTGACATTTTAAAAACAATTATTTTCTATTTTATTGTACAAGCCAGAATTTCTGGGAAAACAGGTGCCCCCTTTTCCAAAACAATGGCGTTGCAATGTTTCCATTAGTCTAAAGCGTGGATATCACTTTATCCCCACTGGTAAAGTGATTCAGAAGCTGGATATCATAAAAGGAGGTGGTACCTTTAAATAACTAGCAGAAAAGCCTGGTAGCAAGAGAATATTATGCTATTACTGTAAATTTCACTGACAGTAAAGGGCTGCGGGGGTTATGGAAAAGGAGAGGAGCTACACAATAACCACTGGCCAGAGTAATTAGCTGGTGTAATGAAGAGAGAGGAAAAGTGTGTTGGACACTGAAGGCCTGAACTGTCAGCATTATTGTTCTCCAAGGCTTTGGAAGAACAATGCTCTGCTGAGCCTTCAGTAATCGCTATACATGACTACTCATGAACAGAGTAATTAAGAAATGTCAGTGCTTCTCTGGAAAAAAAATTAACACTCATACCACACAGAGTGCTTCCCTGGAAGAACCACATTTTTTTTTTTGTTCTTCTAAAATACTAACAGAGCAGTATTTATACTTCATGCAGTTCAAAGGAATGAGCTATGAATAACTAAACAAACCCAGCAATGTGATTGTTCCTTCCCCCAGCATGTACACTTCCAATACTCAACGGAATGGCTGGACATATCTGAGCTACACAGAAACTATCCTGAGCACTGTGTTCAAATTGTCCCATGTTCCCCAGCCTTCAAGCTGTTCTATGTGATATCACCCAAATTTATTTTTGCCTGGTACTTGCCGTATCTTACTTATGTATACATTCATGTATTCCTCATTTCATTAGATCTTTAAGCTTCATGAGGATGGAGATATTGTCCTGCTCATCACTGTATTGAGAGTGCCTAAAAGAATATCTGGCAGTGGAAAATGCTGAATAAAGATTTCTTAAAATAATTCAAGATTAACATTTTATTTAAGAAAAGTATAATGTGAAGCCTCTCATATGCCTTAGAAGGCTAGTTTCTCAATTAAAAGCAGCCAATTTTATTTTAAAATAAGTGTCAGAGTAAGCAAAAAACTGAAATATAAAATATTACAAACTTTTTAAAAGATACACTGAATTTATGGTATAAAACTTACCTGAAAAGGAAAGTAGTCTAGATAATGATTCAAAATTTCTACAAAAAGAGTCTGTCCTCATCTTGCAAATAATAAATTGGCAATATTTTTTCCTGTAGAAGTAAACTATTAAGGAAATGAAATCTCAGACATTGCAGAGTAAAAAGGTGAGAGCACCAATCCTGTACTAATGAGGCTAATAAAATCAAACACTCTTCTCCCATTCCATTCCAACTTATTTACTCTGCTCTTTGAATTAAGCAGTTGTGTCTATATGGCTAATTGTAGCTTTGATTCTCCAATGTGCTCTCTAATCAGATTGCATTAGAGGTAAATATTTATCTCCCCAAAGTTGTAGAATTTATGGCTAGAAAGAAACAAAAGCTAATCTTTTGCATTTTCCAGGTAGAACATATTTTGATTCAGGAAGGAAATAAGTTGAATTCCAAGAATCAACAAGATATTTTGTCAATTTGAGAGAGCTTTAGCTGAAAACAGAATTGAAAATGATTTCTGAATAGGATTCTTTTCACCACAGCTGACTGCTTATTGTTTCATTAATTCTATAATAAGAATAAATGGATAATAAAAATGTTTTCTAACTGCAACAGTTCATTATGATGACTATAAAGCAGTATAATGCAGTGGAAATGAGCTGAATTTTGGGAGCCAGAATGTCTGGGTTTGAATCCTGTCTCTGTTACTTAATAGGCATATGACTTTAGGCGGCTTCCTCAATTGCAAATTTGGGATAACAATAATACCAATCTCAAAGTGTTGTCGAGAGAATCATATGAATTAAACGTAAAAAACTTTGAACAATACTAAATGCTGGCTATTATAGTTATTATAAAAATATGGTTGTTGGTTGCCTTGTATTAATAGCTATGTTCATTTTCTGTTTAGTAGCCATTGTCAAGCAATTTATCATTATATAATGTCAACAATTTAATTATTTAAGTAAAATTATACAAATTATATAAAATCCTCATTACTCATAAAATTAAAGGTAAAAGTGAATATGAAGGTATTGATTTAATATTTCAACTGCATTCATATGTATATTGTACAACATGACAAATAGCATATGAAAGGAAGCTATGCAGTACTAATGTATTCATTCATTCATTCATTCATTTATTCAGCTAATATATTTTGAGGACCAACTCTCCATCACATCAAGGAGATATAAATAGTGATCAAGATATATAAAGTCTTGACTTTTAAAAGTTTATAGTAAATGAAAAAATCATGCAATAAGTGTTACTGAGAAAATAGAAGCTATCTGGCTACTATAGCTTGAATGTGTCTCCTCTAAAATTTAGGTGTGGCCAGTGTGATTGTATTAAGGTGTGTGGAGGCTTTAAGAGGTGATTAGGCCATGAGGGGTCCTCCTATGTGAATGGGATTAAGCTCTTATTAAAGAAGCTTCACATAGCATTTGGCTAGTTTGGTCTTCATTGGGTAAAGATATAAAACATCTTTTCCTAAAATATGCCCATTCTTGGAATTAATATTCTCCTCACATTGCAGTTGACTAATTTTTACTCATCTTTCAGATCCATTCCCAGGGAAAATTCTTCTGAACTATGTCTATGTATTATACGTCTATTCATTGTTACCATTAGACTCTCTCATGAAACTCATTATTTCTTTCTTTATAGCATTTAGCCTAAATAAGTTATATATTGAATTTATGCATTTTTTCCTTGATAGCCTTTCTTTCCCACTAGACAAGCTCCATGGAAGCAGGGGTGGCTCTTTGTTTCCTGTTGAATGCCAGCAGCATTCAACGTATTTCACTAGTGGTAATTCAAGGTATTTCACTAGTAGTAAAAATTCAATAAATGGATGACTTAATTAAAAGTAGAAAGATAATGAGTTTATATAACTCACCTATTGTAAATCATGAGCGACCTAGAGAGAGACTTTCAGAAGCTATGGAGAGGTGAAGCATTGGGCCCAGGCTGGAGGATTAACACCAACTCAGGAAAGTGAGTAAGTCTCATTGCCTATGGTTTGTGAGACGAAGAAGTATGGGAGAACTAAAAGGAGTTACGAAAGTGTGCTGTAGACAAACTGCATTTTCTTTCCCTTATTGCCCTCTTACAGCTTTGCATCCTAATTGGCAGTACAGTTCTATTAAATAGAGTGGGGAAGAAAGAGACATCTTTGATGTTGTTTGTTCTCAAGAAAAGTATTACATAATCACATATGCAAGCATATTATTGTTTGCCTCAGTTGTGTATAGATTTAAGAACATGAAACTGTGTGATGTTTCAGGAGTTGTTAATTTAATATGTGCTGTTGGATAGATGAGACTCCTCATTCTGAAATCTATATTCACCAGAGACCCTGCTAGGATCCTAATGCGATGCTGTCTATTTCAGGATATCCTGTGGGATTTGTGAAGTCTCTTAATTCATCAGGTGATAATGTTTATACTTCTAGGACACAAAATGTTGACATAAAAGGGAAGATTTATCAAAGACTGATTCTGAAAAACTGATCTTAATGGTTTGGTGGAAATTTATTGTAAGGGATTTTTTTCTTTCAAGTGGTTTAGCACAAACCAAATTTTAGAAATGTACGAAGTCTCAAAGGGCATTTTATGCAATCATTTTGTTTCATGGATAAAGAAATAAGGTCTAGGGAGATGAAGTAACAAAATCAGGGCAGAATCAGGATAGGTATCAATATCTCCTGCCTCAAGTTGAGGATTCTTTAATTGGACATGACAATTCCTGGGCATTACAATTGAACATTACAAATGGACATCACAATTCATTTCAATAAGGCTAATATTTATTGAAAATGCTCATAAGTGGTTAATACATTTAATAAATATTTAGGGTATCAATTTATTATGTTTTAGAACTCCATTCTAATTATAAAACTACGTACATCATTAAATATTGATTGAACACCTACTATGATAAGGAAACTATGTTGGTTTGGTAATTATGTTATAAATAATAAATTATAAAGTTCTTAGGAATGGTAATTAGGAAGTAAATTTAAAACAAAATTAGAGCCTTTAGAAAGTAAACTGAATCCTCAAATTATTTTGACTTTTTAAAATAAATCATGAATGAGATCAATGGAAACGTTTGAAATGTTAATTGTTTGCAGAAACATCATTCTTGTTTTATTTCCCCACATCATTTCTGCCTCATTTGGGTCATATATCCAGTAAGAACTTGATAAATATTTAATGGTAATGATAATGTTAAAGTCTGGGGATTCAAAGCTTGAGACAGGGAGAACTACAGACTATTTTTTACAAATACATTGTTATTGTTGGTACATAGGATCCTCCATTATGTATTCCAGCATGAACATGAAGATGCCCATCACACAGTGGCTAATTCAGGACATACTGTATCACAGCAAAGACGTGCAAACTCACCTTAAGAAAAAAAAAAAGAATTAAGCAAGTGAGTTTGTTTTAAACTGAATAGGATATATTTACCAGCTAAAGAGATGTGTCAGTCAGAAGGCTAGACTGCCTTGGGAGCCTGGAACAAAAGTAGTTTCAGTGAAAATATTGGCAGTGTGCCTCTAAGCACTTTCAAGGTAAGAAGAAGTCTTCACTAATTAATTCAGTTATTCTGATTTTGGGGGGAGCATTCAGGTTTTGGAGTAATATATAGATGGCAAAGTTTAAATCTTGGCCCTTGGCCCTGCCACTTCTAGTAAAGTCTTGGATGAA
Source organism: Homo sapiens (assembly GCF_000001405.40). NCBI lineage: Eukaryota > Metazoa > Chordata > Mammalia > Primates > Hominidae > Homo > Homo sapiens. The sequence continues at coordinate 211,492,368 of NC_000002.12, forward strand.
GTACTGCATTTATAAGTTTCATTTTCCTTATCTGTAAGATTAAGCTAATAAAACAGTTTATTGTGAGGATTAAATGAGGTAATATAATAATCTACCTACCACTGAGGACTTATTATGTGGCTGGCACTATTCTAGGTATTTTGCATAAATACTCTCATTTAATGCCGATGAAAAACCTGTGAGGTAGAGTCTACAAAAGTAGGTAAAATAATGATGGGCAAAATAAGTTTGTACCTGCTCAGCAAGAAATAGAAAACAATAAGCACAACAACAATTTTAAAAAACAGACTCAAAAGTACATTATGAGACCTTTGAGTCCCCTCTCTTAACCTCCATTCACACTGTCAAACTATATCTTGAGTCACAACAACTGATATAAGTAATAGCATAGCAATAATCAGTAACTATTGCGGTAATAATAACATTAGAAATAAAATCAAGCTGTTCTAATCAGATCCACTGCTAACTCAACACATCAGCTGGCTTCTTTGGTTCTGATCCTTGTTTCCTAAGGATGATCAAGTCACTAAGTTCGACTTTCCAAATAAATTTATCTCCAGCTAGAGAAATTGCTAATCATGCAGAAACTAGCATTCCAGGCTGCCTGATAATAGGTTTTATAAATTAACAATTGGCACTCAGGTTTTATATGTCATTAATGATTTCAATTAATTTAAGTTGGCCCAGAGAGATGGAGTCACTCTTGTGAGGCTAGATTATGGATAATGAATGCCAAACTATTACGTAATTTGAGAGATTATCAACCAGCTTTCCATTGTAGTTGCTTCGAACCATTTTTTTCCTTCAAATTTCTACAGTTACAGCATTTGAAACTTCCCTCTCAATTATTTATACCATACTTTTCTTATTTTTATACATCCAACATCTTTAAAACAAATTCCTAATTTATTTTCTTTTCTAGATAGAAAACTAATTGAGGGCAAAAATGCCCAATTTAATATATTGAACAGACAAAACAATAAAGTGCCTTCCTTTCACTACCCTATTTCCTTTCTTAACCTGTAATGTTGCAATTAACATCTGGCCTGGATAAATGTACTACTCACAGGTTGGGGAAAAAAGACTCATTACTAAAAATCTCTTAAGAAATAATTTTTATATAGCATACAAAGCAAAAGTTATTTGGGATTCTGAGAAACTAAGACACAATGAATAACCAAACTTAAAATACAAAAAACAAAAACAAAAACAAAAAAAAACACCTTTGCATAGCAGTTTATGGTTACATTATCTCATTCAATTTAAGCCACATAATCATAGAAAGTATATTATAGATGATTTGAAATATATATTTTTTCTTCATTACAATTAAATCTTAAGAAACAAGGAAACAATCACTTTTCAGAGAAGTTCTACTTTTAAAAAGCTCAAGATGTTAACTAGGTTAATAAATCAAAAGTATTTCTGGCAATATTACATGCTTCCCTAACTCCATTGTTTTTCCAAACTATGGTCTCCAAATGGCATCAGTGTCATCTCAGAATCTGATAAAAACACAAACTGCCTGGCCTCATCCTGACCTATGATGTTCTGAAAAGCCAGATTTCTAAAAATAAAGACCCTAATTTATAGCATTTGCTGATTTGCATGATGTAAATACTCCCAACATGGTCAATTTTGGGCTACCCAGCCTTATTTCCCCAACATAGCGTTGCCCAGGCTGGAGTGCAGCGGTGCGATCTCGGCTCACTACAACCTCTGCCTCCTGGGTTCAAACAATTCTTGGGCTTCAGTCTCTCAAGTAGCTGTGACTACAGGCAAGTGCTAACACGCCCAGCTAATTTTTGTATTTTTAGTAGAGATAGGGTTTCACCATATTGCCCAGGATGGTCTCAAACTCCTGACCTCAGGTGATCCGCCTGCCTCGGCCTCCGAAAGTGCTGAGATTATAGGCGTGAGCCACCGCACCCCGCCGGACTCCCTGTTTTGAGTACTAGAAATGTTGCTAACAACATCATTAAAATGTATTAGCTCAGCTCTGAAACAAGTAAGAGTGAAGTTCTAATGCTAAAAAAAATGCCACAGCAGTAAACATGAACACCAAATAAAAGTTTACTTTTTAAACTAATTTGAAATAATACAAAATGCAGCATTATTATTTCCCTTTGACTTCACTCTGTTTTGATAGTGCATAGCCAGTCTGTAACTGAGTTCTAGGCAGCTGCCCGTCTTTCTTTTCTTCTTGATATGCTTTTTGAGGAATCTCTACATGATAAAGAAGACTTCTCAGAAATAATTACCTACTTGCCACCTAATGATTCTCTGAAATTTTGAAAGAAGCCTGTATGATTCCCTTTTAAAAGGCGTTTGTTGTGAGTTTTCAATCACTTGTTAGTTTAGATAAGCCTCAATATTTTCAAGTGACAGCTTCAAAGCTGCATGTTATTTAATTGGCTGCTTTCAGAGGGCAGCTGTTCATCTGCCAGTCATCTCATGTGAACCAGGATTCACTGTGCACCTCCTTGGGAATTGTTTTAGGAAACGAACTGTGTTTCCTAATAGGAAATATGCCAAAATTTATGGTAATCTTCAAAATAGGAGAAAAACATCTCAAAGCATTGGGACATAGCTGGTTATATAGAATTTTTAAATATCATCTTTCTTTAGAAAACTGAATAATCATATTGTCTAAATTCTTGAATAAAAGAATATCTTAGTACTTGTTTTGGGAGATTTAGGCTATGAAATATATTAGCAAAAATGGGGAAAAAGTAGCAAAAAAAAGTATAACTTAAATGTCTTCATAGAAACTACACTTATTGGACAAGGAGTAAGAAGAGCTATGAAATCTGTTCTTAGAGATAAAAAAGATTGTTTAATATAACAATACATTGAAAATTATATGTAAAACAGCAAAATATTTTTAGATTAAGTGTTTAAGCCATTGTGCCTGGAAAAATCATATCAAAATAATTGTTAAAGATAGACTGAATATAATAAAAATATTATTTCTTATAATGACTAATAAATGAGAACATAATAATTCGCCTTTTGTGTAGAATAACTCTTCTCTTATGAGAGAGCTGTTAATAAATTTGTATAAGGATATGTAAAAACAACTATTTCATTTTTCTCCTATCTGCAACACTGATGCTTTTTCACATACTCATTATTGTGACAACAGGTTGAATTGGCAATTCACCATCTGTCTAAATAGCATTAACCTTCTTGTAACCTCATAATATCACTGTTACGCCTTGTCTGATATTTGAATCTCTCTAATATAAGCTAGGAACAAAATATATTTTCCTCTCTACTAGGCACACATCAGTCCATGCCAGAAGACAACGCAAATAAAGTACCACCCACAGATGGACATTAACATTTAAAATCATTTTCATTAAAATGGATTAAGCAGTTCTAAAAATAATCAGAGAAAATGAACTAACTTGTAAATAATCTTAGCCAGAACAGATTTTAATTAATATACAGTATTAATAATTATTATTATAAATGTATACAATTACAAATTTATATTCACAAACATAATATCATTTATATCTTAAAGAGAAACCTATATAACATGCTAAAAACGTAGGGTTGTCCTCTTCTATTTCTATGATCAAAAATAATCTCCATACTGATAAATATGTTGATCCCTTTTAAGTTCTCATCTATTTGACCCATCAACAGCACTGACATAGTTGATCATTCTCTCCTTCTTGAAACATTTGATTTACATTTGATTCAGTCCAGTTTTCCTCCTACCTTTCAGACAGCTCCTTCTCAGTGTCTTTTGCTGGTTCTTCCTTATCTCTCTATCATCCTAATTTGGACTTCCTAATTTTGAGTATTTGAACTTTTTCTCTTTTTTATGTAGTCCCTCCCTATGTCACTATATACTGTTTCTAGGTTTTAAGTACCACCTAAATGCCCATGAGTCCTAAATGTGTAGTTCCTGTTGAACCACTCCCATAAATAGACCCCTATATACAGTTCCCTACTTGACACTTCTGTTTGAGCCTCTAATATGTTATGTGTGCAAATCTGTGCTCCTAATAATCTCTGCCAAATCAGGCTATGCACTAGTTCTTTCTATATGTTAATAGCAACACCATTCTTCCAGTTATCAGGTCATAACCATTGATCGGTACCATACTTGAAAATTCTCTTTCTCTAACATCACATACCTTCTTCTCAAATTTCTCCTAAAAAAAAAAAAATCCAAATGATGACTACTTCTTAAGCACCCATAATACTACTACCCTGACACAGGTTACCATATCATCTCTCACCTCAATTATTTGATTACTGGTATTTCTGCCTTAGTTCTACCCTCCTCCCCTATAGCCTAATCTTAATACAGAAGCCAAAGATTTTCTATTAAGATGGTGGCCATGATTATCTTTGGTGAGCCTCCAATATGCCAGAAATATTTCTGCCTCAGGGCCTTGGTTTATACTTGTTTCTTTTGCCTGGGTTATCCTCCAAACAATCACGTTTCTATCTCCCCTACTTTCTTCATGCCTTTTGTCAAGTATTCTCAGTGATGCCATTACGGCCAGGCAATCTGATATTATATACACACACACATCCCTGACATTTCATACTCTTTTTTCCTATATGTTTATGGTTTGTCTCCTACCTCAAACATAAACTCCAAGAAGGAAGAATGCATTTGTCTGCTGTGTACCCCCAGTATGTCCCTAGCACCTAGAATAGTCCTGGTATAGTAGGCACTTAATAAATATTTATTGAATGCATGCATGAGCAGAATTAGACTTATTACTTACTTACATAATATAAATGTTGTTATAAAAATGGCAAAATCTAAATTATAATTAAATATATGTTTTGACCAATTTTTGGCATGTATTATTTCCATAACTCAAACTTTGTATTTTAATAATTCTTAAGAAATACAGGTTTTTAAACCAAAAAGATGCAAACACGAGTTAAAAAAACAAAGATGAGCATATAATAGTGGCAAAGTGTAACATTTTGTACTTGCTTTTACATTCTATTCCTTCATATTTCTAAGTACTTTCAAAAGTACAGAATAAACACTATAGTCCCAGTGCCTCTGACAGTTTCTGACACATGGTAGGCATTCAATATTTGTTGAATTACATATCTACTTGTACTGGCAACCTATAAAAAAAATCACTGATAGGAAAATAAGACGTGTGAGGATGAATAAGGGCATCACTTACTTCAACAGAGATGCCCAGGGAAGTGAAGCACATTATAAAAAAGTTTTCTAAGAGAACAGTACCACACAAAGGAAACAGGCACATACATTGAGTTTAAGGCAAGAAAAATTGACAGGACTTGCTACAAGTGATTGAATATGCTATAGGGAATAAAAGGATGAAGAATAGTATTTTTAATGAAAGGATGAGGCTCTTATGAGACATTATTTATTTCATGGATGGTCCATATATTTGAAAAAGTAAATAAAATATACCTTGCTACCCACACTGTATAAATGTCTGGGTCTGAAAGGCAGAATAATGTAAAGTTGCTTAATTTTTCACATAGCATCTATTTTTGTCTAACTAGAAAACACAGACAAGAGGAAACTTCAAAAGCCTCTACGTTCAAGTTGTTCAGCGGCAAGATGAAAGATGTATGATGAAAGAAATATAATGTGCAAGGTTCTGCCAATAGTTCATCCATGGGTCGCTGCATTGTGTACTATCACCAAGAGACCTGCATGTTTTTAATAAAGAAGATGCCAGCACTCCATGTGGAGCACCACATGAAACCCTTCTCATTCCCTTAGTGAGAGACTTCTGTGTCTCTCACTGCTTTTTAGTATTCTAAGTCTACAGTGGTCTCTCCACAATATGGTATGTTGACTTCTTTCAACCTAGGAACTTCTATAACTATCAGTGTTCTAATTTGTGCTAAAGTCTTCAGTATGCCCTCTCGTTACATAGAATGAGTGTCCTATTCTAGGTATTCAACACCCCTAAAGGATACAGAATTGGAAATATTACACTAGAAGAGTTACTTGTTTATTTCTCTGTCATTAAACTAATTATTTGTTTGACTTTGGTACATTAAAGTTTTATATATATCTATATACAAAACATGAATGTATAAATGTAATATTAACAAATCTTATCAGAACAAGCTGCTTATAATTATTTCTAAATATCATCACTGCCAATATATTGTACTAATTTCCCATTCATCAAAATTCTAGGCTGTTGTTAAATACACATTATGTTACATAAATGCTTTGCTTTAGGACCATTTTTTCAAACATCATAAGGAGTAACAATTGACTCCATAGTAAAAATTCCAAATTCTTCATCAAAGAGCTTTTCTCATATTTTCCAAACTCCTCAGCAGGAAACTAAAAACGGGGTCATTCCTACAATAATCCTTTTCATTCAGTCATATTACCATTACAATTGACAAAGAGGCCATATGCATAGGGCAGTCTTGAAGGCTGAGAGACAGAAGCTAGGAAGCTGTGTAATGTGAACTAAAGCACTACCACCATTAGAAATATAATCAGAAACCATTATTAGTGGCACAAAAGTAAGTAAGAATGCACCTGCTGACAAGGTATAACTGCTGATGCTTCCCTCAGGGACACAGATGAGGAACAGAAGGGAATTGCCCAACAATGGGTTATAATGAGGCTCCACGAAGACAGTAGCCTCACCTGTTACATTCTCCTGTGTAACTCCAGCGCTAGCACAGAGCCTAGTGCTGAGTAAGCATGCAATCAATCTTTGATGAGTTCTGGAATGAATAAGCAAACACACTCATCATTCCTCCTCATACTCAATATTCCTCCCTTTTATTAAGTGCTAGGTTCTGGGCCAGTTGCCTTTTATACTTAAACTCCCTTTTTATAGATGTGCTGCCCATTTTAGAGATGAGAAAACTGTGACTCAGGCCGGGTGCCGTGGCTCACGCTTGTAATCCCAGCACTTTGGGAGGCTGAGGCAGGTGGATCACGAGGTCAGGAGATCGAGACCATCCTGGACAACATGGTGAAACCCCATCTCTACTAAAATACAAAAAATTAGCTGGGTGTGGTGGTGTGTGCCTGTCGTTCCAGCTACTCGAGAGGCTGAGGCAGGGGAATTGTTTGAACCCAGGAGAAGGAGGTTGCAGTGAGCCGAGATAGCGCCACTGCACTCCAGCCTGGCAACAGAGCGAGACTCTGTCTCAGAAAAACAAAACAAAACAAAGCAAACAAACAAACAAAAAAAAGAAAACTGTGACTTACAGATCTTAAATACTGTACACACATACTAAGCAACAGAGCTCAGATGAGTTGGTTATTCCACAGATAGAAACAATATATTTGGACTTTGAGATCACCAAAATGTGTAAGTGTAAGAGGGACTTCACTCATAAGCATCAGAATTTTAACAATAGGGTATTTTGCTTTGCTCTTTCTAGGTGAAGATACCCCCAAAAAGTTCTATTTCTGAGACTATATAAACTGTTCCCAAACCAAGGTGGTGCAGTTATAAACTTGGTTTTGAGAAAAGTTTTTTTTTGGCTTCAACCTCAATATCTCATCTCAAGAAATGTAGGAATGTGTGATATTTCTGAAACGTAGGCACTGTGACTATCCTGCATGTAGATGACAAGAGAATACTAAAGAAATGCATAATGATGTACCCTACTAGTGAGTGATGACAATCACTAGCCCCTCTAGTTGAACAATGGCATCTTCACTACCTGAAACAACCAAACATATGAAAGTGTGAAGTGAGACTGATGGAGATGAAATGGTCTTTGAAAATATTTAGGATTTATTTTCTGTATCTGGTCATGGTACAGTCGTCTGCTCTGACCCTAAGTTTTATAATGACACAATTATAATTGTATTCATCATTTTGTTCTAATTTATAGCCATTTAAAAGGGTATAATTTAAGCCACATTACTTATTCAAATATTTGACACAATATAGCCACTGGACTATAAATAGCAACAGACATTTTTAAAATTCTCACTGCTTTATAGCTAGAATAGCAATTTAGGAGAGCTCTAGGTAATAGTCTGAAGCTTATTTACTGAGGAAGAAAACTCCTAAAATAGGTCATTTGATTGAAAACTGACTTAGTTGCCACAGTCAAGATAATTTATTTAAACTTTCATGTATTAATAGGTTTGATTCTACAAAAATATGAATCTAACCCATTAAAAATGTAATGTAAAGTCAATTTCCATTCCACTCAAATGATCAAACTGCTTCTTCATAATCATTAGTTTATCACTGAATTATGGAGCCCATGCTTTTTAGGTCACTTTTACGAAATGAAAATGAAACATCCAAAGAGTCACAGTTGTTGAGAATAAGAAAAGATCTTTTTTCTTTTAATATTCTATATGTAAGTTATAGTTAGCATTTCCAAACTGGTTTTTTTTGTGGGTTAGTGCTTCTTCCACAATTTTTTGAAAGCTAAATTTTGAGAATGGTGTTTGTACATATCTCACACTGAGAGCACTGGTTTGCCAGGTCATTCTAATTATTCTATTTTTAAAAGAGTGACTCCTTTGGTATAATAGGTTTGGCATTAGTGAAATTAAAGGTTGTGACTGAATAACAGTAATGGTCTTACATTTCAAAAAGAAACATTTTTCTTTTCTCTTCAAGTTTATTTTCTCTCATTACTTTAGTAAGATTTGACATACATATGTCATTGGAAGGCCATTGTTTGTTCATTATGTGCAATTCCATTAAGAACATTACCTAGTTAATTTACAAGAGGCTGACTATAAAAATAAATAAAAAGATAAGTATCTACTAAAAAAGGTAAAAGGGAAGGAAGCATTTATATACCTCATTTAAAAAGGAGTTTATTAAAAAGCAAACTTCCCTCACAGAAGAAAGATTTATAAAATAAACAGCATAAGAAGGGTTGGTTAATGGGTACAAAAATATATTTAGATGGAATAAGATCTAATATTTACTACCACAATAGGGCTACCATAACTAACAATAATTTATTGTATATTTCAAAATAACTAGAGGAATGAAATTGGAATGGTCCTAACACAAATAAATGATAAATGTTTGAGATTATGGATACCCCAACTACTTGATTTGATCATTACCCATATTATATGCTTGTATCAAAATATCACATGTATCCCATAAATATGTACAATTGTTATGTATCCATAAAAATTAAAAAAAACAGCATAAATCAAGACATTTGATTTGCTTGTGTGTTTTTTTTAGAAAACAATAAGATATTGTTGTTTTATAATTATCTTTAGTCCTGTTTCTGAATGTATATACATATGGATGCTTAAGTACATATGAACATATTGTATTTATCTAACACAATATCAAGACAAAATTACAATGCATATAACCTCAGGTCTTCCAAAAATAATAATTTAACTTACTTTTAATTGTGCTATTACAATTTCTCTAAAATGTATTCTATAGCTTTCACTATTAAATACAATATATAAAATCTGACCTAACATTTTATATTGTTAATTCAGGGTCACTTTTATGAACATCAGTTACTCTATTCTGCTGTTATAAAGCAATGCCTTCATGGGCTTGAGCAGTGTGAGGCCACATTAAATCTCCCAGAGCATTTATTAACGACTTGGCTATATTTGTTGTTCCTCCATATACTTTTCCCCTACCTGAAATGTAAAATGAATCAAACTCTTCTTAGTATCGATAACAGCTAGATAGCTTATTTGTAAAATTTGTTTTGGATCCCTGCTTACAGCCAAAGAAATGAGTTCAAAATGGTGGAATATTGGGATATTACAGCAAGCAGATTGAATAAACTTTCTGGACAGTGTAGTCACTTTAATGTTCTTCATAAAGGCCTTTGGCACTTCAAATTCCACCTGTGTATGAGATATGCAACGACAATAGTTTGGAGAGTTTGCATGTGCTCATAACATACTTCTATGGCTTCTAACAAACAAATTTGGGAAGAAGATATCATTTAACAATGCAAAGGAAGCCTATTCTTGACATTTTATATACTCAAATTAGGGTAATGTAACAGAAAGCTAATATATTGAGTGGATAACAGTTTCTGAATCTGTCTCAAAGGTTATTAATTATTTCATATTGATTACTCTTAACTTCAGATTATAAACATTCAATTACCTATTAGCCCACCTAATTAATAAAACTGTATTATAAAGCAATCTGCTATTTTAAGGATGCATTACTATTGAACGAAGCAAGGCCTCCATGAACATGAGTGTGCTACAGAGCTCATATCTCCCTCTATAACTTGGAAAGTTGAAAGCCTACAGACTTAGAGAGTTCTACTGTGTTTTCTCATATTCTTTATATCTAGAAACCATAATTAGATTCATGAAAATGTATAAATGTAGAGTACAATGTGATGATATTGATTACAGCCATCTTTGATGGCTCATTTAAGGATTTATAATCTATGGAAAATCTCTAGCTTTATAAATGCCTTGTGTAAAACTTCTTGGAGTTTCTCAGGCATATTTCTGACATTTTTCCTGAATAAGAAGATCATTAGGATTAGAGATGGATGACTAGGTGCAGCTGGGATGCACCTCCTTCATGAAGAAGAGTCACAGTATCAGGTAAGCCTTGGACTTCAAACAGATTTATTGAAAGAAGACACTGAAACTTAATAGAGAGGCAATGGAGGACACCGTGGTTGAAGAGGGAGGAAGCATGGCTACTTGCTTGGCCTCACTAGTTGCCAAGATCAGCCCCTGGAGCCAGACTAGACCTGAGGAATGGATGAATGAAGAAACTCTGGGACACCACATTCCCACTGCAATCCTCTGAGACCCTAGTTACAGAAGTTCCCACCACCCTCGCAGACCTTTGGGCCTAGAGAATACAGAGAGACCGTTTAAACCAAAGTGGACCCCAAAAGGCTTCAGTGAGCTGGGCAGCTGCAGCAAAACATGACTCTGGGCACCCACCCTGCAAAATTCTGCATCATGCCCTAAGCGGCTGCAGCTCCTGCTGTCTGCCGAGCCAGGATAGAACTGAGCTGGCCACATTCACATGCCCAAGATGGGTCCCACCAGCACTGTTTGGGAACTGAGGAGCATCTGAACCACATGTCCCCAGGCCCGCCAGTTTCTCCCAAGACTGCCAGCCTGGTTGTTACCGCAATGGGAGACCCACAGCATACCCCACATTGATCTGCCTGAGTGGTTTGTTGGCAGTCTTGGAGCAGTTCCTCCTAGTCCAGATCAGGAATGGTGTGACAAGATAGTTGCAATTTCTGCTTCAGGGACTCACAGTTCAAAACATCTGGACCCGCATAGCGCCTTGGGCACAGGTGGCTCAGAATTAGCCTAACGGGTCAGGCCTGCTTCTTGGGCTGGATGCTGGAAGGAGATCCACTTGCTGGCAGGTATGGAAGCTGGGTGAGTCCAGTGGCCGACTGCTGGGCTGAAAACATCAGGTCACCACTCTTTCCCTGAGAAGGCTCTGTGGCTTAGGAGAGGTGCTTCCTCCTCTGCCTGGAGGGTTGTCTCAGTGGACTGGGAGGAACCCTCAGACCCCTGTGAAGGCCAGTGCTTGCACATGCCTTAGAGAGCCTGGTTGCAGGATTGCTAGATTGATCCCACCCTTTCCTGAGAGTCCCATGCTCTGCCCATAACCTGGAACATCCTGGAGCTTGCCCTGATCAACAAAGACAAAGTAAAAATCCCACTGTCATCACTGCAATTGCCTCTCACCTGCAACTGCCACCTACTGGCTGGGAGGTCAAACTGCAGGGCCATTTGCAACTTCTGCTAACATCATTGTACAGTGCTCAGCTGGTTCTTACCTGCAAGTGCCACCTACTAGCCAGTAGGATAAATTGCACTACCCAATATATAATTTCTGCAGACAGAAGTGCACAGTACTGAGAAATAAGATAAGGCTCCCAAGATCACCACATCTCCATCCTCTGTACTAGACAGTGAGCCAGATAATATGCACAGCACACCACTACTAAAACCTACAAACAATGAGCATTTGAAAAAACCACTAGACTAAGGCTATCTATAACCAAATAATTCATACAGAACCTTGGCCCTCTAATAGTACATAGAAGCAAAGCCAAAAGACCCTACCCAACATGTGCAACAGCTAAACCCTCAAAGTGGGGAAGAAAAAAAAAAAACTCACCCAAATGAAAGTAAATTCAAAACTAAGATGTAACAGTTTCTACAGATGATAAGCAACCAGCACAGGAACTCTAGCACCGTGAAGAAACAAAATGTTGTGACACTCCCAAAGGACCACACTAGCTCTCTAGCAATGGATCCTAACCAAAATGAAAACTTCAAAAAGACAGATAAAGAATTCAAGATATGGATTGCAAGGAAGACCAATGAGCTCCAAGAGAAAGTTGAAAACCAACACAAAGAATTCAAGAAACAATTCAGAAGATGAAAGTAGAGATAAATATATTTTTGAAAAGCCAAAGAGAACTTCTGGACATGAAAATTCACTGAAAGGATTTTAAAACACAGTTGAAAGCTTCAACAATAGATGAGACAAAGCAGAAAAAGGAATGTCAGAACTTGAAGACTAGTTTTCAAATCAACCCAGCTAGACAAAAATAAAATAATTTTTAAAAACAAGCAAAGCATTTGAGAAATATAGCATATGAAAAGCAACCAAACTGAAGACTTAAAAACATTCTTGAGGGAGAAGATGAAAAGGTAACAAGTTTGGAAAACATATTAGAAGGAATAATTCAGAAAGATTTCCACAATCTTGCTAGAGATTCAGATATCCAGATACAAGAGATTCACAGAACACCTGGAAGATACTATATAAGATGAACATTACCAAGGTGTATAGTCATCAGACTATCCAAGCTCAATATAAAAGAAAAAATTTTAAAGGCAGCTAGAGAGAAGTGTCAAATCACCTCTAAAGAAAATTCCCTCAGACTAACAACAAATTTCTCAGCAGAAATCTTATAAGCCAGAAGAGACTGTGGAACTATTTTTTAACCTCTTTAAAAAGAAAAAAGAAAAAAAAAATCAGCCAAGAATCTCATATCCTGCTAAATTAAGCTTCATAAGTGAAGAAATATAGACTTTCTCAGGCAAGCAAACACTAAGGGAATTGCTATCACTAGACTGGCCCAACAACTTATGTTCAAAGGAATTCTAAACACGAAAATGAAAGAATGATACTCACCATCATAAAAAAAAAACATGTAAGTAGAAATCTCAGAGCCTATAAAGTAATAACACACTTGAGACCTCAAGGCAACTAGCAAACAAACAAACAAACAAACAAACTATGACAGGAACAAAACGTCACATATCAACATTAACAAAGAATGTAAACAGCCTAAATGCTTCACTTAAAAGTTATAGACAGGGGCTGGGCATGGTGGCTCACGCCTGTAATCCCAGCACTTTGGGAGGCAGAGGCGGGTGGATCACGAGGTCAGGAGATCAAAACCATCCTGGCTAACACGGTGAAACCCCGTCTCTACTAAAAATACAAAAAATTAGCTAGGCGTGGTAGTGGGTGCCTATAATCCCAGCTACTCAGGAGGCTGAGGCAGGAGAATGGCATGAACCTGGGAGGCAGAGCTTGCAGTGAGCCAAGATCGCACCACTGCACTCCAGCCTGGGCGATAGAGCGAGACTCCATCTCAAAAAAAAAAAAAAAAAGTTATAGACAGGTAAACTGGATTAAAGAAACAAGACCCAACCATCTGCAGCTTATAAGAGAACCGTCTAATGGCTAGGACACCTAACAGACTTAAAGTAAAGGGGTAGAAAAAGATATATCATGTAAGTGGAAAACAATAGTAAGCAGGAGTAGCCATTCTTAGACTTTAAATCAACAACAGTAAAATAAGACAAAGGGCATTATATAACAATAAAGAGTGCAATACAGTAAGATTTAAGTATCCCAAATATAGCACCCAACACTGGAGCACCCAGATTCATAAAACAAATGCTACTAGACCCAAGAAAAAATTGACAGTAATCCAATAATAATGGGGGACTTCAACATCCCATTGATAACACTGGACAGGTCATGGAGGCAGAAAGTTAACAAGAAAACTCTGTACCTAAACTGGACTCTAGACCAAATGGACCTAATAGACATTTATAAAACACTCTTTCCAACAACCACAGAGTATCCTTTTTTTTCTTTCATCTGAACATGGAACATTCTTTAAAACTGATCATATGCTTGGCAATAAGGCAAGTCTTAATGAATTCGAAAATTGAAACCATATCAAGTTTCTGTATCATGGTGGAACAGAATTAGAACTGAATACCAAGAATAACTCAATATTACAAAAGTACATGGAAACTAAACAACTTATTTCTGAATGACTTTTGGGTAAACAACAACAATAAAGCAGAAATTAAAAAAATTGAAACAAATGAAAACAGAGACACAACATACTAAAACTTCTGAGATGTAGCAAAAGTATTGCTAAGAGGAAAGTGTATAATGTTTAAAAAACTCCATCTAAAAGACAGAAAAATCTCAAATATAATGTCACACTTCCAACCCCAAAGCTAGCAGAATAAAAGAAACAAAAATTAGAGCAGAACTAAATGAGATTGAGACCAAAAAAATCAATACAAGGGATCCAAAAAATGAAGTTTGTTTTTTGAAAGGCTAAATGAAGTCATTAGACTGCTAGCTAGTTTAACGAAGAAAAATATTCAAATAAGCACAACCAGAAATGATAAAGGAGACATCACAATTGATACCTCAACTGTAAAATACGATCAGAGATTAACTATGAACATGTCTATGCACACAAACTAGAAAATCTAGATGAAATGGATGAATTTCTGGAAACATACAACCTCCCGAGATTGAACCAGGAAGGAAAAGAAATCCTAAACGGACAAACAATAAGTGATGAAACTAAATCAGTAATAAAAAACATCTTTCATCAATAAAAGCCCAGGACCAGATGGATTCATAGCTGAATTTTGTCAGACTTACAAAGAAGAGCTAGTACCTGTCCTACTGAAATTACTCTGAAAAATCAAGGATGAGGAATTCCTGCCTGACTCATTCTACAAAACAAATAAAACCCTGAAACCCATATCAGGCAAGGATACAAGAAAAAGAGAAAACTACAGGCCAATTGCTTTGGCTATTCAGGCTATTTATAAAGAACAAAGCAGGAGGCATCACATTGCCCAACTTCAAGCTATGCTATAAGGCTACAGTAACAAAAACAGCATGGTACAGGAAGAAAAACAGATACATAGACCAGTTAAACAGAATAGAGAACCCAGAAATAATCCCACATACCTACAGCCATCTGATCTCTGACAAAGTTGACAAAAATAAGCAATGAGGACAGGACTTCCTATTCAATAAATGATGCTGGGCAATCCTAAGCAAAAAGAGCAAAGCTGGAGGCATCACACTACCTGACTTCAAACTATACTATAAGGCTACAGTAACCAAAACAGCATGGTAGTGGTAACAAAACAGATATATAGACCAATGGAACAGAATAGAGACCTCATAAATAACACAACACATCTACAACCATCTGATCTTTGACAAACCTGACAAAAACAAGCAATGGAGAAAGGATTCCCTATTTAATAAAAGGTTCTGGGAAAACTGGCTAGCCATATGCAGAAAACTGAAACTGGACCCTTTCCTTACACCTTATACACAAATTAACTCAAGATGGATTAAAGACTTAAATGTAAAACCCTAAATCATAAAAACCCTAGAAGAAAACCTAGGCAATACCATTCAGGACATAGGCATGGGCAAAGACTTCATGACTAAAACACAAAAAGCAATTGCAACAAAACCCAAAATTGACAAATGGGATCTAATCAAACTAAAGAGCTTCTGCACAGCAAAAGAAACTATCATCAGAGTGAACAGACAACCTACAGAATGGGAGAAAATCTTTGCAATCCACCCATCAGACAAAGGTCTAATATCCAGAATCTACAAGGAACTTAAATTTACGAGAAAAAAACAACCCCATCAAAAAGTGGGCGAAGGATATGAACAGACATTTCTCAAAAAAAGACATTTTGCAGCCAACAAACATATGAAAAAAAGATCATCATCACTGGTCATTAGAGAAATGCAAATAAAAACTGCAATGAGATACCATCTCACACCAGTTAGAATGGTGATTATTAAAAAGTCAGGAAACAACAGATGCCGGAGAGGATTTGGAGAAATAGGAATGCTTTTACACTACTGGTGGGAGTGCAAATTAGTTCAACCACTGTGGAAGACAGTGTGGCGATTCATCAAAGATCTAGAACCAGAAATACCATTTGACCCAGCAATCCCATTACTGGGTATATACCCAAAGGATGATAAATCATTCTACTATAAAGTCACATGCACACATATGTGTATTCTACTATAAGGTCACATGCATACATATGTGTATTACTATTTACAATTGCAAAGACTTGGAGCCAACCCAAACGCCCATCAGTGATAGACTGGATAAAGAAAATGTGGCACATGGCACCTGTAGTCCCAGCTACTCAGGAGGCTGAGGCAGGAGAATGGAGTGAACCCAGGAGGCGGAGCTTGCAGTGAGCTGAGATCGTGCCACTGCACTCCAGCCTGGGTGACAGAGCGAGACTGTCTCAAAAAACAAACAAACAAAAAAACAAAACAAAAAAAAGAAAATGTGTCACATATACAGCATGGAATACTATGCAGCCATAAAAAGAATGGGTTCATGTCCTTTGCAGGGACATGGATGAAGCTGGAAGCCATCACTCTCAGCAAACTATCACAGGAACAGAAAACCAAACACCGCATGTTCTCACTCATAAGTGGGAGTTGAACAATGAGAAGACATGGACACAGGGAGGGGGGAGTATCACGCACCAGAGCCTGTCGGGGAGTGGGGGACAAGGGGAGGGAGAGGATTAGGACAAATACTAATTCTTGGGAGGCTTAAAACCTAGATGATGGGTTGATAGGTGCAGCAAACCAACATGACACATGTATACTTACATAACAAACCTGCACATTCTGTACATGTATCCCAGAACTTAAAGCAAAATAAATAAATAAACAAATAAAACTGGGATAACTGGCTAGCCATATTCAGAAAAATGAAACTGGACCCCTATCTTTCTAAATATACAAAACGTAACTCAAGATGGATTAAAAATTTAAATGTAAGACCTCAAACTAAAGAAATCCTAGCAAAAAAATCTAGGAAATACCATTCTGGATATCAGCCTTGGCAAAGAATTTAAAACCAAGTCCCCAAAAGTAATTACAACAAAAACAAAAAATGGTAAGTGGGACCACAATTAAACTAGAGACCTTCTGCACAGCAAAAGAAACTATCAATAGAGTAAACAGTCTACACAATGGGAGAGAATATTAAAAAATTATGCCTCCAACAAAGGAGTAATATCCAGAAACTATAATGAACTCAAACAACTCAACAAGAAAAATAACCAAACCCATTAAAAAGTGGGCAGAGGACAGAAACAGACTTTGCTTGAAAGAAGACATACAAGCAGCCAGCAAACACATGAAAAAATGACCAACATCACTAATCATTGTAGAAACACAAATTAAAACCGCAGTGAAATATCATCTTACATCAGTCTGAATGGCTATTCATAAAAGTCAAAAAACAACAGATGCTATTGAGGCTGAAGAGAAAAGGGAACACTTTTACACTGTTAGTGGGAATTTAAATTCATAAAACCTCTATGGAAAACAGCACAGAGGTTTCTCAAATAACTAAAAATAGAACTACCATTCAATCTACTACTGGGTATCTACCCAAAGGAAAAGAAAGCATTATACAAAAAAGATACCTGCACTTATATGTTTACTGCAATACTATTCACAATAGCAAAGTCATGGAATTAAACCTAAGTTGACCATCAATGGGTGGTTGGATAAAGAAAATAAGTACCACATGTTCTCACTTATAAGTGGCAGCTAAACAATGGGTACTCATGCACATAAAGATGGAAATAATAAACACGGGGCACTCTAAAAGAGGAGAGGGTGGGAGGAGGGTATGGATTTTAAAAAATTACTTACTGGGTACAAAGTTCACTATTTAGTGCGATGGTTAAACTAGAAGCCCAAACCTCACCATTACGTGATATATCCATGTCA
Organism: Homo sapiens; assembly: GCF_000001405.40. Classification (NCBI taxonomy): domain Eukaryota; kingdom Metazoa; phylum Chordata; class Mammalia; order Primates; family Hominidae; genus Homo; species Homo sapiens. The sequence continues at coordinate 211,510,436 of NC_000002.12, forward strand.
CAAACCTGCATGTGTGTCCCCTGAATCTAAATTTCTTTTAAAACAGAAGACAGCATAGTGCCATGTGCCATTGACTCTTTAGATGATTCCTACTAAAATGTTGCACTAAAATGAACCCTGTTCTATATTTACCTTTTTTTGAAGTTATCATTCAAAATACTCAGAATTCATGGATCTTTTCAGATGTGATTATCTTGAAATTAGAAAATGTTTTCAATTATATATCTCTCTCTGAAAAGCTGTATGATTATTAAAAGTCATTAGTTTTCTACTCATTTCATCATTTTAGTATTATGATATTGCTTCAATGACTGTGCATTTTATTCAGAAGCTTGCCATTTTTTTTCTCAGAAATTTCTGAGATCAGAGATGCTAGCAATCTCTTCTCTTTGAAAGAATATGACAATCTCATTTATTTTTCCTTTTGTCCTGACGTAGCTTTAGACATTGCTAGAGTATATTTATATCTTGAAACAATATTCAACAATTTTGAAAATTTAAGATCACAGTATAAAATAGACAAGATCCATGGTTTAAACCTAATATACCAAGAGATTATGAAAAAAATGAAAAGCACCAAGGGATTATGAAAAAACAACAACCAAAAAAACAGAGAGGTAAGAATGCTTATTGGAGTAGTTACAAGCTTAATAAGCTCCAAGTTAATTATCAAATCAATGTATTAGTATATTAAACTGCCTACTTAAGGCCAGACAGAAATGGAATGCACTGTAATTTAAATGTGACATTAAAAATTCTCTTAAGTTTTTAGCATATATATAGATATATATCCCTTCTTATATATTCAATATTATCTAGCATTGTATTTTTCAATTATAGGACCTTGAAAAATATGTTAAGCTAATTATAGGTAATGTGATTTGACAGCAATGTCAAAATTTTTAGTTATTATGATTGTGTTACATAGCATGATTATATACATGTTCTTGAATAAATACAGACAGATATATTACACAAAAGCAACACTGATATTCTAAGAAGTAACACAAAAATGAAAATGAACCATGAGTATTACTGAAAGAGAATAATTTAATGGAAAATTTCTGTGATGTTACCCTGAGAAAGCAAAACTTGAGCCATATCAACCCTAATAAGAAATGACAAACCTTGAAAAGCTATCTATAAATTTTCTTTAAAGCAGTATGCTTTTCAGATAAGCAAAATTGTTGTACATTGTTACCAGCTTCTATAAATGCCAGTTCAATTTCAGAATCCATTGTTTAATTGTGATCATATCAAAAAAGAATCCTTTCTAGAGAGAAAAAGCATTAAAAAAAGAGAAAAGATTATGTTAATAAAGGAAATGTATCTTGTAACCACGGTAACATTGAAACTAAAATATTCAGAAATGTCTTTTTCCCCTACGCCATTGTTTTGTGAGGAGATGATTAGTTATCAGCTCTTGGATCCATAATCCTTTAAAATGGTGTCATTTGAAAAGCAGAACACAAGACTTACATGGAACAATAAGGTCTAAATTCCCATGCTTCTGAAAATAAATCATGGAGACATTGTATACCAGAGGGTACTCATAACTATTGGGTGGACAGGAAGAAGATTCACACAGCATTGGTTTAATTTTAAAATTATTGTTTAAAGACATTATTTTTATGATAAACCATATTGTGGACTTGAAATTCAAAATTTGCAGACATCCTTGGGAAAAACTGGCAACATTCAATTTGGAACTTTCACTGACTCTTGTGAACTGCAAGTTGAAGAACGAAAGTGCGCTCATTTATCTTCTATTTTAGGGCAGAAGTTTGAGAAACTCTGAGTATGAACTGAATATCACCTGTTCCACTTGTAAGACATAGACATGCGGTTTTTCCTTCCACCATTAATGTCATCCTATATCTTATTGCACCATTCTGGGAGACCTTTTGTAATTAAAATAAATATCAAAGTTTGGGTCCTCTCAACAGAGCACTGATTTCAGAGCAGACAGGTTCTCTTGGTTTATTATTCCAAAGAACAAAAACCAAAATCTCAAAAAAAAAAGCATTTTTATATAGAAAGAAACTTCCTAAAAATATTCAGACATTTATATTAGAAATCACTATTGCCTCTGACAAGTGAACAAACACAATGAAATTAAAAAAAAAACTTTTTGGAACTATCTTTGAACATACACAAATTTCCCCCTTCTAATCAATTAAAAAATGCCATTTTCTTAATAGTAGGCAAAACACGTTTGCTTTTCATTTTCATTTCTATGTCTTTAAATTTTTACAAAACAGTTAAACTCAAAGTACAATTCTTTAAAAGGGCATATTGTTCTTGGTAAGAACAATCCCAGCAGGTCTCCCACTGCCATGTTTGGAGATTTGCATAATAACACAACTAAGTACCTGACCCATCTCTGCATGCAGAAATTAATAACAAAGATCTGTCTCCCTTCTAGGTGTCCATTGCCATAGTTACCTCACAAGTTCTGAGAATATGCTTAAATAAAAGATGTCGGGTAGAAATTAATCATTGACTGGAAAACAAGTTTTCATGATGAGGTCAGGCTTTTGTTTCTGGGTCAGACTGAAACATTAGACAGTATTCTGATTTGAGCAGAGCTGATTGCCTATGGTTGGAGATCTACCTCTTAGGGTCTTACACAAAACACTGGTCTGCTTAAGTGTACAAAGATGATTGCTTTATGTATTTGTTCCCTCAAGCCCTGTTTAAAAAAAAAAGAAAAAAGGAAAAAGAGAACTGTCAACCATGCTGTTTGCAATGGTAAGGCGTGACGACAAGTTTTACAAGTTTTTAGTGAGAGTGCAATGGAAATAACAAATCAGGCTGAGGCAGGAGAATGGCGTGAACCCGGGAAGCGGAGCTTGCAGTGAGCCGAGATTGCGCCACTGCAGTCCGCAGTCCGGCCTGGGCGACAGAGCGAGACTCCGTCTCAAAAAAAAAAAAAAAAAAACAAAAAAAAAACACTGATCCTAGAAGAGTATGTCAATGGTCAACTATGCCTTTTTTCACGGGAAGTATTTGTGTTGTGATCCTAGACCTTTTGTTTAAGAATTCTTTCCCCTCTCTCTATGAAATCCCTAATTATTTAGCCGAGGCTTGTCCCTCTGATTCAATTCTATTAAATTTACCTGTGGAGAACTTGGCCCTGCAAGGTGTAATAGCATTAAGCTTGGGGATAGGGAAGAGAATGAGCAAATACTATTCATCACAACATTCCTTTTCAAACCCCAGGAAAAGAAACTTGGACAGCTCCTCCAGCTGCTAGAGTAATAGGTCTTTGGCAGGCGCCCCCAACCCCTGTCTACGCTTTGTTAACCCCTAACAGGAAGAAGAAATACAATACAGGCTCAGGGCTCCAGACTACTAAAACAAGTGATGAGGATAATAGCTAAGGTTTCTTTATATTTTTGGGGGGGATTAAAAAATTGATTAAAAAATTGTACAGTTATTGTACACAGTAACTGTACAAATGTATGGGGTACATGTGCTATTTTGATGTAATGATCAGGGATATCCATCGTTTCAAACAATTATTATTCATTTGTGTTGGGAACCTTCTAAAGCTTCTCTTCTAGCTATTTTGAAATATACAATAAATTATTGTCAACTATAGTTGTCCTACTGTGCTAGGGAACACTAGGACTTATTCTTTCTATCTAACTGTATTTTTGTACTCATTAGCAAATCTCTCTTCATACCCCCTTACCCTCTACTCTTCCCTTTCTCTGGTAACTAACCACTGTTCTATTCTCTACCTCCATGAGATCAAATTTTTTTGGCTCCCACATATTAGAGCGAACACTAACAGCTAAGTTTTGTTTCGATGTTGCTTCTAAATATGAAACCTATCTCGGTTTCTTGGAGTTATTGAAAGTAATGTCTCACTGCAACTGAAAGAATCAAAGTAAGGTCAGCTGAGCAAGGTGAGCCTCCTCTAATTCAGCCAGAGCCTAAATTCATGGTGTAATGAAAGATTAGTGTTTTAGGCTTTTTAGCATCTTCCAACTTTTAATATTGAGCACATAACAAGAAAAATGTTTTGAGTATATTCAGAAAAAAAATGAAAGAAGTTGCCATTCTCAAACAGTGACTCAATCTTCACTACTTGGAGGCTCCGTAAGGACTAATTCATTCATGCACTTACTCAGTAAACATTTATTACACATCTCATATGTCCTAGGCTCTACTATAAAAGATGAAGGTGCAAAAATATATATTATTTTTACCTCCAATCAGCTCACAGTTTATCAACTGTAAGAAAAGACACATACAGGTTGAGAATCCCTTATCTGAAATGCTTGGGGGCAGACATGTTTCAGATTTCAGGTTTCCTGGGATTTTGAAATATTTGTATTATACTTACCAGTTCAACATTCTAATCTGGAAATCCGAAATCTGAAACATTCCGATGAGCATTTTCTTTGAGTATCACATTGGTGCTCAAAAAGTTTCAAGTTTTGCAGCATTTTGGATTTTGATTTTCCAGATTAGAGATGCTCAACCTGTACTAAAATTAGTGCAATAAAATGTTTACAGGTGCTTTCATTGAAATATATACAATGTACAGTACGAAATGAAAAAGGGATTGATTACTGGCTGGTGAGGAGCAGGAAAGGCTTCATATAGCAGGTTAGCCTCAACTGATTCTTAATACAAATTGGAAAGCTGCAAAAGTATGGAGGAGTTTCAGGCAAAAAGAGCAATTCTTGACAAAGACAACAAACATCCGATATTTCTCAAGACCTGGAAATTGGATGATTTAGCAGAGCTGAATCTGAAGGGAACCAAGAAAAAGGAAAATTGTGAGGGGGTCTTGCCCATCACCCTGGTGAATTTGGGCTTTAATATGGAGACAATTTATTGAAGGGTGTGACACAGAAGTAATAGAAAACCCATTAGAACACACTGTTGGATGAATTCTGGCAAGAAGATGATGGTTTAAAGGTGATAAGGAAGAAATGCTGTAGGACTTTCAAAATTCCCAAACACAGGGAAGTTTTAATCAGAAATCTTATTAATTCCAGATTTCTGACTTGCAAGTCTGGATGGACAGGGGTAATGTCAGTTGAGTAGACTGCATATTAGAAGAGAGTCTAAAAGATTAGAAAGAGAAGTTAATGATCTCAAGTTAGACACATTGAATATGCCTCGGGGATGTTAGATGTTTGGAATTTGGCTTGAAGATGACTAGGTTGCAAACTCACTCTGTGAAGACACCCATTTCTCTGCTATCGTGCAAGGGTAATATTTAACATAATCCAGTATGGCAGGGCAAAGAACAATCAGATAGATGCTGCTCAGAGCACAGGGATGTGGTCCTGGATGCCCCTACTGTACCACACATTTCCCTTTAATTCATTGATTGGGAAATGCACAGAGGAAGAAGCCAGGCAGCTAAGTCAAGAAAGTATAAGGGTATTTGCAGTCTTTGAGGTAGTGACTGTTTAGTAACTTATATAAAAACATATATTATATATATATATATATTTTTTTTTTTTTTTTTTTTGAGGCGGAGTCTTGCTCTGTCACCCAAGCTGGAGTGCAGTGGCCTGATCTCGACTCACTGCAAGCTCTGCCTCCCAGGTTCACGCCATTCTCCTGCCTCAGCCTCCTGAGTAGCTGGGACTACAGGCGCCCGCCACCACGCCTAGCTAATTTTTTGTATTTTTTTAGTAGAGACGGGGTTTCACTGTGTCAGCCAGGATGGTCTCCATCTACTAACCTCGTGATCCGCCCGCCTCGGCCTCCCAAAGTGCTGGGATTACAAGCGTGAGCCACTGCGCCCGGCCAACATTTTAATATTTTCACCACCACACAGCCATATCTGTAGGTAACACATTAATTTTTAGCCTTGCTTATGGAATCTCTTTTGTGGGTTTGTTAAAACTTTATTTCTTCCCTTTTTTTTCTTTTTTTTTTCTTTTTTGGACGGAGTCTCACTCTGTTGCCCAGGCTGGAGTGCAGTGGTACAATCTTGGCTCAGTGCAACCTCTGCCTCCTGGGTTCAAGCGATTCTTGTACCTCAGCCTCCAGAGTAGCTTGGATTATAGGCGTGCGCCACCATGACTGTCTAATTTTTATAATTTTAGTAGAGACGGGAATCTCACCATTTTGCCCAGGCTGGTCTTGAACTCCTGGCCTCAAGTGATCTGCTGGACTCAGCCTCCCAGAGTTCTGGGATTACAAACATGAACCACTGCGCCCAACCTGTTATGACTTTATTTCATCCTTAACTACTTAGTAAAACTTACTAAGAGGAATTGAAACTAAATAAGGGTGAAAGGAGTCTTTCTCACGCTGCAGTCAGAGTGTATATAAGGATTATTGCATCTCTAAGGGACAGATTTCACGGTAGAAGCAAGAAGTAGTAGCTCTGAAGCAAATAGAATAGGAGAACCCTTGAGTAACAGTGATGTGACCAACTCTGATCATTGATTGTTTTCTACTGAGGCTAATAGTAATCCTTCTCAGGCACAGGGATAGAGAATGGATTTGCTCCATCAATGTAGCCAATTCTTTCCCACCATCAGGTTCTGAATCTCACCAATTTTCTCACTGAGCTTCTAAAGAAAAACATTTTAGAGTGATGCTCCTACAGTGGAAAAAGCTATTCACTTAGGAGTAGGTAAACAGCAAATTACAATTTCTCCACTTGCCCCATATACACTTTTGTTGATATTTTCCAAAACTTATTGCAGGGATAGCACATTAGAATAAAAAGCTTATGGTACTGGGAATTAAAAAACTTTGGTTCTAGCACCAAATTTACACTTTCTAATCATAAAAATAAGACTAACATAAAAATAATATGTTTCTTTAATATAAAATAAGACTAAATATCCTTATCTGAAATAGTGATAATGATACCTTCTCATTCAATTTTTATAAAGTTGCTATAAGTAGTATCTTTGAAATATCTGTGAAATAAGTGACATCTTTCACTTTTGCACTTCTATGAATCAATTATGTCATTTGGCTACTTTGGATTCCTATTTTCTTATCTAAAAATAAGGGTTATTTCTTCTAAATAGTTTCCTGTATCTTTTCTAAAGCTAACATTTTGCAGTGTTACAAACTAAAAAAAGAACATTTTTATGGGTGAAAGTTAATGGTGAGATAGCTTTTTTCCTTTGCCTCTTTTCCCATGGTCCCTGCCTTCATAAAAGATTAGGCACACCTTGCCTAAATGAAGAGAGCTCTGTCTCTGACATTTACATTATTTCCTGGCTAGGAGAAGATGAAATTTGTACAAATTACAAGAAAGCGAATCACTGTGCTTACATAAATTACATAAAAATCCAAGACATGCATTATAGAGACATTTGCAAGCTGCTTGTACTTCTGAAATCCAGAAAATTAATTGCCATTTCCACCAAGGTAAATAATGACACAAAATAGAGGAGGTAGATTTTATTTTTGATGTCTCCTATGTTGATAATTGCAGAGAATTGTGAGATGACAGCTTCCTTTTATAGTCAAGCCTCTCAAATCCTATCTTCTCAAAATAGTTTTCCATGAGATCCTCGTCACTTTGCCATCACTTCATTTCTTTATTTCTGCCTGGTCTTATTGTACAAGTGTAATTATTTGTCCTCACTAATCACACCATAAATGTATCTACTCTTATTATCTATAATTCCTCATATTCCTCATATTTATGTAATATGACTTTTCTTATTCCATAGTATTAAATATGGACTAAGGACGTGAGGTCTGGAATAAAACTATGTAACTTCTAGGTGTCTCAGTTTTCTGTACCTATAAAATGGGGGTAAAAATTCTCCCAACTTCACCAGACTGATACAAAAATTAAATAAAATAGTCCACAGAGAGCCTTGTACTCAATAAGAGCTCAGTAAGTGTTAGCTATTATTATTCTGCAAAGGAAGTAAGAACAATTCATTAAGTTTGTCATTGAATTTGTGTCCTCTTGGAAACACACTAGGTCAAGGAATTTAGAAAAGAGTTTGTGTAATCCCAGCACTTTGGGAGGCCAAGGCGGGCAGATCACAAAGTCAGGAGATCGAGGCCAGCTTGACCAATATGGTGAAACCCTGTCTCTACTAAAAATACCAAAATTAGCCAGGGGTGGTGGTGCACACCTGTAATCCTGGCTACTCAGGAGGCTGAGGCAGGAGAATTGCTTGAACCTGGGAGGCGGAGGTTGCGGTGAGCTGAGATCACGCCACTGCCCTCTAGCCTGGGTGACAGAGCAAGACTCTGCCAAAAAAAAAAAGTTAGTGTGATTCTATGTAAAGGGTTTTGTTTAGTAGATGACTTATATTAGGCTGTAGACGATTTTAAACTGTATCCTGTGTCTGAGATGATTGATGTCATAATATAAACTCTGAAACATACAAAATGGCCATAATTATTGAATGAATATTAAAGGGGTTTTTTTGTCAGGCTTAAATTTTGAAAATACAGGTAGAGTGTTTAGCATCGGTTCACTAAATATTGGGTAATTTACTTATTTTTAAAATTAATTTACACTTGAATTTCCATCTTCCCTAAAAGGTTAGTCTTCACTCAGCCCTCTCTCTGTCTTCAGGGGAAGGTTTTGCTTCCTTGCCTTCCAACTTCCAGTTGTGAGGATATCAGTAGGGATTTGGGAACAGGCAAAGACCCCTGCATTTTCTCACTTCCCTAAACTGTCTGCCCTGAGTGGAGCTGAACCAGTTTGAGTGAGCCAAGTTATCTGTCAGTGGCTCCGTCCAAGCATCTTGGTGGTAAATGATGACAAATTATGTGAAAGAATGCTGTATAAATTTAGAAAGTTTTAATACAGTGACTTAATTTTTCTTTATTGCATAAATATTTTTGCATTATTTAAGGTAATTATAGCCCATTAGTTTGGAAATGTCATTGATTGGCTACATCCTATTAATATAGACTGTAGATTGGCTGTAAATTTCTCTTTTCTGTTTAAAGTTGTAGATCAAATTCACATAGCTGTGTGATGGCAGACATAATTAAAGCCATTCCCTATCTCCTCCACTGCCATGGGTACCAAAGACTTTCCATCTCGAAGCAGATGGCTACTGAAGCCACAACACTGCTACTGCAGTGCAGATCCAGACGAGTTACTGGATAATAGCTTAAATTTTCTCAAAAAGCAAAAGTGGTTCATATTCCAAATTTCAGACAAACAGGACTAAAGGATATGTAGAAAAATGTTGCTGAATATGAAAGGTACAAATTCACCCAAGCAAAACAGTTGGACATGAATTAAAATAGGGCAAAAAAGAAAAAAAGAAAAAAAACAGGAAAGAAAGGCAACACAAGGCACACATGTATGCATTTGTACTTGCATTTCTAATTGCATCATGGAAAGACAAATAGAAATCCACTGTAAATATTTTTATATGTATCAACTATTGTCTAGATCCTGGTTTAGCTAAACTAGAAATACAAAAACACTGTTATCGAAAAGAGCTATCCTGACCACTTCACCACTGAAGAAAACTTGCTTGCTCCATGCTTGCATGTATCTCTGAGTTTTGTCCTAATAAAAAGGAATAAAAATGATTTTCCAAAGGCCCTTATCTATCAGTGATACCTCTTCCATGTGAGGAGGGGAAGCCTTTAATATACTGCTATTGCAGGTCACACCTACTCTTCTACTTACCTAGATTAATTTCTAATTGGATCATGTTTAGAAAGGGTGTAATAAAGATGAGAGGTTAGCTTTAGAATTTTTTTTGAAAGGTATGTAATGTGCTTTAGCAATACATTTGTTGGTAAAGTCCATCCCAGTTCATTCAAAAGGAATGGAATTTTGGTTTTGTTTCATACGGGGTGTTTGCATTTCCAGATTTTATCAAAAGACAACATTTTTAACAAATGGCATAATTCCAGTCAAATTTGCTTTATGTCTAGGAAAATACATTTTAATAAATATTTACAGTCTTTCAGTATTGTCAGACTGTTACAGGGAGAAGACGACATATTCAATAAAGAAGAGATTATGTAAAACATGGGTTGGCAAAATATAGTCCTTAGGCCAAATCTAGCCCGTGGCCTGTTCTGTACTGCCTGCAAACTAAGAATGGTTTTTACATTTTTAAAGGGATGAAGAAGAAAGAAGAGAAGGGGAGAGGGTTAAGAGAGAGAAAGAAACTAGTGATCGTATATGGACCACAAACCCTACAGTATTTATTATCTGGCTTGTTACATAAAAAGTTTGTCAAACCTTGGTCTAGAAAAACAGAAAGTAATAAGAGGTACAGGCATACTTCTTTCTACCGTGCTTTAGTTGATTGTACTGCACAGACATTGCATTTTTTACAGATTGAAGGTTTGTGGCAACCCTGCATTGAACAAGTTTATTTTTCTAATAGCATGTACTCACTCCACATCTCTGTTTCTCATTTTGGCAACTCTTGTAATATTTTAAACTTTGTTATAATTATTATATCTATTATGGTTATCTGTGATCAGTGGTCTTTGTTGTCACTATTTTAGTTGTTTTGGAGCATCATGAATCATGCCCATATAAGACAATGAACTTAATGGATAAATGTAGGTTCTAACTGCTCTACCAATCAGCCATTACCCAATCTTTTCCCATCTGCTGGGGCCTTCCTATCCCCTGACATACAGAAATGTTAAAATTATGCCAATTAATAAACTACAATGGCCCCTAAGTGTTTAAGTAAATGGAAGAGTTGCAAGTCTCTCATTTTAAATCAAAAGCTAGAAATGATTAAGCATAGTGAGGAAGGCATGTTGAAACCCAAGGTAGACTGAAAGCTAGTCCCCTTGCACCAAACAGATAGCCAAGTTGTGAATGCAGACAAAGAGTTACTTAGACAAACTAAAAGTGCTACTCCAGTGAACACAAATGATAAGAAAGCAAAACAGCCTTATTGCTGTTATGAAGATCATTTTAGTGGTCTAGATCGATCAAACCAGCCACAGCATTCATCTAGACCAAAGCCTAATCAATAGCAAGGCCTTAATTCTATGAAGGCTGACAGAAGTAAGGAAGCTGCAGAAGAAAAGTTGGAAGCTAGCAGAGGTTGGTTCATGAGGTATAAGGAAAGAAGGCATCTCCATAACATAAAAGTGCATGTGAAGCAGCAAGTGCTGATATAGAAGAAGCTGTAGCAAGTTATCCAGAAGATCTAGCTAAGATAATTGATGAAGGTGGCTCCACTAAACAACACATTTTCAATGGAGATTAAACAGCCTTATACTGAAAGAAGATGCCATCTAGGATTTTTATAGCCAGAGAGAAGTCAATGCCTGGCTTCAAAGCTTCAAAGGTCAGCCTGACTCTCTTTTTAGGGGTTAATGCATCTGGTGACCGGAAATTGAAGCCAATGCTCATTTATGATTCTGAAAATCCTTGGGACTGTAAGAATTATACTAAATTTACACTGCCTATGCTCTATAAACGAAACAACAAGGCCCAGATGACAGCACATCTGTTGTCAGCATGGTTTGCGAAATAGTTTAAGCCCACTGTTAAGATCTACTGCTCAGAAAAAGGAAGATTTCTTCCCAAGTATAATGGCTAATTGACAATACATCTAGTCATCCAAGAGCTGTGACAAAAATGTACAAGAAGAACATTGTTTTTATGCCTGCTAATACAACATCCATTATCTAGCCCATAGATCGAGGAGTAATTTGACTTTCAAGTCTTATTATTTAAGAAATGAATTTCAAAAGGGTATAACTACCACAGATAATGATTCCCTGATTGATCTGGACAAAGTAAATTGAAAATCTTCTGAAAAGGATTCACCATTTTAGAGGCTATTAAGTACATTTGTGATTCATGGGAGGAGGTCAAAAGAGCAACATTAACAGGACTTTGGAAGAAATTGATTCCAACTCTCATGGATGACTTTGAAGGGTTCAAGATTTCAATGGAGAAAGTAACTGTATATAAATGTAGTGGAAACAGCAAGATAACTACAATTAGAGTGGAGCTTAAAGATGTGACTGAATTGCTGCAATCTCATGTTAAAACTTCAATGGATGAGTAGTTGTTTCTTATGGATGAGCAAATAAAGCAGTTTCTTAAGACAGAATCTACTCATGGTGAAGGCGTTGTGAACATTATTGAAATGACAACAAACGATTTAGAGTATTATATAAACTTAGTTGATGGAGGAGCAGCAGGGTTTGGGAGAATTGACTCCAATTTTGAAAGAAGTTCTACAGTAGGTAGAATGTTATCAAACAACTTTGCTAGCTAGAGATAAATCTTTGATGAAAGGAAGAGTCAATAAATAATGGCAAACTTCACTGTCATCCTATTTTAAGAAATTTCACCATCAGAAAGATTCTGACTCACTAAAGGCTTAGACGATCATTCTCTTTTTTTAGCAATAAAGTATTTTTTAATTAAAGCATGTACACTGCTTTTTAGATATAATGCTATTGCAAATTTATTAGACTACAGTGTAGTATAAACATAACTTTTGTACTGGGAAACCAAAAAGTTTTCATGACTTGCTTTATTACAGCATTCACTTTATTGAAGTGATCTGGAGCTGAACCCATAATATCGTGGAGGTACACCTATACTTGGTAACTTAAGAGTTTGGTGGTAAGATGCATTAGTGATCTTACTGTAGCAAAGTGAGAAATTTTGGATACATTTTAGAAAGGCAAGAGGATAGGAAATAACACTGGATAGAATGAAAGGGGTAGAGCAAGATGGTGGAACAGAAGGCCCCACTGACAGTACCCCACATAGGAACACCAAATTCAACAACTGCCTAAAACAAAAAAGCACCTTCACAAGAACCAAAAATCAGGTGAGCGCTCACAGTATCTGGTTTTAACTTCACATTGCTAAAAGAGGCACTGAAGAGGAAAAACAGCCTTGAATTGCCAATGCAACCCCTCACACATCCCCCCACAGCAGCTGCTTAGAAATCTATGTGCTTGGGAAAGGGAGAGTGCAGTGCTTTTGAGATGTTGAATTTAACTCAGTGTTGCCCTGTCACAGTGTGTCCAGAATTGGTGGGTTCTTGGTCTCGCTGACTTCAAGAATGAAGCGGTGGACCCTTGCGGTGAGTGTTACAGCTCTTAAGGTGGCACGTCTGGAGTTTGTTCCTTCTGATGTTCGGATGTGTTCGGAGTTTCGTCCTTCTGGTGGGTTCGTGGTCTCCTAGGCTCAGGAGTTAAGCTGCAGACCTTCGCAGTGAGTGTTACAGCTCTCAAGGCTGCGCGTCTGGAGTTGTTCGTTCCTCCCGGTGGGCTCGTGGTCCCGCCGGCTTCAGGAGTGAAGCTGCAGACTTTCGCAGTGAGTGTTACAGCTCATAAAAGCAGTGTGGACCCAATGAGTGAGCAGCAGCAAGATTTATTGCAAAGAGTGAAAGAACAAAGCTTCCACAGTGTGGAAGGGGACCCGAGCAGGTTGCCATTGCTGGCTTGGGCAGCCTGCTTTTATTCTCTTATCTGGCCCCACCCACGTCCTGCTGATTGGTAGAGCCGAGTGGTCTGTTTTGACAGGGTGCTGATTGGTGTGTTTACAATCCCTGAGCTAGAAACAAAGGTTCTCCAAGTCCCTACCAGATTAGCTAGATACAGAATGTTGACACAAAGGTTCTCCAAGGCCCCACCAGAATAGGTAGATACAGAGTGTTGATTGGTGCACTCACAAACCCTGAGCTAGACACAGGGTGCTGATTGGTGTGTTTACAAACCTTGAGCTAGATACAGAGTGCCGATTGGTGTATTTACGATCCCTGAGCTAGACATAAAGTTTCTCTAAGGCCCCACCACAGTAGCTAGATACAGAGTGTCGATTGGTGCATTCACAGACCCTGAGCTAAATACAGGGTGCTGATTGGTGTGTTTACAATTCCTGAGCTAGACATAAAGGTTCTCCACCTCTCCACCAGACTCAGGAGCCCAGCTGGCTTCACCCAGTGGATCCCTCACGGGGGCTGCAGGTGGAGCTGCCTGCCAGTCCCACGCCATGCGCCCACACTCCTCAGCCCTTGGGTGGTCAATGGGACTGGGTGCCGTGGAGCAGGGGGTGGTGCTCGTCGGGGAGGCTCGGGCCGCACAGGAGCCCATGGAGTGGGTGGGAAGGTCAGGCATGGCGGGCTGCAGGTCCCGAGCCCTGCCCCGTGGGAAGGCAGCTAAGGCCCAGTGAGAAATCAAGCGCAGCGCTGGTGGGCTGGCACTGCTGGGGGACCCAGTACACCCTCCGCAGCCGCTGGCCCGGGTGCTACGCCCCTCATTGCCCGGGGCCGGCAGGGCCGCCGGCTGCTCCGAGTGCGGGGCCGCCAAGCCCACGCCCACCCGGAACTCCAGCTGGCCCGCAAGCGCCAGGCGCAGCCCAGATTGCCATTTGCACCTCTCCCTCCACACCTCCCTGCAAGCTGAGGGAGCCGGCTCTGGCCTTGGCCAGCCCAGAAAGGGGCTCCCACAGTGCAGCGGTGGGCTGAAGGGCTCCTCAGGTGCCGCCAAAGTGGGAGCCCAGGCAGAGGAGGCGCTGAGAGCGAGCGAGGGCTGTAAGGACTGCCAGCACGCTGCCACCTCTGAACAGCAGAAAGTAAAACTGGGCTGAAGTCAGCTTATGCCTGCTCCCATAGGGAGCATTCAGAGAAGACCTAGCCAAAGGAGAACTCACCATCCTAGTGGCCAGAAGTTGCATTCCAGCAAGCCTCACCACTGCAAGCTGAAGTGTTCTGGGTTCCTAAATAAAACTTGCAAGGAAGTCTGGGCCACAAAGACTGCAAGTCCTAGTGCTGAGCTACGTACTGAGCCAGTGGACTTCGGGGGCACATGACCTACTAAAACACCAGCCAGGGCAGCTAAGGAAGTGCTTGAACCACCCCTCTTGCAACCCCAGACAAAAAAGCTCATGACTCCATAATAGACCACTTCCTTCCACTTCAGGAAAGGAGAGGGAAATGTAAGAGGATTTCTGTCTTTCATCTTGGATACCAGCTCAGCCACAGTAGGATAGGGCAGTGTTCTAAGTTGTAAGGCCTCTATTCCAGGTCTTAGCAGCCAAATGACATTTCTAGACACACTCTGGGCCAGAAGAAAACCTGCTGTCTTGAAAGGAAAGACCTAGTCCTGGTAGGATCCATCACCTGCTGACTAAAGAGCCCTTGGGCCCTGAATAACCAAGAACGATATGCACATAGTATGCCATGGGCCTTAGATGAGACTCTGAGATGTGCTGGCTTCAGGCACCAGGTCGGCCACACACTGGAGTAGGGCACCAAACAGGTTCTTGAAGTCCCCAATTTTAGGCCTTGGTTCTTGGATGACATTTCTGGACTTTCCCTGGGCCAAAAGCGAGCCCATTGCCCCGAAGGGTGAGTCTCAGGCCTGGCAGCATTCACCAGAGCTGACCGAAGAGCTTTGGGGCCTTAAGTGAACATCAGCGAGAGTCTGGCAATACTCCCCATGGGCCTGTAGTGGTGGTGACCACAGGGTGAGTCTCCCCTTCCTGTGGAAAGGGGAGGGAAGAGTAGGAAGGACTATGTCTTATGGTTTGAAGGCCAACCAAACCATAGAATAGACCACCAGGTAAGCTTCTATGGTTTTTCACTCCAGTCCCTAGCTGCCAGATGGGGGAACTGGATGCCTACTGCCCATGGCCTGAGGAAACTCGACACCCTGAAGGGAAGAACATAAGCCTGGCTGGCTTGCCACCTGCTGATTGTAGAGTCCTAGGGCCTGGAGCGAACATAGGTGGTAACAAGGTAATAGTTTCAGTGGGACTTGGGTGAGACTCAGGGCTATGCTGGTCTCAGGTCTGACTGAGCAGAGTCCCAGTGATGGTACCTACAGGGGTGCTTGTGTCACTCATCCCCAGCCCCAGGCAGCTCAACACAGAGGGAGAGACTCCATTTTCTTGGGAGACAGTAAGACAAAAAACAAGAGTCTCTGCCTGGCAACCCAGAGAATTCCCAGATTTTATCCACAGATCTAATCCACATCTTATCCAGATCTTGTCCACAACCACCAAGGCAGTACCTCTGCAAGTCTGAAAGAACAAGCACATTACTGCCCTTGGAGATCCTCCTGATGCAGATATGGCTTAGATTACAACAGTCATGTCCTTGTGAATACCTGGAGAACCTTCCAAGAAGAATGAGTACAAACAAGCCCAAACTACAAAGACTAAAATCAATACTTAACTCTTCAATGCCCAGACAGTGATCCCACCAAATAAACTAAATATCCCACCAAGGACCAATCCTGGAGAAATAAAGATATCTGATATTTCAGAGAGAGAATTCAAAATAGCTGTTTTGAGGAAACTCAAAGAAATTCAAGGCAACACAGAGAAGGAATTCAGAATTCTATCAGATAACTTAAACAAAGAGAGTAAGTTAATTAAAGAGAATCAAGCAGAAATTCTGAAGTTGAAAAATGCAATTGACATACTGAAGAATGCATCAGTCTCTTAATAGCAGAACTAATCAAGCAGAAAAAAGAATTAGTGAGCTTGAAGACACACTTTTTGAAAATATGGTCAGAGGAGACAAAAGGAAAAAGAATAAAAAACAATAAAGCATGCCTACAAGATCTAGAAAATAGCCTCAGAAGTGCAAATCTAAGAGTTATTGGCCTTAATGAGGAGACAGAGAAAAAATTATGGGTAGAAAGTTTATTTAAACAAATAATAAGAGAACTTCCCACACCTAGAGAAAAATATCAATATCCAAGTACAAGAAGGTTACAGAACACTAACCAGATTTAACCCAAAGAAGACTACCTCAAGGCATTTGATAATCAAACTCCTAATGGTTAAGGATAAAGAAATAATTCTAAAAGCAAGAGAAAAGAAACAAACAACAAACAATGGAGCACCCACATGTATGGCAATAAAATTTTAAGTGGAAACCTTACAGGCCAGGAGGGAGTGGCATGACATATTTAATGTGCTGGAAAAAAACCCCAACTTTTAGCCTAGAATAGTATATCTGGACAAAATATCCTTAAAGCATGAAGGAGAAATAGAAATTTTGCCAGACAAACAAAAGCTGAAAAGTGTTATCAACACCAGACCTGTCCTACAAGAAATGGTAAAGGGAATACTTCAACTGGGAAGAAAAGCATATTAATGAACAATAAGACATCATCTGAAGGTACAAAACTAACTAGTGATGGTAAGTACAGAGAATAATACAAAATAGTATAACACTGTAACTCTGTTGTGTGAACCACTCTTATTTTAAGTAGAAGGACTAAAAGATAAAGCAATCAAAAATAATAACTACAACAACTCTTCAAGACATAGGCAGTATAATAAGATATAAATAGAAATAACAAAATGTTAAAAAGCAGAGGGAGGAAGTTAAAGTGTAGAGTTTTTATTAGTTTTCTTTTTGTTTGTTTGTTTATGCAAGCAGTGTTCAGCTGTTATCAGCTAAAAATAATGGATGATAACAGGTTATCTGTAAACTTCATGGTAACCTCAAATTTTAAAAAAATGCAATGGATACACAAAAAATAAAAAGCAAGAAACTAAGTCCTCTAATCAGAGAAAGTCACGTTCACTAAAAGAAAGACAGGAAAGAAGGAAAGAAGAAAAAGAAGACCACAAAACAACCAGAAAACAAATAATAAAATAGCAGGAGTAAGTCCTTACGGACAATAACATTGAATATAAAAGGACTAAACTCTCCAATCAAAAGACAGAGTGGCTGCATGATGAAAAACAGGAACCAATGATCTCTTGCCTGCAAGAAACACTCTTCACCTATAAAGACACACACAGACTGAAAATAAAGTGATGGAAAAAGATATTCCATGCCAATGGAAACAAAAAAAGAGCAAGAGTTGCTATATTTATATCAGACAAAATAGATTTCAAGACAAAAACTATAAGAGAAGACAAAGCAGGTCATTATATAATGATAAAGGGGTCAATTCAGCAAGAGAATATAACAATCATAAATATATATGTACTCAACATTGGAGCATCCGGATATATAAAGCAAATATTATTAGAGCTAAATAAAGAGACTCCAATAATACAATAATAATTGGAGATTTCAACACCCCCACTTTCAGCATTGGACAGATCTTCCAGACAGAAAATCAACAAAGAAATATTGGAGTGAATCTGCTCTATACACCAAATGGACCTAATAGATATTTACAAAACATTTAATCCAATGGTTGCAGAATACAAATTCCTTTCCTCAGCATACAAATTATTCCTAAGGATAGATCATATGTTATGGCACAAAACAAGTCTTAAAATACTCAAAAATTGAAATAATATCAAGCATCTTCTTTGACCATAATGGAATAAAACTAGACATGAATAATGAGAGAAATTTTTGAAATTATACAAACACATGGAAATTAACCAATATGCTACTGAATGACCAGTGGGTCGATGAAGACATTTTTTAAAAATTGAAAAGTTTCTTGAAAAAAATGATAATGGGAGAACAACATACCAAAACCTATGGAATGCAATGAAAGCAGTACTAAGAAGAAATTTTACAGCTATAAGTCCCTACATAAAAAAGAGGCAAAACTTCAAGAAAATAACCTAATGATGCATTTTAAAGAAATAGAAAAGCAAGAGCAAACCAAACCCAAAATTAGTAGATGAAAGAAAATAAAAAATCTGAGTAGAGATAAATGAAATTGAAACAAGAAAACAAAAGATCAACAGAACAAAAAGTTGGGTTTTTTTGAAACAATAAACAAAATTGAAAAACCATTAGCCAGACTAACTAATAAAAAAGAGAGGAGACCCAAATTAAAAAAAAAAAATTAGAGATGAAAAAGGGGACATTACAACTTGTACTACTGACATTCAAGAGATCACTAGTGGCTACTAGGAGTAACAATATGCCAAAAAATTGGAAAACCTAGGAGAAATGAATAAATTCCTAGACACATACAACCTACCGAGATTGAACCATGAAGAAATCCAAAACCTGAACAAACAAGTAATAAGTAATGAGATCGATCATAATAAAAAGACTTCTAGCAAAGAAAAGCCCAGGATCTGACGGCTTCACTGCTGAACTCTACCAAATATTTAAAGAACTAATACCAATCCTATTCAAACTATTCCAAAAACTGCAGGAGGAGGGAATAGTTTCAAATTCATTCTATGAGGCTAGTATTACACTGATGCCAAAAGCAGACAGACACATCGAAAAAGAAAGCTACAGGCCAATATCGCTGATGAACACTGATGCAAAAATTTTTAACAAAATACCATCAAGCCAAATTCAACAACATATTGGAAAGATAATTCATCATAACCAAGTGGGATGTATCTTAAGGACGCAAGAATGGTTCAACATATGCAAATCAACTAATGTGATACATCATATCAACAGAATAAAGGACCAAAATTATATAATCATTTCAATTGAAGCTAAAAAAGTGTTTGATAAAATTCAAAATCCTTTCACGAATACCCTGAAAAACTAAGTGTAGAAGGAACACACATCAACATTATAAAAGGCATATATGACAGAGCTACAGCTAGCATCATACTGAAGGGAGAAAAACTGAAAGCCTTTTTCTCTAAGATTTGAAACGTGACAAAGATGCCCACCCTCACCATTGTTATTCAGGATACTGGATAAAAGTGGATATCTGAATAGAGGAATCAGACAGGAAAAATAAATAAAAAGCTCCAAATTGGAAAGGAAGACGTCAAGTTATTCTTATTTGCAGATACAATCTCATACCTAGAAAAACCTAAAGACTCCACCAAAATAAAACTATTGGAACGAATAAACACGTTCAGTAAAGTTGCAGGATACAAAATCAAGATATAGAAATCATTAGCATTTCTATATGCCATCAGCAAACAATCTGAAGAAGAAATTAAGAAAGTAATCACATTTACAATAGCTACAAATGAAATAAAATACCTTGGGATTAACCAAAGAAGTGAACAATCTCTATAATGAAAACTATAAAACACTGATGGAAGAAATTGAAGAGGACACCAAAATTGAAAAGATACTCCATGTTCATGAACCAGATATTCAATATTGTTAAAATGTCTAGACTACAATACCTAAAGCAACCTACAGATTCAATGCAATCCTTATCAAAATACCAACGATATTTTTCACAGAAATGGAAGAAACAATCTTAAAATTTATATGGAACCATAAAAGACCCAGAATAGCCATAGCTAACCTAAGCAAAAACAACAAAACTGAAGGAATCACATTACCTGACTTCAACTTACACTACCAAGGCCAGGCAGAGTCGTTCACACCTGTAATCCCAGCACTTGGGGGCTGAGGTGGGAGGATTGCTTGAGTCCAGGAGTTTGAGACCAGCTTAGGCAACATAGTGAAACCCTATTTCTACAAAAAATAGAAAAAAATTGGCCAGGCCTGGTGGTGTGTGCTTGTAGTTCCAGATACTCAGGAGGCTGAAGTGGGAGAACGCTTGTGCCTAGCAAGTCAAGGCTGCAGTGAGCCACGATCATGCCACTGTACTCAGCCTGAGAAAACAGAGTGAGACCATGTCTTCAAAAAAGAAAACAAAAACAAATTATATTACAGAGCTCTAGTAACCAAAACAGCATGGTACTCACATAAAAACAAACATGTAGACCAGTGGAACAAATTAGAGAACCCAGAAATAAATCCACACATCTATAGTAAACTCATTTTTGACAAAGGTACCAAGAACATACTTTGGGAAAACGACAGTCCCTTTTATAAATGGTTCTGGGATAGCTAGATATCCATATCTACAAGAATTAAACTAGACCCTATCTCTTACCATATTAAAAAATCAAATTTTACAGTGGATTAAATACTTAAATCGAAGACATCAAAGTATGAAACTATTAAAATAAAACATTGGGGACACGTTTTGAGACACTGGAGTGGGCAGAGATTTATTGAGTAATACTCTGCAAGCACAGGTAACCAGAGCAAAAAAGGACACATGGGATCACATGAAGTTAAAAAGCTTTTGCACAGCAAAGGGAACAATCAATAAAGTGAAGAGACAACCCACAGAATGGGAGAAAATATTTGCAAACTATCCATCTGACAAGGGATTAATAACCAGAAGGAACTCAAACAACTCTATAGGAAAAAATCTAATAATCTGTTCAAAAAATGGGCAATAGATCTGAACAGACATTTCTCAAAAGAAGACATGCAAATGGTAAACAGTTACATGAAAAGGTGCTCAACATCATTGATCAACAGAGAAATGCAAATTAAAACTACAAGGAGATATCATCTCACCCCAGTTAAAATGGTTTATATCCCAAAGACAGACAATAACAAATGCTGGCGAGGATGTGGAGAAAAGGGACCTCTCATACGCTGTTGGTGGGAATGTAAATTAGTACAACCACTATGGAGAACAGTTTGGAGGTTCCTCAAAAAACTAAAAATGGGGTGCCATATGATCTAGTCATCCCACTCCTAGATATATATCCCCAAAAAGGAAATCAGTATATCAAAGAGATACCTGCACTCCTATGTTTATTGCAGCACTATTCACAATAGTCAAGATTTGGAAGCAACCTAAATGTCCATCCACAGATGAATGGATAAAGAAAATCTGGTACATATTCAGCCATAAAAAATGAGATCCTGTCATTTGCAACAACATGGATGGAACTGGAGGTCATTATGTTAAGTGAAATTAACCAGGCACAGAAAGACATACTTTGCATGTTCTCACTTATTAGTGGGAGCTCAAAATTAAAACAATTGAACTCAAGGAGTTAGAGAGTAGAAGAATTGTCACCAGAGTCTGGGAAGGGTTGTGGGGGGGGAAAGTAGGTATGGTCAATGGGTACAAAAAAATAGATAGAATGAATAAAACCTAACATTTGCTAGCACAACAAGATGCCTATCGTCAATAATAATTTAATTGTACATTTTAAAGTAACTAAAAGAGTATAATTAGATTGTTTGTAACTCAAAGCATAAATGCTTGATGTGATTGATACCCCATTTACCCTGACGAGATTATTATGCATTGCATACCTGTATTGAAATATCTCATGTAACCATAAACATATACACCTACTATGTACCCCCAAAAATAAATATAAAAAATTAACTAAAAAAGAGCACTGAACTTTATAATTTATGGTTTTAATGAAAAGGAAAATTGAAAAATATATATAGCAGTTATAGAGAATCTGGGAGAAAAAAGGAGCTATGTTAAACATTCGGTCCTTAGTACCATATTATGTCAACAATGATCTCTACAGATAGAAGATGATAACCACAATCAAATGGGGATCTCCACAGATGGAAAGTGAGACAATTTTGTGTGCCAGCTGAACAAGACGTCCGGAAATGACAATAACAATAATGAGAAGAGAAAAGATATCAAAAGATATCCAAACTCCAAAAGGTTCAATGACTGACATTTTGAGTGTTTAATCTTGCATTTTAAAATAAGAAACCACCCACGTAAAACAGCACATAGCAAAAAAGTTATTATTTCTCTATACTTCTCAAATATATGCTATTCTTCAGCTATAGTAAACAGTTTTTAGCTTATATAAACTTTCGTATCTTTTTCTATGCAGTTATTTACAAATGTAAATATTTAACATTTATATTATTTAGCATAAAACAAATATATTTCTTTTATTTAAAATAAAAATATTTGACATTAACATATATTATAAATAATAAAGTGGTTGCTATTGGTTTTACACAAATGGGAATATATCATGTAGATATTTCTATACCTTCCTTTTTTCATTTTGTATGTTACATGATTCTCAGGTCTTGCAGATAGATTTTTCCATTCAGTAATATGTAGGTAGACTTCATTTTTTAATTGTTCCACAAAATTCCTTAGGTGTATACCATAATTAGTTTAAACTATTTCTTTTCTTTTAGACAGAATGTTTTACTATTTTCCTGTTATGAATTATATACAGTCTTGTGACCATGTCTTCTGTAATTTTACAATTCCTCCTGTTGTATCCCTGCTCAGTTGTCACTTTCAAATACCTATTTTTCATAGACAGTTCACTTTATCATTATTCTTAAGCACTATACCTAATAGAGCTCGTATGTCTTTAAAGAAATGGATATTCATAATCCTTACTTATTTTAAAGTTGAATTTTGGAAATGAAAAACTGTTTGACAAATATTGAATAATCTGTTTGAACACAGATTTGAGTATTGTTAGGCAAAAAACCAGGATTATCCAAATATACAATCTTCTGCCTCAGAAAATGGTGTGCTACTTGTCACTGGAAATATTTAAATATGGAACAGACAACATTTTTTTTACAGAGCCATTTCAGATGAGATTAAAGTACTGAATAAGTGGTAAATCTAGATTATTTTTAGGGATTTCCCAACCTTCAGGTACTTCAAAAAGAAAAAGTTGGGGCTATTTGCAGTGCATGACTATTTGTATTTTCTTTTAAATTCATTCATATATGACAAAATAACAGTGAGCTGAAAAACATGGTCAGTAATCTTTGGTCAAACATGCTATAAAAACAAAACTTAAAAAAATACAGAAAATCTAGTCAAACATCTTCATGCTCATGCTTACTGAAGAGTAGAAAGTTCTCAGAAGACTGACTTTCCTATGATTTCTTATAAACCAGAATTAGATATCAATAGTGCTCCCATAACCATTGCTCCAACGTAACTAATTATATATCATTGCTAGAAATGCAGCTGTGGGATTATTTGGTGTGATTTTTTCTTATCTGCCCTTAGCAAATAATCCTTTCAGTTTTAAATCCTTCTCAGAGTAGGAATCCGTTGCTATCAGTTGCTACTGTGTAAGTAATTATTTCTTCTTAATTGTTGTGAAGTAAGTGTACTGGTTGGGTGACGCAGGCTAAGCCTCCCACCTTTCTTCATAGCATTGAGACAGGATTTACAGGTATACTTATGACTTGATTTTATTCAAAGGGATAACAGATAAGTGGGTGTTCTGCGTGCTAGTAAACAACATGGTCAACTCGGGAGAAAACCTATTTTATCTCTCTTATTTTTCTCTAAAAGGTATTGTTAAACTAGGAACAGTGCTCTCTTCAAGAATCTCCTTTGGATATTAACTCTGCAAATTGTCCACACAAAATTACATAAACCCTACATCCTCTTATAGGGCATCATTACATTTTGGCCTCTGATGATAATCATCATGATTTGAAATGGCCAGTGGCAACTACATCTTTGACATTTGTTACACTATCTTTAGTGGTCTTTTTGCCATAGCCATAAGGGATGCTGCTTTGTAACAGCAGTAATATTAATTGCTACCATTATCTTGCTTCTCATGTTAAATTTTCGGTTAAATCATTGCTATAAGTCTAAATGAGCAGTCAGGGATAAAAAGGACAAAGGAGTAGGAGGAAAATACATGACTAGACTGAGCCCTGCTGCATACTGAGAGGTAATTTACACAAATAGGCAGACGAAAACAGATGGGAAGAGGGAGAGAGCGAGAGCGTTGACTAATGACACCTGACTGCCAAATGACCCTGTGGGTTTGAACGCTGGCAGGACACCTAAAACTGTGCCAGCAGCCAGTTGGAACTGCCCAGTTCTCACTCACATTTCATTTAACAGGCTAACCTTGGTCTTTCTATTGTTACCATCACCAGGGAAATTTATACTATGTCTAATTATGGTCCAGAAAATATACATTCTAACTGGTTTTTCTTCTTTGAGAAGCTATGTGCTCCTGAACTGCTCAGGAGTTTATTGTTACAGTCACCTTTGTTTCCAACGGGGAAAATTTGATGTATTTGTTCTTTTAAGAGCTTCTTTTGTAAAATTATAGTATGTGGCACCTTTTGTGGCTTAATAAAAGATGTGGAGAAAAAATGAAATTTATTCTAAGAACATAACTATATTGTTAAATACTTTGCTGTTGGTAAAATATGTTTGATCCTGATAGGTAAGGCGTTCCTGGAACTATATCTAATGGACTCCTACCTGTCTCTTATTCTCATTCTCACTTTTAACTTTTAATCTCTTTTCAACTACCAACATTAATGTTTACGGATGTATATTAAAATATACTCTGGGCTTGGAATCAAGAGTCTTAGGTACCAGCATTAGGTATATTACCAAGTAGCTAACTGAACTAAAAACAATAATTTGGCATTCCTGTGCTTCAGTCTTTCCATCTCCGAAATGGGAATAATGTATTCTCTCTAGTGCTGCTGGGAAAAACATAATGAGAAAAAAAAAGAGAGAGAGAGAGTGTATGTGTGTGTGTGTGTGTGTGTGTGTCCATGCACATGTGTTGTGTATAGAAAGTGTAAAATCTGGTCTATGGCCATACCACCCCGAATGCACCCGATCTCGTCTGATCTCGGAAACTAAGCAGGGTCAGGCCTGGTTAGTACTTGGATGGGAGAAGTGTAAAATCTGGATTACTAAAATCATATGTGTCTGTCTAGAGTTTATTTACAGTAAAAGTTCAGAAGTACTAGCCGATTAAAAACTAATTTTAAAAAACATTGAAATATTTCTATAATAGCTAAGAAGCCTTAGATTGTTGATAGTAATTATGATATTGTGTGCATTTATAAACAGCATTTATGGATATTAACAGGCCTACACATGTTCTTGAAGATACATTTCCCTGTTTTTTTAAATTTAAAGAACACCAAGAGTATACTGGAAAAGCGAATGGGAACACAGACTGAGGTCTAGGCCATATTTAATATTTCTAAGCTATATAATGTTAAACAATCATCTCTATTGTCATTTGAGAAGTGATTCTCTTCCTGTATTCTCTTCCTGCCCTAGCCCTTTGGAGAAGAGATTAAAATGACACCAAAAGAAAATGAGTTACATTCGATAATTAAAAATTTTTCAGCTGAAAGGAAATTCTTAGGAATCAATCAGTTTAACCCAGAAATGAAATTACACACCTTCCACACCTCATTTGTTTACCATGTCTGAATCTAAAATGAACTGCAAGTGTAGTGTAATCTATTTTGTCAGAACAAATAAATAGAAGTCATTGGGTATGGAAATCAACAAACCCTAAACTTGAAAGATGGGTCTTCCTGACTCAAACTGTGGACATTACTCCGGCTTCCCATTGGGGAAGAGGCAGGTCTTCAGACATTACAAACATGACTTGAAAGGCAAACACTTGGAAAAGTCCCACTCTCCAGGCCCTGGAGTCCAGAGATGCCTGAGCGAATGATTGGGCAGTGTGGGAAAATAGGAAATATCAAGGACAGCCAGAGAGAATATCCCAAAGAAAAGGGAGAAATATATAGAACCAAAGAAGATGGAGGGAGGTTCTTGAAATTAAGAAAGAAGCAGGGGAGTGGGAAACCAAAGAGAAGCAAGTCATCGAAGAATGGGAGTCAGAAATAAAGAAAACAACTAAATAGCTGAGGAATATGTCCTCACATTATGAATTTGGCCTGCATCTCACTCTGAATTCTTAGGACTCACAGGTTTCTGGATAGCCTATTAACTTTAACTGGAGCTCTTTGGCTCACATTGCAACATAACGTCCATCACCCTCTCTCTCTCCAAATCTTAAATCTTTCTCCCAACCTAGTAAGGTAGAGCAGGAAAAAACAAAACAAAACAAAACAAAAAAAAACCACCTCTGTAAAGACAGTTTTAATATTAAAGACAAAAGCTTTTCTTTATTCCTTGGTTGCAGCAATGCTAAATTCTAAAGAGAGAATACTGCAAAATATTCAAACAAAGTAAGAGTAAAACAATTTTTTTATTTTTAAAATTACCCTGAAAATTAGTGTAAAATTAAAATTTTAAAAAATCAATTTTCCCAATGGCTTGTATCCATCCGTGTTTACTAAGAGCATTCTCAAAAACTTCACCATTTTCTCAAGTATCCCAATGGTAAAGATATTATGCATTTTTCCATCTACTACAATAGCTTATAATGATGTTTATAAACAGAAAAAATGAATAAAATATGCAATTGCTGTAAGGTCTGGCTCAATTTGTTTGGAAATTTCTATAATTATTTGACATTTCTCAAAATAGTAAAAAAGCTTTCCTTTTAAAATAAATTTGTGAGGAAAATATCTTAAAATCATTTAGTTTGGCAATGAGAGAGGTAGGAATATAAGAGAATTTGGAAAGTATTTCTCAGAGTTATAACATGTTAAGTCATTCGTTCTCTTAACTCAGGCCCTTCATTTTTGAAACACTTTTCTTCAAAAGGAAAGCTTTAGGTTTCTAGGTACTTTTATGTTACCACACTTCTATTCAGGAAAACAAGAGAAGGTGGTTGAAGAAACTGTATTTCCCTTAAGTACATTCCTGTGATATTAAGATAAATACAGCTTCCAAATATAAAGTCCAACTCAACATTAAAAATATTTTAGTAAGTTTTAAAACTTATGCCTGTATCACACAAAATACAGGCTGAATTGAGTTAAAGGGCTTAATAAAAATTCATCAAAGCAGAAAAATCAAGATTGAAGTTTATTTCTTATTTTATCAATGTGTAGTTGTAATACAAAAGAAACTTCCGTATAAATTTCTCTCATTTTCCTTTTCTCCAATCATTTTCAAAAACCCTTTAAGACATTTTTTAAATGTGAAATTTTATATGTGCACCTGCATTAGAAAATAACCATCATGTTCAAAATATTGTTTCAGAAATGGAAATGACAATAATTTGAGGCCAACAGATATCAATTAAGGCAGACTCAGAAACATCCAATAATAGGTGTCCATACAGGGTTATTGCTTATTGTTTACTTTAACAAAAATAATTATAGGATTTGTAGTCCTTTAGTATTCTTTGAAACATAATCAGATCATAGAATCTTAAATTTAAAATGTACACTGAAGATCATCTAGTACTGCCTTCTCCTTCTACAGGTATCCCTTTTGCAATACTTCACGCAGGAGATGATATAGTCTTTACTTAAATACCTTCCAGTGGCAGAGAAATCATTACTTTATGAAGCATCCCATTCTATGTTATACACGAATTTAATACTGTGTGTATGTTCCTTATACAATAGATAGAAAAATTTGCCTTCCCAGAAATTCCTAAAATTTCTGTATTTGGCCTTTTTCCACCATATTTTGGATGACAATTTTACTCTTTCCAGCTTACAACCCTTCAATATTTTAAAGACAGTTCTGGAATCCTGGGGCTCTCTTTTCTAGGCATAAAATTCCTCAGAAAAGAATCATATGATTCTCTGACCATTCACCAGTCTAAATTGCTTTGTCTCCATTTCATTATACCTGAATTTGACACGGAATTAAGTATAATGCTGTATGTGCAATCTGTACAGTAAGTCCCGTAATCCTTTTATTCTGGACATTGTACATATGTTACAGAGGTTCAAGCATGAATTTGTATTTTAGAACACCACAGAAAGGCACTCATAAAAAGATTCTTAATATTGGGTTCGTAGAATTGATGGTATACATAGATGTGACATCCAGGGAATCTGTGATTCCCCATGTATGTAATGTGAATATGAATATGTGTATGTTGTGGGACAGAAAACGCATAACTTCCATTATTTTAGGAGTTAATGATTCCACTATAGTTCAGAACCACTGTCTCTTTAATATGCATTACTGTGTAACCAGTTCTCCCCATCTTGATTATGTGCACTGACTAAATGAACTAAAGTATAAGAATCTGAATTTTACTCATATTTATCATAGTACTAACTCCAGATACATGAAACTTGATTTTTCATCTAAAAAGTTATTAATTCTTCCTGGCTTTATCTAACCTATAACATTTTTTGAAGCCAATTGTTCTGAATAACCTATAACATTTTTAAAGCATAACTTCTATCTTCATTCATGAAATCAATAAAACATTTGACTTAACAGAGCTAAGAATAAATTTTCTAAAACACTATTAGAGTCACCCAAGTTATATTGGTATATTAATCAAAGCTATTTGGTAGTATTATTAGTACCAAGACAGAATTGAAAAACCATAATTGCTGTATGATTTTTTGTGCTTCCATCAATTGTAAAAACTTTGCAAATGCCTTAATAAACTAAAACATACCACGTCTGTAGAATTTTTCTGATATATCCATCTAATAAACCAATAGATTTGATTTGTTTTAAATAAGCACATCTGCGTCTTTTTGTGCAACCCTTCCTTACCTAAGTATTCAAAATAATGTTTGTTAACTAGTGACTCATATATAATTTGTCCTCCTATTCTGCATTTTTAAAATAAATACATAAATGTCATTCACACACCTTAAAGCTTTATGGCTCCCTTTCTGCCTTCTATAATATTCAAGAATTCTGGAAAGGGTAGCTCATTTGAATTCATTTAAAGGATTAAGTGACTCCTTATAGTTCTTTACTTGTCTGATGTTTCAATGCCATACTATACAAGCCTCCTTTAACCTTTCCAGTGTGAATGTGATCCTCCCTAAGAGAGAAGGCAGAAATACAAAGGGAGGTTTTTTTATGTTCATTGTATCACGTCTTAATGTTCCTCAAGCAATGGAACCATTCTTTCTTATGCTGAAAACTTCAATTTTTGAAGACATTTCCATTGCTCGTTGCACTTTACATAGCCTCCATTCATTCAGCACATTAGGTTATGTAATAATGTTATTTTTCAAGATAATGCCAATCTTTATCATTTGTCCTTCATTTTATATGATGCTTTCTTGTGAACATCCTGGATATATCCATAAGTCATGCAAAATGTCTAAGTCAGTCTAGTAAGTCTTGATGATATTGCTGCCATCAAATCTATTGCCTGTGTAAACAATGAAAGGCCATTTTGCTCATTATCTGTTTTCTAAGTACTATTATAAAGATACCTGCACCCATTAATATTGTCCCTGACCTACATGATTTATATATATATATATATACACACACACATATATATAATACATATCACATATTCACTGTATATTTATTTTGAGCACCTGTGCTGCAGGAAGCATTGCACTGGCTAGTGGAAACACACACATGAATAATACACAGTGGCTACCCTTTAAGAATCATAATCTGGTAGGGGAGAGCAACTCGTACACATAATTGCAATGCAATCGAATAAACTAAATAGATGTTTTAAGTTCCATGAAAGCATCCAGGAGGGGGAACGACACCTGATGGGGACTGAAAAGGAGCTGGATAATATTTAAGAAGATGATGGCATTTTAAGCTGAGGTTTTTTTGTTTTGTTTTGTTTTTTGGTGTTTTTTTGTTTTTGTTTTTGTTTTTTGTTTTGTTTTGTTTTTTTGGAGACAGAGTTTCACTCTGTCATCCAGGCTGGAGTGCAGTGGCGTGATCTCAGCTCACTGCAACCTTTGCCTCCAGGGTTCATGCTATTCTTCTGCCTCAGCCTCCCGAGTATAAGCTGAGTTTTAAATCCTGAATAGGGTCACTAGAGAAATATTTTTTTTTCCAAAAGATATTAAGCAGCTCTCTAATGGTTATTCTTTTAAATCCATACATAGTACAGTACAGTAACTCCTCAATGTCATCATTTGTTTTTAAGCAAAACAACTTACTGTATAACAAAAATAATTTTACCATAGGCTAATTGATATAAACAAGAGTTAACTTCCTATGGTATACAGTATGTTGTTGTGCTTAAAGTTGCAGCAGTTTCTAAGAATCTTTTGATGATGTTAAGTGAGGGCTGACTGTAGCCATAATATATATCCTATTAGTTTCTAGAGGGAGGTGTCAATTTGCTCTCTCCCTCTCTGTGATTATATCTAAGAAACTGTATCAATTGCCATTTCCTTTTCGGGGGAAAAGGTACAATGTGGTCTTTATTTTTTTAAAGTCTCTTTGATCAAATACAAAATTTTCCAGTTAAATATACTTGTCTTGGCGCTCAAGGGATTTATGCTATTTCCTCATAGAGCTTTGATAAGCTATAAAATATTTAGGCTCTGTCTGCATGGCTAGTCATTCACTTCCAAATTCTTCTTTCTTTTCAAAATAAATAAGAAGAAATTGAGCTACTTTTTGTGTCTCCCTAGACTATCTTTGAATGTCCTACTCAGGTTTTAAAGTCCCAGTCCTGGAGATATAGCTCTGTTATTTTAATAGTACTATTTGTTTCACTATGACCTACAGTTAACTTTGCTTCATTTCACTGGTCTTTTTTTATACCCAGAAAGACAGTGTGCCCATGAATATTCCTATCAGATCATGTAGCTGCTGCCCTTTTCTTTAGCAATGGTTAAATGACTACCAAAGCTCAACCCTGGGGAAAAAGTCTTTATAATAGGTTGTCTAAATCCTTTTATTTCTCCATAATACAGGTGTTCTTCTTCATCAGGACTTTATCCAATGGAATAAATGAGGAAGCTTATAGCTGTTGCAATTTCCACTCATGGGTATTTTTCTCTTCTTTTCTACACTAGTTTGTTCCAATTGTTAAATATAACATTTCATCAGTGCTATCATTGTGAAGTTCAGCAGTTTCTCCCTATGCATGGGGCATCATTAAACTCTTACTATGTAACGAGCTCTGTGCTAAACTTAAGTTCTTTATGCATGTTAACTGTCACGTGAGTTTCATGTTAACACTCACATCTCTACCAGGTAAATACTTGTATTATCACCACTCAAAAATGAGCATGAGTTTTAGAAAGACTGACTGGAGCAAAACCAAAGATGTAATAAATAATTAATGGAGGTAGGGTCCACATTTTTTTTATTGTTATTGATCTCATTACTTAGATTGTTTTGATTTTCTGGGCTTCTTTTTGGAATATCACTTTCATTTCACCTAAGAACTCCATTCTATTTAATAAACTAAAACATAGAATTACTTTCACCTCAAGAAGGGAGATTGGCTTACATTTATAGAACATATAATTGGTGAGTGCCTTAGGGAGAAAGACAAACATAGCACATGGCCTGCAGGTTGCTGGAATGGTTTCTCAGTGCCAGACTGCTTGAGCATCAGAATGAAGCAGTCCTTTGTGGATATTCCTCCTCTAAACAAGTGAAGGAAAACTATCTCTTAGCTCTGGGCTCCCAGTTGTGACACTATGGAGTGGAAGAGGAGGAGAAAGGCTCTTCTTGGATTCTGACTTCAACCCAACTTTTCCATCCCCCTCTGCTTTCCCCGTTAGTTAGTCTGACTGCATCCAAAGTAACTATGATTCACGTGACTTGTTTAGGCTCTTTTCTATGGCTCTGTCATACTTTGTGCTAATTTGGGTGACTATGCTTCTCAATGCACTTAAATATTAATAAAAATAGAAAATAAGTTAGAAGATGTTCTAAAAATTTGTATTTTAAATTTTATTCCATTCACTTTAGAGAATTGAGAATATTATTTGACAGGTTTGACTAAGAGTGGCCAGGGGAATAAAATTTCCACCTAGTTTTTTGCATTTTTTTAATCTCCCATTATATTTAAAATACAGATTTCCCTTTAAATAAACAAGGATAAATTTTCAAGTGCTTTAGAATTATTAATAACCACAACTCTCCCAGGAGTGATTTCTTTGGAGTTCCTAAAATCACAACTCTTCAAGGACATAAAGTGGAGCTAATTTACCCGCTTATCTGACCCAAAGTAGAGATTTTTAGATTCGTTCAATCCCAAAAGGGAAAAGTACACCCTAGGTAGTATTTTTCTGTGAAACAACTCTTATTTAGAGTGGTGAATTAGTAAGTTGGCAGAATAAGGCGATCCATATTTTTCCTGCCTGTGTTATATGTGTTTTGGGGATAGAAAAATTTAGAACTTCCAATGTAGCAATTTCTGTTGACAAGAAATTTAGTTACTATGTTGCAATGGGGATTGTTTTGCTGATAAAATTCTTGATTCTAGTAGTCCACCCCTATTAAGTTTATAAATTGTTTATCAGCCTTTTTCGCACTCACCAGTAGGAAAAGCAAAAAACAAAACAAAAAATAAGGCACTATTTCTAACGGCAGCAACATCAGTAGCTTTGAGAATATTATTTCTGTGGGTTGCATTTTCAGTCTTTATTATAATTCTCCCTTGCCTACAATCTAATTTCTTTTAGACCCATATAGTGCCAATTTCTTTAAAGCATATTGTAGTAATATTAAAAATCTCAATCTAAATATCAAATTAGCCCTCAAATCATAAGAAATAAATCCATGTGGGCTCACAGAATTCTCCCTTCAGGCACTGAGATTTTAGTTATTTGTTTCTTTGTTTCTTAAAAAGAACAAATTGTTTTAATGTTGCATTTTATAAAGGACTTCAAATGTGTAGGTGTCCCCCAAAGTACTTGACTTTTGTGGCATTTTTTTTAAAAAATCATAACTTGGAGAATCTCAGTATTTGAGTGATGATAATCAAAATTATTTTGGGCTGAAATTCTGTATTTTGTATCACAGTCCATAGGAGAATTTCACAGCCAAGTAATAAACCTGGAAAATATGGGTTTATAATGGAAATGTCGACAGACTCTAGCAGGCGCTGCTGTAATATCTTGAATCTGATTTAAAAGAAGTTTTCAATAATGTTTCTCCAAGCCAGTCTTTTGGGAAATGCAAGTTAAAAAAAAAAAAGAAAAAGAAAAAGAAAGGTTTTCTACTACCTCTATCTCAATGATTGATGAAAATGTGAGTATTTTGTGGCCAGATACCTCAGGGCACCTGTGAATAAGATCATGGTAACAGGAGAATATGCATGGAGAGACTGCTGTCCTGTCCTGTAAAAAGCCACCCAGTTAAAGTCTCACTGCACAGATACATTTTGATATAATGATAATCCATAGATTCACATGGATTATACTTGTATGTTCTCAGATGAGGGTAGTAATGGAATAAATTATCACCCCACCTAGTCGTGTTTTAATAGAAACTTTTCATAGGAGGACAATTACAAGAGCAGCTGTGACTAAGATGGTGATTCTGGAATTACTGTAATTTATTATATTGACATACATAGTCTGTGCTCTCCCATATTCTCTGCAAAATTATGGTATAAAATTTCTGCCTTTGGTATATTTTTATACTTCAAATGTTATTGATTATGACAGGAAATAAGAGCTTTTTTCCAATCATTTAATTAAGGCAAAAAATCAATTAGGCATGGGTACCATCAATCTGAGTTTGCTGCCTTGCCCCACTCGTAGAGTTATACAATAGAGTGTCCCTGAGAGACGTAGCCTGTGGAAACGCTTGGGTCGAGCTGAAGAGACTTTGGGCAGAATCATGCCTCCATGCTTACCAGCTATGCAACCTTGAACACACTTAGGACCTCTTTAAGTCCCAGTTTTTTCAGGTAAAATGAGAAGGAAGTAAACAATAATAACAAGAGTGAGAAAATAATAATGATAGCAAAACGTTATTGAATGCTGATATACATCAGATACTGTGTTAGGTACTTTGCATACATCAACTCATTTAAACATATAATAGTATCAATCTCATAACTTTGTTGTAAGAATTAAGAGAAGTACTCTATGTACCTCGTTTGCATGACTTCAGTGAAAATGTTGGCTAGTTTTATTACTACAAGATTGAACTTGTTTCAAACACAACACTTAGATTAAAAAGACACAAGGGTCATTACTTTCCCTTATGGTTTACTGCCGTGGATTGTCATTATAGATCTATATGAAATCAAACTATAAGACAACCTGTTCCACAGAAGCCCCAATCACAATCGGTCAAGGGCTTGAACATCAGGGGCTAGAAGGAATTCATGAAATTTTCTCAACTCCTACACAAAGGACCTTTGGCTGTACACTCTTGATTTAGAGACTTCCCATATTCTAGACTGGCCCTACATTCTTCCAGTCTATAGTAGAAACTGAGTCATTTCAGGCTGCTGTTGTGACTTGATATGCCAAAGCTTTAAAGAAATAGCCATCCAAAATATTTAAAGCAAAATTTAAATGGCTAGACGCTTAACATTTTTTTTAAAGTACAAAAAGATAAAGTAGAAAAGAACACATCATAAGTATATACAGGTCAATAACCCTTCACAAATTGAGTGCACCCATGTAAGTGTCACCCAGATTATGAATAGTAATGACATCATGGAAGCCACCCCATCCATATTGGCTAGATTTTTATGGAAATCTTAAACTTACATAGAAATTAGCACAAGACTATTATTTTATTTAGCACTCAAAGCATTCTTGATGAAAGCTTTGTAAATTCTACTTCATTTTAGTAGAATAACTTCAATAAATCTTAATATGTACCACAAAGGATATAAAAATAGATGGGATAAATCATTCATTTTATTTTTAAAAATAAAATAACTGATTTTAGGGCTCAACTCAGTCTGGCATTTAATCTACAAGGGACTTGATAATAAAATCCATGGCTTAAAGCTTGTGTACTACAATTTCTAGGAGTATGGCCCCATTAGTAAACTGCATTCATGCTAATGTGCTTGCTTGGGGCGATAATCATTAGCGTTCCTAGTTCCAGTTCTTGCCAGGGAAAGTACACCAGGAGTGGGTGATGTAGTATTGTAATTATACAATTAGCCTTGTCAAGGCAGGGAGCATTGGGAATAGTAGGATCTTGAAACCTGAAATGTGGCTAGCTGATAGAT
This sequence comes from Homo sapiens, assembly GCF_000001405.40. Taxonomy (NCBI): domain Eukaryota; kingdom Metazoa; phylum Chordata; class Mammalia; order Primates; family Hominidae; genus Homo; species Homo sapiens. Next base: position 211,545,861 of record NC_000002.12, read on the forward strand.
GACTGTCATTAAGCTAATCTTTTGTTCACTTTGTGATTGAGGTGGAGACTGAGCTTAGGAAAAGGCTTCTTCATGAAGGATAAAATCCTTGACCGAGAGCCACTCTTCTTCATGTGCTCATCACCACTCAGCTCACCCTCCCTTTCCATAACTACACATATATTTTGTTCATATTTTACCTTAGCCAAATAAAACATCATGAACCGTTGCCAAAAAGCTCTTTTTAATCAATCAAATTTAGATAATAGAAAGTGAAATTACGTAGAAATAGTGTTTAGCCTAATACTTTTAATCATCACAATAATAGCTATCAACATTCTACATCCCTTTTCACACATACATATTTCACTGGGTATTGTAGAATTGTGGCTACATAGAATGACTCTATATTCAAAATATAAATTATTCTTACTAGTATATTGATGTTTAAGGTGTGTAAAAATAATACATATGCATACATATATATTTATGTGTATATGCATGTGTACACATATACACACATATAGTATATATTTTGTTTTATCACATGATACTAATAAGAATTACCCTAAATTTTTAAACTTTCTTATAGAAGAATAGATTGGCATAAAGCCTTAACTGCTTGCTCTCATTCACTTTCAGCCTGTATTCATTATTAACCTAAGTTTCCTCCCTTGTGGCTCAATGCCCTTTGGGGTTTATTAGGCTTTCTTCTGTAACCAGAGTGATCTGCTAAGCCACTTTCTTATGGTTAAATGAGGGTGTACAAGTAGGAATTTAGATGTTCCCACTAGGTAAGTATTAGAGGATATAATACTACCTGTTTGGTGTTGCACCCCTTCTAGGCTACATAACTACACAGACCCTTTTCTTCATAGCCACCATTATACTATATTTTTTGTACAAATCCATAGAGGATACCCTTTCAAGGAAGACTGACAAATTGCTAATGCTAGAATCAAGCTTAGTGTCCAGAATATTGTATGCCCATTTTAGCGTGCAAAACACAAACGTTCAGAAGATGTTTTAAAAATAAGTCATTATTACAAATACTGATCGTGACAAGGCTTGAGTGCATTTAGAAACAAATAAGTAGGAGGTGGATGCGGTTGTAAAGGGATGGGATGAGGCCATGAAATAGCTCTATATCTTGATTGTGGTGGCTATATGAATCTACACACGTGATAAAACTTCATAGAACTACACACGCACATACACACACAAATTTGTGTAAAACCAGTGAATCTGAAAAAGTTATGCAGATTTTATTAATGTCAGTTTCCTGACTGTAATACTGCACTTATAGTTATACAAGATGTTATTATTGGGGAAAATGGATGAAGGACAAATGAAATCTCTCTTTAAATTTTTGGAAACTTCCTGTGAATCTACAATTATTTCAAAATAAAAAGCTGTATTTTTAAAGAGCTATCTGGAGAAAAAAAATTGGTTGTGATCAATTGTGGAAGTAAGTTAATCTGTGTTTCATCTTCAGTCCCACTGTAGTTTTTCTGTTTCCAAGCAAATCACTTGACATTCTCATTCTTTGTTTCTCCTATTTCCAGAAAAAGGCAAATCTTATCTCCAGATTACTATAAACATCTTGAAATCTGTGGGAAAAATAAAATCGCATGCACACACCTGAAAGATCATAAATATATATCACAACTTCCTGAGAGCACTATTGTTAACACCCGTCTACCTCTACAGTTTTAGAAACAAAAGCCATAGGGGAGCAATAAACTAGATATGCCAGTCCTCCTACTTTGATTTTGCATTTGAGAAAATCACTGTGCTCCTAAAATCTGCTACAATACCAAGCCTCAAAAAGTTATGACTAACAGATGAAATTGTGTGAGCACTTTACACACATGAAATAAAATTTAATCCATTTGGATTGGGGTAGCTTTCACTTTTCTGTTAAAAAAAAAAAGTACCGTAAAAGTACTAGCTGAAGCATAAATTCACAGTAAAGAAATTAAGTTCTTTACTTTCTGGATGTGAATGGCAGCTGAATAAAAACCCTTTGCCATTTATAGAAAGGAGTAACTTACAAGCTGAATTAGAGTTGCTCAGCATGCCAAACAAAGCCACAGGCAAAGCAAAGCAAAAGGGAAGCTTGCTATTTTATAGGTTAGACAAGAAAAAGCCTAAATGACTCCTCTAAGTGAGAAACCTTCATATTTCATGCAAACTCCAGGAAATAATTAAGGCTTCAGTGGGATTCTGGGACCTGTGCTCTATAAACCGCCTCAATAAACTTCATTTTCATCTGGTAGTATAGAGATTCTCTCTTACCCCTTACTACCCTTTAAATATTGTCCTCCTTTGAGGCAATGAAAATTTGGCGCATAAATAAAAAGCATAAAATTGTTTCAGGGAGAGGGTGAACATGATTCAAATTCAACCAGGTGCTTTATCACCGATTTGGGAGGTTGCAATGTTATTAGACAAACTGATAGAAAGATCGAGAGGGAAAACTATTGGTGGAAAGGGAAGATTAAAAAAAAAAAAACCTTGGGAGATAAACTAAAAACACAAAAAGTATTTCAAAGCAAAAGTAAGCTAGCCAATTCAAATAAAATTCTATAGAGAAAAAATTCATAAGCTCATTTAAAAAATTATCACAAGAGGTATACGACCTCATATTTTAGACCAACTCTCCATCACACTGTAGTAGTTATAGAACCTAAATTACAAACAAAGCGTCCACAAGTGTTGCAGTCAGGGCTTGGGGATGGTGCTGGATGCCAGTTAATCTGAACTGGGATATCAGGGTGGCAGAGCAGTTATGGATCCAGGTCTTGGCTCTGACACCAAGAACCGTGACCTTACCTGGACTCTGTCACCTGCTTATGTTTCCGTTTCCCCATCTCCAACACAGCACATTAGATGATCTTAAAGCTGGTTTCTGTGAGGATCTAGAGAATCCTTAGGGTTCCATGAAGCCCTGTCTACACCCTTCTGCTGCTGCAGTTAGGTTCGGTTATATTTGTTTCGATTTTAAACTAAGATTTCACATGAAACAAATTCATGCCTCAAGAAAATTTAAAATCACTGAACTAGACCTTCTGGGGCTCCTTCCTGCACCAACATTTCAATAGACTCTGCTAATCATTTTTAAAGATTCACCAGTTCCACAAAAGAAAATTTTCTTTTGGGTTCTTTTGGGCTGGGTTCTCTCTGCGTCATTTTTTAATTGTTTTTCTTTCCTTGTGTAGAAACAGCAGCAAAATGTATTATTAAAATATCAATTGACGTTTTGTGCTTGCTACTTCTGAATAAATAGGAAAGTTTTCGTGTTTCTAATCTGGGCTCCCTATGTGGAAAGGGTTTTTGTACTGCAAGATGTAAAATTGCAATTTTGAAGCACCAGCACCCAGAAAATAAGTCTCACTTAGGTTTTGTTGTCTGAGAAATTGACTTATTTCTAGCAATGGAGGTGGGAACATAGAAAAGGCAGAACTCAACCACCTAGAAAACAAAAGGCTAGTTTCTTTAAGACTGAAAGGGAAAGGTAGAATCACTGGTGGCAGTTCTAGAGGGGGCTGGTAGTGGGATTGGGTAGGGAGACCTATGTTCCTACGGTCACACTGCACCCACAAAAGTGCTCGGCTTCTCAAGGGATGGTGAATGCATGGATATCCAGGCCCTGGAGGACTGAGTAGCATGAGTCAAGGGTATATAGGACTATGCCCTAGCCACGTTGATCGGGTACAAGAGTTATGTGGCAAAGAGCCTCATCACCCTAGTCACCCCAGTCTAGTTCAGCTGATAGAAAGTCTATACCTCTGACACGTAAGTGAGCCCAGGCAAAATCCCAGAGTCACCCAGCAGACCACCAGCAGATTTCAGATTCCTGAGCAATAAACACTTATGTGTCAAATAAAATAGAGAGGAAGACAATTATTTGGAAGCTAGATAATTGTGCATGCCTGACTGAGAGACTGGAGGGTTCTGCTGTGATGGGAGTGAACCAGCAGTACCTTTATGAGCCAACGACAAAATTCACAAAAATGGAATCCCTGCTCCTGTTTGCTCAGCACTTTGTGTGCCTCTTCAGGTTCTTCAGTATCTCTAGAAAGAACCCTGTCGGGACTTCCTTATACATGATAAAGTGGAACTTCAAGCCAATTCTAATAGGTGCTCACCAAGCCAGAATAATTTTTCCCCAGCTTTATTGGGGTATGATTGACAAATAAAAATTGTATGCATTTAAAATGTACAACCAGATGTTTTGATACATGTATACATTGTGAAATGCTGACCACCATTAAGCTAATAAACGTATCCTTCACCTCACCCTAGTCCCCATTTTTGTGTATGTGTATAGTAAGAACATTGAGATTTACTCTCTTAGCAATTTTCAAATATACAACACATCATTGTTAGCAATAGTCACCCTTCTGTACCTTAAGTCTGTACATTTATTCATCATATAACTGCAAGTTTGATCACAGCTCTTTTCTTCTAACCCAAAGCCCCTGATAGCCACCACTCTACTCTCTGATACTATAGAATAATTCTAATTTAGAAAAAAAAATGTACTCTTCCTTAAATCTGATATATCTGACCATACTTATTTCTGATTAACATGAGGAAAGAGGAAATGACGAGGAAAATTTGTCTGGAGAAGACTTGTCTTTCAGCTTCTGGCTTTCCTGGGTCTCCAGCTTGCCAGTTGCTTATTTTGGGACTCATCAGCCTCCATAATCTCATGAGCTCATTCCTTAGAATATATATATATATATATATAAATATATAGATATCTATCTCTATATATGAATATATCTATATATGAATATACTTAGGAATATATAGGTATATATATTCTAAGCTTATTTCTTAGAATAAGTATATATATAGGAATATATATATATATATATATATATACACACACACACATGCATTTCATTGGTTCTGTTTCTCTTTACAAAGCAATACACTTAATATGATTTCTAAATTAATCAATTAATTGTTCCTGGTTAGATCATGGCTGTAGATAATTTTCCTTTGGGATTCAATTCTCAAATCTCTAATTATGACATGTCCTAAGAAATACACCGAGACACCGCAAGAATTCCATTATTAGGTTCCCCCCGACCACCTTTTTTGTTGGGGGACAGGGTCTCGCTCTGTCGCCCAGGCTGGAGTGCAGTGGTGCAATCACACAGCTCACTGCAATCTGCGCCTCACCGGCTCCAGTGATCCTCCCACTTCAGGCTGGCTTTTTAATTAAAAAAAATTAAACACTGTATCTCCATGAAATAATCAATGACTTGTCCATATTTCTGAGTTTAGTTCTTCTTCCTTAGACTAGTATGCAGTGTGACCCTGGTAGAGTCACTGAAGCTATTTACTGTGAATAAAATCTTACCATCAAATTAGATTCATGCCGCTGACATACACAAAAGGTCTGATGACAATTAATCACACTATATAGTGTATTCAAATTTAAATGATCACAGTAAAAATGATAAATAATAAGCTATCATCTTTTTTCTTCCAAAATGTGGTTATATAATTACAATAAATTTATTTTGATTTTAAGGGTGTATTGTCATTAAAGGGAGTTTAGCTATGCCACTAATACTGTGACTTGTAATTTTAATATTTATCTTTTATCGTGCCTTTATAAAATATAAAAATTTTTCTGTGTCCAAATATACCCAAGGAATCCATTCAAACAACTGGTATTCACAAACTTCCAAACAGTATTAAATGTCTCTATTACATGACTGAATATATTAATAAGTGCCAATTTTATGTTTTCTATGATGTTAGTAGGGTTATTTCTCTTCTCTAGACTATTATTTTTTAAATTTCTATAATTTGCATATACATGCATATGACTGAGGCCATATCTACACATAGCATCTGGTCTTGACCAGAATTAAACTAGAAATGTCAGCACCCAGTTCAAGCATTTAAATGACATCAGACATTCATATTTGAATTTAATTTTAATTCATGCAGAAGGAAATGGCTGGATTGAATAAGAAATTAAGTTTCTTGTCACCCATAGTTACTACTGGAGAAAAATGGAAAAGAGGAAAGAAGGTAAATGAAGGCTCTGCTCGTGTAACATATTCAAGCCTTAAGGAAGCTTTCACATCTGTCACAGAAGAGGAATCCATTTCTTAACACAAGAATCTGCTCTCTTTCCAATCATTGTGAACCACGTTTTTAATGTGAAAGAGGTTCTTCTCTCCCATTTGCCCCTTCCACTAACTCCCACTCTGCCACCAATAGTAAAGAAAAGTAAAGCGCACAGATACCTGTCCCTGGGCCACAAAAATAATCAGGTTTTATTAGCTCCAATTAGAAATATGACATGGATATTCAAGGTAATTTGGTGATAACGTAGAGTTGGAAATGAAAAAAAAAAATTGAGAAAGTCTATTAAACTGGTCCCAAATTACACTAAACTTTGAAACAGTACTAATTTTCTCTGAAAATATAAATGGTAGAATCAGTCTGTTTGCAAAAATACACTGAAAAATTCTTTATTTATAGGTAGAATCTAAATTATTTTGGCTAGACACACTAATTCTTAAAAATATTGAATAAATTTTTTAAAATTTTTTTTGGAAGAAGTTTAAGTTGAGTATACAACTTAATCAGGTAATCTGTGAATCATCTTGAAGGGTACGATGGACCACTGACATATTTTTAGAATCACCCTTTCAACTAGTTTCAATGGCAAAACACCAAAAAAAAATAAAGAAAGCCCATGGAACCTTACATCTGAGTTTAACCTCAAATCAATTAGGGCACCGGAAAAAAAAATCTGACAAGGTAAATAGGCCAGCAAAGCTCTGAGGAAGGTTTTAGGATTTTGAAAGGTAATAGTGGCCTATACTCAGTATTCAGGCTTTACAAATACAGCACCAGTGATATATGTATCATAAAAAAGCTACAAAAGATAGTTTCCTTAGAGCAAAGTCAGAAACTAAAATTTTTGCAGGAATAGTAAGTCAAACAAATATTAACCTTTTCTAGCTTGAGATTGAAAAGTTAGAATTTTTTCTTTGCTCCTCTTCAGTAATAGATTGTCTTAAGAATTTCCCCTGAGCTCAGTTCTTTGCCAGTTCACTGGTGGTTTCACATGTTTTCAATATTACAAATAATACATTTTTTTTTTTTTGAGATGGAGTCTCACTCTGTCACCCAGACTGGAGTGCAGTGGCATGATCTCGGCTCACTGCAACCTCCACCTCCCATGTTCAAGCGATTCTCCTACCTCGACCTCCTGAGTAGCTGGGATTGCAGGCACCCACCACCACGCCCGGCTAATTTTTGTATTTTTAGTAGAGACGGGGTTTCACCGTGTTGGCCAGGCTGGTCTCGAACTTCCGACCTCACGTGATTCACCCACCTTGGCCTCCCAAAATGCTGAGATTATAGGCATGAGCCACCACGCCCAGCCCAATAATACAATTTTTAACATAAAAATTAGAAGCCAAGTTAAGACCACAAGCATCCTAGGAACCTGTGTAGGAAAGCATATGTGGATGAGAGACTCAGGTTCCTTGTTCCAAAGGCAAAAAATATTGAATATTAAACATGAGATTCCCTGCTCTCCTCAGCCTGGTATGGTCTATGAACAAATGCTAAATACTTTGTATCTGAAATTTTAAAAGTCATATTTTTAAATGACGGTATTTTTTACGTGTCATAATTAGGGTATTCTAACTATAAACATATGTCTGTCCTTATTGTAGTGATTTCAGATATTATCTAAAATAACACATAGTTTACATTCTTACTTTATGCCAAACAGTAAGCTTAGCACATTACAAATATCATCTTATCCTTAAAATTACCCTACAAAATAGGTAGCACTGTTATCCCCCTTTTCAAGAGCACAGAGAGATTAACTAACTTATTAAAGTTCGCACAGTTAGTAAGTGATAGAGATGAGATTTGAACCCAGAATCTGTAGGCTAAACACAAACTAGTACCAGACTACACATTTTAAATTCTTATTTTACAGTGTCCCTTGTAATTAGTATCTATGACCCATAGTAGCTCCCAGAATTGTTTTGAGTTTGCTTTATTTCAATAGTTAAAACATTGCTTGAAGAAGTTCCTCCACAAATATTCATCTAGCACTTTCTCCTGAAAATGCGGCATAGATGTTAATGATAAAACATGTTCTCATGAAGACAATAACAAGTATTATTCATGACAGTTTTTCTCTTATGGAATTAATGATGAGACACAACTACAGATAAAATGGTATGCTCCCCTTCAGTCCTCTAATTCCGGAGTGCCGTTGAAGAAGAGCAGGTCACTTTAAGCTGCAGTGATGTGTGTGTGTATGGAGAGGAAAGAATGCAGAGTGGTTTGGAGACCTGGCTCAGGAGTCAGAGTTATCTGGCATAGCACTCAGGCATTTCAATATATTTGTGTGTCCTTTTGGACTTAACTTCCCATTTTCCTCATCTATAAACTGGGGAAATAATGAGCCATATCTGCTAGAGTTTCAGTAAAGATTTAACAACACAATGTACGTAAAGCACCAAGGATATGCCAGGTGTGTAATACACACTTGATCTACATGGACTCATTCATTGTCAATGTTACTCCAATGCAGCTCTGGACCCAGAGCCACACATTCCCACCCACACAGCACACGCAGTGCTGGAGAGGAAGTGGGCCTAGGAGGGCCTGCAGGTACAGGCAGCTGTAGAGCTGCTAGAAGCTGGGGTGATGCTCGCCCCACTTTCCTGTAGACACCACAGGTACTGTCTGCCTGTTGTCACACAGTTCATATGCTTGCTTGTGATGGAACCTTGGTCCCAGGATCTGTGCTGTTTTCCACTTTGTTACACTGTCTAAGGTGGCTTTTAACTGGAACCCAAGTGCAAATAAAGGTTGGTATTCGGCTCCTGACTTTGTGTAGAGAAAACAGTCCTTTTGGTCACTCCCAGACCACAGCAATCAGTCATGATTTTGTTGAATAATCAAAGCTGAACCCATACATGGTAGGGTCAGTTAAGGATGTTTGCTTTGGGCAACAGCCTACTTTTTGTCTCATATTAAATTAATACCTGAGTTAAACAAAAACAGAAACACCTCACATACACTATTCAGAATCTGCTAAATTGTCTTTTAAAAACTGCTTGCCCAACTTATTAGCAACAACGATAAAAGACGAAATTTTCATGATTTCCTAGTATCCTGGATTCATAAAGCATCAAGAAGGCATATGGTATTATATGAGCATGAAATAATAACATGGACTGCTCTGCTTACCAAATTCAGTCAAGTCCAAAGGCAGCACATGCAGAGGGAGCATGACTGCCTATAAGAAACAAACAATTTTGGTGTTTAAGTCTGTGTTTTCTTTTTTTTTTTGAGACGGAGTTTCGCTCTTGTTGCCCAGGCTGGAGTGCAATGGCACGATCTCGGCTCACCGCAACCTCTACCTCCCAGGTTCAAGCGATTCTCCTGCCTCAGCCTCCCTAGTAGCTTGGATCACAGGCATGTGCCCCTATGCCCGGCTAATTTTGTATTTTTAGTAGAGGCGGGGTTTCTCCATGTTGGTCAGGCTGGTCTCGAACTCCTGACCTCAGGTGATCCATCCGCCTCGGCCTCCCAAAGTGCTGGGATTACAGGCATGAGCCACTACGCCCAGCCTAAGTTTGTGTTTTCTATCACATAAAATGTCGTAGAATGATGAACTAATGGAAGAATGGAAAGAAAACTTACAATACAAATGAAAATATTTTACAAAATACTTCCTTATAAGGAAGCCCATCAGACTAACAGTGGACCTCTCAGCAGAAACCCTAAAAGCCAGAAGAGATTCAGGACCAACATTCAACATTCTTAAAGAAGAGAAATTCCAACCAAGTATTTCATATCCAGGGAAACTAAGCTTCATAAGCAAAGGAGAAATAAGATCTTTTTCAGACAAGCAAATGTTGAAGTAATTTGTAACCATCAGACCTGCCTTACAAGAGCTCCTGAAGGAGGCACTAAATGTGGAAAAGAAAGACCATTACCAGTCACAGAAACACACTGAAGTACACAGATCAGTGACACTATAAAGCAACCACACAAACAAGTCTGCATGATAACCAGCTAACATCACGATGACAGGATCAAATCCACACATTTCAATACTAAATCTTGAACGTAAATGGGCTAAATGCCCCAATTAAAGGCACAGAGTGGCAAGCTGGATAACGAGACCCAACTACATGCAATGACAACAATAGGCTAAAATAAAAAGATAGAGAAAAATCTGCCAAGCAAATGGAAAACAGAAAAAAATAGGGGTTGCAATTCTAATTTCAGAAAAAATAGACTATAAACCAAAAAAGATCAAAAAAGACAAAAAGGGGCATTACATAATGGTAAAGTGTTCAATTCAACAAGAAGACCTAACTATCCTAAATATATATGTGTGCAACACAGGAGCACTTAGATTCATAAAGCAAGTGCTTAGAGACATTCAAAGATATTTAGACTCCCACACAATAATAGCGGGAAACTTCAATACCCCACTGACATTATCAGACAAATCATTGAGACAAAAAACTTAACAAAGGTCTTCAGGACCTAAATTCAGCACTAGATTAAATGGATCTGATAGAAATCTACAGAAGTCTCCACCAAAAACAATAGAATATACTTTCTTCTTTTTTTAAGAAAAATAAAATTATTTTTTATTTTTTAAACTTTTTGTGGGTACATAGGTGTATATACTTACAGGGTACAGAATATACATCCACCTCATTGCCACATGGTACATACTCTAAAATCAACCACATAATTGCACATAAATACTCCTCAGCAAACGCAAAGGAACTGAAACCATAACAAACACTCTCTCAGATCACAGTGCAATAAAAATGAAATTCAGGACCAAGAAAGTATTGACATTCTTCACAGAACTAAAGAAAACTATTTTAAAATTCATATGGAACCAAAAAAGAGCCTGAATAGCCAAAGCAATTCTAAGCAAAAAGAACAAGGCTGGAGGCACCATGTTACTCAACTTCAAGCTATACTACAGGGCTATGGTATCCAACACAGCATGGTACTGGTACAAAAACAGACACATAAACCAATGGAATAGAAGAAAGAACCCAGAAATAAGGCTGCATACCTTCAACTATCTGATCTTTGACAAACCTGACAAAAAACAAGCAATGGGGAAAAGATTTCCTATTTAATAAATGGGGCTGTAATAACAACTGCCTAGCCATATGGAGAAGATTGAAACTGGACCCCTTCCTTACACCATATACAAAAATCAACTCCAGATAACTTAAAGATTGCATTGTAAAACCCAAAACTATAAAAACCATGGAAGACAACGTAGACAATACCATTCAGGACATAGGCATGGACAAAGATTTCATGATGAAGATACCAAAAGGAATTGCAAGAAAAACAAAAATTGACAAGTGGGGTCTAATTAAATCAAAGAGCTTCTTCACTGCAAAAGAAACTATCCACAGAGTGAAAAGATAACTTACAGAAAGGGAGAAAATTTTTGCAAACTATGCATTCAACAAAGATCTAATATCTAGCATCTATATGGAACTTAAACAAATAGACAAGAAAAAAACAGAACCCCATTAAAAAGTGGGCAAAGGACATGAACAGACACTTTTCAAAAGAAGTCGTACACGCAACCAGCAAGCATATGAAAAAAAGCTCAACATCACTGATCATTAGAGAAATGCAAATCAAAACCACAAAAAGATACCATTTCACACCAGTCAGAATGCTGGTGAGGTTGTGATGAAAAAAGGAACACTTATACATTGTTGTTCCTTATAAGTGTATAAGGAACACTTATACATGGTGGGAGCATAAATTAGTTCAACCACTATGGAAAGCAGTCTAGCAATTCCTCAAGGAGCTAAAAACAAAAGTACCATTCAACCCAGCAATCACCTTCCTGGGTATATACCCACAGGAATATAAATAACTCTATTATAAAGACACATGCACACGTATGTTCATTGCAACAGTATTTCCAATAGCAAAAACACAGAATCAACCTAAATGCCCATCAATGGTAGACTGGATAAATAAAATGTGGTACATATATACCTTGGAATACCATGCAGCCATAAAATGGACAAGATCATATCCTTTGCAGGAACATGGATGGAGCTGGAGGCCATTATCCTTAGCAAACTAACAAGGAACAGAAAACCAAATACCACTTGTTAGCACTTATACAGGGGAGCTAAATGATGAGAATGCATGGATACACGGAAACACACACTAGGGCCTACCTTAGGGTGAAAGGTGGCTGAAAACAATGCAAATTTATTCTCTTACAGCTCTGTAGGTTGGAAGTCCATAATCAGTTTCACCAGGCTATAAAATCAAGGAACAGGGAGGCCTGTATTTCTTCTGGAGATTCTAAGAGAGTCTGTTTCCTTATCATTTCCAGCTTCTAGAGGTGCCTACATTCCTCAATGCATGGTCCCTTCCTCCATCTTCAAGGTGCACTGCTCAGCTCTGATCTGTTCTTATGTCTTCTGTCTCCTGCTCTGATCCTTCTGCCTCCCACTTACAAAGACCCCTGTGACTACAATGGGCCGATCTGGGTAATCCAGGATAATCTCATCTCAAGATCCTTAATTTAATTACATCTGCAAAGTCCCTTTTAACATGTAAAGCAACATTCACAGATTCTGGGGATAGAATGTATTAGCATCTTTGAGGGTAAGATATTATTCAACCTACCACAGGTAGATACCATTTATTACATTCTTTTTGCACATGAGAAAAAAATATAGTAATTATTAATACCACTATATACAATGAGAAACAAGAATTCAGAGGCTAAACAACACAAACTCACAAAACTGAAAAGTAGGCACCAACATATAAACATAGTGTTTCTAACCCTAAGTCTGTTTCCACTACACAATTCTGCTCCCGAAGTAGAAAAAAAAAATAAAGGAAGGACTCCCTGCTTAAGGGTAGATTTTGTTATTTTCTTGGATTAAAAATAATTACTATATATTTATTGAATGGCTAACTACATGTAAGATCCAATTTTAGATTCCGGGAATAAATGAGAATCAGATACAGTCAGTCTCAAGGTAATCCTTCATCTTTCCATATATTTAAATACCTATAATTCCTAAATGTATATATACAGTACTGACCAAATTTAACTACCTCATTAACATTCCCAGTTTCATGTTCTATAAACTTTTCCAATGTGCCAAGTCTGAAACTGAACTCTTGATTTTTTCCTACAAATGTTCATCCCCCATCCTTCACCACCTCAGGAAATGATCTCACCGTACTCCCCTCCCTCACCACTCATAGCTAATCAATAATTGAATACCTTAAATTTTGCCCCCCAAATATATCTTAATTCCATCTACTTCTCCTTATTGGCATTGCCTCCAGACTCCTAATTAGTATCTTCATTTTCATTCTTATATCGCCTCAATCTAACCTCCGTACATAGACTGCATGATCTATTTAGAATATAAATGAGATTATGTCAATTGCATGTTAAAATACTTCAGTAACTACCTACAGCACTTAAAATAAAATTCAAATTTTTCTTGCTATACTGGGTAACCATATAATATGTTCTGTTTAGGACTTTTCTGTGCCTGTTGTCCTGGCATAACTAGTAATACAGTCTCCTTTCATGCCTAAAATTATTCCACTTGGATGATAAGTCTCTTGATCACCACATCTGTAGAGCCCTGTGTGATCTTTCTTTTGCCTAAATATTATTCTCATAGCTGAAGACTTCTCCCTCAGGACTCAGTGTCTTCTCTTAAGTCTCCCTAGTAGTTGGCTTTCTTTAAAATCTGAACCACTGTATTCAATCCTATAGTTAATTCTTTCATTTGTTGAATGTCTGTTCAATCCATTAGGGTGCACAGAGAGAACCAGGCTCGTATCTGCATTGTTTACTCATACATACCTCAGTCAACATCGTATCTGAAACAAGATAAAAGCCCACCAATATCTGCTGAAGATTAATGACTAAATAAGCTTACCATATAGACAGAGAGATAGTAAAAGTATAGTATGACATTTACGTAATATGAATGTGTTCAAGATATCAACTACCAAAATTAATACAAAAAAGAAAATAATTATTTCTGCCTCCAGAGAAGGGTTGACTAGGAAAGACTCCATAAATGGAGGATGCCCAAACAGGCTTGATGGATGAATAAGATCATGCAGCATGAACCAAGAAGCCAAGAGAAGACTTCTAAGCTTAGGGGATGGCATTTGCAAAGGCAAAAAGGTATAAAACTAATTATTCAGGAAACTCAAAGTAGTTTCTCTTATTAGAGTGTACAATGTCATATAAATGATATATTAATAACACAAACCTTAAGGACAAAACCTAAATTGTAGAGACACAGCAGAAAATACAGACAGCACTAACAAATTTGAAGCTTAGCTTTTTTTTTTTTTTTTTTTTTTTTTTTTTGAGATGGAGTTTCCCTCTTGCTGCCCAGGCTGCAGTGCAGTGGTGTGATCTCGGCTCACCACAACCTCAGCCTCCCAGGTACAAGCAATTCTTCTGCCTCAGCCTCCTTAGTAGCTGGGATTACAGGCATGTGCCACCATGCCCAGCTAATTTTGTATTTTTAGTAGAGATGGGGTTTCTCCATGTTGGTCAGGCTGGTCTCAAACTCCTGACCTCAGGTGACCCACCTGCCTCGGCCCCCCAAAGTGCTGGGATTACAGGTGTGAGCCATGGCACCTGGCCTGAAGCTTAGCTTTGTTTTCATTTATAGTCCTAGAATGATTTGATAAGTTCTATTGCATATTTAACTCACCTTATAAATTATAGAAGTTCTTAGATAAATCCATTTCGGAAGTGCTATATTTCAAACTTCATTGCCATAAAGAATCCTCACAGTTGCAGTTATTACATAACAGTTACAAAATTATAATACACAGTCCATAAGGAAACTCTACTGCGAGTTATGGTGTATAGAACTAAGCTGAGCTTTTCTGTCAAGTAAAATTTTTGGTTTAAATTTTAATAATTATGTCAAATTTCTTTTTTCTATAATGTGCTTTTATTCATTATTACATTATTTAAAAAAGGCCAAAACCACTATGTTATTATTTTGGCATTTATATTGTACAAACGTATAGATAAAAATATCTATGGAATCTTAAAAGACTTCGGGTCATATTTTGATGTAACTAAGAGTTGACATAATTAAAACTCATCATTGACCTATTTCTCTAGAAATAGAAAATTATCAAGATAGATATCTGGTATAGATAATCATAGATATTTGTTTTGAACATTTAGAATGTATACTAGAAGTTGCACACTAGCAGACTGCATGATAAGAATGCTTTGTTTAGACTCCAGTGTTTCAAAAATTGACTTAAGATTTAAATTTGGGAAATCACAAAAAATCCAGAATTCTGGCCACTCTTAAAAAAATTAAAAGATCAGCTAACTCTAGTAATATTCCCCAATTCACAGTCCCCTAGAAACTAGTAAATGCTCTCTGTAACCACAGACCCACCTCCCCTATCACCCCAGAACACTGCCCTTATATATGTGACATGCCTAAGCCTTTGTGTAAGACTAAAACTCTCAACCATTAAAAACCAATTGAAGATCATCAAAAAGACTAAGAATATATTTAGACTTTGCTCATTTGTAATAGTGAGAGTTAAACATAAAGGCTATTTTTAAAAATCATCTAAACATGAACAAATTCAGACATTCAACCCTTTCTTTCTTGGATTTTATTAGTTAACTAGACTATACCGAAACAAATAAGCCAAACAAATCCAGTATAACAATTCCTCCCCCTGACTACCAAGCTATTTGTTTTGGCACCTAGTCAATTCAATAAAAATGATACAACACAATAATCTAAAAATATATATCACGCATTTAATCTGTAGTTTACCTAAAAGTACCTCTCTGTTATGTATCTTTCATTGCAGCAAATATACTTTATTTTATTTAAATGGGAAGACAACATATTTTCAATATGAAAACTGTTCCAGGTTAGGAAATATTAACCTAAAAATGTAATTTCCATAGAAATTGACAGGCACTTACCTTAGCTATCTGGACACACCAGTTAAGCAGCAGTTGTGATCCAATGTTATCCTTGTGCTCGTGGACATACTCCAACAGGCAGCCATGGGGCATAAGTTGAGTAACCAGCTGGATGGTTGGGCTCAGACACACACCCAGCAACCGGACTAGGTGTGGATGATCCATACTTGCCATGATCAGAGCTTCCTGTAAGAAAAAAATGCAATACCATGATTTCAACTCAAATTTTCTTAGATTTAGAGTTACTTGGATTGTACTAATGGTGCTGATGATTTTTAAAAATGTACTCTTACTCAATGGAATCAATCAAAATGAAAAGACATAATTTCAGTTATTCTATCTTTAAAGTGATTTCATTCAATAAAATTAAATAAACAACAAAGTCTCTACATGCATTAACATGGAAGCTGTTATACAATAACTGCCTACACAATTAATAGCAGTATTTTCTCCTTTGTAATATGAGCAATATGAGATTTTACTTATTGCCAAGTAAGTCAAAATGAATTCCAGCTTATATTATGGATTTTTAACCTTTGACCTTTGCTCTGGTAAAATAATGTATACAAATTTAGTTAGTTGCAGGTAGAGTAAGGTGAGCTGAACTTTGAAGTCACCCATTATTGGTGTAGAGTTGGACAGCTTACAACGGTGTCATGTATAAATCGTAAATATGGAAATGTAGATAATTACAAGTAATATGTCTATTGTCAATTTATATAAAATAATAAACATTTTAATAAGATATTTTGTTTCATAATTTTACCTTTCCTCAAATTTATTTCATTTTCAAAATTATAAGTGATGTCTTATTCATAGATTCATAAAATTTGAGAGCTGAGACTATAAAAATTTGACTACTCCAACTTTTTTTTTTTTTTTTTTTTGAGACGGAGTCTCGCTCTGTCGCCCAGGCTGGAGTGCAGTGGCGGGATCTCGGCTCACTGCAAGCTCCGCCTCCCGGGTTCACGCCATTCTCCTGCCTCAGCCTCCCAAGTAGCTGGGACTACAGGCGCCCGCCACTACGCCCGGCTAATGTTTTGTATTTTTAGTAGAGACGGGGTTTCACCGTTTTAGCCGGGATGGTCTCTATCTCCTGACCTTGTGATCCGCCCGCCTCGGCCTCCCAAAGTGTACTCCAACTTTTATATTTCATAAAATGAGAAAACTGAGTTATAATTTTGCATCAGAATCATAAAGGCACCACTGCTTAATGGGGATAAAAGTGGACATATGATGGTTATTTAGTGCATACCAGTTAGCTTCTAATAAAAAGTTATTATAAGACTCTTGATTGTAATTTGAAATAGACATAACCATAAAATAAATGTTTATGTACTTTGTTACGGCTTGATATGTGCTTTTATATTATGAAAGCCAATAAAATATTGTTCATCTCCTACGAAAACAATAGTAAATTTTTGCTTTTGAAAAGCTATGTAATATCACCTACGTAGTATTCTTGTCAATAATATCTGAATCTAATCATGAGGAAAAAATCAGACAAATCCATATTGTAGGACATTCTGCAAAGAAACTGGCCTGTACTTATTTAAAATGTCAATATTAGGAGAAACGTAAAAGAAGTGTATGATGTTCAAACTAACATTTATTACAGAAATAGAGCAATGTTGCATCTTTGGCTCTTGGATAAAAAAATATATAAAACATTCTTGGGATAATTGAGGAAATCTAAATAGGGACTATATATCATGTACTATTATATCAATGTTAAATATTTGAGAGTGGTAATGGTATTGCAGCTATGTAAAGTAGTATTCTTTGATCTTAGAAGATCCTGAAGTCTTTATAGATGAACTATCTTGTGTCTGCCATTTACTTTCAAATAGTTTACTCACACAGGGAGGGAGAGAGATATATAATATATGTATACGTATCTATGTTTTTGATGTGTCTATACATATATATACACACAAATGCACATACACATAGAGGGTGTAATATGTATATGGCAATGGATTATCAGTTGGTTTTTCTATATGAAGGTACAGTGTTCATTGTATTACTCTTGAACATTTTCTATAACTTTGAAACATTTCAAAATAAAAAATTAAGGACACAAATTATATTGAGTTTCCATTTAACATGGTATGGCAGATTGAATTCACAAATTACTTCCCTTTCATTTCAACTTCATTATACTGACAAAAAAAGAGTTAATTTTAAAAGACAGACACCAACAATCACAGAAAGGAGGCAATAAAGATAGAATAGTAAAAGTAGGAAGTGGCTTATCAGTGTTAGCCAACTTGGTAAACATAAGCAATCTGAAGCCTAATTTAATGGGGGGAAACTGAGAAGCAACCCAATAATGTATAACACCAAAGGCTGAGGAGTAGTAGTATTACAAACCTCCCTAAACAGAGCAAGAAGAACTGTTTTCAGCGGGAATGCTTCAGAGTACATTTAGGAAACACTTAGACTACACATCTCCTTCTTCCCTTTACCTCTAGGAAATCTTAAACCAAAAGAACTGTGGACTGTGGATATCAGGCAAAATGGAAAGAGAAGTACTCTGGGGAAAATAGAAGTATTATGTAAATTTACATATGATAAAAATATGGACGATTTCTTCCATTCCATCTCCCAAATAGAGCTGTGACTTCAAAATTCTCAAAGTTTTGTTTCAACCTAGAATTTTACACCTAGCAGCATTTCAACCAAGTGAATGCATACAACAGACATGTTCAGACATGCCAAATCTTGATACATGTACCTTCCATGCTTCCTTTCTTTGTAAACGTGCTCATAAAAAAGGGAGGGGGTGTTAGAAGAGTACATAAAATCAAGGAAACAAACATCAAGCATGAGATATGGAAATACAAAAAATACAGTGAATAATTTTCTAGAATAAAAGCTATACAACAAACGGAAATAGCAGCCAGCCCAAACTGGAACAGGACAAATAGCTCTGGGAAAGGTGACCCAAGAAGATGGAATTGATAGAATGCCTGATGAACTTAAAATACATTAAGAAAGTATTTATTTTTCTAGTGGGAGTTGAAGGTCAAATTAGTGATAGATACATAGAAAACTAAGCTAAAGTAAAAAAGAAGAAATTAACCTGAGATAAAACACAAAGATATGCACAAGAAAGACTCAGAAAGGTGAGGAGCTAAGAGGGGAGTGGATGATGAGAGATTGCTCAATAGGTACAATGTATCTTGAGTGATGGATACACTAAAAGTCTTAACTTCCCCATTAGGCAATCTATGTATGTAACAAAATTATACTTGTACTCCATAAATTAATACAAATAATTAAACAGAAAATCATACTTACGATACAGCACAACTGGGAATAGTTACATAATCATAATAGTTTAAACATGAAATACTGATATAATCAGAAATCATATAGCTGTGGGAAGATGGGACAGAGTATGCCCTTCTGAAAGGTGGTGATGGGAATGGAGTGAAAGGTACATAACCATTGCTGGTTGCAAAAAGTTAGCATATGATACATAGGCTAAAAAGAAAAAATTAAGACTTCACAGTATAAGCATATTATTTAAATGTATGGAGTTAAGTAACAGAAGAAATTTCCAAAGATTTGAAAGTGATTGATTTGGGCAGTGGAAAATGGGGGCAGGGAAGGGACAGCAGGGTAGCTAGCATCTTTCATCATTAGTCTTGTCAAAGTATTTCACTTTTTTATAATTACCTTAAAGCTACTTGGGAGGACATTATCCCCTTTAACCGTCCCTACTATTTTACCGCTGTTGAGTTCAGCTGTGCCTTACAAGAGTTATTCACAAATATGCAGTGTTTGATGGGGTATGTGGGCTTCCCAGATCCAGCCAAGGGTTTATCGTGAGGTTTAACATTTTATTTTTTCAGTAAGGAAAAGGGGGCAGCATGGGAACACGCCTGGAGAAAGGAGTGATAGAAGACCAAACAAAAGAAGTAAGCTGGTAAAATGCTGTCACTCTCCCTCAAAAGACTTTTTGTTTCTGAGGTTTGGTGGCAAAAACTGAAATCATTGTTTTTCACATGGCTTCCAAGTAAAAAAGATACTTCAATTATCTCTTCCCTAGCTGCCCCAGGGAACAAGAAGAGTCACAGAACAGAGACCAGTTTCTATGCTTTCTTGCTGAGCCCACCAGGACTGCAACAAGATGATGACTGGAAGTTCCGGGTGCACTTTGAGGCGTCACGCCTAGCAAGGACTTCAGCATCCTCACGTGGTACCAGTCAGCAGTAACAGGAGTAGGTCCTCTCCAATGGCTCAGAGAGAAGAGAATTCAACATAGGGACCAGAACTGGTAGGAAAGATCACTGTAGAAACCACAGAAGCATCCTTACATGGTATCAGTCAGCGGTAACAGGAGTGGGACCTCTCCAATGGCTCAGAGAGAAGAGAATTCAACATGGGGATCAGAACTGGTAAGAACGATCACTGTACAGGGAGACTGCAGCTGGAAGGCCAGATTATAGGTAAATAGGAGACACCCAACAAGTTTCCAAAATATCTGCGGAGACTGCTTGGGGGGCCAGGGTTTTGCATAATTAGCAGAGCCAGAAATCTACGTTATTACTATTCATGTGGCCTCGTCTGGATTCACGAGGTGAAAACATTTGCTTTCACTTCTTGTGTATCTCAGTAAACATTTGAAATAAAGCAAAGCAATGTAGTTATAAAGAGAGTATAGATGAAAATGTTAGCCAACTTAAATGATCTATTATTACCTATTATTTAATCTAGTATTAAGTGTATTCACAGTGTAAACCAGAGGGTTCCTTCATTGAATTATAACATGCACATGTAAAAATATACACATACCGACAAATCAGCAAAACATCTAATTAGATTAAATCATTAATTTAATTATATATTTAATTGTGTATTAAGTTAGATACTTAAATATTAGATATCAGATTAAAGTCAATTTATACTTATGTTATTTCTTTTTTGGTGGCTCTGAATTTTTTGTGTATATGAAAGTCACCTAGGTTTACAGTTACAAGTGTGGCCCCACTCCCAGATACTCAGGTTTAGAAGAAGATCTTAGGAGTCTCCATTCGTAGCAAGTACCCTTGTTAAAGGAACTTAGGAAATATAAAATGTTGAGAACCTCTAGCACATCTTGATGTCTCCATCGAATGTGTGCTTCTATAATCCATTGCAAAAGCAATAACATCTAATAATTATTTGATCCTTATTATAATCCCATGAAGCAGTTCAAACTCAAAATTAATTCTCAGCTGCAAAATGAGGAAACCAAAACTCAATGAGATTACCGGCCCAGGTCATGTGACTTGTTAGTAGCAGGATCAGTAAACACTCAGGATTTTTATTCTGACTGTACTGTTACGACAGTAGAAATATCATATTTTTTACTTCAGTTTCATCAGCATATTACAGTGTCAATCTTTATGTTTTTAGCAAGACAGCCCCAAGCACCTCACATTAGCCCTACCTGCATGAATTGGGTCAAATTATGCTTTGCTTCCTGAGAAGGAACTAAAATCAAACAATACATTTGTGCTTACAGGTAAACTGTCATCACTTTACAATGTTTTCAGAAAAAGTCAAATAAAATATTTCTCTCTGATTTACTGAGGGTAGTATTTGATAAATGTTATTTATTAAGGTAAAGAGAATGACAAAATGTAAAGTAGAAGAAAGATTTTGGGGTTACTTTTGCATTTGAAAAGTTTACATTAAGAGGTGTAAAAAAGTCACACGGAAGCTCTCTTTTTAAAAATCTGTTAGTAAGTCCTGGCAAAAAAGCTGGGTTTCTATTAAGAAAAATTGCTCATCACACTACAAAGAGTATTTGAAACCAAATTGCAGAGTATTTGCGTAATAGTTCTCTTTTTCTGAAGAAAGAAAAACGAACAAGACACTAATTGTAGCTTGCATTTTTTTTTTTTTTTCATAAAAGAAATAGCAGATGGCTGGTTTGGAGGATAGGAGAGTAGATAAAGAAAAGGGAATATGAATTTATTTAGACTGATGAGTGGGATAAAAAAGGGAAAAATCCCAATATTTTAATCATAGAGTGTCGGCTTTCAATAAATTACTCTGTGTTAAACTTAATGTCCTCTGTTAGTTATCTTTGTGTGGGACCTATGGAGGCAATTTTGGAATCTTTGCTGCTGTCACTAGAAAATGTCGCTGAAGACCATGGGAATAAATACAACCTGACAGGGACATTATCTATTTTTCCAGAAAAAAATTATTCTGTCTTTTTTTTCCTTTTTGCTTTACAATTTTTTTTTTTCTTGTAGGTAAGTTTCAGAGTTTTCTCATTGAACAGAAGGGAATAATGTAACAGGTGCTACAGTAAAAATTCTAAAACAAAAATATTTTTCTTTATAATGAAGTCTGGTGTAAATAAGGTCTTTTTAAAAAAACCATCAAGGGACTACTGAGGTATAGATTAAAAAGCTCTGAAGCATGTATGTCAAGTCTCTAGCCACATATTATCTATATCTCTATTTCAGCCTGAAGGGAAGACATTTTTGTACAATAATAAGTGAGCAATACCATTTTTTTATATTCAGCTATCGTTTTGCACAACCACCAGATATTTATATCTTTCCACTTTAGTTTTTCATATTATTTAGCGGTTTCACAAAGACAAAAGGGAAGAAACAACCATATTGCCAGTGAAAACTTATAGGCTATTCTGTTTTTAAAAATGTTAACTTCAGCCAAACTCTGTTTCATTGTATCTATGGACCATTAATGCAATACCCTCCAGCTGAAAACCAGGAAAATCTCATTGCATCAGAGATAGGGAAGATTAAAAGAGAGATAGAGGAAAAGAAAAGAGACAATTAATGTAGACATATAAAACTACACATCATGCAACCATCAGCAGATTTGTGAGCGCTTGAAAGAAATGCTGCCCCTAAAGATAGTGAGAGTGCTAGTGATGAAGAACACAAAGAAGATAATGACGGCCACAATGATGAAAAATGAAATAAAATCACTGGTCCATAATAATTTTTTTACTAACTTGCTTTGCTGCAGATGGTATGAAGATAATAAAATAAACGAAATCTGCATCTGTTCCTTCATGTCTAGAATAAATTATAATTTATCTGGGTAAATAGGTGAGCAGTAATTAGAGAGGCTGAATTAATATGCCTTCAATTTAAATGTGTCCACATTGCTCAGTAGCCTTACCACTCCCTTCCAATCCTTGGTATCATTTTTGTGGACTCCAACAATCAGATCAGGACTCTTCTAAACTTTGAAGTCAGCACTTTTCCATCTCTATTCTACATCATTCACCCATTGGGTGGCCATACGTTAGATTTAGTCACTAACACTGCCACTTCATTGAAGACCTTTTGAAGAAGTCTACATCGGGAAAGAATTCTACTTTCTGTTTTCCCTCTTTTTTCTTCCACTCCGGATTACACTGAAATTCCATCTTTATGATATTTTTTATCCCGTTAGTTTTATATTTCTTCACCTAAAAATGTTTATTGAGAACTTGCTAGGTGCCTAGCACTGTGATTGAAGTTGTGTCTACAAAATAATCTCCAGCCTCAGGAAGCTTTCATTCTACCTGGAGAGGCAACTAGTAAACAGGAAAGCCAAATAAACATAAAACAGATGCATAAGTATTTTTAAATGAGATTAAGAGGTATCACAAAAATAAACAGAGTGTTGTGATAGATAATGAAACGGTGGTCGCAGAGCTACTTTAGATAAGGAGAGCCAGGAAATGTGTCCTGAGATCAGATTTATGAAACAAAGTCATATATATAAATACTTGGAAAGAGCATTCAAGGAAAAGCATGACCTAAGAGTCTGGCATATTTTGGAAGGTCTGAGAAGGCTCATGTGCTTGGAATTTAGCAAGGGCTCTAATGGCATGAGATGGGATTGAAAAGGTGGGTAGGGACCAAGTCATGTAGGGCCTTGCAGTCATAAAGGGTTTAAGTCTTAAATCCTTAAGAAGACTGGATTTATTCATAAATCTTTTAATGCCTGGTTTCTGTTGTACTTCATTTACCTCTATCATAGCTTGATCTCCAATATTAACTATTACAATAAAGCACTTGCCAATATCATATAATTTTCTCCCCTCTGATGTTTCCATTTTGCTGCTCTTTGGCTGAAGGTAAATGCCCCCATCACCATTCTCAAACTTTCAAATGTTAGAGAAAGGCACAGATTCATGAGATTTTGCCTAAATCTCCTGATTTGATCCTCCAAAAATTACTCTTTTAGTTGTTTAAAATTTATTTATTTTTGTGTTTTTTATGTTTTATTATTTTGTTTTTGAGACGGAGTCTCACTCTATTGCCCAGGCTAGAGTGCAGTGGTGCGATTTTGGCTCACTTCAAGTTCTGCCTCTCAGGTTCAAGCTATTCTCCTGCCTCAGCCTCCTGAGTAGATGTGATTACAGGCATCCGCCACCACACTTGGCTAATTTTTGCTTTTTTTTTTTTTTTTTTCTCAGTAGAGACAAGGTTTTACCATGTTGGCCAGGTGGTCTCAAACTCCTGACCTCAAGTGATCCACCCACCTTGGCCCCCCAAAGTGCTAGGATTACAGGCATGAGCCACCATGCCAGGCCTCTTTTAGTTTTTAATTTCTTACTGATGCTTTATTACACTTACTATGGCTTCTATCTCTGGGCAGGGAAAAAAAAAAGCTTTCTACCTTTCTTAATATCTACTCTGTGAAATGTACTTTTGACACCATTTTACTCTGTTTCACTGAATCATTTTACCATGATTTATCTCTAGTACAACTTCACCTTCACTGTGCTTACCACCTTCACTGTAACTACAAGGACATATATGTGTCCCATCCCATATTCCAAAAATAAAAGTTCCTTCAATTTTGCCCTATCTGTACATTAGGGATATTTGTCAGTCCCCCTTTAGCTATTTCTTCATGTTATCCTCCTTTGTGCCTTTGAGATCCGGTTTTTCTGCCACTTTTCTAAATTCTTACCCCTCAAATTACTCTGGAAAATGTCATCAAATACCTCATTTTCACCAAAGTCAACATGTTTCTCATCTCATTACATTTCCCCAGCCTGCATTGTTTTATCTCACTGACCATCCTTCTTCAAAATCCTTCTTTGGCTGATATTAGCACTTTATCCTACCTGTCCTGATTTTTCACTCTCTGAGTACTCTTCTTCTTTTTTTTTTTTTTTTTTTTGAGACGGAGTCTTGCTCTGTCGCCAGGCTGGAATGCAGTGGCACAATCTCGGCTCATTGCAACCTCCGCCTCCCGTGTTCAAGCAATTCTCCTGCCTCAGCCTCCTGAGTAGCTGGGACTACACCTCTTGTCCCTTCAATGCAGAAATACTACCCGGGCTTTGGCTGTACCTCACTTTGTTTTAGTCTGCAGTCTCTTACCTCCTTACAGATTTGTTCTCCAACCTCCTAGAGATGAAAATATTTTCCAACATTAAGAAATATGACAGAGTTGTCAAAAACATATGGAATTGATTGCAAAGTTTTTGTGGTTTGTCATGATTTGATTTAGTTTGAAGCAATGTAAACAGCAGGGCATTTTTTTTCTCTCGAGATAAAAAATAAAATCCATTATCTTCACGTCCAAAGTATCTGTGCCCTTCCAAACATGAGAATTATGTTATGCCCATATTCCAAGTTTTCTCCTCCACTCCTATAATTTCAGTTGTCATTTCTGAGCAGAAACTAATAAGCTTATCTATAATATAACTATACAAAACCATGTTATAACATCTATCTTATTTTATTAGAATTATCGGTGAAATGTCTGGCATCTCTGTTTTTTTCTCTGGAAGCAGTAATGTGAGTCAGTCATATTCATTGGTTTATCACCAAATCCTTGTTGAATATATGGCTTATAAGAAGAATGCAATACCATTTTATGAATAAATGAACAAAATCTGTATTATATCCTCCCCTCCCACACTTACTCCATTCCAGGAATCAACCCGTATTTCAATTGCTTTCTCATCTCTTAAAATAGATACTACTGGATTTGTAAGATAAAAGAAAACACGGTAAATAATTTTCCCATACGAGCTTGCCTGCTTTACTTTACTATTTTTTTTTTAATTTCAGAAACATTTCCTAATTCAGTTTTAAGATCTTGGATTTATATTTGGTATTTGCATTTCTATTTTTTCCATTCCACTTTGTATCTAATAATTTGCCAAGTCCTATTAATTGCTTATCCCAGTGTAGCTCAAATCTACATCTTTCTGTGTCTTTTCATTCTGACTCCTACTTAAATTCAGGCTCACATCACTACTGTAAAAATACCGCTTTTTTTAATTAACATATTCTGTTTATGCTACAAACATACAAAATATCAGTGGCATTTTTTGATTGACAACATAGAGTCGTAACATTGCACGTACTCAATAAACACATGTTGAATTAAATTTTATATTGTGAAAATTGCAATAAATTTTAGAATAAAGAAGTTTAGAGTATATTTCCAGGTATGACGCTAACAATCTGTGACATTGGCCTGTATATTTTTCTTTGTCCCTCAAGCTCTATTCTCCACCATTTTCTACCAATACTCACCCTGCCACGTGCTCAGTGAGACTGACCCAAATGGATGATGACAACGGGCTACGACGCTCCCTGGCTTTCATTTGGGTTCAGCCAGTGCAAAGCAGTGGTACAATACTGAATGAAGAACAGAGTGAGTTTGGTACTTATCCCCCACCCTCACTTTCCTGCAACCCCTTAGTGAGGGTCACAGCTGCCGTCAATTTGAGGTAACCTTCCCCTGGTTTCTTCAAGCCTAGCAGTGCTGTTACTCATCTTGAAGTACTTCAACAAACCCTGTTGCTGTTACTTAATCCTGCTCCTACTTTTATAAAGACTCTTTTGCTAAACTCTGTTCAATTCCTTCAACTTTGTATGCCATGTGTTTCCTACTGGGATCCTTCTAATGTAGTCATCTTGAACAAGGCACTTGACAACAGTTACCTGTAAAATCACAGATATGGTCATTGATGGCAAATACGTGGCTTGCATGTTACCAACACTCCCCTCCTCCTACCCATGAAAGATACTGCTAAACAGTCATTGTGTGGTAGGCTGATGATGGCTCTCAAAATATTCCCACATCTTAATCCCAGGTCATATTCATCCCTGAGGTGAATACTACCTTATTTGGGAAAAGGTCTGTGCAGATATAATTAAATTAAGGATTCTGAGTTTAGGAGATCTTCCTTGATTATTCAGGTAGGTTCTATATCCTTATAAAAGAGAGGCAGAAGGAGATTAGACACAGGCACAAAGAGGAAAAGGCAATGTGAAGAAGGAGACAGAAATTAGAGTGATGCCCCCACAAGCCAAGGAACATCTGTAGCCACCCGCAGCTGGAGGAGGCAAGGAATGTATTTTTCCCTAGAGCTTCTGGAGGGAATGCAGCCCTACCAACATCTTGATTTCAAATGTCTAGCCCCCAGAACTGTGATATAATATATTTCTGTTATTGTAAGTCACCAAATTTCAGTTAAATTGTTTCAGAAGCACCAGGTGCGGTGGCTCACACCTGTAATCCCAGCACTTTGGGAGTCTGAGGTGGGCAGATCACGAGGTCAGGAGATCGAGACCATCCTGGCTAACACGGTAAAACCCTGTCTCTACTAAAAGTACAAAAAATTAGCCGGGCATGGTGGCAGGAGCCTGTAGTCCCAGCTACCCGGGAGGCTGAGGCAGGACAATGGTGTGAGCCCAGGAGGCGGAGCTTGCAGTGAGCCGAGATGGTGTCACTGCACTCCAGCCTGGGTGACAGAGCGAGACTCCGTCTCAAAAAAATAAATAAATAAATAAAATAATAGAAAATATTAAAAAAAAATGTTTCAGAAGCTACAGGAAACAATTACAATTACTGTATTCTTTCCTGCCTGGACTGGATGAGGACTCATAACACTCAGTGCTAGAGACACTCAGTGCTTTAAGCAACAAGAACTGATTTATTGGGAGGTGAAGGTGAGCTGAAATATTGTTGCCTTGATTTTTTCACATATTTTAAAAACTGATGTTGCTACCAAATCTTTAGTTTGGATAAGCTATAGTAGTCTAATCTAAATGATGCAGATACTTTTAATTCATTTGGTAAGTAACATATATATGTAATTGCTAAATGATACAGTACAAGAAAAGAGCTTATCACAGTGCCTAGTAGATACTTAAAATGTTAGCTATTATTATTTTTATTAAACCAATTATATCTAAAGGGAATAAAATCGTTAAGCAATAAGGCATGACTGAATCTGGAAAAAAGCTGCAGCTGCAGGGTGAGTGGTCACTTTGATCTTTTAAAGTCTGGAGGGGACATTAAGCATGCAAGACAGGAAAACTGACAGAAAACAGTTTTGCTGTCAGCACTTTATCAGCTATTCTTTTCCTAGTTAACCCCAGGGAGAGCTAGCAGTATCTCTTCCCATCTCAACATATAACCATGAAGAGTTAAAAGATGGCTAAAGTAGATTTTGGCATTATAAGAGAACTTCAAAGACTACATAAATTTGTTCTTTAACAAAAAGTAATCACAATAACACTAATAATAATCAATAACAATATGGAACAAGTAGATAATAGAGATCAGGATACTAATGAATTCTTGTAGTTTTAGGCATAGGCAGTTTACAGTTTACTTATTAATCTTACCAATGCTACATAAAGAGAAACACAAAAGTGTCTGCAAACAGCATTTCAGAATTGATGTGAAAAATTCTTAGCAAGCTCCAACATGGAGTTTCTCATGAAGAGGATACTGTAATGTGCTATAAAGAAGGAAAACACAAACATACTAGAACTAGAATAAATCATTCCAGGCTGTAGATACTACCACTAGGGAGAAAGAAATAATTATTAACATTCATTTTTCTTTCTCCATATGAAAATGATTTTCTAAAGAGATTATTAGACCTGTCACTTGGTTCACTTGTAGCTTTATTTAGTTCACCTGTAGTTTTCTAATTCTTAACAACCATACTGTGGTCCCTCTGAAGTCACATATTAAAGAATTCTACCAGAGCTTAATAATGACTGCTACTTCTTGTTGAATTATGTCAGCACAATGCTATTGATTTACACCTGAACTCACTGAGTTCTCAGGACAATCTTGTCCAGTATAAAATATATTATGTTAATTTACTGATAGCAAGACACATTTAAAAGGGATAAACCATTTGCCATGATTCTAAATTCCTTAAGTAGCCAAGCTGAGATTTGAATCCAGTTCACATTGCATCCATAGCCTAGTCTCTTTCTGCCATGTTTTCTCTGCAGGAGCTATTCATGTCAGTTAGGTAACTAGGTAGATCTAGCAGATTTTGTGGTGATTATCCTAGTGTCCATAGGCATGATCAATATAAGATTAACTAGTTAATGAAATATTTACAAAGTGACATTCTAACAGGCATTAACTAACCTTTTTTGGTATAGATCAAATGAGCCCAACTTATCCTCAACCACTTAATCTTCCAATAATAAAATGCTAAATAGTCTTTTCAGGAGGAACTAAGACTACTCATGTCTTTATTCTCAGTTGTGAATGGGAGAATGTGAATCTAAAAGTGCTGAATCAATATTTTTGAAACTTAAATTTGACTTCAATAGAACAGACTTTAGTAAATTTGTTAATAACTTTTATTTAATCACTTAGAGCTTTACTGTTTACTATTTAGTATAACTTGGGAAAGTAGTATGCATTTGTTTTCCTGGACACTGCATCTTGTTTAAAGGGAGATATCTACTCTGCTTTTAATCTGTAAGAATAATCTCAGTTAATTAATGACATTCATATTAAAGGAACTTAATAACAAGCAACTCGACAAAATTAGAAAAATGCTACCTTTATACTTAATAAACTATATCAAACATACCTGTGGTAAAGGAGCAGGCAGGACTGTGTCATTCTGACTCTTCCAAGATAAAACAGTGAGTGACTTTAATTAAGTTTTCCATTTTTCTCTTATAGCTTCATGCTTATGTAGGATAATTTATATGTAGAAATCATTTGTCTGTCATTCACATATTTTTATCTCCTCTACTTTTATAATGAACTTATTACCATCATATATTAAATTTGAAACTGTGATTAATATGCAAGTTTTTATATTAAATATTAATGCTGGTGTTATTTTAATATTCTACATTGATCCTGATGTCAAGGGGATCCAGTTGGAGGTAACAGCAATGAGTACAAATCTGCGTTAATGTTATTTATTATTTTATATTTTTAATATAGTAGCAGTAAATAATATTACCACCCACTCAGGCAAAAGGGGTTATAATAAACCCTGAAAGAAAATATATGGTGTCACAAAAGACTCTTACTGCTAGTGCCTTTGTTTCAGGGGGCTGAGTCAAAGGAACATGTGGCTTTTTGTCTAGACGCACACTGTGAGAGGGTAAGCAAGTGGCAGTGGGAAAAGGAGTACCTCATAAAGAATCTCTGCAAGAGGGCATCCAATTCTGGTCCAGTACTTGAAAACAGCCACTGAAAATTAACCAATACTTTAGAAATGGCATGGTATCTTGGGTTTCCATAATGCCTGCCCTAGGAAAGGTCAATTCATGGCCATTATATTTATCATCAGCAACTTCAAACAGTAGTGCAGGGTGCTATCATAGTTATTTTGTTGTATGTTACCTTATTAATAACTGTATTGACTTTGGGAATGTTTGCAGGAAATAACTAGCCATCTTTCATTCATTAATTTATTAACTCATCCCCGATATGGATTGAGGACTTCTCTATACATTCACAAGGGTACAATTATTAAAAAGACATATATCCTACTCTTAAATAGCCAATATCCTAGGATAAGTCTTTAAAATTTAGTATAAAAATTATAAACATTAGTAATTATAATTATAAATGTATGATATAAATTTCCTATGATAACTCTTTCAAGAGAGAAATTACCTTCTAACTTAAAAAACTGAATGCAAGTAAACAAAAAGCTGTGTTCAGAAGAAAAATATGAATATGGTATTTATGTGTGGGAAGAATGTTAAAAGCAAAAAGATAAATAACACTGGTAGGGTTGTACCATGAGGAGAAAGGGGTGTGGATGATACAAATTCCTTCCAGAGTCTTCCTTCTGTTTTACTAGTTGTGTGACATAAAGCAAGTTATTCACTCTGTCAAAACCTCAATCTGAGGTTACTCAGATATATAATGGGAACTATAATGCCTATCTTCTGAAAAGAACAATTTCAGGTAATATATGTGAAAGAGTCTAGCACAGTGTTGGTATATAACAGTTGTCCAATATAATTAGTTTCCCTTGCTTCTAAAATTAAGAAAATGGAAAAGTGTGGCATGCATGGGGAATACAAATAGATCAGCTTCAGTGAAGCATATGGTACATGACAGAACACAGTAAGAAACAAGATGGAAAAGGCAGGTTGGTACTAGGGCTTGGAGGAGTTTGAATGGAAGGCTGACATTTGGATTTTATTGTAAGCAAAATGGGGATTTCCTATTTCTGCTCTTTTTTTTACCCTCCCATAAATAACAGATAATCAAGTACCTTGTCTTGCGGTGGATAAAAATATGATCTACATTCTTCCCTAACTCATTTTATGAGGCCAGTATCATCCTGACACCAAAACCTGGCAGAGATACAACAAAAAAAGAAAACTTCAGGCCAATATCCCTGATGAACATAGATGAAAAAATTCTCAATAAATTCCTGGCAAACTGAATCCAGAAGCAAATTGAAAAGCTTATCCACCATGATCAAACTGACTTCATCCTTGGGATTCAAGGCTGGTTCAACACACGTAAATCAATAAATATAATTCATCACATAAACAGATCTAAAGACAAAAACCATATGATTATCTCAATAGATGCAGCAAAGGCCTTCAATAAAATTTGACATTCCCTCATGTTAAAAACTCTCAATAAACTAGGTATTAAAGGAACATATCTCAAAATAATAAGAGACATTTATGACAAACTCACAGTCAGTATCATACCAAATGGGCAAAATCTGGAAGCATTATCTTTGAAAACTGGCAAAGACAAGGATGCCCTCTCTCATCATTCCTATTCAACATAGTATTGGAAGTTCTGGCCAGGGCAATCAGGCAAGAGAAAGAAATACGGGGTATTCAAATAGGAAGCGAGGAAGTCAAACTCTGTAGATAATATGATCCCACATCAAGAAAACCCCATTGTCTCAGGCCAAAAGCTTCTTAAGCTGATAAGCAACTTCAGCGAAGTCTCAGGATATAAAATCGGTGTGCAAAAGTCACAAGCACTCCTATACACCAACAACAGGCAAGCAGAGAGCCAAATTATGAATGAACTCCCATTCACAATTGCTACAAACAGAATAAAATATGTAGGAATACAGCTAACAAGGGAAGTGAAGGACCTCTTCGAGGAGAACTACAAACCACTGCTCAAGGAAATCAGAGAGGACACAAACAAGTGGAAACATATTCCATGTTCCTGAATAGGAAGAATTAATATCGTGAAAATGGCCATACTACCCAATGTAATTTATAGATTCAACGTTATTCCCATTAAACTACCATTGACATTATCCACAGAATTAGAAGAAACTATTTTTTAAATTATATGGAACCAAAAAAGAGTCCACATAGCCAAGACAATCCTAAGCAAAGAGAAAAAAGCTTGAAGCATCATGGTACTAGACTTCAAACTATATTACAAGGCTACAGTAACCAAAACAGTATAGTACTGTTACAAAAACAGACACATAGACCAATGGAACAGAATAGAGGACACAGAAATGAGACTGCATGTCTACAGTCATCTGATTTTTTAAACAGCTGACAACAAGAAGCAATGGGGAAAGGATTTCCTATTTAATACGTAGTGCTGGGAGAACTGGCTAGCCATATGCAGAAAATTGAAACTGGATCCCTTCCTTACACCTTATACAAAAACTACCTCAAGATGGATTAAAGATTGAAATGTAAAACCCAAAATTATAAAAACCCTAGAAGAAAACCTAGGCAATACCATTCAGGACATAGGCGTGGGTAAAGATTTCATGAAATCACCGAAAGCAATTGCAACAAAAGCAAAGATTGACAAATGGGATCTAACTAAACTAAAGATCTTCTGCACAGCCAAAGAAACTACCTTCAAAGCAAACAGGCAACCTAGAGAGTAGGAGAAAATTTTGAAATCTATCCATTTGGCAAAGGTCGAATATCCAGAATCTACAAAGAATTTAAACAATTTTACAAGAAAAAAACAAACAATCCCACTAAAAAGTGGGCAAAGGACATGAACAGACACTTCTCAATATAAGACATTCATGTGGCCAACAAACATACAAAAAAAGTTTAACGACACTGAGATGTTGAAATGCAAATCAAAACCACAATGAGGTACCATCTCATGCCCGTCAGAATAGCGATTCTTAAAAAGTCAAGAAACAATGGATGCTGGAGAGGCTGTGGAGATATAGGAACACTTTTACACTGTTGGTGAGAATGTAAATTAGTTCAACCATTGTGGAATATAGTGTGGCAAATCCTCAAAGATGTAAAACCAGAAATACCATTTGAGCCAGCAATTCCATTACTGGGTATGTACCTAAAGGAATATAAACCATTCTATTGGAAAGATACATGCACATCTATGTTGACCGCAGCACTACTCACAATAGCAAAGACATGGAATCAACCCAAATGCCTATCAATGATAGACTGGATAAAGAAAATGTGATACATATTCACCACGGAATACTATGCAGCCATAAAAAGGAATGAGATCATGTCCTTTATAGAGATGTAGATGGAACTAGAGGCCATTATCCTTAGCAAACTAACACAACAACAGAAAACCAAATACTGCATGTTCTCACTTATAAGTGGGATCTGAATGATGAGAACACATAGACACAGGGAGAGGAAAAACACACACTGGGGCCTGTCAGGGGGTGGGGTTGGGGGAGGGAGAACATTAGGAAAAATAGCTAATGCATGCTGGGCTTAATACCTAGGTGATGGGTTGATAGGTGCAGCAAACCACCATGGCACACATTAACCTACGTAACCTACGTAACAAACCTGCACATGTAGCCCAGAACTTAAAATAAAAATAAAATACTAAAGTTGTCAACTCATATCCAATTTTATATTAAAGAATATCAAACTGGGGGACTAAACCAGAAACGTGAATACCCACAACGGACCCTTAATTGGAAACTGTTGGTGCTTTTTAAATAAGTTGTTTTGAGGAGAGTTCAAATTACAGTATAACAAAATTCATTTAGTGAATTAAAGCAGTCTGTGGTTAGCATATCATACAGAGGTATTATCCGTTTAAGGAAAAACACAGTTGAAACCCACAGAGTGGGAGAAAATCTTCACAATCTATACATCTGACAGAAGGACAAATATCCAGAATCTGCAACGAAATCAAACATATTAGCAAGGAAAAAACAAACAGCCCTATCAAAAACTGGGCTAAGGACACGAATAGACAATTCTCAAAAGAAGATGTACAAAAGGCCAACAAACATATGAAAAAATGCTCAACATCACTAATGATCAGGGAAATGCAAATCAAAAGCACAATGAGATACCACCTTACTCCTACAAGAATGGCCATAATCAAAAAATCAAAAAATAATAATAGATGTTGGCATGGATGCAGTGAACAGGGAACACTTCTACACTGCTGGTGGGAATGTAAACTAGTACAACCACTATGTAAAACAGTGTGGAGATTCCTTAAAGAACTAAAAGTAAAACTACCATTTGATCCAGTAATCCCACTACTGTGTATCTACCCAGAGGAAAAGAGGTCATTATATGAAAAAGATA
This sequence comes from Homo sapiens, assembly GCF_000001405.40. NCBI lineage: Eukaryota > Metazoa > Chordata > Mammalia > Primates > Hominidae > Homo > Homo sapiens. Next base: position 211,580,691 of record NC_000002.12, read on the forward strand.
CCTGCACATGCATGTTTATAGCAGCACAATTTGCAATTGCAAAAACGTGGAACCAACCCAAATCCCCATCAATCAACGGGTAGATAAAGAAATTGTGATATATATATATATATATATATATAATATATATATATTATATATATAGATTATATATTATATATATAGTATGCATATACATATATATATATATATATATATATATATATATATATATATATATATATATGATGGAATACTACTTAGCCATAAAATGGAATTAATTAATGGCATTTGCAGTGACCTGGATGAGATTCAAGACTATTATTCTAAGTGAGGTAACTCAGGAATAGAAAACTAAATGCTGTATGTTCTCACTCATATGTGGAACCTAAGCTATGGGGATGCAAAGGCATAAGGAAGACACAATGGACTTTGGGGACTCAGGGGGAAAGGGTGGGGAGGGGGTGAAGCATACAATACCACAAATTTGGTGCAGTGTATACTGCTCAGGTGATGGGGGCACCAAAATCTCACAAATCACCACTAAAGAACTTACTCATGTAACAAAACATCACCTGTTCCCCCAATAACCTATGGAAATAAAACAATTAATATAGAAAAATTAAAAGTAAAAAATTTAAAAAAAGAAAAACATTACATTTTAATTCCCCAAAAGTAAAGTAATAAGTGTAAAATCACCACTGAAAGAACATGGAAATAGTCAAGCAAAACACACCTACAGAAAGATAATTATCACAAAATATAGGAAGTACATCTACCTGCCTGCTCACCTCTTCAAGCCTATGCTTACCACACATGCAAAAATACAATAAAAAACTATGATCTACAAGTCAGATTTAAAACTTTTTTTTGTTCTTTCCAGAGTTACCTTTTTCAACTCTCATTCTCTGTAGTGGGGAATAATTTACCTCCAATATGAGTAGAATTTTGCTTCTAGGCACTGCTCTTTCTTCCCATCATTCCCACAGTTGGTTGTATTTTCTTTATAGTTCACTTCACCCCTATGGCCTCATTTTTTTCCCACCAAATTTCATGTAGTGGCCGGACATGGTGGCTCACACCTGTATTCCCAGCACTTTGGGAGGCTGAGGCAGGCAGATCACGAGGTCAAGAGATTGAGACCATCCTGGCCAACATGGTGAAACCCCGTTTCCATTAAAAATATAAAAATTAGCTAGGTGTGGTGGCTGGCACCTGTAGTCCCAGCTACTCAGGAGGCTGAGGCAGGAGAATCACTTGAACCCAGGAGGCGGAGGTTGCAGTGAGCCAAGATCATGCCATTGTACTCCAGCCTAGGTGACAGAGTGAGACTCCATCTCAAAAAAAAAAATTAATTTCATGTTAGTATTGGTCAATCTTGCCCATTGCTGTGTTTGCACATATCTTCTGGTGACTACAGGCATGACAATTACTCTTTGACCATTCTGCTAAACAATTCTAAAAAGGGCAAAAGAAGTTACAGCATTCAATGGTCAATGGTAATTTCAATAATGTCTCAGTTCTTTATAGACATGTAAAAAGACAGCTTTTTAAGGGTAGGCGTGCCGGCTTTCATCTGTGGAGGACATTAATTGTTATTGCTTTGTTTTTGGTCTATTCCCACATAACAAACTCTGAAGCAATTCTACTTATCTGTTCTACTGTTGGTCCTTCAAAGTATTATAGCTTCCAGAACTCTCCAAAGAAATCCCTGTGCAAATTTTAGCTAATTTTAAGGATTGGATGGCCGTGATCTAAGTCTTTCCTTTAAGAACCAGATCAAACTGAGATGGAACCAGGACTAGAAGACTAAATATGAGATTCTTTTGAAAGTTAAAAAATAAAAATTTTAAATTATTAGAAAATGTTTCTGTGGTACTTCAACTCTCAAAGAATTATTTGCACAGTCTGTTTCATCAGAGGAACCAGAACTTATTTATGATATCATACTGACATAGGTTACTTAGATTAAAAGAATTCATATATTCAGAGTAATTATTCATCAGATCTACAAATGGTATGAAAAACCCACTCATAAAAAATAAATTCTTCATCTTTTAGCTATTTAACTGAAATGTCTATACATTAAAATTCACAGATGTGTTAAAACATGTACTGGAACACCATAACCTAACATTTACTTCAATTATTAAAAATGTAGCATGAAGAAAGCAAGTATTTAAAGGTTCTTCCAAACCAATTTCAGTGATTTTTAAGTGCAAACTAGGCAATTATATGTTATCTGTAATTAAAGCAGGAATGCACTTGAGAATATTTGAGATATCAGTATATCAGTACAGAATTACAGTGCTTTTTAACATTAGGGCATTTTTGCATGTTTAATATATTTTCTTTTGAAAATGTGATGGAAATATTTAAATACTTCATTCAGTATTTATTGAATGATTTAAATGGCTTTGAAAGTAAATATCTACAGATCTTCTGGTTAAAAGCTAGTGGTTTCTAGTGGACAGTGTATTTTTCAGAGAAAACATTAAATAATGAAATTCACTTTATCGACAAACACAAATATTTACTGAGCACTTACTATGTATCCAGCCATATTCTAAAAATAATACATTTCATACTACATGACATTCAGAAACAATTTAATTTCATAAATTTTCATGTTTTCAATGTCTACACAGATAAAAAACATTGTTATTTGGTATTTTGAAATAGTACCACTGGGTGGTAAAAAAGTTGAGAGGAATAAATTTTAATTAATTGTTCAAAATACTAGAGCCAAACACATCAATAAAATGATTAATAGTTATTAAAATATCATGAGTAAGTTATTTATATTCCCAAGATTTTTGGAAGTATAGTAGAATAAATTATTTTCCCTAGATAAATTACTTTTTAAATTTTTTGATAGTTTTATTTTCTAAAATAAATTCAAAATTAACTGTATTCAACAATATACCTATTAAAAAAATTTAAGGTACAGCACTTTGTTGTAACAAATAAGTATCTATAGGACTGTCTTTTATCACCTTTAAATTTAAAAAATGCAAGAGTAATGAAATCTAGTAAAATATTTTTTGTAACTATGACATGTTAATATAAACAATCCAATTTACGAATAAAGAAATCATAAAGAGGTCACAGTAGTTATTTTTTGTCAATTATTTTTTGTCAATTATAATATCATTATTGTATAATTGTTGCTGTATTCTTCAACGTTCCCCGGAAATAAGAAATAAATTATTCTTTTGACTTTGCCCTATAGGTTTCCTTTAATAGTACAATTCAAACAATTTAAAATGCAATTTTAACTACTATTTTTCATTTGGCTATGCATTTCTTTGAAAAGAATTTAAAAAGAATGTATTATGACAGGTGAGATAGCATACTAGATGCTTTCATTTCCCCATTAATTTTAAAGTAATTGCAAGAGCAAAAGCCATGTCCATTGTGCATGTCTGATCTGCCTCAAGAAAGATCCAATTATAAACTGACATGTTTTCAACATACATATCTTGCATATTTAATTCAGGTAAGCCTCCAAAATAAAACATGTCTCTGGTTTTGTTAAATCCACAATAGGTTTCAGTTGAACTAGAATTTTCAAATATATTAGCACTATTTTGGGGTATTTTGTTTTTGTTGTTATTGTTTATATTTCATAGGTGCATATATATAATATTTGATGTTATGGATAGGTAATTCATTTGTACATTTGAAGATAAATATGTTTATCAAGCACTTGAGAGCAGAATAACAATATGTTTAACGAAATAGCATATACCATAAATCCTAGGACTCCTATATGACATTTTTCAATCCAGATGTATAAGACCCCACAGTGTGTAATGGAGCAACTTTATTTGATCTAATGTTGGTTTCTTGATCCGTGAAAAGAGTGTGATATATTTTGATTTAGAACATAGATCAAAATATATTTTGAGTACTAGTTTTCTGTATTACTGAATTTTAAGTCTTTGTCCAGGACTTTGGCACATAAAGATTAAAATTACATACTATATATGAATAAGAAACACAAATGAGGTACTTCATGTTTAAAAGCTCACATAGAAAAAAGTGGAAAATGTATCCTAACTTTAAATATATGTATATTAAATATTTACATATAAAAAATATATGTATATGTGTATATTTTATGCATCTATGTATATACAAAATATATACCATGAAATCCAGTTATTTTGTTTTCTTCCTCCTAATGTAATATATACAGGGATCCATTTATAATTTTCTTTCTACAACTTTTAAACATGTTTTATTTATTTGTGGCGCATTTTTTCTCTATGAAAAAAAAATTACCACTATATTCTACACTAATATCACGTATCAATAAAAATGTATAATGATTAGCTAGTAACCCAGGCCTATAAATTAACAAAACAAGAAAGAATAATAAAAAGACTTCCTTAGGCTGGCCGGGCGCAGTGGCTCATGCCTGTAATCCCAGCACTTTAGGAGGCCGAGGCGGGCGGATCACGAAGTCAGGAGATCGAGACCATCCTGGCTAACACGGTGAAACCCCGTCTCTACTAAAAATACAAAAAATTAGCTGGGCGTGGCAGCGGGAGCCTGTAGTCCCAGCTACTCGGGAGACTGAGGCAGGAGAATGGCGTGAACCTGGGAGGCGGAGCTTGTAGTGAGCGGAGATTGTGCCACTGCACTCCAGCCTGGGCGAGAGAGCGAGACTCCGTCTCAAAAAAAAAAAAAAAGACTTCCTTAGGCTTAGAAAGACATTCAATTCTATAAAAATGTGTTGTTTAAAGCCAAATCTACCTAACTTTTGTAAATTGATTACCAAATTAAATTGACATTAATTCATTGATAATTGATAGCATAAATAAGAAATTGACTTTGAGGGGTCATGATTTTTAAAAGTCAGAATATTTATATATTTAATTATACATGTTTAAAAATTAAATCAGTTTATTAACTTCAATATTATTTTTCAAGTATTCAGTATATTTTACAATTATTTACAAACAGCTTCAATATAGACACTGACTTAGAATGGATAAGTTGAGAAAAAAAGCATTTGAGCAAATAGGGTTTTAAGAAAATATTTTCTTAAGGTATAATACATTTGTATTAGGTAAAGCATAGGTACCTATTATTCAGGTGCAGACTGTCTATTCTCAATGCTCAATAAATGTTATCAATATTATTATGGAAAAATTACTCCAAAATAAAGAGGAGATAATTAAAGCCAACACTCAGCTTCTGTTTCATGAAAAGTAATCTTTGAAGAAAATAATTAAAGTTATACATATCCAGTTACTGAGATTGGGATTATCATTTTACTTGAAATACTTCAATAGCTTATTTTTGTCATAATTTTCCAAAGTTCAAGAAATTTACATCAAAATATTTCCTGCCTTCCTTCCATTACCTCTTCTTCCTATCAAATGTGATGAAGTAGAGTTTTATCAGATAAATAATCAAATTCAATAAACCAATGCAAAATTAAAATTCTAAGAAATTGCTTTCCACCCAATTAAGAAAAAGAAGCCAAACAAAAACAAAACTGATCAACTTCATGTAAACATAGTTATGCACATTACATATCACCATAACACACCAAAAACCAAATGACAAACAAGAAAAATATTTGTAATTTTTATCATAAAAACTAATCTCTTTAACATATAAAGAGTATATATATAGAACTTAAGAAGTGAAAGTCAACCAACTCAGTTAAGAAAAACCATAGATATAAAAAGAATTTACAGCAAAAGAAATAGAGTTGTATAACATCATTCAAAATAAGGGAATTCACGTTAAAAGTACCCTGGAAGTATTTTTTAAAGTTAGATATTGATCTGGTCAGCAAGTTGTTTTCGGTTCCTGCCATATCTTGTAGTGGGAAACCCTTTTCTTTTCTTGCCAGAATACTTCCTTTTACTTCTGCCCATACGCAATCCTAGAGAATACAAGTAGGAACTCTATTCCTCCTTTTACACATACCCCAGGGAACACATGGTGACTGGAAATGTAGGGATTCCTGGAGGATTGTTTTTGAGTCTATTCTGGTTTCTTTTTATTTGCTGAATATAGGACCTCTATGAATTTGAAACCATAGTAAAACTTATGGATATGGAAATATTGTGCCTTGGCTTTGGCTGTAGCTGTTTGTCTCCCATACAAAATACACTTCAGTCAGTCTCACCCAGATTGATAAGAAATATCATTTCAAGACTCACTTATTCTTTCCGATAATATTTATCTGGTGCTGTTCTGGATTAAATGATGTCTCCCAAGAAAAATATATATTGAAGTCCTAACATCCAGTACCTCAGAATGTGACCTTATTTCAAAATATAGATGCTCCTCAACTTATGATTGGGTTATGTGCCAATAAACCTATTGTAAAATCAAAAAATTAAGTTGAACCATTGTAAGTGAGGAACCATCTGTAGGTCATTGCAGATATAATTATTTAAGATAAGACACCCTGCAGGGAGACCAAGGTGTGTGGATCAAGGAGATCAGGAGTTCAAGACCAGCCTGGCCAAGATGGGTGAAACCCAATCTCTACTTACAAAAAAAAAAAAAATAGCCAGGCGTGGTGGCGAGCACCTGTAATCCCAGCTACTTGGGAGGCTGAGGCAAAGAACTGCTTGAACCCGGGAGGCAGAGGCTGCAGTGAGCCAAGATCACGCCACTGCACTGTAGCCTAGGCAACAGAGCGAGACTGTGTCTCAATAAATAAAAAGATGAGACACGCTGGAATAGAGCATACCTCTATTCCAATATGACTAGTGTCCTTATAACAGGATGGCCATGTGAAGACACAGAAGCATAGGGAGAATGGCACATGAAGCCGGAGGATTGCAGCGATGCGGCCTACAAGCCAAGGAGCTACCAGAAGCCAGAAGAGGCAAGGAAGGATCCTCCCCTAGAGACTTAGAGGGAGCATGGCCCTGCCAACACCATCATTTTGGAATTCTGGTTTCCAGAACTGTGAGAATAAATTTCTGTCATTTTAAGGGAAAAAAAAAAAGTACAGTGAATATCATTTGTCACTTTTTAAATTGGAAGAAGATCCTAAGATTTGATAATGACCTATCCTCGATAGGCCACGAGGAAACAAATGCTGGCGTGTATTGCCAGTAGAAAGGTAAAATGAAACAACCTCTATGAAAGGTAACCTCGTATTATCTGTAAAAATTACAGATGTATTTAGCCTTGACCTGGGATTATATTCCTGGAAATTCATTCTACACTTGTACCTTCAGATATGTGAAATGACACAGGTTCTTAATTGCGGCATTGTTTGTAATAACAAAAGTTTAGAAAACACCCAAAGTTCTAGCAATAAGGACAAATTAAGTAAATTGCTGTACAGCCACAGAGTGTAATGATCTACAGCTGTTTGAAGAATGTGACCGTTTTCTATGTACTAACTTAAAAAGATCTCTAAAATATATTAAGTGATAAATAGCAAGGTATGGAATTATGTTTTAATGTGTTTCTTTTTGTGTATTAAGAAGAAAAATAAGAATGTATGTTCACATTTGTTCACATTTTTATTTTTAAAAATTGGAAGAATATACAAGAAACTAATAAAATGGTTCATTCTGGAGGGATGTTTGGGCAAGCATTGAGTAAACTGAGATAATATGGGTATGAAAATTCATCATGTAATTTTTTTCATATTGCTGTAGTTTGGGGCTATATAAATGCATGAACACTTCAAAAAATAAATTAAAACAAAAAGTAATACGAGCAAACATAAATGCTTGGAACAAATGAGGATACGCTTTCAAATCCAATTTAAATAGACAATCTAATAGGTAGCTAAAAGAATGAGAAAATCCAAATTTTCTTTCTTTTGGCAGGTAAATTTTGACTAATAATAATTATAACTGACATTTAAATTATTACTATTGTAACTACATTTTATATTTTGACTCATCTAATTCCCAAAACAGCCTTATAAAATAAGTGCTATTATTATTACTACCATTTTACAGATGATAAAACTTAACCCAGAGAGGTTAAGTAACTTGACCCAGGCCACTTAGCTAGTAAGTAGTGGAGCTGAAATTCTAACCTGGCATTTTGTCTTCAGAAACCATGATGTTAATCACTCCGCACTTAACCATTGAGAAAATCACATGATATATACTAGTTTTAAATGTTAGCCATTAGGCACTGAAAGGCAGATTGAGAATTAAAATCTTCTAATAAGATTTAGAATTTTCTGTCAACAAAAAAATCTTGGGCACATGTCCTTCTGCAGTACTTAATCTATACCTTTGCAAGGGGTGGAAAAAGGTAATACCTGCCACTGCTATAGAAGATATGAGAAAAAATATGTTTATAATTTTATATTATGAGTATGTGGAAAATACAAGAAGAAAATAAATATAACTGTGTTCAAATCCTGAAAATCTATAATTGCAATCTGAGCTTTAAAATTATCACAGGCAATTATCAGCTTTAACATTATTGTGGGCCCTAGGTAAGATCTCAAGCCAACAAAAGTTAGGCCAAGTCAAAAGTATTTCCAGTTTGTCCAATCTTAACATAATATGAACAAAATGTTCATTTTTTTAGATTGTAAAATGTAATCACAGCAAAAGATACACATTCCTATTCCCTCAAGTAATTGATGATCTCTTCTTTCCTTAGGTGTATTTTTTAATTAAAATGCAGTATCTATATCTAGAAAATGTATCAGCCTGAAGATAATTGTCGAGTCAATGTGAAAGAAAATATAAGAATGTCAGTATGTCTAAAAGCATAAACCTAGTTAACATTTCAAAAACATTAAAATGAATGTCCACATATAATTTCCTTAAATCAACCAGACTCAGTTCAAAACAAATTTGTAGCCCGAATGAGTAGCCCTAATAGCTTAGCCATCAGTCTCTTCTTCATTTTCCGTAACATCCACTCCCATACAAAAATGTTTTCAATCAGTTCCAACTTTTAATTTCCAGGAGCAGAAACCTGATTAAGTATTGATAATATAGAATAACTTGTAACTGAGAATACGTATCAAAACGAATAGCTAATTTTTTAATGATGTCAGTCAAAAATTTGAAAAATCTATTTAGAAGTATTGCCTAATACTTCTGAATTCAAAATTGATCATTAACTATAAAAAAAACTATTGTAAAAATGATTACAATTGGGTAACTATGTTCAAAATGTTCATTTTATGTTTAGCATTATTAAAAACATCTATGTCCAATTATGAGAGAAGAGCATCTGATCAATTTGTGACCACAGTTATTAGCATGCATTTTAGAATTATCATTATAAAAACTATTAATTGCCTCAATAGGTACAGTTCCTCATTATTGATCTACAACTACAGGAAGTTAATGATGTTAATCATTTTCAAATGTACACATTTATTCTGTTTCTAGAAAAATTACTGGCAGAAAAATAGGATGAACATATTAACAGAAGAGTTCTCATGCTAAGGATAACCACATTTTCCAGATAATTTACACTAAAAATATCCATAGGGATGAAACGCCTTTGCAAAATTATGACTGTGACAGTGAAAGAGGTCCAACTTAAACGACTCCATCGTGCCTCTAACCTCCAAGCTGTCCTTATTCATTCCTGAGCATAGGCAGAACTAACTTTGGGAGGAACTTAGTTTATAGTTTAAAACAAAGACGATAATGGCCCTTTCCCAGAACAAACTTCCTTCTTGCCTGGGGACTAGACTGCTAACATTAGCCATAAGATTAGAAATTATGGTTTAGGAGTCACATAGCTGGAGGCTACAAGATTCTGCTTCTCCCTAAACTGCTCCTAAGATCAGTGCCTGAGATATTTTGCAGCCTCTATCCTTGATGGATCAACCAGCACCACCCAGATTAAGAAACCAGCCCATCTGATCTTGTGACTCCCATCCAGGAACTGACTCAGGGCAAGAAGACAGGGACCCCCCTCCCCACGATTTCACCTTCGACCCAAACAACCAGCACTCCCCAACTCACTGCCCCTCCCCTCCCACCAAACTGTCTTTATAAACTTTGATCTCCGAATGTTCTGGGAGACTGATTCGAGTAACGATAAAACTCTGGTTTCCCGCTCAGCTGGCTCTGCGTTAATTACTCTTTTGTCTATTGCGATTCCCCTGTCTTGGGAAATCGGCTCTTTCTAGGCAGCAAGTAAGGCGAACCCATTGGGTGCTTACAAATTGGGTAAGCTGAACCCACTGGGTGGTTACAGGGAGAGGTTTCTGTTAAATGAAAACTTGCTATCTTGTTATGCAACAGGAAGAGCAGCAACTTAAAAACTTTTTGAAACTTTCTCTACAATGATGATTATACTCTTAAACAATATAATTCTTTTCACCAAACGTGATCTTAAAACACTTAAGCAACATAACTGACTACACTTTCCCTGTAAGGATCTCTCATGGGGTCTGTTATCACATTGTTAGCACCAAAATGCTAAAACTGTGAAATATTCTAGTGGCTACCCAGCAAATTAATAAAGATATTGATTTATCATACATATAACTGCAACCCTGGGAGCTAATTGGAGCATCATTATTTACTTATTAAAATTAGATCCTTGATTGTAATCAGAATTATGTGGAAAGTCGCTAGTTTCAGTTTTCCAATTATACATTACAAACATCCATTTATCTGCCAACGAAGGGGGATAGATTAGGGGAGGGGAGGACATTCTAGTTTAACACATGAGGGTCTTAATTTTTTTCCCTACTTACCTCTCTGGTTTTATCTCTTCTCACTTCATCCAATTAACTACATTTCCAGACAGGCTTTTTGAAGCTAGATTTCAACATGCCAGGGCTTTCCATACCACTATACTGTTGCATGGAATGTTGCCCTTCTCTCAGTCACTTGATCATTGACAGACTAAGTCATACTCATCCACTGCGACCTAATTTAAACATCACCTCTTCTGTGAAATCATCTCCAAGCCCTCTGGGCAGAGTAAGCACTCTGTTCTCCAGGCTCCCACAGCATGTAATAGGTACCGCTATTATAGCACTAACTGCACTAGTGGTTCCCCACACTCAGCTCTGCAGTCCTCAAAGCAAAGAGAGTCTCTTAAAGCTTTGTGTATGTTAACACCTGACACTGTGCTTGCCATTTATTTTTTGACAAGTTGAAAGTTTCCAGGTGTCAGAGTCATAAAAATCCCAGTGTGAATCCTGCCTGAAATATAAAAACCATGTAACTTTAGCTAGTAAATGATTTAAGCCGAGTCTCAGTTTCCTCATTTTTAGGGTAATAATTACAATACCTACCTTGTTGAGGTTGTGTTGTTGTACCTGAGCGAGTTAGAGAAAACGCCACTCTTTGAGACGAATTAAGAGTCCAAGAGACAGCTAACGCTCAAAATTCTCTCGGCCCCGAAGACGGGGCTAGATTTTCTTTTATACTTTGGTTTAGAAAGGGGAGGGAGGGTCTAGTTAAAACAATTTTACAGAAGTCGGCAAAAAAGTTAAAAGGATAAATGGTTACAGGGAAGTAAACAGTTCCAGATGCAGGGGCTTTAAGACTATTACAAGCTGCTAGACGCCCGGTAGACGCAGGGCTTTGGGCGTTATCAATCGGATGAATTCCTGGGAACTGCGGGTATTGCTCGCCACAGTATCTTATCAGTTAATTGCATTCTTGAACGTGCTGGGAGTCAGCTTGCACAAGTTAAGTCCTTGAGGAAGGGGCTGCCAGTGAAAGAGCCAAGACGGAGTCTGTCTGGCTCTCTTAGCTAAGGGAGAGTCAATTCAGGTGGAAACAAGGCTAGGTGATTAAAGGAAAGGGAGAGTCTAAAAACGGGGTAGTAAAAACAAAGTTGGGCATTACAGTGTAGGCAGTAAATGTGTTATTTATATTGTAAAGCGTAATGTCTGACATGTCAGCATCCAGTGAATGATTGATTGCTGCAAAGGATGCATGAAAAATAAAACTGAAAGACAAAGAGGATTTCAAGGTTCCAAAACATAAAAGCAGCTGTAAGCAGTTAAACTAGATGAAAGAAAGGGGAATCTCCCTGGATGAAGCATAAAAAGAGGTCTTTAAGTAGTACAAGGGCCAATAAAATGGAGTGAACTTAAAATAGTATAAAAGGGCCAGCTGGGCATGGTGGCTGACGCCTGTAATCCCAGCACTTTGGGAGGCCGAGGTGGGTGGATCATGAGGTCAGGAGTTTGAGACCAGCCTGACCAACATAGTCAAACCCTGTCTCTACTAAAAATACAAAAAATTAGCTGGGCGTGGTGGTGGGCACCTGTAATCCCAGCTACTTGGGAGGCTGAGGCAGGAGAATCGCTTGAACCGGGAGGTGGAGGTTGCAGTGAGCCAAGATTATTGCACCACTGCACTCCAGCCCAGGATACAGAGTGAGACTCCATCTCAAAAAAAAAAAAGAAGGGCCCTTCTGCACACTGAAGGGGCTTGCTCCATCTTGGCTCTCGTAGTGAGAAGAATGTGTCTTTGGGTTTAGCATGGATGGCAGCTGGCAAGGTGACTCTAGCAGAAAGTCAATGGGGCAAAAAAGCAGATTGGATAGCCTTAAGAAAGTAGTTAAAGTTACTGACGATGGAACAAGAAAGTAAAGTAGGCTATAGCAGCTAACAAACTTGAAGAAGAGAGAAGGGTTAAGGGCTCTGAGTGAAGCCAAGAGAATATTTATTGAAGTGTGGGAGTAAAATAAATGTAAGGCAAGGTAATTATTAACAGAAAGTGGAAACGTTGAGTGTAACTTCTCAAAGGTAGAACAGTTTTTATGAAATGCAAGGCAAATCTATCTTAAGGATTTGAGAAATGCAAGAAATTCACTGTGCCCTAACCCTATCCAAACCAAATCCACATCAAAACAATGAGCTCAAGTTGTATCTCTTTCACATCTCCCTGGAGTTCCAGTATTTCTTAAGCTTTTACTCTCTGAAGCAAAAAATACAGCACTTTGTATTATTCTGTCTTGCATTATTCTAAGTATCTTAGCTTCTCCCATCAAATGCAGTTAGCCATGTTAATTTACACTTGTATCTGTTGTCACACAAAGATACTCTAGCACCTTTCCCCTAATTACATAGTTAATGTTGACCAGAGATAGGTTTATTTATTGATACACTATGTGCAAAACAACCACCACCCTGATACCCTTTCAAGGAAAGACTTATCCGAGAGCGCTGCTGGCAAACAGCCTTCATTCACCCTACAGAGATTTCTTCAGCTGCAAAGAGCCAATTTGCCCAAACTTACACCCCTTCCCAGAGGGACCCTAATTAATGACTGATTGATGCCAACCAGGATAACTTTGATGGGTCGTTCCAGCACCACAGCTACCGAAAGAGTTAGACAAGGCTGCTGTCAGGCATGACTCACAACCTGGTATCTCTCTATGTCCAATCCTACTTCCTACTGCCCAGCCACAGCTGTTAATCCCAAAGTCATTCTCCAATAACATTTTGCACACTAAATTCCATCGAGGCATATCCTTCTTGGTGGAACCCAACCGATAACAACAACAACAACAACAACTTAAAAATAAACTAGCTGGGCGTGGTGGCTCACACCTATAATCCCAGCACTTTGGGAGACCGAGGAGGGCTGATTGACTGAGCTCAGGAATTTGAGACCAGCCTGGGCAACACGGTGAAACCTCGTCTCTACTAAAATACAAAAGAAATTAGCCGGGCGTGGAAGCGTGCACCTGTAGTCCCAGCTACTCAGGAGGCTGAGGCAGGAGAATTGCTTGAAGCTGAGAGGCAGAGGTTGCAGTGAGCTGAAATCGCACCACTGCACTCCAGCCTGGGCCACAGAGCAAGACTCCATTTCTACAAAAATAACAAATAAAAAAAAAAAACTAAGCAATAATTTGCTTTTATCAAAATTTTGTAGACCATTCAGAAATAGCTATGACATCAAATATGGAATGTTTATTTGATGCCATAGCTATTTTTATTTTTTCTCATAATACTGATAGATTAGTGTAAATTAGAGAGAAAGTAAACATAAATAGCATAGCTGTTTATTCATAAGATATTCACAATGATATCCTATTTTATTCTAGGAACTAGAGTAGTAACCAAGATGGACATGGTATCTTACATCAGAAATTTACTGTATCTACAGAAAAAGTAAAAGCCTTTAAAAATTAAAATAATGACAATTTAGGTAAAGGGTCTTGTTGCATTCTTTTATGTATTCTTTCATTCCCTAAAGAAGGGCTTTTTAAGTTCACATTATCTCAAACTTCATGAAGTGACTGAAGGTAAAATCAATGCAATCCAAGACTGAAATAGTATAAACATTATAAAGGGTGTGGCAGTCGTATGTCTACATAAATATATCCAATCTATAATGAATTTATTGTCAATCAAATTGCATTCTCTCATATTACCTTCTTGAATAGAATGTCTTTTTGTCTTTACATATACCTAGGAAGTGGTTTAAGTTACACCCTGAGGAAATTCAGTTCATAATAAATTTGTTTGAGAATAAGAAAGATTCAAATAAAATAGTCATTGAAGAAGTACAATATCATTTCTGGGATAAATTTTTATAGAATAAGGTAATAATCCATCTTAAAACGATAGGCATTAACTTGCCTAGAAAGCAAACAACTTGGAGAATTTGCAGTGTGAGAGACATTGTGTTGGCTGCTGAAGATTATTTGGCAAGACCACTTTAAAATTAAGAGCTAAGATCCCTGACAAGTTTTAAAATCTTAAAATACATTTTTAAAGACTTGAAAAACAGATGTACTAGAAAAAAATCACTAAGTTGACAGAAAAGGGAAGACAATAAAAGAAAAATATTAAATGGAAATAGAAAAAATATATGTGGTCTGAGATATACCAGAGGATGAGAGGGTCTTGTAAATCCTGATAAAGAAAGAGCAAAAAGTACAAATATAAAGCATTAATAATAAGAAAAGAGATAAAACTATAGGAATTATATCAGAAACAAGATGAAAACATCATAGTTATAAGAACCAGATGTTATTAGACTACTACTAACAGACCACACAGAAATACAGTTAACCTCTGAAGAACAACAGCCCATGGGTTTGACCTGCACGGGTCCAATTACAGGTGGATTTTTGTTTCAATACAGCTGACCCTCTGTATTAGCAGGTTTCACATATGCAACTAGTACTGCAATATAGTATTGCTGAGAAGCAAATCATGCAGATATGAAAGGGTCAAGTTTTTGTATACGTGGGTTCTTCAGGCTGACTGTGGGACTTGAGTATGCGTGTATTTTGGTATCTGCAGAGGTCCTGGAACCAATCCCTCCCTGGATATAGAGGGATAACTGTATGCAAAACAAGAAGAGTTAATTTATGCCAACAATATCCAATTAAAAATATGAATAAGAAATAAGATACCAATCACAATAGGAACAGAAACAACAAAATATTGACAAGTAACTCCAATGAAAAAAATACAATCATATTTCAAGAAAATTATAAAACTAAAGTATATCTGAATGAAATGTTTCAATACTGTAAAGTTTCAGCTTTCTCCAAATTAAACTACATGTTTAATTCAATGTTATATAAGATGTCATTTGGGAGAGGAAGGGATGTTAATGCAATTATAGACTTCACAGCAAAAAAAAAAAGTCTGAATGCTTTGAATAATAATGAAAGCATACTTGCTCTGACAAATATCAAAATGTCCAATAAAGAGGAAGTACATGAAATGGTGTTTTATTTTCATTTTTGGAAGTAGAAACACACAGCTCAATGGAACAGAAAAGAGGCTTCAAAATAAGACGAATATATTCTGGCAATTTAGCTACATAGTAGTTATAAATCCACTAGTTCTGGATGCTTAGGTCTAAAAATATTCATTTTTAAGAAAGCAACAACATAAATGAAATATACACCTTAACTCTCACTTTTCTCTATGTGTCAGATGGTTCTAAGGTATAATCTGTAGAAATTCCTAATAAACCTCTGCATTCTCTTCTCTTTTCCAGCACCCTGAGACCCCTGGGAGCCTCCTTCTTACCCCTGAAGACCTTTCTCTAGGTCCTAGTTTTATAATCTTTTTCTCTTGATGACTTTTTTTCCCCCCTCTGATCTATCTCTTCATGAAATGCCCTTCTCCTACATGTGTAACAACTAAAGAATGATGTAGCTTTTTACCCACTTACTCTTTTTTTTTTTCTGAGATGGAGTTTCACTCTTGTTGTTCAGCTTGGAGTGCAATGGCACGATCTAGGCTCACTGCAACCTCCACCTCCCGGGTTCAAGTGATTCTCCTGTCTCAGCCTTCTAAGTAGCTGGAATTACACGTGCCTGCCACCATGCCCAGCTAATCTTTTGTATTTTTAGTAGAAATGGGTTTTTGCCATGTTGGCCAGGCTGGTCTCAAACTCTTGACCTCAGGTGATCCACCTGCCTCCAATTCCCAAAGTGCTGGGAATACAAGCATGAGCCACTGCATCCAGCCCCACTTACTCACTCTATCGAGCGAGTATTTTTATTCACTTGTTATTTCTGTCCTAAAAACATGAAGAAGCAAGGAAAAATGCAATATCCAAATGGTCTATAGAGAGGAGGGTTAGGAAAAAACCTGTAAAATACCATATATTAATCCATTATTGTCTATGGCATATATGATTTAGGGGATGAGGCATATCTAATCAGTCAAGCAAAAAAAGAAAGCCTCAAAGATATATTTCAAATTTGTTATAGCAAACATCACTGAACTTAACCAGACCATCATTTGTACATATTTTCTGCATTTCTATGAGTGTATATTAGTTTATAATCAGAACATAATAACATAAATGGATTCATTTGTACAGAATCTATTAACACTCTTTTTCAATCCACACATATACATCTATTTGATAAAATAATGTTTTCCTATATTGAAACACAGCTGTCCAAAATTTATCAAGTAAATTTTGAGAGCTAAAGAAGTTTTGTAATATAACAAATTGTTAATTCAAAGGAAGCTTATTATGGAATATGGTTAAATTCTCATTATCAAGGTAAATTGACTGTATTATACAATATTTCAGAAAAATTACACAATACAAATTCATCTTTTCATTAGAGCTATACTCAATTGAAATCTAAATTATTAAAATGGTAAAGAGACATCAAGTCACTACTTCACAATTATTTCAATTTTTATTTTTTAACCTTCACATGATAGTAAAAATATTACTTAAAAATGATCAGTTGCTAAATGAATTTCATCAATAGATTTTTTAATTCAAAAAAAATCAGCTTTTTAAGAGTAACTAAAATTTCCCCAAAAAGAAAGATTATATCTTTGTATGTTATTATTTGATAAGAGAATCTATTTTATTTCATTAATCAAAATGCTATAAAAACAGGCAAAAGAATAATTCAGTTAAAGTGGCAGTTTTGTATGTCTGTGGGGAATAAAAGAGAACTTCAGCTAGAGCCATCTGACATGCTTGGTGGCCTCTAAGGCACAATCCACTTTAGTTAAACTCACTATACACCTCAATCTTTTGAAACACTGACTGCCAAGAGAGGCTCCAGAGCTTTAGACCACGCATCTCTCCACGTCCTCCTCCTGTCCCCTGTCCTTTCAAATAGGGCCAATACTTCTAAGCCTGCTTACACAGAAATTCTAGATAAGTCCTCTGCAACTAGATCATCAGCTTTTTGTGGTCCAAAGACCTCACTAGAGGGCATGTGAAGCTTGAACTGGAAAAAATGAACCCTGAAAACAGGAAGATCAGGCACAGATCAAAATGGAAATGTCTACAATGTCGTGCTGGGCTGAGAAATAGAGGAAAGTTGCAGATAACTTGGGTGACTCAGTTGATGGTGTCAACATTCATTACAATAAGAACATGGGAAAAGCAAGTCGGGCTTAGGAGTAAAACTTACATCTGTTTGGAATATGTTAAACTGGGGTATGTTGAATCCTCTGTGTGGTTTCAACTAGTTAGTAAACAGTTGAATATTCTGGTCTAAGTTTCAGAAGAAAGGCTTTTGGAAGAAAGGCCTTGGCAAAAAATCAAGAAATCTATTTTATTTCTTATTTTCACCTGATACATTCTTACCATTGGAATACTCCTATTTATTTCTTTTGTATAGACTTTATATTAAATTTACCTATTTTCTCCTACTTTTGAAATTCTTCTAGTAAAGTGAAAACTTGGACATATATACATGTACACCATGTACTAGGAAAAGGGGAAATGAACATTCTTTTTTCTTTTTAGTTGGTGTTACTCTTTATTTATTAGACTGCCCATATAAATGTACCCAACAATTTGAGTAACGTCACTTGGCAGAAGGAGACATTTTTGAGTCATGCCATAGATTTGAGCCCTGCTCCATCATTTACTTGCTGTGGGACTTTGGACCTGCATCCACCCTCTCAGAACTTGTGTCTTCATTGTGTATCACCTATTTTACAGATTGTTGTGAGATTAAACAAGGTAAGATACAAAAGGGTCCTAATACACTGACTGTTAAAACTGAGCAGTGACTTAGAATAATCTCTTGAGCAGTCCAGGGCACATATTGACCTCTTAAGTCTCCTTTAGAGTTATAATATTAGCATAATAACACTGAGCTTTAAGAAAAGTCTTTAAGCCAGTGATTCCTGTGTATATACCCTCCAGAGGGATTCCAAATCCCCAGGAACTGAATGAAAGTCATGGTTGAATGCACTCGTATGCATACTTTTTCTGAACAAAGGATCCATAGCTTTCATCAGATTTTTCAAAGAAATCTCTGAATGGAAAAAATGCTAAGAGTCCTTGCTTTGGGCTCTTTTTACTTCTGCCTACAAAGAAAATGTCTTTGGAATAAAAATATAACTGGTCACGCTAATTTCAATTACCGTCAGCCTGTGTAAGAAGATACTCTTTGAGCTAACAGGCTCACAGAAAATAATTTCTTCTGTGTGTGTGTGTGTGTGTGTGTTTCCTGTCAAGTTAGACAGACTCAGTGTGTTAACATTTAGAGTCCTGTCAAGAAGCATGCAGTTGTTAAATGTCTTCTTTCACCTTGGTAATCTTTATACCTCTATAGTCTATGAAAACAATGGCCACCATAAATATTTCTGTAGCTGTTAATAATAAGGTTGACAGTACTACTGCCAAGCTCTATCCTTAGCCAAATTAGATTGCACATATTATTTCCTATAAAACTTCTCTTGTATTTAAATCAAAAAGGATAACTTTTAACTATTCCCAATATTTTAAAATTTCAACTTATGAGAAAAATCAAAGAAGAATTTCACTTTTAACTGCAATCTAGTGGGTATTTTCTTAGACATTTTTCCCAGCAGTGACTACCTTAAGTAAAGTTATAAACTACCACTTCTCAATATGGGTGCTTCTTGTCTTTCTTGTTTCCATGTGAGGATGACAAGATCATTTGCTTAAGGAGCCTGTAGTTCTCAATAAGCAATCATTGATTGTCCAAAGAATGTATAGTGCTGTTCATTATAAGGGAAGCTTTCCACAATAGAATGAGATTATTGAATGGCTGAAATTAGAGGGTACTTATTCTTTCATTTTACCTTCACAAAACCCAATAGGAAAAAACAAAACAAAACAAGGTCAGAAGGAGCTCTCCTAGGATTTTTCAATTTCATTTCCTTATGATTCTCCCAGTTAACTGTTTTAAGTACATGCATTTTCTCTGCTCCTTCCCAAATCCTGCTGAAACAAGAGTGAAGGTTTTAAGGTCGTAAAAAGATACAAATACAGGAACAAAGAGGATGGGATAATAGCAAGTGAAAAAATGACAACAGATCTCAGAAAAATGATAAGAAATGGAGACAGCAAAATGAGAAAAGCAAAAAGCCAAGTGCCTACAAAGAGGGATGCCAATAATACAAAAGCCATTTCCATCAGGAAAAAATAGGAAAAGGTATAAAAACTAAGAAATTTAGTAGCGCAGATGGTGAAGTTGAAAGGTAGGACTGAAAACAAGAATAACAATTAAAATCCTTATAAATTGCTATTAAACTCTGTAAATATCTCTTTATTCAGAGTACCAGGTGTACCAGGTGACTAACTCCATTCTGGCAAAAAACTATAAATTTTTAAATGGAGAAATGAGCCAAAAAGTCACTACATTTGGGGACACCACACACAGTGGAAAATGGGGAAGGGGAGGCTAACTGTAAAAATAACTTTTTGTTTCTTTTTGGTTTTTTTTGAATGTCCACATGGTGAGCCAAACTACTTGGAATCATCTGTAAAAATGCTGGCAGCCAGATATGTAATTTAGCAGCAGACAAACTGACAGATTTCTCTCTGGAAAGAGAGAAATCTTTTGAGTTAACTAAGGTGGGTAACTCAAACAAATGGTCACACACCTGCTCACAGTAAAGTTCAAATCAACAGATATTTGTGCAAAAACTCTAGCTCTAAAAACAGACCCGATTTAAACAAACAGAAAGAAAAGAACCCTGAGGGAGGAGACAATTCAGGGACTTGAAAATAACATTTAAGAAATTAGCATCCTAAAACATATGAAAAAATATATTGTATCTATCAACCAAGTATCATGCATTTAAAGAAAAATGATGACAAGAAAGATGGTTTTAGAAATTGAAAGTATCATATATGGTATTATCATATACAATAACTGCGAAGGAAAAGTCAAGAAAATTCTCAGAAAAAGAAAAAACATACACCTGGAAAATCTGAGAAAACATACTAGAAAATTAGAGGATCCATTTAGAAGGTCCAGCATATAATTAGTAAGAATTCCAGAAAAAGGAACAAAAAAAGTGTGAAAAATATTATCAAAGATGCCATGGGATTGGGGGTGGGGACGGGAATCCCCAAACTGAAAGACATAAGTTTCCGGATTCAAAGTTTCCAGATTCAAAGCATCCCTCAAGAGCTCAGAACAATGAATGAAGAAAAAAAAAAGCCCCAACTTTCATTGCTTGGAAATTTTGGAAATACCAGACAGGAGAAAAGATCCCCAAATATTGCCAAGAGAAAAACAGAAATTTGGCATCCAAATGGCATTGGACTGCAATAACAGCAATACTGGAAGCTAGAATAAATTGGAAAATATTTGCAAAATATTGAGGGAAAAGTACTATCAACTGAATTTCATACCCAGGCAAACTATCAAACAAGTAGGGGGTATATAAAAAGTATTTTTGAATGTGTCAATTCTGAAAGAAGACAGAAAAACAGGAAAGATGGGAAGACAGGAAAGAAGGGAGGTGGGATGGAGGGAGGGAGGGAGGCAAAAGAAAATAAATATTACCATGTATAGGAAATAAATATCATGTAATAAGAAAGTATTGGGGGTCATATAATTGTGTCAATTATGAATTCATTACCTCTCAACTATAAATATACCTTTCAATGTGTCCTCTGTGATAAATAAGTGAGTTCTTTTAAACATATCTTCTTTAAAGAGGGCATTATGTTAAGATTTTAGGTAGCAGTCTCAGGAGGGATGCTGCAGGAAGAAGAGGCTTCCTGCAATTTCTGGCACAGGTTTGGGAGTGGAGTAGGCAGGTGTTGGGTGTAGGGGGGTGGTCAGCAGTTTGAGTGTGAGAACACTTGGTACAGTCCATCCTAGTCACAGGCCCAGGACCTGATTTGTCCTCTCCGACCTTAAAGTCTTGGCCTGATGATAACCTTCCCATAGTTCTTTGACATGAAAACCTGAGATTTACACGATCTGCCTGCTCTCCAGGCCTCCTTCCAGTGCAGGTGCTTGGACTCTGTCAGCAAGCCCTCACACCATCTGCACTCAGTGGCGTACTTTGCTTGGGCTCTACCAGCAAGCCCCCTCACAATTAAGCACCCACTCCCCCACAGCAGCAGCTGCTGATCACTTGTTCACCAGCCTGCAATCCAGAGGATGCTTACTGTTTGCTCAATAACCCCAGAACAACTCCAACCTGGCTAAACCAGTCAACTTTTCTCCTACCCCCTGGCCAAAACACAACTCAAACAAAGTATGGACCCCTTCAAGTTGACCTTTCTTAGGTAATCTCCCTCACCCTTAGGGTACCATATAAAGTATCCTTACATAGTACAGTTACTCTTGCCATGTTTAATGATTATTCACATTAAATGTCCCCCTCTTTAACCCATAGTATGGATTGCATTCTATCTCCTGATTGGGCATAGACTACTACAGATATACTTTCAGTGAAATGAAATACTAAACTAAGAAGGAGGAAGATATGGTATCCCCGAACTAAAGGATCTAATTCAGCTGAGAAGCAAAGGGGGATTCTGAATGACGAGAAAGAGAGAACTTAGAATTACAGCTGGGCCAATGACCTAGATATTACCCATCCAGACTGCAGCATGAGAGTGGAATTCTTAAGAAAGGATTTCTCTGTCCCGGCTCAGTGGCTCACGCCTGTAATTCCAGCACTTTGGGAGGCTGAGGTGGGCGGATCACTAGGTCAAGAAATCAAGACCATCCTGGCCAACCAAGATGGTGAAACTCCATCTCTACTAAAAATACAAAATTTAGCTGGGCATAGTGGCACACACCTGTAGTCCCAGCTACTCGGGAGGCTGAGGCAGGAGAATCGCTTGAACCCGGGAGGCGGAGGTTGCAGTGAGCCGAGATCGCGTCACTGCACTGCAGCCCGGGCGACAGAGCAAGACTCCGTCTCAATAAATAAATAAATAAATAAAGGATTAAAGGATTTCTCCCAGATAAGAAAGAAAAAGGAAAGAGTAACTGATAGATTTCCTGTAAGTATCTGACATTGGGCAAAAGAGAATTCGAGTCATACACTTCGGAAGAATTAGATGTAGGGATATAGAATATAAAGGAAAAAGGTCTTAATTAAATGATTACCAACAGTGAACAACACCTACATAGCAATCATACTGAAAAAAAATCATCCATTACAAAAGGTGAATAAGAAAAAATATATACATAAGAGAAAAATGAGGCAATGTAGCTTGAAATAAACATTTCTTTTGGTCTCTGGTTAGACTAGAAGTATTAATTAAGTTTTTAGCAGTCACTTATCAGGTTGCCTCTCAAGTTCCTCCCTCTCCCTTTTATTAATCTTGGTCTTCACTCAATGTACATGATAAAATTCCTGGACCATCAGCAGCCATTTTGAAAAATGGGATTATGCCCTCTTCATTTGATCCAGGGATGGGCACAATCCCAAAAGAGGCCAATGAGAATCGTTTTCCTAAACTCTGCTTCCTTGACTAGGGGTTAATGGAGGTACTTCACACAAGCTGGGCAGAAGCTGAGATACACGAGGTCTCTATAGATGCTTACAGTGTTAAATTTCTAGTTCCAGGTCATTCCTGAGGCATAGCTGTATTCCTGCTATTTGGGTTCCACCAGCTTTCCATGAATTGTTCAAGTGGGCATATTTAATTTACTTTCTTTTGATTGAACTATTACAGGATACCACATTTCTAAAGAAATTCTTTCTAATCTCTCAAAATATTCATTAGTTTATATCATTTTATGTTTTTTCCTTGACACACTGCAGATTGAGTCTTGTAGTCTAACATATAGGTCAATTGATGTTGCAATGGCAAATTAAAAATGCCAGTTATCAAGGATGAAATGTAAATACATTATTACATTCTGTAAGGTGTTATCGGTGCAATCAACACCCTGAGAGAAAGAAACATGATTTGAGACTCAGCTTATATAAACATAGTGGGTCACGAGATGTCCCCACATCTTGATTGAGCTTCTACCAATTTTTGCGTTTGTTTCCTGTTTCTTTAAACAGTGAAACTGATTTTGTTCTTACTTACATTTAAATTTCACCTTGAAATTATGCCACTGTTCCTTATCAAATACTGACATATTCCTAAATTTAAACACTTGAGAAGGATAAACCCAAATGATAAATATCACTTAGTAATCCTCCAAGGTCCCTTGTCCCTGAATACTTTATGCTCGACTGCTGATTTGTAAGTCAAATAGTTTAGGTGTATGCCAGTGTTCACAGTCAGTCTTATCAACCTCATAGCACAGAGACCTTGTAATGTAATATCTCATCACCAAAACGACAGTTAGATAACCTAGGATCATGCTTCAAAGAATGTCTTAGCTGGCAAATACATATTTTTCAACAGATTGTTTGGTTGACTTAAATATCAGAACTGTCTTTCACCAAGTCTTGATCGACCGACTGTTAACTTTGAACCAGCACTGCCTTGTTTTGAATGCATTTCACTTAAGGTGATGAAAATAAAACCCTGTAGTATTAATAGAAATACCTTAAAACCTTCATTTACTATCCACAAAATAACTATTTGGCATATATATAACCCTTTAGAAATCGAAACATCTTGTATCTATTTGAATTGCTAATGTGAAAAAAAGACATGCAGAGAAAATTCCTAAATAATAGGAAGTTCTTAAATACAGGCTTTCATTTTCTTATTATAAAAAGTTGGCACTAATTATGTAAGTCTTTCTGCTAACTTATAGTTTAAAGCTGGATGATGGTCTTTGGTGCTTTATTACCATGATGAATGGAAGAAAACGTATTCAACACACTTGGATCACAGTTAACAGACTACAGAAATTGTTTCTCTTTTTGTTCCTCTGATATTGTTTTATGAAGTTCAAGCTAATCAAAATCTAAATCTAAAAGGGAGAAAATAATTTATTGATTAGAAATGGGCAATGGTGCCTAAGCCCTGTAATGAGATGAATACTAAATCCACCAGAGGAACATTCTGAATGCTATTTTTACTCATTATAGGAAATGGTTATTGTTAAACCTTTGGAAAGAAGACTATAGAAAGATGCTTGGAGATGAGGGTCTCTTGAGACTTATCAGTAATTTCAGATGGAACATATTAAGAAAAAACAAGAGTTCTCACCCACTGTGCATCTCATTGCAACATATGCCCTGCTGCAGTCCTAATCTGAAGTCAACTAAAGTCTTGGTATATGTCCTGGAATTTATTTACCCCTAAGAGAGCTTACAGACATTGAAACTGAATTCACCACATCTGGTTCAAAAGTGTGTCATCCTGAAGGTAGCATTACTCAAAAGACAGTAAATAAATAGAGGCTATTTTCCCATAATATCCCAAGTTATATCACATGTAATTTAACAGATAATATGTATTTTCATACTATAGCTACTAAGTCATTATTATGTTTATTAGAACATGCCAGAAGTATAAAAATAGTATTTTATATTTATATAACACAGAATAGATAACAAGAATCATTTTTTTAACATCCTAAACAACCTAGGAGCAGTTACTTATTAATTTGCCTTTCAAAACCAGATTCGCTGGGCTCCCATTGAGCTCCCAACTTGTAGGTAGCAGGAGAATTTAGACCAAGATCTTTTATATCAAGATTCTAAATTCAGTATTTCTTTTACCTAAGAGGTCTCCTAATTAGTACTTATAAAATTCTCTTTAAAAGATTAAAATTGAAAAATGGAACTGCCCACTTTTAAAAATTTTACTGAATTCACCCAGGAGTTTAAATTAAGTAAATTTTAGACACAGATGATGGTAAATTTCTCTGTACAATAGACAAAGTATTAAATAAAAGAATGATAATCTAATGTAACAATTCTGTTTATTTCAGAAGCAGTGGAAAGACTTTATGCCTCATTAAGGGAAGTCTTTTGCTTCATTTTCAGTTAGAAAACCCTGCTAGCGGAATTATATCTGGGCTATTTCTAAATATTTCATTCTCATTTGTAAACGGGAATGTTATTTCCTTAATAGTTACACATGCCCATGAAGTACATAGAGAGTTCCTGTACATAAAAAAGATTACTAAAGAGATGTAGATATTATAAGAGAAAATAACCAGTGGGGAAATAAAGGAAATGTGGATTTGAAATAGAAAAGGAATATGGATTTGGAAAATTTTTTTTTCTATAGGCTGTTACTTTAAATGACAATTGAATTACCAAGTAGAAGAGTGGGTTTCTCTCTAATAAACCTATTGATATTATTTATGGATCTCAAAAGTATAAAGATACACTAAAAATGTTGTTATGGTCACTATATGTGAGATAATTGTATGTACAAGTGAAAAGAATAACAGAACATTTTCAAAATATATTCATACCCATAAACCCAGTAAAATAAGAGAATTCATAAATTTACCTTTTTAAAATCAACATTATATGAAAAACTAAAGAATATTGTATTTTGAAGCGCCGTTCTGCAAAAGAATAAAATGTGTTTTCTTTCGTAAGAGTATAGTAGCACATTCATTAAGTAAGTGAATGCTGCACATTTTGAAATAAATTTATTTTAAAGGCACTGGGTGCATTGTTTTAATCACAAGAGGAAAAACCTTTTCTGATGTTATACTCAAACCCCTTGTGTTCGCAAGTCTCCCAAAAAGCTTACACATGTTTCCTATGGTGAATTTTCCACATGCTTGCTAGAGCTGACAATTTTTAATTTACTGGTCAGATTTACCTATTATTTGTACGCATTATACTAGACATATTCCTGATTCACCAAAATTCTTTGTAGGGATAGAAGGAAATTATAGTCAATAGAGCTGAGGTCAAGTGGGCCCTTAGATCTTAATTATAACTTGTTTAAAAAAATAAGAAAAATGAAAAAATAACTGGCTCCCTTGGCTATTTTCTTACCAGGAAACAAATGAAAAAGGGAAATTTATTTCTGACCATAAATCCCAAATGTTTCATTTTCATTTTCCCCAAGTTAACTTTCTCACCTAGCTAAGCAGCATTTTTGCTATTATTAGCTTGTGGTCCAATATTAGCTGACCAGTATCCGTCAAACTCCTCAGTTCAATGAGCTCAGGGACTCCCAAAGAACTCTGTGTATGCAGACTTCTACTTACAGCTTCTAATTATTTTCTAACAGATAATGGAATATTTAATTCAGAGAGGTTAGATTAAATTTGTAAGTGGATCAAAACCCTAGATAAAGTTGCAGCAGCAAGGATCACTGTAGAAAACTCAAAGCTTTTTAGTTTTGAGATCCAACACCCTCACTGATTGCTTATTCGTCTGTGACGAACTGGTCTCATAATTGTAATCCTCAGAGGTGCTCATTTTTTTTCTAATCACACTATGCCATGCTATACATAAACTGTAAGCAACAGGCACCAAAAAGATGGCCTCTTAGGAGATGCAATAGCATTTTTTGGGAAAAAAACAAGCTATATATGTAGTATACATAGAATACTATGATTGTTTTAATAGACTCAAATAAGTATAGATTGTATGATAATCACTTCATGAAAAGCGTTAATGATTAAAACATTTATGCAATATTTATAAAAACTTTTTCGCATCAGATTTTTTTTTTTTTTTTTTTTTTTAGACAGGGTCTCACTCTGTCTCCCAGGCTGGAGTGTAGTGGTGCGATCTCTGCTCACTGCTGTCTTGACCTCCAGGGCTCAACCAATCTACCCACCTAACAAGCTGGGACTATAGGCATAAGCCACCATGCTCAGGCTCCAGAATCTTTTTTTTTTTAAATAAATTCAGAGGATTTGTGTGTGTATGTGTGTTTTAAGAAAGTTATACACAGTTTGATTTTCTAATCTGAGAGTAAGAGTGAGTAACATAAAATGTCATATGGAGCAATAATAAATAAGAAGAAAAAGATGAGGCCATCAACTGGCTTTGAACAGTAAGAATACCTCTTGAACAAAGCTTGATTTCCATCGATGCAGCGGGCAGCTGAAGGAAATCAGAAGAAAAACTCAGAAGAAACAAAACTTTTGACTGAACTGCCACAGGTATTGTTACATGTGGCCCACCTGCCTCTCATTTAATGTGATCTTTTGGAGGAGGCAGAGTAATGGTATGAGAAGCCAGTTGACTTTAGAGCTAGGGAACTTTCAGTTCAAATCCAGGCTCTGTCTTCCCTTATCGGCTTTGCAATGAGAACAATGATTTAAATACTATCTGTAAGCTTTATTCTTCTCTCAAAATAGGCATATTAATACTGGTTTGTAGGCATTCTTGTAGCCCAATATAGATACAAAGAATCATTTAATTCTTTATAATTTACAATTTTGATCTTAATGCTACATGTGGTTCTAGAAAATCTTCGGAAAATATTTCTGCTATTAATAGTGGATTCATGGTGGATAATGGAACCAAGGAATGCTAGGCTGATCCTTTTTCACCCTGGCTTTGGTGTGCAGTTGAGTTAAATTATTTTCCACTATACTCCATTTCCTTATTGTACAGATTAGCTCTTGTAATTAGAAAAGGGGCAGGAGGATATTAGTGCAAATAAAACCATACCTAAATTCACCCTTGTTTACATTAATATATTCAGTTAATTTGGATGGAAATCAGCCCACATGTGATCCAGGATTACTGACTTCTGCCCCTCAATGTGGAATCACTTTCTAAACATTAAGAAGATTTCTAGCAATCTGGGGTCATCTCTAACCCTCTACTTGAGAGAACCATTTTACTAACTATGACCATTCCTAAGGGTGATGATGGTATGCAGACTATACACCAGAATGAAGGCCTCAGCAGCAGCCCAAGAAGCAAAGGTTTTTCTCTGACTTTCTCCTGTCCTCCTGTCGCTCAGTCCCATTTTCCACCAAGGCAAGCCATAGAACCTAGAATCCCTCTTTCCCCAGACAGAGCATACAAATGAGAA
Source organism: Homo sapiens (assembly GCF_000001405.40). Taxonomy (NCBI): domain Eukaryota; kingdom Metazoa; phylum Chordata; class Mammalia; order Primates; family Hominidae; genus Homo; species Homo sapiens. The sequence goes on from NC_000002.12 coordinate 211,609,196, forward strand.
CCCCTTTTCCTGAAAGCCAGCCATAAAATCTGAAAATATTCTATGTAAAAACTGGCCATAAAAGAATGATCTGACCTACCTGTTTGACTGTAGGTCATTAGACCCACATTCCAGAGAGGGCCCTGCCCCCACACCCAGTAGGAAAGAATGCATGCTCAGAGAAATCAACAAGAATTTAGACAGACAGGCCTTGCTGGGTTTCCTCACTCAATTAATATTAGATCACACTCTTTCACACTCAATCATATTTCCATAAGTCTGGCTATACTTTTTTGAACCTAAGCATAAGAATGGACAATTTTCCCTGTATCTTTGGGTCTTCATTAAATACATTTTAAAGTCTTTTAATTAGGCATTTTTCTTCAGAAACAGGATCTTGCTCTGTCACCCAGGCTAGAATGCTGCACCAGGATCCTAGCTCATTTCAGCCTTGAACTGCTGCACTCAAGTGATCTTCTCACCTCAGCCTCCCACAGTAGCTAGGACTACAGGGGTAGGACACCATGCCTGGTAGAGATGGGGTCTTGCTACCTTTCCTCCTATTAATTTGCATCATGTCAGTGAGTTTTTAAGAAAAACCTTTAGGAAACCAAGGGCCTTGGCCCCTACACTGACAAAGTTCCTGTCCATGACTTAAGGACATAACCAGGTAAATAAAAACAGACCTATTGTCCATTTCTTTAGTTTCTGTCAGTCTATGGTTTGGAAATTGTAGACATAAACCTCTGACTGATAACAACAGTGGTGTTAAGTAAAATGAGGAATTCTCTTGATTATTTTGAGGAAACGATCATAAAAAATTTTCTAAGCTATCCTTGTAAAGTAGACGCTTTTGTAATACCATTTTTAGCAATGCCAGCCATGTGATCATTGTAATAAGTAATTACCCAACGGTATCATTAAACTTAAAAAAAAAAGATGAAGAGAATTTTTATCTTTTATCCACATACCATACATGTGTAAAGATACATATGTCTTTTTATTAGATTTTTAGATGTGTCTTTTTATTAGACTTATTAGATTTTATTAGATACATATGTGCCTATTGCAATTATCACAGCATAGTAAGCCTTTTTTCCCTTAACCAAATTACTGCCCTATGAATAACTAATTACTTCATGCCATATAATGCAAACCAGGACTTTATGCAGATAGTCCCTTCCTCCTGCAGGAACAGTATTTTGTATCCTTAACTCTGGAAACAGATCATTAACAAAACCATTGAGGTTTGACATATTGGAAATTGCTGATATTTTGGAAATTCTATTTTCTGGTGTTTGCTTGTCCTTTGGGCAAAAGATTTCTACCTGCATTTTATGAACAGCTGAATATTAGAAACTGTTCCTCCTAGTGATACAGTCAAACTGAGTGGGGATTTTTCCTAAGTCATCATAAGTATCGGTTGCTGTTCAGATTGGAATAAGAAATTGCACATGATTAGTTTAATTCTCTTTCAGCCCTATGTGGCATCATAACACATCCTCTAGTCATGTACAAAATTCACAAACTGTAGGTTAGAGAGCTGGAAAATACCTACAATATGGAAAACGATGTCTTCAACAGACAACTGATTTCCATTTACTAAATGCAAATATTGGTGCAGTAGACTATGTGCTCTTGAGAAATGTCCTTTCATTCACACAAATTCAAGAAATGCTTCGGAGAAACAGAGGCAGACAAAAAGTTAATTAAGTTACAGGTTGAGGCTTACGGAGAGCAACCTGTATTGGATCTGGATAGTCTCTTTTAGGTACTTCAATGGAGAAATTAAGCCTGTTGGAATGCAAAACTTGTCAAGCACTTTGTCTTAGTATCCCCTAAGGCAGTATTTAAAGCTCAAATTTTAGGATCACTACTAAATTCTGTTAACTCTCAACTGGAAATGCCTGCAGTCAACTGAGGGACTAAGTGGCTATGTTGGCTGGACTTCCTGGGTCAATAGGGACTTCCCTAAGGGGACTTTCCCCTAAGCCAAAATGAGCCACAGCTGCAAGCTAAGGGATTGAAACTTCAACCAATCATATAGGGAGTTTAAGCTACAGCTGCAGCCTGATGTTTTTAACCAATCGGGCCCGCCAACCCACAAGCAGATAGAAAATAAGCTAATTCTGTAGGACAGAAAAAGGAAAAGGGGAGGGGTCATAAGGGGATATAAGCATAAGACACCCAAGCCAGAAAGGCAACCCTTCTGGGTCCAAAGTAAGGTGTGGAAGCTTTACTTTTGCTTTCGCTTTACTTTTGCTTTCGCTTTAATGAGTCTTGCTGCCACACACTCTTTAGGTCCGCACGTTGCTCTAATCCAGCTGTAACACTTGCTGCTGTGGTTCACGGCTTCATTCCTTGAAACCCGTGAGACCACGAACCCTTCGATGAAGAAAAACCTTCAATCGAAAGAAGAATTTCATCTCACGACTGCTTTCATTTATTTATTTTTGCCAAAATCTGTGATAAAATCAACTTTATTTTTCTTTTCATCCTTGTATTCTCACTCTTACTGAAACAGAAAATAAAATAGAGAGGTCAAAAGGAGAAGAGATCCTGATGCACGTTTTAGCTGGAGAAGCAAACAGTATCCCAAATTACTACACAAGTCACCAAGAACTCAGAAGTAAGAAGCTAAAAATGAAACCTAATACTACCCTCCCATGTATAATGGAAACACTAACAGGCAAGCACTCACAAGATTCCCTTAAAACAGGTTCCCCTAATAGAAACTAAGGAAAGTTATTGGCCTATTGCATGCATAGGAAAAAATCTTCCAAGGGTCTTCCTCCTCAAAGGGTTTTCAGAGGGTACATGAATACCATGTCAAAACGGAAGGTCTAGTTCTCTGTGTTTCATCTGGCACTCTAAATTCAAGACAGATCTTAAATTGAGTTTGTAGAAATGAATCATATATGAGCACTATAAATACCTAAGAAAAATTATTCCAACTACAATATGCTAAATAAAGATAGAACAATTGGGAAAAATATCACAGAAATTAATTGGGCTGGTATAGAGAGGATGTAAAGGAGAATAATAAGTCTTTAAAACATGGAAAAAAAAATCAATTCAGACAATTAACCAAGTAGTTATTCTGTCTCCTATGTGCTGATATTGTGCTTGCTCATAGATATGCAGTGATGGAGTCAGCAGACATATTTGCTGTCATCAAGGATCTTGTAGTCTAGTGGTGGAGAGTGGAATTCTACAATTAAAAACTAAGATAAATAATATTAATATATAATAACTTATTAAAATTTCTGAGTACTATTAGTAAGTTATAACTTTAGAAATCAGGAAAGGGCTCTTTGAGAAAGCACACTTAAGCTGAGAAAATAAGGATAACTAGGAGTTCATTAGGTATGATTGGAAGATGAAAACTCCAGGTGAAGGCACTGACTGGCTTGGCTTATAAGGGGAGTGGAAAGAAAGTCAGTGAAGAGAAAGACTATTGGAAAAGAAATCAGGAGCTCTGTAAGCTAAGAATCTGATATTTTACTTTAGTAAAGCCACTAAAGGTCTCATGCAGAGGACCTGCACAATTCAAGCTTTGTATTAAAAAGTAGGGAGATCAAATCTAGTCTCATAACTTAAGCTGAAGAAGTTGAGGGCTGAGATTAAGATGACGACAAAAGAGTATAAAAAGAAGAGGAAATTGTCCAGATGTGTTTTTGGCATAGAATCAAAGCATTTACTCTCGAATTGGAGGTTGGTTGTTTGTGGGGTTGTGACATTCAAGGATAAATTTCAAATTTCTGGTAGGGACAATAGGGTGGATACAGATACAAAATATATAAATGGGTGAAATCGAAGGCAGAAGAGATTGAGAAGAGTGGATGAAGGCATCTATTCAAGGTGTGCTAGACTTGGGACGTCCCTGAGATTTCCATGTGGCAATATTAAGGATGGAGACAAGGTCAGATTCACAAAACAGACTAGAGATGGAACTTGGTAGTCTAGTGAGATGATCTAGGAAAAATTTATAGATTGAAAAGAAGTCTAGAACTTTGCATTGAGATATTTCAATATTTCTGATATTGCTTACTGCCTGTATGATTTTAAGAAGCAGGAAAGTTGAAGATTTTTTGTAAGAACATGGTTACAATGATGGTCCATGAATCTAAGCGGGCTGCAGAGAGATGTGAGATAGGAAGCACTGAGGGATCGTGAGACAAAGGAGAGTCAGTGAAAGGAAAATGAACTAGAAAGGCAGGAGAATGTAGCTGAAGATGGAGATATTTGAAATAGTAATTTCAAATGTGAGGCTCCTGCTGATTGCTTACTAGTTCTAGAGACAACCTACAAAATGGGAGAAAATATTTGCAAACTAGCCATCTGACAAGGGTTTAATAACCAGAATATATAAGGAGCTCAAACAATTCTATACGAAAAAAATCTAATAATCTGACCAAAATGTGGGCAGAAGACTTGAATAGACATTTCTCATAGGAAGACATATAAATGTCAAATAGGCATATGAAAAGGTGCTCAATATCACTGATCATCAGAGAGCTGCAAATCAAAACTACCATGGGATATCTCACCCCAGTTAAAATGGCTTAATACTTACATCCAAGACAGGCAATAACAAATGCTGGCAAGAATGTGAGGAAAAGGGAACCCTCATACACTGTTGGTGCAAATGTATATTAGTATAACCACTATGGAGAACACTTTGGAGGTTCCTCAAAAAACTAAAAATTGAGCTACCATACGATACAGCAATTCCACTGCTGGGTATATACGCAAAATAAAGGAAATCAATATATCAAAGAGATATCTGCACTCCTATGATTGTTGCAGCACTACTTACAATAGGTTAGATTTGGAAGCAACCTAAGTGTCCATCAACAGATGTAGGAATAAAGAAAACATGGTACAAATACACAGTGGAGCACTATTCAGCCGTAAAAAAAGAATGCAATCAAGTCATTTGCAAAGCTTGGATAGAACCGGAGATCATTATGTTAAGTGAAATCAGCAAGGCAGAGAAAGACAAACATCATCTGTTCTCATTTATTTGTGAGATCTAAAAACCAAAACAATTGAACTCATGAAGATAGAGAGTAGAAGGATGGTTACCAGAGGCTGGGAAAGGTAGTAGGGGGCTGGGGATGGTTAAATAAAATAAAATGTAAAAATATAAAGAATGAATAAGGCCTACTATTTGATAGCACAACGAGGTTACTATAGTCAATGGTAACCTAATTGTGAATTTTAAGATGACTTAATGAGTGTGATTGGATTGTTTGTAACTCAAAGGATAAATGCTTGAAGGGATAGATACCCCATTCTCCACGATGTGCTTATTTCACATTGCATGCCTGTATCAAAACTTCTCATGTACCCCATAAATATATACACCTGCTCTGTACCCACAAAAATTAAGAATAAAAAATCCACTATTAGTATGGAACAGGATATAGCTAAGAGTTACTATGTGAAGCCATACACATGAAATTTTATAATGTGAAAATGTTATAGAACAAAATACCTTTTCAAATAATTTTATAAGCCTGTTATACTCTAAGAGAAAATGTAAACTGATAAATTATATTCATTTCACTTGATTAATGTAATATCAATTAGATTTAAAATAATTCCCATCAAGATACTGCATATCAAATGGAAATATGGAGAAGAGAAACATACAAAGACTATTCACATGAACATTTCTTCAGAAAATAGGATAACAGCAGTTGTGTAAGATAAATAAAATTTCCTATGGTATATATAGAGAAAAACAAGCTATTCTTTTTAATAAGAATATTACCATTTACATAATAAAGTCAGATGACTTAAAACACTTTTCCTTGCAGTATCTCACTGTGGTAAATCTGGTGTGGAAAAGTTGAAACAAAAGCCAAAAAAATTCATGCGAATGCAAAGCCATGACTGTTGAGTAGTCACTAGAATTGAGAATAATTACATAATTTCTTTCATTTTTTTTAAGAAAGCAAGTAATTTAGATAAAACATTTAAAAACAGTCAACTGTTACTAGGTTTAAATACTGGGGAAAAATACAGAGTGAAGGGAACTCAGAAAAAGTGAATAGTCTGTCTGATTTCATGAGATAGTGGTGCCCAATTTTAAGAATCTTGTTCAATAGCATCATTTCTTATGTATGTGTTCTGCACCATTTTGTGGATTTAAAAAAAAAAGAAAACAAAAAACAACAAAAAAGCCTGCATTTTCCCTGTGAAATGGTTCTGTCTGAAACAAGAACTAGGAGCAGGTGTAAATGCAGGTATTCTTATGAAGGTGCGCCTTTAGAGTCATTTTCTTAATGTTGTTCAATATGATCTTTCTTTATGGGAATGAAGAATGTACTGGTCATTCACTAGCAGTGTGTTATTATTGTCATTATGAATCCATTAGACATATTCGGGTGAGCAGAGTAACAGCCCTGGGTGACCAAACTCTCCTTCTCTTGCTTTTAGTGTAGCATTTAATAGAACACAAACTGCCCCTTATTTATTTTTTGCCTATGGTAAAAATTCTAAGAAAATATAAAAGTCCTCTCCTTTACCCTTGAATATCAATAGAAGTTTCATTGTGGTGATAAATTTTGAGTATTAAGTTGCCACATTTGTGTTATTTATTATAATAACCAGTAAAGCACAGCTATGTGTGATGAATAGAGTAGTGGTTATTGAATCTAGAATATTCTATTTCAAGCATAAAGTTAGAGTGGAGAAAAGGGAGTCTAATGATTAATAAGATTGTGCAATTTCCATTGTCTTTGAAAGCTTTTTTCCCCTGAAGAACTGTACAAACAAGCATACAAATACAAATATGCACATACGCTAGTTTGCAGAAACATGGTTGCAGCAGATCTTATTTAGCTTGAAAGTTATCCTTGGAACACTCTACCATAGTGTTATACCAGATGACCCCCACCCACCTTTCTTTGCTTGACAGCTTTCTCTTTCCACTGAGCCTATTTTGCCATCCTTGGCTGGAAGGATATGTAGGGGGTGAAGTGTGGCTCTTTCCCAGCAGCTCTACACCCTCAGCTCCCTTAACCCTTGAGTGGGGTAATTTTGAGGTGTATGTCCTACACTGGCTGCCAGAGTCTCTCCAGTGAAAAGAAGCTCCAGTCACTTACAACGGCAGCTAGCTTTATTAGTTCTCCTGTCTTATTTCTAAACTCCCCCATTGATGAGTCCTTCACCTCCAAAATAAATGACTTTCACATTCTTATTTCAAGGGTAGCTTCTGCATCTGTAAGAACCCAAACTAACACAAGTTAAACTTATTACTTTTAACCAAGTAACTCTGGAATATTTATAATTTCAACTCAACCCTTAGATTCAAATTACAAATAATTTTTCTTGAACCTACCTCTTTTTTGTGGTTTGTTATTCAAATACTTTTATAATGATCTACACACATAACCAATGAGCTAAAAATGTAGGTATGAAATATAGGCTTATGTTTATGTTAAAATTAGAGCAGCCTGCATTAGATACTAAATTCACCGTTGATGTTGCCAGTTAAACTGCATTTTAATCATTGTGATGCTATCCTTCTAATGTTTTGAAAGAAGTCTCGAAAATAGTAGGACATGTTTCTGCCTGGTACTTATTAAACTCTGCTGATAGCTGTCCATCAATCTGTTAATCTTCCAGCATCTATCCACAAGAGAAAAGGCACAGTCAAAATATTTTCTTTAACTTTTTTTAACTTTTAAAGAGAACAGAGTCTTCTGAATCTGTTGGTTACCAAATCCATCAACCATCTAGGAAAATGACTCCTTTCATGGCTCAACCAGAGCCTCATCTAAAATTCAGCAGAAATCTAAGACTTCAAGCTGCCATCTCCACTCTTGTTTCCATGGGAATATACATCAGATCAAGAAAAAAAATGGATGGGGTTAGGAGCTTTCAAATAATCATTCAAAATCATGATGAGGATTTTAGAGATTTTTTCTTAGGTGTGATTATTTTGTAGGCTCTTAACCCCCTTTTGCCAGTCTGTTTCCATGGAAATATGACAAAAATGTCTGTTCAAGCCTCCAGCAGAGATTATTAGCATTCTCATGAATTTCAGCTTTGGCTGTAGTCTAGGCTGGCAAGATTTTTTCTACCAGTTTTATAAATTAACCTATACTGTTTCTACTCTTTGTAATTTTCCTTTATAACTTCTACTTTTTAAAAAATTTCCCTTCACAAATTTATAGTTATGATCAAGATCAAATTGAATAATTGGCATATCACTGAAAAAGGCTTCAGTTTTAAATTTTAATATATGAGCCAGGACATGTAGCAGTGGCGTGTCAGAAACTTTAGAGAACTGGAGAAAGAAACAATATTTAGTTTTTGGCCTTACTGTTATATAGATGCCGGTAGATATGCAACAAGGTGATATTTAAAATATTTAGCAACTGGTAAGGCATGAAACCAACCAATCCGAAAAGCTGGTTTGTACAGGCTGATTATCAACCTACTATATGAGAACCAATAATAAGATAGGCTGAAAGTAGTTTTATATAAAGTAGTTAGCATTATACATAAATAAATTATTCAAGGTCAAAGACAGCTCCTGTAAAACTTGTAAAGGAGCTTACAAGAGAAACTGGATAGAGATATATAGCAATTCATCTTTTAAAAAAATCAGAGTGCATATGCTTGCATCATTTTTCATATGAAGGTCATTTGAAAATAGAAATCATTCTTATTACTCAAGACATTATGCTAAAAGATAGAGAAAGAACATATATGGTCTTTGATAGAACCCCTGGCAAGATGTCTTGTATTGAATGTGAAAAAATAACGGCATGATAAATACATAATTTTATTCCATCCTACTCTGAAATTTGCTGACCGGTTCAAATCTACAATTTTTGCTAGGGGAAATCTTCAAGTTCTGATTGACCTTAAAAAGTACTTTTTTACTCATAGTTGGAGTTTTTTAACCCATAGAGTCTTTTCTTCTGAATTTGAATTAAAAAAATAAATGTCAAGGGGTAATTACTTGACTCAGGTAGGTTCTTAATTTAAATTTAACAGAGACTAACTTGCTATAGAAACTAATCTTGATTGATGTTTTCAACTAAATAGATCATAACCATAATAAAATAAAACAGTATGGTTAATTTTTCAAATTATCAATTTTAGCCCCTGCTTTCCCCTTAGGCAACATCTGGCCTGCAGCTTATTTATGTAAATAAAAAGTTTTATTGGAACAGTCACACCCATTTGCATTAGTTTTTGTTTTGTTTGGTTTTGCTTTAATTATCTATGGCTGCTTTCCTACCAAAAAGAGCAGAGTTGAGTTGCTGCCACAGAGAACACGTAGCATATAAAAGCCTGACTATAATCCAGCCTTATAAAAAAAAAGTTTACTGATACCTACTCAAGCTTGGCTTCCTGAACTCAAAGTCTAGACCTGCCATTTTCTAACTTTCTAACCTTGGGGTAACCTTGGGTTAACCCCAGGTTCTTGGTCTGTCATATTTTGAGGAATAAGTAAATTATTATTTGTGAATTATTTGTAACAGTGTTTAGCACTTAGCAAATACTTTGTAAATATTAGTGACTTATTACCACCACCACATAGTCTTTCTAACACTCTTCAGTGCAACTAATTTTAAGAAATATACACATGAGCTTTGGTTATTAAATGCAATTGGTTTTCCGTTGAAATTATGTATTGCTCTCACTGGAGGGCTATTTGGTTATATTTAACAAGAAAATTTAAGAACATTACATGTCTGAATCAATGTAGATAATTCACCTTGGGGACTGTAAATATCTTGAAACTCTAAAGGCAAGTTCTAGTGACCTATCTAGGCAGACAGTTGTGAAGCAAAAGTGATCTAAAAAGTATAATACAATGTGAATTGGTCTTAGAAATGTCTTTAATTATAAGATTATAATATTTCCATAAGAGAAATTTGTAAGTTGTGGAGTTTGGTTTTGTTTTGCTTTAATTATCTAAGCAGGCTATTTGATAATGGAGAAAAATGTGATTGCCTGGGTGTCTGTACTTACATCCATGAACTCCACATTTGCCTTGGGACCAGTTGTCTCATTAAGAATCTTAATAGCCACAGGAATCTTCACAGTTTCTCCTTCAGGTACCCAAATACCCTTTGGGGAAAAAAATTTACATTAAATATGACATCTCAACCTATTAAGTTCTTACAAAGTAACTTAGAAGTTTGATATTATAACATTCAATCAACAAATGTTTATTTAGCACCTGTTACATGTTACAAGTTACTCTGCAACTTTGTTGTCTGCTTTCATTATCTGAGGATGTTGCTCATATACATGATTACATATATAGAATATAGAATATATATCCTTTCAAGATGTTTACACTACTGTCAAATTCTACTTGTGTGCATGAAAAAGGCTTTGAATAGTGAAGACAGCATGGAAATAGGATAGCAAAAGAATATCTGATTTGGATGGTATCATCGACTTTTTGAGATGGTTGCTCTACTTTTTGAAGCTCAGTTGTATCATCTGTAATTTAGAAGACTGGGCTAAGGAATGTTAGAGGTTCTTCTCAGGCTGAATATTATCTAAATATTCAGCAGCAAGAAAAACAATTAAAAAAGCATATTCTCATGTTCTTCAAGTTCAGATTGATTTATGAATTAATTTTCAAGAATGAATATTTAAGATTTATTTTTCAAAGGCAAGTGCTAGGGGATATTGAGCACATATTAATTTGTCTACATTATTAAAGCATGTGTATATGTGTGTGCGTGAAGGAATTTTATTATCTCTGAAGAAATATAAAATATTTATATTGGCCGTTGTTAGTTCTCTTTTCCTATCAAAATATAATTATAATATCTGAACAGGATTTATCCCTTGGGAAAGTATAAAGTTGGTAGAGTTTGAGTGAAATACAACATTAAGCTAAATAATAGCATTTCTGGGTAAAGTGAATTATAGCATTTGAATGAGGACAATGATTTTGATAAGACATACAAGGATGCACAGGTTGTACAAGAATACATTTTAAAAGGTGTATTTTCCCAAATGAACGCAAAAGCAAATATGAGAGCATGAGGACAAAAACCGAAAAATCTCAAATTTTAGCTTCTTAGCCCTGACATCAGAAAATATTTCTTATAAGATTTTTAACATTAAAATGAAAGAATGAAAAATAATAGTTTGTTATTCCTGAACAAAACATCTTTACTTCCTGTCTTTCTTACTATCAGCTAGTTATAGTCATAAAGAAAAAAAATTCAAAAAGTTTTTCACTTTGAACTTTTATGCTACAACATATGTATTTGTGTTACTCAAAGTTGCAGTATCATCAGGAGACCTGAACACAAGAATTATTTTAAAACATAGTAACAATAATAAAGAAAATAAAAGATTTTAACTTTTAGAAAGTGAATTTATGGTTGCATTCTTCCTAGGCAGAATGAATAGGGAAATCTATGTGCCAAATGCAAAATAATAAGCCAAGTTCCTTGCAAAAAATTAAAAAGAAAATAAAGCAGAAACAGAAAAAAGAAAACAGCCCAATACTCAAAGGCTTCATTTTCTCACTGATGTTATCTAGGGTGGAAAACAGGCTTATTATTCATTATTCAATAAAGTAACCACAGAGAAGATTACTTTATGAAGACATGGCATCAATATTAAAGTATCCCTAAAGTGTAGTTTTAAAATAATATAGGCCAGGCATGGTGGCTCATCCCACCACTTTGGGAGACTGAGGCAGGAGGGTCTCTTGAGCTCAGGAGTTCAAGACCAGCATAGGCAACATAGAGACATTCCAACTCTACTAAAAAATAAAAAAATTTAAAAATGAGCTGAGTGTGCTGGCACATGCCTGTGGTCCCAGCTACTCAGGAGGCTGAGGTGGGAGGATGGTTTGAGCCCAGGAGGTTGAGGCTACGGTGAACTGTGATTAAACCACTGCCCTCCACCCTGGCCTACAGAGCAAGACCCTGTCTCAAGAATAAATACATAAATAAAATTAAATAAGAATATAAATTCAATGTAAAGTATTTTATACTTCTTTTTAAAATAAATATTTATTAAATTATTCTTTTTTTTTCATTATTTCATTCATTATTTCACTATTTTCTGGGACTGACTAGTTAAAAATTTTACTATCTGATACACATGATATTGGTCCTAATCTTTATACTTAAACAGAGAATATTTCTAATTAGGAGAAAAAAATAATCAAATAATTGGTTAAGCCAATTTGCACTTCTATGGTCAAGAATAATCCTTTATAGTTTAAGACAGTATGTCTTCATAACAACTGATCTATTGATTAAAACTTAGAGTCAACCATAGACACTTTCATTACAAGTAATTTCAATTAGGGTAAAACACTCATGCACAATAGACAAATAAATGCTCTTAATACAAGTTAATAAAGCTTTATTATTAAATGCTTAAATGGGTAACATTTTTCTCTGCTGAGGACATTAGATAGTGTTTAGTCTTGAGTTATAGGGTATCCAAGGTTTAAAATAAAATTTAATTTACAGACCACATTATCTTTAAAAATATAGGAGTGATTATACTCTAGGAACAATGTAAGATTGAGTTATCTTAAAAATGGAAGTACGTTATAATACATTTAAATTTTTCCATTTATCTCTTTTTTTCTCCCTATTTCTGTTCTTCATAAACACATAAATTTGCCTACTTGCTTTAAATTTTGTCAATGTCACATGCAGAATTGGTAACAGGCAGGAAGCCCTAATATTTTTCTACTGACTTGTCCTATGGTTCAGCACAGAAGCCTTCAGTTACATCTGTGAATACGGAGATTTGTAGCATTTACTAGATAATTCAGGTGGGGAAAAATCCTGCAATCAATCATTAGAATGGGAATTTATGGCATAGCTAAGTGATCCAGAATGATTGTCAGTATGGATCAAATTCACAGCAGTACTTTCAATTTGTCAATTTAAATAATCAAGACTGCAATTTAGGACTCTACATTTATTATCCACATAATTCGTTGATATTTTATTGTAGAAATGAGTACAGATTAAAATTATTAAAGATGTAAATACAATTGCAGTAAATAGATACAAACTTTAAGGATATAAAATGATACAGTCTGAGTCTGTTTTTTTCTAGCACAATCTAAATTGAGAAACAGAAACATTTGTTTCTTTGAACATATACAAATCTGAAGATGAGAAAAGGCATCAAGTCAGCCTAGAACAGTGCCTATGCAAAGTAGGTACTCAAATTTTTGTCAAATTAAGATCAAATTTAATTGAATAAAATATGCATACTAAAAGATTAGAAAACTTCTGCATTTTGACCTTAGAATACAAGTTTTATTTTAAGGATATTAGATTATTTTGGAGCACTTGGAGAGAAAAATTAAGGTTTATATTCTAATTATTAATATTTTTTGTTAAATAAATCTCTGTTTTAAATAGAAAAAAATGAATATTTCAAAATGCAACATTTCTAAGATCCAATTAACTTTAACAGATATGTTTGTAAAATGTAGGCTTACACATAGCTTTAAGAAATATATTAAATGCCAGCCGGGCATGGTGGCTCATGCCTCTAATCCTAGCACTTTGGGAAGCCAAGGCGGGTAGATCACTTGTCAGGAGTTCGAGACCAGCCTGGCCAACATGGTGAAACCTCATCTGTACTAAAAATACAAAAATTAGCCAGGCATGGTGGTGAGTGCCTGTAATCCCAGCTACTGGGGAGGTTAAGGCAGGAGAATAGCTGGAACCTGGGAGGAGGAGGTTGCAGTGAGTGGAGATCACACCATTGCACTACAGCCTGGCCAACAGAGCGAGACTCCATCTCAAAAAAAAAAAAAAAAAAAAAAAAAAAAATATATATATATATATATATATATATATATATATATATATATATATATATATATAAAATGCCAAAGTAACTTTTGGGAATTGTAGTAATGGATATTACAAGAATAATTCAGCATTTGCCCAGAAGAGTTTCTTAATCTTGTTATTTACCATTAAAATAAATTTCACCACAATTAATCTTGGGCCTAGCCTCTGAATTGGTCCTGTAATTAAGGCAAATAAGTAAACATACACATGCCATCATTTGAGCTTTTCCTTTCCAGAAATATCTCTTATTGAAAACACATGATGTCATCTTTTCCTCCTATCTGACCTCAATTTTGCATATAATGTCACATTTTTAGTTTGCTTATGATGACAAAGACATCAAAACCATGGAAATTATTTACAAAATCATAAATGTAACCAAGTAGGCAAAAAATGATTTAGAAGCTAGTTCCAACCTATTAAGACATCAGCATATTTGAATGGATTCTAAAAAGATCAGCTACTAGGATCCTGATGGAGAGGCGTTGGATAAAAAAGCAGAAGAGAAAAAGAATAAAGGATTATGGTATATTGCCCAGGCATGTCTGGGGTTCATGGAGCACTGTGTAGGGGTAATGGCAAATGGGTTGGGGCTTGATAGTTGGATAAAAATAGAAATTTGCCAAAAGGAATATGACATACGGGGCTCAGAAAGGTATTAAGAAAAAAACTATACTTGGCTTTGTATCAGAGTTTCTTGCTTTTCTCTCAAGACTGTATCCGTCCCAGCTCATTCAATAAAAATTAATGAATTCATTTGTGCAGCAACTTCTCAATATTATAAAAGTCTTCCTTTCTGAATATTATAAGAAAATTAGGTTGTCTAAAGTAATAACTCCATTGGCTATTATTTTCTAAACATCTAAAACAAAACTTAACTAACGATATGCGTTGTTTTTTACTTACTTTATAAACCGTTCCAAAAGCACCTGAGCCAAGGACTTTTACCCTCTTCAGCTCAGTTTCTTTCAAAATACGAAGTTGAGCTTGATTGGGTGCTGTGCCACTGGGAGTTAATGGTTCCACCAACTGCAAAGCGGAAAGAAGAAGGTTATACTTTCAGTCCGATAGTCAGTCCTCTCTCTCTGTCTCTCTCTCTCTCTCTCTCTTTGGTTCTCTTTCTTACAAAGAAAAACACACCAACTTGGTTTGCCTTGACAACCAATACCTTCGTAATATGCACCACTCACCATTCACTGACACATTTATGCATTCTTTCAGACCCTGTCCTTTCTCTTCTCCTGCTCTTTGTCAGGGCAAACACAAGTAACAAATGTGCACCTACCTTGAGGCATACTAGGCTACGAGATTTGATGCATTAAAGAAGGAAATGCTGCCTTCTTAGAGCTTAAAATATACCTGGGAAGCCAGGACAAATGTGTCAGAGGAGAGGGGAAAAAAACGCACAATGCCAAAACCCTAGGACAGGGCTGTTAAAACTTTAGTGTATATCTGAATTACCTCAACTTCTTGTTAAATATAGGTCCCGGTTCAGCAAGTCTGGAGTAGGCCTGAAATGTTTGCATTTGCATAGAACTCTAAGGGATGCCTAGGTACCATGGTGATCCTCGAACACATTTGAAGTACCAAGGCCCAAGTTTACCTGTTAAATCAATAGTTCTAAAATTCTATGATTTGATTCTGCATCATAAGTGAATGCTATGAAATGCAAGGCATCAAACAACTACTGGGGAGTGAGGCTCACTAGTTTTGCCTTCCTAAAGAATGTACACTTTAAAATCAAGTCTTGAGATGTCTAAGTCTTGACATAATGAAAATGGGTTGGTATTGGGAGGGCCACTGTGAAAAGCTGCTTGGGCACAGCAAGAGGGAGGAGGAGGAAGAAATATAGCAGAATACAACAGGGAGTGGGACTGGTCAGAAGGGTGAGAGTACGGTGGGAAACCTACATAATCACAGGGGGGGCTGGGTGTGGCCAAAGTAGTAAAATTAGGCTGATAGTTTTAGACGTCATCATTGCGTTGTGATTCAGTTAGGGGGAATGAATGAGAAGGGGGCAAGTATGTGCATGCGTGCCAATCACTGGCATATGTGAGAAAAAAAAAAAGTATGTCTAAGAGAGGCTCTGGGTACCAAAAAGCCTGTATCCTATGTTAAAATTTTAGGTTTTTATCTATGTATGAGTAAAAGGGCAAGTGCAAGAAATAGGAGTTTCTTTGTCTTTTAAAAGTTAAATTAAGGAACTAAACTTTACAAATAGTCTCTTTTATTTTTCCAGCATAATAATCAAAGGGTACTACTACTCAAACTGTCTTGAACCCACCACAGTAATTCAAAATCTCTATCTCCAAAGCTAAGTGCACTGTGGCCCTGCAGCTTGGGTATGAATTACCATGCTTCTGTGAAAATAACGGCCTACTTAATTAGTGGAAGATTCTTGATTGAAGGTAAATGTAGCTATAGCAAGAATTTTAGGAAGAACGTAATAAAAAATTGCCAATAAACTTAGGTTATCTTCAAACTCTTCTTTAATTGTGAGTTTGACAACTCATCTTCAATTTCATTTTCAAATTTAAGTTATATAAATGTAAATTTGATAACATAGAACTGCATTCAAGTCACATTTTAAAAATCTCAGAAAGAATCACTAAATTATTTGTTAAATTTCAAAATGATTGCTCAACTGAGTTCCCTTCATTTGAAGGCAACTCAACCATACAGGAATTGTTGGGTAGATTTTGATACATATGCTATATGTATAATGAATAACTTATGAATCATTTTTAAAAATCATATACAAAAGTTACATAAAATCACACAAAATACTGGGAGGGGGCTTCAGCATTTTGGGTGAGATATACATAAAATATACATTGTGTATATGCCTTGGCATATACCATGCAATAATTGCATATTTTGAAAACTTCACAGTTCTACCTGAGCTTTTCAGTCTTCTTTAATTTTCTTGGGTATCATTTAATATATTTCACAAAAACATGTTTCTGTATCATTTAATATATTTTACAGACACATGGGTTTAAATTTGGAGGTTTATATGACAGTGTTGCCACTCACAGGAAGCAATTTGCCCTTCCTAAACCTTTATTTCTTATCTGTGAAGTAGGTGTAGCAATAATTACCTTAGAAACTTGAGAAAGGATGAAATGAGATAACATATGTGGAAAATTCTAGAACATTGCCTGGCATATTGTAAGCACTAAATCTGTTACTCTTCAAGGGATGAGATCATGTCTCATTAATATATTTTTGAATCACACCATCTACCAAAGCATCAAGCTTACAGTGCATCTCAGTAAGCATGTGTGGAAAAAATATGTTTTATAGTTTTATGCATGTAACATAAAAAAGACAATCTGGAACAAAATGATTTGAGGAACGTGTACCATCTTTAAGTGTATGCAAACAATATATCAAGATTCAACAAATGTTCACTTCTGAGGCAGATTTCTAGCTTCAGTATTTAAAGATTTAAATTGACTATCTTAAAAATTCCCCCTTTATTTAGATGGTGGTAGAAAATCATATTTTCTTTTACTAAGAAAAAGATAGGGATTCTACGATTATCTAACCACCAAATGTAAAATAATTTAGTCTTAAAGAATAATTTTCTATAAAAACAGAACCTGCTTATAAAACCAGTAAGTGGGCCGGGCACAGTGACTCACGCCTGTAATTCCAGCACTTTGGGAGGCCGAGGCAGGCGGATCACGAGGTCAGGAGATCGAGACCATCCTGGCTAACACTGTGAAACCCTGTCTCTACTAAAAATACAAAAAAATGAGCCGGACGTGTTGGCGGGCGCCTGTAGTCCCAACTACTCGGGAGGCTGAGACAGGAGAACGGCGTGAACCCAGGAGGCGGAGCTTGCAGTGAGCCGAGATCGCGCCACTGCACTCCAGCCTGAGCGACAGAGCAAGACTCCATCTCAAAAAATAAAAATAAAAATAAATAAAAAAAATAAAAAAAAAAAAGTGTGTGTTTATTTAGTAAGGAAATGACGGTTTGAAGGACATTCTTATAAAGCACTGCATTATAAAAACAAACCAAGATAAAGCAACACAACTCTTTTCACGGCAATGAGCCTTCCCTGTGTGTGGTTAAGGTAATTTCTCTTCCATTCTGCAGTCACCTAAATGTACACTGCTATTCCAAGCTTTCCTTTCCAACTGTAGTTTACAATACTTCATTTCCAGAATTCTCTCACCAACTGCCTCAAGCTGGCCATGAGGAAGAATTCTCTCTGCCTCCAGCATCCTAGCTAAACTGCAAACATACATAGCACAAAGCACATGTGTTGTGTCCAAACTTTCATTCACATGTGCAAGATTGAAAGTAATCAAATTGCTCTTCAATAAGCTTCCAGCTAAAGTAGGAATCACTATTAGGTTTTCCCATGTATGTAATTGACTACCTTTATTTTGCTTGAACATGTCTATTCATGAGACAGCTCATTCCAATTGCAGATAACTTTATTCCCTAGAAAGTGTTTTCCTAGAAGCAGCTGTAAGGTAGTTTCCAGAAACTTTCACAGGATACTTCTATCTAGATTTGATTTCTGGGTAAAAAGAGCTAAAATTTAATTCATTATCGGTATGCAAAATGTGTGAATGAATTAAAATTCCCATTCCTCCCATTCCTGTCAGTGTTCAAAGGAGAAGTGAAATTGTCAGACTGACAATGAGAAAAACAACAAACGTTGGATAAGCTTATCTCAGAACAGAATTACTGTGAATTGTTTAGATAGGCACAGATGTGTATATCAGGAGAAAGGTAAGATGGAAGTTGAGAAGGGTCTGGTAATTCATAGTCTTCTGTAATTGTTTCTTCCCTGTATCCTGTACCATGAACACTATCTGCTTTTATGCTAGAGAACTCAGTGTAGCAATATAAAAGACATTATAATCATTCATGAGTAATTTACATACTCACAATAACTACCATGCATAATATTAAATGCATCCCATAAATTGTGTAGTAAGGTCTGTGTGATTACAACACTAAGTTTTATCCTGTAAGCTTAGTCTTTCACTGCTGGTATAATGAGATCATTGACTACTAATTTAATGATCCTAATTAAAACATGCATTCCTTGTCTGTTAGTTTTGTTTTGAAACAGAAAGACTCTCTCTCTTTCTAACATTTTTCTAAATCTGCCACTGAGATATTCTTTTTTTTTTTTAATTATTATACTTTAAGTTTTAGGGCACATGTGCACAACGTGCAGGTTAGTTACATATGTATACATGTGCCATGTTGGTGTGCTGCACCCATTAACTCATCATTTAACATTAGGTATATCTCCTAATGCTATCCCTCCCCACTTGCCTCACCCCACAACAGGCCCCGGTGTGTGATGTTCCCCTTCCTGTGTCCATGTGTTCTCATTGTTCAATTCCCACCTATGAGTGAGAACATGCGGTGTTTGGTTTTATTGTCCTTGCGATAGTTTGCTGAGAATGATGGTTTCCAGCTTCATCCATGTCCCTACAAAGAACATGAACTCATCATTTTTTATGGCTGCATAGTATTCCATGGTGTATATGTGCCACATTTTCCTAATCCAGTCTATCATTGCTGGACATTTGGCTTGGTTCCAAGTCTTTGCTATTGTGAATAGTGCCGCAATAAACATACATGTGCATGTGTCTTTATAGCAGCATGATTTATAATCCTTTGGGTATATACCCAGTAATGGGATGGCTGGATCAAATGGTATTTCTAGTTCCAGATCGCTGAGGAATCACCACACTGACTTCCACAATGGTTGAACTAGTTTACAGTCCCACCAACAGTGTAAAAGTGTTCCTATTTCTCCACATCCTCTCCAGCACCTGTTGTTTCCTGACTTTTTAATGATCGCCATTCTAACTGGTGTGAAATGGTATCTCATTGTGGTTTTGATTTGCATTTCTCTGATGGCCAGTGATGATGAGCATTTTTTCATGTGTCTTTTGGCTGCATGAATGTCTTCTTTTGAGAAATGTCTGTTCATATACTTTGCACACTTTTTGATGGGGTTGTTTGTTTTTTTTCTTCTAAATTTGTTTGAGTTCATTTTAGATTCTGGATATTAGCCCTTTGTCAGATGAGTAGATTGTAAAAATTTTGTCCCTGTTTTTAGATGACATGACTGTATATCTAGAAAACCCAATCATATCAGCCCCCAAATCTCCTTCAGCTGATAGGCAACTTCAGCAAAGTCTCAGGATACAAAATCAATGTGCAAAAATCACAAGCATTCTTATACACCAATAACAGACAAACAGAGAGCCAAATCATGAGGGAACTCCCATTCACAATTGCTTCAAAGAGAATAAAATACCTAGGAATCCAACTTACAAGGGACGTGAAGGACCTCTTCAAGGAGATCTACAAACCACTGCTCAATGAAATAAAAGAGGACACAAACAAATGGAAGAACATTCCATGCTCATGGGTAGGAAGAATCAATATCGTGAAAATGGCCATCCTGCCCAAGGTAATTTATAGATTCAATGCCATCCCCATCAAGCTACCAATGACTTTCTTCACAGAATTGGAAAAAACTACTTTAAAATTCATATGGAACCAAAAAAGAGCCCGCATTGCCAAGTCAATCCTAAGCTAAAAGAACAAAGCTGGAGGCATCACGCTACCTGACTTCAAACTACACTACAAGGCTGCGGTAACCCAAACAGCATGGTACTGGTACCAAAACAGAGATATAGACCAATGGAACAGAACAGAGCCCTCAGAAATAATGCCGCCTATCTACAACTATTTGATCTTTGACAAACCTGACAAAAACAAGAAATGGGGAAAGGATTCCCTATTTAATAAATGGTGCTGGGAAAACTGGCTAGCCATATGTAGAAATCTGAAACTGGATGCCTTCCTTACACCTTATACAAAAATTAATTCAAGATGGATTAAAGATTTAAATGTTAGACCTAAAACCATAAAAAACCTAGAAGAAAACTTAGGCAATACCATTCAGGACATAGGCATGGGCAAGGACTTCATGTCTAAAACACCAAAAGCAATGGCAACCAAAGCCAAAATTGACAAATGGGATCTAATTAAACTAAAGAGCTTCTGCACAGCAAAAGAAACTACCAACAGAGTGAACAGGCAACCTACAGAATGAGATATTTTCAATGCAGATATTTTCTAGATCTGCTGCTATTGAGATATCCTCTATCCAGAGCTTGCTAATGGGATCCTCCCAACCATACAAACAAAATACAGATACTTTCCCCAATACAATAATTTTCTTGACCACTCCCATCTACCCCCTTGAAGCCTTGACTATTTTTACAACATAATCTGATTTTTCACAAGCTTTGTTTAACGGACTATAAAATAAAAAACTTAATTAGGACACTGAACAGAATTTTACTTGGATTAAATAATTGAACATCATCTAAACCTTCTAAACCTGATGAAAATCCCCAAACACATGAAGAGGAGAAAGAAATACCTCACCTCTGTTTCCAAGAATCTTCTCAAGGCTCTTTTCTTTTTGATGCTCTTCCTTCTAACATAAACAGCAAATGTCAGACCCACAATGACCAGAATGAAGAGCCCACCAATTACTCCAGCTGCAATCAGGGGAGTTCTGACAACCAGAATGAGAAAAAAAAAAATAAAAAGTATGAAGAGAGAGAAGACAGAGGAAGAGAAAAGAGCAGTTGTACAAGACATTATCCACATTTCACAAATCTAGTCATTTAGATGAAATGCAAATATAAAAGTGCATTAGGTTTTGCTCTACCAAAACCTTTCTCATGGTAAAAACTATGGTTGTTTTTGTGTGTTTAACAAATAATAAACCATGCATGTACAACTAATCTTTGAGATGAACAGTCACAACATGCCATTTGATGAAAAAAATGTAAAACTTGCTAGCAGTATGAAAAACATATGCCAAGACATTGGTGTTGGCGCATTTAATATTTTTCTATTATATATGAATAAACAGGAAATGCATTGTAAGAATATTGTTGTGGTTTGTAATTTTATTTCCAGTAATTTCTCTGAAGCAGGCTTTCACAACAGTGGCACTATTGACATTTGAGGCTGAATACCAGTTTGTTGTCGCGAAGTGTCCTGTGCATTTTAGGATGTTTAGTAGCATTCCTGGCTTCCATCCCTGAGATGCCAGTAGCACCCCCATCCTCTAGTCATGACAATGTCTCCAGACATTCCCAAAGATCTGTCAACATCACCCCCAGTTAGGAAGCACTGCTCTAATGCAAAAATGAGTGGTCTGAAGACATAGAAACCCCACACCTCTGGAGTATAAGGGTACCAATAAGAGAGTTATTATTGCCCAAAGTGCTATTTGAAACTCTGATTAGGGCAACTCTGGTAGAAAAAAGGTCAGGAGAAAGATAAAGAATTGGTTCAGACATGTTTTCAGAATAATGACAAGAGTATTAGAATCAATAGTGTGTCTCAGCATCATACACTCATAAAAGAGGTTTGCACATGAAGCATTACATAAAAAGTGGTAAACAGTACCAAAAAGGGATTAAGAAGAGATTGATTGGAAATCTTCATTCTTAAAATGTTTTTGTAATGTATTGTTAGCAAAGATATAATTTTGAAACTGATCACTTCTTAGCTAATTTTTTCCTTGCTTAAACAGTAGTAGTTGTGATTTTTAACTTGTTCTAGAGTAGAGCAGTATCTCTGAAGTTTCCGTGGTCAGAGTTCTTAATCATATGAATTTTGTATACCATAGGAAATAATCTTGAGTGAAACACACAGGTGTTACCTAAAAAATATTTGACCAGGAAGCCACAATGGATATCAAAACTAAAAAAGAACTTCCTGCCTGCTCATGCTTTCCATAATAAAGCATTTTATATCTTATATTTATATTTTTAAAAGAACTTATACTACATTTTCTTAAAAAATACTTTCTCTTGCTAAATAAACTTCTGCTCAGAGATAGATCAGAAATAGTATGGTGGATGATTCTCAATAAAATCTTGAAATTTTAAAAAGCTCATAAAAAAAATCTGCGTAACTTCTTCTATAAATGAAATCATGTCTTTTAGAGATTATGACTGCTATATTGTCATATAAAACTGCAGAAAAATCTAAAAAGGTAGTTCATCCTAAAGGTTGTTTCCTGACAGCTCAAAGTACTATAGTATACTGAAATGTTGCTATAATTCAGCTAGATTTTTCTAAATGGGATTTTCTAAAGATATAAAAATCTCTGCTGAGAAAATTAAACTATAGTATGGAAAAAAATTCTTCATTGTGATATGTTTTTGTTTGTGTAAGATCATATTTTTGATCATGCAAGTTAAATATGTATTTCAGGAAATATTTTATGTTTCAACCAAAGGTATAATTTTTAGCTCAAATGCTTAACATATCCCTGAAAAGTCACTGTTATTGAAAGGGTCATATTTTTGTTTTCTCAGTCCAATTTTTTATCGCAAAATATTTATGTATAATTGAGACTAATGTCCAACATTTCGTTAATTGTAGATTCAGACCAAACTCTAAACTTTCTCTGCTTATTTATTTTGCAAAATAATAGGTGGTATACATATTTATGTAAATATATGTAAACGTCAATGTCACTGTATATGAAAAGAAAACGCTCTATTTTGTTTTTTGTTTGTTTCTTTGTTTGTTGTTGTTGTTATTTTTTAAGAACAAACTTCCAGGAGAAGAAACTAATACCTCTCTTTTTTCTTATTTTGGTGGAGATTGATTGCCATATAATTACTATACAGGCAAGTAATGGTAATCAAAATAAGACATTCAAAAACTCAAGACAGTAATTTCTGGTTTTATAGTTAGAATTTACTTTCAGTATTTTCTCACAGCAATATTTTTGGTCTACTTGAATTTCTTTACTGTTTTCTTACCACTCTGCAGGAACGGTAGAGGTACAAACAACCTGAAGGAATAAAGAACTAAAATTTCTGTACTTAAAAATCATATATAAGTGTTTTATTGAACATTATAAGAGGCCAAATTCTGCCTATTCCCACAGAATTTACGTTTGAAACATAAATCATTAACCACAAACAAGCAACCAGTAAAATCAAGAGGAGGGAATATTCCATAAGACAACTTGCAGTTTCTTTTTATTAATTGAGTATCATGAAAAAGGTGCTGATGTAGCTTAAGAAGACTTAATAGACATAGCAACTGGATATAAAATGTACTCCTGCATTAGATCCTAGTTTGGACAAACCAGTTATAGAGTCTTTTTGGAAAACTTGAAAGATCTAAATATAAATTATATAGTAGATGAGAAGATAATTTGCTGCAACACAAAGACGTGCACCACAAACTGAAAAGATTCGGTTTCCAAACAGTAGAACTTCAATATGAAAAAATACATATTCATATATGTCTACAAATATATCCTCAGATGCATAGATCTGGAATAATATAAAATAATATACTAAATAGTAGTTGTCTCTGGGTAGTGTGAATACAGTGCTCTTATTTTTACTAATTTGTATTTTCTAATTTTTTTTTTTTTTTTTTTTAAATTCACTAGGGTTTTTCTCTCTTTGACATTTAAACAAGAACACAAAGTAAACAGGAAATACAATTTCCAATGTCTTTTAAAGATAATGTTTTTATATAAGTTGTGTGTTCTCACTAGTTTTTTCTTCTTGAGGTAATGTATTAATTAATCACAATCTGCTCTTATAATTTTGACATTCACTTTAAAACTCCAAAGGGAAGATGTGATTAGGTATTAAAATTATCTTAAACAATATTAAAAGATAGACATATAGGAACCTCTATATTCCAGGCCAAACTACCTAAGCAAAAGAAAGATTTTGATGTTAGTAGAAAATATTTGCAAACTATACATCTAACAAAGGTCAAATATCCAGAATATGCAAGAAACTTGAGGCCGGGCCAGTGGCTCACGCCTGTAATCCCCACACCTTGGGAGGCCAAGGCAGGTGGATTGCCTGAAGTCAGGAGTTCTAGACCAGCCTGGCCAACATGGCGAAACCCCATCTCTACTAAAAATACAAAAATCAGCTGGGCGTGGTGGCATGCACCTGTAAATCCAGCCACTCCAGAGGCCGAGGCAGGAGAATCGCCTGAACCCAGGAAGTGAAGGTTGCAATGAGTATTTTCTAATTTTTTATGATCCATTTATATTCCTTTTGAAATAAAAGTTTATTAAATTCAAGAAAAATGCAGAAGAAAAAATCATTGTCTAAAAGTTTAGCTTTGTAATAATGGCCTTGTTCTCTTTTTCTTGAATGTTTACTTTGCTTTTTTTTCAATTAAGATTTCATTTTGTTATTCCCTGTCCACTTTTACAATCTAAGTACTTTTGTGTATATTTTCTATTCATTATAGTTTGATATGTCTGAGACATTTGATTACTATTATGTTTCTTACAGTTAACATTATGTACCATAAACCAAGATAATCTGAAAAGTTAATACTATTTTCACATTTCTTACTCCTCTGAATTTTTATGATTCCTAGATGTTTGTAAGTATAGGATAGATATCTTTTTCTTGTTTGTTTTTTTCCTGAGAATTTATGCTTAGCTCCTTTTATGAGGACCCTTTGGGTAGAGAGGAAATAGCAACCTAAGTTACTTCTTTAAATGGCTGTGCATCTCTCCTTGGTCTAATGATGATAATGGCTATTACCAACCAACCTGTTTCTGAGCGTGAATGTGATTTATTTTATTTTTATTTTTTAGATGGAGTCTTGCTCTGTTGTTGCCCAGGCTGGAGTGCAGTGGTGTGATCTTGGCTCACAGCAACCTCCACCTCCCAGGTTCAAGTGATTCTCCTGCCTCAGCTTCTGGAGGAGCTGGGATTACAGGTGACTGCCACCATGCCCAATTAATTTTTGTAATTTTAGTAGAGATGGGGTTTCACCATGTTGGCCAGTCTGGTCTCCTCACCTCATGTGATCTGCCCGCCTTGGCCTCCAAAAGTGCTGGGATTACAGGCATGAGCCACCACTCCAGGCCTTGAATGTGAATCTTGTATGTGAATCAGCGGAAGCGATAAGAGGCTCAGTTGACACTATGAGATCACAAGGTTCAAATACTAAGGGATCTAGAATACTCTGATTCCTTATCTTTAACAGGAGTATTGCAATTTTTTTGTCTTGTCTTTTGGCTGTCCATTAAAAATGGTTGAGACCCCCTAAAGTATAAATTTCTAAGATCAAGTCCAAGCTTAGACTAAAAGGATACGATCAATTGATAGTTTACCTTATTCTGTGACTTGGAAATAGTATTATGAAACTGATATCCTCCCACTACTGAAGAAACTAATCTCACAGGGATTCTGAATCACAAACGAATTTTGCTAATTTATTTAAAAGCAAATGATTTGGTTTTCATAATTTCATTTAGAAATTCAGAGACAATGAAATGGATTAAATTCTACTGACTTGAATGCAATTGTTTTATAAAAGAGCAGCATCTTTCCAAGCTATATTACTCATCTAAAATATGTATATTCTTAATTACTATATTTGGACCATGCTATTTCTCTCATGCAGAATATAAAATGTGAGAGGACACATGAAACCTTAGTTTTAAAAACATCCGGATATTTTCTCCCATTGATCAGTTTCTTTTCAGATGTCAGACCACAAAAAAAATGTAATAAAGTCAATATAATTCATGATTAAAACTCAAATGTTTTAAAAAACTATTTTGTTATACTCTTTCTATTTAATGTTATAAGGACTGGCTATCTTTTAAAAAGGAACAATAGTATTTTCTTAATTGGCGAAACTGGTATTTTGATGCATATTGCAATAAATGTTAATTCTATGATTCTACCTTTTTTTAAAGGTAAGTTCGTCACCAAATAAAAGGTTTATTAAATTTTGAATATATGTGTATTTTCTTTACTTTTTTGAATACAGAATAATTTTCAACTAAAGATAAAACAACCTGTAGTCCTATAAAACACTGATGGTATACTTGCAATTCATAGTATTGACTATGAATCAAAGACTTTCACTTTTAGAAGCTTTTAGATTAAACTAAATAATTTGAAGAAAGGTCTTCAGGATTTGTTGCATCAGATGTAGACCTGCTTCACTTGCTTATCTATGGGCACTAAATGTTAAACTGAAAATGCGTGTGTGTGTTTTTTTAAAAAAAAAGTATATAAGAAGGAAAAACAAACAAAGACAGGCTAGTCAGATAAATTTAACAGGGATTTTTTTTTGTAAAATAAACTTTGCAAATTGCAAAACATGGTAAAACAGTATCTCCAACATTACTACTTTGTGTTAATCTTTCAAATTCTGTATGACTTTTCCTTATTGTGGCAGAAAGATGCTTTGGAGCCAGGCAAATCTAAGTTTTAATCATATGTCTACTTCTAACCAATTGTGAGTTTACTGCCTCTATCAAATAGCTTAAATATACACAAATACATTCTTTACCTAAGCTAGTACAAAAAATAAATGCAGAAGGAAATTATATAGTCATGTTTACATTCATAGTATCTAATGAATTTGCTTCAAGATCATTTCTAGCATTATCATTAAATCAAACACCTTGAAGTTTAGGAATTATTCATCCCATTTTGGCCAGGACGGTCTTAGTTTATGCCAGTCTAATAATCAATAATGCCACTTTTACTCTCCAAAGTGCCTCTATGTGAGCAATAAATCAAATGTTTATCCTACATTTAGCCCAATCTAAAGGAATTTAGGATACCCAGAGTTAATAAGTATTTATCTATATCTCTATATTAAAATGTGTATGTTGGGGTATGTGTGTATGTGTATATAGGATCGAAAAAACTTCAGTTTACCTCTATGAAAGGGAATAATTCTATGAAATCTGACATCTTCATTTTTAGTAGATTATTTCCCATCAAAAATAAATGCATTGCTAATGACACTCTGTTGTGCTATAAAACCCATGAGTATGTGTAGGTGTGTGCATATATACACATTCACACGAAAGTGTCTTAGTTTTATTTTCAGCAAGTTTTACTTTCTGGGAAAGTAAATTAATTACTGCATTTTATGAATGTATATGTAACTTAAATGTATATTTCACAAACTAGGGTCAAATGTTACAATTCTCTATAAAGTTATATTTCATTTTAAAAATATAATTAGGTAACATTGGCCATCATCCTATATCCTATCTTTCTTCTGAAAATCTTACAGTGGCTACAGATGAAAGCATAAGTCTATCATGACCCAGAGGACAAATGTATGCTCAGGGGTATATTCTGTTTTGTAAAGTGTTCTTGCTGTAAGAAAAATGTAGTTGATCAAAAACCTATTGACTCTCTATTAAAATCAAATTCTTATAATTCATTCACAATTACCAACTGAGGCAAGGAATATAGCTTTGAAAACAATAACGTTTTCAATATTTTCTTAATTATGTATATAATTTAAACATAGCAAAAGGTCTGTTTCCATAAGAGAAAGACAAGATTTGACAGCCATCAGATTCTCACAGGTTTTATAGCACACAGGGTGTCACTAGCAATGCACTTATTTTCAATGGGAAATAATCTAATAAAAATGAAAATGTCATATTTTCTTAGAAATCATTCCCTTTCATAGAGGTAAACCAAAGGCTTTTTTGATCCTATATACTACTTTTAAATTTAAATCATTTAGCTCCACTGAATGTGAACTTTCCATTCTAATAATTTCCAATACTTGTATATTTTATAATTAGAATTTAACTTTTACATACATTGTATAGTTTCACAATAACGATGTAACACATATCTTGTAAACTCCATATTAAATACAAGAAAATAGAAAAGATGCCTGGATAACATCAAATATAAATAGTAATGCTAACATTTTATGTATTGGAGTCTCAAGTCCATTAAACTTTCACCTATTGTATTTTTTCTCTTTCTAAAGATGATATATTTACACAAATATCATTATTCAGGTTTTGCTTCAATATCTATGCTTGATAGTAGAGAATACAAAATGCACATAAATTTATTTAGGGGTTTTCATAGAACTTTTATATTTAGTTATATCTTAATATTTTACTTCTCTTTCGACTATCATTTTATCTGTATTGCTATATTCATTGTGATTTACTTTTATTAAATCCTTTATATCCTTGGGTGTAAAGTTTATAAGTGACATTCTTCTTCTTTTAGCTTCATTTTGTTTTCAAAGTGAGAAAACAGTTAAAATGGTTTTCTTTTTTTTTTAACTTATATGGGATTTCCTTTAAGAAAGGTAAAGACGAGCAGTATCTATTATTACAGTGACAGTACCTATTGTACTGCTACTCTGTTCAGCCTTCCCCAAAACAGTTCAGATTTGAAACAAGAGACCTTGAAACACCAGGAAACATTGAAATTCCCCAGAAGACATTTTAAGGGTTACTGCCTGGGGCAAGGAGAGCTACATTAAGGGAGTTCTTTTTCTCCTACAAGTAGTGCTTATTCTGACCCAGAATTCAACCTGCTTTATAAACATGACACATCTTTTCTTTTTGAGCAAATGAAAGTGATCTTACAGTTTTTGGTTGACGAGACCTGGGGTATTACAATAGGTCTCTGTCCTTTGATTAAGGCTCAAGATTCCTCTATTACATTTCAAATATGACCAAAACTGTAAGTGCTGAAGCTAATGAATCAGAACGTACTGTCCCCCTTCCTAAGCAAATTTGAATGTTTTTTGACTCGGCTTTATGTGTTAAAATCAATCTTTTTTTCAATATGTGAATGCAACATTTCATTCGATAACACAGTGTTGCAAAAGTACTTCAGTAGAGATATTGCCATTAAATGAATATGTAAATATAATCTGATCCTTTTATATCTAGATCAGCTTCTGAGAAAAAATTTCAAGTAGTTTCAGAGCAAACCTTCCTTCTCTTTACAGGCAACATTTACACATATCTATGGGCTTTTGTTTGTTTTATCAAATTTTGGGGAAGTACATAAACTTATACACTTGACTTTCTGGCAAACATTCTCATGTTAAGGACACCATCCTCAGAATATATATAATCTATCTAGGAATTTCTACACCCAGGATTTTCTACAACTAAAGTGTTGAAAACGAATTACGCCAGGAAGAACTTTCCTTTTAACAGGGTTTTTAAGAGGTCAGATGAAGTTTTGGTGCTTTTATTAATTCTTCCACAGTTTATACCTATTATACAATATCATATATCTATATACCATACTAATACAGTAACTTTATTATTGTTTATATACTGTTATCTAGATAGAATATATATAAGGACATGTTTTGTGACACAAACAGAATATTGTAAATATTTAATTACAGAACAAATTAACCGTTAAGTATCACTATGTCCTATTACTTATTCATTATATGGACAAGGTAATATGAAGCAATAGAGCAAAAGATTTAAATGTCCAGGATTCAGTTCTTACAACTTCAGTTACATTAGGTACCAAAATTGTTCAGCATGCTAAGTAATTTAAGTTTCATAATAGAGCAGAAAGTATTACATAAACACTGCTCTGTGAAGAAAAGTGGGAGAGGGATAAATCATGGCTGGCACCATTCTTGTTCCCATATTTAAAAAGTTTTCTTCGCCTTAAAATCTCCATTCATTCTATGCACTATAATTTCAGATAATTAGTTGTTAACAGAGAATATATTCTATGTATAAATTGCACCTACCTTTATCTATCGAAGCATTAAGCATACACATTTCTGTCATGCTTATTGTACACAACTACATAAGACAGATACAGAGCAATCTCATTTTCAGAGGGTTTGCAAACTTTTTTTTTGAGAAGGAGTCTTACTCTGTTCCCCAGGCAGGAGTACAGTGGCGCCATCTTGGCTCACTGCAACCTCCACCTCCGGAGTTCAAGCGACTCTCCTGACTTAGCCTCCCAAATAGCTGAGATTACAGGCACCCCCCCACCATGCCCAGCTAATGTTTGTATTTTTAGTAGAGACAGGGTTTCACCATGTTGGCCAGGCTGGTCTCGAACTCCTGACCTCAGGTGATCTGCCCGCCTCGGCCTTCCAAAGTGCTGGGATTATAGCTGTGAGCCACCAAGTCTAGCCTTGAAAACATTTTTAAAGTAATAGCCTGGTTTGTTTGTTTGTTTCCTTGATAGTCAATTCTGTATATAAAGCATTTTTGATTTTTTTTTAACTATACTTTAGATTCCCCAATCCTTGTTTTATACTGAAAGAAGATTTTTTTAAAAATAAAATGCTAACAAAGAGGGATTAAGGAAGTATCTTTCTTGGGAAGTATCACTACTCTTTATTCAGATGATGTATTTTCTACTTACATTGGCCTGCTGGTAGCCCTTTTTCCTGCTGCGGAGACCTACAAGTGTTCATCGGGGAGTTGGTGGCCTTGCAGCCTACTGAAGATTTGAATGAAGTGAGATGGGAAAAGACTTTAAGAAGTGAATACAGTTGTGGGAAAAATACCAGGATTTTTGGACATCTATCTAGAGTCACTGGACATTTCTTGCAGGATTAATGAACAAAGCTCCTTTTCCTAGATATTTTATATGTGTTATGTCAAATAACTCTTCCAATATAATTGATTATTGATGTATGGTGAATCTGAAGTAGGTTATACAACTTGTCCAAGGTCCGAAGCATTCTAACTGGATAGTCAAGCCTAGACTCTTAGTATATTTTTCTCTAAATCCTTTTTCCATTAAAATATAATTATGCGGTTATATTAGGAAAATTATTCTGGTAGAAAGTTGTAAGATAGATAAGCAGGAAAAAGAAAAGATATGCAAGAAAATTAGTTTAGCTGACTGTTTTAAAAGTCCTCATGAGTAATAGTGAAAGACAGATTAGGAAAGTTTAAAAGGAGATATGGTGAGAAAATGTATTAACAGCAGCAAAACTGATAAAAAGTATAACCTCAACAGTGGAGAAAAAGCAGGCATCAAAAGTGACTAGACTCCCATGCCTATGGGAATATAATAAGGCCGATGATGCCTTAAAGGGACGTGCAGAAATCAGCAGACAGACAATTAGAAGGGAGAAGTTTTTAGTTCTTTTTGATCTATGGATTTGAAGTGCTAAAGGGTATCCAAAATCTATATCATTTCATTCAACTTTTACAATTTCTTTACATATTTGTTATTCTTGTAATTTCAAGACCCATACCTGTTGATTTTATTAATAGCTTCACATTTTTAATTAAAGTGAGTCACAGACAACATTCCATTCCATTCCCTTTAAGTTTTTCTAGTACTTTATTTATTCTCTAGGAACATTCAAAATGCAAAGGAAGAAAAATGTGGCTAAAGGGGCTTTATTTCTTTTCTACTTCCTCTCCCTGTCCCTTTTGTTTTGCTGATAGACTATATCATTTTATGCGGTTTCACTTATCTCATCAAGATAAATTCTACTGTTCCAATCTGTTTTTGTTCTTATCTTTTTACTGACCTTTTGAGATCATCATTTGCAAGAGGAACAAACCTTAAAAATATTTAATACATTTAAAAAACCTGTTCATAGTGCTATTTGCCTTGGGTAACACATGCTAGAGCCAGATGCCTTAGTAAGGCTACATAGATCTCATTGCTAATTCTTGTGCCTTAATGCCATCCCCCATTTGGAGAATTTAAAATTTGACATTAAATATTAAAGCTTAAAGAAAATTATTTAATTGAAAAAGACAATTAAACATAGATACTCCAAAAGAGTCCCCTTCATATTCTTTTATAATTTGGTAGTTTTTATAGAAGAAACCTTATGTTCCAGATGCAAAGCTGTAAGTACTAATAAGTGGCTTCAATTTTATTGTCATCTCTGTGACTGACCTCAATTCATTCCATTTTGCTATCGTGGTTTCAAGAATATTTGTTTTTAGTACTTATGTGTCTTAGACACTACTAGACCAAACTTGATTTAGGTATTTATAATTATGCTTTCTTGGATTCTTTTCTATTTCAAAGTAAATTATAAGCCCCATGAGGTTAGGACCATCATTTCTAATTTTTTTTTTTGTTTTATCACTCTAATAACATTGTCTAAGAAGTTTATCAATAATTATTATAAAGTGAATGAAATAGTTAAGTGGGATATTTTAAGTAATAATGAGTTCTTAAAAATGCAATTCTTCCACTTGATGTGACTCTTTAGTATTTGGAACAATTTTGGAAAAAGCAGAATATTTTCTTTGCATTTATCTCTTAAACAGTTTGTCTAAAACTGATCATTTTATTTCCATTCTCTTAATTCTTGAATTAACTCTCATCACATTTTTAGTCTCTGTCTCTTCACTAAATCGGTTCTTATCAAGGTCATCCAATGGTTTTCTTGCTGCCAAATCAAAAAGTAATTTCTTAGAGCTAATCTTAATCAACCTGGTGGTAGATTTTCATATAAATGATCAGTTCCCTTTTCTTGAAACACTGTCCTCCCTTGAAAGCCATCCTTTCCCTAGTTTCTTCCCTGTCTGGTCAGTCCTTTTCACTCATTTTCTGCTATTTGCTCCGTGTTACCCTGACCTCTAAATATAGGAAAGCCTCAGGACTCAATCATTGGATTTCTTTACTTTCCTACTTATGCCCTAGACAGGATGTACCATCCATCTCTTTATCTATGTAATGATAAGCAAGCATATTCAGAGATTAAAGGTAAAATAAAAGAATTTCTATTTTTATAAGCTCAAACATAAGTCCTTTAAGTGCTAGAATTTTGCCACAAACACTTTCATATGTTTTAGAGTCTAGTTTATTGTCTCATGAAAAGAAGTACTAAATAGCTGTTACATGAAGAAATAACTGGATGAAAGTTTACTTCCATAAATACTTACAAACTTTTTATCTTAAATCAACCCTTGAAAGCACATATATCCAACAACAATCTCAGAGCTCCCTATATGTTTTTAAACTTAACAAAAGCATAATTCTAAAATATCTTTAATGGAAAGAAAATGAGAAGAGTTATTTATGTAAGGCTTCTCTGAAATGAAGCTGATACGTGTTTAACATTTGCTTATTCCAGCTTTCGTAGTAATTGGTAAAATAATATTTTCTCCTAAAAGCAGTGAAACTAATCCTGAGACAAGTTATTTTTCTTTGCTGGTTTTAGTTTAGTTTATCCCTCACCCTCACCACACTGCGTCCAAGTCCCAGGCTGACTGAAGCAACAGTTGTTCCTACTCCATTACCCCTAACACACTAGTGATTTTTAAAACGTTAAGTAACAACTTCCTCAGTCTCTCTGCATCTTGGTGTAAACATACAACAAAATTCTTGCCAATGAAATGAAAGCAAAGGTTGACCATAGGGAATTCTGGAAAAGAACAGGTAGAGCTGATGAAGCCTATCCCTCTACTTCTGTCCTTGGATCTAATGCTTAGAGCTGTGGCACTCAGTGTACTATCAAAACAGAAAGATAATAAAATGATATACGTTCTGGTCCTGTTGTTACTGATCCATGAAACCCATGGCAACAGCTATGCCATTTCTAGACTACTGTTATGAAATAGAATAACACCTAAAACTATTGGGTGAAGCCATTACTTTTTTTACTTGTAGGCAAGGAAGATACTAACTGAAAAGTTCGTATGAAAAGTGACTATGTCCAAATTTTTCACTTTTCCTTTTTTCTTGCATTTTAACTGTCAAATGCATCATCTCAAGATATTTGCATTTTTAAAAACATAAATGAAGTCAATGGCCCTTTCCTTTCTTGTTAACACTTACTATCTCTGGTGCTTCTATTACATCTGCTTCATCATCCTACTCTTCTGGTCATTGACTAGGCTTTACGTGTATCAGACTTTTCTGAATGCTTACATTGGAGGGGGACAGGGGTGGGAGGAAGTGCCTCACACATTTGTAAGTAACACTAAGTAGAAGCTTGTAGAGCTTCCTCAAGGATGCTGTCTCTGAATTGTGGAATTATATGTGCTGTAATAGACAGGATATTATGTGTCATCCATTTCCAAGCAGTAATAAAATTCAAAAGTAGTAAATGTTTCCTGAACTTACACACCTCAAGCAAATATGTACTGAAAGATCAATAAAGAGAACATGAAGAAACACAGGTCTTCATTAGCATTTAATTTGGCAAAACAAGAACATCCAAGTTTTCTAATTTCTGGATCCATAGTAGATTGGAAGTAACCCAAGGAAAAAATGAGAGGGTGAGACTGTTTCTGCCTCCACAGGGGACTTGGCGAAAAGACAAACAAACCCTCCTTTCACAGAGGCTTTTGGTCATTGCACCCCATTTTAAATTATGTTTTTAACTTAGAATTGATTAGTTTTTATATTCTAAGAGGAGGTTTATTGTGACTGAATTCACAAAAACACATTTGAAAGCATTTAATAACAATGTTTAGTAATATAACTCCTTTCTAAACTTATATAAACACCCAACCCCTAATTAGAACACATTTCTAATTATGGGGAAACCCATTTTTTTCAAAAGCTATTGCCTAGGCGATGTTATGATTCGGCAGATGCTCTGAATACAGATTCACAGCCTCCAGATAATGTAAGAGAAAAAAAAAATCGAACCTAAGCATTTCAAACAACATTGAAATAATATAATGCCAAGACAACTTTATACTTTGCCTGAAACCATTTCATTTACATGCAAAATAAATCATTACTACTAAGGAAAAAACCCACATCTACATGAAACATTCTCCTCCAAGCTAGAATATTAATTTTCCAATCTGTTCTTTACTTTTTATTATTAAAATTGTGTATACTATTAACAATCAGCCATATGTAATGCTATGTATTGTTTATGGACATCCAGCAGAAGATCTTTTAAAATCTCTTTGTTTTGTAAATGGTCATAAGAAAATAATCTAAAAGTAATTTGGAATAAACATAACGCTTCCCTTTTAAATTTGCTAAATGAAGTATATCTATAGACTTTCTTCTTTTCAGTCTTTAAAGCTTTCAGATTGCATATCTTTATTTTTGCATTTAGAAAATTATCTAAGCAAATGACTTATCTTTACTTACAATCATGCCAATTGAGTTTATGCAAAATCTAAGTTTTTCTTAGAGCCACGGGGGAGGAGAGTAAGAGATAGCAGTTATTGGGTCCTAAATTCACCCTCTGGCACTGAGTTAGTTGCTGGAAAACACTAACATCTCTTCTTGAGTATTTATTGGGATCACTAAGTAAGTATGTTAGTATTTAGCTATTTGCAAACAGTCAAAAACAAACGACTCTAGAGAACAAAAGTGTAAATTTAAGATGCTATGCAATGGGTACTTTCTCATAAAATTCATGCCAGTTATCCTTTATTATCAAGTAAGGACATCTGCAGTAACTTAAAGAGAAAAAGAGAGACAGAGACAGAGAGAGAGAAAGACAGAGAGGGAGAAGCCCTCACAATCTATTCTTAGTGTTTTATAAAAGGATTAGGCATTGCTATGACTAAGTTATTCTATAAATATTATTTATAATTTCAAAACTATATAGGATCAAAGCCATCCTGTGAATTGTTTATATATATATATTCTTATTCCTCCATAAAAATAAATGATGTTGAAATATTACAGATACATATATCTATAGCTGACCATCTAGGATTACTTGAAACCAATTAATAAATCAACAGACTTTGGAAAAGTTAATTAAACTTCTTTATCCATCAAGATCTCTGTATAACATGATTAATGGCATCATAAATGAAACTATAAACTCATTAGAAGAAATTTCTAAGTTATTCAGTCTTTGGCAACTTTTGGTGAAAAACTTGCAGCCGTACTTTGATGGAACCTGTCTAATTTTAGAAAGGTATGAAAGATAATGATCTGTTACAAATTTATGTATTTTATAATGACACTATAATTCAAATGTTTTTAAACTCACATTGTAACTTCTGTAATATTTAATGTGTTTTCTATTTGACTTTTTGAATAGCAATTCACATATATGAATAAGAAACTTGAATATTTTCATGTATTTTAATTAATCCCTAGCTAAACATACTTTTTTAATGCCAGATACACACACATATATATGTTATTTATTTTATAATTTGTAAAAGGCAAAAACGTAGGAATAGCCTATCTTTCAATAGGGAGTTGGTGGTAAACTGATACTAGGGAATACTAGGCAATCATAAAAAAGGGGTAATGTCTGTTGATCTGGAAGGCTGTCCATAAAGTACTATTAAGTGAGTAAAGTAAGTTATTGAATAATGTGTAGAGTATGCTCCCTAATCTGTAAAGAAAAACCCTTATTATCGTATATATGTATTAGTATGTAGAGAAATGTGTGGAAGGACTAATACATAGACATAACATATACATTTCTATTTAATACTCTAAGCATGTATTACTTTTGTAATTTTAAATTTTATTAAAAATATATTTTAAAAAAGAATTAATCTTAAAAAACAGAAAGAGGGAAAAAAGAAAAATACCTAAAATATGATGAGCTGGTGAGCTTTAACTATCAGGATGATGAATTCTACATTTACTTGCTTTGGATTTAAAAGAAAGGCATATGGGACAAATCACTAAGACCAGAACCATTGCTTGAAGATAAATTTAGTTACATAAGTACATTCAGAAGCCAAAGAAATTTTATTTGTAAGGGAATTCCATCATAATTTCTTATTTGAAAGCATATAAAAACTGAAATAGGAAAAATATTTCATGATGTACTGATTTACTAGTAATCTGTACTTGCACAGCTGCATAACTGCTGATGTTTGTAGTAATGATGTGATTTGGAGTAATTGTTATATATCAGCATTTTGCAATTAACGCAACAGGTATTGAAATTTGTTAATGTCTCAGAACACATACAGGATGCTGTTAGATTCTGATTATGTATTTAACAGTCTTCTAATTTAATGAGTCTAGAGTCACTGAGAGCAAACCACAACCTGCTATTTTCCATGCAAAAGCAAAATAGGGTGACCTTCAAGTTAGAAACATGTAAAGCAACACATTGCAAATTATTGATGATTTGTGGATTAATGTCAGAATATTTTAAATGCAAAAATTAGCCCAGTTTATATTTGGATTTAATATTCCAGACCATCTGTCTCCTCATACCTGTACGTCTCCTCCCTTTGGGCAAAATGATTTCATCTACAATCTCAAAGAGAATTTAGAATTTTACATAAACTCAACCTTTTCTTACCAAAGTTATACATTTATCTGTATCTTTATCCTGTAATTATTTTCTCTCAATAAAATAATGAAGGAGGGAGACTTCTCTAAGACTAATCCTTTCATATGTTCTTTTCCTCTTAACTCTTCTTTTTTTTCAGGAAACTGTTATAATTAATAATCTCTTCTCTCTCCTGTATCTCCAACCTCTCACACTCTATAAAATCTTCCAAAACAGACTCAAAATTTCACCCATTCTCAAAATATCTTTCTCTTGATATTATTCCCAGTCCAACTATTTCCCAGTCTCTCTCTCTTCTCTCTCATCTACATTTCTCAAAAGATATCAACACTTGGAGAAACTTCCATATCTGTATATTAAATTTCCCATTTAGCATCACTGAATATGTCAAAGTCACTGCAAATTCAACACATCCGAAACTAAACACAGGATGACTAATTTAGCACCCTTCTACTGTGAGAAATCTCAGTTAATGTTACCCCCATCCATCCAACTTTGCAAGCCAGAAGCCTAGAAAAAAATGATTAACAGTTTCTTATCCCAATTCCTTCATATCCAGTTAATCACTAAGTATGGTATTACATTTTAAGTTCTAAATATTTTTTGAATCTTAACACTTCTCTCCATTCACTCGAATTTCTGGCTCCCCAATTCCCTGATTACTTATTCCAATAGTTTTAGCCAGCCATTCACATTGATAATACTAAATATTTACATTACCAACAAACGATTAAGTTAGAAGGTCAATACTTGCTTCCCAATCAGCATATGGACTCACTCCCTTCTAGAACATTTTCTTTACTTGGCGTCCAGGGCTTCACCTTACCTGATTTCCTCCTACCTCCATTCAGTCTGTCTCAATTTCCTTTGCCGTACTATACCTTTCTCTTCTGTTCTGCTCATACAAATTATGGAGTATTCTAAGGCTTGTGCAGTTTTCCATCTACACTTTCTACATATGGAATCTCATTTAATGTAATGAATTTAAATATGCTTGATGACCCAGACTCCTCCCTTGAGCTCCACAGTATTATATTTATTTGCCTATGCAAAATCTTCACTCAAATATCAAATAAACGTCTCCAATTTGTTATACCTTAACAGAATTTTTTATTTTCCTCATAAAATTTGTTCCATTTTCTTTTGAGTCTTCTCCATCTCAGTTTATGACATCATTCTTAGCCAGTTACTCAGGACAAAAACCCAGGTGTCATTGGTTGTATTTTTCTTTTCTTACCATCTGCATATCACATACTCATTTATAATTTCCCTCATAATAAATAATCATGCATGTAAATAATATTAATGTAAATGCATGTAAATAATATTAAATAATATTTTCTCTTTCCCTACACAATGGATTTTATGATATTAGGAATTACGTTAACTTTTCTCTCTATTCTTTCCTCAGTATCTTAGCCAACATTTGACATGTAGTAAATACAATGAATATTTACTGGCTGCATATTGTGAAATAACATATATGGAGGAGGGTTTGTGTTTTGTTCTGTTTTCTCCTGTTAAAAACAAATAAAATATGGTATGTTTGACTGTATCAACAGTGGGAAGAATTTTTCTTGGGAGAAATCACTTTTTACCGAAACAACCAGAGCCAGATGATACACAATCTAAGATTCATAACCT
The DNA here is from genome assembly GCF_000001405.40 of Homo sapiens. Lineage (NCBI taxonomy): Eukaryota > Metazoa > Chordata > Mammalia > Primates > Hominidae > Homo > Homo sapiens. The sequence goes on from NC_000002.12 coordinate 211,648,708, forward strand.
ATCACCTAAAATCGTTACTACTTCCAATCAATTTTTCCCAATCCCATAAATCCTACAGTATGATCTAGTGACAACAAGGAAGTGGCTGCCAAAGTCCAGCACTATATTGTCTTTTATTTTATTTTAGTGTCCATGAAATTTGAATTCTTACTTGTACTTTTGATGAGGGAGGCTGGGGATGGTAGCATTAATGCAATTAGGAACAGGTGAAAGTTGTTCTCATACGAAACCACAACTTTGTTTTTCAAATCTCTGCAGAATTTTAAAATAACTCTCACTTAAGAAAATATTTTTTAAAACTGTGCCTATGTTTGTTCATATATGTCTTAGATTAGTTTATCTGATGTATTTAAAAAGTTACATTATCTACAATTATAGGAGTACACGCTTAGATCATGGAATTTATTGGTCCAGGATAAAATACTCTGTGTGAGAACTGCATTATAAAATCCTACACAGAAGTAGGCTTAATAGCTAAAAATTAAAACTAAGAGAAAGACATTGAGCGATTTTTTTGTAAATTGCTGAATGACTCTAAGTCTGTTTCATCATTTATGAATGGCAATAGTGACTACTGTTTTTATATGCTTGTCATAAATATTCAATGTCACAGTGTAGCATACCTGATATAGATACATATTAGGATTTTCTAAAGGTGGCAAAAACAAGCTCCTAGCTAAATATAAGATTTTGGAAAAGACATCAGTACTCTGAGAAAGAAATAAAAAACTGATGTTTTGGTTTTCCCTTTGGTCCTTTCTTTCCTGGTGTGTAGAACAATATAGCTATTCTCTCTGGGATTTGAACTCTCGGATTTCGGGGTCAGAGATTGAACAAAGGAGTTGCTTTGTAAATTTATCTTGCTCTGTTCAGGAAAAAACATGGTGTTTTTCCCTCAACAAGTAAATTTTTTATGGTAAAAGGTTTTTGTTGTTATTTTATTTTTACTCTACTAAAAGTAACTATAATTATTCCATAAATGACTCAAGCATATGGAACACTTTACTCTGAGCAGAAGAACAGAATGCTATAAAACTTACATGGCTACAAGCATTCAGAGTTTATTAGAGGTGAGGTTCCCTTTCCTTATCATTCATTCTTTAGTACTGAGTTACTGCAAAATTACAATGAAATTACACCTCTTTGGGTTTAAGGGTAGATGATGGCAGAGAAGGAAATCACTGTAATGGAATTTTGTTGATAAATCAAAGCACTCTCTGCTAATTAGCTCCTGCCTATATACATAGTACAGAAGAATAATTGTATGTTTATGAAAAAATGATTAATTAGGGAATGTGCTGAGGTAATAAGAAAAAGGCATGAAGAGAGCAATTTGAATTAATATCTACACATCATTTTATGTAACCACATCACAGAAGGGGGTCTCAGTTAATTATATTCCCCTAGTTAGATAGAAAATATGAAAAAAGGTACTTACTTAGGATCTAATACAATATATGCCTAAATTACATGGTGAAATAAATTCAACTCTTTTCTAAATATATGGCAGGCATAAAAACAGAAACTTTGATCTCTACTTAAGAAATCTTTTTGGTTAAGTATTGTTCATTTATAAAAACTGAAACAATGTTTTAATTAAAATATGGGCTATAAAACAAATTTAAGATCTATGAAATATAATTCCAACCCTTTGAGTAATTTTCAATTTTAAAAGTAGGTCATACTGGGAATTCTAAATGCAGACTCAAATTATCATAATTTAGTCTTCTCCTATAGAAGTTTATAAGATCTGTGTGCACATATAAATATACAGGTATATGCAATGGGTTCAGGCAAACAGATGTTTTTCCTCGAATCTGTCTAACTCATCCCATCTGTAACCCATTGAAGCTGATGAAATAAACACCCTTCTGTGAATATGCAATATCATTCCCTCTACTATTCTTATTTTGTGTAAAACTATTACCAAAATTGAATATTAAATCAAAGTTTCATGATGACTGGGCTGGAGCAGTGCAGTCCAATAGATCTATAATACAAGCTAAATAAGTGATTGAAAGTATTCTAGCAGACATATTTAAGAAGATGAAATTAATTGTATTTATTTACCCAATATACCCATATTATTAACATTTCAACGTGTCACTGATATAACACATTATTAATAAGATATTTTATATTCCCTTTTTCATACTAGTCTTCACAATCCAGTGTACTTTTTACAATTACATAGAATCTCAATTTGCTTTAACTGCACTGAAAGTGCTTAATGGCCATACGTGACTAGTGGTTACCATATTGGACAGTGCAGGTCTAGAGCAATCTTGAGAGAGACTTACAGGTCTGATGACTTAATGAAAAGGCCACAAATTTTATATTAACCAGGGAGTACTTTAATCAGGATTCTGTTTGTGAGGTACTGCACAATAATGCAGCATGAGCACCTGGAACCAACATGGACACTGAGACCTTACCTTACAGTATATAAATGTACAAAGAGAACCCTGGTTTTAGTTCCAAGATAATACCTTATTGCTTGCTCTAGGGCCTTTGAGGACAAGAATATGATAATACATTATTTGAAGATAGTTTAACCAATTGATCTCTCATACATAGATGTGCCTTTATATGGCAAAGTTGCATGACACACAGAATAATAATCAAGTTTCCTTCAGGACAAGAAAAAATAAGAATGGCACCGTCGGAAATATTATATGCTCAAGTACCCAGGGTAGGCAGATGTGCTAGACAGAAATCAAAAATTGCTCCCAGGATTACAGCCACTGAAATATACACATACCTTTCCCACTTATTTAAATTCTAACCCAGGTGCTGATGTGAAAGGATTTTGCAGATGTAATTAAGGTCCCAAATTTCTTGACCTGAAGATAGAAAGACAATCAGCAAGGGCCTGACTTAATTCCATGAGCCTTCATATCTGGGTCTATTGGTCAGAGAGACAAAATCTAGGAGATTCAAAGAATAAGACGGATCTGAAACACTGTTGCTGGGTTTTGAAGATGGTGGGGGTGGGGTGGGAAGGGCTGGTTCATGACAAGGAATACACATGGCTGGCTAAGAGTCAGCAATAACTTGGGAGCCTCAGTTCTACAACTTCAAGGAACTTGGTTCTGCCAACAACCTGAATGAACTTGGTAGTGGACTCCAAGCTCTAGATGAGAACACAGGTCAGACAGCACCTTGATTTCAGCCTGGTGAGAAGATAAGGAAAAAACCCAGCTATGCCATGCCTGTAATTTTACCTGTGGAACTGTGTTTTGTTTTGTTTGTTTATTATACTTCAAGTTCTATTTTATTATACTGTAAGTCACTCAGTGAGTTTGAGTATAATATTAACATTTTAGGGTCTCTAGAAGCTTTGGTAACAATGTCTGAGCATTTTGCTATCAAGGTAAAAGCCACTTTTGCAACTTTGTGACGCTAAATACTTCTGTTAAAGTAACCACTTTAACTGTATGAACAGTAATTAACAACTGAGCTGAGACGTTTTGCTCTTCCCCTATAATTCTGTGATAACCTTGGTATTTTATGGCTACTGGGAAGTTGGGACAAAAGTCATGTGGAAAAGAAGAGATTCACACACTCTCCTTCACCTCTTCAAACTCTCTTTAATTCCAAAGTAAATTTAATATAAAGAACTTAGTGGACTGAGGATAGACTTATAATAAAGGGCTGTGTGCTTTTATTTATTGGACTTAAGGATCATAATACAACTGCCACTCATCTAAGGTAACGATCTATGGATGATTTTGACTGTTTGATTTGGACATGAGTTATGAACTTAAGTTCCTTGGGGGCAAAACAAACAAGGAAAAAAAAATGTGCCAATTGTGAAAGTGGTGCCAAGAATATCATATCATCTCTCTCATATATCACACATGGGTCACACTGCTAAAGGATTAAACTGTTATGTGACCTGTTACTTAATAACCACTATACCATAAAGTAAAAGTATGACACAGGCATTAAAATGTGACAAGAATATAAAATGTTTCAAATAGCTGCCCAAAGGAGATTTAGATAGTTAAACTGAGTCAAATTACTTTACTTTATATTGTGAAGCACCTAGAATAATTGAATTGGAGCAAGTAACTAGATAAAAATGCTTGATATCTAGCTGTTTTAATGATTTCACAAATTTGAAGAGTTATTAGTCAGTTAACACATGGACTGCTAACTAACACAAAGAAATGTTTTGCCAATGGAAACTTGACTTATTGAGATTAACAAATTTCAGCCCTAATAGAATAGGAGACTGAGATTAAAAGAAATAAACAAACAAACAAAAAAAAATCTTTGGATATATATTTGACAAAGAATCTAAAATGGATTAGAATCAAATATTCTATTCTATCAGAATCTATATGAAAATAGCATGTATGCAAGCTAAAATAAATAATATACAGAAAAGAATGAAAAAGTCTTGCTAAACATATTTTTTATAGGATTCTTGATGGAAAAGAAAAACCACCAAAGGCAAATACTATTTTTAAGGCACTTAATTCAAATAAGGTAAGTAGGGAGAGGTTCTAAAATATCAAGTATTATTTTCATTATAAGCAGCATATTCTAGGAGACTAAAGGTAAAAAAAGAAATTCTATTCTATCTTATCCAATCTTCCTGAAAGAAATTCCAGCAGCAGCCTATAATGTAAATGAAGTGTGGAAACCAACTAATACATTGTAGGCTTGGGAAAGAATAACATTGCTTAGAAAATGAAAGTTGATCAAGACTGGAAACATTTCACCTGCTTTCATTTAAATCTTCCCCCCCGCCCCCCGCACCCGCCCCCCCCCACGCCCGCCCCGCTGGTTTGGGAAACAGAATACAATATAATGGGGTGGAAGGACTATGAACACTAAATATTTTGAAATGGCCACATTGACATGCTCAATGTAATTTTCTGTGACTAAAAATAAACTAGGCATTTGGATAATCCGCCAGTTAAAATATGGTTTAAGAAACTCAAAACAATTATTTTCTTTTTTGGGGGGGTTTGAGGGGGACAGTGTCTTGCTCTATCCCCCAGGCTGGAGTGTAGTGACACGACCTCGGCTCACTGTAACCTCTGCCTCCCAGGTTCAAGAGATTCTCCTGCCTCAGCCTCTTGAGTAGCTGGGACTACAGGCATGTTCCACCACGCCCGGCTAATTTTTTGTATTTTTAGTAGAGATGGGGTTTCACCGTGTTAGCCAGGCTTGTCTCGTTCGCCTGACCTTGTGATCTGCCCGCCTCGGCCTCCCAAAGTGCTGGGATTACAGGTATGAGCCACCGCGCCCTGCCCAAAACAACTATTTTCATTTGTAGTTTTTGTCCTCCTATTATGTAAGATTCACTTCAATCAATTGACAGATGCTTTGAAAAACTATGATGACATTTAAAAATATTATTAAATTAGCGCTCTGCTTTCAGTGAAATACACACCCACCTCATCTCAGAGAGGTAAGCATTTGTTGCAATACTGAAGACCTGAAAAAGCAGACACTTGTTACTTTCACATCTTACCCAATCTGCATCAAAATGTTCCATGATCATACACACTTTTGCAAAGCATCCAGGCTAAATCCTTCATGTAAATGTCAAACTTTCTCATAAACATCCCCTCACAAGTCAATTGATTCTGACAAGTCAATGCAAGTGAAGAATGGAGTCACACTGCATTATATTTAAGTTCTAAATAGGCGTTAATGAAAGATATCTAGAGTTTCCTAAAAGGAACAATTAACTATTGCTATGAATTATTTTAAATTATTGTACTTAGAAGTTTGGTATAACATTGAAATGCTTAAAACCTGAGTAATTTTGATATATCAATCCTGTAGTCACTAACCTACTGGATTAACGCCCTGTTGATATGTAAATTACTAACTTCGTGAGGTTTTCAAAGTGATTATTATGCCAACATTTCAACTGGAGCAGTAAGTACCACCAATAAACATAAGCTGTATGCTGGCTATTGTGCATTATTTAATCTTCACACCAATCTTAAGGGTTATAAGAATTCTCAGTTTCAAAATGACCATTATAATTCCCATTTTACAGATAAAAAACATCATGGAGCCAATATTTGAACCTAGACATTCAAGAACCCCTGCTTTTTACCTATATTGTGGGCTACAGGTGATTCTTCTTAAGAATGATGGGCTGTACTTTCTGTATTATCTACAAACAGTGACTGGCCATGGTCACCTATTTATGATAAGGCTAATCTGAATTAGGTGTTTTAGTCTGAGATTACTGGAATCTCAGAGTGAATATGTCCTGGAAACCGAAGCAGGCAAAAGGATTGAGAATTCCAATCATGCTTTTGTTTAAATTTTGAAAATATTAAATCTATAACAAGATACACTATGATTTTGAGTTAAATAACCTCAATTACAAGCATTAAGGACTATAAGTGATCTATCAGTGTGGTTTTAACCTTTCTCTGCCTCTACATATCAGCCAATGACCTACCATAATTAGTATCAGTGGCCAACATTGTAATTGAGATTCTCAAGGTGAAGAGAGAGAAATGCTCTCTCTTCCTTCAAGGGGCCCATCAAAAGGGCTTTAGGTACAGATCAAAGCTCCTGGTGTGGCTTTAAAGACCTCTCTCCTTCCCCCGGGAAGCACGTTCTCTCACCCTCAAGGTTTGAGAATTTTTGATGTACAGAAAGATAATAAATAATAACACTTATTGAGTGATTTCTAAGCCAGGCACTGTTCTAAGGACACACTCAATCTTACAATTTATGAACTATATTAGTATTCCCATTTTATGCATGAAGAAAGTGAGGCTCAGATAATTTAAGGAACTTACCCACAGTCACACATCTAAAAATGGTAGAGCCTGGCTCTGAACTCAGAAAATCTGATTCTAAAGACGGAACACTTAACCACTGTACTATATTACCCCTAACTAGTCCACTGGAATAACTACATAATTATAAGAAAATCATCAAAGCAAATGTGAAAACTGTTCTAGCTGATAATGCAGTTGCTCTGCCAGGGTCTCAAGAAGGAAAATTTCTTTCATAAATATAGGAACAATCTAAGATGAACCCTGGCTTATAAAACTATAGTTTAGGCCTTCGGCACTCTCTCCCTCTCTCTAATTTTTTCATAATTTTACCTTGCTCGAAATAACTAGACTAACTAGTCTTGATTGTGCCCAAGTGTCACAGTGCCACTGTTGTAGAAATCAATTTACTCTAGCACATGCTTCGCTTTCTTTTTAGAATTTAATTTTTCTATTCATTAAAAATGATATATTAAGATGACATATTTATTTTAAAAACATGTAAAGGCAATAACATATGAATGAAGAAATTATGACTAAATTCAGTGACACAGATTTGAATCTCATAAATATAATATTTCACAAAAGAAGCCAGATGCATAGAATACAAACTGTATGACTAAATTTATATAAAGTGAAAAACCAGGCAATCTGACCTATGGTATTACCATTTAGGACAGTGGCTACCCTTGGAATGAGGTACAAGGTAGCTTCCAGGGCTCTGTTGCCATCTTGTTTCTTGATCTGGTAAATGGCAACACAAATGTTTCATTTTTGGAAATTCACTGAGCTTTACAATTATGTTTTGTGTACTTTCACACTATATACGCTTCAATACAAGAGTTTACATTAAAAGCAAGTATTCTTCATCCAAAATTCCCATTTTGTTAACTTTAGTACTACCTTCTCTCTCCTAAAAGGATGAGATTTATTATTTCATAAATAAAGCTAACAATATCTCTACATAAGATGGTAATGTTATATAGGAAATATTTTATGAGATATTTTAAAAGTCAGGTTGATTGAAGTATAATTTATATACAGTAAAACATACAGTTCTATAATTTTTGATAAGCACATGCTTTTGTACAACCATCGCCATGATCAAGATAGAAGAATAGTTCCATTATCTCCTCAAATTATCTCCTTCCCTTTTCCAGTCAACCTTATCCTCCGATCTCCAGCTCTTGGCAACATTTCTGTCCTGATGGTTTCACCTTTTCCAGAATGCCATGTGAATGGAATCATGCAGTATGTATTTTTTTTAAGTCTGGTTTCTTTCACTTGGTGTAATATATTTGAGATCCATCCATGGTGTTGGGTGTATCAGCAGTTTGTTCCTTTTTATTCTATTGCTCAGTAGTGTTACAATATATAGATATGCCACAACTGAAGAACATTTGAGTAGTTTCCAATTTTGGGTGATTATGAAAAAGCCACTACAAACATTAGTACATAGGTTTTTGTGTGGGAATGAGTCTTACGTTTTGTTTTTAAATTCCAAGTTATACTTTTACCTGCACAAAATATTTTCTATATTGCCTTTATGTTAATTCTTATACCTAGAGAATATGCCAACCACTTAAAAATAATATAAAATCAGAAATTGAATTAAATTAAATAATAAACTTCTGCAAATTCCTTACTTATAAATATTTTTGTAATCATCTATTGAATTAAGAGCAAAAAATATTCTATTAAAGGTATATATTAATAACTCAAAATCCTGTTTAGACTACACAAATTAAAAATCGAGGCCGGGCACAGTGGCTCACACTTGTAATCCCAGTACTTTGGGAGGCCGAGGCAGGCAGATTGCCTGAGGTCAGGAGTTTGAGACCAGCCTGGCCAACATGGTGAAAACCCATCTCTACTAAAAATACAAAAATTAGCCAGGCATGGTGGTGGGCACTTGTAATCCCAGCTACTCGGGAGGCTGAGGCAGGAGAATCACTTGAACCCAGGAGGTGGAGGTTGCAGTGAGCCAAGATCATGCCATTGCACTCCAGCCTGGGCAACAGAGTGAGACTCGGTCTCCAAAAAAAAAAAAAAGAAATCGATGGTGTTACTAACTGGGACTCTTGTATCACAATGAATGAAGGAAAAAGAAGTAAGAAAGTTGGCTTGAGAAGGAAAGTGTTTTATGCCTCTTTCAAAACTTTCCAATTTGATATATTATGAGTTACAATATATTATAAATTTAACCCAACTGGTTAGTACTTTTTGTTCATGATAACTAGGAAAGGATTTGAGCGACAAAATGGAAACATGGTAGATGTTACCTAGCATGTTGTGGTAAAGTGGAATGGCCCGTCCATGGGTAGTAAATGCAGTCATGACTAGTGGGACCGTTACACCTGCAGGCAATTACAGAACAGAAAACATCATTCTCCATCCACAGTGACATGCACACACATGCACCAGTGCTCACACATGGAGCCTTGGAGGAAGAACATGGGAAGCAAGCACACCAAGTACCTATCCATCAGGCCGATGCAGTCTTCAATACTTGAGCCTATGCACCTGCAGAAAATGCAAATTTAAAAAAATACAAGGGGAAAAAATTAGTCATTTAAAAAATCAGTAAAATAAATATTGATTGTCTCGAATTCTTATAACTATTAGACTATTTTGGAACACAATGAATTTCAAGCCAGGAAGATTTTTGCTTGATGAATACACAGAAATGAATTGCCATTATCAACTAAGTGGGATGCAAAGAAATGTCCAAAGTAAAAGGAAATTTTACACTGGTTCTGTGAATAACTTCCAAACGCACAGCTCACTTCTAATACTTTGAACTGATATGCATCATACATGATTACATGTCTCAACAAATATGTTGATATTTCAATGACTATAATTGTTTTCTTGTGTATGGTTTCTTCTTAAAGGCCTTAAGTTTAAATAAAAAAAAAACAATAAGAAAACCATGAGCAATCCAATATCATATAATAACCTGATGCTCAATGCTCATTAAAGGTTGATTTTGGCAGAAAATGAGTCAACATGCTTTAATGCTATTCTCATGGATACTTTACATAATCACATTATTCTGATTCTTGGTTGTGCCTGTCTTTAAAAGATACTTATCTTAAACATGAATTTATTTTAAAAGAAAATTAACTGGTTTCACCATACTGCAGTTTCTCTTGACACTGTCTTTTAAAATAGCAATGCCATAACAGGTAAACAAAAACAAGTTTTTAAACTACCATAATAATGAACGCAAACAATAACAGATAAATATATACTATGTAAGGAAATGAATTACCTTTGAGACCCAGTTAAGTAAAGAATACAGTGAGACTAACATTTAAATGGAATTACATAAGTACACAGAATTCTAATGTGCAGTCCCTAGAATTTCATTTTGAACCAATATAGAATTATTATTTCTTTCATCTTCCAATATACTCGAACTCTTTATCTTTTCCTTTTCTCCCATCAAAGACATACAGCTCCAGAACATTATCAAGATCCTTTTTATAGTTAGGATTTATAGAAGTGCCTTATTTCGCTGGTAATAAAGATTACATATATTTCCAAACTTTTAATTTTCAAATTTGAAAAAGCAGCTTAAGATAGGATCATCATACAATGATGTAAAAAGGTGCCAATGTATAAGGCCAGTCTATCCATTATATATTTAAATAACTCTAAACATTGGTGAACTAATATAATATACCTATAATACCAATTAAGTCACTTATCTCTCTGTCTCATAAACATTTGTTATAACATTCCTGCTAGCTTAAAAATTGATTTTTGTTTTTGTTTGGAGTAGCGCAGACAAATTTTAATCTATAGAAATAGAGAGAATACACCTGTATGAAAAGTCTTTTAAAAAGCAACTAAAAAGGAAAAAAACTAGAGTACATAGCATTAAATTAGTATTATATATAATCTATAGTCAAAATCATTTCTAAAAATGGAAAATTAACTACTAAAAAAGCTTCCAATTTGTCTTATATAGTTTTCTTTTCATTATATTCCAAATAACTTGTTTTTTCCTAAGTTCCTGCTCTATCTTCTTGAAAATTATTTTTATGCCATATTATCATTTTGTAAAATTAAAAGTCTGCTTATCAGTTCCAAGTGAGAATCTAAAAAGCTATGGCTAGTTTGCAATCCATCTTTATAACAACCCTTGAAAGATTAAAAAAAATTCAAAACTAAAATTTAACTTGAGGGAAAAGTGTGAATATGAAAGATACTCATTCATTAAAAAAAGCACTGTGTTACATGTCTACTAAGTGTTCCTAGTATTCTAGGAGCTAGAGGGAGAAAAAAAGATGAATTAGACATTTTTCTGTTCTCAATGAGCTATGAATTTAATGAAGGAGACAGATGCATAAACAGATGTGTATTGAATAATGTGATAAATGTAATAAGAAACATGAAAAAGTGGTTCATGGTAGTGTGGAGGGCAGACACCTAGAGCCAACCTAGAAGGGCATGATAACCCTCTTAGGGGAGGTAAGAAGCTGAAATTTAGAGTTCTGCAAACTGGGGTTGGGGTGGCGGTGGCTTCTGCAGGAGCAAAAGCACAGACCTGAAGAAATGTATTGTATATACAAAACAACTACAAATAATTCTTAGTAGTTGGAGAGCAAAACATGAGGCAATAGGAAGAGGGGAAAAAAGAAGTTAGAACATTAGGTGGGAGCCAGATTTTGAGAAATATTTGCTTAGTAACAATCAATAAAAAATCACTGTAGGGCTTTAAAGAAGTAGTGAAGTTGCTAGATTAGTATTTTCAGTAAATCTCCTAGCTCTGTGGATACTAGTCAGCTGGCAGCCAGGCCGACTCATTTGGCACAAAGACTATTTTAGTCCACGTAAGAGATGATGGACCAAACTAGGGAAATGGTAACTGTGTTGGAGGCAGAAGAACAGATTCAAGAAATACCTCAAAAGATAGAGGGAATAAAAAAGAGCAGTTGATTCATGAAAGTGAAATGATCAAAGGAGTTAAAGAAGACTTACATTTCTAGCTTTGCTAATAGTGGTACTATCCTTGAGAGAATCCAAGAAGATGAATATGTTTCTTCCTGTATGTGTTAGGGGATGAGGAGTTGATAATTTCAGTTTTGTGTATCTAGAATTTAGTATGGCTGTCCTACATCTAGGTAGAAATGTTTATCAGCAGTTGGAAAGATGAGTGGTTAACGGGGAAAGAAGGCATGAGTATAATGATCAATCTTGAAATAGCATGTAGGAGAAAGTTGAAACCATGTAAGTGAATAGATGGCTAAAGAAGATATAAAAAGTAAGAAAAGCAGAGGCTGAAGATGGAAACCCAAGGAACCCCAACAGTATATGACATAAGATGAGTTCTTTGTGCCAGAAGCATGGGAAAATATAATTGAGTAAAACCAATTAACTGTAGTCTCATGGAAGTCAAATCAGAAAAGAACTTCAAGAAAGAGGCGGTGATCATCAGTGTGAAAGGCAGAGAAGTCTGGTAAAATAACTCTTAAGATAATTTTACTTGTCATTGTCATGGTCACTAGAATTTAGGTTTTTGTGAGTTGAGAAGCAAATTGGAGATAGAAAAATAGAGGCTGGGGAAAGAGCGGGGAGGGACTGAGGGAGCAGGATGTAGGGTCAAGAAAAGTTGTTGAGGGGATTGTGTAGGATATTTGAGATTCAAACCTATTTTTAAACTGAGAATGAAAGAAAAAAATGAAAGACAAAGAAAAATAAGAGTATGACTGAAGTGGCACCATTCTTTCTAAATACAAGCCGCTGAAAACTAAAATATGTATATTGTTTTTCAACTCTTTGTATTTTCTGTAAGCAACTAATTAGTATATGCAATTTGCATCCATTCAGCCAGATCACAGAACAACAGAAACACAAAACTTTTGAAGAGCCAAAATCACAAATAAATAACTGAATCAAAATCTAGAATAGTAGAATTATAAAAAAAAGTGTTTCAAAGTGGAATACTTATAGAAAATTAGAAAAATAAAACACATGTCTAATTAACAAATTCCAAAACAATATCTAAAGTTCTGAATATTAAACTGTGTTTAACCTTTGTTAGTACTAATGACTTATAAGTTCCTTGATGTACTCATTTAACCAACATAGTTTAGATATTTTGATAAAATCTTTAAATTTTGAAATAAAAATGAAGGAAATTTTTAAAAATTCTCCATTAAAAGATTATAGACAAAACTTCCACAAGCAGCCCTTCTTTCCCTCTCTTGATGTATAAAAATTATTTCATTATATCAGTTTAAGAATATTTTAAAAATGGATAAAAAGATTAAGGTACGGCCGGGCGCGGTGGCTCACGCCTGTAATCCCAGCACTTTGGGAGGCCGAGGCGGGCGGATCACGAGGTCAGGAGATCGAGACCATCCCGGCTAAAACGGTGAAACCCCGTCTCTACTAAAAATACAAAAAATTAGCCGGGCGTAGTGGCGGGCGCCTGTAGTCCCAGCTACTCGGGAGGCTGAGGCAGGAGAATGGCGTGAACCCGGGAGGCGGAGCTTGCAGTGAGCCGAGATCCCGCCACTGCACTCCAGCCTGGGCGACAGAGCGGGACTCCGTCTCAAAAAAAAAAAAAAAAAAAAAAAAAAAAAAAAAAAAAAAAAAAAGATTAAGGTACATGTGACATTTAATAATATAAAATCATTATTCTAATATCAACAAAAACATGCAATGAGATTTTTAAAAAGATGTTCCATAAAATAACCATTTCATTCCAAGTCTAAAATGCAGGTTTGGTTTGATACAAAACCAAAGTTAAACGGACATTAAATGAGCACATACTCAAGTGATATTAGTGAGGAAAAAAATCATCCTTGCCCTCCCCACAATTTAATTACATTGGTTAAGTTTACAAATCTTTAAAAAAATTCTATCTTGCTAATTTCAAATCTGAACATCATTCCTAAGTTTTAAATTCTTGCTTATCATTTCAAAATACTGTGGAGAAGGGTCTGGTCTCTAACAGAGGATATAAATTAAATAATATAAATTTACTGGACTGTGAGTTCATTGAGGTCAGAAGCTGTGTCTTGTTCATTTCTGAATTTTCCTATCACTGTATGTGATGCAGAGCAGATATCCAATATACAAAGCTGAAGAGTGAATAAACTAAGAAAAGGCTGTTAAAATAAAAATTATCTAGTCAAGGTAAGAAGAGACAAACTTGTTGTTTTCATGGATATTAGTGAGAATCTTCTGATAAGGAGTAAATAGATGACCTATTTTAAAAGTGTCTAGAGAGCTTGTTAGAGCCATTATATTTAATGTACTTTTAGAGTAGTAAAAGTGCTTTTAAAGTATGACACAGGTAACTTTATTTTCAGAAAAATCATTAAACAGTATTCAAAGTAAGAACTTTAATTCTAAAAAATGTGGTTTGAAAGACTATTTTCATTAATGTGGTTCTTGAATTATCTGACATCATATAGGCATATAAAAGAAAAGGTGTTTTCCAAAGTAGAACTGGCCTGGTGAGCTCACACTTACTGATAGGTCGATTATTACATGTGTTTAGGAATAAAAATAGTTACTTGCTCCATCATCCTCACTGCCCCTGTGGTTTTCCCAGGAAAATATCATATCTCTATATGCTCAATTTGGAAAGAAGGGACTGACTGCACAGAACACCTTATTGCTTCAGTAAAATATCTCAAAGCATAATGTTGAACTGCAATAGAATTTATATGAGGATTTAGGAATTTAGGAATCACATCCTTCAGGAATTCCTGGGACTAGAATACTCTGGGACTAGAACCACAGCATTTTTATGAAGTGAGTGAATCTGGACAATATGAAGGTGTTTTAAAAACAGGATGGCAGAAAGCTAAATGAAAACAGAGACAAAAATCCTTCAGGATTAAGTCAGTCATTAGAGAATGCATTTACCTTGGAAGATGCCAGGGAGTACAATATTCAAATTCTGTCTCAACTTAATTCTGCGGCTGCAAATTGCTAAAGGTGTCTTTTTTCTGTTCACTTGGAGTTCCCAAATGCTCTGGTGAGATTTCTTCCCCATTACACCTTCATCCTTCCTTTTGACTGAGATCCAGATTTTGTTGCTACCATAAACTAATCTCTTTTCATTGCCTCATATTTCTACTTCCCCCACTATATATGTTTATTATTATTATATAATAATGATTTAAAAGGGCAGAGAGGAAGACACACCAGCCATGCATCCAGACTATGGCTCTGTGATCTCACTTTCATTTCTCTAATGGCCTCATTGTAATTAGATTTGCAAAAACAGCAAAAGGTCTCATTTTGAATGGCAACAGCTGTTGACATCAACATTATATTGAATAATTTACTGGTTTAATTTTAGCTGCAAAACAATAAAATTCTCTTGTGGATGATTTTAGCAGGCAAAGTTTTCTCTTTCTGTTGCTGACTCTTTCTTCTGCTCCAGCAGAACCAGTTGTTTTTTTTTGTGAAATACTCTTAACTCAAGTATGCCAAAAACTCACAAGGGGAGCAGTTTATTACCTCTAGTTTCCTTGAAGCAAAGTGTCTATGTGACTATTTCAGTACCCTAAATGTATACGTGCTTATATGTGAACCAATGAATTGGCAATTACCACTTCCAAGGTGAATTTGAATTTGAATGGCAGAATATTACTTTACCTTTTGAGGATCTGTCACTTCACAGAGTGAGTTAAGCTTATTTCTTGACCTGCAGGAAATTGTAGCAACATCTGCAAATTGATGTTTTCTTGGCAGGAAATGATGTCGCTTGCTTAATTTCTTCAGTATCCCCCAACAGCTATCCCTTAATCTGACAGAAAATCTGTTTATGGAATCTCACACTTTCCTGCCAGATATAAAGTACCCAAGCTGATTCTCAACTACAAATGTGTGTGTGTGTGTGTGTGTGTGTGTGTCTGTATGCGTCTGTGTGTGTGTGTTTATATGTGTATGTGCACATGCCTATAGGCATTCACAATGGAGAAAAGGCTTTATGGGCAGTAGGAGGATGGCAAATGTAACACTGCTTTCAATTACAAATTATTCACCTTCCGGAGGAATGAAAAGGAAAAATCCTTACTAAAATAGACTTGTTGTCTCTTAAGAAATACTTGTTGGAATTTGTTAGATGAATGACATTATTTCTTTTACAGTTCAGTGCTTTTCTTCTTTCTGTAATGTGTCTTTGTTATTCAACTGTTATCAATATCAAAGGTAATCTAATTATTATTCATTGCACAATGTATTCTTTTGAAAAAGAGAAAAAAAATTTACCAAGCTTCAGATTGCCCTATATCAGTCAAAGAAATTCAAGGCTAAAGGATTACCTGTAACAAGGTTACTTTCACAAAATGTACTCATTTTTTAAATATACATATCACTAGGTTCCCTTTTTCCCTGCCATTGTTACCTTTGTTCATATTTTTTGAAGGAGTAATTTAAGGTAGTATTTATCAAAGAGAAATATCCTCACCTTAAGCTTATTGTGACAACAAAGAAACAGAAATAGAAAACTTCCTTTAAAGATTTGATAAACACAAACCTCAAAAGCATGATTACTGTCCTATCTTTTCTGAGATCTTGAATCTCCAATATAATTTCGAAGAATTTCTAAACTGCATCCAAAGTATACCTGACACTAGCTAGCTTCATGAAGGTGTTAATAGAATGGTTATAGGTAAAATCTAAGCAGAAATATTTAAGGGTGTACAAAGTTGATTCCATAAATCATTCTCTCAGTATTTCTCTTAAAATCAGCATTTTAAATATAAGGATTAGTAGAGTTCTATGAGAATGGTATACATTTCAGAGATGGTACCAGGGATAAAGATACATGTGGATAACACATACCAGGTGAGCCCTTGGCCAGCAAGAATGCTTACCCTTGGGTGCAGTTTGGATGGCATGGGTGGCACTCCCGATCTGGATCAGCATACTTGAAAATGAAACTGTTTGCCCCCTGTAAGCCATCTGGACATTTTTCCACACAGTTTGGGCCATCTTTAAAATGAGAGCACTTTGTACAGTTGTCAGGACCCTGAAATGTGAAAACGAAAAAAAAAGAAAAAAGAAAAGTGGTGTCATTTCCTCTGGAATGTATTCATGTGGTTTAGTTACTGAGACTTCAGTAGGTGGCAAATCTTCCTCTAAGAGAATTGGAGAACATTTTCAGCAGTGCAAATGTGGATGTAATTTTTGTAGTACAAACAGTGCAAAGAAGATCCATCAAGTTCAGTTTTGATATCCTGTATGTGTGAAAACACTATAATAATGTATTTGTGCTTGAAATATTTTCCTTTTCGACATAAGCAGTTCCTGGGCCAACTGATTTCCATGTCATGACTCTAATGTGACTTAATTTGATCAGCAAAACTGTCCAATGACTTTCTCAAAAGGATGTCAGTATTTTCTTCTTGTGATTTATTTCTGGCAATATTATAGTGCAGCAATTTTTAGTAAAACACATTTTCCCTAGAGGTATTTCATCACCACCACTGGGAATATGTGAATACTTTTACTAAATAGTTAATGAGAAAAGGGATATAATAGAAATTAACTAAAACTGAATTTCATATAAGAGTAGGATGTAAACTTTCCTTTGGTTGTACAATGACTTTATTTATAAAATGAATTTTAAAATTTGTTATGATAACATTATCAGGAATTAGGCCGTTTAGGTGAATAAAAATAATTCCTAGATTTTTCTTTATTTCATATCCACTGTGAAAACACTAAAAGTCATATTATGTCTATTTATAGGGATTTTAGTAAATCACAGAACAATACTGAAAGCCATATAAATGCACATTTTGATGAGCAAAATAGTCCATAATAATAAAGCAAATACATACAAACAAAGGCTTCATGAAGAAACTTATCCAAGGATGAAGATAATATAAATATGAGTATAATAAATGCAAATAGAACAAACTCATTCTATATATTTATGTTTATAATACACATTAACTTTCTAATATGTGGAATGTTAATAAGTGATAATGATATGAAAATATATCTAAAAGTCATGACAATATTAAGATGTTCAAACTAAAACATATATGAATTTTACAGAATACAAACTGATTTGGATCTGGTATAATGGATGGAAAGCATACTAGAAATGGGTATATCGTCAGAGCAAAGAAAATTTAGAACACTTTGGTAAATGCTATCTTTCTTAAAAGACTTCCCCGATGCTTTCATACATTCAGCTGTTCTGGACAACAGCTACCTGAAATGTACTTTTACATCTCCTTTTTGGACACCATATTGTCTTAAAATTCCTCTCCTCTTTGACCACTCCCCTTTGGAACTTCTTCCCCTGACCCATTTCTCCCTAAAATCTGGCTATGTCCATAGGGTTCAACAATCATTATAGTTCACATGGAAAACAACTTAAATAAATAAGATATAGTAAGCATACAGAGAGACAATTCTATCACATTTGTAGTTATAAACAATGAGAATTTGGCAGTCAGGAGTTAACACTAAGTTATAAAGAACTAGATATTAGGTAGGGATTGTAAAGATAATGGGAGTACCTTATATCCTAAACCAGGAGTGTCCAGTGTTTTGGCTTCCCTGGGTCACATTGGAAGAAGAATTGTCTTGGGCCACACATAAAATACACTAACACTAATGACACCTGATGAGCCAAAAAAAAAAAAATTGCAAAAAAACTCATAGTGTTTTAAGAAAGTTTACGAATTTGTGGTGGGCCACACTCAAAGCTGTCCTGGGTGCATGTGGCCAATGGGCTGCAGGTTGGGAAAGCTTGTCCTACACAAATGTTAATCCAAGAGCAGCTAGATATTACAAATTGGTTACTTAAGGCATCAGAAAATCGAGAAATACAATATTTTAAAATTTAAAAATGGAGGCGTGTGAATAGAAGTATAAAGAAGAAAAAGTAATCAGGAAGAGCTTTCAGGAAATCCTGAGACTGGTGGGGCTCAATCAAGCCCTTGTCTATTTCACTATTTTGCTGTGAGGCTCAGAGCTCGAAAAAAAAAAAAAAAGCCTATAAAACCTAATCCTGATTCTACCTGAGGAGTTTGCTAATGGTAACTTCTTATTTCTTCCCAAAAAAGAATACTTCACATCCTTCCAATTTTAACACCTGCTTATGGGTACTTAGGCACGTAATATTGTCTATTACACAGAATCATTTACTGTGCAAGTATGCTCAGTACCATGACTTATTGTACAAGACAAGAGACATGCTGATGTCTTCTTGCAGCACACAGAATAAAACCTACAATGAGTAAATTAGGCAGAGTCTGAATTAAGAATTAGGAATTATTCTTCTAAGTAATGTAAATGTATTTTTCTTATAATGTAAAATCATGTCTGGGTGAAGTCAAAAGATATAAAGTTGTAAAAGTAAAATCAAGTTCATATTTAATATTTAAGTATACTGTAATAAGATAAATAACTTTTTGTTCTTTGTTTTTTAAGCATCTCTTAACTATAGTCATGTGACACTTAATGACCGGGATATATTCTGAGCAATGCATCATTAGGTGATTTCATCATTGCGCAGATATCACATAGTGTACCTACACAAACCTGTATGGTGTAGCCTACTTTATACCTAGGCCATATGGTATAGCCTTTTGCTCCTGGACTACAAACTGCACAGCATATTACTGTACTGAATATTTTAGGCAGTAGTAATACAATAATAAGCATGTGTGTATCTAAACATATCTAAATGTAGAAAGGGTACAGTAAAGGCAGATATTATAATTTTATGGTAACACCATTGCATATGTCCATCACTAACTGAAATGTTGTTATGAAGTGCATGACTGTATTTGATTGTATTATCATGATAGAAAACCTAATGTCCCAGGCTGACATAACTAAAAATGTCCTGGCAAATCTCAGAAAAAGAAACATACTGATTCCCCATCTCATTTCCATAATAAAGAGACTTAAAGAAATATACCTGTGTCTAATGTTTACTCTTCTTTCATTATATTCCCAAAGGCTTTAAGAACCGAGGCACAATAAATGAATTGATCAGTGCAATAATAGAAAATGAAGGTCAAGGCAATATTCTTCCTTATCCCTATTTCTAAACTACCTCTGGAGTCAATAATCTAGACAGACAACTAAAGGATAGGCTGAATCCTTATAGAAGCATGACTTTTTTTTTTGAGTCGTCATTGATGTTTTTCTCTGGTAGCTACTGTAAAAGACATATTTATTATTCACCAGTGACCAATTATCTTCTATTCCAGTCACATGAGAACATTATAATTCTCCTCCCACCAGAGATAAGATATGGCTTAATTTGCACAATGGAATATAACTAGAGGTGACTATGAGATAACTAGTGCTTAAGTCTCCAGCCTTCTCTCTCTGGTGCCATGACTCACAGACCCCATGTAGAAGTGGAAGTGCCATAAATTAAAAGCATCCCTGAATGGTAGACCATAACAGGGAGGCTCGCTGCCTTAGAACATTTCCCAGATTTCCAGTGTACTTTACAAGATGGATGGGTGTGGTGGCTCACATCTTTAATCCCAGCACTTTGGGAGGCCTAGGTGGGCAGATCACTTGAGGCCAGCAGTTCAAGACCAACCTGGGCAACATGGTGAAACCCCATCTCTACAAAAAATATAAAAATTAGCCAGGCATGGTGACACATGTCTGTAAACCCAGCTACTCAGGAGGCTGAGGCATGAGACTCGTTTGTGCCCAGGAAGCAGAGGTTGCCGTGAGCTGAGATCACGCCACTGCACTACAGTCTGGGCGACAGAGTGAGTCTCAAAAAAAAAAAAAAAAAAAAAAGAAAAAAGAAAAAAGCAAAAAACAACTATGTACTTTACATGAAAAAAAAAGAACTTAAACTTATTTATGTAAGCTACTGCAATATGGAGGTTATTTGTTACAGCAGCACAACCTTTATTAACCTAAATTTAACAGTGTTTTCACTTTTATAGGAATGTATTTCAAAATCAGTTCCCTTACTATTTTTTCTCTTCTTTTGCTGCCTCTCTAGCCTAAGTTTTGGTCTCCTGAAACTGTCTGATTTCCCAGGCTTGTCTTTCTTCTCATATTTCCTCCTATACCTTTCTGGATAGGACTGCCTAAAAGTAATGAAAGTAAAGCAGAGTGAATAAAATTATAAAAAATTAAATAAAATATAGAAGACCAAGTGTGGACAGACAAGGACATAAGCGCAAAGGCCTTCTTTTATTTCCAATCTATCCCTTGCAAGATTACCGTAAATTTCTGTCATTTTTAAGTAGGATTATATTATCTCATTTTACTTATAGCTATCATAGTCCCTGAAAGCATTTTATCCCTATTGCACTGAAGACATTGTTTCCTGGGGGACAAAAAACTGAGATGTACGAGAAATTTACAGTCAGAACTTCTATAGTTGAGTCACAGTTTCATATCCTACTGACGTGCTGACTTTTGGAGTAACTTTCTAATCATTATTGGTTAACTTTCTTTATATTTTAAAGGGAGAAAGTGATAGCATGCTTCAGATGTAACAGTGTTTGGTAAACATAAGTATATATCAGTTTTTGTCATTGGGGAAATATTCATAGATCAAAAAATGTGATTTCAACAGAATATATCATAAGATCAGGAATGGGATTTCCAAATGGCTTTGATGACTTCTTCCTCAATTTCATCAAAACGCCAGTCTAATGGAGAAGCTTCCAGAACCTCTTGGATATCTTAAATGATAGATGACTGTTATCTGGCACACAAAACCATCTCTGACTCTAGTTGTGGTCATTAACATGTGGGCCCAGAAACAGGCAAAAACCTAATATGAATCATTAAGGGTTGAAAGAAACCAAACCATAGTGGGAGCAATGTTTGGGCCACTGGTTGAGCTCAGCCATGCCAGTTTTTCAGGCACCGTTACTGAAAGATGTCGTGTTCTTACCTGCTTAGCATTCAAAGATTACTGATTCTTTAACTATAAATAATTTTAAAAATCAACTTTTGGAGTTCTAAAAATGTATATTTTTATAACCATCTCAAGTTTTTTGAGGAACAATGAGTAAACAAACTGCAAAAACCCACAAATTAGGAGAAATTAATGAATGAGTTATTCACTAGCACAATTTTATGCAACAGGAGGCATCATGAAGAAGAGAAAAAGCATGGAACTGATAAGCACATTGAGACTGGATGGTAAAATTGTGATTCCAAAGGTCTCAATACTACAGAACAATTCATTTAAGTACATTGAGCAATTCATTTAACATCTCTGAGATTATTTCCTCATTGGAAAAATGGGAGTAATACCTACAAGACAATAAAATAAAATGTAGGTGCAAATACCTAGCACAGAACTAGCTCACAAAAGGCCCTCAGTAATGTATGTTAAATCATTAATATAAATATGATCCAAGATAATCAGATTAATTCTGACTTGATTCATAGGTAAAGTGGTCACTGAACTTTTTTCTCACCTGAAAACTAATAAAGGCATACTGAAGGGACAGTTGTTGAAGTCTCTCCTTAGTGAAGGTTAGACTTTGCTACAGATGGTAAGCGAACATCAAGTTTTCAGACATGGGATTTTTTTTATGAAATTAGAAAAAAATATGGTGTCTTACTATGCAACATTTAAGCAGATTAGTTTTTTGTCTATAGGATTAGGTGAACTAAAAGTATTAGTTCATAAATATATTTGATTTTTCTGAAAAGTCACAATTGCAAGAAAGGCCAAAATATTATTACTTGAATGTATTTTCATTATACAGTATACAATAGATGAAGAAAAGATAATGTGAAAAAATTAAAATATGCAAATAATGCAACTTCTTAATTTTTGAGAAATAATTTTGAATATTAATGTTTGAATTTTCTAATATTTAAAAACCTAACAATATGTATACTCATGAAGCCTGGCACAAACTAGGTACTAAATAATATTTGCTGAATAAATGAATAAGATGTTTCTTAAAGCCTTGCTCAAACTAAAAAGGTTAAGAGAAAGAAATAGGAAATTACATGTGTGAAGAAAAAAAACTAATCTAGAAAATTGTAATAAGATATTTATAGGAAATATCAGTGCAGTGGCACCTGTAGTGATTCACAAATGAAACATTAGGCAAGTTTTGGCAGTTGCTCATAATTTTTTGAAAAGTGTTTCTGTAAATCTATGTCTAATATATATTATGATTGGATCTAGAGGGCCTATGATGATTCCCAGCCTATTCAGATGAGAGGGCCAAATCCTTGATTATTTTAATTATACATTTTGAAAAGTTTCAGTCTCTCAGAAAGAGATTTTTTCATTCCATGATTAATAGTCAAGAAGTTACCTAAATATGTTCTTTTTTAAAGACTCATACAGATATCCCAACCTGCCTTAACAAGCCATTACAGAAATGCACTTCCCTGTGTTTCATGACATTCTTTACAGAATTCATATTTCTCACACTGTTAGTTAATTGTATTTTTCATGACTGTCCATAATGGAGAAAGAAAATAGCTGCAAATGCCCTTTGCATAGTTACTTGGAGATCATTACATATTAAATTGCCTTTTACACTTTGGTTCTTCACACCAAGCAACACCACTTCTTTTTCTCAGAGGTCTAATTTTCCAAGCTAATCATCCTTGTGGTCGTCCTCTGAACTGGCCAATTTTTCCACATCTTTCTTTAGATAAAGTTCCAGAGCAGCTCACTGGGGCCTAATGGAAGTCTGGAGGGCTCAATGATATATATATTTTTTCTAAGCTAATTAAGTGCTGAATAAGCATTCTGGTATAAAAATTAATACTATTTAAATTTTCAATGAAATTGTACAGAGCAATGTGAAGCTCTTGTCTACATTCAAATGTTGGTCTCAAATTATCCATTGAGAGAGGATTCAATAACACAGATAAACTGGAAATTTGTCTAAAGAAGGATGAAAATGATACTTAGGAATGAAAAATTTATACTGATCTCATTATTAAGAAAAACTCAAATGATGGAAACCAAAGAGAGGTCTAAAAAATAATTATAATTTTCTCTCTGAGGCTAACTTCAAACTATGTAAATGAGACCTCATCCATGAGAACTTTCCTAATCCTATAACCCCTCCTTGGATTCTCATAGCTCAATTCTTCCCTCTGCCATAGTATTTATTGCACTGCTTTAGATTTTAGTTTATGAGTACTTGTCTCCTTCTTTCCACTGTCTTTCACAGTGCCACAACAGTTAAAGGATTAAATGCATATAAAAATGTGTGATAGCTTTCCTCAAATACAACATGAACTTTTACATTTGCATATGTTTATATGTTTCTTCTTTCCAGATTATTCTTCAAAGCATAGCTCCAGCATCACTTCTCTATAGCCTATCTTGATGTCTCAATTTCCATCCCAAAGACAGAATTAGTTTTTCCTTCATTTGTGTTTCTATAACAATTTATAAATATTTTTATTATGTTAGTGATTATGCTTCAATCTAATTATTCTTTTCTATACTGTGCAATAGTCCAGGACTACTCTATATCTTATAATTCCATTTAACTATTTTATATTTTATCTGGAGAATAAATATGTATGACATCGACTTTTTAACTATTTTATCTCTACTACTAAACTTTAAGCCTCTTGTAGGCAGATAAACATGTTTCCCCATGGCATCCTGTAAGTAGCTATTGAATGGATGAATAAATGATAAAATAATAACAAACATTCATACATGATACTAAATAAGCCAACACACCACAGATGTCTTCAGGCTTACCGGTCCATGGCATGTGAGGAGGCCATCTTCCATCTTCTCACACTGGGGGTCACACTCCACACAGATGGAGCCATTCTCAAACTCCCGAAATTCACTGTGAAAACATCAGCCACATGAGGAGGTGTAAGCAAACAAGCGTCAACTTAACAAATGAAGTAACATCTGCTAAAAGTCCTATTGGCAGAGTAAATTCTAAAGTTTGTTTCTCTATGTGCCAGGAGCATCAGAAACATTAAGTTTTCCATTAGGAGAAAAGATAAACTGCAGCCAGATGGCTCTCCCTGTCCTCCATTGAGTTCAATGTTAGACTCATTCTGGAAACCTCTCTCCTGCAAGACATATTCCAGCAATCTCAAAAAAAAAAAAAGCTACAAAGTATAACTCTTCTGATGACACAGTAAAACCATTTTTACCTTTTTAAATAGGGCTGTGCCTGTTTTGTCTTTATATACAATTTTACTCTTGGAGAAGCTTTTATTTCTAAACTCTGAAAGAACTATTGTATTTTTCTTGTTGCTAAGTTACATGAATGTTCCCAATCCTTGTCCTTCAAATCCCAAGACTCTTCAATTTATTTTTGGTGAAATTTCAAAAACTACTTTGATTCCTCTTCTCCTTTTAAAATATCTGCCTTGGAGAATTAGAGAAAACATCTTTTTATGGTAGATTTCATTTTCTTATATTATTGATCTAATATCACAACATCTTTTTGTAGTCTAAATTCTTTTTGAAGTAATTCTATAGGTATACAATAAAAGACACAGTTTAATGGTAACATCCTAAAACTTTCTAATTGAAATCTCCTGGGATGGTGGTCATCCCTTCCTATATCCTTACATTTTTGTGGCTATTTGTATATTACATGTTATCAACTTATGAATTTTACAATCAATGTCTATGGCAAAATTATTATATCAATAATTAGATATCAGTCATCTATAATATGTTAAACCACCCCATCCCACTAAAATACAGGAGGATAAAGTACTGAGTACAGACAATTTAAAATGCCATTTACAAATCATTAATAAAATTTGACGATGTTTAGCTATTTTATTATTTTGTGCTTTTGTGTCCTGTGTTACTACTCCACACCAATAGCATTACAGAGATGGCAATTTTTGATTCATTAAGTGATACATTAAAATATATTTTTACCTAAAGTGAAGCATTCACTTTTTTCTCATTTGAATACTGTAAAGCCTTAATAAATGAAAGAAGTACAATGATGAGCTATCTTTTCTGCCGGTTAGTTTAAGACTACATCTATTCCAAGGCAAAATAATTAAGTTTGGTTTTCCAAATGAATAGCATAAATAGATGGCTTAATTATGTATGAAATGCACATATATTGAGTTACATGGATTATGCATTTTATAAAGTGAGATAGCAGTTTGTTATGGATCAAACCTTTTATAAATTTTCTTAATTTTAAAATCACAATTACATAAAGACAGGTGATCTTTTGCATGCTTCACTGACATAAAGCATACAAAGTACTCAACAAAGGAAACCTTCAGAATATAAAAGTCCAAATGAATTGGTATGGGAGGGTAGTAAAATTATAAAAATAATCAAAAGCATTGTTTGCATAACAAAATTATGACAATTATAGCACACTTGAGATTATCCACTGGTTTTGGATAATAGTTTCTTGGGTGATTAAAAGTTTATGGTACTAAATGAGGGTTGTAGTTTTCATATTACTAGAACAAAGGTCACGTTTTTCTTATTCTTCTTCTCCAAAACCCACTTCCCCACACGCAGAGTTGAGGAATAAAATGTATGTCATAAAACAATCATGGAGATGGCCTATTGCCCTTTTCTTCCATAGATTTCCATTTGACAGGCTTCTGATTTTTCCTGCTCTCAGAAAAGATCCTCCTGGCAATCTCTATTACTTCTTCTGCCCTTTATTGTGACTTTCTCCATAATTTCTCTTTTTCTTTCCTGTCCTCTAGTGATTCTATTGTGACTTTGCCAGAGTCACCCTTTCACTTGAATCAGATTTAACAATTTATAGTCTATTAAGTATGAGCTTTGGATAGGGAGCTTTGTTCCCTTGGTTTTGCTATGAAACATTTCTCACAGTTTTGTTGTATGTGTTAACTTAGCAAGTCCTGTGATCAAGAGTGAATACTCTGGGATCTAGTTTTTCCAAATCTAAACCCCAGGACTGACACTACTATTTCTAGGCCTTAAATACTTCAACTTCCTTAAGCCTC
This sequence comes from Homo sapiens, assembly GCF_000001405.40. Taxonomy (NCBI): domain Eukaryota; kingdom Metazoa; phylum Chordata; class Mammalia; order Primates; family Hominidae; genus Homo; species Homo sapiens. Next base: position 211,675,389 of record NC_000002.12, read on the forward strand.
ATTTTTTAAAATATCCTCTGTAAAAGGAAAAAATAAGATTTCATTGAGAAGCTGCAATTATAAAATGTAAAAAGACTTAGAAGGAGCTTAGTCTGGTTCCCTCTTTGATGTTTCTGTGTTGTTCTTAAACTTTCACAAGAGTTTAAGCATGTTGACAGATATGGGAAGTTCTAAAGTTCCATTGCAGTTACCTATCTTTTTCATTTTTATTGCTTGAGCATTGTAGTTAAGAGTTGTTGAAATACAGTGATTTATATGACATGGATTTGAATGCTAATCAGCCAGTAATTGACTGATTTTCATTTTTCCCTTCAAAAAGTCCTCTTTTTAGGATTTCTTCTCTTCTGGAGCCACATTTTTTAACATATATATATTTAATATAATATATATATAAAATATAATATTATATATATATATATATAACAAATAGGCTCCCTGGATTTTGGTAAATGTCATATTTATATTTGATTACTTTCAGTAGTTTCAAAAATGGCCATTCTATTTAACCATTTAATCAACTCAGATAAATAGACGAAAAAGAAAATAATGATAACATTTATGGTAGAAACTCCAACAAGATCTTACGCATTTTCTCATTTGATAATCACAACTGTCCTATAAAGTTAACACCACTATTATTCCCAATTTTCACATAAGAAAACCAATTTAGAATGATGAGATCGTTTGCCCAAGTTTGGATGTTTCAACTAGGAAGCAATGAAGTTGGGATATAAACTGGTTCTTCCTCAAAGGCTATCATAACCATCAGCCAATGTTGAAAGAAACTAGCCCATACCACAAGATGGAAGGTGGGCAATCCATCACTGGGCAGGCAAGAATTGCACCAGTCTTTTACAAGATACGTAAGTTGATCATCTTTCAAACTAGCCCCATGCTTATGGTTTCCTGGGGTGCCATAATTACTGCAAAATACATTAAAAACTAAGTTAATTTAACAGATTTGATTTTATAATGTAAATATGAAATATGCTAAATATAAAAAACAGTGTGGTAATCAGTGTTTCCTCAGGAAACCTGTATTTTTCTTTTGGTTAGCTTTCATTGTTTTTGTAGAAATGAGATAGAAACTGGTGTATACATACACATGTTTATAAATTTCATATTTCTGAAAAGCTAAAAACTGTAATATTAAATAAAAACAATGGTGTTCTGGGAAAAAAACAAACAAACAAAAAATCAAGATGAAAAATCAGATACCTTACGTTCTAGCATTGGCTTGAGTCCTATATAGTGTTGCGAGTTCAGCCCATACTTAATTAAACCAGTTCCCTATATTTATAAGATGCTGCTATTACACAAAATGATTTCTATAATTTCCTCTTTAGTATTGCACATATATATTCAATAAACTTTTAATGTAATATTCACTTAATGAAATTAGTCTATTGTGTTTCATTTTAATTTATTAGTCTATTGTGTTTTGTTTCATTTATCAATTGCTGAATGCAAAAGCAAGCATATTTTGATCTGAGGTATTTTATGTTCATAATATTGGGAACAAGCATAAATATGATTCAATGAGACAAGCAGCAAATAATTTCCAATTCATTTCCAAATTACAAGCCAAAGTTACCTCACAAAATTAAATGCTAAAATTTTCCTGAAAAATGATTAAATTCTTATTTAAAATTTTTTATACTTATGCTTCTAATATTAATATTTTCCCTTATATTTTATGGATGGAATTGGTTTTGGACATCTTGCAAAGAAGAGACATGTCAATATCATTATGATCTATATATTTTTATTTTTCTCGTGTAAAATGCAAAATTCCAATGTTATTTATTGGATCCAGTGGGATAATTCATGAGGCACATGAGGAAATGAAAGAACTTCAAAACTATACTTTCCAAAACTATTGAAAATACTTTCAGGCCGGGTGCAGTGGCTCATACCTGTAATCCCAGCACTTTGGGAGGCCGAGGCAGGCAGATCACCTGAGGTCAGGAGTTCGAGACTAGCCTGACCAACATGGAGAAACCCTGTCTCTACTAAAAATACAAAATTAGCCCGGCATGGTGGCGGGCACCTGTAATCCCAGCTACTTGGAGGCTGAGGCACGAGAATTGCTTGAACCTGGGAGGTGGAGGTTGTGGTGAGCTGAGATCAGGCCATTGCACTCCAGCCTGGGCAACAGGAGCAAAACTTAGACTCAAAAAAAATAAATTAAAAAAAAAAAAAGAGGCCAGGCGCAGTGGCTTACGCCTGTAATCCCAGCACTTTGGGAGGCTGAGGCAGGTGGATCACGAGGTCAGGAGATCGAGACCATCCTGGCTAACACAGTGAAACCCCGTCTCTACCAAAAATACAAAAAATTAGCCGGGCGTGGTGGCGGGCGCCTGTAGTCCCAGCTACTCGGGAGGCTGAGGCAGGAGAATGGCATGAACCTGGGTGGTGGAGCTTGCAGTGAGTCGAGATCGCACCACTGCGCTCTAGCCAGGCAACAGAGCCAGACTCCGTTTCAAAATAAAAATAAAAGTAAAAATAAAAATAAAAATAAAGAAAGAAAATACTTTCAGTGAGCAACATAAGAAAATTTGACTTAGGAGCAGTACTAAAAATACATTATAACATTGATGAAGGACAAGAATGATGCATCAAATAGTATGTTATGATAAAGTGATTTTATGAATATATGAAATATTATGCAACCAGGTACTTACTAGCTTCTACTACTGGTAATGTTATTATTGAAATACCAGATAAAATTAAAAATACTTAATTTAAAATACTGCTTAGATTATCTAAAACCTGGCAGAACACTTTCAAAACCACTTCAAATAGAAACTACAGTGGTAGTTTTTCTATTGGGCTAAGCACTTGTCAAAGACAGAAACAAGCCATTCCTATATACAAATAGACATAAAAGTGAGTAGAAAAAACAAACAAACAAAAAAAAACAAACAAACAAAAAAAAAAAAACAAGAAAACTTGCACTCCAGATGAAATTTATAGAGAAGTATGAGAGGAAAATAAAAAATATTATTGGGATACATGGAGAGGAAGATTACTTATAACAATCCCCTTCATAAAGAAAACTGGAATATATTTCTCAATTTTGCTTAACTGTAAATTGCTATAATAAGAATTGTCTGAGTATGTTTTTAAAAATGCATACAATAGTAAACTATGTATTTGAACTCATAATTTCAAATAAAATTATTTTTCCTTAAAAGAATTCGTCTATGTGTTGTCTCCTTTATGCAACAAGAGCTCTCCTTAAAAATCCTGGCCTGCATTTTACCATTTTCTTATAATTTTAAAAATCAGAGCTAGGCCAGGTGCAGTGGCTCACGCCTGTAATCCCAGCACTTTGGGAGGCCAAGGCAGGCGGATCACTAGGTTAGGAGTTCGAGACCATCCTGGCTAACACGGTGAAACCCCGTCTCTACTAAAAAATACAAAAAATTAGCCGGGCATGGTGGCGGGCGCCTGTAATCCCAGCTACTTGGGAGGCCAAGGCAGGAGAATGGCGTGAACCCAGGAGGCGGAGCTTGCAGTGAGCCGAGATCGTGCCGCTGCACTCCAGCCAGGGCGACAGAGCGAGACTCCGTCTCAAAAAAAAAAAAAAAAAAAAAAAAATCAGAACTAATCAGTCCTTCAAAGCTCATGAGGTGAAGGCAACCCTAGAAGAAGCCTTACCCATCATAGAGGTTACAAGACTCTATGCAGATCCTTCCTCTACTGAAGCGGCGACACGACAGACATTGGTCTGGCCCAGGTCCCCAACAGCCATCACTGGAACACAGATGGTTGCACACCATTCCTTCAGCAGCTGTGAAACACCAAAATCAAGGGGAAATAAAACAGAGGATTGTGTCAAAACTTAAAATCTTCCTAGGTAATGCTATTTCTAAAGGAGTTCACTTAAAAGAGATATATGGCAAATGACTTTGGTGGCCTATCCCATCGTCATGTCCCATCCTACCCACAACTTCTTCTATATTGCAGAGTCCTAGTAGCTGTGTTTGTACAGCAATCTTGCATTTTTCATAAGGTTAAACAAAAGTGAATTGCCTATATAAAAACTATTGGGAGGACAGGTGATATAAATTATCTGTCCAAGCTAAAGAATAAACCACACTTCTCTCAAGCCAATGCTTTGCTCCACTAATAAATAAAATATTTTGGCTTCTCAGTTTGAGAGCTTCATGAAGAAATAGAAAACAATATTGTCCTGAAACAAAAAAAGTATTAAAAGAGGAAGAGAAAGAAAAAGAATAATTTATAGAGGGTAAGAAGGGGAGAAAGGAATAGAAATAAAACACAAGTTTTCTCGTTTGTTTTTTTGAGACAGTCTTGCTTTGTCACCCAGATCCAAGTGCAGTGGCATGATCTTGGCTCACTGCAACCTCCACCTCCCGGGTTTAAGCAATTCTCCTGCCTCAGCCTCCTGAGTAGCTGGGATTACAGGCTCACACTACCACGCCCAGATAATTTTTGTATTTTTAGTAGAAACAGGGTTTCACCATGTTGGCCAGGCTGGTCTTAAACTCCTGACCTCAAGTGATCCACTCACCTCAGCCTCCCAAAGTGCTGGGATTACAGTCGTGAGGCACTGCGCCAACCAAAATATAAGTTTTCTACAGGACCCTGCTGTATTCTGGCTAGGTCTACCTTGCTATTAGTCAAGTCATCACATGTAAGGAAGAAGTTTTGAAAGAATATTCAGCAAATTACAGTGATTATTTATGCAGAAGTGTAGAGATTAAAGCAGTAACAATAGTCTTTAGTGTTATCTCTATGTTATCTCTATTTTTTGTTGTTGTTGATGGCAGAAGGGCCAAATAATTTTTAAATTTCCACTTAAGGCTAACCATCTTTGTTTCCCTTTATACTGAATATCTTTTATTCAGGATATTATTATTTATACTGCATGACATTATTTTAGTGACGGGAGATTTGATATTGATAAGAAGAGCCATAAATACTTCAAATGTTATCCTGAGTGTCTGAAAGTGATTTGAGGTATTTGAAACACAACTTCATGTGGTTTTCATGAAATAATAATTCTAAAGAAGATTAAAACATCAAAATCAACTTTATCTTTCCATTAGTTACCAACTTTACTTATTATGAGATGTAAAATTTTATGGCAAGAACATTTGCGAGGTGGGTTGGGATGGCACTGAATATGGTAGTGTAATATAAGCAGGGAAGTCTATCTGTGAAATCTGTGAAAGTTAACTTCTCTAACATATGCTTGACAGAGCAAATCGCCCACACCTGTGATCCTGACTAGTTCTGAAACAGCGAAACAAATATTCCAATTCATATTTTCTTTGTTCTATATCCTGGGGTTATTAAAAAGGCCCCTATGGTAAACTGTGTAAAAATTTTTTAAAGCAGACTTAGATCTATCAACAAATCTTGCTACTTCTTGAATAATCTCTTTCAGCATAGTTTAAGAGAGAAATGTGTGTGTATCTGTGTCTGTGTGCAGCAGTTTTATTGAAGTATACATAGCATACAATATACTGCTCATACATAAAGTATACCATTTGATAAGTGCTGACATCATGAACCACATCTACAATCAAGATAATTAATGTATTCATTATCTCCAAATGATTCCTCATGACCTTATGTAATCCTTGCCTCCTGCACCATCCTCCTTAGACAATTATTGGTCTGCTTTCTGTTACTCACTGTACATTAGTTTGCATTTTCTATAATTTTTAATAAATGAAATTATACAGTATATTTTCTGTTTTTATATAGTTTCTTTCATTTATATAATTATGTTGAGTTTCATCTATGTTACTGCATGTATCAATAGTTTATTCACTTTTATTACTGAGTATATTCTATTGTATGGATATATGAAATTTATAATCCATTCACCTATTGACAGACATTTAGACTGTTCCATTTTGGATGTTAAAAATAGTAGTAGTAGATTACTATGAATATATGTGTAAAAGTCTTTGTATGGGCATACACTTTCTTGTCCTTTAGATAAATACCCAGGAGAGGAGTGGCTGGACAATATGGTAGGTATATGATTAACTTTTTAAGAAACTGTCAAATTGTTTTTCAAAGTAGTTGTACCATTTTACATTCCTACCATCAATGAACACAACTCAAAATTTAGTTTCCCTACATCTTCACCAACACTGATGTGGTCAGTTTGTTCAATTTCAAACTATCTAATTTGAATGTAGTAGTTCCTGATTGTGGTTTTGATTCACATTTTCCTAATGATTAAAAATGTTGAATATCTTTTAATGTGTTTATTTTTACATATCTCGTTTGGTCAAGTGCCACCAAATCTTTTGCCCATTTTAAATTGTATTGATTGTTTCTTATTAATGAGTATTGAGAGTCTTTTATATATTCTGCAACTATTTTCTCCCAATTTTAGCCATGTCTTTCCATTCTTTTAATACTGTCTTTTGAAAGTAGAAGTTTTTCATTTTGATAACTTATCAACCTTTTTTTTGAATCATACTTTTGACATCATATCTAAAAAGTTTTTGGTGTGTCCAACCCAGGTTCACAAAGGTTTCCTCTGGTATTTTCTAAGTTTTATAGGTTTCACAATTATCCATATGATTCATTTAGAGTTAATTTGCACATATGGTACTGTATTAGTCATGGTTCTCCAGAAAACCAGAACCATTAAGACATTTTATACACATCACACACACACACACACACACACACACACACACACACACACAATTGGCTCACACAAGCAGGAAAACTGAGAAGTTTCACCATCTTCCACCTGAAAGCTGGAGACCTATGGAAGCCAGTGGTGCAGTCCCCATCTGAGTCTAAAGGCCTGAGATCTGAGAGGACTGATGATAAAAATTCTGGTCCAAGTCCAAAGGCCTAAGAACCAGAAGCATCAATGATGTAAGTTCCATTCCAAGAGTAGGAGAAAGATCAATGTTCTAGCTCAAGTAGCCAAGCAGAGAGAGTGAATTCTCCCTTCTTTCAACTTTTTATTTTATTTGGACCCTCAGTGTACCAGATGATGCCCACCCACACTGGTGAGGGCAATCTGTTTCACTTAGTATACCAATTCAAATGCTAACCTCATTTAGAAACATCCTCACAGACATGTCCAGAAATGATATTTAAAAAAATATCTGGTCAACCCACTCCCCAGTTAGGTTGATATATAAAATGAACAATCACAGGTACTATGTAAGGATCTATTCAGTTTTTGTATATGGATATTCAATATTTCCAGTATCATTTGTTGAAAAGATATCCTTTCTGTATGAAATTTGCATATTTATAAGAAATAAGTTGTTCATACATTTCTGGTTCTCTACTCTCTTCCATCTATTTCTCTCTCATAGTATTTTTCCATAATTTTACTTTTAATGTACTTGTGCTTTTATATTTGAAGTCCATGTCTTGTAAGCAGCAATCATTGAGGCTTGTTTTTCTTTATTCCAATCTGATAATCTCTGCCCTTTAATTAGGGTGTTTAAACCATTTACATTTAATGTAATAATTGAAATAATTAAGTTGAAATAATTTATCTTAGTTTTTTTTTTCCTGTTGGTCCATTCTGTTCTCTTCCTCCTTTTCTTCTTTTCTCTTATGTTTTGGATAAATTGATTATTAAAATGATTTTATTTTATTTCTATTTATGTTTTTCTGCATATGTGGCTTATGAGCTCTACAACTTTTGATTCACTATTTTATCTTTTGGGTTTATAATATAAATATTTTAAATTTAATATTTTATTCTGAAATAATTGTATATTAATGTGTAGTTGTAAGTAATGATACAGAGAGATACCGTGTTATAGATACCCAGTTTTATCTCATAAGATCTTAAAAAGTTTATAGTACAGTAACACAACCGGACATTGGCATTGATATAGGCAAAATACAGATTTCCTCATAGCAAGAATCCTTAATTTTGTACTTGTATCTTCACACTGACTTGTCTCCCACCTTCCCTTTAAACTTACCCATTAGAGCTCCATTGCTGCAACCTCTAATCTCTTCTCCATTACTATAATTTGGTAATTTTAAAATTTATATAAATGGAATTGTACAGTATGTAATTTTTCATAATTGGCATTTTTGTCAATTAGAATACATATGCAGAGATTCATCCAGGTTGTTGTGTTTATTGTTTGTTTCTTTTTATTGACCATAGTATTTCATAGTATGGGTTACTACAATTTGTTTATCTATTTACCCATGAAAGGATATTTGGGTTGTTTCCAGTTTGGAGCTACTACAATTAGGGCTACTATAAACATTTGTGTATATGATTTTGCATAAATATAATTTTCATTTTTCTGTAATAAATTCTCGGGAGTTAATTGCTGGGTTATATGGTAGTAACACTTTAGTCAGGGTTTTTTTTTTTTTAAGAAAGTAGCAAACTATTTTCTAGAGTGATTGTACCATTTTACACTCTCACCAACCATGTATTCATTATTACATTTCTCTGCATCTTCTCCCACATTTGATTTCATTACTCTTTTTATTTTAGCCATTCTGATAGGTGTAGTAATATCTCATTGTGTTTTAAATTTAGATTTCCATAAAATGGCTAATAATGTCAAACATTTTTAATATGCTTATTTTTCATTTATATACTCTCCAGAGAAATGTTTCTTCGTATTTTTGACCACTGTAATTAGATTTCGTTTATTTATTTATTTGCTATTTAGTGCTACTTTTTGTTCTTTATATATTCCATCTATCTATGAAACCATTCCTATAAACTTTATAATACTAATAAGGGAAGATGGGAGGGGGAGAAATGAAAATAAACCAAGTGGCCGGACACGGTGGCTCATGCCTATAATCCCAGCATTTTGAGAGGCCAAAGCTGGTGGATCATCTGAAGTCAGGAGTTTGAGACCAGCATGGCCAACATGATGAAACCCGATCTCTACTAAAAATACAAAATTAGCTGGGCATGGTGTTGCATGCCTCTAATCCCAGTTACTCAGAAGGCTGAAGAGGGAGAATCGCTTGAAACCGGGAGGTGGAGGTTTCAGTGAGCCAAGATTGCACCATTGCACTCCAGCCTGGGCAACAAGAGTGAAACTCAATCTCAAAATAAAATAAAAAAAGAAAAGAAAAGAAAAGAAGAAAAGAAAAGAAACCAAGCTTGCAGGACACACATCATTAGTAATTAATGTAGCTTTCTATTGGACCTGCTTCCTCATAGTTGTTTGCTTTTGTCTCAGAGTCATGCAGACCCTGTTACAAGATTATAGTTCTCCTTAACTGCTCTATAGCTAACTATTTGAACATTATGAAACATTAGGTTTTGCCTTAAGATGTTCTTTCATGTCCTGCATGCCAGAGAAATCACTGATGCCAGCTGGTCTGAAGGACCCCACTGATGCCAACTGGTCTGAAGGACCCTATGAGGAGATGACTCACCAAAGAATGGAGTTTCCACATCCTGATGACTTCATCCTTCTTACTCTGACCAACCAGTGGTCATAGTTTTCCAGCCCCTTGCTCTTAAAAACCCCAGCCCAGAATTCTCAGGGAGACAAATTTGAGGGTTTCCTCCCATCTCCTCACTAGGTTGCCCTGCAATCATTAAACTGTTTCTCTGCTGCAAACCCTGCTGTCTCAGAATATTTGTATATTACTGTACAGCAGGCATAAGAAGATATCGGTTCTGTAACAACTATCTGATTTGAATATCTCCTCTCCTAATCTGTAGCTTATACTTTCATTCTTATCTTAGGATATTTTACAGAGCAAATGTTTTTAATTTTGATGAAGTTGAATTTATCATTTTGTTTTTTATGGATTGTTCTTTGCATGCAAACTCTAAATTCTTTTCACCTAACTCTAAATCCCTAATGATTTCTCCATTTTTTACCTCAAAATTTTATAGCTTTATATTTTACATTTAATCTCATGACCTGTTTTGAAAGTTAATGTTTTTATAAGATGTGAGATGTAGCTTAGGGTTCGTTTATTTGCTCTATAGATGTTCATTTGCTCTGGCACTATTTGCTTTAAAGGCTACCCTTCCTCTAATTAATTGCTTTTGCACCTTTGTAAAAAATATATTGGGTATATTTGTGTCAGTTATTTCTGAGTTTGTTTTATTGATCTGTGTATTATCCTCTACCAATAACACACAGCCTTAATTATGGCAGCTATGTAATAATTCTTGAAAATATGTGGACTGAATATTCCCATTTCATTTGTTTCTTTTCCAAAATTGTTTTAGTTGGACTAACTTGTTTGCCTTTCCATACAAATTGTATAATAATCTTGTCTCTATCTCAACAAACCTTTTTGATATTTTGATAAGAATTGTACTAAAGCTGTATATCAGTTTAGGGAGAATTGACATCTTTATGATTTTGAGCTATTCAATACAGGAACACAGTAGGCTTTTGCATTTATTTACACCTGCTTTGATTTCTTTCATCAGTATTTTGTAGTTTTCAGCATACAAGTCCTGTATATGTTTTGTTAAATTTACACCAAAGTATTTCATCTTTTAAGTAATTATAAATAGTATTATAGTTTTAATTTCTATGTCCCCATGTTAATTACATGTATTCAGATACAATTAAACTTTGTAAGTTTTATCTTCTATCCTATAATCATGCTGAATTTGCTTATTTATTTTAGGAGGTTTTTGTAGATTTTTTGAAATTTTTTATGTACATAATCATGCCATCTGTGAATAGAGAGATTTTTTTTCCTTTTCAATCTATATGCTTTTTCATTTCTTGCCTTATTTGCTAGGTAGAACTTTCAATACTATGTTAAATGAGTGATAAGAGAGGTCTTTCTTTTCTTGTTCCCAATCTAGTGCAAAAGCCTTCAGCTTTTCACCATTAAGCATAATGTTAGCTGTAGGATTTTTGTAGATGGTCTTCATGAAGGGGAGAAACTTACTCTGAATTTCTATTTTTTTCTGAGATTTTTAAACAGAAACAAGTGTTAAAATTTTCAAATGCTTTTTCTGTATCAATTGACATGATAATGAATTTTTTCTTCCTTGGGCTGTTAATATATTACATTTTTGATTATCAAATATTGTGCCAATCGTATATCCCTGGAATAAACTCATTTGGTTATGTTGTATAATTCTTTGTATATATTGCTGACTGCTATTTGCTACTACTTTGCTAAGGAGTTTTGCCTCTAGATTCTTTTTTTTTTTTTTTTTTTTTTTTTTTTTTTTGAGATGGAGTCTCGCTCTGTCGCCCAGGTCGGACTGCGGACTGCAGTGGCGCAATCTCGGCTCACTGCAAGCTCCGCTTCCCGGGTTCACGCCATTCTCCTGCCTCAGCCTCCCGAGTAGCTGGGACTACAGGCGCCCGCCACCGCGCCCGGCTAATTTTTTTTGTATTTTTAGTAGAGACGGGGTTTCACCTTGTTAGCCAGGATGGTCTCGATCTCCTGACCTCATGATCCACCCGCCTCGGCCTCCCAAAGCCTCTAGATTCTTTAGAGATACATTGGCCTTTAGTTTTATTTCTTTTTGGAGGGGGTATTCTTTCTTCATTTATGAATACTAATATTCAAAGCCATCATGAAAAACAGGAATGATCATGGATTTTATAGGTGGGCAGAGTCACAGAGAGTGTAAGCTGCCCAAGACCACAAGAGTTGGGTTAAAACCCAATACTGGGCTGGGCGTGGTGGCTCATGCCTGTAATCCCAGCACTTTGGGAGGCCAAGGTGGGTGGATCACGAGGTCAGGAGATCGAGACCATCCTGGGCTAACATGGTGAAACCCCATCTCTACTTAAAAAAAAAAAAGTACAAAAAGTTAGCCAGGCGTGGTGGTGGGCGCCTGTAGTCCCAGTTACTTGGGAGGCTGAGGCAGAAGAATGGCGTGAACCCAGGAGGCGGAGCTTGCAGTGAGCCGAGATCGCACCACTGCACTCCAGCCTGGGTGACAGAGCAAGACTCCGTCTCAAAAAAAAAAAAAAAAAGACAAGAAAAAACGAAAAAAGAACCCTCCCACAATATTGCCTAGTATCTATCACTCAGTGGAGATGAAAATGTGAACTCCATACCCTGCCTTCTCTGACATCACATGGAAGGGAGATTGGCCTGGTGAGAGTAGAAGTCTACACTCTCCTCTCTTTTGCGAGCTTGACTGAAGTTTGTTTGTTTGTTATTTTTAGCATTGTATGTTTGTTTGTTGTTTTTAGCATTGTATGTTTGTTTGTTGTTTTTCTGTGGTGTTTGGCTGGAGTGGAGCAATTATTGTCTAAAAGGTTTCTGTCTTGTCTACCTGCCCCTTTCCAGATTCTTTGAGTAGAAAGAACAGGCTTTTGTTGGGGCTTTTTTTTATCTGCATCTGTTGGGGATTCTGAGTTGCCAGTTTCTTCATCTTGAAATCTGGGATATATGCAGCAAAAAGAAAACTCAGAGAACTCACCTCTGCATTGTTCTTTGGGTTCCAAGATCTCACACCTGTCTGTCTCTTCTGTCCACCTTTCAGAGTTGTCTTATAATGTCCAGGGTTTTTATTTGTACTTAGCGGGAGGAAAAGGTAAAAGTATGTTTCCTCCATCTTCACAGAAGCAAAATCCCAGTATATATCTTTAATTTATTACAGGCTGTTTTCAAGTTATACTCTACCACTTCACATCTATTCTAAGGATCTTAAAATCGGATGCTTTTATTTCTTCATTCCTTACCTTTGAGCTATTATCATACATCTTACTTTCCCATGTTATTCACTCCACATTACATTGTTACTATTTTCGATTTAGCATGACATCGTATTTGAAGACAACTAAATAATAAGATGAAAATTTTATATATTCATCCATGTAGTTACCATTTCTGGTGCTCCTCAGCCTATGTACAGATCCACATTTCCATCTGGTATTATTTCCTCCTGTCTGAAGGACTTCCTTTAATATTTCTTACAGCGCAGTTGTCTCTCTGTGCTGCTTTCCTCTCTGGTATTGTCTGTCAACTCTAGCTGCATTATTCTGCCTGGACTCCTAGCTCTGTCTTCTCAACCTGGAGTTCTTGGGACTCTGCCTGGGATCTCCCTCATTATACTGTGGCTTAAAATCTCTCTCAAGGCACTTAGCCAGAGCAGTCATAAGGCTCACCTCATTTATTTTCTCACTCTCAGGAATCACTTTCCCTTGTGTTCTGCTCTCCAGTCTATTGCAAACTATTGTTTCATCTATTTTGTCCTTTTTTTGATTGTTTCATGAGGCAGGGTAAATTCGATCCCTCCCTTTTGTTATTTCATCTTTGTCAGAAGTGAACATCTTATATTTACTTTTAACAATGCAAAGTGGGATTACTTGCTGTTTCTTGTTTACAGACAAAATTTTTCACATAAAATTTCTCCCAAATGATCCAAAAAAGCTGCTAAGCACCCACTAAGCTTCATTTAAAACTATATATTCTTCTATTCTAATTAACTTTGTAGTTATTTTAAATAACATAAAGAGAATTTTTAAAGATAATCTGAAAGAACAGAGACTAAATGGAATGCTTTCCTGTGTAGATAGGATTGACCCTATGCTTAAATATATTATAAATTATTTTAGGTAACTCATAGTTTGCAGGTTTTACTTAATTGTGGTTTTCTCCATGTCTTAAATATTTATTAAAATGAAATATCATATATTATGACATTTTATCTTCTTATCATATCTAGACTCTCTTCCCCTGAAAAGCTGAATGATTTGATGTTTTGCTTGGGAATGGCTTATCAACAGTTTCTCTGTTATATTAATTTTGAACCAATAGCAATAGTGCTTATTTCTTTCTGATTTAGTCATAATACAGAGGAAGAGGTTTCTCTCATTCCACAAAAGAAATGTCAGCATAAATGGAATCTGTTTGTTTGAAACAGTGTTTCACTCTGTTGCCCTGGCTGGAGTGGAGTGGTGTGATATGGGCTCACTGTAGCCTTGACCTCCTGCGCTCAAGTGATCCTTCCACCTTAGCCTCCCAAGTAGCTTGGACTAAAGGTATGCACCATGACACCTGGCTACTTTTTTGTTGTTGTTTTTGTAGAGATGGAGTTTCACTACGTTGCCCAGGCTGGTCTCGAACTCTGGGCTCAAGAAATTCTCCCATCTCTGTCTCCCAAAGTGCTGGGATTACAGGCATGAATGATTGCACCCAGCCAGAAATATAACCTTAACATAGGTCTTATATCACCAGTTCCCAAAAAGTAGAATATGAATGACTTCGCACTAATTTATAAAGATGTAAAGAGTAAAAAGATAGTTTAACCAAACTGATTAAATATAAATGGGTGGTCGAATTCTATATAATAGACAAAGTTATAAAAGTAGCAAAGATCAATTATATTTATGAATATTAAGTTACAATACTCATTTTATAACCATTTAGACATTTAAAGGTTACTTATCAAGTATCTCATTTTCTGACATATATCGTTATATACAGTGTTTACATACTCTTGCTAATGGGATAAACATGATCTTCAGAGGAAATCCTGAAGAGGGAAAGTTGTATTATGAGAACAACTTGTAAAGAGAAGTAGAGAATGGTTAAAATTATACTGTACGGTGTCACGAGTCTCTCCGTATTGATCACTTTTGTTTTCTTTTTTTAATATGTTTTATCAAGTTCTATCTCAGGCCTTCAATTACAGATAATTTTATCTATCTATCTAAAATATATATATACACTTTATAGATATGATATATAAATATATATCAATGTAATATATATTATGTATAATATATAATATACATCTAATATATATTCAGTGCTAAGTTAATATAGAATATAGCAGTTGTCTTAAGTTAGTGTTCTAACTTAACTCAGTTTCTTTCTTGAGGACATTGACAAGGTCACAAACATTCCCTTGGCACTGTCTATTTTATGATATTCCATAAACTTTTGGGTCCATTTATTTTACCATATCACGTTATTTACTTTCAGGTTTGCTATCTTCTCCCTCTTGTCCCTTCCCCTTACCTCTGCTAAAGGTGACAGCACTTTACAGTAAGTGGAAGGGTAAAGGCTGACTGCTTTGATCTTTCGTTACATGCTTTGACATAAATTGGAGAGGAAGCTTCAGCTTCACCCAAAATCTTACCTCTCTTCGGCTGTCTAATGCCTCCCTAAGTCTTTATCATATGCCCAATTTCAGAGCAGTTTCGGGTCAGGGAAACAATATCTATTGGAAGAAATCAATAATAAACAGGAAACCGTCATAACTATTTTCTTCTCATTCTTTCCAGACCAATAGATGATGGAAGTGAAGATTGGTTGATCATTTTCTCTAGAGTGAAACCAAAGGAAGTATCTCCACATAGCATAGAACAAAAGGCCAAGGAAGCCACTTCTTTGAAATTCTTAAGAGAAAAGAAATTTTCGATCAGCACCAAGAATTCAACAGCCCTCTGACTTCCTGCAGTGATAGTCATGAGTGAAGGAGTGGAAGGGCTCTGCAATGGCTTACAGTTCAAAAGGCCATTATAAATCTCTCTAAAGAAACTTTAGCAATGTAGTTATTAGGCAACCTTTAACTTCTTCTGTGTTTTCTCTGGAAGCTGCAAAATAGATTTTTCTTTATCTCATCTGAATTCCAGCTGTCTGTTAAAAATTTGGAGAGATAATAATGTGCTTAGTATTTTGACCTTTACCGAGAACACTGAACCTGCTTTAACTAAACTAGAGGGAAGCTTTAAGTAATGGATTTTGCTACAGTTTTACATGTGAAAGTAAACAGATTATTTCAAAAATATTGAAATGTATTTGGACAGGTATTGTTCATCTTTTTTTTAAAAGCTGAGAAGTACTGTTTAGTGGTCATCATAGTTAAGGTTTTGTGATTAGACATAGATTTAAACCCTTACTCTGTAATTACCCAGGTAGCCTTGGGCAATTACTTACATGCTACTTATCTTTAAAGTGAACAGTAATATCTTCTTTCAGGATTGTGATGAAGATTAGACATAAAATTAGTAGAATTTTTAATACAGGGTCTGAGACATTAAGTAAATGCTCAATACATGTACTCAAGAGAAATGTGAAGGCATAAAAGCATATCCCTGTGTTTATTTTGAAAAATATTTATTGAGAAACTACTTTTTGCTAGCTCTGCTAAGAGCTGAGGATATAACTGAAACATGAAATAGAATACATATTTTGTTACCTCATGGAGTTTACAGCTAATTAGAAAAACAGGCTGCACATAAATTTATGTATGCATAGAAACATATGTGTGTGTGTGTGTGTGTGTGTGTGTGTGTGTGTATATATATAACAGATTGCTGAGAGAACATAGAATACAGCAGTTGTCTTAACTTAGTGGGCAAATGGCATTAGGTCAGCCCACAGAAGAAGGGACATTAAAGCTGAAATAAGAAGGGTAAGTAAGAGTTCTTAAGGCAAAGGGGTGGGGGAAAGGGGCAATTGTAACTCTAGCCAAGAGAGTCTGAGGAAGGAATAAGGTTAGTGCTCTCAGAAAACTGACATGGGCAGCATATGGGAAAGTGGTACCCTGTAAACTGGTGAGATGGAGAAGGGACAGATTGTGCAGGACCTAGTGGCCATTTTTAGGATTTTGTGTTTTGGTCAAAGAGCTGTCGGAATCCGTTGAAAGGTTCTAAGCAGGAGAGTAAAGGACCTCCTATTTCAAAAAATGTCACTTCAATTTCTTTGATGGGATTGACTTGAAGGTATATTTGAATAGTTGGTGACAAGGAGATAATAGCGATAATAGAGATAGGCGTTTGACCCAAATAGCGTCAATCTGTACTGAAGAGGGAAGGTAGAGCTTTTTAATCTGTGTTCATAAACTCTGTGAATGCTCTTAGCATATGCCTGCCAGGGCCAGTCATCTTTCATGAAGAATGAGAATTTGCCTAAGAGGAAAGCAGAGTGAAGCAAATAGAGGATTGAGCCCTAGTGATGTTGTTCGAACCCCTGGATCCAATTGTGTCCGAAAAGCTATTTCTTGGACTTCTCATTTCTGTGAGTTAATACAGTCTCTTTATGCCTAAAGTAATCTGGGTTGGACTTATATCACTAAAAGAATACTGAAATAATTTCCTATTCATGCTGTAACAAATTACTACAAACTTCATTGCTTAAAAACACCTACATTTAGTCTCTCATAGTTCTGGAGTTCAGAAGTCCAAAATGACTCTTAAGGGGCTAGAATCAAGGTGTCAGCAAGGCTGATTGCTTCTGAAGTCTCCAGGAGAGAATTTGTTCCTTGCCTCTTTCAGCTTTTAAAGACCCCTTTGGCGTTGGCTTGCAGTGACATTGCTCCAACCTTTGCTTCCATGGTCCCATCACCTTTTCCTTTACGGTAGTCAAACCTCCCTCTACCTTCCTCTTATAAAGACACGTGTGATTATATTTGTAACCCACTCAAATAACTTTAGGATAATCATTCTATTTTAAGATCTATAACATCTGCTACGTCCTTTTTACCATATAACATTCATAGGTTCTGAAGATTTGAATGCAGTCATCCTCAGGGGGCCATCATTCAGTCTTTCATAAGCACTAAACTGTCAATAAGCTCTGTGTGTAGGCAAGGTTAGACATGTGTAAAGTGTAATGACATTATATGACATTGTAAAAAATTATAATGGGTTAACAAAGAAGTTGGGGAAGCAGCAGTGGAGAAGTAAGTGCAGAAACATACCCCTTCCCCATGTTGAATAGGTTAAATAGATGCTACACAAATTGTTGTTAACTCTTATATACCCTAGTTACTCTATATCTCTGATGTGAGTGGGACCAGAGCAGCAAATTCTGATAGGAGGAGGTGAGAGGCAGTAGTGACAGCAGAAATAAAATTTTAGAAAGTCTTAAGGTTTGATTAGAAAACTGAGCACAATATAAAATACCTCTCAGAAGAGATATGTGTCAAAAAAATAAAATGAATCCAAAAGTATTTTGTTGAAAGTCTAAAGTAAATAAAATTTGATAGTACAATACTTATTATAGTATAATTACCCAATTACTGTATAAACTATAATTAAATATTCCCTTTATTTTATTGAATATGTTATTGTTAGTAAATGCAAAAAAACCCCACTATTTATAGAATGCTTTTTAGAGTTAGCTCTTTATCTTTTTCTCCCAAACCTATATTATTAAATATATGGTTTTAAGCTATTCAATTATGAATTTTCCTACAAGGGAACACAGCTTCAGAAGAAAAAAGGAATTGTTAGGATCACATGTTCTCAAATGTCTTTTTGACTATAGAACGATGGGGGAATAATATGGGGTGTGACAGAGTAGAGTTTCCCAAAGGATTTCCCACAGGCATCTGTCTCAGAATGATCTGCTTTGTATTAAAAATGCAGAATCTAAGGTTTCCCACCCCACTGTCTGTGTTAGTTCCATAGAAATAGTGTAACAAACTGCCATAAACTAGGCTTCTTAAAACAACAGAAATTTATTCTCTCACAATTCTAGAGATCAGAAGTCCAAAATCCAGGTGTTCGCAGGCTAGTTTCTTCTTGGGCTCTCAGAGGGAGAATGTTCTATGGTCCTCCCCTAGCTTCTGGTGGTTGCCAGCAATCCCTGGCATTCTGGGCTCACCTCTATATCATTCCAATAGTCGCTTCTGCTGTCACACAGCTGTCTTTCCTCTGAGTGGGTGTATGTCTTCACATGGCGTTCTCATTTGTGTGTGTCCATCTGTGTGTCTCTTCTCTTCTTCTTGTAAGTACACTAGTCATTTGATGAAGGACCTACCCTGCTCCAGTATAAGCTCATCTTAACTTTCATTTTAACTACTTGTGCAAATACCCTATTCCCAAATATGGTCACATTCATAGATACCAGGGGTCAGGACTTCAGCATCTTCTGGAGGGGACACAATACAACTCACAACACTGTCTAAATAAGAATCTCTGGAGAACTGGAGCCTAGCTTTTGCATTTTTAATAATTATAAGTTTTACTTTAAAATTTTGCAACCACTGATGTAGAGGCAAGTCAGGTTAAAATATCACCCACCATTTGTAATAAAAACTGGAGCCTGCAGTAATCCTGGCTTTTATTGTTGAGATATCATTCTCTCAGAATTTCTAGATTACAAAATAGAAGGGATATCATTTCTGTAGCTAATTGGCAAGAGTAACTGCTTATTATCCTTTTGATAAGAACATAGTGAACATTTTCTAGCATTGTTAGTAATTAGACAGTGTGCTGTTTCAAATACAATAACAAAATCTTACTTGAATGCTTTTTTTTTTTTACAAAGAACAGTGTATTGATGTATTACTCTAGTAATTTTAAAAGGAAAATCTTAGAAGTATAATTAAGATTTTCTATTTTCTGATTACTCAGAAGAATAGCGACTTCACTATATTCAAAGTTACACACTTTATGGTTCATACCAAGCTATGGTTTAATGAAATCTGTCGCAGAATTCATTGATTTCCCAGGCTCCCAGACCCAAAGGATGATTCTTCTAACTTGGTAGGCTGCATTTTGTTTGTAAAAGCACATTTACTCAAGATAGCATGGGATGGGTTAGGAGTGCACAAATTAAAGGTGAAAGTATGGGAGCAGGAGAAAGTAAGAAAATCTGCCACCTTAGTAATATTTTCTTAAAATAAGGTAAATCTTAATTTATAATCAAAATTCATTTTCTATAATATACAACATATTAGAAATGACGACGATATAAAGTCTGTTTATTTTATAGAAATCCAACATTTCTTATGATGTTATAGTAAGTAAAATGCTTGCTTCTGTATTTTGTTGTTTTATCACAGTTACCAGAGAAAAACAAATAAAACAATATATTAAGCAAACACTGTTTTATTCTCCACTGTGTGATATACCTTCCATTCCCTACTTATTAACTCTTTGGCCTGCTTCAATTCTGGACTCACTATAAAGTTGGATGATGTTGTCATCCAGAGAGTTCAGTTATTAGCAATTAACTATAGTTCTGAAATTACCTTTTTCTAGATTCATGTACAATGGGGTGGATTTTTCTACTGTCAAATTTCAGAAACATAAAAACCAGAGATAAATATAAAAATGTGTATCCTTTTTGGCTTCTTTGTGCCAAAAAAATATATTCCCCATCACCAGATATTTTTCCCCTGAGCCATTAATTTAAACTTGATATTTTTTGGAATTTTTAAAAATACTAAGTCTGTTACTTATCATAAAGCCAATTTTAAAATGTTTTAATTTAGAAGAGAAAAAAGAAAAATAAATATATTTCAAGGGATTCTCAAACATATACTTTTTATCTGCTTATGATTTTGAGATCATTTCTAAATTCTTCAATGTCTAGCCTCCTGTTAATAACATAATAACTAATATTCCTTCCATATCTCCCAATGGTTGATGTTTTTCTCACAAATTTTTAATTCACCACTTTAATAAGGTAAATTTTTCTTCTGCGTAAAAAAGAAAGCTCTTGATATTTATCTTTCCTTTTTATCCCCCAAAAGGCATTTTTTCATAAAGTAAAATTAAATATTGTATCTTCACATTACATGTGTATATATGAATGTCTAATATATAAACTATTTTTAATAGGAAAATAAAATGTTTAGTAGTAACAATATCTAATACATGTATAGCTCGCTCTTGCTCTTTCTTTTCTTTCTTTTTATTTCTTCTTTCTTTTTATCCTTCCTTCCTTCCTCCCTCCTTCCCTTCCCTTCCTTCCTTCTTTCCTTTCTCTTCCTTCCTTCCCTCCTTCCCCTTCCCCCCCTCCCTCCCTCCCTCCTTCCTTCCTTCCTTTCTTCCTCTCTCTCTTTCTTTCTCTTTATCTCTTTCTTTCTCTTTCTCTCTTTCCTCACTTTGTTGCCCAGGCTGAAGTGCAATGGTGTGAACTTGGCTCACCACAACCTCCACCTCCTGGATTCAAGTGATTTTCCTGCCTCAGCCTCCCGAGTAGCTGGGACTACAGGCATGCACCACCACACCTGGTGAATTTTTGTATTTTTAGTAGAGACAGGGTTTCACCATATTGGCCAAGATGATCTTGAACTCCTGACTGCAGGTGATCTGCCCACCTCGGCCTCCCAAAGTGCTAGGATTACAGGTTTTAGCCACTGTGCCCAGCTATGTATAGCACTTTCTTTGAGCCAGGCCTTCAATGAGGTGAATACTATTATCTATTCCATTTTTAAAATGATAAAACTGAGGTATAGAGACAATAAGTGATCTCCGTAAAGGTCAGATAGCAAAGAGTTCTGCTGAGATTAAAACCCAGGCCATTTGGCTCTAGAGTGTGCTCCTGAATAATATGTTATATAGGGTATACTTCAGTAAATCATCCAATTTTCTTATGAAAATTAATCACATTTTCATTATTTTTATTTTTATTTATATATATTTTTTGAGAAGGAATCACTCTCTGTTGCCCAGGCTGGAGTACAGTGGCGTGATCTTGGCTCACTGCAACCTCTGCCTCCTGGGTTCAAGTAATTCTCCTGCCTCAGCCTCCCCAGTAGCTGGGACTACAGGCACCTGCCACCATGTCTGGCTAATTTTTGTATTTTTACTAGAGACGGGGTTTCACCATGTTGGCCAGGCTGGTCTCAAACTCCTGACCTCAGGTGATCTGCCCACCTCTGCCTCCCAAAGTGCTGGGATTACAGGCGTGAGCCACCATGCCCGGCCAATATTTTCTTTATTTTGAGAGGAATCACGGTGAAATGAAGAGCCTAGACTTTGAAGTCAGACAGGCATTGGGTTCAAATCCTTAATCGGATTTTAGTAGCTCCAAAACTGGAAATATCATTTAACTTTCTTAATGTATGTATACTCATCTGCAAATGCAGATGATTATACTTTACAGGGTGGTTGTAATAACTAAATTAAACAATATAGCTAGGTTGAGAGATAGAGTCTGGCACCTTTTAGCTGATTTGTTAGCTGATCAGCTAAAGTCAAAAAGGAGAGATGGCTTGTTTAATAAATTATTTTGGATCCATATTCCAATCAGGAAATTTTAAAAATGCTATGCCAAAATGTCAAGATGTGTTAAAAATTTCAATATTGTTTTTAAAGTACTAGATGAAAAGAATTGTCTAAAAATACAAGATCAAACAATTAAAAAGGAAAAGAACAATCTAGTCACTTAACTATATAAAAATATGGTTTGATAAACATTAGTTTATCAAAAGACAAATTATTCAAATTACCAGTAAGAGAGGAACTTATTCCCAACACATTTAAAGAACAAAATTTAATGAATTTAATTTGTAAATAGTTCTTTCAAATTTAGGAGAAAAAGAACAACTCCCAAATTAAAAATGAAAAAAGTTCACATATAAAGCAATTTACAAGATTTAAAAAAAGATAAATTAATCATGTAAATATAAAATACTTCTTTTCTTCTTTCAGATCACTGAAATTTAAAACCATAGATGATATCCAGTGATTTAAAACAGTGGTGGAAAACGTTACTATCCCACAGTGTTTGGAACAAGGTTAATTGATTTAGTATTTTTGGAAGATGACGTGGAAATTAGTGAGAAAATTTTTATGTAGCGTCATTTACACAGAAATTCCACATCTAAGTTTTTAGCCTCAGGAAATAATTGTACACTACAAAATGTTTCATAAACTAGATACACATCATGGCAGTAGTGATGATATAAAAATGGAAAATAATTTAAAATACAATTAATATGGTACTAGTCCAGCATACTTCTATAAATAGCTTTAAAAAGGAATGAGGAAGGTCAGGCATGGTGGCTCACACCTGTAATCTCAGCACTTTGGGAGGCCGAGGCGGGCGGATCACCTGAGATCAGGAGTTCAAGACCAGCCTAACTAACATGGAGAAACCCCGTCTCTACTAAAAATACAAAATTAGGCGTGGTGGCGCCTGCCTGTAATCTCAGCTACTAGGGAGGCTGAGGCAGGAGAATTGCTTGAACCAGGGAGGCAGAGGTTGTCGTGGGCCAAGATCGTGCCATTGCACTCCAGCCTGGGAAACAAGAGTGAGACTCCGTCTCAGAAAAAAAAAAAAAAAAAAAGGGGAATAAGGAAGAGCTCTATGCTCTATCTATTGAATGGGAGATGCTTATACTATATTAAGTATAAGATATAGATGGCTGAATGGTATTTAAATAGAAATGGTATGATCCTATTCATATACGAAAATATATATTTCACTATCCTTATCCATACATATGAAAAATATATTCACCAATAATTATATATAATGTAGTTTAAAAATATTTTTATATATTTTTGATTGGTTTTATATTGAACAATGAGAAAGGTACTATTAAAATTGTAAAAATAAAAATATTTTTATTTTGAAAATCAATAATGAATTTATCTCTTATTCATGTTGGGTTTAACAGTATCTGTATAAATATTTTTAAGATGAGATATATAAGTTCAAATAGAACTCAGATTCTAAAGGATTGGTGTAATATTTATCTCTACACTGCTTATATTTCAGTGTTAAAAATTTATGCTTAAACATTTTAAGAAACTTCAAATGCTTTTATAAACCTACTCTAAAACTTCTTCCACCTAACACTGTAATTTGGTTACTATCATAACCACGTAAATGATAGATGCCCAAAATATTCTAGCTTTTCATGTCCCAGAGTTTCCCGCAATCTCAATCTCTTCAAACCATAAAGTCAGCTTTGAAATTTTTGACTTAAAAGAGTAAGATTGCTCTAGCCACTGTTACCCTTTATAGATGAGTTAACTTTTTAAAAAATCGTCATTACTGTTTTAAATCATGCTGAATTCCAAAAAACACCATTACAAATGAAGGATTGCCTTTTCATTAAGTTCATAAGCCAACTCCTAGATTTAGATAAGTGTATTTGATGGTGACTGCATGTAAATGTAGGTGAGCATGTAAGGGTGTGTATGCACGGATATGTTTTCTAGGTGTGTATATATGCATGTGTGTTGTATGTGGAACTACATACAGACATGCACGCTGATATGCATATATGTTTAGGTGTTGTAGTGAACATGTGCGTATGCTCATGTACATCTTGTGTGTGTGTGATATAGCAAGACAGAATATCTAAAAATGAAACATTTACAGTGCATTTAAAATGAAGCAAGCATTTAGACATTCCCATTTACAAAGAGTACTGGGGATTGTAAACATCAGCAGCATCTCTGAGGTCAAGTTTACAGGGTAATTATATTTCTGAAAATGGAGGCATATGGAATTTTTATGGATCCGGTGTGCTGTGAGACTGAAGTCCAAATTTTGATAAATGAATTTCATGCAAAATACATTTATTCTAAGACGTTAAAAATGAAAAATGATATGCTTGATACTATAGCACCACAAAACTATGTTTCTCCTAACTGCTTCATTTTTTTCCCCAAACTGCAAAGTCAATTCTTATGCACAGAACAAAAAAAAAATATGCCTATGGTCTGAAAAGTAGCTAAACTCAATCCAAGAAGCATAACACTGAAAGTTTAAACACATTTTATATTTTAGCTTATTATCATTGTCATTATTCACTCTCTTTTGGTCATTTGAAATGTTTAGAAGTTTTAAAGAGGGGTGAAATAACATTATATAATTTATTGAAATATCCCTTTTTCCCATCTTGCTTCCCTACATTTATTTTTTTGCATTTTCTTCTTCCCATTTGCTTTTTAATTCAAGTATAGACAGATATATGACATATGAATTTTTGTAGGATTTGCAAACTGATTAAGTGCATCAAAGAGGAAGAATTTTTTTTCTGATTCTTTTATATATTTCTTTACATTATTTTGAATTCACAGTTAAATTTTTGAAAGGTAGTGGTACTAATTTTTTTAAGGATGTGGAAGGAAACGAGAGTATAGCCCTGATTTAGGGAAACATTCATCAATTGGTATTGAAGAAGATTCTATCTTATTGCCATGAATCATCTACTTTGGGGCATGTACACACACATATTGTGATATGGGGTAAGAAGCTTAAGTATTAAGGAAAAAGCACAACAAATTTTCTTTTAGGAATCAGTAATGTGTAAAACCAAGGAAATAACACAGGCCAAATGAAATAATGAATATCATTCAATATAACATGCATATTTTGATACACAATTAGATTTTACATTTCGTGATTCTATGTGGAACATGAGAATGAGTAAGAACTTAAGTTCACTCTTAGCAGGAACCTCATGTTGTAATAGATCTCCTTTATTTGGAAATATTTTTAAGGATCGAAAAGAGCTAAAATATAAGAGAATTCCTCACAAATTATAAGTTATATTTTATGAAGATTGGTAGACTGAGCTGCCTTAAATTATTTCTGGAACAAGATGGGGTCTTAATAAATCAATTAATTCACTGACAACTCAATAAACAAATTATGTTGGCCTCTTAAGAGTTTATAACTTTAAAAAAGTCTTCTATTTATTCACACACACACACGCACACACTCACACGTATACACGCACACACAAACTCAATCATTATTTATGTGTACCCTGGAGAGATCAAAGAAGTAAGCAAATACTGTGAGAGCAGAATTTTCTAGGGTTCTGCCTTTTAGAATGGATTGATTTTGTGCCCACAACAAGAATATTCATTTGCAAACAGTTCATTTGAGTTCGGATTCTTTTTATTCAGTATTTACCATAATGAGTCAGATGGTTGTACTCATAATAGTGGCACTCATAGGATGTAGGAAAGAGTAGTATTCAGTAGAAAAACAGGGAAGAATTAAGCATAAATCAACGGAGTATCAGTGTATTCGATAGGAATGGCATAGTCATGTGCCTACAAAAGCATTATTTGCTTCAGAGTAAATAAGAAATTATTCAATGAATCAATAAGTAGCAAAATAGATGAAAAAATGATATACATGTCTACATAAATGCATTAATAAAATAAACTTTCTTTCTGAAAAATAAAACACCTTGAACATATACTTCTTGAATAGTAGTTTTTACATGTTAGAAAAATACGTCATTTTTCTTACCACCTCTAAATGGCAAAACTCTGTTATTCTGTTATGAAACTCCCTGAAACCAAACAACAAACAGAGAATTCAATAGGGTCGATCTCCACAAATTGATTGGATCCTTGAAATGACCTGGGATGCCGATTAAACATGTAAATGCCCAGGTCTTACTTAGACCTAACTGAATCCAAATCTCCACAGGAGGGTTCTTAAGATCAGGCAAGACGGCCGGGCGCGGTGGCTCATGCCTGTAATCCCAGCACTTTGGGAGGCCAAGGTGGGCGGATCACGAGGTCAGGAAATCGGGACCATCCTGGCTAACACAGCGAAACCCCATCTCTACTAAAAATACCAAAAAAATTAGCCGGGCGCGGCGGCGGGCGCCTGTAGTCCCAGCTACCGGAGGCTGAGGCAGGAGAATGGCGTGAACCTGGGAGGCGGAGCTTGCAGTGAGCCGAGATCTCGCCACTGCACTCTAGCCTGGGGCAACAGAGCGAGACTCCGTCTCAAAAAAAAAAAAAAAAAAAAAAAAAAAAGAAAGTCACTTATTCTGATTATTTTATACCATGTTGGTAATTGTAACAACTACCTTCCTTTTTAAGGGTTGGGATAACAGAGCAACAATTCTGACCGGATGTTATTTTTAATTGTTTGGTCCAAAGAAGAATGGGAAAAAATTTAAGTTTCTATGTTTTAAATGTCTGAGTAATGTACTTACTACAATTTTCAGCTTTTCTGTTGTCCCGGATTACTATTCTCTGGTTGATTGTGCTGAAGAGTGTTGTCCAGTTAATGGTATGATAATAACACAGGTTGCTGTTGTCAGTAATATAGATGTTTCCTGCGCTGATTTCCTTCAGGGACTGGAACTGTAGAGAGGTGATGCCCTGTTGCTTGAGGATAAGCAAGGACAGGCCACTAAGGAGGGGGAAGTGAGAAAACGGAACCATGAAACGCATTCCGGAGTAAAATAAGGCTGTCACATTTTATTTTAAAAAGAATGTTAATGGTGTATAAATGGAAACTGAATCAATAAATCTGTGTTTAGAATATTGTTTTTACATGCTATATACAGTTTTTAAAGTAATAATTTGACCTCCCAAAGTAAAATTTCCATTGCTTACAGTTATGCATATTGGCAGTGTATCTCTATTTCTGTGTATGTATTTACCACTGAAATATCTGCTCACTATCTTCCCACCCCAAGACTTAACTTTACATTGTTCAATGATGAAATCCTGTATTAACACTAAAGAAGTGTTTATAAAACAATTGTTCATCTACTCAAAATAAGACATTAATTCCTCTTTATGTAATAGATTTAGACATACTTTCAGAGTATGTCTAAATAATTTCAGAAAATGATTATAGGTATTTAGCTTTAATTTATACCTCAGACACCAAAGAACTGTAATAATTGAGGAATGTGTAAGTAAGGTTAGGAGATAGTAAAATGTAAAGAATCAAACTAAACTAAAATTAGAAAAAGAAAGCAAACTCAGATGCCTTGGGTATCTGGGGAAAAGGTCTCTAAAAGTTAAATAACAACTACCCTGTTTAGAATTGCTCACATCATGCACTCCATACTTGCAAAATACTAATATTACTTTGAGTGACAGAAAATTGAAAAATCGAGGAAACTACTTTTATTTTACTATAGTCCACATTTTTGTAATTATTTACTTTTTTACTTATTTACTTTTTTTTACTTATTTACTTTTCCATTCTCTAAAGAATAAACATGCTTCCACATTTCGATCAGCTAATGAATATTATTTTACATTTTGGAGATCAAAGCTTTCCACTTTTATTTATAGTTTTAAATATTCTTTGCTGTTAATATTTATAATTATTTTCCATGGTTGTCAGGGTGTGTGTGTGTGTTTGTGTGTATGTATGCTCAATGATAAAGACTAAGATGTAACTCTTTCTCTCAAATTTTGTCCCCATCATAACTATCTTGAGTTGTTGATTACAATGTTAGCACAATGTCTTGACTGGCTTATAATATTTATTCAACGGATAGTAAAAGTTGTTTATATACAGCACTTTAATAGATTGTATCTTTCAACTATCCTTTCTTATTAAGCTCCTTTCTCCTTTACATTTTTAAAACCTCCTATAACTTTTAAATTTTAATAGTGAAATTCGATGTACTTTTTATAAAACATTATTAGAAAATCAATGATGATATTAAGTTTGGAGATATTTTGAACTTAAATAGACAAATTTAAAAAATTCTTATGCAAATTGACTTTTAATTGTTCATAAATAAGAACATCATACAGATGACATCAGAGAAATCTTTTACTCTTATAACGTGAATTTAAATTATTGATGTTATAATTTTATCAATGTCCTTCTAAACCTGAATTTTTTTTGTCCATTTATTAACCAGCACTACACGTACAGTGGTGGACGAGTTCCTAAAACATCAGCCCTGTGACGTGTAGTTCAATTATAGCACCAGAGACAAGAACAGAACCTCCTGGCACAACAGCATTTGTATCCTATACACCCAAGCTATTAACAAGTCACACAACTCTTATCTTTTAATTGTGATAACATCTGATAAAAATGAAAGTTTCATTGGATTGTTCACATCATGCCCTCCATACTTGCAAAATACTAATATTATTTTGAGTGACAGACAATTGAAAAATCAAAGTATGTATTCTGTAATACCTCACACCATCATCGGAGGTATTTTTATTGAGCTTATCTTTGGAAATAAGGATGGAAGCATGATTTCCCCAGAATCAGTAAATCAATAAGAGTGATAGTTTTGACTTAATGCACACACAATGCTCCTCTTGAAATCTGTGAGCCCTGCAGCTTTAAACATATCCACTTACCTATAGAGTACTCTTCCACCAATGGTCACCAGGTTAGAAAAAACACTGAAGTCAGTCATGTTTGGTGGCCATGACTGTATGTTCAGGAAACCTACAAGTGAAGAGTAGAAAAAATAAATCAGAATATCATTGTCTTAGTATTAGTGCTGATTTTTCTTGAAATATGGTGAAAATGTGTTGAAAGTTGGGAAGTGAGAAAGGGGTAGTGAACATTTCTATTTTTTAAGCACTCTATTACATATGTATTCTTCCAAGATTGAGTGTCCTACCCAATAAAACTGTATATGTTGAAACGTTTCAATGACTCAGTTTGATTTATTCTTATAAATGCAAAAATGTAGTCTAACTAGATAAAGAGAAAAATACAGTTTCAATTTCTCTGAAATCTTTTACGTCTTCATCTGTTCACTTATGACATCAGTGTCACCCTTGTATTCTAAGACATTTATATACATATCTAGCCTTTCTCATTAGATTTTGCATTATTTTACGGTAAGTCCATGTCTGATTCATATCTATGGGTCCCATATTACCTATAAGACAATGTTGAACACATTACATGCTTAATATGTATGTGCTAAATAAATGCTACATGTTATCTATTTTCAATAGTACTTCTTTTGAAGAAGTAAACAGAAAAACATAGTTTCAAAGATCAGTTGACACTTGCAAGAGTCGTAATGTCAAACTTTCAAAGATACTCATTTTGTAATTCCATGGGCTTTCAAAATGTGCATAAAAGCTAAAAAGACACCATCTTTAAAAATAACATGAGTTTTTACAAACTAAAATCTGCTTTGAAAATTAGTTGCTGATTCCAATCTTATGTAACTTTTTTTGTTTTGTTTTGTTTTGTTTTTTGTTGTTATTTTGAAATGGAGTCTCACTCTATTGCCAGGCTGGAGTGCAGCAGCGTGATCTTGGCTCACTGCAATCTCCACCTCCTGGGTTCAAGCAATTCTCCTGCCTCAGCCTCCTGAGCAGCTGGGATTACAGGCACGCGCCACCACACCCAGCTAATTTTTGTATTTTTAGTAGAGACAGGGTTTCTCCATGTTGGCCAGGATTTCCATCTCCTGACCTCATGATCCACCCGCCTCAACCTCCCTAAGTGCTGGGATTACTGGTGTGAGCCACGATGCCCAGTCAATCTTGTGTAATTTTTAAAAAAATTATATTGTTCATAGCGCAACAGTTGCAGTTTAAAAAATTACCTGTTATCTCTCTGACTGTCCGAAAGACGTTCAGTTTCTCTGGGTCTATGGCTTCAATTGCATTGTAAGGGTCCCTAGAAAATCAAGAAGAGATGTAGCCAAATTTAAATTTTACTAAAGGATTGAAAATATGAGAAATGTGACAATATTTTATTCAAATTTAATTTTAATTAGCAGTAGGGGTGTTATCAATGCATGTTTAAATTAATCTGTGCTAGATGTGGAGGAGGAATAATAGGTGTTTTGTGGAAATTTTTGATGTCACAAAATATGAGATTTTCATCAAAGCCTATTCCAGATCTATAAGATTATTCAGCTTCAACTATTCTGATGAAATTCCCAAAGACAGCAAGCTCATGTATGAACCATTTTACATTATTTTGTTTTAAAAGTTTATTCTTGATTTGGAAGAATATATATAGTCTAGAAATACATTATATTATAGTGAGAACAACTGGCATTTCCGCTCCTCAAAGAAGTATACATTGCTATTAGTACCTGGAATTCGTAAGAAGGACAGAAACAAACACAAATAAAATTGACATCTTTTTTTTCTGTAGCTCTACATTTATCTACTTGTGAATTTTCATAATATTTATAACATTGTCCAGAAGTCTCTCTTCATACAGATTACTTAGAACCATCTTGTTCCTATCTAGCTTATTCATATTCACGTTTATAACACAGGAACTATTCGCTTCCAAGTATATGAATTCAAGCAAGACTTCCAGTTTTTTTTTTAAAGAAATCCACAGTAAGTTTTAAAATTTTATTACATTAAAAGACATTTCATACTATCCTAGGTAGAGACCTCATATTAATATATACCATTTACAGAGAGATTAAATTTTATCCATTGGCTACTTCTTCAAGACAGATCAAAACTTCTAAGAACAGTGATCTTAGGCTTTTTTAGAAGTATGTATCTACCTGTAGCAGCCAAACAAATTTTATTCTTACTGTGGACATCTCTTCTTTTACCAGTCTCTGAGAACATTCCTTTTTGGTATGGCGAATAACCATTAGTGATCCACTATATGCAGCCTTAATAGGGCTATCAATCAACGTGTTCCACAATCCCCTGACAAACAGATAGGCATATGGCCTATGTCCTGGGGATTTGTGTCTGAATCCATTGGCATTTATTCATGCCAGCATTCAAGTCTTGAAAAGAGTATCAGTTCCAGCAACCTTGATCTCTGGAACCACCTTGTACTGGCTTCCTGAACTTGGTTCATCAGCATATTCTTCTCTACTGGAAACCATTCCACATCTTAAAAAAACAAAAAAAAAAAAAACAAAAAAAACTTTGCTTGATTAAATTAGTGTTTCAAACTAAGAAGTGCAATCAATACAATGTACTGCTAGTTTAACATGGAGTGCTTTATACTAGGCTCAAATACTGGATATTGCTGAGGTTGGAGAAACACTATAAATGTGTTTCCCTATAATTCACACATAAACTATTGATTAAAATTTTCTCAATGTCATATTAATATCTCACAAAAGCTTAAAGTCTCAATGAAATGTTCTAGCAACTTTCTCTATTTACAAGCAAAGATATATGGAACAAATAACTATGCTTTTGATGAACATGAAGCCAAAAATGAAGTGTATCATGTAGGAAAACTCTTGCCTTCACTTTTTAATGTGCAAAGAATTTTGTATACAGAGGAAATATCAGCTCTGCAGTACAAGAATAAGCTTTCAACATTTGTTCTTTGATGAAAAGCAGAGTATAGGACAGCTCAGGTCGTATAATCAAATATCTTGGCTTTATTGAGAAAAACTCAAAATTCAGGGCAAGCACACAATAATGGGGTCAGTCCGGACCTTTACTGAGAACACTTCCATGTTGCCAGGAATGAAATGAATTCTGGAATGTTAACATGAAGCTCAGTGGACCACAGATATTTTATACAGTTAATTTTAGAGACTCAGGACCCTTGTCAAATAAGTTGACAGAATTCCACTCACTGATTTCAAAGTATGTCTTGGGAGTTGCATCCTATAGCCACTCGAAATACATAGTACTTTAAAACAGTTAACTTCCCTAACTAAATTCGGAGCCATGCAAAAGAACACTACGTCTACCGTGTCATTGTGTTTGGTGATCCAAAATAAAGCTCAGGAAAAAGAGAGAGAAACATATTTTCATTTCCACTGAAATCACTTTATTTTATCATCGAGTTTATTATTTCCCTTCCATTGTCTAGCACCATTGCAGGCTACTATGTAAACCCTTTCTTGCCAGTGTCTCATTGTGACACAACATGAACATGCTTATTTGGTGAGCATTTGGTTACTCTAAGCACATGCACATCAATAATGTAAAACATAACAAAACATGAAAGAAAAGTTTTCCTAACGATAACCCTAAGCACTAAGCTTTCCTGCAGTTCCCATTCTAAATAAGAAAATGAGTGCCCACTGCTATTTCTGGCAATGGTACTCTTGTACTATAAACTAAACATGCCAATTAACTTTCTTGAGCCTAATTATATATTAAAATTTTAATTGATGAATTGCCAGTAAATATATTTTGTGGAGAAACTTGTTTTTAAAAAGCGTAACAACCTCATTAAATTATTATTTTTGCATTTTATCAGTTAAAAACATCTCAGCTATTTTAATCAAACCATATGACCTTATCAAAAGCTGGTTAGTAAAATATTATGGGTAATGGAAATTGAGGTAAAACATTTCTTTAATTCACTGTAAGTTTTCTGCTTATAATACTCTGTATTGTTCACCTTTAAAATATCTCTATCTTTATACACACACACACATACACACACAAACACACATTACATTCATGACCACACTTGTATCTATACATATATAACATGTCTAATTCTACTGAATTAATTCTATAGCCATACTTTCCTAAGATGAAACAGAAAGGCTTCAGAATATATGTTTCATGCTGGCATGACAGTGAGAATAAAGAATACATCATAATTCATTTATATGTTTGTCCTGGAAAATACCTTATAAATTATACTTGAGACCCAATTATAATTATTATTTTAAATATTCCAGGTTTAAGCGCTATGATTAAAGACAAATAATCCCCTGAACTAAGAAGCATGACTCATTGTAAGGAAAATTTTGCCTTTATTTGGTTTCCAAAAGAGTCTATATAAGACTATAATCAAGTCTATAAAATTAATATTTGTTGCACAACATGCTGTGCTATAAACTAGACATAGGCACTGTGATTTTTCCTTTCCACTGCCTTCTTCTCCTCCTGTTTTGTTTTTTATTGATTTTCATTTCTCTCTGTTTCCATCCTTCTCTCTCTCTCTCTCTCTCTCTCTCTCTCTCACTATCTTTCCCTCCTTCCCTGCACTTCCAACCTTCTATTTTATACCATTTGTTAAGGTTTTACAATATGCCAGGCACTGGGCTGAGCAATTCAAAACAACTTTTGTTTTTAATCACCACAATAATCATAGGAAATAGGTATTTATTGTTAATCCATTTCTCAAGTTTTTTTATTGGAGGAAACCTAGTGTTTGACGTGAGAGAAAGCCATGCAACTCAACACAAACCCTCCGTGGTGGAGCTGCAAATCACACTCCAGTCTACTCTGGATCAAATTATCCAAGAAGAAATCCTAACTCTCATTTTCTAAGTTTATGTTTAAGACAAACTTGGTTTACCTTTCTACTTCTAATCCATGTAAGCTGATTTTCCATAAGTAATTTTTCACCTGGATGAATGAGCAATATTTTTCTCCTTAGAAGTCTGGGTTAGTCTAAAGTGGTATTCTTCCCATAAACTTGTAAATGCATGGTCCTTACTGCCTGATGCATTTTTATTCATTGGACTACCTGTTTCCATTTTTTATTGCATTTATTTATTAAACTTTCCTCCACTCTGGGCCGGAGGTGACTATATATATGCGTGTGTGTGTATATATATATATATACACATATATATATATATATATATACATACATATATATATACATATATATATATGAGAGAGAGAGAGAGAGAGTAATTTTATAACTAGTAGAAATCTAGAGTTTTAATAATTATGTTCTATGATGAACCAAGACTAAAATAACTATTCTGAACCTCACTAGATAGAACATTTTTGAAACCTTTCTACCCATGTTTTATCTGTAAGAATTTTAGCCTTGGCAGGTCACTTTTGGTGGTTTGCAATCTTTCTACTATCACAAAATTCTTGCAGTGTTTCTCAATGGGGGCAGCACCACCCCACGAACAGGAAGTTGGCACATCTGGAGAGCTGTTTCAGTTGTAACAGAGACTGGGTGATCCTATAGTTTACAGCAGTTATCACAAGGTTGTTAACTGTCTCTTAAATCAAAGGATTGAGTCATGTTTTATACAACCTTAAAATGTCCTACTAGACATTTAGGACCTCATATGTGCAAACTTCATGCTTGGTCATACTTTGGCCAGGTATAATTCCCTAGTTGTGTTGCTCCAATTTCACTTGATCTTAGCCAAAAAGTCGAGAAGCAATTTACTCCAATTTCAATGAAAGTCATTTCCCTCTTTCTTTTGTCATATAACAATGTGTCTGGCTAGTGGTTTTCTATTCCAGTGGTCAGCTGTTCCTCTGCTTTTTATTTCCTGGTACTTCTTACACAAAAATGCCTTCTAATCTCATTTTTCATAAATCCAAACTTTCGTATAATTGGAAACTTGGCATTCCCCTAACAATATTTTATTGTACCTTACTTTTTCGTATTTCTTTTAAAATTACAACTAGAGAATTATAATAATTAAAACAATATATATTTAGGTTACATTATCTATAAATTTTATTTCAGAATTGAAAAGTGGCAATTTTTTAATATATAAAAGTGGAATGTTGTGCCTGATAAGGATAAAAACCACTTGTCTAATGCAATTCATGTGAATATGATTTCAAATCATTCCCCACAGTGAAAGGCTTGAGGCTAATTCATTTATTATTTCTAGGTGAAAGCACGCAATGTGAGTCAAGTGGCTCTATCTTCTTATTTCTCAGAAGACATTATTAGCATAATATAATCTTACATTCATGTGGTATTTGGTTTTAAATATAGTCAAATTGTGGGTATATTGCCTTACTAAATGTCATATATGCATTAAATTATGAAGAAGCACCTAAATATTGTCCCAGGTCTCCTATGCAATGGGGCAAGGAGGGTAAGACAGCAATGTAAATGGACTCAGAAGGCCAGTGGGGACTATGGTAAAGTTGATTAAGGGTGTCCCATCTCAAAATGACTAGTGTTACTGATTTGCTTTGGCTATGTCCTCATCAAAATATCATATTGAATTGTAGCTCCTACAATTCCCACGTGTTGTGGGAGGGACCCAGTGGGAGGAAACTGAATCATGGGAGTGGGTCTTTCCCACGCTGTTCTCATGATAGTGAATAATTCTCGTGAGATCTGATGGTTTTATACAGGGGAGTTTCCCTACACAAACTGTCTCTTGCCTGCCACCATGTAAGACATGCTTTTCTCCTCCTTGGCCTTCCATCATGATTGTGAGGCCTCCCCAGCCATGTGGGACTGTGAGTCCACCGAACCTCTTTTTTCTTTGTAAATTACCCAGTCTCGGGTGTGTCTTTATTAACAGCATGATAACTGACTAATATGGCTACCCAGTTCCAACAAATTGTTGCCATGTAGGAATATGGGCCGACAATGACCAAGTCTATACATTTTAAAAGGCAAGTAAAAAAAAAAAAACATTTCTTAAGACAGATACAACAATTATGGGGTGGCAGCTACATACATACTATTATACTATCTAACATGGGGCTGTATTAAAAGCTACCTATTAAAATAAACAGATATTTAGCAATAATACATATAATAATTGATTTGAATGAAAAGAAACACTTTGTTCTATTGTTCTTGCCATTCCTATTTGGACATATTTATTCATAATATGTCAAATTAGTTTGCTTTTAGAAATGATCTGATACATGTTCAGAGTAAGATTTTGAATTAAAATATATGAGAGATATTCTTTATCTGTAGCCTGCAGCACTAACATTTAGGGATTAAGTAGTAATATAGACAAATAGATAACATACAATGTTAAAATACTGACATTCAAAGAATACAAACTTGTTTGTTTTCCAGTTAAAACGAGTAGGGGGTCCTGTAATGAAGGAGCCCAGATAAATCACGTTGCAATTTGTATTACCAAAATGAAATTCATTTAGCAGCATCTCTTACAGTGGTGCTAACTTCCCAACTTAAGGGAAACAAGACGAAAATAACACATCAGGACAAAGAATTTCTGGAAGAAGCTCAGGGGAATTTCAACATACTGATTAGTTTTATGTGAGACTTTTTAAAGGATATTAATTCATGTTTTCTCAAGCTAATCCATTAGAAGTTTGAATGAATTTTCCCACCTCAACCAATGATACTTTTTTCCCTAAACATATCTAAAAATAAGTCAAGCTTGCTGAAAACTGTGGATTTGAGGAGGATGTCCTAAAATATAATTTAGTTTAAATACAAATTTATATTTTTGACCTTAGTCACCAAACTAAAGTTTGAGCACATTCCAAAACTAGTATACTGTCATTGCTGGTGAAATCAGGCCCCTGCTTTTGTTGGTGAGGAGCATTAATGAAAGGTGAAACTCTTCAGCTTCCAGAGGAATCAAATAAACAAAACTAAAGAATCTCTTCAGTTTTGTCTACACTTTGTAAAATAACTTGCACAAAAATTTAATACTGACCCATGAATACCAGTGACTAGAAAGATCAAATTCCCATTGATCTTGGTACAGTTTATGAATTTGTCAATGTTACTGGAATCCACAGTCTGAGCTGACATCAATGATCCTGTGCCAATGCCATCACAAGCTGTAGAAACAAGACTCAGAGTTAGGGGATTGAGAAACTTATTTTTGGCCAATAAATCATTGCATCTTCATTATAAAATAGCAGAGTATTTTTAATTGTAACATATAAAATATATTACAAATTTTGTTTTCTAAAAAGTAAAATAATTATTCATTCGTTCAACATTCACTACTGGTTCTGCTTTAAAAACTTGTCCCTGCATTAAAATCGAATGACGATGACTCATCAGAGAAATTACATTTTATATCAAGACCCAGTATACACACATAACACATACATAAGTCTTACAGAAATTTTATAAATCAATACTCCTCCTAACAACATAAAATTATCTATTTTCTACTTTCTTTGAAAATATCATTTTTAATGATTTTGAAATGCTGGTAACTTTAGCAAAATGATTTCATGGCCTACATACTAATGGTCTACAACCTGCAATTTTAAAAACAGTGGTCTAATGGAGAATATATGCAAATAAAGAGTTCTAATGATGTGAATTATAACCAAAATCAAGGGCCATTCAAATATTTATGCTTAAATTGAACATGCTTTCTGAAGCTTCTAATTTAAACAAACAAACAAAACAATTTTTGTGTGTGGGTGGGGGGGGATGTATAGAGAAAGAGAGAGGGGATAAGGAAGAAACAGAGAGGGAGAGAGAGAAAACATCATCTAAAAGTAAGTGTGGAGTTTGTCCTTTTCTAGGGCACTCCCTGATACTTTGAAAAGTTTAATAACATTCAGGAGATTTAGACTTTATTTTCATCTTGCTTAATTTAGGTTTCATTCTGGTGAGGAATTAGACTACCCACAGCTGGAAGAGATTCCTTCCTCCGCTAAAATTCTATGGCATGAATTATCTGATATATTTATTTTAAACTTATGGTAAAGTTTCTTGTCATTTCATAGATCTCATCTTTCAAAATACATTTTCAAGATCTGGAAAGTAAATTTCATGCCCCTCTGGATCTCTTTTTATGCTTAGCAGATAATTTTGTATATAGTGGCAAGCAACTAATATGTGTTGTGATGCCAACATAACCGTGTGAACTCTTGTTTTTTACAAAGCTTTTAAGATTTGCTATTGACAGAGTAACAGGCAACTTTATTTCTGAGTTCCTATCAATGTTACATGTGCGTTTTTTTCTGGGCCATTTTAGTAGATAAAATTCAAACTCAATAATATACAGTGCTATAAAAGTTCATATTTTGAGTAACTGTTCAAAATTATGGAAAGCGTGTGGGTAGGTTTGGTTGTGAGAGTGGGTTTATATTAAAAAGTTGGTCTACTTAAAAGTGAATTAAAAACCTTGTTATATAGGCCCAGTTCTAACTAAATAATCTGAGCTACCACTCACCTTTTGGGCAAATGTCAGTGCAAGGTTTACACATTTTAATCCCATTTTCTTCTACTTCCATCTTGGAACTAGGGCAGGCACGCACACAAGAACTGGAATCTACCACAAAGTTATCTGATTAAAAAAAAAAAAAAGGTAAAATAAGCATTAATGTTAACATTCAGCAAACAAGCTCAAAACAAGATATTTTAGGGTTTAAAAATGATTAGCATCATTGATAGTGTTTATGTATCTTACCCTTAAACAACTCTTTGTTTAAATATCTCAACCTGAAATTGTATTTCCAGTCAAATGCAATGTGTGTTAACAACAACTAGTACTTGCTTGGTTACTGCTCCACATATTGAATTGCCCCCAAGATAGAGTAGATTTCTTTTATATACTTAGGAAACTACGTGACATTTAGCTTGTGTGTGTCAATAGTTCCACTTCATTTCATGACATGACGCAAGTTTGAAGTCCAAAAATACTTCAAGTCCATGAAGCACAAATGAAGCTTAAGTTGAACTGCCTTGGATCAGAGTACATTTCACATCCAGGAGAAAATGCTCAAAATGTGTTCTATTTTTCAGTGGAGTGCCACAAAACCTTTCTCATATTTTTATACGAAGAAACGAAATAAAATTGGAAAGGGTAGTACTTTGGAAAAGGTATATCAAATAGACAAGGAGCAGTTTGTTACCCAATACTTGGATTAAATGTCTAGCAGTCCAGTGACATGGGATATGCCAGAACATCCCCTCCAAAATAAAGGACAAATTATTGCACCTAAAGGCTCTCACAATAAATAGGAAACACAATACCTGCTAGGCCACTCTGGTTTTAAAAGTAGCATCCTTCCATGCCTGGGAATATTGTTCTGGCACAATATGCAATGTTGTGGAATGCTTACAGCCTTGAGGGGTGCCCAAAGCAGAAACGGCATATGATGTATATCTAGGCTGTGATGCAAGCAATATTGCTACTTGGGCCATAAAACCCAAGAGGCTCTATGATATTGGAAGCATCTATAGTGGGAAAATATGCCATGTAGATTTATGGCAAGTTTCATCAGAAAATCACAACAGAGACTTCTAGGTTTTTAGAGCTAAGCTATGCCACCTGTAGCACAGGATTGCACACCATTTAATAAACAGCTTTTGACATGCTTCTGGGTCCTGGTAGAGATGGATCTTGGGTCAGACCTTATAGCCAGAATTGCCTATCATGAACAGGGTTTTGCTATAATGTCACAATGTCATCATGTTGGGCAGGTCCAAGAGCATTCCATTGTAAAATTAAAGTAGGACATGTGTAGGGGCAGAAGCACAAGTAAACTGCATAAGCAAATGGTTAAGAGGCCCCCATGCCATCCACCACTGGGCTGGCCCCTCTCAGTCATCTCATACCTATGGCTGTGTGGGGGCTAAGAGAAGGCACTTAGGAAAAGCTAACAGAGTAAGACACAAAATAGACTAGGTATGTGGTACTAGCTGAAAATGGATGGCAGCTTCTCTGTCTGCCATCTCACCTATGACTAGACTTGAAGCACAGAGACAAGAGAAAATCTTACCAACGGGTATAATTCTAGGTAGCGAAATTGATTACTCATTTTGTATGAAAAGAGAAGTTGCTTGACCTTAGAATATATATGAAGTAATGAGCTTGTCCTGAGAGAAGAAATACTGGAAAATTTGAGAAGAAAGGGAATCTGGTGCAAAGAATCCATGGGAGTGGGTACAAAGTATGGAAAAATTTGCATTCCAAGTCAATATCCACATGAAAGCATCCACCACAACAAAGAGTCACTTTGTTGAGATGATATCAAAGTCCAATCTTGCTTTCTTCCCTTCCCCAAAAAGTGCTGATTTTGAGACTACTCCTTAATAACCTAATCTCTATCTCAGGGGAACCCAACCTGCAACAGGTGCATACATGATATTAAGTAGCCATTCTTTCTTCAAGGTCTTGTGATATGGTTTGGATCTGTGTCCCCACCCAAATCTCATGTCGAATTATAATCCTCAGTATTGGGGGTGTGACCTGGAGGGAGGTGAATGAATCATGGGGGTGGCTTCTCATGGTTTAACACCATCCCTCTTGGTGTTGTCGTTGCAAGAGTGAGTTAGCATGAGATCTGGTTGTTTACAAGTGTGTCACACCTCCTGCCTCTCTCTTCCTCCTGCTC
This sequence comes from Homo sapiens, assembly GCF_000001405.40. NCBI lineage: Eukaryota > Metazoa > Chordata > Mammalia > Primates > Hominidae > Homo > Homo sapiens. Next base: position 211,715,702 of record NC_000002.12, read on the forward strand.
TGGCCATGGAAGACATAATTGCTTCTCTTCACCTTCACTGTGATTGAAAGTTTCCTGAGCCCTCTCCAGAACCCCTCATGCTTCCTGTACAGCCTACAGAACCATGAGCCAACTGTACCTCTTTTGTTTATCAATTACCCAGTCTCAGGTATTTCTTTATAGCAGTGTAAGAACCAACTAATACATCTTGGGAAATGCGTTACAATGAAACCCTTTCACATTTCTGCCGAATGGAATAAACAAATATTATAATTAGTCTTATATCAGTTAGATTCAAGTTTTGCACCCAAACGAGTTTCAGAAAATGCATGTTTGGAGTTTTTAAATTTCAGAATTCTGGATTAGGAACTGTAGACCTGCATTTAGAAGCTGAATGTCCGACCGGGCACAGTGGCTCACGCCTGTAATCCCAGCACTTTGGGAGGCCGAGGCGGGTGGATCACCTGAGGTAGGGAGTTCAAGACCAGCCTGACCAACATGGAGAAACCCTGTCTCTACTAAAAATACAAAATTAGCCAGGCATGGTGGCGCATGCCTGTAATCCCAGCTACTAGGGAGACTGAGGCAGGAGAATTGCTTGAACCCGGGAGGTGGAGGTTGTAGTGAGCCGAGATTGTGCCATTGCACTCCAGCCTGGGCAACAACAGTGAAACTCTGTCTCAAAAAAAAAAAAAAAAAAAAAAAAAAAAAAAAGGCCGGGCGCAGTGGCTCACGCCTGTAATCCCAGCACTTTGGGAGGCCAAGGTGGGCGGATCACGAGGTCAGGAGATCGAGACCATCCCGGCTAACACGGTGAAACCCCGTCTCTACTAAAAATACAAAAAATTAGCCGGGCCTGGTGGCGGGCGCCTGTAGTCCCAGCTACTCGGGAGGCTGAGGCAGGAGAATGGCGTGAACCCGGGAGGCGGAGCTTGCAGTGAGCCGAGATTGCGCCACTGCATTCCGGCCTGGGCGACAGAGCGAGACTCCGTCTCAAAAAACAACAACAACAACAACAACAAAACAAAACAAAAAAAAACAAAAAAAAAAGAAGAAGCTTAATGTCCTTGTTTTCCCAAGAAAGCTTCAATTTGGCAAACCAAGCCATGTAAGCCAGGCCCATCAGAGATTTAAATTTTTTCATAGACAAATACTGAAGTGCTTTAAATTAGCCTGTAGTTTGAGATACACAAACTAATCTAAGAAAGGAAGACTGTAAGTTACCACATTTAAAGTAAACAAGTCAGGTAATTTCACACAATAGGTCTTCATGTTTAGCCACTTACTACAGTTTGGAGTTGACAGCTTTCAGGTGAATCACTATAAGGGCTATAGTAAAGAAAAGGGGAATTCTCTAATTCAAATTTTCCTGGTACTTCTGCTCTCACCCAACCCTCGGGCTTCAACCTAAGGACTTGAATAAAAGGGAAAGCACCAAAAAAACTCCAAGAAAGCATAGTTTTGACTGTCTTTGGGAAAGGCATCCTAATTTGAAGGTAGTAGATTAGGTAGTAGTATAATGCGCTTCTAAGAAAAGGGAAAATATCATTTAGCCCCATCCTGCAATACTGCCAAGCCCTCAGTTTTGTAAGGATGGTACATGGTGACATATAGGGTGACTTTAGATAAGAGGTTATTAGATGAAAAGGACTGGTGTGAATATTGAAATATTTAAGATGCAAAATCTTTGCTGTCTTGGAGTTAGTGTGTCTGTGACTTTAAAATGCTAATTAAGAGACATATTAAACACACATATATATACATAAAGAAGTCAAAGTACAATTTTTACTTTAATGGATATGAACGTGTTTCATAACAATGACTAGAATTGTGTTTTCAAAGCCTTTTTAAATAATCTACCCCTCTCGGCCTGGTGCGGTGGCTCACGCCTGTAATCCCAGCACTTTGGGAGGCCGAGGGAGGTGGATTAACTGAGGTCAGGAGTTCAAGACAGCCTGGCCAACATGGTGAAACCCAGGCTCCACTAAAAATACAAAAATTAGCTGGGCGTGGTGGATGTGCCTGTAATCCCAGCGACTCAGGAGCTGAGGCAGGGGAATCGCTTGAACCCGGGAGGCGGAGGTTGCAGTGAGCCAAGATTGCGCCATTGCTCTCCAGCCTGGGTGACAGAACCAGACTCTGTCTCCAAAAAAATAAAAAATCTACCCCCCTCATCCTTATATCCTATCTCTTCGATTGTTATAATGGCTCTGGAAAGAAAGGAGGGAAGATATATATATTTTTTGAGACAGAGTTTTGCTCTTTTTGCCCAGGCTGGAGTGCAATTGCATGATCCCGACTCACTGCAACCTCTGCCTCCTGGGTATAAGCATTCTCCTATCTATCTCAGCTTCCCAAATAGCTGGGATTACAGGTGTGTGCCACCACGACCGGATAATTTTTGTATTTTTAGTACAGATGGGGTTTCACTATGTTGGCCAGGCTGGTCTCAAACTCCTGACCTCACGTGATCTGTCCACCTCAGCCTTCCAAAGTGTTGGGATTACAGGCACGAGCCACCGTGCCTGGCCAGAAGATATAATTTTTATAACCCACATCTTAAAGAAGAAAAAATAGAGAACAAAAGGTGTTATTTAAAAATCACATGACTAATAAGGGAACGAAGCCACGATCCATAGCCACTCTAATCCCATGTCCCTTACACACATTGAGTATCCCTTATCCAAAATGCTTGGGACCAGATGTGTTTCAGATTTCAGAATTTTTTGGATTTTGTAATATTTGCATAAACATAATGAAATACCTTGGGGATGAAACCCTAGTCTAAAAACAATATTCAGTTTTTATGATTCCATATATCTTATACACATGACCTGAGGTAATTTTATATAATATTTTAAGTAATGTTTGGTGTGAAACACAGTTTGTGTACACTGAACCATCAGAAACAAAGGCATCACTATCTCAGCCATCAACATAGACAATCTGTGGTTGTTTGGCATCACCATCATTCATAACACTAAATTTATATACTACTGATGAGCAATCATATTCTTACACTTATTCACACATAAATATATAAAACTAAAAAAAAAAAACATGGTATACCACTAACACAGTGAAAAGATAATGTGTTTGGAATAACTAGGTATCAGAGTAGAATGACCAGAATACCTCCATCAGCTGTGAAACAACAACAACAACAAATAATGCAGGCTTTTAGTGTCCATCTATGATGCTGTGTTTTGATTAAAAGGTTACGATACACTGTTTTATTTTCTTAGGTAAAAAGAAACATCAGAAACAGCTGAGAAACCAGGGAATAGGTCCTACAGGGATAAGGGGGCTTTCTGCTGGATGGCTTTTTAAAATGTTTCCTCCAGGGTCATTTGCCCATTAACAGTGAATTTTGTCTTAGAAGTCTCTTTTTGATTTTATAAACTCCCATGACTTCTTGTTCTGTTATGAATGCACCATGCTCTAGTCCTTCAGTGAGCCCATAACACATTTTCATCATGTCTTCTGTAGATAACTTTTTGTGCAATGTTAAAAACATTTTCATTGTCACTATTACCACGATTGCTTTGATTCAGAGCGACTTCTGCAATTTCACCATCAGTCAATGAAGGAACAACTCGTTATCAATGTTAAAAACTTCTGTGATATCCATTTCTTCCAGTTTACTGATGGACTCTGAAGGATTATTTTTTTCTCACCTGACATAGGGAATCTTTCCAAGTAACCACCTTTTTCCCGAACACAGTCATAGGTCAGAGGTTGTACCTGGCATGCAAAACTGTGTCTTTAGTACTGTGTTCCAAGCATTGACAACAGCATATACAGCATCCTTCATGCTAAGCTTCTTTTGAAAACCTTCCCACACCCAGGTCTTTGTTCACTGCTGCTAGCATGCTGTTCAAGAAAGTGTTTTTGGCCAGGTGCGGTGGGTCACGTCTGTAATCCCAGCACTTTGGGAGGCCGAGGCGGGCTAATCACAAGGTCAGGAGATCGAGACCATCCTGGCTAACACAGTGAAACCCCGTCTCTACTAAAAATCCAAAAAATTAGCCAAGCATGGTGGCACGTGCCTGTAGTCCCAGCTACTCGGGAGGCTAAGGCAGGAGAATCGCTTGAACCCGGGATGCAGAGGTTGCAGTGAGCCGAGATCATACTACTGCATTCCAGCCTGGGTGACAGAGCGAGATTCTGTCTCAAAACAAAGAAAAGAAAAAAAAAAAAAAAAAGGAAAGTGTTTTTGTATTTACTTTTCATTGCTCTAAGGATAGTCTGTTTACATGGCTGAATTAATGAAGTCACATTTAAGGGAAAGTACACGGCATAAACATTGTTTTTGATGAGAATTTCAGCTGCAGGATGAGTAGAACGGTTGTCAAGGAAAAACAAAATCTTGCATTCAACATCCAGTCCAGCTTCCCAGCGATGAGCAGGAGGTGCTAGTATAAAATGTTTGGGTGAAGCCAATAAGAAAAGTTGTTCCCGGTAACCGATGCATTTTTAGTAGCATAATAATTGGTAAGAAATTCACTCCTTGGAAACTGAGGATGCAAGCTTTTGCCTATCACAGCAAGTTTACATTTATGTGTGCCTGCTGTATTAGCACATTCCAGCCCAGTCATTCTGTCTTTGGTATCCTTCATTCCTGCAGGGGCTGTCTAATGAACTGTGGTCAATGCCTTTGTGGAGGAGCAATGTTAAAACAGTGATGTTTCATCAGCATCACAGAAATGTCCTGGTGTCAGATTTTTATCAGTGATGACCTTGGCAAACTCAATGATGAATTTCTCCACTGCTTTGTGATCAGCAGATATTTTGTCACCGGGAATCTCTAAAGATTTAACGCCATGTCTTTTCTTAAATTTTTGTGTCCAGCCTGTTGAATATTTACAGTTCTCTTCAACTTTCAGTTCACCGTGCTGGATCTTTGCCTGTTTGATGATCAGCATACCATTATGTGGCTTATGTTCATCTACATGCTGAAAAATCCACTCTTTCGGTACACAAGCAAGATCTTTATCATTAGCTTTATTCAGTGCTGTTCTATTTTTCATTAACTTCTGTTATTCATTTTCAGCATAGAACAGTTTATCCTTCTGTTTCTTCAGGTCACACAAAGTGTTCATACCAACACTGTACTCTTCTCTTCTCTATGATGTTGCATACTTACACCGTTCTCCCATTTCTCCAAAAGCTTGACTTTCTAAGCTACACATAAACATAAATGTTTCCTCTTATTTTTACCACCCTTACCTGGAGGGATAGCTGCAGGCCTTTTTGACATTTTCAACAATATCTCAACACCACAAAATGGCACTTTGGAAAACCTGCCATTGGTGTGTCTGGCCTGCACACGTGCCATTTTATTACCTGTGGGTGTGCTTCCCTTTGGAAATCTGGGTATGCAAGGAAAAGATGTACCACAGTCGAAAGGGGCTGAGAGTGTGTGTATGTGTGTGGTTTCTTTCCCTCTTGGGAACACTAAACAAACTGTGTTGTGTGCATTTTGACTGTGACCTATCACACGAAGTCAGGTGTGAAATTTTTCATTTGTGACAACATGTCAGCACTCTAAAAGTTTCAAATATTGGAGCATTTCAGATTTTGGATTTTTGGATTGTGGATGCTCAGCCTGTACTTCCTACTGTATCACATACACAAAGTGAAGTAAGTCACATTATATGTATAGCACAGACTATAAATAATTCTTTTAAATGAGTATATGGGCATATATAGTGATTTTTTTCAGCCTTTCCAATAGGAAATGTCCCATTGGTTACTCAAAGCAAAAAAAAAAAAAAAAAAAAAATAGAGTCAAGTAAATATCAATATATTATCCTGAATACCTGATGAAAGTTAAGTCGGTCCTTTTGAATCCTCAGGATGTTATCAATTTGTTTAAGATCCTTTAACATACCCTTTATATATATACATGTTTTATTTAAGGTTAATTTGCTATTAAACATATATATATATATATATATATATACATGTTTTGTTTAAGGTTAACTTGATATTAAAAATATAATGCTAAGTATTCTAGTTATAAATAAGGAATCAGAAATAATTTTAGGTAAAAATCCATTGTTATTAGAAGCAGATCCTATTCATTACACAGCTTGCTGCCACTTAACTAATTACTTTTTTGGAGAAACAGTATGATAGGCAAAAATACTGTGGTATAGTAAAAACAGAAAGAGGTTTTTGTTTGTTTGTCTGTTTTTGAGATGGAGTCTCTCTCTGTCACCCAGGCTGGAGTACAGTGGCACCGTCTCGGCTCACTGCAACCTCCACCTCCCAGGTTCAAACCATCCTCCTGTCTCAGCCTCCAGAATAGCTGGGGCTACAGGCGCCCGCCACCACGCCTGGCTAATTTTTGTATTTTCTGTAGAGACGGGGTTTCACCATATTGGTCAGGCTGGTCTCGAACTCCTGACCTCAGGTGCCACCCACCTCGGCCTCCCAAAGTGCTGGCATTACAGGTGTGAGCCAGTGCGCCCAGCCACAGTAGGAGTTTTATAACCTCAAACATGTCATCCTTTTGCTATGAAACTTTACACAAATCACTTTAAAGTTTTGGTTTAGTTTCTTTATTTATAAAATGGGGGCAATAGTATCTATACCCAAAGTACTTATAATATTCTTACAAGTTTCACATTAAAATAAACTTACATAAAATTCTTTTGATTTCAAATAATGACCTAATTAATTTGGTTATTCTTATTCTGTTACTTACGTGGACATTTCTTGACACAGAATGCTCCATATGTGTACTTTGCATTGAAATTGTGCTCCAGTTGAAAGGTGGTTGGATTGTAGACAAAGGTTTGGGGACACTGAGTAACACATGCTCCACTGTCATTGAAATTCATGCAGGCCTGCAACACAGCAAATATTACTTTCATTTACAAATAAACTCATAATACTTGTTAATGAAACGCTGCCAAAACAGGAGAAGTTTTTTTCTATAATAATTCCACAAATATTACAAAATTTGATAATTTAAGAGTCATGTGTGTTTCCAAAATTTCATAAAACTCTTTTTTCCAGTATCAGTAAATAGGAAAATTTATGGCTACTGATGCTCAAAGTGCTTAGCCTGTATCCAGTAATTTCTAAACTGAGAATTGGTTTAAAGTTAGCTAATAGTGAAAAATTATTTGAGTTCACACTTATTCAAAGCATTTATATTTAGTCTTAAAGTATAGCACTGACAACCAAATCCCTAATTCTACAGGCTAGATGTCCACTTGAGCTGGTATTTTAAAGAGTTCCATATCCCAAATGACATGTAAAGTACAATTATCACCACTGTCCTGTAAGAAAACATTGTGATGGTGATTTATATCGGACTTAAAGAAAAGGCTCTGGCTGGTGACTAGCCAAATACAAATACAGTGCATGTAATGCCAAAATGTAAAGAGGTAATTAGCTACAGTTGGCCTGTAATTAAATAATATGATGTCATTTCTAGTATGGCTTTTTTCCTAATGCCACTCCATTTAGTAAAAGCTACCATGTAGAAGACAGTTCATTTCTGCTGACTCGTATATTTATATTCATAACTCAATTTATTAATATTTTCAAATTCATTTGGGAAGAATTAAAAACCATTTTATTACCTGAGAGGTAGGTACTTGATATAAAAACAGAATATATGTGTAAGTACATATAAACATGTGATTAACAAAAATGTGGATGAGCTAATTCTTTCAATTAAGAAATTAAGCCATTTTAGGAATGATTTGGGCCTTGGAAAGCAAGCTAATACGAACTCAAGCTATGATTTACATTTAATCATAAATAGTACATATGGTTATTAATAAGCATTAATTTATTCTGTTTCCTCAAAACATTGCTTCATCAATTGTTGTTTTAGCAAGCACTTTATCATAAACATGACAATTCCCTGATGATGGTCTACTAGATGCATAATCAGAACAAGACTTACTGATGACACATTATTCACTAAGATGACACATTCTAGGAAGAATCTATTAAGAACCAATCTAGAAAACTCAGTAAGTTTTAATTTATGGTTATAAAATTTCATGTGTCCTTATAATTGCTTTACTAACATATTTTATGCAATGCTGTACACAGATTGCTCAGGAACAAAGGAACATAAGTCAGAGGAATAAAACAAATTTAGCTTTGCGACAGCATACAAAACAATGTAACTTACACCAAGGCCTTAGTCTGGCATTCTTGAACATTCTGTACCAAAAGCCAAAGTGGAATCATTAGACCGTTCCATAAAAGTAATGAAATGATAATTTGAAGCTCACTCAGCACTGTGCTTATCATGATAATGGAACCATGACAAAAACTGCATGCAAAACTTCTAAGAGTTTTTGCTATTGCTGTTTATTGTTGTTATTGTTTTGGAATTGTTAATGAAACACCTGCAGTGTTCAATGTCTTCAGAATCAAGCTTCCATCCTACGTCTGATGAAAGACAGAGGAAGGTTCTCAGTTCAAGACCTACTGAGTATCTTCTTTAAATTTTTAACATTTTTATTTCCTTTTCTTCTTCCTCCCTATCCATTTCTGCAATACATATTTTTGTTTCACTATAGAATGAGTATAGAAGATTATATTCCTTATGATATTAAGAAAACTAAGAAATTACTGTCTATATCATAAGAGCTTTAATATATGGTTTGCTCATTGCTGGAATTAAGTGTCTTTCTTTTTTTTTTTTTAAAAAAAGCTCAATTCTACTACATATGTTTGCTGGATATTTGAGAGAAAAAAATTTCTGTGTTCATTTTCAACTATATAAACATTTGTGTATTTTTACGATTTTTAGCTTTAAAATTAAGCTGGTGTTCTCGGTATATGAAATTGAGTTAAATACAACTCAAAATTGCTGACATGTATGCCAAAGACAAAGAGTACTGTGTCAGGAATATGATATCAAAATATAATTAAAAACTGTCCCTAACAAACTATTTATAAATCTTAAACTTTTAAAATAATATTACCTTTAAAATATAAACTAGAAAATACTGAAACTCATAAGTATATCTTCTATAATCTTGAAATTTATATTCAAGAAATAAAATGCAATTGCTCCCACTTGCAGAACTCAGTGATGCAACCACATAAACAGGTAATCACCGCATTACTGGAAAGGATGTTATTAGATTATAAAAAGATATCTCAATATGTTCTCCAATGAACCTCATTTGTAACATAAATTATATCAGAAATATACAATTCATTTAATAGAACAATTCTAGTTAATCAGTAGACAACCTAGTGAGGGAATGACTTTGAGGAGGGCAGAGCATTTTTCTTAATCCTAAAGTGGCTAAAGTTGATCTGATTGTAATAAGACAAAGATTCAGTATGCCTGAATCAAATAGGGAAGGAAAGGAGAGCAGGATAATAAAAGAGAGAAATCACAGACATACAAAGCAGTCTGTGTCCTTAGGTCCTGAGCAGCCTCCAGCACATTCTCGATGGCAGCAGTCACTGACGTAAGGTCCGTAGCATCTGCCGTCACATTGTTCTGCACACACCGTCCTTGTCACTGCAGAAGACAGAGATAGGACCATGATCAAAGTCTGCCACCAGGAGAAACTCATAAGCTGAGTTCTGGAGTGACAATTTCTCACCCTGTCTTTGACTCAATTCAGCAAACATTTAATGAATGAGGTTTACAACTAGATCAAAATTTTTATACAAAAATCTCCAAAATTAATTTATAATTATTTCATTTTTATATTCTTTCTTGTTTCAGCAAATAATTACAATGCCTTATGACGATCATACAACTTAACAAGAAAGAATCCAATTTGAAGTCAGGCACAGTGGAGTGTGCCCGTAATCCCAACTACTTGGAGACTGAGACAGGAGGATTGCTTGAGGCCAGTAGTTCAAAGATGCAGTGGGCTACGACTGCACTTGTGAATAGTCACTGCACTCCAGCTTGGGCAGCATAGTGGGACTCTGTCTCTAAAATTAAAAACAAAGGAAAATTGAGATAACTAAATGAGACATTTGGCAGGCTAGGAAAGGTGAAGTCAATTCACACAATGTGCATAGTAAGGTCCTAGTAGAAGGTGTCCCCAGAAATGGGTCTAAGACTTTTAGTAGTCAATGCAGAAAAGGGACACATAAATGTTAAGTTAATTCACATAATATTTTACACGAGGAAAGAAAGGAAGGAAGGAAGGAAGGGGAGGGAAAGGAGGAAGGAAAGAAAAAAGGAAGGAAAGAAAGCCATTAATAGTAAACACAACAAAAATCATCATTGGTCTTTTCTTATAACATGCTTCAATCCAAGCTGACAGCATCATATCGAGGTATACTTTAGTAAAAGCAATACGAAAGGCTATCCATCAACATTATAGCAATAAGAGACACAATTCTGCTTATCTCACTTATTCCAAAAATATTTTTAGGGTATTTAAGGTATGAATTTTACAGGATATGTATAGTATATCACTTCCTGGTTTCTGTATTTCCACTTCAGCCTTGTTTCTTCCTATATTTTCAAACAGATCTTCTAAGCTTTCTTTGTTCCTACCTTATCAAGACTCTGCCTCATAAACATTAGCATTCCCCAGACCTGTTCTTGACAATTTTGGGGGGACTATGGGCTCATTCCTGGATAAAAGTCATTCATCTTCTACTTAGCATACTGTCTACCAGTAAATGACTTTCAGATCTAGAATTGAGTTCTCTGTGGAGCTACAGCATGCATTTCTAGCTGTCTACAGAAGTCCCCATTTTGATATGCAAGGTGTACAAAACAGAACATAACTCTTCTTCCCACACCCACTACTGAGTGTATTTCTTTTCTAAGTTCCCTTATCTCAATTAATGGAAGCACCATATATCCAGTAGCTTGCTAGTAATTTGCAATGTATTTTCTGTCTCCTATCCTCTTATCATCACTTCTCCTACCTAATAAAATTGCCAAGTATTAGCAATAGTTTTCTAAATATTCCTCAGTACTTTCCCTCCTCTCTATTCTAACTTTATTCAAAAGCCTATCTCTAAATGATTACATAGTGTTCTAAAAGTTTTCTCAGATCCCATCTTTTCCTTCCAGTTAATCCTCCACAATGCCCTAAAAGTAATGGCTTGAACCTGTAAGCCAACGCCTATAAATCAGTGTTGATTCACAGTATGAAACTTATGACCATCCCCGTACTAAAGGATTAAACCTTAAGCAAGGGACAAAAGCCCTCCATAAGTTGACCACCATCTCTGCCCTTCCAGGAATCACATTACTCTGTTTCTCACGTCCAGCCAGATAGAAACACTACTTGCAATTAAGTTGTGATTCTCATTGCTTCTTCACAAGGCATTTCTCCATGTTAAAAATCCTTCCTAGCTTCTCAGCCTAGGAAATACTTGCTCTGAAACCTTTCCAGACACAGCTCCAAGCTGAGTTATTTTCTCACTATTGCTTCTGAACAAGCAAGAAGATAAAGTTAATGCAGCAGTCTATGTAGTCTGAAGATCTAGGCTCAAATCCAAAATATATCCACGTTATATGGGCAAGTTATTTAACCATTCTGTATTTTACTTCACCATTTTTAAGATGGAGTTAGTACCCACCTAATAGGATTGAAGATAAATATACAGGTATAAAGTGCTTTACATGGTCCCTATTAACAGTGCTCATCAACTTAGATATTTCTATGGCACTTATACATTTGTATTTTTTTCAAGTTTGCTTCTACCTCACCCCAACTAACCTATGGGTTTATTGAAGTTTATTGTCTTACTTAAGTTTTAATTTTCAGTGATAAACACAGGGTTTGGTACTTAATACACAATATAAGGCAGTATTCCCTTCAAGTAAATAGGTAAATCATATATTGCCAACTCAATGGCAGTATCTCCTCAGGGCTTAATATATTTATCAGAGAGATAAAAAGGTGTATAGAGTTAAAGAGATAGGTCACTAAGAAATATAAAGAGACAAATATTAAAATACTAGGATTTAAATGCTCCTTAAATTCTGCTGTTGATTAGTTCATGATTTCATATTTTTAATTGGATCCTTTTCCATTGAACATGATGATGATATTCATAAAATAATGCACAATATTGAAAGATAAAGAATATTCTTCCATTTGACATGATTAATTAATTATTCTCTATGTAGTACAACCAATACAAACATCAAATAAAGTTTAAACTAAAATGGCACTTGGACTCACCCTCTGTCATGTTTTTTATTTTGTAAAAATAAGGTTACATGCTATTTTTTACCATAAGCTTATAGAAGATTTGGAAAATAATCAAATTTTTATATCTGGGTTTGTGAACGTATATTTTGTATTTGCAATTTTGGTTACATTAAACTTCAAAATAAATTATTTCTTCTATTAGTATCCTGGTACAAAATTCTGCATAATAAATCCCCTTGGACTGTCCCTTCACTTTCTTTAAGTCTTTGACCAAATCACACCTTTGTATTGAAGTCTGCCCCTGTTTAATACTGAATTTTTCCCAATCAACTGACTCCTTATGAACCTTCATCTTCTTTTTTCTCTCTCTTTCTTTCATCTCCCTTCCTTCCTTCCTGTATTTTGTTACAGCATCAATTACCATCTAACATATTATTATTTATTCCATTTATTTTGTTTCTAGGTGTATTACTATGTTTGTAACTGTAACTGGCACTTACATAGTTTTATTTATATTTGATACACACATTATATATATATATATGATATGTACCCAAACAATTTGTATCCTTTCATTAACTCTTCATGTCATACATTATGCTTATATTGATATTTCTATCTTTTAACCAAGTGGTATATTTGTTTAGATGCCCTAATTAGTAATTCATACAATATAAATGACATTTTTTAAAGGAAACACTTTTAACAGACAGTTTTGTACAGAATAAATTCAAACACAATTCTTCTCTTCCAAATTCAATAAAGTGCTTCGATGCATCAACAGTCGCTAATTAAAATAGCAGACATATGTTAAATAAATAAATAACTAGATTTGAAATGTGTTATCACAGGAGAGTTTATCAATTTGCTTCTATTTGACAGCTATTGCTCAGCTGGAAAACAATAGCATGGAGTCAACAATCTTATAAGTCACATCATATTTTAATCATAGACAGATATGTCTAAGTGTTACTTTTTATTTTTAACTCCATGGTGATTTAAAGTAACTAGACAAAATGTTTCAGTTTCTCTGTATTTACTTTGGTTTTTCCTGCCAAATGAGAAAATTAATGTAGAAAATAATTACAATGATAAGACAAGTAACCCTGAATGTAGTTTAAAATTATGTATTAAGTGTTCACGTTAAAATCATTTCTCTCATTGAGTACACTATTTAAATATGAAAATAATATTATACAAATATAATCCAATGTAGTACAATCTTAGATTCAATAGCAATTATTATACTGTGGAACTATTAAAATATTTTAAATTATTTAATCATTTGTGTGGAAGAAAACTTAAAATTTTTGAAAATAGCAACTTTTCCACATAGTATTCAAATATTTAATATTTTTTCAGGACACACTGATTTCTGATATTATATTCCCTTTTAGAAACATGCAGAAAAATTCCTCTAAATTATTATCCAAATGCAGATGCATTCCACAATTTTTATTTAACATGTTAAAAGGGAGTTATGGCTTTCATTTTCCAAAATCAGTCTATAATTGATTTTTTTCAAAGTAAATTACATTCAACTTTAAATATAGGGCTTTTCACCATCAACATTTTTATATCCCTTAATTCCAAACGAAAATTCAGTAAGCATGAAGCATTTGGACACATAAAAGGTAGGCAAAAAGAACAAAACAACAAGCTTAACTGCTAAACAGTAATGGGGTTAAAAAAAATATTTCTTTATATTATTATATGAGACTTGTAACAAGAAAGAAAACATTCCCTTTGTACAATTCAAGGCTACATGCAAGACAAGTGGAAAGGCACCATAGAGTAAATTTATTTAGTAGCATTTTTTGATTAATAAGCATTATTTAATGTGAATAAACTCATCAAATTATACTCATATTTTATTACAATGGGGACACAAAACAAAAAATAATTCCTGAAATCAATGAGATAAGTCAGCCTCTATAGGAACATTAACTTATAATTGCTTTGGTTTTTATTAATTCCATCCTTGCTCAAATATTTCATTACATTTTTTTCCTTGTATTTAGTTTCCTTTCTAAATTGCTTCACTGGGTGCATTAAAATATTTGGGTCCAATTTTCACTAGCTTTTTCATTGGCGGTATGCACTAAATGTGATTAATATAAAATTTAAAACTGGGACGTTAAACTTCTTATATTCGGGTCAGTAAACTTGACATGGGGAATGTGAATTCATTCAAAATATCCATGAGAATTAGACGGGTAACATTTAAGGAATCAAACAATTCATGGTAAGCCAATACTACTGAGAGAATGTCTATCAAGTCAAAAAATATTAAAAAATCATTAAGTAGCTTAATCTTATCAGTATCTCACTAATAAGAACTATGGCTTAATTACTTCTTTCAATATAATGATAACCAATACTGTGATTAAAGTTACTCCCTTAGGACAAATTTATTTTACTTGAAGAAGCTTGGCAATTTACTAATTAAATATTTATTGTTGCTTCCTAGCAACAATAGCAAAAAAGACAAAGAATATTCATAAATAATGCAAAACAGAGCACTGACATCACAGTGACAAGACAAAAGATCTCTGTTCGCCCGTTAACAATAGAAATAAGGATAAATTTAGGCAAAGTCTTTGTGTCTTTTTACACTCTGACACTTCCTCCTCCTCCCCCATCTCCTTCCTCTTTCCCTATCTCCTCTGTCTTCTCTCCTTCAGTGCCTTTTGATTATCTTCATTTCCTCTAACCAGTGGTTCTGAACTGGGTTGTATATTAGATCAACTAACAGTCTTTCAAACTTGAATACTGGAATTCTTCTGTAAGTAAAACTTTTCATTCAGTTGGTATCAGTGGGGCCCAAGACTTTTTAATAAGCCCATTTCTATTAAGCTCCCAGGTAATGTCTCTACCTACTCATCTACATACCCCATATTGAGTAGCAGAATATAGAGTAGTTTCAAAAAATACAATACCTGAGAATCACCTAGTTTCTATTAAATCAAAATCGCTGGCAATTTTCTAGAAGCTTTGGTAGTTTTAATAAGCTCCCTGGGATTCCAATATTCAGTCTAGAGTTGAGAACCTTTATTCTAACCAATGGGAGAAATGGGAGAAAAAAATTTTAAGTCATTTACACCATCTGATTGACTGACTGATTATTCCTTGTCTGAAACTTAATCACAGTGACTTCTTGCTTTAATTTCCTATTTGTGTTGTAAAGGTCCCTATCACTAATTGGAAAATCAAACAAACAAAAATTGATGTGCAAGTAGATATAGGAAAATTTGGGAGGGAAATTACCTATATTTTCGATGGAAATATTGCCTCACTGGTTCTGAAGGCAAACATTATGGATAAATGAAATACCAGTAGAAAACTTCCCTTCTCTCACCCAGCAGCTGTCTGAGTGAAAAGTATCTTGGGGCAATCCCCAATTGCACTGCTAAGCACATTTTAAAGCATATTTATTTTATTTTTTAAAATTTTATTTCAGTTTTTATTCAAAGACTCATACCTCTATGCTGCCTCTATTCTATTTTTGTGTCAAAATTTTGACAAATTATGATCATAAAACATATGTTCAATAACTAGATAGTATTTGAATGGAATGTTTTTATTACACTGTTTCCAGTTACATACTTGGAGGTTTGAACTAGAAGGGAGAAATACTTGGGTTAAAGTAGAGGTGATATGGGTTGGATGTGAGGAAGAATTACTGACTATTAGAGGGATAAAAACACTGTAATGGGCTTCTTAAGTGTTTATTTGTCAGTATTTTAAAAGAAATCTCTTCTACATGCTTTAGACATCCACTTAATTAAAGATAGGAGGCTTGATGAAATGTTCTCTAGAGGTACCCTCTAGCTCTAAGATTCAAAATTTATTCCTATTAATGATGAAATTGTGACTAAAAAACTGAACACTTTGGGTTGTGTAACATGTTTTAAGAAAGCTATCATCAACAGGATACACTTAAAGTGAAACAAATAAAGCTCACAGACCATCCAAGAAGAGGCGTTACTTACAGAGCATGTGTAAAAAATCAGGTTCAATGAAACTAATGCCAAACTATACACTGTTATTCATTCTTCCAAAGGAGAATAATTGAACACATTTGTGTGTCCAGGGCCAGGTAGAAACTAAAAGCCAAGTAGAAAGACTTAAAATAAAGATGTCTGGCCCATCTCCTATATTCTGACTCAGTAAGTCTGGGGAAGGTGTCAGAAAATTCATTTTTTTTTTTTATTTGGAGCCTTAAGATTTTTAGAAGTAGATTTTATAAGCCAATATTTCCAAACTTCTGCTCTAAGGCACTCTCTTATTTCTAATGAAAGGTTCCCATAGATGGAAAGGCAGAGTCAGAGCTGGGTTGGTCTTAAACTAGAACGCTCTTTCCTATCTCATATTAAATTGCAGAAGAAATAAGTCAAAAATTGTTGCCTCACAGAGGAAGGCTTCATCATAAGCCTATATCCTAATTTTTACAGGAAAATAATTTTGCACTTTAAGGATTTTTCAATTCTTTTAACCAGCCACAGTGTATTATCTAACATATTTAAAAAGGCTCTCAGAGGTCTTTTTTGAAAAAAAAAATTAGACCTAGCAAAATGGAATTATCAAAAAGTATCTGGGCTTCTAAATGACCACAATCATACACATTTTCACAATACAAAATAAAATACGACTAATTTTCTTTTATTCCTAATTCCTAATTGGTTTGGTGATAGCTACTCTAAATAAACCGACCAGGCCATATCATGAAGTATATACCCCACATGTAAAATAACTGTTTAATCCAAAATGCAATAACCTCTGTCATTCCCCTGGAAAACATAGCAAATAGCTGTACAGTCGCTACTGAAATTGACATTCAGAGTCAGTTAATAAAAGTAGGGCCAGGCCGGACATGGTGGCTCACGCCTGTAATCCCAGCACTTTGGAAGGCTGAGGCAGGCAAATCACGAGGTCACGAGTGACCAGCCTGACCAACATGCTGAAACCCCATCTCTACTAAAAAAGAAACCCCGTCTCTACTAAAAAGTACAAAAATTAGCCAGGCATGGTGGCGCGCACCTGTAATCCCAGCTACTCAGGAGGCTGAGGCAGGAGAATCACTTAAACCCGGGAGGCGGAGGTTGCAGTGAGCCAAGATCATGCCATTGCACTCCAGCCTGCGTGACTGAGTGAGACTCCGTCTCAAAAAACAAAAAACAAACACAAAAAAAGAGTAGGCCCATATTTTGGCAGCTACTAATCAGGTTTGACCTGATGAATCCCTGGTGACCCACGGACTATGACATGATAATATTGTTAGTTGTGTCAAAGAGGTAAGGGATTCTGTCTAATCCATTCCTTATCACCACCTGCTTTATTCATTTATTTAATGAAGTTTTATTCAACCTATTTAATAAAGACATGATCAATGATTCATTGAGGGACCTTAAAGCTGATTATAAACTACACACTTGGTCACCAGGGAAATTCTCCCTTCTTAATAGGCTATTAGCATCTCCACAGTTTGTGAGTGAAGATTCAAAAAATAATATTGCCTTGTTACGTTAACTATAAAAATATTCTTGAGAGTGAGTAAGAGTTATTTTGCATATTCCTCACAGGCCTGTAGATATTGATTTCAAGGCAATAAAGGAAGAGTATGAATCTGCGTAAGAATACCATAGTATTTTTAAGAATATTTTTAAAAATTAGAATTGAGGTCTGCACCTTAAAATCTGCCTATAAATGATAGGCTGCAGATAAAGTAGTAAAAAAAAGTCATAATTATATCATAGATCTTTCATAAACCAAGAAATATGGAAAATTTGGTATTCAAATTTTTTAAATCACTGTGCATTATAACAGACATCTCCACATCTAACCTGATAGAAAAACAAACAAAAACCAAAAAAAAAAAATTTACTTTCTTTCTTTTGCTTATTCTAGTTCCCTATCCAAAATATTAGTAGAAGAAAACAAATATAATCTCTCTCTCACTCAATTTTGCAATAAAAATACCCACAGAAGGGCCAGGAGTGGTGGCTCACACCTATACACCTAGCATTTGGGAGGCAGAGGCAGGCGGATCACTTGAGGCCAGGAGTTCAAGACCAGCCTGGCCAACATGAAGAAACCCTGTCTCTACTAAAAATACAAAAATTAGCCAGGCAGAGGAAGGAGAATCATTTGAACCCGGGAGACTGAGGTTGCAGCGAGCTGAGATCATGCCACTGTCCTCCAGCCTGGGCCATGCAGCAGAAAATATTTAAAAAATTTTGAAAAAATAATAAATATTTAAAAATTTTGTCTCAAAAATATTTTTAAAAATTGAAAATACAGAATGTTAAAATTAAAAAAAGAACATCATATTAGGTAAACAATGGACAAATATCTGTTGAAACAATAAATACCATCAAGTCCAAATTTCTCATTTTATTGATGAGAAAATTAAAACTGAAATAAACTTACTTGTTTATGAGCAAATCTAAAGTAATGTTCAGACATCTCTAAGACAGATCACCACTTCTTCAGAGCATTCCAGGAAGTTTCTAGTTTTGATGAGGGTGAAGAATTGGGCAAACTATTAGTGGGTGTATAAATTGATACATGATTTTTTGAAGACTAATTTGTCTCTATCAAATTTGTGTATGTAAATTCACATGTGACCAAGCAGTTCTATTTCTAGAAATCTGACTTACAGAAGAATGTGCATCTGTGGACAAATATGTATAGAAAAATGTTCATTAGTTGTAACTGAGAATAATACAATGTAACCTAAATGTCCACTAATGAGGAATTGGTTAAGTAAATTATAGCACAACCATAACTAGGGAAATAGCTGTAGCATTAAAAAAAAAAAAAAAAAAAGCTGGGCGCGGTGGCTCACGGCTGTAATCCCAGCACTTTGGAAGGCCAAGGCGGGCGGATCATGAGGTCAGGAGATCGAGACCATCCTGGCTAACATGGTGAAACCCCATCTCTACTGAAAATACAAAAAAATTAGCCAGGCGTGGTGGCGGGCGCCTGTAGTACCAGCTACTCGGGAGGCTGAGGCAGGAGAATGGTATGAACTTGGGAGGCAGAGCCCCTGCAGTGCAGCCACTGCAATCCAGCCTGGGCGACAAGCGAGACTCTGTCAAAAAAAAAAAAAAAAAAAAAAGACGGATTGTTCTCTATGTCCTGAAATGAAAGGATTTTAAAAATATAATGTGAAGTGAAACAAAAGTGATAGACGAATAGACATGGCATACATATTTTTGTAAAACACACAGAACAAAATCCCACAACTTTTATGTGCTTATGTGTATATGTAAATATAAATACACACACATATACCAAATATTACCATAAAGTAATCACTTTATAAAAAAATGTAGGTTGAGGGAAGCATATTTACTGATGGGAAGGCATTATTATTTTTAACTTTATGACCTGAGTATCACATGAATTTAAAAAAAAAACTATACTAAAATAACCTGTGCATTTGGCAGAGCAAGTTAATTATCCCAGTGTTACAGATGAAGAAGTTAACATTTAAAAACTAGCTTATCCTAGGTCAAATCATAAGTTATTATCAAAGTGGAGTTTAAAATTAGTTTTCTGACTCCTATATATCTTCATTTACATGTTTTCATCAAGTTAAGAGTCACAAATAGAAGGTGCCTAAATGTAAAAATCAAAAGGACTAAAAGGGGAGAGGAAGATAGTTTTGGAAACTGTTTTAAATACAACGCCAAATAGCTAAAGTGATCAAACACGTGTCTGCATTACGTCTCTGAAAAACAGCTTGGCTGATGCTATTTTAACTACCATGATTGTGAGTGATGATAATGAAAACTAAGATATTACTCAAATACTCTTTAAATCTCAGACCCAGAGAGGGCCAACAATGAAAACTAAGATATTACTCAAATACTCTTTAAATCTCAGACCCAGAGAGGGCCAACACTGAAGTCTATACCTCAGAAAAAGAGACCTTTTGAGGAAACCATTTAAAAGAGTTATACCACAAGCACATTTTGAGTATATACAGAAGAATATGTTTTGCTTTTCTCCTCATAGAACACGTTTGGGATTATCTTCTTAAAAAAGATAATCAGGCCAAGCAGAGTGGCTCACGTCTGTAATCCCAGCACTTTGGGAGGCTGAGGCAGGAGGATCTCTTGAGCCCAGGCATTCGAGACTAGCCTAGGCAACATAATGAGACCTTGTCTCTACCAAAAAGAAAAAAGGAAAAACAAAATAGCCAGGCATGGTGGTGTGCACCTGTAGTCCTAGCTGCTTGGGAGGCTGAGGCAGGAGGATCACTTGAGCCCTGGAGTTCAAGGCTAGAGTAAGCTATGATTGTGCCTCTGTGCTCCAGCCTGGGCAACACAGCAAGACTCTGTCTCAAAAAAAGGAAAAAAAAAAAAAGATAATCATGTCCTCCTACAAGTCACATAATGCACCTTTGTAGTGTTTTTCAAACTTTTGATTTTTAAAAAATAACAATTTACAGTACAAATAACATTGTATTATGGCTCAGTACACATATCCTTGATGAAATGTTTTGAGGAATAATGCTGAGCCTAATCAGTGCAAGAGCATTTTGATACTGCCTTTTCTGGTCAATTTTATTCCAATGTATCTTATTTCAATAAAAATGTATTGTTGGGCAGGGTGTACTGAAGTGATTTTATAATCTACTAACAAGTTGCAACCAGCAATCTGAAAGCATTGTCTTATTGCATGAACAAAGGTCAAATTAAGAAATTAGAGAAACCGATCTCTGTGCTCTTCTTATATATGTACAGCAAATTAGCCTTCTAATGAATTCAGGAATTTAGAGCCACTGGTGATAAAATTTCCCTTTTCTGAAGTTTTAGGATTCTAGAGGATATGGAAAATCACTGCACAATACAGCCTGCCATAATGCCTTATCTTCAGAATTGTGCCATTGAGACTGACCATTCTCAGAGGTTTGTGCTTTTTATTCCCACCATAATTACTGGAAATTTGGGATCGTTCAGTCTGAATTTCTCCTACATGGCAGTATATTAAATTGTGGGCCAATACAAAACAACTTTTTGGATCCTCTCCAAGCAATATATTTATAGAAAATAATATAATCTATAGATATTAAAGCTTTTATGCATGATTAATATATTGATAAAAAAATTATAATCTCTCTGCTCAGGACAAAAGTTCGGAAGTCCTCAACATTTACCAAAAAAGTCATGTCGCGATAAAGAGGGTATTACTTATTATATTTGTTGTTACTTACTTTCTTAAAATTCTGAAATTACATATGCAGTACCTATTTTCAGGGAAATATAAGTAACTACAGATATGCAGAATTAAAAACAATTCATTTGTTCTCTTACTCCAGCAGTAACAACCAATGTCAACTTTTGAGTCTCTGTGAATGCTTGACATCCCTATTATGGTTCCACACTAGTATGAGAGTTAAGAGAACACAAAACACACAATTAAAAGTAATTCAAAATAACTCAGATCTTTACAATTTTCAAATCCAGGAAGGGGACACAATCTCCCTTCCTGCCTCCAGAAAATTATCCCATCAATCCACATTTCTCTACATGCAGAAATCTCATATTCTCCTCCTTCAGAACTTTCTCTAGTCCCACTTCTTCTTGTCTCTCCTACCTTATTTCCAGTGTATATACCGAAATGATTCATGAGGTTGGAATGAGATAATACATGTGAAACTGTTAGTACAAAACCGGCACAATGGATAACTACAGGAAGTTCTCTGGAGATGACTTTACATAATTTTGACTTTACATAATAGCTAATTTTCACTTTACGTAATAGCTGTGCCAGATTAGACACATTGCTTAACCTCTCTGTGATTTAGGTTTTCATCTATAAAATAAAAATAACAACTGTACTTACCTCATGAAGCTGTTACAAAGATTTTATGTATTATGGGAAATTATTAATTTGGAATAGTGCCTAACATGCAGTGAACATTATATAAATATTGGCTCTTGGTATTGTTAAGTAATCGATGAATGGTAGTTATTATCTCGCTTTATAGCTTGGTATTTTTAACTAAATATTATATCATTAACTGTCTTTTGTAGAAGCATAAATATGCTTCTGCTGTATTATTTTTTAAAGCTCTATATTATACTATTGTATGAATATACCCTGAATCCCCTTTCTAAGCTATTTGCAATGTTTGTATTTTTTACTATTATAAATACTGCTGTAATATATACTATGGAACATTCGTTTCATGCATATGATAATCTAAGTGTTAAAATAATACATTTCGTGGTTCAAGAAAATGCATATTTTTAAAACTTTGATACAAATGACTAATTAGTCTACATGGTGATTTTTACCTATTTATAATCTACCAAGAATAACTGATACTGTTCCAAGCTCATACTTTCTTTCTTACTAGGAGTTATCTGAATATGTTTTTAATTTATAAAGTTGTATGTCATTGATTATAAGTAATGTCAAGTATTTTTTGCAGATTTCTTGTATAAATGTTCAATTCTTTTTAATTAAAATTATTTTAAAAATACAAAACTATACTTAACTATAATGCAGTTAAAGTAATTTTTCCTTTGTTTTTGTTTTTTTTTTTTTTTTTTTTTTTTTGAGACAGAGTCTTGCTCTGTTGCCCAGGCTGGAGTGAAGTGGCATGATCTCGGCTCACTGCAGCCTCCACCTCCCAGGTTCAAGGGATTCTCCTGCCTCAGCCTCTTGAGTAGCTGGGACTACAGGTGTCTCTGCCACCACACTCAGCTAATTTTTTGTATTTTTAGTAGAGACAGGGTTTCACCATGTTGGCCAGGCTGGTCTTGAACACCTGAACTCAGGTGATCCACCTGCCTTGGCCTCCCAGAGTGCTGCGGTTACAGGCATGAGCCACCACGCCCGGCCCTCTTTTTTTTTTTGAGATGGAGTTTCCTCTGTCGCCCAGACTAGAGTGCAATGGTGTGATCTTGGCTCACTGCAACCTCTGCCTCCTGGGTTCAAGCGATTCTCATGCGTCAGCCTCCCAAATAGCTGAGATTACAGGTGCTCACCACCATACCCGGCTATTTTTTGCATTTTTAGTAGACAGGTCAAACTCCTGACCTCAAGTGATCCACCTGCCTTGGCCTCCTAAAATGCTGGGATTACAGGCATGAACCATTGTGGCTGGCCAGAAAATGATCTTTTTCTTATATTTTATTTTGTATTTGTTATGTCATGTTTAAAAAGGCAGTCATCATTCTGTAATTTTTATCTCTATATTTTTTCCTAGTACTTCCAGTTATATCACATGTTTTTAAATTTTTAATCTATAATTCATCAATCTGTATAGGTCTATCTAAATATAGACTATATATAGTCTATCCTATGCTCTTTAGACTTTTAATGTACTACCCATCTTATGCCTTTTGTTTTATTGTAGGGATCTAACATTATCTTATTCCATAAGTGAGCCATTTATTCATACTCTCTTTGTTAAATAATCTATGCTTTTGTCATTTTTAAAAAATGTCACCTTTGTAAAAACTAAATCACTGTAGACATTTGCCTCCAAATGTCTAACTTTGTTAGATTCCATTTAATCAATACCATTCTGAACCAGTTATACACTGTTTTAATAATTATTACTTTTTAACATTTTAATACTTGATAGGGAAAATGATTCCACAAGGTTATTCTTTTCAAACATCTGGCTATTTATTTATTTATTTATTTTGAGACAGAGTCTCGCTCTGTCACCAGGCTGGAGTGCAGTGGTGTGATCTTGGCTCACCGCAACCTCTGCCTACCAGGTTCAACCGATTCTCCTGCCTCAGTGTCCCGAGTAGCTGGGACTACAGGCACATGCCACCAAGCCCAGCTAATTTTTGTAATTTTGTGTTTTGGCAGAGACAGAGTTTCACCATTTTGACCAGGATGGTCTCGATCTCTTGACCACGTGATCTGCCCGCTTCGGCCTCCCAAAGTGTTGGGATTACAGGCGTGAGCCACTGCGCCCAGCCTCATCTGGCTATTTTATTAAATGTATTTTTAAGATATTCTTTAGAAAAGAAAGCATTGGTAATTGATTAAATATAGTTAAAAATATAGCTTAATTTTAGAAAAACTGACATTTTCAAAGCATGGGCATTTCTATCTTAGAATGCAGTAGTTCCCTATTCATTTAATTTTGTGGTTACATATTGGTGAAATATTGTAGCTTGATTCTTTTAAATTATCAGCAACTAGTTGTTAACATCAGAATCTGTCTTTTTTTCTGTTCCCTCATCCTCTCTGTTTTCTAGTCAATGAAATTACATACTTCTTAAATACATATAACATCCTTATTAAAGAGGAAAATAATTATCCTGTGTGACAGTTACTCAAGAAATACTGAAATCAGAACAAAACTTGTAGGTATTTCCGTGGTCATAATGCTCTATCAGCTCCGTTATAACAAAATTCATGGGTAAAAATATTTTAGATAGACCAAAAATAACTGTCTTCAGTGAGATAGTAATATATACAAATTATTTTTTAAAATATTTTTGTATGTTTTTATAACTCATCATAAATTAATAGAGTGACTATTTCTTTGGAAAGTGCCCATGGTAATGGAGAGATGCAGCCATGATAATATTATAAATTGTTGAGTAATATATAAAATTTATATTGGCTTCAGAAATGAAATCTTTACATGTCTGATATTTAGTGAACTCACATTTATTTTAATATAATGGACAAAAACGTGGCTTGGCACAAGAAAAGTTGACCTGTATCCAGTTACCCCTTCTTATCCTCTTTCATCTCTGTACTGTACCCCTTCCTATCCTCTTTCATCCCTATACTGTTTACTTAATTATTTCTTTTCTTTGTCTTTTTTTTTTTTTTTTTTTTTTTGAGACAGAGTCTCCCTCTGTCGCGGCGTGATCTTGGCTCACTGCAAGCTCCGCTTACAGGGTTTATGCCATTCACGTGCCTCAGCTTCCCGAGTAGCTGGGACTATAGGCGCCCGCCACCACACCCGACTAATTTTTTGTATTTTTAGTGGAGACGGGGTTTCACTGTGTTAGCCAGGATGGTCTCGATCTCCTGACCTGGTGATCCACCTGCCTCAGCCTCCCAAAGTGCTGGGATTACAGGCGTGAGCCACTGCGCCCAGCCTACTTAATTATTTCTTTAACCAAATTGATTAATTTGAAAAAGAATATAATACATTTCAATAATTTTAAGGCAAAACTTTAAGGAGAATATCTTTCTTCATGCTTGCTAAATTCTCAAACCGTTAGAGTGGTATGTAAGTGCTTGCTTTTCCTAGAATAAAATCTCACACTTCTTTCCATTTCTGTAGCCAAAATAGTATGGCTGTCCTATTCATCAGAAGCATGTCACATGTAGGTAATTTTGAAATTTTCTCTTTGATAGTCAAATATAGTTACTCTAATGACAGTCAGCTCTTCTGCTGTGAAGACACAAATAATTCAGAATAAGTTGTCATCACTACCAAAATAACAAAATTATTTTACTGGTAGAACTTTCAGATATATCTGACTGTTCTTCTCAATGTCCTATTAGTAATCCTTCAAATGTGGAGTATTCATTTTCTGATCCCTCTGCTTAGAATAGCTATCTGCACAACACCCCACAGTTTCCATTCTCTCAATCTATATCTGTATCTGTATAATCTATAACTATATATGTAGTTATACACACACACACACACACACACACACACACTAGATGACAGACAGATGATAGAGAGAGAGAGAGAGAAAGATAAGAGAACTTGTTGAAACTGAGGTTCTTAAATTGAGTTAGAGGTGGGACCAAATCTCTAGTTACCTAATGTCCCAGTTTAATATTCTTTTTGATCATTTCCAACATTCCTCACCTTTGTCTTGTATCTAACCCACAGTATGGCCACAGAACAGGAACAATTTTATATATACCTTTATGCCCCTGAAGCCCTTGGCTTGTCATTAAGTAATAGCTCCTGAATCCCATTAAACTGTAATATACAGAGTATTTTAAATATATACATCTCCTGTAGTTAAAATGAAACAACTTGTTCTTTTAAATCTTTGAGAAAAGTCATTAAATTACAACAAATATTATCAACTTATGTCAAAATGAAGAACACATCAGGGAAGATTTTTCTCATTTTCTACCGGTAAATTATTGGGGCACTTTTTGAAATGGTCAGTGTAATCAAGTAATTAGCTCATTGTAATGTTTACTTTAATTTTACAATATCTCCAGAAACCATAAATCCAAAAAAGGAAAAATGGGAATAATTGAAATCAATAAGAAGGCTTATGGATGTGCAAAGTTATTAGTAAAATACAAGGGTTTTAATTAAAGATGTTGGCGTGTACAAAGACTCGCTGTTATCCTGATTGATGGGGCCTGCTGGCTCAGCTCTTTCCCTGTTCCCCATTAGCTCCCACTTGCTTTTCTCTGCTCTAATTGGATATTTACCACATCGGCACCTTCTTTTTAAACAACATTTGTTCCACAAAGAATGTAAATACAATTACACTTTAGACAAATTATATGTGTACGCATGTGTGTGAGTATAATTAGTTTATTATCCAAATAATTTGTCATTTTGCTTTCACATTCTACAGGAAACTGTTGAAAATTTCATGGAGAAAGATACAATTTAATTTTCAACTGCAACATTTCTTGTTGAAATTTTGAGGAACAAAAATATATAATCATTTTGTTAGATTTTATTATTCTATTTCGAAGGAGTTCCAGATATACTTTTGAATAAATAAAAGGACATGTATATATGTATGACATTTTTCTTAAGAATAAATAAAATTCATAAGCCAGGCTAAGGTTTTGTTTTTTTCCCCTTTACTATTAAACTGAAACTTTTAATATATTGCAAATGTTAAAACCAATTTTCTTCATGCCCAAGCATAATAAATTACTGAGGAAAATGCTAAATAATTTCTAAATTTTCCTAGCATATTCTATAATGTCTGTATGGAAAAAGTAAATGACATAAAATGTTGTTTGGAAAAAGGTTTTATTTTGCCAGTGTAGTACTACCCATATTAACAATTATCTACAAGAAAAAAATACAGTGCTTATCTTTATTTTACTATTATTCTATTTTTAATTAAAAAAAAAGATTTTGAGATAACCTGGCAAGTTCTATTACTTATGATAGTCTAGGAAGACTATCATAAGTAAGTAAGAAGCAAGAGGTAAATCCCATCAAAAGAACTTTTCTTTTGGTTAAAGTAATGCATTAGTCAGTTTAATGGAGACATTTAAATTAGACATTTAAATGGAGAGAAGTGTATCTGTTCACTCCAGTGGTTAAAGTATGCATTTCTTCATTAATTTTGCTGTATTTCAACTTCTACAATAAATAATGTTTTTAACCTATTGTCAAACTCACATTTTTCAATCAGCTTATCAGCAAGAAACATCACTTATAAAGCAACTTAGAAAACTAAAGAGTGTATTGAGTGGTTATCAGCCTAGAAAACTTCACAATTATGATGACTTTAATGCAAAATGTATGCAAAGTTCAGGAAAATCAAACTGTAATGTTTGGATATATGCCTTTTTCCCCCTCCTCACTCAAAATGCAGTGACTGAGATAACACCAGGTCTAGCAGGACAAAAGGAATGCGTAAAATGAAACAACCACCCTTTCTGATAATGGGAGACTGGAGAGAGCTGGCCTGATATTGTGCTTAAAGATAAAAAAGGACATGCAGTATCTACTTTAAATGAGATAAGTGTGCTTCATATATCTTGCAGGGACAGAGATAACTTTGTTTCTTTAATCATTATTATTTATTTCTTAAACCTTAGTCTCTCTCATACCTAAAACCTGTAGAGCTCATAGGTTACGACTCAGTTCTTATGAATAGAGAGAGTTGTCATTCTTACCTGTAAGCCTGCTAAATAATACTTCTATAAGCTTCAGACTTCACATAGCAGATAAGTTTGTCTCCCCTGACACGACTACATTAATCCACTAAATCAATTTACTTAAGCTGTGCTGTGGAGCAATGCAGCCACCATTTAACTGAGCTTAAAAGTACTTTCAAGTTTGAGTCACTGCTCCACATGTAACGTAGCTCTCAGTGTCCAATCATAAGTTCTATTTTGACCCTTTGCAACTCTGTGAGAAATTTTCTTGTTAGGTTTATAGGGTCATGGTGCTCTAACATCCAGAAGGATTTAAGGAGAATAAATTCATGATGTTTTAGAAAATCAGACTCATGAGTAACACAGGAAGAGGGGAACACTTGGTTAGATTTTACAAGCACAATCTACTTACATTAATATTTACAACATTCTTTAAGTTGAATGAGTTTGTTTTAAATAATTTATCTAGAAAATATTTCATATGTTAGGAAAACATTTAAAAAAAACAGCTACTAGTTTCACAGTTTATAGCCTGAACATAATTAAATGCTATGGAGGAACAATGACACAATTAAATTATTTAACGTGCAATCAAGCTAACTGTGGCACCCAAAAAAGTACACAAAATAACTTGCAAAATGTTACTAAATTTTACTGAAAATGTACTAACTTTTACTAAAAATATAAAAGATTTTACTGAAATTTCTGTCTGGTAGGTTTGCATAGCCAACTGTTGTTCGTAGTAAGTTGTCGGTTTGTTCACATTCTTCTTCCATTTAGCTAAATCTATTAAAAACAAAAACAAAAACCTTTTCTTCATTTCTTCTGTTTAAAACCTCTGGCCTCCCACAGACCTTCCCTGAAGCTCACTGTTGTTGTGACCGGCTTCTTTGTTTCTCTGTATCTCTATTCAGAGATGTTTTCAATCTGATCACCACTCTTTGCTTCATTTCACCCTAACAAGTCATTCATTTTCATGAACTTGTTCTCCCAGAGCCTGGGCCATTTGTCTTTAGCGTGGCTTCTCACCATTTAGTGACAAAGAGGATAACTCCCAGCACATTTGCTAGGAGACACCTGTGGGAAGATGTCAGCACTGATAAGGTGTAGTCTATGAAATATATGCGTCACTTCAGTTTCCTTAGCTGAGGTGTGGGGCTTTTTAATACTTTTTTCTCTTTTCCCCAATGTATGGAAAGTCTCAAAGAATAATTATCCATAAAAAATAAGGAAATATTTGGTAAATCATGAAGCTGAATACTTCCAGAAAAGCCTTCACTAAAGTGAATTTATTTTAGTCATAGGGAAATAGGTCATTTGTAAATAACATCTGATTGTATCTTTCAGACTCTAAAATGTACTTTTATATAGTCAATCCACAAAAGCAGAATATTGTCAAAAACTTACATAGCATGTTTTCTGATTTTTTAAAAGTTAAGTCAGGGTCAGATATAAGTATATCTTTAGTGGACCTAAGAGTAAATATTATGTTTTAAATAACAGAAGAGTCAGTGGAAATCTAGAGAAAGCCTAAAATAACTGACTTTAAAAAAATGAATCGTGTGTTACAACTGTATGGGGTCTCTGGAGGTCTCATATTGTTATGGAATCTCTCGTGAGAGCTAATTCTCAAAAAATACAACCTAAATTCTAAAATTGTGATCTTACAATAAGTATATTTTTGAGTAGTTCCAAAATACTTTTTGCCTCAGGATGCTGGGCTCTTTAAATATGGATAAGTAATTTCGCTTTCAAGTAGCTCAGACTAAGAGAGAGAGAGGACAGGAATGAATGTCAAGGACAGGCAGCCTCCAACCCCACTCCAGGGTTTTTGCTCTTCCATGTCCCAGCCACCAGGTGTCAGTAGACTTCACAAGGTGGAACTGGCCTACAGGAGTTTGCCTTCCACTTTCATTCATTCAGATTTAAATTGGAATAAGTTTTCTAACAGTATCCTTTCCAGTTTATTATAATATCGGCTATTATTGATTGGGTTTTGGATATATTAAAAATTATTTAAGAGCTTCAACTGCATTGTTGAATTTCATTGTGCCCCCCACCCTCCACCGCCAGAAAAAAAACAAAAACAAAACAAAAAAAACCCTTAGGTAAGTATACTTATCTCCATTTTATAGATATGGTAATGATATTCTGAAAGATGAAGTCATTTTCCCATGATAGAAACTGGAAACAACTGAGATTTGTATCTCTTGGCTAATTTCAAATCCAGCTTCCTCGACTACTAAACTGTGTTACAAAATACTGTATCCAGGAAACAGTTGTCTCTAGATTAAGAACACTTAGGTTAAAATCCAGGTATTAGCTGTGTAAATTTAGCCCTTTAATCATTTCCTCTGCTTATATTTCCTCAATTGTAAAATTGGGTTAATGTAACTGCCCTCTTTAACTCACAGGAATATTGTGAAAATGAATTTTTAAAATGGAAATATTTAATAAAGTTCTATGTTAACTTGTATACTATTCTAACATTTGGCCGGTGTGGTGGCTCACACCTGTAATCCCAGCACTTTGGAAGGCCAAGAAGACAGGATTGCTTGAAGCCAGGAGTTTGAGAACAGTCTGGGCAACAAAGAGACAACCCATCACTATCAACAGAGTGAAACACTGTCTCTAAAGCAAAATAATATAAAATAAAATAAAATTTGTACTTGCTTATTAGGTCCATGAATTTGTTGAGTTTAAATTTGGTAGGCTTTGTGGAGTAAGCACAGTGGCCGTTAAGCCAATTTTGGATTACAGTAAGGATAGCTTCTATGCTGAAAAATTAGCTGAATTAAGTAATTTCACGTCTGATGATTTGATACATGAATTATAACTTGATGATTTTCTTAGTCAAGACTTCCTCCCACCTGTGTTTGGTAGCAAGTGAGAAAACTCCATTCAGGCTGGGTGCACTGGCTCACACCTGTAATCCTAGCACTTTGGGAGGCCGAGGCGAGTGGATCACCTGAGGTCAGGAGTTCAAGACCAGCCTGACCAACATGGCGAAACCCCGTCTCTACTAAAAGTACAAAAAATTAGCCAGGCGTGGTGGCACATGACTGTAATCCCAGCTACTTGTGAGGCTGAGGCAGGAGAATTGCTTGAACCCGGGAGGCGGAGGTTGCACGGAGCCGAGATCGCACCACCGCACTCCAGCCTGGGTGACAGAGGGAGACTGTCTCAAAAAAAAAAAAAAAAAAAACCCTCCATTCAAATATACTAGAAGAACATCGTGTTTCTTATGGAACCTAAGGACAGCAGTGTAGCTGGACCTCACGGAACCCAGAGAACTAGGAGGTAAACATTGTCAAAAATTGTTATTCTTTCTTTCCTCAACTCTCTGTATGGCTGCTTTATTCTTTAGTGACTTTGGGGACTGTTTCTTTCTGCTTCTCAATAACATACGTAGTTCAAAAATGGAAACCTCAATTAGCTTTAACATCTCTTCAGGTTCAAGTTTCTAAGTTATTGTAACCAGCACTTTTGGATCCCAAATCTAAATTCTCTGGAGAGAGAATTTGACTGGCCCAGTCTAGTCAATTATCCACCCATATTACAAGATTTCTCAACCCTCAGTACTATTAACATTTTTATTTGTACTGACTAATGCTTTGTTTGGGTAGGGGTGGAAGAGGCTTTCCTGTGCATTGCAGGGCATCATCTCTGGTCTCTACTTTACCAGTGCCAGAAGATCATCCCTCCCACCCCTCCTCCATGATATGACAACCCAAATTATCAAATGTCTCCTGTGGGGCAGAAATCACTTCTGGTTGATAAACACTGCCCTGTGAAGTAAAGGGTAAAGTGTCCCATAAAACAAACATGGCTACTGGGGCTGACCATCTAGAAGGGGGTATTTTTCGGAGAAGGCCACGTGTCTGCTTGGCAATTATCCTGAAAGTGGTCTATTATAGAAATAAGAGATGTTGGTGGAAATTATAACTTTTGTGAAATTTAGCCAACAGAAGCAGATCTACTAAAATAAATTAAAAGGTTCAGAATTTTTAGCACTGTATAAATTGAAGGAAAATTTCAATCAAAGTTAGGGAAAACCCTAATAATCAATGACATACAACTTTTTTTTTTGCATTCTACCCTAATACAGTGATTGAATTTCACATTTTTTACTCATATATCTCAATCTGAGAATAAATATTCACCATCTATGTATATATAATATATAATATGTATACAGAGAGTCTTTCTTGGTATCTGCAGTAAATTGGTTCCAGGACCCCCATAAATACCAAACTCCATAGATGTTCACTTCCCTTATATGAAATGGCATATAATATTTGAGTATAAACTACACACATCATCCTATATACTTTAAATCATCTCTATATTACTTATAATGCATAATACAATGTAAATGCTACGTAAATAGATGTTATAATATATAGTTTTTTATATGTATTATTTTTAATTGTTTATTATTTTAATTGTTTTTTTCCAAGTATTTTTGATCTGCAGTTGGTTGAATTTGCCATGTGGAAACCAGTGATATGGAGGAACGACTGTAAAATCGATACATATAATCTATACACTGCATTTTGTAATCTGTAAAAATACACATAAAATAAGACACAGATGAAAATAATAATTAAAGTAATTATTTTAATTGTAATAGTATTATTAATTTTAATTAATAGTGTTATTGAATACACTGTATGAGACTTCTGGTATAGAAAAGATGGCAGAGACCTTTTTCTTCCCACCTGTTTAATTCAACTGTAAACCCTGAAAGTAACGCAAGAGGCAACCAAAGGAGAAATCTGAAAGGTGGTGGGAGGAAGTAATTTTGTTCTGGGATCTAGCACTGGAGGAACAACACAACAGCAGGGTGTCTTAAGTGCCCCTACTCAACAGAAGAGGGATCCACCCCAGTGTTTCCCAAATCTAAGCTCCTTCCTCCCTCAGATCTATGGTGAGTCCCTCAACAGTACTGGCTGAACCCCATGGGCCTGAGACAGGGTGTGGTTGGGCCCACCAGAGTGGCTCAGCCACAACAAGGAGCTTTTGCAGAAGCCTCTTTGACCCCTCTGTAAAATAAATAAGTGAATAAATAAAATAAGTAGGTGAGTGAGTAAAAACTCATTTTTAATTTGATACCTCGGTAGTTTTTTTCTGCCATGAAATGACCAGTGGATATCTAGCACTTTCACAGTCTCTTTGGTTACTTTCCACTTCATCACAAACTGTTGCAGATTTTTCCTTATTTTAGAGAACTTGACTTCCTGCAAATGGTCACATGCGTGTCAGACCAGCACTGGGATGCAACTTAGCCTCCAATTCTTTGCTATTAAAAGAATATCTCCAAATATTGTGAATGAATTTCACACAATAATCTCATCTTATTTAAAAGCCTGTTTAAGATTCTTGTCAATACATTCCTGCCATAAAACATTGTTTCTATTAAATAAGTTAATTTAAATCTACACTGACTATGTTTCATCTAACCCTTTGACAAAGATCCAAAAATTCCCTAATGAACTACTTCGTCCAAAGAATAGGGAGGGAAATAGGCATTTATGTACATTGCTCTCGGTAGAACTAATTGATCCAACCTCTATAGAAAATAAGATCTCCATTTTGCTGTTCTCTACCCATTTCCAAATCCACATGTCTATGACCCTACAAATTCACCTCTAGAAATTAATACTACAAATAATTCATACACATGCATGGGTTGAAGAAATCAAGCTGTAGTACAACATGCAAAACATGCTAATATTTGAATGAAAAATGGGGTGAGTGCTTATATACATACTTCCTTGGGTATGCATAAATTATTTTTGGAAAAATACACCAAAATAGCCAATAATATTTGTTGCCTATGGAGAGCTGAGGGAAAAAGGTGGGACCCACGTGGGAAGATACTATTTTACCTTATAATCTTTTCCATTTCATGAATTTTGGATATGAGAGTGCCCATGAATTAAAATTAATAAATTTAAGAAATCATTTATCATTGGAAATATTTTTCCTATATTTTTATTCTTTGGTGGTTCACAATAAAATAATCCTTTTATATCTCTTTATTAAAACAGAATCTAGCAAATAGAACTAGACAAATGTGAACTGAGACAAATTAGAAATCTGTAAAGTTTCATCTAAGAGTGTAATATTTGTATGTTTGAATCTTTAATATTTTCTGTATCATCTATGATAACAAAGAAATATATTTCAACTTGTCACTATATTTTTTCCATATCATATTTCAGTCATTTTTATTGCAGCAGGAAGAATGAGTGTTTACCACTTGTATAGGACATTTTATTTTTCTTTTTTAAAGAAATCATTTATTCTTAAGTTTCATGAAAGTTCAGTGCTGGTTTGAGTACTAAACAACATTAAGAATGCTGAAAAAAAAATAGCTATTTGTCTTTATATTTAGTATGCTTTGTTACTATATGTCTTAGCAATGATGATAGCTTCATATTTTCTTTAGCTAATGACTAATCCAAGAAACAGTATAAACTAAGGGCAATAGTCATTGTCAAAAATAGTGACTATTTCCATAATTCATAAAGTTTTTATCCCTGTGCCTGGAACAGTGCCTGGAAAAATACAGTGGGTACATAGTACCCTTTCTTTTTTCTTTCCTCTCCTTTTGTAATGAATGAATAGTGAAATAACTAGTTAATGAAAGGACTGAGAGACCCAGTTAACCTGAAATTGAGTTACTATTTTGTACACATTGGATTTCCCACTTCTAGTGATGTAAAAACTCTAAAGTTATAGCTAATATCACCATAGCTGTGCTGTTGAGATCATTAACCTAGAAACCACGAAGAAACCTAAGAATCAATTATATATTAATTTTCATTTGAAAGCAATGAAAATCGGGTAGTTTTCTTGGCCCAAAGCAAATCAACCACAAGGAGGTGATAGCTCATTTCATGTTTTAGATGACCAGAGGCATGAAATGGACCAATCATTAAAATTCCTTGACCACATCAAACCTGTGTGCTCTCACTGATGAACACTTACAAGTCTGGCAATGATTTTCTGTGGGTCCCCAGCAACGGCCAGTACAGGACTTATGGCAACGTCCACCTGCAGAACACGAAAAGGGAAAAAGGACATGCACGTTATAATCTTTCACTCCTTGACTAGGAGTAACTCCTCAAAGGAAATACTCCTGCTCCTTTATGAGGATTTTTATGTCATACTAGAGCTGAAACATAGCCCATAAAATGCCCACTTAAGTAGGAAAACCTGAATGTCAAACATATGTGAAACTAAAGTACAACCTCCTGGTATTCAAATCCTCTTATCATTTTTTAGGAAAATAAAATAAATGAATTTGTGAATTTTCTCAGGAAATCAAAAGCAAATGATTATAGTTAATAAGTTTCACTTTCACTGTTCAGCATTATTATTCTATTGATCTATTCTACTTGATATAATTTCCAGAGATCACACCTTACTGAGAGCAACATATATTAAAAAGTAAAGCAACAGTTAAAAATAAGTGGAAATCTATGAGAACAAGAATATATTTTTACAAACACATGAAAAATCATTAGAATAAATGGTAAAATCATGCATTTAAGCTATACTTTTGAAAGCTTAATTTCAATTATTTTAATATATACTTCTAAAATGTTTATTAACATTATTTGCATTTTCAACTCTAAGCCTTAATCTCCTATAGTGGCATCTTCTTCTACCATAGGTATTTGCCTCAACAAACGTAGTTGTCCCACAGAGAAATTCCCATCGGGACTGAAAATAAAGAATATTAGCTGGAAGAAGTCATATAAAAACGACTTCCTTTGAATCTTATTTCTGAATTTCATAGATTCACTCTAAATTTCTGTGGGTACATGACACATTTTTAGAATAAAATATAGATGTTAAAAATCTATTAAAGCTTAAAACTTTTCCATAAACAGAAATGTTTTCTATGACATTTCCTTAAATGCTTCTTATTAAACATTGTCAATTGTTTAATATTAATTGTTAATAGGATTCTCCCATTTAAAGTGTTTAACAACGTTAACTATATTATAAATATCATCAAATAACATCTCGTCAGATGCTCCCATCTTTCCTTGATTCAAGTTTTTAATTCCTCAACCAGAAAGTTCTTACAACCTGGAGTGTTTTCCCGCCTCCAGTGAAACTGCCAAAGTGAGCCTATTCTGTTAAATGAGTACACGGTTAAGATGCAGATTCAAAAGACACTTTCTCTGGCTGGATCTCAGACCATTCAGATTGTCTACCTTTGAGAAAGTAAACTGTACTATTTCCAAGTTAATAAAATACTTAGGTTCAATTCCAGTCATCTTAAAAGTACGGGGATCTTTGCTACAACAGAGTTTATTTAAAGCAATTCTATTTGTGAAGTATTGCCGCTGACATCACCAGTGTATAATATCCTGTCACTCTGCCATCTGTTTATTTAGAGCCAAACACATTATAACAACATAATGCAAGCTCATTGTAGCTGACAGGAAAAGGACTCCATCTGGCCTGAACAATATAACTTTAATCAGTGATAATGATAATTATTATTAAAAACTTACAGGAGTTCTTTTGTACAAAGCTAATAAATCTAAATTGATTTATACTAGCGGAAATTAGAAAGGACTGTGAGACAAAATAGGAAGCAGTGAAAACTTTTTGGAGTACAAACTTTTTTATGAGAAAGTAGCTAATGTTAATGTGTTTTCTTAGATTTGGTATAATCCTCTAAATTGATCCATTAAGTGGTCTGTTAATTGAAGATAGTTGAAGCATAAGATAATCTACCATTTAATCTATGATTTATTTAATTATGTTTGGGGCTTGTAAAATATTTGGCCTTATTCTTTGTGGCCAGAATACTACCTAACTGGAAAAAAAAAAAAAAGAAAAGAAAAGATAAAAGCAAATAGAAGAGAAGAAAAGAAAAAGTAAAGAAAGAGGAAGGAAGGAAGGAACAAGGAAAGGAAGGAGCTAAGTAACAAAATTCATATTAGACATTTTTATATTCTCAATGTTTTTCTCTTACTCGATTAATTTTTTAACTTCTTATTCTTGAAATTCCAATTTGCCACCCAGACATCTGCTCCCAGATTCAATATAAAAAGGCATGTTGCTAGAAATACTGTTGACGGTTCTTGACAAGGTATCAGGGCAAGGCCCACCTATTTGAAAATGTGATATAGTACCCACACACACAAAAAACAAGTTTAAATAATTTAACCTTGACTGTCTACTCGATATTATGAGATTTTGTTGGTAGTTTCCATTTCCACTTGACCTACACATTTCAAAATTCTATTATGACAAATGCACTAGAGGATCTAGAATTGACTGTACTCCCATAAATCGCTGTTCAGCCAAGACTACCCTTATTTAACTTTCTCTCTGGAGCCTTGACACTTTTGGAATCTGTCCTAGTACTCAGTTCAGCTTTAGTTTTACTCTTCAAAATGGTGCAAGACATGGCACTTGTGTTATCACTGGATGTTGCCAATTAGCAATTAAGTAAATGCTACAATATCTGACCAAAATATCTGATTAGAGATATTTATGAATCAATGCACTTACTACATTTTTATGCCTGTAACCTTAGTTTGATTCTTGTAGATAATTGGGAAGTACAGAGAGAGTTCCCATAGTAATTATCTGCCTAGCATAGAAAAAAAAAAACAAAATTTCCTATAAGCATTCCCTCCTACATCCTTCCAACCACGTATCCCTGATTATTTCATAAGTACCTTCTTCATTTTGTGTATTAAGCATGATGTTAAGCAATGGACATAAAATATTAAACTGAAACAGAGAAGTTTATCACCTTCTTAGAGTTTAGAATTAATTCAGGAAAAGAGTTTTGACTACTCTGTAGCTAATGTTCACCCTCTATGAGTTTAAGGGAAAAAGTCAGTAAATCTAAATTTTTAACAGCCTCCTAGCCCAGGAAAGAAGAGTTGGATGAAAGCAGGTGGAGCTAGATAATTCCCAATCTAATTCCCAGGGGCTTGGAAGTCAGCTACATTCCTTAAACGATGACACGTCCATGTGACATCTAAAAGGAGATCACCCTAGACCATTTCAGTGAAGAATGTTAAGCACAGGCTTCGATATGTCCCTTGTTTATATATATATATTTAATATATATATATTATACATATATTTTAATGATAACCTACTGTCTTACTGGGACTTTCTTCCTGCCCTCTCTTCTCAGGCATGCACTAACCTCAAAAGTCCTGATTTTTTTTTTTTTTTTTTTTTGAGACGGAGTCTCGCTCTGTCGCCCAGGCTGGAGTGCAGTGGCGCAACCTCAGCTCACTGCAAGCTCCGCCTCCTGGGTTCACGCCATTCTCCTGCCTCAGCCTCCCGAGTAGCTGGGACTACAGGCGCCTGCCACCACGCCCGGCTAATTTTTTTTCGTATTTTTAGTAGAGACGGGGTTTCACTGTGTTAGCCAGGATGGTCTCGATCTCCTGACCTCGTGATCTGCCTGCCTCGGCCTCCCAAAGTGCTGGGATTACAGGCGTAAGCCACCGCGCCTGGCCAAAAGTCCTGATTTCATCTGAAAAAGAGATCTTATGTGTCTGTCATATTCAGTGTGAATTAGTTTTATAAACTACTTCTCCCCAGAGTGTGTTTTGTAAATGAGGGCCACGAAGAGAGGAATTAGTCAGATTCTAGAATACGTAAATGAGAGCAGTGTTTAGGGGTTTTGCCAATGCTGTCCAAATCTTCCCACTTCCATGTCTCAACCTGGTACGTGATTCTTCCCATTGATTATTGCAATAATCCCTTTTTTTTTTTTGAGACAGAGTCTCGCTCTGTTGCACAGGCTGGAGTGCAGTGGCGCAATCTTGGCTCACTGCAACCTCTGCCTCCCAGGTTCAAGCAATTCTCTGCCTCAGCCTCCCGAGTAGCTGGGATTACAGGTGCCTGCCATACGCCCAGCTAGTTTTTGTATTTTTTGTATTTTTAGTAGGGACGGGGTTTCACCATCTTGGCCAGGCTGGTCTTGAACTCCCGACCTCATGATCCACCCATCTAGGCCTACCAAAGTGTTGGGATTACAGGCATGAGCCACTGTGCCCGAGCTTTTTTTTTTTGAGACAGAGTTTTGCTCTTGTTCCCCAGGCTGGAGTGCAATGGCACAATTTCGGCTCACTGCAACCTCCACCTCCCAGGTTCAAGCGATTCTCCTGCCTTAGCCTCCCAGCTAGCTGGGATTATAGAAATGCACCACCACACTGGCTAATTTTTGTGTTTTTTAGTAGAGACGGGGTTTCACCCTGTTGGCCAGGCTGGTCTTGAACTCCTGACCTCAGGTGATCTGCCTGTCTTGGCCTCCCAAAGTGCTGGGATTACAGGTGTGAGCCACTGCGCCCGGCCTGCTATAATTCTTTTGAAGCTATGTGAGAAAATAGTCCACTTCTTTACTAAAAACGAAGAATCTGACATTTCCATGTAGCTCGGTGATAGGAGAATTAGTCAAATTAGTACGTCTTGTTATTTTGGCTCAAAGAGATGAAATAAGAAACAAACCAACATTTTAAACAACCATTTCAGTTACTTTATTAACTATTTTTAAATGTCTTAGAGTAAGTGCTAAGCCTAGTGCAGCAGCACATGTCTGTAATCCCAGCACTTTGGGAGGCCAAGGTGGGCTGACTGCTTGAGCCCAAGAGTTCCAAACCAGCTTGGGCAACATGGCAAAACCCGGCCTCTACAAAAAATGCAAAAATCGGTCGGGCTTGTTGGCGCACGCCTGCTGTCCCAGCTACTCTGGAGGTTGAGGTGGGAGGATCACTGGAACCTGGGAGGCGAAGGTTGCAGTGAGCCATGATTGCTCCACTGCACTCCAGCCTGGGCGACGGATCAGACCCTGTCTCAAAAAATAAAATAAAATAAATGAATAAATAAAATAAAAATAAGTTCTGGTTACTCCCCATCACCACTATTTTAATTCACAAGCAATCCCTCTGCTTTCACAATGCATTATTCATCATGGAAGCTGGCAAACGTGACTAAGTTCATCTTTTATGCTTGTCCAGCGGATGTTACTAAAAATGTAGCCTTTGCATTCCTTTGTAGGAACTAGAGTCCATGAACTGCATTTATGTTTTTAAGAGTCACAAATTCATCTAGAAGTTGTGCTTATTTGTGTGACCACCTGCATGTGGGATTCACTGTCTACCTCTGTAATGCTTTCTGCAAGTAATATGCCAGGACAGTTGAAGAGTTACAAAATATGAAGTCATTGGCAACTATAAAAGATCATATCCTCAAACTGCCTCTAGCTAAAGGCAACGCAGTTACATCCCTGGATTTTTCTTTTACTCCTTTTAAAAACTGGCAGGTTTGACCTCTTAAAACTACTTTTACTAGAGAAAGAAGTGAGAGAATAATACCTTTTTTATGACCATATAATTCAAAATAGGAAAGTAGAACATTGATTGAAAGTCTATGCTAAACCAGTCCCTATTCTTGGTGTGTGTGTGGGTTCAGGGAGGGGGGATAAAAAGACGAATGTCACTACCCTGTCCTCAAGGAGGTTTTAGGGTCCAGGAAATAGGCAGAGGAATAGGCAAGTAACTATTATGACCATAATATTTGCGAAAATATAGGTATGTATAAAGTGGAGAGAAAGGATTGCAGAAGGCTCTGCAGTTTAGTTTTGCTTGAACAATCTAGTTTGTCCAGCAGTAAAGGGAAGGGAAGGAGAATTTCAGGCTGAATAGCTAGCCTAAGCAATAACACAGAGGCATGGATGAGCACAACTGTTTGGGGCCATAATGAGTAGTTTAGGGTTTTTTGAGCATAGTTTGCATGAGTAATAGCAGCTGGAGCGTGAGCTTACAAAGTATCACGAAAGCCTTCTAAACAGTTTGGAGTTTACTCTGTGTGTGTATTATGGAGTTTAATGGGTATTATGGAGTTGGCCAAGGTCCTTGAACATTAAAATGATATAGTTTGACCTGTAGGGTAGAAAATGGTTTTGAGTCATGTTTCCCAAAAGTTAGTTTTGACACTTTAGTAGCTTGTGCAAGATGCTGATTTTATAGTCTGGTGAGGTACAGGAATCCCTAGTTTTAAAAAGCACTTCCAGAGATTCTGAGGTTGACGGTTCCAAAATGACAAAAGTATATATAAGATAATGGCTTGGCATATAATTCCAAACTGTTAGTATCATAGACATATTTTGAGACAATGCTTTAGTATTAGAGCTGATCAGATGCTTGGTAACCAAACTTTCAGACAAGCAGTGTAAAAATCTAGCAGTCTCTCATGTCTTAGAGTTTATTCTTTGATTTGTGGACACATTCCCATCAAATTGCATCTTTCTCCAGCAGTACTAAAATATACATATAGCTTTGTTTTTCACATTTAACTTACTGTAAACCACTCATATAATAGTAAAGTCTCAATATGATTTGAGCAAATGCTACATCAGTAGGAATTAATGGCATTACCATGATGTGGAATTGCTCTTCTTTATGAGATGTTAATACTTCCACTTGTTCTTATCTGACAATTCTCATTGTCATCTGTTTATTTGTATTCACTCTTCTGTTATGTGAGTTGACTTTACTTTTTATTCCAGTCTCAATTCAATTTTCCTATCCTGCCTCTTAATTTGAAAACTAAGTATAAAATGGAAACTTTAACTTTCATACATCTTGATACAAAAAGATGGGCAGGTATTCTTCCTTGCTAAAAAATATGAAGTTAAAAATGAAACTAAAAACATTTATCGTTGGGATTTTTCATCTTACAGTATATTACATCAGGAGTTATGAGGTCAAAATATATTAGGCAATTACTGTACAGGAAAAACAAATAAGTACGGTTAACCTTGCTAAACTTGATGTTTTTGTAAGCATCATCATGATATTCATTCAAGCAATTTATAGTCAAAATTTTAGAACAGCATATATACTCATGTGATCAAGATTAATTTCAAACAGAAGTGTAAAATGCACAGAAGTGTCTGCAGCGCTTCCATCTACCCCTCCCTCAGGGGCTCAACTCCCTCCTGCTAATTTGTGACTGCCAGTGCACAAAGTATCTTCTCCAGCATCACCTTAGACAGGATATCAGACAGATAGCTAATGGACAGGCCAGTTAATCTGGCACAAAAGTTGTGCAAAGGCTTGAAGATTCTAAAGTTACTTTGCAAATTTGTATTTTTCCTGAGGCCTTCTGGAAACATAGATCAATTATGAGGGGACATGACAGTGGTAGAAACCACAGCTACAAATAAAAGGCTGGGCAGGCTGGGGTGGGTAGACCTATGAGAGTGCCATTTTTCAAAATCTCTTAACTCATAAATGGAAGCAACCAGCTACTCCATTTGCAGGCTGAATATAGAACTGTTTCTACATATAGATTTAAGGAGAACAGATAGAGCAACACCATTTTACAGTTAAAAGAAAAATTGATGATAATCCATTTAGATCTAAGATTGTCGATTATCACTTACACGTACAAGCTCATGTGATTGTAAGAAGGACTAACAGTTAGAAATAACCTAATACATATTATGCCAAAAATGAAATAAACATGAACATACTAAATGCAATCTATTTCCCACCGAATGGAAAGATCTGCTCAATGCTGTCTATGATATTACTGTTCTGTATATTCTATGCTCCTTCCAACATGCCTTCAGAATGCTTTAGGCTACTGAAACCAATGGAAATGAACTTCAAAGAAAATCACATTAAAAGGTCTTAATGCTTTTTGGAAAAGTCATATGTTAATAACAAAATGTCTCAAAATAATAAAACATGAAATTTTTCCTAAAAGACTAAAAGCTTTTATATATGATACTGTCATATATTTGTTCCAAACCAGGCACTTTTAAAGCATTAATTATCACTGTTTATAGCTGCTAGCACAAAGTAGAATACAGAAATTCCACCTACTGTGGAACAGAATTAGTTCCAATCAATGTCAAATGTATTTCTGAGCATATAAATAAGGGGTCTGAACTAACTGAAAAACCTTACCTGAAAACATAAAGAATATACTGAGATGTGTCAGCTTTTTGAAACCAATAACAACAATAATAATGAGCACTTACTATGAGCTTGCCAGAGCCACCAAGGGTGTCCAGAAGCATCTTTCAGATGTACTCAATCTACATGATAACCCTTGGAGGTGTGCAGTGCACAACCTGTTCAGCTATATGTAGTGGTGGGCCTTCCAAGGATGTTCTAAGCATTTTGGATATATTAACTCATTTAATCCTCATATAACCTGAATAGTCTGGCACTCTCCAAAATTTGTATGTCCAGTCTAGACTCTGTGATATGCAAACTTATACTTCCAACTGCTTACGAACCATCTCCACTTGTGCAATTAGCAGGCACTTGAAAATACACATGTTCAAAACTAAATCCATACTCTTCCCACTCCAATCATACAAATTATTCCTGTACAGTCTTCCCCATCTCAGTCAATAGCAGCTCAATTCTTTCAGAAGCTTCTGCCAAAAACTTTGGAGTCATCCTCAGCTCTGTTTTCTTTCGTCTTACAGCCCAGATCCAAATTCATGAACATATCTCGTTGTCTCTAACTTCAAAATCTGTCTAGTATCCAATCATTTCTCACCACCTGCACCATTATCATTGTAATACAAACCACTATCATCTATTGCTTGGATTAATGCAATAACCTCTTATCCGGTGTCCTAGCTTCCACCCTGGCCCCTTTACAATCTCTTCTCAATATATTAGCCAGAGCGATCTTTTTAGTCAGACCATGTCAAATCTCCTAAGTTGCCATGTGCCTCATAGTACATGCCAAAGTCCTTACCACAGTCTTCAAGGACCTACAACACGTAGCCCTCTCCTCCCTGCCTCAGTATTTTCCTCCGGGCTTACTCCTCTCACTGTCATCTCCTGCTGTTCCTAGGACATACAAGGTTCACTCCCACTTAGGGTTCTTCTGTTTCCTCTTCCTCTCCTCCTCTAAGAGCCTATAAAGCAGGTTTACCCACTAACTTGCTCTTGTTAGATGTCACCTCTCCATGACTCCCCTGACCCACTACATTTAAATAGCAAACATTCCAGATAGATTTACTAGATTTTATTTCTAATAGATGTTCAAATTGGAAATGCTGTATAATGCATAAAAACATGAAAGAAGAAAAAAATTCATAACCTTGAATTTTGGTGTTTTTCATTTTCTAGAGTGTGTGTGTGTGTGTGTGTGTGTGTGTGTGTGTTGCATTTTAACACGATGTAATACTTTATACAGTTTTGTCATCTGCTATTTTCAGTTTACATTTTTATCCTAAACATTTTGGATGATATTAAATAAATATAATTTTATTTCTTTGGTAGATTTACCTTCCGTCATATAGACATGCCAAAATTCAATTAACTATTTTGCCTTATGAGATATTTTCACTGGTACATGTAGGAGATAAATACATATTTTTTAATGAAAATACACATTAAGAAAATACCACTAATTTCACATCATATTTTTCAGCAGATTTGTAGCTCATTAAAAGATTACTTAAACAATAGAAAGAATGTGACCATGTGTTTCATTGTGTCCTTGTGTAAAACACTGATGGGATCTGAAATAGATGAGGGGATTTGTAGATGACTGGCACATGTATCAGAACATTTGATAAAAGTATGATGTGCTAATTGGCCTGGATTGACGTCCTAGCTCCA
Source organism: Homo sapiens (assembly GCF_000001405.40). Lineage (NCBI taxonomy): Eukaryota > Metazoa > Chordata > Mammalia > Primates > Hominidae > Homo > Homo sapiens. The sequence goes on from NC_000002.12 coordinate 211,760,301, forward strand.
GGAGTGTGCCAAAAGCTTCTGTACACATCTATCATATTTGACCTTTTAGTCACTGAGTTGCATAAAATGTTTGAAATACACTTATCATACTTGCAAATGACACAAATCTGGAAGGGGTAGTGAATACTCTTATGGAGAATAATCATTCAGATTTAGGAAGAACTTGGTGGAAGGAACAATAAGCTGAAATTAAAGCTATGATATTTAATAGGATCAATGTAAATTCTTGCATTTGTGGTTCTGAATCAACATTTCATGTAAGTATCAACAGATATGTACTCTTACATAAAGGCTCTCTGGCATGAGACACATTAGAATTTCAAATCTCACCTGTTACTGGTTGTGTCATTCCTCAGGCAGGTTAGTTAACTTATTTCACTTTGTTTTTATACTTTGGACTTAAATGTTTATCCTAAAAATGGAGGTGTACACTATACTGCATACTCCAATCTATACAGCATGATCAACATCATCAACCTCACCACATCATCTAATGCTTACTGAGCACTCTTTACTCTCTGCACAGCGCAGTAGGTATTTTATATACATTATCTTATTTAATTTTCACAACAACATGATAGCATAAGTACTACCATTTGTTTTATTTTATAGGTGAGAAAATGGGTCGGGCGTGGTGTCTCACGCCTATAAGCCCAGCACTTTGGGAGGCCGAGGAAGGCGGATCACGAGGTCAGGAGATCCTGGTCAACATAGTGAAACCCCGTCTCTACTAAAAATACAAAAATTAACTGGGCGTGGTGGCGCGTGCCTGTAATCCTAGCTACTCAGGAGGCTGAGGCAGGAGAATCACTTGAACCAGGGAATCAGAGGTTGCAGTGAGCTGAGATTGCGCCACTGTACTCCAGCCTGGCGACAGGGTGAGATTCCTCAAAAAAAAAAAAAAAAAAAAAGGAAAAAAGAAAATAAAAAGCATCCTTATTTTTATTTTTTAAAGGTAGAAATTTTAATTAATCTTCACACTTCCTAACATACTATGACTGAGAACTCTAGAAGTGTTTTTGATGGTGATGTTTTAGAGCTAAAGTACATTATATAACATCCACAGCAAAGAAGGATACGTAATATATGCTGTTATCTGTCCTTCTAGTTTCATATTTGGTTGTTTAATCAGCGACATCCATCTTAATCAGAAATTATTTTTTCTTTTTTTTTGGAAAAAGCGTCCTTTAAGTAGAGCCAGAGAATTGTCCCTCTGTGGCACATCAGCCCTTTTTATACGTAGCATGTTTCTAGTCAAACATTTTTGTTCTTGCCCATTATTTCATTTCTAATTGGCAATTACTTTGATTCTATTATTTGTTTATTAAAGTTCAGCAGTAAATGGGTCTAAAATAAATGTCAATTAAATACAAACACATTTTAGTAATTGGCATTTATTTCTAAAGGAGAATGTGATAGGAAATTAGAGCTCACAGTTTAGGAAAGCTAAAATATTCAAAATACAACTGAGTATGTAACCAATTTACAGTATTGTCACTTACTTCTCTAAGTGTTCATTTATATGCTCACAAAATGCAAAAAATACAAGCTTTTACTAAGTGCTGGTAAAGTGTGGAAAACCCCAGCTATTAAATCATTTTTGTCTCCTTTCAGGCTCCATTATTTACAATTGGTGGAACTGTGGGTAAAGAACTTTACCTAAGAGTTGACTTTCTTCATTAAGAAAATACAGGTAATGATACCTACTTCACATATTTGATGAAGGAATGACTAAGTTGAATATCACATGCAAAGTACCTGGCTTGTAATAAGCAGTAATCAATGTTAGTTCCCTTTTTCTTCCATCGCAACACATTACATAACAATTTTACTGAACAGCAAAGACAGACAAAGAGGGAGAGGGTCAGTAGAGGTGATATGGCAGATACATAAATGGAGACAGAAATGTTTATGCAAACAGGGTTGAAATGATCAGTAAGGTACCACAGGTCAAGCAATTGGAAGCGGGGAGGGTGTGACCCCTTAGAGGCTTTCGCAGGCATAGCAGACAAAGACAAGCGGGTTTCAAAGATTTCTGCATCCTTTGACAAAGGCGTGAAAAGCCACAGTTTCAGCAAGAATGTTACGAATAACCCAACTCCAGTGAAACTCACTCTGCCACTGGAACTTCGGGCTCTTGTAGAGTTCAGGCTGGTGCACGTGGAGAGAGAAAAAGAAGGCAGGAAATATTTCCAGGTATGTTTCAGAAAGGGAAACAGAAACCCATGGATGGAGCAATGGTGGATTAGTGAAGAAGATTAGATGTCACTGATGTGGGGGTCTCAGCCCACTCCATGACCTTCATCTGTCAGATTGCTAGTGAGACATGCTAATGGGTCCCTGAGGAACTGTAACCACCCACGTGTTCACTTTGTGAGTGGTGTCACATTTGAGAAACGTGGTTCAACAGCTAAAATTCAAGCAAAAGAAATTTACTGCTCTCAAAGGACATGAAATGGGATCCAAAGCATTGCCCATGGCAACAGTTCTAAACTGTTTTCTCACATGACTCTCACTCTCATTCAGCAAAACCCCAATCCTAGTTTTCTCTCTCTTCCTGCTGTCCGTCATCACAAACCTTTTGTCCTTCTACTCCCACCATCATTGTATCACTATTATGTGATTGATGGACTAAACCATTCTCCTCAAGTATTTTTCATTCCATTTAGCTCTCTTATCAAATAATTATTTGCCTGTTTTTTGTTATGTATCTTAAGTGTGCATTACAACATCTAGGGATTGTGTGTGTGTGTGGTGTGTGTGTGTGTGTCTGGAGACATGAGAACGGTTTGGTCTGGTGCACTGAAAGTATTAAGCAGACACAAAATATCTGAGAAGGTACAAAAGATAGACTATGAATATTCCCATATTTGTACATTTTATCCTGTCAGAATAGTCAGTGTTTAAGGAGAAATGTTTGGGTTCTATTTCAACATGAACATAAAGAAATTCTGATAATCTGTGTGTAGTATGGTCTCCATGGATAGCCTGTGTTTTCATCTGGCTTCCACTTGATAGTTCCAAGAATAGAAATATCTCCTATATAAATTCATAAGAAATGAGTGTTGTCATGGGAAAACTGAGATGGATAAAATTATTATGAGTTCCTTAAGGGAAGGAACCATTTCTTTTCCATAGTTCCTAACAGTGTTCAAAACACAATGGGCTTCTCAGATTCAATAAACCAACATTTCCTTTACTAAGAGGCCAGTATCTTCACATCATAGTGCTAACACAGCTTCTTCAACCCTGAGTACATTTTGAAAGGTCTTATAATATCTGTGGTTTGGGACTTTATAATTATGGCTGGGGCCATTAATCTTACAGCCTTCCTTTTTTATTATATATAAGATTGAGACTGAGTTTTTGTTACAGATTGCTAGCCTGTAGCAGTCAGTTGTGGAGATTAGACATCACCGAGACAGATAACAAAGAAAAATGGATAACAAATTGGAAAAGATTAGGTAGCTCCACACCACAATATTAAACAAAGTCTTCTGAGGTCTAACAGCCCAAGACTCATCGTATGTTACTACCACTTTTTCATCTGTCAAAGGGACTTGCTGTTAAAACAAGGCCTTAGCTGTGCGTGTGTATACACACACACACACACAAATATATGTATATGTCCAAGTCCTTTCACTTAAAAAGAACTCAAATTAACAAATAGGCACATTTCTAAAATGCCACTGTAAGCCAAAGGAATAAAAATGTGATTTTAAAGTTGATGGAGGTTATAAGAAAATGACCCAAAAGGCATTATAGTAAGTAATAAGCCTAAAATGTCTTGCTGTAGAATGTTTTCAGTAATTCACCTTCGAAGTTCATACACAAAAAATAAATTCAAGGATAATGGACATATAATATATTTTAAAAATCTGATTCCATCAAAAAGCTATTTCAGTGGAGTTCCTTCTTAATATACTACTAGACAGATCTGGAAATTGAGTTATTATTTATAGAAAAAAGATAAATGATTTGCAAACCACTGCATAGACATCTCTTGCATTCCATTGCAAATTATTTTTAAGTCTAAATAAATATCAGTTCTATTACCTATCTTTCAGCTCCAGTTTTCTGTTTTCTAAAAAATGTTTTTGGTCTTGTAACTTCTGAAATACAAATCCTTTAATCACAATGAAAGCCCTCGTTAGCTAGCATGCTAAAGAGGTAGTTATAGCTTAAATATATTACAATTTTATTATGTACAAGGCATGGTTCTAGGCAATTTATTTCTATGATAAACTTAGGAGGAAAGTACTACTACAGATTAGGAAGCTGAGGCCAGAGAAATTTAATAACTTGCCCAAGATCACACAGTTTGCAATAAGCCTGGGTCTGGAGCCTAAAAATACTATCTCCGGAGCCCATACTCTTAACCAATACAACCAAGTATCTAATTTATGTTAACAGATACAAAAATAGAATAGCCATTTGGGACAAAGGAGGGAAGAGCACCCAAAATATATTAGAACACACATAGGAAGACAAATTTTGTGTCACAACAAGGTCTGATTTCTAATGGGATTAATACAAATGCTCAGAAAGTTCAACGGATTTTAGGAGGACAGGAATCCATTAGGCAAAGATGTTGAATGAGATCATTATAAAGACACTCATTCAAAATCACTTAGGGAATGACTTGCATGGAGTTAAAAAGATGATTTGGGTCATTTACCAAAATCTTTGATGTGTGTGATAAATGAGCGGTTTAGTCAATAACAGTCAGGGTGGAGGGTGGTGTAGGTGGACGTCAAGAGCATGGAAAAAGGTGCCCCTCCCCATCTCACTCCCTCGCCTCACAATATTTTAATCTATTATTCCAATTCAGTTTTATATGAGAAAAATGAGGGATAGAGGGGCTAAGCAAGTGTAGTTAGAAACTCTTGGAGACAAGATTCAAACTCATGTAGAAACACCCACCTTGAGCTCAGACACTAGGCTACCTTTCAAAGCAAAGAACCAGAGGCATCATCATGCTTTTTGGAAGGAAGATTCAGGGGGCTTTGTCCTGAAATATGGTCAGATAAAAGACTTTGGTAGGAGGGATAGGAAGAGAGGAGAAAAAGAAAAGTGATGTCTAATTTTTCTCTACCTCCTTACATATTTTAAAAAGTATTCAACGTATATTATACTCTTACTCTTAATGTAATTTACTATTGATAAGACCATGTTTTGTTTCTTATCCCTCAGGAAAAAAAAATCTCTGAGCCCATTGTATATACTAACAGAAATGACTTACTATTTCATGAGAATGTTGCAAAACTGCATGATGGTAATCAATCTTTCTCTTCTGAACCAAAGCAGGCAGATTCCTGTCCAGTATACAACTATAAGGACCCTTAGACATTTGTTTATTCCACTAAGAATGTATAGCAAGTCTTTTCAATAAAAATAGTTGGTATTTAAAATTATGCATTTCAATGAAATTTAGAAATGTAGAAGTGATGGTTGTCCATCATTGTATTGCTTTAAAAAACTTTTAAATTTATCATTGTATTTTTTGTAGTAAAGCCAATTTCTTTATTCTGGGAAACCTTCACTGGCATATGTTTTAAACGACTAGTTTAATGCTGTATTCTAATTCTTGAGTACAGAGTTTGAATTGATGCCACAGAAAATATTTTTGAAAAAATTATCTAGATCAACATTTTTGTTTAATGAAGCACAGAAAGGTAGGAGAATAAAAGTGGCTGATCAAGATAACTACCTGTTTGATGACTTTTCCTTTGTGCATTTTTATTCAAGCTTTTTTCTTTCTTTTATGTATTTCTCTTACTTATATTTTGCCAAGAACTTTAAGAGAAATGTCACTGCATAATTTTCTCTCCATTTTTCTCCTGTGTAGAAAGAGCACCTACAATTGGCAAAAGAATCACCTCTAAATTGAACATAATGTGTTCTTGCTGAGCAGGAAAGAATTAAATAAAAGTTGCATACAGCTGCTTGCAACAATCTAGGCTTGAAAGATTGCCAAATGGGTTAGCAGTTTGATCTGCTTGTTCATCTTTCTCAGCTCCCTGTAGATACCACATCCCTTGCCCCAATCCTCTAGTGTAACCAGTGGTCTCTCCCCTTCCTCCTCTCTAAACTTTGAAATAAAAGTCCTGAATGAGGGAACACCAATAGGAGAGGAAAGACACATGTGAAACATCTTGGTAAATGTTATGAAAAGGGAAAGCTGAATGTCTGCACATGTTTTCAGTTATTCATAAACATCTTCCTTTTGCTTTCTAGTTTTCAAGTGATGAGAAATTAGAGAAAAAAAGGGAAAATAGTTCCTTAAGTTCTATTTAATTGTGAAACTGAATTCTATGAAACACTTTCATTAGTAAACAAGGATGAACTTGTGAGTTGTGATGAAATCTGTGAATGATGGTTGTGAGGCAGGAGAACAGGGTCTGAAGGCAGGGAACCTAACGCCGATCTGTGCTGATTTCCTAGAATGGAATCAAAAGGAAAACCCCACCTCTCCACTCTCGAGTAACAAAAGGATCAAAGGCTACTCCTTTTGCAACACCCCACTCCCCCATTTCTGCATTGTGGAGGAGAAAGTAAAGTACTTCTGATTGGTCTGCTCCTGAAACCGGTCAGACTGGTCATGTCGGCCTTGTCTTCATTTGCATAGGGGTGTGACTTGGTAACTTCACTTCAGTCTGTTTGGTCACCTTCCAACACCAGTCTGACTGGTTGGGGGCCACCACTTCATTAATAGGGTGTAAAGCAAGTAACCAATGGGAAACCTCTCCAGGGTATTTAAACATCAGAAAATTCTGTAACCAGCACTCTGGAGTCGCTTGCTCAAGGCTACTCCCACTCTGTGTAGAGTACTTTTGTTTTAATAAATCTGTGCTTTTATTTTATTGCTTTGTTCGTGCATTTTTCCCAATTCTTTGTTCAAAACACCAAGAACCTGGTCACCCTCCACTGGTAACAGAACACTTACATAATTACTCTCACCCATTACAGAGTAAACAAAAATAGAAGAGAGTAATACTGAATAGAGTCAGTGTAATTGTCATTCAATTTTACACAGTTACTTTAAACACCAAATATACAATCAGGGTTTTATGTTAAAAAATCAATTATGGAATGCTTCGTAAATCTCTCTTTTACATTAATTAGGTGCTTATTATTTGACTCAATATATAATTTTATTTAGTAAAAATGATGTATTAGTCCGTTCTCATGCTGCTAATAAAGACCTACCCCAAACTGGGTAATTTATAAAGAAAAGAGATTTAATTGACTGACAGTTCCATGTGGCCGGGGAAGCCTCAGGAAACTTACAGTCATGGCGGAAGGGGAAGCAAACACATCCATCTTCACATGGTGGTAGGAAGGATAAGAATGAGCAGAAGGAGAAAAGCCCCTTATAAAACCATCAGATCTTGTAAGAACTCACTCACTATCACCACAGCAGCATGAGGGTAACAGCCCTAAATTACTAAATTACCTCCCACTGGGTCCCTCCTATAACACACGGGGATTATGGGAACTACAATTCAAGACGAGATTTGGGTGAGGACACAGCCAAACCATATCATTCTGCCCCTGGCCTCTCTTAAGTCTCATGACCTCACATTTCAAAATGTAATCATGCCCTCCCAACAGACCCCCAAAAGTCTTAGCTCATTACAGCATTAACCTAAAAGTCCATGTCCAAAGTCTCATCTGAGACAAGTACCTTCCACCTATGAGTCTGTAAAATTGAAAGCAAGTTAGTTACTTCCTAGATACAGTGGGGTTCAGACATTGGGTAAATACACTCATTCCAAATGGGAGAAATTGGCCAAAATGAAGGGGCTCCAGGTGCCATTCAAGTCCAAAATCCAGCGGGGCAGTCAACCATTAAAACTCTGTAATGATCTCCTTTGGCTCCATGTCTCACATCCAGGTCACGTTGATGCAAGAGGTGGGCTCTGAAGGCCTTGGGCAGCTCTGCCCCTGTGGCTCTGCAGGGTACAGCCTTCCTCCTGGCTGCTTTCAAGGCCTGGCACTGAGTATCTGCAGCTTTTCCAGGCACACAGTGAAGCTGTCGATGGATCTACCATTCTGGGGTCCAAAGGATGGTGGCCCTCTTCTCACAGCTCCTCTAGGCAGTGCCTCAGTAGGGACTCTGTGTGGGGGCTACAACCCCACTTTGCCCTTCCGTACTGCCCTAGCAGAGGTTCTCCATGAGAGCTCTTCCACTGCAACAAACTTCTTCCTGGACATGCAGACATTTCCATACATCCTTAGAAATCTAGGCAGAGGTTCTCAAACCTCAATTCTTGACTTCTGTGCACCTGCAGGCTCAACACCACGTGGAAGCTGCCAAGGCTTGGGGATTGCACCCTCTGAAGCCATGTCCTGAACTGTATGTTGGCTCCTTTTAGCAATGGCCGGAATGCAGGGCAGCAAGTCCTGAGATTGCACAAAGCAGCAAGGCCCTGGGACCAGCCCATGAAACCATTTTTTCCTCCTAGGCCTTTTGGCTTGTGATGCGAGGGTTGCCATGAAGACCTCTGACATGCCCTGGAGACATTTTCCCCATTGTCTTGGTGATTAACATTTGGCTCCTTACTTATGCCAATTTTTGCAGCCAGCTTGAATTTCTCATCAGAAAATAAGTTTTTCTTTTCTATTGCATTATCAGCCTGCAAATTTGCTGAACTTTAATTCTCTGCTTCCTTTTTAAACATAAGTTCAAATTCCAAACAATATCTTTGTGAATGCATAAAACTGAATGCCTTTAGCAGCACCCTAGTCATATCTTGAATGCTTTGCTGTTTAGAAATTTCTTCTGCCAGATACCCTAAATCATATGTCTCAAGTTCAAAGTTCCCCAGGTCTCTAGGGCAGGGGCAAAATGCTGCCAGTCTCTTTGCTAAAGCATAGCAAGAATCACCTTTATTTCAGTTCCAAATAAATTCCTCATATCCATTTGAGACCACCTCAGCCTGCACTTCATTCTCCATATCACTATCAGCATTTTGGTCAAAACCACTCAACAAGTCTCTGGGAAGTTGCAAACTTTCCCACATCTTCCTATCTTCTTCTGAGCTCTCCATATTCAAACAGGGAAACAATCTCTGCCTGTTGTCCATTTCCAAAGTTGCTTCCACATTTCCAGGTATTTTTTAGCAACACCTCACTCCTGCTATCAAAATCTGTTATTAGTCAGCGTTCTCTAGAGGAACAGAACTAAAAGGATATATAGGAAAGAGAGTTTATGAAGGAAAATTGACTCACAGGATCACAAGGTAAGGTCTCAGGATAGGACATCTGCAAATTGAGAATCAAGGATCCCAGTGTAAATCAGCCTGAGTCCCAAAACCTCAAAAGTAGGGAAGCCAACTGTCCAGCCTTCAGTCTGTGGCCAAAGTGGCCAAAGGCCCAAGAGCCTCTGGCAAACCACTGGTGTTAAGTCCAAGAGTCCAAAAGCTGAAGAACTTGGAGTCTGATGTCTGAGGGCAGGAAGCATTCAGTGTGGGTGAAAGATGAAGGCCGGAAGACTCAGCAAGTCTGCTCTTCCATCTGCTCCTGTCTGTTTTATTCTAGCAGCACCAGCAGCTGATTAGATGGTGCCCACCCATATTGAGGGTGAGTCTGCCTCTCCCAGTCCACTTACTCAAATGTTAATTTCTTTTAGCAACACCCTCATAGACACAACCAGGAAAAATACTTCGTATCCTTCAATCCAATCAAGTTGACACTCAATATTAACCATCACAGATGAGTGTTTTACTTGGAGAAAATTTAACTCAGTTTTACCAACCTAGCATTTTAACCTCTACGCCTAATTCTTCCAGGCTTAGAAATTTTTGCAAATTCTCATATAGCAGGATGACTTAAACTTTACGTGAAGTACATTTTTTAAAATGTGGAAGATCACCAGATGTCTCTTACTGTGAATCACTTCACATTAATGTTCCTTGCTTTGTATTTTGTGGTTCTAAAACATTTTAAAATTCAAAAGTATTCAAAGCAAAGTTAATTCCACCTTATTTTCCTTATTAAAGGAAATATGCAATACAGAATTTGTTTAGAAAAAGGTAACAAAAAAAGCATTCTTAAATTCCAAAAATCTCTAATTCTTTTTTAAAAACTCACCATTTTAAAAAATGTTAGGAGTTACTACTTCGAAGAAAAGTTAATTATTCAAATTGCTTTGTCTTTCTCCATCTATTATGTTTGAACGGTGTGAAAACCTTTCTCATATCAGTGACATTCAGTTATAGCATGATATATTTTTTCAATAAAATTCACATATTTTAGTGAAAATGCTTGTTAAAATGTACTTAAAAATAAGTTTCAGAGAAACAATGAAACCTGAAGGCTGCCCTCAGATAGACAATTTGAATTCCAGAGACCTACTATTTCAAGATATTTTGATCACTTCAGCTCTTCATTGGAAGCCAACAAGTCTGCTCCATACTAGAAATTGCAAGCTGCTTGAGGCTCTCAGAGGCCCCCAAATCAGGCTCTTAATACCTACCTCACATAACATGCAAATTAGAAATAGGGTTCTTTAAGTGCCTGTGATATACCAGGCCCAGGAGGTCACAGGCATTTAAAGCACTGTGATTTTTATTATTGAAATTAATGACATAGAAGTTTCGCAAAACAACAGAGAACTAAATATTCTCTAAGAGGGGACTCGTGTATTTGGTAGTTGGCTCATTTGTAGCATGCCCATATGTTCTATGCCAATTTCAAACTAACACATGGCCTGAAATGTCTGCATCATATTAGGCTTTGCTAATCATTTTACCATCATAGAAATCTTATGCTAGGCCAGTGCTACTTACACCTCTTCCTAGAATCAATAGGAGAATTCTGAAGATAGTCAGATTCTCTTCTTTAAACAAAAGGTACTCAGGCAGAATCTCTGAGTGAATTCAGATACATACCCACGATTGGAAACCTTAATCTAGTTACCTGTGGACATGACGAACCTTGGCCTTTCGTGCTAGTGCTAGACCATGCTACACAACATCTCTGCTGGTCACCTTCATGTAATATTTTTTCTTCCAACAAGCTATGGTCATAAAGAAGATTTAAGGTTCATCAGTGGAAACTGAATCTAAACATAGTTGAAGGTGGAAAATTGCCATTTTAAGAGCTAGAGCAGTAAGCTTGTGGGGTACAGAGGAGTTAATCTTTGAGACAGAAACTCTTGTTTAATCTGACAGGGACCACTTTTCTAAACCTTTTAGTCAAACATAAATAAAATCTACTCATTAGTCTTGTGGAAAACTTGAATGCAAAAGTTAGCATGAGTGCAGGTAAGTATACAGTTTAATAATTTAAATGAAAAATGTTAGCAGAAAATGATGCTGAAGAGTCAAATGCTTTTTCTTTACAAATTTTGAGCTAAGCTGCCCTACCCCTAAAGAGGCTAAAGTGATTGTTCTTTCTTGCGAAGTGTGTGTGTATGTGTGTGTGTGTTTTATTCAGCATTTGCTCACAAGAGACTAGGGGCTACGATCAGTTCATACCATGCATGAGGTGCTGGCCGAATCTCTTGGTGCTCTTATAGAGAAAAATGATAAGCAACGGAACTGGCCTCAGCCTACCATTACCTTTACAGGGCTGTTCATATTCACAGGTGGTAGTACCTGGTGTACAAGGCCAACTACTAAAAATTTCTAGAATTTTGAGAGCTTTTCATTAAATAACCATTACTAAATATTAAACTATATAAACCCACAATTAAATGTTATTAAAACAAAGGTAATATATACTAGAAATTCATTATTTCCTGAATAGTTTACAATGTTTTACTATCTTCTGTGTAATTGAGTTTACTTACATCTACTGAACCTGTATGGTGGAAATACTACATAATGGTGTGATACCTGGACATCTCTTCCAAAATCCACACTGATTGCTCAAATGGGAAGACGTTAGAAATATTTATACCATGAAAATCAGTAAGCTCAACAAATTGGGGCTTTTTTCCCCTATTTTTGGAGAGTAGTTATTAAATATTTATCAGCACGGCACTGACATATGGTATAATTTAAGACTGAAGAAATCATGCTTTTGGAAAATGCACTATTAAAACTTGTCTAAGGGATCCACACCATATTCTGTGTGGAGTGTTTCCTAATATGACAATTGACATTTCCACTAAATCAGAAACAGAAAATGAAATTAGCTTTGAACTGAATGAGAGGCAAAAAGACCTAGGGGAAGATAAAGAGACTAATCCCTAAGGTCTGAACGTGGTCAGAGGGTCTCAGTAGTGGGGGATATCTTCAATGACAACACATGGACAGGGACATGGAAGTTAATTTTGGGCCTCTCTCTCTCCAAATAACCATTCTTATTAATAACAAAATTATGTTGATAACTAATGTTTTTTCTTCTTTTTTTGAGATGAGGTCTCACTCTGTCACCCAGGCTGGAGCACACTGGTACAATCATGGCTCACTTCAGTCTTGACCTCCTGGACTTAAGTGATCCTCCTACCTCTGACTCTTGAGTAACTGAGACTACAGGTATACTTCACCATACTGGGATATATATATATATATATATATATATACACATATATATATATATATATATATATATATATACACATATATATATATACACACACACACACATATATATATACACACACACACACACATATATATATATATATATATATATATATATATTTTTTTTTTTAAAGATGGGGTCCTACTCTGTTGCCCAGGTTGCTCTCAAATTCCAGGCTTAAGGGAATCCTCCCACTTCAGCCTCCCAAATTTCTGGGATTACAGCATGAGCCACCACGCCTTGTCAATAACTGGTTTTATTTGTGCTTTGAAGGGATCAGGCACCTGGGTCTTAAAAGCAGTTGAGGGAGTGCCTAGCCCAGCTGTGACATGACGGGAGTCCTTGGTAGCAGAGGCTGGGAGGTTGGCAGTAAGAGAATAAGACCAGAGAGGTGAAGCTATGGAATTTACTCCAAGTTTTTGGTTAAGTTATATGTAAAAGATAAGTAGAAACTAATTAATAATTATAAACTGTTGAGACTAATATTGTATGTATGTGTGTATGTATAAATTTACATAAATGTTTACTTTTTATGTACTTATTACATACAAATGAATTTTTTATATACTCATATATGTTATGATTTTCAGGAAAAAGTAATAATACTTGCAATGCATGATGAATACGAGGACTAAGATGAGCTAAGGAAGAGAGGGTATGAGATAATCTTCTGTTCTACCACCTGGAGGTCAGGTTAAGTACTTCCAAGGAATAAATACTCTGTCACTTTCAAGAAAGTAAGGATTATACTTCTGTAACTTTATATATATATATATATATATATATATATATATATATATATATATATATAATATATATACACACACACACACTTCATATACATACTATGAAGTATATATACTTTATAGTGAAGAATATATATATACACACACACACTTCATATATATACATATATCATATTTATGTGAAGTATATATATAAAGGAGAAATGTTAACTAGATAGAAAACAACCTGGATTACTCCGGTCTGAATTCAGATCACGTAGGACATTAATCATTGAACAAACGAATCTTCAATAGTGGCAACACAATAGGATGTCCTGATCCAACATTGAGGTTGTAAACCCTATTGTCGATATGGACTCTAGAACAGGATTGTGCTGTTATCCCTAGGGTAACTTATTCCGTTGATCAAATTACTGGGTCAGTGTGTAAAATCTCACTTGGACTAGTACGGTCTTAGATTGTTCAGATGCTCTGTGGTCACCCCAACCAATTTTTTTTTTTTTTCTTGAGATGGAGTCTCCCTCTGTCGCCCAGGCTGGAGTGCAATGGTGTGATCTTGGCTCACTGGAACCTCTGCCTCCTGGGTTCAAACGATTCTTCCACCCCAGCCTCCCGAGTAGCTGGGATTACTAGCACCTGCCATCATGCCCGACTAATTTTCGTATTTTTGTAGAGACGGGGTTTCACCATGTTGGCCAGGCTGGTTTTGAACTCCTAACCTCAGGTGATGCCCCTGCCTCGGCCTCCCAAAGTGCTGGGATTACAGGTGTGAGCCACTGCGCCAGGCCAAGCAGTTTAAAATTTTTAATATGGGGATAGTAAGCTAGGGCCTGTAGGCTTGAGTTTTTATTTGCATTAATGAATTAAAGCTGCATAGGGTCTTCTCACCTTATTTGTTTATATCCGCCTCTTCACGGATAGGTCAATTTCACTGGTTAAAAGTAAAGCACAGCTGAACCCTCGTCTGGCCAGTCATACAAGTCCCTATTTAGGGAACAAGTGATTATGCTACTTTTGAACGGTTAGGATATCGCGGCTGTTGAACATATGTCACTGGGCAGGCAGTGCCTCTAATACTGATAATGCTAGAGGTGGTGTTTTTGGTAAACAGGCAAGGTAAGATTTGCCAATTTCCTTTTACTTTTTGTAATCTTTCCTTAGAGTATGACTGTGTTGGGTTAACAGTGAAAATAACAGGGTGCTTATTATATCGTTTATTAATATTGGGCTGTTAACTGTTAGTGGGTTATTCCGGTCTGATGTAAGCTTATGCAATGGAGAATGTCTTCATGTTACTTATATTAACATGATTGCTTCTGTTAAGTAATAGATTAGTCCAATGTAATGTTAGGAGTTCAGTAGAGTGACTAGAATTTAAGATAGTTCGATGTTGAACTTAAATGCTTTCTTAATTGGTGGCTGCTTTTGGGCCAACTGTGGTGCTAATAATTTTTACTCTCTGTAGGAAGGTTGTTTCCTAAGGTCAAAAGAGTTGTCCCTCTCTAGACTAACAATTAAACTTACAGGGGAATTAAGTAATTCTTTGGGTAAGTTTAAAATTGAACTAAGGTTCTATCTTGGACAATGAGCTATCACCAGGCTCAGTAGGGTTGTCACTGCTAGTCATGAATCTTCCCACTATTTTGCCAGATAGGTGAGTGTGGTCTTTCAGCTGTTCTTGAGTAGCTCGTCTGGTTTTGGGGGACTTGGCTATAGTTCTCTGTGTAAAGTTATTTCTAGTTAATAGATTATGCAGAAGGTATAAGGGCTTGTCTTTGCTTTTTTAGTGCTTGATATAGCTCTTCCATCTTTCCCTTACTGTACTATGTCTATTGCACCAAGGTAAAAATTTCTATTGCCTACACTTTTGTCTAAGTAAATGGTTTGATTAAGATAGTTTGATAACATTTTTAGCAAGGTTTGGGGCTAGAGTTAGCTAAAAGTGATCAGGCCATGATGAAATCTTCTGGCCATAAGCCAGATGCTTTGGGTTAAGCTACACTTTGGTTTGTCCAAGCACACTTTCCAATATGCTTACCATGTTATAACTTATCTCCTCTATAGATGTGTAGACAATTATTAGTAATAGTGATATCTAGAGTAATACTTGAGGAGGGTGATAGGCTGTGTGTACGTGCTTCATGGCCTTATTCAACCAAGCACTCTGCTCTTGGTTTACTGCTAAATCCTCCTTGAGCCCTCAGATTTCACAAAGGTTTTCATGAGATTTCCTGGACATAGAAAATGTAGCCCATTTCTTGCCACCTCACGGGTTACACCTTGACCTAACGTTTTTTATGTGTATACTTATGCTTAATCTATAACTTTTTTAGGGTTTGCTGAAGATGGTGATATACAGACCGGGGGCAAGAGATGGTGAGTTGTATCGGGGTTTGTCTATTATAGAACAGGCTCCTCTAGAGGGATGTAAAGCACCGCCAAGTCCTTTGAGTTTTAAGCTGTTGCTTGTAGTAGTCTGGCGAATGGTTTTGTTAATGTAACTATTCGACTTTAGGGCTAAGTGTAGTGGGGTATCTAATCCCAGTTTGGGTCTTAGCTATTGTGTCTTCAGGGTATTAAAGCCACTTTGTAGTACATTTGATTTCAGCTGGAGTTTTTTACAACTTAGATGGAGTTTTTTACAACTTAGCTTTATTGAGGATAGACCTTAAACATTCTTTATGCCGAGTTCTATTAGCTTGTGTTAATCATATGGCTGTGGTGGCTGGCATGAAGTTAACCAACCCTAAATATTAGTAAAGCTCAGTCAAGCTTTTGTTTATTACTAAAGATTTATCACTGCTGTTTCCCATAGGGGTGTGGTTGAGCAAACTCTTTTGAGCTGCATTCGTGTGTGCTTGATACTTGCTCCTTTTAATCTGGGTGATCTAGAGGGCATTTTCACTGGGGTGGGGATACTTGCATGTGTAATCTTACTAAGAGCTAATAAAAAAGACCAGGACAAAACCTATCTGTTTATGAGGTTGTGTGAACCCATCTAGACATTTTCACTGTCTTGCTTTGAATACTTAAGCTATACTAACTGC
Organism: Homo sapiens; assembly: GCF_000001405.40. Taxonomy (NCBI): domain Eukaryota; kingdom Metazoa; phylum Chordata; class Mammalia; order Primates; family Hominidae; genus Homo; species Homo sapiens. The sequence goes on from NC_000002.12 coordinate 211,776,631, forward strand.
ATGGAATACGTAAGTGAAAATTAAAATATGAGAAAGAAAGAAGTAAATACAAATGGTTGTTTACAGTTCTGGAAATTCAGGTTCTTTAAAGTTGAATTGGCAGAGGTTTGGCTGAGAGGATGACTCATAATTTGAATATGGTTGATTTAGGGGTATGTTATATTGGGGCAGTGCTTTCAGAGGGATATGCTCAAGGTATTATATTAGTATTAGGGCAGAGGTTTAGTTACTCTATTTATTATACAGAATGGAGGGTTTATTTGGTAGGAGGGCCTTAAGATTTTTTAGAAAATTACATCAATTGAGGTGTAGCTGTTGGAGCGTTCGTGGTTAAAATATGATTTCTGGGCTCTGACTGGGTTGCATTTTAGTATCTTGTTTTTGGGGTTTGGCAAGGGTACATTTACCTAGGTTGATGGTAAAGGCAGAGATGGAGGGAGGGGAGTTTGCAGATGTAATCGGAAATAGTTCTTCAAATTGAGCATAGGTGCGTGGGGGTACATGCATGAGCGTATATGCGTGAGCATATGTGCGTGAGCATCTACTGATTAATTGTTATGTCCTTCAAGCATGATATACTTCTCCTCACATGACAAAAACTAGCCCCTATCTCAATTATGTTTCAAATCTTCCCATCAACAAACCTGAACATCCTCCTATCACAATTCTATCCATTATAGTGGGTGGTTGAGGGGGACTTAACCAAACACAACTGCGTAAAATCCTAGCCTACTCCTCAATCACTCACATAGGTTGAATAATAGCAGTACTAATTTATGACCCAAACATTACCACTCTAAATCTGATTATTTACCTTATCTTAACAACAACTGCATTTCTATCACTCAACCTGAGTATAAGCATCACAACCCTGTCACTATCTCATGCCTGAAAGAAATTAGCATGGTTGACACCTATAATTCCACTAATTCTACTATCCCTACGAGGTTTACCCCCATTACAGGGTTCCTGCCTAAATGAATCATCATCCAAGGATTTACAAAAAATTATAGCCTTGTCACCCCAACCATTATAGCTATCATAACCCTACTCAACCTGTACTCTTACATACACCTCATTTATTCCATCTTGGTAACACTATTCCCCACATCTAATAATATGAAACTAAAATGACAATTCGAAATCGCAAAACCCACACTACTCCCTCCTCACTTGTCATCTCTTCTACCGTCCTCTTACCCACCTCTCCATTAATACTAACTATAACTTAGAAATTTAGTTTAAATAAGACCAAGGGCCTTCAAAGCCCTTAGTAAGTAAATGACACTTAATTTCTGTAACAGACCTAAGGGCTGCAAGACTCTATTCTGCATCAGTTGAACGCAAATAAACCACTTTAATTAAGCTAAGCCCTTACTAGACTGGTGGAATTCAAAACCACGAAAATTTAGTTAACAGTTAAACCCCCTAATCAACTGGCTTCAATCTACTTCTCCCACCATTGGGGGAAAAAGGCAGGAGAAGCCACGGCAGGATTGAAGCTGCTCCTTTGAATTTGCAATTCAACATGAGAAATCACTTCAGGGCTGGTGAACAGTGGCCTTGACCTCTGTCTTCAGATTTACAGTCTAATGCTTGCTCAGCCATTTTATACCCCCGCCGCCGCCCCCCTGTGTTCACCAATTGTTGATTGTTTTCAACTAACCACAAAGATATCGGAACACTGTACCTGTTATTCGGCACAAGGGCGGGGATAGTAGGCACTACCTTAAGCCTCCTAATTTGAGCAGAACTAGGCCAACCAGGAACTCTGCTAGGAGATTATCAGATCTACAATGTTATTGTTACCGCCCACACATTCGTTATAATCTTCTTTATGGTGATACTAATCCTAATTGGGAGTTTCAGCAACTGGCTAGTCCCTCTGATAATTGGTACACCCGATATGGCATTCCCCCGGATAAATAACATGAGTGTCTGACTTCTCCCCCCATCTTTTCTACTCGTACTTGCGTCTTCAATAGTGGAAGCCGGCGCTGGAACCGGCTGGACAGTTTATCCCCCTTTAGCAGGAAACCTAGCACATGCAGGAGCCTCTGTGAACCTGACCATCTTCTCGCTCCACTTGGCAGGTGTCTCTTCTATTTTAGGGGCCATTAACTTTATTACCACTATTATTAACATAAACCCTCCAGCTATATCCCAATATCAAACACCCCTTTTCATTTGATCAGTCCTCATTACGGCAGTCCTTCTTACTCCTTTCCCTTCTAGTCCTAGCCTCTGGCATTACTACACTATTAACTGACAATAACCTCAACACTACTTTGTTTGACCCTGCTGGTGGGGGTGACCTTATCTTGTACCAACATGTATTCTGCTGGTACAAAGCTTCGGGATAATCTCCCACATGGTAACATATTATTCTGGAAAAAAGGAATCGTTTGGATACATGGGCATAGAGCCATGATATCAATTGACTTCTTAGGATTTATCATATGGGCTCACCATATATTTACAGTAGGGGTAGATGCAGACACACGAGCATACAGCACCTCTACTACCATAATTATTGCTATCCCTACTGGCATCAAGGTCTTTAGCTGATTAGCTACCCTGCATGGCGGTAACATCAAATGATTTCCCGCAACATTCTGTGCCCTACGATTAATTTTCCTTTTCACAGTAGAGGTTTAACCGGCATCTTATTAGCTAATTCATCACTAGATATTACCTTACATGACACATATTATGTTGTAGCCCATTTCCACTATGTCCTATCAATAGGAGCAGTACTCGCCATTATAGGAGGCTTTGTCCACTGATTCTCCTTATTTTCAGGCTATACACTTAGTCAGACCTATGCTAAAATCCACTTCACCATTATATTCATAGGTGTTAATTTAACCTTTTTCTACAGCACTTCCTTGGTCTATCCGGTATGCCTTGACGTTACTCTGATTATCCTGATGCATACACCACGTGAAATATTATCTTATCCATATGGTCATTTATCTCACTAACAGCAGTTATACTAATAATCTTTATGATCTGAGAAGCCTTTGCTTCAAAACGAAAAGTACTAACAATTGAACAACCATCTGCTAATTTAGAGCGGCTTTATGGCTGTCCACCACCTTACCGCACATTCGAAGAGCCAGCCTAAAGGAAAACCTAAATGAGAAAAGAAGGAATCAAACTCCCAGAAACTGGTTTCAAGCCCATCCCATAACCTCTATGACTCTCTCGATAAGATATCAGTAAAATTGTTACACAACTTTGTCAGAGTTAATTTATAGGCTAAACCCTATATGTCTCAATGGCTCATCCAGTTCAATTAGGCCTTCAAAATGCCACATCTCCTATTACAGAAGAAGTACTCACTTTCCATGACCACGCCCTTATAATTATTTTTTATAATTATACACACACACACAATTTGGCAAAAGGTTGTTTGAGAGGAACTTATCATATATAATAAAAATGAAGGCTGGGCGCAGTGGCTCATGCCTGTAATCTTAGCACTTTGTGAGGCTGTGGCGGGAGGATAACTTGTGCCCAGAAGTTGGAGTCTAGCCTGGGTAACGTAGGGAGAGCCTGTCTCTACAAACAGTAAAAAACAATTATCTGGGTGTAGTGGCATGCATCTGTGGTCTCAGCTACTCAAGAGGCTGAAACAGGAGGATTGCCTGAACCCAAGCGGTCGAGGCTCCAGTGAGCTGTGATTGCACCACTGCACTCCAACTGGGTGACAGAGCAAGACCCAGTCTAAAAAAATAAAAAATAAACAAAAGAAAAGAAAATAAAGATGTATATTGAAAACTGTACTCAAAAAGTGAAACAATACATTTTCATCTCAAGGAACTAAGAGACAAGAAAACCAGGCTAGCAGGTGTATTGTGCTTGCTTCCGTAATGTTCTTAGTAAAACTTAATTCCTAGAGTGAGTTTCAGTTGACCTGGAAAGCCTCTTCTTATAAATAGAGTGTCAAAGGCCTTCTATGGTGTGGGTCAGGTGCAAGTCCTTACTTTCTCAAAACAGCATTAAAAAGGCAGCTGAGCTGCCACTTGATCTTAGTGCATTCTTTTTTAAACACATTTTAGATTCTGTTAGTTCTCTTTGCTAATATTTTATTCAGAAAAATTGCATCTGAATTCATAAGTGATCTTAAGTTCTTTTGTTTTTTGTTTTATTAAAACAGGTCCATAAAAATCTGTTTTATCGGTATTTTAGAAAAATGATCTTTTGGATTCATACAGATTCAATGTATCCTTTCCATGTCTGATGTTTTTCATATATTCCCATTTCCATAATTTAGGGTTTTATTTAAAAATATCTTTTGAAAACAGTGTGATTTCATTCTGTGTATACATTTATGCAAAGTTAGATGTATTGTATGTCTAATGCACACAAACTGAAGCTGTACTAAAATACATCGAGGGTAAATTTTCTTGCTACTTTTTTATTTCTTATTTTTTGCTTTACTACACAATACCTTAGAAAGGCACATCTATTTTACCTAAATATTTTCATATAGAAGGAGTAACACAAGTTGGTAATGTAATAGATGAGGTTTAATTGTACTCTATCTCGAGAATTCTATTTCAAGAAAGCTAGTTATATGTAATACAAAGTGCAATATTAATTAGGAGTGGGTCATTACTATGATATGTAAAAGTCACTGAAAAAAAAGTTTAAAACATGGACAGAATGAATGCAGGCAGAACATCTGGTTAAACAAGTAATTAGTCCTGGAATTATGTTCATGATTATAGTGGTATCTATGAATTTGCCAATTCCCCCTCTCCCACTTCAGTTGTTAGTTGGTATTTGGTTCTAGAAAGCAACTAAGAATGAGTGATGTACCTGGCGTAATCAAAGAAAAAGGTTGTAGGGACTGGAGCAGCTGAGGATTGTTCTTCTCAGTGTCTTGATGAGCTAAACCTATGAGAGACAACCTTCTAGTTACTAAAACACACTTAAAATGTAGAAACATAGTTAAATGTCAATGAATATATAATGAAAATGTAACTGTCACATATTTTAAAAATACTTCTGTCCTCATATGGTCAATTCATATAAAAATTATAATTGCAAGGTCCTTTATTCTTTTGTCATAAGAAATCACCCTTGGATTGACACATTAACTCATTTATTGCTCGTAATAGCCCTATGAAGTTGATAATAATAACAGCTCCTGGGCAAAAAAAAAGAAAAACCTATGTGTAATCTTTCAGGCAGGAGCACAGACAATTACTTTACCTGGCAGGCCTCCTGGGGCTTCAAAGCTGTCCTCCCACGCCAGACTTGGTGCCCAGTCAATGCACTGCAGTCTCTAAGGGGGTTGCAGTAAGACACTCAGGGTTTGCTGACCAGCCATGTCTCATATATGTCTCCCATCCTGGCCCAGGTACGCTATTCATAGACCTCTTTATTAAGGTCTTTTGACAGCGGTTTTCCTTAGGTGCTTTCACTAAAATCTCCTTAAGGGGAGGAAGTAAGGGGGCCTGGAAGACACCTTTTCTCCACTCTGACTCCATACTTAGTACTTTTCACTCAGGCCTTCCCACCCCTCTCTCCTTCAAGCTTCCAGGTTCATAAAACTTTCAGAACCATTTTTTTTGCCACTCCCTCCTCAGTGAAACAATTCCCCATGTCTGCACTCATCCATCTGACCCTCAGCTGGCACTGTTCTATGGAAGAAACATGAGACTGTGAAGTTGATGCTTTTTCTGGTTTAGCCTTTGGAATAAACTATTGCAGTAAGTGATTAAAAGCTTGACTGTTATCCTCATTTTTGCTTGTCTGAATTGACCACTGTCACCTAGCAGCTTAGCTGTCAGCTCAGCTCAGCTCAGCTCAGCTCTTGACACTCTCTGTCTTTTATAGGTAAGGAGATAGAGTGACTGAGGGCATAGATGACTTGCTTAAGGTCAAATTGCTGGTAAGCAGCAGTGCCATGATGTAAATAAGTTGCCCTCTAAAATTTAAGCAAATAGGAATATACAAGAACATTAATATGGAAAAATAGAGAAACAATGATTTCTCATCAGAGAAGATGGTGTAGTTCAGAGAATGGATTCGGGAGCCAAACTGTGTGGTATTATTTCTGAGGGCTCTGTTCTGTTCCATTGGTCTATATCTCTGTTTTGGTACCAGTACCATGCTGTTTGGGTTACTGTAGCCTTGTAGTACAGTTTGAAGTCAGGTAGCATGATGCCTACAGCTTTGTTCTTTTGGCTTAGGATTGACTTGGCGATACGGGCTCTTTTTTGGTTCCATATGAACTTTAAAGTAGTTTTTTCCAATTCTGTGAAGAAAGTCATTGGTAGCTTGATGGGGATGGCACTGAATCTATAAATTACCTTGGGCAGTATGGCCATTTTCATGATACTGATCCTTCCTATCCATGAGCGTGGAATGTTCTTCCATTTGTGTCCTATTTTATTTCATTGAGCAGTGGTTTGTAGTTCTGCTTGAAGAGGTCCTTCACATCCCTTGTAAGTTGGATTCCTAGGTATTTTATTCTCTTTGAAGCAATTGTGAATGGGAGTTCACCATGATTTGGCTCTCTGTTTGTCTGTTATTGATGTATAAGAATGCTTGTGATTTTTGCACATTGATTTTGTATCCTGAGACTTTGCTGAAGTTGCTTATCAGCTTAAGAAGATTTTGGGCTGAGACAATGGGGTTTTCTAAATATATAATCATGTCATCTGCAAACGGGACAATTAGACTTCCTCTTTTCCTAATTGAATACCCTTTATTTCTTTCTCCTGCCTGATGGCCCTGGCCAGAACTTCCAACACTGTATTGAATAGGAGTGGTGAGAGAGGGCATCCCTGTCTTGTGCCAGTTTTCAAAGCGAATGCTTCCAGTTTTTGGCCATTCAGTATGATATTGGCTGTGGGTTTGTCATAAATAGCTCTTATTATTTTGAGATACGTCCCATCAGTACCTAATTTATTGAGAGTTTTTAGTATGAAGGGCTGTTGAATTTTGTCAAAGGCCTTTTCTGAATCTATTGAGATAATCACGTGGTTTTTATCTTTGGTTCTGTTTATATGCTGGATTACGTTTATTGATTTGCGTATGTTGAACCACCCTTGCATCCCAGGGATGAAGCCCACTTGATCATGGTGGATAAGCTTTTTGATGTGCTGTTAGATTCGGTTTGCCAGTATTTTATTGAGGATTTTTGCATCAATGTTCACCAGGGATATTGGTCTAAAATTCTCTTTTTTTTGTTGTTTCTCTGCCAGGCTTTGGTATCAGGATGATGCTGGCCTCATAAAATGAGTTAGGGAGGATTCCCTCTTTTTCTCTTGATTGGAATAGTTTCAGAAGGAATGGTACCAGCTCCTCCTTGTACCTCTGGTAGAATTAGACTGTGAATCCATCTGGTCCTGGACTTTTTCATTGGTAGGCTATTAATTATTGCCTCAATTTCAGAGCCTGTTATTGGTCTATTCGGGGATTCAACTTCTTCCTGATTTATTCATAATTACAGTTAAAAAAAGAGAACATAATATTTACCATCTTAACCACTTTTAAGTGTATGTTTAGTAATGTTAAGTATATTCACATTGTTTTCCAACAGATCTCCAGAACTTTTTCAACCTTGAGCAATTGCAACTTGACTCGTTAAAGAGCAATTGGACATTTAGCCTTCCTTCCAACACCTGGCTACCACCATTCTACATTCTGTTTTCTTTGAGTTTGACAGTTGAGTTACTTCATGTAAGTGAAATCATACAGTATTTATGTTTTTGTGACTGGCTTATTTCCTTTAGCATAGTGTCCTCAAGATTTATTCATGTTGTAGCATGTGACCAGATCTCCTTCCTTTTTCAAGCTGGATAATATTTCATCATTGTATGTATATACTGCATTTTGTTTATTCAATCATCCATATATGACATTTGGGTTGCTTCCACCTCTCAGTTATTATGAATAATGCTGCTATGAGCATAGATATGCAAATATCTCATTGAGAACCTGCATTTAATTCCTTTGGATATATATCCAGAAGTGGGATTGCTGTGTCATATGATAATTCTATTTTTAATTTTTGAGAAACCACCAGACTATTTTCCATAGTGGTCACACCATTTTACAATCCCACCAAGAAGGATTCCAATTTCTTCACCTCCTCACATTTGTTATTTTCTTTTTTATATTTTAATATTAGACATCCTAATAAGTGGGAGACAATATCTTATTGTGGTTTTGATATGATTTTGGGGTTGGTTTTTCTCTAATGATTAGTAATGTTGAGCATCTTTTTATATGCTTGTTGGCCCTTTGTGTACCATCTTGTAGAAATGTCTATACAAATCTTTTGCTCACTTTTTCATTGGATTATTTGCTTCATGTTATTGAGTTGCAGGTTCTACATATATTCTGGATATTAATTCCCTATCAGATACATGATTTACAAATATTTTTCCCTTTCTATAGGTTACCTTTCATTCTGTTGATTGTACCTTTTGATGCACAGCCTTTTTTTTTTTTTTTTTTTTATTTTTTGAGACGGAGTCTCACTCTGTCCCCAGGCTGGAGTGCAGTGGTGCCATCTCGGCTCACTGCAAGCCCCGCCTCCTGGGTTCACGCCATTCTCCAGCCTCAGCCTCCCGAGTAGCTGGGACTACAGGTGCCTGCCACCACGCCCGGCTAATTTTTTGTATTTTTAGTAGAGGCGGGGTTTCACCGTGTTAGCCAGGATGGTCTCGCTCTCCTGATCGCGTGATCCGCCCACCTCAGTCTTCCAAAGTGCTGGGATTACAGGCGTGAGCCACCGCCCCCAGCCGCACAGACGTTTTTAAGTTTAATATCGTCCCATTTGTCTATTTTAGCTTTTGCTGTTGGTGTTTTTGGTGTTATATCCACGAATTTATTGCTCAACCTAGGGTCATAAAGCTTTCCCCCTATATTTTCTGCCAAGACTTTTATAGTTTTAAGTCTTATGCTTAGGTCTGTAATTCGCTTTTGAGTTAATTTTTGAACATGGCATATGATGAGGCCCAAGTTCAATCTTTTGCACATGGATATCCAGTTTTCCCAACACCATTTGTTGAAGAGACTTCCCTTTAAAATATATTATTTATGCCTATCACTGCTTGAAAATGATATTAGATATTAATCCTACTGCTAATATTTTTAATTTAATGTATGAATAAGCATATTACTATATTAGGTATCTGTTTCTTAAGCATTTTGATAAATGTATCTCAACCTAACTTATTTTCCTTGTAATCCATTGTAATTCATTTTATGTATTTATTGATTGCTATGCATTCATGAATTAAAGTATTTGTTTTGTGCTCATTTTTTCTTCTAAAAATATTATGAGAAGAGGTCAATGGGCTTCACCAGGATGCTACAGTGTCCATTGCCTCAAAAAATATTAAAAATTCAGAGTTTGTTTTAGTAATTTAGACAGATGAAGTCTTGAACTAGGGCAATCATAATAATAAATATGTAAAATCAAGAAATGGGCAAAGATCAGGATGACTCGGTGATTAACTCCCAAGAGCCAAGTGAAAGTAAAGATAATAATGACCCCCCAAATTTTTAACTTGGTTGAGTGATTGGTTGGTGGTATGTAGTTCTAGGGAGTCATCAACCTAGAGGTTGCATTTAAAACCCTGAGAGTGTCTGAGATTACCTCTGGGGAGAAGACAGAGAAATAAATTGACTAAAGATAAAACCATAATAGTCAAAAAACAGTCAATTCATTATTAATAGCTATGGTGTCATGCAGTACATATAATGTGTCAGCAAATAAAACTACTATGTAAATAATAAAACTTTGGCAATCAATTGGTAGTTAATTTGTAAAAGACCATTGGTTATGACTCTACTCTGCATTTATAATTTTTGCACCTGCAATTATTTACATGAAAAAAACAATACAGCCACAGTTGCCTAATTATAGGCACAACCATCCAAATTTGTCTTCAAAAAGAATAGCACAAAGAGACACCATCTGTGAAAGTGCAGCAAACCCCTCAGACCTTTCCTGCTCCAAATTCTGTAAGGCTGGTGGGCACACTTCCCTTTTGGCTTCTGTCTCAGGCTCTATTCTTGCACGATCTTATTCATGCCTTACAGACCAGTCAGTCTGATAAGCTGAGAGTCAGCAGGTCTTTCCTTTTACCCAACCAATATCCACACCTCCCCACCACTACCCTGCCAATATAATATGTGCAATAGCATGGGCAGACTGAAAACAGAAGGCATTTCTGAAACACATCATTTGTCTTGTTAATGTGAAAAGATTCCATTTTTCTCACATGTAATTTTACAAAGTAGGCAACATGAATGCCATAAAGGGAAAATCCCATACAAATTTCTGTTCAAAGGTGACAAGAAAATTATGTTACTCTACTTTTTACATAAAGTTTTAGCCATTTATTAAAAACACAGCTGTCAGTTTTGATCAAATACATTCATATTTCCCATTATATTATTAGGGCCATGATGAAATTTAATAATTGTCCCTTGGAGTTTGATTTTTCACAAAAATGTCATAACACAATCAGTAATATAGCAAATAATTATTGAACTATGTTGAGACAGTTATGATTTCAGGTGGGAAATATATAATAGATGAGAAATATAAAACCCAGGTTAACACTTGATGAAAATTCTGTTTTCATACAAATGTCAGTAATAATAAATGTGGGGATCACATAGCCTGCTTTATGAAAATGAAACAGATACCAGACAGAATAATTTTCAAAGGTTTAAATCATGGTTCAAATATTACTTGCTTATTATTAAATCATATTAAACACTTTAAATCTGATAAATTCTTTGTGGTAGAAAGAATACACATTTTAAGAATGAGAAATTCAGTAGTTTATTCGACTAATGACTAAAATCAGACTGTAACATGTTTCTTCTATATGAAATCTATATTTCTCCATTCCATAAGTGTTTGAAATTATCATAAAGTATGACCACGAAGGCTTCAGGGGCAAATGAAGGCTTAAGAATTCTCAATGTTCACTAGTTTTTACTTTTTTATTGAAAAAATTATAGTGAATAGGAAGGTACATTTTTGTTCTACTACCTTTGTCTCAATGGGATATGGGTCACAGAGACTTGAAGCAATAGTTAGATACCAGCCTTAAGTTTGTGGATAGTGGAACACACATTTGTACATTGGAAGTATGATAAAGTAATTTAAATTAAGCAAAGAGGAACATGTTAACAAAATGAGAATTTGTGAAGAGGAAACATGATTTCCAAAAGAGAATTAGCTAGAAGTAAAAGGTTGATCAGCCATTTGTTCTGCCATATATAACTGAACATTTCAATGAATGCAATCAAAGTTCAAAATATTAGTAATGACATAATAAGCATAACTCATTCATCGCCACATAGGGTAGAACATTTTGAGAAATTAAAAAGAATAATTCTACTTACATCCTGAACTACCATTTGTTGACACAAGAGTCAAGTTGGAAGGCCATGGGTTCCGAACAATATCTTGCCAATGAATGGTGTCTGCATAACAAAGGAATTTGTTCTGGTCTACATAGACTCCACCATTTAGGATTTCTGTATTAAAAAACAAATAAACAAATTTTTTGTCAAACTGCTTGTTGATGAAAAGGTAATCAACAAAAGTGATTTGCTCTTAACTATTTTCAATGTTAAATTAGAGTCATGTTGCTAATAGCCAAGATATCTTTTAAAATATCTTTCAATGAATCATATACATTGATTACAGGAATTTGAAAAGATTAAAAATTACAAAAGTGAAAAACAACCACTCATATTCTACACTCTGAGAGTAACACTCCTAACATTTTGGTATAAATGTTACAGTCTTTTATCTGTTTTCTTCCCTGGAATTGAAATAATATTTTATATAATATTTTATAACCTGCTTGTTTAGTTTAATATTATGTAGTGAGTACTTAATGGTAATTACTACTCTGTATTTTAATGAGAACAGGATATGTCATAGTATAAATTAAATGGTAATTATTTAACCAATCCTCTCTTGTTGGTAATTTAACTTATTTATCTCTCATTGGTCTTTACAACAAATTTCCACACATGACATTCCAAGGTCATAGAGTGTGGATAGTTTTAAGATATTTGGTATCAATTGTCATATTATCCTTAGAGAGATTGTTTCAGTCAAGGTGACATTGACTGCAGTCAGTAGGTAAGTAATTAGCACAAAGTGGAAGCTAAAATTAATGCCTCAATCACAAAAATGTTGTCATCTCAAATGAAATCGATAAGATTGCCAATTATTCTTAACAACACAAAGCAATGTATAACAAATCCTGTGGTTCACTGAAGTAAGGATACGGCTGTGGGATAACATGCACTAAAGCCAATTTGTACTTGATTCTTTATTTCACAACACTGGCCTTGATTAGCTAATTTGTCCTCCACAAACAATGACTGACCACAGAAATGAATTCTCTTTCGGATAGCTTTAAGTTATCCAGGAAAATAAAAACTGAAATATATCCTCTGAAAATATTATTCTTATTATTTGAAGAAATTAGCTACAAATACACATAGCACCTTCCAGCCCAATATGTACCACATTTCCCCTTCCTGTTCAATACAAAAGCAATTTAAGAGAAATCATGCATCAGTCCATAAAGTGTTCAACTACAATTAATCAAAACCCAATCAACAGTTTATAGAGATAGGGGATTTCTTTTTTCACATAAGAAACCTATAGGAGGCAGTTGCAGATATTAGTTCAGCTGTTCCGCAGTGCCCACTATCTGTTCTGCCATCCTCAGTGTGTCAGTTTTATTCATTTCAGGCACAAGATGGCTGCTACATCTAAAAACTAAACTGCAGTCCTTCTGAATTGCAGGCAGGATGAAGTCACAAGAGCAAGCAAGAGACTTCCTCCTAGTGAAGCTGTGACTTTTTATTTGAGAAGAAATGCTCTCCTTGAGGATTATGTCTGCATTTAACTGGCCAGAACAATATCCCATGGTTATCTCTACCGCAAGAGAGATTGAATAAGTAACTATTGAGGTGGAAATATTGCTACTGGGACAAAACCCAGACCAGCAGGGGTGTTAGTGAGGAAGAAGAGGGACATGGATATTGGGAAGGCAACCGACACCATCTCCCACGGTAGCCTTGAGAAATTCATCTCTCTTGTGTGGAACCCCAAGCTAAGTTTGTAGGAGTCATCTTCAACTGAAGAGAGATAAATGAAAGGAACGTGTCACACCACAAGAGGGTTATTTGTGGACTGGTGGTCACATCCCAAGTGCCTTACTGCATTGCATGTACGAAACCCTCCAGATTAGTTTTGATATTGTAGTTCTTTCTACATTTAAAATCACTCCCATTTTCATCATCAGTCATTTCACTGACTATTGGTTCCATTTTGTCGGTGAGGAAAAAAAAAGAAAAGAAATTAGATCATCTTTCTACTTCTAAAACCCAGTTCATTATTTTTTATGACCTAACCATACAACCTTCATCAAAGCAGAAGGGAGACGTAAGACGTAAGAAAGATTGTGAAATGGATTTCTACATTAATGTTTGGCATTAAGTTTTTATCTACGAAATGTGATGATCTCATACTAATAGCTTTCTCATGAGACATTAGGTGATGCTCTTCTGCTCTAGGAATAATTTTCCATTAGGTGACAAAGAAAGGAGATTTTGACTGCTATCCAGGAAATAAAGGTTATTTTTCAGTCTACATTTAGAAAAGTTCTACTTAAAAAAAAAAGTGAAAAGGTAATAGCTCAAACATTGCAGAAAGAGTGTATATTTTTCAGGAGTCACATTGTATTTCAAATAGTTCATACAAAGGAACACAGTATCCATCTCCAACTTCCTATCTAAAATTTTTCAAATAGAATCAGATTATATTATACTGAATAATAGTCTTATCAAATCCCTTTCTTCAACAGTATTAATCTGCTATGAATGTTGACATTTGTTTCTTAGAAATAGTCTGTTCGAGAGCTTGGCTTATACTTGGAAAAGGGATTTAGAAAGGAGACAATAATAAATCCAGCATAATCTTACACGTTAACATTTCAAATTAAGACACATGATCAATCCAGATGATACTTTTATCATTCCTAATTCAAAACTCAGCATCTGCTAGCAATTCTGGTCAGGAGGATTTATAAATGTTTAGCAATTAATGATGGGTAGTTTATTTATGTATTGTTTGTTTTCCTTGAAAATATTCTTTTTTCCTTTATGTTTGGTATACACCCTATTCTGCTGTTGAATGTCAAAGCCTCACAGTCAGAGAATGTAGAATTTCATTGACACTTATAGGACAGTTTTAATGTACAGTCTTACACTTTCTTTTGATTAATTTGATTACCTAAATATGTGTCAGAAAGTAATGTTATAATGGCATTTACATATATTCTTAAAGTTTTCATTGATTTTGTAACTTTACATTTTTAAAATATGAATTTGACATATTTTTGTGAGAAAATATACTCAGGTATGTTTATTACTGTATTAAAAAAATTCTAGAGAATAGATACTAACCTGTAAGAAAGTTCTTAGAGATACAAATTATTTACTTGTTAGAAGGACTGCCTAATGTTTCTGTCTTGGTTGACTACAGAGGCTTGACCGCATTTTTTAGATAAGAAAGAGGGACAAGGATTAGGAAAAGAGAAAAGTTTGTTTAGATGTTTATCTAATAAGAGTACAAAAATGTCTGGCTATATTTAGATCTTGTGGTGACACACAAGAATAACAAAGTTTTCCACAAGTTTTATCAAAGATTTTACAAAGGAATCACCTGTGTTATACCAACCAACAGTTTCCCCCCACTAACATGAAATAAAGTAACAAATAAATGTTAAGAAAGATAGGCAAAGGAGGCACACATTTAATTGATACTCAAAGAAAGATGCAAAGTGTCTGGATGAGTGCAGAAGCTAAAAAAAAAATGTTGAATGCGTGAATGAGTTCAAAGTATCTCATTTCATTTTATTTTACTTCCACTGCAGAAAATTATCAGAGTAAATTGAGAGAGACACAGATAGATTCTTGGTCATTGAATCAATTGATAGAAAAAAGCTGCTATGAGTTTTCTTATCATATTATACACAAATATTTCTGGCAAGTTCACAAAACAGAACTGTCTCTTTTTAATAAATGTCATGGTTAAATAGAGTAAGATATATTAGACATGACATCGATGAAAAAAGTATCATTTCATTGCTGAAAATTTCCAGTAAACACTTAAATATGTTTGTGTCTCAAACGTTTCCGACTAGATTAATGCATGCAAGTTGAGTAAAAGATGTCACGAATCTTTTTTTATTTAGAGTAAATTGTAATCTACACTATTTTCCAATATCTTGAATTTAACTTATATATAGCATAGTATTTGTAGCTGAGATATAATTAGACTAAGCCCCATGAAGGTAAGAAATGTTTTTCAGTGCTGTATCTATAGCATCAAACCTAGAGCAACAGTCACTCCATGAATAATTGTTAGATTTAATTGTGTATGGAAAAAAAGTACCATGGAATTTGCAATCAATATTTATAAGGTAACTTCTATTGTAGTTCCTAATTTTAAATTATATTCTGACCAAATCAAAGTAAGAATGAAAGTTATCGTTTCCCATAAACACTCTACAGGTTATCTTGACTGGTCCTATGTTTCATAAAGTATGAAGCTGTTACTGTTTTGTTCAAAACCATATCTCCAGTTTCAATATTATGCAAGGCTCAAGGTGATACACAATAAATATTTGATTAATTGAAATATCTATACAGAATATCTTGAATTTAAGAAAATATATATATATAATTCTGTGGTTAGAGAAAGCCGAAAGGAAAATAGCATTTATTATATAAAACGCATATAACTGATAATATACAATATTACTGCAGACAATACATTTGATATTTATAAGGCATTTTTACTCCCTAACCTATTTTGTACACAAAACTCAATTATTAGTTACCAGGTAAATAATGACGATCTTTAGCTATCCCATACAGACCAAATTTCTCTAAGCCTGTGCAAATCACCTTGCATATGCTACAGAGAAGCCTAAATTTTCTTGTATTGAACTGTAAGTCTACCTCACATTGTCCTTACATTTTTCAGAAAGGTATAAACTGCCAATATGACATTTGAAAAAGGACAGAAAGTATTTGTATCTTTGTCATTCACTCCACAAAGGTTAACCATTGGACCATGTCTTTCCTTGATTTCCATTTTCATGAGTCTAATAAATAAGGAAATGTTTGTGTTATTTAAATAACTTCTTTTGTATTCTTCATTTCTTGTCAAATGCTAGTTACTGCAGTGAATTTGGGGATGAGTGCCCATTAACAGAATCATTGACATTTTGCAAATATATTATCTCCAAAACTATGGTAAAATACTGAATAATAGCTTTTTTTCTCTGCCCTGTATGAAATGACCTAATTGTGATGTAACATCCCTGCTGAAAATACAGATTAATATGACCCCTTTACTAGGTTTAAGAAATTTACAAAATTGCATGGACCCCATGCACAATTTGTAACCATTTTGTGAATAAGATTGAATATCTTTCTCTTTTTCCAAAATAAAGATTATAATTTTAAATGCAGTTACACTATATTTCACTTTAGTCTATATGATCGATATTATCAGTGAACATTTTAATTCTACTCAAAATCTACCAACCATATGATATAAGAAGGATCTAATAAACAGGAATGAAATATTTAACCTCTATCCCTGATTGTATATCTAAGTATTTTGTTTTGCAGGGGTGCATCTACAGGTCAACCTTAGAATTAAAATGATAATTAAAATAATAAAGATTAGAAATATTGCACTTATCTAATCACAATAGGCGCATTTAAATAATGCATATGTCAGACTTATACTATCTATCTAAGTCAAAGGGCAGAATCAAGAATCAAAATCCAAGGCAGCAAAACCCATTTTCAAGATGAAGCCACAGAAAGCAGTTACAAGACTTTCTCGGACATAAAGCAATGTATCTTTCTCACTGTCATCACCTTAAGCCACACAAGTCTGTTGGCAGATAATGATACAAAAGTAATATAGCTCACATCATCCACCTATGATACTTAATACATGATCTCTGGAATGGACTTGGTCCAGAGATTCCTGTATCTTTCCCAAACCCAGACCTTTCAGCTGGGAGCACAATGAATTGCTGCTACCCCACTGGGTCAGCCCTCAAGGTTCATTATTAATAAGCTGAGACTCAAAAGGCTAATGAGAACCGGGTGCTTGAGGAGACAATGGCTCATTCATCATCAATCAAGCTTTGAAGTTTTTATACAGATGATTTAAGGAGAGTTGAAGTGTGCAAAATTGAAATGTCACGTTTGTATTGGGAGCGGGTAGAGGGTGATAATGTAAATGAGTGACGTAACCTTCTATATTTCAGCTCGATGATCAGAGTCAAAAGCTCATGGATGCAGATACCAAATGTTTTTCCATCAGAGTATAGCAATTTCAAGATGAAATTATTAGATCCACTGGCTGAAAATCAGCTTAAGATAGAAAATAATATCTTGATTTCAATTGAATGAAGCTCAGTAATGCTTGTTGCAATGTTCTAACTTATTAATACATACTTCAGTATCCACTACAATTCTTAGCTTTCATTATGTTTCAGGTTTGAGTTCTAGCTCCTCTGAGAGGTTTGCTATGACCACCTAGTTCTTAGAGTTCCCCCTTCCTCTAACTCCTGTAACACTGATTACCCGAGCCACTTATCTGACATAGAGCAAATGCTACCTTACCTTCTTATATATTCTTTTGTGTATTTGCCTTGTCTCCCCTATCTTATTGGAGGTCCCTCAAGGATTAGAACTATGATGTACACCTCTTTGTGTCCCTAGTGCCAAAGAAAGTGTCAAGCACATAGTAGAATTTCAAATGTTTTTGATGATTATGATAATGATAACATCCATAGAACATGACCAACTTTTGTAAAAAATTACTTGCTTAGTGATAGCATAATGTTAGTGATATGCACTAGATATTTACATTGTAAATCCCATAAAATATTGAATACATTTATTTTGATCTTAATATATTCTTTCTGTCCTAATATTAAGAAAGTAGTAATCCACTTAAACTCATTGATATTCCCCGGAAAAAATTAAAACTATATTTTATCTTGTAACAGTACTCAAATTATGAACATAGGATTTCCTTCTCAAATTGTCTTATTATATAATCCCATACGTGTGTCAACGTCTAACTTTTTTCTAATAATTTTCCCGAGATTTGTATTCTCCCTGTGTTTTCTTATTTCTGTTAAAATCAACATAAATGCTGTAAAAGTCACATAGACTCAAAGTTTGAAATTTATTACTATTTCCTTTATTTCTATATTTAACCATTTATGGTGCTCTACAGAAAATTTCTCATAGTGTCTCTTTTTATATCCACAACTGCTACTTAATTCAGGTTCTATCATCTCATACCAGATTTAACTTCTTGCCTGTAATCTATTCTCCCCACAAATCCATCTTGCATATTAAAGTCATAATATATGCTATATTATAAAGAGATAGATAATATACTCTAGGTAGGTGGAGAGAGACAGGTGGTAGGGGAGAGAAATCCTGCTCTATCACGGCTTTGAATTGTAAAGGCAATAATACTGAATCTAGTTGACTGGATAAAATAAAGCTCATAATCTAGTTTTGTTTCAACAAAGCAAAGGTGGGCCTTGTCCACCTTTATGAAGCTGAGTTTGCTCAATTCTGTGATGGGTTTATTGTACTCACGGTATCTGTCGCATAGTTGCTTCTATTATAATTTTAAATTGCTAATTATTTAAATAGTGGTTACTTCTTGGTATGAGCAAGGAATATGCTTCTTTTGAGTATTCATACTAACATTGCTTTAATCAGTATTAGATTAGGTTGTAGTTTAAAGAGTATAGACATTTTTTTCTTCTATATAAAAATCTGGCTAGGTTATTTAAGGCTATTATATAAAAATCCACAATCATCAGGGAGCCCCATTCTATTTTGTTCTTGTTTCTCTACCATCTTCAATACAAGAGGAGTTTCCAACTGGCAAAAACCATGCAAAAGACGGAGAAAATCATGAAGGACAAAAGAACAGAGGAAGAGTACATGTATTTTAATGAAAATTCCTGCAAATTGCCACAGCACAATTATACTTGTATCTCGTTGGTCAGAATGAAGTCAACGAGCCACAGCTAGGTGCATGGAAGGAAGGGAATTAAAGTATTCATTCTGGGTGATCATATGAGTAGCTAAACTTTATATACTATTTAAAATTTAGAAAGTGGTAATAGATATTGGTGACAACTAGCAGTCTCTGTTATAGTGACTCAAAAGAAACCTCGCATCTTCTGGATATTTATAAAACATAAATCTTGTGACTTGAACAAATGTAAAGCTTTTTAAGAAACTTTTTAATTGAATTATAATATACACACATAGATGTGCATTATCATATTCAATTAACTTTTACAAACTGAACACACTTATGTAACCAGCACTCAGATCAAGAGCTTGAGCCATACCAACACCACAGCAGCCTTCCTCATACTTTCCACCTCATGTCACTCTATCAGAACCCTGATCCTGACTTTGAGCAAGATAATGTGTGCTTATTTTTGTATTTTACGTATATAGAATCATACCATACGTATTCTCTTGTGTCTGGCTCCTTTTGCTCGATATTATGTTTGTGAAATTCATCTATATTGTTTATTTTCATTGTTGTGTGGTATTCCATGGTTTGTCAATTCTGCATTGATGGGCATTTGGATACTTTCCACACTTGGGCTATTATAAATAACTGCTGCTATGCACTTCCTAGAAAATGCCTTTAGATGATTATATGTACACATTTATGTTGCGTGTATACCTAGAAGTAGTACTGCTGGGTCATAGTGATAATCACTTTTTATTTAACCAATTTAACTTATTTATATGCCCATTAGTAGTATATGAGAAATCTAGTTGCTTCTTGACCTTGTCAAGTCTTGATTATTAGTTGGTTTTGTTGTATTTCATTGTAGTCACTCTTATTGGTGTATAGTGGTATTATTTTAATTTGCACTTCCCTAGTGACTACTGAAGTTGACCTTCTTAAATACTATCTTTAAAGAGTAATTTTTAAAGGCAAGAGATTTATTTCTGTTTACTCCAAGAAAGGTCTTACTATGTGTAAAACATTTACAAAGCACTGTTAAAAACCTGATCTTTAAGTTATTGGCAAACAATTTAGTAAAATAATTTATCAGGTGTAACCCTCATAACTTATTTTTGTTGTTATTGTTAAGAGATCTGGTTCAATGTTTTGAAAATGACACTTTAAAATGTCTTAGAAAAAATTAAAACTACATTAATAATTATAAAGAGTAAAATACGATTTCTGGAAGACGGATGGGAAAATTCACAGTAGGTGATTATCTCTCTGATAACAGACAAACACAACCAAAGGTATATAAAAAGGATGAGAAATTTAATGTCTTCTTGCTATTAAAATAGAACACTCTTTTACATAAAGCTCACATATTTTTATTCCTATATCCACCAGAAAGCCCTCATTACAGACAACAATCCTCTTAAATAACTGTTCCAAGTTTCCAGAAAATGTAATTGCTTCAGTAGAACAAATCAGTAGAGTTCAATGTTTTCATTACCAATAAGGGGACGGTCATATTAGTACTCAGAAATGATTTGTCCCTTTTATTTACAGGATTTAATACAATAAGCCTGGGGATATACTGCAAGGTCACTTTCAAATATCTCACCCACTATATTAGTTTGTATAGTTTTAATAACTCTTCTCACAATGTGTGATTTCTACACTATTTCTTTTTTAGAATACTTCAAAAAAGTATGATTTTTCTTGATGACAGTAATAATAAATAATATTGCTATGTATGTTTGTTGCTGGCATGTTAAGACTTGCAAATAAAAGATAAAGCAAGAGAAAGAATAATGATTTACTCTTGTAAGATGATTATATGATTTTCAAATATGTCAAGATTTTTAAAAGGCTATATTTGTGAATATTAAAAATATAAATAAGTGATTTGGGGGCTAGAAGTCTCAGCTAAAATGCCTAGAATGTTAATTTTAAAAATAACACATAAAGACAACACTTTACAAAATAAGAAATTAAAGAAGGAGTCATAAAATAAGATTGCAAGCAAGCCATACTGGAAGATTATTTTAAAAGCCACAACACGAAGGTCCAAATTAATTTTCTTTTAAAATGAAGTTTAAATCTGGAGAAAATCAGGAAGGAATAATTGAATAACAGTAATCATCATTTTATAAAGCACTGGTTGTCAAAATACAAAATATCAGGTACTGTGGCAAAATAGAAAGAAATGGCTTTTTAGATTGCTTTGTATACAGTTTCAAATTAGTATACATTAACTACAGTAAAATGGACAAATTTTAAGCTCTATGTTTTACATATACATGTATACAATATTTGTACATCTGTATCAAGCAGCCGCCACCCAGATAAAGACACAGCATATCTCTATCACTCCAGAAAATTTTCCCTGCTTCATTCCAGTCAATACTGCATAGAAGTCAGCATAGAAAGTCAGCCACTATGCTGACTTCTACCACAACAAATTAGTTTTGCCTCTTTATTAAATTCATAGAAATAGAATCACACAATATGTATCTTATTCCTTTTTCTTATCTTCTTTCCCTGAAAATAATGTTTTTGAGATTTATTTATGCTGTTGCTTTAATTCATAGGCTGTTCATTTTTATTGTTCCGTATTATTCCAGTCTGTGAATATACCACAATTTGTTTATACATTAGTTCACTTTTTAACCATAGATTTGGCACTTTTACTAGGTGGTTGCAGGCAAATTACTTCACGTTTCTTTTCTACCATCTACAAAATTGGAATAATAATCTTTACTTTGTTGGGTTACAATGAGAAATACAGATAATATATACAAAACTCCAGTTACATACTAGGTGTTCAAAAGGTACTAGCTATTTCAAAATAAGTTAATAATATAGTTCAGGAGCTTTGTCTAAACTATTTTAAAACCTATGTACATTGGTCAAAGTACAGGTTTTGGGGGAGAAATGATGACCAAATGAAAACCTTTGAGAGATACATGAAATCCCCATTAAGTTTGGTGCCTAGCATAACAATTTTAGAGATAGATATATTGAGCTAAAATATTATTAAATGTCTTACTAAAGTTAGTTAATTAAAAAATTGGGTTTCTCTGTATTTCATAAGTTAAATTCTTCCTAAGAACAAGATCATAAATTCTATAACTTACTATCTTTCCCACACTGAAGTATCTTAGATATCTGGTTGAGTTAACCCTTTAGTAATTTCCTGTCATTTCTCTAACTATATTCTGTGACAGCATTTAGAGCTGCTAGATTTCCCTCTGTTTGGATCAGGTTGGTGCATAGTTCGTAGGTCACAAAACCTCCCTCACAATCTCCAGGTGGCCTTTACCTCTGCTGTCACTACCACTGTGCTTCAAATAAATTAGCATAAATTCCAAAGTCTTGTACAAGAGAGCTGAGCTCTTTTCTTCCAGGCCAAGGGTCTGGAATTTTTACAGTAGAATAATGAATTAATTCAAAAACACAATATTCTATGGTCCTTACCACCACCCAATCATTTTCTCCACTGTAAAAATTATTTTCATATTGTCACATCTGAGGTCATAAGAGAATAGCCTCCATTATAGCTCTGTAATGTGTATTACCATGTCTTCTAAATTACATAAAGGAACATCTTTTATTTTAGAATGTTTCTGCTTTCATAGGGTAAATAAATATTTTAAAATCTTTGCGGATCTTTGTCTGCTTCTTGAGGCTAGACATAAAGAAAAATTCTAACATGTCTAACAATGCCAGATGGTTTAGTCCACTCAAGATGCCAACATTCAAGAAGGGAAAACTATTGAGAAATTGATATCTGCAGGGGACTGGGTAACCATGACTCTGCCATAGAGCAACAGCCTTTCAGGAAGGGAATTATCAAAAAGTATGAGATAATTTTTGTAGGTATCCTCCCCAAATCTCAGTTCTCTTCTCTATAAAATGGTGATAACTCATAGTGCCACGTTCATGAGGCAACTGAAAGGAGAAAATGAGTTATCATATGTATATGTTGACCACAGTGTCTGCCATGCAACACATGTTCAGTTGATGTACTATTATTATTATTGAGGGAAAGATAAGAAGAGTTCTCTGATAAGCAGATTTCTTCTATCCTGCTTGATGATTTTTCTCCATTTCCTGTCATAAATACCCTTTTCAGAGAGAGCTAAAACCAGGGCAAGACTACTAGGCCACGTTAAAATTCATGGGTTTGTGCATTTGCTCATTTAAAAAAATATATTTTAACCCACTTTTATGAGTTTCACATGCCCTTTTTGGAGCACATTATGCTTCTGGACACCCATAAAATTATTCACAATCACTAAATATAGAACTTTCCTTTTTAAGGGTGGGATTTCTGCACCCCAAAGGCATAGTAAGTGAGACACACAATGATGAAGCAAGTTGCCAAATGCCTCATGCATAGTTGGGGATCAGACTAGGATTCCAAAGTCTGTCTGCCTGGCTCCACAGCCCCATTGTTAGCCACCTCACTGTACACTCTTCATAAATGCTGCCATTGTGTGAATACTTATAATGCAGTATTTCTCTTAATCCTTACAGAAATCCTATGAGGTAATTATTACTAATCTCATTTTACAGATGAAAAAACTGAGGTTTAGAGAGCTAAATAACTGGTAAGAGTTCGAAAGAACCATGATTCCAACTTAGTCTGATGGCTGAGTTGGCTTTTAAATTTTTAGTCTGTGCTCTCCCCATTGTAGAAAGGAAAGCGTGAGTAATCTAAATGGAAAACAAAACAAAACAAAACAGTTTAAGCAGAGATGAGGCACAATTTTATCTTATGTAATCTACTTCTAAGTATAATTAAGAACTCACAGTAATTTCCCTGAAGTCCTTTTTGAAAATATTTTATGGAGTTGAAAGGTAAAATTATGCTTTTAAGGGATCTTTTCTACATGAAAAACTGTGCGTTAAAAAAAAAAAAAAAAAAAAACCTCTTGGCTCTGGTAGATGTCTGGACCATATCCCAACCTCGTCTCTTGAGGTGCGTTTCTTTTGCCTCTGTCAAAAGTAGATGCAGAGGAAAAGGCAGCACAATAAAAAACTTCAAGAATTCAGCCCACTTAAGGAAAAGCACTTCAATTTGGTAAAAAAATAGAAAATAAAAAAGTGAATTAAAAGAAAGCCAATTTTATTATTGTCAAGTACTGTGGGAACTCTATGCTTAGTGTTTGAAAGCTCTGCTTTAATGAATAGGGTAAAATGATTTTAATTACCATATCCAAACTCATAAACTTATAAAGAATTTATCTCTATGTGCTTTATAGCTGTATTTCTAAAAATATAAAATTGATATTCAAATGTGTAGGGCATTCAGTTCTTCTAACCGAATTCCATTCCCCTTATAATTTATTTCCTATTATTTGTTGAGTAATTCACATAAAGAAAGCAAAAGTGCAAAATATTTACATTATTAATTCAAATAAATGAAAATGTATTTAAACATTAAGCTTAATATTCTAATCACTGTAAAGGTAAATTGGATTCATATGATGGGGAAAAAAAGGGAATCCAAAATTAAAACAGGTGGTTAAATGTAGCCTTATCACAGTATCTTTTGTTAGGTGAACTTACTGGATTAAATACCGCTCAATATCATACGAGAACTGAAATATCTTCTTGAAATATATATTTTTTAAATCATCTTTTTTCTTTGCTTGATATAGTTAAAAATATTCATCTTTAGACATGCCTATTAGCTAACTTTTATTTAAAATAGTGAAAAAAGGAAGCTGATTTTATTTGTGAGTTTGGGATATTTTCTTTATTTTATGTACATTAATTTCATAAATGTGCTGAGTTAAAAGGTAATATAATATATTGTACACAGAAGAGTTTTTATTCTAGCACAAACAAAAGGATATGTTCACTTCTAAAGATATAATTATCTTTAAAAGTAGAAAGTTCTTAACTAAAACTTTCTCAGATATAAAGTAAAATAAGAGAAAATATTTTTAGAAGTTTCATGAAACTAAACATTTATTTGTGAATTTAAAAAGATTTAAACTGGACTTTACAGAAGAGAATAATACAAAGAGTATCTTGTATACATTCATGTTCTACGCCTAATTTATTTTTGTAGGGCATGTGTTTATATAGTTATATCATATTTGAAAGAATCTTACATAGAAAATTAAGCTCTGGTGATAATCTCTAGTTCATGCTACCTAGCTGAGATGCAAGGGAGACAAAAAGGAACACTAATCAGATTAGCATAAAACTGGAATACAGGCCGGGCACGGTGGCTCACGCCTGTAATCCCTGCACTTTGGGAGGCCGAGGCGGGCGGATCACGAGGTCAGGAGATCGAGACCATCCTGGCTAACACGGTGAAAACCCGTCTCTACTAAAAATACAAAAAATTAGCCGGGTGCGGTGGCGGGCACCTGTAGTCGCAGCTACTCGGGAGGCTGAGGCAGGAGAATGGCAGAAACTCGGGAGGCGGAGCTTGCAGTGAGCCGAGATAGCGCCGCTGCAGTACGGCCTGGGCGAAAGAGCGAGACTCAGTCTCCAACAAAAAAAAAAAAACACAAAAAACTGAAATACAGGTAGTGGGAATGCTAATAAGAGTACCAATAGTGTCCTCAGTTCTAATTTCACCATTGTCACATACATATCTTTCCTTACAATTAATGACATCACAAGAACATTATTTACTAAAAAGCTATAATATTTTGAGAACTTAACTATTAGGTTCTCTATTCTCATTTTACTTTGAAGTTCAGAACAATTAGCTGGCAACAAACATCTTGAAGAATTGTTGCAAACCAGATGCTAAACCTAAGCCTTCTAAAAGTATCTGTGTGCTGACATGTGGAAAAGAGAATGATGATTTATTAATAAATACCGGAAATACATTTTTGAAATAAAAATATGTTTAAAATGTTGTTTCACTTGTAATTGTTTAATATTTTATTTTCTCCAGAGCTTCAAGAGTTATAATCTAAATTGCAACTGAAGGAAGCTTAAGCTAGCTGATATGCACCTAGCTATTTCCCCGCTTCAAAGCCTACAGAACCATCTGCTTGTTGGCAGGTGTAATTAATTAGCTAAGTGGAGAAGACGCTCCCTTTTAGAGTGAATAGGAGGAGAGGAGGGAGAACTCTGTGAAAGCCTAATCCTAGGCAGACCCATCAGCTGGGTGCCTCTGGGCAAATTTCCGATGCTGAAAACTCATTGAATTTAATGGTTCTTAATTTCACAAGATTTCTAATTACAGCTAGGATAATAAGATGCGATCCAAAAGTTGAAAAAAAGTTGGCACATTTTCAAGGAAAATCCTTTCACACAATGTAGACATCCTAAAGTGTAGAAGTTCATTTATTTACACATTTTCCACTTATTCCCTCAACTTTGCTAATAAGCAATTTTGAATCTATTTGGCTGACAGGTGGCAAATGCCTATTAATAATAGTAAAATGTGTCATGCTAAATTTTGTATCTAATCCAACATTGCTTTTCAGAATAGTCAAAGAAAAGTCCATCCAAGCAACATTATTATTCATTTTCAATAGATTTTAAAAGGACTACATTCTAAGAATAGAAATGGGGGGAAATATAACACTAAGACCATAAAACTTCCTATAATTTTATCAGTATAGATTATATTAGATTATCACCGAAGAGTCCAGAAGATAATAAACTCTACAACACTTCCTTCTTTTAAACACTCTGTCAGAAACAAAATTCCCTCTTAAACATCTCCTGGTATTTGGTTTTAATGGGTAAGGTGAGACAGGTATAAGGAATAGAGTGAGTAGAACTATGGCAAACTGGAAAGCACCCATCACAACTAAAAGAGCACTGACTGCTCAGCCCCAGAAGATGTTACTAAGAGACAATGTGAACTCAGGGTTGCCAGAGGTTGGTTTTATTCAGAGGGGCCAGAAATGCAGAATTTATCGGTAAATTCCCTCAAATTTTAAACACTCTTCTATGCAAAGCACGTCTGTAGATTACAGTCTTTGAGACAGCAGTTTACCACATCTGGTTTATTGAATAATTGTATCTGTGAACTCCTCAATGATGAGCAAGCTCTTACTACATCAATAACCAGACTGAGATATGCTCTCATGGAACTAGTCTTCACAGCTCCTCTACCTATTGATAAAGAATGGAAAGGGAAAGGGAGGCAGTTATACAGTTCATGAGAGAGTAAAGAAAAGTGCAGAAGCCCCTACTGTTACATGAACAGTAGAGACCAGAAGGCACTGAATTCCATAAGACTTCTTCATACTTCTTGTCATCATTTGTTGCAATGGAGTAGAATAAGCGTCTGGCTATCTAATGATTCTTGAAATGTGTGCTGCAGACATGTCACCCCAGAATATCACACTTCCACTGCTGAATATTTACTTCCACGTGTAAATTTTGAATAGGAAAGGCTTACATGTCATCTGGAAGATAAAATCAAATAACTGGCTGTCATGTTAGTATGGACCTGTTTATAGGATTAACATAATAACATAAAAAATCTAAAGATTAGAGGGACTGGAAGGTTAAATTATAATTTAGAAAAAGGAAGCAAATGTACAAAAAGGTTGCAGTCAGGGATATGTTCCCAAGTTTTGTTAGTCCTGCATTAATCACTCAGGTGAGACTATATACTTGATCCTTGGGAGTAGACGTGGCATAGGAGAAAGGAAATTTTCAACCTGCTTATTTCATAATGCTGAATGGTCTTCTACTTGTTCTTTGGAAACAAATGAATTGAGTGACTTTCAGCTCCCCTACCACTGAATCCAATAGGCCAATACAATTCCAAAAAAGTCTTTCCAATAGTCAGAATTTCAAAAGACAAATTATCTCAGGAATTGACATCAGTCAACTAGTATGCTCTCAGCCAGAAGTTGGGTGCAGGGAAAATTATAGCTGCCCATTGTGGGGTTTTTTAATGCTCTATAAACACGCCAGGTAATACCAAAAGACTTATGGGAATCAAATTGGAGTCCAAGGTTGATTTCTTTTCTGTATTCAGTACACAGGAATTTAAAGAGACCTGGGCTCTTTCCCTTAGCTCCATCTCTTAGGATTTCTGGCATTGTAGCCTTCCTTCTTTAACTGTCCATTTTAGAGGAACATGGTTAGAGTGAATCCTTCTAAATGAGCTCTTCATCCCTAACAGTGAGTGTTCTTTCTACTTCTGAGCAGAGGTTACAGCTCTTTCAAAATATTCTTTTTTTTTTTTTTTGAGATGGTGTGTTGCTCTGTCACCCAGGCTGGAGTGCAACGGCATGATCTTGGCTCACTGCAACCTCCGCCTCAAAGGTTCAAGTGATTCTTCTGCCTTAGCTTATCCAGTAACTAGGATTATAGGCACCTGCCACCACACTCAGCTAAATTTGTATTTTTAGTAGAGACAGGGTTTCACCATGTTGGCCAGGCTTGTCTCAAACTCCTGACTTCAAGTGACCCATCCGCCTGTGCCTCCCAAAGTGCTAAAGTGCTGGGATTACAGGTGTGAGCCACTGTGCCTGGCCCTTTTTAAAAGATTCTATTCAACTCCTCCATGCCATAGGCTGGAAGTTGGTCTGTGATCCTCAAATCCTTTTTTGTTTTCTTTGAGTATGGAGAAGAGTTGAGTGAGAACAAGAATCTGTCTGATCAAATATCCGAGGGTAATGATAGTTTCTGGAAAGGAAATCAGTGGAGAAAAATAATATAAAAGGGTGTTAAAAGTCAAAGAAAGAAAACACAAGAGTATGAGCATAGAAAAATCTAAATAGAACAAGGAGAGACGTATTTATTTAAAATATTTTACCTATGTATTACTTCCATTGATTTGTTCTAAGTCTTTCAAGAGATGGGTGGCCTCTTCGCCAAACCATGTCATCTCTTGCCAGAAAACAGCACTGTGTCTCTTTGCTTATTCTCTTGCCTTTAAACAATTAATTTGTCACAGTCAGTCAATGTGGTCTTTTCAAAACCAAAATTAAATTGTTATAAGATGAACAACAAGGGTGGAACCAATACCAAAAATAGATAATTCAGAAGCTAGTATCTATGTCAAGATATATCTAGTTCATATTCACAGATAATTTGAGAAAAAAATACAAAAAAAATTCTATTCTATAGGAAAGAATAATCAATGAAGAAACAAGTATTCTTGAAAATTGCAAATGTCATATCTGATAAAATATTTAATAAATATAATATTTAACAAAATTGAAGAAGTCTCCTAGAAAGTAGAGAAAAAAGAGAAATATAAAGAAGAGAAAAAAATAAAAGAAATAAAGGATACATCCAGGAAGTCAAGCATTACAAGTTATAGAGAGAAGAAAGAACATATAGAAGAATACATTATCAATAAATTGAGGCAAATAATTTCCCTTAAGTTTAATCGAGCCAAATAATTTCCCATAATTATGCAGAAAAAGATTTTAAAACAAAATAAATGCCTAGATGTGTATATTTAAAATTTCAGAATCTTAAAAAAAATGTAAAATCCTACAAAAGAATAGGACAGGGATATAAGAAAGGCAGAGACAGCTAGAATGAGAATGAGAGACTAAGGAGAGAGAGACAGCAGGGATCAAAATCACATCAGACTTCTCAACAGGGACACCGTGTGAAAAGTAGTAACTTCAAATACTAAGTGAAATTCTTTTTAACTTAGAATTCTAAACCCAGTCGCCATTAATCAAACCATCACTAAATTATGAGTATAGAAGGAGACATTTTGATATTCAAGAACCCAGTAAATTTACCCTTCACCATTTTTTTAAGGAATATTTTAAAGATACCCTTCAAGAAAATAAGGGAGCACAGCAAGATAGTGAAAAATAGGTGATGCAGGATCCAGCCCAGGAAGTAACTAAAGAGAAGTATCACAATGCAACAGAAATGTACAGAAAATAATACGGATTGGTGACATAAAACTGAGAGGCCAAAGAAGGTAGTCTCCAGGGAAAAGGGGGACTGATATAATGCATCATAGGAAATCTGACAATAATTGGACTATAACAAAAACATGTAGTGTAAGAAAATGAAAGCCAAGTGGAAACATCAAGAAAAAACAAGCAAACTGCACAAGGAAATAAATATAATCATAGTACATTCTTCCCTCTGCTATGATTTTTTAAAAGTTGCATGAATGTAAAAATCACAATAATGTAAGTATAATGCATATTGATTTTCAACTTTTAGACAAAGATAGTATCTTTTAACAATATCTTTTAAAGATACTTTTAAAGATAGTATCTTTAAACAATATTGTTTAAAAGACAGTATCTTTTACACAACAAAAACGTCAAGATTGATAATATATTCTGTTCAATAGATGCCTTAAATGATAAATCAAGAAATAATTAATTATATTTTAAATATATTCAGAGATATGTTAATAATCATCAGAAACAGCTTAATGAGCTAGAGAGTAGACAAAACAGGAGACTGTTGATTTTTTTTTTAATTATACTTTAAGTTCTAGGGTACATGTGCACAACGTGCAGGTTTGTTACATAGGTATACATGTACCATGTTGGTTTGCTGCACCCATTAACTCGTCATTTACATTAGGTATTTCTCCTAATGCTATCCCTTCCCCTGGCCCCCACCCCAAGACAGGCCCCTGGGTGTGACGTTTCCTGCGCTGTGCCCAAGTGTTCTCATTGTTCAGTTCCCACCTATGATTGAGAACACGCGATGTTTGGTTTTCTGTCCTTGTGATAGTTTGCTCAGGATGATGGTTTCTAGCTTCATCCATGTCCCTACAAAGGACGTGAACTCATCCCCTTTTATGGCTGCACAGTATTCCATGGTGTATATGTGCCACATTTTCTTAATCCAATCTATCATTGATGGATATTTGGGTTGGTTCCAATTCTTTGCTATTGTGAATAGTGCCACAATAAACATATATGTGCATGTGTCTTTACAGTAGCACGATGTATAATCCTTTGGGTATATATCTAATAATGGGATTGTTGGGTCAAATGGTATTTCTATTTCTAGATCCTTGAGGAACAATGGTTGAACTAGTTTACACTCCCACCAATGGTGTGAAAGAGTTCCTATTTCTTCACATACTCTCCAGCATCTGTTGTTTCCTGACTTTTTAATGATCTCCATTGTAACTGGTGTGAGATGGTATCTCATTGTGGTTTTGATTTGCATTTCTCTGATGGCCAGTGATGATGAGCATTTTTTCACGTGTCTGTTGGCTGCATAAATGTCTTCTTCTGAGAAGTTTCTGTTCATATCCTTTGCCCACTTTTTGATGGGGTTGTTTGCTTTTTCTTGTAAATTTGTTTAAGTTCTTTGTAGATTCTGGATATTAGCCCTTTGTCAGATGGATAGATTGTAAACATTTTTTTCCCATTCTGTAGGTTGCCTGTTCACTCTGATGGTAGTTTCTCTTGCTGTGCAGAAGCTCTTTAGTTTAATTAGATCCCATTTGTCAATTTTGGCCTTTATTGCCATTGTTTTTGGTGTTTTAGACATGAAGTCCTTGCCCATGCCTATGTCCTGAATGGTATTGCCTAGGTTTTCTCCTAGGGTTTTCATGGTTTTAGGTCTAACATTTAATTCTTTAATCCATCTTGAATTAATTTTTGAATAAAGTGTAAGGAAGGGATCCAGTTTCAGCTTTCTACATATGGCTAGCCAGTTTTCCCAGCACCATTTATTAAATAGGGAATCCTTTCCCCATTGCTTTTTTTTTGTCAGGTTTGTCAAGGATCATATGGTTGTAGATGTGTGATGTTATTTCTGAGGCCTCTGTTCTGTTCCATTGGTCTATATCTCTGTTTTGGTACCAGTACAATGCTGTTTTGGTTACTATAGCCTTGCAGTATAGTTTGAAGTCAGGTAGCGTGATGCTTTCAGCTTTGTTCTTTTTGCTTAGGATTGTCTTGGCAATGCAGGCTCTTTTTTGGTTCCTTATGAACTTTAAAGTAGTTTTTTCCAGTTCTGTGAAGAAAGTCATTGGTAGCTTCATGGGGATGGCATTGAATCTATAAATCACTTCGGGCAGTATGGCCATTTTAACAATATTGATTCTTCCTATCCATGAGCATTGATTGTTCTTCCATTTGTTTGTATCCTCTTTTATTTCATTGAGCAGTGGTTTGTAGTTCTCCTTGAAGAGTCTTTCACATCCCTTGTAAGTTGGATTCCTAGGTACTTTATTCTCTTTGTAGCAATTGTGAATGGCAGTTCACTCATGATTTGGCTCTCTGTTTGTCTGTTATTGGTGTACAGGAATGCTTGTGATATTTGCACATTGATTTTGTATCCTGAGACTTTGCTGAAGTTGCCTAACAGCTTAAGGAGATTTTGGGCTTAGATGACAGGGTTTTCTAAATGTACAGTCATGTCATCTGCAAACAGGGACAATTTGACTTCCTCTTTTCCTAATTGAATACCCTTCATTTCTTTCTCTTGCCTGATTGCCCTGGCCAGAACTTCCAACACTATGTTGAATAGGAGTGGTGAGAGAGGGCATCCCTCTCTTCATAAAATGAATTAGGGAGGATTCCCTCTTTTTCTATTGATTGGAATAGTTTCAGAAGGAATGGAACCAGCTCCTCTTTGTACCTCTGGTAGAATTTGTCTGTGAATCCATCTGGTCCTGGAGTTTTTTTGGTTGGTAGGCTATTAATTATTGCCTTAATTTCAGAGCCTGTTATTGGTCTATTCAGAGATTCAACTTCTTCCTAGTTTAGTTTTGGGAGGGTGTATGTGTCCAGGAATTTATCCATTTCTTCTAGATTGTCCAGTTTATTTGCATAGAGGTGTTTATAGTATTCTCTGATGGTAGTTTGTATTTCTGTGGGATTGGTGGTGATATCCCCTTTATCGTTTTTTATTGCATCTATTTGATTCTCCTCTCTTTTCTTCTTTATTAGTCTTGCTAGCAGTCTATCAATTTTGTTGATCTTTTCCAAAAACCAGGTCCTGGATTCACTGATTTTTTTGAAGGGGTTTTGGGTCTCTATCTCCTTCAGTTCTGCTCTGATCTTAGTTATTTCTTGCCTTCTGCTAGCTTTTGAATTTCTTTGCTCTTGCTTCACTAGTTCTTTTAATTATGATGTTAGGGTGTTGATTTTAGATCTTTCCTGCTGTCTCTTGTGGGCATTTAGTGCTATAAATTTTCCTCTACACACTGCTTTAAAAGTGTCCCAGAGATTCTGGTACATTTTGTCTTTGTTCTGATTGATTTCAAAGGAAATTTTTATTTCTGCCTTCATTTCGTTATTTACCCAGTAGTCATTCAGGAGCAGGTTGTTCAGTTTCCATGTAGTTGTGCTGTTTTGAGTGAGTTTCTTAATCCTGAGTACTAATATGATTGCACTGTGGTCTGAGAGATAGTTTGTTGTGATTTCTGTTCTTTTACATTTGCTGAAGAGTGCTTTACTTCCAACTATGTGGTCAATTTTGGAATAAGTGTGATGTGGTGCTGAGAAGAATGTATATTCTGTTGATTTGGGGAAGCGAGTTCTGTAGATGTCTATTAGATCTGCTCAGTGCAGAGCTGAGTTCATGTCCTGGATATCGTTGTTAACCTTCTGTCTTGTTGATCTGTCTCATATTGACAGTGGGGTGTTAAAGTCTCCCATTATTATTGTGTGGGAGTCTAAGTCTCTTTGTAGGCCTCTAAGGACTTGCTTTATGAATCTGGGTAATCCTGTATTGGGTGCATATATATTTAGGATAGTTAGCTCTTCTTGTTGAATTGATCCCTTTACCATTATGTAATGGCCTTTTTTGTCTCTTTTGATCTTTGTTTGTTTAAAGTCTGTTTTGTCAGAGACTAGGATTGCAACCCCGGCCGTTTTTTTGCTTTCCATTTGCTTGGTAGATCTTCCTCCGTCCCTTTATTTTGAGCCTATGTGTGTCTCTGCATGTGAGATGGGTCTCCCGAATACAACACACTGATGGGTCTTGACTCTTTATCCAATTTGCCAGTCTCTGTCTTTTTTTTTTTTTTTTTTTTTGAGACGGAGTCTCGCTCTGTCGCCCAGGTGGGACTGCGGACTGCAGTGGCGCAATCTCGGCTCACTGCAAGCTCCGCTTCCCGGGTTCACGCCATTCTCCTGCCTCAGTCTCCCGAGTAGCTGGGACTACAGGCGCCCGCCACCGCGCCCGGCTAATTTTTTTTGTATTTTTAGTAGAGACGGGGTTTCACCTTGTTAGCCAGGATGGTCTCGATCTCCTGACCTCATGATCCACCCGCCTCGGCCTCCCAAAGTGCTGGGATTACAGGCGTGAGCCACCGCGCCTGGCCCAGTCTCTGTCTTTTAATTGGGGTGTTCAGCCCATTTACATTTAAGGTTAATATTGTTACCTGTGAATTTGATTCTGTTATTATGATGTTAGCTGGTTATTTTGCCCGTTAGTTGATGCAGTTTCTTCCTAGCATCGATGGTCTTTACAATTTGGCATGTTTTTGCAGTGGCTCGTACTGGTTGTTCCTTTCCATGTTTAGGGCTTCCTTCAGGAGCTCTTGTAAGACAGGCCTGGTGGTGACAAAATCTCTCAGCATTTGCTTGTGTTTAAAGGATTTTTTCTCTCCTTCACTTATGAAGCTTAGTTTGACTGGATATGAAATTCTGTGTTGAAATTTCTTTTCTTTAAGAATGTTAAATATCGGCCCCCACTCTCTTCTGGCTTGTAGAGTTTCTCCCGAGAGATCCGCTGCTAGGCTGATGGGCTTCCCTTTGTGGGTAACCTGACCTTTCTCTCTGGCTGCCCTTAACATTTTTTGTTTCATTTCAACCTTGGTGAATCTGACAATTATGTGTCTCGGGGTTGCTCTTCTCGAGGAGTATCTTTGTGAGGTTCTCTGTATTTCCTGAATTTGAATGTTGGCCTGCCTTGCTAGGTTGGGGAAGTTCCCCTGGATAACATCCTGAAGAGTGTTTTCCAACTTGGTTCCATTCTCCCCATCACTTTCAAGTACACCAATCAAATGTAGATTTGGTCCTTTCACATAGTCCCATATTTCTCAGAGGCTTTGTTCGTTTCTTTTTACTCTTTTTTTTTCTAAACTTCTCTTCTCACTTTATTTCATTAATTTGATCTTCAAACACTGATACCCATTCTTCCATTTGATCGAATCAGCTATTGAAGCTTGTGCATGCGTCATGTAGTTCTCGTGCCATGGTTTTCAGCTCCATCAGGTCATTTAGGGTCTTCTCTACACTGTTTATTCTAGTTAGCCATTCATCTAATCTTCTTTCAAGGTTTTCAAGGTTGTTAGCTTCCTTGTGATGGGTTCAAACATCCTCCTTTAGCATGGAGAAGTTTGTTATTACCGACCTTCTGAAGCCTCCTTCTGTCAGCTCGTCAAAGTTATTCTCTGTCCAGCTTTGTTCTGTTGCTGGTGAGGAGCTGTGATCCTTTGGAGGAGAAGACGCGCTCTGCTTTTTAGAATTTTCAGCTTTTCTGCTCTGGTTTCTCCCCATCTTTGTGGTTTTATCTACCTTTGGTCTTTGATGATGGTGACTTACAGATGGGGTTTTGGTGTGGGTGTCCTTTTTGTTGATGTTGATGCTATTCCTTTCTGTTTATTAGTTTTCCAACAGGTCCCTCAGCTGCAGGTCTGCTGGAGTTTGCTGGAGGTCCACTCCAGACTCTGTTTGGCTGGGTATCACCAGCGGAGGCTGCGGAACAGCAAATATTGCAGAACAGCAAATATTGCTGCCTGATTCTTCCTCTGGAAGCTTCATCCCAGAGGGGCACCTGCCTGTATGAGGTGTTAGTCGGCCCCTACTGGGAGGTGTCTCCCAGTTAGGCTACACAGGGGTCAGGGACCCACTTGAGGAGGCAGTCTGTCCATTCTCCAAGCTCAAACACTTTGCTGGAAGAACCACTGCTCTCCTCAGAGCTGTCAGACAGGGACGTTTAAGTCTGCAGAAGTTTCTGCTGCCTTTTGTCCAGCTATGCCCTGCCCCCAGAGGTGGAGTCATACAGGCAGCAGGCCTTGCTGAGCTGCCGTGGGCTCCATCCAATTTGAGCTTCCCCAGTTGCTTTGTTGACCTACACAAGCCTCAGCAATGGCAGATGCCTCTCCCCCTACAGGCTGCTGCAGTCTCACAGGTCAATCTGAGACTGCTGTGCTAGCAGTGAGCATGGCTCTGTGGGCATGGGACCCACTGATCCAGACATGGGATATTATCTCCTGGTGTGCCATTTGCTAAGACCTTTGGAAAAATGCAGTATTTGGGCGGGAGTGTCCCGTTTTTCCAGGTACTGTCTGTCATGGCTTCCCTTGACTAAGAAAGGAAAATCCCCTGACCCTTTGCACTTCCCGGGTGAGGTGATGTCCCGCCCTGTTCCAGCTCGCCCTCTGTGGGCTACATCTACTGTCCAAATAGTCCCAATGAGATGAACCAGGTACCTCAGTTGGAAAGGCAGAAATCACCTGTCTTCTGCGTCAATCACGCTGGGAGCTGCAGACCGGAGCTGTTGCTATTTGGCCATCTTGGAATGGAAATCAAGATTGTTGATTTTAACTATGTGAATGTAATATATGTTTTAAAATACAAGGAGAAAAAAAGAAGCTGAAATAATTCAGCAATGGTCGTGTATAATGGAATTCTCTGAGATTAGGGTAACATGCTGCCAAGTGTTATAATAGCAGGTAAATCCAGTTGCAACGCTGTGTGGTTTTGAGACCTCTACAATAATGAATCTTGAAACATTAAAATAATATAAAGAAATGAATTCAGCAGGGACACATTTTATTCCATGGCACATTCTACACTTACCTTCAGTTTGCTACATGAAGAATCCAATTTCCTTCTATTTCATATATTGACTTTTTTCAAAGAAATTCCAGGTGCTTCCCTACATTTTCTATCCCGTTTATCTTTGCATGCAGTGAATGTTTTTAATCATGTCATTATTTTAAATAACACTTTTTTTCTGGGAGTTTTTTTCCCCTTTGACTCTGTATTACTATTCCTATCCTACAAGTGTGAAATCCAAGACATGTAGAAATTAACTGACTTACTTCAAGAAAGACAGGACAGTAAACTAGTTCTCATTGCCTTTCAGAAACCTTGCTACTTGAGTACTTAATTTTTTAAATCTGATATACTTGAAAATCCTAATGTTAAAAATACCTTTAAACGACTCTCAAAATTAATTCATCAAAAAAATCAAGAACCTTAAATTAGTAATTCTCTTTTAATTAGAGCATTGGACAAAAAATAATATAAATCATATAAATGAATATTTGTGGGAGTATTAAATATAAAATGCCAAATATTGAAAATTGCAAAATATCTAGCAAAAGTACATCAATTAATTACACATTATGTATACATATTCTAAAAACTATACAGCCATTATAAACATGTTACTAAGTTTTAAAATATGGGAATAATTTCATGAATACGTGAGTAAAAAATTGAGACTACAGAAGTCTAAATACAAATATAAATGCAATTTGTCTAAAATACACCTTAGGCATATATATTCATAACGCATAGATGTCATACTGGGACAAAATACCATCCTTAACACCTGTATAATCTTAGTAAAATTCTAAACTTCACTTTCTTCATCAGAAAAATGTGTAACTTTACTTCATAGTAGGATAAAATGAGATGATGCATACAAAAACTAATCACATTTTTGGCCAAACAGTGAGAAGTGTCTGTGTATTTACTATAAACATAAGGCATGTAATATATGACTTAGAATTATATGATAATGTATTCAGAATAATTAACTTAAGACATTAAATTAAAACTCTAATATTGTAGCAAATTGCACAGAAAATAATTAGAATAGTATAGAGGTACTAAGATGAAAAACTGAAATCAACAATATTTAAATTACAAATACAACCAGGGCCCAAATTACAGTCTTATTAAGGAACCTATTTAAACCAATAGAAAGCAAAGCAGGCATTTTAGCGAGACAGATAAAAAGTCACTACCAAAAAAAAAAGTAAATTTACAAAGAAAAGGGTCCTTTGGTCCTTCTTGAAGAAGTCTCAAAACAGGTAGAAACTCACTTATCTGGTAAATCATAGGCTTTGAGTCAGAAATTTATATTATCTAATTTAACAAATAATAAAATCAATCTGAAAGTTTCTCGATAATGTTTCCCAGCATTATTGTGAGTGTCATAGTACAATGATAGGAAGTAGGTTCCAGAGCCTGTGCTTACAGTTGCTATGGCACAGGACCTTAATTACATATGCCACATTTATACACATGAATACACCATTACAAACTGATGGAAACACCACAGGTGCTGTGCCTACACCTCTGATTTCCAGGGACAGGCTCAGTTGATAGGTGTTTTTCCAGAGTAATTATAAATAATACCTCTTTTTCCTCTCAAAAGGCTTCTCGCATGGGGACCCTATTCATTAAAAAAGTGTAAGGACTTATAAAATTTCTATAAGAACAGTCTTCACAAAGGAAAAAATCAAGGTTGAAGCTTAAATGCTTGCTACATTTCAACGCAAAGCAATTATATGATAAAGAAAGTAACTCATAGGGTTATTATGACAATCTACTAGAATAATAGCAACTATGGATTTGATTAGACATATAGTAAATTATAAAAACATAAAGTGTTATAGTTATTCAAAACAATATTTTAAAAATAATTCCAAATACGCATTTCATAGGAATAACTTTATAATAGAAAGAAAAGTGTTTGACTCTCCTCAGGTGTTATGTTTTCTTGTTTTGTCAAAAAATTCAGCAGTTCACCTTTTCCCAAAAGAGTAAGGTAAAAAGCAATCTATCAAATTTTTAGAGATTGTCAAAAAAGTTAAGAAATGATAACAAAATAAAAAGGAGATTTTTTTTCCCCATAGGAATTTCAACCCCTCAAATATTCCACTTTTAAGTCTACCAAAAATATTTAATTCATTGTAAACAGCACTCAACTAAATTTTTGTTTATGGTGTATGTGATAGTTAATATTAGATGTCAACTAGACCAGATTGAGGGATGCCTAGATGGCCAATGAAGCATTGTTCTTGGGTATGTCTGTGAGGATGTTGCCAGAGGAGATTGGCAGTTGAGTCAGTGGACTGAGAGAGGCAGACCCACCCTCAGTGTGGTGGCAACATATAATCATCTGCCAGCGCAGCTAGAACAAAGTAAGCAGAAGAAGGGGGATAAGCAGCTTTCAGAATCCTCTCACTCTCCCTTTGCTGGATGCTTCCTTCCTCTCCGGCCCTTGGACGTCAGACTCCAGGTTCTTTGAACTTGCACCAGCTGCCTCCCTGGGAGTGTTGGGGGTGAGGGATTCTCGGTCCTTTAGCCTCAGGCTAAGGGTCTCACTGTCAGCTTCCCTGGTTTTGAGGCTTTCTGACTCGGACTGAGCCACCCTACCAGCTTCTCTCTTTCCCCAGCTTGCAGATGGCCTGTTGTGAGACTTGCCTTGTAATTGTGAGCCAATTCTCCCTAATAAACTCCCTTTTTTATATCCTGTTGGTTCTGTCCCTTTGGAGAACCTTAATACAGTGTACAATGCTGATTAAATGTAAAAGTATATTTAGCTGTTAATAAAATATCAGTTTTCATATAAAGATAACTTGGCCAGGCACGGTGGCTCATGCCTGTAATCCCAGGGCTTTGGGAGGCTGAGGTGGGCAGATCACTTGAGGTCAGGAGTTTGAGACCAGCCTGGGCAACATGATGAAACCCCGTCTCTACTAAAATTACAAAAATTAGCTGGATGTGGTGTCACACGCCTGTAGTCCCAGTGACTTGGGAGGCTGAGGCACGAGAATTACTTGAATCCAGGAGGTGGAGGCTGAAGTGACCCAAGATCATACCACTGCACTCCAGCCTGGGTGACAGAGCGAGAGCCCGTCTCAAAAAAAAAAAAAAAAAAAAAAAGATATCTTAATGTGTATTATTCATGAATAAGCATTGATAAACATTTCTAAAAATAAAAACAATATTTTGAAAAACTTATTGACCATGTTGGTGATACAGAAACACATATCTCAACTAATTTTAAATAAAATAGTTATATCACATAAACGGACCACCACCACTACCAGTCACCACTACTACCACCAACAAAACACAGAACTCTCCTGAACAAATAATCAAAAAGTGAATCAATAAGAAAAATCTTTGTGATTCAGTACTTAGCATTCACTTCCCTGTTTGTAGAAATGTCAGTAGTTAGCAAGCAATGGAGCTGGAAGCACTGTGTTCCCATAGGTACTGTTTTCTAGATGACATGTAAAACTCTATGCTTGACCATAAACAGCCTTTAAAAAAATCCCAGGGCACCTTTCAGGGAAATAGCAGTGTTTGCCTCAACATCTTGGCTTAGTTCCAACTCACTAATTACATTCAGCCTGCCTGGATAATTTTAGATAGTTTTAATGTGAAAGTGCATTGCCTTTGTTTGATTATAGTCCCTGGCTCTTCCTTTGAAAAGTCCATCCTCAAACAGTCACGGGGGGATTTTTAAGGCTGATTATTTCTCTTAAACAAAAATGAAGACCTGGGCTGGCCTAGCATCTTCCTCAAAGATAAATAATTAGTGTCCCCACATTGAATTAATACTGAAATTTTGGATACACTTATAGATTTAGGCAAGTCCTCAGAGAAGGGAAAGGAAACCTTTACATTTGGAGCCTCAATAGAGCGGAGTACCTTCTTGTTAAAGGGGTTGTCGTAGACAGAGCTAGGCAATTCTAATTACTTTATTGAACTTCTCTTTGGTATAGTTGCAAAAATCTGGTTATTACTCTACTCAATATCAAATAACAAACATATACATGTATATCAACCCTGTAAAAATAGATGGTTTTATTTTCCAGGACAAAACTTTGAAAAGGTATCATAAATTTACTTTTCCCCTTTGATGCTGTGGCAGGGATTGCTATCAGTCCCCCTAAATCTTGTCCCTCCCTGTCTTCTACAGTAATGGAATTTTCACTGGGCATATGTTCACCAAACCAAGGCAGTATTCCCTCCTTGCAGCTAAATATGGACACATGACTAAGTCCTGATCATTGTGAAGTGAGCAGAAGTGAGATGTGCCACTTCTGGATTTTGCCTTTAAAGGTAAGAGATGAGCCCTTATCTTTCCCATTTCCTGTTCCTCAAGGCCACATGATTGAAAACCATCTTCAATTGTACACATGACAGCAACATTCAAGGGGATGGAAAGAATTTCCACAAGATGGAAAGAATTTGGGACCCCAACATTGCAGAACTATCGAATCCTCTATATACGTTCTTGCAGGCTGGATGTCTTTAAGCTGCTATAGAAGACAGATAAGAACTCATATCTTGTTAAAGTTACTCTAAAGTAGTTCATTGTTC
Organism: Homo sapiens; assembly: GCF_000001405.40. NCBI lineage: Eukaryota > Metazoa > Chordata > Mammalia > Primates > Hominidae > Homo > Homo sapiens. Next base: position 211,818,013 of record NC_000002.12, read on the forward strand.
ATTGACTCTGTATCTTAATACAGATGATATTACACATTGTTTTTCTCTTCCCATCTCTTCCATTAAAATTGACAAATTGAAGATCACATTCCTCATCTGAAACTAGAAGTTGCTTCACATGTCCAGCCACCTTTGCAGGAATATAAACATAGGGTTGAATAATCCTCAGGATTTTTATTTCAAGAGATACTGAAAATCCCTATGTTTAAGTATTAGGAAAAAAATATCTAAATATTTAGGGGACACCATGCTGGACAAAACACTTCTAGAGCCTGTTGGTGCAGAAGTTGTGGTGCATTGCTGATATAACAAACACAGTTTCCACCATCTGTCTAATGAGAGATCAGATACAATATGGCAAGGAGTAAATTCTTTCTCAGGGTACTCTGAGAACATACAGGAGGGCGAATTTTAAGGAGATACGTTAGCTGGGTTTCGAATTACCAGTATGTGCTAGTTAGATAAATGTGGGTGGGGGTTGGGGCAGAAGGGTATTCCAATAAAAGAAACTATCAATTAACAATGGTCTCCAAATAACAGAAATCCTATCTACTTATGTTTAAGTACTTAAAGGGAGCACAAAATAAGGCAGTTTTTCACTTAATAAAGGATAATATCTCTGACTTTTGAAAAGATGATAATTCAGGCATTAGCTCTTGGAATAAATACACTAAAACTCAACTACATATTTCCATTAACTTGAAACTATTTTTTCAACAAAAACATTGAATATGTTTTTAAAAATACATTCCACAGGTCCACAATGAAGACAGATTCTGTGAGGAATGATATAGTCAGTTCTCTTATAGGTGGATGGGGATGTATGATCACTAAGAAGAGAACAAAGAAGTAAGGAAGGTAGTTCTTGTCTCCAATTGAAACATTTTTCAAATGTATTTATAAAATGTCTGCTCTAAAATAAACAAGTGACACAGTTTTAAATTTCTAAAAGCAATATTTTAAATTATTTTTTCTTGATTGTCTATCAAATTTGAAAATGAAGCATAATATTGGCTTATGGTAGCCTAATTTTCAGTAGATGCCACAAGATAAAACCCAAATAATCTGATTTGAACCTTGCCTAAAATCTTCTCTCACCATTGTTTTCCTGTGGCAGAGAATATATCCATGATTATTTAGATAAAATCATTTTTTGCATTCATGTATTCAATTTTCATTCATTTATTTGCTAATTCAGAAAACATTTTGTGATTGCACATTCTGAGACAGACATGGTGCTAAGATCTAGAGATATAAAAAAATGAAATGACATGGTCTCTGATCACATAGAAAACACTAACTAAATTAACAGGAAGATATAAAAATAAATTATCACAAGAAAAGACACATGTTATAATGGAGATACATACAAAGTACAAAGGGAGAACTAACAGTACTGGAATCTGCCAAGGGGAAATAGTAAAAGCTTTAGTCTGAAACTTGTCTCGAGGACTAGAAAGAGCATTCTAGGAAGATCCCCAGAATTTGCAGAAAATAGAAATGTTAGAAAATGCTTATAGACAGTAACTATTAGGAGTATTTCTGCATCTTTAGAGTACACATAGCATAAATTAAGCAAGGGAGGATGGACTTAAGAACAGAGCAGAGAGGCAGGGGCACTTTCACAAAGGTCTCAAAATTTTTTAGGTGTAATGGGAAATTATCAAGTAATTCTGAGATGGTAAGTGGTATGTTTTAATTGTTAGGATAGTGAAAGATTTTTGGAAGCAATGCTAAGAAAGGGTAGAACAAACTAGAGGTGAAAAAAACAGTAAGGAGGGTATTGCAATAGCCTGAGGAGAGTGTTGACCTGGATTAGTGGCAACAGGGATAAAGAGAGTAGGAAATAGATTTTGTTTAAGTTGTGATAGTTTTTAGATGTGGGTGATAAAGGACATTGTATAATAAGTTCCATGCATCACACTTAAATAAATGAATAAATAGCAAATTTTAGAACAGATGAGACCCACCAGATTGGGAAAAGCAAAATGACACATTGACTATTAGATGGAGTTCAGTTTAAGGTGCTTGTGGGAAATGTTTCACATTCAAATCATTAACCATTATTCTAATGGTTAATTGAGTAAGGTACATAAACAGATAATTCAAAAGCAGATATCAACAACTCACAAATACATATAAAAAGTATATAACTTTTAAATAACCAATGGAATATCTAATGAAAAAGAAGTACTAATTTATGCTTGCTTAACAGCAGCAACAACTGAGAATTAGGGACTGTTCATGCTGGTGCAAGTTGAATGAAATAGTGTCTCTTCTACTGTGAACAACTATATGCCAATAAATTTGAAAACCTAGAGGAAAAGAATAAATTTCTGGATACATACAACCTACCAAGATTGAGCCAAGAAGAAACAAAAATCCTGAACACACCAATGACAAGTAACAGGTTTGAATCAGTTAATAAAATATCTCCCAACAAAGAAAAGTCTAAGACCAATGGCCTCATCACTAAATTCTACCAGATCTTTATTTAAAGAAGATTTAATACCAATTCTTTTCTAACTATTCAAAAAATTGAAAAGGAGGAAATTTCTTCCTCATTTAACTAGGCCAGTATAACCCTGATACTAAAACTAGGCAAAGACACAGTAAAACAAGAAAACTTCAGGCCAATATCTCTGATGACATAGACACACACACACAAAATCACACCAAAATATGAGGAAACCAAATCTAACAACACACTAAAAAGATAATACATAATGATCAAGTGCGGTTTATTCCAGAAGTGCAAGGATAGGTCAACACACAAAAATGAATAAACATGACACGTCACCTCAACAAAATGAAAGACAAAAACTATGTGATCATCTTAATGGATGCAGAAAATCAGGATAAGAACTCTCAATAAATAAGGTATAGAAGGAAAGTACCTCAACACACTAAAAACAATTATGCCAAACTCATACGTAACATCAAAAGTTTCCAGCTTTTCCCCTAAGAACTCAAATAAAACAAGGATGCCCAATATCACCACTCATATTCAACACAGTAATAGAAGTCTTAGCCAGAGTAATTTAGCAAGAGACATAAATAAAGGACATCCAAACTGGAAAAGAGGAAATCAAATTGTCCCTGTTTGTAGATGACACAATCTTATATATAGACAGATCTGAAGACTACCAAAAAACTTAGGACTGACAAACTCAATAAAGTTGCAGATTGCAAAATCAACATACAAATAACAAACCAGCTAAAAAAGAAAGCTAGAAGACAATCTCATTTACAATAGCTACTAGAAAAATAAAATAAAATACCTAGAAATAAATTTAACCAAGTAGGTAAAATAATTGGACAAGGAAAACTACAAAACACTGATGAAATAAATTGAAGAGGATACAAACAAAAGAAAAAGTATCCCATACTCATGAATCAGAATAATTAATATTGTTAAAATGACCATACTATCTAAAGCAATCTACAGATTCAATGCACTCCCTATCAAAATATCAATGATGTTTTTCACAGAAATACAAAATATCCTAAAATTTGTATGAAACCACAAATGACGCTAAACAGACAAAACAATCCTGATCAAAAGGAAGCATCACATAACCAGACTTCAAAATATACTACAAAGCTCTAGTAACCAAAACAGCATGGTACTGACATAAAAGCAGACATGCAGATCAATGCAAGAGAATAGAGAACCCAGAAATTAATTCATGTATCTACAGCTATCTGACTTTTGACAAAGCTGCTAAAAATACACATTGCAGAAAGAACAGTTTGTTTAACAAATGGCGCTAGGAAAACTGGAAATCTAAATGCAGAAAATTAAACTAGATCCCTAACTCTCATGCTAGATATAGTTAATTCAAAATGGATCAAAGACCTAAATGTAAGACCAGAAAGTATACAACTACTAGAAGAAAACATAGGAAAAATGCTTCAAGACATTGTTTTGGGAAAAGATTTTATGAATAAGACCCTAATAACACAGGCAACAACATAAAAATAAACAAATGGGATGAAATTGGAGAACATCAGGTTAAATGAAATAAGCCAGAAACAGAAAGTTAAACTCTGCATGATCTCACTAGTGGAAGCTAAAAAAATTTGATCTCTTAGAAGTAAAAAGTAGAAAAGAAGATATTAGAGGTTGGGAAGGGTAGGGGAAAGAGAGGGATGAGGAGAGATTTGTTAAAGAATACACAATTACAGCTAGATAGCAGGGATAAATTCTACTGTTCTACAGCACTGTAGGATAACTATGGTTAATAATAATATATAGTTTAAAATAGCTAGAAGGAGAATATTGAATGCTCCCTACACAAAGAAATGTTTGAGATAATGGATATGCTAATTAGTCTGATCTGATCACTATATATTATGTGTATCACAACATCACTATGTACCCCATAAAAATGTATAGATATAACGTGTCAATTTAACTTTTTTAACTGAAAAATAAATTTAAAAAGAACTAATGTATCACTTGTAGCTGATGGAGTTGCAATAACTTTTAAAAGTCAGACATCTATCTGTACACTTTGGCCAAATAATCCATCTTCAGGGAAGCTATCCTGATGAAAGAATATTCCATAGAAAGAAAATTACATGCACAAGGATGTACACTGCTGTATTACATAAGTAATGCAACAAACCAAAATCCACATAAATGTTTCAGAAGTTGGGGAGATTTATATAAAATATGGCATAATTATTTGATAGAATATTGTATAACTATTTATTATATAATGATGCATCAATATAACTGTGGTAAATCGAATCATTAGCCACAACATTCCTTTGTCTCTGACAACCACATGCTTGTCATGGCTTCTCTGTAGCAAAAGCACACTTTCCTATCACTTGGTTTTAGGCTGGGCCCTATGATTTTCTTTGGCCAGGGGAGTGGCAGAAATGAGAATGTGCCATTTCTATATCTAGAGCTTAATAGGCATCGTGGATTTCTGCTCCCTTTTATGGACTGTACCATCATCATGGGAAGAACTTCCAATGCTGTTACAACTGTTAGCCCTTCCCCTGGGCCACAGAATAAATCACTATGGAACAAAACTGCCCCAATCCAACCTAGATGAACTTGTGCTTGGAGCAGAGCTTTTCCAGTCAAGCCCTGTATAAATCACCAGACCAGAACTTAGCCAACAACAGATTCATAAGAATACATAATTGTTGTTCCAAGTCATTGAGTTTTATTAGGATGTTTTTGGATGAATCATCTTGGGGCAATAGGTAAGTGAAACAATAGCTATGTGAGGACATTCATATGGAAAATGACAAAAGAAAATATTCAAAATTACAATTGCTAGTGTATGTGGGTTTTGCGATTGTGAGATGCCAGACCCAAGCTTAATCTAGTATTTTCATGTATTTGAACTGAAACCAACATAAGGGGTAAGCATCTCTTAGAGACAGAATTTTTTAATGAAAAATATAAAATATTCATTTTATATGTATCTTCATTTTAAAATAAAAATATATATTATTTTGCTTTAGGTTATTTTTGTTTCTTTAAAAAATCCCACTAAAACTCATTCCTAGCAGAATTCACTTTATTACTCTCAGCTGCAAATGGAGAATCTATAGAACCTTATGTAATCTTATCTAACTTAAAATATCTTCCTTATGCTATTGTGGTAAATTCAATGTTAATACAAATTCATATTTCTACTGCATTATCAAAGTATATTAACTCAAATAGTTTCACAGCTTGAAAATGTCATTAATCAATGATGGGGCTTCTATAATCTGTGTAATTTTTGTCCTCTGATAAGGTCAGGTTTTCTAAATGACTGGCACGTGCTAAGCATTTCACTATTTCTGTCATTTAATTTTTGAGGGCCCAATTGGCCAATTCATAGTTAATTACTCAATGTTTACATTCAAAGAGAAGTAGAAATGGGAGATATAATACACAATATGTAAAATTGTGTATGAAAGAAAATGTTTTCAATAGCATGGACAACATGAATAAAAATTATTACGACCAAGACCAGCTTTGTGCAGAATGGTGATTTAGGCTCCCCGACTCTGTCCAGGCTTGGGCATGGAGTGTTCTCACACAATCTGTATACTTTTCCTTATGGCAAGTGCTTTCCCATTGCCCTCTAGCTGCCAGTAACTCTCCACTGAAGCATTTTACGAGTACTGCTTAAAAATATTTCCTACTTCCTTTCATCCTTCCCCTTAAGGTTTAAGCTGCCTAGATTCTCATTCCTTCTCAGCTAATTGCTTTCGAAAAACAGTATCTTGTAAATTAAGTCCCCTTAAAGGACTGCTTAATGTGATACCTGGTTTAGGAATAGTTACTATTTAGCAAATGGTACCTGTGTATGCCTCATCGCTAACGTATGCAGTTCTGTTGTATGGTATCTCTGGCATTATGGAAGGCAAGGATAGGAAATAATTCAGGCAAGCAAAGTTCCAGAGCACGCTTCAAATCATACCATTTAGACAACTGTCTATTTTATTTATAATGTGATCTGTCCTGCAACCAAATTACTTCTTTTTAAGTTAAATTCAACCCATAAAACTAATTTATATTCCTGAGAAAAACGAAATGCTACTTCAAAAGTTTTATGAAAGTTCATATTTTTACAAGTTTTACCTAAGTAGAATAGATTATTTACATGTATTATAATAGAAGGAATATATATTTACAATAGAAAAGAAATGAACTTGACAATGATGATTTGATTGTCAAAATTAGATAAGACTTAATAATTAAAAAGACCGAAAATAATTAAAAAGAAAACTCACTTCAAACTATAATTTTACGTTATTTTTCCTACTTTCAATGTTCTCTGAAAAAAATATGTTTGTTTTTACACAAAATTTGCAGTGGCACCAACTTATTTAAAATGTTAATTACCGGACTGTAATGAAGAATTTTTAGCAAGACACATATTTGACTTCATCTTTGTTAATATCTCTACATTCTACACTAGGGTACAGTAAAACTTCTGTATCTTACCTGCCATCTAGTAATACTGTTGGAAAGATTATTATGATTGCATTATGAATGACTGATTTAAATAAAGTTAATAAATCAAAAGAGAGGAACAAAGCCTTTGCAGGAGACCAGAACAGATATAAATTTTTCCATAAGAGAAGAAAAGGACAGTCTATTCTTTTATATCAAAAATCACTTTTTTTTCAGTAGAATAAGTCTGTTTTAAGATGTTAAATTTACTGAATAGTTTGGACAAAATTAAAACATGTAGATTTATTATCATCATCATAATGATAATAAGTAGTTAACGGTAATGAACATATACGTATTTCCAAAGCTTTTATGAGACTACACATTGAGAATACATACTTATAGGCCCTTATTATTTCTTTAATGCAGAAACTCTGAACAGGCTCATTGAAAAGAGCAAAAGATGGCATTGTATAAATAGCAAAATGAATTCAAGCTTTTATTATTTTTTGTCTCTTCTGACTTCTATAACTTAGCAACAACAAATTAAATCCCATTTCAATGTAACACTATCATGAAATTCTCTATTTAACAAAATGTCTTCTAGACCCCAGCTGATTATCTAATTGTTCTGAGCATTTAGCAATTCAGTCACTTTTATTAAATATCCACTATGTGCTATGTGCTTTGAAGGACAGAGAGATAAATGTGAGTCAGTCCAGGAGCTTATAATCTGGTGGGTAAGGTAGACTTTTAAAAACATTTTATAAAACAAAGCTGAATTAAATATGATGTTTAAAACAGTCCTGGTAGAAATGTAATATATTTGTCATTATATATATATTATATATTATTAATAATATATCAATGATATATTTATATAATACATTAGTTATATAATGTATTAATATATTACACTATATTTTATTATATTATATTAATCTACAATATAGATTAATTATATTATATAATATATATAGGATAATCCTGTTAATTTGGGAGCTTTGGCTTAGGAAAAAATCTCTTAAGATTTTTCTAGAGCAGAACTTCCAAGTTAGACTAACATTTTGGATATTAATGGTCTACATATAGCTTCCCTAGAATCAACCTAATCCCAAGAAGACATGGAGATCAATTTACAATGAGCTTTTGGGCTTCCATACAGAACTAAGAAAACAGACTGAAATATAATCAACACAAACACTAAAAGTTAAAATTTCAATGTATTTCAAAAACATTTTGAAATGAAGTAGTGTGGTATAAGGAGAATTGCACAAAATTAGTAAGAATCATAGAGTGCATAATCCTTCATTGCTTTTTTTAAAAAAATCCAGCACATATTGATTGAATGCCTGCTATATTTCAGGCACTGTGTTATGGATTACGGATATAATCATAATCAAATACATATATTGGTCCTGTCTTTATGGAACCTTCTATCTCAAGTAGTAAATGTTCAAAAAATTTGTTAAGTAATAAGTTATGAATCATAAAAATATATTTCAATGCAGGTCCCTATTGTGTTTCCATCCATAGCCCTTATTATCTTCTCTTATACTATATTATTTATTTATTTATTGTATTTATTGCAGACTATCTCCCCAAACTAAAATAACATCTCACAAGGGAGTAGATCTCTGTCTGTTTTATTTCCTCCTGGCTCCCAAGGACCTAGAACAGTGTCTGGTATCAATAAATATTTGTTAAGTGAATGGATAGGCCTGACTTTGCTTAACACCAAGTATGCAGAATGGGAACAGGAAACTAAATTTAGCAAACAGGTACTACCCTGATAGCCACAAAAGGATACACCAATATAAAATAAAGGAAGCTGACTAATTCTCTAACACCACATACAAGACACATTCATATGCTATATGTGTATTTCTGCATTTATCAAAACATTTTAATGACATATTTTACTTAAGGCAATCCTTAGAGTTTAAAGAATGAATTAAACTTCTTGCCCAACTGTTATTTGCAGAGATGGCTTTTGTAAAGGACTTGTTCTTCCCTTTTGCATGTGTGTATATATTTAAACACATGCAGGTACACGGTTTTCAGTTAAGTTTGTGTTGGGATAAACACACAGCATGAATCCTGGGGGCTATGAAATACATCTGTGTATATATAATCCAAAATTTATTATGGAAACACAAGAAAATTCTTCACTTTTAAGTATGGTTAGATTGGGGATTAAGAATAAAATTTAGAATGTTAGACTCTTACCCTACCCATGCTCTATCCGAAAATGACTTTCTACCCATGTTGAGTGTACCCTCTTCTCATTATCTCCAGCTCTGATTTACTCATTCATTCATTCACATGATAATTTATGAGTGCTGTTCTAAGTCCTTGGAGTTACCTAAGAGCTCTTCTAAGCACTGTTGGGACAGGGTTATTTCCTTCTGCAAGACACAATAAGAAGGTTTTTGTTTGTTTTGTTTTGTTGTATATCTTTTCAAATTGCCATTCATCATTATTGACAATCCACATACCACTTAGTTTGTGAATATGTTTGTGTATTTAGTTTGACATTTTGGGTGGAAATAAAAGCCTTCTGTTTGTAGTTAATTAAAAATGAAAGTATTCATGTTGGGATTTTATTTTTAAAAATTGATCTGGTAAGACAAAGTGGTTTTTTTTTCAATCTTGCTGATATACAGTTCTTTTTTTAATGAAAAAATGTCAAAAAACTTAAGTAAATTAAATTTTGCTATCTGCTGTATTTGTTCAATTTAGTTGGAAAGTTTAAAAATACCTCCAATCCATCTATATTTGCTGAAGAATAAATCTAGACTTTATATGTATATATTATTATACATTGATGGCTATAAGACACATTCATGATCATGCAGTTTCTTCATTTGCACATAATATTTACAACATATGCAATTATTTTATTTTTATTATATACAATAAAAGGCAGGCCATTTTCACTTTTTAAAAGTCTCCTCTGAATGATACATTGATGGCTATAAGACACATTCATGATCATTCTAGGCCAGCCCCCTCACTTTACAGGTGAGGAAACAGAGGCAAAAAAGCAAGTCTTGCCTTAGCAGAGCTATGCTAGAATTCACATCTTTTGACATTAATCTGTATTGTGTTTATTCCAGGACTCCAGATTAATGTTAATCTGTAGGATAATATATGAGTTTAAGATTAGAAAAATCTTAGGGAATGTGAACAATATCAATGTGACTGAACAGAGTCTTAGTCATATTAATTAAAGTGGATTGACTTTTATATGTTCAGTTGGATGGGAAATCAGTGTTCTATCAGTATTTCCTCAATATCATATTCATGGCAGAATATTCCTTTAGAATTTTCAAAACACATTTTGCTACTATGAATTGTGTAGTTACGTATTAACGAGGATGGTTGTATGGTTATCATTTTCGCACCAGAAGAAAAATAAACCCACAATACACAACCCTGAAATAAGGAAAGTAGAACAAGCTCTTCTACTATCAAATTTTCTTCCAGAGCCTGTGGCATGCCTCCACATCTGTGATCTGTGTCTGGGCCCTAGAATTCTTCTAGGGTCATCACAATGCTGCAGAGATGGACTCAAATCAGATGCAAATTTAATCAGGTGAACAACAACAGACTCAGAACACATCTAAGATGATTATTTTTACATTTTTTTGTCACTGTTGCTACTGTTAAGCAGTGGTCTCTTGCTAAAACACAACCTCACTCAGAAACCAATATATAAAGAAAGGTTCCCTAGATGAAACTGAGTGCCCCACAGAAATGTCTGGTTCAGTCTCATTATTTTACAAGGATTGAAAAGGAAGCCAGATTGGGAGTCCTTCCCACGGTCTACATCTAGAGTCTGGACTTACTTCTCACCACTCCTGCACACACTGGCTCTTCCCAGGTCTCACTCCACCTTTTCCTTCCTGCCAAGCATGCTCCAGCATCACATGCTGCCTCCTTTTCTGGGAGCACTGTTGCCACAGTCTTGATACAGCTCCTTCGTGTTGAGGTTTCAGCTCAATTTTGCCTATTCAGGAAATTTGCTGGTACCAACCACTCTCTTTCCTTCTTTATTGAGAGAAACTCAGTTGCATAAAATTGGACTAATCTTAATCTTTGGTTCATGAAGCATTCTCATATTGGAGCCATGCATGGTTTCCTTTACTTTCATTAGTTACTTAATTAGTTATTTTAAATGTGTACTAATTACCTGTCAGCTTAAAGCACACACAAAAAGCTAGGATCTTGATAATGACTTACATGTATTACTTCCATTAACCCGTCCCTATGCCTTCTCCAATCTGAACTCTGTGGTCACATCATTATTTTCAGTTATATGTACTTTCATTGCGTCCATATATAACATACACACACACACATTATTTTAGTTGTTTTAAACTTTAGTAAATAGTTATCAGTCTGCATGCAATCTTTTAGGACTTACAATTTTTATATAATATTTGATTGTTGAACTTGATTCATATATTCATATGCTACTCAAGTTCACTTATTTTGGTTACCGTTAAGTATCTCATTGTGTGGCTTATTCACCCATCAGTTACTTTCTACGTCATCACTCTGTCTTATTTGCTTCATAAAACATAGCAGTATTTGTAGAACATACCAACTTTATTAATTTGTTTACTTGTTTATCATCTGCTTCTCACTGCTAGGACATACTTTTTAAAGGACAGAGATATATCTTATTTATCACGCTATTTCAAATTATTCATGTAACATATATTGCATTAAAAAAATGAAAAAAGAATTCACTCTAGACAAACTGAACACCTTGAGTTTCCTTAATATGTCAGGTTGTTTCTTATCTATTGTCCTTCCTTCATTGCCTTTAAAGCTCTGCCACTTAGATTTGTGATTTGAAGCAGCCTAACATACGCCTGCTTCTTTTTACTTATCGTCTATATTTACAAATTTAAAATGGATGACTTATCATAAAAAATTATAAATGACATAAAATATACAAAATGCCTGGCACATTCTGAATGGTCAGCAAATAGTAACAAGTATGACTGCTACTCCAATCACATTACTTGGAGTGAATATAACCCCCATCCCCCTGGGTAGTTTTCTCATCCATCAAGGCTCAGCAAAAGTTTCACCCGCTTCAGGGAAGCTCTGAGATACCTCTCTATCCCCTGTACCTATCCTAACACTAGCACACTGCTCTGAATTTGTTATTCTACTTATCCACCCCCATATCCCACAACTCTTTCTTGGGGACTGTGTCTTATTTGTTTACTTATTGACTAGTCCTCTTTCCTCTAATGCCATGTTAAACAAGTACCCTTTGAGTGGCTCATTCCAGCTTCCAGTTATTGTAAATCACACTGGATTTTATTAACTTGAGGGCATCATCAGTATCTGCTTCCCTGATCTCTATGCTAACAACCCAGTTAAGAAATAAGGGGCTTAATCAAGGTGCTAAATTTGAGGAGCCTACTCTACTTGGCCAAATAACTAATGGGCTCTTTCCTATGACACCCTTTCTTTATAATGATTCCCTTTTTATTTCGTACCACTTCTATTTTACTCTTTTGACTTAAAGATACATTTAATTATTAGCCTTTAATTTGTTTATTTCTATGTTTGATCTTTTAAATTTCCTACTGTTAACAATATATTTTTAGTTAACTTTATAGTAGCTTCTAAAATTAGCATAACTAAAATAAATTAACGTTGAATACTAGAAAGCAATAAACATCATTCCAAAATGAAACAAAATATCAAAATTTGTATAATTTTCATATTTTTATCAATGCAATAAAAATATAAAAATGTATGTTTAAGTAGGTCACATTAAAAAATAAAATACAACCCAGGTAGCAGAAATGTTTATAACAATGAAGTGAAATGAGATTACATTTCATCTACGTGATCTTTTAATTATATTTTTATTAATCTTGCACCATTAATTAATAGGGTTATAAGACAGCACATTTAACAAGGACTGCATAGAGCACTTTGATATGGCCACATAAGGCATGAGAATCTAATACTGATGGTCATATATTCTATAAAACTTAACATATACCAGGATGAAAATAGAGTGGAACACATTAAAATGTAGGTTAAAAAAATAATAAAAAAAAACCCAAGTCATAAAAGCTTATGCTAAATTAAATACAGAGGGATAGAAAGAAAAACAGCAAACATTATTTGCTAATGAAAAAGTACTTAGCTTGGAGATGAATGAATAAAAATCATAATTAAAGAATCTCTAATTAGGCTCATTCTAATGTTTCAGTTCTTGTAAGACAGTTCCAACTACGCTTTCCAAAGGTTTTTCAAAATTTCAGAGTTAAGTGGCTACTGGGACAACAAAGGCAACCCTCGTGTCCACTTCAAACAAGTCCAGTCTAATACTGAAATAGATGTTTTACTCATGAAGGGTCATGTTATGTGTGCAGTTCACTGTGCTCTCTATATCAATTGGATAATGAGAGAGCTTTTCAGGGTCTTGTTAAAAACTTTAGCCAGATGTCACCCCAAATCACCACCACTAATTTCCGTACTACAAAACAGCCTTTGACCTAATGAGTAGTCAAATATTCCAGCTATGGCTTTTTCTTAGTGTTTCTACAAACATGACTGTTATCTAAGAAAAAAGACTAAGAAAAATCATTGGAATGTTATGTTTCCTAACAAACTATTAAGTATGATTTAGTTACTTAAAATAATAGTAATGTTGCCAGTCATGGTAACATTAATACCTGTAATCCCAGCACTTTGGGAGGCTGAGGTGGGTGGATCACCTGAGGTCAGGAGTTCAAGACCAGCCTGGCCAACATGGTGAAACCCCATATCTACTAAAAATACAAAAAATTAGCCAGGCGTGGCAGCAGGTGCATATAATCCCAGCTACTTGGGAGGCTGAGGCAGGAGAATCACTTGAACCTGGGAGGCAGAGGTTGCAGTGAGCCGAGGTCGCGCCATTGCACTCCAACCTGGGCAACAACAGCGAGACTCTGTCTCAAAAAAAAAAATAGTAATGTCTTCACTGTACTTTTAAAAGTAAATCATCCATTTGTATTTCTTTTTAACTAGAAACTAGACCAGAAGTTCTGCAGTAACAGGACAAATGTGGCGTCAAGCCAAGGTGACACACTCATTTTTGTTCTTCCCAAGAACATCTTCAGCTGTCTGTACTTGAAAGTAAAAGGTGAATAAATACCTGAATATAAAAATTCATATAGCTACTGTAGCTTTTATACCTATCATGTCACAGCATTCAAATTAGTTTTCAGTAAATATTAACTATTATGTCTTACTCTAGTGATAGCATCTCCACAGACTTGACATATAAGCCATGGATTTGAAAAAAAAGTTGATTATTATGAGAGATGCATATGCCTGAGTATTCTGTCCTTACTGAGAATAATTTTTTATATCTTACAAATTAATAAGATACGTTTAGAGCATAGCACTCTTCACAAAAATACATTATTAAAACTAAAAATACATTTTTCTCTTTAAGAACTGTCACAAATAAAATGATTCTATTTATGTATTAGCCTTTAGTCTCTGATAATTGGATTTATCTTTTAAAATATTTTAGACATAATGCATTAAAGATAAAAACTCTCCTTATCAAATACTGAAATATGTTTCTTGAAATAACAATTAAATAAATATATGTATGTGTGTGTGTATATATATATACACATAAACGTGTGTGTGTATATATATATACATATATATACACACATATATGTAACCAGCATCCTTGTGTATCAGAAGGGGTTAGATTCTAGTGATGGCAATTTCAAAAAGGGGCTGGCATGTAAAGTAAATATGTGAACCATCCTGGATAGAACAGGGAGCGAGGGGTCAGAGGATAGCTGAAGAACACATTCCCTGTCTATACGCATTGATATTAAAATAGTTTGATGCACTGAATTGAATAAACTACATATATATAGTTTATATATATATAAATAAATAAGACTATATATATAGTTTATATATATGTTTGCAGGTGATATGTTGACATATAAATTAGAATTCTTGTGTTCAAATTTCAGTTTGGCAGCTATGAAATCTCTAGAAACTGATCAAATATTTTCTAGGTTCAGATATTCTGCCTGTGAAGTGAGGATAACACTTCCTTCACAAGTAAAGGAAAAATAATATATAAGAGTAGATATAAAAACTGCCTGGAACAGTGCCTGACAAACAGCAGATACCCAGCATATTCTAGAATCCTTTCCCCATCCCCTTGTAATCACAATCTATCAGGATGACCTTGGGTGCAAGTGCAGTGAAGTATCATATGGTTTTTCAAGTAAGGAGCTGATGATTGCACATAAGTACTCTAGAAATAAGGCAGCTCCCTGACTGGTTAATTCAATTACTTAAAGATGTCTTAAGTCTAAGGACGTCTTAGTTTTCAGGTTCTCTCCATTTTTCTGCTCTGCCATTCTCAGTGTTCCACTGAAAAGAAACTCCTTTACATTGATTTCTTCATCCAGTAGAGGAAACCCTTCCCAGAAGCTTCTCAGCAGAGTTCACTTTGTAAATATAAGGCATAATTACAAAAGATTCCCATACTCTAATCAAGACCTGGCAAGGAGAATGGACTACAATGATTTGTTTAGACTCAGATCTAGCTCTGAGCTATAGATAGATATGATCATCTTCCCTGAGGGATGGATAGAAAAAATAGGAATTTTTCTGTTAAGCAGGAAGAAAAGATATGAATTTGGATTGGCAACCAACCAAGGATACTCATGTTGGATTCTGTAAATATATCAATTTTCACTTCCATTAATTTTATGATTAGCATAATTGTTCAAGCAGAAGCAGCATTCTTGGCTAACATGGCTCAGGTTTCCACTGAGTCATTCTAATATCAAGCTAAATGAATATCAGATTAGACTAGACCTGGTCATTTTCAAACTATATTAAAGTATCCTTTTTAAAATGAAACTTTCTAGAAGAGTCCCAATTTATCTAGGAGATAAAAAGTAGATCTGCCTGGTTGAACTGAAGCATGGTATGTGACTGTACCCCAGTTCACTGGATGCCACCCCTAGGTGCATATTCAGAGCATTTACTATGAAAACGAGTGTAGTCGATCTTTACAGTCCCTTCTAGACCTTTAATTTTATGTCTATGAAACTGACAATATGTCATCCTTCCGCAATTTGCTACCATGTCAGTTTGCTTCAAGATGTGTTTGATGGGTTGCATATTTTTATGATACGACAAAGGAGTAGTATAAAGATATCAGAGAAATTACCATATAACACAATTGAAATAGGCTAGTTGAAAGGAAAATGCAAAATCAAAAACAAAACAAAGCAAAGTCACTGTAAATTCACCCTGAAGCAAAACTGGAGGCAGTGCAGGAGAATTCTAGTCCCCTGGAAAGGCAGGTGGCAAAGTCACTGCGACTGCTCAACAACTTACAGACTCTTAACAGCAGATCTCAAAGGAGTGATGATGAAAACAGCTGCAGCTGCTAACCAGAGAGTAGGGGCAAAATACATATGGATAGCTTGAACTGTAAGATCTTTCGTGTAAATTTTTGTTTTATCAACAAGTGGGTCACTTAAAAAAAAAAAAGAAGGGGGGTAGGGGCAACTGACTTTAAGGGAAGAAGACATTTTTTAATTAGATCATATTAGGAGAACAGTTAATATTTTTTTACTTTGTTCCAAATAAACTAGGTAGAAATCAAGATAACCAATAAAATATTCCTGAAAGACTCAATAAATATCGAATTTGATGTCATCAATATGGAAGTGGGCCAGTACAAGGCCTGGAAACAGTAAATCTCAGCAGATATCAATACAATTTGTTGTAGAATCTGAATCTCACAAAGTGAAATTTAGGATCACTTGTTCAGCAGCAGGGTCAAACTTAAAGGTGGAGTAATAGCAATTTACCTTCTTGATGTACCACTTGGGTAATCTGTGAAAGATGCTGGCCTGTAAGGAGAATCTAAAGTCTCCCAGGGGGACCAAATTTCAAATGGTAAAGTCATATAGATTTTAAAAACCTATTCATATATTTTAAAACTTTTTTCCTAAGCTAATGTAGGCCAAAGCTTTACATTCAGTCATAATGCATAAACATGTCAACCACAATCCTTTACTGAGAGATCCTACAATCTCCTCATAGGGAATATTTTTCCTTAATATTTTTAGGGAAAGATCTTTTTTAAGCCCATTAAAGTTGCAAAGGCTAATGAAATGTTAAATAATGGGGGATCTTATTGGATTTAATCATCACCCCAGCTCTGCTTCATTAACCATCTCTGCTCAGCCTTCCACAACTTCAGCTCTTCAAAAGTTACGCAAAGTAACAAAAATACATCTTTTGAAGGCTGATGGAGCAAATAATCCAGATGAATATTTAGAAATGCATGGCTCCATTGTGATTTCCTGGTTCTCTACCATGCCATTTTTCTGCCTCCAGTATGAGTTAGCCACAAGGACTCTCTACATAAAACCACTCTGACACTTGAAGTTTTATGTGTTCAGGAAAGGGTAAAAACACTATGCAAGGAATATCTAATTGTGGTTTAAAATTTCTGTTGACTGGAAAAAATAGGGCATGTGAGATTCTTGATTAATTTTTTTTATTTTGAATGGTCCTAAAATTTCATCTTATGATGTATAATCAATATGAAGTCACATTCAGTAAATAGAGTCATGGTTAATTTGAAGCAGATCCTAAAACATTTAATGAAAAACATCATTTCCACTCACCTTCATTCTTTCAAAGAATTCAGTCTTTGAATTCCTATGTCATTTTATTTTTTGGTAGGTTCTGATGAAGACAAATCATTTGCTTATGGATACTTTGGCTGAGATGCATTTAATGAAAGATTCAGTACCGTGAAGTAGGTCATGATCATATTAAATGAGAATACAAGCAAATATTGATACAAGTGAAGCAACAATAAAGTTGCAAAACCAAGGGGAACCTGACCTACGAGAAATGTGGGAGTGTGTGTTTGAGGAACAGTTGAATACCTTGGGGTTGCAGGGTTGAATAAAGGAGCTTCCTAGAATTAGAACTGGGAAGAGTATACAAGACACATAAGGGAAAACTTAACAGTATTGCCTATGTTTATTGCTACTTAAAAGGCAAAGAAATGCTAAGTATAAATAAAAATAAGCCAACAAAATCATGTCAGGTCTTTATCTAAAAATAGGTTGTATAATATATATCTTGCCTTCTTGATGGGGATTTCTGAAGAAGTTAGAAAGATGAAGTGAGTTAACGATGGAAAAATATTTTGTAAATGATGGCTGCTCTGGGAGTCCCCAACATTAGCCTTCATTCAGATATATAGACACACGGGTCTCAATATACAGTTTTACTCATGGATAAAATTGATTACAGCAATGAAAATAAGAACACACTTTCAGATCATAAGGTAAAAAGTCACAGGCAGAGTCTGCAAGAATCCATATGCAAACTTACTTATACCCACTTCCTCCCATGAAGGGTTACACAGAGAGCATTCTTCCCCCAGAAATAAACATGTAGCAACATGTGTGTGATATTTCTACGAGGGAAATCCATTAGAGATTTAGGCATCCAAAATTTTTATTAGAAGGTAGTCACATATATTGGTACTCTCTGCTTAGTACATACCAAACTTCCAGAGTCATAGAAGGAAAGCAGGTGTTCAGCATAAACCACATTGTTTGCACAACAATCGAAGGACAATAGACCATGCATATCAGTTGAAGAATAGTGAGAACACTACAAATATTCAACTTCCCAAACACCAGACAAGGGCCAATCTTGCAAGCAAGCCCTTCTATGAATAGCAGTTTCAGGTCTGCTGTGTTAATTAACTCTTTTCTGCACAATGACAGCTGCAAAATAGCTTGCTATATATTATTATATAATATTTCGGTAATATTATAAATTAGAAAAGATTATATGAAATGAGGTTATTAAATTATAAGGAAGCTTTAGTTTTAATAAGAAATTATGTGTAACATACAAAGGCACAATGGGAGCCAAATAGTTAAGTACAGTAGAAGTAAGAGAAAAGTTTTTTAAAATATTGTTCCATCTCTAAAAAAGGAAACCAGTTTTAGGCAATAGAAGAAAAATGCCATTAAGCAACTTTTAAAACTTCTTTTATGGTTCCAAAACCATTTGATTATGAAATACATCTAAATAATAAATTTTGGTGGTTAAACTTCAAACATGGCAAGATTATACATAAAATAGATCTTAAAATTCTATAATTCCATATCACAGGATATTGTGCATGATAAATTGTTGACAGGTTAATCCTAATCCAAATCTATGATACTGAATCTGTTCGATTCACAGCTAAACATGACTTGAAGAGTTTCCACCAAAGTGCTCCAAAATGCTTATAGAATTCAGACATCAATTCTAGAGGGAAAGGTTAAAAGTACTTGGGTTATTGAACCAGTAGTCAAGTGAATGACTGAAAAACTCCTCTCAAGTACATAAAGGGCTCTTAAATAGATTCTCTGCACCAAAGAAAGCATGAGAGGCTTAATCTAAAGCATAGAGGATTAAGGTTAGATAAAAGGAAAAATTTATAGGCAAGGAGAGTTGTTTAACACAGACATGTATCGTAGATTCTCCTCGGGAAATATTAAGACTTAAAGGCTTATGTAGCAAAGGGTTTAAAATCATAGACTCTCAATCCAAGCTGCCTAGGGTTGAATCTCCTTCTCACTAACTAACTGGGTAGGCTTGGGCAAGTTATTTAACTTCTCTGTAACTCAGTAGTCTCCACATCTTTAAAAATGAAATACTAATCGAGTTTGTGTGTGAATAAAAAATACACATAAAAGCCCTAGAATAGGTCCTGTCATCTCTCTAGGCACTAGGTTCCCATTTACTAATGTTGTCATTTTCTGTGGATAATATATTATGTTCCAGGTATTATACAGGGTAGCAAATAAAGACAGATGGTGAGACAATGCAGTTATAGAGGTGAATCAGAAAATGACTCATATTCTTGAAGAAACTTCTAATCTAGTGGGGAAGGTGGTCATAAACATATCTACAAAGCACATGGGAGGAGCTCTGTGGCCCGTGCTGAGGGTTAGCTGAATGCCAAAGTGGACTGCTTGGGTACCATCATTCAGATGGTGAATTACACAGTGCTATTTCATGGGTAATGACTGTGAAATCAGAGTGAAAAAGTAGGAGTACCAGAGTGCGGAGAATCAACAGCAGAGCTGGTGTCACCCTCACTTGTGTTCGCTTTCCATGTATTGCAACTTTCTGTAGTTTACAATGGCCCACTTGAGTGAGTTTATGAAAGTCTGGTTATTTGAGTAATTTCTGTGAGTGTGTGTCAGCGGGGTGGGGGATGGTGGTGGTATTTGATCCTATCTGAAAGTTATCCAAGCTCTTGACTTCCAATAATCAGTACCAGCCATCATCTCTACATAGCCTCTGCTTCAGTCATCCCCTCAGTGTTTAACTTGAGATAATTTTAAAACACATGTTAAATATCACATATGATACAGCTTTACCTTTAAAATGCAGAATATTTTCCACTTATTACTTAGTTTATAATTACTATGGACAGCATATTCTTGAAAGCAGCTGTTATAAAACTCAAGATATTAAAAGTGAAGTTTTTTAACCATTCTTTTCCCATTGTCTTCACTTCAACTTTCAAAAACAAATACAATTCATATCCTTATTGCAGTTTCAGGCATTTTCTGCTTATGTGGGTATGTCCAAAAATGTCAGTGTAAAATTGGCATTATATTGTATGTAAACAAAATTCAATAATATTAAACCCTTCTTAATGATAAACATTTTATAGTTTAAAAATATATTTGAAATAGACAAATAATTCCAGAAACACAATAACGGGTCTGTGATTCGGACTAACGGGTCTGTATTGGAGGTCACAGCTCCTATTTTAAGGTACAGTGCAAACTGGATCACCTTCCAACATGTTGGCTAGAACTGAAGCTATTGAACTCTGATTTTTCACCCAAGGAAAAGCTATTTTCTAAGCATCCTACTGTGAAATTTGCTTACAGCAAGAAAAAAGAAAAGCAGAAATGATTTACCAACTGAATAAGTGTAGGTAATTTTACTGTATGTGCATTCTTAAATGTTTAATACAACAATGGACCACCTCTTTGCATGGAGTTAAAGATTCCTTTTTACATAATGTGTCCCAATAAACAAAGAAGCAAAATATTGAAAGAAATAAAGAGAGAGAGAGAGGGAGAGAGGGAGAGAGAGAAGGAGGAGGAGGAGGAGGAGGAGGAGGAGGAGGAGGAGGAGGGAAAGAAAGAAAGAGAGAGAGAGAGAAAGAGAGAAAGAAGAGAAAAGAAAAGAAAAGAAAGAAAGAAAGACCTAATTGTCACCCTTCACGCTCATATTTCTCTTCTGTGCCTTAAGCTCTAGTTCACTTAAAAAGTAGCTCTTCATGGAGAATAGATATACAAGATATAATAAAAAAAAATACTTGACCTCTAGGGGCTACATAACACTTATGAGATGGGTATAGAGAAAACTGTATTATAAGCATTAAGGTGAAAAAGATTAAAAGTATATTCTGACTGGTCCCCAAAACAATTCTCAACTAGGTTTTTTTCTCAGGTGCATGTAACTATTTTTCCACAGTACAGTAGATCCATACCACAAGAAGATAGTCATGAGTCATCATTCAATATAATAATAACAATAACTGCATATTTCTTATTCTGCAGCAAAATCATTGACATAAATATTCTATAATCCAAATCTCTTTGTAAATATATGGTATTGGTACTGAAAGATAAAATGCTTAAAACACTGGTGTAAATTAAAAACATGTCTTGATTTCCTTCTCAAGTGTTGTTAAACACTATAGGTTTACATTCATATTACGTGTAGTTCTCTATGCCAATGGTCTCCAAGATGGGTGAGTGTGCACTCCTATGTACAAAAAGACCTACTGGGTTAAAAAAACAAAATGTTAAAAGTTCTATTCATTGTTTTATTTTAAAAATAAGAAGAAATGAAACTAAGCTTTGCTAATAGGTAACATGTAGACTGACACTGCCCTTACTTAGTGGGTATTCTCCAGTCCTGTTACATGGACAGGATGGAGGAATCATGAAGGAAAAACTGAAGCTGCAACAGAAGAGGATGACAGTGAAGCTCTGTGATACGGTTTGGGTGTGTACCTACCCAAATCTCATCTTGAATTGTAACTCCCATAATTCCCACGTGTTGTGGGAGGGACCTGGTGGGACCTAACAGAATCATGGCGTGGGTCTTTCCTGTGCTGTTCTCATGATGGTGAATAAGTCTCAAGAGATCTGATGGTTTTCTAAAGGGGAGTTCCCTTGCACACTCGCTTTGCCTGCCACCAAGAAAGACGTGACTTTGCTCCTCCTTTGCCTTCCACCATGATTGTGAGGTCTCTCCAGCCATGTGGAACTGTGAATCAATTAAACCTCTTTCCTTTATAAATTACCCAGTCTTGAATATGTCTTTATTAGCAGCGTGAGAACAGACAAATACACTCTGCCTTACTCTCACTTGTAACGTTTGCCCTCAGCATATCACAACTTGCTGCAGTTTCCATGGATGGGCCTGCTTAAGGAGTTGATAGATTTATGATCCAGTTTTAATTAAACTTAACCTCACAAAAAGCATAAAATTGGCTTTAAAAAAGGTTCTTCAGAACTATTGAGGAAAACATGAATTTTTCCTCAAAAACAGCACAAGAATGGCTAAGCTGGTTCTCCTAATAGTGCAAGTTCTTCATGGACATTATGCAGTAGACACTGTGATGATCCAATCCAATCAGACAAGAAGTTGACAGAAATTCAAAAATATATGGATTTATGTCCAATATCATTAATGATAAACCTTGATTCAGCAAGGTTTTGTGCTTGAAATATTATCTAATAATAGCAATGCATTTATGTAATTTATAAACAAATACAGTATTTGTTCTCAACAATGGGGTATGCAATTTAAACTTTGGAGATCAAGTGGGACACTTGCCAAATGCTTTAGACTAAGTAAAACATTTTACTAATGTCACATAATAAAATGTATTTTTTCTACATTCCCTAAACTAATGGCATATACCAATATGTGCTTAGATTAGTCAATTCTGTTATAGTGAAGAATATAATTCAAATTCAGTGAGCCAAATTTTACACTAATTTGAACATTGAAAATTTGAAATTATACATTAATATACTTTATGAAGAAAATTTTAGATAATTCCCTCCACAAAAAATAAAATCAAGAATCTTATAATTTCAAGGCTGGAAAACTGAAGTTGCCACTATAGTTAGATAAATGTGCTCTTATTAGTTTCCAATGTGCTATATTTGTGTTTACAGACAAAGGATTTCTCTGAGTAATTGTGGTGACTATTGGGCTATTTTGATACTAACAGCTATTGAAGTCAAAATTAACTTTTACAACTGTAACAATGTCAACCAAAATTCATCAAGTAATGATTCTAATTATGGTTCTGAAATATTGTGCCTGACAATAACATCATCATGAAATGCTTTAAGAAAGCAAAATGATACCATGACACATTGTATTGTTACTTTAGGCCACACCTTTTGAAATATTAAAGTTAGTGTGGAGAAAATAAAATGTGGCATTAAGGTAAGGTATAGTATAAGGATTATATATTTGGATATTTTGAAAATGTGTTATTTTCATTTATCCTCTGATACATTTCATATATTATTTTATTATTTAATTTTAAATTTATCTCCATGTTTTTATTCCACCAATTAAGGAACAATTAGAATATTTAATATGAGGCCTTCAAAAATATTTTCCTTAAATGAAATATGGCTTCCCTGGAATTCTCAAATGTCTACAATACATTCACATATGATTTTAAAGCAGAATTACCAATTGTATTTGACTTGATTGGAATTAAAATTTGTTAGCACCTGCTAGGTATTCATCAGTTGCACAGTGGGAACTTGTAGCCTAGTGAATCTAGACAAATATTTAAAAGTTGGTAATGGATAATTCAGCAGTTAAAATTATATATGGACATTTTTGCCTGACAATTCATGTTTCAATAATTTTTTTTCAAATATGTCCCAGAATTACCACCCTCAAGGAAGCAAGTATTATTTACAATTCTGTCCCAAATTTCTAAACATATGTCTGTTTATTAAGTCAAAAGTGATGGCAAAACAGCAATTTACCAATTCCTAAATTAAGTTGCCGATTATAGATTACTCTTAAAGTTAGTAATTAAAACAAGGTGATTTGAATTTTTTTGAATATTGTTGCTTGCTGGACAAATAACAATATTTCTGAATTTCTGACATGTTGTACATATCACAAAAAGGAATAAGGCTGTTGGGTTTTTTTTTGGTAGTAATTTCTGGTAGGAAATAAAGGGGTTGATATTAGCAAACATTTTTCCTTGTTAATACAATGTGTTTGAGATTTCAAATACGTTTCCACTTTTTTTTTCTGACATAAATCTGTAAACACACAAGGTAACAATTCATTCAAACTTGAGATAAATGTAGTCAATATCTTTTCTGGAAAATGTATTTTCAAGAAATAGATTATTTTTGTATGTGACTACAGGTAGTCTCAAATAACACATTTCAATGTACCTATATTGCAAACATAATGTGTACAACATAGAATATCTCCTATCTTTTTCAGTGCCACATTGTGATATTTAAAGTCAAAGGAACTGCCATTAAACCCTGCCTAAACATTTTATTTTGTTAAGTTATTCAGGAATAGTCTTTGAAATTAGAAATATCACCTCACCTCCCGCCACTGACACAAACACTGAGTTTATTTATATTCAAGATTTAATTCTCTATTTTGAATAATTTAAATTTAAAAGATATTTAAACCAAAGAAAATAAATTTGAATCCTTTCAACACAGGGGTCGTATCTGTCTTTTTAAATTATTACATTCCAAATGACTATAACAGTGCTTGGCCGGTAGTTGGCATGCTGTAACTATTTGTGGACTAAATAAACACATTATTCTTACAAACAAATCTGATAGCTACATGATCCTGGACAACTCCACTTCTTCTGGTCCACTCATCTTTAAAGTTATAAAACAGTTAAAATCATTCAATGGAATAGTTGATGTTTATAATAGAGACTCATACAGGCAAAAGCACTAACAGCTATTGAAGTCAAAATTAACTTTTGACTAACATAAGTTCTATGTTAGTTTGAGACATGAAAACCCTAATTAAAGAACATGGAGTAGATAACATTATTCTTATTATGTTGTTTTGAATATATGTTTTTAATGACTTGCCTCTACTGATATTTCCTTTTTGACTTTCACTATTTATCTTCTCCTAGAAATTGTAGATGTATCCTTAAATCAACTTTTAAAAAGTCAGCTTTCATATTGGGTGAAGACAAATAATGTTCCAAAAAAGCCAGTCTAAATAAGAAGATGCGTCCTAGAGCTTTGCTTTTTTAGCTGTCGGTACTAGCAGGCCAACACTCAGGCTGGTGCACATGTGCGTGCGTGTGCACACACACACACACACACACAGCATCAAACCAGGATAGTTTTGCATAATGGCTCTAGAAGTCATTGTATACCACAGACTGAGAAAGATTGGTATTTTAAAAGTCCTCTTGCCTTATATAACTTTGAAGAGAAAAATTTAAAAGATAGCTATTCTTCTAAACAAGTGATTGGATGGCAGCAAAGGAGATTTTAAAAATGTTTTTCTAGACATCCTTAAGCTAGTTTTATGTTTATCTTAGTTTCGTTCTGTGTTCCCTTTTAATGATATGTGAAGTCTTAACTAGCAAAAAAATATTTTAATGAGCTTTCATTGTTTTAACTACCAAGAAAAGGCTATTTGCTCTGTATAAATATCATAAATGATCATGTCTACTCCATAATTAGTGTATATCACTAGTACTTGATAAATGTATTACAAGTAAAAATCTAAGCAGGTTTGACAATATTTATAAGAAAACGTGACTTTCTTAATAATATTTACAGATGATGCCTTCATACACAAAGAAAATGAGTTTCAGAGGGGTCAAATGAATTGCCAACTTTTCACAGAGAGCAAGAGAGGTTGAAGTGGATTTTGAACTAGTTTATTATTAATGCTGATGTTTTGTTTATTCTATCTACACTGCCTCACACATAGTGACAGACTTCGTCAAATAAAATCCCTGAAAATACACATCCCTGGCTATTTCAAGTTCTATGTTAGTGTGAGAAATGAAAACACTAATTTTTTTGACTTACTAGATGAATGAACACATACGTAAAGTAATATTTATTAATCATTAATCACAATAGTTATTTTATCTAAATATCATACTAAGGGCAAAAACATTTTTAAAAGTAAGTTGATTTTTCCAAAAGGTGGTTGAAAAGTGTGATCCCTTATTAACACCTTCACATTTTATTTGGATAATAGCACTAGATATTTTTCACTTATCTTCATAACCATGTAGATATAGTGTTGTGCTCATTTAAAATAATGATAAATGAATAAACTAATTTTCAGAATGATAAAGCAATTTGTCAAATATCTCAACTCTGATAAATATCTGACCCATGTCTCTTGATCAAAAGCTTTATTTCTCTCAGTTGAATTTTTGATTGCTAACCTAGTGGTCTGAGAACCTCTGAAATTGTATGTATAACTCTGTGTGGACTGTCGAGGGAGAAGCTTCATAACTTTCTACAACATCTCAACAGACTTGACAATTCAAAATTCTTAAGAACCACAGATGACACTTTTATAAACATTATATATAATAGATTTACATATTTTCAACTGTTGTTTGTTTAGTTTGGCTGCATTCACAATAATGGATGATACATGACTATAGTATTTCTTCAATATTCCAGAGTGACACTGAATTTTAAATACAATCTATTGAAATCTAACGACTACATTAAGCACCATTTAACTGTGGATATTCAATGCCTGAGATTACTCAGTGATGGATAACCCACACATCTTTTATAGACTAATTTATTCTTAGTGTCCTCCAGCAAAGCCATCAGGCATTCTTGGGACAGCTGAAGGGCACTGCACTGAGAGAAAGAAGGGGTGGCATTCCATGGAAGTCATGATGGTGTTCTTCACCAATTCTTGTAGCATTGGGAGGCACTCTGCTCTGAATTGAAGGAAGCATGGTCAGTATTGTCCTCAAAGAGAGTGGGCTCTGTTTTTGTTTTCAGTCCATTCCCTCTTTATGAGTAACAGGTGGAAGGTTTCCCCAAAGCTCCTGCAGCATGCCAGCTCCCGACTAACAGCTGGCATGAATACTGAGCAATTGTCCTCAAATATACCAATACCCTAGACAAATCAAATCAGAAACCACGCTCCATCACTATCCCCACCACCAAGAAAAGTGCCACATCAGAATTGGTAAAAGCTGTTCCCTGGGTTATTTAAGTAGGTAGCCAAGGTTAAGAACTTCTTTGTTCAGTAAAGCCATCCTAGGCAGGCAAAATCTCATGAGACGATATTAACACCTATAGAGGACTGGCTGAGTATTATTCCCAGATAGGAATGTTAAAAGTCTTTGTTTCTTCATTGCTGTTTTTGGTACCAGCAGCCAGCTAACACAGTTAGCAGTGGCTTCAGACCTCTCAGGGGATCTACAAATCTCTCACTAGCTCACCAGATTGCCTTGATCACAGGTTGCTGGGCTTGTGTGGACCATGATTACAAATTTAAGAAACATGTATTTTTAGCCCTTTGTGAATGGGAACCTCAATCTGACTTTAGTACATCCAACTTTTGTAATGGTTTTAGAAACAATTTTCTGGGAAAAAAAGAAGACTCTGTATTTTATGTTTGGCTATTTGTTTAAAAGTTGAATGTTGTGCAAAACGTACTCATCTATTACAACTTGTTCAATCTTATCTACTTTTTGTCAGAGTGACATAAGCCTCTCCTCCTACAAGGTACAATAGCTATGCTAATTTGCTAGCCCTTTTGTTGTCTGGTTATCAAAAGCCATGAGTGACACTTAGGATTTGAGAGCATGCAAATTATTTCTTAATCTTTATGTATTCCCTGAATTGTCAATTACACTTAAGAAACGAAAAGAAAGAGAAAGCACTATTTCCAACAAATAAGCATAACTGACAATTTTTTTCAACTACAATACTGTTAATTGTTGTTTTTTTTTTTCATTTATAGTGAATATCATTCATGTTGTCCACTCTAGGAAAAAAAAATCATCCCTAGGGCATTTCCCTCTAGCAATTCTAGTTTTAGCCATATCACTCACTGTAACAGATGAGATTAATGCAGCTTTTCAACCATCTTTAGGAAGAATATTCAGATGCTTTAGCAGCTGCCCAGCTTCTTAAGAACTCACTAATCCTTTAATCTCCAGACACTTTTTTTCATAAAAGATTCACAAGCAAAACAAATGCAATATGGATCAAAAAATTTAATCAGAATGCTTAAAATGCAATTACATTCATCAGGGTGTTCTGTTAGGCTGGGTATTAAATCTGGGCTTTATTCAATATCCTCCTTTTATTATAAAGCAATATTTTTCCACTCTGTAAACCATCTGATCCCTAGGCTAATGTCCTCTCAGCTTAAATATTAAAAAGAGAGCGCTATGAAAAATGAGCTGGAGAAATATTCCTCTTATTTCAGTGGAAAAAGTTCAAACCAGTCTCTTCCTGAAATCTTGTTTTATAAATGACCAGATAATTTGACCACCTGGAATTCTAAAGTTACACTTTCAAACAGTGGCTGCAGGATCATTATCCTACTTTAAATGTCAAATGTATATCCTCCTACACACCTCCTCAATTGAGTAAAAAATGTCAACAATTTGAACTTGAAAATAATAGTCTATTTTTCCCTAATTCGGCATTTGCAAAGTCTGAAGGCAATGCTGATTTCTTCATGCAAGCACAGAACCCTGAAAAGTTTAAAAAAATCCATCTTAGTTATATTTCTCCAGTTCCCTATTTCACATCTAATAGCATTCAACTGTAACAATAGCTTTGAAATAAAGAGCTGTCCAGCACAGCATGATTTGAAACAGTTGAGTGCTTCTTTTAAGTCTATACCCTAGCTATAACATGGTGGTTGGAGTTTTGTAAGACATATGGAAGTTAAGTGAAGCAGTGGAGGAAGTTCAAGGATTTCCTCTGACAAATGCCATCCTCAGAGTAAGAGAAACTTGGTCCATAAATGCAGACACACTAACATCTTGAGCTGTGCTTAACATTTAATGGATTCTTTGTAAAATTAGTAAGTGGCCCAATTATGCAGGGAGTCAGTTTTCCCTGTTTCCTCCTAAAATGAGTTTGTGCAAATAAAAAATAATTAAATTTCACTTTTCAATTCCAATGTTTCCACATTAGATGAAAACAGAAACAATTGAGCAGTGAATTATCATAGTCCTATATTCAGTCAACAAGCGGTTACAATAACCAACAAGTAGTTACTACAATAATGTTAAAATCTATCATACATAATTAATTCATTTGCCACTCATTATGCTGCCAACTGAGCCCACATGAAGTTACAATAAGGATTTGCAAGAAGATTTAAGGTTTCAAATGGCCCAATGCACAACTGACTGTAAGTTATCTATAAAGGCTAGACAATGGCCACAGGCAAAGATACTATACAGCAAGCTTGTCCAACCTGCAGTCCACAGGCCACATGTGGCCCAGAACAGCTTTGAATGTGGCCCAAAACAAATTTGTAAACTTTCTTAAAACATTATGATTTTTTTTTGCAATTTTTTTGGCTCGTCAGCTATGGTTAGTGTTAGTGTATTTTATGTATGGCCCAAGATAATTCTTCTAATGTGGCCCTGGGAAGCCAAAAGATTGTACACCCGGCTACAGCCATCACTTCTATTACCAGTAGTGCAATTATTGAGGCTTTCCTTTGTGCCAGGTTTAATATGCACTAACTGATTAAATTTTCATAATAGCGTGATGCCATTGTGTGTATTATACAATTTCTCATCTAGGCCGTTTTTGTCTAACTTTGATATATGTGGTTATAGTAATTACTCTTGTTGCAGATAAGAAAACTAAGAAGTAGAAAAGTTATATACCTTGAGCAAGGCCATACTAAAAGTAAGAGAGACAGAGCGGGGCTTCAAACCCAGGCCGTCTGGCTTAAGACCCCATGTTCCTAATTCTCCAGACTAATTCTGCCTTCCAAATTCATTCTGTATCCTCTATTTAATTTCCTATCTAGGCCTGTTTGTCCCAAGTTATTTTGAAGCATACAGTTTAAAATATTATCTACCTGATATTGGCTCAACAAGTAGAATATTTAGAAACACAGCCCCTAGCTAAAGTGGGTCCATTTCTGGGTATAAAGTTTGTACCACCTTGTGTCATCTGTGGGATAGGCCACATCCAGACACAGCATAGCCTGTATGACACAGAAAGAAATAAAAACAAAACAAAACAAAAAACTTGCAAGTAATATGGTGTGATAAGACTTCTTTATATGGAAATTGCAATTGAACCTGGAATCATGGCCTGTCTTCTAGTCTAGCCTAATGGAGTAAAATGACACAAGTCCATTGCTTTCTGGGCTTGTATGTTTCTCAGGTCTCTCAAGGCTGCACTGACCACCTGACTTAGGGACTGCCTCTTTAGGAATTGGGAAGCAATATCTATTAATGTGTATCCTCATGTATAATTGTTCTGTTTATGGATAAACTGAAGGGAGAACAATCTTGAACCTATTCAAAGATGTCAGTCTTATAATACTACAAAACCATATTGGTCTTTGTGGCCAATCCTGCCACAAAAAGTACTATGCAGGGAAGAATCCAATAGACTAGAGATTAGGCACCTGGAAGTCACCCAACACAGTATAGCATATTCTTGGACCTCTTTCTAGAGATTTCAAATATGAGGGGTGGTGGAGTGTAATGCATGAATAACAAATAGAATATATCAAAATAAAACAGTAGTTTATCAGCTGGTATGCAACTAGCAGATGCTCAGCTGAGCTTGACATTTGTCACTCCTTATTCTTCATGGTACATAAATTTATTTCCAAAGTGATTGGTATGTCATTGAGCAAACTACATACAAAATGACTTTCTCAGCAGGTAATGGTTCAAATTTTATGCAAAACCTAATGATTTTCACATTCAACTATTTTTTAAATCCCTGCTAATTCTTAGACTGTGGAAAACTATGAATGGTGTGTATGTAACCAATAAACCAATAAGTACAGTGTTTTTTTCCTATGCAGAAATATGGAAGACATATTTTCCTGATAGATATCAACATGAAAAAGTATTATGACTAGATAGTTCTGCTTTATAAATAGTATGCATATATTATTTATCACCCAATCTGAGATGATTTTGATAGTGGAAATATACATTAATAACTAATACTAGAAAAACAGATGGGAGTATTCTAAGAAAGCTTGTGCATGGTTACCATATTTATAAAGTACTACAGATTAATTTGTACTTTTATTGTATATGATTTGAAGTTTGAAATATAATTCCTACTTCTATATTACAATTAATTAAAGCAATTTCAATGAAACAGTAGTACCCAATTATTATAGTAATAACACATAATTATTTTTTCTGTGCAATGTTTAATTATTAAAGTTGATATCTATCTTGAGCAAGATTCCTTTAAAATAGGTATATGGTGCTAACTCTTAGATTTCCAACTATGCCCAGATCCTTTATAGACATATTTAAATGTACTTCTTACTATTGTTTGAAGATGTAGAGAAGCCTACTCATTATTTTTCTTTCTTTTAAGGCAATATTTGGTTTTTCTTTTTACTATTAATGTGAAAAATTACTAACATCTCATTTATAAAGATAAAACCATACATAGCCACTGAATGGCATTTTTATTAAGATCATCTTTCTATATTGGCATTCCAA
Organism: Homo sapiens; assembly: GCF_000001405.40. Classification (NCBI taxonomy): domain Eukaryota; kingdom Metazoa; phylum Chordata; class Mammalia; order Primates; family Hominidae; genus Homo; species Homo sapiens. Next base: position 211,849,794 of record NC_000002.12, read on the forward strand.
AGAGTAGAACCAAAAGTATATCTTACTGCCCAGCAAAATGCAAATGAGGTGGAGAATAGCACATTTTATGCACAAATAGCATGTTTGGTTTTAATAATGACTATAGGATAAAACCACAAATTATTCAAATAAGGGTTTCTCCATGAATCTCAGCTTTTAATCTCTTGCTAGGCTGTTTAAAAATATATACAGAATTGACCAAACTGTTTTCAAGACGCTGCCTGCAATTATCACACTGATGCTTTTTAACATTTCTATCTTCCATCCAACCTTCTATGCTTCCATCGCTGTTTGCATAGAACCATATATTTATTCACTGAAAGTTACCAGTTCTTAATTACATTTTGTTTCCATTTAAGCTATGGTAGTAAGCAGTGTATTGTAATATTAGCAATAATCCAGTGAGAATTCCCCAAAATGCAATGCTTTGTCTGGGTTGGTGCTTAAATTGTATTATATGTTGAGTTTAGTCTTTGAGTTCTTCCACTTTAAGTTACTGTTCTCTTATTCTCTAAGAAGCAGTATATATGCCTTTTATTCATATACATATTCATATACATATTCAACATATATGTAGTGTATATATATGTTGAATAATTTTTCAACTTGTGTTGAATATATATATGTATACATATATAGGGTTTACTCTCTCAAACAACATACAGTCAAGCAGAGAACAAAGGTAATTAGATATGATCTCAGATATTTAGAAGTATATTAAACAACAGGGTACAGCTTTCTACAGGCATTCAGAAGCCAGAACAGATGCCTAGTTGGGATAACTAGAGAAGATATTGATAAGTTAACAATTGACAGAGATGGTGGAAATATTCATTTCAGCTGGGGGAGCTGTCATGTATGATTAGAAGGAGCAAGGTGTTTGGAGAACAGTATTAATTCATATGGCTGGTAGGTATTTGACATGTAGGGTCAGAGTGGCAGATGAGGCTGTTAGGGGCCAGATCATGGCTTAGTCATCAAGAATTCAATATTATCTACAGACAGGTAAGACAGCACTATCTAAAATTATTTTTCTTTTTATTAGAACTGAAAGATAATCTAAAACTAAGTAATAATATCAATTATATTAAGACACTGAAGAGTTTAGATTCTGATGTGTACACAATTATATGTATCAGGTTTAAGGCAGCACATTTGGACCTTGCAATTTGACTCAAAGTTGTTTTGACTCTGCTCTGCCTGATAGTCAATACAACTGATAATCTGCAGCTGATCTTAAATTGTCTCAGATACTCATATTGAAAATAAATTATTACCTTTAGAACTAACCAGCCTGCAATAAAACTAACAACAGATAAAGTAGTATACAACACTTTTTGTTTTGAATAAAAATTGAAAATGATGTACAAAATTTGACTGAACAAAATGGAACTCCATAGAAGAAACTGCAAAAGAAAATTCACAAGTGAAATAACCCATTACGTAATATGAACTAATGATTCAGTTCATGGTGTTAAGGTCTGCAAGAAATATAATTTATTTAATGAAAATAAATTCAAAAGAAAAAATCAAAATGGAAAAATTATATGTCAAAAATAGGTCAAGAAATTAAATTGGCTTAATCCAATTCAATCCAGAAAATAATTTTAAAATATAACTAGGTCAAAATATCAGAAGCAAAGCATCTCTGGGTCAAAATGTTGTGGCCCAATTATCTTTAATACACTAGAGTTTCCCTCTTCGCTAAACTAAAAGCGCTGGCTTCTTGCTCATGTTTAGATAATGGGGATGTAGCACAAGTTCTAAAATATGGTAACAAACATATGTAAGTTGAAGAGCATATTTGCTGTAAAACATAACCTTGTGCATCATCAAAAAATAATCATTGTTATAAGGATCACGTGGTATATTTTGGGATAATATTTATATCCCATAAAATAGCCCTTGCCTTCAAAAGGTGTTTGATCCTATTGTGATAAGAGAATAGTGAAAAAGCAAATAAGAGATATATGCATTGAATTCTTAGAATACAGAAATTTCAAGACAAATTTCTTGAGAAGAGTTTCTCAAGAATTTTTTTAATCAAAAGCTAAAGAGATATGAGCAAAGGCTAAATATTCTACATTTTACTTTATTAAACAGTCTGAATATCTACCTTGATGAGTGCTTTTATTAAGCCCAATAAGACCTTTACTGATATTTTCTTCTATAGAGACATCTTGTGAAATAGTCACAGAAAACAATAAAAATATTAACAAGCTTCAACATGAATTTATATCACTATTGTCATTATCTGTAACTTTCATTCAGTTTACAGTTCTTCTACTCTAGTCCAGGCTCTTATCATTCTATGTCAGTCTCTTTTGGGCTTTGAATGCTTCCAATATCTTCAAATTTTAATTCATTTATTACTTGCAGATTAATCATCCAAAAACACTATTTTCCATACATTGCCCCATGTTGAAGCCATGGAAAAGCTCTCTGACTTCAGTAAAATTAAAAATGAGGAAAACATTTAAATCTTTTTAAAAAAATGACTTGGGGCCAGTATTAGTACATTTTAATATAGAAAAAGATGATTGATAGTATGCTGAATCGGCACTGACACTGGCCTTAAGCTAGAAAACACTACCCTATATAAAATCTTGGACATCATTTTATTTGGGAGAAGGGTTTGGTAAGTATTATTTTAGTCTACTGCAGTAAAGTAGGTCCTTATGCAGTATCATCAATTGGTTCTTGGAAACTGTGACTTTTAAGTGAAATGACATACAGCAGGTCCTCAAATTACATTGTTTTGTTCAACATCATTCCCCTATAATGTTGATGAGAACAAAAACTACACTAAGTGAGGACTTACTGTACATGGTACAATGGCCAACTTTTTTTTTTTTTTTGCCGTTGCCATCACTAAGCTGTCTATCCACTCTTCAATAGATACACAAAACTTTTTTTTTTCCTAATGGCCTACATTTATTTAGTTTGTCTAAATATGTGGGAAAAGAAGATGTTTCATGTTTGTCCTTTGGGCTCCTACTACTTGCTGCAAAAGATTCAGCTTTTCTCAGCTCAATACTACCTAAACAAGAAGTGAGTTGCAAGATCCTTTCTCTGGAGCTATTACTGGCAGCTAGAATTTACAGGTATGCTCTATTAGAAAATAAATAATAGATATCATCACCTCTGGCATACTATCTTAACTTCCTAAATTTTTCATGTGACTGTTGTTGGTCTAATAGTCTTGTCATCACAGCCTACTACTGGATCTAGTTCTGTCGATTTGTGCTTCCCTTTTGCTGTCATCCCTTTCTGTGCTTGGGGAAACACAGGTCTTGCTTCTGAAGGGGGCATAAAGAATAATATTAAGTAGAACAGTCTCTGAGATTTCACAGAGCTTCCCAATGCTTATATGGTTTTAGGCTGGAAATAGAGATCAGATTCTTGCATAATTGTGTGAAAGAGACTGAATCATCAACAGATCTTGCTCTTTTTTTTTCTTCACTTACCTATAGTACATCAATGAGTGAATAGGTCCAGAGTGAGCAGTCTATGTTGCCTTTCTTTTAACTGGGAATCCATTCTCTATGCATTTTAGGTCAAAACGTTTATTCCAAGGTGACAACTTCAGTCATATGGTTCTGAAAACCTCTTTGGTCTACTTGTATGACTTGCATTAAAAATTATTACTCCCATGGCTGTTCAAACTCTGTTGATAACCTCTGGCAGATTCAGACCATTACTCTGTTAGGCACACTAATTAGTTCTTGATGACCCAGTCCTGGAGATCATTAGCCTCTTTCCTTTCAAAAAGAACTACACACTCTTGAGTGATATGGAGGCAGTGGTCTGAGGTACTGCCTTTATACAAAATTAGTTATTGACTGCTAAGCAGAAACAAGCATTCCCAAATGATTCCTCTTACCTTATTCCAAAGCATACACAACAAAAACTCCCCTGCAATTATCAGAAATATATGTGTTTTTTTCTATTTAGGACTTTACACTATTGTGATTATGATAGACAATAATCCAATTAGTTACATTTTACCACAATTTGTCAACATGTACAAAGGAGGACAACAATGACTCAATAAAAAGCAATACATTAGTTATAATGACTTAAAAAGGAGTCATCACCAGATGCCACTGTGAGATTGGTTATGTGTGTTCAGAAAAGGGGCTTTAATTCTTTATTCAAACAACAGATATTTTCTCATTCTTAACAATATGAACCTTTTAACCCATTTGGACCATTTGAACATTTACCTCCAAGGAAAACAGTAGATCTTATCCACCCAAAGGAACAATGTTACGGTGTTTGAATTTTCTCAAATTGTTGCTTGAGAATATAAATTGTGTAACAACAGTAAAAATTAGACCTAGACCTATATTTTATGAAATTACAAATCTCTTTTCAGAAAATATAGAGATGATTATTAGGATAGTTTTATCATCTACAAAATCAAGGAGTCCATAGTTAGAAGGCCTCATTATTTGAGCAGGAAAAATAAACTTTGTGTTAATTCTCATATTATCATATGTGTAGTTTGGATATTTAATTGTTAAATATTATATTGAAGTGTGCCATACATGGAAAAATGATGAAATCAGAAATATGTTCATCAATTTTCACATTTTTTTAAAAAGGGCAAAACACTCGTGTAGTCACCACCCTGTTCAAGATATAAAACACAGTCAGTGCTGAGTTCCTTTTGTGTCCCTTCACAATTGCTACATCCTCACCTTTCAACAGGCAATGCCATCATGACTTCTTGAAGCACATATTAGTTTTACCTAATTGTAAATAAACTATATAAATGAAATGACAGAGTTGGTATGCTTTCATCTCTATTCTCTTTCACTCAACATTATCTTTGTAAGATTCAACCCGTGTTGTACAAAAGACAGTATTCCATCCACTTTCACGACTGTATAGTATTCTATGTGTGCCTATAACAAAATTAATCATCTCAGCCTACTACTGATTGAAATTTAGGTTGTTAGCACCAATAATGCTACCATGAATATTCTTAAGCTTGTCCTTTGAAGTGTGTGTGTGTGCATTTGTATATGTGTGTGTATGTGTATATGTGTAAATTTCTTTTGAATATAAACATAAAAGTGAATTCTAAGTTTCTAGATCACATGGTAGGCATATTATACCTTTAGCCGCTATTGCTACGCAGTTTCCCAAAGTGGATGTACCAATTTAAACTCCCACCTATAGTGTATATGAGTTCCCATTCCTCCATGTACTCAACAACATTCGTTACTTTAAGCCAGTCTGGTGGGCACATGAGGGTACTACACTCTTACTTTAATTTGCTTTTTTTTCTGATTAGTAATTATGTTGGGAAGCTTTTCATGTATACAGTGGGTCTTTGGATATCTTCTGTTGGAGAGTGCTCCTTCAAGATTTTGCACATTTTTTATTGAGTTACCTGTCTTTGCCTTAAGGAATTGTAGAATTCCTTTTTATATTTTGGATATAAGTCTTTGCCAGTTATAAACATTTGAAAAGTCTCCCACTAAATGACTTTTCTTGTCACTCTTAAAATTATGCCCTTTGATGAATGAAGTTCTAATTTTAGTATAAGATTTATCAATCTTTTGCTTCATAATTAGTGGATTGGTATGTATACATGTGTATGTGTGTCCTCAAGGTAATAAAAATATTCTCGTTTTCCTCTAAAAGTTTTTTACCTTTAACATTTACATCCACAATCTACCAGTAATTGATTTTTGTCTATGGTGTGAGATTTGAATCAAGACAATTTCTACATAGATATCTCATTATTCCAACAACATTTATTAAAAACACTGGCCTTCATCCACTTTTCTCCTCCAATACCAATTCTTTCATAAAGACTCCCTCTATGTGAGAATTATATTACTTTGTCTATTTCTCTGCCCTTTTACCAATAATAGGCATACTGTGTACTGTAGCTTTATGATGAGTCTTAATATCCAGTAGTTTTAGTCCCCCAAATTTGATCTTTTTCTTCAAGAATATTCTGTTTGTCCTTGGGCCTTTGCAATCTTTAAGTTTATTTTCCTAGCCAGGGAAATTGGGAAAGGAAAAGAAATAAAGGGTGTAAAGATTAAAAAGGAAGAAGTGAAACTATTATAATTTGCAGATAAGATACTTATGTATGTAGAAAAATAAAAAAGATTCTACAGATGAATGATTAAAATTAATAGGTGAATTTAGAAAATCTCAGGATACAAAGTCAGAATGAAAAACTACTTCATGGGTACAACGTACCTTATTTGGGTGACGGGTACACTAAAAGCTAAGAATTAACCACTACACAGTGTACCCATGTAACAAAATTGCATTTATACTTCTTAAATATTATACCACAAATTGCCTACCTAAGAACAATATAATGAAAAATATTTCAGTTTTAACCTTGGTTTAAAAATTACTATGGAAACATAATTCCCAATGACTGGAAGTCTGGTGTCAGTCTAGGAAGTCCTCATAGGTTACTTAATCCTCAGATAATGCCCTTTCTGATTTCAATTAGGCAATTACAGCCCAGAGCTGTGAAGTCTGGGGAATGTTCTTCATTAAGTCACTTTTCTCAGCCCTAGCTAGTCTTGTAATTTCTATTTATTTATTTATTTATTTATTTATTTATTTATCTGAGATGGAGTCTCGCTCTGTCGCCCAGGCTGGAGTGCAGTGGCACAATCTCGGCTCACTGCAAGCTCTGCCTCCCGGGTTCACGCCATTCTCCTGCCTCAGCCTCCCGAGTAGCTGGGACTACAGGCACCCGCCACCACGCCCGGCTAATTTTTTTTTTATTTTCAGTAGAGACGGGGTTTCACCGTGTTAGCCAGGATGGTCTCGATCTCCTGGCCTCGTGATCCGCCCGCCTCGGCCTTCCAAAGTGCAGGGATTACAGGCGTGAGCCACTGCGCCCAGCCTAGTCTTGTAATTTCTTTCTAGTCTGGAGGAAAGAAAGCAGACTTCTGGAGACAGTAAGGCTATATTTCCATGGCTTATCTCATTTCTTCCAGAATATTTAAATTTGATACAACTATTATTAATATAGCTGTTTCAATGTTTATGAACATATGAAACTAGATTTTCAACAATATGATAGAAAACAAAGTAGAAGAAATAATGTAGGAGTACTTTTGGTGTTGTACAATCAACAGATTTAGATCTTTAGTAAATCTCAGATTTACTATCTCGAATTTAGAACTTTAGACAAAATTATTTAAAAAGTTATTATATGTAATATAATTGTATGTTATAATATTTCAGCTTTCAGGTTGTTAAAATGTATATCTTGAAAATATTCTGGCATATGGTTGTCAGGTAACATTGCTAGGAAGTCCTACATTTTATTCTGAGTTTTTGTTCCTCTGACTCTGTGTATATCTCTGTGTGTGTTTGTGTGTGTGTGTGTGTTTGTGTGTCTTAGGTATTGTTTCTTTAATAAAAGAATAACGATAGTTTTTGCAACTGATATTTTAAATGTCCTTCCTTTGCAAAATAGTTGGCAGTCACACTTAAATTCCTCCAATTAAAAGAAAAAATTTCTAGTTCATAAAATCTGTTAAGTCCAATAAGTGTTGCTATAAGAAACCCTTTTAACCTATGTATATATCCTGAAATTCTGCTCCTAAAAGTCCCTTCACCCTAAAAAATCCTCACAGCAAACTGGAAGAGCAACTGAACTATAATACATTTTAAACGGCATTGCCTCTTGCTCAAATAACTTGAAAATTACTTTTTTTTTTGTCTCCTCCAGCTTTTCTTCAGCATGGTTTCTGAATTTTAATCAAAACATAAAAATACAAAAGAATAAAAGGAATAACAGAAAATCTAATTTGGAATAAAAACAAATGACAATTGGATAAGCCTCAGCATATTCTGGGAAATGTTAAAAGCATCCTTTCAAATAAATTATTTGCCAAATTTGAATACAATTTACCTACCTGAAACTGTTTCATTCAGGTAAAGTCTATTACAAAGGTATACATGAGATTATAGGTTAATGTTTTACACATTACGACAAGTAGCTCAAGAGGCAAGATGATTGTTTGAGAAAAGGTAATTTGAAAGTACTGAATTCTCCGCTATTGGGAAATGCATGTATTTATTATAGTAAGAGTGAAGCACACGGGTAAGGATCTCACAACAATAAATCCTCTGTCATCTGTATGAGGAAAATGGTGAGTACCTCCAGGATCTGAGAAGTTATTATTAATAGATGGCACGATGAATGTAAGCGTGCTTCTAATTCTGTAATTTGAAAGCATGCATATGTTTCTCGATGTAACACACACATTTATTTACTCATAGACAAAGCTGCAGTTATGTTCACACACATAACGTCTTAGGGAAATAAGACTGAAGGAGGTGAGAAGAAAGAGAGTGTGGAAGAGGTGAAGAAAGAGATGGAGACAAGGAGACAGAGTGCACAGTGATACTGAGACCAAGAGATGGAGGTTTCAAAAGGCCTGCATAAAGATGACTTGGCTGATGCACATAGTGAGAAAAAGCAATGAGCTGATTGGAAGACTGCACAGTACCCTTACAGTCCCGTAGACAGTTCCATAACCAAAGTTAATTGCTTTGATCCTCCAATGTTTTTGACATATAAAAGTATATTCAGTAAATTAACTTCCCTAAATCTGAAATTTAAAGCTTATGAAAAGTCAAAACAAATGTTTGAAGACTAATCAAAATAAAGTCCTCAGCATGGTTTGATTTAGACCATTTTGTACTAGCTTACCAAAATTCTCTATTGAGTTAAATAAGGAATGTAACTAACTAAAACTGGGAACAGAGTTAATAAAATCATGGCTCACAAAAAGCCATTTTTTTTTTATTTTGGCCAGCAATAAAATCCTTGGCTAGCGTTTCTCTGTTAGCTATAACAAAAACCTAGTTGTAAATAAGAAATAAAATTTTGAGACAGATGTTAGCTGTAACATAGAAATATACTTTCCATTAACAATCTGGCATGTTGTATGGTGGTTCTACTCCAAAAGGCAATGTATCTTTTAATTATTTATTCATTTTTTTTGAGATGGAGTCTTGCTCTGTCGCCTGGGCTGGAGTGCAGTGGTGCGATCTCCGCTCACTGCAACTTCCAACTCCCCGTTCAAGCGATTCTCCTGCCTTAGCCTCCCGAGTAGCTGGGATTACAGGCATGCACCACCACACCAGGCTAATTTTTGTATTTTTAATAGAGACAGGGTTTCACCATGTTGGCCAGACTGGTCTTGAACTCCTGACCTCAGGTGATTCACCTGCCTCAGCCTCACAAAGTGCTGGGATTACAGGCATGAGCCACTGTGCTTGGCCGGCAATGTATCTTTTAATGTAACTTGATAATATTGTCCTCTGCCTCTGCAGCCTTCCCAGACATATTACTAAAATTAATTCAATTTTAGCAATCAAAACTGTAAATGAACTTAGTTATTCAGCAATCAATGAAATCTAAATGAAGAGTCACTGTTATCCAATTCCTCATGCATTCCCTTAAAATCTCTTTCTCTAGAAAAAGTCTTTAGATAAAGGCAGTTCACAAATATATGGCAACCCTAACTTATAACTTGATTATCATGTTATCACATCCCTATCTGGTTCACATAAATTATCTAACCTTTGTCAAATTAGAAAAATATTTGGATTCACATTTTTTAGGCTGAATTTCATGAATACTGTAATATACCTATTTTGTATTTTATAAGCTTAGATAGTAAAATCATTCAGGTAAATGACTATTCTTTAAAAGATGTGTTATGTTTAATAAAGTTTAATATTAAAATTCCTAAAAGTTAATTTTAAGTTCACTCCAGAGTTATGGAGCTATGTCTTCCTCTGTAAGAAATAATACAAAATGAATCCTGACTTTGTAGTGAAACAATTCCCTCGTTTTATTGTAGAAATATTTTGGGGGTGGTGACTCTGTGATTGCTTTGGAATTAAAGCAATCTGCTCATTATCTCATATTGGATATGAAAGCTGAAGGCAAGAATAATGCAAAGCACACATATAATTAGTAGGTTATATACCCAGAAGTAATCAGTTCTGTAAGACACACTTCTTCAATGTCCAATAAGCAGAAATGATTAGCAGCAATGAAAAAGAAATGTAAATGTTTTCCATTAACTTCTTTTCCTATTTCTGGTAGAAAAACCACAAATAAGTGATTCATTACAAACGTATTGGCAATGGTAAAACAAAGAAAAATTGTTAATGCAATCATTAAATTTATCTTACAAGTTTCTGTAATTGTTTAAAAACATAAATGGTGGTTATTATACGCCAAAACATCTCTTGTCATTCATTTTAAATATTTGTCAAAATCAATTTAATTCTGGAAGTCTATGTGAGAAAAGTCACAAGCCAACTGCTATTGTAAGTCGCAAACTTCTTAGAAGAGCTCTTTCATTACTAAGTAAAGTATACCATGATTGTATGATACTGGACATAGAGAAACAAGATTTGCCTTTCACTCTTTGTAATTTGACTTGTTTGTGCTTTTAAGTTACTCCAATTATTTTCTAACTTTCAACATTATTCTGATTAAGTCCTAGCTACAGAGTCTTCAAAAGACTTTTATAAGCCTAACTCTTAAATTGCTGCTTTCTTTGTTTTAGCAAGCACCAAGGAACTAATAAAACAAGTTTACTCATGTCAAATTTTAGATTAAAAACAGATTGCTCCTTTTATGTGATAACAGAGTTGAAGCAGGATGAAGTCACCTCAATTATCATTGTCCCTGGGTTTTATTGTACACTACTCATTTAAGACAAATAATTACCTAGGCCTCTTAGCTTGCAAGTGATTCACACATTATAAGTCTGTAATGTTCTGCATTTCTGCTCTCTTGCTAGTACAATTAAAGTTTATTGACAGTAAATATAGTAAATTTTAATTTTTGCCATATAAATACTTAGTGCTATGTTACTGACAGAAAGATGATTTCCCAAACCTTAGGAAATACTTATGCAATGTTTTATTTAAATATTAAAAATAGGAATATTCACTCCTACATTAACACTAGCATGTTATAATACTACCATGGTGTTAGGCTCTATAATAACCATTAGAGAATAATTTGGCATGAAAATAAATCATTAATTTTATTTCTCTGAAATAAAAAATACAACTCAAAAAGAATTAGGAAAAAACAAAGACAATATATTACATTATATATATTTTATATATATATAAATATATAAATATATTTAAATATATTATATAATATAATATATTATATATTTATATATTTATATATATATAAATATAATATATTTATATATTTATATATATATAAATATAATATATTTATATATTATAAAATATATAAATACATTATATATATTTATATATATATTTTATATATATATATATATATATATATATATATTAAAAAAAAGTAGTTTTTTTTTTTTTTGAGACAGAGTCTCACTCTGTCACCCAGGCTGGAGTGCAGTGGTGTGATTATGGCTCACTGCAGCCTCCACCTTCTGGGCTCAAGCACTCTACCTCAGCCTGATGAGTTGCTGGGACCACAAATTCATGCCATCAGTCCAGGCGTGTTTTTTTTTTTGTTTTTTTTTTGTTTTTTTTTTTTTTTTTTTACTTTTAGCAGAGAAGAGGTTTGGCTGTGTTGCCTAGGCTAGTCTCAAACTCCTGAGCTCAAGTCATCCGTCATCCTCCCACTTCAGCCTCTCGAAGTGCTAGGATTACAGACACGAGTCACTACACCCAGCCCAAAAACAATATTGATGGAACCCAAACACAATTTGAATATTGCCATTAACAATATAAAGAAAAACCTATAAATATTGGCTAAAGACTAACAATGAATTGTTTTTATAATTTTCTTCATCTCTCACAGGTGATACATGCACAATATGTTCACACACGAAGTCTTGGGTTATCTTTAAGAATAAAAATACTCATTAAAAAATTACAGAAAATGTATTACTCTAGAATGGGTGGGATTTGAGGCTTGGAACAACAAGGAAGCTACAACTAAACAAACAACTCAGTGGATGAAATGAATGTGTGTGATCAGCAAACAGCAAGGAAATGAAAAAACTAAAACAGAGGATTTGGAATGCTGACCAATGGGGTTATAAAATGAAATGCTAATTTTTTCACTACTATTAAAGCCAGCAAATGATCTTTTAAAAAATTTTAAAGCATAAATGGGTAAAGTCATGTGAAATAAAGGACAATTTCTTTTCTTTTTCTATATTCAGCATTTTAAATTCTTTAAAGTTGTATCCAAGTTAATATAAAACATATTTATTCAAAAATTTTATTTAACCTTGCTGTTACTAAAATATTTAAAGACACAGATAAAAGGTAGTGCCATATCTCTCTTAAAAATCTCATTCAAGATTCTGATTGCATGACATGTAGAATAATCATTAGATCTAGCAAGTGTTTATTTTCAAGCTAGAACTCAAATTTTCCATTTTAATTTTTAACATATTTATCGGCTAAAGGGATAAAAACAATAACAAGTTTACAATAATTGTATGATGATAAAATCACAGCTAATAGTTTGTTAAAGCCAAATTAATGCTATAACATCTGTTTCTTATCAGCAGAAAATAAGAGTTTTTACACTATATTTTTAATTCAGTAGAGAATATATGCTTTGTTCTCAATTTTTTTCAAGCATTGTCTTAGATGAGAAAAGGCAATTTTCCAGAGATTCCTGTTCAAACATAACTTCTACAGAATATGTTCATAAGTCAAAACTCACTAGATTAATTCATGGAGACAACACTGCATAATTGAAACTCTTGTCATTGCAATCACTGATTAAAACTATTTTCTTGGCTATATTTTTGTGAAATAAAAAAGGAACTTTTAGAATAGGTGAAGAAGACTTCTAAATATATAGTAAAGATACTTTGCTCAAAGAATTTAAAATGGAATGAACTGCATAAAACTGATATATCAGATCATTATTTTACTTAGAAAAAAGGGAATTTAATATGGTTCTATCTAAAAATAAAGTGTGAGTAAGATAATACCATAAAAGGAATTGTGCTGAAGAAAAATAGTGAGAGGTGAAGCCAGTTGGACTTCCTGGGTCGAGTGGGGACTTCGAGAACTTTTCTGTCTAGCTATAGGATCGTAAATGCACCAATCAGCGCTCTGTGTCTAACTAAAGGATTGTAAATGCACCAATCAGCACTCTTTAAAAATGCACCAATCAGCACTCTGCGTCTAGCTAAAGGATTGTAAATGCACCATTCAGCACTCTGTCTAGCTAAAGGATTGTAAATGCACCAATCATCACTCTGTAAAAACGCACCAATCAGCACTCTGTGTCTAGCTAAAGGATTGTAAATGCACAAATCAGCACTCTGTAAAAACACCCCAATCAGCACTCTGTGTCTAGCTAAAGGATTGTAAACACACCAATCAGCACTCTGCAAAAACGCACCAATCAGTGCTCTGTGTCTAGCTAAAGGTTTGTAAATGCACCAATCAGCAATCTGTAAAACGAACCAATCAGCTCTCTGTAAAATGGACCAATCAGCACTCTGTAAAATGGACCAATCAGCAGGACATGAGCAGGGACAAATAAGGGAATAAAAGCTGGCCACCCCAGCCAGAAGCAGCAACCCACTCAGGTCCCCTTCCATGCTGTGGAAGCTTTGTTCTTCTGCTCTTCACAATAAATCTTGCTATTGCTCACTTTTTGTGTCCGCACTACCTTTATGAGCTGTAACACTTACCACAGGGGTCTGCGGCTTCATTCCTGAAGTCAGCGAAACTAAGAACCCACTGGGAGGAACAAACTACTCCAGACGTGCCACCTTTAAGAGCTGTAACACTCACTGTGAGGATCTGCAGCTTCACTCCTGAAGTCAGTGAGACCAGGAACCCACCAGAAGGAAGAAACTCCAGACACATCTGAACATCTGAAGTAACAAACTCCAGACACACCATCTTTAAGAGCTGTAACGCTCACTGTGAAGGTCCGTGGCTTCATTCTTGAAGTCAGCAAGACCAAGAACCCACCGGAAGGAAAAAATTCCAGACACAGTGGGATATGACATCCTAACTCAATATATGAACCTATAGGGGTCTAACATTCATAGGTTTCTGTGTATTCAGTGGAAAAATTGAGAGGATTCATCATTCAATTATCTTTTCTTTCCTCCTTTTTCTTGACCCTCTGCTTCATAGAGAGGGCTTGGAGGTAGGATCCAGAGTGAGCCTCTGTTAGAAGCATTGAGAGAGAAGCCAGAAGGTCCAGTCCTGCTGGCAGTAGCAAGGGGCCAAGACCACTAGGCCTGCCTGTGTTCTCACAAGCCCCACTACCATCTCTAGATTTTCTCATCACCCAGTCTTGAAAAATCTGTGCCTGCCCCTTCAGTAGCTTTGCCATTTCTTGATTCCTTTCCTCTGTGGGTGTTCTGGCACTGGCCCTTTTTCCCACCTCTCCTTCTTTTCTGGGATGCTGCTGCTGTTGCTATCTCCTCTATCCTTCCATCCTTGGCATCTGGCCCTTAATCCTCAGACTGGGTGGGAGCCCATCCCTTGTCTTTTGGGATTTGCAAACTCCTACCCTGAACCCACATGAAAGTGACTGCTTTCCTGCTTCTGGGGATCTCTTTGGCACTTCCCAGGAACTCCTCCACCTGGAGCAGTAACTCCAGGCTGCTTCAGGCTGCATGCTTGCACAAAAGCTGGTGGTTCAGGTCAAGAAAGTCTGTAAACTGCCCCAGCAAAATGATACCAGGGTCTGAAAAGCTCAAGATGCTGACCTTGGCAGAAAATTGGGATATTATTATTTCGAACATAAAATAGCAATCCTAAATGCTTGATATTTACGTACCAAGAGACTTAGAAATAATCATACATACAGTGAATCCTTTTGAATCTCTGCCATTATGTAAAGTGATAAAGATTGATTAGAACTGGCCAGGTGTGGTGGCTCACGCTTGTAATACCAGCACTTTGGGAGTTCCAGGCGGGCAGATCACTTGAGGTCAGGAGTTCAAGACCAGCCTGGGCAACATGGTAAAACCCCGTCGCTACTAAAAATACAAAAATTAGCTGAGTGTGGTGGCACCCTGTCTCTACTAAAAATACAAAAATTAGCTGAGCGTGGTGGTGGGTGCCTGTAATCCCATCTACTTGGGAGGGTGAGGCAGGAGAATCACTTGAATCTTGGAAGCAGAGGTTGCATTGAGCCAAGATTGAGTCACTGTACTCCTGCCTGTCCTGGAGAGTGAAACTCTGTCTAAAAAATAAAAAATAAATAAATAAAAGATTGACTATAATTTCCTAGAAGTGGTCCTTCATAAAAGGGGCTTAAAATTCCTTTTTTGGGTGCTTCCTTGCAGACATCTACTAAAAAGTCTCTAGATCTTCCAATATTTTCACAAATAAACTTCATTAAAGTATATATCTATACCTATATATATCTATATCTATAAAGTATATATCTATATGTATATATAGATATATCATAAAGATTTATCTGTTATTGCTTAGGAGATTGGAAAAAACCTGTCCTGACCATAATATTAAATAGCTCTGGAAAACGCATACCATATTTGGTTCTTTTTAACTTATCTTTGGATTGGCATCTCTTTAATTACCTCCCAACTTATTTCTTGGAGCAGCTAGGCCTAAATGGATGTAGTCTATTTAAAATAGTCATGTGATATTCTGTGATATTCCTCTGTTTAGGTAAAATAAGTTGATAATTATATCTTTTATTTTTATTTTTTTCTTGAGACGGAGTTTCACTCTTGTTTCCCAGGCTGGAGTGCAATGGCGTGACCTTGGCTCACTGCAACTTCTGCCTCCCAGGTTCAAGTGATTCTCTCGCCTCAGCCTCCCAAGTAGCTGGGATTTTCTGTCTACTTGAATGTCTGTTGGGAATAACTAACTGTTCCATCTCCCCAAACATACTTTTTAATCAGTTTTTCCCATATTAATTAATAGCAAGATCAGCCATCCATTTGCTCAGACCAAAGAGTAAGAAGTCATTCCTATTTCTAACCCAATATAACCACAAGTCGTGCCAGTTCTATCTCCAAAATAGATTATGAAATAGACACATTATTTCCAGTACCATTCATATTATACTACTTAAGAAGAAAATGAGAGACTCTTAATTCTTTAAAGTGTAAAATAAATTAAACACACCCCTTTGAAGCCCTAAAATTATATCCTTTTGTAATTAGAATTAAATATACACTTATACTGTGACCGATAAAAACTATCAGGAGAATATACACTTATACTGTGACCTATAAAAACTATCAGGAGAACGAGACCATCCTGGCTAACACAGTGAAACCCTGTGTCTACTAAAAATACAAAAAATTAACCTGGTGTGGTGGCAGGTGCCTGTAGTCCCAGCTACTCGGGAGGCTGGGGCAGGAGAATCGCCTGTACCCGGGAGGCGGGGCTTGCAGTGAGCCAAGATCACGCCCCTGCAGTCCAGCCTGGGCAACAGAGCGAGGCTCCATCTCAAAATTAAAATAAACTAAAATAAAACCTATCTTATGATCTTGTCTCTGGGTTCCACTCTGAACTTATGTCCTATCACTCTTTCTTTGATTTTTATTCTTTGGATGTTTTCCTATTTTGTAATTATGACTAGTTATTCCTGCCTAAGAATACCTAGACCATGCCTGCCTTAAATGTTTTATAGAATCTAGTATCAAAAATCTAAGCTCTACAATACTATATTATTGTACAAGTTTATGCATGGGCCTTCAAATGAATTGTCAGCAAGGAGAAATCGAAGCTAAGTTTCTTGATAATGCAACAATTGCTCTACTCAGAATCTGAAACACATAGACTGTGCATTCCTATTGTCTTATAATCAAGTACAATTATATAAATGAAGATTTTAATAAACATTAAAAAACTTAACCAGTAAAACAGCATTAGTTGATTCTGTGACTAACATTAATCCCACTGTTTATAAAAAGTATTATCTAAGCTTGTCTTCCTATAAAAATCCTCAATTGTTTTTCAATAAAGGTGAATATAAATTTTAAAATACGCCAATAGAGCTATGATTACAAATACATTGACCTAAAATTATCTATGATTTTTATTTTGCTTTTCAAGTGAAAAAAATAAAAGGAACAAACACATAAACCAAAAAAGGGGGACCTCCTCTTTCAGCTTTAGAGTGCTCCCCTCCCTCTGTCTCTGTATGGGGGAGCTTCTTCCTTCTGTCTTCTCCCTTCCTTCTTGCCCCTTCTTGCCTATTAAACTCTCCATTCCTTAAAACCAAAAAAAAAAAAAAAAAAAAAAAAAAAGATCGTGTTCTTTCCAGAACTTTCAGTGTGATATGAGGAATAAAAGTAATCTGAACTATCAAAAAGTATGAAATGTATAAAATGGCAACTAATTCCATACATTTATTACGTATTTGTTTGTTTCGCTCAATGCAGATGAAGGATAAGTCAATGTAGTTAATATTTTGTATCTGCTATTCACTTTACTTTTTCGGCTTTGATTCAGCTGTATAAAAACAACAGTCCAGGCAGAAAATTGGCAAATGGACCTGAAACTCACATTCTCTCCGGTGAAATCATCTTATAATCATTTGCAAGAATTGAAAATTTCTGCAAATATATAGATCTGCACAAAGCAAAATTTACAAGTATGTAAACACACACATCATCCCAGATTTAATGATAAAATAAGAATAAAATAAATGCAGAAAATCAAATAGTAATTTTAAAATGTAAGTTTACAAACTTCAGTGGCATGAATATCAAAAATGGTAACACTTTACACATAATTGTAAAAATCACATAAAACATGTAGATATATGAATGTGTATACTCTTATAAAGCTCTTCATTTCTTTATTTCTTTAAGAGATGGGGTCTTGCTATATTGCCCATGCTGGCCTTGAACTCCTGGGTGATCATCCTGCCTCAACCTCCTGAGTAGCTGAGACTATAGGTGTGTATCTCCATGCCTGGCTTTGAGTATTTTATTTTTATCAAATCAGCTATTAGACTAAATCTTTGTGGAACAACTTAAACCGTATGTTTATTGTTATATATGTAACAAATCTTCATACTAGAATCATGTTTTTACAGCTGTTGCACTATGTATGTTCAATCCATCCACAGTAATTAATCTCTATGACTGAGGACTTTAACTGCTTTCCTCTGGGAATCACTAGCATTCTTTGCTTTCCTTTTCAATGAAAAGCATCTTTTACAATCATGGCATCTGCTCAAGAATGGGATAAGATCCATAGTACTTTTTGAAGTTCCAGATTCTACTATGATATCCAAGACTATATACTGCAGTGTTTCCAGTACATAGAACTGCAGTTCTCTCTCTGATTAGTGTTATCTTTGCAGATTTTAAGTCAGATTTCTTAGATAGGAAAAAACCTGGTATGTATAGAGGAAAGTTAAATATGGTATTTCTACAGAATGATGAGTCATTTCTGGAATGCAACTGAAAGTTGATCTGGACAGGAAGATACACAGGATCTAGAGAATGGGAGGTTTTAACCTCACAGAAAATGTGTATTTGAAGCAATAAGAATTAGGAAATTAATGAAGTTCTGCTATCCTTTAACAATGCTTCTCTCTTTAGGTTTTGTGAAATGAAATCATTCTTGTTCCCATAAGTTGCTATTGCCAAACATGGTTTTATGGCTCACTGCCAGGTTCTTCCTATATGTCTGATACCCTGAAGTGAAATAGAATGGCTCTTATAAACCTTTTAAACTAGATGGCATAGTGAAGATAAGCCATGTAAAGTATGATAATTGTGAATAATACAGAATTATCTTTGAAAACCAATAAATAACATTCATAAGTGATCATTTTTGTGTTATTTTGTTTATTCTATGTGTCCTCTAGCTCAACTGTTGGGTTGTTCTTTGATCAAAGGAACCCTTATTTTATTCCTTTTTGCATTTCCCAAGATTCTGATACTCTATACCCTGCTGCTCTATGTTGCATACTATAAAATATATTGAAATGACTTAATAAAGACTTAAAAATGTTATTTAGTGTCATGGTTCTTGTCTTTCTCACTGGATCTCTCAATATTTTTCTGACTCAATTTTTCATTGATTTCTAAAATAATGCCTCAAATTCGTTACTTTCACTATGTCTAAGTCCCAATTTTCCTTACCTCTCAATAAATCTATTGCAACAGCCTCCTAACCATGATGCTTGTCTTGATTTTTTTCTAAACCTCATTTCAATTTCATAAACATCATTATGTTGCTCCCTACATAAAAATGTTTTATGACTTAACATTTTCTCTAAGTTAAAGTCTAAATATCCCAGCACAGCATATAAGCCCCTTTGGAATCTTGTCCCAACAATTTTTTCACTTGATTCCATGAACTCTATCATCCAGTCACACCGAATGGCTTCAATCCTGCCAAGAACGAACTCTGTATTATCCTGATACACAGCACAGCATAATGCTTAAGAGCATAGGCTCTGAAGCCAGATGGCCTGCAGTGAAACATACCTGTGTTTTTAACAGTTAGCAGACACAAGTATGGCTAATATGATTGTTAGTCCTTTCTACAATCACTGTCATCTCCCTGAGTCTGCTTAACGTGACATCCTCCTGCTCTAGGACATGCCTGTACATCACTGTATGATTTAGCTTAAATGTAATTTCATCTAACATGATATTTCCAACCTTCCCAGTTGCTATCCTGTAATAATAGTTACATAGTTGATATAGCATTTTATCACCTAGCAGAATTATGGTCTGTTTATATTATTTCTCTATCACTACAAAAGTGAGTTATTAGGTTGCATAGGCCAACTTGTTATTTTAGTAACCCCGGTACCTAGCCTATTTCCTGGCATATAAGAAAGTTTTCAGTAAATGTTTATTGAACTAAGTTAGGAAAAAAATAATGCAAAAATTAAATTACATTGCTTAAAATATAACATTGGACCCCCAAAATTATCAGGTCCATCATGTGTCTAAGAAATATTTTCATATTCTGAGTGAAATTATTGCATCTTCTCTAATAGAGTGGTATATATACAAATTATATTGATATTTTTAACATATTATTTTCTTCATGATTTACAAACTCTCAACAGAAGTTTCTTCTGAAAATAGCACCACAAAAACCTATTTGATTTTACTTTTAAATTTCCATGGATGCAAATGACTTACCTGGGTGGATTGCTGGTTATAATTACCTTGAGAGCTGCTAAAAGTCCTAAAAGTATTTGTGACCTAGACTGTCATATTTAGTAAGACTTCACTGTCCTCCTTGTGATTCTCCCAGTATCCATCATCTTCCTTTTCTTTCTCCAATTGTTTCCTTCTTCCTTTATTGTCTACCACTCTTTTTATAGTTGCCCATACAACTCTAATAGGTTTTGTAAACTTTTAATTTGAAAATTGTTCCATTTAGCATTCCATAAATTTGGGAAGTAAAACTCAATATAGATTATTTTAATGCATGTCATTGTCCCTGCCAATTATCTGTAAAATATATTTTTGTGTTCTCAAGTACAAGTGGCCATAAAAAAAGTACAATTCCTTCATAAAAGTGACATCAAGCTTATAAAATGTCTTTACATTTTCAATTTACCTTAGTTGTGGAATTGTATTGAAATATACTGTCCTAATCATTCATATTCTAGACACTTGTTATTAATAGGTATTTATACTAAAATAAGATTTCCATTGTTATGTCCTATTATTTTGAAACTTAGTCATATGCCCTTTATTGAGATATCTACATCGAAATAAGATTATTATAAGATATCATGCTAAGTTACTATAAGATCAAAATTCTAATCTCAAGCAGTGATATGTTCTAATAGACCATAAATCACTAGCACCCTTTGTGGTAATATAACAACCTTGGCATAAATATAATGTTATAGTGCATGTGAAGCACACAAATGAGAGGACTAAAATACAGTTTTCCAGGTAAGAATACAACTTTCATTCTCAAAGGGACTCCTCAAACTTGGTAATTTTTATTATATATATATGTATATATACTCTCAGTGTCTACTTGTATGAATTTCAGAGACATCAGTGAAAATCCCCATCTGTGGACTTGTGAAATAAAGACTTTTGGGTTTTGATCAAGAATGCCTGATTTCTCATTTTCAGTATAAGGGAATTCAATTTGTTCGTTCATTCAACAATCAATTACTAAGTTTCTATCACGCAGAAAATGTGGCACAAGGCCCTGGCATAAATTTAAATAAGACCTAGAAATTCTAAAAGTCAAGCTTAGTGTGGGAACACAATTCTAAGTGTCACATCATCATGTGATTAGTGCTATATTTGAAGGTGAGTAATATTTTAGTATCATCAGGCAAGAAGTAAATATCTTCCATTAATAAATTTAAACTGTGGAAAGGCAGATTATCAGGGAACATAACACCAGAAAAGAGGATAATACACTGCATACAGAGGTAGAAGATGTGAGTCCAAAATTTTTTAAGCTGCCAAAAGATATTTGGGCATGCCGACAGTCCCAACTACTTGGGTGGCCAAGGCCAGAGGATCACTTGAGCCCAGGAGTTCCAGTCCACTCTGGGCAACATAGCAAAATCTATTTCTAAAATAAATAAATAAATACAATTTTGTGTTAACTGCTATATATTGGGGCCATTTTTTCTGGTAGTTAATCAAGTAATTTTCTCTATGCCAATAAATTAATTGATTAGACTCCATCTCTCTACCATGTGCCTTATAAAGGGCCTTTTCCAAAAGCAGTGAGCAGTGCTTTGGCATTAAAAAAAAAAAAAACCCTCTAGTCATGGGTCATTCAGACTTTATTGTGGGACATTTTTAGAGCATGGAGGCACACCTATGTTCACGTACTACATCTATATAAAATGGTATTCCCTAGCAGTAAGTATAGGACAATATTTCAAATCTTATATCAAAAGTGAATAAAGAAAATCTAATTGAAGCAAAAGCTCTTTCTCTAAGCTGTTTTCCATCATAAACCAAAAATATATATTTCTATTACAAATCACTTTTAAACTCTATCTAAAGAAGTTACATTACAGTGACAGCTACGGCTATTAGTTATTCACCTTGCAATCAGCACTAAATCTAGTAAATATGGATTCAAGAGACTATATGTGCTCGCTGTGATAGAAATGTATGGAGAGAGAGGGAGGAGAAGCAGGAGGAGGAAGACAGGGGAAACATCTAAAGGGGAGGAAGTTACTAAGAGATGCAGAGGGTACAGGAAGCATGTCTCCAAATAAAAATCACCAGATTAAATAAGCACACATTTTAGTATTATGCTTTATGAAGTCAGACATACATTTCAATAATTGCTTTTAATGATTATTCATGAATGAATTATTAATTTTCTAGACCAAAAATATCATTCCGTGCTTGCTAAATAACATTTGCTCAAATGAAAAAATACATATATAAAAAGGCTAAAGCCTTTCACATCATTAGTACTGCTGTAGAGGGTTAGTATTTGATCTTGTTATAATTCATGCTCAGTTTGTTAGAACATTTCCACATCACAAATTACAACATTCGGGTTCAAGGATGGATATAAAGTACACAGAGAAAGTATTGTAAGAGAATTATTTTGCAGTGAGCCTGATAATAGAATTATGTGTGTACCTATGTATGGTTTTGAGTGGAAGCCTATGCAAATGTCAGCAAAAGGCGGGGGTTCTTTTCAATTTTTCTTGAGAACACCAATTTTTCTGACAGTCTTGTCCTTTTTAAGATTTACTGAGTTATATCTATAAAATCCCCTCAGTTTACAGATAAAATAGATTTCCAAATTATCACAAAATTTATTTTTTTTATCTTATTTAGTGAAAAATAAATTCAGAGTCATGCTAGAATATGTTAAACATCAGGTCAGTATATTTAAAGGTCAATATGGTATGATAATTGCCCCTTCAAAAAATAATTATTCAAGTCAGGTTAGAAATAATTGTTGTGCATTTATTTTCCAGTTTTCCTATTACAAATTTACTTTTACTGTAAGTGATACAATTTTATCGTAAGTAAAATTGTATTGTTTTACTGTAAGTAAAAGGTACATTTACTTTTATTGTAAGTGATATTATATGTCTGTTAATTCAGTAGGCTTTATTGGTTTTACTGATAAACTACACAAGGTGGAGGGAGAACAAGATACACTTTAGTTATAAACATACAATGTAAAATATTTTTGGACTAGATAACTATATGAAGCATACAATTTTTAAATTAAGAACTCAAATCCATCACATTGTTTCTAGTTGTGCTAGAAAAAGTGAAATCTTAAAAAGTGAAATCTTTAGTGACTTCCTAATGGTATTCCTTAAAATATGATGGGACAGTGAGAATGATTCGGTCCAGGAAGAAGGAGTGAGATAAGAAATTCTAAATTGCAGTTGGAGTGCCACGAGTAAGCTAAGCCCTTCCATTTCAGCACAGCAGATTTCATATCTCTCCCATCTCTCAGCATCACAGAGTCTTAGAACTAGAAGGACCCCAGATAATACCTGAACCTCCCATTGCTGATGCATAGATGACCTCAACAACATGTTAAGCGTGTAGTCATCTACTTTTCTAAAAACCTGTGGCAAAGTCACTCACCTCTTGCAATCTCAGAGAAGCCTTTTTAAATTTTAAAAATTATATTAATGAGATGACAATGCAAACTTCTCTGTAGTTTCTCTTCATAATACAAAAATGTACAAATGTAGACTACATAAGATTACCAAAACTTCACTCCTAACATGTAGATTATGAAGATTACCAAAATCCCATGCCTAAGATATTTTCACTATTTACATACACCTACATATTTTTTTCCCCAAAAGTAGTGTTGTATATGTTCTCCAACTGGCAATTTTCACTAACTGTATTCTGAAGAAAATCTTTCATTTTCATTAGAACTAGCTAATTCCATTGTGTAACTGTACAACATAAACTGTATAAATATATTTTTCTTTAATCATTTATTTGGGGGTGAGATTTTGGTTGTTGCCAAATTTTCACTATGGACAATTATGCAAAATTCCTCATACGTATATATTTTTTTGTCCAGGGTGTTAAGTCTTCTGTGGCATAGGTTTCTGGAAGTAAAATAATTGTGTAAAACAATGTGTTCTTAAAAAAAATAATAGATATAGATACTCTGCCTTCAAAAATGTATTGACTGTATAACTCATGGTATATATAAAAAGGCTTCAAAATCTTCACTCTGATTCTTCCAAAGTCATTAAGATTTTTAATATATCAAGTGAATGTGTTAAAAGCTTTGTTAAATACAGCCAGACATGGTGGTGTGCACCTGTAGTCCCAGCTACTTGGGAGGCTTAGGCGAGAGAATCACTTGAGGCTGGGAGACTGAGTCTGCAATGAGCCATGATCACATCACTGCATTCCAGTCAAAAAAAGCAAACAAACAAAAACAAAACAAAAAAACCTGCTGCTCTCATTTTTTTTCTCATTTTGCTAGTTATATCTATTTACACTGAAGAATAAAGACAAAATAGAATATTTTGATAGCAGCCTCTAGTTCCTTTATACTCAGCCAATAAGAGAGCTCCTTTAATAATCTGAATAGAGAACTGTAATCCATCTTTATTTTTCAGCTTTGCATCTAACTTTGTTCTTGTCTTACCCTATCTACTCTTGATCATCAGCTATTCTTATTTCCAGAGTTTTTTGTTTACTTTTAAATTAAGTCTTCATATTTGCTTGTGTAATTATTTAATGCTAGGTCTTCAAATAATGAATTTTAAAGGACTGGGTGAAGGTAATATCTCCTTTGATAAATTAGGTAAAATTTAGGATCTGACCATGAATCTTCTCTGTATCTCCACTCTCAACACTCTTGATCTGCAAAATCCCTTCAGGGACCAGTGCTCTCTCCATACTAGAGTGATAACCTTATGGCAGGTGGAGTTCTTTCCTATTGTGAGTGTAAACTTGACTCTTCACTGCTCCTTAATTTCATGCCATGCCATACAGCAACAGAGATTCCTCTTCAGCAGTTTAGCCATCTTCCATTCTGTAGATGAGGCATTTGTTTTTCATTTGAAGTGAAAGAAGTTCAGCTATGTCCCTTTGGTTTCAGAATTACATTTAAATAAAAATATAAATCACATTTTTCCTGCACAAAACATTTTTGTTAATGCTAAAATATATCAAATTGCCAAAATAATGTTTTACACAAAAGGTTTGTCAAAGACACACAATATGTGCGCTGTATTTCTTACCAAATGCCCACTCTTTAAGCTAAGGCTTGTATTGTCATGCTTCAAATAGAAATGCAAAAAAAAAAAAAAAAAAAAAAAAACAAACTCAAATAAAATGCTTTTAATCTAAGGAACATGCAGATAACGTTTTTTTTTTTCCAAAGCAGACATATCTGCATTTCTTTGGTTGTTGGTTATTAATATTTCATTAATTTTCAAGCTACTGCAAATTCCCCTTGAGATATCATTAATAAAATACCATTCAAATCAGCAAGATTATAGTCAAAATAGCCAAACTACAGAGGCCATTTAATTACCTAGAAAATTTAAGAGTGCTGAGCACTTGCTTTAATTTAAAGAACTGAATAATCCGATGCTTTGATGATTACAAAGAGTCTTTAGCTTTCCCTGTTTTGTTGGTAATTTTAATTATTTCTCATACTTTCCCCACTTAGATGCATTCCTTTATTTGCCCTTTTAGAATAATAATGAGCAAATTTTGAAGAAGAAGAAACAAGTACCCAAATACAGTCATGAACTACACAATGTAATTTCAGTCAATGACAGACTGCACATATGATGGTGGTCTCATAAGATTTTAATGGATCTGAAAAATGTTTAGTGTCTAGTGATGTCATAGCTGTAGCAATGTTGCAGCACAATTATTATATTTTTAAAATAAGTTTAGTGTAGCCTAAGTGCAGTGTTTATAAAGTATACAGTAGTGCAATGTCACAGGCCTTCACATTGACTCATCATTTACTCATTTTCTTATCCAGAACAACCACCAGTCCAGCAAACTCCATTCATGGAAGGTGTCCTACACAAGTGTAGCATTTTTAATATTTTATACCATATTTTCTACTGTACCTTTTCTATGTTCAGATACACACATACATTTTGTTACAATTGCTTACAGTATTCAGTATGGTAGCATGCTGCACTGGTTTGTAGTAACAGGCTAGACCATATAGCCCAGACGTGTAGGAGGCTATACCATTTAGATTTGTGTAAATACACTCTATGATGTTCACAGGATAATGAAATCACATAACAACACATTCCCCAGAACATGTCCTCACCATTAAGCAACACATGACTGTACTTCTGAAATAAATTTTAAAATAGACAAATACACAGGCACTCAGCAGTCATAAGAAGGCTTTCTCTCTTCACTTACTTCAGTGACACATTCAATTTTTGATCAAGAAAAGTAGTCAAAAAATTAATAGCATCACATTTTGCCAAAATATTGTATACACTTAGAGAATACCAATTTTGCTGATTCTGAGTGTTTCCTTGCACACGTCAGTAGGTATTTTGGATTTATGTGTCAAAGAGACTCTTAATTTTACTCTAACTCTATCTCACAAATGGTTATGCACCTGATCACACCACATCCACTTAAAGAATGGCAAGACAGAGGAAGGAGAAGAATTACACTTTCACCATTATGCGATGTGTATTCATACTGGAGCCTTGTTTATTTCAAAATTTTACCAGATTATATAGAGCAATTAAAGTTTATTCTTTTTAGTTAATATTAATAGATACTTTTCCCTCATGAATGTGTTGTTTTCTGGATAAATCATAGAGACTGTGTGTTCGGTGAGAAAAACCAGTTATAAAAGGGTATATGTAATGATTGGATTCATGTGAAGTTCAAGAACACATAAAATGTGTTTATGTGGATAGAAATTAAATACTATTAATAATTTCTGGCTATTGAGGGGACAGGTATTGACTGGTAAGAGGCATGAGGGAATCTTCTGCAGGCAACGGGAATACTTTGAATGTTTAAATGTATATACATATATAAAAATTAAGCTTTACACTGAAGATCGATCCACTTTCCTTCATATAAATTGTAATCAGTTTTTAAAATGTTTTTTTATCATGCCAAAACAAATATTTTAAAAACCTAAATATTAAACAGTATTAAATGAAAAAATTAACAAAGTTTTATATCTATTTTCTTCTTTCTGGTTTCATTGTTCCCGTTCAAATACTGCTATTCCACATCTTAACTACTGAAAAGCCTACTGAGGCAAAGGCTCATAACTTGTTCTTTCTTCCTTAATTACGGAACCTCTCCTTTCTATATGCATTAGCCTTTCTTTAGCTAAATGTAGTCATAAGTGAATGATTTTGGACAATAAGACGTAAGTGGAGGCAGTGTGTACAACTCTTAGGACGAGTACATTTAAGAAAAGGTATATGTATTTTATCCCTTCTTGCTTCTTGTCAGCTGGCATTATGACGTGGTGGCTGAAGCTCGAGTAGCCTTATTGGACTATGGCAGAATTTATGTGCTGAGGTTGGATGAGCAATTAGACAGAACTGTGGGGTCATAACATTCAGGAAGCCAGATCAGCTCTGAACTCACTACCTCCAGATTATGCTTTTTTTACTTGAGAAAGAAATATATTTTTATTTAAGCCACAGTTAATGTATTGCCTGTTTTGCCATTAATAGCTGAGCCTAATATAAATTGATTTACTTTATATAAACACTGTTTTTCTATCAACTCTTTCTCACTATAATCTATTATTCAAGCATACTTTCGGGGTTTTTCTGAGAACGTATCTGATTATGCCGCCTTCCTCTTTAAAATGTCTTTTTTTTTTTCCATTTCAGGGATATTGCTATTAGTCCAGACATTAAAATATGTTTGCTACTATACAGTCATGTTACAAAATTGAAAAATCTGATTCTGCATTTTTAAATGAAAACAATTTGTATAGGAAATAAATACCTGAATATACTCACCAAAATGTAACTACTTATTATTTTGGGTTTAAGAAATAATAGATAATATTTTTATTTACATTGTATGTCTTCAAATTTACTAAATTTATGTCGGTAACAATGCATCAGGCCAGGCGAGGTGGTTCATGCCTGTAATCCCAGCACTTTGGGAGGCCGAGGCGGGCGGGTCACCTGAGGTCAGGTGTTTGAGACCAGCCTGGCCAACATGGCAAAACCTCGTCTCTACTAAAAATCCAAAAATTAGCGTGGCATGGTGGTGGGTGCCTGTAATCCCAGCTATTCAGGAGGCTGAGGAAGCAGAATATCTTGAACCCAGGAGGCAGAGGTTGCAGTGAGCCTAGATCACGCCACTGCCCTCCGGCCTGAGGAACAGAGCGAGACGCCATCTCAAAACAAACAAACAAACAACAACAAAAAACAATGTATCACCGTAGAAATTAAAACAACTTTTTCTAAACAAATTAAAATCTTCCATCGAAATTTATCTTATAATTTAAAACAGTTCTCATTAGAGTCAGGAATCAGTAAAAAAGTTGCCACTCTCATTATAACCATTTTCCATTGTCCTTTAGGCCTAAACAACTAAAGAAAAAAAATTTAAATAACAAAATAACTTTTTGAAAGAAAGAGATAACTTTGTCATTAGTTGTGGATGATATATTGATATTATGGAAAATACAATAGTATTCATTGAAAAAGTAATAAAAGGTATTTGATTTTAGCATAGTGATGAATTTCATAAAAATATGCTGAAAGCAAAAGCATTCTTTTATCACATCAAAAGTCTAATTGTTAAAATTCCATTAATAATACATGTAGGTATTTACAGTTTTCAGGATAAATATCAAAATAATCAAGAAATAATGAATATTTTAAACATGGCATGGAGAAAATTAGTTATCCACTTTAGGAAAAAAAATTAAGACAAATTAAGTTTTGTTTTTTTTTTTTTCCTTGAGATGGAGTTTCCCTCTTGTTGCCCAGACTGGAGTGCAGTGGCGCAATCTCAGCTCACTGCAACCTCCGCCTCCTGGGTTCAAGTGATTCTCCTGCCTCAGCCTCCCGAGTAGCTGGCATTACAGGCAAATTAAAATTTTAAGTAGAAAAAAACAAAAAACAAAAATTGCATTAGAGAAAAACACAGGATAATTCTATAATTTTTGACTAGAGAAAGTCTTTTAAAATTAGCACAAATGATAATAACAAGAAAGACTAACATTCACTGAGTTCTTAACAGATACTCTCCTAGGTGCTTTTACATGTGTTGATTTATGTGTGTCCTCTAACCCTCTAGGAGAAAGGAGCTAATACATGAAAGGCACACAGACATTAAGTCATGGTTGGTAAATGCTGGGGCTATCTTAACCCAAGCTATCTGGTTGAAGATGCTGCATTCTTATCTACATTCTTTTCCCCTAGAATTCACACAGAAAATCCTAGACAAAAATGACTACTTAATATCACAAATGTCTGCATAAAAAAAAAAGACAACATAAAACAGGTTAGTGAAAACCTGTTTTTCCCAAATCTAGAAAAACATATTTGCAACATTAATGATAGCTAAGAGATTAATAAGATTATGAGCTCATAATTCCATAAGGAAAATTGATGAATACCATATAGAATAACAGGCAAAATATATAAATAGGGAGTTCCCATTGAAAGCAATGAACATTACCAAATAAAATGATGTTTAACCTCATTGATAATCAAATACAAATTTAAATAAATATATCCTATGTCTTCATCTATTACACTAGCAAATGTCAAAATGGTTGTTATTGCCAGTTTGGCCAGGGTGTGGCAACACAGGCACTCTCATGTACTATGTTAGGAGGATAAATTAACAAAACTTTTTGAAAGATAATATAGGATCTGTACCCAAGATTAATGTGTATGAATCTTTCTTGGTGAGACTGCCCTTTTAAGATTTAGCCTAATTAAATAAAAGGGAAAATGTAGCTGACAATGGAACAGTGTAGTAGTCATACTTATAATAGTAAAAAACTAGAAGCTAGTTAAATGTACATCAGAGAGTTTGGTTAAGTGTATTATAGCACATTTACACAAAGAAATATCAATCATACAAAAGGGGAGCATATGATATTATAAGTTCCAATATGTGAAGATAATCTTGGATAATTGGAAAGAGATATATTCTAGGAAGAGAACAAAACATGCACTGTTTTGGGTAAGAGAATGAAGTCTGCATTCCAGAAGTATGAAAGTTATATATTTAAACTCAATATATTATTAATATATATTAACAAAAATAAAT
Source organism: Homo sapiens (assembly GCF_000001405.40). NCBI lineage: Eukaryota > Metazoa > Chordata > Mammalia > Primates > Hominidae > Homo > Homo sapiens. The sequence goes on from NC_000002.12 coordinate 211,879,997, forward strand.
ATATAAATAAAGCATAATTATTATTTAACATATAGTCTCATAAGTACTAATATGTGAAAATAATTTTCACATATTATTGAAAACTATATGCTATATACTCCTTGGTATGTCCTCATATTTTCTGAAATACAAACTTCCTTCTCTTACCCAAGACAGTGTTTTGTTTTCTTCTGTCTCTAGAATGTACCTCTTTCCAATTCTACCTATCAAACATTCTTTAACAGTAGGTTTTGCTCAAAATGCTACTTACACTACAAAATCCTTGTCTTACGCTAGATCTTCTGTTTTTCCATTCATTAAAAATATCTATTAGGGAATTTACCACTATGTGGTACGCATTATAGTAATGTGTGTATATATCTTCCATCTCTGGGAACCTCCAAATATTTCAATGACAGTGTCTCCTCTATATTTTTATCCTCCTATTATGTCTATCCCTCATGCGCATACACAGTAGATGCCTAATAAATGTTCACACCAAATTGTTTACTTGACTATACATAAGGGGTCTTCAAAAAGTTTGTGAAAAATGTGTATCATGAAAAAAACTATGCACAGATTTCAAAAAACATTTGCACCAAAATAAACCCATACTAACATGTTATAACATGTCTGAACAGGATCTAGTCTGAGGCCCTAGGAACCATTAAGACATCCATTTGAAAACAGCCTGTATCAGAGCAACATGAATCTTGCTAAAATTGAAGCAAAAATACACCTCAAATTTACGGTGAAATCATTGATGCTTTACAAAAAGTTCATGGGGAAAATGTCCCAAAGAAATGAACAGTTTACAAATGAATGTTAAGAATGGACAAGATAATATTGAAGATGAAACCTGCAGTGGCAGACCAACCACATCAATTTTCAAGGAAAATATTCATCTTGTTTGTGCCCTAATTGAAGAGGACCAACAATTTAATGGCACAAGTAATATCCAATGCCACAGACATCTCAATTAGTGGAGCTTACTCAGTTTTGACTGGAAAATTAAAGTTAAGCAAACTTTCCACTCAATGGGTGCCAAGACCATGGCACTCAGATCAGCTGCACACAAGACCAGAGCTTTCCATGGAAATTTTAAACAAATAGGACCAAGAGCCTAAAGAATGTCTTCGAAGCATTTTAAAAAGAAGTGAAACATGGCATTACCGTTACAATCCTAAAAACAAAGCACATAAAAGCAATGGCTACCAAGAAGTAGAAGTGGAAGTGGTCTCGGCCAAAGCAAAAGCAGACTGGTCAAGAGCAAAGGTCATGGTGATACAGGCGGTAGAAATAAATTATTTAGGCAGATAGTGAGGGCAAAAGAGTCATCGGCAGTTTCCCTTTTAACAAAAAGCAGTCCAAGAAATTATTTTTTTGCTAACAAAGAGCAGCCTGAAATACTGAGCCGCAAACATCGATAAGCAAGCTTGAAGCTTGCACGGGGGAATGCTGGCAGCTGCGCCAATAGAGAAGGACTACCTGAGGGCCAGGTATGTCTGCCATGGAAGCTCCATCTTCCCTTTTTTTGTTAGCACATGTATGACAAGAAAGAAATGGGCAACATGGAGCAGCTCAGTCAGAGAACCTGCCTGCATAATAAAAGATTGGGGTGGGGGTCGGGGGGGCTGAGATTTGTGCCCCATGCAAATGACGCAACTGGTCTAACCAGTTTTTCGGACCCTATGTAGATCAGATACCGCCCCTCCACTAGCTCATCTATAAAACCTCTTGCATTTCACCACGAAATCAGCAACTCATTTTTCTGGGACCCCTCTCTGTAGCAGAGAGCTATTCTCCTTCTTTTGTCTATTAAACTTCCACTGTTAAGCTCACTCTTTGTGTGTCTGCGCCCTTGATATTTGTAGCCATGAGACAACGAACCTTGGATATTATCCCAGACAACGAAGCAGCTTCAGTGGCAGTCTTTTTGGGGGGATGCTCAAGGCATTTTATTTCTCGACTTTCTGGAGGACCAAAGAAAGATAACATCGGCTTACTATTAGAGTGTTTCTGAGAAAGTTAACCAAATCTTTAGCAGAAAAATATCCAGAAAACCTTCACGGGAAAGTCCTTCTGCACCACAACAACACCCCTGCTCATTCCCTTTATCAAACAAGGACAATTTTCTGAAAGTTATGATGGGAAATCATTAGGCATCTAGCTTACAATCCTGATTCAGCTCCTTCTCATTTTTACTTGTTTCCTAATCTTAAAAAAAATAATAAAAAAATAAGAGTAGTCATTATTCTCCAGTTAATAATGTGAAAGAGACTGCATTGACATGGTTAAGTTCCCAGGACCCTCGGTTCTTTAGGGCTGGACTAAATGGCTGGTATCATTGTTTATAAATGTGTCTTGGATTTGATGGAGCTTATGCTGAGAATGAAAGTTTACATTTTTTATTTTTATCTTTTAAATCAATTTTCTGATGAACTTTTAAAAGTCCCCTCATATATAGAGATAGCTCAATAGATAAATATAATAAATATAAATATGACTGCTTGTCAATTACTAAAATATGGTTTCTCTATAGTGAGGTTTGTTCTCATTTCTTTGCAAAAATAGATAATAAAATTATTCACATAAAAACACGAGAGGCACAGCAATGTTCTGAATATTTAAATTATTTTGAAATAAATGATACCTTAATGCTAACACAGCAATATTATCATCTTACTAAAAATGTATCATTATTAAAATTTTGTCAAGCTAATAAGGTTGAGAATCTGAAGTTCTTAAAATTGTTTAAGTATAGCCACCTGGCTCCAGGTCAGGCTTATAATTGCTACACTGTGGTACCAGTTCTAACAATTGAAGAGACTGACAGAAGACTTGGAATCAACATCAAGTTAATCTTCATGTAATTTATCTTCACTTCACTCAATCCATATCTATTACCTATCTCCTTGTATCTGTGTTGGGTTCTAATATCTACTGATCAGACACTTTCTACCTTCTCCCTTTACTGGGTATATACCCAAAGGATGATAAATCATGCTGCTATAAAGACACATGCACACGTATGTTTATTGTGGCATTATTCACAATAGCAAAGACCAACTCAGATGTCCAACAATGATAGACCAGATTAAGAAAATGTGGCACATATATACCATGGAATACTATGCAGCCATAAAAAATGCTGAGTTAATGTCCTTTGTAGGGACATGGATGAAGCTGGAAACCATCATTCTCAGCAAACTATCGCAAGGACAAAAAACCAAACACCGCGTGTTCTCACTCCTAGGTGGGAACTGAACAATGAGAACACATAGACACAGGAAGGGGAACATCACACACCGGGCCCTGTTGTGGGGTGGGTGGAGCGGGGAGGGATAGCATTAGGAGATATACCTAATGTAAATGACAAGTTAATGGGTGCAGCACACCAACATGGCACATGTATACATATGTAACAAACCTGCACGTTGTGCACATGTACCCTAAAACTTAAAGTATAATAAAAAATAATAATAATAAAAATAAAATTAAAACAAAATACATTACTCTTGGCCAGTCACGGTGGCTCACACCTGTAATCCCAGCACTTTGGGAGGCCGAGGCGTGAAGATTGCTTGAGGTCAGGAGTTCTAGACCAGCCTGGCCAACACGGTTGGTGAAAGAAACCCTGTCTCCACTAAAAATACAAAAATTATCCTGGCGTTGTCGTGGGCACCTATAATCCCAGGTACTTGGGAGGCAGAGGCTGAGGCAAGAGAATCGCTTGAACCCAGGAGGTGGAGGTTGTAGTGAGGCAAGTTCGTGCCACTGCACTCCAGCCTGGGCGATAGAGCAAGACTCAGTCTCGAAAATAAAAAATAAAATAAAATACGTTACTCTTTGAAAAGTTGGAAGATTTTGAGAAATAATTTCTTTGTGCCTTGTATGCATTATAGAAAAACTCAATGGTGATAATTCAGCCTATTTACATAATTCTATCCATGAGGGACTGACTCACTCCCCGGTGAGGCCACTAATTCAAATTTTATATAATATGAAATAGAGAAAATTACTTCTCTATTGGAACTAAAATATGTCTTCTTATAAATGAACCTAAGTTCTGGCTTCTGAAACAGTACAATATAAACATAATTGCTCCATGTTAGAGACTAGCCTATTCTAAGTTTCTCAGATCCATTTTGCTCTATTACGTTTAAACACCTGCATCTAATAGCAACACACTCTGGATACATGATTCCTGTTACCTTCCTGTTTATCTCTTCTGTTTTCATTCTTCTTGTTTCAGCTTATTTCTAAGACCTTAATCCAGTTATTTTTTCCTACTCACCAATTCCTCTTCTTTCTCTAGTTTTAATATTGAAATAGCTACCCTGGACTCTGAAACATGGCACGTCTAGTTGTCTCTCCAACATCCAGTTCTCCTACCAAACTTTCCTGAAACCCTGACTATGAAAATGTACCACGGAAACGGCAGAAAAGTAATGTCTTACTTTTATTTTTCCCTCTATCATCATATATGAATTCCCTAGGTTTTGTTCTTTTGTTCAAGCTAAGTTCCTGAACCCTAAATCCACACTGTCAACACAGAGCCTTCTCCTAAAGGGCCATCCTACCCATAAGGAACCCCTAGATGTTAAAACATGTCACCTAACCAAAATTTTCTAAAGGTGCCCATTTCCCACATGTATCATATTTATAGCATTTCATTATCCTCTGTCTGTGACACTTGCTTGTCTAGAGCATCATCTGAGGTAACAACCCCCATCTGTCCAATTTCATCAACTCACTCTTGTGATAGATATTAGCAGCTAATATCTAAACATGTTATAGTGAAGACTGGAATTTTCCAATTGGGTTAAGTTGAAAAAATTAACCATAACATTGTATTTCACTTCTTTTTTTGGCTATGTTGAGCAAATTCCAAAAATTCTAAACATAATTATAATAAAATTAGAGTCAACAATAGTATTACTCTATTCTCTTTTTTTCTGAAAAATAAAAATAGATATTTATGTCTGGAAACCTGAAATAAGGAAAATTGATTCTACTTTACAAATATCATTGTGGGTAATGGGTTGGATATATAATTTTTAAAATGTATTGAATTATCTCTAATATTTTTTAAAATGATTACTGTATGTTTGGCTTTTTTGTTGAATTGATATTTAAAATTAAAACTTTTTCAAAGGTAATAAGGCCATAAACATCTCTTCAATTTCAATATGGCCATAATCTTCCAAGGAAGCCCTACCACAAATTATAATTTGTTATGACAAGTGTATAAAAAATGAAACTCATGTTTTATAATAGAGAGAGGCCAAAAGGTTAACATTTCTTCTCCTAGGCCTGAAAGAAAGTCAATAAATGAATCTCTAAAGCTTTACCCAGAAAAGCTGGATCTATAGTGATAGTAAAGAAAATATATTTTGAAATTGTAACCTATTAAAGAAAGAATAAAGAAAAAGAATAATGGAAGATCTGTAGAGAAAATAGAGAAACAACTGCTATAATTTTTTTTTTTCTTTTTTAAGACAGGCTCTCACTCTGTCACCCAGGCTGGAGTATACTGGCATGATCTCGGCTCACTGCAACCTCAATCTCCTGGGTTCAAGCAATTCTCCTATCTCAGCCTGCTGAGTAACTGGGATTAGAGTCACCCACTACCACCACAACCAGCTAATTTTCTGTACTTTTAGTAGAGACGCGGTTTCACCAGGTTGTCCAGGCTGGTCTTGAACTACTGACCTCAGGTAATCTGCCCGCCTTGGCCTCCCAAATGCTGAGATTACAGATGTGAGCCACCGTGCCTGGCCGATTTTTTTAATCTAAAATGCATTTCATCATCTTCTATCACCCTTATTAAGGGAAGCAATATCAGTTTAAGAATGTTTCTTAATGAAATTAGTCTTTAAGTTTCATGTTGGTACTTTACTATATGAAATATAACTCTCAGTATTTAGAGAAAGTTAAAATCATAGACCAAGTTATATGCTAGTTGAAAGAATCTAACAATGTGGAGAATTAAATTCTGTTAATAAATTTTCTATACGTCAAATATTTTTACCAATTCAAATTATATAAAGCATAGAGAGAAAGAGGTAAAAAAATGCTTCAAATTTTATTGCAAAGAGCAATAAGTTCTTTTTAGATGATATCTTCTTGGGCATATACAGTTTCTGTTTTCTCTGTCTTAGATACACTCATCACAGGTATCTGCTGAGTTCTCTAACTTGCTTTTTATTCAGATCTTAATTCACATTATTAACCTTTAGTCAGATTTTCCCTGACCATCCTATTTAAAATTGCAAACTCCATCCAACCATTAACTAATCCCCTGTTGACATTTTTCATAGCTTTTATGCCTATCTTCCCACTAAAGTGTTCCAGAAGAACATAAATTTGGTTCACTTCTGTTTACTACTGTATTCTCATCAGCAAGAATAATGCATGGTACATGGAAGGCACTCAAAAAATATTCATTGAAATAAAAATGAAAGAAGGATAAAACTTAAAAAAGTACTTATATGTGAATTCTATAATTTCTAACTAAAAATTTAAGAATTTCAGGATAAAAATAAACATGTGCCCACTGACTATATAAAGAGGCCAAAAGAAATATAAAACATATGGGAAAAGAAATAGAGGTCATAAAAACAGGAACGAAAATAGAAGGTATCTTACAAGTTTCACATGGCATCTTGGGGACGGCTATGCTGTAATTATATTTTCTTAGGGGCATGTAAACAAATGAAAGAAATGCCATTAATCGTAAATTGAAGAGGTCTAAACTTAGCCTGTACTCTTTCTTCTCTTATTTCCATGTCATCTACACATGCAGACTGTCCTATTACTTGTATGGGCTCAACATGCTGCCAGTACCTAACCTTAAGCCTGCTCAACTCCTGCACATTGAAGGCAGTTAAACTTGTCACTGACTTTAGAACTGATACACTTGATGTGAGGATTCACAGTGGGTTCTCTGAAAGAATTTCTTCACTTGTTCCTTATCATTTCCAATTCCAGTACCACTTCTCTGCACCTTCAAACTTAAAAGCAAATGTGGGAGGAAAAGCATTAAGTCTTCAACTCATTTTTTGGACTTTTTTTCTTATTGTAACTTTCCACATTACTTAATTGGCTCTGGTAATATATGCCAACTCTCATTGTTTTATTCAGCCCTGTAATAGGTCCACTCCCCCAAATCAGGCTCCTGTACCAGTTAGAAATATACCGCAATGAAAATGAAGAGCTAATATGAAACATCCTGAATTAGAATTAGTGAACAGAGTTGAAAGATAACAGAGGATTACACACACACACACACACACACACACAGGTGAGAGAAACAACAGGAAAAAAAAAACAAGTAGTGATTAGTTAATGACTCATTTTAACCCTAAATTCTACATTGAATAATTGTATTTTACATCTGTTAGAATCAAGATTTCACACAGTTAACCCAGTCCATGGTGTTCAGTGCCTAATAATAGCTCTAAAATGCCATCCTGATCATTTCATTCACCTCCTCAAAAATTCAACTAGATCCTAATTACCTCAAGACAAAAGTTGTGTCATTTATAGTTCTCTGTGATATCACATCACTCTAATTCACCTTTTCAATTATTTTTCCTAATATTACTTTCTAAACAAATATACCTAATTATGTTTCTTCAAGTGCCTAATGCTTTTCTCCCCAGGTTGTTCATATTCAGGAACCCAGTAACTTCATAATATTCCTCCAGTGTTGTTTTTCTGTTTAATCATGTTATTATCACACAAATTTATTGATCCTGCAAAGCTATCTACTTGTAGTACCTAAACATACTTAATATGTTTATTGTCGGTCTGCCTCTCCTAGAACATAATATCCAAGAGGGTATGGATTTGAATCTGTTTTGTTTATTAATATGCTTCAACCACCTGGCACATTATTGCTGAATAAATGATTTTCAAATATCTTCTACTTTCCAAATGACCCTGAATCAATTGTTTCCTCTCCATTCCCAGTGTGTCTGCCTTAAATTAGGCTCTCATTAACATTTTCATAGACCATTATAACCATCATATAAATAAATTCCATTCCTAATATTCCCCCAGGCCAATGCATCCTTACATTAGCAATATCTTCTGAAATACAAATCTGATCAGGACTTTTTCCTTTTTTGCTAAGAAGCTTTATTTTATAGTCTTACATGAGGCTACTTTTTCAGTTTCTTCTACTGCCACTCTAACAATGAAAACACTTTTCTTTGGGCTACTCTACCAAGGAAAATGAACCTTTTTATATTTATTAGCATAGAACACAGGCTTCTGAGATTTCATAAGGAAGAAAACAAGCTCATGATTAGTGAAAATATGGTACATTAGCATAAAGCTATTTCAAGCAATGACTTTAAACATTATACTTATCAACCATTGGATAAACACATTACATTTCCACTTATGATTATATATTTCACAAGAATGTATGTGTGTACACACACATATATTCACAATGGCATAATATTTGTCATTATTACATATAATCAATTTTATTTTTGTTTTTATTCTATTGTGTTTCACTTATGCAGGTAAATATTCATTTCACGACAGGGGAGGAGCCAAGATGGCTGAATAGGAACAGCTCCGGTCTACAGCTCCCAGCGTGAGCGACGCAGAAGACGGGTGATTTCTGCATTTCCATCTGAGGTACCGGGTTTCTCTCACTAGGGAGTGCCAGACAGTGGGCGCAGGCCAGTGGGTGCGCGCACCGTGCGCGAGCCGAAGCAGGGCGAGGCATTGCCTCACCTGGGAAGCGCGAGGGGTCAGGGAGTTCCCTTTCCGAGTCAAAGAAAGGGGTGACGGACGCACCTGGAAAATCGGGTCACTCCCACCCGAATATTGCGCTTTTCAGACCGGCTTAAAAAACGGCGAACCATGAGATTATATCCCACACCTGGCTCGGAGGGTCCTACGCCCACGGAGTCTCACTGATTGCTAGCACAGCAGTCTGAGATCAAACTGCAAGGCAGCAGCGAGGCTGGGGGAGGGGCGCCCGCCATTGCCCAGGCTTGCTTAGGTAAACAAAGCAGCCAGGAAGCTCGAACTGGGTAGAGCCCACCACAGCTCAAGAAGGCCTGCCTGCCTCTGTAGGCTCCACCTCTGGGGGCAGGGCACAGACAAACAAAAAGACAGCAGTAACCTCTGCAGACTTAAGTGTCCCTGTCTGACAGCTTTGAAGAGAGCAGTGGTTCTCCCAGCACGCAGCTGGAGATCTGAGAACCCGCAGACTGCCTCCTCAAGTGGGTCCCTGACCCCTGACCCCCGAGCAGCCTAACTGGGAGGCACCCCCCAGCCGGGGCACACTGACACCTCACACGGCAGGGTATTCCAACAGACCTGCAGCTGAGGGTCCTCTCTGTTAGAAGGAAAACTAACAAACAGAAAGGACATCCACACCGAAAACCCATCTGTACATCACCATCATCAAAGACCAAAAGTAGATAAAACCACAAAGATGGGGAAAAAACAGAACAGAAAAACTGGAAACTCTAAAATGCAGAGCGCCTCTCCTCCTCCAAAGGAACGCAGCTCCTCACCAGCAACGGAACAAGGAACAAAGCTGGATGGAGAATGACTTTGACGAGCTGAGAGAAGAAGGCTTCAGACGATCAAATTACTCCGAGCTACGGGAGGACATTCAAACCAAAGGCAAAGAAGTTGAAAACTTTGAAAAAAATTTAGAAGAATGTATAACTAGAATAACCAATACAGAGAAGTGCTTAAAGCAGCTGATGGAGCTGAAAACCAAGGCTCGAGAACTACGTGAAGAATGCAGAAGCCTCAGGAGCCGATGCGATCAACTGGAAGAAAGGGTATCAGCAATGTAGGTGAAATGAATGAAATGAAGCGAGAAGGGAAGGTTAGAGAAAAAAGAATAAAAAGAAATGAGCAAAGCCTCCAAGAAATATGGGACTATGTGAAAAGACCAAATCTACGTCTGATTGGTGTACCTGAAAGTGATGGGGAGAATGGAACCAAGTTGGAAAACACTCTGCAGGATATTATCCAGGAGAACTTCCCCAATCTAGCAAGGCAGGCCAACGTTCAGATTCAGGAAATACAGAGAATGCCACAAAGATACTCCTCGAGAAGAGCAACTCCAAGACACATAATTGTCAGATTCACCAAAGTTGAAATGAAGGAAAAAATGTTAAGGGCAGCCAGAGAGAAAGGTCGGGTTACCCTCAAAGGGAAGCCCATCAGACTAACAGCGGATCTCTCGGCAGAAACCCTACAAGCCAGAAGAGAGTGGGGGCCAATATTCAACATTCTTAAAGAAAAGAATTTTCAACCCAGAATTTCATATCCAGCCAAACTAAGCTTCATAAGTGAAGGAGAAATAAAATACTTCACAGACAAGCAAATGCTGAGAGATTTTGTCACCACTAGGCCTGCCCTAAAAGAGCTCCTGAAGGAAGCGCTAAACATGGAAAGGAACAACTGGTACCAGCCGCTGCAAAATCATGCCAAAATGTACAGACCATCGAGACTAGGAAGAACCTGCATCAACTAATGAGCAAAATCACCAGCTAACATCATAATGACTGGATCAAATTCACACATAACAATATTAACTTTAAATGTAAATGGACTAAATTCTCCAATTAAAAGACACAGACTGGCAAATTGGATAAAGAGTCAAGACCCATCAGTGTGCTGTATTCAGGAAACCCATCTCACGTGCAGAGACACACATAGGCTCAAAATAAAAGGATGGAGGAAGATCTACCAAGCAAATGGGAAACAAAAAAAGGCAGGGGTTGCAATCCTAGTCTCTGATAAAACAGACTTTAAACCAACAAAGATCAAAAGAGACAAAGAAGGCCATTACATAATGGTAAAGGGATCAATTCAACAAGAAGAGCTAACTATCCTAAATATATATGCACCCAATACAGGAGCACCCAGATTCATAAAGCAAGTCCTGAGTGACCTACAAAGAGACTTAGACTCCCACACATTAATAATGGGAGACTTTAACACCCCACTATCAACATTAGACAGATCAACGAGACAGAAAGTCAACAAGGATACCCAGGAATTGAACTCAGCTCTGCACCAAGCGGACCTAATAGACATCTACAGAACTCTCCACCCCAAATCAACAGAATATACATTTTTTTCAGCACCACACCACACCTATTCCAAAATTGACCACATAGTTGGAAGTAAAGCTCTCCTCAGCAAATGTAAAAGAACAGAAATTATAACAAACTATCTCTCAGACCACAGTGCAATCAAACTAGAACTCAGGATTAAGAATCTCACTCAAAACCGCTCAACTACGTGGAAACTGAACAACCTGCTCCTGAATGACTACTGGGTACATAACGAAATGAAGGCAGAAATAAAGATGTTCTTTGAAACCAACGAGAACAAAGACACAACATACCAGAATCTCTGGGACGCATTCAAAGCAGTGTGTAGAGGGAAATTTATAGCACTAAATGCCCACAAGAGAAAGCAGGGAAGATCCAAAATTGACACCCTAACATCACAATTAAAAGAACTAGAAAAGCAAGAGCAAACACATTCAAAAGCTAGCAGAAGGCAAGAAATAACTAAAATCAGAGCAGAACTGAAGGAAATAGAGACACAAAAAACCCTTCAAAAAATCAATGAATCCAGGAGCTGGTTTTTTGAAAGGATCAACAAAATTGATAGACCACTAGCAAGACTAATAAAGAAAAAAAGAGAGAAGAATCAAATAGACACAATAAAAAATGATAAACGGGATATCACCACCGATCCCACAGAAATACAAACTACCATCAGAGAATACTACAAACACCTCTACACAAATAAACTAGAAAATCTAGAAGAAATGGATAAATTCCTCAACACATACACTCTCCCAAGACTAAACCAGGAAGAAGTTGAATCTCTGAATAGACCAATAACAGGAGCTGAAATTGTGGCAATAATCGATAGTTTACCAACCAAAAAGAGTCCAGGACCAGATGGATTCACAGCTGACTTCTACCAGAGGTACAAGGAGGAACTGGTACCATTCCTTCTGAAACTATTCCAATCAATAGAAAAAGAGGGAATCCTCCCTAACTCATTTTATGAGGCCAGCATCATTCTGATACCAAAGCCGGGCAGAGACACAACCAAAAAAGAGAATTTTAGACCAATATCCTTGATAAACATTGATGCAAAAATCCTCAATAAAATACTGGCAAAACGAATCCAGCAGCACATCAAAAAGCTTATCCACCATGATCAAGTGGGCTTCATCCCTGGGATGCAAGGCTGGTTCAATATACGCAAATCAATAAATGTAATCCAGCATATAAACAGAGCCAAAGACAAAAACCACATGATTATCTCAATAGATGCAGAAAAAGCCTTTGACAAAATTCAACAACCCTTCATGCTAAAAACTCTCAATAAATTAGGTATTGATGGGACGTATTTCAAAATAATAAGAGCTATCTATGACAAACCCACAGCCAATATCATACTGAATGGGCAAAAACTGGAAGCATTCCCTTTGAAAACTGGCACAAGACAGGGATGCCCTCTCTCACCACTCCAATTCAACATAGTGTTGGAAGTTCTGGCCAGGGCAATTAGGCAGGAGAAGGAAATAAAGGGTATTCAAAATTAGGAAAAGAGGAAGTCAAATTGTCCCTGTTTGCAGATGACGTGATTGTATATCTAGAAAACCCCATTGTTTCAGCCCAAAATCTCCTTAAGCTGATAAGCAACTTCAGCAAAGTCTCAGGATACAAAATCAATGTACAAAATTCACAAGCATTCTTATACACCAACAACAGACAAACAGAGAGCCAAATCATGAGTGAACTCCCATTCACAATTGCTTCAAAGAAAATAAAATACCTAGGAATCCAACTTACAAGGGATGTGAAGGACCTCTTCAAGGAGAACTACAAACCACTGCTCAAGGAAATAAAAGAGGATACAAACAAATGGAAGAACATTCCATGCTCATGGGTAGGAAGAATCAATATCGTGAAAATGGCCATACTGCCCAAGGTAATTTACAGATTCAATGCCATCCCCATAAAGCTACCAAGACTTTCCTCACAGAATTGGAAAAAACTACTTTAAAGTTCATATGGAACCAAAAAAGAGCCCGCATCGCCAAGTCAATCCTAAGCCAAAAGAACAAAGCTGGAGGCATCACATTACCTGACTTCAAACTATACTACAAGGCTACAGTAACCAAAACAGCATGGTACTGGTACTAAAACAGAGATATAGATCAATGGAACAGAACAGAGCCCTCAGAAATAACACCGCATATCTACAACTATCTGATCTTTGACAAACCTGAGAAAAACAAGCAAGGGGGAAAGGATTCCCTATTTAATAAATGGTGCTGGGAAAACTGGCTAGCCATATGTAGAAAGCTGAAACTGGATCCCTTCCTTACACTTTATACAAAAATCAATTCAAGATGGATTAAAGATTTAAACGTTAGACCTAAAACCATAAAAACCCTAGAAGAAAACCTAGGCATTACCATTCAGGACATAGGCATGGGCAAGGACTTCATGTCCAAAACACCAAAAGCAATGGCAACAAAAGCCTAAATTGACAAATGGGATCTAATTAAACTAAAGAGCTTCTGCACAGCAAAAGAAGCTACCATCAGAGTGAACAGGCAACCTACAAAATGGGAGAAAATTTTCGCAACCTACTCATCTGACAAAGGGCTAATATCCAGAATCTACAATGAACTCAAACAAATTTACAAGAAAAAAACAAACAACCCCATCAAAAAGTGGGCGAAGGACATGAACAGACACTTCTCAAAAGAAGACATTTATGCAGCCAAGAAACACATGAAAAAATGCTCATCATCACTGGCCATCAGAGAAATGCAAATCAAAACCACAATGAGATAACATCTCACACCAGTTAGAATGGCAATCATTAAAAAGTCAGGAAACAACAGGTGCTGGAGAGGATGTGGAGAAATAGGAACACTTTGACACTGTTGGTGGGACTGTAAACTAGTTCAACCATTGTGGAAGTCAGTGTGGCGATTCCTCAGGGATATAGAACTAGAAATACCATTTGACCCAGCCATCCCATTACTGGGTATATACCCAAAGGACTATAAATCATGCTGCTATAAAGACACATGCACACGTATGTTTATTGCGGCATTATTCACAATAGCAAAGACTTGGAACCAACCCAAATGTCCAACAATGATAGACTGGATTAAGAAAATGTGGCACATATACACCATGGAATACTATGCAGCCATAAAAAATGATGAGTTCGTGTCCTTTGTAGGGACATGGATGAAATTGGAAATCATCATTCTCAGTAAACTATCACAAGAACAAAAAACCAAACACGGCATATTCTCACTCATAGTTGGGAATTGAACAATGAGATCACATGGACACAGGAAGGGGAATATCACACTCTGGGGACTGTGGTGGGGTGGGGGGAGGGGTGAGGGATAGCATTGGGAGATATACCTAATGCTAGATGACGAGTTAGTGGGTGCAGCGCACCAGCATGGCACATGTATACATATGTAACTAACCTGCACAATGTGCACATGTACCCTAAAACTTAAAGTATAATAAAAAAAAAATTCATTTCACTAAACTCATTTCACAAATCACTAATGAGCTGTCATGCACAGTTTGAAAAAATACGCTAATAGAGTTTGAGTCTTTTGGCATGACTGAATTATAGGATAGGGTGCTGATTGTCTTATTCAATGACACCAAACTGTTGGTGATTCTGTGGCAGTCATAGAAAGCTGAAGTAGTCTATGTAATATTAAGAGTGTAAATGGTGCTTTAATTTTCAAAAAGGAAGGGGAAAAGGTGTATTTGATAAACTACATTACAGGGTAACGATCTAAGATGGATAATTTAAGGAATCATTTGTGAACATTGAGGATGAAGTAGTAATCACTAATATCTAACATGATTTATGTTAAAATTAGTCAAATCAAATTAACCTCAGTTAATTTGTTGCTAAGCAAGTAAATCAAGACTATGTAGTACAATTTTGAAAGGCATAAGGAAATAAAATGCTCTCTTATTCCTATGATAGAGATAATGTGGTATAGTCATTAACCCTAGTTCCCTTTTCTGCTAGACATGCAACTAGACAAAATTTCTGTCTCCCTTGCAGTTAGGTGGGACCATATGACTATGTTCTATCCAAATGAATGTGAACTGGAAATGATGTACACTGCTCTCAAACTCCTTTCTTAGGTAACCTAGGATCCCTCTCACCTTATGACAACACTTAGCAATGGTCCCCTTATCTTTTTTGTTGTTGTTGTGACAGGGTCTCTCTCCGTCACCCAGGCGGGAGAGCCAGTGGTACAATCATGGCTCACTTCAATCTCGAACTCCTGGGCTAAAGTGATCCTTCAGACTCAGCTTCCCAAGTAGCTGGTACTACAGGTGCATACCACTGTGTCTGGCTAATTTTTAAGTTTTTGAAGAGATGGGGTTCTCACTTTTTTTCCTTCAGCTGGTCTAGAATTCCTGGCCTCAAGCCATCGTCCCACCTCAGCCTCCCAAAATGCTTGGATTACAGGCAACAGCCACCATGCCCAGCCTCCTTTATTTCTTGTATTATCAATTGCTCCCCCTCTATGGACTCTTTAGACAACAGCATACAGGTAAAATGTAACATCTCCCTCATTAATATATCCAGTTCTTTAACCTTACATACATCTCCAAATTTTTCTCTGTTTCTCTGCTCCTTTACAGGAAAATTCCATTATAGAACTGTCTATACACACTGTTAACCCTTCTGATCCTTCAATTGTCCCTGAAATCTATCGTAATCTGGCACTTTACTCTTGCCATAAAACAGCTCTTGTTAGGGTCACAAATGACATTGACATTGCTGAGTCCATAGGATTTTTCTTTTTTCCAGTGTCGTCATCTCTGATTTCTCATGAACAGTTGTTCAGTCTTCACTGCACTGGCTTCGTTCCAGTTTCTTGGTCTCCTTGTTCCCAGGTCTCTAGTCATTCCTTTGGTCTCCCTTAGTGTTCCCACCTCTCTTCCCTACTGTTGGTAGGCCCCAAGGTCAGTCACTGGATCCTTCGTCTTCTCTACCTATACTTCCTACCCAGGTGTTTTCACCAAGTTTCATGCCTTTAAATACCCAGTGCACACAGTTGACAAAATATGTCTAGCCCAGACCTTTCACTGGAACATTAGACCTATACATTAAACTGCTTCCTGAATAATTTTGTTAGTCTAAAAGTCACCTTAAATTTAACAAGTCCAAAATTAAACTCCTGATTCTCTCTCTGAATCACAGCTTCTGTAATCTTTTCTATTTGGTTATTGGCATTTCATCTCTATTTGTTATTTATTCTTCTAGGTGTAAGCAAAACAACTTGGAATCATCATTGACTAACCTCTTTCTTCCACATTCATACTTAGTCCATCATCAGTAAATCTTTTCCCTGTAAAGTAGAGCCCAAATTCAACAACTTTCAAAGAAATTTCTACTGCTGTCATCCTGGTCCAAGATGTCCTCCTCTCTGATTTTTTTATTACTATAGTAGGTTTCTAATGGATTTCTTTATTTCTACCTTTTCTTCCCAGGAGTCTGTCATCTCCACAGCAGCATAAAATAATCTTTTTTGCATTTGTAGTCTTGAGAAGGTTGGTATCATAACAATATGCAAAATGATCCTTTTAAAATTTGATTGTCATTTTTAAAATGACAAATCATATCACTTTCTGAATTTCATATAAATGTCATTCAATTAACTTTCAAAAATATGAAAAAGACTGTTTAACATGCCACATTAGGTCAAAAGAGCTATGGGTTGAGCTGTTTAAAATTATTTTGAAAAGCTATTTTTTAACATGAATGAACATGCCACTAGTATTTGTTACAATTTCATCATTATTTCCAATCCTATTTATTTGGTCTTGTTAACAAGAGAATACTTAGTCAAATTTTTGGCTCGGTCAAATCTCTTAATCTTCTAGAATACAACTTTGGGGAAGTGAATATTAAATTAAAAATAATGGCATTCATCAGCAATTTATCATTACATGCCCTGTAATTATTATTAATATTATACAAATTATTATATAAGTATAGAATATATTCTATATTATAAAAACACTATGTTTAAAGCTCTTATATTATGAAAAATATAAGATTGCACTAATAAAAATCTAAAGAAAAATATCATAAAAATTTTTGAAGTCTGCTTTACTATAGTCTTACATACATACACCCACGCATGCAACTGTTTTCATCAAAATGGACATGAATTCATGAAAGTGTGCTCTTATTTATCTCATGTGAAAGTACTGTAAAAATGAATTTCCTAGCTTCTGCCAGAAGTTTACAGATACTTAGCTGGGTGGAAATACCAATAAATTAAGCAATAGTGTTTTACCTTTATAATGATGCATATGAAGGGCTCTTTTCATCTTCCTGTAAGATCACAAAGTATAATTTGCAAAAAAAAAAAAAAAATCTGCCTGACATATCCTTTGCAAATAGAAAAGTCAAAATTGGGAACATGAAAGCAGACGTGCAAAATTAGATTCATATACCCACTTTGTTTCCTGTGCTGGAGCCTCTGAATTAGACCCAGCAGGCCTTCCCTCCTTGACCCTGCCTCAACCAGGAAAAAAATAATGTGCAGAATCTTCCTTTGGTGGTCTGACCCAACCCTTCTTAAAGATACCTTTTATCTACTTTTTTTGTTCTTTTTTTAAATGGGGAAGATTCTGTTTGCTTTTAATTAATTGTTTTGTTTTGTTTTTTGCTTTTGTTTTTAGACAGGGTGTCATTCTGTCACCTAGGCTGGAGTGCAGTGGCATAATCATAGCTGACTGTAACCTCAAACTCCTGGCCTCAAGGGATCTTCCCTTCTCAGCCTCCCATCTCAGCCTCTCAAGTAGCTGGGACTACAGGCACACACAACAGTGCCCGGTTAATATTTAAATTTTTTTTTAATTATAGAGAAGGGGTCTCACTTTGTTGTTTACACTGGTCTTGAACTCCTGAGTTCAAGGGATCCTCCTGTCTTGGCCTTCCACAGTGCTGGGGTTACAAGTATGAGCCATTTCACCCAGGCTGATTTTTTTTTCTAATAAGCATAATAAACTTTGAAATGAATAGATCATATCAACACATTTTAAGAGTTAGTCAGTAGCTTTCGAAAGCCTAAAAAAGATATTATAATATTTATTTTTATTTTCCATTAGACTAAATATGCCTATTTTAAATGTGATACTGCCAATTCTCTCTTACACCAAATCTTCTAGAGGAAAGTTTTTATCTAAGATAGTTTAATCATTTTGATAAAACACAGCACAAAGAGAATGCCTAATGATTGAATTAAACATGTTATTTCATTGATATTTCTTTTATATTTAATTTGTGCCTTTAGCCATAAGAATTAGGAAGTTACCTGGAGTTCATTTCCACAAATGATATTACAGAGGCATAATAGATTTTCTTCAAGTGTCTATACATTATGAATGTAAGGTTACTATGTATCTGACAAAAGTAATTTGTATAGAAGTAATTCTAAAAACTATTTGACGTCTATTCAAAAACCATTTTCTGCACTTAAAGTGAAATGACTGTAGAAATTTGCTAACCTTTCATGACACAGTGACTTAAAAATCCATTAAATGTTTTTAAAAAATGCACTGCTTGACTCTTTTGTAATTCTAAGAGCAAACAGCTATCTGACATTTTCAGGATCATTAAATTAAAAAATGATAAGGAAGGAAAATCATTAACTAATTTATATTTCTCTTCTAATGGGAATAGAATTAGTAATTACTTTTGCTGTTGAAACCTCCTGTAGTCAGTCACTTGTGTCCCAGTAGCATGCCTATCATTCAAAGTATGGGACCTACAGACCTTAAGTTACAAAAGTTCACAGCTGTATTTATAGACCAGTATTAAAACAAGTGGCATGGAATCTTCACACTCAATCGTCCAAACTACCATTCTCAAATTTCCTTCTCCTATGTTGCACTTACTGGTTTTCTTTTTATAGACTTCAATAATGTTTTGCCCAGTACCTTACCTATTATAACAATAAATATTTTCTAAATTAACACATGAGTCAATTTGGGCATTTGAAAAGAAGAGAAGCAAGACAAAAACTCAGATGTTCAAGACTTTCATTCAACAACCGTGGGATTCTTGGAAGTTATAATAATCAGCCATTACAACTCAAAGTTTTATCTAATTTATAGGAAAACTTATGAGCACTCAAGGAATTAATTCCTTCACATTTCATCTGATGTACTTGTTGAAATGACTATAGAATTCATGGTTTAAAATGAAGCTATCTTCATTTCCTCTATCTATTTTCTCTACGGCATTAGTAAACTAACTGCCATATGAAAGTCACATTTATTTTATTTCAGTTCTAAAATCATATTTTAAATTCGGGCAATTCATCTACCAGTAACATTTTATATGACATTATATTTTTTCTAATAAAAGTTGAATTGAAGAGCAAGTTAACAGACTGTTACCCCTAAACAGAAATTACGAAACCAATCACAAAGTAATTTATTAAATTTTTAAAGTAATACTTTCTTGTCAAGCAGACCTGTAAAATTAGACAGTACTGTTTTATAGTACTTACATTTGATAAAAAGTTTGTTCATGTCTCTAGTGATATGTTATTGTGATTTACAGGTTATAGAATAAATTTTCAAGAGGGGCCAAGACTAGCATTCTAGTTTGCCCATATAATTCCTTAATAGAAAAAGTAATGGTTCTGGTAACCTGAGCTTGCCACTAATCATCACTTATTTTTCTTAATGATAGATTGCTACTTCCCTAAGCATAGTAATTTGATATGTTGAAAGTGGTTACTGTTAAGTTTAATATATTAATTTGTCTTGACTGGCAGCTAATAAAATGCTATATTATTGATGAAAAATTAATATCTAAAATTGGAATAAACGGAAAGGCAAACTTAACCAAACTTATAAACTCAGTATTGTACTTTTAAGTAAGTTTCTTGAGCACCCCTCCTGTTAAAACTAGAGTGCAGTTTTAATGCCACTCTTCCATCAGTAGACAAGGTGTCTTATGCCAATTCCCACAGAAGGGGCTGCTCTGCACACAGTAACCCGAGGCCTCAACTTTCCATCACAGGCAGTATGCCAAATATAAATACCCAGGAGTGTCCTGAACTTTAAAGTGATTCCTAAATACGAGGCTCATTTACGAAGAACTTCAAAAACATTAAGCGGCTCTTGCATTCTCAATTAGAAATTCTCCTCATACTAACAGGGACTTCTGAGCGTATCAACACAGAGAAAGCAGTTGTTCCCATGTCTTAAAATAGCACAGATTGAACATTTAACCTTTCTGCTGCCCAGTCAGAGTCTAATTACTATTTTATGTTTAAACACACACACACACACACACACACACACCATTTTGCCTTCCTCATAATAGACTAGAACATAGATGAAAGTAAAACAAACTCATTGCTCTTTAAAAGTACAAACCTAGAAAAAAAAAGGTTCCTGTTTGCAGGAATTTGAAAGAATGATGTCAAACCAGTCAAACTCAATTTTTCTATTGAAAAGCGGGTCCTTCAAAGTAACTCTATTTTAAGTAATTACGCTTTAGTAAAGAGTTTGCTGACTTTTTTGATTATTCATTATGAGAGATAATTTTATTTTCAAATCCTAGTGTTATATTTAGCAAGTTACTAAGGCTCTATACAGGACATGGACTCAAGGCACTTAGAATAAATGTCTCCCCAAGACTTGTCACATGTCCACTGTTTATAAGTAACCCAGTTTATTTACTAGATACTGGCAATGCCTCCTTTCAGAAATGTAAACACTCAATTACTGAATTTTAATCAGAAGGATTATTCTACATAGAGTGGCATTTTCTATTTTCCTGAGCAATATTTCCCAGGCTATCATCTCCTCTATTTCAATATCATATATTAGGATTCAAGACCATCATATTTACCCCTTCCACTATGAATGGAGTGAGGCAAAACATGTTTATTAAAAATCAGTTAAATAGCTCAGCTTGATTTTACAAATATTATATACTATAAAATGTTTTCTATTTTGAAAGAAATTTGTATGTTATTTTTCTTTCATTTGGACATGTAAATAAATGATGATGGTGAATGAGAGCATAGGCTTCTCTCAAAGAGTGGTAGGATCATGTTCTTGATGCCAAAAACCCAGAGGATATGTCTTAGGTCTGTTTTTGTGAGCCCTGTAACCTTGAATAAGTCACTTAGCTATTTTGAAATTCATTTTCTTCACCTGTAATGGCATTTGCTCTCTTTTTAAATAGAAATTACATTCAATAAATGAGCATTTTAATGTGATAGATTTAAAAAACTGTCTGGTAAGTAGATGCATCAGCTCCTTCTGGAAGCATGACAGGTGCATGGTGTTACACTGTGTGTGGGCGCTGATCCTGGCAGGAATAGTCAGTGACCTGCTGTCAGAGCCCACGGAGATAACCTGAAGGAGCGCTCCAAATGTCCTTCTGCAAGCATTACCCACCTGGGGAAATTTCTCATCCAATGACTACCGAAGGGTAACTCTGCCATAACTCTGCTTTTCACTGTGGCCACCTCACCACTTGCACATGTTTATCCCATCTCAAGATGTTATCTGTGGTGTTTTTCAACATCATCATCTCAGAGATTAAGGCATCGCATATAACGGGAGTGTTTATTAC
Organism: Homo sapiens; assembly: GCF_000001405.40. Classification (NCBI taxonomy): domain Eukaryota; kingdom Metazoa; phylum Chordata; class Mammalia; order Primates; family Hominidae; genus Homo; species Homo sapiens. The sequence continues at coordinate 211,901,687 of NC_000002.12, forward strand.
TATGCATACATCTGGCATGTTAGGACTTGTCAAGGAAAATTGACAGCCTAATAGCTTTTTTCCTATATTTATCATCCTTGATATTAAAACTCCAGTTAAAAATGGCACTTGATGAATAAAGAATGCTGCACCCATGAGCATTATTTGTAGAGTCAAAAAAAATTTGCTTTTACATAAACATTAATGTACTTAATTTACAATGTTTTTAAAAAATTGCAACTCCTTAGACATGGTGTGTAGGTATAGATTCTTGGGTGGCTGTGTTATAAATTATGTACCACTTTTATGTTCTGTTATTTGTCATAATTTTTCTTATGTTTTGAGACTCACAAAATAGTTTTTTTTTTAGTTAGAAAGCTTTCCAACCTTCCTAATTCATATACATGGCAACTCCCTCACTTCTCTCCAGTGTTGCTTTGCTCATTTGTATGATTGGTTTAAATATGTGATCTCTTCATTGTACTATACATGCTTCTTTGAGCAGGGATTACCCCTTGTTCTCTGTGCCTCCACAAAGACTATTTTGCGAAAAAACAAATAAAACACCAATCAATGACATTTTTATTAAATTATAACTAAATAGAAAATGTTTCTAATGAAACGGTATAACGGTATTTTAAGGGGAGTTTTTTCTAACAGTAAACACAGAAATAAAACAACAAGCAAGCATTTTTAATATATTATAGATATTAACATCTGTAATATATAACAGTGGAAAAATTTGGTTCCTATTTCACACCAACTAATACTGTACAAAATAGTTATTGGCAGCTAAGAACTAAATTATAGTGAAGTGATAAAAAATAATTTAAACACATTATTTTAAACTAAACATCTTTTCTATGTATATGTAAGAGAAAAAAGAGCTATTGAAAAGAAATAAATTTTCTAGAATGAGTTTTGATTTTTTCCTTCTTCTTTCCTTCTGAATTCTTTAAATATCTGGGCAAATAAAGTATTGAGAAGCAAATTTACTGGTTAATAAAGTCTCAAAATTGAGTAATTTTCCTTCTATGTATATTTTTTTCTTAAAAATTTTGTTTTCATATCCTTCTATATACTTATCAGACTATTTTGAACTATAAAAAATCATAGATTATAGAGTCAGATATTTTAATCAGCATTACTGGTAATGAAATGGCTAGAAATTAAGAGCAACACAAAGCAAAAACTATATTTAAAAACAACTCAGAAAGTACCATTTTACTATTTAATATATAATTACTTTTCTTTAGAAAACTAAAAATCTTCACTCAGTAAAACTAATTATCTCTGTAATCTCAATCTATATGCCATTGTTTCACTGAAATATATCACAAATTAATTATGTCAAACTTTCTTCTGCAATGTCTCATATATAGCTCTTCTATTGCATTTTATTCTCCCCTCTTTCAGCTGATTTAAGTAACTTAAAATAAGTCTCTTTCCCTCCACATTTGCCACAATGTTTCTTTCTTCAAATCATCAGATTGAGTGGCAAATAAATGTTATTACTCAGTTCCAAAAGTACTGCTTGAATAGGCTCTCAGTAATTAACCAATATGTGATGAATTGAGAAGCATGAAAACAAACTTTGTATTTACATCTTAATTTTATAATGTTAAATTAAATATCATATTGAATGAAGTATATTTTAATGTCCTACAGTTTAACTAAATTTGATCAGCTTGACTTAATCCCTGGAAAATGATTTTTGGGTGCAAGGCAGGCATGGAAAAGAAACATCTAAGCAAAATATGAAAATCTAAATGAACAAGTTGCAACAGAAATCTGACTTTGAAAGAAAGACCAATTCATGAGAGTAATATACATGAAATTTTAAATTCAATGTATTTCTCATGAAATTTTGGTTGGTTTTCTAAATATCCTTCATCTACTTGAGTAAACAATTTAAATTTTGCACACATGGTTTCTATTGAAATGGGTAATCAATAAATATGTTAGTGACTGTTTTTCAAAAGAGAAACCCAACAAGAAATGCCAATATTTAATCCCTTTGTGGGCATGAATTTAACTTGTTGCCTAAACAATATACTGATAAAAAAAGAGGTTTGTATTAAATGCCGATTTCACTCTGTAGCATTGATTACACAATTAAAAAAGAAAAAAAAAAGCACCTTTACTTAAAGCTCACCTTCTTGGTTGCAAGAATATACCAGATTAACAAGAAAAGAAAAGAAAAGAAACACAACTGCTGATATATCCTAGGGACATATTCTTATATATCTTATTTCATTATATCAAACAGATTTTAAATTGCTAGAACTCAAAACTAGCTGAAAGAACAAAATTACAACACATCAAATTATTAGCTAAATATAGTGCTATAAGAAGAATATTCTGAAAAGAAGATTGGCTGTTTAAAGATAAAGGAACATCAGGGTCAGCCGCTAATGTCAAAGGCAAATAAATACTGTTCCAAGTATTGAAGATAATATGCACTAATAGTGGGTTTTAGCTGGATTCAGTCTGATGCAGGTGCATGTTTAGCAGCTGTGAAAGCAACACACTAACACACACATTCACACATAAACATGCACACAGAGCATAATATAAACCAGCTCTCTTAAAATGTAGAGAACCGAACACTGCAAACAAAAACCTCAAAAACTAATGAACTCATGTACATTCTTGAACAGTAGCTCTCTATCTCCAGAAGATTTTTCAATTTCTAACAATCCAAGATTTTAAAGCATAAATGGACCCATATTCAGGCTGAAACTCTAGGAGAAAAATTCTTTCTCCAAAATGCTTACTAATGGAACTTTAGCAAATTACCTTAATATTTTTGTATCTCCATTTTCTCATTTTATAAAATACCATACAGTAGAACTTATCTCAAAGCCATATTACTAGGATGACATTTAAACATAATATATGTATATAAAACACTTAGCTCACACTTAGTGCTAAATAAATATTAATTATTACATTATTACTATCCCACAGTTGATTAATAGTTTCAGTGAAGAAATAAAAAGCAAAATTATAATTTATTTTATCAGAAATCTTACTTGAATTCATAAAAGCATACTTGTCTACTAATTTTACAGTTAATCACTATATTTATTTTATTGGTGGTCACTGACCAACAGAGAACAATTACCTTCACTCACTAGTATATAATTAGCATTTATGGAAAGATGGGTACTATTTTAGGTTAGACAGGAATTACGTGTGGTAAGTTTTGTTGTTGTTGTTGTTTATGGTCAGCATTAGTAATTGAAAAGATTCTCACAGATACTGTAAGAATCACTGACTCAGGCAAATGGCTCACATAGCTGAGAGAATATCCAAATCACATTCAACTTTAATATATGTTGTTCTTTGTATTAGTCTGGCATTGCTGCTGTAAAAAACAGCACAAACTTACCGCAAATTTAATGGCTTTAAACAACACACATTCATTGCCTTACAATTCTGGAGTTCACAAGTCTGAAATGGGTCTTGCTGGGCTAAAATTAGGATGCTAGCAGGGTTAGCAGGGTTCTGGAGGGTCCGGAGAACAATCTGTTCACTTGCCTTTTGCAGCTTCTAGAGACTGTCTGCATTTCTTAGCTCATAGTCCCCTTCCTTCCATCTCCAAAGCCTTCTCATGTTGCCATGACTCTGTTCTCCCCTTCTGCCTCTCTCTTCCACTATTAAGGACCCTCAGGATTACACTGGGACCACCCAGATGATGCAGGATAACCTTTCTATTTTAAGGTCAGCTGATTAGCAAACAATTTCATCTGCAACTTTAATTCCCTTTTGCCATGTAACCTAACACAGGTTCTGGGGATTAGGATGTGGGTATCTTGAGGAGCCATTATTTTGACTACCATCTACCTCTCAAATGATAATTTTAAAGCCACTACTATGTTCAATGCAATTTAATGTTTGGAAGTGTTTTAAGTATCTGTATAAATACATAAAAACTATATATACCTATGACATGAAGAGCAGTAAAGTAGGAAGGATCATATATATATATATATATATATATATATATATATACACACATATATGTGTGTGTATGTGTGTGTATATATGTGTGTGTATGTGTGTGCATGTGTGTGTATATATATATATATATATACTATTATGTATACAACACATAGGATGAGAGAAAGTCTCTTTGAAAAGGTGGCATTTGGAAAAACACTTAAAGAAGGTGAAAAATTGAAACAGAGTTTATGGGGGACAATTTCAAGCAGAGAGAGCAAAAAGTTCAAAGGCACCAAAGAGGTAGGGTGTTTGTGCACTTGAGATGCGGCCAGGAGGCCAGGACAGTATGGCTGGAATGCAGTGAGAAAGGGAGAGAGGGGAAAAGATTAAAGTGTGAAGAACAACAGAGGTAGCACACCTACAGCCTTGTGAGTTACTCAACCCAGAGAGAGATACATTCGAGAAGTGTCACAATCTGAAAAGCAGCATATGGCTGTTGTGTACAAAATAGACTGTTGGAAGGCAAGGTTGGAGGTAGGAAGACCAGTTTAGAAGCTACTCTAATAATCCAGGTTAGAAATAACCATGATTGTACCATAGTGGAAGCATTGGATGTGCAGAGACATGTAGGATTCTGCATATATTTAATATAAATGGAGTGGCAACATTTACTGATGAAAATAATTTGAAGTCATAAATAAAAAAGGAAAATAATTCTAGACGACCTGAAGATTTTGTCATGAGCAATTGAGGAACATAGCTCACATTCACAGAAATGGAACGAACTATAGAGGAAGCATGTTTAGAAGAAAAAATCAAGAGTTCCATTTTTGTACATGTTAATATTATAGATAGTTATGGGATACCTGCTGTCAGAGTACGATCTAAGTTTAAAAGAAGAAAGTATAAATATTGATATCTATGATAGATAGATATCATAAATATCTTTTATCAGGTTCAGGGATACATGTGCAGGTTTGTTGTATGGATAAACTCATGTCATGGGGCTTTGTTGTACAGATTATTTCATCACCTAGGTACTAAGCCTAGTACCCAATATTTATTTTTTTTCTGATCCTCTCCCTCCTCCCACCCTCTACCCTCAAGTAGGCCACAGTGTCTGTTATTCCCCTCTTTGTGTCCATGTGTCCTCATCACTTAGCTCCCACTTATAAAGTGAGAACATGGGGTATTTGGTTTTCTGTTCCTGCATTAGTTTGCTAAGGATAATGGCATCTTGTCTTTTAATAAAAGGCCTCCTGTGTTGAAGTTGGGCACATTTCTTAGCTTCTCTTGAAGTTTGGCATGTCTATGTGCCTTAGTTATGGTCATTGGTATAAAGAGGCAGTGGTGTGTACCAGCGCTTGATTGTGCCATTAAAATAATGATATTTGTGTTCTTCTGACCTTTTTTCCATTCCAGCCACTAAATGTCTAACATAACAGAGTTGTCCTACCAGCTTTGCTCATCTACATCAGCGAGATTAACTGATACATTTCTTAAGTCAATATATCTTGGGGTCTCTTTTTAACAGAAGCTTAGCTTGTATTTTCACTAAATATAATATCTAAGAAAAATATATTGACAAGGCAGCTGAATACTAAATGAGTCTGTGTTTAAGGGAGAGTTAAAGAATAGAGAAAGGCACTGGGAATCTTCAGCATCTAGATGATCTCTGAAGCCAGGGGACTGAATGAACTGCTGATGTCAATTTATTTTCTTCAGACAGAAATAAATTTTCCCCACCTTTATGGGTCCACTCCACTATGATCAAGTAGGCACTGAAAAGCATGGCTTTTGCCTTTTTTTTTTTTCCTTTGGTTACTGCTGTATAGACCCACAGTACTAGCCAGAATACTAGAGACCATATAAGCCTATCAAACCCAGAGTTGAAAGTGATTATTTGTCTTGGAAGAAGATCAAGTCATTTTATTTTACCATTCCTTATCTTACTATGCAGAGGCCAGACTCTTTTTTTCTTTCTACTTGGATATTTAGGATTACAGTTTTGGTGCTGAATACTATGAGCTTCACTCTATCACAGTCACATACTGAAGAACCCAGAAGTCAGAGATACTTTGTTTGGTCAGACTATACCTATTTAAAAAAAAATAAAGTTGAGGGACTTAGGTAGTAAGTTTTGTCTTTCTAGAACCCACAAAACCCCACAACTCTCCATAGTGTTATAGGTCATTTCAATTCACACAGGTATACAATTAATTTGGCACTGATAGGTATTTAAGTTTGGGAGTTTAAGCTAAAAATCATTTTTGGAAGAATTAAAACCTTATGCAAAAAGTTATACAGCATGTTTTATCTTGCAGAGATTTCTTTACTTTGCACACACGGGCTACTGAGACTTCATACTGAAACTTTATAGCCTAAATCCATGTATCTTTGTTTCTAAGAGTACCTTTATTGGAGCACTGGAAAAAAAAACATATTTAGGTATCTCCTTCAAATACAAGGTGAATTACTTTATACAGACAACACAAGAGAGGGGAGGCATTAGAGTTCACCAGTCTGGAAGCCAGGACCTAAGCTCTGAAAGTCCCAATGGGCCCTGAGCGGTTAAGGAGAGCTTGGGTGTTGATGACAGGTGTAAACATTCAGAAGATCACAGTTACAGTGACACTTTGTCTTAGAATTTATGTTCTGCAATTAGTTGATTTTCCTGACATTATCTTTCTAAAGTATTGTATATTTGGACCACAACAGGGCACAGAACTGGTCCCTTTTTCTTCTCTGACAAAGGACCCTAGGATGAAGAACAATTACGTAGATTTTCTCTCTACTATTATACTTGGGGTTTCAAATCTATTGAGGAATTTTGGCTCATAAAACCTTACTTAATAAAGTCCTTCAATAATCTACTGTGGAAAAAATCGTATATAATTAAATAAAATCACAGACATAGCTTATTATATATCGGTGAGTGTATACCAAATGTATATGAATACAATTTATTGAGCCATGATTCCGAACACCCACTGAATCAGGTTGTTCTCAGATTTGCCCAGCATTTTATGAAACCTATTATTCTTATTTGACATTACTGCAATATAACAGACCATAGTGACATTTGATTACATTCCGTTTTATTATTGCTTTGTAGCAAATTGTTCTCACCAATAAGTGATAAAAATGCAGAGGCAATTGTAGTACAAACATGAAGACATTTATTCCTCTTTTGTGTTGTAAGATCATCCAGAAGCATATGAACAGCATAGACTTGGCCTTTATTTATCTCATCTTGAAATAACTGTATCACAAATAAAAAATTAATATATATTATAAGCTAGATAAGAGTACATTTCTAAGCTAATAAAAAAATTTAAAAATTATATATGTTATAACTGGTTTCTTATATGTAACTTAAAGACTGATTGAAAAATGTAAAATATTAACTGATACATAAAAGCTAATGTCCCATGTAAATTATTAGAATATTATAAACAAGTAAGCTACATACCCTGAATATTAATGTTCATATATGCTTAGTCTGTTATGATAGTATTCAATGTCTTTATAGTGTGAAATATTCTCTGCAATAAATATCCATAAGCTATTTCAAAGCATACCTTTTCCAGCACCCTTTTTGACAAATATTTCCTGGCAACGAGGAAATAAAACAATGTTGGTTGGATTTATGTATTCAATTGCTTTAATATTTTTATTTTTCCATAATTATCATTAGGTCATGATTATATCTATTTATATATGGTCACGTGTTACTTAATACCTGGGGTAAGTTCTAAGAAATGCATTGTCAGGCAATTTTGTCATCGTGTGAACATCGTAAAGTACACTGTATTTACACAAACCTAGATGGTATAGCCTATTACACACTTAGGAGAAATGATATAGCCTATTGCTCCTAGACTATAAATCCGTACATTATGGTATTGTACTTAATACTATAAACAATTATAAAGACAATGGCAAGTATTTGTGTATCTAATCATAGAAAAAGTACAGTAAAATATGGTATAAAAGGTTACAAGTGGTACACCTGTATAAGGCACTTACCACGAATGGAGTTTGCAGTTAATTATAATCTTGAGACCACCATGGTATATGTAATGTGCTGTTGATGAAAATGTTGTTAGGTGGCACATGACTGTATGTGTGTTTGTGTGTATGTAGGTTTATGTGTGTGTGTACACTCATTACTTTTCCATTTAAATACTCGATGTGAGGAGAAGATAACTAAGATAAATGACAAGAATGTCTAATTTTATCTACTAATTAATATACTTTCCATAGTCTGGACAATCTTTCTGTATAAGTTAAGTTTAATAAATTTTTGTTGTTGTTGTTGTTTGAGACAGAGTCTTGCTTGGTCACCCAGGCTGGAGTGCAGTGGCGTGATCTCGGCTCACTGCAACCTCCGCCTCCCAGGTTCAAGCAAGTTTCCTGCCTCAGCCTCCCAAGTAGCTGGGACTACAGGCATGCACCACCATGGCCAGCTAATTTTCGTATTTTTAGTAGAGACAGGGTTTCACCATGTTGCCCAGGTTGGTCTTGAACTGACCTCTGGTGATCCACCCACCTCAGCCTCCCAGAGTGCTGGGATTACAGGCATAAACTACCATGCCTGGCCAACTTTAATAAATTTAAATTGTTCATATTTGCAGATGATTAGCTTATAGTTTAATTCTGATTTCACATTAAGTTAAAATAGTTTTATCTTTCTCACTATGCCATAAAACATAATAATATTGTCTAATTTTCTTGTAGAGGCTGGATATGAGACCTTTCCCAAGATCACGTCCTTTCTCTTCCTGTGTTAGTTTGCTAAGGATAATGGCCTCCACCAAAGGAGCTGGAGGCCATTATCCTTAGCAAACTAACACAGGAACAGAAAAGCAAATACTGCATGTTCCCACTTATAAGTGGGAGATAAATAATGAGAACACATAGACACATAGAGAGGAATAATACACATTGGGGTCTTTTGCAGGGTGGAGGGTGGGAAGATGGAGAGGGTAAGGAAAAATAACTGAAGGACACTAGGCTTAATACCCAGGTGATGAGATAATCTGTACAACAAACCCCCATGGGACAAGTTTACCTATATAACAAACGGCATTTGTACCCCTAAACTTAAAAGTTTTTAAAAAACCGTTATATTCATGCTTTTGTCATTCTTTTAAATTAATTTCCTATTATTCAGACGTTATCAGCACTAGACCCATGTAACTAAAATGAATTTAAAATTATTTTATAAGGGAACAATAAGTCAATATTATTACATCTCTTATCCTTCTTAAAGTAAACTCCTTTATTCAAAATAATGTGACTATATTATTTTACATTATTCATACTTGACAAAACAGAACAGTGCTAACCATTTCTTGGTAATAACCATCATCTCTGCCTGGCAACATCACAGCCTGCAGCATCAATGTTTATGAGAACAAAATACATTTATTTTGTTATAGATTTCCAACTAGCTGTTTTCACTAGTAAATGAACTCCTTTATTTATTTAGGTAAGGAATATGTATAGTTTGCTCTCTGTATTTCACAAACATTCTATAATGGGTAGTAAGTCAAAAATAAGTATTAATTTGAAGAGCCCGACAGTCTTTTTTAAAAGTTGGCTTAATTTCTCTGATGCAAACATGGACATCTTCATTCTGCTACTTTTCATAACTTTTTTGTTTTTTGAGACAGGTCCTTGCTCTGTCACCTAGATTAGAGTGTAGTGGCTTGATCATAGATCACTGCATCCTCAATCACCTGGGCTCCAGTGATCCTTCCACTCATCTTCTAGAGTAGCTGAGACCACAGGTGCCTGCCACCATGCCCAGCTACTTGTTAAATTTTTAGTAGAGATGGAGTCTCCCTAAGTTGCCCAGGCTGGTCTCCAGCTCCTGGGTTCAAGCAATCCTTCCACCTCTGCCTCTCAAAATATTAGGATTACAGGAGTGAGCCACCATGCCCAGCCTACTTTTCACAATTTAGCGTATCAATATTTTATTAAATATTTTGAATGGCAATATTTGTTCAAATGACTTGCAGAAGCCAATGTAAAATCAACATAAGAAATAATGTGATGGAGAAAATGGACCTAAATATGGAATCTAAAATAATCTCACAGAAACAGCGATTGGTGGTTACAGAGACTGGGGGTTGGAGAAAATGGGGAGATGATAATCAAAGGTTACAAATTTCAGTTAGACAGGAGAGGTTTTATTCTTTTCTTTTTTTTTTTTTTGAGTTCTGTTGCACAATGTGGTAAATATAATTAGTAGTAGAATATTTTACATTTCAAATTGGTAAGACAGTGACAACCAAAATGAGTGATTGAGGCATAAGTTTCAATCACTGAGGTTTATTAAGCCAGCTTTAGAGTGCATCTAGGGAAACACACCAGCCACAGATAAACCTGTGGCTATTTTTCTAAAGAGGTTTTTGGGAGGTTTAATATGTATGCATTCCTTAAAGTGGGGAGAAGGTACGTAGGAAGACAGGTAGGTAGGCAGTAAGGCAAATGGGTACAACCCTGTGAAATTTTAGTTAGTGTCCAGTAAATCTACATTTTACACAAGATATAGTGAATGTTAGAAGAGAAAAAGGGAGTAAAGGAGGAGCCAATTATGTGCACATCTTTAGGCAGGTGAAGAAATGAGTCTTGTTTTTGTTCTGTACCTGGAAGACAAGCTTCCATTTGGAAGAGGATGTTGCACAATTCAGCTTCATGGCTTTAATTTGGGGGGTCCTGAGATTTTTTTTTTACCTTCCAAGAGTAAATTTCAAATGTTCTCATCAAAAAATTTAAGCATTTAACGTGAAGGATAGGTTAATAACTTGATTTAATCATACCATACTGTATTCTTAAGCTATAACATCACTTTGTACCTCATACTTTTATACAATTATAAATTGTCAACTTACAATAAAACAAAAAAGAGAAAAAAAACTAGGAAAACATTTTGAAATGAAAATTCAACCTCTGACTATAACTCTCAGGTTTGTATTGACAAAATTGAGATATACTAATGAAGATAATCAAAATATTTTACCCCAAAATATATCTCTTTGACATAATTTGAAATGGCTGCTACAGGGACAACAGACTGAGGTGGCTCTGCAAAGCCATCTTTTGTAGAGAAAATTTGCATCTGTGGAGAATTTCCATTGATGTAGCCAGGACTTCTCTTTCTAGGCATTTCTGAGATCTAGGAGAGGTTAACTGATAGCCTGACACTTTTAAAGACCTGAAAAGAAACATTTACCATCTATTCTCTCTGAGAGATGCTACCTGTGAGGGTTCATCTATATAGCACAGCCACTTTTGACAGGCAGGACTCTTTCTTTCTCCCTATCATCACCTGTCTTGCCACTAAAATCTGATTTACCAGCATAAATCATTTGGCCGTGCTCTGAGCCAACATTCTGTTTATAACCTCAAGATGGTATATAAGCTTCTGTACCTCATAAGGGGCGTGGTTGTCATTCTGAAGGCTCCCATCTGTACAGGTTAAATAAATGTGTATACCTTTCTCCTGTTAATCAATCTGCCTCTTGTCAGTGATTTTTCAGAGAACCTTTAGGGGGCTAAGGGCCTTGGTCCCCACAATATTATCTCATGAAGCTGTTGTGAGGAATAAATAAGAAAATCTATTTACAATAATAAACATAGAATGTGGCCTTTTGAGGACAATTTGTACATGCTTTAAAAATATTAAAAGCAATAGGCCGGGTGCAGTGGCTCACACCTGTAATCCAAGCACTTTGGGAGGCTGAGGCGGGCGGATCACACTGAGGTCTGGAGTTCGAGATCAGCCTGGCCAAAATGGTGAAACCTCGTCTCGACTAAAACTACAAAAATTAGCCAGGTGTGATGGTGCGTGCCTGTCATCCCAGCTACATAGGAGGCTGAAGCAGGAGAATCGCTCGAACTCGGGAGGTGGAGGTTGCAGTGAGCCAAGACCATGGCACTGCACTCCAGCCTGGGCGACAGAGCAAGACTCTATTTCAAAAAAATATATATATATATGTGTGTGTGTGTGTGTGTGTGTGTGTGTGTGTGTGTGTATGTGTGTATGTGTGTGTGTATGTGTATATATACATAGAGAGAGAGAGCAATAAAATTTGGTATAGTGTCTATCACGTATGGGCCTTTCTTATTATTTGAAAAATGAAAGAACTGAATGCTATGATTTCTATTGACTATGAGTGTATCAATTAGAAAATAAACAAAATTAACAAATTTTTCTTTGTGATTAAACATATAAAATTAGAAAAATTTTAAATTAGGAATGAACACCTCAAATAAAACAATAGAAAATAGGTAATTTAACAAGATAAGATGTCAAAAAGGAAAACAAAAATCAAATAAGTGGAGAAAATAAAGGAAAGTAGTAAAAAAGTCAAGGACAAGAAATAGAATTTGAGAGCTGAATGACACAAAAGGTCTTGGAATGACAAAAAAAAAAAAAAAAAACAAGGAGTCTGGGCAGGCCAAGTTTAAAGATCAATAAGTAAACAAGTATTCAAAAAGAAAATAAACATGAGCAGTACACCTGGGAGTGACCCAAGATAGAGATATAAGAAAAGTGTGAAATTGTATGTTGGGAGAGGGGACTTGAATGTGGTACAAGCTTTCTATGCAAAGACTATAACATATTTTTCTTTTTTTTTTTTCAAACAAACATCAGCTTCTCTTTGCTGTCACATGAATTCCCTATGTCCACTGGTAATTGAAGTAAATGAAAACCTAGAATCAGAGCTACAACTTATGTTAGGAGTTGTAAGTTTCAATCTATTGATTCTTCTATAAAATCAAAGCTAGAAAACATCCTTGATTATTCACATTGCTCATTTTAAAATTTTGATTTAAAGATTTTCTTTTATGGTGTTTAATAATTCATTAAACATTTACCAAATAACTACAACACAAGACAATGTCCAGAGATGGAGATAAATCAGGCATATTACCTCTCTTTGAGGAGGCTTTAAACAATTAAGTAGAGAGATAGGTGGAAAATTACATGTTATAGGTGGAACTATAAATGCATGTATAAGAGTTAAACATATTTTTATAAGTGGAAAAATACACATAATCAAAATTGCACATAAATATACTTTAAGAGTAACATGCATTTTACCTAAACAAATATAAGCCAAATAACATGATAATTTGAAAGATAAATTTAATTTCCTAACATTTAAATGTTTCACTCTTTTAAGTATTTATTCTTATCAATATTATTGGTTGATATTATTACTATGTATATTTTATGGAGGGGAAAGCAGAACAGAGGAGTAAGCAACTTTTCAGGTCTACAGAATGTTAATATGTACTTGCTTTCTGCTTAAAATCCCAATCCTGTTTCCTGGAATATTGTCTATCTTTATATTCAAAATTTCCAAGATTTTTTGTTAGCAGGCATGTGAAAAGGTTAGGGAGAAGCAGAGACAAAGATTTCAGGTCTGAAGGCAAAGTAATATTAGCGCCCTCTTTTATTAAGATGTACCTGTCCAACTATGCCAATTTTAATTTGTTTCAGTACTCTGGACTTAGTCCCAAATAGTAATAATTCTTTCTTACAAATACTTGAGGTTCTAATATTACCACCAAGCCCTAAGTTCATTGCTTTTGATATCTGTATGAAGGTGGTGCTTCCCTACCATTCCTTGGTAGCTAATGATTTATTTTTCCAACTCAAATTGCACCACTTTCCCACAGCAATCATTTATTCCCTTCAATAACAATCTTAATTAAAGTTTCACATCAACATTTCATCCTGCTTTAGATTTTAAATTTGTTTTTAAATAGCACATAGAAGGCAAACTAACAGAGTTCAAACATTACATATATATATATATATATCTCCAATACAATTATTAATTATTTTTAAGACAACTTTCTTTCATGAAATCCACATCCATTGAAATTTACTATTTATTTTAGTTACATATGTTTAAAACTCTATACAATGACCAATGATTCTTCTTTACCTAGCTTAAGTAATTTGAGAGCTGAATGACACAAAAGGTCTTGGAATGACAAAAAAACAAGGAGTCTGGGCAGGCCAAGTTTAAAGATCAATAAGGAAATAAGTATTCAAAAAGAAAATAAACATGGGCAGTACACCTGGGAGTGACCCAAGATAGAGATATAAGAAAAAGATAAAAAGGGGAAAGCTTTTCCCCTCCATAAAATATAAATAGTAATAATATATGTAAGTAATAATAATGAAAGTGATAGTAATAGCAACATTAAATATCCCTGTTATTTTTTTGAAATCTTCTAAGTTCCAGGATTTATGCTAAGTAATTTAAAAATATTAACATTAATTCTTGATTTCTTTGAAGGTTTTTAAATCAAAAGCCTGAAGAAATTATACATACAACTTTTAATAGTAAACTAAATTTATGTTGTATTATTTGATTCTATGATTCTATGTATTCAACTATGCAGATGTAATCGTGTTTAAGTTACCATTTTATATAATTATAAAAAATTAAAAATATCTAGAGTGCCCATATCTCAAACAGTAGAAATAAGCCAAGTTTACGCTATTGGATGAAATTATTATTATTATTATTATTTATTTTGTTTATTTATTTTGAGACAGAGTCTCGCTCTGTCACCCAGGCTGGAGTGTGGTGGTGCGGTATCAGCTCACTGCAACCTCTGTCTCCCGGGTTCAAGTGATTCTCCTTCCTCAGCCTCCCGAGTATCTGGGATTACAGGCACCTGCCACCACACCCAGCTAATTTTTGTATTTTTAGTGGAGACGGGGTTTCACCATGTTGGCTAGGCTGGTCTCGAACTCCTGACCTCAGGTGATCTGTCCGCCTCGGCCTCCCAAAGCACTGGGATTACGTGCATAAGCCACTGAACCATTTCTAAGTAGTGAGATTCATGTTAATACTTCATATTTACCTATAAATTTTGTATCAGTAGAAGAAAACAAATGCAAGAAGTGTTAGAATATGTGATAGAAAATTAATAATCATGGACTGGAAAAATACAAGTAAAAAATATTTTCATCCAACAACATGGTTAAAAATATGAGGGTCTGATTTAAATTAAATATTATCAACAGGATGTGGAACTCTTCTCTCACTTATTGCTTGTATGTATGTGAATTTGTGTAGCCATTTTGCAGAGTAATTTGAAAATATCTGTTAAAATTTAAGATTCTTATGTACCATAAATGTGCCTAAGGAGACACATTTAAGAATGTTTAATAGGAAAGACATAGGAAATACATATTTTCTTCTTAAGAATATTGATAATGTATTCATATTATGGTATATAAACATCACAAAATGTAGACTGCTAAGAGGAATCTGGTAGATCTACATGTGCTAACATTTAAGGATTGCCAAGACCTGTTTATGAAGATGAAATGAAAAATTTACAGGAGACCTACAGATTTGATACCAGTGGTTACAACTAGGGAGGGACCCAAGGGAGGCAAGGTGGCCACGGCTGATGTGAGGATTTTAAAGCCAAGATCCTCTGCAAATATTCTACGGGGAACAGGTCAGGCTATAAGTGCCATAAGACAGAGTTAAAATGTTCTCAGATGGTTTGCTGCTCATGAGGGCTTCATACACGTGTTCTATTTTCATCCTCCTTTGGAAATTAGATTTATTGGTAAAACATAATTTCCATATAACTACTTCTCTCTGAAAGCATAAATTGCTTATTCCCCATGCTGTGTGCTACAGAGATATGGAAAAAAAAATGACGTATTTTCCCGGCTCTTAGGGAGCTACACAGTGGAGATGGGTACAGGGTGGGGAGAAATACTATCTCATATAGCTGACATTTAGAGAGTGTGCAAGCACTGTTAGAGATTCCCTATATTAACTTATGCAGTCATTACCACAACAGATGAAGAAACAAAATATGGAGACATTAAGCAGTTTGTTCAATGCCCAACAGTAAATGACAAAACTGGGATTTGAACCCAAAGAAGTCTGGTGCCAGAACCTGCCTTTTTAACTACAATCCTATACAGCCTCTTAACTATAACTCTATTAATTATCTATACAGTATAGTGCTAAAAAATGCTAAAAGTGGGTATAGGACTGGAATAAAGAAATTTCACTGCATGGGATGGTTTGAAGACCAGGAGCCGTAATAAAGAGAGAGAAAGGAATCAAAGCTACTTGAGTCAGATTCTGGATGACATTTGATTGCACTGATGGGTTTTGCCTGAACTGAGCATTCACTGAAGGGTTTTGAGGAGAGCTGTGTTTTGATCTCACCTGAGTTTTACAGAAGTTACTATGCTGGTGGTATTAACCCCTTATATCGTAGAGGCAAGAAATTACAGCTTCTCCACTTAAGAGTCCACTGGGGGAACCATGTAAAAAGGAAAATGAGACTCCAAGCTCTTGTGAGAATGGAGAGAAAACATGAAATATGATTTTTAAGGGACCAACCTGACAGAACTTTGAAAGTCAAGATGAAGCCAGTGGCTGGATTGAAGATGATTCTAGCTTAATGGAGGATATCACTCTTCAAATAGATGGGAATACAAATGGAGCTGATTTAGCACATGAGAAAGCTCTCAGGGATCAGGTAAGAAGTTAATTTTTCTTTTTGTATTTAGTAGTTCCTGTAAAAGTTCTCTTTGGAAAAGTAATTAATACCTGGTTTACAGAACTGAAAGTATTACTTATTTCAAATTTTAGTGAGGAAATGGGCAAGGAACTATAAAATGTAAAATATTTAAAACTTTTTTTTATGTCTATACCCTTATTCCATCCCCCTGTACACTACAAGTCAGAAATTTCTTAGGCATTCAGTTTCCATTAGAAACTGGTCTGTAACCTTCTACGTGATGTTTCTCTTAGAGTGAAAAGACCTTTACCTACACTGTGGTGCACCAGAGTTTAAAGTTGGAGAGTTCAATTATATGAAATTTAACTGTACCCTGTAGATTTCGAGAGATACGTTTTAATATCAGTTGGTAGGATGTAATACCACGTTTGCGGCAGTAGTCCCTCTAGTACTATTCTCCATATACTTCCTATGTAAACCTAGTAGGAGTGTATTTCCCCACATCTCTGAAGTTAGATTTGGCCAATGCCATTTCTAGTGAAATGTGAAATAGATATGTCTGTCGCTTCCAGGGAAAGCCATTAAGAGCTGGTGTACAATTTACAAAATTTATTTTCCCCTACTCTGGACCCAGTGACATTCACAATGGTGGAGAATATTTTTGCCTGCATCCTTGAGAAAGGACAAATGTGGAACAAAGCTTCCATCTCATTCTTATTACTGTTAAAAATATAAAAGAAATATAGTTTTAAGCCACTGAGATTTTGGTGATTTTTGTCACCACCACATAATCTAGCCTATTCTAACTGATATACTAACTGCTGTGGTTTTTCTCCTTAAACTTGCCCTTGACAGGTTTTTCTGGACACCGTTATTATCCTTTCTCCCTCCCCCAGCCCATGGAGGTCTATCTTATTTCCCAGTTCCTTACAAATATCTTATTATCCTAATCATGAATAAACAAGTAAAAATAGCTTTAACTGGTTCTGTGAATTATTTCATCTAAGATTCAGCTTTTTATGGGGCAGTTTCCAAAGTAATTAAAATATTTAGCAGTTTGTCAACAATAGAAACTAGTAAATCCTTCCTCAAGGTTTCCAAGCTCCTTCCAAATGGGGAAAAAGGTTAAATTTGGGAGAAAGTGGATAAAGTGTTCTTCCATGCAGACATCTTTACATGTGATTTTATAAGGCTTTATACACTTTATACAAAATTAAATATAAATAGTCTTCCCCAAATATAGAGTTTATAGGATATCTTACAGGGAGAAATCCAAAATCAAACTAGGAAAACAAATACAAAAATAGTAGTAGTCACTTAAATAAAAATTAAATCCAATGAAAGAATGAATGGAAGAAAAAGCAAATAACCCTAGTAAATGTGCATGAACACGCAGAGTTCTTATTTAATCCCATCAGGTCTTATGGTATTTATCCTTTGGGGCTCATGAAATGGAACAGTTTAAAATGGTCACTGACCACAGGCAGGATTAGCACATTTTTATATTTGTAACCCAAAACATTTAGTTTTTGGATTTTATCAGGCATAATATAAAAGTGATTAGTGTTATGGCACCTCAGAAGTTAGAAGTTGTTTATGCATGGTCTGTGATAAACAGACCCCAGAAAGTAGCTGGAATAGGGCCGAGGCAGGCAATTCAATATGTAGACATACTTTCATATGCTGCAAGGAAAAATTCTATGACCTCTTCCAAATCCATTGATCGCAATCCCAGAAAATAATAACTGTTCTGCAAAATCTTCCTATAAAATACACAATATTTAAACAACCACTAATCTTTTTGAATTGTACAGAAAACTATTCCATCTCACATATGACCCCTCTCCTTGTATATGTGTGTATATTTGCAACAAATTACAACTTTGTTTTAAGCTTGGTTCTAAATTAATGTACTGTGGTAAAAAACAAAAATCTGGCAAAAACTCCCATTGTTTTAAAAATGCAACTGACATAAGCACTGTCATGAAAAATGTCATTTGATTTAGGGTCACCTTACAGGCAAGTAATCAATAAATTATGTAGTCAAATATGTCCATCTCTGAAACAGCCCTTTTGGCTTATTGTGCGTCTGAGAGCATAATGGATTTGTTACTAAATTCTTACCTTGTACTACAGGATTTCGCCTTTAATAAACATGCAAGTCTAGCTTATCTTTGCTATATAGTTTTATTTTCATTACTAAAATTGAACCTATGTATCATCTTTCTTCCTATGTTACATGATAGATCTCAGAGGTGTTAACAAGAGCTTCTACTCATGCAGTGAAATGCTGAAAGGTGGTACTTTTACTCTGAGCTGTTTATTACTCCCAACATACAGCCAATTATTTTTGTAATCAAAGAATTTTAAAACCTCCAACATTAACATAAATGCATTAGTAGGTCACATTTCAACCTTGACAAGATTACTGCAAGATGTGTTTGCCAATATACTACACAGAACTCCCCATCTGTATGTGGTAAGCCCTTTTATTCACTTGAAAAACAAAAAGCCAGTAGCTGATATTAACAAACTGTTGATATTTCTTGGAGAGCTGTGACTTTTTTTTTTTTTTTTACAGTGTTCTGGCTGTAATTTTGAACTGACTTAAGTCTATGAGCTTTTATATGCCTGCAGAATTATGTTTTCTTTTCTATTTGCCAGGTGATATGCAATTAGAGAGTCTTGTTTATTATCTCATAGCCATATCCCTTTGAACAACAGAGTGTGTTAAAGTACAGAGTATAGAGCTACTGAAAATACATATTTTGAATTATGTTTATTAATACTGGAATGTTTTATATTTGACACACTACAATCTACACAAATGTATATTTTAAGCACAAATATATATAATATTCAGATATAAATGTTTTTAAGATGACCAATAATTTTATCTGTATAACACTGGATAAATAACACTTGATGCCAAACTTTAAAAAAAAATCTTGCTGTATCTTTATGCATATTCAATTTCCCAATAAACACTATCACTTCTTACTACAAATTACTAAGATTGGTTCCTTTCTTTGTCATAACAGGCAAATCTGTAGATTGAGCTTCAGTTGTAACAGAAATTGCTTTTATTCAAGCTTTCCTTTTTCCCTCTCTTTCTTGTCATTAACCTTTCTTGCTGGCTAACATGATCCCCTCATTCCATGAACATAACAGCTTGGAGTGTTGGATCTGAGATGTACCAGCTATCTGAAGAGTATAAGCTGAATGTGGGGTTAGGATAAGACTTGTTTTTTGAGCTTAAAAAAAATAGGAAGGATCAAAACCAAAAACAAAGCCAAAGATTACTCAACTGACGTGTAAGTCTAAAACTCGAGTTAGAAAAACCAACGTCTCTCCATCCAGCTATCCATTCAACAAATTTGCATCATATCAGTGAATGAGAGAGAGAAGGTTTCTATTCTCTTAGACAAAGATTCTAGAGAGAAGAACTGAAAGACAGTAAACATGTTTTAACAATGACATCAAATAGGACAATTTTACATAGAGTGACTGGTTGAAGGCAGGAGAGGGAGTGCTGGGTTATTTTACATAGGATTGTCAGGGAAAGCCCTCTGGAGTCACGGCATAGTTTTTGAACTGACAAGTAAATGATGAGAAGGAAGTAGTCATGGAAAAGAGTTGGAAGAAGAAAGAAGAGTCATGGATAATCCGTTACCTTATTTCACCTATTCTAAGGTGCACACCTTTTCATATTTTAATATCCATGAAATTAAGGTACATGTTATTTTAATAATTGCTATTAGCTGGATGGTAGTTGTGATTTTGTAGTAACTCTCAGCACGTACCTGTTATTTCCAGCAGCATGAGGGAATAATATCAATGCCTTGACATTTAAGCTAACAAACCATTTTAAGGACTATTTGAGGAATAAATAGGAGTTGATAGGAGTTTGTTTTATAAAAAACTTAGACTAACATCATCTACAAGATTAAGAATTCACCAGCATTAACCTTGTAGAATGTTTGTCAGCAGTGTGGAAGAAAGCCCAAGAACTAAGTGGGTACGCCCTTTTGATAACTGCCCTATCACCAATGCTCTTAACAGCACAGCAAATGCAAATGGAGAACTGAAAAGTGACTACCAGTTACATTATAAATGTAAGGAAGTTTTAAGAATAGCTTAAACAGTCTATTTTGCTCATTATTTTGTATTTTCATGTATGAACAAGAGTGACGTGAAAAATTCCTGTCTAAATGATTCTAATATCAAAAGTCTCTCTGAATATGTAGGAAAAAAGTCCTAAGTAACAAGAAGAATTACATTATAGTTTATCAACTTTTTTTTTCTATTTTAACAGTTCATAAAATACTATCTTAAAATGGATGGTGTCTTAGACAATAAGAAATCACTGCACTTTCCAAGGCACTGTTAAATAGTGGTGAACAAGGGTCCCAACCTTTACTGAGTTTTCTTTCTAGTGGGAAATAAAAATAATATAACTGAGTAAATTAATACATTGTTAATTGTACATTGTGTTAATTTCTAAGAAAACAATAATAAAAACAATTATGCACAGTGCATACAACTGCTTACGAGGAGGTAGAATGTGATGGAGAATCTCATTTATATTATGGGGTGGTGTGGATTGTCAAAAAAACCTTGTCAGAGGATATAACCTTTAAACTAAGACTTTGAAGCAAGGGGAGTCAGTCATATGAAAGTTAGTAGGAAAGTATTTCACAGGGAAAAAAGACATATGCAAGGTATATTCTGTTTAGTATATTCTGGGAATGAAAGAGTGTTTAGTATATTCTGGGAATGAAAAGATTTGTGAGATTGTGAATAAATGTATAACAATAGATGAAGTGGTTTGGAGGTGAGAAATGAGGTTCAGGAATTTAGCTTTGGAGATGTTAAAATAGAATATATGTCAGTTATTCCACGTAAATTATAGGTGTACATTTGGATTTTTGAGTCTGAGATTCATAGGAGAATTCTGATATAATACTGGGGAACTTTTGCATATGAATGAAGTTGGCACAATATTTATAGGTCTGCTAGAGGAAGACAAGACGGCAAAGCAGACTTTTAAAACATCTGGGAAGGAGAGAAGGGAATTTAAAGAATGTAGAATTACGAGAAGGCAGGAGAGAAAATCTCGCAACAAAGGATAAATAACTTGTTGACAGATGATGGGATATAACTTATCCATTGGATGTGACTACATGGAAGTCACTGATATTTTTTAAAAAAGAGTTTGGTTAAACAATGTTAAGATGAAATTGAATGAATATGGGAAAATGATGACCAAATGTGCAGATGAATTTTTCAAGAAGTTTGGTTGTAAAACAGTGAATAGGTATGGGAAAAGTAAGAGCAATGAGACATAAATTGCTTATACTAGGCAAGACTTAGAGCAATTCATCTTCATGAGATGGTGTTGGAGATTATGCCTTGTGCTGCCTTGCTGAGTGCAGAAAATGAAAAGGTTCAAGTAGAGGGGAAAAGGTTCAACTGGAGGATAAGAAGTGGTGTACAGAGATGCATCCTTTCCTCAATTTCCACAAGTAGATCTGGCTTTTTAGAGGTTGCTCATAATCTAAGTTGTATTGTATTGTATTGTATTGTATTGAGATGGAATTTTGCTCTTGTTGCTGAGACTAGAGTATAATGGCACAATCTCGGCTCACTGTAACCTCCACCTCCTGGGTTCAAGTGATTCTCCTGCCTCAGCCTCCCAAGCAGCTGGGATTACAGGCATGCACCATCACGCCAAGCTAATTTTGTATTTTGAGTAGAGACGGGGTTTCACCATGTTGATCAGGCTGGTCTCGAACTCCTGGCCTCACTTGATCGACTCACCTCGGCCTCCCAAAGTGCTGGGATTACAGGTGTGAGCCACCATGCCCAGCCATAACCTAAATTTTAAATTGAATATTGTTCCAATTAGGAGAGGTTGTTTCAAGTTTGCCATTCTCATGGAAACCCCACACTAGATTTCTATGCCATGACTCATAATAGGAAAGACTTGTCCCTATTAGTCCTCTAAAGCCCTGTGGCAGCTATGGACATCCAAAGGCTGTTGCTAGGAGTCCCATAGCACACACTAAAACTTAAAGGATGACACTTTTGCAACCTAGTAGTTTTCCAGGGGTTGGCATGATAACATGGAATTTCAAGAATTTTTACTCAGAAAAGGTTATAGTACATTCATTTGGTATCCAGTAAAATTTAGATATTAATACTACCTATTGGGTACAATGAACACTATTTGGGTGATGGGTGCCCTAAAAGCCCAGACTTCACCACTAAGCAACATATGGGTGTATCACAACTGTACTCATACCCTATACATCTATAAAAATAAAAAAAAATAAAAGCACATAAAAGATAAGTTATTTGAATAATCTGTATAATATTTTTTTCATCAAGAGTGTTAGATACACGTCAAATCGATCACATAAATATAGTAATTGGCTATAGATTATGTTTAGAGGGTGAAACAAAGATAACAGATCTCATTCTACACAGAATAAAAAAGGAAAATGAAAACATACAACATTGTGGACAGCAGCCAGGGATGTGAGCAGAAATAAGTTGGTAGTATTTCTTTGTTCACGGTCACATAGGTAAGAGTCACGTATTTATACCAATAAAAATTGATGTACTTAATATATAGCTTTTTTAATATAAAGGAAGTGAATCAAAAATGATCTTAACCAAGGAAGAAAAAGGACCAAGGATTAAAGACGTACGTTTATCCGCATCCATCCATTTTCCTCTTCAGGCTACTTGTACCATTATTTTCAAATCTTTGTATGGATATTTTAGGAAATACTTTTTTTCCCCTTGGAAATAGTAAAGTGTCTGAGCTCCAGAGGGTGGTTAAAGAAGATTGATAAGTAATGACTGCTGAATAATAGAACAATGAATGTTGTGAAGCATTTCCTTTTCATCACGTAATCAATGAGTCTCCAAGTCAAAAGCTTTGCAGTTCAGAAATACTATAGTTGGAGACAATTTGTTCTAGACACAGGAAGAAAACACCAGCTAGTAACAGCCATCCACTTAGGAGAAAAATACTTTTTCTTTATAAGAACTGCCTTGCTCAAACAACATTAGTATTAGTTGAGACTTTACCAACAGATAAAACCTAGAAAGAATAATTTAGCATTTTTGTCAAAGATATAAACACTACCAACTTATTCCTGCTTCTATCATTTTTGAAGGATGTAATAAAATCATATTTGAAACAAAAACAAGACTGCTTTTTTTTTTTTTTTTTTTTTTTTGAGAGGAAGTCTTGCTCTGTCCCCAGGCTGGAGTGCACTGGTGTGATCTTGGCTCACTGCAACCTCTGCCTTCCGGGTTCAAGCAATTCTCCTGCCTCAGCCTCCCAAGTAGCTGGGATTACAGGCACCCGCCACACCTGGCTAATTTTTTTCTGTATTTTTAGTAGAGACAGGGTTTTGCCATATTGTCCAGGCTGATCTCAAACTCCTGACCTTGTGATCCGCCCACCTCGGCCTCCGAAAGTGCTAGATAATAGGCATGAGCCACCACGCCCAGCTGTAAGACTGCTTTTTAAAACTACGGAAATAAATATATGTTGATATTTAGTATTATCTAAGATTATGAAACATTTTGTTTTAACAATATGTACAATATTTCACAATAAAGAAAGAAGGATTGTGTAGGAAGGCATTTCCATTTCATACTTTTTCTCTCTTTTTTTTTACTGTTTTGTGTCTAGAGTGCAATTTATTTTAATTGGAGGAACAGATCACATAATATTCTGTATTTAACCTTAACTCTACTCCCTTGCCCCAATTAAGTAGAACCAGATAAAACTGAAATGCAGTAGTAAGAAATTTCAAGCTTCACAGCCTGCTGAAAAAGGCAAAGGCCCAAGAAAATTGTGATCTTTTGCGGAGGAAAAGACAAAAAACAGCTGAAGGGAGGTGGTTGCGTCAGTTGGCTATAACTAGGAATGTCTCGGAGCCACGTTAAGCGCCAGTCCTGACATGGCTGAGAGCATAACTGTAATCAGCAGGAGACACAAACACACGCATTATTTTTCTTTCTCTCCCCCTTTTATTAGTTACCTTTTCAATTTGTTCTGACTGCATCCTCAGGAAGAAGAGAAAACAGATACTGATGAGCACTAATTGTCTCCACCACGCCTACTTTAAACATCTGATTTGGCAAGAATTTACCCCAGTCTCTGATATTTCTTTATGTCTCAATACAGTGTCTGCCACACTTTATCGTAGTACTTTTACATATACTTCCATTCTACTTGCCCTAATTAAAACATATTATAATTGAAAGGAGTGGTAGGTTGAATGGTACCTGTGCCAAGGATGGAATTTTATAGACAGCAACACATTTTATCTCAGTAACTAGCTTAATTCAATGTTTTTCCATAAAAATTCTTTTCCTAATAACCCATAGAAACTGCCTAAAGACTTGCTAAGCAGGGAAGTGTGATTACACAACTGCTGTTACAAGTATCTCAATGCCACTGAACTCACCAAACCCCTAAAAATGAAGAACTTAGAAAAACTTTGCTTTGTGTTTAGATCATCTCTATCTATACTTCTCTATTTTGAAACATTTTCTCCAAACCCAATCCAGCTTCATGCCCAGATAACTTTATGCCTTTATTTTGCTCAATGGGGCCTTCTTATGTCATCATCCAGCCTGGTTCTCCCCTCTTTGACCAGCATACCAGATATTTCCTAACTTACTTCCTCAGTGACTGCTTAACTGTTTTATCCACTATCTCCTCAAAAGCTGTCCTATCCTCGGTTATACTTAGTCAATGTGATATTAATCTTTGTCACTGTGTACTAATACATAAGACCCGTCAAACATTGGAAGTATTACTCTAGTGAGAAAAATTTCATAAGCCAAACATGAGAAAGTCAAATGAATTTCTCTATGAGAACAGAGGCTTTAAGCTAAATGGGGTACAAAATTTTAATAGAGAAGATCTTTGTTTCCATGATATGATTGTAAATGACTATACAAAGGACCTAACCAAATTATATCTCCTAACATAAGCACTGAAATTATTGATAGGTTTAGGTTTTAGAAGACATAATGGTGGACAGCAAGGTGAAGATAGTGACTTATTGGTTAAAACATAGTCTGCATAATTTTTAAAGTAAGTTCCTGGCCATAGATATTTTGTCATTAATAAATTAAAAGAAATGACTGGTTAATGTGAAAACTTTAATATAATATGGATATATTCTGTCCAGTTACAAAAATATATTTTGCCTAACTTCATTAATTAAAAGAATTCAACGTTACAGTTTTTTTAGGACACAAAAGTATAACACTACCACCAAAGCAATGAAAAGGATGTTTGTTTTCATTCTAGCCTTGGAAACAATGAGAAGGTTTCATCTGCTGCCCTATTTATGTAAATAATGAGATTCTAAAATAAACAGAAAATCATCAGGCTCCACATTAACAGAATGCCTTCAAGCAAAAAAGCATGACAGCCACATATGCTTTAAACTTTGGGAAACACAAATGTAGAGTGAGGAAGATAAAACCAGTCAAACAATCAGGTTCTACACTTAACTCGCAAAAGTTTTTTTTTTTAAGTCATTTTTCCCATATAGAGCTCAGTTTATTGGCTAGTTGGTTGGTTTTCATTATCTAGAAGTTAAGGAAGTTTGTCCCTTCCATCTCTAAAATATTATACTTACGAGGAGGTTAAATATTACTTAATTAGCATAGCAAATGGCAAAAATACAACAGTAAATAAAGTATACTTTTCTATAATTTCCTCTCAAAAAACAGCTTAATCTTTCTTTATAATACATACAGGGGTACATCAGTGACACTTATTTTTCACGTAATTCTAAGGCAACCAGACAGAGATGAAAGAGAAATTTAAGTACCATATTTTCCATCCTCCTGAAATTCAGGAAAGGTCTGCTTTCAGAAACAACACCATTTAACGTAGGTCACGCACCTGGAATATTCACACAATCCCAATAGAAGCAAGAATGATTCACTAAGGACAGAAGCAGGGCACTGATGATTTGTTAACTTTCACTGAGACCTTTGCGTGAGTGAACAAATCTTGTTAAATTTCATGCCCTGAACTTCATCTGTATGTAGGATTATATTTTTGAATTTCCCCCGAGAATAATCATTGTAACCTTTTATCAAGAGTGGGTTTGTTCTCAGCAGAGGCATCAACCCACCCCCGTAACCCACTCACCGCAGGGAATAAAACAACCATTGTCCTATGGAGAAGCCGGCAACGTGAACACCAGAGGACTGCACCTGTTTGTTCACTGTTATCAAATGCCAGGCTGGGGGCTACCCCTGGTAAGAGGGCTCGGACTTCTTAAACCACAGAGCAACATAAACTCTCCTGTAGAAATCTTTTGTGTGCAAACAGAAGTTTAGCAGCATGCTTTCTTCCTGGGAGGAAGAAAGAGCACGCCTTTTACCATCGGGCCTTCAAGATACATTCATTCTTTGCAAACTGTCTGTTATGAATACTAAGCTTCCCATGAGTGTCCAGCTTCAGTTTAAAAGGAAGCAATGAAAGACTCATGAAATGAAAACGATATGAATATAGCATCAAAACTATGTCTGTCTTGTGAAGAAGTAATTACTTGAGTCACTTATAGAAAGTTGAAGTGTTCTTGTCAGGTTTAAAATTTCAAATTAGCTTTCTATGGCATATTGAAAAGATAGTTTTGCAGAATACTTTGTCCTAATCTAAAGCTCCAAAAACAATGAGCTAGGTGTAAGTTTGGGGTGACACAAAGCCTGATTTCAACCTTTAATGAGATGTTAAGAGTTCAAGGGAGTGGGCTATTTTAATTACTCCCATTTAGTAGGAAAATATATATGTCTCCTAATAGTTTTAAATAATTAAATACACACAGCCATACCAATAAGCAAATGAAAATATACCTTCATGGGTACATGTAATAGCTCTTCACTTCAGTGCCATCTTTTCTTTATCCTGCCCTCAGTACAGTTTGTGATCTCAAATTCTGGATATGCAATTTCACAAATCCTAACTGCTGACTGTGGCAGGTATCTCCACAGATACAAACATAGAACTTGACTGTTTATCTTTGGAATAAGTGTGTGTGTGTGTGTGTGTGTGTGTGTGTGACAGAGAGAGAGAGAGAGAGACAGAGAGAATATGATTGCATAGTTCATTTGTAATTACTCTTTTACTCTTTCTCTTGGCAGTATGTTTCAAAAGAAATATGTATGTTTTAAAACATAAAAAATAAAAAGTAATCAAAAAGAAAAGAAAACCAAAAGGGTTTCTTGCAAGACAGACCCTAGAGCAATTTGAAAACATCAAATAAAACCCCTCCAGCATGTTCTCCCCATGTGATGCCTTTGTACATACACTTCAGCCTGTGGGCACATTTCCCATGACACACACCATGTTTCAGTGCCATGTTGATAGATATAAACACATATGGATTACTCATTTGCCATTCTGTCTATTGAGTTCCATACGGTTTTCTGTAAAATTAATTTTATATAAAAATAAATTATTGGGAGCCAAATATCGTTTCTGACCATGAATAGAGAAATAGAATTATAACAATTTGAGTGTGTTTCTCTTTGGATGTGTCAGTGACACACAATGTGCATGGCTATGCATAATAGTTAGATATTATACTCATATAGACATATAAATGCATCTGTGTATGTGTCTATACATATGCATCTATACACATGTACATATAAATATATGTATATAGAGAAAAACAACATGTGTATACACACATCCTCTTTTTCTGTTATATATTTATTGGCTATTTTGCTATATCTCTCTCTGGTCTTCTTATTTGCCTTTTGCTCAGTTCCAGGTATGTGTCAATATTTATTTTTCTTTAGGAAACTTTGAAATAGGTATGACCTGTTGACATGTATGGATTTATTATTACAATTATTTTACAGAAAACAGATTTTCTATTTTTTTAACATAGTTATGCTTTAAAAAATAAAATAAAATGACAGAGTAATGTTTTATAAACAACTTTTCTCTAAGTCACAGAATTTAAGGACTTGAAGCAAGGATATAGACATAATTGTTAAATATACTTTCATGCCCAGCAAACAAGGGAGACATATAGTCATTATTTGCTTTCTATTAGAAAATCCATGGTCTTGTATCCAAGCATATGAAAACCATTTAAAAACTTTTACAGTGGTTCTAAGCAATGTGAGAGTTTAAGCTGTCAATTACCTTATTTACGGAGTAAAAGAATACAAACAAACATGAAGTAAGTCTAAACACTTGTGAAATGCTACTAAGATACCTTTCTTAAATTTTCATGTTTGGAGTAAAGATTCTAATTTTAGAATGCAACCCCCAAGCTTCCTGTGGTTACCGAGTCTGCAAACCAAGTCTATTCTGCAGGTGTCTCACATCTCCACTGTTTTGACAACAGTTGCTTCACTTCTTTTTAACACACTGACAGAGACCCAGCCGTGTTATAGCAATTGAGCTACTGAAAACACTATCAGCGATAGCCTACCCTTTCTTTAGAAGTTCAAGTTTTCAAGCAAACAGTAACTGGGTATTTTAATTATTTTTAAAACTCCCAGAAAATACCTAATAAATTAGATCTTAGCCAATTAAAATAAGTTATCAAAATATTCTTAATGCAAGTTCATCAAGTAGGAGGGGTAAAAAATATATTTGGTACTGTTTCTGCTTATTTAGAACTAATTATGAAATATCTAGGCATTCAAATCCCATTTTATTGTGGAATGGAGATTTAAAAGGGAGCAATGATTAATGACTTTCAAATACAGTATAAAAGTAATCTCTGGGGAAACAAATTCTTAGCTGAATTGGTAGCTCTACTCAGCAGGGACATTTGAATAATTCCAGGGGAACTAAGAAATTAAGAAATGAACAATGAATAGGATTTTCTTGGCACCACTAGGAAGTCTTGTGTTAAAGGCTTGGCACCACTGTTAAGCCTTGGCTTAAACGCAATATTTAAAATCAAGTAAATTGGTTGTGTTGCCCAGTTCACTTTCCTTTTTTCCCTCCCCAAAAGTCATCAAAAGTTTTTCCTTTCTTTGTTTTGCTATTATTTAGCCTTAGCAGGAAAACAAAATAATTTATTTTTAAAAATGAATCTATCTTTAATGACACATAGCTAAGAATAAACACATTTTGTTACTATTATTATAGCACGTTGTTATCTCTATGCCAGAAAATAAATACACACAGAACAATCAAACCCTAATAGAGGTCCCTAGATATGCACATAGAGTTGCATTTTTTAATTAAATGCTTGAACTTCAGTTCCCATGTGCTCAGAAAGCAAAACTACAGCACCGTTCTCTGCTGAATTGGAAGGGGTAATGTCATGTCCTCACTTGTTCTAAGCAGAAAACTTGAGGACTAAGAAAATGTGACTCACATTTTGCCTTAGAACTTTTCCAAGAAGATAGGTAGTAGGTAGGTATTATCAAATAATGAAAGGAAAGAAAGAAAAAAAAACTAAGAAAATTATTCTTTCGTAATTGAAAACTCAGTGCAAAAGGTATTAGGTGATTTATCTAAGGTATAAGTGGAATGAGAATACGAATCTTCTGGTTGCTAGTGAGCCTAGACTACTAAAATCAACCATATCTGTCAATGAAGAACCAATAAAGAACACGTTTTACATAGATGTGGCAAGGATTAACCAATAAATTAATATTCTTAAATATTGTTACTCTATTGAGAACTGCATAAGAAAAGTGGACACAAGAAGGGAACTAACATATATTGTGTTCTAAACACTATGCTAGGCAGTTTGCATACATTGTTTGCATTTCATTCCCATTTTCAGATGAAAACTGAGGCACAGCACATAAGTGATTGTGACTGTCCTTTCTTTGTTGCAGTGCGAGTATTAAGTTTCAAATTGTCAGGTTTCAAAACTCAGGCTTTTTTCTACAACTTCATGTTGCTAGGGCTAGACGAGAATATTTTGGAAATATTGTTTTTATAATCTAGAAATATGCCTTCTCATCTAGAACACATAGGCTGGGTTTGAATTCAAATAATAAATCAAAATTCTCAGGCCAAATTTAAATTTCTGCGTTAAGAATCTTTCAAGCATTTTATCTCTGAGCTCTGTTTTTATCACTTTGCCCTTCCAAAACCATTTCTGACTTTATGCGTAA
Source organism: Homo sapiens (assembly GCF_000001405.40). Classification (NCBI taxonomy): domain Eukaryota; kingdom Metazoa; phylum Chordata; class Mammalia; order Primates; family Hominidae; genus Homo; species Homo sapiens. The sequence continues at coordinate 211,932,305 of NC_000002.12, forward strand.
GTCTTAGAGTGTTTTTTGGATACAAGAGCTACTTAATTTTCTGATTGTTTTACATTTTTTCATGGGTAAAGTTCTAATCAGACAACTATAAATGACAATAATCAGAGTAAAAAATTATATACATTTATGGATTGTCAACTGTTTGCCCTTTGTATCTCAATAATTTTATTATTTTTTCCAAAGGACATTCCCTATTTCACCAGCTAGTTGATTTAAATAGTCATTTGAAATTATAATTAGAAATATTTTAGAAAGAAAACCATTTGAGGGGGGAGTGTCCATCATTCTATGTTTATCTATACATGTGATATTTAGAAACACACTCATGGCTTAAAAGTTCCCATTTCTGTTAATTTGATAATTATATATTACCATTGATTTCCTCTTTAAAAATACAAAATTTTGTAATTCCAAAGGAAAATGTTTCAAAGATGTCTTTGGCATTGAATGTTTCTTACTAAGTCATATTTTAATGGATTAAAATGTAAATGAACTTTAAAGTTACACTAAATCTCTCCCTGATTTAAATTATATTAGACATTAAAATTAACATGAAAATGGCTCCATAAACACTATTGTTTTAAATATTTTTACATTATTTTATATTTAATAATGAACCAAAAGTAACAGAAGTCACTGTGCATAGTAATAGTCTTAAATACATAAAACGATTGAATAGTTACTTAAATTATGCACTGGTGATCTTCAATAAAATCACAAAGGAGTTGATAACCTACATTGTGACCCCTGATGTATTTATTTTGCACAAGTGATAGTTAGGTTCTCGTAATTTTTAAGAGGCGCTTGAGCCAAGACACTAATTCTTGATTCACCTCTTTTCCCTGAGCACCATAGGACTGCATTTGAAGCATGATACAATTTTAATTACAAAGATTTATCATTACGACATGCAATTTCTAAGTACGTGAAATGACAGTGTAATGCACAGATGTGAAGTTCAGCCACACATTCACTATGTGAACAATGGTATCAATGACACAGGCTGCTTCCTTCCATTCTATATTTCTACCCATGCTTTATAAAAGATATATCTATAGGTATGTTAAGTACTGCTTCATTATCTTCTCCATCCTTTCCTTGCAAAACATACTGCCCAGTACTCTTTGAACAAGACTATGAAATTCATATCAAATTTGATAATCTATTGTAGATATTTGATGACTTTAGATTACAATTCGGTTACACATGAATTATGGCATCTATATTGTTTATTTTCTTCCCACTGATCAATGAAAATGTATACCTAAACATATATAGATTGGCATATGTTTTCTTTAAATCTTTTTGTTACCTTCCTCTTTCTAGTATCTTGAATCAAATTATATTTTTGGAATAATATAGTTGAAAAAGGACTCGACTAACAGTAGGACAAGAAAAACCCTCATCTTAAGTAAATTATTTATTCTCTCTGGGACTCAGTTTCGAAATGAGAGAGGGGTTAGACGATCTTTAAATTCTCTCTTAATATCGCATCTACGATCCTCTTCAACTTTGCTTTTATAGAAGAATAGATTAAGAGATTTTTATTGCTCTTTATTTCCAAAATATGTGCTAAATTTAAGTGTAGTGTATTCTTTGATGTCTAAGTCTGAAATATACTTGTTTCAATAAATAAAATGTGAGCTCAAAATAAAACAACATAAAATGTGTTTATCTTAAGGCCATACACAAATTCTGGAAATAATTAGTTAGAGGGTTTCTAAACCTAAAAGGAATTACATGCGTTTCAATAATTTTAGAGTCTCCTCCATCTTTTTATCAAAAGTAACCCCGAATATGTTACTATTCTTCACAAAGGGAATTGAGTCTAATAATTATTAAAACTAAAATATATATTTTATAAAACTCTGCTGTAAATATGTACAAAACCAAATGTAGTTTAGGGAGGCAAAAATCACTTACTGTAGCTATAGAAGAAAGGAAGTCATAAATATTTTATTTAAAATATATAGATCAACTTAGCCTGTCCATTTATACTTGGATATTTCAAAATGGTATATATTTATACCAGTTGCCAACTAGGGAGTAATTTTAGTTAGTATTCTGGTCCTTAAATAAAAAATTCAAAAAGTGGAGTGGCTATAATGTATGAATAAAATTAACTATAAAATCACCCTTCTAATATCTTCCTTTAATAAGATAAAATATGATTTTCATGAAATCAGTAATTAGAGTCATCTCATAGACTTGAGATCTTTTTCGAGCCTGCCATTTTTCTCATATTGATTTTCCTTCCTTCCACCTCATCCACAAAAAATTCTCTAAAAAATAAATACTAGAGTAATAAGATTTATAGAAGACATCACCCCATGAGTAACAAAATAAAACACGCTTCAAATATAACTAATTGTCTTTTTTTGTCTTCTAGTGTTAATAAAGAAAAGGCTATGAAGTCCGTGCCCAATTAGGGCATTTCAATCCACTCTGTTATTATACTTTATTATTTTAGTTCCCTGTGTCTGTAGAAATAAGCTTAAGTAGCCTGATAGCATACTTTTCAATGTAAGAAATAATTTAATCGAATTATACAATCTGTATCTCTTTTAGAATCATTTCATTTCCTAAGTAAAAAATCTACACTAAGCAAAGTCTCATTCAGCTAAAAAAAAAAAAAAACTGCCTTGAAGAGGTGACACCTGGACCACATGAATAATTTTATGCATCCCCTGCTCATTCACACATAGCAGAGGATGACAAAAGTTTAGTGTCATGTGATCCCCTTTCTTCTCAGAATCCCTATAGCATTGTGATAAAAAGAAAATCAGCAGTTATACTACCTAGCTTCAAATCTGAACTCTATAAATTATTGTATGCCCTCCTTGTGGTATATTACTTAATATTTTTAAGTCCAGTTTACTTATCTTCAAAATAGAAAGAATCATAGTAACCTACAGTGATGGTTAACTTTAGACGTCACCTTGACTGGATTAAGAAATACCCGGAAACCTGGTAAAGCTTTATTTTAGAGCATGTCTATGAAGGTGTTTCAGAGGAGATGAGTTTGTGAGTCTGAGTAGAGTTAAGTAGGTAAGATATGCTCTCAATGCGGGTGGGCAACAGCCAATCTTCTGGGGACCAAGAGGAACAAAAACAGAGGAAAGGTGAATACATTCATCTGAAGCCAGTACACACTCTTTCTCTCTTGCGGGACACCAATTTCAGGCTCCCTGGTCTTTGGACTGCAGGACTTAGAACAGTGGCTCCCTGCACCCTAAGGCCTTTGATCCCAGACTGAGAGGTACACCATTAGCTTCTCTGGTTCTGAGGCCTTCAAACTTGAAGGCCAGGTCACCAGCCTCCGAGGTGCTGAGCCAGGTCACCAGCATCCGAGGGTCTTCAGCTTATAGGCAGCCTGTTGTGGAACTTCTCAGCCTCCATAATTGCATCAACCAATTGTCCTAATGAATCCTTCTCAAATAGCTATTATCGTTATCTGTATCTATATCCTATTGGTTCTGTCTTTCTGGAGACCCCTAACTAATACACCTACTAATCGTGGTTATTGCAAGGATGAAGAGAGATCATATTTGCAAACCACTTCTACATAGTAAATACTTATTAATTATGGTTGTTATTATTGTTATTATTAACAATAGTATCTCTATCCTGGGCTGTACTATGCCATAAAGATACTTTGCTTTCTACATTTATTATCCTAAAAAGGCAAGTCATCAAAACCAAAGGCACAAAGCCTAAATGAATTCTAGTTATATGAATAATTTTTTAAAACTAGTAGAATTTATTATTGTGTTCTTATTTGTATACCAGCAGATATATAATCCTACCCAGTATCATCCTATTCAACATTAAAGCAGAAAGTTCAGAGAATTCAGGGCACCATCAAAATCAAAATGACATACTTATTTACCAGAATATTTGCCAGAATATTCTGAGACCGCCACTTAAAAAAAAAAGACCAAATTAAAACTTGAAGTCCTTCTATTTCATAGTAAATTGAAAATCAAAAATACCCTTTTTATATCAGCTTTTTTCAACACTACTAATAATATAAAATCAAACCTTTGATTTTCACCACAGAGAAAATGAAACTGAGTAAATTGAATGCTCTTAGAAGGAAGAAAAAAGTTATGGATCACCATTTTTCACTTTTTTCTTATAAATATTCTTCAAAATTGTTATAGTCATTATGATTCGATAACCTAAATAATTTTACATGGCTTACAATAAAATTATAGCTAGAAGATATGAAATATGTTATACAGACGGATCATAAAATATTAAGGAAGAGGGGAAAATAGTAAGAGAGCTAGAATAACTTGCACTTCTGGTAAAGAAGACAGATCCTCTTTCCATGCTGATGTATAATAACAATCTTCAGATCTATTTGACATATTATTAAGAGAACAAAGTTTAAGAAAAACTCCCAAAATAAGTATTTTTTCTGCCTTTGAACTATATTTCCATCTCTTTTCCCCGTAGAAGTGATAAATCAACTAGATCTCAAAAGAAAACAAAAACAATCATTAAAATTTCCTGGTTAGTAACATTTATTATGCCAAAAAGTGTTGGGCCATGCAAATTCTCATTTATCTATTTCCTGATAGATACAGATAAATGGAAAATTCTATTCATCATTTACAAAACATTGACCATTTTTATTGTAACCTATTTTATATGCTTCCACAGTACACAGTTTCACCATTACAATAGCTATGTTATAATTCTAGAAAAGTAATAAGAGGTATATTGAACTTCTAGCCTATTTGAATGTACTGTATTGTATTAATTCTAAAACACATACAGTTTTGGATCTAATATCTTTAAAATCCTGGTTCCTTGTACAATCTTTTACATTTATGTTGGTGCTTTTACTTTTTCTCTTTTTAGAAAGTGTGGACTACAAACAAAAACAACAGTTTGTTTCCTACAATTGATGATGGCTTAAATTTGTTGAAATATGGCAGATAGCTATTTGAGAAAACATTTTATAAAAGGGTTTTTCGTGTTACCTTGTTATTAAATAAATGCTATAATTTTTTTAAAAAAACTTTTAACATGAACTGGGGAGTCCTAAAGATAATCGGCAGTGTCTATTCTAGAAATAATTCTTAACAGATTTTTCAGAATAATAATAATTATCTTCTATTAACACTTACTTCTTTCAGTGAAACCATTAAAGAAATAGACTTTTTCTATTAGTCCATTCTCACATTGCTGCGAAGATACCACCCAAGATTGGGTAATTTATAAAGATAAGAGATTTAATTGACTCACAGTTCAGCATGGCTGGGGAGGCCTCATGAAACTCACAATCATGGGAGAAGGGGAAGCAAACACATCCTTCTTCACAGGCCAGAAGGAAGGAGAATGAATGAGTGCCCAGAGAAGGGGGAAGCCCCTTATAAAACCATCAGCTCTTGTGAGAACTAACTCACTATCATGAGAACAGGAAGGGGAAAACCAACCCCATGATTCAATTATCTCCACCTGGTCCCTCCTATAACACATGGGGATTACGGGAACTACAAATTCAAGATGAGATTTTGGTGGGAACACAGCCAAACCATATCTCTTTGAGACCCATTTCTAATTTCAACAGATACTTATACTGTGGAAACTAAAGGTGAAAGTAAAAAATTTCATTTTTAAAGTGTCATTTATCTGACCAACAGAAAACCCAAGTCATAGCAGCTTAAAACATATTTAGAAGCAATGCATGCCATCCAGAACCCTGCTGACTCAAATATAAAATATGGTTAAGGCCCAAATCAAAAATGACACATTCTGTATTCTACAATTTGATGATATAAGCCTAATATGCTTTCAATAATTATAAAAATACACTGTGTCTATTTTTTTACCAAAATCAAACTTCTCCTCAAAAAATAATCACATTTATTTCCAGAACTGCATTTAATGTTCAATATGTACTTGATAATTTAACTTTTATAATCATCTTACAACTGAGCATCCTTGTTATGTTCATTTGAAGATAAGGAAACTGAGGCTTAGAAAGTTGAATCATTTGCCTCAGAATAGAATTTGACTCAGGGAGCCCAGATTCTGAGCCTGTCTTGTGATTCTCCACGTTATTGTGCTTGTAAGTCCTTGCCTGCTGGATTGGATTTAGTAAAAGTCTGGTCCCTTTAGTGCTGCACTGTCCAATATGATTGCCATTAGCCAAATATGGCTGTTTAAATTAAAATTAATTAAAATTAGATAAAAATAAAAATTCCTATCTTCATTCACAGCAGTCTTGTTCAGAGGGCTCATTGGCCACATCTGGCTACTGGCTCCTCTGTTGTGTGGCACATATTGAATATTGCTATCATCCCAATAAAGTTCTATTGGACAGTGCAGCTTTTGAGAAGAATAGACATGCTTGACTATAAAAATAATAATAATAATTGGCTTCACATGGCAGACGGAGGGTAAATATTTGTCAGAAATATAGTATTTACTGAGAGAAGACAAGCATGTAGAGATAATTTAGAATAGCTCATATCTCAGCACAATGACTTGAATGTACAAGTAGAACAAAACAAAGCTAATAAATATTTGAATTGACATTACTTTCCAAAAGAATCCTAAACTTTTACCAGTAAAATTAAGTCTATTAATAAATGTTTGTGCATTACAGATAAGAGTTTAGCAAGCAAGCTTGATTTTTAAAAAGCCATAGCTGAATGACAGTGGCTATAGGATGAGTAATAGATTTTTAAAAAATCAAATTCAGTATTTACAATATTGTTGTATTGCACGTTTGCTTGTATTTTATTGTCAACTTACCATTCATGATATATTCAAGTATTATATAATGATCAAAACAAATTCTTTCTAAAATACAGCCTTAAGACCTATTGCTCAAGTTTGGATTGTTTACTTTTTTCAGCCAATTTAATGGTTCACTGACAATAGTTTTGCCTGAAGAAATTGTCTTAAACAATTTTTGGGAGTGACATATGAAGAACGGGTAAATAGATCTAGATTCCAGCACAAGGTTCACCTGATTAGCCACAAGACCTTAGGCCTGGTTTCCTTAGATGTAAAATTATAATAAAGATATCTGCCAGGTCAGCATTACAGGGCTGTGTCTGAAACAGATTTTTTTTTTTTTGAAAGGAACTGAAAGCAGTTTGCAAGGTGCAAACTTCCATAACATATGGGATATTACAATTATCATGCCTTTGGTAAACGCTGGAAGAGAACAACATGTAGCCTCATTTCTGAACTCTGACTGAGGGTGTTAGGTTCTGCCAAGCTTGAGGCTGCCTCCTCTAACTAAACTTGATGATGTATTTACATATTCTAAAAAATTACTATAGACATCTGTCAAAAATAGCATGCACTCTTCATTCCCTCTAAAATATAGATTTGGTGGCCGGGCATGGTGGCTCACACCTGTAAACCCAGCACTTCGGAAGGCCGAGGCGGGCGGATCACGAGGTCAGGAGATCGAGACCATCCTGGCTAACATGGTGAAATCCCATCTCTAATAGAAATATACAAAATTAACTGGACATGGTGGGGGGCGCCTGTAGTCCCAGCTACTTGGGAGGTTGAGGCAGGAGAATGGCATGAACCCGGGAGGTGGAGCTTGCAGTGAGCTGAGATTGTGCCACTACACTCCAGCCTGGGCCACAGAGCAAGACTCCGTCTCAAAAAAAAAGGAAAAAAAAAATATATATATATATGTATATAGATAGATAGATAGATAGATAGAGATAGATATAGATTTGGTTTATTCTTAAATATTATTCCTACTGTTTCCAGTCCTCTGCCATGAAATCAGAAAGTGCAACAATCCAGTGATTCTAGCCCCAGCATTGTTGTGCCTCCCTTGGTAACTGGGAATGGATGCAGAGAATTTTTCAATACTTTGCAGTTCAGGGTCTGAAAGCCAGATGAAGCTAATGTCCTGGGGTAAGGGTGGAGAGGTGGGTATTGATATATTTACTGTTTTCCTCAGAGCAAAACGATGGAGCCATTGTTGTATTAAAACTAATCAATTTCTAGTACTACATTTGGGACTCTGAGGAGCAAAAATGTTCCTCTTTTTCTAAACACCAAAGCAAACAAGCATGCTTCCTCAATAGATGAGCTTTAAGCAAGGGGGTTTGTCTCCCTTATACATTTTTTTCCTTAGGATATATAAGCTTCCTCTCTTAGGGAAGGGAGAAGACAGATTTTACTGTATCTTAAGAAAAAGTAAGAATGATCACAAAGGTTTAAGGTTCCAAGTAGGGAAGTTTCCTGAGAAATTCCATAATGCTAGGCTTCCCCTAATATTTTCTAAAGGATGCTCTAGGGATTAAATAGAATGTTCTTCAAAGAGTGAGGCATCTTTAAGATTCCTGAAGGGGTCATAAATTAAGGGAGCTGAATTATATGCCCTGAGCAGATCATCTTGCCAGTCATGACTGAAAACATGTGAGCAGAGGAGAAAGGATGATTCTATTCCCTGAACGCCCAACCCCACCACTTATTTTGGCTTATTTCTCCTCAGATTTCTCTCCTTATTATCTCTGATTCTTGGTACAGCAGGAGGAGAAATTCTCATTTCCCCTTCATTCAGTTCTATAAATCCACTCATCAGTTCTCTAACGAATCAGTTGTCTGAGAATAAGTCCCAGCAAAATTTGCTGAAATGGCCATTATAATCTCTGATCCCTTAATTATAACATTTCCTCTTTTCGAATATATGTTTCTATCGACTGGTATTAATACATTATTGGAGTTCTCCTTTTTCTAGTCAATACACAGTCTGACATGACAAGCAAACAATACTCTTTAAAACACTGATGAGAGTATCATTTCCAGAAATTGTGGACCTGATCTAAAAATGGACTCTTCCGAAGAATGTGCCACTCTTTTCACTGATTCTCTCTGACTCACTTAAGCTTCACTATAGATTAGTTTTGATCTAATCATTTTCCAAGTAATTTACCCTTAAGCTAAGAGTACTCTTAGATTTTTTTTTTTTTTTGGCGGCAAATATCACAATATGCTGAATAGATCTTCTAATGTAAATGTTTGTAGTACTTTTGTTAAACATTCTGTTTAACAACAATCCCTGAACTAGCCTGGTTGAACCCACTCAAATATTACCAAGACCTTTCACAGGGTAGTTGAAGAATGCTTAGCAACTCTTGTGTAAGAAAAAGAACTCAGAATGAATATGTCTCTTGTGTAGGTCAAGACAAATGTCAGGGCCAATAAAGGATGAAACATGATGATGGAGATTTGAAATGAAGGGCTGGGGCAACAGGTGCTTGGCATGAAACACTGAAAGACAGGAGAGAAGTGCTGTGAGGTAGCAAAGACAGCACTCTTCCTGAGAGTAGACAAAGGCCAGCCTCAGGCTTCTCATCACCAGAGAAACAGATCTTAAGCACAAAGTAGTTAGAAGACACACTGAAATTTGGAACACTTTTTTTTTTTTTTTTTTGTCTAAACAGGTCACACCCAAAGCCCCAAGGAAACAACAGGAATCTATCCGAATACGCAGAAACAAATACAATAGTTTTCTCAATGTGGTAAAACAAAGGAAAACTATAAACAAAACAGATACAAGGAAAGAACACTAAGATTTCTAAACACCCCCAATGTGAAAGATGCTTTAATTGACAAGTTCCCTGCTTTCTTTCTTTAATGCTCATTACAACACTATGAGGCAGAATTTTCTTCACAGTTTTCAAGATAAAGAATCTGAGTCTCAGAGAGACACCCAGACTGTAGGTGGTAGGCCAGGTCTTTGCACAGAGATTTTTTCTGATTTCACAATTTCATATCACTCTATGACATATATTGAGTCAATGACAGGTGACTTGTCCTTTTCGATATTAGGTTATTTATTTGACCATAACTGAATAATGCCAAAGAGGCTTGAGAGACTTAAATGTGAAAAGGTACTACATTACTTGGATGTACTACTTAAATTAATAACTTATGCATATTTGAAGGCAGACATTCAAGTGTAATGTTCAGATATCACATCTTTCAAATTTTACAACATTTACATGTTGTAGTTTCTGGATGAAGCATTTTATTTATTTATTTATTTATTTATTTATTTATTTATTTATTTTGGGACAGGGTCCCTCTGTGCCATCCAGGCTGGAGTGCAGTGGCATGATCATAGCTCACTGCAGCCTCGACCTTCCAGGCTCAAGAGATCCTCCTGCTTCAGCTTCCTGAGCAGCTGGGACCGCAGGCATGTGCCATCAAGCCTTCTATTCTATTTTTCATCTACCAGAATCCAGCAAACTTCATATATTATTTTCATTACTATTGAGGGCTTCTAGGTATAACTTCGGTATTCTACTTTTTGTTTTAAATTTTTGTTTGTCCATACCTCAGATAATAATCAAATCAAGATGATCCAGTACACAGTTAACAAAACAATTACAATGTCCGTAAAATATCAAATAAAGACTAAAACATATGAATATGTTGGTCTGAAAATATATAGCGTATTCAGCTAATTTTTGGAAAACACCAGTTGTATTTCTGTATCATCCCAAATATCGCCTTCTCTAAAGATATTCTCATAATTTATAAAGTGAAAATTCAAATATCTAAGGTGAAATGTAGTGTGATAAATATAGGTATATGTGTATTAAATTCGTACCTAGGTTATCATTGCATATCAAGATGAAACCACATTTATCTATTTTATATGGATATACATAAAATAGATATGAACTTAAGCATTTATCTCTCCATTTAAGATATAAACAAAATAGATAAGAACTTAAGTATTTATCTTCCCATTTGGGATATAAATAGATATAAACTTAAGTATTTATGAAAGATTCCTTTATATCTACAATATAATATATAGATTAAATTGTATCACATTACCAACCATTAGTAACAGATGAGGTGATTTTATAAATTATAGAAGGGAGAAAATAATAGTGGGTTTTATGGCCCATATAATTCCTTTTAGGGTTTGGCCAGACTAGTGACTAAACAAGTAGAAGCTTATAGAATTAATTAAGATTGTATATATACTATTAAATGTCGATTTGAATAGGAATGTTTGGTTAAAAAAGAGGTGATTAAAAAAAGTCAGCAGGACATCCTCATCAAGAGTGATTAATAAGAACCACAGCCATGTGCAAGTGACCTTAACGGAAGACATGATGTCCCCTGTCCAGCTATGGACTTCTCTGATGCAGTAGGGACCTTCCCAATGGCCTCAAGATAGAGATGATTATATGACTGAAGGGATGCACTGATGGAAGTATAACCTCTCCACTGGCAAGAAGAAAGTAAGGCAGTGTTAACAGGACACCTAGAGCATGCCAATGTAAGTTCCTCACTCCTTTATAGATTGTGTGGCCTATTTTTAGTCTAGGCACCTGCCTCTTTCCCCCTCTACTTATCATCTACCCTGTGCATAATGAGAAATGTGAGAAGCAGCAGTAAAACAAGTTTTTCTATTTGGCCAGAAAAATAGGTTTAAATCCATTTATTGTCTCAGTCACAACCAACATGAAAGTATGTAAATAAGATCTGCAGTAATTTTTTAGGCCATGCAGCAACTTTTGGTGAACATTAAGCTAGTTAGTAATAATTTTTAATGTGCGAATTAATCTGTATATGTCTAAGTGACATCCAACCATTAGCTAGTGTATAATGACAGTCTTCATGTTAACTAATATCTCTTTTACACAAAGTTTGCAGAAAGCTAATGTGCTGTTCTGAACACACACTATTCTAATATCAAACAGTGAAAAAGATTTAAGTAGAAACGCAAACCATATATATATATATACACATGGTTACACTATATATATATATATACATGGTTACACTATATATATATACACACTATATATGTACACTATACATATACACTATATATATACACTATATATATATACTATATATATATATATATATATACTATATATATATATACACACACACACAAAAAAAAAGAACACTTAAAGTCTTCATCTCAAAACTCTTGGTTACAACACTCTGTACACTTCCCATCCCCATAATTGTTACTGGTTATTTACCCTGTCGAAAGTACTTAAAAATAAAATTTTGCTTAAGAAGAAAATTCATCACGAATTATTATTGTCTTTTTAATGGTTTATCATTATACAAAGTTGATGTTTGGCAAAATGATTATAGAAAAACTTTATTCCCAGCATCTTCCTTATCTTTAAGTCATTTTATACCCAAGTTTCTATCCAGGATCCCAGTGTATTATTTTCATTTTCACCCGAACATGCAGTGTATTTCTTGTCATGAAAGCAAAACCTTATCTGTTCCTTTCCCATCCCTTCCTTTCTCTCTGCAAGATGACAGATGAATAAAAATTATTTGCAGCAAATAAGTGTGAAGAATTCAACTGGATATTGTGCTACCATTTCTTGGTAACATACCATTAATTAGAGTAGATCTTCTCAAATTGTAGTAATCATCAACATCACTAGAGGGATACTTAACACACAAGTTGCTGGGCCCCACCCCCAGAGTTTCTCATTCAGTAGGTTTCAGGTGAGGCCCAAGGATTTGCATTTCTAAGTTCCTGGATGATGCTCATGGTGATGGTCCATTAAGAATGGAGTTAAAAATGTAATACAGTATGGTAGATTAGGCAGTGAGGTATCCGACTAATCAGCAGATTTGCTGTCTCCCCTCATTTTATACCAGGTATAAAAAATTAAGGCCAGTCCAGTAGCTCTGCACTTAATAGAATATAAAAATGTTGTTTTAAAAACTCTTGCTTTGTATAACACAAAAGCAAGCAATATAAAACAAATATTTTTCCGAAGCACAAAAACAATCTTACCTGAACTTAATTACGGCACTTATTTGTTGCTTTAATCGGGTTACCTAGAACATTTAGCCTTTTAAGATTTTGCCATAGAGAAAATTTTATCCCATATTCTTCCATGTGAACTGTTAGGTGTCTTCTATCATTTCTTGCATATTCTTGCACACAAACACAATCATGCATACATGTAACTTCTGATTCTTACAATTGGAGTAACACTATCAACCAGAATACCTAAAGTTCAATGACCCTAGACTGTTTCCCTTACAGAATAATTTTGGCACATAACAACCACCTAATAAATAAAATATCTGAAAAATGTTCATATTAGCCTAAATTTCTACCATTTTGTTGCACTTTCTTCAATTCATACTCAAAAAAATTAATAACTTTTGAATGAGTATGTATTTTTCTAAACAATCAACTCATTCTCTTAATCACTTATTAATTATCCATTTGTACTATGGCAAAAGAAAATCTCACAGCTTCTAGGCAAAGTGAATAATAATATTCTTGAAATAATAGTGTTATATTTTGGTATGCACAAGTTAAACAACTGTCACAATCTTAAGTAATACAAGTTATGCACTTACTCGGTATGAAGTATGTTTAAATGTGGCATAATTTTGATTGATTAAATAATTCTGCTCTAATAATTTAGTAGTACTGGTATTAAATGTGAAAATAAATAAGGGAACTATTTAAAGACTAATTCTCTATGTGGAAAGATTTCTCAAACAGCACATCTTATGGAATAATAACAAGATTCCAGTATTATACAAAAGTTTGAAAGAAATTTATTCATTTTTTTCTTTACTATAATCAGAGGGAAATCATGATGAAAACACAATGCTTCCTATGCAGGTTTTAACTGGATCATATTACAGTATTTTTAGATTCCTAATTTCAATCGTTCAATTGTTCTCTACACATTTCATTTCCAAAATTCTTTCTCCTATCATTATTTCTATATAAGTAGCAATTTAGTAAAAAAACTCCATTCTTCAGTAAGAAAACTATCTTTGAAAGAAATAAAAGTGAAAATGTTGATGAAGGAATCTATAAATTCTGAACAATTTGCATTCACCATTATTTCATCAACTCTATAGCAATCATGTCCAAAATAAATAACACAATCAGTATTCCTTTCTTCACCCAAAATATCCCAATTTTATTTCATATGTCTGGTTAACTATAAAGCTATGTCTAACTTAAAACTAGAAATTTAATATCCACTTCAAATATAAGAAACAAATGATTTCAATATTCTGACAACATTCATCTTGCTTTTTGTTATATTCTAAGGACATATCTCTAAACTGCTTAATTTTTCAATGTCAATAATTATTACCACTTATTGTACTCAAAGTACATATAAAACCACTACAGGTTTGGATGCAAAATATATAGATTATTTTAATTTATAGTAAATTAAAAGTGTAAACTCCTTTATCCTACAGTTAGGTACTAATTATTTACTAATTAGCTCTCTTTTTTTTTTTTTTTTTTTTTTTTTTTTTGAGATGGAGTTTCGCTGTTGTTGCCCAGGGTAGAGAGCAATGGTGCGATCTCAATAAGCAGCTCATTTTGATTACAGGTATACATGAAGTAAAATTCATGAAGTAAAATTCATTATACCAAAAAGCCTCCCACAGAACTTTCATGCACCCTGAGCTATGTGAACTGAAAAGTAACAGTGGGATAGCAAGAACCAGCTTACAAAATAAATTCCTATCGAGTGTTTTTCACAGAAGGATGATAATTTTAGGTTGCTTACATCATATATTTCCAATCTTAATGAGAAAAACCTACTCTGATGATCTGATGTTATTGAAGTATTCTGAGAAAGAATTGCTGATGGGATTTAGTGAGCTACTGAATAAGAGAAATCAAAACTGTATAAATTAGATATATTTTCTAAAAATAAGGTGATTGTGCAGAAAACTAAAGATTCATGGAAATAGATATAACAGCTTGGATATTACTAAGCGCTAATGATAGTTATCTCATTATTGCAAGGATTTGATGATATGGTCCACTGTTCACCTGAAACCACCAAACACAGCATGTTTCATATCTCAGTTTTCAGTCACAGAGCATTTCCAGAGTTTACTCCTGTTCAGCTGAGATACAGTATTATGGTATCCTTCACACTAAACTTACAAAATCTATAAAGAAAAGCAAGGGCATCACAGGGCATCATTGCTTATAAAACAAATAAATCACTGATATTTAAATGCCTTAGAGTGTTCCTCAATGTAACAAATATGACAGTAACCCTACATATACAATTGCCTTATATTGATAATGAAAGCATATTTGCCATTTTGGATATATTCCTTACCTGTCAAGTTCTTTAATCCAAGTTCTTGAAGTCCAAAGTTTCCATCTTTTCTGTAGTTTAAAAATATTGCCAAGGCATATCGATCCTCATAAAGTTTTGTCCCACGAATAATGCGTAAATTCTCCAGAGGCAGGTAACGAAACTGATTAAGAGCCACTAACACGTAGCCTGTGACTTCTCGAACAGACTGAAAAGACACAAACAGTTGCCTGTGTTATAAAACGAATTTGTCACTCTGTATATGTAGCAATTTAGATTAAAATGAGTTATTAAACTCTAATTTTCAGTTTTTAGTTTAATACATTATTTTCCATATCATATTCTAAAGAATTGGCTTCATAATAAAAGATCACAAAGGGTTAGAATCTCATTTGAAGTATAAGTTGTGTTTCTTTTAAACAGTTATGAATGTGCTTATACTAAAATGATGGATTTTGTTTATGGGACCTTCTTCATACCTGAGATTTGAATATAGTTAAAGGAATAAAGGTCTTGCTTATCAACAGACTACAATAAGTTAAGGACACACAACCATCAGTCAAACTTTAAATAAAAAAGCATATTGGTGAGCCTAAGTAAAACAAAGCCATGTTAGTTTGTAAATTGTAGGATAGGTTTAAAATGGCTCTATTGGTGTTTGGTGCTATATTTATCAAATAACAATTGCCCTGTACATCTCTAGGGAACACAAACATAAAAAACATGTATTAAAAACTAATTGTTGTGGCCGGGCATGGTGGCTCATGCCTGTAATCCCAGCACTTCTGGAGGCTGAGGCGAGTGGATCATGAGGTCAAGAGATCGAGACCATTCTGGCCAACATGGTGAAACCCCATCTCTACTAAAAATACAAAAAATTAGCTGGGTGTGGTGGCAGGTGCCTGTAGTCCCAGCTACTTGGGAGGCTGAGGCAGGAGAATCACTTGAACCCAGGAGGCGGAGGCTGCAGTGAGCCAAGATTGCACCACTGTACTCTAGCCTGGCGACAGAGTGAGACTCTGTCTCACAAAAAAAAAAAAAAAAAAAAAAAAAAACCTAATTGTTGTCTATAAATTCATTCCAACCACATTTTTAATTTTTACTGCCCACTGTTTAAATTTAGTTGTCTATAATAAGTTAATTATTTGAGGGTTTGTGAGACATTTTAAAGCAAAACAGTGTCATGAAGAAAGTCTGAGTTTCATCTAAATATTTTTTCAATAAAATGATGATAAATAGTTGTCAGAATTTAAAAAAAACTAAAAATGATAAAAAAAATACTCAAGTATTTGGTATTATTTTAATACCAATTTCATGTTATTCTAACTAACCCTTTTCATTTCAGATGCTCCAAGGCTGTTTTTGGTACTTCCCCCCACCCTGTCTATTCTCACTCCCTTGGTGATCTTATTCAGTTTCAAAGTTGGTGATCTCCAAACATTTATCTCTATACTTTCCCCAAACTCCAGATTTATACCCAACTGTTTACTCAACATCCTTACTTGGATGTCTAGTATGCTTTTCAGATACACCTATCAATGGCTGAACTCTTTTCTTCCTCCACCCCTCTGGCAGCCTTCCTCATCTCAGTTCAGGTTATTCCATCTTTTCTGACTTTCAGGCCAAAATTTCAGTCATCTTTGACTCTCCTCTGACACCCCAAGTGTGATCCATACTATTTGTTCTACGTTCAGAATGATCAGAAACTCAACTACCTCTTACGTCATCCATGGCTCCCACCTGAGCCATCATCATTCCTCATCTAGGTTATTGCAATAGGTCTCCTTGAGTCTATTCCTGATCCCTATGGTGTATTCTCAATTCAGGCTAGCCAAGATATTTTAAAGACATAAATCAAATTACAACACTTCAGTGCTTAAAACTCTGAAACATCTCCTAAGTCACTCAGAGTAACAGACAAAATACTTTTACTGATGTATCAAAATCTTTATGCCATTCAGTGCAATAACCACTAGTCATATGTGACCTGAGCAACTGAAGTGTAGCTGGCATAAATTTAGATGTGCTGTAAGTACAAAATACACTCTGGATTTTGAAGATTATATGATGAAATGATAACATTTGAGATAAATTAAGTTAAATAAAATGTATTATTAAAGTTAATATCAGTTGTTTCTTTTTATCTTCTTATTGTGGCAAAACATTTTCAATTACATTTTATGGCTCTTATTATAATTCTGTTGGAACTGCAGTGTATGATCTAGTCATCAGTTCTCTTTCACATGAAAAGTATAGTTCTACCTTAAATTGTGCATTATACCCTTAAAAACCTGAGTTTCCTTTCATCTTGTTATCTTCTTGGCAAACTCCCTCACTACCTTCAAGTTTTTGCTCAAATATCACCTTCTCAGTTGAGGCCAACCCTGATAAACCTGTTGAACACTGTAGCCCCTACACTTTTACCTGCTTCAATTCTCATATTTTCCCATTACTTCTTACCTTCTACTACACTATATCATTCATACATTTATCAGATTTAGTATTCGTAACCTGTCTCTTTTTCCCAGAATATAGCCCTATAAGTTCAAGCACTTTGGTTTGTTAACTTGTGTGTCTCATGTGACCAGG
The DNA here is from genome assembly GCF_000001405.40 of Homo sapiens. Taxonomy (NCBI): domain Eukaryota; kingdom Metazoa; phylum Chordata; class Mammalia; order Primates; family Hominidae; genus Homo; species Homo sapiens. Next base: position 211,949,998 of record NC_000002.12, read on the forward strand.
AGAGTGGCAGTAAGAAACCAACAAGTATCACTCCGGCCCTTCTCTGGCCACACCCTTCACCACTGTACAATGCCTGTGGAGTGAAGAAAAAGGCCCATTTAGATTCTGCACTCTCCCCTTCCAGACCCTGTGATCCCAGAATTCCCTTTGCAAATAACCCCAAGTCTTTACCCAGAAACTGTAATGTCATCTTCCCCAGTTCCATCCCCAGAGAGCAGATTGTGCCACCAATGTGCATACATTTAGGAAGGAATAGGTGGTCCAGGTGTCAATGTCTGATGGGAAACTGTACAGATCCTGGACATGTAGGCTAGAGTGTTCAAAAACTTGCATGTAAGACCTCTCACAATACAGGATAGAAGTGGGTGGAAGAGAGGCTATAGACTGGAGCCACTTCTCTCCATGCCAACATATTCCTGAGGACTCCAAAAGTTCTAACATTGTACCTGGCCATCCAGGTTGTTATAAAGATATATCTGTCAAAATGGGAAAATATAACATTTTATTTAGTAATCTCTAGTTGGTTTATAATAAAAAATAAAATATGTGAGCCTCTATTCAGACTCTTTCCCCCCAGTCACACAATTCTTAGGAATAAGCATGCTACAAATAATCAATAGAAGAGTAGAATCCTAATGGAGCAAAAGTGGAGAGGAATAGGAAAGGGATATATGGAATTACTCATATCTGGCATCAAATTGGGAACTCTAAGCCACTATGAGTATTCCTAAGACAGTGAGTGTCTTGGGGTGAAGGGATAAATGCCTAGGACAATAGAAAAGAGGGGTGAAACTCAGCAGTGATATGCATTGTTCGTACACAGCAATTTGTTTAAAATTGCACCGCGTGGAAAAGTCTAGCTCTAGGGCTCTGTAATTCCTCCTTCAAACACTGTTCTAATGGTTGAGCTGTTACCTCTTTGAATGCCCTTATCTACCTCTTTGAGCTCTTAAAGAGAGATTATACATACATTCTGACATCATATGGTCTAAAAAGTAAAATTCATTCATTATTAAAAAGTTTTCTTTAAACTTGAATACAATAATTATTTAGTGATTAGATCACAATGATAAATGTGTTGATGGAGGGTGTATTATGACTCTTTTGCCTACAACATATGATAAGATCCATCATTCCAAAACAAACTTATCATTAGCTTCCATCCCACTCAGGAAGTGACTCTTCTTATCAAAAAGTGTAAAATGTCATTGGTTTATCTCAAGATGGAGAAACACATTTATAATGTCAACAGAGAAAACACAGATGAAGCATATTCAGGTAAAAGAAGAAGTTTATTTGTAAAAGAGTAACATTAATAGTAATTTTTCAGTGTCACTTGGCATGGCATTTGGATCACATATTACCACAAGCTGCAAATAATCTGCAAATAATAAGTGCTCTAGAATGTGTGATAGGTATGAACCAAGAAAAATGCTGAACACATAAAGAAGGACCAACTAATGCAGAAGAGGATGCTCCAAGTGCTCTTATTTACTAGAAAAAGTAAAATATAACTAAGAAAATCTTTGTATTTGCATATTACTAAATATATTTATATTTGAATTAATTGTGTTGTAATATTTACATACTTCTCATTTCAGGGTGTGTATTACATTATTCTCAGACACATGTGTCTTGTCTTCATGGAAGGTCAGATTAAAAGCAATAGCTACTCCCTTGTAAAGATTCTAGAACTGGAGGGATTTGCTGTTATAACTGAGGTTCTAGTGTCCAAAATAAGTCTCTGTCATTATTCATTCTGTTTATTACCCTCTGTTCTTGCAAAATAGTATGCAAAAACTAAGCATTAGCCTAACAAATATCCTTTTCTTATGTGAACTCTGGACATCATTCCATGTTAATGCTGAGAATGCATGTCTAAGCCATTTTGAACAAGGCCACCCATAAGTTGGTCCATAGTAAATTATTTTATGATAATGATAGTGAAGATCCTATTTATCTTAATTGTTACGTCCCTTTCTCTGACCCAGAAAAATAATGTAAATAATAGAAAAAAAATCATAGCAAATCTCTCAACCCAAGATGTGTTGCTCTAATCTTTTATATGTAGAGGGACACATGGAACTGAAGCATTTTAAAAAGAGTTACAGGAGATAAATATAAAATTCTTATATCTAAAAGAAACACATCATGCCTTATTTTGGTCTCTGTATTCTGGTATTCATAGTCACATTCTCTCAGGTATTCCTATAGTCTTTCTGTGAACAAATATCTTGAAACATCTCAAAAGGAAACTCCAGTGCAGATCATGAGCCATGTGTACTGACTACAAATAAAAACAATTACAGGAAACAAGTTAATAATGGTAGGAGTGCTTAATGATGAAAAAGAGTAAATAACGTGGTTTGAGATGATATTGGCAGATCTGGATAAAAAGTGAAGAGATATCTAAAAGCGTAAATTATATGTTATAATGTCTGATAAGGCCACACAACCATGTCAGTTATCCATTGTTCCTCTCCTTTCAGCCATCAGAAAGAATCTCAGTAGCACAACATTTTCCACTGTTTTAGAAAATTTTGAGAGAATAAAAACAACTTTTAAACATATGGACTTATCTATGGGAAAGTATAACGGTAGGAAATGTGGGCTTGTCTGCCAGGCAAAGTTGGACTCCAAACCTAGCCTTTGTGCTTACTAGCTTTGTGGCTTTCATCAGGTTGCTTAACCTCATTTAGCCTCAGTTTCTTCATCTTTAAGAAAGAGATACCAATATTTCTATTATAAAACCGTAATAGGGGTTAGAAGATATAAGAAACCTGTCTGGCAAATAGTAAGTATTTAACAGATGCTAAGTATTACAAATATTATCTCTGATAATAGCCAGGCAGATGAACTGCCTGCAGACAATCTGAGCAGAAAAAAAAAAATTATAATATCATTACATAAGAACTGTTGCTTTTAATCTCTCTGTTATGTAACCTTTGGTACATTTATATCTTGCTTATGCAATTTGCAATTTATTCCTAAATTTCAGAAATGGTTCCTTATACTTTATGTGTGTATATTATGGCCCTAAATATAGACTCTGGCGCTGAACATTTAATAATGGCTGTGGAATGGAATGGAATCGAAAAGTGGAAAGCAATGCTTAAGGTCTTTTTAGATATCGTTTTCCAAGGAAAATAATTTTATGAACTTGCCACTAATACAAAACATTGTTTGAACAAAACAATTATGAATTATGTCCAAGGACCACAGTAGTAAACAGAAATTATAACAATGCCCTAGGGGAGGGATAGCATTAGGAGAAATACCTAATGTAGGTGACGGGTTGATGGGTACAGCAAACCACCATGGCACATGTATACCTATGTAACAAAACTGCACGTTCTGCATATGTACCCCAGAACTTAAAGTATAATTTAAAAAAGTAAATAAAACAAAATAAAATCTAATTTCTGAGTTACTGGCGATGTCTTTGATATTAAATAAAGGTTTTTCTCCAAAAAAAAAAAAAAAAAAAAAAGAAGAAGAAGAATGCCCTAGCAAAGACAAAATCCTGACTCTGGTTCTGGCTCAGTAACAGTTTAGTTCTAGGAAGTCATCCCATTTTGTCAACCAAAGAGTGAATATGCTCCTAAAGATATATCTTCCTCCTCATGGTGTAAGCTTCCGCTCAGTAAAACTGATTGATTTCCATTGTCAATGTAGGTTTCTACAGTTGCTTTGTTCAAGTAGTAAATACAATCGGATATTATTAAAGCCTTGAATGCTTCAAAACTCTTCTAGCCCAAGGGACAATTTGTTTTGCTTATGACATTTGATGATAGAAATCAAAAGATAATGGAAAACAAAAAAATAATTTCCCATACCATATTAGCAATAAGTCCAGGAAAAAAATCATGATTTTTTAAAAATGACAACAAATTTTATAAGCATTTCTCCTGCATAATATTCTAGAGACAATGTGAAATCTGCAGTTATAAACCTGGAATTTTCAATGGATGTCCCTCAATCAAAGATTAGATGGGACGGTATTGGCTCACTGGGTTATCCTTTTACCTCTAGATCATTTCAGAAAAATCAGTCTTCACTATTTTTACATTTATGCTTCATTCCACAACTCTTTTAATAGCTATTAATTTTTCTGTATTTGATATAAATCCCTAATTCTTTTCTTCTTAGTTGACTTTTTAAAAAATTTGATCCTTAATAGAAATGAAGACTAGTTCCTTAAATGTTTCTTCATTTACCTTAAGATTAAAGTGATTACAGTAACACACAATTCCTAAATATTTAATAAGTGTTTAGAATGATTTTATGCACATTAAAAGCAATTACATGTTCCTAGCTAAGTATGTAAAACTCTTATTCCTAGATTTTTTCCTACTAAAATTATTCATCAAATCCATGTTTATTACTTATTTTTCTTTAAAATTAGCATCTCTTTGAAAATATACCTATCCATTTTTGTTAAAACCTTCTGTAATCAGTCAAAAAGATCCAAATTCTTAACTTCTACTCCAGTGTCTTAAGAACTCATACACAATTAGATATTATCCACAAAAATGCTAATACATTTCATCAGGTAAGAATCAACAAATATAATGCTGATTACTTAAGGTCAATAGACTAAGTCAAATAAACCTGTAGTATCACAGAGAAGAGTAGGGAACAGAGAACTATGGTGGTAAGAGGGGGGGTAATAGAAAGTCCCTTCTGCTGGTAATGACTGCAGAATTTATGTGTTCTCTGACGGTGACAAATGTAGTAGCAAATTGTAGCCTCTCCATCAGTAAAGCTTTCCATTAAATTTCCCTAGGCAATTAATTTCTGTCCCTGCCCTTCACAGCATGTCTGAGAATATCTAAAGCAGAAAACATTCTTAACTATGACATAGCATGAAAAAGTTTACCAGAATAAAAGTACATTAATAACCACAGAGCAAACATTACACATCCCTGCTGCTTGTAGAGATAGTATGTTTGCTTTGGAATTCTGCGTTCATTTTTCCCATTGTTTTTAAAACTCTAAGGATTGTGCCACCCTGGCAAGGAGGGACTCAAAGTCTCATTTAATTAGATTTGAAAAAAAAGTAAGTAATGTGAAATGTCATATACTGACTGGAGTAGAGTGGAATTCATACTACTTACATACTGCGTGAAATAATACTCAAGAGGTAGGAAACCTGGTAAGATCATCCCAACAAACTGCTAACTTTCAGCCATTTCCAGCTAGTCTCTTGGGTGCTAGTGTTGCTATGAGTTCTACTTTCTAAGAATCTGCAGGCCATTTCACTCATCACTGGCCGCTTAGCCAGCTCTCAACCCATGACTTCTTAGCAGTGAACACCTTTAGTTCCATTGAGAAGAGGACTCCTTAGCTCACCTCCCTAGAATTAACCATATTTTTTTTGTCCTTTATATTTTCCTGAGCTGGCTGGAGGGTTAATAGTCCCCCTTCAGATCTCTACATTCCCAATTGATTCTTCATCTCCTGACCTTATCAAGACTGTATTCCTGTATCATAGACTTATTACACTAGAGTTAGGTTTGTAAAATTAAATTAAATTGGCCCAAAGTTGTCTCTGTACCTTGAGTTTCTATACAGCAAACTGTGACCTAATTAGTATATAAACAAACTGCAAACTAACTTAAGAGTATATTCTCATAACAAGTAGCTGAATCTCAGCCAATCATAGCAGCCAGGCCTCAGTCAATCACAGGCTACCAACTGATCACACTATGTCCAAATAAGACAAATGCCACGCTGTAACAATTTAAACTGTTTCTGCATAATACTTACTTGTCCATCTATAAATTCTGCCTGTTCACATTGCTGGGTAGGAATCCCTGAACTACTCCTGATCTGAGTGCTGCCCAATTCATGAACATTCTTTTTTTAAATAAACTCTGCTAAATTTAATTTGTCTAAAGTTTTTCTTTTAACAGATTACACAAACTAAGTTGGAAGCTTTGGTAGATTCATTTACATAATAACACAAACTTTCAATTGTAAGTATACATATTTCAAAAAATTCATAAGTTGAAGATTCTATCATCTCTAAAGTGTGTGTGTGTGTGTGTGTGTGTGTGTGTGTGTATTTGTTTTCTACATATTTATACAGGTAGGCTTATATTTTGAAGCTTGTATTTCAAATAGACATTTTAATAATCTTTAATAACTATTTAAAATATAATACTGAGTTCAATTTTTTTCCTATCAGATAAACACATTAAGCTCCAATGACTTGGGGAATTGACTTTTAACTGAAATTAGATACAACGCATAAATGCAAAAATAGTAAGAATGTTTGGAAACCTTTGAATTAAACTTTGTTTAGATATAGATAGAGCTGAAGTAAAAAGAAATTATTAGTTTTCGGCACTTTCGTACAACTGAAGCTATACCTGAATCAAAGCGTCGTAATGTTTATTAACATTGTCCATATGATGATGAGTATTCTCCACAGAGAGCCAAACTGGTTAGGACGATGCAGCCTAGTGATTAAATTTGGGTTCTGTAGTCTCACAATCTTAGTTTGACTCCTGTCTCCATCACTTATTGACCTTGCGCAAATTATTCAATATTACGTTCCTCTTCTGCACAACAGGAAAAATTCCTGCTAAATGCTCAAAAGTTGAATCAACAAAAGATAATCAATTTCATCATATTATAATTAGTGCAATTATGCCAAAATATTTGTAAATATTTTGTATAAGTTTAGGAATGGTAAACAATATATAAGCAAAAACATTTAATATTAAAATTAATTAAACAATTGGTACTACATAGCTCATAAAGATATAGCTTCAGTCAGATTATCTATTGTTGGCTAAATATGACCACTCCCTAAAATAAATTTATTCATGTATATATTTGTTTGTTTATGAGACAGATTCTTGCTCTGTTGCCCAGGCTGGAGCGCAGTGGTGTGATCACAGCTCACTGCAGTCTTGAACTCTGGGTTCAAGAGATCCTCCCACCTCAGATTCCTGTGTCTAGGACTACAGCTACACAACACCACACCAACCTAATTTTTTTTCCAGTAGAGATGGGGGTCTCATTATGTTGCTGTGGCTGGTTTTGAACTCCTCGCCTCAAGCAATACTCCTGCCTTTGCCTCCCAAAGTGCTAGGATGACAGATGTGAGCCACTGTGCCCAGCCAAACCCCCATAATGTATACGCTGAAGTCCTAACCCATACTACCTCAGAATGGGACTGTATTTGGAGATAGGGTTTTTAAAGAGGTAATTAGGCTAAATTGAGGTTATTAAGTCGGGCCCTAATCCAATATAACCAGTGTTTTTCAAAGAAGAAAAGATGAGGGCACAGACATGACAAGAAAAAAGACCATGAGAAAACACAGAGAGAAGTTGGTCATCTACAAGCCAAGGAGAGAGATCTCAGAAGAAACCAACGCTACAGAGCCCTTGATCTCATACTTCCAGCTCCAGAATTGTGAGAAAATAAATATCTGTTGTTTAAGCCACCCAGTCTGTGGTACTTTGTTATGGCATTCCTAGCAAACTAAAACACTGCCTAAGTTCACATCCTAGCTTTTAGCAGTATTATGTTGGGTACATTATTTAACCTTTCTGTGCCTCAGGATCTTTATCTGTAAAATGGGGATGTTAAGGTCTCCAAATCCTAGGATTATTTTGAGAAGTGTATCTCTATGACTTGCTTAACAGAAGGTCTGGCTCATAGCTATCACTCAGTATTAGTTTCTATTGTTTTTCTGAATCCAGAACTCCTTTTCAATATGTTCCCTGTGTTGCACAGCATATATAAAACTGTATTTTTCTATTTCTAAAGGAATAACTACACATCACCAAAGTTTAGATGAGAAAACTGCTTGCTAGCATTTCAATGTACAATTAAGAGTGACAGTTTCATGTCTGAGGTCTTTTATAAATGTGATGTTTTCCCATTCAAAATTTAACGAAAGAAAATGGGCCTCTATGAAATTATGGCTGACAACAGCTGCCTCTGTTGAAAAGCATATGGGAAATACCCTTTGAGGATGCAAAAGTTAGAGGTGACTGATTCTGTGACTAGTCTGTTGTTATTTTTAAATGAAAAGCATGAGCAATCTCAGAAATAAGAGAGCCAAAGTATCAGGCCTGGATTTGACAAGCCTGCCAAGACACACTTCAATATCTGTCTAAATATTTGGCCATAAAAAACACAAAGCACAGCCTTAATTAATTTATAAAAAAACAAATATTTGCTTTAGTCATCTCCTCTAGTGACAACAAGGTCTGATGTTACTTATGATGCTCTTAATATTAAATTCAAACATACGCAATAGGCATTCTATGGACATCTGTGGATACAATCAGGACTACAAATATAACAAAAATTGAGGCCATGGACTTGTAGACAAGAAATTTAAATGTTTTTCTTATTTAAGTATCCTTATGCAAGTCACAACTTTCTAAGTAGCTATTTACTATTTCAAATAGTACAAATTTTCAAATAATTACATTAACTTCTATTAATTAGTGTTTTCTGTGTGTGAGGCATTCTTATGTCTTCTGTCACCTACTGGTGAAATCACTCTGACTATTACCTCTGTTTTATAAATGAAGTAACTGCAGTGAAATAACTTGCCCAAAGTCATATAGACAAAAAGTGATGGAGGAAATATTAAAACAACAACAAGATCGCTCTTATTCCCAAGATCAAAATCCCAATCCCTTTGAAGTATTTTTTCAAAAAGTGGTACCAATTACTTCCTTGGTTAAAGTACTATCCACGGCAAAATGGTCTAAAATTTTGATTTAAGAATAACATTCTCTTTCTAAGGTTTATTTATGAGAAAAATATTAGCTAAGAAAGAGTAATTTCTCAAAAGTAACTGCAGCATGCTTCAGATATTTATAACTGCAAAATCTGCTTTAAAAGGTACTTTAAGTATCCTAAAAGTCTCAAAATCAGCATTCTCTTAGGTGCCTTCTCTTAGGTGCCTTCTCTTAGATGCTATCTGACCTTTTCAAACATACATAGAATCAAATGAGATTCTGTTCATAAATTAATAATGCAAATATAACCAAACAATCCTAACGTAAATGTATTTTTAAATTTGCACTTGACTTTTCTTCCTCAAAAAAGTCTTTAAGTCTCTATGCTTTCACCCTCATTCATCCATCCATCCATCCACCCACCCATACATCTATTCATCCTTCCAGCCAATTATCTATTCTACAAATGTTTATTGTCCCCCTCTATTTGAGAAACATTGTTCAAGTTGCTGGAGACACAGTGGTGAGCAAAATAGACATGGTTCTTAATCTTACGGTGGTTACTTCCTTTATCATCTCCAATCTTCGTCTAATGACAAGATTGCCACTAAGAAAATGATGGCTTGCCAAGAAAGATTTACAATAACTTGCAAGTGAATGCCTGTATCTTTGTTTCTTTAAGAGTAAACCATTTGTTTTAAAATTTTATGCATTGAACATCTAATCTTATTATAAAGCTACCTCATTTTCTGGTCATACATTGGCACCTTCCATTTTGGAAAAAAAAATGCATTTTTCTTTTGACATAATTGTTACTTAGAGAGGCACTTTGTGCCTATGTTTGTGTGTTTGTCTTCAGGACTTTCAAGTAAACAACTTAATTATGAAACATTTTTCTCTATGTTTCCCCTCTATAGGAATTTTACAGAGAAGCAATCATTATAGTACCTTCTAAGGCTGCATATAGATTACTTGCAAGGTATAAAATATATTGATTTTAAATATCTTCTTAAAATATCACCTTTTTGCCTATTTTGGTGTCATTCATTCAGCAATCTGTACTTGTAGTATATTCAAAGCTATTCCTTGCTCTGGGGACATGGAGATGTATAAAACATGACCTGGCCCCTTAGTAGTTTACAACCACTGTGAAAGACAAACATGGAAAGGAGCAAAGGAATAACACGTTTAAGATGCAACGATGGAACCATGATTAAGATTCTGAATATTAGAAAGTAATGAAGACCATAATGGGGGTATCGACAGCACCCTGTGTGTACACAGGGGTGAAGTGGATACATTTGCCTGAGGAATATTGGAGAAGGAAGTTGTAGGAACAGACAATTGCCTAAGTTCTGAAAGGTTGTTAAGTGTTCCACAGGGATTTAGCACCTAGATTGTGGTCTTAAATTATAGTTTTACACAAAGAGAAACCAGGAATTCTTGGAGAAATTTCATATTCTAGGTATGGGACAAGAAATAGATAAGATGAGCCTGAAACATCTTATCATAGCAGATAGTGAGGAAGCTATCAAAAACTACTAAGTTCATGTCAAAAGGGCTCAAGAACCAATTGGAAGAGACCCTTCCTGGCCAATGATGAGGTAACTTAAATTTCAAAAATAATTACAACTGATTATAATCCATAAAATACATATAAACCTACGAGTTCATAATAATATTCAATGACATAAATTTCTCATCTTTGGACAATAATAGAGGACCAATTCACTTTTTTGAAAATGTATGTAAAAGAAAATAAGCATTCATCCTTTTCCTTTATGAGTTGTAACACCAGGTAACGAAATAACAGATGAAAGGTAGTGCCTTAGTCTGTTCGGTCTTCTATAGCAATTTACCACAGACTGGGTGATTCATAAATGCCAGAAATTTGTTACTCACAATTTTGGAGGCTGGGAAGTCCAATATCAAGGTGTCAGCAAATTGAGTGTCTTGTGAGGACCCACTCCTTGAGGCCAGTGTCTTGCTATGTTTTCACACAGCAGAAGGGGCAAGGGATCTCTCTAGGTTCTTTTTTATAGAGTCATTAATTCCATTCATGAGGAGTCTACTCTTATGACTTAATCATCTCCCAAAGGCCCCACCTCCAAATACCATCATATTGGGGATTAGATATCAGTCTGCATCAGGCACTATGTCTTGTAAGGTGTTCCAACGAATAAGTGAAAATAATTTTAAAATAGTATGAACCAATTTTGATTCATTAATTGTAATAAATGTGTACCATAATAATGTAAGGTGTTAATAATAATAGGTGAAACTGAGCATAAGCTATATAATAATGCTGTATTTTCTTCACAATTTTTCTGTGAACCTAAAACTTCCCTAAAAATAATATTTATTTTTAAAAATTGGAGCATTGCCACTCTGAAAGTCTTTATGAATTAATGGTTCTAGATATTCAGCATCATTGGCTAGTAATTGCAAATGATATCACAATAATAGAGAAAAAAATGATGGGAGACAGTTCTGCATTGTTCCTGCATTGGTGTGTACCAGCTTTTCTTCAGACTTATTTTTTTTTCCAAGAATGTTTGTATAGTAAGCAGCATTGGAATAGTAAGACAGTTTCTCCTTCCAGGGTGGAGGGCAGATTTGTTAGCAGCCCTTTTTATAAAAATGGAGTTTCATAAGCTCAGAGTTCTGCAACTGTGACACAAATCTCTTTTGATACAGTATCGACCTGTTTGTACTTTCCAATCACTTCCATGGGACTTGCCTCAGGGGCAATGGGAACCCATGTAAACATGAAGCTCATGCTGACTGCTGTGCCATTGAGTCTTGTGTCTTCTTCTAACACAAGTGACAGACTAACTTGTTAGCTTGCAAACACTCTAAAATCTCAGACATTTGACATTCTTGACAACAACAAGATATTACGTGCCTCCCACTGAATGAACACACCACCACCTATGGTTTCATCAAAGAGACTGAATGTAAGTATTATAAAGTCTCTGGATCCAGCTGCCATTTGTTGGAAGTACAAAAGACAGAGAAACATGGTGAATTTGATCATGAATATGCAATTAACAAAACCTAGCCTTCAGAAAATTCTACAGAAAAATGTCCCAGGTGTTTGAATAGGTAAATTATAAGAAGAGGGAAAAAAGGAGGAGGAGGAACTTATGTCACATGTCTTAAAGGAAATTTGGAAAAAATACTTTAAAAGCAAGTTATAGTGTCCAGGGATGCATACTTGGGTGATAAAACTATAAAGACATACAAGAAAGCAATTTCTATACAAGTAAGAATGGTGGTTACTTTTGGGGAGAAAAGCATTTGAGATTGGGATAGGGCACATAGTGGGGTTTCTGGGGTGGGTAGCAAAGCTCTATTTCTTGATGTAGATTGACAGTTACAAAGGAGTATGCCTTTTCCAAACTACTTAAGCTATGTATTCATTTTGTGAAGTTTTCAATATTTGTATAATGTTTGCTTATATGTTTGCTTATGAAAGTATAAAAATAAGCCATCAAGTGGAAAAAATAAGAAAAGACATAAAAATGTCCCTTGCCTTTTCACATCTCTCCAATTGATATATGAAATCAGAAACCAAACAATTTCATATGCATAGTGTTCCTTGCTATCAAATTCTCTCTATTCATATGCAGGAACTGAATATGTTAGTAAGAAACATTTGCACAATTTAGGCAGAGAGAATAATATGTCTAATGTCAAAGTGTCTTGAGAGAGCCTAGTGTTGTTCACAGGTCTAAGACTGCTGAATGGAAAATGAGTCAGGGAGGAGAGGGACTTGATTGGAAAAAGTTAATGTAGGAGTCTATAATTTTACACCAGGCAATGGGGAATTAGTGGCACTGTATACAGAGAATTTAGGCTTTGATTTATTTTGTAGAATTATGTTCTTAGTTGCAGGGTAAAAATGGAGTAGGTTGGTGAGAAGCTGGTGGAGAGAGAAAAGTTAGAAACTTGTTGCCAGGCAAGAGATGCGGAAGGCAGTGAATACAAATTAGATGGCTCTAAGATCCAAGCCATCTTTTTGAGGTGGAATACAAAAATACTTCATGACTTACTGGATGTGGGAATTGAGGAAGAACAAGCAACAAGAAATGACTGAGGTTTTTAGCTTGGGAGACTTGGTTGATGGCGCTTTAAAAAAACCAGTATAAGGAACAAGTCTGTGGAATTTTCCCAAGTACTATATGAACTTTCGGTTATCTGATGTTAAACTAACACCTTCTTTTTTACAAATTCTTTTAAATGACATTAATATCTGTATATCTGTTAAATATGGATAGCAGGTACATGTACCTAATATGTTTTTCTGTGTGCTTAATATGTTTTTAATCTTCAAATAAATTATGTTAGCACCTGTGATTTCATATATCTTGATGGGTGTCAGGTTATAATATTGTTCACATAGGTCCAAAACAGTGGTTCTCAACTGGGGTGTTTTGCTTTCCAGAAGACATCTGGCAATGTCTGGAGATATTTGTGGTTGTCATCTTTGGTGAGGGGTGGAGGGTGATACTGGCATCTAGTGGGTAGACATCTGGGTTGCTGGTAGACATCATACATGCACCAGACAGCCCTTTCTTCCCACCTCCCACACCCACCACTAGGCAAAGAATAATCAAGTCCAAAATGTCAAGGTTGATTGACTTATTAATTTGAGGCAACTGTTTAATTTTATAGCTTGTAGAGTTGCCTTAGTGGTTTTCTAAAAGTAATAAAAACAGTGCCTGCTAGTATACCATCAATACAATCCATAAAATATGTATACATTATGAGGAAAATTTAAATTAATATTCTTGTATTAATATATATTTTTCTAACCTGAATTTATTATTGCACATATTACTGGATGGACAGTGGATGGATAGATAAATAAATATCTATTTATAAGGGTAAATAGGCCTCTCTCCCTCTCTTTCCTCTTTTCTCTTTCTCTCTGTTTCTCTCTCCATTGTAACCTAATTTTGCAGTAGCAAAATTTTCTATGTTGATTTGATTTTTTTTCATTCACTGTTTAAAAGCTTGCCTAATACAACTTGGGGATATTAAGGCTAAGTTGTTCTATTTATAAGCAAATTTATAAACAAACAAAGTCAGTCATTTCCTTTATAGGCATAATTCTTCTTTAATCTCTGAGAAAGTATCTTTTGTTTGAAAGAAAGGTTATGTTTTATAGTCTCCAACCTGTACCCAGTAACCAAACTATTTTAAACATAAAAAATAACAATGTCTCACAGGGAGGAACAAATGAAAAAATGAATAGTCTCTTTGCAACTTGTTACAGGTACAGTAGACAAATGCTTGTGATGAACTCTTTAGTTATTGTATTCCCTGAAAGGAAACTGGACAAAGACACATGGTATTTCTCTCTCCTGAGTCAACTTCATCACCTTTCTCTTGGGAAGGGATTTATCAATCATACTAGACTTCAGCAGTGGTTAACAACATTGGATTACACTCCCAGCGGTGAGGTACTAGGTTCATGGTATGCTCATTAACACAAGTGACATCAATATCCCCTCCTCTTCTGGAGAATGAATGGGGATATTGACTTCTCATTCCAATCCTCTTCATCAACATCATCACAGCACTGGTATTTTATATGCATACTGCAGTTTACAAAGCCATTTCATATAAATATCACATTTAACCTCCAATCACCATTTTCTGAAGCAATTTGCTAACTTTCAACAGATGTTTTTTCGGAATTACGTTAAACTAGAAAATGTATTGTGGTTTTAAGTTCATGAACTACAAGAATATTCAAAAGGAACTGATGTTAATAAAAATAATGACATAGGTGACATTTCATTTAACACTCTTGAATTTCACTACGGAATAAACTTTCACCTCTCTTGTCTAGAACTTGTTCTCTTAATCCTCCATTAATTTCCTTAAGCAGGTTCCAGTACTAAAATCTGATATAATCTCTACTAGCTGACACACAGAAATAAAACTTAAAAAATAATTCATGCTAAGGTCTATTTAGCTGACACAGTTACCTCAAATCCCTGTTAGAAAGTGTTAGTGTACAAAAAGATAGATAAAACAAATTAGGTCATGGGGATTAAGATTCTACAGGACATTTTTCTACTACTCAAATAAATTTCTGCTACTGTAATTGAAAACACTAGAAATACTATTTTTTTACTATCATTATTACCACTCTTAGAACATTACTTTTATGAATACCTACTATATAGGTGGCACTGTGCTCACTGTTCTTTTTTACTTAGAATATAAAATTTAATGTTATTATTTCCATGTTACCTTTTAAAAAATGCCTAATTTGATTTGTTCAACTATAGGACAGTTCCTCCACACAGACTATTACCTATACGGCACAAACACAAGGCCTTTGTTGATACATGATTACCTAATTTGTATAACTAATTGCCTCTGCAATACCATGAAATAATGTGTTGACAGCGTCGTATCATGAAAAGAGGAAAAAATAAGAAGGACAGCATGTGAAAGAGCTTTGTGCTTCAAGGGTAATACTGAAAATATTATGCTTTTTGATATTAGACCAATATTCTCAGTATGTTACTGAAAAATATCTTCTACAGAACTTAGGAAATGTGTAAAAGTAAATATTCATTTGATAAATGGAAATAGTTTAAATCACTGACAATAATTTTAATAAAACATGAATGTAAAAGATCAATATAATCTATATTCATTTTTTAAATTATCATAAACATATAAATATGCCATCTTCATAAAAGATTTGCCTGATATAGTCACATTTGAATAAATGCTCTAGTGTTGAAAGATGCTTGCCTAAGTAACATCTCCACTTTCTTCTATTTTACTTCAAAGACCGGAGTACAAGTAAACCAACTAAAATTAACCAAGTTGTTATATACACAATTTTTTTATGTGCTAAGGTAATTCAAAGCAGAAAATGAAAGTAGTTGATACTATTTCCAGAGGAAACTAGAAAAATAAAATAAAATAAAATAGTAAAACAGAATTTGAGATTCTGAATAATTGATCTAACATTGACTTGAAAAGAAAATCCTTCTCACAGAACATATTTTATAATTAAGAAGGCCATTGATTTCTATATATTTCTATAAACTTAAAGTTATATAATGCTTTACCTTTATTTATATATGAAAGCCATAAAATACACTTGTACTAAAAGAGGAAAGGGCAAAGCATATTTATCTTTATCACATTTGAGAAATGTATGTCAATTTTTAAAAATATTTCAATATGGTTGGGCACAGAGAATCATGCCTGTAATCCCAGCACTTTGGGAGGCCAGGGCAGGAGGCTTGCTTCAGGCCATGAATTCAAGACCAGCGTGGGTAACTCAGGGAGACCCTCTCTCTACAAAAAAATGTCAAAATTTAGCCGGACATTGTGGCACATGCCTGTGGTCCCAGCTACCCAGGAAGCTGAGGTGGAAGGACTGCATGAGCCCAAGAGATTAAGACTGCAGTGAGCCGTTTTCACGCCATTGCACTCCAGCTTGGGCAACAGAGTGAGACCCTGTCTTAAAAAAAGAAAAAAGAATTTCAATATTATTATTATTATTATTTTTTGAGACGGAGTCTAGCTCTGTTGCCCAGGTTAGAGTGCAGTGGCACGATCTTGGCTCACTGCAACTTCTACCTCCCAGGTTCAAGTGATTCTCCTGCCTCAGCCTCCTGAAGAGCTGGGATTGCAGGCACCCGCCACCACACCCAGCTAATTTTTGTATTTTTAGTAGAGACGGGGTTTCACTGTGTTGGCCAGGCTGGTCTCAAACTCCTGACCTCATGATCCGCCTGCCTTGGCCTCCCAAAGGGCTGGGATTACAAGCGTGAGCCACTGCACCCGGACTTAAATTTGTTTAAACCCTAAAATGAAAAAGATTAACTATCTCTCTTAGCAACAGGAAGCTAAATGATTTTTCTAATGTTAGAAAACACTCTACTTTATACTGGTGTTTATATACCATTACATGTTTATTTTTAAGTCTATATATTTTAAGTATTATATTAATCTTTTTGAAAATGCTACTTGGAAAACCAATACCCTGTAGTTCTCTAGAGGCAGTATAGCCTTTAGAACACATTTTACTCAATTTCCTCTGAACTTTATTACATTATTATAGAAAAGACAGATCAAATGAATGCCCATGGAGATAAGGTAAATTTTAGTGTCATTACTACCCAAGTTGTGTATAATTTTATCTACTTCACACAATAGGTCAGGAGCTTCAGGTGAGAGAATATGTATCTCTTTTTTATAATGGCAATGTCCTCTACAGTGCCTAACGTTATACTTTATATATAATGTGGTAATTATTAAATATTTATTAAATTGCATTAAATGGGCTGAAGATCCCATTTATAATCCTGAACCTCTTACACTTAGCGTACTTAAATGACAAATGCCTGAATGTTTTTTTCTGAGTGAATTCTACACAGAAACAATTGCTCAAAATCTTACCTTTGTTGAATTTGTTCAAAATAGAATACTCCATTCCCTCATTTCCTCATTCAGTAAGTATTTAACGAATGCTTGCTAAGTGCCAGGTTTGGGCTATATTTGGGGAATATCTAAATGAATAAAACCAAAAATCTCTCTAAAACCTTGATATGTAATAGGGAACTGCAATTAGTATTTAAGAGGCTTTACTTAAGATAGAAAATGTTATGTAAATTTCATGGAAAATGGTAAAAATAAACAATTTTGAGAATTTTTAGGTGACATATTTCAGCAAATTATGATGCAATCAGAGAAAACTTAGGTATTTTCATTTCCAATCTTTTAATTATCATTGGTAAGTGTGGTGGATAAAATGAAGAGTTACTCAAGAATTAGCAACATCTTAAAACTTACGAGAAATGGCCCCAAGAATGATGACTTTAATAAAAATCCAACAGTAAACAACACCCTGTGAAAGGACCAAAATTAGATTCACTAATAAAGAATTACATAGAATATATATGCAGGTTATTTTGAAGATTATAATAACCATACAATGCAATGGTATCAAGCATCAATGTGAAGGGTCAAGAGGAACCTAAGTTGGCATAATCTAGAATTCAGTTATATTGTTTTTTCATTGAATTATAACATATAATCTTATTAATTTATTCATTAGTTAAAATTCTGCAGGTAATCATTACACATAGTATATATTATTTTATATCCTTTTTGAACAGTATGCCAAGTTAACAGTACTTAAGTTAATCATTTAGAATACGATTATGTCTTTTCTCTGTGGGGATGTTAACTGTATAAAACAAGGTAGAATCTAGCAAAGTATCAAACAATTTTTATTGAAACTGCATTTAGACTACATAGATATATTTAGTAACATTAATTACATTTTTAAGATTCATATCTTCTATGTAGAATATTCATATTAACTTACATACTAAAGTAATGTAATAAACTTTTCAAACTACTTTAAAAAGCCATTTTCTTGGGCTTTTCCCTTCAAACTGAACATTCTTTCACTTTTTTCATCTCACAAACTTGTGATTCCAAACTCTTTAGGCATCATTGGTTTTTCAGATGTACAGCACAAGCTTCAATAAAAACACCCTCAAGTTTTAACCATGAATGGTTTAGGGGCATAGTTCATGAAAATCATTTTTCTTGTTCTGGATAGTGAAGCAAATGAAGCATCATTTCAAGAATTGCTTGGCCAGTTTCCAAATATTCTACAATGAGAAATATTAAGAGCATATGTTTTAATGCAGATTTCAGCTGTGACCAAATAGGACATGATTAAGATAAAGGCATTTTTAATGAATCAAAGCAGAATATGAAATACATAAAACAGAGATTGTCTCAGACTACTTCACCCTATCAGTTTCTTATTGCTTTAACAACTATTATTTAATCCAATTGTTGCAGATATATTTTATTTATTGCTCTGTTCTCTTTTTATTCATATGTACTGAAAATTGCAAAGCATAAACTGAAAATGACCATTGGCTTGGATAAAGTCATAAAGTCATAAGGGAATTCTATGTTTCCAGATCACAATACCTATTAAAGTAAGTAAAATGAGTCACTTCTTACATTATGCATTTTCTTCTTTTTTATTTCAGCCATATTTTTATTGGGGACGGGTTACATTTATGTACCAGTGCATAAGTAGACAATGATGCTTGGTGACTATATCCTTTTTATTTTCTACCCTCTCTTCTCCTGCCCTTGCTCTCTTCAATTTGCAAAAGGAATATCATTACAACCCATTGAAGGACCTATTCAAATTGAACCCAAATTCAAATTAGTAATGTACATTTTCTGAAAAATGAAAGAATTTAAGATTAAGTTTTACTTTTTTGCCACATTAGTTACATAACAAATAGAGAATAAGCATTAAAAACCACAGGACACAAAATTCTTGAATCAAAACAGAGATGCAGAGAAGCTTTATATCTAAGTCATACTGAAGGTAGAAAGTAAAATAAACATGAGCATTTTTAAAGTGTATAAAAGCATACCCCCTTTAGGAAAGCAGTGACAAAAGTTAAGACAACTGCAAATGACACCAGTAACTCCAATAAAGGAAAAAAAGAGACATTATATGCCGAGTTGGATGCACAGAAGGGTCTGAGCAATGTTAGGAAAACAGGATCCATTCAGAGTTGAATAGACATATCTCTTTGCTGAAAAAACGTTCCAAGTTCTTCAATGAGAAAAGCCTGAAACACTGTACATAATCTATGGTTTATCATATGTAATAATATTTATGCTAATTGTATAGTGAACTACATATACATACTTTTTTTCTTACAAGAATGGATTAGGTCTTTCTCCACATAATTTATGCTTTACCGTATTTATAAAGTTGAGAGTTGCAGAAGCTCTTTAAGTGTGGTTGAAGATGAACATCTGAATTGAATACTAAAGCAGTTCTTACCCTATTACCCAGCATGGCTTTAAGGCTGGGAAGGGTGCTCTTTATGCACAGTTTAAGGGCATTGCTTAATTAGACTTCTCTCTGGATAAGTTTCAAATTTTTTATTTGCATTTTAAAAAACCATAAAATAGGTATTTCTGTGGGGTCAGTGGTAATATTCCCATTGTCATTTTTTACTGTGTTTATTTGAATTTTCTCTTTTTCTCTTTATTAGTCTAGCTAGTGGTCTATTTATTAATTTTTTTCAAAAAAACAGCTCCTGGATTCATTGATTTTATGAATGTTTTTCATGTCTCTCTCCTCCAGTTCAGTTCTGATGCTGGTTATTTCTTGTCTTCTGCTAGCTTTGGGATTTCTTTGCTCTTGGTTCTCTAATTCTTTTAGTTGTGATATTATGTTGTTATAATAACTTCAGATCTTTCTAACTTTTTGATGTGGTCATTTAGTGCTACAAATTTCCCTCTTAACACTTCCTTAGCTGTGTCCCAGACATTGTGGGACATGGTATCTTTGTTCTCATTAGTTTCAAAAACTTCTTGAATTCTGCATAATTTTATTGTTTATCATGTCATTCAGGAGCAGGTTATTCAATTTCCACATAATTGTATAATTTTGAGTGAATTTCTTAGTCTAAATTTCAAATTTGATTGTGCTGTGGTACAAGAGACTGTCATGATTTCAGTTCTTTTGCATTTACTGAGGAGTGTTTTACTTTTGATTGTGTAATCAATTTTAGAGTAATTGCCATGTGGCAATGAGAAGAATGTATATTCTGTTGTTTTGTGGTGGAGAGTTCTATAGATATCTATCAGGCCCATTCAATTAAGTGCTAAGTTCAGGTCCTGAATATCTTAATTTTCTGTCTTGATGATCTAATATTGTCAGTGAGGTGTTAAAGTCTCCCACTATTATTGTGTGGGAATGTAAGTCTCTTCAAAGGTCTCTAAACTTGCTTTATGAATCTAGGTGCTCCTGTGTGGGAAGTATATAGATTTACAATAGTTAGATCTTCTTGCTGAATTGAATTTTTTACCACTATGTAATGACCTTCTTTGTCTTTTTTTGATCTTTGTTGGTTTGAAGTCTGTTTTGGTAAAAATTAGAATTGCAACCCCTGCCTTTTTTCTGTTTTCCATTTGCCTGGAAGATTTTCTTCCATCCCTTTATTTTGAGCCTATGTGTGTCATAGCATGTGAGATGGGTCTCTTAGAGGCAGCATACCAATGGGTCTTGGTTCCTTATCCAGATTGCCATTCTGTGTCATTTAATTGGGGCATTTAGCCTATTTACATTTAAGGTTACTATTGATATGTGTGGATTTGCTCTTGTCATCATGTTTAGCTGGTTATTGTGCAGACTTGTTTATGTGGTTGCTTTACAGCATCACTGGTCTGTGTACTTCAGTGTGTTTCTGTAGTGGCTACTAACAACCTTTCCTTTTCATATTCAGTGCTTCCTTGAGGAGCTCTTGCAAGGCAGGTCTGGTGGTAACAAATTCCCTCAGCATTTGCTTGTCTGAAAAGGATCTTATTTCTCTTTTGCTTATGAAGCTTAGTTTGGTCATATATGAAATTCTGGGTTATAATTTCTTTTATTTAAGAATGCTGAATGTTGGCTCCTAATCTCTTCTGGCATAGAGAATTCCAGCTGAGAGCTCTGCAGTTAGTCTGACTGGCTTCCCTTGGTAGTTGATGTGGCCTTTCTCTATGCTCATAAACTAGAAAATCTAGAGAAATGGATGAATTCCTGGACTCTCCCAAAACTGAACCAGGAAGAAACTGAATCCATGAACAGACCAATAATGAGTTCTTAAATTGAGGCAGTAATAAATATCCTACAAGCAAAACAAGCCCAGGACCAGATGGATTCACAGCTGAATTCTACTAGAGGTATAAAGAAGAGCTGGTACCATTCCTACTGAAACTATTCCAAAAAATTGAGAAGGACCTCCTCCCTAACTCATTCTATGAGACCAGTATCATCCTGATACCAAAATCTGGCAGAGACACACGCAAAAAAGAAAACTTCAGGTCAATATTTTTGATGTTCATTCAAAAATCCTCAATGAAATACTAGCAAACTAAATCTAGCAGAACATCAAAAAGCTTATCCATTATGATCAAGTAGGCTTCATTTCCAGGAAACAAGGTTGGTTAAATATATGCAAGTAAATAAATGTGATTCATCACATAAACAGAACTAAAGGCAAAAATTACATGATTATTAATATCTCAATAGAAGCAATAGCTGGAAGCATTCCCCTTGAAATTGTCACAAGACAAGGATACCCTCTCTCACTCCTCCTATTTAATACAATATCGAAAGTTCTAGCCAGGGCAATCAGGCAAGAGAAATAAATAAACAAATAGAAAGAGAGGAAGTCAAACTACCCCTGTTTGTGGATAACATGATTCTATATCTAGAAAACCCCATAGTCTCAGCCCAAAGGCTTCTTAAGCTGACAACTTCAGCAAAGTCTCAGGATATAAAATCAATGTGAAAAAATTATTAGCATTCCTATACACCAACAACAGTCAAGCTAAGAACAAAATCAAGGAAGAAACTATAATGCCACATAAAGAATAAAATACCTATGAATACAGCTGACTAGGTAGGTGGAAGAGATCTACAAGGAAAACTACAAACCCCTGCTCAAAGAAGTCAGAGATGACACAAACAAATAGAAAAACATTCCATGCTCATGGATAGGAAGAATCAATATCATTAAAATGGTCATACTGCCCAAAGCAATTTATAGACTCAATGCTATTCCTATTCAACTACCATTGACATTCTTCACAGAATTAGAGAAAACTATTTTAAAATGCATGTGGAACCAAATAAGACCTGCATAGCCAAGGCAATCCTAAGCAAAAAGAACAAAGCTGGAGGCATCATGCTACCTGACTTCAAAGTATAGTACAAGGCTACAGTAACCAACACAGCAAGGTACCGGTGAAAAAGCAGACACATAGACAAATAGAGAACAGAATAGAGAACCCAGAAAAAAGACCACACTCCTGCAACTATCTGATATTCAACAAAGGTGACAGAAACAAGCAATGGAGAAATGACTCCTGATTCAATAAATGGTAGTGGGATAACTGGCCAGCCATATGTAGAAGACTGAAACTGAACCCATTCCTTATGCCACATACACAAATTTATTCAAGATGGACTAAAGATTTAAATGTAAAACTTGAAACTATGAAAACCCTGGAAGACAACCTAGGCAATACCATTTAGGACACAGACACAGGCAAAGATTTCATGATGAAGGCACCCACAGCAATTGCAACTAAAGCAAAACATTGCTAAATGGGATATAATTAAACTAAAGAGTTTCTGCACAGCAAAAGAAACTATCAACAGAGTAAACCTACAAAATGGGAGAAACAACCTAAAAAATGGGAGAAAATTTTGCAAACTCTATATCTGACAAAGGTCTAATGTCCAGTATCTATAAGGAACATAAGCAAATTGACAAGAAAAAGAAAACAAACGACCCCACAAAAAAAAGTGGGCAAAAGACATGAACAGACACTTTTCAAAAGAAGACATATGTGTGGCCAACAATCATATGAAAAAAGCTAACCATCACTAATTACTAGAGAAATTCCTTTTTTTCTTTTTTGAAATGGAGTCTCGCTCTTCCACCCAGGCTGGAGTGCAGTGGCGGGATCTCAGCTCACTGCAAGCTCCGCCTCCCAGGTTCATGCCATTCTCCTGCCTCAGCCTCCCGAGTAGCTGGGACTACAGGTGCCCGCCACCACACCTGGCTAATTTTTTGTATTTTTAGTAGAGACGGGGTTTCACCATGTTAGTCAGGATGGTCTCATTCTCCTGACTTCATGATCCACTTGCCTCAGCCTCCCAAAGTGCTGGGATTAAAGGCATGAGCCACCGTGCCCAGCCGGGAAATTAAAAACTAAAACCACAATGATATATCATCTCATACCAGTCATAATGGCTATTATTAAAAAGTCAAAAAAATAACAGATGCTGGTGAGGTTGTGGAGAAAAAAGAATACTTATACACTGTTGGTGTGAATGTAAACCAGTTCAGCCATTGTGGAAGACAGTGTGGCAATTCCTCGAAGACCTAAAAACAGAAATACCATTCAACCCAGCAATCCCATGACTGGGTATATACCCAAAGGAATATAAATCATTCTACTATAATAGCACATGCATGTGTATGTTCATTACAGCATTATGCACAATAGCAAAGACATGGATTCAACCTAAATGCCCATCAATAATAGACTGGATAAAAAAAATGTGGGACATGTACACCATGGAAACTATATAGCCATAAAAAAGAATAAAGTCATGTCCTTTACAGGGACATGAATTAAGCTGGAAGCTATCATCCTCAGCAAACTAACACAAGAACAGAAAACCAAACACCACATGTTCTCACTCATAAGTGAGAGGTGAACAATGAGAACACATGGACACAGAGAGGCGAACAACACACACTGGAGCCTTTCAGAGGGTGGACGGTGGGAGGAGGGAGAGAATCAGGAAAAACAACCAGTGAGTACTAGGATTAATACCTGAATGATGAAATAATCTGTACAACAAACTTCCATGACAAAAGTTTACCTATGTAACAACCTGCACTTGTACTCCTGAACTTAAAAGCTTTTTTTTTAAATCATAAAATTTGAGCTTTTATTGTCAGTGTCTCTTTATCTTCATAATTCCAGTGCTTAAGATAGTTTTAGAGTAATGGTAAAAACTCCATGCACATGTAAAGGAAGCAAGAAAGAAAGAAGGGAAGGATGGAAGAAGGGAGGAGGTGACATGGAAGAATAAAAGAAAAGAGCATGGTGGAATAACCCTGAGCTCCTTCCTAAAACCCTCAGTTGTGGTTCAAATTGTGTCAATTAGCCATATAACCTGGGTAAATTATCCAAACCTTCTTAGTCTTTCATCTCTAAAGTGGAGGAAGTCTTGGAGTCCACAGCATCTCCAAGACTCCTTCCAGTTTTAACTCTACTGTAAGAAATCTTTATTGGCCAGGAGCAATGGCTCACACCTCTACTCCATATACTTTGGGAGGCTGAGGTGGGAGCATCTCTGGAGCCCTGGAGGCAGAGGCTGCAGTGAGCCAAGGTCTAAGATTGTTCCACTGCAGTCCCACATGGGTGACAAAGTGAAACACTGTCTCAAAAAAGAAGAAAAGAAATTTTTCTCATCATAGAAAAATATCCATAGTAGTTTAATGTTTGCTCATCTAAATAATATTTTAATCATGCAGAATATAAATATTCAATCACTGTTGAAATACATGCATTCATGGGATCCCTCATAAGAAACTAATATAACCAGATTTAATTTTTAAAAAATATTCTTCATAATGCTCATTAAACTTGAATCAAGAAATATTATATCCATCACTTTTTTTTTTGAGACAGAGCCTTGCTCTGTCACTCAGGCTGGACTGCAGTGGCACAATCGCAGCCCACTGCAGCCTCAAAGTCCTGGCTCAAGTGATCATCCCACCTCAGTCTCCTGAGTAGCTGGGACTACAAGTACACTAACATACCTGCCTAATTTTTGTATCTTTTTGTAGATATGAGCTTTTGCCTTGTTGCTCAAGACAATCTTGAACTCCTGGGCTCAAGGGAGCTATCCGCCTCCACCGCCCAAAGTACTAGGATTACAGCCATGAGCCACCACCGTGGCTCCCCCACGCTTAAATAACTGGCATTAAGGAAAAACAATTATACTATCATAACCTATTCTAGTGTTGTCCAATCAATCCTGACCTGATTGATTCAAAGGTACAAAATTGTTAAGTGTAGCTTTACATTGTTAAAGCTACAGTTTAATAATTATTGCTCCACAGTTTGAATTTTGGAGCTATAGCTTTCTTTCTTCAAAGAACAACTTCACTTGGAAAGACATATGGTTAAAAGAAGAGTTAGATGACAGACCTTTCAGAAGGACAATTTATAAGTAAACTACAAGTTTACACTCGGCGAACTTAGTTCATATTGTTTCAAATTATATATTTTGAAGGGTAAGCTGATTTGCTACTAAGGAGGATATTCTTTGGCAATTTATCAATATTAGAATGTCTTACCTGAGAATTTATGCCTCATTACTTTCATTCATTTACGTCTTGTATACAATTTTTCAATATGTCATTAGTAACAGAATTCACAGGAAAAACATCTTATAAATGCCAATGAATTTATTATCAGTACACATGCCAATCTCCAAAAAAAGCCAGTGTTTGGGATTTTAAAATACATTATTTTCAACCAAAACATTCCCTCAAGAAGAAGCAACTGGTCAATTATTCTTTACTAATATTATTCTATTTAAATGTTATCCTAACATTATTTTCTGTACTTAACCAGGGATGTTTAACAATATTTTATTTAAATAATTCTTGTATAACATATTCTTAATAATGCAAACCATTATAGTTCATTTCATTCTTACTATGTTGCACTAATCTGTGGAAATGGGCAGAGAAGTTTTATTTTCTTCTATTGTTGAAATTAAAGTTAACTCATGGGAGGTTTACACATTTACATAATATGTTCTTTGCATCAGTTATTCCACTGGAATTTTATATCCAAGCTGAATCAATTATAATAGATAAATCTGTAATAAAGTATAACTCTAAACCAGAATTTCATCACCCATTCTCTGGGGAATGAGGAAAGATACCTGAGGCCAAATTTACTTAATTGTTCAGTGATAAAGACTGTGTTTAATCACAGACTGCTTCAAATGAATTCCCGATAGTTTTAATTAATTAGCTTCATTTCTTGTTCATTCACAGAATTGAAAATATTTTACATTATCTTATCTTAGCTTAAAAGTCACCACTTATTTTATTGTGTTTTTTTCTTAAGTTGCATGATATCATAGAGTTCCTACAACTGGGAATGGAAGGTGAATCAAGATCTATAGAGGTTACTCAGAAATGAGTGAGCCATTCACAGCTTCACTGCTATGAAATTTAATCAAAATCAAATTAAAACAATTAAATCTGCTTCAATGATATATATGATTCATGCCCTGCTATTTGCTCTTTTCTATAACTATAAAATATATATATTTATTTTTCATCTTGTCAATGATATCAAATATCATTTACATTATAAAAATCAGTTGTACAAAAAATCATATCCAAAATAAAACCAGTTTTAGCCAACAAGTCCGAGGCAACATCTACAATGGCTAAGCTAAAAAGAATTTAAACTCAGGGCAAGCATCTAAAAATAAATTATGTATATATGACTTACACGTTGCAAGAAAAGAGAATAAACAGACTGAAGGAGTAAGAAAATATCAGTTTCTATCTGTGTGATCTTAGAAAGTTGCTTAATTCCACTGTAAAATAAAGATGTTAAATAGTGCCTATACATATAAAAATGTTAATGACATCTTTATGTAAATATGATTTAAGATGGTATGATTGTCAATACAATCAAGAAGAAAGGGAAGAAGATGCAGGAAGAGGTATATTCCTTACAAAACCCAGCTGAGATAGAAATGACATCCTATGTCTCTTCCCCTATGGTTAATAAACTGATAAGTGCCAGTGGGCATACTGCCTGACACAGGAGGCAACTTTTCTGAGGTGGATAGAGAAATTGAGCCTTCATAACATGATTTGCACCCTCAACACAGAGTTAAGTTGGAAGTCTTTCCCTTAAACTTCCAGCTATAAGAATATGTCCCTTTTTGGCTTGAAAAAGAACATGAGACTGTCAGAAAGAAAGATGATGAAGTAGTCTTGTGTATTACATATATTAGGTTTGTAACTTTTAGCCAAGTCCTTTGCTAAAACAAATCTATTATTTTTTGTTTGTTTGTTTTGACAACTTTCCCAATTCTTTGCCGTAACTTCTCAGAGTGCCTTTTTTCCCTCTTGGCACTTTCTCTTTTAGGCCTTACTTTGTTAAGATATTGACTTTAAAAAAAAAAAAAAAAAGTAACTTGGCTGGGTCCGGTGGCTCATACCTGTAATCCTAGCGCTTTGGGAGCCCAAGGCGGTGAGTCACCTGAGGTCAGTAGCTCGAGACCAGCCTGGCCAAAATGGTGAAACCCCATCTCTACTAAAAATACAAAAAATTAGCTGGGCGTGGTGGACCAGCTAATTTTTTAAATAGCTGTAATCCCAGCTACCCTGGAGGCTGAGGCAGGAGAATCGCGTGAACCTGGGAGGCGGAGGTTGCACTGAGCCATTGCAACCAGCCATGCCATTGCACTCCAGCCCGGGCAACAGAGCGAAACTCCGTCTCAAAAAAAAAAAAAAAGCAACTTGAAAAGAGTACTCAGTTAGAGGTTATAAGAGCAAAGAAGGAAAATATATTCATATTTAAATTATTTAGGCTATTTCAAACATGCCTATCCATCACACCCACAATGCAAACATTTCTAAAAACAGTAAATATTCATCTTGCTGCATCCTAGATGTATAATAATTCTCTTCACCTATTTTACTTAATAATTCTAAATTGAGAAGTGTAGTAGGCATTTTGTACAGTGACATTTAGTCTTTATGGTCCCTGGGCACCAGAATACATAAATTTCCCTCACTATGAAAGAGACTGCAGAATTGCTCCCTGGGCATTTCCTAGCCTCTCTGGCAGTTGGGTAAGTGCAGGGCAATTGAACATGGGTGAAAGTGACTTGTGTCACTTTTCCTATTTGGGATCCTCTCTATAATTTCCCTAGCAAACAGCCAAACACAGACAACTCCAAGGACCTTAGGGAAGGTGGAGCCAGAAAGTGAAAGGAGTCTGAGTCTGTCTGTCTGTCTGTCTGTCTGTCTGTCTGTCTATCTATCTATCTATCTATCTATCTATCTATCTATCTATCTAATTTAATGAGACAGGGTTTCACTCTTAAGCCCAGGCTAGAGTGCAGAGGCTTGATCATCACTCACTGTAGCTTCTAAGCTGAAGGGATCCTCCCAACCTTAGTCTCCCAAGTAGC
This sequence comes from Homo sapiens, assembly GCF_000001405.40. Classification (NCBI taxonomy): domain Eukaryota; kingdom Metazoa; phylum Chordata; class Mammalia; order Primates; family Hominidae; genus Homo; species Homo sapiens. Next base: position 211,978,556 of record NC_000002.12, read on the forward strand.
TAGGACTACAGGCATGTGCCACTATACCCAGCTAAATTGTCTGAGTCTTTAAATGACTATCTTCTGATCAAGAATATCTATTTTAGACTTTATATGGTTAAGAAACACTGTGTAAAGGCATTCAATTTTTAGTGTTGAACTGTTAAAGCACTTACTGTTGTTTGTCCTAAGTACCATACTCAATTCCTCCTCTGGTGACCTGAGGATATGTCACCATCATAAATTGGTGAACATCAAGGTGTTCTCTAACTACACCAAAGAGCCATCCATCATCTTGTACCAGCCCAGTCTAAAGTAGTTAAATATTACAACATTTTAGACATCAATCTGATTTTTAAATAGTGTTTTTTTCCTGTAATTCAACTTCTAGTATCAGAAAATCATCTAATACTTCTCTTGAAAGTCCATAGATATATGGAAAAAGTGAAACAAAACATTAAGACAAGAATGGATTTCTAGTTCTTAGAAAAATGAGTGTTTCAGAATTTCAAGGATTTTCATGACAGTAGCAACGTAGATGCTCATATCACCAACTCCCTCTTCCTTAACACTACCACGGAAACACAATAGACCAAAACAAACAAACAAAAACCATCTCTCCACAGTATATGAATATCGCCTAGGAATAACATGAGTTATGTTTATACAAAGGGGAATTTTGGGAATTACTAGTTATACATTCAAGACAGATTTTAGAAAACTGAAGTGGCTATCTAAAATGATTATCTTAAAAAATTGGCAAGAAATTGTCACATTTGCTCAGGCAAAAATGAGCAAATTGCCTATAGCAATTTGTATATCAAGTTTATGTATTTTCATTTGTTTTTTAACCACATTATCTCTTGAGGTATAATATAAGGTTAACAGCTTTAGTAACTACTAAAAAGAATGATTCTTCAACTCTCTTTCCTATGCTTGTCTACTCTTTAGTTCTACTTTTGACAAAATTATGCTTCTGGTAATCCTTAAACTTAATTTTAAAGAAAAGTATTTATTTTCAATAGGTATTTCTTCTTTTACATTTTTCTTTCTCCTGGGCCACTTTAATCAGGTGTTGATAGCCAAGAGAGTAGAAGTACAAGTTAGTTGTTTGAAAAGTATTTAGCCTTCCCTGCCATAATACACATTATACTGTTTTATTAGGTTCAGTGAAATGTTTAATCATTTGTTCACCTTTTAAATTGAAGTTTATCCTTCCATGAACACATGCTCCATAAAAGAAGAGACCTTGTTTATCTGTTTACCTCTGATTCTTACTATCTGGATCAATCCCTAACTCAATAATGTTCATTAATTGGAATATTAGATGATTTATACATCTATGCCCATTATGAACTCACCACATAGTTACTGAACCTCCATTTTCTTTTCAAATTACAGACATCAAATCAATTCTGTTTTGCAATTTTCTTTAATATATGTCTTCAAATATAGAAGAGTTGCTAACATGCTGAGAGTGAGATTCCTCAACGTGACATTTAATCGCAACCTTATTTTGAAGACACTAAGATATAATGAGGTCATTTTAAAACATAAGTAAATTTGTATAGACCTATTATTTGGAAAGAGTATTCTGTCTCTTGAATAAAAATAGAATTGAGGCTTAGTTTTGAAAAGAAAAAGACATATGACTAACTTGTATGCTGATCAATGGAATTAGTACAAAGTGGAGTATTAAGAAATACACTTGTGCAAAAGAAATGTGTCAAACTAAGAATTAACATTCTAGAAAATTGCCAAGAACTTTTGAGAGATTCTTGAAAGCCCTGACTTTCAGTGCATCAATATAAGCAGTTGAGTAGACCGAAGAGATGGTAACATAAATGGTTAAAAAATTTTTCATGAGATTCATACTCTGAATGAATCTTTTCTTGTCAAACTATGATATTTAATCAACATGATTTGCATTACCTCATGTGTTTACTTTTACAGGCCCCTGGGAGATAATTTCTGTTCTAAAGGCTGTTTGTTTGTTTTAAATAATGTAAGTACAGTCATCCCTTAGTATTTAGTGAAAAGATTTTTGAGCATGCCTCCCTGATATGTGTACCTGTTGTTATTTGTACATTTTATAGATGCTCTATTTCACCAGATATAGCAAGACACCTCCTTAGATTCAGTATTGTATATCTTAAACATTCCCAGAAAAAAATACATACATCTTTATTTTATAGATGCTTTGTTTGAAAATGTTATGCAGATTTTGAAGGTCACATGTGATTACTAGCTCATGTCTCAGGACACATTGTACAGTTAGGTCAAAGTTCATAATTAAATATAGTATAAGGAAATCCATATTTCATATGGCCTTCTTAATCATTTGAATTTTCGCCCCTTTCTTGTCAGATTTGAGTAGATCATCACTGCTTTTTAACCTTGGAGTACAGTGAAAGAACAGCAGGGAGCAGCCGTGTCATCTCGATACCGCTCCCCACCATCTGTATTATAATTTCTCTTCAATCCAATGCTTTCTTAAAGAATGTTCTTAAACTTCCTATCTTGTGAATGTTCATTTAGTTAAAATTAACAATATTATCTACAGAAACCACTTAACCAGGAATGCAACCTGTGATACTCAGCAATATGCTGAAAGCAAACCAATAAGTGAGAGAGGACGCTGTTGTCTATCCTCTGCACAATGGGGTTCCCACTCTTCCCTAAGAGCACCACGTGCTAGCAGTTTCATCTGGTACACTGGACCTGCGCACAGACTAAATAAGACCATCAATGAGGAAAGCTTACTTCATTTTCTATTATCTTCGATTAAAAGGTATATACAGAGCAAAATTCTAACCGATGACCTTGTAGTGAAGAGCACTTTGGGAACTGCTGTGTTACATTCTAATAAATTCTAAAAATCCAAACCTACTTAAAACTCTTTAGTGGCTGGTTTTTGCCTGTAGGTTTAGGTGTAAATTCTTTTGTATGGCATTCAAGGCCATTTGGAATCTGTCTCTGGCCTCTACCTTAAATGTATGCTATGCTGCAATGACACTGAACTTGTTTCATTTTCCTGAAATGCATCATGCCTCTGTGGTTTGTTCCTGCCCATTCCTCAGTATGAAATGGCCTCCCTTACATCCTGATGTGCTTTTGAAACCCTCACATCACTTCTAGCAATTTTTCCCTGTGGACACTTTTGTACATACCAAAGCAGAACTAATCATTTTATCTTTTGCTACCACTGTGGCCGTTTCTGAAGCCTACTACAGAACTCATAAATATTTGCATTTGCCTCTGAAATCCACATGAGTATGTGCACATGAGCTCTCTCAGATTTTGATGCCTGAATTTCTACTTTGTAACACAGTAGCTGTTTGATACCTCTCACTGAATGGATAAAAATAGCTCTTTTATCTGCTCAGTGAGAAATGCACCAAATTTCATAAATTCAGCTGGTTAGTAAGTTTTATACCATATTTTGGAATAAATTAGTGTATAAGATAAACTTCAATATATGCTTACTATTGATATAATTTTTAAAATACTATTATTTATCATTATTATATTTTAAAATGCAGCAGCAATATTGATAAAAACAATAAATAAATATAAACCTTCAAGGAAGATTTTAATAAATTTATAAATATATATTGAGCTTCTTCAATATAGCTTTATAGAGATTCATGAGAAAAGAGACAGTCCCTGTCCTCCTATAATTTTTCAGACTAAAGGATAGTACAAGCAGTAATCAAGCAATTACAACTTAGTAACAATCAGTGTTACTAAAACGATGTCCTGGAATATACCAAAGGAAGTTCTAAGTGAGTCAGTGTTTCCTAGAGGCTGCCTTGAGAAAGTGATCTTTTAAACAGAGACCTGTAGAAAACAAAAAAACAAAAAGTACAGGAAGAAATGTTCCACAAAAAGGGGATAACAAGTGTTAAAGCTCTGAGAACAAGGAGAGAAAAAAATGTTTGGGAGTCAAATTCCAGAATGGATGGAGTACAGACAAAGAGGATATTACCAGATGAGGAGGATGGAGAGCTAGAGCAAGACCGCACAGCCTTGCAAGCCACTGTCAGTAAAAATTGTGAAAGACTTTGGACAAAAGGAATACTGGGAGTCCTTTCAATAGAATGCAGTGTGTTGTTCCTAGAGGAGCCTTCAGGTTATCCGATTCTATAGGGCTCTGACCCTTTATCCTTGGCCAGGCTGTTTTGCCACTTCATAGAGGTCCAAGTTAATCCATGGTGAACAAATGGAGGTGCAAATGATTCCTATTTATAAAAATTAAAATGAATTTTTTCAGTAATAATATTAGTCATATAAAAAGATGATTATAAATGTTACATTTTTGCTCTTTGCAATACAGTTTTTTATCATTAAAATTTCATTTCAGCATTCCTTATTGTCTATGTATGTCTATCCTTTACAATGGTTCAATGGTTGTAGCATCTTACATTACAAAACATTTTTGACTTTTTAAAAATGTTATATATTGACGTGAGTCATGACTTTTACCATTTTGCCAATTCTCCTTTATACCATATCATGGAATCTCAATTTTATCTCAGGAGCAAGGGGAAGTAATTGAAGGGTGTTGAACAAGGAATGAAATGGTTGGTTGTAAAGGTAGAGGATAGTTTGGAAGGTGGAAAGAATTTATGTGAGAAGACAAGTTAGAAAGCTGTATTAGAAAGCCAAATGAGATGGCAGTGGCATGGATGGAGGCAGAGGCAGTGGGGTTAGAAAGAAATGGAGTGATTTAAGAGATGTTAAAGAAGGAAAGGAAACCCTGGTATTGTTGTTAGATAAAGGAGAGGGAAGAATGAAGGCTGGTTGACTCTCACATTTCCAGAATGATAAATTGGGGAGATGGTAGTTCAAATTACTGAAAGGCAAGCAGATTTGGTGAGAAGCAAAACTGTATTTTCAATAAGATCATTGTATAGCTATAGAGTTTATTCAATCAGTATCCCAGTGACATTTGTTTAATGCTAGATCATTTTGTCATGCATTTGTAAAGTACTCCCATGATTTATCCAGCACACACAACTGAGAATAAAAGCATATCCTGAAGATAAATCAAAACAGAATCATTTGTACTACCTATCAATCTATAAAGTGACTGATTCCACAGCATGTCATATTTAGAAATAAAAGAAAACACTGACATTTGGTTTAAAGTGTTAGAATTGTAGTTTAATTAAACTTGTAAACCCAAGCATTTAGAGATGGTAGTCATTTCTAGTCAACTAACAGCTTCATTGACTTTCAAGTATTTGAAAGAATTAAGAATAGAGATCTGCTACAAAACTGAATATTGTGGAAGTTATCAATAACATTCCTTATATTAATGATAATGTATAAAAATGTCTAAAATCCTATTTCCTATTATGACAGAATAATGATCTATTATTGATCTATAATATACATTATTATAGTAAATGTCATGGTTCATTCAGGTTGCTATAACAATTATCTTAGAATGGATAATCTATAAACAAGAGAAATGCACTGCTCATAGTTTTGTAGGCTGGAAAATCTAAGATAAAATCCAAGAGTCAAGAAAATCCAAATCCAAGATCAAGGTGCCAGCAGATTCAGTGGCTGCTTGAGGGCTTGCTTTCTTCATCAAAGATGGTACGGATGGTGCCTTCTTGCCATGTCCTCACATGGTGGAAGGGTAATGAGAGCCCTTTCATATGTCTTTTATAGGAGCACTTATGCCATTCAAAGAGTAGAGCCCTCATGACTTAATCACTTCCCAAAGGCCCCACTTTTTAATATTATCATACCAGGAATTAGGTTCTAATGTATGAATCTTCAGGGGACACTCAGACTATAGCAGTGAAATAATTAAAATAACTAAAAATGAAAAAAGTATCTTTATAATAGCATATTATGCTCTGAAAATTGCATAATTTACAGTATTATAATAAGCCATTTTCAAAGGTACAGCAAAAGTTTGGAAATTCCTTCAAAGTAACACTAATCTAAACCCTGTACCTTAGGCTGTCATGTGTACATGTGCCCGTGTCTTTAATTAGATTATGAATTGCTGAAGGCAGAAATTCAGGTTTGTACTCAACATTGTGTCCTCAATGCCTAGTATGCTGATGGAATAAAGAAGGTATCTAATAAATGCTAACCAAAAAAAAATGAAGAATAATGTATAGCTATTTCTATCTTATTAGAATAAAACAACTTTCAGCCATGTTCAAAAGTTTAGCATATAACATTTTTTCTTTTTTTTTAGATGGAGTTTTGCTGGAGTACAATGGCACGACCTTGGCTCACTGCAACCTCCGCCTCCCAGGTTCAAGCAATTCTCCTGTCTCAGCCTCCCAAGTAGCTGGAATTACAGGTGCCCACCGCCATGCCCAGCTAATTTTTTATTTATTTATTTTTTTAGTGGAGACGGGGTTTCACCATGTTGCCCAGGCTGGTATCAAACTCCTGACCTCCGGTGATCCACCCACCTCGGCCCACGGCGCCTGGCCTGGCATATAACACTTAGAGTGTTATTGTTTTCATGGTAAATGTAACATAATTATATTTTGAAAAGCTAAGAAAAATTGTATGCATAATCCAAGCATGCTAACATACTCACTGACAAACATTTCGGTTTTGGCAACAAGACTCTTACCACTGTCGGAAACCTATTTAAGATGTTAATCCAGAATATTTAATTGTAAAAAGTACCCAGATTTGCACACTGGCAATGATATTGATAGTTTTCTGAATGTGATAGACTGAAGAGGGAAGTAAAGAAAGAAGGAAGGGAGTAAGAGAGGAAGGGAAGGAATGAAAAAATAATCTATTGGAAAAAAAGTCTTTTTCTTTACTCTTAATTTACTATCGAATCATTAGATTTTTCGGTATTTGTAATACTTCTGTTAAGTACAGTAAATTCAAGCATAAACATGGGAATATGCCTAAGATTGCTTTCTAGAACAACTCCAGCAGAACAGCTTCAAAGCCTCATTGACCAAATTGACCATCAGTAAAAGGGTTCATAAGTGGCAAATACAGAACTCATTACAGATGTGAGTAGAAGAAATTATTAAGTACTAAAAACATCTAAATGCCAAGTCAGCGAAGTCACTGCACCAGTTCCATAAAACTAGTGTCTCTTATGTATTAGAAGGATGAAAGGGGAAAATATAATTTAATTTAAATTATTATAAAATAATTTATTATTTTGGATATTTTTCAAAAAATATCCAAATGTAAACAAAAATTTATTTAAAAATACTCAAATAATTCCAAATCTTATGGGCAGTCATACTAAAAATCTTGCTTAAGAGAAAATTGAAAATACTACTAAAGCTCTAAAGTCATCACATTTTAAAATGTTGTATCGAAGGGATCTTTGAAATAATCTTGTCTGTACTGGTTTGAATACTGTTCCCAAAATTTCATGTCCACCCAGGACCTCAGACTGTGACCTTATTTGGAAATAGCAGATCTAATTTGTTAAGATCAGGTAGTACTGAATTAGGGTGGGCCTCCATCCAGTGATTTAGGTTTTCATAAGAAAAGAAAACAGATCTGCAGAGACAAACACATATGGCCATGTGAAGATGGAGGCAGAGGCTGAGTGGTGGGTCTACAAGTCAAAGAAATCCCAGGACTGCCAGCAATCACAGAAGTCAGGAGAAAGACCTGGAACAGATTCTTTCTCAGAGTATCAACAAGGAACCAATCCTGCATGACTCCTTGATGTTGGACTTCCAGTCTTCAGAACTGAGAGAAAAGAAATTTCTATGGTTTAAAGCTACTCGATTTGTGGCACTTTGTGAAGACAGCCCTAGGAAATGAATATACTATCCAATCATTTTTTGTGTGTGTAGAAGAGGAAAATGAGATCTTGAGAGGATAAATGATTTACTCAAGATCATATAGCTAATTATTGTTAGAACTCGTATTAGAATCTGTTGTCCATGAGGCAGTTTTTACTAAGTTTATGATTTATTAGACTCATGGCAACTGAGATTATATTGAACTAAAAGCACACGTGAGAGGAAGCCTTACATCAAAATTGATTTCCTTTCACATTCAAGTTAAATAATTTTAATTTCACACTTGAGAGTTAGCATAGCCTATTGGTTCAAGAACCTGGGCTCTAGGGCCAGATTTCCTAGCCTTGGAATTCTTTACTGTAATTTTCTCTGTGGCATAACAGGTACACTCAATGCATAGATTGTTGTTAGGATTCAATTAGGTAACACTTGCAAGCATCTAGAATAGTGCATGGCATACGGTGAAGGTTATATGATTTGGGGCTGTTTAATTGCTGAAAATTTTTACTAATTACATCTAAATATTTAAAATAACTGACTCTGGGTGAAGTAAAGTTTATTTAATATTTACAAAGACTCTGGTGGAATTAAGAACAAGTGATACTTCATATTCAAACAGATGTTTTAACAAAGATTCCAAGAATATACTAATAATATATAAAGTATGAAAACACAAAATATAAATATTAATGTAAGATACTAGTTCCAGTCATAAATGTAAAGAAATCTATCACACAGTGGGTGCAGTGGCTCACACGTGTAATCCCAAAACTTTGGGAGGCCGAGGTGGCTGGATCACCTGAGGTCAGAAGTTGAAGGCTGACCTAGCCAACATAGCAAAACCTGGTCTCTACTAAACACACAAAAATTAGCCAGGCTTGGTGGCAGATGCCTGTAGTCCCAGCTTCTTGGGAGGCTGAGGCAGGAGAATCACTTGAACCCAGGAGGTAGAGGTTGCAGTGAGCCGAGATCGTGCCACTATACTCCAGCCTGGGTGACAGAGGGAGACTCCATCTCAAGAAAAGACAAAAAAAAAAAAAAGAAAGAAATCTATCACCCATGATTATTTTATTTTATTTATCAAAAATTATGTTGCTAAATGTTTCAGTAAATAAATTGAGGTCTTTTAAAAACAATGGAAATTACAACTGGATTCAGATTAACTCAATGTTCAGGTTAAACGAATCTTAAAGAAAAAAAGGAAGGGAACATAGGAGAGAGAAATTTAATGAAGGAAGGGAGGAGGGTGTAAGAAAAGGAAGGAAAGAAGAGGAATCTATTGCAATCAAAATCAATTGTGATGAAGGCTGGTTTCCTAATTTTTTACATTTTTCCTACCTAATTTTATTTACACATTTTTATTTTCTAAGGCTAAAGAAAGTGAGACTGGAACAGGCAAAAAAAATGCAATTGTTTCTCATTTATTTCCAATACTCACAATGTATAATTACAAAGTATATTGCCAATCACTTAAACATTCTAATGCCTCAAATAATGTATAAGGTATTCAGCCAAAACTAACCTTTGAAATTAAAGAAAAACATTGTAAGAGGAAGTTTTTAATATCTTGTCCATTTAAAGGAAGTTTTACTTAAAGTAATTTATACAGTTCAGAACTCGCCACTAAAGTTCAACATTTCTAAGAGCTATACCTTTCTGTGACTTCATTTTTCTCAAGTGACATTACAAATTTCTGGTATTTATAACTTTTAAAATGTACTTGTTAGGGAAAATAACAATTAAGTTATTTTTAATGTTCTTTGCAAATTTTAATTAGGACTTTTTTATTATCAGGCTTGATTAAGGAAATAATTTATTAGAGCAGAAAAAGGTTTTAGAGAGCAAATGTTTATACTATTAATTAATGTCAGTTAGCTATGTGCTTACAATAAATTTTTAATTTTCAGACCTATTGTTATTAAAGGCACGGTGGTTTAAGAGTGAGTTCCAAATAACAAAGAGTACTTAAGTTCAAGTTCACACCGCTTACTAGTTTTATAATCTTGGGCAGTTGGATTCTCTCCAAGCCTCATCCCCTTATCCATAAAAGCAGGAATACAAATCCTAGCTACCTCAAAGTGCTGTAAAGGGTAAAATGATATAAGAAACATTAGCAGCAGTACAGTGTCTGTTATATAGTAAGTGTTTAGTAAAGAATACTTACTGATAACATATAAGCAATTTCTTTCCATTTGTGACAGTTATTTTGATGCCAAATATTAGAGGCTAGATATGCTTTACCTTTGCCCACATCTAGGCTCTCTCTGAGCTACTGATTCAAGTTTCTAAATTATTCTTTACAATTGAAGATGGGAATAAGACAGGTGTCAAACATTTTAATTCACTCCAGTGAGCCCAGTTAATGTTACATCATCTACCCAAGCAAAAGACTATGCTCTTCTCTCTTTCATTTGCTTCTCATTCTATTTTCCCTTTCCCTCTTCATCCACTTCTCTTTAAATGTAACTATTAAAGCTACTTTTATCAATCTTTGCATGTTTTCCAACCCCAAGGTCATTGGAGCTTAAGTTTTCCTGATAATCTTTTTTAAGGGATCTAAGTCTCTTTTGCTTATGTGCTCCTACGATCATGCATAAAATTGTTCTGGCTTATTTGCAATCTATTTTTTTCTAAAATGAAACCCCATGAATGAATTTTAACAGCATTTCTCTTCTTTAACAGAAACTCTAAGATGGTATTGTCATTTTTTCCAAGGTTCTTTTTTGTTCTATAGTCCCATTTATGTTTTATTTTTGGAATAGAACTATGTCCTTAACAAAAGTCCTCTAGATTCTTTCTCTGTTTTTTGAATGACAACAATTAGAAGAAGGTAAGACAAATATTTACCAGATGACCTACTTTGATTATAATGAGTTTCTAAAAAGATGTTAACATTGTTGAAGTCCCTATAAATCTTTACTGTGTCTTCTTGCAAAAAAGAAACAGCCAGGTCCTCAATCTTGCCAAGTATTTTATAAAATATTCCCTAGCAAAGCATTTGTTATTTTCTCCTTCTTGACTTTTTCTACTTGCTTCAATGGAAAAATTTTCCCAAAATCCAATACATTGATCATTTGAATTTTACAACTATCAAGATTTTAGACAACTGCTGCCCAACACTGTTATTTAAGATTCATCCTATGTTTCAATAATTATAATTGTTTCTCTATAATATTCTTAAAATAAATTTTATTCATATAATATTTCTTCTGTTTAATCAATTTAAAATAGTAAAGGTAAAAATCCTTTTTCTTGTCCCCTTTTTCAATTATGCTATGCATTGAAACTCTTTTACCAAGACCACCATCTTATTTCAAGTATGCACTATTAGTAGGGACCAAAAATTAGGATCACCCAGTAGGTGATTTGCTATGATATTAGGCATATTGATGATCCTGGAAGGGATGCAATCTAATCATATTCCATTCAATGAATAAATATGAGTTTTTATGAATAAAAAATGAGTCTTCAGTGAATGTTGTTAATAGCACTATATAAAAAGAACACAGCATTCACTTTCCTAACTCCACCCATGTCTTACTTGAATGCCTTCCTCAGGAACACAGCTCTCATTCATCCTATTAATATGAATTTGGTGTATAAAATTAGAGCAAAATGGAATCATTCATCCCTTAGCTTGCATTCACTACCAAATTTATAATACAAATTACCAACATCAATAACAGTAATATCCACAAGCAAAAATAATCCCTGTAAATAAGTATAACTAAGTTAGGAATGAAAAAAAAAATAGACAGAATATTGATATAAATGCTCATTAACCCCTTCCTGAATTATTTAAAAAGTAAAAGAGATGATTTATCAGATCATTTCCTATCATGAATTAAACAATTTCTAGGCATTTGAATAGATGTCTACTGAGGAAATGTGAAAGTGGATTTTTGTGTAGGTGACGAATTATAAAACACGATAGAAATCTGTATTGCATTATTATAATAAAAAAGCCATTAAAATATCTGGGGGGATTAAGATAGTTAGGTCTGTAGGAGTTACTGCCACTTCAATGTACTTGTGTATATTGTAGGCATCCCACTTATTTTTTCATACAGCACTATAAATGTTCCTTGAAAGCTATCTTAACATTCAGATTATTTGAAATAACTGTACATTTGTCACAAAATCCAACAAGAATATTGTGAGTGCTTACTATGTGCATATCATTGCACCACATTTGAAGGAAATAACCAAAATAAAAATAAAAATAAATAAATAAATAAATAAATAAATAAATAAGGACCATTCAGGCAGTTCCCAATTTAGAACAATTCAACTTCTAGCAAGTCGTTAAATTTAAAATAGCTGGTTACACCCATGTTTTTTGAAGCTAACAAATAAATTTAGAACAAGCCCCTTGATTTGCTTCTTGGATGCTCAAGTGAAAAGTTCAGCCTGGAACATGCAAATGGTATCCTCGACCAGCATCTCTTGAGGATGTTGGATGTTGCAAAATTTAGAAGACAAAACGTAAGAAGTAACTAATAAAAATGAGACAGTGACTCAACAGGAGTGCCAGATTAGATGCTACCAAGTTTAGATTTCTTATGTGACTGGAACATTTTCATAACATTATACTAAAAATATTTTAAATAGAAAATATTATTTTCATAATTATACAATTCTTCAAACGACAAAATTCATCTAACATACAAATTTTAGCATACATAATTTTTAAATAGTTTTAAAAAATTAGTATATATAAAATATACTATGGTCAATATCCAACAGTAATTCAAAAACAAGCCATTAAAATTCAATTCTAGTGATGTCTATAGCTGACATAGTAGGGCTTTTGTTGTGGATTTCATATTAATATATTCAACCAATATCTATTCTATTGAATGCCTCTGTTGTGTCTATTCCAGACAATGTTCCAGAACTGAAGACACAAGAGTGAACAAAATATTATAGACAAAAAACAAATAAACAATTAAAATATATAATATTGCAGATGATGATTAATGCTGTGGATACAAATTAAGCAAATAAAATTACAAACCAATTACCTGTATTTGTACTGTATTTGACCAATGACTAAAGCTTTTACATTTAAATACATAAATATGATGAGGGACCTACAAAACAAAACGAAGCAACAAAAAAAGAGATACTGTCATCTAGCAATATTCTTAAAGGTAAGAATGCAAAATAATAGGAGTAGCTTTCATATAAATATTAGAACAATGCATTTCAATATTCTCTATAAACGTGTTTTTCTGGAATAAAGAGTTTTATTGTCCCAGGAAAGGAGATATATACTTGATATTTTTTTCCAAGATAATAGACTTAGAAGGTAAATCCAGGGGAGAACGACTATTGTAAAAATGTTTAATTACACTTGGCCTACCTAGGATAGAAAAGATCATTTAGTTGCTCATTTAGGCTTATCCCATTGTTTGAATAGGAATGAGACTAAGATAAATGAACGGAAAGGAAGTTGGAAAAAGGAAAAATCAGAGACATTGAAGAGAAGCATTTTCACATGTGCCTGGCGTCTGGATTTCTCCCCTAAGTCTTCGGCTGAGTTGGTGTCTGTTTTCAGTAGAAGTACAATGGGGTGACACAGTAAAACTTAAGTTCACAGGCTATGTTGAGGCACAGCAGATTATTTGATAAAGTTAAGGGAGGGAGGGGACAGGACAATGTGAAGCAGAGTCTTAGCAAATTAAAAGGATAAGAGAAGTATAGCTAGACTTTCCCACATTTTCCTGTCGTCTTCTGAACCCTCCAAACTGTTCCAACCTCTGCCTGTTACCCAGTTCCAAAATCGCTTCCACATTTTCAGGTATCTTTTCAGCAACATCCTACTCTACTGGTACCGATTCACTGTATCCAGTTTATAAACCAACTAATGTCTTTTCATCAAAACACACCAGAGACTGGGAAGAAAAAGAGGTTTAATTGGACTTACAGTTCCACATGGCTTAGGAGGCCCCAGAATCATGGCAGGAGGTGAAAGGCACTTCTTACATGGCAGCAGCAAGAGTAAATGAGGAGGAAACAAAAGCAGAAACCCCTGATAAACCCATCAGATCTCATGAGACTTATTCACTGTCACAAGAATAGCATGGGAAAGACTGCCCCCCATGATTCAAATGTGGGTCCCTCCCACAACATGTGGGAATTCTGGAAGACACAATTCAAGTTGAGATTTGAATGGAGACACAGCCAAACCATATCAGAGAGGGAAGTGAGGGAAGAAGAGAGGGAGATGAGAGACAGTGAGAGAGAGAGAGAGAGAGAGAGAAAAAAAAAAAAAACATGAGTTTGTCAGGGGCAGAAATCAATGATAAATATCTTCTAAATAGCCTTAGCTTAAGACTAGAATCTGCTCAAGCATTCCTATGGACCCAGACTCTCCACTCTTCAGGTGAGACAGAAAGAAAATTGTGGACACCGCATGTACCTCTTTACTCGGATACCAGGAAATCATTTGAGTTTCCCTCACCCCATGCCCCATACACCAGTGTGTTGCAGAGGAGGAGAAACTTGAAGATATGGGCTCCAAAGACAAAGTCTTATCTGACATAGTTGTTTGGCTTTATTCCAATTTAACTAACAACAAAAAAGGCGAAATAATTTTTAGCCTTATATATTACCTAAAACCCAGTGGGTGGGAGTTTAAAAGGAAAAGAACAGTAATAACCCAATCAACTACCTGTCCTCTGCTCAGTCATGTGTCAGTGAGTAAATCTGATAGCCCACAACATCTTTGCATGCTGGCGAGCCAGCAGTTTTGAGAGAAACCCATATCATCTCTGTTATGCACTGAGTTGTTTTCCCTCAGAATCTTATATTGGAACCAGTACCTTATATTGAAGACTCTGGCACCTTAGAATGTAACTGTATACGGAGATAGGATCTTTAAGGAGGTAATTACGGTTAAATGAAATCCTAGGGGTGAGACCCTAACCCAAGGGGATTGATGTCTTTACAAGAAGAGGAAGAAACACTTGAGATTCATGCTCACAGCGGAAAAGCCATGTGAAGACACGACGAGAGGGCAGCCATCTGCCAGCCAAGGAGAGACGCCTCAGGAGACACCTACTCTGTGGGTACCTTGCTCTTGGACAGCCAGCCTCTAGAACTTCGAGAAAATAAACTTCTGCTGTTTAAGCCACTCAGGGTGTGCTATTTTGTTACTGCCTAGCTAACTGAGGCAATCCAATAATCTGATTTACAAAGAAGAAAAGATAGGAAGAAGGATGACAACGTTATCACCCCAGATTTCTTTAAGAGACTTCCCCAAATTGCTATTTTTTTTTTCATCCTAGATAAGATATATTTTTCTAATGTACTAAAGAAAATTAAAAAAAAACAGGGATAGTAAAGAACTCCAAGCATACTATAATTTTTAAATATTGGTATGACATTTTTGCCCCCGGTTATCTATTACAGGCAGAATTATACTGGGAACAATTAGATTTGATTAAAATATTTAAGATCATTTCTGCTTTTAAAAAAAAGAAACTTAAAAAAAAAACCTAGTAGATTCCAGTGAGAAACAAAAGTACTTGCATATCAGTGTTTCTTAGAAAAAAAGAATTAGATTCAGTGTGCTACAGGATAAAAAAGATAAAACTTACTTTTTTATAATTATATGTTTAATAATTATAAACATTTTTATATGTTTTATAATTATTAGTGTCTTTTCCCATATATTATTTTATGTATTAGTAAGTAATAAAGTCATCAAAAGGGGCATACATATGTACATTATTTTAATGTTTATGTTTTGGACACTCACTGCTTTAATTTTTATATAGTCAAATCTATCTATATCTATATGTCTATCTATCTACCTATCATCTATCTATCTGTCTATCACAAGCAGGTTCTCAGTCTGTCACTGAGACTGCAATGTAGTGGCATGATCATGGTTCACTGCAGCCTCAAACTCCTGGGCTCAAGCAGTCCTCCTACCTCATTCTCCTGAGTACCTAGGATGACAGACACATGCCACCACACTCAGCTAATTAAAAAAAAAAAATTGTAGAGACACAGTTTTGCTATGTTGCCAAGTCTGGCCTCAAACTCCTGACTTCAAGCTCTCCTCCCCCATTGGCCTCCCAAAGCATTAGGATCACAGGCATGAACCACCATGCCTGGCTCAACGTAACTATTATAACTTACATTATGTCCATTTTTAGAAATGTTTTATCATCTAAAAATACTTAAATATTTATCTAGATTTTTTCCAGTATGTATAGTTTGATTTTTTATATTTACCTTCTCAATCTATTTGGAGTTGTTGTTTTTTTACTTTATAGTGTAAAGCATACATTTACATTTTTATCCAAACAATAGTTTTATTCCAGACAATATTTCTGAACAACTATATAGAATTCATCAGTTTAGACATGCATATCTTCTAGACGTGAGTTGTACCTATCAATCCTCTTTAACTCAAAGCACAGTCCAAAGAAGGAGCCGTAGATATCACATTGAAGGGAAAAAGAATTTACCTGAGAGAGCAACAGCAAAAACAGCACAATTAACAGAGAAGGCATTCTCAGGGAATAGATGGAAATTATTTTGCAAAAACACACTCCCTAATGCTTCATGCAGTTGTGCACAAGAACCTGAACATCTAAAATTATAGAGCCTAGGATCAACTGAACTTCAAGCTATTAAGGCCTGACATTCTGGGAATTCTCTGATGTGGGTGTTATTAAACTCTCTCATGGATCACCGCCATCATTCCAACAGAGAGCAGCATGCAACATGGAACACAACAAAAAACCCTGAGTGGGGAGGATGCCCAGAGTCACGTCTCTTAGACACATCTGCCAAGAGGATTCATTAATTTCTTATTTTCTAGGCACTTAATGTCAGATCAGAACAAAATATTTTGTAACAGCTTTATTCAATAATGTTTAAAATATAATTTTTGTTTCACTGTTTAATTTCTCAGTTCATTTTTCTGTGCTCTATGAAAAACCCTGAGTTAAAATAACTGTCCTGGCTAATTTGAAAAATACATTTAATATTTTAGTTAGAGGAACTCTAATTGATGATTGCAATAGTTCTTATGTGTAAATTCGTTTAAAGTTTCTCAACGGCTTTTCATTCATTGGATTTAAATCCAAGTTCCTCAACATTGTTTTTAAGGACCTTGCCTTTTTTAAAATACATAGAGGTGGTGTCTATGCTGACCAGGCTGGTCACAAACTCCTGGCCTCAAGCGATCCTCCCATCTCAGCCTCCGAAAGTGCTGGGATTACAGGTATGAGCCACTGTGCCCAGCCATGGCCCTTGATTTTTTATCCTTCTATATTCTCTCTCAAATTATGCAAAAATACTGAATTCCTAATAATTATTCAATGTGTCGTGCTTTTCATAGGCTCTTGCGCATTACTGCTTGTATCTCAGGTACAACATCTAATGCCCCTGACTTCTCCACACCATCTTAAGTCCCTCCTTACACACCCAGTTCCTTCAGGTCTCAGTTGTAATGTGACTTCACCCAGCAAAGCTTTCCAGCTGCTGAGGCTGGAATAAGAGATCCTTTTTATATTGTGTATTCCCATATTCTATCTATGATAGCACATATATACACTAGGGATTTAATGGATACTGTTGAATTAATTAGCCATTTTGAAGGAAGCTAAAAAAGTGTTCAACATCCAGAGTGGTCAGCTTAGGTCAATCGGCCTAGAATGATGCCTTAAGGTATTCTTGTTTGGGGCTATAATATGCTGTACACCAGGTATAACATGATCTTTGCCTTGCAGTCCTAAAGGATATGTTCATTCTACAGAAAGCATCCATTTTAAACTTTGAAGACTGTTAAGGTTTAGGTAGATATTAATTAGTATCATTATTTCTTCTCAATATTCTAAAATTAATTTCAAAATAGTCTTACCATATAGATTTTTTTATAGAATTTTGTCATTTGTCATGCAAGACTCCATATCTTTTCATAAAATTAAAAATTTGGTTTATTTTTTTTTTCAGATGGCAGAAACCTGAAATCAAGTTTAAACATTATCCTTGTTTTATTATTCATTAGTCTTTAGTAACTATTGATACTAGAACATGTTTCTGTGTTGGGCAATATTCAAAATTTAACAAAAATTTTGAATTTCCATCCTATTTTAAGAATGAAAGCTGATAGAGTATTTATAATAAGAAGTTACCTTTTTTGCTGGTTATGACTATAAGGGAGATATTACCATAACATAATCAACCAGGGAAATCCCATTAGAAATTAAAAGCAGGTTAAAATCTCATTAAGGTTTTCCCCAAGCTATGAGCATACTTGCCCAATTAAAAAAATTAAAAATATTTTAGATTGTAAGTTTTAAAAGATGCTTTCTAGATACTGTAATGTTCTATGTGCAAACCTTGATTACTCAGGCCTTCGGTTTGTTCCCTGGCTTTGCTGCATGAGTTGTTTACATCCATATCCAAAGAATTCTTCACAAGTTTGGTTCACTCATCAGTAAATCCTATTTTGGTGCCAATGAGTAAGAGAAACATCTCCCTGGGACCACCTTTATGGTCATACACGTTTAATTTTAATCAGTCACTACATGAAACAAATATTTTGCTAAAACCAAGGTGGACTTTGGATGCCAGAAAAGACCAAAAGAGATTTTAACTGCTTTTGTTGCTGACAATTACTCTTGGTTAAGGACAAACCATCACGATGAGGACTAAAGGTTTGTGATACCTCTCTGGACTGCTTTTAACTGCGAAGTGAAGGATAACAGCAGAAATAGAAACAGAAGGTCTGCAACTTTCACTATGACCAACTGAGGAAACAAGATGAAGAGAGCATTGGTCAATGTATCTAGTGTCTTGCATTTAAACCCCGTTTGCCGGATTAACTGCAAATGTAGATGAGTGTCTTTGTCCTAATATCTATCAAAAAGATAATAGTCTATAATTCCTTCCTTTTCAAACCTTCCAGAATTCATAGGAAGCATCAGGAACGTGGATTCATTCCATTTTATAAAAATTTCCTCAACTTCTATTATGTTTCCTCTCTTAAACATTCTCTAAACCCTCTAGTAACTTTCACTTGTTAAAAAAAAAATACTTCTGAACTATTTACTGAAGCAAGAAACCTATCCAAATACTGTAATAAAATGTTGATGTTGTAAACACATTAAATTAAGGGAAAACTATGTACCTAAAATAAATGATAAATTCAACACCTTAAATGTTTATAAATAATATCAAATAATCATTGAAAGATATTATGCCATTTGTATAGGATTTATAACTTCAGTCATAATTATATGTTTATTTAATGTTAATTCATCAATAATTTTCCCAATCTCAGTCTCTCACATACACACTTAAATTAGGTGCCACAGCTTAAATAGATTCCCTCTTTCCCGCTCCCTCTCCCCTTCTTCCCCTCTGTCCTTTACTGAAGACCAATGTAACTTAATGCAATTACTGAGCCACAGAAAAAACCATGTTGACTGCATTACTTATATTGTCTTGTTTATTCCTTAGAATAAGGTAACACTGATAAATAATATATTAATCATTCCACTTCCACTTCAAAATCTAAATGTAATGAATTATTTCATATAGCCTATCAATCATGAGATTATTTTTATACACACACACATCACACACACACACACACACACACAAATGCCTGAGTTTAGGTAGAATGCAATACGTGAAGCTGAAAAGTACTGAGAAATTACAGATAAGGTTTCTATTAGAAATCATCCCACAACAGGCCCTGGTGTGTGATGTTCCCAGGGGAGGGATAGCATTAGGAGATATACCTAACGTTAAATGATGAGTTAATGGGTGCAGCATACCAACATGGCACATGTATACATATGTAACTAACCTGCACATTGTGCACATGTACCCTAAAACTTAAAGTATAATAATAAAAAAAATGAAACCACCAAGAAACAGAATATAACAAATGAAATATTCTGACTCCCTGCTTATCTGTCTTGTTTCCAGTCCCTCATTTCTTTGATCTTTATAGTAGTGAAATGGTTCTAGTCTTTAATCAACTGTTGAATTTTTTTACAGGGAAAATCTATTGAGTGTGATGTGTTATGTTTTGTGCTAAGAGCTTTATGTACATTATCTTACTTGGTCCTTATCACAGATCTTTCTGAGATAAACACAATTATTAACTCAATCTTATTGTTAAGTACACTAAAATTCAGACCCAGGTATATCTGACTCCAAATGTTAAATAAACTACTTAACTCATACTGCCAAAAAAAAAAAAAAAAAAGAAATAATCCCTCCTTGACCTGAAATCAGCGTATACTTTGTAAGTAAATTTCCCTTTTTGTTTTAAATGTAAGACAGCATTTTGTTTTCTTGCTCAAGGTATGAAATGATAATAGTTCTTTAAGGTGAGATCTCTGCAACAAATGTCAATGGCCAACCTCATAGCTCTTTGTAAACAAATCAGAAGTTTACTTGTGTAATTTCTTTGAAAAAATTTCACAACCATGATACCCTAGGGATGATTTCAGTGATTAGGTGAGATATAATTATATTACTTATTATACTGTGATGCATTACAGAATATTTTTACTATACACTGGAAAGCATTAGAAGTCACTACTATGATTACCTTTATGTCAATTTTTCTTTACTCAATAAGAAACAAAATAACAACAATGCTAGTATCATTCAAGTTAATGTTTAATCATTTAACAAAAAAGTTTCATCATATTCCATGTTTTAAAATATTTTTATTATTTTATTTCTTAGAATATTTTTATTTTAATCAAACTAGAACATGTCTCTCAATAAAGGCATAACTAGATTTTTGAGGAATATTTAATAACTGATAGTTTACACTTTTCTGACCTATAACAGACTTTAATAAATAGGAAAATTAGTTTTCCCAAATTAGTCTTCCCAAATAACTCTATGTCTCTTGCTTATCTGACTGCCTTAATTAACATGGCAGAATATATTAGTAATTGATTTTGTGATAAAATAAATAATTATAATTAATTGGTTTTAAAATCATTAGCATCAATCAATTTTTTGCCAGTTCTCATATTTGCATTTTTAGAATTCATGCTCTTGGGGCATGATATAAAACACAGTAGTGTGAATTCCCTTGACTAAATAGGTATACAGAATTCCCTCATTTTTCTCATTTTTGCAGGGGTATCCTGAATAAATCTTAAAACATTCTGAATAGTTCAGACTCTGGAGCTATGTTTAATTTCAGTTAGCTACAGATGCCTTGAACTAAGAATGACATTAACACATTATTGAAAATTAATTAACTAAACATAAAAGAATCAAATGAATGGAAATAAATTATTGTAAAATCGGCATGGGCACAAAAGTTCTCAGTGTTTACTGCTTTGTAATTAATCATGCTCATTCATAAACTAAATTAATTGTAGCTACAAATGGGACATCTTGCTTGAATTTCTTTTACCTCTGTCTATAATTTTTGTGTGTGTTGAAGATTGATTTCCTTTTTTTCAATTTGCTAATATTTTAGGTTTAAAACCATCTTACCTATTCATTTTACTGTAGAATATTTCCTTACCAAGTTTAGTTTGATGGTCAGCAATAGGTCAATCAATGATTCATTTCTGTCTCTTTCTAAAAAAAAGTCTTTTAATTTTAGACCAGTGGTTATTATGATTATATAAAATAAAATATGTTATAATGGTGTCTCTAGTCACGGTATAATAGTAGGTAACAGAACATTTGAGGGATTCGGTAATTCCTTTCTAAAGTATATTGTCACAGTTTCTAATCTTTTTGACATTGTCTGAAAAGGAAGATTTTATAACCTCACTTTGTAAAATTAATAAAGGTATTAACACTACCATTTAGTTTCATGTTTTTCACATCAATAAGCAGGAATGTATCAAATATATATTATTTTGATATTCATCAATATTGCCTCTGACAACTTTTGAATGCTAAGACTAATCCTCAGATAATACAGCCCAAGAGTTATTACATTTACCCTGAATTTCCGTGGCCAGATACATAACATTGACTTGGAGAAATGAGGAATTAGAAATCACACAGTTTTTCCTATATCAGATGGAGATTACTAAAGTTTAGAAATGTGTTTGCAATATTAATTGGATGCTACTTCAGCAGATTTCTTATACTGATAGTTAAGAAAACTGGTTTGGTGGTGAAAACAATGTAAGAAAGCCAGATGGAGGTTTTAAGGAAAAGAAGGTGAAGTTCTATATCCCCTCATTTAGTAATCATTTACCCTCTGTTTTATGGCAAATAACTGCGTTAGAATTGAAACTAATTATGAATTAGGAGCCTATAAGAAAAATAAAGTAAATATTACAAGGAAATTTAGCTAGGGACGTGAAAAATTCTCCTATAGCTGAAATTTAAATGGACTTAAATACCAAGTTAAGAACAATTCATAAAACCCTAACAATATTGTTAAGAAGGTCAGAAAAAATGTCTACCAAAATCTATAATTAGATAGAATCATGTATATATTTTAATTGGATATTATAGATAATATATTTAGTTACATGAATCTACAAGGAGATAAACTTCATGCAGTATTATCTCAGGACATTACAAAGAGCAGAAAATTTACATTTGGTCTATGTGTAAAGAAAAAAAATAAATTATATCCAACACTGAAAACCTATTCACATTTAAGAAAGAGAGAACATTTTGACATCTCTCATTTTTATATTTTATATCTCAGTGGAAAATAAATGTTACAAACACTTAGAACTCTTGAGGCTGGCATATTTGTTTTTCTAATATGAAATATGGTTTCCCAACATGTAAATTTTGTTTTAAATATGCCCTAAATATTGGATTATTTTTAACAGGTTTTGAATATTAATTTAAACTTGTATATTTACACTACTAGACTTAAAGAGTTATTAGCATGTTTCCTTCAGCAACAGTAGTTTCAGGCTTTTATTTAAATTTCTAAATATGGGCAGTGGTTGCTGAAGTTATTGCTTCATTTCATACCAATAGGCAATACCCTTAAACTTCTTAATTCCTTAAAGTTTAGCTATGTAGTTTTATTGCCCAGTGTGTCCTTAGATTACTATATCTTTCCTAAGTAATTAGACTCCTGTATTTTCTTCCTTTGAGTCTATTGATTTTATAGGGTGTTATACTTGCTCCAGGAGAATAATATTTATTTTCTGTGGCCATTAATCAATGTCACTTGTGCTAAAAGGCTATGCGAGGATTTCTGCCTAATAGCCAAGGAAACTATATTTATTGGTTGGGAAAACCTTAGCTACAGCTACTAAACTGCCATTAGTGGAATCCTTAACAGCTCATTACCACAGTTAGATGTGCTGTGTACAGCATAGCTTGAATGAGAACCACACTTTTTAAGAAAAGTCTTTTGTTTATTCTGCTCTGACAGATCTCAGTCCAGCAGAATCAACTCCAAAGTGATGGCAAGAAAAAGAACTGTGAAAAGATGAAATAGCATCTCTTTTCTTGATATGAAGGAAACATTATGAGGCATTTAAAATAATATGTACAAATTGCTTTATCCCCAAATTATCAATATCTTATGAGGCAATAGCCTCTCTACAGCCAGTCTCAGAAAGAAATTTGCACGTATAATGTTTCAATAAAGAAGTAAACAAGATAAATTTAGCTTCATATTAATAGCGTGACCATTAAATTACACAAACTTGGTAGTATTGAGAATTTTCCACTTATAATTTTGGCGTACATTTATGTATCCGTTTTTAAATAAATGCACATATTTGAATGTTACTGAACAGATGCTGGTAAAATGAAACTTACATGACCAAGAATAATGTATCAAGATGGCAGACTGAGCTCAATGTTCACTTTCCCACTTCCAGCTCCCATTATATGACCAAAAAATGATGCTAAGATTAATAAGTAAATCCAAGATAAGACTGATATTGGCAAAGCAAAATATACCAAAAGTTTCCAGAGACTAGATGGAATCAGCTCTAGTGAGAGACCATAAGAAGCCAGAACCTAAAACACATGCAGAAGAGGGGTTTCAGAGGTGGCAGTTGTTCAGGGTATCTAAAAGATGGATCAGCTGATACAAGATACAGAAGTTAGTACAAGAAATTTCTTCAGGGAGATTAATTGCACTGTATTTGGAGCCAGTTACAGCCTTATGATTATAACTCTATTCCCAGACCTATTCTCTTGTGGTGGGCAGAGGACAACAGGCAAGCTTGTCATGAGACAAAAATGAAACCCAGATGTAAAGCATAGCAAAAATAAATTCTAAAAATAAAATAAACAGGTAAAAGGGCCACGTTTTGAAGGAAAAGCAACCCTTATAATACAGGCAACAAACAAACAGTACTAACATCAAAAGAAACTGATGATGATACAAATAGAAGAAAGTTTAAAATAAACACAGTAAATAATATTGAGGAGAGTCAAGAGAATTTTGCATTTCCATAAAGCAATATGAATTTGTTATGAATAAATATAGAAGTCTTAGACGTTTGAAAAATGAATGTCAGCTGGGCGGGGTGGCTCACGCCTGTAATCCCAGCACTTTGGGAGGCCGAGGCGGGCGGATCACTTGAGGTCAGGAGTTTGACCTCAGCCTGGCCAATATGGTGAAACCCTGTCTTTACTAAAAGTAAAAAAATATTAGCTGGGCATAGTGGTGGGAACCTGTAATTCCAGACTCGGGAGGCTGTGGCAGGAGAATTGCTTGAACCCGGGAGGCGGAGAGTGGACTGAGATTGTGCCACTGCACTCCAGCTTGAGCAACAGAGCGAAACTCTGTCTCAAAAGAGAAAAGAGAGAGAGAGAGAGAGAGAAAGAGAGACAGAGACAGAAAGAAAGAAAGAAGGAAGGAAGGAAGGAAGGAAGGAAGGAAGGAAGGAAAGAAAGAAAGAAAGAAAGAAAGAAAGAAAGAAAGAAAGAAAGAAAGAAAGAAAGACAGAAAGAAGGAAGGAAGGAAGGAAGGAAGGAAGGAAGGAAGGAAGGAAGGAAAGAGAGAGAAAGACAATACAAATGAATATCAAAACAAAAATCTTAATTGACCAGCTGAATGGTAAAAAAAAAAAAAATGCAGCTGAAAAGCAAATAATGATTTGAAAAACTGAGCTAAAGCGTTTTTTCGTATAACTCAATATGATGGAGCAAGTAAATAGAACAACATGAACAAAAGAGATACAGAGAACACAAGGCAGGAGAATAGTGTCTGGAGCCAGGGAACCTAACAGCCAATTCGTGCTGACTTCCTAGAACTAAATGGAATGGAAAACACCACCTCTCTACACCCAAGTAACAAAAGGATCAGAGGCTACACCCTTTACAATCCCCATCTCCTCCCCACCGTATTGCACATGAAAAATATTCTAAGAAATAAAATAATAAAAATATTTTAAAACATGGAATATGATGAAACTTTTTTGTTAAATGATTAAACATTAACTTGAATGATACTAGCGTATTAATCGACCTGTTCCACAGCCCAGTCCAGAATGTTCCCATGATTGATAGGGCAAAGTGGTCCAGTGTGCAGGTTTAGGAACCAAAAAGACTAGGATTCTTGTTCTAACTCTGTGACTCCCTGGCCAGATGACCTTGGGCAAGTTATATATTTTCTCTAAGCTCCAGTCCCCTCAACGTATATGCAATAAAAGTCTCTATATCCTAGTGTCATTTGTGAAGATTAAATGAGATAATCTACATAAAACAGGTAGTGAATACACTGCAGGTCTTCCATAAGTACTTGAATAATGTTAATTATTACTAGTAGTATAACTACTACTGATAAAATTATTCACAATGTTGCTTAGTAATCCAGATATGCATGGACTGCAGGAATATTTTTATGATAATAGATAAAATAAACTATGGGAAATGGAAACAATAAGGCAAAGAGATATTTGTAGAGCTAAAAAAATTGTATCAAGGAAACTATTCACAATATTTTCTATACATTAATTGACAGCAAATTTTGAATCTTTATCTTTCAGGCAGTATTTTGAGACATCAAGTTGACTCCCTCATCCTGCAAACTTGGAAGCCTATTTGGAAATAAACTATCCATCACCAAATAAGATACCCACAAAATGCTAGAAAGAAATCTCCTTTTGCTTCTCCCAAAGTGAGTACATATGTTAGCCTGAACCACATTAGACATCCCGATTCCTATTGACACTGGAAGTTGTTTCAAATCTTGAGCCATAAAATCTTCTCATCTCTGACTAATTCCCTATCCCTGTCAATTGGGTTTGCAATAAGTCTGCCAACTGATTTCTAGGGAATGATTTCTAAGCCAGTCTTCCAACTTTACTTTTTTATTTTTTAAACTTGACTGATTGATTCCAGGACTTTGAGACTTCCATTACCTGGCATTGAATTGTAAAGAAAAAAACCCATCATCTTTTGAGGTAAGGAGCCATGGGAGAAAGACTCTGGTCTATCACACTACAGAGAGGTATTAATCAATTAAAGATTTCTTCAATGCTGCCACACCCCAAAATATATGTATTAATATTTGATTTATATTATAAAACTAATCCCCTTTAGCCTAACTTACATATATATATTGATATTTTATATATGTAAAAATATGTATATATAGCTTTTGAGATTGATTTAACTAAATTACATGATTAATTATTTCAGTAAGGTAGGAATCTGGAACATTGTCAATAATTACCTTTCCCCCTATTTCTCATAGGTCCTTACTTAATCCTTCATTTGCATATTGGCTAATTGTTTCTCTAATATAAGCTATGTTGATATTAGCTATATGATTGAATTAACTTTAAAAGGTATACATCAAATTATCAACTACAGAGAAATAAAATGATTTCCACTCCATAAACATACACAATATACATCAACATATATAGGTGTTTGAGTTCAATATGTGTATATTTTTAAAAAGATTTACGAAGCAGGAAATCTTTTTGAATCCCATTGAGTGAGAGTCACTCCTGCTAGCTGGAGTTAGCCATAAAGCAGAACTCGAAATTTTGCCGCCCGGACCTCTAGAGGGCAGACCTGGAACCTCTCTAGTACCACCTTCAATAGCACAGCAATGGGGAATGAGATGCATAAATCATTTTTAACTATATTCAGACACCTTTTGGGGACAGCTACAAAGTGCTAAGCACAAATAATAAGAAAAAAAATCCACATGGTCAAAGAAAGGAAATTACAATATGATGTAATGCTCTGTAATAGCGGGAGGTTATGAGGAATAGACACAAGGTTCCTTGAAGGAACAAGGAAGGCTTTCTGGAGGAGGTGATAACAAAGCAAAGTATAAATTCGTCAGATATGGAATTTTGGGAGAGTGTTCCAAACAGTGCAAGCAGCAAATACATAAGCTTCAGGTAAAATATATTGTAGGAACACTATATGTAGTTCAGAAAAGCCTCTTGTAGGAAAGCAACACCTTACAGATTTAAATGGTAAAAATGTATAAAAGTAGCTCAAGCATTAAATTTTTGCCAGTTATTGAGCCAATTTTTATTTTCCATATTTCTATTTTTCAATATGTTAAAGATAACTCTAAGCTGGGCTCAGTGGCTCATGCCTATAATCCCAGCACTTTGGGAGTCCAAGGCGGGAGATTGTTTGAATCCAGGAGTTCAAGACCAGCCAAGGCAACATAGCAAGTCCTCAATTCTACTTAAAAAATAAATACATAAATAACACTAAAAACTACATATTAGGATTGCAAAAATTTGCTTCTATAAAACTATGGCCTGCCACTGAAAAGGAGAAAAAAAAGAAAGAACAAAATTGCCAACTTAATTTAAACCTGTACAAGCATACAAACAGACTCAAGTTCTGAAATAGATAATCAAAAATGTTCACCTAACCAATGCATCAAGTGAATTTTATCTGAATGTGCTGTGGCATAATAGTGTTTGGAGGTATTTAGAAGATGGTAAATCCCAGAATCTTTCTAATTATTCTTTGAGAAAAAATAACTTGCACATTTTGAAAATAAATATTTCAATATATAAATAAACTTTCAGTGTATAAAAACAAATTTATAAAACAAGTTTATCTACCTCTTTCATTATATATGAAAGGTTTTTACAAAGACCTTTTTAATAAAGATTCTAAATTAATCTTAAATTAAGGTTCACCTCAACGTTCTTAAATATGAACTAATGTTCAAGCATATAATTATATTTCTAGTTATAGTCTCCTTGACAGCACTGAAATCATTCCAGATAACATGATTCCTATTATAATATACCTAGGGAAAATAACCCAAACTAAAAATTATTAGGGGGTTGGTTATTTAAATACATTATTTTGAAAATGGCATCGAGTATAGCCTGAATTTTTAATTCTAAAACCCAAAACTCAGGCAAATAAACTTATTAATAGAGCTTTGATTGGCCCCTTGGCTAATGATCCGTGGCTCAGAGCATCAATATACCAGGTTTCAGATCATGATAAGTATACCAAATTTCTATAGATTGTCTGGCAAAGCAGATACTATCACTATCTTGTGACAATAGTCTTCTAGGCTTACGTATCTTGCCGGTTTAAAAAAGAAAAAAGAATTCCATTGTCAATGTATTTATTAAAATAACACTGTATTTTATTGATTTAAGCTGGACATCCCTTTACATTTTAACTTCACTGAGATTGGGATGCATAATGAAATTAATGATAGGAAAACATTTTGCTAGAGTTCAATTAGCAGAATTTTTCTTTATTACCTAAAATAATAATTCAACTTCAAATGAATGGCTGCAGATTTGCTAAAATATGGTTATACTACTATTACTGCTAATAGTAAAAATGGTAATGATAATAAGTAGTAATCAACATTTACTGATTGCTGTCAATATGCCAAACCTTATTTGGTTATATTATTTGTATTAAATAATTTAATCTTCAAAACCTTCAATGAACAGAGAAGTTAACAAAAGTGGGGTGGAACTGATGATAAATCTGTTTGATTACATGTGCTAGAATTCAGATACATTCTTCTGTTTGTAAAGGAAAAAAAGTCTTTTAAAATTAAATAAGGAAGATATTTGTGCTATATATTACTGTCTTAAAATTATCAAAAATATCAAAGGACTATTAACTTATATCTGTTCTTTAATTTTTACTCTATTGTTCATTACGATACCATAAAATGACTATATAATGCCCGTTATTATGGTAAACCACCTTCTTAACATTTACATCTGAATATAATTACATATGAAAGGAAATACTCAAAAATCAATATTTTTATTCTGTTTTTTAATCAATAAAGAGAATACTCAGCAACTTTTTAAAAATATTTACTCGTAGTCATCCTATAATCCTTTGCATTTAAAAACATTTTCCTATCTGCTAATGTTTTTACATTATTGGACATAAAGTAAATGCTTGTCAAAAATCAATAGTCTCCAAATTCATAACTTATATTTATCTAATCCTTAAGCACTACACAGTTCTAAACAAATAGATTTTATACTCACATCTGTGATATTTTGAAGTTACCTGAGAAGAATATTAATGAGGGACACAAATAATTACTAAAAATACTCCTTTGATCAATTTCATAGTTATCTGATATTAAATTTCCAAGTTAAAAAAATTTAAACATAATTTTAAAAAGTCAAGGGTCTTCCTTATTCAAGAAAATTGGTTTAATTCTTTAACACAAAATATTTCACCATATGGTCATAACCAGCACTATTGGCAAAGGGCCTTACATATATTGGATAGTCAGGAAATATTTGATGAATGAATGAACAGATGCATGAATAAGTGGATAACAAACATAAGCATATTCATCTATTTTATTTCTAAAAATGTCTCAAGTTAACATTTTTCATTTGAAAGATATTTTCAATTACTTACTGAGCTGTATTTTTGCAACTATGCAAATGATAGCACTAACTTTAATTGTATTCATTTATCTTTAATCAGCATTATTTTATTCTACTAGTCTACAGGGGGGTTTTACACATTACAAAATGCAAATTATGATACATCTCGAGTTTAAGAGAATGTCATTTGTTTTTGGATTCCCCTACGACACAGTCGAGATTTATTTATTTATTTAAGTAATCACTCATTGGCCAAATGTGTTCTGATTTGTTTCTGATAGAAACAAATGTCAAAATGACAGAAATTCTTCCTTATCATATTATCATTACGTTGGACACCAAGGACATGAAGATGAATTAAATATGTTTCTCACCCTTGATGAACTCCTAGTAGGTTGTTTAATGCACATTTGTTGAATAAATGAATGAACAAATACAAAAATTTTGAAAGCGCTGCACATTCAGTCATTGTATTTAGCAATATAGAGAATGAGAAGACAGTGACTATACTCATTTTAACAGTTCACAACACTGTACTCTATTCATAAAACCACACATCTTAAAATTACTGACAGGCTCATAGACTATGCTGGCTACATTAGATTAATTTCATAGGAGCATATTTAGTCTTATCTACAAAATTAGAATGTTCACAGGGGTAAACACTGCTTTGAAGTTCAAGAGTGTGAATGAATAGAATCTTTTCCTAAGAGAAAATAAGGAAATTGACAGCATTCAGAGAACTATATTTGTTCCTAAAATAAGTCTATTCATTCAGTCACAGCCATGTAAATTGGCAGCTGCTCTGACTTAGAGAACAAGATTCATGCTTTACATGACATTTATCTTAGCCCCTGTGGACAGAGTTCACATGAGTAAGCCTATATTGACCATGGCCCTTTTTAAAGATTTAGAGTATCTATGAAATGAAATGCTTACAGCAAAAAATGTTTTTCTAAACAGAAATTTTAGTTATATGTTTTTCTAAACAGAAATTTTAGTTATATGTTTATCAAAATAAAAATCATTAAAACTTATTATAACTTCTGTAGTATGTTGATTTGGTGTCCCCCAACCCCCCAAAAAGATATTTCTACCTGGAACCCATGAATGTGATCTTCTTTGGAAAAAGGATCTTTGCAGATGTAATTAAGTTAAGGATGTTAAGATGAAATCATCCCAGATTATTCAGGCAGGCCCTAAATCCAAAAACAGGTGTCCTTATGAGATAAAAGCAGAGGAGATTTGAAATACTCAGAGAAGAAAACCATGTGAAGATAGAGAAAGAGACTGGAGTTAACACAGCTACAACCAAGGAACACTTGGGGGCTACTAGATGTTGGAAGGGGCAAGAACATATTCTTCCCTCAAGCCATTAGAAGAAGCAACACTTTGATTTTGGCCTTATGACCACCAGCACTGTAAGAGAATAAATTCCTATTGTTTTAACACATCAAGTTTGTTGTATGTTGTTACAGTGGCCACAGGAAGCTAATATAGCTACCAAATCAAAACCATTTTCAAAACAGTCTATTTTAAGTGGTATAAGGAAGTTGAGAGTGAGAGAGTTACTTAAATGAGATTGCTGGGTTTTAGGATTAGAATTACACTTGAAGATGTAGCAATAAATTGAGCTAATCATTCCTCCCAATCTTTCATTATATAAATAAAAATCAATGGCTGAAATTTGGTTTCCTGAGACAGTTTTTCACCCCCATCTCTTTGACAACCTGTTGCTTCTAAATGTCCCGGACATTTGTATCCTCCCACCTGTCTGTACTCCTACTAATCTTCTTTAGAAATATAACATCTCTTGTCTAAAGAAATACTCTCCTTCCTTGAGCCATATCTGTATTCTAATTCACCTATCCCTCATAAGCCAGAATAATCTTCCTATTGTTTCCATAACTTCCGTTTTAAAATCCTCAATCAATTCTTGTTAACAGGGCAAATTTTACCAGCTTTGGAATGCTCTTCAAGATGCAGCCCCAACATGTTTTTCCAGCCTCGTTTTTTGACCATGGATTGCCCAAGACAGTGTTAAGTGCCTCCTTGTTGCTCGTGGAGCATCCTGAGACTGCTGTTACAGGATTTATCACAAAGCTATATAACCCTCTGCCTCTCCCACTAGACTATGACTCTCTTGAAGACATGGATAAGGTATTATTTACCTTTTAACCCTCAAAAACTAGTACTGCAGCAGGACTATCAAATCTAAGCTTCTGGTGGTCTAAACATAATCACCAGGTGTGTATATTTGCAGGAAAACAAGAGTATTGTAATTATTATTATTTTATTTGTTTATTTATTTATTTTTGAGAATCAAAACAGCAAGTTTTCTATTAAGGATTTCAAAAGGGAAGGGGTATAATAACAGAGAGTAAGTACAAAGATCACATGCTTCAAAGGGCAAAAAGCAGAACAAAGATCACATGCTTCTGAGGGAACAGGACAAAGGGCAAAAGCAGAATTACTGATACGGGTCCAACAAAGATCCCAAGGCAAAGGGCAAAAGCAGAACTACTGATAAGGGTCTATATTCAGTAGTGCACGTATTGTCTTAATAAACATCTTAAACAACAGAAAACAGGGTTCGAGAGCAGAGAACCAGTCTGACCACAAATTTACCAGGGTGGAGTTTTTTCCCCACCCTAGTAAGCCTGAGGGTACTGCAAGAGACCAGGACATATCTCAGTCCTTATCTCAACCACATAAGACAGACACTCCCAGAGGGGCCGTTTATAGACCTCTCCCCAGGAATGCATTCCTTTCTCAGGGTATTAATATTAATATTCCTTGCTAGGAAAAGATTTTAGCGATATCTCTCCTACTTGCACATCCATTTATAGGCTCTCTACAAGAAGAAAAATATGGCTCTTTTTGCCCAACCCAGCAGGCAGTCAGACCTTATGGTTGTCTTCCCTTGTTCCCTAAAAATTGCTGTTATTCTGTTCTTTTTCAAGGTGGACTGATTTCATATTGTTCAAACACACATGTTTTACAATCAATTTGTACAGCTAACACAATTATCACAGTGATCCTGAGGTGATGTACATCCTTAGCTTATGAAGATAACAGGATTAAGAGATTAAAGTAAAGACAGGCATAAAAAATTATATAAGTATTATTTGGGAATTGATAAATGTCCACGAAATCATCACAATTTATGTCCCTCTGCCGTGGCTCCAGCTGGTCCCTCCGTTTGGGGGTCCCTGACTTCCTGCAGCAGGACTAAATGAATTTAAAATTTTATTTTAAATTTAGTCCCATGTGTTTAGTGGCCACAGTATTGGACAGTGCAGATATAGAACATTTCCATTATCACAGAAAGTTCTATTAACCAATGCTGAGCTAAGCTAGACTCAATGTTTTTGGAAGAGCATTTCAGCTAGGTGCAGTGACTCAGGCCTGTAATCCCAGCACCCTGGGAGGCTGAGACGGGTGGATCACCTGAGGTCATGAGTTCAAGACCAGCCTGGGCAACATGGCGAAACTCCATCTCTACCAAAAATACAAAATTAGCCAGGTTTGGTGGTACATGTCTGTAATCCAAGCCACTCAGGAGGCTGAGGCAGGAGAACTGCTCGAACCCAGGAGGCAGAGGCTGTGGTGAGCTGAGACCACACCACTGCACTCCAGCCTGGGCAAGACAGCGACACTCTGTCTCAAAGAAAAAAAAAAAAAAAGCATTTCACAGGTAGTGATGTGAACTTCCTTCAGAAGGCATATAATGTCTGGATGTTTCTCTTTGTATTAATTTAGCAGTCATTTAAGGCCATTGCCTGGACCTATTACTTCATTAGGGGTTGCAAAGTTATGACATTATAATTCTATCATCTCCAATCTATTTTATTGACTGGAATGCTTTTAGAAAAACAAAACAAAACAAAACTTCCTTTATCAACCATTTCGGTTACCGTGAAGAATAAATTTATACAGGAAAGTTAGGATCCAAAGGTGACCAATTAGGGTTGTTTTTTAGTATAATTATGAACTTGTGCACTTAAAAATATTTGATATGTTTTAATTCATTGCAGTTATTGTTCTTATTACTACTCAAATTGTCTTATCTCTAGCCAGGATTGTCTTTGGAATCCTTTTCACATGACCCCAGAAGCTTTTGATAACATTTTTCTGATACAACAAGATATTTTAGGCTCATCCTGTACATTTTTCCCTCAAACATGGAATCAGCCACACTTCCAAAAAGTCATTGTTTATTTTAAGACGAAATTATATTTAGGTAGTATGGTCTGGGCCCTAAGGGGTGCCAAATGGTACTGGGCTGGTCATTGTTTCTAAGCCTTTTCAGTGGACAATGCTAAGAACTGCATTTTTTTTTTTTTTTTTTTTTGACGGAGTCTCATTCTGTCACCCAGGCTGGAGTGCGGTGGCGCAATCTCAGCTCACCGCAAACTCCACCTCCAAGCTCAAGCAATTCTCCGCCTCAGCCACCTGACTAGCTGGGACCACAGGCGCTTGCCGCCATGTCCAGCCAATTTTTGCACTTTTAGCAGAGATGGGGCTTCACCATCTTGGCCAGGCTGGTCCTGAACTCCTGACCCTGTGATCCACCCACCTCAGTCTCCCAAAGCACTAGGACCACAGGCGTGAGCCACCATGCCCAAACTTTTTGTTGTTGTTGTTGTTGTTGTTTTTATTTTATTTTATTTCATTTTTTAAGACAGGTCTTTCTATGTCCCTCAGCCTGGAATGCCGTAGTGCAATCATGGCTCACAGAAGTCCCAACCTCACAGGCCCAAGCAATCCTCCCACCTCAGCCTCCCCAGTAGCTGGGACCACAGATGCATGTCACCACACCTGGTCAACCTGTTGATTTTTTGTAGAGACGGGGTCTCACTCTGTTGCCCAGGTTGGTCTCCAAGCCCTGGGCTCAAGCCATCCCCCTGCCCCAGACTCCCAAAGTGCTGATACTACAGGCATGAGACACCATGCCCAGCCAAGAAATACTTTCCTTTTTTTTTTTTTTTTGAGACAGAGTCTCACTCTGTCGCCCAGGCTGGATTGCAGTGGCATGATCTCAGCTCATTGCAATCTCCACCTCCCAGGTTCAAGCAATTCTTCTGTCTCAGCCTCTCAAGTAGCTAGGGCTACAGGCACTCACCCCAACGCCCAACTAATTTTTGTATTTTTACCTGAGATGGGGTTTTGCCATGTTGGCCGGGTGTAATTATTATTTTAACATTCCGAAGAAGATTATGCACCTTTGAGGAGGTACAAAGAAGGCAGGGATGATTAGTCTAGCTCCAGAAATACAGACTTGAAAGAGAGCTTGATGATAAGGTAGAAGAATTTATCATAAGACACTGTTTTAAGGCCTGGGTAAATATATTGAATTGGATAGCATTCCCTCAAAGTTCATGCCCACAGGAAACTATTAATGTGAATGAATGTGACCTAATTTGGAAATAGGGCCTTTGTAAATGTAGTCAAATTAAGATAAGGTTACAGAGGGTTAGGGTAAGTCCTAAATCCAATATTACTGTTCCCCTTATAAAACAGGGAAATTTGGACACAGGGACACAGTCACACAGAAGAAGAGATAGAGATTGGAGTGATTCATCTATAAACTAAGGAATGCCAAGGATTGCTGGCAATTATCAGAAGCTAGAAGAGGCAAGGTTTCTTCCCTAGAGCATCTTTTGTTTTTCCAAGCAATCCTCCTGCATCAGCCTCCTGAATATCTGGGATTACAGGCATGCACCATCATGCCCAGAAATTCCCTAGAGCCTCTGAAGGAACCATGGCCCTGCCAACACTTTGATTTGAGACATCTAGCCTGAAGAACCCTGAGAGAATACGTTTCTATTGTTTTAAGCCACCCAGTTTGTCATACGTCATTACTGCAGCCCTAAGAAGCTAACACAGCAACTAAACAAGATATTGAATGTGGGGAACAGCATTTTCTTCATTTCTGTGTAGAACATCACTTGGATTTAGTGCCCATGAACTTGATAATTTGTAACTTTGGAAATACTGGAGAAAAACCTCTCTTGACTCAAACTCAGCGTTGTCACTGTGCATGCTGGCCCAAATAGCAGTTGTGAGATGCCATTCTCAAGTGCCTTCAAGAACAGACAGCATTAACAAAATAAAGCCAAAGTGGAAGATTATAGAATGTTAATCTACTCAGCCTATGTGACACTCTCTGGGATCTCCCCAGAACAAGTAGGTGAGATTTTTTAGGGGAGCTGCTCAAGTTTTAAGGACAACTCCATTGCAAACTCTACTCTTGCCTGCTTAGAAAGTAGTTCAAAACAACTTGCTTTAAAGTAAAACTATTCACATAAATGTCCAACTCTAAACAGACACGGGCTTTGTGAAAATGACTTAAAATGAAACTGGATGATTAAATTTGTATTATTCAAGATGTAACATGGAGATCTGTAGGTAGATGCTAAAAAAAATAGCTTGGATACTTTATGCTATCATAAACGGAGTGGTCAATGACATTTAGATATCTGTTATCTTTAGAGTATTATTTGATCAAATCTGGGCATTTATTTTTAATTTCTTTTATTTTACTGCTTCAAACACACCTCTCACATTGCTTTATTTGAACATGGAGACATAGCCTCTTTTCTCACTAAATAAATCCCATTACCCTTCAACCATTCTTCCTGTTTAAAAGTACATAGTCAACACTAAATAACTGACCCTAATTCTTAAACATGTAGCTGGCATTTAATAAAATCATGGCTGAATGTTGAGTAAAAAAATGTACATAATATTGTTTACTTGTGCACCCTTTATTGGCATCTAGCTTGTATATTATAACCTCTTTTCCTCTTTTAAGTATTTTTCTTCAGCCAGGCGCAGTGGCTCACGCCTGTAATCGCAGCACTTTGGGAGGCGAAGGCGGATGGATCACGAGGTAAGGAGAACAAGACCATCCTGGCTAACACGGTGAAACCCCGTCTCTACTAAAAAAAAAAAAAATATATATATATATATATATATATATATATATATATATATATATATATATATATATATATATATATATATAAAAATTAGCCGGGCATGGTGGCGGGTGCCTGTAGTCCCAGCTACTCGGGAGGCTGAGGCAGGAGAATGGGGTGAACCCAGCAGACAGAGCTTGCAGTGAGCCAAGATCGCGCCACTGCACTCCAGCCTGGGCAACAGAGCGAGACACTGTCTCAATAAAATAAAATAAAATAAAAATAAATAAATCTTTTCCTTCCTCTTCCAATTCACTGTCAACAGAGATCTTTTTCTAAAATGTAAATCTGTTTTTTGTCTTCAGTGATTGGCCATTGTCCTTGGGATACAGTTTGAACCTATATCAGGGCTTTCAAGGCAAACAAGAAAAGTCTTAGACAATGAGGTGAAGGACCAACTCTCAGACAAATCTTCCACTCAAAATTTTGTGCCTGGGACCTGTTTCTCTGAATTGCCCTTAGCTCCACTCCCCTCCTGGCATGTTCCTACTCAGCAGTCCCTCTGTCAATCATTTGGCATGTTATTTAGCAACATTTTTCAAATTGCTTTGTAATTATTTGTTTCTGTTTCCACCCCCTACCCCCACCTCCCAAGTAATTTGGAGCTCCCTGAATATCACTCAATGCATCAACTCACTTGGGGGTAGTGCCTACAACCACCAATAGTAAACTCACTTCAGCTCTCTCCATTACAGTGTCTAGTATTTTCAACAGGAGGATGACCCACTGCCCTTAAAATGAACTTCCAAGTGCCAGTACTTGAGGCCCTTTGACCTTGAACAGTTTTAGAATGCAAAGTCACAGGGGTGTGAGGTACTCCATTTGCATTCCACACTCTAATGAGAGCACAACTCATTTTTACATATTTGATTGCATCATATGTTTTATACCAAAATAGAGCATTCCCTAAATAAAGAGAAATATCTATAATTAGATTTTTATAGCGTAGGACTACTGACCAGAAAAAAAAAAAATGCATTGGTGCATTGGCTGCCAGGAATAATGTATTAGACAAAACACAATGTAAACTTCAATTGTTGTTAAACAGTTCTTTCCTTTTGACAATGACTAGACATATATATATATATATTTTAACTTTTTTTTTTTCAATTTATATGCCCCCTACTTGGTTTTCATCAAGTTCACATCAGGGGAACCCTGTGATAATCAGACAGAAAAAGGTTCAGCATAGGAAAAGCTCAATAAGCAGTGGGAAGCAGACCTGAATTCATAACAACCACTGAAAAGTGGACTGAAACCCAGGTAAATCAACTATGAAAAAAGACGAATTATGAGAAACAGAAAACAATTCGAGATAATCACTGTTAATTACAGAGAAATAAGTTCATATTAAAAACTGTCTTAGATTGCATTATTCTGTAACATATTCATATCTAGCAGCTTTTATTTTAAATTTATAAAAAATCTACTGGCATATCATGCAAATTTTAAAAAATCTAGTATGAAATATTAGTTAACATGTTTTAACTTTTGTTCTCTAAACTTTATGAATTTTTAAGTACAATTGGTTTTTACTTGATTTCAACATTTGTGGAGGAGAGGGGTGGACAAATCTATATTTAATATGCAAGATGAAATTCTAGAAAAATAGGACCTGTATTTTATATTTTCAGTTAATAAGCTTTTTACATAGTGGTGTTACCCACATATTAATTACAAATAAATAATGATAGTGAGATACCTTACCTTGCATAGTATCTCTGAATAAGGTAATTAACTCCTCAATGCCTCATTTTCTCATCCATAAAATGGGCATAATATATACATTTGAGCATTATTTGGGGACTTATAAAAAGAAAGATATGAAACACTGCCTCATAGTTGTCACTTAATAAAAGGTAGTTGTCATTTTTATTATTATAAAGTGCCAGATGCATGGAAAACATCAAATGATTATACTCATTACAAATTATTTTTAAAATGTCACTAAAATTTTTTAAATAATTAAATATGCAGCGTATTTGAAATGTGATTTACTTTGAGAAAAAAGAGCACACACAAGTATAACAACAGTCTTTCAATATGATAAAAACATATCAGGTGTGGATTTTGCTGCACTTGTATTTTCAAACTAGAATACTACGAAGGTAATAGAATGCAACTTCCTTGAGTGTACATTATCTTTAAATAATTTCTTGGAAAAATACATTGTTTTTATTCTTAAAAAATAAGTGGTATAGAGAAGAGTAAAAAAGCT
The DNA here is from genome assembly GCF_000001405.40 of Homo sapiens. Classification (NCBI taxonomy): domain Eukaryota; kingdom Metazoa; phylum Chordata; class Mammalia; order Primates; family Hominidae; genus Homo; species Homo sapiens. The sequence goes on from NC_000002.12 coordinate 212,017,284, forward strand.
AATAAATGTTATTTATAAACCTTGAAACTTCTCATTTTGTGCAAGTGGCTTTGAGAGACACACAACTCTATTTCAGTATAACCCAAAACTCATTTGTTGGCCACCAGACAGTAGAATGAAAAGGTTGAAAAGAATCTCAAGTATGAAAAGATTGAGAAGAATTCCCTGGAACATAATGTAATAAAACTTATTTTCAATTAAAAATATGCATCTTATTCAGAGACACTATGCAAGGTAAGATAAATTTCGACTCAGTTGTGAATGCAAAGGCCATGCTCTCTCAGTATACAATGTTGTTGCATATAAAAATTAATATTTATTCCACATCTAATTTTCCTTGGGCATTTTTAGGAAGACATTCATGAAGTTTTGCACATCAGCCAAGACTCTTAATACCTGGAAGTGACTATTGTATATTAAATAATAATTTCCAAGTAAGCCATTTGATGGTGCCTCCACTCTGGCCTACAGTGGATATATCTTAAAAGAGCTTGCCCAAATAGATGGTTTGCCTCTGGAAGTTTAGTGATAACTATTACTACTAATCTCTAATGAGTATTAGCAAAATGATTCCTGAGAAAATAAGCATGCCACACTGAAAATTTTCTATCTTGATTTCTAACATAATCTGACAAAGATAATGTTTTAATGTAGAAAAAGAAGCTATTGGCATTATCCTTGATGATTCATCAAAGAGGACAACCATATGGGAGATCAACATTATACTTAGCTTAAATGCAGAGTCTTGAATGGAAAATATAATTTAGGGCTAAAGAAATATGGCTAAACTATAAGAAATTGTTGCTGGCCCTGGGAACACTTTTAGGTAAAGTATTAACCACCACCCCAGGAAGAATAACAAATCCTACCAGATGTTTCATTAAAAGTATAAGTATATTGGGAAAGGAATATTGTGAGGAGGGACTTACAGAGTCATCCAACAAGCCACAGCAGGACTAGGATATCACATCTTCAATAATTCTCTCACCTTTAGGTTTAACCTGAGATAAAGAATACAAGGGTCTCAGCAGCTATCCTGTTTCTATTTTGGATAGCCCGGAGTGCTCCATTTCCCAGTATTCCTGGGGGATATGACATATTAATGATATCAAAATATTGAGTCACTTACCAAATGTGACCTAAGGATTCTAGAGTGAGAAAATATTCTACCTTGATGTATTTGGAAATAAACCAGCATAGAAGATTAAGACCTTAAATTATCATCTTTAAGGAACTAAACATTAATGTCTAGTTCATTGTTTCTTAATTTTGTTTCACAGACCCCTTTGAAAAGCTATTGAAAGTTATATACGCTTAAATACTAGGTATAGAGAAATGCATTTACTCAGTGTAACTTGCAGATAATTTTATAGGGTTCATAGAACACATTAGACAAGACTAAAGACACCAGTTCAAGACCCTCTGGGTCTGTATTTGTCAGTTCTTTTCAAAATCTCTTTCAATGAATATATATTTTCCTCCTGATTTTCAGTTATTTCACAGCATTCTTGGTCAAAACTTTAAGGGTACTTAAAGGAGACAGGGAGAACATTCAAATTGGGCAATCTGGGGATAGTTAAATAAAAGATTTATTTACAAAGGCATGCACAAAGTGTAGTAAAAGCAACAAGAAATAGTTCAAGACCCAATAACTGGCGAATCATTACATTAAAAAGTGAGGGGGAGCGGTGGTTATGGGAGCTCATAACTACTGTCATCTTATCTCTGACAGGCACATTCATTGACATATACCAAACAGAAGCCAGAGTACAAGAAGCCTGGTTGATGTAGTTCATAGAGGTCATCCTCCCGAAGCACAGAGCAGCAAAGAGAAGGGTAGAGGAAGTACCTAGAGGGACAATGTAGAATATCTGAGAAATTAGCAAAGCAGGTTTCTTTACAAAAATAATGCAATTTCTTTCAGGAAGGTCTTAGAAAATGTCTGGCTCTTTAATAGTATGTATGATGCGCCCTTATTATATAGCCATCTTTAAACAATAACAATGGAAACTTCTAAATCCTGCTGAAAAATAAACCTTATTTTTCCATATGTGTTTGCTTATTCATAATCTGCCGTTTTTAATTAAAAAAGCATTTAAGGTTATCTACAAAAATGCAAACATAAAAAATTTAGCACACTAACATAAAATGATGAATGGAAAAACACATGTAAAAGGGAAACAAGAATAGAAAAATAGGCAGGGCACGGTGGCTCTCACCTGTAATCCTAGCACTTTGGGAGGCCAAGATGGGCAGATTGCCTGAGCTCAGGAGTTTGAGACCAGCCTGGGCAACATGGTGAAACCCCATCTCTACTAAAATACAAAAATTCAGCCAGGCATGGTGGCGGGCGCCTGTAATCCCAGCTACTTAGGTGGCTGAGGCACAAGAATTGCTTGAACCCAGGAGGTGGAGGTTGCAGTGAGCCAAGATTGTGCCACTGCATCCAGCCTGGAAAACAAAGCAACATTCTGTAAAAAAAAAAAAAAAAAAGGAAAGAAAGAAAAGAAAAAAAGAAAGAATGGAAGGAAGGAAGGGAGGGAGGGAGGAAGGGATAAGATGGGGTCAAGGATAAATCTCTTATTTTGAAATCCAAAACAAGCTAGAGATGGGGTCTATATTTAATGTTAAGTATACTTGCAGTCAATAAAATGGTAACTAATTTGCTTACATAATTTAAAAGGTAAATTTTATAATTATAAGAAAAAACATCCTTACTCTGGAAAGTATAATTTCTAGAAACAGAAAAATGATTCTTATGTAGATACTCATAGAGAAAATTCTGCTACCTAATGAATGAACAATATATTCCACAGCATCCTTAATGCATATGTATGTCTACAGAGAATAAGATGCATATTCTGCTTGGGATATAAGACATGTTCTTTTATTAAAGCAAAGGAGTTCTGATTTACTAGGAGTAAGATTTCTTCAAAGTTCAGTAGAAGATCAAACTACTTAACAATCCTACGCTTCATCTTTTCTCTCTAAAAAAAATAGACTCAATATGCTAGGACAATATTAGAACTTATCATATATAGAGGTTCAAAAAATAATTAAATGAATGAGTGATTTTTGGGGATTATCAGCCTTCTCACTTGTTCTACTGGATATATCCAGGTTTACTGAATCCTAGGTCACCTTACAATGAGAATATATCTCTGTTAAAGCTTTTTAATGTTTTCCTAAGTTTTTTCAACATGTATTTTATTTTTAAGCTAGGTTAACTTATATATCTATTGGTATATACGTTTGCTCTTTCTTTTACTTATATTTATGTAAATCAAACTCAGAATGCTTTATAAAAGTGTTACCTACAAATGTATCCTCAAGCTATTTAAGGTTTTTAGAGTTTTTATTGCCTCATACACTAAGAATAAAATACATATTCTTCTTAAATAATACCAATTAAGCTTTTCTCACAATTCTCAGCCTACTGCCTGTAGTAGTTACTTTACTGATATTTGTCTTCCATTTGTTAATAATTCAGATCATTCAACATGCAATTGGTATCACAGAAACAAAGTCTTCTTTCAAGTTTCCATTTTGGTGCCATTAGGTAATTTTCAGGAATTATTCTATGTCACTTATTACTAAACAGGTTTTTGTTATAGTTCATATTTTTTTTACTGCTACCAGATTTTCTTATCATTAAAATCATATGTCTACATAAAAAGGTAAGAAGAGGTAATCATAATGTATTTATGGATTACATAGAATAGACAGATCCATATACTTTACATTGATGAATCTAGTTTTAGAATATAAAAATATGCTCACCATGATTATATAGCACTTTCTTATATGTTTTAGTAAGATAATGAATATTTTATTCCTGATAGATGTTTACTTTTCTCTTCTTACCTTTTTGATCCAGACATATGATTTTGATCTAGAAATACGATGATAAAAATAATTAGACCTTTAGAATTCCTATTCAATAGGTATAATAATTATTGTCTGATGCCTAAGTCTTAATGCATGATTCCAATGGCACTCAAAAGTGACCCTTTAAAAACTATAATCTTGTGTAGTTTGAAGTCGGGTAGCATGATGCCAAAAGAGCATGGTACTGGTATAAAAACAGGCACATAGACCAATGGAACAGAATAGAGAACTCAAAAATAAAACCACACATCTATAATCATCTGACCTTCGACAAACCTGATGAAAACAAGCAATGGGGAAAGGATTCCCTGCTTAACAAATGGTGCTGGGAGAACTGGTTAGCTATATGCAGAAAATTGAAACTGGAATCCATTTCTCACCACTTATACAAAAATTTACTCTAGATGGATTAAAGGCTTAAATGTCAAACCCAAAACTATAAAAACCCTAGAAGAAAATCTGGGCAATACCATTCAGGACATGGGCACAGGCAAAGATTTTATCATGAAATCGCCAAAAGCAATTGAGACAAAAGAAAAGATTGATAAATGGGATCTAATTAAACTAAAAAGCTTCTGCAAAGCAAAAGGAACTATCATCAGAATGAACAGACAACAAAATGGGAGAAAATTTTTGCAAAATTTCTTAAACAAATTTACAAGAAAAAAAAACATTAAAAACTGGGCAAAGTACATGAACAGCCACTTCTCAAAAGAAGACATTTATGTGGCCAAGAAACATACGAAGAAAAGCTCAACATCATTGATTATTAGAGAAATGCAAATCAAAACAACAATGAGATACCATCTTACACCAGTCAGAATTGTGATTATTAAAAAGTCAAGAAACAACAGATGCTGGCAAGGTTTCAGAGAAATAGGAATGCTTTTACACCATTGCTGCGAATGTAAATTTGTTCAACCATTGTGGAAGACAGTGTGGCAATTCCTCAAATATTTAGAACTGGAAATACCATTTGACTCAGCATGACTCAGCAATTCCATTACTGGGAATATACTCAAAGGAATATAAATCATTCGATTATAAAGATACATACACACATATGTTCACTGCAGCACTATTCACAATAGCAAAGTAATGGAATTGTCCCAAATGCCCATCAATGATAGACTGGATGAAGAAAATTTGGTACATATACAAGATAAAATACTATGCAGCCATAAAAAGGAACCAGATCGTGTCATTTGCAGGGACGTGGATGAAGCTGGAAGCCATTATCCTCACCAAATTAAAGCAGGAACAGAAAACCAAATACCACATGTTCTCACTTACAAGTAGGAGCTGAACAATGAAAACACATGGACACAGGGAGGGAAACAACACACACTGGGACCTGTCAGGGGAGTGTAGAGTGGGGAGAGCATCAGGAAAAAGAGCTAATGTATGCTGGGCTTCATACCTAGGCCATGGTTTGATAGGTGCAGCAAACCACCGTAGCACACATTTACCTATGTAACAAACCTGCACATCCTGCACGTGTACCCCAGAACTTAAAAAATAAAAAACATAAAAAACTATAATCTGAAGGAAAATTAACTGGGTTTGAGTTTTATTTGTATTTTTTTGTTTCAAAGTTTTATTATAATGATAGAAATGGTCACAAATGAAATAATTCATTTCTTCAGGTAAAGAGTATCCTCTTTTGAAAGGCAAATCTTCCTGCTTCTAGAGGAATTCATCTTAGTGAGGATTTATGCAATTAGATGACACTTCTTCCTGGTAATTACTTTATGTGGAAGTAAGGAGGGCCATCTTTATGGTGGTGGGAAAGGGCAGGTACATTGCAGAGGTATAGAAGTTTGAAGTTCATTTTTTTTTTATTACGTTTTTATTTTTTCATTTGCACATAACTTATTGTTTAGGAAATTTCACTAGAAAGATCTCTGTCATGGAATATCTGCCTAGGGAGTATAGAGAAAAGTATGAGAATCATGGGAACACTGTTTAATCTGGAGATCTCCAGCCTGGACATGAGCCATTATACAACTCAAGCTTTTATGCTTATCTGATGAGTTATATTTATATCTCAGCTTCACTTCTAAACTTTGAAATTACTTTACTACATAATTTTTGTAGTCCATTGTAGTTCATTTTGAAATTTCATCCCTAATGTCTTTTCCAGTTCTGCAATTCTGTGATCTGTCATCTTCTGAACTGGGTATTACATGTTCTCTCTCACACACACCTATGAGATGATATTTCCAGATGTTTATCTCTTAAGAATGCACTAGCCAACAAGCTTTAAATGATAGACAGGGATGGTTCAAGTACAAAAAGCAGTTTGTTAAGTATTAGATTAATAAAAGCGTTTATACAAGTTAATTTTTTAAAAAAAACAGATGAATAAGTCAATCAAAATCTCAAAAATAATGATTGAATCAGTGCAACTTCTCTTTCTCAATTTATTAATGAAATATATGCAGACTTCAACATGCATCATGCAAAAATTTACTGAGATGGATAATACAGACATATTGAAATGGATAATATCAATGTAAATTTCTGCTAATTCAACTTTTCTTTTGAAAAAAAAAAGAAAACAATTTTATTGCTCTGATGAGTAGATTCAATTAAATCAAATGTCCCCATGGGTGTCTTTGAACGGTAGTGATACCTAAACTGGAAAGGAAACGTACCTTTTGAACAATATCCAGGAAATGAATATGTGTCTGTGATGATTTTTAGGACAAAATAGAAAATATACAACAAAAACTTACACACAAAATATTGGCTTTTTTTTTTTAGGAAAACAAATCAATTATAATTTCTGGAAACTAATCAAATAAAGGAGCTCACTCCCTTTAGAGTATAATGAGCTTCATTTGTCTTTTGTCCCCAAAATTCTAATTAGATTGTCTTCCATTTTCTCTCTTCCCTTCTCTCCCCTTTTCTCTCAGGCAGACACAATCTCGATACCCAGGGTATTTTAGGTGTGAGCTGACTTAAATCTTTGTATTTCAAACTGCTTAATCAAGCATAAATGGACACAGAGTGTTTCATTCTCTTTTAAGAATGTATTATCTCAGCCCAGATGAAATGACTGGCTCTTTCATTCTATACCTCTGTCCCCCTTCTTGCTCTACCTAATTTCCAAAATAGATTGTGGTTCTTCAAAACAACTTGCTGCAAAGCACATAAAAAAAAACAAAGAGCTTTGTTAATGTTATCTTTATATTATCAGAAGCAATAATGTTTCCATTATTTATGACATACCCCACCACACAGAAAATCAATGTTAATAACCAAGGAACACAAAGAAAATCCCTTATTGCTTCGTGTTCACACAGAAGTTCTAAGACAGAAACAGGCTCAAGTTGTTCCTTAGATCTCCATACTTCTTAGAATCCCTTGACAACATTCTTGTAAGTCATTTTGACATTCAAAAGGAGATACATCAAAAAGGTTCTATTTTCAAAATCATTTTCCTTTTTCTTTTACTGACAGTCTAACAACACCTATCACTTCCTACTTACCTCTCACTCTCTTCATGTGTTGTCCTCCAAATCTGTGGATAAATCATGTGACATATTCAACGACATAAAAAGGAAAAGAGTCAAGTATTCAAACAGAAAGGGTTGACTGAGCAGGTGGCCTAAAATCAATCCTAAAATCTACACTCTAGAGAGTAAAATTATATTGGAGTCTGATGTGATATGAATATCAAAATGTAGTAACCAAGGACCTTGGATTCAGGACAATTTAGTTCACATTCCATGCTATCCTTTCCTTGATGTGTGATATTCAGCAAATTACCAAGATTCCCTGAGCTGTCTTCTCTATAAATAAGGGCTACCAGTACCTCCTTTAAAAAGTTACTGTAAAATAAACATGTACCATTAATGTAAGCATATAGTAGACACCTAATAAATGGCAGCAAATATGATTGTTAGTATTAAAGTTGGCAGTTTAGAGAAAGGAGAGGTCATATAGCTTTTAGACATACTGGTACACGGTAACTCCTTGAAGAATAAATAGGATTTACAGAGTAGAATGAGGAGGGCATTTCTATCAATTGGTGCACTTAGGAAATTCTAATCATCTATTTCTAATACCATACCCATTATGAGAAGGCACTTGAAAGGTGTTATGATAGTCACCCTATTTGCAGCCCACTACCTAGTATCACCGAAATTCATTTTAAAGTATTATTCTTTGTTTAACAGCCAAGAAATGAAATGGGAAAATGATTTCAATAGTTGTACTTTGTATGTATTCATATTTATGATGGAATTACAAAGAGAAGTAGAAAGTCTTGTCCAAAGAGAAATCATTTTTTAAAATGCTGATCCTCAAGAACACTTGTGATAAAGGCAGATAATTTTCCTTGCCCATTACACCACTAGAAAGTGTGAATAGTTCATTTGAGCCTGTAAGATTGCTTCCTTTTATCCCTGACACAGTATCATTCAATTATGTTCCTAAGTCTGTTGCATTAATTATATCATAAGACTTAATATATTAGCTTATCAAGAACTTCTCAATTTAGGTAATGAGAGCTTCCCTGAGAAAAAATACTCAAACTGAAAACTAGTAAATCTACTCATACTCCTCTCTCTTTTCTAGAAAAGGTCATGGGTCATCTTCAGAAGAGTCCCTAAAATAAGTGATGAGCCAAAATTCATATAAATTTCTTTCAGTCAAAACATAATTACACCGATAATCTACTGAAAATAAAGAACTTTATTTTCTAAAATGTGTTATATTTGCTATATCTTATGTGACTCAGGGCAAATCTCTGAACTTCTCTGAAGCTTAACCTGTTCTCTTGTTTGTCAGAGTGGGATGAGAGTAACTGTCCTGCTTCTCCCATAAAGTCTCAATGAGGACAAAAATAAATAATAGATGCGTAAATGCTTTGAAACTATATATCTCTATGCAGATATTATTATTAAAATCAATATTAAATGGATACGTAAGCCAAAGCAAGCAAGATTAAATGAGGTCACGGGAATTTTTTTAAGGACAAGTAAAAAAGAGACCTTTAAAAATAGCAACATAACATGTATTCAATAAATATTTATTGAATAAAAGAATGAATGAATTTTAGTATATAAATAAAACATATTTGAGTAAAAATATCACACATATAGGTTTTTCAGTCACCTATAAGGTTCCTAATAGTGAAGTTTAAATTGAACATTGTCTTGATAATTTTATTTAAAATAATAAACAGAATATTCATCGTTGAGCTCACAATATAATATTTTATACTGTAGATACCAGAACCTCTATAACTACTTGTGAAAAGAATACTGAATAAGTGTATGAACAAATTCGTCACTCAAAACAACTTCTAATGTAGGAAAAGAAATTTCAAACCTATTTATTTTTAGCAGCCACATTAATAGTGAATTATTATAAACACACCATTTAAAATGCATCAAAAACTTTCTAGTTGGTAAATATTAAAAATCAGTGTACATGATGCTAAATGGTGGGCACAATCTTTCAAAATGGAATATGAATCTCCTCCCAGAATATTAAAACATGTTTTTTCGATATTATTGTTTGAATTATATATTTGCATTAACTCTTCCTAGAAGCAATATATGCCTATGGCTGAAATTCAGTTCATTTATGCAATCTCAGGTAATCTCCTGGAGAATGACATCAAGTATAACCTCTGTTTTGACACAAATAAAAATATAACCAAGTCTTCCTAGTTTTTTCAAGCTAATTTTTCCAAGAGTGTAAAGAAAGATTCATTCATTAAAATAAGTAGACAAAATTGCTTTTCCATAAAAATAACATACTATTTAATAATGTTATAATATTTAGTTGATACTAACAATAATTAATTAATACAAATAATAATTTGTAATATTTGTATTTGCAAATTGCTCCATCATACATCAACATCTCATTCAAGTCACATCAAGGTTATATATGTGGTACAGGTATTATGTCCAGTTACTCATCCATAAGTGTGAGGTAACATCTGTGCTATTTAATATGCTAAGCCTCAGTTTATTCATGTAAAAACCAAGCTGAGGTTAATTATGAATAGCATTGGAGATAGATGTACATGAACACATATTTTAAACACTTTCATTAAATTTAACCATGGAAAATATAATGTTCGTGAGAAATTATATGTGTTAATACAATAACAGTCTGAATATTTCCTAGTGATGGGTCACATGATCAGAAAATCAAAGGTGCATAAGTCAAATTGGGTATTTATTTTTTTATTTCATAGAATTGGAGAGTTTAGACCCTTAGCTTAATTATAGGTTTTCACTGTATACAAAAGTGATCCAAAAACCAGATTAATATGTTATTTTTACTACATAAACAAGAGATCCAAGCACAGTGCTTATCATTGATCAATTTTGTAAATCAATGAGAATGTGGATAGTTAAGGGTCTGGAGAATTGTTGAGAACAAAGAGTGAGTATGATATCTTTATTCTTACTCCTTGGCTTCACTTTACACCTCTGTTGATCACTGTTTCCATTTAAGCAGTTGGCCTGAAAACAGAACCTACTTTCATGGTGACAGTTACAAACTCCACAGTTTTACTCTCTGGCCAGAGAAATCTGGATAGATCTTAGATTTCTATAACTGACCTCAGGAGTCCAAGAATTCTCTGTTTCTTAGTCAATATAGTTCACTTTGCAGCTTAGTCTTTATTTTTTTTTCAATATTTTAACAATATATCTTGCATCTGAGTCATGCGGATTGAGCAAAAACTTCCATAACTGGAGCAATCCGAATATAGTATTTTGAGAGCAGAAACAGAGATTCAACGTACAACTCATAATCATAAAAATCTAGGAAAGCTTTGTAGTTCTTCAAAATCTGTGACTGCATGGAACTTAGGAAAGTTCAGCAACAGGAAATGAAGGAAGTTGCCAGTTGTTGTCCAGCAACTAGCAGACAAAACTCTGGAATTTGTGAATGCCAACACTTCCTTCAATAATAGCAATGCCCCTGATTTTTTTTCAGGCTTCAAGTTGTGTGTGTTATGTGATGTCCTGTCACATCAGTAGAAAAGTACAATCATGTGACACACCAAAGGCCTGACAAGTTTGGTTCCTATGAATTCTTCAATTTCCAAAACTCCTTGAACTGAGGAAGTGGATAAGCCAAAACCTTCAAAAATATGTCTACGACCTAAGCGACTCACTATATTTTAAAAAAATCAAACTGCCATAGGAGGTTTCACTTTCTTGTAAATGTCCCCGCCTGGCAATGGCTAGTAACACAAAGACAATGATGTCTTCCTTCTATACTTTGTGAAAAGGTTTGACTTTTAAGTTTCAGAAAGACAAATTTTCTCATAAATGACGCAATGGAAATTGGATTAAAAAGCTGTCTCAGTTGGCTTTAATAAACTACCAAAGTACTTTTGTTTCGTTGTTCCATTCTAGGCAGGGAACACAGCAGGTTTTAATGGTCAGCTACCACTAAAAAGCTAACAGACTGCACGCAGGCAAAACATTAATCAAAACTGTGAAATAGTTTCCCTTTAGTTCCCTGGATCTCCCCAATTTGTGCCCTTTCTGCCCTTTTCCACCCTTTAAAAGCTCAACATACCTGAGTTCTCTATACTTTATTTTCTTCTTTTACAGTGGTGCTCACCCTTGAGAGCATTCATTTTTATATGGAGCCTAGTAGACTTAACCCAAAGGAATTTATGTCTAAATGTGAATTTTTATTGCAAAAAGTAAGTGGGCAGGAGAGGGACATTCTAGAGTTAGTGAAGTAGGAGGCAGGATGTAACTGCAGAGGTGGGGCTTAGACACCACACCAAATTGAGGACTAGCTAAAACAGGACCGGGGTGGAAGCAGATTTCCACAAGACATGCCCACCAGTGCACGATGTAAGTTTACCATTGCCATGGTAACACCCGGGCGTTGCCTCCCCTTTCCATGGCAATGACCTGATGACCCCAAGTTACTACTCCTTCCTTAGAAATTTCTGCATAAATTGCCCCTTAATCTGCATGTAATTAAAAGTGGGTATAAATATGACAGCAAAACTGCCCTGAGCTACTACTCCCTGCCTATAGGGTAGTCCTGCTCTGCAGAAGGAGTCACAGAGCTGTAATACTGCCAGAGCTGTAACACTGCCTCTTCAATAAAGCTGTTTTCTTCTACCTCCATCTTGCCCTTGAATTCTTTCCTGGGCAAAGCCCTGGAAAGAAAATTCTTTCGTGGGCTAAGCTCCACTTTGGGGCTTCCCTGCCCTGCATCAGTAGGATCATACTAGCAGCCTTCTACATTTCCTAAGCAGAAGCTTTGAGTAACACCCAAACATAACTAACTCCTATTGTCTAGATTATAAAGGGCTTGATATCTGTGTATGTTTTTATAAGAGTACCATTTAAAAAAGGATTTAAGATTGTATTTAGGGTTTAACTTCCTAAAGCAATCAGCATGTACAAAAAGATAAGTTCTGAATATTCATGACATCGTGCTTTCTATAATTTGCAATATCTGAGTTGTAGGTTTTAAAAGACAAGAATGCAGACTTGATTTAGATGCATTCATCTCATACAGTCTTCCAAAAGATTGCTTTCCAGCTATTATTTTATCAGTATTCATACTTCTCAGGTTTCATTAATGTGTCTAAACATTTTGTTTAAGTTCACTTATGTATTTAATGCTCAGGATAATACCGAGTGTGTAATCTATACCACATCTGAAATGATGTGACAAAATTTTCAGTCAAATTCTACAATCCCCACTCTAACAAGCCTTCTCATTTGCCTCGTATATTCCTTAGCTTAATCTGTACTTTTCTGCCACATAAGGTTTTGCAAGTTTTGCACTGTACTATCAAGATGAGCCATTCAGGCATACCAGGCTGTGACTATTTCACATAAATAGCACTTGTTGGGCTTACACAAAGGATAGCCTGCATCCTGACTACAGGTGGTATCACTGTGTGCTATCTACTGAGTTTGGGAAGTTCATTAATTTGATTTGCTCATCATTTCATACAAATGATGAAATGTATGAACGCACTTCCATCTTCAATCCCCATATCCAATCAATCACTTAATCCTTTCAGTTCTACTTCAAAAGGAGCCTCATATATCTCCCTTTCCTATTTCACTACCTTTATCCAGGCTTCTTCTAACAGTATCCTGCACCAGCCGTCTAACTAGCTGGATGCCTTACCACCACTTTCTCCCCTATCCAGTCTCTCCTTCCCATTGCTGCTACTTTTCTTGCTGCAATATAAAGTTCCTCACTCTCTTGGTTTAAATTTCTTTAGTTGCCTACTTTAGTAAGCAATTAGATAAAATCCAAATTATTTTCCTAAGAGACAATGTTGTCTTAGTTTGGGTTCTTTCAGAAGCCAAGCCTGAATCAAAGATTCAAGCACAAATCAAACTTTGGTGAGCTCTTTCCAAGAAACAAGGGTAGGGAAATAGAAAAATGTAAGAGAGATGAGAAAGCAGTGACAAAGAGTGTGTTATCAATCTAATTACATTTGTTGAATCCTGCTGGGACCCTGGGGACCTTTAGAGAATATGTACCTCAAAGTTATTTAGCACAATGGGCAAGGGAACTGGGGTAATAATCCACCAAGTTCAATAATTGGTTGTGGACTATTCTTTGAGGAATGTTAATTCTCCAGCATTTCTGGCTGCCCCAATTGTAAGCAGAGAAAGTTCCAGGAGGTAAAACCATCAGTCGTGGGTAGTTTGAAATTGAGCCAGCCGTCATGGTATTGTAAATACAGTACTAAAAAGACATGGGGGAGGGGTGCAAATGAGAGTATGTATCCCAAAGTATCTGCTAATCCACCGACATTTAACACCAGGCTACCATTCCAGCCTCATTACCTTTCACACTCTTATCCAACATCCGTCTTCTGCCTCATGAAACTCACTTCTCTTAGACATGCTAGATATTTTATGATTCCTTGATTATACCCAAGCTACTCCTTCTGGCTCCATTCTTTGCCCAGCAAAATCTTTGATTTTAAGGCCCAGCTAAAATATCATCTCTTCACTAATGACTTTGTTCTCAAATTTTTAGTTGTTTTTCAAGATCCCAGATTATTGAATTAAGGCTGTGACTTGCAAGATTCCAGAAATCGAGGTAAAATGTAAATCTTTTGACCAGTCATTCAAATGTTTCCAAGTAGCCACATTTCCTTCTATATTTAAATTTTTTATATATCAACCTGTCATTCTATCATAGTTAAAGTGAGGCTTTAAAACATAACATATATTAGAAATTAGAAAAGTGCCTGGCACATGTTAATCATTATATAATGCCAGCTATTGTTATTTGTTTAATACACTTAAGAAGCAACTGTAAAAGCTTTTTTAAAAATGCAGACCCCCAGGCCACAAAGCCAGAGATTCTGGTTTAGCAGATGGGCTCCAGGAATTTAGATTTGTAAACAATCACACTACGTGATTCTCTTGCAGAGCAGTTGATGATAGAATGACCAGACTTTCAGATATGATGTGGACGATTTCATTTTATACCTGTTTTTATGGTTTAATTATCAATAGTGACTCCTTTCACTTTCAAAAGTGTCCCAGTTTGAACAAAAAATTAAATGGTAACTCTATGGACCACATTTTGAGGTTACTGTTCTTTAGAAAAATGATGGCTGACGATATGTATCACAAAATTTTTAGAGAAGTCATTTTCTGACACTTTATATTAAATTGTGTGCAGAAAAGACTCAAGGAAAGACAAGTGATGGCAAAGATTATTATGGCAATTTCCCTAGTCACTAAACTATTTCCCGCTGCACAATCCCTGGTGAGTTTAGAGTAGGAGTTAAGAAGGAGCCTGCAGGGAAAGCAACTTTGCTGTCTCTTGGTGCCTGTTTTGAGTCTGAGTAAGAATGACTCTGCCAAGTATATTAATATTGCTAAATATTATTTTAGAAAAATATGCTGTAAATCCAGATTCAGACCATTAATGAAAGTGTACAATTTTCAAACATGCCATTTCATATGCAATGTTGATGCAGGCCTTCTCAGCTAAAACCAAGATGATAATGAGTCACGGCTGGCTTTTCAGTGAGTTACAGCTATTTAAAGTAATGTGGTAATTGGAAGTGACACTGTAGATCTGTGTGTTTATTCTGGGTTGCCATGTTGTGGTTATAGTGCAAAACCTAGAAATACTGAAAAAACATCAAATGTATGTGTCAAGTTAATTTGCCACTCCTTTTGCCTTAGGCTGATTAGCACAAATTAAATTGGCCACTAATAAACTCAAGATGTTATTATAGAAAGCAATATGAAAATGCCACATATGCATTCTGCTGATTATTTTTAAAAAGCCACAAAAATGCATGGCTTCATAGTTTTATATTTAAACAAATATGAACAGATAGAGACTAGTTTAATACCTTCACCACTTTTGATAAGTACATATTTAAGCATCAGTGCATTATCATATCAAATGGAATACTTTATATGTGGATATAATTTTAATAAAATAATCTTTAGAGAAAATTACATTTTTCTTTGTTCAAAATAAAATATACATAGGAAATAAAGTACTTGTTTAGTAGCATACAATTTGGTGGGGGAGGGTGGTATTGGCACTGACCCTATTTCTACAGACTTCCATATGGACATGCTTCTTGATAAGTTTATAGGTAAGGACATAGATGGGCTAGAGAGTGGTTCCTGAAATAAGAAATTATAGGAAGAAATATTTATATGGAACTGAAAATATCATAAGAGGGAAAGGAAGTTCAGTTATTTTTTCTCAGAGAGAAAAGGAGTTTTAAAAAAGAAAAGAAATGAAGGAAGAAAGACTGGACCAAAAAAACCCAAAACAAAATAAAACAAACTTAGCAAGATGACTAATTTCACTTCTATGTGAGAGTTGATAGGAAACTGGGAAAGGATATTGAGTAACATTGAGTCTATTCATTTGGTGGCCCTATTAACACAGCTTAAAACTAGATACACGGCAGGGAGAAATGATACTTACAAAATTATATAAATGTACCATTTTAGTCTACTCAGAAATCTATAATAATGTTAGAGACTGATTTATATTCCCAAATCTTTCACTTATTCTTTGTACACTTTTAGATAGGCAATTTGGAAAAACAAATTAGTGATATCAAGATTACTTTTCTAATGAAGGTAGTGGAGGACCCTTGGGATCTCAAAAGAGAAGCTGGGTATGTAGCTAATCATTGGTGCTATTAAAATAATATTTTATTAAATTTTGTAATGCAGCTCAAGGCAACCAAAATAATATCATGTCAGAGTATTAAAACTGATGATAAACAATTAAGAACCAAATTCCTTATATATTTTGCAAAGAGCCTAAATTTTAAAATATTAAAAGCAAAAAAACTTTTCCAATATTTGTATTTAAACAGAAAAGGGAATTATGTAACCTTCATAATATGGTTCTTAAAATTTATAAAGTAACTGTATTTTTAAAATAAATTGAGTTATTTTAACTTTGATCCAGGAAATTGTAAAAATTGTACATACCAAAGGGCAACATTTACAATATAAGTATTACCAGAAGTAATAACTTAAACAGTGGCATGGAAGCCATTTTAGGTATTAGTTAAAATTGGAGGCTCTAAGGTCATGGAGACCTTAGTTTAATTTAATATAATCTCTGCTACTTATTAGCTATTTGATCTTTGGTAAATTATTTAACAGTTCTGAGTTTGAGTTTACTCATGTGTAAAATAGAGATATTAATACCAAATTACGCTGTGAAGATTCTATAATGAAATAGTATAAGGAAAATACTGAATGCCACAAAAATTGTAGCAGGAAATCTCAATAAATCATAATCAAAAATGAATCATTATGCTTCCTCATTTAACTACAGAAGAAAACACAACCCTTTAAACAATTGCAGATTTAATGAAGTGTAGACCCAAAGTCTTATTTCTTGTCTCTTAAAATCAGTAGGGGTTATGAGCAAGTCTGAAGATAGTATACTTCCCACTGGTTGTATACATAATAAAGATAATTACCCATATTAAAAAAAACCCTTTGTGTCAGCTTACTAATCTGTGTTTCTTCTTATTTTTATATGTCCCTTCAGAGAGACTTCTCTGCAGGGAATATCAATTATGCATTTTCCCTACCTTTACCTACATTCACTTTGTGTGAAAGCAGACAATTAGTTCTACTTTTGACTATTAAATTACTCTAATGGACAAAATATATAAAAAGGAAATAAATATCTAATAAGTCAATATGGCTTTATTAGCTGACATTTTGTTAGTTTTCTCTATTTTCTTACCTTACAAAGGATTAAAAAGGAATAGTGGTTATGATTCCCAGCTAATGGACAAAGCAAAAACTATCCTTTAGACATAATAATTGATGGGAAAATGAAATCAAAGTGATCCGTACAATAATTTTACTCATTGACTACTTCAGAAAGCTCCTAAGTGATCAAAATTATAGTCATGTATTTCTTTATAGAAATAGATAATGGGAGTACATAAACTTAACAGTTAATAACATTAGTTGGGGTATGGAAATTAATAAAAGCTTGGGGGAAACAGCTTTAGTTTAACAAATGTTAGTTTCTTTTTTATCCATATAGTCAAGATTCTTTAGCCTTTTTCTCTTATATCATAGTCACAACTGATACATTTAGAAACGTAAATGACTTGGAAAAGATCCACTGATTTTTCTCTCATTTGATTATAAGAAATATATGTGAGACTGGTGCAAAAATGCTAAGCCAATGGGATGGTTTCACTGGAACAAAGTGAATGTCCACCTTTTTCAAAATTCAGTTTGTGTGGAAATTTTTAGGAAATGACTCCATGAAAATTAGGTTATGTTAATTCCTTGCTGATTCATTATTTCCCGCTGACAAGCAGTAGGAAAATATCTTAGATAATAACTTAGATAGAGGCACCATATACGATGATGTTCATTCAGAGGCTAATAGTTTAATAACAGAGAACATAAATCAATGCAATTCTCCTCTTTGAGAAACACTATTAAAAGAGTAGTCTCTCTAAAATTCAAGCCTGTGTTAATCTTTTGCTTAAAATTATGAAAGGCTTTCCAGTTCCTATAGAATAAAGTCCATGCTCCTTAGCATAATTTGATTCTACTTAGGTACAGGTTCTTATCTCATTCCTCTGTCCCCACTCAGCTCCCAGAACTTAACTGTTTTATTTGGGTTAATGTCAAATAGCTTATAGATGATTGAATACACTGTGTTGCTTTAGAGCGCTATGACTTTGCATCTGCTAGTTCTCTCTGAGGTGTCTCATCCCTCCACCCACTTCTAACTAGTTCCATCCACATGCAAAATATTCATGCTTCAAAACCCACAGCTCAGGTGTCATCAACTCAGAAAGGCTTTTCTGATGTCCCTAGATGAGATAAATCTTTGCGCTCTCTTCTGTAATAATGTTTTAACATACATACATTTCACTCTTCACCCATGTCACACTGTATTGTTTCTATTTTTACATTTGCTATTGTCTTCTATTAGACCATAAAATCTTTGATGGCAAGGAATGTGTCATGTACTTTCCTCCCGCAAATGTTAGCTACTTGAGGGCAAAAATGCTGTTTTGTCTTCAGAATCTTCAGAATCTAACAGTCCCTGGCATGTAATATGCACTCAGCAGATACAATAAGTATTAATATTTCAAAGAATAAGTGAATGGATAGGTTCATCTTGTCCTCATTCTTAGCAAAGTACCTGACCCAAACAGGCATATAATAAAAAAATTGCCAATCACTTGAATTGATTCTAAAATTAAACTTGATTACTCCTATGCTTTTGATTTCCTATAGAGGAAAAGAAGACAGCATTTTTTAGTGATTGTACATATGAACTCTACCTGGGATACATATAGGTAAACATTTATAAGATATATTCTTAATTCCTCCTGTATTACTTAAGTAAAATTGTTATCCATTATATATCAATAATTAATATGCTAAATCTTCATATCAGTTACAAATCAGACAAAACTAATATAGGATGAGTCACCTTTATCAACCTCATTGCTATCTACTTGAGGTTCATATTGAGAAGACAGTTAGCCTACTGATCCCAACAGTTCCTTTCCAAAGGCTTCTCCTGAACTGTGAGAATGTCTTCAAACAAAACTTGATTTAAAAAAAGGATAAAACAGTTAAATGCTAGTTCAATTTCTGACTTGTTATGGGCAACATGAAAGCTGCAATTGTTTCTGATGAGAAAGTCAAGAGTACATTTTTTTTTTAACCCTTCTTTATCTAGAAAGCATGCATTGGTGACGCTTATACATACAGCATTATACCAGACGCCGTGGAACTAGTTCAAATCATGGATAAATACATTCTTTTTTTTTTTTTTAGATGGAGCCTTGCTCTGTCGCCTAGGCTGGAGTGCAGTGGAGTGATCTGGGCTCACTGCAAGCTCCATCTCCCGGGTTCACGTTATTCTCCTGCCTCAGCCTCCTGAGTAGCTGGGACTACAGGTGCCCGCCACCACGCCCAGCTAATTTTTTGTATTTTTAGTAGAGACTGGTTTTCACCGTGTTAGTCAGGATGCTCTTGATCTCCTGACCTCGTGATCCTCCCGCCTCGGCCTGACAAAGTGCTGGGATTACAGGCGTGAGCCACCGCATGCCCGGCCAAATACATTTTATTCTTATGAGTATATTCCATGCAAGTTTAGATTCTATTAAAAAAATACTAACAACTACCCTTTGATTGAAGCTTATGATTTTCTAAAATCTGGGGACAAAGGACAGAGAAATTCTCATTGTGCGTCTAAAGTTCCCCGAATTGAAAAGCAAATCCTAGAGATAGCAGAAATGCAGCTAGATTTTATCAACTTGGTAGAACAGTTTGAGGGCTATTTCTAGGCAAAAGAAATAGGCGCTACAGTAGAGAAAATTATTCAGCTATCATGTTGCTCCTCCTTTTCATTTTCACTGATAATCAATCAGCTTTTAATCAGAAACAATTTTGAAGGGTTTTTTTGTTTGTTGTTCATTTGTTTTTGTTTTGTTTGTTTGTTTTGTTTTTTTGTTTTTGGGTTTTGTCTGTTTAGTAAAAGGATTCATTTCACTTTAGGAAAACTCAGCAAAGTGTAGAAGGGGAAGTTGGCACTTAGCCTAGACCTTTTGTGTCTTCAAGTTTCCAAGTTCTAAGAACAGCATGGAGCCCTGCTATGTTAGAGAGGGAACACATCTGAGAGATGAGAATGAGTATATCTGGAAGATCACAGATGTAACAGGAGGCTTAGCCTAAGGAAAGCACCAACTGGATAATGAGAGTTACCAAGAAAAGGTAATGACAGCATCTCAAAAACAACACTAAAGCTATTATGTTCAATAACTTGTATAAATGCTTTATAAGTGTATCCCAAAGCCTACAAACAACATCTAGCTAATAACATTCAAGATTTGTACGTTCCTTATGTAAGTTAAAGTGGACACATTGGGTGTTCCAATGCAGAAGAATACAGAGAAATGCCACAGGCTGAATATTTGGGC
Source organism: Homo sapiens (assembly GCF_000001405.40). Classification (NCBI taxonomy): domain Eukaryota; kingdom Metazoa; phylum Chordata; class Mammalia; order Primates; family Hominidae; genus Homo; species Homo sapiens. The sequence continues at coordinate 212,037,631 of NC_000002.12, forward strand.
AAAGACTAACATTCTCTTGCTGACAAACATGTCTTTGTATTTTGACATAAACTTCTTATGTGCAGATTGGTTCTGTGGAAATTACAAACTTTTTGAAGTCAGGGGAAGGGATGAAAGTAAAATTAAAAATTAATCTTTTCTAAGGAACGTTGTAAATCTAATAGACATTAAATAACTGCTTGAAATTCTAATCAGATAAAAACATCTAGACCAAACAATAAAGTTTAGATGGACACCGGGGAATGAGAGCAAATATTTTTCAAGATACTTCTTCAAAGGGCACTACAACAGAGAATGATTCTTAGAATCTCAGGGATTTTGAAAAAATTAGCCGTTGTATTTCTTTGTATTTATTTCACAAAAAGTATTGTTCTTTAATCATGTATTTATTTAAAGTAGCCATAACATTCCATGTATCATTTTCAAAATGGTGATGAAATATATTATTATGGGATAAACTTTCAGGTATATAGAAATATGTGATGTAACTTTTGAAAAATGTGGAGAAGCTACTTCCTGCCTATAGGAGGTAGCTTTAAAAATGTGGAGAATTCCCAAATATTTCCTTTTATAAATACAATATAAAATTCATTATCCTAGAATATAATCTATTATATATTAGTCTCTTTATTTATATATATGAAGAAAAAATCTAGATAAAAATATCATTGAATAGTTCCTTCATGATTAATTGGATTCAGTAAGCAAAATCTAACAACTTTATAATTCTAGTCAAATATGGTCCTTCCTTTAGGCTTCTCCAAGGCTTTTTACTACAACTAAGGTATCCAGCTGCACTCTACCTTTACTGAGTGAGTCCCCATGGTTACCAGCAAAGTGTGTGACTGAAACAAAGAGGACGGCTGTTCAAAAATGTATGTCTAAAATATCTCTACCTAAGACATTTTTTTCTTTTGTACTTTGTGTGTTCTGATTCTCAAAACAATTGAGTTACTCGTTGATTCTTTTTTTCTCCTCCATAAGGAAAAGAAAAATGATTTTTCTGACCACTGAATTGTTAAAGCTTCTTCTTCTTTCACCATATCTATAAATCATGGTGTTAAAGTTACAGAGGAGAAGGTCAGTTTTGTTGTATATATGGATAATATTGCTTAGCTAAGTGCTAGACTAAGATAATAAAATAAGAGCAACAGAAGAATATGTTGTATTCTCAGTTATGTAAGGAAATGCCTTTTCTTAAAGCTTTTTCCTCATTTCATGGATATGAACATCTTCTCTAGGGCATGATCGGGGAAGAGAAGAAAAGTAAAGTAAAAATAAATGTGTGTTTGTGAGTGTTTATTGTTAGCATTTGTGATATAGGTTTTGTTTAGAGAAAGAAACTTAAGGCATCTGGCAAATTGGTGGTTTGTGAATTGTAGTGAATTTAAATGGTCAATATCATTCTTAACCTTGATTCTATCTCCCAATGAAATAAAAATTTATTTTCTCATTTATTTAGTGAATGTGTATTAGTACTTTATATTCCGGGTGCTATACTAGTTTTGGAGGGCCTGAAAATGAAAGAAGTAATTTCTGCTTTCATGATACCCAGCCTAGCAGAGGAAAGAGAAGAGAATCACTAATAAATCCCATATACACGTTTTATATGAACTATAACTATGTTTCAGAAGAATAATGATTGTATACTTTCTGCTCACTGCCTTTGAATCATAAAATTTTCTTTGAAGGGTTACTAATAGCACTAGTTTCCTTTTTATATATGGTTGAACTAATCTCTGACAACCGTAATTCTTCACCTTTGTGAAGGATCTTGAAGAGAGGATACTTTACATGGCTACATTTTGCCTCTTTAATGCTTAGTACCTCTTTCATTATAGATTGAGGACAGCTATAATTAATATTTTAAAAGAAAGTCACAACATAATTTCATAGATGTATTTTAAACTTTTGAGAACTTCTTATTAAGTAGTGCTCAGCATTGTTCAGTAACTTGCTTATGCTGAGTAGCAATAATCATCGCCAGCTTTAACTGAACAATTATCATGTGCCAGCTTCTGTGATAACCATTTTATATGTATTTTTAATTTTCAACCACTCTGCAACACAGAAATTATGATTACCTCTTTCAGAATAGGGAAAATAAGGTTCAGAGAGGTTAACAGAGTCAGCACATGGGACCATTCTGACTCCAAAGCCTGTGCTTCTTCTCCTAGAGAGATGCCACACACAAATGCCTACCACCACAAAAAAAAGAAAAGAAAAGAAAAGGAAAGAAAAAAGGAGGAATCCATGTCATTCCAACCATAGTCTCTTGTTTTTAGCTGCATGCTAAATAACAAAATATATCCAAAGTCTTCCACCTCTAATATATTTATGTGGAAACTACATAAGTACATATTTTGCCAAATTTAAGTGAACTATGTTTTTTTTTTTAGTTCAGGTATTTTTTTCTTAATTTCCAGAAGCTAAATAAATCATAAAATATGGAAGTAGACACCTTCAAAGGGCATGCCAGTTATATAAATATTTTAACTGAGAATTCAATGTTTCAATCAGTTTAGTCTATTTTAAAGTTGGAAGTACCTAGATTATGAGTCTTTTTGCTTTAATTTTACTTTCTTTAAAAATATATGTACTTTTTAAGTAGTTTATATTACTGTTTAATTTTTTCTGATGGAAAGTAACACACACTATTATTTGGTGAATAGAAAAATTTTAGTAGTTTTTTTTTCTTCTCTAATGATTTTTAGAAAGAAAACACTTATATATTTTTCCTCATTTATGTGGTTTATTTCACCTTATAACACAAGCTGATATGAACAATAAGAACAGAATTGAAAAGTGCAGTTCTCTAAAAAGAACATATGAAGGAATATTGATGGCTTTGCAGCTTGCTATCTCAAACTAACAAAATACTTCAGCACGGATAAGAGTCTCATAAATCTAGCCCTTTTTTGTTAATTTAAAAACAATTTAGAGTAGTAGGGCATCACTATTTCTAACTCGTCTCTGCCAGTTGCCCTATATTCACCTCCATACCTAGCATGGTAGCTCCGGTAAGTGTTTATCATAAGCATTTGGGATATTCATGTACACTGAGTAGTACAACTTAATGAGCTTCTCTGTGAACTTCTGATTTTGGCCTTCAGGCTGTTTGTGACCTGCTCTAAGACTGTGGTCTTTTCTCCTTGGGCTCTGCTTCATGGGCTTTTCACTGCCGTGAGATTGATTTTTACCCTTTGCCTTCTTCAACTTTTGCGTATTTAATTGCTTTCTTCTCTTCTGCCTATCTAGACCCTATTTACCTTTCACTTATCAGTTAAATCTCTTTTAACTATTCTGTTCTAATCTGAATACGGAAACTTTTCAGGAGAGGTCTTCTAACAAGCTCCTAAATCTACAACCAGGAGCAGAGTCTGAAGAGACTTCTTGGTTCAAATCCCAGTTCTATCAGTGGGAGTTACGTGAACTTGACCAAGTTACTTAACCTCTCTGCCTCAGTACGTACTTCCATCTGTAAAACTGATCAATAACAAAAAACAAAAAAAACAAAGAAAGTGGAAACTGAATGTGTTCATGTATGTAAAACATTTAGAAAAGTGTAGCGTATGTTATTTTAGAAAAACGGTAAACGGGTTACAAAATTATAGCTGCCTACCACTAGCTGCCAATGTTTAGTTGTTGCTGTTTTTTTTCATAATCTATCCAGAGGTCTTTACTGTAAACAGATATATCTAAGCTAATGAGTATAAAAAAAATTCAGGTTACCCATTGGTATTAAAATAAAAGGGAAAGTACTAATCCTCTATCAGAAGGAACTGCTCAGGTGTGTTAAAGAATAATTAGCACCATCTTTAGTTTCCAGAATTGTTCACAAACATTATTTAATTTTCAGCCAGCTTAATTTTAAAGTTTTTAGCTCATTTAATGACCTGAGGAATATAAAATGAGATAAAATTGAAAAAAGAAATAGTAGCAATATGGATCATATTACATAAAAAAAAAAAACCAGTAGCATCTCATACTCAAATTACCGCGTTCTTTCAAAGCTTACATGACTAAAAAATAGTAAATTATGAAAAAGGGAAGCAGAAAAAAACAGTATCAATATAGAATATCCTATTCTCTGCAAAAGCTCAAAGACGTCTCTGGAGTGTCAAAGGCATGTCCTTCAATATTTAACTTTTTCACTCTTTGTTCCCCATCTCAAGTTGAACAATACGTTAATTACCCGATGAAGCATTATAATTACTCTAACAGCTCCACTCTTACTTATAATTACTGCATCAACACTTTCTTTTTCATATGCTTCAATCTATACCTATTACATTGTCATGATGAAGACACATTAACATTATAATACCGTATAATTAGCTGATGAGCAATTAAATTATTCCACTGCTCTTGTTCCTCTTTGCCAAGAGGTTGCTTCCACGCTCTATTATCTCCTTTTTTCCTTCGGTTTGCTTTAGTGGTTCTCCCCCTACCCCACCCAAAACAAAGAAGCTCATAAGCTGTATTCAAAGCATTTTGATTTCAAATTCAGTATGGGTAAGTGCTCAAATTGGTGATAGTTGAAGAAATAAATCGGCATTATAGGCAAGTTTTACTTTATTTTCATTTTGGTTCTACAATAAAGAATTGCAAATCCATGTAACACAATAAGACCTTGCAGGCGCTTTCCTTTCTACATGCTGATCTTTTTTGTTTTAAAGATTAAAATTTTCCATAATTTACAGCAAAATTGTTTAGACTATATTAGATTCTACCTGAAATATAGCCATCATGAATTATTTTACAAATACTTCAAATTAGGTTTTCACGGAAGCTTTGAAGTTTTGGAAATTGGGAACATAAAATAAAATCATGCACGATTGTGTAGCTAAATATGACAGTATACTGCTCAATGAAAGCAACCAGGTGCTTTCCGTTATTATTTTTTCTTTTTGTTTTTCTTTATGCTACATATCAAAAACCTATCCTTCAATCTGACTTGTCCAGTTGACATTTAATCTACATAACATTTCCTTTAAGTGCCTATAATCTTTCTTTGTGGTTTTAGTATGCTTTTTTGAAGCTCCCTGTAAGGAAACTGGATCTCGCTCCTTGGTTAAAGACTTACTTTAGTTCAAATAAACTTCGGAACTAATTGGAATACAATTTTAATGCCTCCAAAATACTTGTCATCCACATGGTTTACCATTGTGATCATTTGCTGCATTTATATTGCAAACTAGTTCAGTTGTTGTTTAGTCTATATTTTATAAGAGAACTAAATCTTTCTTAGATAATTACTTTGGAGAAACATTATGAGCTATGGAAGAAAAGTGGAATTCATTTTACAAGCAAGGCCTATGCCAATAAAATGACTTTTGTTGTCTCAGCTTAGTTTCTTTAGCTGTGCGGCAAAGGAAAATCTATTGAGTACTACAGTCTCATATGCAGAAACTTGCTTCTTCACTGAGAAGAGCCAGATGGGCCCTGCCAACATCACAAAGCCATTTAGGACTGTTAGTACCTTTATGCTTTGAAAGCAATGATAAACAAGTTACCTTTGACACGATATAGAAAAGCAACTAAGTCTTTACTTAAGTGACAATTAGTTCAGCTATAATCCTGTGACTTTCAAAGTCCTTAACTGTGATTTGATATTTTTTAGTTGACAAAGACTCAACTCTCATGCTTTTACATAGGTACGCTGTTTATTTTGCCTCAGGTCAAAACTAATCTCCCAAATTCTGATAAACTTTGTTAGAACCTGCATTTGTTTCTAATTGTGCTAGAAAAATGAAGTTTATCTAACCATTAATAAATGAGAATCTCTCTGTAGAGCAAAGAGGAGGCAATACATTATATCAGATGTAACTTGGTCTACTGACAGATATTAAAGTGCAAAAGGTATCAAAATGCAATCAAGATTAACAGGGATTTCAGATAAAATGTTAGCTGTAATAATGTGACACTCTCACTTCAAATTCAAATTATTAATACATTGTAAATAAGGATCTTATATTGATTTTCATTATATGCAGTTAAGATGCCTACTATTTTCAGCTCTCATAAATAGGTTTGCTAGTATACATGTTAAAAGCCAGAGAATAAGTGAATAAGAATTAGAGAGTAAGAACCTGACCATTGAATCAGGCCCTGCTCCAACACTTACTACATTTGTGACCTTGAACAAGTTATTTAATCTTCCTAAGTCTATTTGCAGCCATAAAATTATAGCAGTACCTATCTTGTCAGGTTACCAGAAGGATAAAATGAAAAATTTAATGTAAAGCACTTAGCACAGTGCCTAGCATAATGTGATCACTCAATAAATATTACATATTATCATTATTCCCTATTATTAGCTTAAAGGTTATTTTTCTTTATGTTCTTTGGAAAACACGTCATACAAAGTTCATAATCATCGAGTGCTATAGTTTCTCATAAAATATTTGATCTGGAAAAGGTCTTAATTTTTGTTGTTGTTTTATTCTGAGTGCTTTATGTGCATTGTCTAGGGTCATAAATTTAATTAGTGTCCAACTTAGTACTACACGGTAGTGTCTCCCAATAGTATATTTTTCCATGATACCATTTTACTTAGGAGATCTGTGAAATTTGCTCAATTGGATTATAGTCGTTTAAAATATAGACATAAAATTTCAAGCATATATAAAAGTTACACTCGAAAAATAAATTTTAATTTCAGAATCACCTGTAGCTGATTTGGACTCTTGCCATTATTCAAGATATAAGTACAAGTTTATTTTATTCTATATAAAAAAACCAAAATCCTCTTTCAATGCCGATATTTCTGCCGCCTTTTGGTTGAAGTACTGAGTTTTTTTCTAGTCTACCTAACCCTCCCCCTTTTGAAACAGATTTCGTATCAGAGTTACTGTATTTCCTTCACAATGAATTATTATAACTAATGGTTTCTATTTTTTTCTCCCACATTCAGGATTACTCCTCTTATATTACAATAAATTTTAACATCTACTAGCTTTTATAACACTTTCTTTTACATTCTGAAGACTGTATAAATTCTCAACTCCTAATCATAAAACTTTTGATGTTAGTACAAAGCTTCAAAAGGATGCAATGCTTATTGTTGGCTAATATGTTATCTGGAGGATCTTACTCCCATACCTCCTTAAACTGATACCCTTATAGTTCAGGGAATCTTTTATGTCCCAAAGTCCTAATCATAGAAAAAGGAACCATAAATGACCCTGATTGAAGCTGAAAAAATATTTTCTTTCTTTCTTTTTTTTTCTTTCTTCTCAGTTCCAATTGTTATGTGTTGTTTTTGATGGGATAGATACGATTTCAGTATCATCAGGGTCTGGCAGCAATAGGCTCAAAGATCTAATGAGCCTCTGACACTTCATTACCCGTCATATATTAACAGTTAACATAATAGCCATCAAAAGCTTAAAAAAGCTTTATTCTCACAATTGTTTATTGACCAAAAAATAATTATGTTATATGAATCTTGCATAAAAATATTGGTAATTGTCTTCTCAACTTGACCTTTGGGACTTGGATTCCCTTGGTATGGCAATTAAATATACTACGTGAGAATAAAACTAGGCTGGGTGCAGTGGCTCATGCTTGTAATCCCAGCGCTTTGGGAGGCCAAGGCAGGCAGATCACATGAAGCCAGGGGTTTGAGACCAGCCTGGCCAACATGGCGAAATCTGTCTCTACTAAAAATACAAAAATTAGCCAGACATGTGGTGCACATCTGTAGTCCCAGCTACCTGGGAGGCTGAGGCATGAGAATCACTTGAACCTGGGAGACAGAGGTTGCAGTGAGCCAAGATTGTGCCACTGCACTCCAGCCTGGGCAATAGAGGAGAGAGGAGATTCTGTCTCAACAAATTAAAGAAAGGAAAAAGAAAAGTAACATTTTGTTTTTGGTAATATATAGTAGTATAACCCTCAATTGCTTTCCAAATCCCATTCCCCCATAAAAGCATCGTCAGAAGATCCAAGCTACCATTGAAGTTTTAGCCTCAGGGAGGACTAAGTAAGAGTGGATCATACCTGGAAATGAGACTGAACAGTACCAACATGAAACGTCAATAAGACTTAAGGCTGATAGATGAACCTGAAAAGGCTTCTTTCTCCTGTCCTTACAGATGAACAAACCGCTACTGTGTCCAAGAATAGCTTTTACAATCAAAGTAGTCTGCTGAAATAACCAAGAGTGACAATCAGCTCTTAACTTCAAAAGGGAACTTCACATTTCCCGATGCTTCATTTACAAATGACCAGTAATATATATATCCTTGGCAGAGATGAACATTTGTAGCTATATCTCTAAGCACAAGGACAGAGATGTCAAACCCTCCTACTTTGTATCACCAATATATTCTATGGAATAAACCGTCTTAGACTCACTGGTATTCAGGGATTCTCTCATTCAAGCTATCACAATTCTCATGATCCACCATTTGCCTCTGAAGATGACAATTTGGATAAATGAGTAAAGATGGGAAACCCAATCCATGTTAATTTTTTTCAGACATGTGAAGTGGAGAAGAGAACCTGAAAATAATGCTGTTGAACAGAAATATGCGAAATCTAAAAATGGAGAGACCTAATTTTTTATGAGACATAATAAAAAAGCAAAAGGAAATAGAATCACAGCAGTTTGGTGCTACGAGACACCTAAGAGAATAAACTAATCCCTTCACTTTACAGATGAGGGACCTAGGCCCCAGAGAGGTGAAGCCCATTAACCATGTTTGCACATAGTAAACAGTAGCACAGCTAGAGAAGTTCAGTTTTCTGACCCTACCCACTATGCAACAATAAATCTGGTAAGGGAGTATTTTGCTGTTTATAAGTTAAATGTGTGCAGTTTTGAAAAGAACATTAAAGAAAAGTATAGGATGGTCTAGATCTGATATCACTCCCATATGAGTTTCCATTTATATATTTACTATTACTTAGCAGTATTGATGTATTTATCATTTACCTTCGTATTCATCAATTAATAGGACATTCTATTGTACAGAAGGATGTCTATTACAGTCCAGTGATTCTTATATTTTTCCACCAAATTGTCTATTTGCCATTGCAATGGAGTGGGAAATCTTAAAGCCAGGAGATTTGGGGGCCGTGGCACAAATCTATCAGATGTAATGGAAAAATTTCTTCACCTAGTGATATTTCATCCTAAGAGTAATGCAACGTTTGCTGTTTGCTGGTTGTCATGGTAAGCTGTTTTTTTCTCCCAAAAGTTCAAGGTAAATTAATGGCCCAAAAGTATACAAGATTTGCTTTGCTTAACCTTGTGGAATTCCTGCATATCTTCAAGAGTTCATCTACCTTGGATATACTGATTATATGCCATTTTCTTTTCCCAATTTGGAAGCTTACTATAGAAAATAAGCACAAAGAGCTGAGTGCAAAAATAATTCATACAAAGGATATATTTTTGGGTTCTCTATTTCATGTAATAGCCATTATTCTCCCAAAAAGAACATAATTTTAAGAGAAAAGTTACACTGAATTTTAACTGCATATTATATATTGTTGTCCTAAAATGAAGTAAAAAAAAACTTTTAAGTTTTCTACCTCTAACACTCTTTATCCTAAACAAAATCCACCCACACTTTACAAATTATCCAGCAATGTTAACTCAAATATACATGAATTTGAATAATCTATGAGTATCAACTGATTAATCAAAACAAAACTTCTAAATTATTCTCTTTAGTCTCAATAGCTTATCTAAATGGATGTGGACAGGATGAAACTACAAATATGTTTCACGAAAATAACACTATTTTGCAAGAATGAAAAGAATCTTAACTTTCTTCTAATTCTCCATTTGACCATTCTTGAAGATTCTCCTTCATATTAATTTTATTTATTTATTTATTTATTTATTTTAGATGGAGTCTTGTTCTGTCCCCCAGGCTAGAGAGCAGTGGCTTGATCTTGGCTCACTGCAACTTCTGCCTCTTGGGTTCAAGCAATTCTCCTGTCTTAGCTTCGCAAGTAGTTGGGACTACAGGTACCCACCACCACACTTGGCTAATTTTTTTTTTTTTTTTTGTATTTTAGTAGAGATGGGGTTTCACCATGTTGCCCAGGCTGGTCTCGAACTCCTGAGCTCAAGCAATCCACCCACCTCAGCCTCCCAAAGTGCTAGGATTAGAGGCATGAGCCACCGTGCCCAGCCCTTCATATTAATTTTTAAAACAAATATTTATAGAATGCTTGATATTTGATGATTCTTATAGACAACACTCTTGTTTTCATGGAGTTTAGAGATAATAATCAGACAGTAAGCAAACGTAAATAAATAAAAAGCACATTGTGATAGGTTCTATACAAGGAATTAAAGCAAAGTGATATAATGAGATTGATGTGTATGGAGAGGGTTACATTTTATTGGGTGTTCATGAGAGACTTCGTTGGGGTATGATATTTAAGCCCAGCTATAAGCTGACAAGAAAAACTGCATGTGAAGTCAGGGAAGAAAAAGTTCAGAAGATAAAATAGCTATGACAAAGGCCTTTGGGCAGAAATGGAAAGAGTGCCTCAGCTGGAACAGCATGGCTAAGGAAGGTGAGATGGTGTCAGAAAGATGGGCAGAACCAAATTCTATAGAATTTTGTTATTTTACAAAAAGGTATGGAATATGACTTTTACTTTAAGTGCAATGGGAATCCTGGAGTATTTAAGTGGTGGAGTGATGACACTGTGTAATTGGTTTTCACAGTCTTAATCATACTAGCAGTAGTGTAAAGTAAGAATTGCAGGGGACACAGCTGGAAATGGAGGAAGCTATAGCAGTGATTTAGAGCAGGGTGCTGGTAGTAGACATGGAGACAAGTAAATATATTTGGGTTATGCTTTGGAAGGTAAAAATTAATAAAATGGACTGATAGTTTGTTTAGCAGTGGAAAAGAGAAAAAGGAAAATCGAAGGTAATCCCTAGATATTTGGCTCAAGCAACAACTGGAGTGGGCAGCAGTGCCACAGTTTGAAATGGAAGAGACTGGGGAAAAATGAATTGGTGCTGGGGAAAGAGGAGTTGAGAATTCTGTTTTGACTTTGTAAAGTTTGAGATCCATATTCTACATCAAAGTGAAGGTGTCACGTAGTTAGTTGTATATTTAAATTTGGAGTTTCAGGGTGGTGACAGAGCTCCCTGAGAAGTATATTTGGGAATCATGAGCACATACGTAGTATTTAAAACCCTGGGACTGGATGAGATCATTTAAGACAAGTGTGTTTAAAGAAAAAATATTCCCCTTAAGCATTCGAACATGGAATAAATAAGGAGAGGAAGTCCTACAACCTCAAGGAGTTGAATTCTGTCATCAACCAGTTGGGTTGGAAGAGAACCCAGAGCTGATACGAGAGTGCAATCTGGGCACACACCTTGATTTCAGCCTGGTAAGGCTCTAAGCAAAGGACCCAGCTAAAGTTTATCCAGACTCATGACCAAATGAAAACCTTGCAGTTTAAACAGATGCGTGTTTTACATTGCTAAGGTGGTGATTTGTTATATAGCAATAGAAAATTAATGCATCCAGTTTCAAGTTTCGTTTATAAATCTTTCCTTGTTTACATTCTTTCTTAAAGGCTAACAACTGTAATTATAATATCTCTGTTAAATTAAAATAATCTTTGGGAACATCAAACATGTAATAGGTAATATCTTTAGGGGTCACTGATGTGTGTTCAACTTTCCAGTTGTGCTACAATAATTGGACCTATATGAAAGGACTTTTCATTTTTTTTAAATTAATTTTCATAGTTTTGTTTTCCCTATTATTTATTATTATTGTTGCTATTGGTGTGCACGCCTGATTCTTGTAGCCAATTATATATCGGTATGCTCTAATCTGTTATGAGTCGGGAGACTAGAGGACCAGGCTTTTTGTATTGGGTCTACAATGAGAATACCTAGGCTATAAACTACGTTATGACAGTGTATGATGAAATTAAGCTATCCTTTTTGTTTTCTCAGTACTTCTCAGTATTTAAAGTCATCAGAAAAAAATGACATTTGTTTAAATAAAAAGACACAATTGTAAGAATACCAGTTGGTTGTTGATATTTTAGGTTATTTCTTTAAAAATTATGATTGCCTGTTCTCTACATTAAAAGAACATTGCTGGGCAGAATAACTGGATTCAAGGTAATGTCTTTGTCTTCACATAGTCTTTACTCTCAAGTGACTCCAGTGAGTCAGCAAAACATGTGTGGGCTTCAGAAAGAACGATTCCACCATAATTTGCAAATTAGAACAGTGGGATATGCTATGTACTACTTTCCAAGTCTGCACTTCACATATCATTTTAATGACCCATCAATAGAAAATACGTGTCATGATTTATCTTTCCAGTCATGGCAATTTAGGTAAAAGGTTGGAAAAATACCTATACGAATAGTGGTATTAGAAAGGAACAGGGACAAAGATAAGCTAGGGTTACCTTTTGAAAAAAAATGGGGAGAATCTTGACAAAAGATTACTGGGAAGCATCAAATTTCAAGTATTTAAATCTTTAAAATGCATCCTCATAGTTTCATATTGTCTTTTTTTTTCCTTTCTATGTACTCTCTGGACCAAACAGGGTATGTCTGTCTGAATAACTCCATGACTTACTCAGGTAATCGTATCAGAAAACTTTCTGGCAAAGTTTAGATTTAGGGGATCTATGGAGATTTCTGTATCCATAACCACTTTCTGCAATGCACACATCTTAATGCACATATCTAATGCAGTCAGTCACATTATCATTTTAGCTTTCTTTGTGAATGAGAAAAATTTCATTTCCCCTCCTGTTTGCAGATACATAAAGTGATAAATGTGATGGAATGCTTTGTTAGCACCCTGCCACATGGAATAGTCCTCCTGGTTTGACTCTATTTTCTCCTCTTCCTCTTATTTAAAACTTAAGTGATCTTCTTTGGTATAGTACTGGGTAGAATATCAATTTAAAAATAAAATAAATATAATATTTTAAATGACGTTAATGCTGTTCTGCTGATATTACTTCCAAAATAAAAAAGTAGTCGGGACTAATCCTGCCAAGTTTCACTGTAAAATTAAGTATTACTGTCTTAATTATCTGTGCTAGTATGGAAAATAAATGGACTGCACACATGATTATGGTGATTAAGGATGTTGTATCATTCTCATTCACTTTTAGCCTATTTTTTTCTTTTACTTTTTGATAACTAAGAACCGAATACTTGTTTTTTTGTTGCTTTAAATCTGAGATTCTTAAATAATGCAGGCAAAAATAATCACTACTACCAATACCAATCCACCTCCAGAAAATGGGTATTTCTGCCGTATGAACAACTAGAGAAGGTACACCTGCAAGCTTCCATCATAAACAACCAGGGAATGTAAAAGAGCAGCCTTTTTGTAGCAAAGCCATACTGTAACTGAAATAGCAATCGCCTTCCAGAGAACAAAGGCACTGCCATGAAAAGTCCAAGTATTTGCTCTTTGGCAACATTCCCCCAATTCTGCAGACATGTTTAGAAAGAATGCCTACACCTCCTATTCAGAAATTAAAAGGCAGCTCTTCTAAGCTTTGAAAGGTAATATTTGGGTTGTATCAGAGTCTGGCATTTTATTTCTTTGTTCTGCTTGGGATTTCATATTGACATACAAATCATTTAGTTTCTTTAAGTATTTTAAAGTAATGTCTTTAAAATACTCTTTAAGTAATTCTTTTAAGTGCTTTAAGTATTAAATGTATAAGATAGCTTTAGATGTGGGGATTAAAAGTGACATGAGAGGAAATTGTTATCATTTGAGAGGTTTTATTTAAACATCATGAACTCACATAGTATTCACTAAGACTTTTATTTTTAAGGTTCTCAAACCTATGCATTTAAAGAATAATTTTTAGCAATTTTCATAATATAATAAAAATTGATGTTATGTTTCCTTACACATGAGATTACTTCTTACAGGAACTCAAACGAGAAAGCAAATGACAACAAAAATACTTTCTTTCAGTAATCATGGAAGCACAGGGTTTTGGTAAGTTATCACACATAATTTAAAGAAAATCTGAGTGCAAAACAACCTTATTTTAAACTATAATGTGGTCACTTTCTCCTCAGTTCTTGACTATGGCTTCCCCCATAGATTTTGATTTTCTTTCACTCATCATGTCCTATTTATTTGCAAGGTTAAATTTTATAATAGTCTAAATTTTATTAACATTTAAAAATATGATTACCTCTCAGGATTATCATTATTACAATATCATTCTTAAATTACACCACACAGATTAGAAAAAGAATAATCTGGCACACAGAGTCAGATTGAGGTTCAGATTTTGACCTTAACACTTATATAATTTGTGGCCTCAGTTTTTGTGATGGTTAATATTGAGTGTCAACTTGACTGGATTGAAGGATGCAGAATAGTGCTCCTAGGTGTGTCTGCAAAGATGTTGCCAAAGGAGATTAACATTTGAGTCAGTGGAATGGGAGAAGCAGACCCACCTGCAATCTGGGTAGGCACCATCTAATCAGCTGCCAATGCAGCTAGAATAAAGCAGGCAGAAGAAGGTAGAAAGGGCAGACTTGCTGAGTCTTCCAGCTTTCATCCTTCTCCCATGCTGGTTGTTTCCTGCCCTCAAACATCAGACTCCTAGCTCTTCAGCTTCTGGACCCTTGGACATATACCAGTGGTTTGCCAGGGGGGTCTTGGGCCTTCAGCCACAGACTGAAAGCTGCACTGTTGGCTTCCCTACTTTTGAGATTTTGGGGCTCAGACTGGCTTCCTTGCTCCTCAGCTTGCAGATAGCCTATTGTGGGACTTCACCTTGTGATCCTGTGAGTCAATACTCCTTAATAAACTTCCCTTCATATACACATCTATCCTACTAGTTCTGTCCCCCTAGAGAACCATGACTAATACAGTCTGCTTATATGTAAAATAGAAGTAATGACTAACCAAATTTTACTGAATGTCTAAAAGTTACTTAAAATGTGAAACCAGCCCAGTTGTCCAATAGAAATGATGTTTATAGATTTTAGAATAAACACAGAAATGGACCCTTTTGGTCTTGAAACTCGAAACTTGTATTTGTCTCATCTGACTTCCTTCCTCAGGAAGCTGACTCACAGGCAAGGGACTAAAACCACATCCAGAGAGTGAGATGTCAGACTCCTCATTCATTATTACTACTCCCGTACCCCTCCCTAATTTCTTTCAACACTGTAGTGACATTTCTTCTCCTGCTATATAAATACCCCAATTTTAGTTGCTCAGAGAGGTGAATGTGAGATTATTCTTCTGTTCTCCCATTTGACATCACCCGAATAAAAAAGCTTTCTTTCCTGACAATACTTGTTGTCTCAGTGATTGGCTTCCTGTGCCAGTAGCAACGGGACCTGGACCAAATGTGGGGTTTCCATAACAACTATAGCTTTTCTCCAACAGTATACAGGCCAGGTGTGGTGGCTCATGCCTAAAGCCCAGCACATTGAGAGGCCAAAACAGGAGGATCTCTTGAGCCCAAGAGTTCAAGGCTGCAGTGAGCCATGATTATGTCACTGCAGTCTAGCCTGGGAAAGAGTGAGGCCGTGTCTCAATCAATCGATCAAAATAAAATGGTACATATCATTTCCCTCTTCAAATCTATTACTTCTCCAAAATTTCTCTTTTAGTAAGGTACAAAACAGTCTACATAGTTTTCCAAATAATAAATCAGAAGTCATAATTAATTCCTGGACCAAATTACCCCTGGACTGGGCCAATCTAAACATCCAGTCACCCAGGTCTGATAATGTTCCACCTGGACACATCCTAAAAATCCCCTCCTCTTCCCTTCCTCCTCTGCCACCTCATAGTATGGGCCACAACTCTATTTCATGCAAACTGCTCTTTACCCCCTTTACTGATCTGGCTGCCTCTAGCCTTGCTCCTCTCATATCCATTCTCCACTCTGCTGCCATAGTAATTCTAAAAATGCCTCCATGATTGTGTGACTTTCCAGTTTAACACCCTTCAAATATTTCCCTTTGTTCTTGGAATAGAAACAGACTCCTTAAAGTGGTTCACAGGGCAGCCTATGATCTGGCCCTTCCTCCCCTTCCAGCTTATGTCTTGCATTCTTTGTCTCTGTTAGCTCCGTGGACTCCCCAAGCTATCTCTCCGATCTGTTCCTTTACCTGGAAGACTCTGGTATCTTCTTTATCTGGCTAAATCTTACGCATATTCAGGTTTCTATTATCAATTCTTCCACAGGGTTTTTATGATGCCAACTTAGGCCTACATCACCCTGCATTCTCAAGAAACACTTATTAAATTACTTGTTACTTATAAAAATTACTTATAAAATTGTTTATTAAAAGTCACTCTTCCCCATTAGTATATGGGGATAAATATGATGGCAGCTGAGAGAGAACAGAAGAGGGGAGAAAATCAGGATTTTGAGGCCGTGGCGTCTACAGAAAAAGCTGTGCAGTAACCTCCTTCCCCTCCTCCTCTTGCCCCACAGGGAAGAGTATTGCACCTGTCCTCATCTCAAATCCAGTGAGGGAGGTTTCCACTGTGCTATGTGGAGTATATGTGCTATGTAGGGAGTTTATTATATGACCTATGTAATAGGAGAGAAGTGGAAAAATATAGCATAACTCCCACCTAAGAAATTTGGAGAGTAAGAACAGGTTAATCATTTTTGTGGTGGAAACAGCCTGCCTTCTCTCTGTGTCTGAGTAAAGCATGCATGAAGGTTTTTGCTGGAACAGATGTAGGCCACATAGGATAAAAAGAAGAGGTCTGGGACCATTTTAAGTTCTGTTTCAGAAAACAACCTGGAAAGGAGAAGAATGCTTAAGAACCAAGATTGAGTGGAAAAAGCTACCAGCAAAACCAGGGCTGGAAGGACTGGACAACCTGGGGAGTAGAAAAGAGTTTCTACTGGAAGAAAACTAGTGATGGGAATATTTGAAAAACTCAGGATAAAATGTGGTTTCTTCTAGCAGGTCCCAGGCCATCTTCACCAAAGAAACTCTTGTGCTTCCATTTTCTCTTCTTCCCTCTCCAGTGCCAATCCTAGAGTGCCAAAAGCTATAGGAAGTAAGCTGCGTGGGGAGAGCAGAAAAGGGACAAAAGCCATCAGATGCTTTTTCTGGAAGATGCTGGCTGCCAAACAGTGGCCTCAACTGTCAGAGAAGGAGAGGAAGTATTACCTTAGAATAAGGATGAAAGTATTGATTAATATTTTGGAGTCCAAGATGGCCGAATAGGAACAGCTTGAGTCTACAGCTCCCAGCGTGAGCAATGCAGAAGATGGGTGATTTCTGCATTTCCAAATGAGGTATCAGGTTCATCTCACTGGGGCTTGTAGGACAGTGGGGGCAGGACAGTGGGTGCAGCCCACTGAGCGAGAGCCAAAGTAGGGTGAGGTATCTCCTCACCCGGGAAGCATAAAGGGTCAGGGAATTCCCTTTCCTAGCCAAGGGAAGCAGTGACGGATGGCACCTGGAAAATCGGGTCACTCCCACCCTAATACTGTGCTTTTCCAATGGTCTTAGCAAATGGCACACCAGGTTATACTCCGCACCTGGCTCGGAGGGTCCCACGCCCACAGAGCCTCACTCATTGCTAGCACAGCAGTCTGAGATCGATCTGCAAGGCAGCAGTGAGTCTGGGGAAGGGGTGCCCGCCATTGCTGAGGCTTGAGTAGGTAAACAAAGCGGCCAGGAAGCTCGAACTGGGTGGAGCCCATGACAGCTGAATGAGGCCTCCGTGCTTCTGTAGACTCCACCTCTGGGGGCAGGGCATAGCCAAAAGGCAGACTTAAATGTCCCTGTCTGACAGCTTTGAAGAGAGTAGTGGTTCTCCCAACACAGAGTCTGAGATCTGAGAATGGATAGACAGCCCCCTCAAGTGGGTACCTGACCCCCGAGTAGCCTAACTGGGAGGCACCCTCCAGTAGGGGCAGACTGACACCTCACACAGCCGGGTACCCCGCTGAGATGAAGCTTCCAGGGGAACAATCAGGCAGCAACGTTTGCTGTTCAGCAATATTTGCTGTTCTGCAGCCACCACTGCTGATACCCAGGCGAACAGGATTTGGAGTGGACCTCCAGCAAACTCCAAAAGACCTGCAGCTGAGGGTCCTGACTGTTAGAAGGAAAAATAACAAACAAAAAGGACATCCACACCAAAACCCCATCTGTACATCACCATCATCAAAGAACAAAGGTAGATAAAACCACAAAGATGGGGAAAAAACAGAGGACAAAAGCCGAAAATTCTAAAAATTAGACCACCTCTCCCCGTCCAAAGGAGCGCAGCTCCTCACCAGCAATGGAACAAAGCTGGATGGAGAATGACTTTGACAAGTTGACAGAAGAAGGCTTCAGAAGATCAAACTTCTCTGAGCTAAGGGAGGAAGTCTGAACCCATCGCAAAGAAGCTAAAAACCTTGAAAAAAGATTAGACAAATGGGTAACTAGAATAACCAATGTAGAGAAGTCCTTAAATGACCTGATGGAGCTGAAAAACATGGCACGAGAACTACGTGACGAATACACAAGCTTCAGTAGCCGATTTGATCAACTGGAAGAAAGGGTATCAGTGATTGAAGATCAAATTAATGAAATGAAGTGAGAAGAGAAGTTTAGAGAAAAAAGAGTAAAAAGAAATGAACAAAGCCTCCAAGAAATATGGGACTATGTGAAAACACCAAATCTACATCTGATTGGTGTACCTGAAAGTGACGGGGAGAATGGAACCAAGTTGGAAAACACTCTGCAGGGTATTATCCAGGAGAACTTCCCCAACCTAGCAAGGCAGGCCAACATTCAAATTCAGGAAATAGAGAGAACACCACAAAGAGACTCCTCGAGAAGAGCAGCTCCAAGACACATAATTGTCAGATTCACCAAAGTTGAAATGAAGGAAAAAATGTTAAGGGCAGCCAGAGAGAAAGGTCGGGTTACCCATAAAGGGAAGCCCATCAGACTAACAGTGGATCTCTTGGCAGAAACTCTACAAGACAGAAGAGAGTGGAGACCAATATTCAACATTCTTAAAGAAAAGAATTTTCAACCCAGAATTTCATATCCAGCCAAACTGAGCTTCCTAAGTGAAGGAGAAATAAAGACCTTTATAGACAAGCAAATGCTGAGAGATTTTGTCACCACTAGGCCTGCCCTACAGGAGCTCTTGAAGGAAGCACTAAACATGGAAAGGAACAACTGGTATCAGCCACTGCAAAAACATGCCAAACTGTAAAGACCATAAATGCTAGGAAGAAATGGCATCAACTAATGAGCAAAATAACCAGCCAACATCATAATGACAGGATCAAATTCACACATAACAATATTAACCTTAAGTGTAAATGGGCTAAATGCTCCAATTAAAAGACACAGACTGGCAAATTGGATAAAGAGTCAAGACTCATCAGTGTGCTGCATTCAGGAGACCCATCTCACGTGCAGAGACACACATAGGCTCAAAATAAAGGGATGGAGGAAGATCTACCAAGCAAATGGAAAACAAAAAAAAGGCAGCGGTTGCAATCCTAGTCTCTGATAAAACAGACTTTAAACCAGCAAAGATCGAAAGAGACAAAGAAGAGCATTACATAATGGTAAAGGGATCAATTCAACAAGAAGAGCTAACTGTTCTAAATATATATGCACCCAATACAGGAGCACCCAGATTCATAAAGCAAGTCCTTACAGACCTAGAAACAGACTTAGACTCCCACACAATAATAATGGGAGACTTTAACACCGCACTGTCAACATTAGACAGATCAATGAGACAGAAAGTTAACAAGGGTAACCAGGAATTGAACTCAGCTCTGCACCAAGTGGACCTAGTAGGCATCTACAGAACTCTCCACCCCAAATCAACAGAATATACATACTTCTCAGCACCACATCACACTGATTCCAAAACTGACCACATAGTTGGAAGTAAAGCACTCCTCAGCAAATGTAAAAGAACAGAAATTATAACAAACTGTCTCTCAGACCACAGTGCAATCAAACTAGAACTCAGGATTAAGAAACTCCCTCAAAACTGCTCAACTACATGGAAACTGAACAACCTGCTCCTGAATGACTTCTGGGTACATAATGAAATGAAGGCAGAAACAAAGATGTTCTTTGAAACCAGTGAGAACAAAGACACAACATACCAGAATCTCTGGGACACATTCAAAGCAGTGTGTAGAGGGAAATTTATAGCACTAAATGCCCACAAGAGAAAGCAGGAAAGATCTAAAATTGACACCCTAACATCACAATTAAAAGAACTGGAGAAGCAAGAGCAAACACATTCAAAAGCTAGCAGAAGGCAAGAAATAACTAAGATCAGAGCAGAACTGAAGGAGATAGAGACACAAAAAACCCTTCAAAAAATCAATGAATCCAGGAGCTGGTTGTTTTTGGAAAACATCAACAAAATTGATAGACTACTAGCAAGGCTCATAAAGGAGAGAAGAGAGAAGAATCAAATAGACGCAGACGCAATAAAAAATGATAAAGGGGATATCACCACTGATCCCACAGAAATACAAACTACCATCAGAGAATACTATAAACAACTCTACACAAATAAACTAGAAAATCTAGAAGAAGTGGATAAATTCCTGGACACATACACCCTCCCAAGACTAAACCAGGAAGAAGTTGAATCTCTGAATAGACCCATAACAGGCTCTGAAATTGTGGCAACAGTTAATAGCCTGCCACCCAAAAAAAGTCCAGGACCAGACAGATTCACAGCTGAATTCTACCTGAGGTACAAGGAGGAACTCATACCATTCCTTATAAAACTATTCCAATCAATCGAAAAAGAGGGAATCCTCCCTAACTCATTTTATGAAGCCAGCATCATCCTGATACCAAAGCCTGATAGAGAAACAACAAAAAAAGAGAATTTTAGACCAATATCCCTGATGAACATCAATGCAAAAATCCTCAATAAAATACTGGCAAACTGAATCCAGCAGCACATCAAAAAGCTTATCCACCATGATCAAGTGGGCTTCATCCCTGGAATGCAAGGCTGGTTCAACATACGCAAATCAATCAACGTAATACAGCATATAAAAAGAACTAAAGACAAAAATCGCATGATTATCTCAATAGATGCAGAAAAGGCCTTTGACAAAATTCAACAGCCCTTCATGCTAAAAACTCTCAATAAATTAGGTATTGATGGGACGTATCTCAAAATAATAAGAGCTTTTTATGACAAACCCACAGCCAATATCATACTGAATGGCCAAAAACTGGAAGCATTCCCTTTGAAAACTGGCACAAGACAGGGATGCCCTCTCTCATCACTCTTATTCAACGTAGTGTTGGAAGTTCTGGCCAGGGCAATCAGGAAGGAGAAAGAAATAAAGGGTATTCAATTAGGCATAGAGGAAGTCAAATTGTCCCTGTTTGCAGATGACATGATTGTATATTTAGAAAACCCCATTGTCTCAGCCCAAAATCTCCTTAAGCTGATAAGCAACTTCAGCAAAGTCTCAGGATACAAAATCAATGGGCAAAAATCACAGGCATTCCTATACACCAATAACAGACAATCAGAGAGCCAAATCATGAGTGAACTCCCATTCACAATTGCTTCAAAGAGAATAAAACACCTAGGAATCCAACTTACAAGGGATGTGAAGGACCTCTTCAAGGAGAACAACAAACCACTGCTCAATGAAATAAAAGAGGATACAAACAAATGGAAGAACATTCCATTCTCATGGATAGGAAGAATCAATATTATGAAAATGGCCATATTGCCCAAGGTAATTTAATAGATCCAATGCCATCCCCATCAAGCTACCAATGACTTTCTTCACACAATTGGAAAAAACTGCTTTAAAGTTCATATGGAACCAAAAAAGAGCCCACATTGCCAAGACAATTCTAAGCCAAAAGAACAAAGCTGGAGGCATCATGCTACCTGATGTCAAACTATACTACAAGGCTATAGTAACCAAAACAGCATGGTACTGGTACCAAAACAGAGATATAGACCAATGGAACAGAACAGAGCCCTCAGAAATAATACCACACATCTACAACCATCTGATCTTTGACAAACCTGACAAAAACAAGAAATGGAGAAAGATTCCCTATTTAATAAATGGTCCTGGGAAAACTGGCTAGCCAAGTGTAGAAAGCTGAAACTGGATCCCTCCCTTACACCTTATACAAAAATTAATTCGAGATGGATTAAAGACTTAAACATTAGATCTAAAACCATAAAAACCCTAGAAGAAAACCTAGACAATACCACTCAGGACACAGGCATGGGCAAGCACTTCATGTCTAAAACACCAAAAGCAATGGCAACAAAAGCCAAAATTGACAAATGGGATCTAATTAAACTAAAGAGCTTCTGCACAGCAAAAGAAAATACCATCAGAGTGAACAGGCAAACTACAGAATGGGAGAAAATTTTTGCAATCTACTCATCTGACAAAGGGCTAATATCCAGAATCTACAAAGAACTTAAACAAATTTACAAATTACAATTGTTGTTACAAAAAAACGAACAATTCCATCAAAAAGTGGGCAAAGGATATGAACAGACACTTCTCAAAATAAGACATTTATGCAGCCAACAGACACATGAAAAAAATGCTCATCATGACTGGCCATCAGAGAAATGCAAATCAAAACCACAATGAGATACCATCTCACACCAGTTAGAATGGCGATCATTAAAAAGTCAAGAAACAACAGGTGCTGGAGAGGATGTGGAGAAATAGGAACACTTTTACACTGTTGGTGGGACTGTAAACTAGTTCAACCATTGTGGAAGACAGTGTGGCAATTCCTCAAGGATCTAGAACTAGAAATACCATTTGACCCAGCCATCCCATTACTGGTTATATACCCAAAGGATTATAAATCATGCTGCTATAAAGACACATGCACACGTATGTTTATTGCGGCACTATTCACAATAGCAAAGACTTGGAACCCACCCCAACGTCCATCAATGATAGACTGGATTAAGAGTATGTGGCACATATACACCATGCAATACTATGCAGCCATAAAAAAGAATGAGTTCGTGTCCTTTGTAGGGACATGGATGAATCTGGAAACCATCATTCTCAGCAAATTATCTCAAGGATAAAAAACCAAACACCACATGGTCTCACTCATAGATGGGAATTGAACAATGAGAACATTTGGACACAGGAAGGGGAACATCACACACCGGGGCCTGTCATGGGGTGGGGAGATGGGGGAGGGATACCATTAGGAGATATACCTAATGTAAATGAGGAGTTAAAGAGTGCAGCACACCAACATGGCGCCTGTATACATATGTAACAAACCTGTACATTGTGCACACGTACCCTAAAACTTAAAGTATGATAATAAATAAATAAATAAATAAATAAATAAATAAAATAAAAAAGTAAATAAAAAATATTTTGGAATAGATACTCTTAATTGAGGTCACTTAAAAGTAATTGTAGAATTGCTTAGTCTGTAGGAGTGAAAAGAGAAGTCACAGGTATGGTGTCGAAGTTCCCATTGAGGACCAGAAGACAATAACCTCTACCAAGTAAATATTAAAGAGGATATGGAGGCCCAGTGCAGTGGTTCATGCCTGTAATGCCAGCATTTTGGGAGGCTGAGGTGGGCGGATCACTTGAGGCCAGGAGTTTGAGACCTTGCCAACATTGTTAAGCTCCATCTCTACTAAAAATACAAAACTTAGCAGGGTGTGGTGGTTCGTGACTGTAATCCCAGCTACTCTGGAGCCTGAGATGGGAGAATTGCTTGAACCCAGGAGGGGGAGGTTGCAGTGAGCCGCGATGGTTCCACTGCACTCCAGCCTGGGTGACAGAGTGAGACTCTGTCTCCAAAAAAAAAAAAAAAAAAAAAAAAAAAAAAGCTTCCAGGAGACAACAATTTGTGTTTCCATTAAGCCATATTCTATAGTTTCTGGCATTCATTACACTTCAATACCCATTTAAATATCCATGATAACAGTCATTAAAATTTGTCATTGTGAAAACAATATTGTAAAGAGTGGTGATGGATATGGGTGGGAACTGTTATGTGGATTATGTGCACCTGCAAAATGGGTCCCAAACACCACATCAGATTGCAGATTGTTTCTTTCTTTCTTTTCCTTTTTTCTTTTCTTTTTTTTTTTTTTTTAGACAGAGTCTCACTCTTGCTGCTCAGGCTGGAGTGTAATGGTGTGATCTCAGCTCACCACAAACTCCACCTCCTGGGTTCTAGCAATTCTCCTGCCTCAGCCTCCTGAGTAGCTGGGATTACAGGCATGCACCACCACACATGGCTAATTTTGTATTTTTGGTACAGACAGGGTTTCTCCATGTTGGTCAGACTGGTCTTGAACTCCTGACCTCAGGTGATCCACCTGCCTCGGCCTCCCAAAGTGCTGGGATTACAGGCATGAGCCACTGCACCTGGCCTAGATTGTTTCTTTTATACTGTTAAAAAAATCTATATCTGTCAAAGTTATGAAATAGTATTATTTGTATTAGATATGCTCATTGTGAGTAGCCATCAGAATCTATTCTGTTTTTCAATATTACAAATTTTCATCTTTTCTTTATGCAAATAGCATATGAGACATAATCTGCTTTTCACAAAAGTCTACATGTATATTAATTGAATAAGATGTAGAAATGACTGCTTTTCTACAGATCTCCATTCACGTGTCAACAAACTTGAAGTGAGACTAAATATACTAACTTAAATGGAATCTTAACTGTGCTGACTGCAGTCTCACTCCAGCTTTCGTCTTCCTCCTACTACTCTTCTCACTTGTCAATTCTTTTTTTTTTTTTTTTTTTTTTTTTTTTTTTTTTTTTGAGATGGAGTCTCACTCTGTTGCCAGGCTGGTGCAATCTCGGCTCACTGCAATCTCCAGCTCCCTGGTTTAAGCGATTCTCCTGCTTCAGCCTCCCGAGTAGCTGAGATTAAAGGCATGCACCACCATGCTCAACTAATTTTGTATTTTTAGTACAGAGGGGGTTTCACCATGTTGGCCAGGATGGTATCAATCTCCTGATCTCATGATCTGCCCGCCTTGGCTTCCCACAATGTTGGGATTACAGGAGTGAGCCACCGCTCCCAGCCCTCAATTCTTTAAAACAGAAAATTCAGCATCTCAGATGGAATCAATTGAGCTGTTAGTTTAATTTTGAGAATCTCAGATCAAGCTGATGAAAAGGACATAATGAACACATTTTAAGAAGACACTGGCTATGAAACCAGACTGGCCTGTGTATAATGTCATCTCCACCATTTACTACATCTCTGAGCAAGTTAAATATCTTAAGTGTTAGTGTCCTTATGTGTTAAAAGAAAAAACAAAAAAGGATTGTAGTACCTAGCTCACTGAGTTATTGTGAAAATTGAATAAAATAAACTATACAAATTATTTATCATGCTGTCTAATACAATGGAAGTGCTCACATGCATACACAGGAGACTTATCAAATAGTAAAATTAAATTAATAATATTCTCTTGGCCTGCCATTTTTAAAAAATTTAGTTTTGTTAACTTTTTGCATCCAAACCAGGAAGTTAGGTATCAAATCTAATAATTTTTACCATTTTACTTTACAAAGAGTAATAAAATGATCTAACAATAATGTGTTCCACCAGAATAGAAACAGATGATTTAGAACAAGAAAAAAATATTTTTAAGAAATTTATATTAGCATAAGAATAAACAGGTCCTTGAATTTCAAAAATGTGTATATCATATAAACTCACCTGTATGATATTTAACAGATTATAAATGTTATCTTAAATAGTTTGAAGGACATACAGATATTTAATAAATAATCTGATGATGACTGGCTAGTCATTTAAAGAAAAGTCATGATTCCTACTTCACTAAAGGCAAATAAATTTCAGATGTTAAAATGTAGTGCCTAAAAAGCAAAACCATTTAAATACTAGAAAAATATAAATGTATATTTTTACAGTCCTAAGATTTTATCACCACTGAAAGCATGATAGCAAACCCAGCAACCATAGGGAAAAAAAATGACAGAATTGAGAACATAATAATTTAAAATTTAGGGATGGCAAAAACAAACGTAAAAATTAAAACAAAACCTAATAAAATCAACGAAATAAACAAAAAGCCATAAATAGGTTAAATATAGGAACTATCATAGCAAAATCGTATGCGTTTCTCTCATACAATCATAGGGGTTAAAGGATTTAATTCAGAGAGAGGTGGTATCAGTTGTGGCTTGATTACTATTTGCCAGATGATCCCTTGAATGGCCCTTGAATGCCCTCCCTCAGGAGTAGGAGCTATTAAAGACCACTAAAGCTGGAGGTGACTTTAAAGATCATTCTGGTCCCCTCTTTGCATTTTACAGACATGGTAACTAAGACTTGTTGAAGTTAAATCACTGTAGCCATAATAGAGATATGTATAAGACACAATAGGAGCAGAAAAATCTTTCCCTGCCTGGAGAACAAGAAGGTCAAAAGAATCTTTCCTGGGAAAGAAGCATTGTAGCTGAATGTAGAAGTAATTCCCCAGAAGGAAAGGAGATTCCAGATTAGAAAGAAAAGAAAAATAACAAAAACCAAAACTATTATTTACAAAGGCCTGAAGCATACCTGAGACAGGTATGTCTAGCATATTATAAATGATTAGGCATAACCAGAGTTTATAGGGTATTAGTGGTGTTACACGAAGTTTAAAATATGGGCAGTGTACTAAATACATGGATGCCATGCTAAATAATTTTGACTCTGTCCTACAGATGATGAGGAACCTAGAAATCTTTTACAATAGGCAACACATCAGGCTTGTGTTTTAGAAAGGAACTGTGGCTGCTTGAAGGATGGAAAAGAGTGAAGAATTTAGAGATTAAAAACAGCCCACCCCTTTCAAGATCCTGCTGCAATACTCCACTCGGCCTTCTGGGTTCTCTCTTGGCAGAGTCTTCCTTCTCTTTTTCTTCTTTGCACTTTTGGTAGGATTATATTTTTTCATACATTCATTATACCTACATATATGAGTTTCTAAGACAAAAAGAGGTACAGTCAAATAAATGGGTGGGCAAGCAGTGTTTACTTTCGCAAACTAGAGAACAAAAGAACACTGTAGGTAAACTGTCATTTGAAATAGGCATTGACACATAGGAAGGATTTGAGTACAAAGCGATTTGGTAGAGAAAGAAAAAGGAGAAAGGAGGATAGCATAAAGAAAGGTATTGAGACCAGAACAAGTAACTATAATTTCTTAATATCAAACATCGTGTCAGTATTAAAATTTCTGATTTTGTAATTGTTGTTAACAGTTTAGAGAAACAAACATTGTGATTGACTGAAGTTTCTAATTAACTCTTGTTTAAACTATAGGTTCCACCACCATAACAACATCTTTATGGTGTGTGTGTGTGTGTGTGTGTGTGTGTGTGTGTGTGTGTTGTGTGTGTGTGTGTGTTTTCTGACTTTCATTGACATGATAGAAGATAGTTCACTCAATCATCTAAATGGTTTTACTAATCACCCCTACTAGACAAAGCACAAGAAAGTAGTTTCTCAACAGGCCTTTAGATACAAGCATTTATTTGTTGAATATATTCAAAGAGACGTGTTTAGACAACCCCTTCCTGGAAGTTAGTTTGCCGCTAATTACTCTCTAGTATGAATAGAAAATTATGTAAATTTGGTGAAAGAATGTTCTCCTTTGTGAAATAAAGCACTTTCATTTTTGTGTATAAATCTTTGACCATATTAAGGTGAACCATGCAAAATTGCCTACAAAAAGAGCAAATTCAGTGGCTCAACTCAATAGAAATGAAGATGAGTTTATTTCCCGGTGATTTAGTGTAAACAATAGTATTTATAATAGCTAACATATTGGATATGACAAATACCCATGTATTATTAATCAAACATATTTATAAATGTCTAAGTTAATATCCAGATTACTTTACTTTTCAAAAGCAGATCACTGTCTTAGTTTGTACATAATTCTCCCATTCAATTTCAAATTTGTTCTTAGAAGGCAACTGGAAATATTTGGCAAGATATTAGAAACGGAGAGGAAGTGGAAACTGTGTGAAAATGTCTATAATGACTTAAACAGATTACATGTCATTAAGATCCCTCTGGGATATCAAGGTCAAAGTGAGTGAAGGTATTCACTGCTCATCAGTGAAAGTCAGGGAACGGAGTACAGTCACTTTCTAAACACTATTTCCCAACCCCATAGAGCTAGGATTAATTTACAGAATTTAATGCTTAGTTGAAATAGAAATGTGCTTGTTCTCAGTGAAGCGATGGTGAAGGTGCCTGTAACAATTGTAGTTCTGAACCGGAATTATTTAATAAGTAGTCTGGTTGAAAGCAGTTGGTCTCCCAGGAATATTAGGTAATTTTCTCTCAATTTGAGTTAAATATCATGCCAGAAAAAGAATCTTATTGACTAGTCACAAAGTGACTGCTGGACAGTTTTCTCTCTACCTTAATGAAAGCCACAGAGAAATACTAGGGTTGAAAGTGGCCACTATTACTCATTCGATTAGGCCTCGAAAGACTCTTACTCTGGGATGTGGAGCAACAGGAGTAAATTTAAAGTCCTCTGGCTGGCTCTAACTTGTGTCCTAAACTCCTCAAAAATAATATAAAGATTAAGAGGGTTTTCAAAAAGTATAATGACTTGATGACTTTCCATAGCCACTTAACAAACCATAACCTCAAAAGTCTTACCTAGGAAAAAATAAAATGGTTTTGTTTTAATAGTCTCAAATATCAAAATTAAGTCTTTCTGACCTCAGTCAAACTTTTGGACATTTTGTAAGGACCCCGGGAAGTACAAAAGAGAAATATTGGGCTAATTAGGCTTATCCGATATGATGAATTCTAAAAGAAACATTGTCAAAGTAAGAAATGATGTTTGAAACTTCTTGGAGTTATATTTATATGAATATGTTATTAATATGTGTTTCAGAATTATATAAAGTTCCTAGAAATCTGATATGTTTTAGTGTAAATGCTATCCATCATAATTGTGGTTATTTTAAATTGTTTTATGCTACAGAAATAACCAAATTTCCTTGTCAATTGTGTAACTCTCTTATCAGATCCTTAGCCATGGCCATTGGAATTCTTGATGTCCACAGGTAATTGCTTTAATCTAACGCGTTTCTAAAAGCTTCTTGCCAGCAATTACAATCCTAAAGTATTATGACTTTAAGGAGATTCATGGAAAGCATGAAAAGAACTCTGACAAGTACAGGTTTCCAATAGCTATGAGTTCATTCCATTGGAATGAATTTTCAAAAGTCTAATAAAGAAACTGATGGGTTTGTGAAACTGCTAACCAATATCAAACAAAGCAAGAATTAATTACATTAGACTGAATGAACTGATAAGAAAGAATTATGGTTTTTATAATAGCTTTTATATTTGAAACATTACTGGTTCTTTCATTGTTTTGTTTTGAGGTTTAAGGAAACATTTTTCATTAAAGCTATCTATAGTTTACAGCAATTTGGTATAGCACACCTTTATAAACAAAAATGGAAACATTTAATTTTCTTCTTTACCTGATCCCTTCAGAAACTATTCACAAATATTTTTATTTTCATGACATTATGGTTATATGCATAAGTTCAGTAAGAAATTTTCAACAAAGCAAATTTAAACAGAGCCTATACGTGTATTTGTGCTGCACTTATGTAAATAATCAGGCGAACTGGTCTTCCCATGATTATCTTTGGTAGAAATGAGAGTGATGATAGAGAAAAAAATATGTTTCAAAAGAAATCTAAAGTAAACCTGTCATTAGATTGTAGACTTATTCACTGTTTTTGAGTTTTTATTATCTACCTATAGATTAAGTTAGATCCTGAATTCTTCTAATTTTGTCCAATATCTGGTTACAACTCTATAACAAAAACAAAAATTACTGTTCCTGAAGTCCTACAGGCCAAAACTGGACAGCATTATGTAAACTTCAAGGTACAAATCTCATACCTGATTCATTGGTCACACAGAGAGTTTACCAAAAATGTCAGATGTCACAACCAGAGACGTTCAATCTACAAATCCAGGACAAGAAGTTGCTGACTTCATGCTGTGGATATCTTTTCTCAGCATTGTCAGAACAAGACTCCCTATTGTAATGAGACATCCCTCCTCTTAATTTTCTCTTTACTTATCCCTACCTCTTTCAGTTGACAGAATAACACTGTCTTTAAGATTTCACAATAAGTAGTTCCTGCGGGTAACTTGCAAATTGTCATGCCCATTCCTAAAATGCTAGATGATAGAATTGCTACCTACTAACTGAACAGAGAGGAATCTACACAATCAATGACACTTGTACAAAAATAAATACATTGGGTACTATATAGACTTAGATGCAAAAACGAATGAACAGACTACTTAGTTAAAATGGATAGACTTCTTGCCTATCTCATTTTTTATTTGATTTTAATTGGTTCAGTTCATGGGGAGCCTGGCTGAGGAATAAACTCCAAACTCTTAGTATTATTCCCATGATAGTCACAGTAGTTTCTCTGGTGTGTTGTATCCTTTCTAAAAGTTTTCAATGTTTGTATGCAGCCATCTGTCTAACATCAAATGGTCTCTGTCCAGCCAGAACCACAAAAACTCAAAGACACAGGTGATAATGAGTAGGACACTGTAACCTATAAATGGCAACTGAGAGTAATACTGATGCTCTAAGTGCTGGTCACAAAAAGAAGGGAATTGTTAAATAAAAATCATAGGAGACCATTGTTTTGGACTCAGTTTTTGCACTAGTTCCCAACACAGCCGACTAAAAACAAATGGAGTCATCCATGCTAAAGTTCCAAATCCACTAAACCTAAACTAATTTGTTGTCTGGCCTTCCAAGAAATCAGGAAAGATAACAGCCAATTTCCCAAACAGGCCAGTTTAAATCTTCAGTTGGCATAATAATGAAGTTTCCTCTGCTTGAATTCTTACACACCAAAAGCTACCCTGAAGTAACCTGATGTTAACCAATCAATTACTTTCCTATGGCTCTGTCTCTCTGTACCTGCCTTACAAGAAAAGTAGCTTTAAAAGACTAATACGCTCTTTGTTCTTTGTCTCTGCTTTCTTCAGACCCTCTCTGTCTGCGAAGCAAATCATCTCTGCTCATTGGAATACTGATTCTATTTCATGGAATGAACTGTTGTCCAATTTTAGAATCACAAATAAAGCCAACTGAGGTATTTAAGCTAAATTTGTTGTAATTTTGTGTTTTGACCATAGGGATAGCAATTGGTAAATAAGGAAGGGAAAGTATCTATACACTTTTTATCTAAGAACGTAAATATGAATGAATGAATTTGGAACTCAGGTTTGCTGATAGTCTCATAAAGGGGAGCCCCCCATACATGCTCTCTTGCCTGCCACCATGTAAGACATCACTTTGCTCTTTCTTCATCTTCCACCATGATTGTGAGGCCTCCCCAGCCAGGTGAAACTGTGAGTCCATTAACTCTCTTTCTTTTATAAATTACCCAGTCTGAGGTATGTCTTTATTAGCAGTGTGAGAAAAAATTAATACACTTATGAATACAGATGTAAAAATTCTAACAAAATATTAGCAAGCCAAATCCAACAATCTATAAATAGGATCACACACCATGACCAAGTGTGATTGATCCCAGGAACACAAGGTTGGTTTAACATTCAAAAATCAATGAATGTAATTCATCACATTAATAAAAAATCAATATGGTCATCTCAATTGGTACAGAAAGAGCATTTAAGAAAAATCCAACATCATTATAAAAAAATTAAATGAACTAGGATTAGAGTGAAACTAACAACCTGAAACGGACATCTATAAAAAACCCACAGCTAACATCATACTTAATGATGAAAGACTTAATGCTTCCCCACTCCCGATCAGGAACAAGGCAAATACGTTTACTCCTTCTGCTTCTATTAAATATTGTACTGGAGGTTCTAATTAGAGCCATTAAGTTTATTTTTAAAAGGTGTTCGGTTTAAACATTCAGATTGGAATGAAGAAGAAAAGTTTCTCTATCTGTAGATGAAATGATCTTATATAAACATTTTACGAAATACACAAAAAAACTATTAGAATTAGCACAAGTTCAGCAAGATTGCAGAACATAAGACAATATAACAAATAAACTGTATTTCTTTATACAAGCAATGAAATTCCAAAAATAAAATTAAGAAAACAATTCGATTTACACTAGCATCAAAAGAATTACTTAAGGCTGGGTACGGTGGCTCCTGTCTATTATTCCAGCACTTTGGGAGGCTGAGGTGAGAGGATCACTTGAGGCTGGAAACTTGAGACCAGCCTGGGCAACATAGTAAGAACCATGTCTTAAAAAAAAGAAAAAAGAAAAAAGCCAAGCACAGTGGCATGTGTCTGTAGTCTAGCTACTTGGGAAGCTGAGGTGGGAGGAGTTGCTGAGCCCATCAGTTCAAGGTTGCAGTGAGCTACGACTGTACCACTGTACTCTAGCCTGGCTGACAGAGTAAGACCTTGTCTCTTAAAGAAAAAATGAAAATAATTTTTTAAAAAGTACAAGACTTCTGCATTAAAAACTTACTATATATTATTGAAAGAAATTAAAGATCTAAGTAAATGAAAAGATATCTTATTTTCCCAAATTAAAGGCATATGTTTTTTAAAGTATCAATACTTCTTAAATTGATCTACACTCTCAATGCAATCCTTATAAAAATCTCCGATGGCTTTCTAGCAGAAATTGACAAGCTGATGTTAAAATTCACACTGAAATTCAAGAAATACAGAATAGTCAAAACAGTCTTTATAAAGAACAATTTGGAGGATTCATACTTTCTGGTTTCACAGCTTGTGATAATTAAGACAATGTGGTAGTGTCATAAGATAATACACATATAAATCAATTGAATAGATTTAAGAGTTCAAAAATAAACCCATAATTGATATTTGGTCAATTGACTTTTGGCCAGGGAATCAAGACTGTTCAATGGAGAAAAACTAGTTCTTCCAACAAATAGTATGGGGATAACTGTAATGTACACACAAAAGAATTAGTTTGGATCTCTGTCTTACACCATACACAGAAAATTAACTCCAAGTGGATCAAAGACATAAATATAAAAGCTCAAACTATAAAACACAGAAAAAAGGAAAGTAGATCTTCATGACTTTGGGTGAAGCTTTGGTTTCTTTCTTTAAATACATTTAGTTTTAAAATTGAATTTGAATTTCCTTTTTCAAATTTAAGAATCAGATTGCCATTTCACACTTCTTTTTTTAATGTAAGCATATCTGAAATGTCCCCGTTTTCTCTAACGGGAACACATTATTTTCATTCTTATTATGTTTTAAAATTTTGTTTTCAAAATTATATTTATTTCTGGCTTTGATTAAATGATAGACAAAGTAACAACAACAATTCAGTATCGTAATTTGACTCTGGCATTAAGAAACTGCACTCTTGAACAAGTCACTTCCCTCAATGTCTCTGCACTGCATTGAAGAGGGGGGTGTTACAAAATAATACTCACTAGATATACTTTCTTTGGGAATCTGTAACTTTGACTATCATGTTGACCATCTATTGGCAGATATAAAGCACTTGATATAAAAATATTTTTAACAAACATCTATCTGATCTGGTCCATACCTATATTTCTAAGTTAAAGCTGACTGTTTTATGTGCATAAACAAATTAAAGCAGACAGAAGAAATGAAAAAAAAAAAACCCACTCAGAAACACAGTTTAAATCAATATTCATTGATTTCTGGGACACTATATGCAAAGAGCAATAAACAGAGGCAGATTCTAAAGGAGGTGGCCACAGACACTAATCAAAGACATAATACATTTACAGGGTAATGCAGCCTAAGGTTTTTCAAGAATATTTGAATAATCAGGTGGTAGCAAGTTCATGAATGTACTTTTTGAGTACAAAAGACAATAATCTTCTATCACCATTGAAATCATTAAAAGCTATAAACTACTGCATTAAAGCGTGTAGTTTTACATAATGTTCAATCAAAATATTTATTCACGAGAAAGAATACTTTAACAACAGATGTACAAAGTATCTCATTTGTCTTTTTGGTTTTTGTCATGACAGCAGTTTGCAGTTGTTATAAAGCTATTACGATGAAACATACAACATTTGAAGTAATTGTCTACATTGGCTAAATATTCTTTCCCAGTAATGTGATTCATAGCTGGAAAGATACATCTACTTCTCTAGTCTAGGCAAGTAATTTCACTTGATTGGAGTCTGTTAATAAAGACAATAGATGTCTACTGCAGTCTTACTATGTGCCAGTCTTGACAGTTGCTTTTTATCAATTGTTGTGTTTAATCCTCTCAACACATCATGAGGTATGTATTGGTATTTGAATTGTACAGAAGAAGAAACTGAGGCTCAGGGAAATGAAATACACTTCCATAGTCGTACAGGTAGCAAAAAGCAAGGCTATATTTTAATTATTCCTGCTCCAAATGTTGCTTTGTCCATAGTATTTTTCTAGGCAGTAATTTCCAAATGTGTGTATTCAGGTCAAGGGACAGTGAATGGTTGAGTACAGAAGTTACAACTCTAGTCTAACTCTACTAAACTTGATGGATAAGTCATCCTCACCTGGGATTAAGAGGATGGAACTATTTCTAGTTTTATAATTGATTAGACAAATCTTAGGCAAATCTTCAGCTAATTCATTGAAACAGTCCAACTCATCCTACTTTAGATATCATGGTAGCAGGGTGAGTGACAGGTAGTAGCGTAGAATGATGATAGTTTTCCGTATTCGAATGTCTAAATTCACAAATCCTTAAAATTTAATCTCTCTGCATCCACAACATGATCCCTCTCTCTGACAGCTCCACCTGTTACAGCATAAAATAGAACTTTCAAGTATAAAAAAGACAGAGGGGACAGCTCTGGGATGAATTCCCTGGAGAAAGATGTATACTTGCCAAAGCAAGAAAGAGGGCTGGGCAGTAAGAATTCACTCACATTATTAGAATATTGGAGAACTGTTTTCGATCTACTCGTCAAATCTCATTACAATAAACTGTAGAGCTTTTAATGAACTCCCACTGATACTCAGTTTTAGTCCTTATTCATTCACTTAGCCATTTAAATCAATAGATATTTAGTCAGTGGCTACTATATGCTCAGCCTTGGCTAGGTATTGGAGATACACAGATGAGGAAAAAGTAAGCCCCTGTTTCATGGAGCTTGAGATTATTAGGAGAAATGGGATTTAATCAGATAATTATGCAAATGAGTGAGTATCTGGAAGTTGAGATTAATGCTAAGAAACAAAGAAATATTGTTTCATGAAAGCACACATCAAACAACAACAACAACAACAACAACTGGACTGAGGCTTGAGAAAAGCTTGCTTGAGAAAACAGTGCCTGAACTGAGCTTACAATTAAGTAGAAATTGATTAGACAAAAGTAGGAAAATGGGAAATTTTCCAAGCAGGCAGAGAACCAGTATGGAGGCCTGGAGGTGGAAGGAAGGAAGGAAGAGAGAACACTGAAAATGTGGGACATCAGTATTAGAAAAGCTAGAAAGGAAAGCTGGAGCCAAGCTGCAGAAGAAATTGTAGATCACGTTCAAGTCTATATGAAAGATACTCATCTTTATCTTGAGAATAACTGGAGGTCACTTCAGGATTTAAAGATGCATTTGTGTCATGGGTAGAGGAGGATGATAGGTTTGCATTTAAAATTTCCCAATTACTATACAAGGAAGACATAGCTAGAATGGAGGCAGAAAGTGAAGTTATGAGACTAATTAATCCATTGGTGAAAGTTAATTGTATATTTAATAAGGGTCTTGACAGGGATTCTATGAGGCTGTATATATACAATATTCACACACCATTGTGGCCAGAACAATATATAAAACAAAAGCAGCCCAGGTAGCTAGTCACCCTGCAGGGAGTGAGTCAGAGGATAAACACTAGTTCTCATTCACCTGATAGTGTCTCCCATTGGCTAAATACAACTGAAAGTCAGAAAACCAGGAGTCTTCTTGATGCAGTGCACACAGGAAAATTTCTTGGTGCACAGAGCAGGGTGAAGAAGAGTGATGAGTGGATCTGGGCGGGAGGCAGGTTCAGTGAGAGACAAACAATATATGTAATTTATCCATCAGACTTGAACAAGTAAATCAGAAAAGATGGAGGCTATACTTACACAATCAAAGCATGATTATTTTTTTACATTCAACAAGATTTATCAATGTCTAGAAATATTTTTAAGCCAGTTATGTGAAAATATGTTTAACACATTACTTTGACAAGGTAAGTTATAGTCTAGGGCAGCAGAAAAACATGCAACTGAAATGATGCCCTGGACACTGAAAATGATCGAGAAAGTATTCCTCACATTCTCAACTTGTGAGCAAAGGATTACACGCAAATGCTGATCCAGCCAAGAAAGCACACATGGACTTGTCCATTGGCCTATGTACATTCTACTGAAGGTGAAGCATGAGTCAAATAGTGTAGGCAAAAATTCTGCCAAAACTTAGCTTGGCTCCTTGGTTTGTCTATTCAAGCTTTTAGCTGTAGCCAATAAGAACTCTGTAAAAATGCAAAAAGATGGAAGTTGCACTCCCTAGAAACAATAAAAATGATGGGTGGCAAATGCCAATTGTATCCAGACAACTAATACTATAAATAATGTGTCAAAATAAGATGCTTAAGTTATTCCTTTCAGGAATCACTAAACATAAAATAAAGATGCACGTATGAGTAAGAACTAACTTGAGGATTGCGGATTATAACTCATGAAAGAATAAATCATAGCACATCATTAAGGGTAATTCTCAGGTTAATCCCATATTTATTTAACGTATTTAATAGAAGATCATAATGCCCCAAAAATCAATTGAAGAGGTTTTGGTTATTATTTAACCAAATACTATTTTAAAAAATATAATACTTCTACAGGACATTCAACAGGTTGGCAGGTATTTTGATGAATATCATCTTAGTGAATGTTGCCAGCAACCTGGGGAGACAATGGTTATCTCCATTTTATAGGATGATTAATACTTACAGTATCACAGAGCATTAGATTTGGAAGGGATATTTAAGGATCCAGTTGGTGCTATGATTCTAAGGACATATTTTCTTACAACTAGACACTGAAACAGTCGTTCTGGGAGGGTTCCAGGAATTTATATTTTAAACAGCTAGTAGGTCATTGTAAAACGCTATCAAGTTTGGGAATTCTTGTCCTAGCGCAACCATCTGCCCAGTGCCTTAGTCTCCTTTCCTCTAACCAAACAATATTTTATACCTTGTTTAAAATTTGCTGGTCGTAGAGGTCCTGGCAATTTCTTGAAGCAATCCATCACATCTTAGGACAGTATTAATTTGTTCAAGTTCCTAGCTAAATTGTAGAACTAAGAATCAAACCCA
Source organism: Homo sapiens (assembly GCF_000001405.40). NCBI lineage: Eukaryota > Metazoa > Chordata > Mammalia > Primates > Hominidae > Homo > Homo sapiens. Next base: position 212,075,027 of record NC_000002.12, read on the forward strand.
AGTATTAGTTTAAATTATAGGGCTCTTTTCATGATAACACATCTATTCTCTTCTCAGCCATGATGAAACTGAGCATAAAACAATTTAAGAAAGTTTTCTTAAAATTAAAGCACTTAAAAAATATAAAAGTGTTATACTCTAGAAAATTCTTCCATGGGATTTTTTTTAAAAGAAATACTAATTAATGGCTTTAGTTAATCCAATTCTCATACACAAGACAAGCTATATTTATTGTGTAAGAAAGTTTTAATTGGTATAGGATATTCAGGAATTTTACATGAAATAATTGTCTTGGGACATTGGAATATAATATTTAATATTTAATACATGCAATGTAATGGTACAATACAGCTTGGATGAAAAAGGGAATAAAATTATACAATCATTGAATTAATTATATGTCAGGCATTTTCATTAGTCTTCAGCATTTCTCGGAATGGCTGGGTCACCTGAAGTAAACTGCATATTAGCCTTCATCTTTGTGGGTAGTATATCTCATTGTAGGTGGTTTATCTCAGAGCCAGTGGGTCAGAGAAATTATCAAAGAAATCTTACATAGTATGAATTTCAAAAAGAAAAACTTTAGTTCTCTATTTCTTAAATAATTATATGGTTTATAAATTTCTTGAATGTAGAGAAACACATAACATTGGTTGGTTTTATATAATATTCATACCTGTTAGCTGAATTGAAGGGCAGAATAGTGATGTGGCTCCCATATAACTTACTAAGAAGGTATTTTCAATGTAATCTCATTTATTTTTGAATTTTACAGCCAACATTACATATGAAAAGTTCTCTTCACTTGAATATGGGAAGAAGCACAAATAATTCTCTTATGACTAGAAACTAAAGTTTCCAACATTTTTTATTTCTTCTATTGCTACATTTATGATAATACCTCATCAGCTTGAAATCCAGTAGTTGGAATATGTCTTACTTTTTTGTAATTTTAACTAGAGAATTTTAATTTTATTCTGCCTATTAAGATATTTAAGTAAAATCAGAATTTAGAATGAATAACTAAACTGCTAAGAAGCAGACACCAAAAGAATGAAAATATTTTATAGACACCTCAATTGGTTTGTTATGATGAATCTATTATGTAATTTAATTTAAACACTTTTGGAGATATTTCTGAGGGACTGTATTAACCTAATTCAAATCATAGTTCACATTTGGAATTAACAAAACATTATTTTAAAATATTCTATATTTCGGACTTTAATTACTTCAACTTTTTAGACAATTTGTTATTTATTTGACAATTATCTTCCATGTAAAGAGTAAAGTGTTAGATCATGAGAGAGATAAATATTGAATAAGACAGATGTTTTAATCTATTTGACTTTACCATATCATAAAGGATATCAAATCAATTCAATTCAATCCAACAGTATTCATTAAGTGCCTATTTTAAGCAATAACTAAACGAGGCTACACATCAGAAAATAAATAAAATAGGTTTTCTTCCTGACAACTTACTTTGTGGTTTAATGAGAGAGAGAGAAAAGTAAACAAACAACTAGAATATAATGTGGTAAGTGATCTAGTTGAAATATATAAGTTTTAAAAAGGAAGTGCAATATAGAAAGAAACCACATTCTTTGCAAGAGGTATGCTAGTTCACAGTTGGCAGGGTAAGAGAAAGGAGTGAGGTCAAGAGTCAGGCTATTCTTAGAAAAAGGGTCCCCTATGTTAAAAAGCCACCGACACAAAACTGCTTGAAGAATGGCTTACGGGAAAAGAGTTTGTTTATAAGATATAAGGTTAACACCACATTTTCAAAATATTCGTCCATCAAAAGACAGCTTAAGAGAGTAAAAATGCAAGCCACCGAAAGGGTACATATATTTGTAATTTATGTAACCTATGAAGGGCTGGTAGTCAAAGTATTTACATTAGTTCTATTGTTTAATAAGGGAAGAAAAGACATCCAGTAGAAAACTGTGCAAGAGATTTGAATGAACATGTCAAAAAATAGGATAGCTAAACAATTATTAAATGTATAAAAACGTATACAACCTAATTATACATCAGAAAAAAGTAAAACCAAAATGGAATACCACAACACACCTACTATACTATGTAAAACTAAAATTATATATAAAACCAAGTTAGCAAAGATATGGGACAATGGGAAGACTTGTTATGGTACATACGTATTAATAACACAACTGTGGGGGGCAAAATTATCATTATCTACTAAAGTTTAACTTACGTATATTCGATGACCCAGTGATTCAGTTCATAGATACATATCTTACAAGACTTATACACCGTAAGATATATACAAAAATAATTATGGCAGTGTTAGTCATGTTAGACAAAATCTGAAAACAGTTCAGATGCTCATCAACAGTAGAAATGATAAATAAATTATGATATATTTGTTTGTGTTTGTGTGTGTGTAATGGAATAGTATAAGGAACTAAAAATCAGTGAACCCAGGTAACATGAAACAACATGAATGACAGTGACTAATAGTTTTGAGCAAAAGAAGGAAGACACAAAAGAATACATATTATTAGATCCAATTTATATAGATGTAAACCACAGGTAAAGTTAAACTACAGTGTTAGAAGGCAGGGTAGTTGTCACCTTTGGGAGGAAGGAGGACAGGGATGGGCAAAGGCAAGCAGGGGACTTAAGAGAAGCTGGTGTTAAATTCCTTAAGTTAATTATATACTTTGTGATAATTGATGAATTTAACATTTATGCTTATTGCACATTTCTGTGTTTCTTATATTTCAGTTATTTTTAAAAATGAAAAGCAATACTTTAGACCTGCCTTCTCCATGAAAATTCTCATCTTTCCACAATTTCCATACTTGTTTCTGAAAATTTTAAAGTGCTGGGTATCTTTTCTGTCTTAGAACAAAGCCTATTATTCTGGTGGCATTCAGCAATTACCAAATAATAAAATTATATTGGCAATAATTCAATCACCACATTCTTGACTAAGGCTAATATAAGAAATGATCCATCAAGAAGGAAAGAAAGTAATTCCAAAGGAAGTTAGAGATTCTCTTGGTAATTAGACAAAATCATATTACAGGCAAATAGTATTATCAATTATTTAATGTTACTTATTTGCAAATTTATTGCAATTATACTATAATTTTCATCACAGATATAGACTTAGGTCACCTCATTTTGATGAACTAAATTTAATTTTTATTTGTCCCAGCAACTTCACTTTAACCTTGCTTTTAGTTTTAATGTTTTAGTTTCATTTTTGTTTAAGAAACTTTTTTTGGGGTTTCACTTTTAGTTTCTTTTAGTTTCAGAGACTTTACGTAAACTATACCTCTAGTCCCGATCAGATTTTGTTGTTGTGCACTATCTTTCAAAATACGGACAGCTATAAAGAAGTTAAATGAAACAGCGTAGATAATATCCTATTATTGAACAAAAATAAGCTTAAATGCATATTTTACACTAGATTAATTATAACAGTGGTAATAAAATATAAATGTATTGAAATAAAAATTATCTTTGCAAGGAAGGAAGGTCAGCAAGCATGTGAATACACACAAACACATATACATATATGTAATTAATTTTGTGGTGTTGTATTTTTCTAATATTTAAATGGTACTATGGGCTCATTGTACATATTTCAATCAAAATTTGGAATGTAAAGTTCACTAAGATCTCTATTTCCAAAGACATCCACCATTTGCAGTTAAGAGACTATTATTCTAATTGTAGTTTTTGTTTACAAACACAACTATTAATATTAATATAATTAAAACAATCACTAATATGAAAAGTAATTAATACTATTAATTACTAATAGTTTATAACACTAATTATTACTAGTTACCATTTTATACTGATATTTTTAGTATAATATTAATGCTAATATTATTAGTCTTAATTTTATATAAATGGAGTCATAATATACATACTTTTTAATAACTTATTTTTTCACTTAATGTACAGTTACCTATCCACGTTAGTATTTATAGATTTACTTCATTCCTTTTTTCTATTTCATTTTTATATTATCCATAAAGCATAATTCACTTACCTATTATTGATAATCCATTGTATTCTCTTTTTTGATGTTAGATATAATAATAAAATAAAAATTTTTATATATATGTATCAGATATACACATAATTTTCTGGAGCTGGAAATATTAGGTCAAAGAATGTAAAGATCCCATTTTTAAGAGCAATTGCCAAATTTCACCCCCCAATAATTATATCTATTTTATTCCCCTTATGCTTGCCAGCAATAACTGTTATTATTTTCATTCTTAATCGCTCTATTTTTTAAAGAAATCCTATTGCTTCATTAATACAATTAGCAAACCCAATGAATTCACGATAGCTAAAACAAAAGAACAAATATATATCCTACCAAAACTGTTGGTTGAGTTCCTAAGAAAGTAACTGGAGGTATTCATGCTTTCAACAATTGAGGTCTGTGTTGTATAGAATTTGCTGAATGACTAACTCCTTATTTTATTTCTTGATATAACTACTCCCATAACCTTTTAATAACCATTTCAATAACTTAATATAAGGGTTATTGAAATAACCATTTCAATAACTTAATATAAGGAGATCATGAACAAATTTAGATGGTACTATTAATCACAAACCAAATAAATATCATCATAGATGCTTCCAGTTAGGCATAGATGCTTCCTTTTACCTTTTGTAAAAAGGTGCCTGCCAAGTATCTTTTTAAAAAGTATGTAAATGACAGCAACAGGCATACACACATGAACATAACACTTTGCTACCCTTTCATAATGGTGTTCAGATTTCCTGTTTCTTCTTTCTTTGATAGTGCAAAATCTATTTTATTCAGATAGATAGATAGATATAAATGGATGAAGCTAATTACAACCCAATATATATTAATCTTAGGATTATATAGTAGACTTTTCATTAACTGTTGTTCTAAATCTTACAGATTTAGAAAGCTATAATCACTTTCTATTCAGTTCATTAATCATAAAAGGAAGGAGCTCCTCACATAAAAAAAAATTAACAGAAATCAGCTGGGTGTGATGGCTCACACCTGTAATCCCAGCACTTTGGTGGATCACAAGGTCAAGAGATCGAGACCAACCTGGCCAACATGGTGAAACCCCGTCTCTACTAAAAATACAAAAATTAGCAGGGTGTGGTGGTGCGTGCCTGTAATCTCAGCTACTCAGGAAGCTGAGGCAGGAAAATCCGTTTGAACCCGGGAAGCGGAGGTTGCAGTGAGCCGGGATTGTGCCACTGCACTCCAGCCTGACAACAGAGCCAGACTCCGTCTCAAAAAAAAATAAGAATAAAAATAAAAATTAAAATTAAAATTAACCCAAATCTAGTATGTCTCAATTTAAACAGAATAGGCAAGAAAAAATGATACAGTTGAGGGGGAGAATTAATAAATCTTTAAGGCTAAGGTATATAACCATTTTTTTAAAAAATAATGGTTATTCAGTCTCATGCTTACCATCCATTACGAATGTGTTTCTAGTGAAGACCACAATTTTTATGTTGATTTACATGTTTTGGTTTTTAAAGACCATAGCCTCAGAGTTCACCCAATTGGAGATATATTGGCAACCCTCCATATGTCACAATTTAGCAGATGATTTTGCGACAAAGTTTTATCTCATTTTATGGTATAAATAGTAAAAAAAAAAAAAAAAAACCTCTTTATATTCAAAATTTATCTGGAAGATTACATTTCAAGCTTTTTAGAAATTGCTTTCAACATTTCTTTTTAATTTGTGAAACTATTCATAGCCTTTCCACTGATTCCTTCCCCATTACATCTGAAATGACAAAAAGGTGAATTGTGCCATATGGAAAACATCTCATCCAGCATGTTTTGAAGCAACCTCATAAATCGAATATTATTTCTGGATGCTTCATGATCATTTGATAGGTCACTTAAAGGTGTTCTAAAAATATTATTTGGAACATTCTTCATAGAGAGCACGCTGTCAACCTTCAGTCTAACATGAGCGTTAGACATTATATGTCTATGCTCACTTTATTTTTTCTGTCAATAGCACAGAAGCCCTCACACAAAGTTATAAAATATTTCTGACATTCATGGCTCACAGATCAGGAGTTTCAAAGAGCTGCAGACGGTTATGTTAATTAAGCAAAGGCATTTTCTATAAATCCATTGCTGAAGCAAATAAAAAGACGGGTGGTGAGGGAGGTAGGTGTGTGGTGTCCCAGTGATCAACCAAACTGCAGTCAGCATGGAGATTGTAAGAGATGAAATGAAATTAAGCATCTTGCTTTGTAATCCTCTTCTAGAATGTTCTAGAATCTTCTGCAATGTTTATATGACATACAAAAAGGAGACAGTATAAACCTGTCAAGACATTAAAAAACAAACAAGGAAACAAGTAAAACTGAAATTGCCTTTCCTGGATGACAGTGCGGTACTAATCATGTAATGCCATCACACTAAATCAAGGGTACCAATCACAATAGATCTAGCAAAATCACAATGCTCTTTTTGCCTTCTGAGTGGTGCTAATGTTATATATGTCAATGAGAGCTTTTCCTGTGCTTGAGTCTAAATACATTTACTGATTAAAAAGATGCAAGTGCTTATGAATAGGTTCTTCCAAAAGCCACATTTCTTAAGCTTCATTCTCCTGTTTCTAACACAACAAGATGTAGTATTTAGGGTAATGCTTGTCAAATGGGCACCGACTGTAGCTGATTCCATAAACATTTGCCCCCTTTGTGTTCTTGAAGCAGAATACAACATTACATTTCCAGGGAAAGTTAAGAATATGTAGGTACTTAAAGGGCTGTCAGTTCTGGGTTTTTTATATGTAACATTAATTTTTACAGGCAGCAAACATCAGACAATTATAAAGCACTTCACCTAGCAAACTTCAGCCTTTGTTAGACTTACAAAGATATTTTGTCATTTGCTTATGAGACTTAACTGATAGCCAAGAATTGGCTGTATTATTGTCTAGCAAAGTTTCCACGGAACAATTATAATACTAAAGGATGAATACTTAGAATATAAAAAGCCAGGTGATCTTTCATATTTATGAAATAATTTTTCAGTTAGTGACACTCTTCTGCATGAACCATTGTGAGTCCCACTATCTCTTGAAAGAGAATTTTATCATGTAAGGAGAATATTTACATTTATGTAGAAAAACAGTGTTTACTATGTCCAGCTTTAGACGTAGATTACATATATAGAAATTATTTCATTTAAGTATAAATTGTTAAATATTTATATGGTCACATATGTATAAACACTTCCTTTAAAATATATTGTGTTTAATTTTTAAGAAACAAGGAGAAAATTCAAGGAGATTTTTATTTGCTTGTTAAACATAGCAATATTGTTCAAATGATGTTAAAATTAAAGTAATAAATGCAGATTCTGAGCAAAGAAATTGGGAAATAAAGATGACTATAAAATAATGTTTTATAAGGGCATTTGCATACTTTGGCACAGTAAAATGGCATATGTGGGTATTAGAACAGGGCTTTTTTAAATTAAAGACTATCATTATGAAAGAAAATAGCTACAGTTTTTCAAAGCACTTCTGACTTCCTATAAGAATACCTATTTTCTACAAGTGGATTCGTATGACACTCAGTCTTAAAAACCTGAAGGGAAAAATATTTTTGACAGAGATTTTTAAAGTTTTATGAACAATTTTGATGTCCCTAAAGGGTTAGGAAAAAGCATGTGAAGCAGTGTCCCAGGTAAAAGTAATAACTCAGCAAGGAAATGAAAATATTTAATTAAACATTACATGCATGCATGCATTTATAAATGCATATTGGAATTACTGTCATATAGTAGGTAAAACGACAAGAACACAAATCAGAAATTTCCTTCTCTGGTCCTGACCAACCATGTGTCAATCAGCCTTAAGTGTATATACTTGTCCCATGAAGATTTACATTATAAATGAATACAATAGGTGTTCAGCATCTACTGATGAACAAATGAAGGAAGCTAACTCTGCTATGATTCATAAGTAACCTAGTATCATATATGTTCTCACTAATAGAAGCCATTAAGATAAACTTAGGTACACGGAGAAAAGATAAGAAAAGGCCCATGAATAATAAATAAGCAGTATGGATATACGGAGATCAAATTATGTCAAACAAACCTGATTGCTTTTTTTGATAGAATTACAAAATTAATGGATAAAGGGATGCAGTAAAAGTAGAATATTTGGATTTTCATGAAGTATGTAATTCAGTGTTTCATAAAATCTGTCTTACAATATTAATTCAAATTGGCTTGAAGATGATTATTCTCAGATGGTGGGAAAACCATTTAAAGAGCTATAAACAAGGGGTAATGATAAATGGCAACAGATAGAATTGGGGGGAGGAATGAGCTGTCACCAAGGTTGATTTAGGTCTCGAATTTTAGTATCTTCATTACTAACATGCAAAATGGAATAAATAACATGCAAATGCAATTCGAAAATGACACTAAATTGGAAGGCACCATAAACGCAGGACAGTAAAATAGTCAAGAGAATGTGGGCTGGAACATAAAATAAGACTACACGAGAGACTGCCCGCACTAAAAGGCAAGTGTATGTTAAAAGATAGTTTGGATTTATTACCACCCCTCCCCCCCAAAAAAAACAATGCCAGACAAACCTGGCAAAATAGGTTGACAACATAGGATTGCACAATCCCATAAGTAAAGCATTCTGGAAACTGCTTTAAAATATTTATCTCCAGATTTTAATTCATGTCTAAATCTCAGCAGATCTATAAACAGAAGGGAGTTTAGAAATGACAGTTTAAACCAAATTCTGATTTTCTGTATGGTATCCCAAACAGAACAACGCATATCTTTATAGAGTGACTTTATACATTCAATTCTCTATTTTCTCCATATGGATTGTTCACAGGAAAAAAAAAAAAAAGATCCACTACAACCTGCCTATTCTTTGACAATGAACACACTTATAGGTCTTTCCTTCTCTCATGAGTGCAGTTGAAGTGTATGTAGGGAATATCATCTACACAAAAGATAATCATGAAGGTAAATCTTCTGTAAATGACTTTTGGATTACCCATGGCACAATGCTCCCTCTTCATCCGTGCAAATAATTGAGAGTCGATTGTACACACATATAAGGAAAGATAAATAGGAAGACAAATGACTTCTATGAGAAGATTATTAATTTACTCCACTTTATCCTCTTGTATCGGACAACTCAACAAATTAGCGGGAATTCAGAGCACTGAAACAAAAACGATAAAGGCAATAAAGTTATCCACTTATGAGAATGAATTAAATGAGCTAACCCATGGAGTGCATCAGACAGCCATGAGCAAGCTATAACGCGCAACACCTAGTTATACGCTGAAAATTCACAAGAGGAAAGAAATTCTTTTCATGGGATAAGGGCAATTTCCCTCTTACTCAGATTCTCAAATAAAGAAAATTACAATTTAGAGAAAACACTATTGCCTAAATCATTGTGAACAAATTTGATTTAGACTTTTACTGCAGAAATATTTCTGAAGTACTAAAGAACCAACTCTTGATTACCCATGGGGAAAGACATTAAAAGTTACAAGATATTAGTGAAAATCACAAGGATTTTGAAGTGAGATAGTCGTAGGTTTGAATCTTGGCTCTGTCACTTACACAAGACATATTGGTGTGGTCAAACATCTTCATCTGAAACATAGAGAAAATAAATCTAACCTAGTTCACATATGTGTTAAAATAGAAAAGAGGAACCCACAGAATGTTAAAATAATAAAAAGTTAGAAAGTCACATTTCATTTAAAAATATACACAAAAACATTATTTGTAAACTATCATCCCTAGTAGGGAGGAAAGATGGTAGAAAGAGCATGATATTGGGATCATGAAGTCCTAAATTTGAACACTACTTCCCCATTGACCAATTACATGACTTAAGTAATTTATTTAAAATCTAAGTGTAATAGTTCTCATTTATAAAATTGCTGAAGTGCTGTGCAGGTCAGTAGATTGTAATGCAAATAACTGACATATAGTGAATACAAAATAAACATGCATTTTCCTGTCCCCTCATCTTTATCTTTCCCCACCTAAAATAGTTACTTTAACTGTTCTTTAAAAATGTGCATGCCCTCTTGGTGCATATGTAGCATCATCAATCTCAATATTCAAACTAAATTGGGGTAGAAAACACATACTGCCTATGTTTTCTCTTCCACATTCTAGCAGTTTAAAAAATATCAAATAATATATTTGAAATTATTTAAGGCCAGAGTGTAACATTAATGAAAATTTTATATTATTTACTCAAGTATTCCTACATGTGTATTATTTTGTTTCATGAATCTTAGAGATAAAAGGCTGTATTTATATAGCTCATTCTGTACAGCACTGAATACAAATGAGTGATAAATAAAAGCTTTTGATAATAGATGGCAATTAGGCACATCCTCAACCTCTTTCTGCTTAACCCTGATCATTTCAGCTTGGTATTAGTATCTGGAGCCTGACACCTGACTGAAGAGTGGCAAAATAGACATTTGGGCTTAGGTCATCTACTTTACATATATATTTTTGACAGTTGCAGGTCATCTTCATAGCAAAAACTATAATGTAATATGAATAGATTAAAAATAAAACTGGAAACTTTGAGAGTTGAGACTCTTTTTTAGGAAATCTGTTTCATTAATGTCACTTTAAAACTATGTTATTTGTTAATATTTATTTATAAGGAAGGTAAAAATTATACCTTCCTCATAAAGTGGCTTCGATATATAAAGAAGCTTACACATATAGTAGTTAAAACAGTATCTAAGATATTATATAATCCCCCAAAATAAAGTTGTTATTAGCCTTATTGTATTGCCATCAATATTTTTATATCAAGATCACCTAGTTCCAAAGATAAGAAGGGATATAACACCATTTTTTCATAAGAGGATATAAAGGCATTCTTGTAGACACCTATTGTGTCTAATGAGAGCTATACATCTGAGAACTTCCCCAATCTCTCACATCCTAATCATTGACATGGTTACGGTTGGAATTGCTATCAACTGGCTTCAGTTAACTCAAGGTGACTCAACCTCCTTTTCTGAAATGAATTATGGGGCAGAAACTGGGGGGAAAAGTTAGTTTTACTTTGGGTATCTTAACTGAAGGATATAAGCATAAAAGTGATTGGCTGCCACGTTTTCTATTATGTGGGCCAGAAAAGCAAATAATGTCAGTGTACAAGAAAGTGAAGTCCACTAATAGCAGGAAATACGAATGATAGATGGATACAATATTCAGATGGTCTTTATATTTCTGATTTAAATTTTTAAGGACCTATGCATTCTCCCCACCAAAAAAAAAAAAAGAAAAAATATCTTTGGATTCTATGGAATATTTCTGATTTAAATCGCACTAAGGCCTTATGCATTACCGCCTCTAAGAAAAAAAGAAAACCAAATCTTATCTTTAAATTCTATGATTTTTTATATCAATATCATGAATTTTCTTTTTGCCTTAGCTTCTTTATGTCTAACTATTTAATTTTATGAATGTGGTAATCAAGGCCCAGAGTGGCTACATTTTTGCCCAGTATCAGACAATTTTCAAGTGGCTGATATGGAACCAAAAATAAGAATAATTTGGGTATATTATCAGGGTCTTAATTTTATAAGATTTCAAATAAAACTCCACACTTTGTATCAGACCAGGTAAGAGAAGAGGGATAAGGCTAAAAAAGTTAAAGCAACGGCTTCCCCTTATCTTCCAAATCCAGAAACTGTTAGGAGAAGGGAGATCATAGCCAGAACCATCTAATCAGAGTCTTTAAACCTGATGCAAAGTACATGGGTAGGAGAACACCTTTTCCAAAGATAAACTGAACTCCAAGCACCGAACAAACTGTTCACATTCTAGATAGGGTTACTGGGAGGCTTCCAACAGTTTCGAATAGAGCCTGTTAGAGACATTACCTCCTACCCCTAACATCTGTCTCAGGCTAGTCACATCCACTTATATTCTCCAGGAAAGATGTATATCTTCCTGCTTCGGTGATGCAGAGAAAGGGAGCTTAAAAAGATCATCTGTTGATTGTTATGATTACAGTCCTCTATATGGAAAATGTGTCTATAAGCAAGATACTGACCTCTTATGACATCAACACACACATACACACACACACACACACACAAATATCTTCTAAAGGCCATCACCAAACTAAACTTCACTAAATAGTGAGTATGCAACATTTTTCCTATGTTGCTTAGAGACTTAGGAACACTTCCACAGAAAGCAAATAAAACTAGAAATATAAATGATTTATACTGTGATAAGTGGACTATCTGTATGTATAAATTAATGCAAACCAATGAACACAATTTATAGTAACAGTACTAACGCCACCAATTTCTAAACTACATTCTATAGCTATGATTCTGTCATCAGTCTTTGTTTCCATACCACATCATCATGGTTCCTGGCACATAGTAAGTGCTTAACAAATGTTTGGTGAATTAATAAAATCTATTAACAATCCTCACCCTGCTGGGTTTCTCTGTGACACTTCCAGCCACTCAGCACTCTACACAGTCCAAACCAGCTTGAGAGGTGAAAATTTGCACTCTAGTGGAAAGAGTTCTAAACAGGAGGCCGGGAGACAGGTTCTCAGTCTTAGATCCGTCTAGACATTTGCATTAACTTCCCTCATCTATAAAACATGTTTGCTGCACTAGATACTTCTAAGAGCTAAATTCTAATAACATTCTACATTTTTAAGGACAAAGAAGATGTTATAGATACATTTTAAAAGCAGAAAAGGGTTAGAATCCTAGCTTTACCATTTACTTGTGACTTTGGGCAATTTATTTAACCTCTAAACTTTAGTTCCTTTTTCTGTTAAAAAGGAATAATAATAACACTTACTTCATAGAACTGTTGTGAGAGTCAATTGAAATAATGCGTGTTAAGCTTCAGACACAGTGCCTGGCACTAAACACTCACAATCATTATTTGTTGCTATTGTTCTTACTATTTTTTATTTGTTGTGTTGTTTTTATATATCTGCTCTCTTCTCTGATCCAGGAACAAGTGGAAAGTTCATCATCTAATTAAAATCTGCTGGGAAAAGGCTATCAAGGAGACTAAACTCTGCAGGACAAATCAATGTAACAACACTATATATAAAGGGCAAATCGAGCAGTAACATCAAAGGGTTATTGAACTGTGTAGTCTTCAAACACTTTAATAAATAGAAGTTTCCTATTACAGGTATCACCTTATTATAATAGTAGGACATGAAGGAAATTTTAAACCACTTTAGAGGAGTCTGGGAATTATCATATTTATCAAAGGAAGATGTGGGTTTTAAAGATTAAACAGTGCTACTGGAAGAATTATTGTGAAAAATAAAAATGGATTGTCTATCACATGACAGGTACTAACCATAACAAGAATTCTCATAACCACACAAAATCACTAAATGAAGAAAGACAGAGTTGAATATGATGCAATCCTGCACGTGTCACAGAACCAGTAAACTTTAGAGATGAAATTCACACCCTGGTTGGTAGTCCCTGGGTAGCAGCTAAGAGTCTCAGGATATCATTACCCACTTCTTTGTGGTTGATACAGTTCTACTTCAAGAAACACCATTGCCAGTGAGAAAGCTACAAATATGGTGGTTATGACCAGGAACTTGAGAATCTAACAAGTGAAAAGACACATAATTCATAGAAATTACTTAAATGCCTATAAGAAATAGCTTTTATGTGTCTGAATTCTATTTTAAATTAAAAAATTACAAATACAAAAATGGTTTATTCATTGATTCATACAATGGACATGTGTTAAGCATTCTCATGTACCAGGTACGCTATTAGACACTCAGTTTACAGCAGTAACCAAAAGCAACCAGATTCCCTGCTCAGAGAAAGCTCAAATTCTAGGAAAAGATGAGGGGGACCTGAAAATACAGAAACAAAAACAAACAAATATGTAAAGTAGAATTCTGAAATAATAATAACAATAATAAAACTGGGGTTTCCATTTGCTACTACTGATCTGCATGTATATTAATTTTGTCAATAGTTGACAAAGGAAAGCAAATAGAAAAATACATTAAAAGCTAATATAAGACTATATACAAATACCAACCTGATTTCACATTTTGTATCAATTAAAATAGCTTTATTTTTTAAAATTGACTTCATAATATATAAGCTTAATGAATTTGAAATTTCAAAGTAAAAATATACTAATAAAATAGATGTCTGGGAATTCCACTTTGGGAAATACAAGTTCCAATCAACATTTAAACAACTTTTGGGATAGTGGTTAGTATTAGTGCTTATTCTTCCTGGCTGAATTGCACATTTTTAAGTTTGAGGAATATCTTCTGATATGATTTGGATTTGTGTCCCCACTGAAATCTCATGTCAAATTGTAACCCCCAATGTTGGAGGGGGAACCCTGTGGGAGGTAACTGGGTCATGGGGGTGAAGTCCTCATGCATGGTTTAGCACCATCTCTTCTTGGTACTGAATAGTGAGTGACTGCTCATGAGATCTGGTTGTTTAAAAGTATTTAGCACCTTCTGTCTCTCTCTGGAACCTGCTCCTGCCATGCAGATGTCTGTTCCCACTTTGACTTCTGCCATGAGTAAAAGCTCCCTGAGGCCTCCTCAGAAGCAGGCGCTGGTGACATGCTTCCTATACTGCCTGTGGAACCATGAGCCAATTAAGCTCTTTTCTTTGTAAATCACCCAGTCTCAGGTATTTGTTTACAGCAAAGGGAGATGGAAATAATACATCTTTACTCTTTTTGTGAGTTTGTTTCATCCAAGTTATATAATAGGTGAATCTTATGTAGTTTGTGCCTACTGAGTATTTTAATTGTTCTGAAATCTCTTTCTTTGATAAGAACAAGTTGCTTAGAGCAAGCAGCCTAGTACAAGGTGTGCTTATAAAATGTCTACCAGGCCTTCATTATTAAGGGTTTGCTATCTCCACAATGAAGTATGATTACTCAGCCTCTGCCTTTCCTGGTCAGATGTGTTAGTCCTATTCACAGCTGTCAGCCTATCAGAAACCTGCATGGAGATAAATGATGCCATTAGAACACATGGTCTGCTCAACAGACACTCAGTCTAGAAGCTGTGGCACTTTGATTTACTTATCTGAAAATAAACTCTACCAAATCTCCTCTAAAGATAATTCCCGTCAAGGAACTTAAACAAAAATACAATGCAATTGAAAATAAATGTTAAAATTATAAGCCTATTATTTGTAATCACTGCTATTATAACAGTTATTCAATGCCCATTGTACTATATTTCTTGAAACCTCTTTAACTTGTAGGAGTTGTAATAATTCTCCCTTACACACAGGTTTGAAACTTTCATGGCTCTATTTCTCCTTAGAGGAAAAACTGTTTCAGTCTTTAATATCCTCTAAAGCTCCCTGGAGGTCTAGTGATTGTCAGCTCAAACTGGTCTATCCTATAGAAGCATCTAGTCTTGGAACTTGGTCCCTGTGCCTTCAACTCCTGAAAACTGAGTCTCTGTCCTTGAAAGATTATAACTGATCACTCATTTAGACATGCTTGCTCCACAATTCTCCATCCTAGATGCATATTATAATCATATTCAGAGTTTAAAAACAAAACACTGATGCACAGGCCATACTTCCAGATTCCAATTTAATTCTTCCAAGTCTGTCCACTTCAGATGCTATTTAAAGGGCCCCATGAATGTACAATGCCTTCATCAACATGTCAGCTAACTGATGATTAAAACAAGGTTTACTATAAGGTAATACTAATTCTTGGGTTTTTGTTTCTTTCCTCTCTTCATGTCCACTATCTTTAGTGATTTGCTTCAATTGTTAAAACTGAACTAATGTGATGACATGTGCAATTCTTCTTTTTTCTAACAATCTCCACCCTTTTAAATTAATTCTTTATCTATCTTACGTTGTGTTGGTCACCTCACCCTTTTGGGGTGATTATTAATTTGACTTTAAAAACCATTACATATTCCCAGCAGGAGTTCATAACTGTTTCCCAAAACTGACAATGACACATACCTGACTTTCTGTATACAAAATGTGTAAATGTCTATACAGAAAACAGAATGTGAAAAATAATGGCATTTTCCTTGGCGTGACAGAGAGGGAAGAGGAAGCTGAAGAGCAGGAGACAGGTAAAAAAAAAAAAAAGTACAGAAAGATATATTAAGGTCAATTGATGTGGCAGGGATAAATCTTTTTCCAAAATTCAAGTATAGATTTATAGCTTATTTATTGCAATAAACTTAAATTACCTTAATCTAAGCTTAAGTTCGATTTTGAGCTCTTATTCTACCAGGCAGGTAAACTAAAACATCAGGTGATTGGGATATGACTTACATCCCTACTTCACTGACTTTTCCTTAAAGATCTATCCAATTTCCATGCAACTAGAAGGAATTACCAGGAATTGAGGTAGGGCAAATTTACTTGCAGTATTGTAACTCCCTCTTAACACTGCCAATGGTTGCTGTATCATTTTGCATGACCCCTGAAGGGTGAGATACTGTCTCAGGTTGAGAACTATTAGACTGATGGAAAGGAACAAAGGGCTTAAAGAAATATTGGACAAAAAATTGGCTAAAGTTCCCAGAGTAGGATCCAATCTATTTGTATATGTATAGTGAAACAAACATTGAAAAAAAATCATAAAATATTAACAATAGCTAGTTTTAGATTGGGAAATTATAAGTGATTTTTTAAAATTATTTTTTGTCTTTTGTTTGCCCATATTTTTGAAATAAACTTGATTTCCTTCATAATATGAAAATAATTTTAAAACATATCTTTAAAGTTTATAAGGCAAAGCAAAATTTATTACTTTTTTTTATTCAGAACTCCAGACAGTGTTCCCACTCTTTATATTAGTAAATGATCATTACGAAGCAAATACTCATCACTCTCAGTATTTTCTCTCTTCCTAATTATATGAAGATCCCACACGTGATATGTCTCCAGTTCCACTTCATTTAGGGAACCTCTGTGACCTTGGAAAAATTATTATAACTCTAGGTCACAGGTGGAGAGTTATTAGCAATGTCCTATGGGAAACAAATGTCTTTCCTAAAACTGCCTAATTATGATCATTGTGTGTACATAATTTTCATGTATTTTGTGAAGAACATCTTAAATGGTTTAGTTTAAATGCCATTAGGGAATTATACATAGTTATTAGAATTGTAGAACAGGATAGACTATTCACATAAAATGAGTCTCATTTACACATCAGATATTACACTGACTTGTTGACTGTTGCTCTTGTTCAGTGCTCAGAAATTATTAAAGTTTGGGAACTTAAAAAAGAAACACTTTCTGCTCCTTGGAGAATGGAATTATACCAGTGTTTTTATTTTTAGAGTGTTACAATCAAGTTCATATCAAGAAAACCAGATAGGACAAGGAGTTGAAAAGTTATTCCAATTTTTCTGACTTTTGTACCTCTTTATAGATCGAAGAGTGAAGACTCATGAGGCTAAGGAAAATGATATCGTTTACAGAAATAGAATTTTAAAATATATTGAATATATACAAATTTAACTAACACCAATCTGGTCTTCTTCCTACTACATTCCTGTATAGTATAATTATATTTGTTGATTAGATGGTTGAATACGTTGTATATGTTGAATGATGCTTTCTTAGTGGAAGTAATTTTAGGATATTGTAGTACAATAAAATTAGGCAATAAGTTGGAGTTGAACAATGAGAACACATGGACGCAGGGAGGGGAACATCACAACCGGGGCCTGTCAGGGGGCTAGGGGAGGG
Source organism: Homo sapiens (assembly GCF_000001405.40). Lineage (NCBI taxonomy): Eukaryota > Metazoa > Chordata > Mammalia > Primates > Hominidae > Homo > Homo sapiens. Next base: position 212,092,832 of record NC_000002.12, read on the forward strand.
ATAGCATTAGGAGAAATACCTAATGCAGATGATGAGTTGATGGGTGCAGCAAACCAACGTGGCACGTGTATACCAATGTAACAAACCTGCACATTCTGCACATGTACTCCAGAATTTAAAGTATAATAAGAAAAAATTAGGCAATACAGAAACACAGGGAAATTATTGATACGAATTCTAGGATGTTACTTCACATGTCTGATCACCTCAGTTTGCTTAACTACCAAATGTGGAGCTAGATGGCCTTTTTCCTCTCTTTTACATGGAAAATGCTTCCATACTTTTTTCTATTCCAGAAAGCAGGAACTATAACTTCAGAATAGACCCTATCAGAGGATATAGGCGAGCACATCCCAATGGAAAGTATCTCCAGAGAATGATTTATGTCATAACAATTTGGATTTGCTTATCAAGTACTTAACCTTGTGCTATGTGCTTTTTAATACATTAGGTCATTTAAACTTAATGAAAGTCCTATGAAGTGGATAATATTACTATCATTTCTACAGATTAAAAAATTAGAGAATTATTTTTCTCCATGCTTGTGAGAATAAACAACAACAACAATAACAACAAGAAACAGAACTCAGAAGATGCAAGATGAACCTCGAACCTAACTAAACTCTTGGAACCCATCTGACATCTATAACTCAATGGTGTGAGAGAAGTACAACTAAAAAAGAATTACAATGATGAGGAGGATAACAGCAAAAAAAATTACAAATGAAAACAATGAAGCCAACTGCCTGGGTTTAAATCTTGGCTCTGCCATTAATAAACTGTGAACTCTCAGCCAATTTATCCAACATTGTCGTATTTAGGGATTTTCATATTTAAAATGGGAAAATTGATAGTTCTCACCTTGTGGTGTTATAATAATCCTGAGTTAATTGTGACATATACTCAGCAGTCAGTAAACACATTATAAATATATAAAGACATGCTATTATCATGCCATTTGATTGCTTTTATATAATAAATAGCTGCCATTAAGGATGATTAGGGAAAACATAGATATTTTAATTCTCTGACACATCAGAAAAAAATAAGTATTTCCAGAGAAATAAATTATGTAAGTTATCACGCTGTTACTGAATAGTAAGATAACCTTTCCTTCCAGTAAGAGACAATGAAAATAAATAAATAAATAAAAGAAATAGAAATAAAATGAATAGTAAGATAACTTGGTTCAATTACAAATCAGCAGTTGAAAAATAAGACTCCTTAGACCATAATATGGTTTGGATGTTCTATCCCCTCCAAATCTCATGTTGAAATGCAGTCCCCTATGTTGAGGTGGGGCCTGGTGGGAGGCTTTTCACTGATGGGGTGAACCTCTCATAAATGGCTTGGTGCCCGCCCTGTGGTCATGAGTTCATGTGAGATAAGGTTGTTTAAAAGAACCTGGCTTTAAAGTATAATAATAATAAAAAATAATAATAATAAAATAAAATAAAATTAAATTACATAAACAAGGAAAAACAAAAAGAATACAAAGGTACAAAGCTCCTTTAAATATGAATAGTTTTCCAGACAAAATCTACTTAACAGTATGAAATTAATAGCTATGTTTTCTCAATTCATAATTACTCTATTTTTAGGTAAAGATTGTGTCATAATAAAATACAGGAAACTTCTCAATTCAGGATTGTACAAAGTTTAGATTTCAATCAAACTTGTTCTTTAAAACTCTAAATTATTGTGGCATGGCTACAGTTAAATAAAATATGAAAATAAAAAAATAAAAAAAAAAAGAACCTGGCACCTCCGCCTGCCTCTCTTGCTCCTGCTCTCACCATGTGATTCGCAGGCTCCCCGGTTACCTTCTGTCATGATCGAAAGCTTCCTGAGGCCTCATCAGAAGCTAAGCAGGTGCTGGTGCCATGCTTCCTGTGCAGCCTGCAGAACTGTCAGCCAATTAAACTTTTTTCTTGATAAATTATACAGTCTCAGGTATTCCTTGATAAAGACACAAAATGGACTAACATAGTCCATAAATAAAATTCTCGAGGTTAGTGAAATTATAGACATATATGTCATAAAGATTATTTATTACATTTATATGTTTATGAAATAAATGTGTTATATATGGATTACTTTCATTAAAGGAAATTAGAAAATAGGGCAGAAAGTGATATGAAATTCCTCAGCACAATTACTAAGTTTCTGATACTGTTTTTTTTTCTTTTCTACGTAAACATCAAAAGTAATATTCTTGGGGAAGAGGGACTACCTTTGTCCTGGAGCACTCACAATGCCTTACACCTTATGTCATCTTGATTGCTAGATTGTAAGAATTAGTCTGAGAAAAAAGTCACTAGGCATTTCCTGAGTTCTAATTTGAGATATTTTTTAAGGTACTGAAAACAATTGGCATTTGGCTTTGTATTACTCAATGCACCAGAGGCATGCAGTTATCAAAACAACTTTTGTGTGTTATTCCCCCACTTATTAAATTGATTTTATTAAACTTGTTCCTGGCTGATTTGCTATATGCCAAGCTTTCTCCCGGGATCCATTTCTAAGGAATTCATAATAGAGGTGATAACTTTTGATGGGTACATTTCAGAAAGTTCTACGATTCTAATAAAATTCCCAAAGTTTGCATAAAACCCTAGAGAAAGCATCCAAGTTGTATAAATGTTTTGGAGTTAAGTGTGAGAGTTTAAAAAAGCAACCGAATATTAATTGTTGTGTGATACAAATCAAAGAACAGAGAAAAAGGCTTGTGACTCGATTGCTAATGAAGTTTAATTGGAATCCATGTGAGTATCAGAATACAGAGCATTTATGACACAATTTCTTAGACAGTAAATTTTGGCCGGGCGCGGTGGCTCACGCCTATAATCCCAGCACTTTGGGAGGCCGAGGCGGGCGGATCACGAGGTCAGGAGATCGAGACCATCCTGGCTAACACGGTGAAACCCCGTCTCTACTAAAAACACAGAAAAAAATTAGCCGGGCGTGGTGGTGGGCGCCTGTAGTCCCAGCTACTCGGGAGGCTGAGGCAGGAGAATGGCGTAAACCTGGGAGGCGGAGCTTGCAGTGAGCCGAGATGGTGCTACTGCACTCCAGCCTGGGCAACAGAGCGAGACTCTGTCTCAAAAAAAAAAAGAAAAAAAAAAAAAGAAAGAAAGAAGGTAAGTTTTATATATAATGGGCAGAATTTCCCAACGAGAACCCAGAGCTATTTTCTATATGTTCTAATATTTTGATCAAATTGATAATAAGCTAAGGGAAGGAAAAGAGAAGACTCACACTGCAAACAATGTCATAGTTTGAAAAAACTTTTAATTTATAAAAGGAAAATGAGAGTTGTGCTTCACAGAGAAAAGCTCAGGTTTGGACATGAATTGAAGAAAAAGGGTTTAAGAGGTCAGTTACAATGGTATAGAGGAGGCAAAATCTGAGAAATAGGTGTTTATTAAATCCCAGATTTTAGAACTTTAGTAGATTGATAACAGCATAGCCTTTGTGCAAGTCAAATTACAAGTTAAAAGTTAATTAGAAAAAAAATAGAAAATAAAGGAGTATGCCATCGTAACTACAGGATATCCTTAGAGAACTTGGTGAAAATGTTAAATAACATATCTCATATGTTATATATTAGGAGGCATTAAGATGAGATCAGAAGTTCTCATCTTAGTTATGAAAACAAAGTTTAAAGGACCGTTTTGTTCTTCAAAATAAAATAAAAGTGGTGGCTTACTGAGGGCTCACATTTCCTCAAGTTTATTTAGATGAGTAAGTCATTGAAACTCACATAGTATACATGTCATGCATTATCTAAAATATACTGACTTTTTCATATTAAACATTTTATTTTTGCTAGTTGCAGGTTCATGATTTAGCATTATGCAAAATAAATATCTAGCTTAATTATCTGCTTAGACCCTGGGAAACTAGGGTAACTAATAAGCCAGAGCAGGATAAGAAAATGTGGGATGAAGAAGCCTAGGTAAATTGGGTGCCAGACAATGGGTATTTGTAGGATTCTATTCAGCTGGAATCTTGAGTGCTCTGCTATTCAAAAGCAATGTACCCTTTTGCCTACCTCTCTCCTACATTGATCCTACTTCCATTGCTCTATTATTATTATGTGCAATATCTATTTGTTCCTCCTTCTATTAAGTTAACGGCTAAGGAAAAAACATGGAAAACAATATAGAACAACTTGTTAAAGTTGGGCAATTGCATTTCATTTGGACAAAGCTTAATGAAGTAATTTAACAAATGTTTATTTAGTACATACAGATAAGCTACAGTACTACGCACTGGCAATATTGAGATGAAAGATAAATGTTGTTCCCATAAGATAATCAAAGTGTAGAGACTGGGGTTTTCATGTAGGGACAAGCAGGAGAGTCAACAGTCATAATTTCATCATTGTTGTAACAATGTACAGGATGCTGCAGAAGGGAGAGGGGAAAAGTGTGCCATTACAATTTAGGAAGGCATAGTGTACTTTTATGAGGAGGTAACATGATACTGGAAAGACTACTAAGACTAAAATGAATAAAGAAGAGGGTAACAGATGAAAACCATTTCAGGTAAAGGATACATTGTGAGCATAGGGAACTGATTTGACTAAGGGCCTGGATCCCTAGCTAAATGGTGGCAGATAGTTTGGTGAAAGCAGGTGACTAACCAAATCATAAAGGTTAGCTAAGGCACAGATATTCAGAAATAAATGTGGATTTAAGAGATAGATTTGGGCAGGGATGAATTATACAGAAAGGAGATGCATTGTGATAACAGAAGGCAAAGATGAAATATACCATACTATCAATATTTAAATGGTGATGCAGAGAAAGGGGTAGCCAATGAAAGATAATAAGGAAGGATCAGGCAGATGGGACAAAACCAGGAAATAATAGTGTTAGGGAATCCAAATGATTTCAAAGAGAAGAAATGGTCAGCAACATCAAATGTTGCAAAAGATAATGACTAGAAGATGTCCACTGGGTTTAATACAGAATATCATTAGTAACCTTGTTAAGAGCCATTTCATTGAGATTAAAGAGTAAAAACTGTAGTAGACAGGTGAGAGTTATGGAGACAAAGACAATGCATATAGACAACACTTTCTGGGGTCTTGACTTCGAACATATTAGATAGAAAGTAGCCAAAGATATATATGGGTTTGAGGGGAATTCTCTGATTTATGTGGTAGAATTGTGAGCAGAATAAAATACTATATGGAAATAGACAATAGAGAAAGAGGGTATGGCCAAAATTTTAGAAGACTCATAGACAATAAAGAAAACAAAGTGCTGATACTGATACCATGAGGTTTTCACAGAGGCAGATTTATCTCGGAACCGATGAAGCTTAATCTTCATGGCTCCCTTCTCCAAGGGCCCCTTTCAAAACAATGTAACTAATTTACATTACATTTCTTAAAGAAGACCCCCTCCAACCCTCAAAGAAGAAATTGCAAGCTTCTATCCTTGACTTTGCATTTAAAGGGAGACTTTTCTTCCAGGCTATGAGAAGAAAGGTTTTAGACAAAGATAATCTGTTTGAGGAAAGGCAGTGAGGCCAGATTTGAGAAAAATCCTCATGGCCTCTATTTCCTTTAAGGAGACACCAATGGGAAAGCTGAATGTTTGTCTTTATCTAGGTCTTATCAATGTTCTGGAATACAAATATATAGAGTTTGGTCTTTGATAGAACTTTGATGAAAGGAAACCCCCACTTTGATGAGAGTGGGTTGTTTAACAGGCAATTGGAAATGGCTTGTTTGTATTAAAAGACCTGCTAGTCCCTTGGGGCATGCTTTATAAAAAGAAGTTTTTATTTTCTTTTCCAATTAGAAAATTCCCAGTTAGGGATATTATATAATATTGTATTATATAATACCGTTTTATAATGTGATGTGCAAATGCATTTGAAAGATGTTCTAATAAAAATATGCTGAATATTAAAGTTTGTATAAGAAAATTTAGCTTTGAATTTAAATAAGGCTTACTCTTGTAAGATTGGTATCCTATAAATAGTTCAAATGTACAATTAATGACTCCTATATTTATTCAGGAATGATGCAGAAATAACAGGAAAATTGGAGAAGAGGTGGGAAACCGCTTTCTAACACCTACTGTACTACCCATGGAATTGCCTGCACAAACTTGAAAGCACTGGGCTATGCATATTAAAAGGCTACTGCTGGCTGGGCACTGTGGCTCATGCCTGTAATACCAGCAGTTTGGGAGGCTAAGGTGGGAGGATCACTTGAGCCCAGGAGTTCAAGTCCAGGATTTTGAGGCCAGGAGTTCAAGACTAGCCTGAGCAACATGGACAGAGCCCCTCTCTAAAATAAATAAATAAATAAATAAATAAATAAATAAATAAATAATAAATAATAAAAATAAATCATGCCACTGCACTGCAGCCTGGGTGAAAAAGCCAGACTGTGTCTCAAATAAATATACAAATAAAAGGCTACTGCTTCAAAAAATTCTTATTCCTGAAACTTCTTCTTGAGATATGAGATACCTTATTTTACTTACTAAATAGTAAGTCACATGCTATCTATCTAGTTATAAGAAAATTATAATAAAAAAGTATCTATCAAGATTTTCTCTTAAATAGTAAAATAACTATCCTCCATTTACAACAGCTACAGTACATTGTGATAAATGTACCCTTTGAATTACCAACAGGTATGTCTTTCCACAGTTTTACTTTGATGGCCTTAATAGCAAGGCACAATTAATAGCTATCTCCAATCTGCATGTGATAGCCATAGATATGAAATGATGACTTCTCCCGGGGCATACAAACATATTGGTCTTGCTTTCCTACAACCTCTACCTTATCTGACAGTGTTAGTTTTGGCTCTAGGGCAATGCCAATTTAGAATTCTACCATTTCAGAAGTCAGCTCTATATAGCTTTGTTTTACAGTTTTTTTTTTTTTCTTTTCAGGATGACATTATCTAATTATATTTGTAAAGTTCTCTCTCTCTCCCTCTCTCTTTTCTTTTTTTCCTGTTATCTGTATTGGGGATGGTGGCTAGTGGGGATTAGAAGGGCTATCTACAGTTAGTAAGATATCTGCAGCATACTAATTCCATTTTAAAGATAACAGTGATCACACAGATAACCACCTCTAGCAAATCTATGCATGCATGCAGGTATGAAGACAAATGATAAATTCACTATAGTTTTAAAACAGCCATTCCATTGAAATAAAATGATTATTTGCATATTAAAGTGAACTGCAGGCAAAAGATTGTACATCAATGGTCTTACAGTCATTACTGAATATTAAAACTTTTTTTTGTTGTTTCTTTGTAACTGCAGGATAAATTGACCTCCTGCAATAGATCTAACTGACAGCATGGCTGTTTTCAGCTAATGGGTTGTTATATCAATGGACCTTATCCTGGCCTCAATTATAGACATCAGCATTTACTGCAAAAGAAGCAGCATCAAAAAGTGTAAGGACAAGGTGATGAAGAGAGGACAGGTGAAACAGAAGTAAGCAGATTTCCATCCCAAGATCTGGGCCCAAGATTCTGCTCTAATATTTGAAGCCAAATTGTTCTCCCTTATCACTATACCTGATACAAGAAATAAATAGCATTTTTAATTGGTCTTATAAGTTGATAGGATGGTTTTGTCTTAATTCTGTCATTCTCATTGATAGTTTACACTCCTACAGTGTGTCTCTATAAGTATTCATAGGCATGTTGTTTTAACAGAACTACAGTAAATTGGTTTCACAAACCACAAATGTCCACTCTGTGCCAAGAACAGTGCTAAGGTACAGGATACAAAAATAAATAAGTCAAAGTTCATAATCCTGAACCTCAGGGGAATGGCCAAATAAATTTGTGATTGCAATATGGTATGAGGAATGAAATAAACGAAGTGACTACTGGGAGCAGTGGAGACCAAAGGAAGAAGCAATTATTCTGCCTGAGTAGGAGCAGGGAAGGTTTTAAAGAAAAGGTAAGTCTTGATCAAATACAAACAATTTTGGCAGCATTTAGATAACTAGGCCTTGAGTCCTTTAGAGTCATTAAAGCAGATTTCTGGAAGGTTACTATTCTCAAGAGATTCTGGTTTTTGTTTATTCTGCTTATTGAAAGCCACAGGTAAGTAGATAAATGTGTATTGCTAATCATCTTATTTCAAAATTTGCTGACATTTTAGTGTTGTTGAGTATGAAGTGTCTGGGATAGTCAATTTTTAATGGCTTTATTTATTTAGATTTGGTTATAGGCAAGGGACCAGTTCTTGATAGACGAGTCTATCAGGAAGTCAATATTTTTATCCACATATGAAACTTACACACGGTTTTAAGTTATGATCTTGCATTAATGTTATTAATGAGCAGAAATGATATGTATATAATTTTGTTAAAAAAGAAAAAGAACATTCCAGTGTGTAGCACATGGCGGATAATAAAAATATCATTATTGGATAAGTAAATTTATGAATAAAGTTACATGTGGCTACACTGAAATGTGTTTTGCATTTGGATCAAAATACAAACACACACACACCCTATACATATATATATATATATGTATATGTATTTCAAACTACTTTTAACATAGAAAAGACAAAATTTTCTTTAAGGCGAAGAAAGATTTTTTTAAGAGGTGGCAAGGGTCAAAGATTTCCAAGCTTCTTAAAAGATAATGTATTAGGTTATATGAAATTAGTGAGGAAACACGCATACCACAAAAAATAACCAATCTATCCCTAGATAAATAATATTCTAAAGAGCTCAGAGCAGTAAGAATTAAAATTGAAAAACACAAAAAGTTGAAAACGCTCTTATCACCCTGAACTGAAAATAATATATAACAAGTAAAGGTCAGTTAAGTCAGAAATTCCTTATAAAAGCACCCTAAACATTGTTCAAGGCCAAGATTTCTCACTTCTTTCATTTCCTTAAGAAAAAAAAATTACTTCTACATAGTCTTTCAATAAATATATTTTTCAACAATAATGAAAAGGTTATAAAAAGCTTCCTCTCCCGCTGGAAGCTTATTCAGTGACCTTACTTCCCTGTCTACCGTCAACACAGACCTCCATGGTCCCTGCTAGTACGTTTTGCTTGGGGGGGTACATTTACCTCCTTTCGGTCACCAATTTGTCTGCATTCTCACAGTATTAGTTCCTTTGTAATGCTTCCAGGTTATAATTCCCTTCTCAAGTTAATTATGTGGGTAGAACTCTTTCCCTTGAACTTGTCCTTATTTTTTGCCTTCTTGGAGAAAATCATATACGTTGAAAATTTATTTTATATATATATATATATATATATGTCAGGTCAGATCAACTTGTTTTAATAATTCTATCTTCCTTTAAAAATGTATCTTTTTTCTTTACCGCTGGTCATTTTCATAATTTTATTTTCTCTAACTCTGGTGTTCAAAGCTGGTTTGCCTTTTAACAACTCATTTATCTATTGATTTTCTGGTTTCATATTTCTGCTGATTAAAACTCTGGTCAATTTGCTTCTAAAATCAAATTATTTTATCTCAATAAACGGGGAAAACATTTTATTTTATTCACCCTGTTTGACCATAACGTGTTGATATCTTGAAAATGCCCTTGGCATTTGTTTCATTTGTTGATCATTTTCATCTCCAATAGAGACCAATTGTCTCCAGGGATAATTCAGTGTATTAAAAGAAAAAAAGTCTCTTTTCAAAGGGAGGATTGTTTCCTCTTGTTTCTTTTATGCTTATAGATATTCTTTCTAAAATGTCGTGTGATTTTTTAAACAATAGACATGGATAACCATGTGCAAACAGATATACTGTTAGTCATGTATATGAATAAGAGTTAAATATCGTAAGTAATAATTCTAAAAGCCTACTTGATATATCTCACTTTGAAAGTTCCACAGGCATCTCAAATATAATATTTCCTAAGTGGAGCTATAGATCTCTCCCATCTATTCCAACTCAGTGTCAACAGAACCTCTTCCACTCAATTGATCTTCCACCATATTCTTCATCCTTGACATCTACAGCTATCATAAATACTATTAATTCTATTTCCAAAACACATCTCACATCTGTTCAATCCTCTCAAACTGCAATAACTTTCATTATCCAACACACTATTCTTTCTTACTTAGACTGCTGCAATTAACTAACCAGTATTTCTACTTCAACTTCTGCTCTTCTCCACTTCTATACTCCATTTTCCACGCAGCAATGTTATATCTGTCTCTGTCCATCTCTCCATCAATCCATCTCTCCATCTATTTATTTCAATGCATGACAGATGGAGCTTACTGGACTTCTTTCTCTTCCAGAAGCTTAGCCACACTGAATACTCCATTCCTTTAATTATTTGAAATTACCTAACTTCCTCCTGCCCCAAAGAGTTACACATTCTGCTACTTTTGCTTGGGGCATTTGTTACTTTCTTCTTCATGTTCAGGTAAGCTGAAAGGGAAGTCATTTTGATAAGTCTTCCTTCACTTTCTAGGCCAGTATAATAGAATATAATGTGAGTCAATAATGCAAGTTGCATTTATAATTTAAAATTATCTAGTACCTACAGTTAAACCTGTAAAAAGAAACAGGTAAAATTATTTCAAATAATATATGTGATTTTAATGCAATATAACCAAAATATTATTTTTAAAAATGCAATTGATATAAAAAAGTATTAATTTGATATTTTATATTCTTTTCTGGTACTAAATCTTCCAAATCTTGTGCATGTTTTACAACTCCTACATATCTGGATTTTGACCAACCTGTTTCCCTCTTCTGTGATCAAAAGATAAACATAATTCTGGGAGGACATACACCAAATTTTAAAACTACTTCTCAGTTGCATAGGGAATGGAGGGATTCATTAGAAAGGGAAGACTGCCCTTTCTCCGTTATGCAATCCAATGTCTGATTTTTCATTTTTTTTTTTTACAATGCACCTCTTCTATTTACTACATTAAAATATATTTCCACTTTGAAAATAATAATTAAACATGATTTAAAAGAGAAACATTCTGAATGTTAAGAACTGTGAAGTATTGTAAATTCACTGTCATTTTGTGAATAAATTTTATGTTCTGAAAGAGAATAGTACTTAAAACATGTTGCTTTCTCTGTACAATGCAAAACAGAACTGGATAATTTGTTTAAAGGTAAGTCATTGTTCATTTTCCAGCATTAAATGGTCCTTAAGAATTGGGAAGGAATTACTCAACCAAAAACAGTTAAAGCATTATTTTCTTTGTGCTAGAAATACAACATGAGGACTATACCATCTCATTATTAACCTCAAACAGATTTGTGGATTTTTTTAGCCCAGTGTCATGCTTCTCAGGCATTTTGTTCACACTTCTATATGATTAATATTGTATCATATAATAATAATTTGATTGATTTCCCATTGCACTGAGCTCCCATTGCATTGTGAGTGCTTCACATTCAAAGAACTGTTTCTATTCATCTTGGGATCCCTAGCAGGTAACCCAATGCCTGGTCCATAACAGAATATATTGTTCAAAGTTAACCTAATTTGGCATATATGTCCTTGTGGAATTTGAAAATAAGCAATACAGTTTATCTGTATTATCCCATACATGTTCAAATAAAAATTTAAATTAAATTAGAATTACACTTCACAATTCACCTGAAATTCACCATATCTCTTCATAACAAAAATATAATACATGCACATAGAAACATGTCTAACGAATGCTAGTTTAGAACTGTAAATACATTGGGTCATTACAACCAAAAAGTAGGTACCATTAATATACTCATTTTACAGTAAAGAAACTGAGCCACATAGGAGTTAAAGACTCTGCCTAAGTTCATTCAGCTAATAAGTGAGGTCTCAAACCATGCTTAGACACTGGAGCCCATGATCCTAGCCACAACACTATAATGCATTTCTAAAGTCTCACAAAAACAACTTCACATTCTTTATGATATTGCGATTGTTTAAAAGCAGAAGTCAAGTCGATTTGCGCTTTGCTAGAAATATTTTTATTTCAAAATTGAAAAAATAAGTATACGTTTGAATTTCTATTATATGTCAGGCATTATGATAGATTCTATACGTTTTACCATTGCATTTGACCCCTTGTGGGTGTTGGCATTCTTATCCTAAACAAGAAACTGAGACTGCAAAATGTTAACGAATTTGCCCAAGGTCAAATAAGTAGAATTCATCAGACATCAACGTCCTTTCTCTTTCAAAAAGATATAATTTCTCAAAAAAAACCTGGGGACTAGAATGCTCCATTAGGAAATTCCCTAAAAAATCAGATGACTTCTGGAAATGCCACTGTTCCACAAATACCTCATTCAGTAGAATTCCCTAACACCTAAACTTCATGCAGAAAACCTAATATGAAAAGTCCATTGAGTCACCAGCTCCTAGAATATCATTATAAATTTGTCAGATCATGAATTTTAAGATTATAGATCATGTGTGCGTTATTGCAGACGAGTGAGTCCAATGTTTTCCAAAGAGTGGTATTCAACATTATTTTAGATATGTAGAAAATAGTTTACATAGCACTGAATTGCATTGTGTAAAAACTTTTCCTTATGATTATATAAGAAGAAAGTCTCAGCTCTGTGTTTCTATATCTTAAACTACTCTCTAATTTTTGTCACTCCCGTTTTCAAAGGAGAAACAAAGAATTCCTAAGGCTCTGAGTCTTTAGCAATCACGCTTTTTCTTTGCATTAATATTTTATTATTTCTTACTTATGATGGAGATACTGGAGTGTCATTTTTGGTAGTAATATTGAATTCAATTAAAATGCATTTGTGTCGAAAAATGTTTCAATAAAATTTAAAATAACATAGTTGCATGTGAATATGACAATTATGAAAACAATCTAATATCAACTCAAGCTATACAACACTGTCCTGACCTAATTGATATGGTTTAACTGTGTCCCCATCCAAATCTCATCTTGAATCGTAGCTCTCACAATTCCCACGTGTTGTGGGAGGGACCCAGTTGGATGTAATTTAAACATGGTGGAGGGTCTTTCCTGTGCTGTTCTCGTGATAATGAATAAGTCATAGGAGATCTGATAGTTTTTATAAAGGAGAGTTTTCTTGCACAAGTTCCATTATTCTCTCTTGTCTGCCTCTGTGTAAGACATGTCTTTTGCTTTCCAACATGATTGTAAAGCCTCCCCAGCCACATGGAACTGTGAGTCCATTAAACCTCTTTTTCTTTTTAAATTACACAGTCTCAGGTATATCTTTATCAGTAGCATGAAAAGCAACTAATACAGTAAACTGGTACCAGTAGAGTGGGGCACTGCTGAAAAGATACCTTAAAATGTGGAAGTGACTTTGGAATGGGTAACAGATTGGAACAGTTTGGAGGGCTCAGACAACAGAAAAATGTGGCAAAGTCTGGAACTCCCTAGAGACTTGCTGAATGGGTTTGACCAAAATGCTGATAATGATATGGACAATGAAATCCAAGCTGAGGTAGTCTCAGATGGAGATGAAGAACTTGTTGGGAAGTGAAGCAAAGGTAACTCTTGTTATGTTTTAACAAAGACACTGGCAGCATTTTGTCCCTGCCCTAGAGATTCGTGGAACTTTGAACTTGAGAGAGATAATTTAGGGTATCTGGTGGAAGAAATTTCTAAGCAGCAAAGCATTCAACAGGTGACAGGTGCTGTTAAAAGCATTTAGCTTTAAAAGGGAAATAGAGCATAAAAGTTTGGAAAATTTGCAGCCTGGCAATGTGATAGAAAAGAAAATCCTATATTCTGAGGAGAAATCCAAGCCAGCTGCAAAAATCTGCATAAGTAGCTAGAAGCTGAATAATAATCAGCAAGACAATGGGGAAAATGTCCCCAGGGCATGTCAGAGACCTTCAAAGCAGCCCCTCCCATCACAGGCCTGGAGGCCTAGGAGGGAAAAATGGTTTTATGGGCCTGGCCCAGGGTCCCTCTGCTGTGTGCAGTCTAGGGACTTGGTGCCCTGTGCCCCAGGTGATCCAGCAGTGACTAAAAGGGGCCAAGGTAGAGCTCAGGCCATGGCTTCAGAGGGTGCAAGCCCCAAGCCTTGGTAGCATCCACATGGTGTTGACCCTGGTGGTGCACAGAAGTCAAGATTTGAGGTTTGGGAACCTCTGCCTAGATTTCAGAGGACCTATGGAAATGCCTGAATGTCCAGGCAGAAGTTTGCTGCAGAGGCAGGGTGCTCATGCAGAACATCTGCTAGGGAAGTGCTGAAGGGAAATTTGGGGTGGGTGCCCCCAAACAAAGTCCCCACTGGGGTGCTGCCTAGTTATGAGAAAAGTGTCACTGTCCTCCAGGACCCTAAATAATAGATCCACCAATGACTTGCACCATGCACCTGGAAAAGCCACAGACACTCAGTGCCAGTCTGTGAAAGCAGCCAGGTGGGAGGCTGGACCCTGCAAAGCCACGGGGGCAGAGCTGCCCAAGATGATGGGAGCCCACCTCTTGCATCAGCGTGACCTGGATATGAGACATGGAGTCAAAGGAGATCTTTTTTTTTGGAGCTTTAAGATTTGGTTGCCCTGCTGGATTTTGGACTTGCATGGGGGACTTTAGCCCTTCATTCCTTCATTTTGGGCAATTTCTCCCATTTGAAATGGGTGTATTTATCCAATGCCTGTATCCCCATTGTATCTAGGAAGTAACTAACTTGCTTTTGATTTTACAGGCTCATAGGCAGAAGGGACTTGCCTTGTCTCAGATGAGACTTTGGACTGTGGACTTTTGATTTGACACTGAAATGAGATAAGACTTTGGGAGACTGTTGGGAAGGCATGATTGGTTTTGAAATGTGAGGACATGAGATTTGGGAGGGGCCAGGGGCAGAATGATATGGTTTGGCTGTGTCCCCACCCAAATCTCATCTTGAATTGTAGCTCCAACAATTCCTACATGTCATGGGAGGGACCTGGTGGGAGGTAATTGAATCTTGGGGGCAGATCTTTCCTGTGCTGTTCTCGTGATAGTGAATAAGTCTCAAGAGATCTGATAGTTTTATAAAGGGGAGTTTCCCTGCACAAGTTCTATTATTCTCTCATATCTGCTGCCAGGTAAAACATGCCTTTCTCCTTCTGCCATGATTGTGAGGCTTCCCCAGCCACGTGGAACTGTGAATCCATTAAACCTTTTTTCTTTTTAAATTACACAGTCTCGGGTTTGTCTTTATCAGCAGTGTGAAAATGAACTAATACACTAATATTTTCATTTTACAAAAGAAAACAAGAAACTCAGAGAGTTAAATAAATATATACCAGATTATACTATTAAAGAGTTTAAAACCTAGGTTTTCTATTTTTCCATTAATTATTTGAGATAAGCACTGTGGCACAGATGAGTCATGAATATGCACACTTTAGGCAGGAAAGAATAAAGACACAGCACGAGCAAAAACAATAGGAGATTTATATGTAGGGTACCCAAAAAGCATCTCAGAGGGTAGATTCAAACACTTCCCCTGTTATCATTTAAAAAGCAAAACTATTCGTGAAGATCAGTGGAATATCAACTAACTTCCATCAAGATAAAATCTAATAGCTGAGATGCTGGTTAATAAAGTTTAAGCCCCCTAAGACAAACCACCTTAGCATCTTAGCATTTTAATAAGAGACTAATAAGTGATAAGCACTCAAGATCAAAGGAATGCAGTTTTAAAGAAAGAAAGATAAGCAGTGTGTTCAGGGGTCATGCCAGTATTTTTTATACCATACTTTAAAACTCTCCAAGTCCCTGTTGGATACAACCTAAATAAGGAATGCCATAAATGAATAAACTTATAAAGGAAAATCAGAGGGAGTTTTGGGGTAAAGCAGTGATTCCAGGAGTACATTCAACTATTCCCAATCACTTCACTAAACCTGTCATGGAAATGTTAGAAATGGGTCTGCTTTTTTTTTTTTTTTTTTTTTTCAGAACCAAAGTATAATTGAATAGCACAGAGCATCTGCTGAGGAAGTAGCGTCACATTTTAAGAAGACAGAAGAGTCACAAAGAATAAAAAGACTTTAAAGTTTTCTAAACAACTTTCTACCAAATGCATGAAATCTTGTCCCTCCTTTCCTGATTGCTCTTGGCTGAGTATCTATGGTGGTAGGAGAGTACAGGATAGCAGGTTTCTGTGATGGAGATGGCAGCGCACAGTAGGAGGGATGTGAGAATTGGGGACAGAGAGATACACATTCAAGTCCTCACTTCTCCCTTTTTCTTGCTGCCTTGTCCTACTCTGCAGAATGTTGGTAATAATGACAATGTCATGGATCATTGTGGGAATGTATATAAGAAACACTCAGGGAGGGGAAGAAAATGAACAAACATCTTTGGGTGCCTACAACATGCCAGCATCTTTAATTTTGTCTTTTATTTTTGCTGCTTTGTGGTGCCAATGGCCCGGTTCCTAGAAAATACAAGGTGTTCAGTTAAGAGTTCCGGTCCATTTTCCCATCTAACAAGGCACTCCATTATGTTGTAAGAATGCTCTGATTGTTAGCAAAACCTTTATTTTAAGCCAAAATCTGCCTCCTTTCAGCTTCTGCCTAATGCTGCCTTCTGGAACAACTCAAAACTAGGCCACTCCCTTTTCTATGAGAGCCCTTCAAATATCTGAAAACAATTACTATGGTTCCCTTCAGTACTCTCCTCACCAAGGTCAACACACCCACTTCTTTCAGCTATTACTTTTGAGACATGGCTTTCTAAAAACATATTGTCCCAATTGCCTATTATAGACACACTCTAGTCAGTCAATTCTATCCTTACATGCAAGGTCTTTATCTGAACATCATAGTCCAAATGAAGTCTGAGAAGAGCTGTTGAATCTGTGCTGAGGAGCTTACTAACCAATTGATTCTTCTATCCCTTTAGCAGCATTGAAGCTAGGAGGATACATGATTGTTTCATGTGTATATTTTAGGGTAAAAGAGAGCATTAAGCAAGAGCGTGATCAAACAATTCAATATTAATAAATAATAAGATATATTTCTGCTTGAAAACTCACTGCAACAATTTGTTGTGACGTTTCCCTTTCTGTAAGCCATGAGGATAGCATAAATTCTACAATGAAGATGCAGAGGGTATGAATTGAGCTTAATTATCTTTAAAGTTAAATTTTGTTATGAGCTCTGAAGTGAGTCACTTCAGAATTTCCTGAGTTTAACTTCTGCCAGCTTTTGATACATGACCTCAAGCAAGTCAGGTAACCTTTCTGTGCCTCGTTGCCCTCATCAGTAAGATGAACTTGTCCCACTGCTTCACAGGGGTAGTGAGAATTTCTCTTAAAAAGACCAATTGTGCATAAATGCTAAGATAACTGCAGCAAAAGTTGCCTTATAAATCTTGACTAGAGGAGTCAAAGGTGTATAGGTGAAGCTATCCCACTCAAAGGATTCGAAAAATCTAAGCTATTTGGAAAACACTGTGGAGCTCATTTAGCATTTGTTTTCATTATTAGCATATTCCTGTGCTTGTGGCTTCCTCTCAGCTTATCCAAATCCACCCGTCCCCAGTATATTTATTGCTTACTCTTCTTCTCTTCCAAGACTTGACTTCTTTCCTGTTACCATATTCCTCTTTATTTGCACCACATGTTAGTTAGCTTGTGCCCTCTGCTTCCTTAGGAAGGATGTCAGATTGCTGACCCCATGGGCTTTGACACTTTTCCAGCAGCCTATTTCACATGGAGTAATAAAGCAGTCACTGCTGCTACCGCCTCACTGAAATAGATGAGAGTTGAGAACAAACCACCACACTAAGGCGAAGTCCACTGATATCTAAGTCCTTTAACTGATAATAGGAAAAATTCAAATGGGACTTTGCTAGAGCAGAGTTATCTGCAAATTTTATCACCGGACTGCTTTCAAATTAGCTCCTGCAATAAAAAAGCTCTTCATCTTAATTCTAAATGCATTGTAATTACAATCAGCAAACAAAAGGTTAAGCCAGCCTCTTCAGGGGACTACATTTCTTGGAAAGACACCTAGATTATTGCCCCAAATGGCTGAAGCACAACTAGCTGTTTACTGAGCTTAACTTCTTGTTTGTTGAATCTGATTACTGTTTGAAATAAATGCAGTGGTCATCTAGTCTTTGCAAATAAAAGTTTACTGATAAATGTTTTATTAACACTTTCATTCTCTGGCCACCCGCCTACCTGACACTTGAATGAGCCCTAACAGTGTACCTTACCTTACTTGGGATGCAAAGCACATTTCCAATGAGGGGCTCTTCCTGAAAAAGTAATAGAAATTCAAGGAACCTGCCATCAGGTATCTTTGGCAACAATGCTCTGTCCTTCCTTTGTCCCTGTTACTGCCTGGACGACACATCTGCCAAATGTCCCAGACTGGAGATCTCAGGATCTTTTTATCTACTTCTTCACCCACACCCTTTATATGCAGTTAGTTGTTAAGTCTTTATTAAGTCTTTCCTTATAATGATTATTGAATACATCTCTGCCTTCAACTGCCACTCCAAATAACTGATTCCAGGCTCTCATTAAACTAATTCCTTGGAGTTTGAAATAACGCCATACCCATACAAGTAAATTCCTCCAAATAATACTTTCTTCCTGCTACTGGATTTGTTACAGCTTATTAGTAAGCTGACAAGTCTTAAAGGCTCCCCACAATTTGGTCTTCCGTTTTCAGCCTTATGTCCTAACATTTCACAATTTTGTTGCATCTTATCTCTTTCCCCCTATGCTATGGTAAATACTTTCTCTTTTTTGCTTTCCTCCACATCTGTGAATAGAATTTTTAAAAAGGAGAGGATTTCCCAGGTGGAAATGCACCTAGAATACCTTCTCCTTTTTCTCTATTCTTTTTTTTTTTATAATTAACTCACATTTTGTTTCTTCCATGAATCTTCTTATAACTGCCCCCCTGCCAAATGCATGCTACTCAATCATCTATTAATTAACTCACAACCCTTTTTTAAAAAAATACCAGGCAGGGTGCTAGGTACTGGGGATATAAAGAAAGATAAGATGTAGCTCTTGTTTTAAGGCGCTCTTGAGTTCAATCTGGGAATGTCTGTGGCATTTACCTTTTTTGGCACTATACAACCTTTTTTTTTTGCACTTATTAATTTGGGCTAGGTACTGTCAACTATTACAGATAGCACTGTACTTCTTTACAAAACATAGTGCCATGAATTTCAAAGAGTTGGCAGTCAGTAAACATCTGCTGAATGTTTAATTCTTTTTTATTTTTATTTTATTTTAGAAACAGGATCTCTAAAAAACTTCTGTCACCCAGGGTGGAGTGCAGTGGTACAATCATAGCTCCTTACAGCCTCAAACTCCTGGGCTCAAATGATCCTCCCATCTTAGCCTCCGGAATAGGTAGGAGCACAGGCAGATCTTTTGTAGAAACAAGGTCTCACTTTGCTGCCCAGGCTGATCTCAAACTCCTGGCTTCAAGCAATCATCCTCCTTGGTCTCTGTTTAATTCTTTTGACTATAAAACCTGAATAGCAAAGGAGGTGAATTTGTCTCTCAAGTTCTCGGTACAGTTTTCCTTATACCCACTGTCCCCAGCACTGAGTAATCTTAGCTCTGTCTGCTCAGGGTCCCCAAATTTTGTGGCTCTACTGAGGCCTACCTTTTTCAATCTAGTTCCGAAATTTTTATTTTATTTTTTTTTTAATGAAAACCTCCCTTCCTTGTACTGATTTTTCTAAAATCCTGGTTTCTTTAAGTAACAAATGGGTCATTGGTAAATAGTAGGCAGCAGCAAGACAAAGTCCAAGTGTGTGAAGTTTAAAGTGAAAGAACTGGTTTAAAATGCTCACTTTGCCCATTAGCTCTGTGGTCCCGAGAAAGTCATTTAATTCTCTGAGCCTGTTTCATCACTTACAAAATGTGAATAACAACACTTATTCATAGGGTTGTAATAAGGAGTGGGAGATGGTGTTAGGCATAAAACCAGCACAGTGCCCTGAACCTATTTTAACAAATGGTATTTCCGAGGTGTTAGTCCATGCCAACATGAAACGTGAGTCTAAGGAAGCTTATAAATACTGTTTCTTTTTATTACAAAGATTATAATTCCAGTATAACAAAATTCACTGGAAGAAAACCATTTAACACAGCTTATTATCTGTTCAAAAAATAAAAGTTCACTGAACATTTACTCTGTACAATCTTCATAAATTGACAAAAATGCACAGTATATCTCACCACCTAACACAGGCCTAAACAATGTGACATACGGTATAGTACCAGTAGGTACTTAGGACTATGGAGAAACAATGGAAGACATTAATTCTGCTTGTCTTGATGGTAAGGGTGGGGATGAAAATACAGATCGAATTTGGGGGAGCATGTTAAGGTTAGGGGAATAGAGATAGCTTATATTTAGAACAAGTTAGTAGAGACTGTATGATTTTCCAAATAGAGAAGGGTAAAAAGACATTCCATAGAGGAAGAAAATTACATGCAAAACCACAGAGACCTTAGTTTATAAAGAGTAACTGGGTATGGCCGGGTGCGGTGGCTCACGCCTGTAATCCCGGCACTTTGAGAGGCTGAGGAGGGTTGATCATGAGGTCAGGAGATCGAGACCATCCTGGCTAACACGGTGAAACCCGTCTCTACTAAAAATACAAAAAATTAGCTGGGTGTGGTGGTGGATGCCTGCAGTCCCAGCTACTTGGGAGGCTGAGGCAGGAGAATGGTGTGAACCCGGGAGGCGGAGCTTGCAGTGAGCCGAGATCATGCCACCGCACTCCAGCCTCAGTGACAGAGCGAGACTCCATCTCAAAAAAAAAAAAAAAAAAAAAAAAAAAAAAGGAATTGGACATAAGGGATTTGTTACTGGAGGGATTCTCAGGTATTCGAGGCAGGTCAGAGAAGGAGAAAGTGAAAGTTGTGAAGGCTACATGACTCTGCTCAAGTCATGCAACTCAGCCAATAAGCTGCACTACCTATATGTCTGTTAGGTTTCTATGTAAGAGTGTAAATATATAAGCTAAGTATCCCATGTTTCCATTATGGGTAGTATATCATTTATTATTAACCAAATCATTTCATAGGCTGTAAGATGAAAGGTACTACAGATTCTGCAAGACACTATAAAGAGGAACTTCAGTTGGAAAAGTAAGTAATGTAAAGTAATTCCTGTGCATTTTTTTCCTGATTATGACTTTTTATTTAAAGTCATAAATAAAAGAATTCTTATGGCTATAAAATTTGCTTACTTATTTATTTCACAAGTATTTGCTGAGCAGCCACCCCATGATAGACACTGTGTACTATGCTAGAATTCTGCAGTGAACTAGACATGGGCTTTGTCTGGTACTTGTTATTTAGGAGTGTTGACAGAATTTACAAATACTTAAATAATTGTCATAGTAGAAGTGCTACAAAGAAGCAGAGGGTGCTATGAATGTATGTAATGGGAGGAATTTAGACTAGGTAGTTAGTAAAATATCTCTGAAGAAATTATTTATGATGGAGACCTAAAAAACCAGAACAGAACTTAGCCAGCACATGAATAATTAGGTGTATCCATATGTTCATGGGGGAGAAAATCTGAGAACGAGAGAAAGGTCAGTAGAGTCAGAAAGAGCTGAATACCAAAAGGAAGTTGGTTATAATTGAAAGATGGCCAGTGAGTTTTCATGTCATTAGTGACAGTGGGAAGACAAAGCTTATTGGTAGGGACCAAACAATTGTAGGAATTTAATAAGAATTTTGGACTTTATCCTAAGAGGATGGAAAGTTTTAAGAAGGAAAGTAATACAATTCAGATATGTAATCCATATTTGCTTGTACTTTCTCTGTGTTTGTCTTTCATGAATGCTTCCCAATGCTTCATTGATGCCTCATTGAGTTTTTGATGAATACTTCTCATTGCTTCTGCGAAATGATGTTGAAACAACCCTCACAAACTATGTAGAGTCTTTGTACTTCTTCAGCCATTGACTGCCTCTTAAAAACAACCAAGTGTTTGACTTGCAATTTTACCTCTCTGAAAATACAAATCACCACCACCCAAAAACTGAACCTCCAAAAAAGCTTTGTAAAAACTTACTGTCAAGTCTTCAGAGCATGGCTCAATAATGGTATACAGGGTATCAAAGAAGAAAGGAAGAAGCCTAATAGGGTTAGGTACAGCCAACCAGCTCTTGTTGAGGGGCTACAAGGTGCTGGGCATCATGATAGACACTTTTATTTTTGGAAAGAGTAGCACTAAATTATTTAAGAGGATTTACTTTAACATTCAATTACATATTCTTATTTTCAGGTAGAAATTTAATGATAATGATTTTGAAGAGGCCTTTGTTTACTAAAATACCTTAATTTTACCACATTCATTATAAATTTTACTATATTATTTTTATAATAAATGAGTTCAAATTAGAGATCAGGAGAAATAATTACCATATTTCTAAATGTGACAGTTTTCACATTTTATTTTTACACTTTTGATCCTTAAATTATACTCTATGTGACCAACGAGAGACCTTTAAAATTGATTTGGTCTCATGCAAAATTGTTCATCAAGTTTAAATCTGTCTTTTTTTTGAAAGAAAACAAAGTGTTTCATTTTAAGAGTCAGAGAAAAATAAAGCTAATGAAAATATATGTAGTATATTTTGAAATTTTGAAGAAAAAAAGGTATTGATTATATTCCAATGTTTGGTTTTTAGAATTAAAAGATAGCTCATTGCCAATATACTTCTTTAACAACATCACATAAATTGTGTTCTCTCTCTTTGAATAAAGGTCCTTGCTGTTCCCAAATAAAAGAAGTAAAGAAATAACTTTTACATGCTCAATTTCCCTGAGCAAAGTATATCAAAGAATCATAGAGTAAAATGGATTTGTTACTTGACTTCTCTAGTTATTTGTTTATTTTGTTTCATTTTTTTTGTAGAAACAGGGTCTCACCATGTTCCTCGGGCTAGTCTCAAACTCCTGGGCTCAAGCAATCCTCCCACCTAGGCCTTCCAAAGTGTTGTGATTGCAGGTGTGAGCCACTGTGCCTGGATGTATTTTTCTCATTTAAAATTAAGACAAGCCTATAAATTCATTATATGCACATTTTGAAGCCAAATTTAAATACCACAATGCCCAGAGGTATAAAGAAACACTTTGCATCTGCTCACCATCCTAATAAATTAATTTTTAATTTAAATATATTTGCAACAAAGGTATATTTGTGGAAACTGCTTTGCAATTAGGGGCTAAAAAAACTTTTTGCAAACAGTTTTATTGTTATTTATTATTATTGAAATAATAGATTGTTTTCATTATTTAGTAGGTTATACTTAACTAGAAACATTATATAAGGTTAATATTATATACTAATTTGATTCTTGATTCCTGGAAAGCGGTTGCTAATTTACATTTATATATGCATAGATATAAATGGTCACTATATTTACAATATTTGTATATACTATACTTATATGTATATCTTTATATATATTAGATTGATAAATACTAGTCTATTTATATTAGATTGATAAATACTAGTCTATTTTTTATTTGTATCATTCCTTCTAATACTTCTTCAAATATTTACTATCAGTTATACATCTTTATCATAGATACCATTTTATTTATAGTTTTTTAATATGCTTAAGATACAGAGGAAACTCATAGATGTACATATTTTGCTGGTTTATTTATTGTTGTTTTTTCTTGAGACAGGGTTTTCCTCTGTCACACAGGTTTGAGTGTAGTGGCACAATCATAGTTCTCTGCAGCCTCCAACTCTTGGACTCACATGATCCTCCCACCTCAGCCTCCTGAGTAGGTGGGATTACAGGCATGTGCCGCCACACTGGTTAAATTTTAAAACATTTGTAGAGACAGGGTCTCACTATGTTACCCAAACTTTTGGTCTCAAGCAATCCTCCTACCTCAGCCTCCCAAAGTGCTGGGATTACAGGTGTGAGTCACAGCATCAGCCTATTGAAAATATTTTTATTTAACATTTAATTGAAATGATTAAAAAGAAAATTTAAAATAAATGTTTAAATAAATGCCAAATAAAGAATATAGACCTTTTTTATCCTTTGATTTATCTTGTGGAATTTCTGAAAGAGCATCAGAATTTTGAGTCAATGTATATTTTTAGATTAAATGGTACTTAACCTCTGAGAAAAAAAAATCCTAAGCCAAGTGTAAATTGCATAGCTTTTTCAAATGTAATACAAGTTCCATGATTAGATTTAGTACAAAATCAAGTTTCAATTTAAAAGCCAGCCGTAAATACACACATACAAAATTGCATATGTATTATCTTTAACGGCCTTAGAAACAGCTTTCAGATACTATCAAAGCTTTGAAAATTCTATTTAACCCAAAATGTCTGCTTTGGCCTAAATGACATGTTACAATATTATTCTCTCTGTGTCCTTTTTAGCATTCTTTATCTCACCCTGCTAAGAGGTCATCATGTTAATGCAGTATCTAAATATGTAACATTTTACCACAAAAGCAATTTTACATGAAATTAAAACAGAAAGAATTAAAGAAAAAGTTCCATCACCATCTCTTTTTTAATGCTTGTTTACCCAACCAATAGTTTCTTGAAGGTACAGTTTCCTTGAATCTAATGATGGCGAAGTCTAGGTATTTCAATGTTGATCTTGTAATCCTCTCTTGCCACCTGTCTCAATTAGTGACATGGAAGAAAAACATAGACTACTGTGCTCAATGAATAGATACTTACAGATTACAAATGCTTGATACAGAATTCTCATTTACTTGTTCACCTTTTGAGTGACAAATATACCACTTCATTATCTTACAAAGTTTATCAGGAATACAAATTCAGGCTTGTATAGTAGGAACTATACAGTCAGATCAAAATGTGTGCATAACTGAAATATGCATGCTGTATCTGAAAATGTTGCACTTAAATCATCTTTTTTGGGAAATATGAGATTGTAATTCATGTGGACCCACTTTGTTATGTCATAGATGTTTAATTTAAATGGTGTTTTCCTCTCTAATGTTTCTAAAATATGACAAGTTTTCTCATCCTGATTCTCTCTCTCCAACATAATTTCTGCCACACAAGTCATTCTATCTGGTATTTAATAAGCTAAAAATAAATATAGATGGGTGTTGGTAGCTAGTATTTGAACAAACTATTCAGTAAATCATTTTCTAACTCAAAATAATAAGTACTGTATAAATTATCTATTTATTTTGAAATATGTACTCTTCAATGTAGGGTTTTTCTAAATCATGCTATGCAGCAGACAGCTTAGCCCGGACACAGAGTTAAAAGTACATGAGGAAGATATGGAAAACAGACACAAACATAAAAACCATCCCCCACACTGTTGGATTTAATTCTGGTCATGTGCTTCTAATTGCCAGAGGACAATGAAAAGGAAGCACTAAAGCTAGAAGTAGGCTAAACGTAAATATTTTAGAATTTCATATTAACTCTCAATGGTTGTTCATCCTTACTGAAAACAGGGAAGGAATAGATCAAGACATGGTTACTTGTTGCAACTTGAAACTCATTGTCAAACATCACTCCTGACTTTATTGTAACAAAACTGTGCTAATGAAGCCAAAGTCTTTGGCTGCAGTAAGATTGGCAGTGTTTTGCTGTCTGAGTTGCAGCTTTCTCTGCCTTCCTACAAATGTTTGTCATTGGTCAGAAGAGGAATATTCATGAGAAAGAGAATGAAATAGTATAGATCCTTTACTAGCAGTGGAAAAGTAATGCAAATTTTATGTCTTACGAAGAGTAGTTGAAAAGCAACATCCTCAGAAGAATCCCATACATATCCTAATAAAAGAGGATGACAATTCCATAGCATTATAAAATGTTAATTATTAACTAAAGACAAAGGCTATATTTGAATTTAAAAATAGGACATTTTCTCTGGTAGAGAAAAATAAACTATTTGCATGATTTCTCCAAAGTTTTTTTAAAAAAAAATAGAAATTTTTAGATGGCATTATTTCTTGTACATTCAAAAACAGCCATATAGCTCTGCCAAATATATATAAAAGCAAATTATGTTTTTCAAATGTGTTACCTTTTCATAATAACATGCATTTGTTATTCATTATCTGAGAGAAGTTATCTTTTTTAATCTTTTTGCTTCAAAAAACTATACTTTCTGACTTTTTCAAAGTCATTGCCTTTTACTATCAATAATAGAGTATTAATGTTATCTTAAAAGGCATCTTTATATATTACTTTATTTTTATTCATTTATTAGAAATAAAAGACATGTATAATGATTAAAATTTAAGGTTTCTAGACTACAGCATAAGGAGTTCCAATGAATTACGATATTGTAACTATTCCACATCCATGCATCAACTGTTAAATAAATTCATCTCCTTATAATCTTAATGTATACTATTTCTAAAATAATTTGCACACAACTAAATTCAAGCCACAGATTAAAAATTATTACCCGTTATAGCAATGACTGAGGATAGGTGTTAACACTCACTATATGATCTACATTTCATAGTATACTTCTTTACACATAATTGACACATTATAGTTATTTGCTTAAAGTTAATATATAAAACAGAAAATAAATTTAAAATGTAAAAGCTGGTGGGTCAGGCACCTTTTTAGAAGCACTGAGTTATTAAGTGCCAGCAGTAGCAAAGAAGACCAATGGAATGACAAAGGAGAGAAAGCTCCCAAGAATTCTAATGAGGGTAAAAGGTCTAATAGTTCATTCCCATTACTTACTACATTTTGCCTTGTTTTAAAGAGTTCACAAAGTGTAAGACAATAGCACAAAATCTGTGATTTTTATGCCTCGCTGCTTTCTATTATATGTCTTAACCTTGTGATGGTGATAAAATACATAATAAATAAGTTTTAGGGCCTTTTTCTAGCCAGCAATGTGGTTCCTTGGTAGTTGAATGTTAAACATAGTAAACTGGATTTCTCTTCCCAAAAAGAAATGCAAGAACTGGAGGTCAGAAGAAAGCTGGCATGAAAGGTGTTTACAGAGATAAGCATCAAGATTGCTGTAATAAAAGCGTCTTGAAAAGAATGCATTTAAAAGCATTTCAACAAAATGTATCTAACAAAGATTAAGGAAAGTATCTACAAAACATTAAAATTATTTAAAAGTGCATCTTCAATTCAATTGCAAAGGCTCACTTTTGCTGTGTTCTTGAAATCTCAGGAGACGTACTAGACAAGGCATTTTAGTGTACTAAAAGGAAACAATCTTTTTCTAGTTTAAGGGGAAAAGGGGGAAATTACTATAAAGTTGCAAGAGTAGAGGTGGAAATGGCTGGATTGCAATCAGTCATCAGAAGTAGTGTAGGAAACAGAAATGAATGGTTCCCCAAATTACTATTTGGGGTAAATATTGCTTTTTTCTACTCTGTTTCTGTTTCAGTGTGTTGGCTTTGTTCTATCTGCGCAGCTCTCTATGATATTCAAACCACAAGACAAAAGATGGCTGTGTGGTGATGGCATTTGAGTAGTCAAGAACCTAATAGAGAAACTGAATGCTATTGGTGACAATTCCAAATCCTCATGGGAAGGGATTTTGATTGTCTTATTCCCACATACCTGGCCTGTGTGTGAGGTCACACTGAAATAACATGACTCACATGTTTATCTAGACAATAGTTCATATATGAAATTGGGGTCTATAATTTAAGACAAATACTAATTCATTTGTCCATTCAACAAATATTTAATGAATATTTACTATGTCTTATCACTGTCTTAGTCATAAATGTTGAATATGCAGATAGTGAATAAGATAAATGAGGTATCAGGGAAAATTGTCACAATTCATAGAAATTAGAGTGGTTTCATACAAAATAAAACAAATGCCAAAGCAAAACACTACGACCTCACTAGCTAGAGATGAAAATACGGATAAAAATCCTTTAAAAATTAAAGTAATTTCTTAAGTTCCTAAAGACAGAAATGAATCCAGAATGAAATTTAAGATGACTATTGATCCTCTAAATACATCATTTGGGTCACTCTTAGAGGAAGGAAACTGTAAAACCATTATAAGAAATTTGGTGCATAAATGTAGATGAGAACTATGTCTATAATAGGTATATACAAATTTATTATCCACTCATACAATTTGAAACTTATAGGAAATAATGGTAAAATCACTATATTTTCTTTACATGGACTCCACTTACTATAATGTGTTAATACTGGACAGATTACATATTTTGGAGAGAAGCTACTAAGAGCACAAATAAGCCATAATGTGGTTTTAGGAAGGAATGAAATTTTATATTAAATGGAGAGCTTTGTAGCATATTCAAAGGTATAATTTGAAATAATGTATCATCCAATACAGTAGTATTATGAAGATTTTGGCAAATAGTCTCTGCTTTCAGGGCCCAGTAAGAAAAGTAACTACTAATACTGAGCTCACCAAAAAAACAGACAATGGGGCATCCAGAGTATTCTGGTTTTTTGTTTGTTTGTTTGTTTGTTTTTGAGACGGAGTCTCGCTGTGTTGCACAGGCTGGAGTGCAGTGGTGTGATCTCAGCTCACTGCAGCCTCCACCTCCTGGATTCTCCTTCCTCAGCCTCCCAAGTACAGATGCCTGCAACCACACCTAATTAATTTTTGTATTTTTAGTCGAGACGAGGTTTCACTATGTTGGCCAGGCTGGTCTCAAACTCCTCAAGTGATCTGCCCACCTCAGCCTCTCAAATTGCTGGGATTACAGGCATGAGCCTCCACACCTGGTTAAAGAGTATTCTGTTCTTGAACCACTCCTTGATCTTACTCTTTTTAATCTCCATTGACTACCTTATCCAATTACAAAATGTTAACTTGTCACTTGGATGCTGATGTCTCCTAAATATCTCCACCATCGACGTTCTCTACCTCTCCAGTGGAGTATTCTATTTCACCTGAAACTTTTTCTTCATCAACACTATACTATAGATTCCCTGGGAGTAGGAGTCACATGTGATTTATTTGCAATGTATATTCCTAGTGTCTAAAACAGTACACACTAAGTACACATTTATTAACTCTGATTCAGGGGCTTCCTTCTAAGCCTTATACTACTCCCATTGAAATGCCCTTCTCTTACAACCCACTCACCTCTTGAGTTTCTGTTCATTTTCTCAGGATTTAATTCAAGCACTCCTTTGATGAAACTTTTCCTGAATCCTTTAGATAACCTAGCATGCACTCCACCCCTACCATTAACATAGGACCACACCTTCTTTCTGATTCTGGGTTCTTATTTGTGTCTTAGTAATGATAATATTTTATATTTATATATATATATATGTATATAAACTCATACATACACACACCCCACATACAAACACATATATATCACATATAAAACATAATTTATCATATATGTATATAGATACACAAACACATATATGTAATATGCCTATATATACACACATATACGTATACAGTACTTATATATTACATATCTGTCATCCTCAACATGATTGTTGAAGCCAAGGACAATAAATGTCATTGTTTACTTGGGATTGCAGATATGTTTTCTAAGGATTAGAAAGGTGTAATACATAAGTACTGCATATGACATGAATGGGTACATGTCATAATATAAATGATTTTTTATAAAAAAGATATGTGGAACAAAAAATAAGTTAGAAAACAAAAACTAAGTGCTATTAGAATTATCTTTAAATACATATATTAAAATAAAGATATGCACATGGATTAGTACAAAGTTTAGATGAACTTTTAGAGATGCTAGTTAGGAACCAAAATTTACTTTTGTAAAAGAAACAGCTTACTTTTTATCCAGGCAGAAATCTTGACCCTCCTTATCTTACTTTTTCCAAATCTGTTCATTCTAATAATGTATCTTACTTTTTAATTCAAAATGGTTCCCAACACAGTATAGACCATATATCAAAAATATCTACATGCTACTTTCATATTGCTAAAGGTTAAATATGGACTAAAGTCTATTTTTTATCATTCCATGCTGTTACCTTACAAGACCATAAGAATTATTATAAAATATATAAAAAGACATTTTTATATATTATTTAATATAATGACTGTCATTTACAATAGTCACAACTATTTTTGTTGTCAGTGAAATTTAGTTCCACGTACAGAAAAGTAAAGCAAACATAAGAAGAAAAACAAAGATCTTTAGATTGCATTTTAAAATTTTTCTATTATTCCAATCTAATAGACTGTTTAAATTATTTCCTTTCCCTGCTTCAGAATTCAGCTTTCTTTGTTAGTTTGTCTATTCTATAAAGTCATTGAGTTTCTTGTCATATGTTCTAGGATAGCTTGCATGTGCTCCCTTCTTTGAACAACAGCTCCCTCAAAAAGTAAGTTCTTTTGGGCCGGGCGCGGTGGCTCACGCCTGTAATCCCAGCACTTTGGGAGGCCGAGGAGGGCGGATTGCCTGAGCTCAGGAGGTTGAGACCATCCTGGCTAACACAGTGAAACTCCTGTCTCCACTAAAGCACAAAAAATTAGCCGGGCGTGGCGGCATGCGCCTGTAATCCCAGCTACCTGGGATACTGAGGCAGGAGAATTGCTTGAACTCGTGAGGCGGAGGTTGCAATGAGCCGATATCACACCACTGCGCTCCAGCCAGGGCGACAGAGCAAGACTCCATCTCACAAAACAAAACAAAACAAAACAAAGAAAAAACAAAAAAGTAAGTTCTTTTAAGGCCCTCTAATTCTATGATTCAGATATCCTTTACTATTTTTTATAAACAAAGACATCAAAATTAAACATCATAATTATTAAAATCTTTTGACACATAACTTACAGAAACAGAGCTCTATCAATCAAGTAGAGAATAAGGAAATACCTTCAGTTCATTTGCTTTACTAGTCCAACTATGAGAGTCGTTTTAAAAATGGATATCATAAGCCACACAGTGTTATTTATGTTTTGAGGTGGTTCATTTTCTGAGGTTGTTACCAATTTTAGACATATTTAGTACATTGAAAATATTTAAATATCACTCCTTTTCACGACTTATCTAAGTATAGAATTATTAACATTATCATAGATCTCTAAATAATTTACTATCCACTAACTGGCTTACTATATCAGTATTCAAAACATTTAACCTAAATGTATACGAAAGTGCTCCTAAGAAGTTTGTAAAGGTTACTGAAAACAAGATCAAATGTATTCTAGGGAAGCTATTATTTAAAATGTATATTAGTAATTCTTATATAAGCATAAATTCTTAATTGTGCAAAGACCACATCCCCATCTCACTTTGTCAAAGGCCCCTTCAAGTTCAGATTTTCCCAAACATATTCCAGTTAAAGCAAAACTTAAGAAACTGTAAGCATTAGCACTAACAGCCAGTTTAACAGAGTATAGATCAATGAAAGCAAAAAATAATAATAATAATTTCCAAAAGGACTGATTGTCTGAGCAACTTCAAGTATACATATACACATTTGTGTTCTTGCACGTATTGATCTATGTAAATACTTGTGATTTCCTATGAGTCTACTTTAAATAATTTGTAGGTTTTCAAAACCAGATGCTTTTCTTTCCTTTTCTTTTCTTTTTTTTTAATAACAGTGTTAGTCTCCTTATGTGATATAAAATAATCTAAAAGTCTGAAGTGGCAGAAAAGAGGCAGAAATGGAGACGACTGGCTAGAGTTATCAATTGTTATCTGATTGGTCCTCTGACTCTCCTAGTTCACAGCTTGTCAGAAAAAGATTTGCTAGATGTCATGTACTACATGGTGACAGAATCTTTTCTCAATCTTAGGGCAACAGCAACTGCTTTAAACTCAGGAGCGTCAGTCATTATGGCTTTGTTACTCTTGTTCTTTTCCTGGGTGCGTTTCGCTATCTCTTATCTTTTGCCTATAGTCACAGTGCCTGCCAGGCAGAAGAGCACCCCTTCCAGGTATCAGCACACAGGTCTGCCTGTATGCATCATGACGCCACTGTCCATTCACAAAGAAGAGAAAGAAAGCCACAGCTTTACCCGCAGGAAGGAGAGGTCCCGGTTGTGCTCAATGCTGGTTATCTCCAGGTTGCCCATGACAACCTCACAGTTTTCATAGTACTTGCGCAAGGCTCGGTACTGCTGTTCCAGGTCAGAGAGAGAGCTCAGTTTATTCTCCGTTCCTGCACACACTGCAAAGACAAGAAGATACACGTGAAATTACATAACCTTTATATGATATGCGCAATGATAATATCTTTCTCAAAACTCTCTATTCCACAAGCCTATCCCAGTTCTCTGAATATAAATATTTCGATCGTCATTAAGAGGCATAGACCCACGCACTGATGAACATTTTCACTTTTATATTCCCAAATTACATGTGCTAATCACAGAGAGTAGGAAGGCATAGATTCCACAGAAATATATAGCAAGGAGATAAACTTAATCCCATTTGTTATGACCATATAAAGCAAGTAAATACATTTACTTTTATTTAAACATTTTTTTTTTTAGGACATATGATTTACTCTGTTTTCTAATTGGGTAATTCTACAAATGTAAATAAATCAAAATCAAAAGATAGTGAAAGCAACAATTTTATTTTAAAATCATAGTTATTATATCAGCTGTTCCAGCTGAGTAAATTTTTTACTAAATAAACTAGCACCTACAAGACCTCAAACATGCGTTTTTATTTTTATTTTTTAACTTTTATTTTAAGTTCAGGGGTACATACGCAGGCTTGTTTACATAGGTAAACCTGTGGCATGGGGGTTATTCATACAGATTATTTCATCACCCAGCTATTAAGCCTAGAACCCATTAGTTATTTTTCCTGATCCTCTCCCTCCTCCCAACTTCCATTCTCCAATAGGCCCCAGGGTATGTTTTTCTCCTCTATGTGTCCATGTGTTCTCATCATTTAGCTCCCACTTATAAATAAGAACTGCAGTATTTGGTTTTCTGTTCCTGCTTTAGTTTGCTAAGGATAATAGCTTCTAGCTCCATCCATGTCTCTCCAAAGGACATGATTTCATTCTTCTTTATGGCTGCATAGTATTCCATGGTATATATGTACCAGATTTTCTTTATCCAGTCTATTATTGATGGGCATTTAGGGTGATTCCATGTCTTTTCTATTGGGAATAGTGCTGCAGTGAGCATAAACGTGCATGTGTCATTGTAATAAAATGATTTATATTCCTTTAGGTATATACCCAGTAATGGGATTGCTAGGTTGAATGGTATTTCTGTCTTTAGGTCTAAACTGAAATATTTGTAAACATATACTACAAACCAGATATGTAAAAAATACAACTTTTATTGTTATCAACTAGAGTATCACTGTATATATTCATGAGTTTCTGAGGTATAATGGACTGATAATAAATAATCTGTCTGCCAAGTTCTATTCCTATGTGAGCACACAAGTTTACACAAGTTTTTGTTTTGTTTTTTAATTTTGTGGCTGGGCATGGTGGCTCACACCTGTTATCGCAGCACTTTGGGAGGCCGACGCAGTTGGATTACCTGAGGTCAGGAGTTCCCAACCTAGCCAACATGGAGAAACCCTGTCTCTACCAAAAATACAAAAATTAGCTGGGCGTGGTAGCTCATGCCTGTAATCCCAGCTACTCGGGAGCCTGAGGCAGGAGAATAACTTGAATCTGGGAGGAGGAGGTTGCAGTGAGCCAAGATCATGCCACTGCACTCCTAGCCTGAGCAACAGAGTGAGACTCTGTCTCAAAAAAAAAAAAAAAAAAAAAAAAATTGTGTGTGACTTCCAGAAGCCAGATTTTTAGATACTATTCTTATGGTTTATATACCTGCCAGAACACAATCTTCACCACTTAATGTACTGACTCTAATCCTAAGTAGATTAAAAATAGATATTATAAATCTATTAATAATGGTATGTAAAGAAAATGGTTTGGTAAGTTACATAAGATATACTGAATTTAAGGCAAGATACAAAGTGGAGACTGCAAACATACTAGGAACACAGCTTAGTAATAAGGTAATATATACATTCATGTCTTATATACACAGAAGTAAAAAAGATGCTATGATGCCTGATGTTGTTTTCAAAGGGATGAGTTCCTGCAGAGGAAGGAAAACACATCTAGATGGGTATAGCCTAATAATTAGGACCACCTTAAAGCCTGTTTTTGCCTATGAACACATCGAAAATAACAAAAATCTTAATCCAAAAATCTTGAAAAATAGTGTATGTTTGTAACCATAGTGGAAATTCATTATAAAAACAAAATCCAAACTTTTAAAGTCTGGATTTCTAAAGTTCACCAAAAAGTATATTTTCTAGAAGTACTCTGTTACCAGCTAAATTGTGTGTCCTAAAAGACAAGTTGAAGTCCTAATTCCCATTACTTAGAATGTGACCTTACTTGGAAATAGGGTCTTCCTAGATGTAAATCAAATTAAGATGAGGTAGGTCATTTGGGTGTTCCCTAATTCAATATAATGATAATAAGACAAACTTGTTCAACCTGAAGCTATCAGGCCACATGTAGCCCAGGATGACATTGAATGTGGCCCAACACAAATTCATAAACTTTCTTAAAACATTATATTTTTTGCTGGGTGCAGCGGCTCATGCCTGTAATCCCAGCACTTTGGGAGGCCAAGGTGGGCGGATCACGAGGTCAGGAGATCGAGACCATCCTGGTCAACACAGTGAAACCCCGTCTCAACTAAAAATACAAACAATTAGCCGGGCCTGGTGGCGGGTGCCTGTAGTCCCAGCTACTCGGGAGGCTGAGGCAGGAGAATGGCATGAACCCGGGAGGTGGAGCTTGCCGTGAGCCGAGATTGCGCCACTGCACTCCAGCCTGGGCAACAGAGCGAGACTCCATCTCATAAATAAATAAATATTTAAAAAAACACATTATGTTTTTTGAATCAGCTATTGTTAGTGTATTTTACGTGCAACCCAAGACAATTCTTTTTTCGATGTGGACCAGGGAAGCCAAAGATTGGACGGCCCTGATATAAGAAGAGGAAAATACCACGTGCACACAAAGACAATCAGGAAAGAAAGCCCCGTGACCAGAAAGGCAAAGGGTAGAGCTATGTACCTACAAGCCAAGGAATGCCAAAGATTGATGGCCACCACCAGAAGCTAGAGAGTGGCAAGGAAGAATTCTACCTGGAGTTTCAGAGGGAGAATGAGCCTGCTGTCACCTTGATTTTCAACTTCTAACCTCCAGGACAGTGAGAGAATAAATCGCTATTGTTTTAAGCCACCCACTCTGTGGTATGTTGTTACTATTTGTCTCTAAATTCCGCATTAAATAAATGTTAAAAATCACTTTCTCTCTCTCCAGGGTCCTATCAGCTTATAACCTCCATGCTACACTTCCATTGCTTCCTCCAAGCCCTTTATACACCATGCTGGAATTCATTTATTGCCTTTGAGAATGCAGATTTTGTAGAGTGATACGGATGGATGCTATGGTAAATACCTCTAAAATCTTTAATATCCATTTTCCAATTCCTTCATTGTAATAGACTGCACAATTTTTAGCTGGACACATGGTCACCCAAAATAAAGATTATATTTCTCTCCTCCCCTTAGAGGTAAGTTTGGCCAGTGGACTAAGTTCTGACATGTTGCATGACACCTTCCCAGAACTTGGTTTCAAACACGGTTGAAGCCTGACTTTGCCTGGTTTATTCTTCATAAGTTCTTCCAGCCTGATGCCAGAAATGCAGATGTCATGGCTAAAATATGAGCCATCATCTTGGACCGTAAGAATGAGTGACACACCTTAGAGATGGCTGAGAACTGAGCTAAAAGGAAGTAGGATTTTCAAGCAATAGATATTTTACATTGTCATATTATCAATACCATCAAGATAATGATGAATATTGGCCCCACCTGCTAAAATGTTACACACAGAAAGGATTAAATTCTAGTTGTGTTATATGCTTTTGACTTTGAGTAAATTTAACTATTGTGCTTGGTTTGACTGAATTTGCTAAATATATAATGAAATTACAGTATCATTCCTAACCATAACGACATTTTATTGGCTCTGTGGAATGTTCTCTTATTATTAAAACAAACACCCAGGAAGAAATGATATTCAACATAAGGAGAAGAAGAAGAAAAAGTTGATTCATGTGCATATTCCTTATAAATCAAGATCGAAGTCCAAGATATTTTTCATTATATATTAAAGGCCCTTTTGGAAAAAACCTTAATCCATGATCTTTATTTTATTGCTCCCAGTAAATTTATATAAAATCTTTATAAACTAATAAAATGACTGTTGAGAAAAGGTATTATTATATGGGTTTATGAAATATAGATTTTAATTATCTCAAATTCCAATGAGGATGAACATATTTTAGTACAACCAATTATGGGGATAATATAAGCATCCATTAATAAATTTGCTGCACCATTTCTAAAGTATATCCAATAACACATTGCAACCTATATATAATTTATGTTGTATAGTTTCTCTCAATTGGAAATAATACTCATACTTTAATATTAATATAAAAAATCAATAGGTAATAATCTAAATGAAAATGTTCTCAAAATAGTTGGTGTATTCTGACCTTTTATATAGAAGCTTAAACAACCTTTGAGAGATGCATCTATTACTGTAACTGCAATATCTAGGTATTTTTGCATAATTCCCATTCTACATATATAAAAAGGTATACAATATTATATCCAATATAATATAATATTATACAATAATATTCAAATCTGGATAGTTATATATTCATAAGTTCTCATTAATATTCATTTAAATATTTGTATGGTATAAATACTTAGGATTTTGTTTAAACTTCTTATAATGAACATATGCTACCCTACATTGCAATAATTCATTTACTTGATATCAGAACATTTATAACTCGTACTCAGAAAATGGCCCTCAACTAAAAAAAATTGCTATTCCTCAATAAATGATCAGGTAAGTTTTGTATATACCTTCTTAAAATGGAAAATTTGAATAAGTATGTTTAGAAATATTTTTTGACAAAAAAAGATCCTCCAAAAAACAAAATTAGATTAATCACAATACTCTATTT
Source organism: Homo sapiens (assembly GCF_000001405.40). NCBI lineage: Eukaryota > Metazoa > Chordata > Mammalia > Primates > Hominidae > Homo > Homo sapiens. The sequence continues at coordinate 212,129,786 of NC_000002.12, forward strand.
GCCAAACATTCTAGTCTTTGCAGTTTTTTTTACTACATGCTGTTCAATTTAGTAGATATTTTTGTCTCATTGAGGCTTTCATTTATGTTTGATTCAAACTATCTAGAATCCACAGTATATTCATCATAAATTTTATCTTGAAAGACACACTTGATTTTTGAAGAACTGGTTTGGATAGGCTCATAGAAATCATTTGTAGTTGTTTTTGTGGAGCCTCCACTGAGTAACTCACAACTTTCATTTGTCAATTGATTTTACAATCAAGCAATGTATACAAGACAACGCTTAAACCATCAAGTTTCATTGATTTCACAAAGCTGTTTATCAAAACACAATTGAAAAATTGTCTTCAGCAGCCAAAACAAGTTTAACAAAATTCAGCCACCTTTGTCAATACTATTATAAAGTCCTTAAACTATAAGCCTACAATAGTTCAAGCATCAAAAATCCAAAATTTACATGTGATCCCTAAAGTTTTCATTCCAAATGTAACTCCAGGAGTAAAGCTGGATGTGAGGTCCTAATAAAATCCTCAATTATTCTATTTGTATTGATTCTGTTACAAATGTAGCTATACTTCCAAACACAGGCTTTTTATTTTTCTTAAGATTTATATCCAACAGCGTGTGAACCATATAATCCTCATTCAGTAAAAAAGTAAAAAGTTGGTAGCAACATAAAAAGGTTGGTTAACAGTGGATTAATTTGATTCATGGGGAAATATATTAAAAGTAAAATAATGAAACCTTAACAATATCTATATTAAAACTAAAAATTAATTATCGCCTCCAAGCTTGTTCTGGCTATGAAATCAGCACTCTATTTGCTTACAAAGAAAAGATGATGGGAATTAAAAAAAGAGAATTACCTAACTCTCAGATCAAATGCCTATTGCGAGATATCAGTTTATCAATTAAGAAATGAATAATTATTTATTTGGCATCTACTCGTCTCCAAATGTCATGAAAAAATAATTACTGAGAAAAATTTCCAAGTTGTTTCATAGGGGCTTGTATAGTTTTACAAGGCACGTAGCAAGGAAAGCAGTGAGCAGTATATTTAAGTCATGTATATATTGTGTGTGCATAATTCAAAGGCTGGCTACATAAAATATGGAACTTGATAAAAAATTCTTTTGCTGATTTAACACCAATAAGTACTTTCCTTTTCAGAAATGTTAATAAATGCACCTTGGATTTATGCATATTGTTGGGCATTAAAAAATCTAGCATTGCAGTAAACATCAAAATACAAAATATTGAAGACCACAGAAGAAGCAATAACTATTTCCAGTGACTATTAATGAATGCTATTATAGTTATGCAGAGATGGCAAGTTTTGTTATCTCTATGTTCAAAATACATCCCCAAATGGGTCCAAACTTGTCACTTCCACTGCTATAGTCATTTAATCCAAAACACTGCTATCCCTTCCCTGGACTTACACAGCGGCCTCCTAACTAATGTCCAGGATTTCCTATTTGCCCCATTAATTAATTCGCAACCCAGAGAACAGAATAATATTTTTAAAAATATAAATCATTCATGTCACTAAAAACACCCTTTGGCATCTCATTAAACTTACTGCAAAATCCAAACTCTTTAGCTTGTAAGAATCTGTAGTCATCTTTTCTCAAATGTCATTCTTTCAGAAAAGCCTTCTCTGACCACCTTATTTAAATAAGTACCGGGTTTCCAAACATTGTGCTCTACCAGGAGACACAACAGTTATTCCATTGAATTGGAAGTGACTGCCGTGCAGCCACTTTGGGCTCCTCATTCCTTTGAATCAACAGGCAAAGAAAGGAATTGCTAAGCTGGCTGGGATAATTGATCCTGACCACTAAGGATAGTAGCAGATTCTATCAATATTACTACTCCACAATGGAGGTAATAAGGAAGAGTATGTCTCTAATACAGGACATTCCTGTGGGCGTCTCTTAGTATTACCATGCCCAGTGATGAAATTCAATGGAAAACTACAACCACCCAATCAAAGCAGGACTAGTACGGTCCAGTGCATTTTGCAATGAATGTTTGTGTCACCTCAACAGGTAAAGAACCATAACCAACTGAGGTGCTTGCTGAAGGCAAAGGGAGTATGAAATGGGTAGTAGAGAAAGGTAGTTATAAATACCAGCTATGATCATGTGACCATTGACAGAAATGGGTACTGTAATTGCCATAAGTATTTATTCCTTATTATGTTATGAATACATTTTGTGTGTGGGTGTGTCTGTTTCTTTTCCTCTCTTATTTCCTTATCATGAAACATAAGATGTATTACTTTATGTCATAATATTTAAGTATTCTTAATTTTACACAATAGTATTTAAGTTATAGGATATCAAGGAGAAAAGCAAACATCAAAAAAGACTTCACTTTTTCTTCTGGGGACAAAGTGCATTTTTGGTTATAGGCATAATAGTTGTACCATGTTAGATGAAATCATTTACCTTTTATTGTCTTTAATTGGAGATTAAGTACAGATTAAGGAGATGCATATGGGTGCTATGCTGACAAGGGATGGGCCTGTGATGGTTAATTTTATATGTCACTTGATTGGGCCACAGCATGCCCAGAATGCTGGCTAAACATTATTTCTGAGTGTATCCATAAGGGCGTTTTCACAAAAGACTACCATTGAATTGGTATACTGAGTAGAGCACATGGCTCTCCCCAGTGTGGGTGAGTATTATCCAATCTGTTGCAGTGCAGGCACGGATAGAATAAAAAGGCAGAGGAAAATGGAATTTTCTCTCTGCCTGACTGCTTGAACTGTGACATAGATCTCCAGCCCTTGGCACTTTAGGTTCTTAAGTCTTCATATCCAAACTGGAATCTATACCATTGCCACTCTAACTCTCAGGCCTTTAAACTACACCACTAGCTTTTTTGGGTCTCTAGCTTGCAGATGGCAGATTGTGAGACTTCTCAGCCTCCATAATTGTGTGAGCCAAGACTATATAGTACATTTTAAATAAATCTCTATGTGTGTGTGCGCGCTATATATAGCATATATGTGTGTGTGTATATATACTTGTATATATATGCTATCTGTGCATTCCATGGCCCAGACAAATTGACATAGAAAATTAACTATCATAAGCCCATCCCTTGTTAACGTGGCACACATACACAACTTCTTAATCTGTACTTAATCTCCAAATAAAGAAAATAACAGGTCATACTTCCACCTAACATGATACAACTATTGTATCTACAACCCAAAATGCACTAACTCCTTCCTTGGGAGAGAAGGTAAAGTCCTTTCTTCATGTTTGCTCTTTTTGATATCCTGTAACTTAAAATTTTTTGGTTCTGTTTCTCTGGGGAACCCTGAGAAACACATTTATGTTTATTCATTCTCCACACAGAGGCCAGAATGTTTTTTTCAAAAATGTAAATTGTTCATGTCACTCCCCTACTGAGAACAACCCTTGGCTTCTAATTGCACTGACTATAAAATCCAAAGTTCTTATAGCCTATAAGAACTTGTATTTAAGTATTTGCTCAAATGTCACCTTTTCAAAACAGCCTTTTCTGACCACCTTATCTAAAATAGACATCAGGTTCCCATACATTGTGTTCTGCTTTCTTTTCATTTTGGTGTTTTTTTTTTGTTTTGTTTTGTTTTTGTTTTTTTTTTTGCTATGTGAATTTACATTATACATCTGCAAGTTTACCTTTTTATGATATGTCTCCACATTAGAATGCAAGCCTCATAAGAGAGGCCTTTGCTCAGCACCTCGGAAAGCAGGCATATAGCAGATGTTCAGTAAACATCAGTAAACAGGCATAGCTGTTCAGTAAACATTTGTTAAATAAATATATGGACTTCAGAGTCACTGAGAACTAGAATGAAAAAAAAAAAAGGTAAAGAATATACATAAAGGAAGGCCAGGTGTGGTGGCTCACGCCTGAAATCCCAACATTTTTGGAGACTGAGGCCAGAGGATTGCTTCAGGTCAGGATACCAGCCTAGGTAACAAAGTGGGACCCTTTCCCTACAAAACCTTTTTAAAAATTAAGAAAATAAAAATAAAAGAGAACTAGAATGGAGCCAGAATCAAACACTGGTTCCTCCATTTTTAAAAGCTGAATGAACTTGAGCAAATCACTTCATCACTTTGAGTCTTGGTTTCCCTGTCTACAAAGTAAGGTTTTATGCTGAGTGTTCTTCATAAATCCAGCTTAACTGTTATGAGCACAACATTTCTAGGATAATTTTTTTCAATTGATGGGTAATAGTCATTCCTATCTTTTTTCTAACCCTCATGGAAATGCTTCCCTTAACTCAGCATACATTTCATCATGTTATATATTCTAGAATTCTACTTTAAAACTAGGGTTTTTATTTCAGACTTGAATATTGCAATTTATCATATGCTTTTGCAGTTTTGAGAAGTTTTTTTTTAATCTTATTAGGGTAAATTATTGATAAATTGCAATTATTAAACCATCCTTACATTCTTGAATGAATCATATACAATGATCATACATTACTCTATTAGTATAATTCTGGATTTTATTGCTCTTATTCATTTGTACTGGTATCTTTTAATATAAAAAATTTGTATCAATGTTTTAAAATATCTTTATCAGATGTGATTAGGGCCAAAAGAGTTTAAAAATTGAAATGAATTTATATTTCAGAAATTTCATATTCTACATAATTAAATGTATTAAAGAAAAAACTATTAGCAAAATAGGAAATGTGTTTCATAATTTTCATTACATAAAACTAGACATAAAATATTTTTCAGTGTAAAAATTGGTATCCTTTTAAAAAAAATCCTATTATGTATTATCTGAATCTTTATCTTCTACCACTGTTTTATTGATTCCCAAAGTGATAAAACGTAGACTGCTGAAATTAACTAAACACTTTCTTTTTTTTTTTTTTTTTTTTTTTTTGAGATGGAGTCTGGCTCTGTCGCCCAGACTGGAGTGCAGAGGTGCAATCTCGGCTCACTGCAAGCTCTGCCTCCCGGGTTCATGCCATTCTCCTGCCTCAGCCTCCCCAGGAGCTGGGACTACAGGCGCCCGCCACCATGCCTGGCTAATTTTTTTTGTATTTTTAGTAGGGATGGGGGTTTCACCGTGTCAGCTAGGATGGTCTCGATCTCCTGACCTCGTGATCCGCCTGCCTCGGCCTCCCAAAGTGCTGGGATTATAGGCGTGAGCCACCGCGCCTGGCCTACTAAACACTTTCTAAACAATCCTTGAGCCTAATGAAAAGAACTTTTGGCATTGTAGACCTTTACTAATAGATTTGTACCTATGGAAGACATAGGTATTCAATACCACAGACAGATGAAAGATAAATCAATATATTATATATACTCCTATCTGCTGATCTATCTAAAATTGAATTGATCTGTACTTTACCTCTTTTGTTGATTACAATAGTCTTTGAGAGCTCTCAAAATTCTTAAGTGCAGCTACTATATAGTGTGAGGGAAAATAACCTCATAACTGAAAACTAAAAAAACTGATGTACCTCAAAATTATACATGATTGTCTTCTATGAGTAATATGGTTTTTGAGTAGTCTACCTTGATATAGTCTTCCCAATATAAACATTTATCTTTGTAAATTTTTGTACTTTGTATTTCAAAGATGAGCTTGGTAAAATTAAAAAATTGCAAATGATTTTTAATGTATCATATCAAATAACAACTAACTTATAACTGCATATATATATATTCTGTCTTTATTGTTTCCCTGTCTTCAAATATTTTTTCTTAATTTTTATTTCATAACATTTCTATGTTGAAAATAGGAAAAACAGAAAGGCTTTACAGATTTAGAAATTACATTTCTGTCATCTATACATACTTGGATGAAATAATAAGATCACAGAAATACAATTGTCAGAAATGTAATATTCCCTTTACCACATTTTGTCACTATTCTCTGCCTGCCCTCTTTATCCCTCCCTCATACAAAGTCCTTCTTATTTACTTTGTAGTATTTCATTTCCTGTGAAAGTGCTAGGTCCTTAACTTTAATGTAGGCACTGGACTTGACAAGCAATTAAAACAAACAATTTCCACTCATCAAGGCTTGCCAAATTAGTCATCTGCCATCTGCCCCATCATCTGGCTCTCCTTGAGGTCTTGCTGTGAATCTGGATGCACTTTCACAGATTAAGAGGGACAGTGCAAACCTCCAAGCTGGTAAAATGCCAGTGGGAGCTAAGTATGTAAACATTAGCAAACATCTTTCTTCTCTAGATTATCATGCCTTCAACCATCCCCTCGTGTCTAATAAAAACCAGCCTGATTGTGATGCCTTATCACTGTGAGACCTTTGCCATTCACTGTAATTAAAGCGGCAGTGTGTGGGATATTTTTCCTGTTAGGAGAATTTACAAGAAGGAATTAGACTAGATGTTCCTAATATGATACTATACTCACATATCAAGGTGGATTTCTTAAGCATTGATAAAGATGTGCACATTAAGAAATGGACTATGGCCTTTCTCTTGCATTGGTTTCAGAGTGAGACTTCCTTTTTCATTCCTTTCATCAGCTAATGTTTACTTGACTAATAATATGCAATAGGCACTATCTAGGGTAAATGTTCAATCAGCTTACACTAGAAACGGGAAAAAATGAGAAATAGCAAGAGTGAAACATTGTACTATTGTCACCCCATGCTTGTTTATAAGGTCTCTCTTCCTTCAAAGCATTCTCCAACCCAGGGCTACTCTTGGGCAATAGGTACCTTCATGCAAATGCACTAGGGTGGCACTCTTTTAAGTGAAACAAACTCCATGAGGGGCACATGACCTGGACATCACAATATACACTGCATTTTATCCCCATCTGTTCCCTAGTACATGAGTATGCTTGCAGTGGTGAGCTTGCATAATTGTAAACAGAAGCTCTGGTTCACTCCACTGTTCCAAGTTATCTGTCCAAACTTGCTCATTCAGGGTAAAGTTGTGTCTAATTTAACGACCCTTTTAAAATTAAAAGAAAAGTCTGTGAATGTTAGACTTGGGGTGAGAAGAAGGGGTGTGGCAAACAACATTTTTGACTGACAGTCTTTACTGTTATCTTCAGATGATTTACATATAAAGCCTAATCCAAGATCACCTTCTAACAAGTTTTCGGGGATGTTTTAAAACCCAATTCATAGTCACATTATTCTCTTGGATAAAAAACAAAAAGCACCCACCTGATACTAATATAGACTAGATTATAAAATATATTATTATAATTTATTTTAAATTGTTTTCCTGTGCCCAAACTCTATTATTCTAGAAACTAGATTCTATAATCTCCAGTGGGTTGGTCTCTCTAAAACATTTAGATGAGTAGTGGGTTGTTATTTTTACAAGATAATCATACTTACAAGTACAGTCACAATCAACTTTCCTTTTTTTAACTTTTATTTTAAGTTCCAGGGCACACATGCAGGTTTTTTACATTGGTAAACTTGTGTCATGGGGGTTTGTTGTACAGATTATTTCATCATCCAGGTATTAAGCTTAGTACACATTAGTTATTTTTTCTGATCCTCTCTCTCCTCCCACTCTCACCCACCAATAGGCCCCAGTGTGTACTGTTCCCCTCTGTGTGTCCATGTGTTCTCATCATTTTGCTCCCACTTATAAGTGAGAACATGCAGTACTTGGTTTGCTGTTCCTGTGTTAGTATGCTAGGGATAACGGTCTCCAGCTTCATCCATGTCTCTGCCAAGGACATAATCTTGTTCTTTTTTGTAGCTGCATAGTATTCCATGGTGTATATGTACATTTTCTTTATGCAGTCTATTATTAATGGGCATTTAGGTTGATTCCATGTATTTGCTATTGTGAACAATACTGCAGTGAACATACACGTGCATGTGTCTTTATAACAGAATGATTTATATTCCTCTGGGCATATACCCAGTAATGCGATTGCTGGATTAAATGGTATTTCTGTTTTAGGTCTTTAAGGAATCAACACACTGTCTTCCAAAATGGTTAAACAAATTTATACTCCCACCAACAGTGTATAAGCACTCCTCCTGCTGAGCACCAAAAGAAACTATCAACAGAGTAAACAACACACTTTCAAGTACTAACTGTAATTGGGTGTTTGATAAGGAGACAGCCACCACTAGAGAAATATCTGTCATTCGTTTATTCGTTCTGTCACGTATTTATTCAATAAATGGTTACTGGAAAACAATACATGGTGCTCTGGGTTATCTGTAAAAGGAATAATAAATACAATCTATGTCACAGATTTATAACATTTTACATTCTAAGATAAATCCTCTGTAGAATTTTTAGAAATAATAATAGTATACAAATTTAGTTAAGCTGCTAATAAATATGAATAATTTTATCTGACTTTGATTCACTGCTACTGAATAAGACCCACAATCAAAGTCAAAGTTCATTTTACCCACAATAACATATAAAACAGAGCCCTTCTCGCCTACCACACATACGAAATATACATCGTTTTGTATAAAAGTTAGACATCACTTGTGAGAAGAAATTTCCTGGGCATAACAGTAGTCAATGATGTTACCGATCTACTCAGCAGCATCTACAATGGAAGAAATATCATACCTTATGCTGTGGTGTGGATGTTTGCCCCCTCCAAAACAGATTGAAACTTAATCCCCAATGGAGCAGTATCAAGAGTCTGTTAAAAATTCAGCCTGGCATTCTGTAGCCTTCTTGCCATGTGATACCCTCTGCTGCCTCAGGACCCTTCAGACAGTCTCTACCAAGCAGACCCTCACCAGATGCAGCTCCCCATTCTTGAACTTTCTAGCCTCCAGAATTATAAAAAAACACAATTCTTTTCTTTATAAATTACCCAGTCTCAGGCATTCAGTTATAGCAACAGAAAAAGGAGTAGGATACCTTAACAAATGTTTTATTCAGTTAGCCAGGTTAGTGTATATCTTTTAGTATATATTTAACTAGGTCCTCATTCACTTGTCTAAAAGGATAAGGAAAAATTGCTCTGACACAGACCGGATACACACATTATTGAAAACTATTCCATTTCAGGCTGATTTTCAATTAAGTCCCCATTCTAAATTACTTAATAACGATATGATTGAACATGTCATGGGTATTGTTTTTAGTCTTTTTTCATTTTATTTAATTCAGAAATTTGATATTATAGTTAATAGCTAATATTACTACCAAGTTCCCTACTCACTTCACACTCCTATGGGTAAGTAAATGGGACTTCAGAGATCACATGGATAGTTACTTAATTTGGAGTGTTTTCCCATAAAGTTTCACTAATCTTTGGACTTAAAAATCTGATATCCTATTCGTGGGCTTTATTATAATAGAGTAGCATGTTATAATACAAAATCTATGATAAGATATTGAAAGTAAAAGTCCAACCTTTTAATGGAATTCACATCATTCACTATGACACACAAAGAAGAGCCAAGGTGACATTTAGCAAATTTTGTAAGTATTAGAGATGAACTCAGAAATGTCTTCTACATTTAAGAGCAATATTTAAAACAACACACACACACACGCACATGTGCACATACACATACATAGGGATACAATATTTGCTAGTATACAATATTTGCATTTTTATGCTACAGTGTTAACACAAAAATGCATTACAAAGTTCCTTAATTTATTTTATCTTAGACAATTTGGCAATAAAGGTATCAAAAATATACCACTGAGTGCTAAAAATATCTCATATCACACTAACAATAATAGAAGTTCTATAGCATCAGGTTCAATTTTTTAAAAAGTAGAGAATAATTGATGATTTTTTTCCTTATATAAGATATGACTAGTAACAAGAAAAAATTTTTCAATTGTACGTTTTAAATTAATACTTGCATAGTTATTTTTAAATTAATGTGAATTTCTGAGAGTCTAAATTATATATTTTGTAGCTGATAAGCTTCATATGTGCAAAACATATTTTCTAGCAGGTAAATACAATTTCAAACTAAATCACTTACTGTTTACATAGAGATACAGATGGAAAAGAAAACACACACTAACTTCTATTTTTAATCCTGCCACAGCACGAATCTGATCAATTTTTAAAATTTGAAGCACACCTTTTCCGAACATGACTCATTTTCAGTTCCTGACACAAAAATAATATGCACTTTATGATAAATTATATAAATAAGTATCTTTTTTATTATAGAATTCAAGTTTCTACTGATATTATTTGCCAGGATAAAATATAATCAATTAGTTGTTACATTCTTTGTAAATGTTCATTTCTTTTCAGATGCATTTACCACCTGATTATAACTTGTAAAGAAGACTTAATGCAAGTCAAATAATGACTATAGAATCTGGTTATAAAATGTATTAACTGTTTGAGAAACAAGATCCATGCAGTTGCATCATTTTTTATTGTTCTGGTCTCAAAAACTAAAATAAAATAAAATAATAACCCTTAAAACAGTCAATTCTTTGCAAAGATACTTTTTAAGAATATATGGGTTTATGTAAATGCATATATACATAAAAATATTAGCTGGGAAGAAAAAACAATAATATGTTGCAAATGGTTTTCTCTGATCAATAGATTTCTGGGTATGAGACATATAATATATATAGTAATATCTATATGTTTATGTATCTATAGTAATATCTATATATATTTATATATATGTTATATATATATACATATCATATATATTTGTCCTGTCATTTCTAAATTTATACTAGTTTTAAGTATTGTAAATGTAAAAAGTATATTTCATTTTTAAAAATGTTTTTTTTTTAATTTTAGGAAAGGGTAAACAGACAAACATTCTATAATATGCCATTTCTTTATAGAAATGTGTATGCTAACCAAATTACTATCAATACTTTTGATAATTTTGTAATTTTAATAGAACATTATTTTAGATAAAAATGTGAATTTATTTTTGATGTAAACAGTTAAGAAACTTTATTTTAAAATATCTAAAATAAAAGTAAAAAAGAATATATTCCTTAAAAAGTTGAGTGTAAACTGATCTACTCATCTATAAAGTTGCTCTATAAAGTTCAAAAACAAACCAATTTCCCACCTGAATAGACTAGGAAACATGAGTGTGTGTGTGTGTGTGTGTGTGTGTGTGTGTGTGTGTGTGTAGAGGGGAGTATTTAAGTTAATACCATAATTTCTGTGTATGCTCTAGGTTCTTTTCTAGTTCATGCAATTTGATATACAAAATTGTATAATATTGTTTCTATTTTACTAATTATTTATCTCTTCTGATCTCATATTTTAAATTATATTACTAATGTCTATATATAACTATTATATAACTAACGTCTATAACTACTTGTTTTGAATTATTTAGGTTCAATAGTAGTATATTTCCGTCAAGTAAAAATGCCATAAACAAGATGAAATACTTATATGCTGAAGACACATTACCTTTTATAAATTTAGAACTACAGCGTTGTACTCTTAATTGTTATGCATTATATTAGAAGTCCATGACAGATGCTATGGGTGATAGTCATTAGGTATTTACAACACATAAAAAGAATTTTATAGTACAATCTCAATGAGTACCAACCATTTTATTAATGAAGAAACTTGGCTCCCTGGTTCCCTCCATTTGTGACCCATTCCCTTCTCAATTTTTATTCCATACTGTGTAAAGAAAATAGGTGCAAGTTTCTAAAAATAACACTTCTTAGAAATACAAATAGGCTTCAGTCAAGTGAGTGCATGTAGAAAGACTGCTCCAACAGTACTATTTTTAAGATAGATTTTTTTCTTTTTTAAAAATAGAAAAACATTTCTAAAAGTTTATCCACTCCTTCCCTCCAATTTCCTTCAGCCTCCAATCTCATTTTAATAAATGGCACCCCTTTCACTAACTCAGGCAAAAATCTAGTCAGTCAACTATTCTCTCTTTCCATAACCCAGTTATAAAAGCCACAAAACCATATGCAAATCCATCAGCTCTTTCTTCAGAATATCTATCAGCTCCACCTTGCTATCTCTATTTCAAGCCACGAAAGTCCCTATTTGAATATTGCCATGTCTTTCCATCTGATGTCCCTGCTTTTCTTCTTGTCTTCCTCAAGTATATTTTATATCAGATATAAAACAATTTTACATCTTTTAACCTATAAATCAGATCACTAATCTTCTTTGCTCAAATATCTCCAATGGTTTCTCATATCAATCAGAATAAAATTAAAAGTCCTTATCTAGACCTACTACAAGGCACTTAGACCATCTATCTGCTACTTTTCTGATATCATCTCCTAGGATGTTTCACTTACTCAGATCTGGCCACAGGGGCCACCTTACTTGTCTTTGAACACTGCTATAAAAGTTTCAAAATGCTGATTATCAATTTATGGATTTATCTTGTGTACCAGTAACAGACTAGCATTGACCTGTGTATGACACTTTGAGTAGCATCATTTCAAAACATTATATTTTTTATCACTTATCACCAGCTGCCATATTATATCTTCATTTACCATGTAAGCCCTATGAGGGCAGGAACTCTGTTTTGTTCATTACTATATTTATAGCATTTGGAAGTACTTGACCCATAGTAGGTACTCAATAAATATTTAATGAATGAATGGATGGATGGATGGATGGATGGACGCATAAATGAATGACTGTTGATATTTTGGAATTCTGGCTAGAATTCCTCATTCATTATAACCCAAATGTTATTTCTGATGCTCAGAATGTTAGGACCAGAAAGATCTTTAGAGATCATTAAGTCCAGATTATGCATATAGATGAGAAAACAGCATTCAAGATAAGTTAAAGAACTCAGAAAAGGTCAAACAGTTAAATAAAGGACACATTATATATATATATATAATATTAAAATATATATATAATATATATAAATATTATCCTCAATTATATAGTTATATAACTCTAATATAGAAATACAGAGAACATGAATTCTCAAACGTTAGAGACAGAAATGGAATGAGACTCTTCATTTAGGCTATGTTCACATGGCACAGTGCCTCATGTGCTGCTGAGAGCTTTCATGAAACTGTCCACCTTTATGGAAAGGACTCCCAAACAAAATGTTACGCTGCCAGAAGAAAAACTGTATTGTAAAACTTGGCAGGGTGCTTAAGAACATTTGGCTAAACAGCACTAGTTGCCTATGTAATTGGAAAATAGATGTTTAGGAACATCTTTTTTTTTTTTCAAGTCCTGGCTGAAGCAAGTTAAATGTGACTTGTTAAAAGGAAACTTTTTGAAGAGTCATTTTAACAAAAGCATGTGTCATATGTATACAGAAGCTAACCAATATCACATGATAAACATAATCCTCAAAAATTTTCAAATCAAATTACATATTTCAAGTCATATTTTAGTGTACTATTGAAACTTTAAAAATATCTCATTGTGATTATTTTGCAAACAATCTTTTTGTAATGGAAAAATCACCTCATAATTTAACTGTTTTGTCAATTCAGATTTCAAAGATCATGCTTGCTTAAATATATTCACACCTGGAGTTGCACCTAACAATTGTATGCCAATTTACTGTCAGTGTATTATAATATTAAATTATTGTTATAGCTATTATTATGGTTAATAATAAAGTGTTGAATAATTTACAAAGCAGTTTTTTCCTGTTAACTTCTTTGATCCTAAATTACCTAAGAGATGGTTATAAGAGCCAAAATTATTAGAATAATTGCCAGGAATTCAAATTTTGGGTATCCTGGGAAAAAAAGGAACTTCTGAGAAATGTTCTAAAATTCTTCATGAATTAGCAACGAGGTGATAGAAATTCCCAGAAATACTAGATAGCCTTACCTTGGTATGGCTGTGACTCACATAGAAGGAATACTAGAAATGGGTTAAATAAAAACAGATTGATTAAGTTTCTATCCCACAGAAAAAGTGGGAGTGAATAATATCTTCAATGGACTCTACTACAAGCCTCTTCCTTTTCGCACTTTGTTCCAATGGAAGTTAATTAGATCGGCTGGACATGGTGGCTCATGCCTGTAATCCCAGCACTTTGAGAGGCCGAGGCGGGCGGATCACAAGGTCAGGAGTTCGAGACTAGCTTGGCCAATATGGTGAAAGCCCATCTCTACTGAAAAAAATACAAAAATTAACCATGTGTGGTGACGCATGCCTGTAGTCCCAGCTGCTTGGGAGGCTGAGGCAGGAGAATCGCTTGAACCCAGGTGGCAGAGTTTGCAGTGAGCCAAGATCACACCACTGCATTCCGGCCTGGGCGACAGAGTGAGACTTCATCTCAAAAAAAAAAAAAGAAGAAACTTAATTAGATCTATGAAAGTAAACTAGAAATAGATCAGGAATAGAAAATGGATTTGGCTACCATTGAAACTGTGGCTGATTTAGTAAGATTGCACACAGAATTCTGTTGGATGCATGCTAACTTTTTTTCAGTATTGTGATTTTACTTTGAACGTGAATTCTCAAATGATATGTATACTCACATTAATACACGTATGACCCTCTTTGGCAATTGTGTTAAATATTACTAATTCTTCATTAACCATTGAATGAAATTCTAGTCACCTAACTGGTATTTAAGATTTTCCATAAATTTAGAGATCCGCTACAATATCCCTTCACACTTGATCCAAAGTTATTTTTTCTGGAAAATGTTTTAAAAATAATCAAAACATAGTTTAAATATCATCCACCATTCAACTTACCCACAACTTTTCCTATATTTTTAATTCATTCCTTTGACCTTACCAAGAATACTTTGAAAGTATTTGACAAAATTAATATCCACCATTATCCTCAACTATTGCCTAAAGGATTTCATTCTTTCAGAAAAGTTCTGAATCAGTTACTCAATTTACATTTCCCTAAAATTTATATGCAAGGATTTATTATGTTTCTATTTGCAAAGTTGTTTTATTCTTATGTTCCAGTATATGGATCTTAATTCTCCATTAGATGATAAACCAGCTCATGGAGACCTCAAATTTTGTTTTTATCATTTCTGGCTGGGCAGGCCAGATGTAGTTCTTCTATCGCATAAAAAGTATTACAGAGATTTGTACATGTAAGCCTAGATTAGCTTACTGTAACCCAGCTGAGTAGACAGTATAATAAAATTAAGAGGCAAAATTTTTAAAAGATGTTAGACTGAATATATCTTAAAACCAGAATTTTAAAAATATAATTTCTAATCTTAGTATTTGCCTCTGCGTGTTTAACAGTTGATATCTCACATTCGTAAACCACTTTGGGGGAACTAAAAAAAGCTTTATGTGTAATTGAATGTTTACTTTGCAGCCTTCTACAGAATTAAGGAATCTGTGTTTTATAAGCTTATGTCAAAACATTTGGAGTATTTCTAACTAAAATGTGAGTACATACATAAATGTTTCCATTGCCTTTACATATTAAGTTTAAAAATTGTAGTTAAAACAAAAAAAATCCATTTGAAAATCAAATACTAGAGAAAGTTTTTAAAGACAGTTTTCGCAAGCCACAGCACTCTGACTCATAAGGCTTGGATAGTATTTTTACTTCCCAGACATAGCTAGACTAGTGGTTGCATAAATACTATTCATTCACACTATCAGAGCCTCCTTTTACCTCATGATTATACCATCATATTCCCCAATGACTAGTATTTTGGTACCAATTGTTATAAATTTCAGGGTTGTCTAGTATAAAATTAGCCCTCTTCCAGTATCAAAATATTTCACATGCCATCTTAGAATAATTAACTTACCCCAGAAAAGCTAAAGAGAAAGGGAGAAGGCAGTTGTTTTAAATGACCTTAAGACTTTTCTACATATTGCTATTCAGACTTCCAGTGATAAAACAAGAAATTGCTATAGGCCTTTAGACTTAAGAGTCACCCAGTCCACTCACTCTTCATCTTGCTAAGCAATGCAGGTCACACCTGAGATTCAACAGCTAAGTGTACAGCCTTGGCTGTGCCCACTCAACACGGAGTGAAGCAGCCAGCATGCAGTAAAAAAAAAAAAAAAAAAAAAAAAGCCACTGGAGTTCATTCTGTTGTACTTTCTCATCCTTATCGTCTTATTTTTTTCTCTTTGTCAATCTGTTTGAGAACTCTTTGGTGTCTATTATCTCTCACTTTCCTACCCATCCTTCAAAGCGGCTCCCCTTCTCATCACCACTGTGGAAAACTCTTTCATTTCATCCTACCCTTGCTCGGACCCAGTGAACTTACACCCAATCTATACTTCCTGTCCCCCTAAGGGCCCAAAGGGGATAGTCTACTTATGCTTCCTGGTGTGTCTCCACTAAAGAGCCTGGTTACTCCTCCCTTTCTCATAAAAGAGGTCTGACAAAAGCCTGCAATTTCATTTAGTTCCATATTATCCTGGCATCTTGACATTATTGTTTGACTTTGCTGTGGCCAGTATCTCCAGCTTTCAGCCCAATAATTTAGCTGAGGTAATGAATTAAATATTTAGTGTTTCAGTTATATGTTTAGATTGGGCTCCTCAATAATGTTAATGCCCACTATTTCTCTTATCCTGAATGGTGACAGACTGCAAACTGCCTTGCTGGGACTTCTATTTTCTGTTTTATTCTGTTCTCTGCCTTTTGCCGATGTCACCCTGTTTTCAGCCTCAACATTAAATAAATAGCCAAATACACAAGTGCCAAGAATTGTTGACAATATAACTCTAGAAGCATATGGTGCTAAGCTAGTAGAAAAACAATTCTTAGCTCAGTAAGTATTCTTCATTTGAAATTGTGCACTATTTCTTCTCCTTCTACTTGAAAAGTCAGCAAACTTGAGGACCAAGTGTCGCCTGGGGATCTAACTTGCATAAAACATTGTGTTGGCTCTGAAGCACTGAGATTCCATAGCAAGGCCAGCAATACATAAACTCCTCTGGTACTCCTACATTATTTATCCCTGAACAGCTAGGGGGCTTTTTGCAAAGACGTCCCTAACTACGGCAAGCATTCACTCTATTTAATGTTTATTTAATTAACAGTGCACAAACACCAATTCTGTGAGTGCAGTGGAGTCTGTGCACATCTTTAGATTTATTTTCTCAATTGATTTGGAAAGGCAGTAGCAGAATGGTGCCAGACATTTCTTCCCACCCAGTTATCCCTTAACACCCAAGAATCTCTCTATCTAAAAAGGCATTGGTTAAAATAGGGTAAAACTGATATGGGGACAAGACAGAAGAAAGGAATATCTGGGGGAAAAAGTTGGCAGAGAGAAGCTCTGTTGTCATTGTTAGACTTTTTTTTTTTTTTTTTTTTTTGAGACAGGGTCTCACTCTGTTGCCCAGGCTGTCTTGCAGTGGCAGGATCTTGGTTCACTGCAGCCTCCATCTCCGGGGTTCAAGTGATCCTCCCACCTCAGCCTCCTGAGTAGTGGGGTCTACAGGGGCATGCCACCATGCCCAGCTAATTTTTTTTTTTTTTTTTTTTTTTTTTTTTGTAGAGATGGGGTTTTGCCATTTTTCCCAGGCTGGTCTCGAACTCCTGTGCTCAAGCCATCCACCTGCCTAGCCTCCCTAAGTGTTTGGACTACAGGCGTGAGTCATGGTGCCCTGTCTTTACACTTTCAAAAGAAGAATTACAATATTATTGTGAAATAATTGAATTTCTTCATTATATAAAATGTGAAGATTTAATCCAGCATCATTTAAGAGTTAGATAGGATGATCTGTAAGGTCACTGTTATTCTAAAATTCTATGTTCAGAATTACCTAGACTAGATTGCCTCTAAGTAGCACTCAGAATGAGACATCAAC
Organism: Homo sapiens; assembly: GCF_000001405.40. NCBI lineage: Eukaryota > Metazoa > Chordata > Mammalia > Primates > Hominidae > Homo > Homo sapiens. The sequence continues at coordinate 212,147,504 of NC_000002.12, forward strand.
TGTGGATTTTTATATCCTAAAGCACACAGGATAAAACTCAGAGATATAAAATGAAGCACTCACAAACTACTATCTACCACAGTACATAACTCTAAAAATCTCTGTAAACATATGAGAAAGGAAAGAAGCATCTTCTCAGCAGAATTGAATAAATTGAGGATGTATGTATTGAAAATCTACTTTAGGGTATAAGACTTCTCAGAAATAAAATCAAATCCAATAAAATCAAATTTTGTTAGTTTGAGAAACATTGTAAAGTTTTGTTTTGCTGTCATTATCTGAAGCCTACCATTAACCCTCCGTGAAGAAACTGGCTTTCTAAACTGAGGTAACATAAAGTTTCTTCATATTTGCAATTGTGGGGAGTTGGAATCCTTATTTTTCTCAAGCCTGTGGTCCCTTTTCTGTGATTTATCCTTCTTTCTCCATCTTTCCATTTCTAAGATTGGCCTAATAATCACTGTAATATCAGATGACTAAGTTGTGGATGCACACTTTTTATTGAATTACCTTTTGTGCAGACTTTGTGTTAAATTTTGCATTTATTAATGAACAATATGTTATTAGTAAACTTATTTAAAGGTTCTATTTTATTATTCCATTCATCACCAGGGGGCAGCACAATTCCCAAAGAGTATTTTCTTTTTTTTTTTTATTCAGAGTGAAAAAGTACAATGGCATAATTGGTACCGATTTCTATTGCAGCTAGAGGCATACACAGGATTATTCTACTTTTTTATGCAATGAATATAGACTAAAAACTAGCTGGATTCAGAAAATTGTATCTACAAAGAGGAATATACTTATTAGCAGATACCTCGCATAATTCAAAAAAGAAGGAAAAAGTATCATTAAGTTTGTGTGTTTGTGTATTATCTCTGAGGTACAAGAAAAATAAAATTATTGTTTTCTGAATTCCTTTATGGCACAGAAAAACATATAGGATGGCATTATTTCCCTTTACTATCTTGGGAAAGAAACATAAGTAATACAAAGCCCTAGGTACTTTCAAAGAGCTGAGGATGAAAGAGATGGGAGAAATGTGGAGAGATGGAGATAAAGGGATATTTCAAAGATGAGAAAGACATGGTTGGTTTCCTGAAAGACTTAATACATCAAAGATACCACAGTTTAAGAATAGTAAATAAACAATTATATTTTATTTTAAAATAAAGGACTATAAATCACGCTGCTATAAAGACACATGCACACGTATGTTTATTGCGGCATTATTCACAATAGCAAAGACTTGGAACCAACCCAAATGTCCAACAATGATAGACTGGATTAAGAAAATGTGGCACATATACACCATGGAATACTATGCAGCCATAAAAAATGATGAGTTCATGTCCTTTGTAGGGACATGGATGAAATTGGAAACCATCATTCTCAGTAAACTATCGCAAGAACAAAAAACCAAACACCGCATATTCTCACTCATAGGTGGGAATTGAACAATGAGATCACATGGACACAGGAAGGGGAACATCACACTCTGGGGACTGTTGTGGGGTGGGGGGAGGGGGGAGGGATAGCATTGGGAGATATACCTAATGCTAGATGACGAGTTAGTGGGTGCAGCACACCAGCATGGCACATGTATACATATGTAACTAACCTGCACAATGTGCACATGTACCCTAAAACTTAAAATATAATAATTAAAAAAAAATTTTAAAAAATTTGATTTTCTAAATTCACATACATGAGATTTGGAAAAGTAATTTATGATGAATTTATCTTTCATGACATTCCTGTTTATAAGCCTCCAATTGCTGCCTGGAGTATCACCTTTAAAAGTTCACATACAGTGACACAGAACTTTCAAACTATAGTGCTCGTCACATGTACTCTTTTTTAAAAAATGTGTTGGTTTTTATAGATCCATAAAATAAAATGGGTTATAAAGAGTTAAAAGTTGTAGTAAATTGAACATGAAAATAAACAACTTATGAAATCGGATAATATTTGAAGGCAACAAGTCTACAATATTACCAAATAAAAAAGTATTTTGCTAACTTACAGGAAGGTAGAAATAGAAACAGCGGCACAGTAGCATATGCAGTTAAAATGTTTCAAATATGGTCTTATTTTTAATGTGAAAAATGCTCTTATTTAGAAAAATAAAACATGTACATATGCATACATACAACCCTTCCATTAGCCCTGTTTCTCCATTAAATAATGTCTTTCTTTTTTCATCCTCAAACTGAATTCATTCATTCTTTCTTTTTCATTCACTAAGCATTGCTTTCTGAACTGATTATGCACCTGCCCTTAAGATTTCTCTATTTTGTGGAGTAGACCGACATGGCAACAAATGATTCTAACAAAATTGAAATTTGTGTTTTAAGACAATACAAAGTGTCATGGGAATAAGAACATGCAAGTCATAGACTATAAACCCCTTGAGGACAGGGACCATGTTTATCTCATCAGGAACACTTAACTCCAGTATCTAAAGGAATCCTAGGCAAGCAGCAGGCACTCAACAGATATTTGTTCATTTATAAAATACCCATTTTTCCAGAATCAGAGTGGAAGACGAAACTTGCAAAACCGGGTATTCATTTCCTAAGGTTATTGTAATAAAGTGCCATAAACTGGTGGCTTAGAAAAGCAGAAATTTACCCTCTCACAGTTCTGGGGGCAAGAAATCCTCCAAAATTAAAGTGCTGGAGACAATGCTGCCTCTGAAGCCTCTAAGGGAGGATCTTTCTTTGCCTCTCCCAGTTTCTAGTAGCCCCAGGCATTCCTTGGCTTTTGGCAAGATAACTCCACTTTCTACCTCCATCTGCACATGGTGTTCTCCCTGCATCTCTGTCTTCACATGACTCTCTTCCTATAAGGACACCAGTCATATTGGATTAGGAGTTTACCTACTTCAGAATAATTTCATTTTCCCTAATTACATGTACAACAACTTATTTCCAAATAAGGTCACAATCTACAATACTAGAGGTTAGAACTTCAGCATATCTTTTACAGGCACACATTCGACCTCTAACAACTAATAACATGAATGTTTTCTTCTACTCTTTTTTCCCTCGATCCTCCTTTGCCTTACTTCCTTCCCCCAAGATGAGATAATTTTGAGAATCCAATGGGTTAAGAAACAGTGTGCTGAGGAACACAGGCTGCAGTTTAGACTCTCACCTTTTAAGATTATCCATTATTTTGCCAGACTCATTCTTCTTGTGCTTGGTTTGGCTGTGCAAAATTCCTACAAATTACTCTCATTTATAAGAACTGCTTACATTCATGCCTAATTATCATGCAGTAGAATAACAATTATGCATATCATTAAATTCATGTGAGATAACCTTCAATGTAAGTTTCATTTGATTATGGCACTAAACTCTGTTCATGCATGCTTGGCCTTCATAGCAGGTTGCTCAAGAAGAATGGTTGCCTCTGCCACTTAAAACATAATGACAGTAATACTGGCCATAACCCTAACCTTCTCCAACAGAAATATTGGTTCCATAACTCGGTACCCACCTTGCAAAAGGTTACTGCAATCAAGTCTATGTTAAATACAATCAATATTTCATATATTAAATATGAATGAAAATGGAATATTTTATTTAACATAATTAAGCTTTCTAATTTGCTTAAATAAATGCATCTGTCTGCATCTTTTCCCCTCACTAAAAATATACATAGGTTAAGAGTATAAAACATGTGATATTATTTTTTAACAAATATGTTCTAATCTCTTTGTTAAGCATTTTAGCTGTAGAATTAAATATATATATTTAATATATACATTATAGGGGTTTAATATATATATCATAGGCATATAGCAATATATAAGTGCTTTGTGTTCTGCTTTCACACATTTTTGGAGTTACTTTTATTCATTTTTAAAGCATATAATGTGACAATATTATATCAAACCATCAATGTTACTGTATTTATCATCTAATAGGTACAAAAATACCTTGTCATGCACTCCATATATATAAAACCTCAATTAAACTCCCCCAAGATTTGAGTGGGAATTTTAAAATTATATCTAATTTTTAATTATAAAAATAATAAATATACATTTCAGAAAATTTTGGAAATACAATAAAGTAAAAATAAAAATGGTCCATGGCTGGGCATGGTGGCTCGCGCCTGTAATCCCAGCACTTTGGGAGGCCGAGGCAGGTTGATCACTTGAGGTCAGGAGTTCGAGATCAGCCTGGACAACATGGAGAAACCCTGTCTCTACTAAAAATACAAAAACCAGCTGGGCATGGTGGCACATGCTGGTAATCCCAGCTACTCAAGAGGCTGAGGCACGAGAATCGTTTGAACCTGGGAGACGGAGGTTGCAGTGAGCTGAGATTGCACCACTGCACTCCAGCTAAAAAATATTTTTTTAAGATGGGCCATAATCACATCCAAAATTGCCACATTTCACATTTCATAAGAATACTAGTGTTACTAGTTTTGCAAGTCCCAAGTTCCACTCTTTATTCTAGGCAATCATGATCAGTTCATTCAATTATATCTAATTGGGATTCTATTTTACAAAATATTTTGTAGCATAAGTTTTACTTCATCACATTTTCTTTTATAGATAAGCATATTTAATAGATCATAAGGCTCTATTGTTTTTTTAAATATTTAAATCTGTTTAGAATTCTCAGTTTTTATAAAACATAGTTAAGAGTTCTGGCTCTAGAATCAGAGTTCCTGTGGTCAAATCGGTCTCCATCATCTATTACTTTTGTGATCTTCGGCTAATTATTTTACTCCTATTTGGTTTCCTTTATAAAAGGGAGTTATTAATAATGCCTTCCAGAATTACTGTGATAATTAAATAAAATATTCTACATAAAGTAGTTGGGCATATTTAATGCCTAGCACATCCCAGGACTCTAATGAATATTAGCTGTCAATAATCAGGTTTGCAGAATGTATTATTTTCTGCTGCCCTCATTTGTTGACTCTCCTCATCTTCCTCTTTCTCTTTGGACTTTCCTTCTACAATTCTTCTTTGCGACTCTACCATAGTCAGCCATTTAAATATTTGCTTGTAGAACTTAGTCCCATTTCTCTTAATCTAAATTTTCTCCCTGGACATTCTCACCTACTCCACTGACTTTCATTACTTTCTTCATACTGATGATCCCCATATTTCTATCTTCAGCCCACATCATTCTTTCTGAGCTTTTCACCCATACATCTAACTGCCTATTGAATATCTCCACTCATAAGTTTAAAGGCCCTTCAAGTCTAACAGGTTCAAAATTAAAGTCATCCTTTTCCCAGAAGGAGCTTCTCCACTTGTGCTTCCTCATTCAGTGAATGACCACCAATAGCACTTAGCTACTCCAGGAAGAATGCTGAGTTATGACATGATCTGGTCAACAGAATGTACACAGAAGTAAGAGTGTGTAGTTCTAAGCCTAGGCATTAAGAGGCATCACATGTTCCACAGTTTCCACATTTTACTGCTGCTAATCTCACGGGAACAGGTCCCAGCAAAGGTAAGAGACACTTAAGGAAAATGGGCAATTTGCCCTGACTGGAGAAGCCAATCTACAGACATATGACAAAGAATAAAATCATTGTCTGAAGTTACTGAATTTTGGGATTGTTTGTTATGCAGCATTACTGTGGATAATGTTAACTGATAGGGGAACCTACTAAAAATCTTAAGCTTCATCGTCATTTGCATCTTCTCTATAAATATGGCATTTCAAAAAATAAATCTTGGCAAAATACCAATTTTTTCTCATCCAGGTTCCCTGTACTTTAAACCCATATTAACTTTCCATAGCCAAAAGTCCTTCTGCCCAAAGGTAAAGGAGTTGTTTCACAAAGTGAGTAAGAACACAAGACTGACAATAGGACAAAGTTCTCTACTCCTGCAAGCTTGCCAAACAGAATGCCCAGAAACATCCTTCAGTGGCTACTTACTGACTTTAAATAAACTCCATATTCTCTGAAACACAGAACATACACAATCATATGTAAATAATTGTGTCTAAGTAGGACACTTAGACACATTCTGAGACAGAGTACAATAAATCTCATGGAAAGGAAAATACAGTGTGTTATAGCCAACACCGCATATTGTTGTTTTATTTCTCTTAAATTCAACCATAGGTTATTACAAAAGTAATTGCGTTTTTTGTCATTGAAAGTGATGGCAAAAACTGCAATTACTTTTGTGCTAACCTAATATTATAATTTGCACGCATGAATATGCTACAACCATGTGACACAGAGCTTTTATGCCTTCTACCATATATTTTGTGGCACTTTCTAGTTCCAGTGAAGTTTCATTCTAACATCATATAGGAATTAGAATGTGCGAATGTTATATATGAAACCTCACAGACTATTCTATCCCAGTAAAAATGCTGTTCTATCCCAGTTTTTTAAAAAAGGCAGATTATGAAACTGTAACTATTAACCTCATAGCAAGAGGTTAAGTACGTATGGAAAATGGTTCACTTTAAAACACAGTCATTTGATATTTAAGAATTATCAGTGACCTATTGCTTCAAATATCTAACAATACCTCGTATATGCCCCCTACCCCATACAACAGCTAGAAAGGAATCTCTTTATGATATTATTTCTAGAACAATGACTGGCATTTATTAAGCCCAGAAAAACATTGATGGGCAAATGAATGAATGAATTCTTTCAGCAACTGCAATTCTACTAAGAGTTGTCTCCTCTGTCTTTACACCAAGTTAAAAGGGAAATAACTTGTGTACAGAGAAGGAAGAAAATGATTCACATGGCTTAAAGGATATACACATATTTTAAGCTAAACAACAAACTTTGACCATGCCAGCCCTGCCTTAATATACAAGGAAATTATTGATTTTTCTATAAATTAAGGAAGCTGGGGATTTTATCTACAAATGGCACACACACACTGGGGAGGTGTCCTTTGGAATAAAATTTATTTTGATAAAAACATATGTGCATAGTTTTCTGTAAATATTACTCACTTGAATCTATGTATCACAGTATTTAATATGCTAGGAGTTTAAAAACTGACATGTTAAAATAGCACAAAGACATGTCTAGGCTAGTTACTGTTGAGTGGCACTTAGTGTGGATTTACTCACTGCAAACCGTCCTTGATATGCCGCCTGTCTCTTCCCTGCAAGTGGCAGTGAAGGTCAGTGAATCTAATTTGACAATAATGAGCCTGCTCTGCAATGTGTTATAATATTGTGCCTTTATTTCTTTTTTTAAAAGGTATCAACCAATCAAAAAGCCTGTTCAATGACATCAGGGAAACCCCAGGAGAGCTGGGGAGAGTTAAAAAACAGTACTCTCTTATTTTTCTTTTCCAATAATGAAGACAGCAGAGGTTATGAACCTGTTCAATATGCATTAAAACAAAACACAGCCTGATAGGAATGTTTTAATTAATAACAATTATCTTCTGCAGAATTGTGATTCAAGCCAGGTCTCTGAGCATGAAGGAGAAACTTGACACTGGTGCTTCTTTGTGGACAGAGAGATTTTAAGCAAAGTTAATGGAAACTCAGCGGATGAATGGTGCCGCAATTCAAATGTACTGTAAAATTACTGAAATGATTTCAATGTCACAGGACTACACTGCATTACATTTATGATTATTACCACTTGCTACGCTTTAGTGATATTTTGTCAAATGTTTTATTTAAAGCTTGTCTTAAGAAAAAAGTCTGTCTTTCAGAGAAAAATGTTGATGCGACAAATAATAACTCATAATTATTTACCCACACAAAATATTCTATGCACATTTTAAATACTGTATGTATAACATATATTTATTTAAATAATAATTATTATAAAAAAGTTCAAAAGTTGGAATGTTGACACAAGGATAATGATCTAATAGTCATATCCCACACCCCAATGTCTTTGCAAATCTTATTCTATATTCTAAGCTTTTATTTCTCAAAAGATGATTCTAGAACAAGATTTATGAGAATCACATTTCAGGTATATGTTTAAAATATATATTCTCTGGCCCCGCCCCAGACCTTCTGAGTCAGCATCTTCTGGGGGTGGAGGCGGCACCCATAATTCTGCATTTTAACAAGTTCTCCAAATAATTATCATGCATACTGTAACCCAAGAAGCGAGAGGTTCTTAAACGGCGACCACAGAATTCAGGGGTCCGTGAGCTTGAGATGGGAAAAAAATACACCTTCATTTTCACTGAACTCTGATTGAAATTTATCATTCCCATCAGTTATGAATGTAGCTGACAAATCAGAGTAGTTTTAGATATCTGTGTGTCATCAATAAATAATCACAGATATTTTCCTATATTACAGTTGAAGCTATTGCAAAATATTATTGACATTGATGGCTACTTTGAAATTATATTAGTTATTAAATTTCCTGCTAGAGCTTTTAATTAATTATAAAAAGAACACATATATTACAATATCAGAAAAAAATTTTAATGATATTTCAACAAATGTGTTTCAATATAACTGGCTTCCTTTGTAATCTCATGCATTTTATTTGATGTATTTTTAAATATGTTTCTGGATGGGGCCCACAGGCTTCACCAGACAAGCATAAGGGTCTGTGACACACACAAAGTCAAGAACCCCTGTCTCAGCTCTCCTGGGTCTTGTACTCATTCAGAGGGAGAAGGAAAGAGTAGAAAGAGCTAAATGAAAGCTGTGTCTCTGAATCAAATAAACCTTCCCTGACATTTCCTCTGAAAGGACATATATGTGGGAGCGTAAAGAAAAGTGGCTTATAAAATTCCAATGTGTTTAAAAGTGGGGGAAAAAAAGGAAAGGAAAGCAGGAACAGAAACACCTGTCAGTCATGAATGACTTATTGACCCAGTTCATCAGCAGGGGAGCTGAATTTGATCAGTTCTGCCATGATTAGTGTCACTACAGTCAAGTGTAATTTCTGTATAAATAGAAGTGGTGGATAGGAAAATAATTCGGTTCATCCCTCCAAATTGTATCAGTCAGCACAGACATCAAAAATTGTCAGCCCGAGGCGGGGAAGCACGCATACCCAACCAAGCCTATAATTGTATTCAGTATTCAAATATTTTAAACCACAATATGATCTTCAACATAAGACAAGGAAAAATCACTGTTGATTGTGCATCCTTCTGAACTGTTGAAACAGCATTTCTGTATTTTTCATTGTCTTTTTTGGTAAAAGTGAGCAAATATAAGTTCTTGTATTTGTCACTTTTTCAGTAACAGGATATTTTCCTTTCAAACTTGCCTGTCTTCTAGTTCCTTAGCTTAGTGTATGAACCTCCATCCAATCAGTTGTCCAAGACAGAGACACACTGGCCTCCTTTCTCTCCTTCATCAAATAGATCACTAAGTCCTGTTGCTTCTATCTCCCTAATATCCGTGAAAGTAATTCACTTCCCGTAGGCCCACTGCTACTAGGTTAGTTCAGACCATCATTATTTTAGCTAGAATTACAGGAATGGACTCCTAACTGGTCTCCTGTGCTTAAACCCTGTTTGTCTCCAAACTTTTCTCCATATGTTCATCAAAATAATTTATTAAATGCATGTCTTGATGTCATTCCCCTGCAAAAACATGTCTATGGAATTCCACAGCTCTTAGACTACATACCATACTTCTTAAAATGGCATATCAGACCTTCAGGACCTGGTTTACATCTCTGGCTTTAGCACTACCCCTCACACTACAGACTTCACATATACTGACGTTTTCCCCAGCATTTCTGGGCCATGGCACATGCTTTCCCTCTGACTAGAATGATCTATTTGCATGACTAACCTCAGCTGATGTCTCTTGTGGGATGTTATCCCTGGCACCTCTAAGTGGGGTGAGATGGCCTCTCTGAGTGTGGGCCTAGTATTCAATACTTACCCTTTTTATTGTATTTATTAGATCAGACTGTATTTGCATGTTTGTTGTTGAATTAATTGAATTAACCAGCAGGATTTATGTCACTACAACATAGTTATTGTACTTAATCTGAGATTAAACCCAGGATAGTTCTTTTTGAAAGCATTTTATATTTACTTACAGCAAAATCATTTTTAGGTATTGTAAACATATTACTGTTCAAAGGAAAAAAAGACTGGGTTTTTTTGAAACCAGTAAGAAAATTAATTCTGTATCTGATGTCTATCTAATATTTCTCATTACAAACTAAAACTATGCTTTAGTAAGTTAAGAATAAGAAGCTTGTTTATGAAGTTTATCAATTGATAAGTCTTATTCAGTAGAATAAATCCACATGTATAGAAACTTTGTTTAGTGCCTGGCACAAAATAGGGCTCAGGAAATATTCGTTTAATGAATGAATGAATACATGACTATCTTCTACTTAAGCCAGAGCTCTTCCTAAGTCTTTGGACTAGTAGGCACTTAGACTGGAGGTAAGAAGACCAGAGGGGAAAGAAGCCTGCTCTTAACAGTCTTGACACTGTTGTCAGTGAAACTAAATACACAAATCTGATTCTGTCACCATGTTGCCTATACAACTGAGATAGGCTCCTCTGAACTACAGGACAAATAGTATAATCCTTGGGATAAATTAATAATAGTGATAATAAAAGTAATATTTGCCGAACACTTACTGAGTCTGGTCCCTGTGCTAAGTGTTTTGCATTTGTCTCACTGAATCCTTTGAACAAATTAGGAAGCAAACAATATTATATCCATTTTGCAGACAAGAAAAGCAAGATTAAGCAACTTGCCCAAAGTCACATGGATAGCAAATGCAAAAATAGAAGTGAACCACAAATGGTCAGATGAGCACACATGCTGAAGCTTTTTACTATATAAATCATGAAACATTTAGTTCCAACCTATCTCACTAGCTACCAACTTGTGAAATGCCCATCTCTTGACCTCACTGTTTCCTAATCCCCAAAGTCCCACCACACTATACTGGAAATACTTAAAATGAACCACGTTCTTATAAGACCTCTGTGAAGTGCACATATTACTTCCTTTACCAAAAGTTCCCTACCCCTTCTCATCTACCCAAAAGTCCCTATCTATCCATCTTTTAATTTCAATATCTTATATCTCCTACTCTGAAGAGATATCTCTGACTCGCTCAAAAAGATAATCTTTTTGGACCTCATTATATTTTGTACCAAATTATTAATGACTTTATTAAGTAATCATGTCTCTCTGGGCCACTCACATCCCCAATAAATAAACAGTGTATTCTCTAAGGAAAGAGACAATGTGCAATTCACTTTTGTGTCCACCACGAGCTAGCCCAAGTCCACAACTCAGCAGAGGCTCATTAAATATCTGTCAATATGAGATGAAGGATGTGTGTTTTGAGGGAGGGTTTGCTTAGGAATGATGATATGACAAGAATAAGAAATGCCTGTCAAAAAGCTAAGAATGTAAGAGAGAGCAAGATATGCAAAGGGTAGATACAATATTATAGCATACAGAGTGGAATGAGAATATTAATGTAGGGGAAAACTAGAGATCAGGACTATATCACTATTTGATCATTAAATAATATTGATAATGTTCTTAATAAAGAGTCTACATGATGAGTAAATCATTGAAATGTGGTCGATATGTTGTTTTTGAGTAGGCAGGTAAGAAGAATGCACCTTGGAAGGTTTTTCATCTTGGAAAGTTTACGAAAGAGTAAAAATCAGTCAATAAGAGAATTAAGTATTTATTCCACAAACACATGGACTTAGAAACACTTTGCTGAGCCACTTGCAGATCCTGATCCTCAGAAACTGTGAGATCATAAGTGTTTGCTGTTTTAAGGTAGTAAACCGTGGTGTGTGTTTTTGTTTTTTTTTTTTTTTTGGATAGAAACAGATAGCTAATACAGACCAGAATCATATATAATTCCGTGACTTTGTTATCTTTCAAGTATTTCCTTATTATTGATGCCTACACTTTCTCAATGTCTAAAATGGACAACTAAATTGCTACTGTGGATTTACTTCTTAACTAAAACAGATTTTACATTCGTATAATGTAGATTTACATATGTATTACTTATACATTTAAAATAATTAGAAGTTCATATATTTTCAACAAAAAGGAACTCATCTAAATGCCAGCCTGGGTTGCATAATGTGGACCTCATGCTGTGGGAGTTGCTGCTTTCCCAAGTTGGGTATGACAGGCTAGTTGCAATTACATAAATGAATTGTTTTCTTTCATCCTCACTGGTGCATTAATGAAAGCCTGCACAATTAAAAAAAAGACCACACTGCTTGAAGAAAGCAAGGCAACCAGTTTAAATTAGTAGATGAAATTAAAATCATTTTACTAGTACTATTTTCCAATCCAGCAATTGCTGACACTGTTCTGAAATGCTACGTACATCCATATTCAAGGATCTTACATACCTAGAGCCAAACTTATCATTAAAAATGTGATAAATGGCTAATATACTTTTCTTAATTACTCTATAAAACTGACAAACTGAAAATGTACACAATATTGGAAAAGGAAAAACATTATTTTTAGGGTTAGTCTAAGTCCAAAAACTTAACTTGGCCTCCTTTCTTTACAACAGGTTTCTCAAGACAAATCCATGGCAAGCCCAAATGCGTTGTCTTCAAACTATTCAGTTTCTCTCCTCTTGTCATTAATCATCCTATTCTCCGGCTAAACCCCTATTCTTGATTTTAGCATAACCCTTTCCTCAGAAGGGTGAATATTTCTTATGAACTTTGGGTTCAACTTACGCAGGTAAGACAAGAACCAATTAGTGTCACAGTAAGCATAAGGAACCCTGGATTGGATGCTTCAGGCTTGTCCCCTTGCTTGCAGGAGCCTGTATGATAGCTGTAAACTCAGAAAGGTAACCACTAAGGAAGAGAGAGGTGGCCAGTGCCTATTTAAAAATAAAAAGTGAAGAAATTATTTATAATCAAGTGGCTCATAATTGTCCCTATACCACACTCACTTTTATTATTTCCTGGTAAAGAGGGTGAACTCTATCCACAAGTCCTCCATAGTTAAATAAAACCTTTTTTTAAAATCTGTATCACACACACAAAAAGTCTTATAAATGTATATCAGTGTGAATGAAAACAATGAAAAATAAAATGGCTGTTTTCTATGTCCCATTGTCTCTATGCCCACATTTTTATGACGCAGTCATGGTGTGGTTACAGTTTAGTATTCTATATGTTCCTCTTAGAAGAAGAGGGATGTGCATCCAATGCCAAATTCTACTGAAAATTCATGTGTCTAGGTCTTAGCGCTTTTCTTTTTTTAGAGAATTTAACTCTTCATGAATTCTGTTAATCAAATTACTTGGCTGGCTATTTCCTACCAAAGCCTAAGGCTCCCTGACACCTGATGATCTCTTCTTAATTGATACTTTCACCTTTGTGAGATATCCGCACAAATGTAGCTCTCACTGAGGGTAGGTTGGGGAAGGGGAAGCGCTTGATCTCAGAAGCCATTATGACTGTGTGTATATTTGAAAGTACAAACTCAAAAGACAGGTAACAAATTGCCAAAGAAGCACTGCAAATGATAACAAAGTAGAGTGAAATAAAATTAGAAAGAAAAATATGCATCACTGAAAAGTGATATGTTTAATATCCCATAAATATTCATAAATATGTCATCTCCACAAGCTTATAATGCTAGAGTTTTAGCATTAAAAGATGGAAGGCTGCTTAAAATAGGAGCACAAATAACAATAACAACTCAAAAAGTCTTTAATCTTCATCAGCCACACAATTGAGATCAGATCAAAATATATCTGTACAGTCTCTTTCACTCATCTATCCTCATATTTAATATTCATTGAGTACAAAGAAGTTTCTATGTAATTTCCTTTATTAATACTTCACTATGAAGTGTCCCCATACTAACATAATTAACTTTACTAGAAATTATTACCACACCCATCTGCCTAAATTTTCAATTATCTTTGCCTCTAGACATGAGTAGCTACCTTGTGAAATGATATCAGGATAATTCCTTCATATTCATAATGCCTCCTTTTCTCCCATAGGTTGATGCAGATATAATGATTAAAATGAAAGAGCAGGAAAAGTTTTCTGCTAAACTCTAAAACCTTTTGTATTAGGAGTTTATGTCTTAAGCCTTTCTACCTCAAAGGCTTCATATTGTTAAAAATCTACAGTTCTTAAAGGATCAACTTCTACTCCTTTTTCATCAACTATCTTTTAGATAAGGAAAAGACAACTTATATTTAAAGTAAATTTTGAATGAAATTATAAGGAAAGTGCTTATTATTTACCATCTGGCAGTACACTAGTCCTTTGAGTTATATGACCATATATAGTATAAGAATTCAAAATACATGAACAAAACCACTACTAAATCTTAACATTTGGTAAGAAGTGTAACGTGGTGATAAAAATATTCTCCTATGAATTGGGACTAATTTTTATCATAACATATATGATCTAAAAATTCCTTATTAATCTTTGCTTCCATTTTTCATCAGTTCATAAATGACAATAAATAGCAAGTGATGGTGAAAATCCAGAGCAAGTAGCACTGTTATATATTGTGAGAATATAAAGTGTTGCAATTACTTTGGGAAATAATAGTCTACTAATTTCACATAAACCCAAATACTACATCTCTTCTATAACCCAGCAATTCTACTTCTTGGTATTTACTCAAGAAAGTGAAACCTATGTACACAAAAGACATATGCAACAATATTCATAGCACATTATAAATAACAGCCTAGGTATAAATCAAAGGGAAAATTAACAAATAAATTATAATATATTCATGCAATGCAATACTACTTAGGAATGAAAAGGAGCAAATTACTCATACATGCACCAACATAGATAAACCTTAAAAACATTATCTTTGAAAAAGTCTTATATACAAGTATATAGTGTATGATTTGAATTCAAATAAAATTCTAGAACAGGCAAAATTAATCTTGGTCCAAAAAATTAAAATAGTGTTTATCTTGAGAAGTGAGGGAGACACACTGGTGAGGGACATGAGGGAACTTTGTAGGTGACATGATGTCTATATCTTGATAAGTATTTGCACTACACAATTGCATGTATTTGATAAAACATAGTGAATATGCACTTAAGATTTGTACAATAAATTGTATATAAATTTTACGTCAAAAGAAAATGCTGTAATCAGATACTGAACTTTATTTAGTAGTATGCAAGCTAATGTATTTCTACATTTCTGATTTCTGCAATTCATGTTTTAATGTACAAAAAATGAAACAGGATAATGGTTAGAGGGCAATAATGAGGAGAAATGTGATAGCACAAGTACAATAAAATGTAATGGTTAAAGCTAAATGATGGATATATTGTTTCAAGTTTGCTCTGTTTAGTAAGTTTCACAATAAAATGCTGGGGTAAATTGCAATCTGATTTACCTTCTAATCTTATGAATTAAGGAATTAATACTTTTGAAATTCAGGTAAACAATTTTATAGTAACAGCAAAGCAGCTCTTAAGTAGTTCTCTTGGTCTTCTCAAAAGATTTCTTTTTGTGTCTTTTGGGTAGCATTTGAGAACAGGAATGCCAAACTTTTTTACTCACATCAGCATTCTTCTTCAATTTCAAACTAGGTAATAATTCAGTTTCTCTCCTTCTGTTGGACTCTCAGAATAAGAGAATCTCTTATCTATGAGAAAAAAATCCTAACCAATTTTATGGCATGTTTTTTGCTTTGTACCTTCCTGTCCATCAAATTTAATATCAATATGCTAAGAAACAAATGAGCCCTAAATGCTACCTATCTGTGTGTGTATGTATATATACTTTCTAATCTTTCATGTTATTTCCTTCTTAGGTTTCCCATCACCCAAAACTGTGTTTTTCCAAGGTTTTCTTTTCACAGGATATGACAATTGAAAAAACATAAATGATATAAAGGCACTATTCATTAATAAGGGTGAAGGAACTAAACAAAACATTGTTTTCCATTAATTTAACCCAGTCAGTGCTGCAAAGCCTAGAGCCATTTGCTGGTGTTCTAAAGGAGTCTGCAACTAAACTCTTGATCTAACACATAAAGAATTGACGTTTACTTTTAAAAATCTTAGAACAGGTAATGAGAATTCTATTGATTAGTCTGTAATAAACTGATAATGGCTCTTAGAATAATGAATAATTTTTACTGAGTCATGTCAGCTAATATAATTTCAGGTGGCACATGAAAAAATTGAAGCAATTCAGCATTGTGCCTTTCCTGTCACTGGAGTTCTACCATTAAAAGCCAGTTATACAAATAAGATTATGGTGCTTTTATATAGCTTGTGCCTTTCCAGATCAGTATTAATGCCATATTTTTAGAAAAGACCTTTTGTGCATGACATACTGATCAATTTTTTGTTTTTGTTTGAGGGAGGGTCTCACTGTGTCTCCCAGGCTGGAGTGTAGTGATGCAATCACAGCTCACTGCAGCCTCAACCTCCTGGGTTCAAGCAATTCTCCTGTCTTGGCCTTCCAAGTAGCTGAGACTACAGGTATATACCACCATGCTAGCTATTTTTTAAATTATTTTTATTTTTTGTAAAGATGGGGTCACCCTATGTTGCCCAGGCTGGGTTTCAAGCTCCTGGGCTCAAGTGATCTTCCTGTATCAGACTCCCAAAGTGCTGGGATGATAGGTGTGAGCCATCTTGCCTGGCCTGAACAATTTTTGATATCAAATAGGCTGATGTTAGACATATAACAAAGGTTAAAGTTAGACACATATAGCGCTGCACTGTCCAATACAGTAGCCACTAGCCACATGTGAATTTGACATATGGCTAGTCTGAATTGATATGTGCTATTAAGTATAAGATATACATATATCAGATTTCAAAGACGTATGATATTTTTAAAAAAACAACAAAATATAAAGTATCGAAAACAACATTTTAATATTTTAGACATATTTAATCCAAGTATATTACTAAACTAATTTTATCTGCTCATTATTTTTAATGTGGCTAGTAAAAAACTTAAAATTAGATTTGTGGCCTTCATATTTCTAATGAAAGTGCTAATGTAGAGGTTTCTCACCTGGCAAAAATAATTTTATATTTAAATACAATGTATCCTTAACTTTGAAATACTGTACAAACAAAAAAGGGGGGAAGGAAAAAAGATGTGACTAAATATGACTCCATTTTGGGAAAATAAATAAATAAATATTATTTCTTCCTGCTGTTAAGCGTCTATCTATCCATCAGATAGGTCTGATGCAATTCCTCATTTTGATTTTTAGGTAAATAATCCCTTTTTTCTTTCATCTCAGACAATTTGAAAAATATTGAAAAATGGTTTTCTGCCTATTTTCAACCTCTTGTCATTTCTTTAAAGAAGAATTAAACTTGATGAAGTTCTAATTTTTGATAAAATTTAATTTTGCCTTGATCATTTTGAATAAAGAACCTGCATCCATTTTGCTTGTGCTTGAGTGTGTATACTATTATTTAAGTGATGTAATCTACTATTAAGAACTACTTGCCCTTATGGACAAACTTGACTTTGAAGAAATTTTTCTTTTTCGCATTTTTAATTGTCAAGTAACTTCAAAGAAAACATGAAGAAAATAAAAGACCATTTTTTTAATTAACTGTGGTTAGTCAAACATGCTGCGGTCGACTTTGTCCATCCCCTCACTAACATCCGTCCCTCCTGTCTTGTTCCTTCATCACCCACCTGAATTTTCCTATTTCATTCCTAATAAAAGAACCTTTATTTGGTCAGGTAATCAGCTAGGATTAAGATGAAACTGGTTCAATGAGTCATGCAAGTTGCGAGTGGGATTCTTTCTTTACTTAGAGTTTTTGGTATCTTATTCATCATGAATTTTTTAATATCAATGTCATTTTTTAAATTTTTTGCATTAATATATATATATATTTACTGAGATTTTTGGCACCCCCGTAAATTCTACATCAGAGGCAAATGTCTCACTCACTTCACCATAATCCCAGCCCTGAGGGTAATGAAAAAATCTCTGATTTGCAGAGAGGGTAAATCCTTTCATATACCCCAAAGGATAAATAGTGACTGATCTCAACAAATCAGGGAGATGTCATTCCTCTGGCCAGTGAGATAGAAGAAGTGGGCTGTTCATAATAGCTTCTAAGAAAGCTTTTTTCTTTTCTTTTCCTTTTTCCTGATAAAATACCACAGAATTGGCTGACACATCCTTAAAATTTATTTCATCCTTCCCGCATCTTTATACCATCAATGTGGACATCACATTGAATGTGCAGCAACCATAGAAATATTAAAAGGAAATTTTCTAAAGTCATCCATGAGCAACTGCACCAGCCCTGGACTGCACACCTTTTAACTGCTTGTTAGTGGAAAACATAAACAATTTTTGGGTTAAACTTCTGTAGTTGGATTCTCTGTTACATAAAACAGAACACAATGCCAACTGTCACATATGAACAAACTAAATTCTTCTATTATTTTAAACTAATTTTTTTTCATAACACTTTAATTTTTGCTTTAATCAAAAACTGTATTTGCAAAATAGTAACTATGTTACAACAATATGTACTGATAACATAGATCTATTGTTTTGGTGACATAATTCTTATTTACATTTTAGAAAGTTGTGCTCTGATAACATCACAATCATTTTTTTTTCAAATTCTATTTAGTCCTGCCCCAAATTTAGTTTGGTTCAACAAATATTGGCTAAGCAGCTACTCTCCTTTAGACACTAAATAAACTATTTTAAAGAAAATAGACACAGTCCCTGACCTTTGGCATCTTACAGATCAGTTCTGATCCATCTTTGATATTACACTCAGCTTTATTATTAGGGATCTTATTTTACCAGTCTGGAAATCACTGAGGATATGCTTCTTCTCACTACAGATTTAGATGAGAATATTTCAAACTAATATGGTTGGAAATTCATTTGGTTGACTGTGCTGCTGAAATGAATACAATAACCTATTTGTTTAGTATTTTACATTAACAAAACACTTCTACAAAATTGTCTCATTTTGCAGGACACAAACAAATGGAAAAACATTCTATCCTCATGGATAGGAAGAATCGGTCTCATGAAAATGGTTATACTGCCCAAAGTAATTTTTAGATTCATTGACATTCCCATCAAACTACCATTGACATTCTTCACAGAATTAGAAAAAAAAAAAACTATTTTAAATTTCATATGGAATCAAAGAAGACCCCGTACAGCCAAGACAACCCTAAGCAAAAAGAACAAAACGGGAGGCATCACGCTACCTGACTTCAAACTATGCTACAAGGCTACAGTAACCAAAATGCATGATACTGGTACCAAAACAGACATATAGACCAATGGAGCAGAACAGAGGCCTCAGAAATAACACCACACATCTACAACCATCTGATCTTCGACAAATCTCACAAAAACAAGAAATGGGGAGATGATCTCCTATTCCATAAATGGTGCTGGGAAAACTGGCTAGCCATCTGCAGAAAACTGAAACCGGACCTCTTCCTTACACCTTATACAAAAATTAACTCAAGATGGATTGAAGACTTAAATGTAAAACCCCAAACCATAAAAACCCTAGAAGAAAACCTTGGCAATACCATTCAGGACATAGGTATGGGCAAAGACTTAATGACAAAAACACCAAAAGCAATTGAAACAGAAGCCAAAATTGACAAATGGGATCTAATTAAACTCAAGAGTTTCCGCACAGCAAAAGAAACTATCATCAGAGTGAACAGGCAACCTACAGAATGAGAGAAAATTTGTACCATCTACCCATCTGACAAAGGTCTAATATCCAGAATTTACAAGGAACTTAAACAAATTTACAAGAAAAAAACAACCCCATCAAAAAGTGGGCAAAGGATATGAACAGACACTTCTCAAAAGAAGATATTTACGTGGCCAACAAACATATGAAAAAAAGCTCAACATCACTGATCATTAGAGAAATGCAAATCAAAACCACAATGAGATAATATCCCATGCCACTCAGAATGCCAATTATTAAAAAGTCCAGAAACAATACATGATGGTGAGGTTGTGGGGAAATAGGAACACTTTTACACTGTTGATGGGAATATAAATTAATTCTAACTATTATGGAAGACAGTATGGCTATTCCTCAAGGATTTAGAACCAGAAATACCATTTGACCCAGCAATCCCATTACTGAGTATATACCCAAAGGATTATAAATCATTCTACTGTAAAGATGCATGCATGCGTATGTTTACTGCAGCATTATTTACAATAACAAAGTCATGGAACCAACACAAATGCCCATCAATGATAGACTGGATAAAGAAAATGTGGTACATATACACCATGGAATACTATGCAGCCATAAAAAAGATGAGATAATGTCCTTTGCAGGGACATGAATGAAGCTGGAAGTCATCATCCTCAGCAAACTAATACAGGAACAGAAAACCAAACACCACATGTTCTCACTCATAAGTGGGAGTTGCAAAATGAAAACACACGGACACAGGAAGGGAAACAACACACACCAGGGCCTGTTGGGGTGTGGGGAATGAGGGGAGGGAACTTAGAGGATGGGTCAATAGGTGCAGCAAACCACCATGGCACACGTATACCTATGTAACAAACTTGCACGTTCTGCATATGTATCCAGGAACTGAAATTAAAATTAAAAAAAAAAAAAAACTTGTCTCATTTCCCTTTTAAATCTCTATTGTTGGAAAAACTGGTGAAAATCAAGTCTTTAAAATTACTTCTACTTAAGCAGCAGCCACTTAAACTGTTTTCTTTTTTATAAATGAAATCTTTCCTTTTTGCATTCCTAAATTCCTGGGGGAATACACTGGAGTAATTTTAGGCTTGATTTTTTCAAGAGTAAAGGAAAAGAAATATTTCCTCTTTGCAGATTTAAATGAGTTTCGTATACAGTGTGTTCTATGAAATGAATGCCAATTTGTTTTCATTAGAATTATTCTTCTTGCATGACATCTCTTTTCTTCAATGATGCTTATTTATGTACTGGGCAGTGTTAGACATGCATGCATGCACTCTTTCTTCAAGAGACAGTTTCTAATGGAGGGCACCATGCTAAGAGCTGTGGGAGAGAAAGACATACATTTCATAATTCCAGATTCTTAAGGACCTTAAAATCCAGTAGGTAAAATTAGATATATCAGCAAATTAGGATACGAGTACCCTGTGGAGGGAAAATTAACGCAATAGATGAAGAAAAACAAAAACTAGCTTCAACAGGGCTTATCCCAGAAGGCTTCATGTAGCACATGACATTTGAACCAGGTTTGACAAATGGCTAGGATTTCAGGAAAAATAGTGAAAAATAAAGGACATTCAGGTAAGAGAAAACTGCAAAGCACAGAAATGATCAAGTGGACTTGTGCTGCTAATGAGGCCCATGCCTGAAGCACAGAATCTTTGTAAAGAATGATAGAGTTGAGGTTGGAATTACAGTAATGTAACCTAAATGTCAGACTAAAGGTTTTGTATTTTCATCAAATAGAAGTACCTAAAGATTTTAGACCTCAACTACCATCATATGTGACAAAATAAAATGAGATAAACAATTTTACCTATAAATAGATAAAGTATTTAAATTCTGATGCTATTCAGTGATGGTAAAGACGTGAGGAATAAGGTATAGTCATTTATACTTGGAGAATATGCAAATCATTGCTTTCATTTTGAAATGAAATTTATTATCTAAAAGACTTTAAGTTCACATACTGTTTGACCTAGGACTTCCAATTTTTGAAATTTATTCTATAGAAATGTTGGTATGAGTACGTAAAGAAATATGTACAAAAATATTTATTTTAATAAAGATACATTCCTCACAAAGAAGAAAAATCTTGCCTACTTATCAACAGAAAATTGAATTAGTAAAGTATAGGAAATCCATATAGTATAATAATATTCAGATTTAAAAAAATAAGTTTATACATACACTTACAACCATTTGATTTTGGACAAACCTGACAAAAACAAGCAATGGGGGAAGGATTCTCTATTTAATGAATGATGCTGGGAGAACTAGCTAGCCATATGCAGAAAATCGAAACTGGATTTCTTCCTAACACCATATACAAAAATCAACTCAAGACAGATTAAAGACTTAAATGTAAAATCTAAAACTATAAAAATTCTAGAAGGAAACTTAGGCAATACCATTCAGGACATAGATGCAGGCAAAGATTTCATGACTGAAATGGTTTGGCTCTGTGTTACCATCAAAATCTCATCTCAAATTGTAATCTCCATAATTCCCGACATCTCAAGGGAAGGACCAGGTGGGAGGTGATTGGATCATGGCGGTGATTTTCCCCATGCTGTTCTTGTCATAGTAAGTGACTTCTCATGAGATCTGATGATTTATCAAGAGTTTGATGGTTTCTCCTTCACACAGCTCTCTCTCACCTGCTGCCATGTAAGACTTGCCTCTTCTCCTTCCTCCATGATTGTAGGTTTCCTGAGGCCTCATCGGCCATGTGGAGCTGTGAGTCAATTAAACCTCTTTTCTTTATAAATTACCCAGTCTCAGGTATGTCTTTATAGCAGTGTGAAATGGACTAAAACAGTAAATTGGTACTAGGAGAGAGGTACTGCTATAAAGATACCAAAAAATGTGGAAGTGACTTTGGAACTGGGTAATGGGCAGAGGTTGGAACAATTTGGAGGGCCCAAAAGAATACAGGAAACTATGGAAAAGTTTGGAACTTCATAGAGACTTGTTGAATGGTTTTTGGCCAAAATGCTGACAATGATATGAACAATGAAGTCCAGGCTGAGGTGGTCTCAGATGGAGATGAGGAATTTATTGGGAACAAGAGCAAATATCACTCTTGATATGCTTTAGCAAAGAGACTGGTGGCATTTTGCCCCTGCCCTAGAGATGTGGAAAACTTTGAACTTGAGAGATTTGATCTGAAATTGGAACTTATGTTTAAAAAGGAAGCAGAGTATAAAAGTTTGGAAAATTTGCAGCCTGATGATGCAATAGAAAAGAGAAACCCATTTTCTGGGGAGAAAGTCAATCCAGCTGCAGAAATTTGCTTAAATAACAAGGAGCCAAATGTCAATGGCCAAGACAATGGGGAAAATGTCTCCAGGGCATTTCAGAGATGTTGGTGGCAGCCCCTCCCATCACAGGCACGTAGGCCAAGGAGGAAAAAATGGTTTAGCAGGCTGGGCCCCAGGCCTTGCAGTTTTGGGACTTGGGTGCCTGTCTTGGGACTTGGTGCCCTGTGTCCCAGCTATGGTTAAAAGGTGCCAATATACTCAGGCCATTGCTTGGTCATTGCCCGAGCCTTGGTGACTTCACATGGTGTTGGGTCTGCAGGCACATGGAAGTCAAGAATTGAGGTTTGGGAACCTCTGCCTCGATTTCAGAGGATGTATGGAAACACCTGGATGTCCAGGCAGAAGTTTGCTTCACAGGTAGAGACCTCATGGAGAACCTCTGCTAGGGCAGTGTGAAAGGGAAATGTGAAATTGGACCCCCTCACAGATTCCCCACCAGGGCACTGCCTAGTGGAGCTGTAAGAAGAGGGCCACCATCCTCCAGGCCCAAGAATGATAGATCCACCAACAGCTTGCACTGTGCACCTGGAAAAGCTGCACACTCAACACCAGACTGTGAAAGCAGCCAGGAGGGGGAATATGACCTGCAAAGCCACAGGAGAGGAGCTGCCCAATTTCATGGAAGCCCACTTCTTACCTCAGCATGACGTGGATGTGAGACATGGGGTCAAAGGAGATTATTTAGGAGCTTTAAAATTTAATGACTGCCCTGCTGGATTTCAGACTTGCATGGGGCCTGTATCCCCTATGTTTTGGCCAATTTCTCCCATTTGGAATGGGAACACTTATCCAATGCCCATACCCCCATTGTATCTTGGAAGTAACTAACTTGTTTTTTTTTTAATTATTTTACAGGCTTATAGGCAGAGTACTTGCCTTGTCTCAGATGAAACTTTGGACTTGGACTTTTGTATTAATGCTGGAATGAATTAAGACTCCAGGGGACTCTTTGGAAGGCATGATTGGTTCTGAAATGTAAAACGGATGTGAAATATTTGGAAGGGGCAAGGGGCAGAATGATATGGTTTGGCTCTGGGCCCCAACAAGTCTCATCTCAAATTGTAATCCCCATAATCCCCACATATTGAAGGAGGGACCAGGTTGAAGGTGATTGGATCATGTAGGTGTCTTCCCCCATGCTGTTCTTATAATAGTGAGCTAGTTCTCATGAGATATGATGGTTTTATAAGGGTTTGATGGTTACTCCTTTACATAGTTCTCTTGCCTGCTGCCACGTAAGACACGCCTCTTCGCCTTCCACCATGATTGTAAGTTTCCTGAGGCCTACCCAGTCATGAGGAACTGTGGGTCAATTAAACCTCTTTTATTACCCAGTCTCAGATATGTCTTTATAGCACTGTGAAAACAGACCAATACAATGATTAAGTCACCAAAAGCAATTGCAACAAAAGCAAAAAGTGACAAACAGAATCTAATTAAACTAAAGAGCTTCTGCACAGCCAAAGAAACTATCAACAGATTAAACAGCCAACCTACAGAATGGGAGAAAATTTTTGCAATCTGTCCATCTGACAAAGGTGTGATACCTAGCATCTCTAAGGAATTTAAACAAATTACAAGAAAAACACAACCCCCCAAAAAAGTGAGCAAAGGACATGAACAAATACTTCTCAAAAAAGATATACATGCAGCCAACAAACATGAAAAAAAGCTCAATATCACTGATCATTAGAGAAATGCAAGTCAAAACTGTAATGAGATACGATCTCATACCAGTCAGAATGGCCATTACTAAAAAGTCAAAAAACAACAGATGCTGCCAAGGTTGTGGAGAAAAAGGAATGTTTTTTTTACTGTTGGTAGAAGTGTAAATTAGTTCTACCATTGTGGAAAACACTGTGGTGATTCCTCAAAGACCTAGAGGCAGAAATACCGTTTGACTCACCAATCCCATTACTGGGAATATACCCAAAGGACTATAAATTGTTCTATTATGAAGACACATGCATGCGTATGTTCATTGCAGCACTGTTCACAATAGCAAAGACATGGAATCAACCCACATTTCCATCAATTGCAGATTAGATAAAGAAAATGTACATATACATTTGTATATGTGTATATACACCATGGAATACTATGCAGCCATAAAAAGGAAGGAGACCATATTTTTTCCAGGAATATGGATGGAGCTGGAGGCCATGTTCCTTAGCAAATTAATACAGGAACTGAAAACAAAATATCACGTGTTCTCACTTATAAGTGGGAGCTAAATGATGAGAACACATGGACAAATGGGGGTGGAAAAACTCACACTGGGGCTTGTGGGAGGGTTTTGGTGGGAAAAGGGAGGGGGTCAGGAAGAATAGCTAATGGAAGCTGGGCTTAATACCTGGGTGATGCGATGATTTGTGCAGTAAACCATTATGGCACACGTTTACCCATGTAACAAACTTCTATATCCTGCACATGTATCCCTGAACTTAGTTGGAAATTTTAAAAACAATGGAAATGTAAAAAATAGGTCTATAGTTACTAATGCACAATGAAAGTCAATGTATATTATTATGTGGGAAATATCCAGTTGCAGAATCATATGTAGAATATGGGTTCATTTTGAAAAGTTAAAAAACAAAGGTCTTTATCTACATTAATTTCTTAAAAAACTTAATTGATCTCTTATTATACCAGACATGGTTCTGTATGCCAGTGAAACCACAGAGAACAAAACACAAATCCCTATGTTTGTGGATTTTGTATTCAAGAAAGAAAATAAAATAATTACAAATTAGGATTAATCACCAGGACACAAAAAGAATAGGATAGGGACATACTATGTTAGATAAGGTATACAGGTGACTACTCTGAAAAGGCAACATACAACAGAAACAGAAAGAAGTAAGCCCTGCAGCTAGGGAAGAGTACCCCAGGCTGAGGGAGTAGCAAAGGCAAAGGCCTTGAAGCATTATCCAGGAACAAAGAGAAGGTCAGCCTGAAGGGCCCAGTGAACCAGTGGAAAGGTGGTGGGAAATTGAGGTCTGTTATTACCCAGGAAAATTTACTGACTGTGGCTAGAGCTCCCTAAAACAATAGGAAATACCTGGTATATAACGATATCTACTGTGTACCAGGAGATTTCACTGAATGCATGCACAACACCCCTTCCCCAACAGAAGCAATTTTGCTTTATTGTCAGGAAATGAATCCTTAAACCACTTGACTTCTAGCAGAGTGTTGATCTTATTGTGACTGACATATAGGCAAATCCTCAGAAGAGAATCAGAATTTCCCTGAGCTGGATGAAAGGAGGTCAGAGGGAGCAGATAGAGAGAACAATGTCGTTTGCACATGGACAAGTCTGTTTGAAATCTCTTGCATACAGCCAAAGAGATAAAAGAAAAGGACTACAAAGTATTGAGCCAGTACAGTGAAGGTTAAATATGAGCTCCTACTGCTATGATTTATCCACTGAAACAGCTGGGAAACTTCCGAAGTAGTTCATATATCACAGAAGTAGAGGAAGTGAGTCTGACTGTATAAACACACCTCAGGGCTGCTACTGTTCCCATTAACTGTCTGTCTCAGTAAAGGTCTGCCATTAGACAGATTCCTGCTGCAGCTGAACTGATAGAAAACTGCAGGTACATATAAAAATTAGAGGGAGACGTATGTCAAGAACAGTCATGAAAAATTTTTCAGGGGAAAGGAGAAAAAGGAGTTCTATGATGTGACTGTTTTAAAATCTGACATTTTTGGATTTTCATACTCTCTACATTTATGATTTTTCAGCTTAATGCTATATTCATGGTTTCAGTTAATTATGGCAGATGTTTATTAAATATGTGCAGTCATCAATTTCTATAGCCTATCTGATGACTGTTTTGAGAACTTTCTCTAAATTCCTCTTACAATCAACAGGGAAAAGGACTGAGGCTACAAGTTAAGATACATACATTAAATGCTATTTCAGAATAGCATCAAACTTCTAAGGACCAATTTATATGAAATGTGACAAATTACCCAATATGGACTTGCACTTCCTTTCAGTTGAGAAAACAAAAGCATGATGTGTTCAAATGTGTTATTCCTTCTAGGATGATTCCTCTTTGAAGATCCATGCTACTCATTCTACTTGATTAAAACAGAACCAAAGACCACATTTGTGGACATATTTCTGCTTGAAGCAGTTCATCTTTACACAGGGACTTATTGTTTGGTGAAATATGAGGAAGCTAGTTTGTTCATACATTTAATCTAGTAATAATTTTGATGTCTATCATGAGTACAACTTTCAGTTTTTTCTTATCTTGGATGGGAAAAAGGAGTATTATAAACAGGACCTCAATTCCCAACACCGCTCTCTTAAAGAATTTAAATTGCTGCTGTTGACTAAGGATAAATTAAAAAATCATGGCATTGCATACACAATTTTATAATTCGATCTAAGTCTACTATTTACAGGTTCATCTCTTGCCATTCTACCTAATTCATCCCAAACTACAGTTATATCAAACTGGTCTGGTCTAACATTTCCCAAGGCAAACTCCTGGTTTTTGCCTATATGGCTTTTCCTCTGCCGTTTCTTTCAAGAATGCCTATTTTCTTTGTCTGAACGTTTCTTATTCTTTCATCAAGATCTGGTGTAAAAGTCACCATATCATCTCTAAAACTTTCTTCTAATTTCAGAGACAGAATTACTATTTTCTTACTTTCAACTCCAGAAACAAGGTCCTTTCACGTTTATGTTAACATATCACCAGCAGTCAGGATAGTATCTAGCAGATAAAAAGCAGGCAATAAATGTTGAATGAATGAAGCTCACTTCTTTTAATTCAGACAATAGGCACATAGTCTAGAACTATACAATACCAAAGGCTTATTGAGACAGCTAAATCCTCTTTCCTCTTTATGTCACTGTTTCTCTCTGCTTTCCTTTCTCCCTCCTTCTGTGTGTGTTTTTGTGTGATGTGAGGGTAGTCATGGTTAGAAAACAATCTGACTTATCATTACCATGTACTAGATTTTCTATCATTAAGAAGGCAAGAACAGAGAATTTAAATAACTTTCAAAATATTTGGGTCCCAAAACAGATAATTTTCGCGCTATGTCTAATACTACCTCAACTACCTGGAACAAAGCTAAGCAGAATATGTATTTTTTTTTTTTTTTCTGGTAGGATGGAGTAAGTAAAGAGAGAATGACATCATGGATTTACTTTTATTAAGCTTCCAAGATTTATTCTTAGTTTGGAGGATCTGAAATTAAATATTTTACCTCTCCAAGTACATCATAGAATAAAATTGAGGCTCATAATAAACATTCTCACCATATTTCATTGTTAAAGCCTTTCTGGCAGTTCCAGGGTACTTAGAGATCATCTATAAGTAAATCCCTTCTTCTTCTTTCTTGTCACAATGCTGAACCCCAGAGAAGTAAAGTGAATGGTTTGAGGTCACCCAGCAGCTAAGACCAATTGCAAGTCAAAACACAAAGTTTCCTCATCACCAGTTCTTATCATTTTATAAAGTTGCCTCTATCAACAAATTGCTAACAAATTGCTTTTGTTCTTAACAGAACACTTCATTTCCCTACTTAAAATCATGCAATAGTTTCCAGTTTTACTAAGTTTAGAGTACAAACTCCTCAGTAGAATTTCAGGGCATGTTCATGATCTAGTCTTTGATTATAGCTCTAACCTCAGGCTAACCCTTGCTGTGCTTGCATTCTATGCTTTGGTTTCTATCTTAAACCTCTGTCCTCTAAAGATAGAAGCTGTTATAACCAAATGTTTATGTCCTCCCCACCCCAATTCAGATGTTGAAGCCCTAATCCCCAAAGTGATGGTATTTCAGGGTGGAGTCTTTGGGAAGTAAATAGGTTTAGATGAGGTAATGAGGGTGAGGCTCTCAAGATAGGATTAATGTCCTTACAGGAGAAAAAGACCAGAGCTTACTCACTCTCCACCCTGTAGACACGCAGCAAGAAGCTAGCTATCTGCAAGCCAGGGAGAGGGACTTCATTAAGAACCTGACCATGTTAGCACCCTGCTCTTTGACTTCTTGGCCTCAAGAACTTTAGGAAATAAATGTATGTTGTTTAAGCCACCCAGTATATGTTATTTTATTATAGCAGCCTGAGCAGATTAAGAAGCAAAATATTATGTCTCCCTTTTTCACCTACCTAATGCTGATTCATCCTTCTGTTTTTACCTTATTTACACTTATTCTAGGAAATCTTCCGTAAAGCTCCAAGTCTGGAATCAATGACTTTATTAGGTGTCCCTATAATATTGAACATCTCCTTTTATAATGTGTATGTCAGTGTATTATGTTGATCCATCTACGTGTATGTATACTTCGACCAAACTACAGGCTCCATGGAAGTAAGAACTCCATCTGCTTTGCTCAGCATTATATTCTGAGCATTATCATAGAGGCTAGCATATGGCAGGTACTCATGAAGTTATGAAGATCTTTGAGATAAGCATATTCTTAAACTAAAATAATTCTTTTTTCTTTATATACAAATGAAATTAAAGTAGAGAAAGAGAGAGGAATTTCAGTATTACTTTATGAAGCAACATCTTCAAAAAAAATTAAATGAAAATACCCATAAGTATTGTGATTAATATGATTATTTCATTTGTAATCATCATATTAAGTGCTCAAGTTTTCAGATTTGTATTGTCAGTCTATTTACAACTACCACTTAAGAATTATAGAATTTTTTTGTAAGGTAAAAAAATGTAAATAAGGATCATCTAATGGATTGTTAATTATACTATATATATATAAAATCCCTATGGTGTTCTCATTTTTTAAAATTTGCAATATTTTTTTCCAACAATTTCTTAGCGGTTGTGCCTATTACACTGTAAACCCACTAAGAACTATGCATCAAATCAAATAATTAAATTGAAATTTATACTTTTTAATATTTCAGCTGAATTTAGATCTGCCTAGCAAATTTAGTACAACAATAATAATTCTGAAATAATCTGAACTTTCAAAGTATATAGCAGCTTTCTAGCTTTCTTTTTATATTCAATGCTATTTGAGTGCCAACTTAGGGTAATGCAGGAGATATAAACCATCCCCTACTCTCTACTCCTTTTTCCCTTAATACAAGCTCATGCTGAAGGTTCACTTTTTAAAAACATTTTTCAAGAAGCTTATCAATTATATAGACTTCACAATACACCAGCTGTTCATTCATTCTTTCATTCACAAATGTGCCGGCACTATGCTGGATGTGAGGGAGACAGTTGTGAGCAAATCATATCATATGTTCTTAGACATACTCTGGAAAGACGGATCCATATTAGTTACACTAATGAAGTTTAATTGCCACTTGAGATAAGTAGTCTATGAGAATGTTTAACAAGGAAAGCTTTGCTCAATTAGGCCAGAAGAGGGGGTCATGGAGGATAAAGCACTTAAGCTAAGTTCTGAATGATGAAATCAAGTTAAAAAGGCAAAGAGTGTTTGTGAGTGTTTGTGAGTGTGAGTGTGTGTGTGTGTGTGTGTGTTGGGAAGAGGGTTGTTCATGGAGGAATGTTTCAAACAGTGTAAAACAGTATGTGCAAATGGTCTGTGGCTAAAGAGGGAATGGAACAGTCCAGAGAAGGGTAAAAAGTGGTGATAGATAAGGCCGAAATATAAGAGGATGCTTAAGAAATATCAAGGGTCTTATTGTCTATGTTAAAGATTCAGCCTTACCTTAAAAACAATGATAAGTCACTGAAGGCTGTTAAGTAGGGGTGTGGAAGGTGATATAATCATATATCAATTTGTCAATAGTAAAAAGATTGCTGTAACCCATATTGGAGGATGTTTAAGGTTTTATTTTGGAAAAGCAATTAAGAGGACACTAAAGGATTTCAGACAAGAGATGATGTTAGGGCAAGATGATGATGCCCTAAAAATGAGAGTTATGTAAAGAAGGAGGAAAGTGGAGAGATTTACAAGATACTGAAAATGTAAAATGGACAAGACTTGATGATGAATCAAATATATCTGGGGGCATTAGAGTGAGAGGTGTCAATCATAACCACTAGGTTTCAGTAACTTTTATAATTTATTTCATCCTCTTAAATACATATGTATTAGAGGTAGTACTGAAAACCCTAAACTCAAATATCCCTAAGCTTCATGGGTAAAAATATATATCATGAAATTCATTTTAAAGATAAAGTAAGACTTTAACATCCTAGTATGGCGGAATGACCACTAAACTTTAAACTTTCATTCTGGTCACCATTTACATATCAAGATTGATAGTCAGAGATTTGAAGATAAGAGCAGGTAATTTATATTTGTTTGTTCGCTTTATGATGGAAGACTCTCCTCCATCGCCAAAACATTACAATAATTTAAAAATACATAAAAAATCCTCTTGCTTAGAAAAAAAATTATAGTCTAGATAAAGGTATTGCAAACTGAATATTGGCTTTTCCATAGAAAACTTACTGTAAGAGTTAAATATCTGAATCAAGATTTAATTCTAATCTTTTTATAGAAATGGCTAGAAATACCACAATCAAATATACAATTAATATATAAAAGTAATACTATATCTTTTTAGCAGTGTCTCTTAAATTACATTGAAATGAATGAAACTTTTACTAAACATCATATTTGATTTGGTAAGACATAGAATCATTATACTGGAGTATGTAAAGCTCCTATGTCTTTTGAAAGAAATAAATCTAAAGACAAAATATCAGGGTTGTGAAATCAAAAAGCCTGTTTTGACATTGTTGAGTAAAGTTCAGGGGAGATAGAGAGCTACCTGATGACTCTTCGAGGAGGACATTACTTTTGTTATTTTCATTTTCTCATTTAGAAATTCCTCCTGCATACACAGTCCAATCCAGAAAACATTGAGAGCTTTTTTTTTTTTGTATGACTATACTAAGCACTGAGAGTACTCCAAACAAATAGTAAAGAATAGGCTATAGTTCTTAGGTTTAAGAATGGTATATTCTAAAACTAGTAAGAGAAAAAACAGGGACATACTGAAAGAACAGGGTAGATAAATTCTAGGAGAGAGGAATAACAAAGAGCTATATTAACACGGAGTAGAAAAGATTACCATGGGTTGTTGGGTGTGAGAATTAGAGATCATGTTGCTCACCCTTTAGCTGCATTTGTGCCCAGATTAACTTCCTCAAAAGTGAATGATGATTTATTTTAATTTGTAAACTGCTGTTTACAAGTGCTAATATGAATGTAACTGTGGATCATTTTAAGCCAAGTTGCTATAAATCATAGATGATAGATATTTGAGCTAGAAAGCTCCTCTCCAAGGAAAATGTACCAATTATAAACACACTTTATGATGAAATATTTCATTAAGTTGATCCTATTGAATTACTGGGAATGGTCTCCCAAATCTTCATACATTTCTCACATTATTTATTTTTCATGATATTGAGAAAAGCCTTTACAAAGTGAAGCTAATGGCACATGTGTGAGGAGAATGTGAATAATAGATGATAAAAAATAAATCTCTGGCATCTAGAAAACTGGCCTATTGGGGTACAATTATTTGATGCATATTATCATAAAAATTTTATGTCTAAAAAATGGTAATATAAAGCCATGCAGATCCTTTTGAAAGAGAATTGTGATAATTGCCGTTGCATGCCAAAATAATTGGTTTTGCTGATCAAAAACTTTTCCATTAGGTACCAAAATGTAACATCTGCCAGTGATATAATGGACCAATAATTGAAGCACATAGTATATCCTCATAGGGGCTACACTGCTGTTTTATTTATTCTTGCCCAACTGTGAAGATAAACTTCACTAAATACATGTGATATCCTGTCAATTCGGGATAAGCATATTTTTTTCTTGGACAGATAGCTGGTAAGTGAAACACCTGGATCACCCCAGAGCTGCAAAATTACAATCATAGCGGATATATGATGTCAGAAACAAGTCCACTTAGACAGACTAAAAACATTCAAATATGCAGAGGCAATAACTCCTCTCCCTTTCCAGTTTAGCTGTAAGCTAACATTGTTTCATTTGCCTTTAAGATCACTCTATTCCAACATGACAGGTTTATATTTATAGGTCACCCCATTACAGATTTCTTATTCTGTCTGAAACTTTATTAATCAGAAACAAAGCATTATGCTGAATCGGGTATTTGCAATGGAAGATTCAACTTAAAATACGGAATTTCTATCCTCTAGGACATTTTCTCTAATGTCACCAATTTCTCAACTCAGTATTCAAACAGTGCAGATTTATTATTTCCTAACAACACACTTTTCATTTAGAAACGTATATTTCTAATTATATCATCTGCCTCATTTGCAAATTCAACTGTATGTTTCCTAAGATTCTTTGATTACACTCTTGGGGACATTTAGTGAATGTTTACTGACAAGTAGTTATGGCCAGTTAAATAATCATGCCCTCTATAGTTGCACTTCTGTACAGTAATTCCATTATACTAATTACTAGTACTTAACTCCTAGTAGTGCTTTTATTTTATGATCTAGAGTCTGTTCTAGGTATCTCCCATGTAATAAGCCATTTAATGCTAACAACTGTTGATGATATCAGAATTGTTTTTATTTCAATTCTATAGATAACTGAGACCCCAGATGGTTAAACAACTTGCTTAAGGTCATGTAGTCACTAAGTGTAGACCCATAACCAGAGCCTAGGGAGTCTTTCTCCAGATCACCTGCCTTTGACCACTCTTCATCACTGTTTTCCTATAACTTGATGTGATTTATGATAAACTTTAAACCTTGGTTTTATATTAATCTTTTCTATTTTTCAGATGTTTAGCTTTATACACATCAAATAGCCATCACAGAGATTTTTTGTTGTTGTTGGGCTGCCAATATTGAATATGTGGTATATAAGATACATAATACATATTTATGTGTGAATATGTACGTACATATTTCTGATTGGTTGCCACACCACAGAATTAAATAACATACAGTATTATGTAAAATGCAGATCTTTATCACTTACTCTTGAAAACCTATAAATAATTTCAATATGAAAATTTTATTGACTCTGAATTACAACACATATTACTAATAATCATATACATATGTTTATCACACAGATTTTCAGCTTATATTACAGTCCTGCACTCATTCAGCAGAAATCTTCTGCTTTTACTGCAATGCGTAGCAGTTATGCTTCATGACTGACAATTATGTCATATAAAAAATAAGTCACAATTAATAAAAATCAAAACTAATATGTGCTACAATTATTTAATGATTTAATAAACTAGGAGAGGGTTTTATGAAAAGACTTATACAAACAAGAGACCCAATTTCCAATTAGAATCAACACTTAAAATTCTTCAAGTTCCTAAGAGTGAGGCAACACCTAATCAGTTTGTTCTTCACATATCCCTCTACCCACAAAGGGGCAGTTACTTTCAAAGAAAAACACGGTTAAAATATCTGTTCCCTCCACATGGGTTAGAAATACTTTTGTGAGATAACTGATACACTACAAAAAATGCTGCAAGTGTAAGATCAGAAATTATTTGTGTGGTAACCTTACCACATTTGGATATCAGGACTATAATTATAGATTCACAAGGAAAAATAAATTAACTTAATAACTAAAATAGCCCTTAAATGAATAGATGTATCATAATAATAGTTAACATTCCCCAAGATTTCACTACATGCCAGGAATGTTCTAAATTCCTAACATCTATGAGTTCATTTAATCCAAATACTAACACTATGAAGTTAATACTATTATTATTTCCATTTTAATGATGATGAAATAAGTACAAAGAAGCTAAATAACTTGTCCCAGGTCATTTGCAAATCACTGGGGATGGTATTGAACCCAACTGGTATCCCACAAGAACCTGCACTCTTAATCACAATTCTTGACAGTTTTTTTGATCCATCTTATTTATAAACAATTAGCTTATTTCAAATTTTGCACTATTTCAAATAATGTTATAATAAGCATGCCAGTACCCACACCTTTTTGAGCTTGTCCTAGTATTTTTAGAGTAAACTTCCTAGGGATGTAAATGCTGAATCAAAGGACATGAACATTCATCACTGTCAGGTTTGTAGGTGAAAAATGATGCTCTGAACTGTTGTTTTTATTTGCATTTTTTATTAGTGAGCATATTTTATTTCAGTGGTGTCTTAGAACCAGCTCATGCAGGTTTTGATTATTTCTTCCCACCCGACTCCACCTTCAATAAAATGAAGTTGGTAGCTTGAAATTAAACATAGGTGGGAGTTTTCACAGCTTTGAAATCAGCACAGTATAAAAATTAGACTTGCTTTGTTTGTTTTGTTTTGTTTTGCTTTGGAGAGTTGCTTAAATGTTCACCTTCACAGGCCATTATGTTTCTGCTATGAATAGACTACTCATCTTCTTTGCTCAGGTAAAAGTTGGGTTGAGGTTTTTTTTTATTGATTTTTAAGATGAATATTTTAACCTAATAAATTATAAACAAGAGGAAAAATTTTGTTATTAATTCTAGTAATCATGATTTTGGTCACACAACTTAGCCATTTGTTCAAAAATAATATAGATAAAACCCAAAGTGAAAAAGGTTATGAGTTTCAATTTAGAATCTGCTATAAAATTTAAATAATTATTAGGTCTCCTTAAGTTAAAACGATGTTTTAAGTTTGACTTACCTTATTTTAAAATAAATGTATGTATATAATCTATGCCTTTTAGAAATGCTATAAGATAGAGGTTGGTGAATACACCCTAAAGCTCTGAAGTACCATAGACACTTGAGGTTGTAGTAATAAAAAATAAAAAAGAAAACACTTGAGATTGCAATTTTACTATCATAAAACTTTAAACTTCTATGGATTTTATATGCTAATGCCAATGTTGAAGCATTAGAAACAGAGGGCTGAACCATGGGTAGTCTAGACAATTTGCTATATAAATTTAACTAGCAGGTAACTTCATAGTTACTGATTTTCAAACAATAGCAATGTTCCTGGAACTGCATATAACTAGTAAAAACTGTTTCAGTTAAAAATCAATGATGAGATATCACTAAATTAGTGGACATAAAAGAAATAGGGTTTAAACTGTATTCTTCAAACAACATTTATCTTGAATTTTGAAAGGAATGTAATTGTTATCATTTTCATATACCTTTTAACTTTCTATTCAAATACACTGAAATACTGCACTATGGAGAAGTTTTTTTGCTACACTTTCAGTTAATTTATAAAAGTAGACTATACAAGATGTATAGTCCATTGTACTAACATGAAAGAACATTTTTCAGGACAAAGAAATTAAAATTGTTTCAACAGGAAAATCTGCCAAACCAAGTGACCATGAAATTCATTTACACATAATTTTACTATTGCTGGTCAAGAACAATCAGAAAATAAGCTATTCTTCATCTATTTTTCCAAAGATATTTTTACAGATTAACTACAAGAGAAAGGTCTATTCTTTTTCATTTTGAATTTGTGATTTAAGAACCTGACACTTTTGAAAAATGCCTTATTACTGCTTTAAGCATGCTCTGTTCCCATTCTGTTTTCAAAATCATTAAATCATATTTATGAAGTGACCATACACATCACTAGCAATTTTGATAACTGCTTTTCTCCTGCCTTAGGTCATTAGTTGGACTGAATGTTTTAAAGTGAAATAAAACATTTTATGCGTCACAGAGTAAGAAATGGACTGAATCAAGGGGCTGTGGTTCTTGGTGTTCTCTGCTGTAGCCTGGGGCTAATTCCCATTTTCAAAACTTTGCTTAAATCTCGATCCTTCCCTGAAATGACCTGGACCTCTTTTCCCCACCAAATCTTAACCTAATCATGTTCTAAGACCCTGCCGAAAACCCTGTGTTCTTGAATATTTCAACTGTTATTAATCACCCCCTTCTCACCTTGACTCCAAGTACTCAAAGGTATACGACACCCTTTAATACTTATATATATAAGGCTCTGAATTGGTTGATTTTGTTTTAGGGTCATTTAATTAACAAATGATCAATTCTATTAATAGTAGGCAGGGATTATGCTTATATATCTTTCTAATAGTCCTAATCACCTACCTGGCACCTTCAAGTACAGTCAAACACTTACATCTGGCCCTAGCACATTTTGGAGCATCTAGTAAATACTCACTAAGAGCTCAATAGATTGAATAAAAGTAAACAAAATGTCTTTGTGTTCGTTTGTTTTTGTTTATTTTACCTACTATGCAATTTCATTGCAGTTACAAAAATATTACAATTTTAGGTAGATTTGGAAATAATAATAAAAATGTAGCATAGAGTAAAAATTGATATTCAAAATCCAAAACATTTTTATGAATGCCTCCAAGAATCAGTTCATTTGGCTTTCTTAAATAGAGGTCAGGTTAATTTCACAAGAAAATAAGTATTTTTTTTCTTAGATTCTAGTCTCCTGGCTTCTTTGCAAGCTGACAAAATATTAGGATTAACAAGGACCAATCTAGTGCACCTTCACCCACGGTCCTCTGTTCATAACACATATACACACCACGCATATGAACATCCATGTCCATTAGATATCACAGTTACTTTTTTTTCTTTTTTTTTTTTCTTTTGAGACAGAGTCTCACTCTGTTGCCCAGGCTGGAATGTAGTGGCACAATCTTGGCTCACTGCAACCTACGCTTCCCTGGTTAAAGTGGTTCTGATGCCTGTGCCTCCCGAGTATCTGGGATTACAGGTGCACACCACCACATTCAGCTAAGTTTTTGTATTTTTAGTACAGACAAGGTTTTGCCATGTTGACCAGGCTGGTCTCAAACTCCTGGCCTCAATTGATCTGCTGGAATTGGCCTCCCAAAATGCTGGGATTAGAGGTGTGAACCACCACACCCAGCCAACACAGTTATTTGTTCTTGGGGTATGTGCTTGGTAGACCTCAGAAAAAGAAAAAAAAAAGGCTCATCTGCTTGGAATCACTTGAAGATTACAGTTTTAACTATGGGTTTCAATTATTTTGATATTCAGAAATCACGTGCAATTAAAATATAAATAACCCTCAAAGAGATTATTTTTAAAAATCTGTTAACACGTAAGTACTTCAGATCTTTCCTAGAGTGTCAGTAAGCTCAGAATAACTTGTAGTGGTCATGGTCACTGCGGTGGGATGCTTAGGGAGAAGAGATCTTAAGTAGGGTCCACATTATAAATTCCTGGGAATATAGGACCATTCTAGGGAGATTGGTTTCTCAGACTTTAGAGGAATAATAAGTAATGATGGAATTTGGGAGAAGTCTGGCCCAAAGAGGACATAATAGAATCTAAAAGTAAAATGTCTCAGTTGTAGTGTAGGTATGGGGGACAGGGAGGGGAAGAAAGTTTAATTTACAAATTACAAGCATACTTTGGAAAAGTTTCATTTCTCTTCATGCACATAAAGTACATATTTCAATATTATAGAATTTTTTCCATTGTTCTAAAAATGCAAATACATAAAAATTTCTTAGGCAGTTGTCTAATGAATGTTTAAACAGTAAAGTTAATTATCCTACAACTTAAAGTAATTTGTATTTGATCAAAACAGCTACGTTAGCATTGAATTCAAACGTTTGCTTACAAGAAATACATTGTTTTTAATTGTCTGTCACCTAACAAAACCCAAGGCATTTTGAAGTAAAATAAATTTGTATCTCCCATATAGATTTTTTTAATTACGTTTCGACTAAATGAGAAAGACAGGATTGGAAAGTGCCTCCAGAGGTCATTTAGTCCATTTCCACTTCTGGCAAACTTCGCCTAAATCATTTCAAACATATGGCTAACTACCTTGTGCCATCTTTGTTAAGCAATCTCCGTTCTTGGCTGCCCACATTAATGATGTGTGTGCCTACAAACTGGTTTAAGTGTTCTGTGTGATTTAGCTAGTCAAGAGTGTCTGATAATCTGTCTAGTCAGCAAGATATCTCTCAGTTAAATCAGTCTAACTGAAAATGTGTTCATTAAACTTGGCTAATTTTTTATTTACTTCACTGGTAAATACAATTAAAACACTCAATCAAGTGTAGATGTCAGAGACAACCAGTAAATCAGGATCTTCCTTAATCTAACTAAATTGTTCCCGACCTGATTTTAACCAAATTTTACTCAACCTACCCACCCTGGAGCAAAAGACTGTCAAACTATGTTCCTGTTCCTAAACGTCTTCAATAAGTCTTCTTTTCTCTGCCACTTTTGCAGGCAAATAAACTAAAGAGTCAAAGAATGAAACAGGGATCAGAATGAGCCAACCAAATTTATAAGGAAA
This sequence comes from Homo sapiens, assembly GCF_000001405.40. NCBI lineage: Eukaryota > Metazoa > Chordata > Mammalia > Primates > Hominidae > Homo > Homo sapiens. The sequence continues at coordinate 212,186,727 of NC_000002.12, forward strand.
CCCAAAGAGAGGTTTGTTTTATTTTTTTTAAATGAACATACTCAACAATATTCAAAAGACTAATACTGAAAGATAGAAGTATGCAGCGATAAAATACGTCAACATGTTTGCTATTTTCTCTATATTATAGCAGTTATTTCTAAAAATAAGAATTTCAGACTATCTCCACCATTATTTTCTTTTCATATTCCTCTGAAGGTAATGAACTAAGTTTTAAATTTGCCTACTTTTTGAAGTAGAACACTTCTCCCTTAAAATCAAATTTAAATATATAATACTAAGACTTACATTTTTCCTCTGCCTTAGACTAAGATCAGATTTTACATATTGCTCAGAGGCCGAACCCTAAGGTCAAATACAGTTGGAGTTTACTTGACTCTACTGTTAAAAGGGAAAACAGAGGCATATAGACTCAGATGACAGTCAAAGATGATCTAGACAAAAAATGCAGAATCACAATACTATACTATAATACATAAAACATTTGAGTACTATTATTAACATTGAGACTGTCATTTAAGATATTGTGTCACAATTACCAGCATGTGAGATGATTCTTCGGTTTAAGATTTCAACCAGAAAATATACCTAATGCTAGAGGATGAGTTAGTGGGTGCAGCACACCAGCATGGCACACGTATGTATGTAACTAACCTGCACAATGTGCACATGTACCCTAAAACTTAAAGTATAATAATAAATAAATAAATAAATAAATAAATAAAGATGTTAATCTTCCATTATAATTATACAAATTATATTGACATGTATTGACAATACATGTTAATAAATACTCCAAACTATGGAATTGCTGAAGTAGCTTACATTAGAAAATACAAAAGTAAATTTGAAAACAAGAATATCAGTCTTAAATATCAATTTTTTAAGAGCCAGCATTTAAAAATATTCAATACTGAATTTGTTACTAATTTGTAGAATTAATGGCATGCAACTCCAAAGGAAAAGAGACATTTAAGTGACTCAGATTTGGGATAATATCATAAATTCCTTTCAGTGGCTGTAGCTAGTGTTTTAGAGGGTAGGAAATAATGATGCAAAATCAGATACAAATTATTTCAGAGACATGAGTGATCTTCAAAGTGAAATATTAGAAGTGATGTTATGAAATACAAGAAATGTGACTGAGAGCTCCTAATCTGATATATGGCAATATGTTACCACTCATTAAAGCCCAATTTTAATGCGTTGACAGCTAACCTCGAGAAACAAGACATCTAACTTCAATCCTATAATATTATTTGGTGATATATCCTCACAATATCGTACAGGCAAATAAAACGTTCAAATTTGAATTTAGCACTTCTTCTCCTGACAGCTCTAGAATTCCTTAACTTAGTGAATATAGCCACAATCAATCCAGTTGCTCAAGTCAGAGATCAGGTAGCCATCCATGTCAAATCCCAAATCCTGTCAGATCTCCCTTATAATACCTTCAGGTCTCTCTCTCTCTCTCTCTCTCTCTCTCTCTCTCTCTCTCTCTCTCTCTCCCCCCCCCTCTCACCCCCTCCCTCCCTCCCTCTTCTCTCCCTCCCTCTTCTCTCCCTCCCTCTTCTCTCCCTCCCTCTCTATCCCGCTACCCACTACAACTCTAGGATAAACTCTTATCATCTCTTGCCTGTATTATAACATCCTCTTAAATGGTCAGGGTACACCTCCCTCTCCCACCCGACCTCCTAGACACCTCACCCCTAGGTTTCTCGCTTTCTACCATTCTGTTCTCTCCACTGTAACCAGAATGCTTTTTAAAAACAGAAAAGCTAATGATGGCAGTCTCCTACATAAAAGTATTCAAAGGCTTCCCGTGGTTTTAGTAAACTTGGCCTTTAATGCAAAGACAATTTTGTCTCTGCATATCTCTTTTGCTTCATCTAGTGCCACCTTTTTCTTTGTTCAATAGATTTGAATTGGATTTCATCTAGCTGTGTCTTTTACCTGGAACAAGCTTTCTCCCTCTTCCTACTAGATCCTTCAGAACTCAGTTTAAATACTATTTATTATTTTAGGTCATCTTCCTTCAAGATTCCTCAGACTAGGTGAATATTGTCTGACATAGTCTTCCATAGACTCAACATACTTATAATGTATTCATTATAAGCTACATGAGAACATGAGAATAGAGACTCAAAGCCTGTCACTATTCCTGACGAATATGTTCTTATTAAATGCATGCTGAACATTCATTAAGAGCTAAAAATATATAAACAGGTTATTTTTCTATACATGTAGTCAAATTAGTGCTCAGTGGCTGTTCTGATTATTTTATCATTACAGGTTGAGTATCTCTTATCCAAAATGCTTGGGACTGGAAGTATTTCAGATTTCTAACTTTTTTTTTGGGGGGGGGGGTGATTTTTGAATATTTGCATAATACCAGTTTAGCATCCTAATCTGAAAATCCAAAATGTAAAATGTTCCAATGAGCACTTCCTTTGAGCATCAAGTTGGCATTCAAAAAGTTTTGAATTTTGCAGCATTTCAGATTCTGCATTTTCAGATTGGGGATACTCAAACTTTATTTGAAATTATTAGTGACTTATTCACTGTTCCTTAAATCAGTTGAGTGAATGAGGGTTCTCTTTCCTCTACAATATTCAGATATCTACTGTTGTCATTTCTTCTGCTTATCCTCTCCATCACTAATTATTCCTGGTGTCATTTTATTTCAAGACTTCTGTCAGCCTCTTTTCTTCATTATTAGAAATAAAACTGTGAAGTCCTCCAAAAACTCTGATCCACCTTCAAATGATCCTCTTTTTCATTCCATCACATTCAATTTTTCAAATTCTTTCAAGGCTCTTTCTTGAGAGCGACATATCAAAGAGCTAGTAATAAGAATCTTCAACACCCCAAATTATAAACAAGTTTCATGCCAATAAGGGCCTAGTGCACTGCACTAAATGTGTAACAGGCATATATACTACAAAAACATTAAATAAAATATTGCCAATTTGAATAAAATGGTTTATTCTCTTATTACAGGTCTTTAACCTCACATATCTGAGTACCATCCATAAGATTCATATCGCTTTGTTTATAATCAGTGATTAGATAGATGGAATTTCTAACCTCCATATTTTACATGCTAAGATTTTAAATTCTGACTTCAAGGAGTTAAAAAAATTATGCTCACAAGGACCAAAATATGTAAACCAATTATAAGATCATCTTTACTGTTAGTCAAACCATTTTATGTATAATATTATTCACCATATTGGAATATGTCTTTGTAAGGTTAATGAAAACACACCTTTTTATAATAAAGCCTACTTTACCAGACATAATGAAATAAAATTTCCATAGGCATAGCTACCTTCTAAGTGAAAGTTCTATGTTACTTTTTAGTCATTGATAGTTATTACATTCTAAAAAGTTTTACTTACTGAACTAGAAAAATTTTCAAATTTCAAATTAGATTATCTTTGTTATACTGAGTCAGCATTATCACTAGAGAGTTCTTTAGATGGTGCAATCAACTTAGATAATTTCTATCTTTTAAGAAATGGGGGCAGCTGGGCGCGGTAGCTCAAGCCTGTAATCCCAGCACTTTGGGAGGCCAAGGCGGGCGGATCACGAGGTCAGGAGATCCAGACCATCCTGGCTAACAGGGTGAAACCCCGTCTCTACTGAAAATACAAAAAAATTAGCCGGGCGTGGTGGCAGGTGCCTGTAGTCCCAGCTACTCGGGAGGCTGAGGCAGGAGAATGGCGTGAACCCGGGAGGTGGGGCTTGCAGTGAGCGGAGATCGTGCCATTGCACTCCAGCCTGGGCAACAGAGCGAGACTCCGTCTCAAAAAAAAAAAAAAAAGAAGAAGAAGAAGAACTGGGCGCCTTTGATACATAAGTGTATTCATTAGGTCTTGAAAATTATTCACACCACCATCGGTTCCTTTGCAGTGAATGTTGCAGCCCTTAGGGTCAGTGTCAACCAATTAAAATTCAAACACATAGACCTGAGAGAAGAAACCCTGTTAATCTATTTCACATCCTAATGATGAAAACCTTTACCTTAAATGAATGTATTTTGGATAAAGTAGGCCATATTTTTATAAAATATGATATGCCTATTTCAGATCCGAGTATTATTTTAGGAATTAATAAACTAAATCTAGTTCCCATTCATTCTGAAACTATTTTCAGAATTGTATTTTGAAAACACACATACGCTCACAAACACATATAATATCCTAATGCATCTCAATTAGACTCAGTTGGCTAATACCAAGTTTCCCTAAAGTTCACTACCCCTCCTTGAGGATCAGAATACTGATCAACACAGCCCTAAGGGCATTTTTTTTTTTTTAGATAAAGATAAACCACTGTATAACTACCAAGTTTAATAGCAAGTATAAAATTTCACTAGTAAATGTAGTTTCATAAAACAAGGGTTTAAGAAAGTGATTCTCAAATTTTACACTATATAAGAATCATGGACAAGACTTACTACAATACATATTGCATGTCATATCCCCTTTTTCTGATTCTGTGGGTCTGCTCAAGAATTTGCATTTCTAACCATTCCCCAGATGATGCTGATGCTATTGGCCTGGGGACTACACTTTGAGAACCACCGATTTAACGAATCATCCATTTTTTTTAATGTTACTGCAAATGAGTTTTAATGTTACTTTTAAAAAAATGTAATGTGTATTAGGAAACAGAAAATTTTACAACCTAGTTGTAGGTATATACACATGTTATACATGTTATACCTGTTATATATAACACATGTGTTATACATGTTATACCTGTTATATATAACACGTGTTATACATGTTATACCTGTTATATATAACACATGTGTTATGCCTGTTATATATAACACATGTGTTATGCCTGTTATATATAACACATGTGTTATGCCTGTTATATATAACACATGTGTTATGCATGCTATATATAACACATGCGTTATACATGTCATATATCGCGTGTGTTATACATGTTACATATAACACGTGTTATACATGTTACATATAACACGTGTTATACATGTTACATATAACACGTGTTATACATGTTATATATAACACGTGTGTTATATGTTCTATATGTTATATATAATACATGTTATATATGTTCTATGTTATATATAATACATGTTATATATGTTCTATATATTATATATAATACATATGTTACATGTTATATATTATATATGATACATATGTTATATATGTTATATATTATATATGATGCATATGTTATATATGTTATATATGTTATATGTTATATATGTTATATGTTATATATGTTATATATAATATATGTTATATGTTATATATGTTATATGTTATATATATGTTATATGTTATATATGTTATATGTTATATATATTATATATATTATATAAGTTATATATTATATATTATATATATTATGTGTTATGTTATCTATATGTTATATATATTATATTATATGTGTTATATATTATATATATAATATTAGATATATATATTCTTTTTTATTTCCTTCTTTGGCATAATTCTAATTTCTAAATGCTAATTTCCCCTATACTCTGTCTGCAAACTCAAGACAGACTAGTTATGTGAGGTACTATTCAAAATTGAAATAGAACTTTTTAAATTCTTCATATTGATTCGGGCATTGGAAACAGCAATTCCTCAGTTTTCATAGTTATTTATCTCAGTTGTCTTTCTCCTGAGTATTATAATCATACCATCAGCCCATGTATATTGAGATCATATTTCAGTCTATATTTATGTTATGTGGTTTTCCATGTACATTTTGTTCATTTAGTCATTATCTTTTCTCAGAATTAGCTGAAAAAGGCTATTGGGCAAATGGTGAGAAATGAAGGAAAAAAGGACAAATAGAAAAATAGAACAATAATGCCTTTGGTCTTAAGCCTTTCCTTATCTTTCATGGTCTTATCATGGACAAAGGCCACATCTTTTAAAGGATTCATACTGAGATACTCAGGAGGTCTCACAGGAGTCATATACTATACTCAGTAGAGTGGCTTTATTTTTATTCCCAGCTAGTCCACCTGATATCTGAAAAGTTTGCCCAGTTACACTGAGGACCGATCAATAGTGTGATATCTGAAAAGTTTGCCCAGTTACACTGAGGACCGATCAATAGTGTGATTTGCTATCCATAGGGAGGAGGGGAACACCCTCTGATATTTCCTGTTTTTAAACAACTAAAGTTGTTTTGTATTCCCTAAACCGTATTGATCCAAGAAGCTAATGATAGTTTTTACGAAAGCTCCCTTTTGTAAACTCTGTCACAGAGGAAACCTTGGAAAATTACAATTAACGGCAGGAAAAATGTTGGAAATCTATTTTACCATGTAACTTTCCTGCCAGCTCCTGCTATGTACAAAATAAAGCAAGACCCACATGTTTTTACCTCCTGGGTTTGGATATAGCTGGACTGATGCAATGGCAATGAAGATGGCTTATATTTATAACTCCAGGGTGCTTTTACTCCTCCCAACTAATTTGCCATCTTGTCCATTATGTGAATAAGCTGTAACGGCTGAATTGGCATTGCCCCCACTTTTCCATTTCAGCAGAAATTTTAAAAGGAGGTTGTCACTCTGTAGGCTCAAGTGATGCCATCTGCTTTTCCATTTGGGGAAATGCACATAAAAATGGTGGGGGAGATGTTAAGTATTTAATTAAAGGTAGACTATCTGTTTCCCCAATTTTCTCTAGTTTAATACCTGCTGGGTCACATATAGAATACAAATAAGAAGATAGAAAACAGTTCATGAGATCTTGTGGGAGAAATACTAAAATTAGGTTGCCCATTAAACATAACAAATGCACATTTTACTAGTACATTAAACCAAACAGAAAGGTTTTTTTTTAATGTGAAATACATGAGAACTCTTAGAACACTATAATTGCAGTTCTAAAGAAAGTAATCATATTACTCATATATGAATCTTGATTTCTAGACAAATATATTTCTGAAACTGTATGATGAAATTCATATTTAAAATGGAATTTAATAATTGTCATCAATAATGGATATCTTACTTTAATCTATCAATAAAATCACCTACCTAGGGATGTATGTAGATGAGTAATTCTTCAATTAGAATACTAAAAAATATGTCATTACAATTACAGCTTCAAGGGGCCAGTAATGTTTGTGGTAGACTTTCAAGACTGTTGAGTGTGTAGTTTATCTAAATACTAAGGTTATTTTTTCCTTGTAATTCTAGAGCCACACCATTGTTTTGACTATGGCACAAATGTAATGCACATTTCAATAAAACAGTACAGCTGGGAATTAACAGGCTAATAAAAAGGACTTTAAAGGTGCATTAAATTAGGATTTAAGATGTCTCTTGCATTTGCAGCATAAATGCTAATAAAAATATAAATCTGTTATTAACTTTTTATAGTCATGCAAAGCAATAAAAGCTGAAAATATTGAAGATTTATCAGCACATATCTGCAAGACGGACAGAATAGAACAAAGGTAGAGAAAGAGAGATGTTAGGAAAAGGGAGAGAAATTTTTAGAGTAGAAATGAGGAGAAATAATTTATATATAGTTTAAATAGTTTATACACACACACACACACACACACACACACTTTGTTTCCTTTCTAACATAATCATTTTTATTTTGATCCTCAAGAAAGTTTGGGAATGTTGTTTCATGAAAGTAAAAACCAAGAAAATATTTTCTATCATTTAAATGACTAGAGCATTAAGCTAGGAGATTCTGCTCCAAGGGCAATACTATGTTACCTGTTACTATTTCCCTTAGCTAACAATATACCACTTGTGTCAAATGTGTGCTGACAATACAGGCTTGTTCATTAGAATCATACAAACAGCTAGCTAGCAGTTTGCTTAATAATGCACTAACCTATTCAGAATGCTTATTGCTTGAGTCATAATTGCACAGATCTAATTGTTAAATGTGGCTGGGAAATTAAAATGGTAGTCCTTAGAGACAGCTCTGTTTCAAAATTAATATAATCATTAAAGAAAAATAAAAACATATATTTTTGCTGGCATATCTGAAGGTTTTTAAGAATTTCTTATGCAAAATGTAAAAGAGAAGTCATGGTTCTCGAAAACAATATTAAAATGATATACTTCCATCTATTAAGCCACATGGAAGATAAAAGTTTTGGGGTTGTAGCCTCAGAAAGGCTCTAAATTCTTAATGTTGATAAACAATAAACAACAATCATTTGTTTTCCACATTGGTTATGATTAATTGGTATATACTGAAGTTTTTAAAAATGCATTAAAAATATAATATAGGCAGTCCATGGATTGCCCTCATGCTACTTTGAGAAGCTGAAAAACCACAACACATTAAATTGCAGTAAAATTCAAATAAAGTTTTATAATTTGTATATAGTGCATAAAAATGTTTATATAAATTCGCCATTAACTATATAAAGTATTATTTCATTGTAGATAGTAACAGGATCCTCATTTGTCAGAACAAATTATAAATTTGGTGTTATTACTCTTTTCTCTCTCCTTTAAAATATCAATTTGCCAGTATTTTAAAAAATTCTGAATAGCAACAGTTGTTAGCTACAATTTGCATTAGACAGCTGACAATTACTCAAGGTGTTACTTTCTAAGAAAATCAAACAAATAAATATGCTCAGATTTTAAAAAAAGACTTGCAAAATACTTAATCTGCTACTTATAGTGTATCACATAACAAGTTAGACAGTCACAGTATTATTTTTAAAACTATTTTTAATTAGGCTATTTTTAAATTTAAATTAATTAAATAAAATATGCACACCTTTTAAAGGCATAATTGTTGTTCTTATAATATATGTAAATCAATTTAGGCTTCCTAATTTATTAAAAATAGAGGTGGTTAGAGTACGTAAGAAAATTCTCTGGAACATAATTTTTAATATGGCACAAGCATAACTCATAAGTTCAATATTGTCTTCAAGCACATTAACTTTATATAATAAAAATAAACAACAAAAACATGGCTTACCATATCCCTATACTTAATCTGTATAAATAATATTAAAAGCATATTTCAAAGAACTCATTTCAGAAATGTTTATGTTGTGAGTTACCAAGGAAACATTAAACAGACCAGAACCAAGGGAATACATGATTGAATAGTCCTGGTTTCCTTTCGTTATAGAGTTCTTTCCTTTATGTCATAATTGAGGAATAGGAGTAGTTTAGGAAAATGGAAAATTTTCTTTTTAATTTAAGATAGTCCATCATGCATTCCTGGAAATTTTCATCCAAAAATAAAATTATGTAGACACATGTCAACATCTGGTTAGACTAACAAAAGCAATTTTAATGTGCAGTTGACCCTAGAACAATGCAGAGGTTAAGGATGCCAAACCTATCCCCACCACCGGAGTCAAAAATCTATGGGTAACTTTCGATTCCCCTAAAACTTAATTACTAATACTCTACTGCTGGCTGGAAGCTTTACCAATAACAATTGATTAAAAAACGATTTTGTATGTTATATGTATTATATACTTTATTCTTATAATTAAGACAGCCAGAGAAAAGAAAATGTTATTAAGAAAATGATAAGGAAGATAAAATATATTTACTATATTCATTAAGTGGAAGCAGATCATTATAACGGTCTTCATTCTCATCTTTATAATGAGTATGCTAAGGAGGAGGAGCAACAGGAAGCATTGGTCTTGCCCTCTTAGGGATGGCAGAGGCAGAAGAAGGGGAGGAGGTGAAAGGGGAGGCAGGAGAGGCAGGTATACTAGGTGTAATTTTATAGAAAAAAATTCATGTCTAAGTGGGTCCATGTAGTTCAAATCTGTGTTGTTCAAAGGTCAGCTGTAATTTATAATAGTAAAGTAATTTAGACTGAAAATTCTAAATGATGCAATATAATTATATATTGTACAGGAGGTAAGGAAAGAAGCAGAAATCTCATAAAAGTACTAAACCTGATGGAATAGTACTGTTTACTGATCTGACATAATTTCCATCAATTTAAGCGATTCCTTTGACTATACCTTAAATGAAATAGTATGGTTTCATCCTAAATTCAAACTCTCATAACTGCCCAAATTAATAATTATGGTAGCTAAACTAAATGTTGAATAAGTATGAAGTATTTTGTTATTTTTGATATACAGGAAATTCTTGGATTGACATACGTGTATAAATCCAGAACTTTCAGATTTTGGATAAGGAAATCAGAGCATATACCATATGTCACGCCTCACCCGTGCTGGGTAGCAACCCACATTTGAAACCAGCCTAATTCTCCCATAGAACTGATGTCTACGGGTTGTTTTTTTCTTTCGTTTTAAATAAACATAGAAATTGACCAGTTGCTGCCTGCTGACCAACTCCTTTATACACCCCTAATTTTAGTCAGCTGGGGGAAGAGACAAATTTGAGAATGGCCTGTAGTGTCCCAGCTGACATCCTCCAAATTAAAGCTTTTCTTCCCTGGCAATACTCATTGTCATGACTAGACCTAAGCCAAACTGCTGGTATTTAGAAACATATTCAATTGCCTTAATTATTATACAATAAAACTTATGAAGATTCGCAATAAGTGGGAACAATAAAGACACAAATTATTCTTAAGTCAGCTTAGGTCAGGATTTTTCACTAAATAAATTTTGGAGCCAATTTAGAAGAAAACTGTTAGCTTTTAGAACTTTGTGGATTTTAGAATTGTGGGTAAATGATTATGGGCCCAGTTTTCTCATTTAACCCTAACCACACACTTATGCAAAAGGTAATTTTATTATCATTTTATATATGAGGAAACTGAGGCTTAACTCTCATAAATATCTTGCTCAAAATTATTTGGCTCGTACCATAAATACAGAACTATGTTATTAATCAAGAAGTCTGTCTCTGAATCCCACAATAATTTGGAGAACTGCCCATAATAGGTTTGATAGTGTCACAAATGCCACTGTGTTTATAACTCCAGATTTTGTATTGCCTTTTGTGTTTAAAGCCATTTCCTGTTTTAGAAGGGTGAGCTGGAAATTTATGTTTGCTGAAAGCCCTGTAACTATATAGCTAAGTAGCATTTTTGAAGGGTCTATGAAAAAGTGAATTAGGGAGCATACTCTGAAATTCCTATTTATTCCTCTAAATTCTAACTTGCAATTGTTGATTAAACTTACTGTTATAACTAGAGCATTTTCAGTCAAGTGGAGAAAATCTGACAGAGAAATAAGCATTTTAATTTTTAATTTCATGTAGTTAAGACAGATCCCCTCAAGAACCAAACTATGAGGCTGCTAAATGGAGAACACACTTCATATGGGGATTCTTTTGAGAGCTGAGCAAATAAACTCAAGTGATACATAATATGCCGTAATGTATAGAAAAGAATGCTCATATGAGAATGTTTAATTGATAGAAACAATATTCACTATCATAAGGGAATAATGATCTTTATACTACTGAGATTGTCTGAAAGTTAACTTTTGAAAAATGTTTGATTTTAGCAATTGGGTTTTTTAAATTGTGATATATAAACATATTTACCATTTTATCCATTTTTAGATGTACAATTCAATGGCATTAAGTACATTCAAGTTATTGCACAATGATAACCACCTTTCATTTCCAGATATTTTTTATCTTCCCAAACTGAAACTGTCTGCCTATTACAAAATAACTTCCCATTCTCATTCCCCACAGCCCCTGACAACCACTATTCTATTATGTCTTTATGAATGTGACTAGACTATTCCAGGTAACCTCATACAAGTGAAATCATATAATAATATTTCTCATTTTATGACTGGCTTATGTCTTAAATGGTCAATCGTATTGTAGTATGTGTTAGAATTCAATCCTTCTTAGGGCTGAATAATATTATACTGTATCTGCCATATATATAGTTTTTAGCTGGAGTCTTGCTCTGTTGCCCAGGCTGGAATGCAGTGGTGGGATCTCAGTTTACTGCAACCTCTGCCTCCCGGGTTCAAGCGATTCTCCTGGCTCAGCCCCAGTAGCTAGGGATTACAGGTGTGTATCACCACGCCCTTTTTTTTTTTTTTTTTTTTTTGGATTTTTAGTAGAGATGGGGTTTCACCATGTTGGCCAGGCTGGTCTCAAACTCCTGACCTCACGTGATCCACCCACCTCGGCCTCCCAAAGGCTGGGATTACAGACATGAACCACCACACCTAGCCTATAACACATTTTTTATCCCTTCATCTGTTGATGTTTATTGGGATTGTTTCCAGCTTTTGACTATTATGAACAATGCTGCTATGAACATTAATTCACAAATATCTGTTCGAGTCTCCACTTTCAATGCTCTTGAAATAGAAGTGGAATTACGGTAATTTTATGTGTTTAATTTGTTTTTGGGGAATCACCATACTGTTTTCCACAGTGGTTGTGTCATTTTAAATCCCCACTCACAATGCACAAGGGCTTCAATTTTTCCACATTCTCATCAATACTTGTTAGAAAATATTTTTATAATTTTACATTGTACAGGGACCCCAAACTATTTACAACCATTAACTCACTACTGATCACAGATACGTACTTTGACTTCTGTTTACTTTCTTTCATATTGTTCTATTTATCTATTTCACTTCCAGTGTATTGTACAGTACCCATTACATTAAGGTAATAGTAGCAGCTTCTTATAATTTGAATGAATGAGTGAGTGAGTGAACCTCATTAGTGACTTTAAATATTTTAAAAATAATCTACCTGGATCCCCAGAACATAACTATTACATCATAAATTATATCACAATTTGTAGTAGATACAGAACAAACTTTGAAGTCTCCACAACTTACGGCTGCAGAGGAAGGAGACTCTAAACCAAATTACTCAGGCTAGAGGTCTTTCTTAAGCTAATTGTCAGTATATCATGAATGAATATTCTTAAGGTTATAATGCATTATAGAGAGCCTGGTTTATCTTGAGACCAGCTTTATCTGAGTAAGCAGCTATACTTCAGAATTCTACGTTTCCTCAGTACTTAAATCTGCTCATGAAAATATTCACCAGAATCATTAAATTTTTAATTTATTAGAGATGAGCAATTCACAATATCCAGCTCATATTTAAAAAAAAAATAAAAACGATTCTCTTGTCTGAAGGACTCCAGAGACAGCCAATGAACCAATCAGAATTCATTGACTGCCAGTCTGACCTATGTCCCTAGCATGGAGTCAGGCCAGTGAAGTATGAAAAGATATTAGTGGACAACAAGCACATAGCTAAATAGTAATTCATGAAGTTAAACTGTATGCAGACATGTTACAGTACTAGGTAACTAGAACTGAAGAATTTTTAACAAAACAAAAGTTTACTGAAAATCCTCAGCTATCTAGATTCTCCTTGTTTAAAATTCTGTTAAAGGTCATGGCAGCTGGTAATTATAGGACATTAATTTCATCTCACAAATCAGTAATGGTCTCCATTTAACTAAGAACCCCTTCTTCCAGACAACATAAAATAGGAAGGATCTATTTAATATCATTCTACTTTGAGGAATGACCCTACCTATATAATATTCAGAGGCAAAATATCATATAAAGGAATATAAGGGAAAAGGAATATGAAAAGAAATAGGAAAAGTTACATATGTAAACTTACAATCTCAATAATAAAGACTGTATAATAGTTTTTCCTAACAGTTATAATTACATCTTTAGACAAAATATTTATCTTGTAAAGTTTTTCAGAAATTAAAAATGGAAAACTATCCAGATGACTATTGGTTATTTTTATTTCAGTATAAATAAGCTTCAGTACTACTTAACAGGAAAGCTGTATTAATTAAAGTTAAGCACTCATAGTATTTACATCATAGATTTATTATAAGGATTAAACCAGGTAATAATTGTAAAAAGCTTGGAACACTGTATGGCTGAAATGTGTTTCACCACGTAAATATAAAAGTAGTGCTACAGTAGGCCAACTGGATAGCAACTTTGCAATACTTGTTAGTCAAAAAGTGTAAGAGAGTTTGCTGGCATGAGAAGCAAACAGAATTCAAAAATGATTATTATTTATTGATATTCCTTTCCTAATAGAGAATATCACATTTCCTCCATAGGAAAATCCAAAAGGAAATATTTTCACTTAAGACAATTGGGGAAGGTGCTAGCTAATTAGTATCACACAACCAATTAATTAGCATTCCACATACCTATAATTAGAAAGTGTTAAATATGGTCTACATCAGAGTGAATTTATAAACCTTGCCTGAGGAATCAGTTAGTCAGTAGGGTAGTGCTTGTTTCTGAGTTTGAAAGTAGCACTTGTGAAAAACATTTCCAGGAAGAATTTCCACGAATGTCTACTCCTTTAAATCCAAGTTGAAAGAAAACCCAACAAAAATTCAGATGAATACATATTACATTTCTATTTTTTTAGAATTAGTCAATTAGATATTAAGAAAGTACATTTAAAATTTAATTATGCAAGTTTTCCTTCTTTTATAACTTGGCCTGATGCTTAATTACCCTATATTTGTTGATTATTTTCCATCCTTCTTATGAATATATTAGCATGCAACCATAACTATGTTAAATTACCTTTAAAAACACATAAAAACTAGTGGAGCATGGTGTTTTCCTCTTCATAGTACATGAAATCCACTCTAAATAAATTAGGATATTTTAACAGAGTTTGGGAATGTTTATTTTAGCATTGATTCCAAACAGCTCTCCCGTGGATTCACCTGATAGTGGATCCTGTCATTCTCAGGATGGTATTCTGGACTGTTATAAGGTGGATCCTGGGTGGATTTTATTTTTTTCACGCTTGCTTTAATCGATAAATATTTTCAGAAATGATGAGAAAAATGTAAGACTCTAATTATTTTCTCTAATGTTCTTTAAATAATATTGATTCATTCAGAATATAGCTATGTCAAAATATTTCCTTCATTTAAAAGGTACATTGGAATTACTGAAGCATGTCCTATATTTTAAAATTCATCTAAAGGAAATTATTTTTTGATCCATTCTTCATTCTGTCCTCTCTGGATACTATGGTAGACAAACTTACATCTCTTAACTGGTCCTTCCTCTCTACAGTTATGACTTGCTGTCTAGAAAGCAGTGGCTTATTAAGTAGACTATCAATTCTTTGAGTGTTGTCTCTCTTGTGGAACTGCCATGACTACCATAAGCTTAGTCATATAGCCCTACTATTATTCCTTTTGTTTTGTTGGCACTTATATGAATTATTTTATTTACATATATGTATTGGTATGTTTGTGTATGAGAAAGAAAAATTGTGAGTTTGAAGGGAAAAAGATCACAGTGAGAAGGACTTTGCCTTATTCATTCTGTATACTGAACAATAATAGCAACATTCATGAAATGTTTGCTAAATGAATACCAATTCGGTTACAAAGCTAGGTTTGTAGTATGGATTGCATTTAAAATGTGATAAATCCATTTAAGCAAATACATCATTCTCCCTCCCTTCATTTAAATGGATATTTAATTTTATTTAAAATGGTGGTGCGAAATTTTATAAGTGATAGTAACTTTCTTTGGTTTTATCAATAGTGCATATTCATCATTTCTATGTTCATTTATTCACTAAGTATTTATTGAGGACCTACTATGTATCAGGCATACATAGGCACTGAGGATATGTTTTGACATGAAATATTAATTTTTTATTTTTATTTTTTTGAGATAGGGTCTCACTGTCTCCCAGGCTGGAATGAAGTGGTACGATCATGGATCCATGCATCCGTGACCTCCTGGGCTCAAGTGATCCTCCTGTCTCAGCCTCCCAAGTAGCTGGGACTACAGGCATGAGCCACCATGTCTGGGTATTTTTTGTAGAGACAGGGGTCTCGCCATGTTGCCCAAGCTGGTCTTGAATCCCTAGGTTCAAGGAGTCCTCCCACCTAAGCCTCCCAAATTGCTGGAATTACAGGCATGAGCCACCACACATAGCCCAAAATATTTAAATATATGTATTAAGTTTATCTTCATGATACAATACAGATTAATCTAATGTGGCAGTATTAAAAAGTCTCACTTCACTAATTAATCCAAAGAAATAAAACTTCAATCCAGGAAAGACTGATCACTGTCAGAAATCTGATTCTGAAACATGGAGCAACCATATGTTTTTTAACCAAAATAAATGACTATTGAGAAGAAAATCAATAAAAACTATTAGTTTTATGTATATTAGTTTCTGGTAAAAAGTTTTTACACATCGGCTAATTATATTAATAGTATTACATTAATAACAAAACCATAATAATACTATACATTTATGTAATATATGTTATATAACTTATTTTATTTACATATATGTATATATTAATTGAACATCTACAAGGTGCTAGGCACAGAAGATACAAAAGTGAACGAGTCAGAAATCTGTCCTCTTTGAGAGCTTACATTTAGGGGAATCAACTAGAAATAAAAATTAACACGGACATTGTACATATATGTTACAGTAATATATAATAAGGAGAACAAATGGGAGAAGAGATACAAGAGTTGAAATTCTAGATAAGATAGCACATGGTAGGCTCTCCTGGAAAGTGGCTTTTGAGTAAAAACCTAAAACCAGGGAAGAAATTAGCTATACAGGTGTAAGAGGAAAGCACAATGCAAGCAGAGAGAAGAGCAAAAGAAGTTCCTAAGGCAGAAACATGCCTGCCCTGATAAAGAGACATGAAGAAGCTGATGTAGCTGAAGTTGAGTGAAGGAGAAGGCAGAGTAATAGGAGATGAGCTCAAGACACAATGAAGGCCCAGGTCACGTAGAAACTTTCAGGCCATTATCCAGATTTTGGCTTTTACAGTGTGAAAGATGGGAAGGCACTGGGAAAGTTTTGAAAATAAGAATAACATGATCTGAACAACTTTTTAATGAATCATTCTATACTTTGGAAAATAAGATGTGTGTACATATTTTGGCATCACAGACCACCACATCAATACTCATGAAAAGGACAAACTAGTAATTAAAATCCTTGCTAAAATCTTCAAGCCTAAACATATATTTTAATCCAATCTCTGTCCACTTCCTATCTTTTTGGAAGAAGGCAATAAGTCACTAATCAACCACTTAGCTGTTTCCCAACTTTACCTGTCATTCAGGTGGCACAAAGATAACACCATTGCTTTCATCTTCCATCCTCCCTGACACTAGGAATAAAAAAAATGAAGATACTCTTTTTAACTTTGTTTCTAGATAAATGACCACTGACAGTCACATACTAAGTCACTTGACTGAAAAGTTATTTGCTGTAGTATTCATCCCTTCTTATTTTTACACATTATTTGATTTGTCAAAAGTTAGTCAAACATGCATGAATGTTCTAAAATTATAAAGATTATCAACTTAAAACATTAAATCACTTTAATTTAAATATTGAATATGGTAAGCTGTTGGAAAAATTACTCAGATCTATTTTTTCTCTACTTGTAAAATAAGTCACTGATTTGATTTTTTAACAATCTGATTCTTGGAGCATTTTGCCCTCTACTTACTAATGATTCTATTATCGCTAGAGTAAATTATTTCTCACATTGCTAATTGGAGATTGGCCTTTCAATGAGGCAAAAGACTCTGTTTATTTTTCCATTTCCTTTAAAAAACTTTACAAAATATTATTTTGTTTTAAACTTAATGTGTCTTTTTTGCTTTCATTCTGTTTGCACATGGATAAAGAACTGTGAACTTCTGACTTCTTAAAATATCAGTATTTGTGGGCCAGGCGCGGTGGCTCACATTTGTAATCCCAGCACTTCAGGAGGCCAAGACAGGCTGATCATTTGAGGCCAGGAGTTCGAAACAAGCCTGGGCAACATGGTGGAACCCCATCTCTACTAAAAACACAAAAATTAGCCGGCTTCATGGTACATGCCTTTAGTCCCCGCTACTTGAGATGGGGAGGTACAAGAATTGCGTGAACCTTGGAGGCAGAGGTTGCAGTGAGTTGAGATTGTGCCATTGCACTCCAGCCTGAGTGACAGAGTGAGACTCTGTCCCCCACAAAAAAAACAAAAAAAAAAACAGTATTTATGATTGTCTTCCAGAAATAAGATTAACATCAAGTTGGAACACAGTTCTAAATCTTTGTCTCCCAAAAGATATTATTTATATGAAAACTTTTTTTTTTTTTTTTTTTGAGACAGAGTTTTACTCTTGTTGCCCAGGCTGAAGTGCAATGGCATGATCTCGGCTCACCACAACCTCTGCCTCCCGGGTTCAAACGATTCTCCTGCCTCAGCCTCCCGAGTAGCTGGGATTACAGGTATGCACCACCACGCCCGGCTAGTTTTGTATTTTTAGGAGAGACTGGGTTTCTCCATATTGGCCAGGCTAGTCTCAAACTCTGGACCTCAGGTGATCAACCCGCCTCGGCCTCCCAAAGTGCTAGAATTACAGGCATGAGCCACCGTGCCTGGCCAACTTCCAGACAGAGACAGACAGACAGACAGACAGACAGATAGACAGATTTTGTTTGTTTTGAGACAGAGTCCTGCTTTGCCACTCAGGCTGGAGTGCAGTGGCACGATCTCTGCTCACTGAAGTCTCTGCCTCCTGGGTTCAAGTGAGCCTCCCACCTCAGCCTCCCAAGTAGCTAGGATTGCAGGTGCGTGCCACCACGCCAGCCAATTTTTGCATTTTTAGTAGAGACGGGGTTTCACCATGTTGGCCCCACCAAGTCTCCATAGTTTTATTTCTACTTTTGTTTCTAGACAAAGCAGAAAAAAGTAAAAGCACTAGGTATTATAAATTTCTACACTTTCCTCCATAAAAAACAAACGGTCATTTTATGATATTATAGAAACCATTTTAAAGAAAATTATACTTTAAAAAATAATTTTTACTCCATTAGTGAAAATCATGGCATTTACTTTCTGAATTCCAAAAAATCCTCAAATATTAAAATTAAAATTGATGCCTACAAACTGACTCCATTCAATTATTAAAGACCTTATCTTTATTTGTCATAAGCATTGTTACATATCAACAATAACAAATACACCATCTTTTACATGTAGGAGGGTCTTATAGAAATAAGTAGTCAGATACTTAGGTAAATCATAGAGAGAAAATTTGAATTTTTAAAATTTACTCACTGGGCATAAAGAATCATGTTTTAAAAGCAAAATATGTGGTTAGAAGTTTCTGAAAACCGAGTTGATAAAGTACCATTTCAATCTGATGTCAGATGTCTTTGTTAAAGAGCTTTCTGAGTAGTAATCTTAACATCCAAAAAGTAAAGCTATTTTGGTTTCTTCAAGTATCCTAACACAGGGGAGAGAATTTCCTCTTGTGAGTCCTTATAATACCTATGATAATTTTATTTATATCTTTATAATTAGTGGTTCTGATTTCTCATAATTTGTGTTGGTATTAGCAGGGAACCAATAAAGATTTGCAAGTTCACCCAGTTTTTATATGGCCCTGGTTCTACTGACCTGTTTCATGGTTACAGACCCTCACGCATAGCCATGAACAGTTATCTCACAGCTATCCTGTATACCACTGTAACCTCAGCCCCTAGCACAGGATCTGACACAAGCTGGGGAGGGTGCTACTTAGAGGCAGTCAAATCATGTTTGAAAAAGTGATATCACTAGAATCAGGTTATCTGGGTTCAAATCCTAGGATTGCCCTTCTAGCTCTCTGACCTTAAGCAAATTATGTAGTTACATTTGTAAAATGTTTTAGTGTTGGTTACAATCGCATGGGATTGGTTACTATTGCATGGGATTAAATGATGTAATGCATGTATTTCACGGTGAGCCTTTTATTTAAAATCTCATTATTATTATAAATTGAATTTTTTAAAGATAAAAAACTAGGGATAGCTTAGGTCTAATGACATTTTTGGTTCACAAGCACTATGAACTGTCTCCGTCTGTTCTGTTCTTTTTTTTTTTTTTTTGAGACGGAGTCTCGCTCTTTTGCCCAGGCCAACTGCAGTGGTGCTATCTCGGCTCACTGCAAGCTCCGCCTCCCGGGTTCACGCCATTCTCCTGCCTCAGCCTCCCGAGTAGCTGGGACTACAGGGGCCCGCCACTGCGCCCAGCTAATTTTTTTTGTATTTTTAGTAGAGACGGGGTTTCACCGTGTTAGCCAGGATGGTCTCCATCTCCTGACCTCGTGATCCGCCCACCTCGGCCTCCCAAAGTGCTGGGATTACAGGCATGAGCCACCGCGCCCGGCCTAGTCTGTTCTATTCTTAAATGTTTCTTTTACTCATAATTTTAAGGAACCATAAGTAGCATGATCAATTTTATGGACTGCAATTAACCATGTTGGTTTCTGAGAAGTTTCAAAAAAAAAAAAAAACTTTTGATGAGTTTTTTGTAAGCACAATTAAGTAGACTGACATTTATAAATGCTTATAGTATGTGAATTCATAAACTGAAATTGTGTATAAACATATTCCAGAAAAGCCATCTCCTCAAATTCTTTCATTTTGTTTTTGTTCAAAGTAATCATAAATGATCAGTGATGGTATAAAGAAAACTTTTTATTAAGGATAAAAGAGCTTCATTAAAAAAATCCTGTGGTAACAGGTAGAATAAGAAATCTAGCCAGTTCAGTCACATTAAAGAGATAAGAAAGTGGAGTCAATATAAGCAATGATAGTTGATCACAATTTATATGAAAAAGGCTTTTCAAATAATGGAATTATCTGTTTGTTTTCCAGTAAATAATCTTATGCATTTGCAAGCAATAGCATCTGTTTCTATATGATAATATATGACAGAAGGAGAATTAATTTGTCTGTCGCCATGTGCTACACAACATATTAAGAGTGAACTCAAAGAACAGTGAAGCTTTATTTCAACTGCAGTGGAATCTGATCTAAGTTAATGTTATTCAATCTTACACTAAATATAATATATCAAGAACAAGTATAAGCAGTGAAAATTTGTTAGGGTTTTTTTGGAATAGCATTGCTTATGTATAATGTCATAAACAAATTACATAATTATGAACTGTGTAATCTGTATAATACGACAGTGTTAGGCTTACAATATATTACTTTTCTAATTCTGGGCAAGACACTTGAACTCTCTACATCTAATGTCCTCCTCTTAAAAAGGATAGAATTTTACCTGCTTTATAGTAGGTCATTTACTTAAAGAGTTTATAGACTAGGACCTAATTTTTTATTATATAATTAAGTATGAGTTCCTTTCTTTCATACTGCCATTCTTTTCTAAAAAGTATATGATCTTCTGCAATTTTTTAATTTGTATTAAATTCAATAATTAGAAAAAAAGTAAAATAAACTGTGCTAATTAAAGCCATATACTTTTTAAAATCTGACTCTCAGAAGTTAATGTGTGTTATTGTAATACATAAAAAACAGCTACTGAACAAAGACTTTAAATATCTGCTTTTGTATTTCTATATTATCTATTTACCTTTGGAGTTATATCACTTTATTTAAGGAATATCTATAAAGCTTGAAAGAGAAAAATGAACTAATTGAGGATTAGTCGCTTGTTTGTGCCAGGAGTATTTCTGCCTTAGGGTCCTGTTTGCCCTGGACTGTGCTTCCCTCTTACGCCTGCAAGGTTAATGCCTTTTATTGCTTTAGGTTTTTACTAACAAGTCACTTTCCCAATGAAGCTTTCCACATGCCCATAAAATTTCAACCCATATCCTTCTTTTCTCATTATTTGTTCTTCTTAGTATATAATACTATACCATATTATATAATATACTTATCTATCTTGAAGAAAGATTCAATGAAAGGAAAGAGTCCTTGATAAAAGAGAGACAAAGCTTGAAAGATATAAACAGGGCTAAGGCAAGAGATTATATTGGAATAGGACACAACTGAGAATTTAGAGCCAGAGGAAAATAGTTATGATGATAGGGAAGAAACTTCACTAGTCTTGAAATGCAACATAATAATGATGGATTTAAAGTGAAGATCTTGAGGATGTTAATAGGTGGTTAGAGGCAGTGGGAATTCAAAACATTAAGAAGACAAGCTTTAGTGCTTGCTGAATTTGTCAGGCAAGGAGAAACTGCCAAAGGATGCCAATAACAATTATGTCAATTTAAACAATCCTGTAACACTTCCAGCCTTAAATAGACACCAGATCATCCAAGGCAAAGAACGTATCTAACCCCTTATTCCATACTTTCAACTAAATGAAAAATAACTCTGTATAAGGAATTAAATATACAGCTTAAGGACCTTTATTCTTTTTTATTCTTTTATACTTTAAGGAAACTATTCAGAGTTTCAAAAAATCTTTTAAACTGAGAAAAATGCTCTCCCGATTTATCTCCTATGTATTTTATTGGATAAAACTTAAATCAGCTTGTATCTCAGAACATACAAGAAAAGATGTAGACCCTCCTTTCCATTTTCTCAACTTTGATAGCATCTGTGCTATATTAGAGACTTTCTGACCTCATAATTTCTTCACATGCAGACTCATAATCCTTTCTATGGAAATAAAATTAATGTCAGACACTTGAAATGTCCAACTTAGATGAACTCTCCATAACTGAATTTGCTGCATATGAAACATTCTCCTTACTTAATAGCAATATAGAACTGAATGGTAAGACATTAATCACAGCCATTTTAAAATGCATATTACTTTTTTCATCTCAGTGTATATATGCTCTTTTTTGATAGGCAAAGAAATTAAGTTACAAGGTTATTATCAAAATGGCTAATCTAAAAACATATTCCCCTCAATTTTAACATTACTTTTGTTTGTTCTACTACTGCAGTGAAAATCCTGATCTTATGATATACTCCTGACATTCCACAGTGGGTACATTTTGCTCGTCTACTCTCAGTGATGCACCAGAGACTAGAGGTTGAGAGAGTATCTACTAGTAATGTGACTACTTGGGCTAAAATTCTGAGCTTCTTGCTTATTAGCAGTGTTATGAACTGAATAGTGTTCCCCCAAAATTCATATGCTGAAGCCCAAACCCTTAGAGTGACTACATTTGGAGACAGGGTCCATAAGGAGGGAATTAAGATTAAATGAGGCCATGAGGGTGAGGCACTAATCCAATAGGCTGGTTTTCAATATATATGATTTTTAAGAATAATAATAAAGTTTGCCCTACTAATTGCACAGTGTTCTCTTTTAGAGAAACTAAAATATGGCAAAAGAGTTTCATTGGGCAATATGTATGTTGTTTCCCATCCAATAGTCCAGAGTAGAGAAAAGACACCCTTTCCTCATTCAAACCAGTCAGCCTATTTCCTTGTCACTTGCTTGACTGACCTGCATTGTTTTTCAGCTGAATCAGATTGTGGATATGGAGATAGAATAGGTAGAAAAGTCAGCATGGAAAAGATAACTTGCTCAGAAAGGTCATTTAGCCTCTGGCTAAAAGGACATACTGGACACTCTTGGGAGCTTGAGGCCTAATCTCATCAAATAACCTATCATAACATCATGTTGTGCATAGATATGCATAAAGTGATGAGAGATAAAAGAAATGAAAGTAGGAAGTTAAGAACCAAGAAAAGAGAAAGAGCAGCAATGCTAGTGCAAAAAAAAAAAAAAAAAAGAATTTAGAATTTACCTTGTAAGTACAATGAACAATTTCCCATATGATCTGATATTATGTTAATTTAGAAATAATAAAGGAGCTCTTCCAAAAATACATTTAAAAGTAATGAAACTAAAACAGTAAATAAAAGAAAAAAATGATGGTAACTAAAGAGTCTCACTTGTCAGAGGCTTTGCCTATGACTCTTGAAATTTCCTAATATCACATTTACTGGCTTCAAGAAATCCTCTGTCTCCTATAAGATTTTCAGTTTCATTTTGTAGCCACTTAATATTTTATTTATAATATCTAGTTTATGATATCCATCAATCAGAGAAATAGATGATCCAAAAGTGGATTGAATGGATAGGGACAGACAGCAGGTGGGATTTGAAAGCAGAATTATTAATTATTACTGATTAGTGAAATTTTGGTGTCATTTTGATGCCTGCTTTTTCATGAAACAAGAGAATCGAGAGTCAGATAATGGATATTTTGATTAAAAGTTTTCCCTTCACCACCTACTCCTCAATTTCTGCTCTAAGTTTTCTCTTCTGTTTATTCTGGAAATACTCTCTGAGGGATGTCATGGTTTCATTTATTTTTAATGTATTGAAGGCTCTTGGTTCTATATCTCCAACCTAGACAATATTGCTGAATTCACAATTTATATTTCCCAGTCTGTAGAACATTCTCACTTGGCATCTCTCTCTCTCTCATGCTCAAACCAAAGTCCATTATATCTCCTCTGCCTTTGCATTTGTGTTTGTTTTTCCTTATGCACTCCTTGTATACATAACTGGCATCTCTATCCATTCTGTTTTCCAACCCAGTAAGCTGATGGTCATCCTTGGTTTTTCTCTTAGTCCCCACATTAATTACTCACTAGTGCTATAAACTCTACATAGTAAACATCTCTGCATCCACTCACTTACTTATTCCACTGTGTCACTCAAGGCTACCATCATCTAATGCTTGCACTACTGTAGCTTCCATGAGTGTCTCTGCTTCTCAGTCTTTACCTGACTTCCACTCATCCCTCCAGTTTCCATTTAAACACATCTACTGAAAACACTTTCTGGAGAGAACACACACATATGCGTGAAGACACATCGCACACATACATACTCAGGCTTCTGATAACATCCTACATAGCACCTGTGCTGCAAAAGACTCAGCTTTCAAGGTTGCAATTAATATCAGCCTTCTCTGAAAGGCTATAAGACTATTTTTCTGATTTCTGTGTCCTTAGTGCTTAGCTCTGAGTTAGACATGTAGTCTACACTTTCTAATAAAATAGTTACAATTCACTTAGTGAATGAAGTAACAAAACCTACTTGTGAGAGAGATCCAAAGTCTAAACAGCAGAAGTTTCCATTTCTTTCTTTTTTAAAAAATTTATCTAAAAAAAAAAAATGGATACATGTATAGAATGTGCAGGTTTGTTACATAGGTATATGTGTGCCATGGTGGTTTGCTGCACCTATTGACCCATCCTCTAAGTTCCCTCCCCTCCCCACTCATACCCCAACAGGGCCTGGTGTGTATTGTTCCCCCTCTCTGTGTCTGTGTGTTCTCACTTATGAGTGAGAACATGCAGTGTTTGGGTTTCTGTTCCTGTGTTAGTTTGCTGATGATGGCTTATAGCTTCATACATGTCCTCGCAAAGGACATGATCTCATTTCTTTTTATGGCAACATAGTATTCCATGTTGTATATGTACCACATTTTCTTTACCCAGTCTATCAGTGATGGGCATTTGGGTTGGTTCCATATCTTTACTACTGTAAATAGTGCTGCAATAAACATACATGTGCATGTGTCTTTACCTTTGAATGATTTGTATTCCTTTGGGTATATACCCAGTAATGGGATTGCTGGATCAAATGGTATTTCTGGTTCTAGAACCTTGAGGAATCACCATACTGTCTTCCTCAATGGTTGAACTAGTTTACATTCCCACCAACAGTGTAAAAGTATTCCTATTTCCCCACAGCCTCACCAGCATCTATTGTTTTCTGACTTTTTAATAATCATTATTCTAACTGGCATGAGATAGACAAGCAAAGAGTCAAATCATGAATGAACTCCCATTTACAATTGCTACAAAGAGAATAAAACACCTAGGAATACAGCTAACAGGGCATGTGAAGGACCTCTTCAAGGAGAACTACAAACCACTGCTCAAAGAAATAAGAAAGGACGCAGACAAATGGAAAAACATTCCATCCTCATAGACAGGAAGAATCAAAATCATGAAAATGGCCATACTGTCCGAAGTAATTTATAGATTCCATGCTATTTTCATAAAACTATCATTGACATTCTTCACAGAATTAAAAAAAAAAAAGGACTTTAAATTTCATATGGAATCAAAGAAAGACCCCTATAGCCAAGACAATCCTATGCAAAAAGAACAAAGCTGGAGGCGTCAGGCTACCTGACTTCAAACTATACTACAAGGCTACAGTAACCAAAACAGAATGGTACTAGTAACAAAACAGACATGTAGACCAATGGAGCAGAACAGAGACCTCAGACATAACACCACACATCTACAACCATCTGATCTTCAACAAACCTGACAAAAACAAGCAATGGAAAAAGCATCTCCTATTTAATAAATGGTGCTGGGAAAACTGGCTAGCCATTTACAGAAAACCGAAACTGGACCCCTTCCTTATGCCTTATACAAAAATTAACTCAAGATGGTTTAAATACTTAAATGTAAAAGCCAAAATCTATAAAAATCCTAGAAAAAACCTAGGCAATACCATTCAGGACATAGGCATGGGCAAAGACTTCATGACAAAAATGCCAAAAGCAATTGCAACGAAAGCCAAAATTGACAAATGGGATCTAATTAAACTAAAGAGCTTCTGCACAGAAAAGAAACTATCACTCAAGTGAACAGGCAACCTACGAATAGGAGAAAATTTTTGCAATCTACCCATTTGACAAAGGTGTAATATCCAGAATTTACAAGGAACTTAAACAAATTTACAAGAAAAAAACAACCCCATCAGAAAGTGGGAAAGGGATATGAACAGACACTTCAAAAAAGAAGACATTTACACAGCCAACAAACGTATGAAAGAAAGCTCAACATCACTGATCATCAGAGAAATGAAAAATCAAAATCACAATGAGAAGTTTCAGTTTCTATATATGAGGGTTTAGTGGTAAACTATTGTCTTAGAAATGAGTAGAAGTTTAACAGGAAGTTGTCTTAATTTTATGCTTGTAATGAAAGCACAGTTTTTAATGTAGATCTTATGCATTTATGGGGGCAGCTAAAAGATATTGGAAGGAATGGCTAAGCCCTCTCACATCATCCCAAAGTGCTGACATAGGATCTACATGTTAGAAAATATTTACGTTTCCCTATGTGATTGATATTAGTACAATGCTAAAGTAATTTTCTGAAAAAATACAAATATAAATGCACTCATTCAATTTCTTAAGTCAAAATAATTTTGCTGATCTAATGGCAAAGGCTCTTCAAAAGCAGGGTGAAGGGCATAATCACCAGGCCCCAACTTGCCTGATATAGTAACTCCATAACCACTCTTACCAAGGTCTATAGGCTATTTAATTGCTTTCTATTTTAGGTTGTAGCTGTATTCTTTAGAATTTCAAATAAGGTTTTCAGGCCAAAAGGCAATGGGAGTGGCTTATCAAAATTCAGAGAATTCAGATTTCTTTGGTGTTTGCAGGTTAATCCCTTTGTTATACAAAGTTGATTGACACGGAGGATTTTCCTTAAATCACCAAGCCGTGCAAGGACAGTGCTAGGACTACAGTTGAGGTATTCAGAATCCAAGAACACCTCATGCTGACCTTTAATTCCTGATCCTTACAATTGGTTGCATGCTGCATTTTATCTAGTTTCAAAAGATAATAAGGCAATAAAATTAAATATTCAAATTAACACAGAATTTTTACACATATGGGAATAATTTTTTAAAGCTACTTAATAGAATGATTCAATACATCTTCCTGTGATAATGGAGATGTTCTTTATCTGCACTGCCCAATAGAGTGACCAACAGGCACCTGTGGCTCTCGCATGCTTGAGATATATCTAGTGCAATTGAGAAACTGAATTTTTACTTTTAATTAATTTAAAATGAATTAAATTTAAAGAACCACATATAACTAATGGCTACTGTATTGGATAGCACAGTTTTAGAATATATTTTGGGACATACACTACATTATCTTGAATAGTTTTTATACTTCATGGACATCATTAGGAGATTGCAAATTTATATTTCCAAGGTCCATAATTACATAAAGAGTGCTATATTTCATTAATAATTAGGAAAATACATTTACAAATATATTTAAAACCACAATAAGATACCATCACACACCTGGTAAAATCAAGTATTGGCCAGAACATAGAGCAAGAACTGGAATTTCCATACATTGCTGATGGAAGTGTAAATTTGTACAATCTTTTTGGAAAACCCTTTGGCAATATGAACTAAAGCTGATCATATGTAAAACTTATGACTTAATAATTCCACTCCTATATATAATCCCCAACAGAAATATTCTATATGTGGGCGCCAAAATACACGTACACAATGTTCATTGCTCTACTGTTTGTAATAGCCCCTAAATAGACACAACTCTATGTTTATTAATGGCAGAAGTGTAAATAGATTACAGTATATTCATACAAATGATACGACACATCAAGGAAAATGATTAAAATACTGGTACTTAATCTCATGAACATAAATTTAATTACATGAAGCCAGAAACAAAAAAATGCATACTTTATGAATCCCTGTATATAAAGTCCAAAACAGGCAAAGTTAACCTATAATGTTAAGGAATCAGGTTGTGATAACTTTGAGGGGAAGAGGAGCAAGCAAGAGAGACTTTACAGGTGCTTGTATATCCTGTCACCTGATTTGGGAGGTGATTACTGTGTATACAGTGCCTCCTTTGTGAAAATTCACAGCATTTTATGCTTAGGATTTGAACAATCTTCTGTCCATATGTAGTAGTTGAAATAAATGGTCAAATTTTTCATAGAAATTCTATTAAATCACATATATTTGTCACAGCTTAAATATTCATGGAAAACAGTCACTATATAATTATGTACATTGAAAAATTTAGAGAAAAGTGACAAAAGCTGAAAAGTCTAAGAGAATCATTTTTTCTAAGGCTCAAATTGCCATTTTTCATCATAAAAATTCTTGCTGTGTGTATTGTGCAAATTTTAGAGAATGCATTGTATAAAATGAGTTATGATTTCTTAATATTTCAACATAAGTCTGGTATATTTTATATAGCATGAAATAGAAATAATAACATGAAGAATAATAATTTCAGAAATTCAATTCACAAAACTTAGTTTTTGTGTTTTTATAGTAATTTTCCATCTTGAAGGTTAAAAAGGAAAACAAGCTTTAGAAATATTACTTATTATCAAGCTGTGAAGTCACTAACAAGGACAATACTTTGCTAAAAAAAAATCTTGTGAAGGAAATCCCTATTAGCAATTTGATGCAAGTATAGCTTGCATATATTATAATTATCTAACATTTAAAATCTCTATACTGAATTTTTGCTTTTCCTTTGGCTATGCGCCTACTTTTCTTAAATTGATTTATTAATGTCCAAGGTTGCTTTGCAGTTTTATCCTTTTAGCAATAATAGATGCAATAGATCACAAAAACAAATTTTTAAGAGAACATCATTAGAGTGATGTAGCACTGGTAATAAACCCCTTCACACTTGGATGAACTTAAATCAGTTTCTCTTTATTGATTTTTGGTCATAACATAATTTTAAAGTTCAACTCAGTTAATAAAAAAAGATTTGCGCCGGTGTTATGGGCAAAATACTTGCGTTGTAAGTTTCCACATCATTTGTGGAAGAATGTTATAGTTGTATCATATATGGATCTTCGATAGATATAGCAATGAGCATATTATTTTATGATAATCCTTATGTTTAATATCTTTCCCTCTCCTTTTATTGATGTGAATCTTTCAACATCCTTATCATAAGATCCAATGACACCATTAGTATTCACTTCCTATTTATGCATACGAATGTGTGTGAAAGATGTAAAAAATGCAATATGTATCAAATATACACACAGTAAATCTATTTAAAATATTTATCTTATGCATATCATGGCAACATTTTAACTATTTTTACTAATAATGTGATAATTTTCTTTAGAATGATTTTACATCTTTATGCAGGATTGTCACTCCCATGTAGAGAGTGGGTTGATTTTTTATCTTGTAGTTCATTCAAAAAGTGTCAAAAATCAATTAATGTAACCTGTTTTTAACATGATGAATTACAGACTTATGAAGGGTCTATGCCATCAGGAGAATTAATATCTTCATCCAGAATTAAGTAATTGAATATACACAAAAAAAGAAAAAAATAGGTTAATATGAACTCAAATATGAGTGTCAAACTTCTATTGATTGCTATTCTTCCTGTGAAGCTGTTATCTACTATAATTGTTCTCACTTTCTCCTCACTACAACATAGCAGATTATATACATAACATGTTGCCCGGGGCTCACTCAGATATGGCCCACAGCATTTATAAAATTCTCAGCTCTCAACCGTAATTCCTGGCCTTCAGTTTTTCACACAAGGAAACCTATCAGAATGCAAGAGAGCAAGAGTACACTCTAATATAATCTTATATCCATTCTATAGTTTAAAAAATAAATTATGCACAAATTTCCCCACTTCATTTTTAAACATTCCTTGCAATATCCTTCACATGTATGTGTTAAGATTGCAGATCAAGGCATCTGGTCTGTAATGCCTTGAGCACACAATAAAGAGAAAGGTAGCATCAGACAATTAGCAACCAATGGCTTGAGGAGAATTAAAAGATAATTTTATTATTAGCTTGGATGCTAGAATATAATTTTCATTGACTGTTGTTTTGACAGTGAAAAAGGCAATGGATACTTGCTCTATTTTGCAGCAGCCTAAAATGTACAAGCCCTATATCACAATTTATCTAGCAATAAAAGGGTCTTCTGTGGAACTGATCAGAGCCAAAACCAAAATTTGTCTCCAATATCTTTGTGTCATCACCCACCAAAGCTTCTTAACATCTTTGCAAGTTCAAATGTTATTTAACCCTTAAAACTGAGGTTAAATGTGTTCATTCATTCAACAAATATTAATTGAGCAAGGCATTTTATATTAGAGACTTAGAAGAAAAAAAAAGACATGAAACTTTCTTCCAAAACAAAAGGGCAGACAATTTAATTTGAAGGAGACATGGAGAGAATTTGTTAGTATAAGAAGCTATGTCTCTAGAGGGTAGCCAGGGTAAGGCTAGGCAGACAACATATGTTTGAGTACCAGTTTCCAAAGGAAAAAGAAGGAAACGGTTCGATTTCTCACCGTGACAATCTATTGTCATCAGAACACATCAAGTACATTCAGAGGTAATTTAAACAGACCCATTAAAACATAAGCTCCAGAATCATAAAGAACTAGTTTCAAATTCAAGTTTAAAATACTGGTCATTTTGTTGAGTCTTGATAGTTTTTATAATTTAATTAAGCTTCCGTATATTAATTTATAAAATGAGATTACAAGGATTTTTGTGATGACCGAACAAGATAATATATGTAAAGCCCTTAGGTCTTAGAACATAATAAATGCCCAATAAAGTATATATTTCTTCTGGTGCACTTAAATCTTAAGACAGAATGTTGAATCAGCACATATCATGACAACCCAAAGATCAATAACTATTTGTAAATTAGATGAGAAAAAAGTATATTTATTGAATACCTAATACTGTCTGCTTGCTTCTGTGACATCATGTGACATGATTATTATGAAAAGTAACATAATAAGAATAAAGTAGTTCTTTACTATAGCCTCAAAGTCTCCATTGCTAACGAGAGCTGCTTTAGAAATATTGGCATAAAACCTTTTTTATAAGTTGCACATAATTACAGGATCAGCTTTGGGTTTCAATTGGTAAGAATTTCAGTTCTGTGCGGCCTTAATGAATAATATCTGAAGTACAAATTAAATTTTTTCTATCAGGAGGCTTATTCAGAAAATTATAGGCCATTTATTCCTTCCATAATATATGAGAAAGATAAATTTTTCCCTAACTCTATTCTTCAAAGAGTAAAACATCCTGGCTACAGCATTCATCCCTTTGTTTTGTCTGTCTGTTTGTTTGTGTGTTTGTTTGTTTGCATCCTTGCTTACTATTAAGGAAGCCTAGATGGTAAGACAATAAGAAAATAGAGGGCAAAGCCAGGCCATGTTCTCATAAGATTTAAGCCTGTGAGAGAACATCCAGAATTAATAATGTGTGAACCTGGAGCTAGTCAACCAGCTAATTGCCTTCAACACTGTTCATCATTAATCCAGAGATTGCCATTCCATTTTAGTTAAATAAGGAATTTCACATTGGCAAAAGTGAGTCTATAGTATTCATATCTCACTCTAGGTTGACTGCACAACCTCACAGGATGCCAATGGCTCATGCTGGCACATATCAATATCATGGGATTTATCCTGGTAACCTAGGTTTGTGTGCATCAGAAAGATGAGTTTCATGTATGTTTCTTAATTTACACATAATATATAGAATGGGGATATTCAGATTTCCCAAAGATAGCCATGTTTACTGTTTTTAAAGTCTCAAAAGATGTTTTAAAAGTTCACCATATGTACTAGAACTTTTATCCTTGAATGTATATGCCATTTTTTTTTTACCACTCAAACGTAAATCTACAGGGACCACACAATGATTCGTGTAGATTCCATTCCTTTTTATGATGCCAAAAATGTTTTAAAATAGTATTTTCTCCCCCGATTTAAAGAAAGGAAAGAATAGAGATTTTGTAGAATCATAAAATCATGAAGTGTCAGAGTTTACAGATTACAATCTAACTACTTAATGTTAAAAATGAAAAGAATGAGACCCAAAGAAGTTATGATTTTAAAAAATTGGTAAATGGTAGAACTAAAACCATTTCTTATTTTGTCCTCTAAACATTATTGCATTTCTGAAAAGTATACACATATGAATTATAAATGGTAGGGTGAAGTTTGTATAATGTCTTTTTATAGCAATCAATAAATAGGTGACTATGTCACATTTATACTGTAATTCTGATGCACACATAATACTTTAAAAACTGCTAAACAAGCATGTCAGAAAGACCTAAATTATAACATTTTTCTATATTATTTAATAAAAAATAATAAGATTTTTAAAGCAATTCCCTCCACTTGTGATTGACAAGATATACTATGATTCCAAACAGTCCAATTTTTGGTCACCTTCTCCCACTTGTGTTAGTTAAATCCAGAATGGGGGGAAAAATAAAAAATCTAATTATATTATTCATGCTAGCCTTGTATGCAGCATTCCTCTGCCCCTTACTGAGCCTCCCTAGAAGCTAGAAAGAGCCAATGGACAACTACATCACACACACACCCCATATCCTGATCATTCATCCCTGAAATTATGTATTCTTTACTCCTATACCTTATAAACAGTAGTGTAAATTGTGTGCATGGCCAAATTCATAACACAAAACACTCTTAGGAGCAAAATAGAAACCTGCACAAACCCTCTGGTTTTGTCAATGAAAACAACCTTTTATTATAAAGTGACAGTTTTATAACTTCAAAAATAGGCTTTAATTTTTATAGAACATTTAATTCAGGAATGAAAAATGTATTTTTATCAACCCGCAAAAAAAAAAAAAAGTGGGATTTTTCATCAGTGTTGCCAGAGGTGAAGGAAATTTACATGGTGAATGAAGTAAAAAGCCTATTTCAACTATCACAGTACCTTAAGGATGAAGAAAATAGTTTTAATTTTGGATAATAAATCACTTTTGTAGCATTTCAAAGATCAAGAAACTTGCTTATCAAAACAGAATGTAGTCATCATAATGCAAAGTCCTCAGGCAATGAGAATTGCAGTAAAATCTTTTTCTCCTTTTATAACTGGATCAATATTTTTGAGTATATAAGAATATGTACTCATTAAATCACTTTCACCTACTATATTTCATATTTGCTACAAATTACTTAATGTCACAGGAGACTGGAAGATCTATTTTAAATCTAAACACATAAGTACACTATCAAGTGGACACAAATAAGCATACACAAAGAAAAAGCTTTTTATTCGCCATCCCAAATGCCCAGCATTGCTTTGACCTAGTTATAAAAACCAGAGATTTGGTTTTATTTCCCAGCCTAAGAGTTAATTCTGATGATTTTAGCAGAAGGGAATGAATAGGAATATAGCATTCTCCTAAGACCTCTTGTTCCTGGGATAATATATAGCAGGTGCTGACTTCTTGTGTGTATCCCTAGTTCCCATCTTGTTTGAGATGGCAACAGATGATATGTTAACAATGACCAACCATTTGCCAAAATGTCTTTGCACATATTTTTCTCTGGCTGGAAGGTCCTTCCCTCCCTGCTATATTCAATTAAGGCTTTCTTATCCCTCAGTGTTCAGTCAAATAATAATGCTGGGGTAAAATTTTCTGACCAAGCTATATCTCCCAATGATATACTTTCATTGTTCCATGTACCTCTGTACTTATCCTGTTGTTAATGTGTGATTGATGAATTAATATCTTACTTCTCCATTATGATCTCCATCAGCACAATGATCATATTTATTTTTGCTACTTTTGAGGTCTCTGGCTTCTATAAAAGGATGTGAAAACCTAGCAGGTGTTCCATATATTTATTTGAAAAATATTAAACATCCAATTCCTGACATTTTGTCCAACCCAGTATGTAGGTGACTTCCACACAACCTCCCTACTTAGAGACTTCTGAAAGAGCAATTGTATCTCATACTCTGAACCATGGATCATGAAACAGGGGGTGGTTTTTGAGTGGCAGTCTCCAGTTGCAAATATATAAATCTAAGCATTACAATGAAAGTGCTTGGAGTTTATAGTGTTAGGGGCCACAGATCTGTAATGCAATTTAGATGTCAGCTGCTAGAATCAATATGAATGATCATATGCTCAAGAGACTCATGTAATTACTAAGCATTAAATGAATATGTAACTTTCATCAATATACATTGTATTTCTTTAGCAACAAGGATGTTCTTGTTAAAATTTACATTCAAAAATTGCTATGCTTGCCATTTGGCAGATCCACAAAGAGAAGTATAAAATCAGAGACCCACACATAAGGTATAGGTATCAGTCACCTAATGGTATGGCAGCAGTCAGGTTTGGGAATACAGACATCTCACTGAGTTTCAGAAAGGTGAATGTAACTTTCCTCCAATAGCTTTATTTATGCCAAAGACATAGATAAATATACTGTATCACTTAACATCCTCATTTAAAGGTCCTCCCCCTGTTGCCATGAAGATTTGCTGAGCAAAGAGGGAATAACAATCTGTGCCTGTCAAAAACAAAATATTCCTGGGAAAAATAATCCATTTGAAAATCTTATCCTAAATTTTATCATAAAATTCTTTGCTTGTTTAGTTTTCCTCTTCTGTAGGAGAGTCTCATACTACTACTATTCCTTGATGCTAACAGGAGACCCAAATGTGACTTTCCTCCTAGCACCAACACTATAATTATACCTCACCTATGCCTGATTTATTACTTCTATATCCTCCAAAAACGGTTCTCTATCTCTTGATATTTGTAAAGAATATTATATAAAAATTATAAGGTAAGGCCAGCTTCTTAATTCTCTTTTTCAAAGTATCCACATCTACAGTATCCGTATGCACAGTGTCTGAAGCATAGTATGTCCCTCATAAATACTTGATTAGTAAATTGAGTAAACAATTATAATAGTAGCTTTTTAGTTTATAAATTCCTATATAAAGGAACTATATGCTAAGTATATAAGTGGATTATTTTTTAGGATTATCATATGTGTCATGTTTTCACTATCTTTGTATTCCAGCAGTGCTGAATGACTATATTATAACTTTCTGTTGCTATTAACATTAATGCTTTATTATCAGGAAATTCACAACCAGAAATGAGGAGTACGGGTTAATGGTCAAAATCAGCAGCAAACATTTTTACCATTCTAATTGCTGTCAATATATTCTGCTTCCTTAAAAGCTCTCATTCACATTTAAAAAATTACACAGTATATGAATTTTAGTAAATAAAATTAATTCCTTAATAAATGAATTAGAAAAAATTAAGAGAAATCAACTCACTCCAGTCTGGTATTAGCTCCAACACTACTCTTGCTTAAGTTATCAATGACTTTTTTACTGCCAAACCTAACGGAAACTTTTCAATTCTTAACCTACTTAACTTTTTTAAAGCAGCATTTAACACAAACACTCTTCTTAATATACTATATTCGCCTGGTTTTCATGACACCATATTCTCTTGGCTTTTTTTTTAATCATGATTTCCCACTCTTGCTCCTTTGGGTCCCAGTTTAAATGTCACTTTTAAGTCTTTCCTGATGGCCTTGAACTAATTTGAATTTTCCTCTTTAATAAAACTGCAGTTTACCTTCATAGTTGTTACTAATATTTCCTAATTTTGCATATTTTGGGGGGTTGTTACGTGTTTAATGTCTTTACCCCATACATACCAGACTGTAATCTCCAGAAGAGATAGTACTATGTTTATTTTGTTCAGAAGGATCTTGCACTTAATTCAAGAATATTTGTTCAATGATTATTGGATAGATAAAGAGTCACATTCCTGTTAGTGTCTTTAAAGATGCATATGCTTTTGCTTTTTAAACTCATTAAGTGCCTCTTATATGCTTCTCTCTACTTCATGCCCTGGCCCCTAAACCCTGAAACTGGTTTAAAATAACTCTTAGGGGGCTAGGGTTGCAATATTTGGGGCATGCATATAAAAACACACACTTATACACATATATACATATATCCATTATTTATCTGAAAATCTAATTTAACTAGACATACTGTATTTCTATTTGTTAAATCTGGAAACTCATCTGATCCCATTTACTAGTCAAGTAATGTTTCCCTAAAATTGTGAAAATTTGGCTTGTTTCTTAAATACAATACTGTTTCACAGCTCTATAGTTACCTTGCATGAACCTTTATTTTAGCAATATCCTTATTAAGCTTATATATATATATATATAAAATTGTCTTTTCAGCAAGATAGATATATACCTATATTTATATCTTCATATATATTTATCAAATATATATATATATATTTTTTTTATTTATATACATTTCTTGAAGGTACTTCTTGTCCTCCTGAACCAAAAGTTCATTACTCTCTATCTTGTTCAGCCACACACAGATTCAAATTATATAATGGATAAAAATTATTCACATGTTTTTCAATGATCAAATCCTCAAAATATTGAGGAAATGATTTAGCATTTAATTTGGAAAGCCACTGTGACTCCATGTTTGTAAATGCCATAGTTACCTCAAATCTATCTTTGTGTTGCATTCTTTCTAGCTTTCCCCTTAAGACTTTAAAAAATTGTTATTTACTCTCTTCTTAAAAATTATTTTTAATTAATATTACATTGGTAAATCACTGTCATCTGATATATAAGCTTTTATCACCCAATGTAACACTATCACACTGAACTAGAATATTTTTCATTCTCTCATTGAACCATCAGTGTTTGAATTTAGTCAAAGCCTGGAAAATGAATCCTGAGGGAATAAATACTTCGCATAGATTACCTTCCAGCCAACACAACGATTAACAGACATAAGGCTTGTAGTTACATAAAACATCTGTAATAGATTGCAAAATTTCTGCATTTATCCAGTAGTATTCAAAATTTTACAAAATTTTTATTTTATGCATATAAGCATTATCTGAATCTGTTATATTTATGGATCAAAAACTTTAAATGATATAATCAATCATGTTTATTCTCATACAATTAAATGCATTTTTGCTATGATTTTTGTTATTTAAATGTAAATTTACACCAAATAAAAAGCCAGTTCAAGAATTTTATCAATTTCTTCTCTCTTTTTCAGTCTATATGAACTTCATTGTTCCAAGACTTGTAAAATAAAGTTGAAGTTAAATGTATCAAGTCAAGCAAAGTCAGCGTACTGTGACTTTATATTTACTATCCTGTAGTTCTCAAATAAAGGTATTTTCATTTGGATCATGAGTTTGACATCTAGAAATAATGTGGGTGGGATGAAAAAAGCTATATTATATTTATTTAGGGTGGGGAGTGAAGATAATGAAGCCAAGATTGCTGGTATAAATAAAAATGAAACCCAATTAACTTCTGCTGCCAGCTGAGCAAAAAAGGGAAAGGGGAGGGAAAAACGTATTGCTCTTTTGCTTACCCATTTATTCTTCACACACACAAGAAAAGGAGGAGATATATTAAATATGTCTATCACACTAATATCTTGGCAACAACCCTAAGAGAACAATTAACCCCCTTCCCACTCCCAGCTGAAAGGAAGAAGCAAACATCATGGTGGCAGCCAACACGTAGCTTAAAAAGGCATATAACAACGAAAAAGTAAGGAATTTAATGTTACTACTCTCTTCTAATGTGAATTTGGAAAAGATGCAAGGAAGGGAGCACAGAATGATGTAACTGAAAATTTACTGTCTGAACAAGTTTTTTTTAAATTTGAAATATTTTGAATTTGCATTTAAATTTTAAGAATTTGTTGAGTCATACATTTTATGAAAATATAAAATAAAATTTTAAGAATGTGTATTATCATGCTCTTGTTCTTTATACTGTTGAATAATAATTCTAACTAGCACACTAACTAATGTCAATAAAAATTCAATTTTTTCCTGAACCATTTTTTATTAAATTAGCTCTATATTTGCTATATGCCAATCCATTTATATTTTGGGTTTCTTTTAGAAGTTATATGAAAGTTTTTATGTCCCCTTTTTCCTCCTAGGATTTTAATACACTTTACTATATTAAAACTTTCATCCTAAAATAATTTTTACAGCTTCTCTGCTTAGAAAAATTGTAATTGTTCTGTTAATAAATCCAACTAAAATTAGAAAGTGAAAAATTTAACTAACAAATAATTTTTGTTACTAGTTATTTTGAGAAAGCATCAACCCTAAGAGTTTACAAAACTAAATATATGATAAGGAAAAAAATGTTTTATCAGCGTTGGGGAGATAATTTCTTCATTGCTACCATTTACATGAGGCTGGAATAAATTTTCTGGCTAGAATCTGAAAAGATTCATTCTATCATAACTGTGCTTGATCTTTCGAATTATGAAATGCCTCATTTTCTGTCAAAAATAAGTTTGAATCATTTTATTGTCACAAAAGTAAACAAAAATCACTAGTATTTTGTCATTCGGCATGAGAATATCTATCCTATAGAGGTAATTAGGATTTGCTGAAAACAATGTATTTAATGTGTAGATATATAATTTTCATATGTAATATTTATATATTATATCACATAAAATATTTAATAATTAAATTCATATATATTATACAATAAATGGGAACTTTACATTCAATGTTTTCCTATAGGACACTTTTACTATTCTTCCCTCTCTCACTGCTTCCTTCTTTCTTTCTCTTTAAATTATTTCCAAAGTTACATGGTCCCTATAACAGGCTGAATCCTCAGATGACCCCCAAGAATCCTGCTCTGTGTTCAGGCTGTGTGTAATCCCCTCCCCTTGAGTGGGTATGGGTCATATGAATACACTGTAGTTTCATTCCCAGAAGTATGTTATTTTCTGCTGTTTGGAAGATATTTTGCAGATATAATTAATATCTCAAATCAGTTGACTTTGATGTAATGAAAAGGGAGATTATCCTGGTTGAGCCTGATCTAATTGGGTGAATCTTTCAAAAGTCAGAGAGATTCAAATCGGCAAAGATGCTCTTCTGTTGGCCTGGAACAAAGCAGTCATGTTGTCAACTGTCTACGGAGGAAGCTATATGGCTAGGACCCCAGAATGGCCTCTAGGTTTGGAGAGCAACCCCAGGCTGTTGGCCAGTAAGAAAATGGGGATCCTTGTCCTACAGCTGCAAGAAGCTGAATTCTTCCAACAACCTAACTGAGCTTAGAAGAGGACATCAGTCACCAGATGAGAACTCAGCACTGGCTGATATCTCAGTTTCAGTTTTGTGAGACACTCTGAGCAGGATCTAGCCATGCTATACCTGTACCTCTAACCCATGGGAATTGACATAGTAAAGACATGGGGGGGGGTTTGACCCATTAAATTTGTGATAATTTATTACACAGTAATACAAAACAAATA
Organism: Homo sapiens; assembly: GCF_000001405.40. Taxonomy (NCBI): domain Eukaryota; kingdom Metazoa; phylum Chordata; class Mammalia; order Primates; family Hominidae; genus Homo; species Homo sapiens. The sequence continues at coordinate 212,226,472 of NC_000002.12, forward strand.
CAATCCCAATGCTTTATCTAAGTCATAGAAATTCTGTTCTCTAGGAAAGAAACCATAATTATATAGTTTTAGGAAAATTTACTAATTCTTATTTCTATCCAATGGAGAACAATCACTGATAAACTTGTTACTTGCTGAAAGACAGTGATAACTTTATACTACTCCTTTATATCAGTCTATCTAAATACCCTCAGAGATATGTCATATTAGTCTATGTTATATAGAACATAAAGTTGCTTTTTTTAATCTGTCTTATCAGTCTTATCATATAACTGTCATATGCAAAAATAAATAAATGGAACACTAAAAAGTTAATGCAGGCAAGTCAAGCTCCTAAATTCATAGAGGTTGAAATTCCTAAAAGGACTCACACATTCACAGCAATCAGGAATATCATATACCTCCTTTAAGCTATTTGTGGATTTCCATTAATATGAGGGAACCTAGTTCCCACATGGAAATGGAGATAGATTCTAAGAAATATTTTCACAGGCCCGGGTGCAATGGCTCACGCCTGTAATCCTAGCACTCTAGAAGGCCGAGGCTGGCAGAACGCTTAAGATTGGGAGTTTGAGACCAGCCTGATCAACATGGTGAAACCCCATCTCTACTAAAAATACAAAAATTAGCCAGGTTTGGTGGTTCATGCCTGTAATCCCAGCTACTTGGTGGCTGAGGCAGGAGAATTGTTTGAACCCGGGAGGTGGAGGTTGCAGTGAGCCAAGATCAGACCACAGCATTCCAGCATGGGCGACAGAATGAGACTCCACCTCAAAAAAAAAAAAAAAATCATATAGTAAAATGGAGATTACAAGCAGCAATAAGCAGCAATATGAACCTCAACAAAGCTTCAGGAAGAATAATCTCTACACATGGAAAGCAGACTCAAAACCTGAGAAAGTCATGATTCCCACATCCCCTTTTTGTTCAGAAAAGGGGATATATGACGAGCTCTTCTATATTCATGAGGTGTTAATCTTTCCTGAACAAAGCTTTGCTAAATACATGTCCACCTCAGTATTTCTTTCAGCTTGTAGATAATCAACGATTAATTTGAATAGTTACTTTATATATTGAGAACCAATTCCTTCAAAATAACTGCTTTCTTACTCCTTTTTTCTCCTCTTAACCAATGAACATTAATTGAGCATCCAGACACTGCAGAGCACCATAAAAATAGAAATAAAGAAATACATTATAAGTAATCAAGTCTTTGAATGGTGCTATGTGCTATTTCCTTACCTTTAGCTTTAAAAATCCAAATTGTTTTTATCAATATAGACTTTTATAAGATTAAAGGCCGTGGACAAGGAGGAGAGTTTAAATGAAACCTGATAGATTACTGTCCAGTATAAAAAAAAAAAGTCTTATGGGAACTCACTTTGAATGAAAATCAATGCACACTCACATAGCATAAATAATAATGAGATTTACTGTGATGCGACAGCATGCTTTGGCATTGTGCTGTCAGAGGCGGAGAGAACTCATGGCTTTCTGCCAATCAAGCTGAGCTTAAAGGGCATGTCGCAATGTTCAGATCATGTTACATTAATGAAAAGATTACACAAAAGAGAAACAGATATCCCTGTTTCAATATTCTATGAAAAATTATAAAATACTCCTTTTCACCTCCCCCTCCTTGGTTTGTGTGATCTTTCTTCTGATTTCTATATATAAAGCTAGAAAGCACCATAAAGATTTTAAAAATAATCAACTTTGGCAACTAATCCTATTTAACTAAAATAAAAGAAGTATAGATAATCATCTAAAAACTTCTGATGGGAAAATTAGAAGAAGATGACAAAACCAGTGTAAATTTCTGTGGAGGTTTTCAAACCCCAAACCTGAACTTTAGATGATTTGAGAATTATAAAGTGGTGAAGCCTCCTCAGAGAACTCACCCTGTATACACAGTATTGAGTTATGATATATCTTAGAGTACAATACCATAGAGTGGAGGAGATAATTTATAATTAAAATCACATATTTCCAATAGAATTATGAATCTTCAAGGTCTTCAATGGATATTTTAATTCACACATTCATTCAGCAAGAACATTTTTATGGGACTATTGTATTCATAGCACTGCCCAGAATTATAATATTGGAGGGAGGCAGAAGCAGTAAAGACTATTTTCATCCTGCAGAGCCTACCATGTATGTGAGATGGCAGATAAAAAAAATATATAAACAAAAAATCAGTAAACCCCACCTTGCTGCTACAGTGCAGTGGAAAGCAAATGGAGAATAAGTGTGTGTCCGTATAGCACCAGTTATCTGGACAGACAAACAAAACGTCACATAATCAACCAGATGATGATATATGCAATGGCAAACTGCCACATGCACCAAAGCTTCCAAATTGTTTATTTTTTTTCTGTAAAGTTTAGAGTCATCTAGACAATAAATTTCAACAAATTGGATCAGCTAGGCTAAAAATTTATGTATATGTGAAGTATGCTGGCAAGTTAACAATGCCTGTCGTAAAAGAACTGGAATCTCTGTACTTGAAAAATATTGACAAAATGCCCAAGGAAGAAAGGGCAGCATGAGCTCTGTGTATTGGCTTGGAATTGGACATATCAGTATGGATTCATGGGAAGAGAGAGAGACAGAGCACTGTAAGTGTGTGTGACACATAGGTGAATAATGTACAGTGTTGCAATTAAGGAACACAGTCTAATGTGGAAAATATAATGAGGGAAACCTTAACAATAATAGAGAATGACAAAGTTAGAAGAGAGGGAAACAGAAAGCACTGTAGAAGCAGATAATTAGAACAACTAACCAAGTAAAAGGGGAAAAGAGGGCTCAGGGATCATTCAAATAAAAAACAAAAAGATGCCTCGGTGAAGTCTGGATGGACTCAAGTCAGAGCTGAGAAATGGTTGGGGATATTTGTTGCTGATGGGCAATGGTGCTCTAGGTAGAAGGAAACATATATGCAAAAGTGCATAGTTAATGCCATAGCCTGTTCCATTTGAAACACTGCAGAAAGGGATGAAAATGTGGGAAGAAGCAACAGAAAGGTACTAAAGGGCCAGTAAATCAAGCTCAGTATTTAACTTTTCCAGTGAAGTCAAAGAGGGTCATAAGAGTACTGAAGAAGGGGTGTGTCATAGTCAGGTTCAATTCACAGACATCTCTCTGGCAGCAGAGGCTTAGAAAGAGGTAAGACTGAAGCTAGAAGGGAAGTTTAGGGCTGTTACAGCTTATCCAGGTGATAAATAATGAGGATCTAAGCAACAATAAGTGGTTCTGGAATAGAAAGGAGAGAAGGAGAGACTTGCTATATGTATTATTTTACAGTATTTAATGTTTGATTTCATGTAGAGGTGAGAGTCAAGGAATGGAAAACGAGTCCCATTTTCCTGACTCATGCCATTCTTTGGATGGCGGTCCTATTAAAATGATAAAGAATGTAGAGAAAGAAGGAAGTTATAAGAGGAAGATTATGACTGTTGGCCAATACCTAAGCAAAATGCGATAGAAATGCACAGAATGAACAGAAATCAGAATATAGGCTACAACCGCCAGGTGCGGTGGTTCACGCCTGTAATCCAAGCACTTTGGGAGGCTGAAGCAGGCAGATAACCTGAGGCCAGGAGTTCAAGATGAGCCTGGCCAACACGGTGAAACCCTATCTCTACTAAAAATACAAAAATTAGCTGGGTGTGGTGGTGAATGCCTATAATCCCAGCTACTCGGGAGGCTGAGGCAGGAGAATTGCTTGAACCTGGGAGGTGGAGGTTGCAGTGAGCTGAGATCACACCACTGCATTCCAGCCTGGGCAACAGCAAGACTCTGTCTTGAAAAAAAAGGAAAAAGAATATGGGCTACAACATGGAAGTCTAAGTGTAGGTATGCTGCAAAACTATTACTTTATCCATAATAAAATATGCTACTATCTCAGTTAATTGATTTCCAATGGATTTTGTATTGTAACAGATTCAAAATTTAAATGCAAAATTGGCTTTCAGAGGCTATTGAGGTAAAATATATTTTTGTCAAATTGCCAAATTCATTGTCAAACACCATCACAAACATCATCAAGAATATTCCATTTTCGAAGTAATTACTGTTTTAAAATGTTAAAATACAGAAAATATGTACCACACAACTGTGTCTAGGATTCAGATGAATTCCCCTACTTAAATGTATGACAGTGCGTATGGTTTTCTGAACATATATTTTACAAAATCTACGTCTATATAATATGAATCATACTACTTATTCAGGTTATCTTTTATCTGTCTCTCCATCTGCCCATTCATCTATCTACTGACATAACTATTTAAAATCAGGAGTTATAATACAAAAGTTTTTCACTAAAGATCAGCATGATAAAGAGTCTAGAGTCTCAAAAATCCAATGAGCAGTACCTTCCCAGGAATCATAGGGAAATGATGTACTTATTATGGAACTTTTAAATTAGATTATACATAAGTTGATACCATTAAATAAACTAATTTGATTCACTGATACCTAAAAAACTTTGCAAAATACTGTCATATTTACCCAAATTTAAGAAATGTTGAGTTATCTTTCTCTTGAATCTTCGAAATACAGTTAGAGTATAGTTAGGGTGTAGATATGAACAATGCCAGAAATGTTTACCTAAATACCTTATTTCAATGATTTGGTCTTCCAAAAGTAACTACTTTGTTGTTTCAGAAATTTTTTCAAGAAGTGTTACAGAACATCAGAGATAACTAGATATTTCATTACAGACATGTTTTGAAGGAACGATTTCACACTAAGAATGAAGAAAACAAAAATCCAGTCATCTCAAACGGACAAAACCTGAGGGTGTCCGAAAGGAAAAAAAAAACAGGTTATAAAACCTTTTCACTTCATTTTTGACATGTTTTAAGTCATTTGTCTGGACTCCTGATGGGCTTAAACCTAAGGAGACCTGGAACTTTAAAAAGAAGAAAATATTTTTCTTTCCATCTTTCATTACTTCAGACTGAAACGGCAAAGTGCCCATGAAGGTGAGTGCCAGAAGCAGCATTAAAAAATTGGCTCTTGTTAAATGCCTTCAAAGAAACCTCTGTTTTCATCAGGAAATGGCAATTACATGGATAACATGGACTGCCAAGGTTTATTCTGAAGAAGAGGGATGGTCCATATTGTGGATATTTTCCTTATGTTTATTAACACTTCATAAACAGTCAGGTCTGATAGAAGCATATGACAAAAATTAGGATAGATAAGACCCAGAACTATACATACTGCTGTTTTTTTATCCCTATAGTTTTTACTCCTCCTGTAGTAACACAACTAATACCAATATGCATGTATTTATTTTGACAAAGTCTTGCAATCAACTAGGATAAAAAAATGCTTTGGTTCATTTTTCTACTAACCTTTTTCTTCATTATTTATTTAACAATTCATTTTTCAATCTCCCTTTTAAGTGAATACACCAACTGTATGAGTGAAATAATTTTCTTCATTTAATCTGAAGCTTTTACTTATTGTTTTTATGACCCTGAATGATCTTAGACATGTGTACTTCGCCTCAGATGAAAGGCAGTATAGCACTGTTTTAGATTCGAATTTCCTGTATTATCTGTGTGACAGTGAAGAAATTAATTAAACTCTTTATGCATCAGTCTTCTCATCTGTCAAGTGGGTTTGATAATAATAGTACTTTTTTTCTCAAGGGCTGTTATTATAATACAATAAATTAACATATTTATCAATGAGTTAATATATGTTGTTTTTATATGTTATAAAGAAACATTATGAAGACTACATAAGTGTTTCATAATGCTTAAATATTCTAACCTTAATGGGAAACTCAGTGTTTCCTGCTCTTTGATTCCATTTTCAAAGAAGAAATGCTGTTAAATAAAGGCTTTGAAGGAAAACAATAAATCTACTTAAGTAGATATAAGAGTTTTCAGGGGAGTAAGTAAAGATTTTACTTTTTACTATTATTATTATTTTGAGACAGAGTCTTGCTCTGTAACCCAGGCTGGAGTGCAGTAGCATGATCTCAGCTCACCACAACCTCTGTCTCCTGTGTTCAAGCGATTTTCCTGCCTCTGCCTTCTGAGTAACTGGGACTACAGGCGCCTGCCACCACGCCTGGCTAACTTTTTATATTTTTAGTAGAGACGGGGTTTCACCGTGTTAGCCAGGATGGTCTCCATCTCCTGACCTCATGATCCGCCTGCCTCGGCTTCCCAAAGTGCTGGGATTACAGGCGTGAGCCACCACACCCGGCCGGGAGTAAGTAAAGATTCTAAATGGAAGTGAACAGAATCTCACTTTTCTTTCTCTTCTACTCACATAGATAGCATGGTAACATGAGACATAGCAGTGCCTCCCTTTGGGAATTGTCCCCATCCTTAGAAGACCAAGAAGAAAACAGGGTAAGATCCCTGAAGTATCATTTGTCCCTTGCGCTACAGAGATTTTTAATGCAATTATTAAAATAAAATTCAAAAGCAACAAAAGTTAAAAAGAAATACTTACTGTAAATTCTAGACAGAATTGGAAGAGATCTTCAGGGCAATACTTATTCCTGAATGCATTGAAAAGTCCACAAATATTATAAGAGATCAGAAGAAGATACAAGTTGGGTAGGTCCAAAAGAGATTGGAATATTCAGGACATGCTATTGGATTCCTTTTTTAAATCACTATTTTTGAGATCCACTTTTAAGAATAATATTAATAATGATATAATGACCATGCTTTACACCTGTAGAATGTACTTTCTAGCAAAATATTTTACAAAGAAAATAGGGTTGAGAGAGTTTCACTTCAGGGAAATTCATAAATCTTGAAATCCACTCTAACCCCACTCATTTAGGAGACCAAGACTTATGTGGTGAGGTAGGTAGGAGCAAAATTTCATTTGAAATAACTATATATGTATATATTTGAAAGCTTTCCTATAACACTTATAAAGCTCATTCTAAGTTATTTTTCATACTATTTTCAAAATTTTAATTCCTGAAATGATTACGTTAGCCTCCTTAATGGATATGTTTTTACTGAGTATTATGGAAAGGCAAATATAACCAGTAAGTTGATATTAAGAAACATAAGGATCTGAGTTCTAAAATAACACCTTAAACATGCCGATTAGACAGATTTATCATTATCACACGTTTATATTTACTTTTATTAAACACTCAATTTCTGTTGACTTCTTTTTAAAATTTTGTTAGAAAGTAATTCACATAAGAGAATCTCATTGAGATGCAGCCTCTTGTGTTCTATAATATGTTGGTTTTATATTCCCTTTTAATTTTATAGCAGGTTTGGCCAAATTATGAGCAAGTCAAATAATTTGACCAAAGCCAAGTTGAGTTGGTAATTCTGTCTACTTACACTTTTGTGCATGTATTTATCTTATTTGGGAGTTTGCTTCTTTCTACATTTGACTTTTCATTTGTGATTAAAAGTTATCCAGAGTTCTGTCCTAAATTAACAGTATTTCTCTAGATGTTTTTGTATATGTCTCTTTGCATTATTTATTATTATTATTATTATTATTATTATTATTATTATTATGCTTTAAGTCTTGGGATACATGTGCAGAACGCACAGGTTTGTTACATAGGTATACACATGCCATGGTTTGCTGCACTCATCAACCCATCACCTACATTAGGTATTTCTTCTAATGCCATCCCTCCCCTAGCCCCTCAACCTCTGACAGGCCCTGTTGTGTGATGTTTCCCTCCCTGTGTCCATGTGTTCTTATTGTTCAATTCCCAATTATGAGTGAGAACATGCAGTGTTGGGTTTTCTGTTCCTGTGTTAGTTTGCTGAGAATGATGGTTTCCAGTATCATCCATGTCCCTGCAAAGGACATGAACTCATCCTTTTTTATGGCTGCATAGTATTCCATGGTGTATATGTGTCACCTTTTCTTTATCCAGTCTAACATTGATGGGCATTTGGGTTGGTTTCATGTCTTTGCTATTGTGAAAAGTGCTGCAATAAACATATATGTGCATGTGTCTTTATAATAGAATGATTTATAATCCTTTGGGTATATGCCCAGTAATGGGATTGCTGGGTCAAATGGTATTTCTGGTTCTAGATCCTTAAGGAATTGCCACATTGACTTCCAAAATGGTTGAACTAATTACACTCCCACCAACAGCGTAAAAGCGTTCGTATTTGTCCACATCCTCTCCAGCATCTGTTGTTTCTTGACTTTTTCATGATCGCCATTCTAACTGGCATGAGATGGTATCTCATTGTGGTTTTGACTTACATTTCTCTAATGACCAGTGATGATGAGCTTTTTTCATATTTTTGCTGGCTGCATAAATGTCTTCTTTTGAGAAATGTCTGTTCGTATCCTTTGTCCACTTTTTGATGGGTTTGTTTTTTTCCTGTAAATTTGTTTTTCTTTGTAGATTCTGGATATTAGCCCTTTGTCAGATGGATAGATTGCAACAATTTTCTCCCATTCTGTAGGTTGCCTGTTCACTCTGATGATAGTTTCCTTTGCTGTATAGAGGCTTTTTAGTTTAATTAGATTGCATTTATCAATTTTGGCTTGCGATGCCATTGGTGTTTGTTGTTTTAGTCATAAAGTCTTTACCCATGCCTATGTCCTGAATGGTATTCACTAGGTTTTCTTCTAGGGTTTTTATGGTTTTAGGCCTTACATTTAAGTCGTTAATCCATCTTGACTTAATTTTTGTATAAGGTGTAAGGAAGGGGTCCAATTTCAGTTTTCTGCATATGACTAGCCAATTTCCCCAACATCATTTATTAAATAGGGAATCCTTTCCCCATTGCTTGCTTTTATCAGGTTTGTCAAAGATCAGATGATTGTATATGTGTGGCATTATTTCTGAGGCCTATGTTCTGTTCCATTCATCTATATATCTGTTTTGGTACCAGTACCATGCTGTTTTGGTTACTGTAGCTTTGTAGTATTGCTTGAAGTCAGGTAGCATGATGCCTCCAGGTTTTTGCACAGGATCCTCTTGGCTATCCGGGCTCTTTTTTCGTTCCATATAAAATTTAAAGTAGTTGGTTTTAATTCTGTGAAGAAAGTCAATGGTAGCTTGATGGGGATGGCATTGAATCTATAAATTACTTTGGGCAGTTTGGCCATTTTCAGGATATTGATTTTTCCTATCCATGAGAATGGAATGTGTTTGCATTTGTTTGTGGCCTTTCTTATTTCCTTAAACAGTGGTTTGTAGTTCTCCTTGAAGAGTCCTTCACATCCCTTGTAAGTTGGATTCCTAGGTATTTTATTCTCTTTGTAGCAATTGTGAATGGGAGTTCACTCATGATTTGGCTCTCTCTTTGTCTATTATTGTTTTATAGGAATGCTTGTGATTTTTGCACATTGATTTTGTATCCTGAGACTTTGCTGAAGTTGCTTATCAGCTTAAGGAGATTTTGGGCTGACACGAAGGCGTTTTCTAAATATACAATCATGTAATCTGCAAACAGACATTTTGACTTCCTCTCTTCCTATTTGAATACCCTTTACTTCTTTCTCTTGCCTGATTGCCCTAGCCAGAACTTCCAGTACTATGTTGAATAGGAGTGATGAGAAAGGGCATCCTTGTCTTTTGCCGGTTTTCAAAGGGAATTCTTCCAGCTTTTGCCCATTCAGTATGATAGTGGCTGTGGGTTTGTCATAAAGAGCTCTTATTATTTTGAGACACATTCTATCAATACTAGTTTATTGAGAGTTTTTAGTATGAATGGGTGTTGAATTTTATAGGAGGCCTCTTCTGCATCTACTGCAATAATCATGTGGTTTTTGTCATTGGTTTTGTTTATGTGATGGATTATGTTTATTGATTTGCGTATGTTGAACCAGCCTTGCATCCCAGGGATGAAACCAACTTGATTGTGGTGGATAAGCTTTTTGGTGTGCTGCTGGATTCAGTTTGCCAGCATTTTATTGAGGATTTTCACATCGATGTTCATCTGGGATAGTGGCCTGAAATTTTCTTCTTTTGTGGTGTCTCTGCCAAGTTTTGGTATCAGGATGATGCTGGCCTCATAAAATCAATCAGAGAGGAGTTCCTCTTTTTCGATTGTTTGGAATAATTTCAGAAGGAATGGCACAAGCTCCTCTTAATATCTCTGGTGGAATTTAGCTCCGAATCCATCTGGTCCTGTGCCTTTTTTGGTTGGTAGGCTATTAATTACTGCCTCAATTTCAGAACTTGTTATCAGTCTATTCAGGGATACAACTTCTTCCTGGTTTAGTCTTCGGAGGGTGTATGTGTCCAGGAATTTATTCATTTCTTCTAGATTTTCTAGTTTATTAGCTTAGAGGTGTTTATAGTATTCTCTGAAGGTAGTTTGTATTTCTGTGGGATCAGTGGTGATATCTCCTTTATCAAATTTTATTGTGTCTATTTGATTCTTCTCTCTTTTCTTCTTTATTAGTCTGGCTAGCAGTCTATCTATTTTGTTAACCTTTTCAAAAAATCACCTCCTGGATTCATTGCTTTTTTGAAGGGTTTTTCATGTCTCTATCTTCTTCATTTCTGCTCTGATCTTAGTTATTTCTTGTCTTCTGCTAGCTTTTGAATTTGTTTGCTCTTGCTTCTCTAGTTCTTTTAATTGTGATGTTAGGGTGTTGATTTTAGAAATCTTTCCTGCTTTCTCCTGTCGGCATTTAGTGCTATAAATTTCCTTCTAAACACTCCTCCTTTGGAGGAGAAGAAATATTATCACTTTTGGAATTTTCAGCCTTTCTGCGCTAGTTTTTCCTCATCTTCGTGGATTTATCTACCTTTGGTCTTTGATGTTGGTGACCTTTGGATGGGGTTTTTGTGCGGACATCCTTTTTGTTGATGTTGACGCTATTCCTTTCTATTTGTTAGTTTTCCTTTTAACAGTCATGCCCCTCTGCTGCAGGTCTGCTGGAATTTGCTGGAGGTCCACTCCAGGTCTTGTTTGCCTGAGTATCACCAGTCGAGGCTACAGAACAGCAAAGATTGCTGCCTGTTCTTTCCTCTGGAAGCTTCATCCCAGAGGGCCACCTGCCAGATGCCAGTTGGAGCACTCCTGTATGAGGTGTCTGTCGACTCCTGCTGGGAGATGTGTCCCAGTCTGGAGGCACGGGGGTCAGGGACCCACTGAGGAGGCAGTCTGTCGCTTATCAGAGCTCGAATGCTATGCTGGGAGGTCTGCTGCTCTCTTCAGAGCCAGCAGGCAGGAACATTTAAGTCTGCTGAAGCTGCACCCACAGCTGCCCCTTCTCCCAGGTGCTCTGTCCCAGGGATGTGGGAGTTTATCTATAAGTCCCTGACTGTGGCTACTGCCTTTCTTTCAGAGATGTCCTGCCCAGAGAGGAGGAATCTAGAGAGGCAGCCTGGCTACATCGGCTTTGCAGGGCTGCAGAGGACTGTGCCCAGTTCGAACTTCCAAGTGGCTTTGTTTACACTGTGAGGGGAAAACCACCTACTCAAGTCTCAGTAATAGCGGACGCCCCTCCCCCAACAAAGCTCAAGTGTCCCAGGTTGACTTCAGACTGCTGTGCTGGCAGCATGAATTTCAAGCCAGTGGATTTTAGCTTGCTGGGCTCCATGGGGGTAGGATCCGCTGAGCTAGACCACTTAACTCCTGGGCTTCCGCCGCCTTTCCAGAGGAGTAAACGGTTCTGTCTTGCTGGTGTTTCAGGCACCACTGAGGTATGAAAAATAATTCCTGCAGTTAGCTGGGTGTCTGCCCAAATGGCTGCCCAGTTTTGTGCTTGAAACCCAGGGCCCTGGTGGCATAGGCACCCAAGGGAATCTCCTGTTGTTGGGTTGCGAAGACTGTAGGAAAAGCATGCATTTGGGCCGGAATGCACCATTCCTCATGGCTCAGTCCCTCATGATTTTCCTTGGCTAGGGGAGGGAGTTCCCTGACCCCATACACTGCTGTGGTGAGGCAACACCCTATCCTGCTTCAGCTCACCCTTCACTGGGCTGCAACCACTGTCTAACCAGTCCCAGTGAGATGAGCCAGGTACCTCAGTTGGAAATGCAGAAACCACCTGCCTTCTGTGTTGATCTCGCTGGAAGCTGCAGACCAGAGCTGTTCTTATGCAGCCATCTTGCTAGCCACCTGCATTATTATATAAATTTCAAACTTAAATAGTTTTTAAAATGAAGAGCTTGATTGAAAACTATATATTATATTAAAACTAAATAAATTTATAACATAGCTTTTCCAAAGAGAATATGGGGCTATATCTCACATTTTCAAATGAGTCTCAGAACCATGAGTAATAAGAAATAAAAAGATTTCATAATTTTTAAGCAACGAGTTTAAAAATTTTAATGGTAAATGATACAGCTATCAGCAAGACTTTTATGTTGCCAGCAATTTTTTTTTTGTTTTTGTTTATTTTTCAGGCTTCCTATATCTCATGTCAAATATAATGGCTTAAAGAATCTGAAATGTAATATTCGGGTCTTATGTAGAGTGCTAAGTATACTTACTCCCAAAAATCTTCATGAAAAGAATAATTGAAAGAAAACTGAATTTGGAGTCTGGGCTTCAAGTTCTGGTTCAGTTCAAACACTTATTAATTAATGGCCTTTATTAAATCCCTTAATATCACTGAGATTTAATTTCTTTTTTAAAATTTTTTAAAGAGATAGGGTCTTGCTCTGTTGCCCAGCCTGGAGGGCAGTGATTCAGTCATAGCTCACTGTAGCCGCAAACTCCTGGATGATCCTCCTGCCTCATTCTGAAGTAGATAAAACTACAGGTGCATGCCATCATGCCTGGCTATATTTTTTTATTTAAAAGGCAGGATCTTGCTATGTTGCCCAGGCTGGTCTCAAACTCCTGGGCTCAAATAATCCTCCTGTCTCAGCATCCTGAGTAGGTGAGATGACAGGCATGACCCATCACACCCAGCTAGATTTAATTTCTACACATACAAAAAGGAGTAATTGCATATGCCCTACATTTCTGACATGGTTGTGTGAATGTTACATGGTACAATTTGTAGCAAAGTGTTTTGTAGGGAGTAAATCACCATCCAAAATATTATCAAAATAGTGATTTCTACCTCAGTCGTGTTCCTAAAGCTACTCCTGAAGGTAATTTTCATCATCTTCCTCTGAACTAGTGAGAAATTTTTAATGTGGCTTCCAGTCCCACTGCTACTTATTACTCTCAAGCTATCTGACTGAGCTGAAATCTATTCAAAGTACTTCCTTGCTGGAGAGGATTGCTTTTATTCATAATCTCAGGTCTGTCTCCACTTGAAAGCACAATTCAACTTTATTAGGAGGTTTTTGTAATGATAATGTGGTATATTCCTTCAGACATAAAGAGGTATGAAATAGAAAATTATGCTAATATATAAAAACAAAAGCAAGAGAAAGACAAGAATGTTTTTATCCTGTCAGAACTCTAATCCTAAAGGAATTAAATAACAAGCTTTTTAGAGGGGGAAAATCAAGTTAAATCGAAAATATTGTTATACATTAAGAGGCAAACTAATACACAAAGAAGTAAAAATGGGAAGTAGCAGGATCACCTAACAAGAGGTTCTAAAATCCAAATCTTAGATTAAAATGTGCATATTGTTACTTCTGTAGCTATGGTTAGACACCTGAGTCATTCTGAGGTGCTTATTGTGAAATCTTGTACTGATACTCGTAGCAAATTAAATGCGTCTTATTTGATCTATTTGATCTTCCATGAGGCTAGGGTAAGATTAAATAAAAAGACCATGAATGTTTGCTTTTGATGGGGTTCAGCAACACTATCCCAAAATATGGTACCTTGGCTTTTTAGAAAACCGCAGAAGCAAAAACGTCACTCTCACCTTCCCCTCACCTTTCTCCTTTGAAGCAGATCATAACACACTTATTGGAGAGGTGCCCTTCCTATTCTCTAAGGAAAAGAATATCCTTATCTCTAAAGACGAAGGGGGCAGGAGCTATGGTTCACGTCTGTAATCAAAGCACCTTGGGAAGCCGAGATGGGCGTATCACGAGACCAGCCTGACCAACATGGTGAAACCCTGTCTCCACTAAAAACACAAAGAAATTAGCCAGGCGTGGTGGTGCACACCTGTATTCCCAGCTACTCAGGAGGCTGAGGCAGGAGAATCGTTTGAACCCGGGAGGCGGAGGTTGCAGTCAGCCGAGCCGAGATCGTGCCATTGCACTCCAGTCTGGGCAACAGAGCGACACTCTGGCTCAAAAAAAAAAAAAAAAAAAAAAAAAAAAAACAGAAAAAAAAGAAAAAAGGACAGATAATTAACAGAATCAACAGGCTGTGCTAAGTTCCCCCCAGTTTATTGCCATTAGATCATATCGTTTGCCTTTCAGTAATATTTGTCCACAACTGTCCCTTCTTTATCAAACCTAAGCATAAAATACACAAGTTCACATCTTTGGGTCTTGATGTTAAAAGCCTTCCATGTCTTGCAAGACGGACATTTCTCTTATTAGTCTGCCTCTTGTTATAGGGTCCTCAACCATGGACATAGTAATGGATAAGGAAATAAATTTTTTCCTCTCCTATACTTCAAATTATCTAACCATGGAGAAAATTGGTGATGGGCATTTGAATGCTTTCTTGAAATCAGATATAAAAATGTAGATTTATTTCCAGGAAATAACTAGAAATTAAACTTATTTCCAAGTAATTAATAAAATTAAAGCATTCAGGGCTATGCATACTGCCTCATGCCTGACATTCCAGCTCTTTGGGAGGTTGAGGCAGGAGGTTCGCTTGAGCCCAGGAGGTTGAGGCTGCAGCGGGCTATGATCATGACACTGCACTCCAGATTGGGTGAGAGAGTGAGGCCCTGTCTCAAAAATAAAAAAATAAAAAAATAAAAAAAATTTTAAAACCATTCAAACAGTAGGGAAGAGAAAACCTTGGAAATGGATTCAAATCTTTATACTACATCTTTATATAACATCTATATATAACATCATCAAAATGATCTTAAATTGTATAAAGCATGTATATGAAACAGGTCCAAGATTTTATTAACTTACCCACACTATATTAAGAAACATTTAACACAGGTAATAACCACATTGTATAATTTCATCTGATTGTTAATATTAGCTATTATCTTAGAAACTAATAATAACAATGTTTCTATCCACAGAAAGATGTAACAAATTCCAGTGCATGATTCTGTTGCTTTTCCCATCATTGGCTTTGGTGTGCAATATTTTTCCTTGGTAATTATTTTAGTTGAGTATTTTCAATATTTGCGACCATATCTTTTAGTTATTTGACATACTGTCTAAAATCAGTAATTTTATTGCTTTGGTAAATCTACCTATTATTTCTATTTTCCATTTAAAACCTCAACAAAGTAAGTGTTTGTATGGCCTAGAGCAACTTAATCTTATTTTCATCATGTTTCTATTTAATGTGTATATGTATTTTCATGTGCCATGTGAATTGATTCAACATATTAATAACAAGATGATCTAAATTTATTATATAAGTAATAAAGGCTAAACATTTATCAACACAAATGAGTCCACTAGAAATAGGAGTCATAATTTGATGAATGAAAAAAAATTCAAATATGATTTTTAAGCCATAAACATTTTTATACTAGGACATTTTATATGCTATAGATTAAAATATGAATAATCATCATCATATTGGTTTTACATTTCCAAGTTAAACAAACCTCAATCTCAACATAACAAGATGTTTAGCCTAAAACCTTACAATTTTATATACCTGATTTAAATCAGATTCAAGTAGGCAATTTTTTCCAATTATATTAAGGAAAACATTCCTCTTGTTAAAGAAGAGAAAGCATTAATATTTAAAAGACATAGAATATTTTATTGATTTGATCAAGTAGTTCCGAGTCCTAGTTATAATTTTAAAATATCTTAGTAACATTTTATTAAAATTCACCTAGCATAGACATATGAAACTAATTGATACTATATTTTATTAAAACATGTACAACTTTACACAGTCCCTATGAAAATAACTTTAGAGTCATAAAGATAATAATGGTAATTATAATAAACAATCTCTCATCTCAAGAAAATAGTTTGCTTTAAACCCATCAAGATCATTAGCCCATAAACTTGATCTTATTGGTAGAAATTTCCAATGAGAGGTGAAAATGTAGCTTAATATTAAGCAGGGAAAAATAAGTGAAAGTGTATTGATAAGTTTTGTCAATTTAAAATAACACAGAGATAATCCTTATTCAGTTATAGCATGTTACCATGAGTGAAAAAACAAAAAAAAAATACACTGAATTCTCAAATTTGTATTAAAGGTGGCACAGCAGGTTGTAAATTTTAACATAAGCTGGTACTGCATGTTTTGTTTTTTAGCATTTAAATTGTGGCACTACAATTTGGAAGCTGTGCAGCTTGTTACTCCAAGACAAATCTCACCTAAGAGGATATGGCAGCCTTCCACACTGTGGTCTGATTGCATTAGACCAAGTACGGCTAAAGAAAGAAATATTTTGACAGGGGAGATTGCACTTGAACACATCAAAGTGTCAGTTCAGATATGTGGCATCTGAAAAGCACCCTCCCCTTTTCCCCATTGCATGAAATTTGCCACCTCTCATTGTCTCTTCCAGATGGTGTACTGAGTTCTCTTCAGCTTTATTCCTAGAGAGCTCAAGTTGACATCAATCTGTTATGCCATTTTCTTGTAATACTAATGTGGCTTATTTATCAATGCCAATTAATCAATGGCACAGAACGGGTTCTTCCTTAGCAGCTAATGTTGTTTCATTTTTTTAATATTCAAAAAAAATTTTAAGGGCAGCGACCAGATTGGGAAGCCACGCATCTGGCAGACTGTGGCCACTTAGGAGGCATTCAACTGATGTAAAGATGAAGCCATTTATTTCAAAATATGATTAAGAAGCATATTGGGAGGTTATTATTTCTAGCAGAAGGGTGAGAGTAATTCTGTGAGATAAGAAGAAATTTAATTGTTTTGTAATAACAAATCATGTCTGTCTTCATGACCTTGTATCACCATATAAAGAAAAAGAAAAGCCTATCATATCTGTAAATTTTTAGCTTTTTATTAATCTTACTGCAGCATCACTGCACAAAAGATATAAAGAAGTCCCCACATCTACTACAGTTATACTTTATCACTGTGATCTTCTTTTTTTCAGAGTAAATATACTGTAGGATAGGACTTATATAATAAGAGATACCCAAAATGTTATAATATTTTCAGGCAATCTAGATTACTGTAATAGTTGCTCTGAATTTCAGTTCTGGGGGTCATATCCCAATCACCTACTTTGTGGGCCCTAGAATTAGGGCAAAAATTACATAAGATATCAAATGATGCCACCATCGATGGAATAATAGCTATTGAGCCAGATTCCCCAATTCAAACAAGAAAAAGAAGAAGAAAAAATTACTATTTAGCATCAGTAATTTGGATCTAATAAACAATTATAAAAATGATCTTAATGATCCCTAGTTCCTTCAAGTAGCTTATCAACCTCATTATAGTTGTATGAGGAAAGGTGTACTTTGAAAACATTAGAATGGAATATGGTATTCAAGTTAATTTAGTGTAAGCATTCTAAAATCAATATTTTGTACTATCTACTTAATATTGATTATGTACACGATCTTCTAGGGGAGGTCCTAGCAGTGTAAAAACCTTACGGTTTCAACAATATGATAAAGAAAATATGAGAGAAAGAGAGACTGGTATAATTCATTAATAATGAATAATGGGCATATTAACAAAAATAATTTTTCATGATACATAGACATTTATGAGGTATGTGGAAGAAAATAAATAATGAAATCATTTTTTTTCCATTGTAAATCAACCTCATAAGTCCATCCTTTTTACCCCTGACTTCCAAAGGCAACACGGAGGAAGTCTAGCCAAAAGACTGTTAGTTTTACTCTAGAATTTGACACAAAATGAAATTCACGGGTCATGACAGGAGCATTCTGACAAGACATACAACTGTGATCTTGCCTTTGAAAAACTCTGCAAGGCAGAATTTGAGATCAGAATTAACTAAAAATGTTAAAAAGTTGGGGAATGGGCATTGAGAAAGTAATTTCTGCTTTACAACAACCATGCCCATCTTAACCTGTTTATATTTTCGAGCACTTATATAAAGAGAGACGTCTAGGAGAAAATATATTTCTCTAAACCTTCTATTTCACCATATGTTTTATTTGACCCATAAACTTTCCCTTTCTCAAACTTTATCATTTCCCTCATGATTTGCCATTCCTCTCACCTTGCACCAAAGCAAAGAAAATATCTTTTCAGATTTTATCTATCTTCTACAGTCTGGTTTAACTTTCAATTCTTCCAAAACCTTGCCAGAGAATCCCAATGATCTCATCCCACTTTCTAAATATGTGCCTTGTTTCCTTCCTCTATAATAATTAATATGTTCTAGCTGACATTAATTAAGCACTTACCACGTGCCAGACACACATTCTTACAAGTGATTTACATGTATTTCCTCATTTAATCCTCACAACAACCCAATGAAGTTGGGTTACTATCATCTCCCTTTTATAGATGTTAAGGGAGTTTTCCAATGTTATACAAGTGCAGAGCCAGGATTTGAATCACAGTTATTTTATTGTAGAACCATAAAAAAACTCTCAGAAGTCTATAAATTATTTCAGTAAAACTGTGCTTTAAAAACAGTGTGTATATTATCTTTTCAAAGTAACATTTTCCTGATTATTAAGGAAACACACACTTATCATAGAAAATTTGAAAACATCTGTAAAAAGAGTTGAAAAAAAAAGTATTTTATAAATCCTCCTCCTGACTAGTATTAGGTCAGAGTATTTTTTGGGTGTATTTTGAATGTGGATGTATATGTGCCAAAAGCTTTGTAAAATATTGATCACATTGAATATATAAACTGGTTTTCTACATTTCCTGTTACTATCTCATGAAAATTTTCCTTATGCTTGAATAGTTTTGAAAAATAATTTTGATAATCGAATGGAAGCTATCCTCCTATAATGGTAAGTGAGTAACTCAAACAGTTCTCTATGTGGTTGTCATATATTATTAATAACAAAAGGTTATATCAGATATTGACGTTAATATTATTCATATTGTCAGTGAAATCTTCTTGCCAACACTGGGATGAAACTGTAGAGAAGGTTTAATTCTACTGTAAAAGGTGAAATTATATCACAGAATCACAAATGATTTTCCCATTATGGAAAAACATCCTGAGAATGTCACGAAGGCCTGATATCAACTGCTGTTTCCAAGAGTTTAGAAAACAACTGTCAATGTTCCTATCCAGAGAGAAATCTGGATTGTGCTGCCAATCTTATAACCTGGCCCTCACCTTGCTTACAGCGGCTTGTCAAGGAAAGAGAAAAATCCCAAAAGAGCCCTTTGCTCTTTTTCTTGTGCTCTCTGAGATACTCCCCTTTCCTTCTCACTATTTACAAAAGGGAGATGGGAGAAAAATTCAGGGATAATGTATTTTAAATGATTTCTATGGCTAAGTTAAATGTTGTGGGGGGTGTAATTTTCAAAGGATGTAGGCATCCTGAGTCAACAGGCTTTGCATCTGCCAGTGTTCCTTTGAAAACCTCAGGAGAGTCTTTAAAAGCAAATAGATGATCCTCTATGGGAGCCGGCTTAGATATGTGCTGTCTCCAAGAGCTCTGTAAATGTAGATTAACTGACCTCTCTGGGTCCTTCTCTTAATCCCATGCTCTGAATATGGAAATGACAGTTCACGTGTATCTCCAATGCAACAGTCAAATAAATTTAACTTAAAGGAATTAATTTATGCTAATAAGACTTTCAGCAAAGATGAGAACTGTAAATTGCTTTGTTTTAAAAGCTTGAATTAATTGGATTAATATTTCATTTTAAGCAGCTTGAATACGGCCACATGACTAATAAATGTGCATGAGGTAAAATCTATTCACTGAGTGTACTATTCCTTCTCAAAAAATAACTAGCATGTTATCTACATTTTAATAACGGAAATCAACATTGCATTCCATTTATTTATTCAACAAATATGTATTGAATATAATTAAATGAAAAAGCTCTGTTGAGTTTGCAGGAGATGAGAAAATGAATATGATGTAATCAAGTAGCTTACAAGTTAGTGCAAGAATATACACAAAATACAAGTTAGAAAGAGATGTCATGAAAGATGTAGCTTAAAAATAAGTGGTGTGCAGAAGATGAGAAATAATTGACAGCTCTAGAACCAGAAAGGGCCTTATGAAGAAAGTAATATTCCAGCTCTGTCTTGAAGGGAATTAGAAACGTGATGCTGAGGAATAAGTACTCAAGAAGAGAAAAAAATAATAGGAAGAAAGGCACCAGGGAAGGAAATCTTTAGTGTAAATATAGACAGCAGCACAGCTTCTTTACTTCCTATGTGACTAAATTTCTTCAGGTGCACAGTAAGTTCTCCCAGTATTTACCATCTAAGTTATTTCCTGAATTTCATTCAGTGTTTTTGGGAATGCCTTATGTCTCAGTTTCCTCAACTGAAAGAAACCTATAGGATTAGATGATTTACAAGTTCTTTCTGGTTCAAATCTCTGAAAATGTGAGTCATTCAAAAATCATGTTGATTAAATTGATAACCAAATACTTAAATAATTTTAGTATCAATAAATTATAGGAAATAAAATTATTTACCAAGAGAAGGCAAAATAAAGTGATAGTTTGAGAAAAGGCAAAATAGAGAATTATTGTGTCATTGCTGTTCATTTAAATTCTGAAGAGATATGGATGCCTTATTGTATCTTCCAATTAGTATCTGATATTTACCACAACCTATGATTGGGACCTGAACTAAAGCATCTAAGTAGATATAATTCTTCTGTAGAAAACATTTAGAATTGCACCTTTATGCCCTCATCTATTACCTCTAGTGGAATGTTATTTGTGTTCCCTTTTCAAAAAAAATTACTGCTTTATGAGTAAACTATTAATATTTCAAAACTATTTCTAAAGTTTTCCCCCTGATATTTGGGGTTAAGAGATCTGTGGCTGAAAATTTCTAATTAATGTTGTCATGATTTCCAGCATATTTTTATTTAGAAATATAAGTTTGTGTGGTAAAATTATTAGAATTGGTTGAAAATATTTGATGTATCTACTTGCAGGAGCCTTCAACATACATTCAAAAATTTGCTTGTCTAGAAAGCAATTAAAACCAAAAAACTAGTTTGTTTTCTCATTTAATATTTTATCATAGTACTTTAGAAATAATGGTGTATTAGGCCGGGAGCGGTGGCTCATGCTTGTAATCTCAGCACTCTGGGAGGCCGAGGCAGACAGATCGCTTGAGGTCAGGAGTTTGAGACCTGCCTGGGCAACATGGTGAAACCCCATCTCTGCTGAAAATACAAAAATTAGCTGGGCATGTTGGCGGGAGCCTGTAATCCCAGCTACTAAGGAGGCTGAGACATGAGAATCACTTGAACCTGGGAAGCAGAGGCCGCAGTGAGCCGAGATCACACCACTGCACACCAGCCTGAGTGACAGAGTTAGGCCTCATCTCAAAAATAAAAAATAAATAAAAATTAATGGTGTTTTAAAGCAAATTATCTACAGTGATTATCATTGTGGTTTGAGTTTAAGAAATACTGGAGATGTTAATTTAAAATGTTTATAGTATACACTTCTGCATGGCTTGAATTTTGTTTTTACTTTTGTGATTAAAAAATCAATAAAATTAATAATTAAAATAATTTAAAATATAGATCAACAATTTAATGAAAGAAATATGTGTTTAGTGCCTTCATAATCATCAAAATTAAAGAATTTACTTGAAGACTTTTTGAGCCTATGCCAAATTTTTGCGTTTACATACATGATCATTTTAAGGTTCCATGTGGTAGAGCTTTATATGCACCTAATATGCCTTTTCCTTAATTTGGGCTTTGCTAAACACAACTTTTTGTGTCCTCTGACAACAGGTAAGTGTTCTTGTCTAGAAAGAGTATATACTTGGTTTATGGCATGGCTATAATAAACGGCTGAGTTCTATACTGTCAATGATAAAACTTGGTCTCACATCAATATAATGGCCATGCTGTATATGATTCTTAACTGTGATATACTTTAACAAAGGCATCTACCTATGCTGCCTCAAATTAAGAAGTTTTCCCAAGTCCAGACTACAATCTTGGAGTTATCCTACCTAGGTCACCACAAATTTAATCCGCCACGTTAAGAGAAAATTTAAGATGTGAGAAAAATAAGTAAGATATATGTAGAAAGGTACAGGTACTCAGCATTGTCATCAAAATTAGCTAGATTAGTACTAAACGGTTGCTCAAAATGTCAACTATTTCAGCTTTAGATTGGCTGACTGCTGCTGATTCTTAGGAAAAAAAAAACAGGTTTATTGATACATGATTCTTAGTAAACATCCTTAGATGACTGAGTTTCTTTTTGCTCACCAACAGGAGCTATAGTATCTGAAGCCACCTATTAAATACATTTCTATTTTCTCCTGAATCTTTTGGTCATATTTATCTTTTTCTTCAAAGTAAAATGGACTATGCATATAATTTTGGGAGTGGGGTATTCCATTACATAGTCAAATGCCTGATTTCTACAATGTAATTATATCGTTTCTAATTTATATTTGGGGTTATTTTAACAGGAACTAGACCAGCAACAGACCTTCATTCAACTTGCTATTAGCACTCACTGACTTGGCTTATTGTTTGCGATGAAGCATAGTAATTAGGTAAATTCACTGTATTCCTGATAATCATCAAAATATTGGTGGGCTTTGATTTCCTGCTCAGAAAAGCAAGGAAGGTACAAATCTCCCACATATGACTAAGGAAATTGTGTAAACTGTATTATTTATTCATACATATATATGTATGTATATGTGTGTATGTTTTTATATAATAATGGAGAATGGAATGAAATTTAAAATGTAGGAAGACTCTAGATAATTAAATTTATATAGTAAAAGATATTGTGACAATCAAAAGGAAAAATATCATTCATGATATAGAAAAGATAGGTTGAAACATACAATTAGCTAGAGGGAAAAGCAAGCAGTTTTTGTCTATCTTTTTAGCTTCATGTCATTTTAGTGGGAGAACAGTAAGGCAATAAACTAAACTGACGACATTGCAAGGGAGAAAAGTTTATTAAAAACACCATAGAATTAAAACAAGGATGTTTTAAACAGAGAAAAGTTACTGAGCTGCTGAAAGCTGCTGCCCCCACCTGGGCATTAAACAACAAGAACTTCACAACTTAACAGCTTTCTCTATATTTGTAAAATTCTAGGATTTCTCATTTATGGGTTAAGCCACAAACTAATAGGAAGCAAACATTGTATTATGCTTGTCAACCAATATACAAGCTGACCTCAGAAACACTGCATATGAAAAGAAATCAGCCGACATTTTTTCTTATTTATGGCAAATCAAATACTGACTTATGTATATGAATATAGTAAAGAAGCTTGACAATGTCAAAGAGCTTATATGCAATTGGCAAGGGAACCAAAATCAGTTGCACGATGTAAAGGTTTGAGTTGTAGATACCCACCTGATACCGTGTATATGTATTGCAAGATAAATATGCATACCATTATCAATTTAATCATTGAACCTAAATCTAACTTCTGTTCATACAATAACTAATTAAATTTATTGGGGCTTAATTCTTTCAACATCACTACTTTTAAGAAAAATACTTTAGATGTTTCCTCCTTTGTTGTATCAGCTGTAATGTCTCTAAGCTTTAGTTTTCTTTTTATTTTCATGTCTCACAATTATATTTGTTATGGGTTTCTATTTCATTCATTGCTACCTGCTGACATTTGTCTCAGCTGTGAATGTTTTTACCTATGAAAGATAATCTCCTTAAACATCTATTAATTTACACTTCCAACTGGGTGTGGAGTTTCCAACCTTATGTAATTGTGAGCAAATCTGTAAATTAGCACTAAGACAACTGTTACAAGTATAAGGTGTTTGAAATTTCTCTCAATGACTTTTTATGGTAGTTTTGGCTGCTCAGGAACCTCCTTATTTGCTTCCTCATTTATACTCTGTTCTAGATAAATGAGATTGCGAGATATTTAACTTCATTGAGTAATGAAATTATATTTTAAATTTGGGACACAGGATTAATAACAGGAAACATCAGACAAATGTAAAATGATACCATCTGAATTGATAATATTCCAATAACATTCAATCTAAATTCATGCATTCACTTATTCTTCCATGTTAGACAAACAATTTTTGAATGAATGAATTCAAACATCTTCCCTTCACGTTCTAGGCAGACCACACAGAGCCCTGTTGTTTTCTGTTTTTAGTCAAAAATAAATAAATAAATAAGATTATGGTGAAAAAAAACCATGCTATCAGTTCACAAGGGTAAAAAGTAAAAGAGGAAAAGCCCTGCTCCCCTGTTTTCTTATTTCCATTTGTCAAAATTAAATACTACTAACACAGTTATTTTTAAAAAGATTTTCACAAATAAATAGTGGTGTGAATTTCTGATATTGACTGAGAGATTTTGCAACAAGGGGAAGTTTTAAAACTCTGGCACACAATTATGGAGTTAGTTTGTTTATCAAATAGTCTAGGGCTGGCAATAGCAACTAAGCTTCAAGTTGATGGGTACAAAATTATTTCAAATTTTCTGAGTTGAAAACTTGTTATTCTATTGAGGATATACTTGACTCAATCTAAAATGTCTTTACATCCTGAATTCCAGTAAGACACAAAATTTCTATTAGGAAGAATTATATATACAGTTTGCTTTTTATTTACAAAAATGCTCTTATTAGAAGCTTATTGAAAACTGCCATATTAGTCTAAGAAGTTAAAAGCATCCAGCATGTATACATTCATTTATTTATTCATTTATTTGATAAACATTTATTCATATTTAATATGCAGCAGGCATCATTCTAGGCACTTGAAAAACAGCAGGGAATAAACTAAAAACATAATCCCTGTCCTCAAGTACCTCATATCGTAGTGAGAAGAGAAAACAGACACGATAGGTAAAACATAACATGCTTTTGACAGTAGTAAGGAATAAGGAAAAAATAAAAAGCAAAAATGAGGATCAGTAGCTTTCAGGAACTTACAAGTTTTGATTGGAGGACTTTTGGGAAACTAGATGAAGAAAGTGAGAGAGGAAGCCATGCAGACATATGACAGAAAACTATACAGGCAAAAGGAATAGCAAATGCAGATATCCTGAGGTAGGGGTGTGCCCAATATATTTTAGGTATTTTTTAAAAAAAAGGTTAATACTTCAGAAGAAAAGCAAGCAAGGGTGAAATGGTAGGAAATGAATTTAGAAAGGTGACAGGTGGTCAGACCATGTAGTTATTTGAAGATCCATTGCTGGCTGTTAGTCAAAAAGATATAGGAAGCCATGGGAAGTTAACCACTAACCAGAGGAGTGCCATGGTCTGATTTACATTTTAGCACTCTAGCTTTTATACTGACAATGGATCACAAGGGTAAAAACAAGACTAGACAGAAAGCCACTGCAAAAATCCAAGCAAGTGAGAAGGGTAGCTTTTACAAGGGTAATGACAATGGAGGTGTTGAAATGTGGTTGGATTCTAGATATATTTTTAAAGTAGAACCTCAAAATGTTTGGCATGTGGATAAGGGCAGTGATGAGAAAAGGTCAAAGATACGTTCCAGGTGTCTGACTTAAGCAACTAAAAGAATCTATTTGCAATTTACTGCGATGACATATAAATTTGAGGGGTCATTTATATACAGCATTAAATAAATCACGACGATGGATATGACTGTAGATAGAAAAAAGGTATCCTAGAATTAATCCCTGTGGGGAACTCCAACATTTAGAGGTAGAGGAGGTAAACACAAATGAATGAAAGAGATTAAGAAGAGCAGAAAGGTAGGAGGAATTTTGGTGTCATGAAAGCCATGTTAAGAAAGTGTTTCAAAAAGAAGAGAATGACCGTCTGTGTCAAATGCTGCTGATAGATCAACGAAGACTAAAACTAAAATGTAAGCATGCCATATGAAGGTCATTTTGGACTTTGGTAAGAGTCATTTTAGTAAAATGGTAAGGTCCACTGGCTGACTGGAGTGATTTCAAGAAAAGATGGAGGAGCAAAATTAGAGATAGTGAAATTCAGCTAGACTTCTAAGACTTGTTTTTTCTTGGAAAGGAAAGAAATCAGGATGTAGCCAGGGGAAAAATTGGGGTCCAAAGAAAGTTTTTAAAATACTGGATAAATATCATCCTTTTATGCTGATGATCATAGAGGAAAGAATAATGAGACTTTTAGACAGACAGGTCATCTATAATAAAAAGAGAGAAGATAGCATATAGAGTCACAGATGCTATCACTTACACATGTAGGTGTGATGGCAGAAGCTTCTATTCCAATGCAGACATATGTATTGTAAAAATTAAAAGTTGAAAAGTGACACATATCTTTAGAGTATCATCTACAGACATTAGATGCTCAGACACATAATCAAAAGATACATTACAATGAGTGAGCATCTTGTGGGAAAATTTGCATAACATCATTTGCATTTCTTCTAATATTCATGACAGTTTGACATCTACATCCTATGTTTACATTGAGAAAAGTCGTCAGTTATATATTACATGCTTCATTAGCTTACTTTTCTTAGAATCAAATGTCTGTAGATTTATTCTATTAAATGTGAATAAACATCATGAGTAGCAGTCGCCAAAGTGATACCACATAATCTGTAATCGTTCTGGGGCTCCTTGACTAACATGTTCAATTAAAAGTTGTTACAAATTTCCTGGTAACCCTCTTATTTTGTATATGAATTTAACAAAGCAATAAAAGTGAGATGGGATTGAAGCTGTAACTACAAATAAAAATTAAATATTTAATAATGCTGAAGTAAATGAAAATTGAGTGAACATCTCAGGTAGTTATTATATGACTACATTTTGGTGCATTTTTCTTGATCTTATCAGTTTTCTCATTACTTTTTCCATTACATTAAAAAAACCTATAATAAGTAAATTTGCTTCTCTTCTTCATCAAAACCAGTTCTTCTCAGAATTTCATGTTCATAGGAATCACTTAAGATCTTGTTAAAATGTAGGTTCTGATTCCGTAGTCTGGAGTGGGGCCCATACTTTTGCATTTCTAACTAGATTTCAGGTTTTGCCCATGCAGCTGGTTAGCAGAACACACTTGGAAAACAAGGGTCTAAACCACTCTGTTCTTGGCATTTGTGCAGAGGTTGAGATAAATTAATCATTTCATGCCTAATTTTTGGGTTGCCGTTAAAAAGTTAGTTAAGTAGTTAAGTAAAGTCATATGCCAGTTAATGAAGGGGATATGTTCTGAAAAATGTATCGTTAGGCATTTTGGTCACTGTGGGAACATCACAGAGTGTATTTACACAAGTCCACATGGTGTAGCCTACTACACACATAGGCTATCTGGTATAACCTATCACTCCTAGCCTGCACACCTGTATAGTATGTTACTGTACTGAATACTGTAGGCAATTGTAATACAATGGTATTTGTGTACCTAAATGTATCTAACTAAACACAGAAAAGGCACAGTAAAAATTCAGTATTATAATCTCAGGAGACCGCTGTGGTAGAGGTGGTCAGTCATTGACTGTTATTATGCCACACATGACTGTAAAATTTAAAAAAAAAATTAGTTGATTATCAATATGTATATTCCTAGAAGACCATATAAATAACATACAATTTTAAATCCTACTTAAAATATTATGGCCTCTAACTAAAAACAAATAAATACATTTTATAACAATTCCTCAGTCCAAACGTATTTGCTCATTATTTTATTTACCAACCCAGTGCCTAATTTCATACCAGCCCACTCACTAAATAACAAAACCAAAGGAATGAAGATTAAGTTAAAATGCGGACAGCTATGTTGAATCTGACACACTGATCACACCACAGAGGAAACAAACAACTCGAATAGTGTTATTTAAAATTGCAATCCTGTAAGTGGCAATGAACATTTTGCTATGACTATGCTGTGCTGTTTTCCCCACACCTACTCCCACTTGCCAGGTTAGACTGGCTCAATCTGCTCTACCGTGGGATCACAATCATTTGAACAAACCCCCTCAGGGCAGTAATATCCAGGCAGCCAGTGTTGTCTCAGAAGAGCTCCTGACACCATTCCCCACGAATCCGTAATTTTGTTTATGTATAGCAAAAGCATGGCATAGGAAAAAAGACAGCATGCCACTGATGGGAAAACTTCCTAACCTGCTTTCACAAAGCACTAAGATCTCTCTGAAATATTGTGAATATTCAGGATGTGCAGTGTTTATGCATTAAAAGAGGATAAGGGACATGTTGTAAAGGTCTGATTTCACAAGAGTCATTCTAGATGGCTAGTTATACAAACCACTCTTACAGTTTAAGATTTAAATAACAGATATACTGTAAATACTTTGTTATAGTGTGAGAGATACTCTCTGAGAAAGTCTAACTTTTTCAAAACATTCAGATGTCACCTAAGAGCCGAGTAAGGAGTAATTCATTCTACATTACATTATTTCACGGGTATAGTGTTATATCTTAATCCACCTTTATACACATGTGCAAACACATCTACTTATGCATCTATCCATATTATTTAGACCATCAAAGGAGGTAGAAGAGAGTTCAACATTTTATAATACTTTCATCCTTCTCGCTGTTGTGCATTAGGCTGTATACCTGAAAATCTTCATATTACTGAATACTGTACTATTAAGAGGAAAAAATAAGAATAATATTTTACCACAATGACTATGCACTATAGCAATTTTTTAAAATTTGAAAAATATATGTGTGTATATATGAAAGACAGTAAGTGTGCTGGGGGAAAGAGTCATTCAACCCTTTTTAAAGTGGCTAATTCAGCAAAATTTCATTTTCTAACTAATGTAACTCCAATTTAAAAATCCATAATATTATACTACAAGGGCACAGTTTACCTAATCTGCCAATTATGTTTGTTGTACAAAAGAGAAACCCAGGGCAAATATATAAATAAAACAATTTGTATTTTTAAGACCAAATAGTCTATCAGTTCTTGCTGTAAGAGGTACAGGTTTAGTGTTCCTTAACCAAAATGCTTGGGGCTGGAAGTACTTCAGAGCTTCAGATTTTAGGTTTTTGGTGTGTGTGTGTTTTTTTTAAATATTTGCATTATATACACTTACTGGTAGAGCATCCCTAAGCTGAAGGTTTGAAATCTGAAATGCTGCAATGACCATTTCCTTTGAATGTCACATTGGTGCTCAGAAAGTTCAGATTTCAAATTTTTGGACGTGGGATGCTAAACCTGAATTTAAAAATATATTAACTCTTTCAAATCACTGGGTAGGTGCACATAGAATACTTTGTGTCATTTTTTTAAGGGACTGGGTCTCCCTCTGTTGCCCAAGGTGGAGTGCAGTGGCATGATCATAGTTCACTGCAGCCTCGAACTCCTAGGCTCAAGGGATCCTCCCACCTCAGCCTCCTGAGTACCTGGGACTACAGAAGCATGCCACCATTCCTGGCTAAGTTTTATTTATTTATTTTTTTTTTACAAATGGGGGGGGGTCTCACTCTGTTACCCAGGTTGTTCTTGAACTCCTGGTGTCAAGCAGTCCTCCCATCTTGGCCTCCCAAAGTGCTGGGATTACAGGTATGAGCCACTGTGCTCAGGTTTGTGTTGTTTAATATAGATTACATTTATTTATTCTGCCAAAGACACCATTGATTTTTGCCATATATTTCTCATCTGATTCTCACAAGCACTTTAATAACATAGTAAATGAAAATATTGCTTTAACTAGCAATTTTTATGAACATTAATTTTTATTAACATAATATAAAGCACTAGTATTTATTATTTTTGGTTTGATGAGTCAGATAATTTGCCTTATCATCGTCATCATTTTATTATTTAAGGAATCATATCAGTTGCCTCTTGTTGGACTGTAATGAGTTAGGTCAAAAGAAAGTGAATTTGATAGTCAGAAACAAGGGACTGTAGATCTGCATTACCAAAATGGAAATGGGAAAAATAAGAAAGTTACATGCGTTCTTTTGGAAATCTCTTTCAGAGGTGGAAGGGAGGTGGTGTTATTAAACATTTATTAAGGATCTGCACATATTAAGCACTATGCTATGTGCTTTGTTTAATTTACCTAATAATGCCCTGAGATAGTTACTGTCATCCTTAAATTATAGGTAAAACAAACACAGAGGATAAGTCAGTAGCCTCGCATCTCTGGGCCAATGAGGAACAGAACCAAGACTCCAACCTGGATCTACATGATTTTAAAACCTACACATTTTTCTCAACTGGGTAAAATGAGTGAACTAATAAAGTTAGTAAATTTCCCAGATAAAATATTTTTCTTTGTCATAATCTAAGCAAATATCAAGAATATTTTAATGTTTGATGGAAGGGGACCTGTTAGAACCAGCGTTTGTGTTATTTAAATAATTTCAACATTTATTTTAGATTTAGGGGGTGCATGTGCAGGTTTGTTACATGGATGTATTGCATGATGCTGAGGTTTAGGGTACGAATGATCCCACCACCCAGGTAGTAAGCATAGTACCCAATAGGTAGTTTTCCAGCCCTCCTCCACCCAGCAGTCCCCAGTGTTTATTGTTCCCAACTTTCTGTTCAGTGTTCCCAATGTTTAGGTCCCACTTATAAGTGAGGACATGCAATATTTGAGAACCAGTATTCTAATAACTTAAATCCAAAACTTGTAGATTCCAAAAAGACTGAAACAAGTCAATTTTACTTATAATTTGACTAAAGATATATTAATAGATCAATTTTCACTATGCTTTAGGTGATATGGAATCTTAAATAAGCTTGAACTTCATGATAATGTTTTCTATGTTTTGTAATTCTGAAGTAATTAGGGTTCACTTTTTCCTAATCAAGGCCAAGATCTTTCAACAGTTAAGATAATTCTAACAAAGAATCATTAATAATCAGCAAACTAACTCTTTTGTTATCTAGTACTTCACTTATTTAATATTCAGTTTCTATTATTTTAGAAACAAAACTTCAACTCCTATCTTCAAGGTCTTTAAGTGCATTTATTTCTGTATTCCTGAAAGACAGCTTTTATCCAAGAAATAAAATTTACTAAAATGTTAATACCCTAAGCAGTAAGACCCGAAACTTTAACCACCCTGCTCAATGTTGCATAAACAATCATGGAATTGTTAAGAATTCACTCTAAATGCGATGTCACGTGTTGAACATAAAATTCAACTCTCTTAATGAAGCAAGTAAACAAACTTCTTTGCACTTTGTAATATGTATATATTATCTACTGTAGTAATCTAAGAAGAAATAGATTCAGTTCCCACTTGTAAACAGAACCTCATTAAATGCATGAATATGTGGAAGAAATGTAAAAAAAAAGCATGGTCTAATGGTTAAGTGACTGTGATTGTCAGTCAATAAAAACGGTCCCCAATCTGTCACTGACTCCAGTATTTGTCCTTGGGAAAATATCCTGACTCTTTCACAGCTCTCAATTCATCCTGTTTATAAAAGTGGTTTATGAAGTATTTTAGCATTTATAATGTGCTTAACAATATTTCAAAACCCCAGTGTATGAATTATTACTTGTGTACAAAACTATTTATAGGAATGTCAGTTTCAACATAATTAAAAATTAAATATACAGTTATAATTCCCTATTTTTAGTAAAAATTAGATTTTTAAAAAAATTTCAAGGTTCTGAATACCCTAAAAGTATTAGATAATTTCATATGCTATTTGCA
Source organism: Homo sapiens (assembly GCF_000001405.40). Taxonomy (NCBI): domain Eukaryota; kingdom Metazoa; phylum Chordata; class Mammalia; order Primates; family Hominidae; genus Homo; species Homo sapiens. The sequence continues at coordinate 212,258,229 of NC_000002.12, forward strand.
AAATAATATTTTCATGCATTTTATTTGTTTTCAAAACCTCTCATTAAAGACTACTTTTTAGTTACATTAACAAAAATCAAAGAAAATAATCTGAATCTATAATGATCTTTTAAAAATTCAAACTTGGTTTACCTAAACAAAACTGTATCATAGAATTTTAACAACAATAACGAAAAATACCGTCCACTGTCTCAGTTAGAACTGCGCATCAAATGATAAACAGTTTACTTTCCAAATAATAAACAAAAATATTGACCCTAAAATAGTTACGCTAAAATAATATGTTTTAAAAAATATATTGGTAATAAAAGGTAAATTTTAAAAAGATTTTCATTCCAACAAGCCAGGGAACATACTTGCCAATTTCTCTTTAAAAATATATAAGATATATATAATATATATAATAATATATAATATGTTTTTAATAGAACATTGAGGCAGTCTAGTTAAAGCTGCCTAAATAACAAAACCTAGTCTCAGAAATGTGTTTCTGGACATTATTTAGCTAGTGTTCAAATAATAGTACAACCTGCATTACAAGCACCTCTTTTCTTTTTCAGTGCATACAAAACTCATGAGTTGGCATATATGATTTTGGTAAATACTAAAAGCTTTTGTATCTTCCATTAAATTTATTACACAACTTTCCTGTGTCTCAAACAATGATCATCTTAGAGGAAAGTAATAAGGAAAGTCATCAAGAAAATCAAGAAACAAAATAGGATAAAAGTGAAGTCTACTGGTGCTCACCATGCTGTGAAATACATTTTTAAAAAAAGATTGACTTATGGATGGACCAATTGGAGCATCTAGGAGGTGGGTATAAAATTCTTCCAACTTTTAAATATATCTGAAATTTTTTTGACAAAATATTAGAAAAGTAGAATCCAATTAATGTTCTTCATCAGAGCATTAAGTTCTAAAGGTGAGATATGAATGTCAATATTTTCTTTAGTATTTGTCCTTTTCTTTGAACATGCAATATTAAAATAACAGTCTAATAAAATGATTTAAGAAATCTATTAACCAACACTTCCTCTTTCCATCTCATAAATTATACTTTAAAATCTATTCTGGGACAACTACTTGAAAAGCCAATGAGTCCCCTCCCAACATACACACTTAAGTTAAGAAATTCCAGGTAAAGCCCATTAAACGCTCTGACCCAAACCTAAGAAAGCAACACTTGTTTAAACAATGACTTCTCTTCCTATCCCTGAAATTAATGAGTCAACCATGTGAATACATTTATTGGTAAGAAGAAACAAGGACACAAGTACGGATCTGTTGGTTCAAATGATACAATATATATTATAACTAAAGCAAAATAAATTCATTTAAAATGTTTCCTTTGAATAACAATCTAAACATTTAATAAGTTCCAATTTCTAAAAATCACACAAAAATAAAGGCAACGAATATTCCAGGATTTTTAATGTAAACTCCCTTTGTTCAATTATACAAGAGTAATACTATTCCTCTATTTTGAGTATTTATTTTTAAATGGTACGATTTCTACCGATGGAAAGAATAACAGAGAATAAGAAATATACTACTTGGGCCTGGTGTGGTGGCTCACGCTTGTAATCCCAGCACTTTGGGAGACCAAGGCAGGTGGATCACCTGAGGTCAGGAGTTAGACCCCAGCCTGGCTAACATGGTAAAACCCTGTCTGTACTAAAAATACAAAAATTAGCTGGACATGGTGGTGCATCCTGTAATCCCAGCTACTCAAGAGGCTGAGGCAGGAGAATCGCTTGAACCCGGGAGGCAGAGGTTGCAGTGAACCGAGATCGTGCCATTGCACTCCAGCCTAAGTGACAGAGCGAGACTCTGTCTCAGAAAAAAAAAAAAAAAGAAAAGAAAAGAAATGTACTACTTGTACAGATATATGAAACAAACTCTCCTTTATGAAATATCCACCTTAAAGGAGATATGAGAAAATAAAATTTTTACTTGTTTTTAAATGAAACTGTCTGGCAAATAGAGTATGGGGATATGGTATGCTAAAAAGAACTAGAAAATTCAGAGTCCAAAAGGATATTTGCAGAGGAGGAAAAGAAACAAAAGAGTAGAGAGCTGGGGAAAATAAAAGATAGGCTTAATTTGGTCCTGCTATTTGAAATTAGGTTGTATACTTGATTACTGGAGTTAAGAAAAATATTATGACCAAAGTTTGAAACAAAGTTTTCTACAAATTCATAGAGGACAAACATTTGGTCTATAGCATTAGCTTACTTCAGCGTTTTCAAAATGCCATGAGCAGCTTGTAAGTAATGGTGATGGTAGTTAAGAAAGTAGGCCCTCTGCGCAGTGGCTCACGCCTGTAATCCCAGCACTTTGGGAGGCCGAGGCGGGCAGATCACTTGAGGTCAGGAGTTCAAGACCAGCCTGGCAAACATGGTGAAACCCCGTCTCTACTAAAAATACAAAAATTAGCTGAGCATGGTGGCGGGTGCTTGCAATCCAAGCTACTCGGGAGGCTAATCCAGGAGAATTGTTTAAACCCAGGAGACGGAGCTTGCAGTGAGCCGAGATAGCGCCACTGCACTCCAGCCTAGGCGACAGAACGAGACTCTGTCTCAAAAAAATAAAAAAAAAAAGTAGGCACTCTAACTGTCTCTATAATGGTTTTAAATGGTTATTTGAAGAAAAGGGTGACAGGAAAATGGGAAATTATTATTCTGAAAGAAATGAAAGTTATGCATAACGGCCTAGATATAGATATGAGTAAAGTATGTATTACAGGCATAAGTAATACAAATGACAGTGGACTCGATCTGGACCCAGAATGAGAAAACCTGGGTTCTATAATAATCCGGACTTTGCTCCAACAAAGCACATCTCCTCTTTGAAGCAGCTTCCTCCCTGCAAGATGAGAAGTCCCACCTGAATGTTCTCAAAAAGTCTTTCTGCATGTAAAATTTCATGTTTCTGTGGCATCAAAATATCTGGAACATTTTTAACTTGTGACCAAGATACTGTTTGATTATATACAAGGTTACACAAAGGATATATTTGATTATATACAGGGACATGTGGAAAAAAATAGGAAATCACATTGAGAAGAAATGAGGAATGCTCAGTGGTTTAAAATTCAGATGACGACGAACAACTTATGAGGATCAATCTTAGGTAGGACTGAGTAAAGTTTGAACAGAAAGATAAGGATAAAAAAGTTAACAACTGTGTCACCTCTGCATCCCTGAAAAAAAGAAATTACAAAAATATGAGGATTTAGGGAGTAAGAAGATAACGTCCTGGACAAGAACAAATCCCAAAATAGAACCCAAATTAACATCTTTTTCATAGAAATTAAAATACTATCCACAATAATTTTGGTCAAAGATAATCAAAGGAAATGAAGAAATAAGAGATAAAGGCAAAGACAATCCACATATGATGATAATTCATGAGGGATAAAAAGCTACTTAGTGCTCAGATGCTTTAATGACCTAGAGAAGTTAAGATGGGTAATAATATAAAGGATATCTCTGTAAGAGCTTTGTTTTATAATCTTATTTCTCAAGAGAAAAAATTATCAAAAAACAATTGTACATGTGTTATATATGTGGCATTTTTGTTTCATTTTGTATTATAAAAGAAAAGTTAAAAGTAAAAATGCACTCTGTTTTTATGGGTTTTGATGCTTATAAAATGTGATGAAACCTCTTTATAAAAAATATAAAATTAAATTTACAAAATTAGGTACAAATGTAAAAATTTATTTTTACTGTGAAACTAAATCACAACAGATTTCTTTCTATAAATCCAACAAATACCAACATTATCACATATTCAATTAGAAATATCATAGTTTAAATTATTGATTAACTGATATAATCTTATTCTAATTGTTCCCACTTTTTGGCTGTGTACTCTGACCACCTCTTTACATGATGAAGATTTTGCAAAATCATTTTCTATAGGGAGAATAGGAAAATCATTCAAATCATAAAAGTAGATGGCTTTTATGTTTCTTTCAACTTCACAACCTATTATCGGTTATTTTGTGTAAATTCTTAGAACACCTGCCAAACTTGGAGAAACATTCATCAGGTTTATTCTATATGAGCTGTATGATTCAGAATAATTTTCTGACTCCACGCATTGCAAGCCTTGTTTCTCCTCCATTATCCACATATATATATCTATAGCCAGGCATCATTGTGCATATGAGTGGCATTCTCCTGTCTTTGGCCCTTTTTTAAATATTATGAAGAGAAGTACTATGAAAGAAAAATCATGAAAAGAGAGCAATGTCAACTAACTATGGTTAAAATATATTTATATCATAATTTTAGAAAACCTTACAATTATGTGAACCCATTGTTATGCTCCCTTCCAATGCTTTGAATAAAGGTAGTTGGCAAAATTTCGTCTCACAGTGGATATGGCTCTATACAAAAGTGGCTTTATTTAAAAGAAGAAGAAGGAGTAAGGAATAAATCCATTTTACAGCCATATAAGGGTATCTGTGAAGTGCAATGGGTTTGGTGAATTGGATCCATGGGCTCATATATTTTAGCCTTCTCTTTATTTTCTCTCTGTAAGCTTATGGAACACATATAACAAAAACTATAATTCTAAATAATTAATTATATGTAAATGTATGTCTGGAACTATATATTCTTATCAAACAAGAAACAAATTAATACTCAGGAATCTCCTGATACATTCATGTTCATTTGCAGTTATTTGTATTGGGTTGAAGATTGTCCCCTCAAATTCATTTGACCTTATTTGGAATAAGGTCAATTTGCAGATGTGATTAAGGTAAAGTTCATGATAAGACCACAGTGAATTAGGGTGGGCCCTAAATCTTTTGAAATATCTTACAAGAAAGAAAAAAGGAGAAGATAAGGAGAAGGCTGCATGAAGATGGAGGCAGAGGTTTCAATGGTGTGTCTACAAGCCAAGGAATGGCAAGGAATGCCAGCCACCACCAGAAGCGAGGAGAGAAACGTGTGACAGGTTCTGCTTGAGAGCTTCCAAAGGAACCAACCCTGTTGACAACTCAGTTTGGGACTTCTGGCTTCCAGAACTGTGAGAGAACAAATTTCTGTTGTTTTACCCACTCAGTTTGTGATAATTTCTTACAGCAGCCCCAGGAAATTAATGCACTTTCTATATAGAAACATTACCAAATTGGTTAGCATGACAGTGGATTTGTAAACTGTCTTTTTATATGCGTGCCTAAAAACTCAAGAAATAAAGGGATTCCTCTTGGATTACAGCAAAAATATTTTCACAGCGGACTTCTATGCACCAAATTGCGTTTTTGCAGCCCCTGTAGAGCAAATACTGTGTTAAATGTTCAAACATCTGAGATGTCAACATGGGAAAATAAATGATCCTTCATTTCTGGAAAAAATTAACAATTCTATAAAGTAAATTGCTTTTTAATAAAAACTGTATTAATACATTATAATATAATTTTATGCTTAATACATTTTTCTCTAATTTTCAAAATTTGTATTGGTCCCATAATAAAAGAGTTCCGAAAACTATGTTAATAACCCATCCTAGGGAGAAAAAACAGTAAAACTTGACCACCAGAATCAACTTTCCATTTTTCCTTTTTTTTCATAATTAGATTCTCTCACATTCTCTCTTTTCACTTTGGATTGCAAGATTCTAATAATAATAATATTAAATATTAATTAATAATCACTTCTCAGATGCCATTGTAATTGTTAGACCCTTTGTAATATCTATGGCTTGTCTGTCCTACTAAATGGTAAGCTCCTATATTGCTGTGGTCATGTTGTGTACAACTTTTTCTTTGCTTACTATGCCTGGAATAGTGCTGGAAATCTCTTAGATATATGTTATATGCTTATTGCCTTGGTTGAATTTGTTATATCAACTACAATGTGGATGGCTCCACAGAAAGGGGCTAAGTTTCAAAATCTCTTCAAGTGTAATGGACTACCAAGCAATCCATGTGAGAATATTTGCATTCCTGTTAGCACAAAATTAAACCCATACCCAATGTATTTAGACAGTGCTCTGTAGCTATGCGCCTGGCTTTCCTTTCACTAAGGAAAAGCTCTCGTTGGTCATATTTAACCGTGCTGGTGGAAGGCCAAGGAAAAGCTCTTCATTAACATATACTCAGTAATTACCAAAGGCACATAGACACATCTCATTTCTACCCTGCCATTATGCTCACTGGCCTGGAAAATGGGATTGGGCCAAGTGGAACTGTCCCAAGCACTTGCACTGTATATTACTGGAAGAAGAAACACACAGTGGGCTCTACAGACAAGAACTCTCTCTGTGTACCTAGCAAACTTCCTGTGGACAGTTTTTACAGAGGTCCTGGTCAAAATTATCAAGATAGGTTTACTACTAGGCATTGTCATTCTGCTTTAAACTATCATGATTACATTAAGGATGTTATTTCAATTAAAATGATTTTAAATTATTAAATTCATAAATATTATAAAATGGGAATTAAGTTTCTCTCATATTTTATTTTATGTCTAAATCTGAGATCAGAAAAAAAGCACCGTGAATATTATGTGTAGAAAAGGTTCACATTTAAATCTTTAGTCTACTAAATGAAAAGGTAATAGAAAAGTAACCTGAGTAAATGATCACGTGAATGAACAACAAAATGCTGTCTACAGGCTCATTATAAAGTCATCTGAAATAAATAAACTCTGGATAGCTACTGGTGGCAGTGTTTCCTTCATCATATTTCCACATAGGAATGGAAGTGGAATTAGACTAGTTGGCTGCCTCCTACTGTCTCTATTCTTCCCCTGGAAAATCCCCTATGTGGAGAGGGGCCCACTGGGGTCCATTCTAACATGCTGCAGGAGAGGCACAAGGGTAGATATGTGCTATCACTTATTCCTTCTATCAATAGATATTCAGTGCTCAGGACACTACACTTAACAAAGGGAAGACAAATAGGACCAGGCCCCTGCCCTTGAGAAGCTCACAATCTATAGCATAAAACAGAATATATATTATACTTATTTTCTATAGGTCTCAATGCCATGGTACGTGTATACACATGACACCCTAGGAGACTGATAGAGATAAACAAAATGAAGCAATCATTTTATGCTGTCTGAAAGGTCATAAAAGCTTTCATCAAGAAGGTGAATTATTGTACATGTGTAGATATCTGAGTTGATAATGAGATATCAATTATTAGATTTCTTTATAGATTTAACTTAATAACAGTAAAAGAAAGAATCCATTTCCTAAGAAACACATTTATAGCTCCTATCCTAAGAACTGCCAGATAGAGTAAGAGAGAAGTGGAGTCTATCTCATTGGCTTTGGGGGTCTCTAATGTTTCTTTAAAATATAATCATATCTTTCAGTTTTTTTCTTCACTGCCCAAAGATGACACTGTCCTCCCAGTTCCACTCAGCATAAAAAATTACAATATACAGATCCCAAAACTTATTAATGTAACTTAAAAGACAAGAAAGGGAGATTGAAAGCTGAATTTGCAAAATATACTCCATGATACAATAAAACCCTTCTCTGCTTAGACTGTAAACCAACAGACTGTGTCTAATCCATCAATTACTTTGTCTTTCTGAATTAGCTTAAAAGTGGGTGGTAAATGATCAAACACATTTTAAATATAAAGCCAGCAGAGAGTCACATGGGGTCCTTTTATGAATCAAAGTTTTCACTTCTCCATGTCCTATGTGTTACTGTAACCACTGAAGTGGCATATAGTATATAGGACACAGAGAGCCACCTCGCTAATCGGTCCCCACAGACCTGATGGTGCTCTCTGCTGCAAAAGCAATTTTCATTTTGAACTCCAATACCCTTTAAGAGAACCCTTCAAAAATAATCATATCACAGTTTGAGTGACTAGAGCCTCCGTCTCAATTGCATGCCCCCCTCTCCTATTCTGTGTCTCCTTCCCCCTTCCTTTGCCCTTAACTTTATGCCTAGAGATGAAATTCCTTTCATTTTCTTTTCCTGGAAACTAATACGAGGAGGAGGGATATTGTTATACTAGATATTAAATAATTTTTTTCTCAAATATCTTTTCTTTCAAAATAAGATATAACCATACCAAAAGAAGGACTTCTAATCAGAGATTTCTATCCTGAGGCAGAAGAGCTTTTCTTTTTGAATGGAAAATCATTCTATGAGGAAAGTCTGCATCAAAAATCAAACAAGGACTGTTGTTACAAAAGAGAAACCTGCCAGCAGTTTCAGGGTAACTTGATGGTTCTTTCTTGGGTCTTTCTTAGTGGGCTCTAAAGAGGCTTTCGATTTTTTTAAAGGAGAATCTCAAGGCAGTTACCTCCTGAAACTACTCATCTTTCACTACTGCTGCTAAGAAGAATGCTTTCAAATGGAACTGCACAGCCTCCTCTCTAGGAGATCATCCTACAGATGAATGAAGTGCTGGTAAAGAAAAAGCCTCATATTTCACCTGAAAAGTAGAATTGGTGACAGGATTATTATTATTATTAGTGGAATATTCTCAGACTATTTCTTCAGGCTGACAAAATATTTCAAAATAAAGAAAATATTGCCAACTAAGTTTGAAATTAGAATGACTGCTAAATTAAAGCTGATTATAAATTAGGTTTTAGATTAAATAAAAAGGTTAAAAAAACACAACAAATTAAATGAGAAGTTCTATTCAGTTTTGTCCACATAGTATCAGACATTACCCACACTATATTCTTAATTTTGATTTATTTGCATCGGACTTAACGAAGAGAACCTATGCTAATCCATAGTTATGTAACTAGTGTATACCTGAAGTTTGGGGCTTTGAAATCTGAATTGAGCAGATAAACAAATGCCTAAATATGTAGTGTAGATCATTAAATGCTACTCGGAGCTTTTCTAAATTACAGCTGTGCACACAGAGTATAAAAATGCCAAAATATTACACACCACCAAATTCAGTTGCCTCTTGCTCAACAAGCCTTAATCAAATGGGAAAAGTTAAATTGAAGAGCTGCTTTGTGAACATGCATTTCAATAAACCATAATGTTTGTAAAATCAGAACATGGGAAAAGAGAATTATCAATAGAAAGAAAATAATTCCCCATGAAAATTACCATTTACCATTTTTCAAGTACAAATTTAGGGAATATTACTGCATACTGATACATAGTGATTGGAGGCTCATAGATAAAAAAAGATTCCAGAATCTATATACAAGTTAAAAACAAGAACAAAAAACTTCTGTGACCTATATTTGAATAGGTCTAGGTTAACAGTTTACCTTAGCTTATTTTAGTGTATACTTTTCAGGTGACTGCTTTAGTAGAGAAACTCAGCATTGAAATAAGGTATCTTCATTGGTTTACATTAATAAAATACAACAGCCCCTACTCCCTAAAAATCATAGTTCTCATTTCTTTTTTTTTTTTTTATTATACTTTAAGTTTTAGGGTACATGTGCACAATGTGCAGGTTTGTTACATATGTATACATGTGCCATGCTGGTGTGATGCACCCATTAACTCTTCATTTAACGTTAGGTGTATCTCCTAATGCTATCCCTCCCCCCTTCCCCCACCCCACAACAGGCCCCGGTGTGTGATGTTCCCCTTCCTGTTCTCATTTCTTTATCATGGCCAGACTTCAAAATTTCTATACCTGGCACTATTAGATCTGGCACCAGAGAGAATTATATAGCCCAACAGCAATCTATTTATCATATTAGGTAATTCTTAGTAAATCAGGGATATTTTGGGAGATGACCATATCACAAGACAGGGCAATCTTAATTACAATATCTACATATCAACAGAGTGCTATGCCCAATACAGAACAAATCTTTTTAGCAGAGAAGACTTAAACATCACCACTATATCAAATGCCTGATGCAATTTCTAGTTAGCATTCTCTAGAAGAAGGTAGGAACCATAAATGTTATCTCACAAAAGCTGAGGCAGTTTGGGAGGGGGAGCAGAAAAGTTTGCCTGGGGTTAGCATGTGGCCAAGATATTTCACTGCAATTCTCTGTATGATAGCCTGAAATTTTCAAGAATAGAAATTGTTTTGATTATACTTTCAATTTAGATCCTCTGATTTAATGAGATAGAAATGACAGATTTTAAGAAAAGTGAGATAAAAAATGGAATAGCACAAAAATCAAGATCTTAGTGGGAACAAAATCATATAAAGTTCCTTGCAGCTCTTTGAAACATTAATTTTCGTATGTGCTGTGCTAACATGCTTTGGGACACATGACTTAATATAAATATATAAATATCTATGTATTAGCATTTCTATCAAAATACACAGGGACATAATGAAAAAATTGCATTTTTGAAAGAATAAAGTAAAAACATTATCTAAGTTAATTCACACATGCATTTCATTCTATTTCAAGGGTCAAGAAACTTCTGCAAAGGTTTGGATAGCAAGTACTTTAGGCTTACTAGGCCATATAATGTCTGTCAAAAGTACTCAAATCTATATTGTAGGAGGAAAGCAGTCATAGATAATAGATAAACAAATGATTGGGGCTGTTTTCCAATAACACTTTATTTATAAAAAACAGCTGGTGAGCCAGATTTGATCCTTGGGTAATAGTTTGCCAAATCCTGCTCTAGTCTCATGAACTAGGAGGGATGCTGAGCTGAAATTTTTTCTGTATAGCATTATAAATTATTCACATTGTCACACTTTGTTCCTTTTTTATTGAATTATCATACCAGAAAGAAACACTAGTAGTACTCAAAATAATTCCAGGGAGTTTAACTTCTGTCTATTCAAAAAACCATTAGCACTTTCACTCTTTTGCAATAATAAAATGATTTAAAATACAGGCAAAAAGAAAAAAAATGTAGTTTTAAAATCCTTTCAGTTATATAATGCACATGATGTGCAATGGAAAATAAACACAAATGGGTACTTGAAAGAGAGAGCAGAAATTCCCAGAAAACAATGGAGACCTGTCACCACACAGCTACATAAATTTCTATAGTTCAAAAAGGTTACTTGCCCTTTTAATGTTGCTGTGATTCAATTGTACAGATGGGAGTTACACTGACTACACGTCCACCTTAATGCCATTTACTCACATCCCCAGGAAGCTATATGCCAGTGAGAAATCAGAAATATAGGAGAGTAGATCAATGAACATGCTTTGTGTTGAGTATGCCCAATTCATACCTTAACAACATACAAAATCAGGATGCAGCTCTACCCATGTGTGTTCATACTTATTCATGTGTGGGGAAAGCCAGCTGATTGGCATGATCCACATCCATCAAAAGCATGTGGATATGCCATCAACTGATAGAAAGGAGTCTTGCAATACTTACAGTGTAGACTTTTGCCCTTAGATATTATTTGTGCAATTAAGTATATGTACTCAATTTAAAATTCAATGTAATAAGGTTAAATACTTAGAGATAGCTATGGTCATACAAATAAACATGGGATGAAGAATTACAAGTTTTTGTGTCTAAAGTGTTGATATAATGAGATTCAAAGACCCAGAGTCAAGAATTGTAATACTCAAGTCTAGTTTCTTTCTACTTTATGAATAAATAGTCATGGAAGTGTGAGGAAGAAATATCACAACTTTTACATGCTAAGCCCAATTGAGTGTTCACTGATTGATACTCTACTCTTTGCCTTGTTTCCTGCTGGTAGGTACACTCCTTTATTCTCTGTCCATAATTAGGCTCTGTAACACCAAGTGCCTCTAAGTATCACGTCAAAGAAATTCAATATTTCTGCCTGCTTCCTCCGTAGTTTTTTTCTTTACTGTTGTGTGTGCTTAGTGACTATAGCACAGAGACTAAGAAAACTATTCTGTATCAGAAATTCCATAAAGTGACTAAGGAGTTTTGTCATTTGCTCCTCTGAAGCTGCATTTATCAGATTTTACCAGGGATGGTAAATTAAACAGAATTTTTATAATCTGTGTCAGAACTGTCATTAATAATATGCAATATACACTTAAAAGATAATATTGTTGCCACTTCTGATGACCAAAAGAGTAGACATGGTAAGAAAGTATTGACAAACAAAATAGATTATGACATTAGAGGAAAAAATGTTAGTATATGCTAATAAAAAACTTAAAATGGAAGGATTTATGCAGTTTGGATGTCTGTACTGAAATTGTCACTTAGCTCAAGTCACAAGATCTTTGCACTTGAACAGCTTTCTCCAAGTTCTTCCTATGGCTTGTTCTCTTTCATTCTTTACTCCTCAGTGAACATATCGTTTTTACCTCGCATTCTCTCAGTGATTCCTCCTCCCATCGTTTATTTTCTACGGCAGATTCAACATTGTTGGTAATTCTTTGATAGTTCTCCCATTGAAAAATAGTGAAGGAGTCAATATTTGAATCTGGGCTGCACCATGACCAAAAGTGAATTGCCAGAAACGACACTATGCCACTTCTGGTCTAATCTTTAAGAGGCCTGGAACTTTCTACGTTTTTTGGCCTTGAAATATTTACTCTTGGAGCCCTAAACCACCATGTAACAAGTCTGATTTCCCTGAGGTTCTTATGTTGTAAGAAAGCTCAAGCTAGCTATTTGGAAAGGTCTGTTCAGGGAGAGAGAAAGCGGGGGAAATGAAGAAAGAGAGAATGATTGAGAGGGAGCTATTGGGAGAGGAGGAGAGAAATAGAGAGAGAGAGAGACCTGACTATTTCCCAGCTTTCCAGACCCTGGACATTCAATCATTTAAATGGAAACCCTAGACATCGTGGAACGGAGGCATGCCATCCACACTATGTCCTGCCCAATATCTGTCCCAGAGAATGAGATAAAATTCTGTTATTATAAATTGTTTTTAGCCAATGAGTTTTGCAGTGCACTGCTATGTAGTAATTGATAACTACAATTATCTCCATATTCTAGTATCCTATTTTATCGAGCAGTTATCATATAATACATAATATTTGGAAACTTGTGAATTTACTTATCTAATGCCTTTTGATTACAGAATGGAAAATCTATGATGACAGAGGCAATACCTGAGTTAGACTTTCAGCATTGTTATAATGCCTGACAAAACAAGTAAATATTTGTTAAAGAAAGGAAGAGAGGAAGGTGATCTGATTGCTAATAATAAGGCTCTTTTTTATTACTTCAACGTCTTACCATGCTTATATAAAAGTGACACTTAGGTTAGAAAATAGGTTAGGAAAGTATTTTTTCATATGTGGTATTTTTCTAAACCATGTGTATAGTACTTTTATCTACAACTTTCAGAATTTCTCTCTGGAAAATGATGCCAAAAGTTATCAGAAAGGTAAATTTCATTTTATGTTAATAAATTTAAAGATTTATCAGTATCTTTAATAATTTTCTTACCTATTAAAATTAATCTTTCAAAATCACAAAGCAAAATAATAGTCAGTGATTGAAAAACATTACTATGGGCTATGTATACCTTCTAAAATGATTTTTGTTTACAATTGTCAATGTATCTTTCTTGTTCCGAACAGCAAGTAGAAATCAAGAGGTCACTTCCCAGTAGACTTCTGATAAAAGCCTGCTCTTTATCTCACAAATATGAACTCCACATTTAGAGCTGGAATTCCTCCAGATAGAGTTGGTAATAATACCCCAGGAAGTTTAAGGAGATGGTTGCCAGGTTGATACATATCTACATTCTGCTTCAGAGGGAGCAGAAGCCAAGTTAAGAGCTGCAAAGGCAAGATGCTCTAGACGTTTAGCAAAGATAAATATTAGTATTTTTCATATTTTAAAATGAGGTTCTCTAGCAAACTTAAGAGTCCGGTTCTCTTATAAGGATTAAAATTAACTGGTTACCAATTAACATTTTTTTTAAAAGACCTATGCCTAAGGCAGAAACTTTAGAATGTGAAAACAGAGCCTCTCCCAGTTTTCATAGCAATTAACCTCAGTATTTGCCAATATACCCTTGATTTAACACTACCTGTTTATAAGGCAAATCTAAAATTTGCCTTATAAATATAAACATATATATTTATATCTGCCTGTATATTCTAACATACACACACATTTTGCCAAAAAGGTATTTAATTTAATCCTGACATATAGCTAAATATATGGATCATTTTAAAATAAAATTTTAAAAAGCAATGCACAAAAGTTAAACAGTCCAGAAGTATACACAAAGCCAACTGCTCAACAATTCCCATTTATTTTTCCTCTTTCTGGGCATATAAACAGATTTTGCATTTCACTCTTCCCTATAGTCAGATGGGGCAATATGAGTAGGTCATGGCCGTTGAATTGTGAAAAGGAATAATGTGGCATTTCCAGGCCCAGAGAAGGGGGTTCCCCATGCTCACAGGTTTTCTCTCTTGCAGTGACCTGCAGTTATCTGTTCCATATGAAGTAGCCCCAGGCTAGAGGAGAGTCACCTGACCAACATCAGACTATAATGTCAGCAAGAGAAAAAAACTCTGTGGGTTAAGCTATTAGGAATACATAGTTTGACTGATGCGCCAGCTTGCAGTAATTGCCATGAGCCATACTGATAATGCAAGTTTCAAGATTTGATTCAATAATCCATAAAATTATGAGATCAAATACTTTTTTCTTTGCGTAGAAAGATTCTACTGTTTTTTAAAATTACAGATTAATATTTTCTATTTCTGTATATGAAATTAAGAAAAAAATCAATTGAACTTAGATTTCATTATTTATATTGAATATATTACGTATTTGAACACAGTTTTACTTTAAAAATCAGCTGTTAAATATAATTTAATTATTTCTATTATTATATAAATATCCCTACTATAAAAACCACTACATTTTACTTACTTGGCAAGTTAGGATGGCCAACATATTTCTATAAGGGTACACACTGTTTATTGAAATATTTACATATGTTTACTGACTAGGGAGGGCCACTATTACGACTTTGAGTATGTGGATTTTCTGACCAACATAGCATTCTTTCTTTCACCATTTCTGGAAAAAGAAAGAACATAATTTGCCACTCCAGATATATTGCTTAGTGGCTAACATTAAAGTAACATGAGAACATTTTTCATCCAGAAAAGAGTATCTTCACATGCAAGAGTTTCATGTGAAGTATTCAAACTGTGTTTTTTATTATCCAATTATATACTTAAATCATACATAATTTCACAGTTAGCCCAATTCATTGATAAATAGCAAGTCAATAATATTATCTATTCAATACATTGAATTTTCTTCACTTCTGACTAATTGATAATGTTAAAAATGCTAGCAGAAGCACTCCAGAGTTATTTTTGAACTCATGGCTTAAGAAAAGTCCAGATAGAAATAGCAAATATGCTAATAGCACTTACTACAAGCCAGCCATTCATGGATCCATGTGGTTTACATCCTTCCAAGGTCCGTACAATCACATTAGCAGGCCAGAATATTATTACTCATATTTTAAAGATGAAGAAATTCTCATCATAAAGTAACATTCATCCCCACACAAAAAAGTAATCACTAATAACATTTAGTTAGCTCTATTTTGGATCTGTGTCAGAGGTAAAGTATTATAATACTTCAGGGATCATAAAAGTTTTGGATGGTTTCCTTCACATATATGTTGCTGATTATAAACTTCACACCTTTGTAAGGAAAGGATTTTAAAATCAAATGAAGAAATGAGCCATGAAAAAGGTTCACTCACTTGTCAGAGGTCACATAGTGAGTAAGTGGTGGAGGCAGGATTTAAACCTAGAGTATAATGTATCTTTGAACAACGTAGGAGTTAGGGGTGCTGACCCCTGTGCACTGGAAAATCTGAGTATAACTTCTGACTCCCACAAAACTTAATATCCTACTGTTCACTGGAAGCCTTATTAATAACATCAACAGTAGATTAACATATATTTTGCATGTTACATGTGTTACATACTATATTCTTAAAGTAAGCTAGAGAAAAGAAAATGTTATTAAGAAAATCACGAGAGGAAAATAGATTTACAGTACTGTACTGTATCAATACTCTAACTGTATATTATCTCTTTACAAGATGAATCCTGTCTGAAAGGTCAGGAAACTGCAGTTGCAAACCTCAATCTACAGGACATATCAAGCAGTTCAACTTTTTCTTGTAATGTTAAGACATTTCTCTCCTTCTTGGGAGCACTTCCAGCATCACTAGTGACACTTCATATGGGTCCCATGGTGTTATTCAAGGTTTACGGTATTGCACTAAACACAATGAACAATACAGGAGAACTGTGACAGATCACTTTTTACTGACATCCACAATTTATTGGGAGATGAACTGCTCATGCTGAGATGATTAGCATCACATGGCATGTTAGGTGGCTATTCACATCACTTAAGCTCACCACAATAGCAACTAGCGGAGGCTAGAAAATTAATACAGTAATTCAGTATGTAATGCAGTTAATTTTATGCAATTATGATCTAATATGGCACCTTAACATTAGTTTATATTTCTCTCAACTGCAAATGGCACCATGTATGGTCTGCAAGTGTTACTGTGCATAAGTTTTAATAAACTTTAACTTCTTATAATAGGTTTGTGTATATTTTATGGCCATAAATGAGAAAATAAACTAGTATCTACAATATTTTATGTATCTATGACATACTTAACTTTTTCTTAATTTTTTTATTACACTTTAAGTTCTGGGGTACATGTGCAGAACATGCAGGTTTGTTACATAGGTATACACGTGTCATGGTGGTTTGCTGCACCCATCAACCCGTCATCTACATTAGGTATTTCTCCTAATGCTATCCCTCCCCTAGACCCCTACCCACCAGCAGGCCCCACTGTGTGATGTTCCCCTCCCTGTGTCCATGTGTTCTCATTGTTCAGCTCCCACTTAAGAGTGAGAACATGCAGTGTTTGGTTTTCTGTTCCCTTGTTAGTTTGCTGAGAATGATGGTTTCCAGCTTCATCCATGTCCCTGCAAAGGATATGAACTCATCCTTTTTTATGGCTGCATAGTATTTCATGGTGAACATGTGCCAAATTTTCTTTATCCAGTCTATCATTGATGGGTATTTGGATTGGTTCCAAGTCTTTGCTATTGTGAACAGTGCCGCAATAAACATACGTGTGTATGTCTCTTTATAGTAGCATGATTTATAATCCTTTGGGTATATACCCAGTAATGGGATGGCTGGGTCAAATGGTATTTCTAGTTCTAGATCCTTGAGGAATCGCCACACTGTCTCCCACAATGGTTGAACTCATTTAGACTCCCACCAACAGTGTAAAAGCGTTCCTATTTCTCCACATCCTTTCCAGCACCTGTTGTTTCCTGACTTTTTAATGATTGCCATTCTAACTGGTGTGAGATGGTATCTCATTGTGGTTTTGATTTGCATTTCTCTAATGGCCAGTGATGATGAGCGTTTTTTCATATGTTTGTTGGAATTTCATATCCAGCCAAACTGAGCTTCATAAGAGAAGGAGAAATAAAATTCTTTACAGACAAGCAAATGCTGAGAGATTTTGTTACCACCAGGCCTGCCTTACAAGAGCTCCTGAAGGAAGCACTAAATATGGAAAGGAAAAACCGGTACCAGCCCCTGCAACAACATACCAAACTGTAAAGACCATCGACACTATAAAGAAACTGCATCAACTAACAGGCAAAATATCCAACTAGCATCATAATGACAGAATCAAATTCATACATAACAATATTAACCTTAAATTTAAACGGGCTAAATGCCCCAATTAAAAGACACAGACTGGCAAATTGGATGAAAAGTCAAGACCCATCGGTGTGCTGTACTTTTAATTTTTAGTATTTCTAGGCTATACAGATTGTTGAGTTTTTCCAAACTGCAGAAACTTTCACTTTGTTTCTAATATATTTATTCAAAAATACCCTCAGATAAGTGGACCCATGCAGTTCAAGCCAGTTGTTCAAGGGTCAGCTCTAATGTGGTTCCAGGGTCCATATAGTTAATGAAAGCATTATTCTCTCAAATTATTTCATCACAAACAAAAGATTTTCCTTATCCTGTGTCTTGAGTTTGACTGCTTCTTTTTCATTTTTTGTTTACCCATGGTTGACCAGAATGCCTAGAACATAGTAGTCAAAAAGGATTTTTAATTTAATTAAAGAAATTAAGGGAGGATGCCACTTTAGATATCTGTTCATAAAGAATATAGTCATAAAGACTATATTACTATCTGGAGAGCAGAATCTAAACAAACCATCAGATTTGTAAACCCAGGGCTGTGAACTGTTTCTGTTCCCAATTCAAGAGACTAAGCTGGTGTGCCTTTTGGAAAGTAAGTGAGGACCTTAAGCAAAAATAGATTAGGTAATTAAACAGTCATGTAAGACACATGGCTTAGACACAGCTTCCCCATGGAAACCAGTCATTCACAAAGGGAAGGAGCAATGAGAAGAAAGTTTTTTGCAAATGTGCACAGAGATTATGGTCAACAGTATACATGAGAAGACTTCATTCTTAAAAGTAAAGAAACAATTTAACTATTCATACTCATTCCTGAGATCATCCAGGGCCAAAATGTGCTCGCTATCAGATGAGTAACTCATAGTTCAGAAGAAAATTACTATGAAACAAAGAGAATTATTTTTCTCTCTGATTACAATTTTAAACCTTTACTTTTCAGGCACTTTAGCCCTAAATTTGTTTTCACTATTTGTTTAATTTAATTCCTTAGAAAAGCTATGTCATAAGCCATCTGATGACTTTGTAAATGCAAAGGGCCAATGTTGTGGAACAGACAATCTAATGACATAGTGTTTAGTGTTCCCTAAAGCAGGAGACAGATGAAGAGAAACGGTGAACCGGCAACCTTAGCATAATTAAGACAAGCCTGAGTGCTTGCCATGGTGCCATTACATTAATCTCACATCAGTGGCACCTGGCTAAAATTTATGAGATATGTAAAAAGGGCCTTTCCAACTGACCTTGATAAGGCAGAGTTATTTATCATGTGAGAGAATAGTCAGCAAGCTAGGGGGAATGAGGTATATTAGAAATAAGTTGACAGAGAGATTTAAGGGCAGTGGGCTGCGATACACATTGACTGAAAAGATCTAGGGAAGCATTTCCAGCACTATCAATCTTAAACATCTTTGACAAGTAAAATATAAAATCATGCATAATGTTAATAATATATATGAGAAGAGGTAATAGTAAATGTCAAGTTTTAAACTGATGCTAGTTCATTCATTTAATATTTTTTGATGTGTGTTTATTGAGCTAATATAATGGAACTTGCAACCACAACGGATTCTACACGATTTCACCCCCGAATAAATAAGCACAACATATTCACCGTGAGTTCCCTGGAGCACTGTCTCATTTTATTCATCATTTCATTTCAAGGGCCTAGTGTAGAGTCTGAAACAGTTTAATCCCAATAAATACCCAGATCTTTTTAATGGCTAACTGCTTCCTGTTCTTCAGGTCTCAGCTCATACTACAGAGAGTCTCCTAGCCACAGAGGAAGACCACAAAGTGTCCCCTGGCCACCTCATCAAAAAGACTTACCACTGTATTTAACTCTCTTATGTATTGCCTGCATGCTTATTATTTGCTTTTCCTCCCTGGACTCTAAGATTCCCTTTCTTGTTCATCTTTATATGCTGACACAGATTCATTATTAGAACAGGACGTGGTAGGTGCTTAATACTTGCCAAGTGAATAGAAGAAGGGGTGCTTATTAAATAAATTGTGGAAATCAGTAAACAGAGGAGTATGATTATGTTTCAGGTTATATTTTGGAAATTACATACTTTTTTATTTTAAACCATTGCAATATCAGTAGGAACAACTTGAAAAAAAATCAGACAATGGCCTTTCTTCACTCCGGACTTCACTGGGATAAAATTAGTATCACAATAATTCATTATCGATTGTTGATTGAAAAAATGTCTCTTTTCTTTTCAGCAGTTGCCGCTAATATTGTTAAATAGAACTAGGCTTTTTAGGACATAAACAGTTTTGTACTTGAAATGTTTCAATAAGAAATATGAAGGGAAACAAAGTGGTTTGGTTTTGGTTGAGGTTTTGTTTGCTTTACTTCCATATAAAATGTACACATAAAATATTGGTAGCTGCAATCTGTAGAAATTGCCATAATATAAGTGACATTTTACTTCTGTTCATGGGCCAACTCATCAGCACAAGGGTCCTTTATTTTATTTTTTGTGTAACAGACAATTTGAAGATTTCCTTTTGACTTTATCAAACATAATTGAATTTATACTTCCACTAAAATGGAGATGGATGGGTAAAATTCTATCTTTATACAATGAAAGCCTTATGGTCTTTTCAGTGAGGGGAAACAGCAGCACAGATTTAGAATGTCACATAGAAAAATCACATTGGGCCAAGCAGACCTGAATGATTTTAGGCCACACCAGCAAGAAAATGGCTTCTAACATTTAAATTCTACTTCTTCACCATTGTGTACTTGGTAACTCTTCTATGCAAAAGCACAGACTAGCTGAAAACAGCAAGTCACAAAAAATAATCTTAATGGTCTTTCATTATATCTTAAAATCTGTATTAAAAGTAAGGCACATTTGGTAGCTAGTATTTTAGAATGAAGGTAGAAAAGCAATCTTCACTTTAAAAAAAGCTAAAATTAATAAAATGAATATATAGATACTTGAAAGAAAAGGTTAACTTGCCTCAATTCCTAGCATAATCGGTCACTTTATAATCCCAATTAACATTCATTCCCACACAGAAAATTAATCACTAATAACATTTGATTAGCTCTATTTTGGATCTGTGTCAGAGGTAAAGTATATAATGGTACTTCAGGGATCATAAAAGTTTTGGATGGTTTCCTTTGCATATATGTTGCAGATTATAAATTTCACACTTTGTTAGGAAAGGATTTTAAAATAAAATATATCAGAATAATTAAATCTCTCTCTTTTACTGTAAATTTGTGTGTATTTTTAATGCAACATAATTTGCTTAATTTTAAAATAAATATTGTATAAATAATGAGTTATGAGTATAGAAGAGAGTAGAATTAATGAAATTTCTCTACACTGTCTCCATTTGAACTGAATTTCTCTTGCTTTCTAGAACTTTTGCAGAATAAAATTAAAAGGTGCATAAAATATCAGATTTAATATTTGCTACTGATCTTACCTAACTCTGGCAGATCTCTACTGAAATTTACTTATTTTAATGATTGGAATTCCATAATGAAAATTTAAAACTTCATACAAATAATAGAACGCTGCTGATTTCTATTTGTAATGAATACACTGAAAGAGGGTAAAAGGGGAGATGAGGTTTATATTCATAATTCCATAACTTAGCAATCCTATCTTAATTAAAGAAAATCTGCCATATACTTACCACATAATTATCATCAAAGCAATAAGTTTTCATTATGATTCAAAGGCTGATTCTATGACCATTTTATCTTGTTTCTATTTATCTTCATCCCATCAATTTTTGCTAACTTTGTCTTCAGATTAATTTTAAAAGATAGCTTTTGCTTTTTTAATTAATCAAAAGACCTGTGGTATCATCCTTCTTCAAAAAATATGCCAATATGAGTCTTACTTTTCTTTCAAAAAGTTGGTGAATCTTGATCTTTTTTATTGTTTGTGATGAAACAGACATTTCTTTTTAAAATTAAATTCCAACGTCGTGAATGTATAGGTCATTGGTTTCTAGAGAAAGTCTTTAAATTAAGGACAATATTTTAATCTAGAAAAGGATACAAAAAGTTGTTGCATATAGGCCAAAAATGTTTAAGTGTGAAAGAGAAATGTAATTACATTATAAAGTTTTAGAAAATAATTATTTATCCTAACAAAACTCATTCATTTCAAACAATAATCAAACAACATCTAGAATAATTTTGATATCTGCAATTGAATTGCAATGTAAAGAAATTTTCTTCAAAAAGAACTTGAAAATCTGCCTCAGAAGATGGGAAATAAATTATTTGAAAAATAAAATAAAATCCTAAATCACAATGTGATACCAACACAGACTGAGTAAATAATAAAAGGTTGTACCTCATTACCTGTTTGAACAACCAGCCACCCAGTTGCTCTCAAAAATATAGTAGTTGTTAGATATATAGGCAATTTTTGCTAGTAGAACATATTCATTAATTTTTTCCTGTAGCAACCAACATATTTTTAAGGCAAGACATGAAAATCCATTATTTAATTTATCTGTCAATGCCTTGGGTCTGGGCATCTGATCTCCCCACTTGGAATGGTTAATTCACCAAAAATGTCTGAGACAAAAAAGCCAAAATTCTTTAACACTTGCTGAAAGGTTAATGAAGAATGAAGTGATTCATAGTTTTCCCCAAAGTCAAGCATGTAAAAATCAATATTCTACATCTTAAATTTTTTATATACAAATTAAGCCAAATTTGGGCCAATCACCTTTTAGACATAAAAAGAGTTGCTCCTGAACATGCCTCAAATGTCTTCTCTGCGTTTCTGTTGCTGTTGTTGTTGTTTTCCTGAAGTAGGCAACATTTTTTATCAGGAGTATTACAGTTAGATAACTTTATTCACACTGAAGTAGATTCCAGAATAATGAAATCATTGGCAGAAAGAAGCAAACCACAGTGGAAAAAGATGCAGGCATGAAGTAAAAGCATCATGAATTGAATGAAACTAAAGATGGACTAAAGTCATAGAAACTGTTAAAACCAGGAGGACCCTAGAGATGTTCTCACTCAAAGCTCTCATTTTAGGAATCAGAAACTGGGGATCAGAGAAAGTGTGTGGCTTTCTCATGATCAGAAGAACCAGACCTAGATCCGAGGACTTGACACACTTGGTTTTGTACTGTCTATACTCCGTCTTTTGACACTTAATGAAATTAAGCAGGAAAAAGATAAGAAAATTTTTTTTGTAAAGTCACATTCCTCTAGGAATTATTTACTAAAATTCTTCTTCACAACTCCCCCTCAGAAATACTGAAAGCCCTTCTTTTTTTTTCTAAAAAACATATTTGCAATTTAAGAAATCTTCTGAAACCGTCACAGATCTCAATTTGCTCTTCTATTATCATTAGTCTACTAATTTCATTAATATAATTTAACTGATTTTCTTTAAGAGTCTGATGAATTTGCCTCCCTCTTTCCAAGATGTTTAAAGCACTATGTGAATTACTTTATTTGTAAAATGTAGAAGTGAGATGTTACGGGAATTAGTGTAAAATTTTAAAAGTGTGCAATAGGTAAAAAGTTTTCCCTCAAGATGTAAAATCCTACAAGACTAAGACTT
Organism: Homo sapiens; assembly: GCF_000001405.40. Taxonomy (NCBI): domain Eukaryota; kingdom Metazoa; phylum Chordata; class Mammalia; order Primates; family Hominidae; genus Homo; species Homo sapiens. The sequence continues at coordinate 212,281,400 of NC_000002.12, forward strand.
CTAAACAAATGCCATCCCCAGTCACATATGGATATTTGGGAAACAGAAATCATCCACAGAACTGTTGATTCCTCTGTGAGCTCGCATTTTTAAAATTTCTATTTGTAGTAGTCAGGATTACCCATTTCATTTACATCAGTTGCTCTAGCTCTCTGTGTTCCAGCCATTTGGGTCACTCTGGTTTCTTTCAGTTCTTTCCATCTTGTTCTCTCCTTACAAGGCAAGCATTTAAATAGCTGAAGTGTATTGTTTCTAGAAAATTTCTGCATTGAAAGCCTTGAAGTCTCTATGGCACATTATGTGGTTCATCAAATAACCTGGAGCTTAAATTAGTATATTATTTTTCCATAATTTACCAAATAGCATCTTTCCATCTACTTAAATTCTGAGCCTATATGTGTGACATAGTAGAATTTTAGGCCTATTTACCTTCCAAAATAGTAACAAGGGTAATTTATGCAACTCTGCTTCAATGTGTTATAAAGTGTAAAAATCAATTGTCTAACCCAGACTGCAAAACCTATGCCACTCAATACACGATACGTTTATAAAACTAAAAGTCAAAAAAAGTATGCATTGTGTGCCAGAGTATAAAAATATATTTTAAAAATCATTTGATAACATGCCCAACATTGCAATGAACAATTTGATCATTTAGAAGTTATATTTGAGAGAATGCCAAAATTCTCAGGTTATCATAATATTCTCTGATGGTCACTAAATAACAATGAAGTGAACAATTCTACCATCTGGACTTTGTTACGTAGCCCGATGCTGCCCATAGAAAAGATTAACCTGGCAGGCACCACAGGGATATGTATTTTTTCAATTCCCTCATTTTATAGGCAAGGCAAATAAAATTCAGAAAGCTAAAATAATTGTAAACTTGGTTACAAAGTGACTTGGCAACAGAGCTGGGAGTAAAACCCAAGTCTCTGAGTTGTTCATTACAAGCAGGCTACTTTCACCTTTGAACTCTGGAAAGCACTTTTTAAAAAATATTTCTCTTTATCACAACTGCACTTGAGGTAACTCAGGTGTTATCGCCCTGATTTACTATGGGAAGATACAAACTCTATTTGATTATTCGACTTGTATGAAGTAACCCAGGGACCTCGAGTGTGTCCATCATATTTATTTCATAAACATTTCAAGGCCAATAAGGACAAATAATATACTTGTTATTTACTATGGACAAAAATAATGGGATATATTTTATACCACTTCATGAGTGGTTTTCCAGCTTGGCTAACCTCCATAATCATTAGAGTCACTTGAAATCTTCTGGCTTTGCCCCAAACCCACTGAAGCAGAATCTCCAGGGAAAGTGCCTGGGAATTTGTATTTTTAAGTGGCTCCCCCAGGTGACTTTGGTAATTAGCCAAGTTTAGGAAACCTTGACAATATCACTGGAAGTAACAGGATGTTGCCTTACGTGTTCAGAATGTTCAGAAGCAAAATGTACCTATTGTAAAATTGACCCAATCCAGTTTCTCTCTTTTACAAATGGGGAAAGATAGATGTCTTTGTCACAAGTGGGTAGACAAACTGCCAAATACCACCTATATTTTTGGGTCAGAGACAGATTGGAACTCCACCAAGAGAAACTGGGCATTCATACTCGGTCTATTTCCATGGCAGGGACAAAACAATTCTAATCTTACTGATCATTTCATTAAAGAATAAAGCAATCTCAGGGCATTAACTGCTGACAGTAATGCAGACCATGGATTTCACGGATTAACCAAACCACAAACAATCTAGAACATGCCCACAGAACAATTCTTTGTTTGTGTAGTACAGGAGGCAAAAAAGCAATCAGTATGACTTGAACTGCTGGGTTTAATTACTCAATATAACACTTGCCATTTAAAAATCCGTATGCCCATCAGCATGGCAACAGTCTCTCATAAAGATTCCGGTATCATATGGCACAATTTGTACGGTAATCCCACATTTCCCAAGCACTTTCACATATATTAGTGCACCTTATCCTTACAATAGCCCTGTGAGGTAGATAGTAATTATTGACAAACTGAAAGGTTTGTTATAATTAAAAGTTTATTACTGGCAGAATGCAAATATCCTGAAATGTATCTGATATACTCTTGGTTTCATGCAAAATAAGATATGTATCACCCCTTAGAGTTTGTTAAAACAATTTTAAACCCTAAAATATTCATTAAGTTTTTTTAATGGAAAATGATTCATGCAATGCTAGTTTAAATGCTGAATTTGAGGTTAAAAAAGAAAATGTATCAAGTAGTCAGCCTTTACTACTTTGAATATCAAGCATACAGATCCTGATTTATTTCATCAAAATGGTTTCCTAGCTATACCAAAGGCTAGATCCTTTTCCCTATACAATGGCTCAGGTGAAAAATAGTTACTATAGTGACATACCACAGTGAAGAGTTGAAAATTTGAAGTTTTCAAAAATTAATATTATGTTTGTTCACATGCTAATTAAAATGAATCCACAGTTGTTATTCCTCATTGTTATTGTTTATTGACACTTTTACCCTTTCTCTTTCCTAAAGCCTCAAACTCTCTAAATTTTGGCAAAACTTCTGTGTTATTCTTTCTGTGAGAAAAACTTCAAATAAACTTCCAAAATTTTTTTTCTGGGTACAGTGAACATAGCTAGAACAGTTACTATGTGAAGAGAATGCTATTAAAGTCAATTATTACAAAGAAGCACTTAGACACACAATAATTTATCAAAGTTTTTATTCAACGTAATATTATCAACAGGTTCAGATAAGAATATAAGTTTTTCTCATGGGAGAAACTCCATCTGAGTCTCTAATTAAATAACTTTTGTATAGTTCCTTTTCTTCTCTGCACAAAAGATCTTTTTTCTGTCCATTCTTGCCCTCCTTCTTTCTTTGTTGATACTATTTACTCCCAAGCCTGCCTCTGAACTCTGTCTAATTAGCTCTTGATAGATCTGCTGCCCTGTTTCCACAAACATTTAATTCTGCCGTCAGTCCCATTTACATTACAGCATGTTGCATTGTCTTTTACCAGCCTAATTTTGTTTGAGTGAATGTAAATCCCATTAAGCAGTCACCTATTAGACTATGGCATATAAACTCCAAAAGCCTCTTTATTACAAGAGTGAACATAAGGCCCAATTGATAAAAGATTTCTGGGGCATTTCCATTTGTGGTGTACTTCAAATATTCTGTCTGCTTTAAACTTAGCTCATGTTTTTGAAGTATTTGACAGACTATTTGAGTATCTTTTTGCCTGTGTATTCCATAGCATGAAATACATAACCATCATTTGCTTGTTGTCTTTAGAAGTTTACTTATACCTAAACATAAGTTAAATATGTATTTCTTCCTCTTTAGTTATTTTATTTTTCCTTTGTAACCTGACCACATTATTTTTGAGCACTGCATAAAGGTGTTTACAAATAACAGGATGGCTGGCAGAATCTTCTCGGAAAAGCTCTTTATGAATACTAAATAATTGTCCAGAAGTTCAGTAAGCCTCAGTGTTTTAAGCTGAACTTTCTGGAGAGAGGTAAGACATAGCATCTTGACAGGCAGCCCTTCAAATGGCAAGTAGCTATGGGCATCAGAGACAGACAGGTTTCTCTTATAACCTTAATGTAATTTGATAGCTCAAAACGAATAAAAACAAGATGTAAGATATCATTAGAAGCCTTGGAAAGACCAGGTGGTCTGATATTTACATCAATATGATCAATATACTCAATCAGATTAGTGCCAGGTACCAGTTTTAAATGAAGGCTCAGTTATAGACTTTCGCCAAAACAGAGATAATCATTCAGCACTATGGTCACATAATCACGTGGTTGAAGGTAAGGGTGAGAATGGCTCTCTTTCCATTTCCTCCTGGTAATTAACTCAGAAAGACATCCATGAAGTGCAAACCCTCACACACAAAATTATTTCTCACCCCTGCAGGCTTGTCAAAGCCAATATTTCAGAAAAGCACAGGTTGCTGAAGGGGACTGTGATTTTTTTTTTTTTTGCCTGCTGTGAGTCCCTAAGGACAACAAACATTCTAAGAGAGACTGTAGCCAAAATTGCTAATAACTTCACACAGTTCTTTTGCCATAATGACAAAATTCAAGGGAAGACTGAATAGAGTAGTGGGTTAGGTGGTAAGCCAGTTATTTGAGCAGGAATGAAAATATATATGGTCCCAAATGCTAGTTACGAAGTCAACCTGGATTAAAAATCTAAAAAATGATTATGACAAATATATGGAATGCAAAGTCAATAACAGATATTCAGTTTGTTAAAAATGAGGACTTACAATATTTTAAGAGGAGGAAAAATTATAAAAAAATTGAGCATCAAAAATTGATTTATAAAGTAAGAATTTGCATCAATACCTAGCCATACCTACAATATACAGCTTGGTATTCGAGTAGAATAGATTTTATATAACTCTAGACTCTCTAATATTCAGGCTCAAAAATACCCAGTAATAGATATCAAAACAAATTTCTTGGATGATAGGCCCCTTATTTCTTTCTACATATGTTTTGATTTGGGTCAATGGCTTGGCTAGATATTATATGTATGATTTGACATGATTGTTTATCTTTCTGTCCTTTACATAGCATTAAGGACATTTATTCGACACAGATATAGTCAAATGTCATAATGGGCAACATGAGTTACACGTTGGCTCCCTTGAGTGTCTCCTCATAATCACTTCAAATCTTACTGAGACCGAGATTTCAAAGCAAGAGGTACATATTAATTCAGGGTTACTTGTTAACAAAACAGGCAGCTAACTACTATTACATTGGTTCTTACGGTTTACTGAAGCATTAAACATTAACATTATTATTATGAAATACAACCAATATCAGAAGGAAATTATTTTTTAAAACAGTACAAATATTTTAAGTGGGCCTACAAGAAACCTTAGTGATTCATAATAAGTATATTGAACGAATTTGAAATTCAGTGAACACATCAAAGTTTCTAGACCCACATAAGTTTCTGTACTACCCATAACATTTATAAAAGCAACTTCAGTAACTTTTTCAAAAAGGTATCTCTGTGTTATATCTGGACACAATACATATAAAATATAAATATAGATGGGTTGCATAACCTCTCTGAGCCTCAGTTTTCTCTTTTACAATGGAGAAAATGCATATTAAAGTTGTTCAGATTAAATGAGATGATTACATAAGTGCTGACTTTTTTTTTTTTTTTTTTTTTTTTTTGACACAGAGTCTCGCTTTGTTACCTAGCTGGAGTGCAATGGGGCAATCTCGACTCACTGCAGCCTTGACCTCCTGAGTTCACACAATCCTCCTGCCTCAGCTCCCCAAGTAGCTGGGACTATAGGCGGGTGGCACCATGAGGGTTAATTTTTTTTTTTTTTTTTTTTTTTGTAGAGACGGGATTTCCGCCATGTTGCCCACGCTGTTCCCCAACTTCTGAACTCAAGCGATCCGCCAGCCTCTGCCTCCCAAAGTACTGGGATTACGGGCGTGAGCCACCGTGCACAGCCAGTGACTTCTTAATATATATCCTAAAGCGCAAGAGGCACTGGATATTTGTGGAGTCTTGATAACCACCAGGGAGGGGCCCAAGGTAGGAGAGAACAATTGTTCTGAGAGACAAGTAACCATAAACAACGCGCTGACACAACGACCTTGCTCCACAGGTAGCCCAAATGGCACAACCTCGATCAGCATGTAGCCCCCTCCAGAAGACCTTATAAAACTTCCCTCCAGCCCCTGCCTCTTTGCAGACAGCCCCTTCTCTGTAGTGCTACATATTGCACCCTTGCAATGAATTTTCATACTTTCTCTAATAAATGTGCCTTTATTTTTCTCCCCCTACAACTGTCTTGGTAAATTCCTTTACCACCGGCAACACCAGCCCCAGCCAGTCACACTTGTAAGAGTACTCAGCAGTGAGCAACACTTATTTTTCACAGAGCTATAGGTGAGAAGACAGACAGAAACCCATATGTAAGTATAACTTTTGATAATTTTTGTCACAAACAGTAGTAGCCATAGTTTTGCCTCTCAAATATGCTTTTTGTTCACCTTTCTATTAACATAATTTTTTATGTTTTAAAATGAATCTGCTCCAAAAGATTCTTGTGAACTGATCCCTCTGCCTACTCCAAACAGGGGGTAACCTAACAGGCTTCATCGCTAGTCAATGAGATGACCTTATTTCCCTATCAATAGTGATAGGAGGTATCCAGTAAGAGGCGTGCTCTTTGCAATAAAAACACAACTATGGATATAATATGAAAAAAAATAACTGCTTTGAACCTTTTCTGTCACAATTCCAGAAAAGACTGCCTAAGAATTAGGCCAATAAAAAAGAACGACATTATGTCCTTTGCAGGGACATGGATGGAGTTGGAAGCCATTATCCTGAGCAAACTAACATGAAATACTTAACATGTTTTCACTTATAAGTGGGAGTTAAATGATGAAAACACACGGACACATAGAGGGCAACAACACGCACTGGGGCCTTTTGGAGGGTGGAGCATGGAAGGAGGGAGAGGATCAGTAAAAACACCTAATGGGCACGAGGCTTAATACCTGGGCTATGAAATAATCTGTACAACAGACCTCCGTTACAAAAGTTTACCTGTGTAACAAACCTACACTTGTACCCCAGAACTTAAAATAAATGTTAGAAAAAGAAAAGGAATGAGATGAGAAGAGAGAAAATCAGAGTTGAGATTTTAAGATAGTAAGAGTGTCCTGCTGACATGAGACATGGTTTCAGCCCTGGATCTATCTGTGCTTAAGGCCTAATATGCTCCTGGACTTTCATTTTGTGAGTCAAGAAAATCCCTTTGCTTGTGCTAGTTTAGACTAGGTTTCAGTGTCCACAATGCTAATACCGCGAGGCACACGGGACAATGGCAAAAGGAGAATAGGTTAGTGTTTCAAGGAGAGAAAATATTACGAGGGCTCTATCTAAGGAAAATGTTAGTGTGCTTGAGGAACCACGAACATACTATTAACATCACTGTCACTACTACTGAGACAGCCAAGTAAAAAGGGCTCCCTGGCAGAAGCTCCCACAGGCCTGAGCACTGGGAGGAATGCGCACTGGGGTGGAGCCTCAGGAAGTTCACGCCTTTTGCAGTGGGGAGGAGCCTGGCCTCTCCTGTTGCAGCATAGTAACCTGGAATTCAGTGTGCGAGGTGGAAAACTGGCTAGCCGGCTTCTCGCTTTGCTGATAGTCCTTCTTTCCCTTTTCATCCAATAAACCCTGTCCTGGTCACCCTTCAAAGTGTCTGTGAGCCTAATTTGTCATGGTTGTGTGACGAGAACCCCGTTTTTAGCTCAACTAAAGACAAAGTTCTACAACACCACTATAACCCTTTATAGCTTCTAGATCTTGATCTAAGGCCCTGGGAATGATACTCCTACCTAAAAAGAGTTTCCCACCAAGACTACCTGTTTATTTCCAATTTGTATCTCATTTAATCTATTGTGCTATCAAATGCAAGGACATTTTTCTAGATGCAGATGTTATATATTAAAAGAAAGGGAGGAAAGAGAAAGGCTTGGTTCTGGAAGAGGATAGAGAGTGTGAAGCCTTGTAAGCCACCAGACTGACAGAAAGCCGTGGGCAACCCTAGGAGACTGAGAAAAAGAAACCTCCTGACAACACAGCCAAGCAGAACACCAGAAAGAACTACCTACGCCCCAAGTTTCCCTAAGGCCAGCCGTGGCTACATAATTCGTCATATACTATAAATGAAATGGGTGTAGTTTGAAATATTGCTTTCCACTAATATTAATTTCAAGAATCTACTTTTTTAAAATGAATATAATAACTTTGAAATCTGTTTTTGCTGCTTTTCCTGATTTTTTAAATACTCATACAATAGTCTGGTAACTGGTATTCTTTTTAAGCAGAGAACTCCTGGATTCAAATACCTGATAATTAAAGGATCTTTTGATATTTTGGCAGTTACTCTCACTAAAAGAAGTTACATTCAGCAGATTAGAATGATTCATGAGAAATTCTTGGTTAGTAAATATTTAATCCAGATTTTATAATTGCCTAAATCTCTTTATAGGTTATTTCTTGCAATATTTCAAGATCCTGAGTCAGCCATGCTTATACAAGCAAACTTTTATTTACTGTGTTTCTTTGTGCATCTCTGGTGTCTATTAACATAGTACCTGAATGAGACAGTTTAAATTCAAAGGAAGTTTTTGCCTGAAGGAGAACAGAAGAATTGGGCTCAATGGGAATTCTATATGAGTATCTGAGGGCAGAATTTAGGCTACTGGAAGGGCAGTTAGTAGCTAGGGATTTAAACCACTACAACAAAGTTTTAAGGAAGAAAAGAGGTGGCAATATTATTGGGGCTTTTTTGTTCCCTTACTTTCCCCAAGTAGAATTATTTTGAAAAAACAAAAAACTTAATTGCACAGAGTATTCTCAAATTATGTCATCCTGAAATCTGTCTTGAATGTCATTCAGATTCTCTATAGTACAGCTTTTATAGATTTAACTGATACCAAATCTTTCAGCCTTGCAGAAGTAATATGAAAATATAAGGAAAACAACTCCTCTATTCGTAGCATATGTCTAAATACTTTATTATAAAAATGTCATATTTAAGTTTAAGAGCCAATAATTTATATAGTAAAATTCCTAGTATTTTTCAGCAGAAAAAAGAAATATAACACACACTTATTTCCCCAGCATTAAATTAGCATGTTTCAGCCTTAATATTCTCATATTTGTATTCTTTTAACTACAGAAATCATACATGTAGTTTTATATTTTTTAAAGGCAAAGAGTGGGGAATAAAACAATGTTCTTTTTGACATCTGTAGATTGTTCTGTTTCCTTCTTTTCCTGTCCACAAAGCCACCACTGTAAGTCTGACCAGTATCGTTCCAACGACTTCTACGTGTACAGATATATATGTATACACACAGTAGTACATAGCATTGTGTGATATATATATGAAGTAGTCTTTACCACATCAAAAGACAAAGTGAAAGAAATTACAAATTTAAAATCCAGAATGTAAACTAAAAATTCTAGATTCAGACTTCAGTGGAAGGAAGAAATAATCTCTCTTGTTTAATAGCAATAGATTCTGTGCCCTAGGGAAGGGAAGCTCCTTAGGGCACATAGCTAATTAGTGAAAGAGTTCTAGTGGGACAAGATCTCTTATTTTCTAGTGCAATGCATTTTCCATAGCAACAGGCCAATAATCGCTAAGTCACGTATCACATACTATACTATATTTCTTTTCGTGTGTGTGTGTGTGTGCGTGTGTGCACGTACACATGCAAGTGATGTGTGAGTAGAGAAATCACATATTGGATTACTTAAGTTAAAAAAGAAAATATGTGACATTCTGTTCAATGTAAAAAAACAAATAACGAACATATACCATGCAGTAGGCATTATGCCAGCCAGTGTAAGAGCAAAGAAAATCAAAGGAGAAAAAAAAATGTCTATTCTCATTGGGCTTATAGTTTAACGGAACAAGATTGAAAAACACAGCCACAATGATTGTGAGTGTGTGTTTTAGTGTGTAAAAAATATTAATTTAGTTAAAAGTTACACAAGACCCCAGAGACAAGGCAACTGTTTCCATACCTATGTATGTTTTCTATGGCTACTTCTTCCAAATATGGCCTCTACCAACACACATTGCCCAATAAAGTAGGGAACTTACTATGGGAAAAGGAGCTGTGCCTCAGCAATGTAGGCAGAGTATGTGAACGTCAAGTCATAACACCCATATCTCTCCAAGCATATTTAACATTGAAATAACTTTAACACAGCCCATGACAAGTTTAAGGCAACAACACTTCCTATAGACTCATGGCAAGTGTTCCTATAGCCCATGGCAACAATACTTCCTATAGACTATACTAAATAACAAAGAAGAAGTACAAATGATTCTAACGAACAGTTATATAAGTTGATAGTCCTGAATATATTTTAATCAGCTTTAGCATAATCCTATCATGTATTTTAAAAAGTCTTTTTACTAGATATTTTTAATGGAAAGTGAACAATTTGCATTAAAATTAAGTTAATTTTGTTGTTAATGCTAAATTAGACCCATTTGTGCAAGGATGATAAAACATGCTTTAATTGTGTAGTTGCATCACAGGTGCCATTTAGTTTGTTCTTTCAAACATTATCTCTGTAAATATACATATTTTTTCTTTCTTTTATATGGAAGTAAATTAATTAGATGTCATCTGTAGCACAATGCTGGACACAAAGCAGGTGCTCAAAAATAATCATTTGATGAACATTAGAGATTTTTGGGGTTTTTCTGAGTTACAAAGTCTGAATATTTATAACCATATACTAATTTAAATTGAATACTTAGCCAGAGAAATCAAATTTAACAGACTATATAGCAAATTCCTGATAGCACTGTACCCATAACATCTTAAATGTTGCAGGATGTATAACTCTATTTTTCAAAAATATTTTATTAGGCTCTTTCAGAACAATTGTAGGGAAGAAAAGAAATTTCAGAAAAAGGAACAGTTTGTAGTTTGTGGACTGTTACAATTAATCATTACACTATGAATTAGATCATATCTGTTATACAGATGAAAGAACTGAGGTTGAATGACTATAATCCTTAATGCCTTTGGTTGTAATTCTGGAAAAACATTTCTGAAAAAAAGCTAGTTTTGCTTTTTTTAAATTTTTTTCTGAAAAACTGAAACAATTTTTAAGTCAGAAAATCCAACTTTCTCCATTATCAAACACCTCTTCTGACTTCTACTTATGATTTCTAGCCGCCAAAAATGCCTCTGGCATAAAGATTTTTGTATATGTTTTTAAAGTATAATTTTAAATCACACTTCTATTTGATAATTGGAAAGATGCTTAAAAAAAGATCTTTCCTAACCTTTTCATCTTATACATAAAAAATGAGGCTCAGAGAAGTGAAATATTTTGCTAAACATCAGAATATAATACTGGCAGATGTGTAACAAGAATTGAATCCTCACTACTAGTTCAATGATCTCTGAATGCTCCACTTCTACCAATTTCCAGAATTAATATTGCAGTTAATTTCTAGTACCTTTAGTGATATAATTATAGATAAAAAATAGTAATGACATAATCAAGGATGCCTTAATATCTCTATTAAAATTAGTTTAGATCTAAAATCAACCAATATCAAAAATTATGAAAAATACAAAGTAAATTGGGTAACAGGAAAAAAACACAGTTATATTTAATTATAAGTACACAGCAGCAAACAGTTCAGATTGTTGATGCTTTTGATGACCATTAATGCAAAAGGATTATGGATTATGGCACTGTATTATGAATAGACAAAAAGATTAGTGAAAAGTTGTTTAGCCTAGTAGACATTTTGACGCTTTCTGCGTGAAATTGAAAGATAAACCAGAGAACCATTGAAAGTTCATGTATCAATTAATAGGTCAAGTAAAAATGTATCTAAAATTCAACAAGAAGAGATTGTTTTCTATTTCAGTTTTCAAATGCAAGGTAGTGAACTGAAATCAAATCAACAAAATAAATGGTCCCAAGGACTCTTATTATAAGTATACAAATGTGTAACTCCCAGGAAATGAAAATATAAATGGGTATAAATGAGAAGAAGCTATAAAAACAAAGCAATCCAAACTACAAATAAAGCCTAATCTACTGACAGTAGCTCCACATAATAACCTAGAACAATTTTTAAATAAATAAAACTCAAGCATTAGCTGACAAAAATTATGAATGAAGACCTAAGAAGTAAAAAAATCTACTTAAATATATTTCCAAGCATATAAGTATTTTTTTAACTTATGATGTGGGAGCTGCTCATTGTATAAGATTAATAAAAAGGATTTCAGAAAAACATTTACTTAAAAAATCATAAATATTAATCATATTTTTAAAATTCCATAATAAAAATCTCATCTCACAATTTAATGTAGCATATATTAAAAATATTCCATAATAAAAATCTGATCTCATAATTTAATATAGCTTTCAATAATAGAAAAATAGCTCCAAATCACCTTCTAAAAAACTTCATTAAACTGACACAGACAACAAACCTTATTAAAAATTTATACAAAACAACCATCATCATATACAATTTTCTTCACATCTCAATAAACATTAACTAATGCAGTTGAGTGAAAGTCATACATATTGGCCGGGCATGGTGGCTCACGCCTTTAATCCCAGCATTTTGGGAGGTTGAGGCAGGTAGATTGCTTAAGGCCAGGAGATCAAGACCAGCCTGGTCAAAATGGTGAAACCTTGTCTCTACTAAAATTACAAAAATTAGCTGGGCATGGTGGTGCATGCCTGTAATCCCAGCTACTCAGGAGGCTGAGGCAGGGGAATTGCTTGAACCTAGGAGATGGAGGTTGCAGTGAGTCAAAATAGTGCCACTGCACTCCAGCCTGGGTGACAGAGGAAGACTCTGTCTCAAAAAAAAAAACAAAAAAAAAAAAAACATACATTTGTAAGTGTATGATGTGTATAAGATGATGATGATATGTGTGTGTAGAGAGAATATGAACTCTCTCCAGAGAGAGTCAACGAAGTATTTTTCTATACCAGTTCCCTTAGAAAATCAGAATCAGAATTGACACTAAATACAAAAATTTATATTTTCTTCAACAGTATTAAATTTACCAAGTAATAAAGAGGATAATCTCTTGCATTTACTGTTACTATACCATTATAGAAATAAAATAAAGCTAATTTCCAAGGATACCATTTCTGTTCTACTTTTATTTTGCTGTTAAGAATATACAAATATGGAACAAATACAAGGTTTTATTACACAATTCATTCCAATGGAAAAACTATGTAGAAGCATCCAACATGCAAACCATTTTATGGATTGCCTATTTATTTTATTTGAAATAGTAAATATTAGAGATAAAACAAAAAGTACACTAAAACTGAGAAATTCGTGTCTCTATTTCTACCCAAATAATCTTAAATATATTCAAAGAGGGATTTTATTTGGAGTCAATCATCTGATTTTTGTTGTTGTTGTTCTTGTTTCATCTCACTTTGTCTAATAATATTTTGTCTTAAATATTAAAATCAGAGTAATTATACTGAAATTATATATACAAAACTGTATTTCAACCTGTAAATTATAATTCTTACTAGCTATTGTCAATCACTCTATGAAAAGTTGTATCGCTTTAAAATTTGTCAGAAACAGCTTCTTTTATAAATCTGTTCTATCAAAACTATACTTACAATATAAAAAACTCTTCAAAAATTTACTTTTTAAAATTCCAAAATGTTTAATACTGCCTAGAATTTTAAAATTGTCTTAAAGTTAGAAAAATGATTAAAATATGATAATTAAAAAGTATACTATAACCAAATTTTAAAACACCTTATATATAAATAATACAGCTCTATTTGCCTACTCGAAACAGCTTCTAAAGTCAAGTCAGGAAAGCAAATGACTGTAGGGGGTTTGATAGAGTGTAAAATCTTGGATGCATAAATCTCATTCAGGTTCACTTCCATATGCCCTGAGGGCAAAGCCAGGCATGAAGCCTTTGCCATATTACCTACTGAACTGGGTCATACGTGGTAATATTTGCTGTATGGTCTTGTGATGAGGCAGCATAGGGAGAACCAGCTGGCCAAGGCTAATGCACCATCTGGACTGAAAAAATATTGCCAATTCCATTGGCAGAGCAGAAACAGAGTTTGTAATCGAGCTATAAATCACAAGCAGGTCTTGCAAGTTGTCAATTAAAAGTCTGATATATTGATGTCCTCAATGCATGGGTGACTTCTTGCTTTTAAAATATTGCTATTTACATAATAGAACTCTTTTAAATATCAATCTCTACCTAATAAAAAATTACTCAAAGCACCCATAAGAAACAAATTCAGCACATTAAGAAATGTGACTCACAAAACCACAAAAAATGAAGAGAAGACATATATGTTGATCACACAGCTATAGTGGAATTTCTGTGTTCAAATGACACAGATTTTTGAACCTCAAAATTTAAAACTTCAACTCAAAGAATTTTCACTGATTATATTATCTTCATGTTTCTCTCTGTTTCAAATGAAAAGAAAACGTATGCATATGCACTTACTCTTTCATACACATACACACACACAAATTATTGTACACTATGCCGCCAAATTACTGACATCACGACACAGTGGAAAGAACAGGGGTTTTAGAGTCAAGTAAACCTGAGCTCAAATTCCTGTTCCGTTGCTTACTAGTTCTATGGTATTGTACCAGTTACTTAATATTTGTGAATCACAGTGATGCTGCAGTGATGTTAGAAGGATTAGCAATAATATATGTAAAGTAACAAGTACATAGTAGCTGCACAGTAAATGGCAGCTGCATTACTGTGACGTAGGCAAATGATACATTTGGACAATCTTTGATTCTTTGATTTAAATGTTGTATGCATGTTTCCAATCAGAATAAATACGTGAATTTTAGCCAGAAAGCAGAGAACATAAAACTTAAATTGCTTAGTAATAAAGTTTTTGCCAGCCATTCATCAAAGCCATATTTCATGCAGTTAACTCTTAATGTTTTGTTGTTTTATTTTTGTTTTTAATTTGTTTTTTGAGGTTATCTCAATTAGATGATCCCAGGATTGATCAAGCTCTGTTGTCTTTCTGTAAGAACTTCTTGGATAATCACTTGACAACTCAATCAATATGTAATTCATTGAGCATTCGATAGGTGAAGCAGCACTATATTAGGTACTTTATAAATTTAATCTATAATGATGTATTAGCAATCATAGGGAACACCATGATGGTCAGTGTTCAGACTTGATGAAGACTGAAGCATGAGAGAGGGCCAGACAGATATTGTAGAGTCCGTGCAGCTTTCTACTAATTTCTATTTACCAATAAATATGCCTGGGATAATATAGGAGAATTATAGAAAGGAACAAGGAAACTAATCAAGGAGAAAGTAGAGGGTGGTTTCCAATGAGAGAATTTCATCTGCTTCTAATCTAAAAAAAAAAGACATTGACATATTCAATTTGTAGTGTCATATATAACAGTTCTTCAGTAATGTAAAGAACTATTTCAAGGTCATATATTAGCATTTGGAGGAATATCAAAATTAATATATTCAAGATAACAGAATTAAATCAGTATACCCTCTCCATCCTCTTCTCTCTCTCTGCCTCTATAACAGATAATTTGCACACTCCCTTCCCCAGTCCATTATCTGCCTTGCGCCATAACTCTGCAGGCTGACCCTCTGGACTGCATCTTGTTTGCCAACTGGCTTCAATCTGAATGTAGACAATCTGAGGAAATCCTCAGGAGAAGTTTGGAGAGCAAGAAGACAGAGACTTTTAGGTGTTCACTAAGGCTTGGACCAGGGTGAGGCAAGCAAGGCATTCAGGGCATGAAATTTATGAACAAAATCAACCTTAGAGACTAACCACACCCACCAACTCCATCCTAAGTCTTTGCAACCCTCAAAACTACAGCTCTCTCCAGATAGACTCTCCTTCATGATTTCAACTCTCCTTGGACTGGTCAGCCTGAAGGGTGGTAATGACTCACCAACGCTACTAATCCTTCTTCACTGTCCCTTATTTTTTTCCCTCCCAGGCTCATAACTCGAGGTTAAACTCTCTTTTATACAAGAACCCTGTCTGATGAAGCATCATTTCAGAATTTTAAGTCAACTTACAAATGTGGTATTATTCACATCTGAGTACAAATTTAGGACTACTATCATTTATTGAGTATACAAATATTTATAAAGATCACTATTTTTGTATAAGAAGTGGCCTTAAAATTAATTGGTAGCAATACATAATCCACTTTAGATTATCCAATAAAACAGTTTTGGCTTTCAATTAAAATTAATGTGTGTGTATGGTACATGTTTGCACAAAAACCACTTCATTGGAACAAAGAACGATTTGTTGTTGGATTACATTTCTAGTTCTTCATCCCTAGCCAAAATTGACATTTTTAAACATTAATGTAACCTTTGTGATAAAAGCAGATTAAATCGATGGTATATATGTGATCCAGTTTTGCCTGTTTCTTAAAGCTAACAATTCATAATTCATTTGGTCATAAATGTTATAACACTAAAAGACACATAAGCTTTTTATAAAGGGATAATATATCTAAAGCTAATATTTTCATTTTGCAAAGGATAAACCTGAATGAAAGACACAGAAAGACTTGAAAGATCAAACAAAACATTATTTGATCACTGGCTACTAAAAAATAAACTTTTACTTACAGTTTTTAGATAAACATGTCTAATATTTTAATAATCTCAAATAAAGTAAATATTTCCAGAAAACCTAGAAAGATGATGAAAAAGGGTGTATATAATGCATACTCAAATCTAATTTTAAGTTAATGTAATTGTATATATCAAATGACCAATAGCAATGAGTCCATTATTTATTATAAAGATATTTTTGACCAAACTTCCTCAAAATACTACATGAAAAACTGATAAATGCAAATTCAATGTAAAAATATTTGAATTTTGAAATAAAGTAAGTTCAATATAGTCATAAAAATAATGAAATAGCAAATAAGTAAGAACATTTTCTTATTTGAAGATGGAAGACAGTGCTGAAATCTGATGCTTTAATTATGTTTTGTTTGAAATGTAAAATATTGAGTAAAATGTATTATTATCTTACTACAATTTGTTTTCACTAATAGTTCTTTTTAACAAGAATCTTTTGGAAACTGAACAAATCATAAAGAACTTAAAAAACAATTGGACTGCTCTAGGTAGAACATTGTCACTTTTCATTAATGTTCTTTTATGCTGCTTGAAGATCAATCATATTCTATACCATCTAGTAAAAAAAGATCAGTTTCTACATGGAGTGAAATGCTTTGTATGTGCTTTACATCATGAATAAATACAATCACAGATTTGTTTATCTTTCTGTATCATCTAATTCAGAAGATAAAAATTGCATATTTGCTATTTTCTAACTTTGCTGTTAGGAATTAAAAAACAATATTCTATGGCTATGAAAATTTTTCTTTCAGAGAAAGAAAAACTCCAGAGTAGCTTCTCTTATTGGAAAATAGTTTTCCCTGAGGAACTGTCATAACTAGTCCTCAGCCCCTGTCAAGTCTGCAGAGTCCTTTCAAGAAGCTCACTGTAGGCAAGACAAGAGTAGTACTTCTTCCCTATTTTACACTACCTGAGGAACTCACTACCTCTCATGTCTAAGATACTACCATCTTTAATCTTTCTCATTATCCTCACTTAGAACCTTTCCATATGCAAAACATTTACTAAGAGCTTCACCAAAGGAATTAAAGAACATGCTTTTTGCAGAGCTGCCTCCACAAGATACAATGAAATCAGACGCAATAGCAAAATGATTTTTTTGTTGAGACAGAAATTAGGTGAGTAGCATTTTAATGGATATAGTAAATATCAGATAAACCAAAGTTTAAAGAAGCCCTCAAAACTGGGAGGAATAATTACCTCAAATAGTTACATGTCATTTTCTTCATCTGGAAATAATAGTCTAATGTATTATATAGCAAGTTCTCTTTCATTGTGAAATACTTTACATGATAATAATTATCATAATAATAGCTAATATTTATTGTGAGCTCAGTTTTTAAAGTGTCAGTCACTGAGTTAAAGGCTTTATATAAATTATCTCATTTAACCCTCATTATAATTTGTGAGCTAAGTATTATAATTACTGATACCATCTCACAGACCAAAAGAGTGAGGCATGTATCAGATCACACACAGACAATAATACAAGAAATGACTAACAAATCAGACCAACATGCTACACTGCTTCCCTACATTATAAATGAGGCAGGAGCTCACAGCTCATAATGACACCAATTACTTTTGCCATACATTTTGGAATCATTATGGTTCATTAAATCCTAATATTGGTATTAATGCTGGCCAATCCCTTTTTGAAGAATGCAATGATTATCTTCTCAATTTTAAGAAACAATTTATGGGAAGGTTTAAGTTGTTTACAAATATGTAATACGAAAAAGTATGTAAAGTACTCATTGTTTTAGAAACCATATAAAAAGGCATACATTCTCATTAAATGCATGTATTTCTTCCACGAATATTTGAGTGTCGACCATGTAAAAGGAACTGTCCTAGGTGCTGTGAAACCTTCCCCTGAGATTTTCCTTTGAGTCTCATTACTGAATATCTATATATAATAATGGCAGGGACACAGAGGTAATGATATAGCATTATTTAGAAATAATAGCCCATATAATGCCAGCATGGTATCACCATCTTAGGCATCAGAATAAGCAGCAGGCCCCTGGAAACAGATTTCAAGCACTAATGAGCAGCGATAGCCAACCAAACAGCAGTCTGTTGTTTGAAAAAGATTGGTGAATCTTTATAATAGTTTTTCACAAACTATCTATCTCTTTCAATTCAGTTTCTTTTGTGCATAATACTGCTGCATAGCACGGCAGAAATTTTGTTTGTTTCAAGTTTGACATTTTAACTACCCTGTCCTACATTAAATCAGTTGGAGATAGTCTTCAAATGTGACTCACAGAAAACAGCAAATCTTTTCACTAAAATATAAACTCATAGCCCCACATTTTCATTTCCCCCTCCCTTGTTACCTAAATCATTGAAGCAAAAATGAGAAAAGTCATTACATCAGCGAATTAGTTCGCCCAAGCAGTAGCCTCAAACCACAGGTTAATTTGAACTGTTCACATATAATTACTTAAAAGAGGAAAGGATTCATTACTTTTGTGGTGTTTGCTGGTTCACTGAACCATTGTTGGAGATTGTCAATAAACAAATTACATCTAACACTGTACCCTTCTGCTGAACAGTCCCCTGAGAATATCAACTTGCACACTATGCTTTCTTTCATTTTGTGTGTGTGACCCATATTCACATGCTCTTGATTTTAACATTTTAAAACACTGTCAATTACATAAAACCAATCTAAGCAGTCAAATATAAATAGGACTATTAAATAAAACATATATGTTGTTACACAGGGTTCGCGTGTTTTTTAAGCAAGAGCTTCACAAATGTGACCCTAAAATTTTAAGTAGAGTAGTACGTCTGAATTTTTCTTGTGAGACTGTCCTTAACTTTGATTAGCTTTTTAAAATATCCCAGCCTACAAAAAATATCAAGAAAACTGTTTTGAATAATGACTAAAAACTAAGAAAGCAGTAAATCGAGATGTGATAAGAGGAGTGGGGTGACGGGAACCACTTATTCACCACAAACAAGGGGCCAGAGTTAAATATATCTACTATATTATCTCATGAGATGCTCAAAACATAAGGGTGATAGAACTACCTCGATTTTTAGATGAACCATTAACAATGGACTAAGAGAACCTGCGTTCGAATCTTAATGTTTTTGACTCTTGCGTAAACGTATCCCTTTAATGTGCAAATATCACTAATTCTGTCTGTTTCACTCAGACATTATAAAGATAAATTTTAGAAAAATACCGCAATACCTCTACATGTGCTTCACTCAGGTCTCTATAAAGTAAAGATGCTTTATAGGTAACAGTTTTGATTCAAAAAGATGTCTGGAAAGCAAAATATTTCTTCATTGATGTCCTTTATTAAACAAGAATATGCTTCCATTAAAAGTGTTTCCCATAAACTATGTTAAAAGATTTGTACAGTTAAGTAGTTAGTACTTGGCTGGATCATTATTGTTAGATGGTTTGCATTGATATGCTTTTTTTTTTTTTTAGCACTTTCAAAACATTATAAACCTTTCCTTTCCTGATTCAAGGACCTGCCTTCATCTTACCATGTCTTCCTCTATAACAGTTATACTCTAATATCTGAAAATCCCCAGATATTATATTATCGCTTCTATTTTTCCTTTTCTTTGTTTTTTCTTACAATGTTAAACAAAAAGAAACTTAAGCATCACATGTATTCATTAGGCATATCCCAATTCCCTGTAATGTATAACCTGAAAATTTTAAATAGGGTAAAATGAATTGAATTAAAGATTAGAGACCAATATATCTCACTGAACAAAATACGAGCACTGTAATACATCTCACAAATTTGTCTTAATCTGTGTTATATCATGTGACTCTGAAATAGTTTATTCAATCAACTGATATTAATTAAGCATTTAATTTGACCAGTCATCCTGCTAGGTGTTGGACATATCTTGGTAAACATGACAAATTTGGAACTCTCTCCAGTGTAGTAACTTTTGTAACAGGTCCTAATATTGTCAGTACTGATGCATATGGATTCATAGATTACACACCACACACTTCTAGGCATTACCGTTTGCACATACAATATTAATGGTCCCCCCATGCAAGTTCCCTCAGAGGTCCTGAAATCCATATGTCATCATAATTCTCTGCTTCTTAAAAATGAATATGTGGCCCAGGAGGCATGTAACTTATAGGGTAAACATAGTTTTGAGCTTTGAAAAATAACATCACATCTTATTTTTTAAAATAAAAACATAAAGTTGAAAATCCACATACAACTTTTAAGATAAAAGACTTTCAAGAAATGCAACGCTATTGAGAAGGGTAACATTGGCAGGGGTATCCTATGTCACTAAGGATATAAGACATACTTGACCAATACTGTGCCTTGTTGCTTTTGATACACTCTCATTATAACCATTAGCTAATGTGGGGTAGTTGGAATATCATCTGATTTAAATTTGGGCTGATTGATTATGCCATTTACTAGACATGTGATCTTGGGCAAGTTACTTAAATGTTGTGAACCTCAGTTTACCCATTTGTATTATGAAGCCAACACTACCTTCTTCAATAAACTTCACTGGGGTTTTATATCTAGATCACCTGGTACACAGGAAATTGAGAAAAGTCATCAGTTCTTTACATCTCTCCCTGGAGTTATTAGATATGTGCTGATAAGAAGACAATATATTTAATACAAATGTTTAATAATTGCTTGACATAAGCTATAGAGTAGACATAAGGTATTTATATAAAATCTCCTTGTTGTATAATATCTACTCTAGCAGTGTTCAGTATAACAGAATCAATCTTGTGGTATAACAGCTATTCTTCCACAACTGCATGTGTTTGAATTTACAAGCCATCAAAATAAGGGGTGAATTAGAGTCCATTTTATTACCTCATATAATTGCAGTACGATAAAACATTGGCAAAATATGAGTTTCAGAATTTTCTAAGCAATCACCTTCTCTATTTTTATTAGGGAAGCAGTATCTCAAAAGTCAAATAATTTCTGTAATTGAAGAAAGAGATGAATGGCTCTTGTGAACCTCCAAAAGGATAAAATGTTATGATCTTCTGTAAAACATGAATAAATATTTTAGATTTGCCTAAGTAATTAGTGGGATTTTATTTTAAGATAGCACTTATTGTGATTGTTAAGAAAACACACATGAGCATGTATTTCATTTCCATTTAAATGAATTATCTTTCCTTAATTCTGAAGCTATCATTTCTATGTATAGACATAAAAAATTGTTTATCCCAACAAGTAATAGAGGAGATTCACTCCTGAAAAGGTGTTTAGGAAGAAAAGATGAAAGAGGGGGAGGAGAAAGAAGAATAAAGGAAGCAGAAGAGAAAGAAGAGAGGATGAGGGAAAAATGGGGAAAGAAGAGGAGTGTAGGGAGAAAGAAAGACCTAAGTTTATTATTTTCTTAGGTGGAGGAAGATTCACATTTGCATTCCAGGGGTAAGTGGACCAAAAGGAGGCAGAAAACCACCCTGAATTATCCCATCATCGCTTAACTGTCTTTTATAGAAAGGGCAGGAAAAGCAGTGCCTTTCAGCAAAAGTGAGCATTTCTCCATATTTCTGTCTCCTTCAGTGCTTAATGGATTAGGGAGCTTCAGACAGGAGGGATGTTCAGGATTTCTCCCTATTTCACTTTATTGACAAAACACTCCAATTATGTATATTTGATTATACCCTCTGCTAGATCATGTCAGTATAGGAATGGATCTTTATCCACAGCTATAAAGACATTTATTACTTTCTAACAGACTTAAGTTCACAAATTGGGAGGAACTTTGTTCTACTGATATTTGATCCTTGTAAATCCTGAGAACAGACTCTATTTATCTAGCACGTGTTTAATACTGCTTAAGCCCTGAAAGTTGTAAAAATTGGAAGTAGTCTTATGGAAGTCTTCCTGAATGTTAAATACATCTTAGAATTACAGTTTAATTTTGTAATAGATTACTTATTCAAGCCACTATATTTTTAATATGTGACTACATTTCCCAAAAGTATAGTTAGTTTTGATGAGTCCAAATCAAGTATTATTGATCAAGAACTCAGAATTGAGTAGTTTTAAAATAAAGACAAATATTTGAAATCAGAGTCAGCTTTTGCTACTAGCCATGTTCTTGTTTTCACAAAGCCATGTTTTCCCTGAGACACTTAGCTGATCTTATAAATATTTAATGCAGGGTAGAAGTGCAGGGAAGAAGAAATATCTTTTGAAATGGACTCTATAACAAAATTAAAAGTAGGAACAATGGAAACAGGGGAAAACCAACTAAAGACAAATGATTTAAAAAATAGATAACTTTCCTAATTTTTCAACTCAAGAAGTAGAAAATATACTATCTTCCTTCTTTTATACTTATGCTTTGATTTCTACAGAGACGTGATAAGCAATATCAGATACTGGAGATTTCAAACTATACGTATACCAGCAATTTTGTTGTGGAGAATGTGACTTGGTCAAAATGCTTTCAGCAGAATCAAAACTAAGGGATGTTTAGAAATTCAAGAAGAATGTGGAAGAAGAAATTATAAAATATTTCTGTACAACCGGTGGTGGTAGAGGAGAGGTGTTTGGCAACGTGTATTTTAGAACCAATCACGGAAAGCCCGTGAAACTAATTCTCTCCCAATTTCCCCTGCCATTCCAAACTATACCTGAATATGGAAACATTCTAATAAACTAGTAACAAAAATACTTTGTTCAATGTCTTAGAAAATTTATTCCACACACTAAAGTCAACATGCATGAGAACACGTTTGGCCTGTGTCTGGGCTGGCCTGGGCAAATGGTACTGGCTTGATAAAGAACACATATTTTTTTTATTTGTAGCATATCCAGAGACTTATTTCTACCAATCAATCTAGGTGTCCAAATGTATTCTTAGCCACCCCCACAGAAATTGCCCAAAATGTGCCAAGTTATTGAAAAAGCATCAATGAGCATTTGATTTCTCATACAAGACATAAATCAGAACTGGACCAGAATCTAATGATGCCACAAGGGTGGAAGGTTGACACAAAATTCACATGGCCATTTTCCACCCTGTAAGGTTTCCATATTTAGTCCTCAAGAACCTGAGCCCTTCTAGTAACTAAAAAAGCTAAAGTTCTTTAGAGCAATTTCAATAGAGAAGAAATATTGAAACCTACAATAAAAAAACAGTGTCTAGAAACCTAATTTATATGTAATCAGAGAAAGATTAGAATCCATAACAATTCTAAATATTAATTTTAGCATTGTGTGTATATGTTAGTATATATGTGTGTATGCGTACATGTCTGTGTGTGTGTGTATATATATATAATTAGCCAATAACAAGAGAGAAATATAAATTTAACATTAAAATACTAATAAGGCACTTAAAATATTTTGTTCATATAAAAAAGAAAAATATTTATTGAAACTTATGAATGCCCAACTTATAAATGCCAAATATTTTATTATTTTATAATGGTTGATCCAGTCTCCTTTCTTTTGAAACCAGATACAATAATAACTAAGACTTCTTGATTTTTGTACATTTAGCAGAACCAAATCTATTCCCTAAGTCATTACTCTTTTCGGAGAGCCAGTACTCCCAAAATAAAGAAAAACTAATTGGTCTATTATCAGTATTAATGTATGCTGTTTAGTGAGGACGTACTCTAAACAAGACACTTTGTGAAATACTGTGCATAAATTATCTTGGTTAATATATTAATGATTTTTATTCCACTAATAGTGATTTTATGAGTATTCTTCTAAAAATAAATAGTATTTAATTGGTCAAGATTGTACAGAAAAATACACTCCATATTTCTGTAACTCTGTTTCTACTACCTATATGATGGTTGTATAACTCCTCACATTCTTAATATTAGAGTCATACATTTTCTCTATCAAGGGAAACTACCATGAGATGAATCAAAGCAAAAAAAACCTGACTCCTTAACATTTTGAAAACATTTCCAGTATGCCTCACTATGGTAGAAACTGGAATGTAAAATATTATGACTTCATTTGATAGTTTTTATGGATTAAAATATCACCACAAAATAACTACATGGCAACACTTGATAAAAATACATTTTAAAAGTAAATACAAATAAAACAGAAACAATTACAACATTTACATAATTATAGATCATGTTCCTAATCATGTCCCTGTACATTAAAAGAAATGTATCTGTTAAGTACACAAACTTAATGAATTTTAAAAAGAAACATATTCAAAAATCAAAGTGGTTATTCTGAGAAAATATGATTGTAAAAATAGCCTCAATGTTTTTTAGACATGCTAAAATAATTTATTTGAAGCCAATGATATCTGTATAAGTAAATCTGCTAAACATGTGAAATATTTACTTTGGTTGTTTATGCACAAACAGCTAATTAAGTTGTCAATATTATATTCGAACATGCACATATACATATATACTGATAAACATTCCCAGTTGAATGCTTTAAAAATATAATAAGATTCCTTTTTATGTGCAACAGTAGATAATATATAGTAGTATTCTGCTTTTATTTGATTTTCATATAAAGAAGTAAAAACTCTATGTCTGACCACTCCCCAAAAAATACAATATTTAATTGCACTTGACATTTCTAATTCAGCAAGACTATTGTTTTCCTTCCATTTTAGATGCAGTATTTCAAGAAGAAAACAAACAAACTCTATAAACGAAAGCCTCTCTGAGTATACACAAACACAAACCCCATCTTAGCACTGTGAGGCACAGGAAACTCCTGCATGATGGATGGTTGCTTTGCTAGAACAGTCAGCCATGGACACTCTTTTGCCCCTTTGCCCCATTTCTTTATTTAATTATATGGCACTGGGAATACCAAGCAATGAAATTGCATTTTCATCCATAGCTGATTTCCATTTAGAGCTTGTCATGTTAATAGTGAAATAAATTGCTCTAATTGCCAGAAAACTTCATCAAATTCACATTTCTTCCTTATTTTATTCAATATTTATTAAACTGCATATCCTAACATGCCTGCCTGGTAAAAGCAGCCCAGTTTCTGAATAAATTTATACCCTAACATTTGGTGCTGCCACTTATTTTTTTTTACTAGTGTTCTAATTTACTTCTTAAAGTTTGGATGCATTTATTCATATTGTTTTTGGAAATGTTTATTATGAAGAGTTACTTACAAATTTACTTACCCAAAGTTATTTGACACTTAGAAAATATAATAATTTAAATAAAAACCAATTAAAATTACTTATGTCTTCTGTTAATATAAGATTTAATTGTAAGATTTCTGGATGGCATTTTTAATTGACTAAAAAATATTTTGGTTCCCATAACACATTATTCCTGAAATACTTCCAAAAACCATTTGAGAGAGTTTAAAATGAAAGGCCAAATTATCATTAAATTATTGAGTAAGAGAACAGACTTCAAAATAAAAAGTACATCAAACTTGAAGTCAGAAGGCCTACATTCCAATCAGAGCTCAGTTACTCATTATCTGTGTATCCTGGGCTCAGTCATTTAGTCTCTCAAAGCCTCAGTTTCCCCCTATGCTAACCAAAGAACTGGATCAGATGACCTTTCAGATCCCCATTAGCTCTAAAAGCTATCATTCTCATAATAGAGGAAGAAGAGATGAGGAGAGCAAAGAGTTAATCTGACAGCAGGGTAGTTCCTCTGACTAAATACAAATATTAGTTCTTGGATCCCCAGGCAAAAATAAATCATGCTGACTATTGGCAAAAAAAAAAGAGGAAATTTTAACTAATGCTTTAAAAATATATTGCAATAGTACTTTGAATTGCATAATAAAATTATTCAATACTAGTTATAAAAAGTATGCAGAAATAGCTACCACTTTGCCCTTTTTTATGTCCACCAAGAACACAATATTAGATTGCTGTTCTGAAATGCATTTTCGCACAGTTTTTATGTAATACAGACAAGGTTTTCGATTTCTAATCATTTATCTACATGAAAAGCATAGAGAATTGAGGAGAATAAACATTTAGTATGTTTCTAGGACGGGTCCTTTCAAATAAGAATTATTTTGTGTCTTTTACTATCACATACACCATATGAGATTGAGATCACAGTCTAGTGTTTAAAATACAGAGATTTCATGTAGTTGCTTTAAATAGCAGGTAACATGATGCAAATTAATATTTTCTTTTGAAAATTAAAATATTTGATTTTCTTTGCCCCAGAACAGGCCACCACACTTTATTTCAAAGAGTTCTCTAGGAGCAGCCAAAGGTAGACTAATGTTTTTGAACAGCAGCATTGCATCTTCTCACATGTTTAACGGAATACTAGATTGAAGTCCCCGATCCATGCATTATAACCAAGAGACAACGTTATCTGAATTTTTGAGAAAGGAGTTGTTGTATTTTCTATCTCTACCTTAATTCTCTCCAAAAAAAATTCCTCCACAATTTTATAGAAAAATTGATACAGAGCTGAATGAGCTCAGATGAGAGTTGTCTAATAAAAATACTTGGTTGTTTATTTTGACATAAATGTCAATCATTGAAGAAACATAGGCACACCGTCTGGCATGTAATAGGTATTAAATATTAACTGAATCTGAATTAATATGGACCTCATTTTTCTGAATATTACCAGCCAAATTATAGTATATTCGGAATCATTCACAAAAATAATTAGTTTTTCTCATTCATACATTCTTTGCAGAGGACAGCAAGAATCCTGAATGTATAACACTTCATATTATTTAGATACTAGTTATAAATGAATGAGTCTGAGGAAACAATTTTGTTTATAACATTTAGAACTGGCATTTTCTCTATGAAACGTCTCATTGCTACCTACATCCATTCTCCAAGTGGTATTTCTTTAAAAGGTTCTGAAGAAGCTTTAAAAGACCAGAATTTATTTGAAGTTATATAGTTTGACCTCTAGACACCTTCTGTTTAAAGTATTAAAGGTTGATCAATATATTTTGCTAAAATATCTTGCCCTCAACATCTTTTCCCCTCAACTAAAGAGAAAAAAGTTAGCAATGATCACTAGAAAAAAGGCTGTATGCCTAAATCCTATGAGTTCTCTATGCACGATACTAGGTAATGAAACCCAGGCATGTATTTCCTTGAGGGTAAAGTGGATTAAATGTGTTGAAGCAATATTCAATAGGCTTAACATTCTATAATTTGGCCAAGCTATAAGATTATCCTTTTGGTAGTCAAAGTAAATTAAAATTTGCAAGCATACTGGGGAAACTACATTAGAATAGTTAACTAGGGGAAATATTTCCATAGGATTTGGGTCCATAACCCAATATTGGGTAAAAATAACCCCAGCTGAAGAAAAAGTAATCTCCCTTGAGGAGGTTCTTTTCAATTTAAAGTGTATAAAATTGCTACAGTAAGTTAATTTGAGGAAGGATACTCTGGTTTATCAAATTTAGAATGAGCATCACAGAACACTAAATTAGAAGCAAGCTCACCTAACATCAGTGCAAATTTTAAAACTGGAACAATGACAGTTTATGAAGAAATATGGAGAAAAATAACTATTTAAATATCTTGATAAGTTAACACCCTCTGATTTGAGAACCAGACTATTTACGTAATCCAAAGAAAAATACAACCAATCAACACTTTTAGTCTGTTTTGATTTTCCACTCATTTAAACCTGCAAGCACATAAAGGACATAATCCTTAAGGAATTTATAATATACACTGATTAACATATTTATCCACCAAATATTCATTGAATACTTATTATAAAATAAATGCTTGGTTAGGCACTTTAGCAAAGATGAATGAAACAGTTTTAGTTTTAGTCCTTTTTCATGTTTAAAATAAAGACAATGAGAATTACCTGGTGAGATTATCATGAGACTAAAAGACTAGAATGAGATGTTTATAAAAAGTATCTAGCAGAGTGACTGGTGAATAGCAGGCACTCAATCAGTATTTGTTATCATTCCCTAGCATAGAAAGCAAATAAGTACTCTTTAAATAGTAATTTTAAGATGATGTAACTAATTCAATAACCAAATAACAATCAAAGACTCTTCAAGTCATTAGTTACATATGTATTTGCACCTCTCTGCTGCAAATCTGTGTCATGGTTTTCAATGCCATGGTAAGCTTTGAGGGTATTTTTTTTTTAAGCAATCAGAGACTTTCAAAGATTTGTTTTTCAGAATAAAATTAGGACAGTTGTGTTCTTATTAATGACAAGTGACAAATTTTAAACTGTATTCTATTTAAACTCAGGAGATGTTATCATCCTATATAATAAAAAAAAACTTTTAAAATACTAAAATTGTATATCAACATGTTGGGCCATGTTTTCAGTGCTGGAGTTCAACCCTTGAAGTAAAATTTTAAGGCTCTAACTCCCCAAATGTTAAGGTATAATGTAACTGATTCTATAGAAATAGATGCATTTTTCTAAGTAAGTAAACAGGTTTCTATAATAAACTGCCCCTCAGTTAAAAGTCAGTTTATTTTCATAAAGTCTAATATAGGGACTATTCTATTTTTAATTATTTTATCAAATCTAAAATTAGAAATTCACCATTCTCCATGTTATAACTATAATTATTAAAATTAACACTATTTTAATATCTTTCAATTTGCATTTTCATTTATTCAAATATCATCACCTTAAACACTGTTAATTATACTCTATTGTTCAAGACATCAAATTTATGTCTCTTTATAGCGGCATCAGTAGAGACACTGACAGATGATATTCAGCCTCCCTCTATTGGGGAACAAGGCGAAAACATTAACCTGATTAACCCATGTTACTTCTCTGAAATTATTAGTGAATATTTGTTTTTCTTTTTCATGCCACCAATATTTTTTACTCCTTACAGCTTATTATACATAGGCATGTGTTTGAAAGCTATGAGATTTCAATTTACTTTGTCTGGCAGCTGTTCCCTAAGTAATTTTGCGTGAACCATCTAATCTCTCTGTTTTGAGCTTCATATATATGTATATGTGTGTGTGTGTGTGTGTGTGTGTGTGTGTGTGTATATATATATATTCCAGAAGTTTATAGTCCAAACTAAACTAAAAATTGGGAGAAAAATTAACTGAAAAATATTTTATTTTCCAAAAAACCCAGAAATTTAATGATTGCTATTTTACCATGAAAATCAGGAAATATTCATGAGCTATCCAGTTCATACAGCACCAGTGTCTGGTAGAAGTAGAATGTAAAATGTTCTCGCAGTCACCATTTAAAAAGTTAAAAAAAAAATGAAATTCATTTACATAATATATTTAATATATCCACATAAAATTATCAATGAGCTATTTTACATTCTTTTCTATGTAGTAATCCTTTAAATCTGGCATCTATTTTACATGTAAAGCATAGCCTGTTTTGCACTAGTCACATTTCAAGTGCTCGATAGTCACAGTGACTTCTGTACTAGAACAGATGTTGACAGTACAAACTTCCTTGAGACTAGGACTTTGTTTACCTATTTCTAATGACTAGGACATTACTTGATACACAGTAGAAATCCAACATTTATTAAATGAATTTGTCAAATTAGTAACTTAGGTTAGAGATAGGGGTCATCAAATTTTTATATCCAATCAGAGGGGCTAACAATATATGCCGGAATACTACTGGCAGAATATGTAATAAATGAATAGGAAAATAGAGAAAAATAAAAATAATATAGAATGAGATAAAAGTGAAAAAGAAAGAAACAAAGGAGTTACACAATAGAACAAAAAAGAAACAGATATGGAAGAATGAGGGAGAATCCCATCAACTGTTAACACACCCATCCTGAGTTTTAAAATAAATCCTATCACCATAGAGTTGCAATTTAGAAAAGAACAGGCTGTTGACTGCCCATTAAAGCTATATATCTGAATATGTCACTATGTTTAGCACTGATCATTTTTAATACCAGTTTGTAAAGATAAAATGAATTTGTTTCTTTAAATGCCTACTTTCAGACTATTGTCTGGAGAGAATCAAAACTATATGAAAAAAGTAGACTGATCACATGCATCCACCTCTCCTCAAGTCCTAAATTTTTTAAAAACCACAAATGGGACCATTTTGCAGAATATATTCATAACAATTTTGGAAATAAAAAAGCTTCTATCCATTAACCAGAAGCAAAAAGTTTCTATCAGTTAACCAGAAGCAATGACATTTCCCAGATGGAAGAAATTAGATGACATCAAACTAACAAATGCAGAGAAAGCCACATCTACAGCCTAAAATGTGCACAAGAGAAATCTATTAGAGCAAACATAAAGACACATAAACTCAACTCCTGGTGAATAAATACAGAAAGGGAGAGGATGCCCAGGGGCAACTGTCAAAATCGTGATTTAAAGATTTTCAATCTAACACTGAAAACAGTTCAACTCTTCAACCCCTATATGAGTAGATTTTGCCTTGAGATAAAGCCACCCAGTTGTACTCTGAAGAAAGCGAAGATTTTTCCTGGATAGGCATAGGGTCTTGAAGTCTCTCTCATAATCCTATGTTTCACATTGTAACTGCAGGGGGAGAAAGCAAATGAAATGACTTTCCCTTCAAGGAACTACTCTAGGATGGCCCCGGTCAGAAAAAGACCCTGTTTATTTGGTGAAACTGGGGAATTCCTAACTTGTCTGCCTTCTCAATATGAACATTGTAAAGTGAGACTACTCTTGTTTGCTGCCATATATACTTGAATTTTTTTTAATTTAGTGAAAGTTGTTGAGTGGTAAAATTTTCAAGACTCATTGAATTAGAAATTATGCAGTTTGTCCATGAAATTGTGTATTATCCATCTTCCAATTAGATTATACATTCTAATAAAATGTCTATTTTAGCCTCAAATTCATTAATTTAGTGCACTAAAATTTTTTTTCTTGCTACTGATATTGTTGGCAAGTACTCTTTCCAAATTACATAAGAATCAATTGTCAAATTAAAAAGCAAACATTCTAATTAAACTATTTTAAGCATGCAAGCAATATATATAGTTCTGTAAAAATTAATATAGAATCCAAATATATTCAGAAAAAAATTATCTTGTTTTCTATTGAAGTGATTGATCAAGATGGAAAACAGCAGGTATATATCTGAATATATTAAATTGAACAGCTTTAGATTAGAGTGAAGCAGTTTGGCTTTATTCTTATTTGCTTTATTTTGCTTCTCCTCCTCCTCTTCTTCCTTATTTTAGAAGCAAAAGCAGAACTGAACAACATAGTATTAATAAGGAAAAAAAATAAAATCATTTTGATTGTAAATTTTCAGAAAAATCAGTATATTTTTAAAAGTTACTATGAGCTAAATCAGTAGTAAGCCCTTATAGTTTTAAATTCATCCACTAAAGAAAAATTAATGTCTTTTTTTAATTTTCAAAGTACAGTGAATAATACTGGAAATATTTTGGCAAGTTTCTTTTCATATGGTAAGGACAGTGGAACATGTAGACAATTTAGAAATTAATGAAACCGTATTAAGGTAAATATATCCAATTTGGATACCATATAGTAATCAATGTTATATACCAAAGTGTTCTTCCATTTACAAACCAGTCTATAACATATTTTTGTTATGCATAAATGTTATTACTGACACAAATTAGAAATTGAAAAGAGCCAATAAACATTCCAGAGAATACCAACACAATATAACTTTACTATCAAATAAGGTAAATAAAAGATATCAACTAGAGGTCTTACAACTTTTGAAAAATTAATAAATTTATTCTGCCTACATGGGCTTATTTTGTGACAGCATTTTCATTTACATAATTTGATTTTCATATATTTTATATATCTCAGAACATGCCAAGTGTACAACTAATTCTGGTATATATATATAACTAACTCCAGTATATAACTAACTCTACTGTAGCTCTTCTTTTTTACTGTCAATGATTCTAGTTTATTAATATCATATAATATGTATACTTTGATATTAAAATGTCTCAACTTAAAATAATAGATGTAATTCAATGCTATGCTCGTCTATCCCATCTGTGTAGAAGCACAATTAACATGCCATTTTATGAATATCATGAAATCTCTTAGAATGGCATTTTAACACTATTCCCACAAGTCACAATTTAGTTTTGTTTTCCAGAATTATTCATTGAGTGAATTTTTAAACTATCTTTGTTTCTTCATTTAAAAATTTGTCTTTATTCTTAATATCCTTGGGTAACATCTATTAATTTGGACCCACTTGCAACTTTCATTAACTACTGTTCAATCTCCTGAATCATCAAGGTGTTAAATGGGATAGAATCTCAAAGTTCTTGAGGCATTTTTCAGCATGAATAAATTTTCATTTGTGATTATCTCCCCTTCATCCCACAATTTAAACAATCTACAAACTTTCAAATACACTTCCAGATACTAGCCAAACAGTGAAAAATATAGTTAAATCAGTTATAAGACCAGAGGTCTTCTCGCTAAAATAAAGTAAGATCCTACTTTAAGTTGGCTAAATTTATCTTTCCCTAAAATGCTGAATTCACTAAGACACTGAGTTATGAAAGCATGTTATTAAATTATTTTCAAAGTTAACTGAGATCAGTTTTGCCAAAAATATTTTTAAAAGCATTGAATTGAAAATCTTGTTTTTAAGTTTGTATGAGTACATAGTTTCTCAGACTTTGTCTACCCCTTCCTCAACTTGGTTGACATTTTTACGTTAATTTTTTTCAAGCACTTTTTTTCTGAACACATTCCCAAGAACTGATGATTCAAACTATCACCTCTGGTGAGTTAACAGCATCCCAAAGTGGATGGCAAGAAGTTTAGATCAAAGTCTGTGGTATTACATTAAAAAAAAAAAGAAAAGAAAAATGAAACAGTTAAATTAATTCATTAGAAAAAAATTAGTTATTTGGTTATCTTGAAAGTTCTTATCAAGCCTCAAAAATTTTCAATTCTACTAAGCAGTATAGAATTTTAAAAAAAATCCAAAATAACCATATTTTGGTGATTTTTTTTAAAAAGAATCAAATTTTGAAGCTTCAAAAGATATTTAGAATTAAAAACTAATTAGCACGTGAATTTACTTATTGCTTAAGTTACTAAGAGAGAAATTAAAGGAAAATATCAATTAATAATGAAAAGTATTAGTCAACTGCTTAATTGTGATCTCCATCCAGGTCCTTTAATCCAGAAAGAGCCTTTCTCTTTCATTTACTATTCTACTCTTGGCAAGTCATGATAAATCATCATCAACATTATTTCTTTCATTACTTTCCATTGCTAACAGATGTAGGGACCAAGAGCTTAAATTATAATTGTATAATGGACTGAGGCTGAATTAATTAACAATCCCAAGCTTGTGGGAGAATTTAAGCTAATTTATTTGGTTTTTTAAAAGGCTAGTCACAGCTTGAGGTATCTTTCTGTACTTTGAGATTACTGAAGTCATGAGGGAACAGGAGCTTTGAGCATTATTACACACCAAAACAGATAAGTTTTAAGTACTGTAGGCAAGGATTTCAGAAAATGGGTATCAGCTACAAGCCTTTTAATTTTTTTTAATATTTGATTCTACTTTACTGCTGTTACACATAACACTTCAAAAATATAAAAGTATAATATTATTTTGCTCCTCTGATTTTATAATAACTCAAGAAATGACAATGAGCAAGTAACACATCATTTTGAGTATCCGGGCTAGAGGTTCACTTTCTCTTAATTAAATTAGTCTCAGAAAGACTGCAGCAATTCAAAATGAGAATCCAACACGTGGCTTGTGAGGAAATTCTAAATAAGATACACATAGACACACATACACAAGTATACACAAATGTTTACACATATATCACACACATAATTATTATTTTTCTCTTCTAAATTTCCTTAAAATTATTTTTAAAACAGGTATATAGCAACAAATAACTTTGATTAGATACTGATTCTATGCTGGCAAAATAGTAATAATATTGTACAAGAACTCTAAAGAATTTGATGTGTCCTATTACAGTTATAGTTTCTTGTTTGCAACTTTTCCGGAGCTATACAAATATCCTGCCTTATCTGGGTAGAAAGCACAGTTGCTTTGGTTTTTTACATGGTCTGTGTCACTTCCAGTTCACACAAAGTGGTACTTAGCTTTCCTCGTCACCAAATACAATGTCAGATTCCGGGCATTTTGTTAATACATGGATTTTCAACTTTGAATTCTGATGCCAAAGGAGAGATGCATATTATACAAAAAACTTTCTGACACAACAGAGAGCCAATTATTTTCTAAAAGTAACAATTGAACTCACAGAAGACATATGTACATTACAATATGAAGCTAAATATAAATTCACAGTCAGCTGCATTATTAAATTCATCTTAATCTATTAATAGATATATCTCACCAAATATATGAGGAAGTAAAAAGCTAAATATTGATTCCTAACAGACAAATGAAAAAAAAGAAAGTTCCAAATAACTATGTGAGTGACCAGAAGCATAAATAGCATGCTCATGGCTTTAAATAAAACAATTATCCCTGAGAAAACTATCGATGATTCACAGACCACCTTTTTTTCCTATGTATCTTTTACTACTTTTCTCCTAATACTATCCTCAAAAACAATAACTACTTTTTGGATGATTTTTTTTCTGTTACTTGGAGTAGTATGGTGCACTGTAAGAGTCACACACGCCCACATGCATGTACACACACACACTGCAAGGGTGCCCTTTTGGATGCCGTAGAAATGTGTATTTCCTTTTACAGAGGTGGGAATCACTTGACAATTGAGCATTAAAGAGCATCTGACCCCAAAGTAGTCTTTAATCAAATCTGATGGCTATGCTTTTGCAGAAAGTGAATCTGAAGTTCCCCCTTTTTTCCATCATCAATCTTCTTCAGCCTGGCATTCATCAAGCTGCATGGAAATTCGCATTCACGCTAAGTAAGCTTTCAGGTGAATTTACTTTGGAACCCCAAATGATCCAGTGTAAAGGTCCAAATCATTCTTTCACAGTATTGCACCCAGATAGTCCCTGGCATTCTGATAAAAGTGGTTTGTCAATAAAATGCTGAGCGAAATTGCTTGTTTAGATGTATGGTGTCAGTTGAGAGACTAGTAGCTGAGCAAGCATCTTCCTAAAAAAAATGGAGAGATTTTTGAGTGGTTAAAAAACACTTGCTTGTGATGGTTGCAAAACTATGTGTATACACTAAAAACCACTGACATGTACACTCTAAACAGGTACATGTATGATATGAGAATTATGTCTGTTTCAATAAAACTGTTTTAAAAACTACTTGCTTATAGTTCTGTGAATAAATGTTAGTTTATCATTAATCTATTTTATGTACTCAGCTGCAAGTCGCAGGAGCTATTCTGAGGTGATTATATTAAAGATAACTAGATTAAAATCCAGATGTTTTTCTTCCCTTGCTCATTTGTGATATGTTCTTTATTTGATATTTTCAAAATCCCATAGTTAATGAATTTTCCAACTAAAAATGTAAAATTGTTGAGTGTCTGAGAAAAACTCACAATGTCCCAATAAAGTATTTCAGCCATCTCTTTACTTTTGTTTCCAGTAAGTTCAGATTTTTTTTTCCAACTAATAGAAAATCAGCATTTGCAATCAAAAACATAGGCTAAAAGGAACCCCTGGAAATTCCTTGATCTTTTCAGAATCTTCATTCAGGTAGGAGAGTAAAAGAGCTTTGTGATAGTTTAAAAACTTTTACCCCAAGATATTACATCGATTAAAGAATCATATTATATCCTTAATTCCAAAGCAACAGTTCCTAAATTCCAGTCATCACCTAAACTAGGAATCACTTGAACAGCTGGTTAAAAACAAGATTCCAGACCACATGGCTAAGACTCTGATGCTTTGAAGTTGAAGTGAGTACCCACAATCAGCATTCTAACTACCACCTCAGGTGATTTTTAATTCAAGAGATCCTTAAACTATATTTTGCGAAATTAATCATTTTTGTATTATACTATATAGCCAAAATATGTATTTCACCCTAAACATTTAATTTCACAGAATTCTTAGAATTACAGAAGTTTCTAAATAAAGAGAACTTCAGGAAGGTATCCAGTCCAGTCCCATGCTTTACAGATGAAGGACTTAAGATCAAAAAGGATAAATGTCATGCCTCAAAGCATACAGATATAAAGTGGTAAGGCTAGGACTAGAACTTACTCACTGGGTTTCAAATTTTTCTGTTTAGTTTCTTCCTGTGCCTGTCTACAATGAAAAAAAATTCTTTAAATAAATTAACCTATGGAAAAAGAAGTTTAACAAATAGAAACTACAGAATCACTTTAAAACAATGCTCAAAACTTATCTTTTCAAAATCCACACAAAAGAAGTTAAAAAAGAGACAGCAAAACTATATGCTTTATCCTTCCTTAAGTTAATTAAAATAAAGGCAAACTTTCATTGAATACTTATGCTTGATCCAGATAGCCATAGGCTAAGTGTTTTATTCTTATAATCCTATGAAGTAGGTAAATTTATTATCCCTAGTTTACAAATTCAGTAAACTGAGTCTCAGAAGTATTATATAAATTGCCAAGAGTCACACAGCCGGTAAGAGGGAAAGGCAGCCCTCAAATGAAGGTCTAAATGAAAAAGCCTTTGTGCTTAAGGGTTCAGTATGTATTGTCTATAAATACACCTGCTTAGTTTGGGTTATATTGTTAAATTGGAGGTATTTAAAGTTATCTGATATAATTACTGTTGTAATCAGCATTTCTTTCATTTGCTTGTTTTGCAAAATTAGGAACACAAAATAGCACAATGAGGAAAGAACTTTTTCCCAGTCTATTGTTTTATGTCTTTGATTTCTTTCCTCCTCAAAGGGATTGTTTTCAATTAGTTATTTCTTTTGCTCAAAATAAAAGTTGTTACAAATAAATTGGGTTAGTCTCTATAGAAAGAGAGAGAAAAAGACAAAAAAAAATCAGAAAAAAAAGAAGTGTAATAATATATCCTCCTTGTTGCAAATTTTATTTTATCTAGAACATTTTACCAGCTTTAATAGTTGTTTTATGTTTTGTGGGTAAACTGAAGCTGACTCAGTGGATTGGAGTTGAGAGAGTTGCCTAAAACCCAAGTAGATTGTTACTAAGTTATATTAATAACAGGTAAATCTACTGAACAGAATTATGTTTCCTGTGGTTTTGCTTAAAAGGCTTCTTATTTTTTATCATGTAAGTCTTGCCCGAAGCTGAAACTTCCGGTCTTCTTACCTACAACAGCACATAATGAAGGAGACAGAGAAGGTGAAAGATTTTCACAGCATTACTGGCCAATGGCATTTTGCTACATGCCATGGCTACAGAGAGCCAGTGGGGACCAATCCTCACCATTTTTCAGTGTTCTCTTTGCTTCAGGTTCTTGGGATAATAGATATACCACACTTTCAATCCAAATTCAGTGATCCCAGCTATGACATCACTGAAGTCTATGTCACCTCCAATACCTCAGGACTGTGAACTTACTACCACTCCAGGCAGCTCATTTTGTGGCACAAGTCAAATTGCTCAAAATTTATTCCTCTTTTAGGGTCAAAAATGGGTCAACATATAATAACTTCTACCTATTGTTTTTACTTTTATGTAGACAAACAAAATATGTCTAACAGTTTTCATACATCACAGCCTTCAAATGTTTGATAGTAAGGAACAAATACACCCACCTCCTTCCCGCAGGAGTCTAAGTTTTAAACGTCCTCAGACATTCCAATTCACTTTTCCTGGGTTTAGTTTAACTGTTCTGGTTTGTTTGTTGTTTTTTATGATTGCTGTTGTTATTTTTGTGTTTGTTTATCTTCTTGCTTTGAGGTTAAATTTGTTTGTTTTACACAAGTACTTGGCCCAGGTTTCTCAAAACATTCAAGTCAGTTTAATATGTAACCTTTCTAAATGACATTTCTGTAGCAAGCATAAGCATTTAAATCCATGTAAGATTGAATCTAGCTGTCACTTAATATATTATGGCCAAATGGCAAAGCAACTTTGCATAAGTGAAACATTATTTGTTACAGGAAACTTTGAATTGCATATAAGTATATTTTTATCTAACGTCTCAGTTTTTGATTGAGAAGACAGAAGCTCCAGTGGCTACAGGTTATAGCTCAAGTCATATGCCTCCTGTTTTCTTCTAAAGGCTGATTTCCAAGTTAGTAAGCAATTAGAATGTATCTCTTTATGTAAACAATGCCAGCCCCTTTCTCAAGGCACATCATTTAACACATATTTGTTCTGTAAGGGTATTAATGGACTACATTATCAAGATAACTTCATGTCGTTCCAAAGCTAGGGGCCAAGAACACAATATACTCTCATCTTTTCAAGATCTGAATAGGAATCCAAGCATCCTCCATTCCTTCCCCAAAAATCCCACTCCAGATAAGTGGGTGGAATTTTCCTCCATACAGCCCCAAAGCAGTTGTTTCTGAATCTTAAAGCAACCAGTGGACAAATCTAAGCAAGTAAAAGTGATGGCATTGTACTGAGGTGAGGGAAAATTACGGATTAGGGTTCCAGGTTTGCGGGATGGAAAAAGTCTGATATGTTCTGACTGGGTAAATCTACCAGGCCGATTACTGGGTACATCTACCAGGCAGATTTACGCAGTCATACTTTTATTTTTTTCCTGTGGCTGCCAGCATATAGCCTACCAAATCCCTTACCTACTTTCTTAGGGGAATGAAATGCAGTTTCAAGTACAGTCTTTTTTTTTTACTTCTTCTTCTTCTTGGTAATAGTGAACAAATAAGAAATAAAGCATTTAGAGAAAATGTACTCTGATCCTCCAGTTCCTGATCACGTTCCTTCTTAACACTCCATAGGCAAGAGAAAAGTGAAATAAACATTAACTATAGATTTTCTCACTAACAGGACTAAAGGAAAATGTATTTACATGACAGAAAAAAAAAAACAACACAAGATTCTGGCTATTATATTCTGAGTTCTCAGAACTGGAAAGAAGGAAAGGTTGAAAGTCTCTGAGGGCAGGAGTGAAGCTAGGGGAAAGGCTTGAGGGTGCTACCAAAAAGACAAGCATTGGGACACAGAAAGCCAGGGCTAAAAAAAAACAAAGAAGCTATCATTCTTATACTTTACTCTTTTTCTCTCTGGCCCTAGGGCCAGGTTTGTTGTTTTGTTTTGTTTTAGTAACAGGAGGATCATGATTACTTGCCCTATATAACCTCCCCGTGTTGTTGTGAGAATCAAATGAAACAATTACAGTAAAGTGCCTTGAAAATTGTAAAGCATGACATCAATATATTATTATTATTACTTGACTCCAAAGTCTTGTTTGGTAAGAAAACGAAACAAAAGAAAACCTGAAAAAACTGTTTCTTTTTGTTGTTTTTATATTTTTATTTTTAAAACACAGATATGAAAAGCAGAAATATACCCTATTACCAGAAGTTAAATGAAAAACTCTCACTGTAGAGTTTTAATATGAGATAATCACAGTGGAAAAGGAAACCGATGGTAATCATCTACATTAAATAAAATTTGTGGGCTACTACAAAAAGGTGCTCTTTTACTAATACTGTAACATGCACTATGTTATTACAATGTTTTAAGTTTTATATTTTGCCATCGTGTAATTATGATATATTAATGCCTTATAAAGTGTAAAGTGATTAAAGAACAACTACGTTTATTAACAAATTAATTGAGGGACTACAGATTCACTAAGGTAATAAAGGTAAGCAAATTCCTACCAAATACATGTTTTTGTAGAAGTTGACAAGAGCTTAACTTAATTAGAATCTAATATAATTTAAGACACTGAACTGTTTATATGGCAGAATTAAAAATAAAACAACAGACTGGGCATAGTGCGTCATGCCTATAATACTGGCATTTTGGGATCCCAAGAGTTCAAGACCATCCTGGGCAACATAGCAAGACTTCATCTGTATTAAAAATACAACAAAACATTTTGATTAGCTGGGCATTGTGGCACATGCCTATACTTCCAACTACTGGAAGCTGAGATCACTTGCACCAAGGTGTTCAAGGCTGCAATAAACTAGGATTGTACCATTGCACTCCAGCCTGGGCAAGAGAGCAAGATTCTTTCTCAAAAAGATAAAACAAGAAAATAAATAAAACCACAACAAAACCTGTATCTTTGCTAATAGCTAGACTTAAATTTGAGAATCTTTGAAGTACAATTAGGCATTAAAAACACCCCTGGAATTATGCACAGTGACTTAGATGTCTCGGTATCATTCATGGAATACCCACCAAGACATACATTCTTCATAATTTCTTCAAAATGCTAATAAGTTGACTTTGTGTTATTAAAATGGCTACAGAGATGGAATGTTGCCTTCCTGTGGTTGACAGTTTAAGAAGAATAATATAATTAATAGAGAATAATACGATTTTGTTGGTACAATGCAAGTTTATAGATTTCACAGAGTGGATACAATATTTATGGTCCTTCTTTCATCTTAGGAGTCATTATCTTATATAACTCTGAACTTTGAAAATTGAGCCTCTATGCATGTATGTAAAATGCTGAAATATAACCCTAAAAATATAAAAATAGTTAGGCTTTTCTGTTGAGGCTGGAACTGAAGAGTGAACTGGCTTAGGAGAAGACAGAATTGGCCTGGGTTCTAGACATGTGACTTCGGGCAAATAACTTCACCAACTTGATCTCTCTTTTCCTTATGTGCATAATAGGGATAGTAAGAGCTCTTAAACAATGCTGCTGTGAAGATTGCCTATGACAACAGGAAAGGTGCCCAATTTCTGTCACCTGGTAAACACTCAAAAAATTGCCTTTCTCTTAAAATCCAAACCTCTTTAAAAGCTATAAAAAAAAATCCACTATTTTAAAAACTATTTTATGTGATTACTAAATGTCTTCTAGAATATCTAATCTTTATTTAAAAGATATTTGAATGCGTATACATTTTAGAACTCCTATCACATTCACTGCATGCCAAGTAACTGTTGGGGAAGAGGTTATTAGATGAAAATAAGTCTGTTGTAAAAGATTTCCTTGCAATTACTTCACTACCATTACCCTGGCCACATGCTCATGCAGCTTTTCAAATTAATATGCCTAGATTACTGAGCCAGTAATCAGAGAAGTGGAATTCTACGAGGAACTCAATTACTAAAGAAAATGATCACTCAAGCATTTGAGAAATTGGGGCTACAAATAATTTTGAATAGTGGATCATTATTGATATTATGGAAGCATTCGGTACAAACATTTGGACATGTAGCACCAGAATAGTGTTTCATTTTATATACATATGGTAAACAGAACTAATTCCTTGCTAATATTTCTGCTAAATGTTATTCTCCCTAGCCGGAAAAAAAAATCATTCTTGAAATCAGTACTTAAAAAAAAATAGGGAGCTGATTGCTTGATTGAATAAAAATTGGATTGTTAACTCACATTTAAAATAAACTATTTAATTTTTCTACTTCAGATAGAGTAATCCTTTATACACTAGAAATACCTATCCAATGAAAGCAAATTTAAGAATTTTTGTCACTGTATTTCCATAACACAAAATTGCTTAAATCCTTTCGTCAGTGCATTTTAATTATTTCATCACCAAAAGAACCTCTTTTGACTAAATTATTATGAGATTCATGTACCACGTTTTTACTCATTTAATAATTTTTAATCAGGCCTTTATTTTCTCCAAATTAGCCATCATCCTATCTAAGCTCAGTTGCTTTTGATGAAAATTATTTTTCTAATTCTGATTTTTATCTAAGATTGAAAGCAAAGACTATTTTAAGAATGCTGCTATATCTTTTTTAAAAAGCATGGGAGTTAGGAAAGGTAGTGTGGGGAAGGGTATGAGCTTGCTATACTTATTGCTCTTTGCTCTCTACCAAGGCAAACAGTAAAGAAAAATCATCAATATCATGATACTTTCTAAGAAATCCAGCAGTCATCAGCTGTGTGGCCTTCAGGAAGTGACTTCACCTCTCAAAGTTTAATAATATAACATAATAATGACAATGATTAATGGTGGTGGTAATAATGTAGATACTGCCAGCATTCCAAAAATGTTATAAACACAAAGTAAACAAAGTATAAAAGTGCTTCAAGAGATTATTATGATTATTGTCAGTTATACTTTTTAGAATATCGGTTATTTATCTTTTGGAGCCATGTACCACACTGAAAATATGCTGAAAGATTTGGTCCCTTTCCCCAGAAAAATGAATATATATGCAGATTGAAAACATTAATAAAATCTCAGAAATCCATGGCTTTTCTGGCACCTCTTTATTGACTGACGTGTTGAAGAACTACATCATGGTAGAAGTCACTGGTTGCCCAGTCCGGAGCCATGCCCACCACACCTCACGCCTTAGTTTGCTCTGCCTTCATCACTAAATCCTGAAGTGTTCCAGTATCCACCAACTCATACGAATTTCCAGAATATCGTAAGTCAACATGTGTACGACACTCCTCAGTGAACTGGTAAACTGTGACTTCTTTCCCTCTCCTGCTGGATGTGAAAAAGGCAGCATGCTATCACAGTTGCTTTCGGCAGCCGTCTTATGACCACACGAATAACCAGCAAGGCCTAAGGTAAAGCCAAAAGTGTTAATGGCAGGTAACATAGTTAAGCCTCTAGAAAAGTAACCCGTATTACTCTAAACTTCCTGTTATATTAAATAAGAAATTACCTTTACACATCCTTGAAGTCTCAGTTCAGACATTCACTTGGTGATGATGTCATGGACTGAACCAAGAGGAAATAGTCTGTCGGCCTCTCACTTTGAAAACATCTAATGTATATAGAGCTTTATTATTTAACCCAATCATTGTGTTTAACATTGAGAGTATAACGAAACCATGAACAGCTTAGGAGCAGCGGGTTTTTTGTTTTTGTTTTTTTTTCCTTTAGTTGATTATATTATTGCATTAACAGAACAATGCCTGCTACATAATAGGAATTCTACATCTGTTTAGTGGATCGGTGAATAATAGAATGTGATTGATTTTGAAAGACATAAATGAAAAAAATAGGTGGATCTTGCCTACATCTTACTAAATCTGATAATTAGATTTTTGGTTCTAATTCTTTCTTCTTATGAGAAGATTAGACAGAATTCTTCATAAAAGCACAATAACAAATAATGTTCATATCAGGTTTTCTAAAGTGATATCAGTTACTTGCATGGGAAGAGGGGGAAATACTACATTCAGTTTTACAGAATTTATGGAAGATGAACTTTAATAATTTAGGGAGATATCCAATTCCTAATATTCAGTATGCTCAAAAATTTTTTCCTCCTAAGTTCTGGTATAACATTCATAAAGAAAAGTACACAAGTCACGATTATACAGTTTAATGAGTAAACACTGATCACACCCATATAAACCACTGCCCAGGCCAATAAGTAAAATATTACAAGCAACCCAAAAAAAAACTCTAGGCCTCTACCTTTAGAATGCGTTTGCAGTATTTAAGACTATTGTAGTTCCAAAATTACTAAAAGTAATGAATCATTAATGTATGTGTATTACATGTTAGAAATTTTATTTATTTTTTGAAGCATGCATGTTTATCATTCTTAATATACTTTCTCCTGTTTAATCTCTTATAAACCTTAAACTGTAGTGACTCTTAGGAGAGTGAAATTCATGAATATAAAGGTAGTCCATAAAACGTAATTTGTAGATTTTAAATCTGAAAAACATTCTCATATGCACTATAAATTTTGTCACTGTTCTATTTGATTTGCTTATCTCTACAGTGAATGAATTGTTTCTCTGAAGAGGATGGGGAAGCTTTCCCATTTAACAGGATAAAACTGAGGGAAATGAGAAATATAATAAGAAAGAGAGATTAAAATCTTCTGAAATTGGTTAATTGATTGCCTGACAGTTATAACAGAAATGCTTTAAATCTGAAACTCATCAGTTCTAGGCTATGTTT
Source organism: Homo sapiens (assembly GCF_000001405.40). Lineage (NCBI taxonomy): Eukaryota > Metazoa > Chordata > Mammalia > Primates > Hominidae > Homo > Homo sapiens. Next base: position 212,325,537 of record NC_000002.12, read on the forward strand.
TTCTTTTCTACTTAATTAGAAAAAAATAAAACATAAATGCATTCTTGTTTAGTTCGAACTGTGGGGAAATGCATAGGAAGTTGTAGGCAATAAAGTACCAGCTGCTTGTTTGGTGCTAAGTTTACCAGAGAGTTTAGAATTTATCATTCCTGTGTATTAAAGTTTTATGAGCTGCTTAGGAGAGGATGTAAGCAAAAGCCATGTTATCAAAACTGGGTTAAAATGCAGCACAAAGGTAAAGGTGTGAAATGGAGTATCATTACTAACCAAAGGTGCACTTTTGGGTTGGGGGAGAGGTGTATACTGACAAACAAATATAGGAAACATTTTTTCCATATTATTTTCCAAATGAAATTGTTTGCTCATAATTTTATCGGTCTAAGTATTTGGCAAAAAACTACACCTATTACCAAGACATGCCCAATTCAGAGTTCTGCCTGTATACATTATAGAAGATGACAAAGCTCCAATAAGCCCTTAAGTACAGAGCTGGAGGCCCAAACAGCCAGCCAAATCTTGCTGTATTTTATCCACCATAGTATAATCCAGAGACTGTGGACCCCAAATTGGGATGCTTTTAAAATCCAAAGTAGTTCTGTATACACATTTGAAGAAAAATGCTGTTGAAGAAATGTATCCATAAAACACTTCAGGTCAAAAAGCAAAAGAATATCAAGAAAAAGTTTAAATAACATGATTCCTACTGGTTTTAGATCATAATTATCATCCTATATTATTTATATTCGTATCACTGTTATCTTTCTCTGACAAATAATTCTGAAATACAATACATTTTAAAGTTATGCAGGATTTTAAAGACCTCGTCTTCAAGCAAATACAAGAAGTTTAATAACAAACTTTAAATAAATGCTCATTTAAATAAAAGTTTATTTTTCTCCTGGCCAAATATTTGGTGAATTACTTACAAAGATACTTTCAATGATTAGATTCCTTAGCTTAAAAAAAAATTCATTTGAATACGCTTTAGCCCAAAAGCTCCTTACATATTTTCGCATCACATGGAGACAGAGCATCTCATATCACAGTGATGGGTATGTTTTTTAATTTCTATAGAAATGCTATTTTATATAAACATAGACGCCCTCAGTCCCTAATGCATAACCCTTTTTACCAACCAGGGCTTTGATTTTCATGCTGTCCCAAAGTTGCAGACATGTTCACGACACAGCTGCGTTTGTTCCTTCATCTTGTTCAGCAACCTTTGGTAAGAAACTACCATATTTAAGATTGGTATTCTAGATCCAAAAGAAAAATGCATGTGTTTGCTGTGTGTGCATGTGCACATGTATGTGTATGTCTGTCTGTAAGGATAGAGAATGGCTGAAAATTCACAGGTTTTTAAATTCTTAAAAACAGGAACGAAGGAATTCTAACAGCTATGACTCAAAACAAGATTCTAATAAGTTCCATGACAAGTAAAACAACTATTCATTGAGATGTTAATAGCCTTGGTACCTTATAATGGAAAAAGAGAGATTAAGCAATTAGCTCATGGGTACACAGTTTCTCATTTGTAAATACTGATGATACCACCACCTGCTTCATGAAGTTTTTGAGACGATTAAATGAGTTCATACGTGTGAAGTATACTTCTGGTTACATGATAAACACTCATTAAATTATGGCTATTATTATTGTTACTATTAATAACACTGAGCACTGTTCTAAGTACTTCAAGTATATTATTTAACTTGATCTTCATGATAGCCTTATGTGGTAGGTAATATTATTCTAATTTTATAGATGAGTAAATTATGAATTACAAAGTTAGGTAACTTGTCCAATGACACATAGTGTGTATGTGCTGGAAATAGAACTTCAACAGACGCAATCCAAGGCCTGTTCTCACAAATAATGAGTTATGGACTCTGAGACTAAGGATACTCTTGGAGACCAAAGCAGAAGCTAAGTATTAACAAGAAAAGAACCCAGACTCAGTTAGTGCTCAAGGCAGCTCCAGATCTACATGTTTTGCTTGATCTCCTGGTCTTGAATTCCCTATGATTCTAAAACCAAACCAAAGTTACGTCATTGTTTATATAAAGGATATAATAAAGTTAAACATTAAGTGGGTCTGGGGAAGAGGAAGTAACTGCAAGTGGGCACAAGGGATCTGTTTTGGGAAAATAGTCTAAAACCCCTTTAACGATTCTTTTTTTTTTCTTTTTTTCTTTTTTTTTTTTTGTAGGGGAGAGAAACGTTCTAAAATTAGATTCTGATGTTAATTGCACAATTAAGTCATAAAAATTATTGGATTGTACACTTAAAAAGCATAGATTTTATATGTAAAGTATTCCTCCAAAAAGTTATTTTTTAATTTTTGAAAAAAAAATAAGGCATAGATACTCTTTCTGCTTTAATCACCCCTTTAATTCTCAGATTGGGCCTAATGATTTAGTATTTGTCATCTAAATCCAAAACAGTTTTCCAGTTAACAAATGACCCTAAAATCTAGTGTCTTAAAACAACTTTAAAAAAAAAAAAAGTCACAATTCACAATTTGTACAGGGCTACACTGGGCATTTCTTCCATTTCTCAAGTCATTTAGGAAACTCAGTGGTACTCATCTGGCAGATGGGTTGGTTTGATGGATTCAAGATGGCTTCAATCATGTTTGGAACCTGGGCTCTGAGGGTTCAAAGACTAGGACTACTAGCAAGGAGCATGTACCTGAGGCCTTTCTGTGCAGCTTAGCATTGCCAGAAGGCTATGGCCTCATAGTAGTCAAACTACTAATGCAGTGGCTCAGAGCTCCAAGTGTAAATGTTTTAGTGAACAAAGTGGAAGTTGCATCATCTTTTATTACCCAGACTTGTATACGACTTAGCACCGCTTCTGCTATAATCCATTACTCAGAGAAATCACAGCCCTCCTAGATTCTATAATTAAGGAATTTTGACTTCATCTTGTTGGGGAATAACAAGGTCACACTACAGAGTAGCATATGAAGCTGGAGATATTATGGTCATCATTTGAAAATATGTGTCATAATAGTTTATTATAATAATCACCATTAACAGAGGATTCAGAAAGGTCTATAATTCTTTAAAACTCAAATATCTGAAACACTGAGGATTTCTTATACCATATAGTATGTAGGCTAGGAGGAATTTGTGGGGAATTCATACTGATATTCTGATACACTTCAAGAAATTTATGCAAGAAATCTCCTTTAGAGACAAATCTAAATTTTTAGGGTATAAGAATAATTATACACTAATTTCCCTTGTGCTATTTTATATGGAAACATTTAGTTTACATAAAAATTTAGTTTCATTTCCTTTTGGTTTTTGATTCTAATGTGGCAGCTGAATACAGCTGTGAATTCTCTCCTTATAAAACATTTAGTGCTGACTAGGGCCAATTTTGGACATGCATTTTCTGAACTGAACATGATATTTGATAACTTTTGCCCCAAATAAGAAAAATTTAAATTACAATTGTAAATGCCTTATGTTTATCCCATTTTAGTGAACATTTTGGAGCATGTGAGAGAAACACATTGTACTAAGAACTTGTTTAATTTAAAACCACTTCAGTTTACTGAGAGCTTGTTATTTCATTTTTTCACTTTAAAGGTACCAGACAACTTAATAATGAAGGAGTAACTCAGTGTCATGTGAGTTTAGATCTTATTTTGCCATCTGCAATGAATAACAAAGTATTAAAAAGAAGAGAGGAAGAAAAAAAAAACTAGGCCTCTTGCCTGAAGGACAGGATAATTCACACTTACTTAAAGAATGTCATTTATAGGATTTTCTCACAGCAACTTGAGACTATAGAATTGCTTTTTTAGCTTTTACACACAGTCATTAGCAATTTATAGTGCCAGAGAACACTGTAATGGAAAAACAGTATGATAAAGTATGAAAGTTCATTGATTACATGGTCATAGCCTACTGAGGTTTGATTTAGTTTTTAAAGAAAGATTTCTGTTCTGTTCCCACCTGTTGAAAATACCTTGAATTTTTACTCATGTAACCCAGGAGTTCTCCACCCTGGCTATATGAGAATCAAACTGGGCTTGTAAGAAATAGCAACGTCAGGCTCCAGCCCTAGAGATTAGATTCATCAGGTGTAGGATATGTCTTAAAGTTTAAAAACCTCCTTACATGATAAAAGTGGGCAGCCAGGTTTGTAAAACAGTGATTTAACCTGTTACTGCTTCTGCTGGCCTAGTGTCACTTACTTCTGAGAAAAGCATGTTGTCTAAATATTTATCAAGATAATTTATAAAATCTTGAATCTAACCCAATCAGAAAAAGGTTCCTGAAGTGCCTCCAATCCCTTTAGAAAGAGAAAAATCTATCAGTCAGTATGCTCAGATGACAACTAACTTTAAGTTACTTTAAAATTCACCAACTTTTCCAGTGTTACTGAGGATGTTCTAAAAGAGTCCACTGAAATCAAAAACCATCTGGCTGTAGATCAATCTCTGAAGTTCCACCCCAGTAACCTTTTCCAAAAAGCGAGTTAGATGAAGGAAGTTAACAGTCATGGTGGAGAAAACAAACTGAAAGACAAACATTTCAACAAGGGAGAAAAGAGGGAGTTTAAGCTTTGATTTGGCCACTAACAACCATTGTGTGACCATTCATGGGCCACTTAGGGCTTGCTGGATACTATACTCCTCTGAAAAATGAGGGGTTGTGCTGTATCTGTGTTTTTTGTTTGTTTGTTTGTTTTGTTTTCTGTTGGTAATGGTGAAAGTGTTATGAGTTAAGCAGTAGAAAACACTTTCCAAACAAAATACATTAAAACAACCTGCAAGATTAGGGGGCTAGCCGTGGTGGCTCACGCCTGTAATCAACAGCACTTTAGAAGCCCGAGGCTTGCCAATTGCTTGAGCCTGGAAGCTGGAAACCAGCCTGGGCAACAAAGTGAGACACTGTCTCTATAAAAAAATAAAACAAAGCAGGCATGGTGGCGGGTGCTTGTAGTACCAGTTACTCAGGAGCCTGTGGTGGGAGGATTGCTTGAGCCCAAGAGGTAGAGCAGTGAGATGAGATCACACCACTGCACTCCAGCCTGGGTGACAGAGTAAGACTCTGTCTCAAAAACAAATCAAAACAAAATACAAGATTAGAGTTGTTCTGGTTGATCAGTAGGTGGGGGCATATGGAGACCCACCTATCAACCCTCCCCATTCACCAGCTGCTCTGCCTCTGTATTCCTACACTAAATGCATTTTTAGAGATAACTACTGTGTAATCTTATTTTCAAACCTTATGTTTTAGACATGGTTCCTAATGACCTCTTAAAGTGCAAATATTCCTAGGAACTAGGATTTCCTACTGGGTAGATTTTACCACAAGTGCGATTACCCTAATGGGTAGAATCATATATATATGGCTCAGTGAGGTTTATTAATTTGCCTGGGGTCAACAAGCAGCAAGTGGTATATGCAATATTTGCAACCAGAAGGATCTGAAGCCAAAGTATGTGCTTTTTCCTGCAATATTAAAATATTGTATCAGTAAGTTTCCCATATTTGTAATTTGTATATATATATATACACATATATATATATGCCCATAACACTTAATCAGTATATGAGTTTATGCATTTTATTTTGCATGGGCATATATAACTTTACGTGTAACACTTATTGACAGACCACATAATGATGTATATGCCGCATCTCTTGAACCAAACAGAACAGTTAAATCTTGAAATAACCTATTTCTATAACTAATAGAAATAAGTCATTATAATATAACTAGTATGAATAATACTTTTGTTGACTTAAGCATAATCATACAAATAATTAGTATATAAAACCGAGAATGTCTCAATGCTGACATTGAGGGGAATCTCGCAATGTTCTGTGTTGGGGGAATCTCGCAAACCAAAACTGTACACACTCAAAATATTAACAAACAGTAATAAAAATTTTTAAATAAGAAAGCAACGTAGAGAAATCTATTCCCTCTCCTTCAGTTTTTATATCATAAAACTAGAACCCAGGGAGATAGAAAAAAGCATTTTTAAAGGAAATAACAGATCCCAATCTAAAGCATCTATTGTATACTGTAGCTAGAGATAATATTACCAAACTCAATCAAATTATTACCAAACTCAAATTATTATCAAATCAAATATTACCAAACTCAATCAAATTAGTGTGTGTGACTGATAAGAACCTTACTCTCTCAGAGAAGTACAGATTTTAAATACAAATCTTCTTTTGTTAACTATAAACTCTTTGAGGGCAAAGATTCATGTTACATAGTTTTTTTGGTCATTTTTATACAGTAATTTACCTGCTGTATTAAATAGGAATTTATTTGACTAATAACAGAATCTTAAACCAAAGTACAGGCTGTAATTCAATATTTAAGCAGAATTAATTCTATATTCTGCTGGAGAACTTTCCAGAAGACTCCCCCAATCATACCTCCTATTGCTGTCTCAGGTCACCCATATATAAATTAGGATACCTATGGCTTTTTCGAGAAAAATTAACTAATAAGATAAGTATAGTTTGTCTCCTCAGTAGTGATACGGTTTGGCTGTGTCCCTACCCAAATCTCATCTTGAATTCCCATGTGTTGTGAGAATTTAACATGAGGTACTGGGAAGGACCCAGTGGGAGGTAATTGAAATATGGGGGCAAGTCTTTCGCATACTGTTCTCATGGTAGTGAGTAAGCCTCACAAGATCTGATGGTTTTATAAGGGGGAAACCCATTTTGCTTGGCTCTCATTCTCTCTCCTGACGCCGCCATGGAAGAAGTGCCTTTTGCCTTCTGCCATGGTTGTGAGGCCTCCCTAGCCATGTGGAACTGTAAGTCCATTAAACTTCTTTCTTTTGTAACTTGTCCAGTCTTGGGTATGTCTTTAGCAGCAGCATGAAAACAGACCAATACAGTAGTAGCTACTTAAATTCTTCTGAAAAATGCCTCTATAAGCCTGAGGGCAGTAATCATGCCACTACTCTGCCTTCACTCTTGCAAATCAAATATAGATTATTCTAAATTTATTTTATTTGTCCTACTTTTAAAATCTATAATTAATTAATATAAGTAATGCTGTCATTATTATTTTATTATTCTGAGACTCTTTCCAAGCGTTCTGGCATTATTCTTATGATCCACACAGATAGGGATGAAAAGAGTTCATTTCTTTCCTGGGTTGTAACTCAATCAGCCTCTTCAGTTCCAAAGATTGGTGGTCTTTTTAATCTCGAAACTTAGAGTAATAATTTAAAGTTTACAAGAATTGGGTTAATAAAAAGAATGGCTATTTGGATTTCTTTATGGTACCGTCCAAAAGAAAATCTGAGGGTTATTTTTCTGCCAAAAATCACTAGAAGCTGTGATGTAAATCATTGAAAAGGTGAGTAGTGATTTTTTCCCCTTCTTAGGAATTCTGCAAAGAGGAGAACATGGGTATAAAAGAAATGGGTATAGAATTTAATAGTAATGATCAGAAATGGAACTAAGATCATCACTCTAGCTTCTTTGGATAGAGAAATTCTAACAATCCCTAGAGAGGATTTGTGTGAGGTGGTTAAAATGAAAAGCACACACATGTATACTTGCACACATATGCTTAAATTCAGTAGATGGGTATAAAATATCAGAATTTAGTCACTCATTCAAAAAATAATTTTGAAGTGCCTACCTCTACCAGATTGAGCCCTGGGAAAAACTTCCTGGTTAAGAACCCTCACTCTAGTTGCCAATGTTTGGAGTCCCAGTTGATCATCCTCTTCATTTCTTATTTGATCTGAAATTCCTGAATCCGGGTGGCCATAACTAATCCTCCAGAAGTAGATCTAAAACCTGTCCACACAAAAGCATAATCTGGGTAGCTTTAAATATATATATATATTTCAGGCTGGACATGGTGGCTAATGTATATAATTTCAACACTTTGGGAGGCCAAGGCAGGAGAACTGCTCGAGCCCAGGAGTTTGAGACCAGCCTGAGCAATATGGTGAAACCCAGTCTCTACAGAAAAAATACGAAAAAAAAAAAAAAATTAACCAGACATGGTGTCATGCACCTAAGTAGTCCCAGCTACTGGAGAATCTGAGGTGGGAGGATTGCTTGAGCCCAGGATATTGAGGCTCCAGCGAGCCATGATCTTGTCATTGCACTCCAGCCTGGGTGATGGAGTGAGATTCTGTACCAAAAAAAAAAAATCCTTCCTTGGTCCACCTGTATATCTACTAAATCAGAACCCTAGTTTGCAGGGATGGAGGAAAAAGCCTTCTGGTCATTATGATGAGCTTGTTTGTGAACCAGAATTTTGGAACTACTGATCTTGGGTTCACAATAATAATTCCTAAGAAAAAAACCTTCTTGACTAATTCAGCCAAGTCACCTAATACAGAAACCTATTAGTTTCTGCTCCACATGGACTCAGATAGTGTCACTGCTATGTACCTTAACATTACAAGCACACTGGACTGGAGGCTCAATGCAAAAATTAAAATTTCTTAATATTCCACTCACTTAAAATTATACCATCTTTCAATTTATAATTCTAAAAAATCTTCAAATATTGGTACATGCAGATATAGCATATATAGGAAAAAGACATATGGATGATTCAGCTTTTTGAGGTTCTCTAAGTGAATTGATGATAATGTTAGCTAGAGTCAAATTCTATTAATTATTTATCACTCTTAATTCCTCTCTCTTTTGCTCTCTTCATCTCTCTCTTCCTCCACTATTTTCCTTTAACTACTGAATTCCTACTTATCCTACAATACTCAATTTACTTACAGGGAATATTTTCTTTATACCACTAAACTGTAATCTCTATAGCACAAGACATATTTGAAATTTTGTTCATTGATATATTCCCAGAGCAAGAACAGTGTCTTGCTCTGTACAAAGAAGGTACTGAATAATTAATTGTTGAATAAGTGAATGAGTGAATGCATGTATATATGCATGGATAAATTAATCCTATAATTTCTGTTCCTATAGTATCAAGGAATTGTTAGTTAAAATGTATTTGTTTGTTATTTGGTAGCAGCTAATTGCAGCTAATATAGAATTTATTTTAGCACTCATCATATTGCATTATAATTATTTGTTTCCTTGACTGGATCAAGCCAGGCCTTATTTTTATAAGTATTATATCAGTCTCATTCAGTGTACTGCATATGGCAGACATTCAATAATGTTACATGAATGAATGAACATAAAAAGCTACCTCTCAAGATTCATATTTATTAAAAATCTGATGCCAATGAATTTAGATAATTTAGATATGATCCAGATACAGTAATTTAAATGCTCATTTCATTTCATGACAACATTTTCTACTGGTTGAGAAAACATAAATTCCAAAGGGACATTATAAATACGTCTGGGGACCATCATTCATTTCAGTGCTCATATTTCATAAGTAAGCAGGTAAACAGTTCCTAAGTAGATCACTATATCAGGGTTTATATTTGGATAAATTCTTGAAAAAAATATATTTTAAAGAAAATGCTGTCTTTTAATTTAACTTACTCCTTACCAGTTTTTACCATTACATTTTTGAATCCTGAATGAGAGCTATTCTGTAAAACATAAAATCCAAATATTCTCTATAGTGATATATATGCCTCTGTAACCTTTTTAATGTTTCAATTAGTACTGGTAGAGTCAGAGGTTATATTTAAACGATAAAGGTTCTAAAATTGTATAAAGAGGAGCTACATATTTGGAGGGTCTCAAAATAAGGCACAGAGTAATTGAAAATCCATATTATATAATACATAAGATTCATCTTAACAATACAAAATTGATATGTTTTAACAAATAATACATTTTGGAACAGATTTCTGATTTTACTCATGAAAGTAGTAGTGGGTTACAATATGATATGGAATACAGAAACTAATGATTTGTAATTTAAAAAAGAAAATTAGGGTAATTTTTTTAATTCAAAAATTTAGAAAATTGCATCTATGTCAAGTCATTCAGGAAGAGTGAAATAAAAATTATGTATGAAAAACCTTGTTAAGTTACCCATAAGAAGATGCATTTTCGTTTGATTCAATTAATAACTGTTATAAGGAATGCCATTTTATGAATTAATATGGAATAAACAAGAAAAATTTTACTTAACATTTCGTAGGAGACAAAGTAACCACAGCAATCAGATTTTTCTTTGGGTTCGGATTAGTCATGGCACTGTGAGCCAATAATTTAAAACGTAAAGAACGAGATACTATGAAATTCACGAGTGGAAGGAAGAACAAAGGCTATAGTGAGAGAGCAAGCGTATGGTGCTCCCTTTTGTTACCTAGTTCTCCTTTCCTAATGTGTTCAGGAACTAGTTTTAATAGGCATTTCATGAAAAAGAAGTTCCACTGTTAATTTTTTTGAAAACTCCAAATTGAGCAAAATTAAAAAGGTATCCCTAATTCAAGTCTACTCACAGTCTTTATTGTACAATGCCTAATATACAATTAGTTCTAAGTTACTAAATAAACATTTATTCAATGAAAGGGGAATAAAGTATGTAGCATTTCTCACACTGCTCCAGTTTTTAAGCAAGCACTGGGGGAACTGGGGGATACATGGCGGAGGGTCGTATTAATGTTCCACAGGAAAAAAAATTAAATTAGCATTAAATTCGTGTTTTACCATACTTCAATTTGTTTTCATTGTGTTTTTGGCTTATCTGTGACAGCTTTTCAATCAGCTTCCTTTAATTGAGGACTTGACTTGGTTTCTAACTTTTAGCATTTAAATAATCTTTCTGCCATCTTTTCATTAAGAAGTCATTATTATAGACTGAAAACAGTCTTATAAATACACCATCTCCCTTCAGATTTAAGGAAATTTGTCTCCTTGATTTTTCTTTACTTTGCCTTTACTTTTAGCATTTACATGAGTTCTATATTTTTCTTCCAGAAACAAAACTCTGCCAATTATATATTGAAAGCTCATAAGCACAAAATGCACTGTCAACCAATACTGGTTTGTAGGTATTTGATGCCAATGATACAATATTGTTTACTACACTAAAAAGTCATTTATGACATAGAAGTACATTTCTTGTTTATTTTGATAGCCCGAAATCACAGACAAAATTTTAGTCTACTCTGAGGACACCACACTGCACTGAACTCCCTGAACTGCCAGTGAAATGTTCTTTGCTTTTCTAAAAGATGTGCTTGTAAGTACTTCAGAATCATAGCAGGGCTGAAATTTGAATAACAACATTTTAGTGGACTCACTCTAACTCTTCACTTTGCACTGAGATTAGGCTTCCCAAACGGAAACCAAGTTTTCCTCAGGTCAGACACTTCTACTTGTAAAGCAATGTCTCCAAGCTCTAATGCACCTGTGAGTGACTTGAAGGTTCTAATAAAATATAGATTTTGATTAAGTAGTTCTGAGGTAGGTCCTGCAATACTGCACTTCTTATAGGTCAGTACTGTTGGTCTATGGATCTCATTTTGAGTAGCAAGATAGAAGTGCATAAAATATTACTGTTGACTTAGAAGCTAATTCCATCAGTTTCTTAAGAAGTTTATTGCCTAATATCCAGCATACCATAACTTAACAATTGTGAATACATTTATTATCTTTTTTTTCCAATAGATTTGCTTAGATTTCTATTTTAAGAGTCAGATCTGGTCCAGTGATTTCACAGGAACTGCAAATAGTTTGGAGTTATTCTTTTGGAATGCTGTTTTTCCCTAAGGCATTCTTCCTTTTGTATCATTTGGTAAGGGAAACTTTCATACAATAGGATTTAGCAAACGAATTAGCTGTGTTCTTGATCTATAATAACCTTTCTCTTGTACTCAGGACATAATGAACAAATTTATATATTTCAATGCAAAGATGATTAAAATCACTCGGGACTAATGAGGATAGCTTTCAAGTCCTTTAAATTTGTGTATTTATTTGTACTTTCTATGCAACAAATCCGCTTTCACAAAATTGTAGATGGCACCTGTTTCTTTCAAACTGCTAGCTCAGACCCTCTCCCATCTCTATTACAATGTCGATTACACTTTAATGTGAATAAGAATCACCAGGGGGCTTATTAAAATTGCTCATTCCATGCTCACCCCAGAGGAGTCACATTCTGTATGTCTGGAGTAAAGTCTGAGAATGTGCATTTTGGCAAATACCTCTCGCATATCTAATGCAATCTGAGTTGGGGAAACACTGTCTTAAGATCAGTCCAGACCTTAAGCAAGAAGTTTCAACATCAATCCACTCTTGCTACTTAAAGCCTGATATTATTCCATCTTTGTAACTGAGTTTTTGCACTGTTTCAAAGGTTTTGTTTTCAAATATGCTCCTAATCTACAATTGCTCCCTTTGTTTGGGTCTTGTCTTGATAATCTGCCTGGTTTTTGCCATTGCTCCTTGGATGAAGGAACTTAACTCATAAATCTTCTCCGGGGACTACAGCTTATCTTTCAAAGCAGACACTTTTGAGAGTAATATTGAATGCCATTAGTAACTGTGCCAGGATAATTGACATCAGCTGAAACTGTCCAGGGCAGACTTTATGTCATACTGATCTTGAATCCCAATCCAGGAAAAAATGTTAACCATACTTCAGACTGGTGGCAGATGGTTATCCACTTCTGAATTCTCCATCCCAGTACTATTCTGAGATAGAAAACTCCTACAGGAGTTTCAAGGCAGATCTCTAGCTGTCACTGCTGTGCTTTACTACCTTCATTCCACACTCTTCCTTCATTCTATTTTCTAGCAGACATGATACTCTTAGTGTCTGGCGGTGAAAATGAGTCTGTCTTCTAAGACCCAGCACTACTGTGGCAGTAAGTTTTTTCCCAAAGCATCCCAAAGTGGTTCCTCAAGCTACAGATAATTGGGATATGAAAGACCATATGCATATACAAGGCAACATTAAATTGAGGTGGCTGTTTTAATTATCCATATTTGAAAGATCCATATATTTAATGTCTCATTGTGATGAAAAATAATAGTTCAAAGTATAAAAACACTTCACCAGATAAATGTTTTACCTATTTTGTCATCTTTCTCTTAATGTCATCACATGTGAAATAACTGATGCAATTCAGAGAAAAGAGATACGCACTAAAATATACAATATTTTTCTAGATATACCTACACAACTCATTGACAAGTGAAATCAAGCAACTGGACATTTATTTAGGCATTGCATCAACATTGAGTCATGTCCCTCTCCTCCAAGTATTGAATTATCTAATTATTCATAAAAGAAAATTCAGAGAAATAACTCTTCCCAATTTTAATAGAATTAAAGTACATTTAAATGGATGCTTCAAACATTCATATGGAGAAATTCAGGACAACGCATACACGGTAACACGAAATTAATTATACAAAGCATGAAGGAAAATAGACTCATCCATTCTCAAAACCACCTCATTCTCCTACCTACTATATTCAACTGGGTTTTTTAAAGATAATTAAGATGAAAATATCACTTTCAAAAAATGTTCCTAGTGCATTATTATCATTATTTTCTTAATTTTTAAGTTCCGGGGTACATGTGCAGGATGTGCAGGTTTGTTACATAGGTAAACGTGTGCCATGGTGGTTTGCTGCACCTGTCAAACCATCACTTACATATTAAGTCCAGCATGCATTAGCTATCTTTCCTAATTCTCTCCCTCCCCAACCCCACACCTCATCAGGCCCAGTGTGTGTTGTTCCCCTTCCTGTGTCCATGTGTTCTCATTGTTCAGCTCCCACTTATAAGTGAGAACATGCAGTGTTTGGCTTTCTGTTCCTGCATTAGTTTGCTGAGGATAATGGCTTCCAGCTCCATCCATGTCCCTGCAAAGGACATAATCTTGCTCATTATTTAAAAGAGTACAATAAACTAAGAATGTTTTAAAATGTAGTATAGTATTAGTAAATCATATACTCTTGGCTAACCTTACAGGTATGTGTTGTTTTTATAAATTAACTAGAACTGGTTTAACCCTAGGGTCAGGTTCAAGTGGTGTACACCAGCAATCAGATTACAACTTGATGCAAATTTTGTCTCATTAAAAAAGTCACGCATCCCACCACTTCATTTGCAAAATAATTGTGTACCTGACCAAGGTCAGAGAATTTTCCCTCTGTTTCTTTCACTGAGTGAGCTCAACTTATTAAAATGCAGCTAAACTGTGAGAAAGATTAATTTTTTTTTTCATTTGGGGAAATAACAGGGGAGAGCAAATTTCTAAAAACTTGGGGTTTTATAGTAATTTCTGATTTTCATGTTTAGAAAAAGAAATCACATTAAAAATATGCTTTTTTAAAATTTTGAGATAGGATACACTATAATATTATTGTAGTCCAGAAAATCTGTATACTATAATTCCTAGGGAAAAAGAGAAAATTATTAGTGTCAAAATACCTATAATTCCCACAGTTACGATATACATTTTTAAAAATTGTTTAAATACACAAACAATGATGATGCTGTCCTACTAGAAATGACAGAGCAGAGCTTTTACTCTCTTCAAAATGCATTAACACTTTCATATTCCTAGTTCAAATTAATATTCTTTTTTTTTTTTTAAGACAAGGTCTCACTCTGGGCTGAAGTGCAGTGGAGTGACCAAGACTCACTGAATCTTCAACCTCACAGGCTCAAGTGATCCTCCCACCTCAGCCTCCCAAAGTGCTGGTATTATAGTTGAGAGCCACCACACCCAGTCCAAATTCATATTCCAAATACTCCATGATCTCAAATTATTTTCAGGCCCTTCTTTCTTCTATAGCAATGGTCCCCAACCTTTCGGGCATCAGGAACTGGTTTCGTGGAAGACAATTTTTCCACAGACAGAATAGGGAAGATGGTTTCAGGATGAGTTAAGCGCATTACAGACACTGTGTACTTTATTTCTATTATTACTATTATATCATACAATAGAATGAAATCATTATACAACTCACCATAATGTAGAATCAGTGGGAGCCCTGAACTTGTTTTCCTGCAACTGCATGGTCCCATCTGGGGGTGATGATAGACAATGACAGATCATCAGGCATTAGATTCTCGTAAGGAGCATGCCACCCAGATTCCTTGCATGCGCAGTTCACAAAAGGGTTTGCACTCCTATGAGAATCTAATACTACTGCTGATCTGACAGGTAGGCAGTCTCACTATGTTGTCCAGGCTGGTCCCAGGTAATGCGAGCTATGGGAAGCAGCTGGCTGTAAATACAGATGAAGCTTTGCTCACCCACTGCTCACCTACCTGCGGTGCAGCCTGGTTCCTAACAGACCATAGACTGGTCCATGGCCTGGGGGTTGAGGACCCCTGTTCTATAGCTAAAATCCAATGATTTAAATATAAATACATATTTGTCTATTCGATGCTACTAGTATTTTCCTAGGTGACCATTTATTTTTATCATCTATCTCAGTTAAGATTTTTAGATAATCACAATTGATTTAACTCACAGGATTTATCAAGATCTTAAAAGGTATATGTAGGGCTCTTTGCTTTATTTGAGAAATAAATAATCACTGCCTCACAACTATGGCTCCATGTGTGTTATTTAATAAAATATTTAATCTTATTGGAAATCCTTTTATATTTTTTTCTCCACAAAGGACAAAGAGCTGAAAATAAATACGAAACAGAATTCTTTGTGGGAATTATAAATAAAATAAAGGCTAATATTTGCTAAAAGAATTTGAAATGTATATGCCAAAATATTTGCTATTATATAAAAATATAAGTATTATTATATATTTCTTTTTTGTCCCAAAAGATGGTACTAAGTATTATCTTAGAAGTGAAGTTGACTTTAAACATGATTTTCATAGAAATCTAGTAACTAACAATTTTGAAAATATCCAGAAATGTCTTAAATTTTTTTTTGTAAGTTATATTATTTGCATAGGTATAGCCCCTACAGTGTTGTTCAAATTCTGAACTTTTTAGCTTCCTTTTATTTTTCTTACTATTTAACAATATTAGATTGGTTATGTTCCAGGAACAAATTTCAGTCCATGGGTAAGTATTCAATGTGAACTTATTCACTGATTATAATAGTTGTTGATTGTTCAATAATATGAGGGATAGACGAGAGCTCCATCCATCATATTATAAGAGTATAGACTGTCTTTGACTAAATGACATATTAAAAGCCTAATATATGTCCCATAAAAATATTAATATAAGGCATTTTGCAATTTCTTTATTTAGTTATTTCAAATTATATTGTAGAACATGAATAAACAGAGAAATCAAACTGGTAAGAATCTATCTTCATTCTTATCAGCTTGATCTCTGAGTTTACCTTGGGCTTCAAAGGACCAACATAGAGCTAATTGCAAGGGAACCAGTAGGTATAGATAATCTAGAAGATGCTGTGAATCCTCTTAGAAGAGCAACAATAGCACTGTTATTAAATAATCAAGATTTTATTTTTTAGAAATAATATGTTGACCAAATATATAATAGAAAACTAAAGTGGCTTGAGGGCTGGACATGGTGGTTCAGACCTGTAATCCCAACACGTTGGGAGGTCAAGGCAGGAGGATCACTTGAGCCCAGAAGTTGGAGACCAACCTGGGCAACATAGGGAGATCTCATCTCTACAAAAAGTAAAAACAACAAAACATCCAGGCATGTTGACATGCATTTGTGGTCCCAGCTATTTGGGAGGCTGAGGTGTTGCTTATATTAAAGAATTAAGAACCTCACAAATTTAATACAAGCAACATAAATGATATGATTTGGCTGTGTCCCAACTCAAATCTCATCTTGAATTGTAGCTCCCATAATCCCCACGTGTCATGGGAGGGACCTGGTGGGAGATAACTGAATCATGGGGGTGGGTTTTTCCCGTGCTGTTCTCATGAAAGTGAATAAGTCTCATGAGATCTGATGGTTCCATAAAGGGCAGTTCCCCTGCATACACTCTCTTGCCTGCCACCATGTAAGATGTGCCTTCCGTCATAATTGTGAGGCCTCTCTAGCCATGTGGAACTGTGAGTCCATTAAACCTCTTTTTCTTTATAAATTTCCCAGTCTTGGGTATTCCTTCATAGCAGTATGAAAATGGACTAATACAACAATGATGCTGGAAGTGTGAATTTTTAGCCTCACATTCATGAAAACAAAGCCATATATCTGGGTTTTCAATTATAAAGGGGAAAGTAATGCACCAACAGTAATTACTCATACCTGATTATCCCAAATATTATCATAACAAGCATTATACTCCATTTTTTACAACTTTACTAGACTTCTCATCTCTTTAATAAATCATGAATCAACTATATTGTAGTTTCTAAACAATTACTTTGCATTATACAATATTAGAACTTTGTAAACACATTTTAAAAGTAGTATTCTTCTTATTCATATCTAACTTCTGATCTATGAGTAAATAGGCCCAAACTTTTACATCTTCCATTTATGTGTTCTCTTTTAATCTAAACCAGTTGAATTTTTCCATTAATGTTTAACTCAAGAATTTCTATATTTTTCTCCTTGTCAAGTAACTCTCAATTCAAATGATCAACAATAAACCTCACTAAACCTCACAGTGCTCACCTAGAATTATGGTCTGAATAATTTGATAGAGTCTATTTTTTATTTCATCAGCCTGGTCATCAATGAACATATTTAACAACTGTATATGCCTTTGGAACATCATTCAACATTTCCTTGACCCGCTGCTTAGGCCCAAGCTAACATTAAACCACTAATAATACTCTTGAAACTTTTTATTCTATGTGGATCTAAGTCTCAAATAATTTCAACCACACACACCTCCATATCATGTGAAAATGAAGTCAATGCTGAGAGAGAGAAACAAAGTGTCTATTGCTTTAATCTATGCTTGTCATTGTGTCACAGTCCAGAGTATTCAGGTGAAATTAAATTGCTAATTTTGTTCAGTCATTTTGATGCTAAAATGATAGGAATAACACATGATTTCCCTGTTAGAGTCAAAAGGATGCTATAAATCACTACATTCTACAACATACAACTCTAAATGCATTGAATAGAACATAAATTTATAACGGGATTTACTGAACAGGAAAGAGGGCCAAGAAAGCACAGATTCTGACTTGAATAAGTAAAACACCTAGAGAAAGAAATCCCAGTCATCTTATTCTAAACACATCACTTCAGCAGAATTCCTCACAAAAACAAATCATAACATTAGTATTATTCATAGTTATTTGCAAAGTTTTAACAGATTAATGTCTTTTCCCATAAATACTGAAATAGTACCTAACCTGATTCAATAAACAGCTGCAAACATTTCACTGGTTGACTAGGTTAAATTTAATTTTATGTGTTAATTTTTCATGTTTATCTCATATTTTATTTTTCTAGTTATATTTACTTTTACCAAAGCCTCATACTGTTTTTCATATCACATAGGAACTCATTTCTTACAATAAATAATATATAAGGACTAAGATGATTCCAATGCAATTTTTTTTCCATTTGTATATAATTGCTTTATCTTAAAAGCAAACCCTGCATATTCTGTCTTCCAGAGAATAAAGAATAAGAAATCATTTTAAATTTATTTTGCATAATTTGCTGTTAATGGGAAAAATTTAGGGGAAAAATATGGTTATATAGATGGGGCCACCAAACAAAGCATTATATACAGGTAGTTATTAACGAAATACAAAGGAATTAATGTCTCTAAGCTTAGTGCTCAAAAATAGAGAGTTAAAGCAAGTTTATTGGCCTCTGAACTAATGACATCATGGGGCTGGATAATTCTTTGTTGTGGGGACTATCCTGTGCATTGTGGAATGTTTAGCAGACTCCTGGCTGGCATACCAGTAGATCCCAGTAGCATGCCTCCTCTACCCAGTTGCGACAACCAAAAATGTCTCCAGACCTTGCTAAATGTCCCCTAAGGCACATAATTGCTCCAGATTGAGAACCACAGGATAAAAGAGCTGTTAAACACAAAGATAGCTACCATATATATGTGTGTGTATATATGTGTGTGTGTGTGTGTGTGTATATGTGTGTGCATATATATGTATGTGTGTATATATATACACACACATAGCGAAGTATAAGCAAGTGGAAGAAATCCTAAACCAGAAAAGTCTTGGTAATTTCGTAATACAAAGAAAAATGTTTTTTCTTTTCTATCAATGCATCAGGTAATAGAAACCACACCTTATTTCAACTCTAAAAGTCCTACTTTCATGGTATATAACAATGCAGTTAAAATGTATTGCATCATTTAATTTATTGTCTCATGATCAAGTACAGACAGAACAGTAGAGTGTCTAAGAGTCTAAGAGCCCTGGCTTTCAAATCAGAAAGACCTAGAACAAATCTAATTTTGGCAATTACCAGTTGTCAAATTTCAGTGGGCAGATAATTAAACTCTAAGACTCTTTTGTTATCTTCAAAATAAGATAATGGTAGTACATCTCTCATAGGGTTGTTGCAAAAGTCAAATAAAATAATGTTTATAAAAGTACTAAACACAGGTCGGGCGTGGTGGGTCACGCCTGTAATCCCAGCACTTTGGGAGGCCGAGATGGGCGGATCACGAGGTCAGAAGATCGATCGAGACCATCCAGGCTAACACGGTGAAACCCCGTCTCTACTAAAAATACAAAAAAATTAGCTGGGCGTGATGGCGGGCGCCTGTAATCCCAGCTACTCGGGAGGCTGAGGCAGGAGAATGGCGTGAACCCGGGAGGTGGAGCTTGCAGTGAGCCCAGATTGTGCCACTGCCCTCCAGCCTGGGGGACAGAGCAAGACTCCGTCTCAAAAAAAAAAAAGCACTAAACACATTGCCTAGCATGTAGTGAGTCATCAAATTTAGCTATTTTGTTATTATTGCTATTCCTAACAGAGTTTTATACTTTATTCTATGGTTTTCAAAGTGGAGCAACTGTGCTCCCACAGGAGACATTTAGCAATGTCTGGAGACATACTTGGCTGTCACAACAGATGGAGAGGTACTAGCTCAGATACATAGCTCTCTGATACGGTGGCTTAATTTGGGCAAAGCTTTAAAAAATGGAGAAACTACCTAGACTTTAGCTAACATGCCGTAAATGTCACTTCTCTCGGACAATAAGTTTTTATAGTTTTGAAAGTGGCATGAAATTTAAAAATATATTTCTGGGTAAATAACAGGTATATAGTTATTCTCTATTAACAGCTAAATTTGAAATGATATACTAAAATCACATAAGGGGAGTTAAGAAATTAGGTAAAATGAAAACTTTATCAAAGTTGATTTTAACTGGCTAATTTAAATCATTATATGTAAATTTAAAATGTAAATCCTAAAATAATTACTTTCTCAGCTAGAATTTCCCCAATCAATCTATGAATTTGGGTTCAAGATAAGTAATTGTCCAGTTCTGAGACCAATATATCTGGAAAATGAAGGTCAGAAAATATATTTGAATTCTCCGAAAAAGATAGAGAGATAAATACAATGTATATTTTATATTATCTATTAAGAAATTTAAGTTTGCAACTACATTTTAAAATGCATATTCTATCAGAAGTCCATGTACTAGAAAGCTTATTTAAGGTGATAATCAGTAAGCTTTTTGCTAATATTAATTGTCTAGACAGTTTAACTTCCATTTTAGAAACACACTCTCAGAAGTAGAGATAACCAGTTCTTTGTCACAGCAGATAAAAAGCTCACAGCCAAGAATACCAGAGCACTATTTTTGTCAGGTGCATATCAACATTTATGTTGTCACCCTGGGCCAGCAAAACATTTAACAGATGTGCTGTATCTATGTTTTCTAAGTATTTGATACCTATTTTTATATTTCCTCAATGATGGCCCCCCCCAAGAAAAGCCACAAATTGGCAAAGAACGTGAAGTAAAAACATATTCTCTTAAAGCCAAATACATAATGTCCGGATTTTGTGTTTATGTGTATGTGTTTAATCTAGTTTAAGGTGACTCAATTTTCAAAATCAATTCACACTAAACTTTGCTATCTTCCTTCATACCAAGCACTAAAACATTAAAATGTTTTAAAATATATTTAAAACATGAAATGTTTTAAATGTTTTAATGTTTTAAAATATATTTAAATGAAAGTTTGCATAAACTTTTCCTGAAACAATGATTCAAAACACCAACAACCATCATGCGAAAAAATATTGTCAAGTTATATTTGATGGAGGTTTACTGGTTATGGGACATAGTATGTATTTCTGTTACAGCACTATTGCAATGTTTCATAACTTTTCTAGATCTATCACACAATATGTGTTGAAACTTTAATGCACAGGAAGGAGCCTACCATTTGTAATTCTGAGGGCCAAGGTACTTAGGAAAGAATGGAAATAATTAGGGACGGAAGGAAATAAATAATTAATAGACCTCAAAATGACTATTACTTTTATGAATACTAAGCCGCATTTACATTAAAATAAATATTTTTCTAGGCACTTTTGCAACAACATTCTTTTTATTGTACTTATTGAAAATAAAACCATGTGGTTTCTGATATATGAATTAGCTTGTCTTTGGAGTTGGCAGAACATGAACTTGTGTGGCACTGCCTTATCTAAAAGAGTCATATCAGATAGGCCTAAGTGCTAACATTGTAAGATACAGTGTTGGGAAAAATGCTTTGGCAATCTTTCCAAAACACTTGACTCTCTCCTCATGGAAATAATAACACATTTCATTTTTGTAGAGATTTGATATGCAGATAAATGCCAAAGGAAGAAAAATGCAGTTATATTTTGCCTTTAATTTACCAAATCTTCAACGTATAAATTATGACCTATATAATTGATTATAGTTATTTCAGAAGTGTCCATGTTTTCTAAGACTTCCGTTATTCTCTGCTGCTTTTAGTAAATAATTACAACTTTGATAAGTGATTTCAAAATATTCCTAACTTTGTAATTTCAAAAAAAAGGGCATTGGGAATCACTAATATACCCAAAATGAACTCTGAGGAAATGACAGATATTGGAGTGTTGGATGGAATAGAAATAGTGTGACTTTATTTAATTGTTACACTTCCTTATACAACTCTTTCCTTTCAGATCTGAAGAACTAATCCAGGTTGAGCATCCCTTATTCAAAATGCTTGAGACCAGAACTGTTGCAGATATTTGATTGTCTAAAATTTTGGAATATTTGCAGTATGCAGTATATTTTTACCAGTTGAGGATCCCAAATCCAAAAATCAAACGATCATTTCCTTTGAGTGTCATATTGGTGCTCAATAAGTTTTGGGTTTGGGAGCATTTTAGATTTTGGATTTTGCATTCTCAACCTGAATATGAGAGAAATAACTGTCCATTTATTAATTTCAACATTTAATTAATTCAGTATATAAAATATGAATAAGTTTTAGTGGTCTGGTCTTTTAAGGGGGGAAAGTTCAAGAATCACTAACATTTTATAATATAGATATTTTAAAGTAGAGCTTAAAGGCACCTCCAGTCCATACAGCTATTTTTAGGTGAAATAGCATTCAATTCCTATTTTTATATATGTTGGATGGATGGAGGGGTATTTTGTCATTTTATGTATAAACCAATGAACTATAATGCTTAGTGTCAAGAAACAGTTTAGAACTCAAAAAGAAAATAAAATTTTTATTTTATAATCAAGTAACTTTCCTCCAAAAATGTCACAGGAAAAGGAAGATCGTGATAGTCTGTCATTGAAACTGAGCTCATACCCTCAAGTGAAACACCTGGGTGCTTCATTACCAAATTCATGTCTTTCCTATTCTGAGAAACATCCTCCAAGAGGATCACCTATTTTGGTAAGGCACCTACTTATAGAGTCAGATATTATCACATATAGCTGCTGGAAAGTGTGGCCACAATACCTCAAATATTATCACTTGCCATGAGTTAAAGTTTCCTCAAAATCAGCACAGGAAGATGAGAGTGAAGTTAAACACATATTCATTAAAGAAGACTGAAAAGAAAAGAAAGGGATTAGTGTTATTACTTACAGCTAATAATGAGAAACAGTTAATCGTGTATCAAAAAAGAAAATAAACTATTGTTTTAAAACTCAAATTCGTAACACATCGTCACATTCTGAGAAGCAAGGAACATCTGTTATAGAATGTGAAAAAATTATTTCTAAAAATAAAAATGTAAAAATAGAAGAAAGTAAACATCTAAATTCAGTGGACAGACTTGGTCAGAAATAGTTTCAATGCCTAGGGCCACCGTGTACTGCAGGAACTGGTGGCATTACTGACAGTCTATGTTTTCCTTCAGTGTGCACAGTCTGCCATTTCAATCACACAATATTCAGTTCTGTCCTAAGCAAAACCTGCTTTTAAAAAACGATTCAAAACCTGCTCATAATAAAATTAATGACAGGCAATGAAACTTCTGTAATGATAATCCAAGACTTAGGCAAAGAAGTAGGAACTATAACTGGAGTATTTAGTGAAGTTTTTAACCAAAACTCCACTAAATTCACATAAAGAAAGAGAGCGGAATCTATGAAGAAAGCCAGTCTGTGTGTGGTGGTCCTATAGGTGGACCTCTGCTTTCACAAACATGATATGATTGTCAATATTTTATTTCGAAAAGGATATAATGATTTGTGTCTCAAAAGTGGTGACACGAATATAGGTATCATGAGGTGATATGTCACAAAATGTCTTCTGAAGATGGAGACATTAATTTACATTTTTTAGAATAGAAGAGTTGTAATTGTTCACCAGGTTTTATACCTGGGCTGTTAATCACTAGTCACATGTGGTATCTAAATTCAAATTTAAGTTAAATAAACAATATAAAACTAAGAGTTCAACTTCTTAATCACACACACACACACACACACACACACACACACACCCTTCAAGTGTTTGACAGCCCTGCTGTGACTAGCGACTACCATATTGGACAGTGTACATATTGGACATTTCCACACACTGGAAAGGTTTATTGAACAACAGTTGTTCTAAAATGTATACAATTGTTACCAATTAGGAATACATTTGGCTAAAAGTAACAGAAAACCTGACTAACAGATTAAAATAAGAGTTAAGTTTTCTGTCATAGTAAGTGCAGGGGTTAGCACTTATTGATATTGACCTAGATGGGAACTGATGTCCCCAAGAAAGCAGATTCTTTTAGTATTTCCTTAGTGCTGTGAAGTCTGCCCTTATGCTTTTTATTTCCTGGATGCAAGAAGGCTGCTGCAGATACAGATATTCTTGCACATTCAAAACCAGAGGAAAAGTAGAAAAGGGAGTAGAAGTTGCAGTTATCCCGTAGTAAAGCAATTGCTTTCCTAAAAATATCCCATAAACTTCCACTTATATCTTGGCCAAAACTATATCTTATAGTTGCTCTAGGAAATGTTCCCAAGAAGACTGGGAAAGCAATCCCAGCAAAATCAAGGTTCTGTTAATAAGGAAGAAGGGGAAAATAGATTTGGAAAGGCAACTCACCATGCTCATCACAGGCTTCCTGAAGATTTGTCCTTGAAAAAAACAACTTGATGAAAAAATGAACAAAGGTAAATATAGTTCCTTCCACAGAAAAAACTTTTAAAGAGGAATTTTAAAATCAATGCTTAAAAATTAACCTCTTTTTTTTCTGCCATGTGAAGAAGTACAGTTTCTAAATGCAAAGAACTTCCAAGTTATTAGTTAGTGTAAGGCATTCCAACAAAAAGTGCTATAATCAAAGTAGATTAATACTTCCAATATGCTCTCATGTTTTGATTAATTATGTGTGATATATTCTTTATGTGGTATAATATAGAAATGAATTTTCCTAGCTGACAACATAACTATTTAGTTAAAGAATTTGGGCTAAGACCTTAGAGTGTAAAGCTATCCATTTACACAAGAATAGTTTCCTTAAGAGGAAAAATACGAGGTTTTCCCTCTTTCCCTTAGTATGTTTACTATGGAATAAATATTGCATGAGATGAATTCCAAGAACATAAGCAAATGTTTTGCTGTCTTTAATACTAACATGGAAAGATATAGCAACTATTCTAGAAAGTTCTGCGTAAAAAATATTTAAAACATGTGCCAACTAAAAGAGATATTGAATGGCTCAAAAGTAATAAGACAAAGACATTAAGATTATATTCCCTTCATATCAGACATTTTCCCTATTAATATTAGAAAATTGTAAAGCGATATTAAGTCGTTCAAATCTTTCATGAGTTCTATGATCAGTAAAACACAAATATTTATGTCATGAGTTTATAAAATTGCCTACTATTCTTAGAATGACACAAGTTTTCAAGAAATACACATCATAAAGAAGCATATTAAGTAAACTATAAATAAGGTGACAAATTCAAAATAAAGACTGTAAAATAATAAAAAAAATGCACATTGTCAAGACTTGCAATAAGGCTGACTTTAGATAATCTGCATTGACACTGTGTTCTAATGAGTAAAAATATGATCCCACTTTGAAATAAAAAGC
Source organism: Homo sapiens (assembly GCF_000001405.40). Classification (NCBI taxonomy): domain Eukaryota; kingdom Metazoa; phylum Chordata; class Mammalia; order Primates; family Hominidae; genus Homo; species Homo sapiens. Next base: position 212,350,919 of record NC_000002.12, read on the forward strand.
AAGCAAGGTGCAAATGGAAAATGACCTGCACACATATCTCCATGGAGCAGGGAAGGGCTATTATTATCAGCTAGTGGGTATTACTGGCTGAATCATATCCCCCTCCAAATTCATGTATTGAAGCCCTAATCCCCAGTACCTCAGAATGTGATTGTACTTGGAGATTCTACTTGGAGTATGTACTTGGAGCCTTTAAAGAGGTGATTAGGTTAAAATGAGGCCATTAGGGTGGGTCCTAATCAAACCTGACAGGTGTCCTTATAAGGAGAAGAAATTAGGGCAGAGACCCTAGGAATGTGCAGGCACCAAGGAAAGACCACAGGAAGACACAGAAAGAAGGTAGCTACCCACAAGACACAAGAGGGGCCTGAGCAGAAATCAAAACTGCCAATGCCTTGATCTTGGACTTGTAGCCTCCAGAACTATGGTAAAATAAATTTATGTTGTTTAAGCTACCCAGTCCATGGTTAAGCTACCCAGCTGTTGTTATGGCAGCTTTAGCAAACTAAAACAGTGAGAATGACAGAGAACAGAATGAATTTCTGAGTTGCTTCAAACAGTGTGTCTTTCAGAGCTGATGACATTAATTTGATTTGATTTATAATATAAAATTTGAGTTGATCATTCCCCACAAGTTTTTAAGCAGTGCTGTGCAATATTTTGCCATTGGCTATGTGTAGCTGGGTAAATTCAGGTTAATTAAAATTAAATAAAATAAAAAAATCAGTTCTGTCATCATGCTAACCACGTTTCAAGTGTTTAATAACCACAATAGCTATTGGCAAGAAGGTAGTCATTTTTTTGTCTTTCTACACTTTTTCCACTAATGGAGCATATAATCAAAGCATGTATAAACATCTTCGTTGCTATGTATTATACTGAGATAATCATGTTGCTAAGGTCATACATTGCAAATGACCCTCACATAAATGAATTAGCACAGTGTCATCTTTTCAAACACAGAAAGACTTTATAAAACAATGGTAATAAATCAACCTAAATGTCTATCAGTGGTAGACTGGATAAAGAAAATGTGATACATATACACTGTGGAATACTATGCAACCATAAAAAAGAAGGAGATCTTATCCTTTGTGGCAAGATGAATGGAGCTGGAGGTCATTATCTTAAGCAAACTAATGCTGGAAAAGTAAACCAAATAGCACATGTCCTCATTTATAATTGGGAACTAAACAATGAGAACATATAGACAAAAAGAGGAAGACAACAAACACTGGGGCCTCCTTGAAAATGGAGGGTAGGAGGAGGGAGAGGATCAGAAAAGTACCTATCAGGTACTATCCTTTGTACCTGGGTGATGAAATAATCTGTACATCAACATCCCAGGATGTGAGTATACCAATGTAACAAACCTGCACATGCACCCCTGAACCTAAAATAAAAGTTAAAAAAAAAAAAACACTTTATTTTAGATTGAAAAAAACAAAGAAAAGAAAAAGAAATAATCAAGACAAAAATCTTGACCAACAGACCAGAAGTTCTTCTTTGGGGAAATAAAACTAATAATTTATTACAAAATGTTTATCAAGCTAGTTGAAATTTCAAGTTTAAAAAATCTTAATGTTTGATATATTCTTAGATTCATTAAATGAAGTATGCAAATGTATATGTGTAAAACCATAGAAATAAAATGAATTTAATGAACTGGCCAGGTGTGGTGGCTCATGCCTGTAATCCCAGCACTTTGGGAGGCTGAGACGGGAGGATCACAGGAGGTCAGGAGCTCGACACCAACCTGACCAACATGGTGAAACCCCATCTCTACTAAAAATACAAAAATTAGCTGGGTGTGGTTGTGGGCACCTGTAATCCCAGCTACTTGGGAGGCTGAGGCAGGAGAATCATTTGAACCTGGGAGGCAGGGGTTGCAGTGAGCTGAGATCATGGCACTGCACTCCAGCCTGGGTGACAAGAGCAAAACTCTGTCTCAAAAAAATAAAATAAAACAAAATAAAGAAATAAATTGAATTATAATTTACTTTAACAGTAGCACAATTTTTTTTCATGGGCAAATTAAATCACTCTAAACCAACGAAAATGAAAATGAAAATATCCTTCCTTAGTAAAATAACTGTTAAAAATCCTTTTACTGTGGTGAGTTGCCTGGAATACTGGAAACTTTCCCTACCCCCACCTCACAATTCTAATTTCATGTTTTTCTGTGTCAAATGCAGCCGTCAGGACCAGTTCTAGGGGATAATTGTTTTTGTTAGGCTTTGAATTCTCTGGCAATAAATGCATGTCCTTAAACTTTAATGATTTGGGGCCCACTAAAAATCATGAAGTGTTATACAAATTATCAGAGATTTTGTATCATTATACAATACAAAATACAAAATAATTTGTATCATTATACAAATTATTATAAAAGATATACAAATGTATATAATATATGCAAATATGTATATAATATGTACAAATGTACGTATTATACATATATGTGCTGTATATAATACATACAAATAAAATTTGTATAAAATATTATATAAATAAAAGTATACAATATAAACAAATATTTTATAATATATACATATATAAAATACAAATTATTTCCTAGACAGATATAATCTACACTAGCTTTTTCCTATTAGTTTCCTCTGTACCTTCTGAAAATTTGTACTCTAAATTTTCTTTCTAAAAATTTGTACTTTAAAAATCTATGTGATGTGTCTGAAAGTGCTCACTAGAACACAAAGCTGATAAATGTTGAAAAAAGAGGAAAGAAATCTACACTCAAATACATTTAGTAGTACAGTGTGTAAAAGTGTGTGTATGGGGAAATAAATTATGAAACATCAGGCTGTAGAGTTAAGTGGGCACCAGATCATAAGACTCATGGGACAGACTAAATAAATGTCCCCTGTTACACTTGAAACCATGTAACTAAATCTGGCCACTCAACTACAAGCAGAAATAACTGTTGTAACTTCTGGACCAGTGCAGTTAAGAAGCAGTGCACCTCCTTAATTCCTTTCTTCTTCTTATACAGGGACTTGGGAGTCCACATGTGCTAGATGGTGTAGCCACAGGATGGAGAAGAGTAGCTGACCTATACTGAACATTTCAATGAGTGAAAAATAAACCTGTGCTGTGTTAAGCTTCTGTTCCATTTCAGAATATTTCCATCGCTACAGGATTGATCTCTTACCTGGCTCATCCTTACCAATGAAGGCTCTTCATATTTTTTATTCTACTGAGATATTTGTAATTAGTCTTTTTTCACATGCACTTGATTAATCAAAATTATACATAATTATTGTATAAGTGAGGTTTAAAGCAACTGTCCCTAAGCAGCTTCATACAGGTAAATGTCTACAGTCAGGAGCTGGCAGCAAGTTTGAATCTAGGTCATGTGATATTTTTGAATGATTGAAGAGCTGTGAGACTCCTGAGGTGCTTTGCAATTATTAATAGGTCATAAGGAAAGGCGGCCAAAGCCTGAGCATGAGGGGTGCCACATGAGAGAAGGGTAGCAAATGTAAATTTCTAGATCTCATGAGGTGGCCTACCAACTGGTACTACATAATCTCAGCAATATATTTACATGCAATACAAAGGTGTACACATAAAGTCCATGTTGACATATTTACACATACACACTAGGAAATAACTTGGATCTTCCTGGGTATCTCATTCTTACACCAGCAATTTCAAAAGAAGCAATGCTTTTTATCTTTAGACCTGACTTCCAAATCTGTTTACAGACAGAGAGTGAGGTGAGCTATTGTTCTTGAAAACCAACACTGCCATTATGAAGTATTTCTGAGACCAACAGACCCTTTCATGGTAGCTTTCATTTACAGAAAGAGAAGCAAAAAAGGTAATTGAAGAGAAAGTAGGTAAAAATCTGTTGAAGTTTCCAAGTGGCTTTTACCAACTTAAGTTGGGTTTGGAAATACTTATATATCTGCTGGTTCTTTTTTTCTTTTCCTTTGTTTTATTTTCAGGAGGCCCCTATTAGCTATATATTAAATACAGATACTCGTGTTAGGCTTATGAGTGCTACAATGTTAAATAAGGCCCAAGTCCCTGTCCTGAGGGAACAATGTAAGAGGGCACATGTGACCTTGATATTTAATTTAAATTGCATATTTTAAGATTATTGTCTATTATATCTATTAGAGTTGTCTTGAATAGTTTTACAATAAAATGTGACCAGTCAGTATTTAAATAATACAAGTTATATTTTCAACTTCAACTATTTATGCTATCTATACTTCATAGTACATAAACTCCATTGCACTTAGCACTTTGTGTATAATTTTACCTTGTATTTTATAACTAAGACTACTACATCTTTGGTAAAATTATCAAGAATAATAACAGTTTATTATTATCTAGACCCTAGGGTTTTGTACTACAGTATTGGGCTATAAGCAAACTATCAGCTCCATAATAAACTTTAGAATGAGCTTCTGCATGGTGAGGGGAAACATGGTTTGAAGTAAACTATGAAGTTTGCTCCCTTTGGAAATAAAAGGGTCTTGATCTACAAACCTACTGAAGTCTTTAAATAGTCATTGTATGTTGAGTGGCACTTGGCCCAGCTTTGGCTTAACAGCTATGGAAAAATCCAGGGGAGATAAGAAATCACCGTGCTAAAACTTTAAGGCATAGCAAGGCTGCTCGTTATTGTAATAGTTATGAGCCTATTTTTCCCAGCTTCTCCATAAAAGACATTTTAAAACCTTGCATATCATTGCAATATGCTCATAAATAAACAGGTAGTCATCTTGTCAGTATGGAGTTTATTATAGGTTGTAACTAAAACGTATCCTTTAAAGGGTATATGTTATATTAACTGTGATAGATATATATGCATGTGTGTATTTATGTATATATGTATATGCATGTATGTATATATGTGTGTATGTGTGAGTGTGTATATATATGTGTATATATATAAAATCATCTAATATATTCCAACCTATGGCATCACCTATCTGTTCCCACCTCACTTCCAACCTTTGCTAAGGAAGTTAGTCATGTCATTTGTAAGGGTAAATTTGAAATGTGCAGCTCAGTCCCACTGACGCTAAGGAAAAAAGCACTAAACAAAATTAAATTAATTCCTCTTTATATATAGTAATGCATTTCAAATAAACTCCCAGAGGGTATAAAACAGTTATTGTTTATCCTTACAATTATTATATATTCAAGTCTGAACATAAAAGCAATTGATCTTTTCTGTAAAATGCTGATTCTATTAACAAACCCACCTTTAAATATTACTCGCTGTTCCAAACTGCTTTTTGTAGACTGCTTCAGCCAGTACTTTGGAGGGGGCAGTCAACCATGTTGCTGTACTGATCCTCACACAACTACAGAAATTACAAATATGTTTTCACAGGAGCAGCAAGACCTCATTAATCAAGTTGTACACACTTCCATCAGCCACAGGCAGAGCCAATGGGTCTGTCTCAGATGTCCCACCCTAAATTCTGTATTTGTTCACTTTAGTTTATAGAGAATAAAGCCTTGTAAAAAATAAATCTGATGGCTCTACTAATGGCATAATTTGTTTTTCTCAGCTACTCCTCCTCCTCCCAATGGCAAATTACTTTTAAAAGTAAGTATCAAAAATACATTTCACAAAGCATGATCTTCATAATTTATCACATAACACTTGTCTCCTAAAGTAGGTTTTTTTTGTTATTTTACCTGCTTATCTAAAAATAAGTCAATACATTTAAGCATCCTCCTTTTGCAACTGTCTATACATGCCCTCTATTTTTAAATCATAATCACTACTGAGTCACAGATGGACAGATGAACCCATGTAAAAAAAAAACATTCCTTGATAAATCGATCTTTCCAACTTTTATCCTAATAGTATGAATGCTCATATTCAGTCAAATTGCTTGAACATCACCTATGATGCTATTTTTATGTGAAATAAAGTAAAAATAAATTTCTTGGTTTTGCTACCTTAGAAACTTATACATAGAAACACCATACTGACTAAAATGCATTATTAAACTCTAGATCATATCAATCAAACATAAGTATATTTTCCTCTCATTATCATTTTAAAGGATTTTTGTGGCCTAAGAAAAAATTATTTTAAACATGATCATTTGAATTTTAACATATGTAAATAAAATCATAAGATACATAATAGTGTCTTATACATAAGTGTCTTATCCTTCAAAAATTATGTGAGCAAATTTGCTATTCCTGGATATCATATGTCTCTCAGCTTTTGCTTTTTTCCCCATTTTCTTTTTGTTTACAATACAGGTCTGTAGTATTTCATTCAGAACAATGAGCTTTAAAATAAAAAAAGGATTCATTTTCTTTTAAATATTGTATGGTTACCTCCTTATTATGATAAATTATAAAGTTCCTTTAGATGGTGTCCTCATATTATTAAGATAAATTAGTCCAATTTATCAAAGAAAAGTGCTCAAGTGGATCCATCTGTCCATCTGTGAAGCATGAATGCTGTGAGAATACGACTTTAAAAATAGATTCGAAGTATAAGCGGTGTACAAAGTTATTTAAATATATTAAATTATTATAGGTAAATTATGGTAAATAGGCAAAAGGTAATTCAGCAGAAATATACAATAAAAATAAGCTTGTTTTATCAAGCTCAATATTTAAAAACATGTCACCTTTCTTTTTCCCATATTCATTTTATGAAAATGTACGTTTGCCCACAGAGAAGCCCAGACACTGAAAATGGTCTCATCAACACAACCAACATTTTCCTTTGACTAACCTCCTTCGATCTGTTTTAACACTGTAGAGTGCAGAAACGTAGCTTTCTATCAAAGACATAGTGTGCTGCCCTCCACTGTGTGGGAGACTTGAAATTGTTCAGCCCCACGGTCACTTGGTTACTACATTACACTGCAAGAATATAGTAGGTAAACACAGTGTGGTGTGGGGGGACAAAGTATCCTTTCTGAGCAGGGAGGTTTAGATAATGGTCAAACAATAATGGATTTCATGGTGTCGGATTCATTTGATTTCCACTGGCCTCACCCAGAATCATCTTTAGATTACTTTTGAACATCGTGTATTCATTGCTCTCCTATTTGTCAAAGTACATTTTCTAGGCCAAATTTTGCTTTTCAGAGCATTTCTAAATGACTTCCCATAGATGTCTTCAGGTTTCTGAGACAAATTTGCTTGACAGGGAAAATATTCAAACTATTATTTATAACCTCATTTCTAAAAGAACGGATACCAATTTTCTCATACATGAATACATTTTTTTAAAAAGAACTATTTAAATCTTTCCTGAAGGAGAATTCATAAAATACTTACGTGACCTGTGCTGATAATATCAGATTAATATTTTTAACAACTTCATATGCTTAAATATTTTAAGATCATGTCTTTTCCTACAATTTTACATTTGGTAAACAGCAAGCAGCATTTTGTACCAAATAACACACTCAGTTCTTAGCACTTTTTTTAAAAAAAAAACAGTATTATGTTTACCTAATAAAACACAGACAAGGAAGGTACACTTGTACAGTAGACAAATAATTTGTACAAAAAGTGTGCCATTCAAATAGCTGAAGATTATAAATGTTCATATGGGAGTAAATTCTTATTCCTTGATTAAATCATCTTAAATGACATCTTAGCTAATTTATAATTGGAGTTTTCAATTAAAATTTCTTGATTAATGAGGTTATATATGTTTTCCATTCCTGGAAATTTTGGTGTATATATTTACCCTGTTTAAATTATGAATCAATGATTTAAGTAACATGAAAAATGATAGAATAACGAATACTTAACTATCTAACATCACAAAGGCTAAATGTTGTCATTTTCACCAATTCATTCAGAGTGAATTAAAGAAAAGAGGTATAGAAATTCTCATGCTTTAATAATTTCTTAGCAATAACTCACCAGCCTTAAATATTGGATTCAAAATCTAACCTTCATTATGAAACCTTGTATGTCAAAAGATATATACAATATATGAAAAAAGATGAATACATTCACTGAATATATATTAAGTTTAGAAAAGTATATTATCCTAATTTACTGCATGAGTAACTGGTATAAATTATTCTATTTCAGCTACATCTCTGCACAATTCATTTAAAACTGATTATGAGAACTCTTCTTCTAGAAATGCAGAGGATGAGGGAAAATAAACCAATGCAACATCATATTTTGCCACATAATTTCACAACAGATATTGTTCTTAAAAATCATGAAATCTTCAACAGCAAGCCCCCTTTAAAATGTCTTGACTCAGAATACTGTGCAATATCTTATTAAATACTATTGTATATATCTAAACTTGTTCTAAATGTGATATATAAAAGTCAGAAATATTTACATATTTTAAAAACTTGTATATATATACATATATATATCCATATATATCTCCATCAATCTATATCGCTTTGATAGAAAATTTGATGATCTGTATTGAGAAGGCAGTTTTCTATTCTGCCTGAAGGTTCAGATAGGTTTCTATCAGAAATAAAGTGGAAGGTTTAGAAGAAAATCAACCAATAAAATCTATTTCAAATTGCTGAACATGAATTTGCAGGTTTTGTTTTGGGCTAATGTATCTGTTTTTTCCTAGTTTCCAACCTCACCAAGAAGAGCAGAGGGCTGGCAAACACTGGCTTAATTATCCCCATCAGTCTCAGAGACAAGGCGCTTAAGAGTTCTAGCTGCTGTAAACACTCCCCTGATAGCAGATAAGGAATCTGCTGAAAGGCAGTTTTGTCTGGGAAACCTCAGGGGCACACCAGTTAATCATTAGTGCAATATTGTATATGCATTACTACATCAAAGGAAACAGAACCCAATATTCTATTGTGAAGATTGTCTGTGTTTTCTTAAAGGTAAGAAAACAAATGCTAAACCAGAAAATAAAAGATAATAATTACATTCGCACATTTACCACAGAAACAAAGAATGTTCTACTTTACATTTTTTTTTTCAAGAAAGAATAAGTCATTATTGCTTTTTATTTTTTAAATGTGCCCACTGGGAAAAAAGCTTTCCACTGAAGTCAAACGTGTAACTTTTGTCTAAAGAGAAATTTGCATCTTTGTATCTAAAAACATTGATCAGAATCAGAGAATATCACATAACCTTATTTTATCACAACACTAGAAGTAAAACAATGTTATTCTTCTATATCAGCACTGTGTTTGTAAAGGGATCTATTTGTGGAAAACTGACACCTCACTGTCCCTAACAAAGAACCTTTCTATCACTTCAAAATGAAGGCATCCACAATGACCTACTATTCTTTACATCTAATAGACTTCTCATAGTCCCATTATCAGAGAATCTTAGAGGTTTCCAAAGCCTTCCTAGCATGAGTCCAGAGTTAACTTCCACTCTCTCTCAGCCCTTCTGTCACTGTGTGCAAGCCAAAGAAAAGTTTTCAGCATCAAATACTCCTTGCCCTTTCCCACATCCTTGCCTTAATTAGCACTATTTCTTCTGATTGGATGTCTATTTGCTAGCCCCATCTCTACAGGTTTACCTTTCCTGGAAGCTCCAAGTCTCATATCTGAATTCAAAACAATCTCTGTTGCTTCCCTTATGTAACTGGAAGTAATTTCTTTTTTCCTCGGGACTCTTGTAGCAACTTTTTTATTAGAATAATGCCTAATCTAATGTTTGGCATATCATGGGCTCTCAGTAAATGCTGCTAAATGACCAAACTTAGTAGCAACTGCTGATTTTTATTAATGATTATGTATGGATATTTACCAAGATTTTAAGGAAAATAAAATGACCCTTTCTACCACAGAAAGCATGGTGACTTTCAGTGACCATACTGAAAAATCTTTAAAATCTACATAAGATTACTAACTCATGCTACTCTTTCAGTGTGTCTAAAATCATCTAAATTCTTCACTTTTTTTCCTTGATGAAAAATTCAGTGATTTAGACTGAGACTTACTTAACTATTTGTGAGTTAATCAGGATGAAACAGAGATGTCTCAATCAGGTATTAATAAGCCCAGATTTTGCTTCTGTCAGATATGATACAGTCCCATCTTCTTAACAGATTTTTCTCAGAGGAAATTTTTAGTTTAAATTTTTAGTTTACAGCCAACTCAACATGGATTCTAAACAAGTGAGTTCAACATCCAAACAAAAGTGACCAAAAGTTTTTTTTTATTCTATGTTTTACAAATGTGTAGTCTCAGTATTATCCCAAGTCTATCCCCAAGGTCCATAAAGAATTTGAACCCATACTTTAATTAAAGTTTCAGGATAAGGGAAATTTTGTGTAATAACATTTCCATTTGGTTCATACAATGTAATTGATAAAGCCTTCCTTAATTATTCTGATCTGAGGCTTTCAGGAAGACTCTACATTATTTGAATCAAACCATATGTGCCTCCATGCTTTCTTTGTCTAGACACCACCAGTCAAATAGCCTAGGTAAATATTTCATACTGATGAAGCAGTGACATCTTTGAAAGCTGACACCAAGACAGAGTGGCTCTTTCTGGAGTTAGTATATCAAAGAGGGAAGGTTTTGCATATAGGCTGTCTGTAAAGTAAATAACATCATAACTGCAATTTTGACCTTCCAAAGCATTTTACTCTGTAAAAGTAATGTTATGGCAGATTAATTCTTTTACTGGCACTCTTACTACTCAGACATATGTGCCAGACTTTCTATAGTAGAAGACAAAATTCACAATGTGTGAGAGTGCATGGTTAGAAGAAAGCTTTTCCTTAACAAAGTAGAACAATAGTTAGGGCAAGGGGCTTGTAGCTGAACTACTGTCATTTTGAAATCCATTTTTGGTGAATGTTATCTATACGGCCTTAGGCAAATTATTTAACCTCCACAATCCTCAACTGATTCATCTACAATAAAATAATAACTTCTATTCGACAATGTCTGGCATGTGGTTGTCACATTAGCATTTGATTAATATGAAAAACAGCAGAAGTGTGAGTTTCACTCTGCGTTTTAAAAGTAGAACAGGGTAACAAGGTTTCTAACTCATATGACATTTTAATAGACAATATAATAACAAAATTTGATGAATATGTAAAATAGGTTATATCCATTTAAAGCATATAATTTTGTATATACATAACATTTTAAAAGTTTCACATAGAAAGTTTTTTTTACTGAGGTTAGGTTATAAAAATGAGACAAATTGTATAATTGAAACTTTCAAAGAGTTATAATAAATATTTAGTTTTAATCTATAAAGATTTTCTACTTTGTTATTATAATGTTTTAAATTCAGTGGCTATCATTTTTTATTTTCTGTACTGGCAGATCTGGTAAAAGTATGACTTTCAAATCTGTAGCCAGATACTTCCATCGGTATACTAAAATAAAGACTTTGTAACTCAATGGAATGGAGAAATAAATTTAAAAAGGAATGGCCAAATTAGCGGCTAATTTTAAAGAAAACACAAATAGGGCTTACAATACATGCTTTTAGGTTATCTACCACCTGTTTTAGCTTTTAAACATATACTCACACATTATATTTTCTTAGCAACTGCAAGCCCATTTTGATGTCCTAAGAATTTAATATAGCTCTTTAAAAATTAACGTACTCTCTAATTGGTAAAAAGAAAAATGTCATGTAAGCTATCTAGTGTGACTTGTTTTCTTCCTGACATTCATGCCAAATGTGCTTAGATGCTGATGGGTTATGAGATCCAAAGAATGCTATTTCTCAGTTCTTCAATTAAAAAATGGTTTATAAATTGCCATATTTCAGAATATAAAACTTCATTTTACCAATGCCAACACAGCCAATGCCAGCACTATCTTTATAAAAAATAAATAATACAATAGAAATATTGAATAAAATTTAGTAATTTTGGTCTCAGAGTAGCAAAAACATAATTTAAAACACATATACAATTGTATACCTAAATACTTCTTTCATAAAAAAATATACTTTTTAAAAGAGCTATTAAGTTTTAATTATAAAACAATTGAAATTTAAAGGTGATAGGCAGTTGTCAAATATTACTTACAGCCTAATTTTTAAAATTTGTGCCATGAAGATAAAAATATGGGCATTTTACTGCCTATAAAAACATAAATTTGAAACACGAAAAAATATATTTACTGATTGTATACAATATACATTAATTTAAATAACAGCAGAGATTAAATTTAGCAGTTTGGTATATATCCCACTATAATATCAGACTTAAGTATCAGATTCCTATTTACATGATGTAATATTACATTTAAATTTTTAAATTTAAATGTTTTTGGATAGTATAGCTTTTAAAGGTATCCTATGGTTGTAATTGTGTGATCAGACTAAGTAGCCCATGCAGACTTGTATTTGCAAAATATACAATATAAAATCAATTTCTTTTCATCATATCTTGTTAAGATATTATTAAGGAAATGATCACTTTTGTATAACTAAAAGATAGAACATGAAAATAAGTAGGCTTTTAACTGATATTTATTTTACCTCGTTATCACTGACAACAGAATCATAGCTACAGATAATACCTAGATAGATTTATTCATTGAAAAAATACATGGATGCTTAAAAATTAAAGAACATGCTATTATAATCATCATTACACTGAATTCTTAATATTTCAAAATGTAATATTCACATTTAATCTGAACTTCACGTCCAACTTAGACACTTAGATAAGAATAAACTGCAGCCAGATATCTATGAAAAAGACAAATGAAAATAATTTACATTTGACAGCAAATACACCTAAGGCACCTGTTTGTTGCTTTCATTAAAAAAAAAATACTTATATATTTGGAAATGAGTTACATAAATTTTTGTTAGATAATTCATTTTAAATATGGATTTACACTGGAAAATTAATTGGATTTACAAACGGATTTACACTACTTCACAATTGGTAGTGTGACAACTAAACCAGCCTCTATACATGATTATATATACATTTACAAAACTTTTAAGAACTACCAATTTATTATTGTCCATGAATTCCACTATAGATTTGAACTTATGACTCATAGATACCAAACAGCTAATGGAAAGAGGATCAAGGATCAGAGAAATTGTGCTTCCAGATGCCAATATGTTGAATATAATAAGAACTGTGAAACACATCTAGTGTACACTGTGGAATGACACAATTCTACACATCTCTGGTAAACTGGTTAGTTAACTGAAGAATGTTTAAAATTTACTTCAAATATAGAATATTTCATATCTCAATTCTGGGCTGCAACTTTCCTTTCTTAAGTAGTTCTAGTTCCTTATGCAATTAGCCATTCTTTTGAATCAACCTAGCATACAGCTAGTTGATTGTTTAGGGAAATGGGAGGAAAGGGAGATGGGAGAATACCCGGGAAGTGATTCAGAGCATGTATTGCCAAAATTTTTACACTGTGCATGCTTTGCTTTTCCAAGTTGTCCTGTGCCCAATTAGAACCTGAATTTTTTTCTTTCAAAAAAATGAATTTCTGTCTAAAGCCCCTTGACTCCTACTACCGCTAATAAAGAATTCTCAGTCAGCAATTTGCAGAGTAGGGAAGCCAGGGATAATGCAACTGGGCAGCCTTTACAAGCAAAACAAAACACCAAAGAAAGGGAATAAAAAGACTGACAACAATGTAAGCTCTCCCAGAAGGCTCATACTTATTTTTCCCCCTCTAAAATGTAACATTAAAGAAGCTGAATCAGCTGTGACCATAATGATGCAAAGTTTTGATTATTATGGCAAATTATACCTTTGCTATTCAGGAGAGGGCAAAAAAGTTTTGTGGCTCATCAAAAGAAGCAAGGAATGAGAGCCAAGGCCACTGACATTTGTGGTGGCAGATTAAGCTGTGAGCAGACTCTAAATAAATTCCATTCTCCCCCATCCCCAAAATACACTATTCTGGCTATTAAGACTGACTTGCATTTTATGCATGCCAGTACACTATCCATTCAGGATCACTTATTTCAGTGGGAGACAGGGAGGGTAGTCTTCTGAGTTAGGAAGCTGTAACAGATTATTTGTGTGTGCGTCTGTGTGTGTGTGTGAGTGTGTGTGTGTGTGTGTGTGTGTTTATCAGACTGCTAACTGAATGAATTATAGTCTCTGCTTCAAGTTTAAATAAGTATTTTATAAAATAGACAAAATATTTAAATCTTATTTAAAGTCAAATATTTTATAAAATATTTATAAAAATTTCTGGTCATTTAATTTTTGAAAAAAAATGCTTAAAACAGAAATTAGCCTTTCTGTCATTCACAATACATGACTAAAATCCTTTCTTTTAGGAACACAAAATAAGGTTTGCAAAGACATGTAAATAATTCAAACTAAAGTTCTCAAAGATATATAATCTATATAAGAATAAAATGCTCAAATTATCTTGTGAACTCTTTGGTTTTCTTGATTAAATGATGTTTTCTTTTTACATTGACTAACGTTCTTTACAGTTGTTTTGGAATAATATATCCCCATTTAGAAGAAAAATAAGAATATATCTGTCATAAGACTGATGGGAAAATATGAAGCAAGTAAAGAAAATTATAACAATCCTAAAATGAAATTATAGAAAGTGAAACAATATTAAGGACCATAAACCAAGTGTCATTAAAAATAGTGGCAATCTATTGCAAATTCAGCATTACCAGTCAAACTAAATTGACTGTAAGTACTGAGAAAAACTTTACAACTTCATTTCAAGCCTAATTTTAATAAAAATATTTCCTTAGCTACAAATAGCTTTATGAGGTATAAAAAAAGAAGAAGTATATGTAGGAAATATTATCTTTGATAAGTCAGTAAATCTGACTCTTCCATAATCAATGATATATAACCTGATATCCTTGTTTCGGTTTATACATATGCTTTATATTTGTTCATCTACAAATCATGATAATGTTTTTAAGCTAACTAGCACACAAAGAACTACAAAAGTTCAAATTTACAAGGACTCACAAATAACTGTAAGTACATACTGAGGAGAACAGGTTTCTATTGAGGAAAACTGTCTTTAGTATTCAGAAAGTGTACCTTGAAGGGAAAACCCTCCACGATCAGACCAGCTAAAACAACAATGACAATTAAGCATATAGTAGAAAAATATCAAATATCAACAATGACAATTAGGAATATAGCAGATAAATACCTTCAAATCTAAGAAAATGCCCTAAAAATTTTGATATGTCATTCAGTGGCAGTGAGGCAAAGAAGACAGGGATCACCATCTCAAGGTGCTAGCCTCCGAAAAAATATAAATTTGATTGGCAAAATCTGCTCAGAGACCATTTACATGCTATTCATGGAATAAGAATGAAGTTGAAACAAGTATTAGAGTATGTTCTGTGATGCTTACTACTGCATATCTGATATAAATTATGATTATATTAAAAAGCTTGGCAGTTTTCACTGTGTGGCCTGGTTTGTGCAAGATAGGATTCCAAATATTGTTTTCTCCAAAAACTACAGTGAATTAAAATGACAATTTTAATATCATTGGACTGCTTACACATCACAGAGGATATAAAAATTATGGGGAAAAAAGAACAGTGACTTTAATCAGCTCCATGTTACAAATTACACCTTTCAGTGTTAAGGATACAAAAATTCCTTAAAGGGAAACCAGATCATAAAACACATGAATTCAGGGAGATCTATGGCTACCACAAACCACACTGTCCAGCTATTGGAAAGTATTGTCATAAAAAAGTTTGATTGTTAATAGATTTCTGAAATATTTCCAGGTGATTTTCTCATTAATAATATATTTTATCCCATAAGACAATCACCAATAAAACATAAGATACATAACTTAGAGCACTTGATACTACATTTTGAATAATATTATCAAGAATAGCTTTTAAAAATGTCTCTGCTTTTAACTCTATGGATTAAATGAATTTATAAAGCACAGATTTATTTATATGGATTTTAACCATTCTTTTAATAAAACGTTATCAAAATTATAAAAATATTATTACATTTTTAAATAAACAATGATTACTATAGTTGTATAAATGAATCCAAAATTGATAAATGATCTCTCTATGGACTGAATTGTGTCTCTTCCAAATTTATATGTTGAAGCCCTAACCCCCAATGTGACTGTATTTGAATACAGGGCTTTTCAGGAAGGTTAAACAAGGTAATAAGGTCAGAAGAGTGAGGCCTTAATCTGATAGGACTGGTGTCCTTATAAAAAGTAGAGACACTAGATAACTACACCCCCAAAACCCTGTCCCAGCATGCAGAGAAGAGATCATGTGTGGACACAGTGTAAAGACAGCCATCTACAAGTCAAAGGAGAGTCCTCAGAACAAAACCTATCTTGCCAGCATCTTGATCTTTGACTCTGGCCTCCAGAACTCTGAGAAAATACATTTCTGTTGTTTAATCCACCCATCCGTGGTGTTTTAATGTGGCAGGCCTAGAAAACTCTTAATGGTGTCCAAGCAAACAAAAACATAAAGTGGGGAAAGGACACCCTTTTCAACAAATGGCGCTGGGATAATTGGCTAGCCACACGTAGGAGAATGATACTGGATCCTCATCTCTCACCTTATATGAAAATCAACTCAAGATGGATGAAGGACTTAAACTTAAGACCTGAAACTATTCAAATTCTAGAAGATAACATTGGAAAAACCCTTCTAGACATTGGCTTAGTCAAGGATTTCATGACCAAGAACCCAAAGCAAATGCAATGAAAACAAAGATAAATAGCTGGGACTTAATTAAACAAAAGAGCTTTTGTACAGCAAAAGGAACAGTCAGCAGAGAAAACAGACAACCCATAGAGTGGGAGAAAATCTTCATAATCTGTATATCTGAAAAAGGACTAATACCCAGAATCTACAACGAATTCAAATCAGTAAGAAAAAAGTAAACATTCCCATCAAAAAGTGAGCTAAGGGCATGAATAGACAATTTTCAAAAGGAGATACAAATGGCCAACAAACATATGAAAAAATGCTCAACATCACTAATGATCAAGGAAATGCAAATCAAAACCACAATGTGATACCAACTTTCTCCTGCAAGAATGGCCATAATCAAAAAATCAAAAAACAGTAGATGTTGGTGTGGATGCGGTGAATAGGGAACACTTCTACACTGCTGCTGGAAATGTAAACTAGTACAGCCACTATAAAAACAACGTGGGGATTCCTTAAAGAACTAAAAGTAGAACTACCATTTGATCCAGCAATCCCACTATTGGATATCTACCCAGAGGAAAAGAAGTCATTTGAAAAAGATACTTGCACACACGTTTACAGTGGCACAATTCACAATAGCAAAATCGTGGAAGCAACCCAAATGCCCATCAATCAATGAATGGACAATGAAATTGTGGTCTATACATACAATGGAATACTACAGAGCCATAAAAAGGAATGAATTAGCAGCATTTGCAGTGACCTGGATGAGATTGGAGACTATTATTCTAAGTGAAGTAACTCAGGAATGGAAAATCAAACATTGTATGTTCTCACGGATATGTGGAAGCTAAGCTATGAGGACACAAAGGCCTAAGAATGACACAGTGGACTTTGGGGATTTGAGGGGAAGAGTGAGACAGGGGCGAGGGATGAAAGACTACAAATATGGTGCAGTGTATACTGCTTGGGTGATGGGTGCAACGAAATCTCACAAATCACTATTAAAGAACTTACTCATGTAACCAAATCCCACCTTTACCCCAATAACTTATGGAAAAAAAAAGACTCTTAATGGTGTCCATCAATATTAGCTTTTCTTCTGTAACTGCATAGCTGTTTGAGGCTGAGGAAGTCATTTAATTTCTCTGAATCTGTTTCTTCCTTTGTAAAATGATCAAGCTAGGCTAGCTAAATATAAGACACATATACCACCACTCTTTTTTCCCATGCCCAGAGAAACCATACTATTCTTGGTAATCATAACCAATCAGTGGGAATTATCTTGGGAGATATGGCCTATTCTCCACACCTGAGTTGGAAGACATATGAGCTCGGTTTTAGTACTATTAATAGCACCGTAGGTCCCTACTACTACAAGTGCGGCCCGTGGACCAGCAGCATTGACATCCCCTGGAACTCACAAGGAATGCAGAATCTCAGGCAGGCTGTAGGCCAACCTTCTGAATTAGAATCTACCTTGTAACACTATCCCCAGTGCACATTTGACAAGCACTGATCTAGGACTCATTAAGTTTCTAAAACAAAGGTTGCAAAAAGTGGCAAGCCACAAACTAAATGTGGTCTATTACATTTTTTGTTTGGTCTCTACACTGTTTAAAATTCTTGAATTATTTGCCAAAATTAAAAGGAGGAAAAGTTCATAAAAAGAGATTAATTTATTGATAAATTGCATGATTATATAAAAATAGGCTAACATTTCTGTATGACAACAGTGGAGCTGAGTGACACTGCTTCCTTTACAACAGAATGCTACATGTTCCCTGTGACAGGGTTCATTGCAGTCCTCTTCATTTACTTATGTTATCTACCTGACCCTGGTACGCATTTGACTTTCTAATCTCTGCTGTCAAATTTCCTTTTCTTACATGTAGCATTGAATTAAAAAAATGTAACAATAAAAGATGTTTAAATATATAAGTATCTGTCCAAAATTAATAATTCCCGTTATCATTTTTAGTTTTCTATTTTTCTTCACTCATCTCTACTTATTCTTTCTTTTTTAATTTTAAATTTTCTTTTATCTGAATCTTACCATTGCTTGTTTTAATGCCTGTATATTATGGCATTTGTTTACTTTAATCCATCAGAGATTTTGTCATTTAACCTTGCTCTCTAGCAGTCTAGTAATAAATGATTTTGTAAAGTAATACACTACCTTTTTTTATTTTGTGGGAACAGGGTCTCACTCTGATGCCTGGCTGGACTGCAGTGTAAGATCATAGCTCAAAGCAGCCTGGAAATTGTGGGCTCAAGAAATCCTCCTGCCTCAGCCTCACAATAGCTAGGATTACAGGCATGAGCCACTGCATCTGGCTGGAATATACTAATTTCGTTTAAAGCAAGTTATCTCTTTTGCTTCACGTCTTGTAAAATCATTGTGAAAAACATTTCATGTCTTCAAATGTTTTTAGGATCCAGGGAAAATTTAGAAAAAAAATGAGAAATTAAAGGGAGATATAGAGAGAAATAGTAAATTAATGAATTGGTGATTAGCTGATTGACATGGTTTGGCTCTGTCCCCACCCAAATCTCACCTTGAATTGCAATAATCCCCCCACCTGTCAAGGGCAGGTCCAGGTAGAGATAATTGAATCATGGGGGTGGTTTCCTCCATGCTGTTCTCAGAATGGTGAATTCTCACAAGATCTCATGGCTATATAAGGGGCTTCCCCCTTCACTCAGAATTCATTCTCTCTCCTGCTGCCCTCTGAAGAGGTGACTTCTGCCATGATTGAAAGTTTCCTGAGGCCTCCCCAGCCATGTGGAACTGTGAGTCAATTAAACTTATTTTCTTCATAAATTACCCAGTCTCAGATATTTCCTCATAGCATCATGATAATGGATTAATAAACTGACCAAACACTAAATTCAGAAACGTGCAAGGCACCAGCCAAAAATCTAATTACAATAACTGCCTCTGGTAGCTAGTTGGATATATAAGGGAACACACTGCCCCAAACATATTTTTATAGAAGTTATGAAAACTGATACATTCTTAGCTACTTTGGGCCTTGAATTTAAAAATTTCCAGGGTGATAATTTTCATTAAAATTAATGGAAATTAGGAAAATATGTAACATAGTATTATTTTCATTTTAATTCCAATTACCTTAGGAATTTTATCTTCTTATTCTCAAATCCCAAGTCTTACTACTATTTTATTGTTCAGAATCTTAAAAGCCATTTACCTTCTGTTTTTATATAACCCTTAAACACTGATTCCCTTAAACAATGAAGGTATCCACATAGTTTTAACCATAATGTCAATAGCAATAAATGATAACTCTTTACCTTTAGTTATATTTATCCCACTTCTCAGTCTTTACCTCTTTTCAAATACCTAAAATTTTATCTGAATAAATTAAAGTCACCTCATACTCAATATATCTAGTACCTAATTTCTCCCACATAACCATTATTTTCCCTTAACTCACTGTTGATGTAAAAAGCTATTATTTGAAGAATCTCAAGATGACTAACTGGATATGAACTAGAGATATGAGTAAAACATGTCCACAAATCTCAGCAGTTTCTCAGTGAAAGCCTGTTTCTTGTGTGTACCATCCTCCAGATTTTTACTGCCCAATCACGTTGGGCAAGGTGTTCTTGGTTTTTCCCCAGCCTATGGGTTTCATTGGGACCTGCCTCTTCCAGTCCTCTCATCTGCCATTTTTAGACTAATCATTAAATATCACTAGCATAGTACTTTCATATTTAAGCATCAAAACTCCATTGTTACATTATAACAAATGGAATCTAAATTCTTGTTCACTTTAAAAACTTTCAAAATCTGACAATACTCTATCTAAACATATCCTCTGCTCTACGCAATTCAGTTTCTTTACAATGTCAAATACATGCCATGCTCAAAAGAGAGGTTTTTAAAATGTGCATGCTTGTTTCCATCTCCTACATGCTGGTTTCTTTCTTTCTCATTTTGAATTAAACAAATATGCATTTATTACCCACTACGTACTGTCTTTTAAAATCCAATGCAAGTTCTATTGTATTTAGGAAGACTTTCCTATGTCAGCACTCATTTATTTGTGGCCATCACTACTGATAATTTCAATAACTACCCTTTGTGGAGTGCTTACCACTGCCAGATGGTCAGTTAAGCAATTTATATACATCATCTCTTTTGTTCCTATTGATATCTCTGTGAAGTACATATTACAATTCCCATACTATAGATGAGGAACCTGAGGATCAGCGCACTTTTGGCACTTACTCCAAACCATGAAAAGTCTTACTTTGAGCTGAGAGGCTCATTCTCTCCTCTCCACTTAAAGAGAAAGAAAAAAAAGCATGAAAGTGATGAAGAGTTACATAGGCGAGAACTTGGTTTGTGTGACCCAAAGGATATTTGCAATTTAGTAGCAAGCTCATTTTACTATAAATATTTTTCTACTTTGTAAAGATGGCAATAGTATATAAAATATTTTAAATTTGTGTAAAAATATGTTACTTTTAAAACTTTTAAAATCTGATATTAGCATAAACAAGAAGACCTGGGCCTTATTTACAATGTTGAAGAGGCTGGATGGCAATAGGCCAAGTTTGAACTAAGTCCTCCACCAACCAGTCCTGAATCTCGTAGCCCCCTTTTCCTTACTTAATCGATAATACACTAGGTTCAAAGCAAGGACATCAGACACAAAGTATAGCTATGTTCTCTCTTTTTTGTCAACAGTTACTTAAGGCCTTCCCAGGCTCATGGATGCAAATTGAATTTAAATTCATAAGCAGATTCCCTCTATTGCTTGTCTTCATCACAACGCAAAATATGGAACTATAGCACATTTGATTTGATTCAAAATTAGGACCTCTATTGGCCTAAGACAATTAACCCCTTGTTGACCTTAAATCCTATAAGATCCAAGCTTCCTTTGCCTAGCTCTGAAAGCCTGTCTTAAAAAGATGCCTGGCCAGGCGCGGTGGCTCACACCTGTAATCCCAGCACTTTGGGAGGTTGAGGCGGGCGGATCACAAATTCAAGAGATCAAGACCATCCTGGCCAACATGATAAAACCCCGTATCTAGTAAAAATACGAAAAATTAGCTGGGTGTGGTGGTGTGCACCTGTAGTCCCAGGTACTCGGGAGGCTGAGGCAGGAGAATCGCTTGAACTTGGGAGGCAGAGGTTGCGGTGAGCCGAGATTGCACCACTGCACTCCAGCCTGGGCGACAGAGCGAGACTCCGTCTCAAAACAAAAACAAAAACAAAACAAAACAAAAGCCTGACCACATCTTTTGAGCTATGTCCAGCTGTCTGTAGTTCTTTATACACTACATTTTACTTTCTTCTCCCATGCCATTGTTCATGCTCATCCCATGCCTGGAACAGCCTTATTCACCCAATCATCATCTCTCAAGACAAGATTAAAACTATACATAACAGGGAAAATTTAAGACTGTACTGAAGAGCAAAAACAAAAAGCAGTAAATTGGTATAGAAAATAGAAGAAACTTCCAAAGTTAATCTATTAAAACAATAGTTTTTGTACTTAACTATTACAATAATAGAAATGATAATGATGGGGTTAATGACAACACTAAATACATTTATTAAGTGGTTAGTATATCTCAGATTCTCTGTAAATCATTATATACTTTATCTAACACCAAAAATAAAATTAAAATAAGCCCAAGAAAGTAGCATTATATTATCCACATTTTAGAGATTAGGTAGAGAGTACAAAGTTTTAGTAACTTGTCCAACATTGTACAGCTAACTAAGTTGACAGAGCCTAATTTGAATTCAGTTGCAACTGATTTGTGAGGAAAGCATAATAAACTCCTATAACACCTCTTGTTAAATTATTAATCAGATTATAGCAATGACTATTTTTAGGAGCCATTTTTGCAGTCAATGAAACTGGAGATAAAATCATAATAATGATAGTAATAGTTACAGTTTTCATTATTATTGTGTGGTTTTCCATTTACTCAAGGATTATTTCAGAATTTTTACAGCATTTACTATAGTTTGTTAAGCAAAGTAATTAATAATGAAAGTACTAAGAATAATGTAGCAGTTTAAATAACTTTAAAAGTGAAAAGGATACAAAATGGGAGGTATTAAGGTATCAAGTTATAGTTCTATTTTATATGATATGGTTGAAAGGTAATAAAACCAATGGAGATACATATATATCCATATATATATCCACATATATATCCATATATATATATCCATATATATATCCATGTATATATCCACGTATATATCCATGTATATATCCACGTATATATATCCATATATATATCCATGTATATATCCATATATATATATATCCATGTATATATCCATGTATATATCCATATATATATATCCATGTATATATCCATATATATATATCCATGTATATATCCATATATATATATCCATATATATCCATATATATATCATATATATATCCATATATATCCATATATATATATCCATATATATCCATATATATATATCCATATATATCCATATATATATATCCATATATATCCATATATATATATCCATATATATCCATATATATATCCATATATATCCATATATATATATACACACACATATATAGCTACTGTGATTTGACATAAAACATGTAATTACTGCAAACACGTGTTTATACATAAAAATAGGCAGATAGACATTATTCAGTGGCTAATTTTTAAAATACCAATAATAATGCTGTATATTATATTACATCCATGGCTAAAACATTTCAAAGACCTTAACAGTGACTATTTTGACTTTGAAGGAAGTTGGTGATGAATTAAAAATCCATAAAATAAATATAGGAATAATAAATAACAAAAAGATTAAGGGAACAGCACATTATAGTATAGCAACAATAACAACAAAACCTCCAAAAATCTAAAAAGTGAATGTGCATCTCTTCCCATAATTTCTCTGTGACCAAGTGTGAACTTGCATAAAAGCAAACGATGTGTGTGTGTGTACACCACACATATGCCTTCATTTCTTTCAAAGTCATCATTTTCCACATATCATTCATGTTTTTAGAAGGCTTCAAGTTTTAATGAGTCAGTCTAACTGAAAATATTACAAATATAAACACACACACACACACATATTTGTAAAGAGGAAGAACTAGAGTGCCATAAGACAAGTGAGATAAATGACAAGAATGGCGTCAGTTCCATTCTTGGCCTCCAGAAAGGTTCCTATTAGTTTGTCCTCGGCTTTGGAAACTAACAAATAAAGAAAATTGCATATGATTTGGGGCAAGAAAATTTTCTTTAGTCACTGATTTACTCTGTGGCACAATCATAGCAGATAGTGCCCAAATTGAAAGGGGAAAGTAAGAGGTCTGTTAATTTTTATATTACTGAGAAGATTTTTAGAAATAAATATGGGGAAAAAAGAGTGAAGAAGAAGTGATATTCTCTTTCCAGATTAATAAATACATGATTAAAGATATTTGTCAATGATTATGTAATAAGTCTGGGTTAGAGGAATATATTGACCTGCAACATAAACCTAACTATAGGTCAGATAGCCTCATATGAATCAATTATTAACTTACTCTAAATAAAACACATACTCTAATATAACACATTACTCTAATAAAGCTTACTCTAATAGAACACATAACCAAGCCAGATAAATATCATGGATATGACAAGTCTTACAGAAGTCTCAGATTATGGAGAGAAATCCCCCAAAGTTTAGGTATGGTACTACCACAGTAATATAATTCTGCTGAATATTTTAATGGCAATAAATACTATTAGGCTGTTTTGTTGTAAACAATTGGCTTAGATTCAAAGAGTTACATGTATAACTAAATCAATGTGAAATTCATCTAATGAAGAACAGTTACTTGATACCTAATCTTGCCTGATCTTTTAACAACAAATAAAATTGTAATGCAACAATTCTACCATTAATACAACTTTTCTCACTAACGCCACTTATGTGTGTGGTTCGTGTTTAGAAGTTACATCAATAGCAAGTTGCTGGGCAACTACATATCTGAGAGTGTAAATGTGGATTATTACCTGATTCTGGATGTTACAGTTCTTAGAAGAATGCAGCCTATATTTTTTCTTATAAGGGGGACTTCAAAAACTTCATGGAAAATGAATATTATGAAAAAGCTATGGATGTATTTCCATTTTTGTACCAAAATAAACTCATACTAACTTGATATATCATGTCTGAACAGGAAATAGTTTGAGGCATTAAGAAGGATTAGACATCAGTTTGAAAAGAGCCCCTATCAGAGCAACATGAATTCTGCTAAAGTTGAAGCAAGAACAAACATAAAATTTAGGGTGAAGCATTGGTGAAAGAATGATGAAATCATTGATGCTTTATGAAAAGTTTGCACAATGTCCCAAGGAAATCAGCAGTTTACAAATGGATAACTTGTTTCGAGAAGGGAGAAGACCATGTTGAAGATGAAGCCTGCAGTGGCAGACCCATCCACATCAATTTGTGAGAAAAATAAAATTCCTCTTGTTCATGCCCTAATTGATGAAGACCAATGATTGACAGTAGAAACAACAGCCAACATCACAGTCATCTCAACTGGTTGAGCTTACGCAATTCTGACCAAAAAATTAAAGTGGAGCAACTTTCCACTCGATGGGTGCCAAAACCATTGTGCCCAGATCAGCTGCAGAAAAGAGCAGAGCATTAATGGAAATTTTAAACACTTACAACAGGAAATGAAACATGTATTTTCCAGTATGACCCAGAAGACAAAGCACATTCAATGCAATGGCTACCAAGAGGTGGAAGTGCTCCAGTCAAAGCAAAAGTGGACCAGTCAAGAGCAAAGGTTGTGGCAACAGTTTTTTGGGATGCTCAAGGCATTTTGCTTCTTGACTTTCCGGAAGGCATTTTGCTTCTTGACCTTCTACTTATTATGAGAATGTCTTGAGAAGGTTAGCCAAAGCTTGAGCAGAAAAACATCTAGGAAAGCTTTGCCACGGAGTCCTTCTCCACCACAGCTATGCTTCTGCTCATTCCTCTCACCAAACAAAGGCAATTTTGTGAGCATTTCAATGGGAAATCATTAGGCATCCAACTTACAGTCCTGATCTGGCTCCTTTGGACTTCTTTTTGTTTACTAATTTAAAATATCTTTAAAGGACACTCATTTTCTTCAGTTAATGATGTAAGAAAGACTGCATTGACATTCTTAAATTCCTAGGACCCTCAGTTTTTTAGGAATGGACTAAATGTCTGGTATCATCATTTACAAAAGTGTCTTGACCTTGACGGAGATTATCAAGAAGCAAAGCTTATATTTTTATCTTCTAATTTCATTTTTCCATGAAAGTTTTGAAGTCCCTTCCCATATGTTCAAAGAATGAATAAGAAGCAGGCAAACTATTGAGAAAACACAATTTTATTTCATCTGTCTTTATTTCATTGTCTTTATTTCATCTGTCTGTACCTAACTTCTGGGCTGTAGACACAGAATTGTTGGGAGAGAGATGAAAGAACCTTCACTATATCTTCTCCCCTGCTTAACTTATTGTACATGGATATTGTTTTGTTGACATTGCCTTTGGTGCCACTGCTTAAGGCACCTTGTAATATATAGCTCTTACGTGATACTGTAAAATCATAGAGGTAGTACTAAAATGACTGAAGTTTGGAAAGCACTTAAATGTTCCTGGCAAATATATATATATATATGAATATATATAAAATAAAATAAAGTTATATAAAATATATATACAAAAATATATAATAAATATACATATGTATATACACACACACATACTCATGCACAGCTCTTCTATAGAGATATGTTCTGATAAATGTGTCATTAGGCAATTTTGCCATTGTGCAAATATTAGAGAGTTTACTTACACAAATTTAGGTGGTATAGCCTTCTACACACCTAGGCTGTATGGTATAGTCTATTGCTCCCAAGCTACAAACCTGCACTGCATATTATTGTACTGAATACTGTAGCCAATTTTAGCATAATGGTAAATGTTTGTGTATTTAAACATAGAAAAAGTACAATAAAAATGCAGCAAGGATGATAAAAAATGGTACACCTGTCTAGGGGACCTACCTTGAACAGAGCTTCCAGGACTAGGAGTTGCTCTAGGTGAGTCAATGGATGGGTGGTGAGTAAATGTGAAGGCCTAGGGCACTACAGCTACTACTGCAGACTTTGTAAATGCTTTACACTTAGACTACACTAAATTTATAAGAAATATTTTCCTTTCTTCAATAATATAACCTTAGCTTACCTTAAGGTTAAGTTTTAAAAATCCTTTGTTTCTTACTTCATAAGTTTTTTAATTTTTTAAAACTATTTGTCTCTCTTGTAATACTACCTACTTTAAAACACAAGCACATTGTACAGCTGTACAAAAATATTTTCTTTCTTTATATCCTTCTTCTATAAGCTTTTTCCTATTTTTATCTTTTAATTTTTTTTTGTTAAAAACTGACACACAAACACACATTAGCCTAGGCCTACACAGGATCAGGATCATCAATATCACTGTTTTCTACCACCACATCTTGTCCCATTGGAAGGTCTTCACGGGTAATAGCACGCATGGTGTTGCCACAACATTATAATGGTTACAATGACACTAGGCAATAGAAATTGTTTGGCTCCATTATAATATTATGGGACTACCGTCATTAATGCAGTATTGTTGGCTGAAATGTCATTATGCACCTCTCTCTCTCTCTGAGGAAGACAGAAGAGCTGCTTTGAACAGAATACTGTTCTATATGCCATCTGCATATAGAACTTCAAAAGTCTCAATAGAACCAATGTTCTTTGTCCAAGTTGATAAGGTAAAGAGCCCTGCATTGAGCATTAAAATAACTGACTATCCTGTTTTAGAGATGGAGGTACTCACACTATCAGGAAACACTGAGATGTTTAGCAATTATTAACAGTGAGAAATACTTTCTTATGTATGATATAGTCTTCCATTGGCCTTTTGTCTCCAGCAAAGATACTGGGGTACCATCTTCTGGGAAATCAGCCTTGAGAGAGTTATTTTCACCTAAAATTTGAAGGCCATCATTCAAAGCGCTCATTTTTTTTTCCCCTTCCCTGGTCAAATTCACTCGCAACTAAATATTTTTATTCAATCTTCTTTATCTTTTTATTATCTTTGTGGCTACATGATTAATATTTCTCTGAAGTTTGGTCACTATTAACTCAGTATAGTGCTGTACATTTATACTAACACATGGTCTACACCAGATCAAAATTATATCATATGCATTACCAATGTTCGAGTTAACAATTTATAAACTTCTGCACAGACATGCAGTAGTAGGCATTGCCATTTATGCTAAATTTCTGATACTAATAAACTATTTAAAACTGATGATTTTAGTTCCATTAAAATGCAGAATTTAGGTGAGGTTCTAAAATATTTTAATATTCATCGTATGGCACCCAGTTGTTTTTTCTTTTGTAATTTTGAAAAATTTTAAATGTCATTACATTTATAGTAGAAATAATCAAAGTCCACTTTCATTTACCACTTAGTTTCATGAGTAAAAAGTTCAAGTGAAATGTTCAATTTTTGTGAATTCACAATTAAAACCTTCAAACATTAGCTGAAATTTTCCAGCAATATATTTTATTTGATTATCTAAAGAGGGGGAACAAATTCTAATTGTAGCAAAGCATTAGTAAAGATAAGTGAAGCTCATGTAACTGTTATCCTCAAAGTCATTATTAAGTTATCTTGTGCTCATTTGCTCATGTTTAAACAAGATTTTCCATTTGCACACAGCAACAAAGTAGTCGTCAATATGCCAGTAACCACACAGTGATAAGAAAGAGCACAGCTATGTGAAGTTTAGAACAGCTCCTTTATTCAAATATCTACGAAATAAGAAAAAATTTGTAATGTACCATATATAAATGCAGTATGACGAAAAGTTATCAATAAAAAATATGGAAATAGAGTCAACATTTGTGTAGACTACCTTTACTAATGTCTAATCAGGAATGATCACTGAATATTATCTTGAGCCAGAAAGATCTTTTTAAAAATTCTTTGTCAATCTATTGCCAAGAAGTCCATTTCCACAGCTCTTTAACTTTAATAAACTATTTTTGGCAATGGGAAAAAAGAAAATGGAAAAAGAAATCAAGTGGAAATTATCATAACAAAATAAAAGTGACACAATGAGAAAGAATCTTAAAAATTAATCCCCCACCCTGATATTTTGGGGGAAAAACACTCAATTTTTCTATCATATATATTTTTCTTTTCTCTCTCTCCTCTGTGTGTGTGTGTGTGTATGTGTGTGTGTGTCTGTGTGTGTGTGCATTTTCCATACTACCAATGGGAGGCTGAAAGCAATGAAAGACAAAACATTGTAAGCATTTTTAAATATTCAAAATAAAATACAAAATAAATGTACCGCAAAGTCACACCTACCAGGCACCTGTATCAGTTCTACTTTGAAGATACAGAAAATGCTAAAGAGTTGTTCAAGTAGTAGGGCTAAGGACAGTAAGTCTCTTTATAGCTGCCATCTAATAAGGTTTTTTAAATTTTATATTTTTCTGCTACTCTGCTGCATGATTATACACACACACAAACAGACACACATCTACATACACACAGTTGGTCTTCTATATCCATGGGTTCCACATCTGTAGACTCAATGATTAGTAAATAGAAAATATTCAGGGGAAAAAATGTGTCTGTACTGAATATGTACAGTCTTCTATTTCTTGACACTATTCTACATCTAATAAAGTTAAAAAAACTATTTAAATAGCAATTACATTGTATTAGGTATTACTAGTAATTTAGAGATGATTTAAAGTATATGGGAAGATGTGCATAGGTTATATGCAAATACTACCATTTTATACCAGGGACTTGAGTATCCATGGATTTACCAATACCTCAGATACTGAGGAATGACTCTGTGTGTGTGTGTGTGTGTGTGTGTGTGTGTGTATGATGTTATGCTAAGTGATAAAAACAGATTTACAACTGATGTATTTGTTTAGGAAATTGACATCAGGAATGCAGCTCATTTATTTTAAGATAGTGTACTTGATAAAAAATACACTTAAGTTATACTTAAATATATTTCATTTATATTAAATATATTTTATTTTAATGTATTAAGAGTATTTATGTATATATTTTCTCACGAGAATTTAGGCTCTTTGAAAATGTATCATACATCTTTATCATTTATAATTACTACCTTGCACCCTTTTTCAATAATTGTTAAAATCACATCTGGAATCCCATAGCAATTGATGACATTTGGTTATAATTAGAGATTAAATCAAGTATATTGTATTTACTTAAAGTTTATTCAAATAATATTTTCAAAGTTAAAGAAAGGCCCATTATTTATTTCACAACACAAAATCATATATTGGGTAGTCGGAATTAAAGCAATCTAAATTTCCTAAAGCAAAGGAGATAGGTTTCTTTTTTCGTTTTCATTGTTTCAAGTAAAATGATTGTTTTTCCATAATTTAGAAAACAATAGTATCTTCACCGAAAAAAGTCATAGTTAAATGTCTTCCCACATCACACAAAAGATTTAAATTAATTATTGCTTATTTTTTCCTGTTTAAAATGCTAACAAGCTTAAAACATTATTTATATTTCACAGGAAAAATGATTCAAATTATCCTAATTAATGCAAAATTACCAAACCAAAATCTTACAAAAATTAGATGAGTCAGTTCAAAAAGTTAGATAAAAAGTCAAAGGTTGGCTCAAAAGAAGCAGTTGTACCTAAATGATTAAGTAACCACTTCTACAGAGGTATTTTTCACTCTGCGTTGGAAAGGTGCACTGAGGTTAATCTAAATGTAGCCTTTTTCATCTGTATACCAGTTTCCAGACTGTCTTGTGTGGTATAATTTACTTGTTGCTTGGAAAACCATAAACAAAAATAAGTGACACTATTACATGTATATGTGTAGTGAGACA
This sequence comes from Homo sapiens, assembly GCF_000001405.40. Taxonomy (NCBI): domain Eukaryota; kingdom Metazoa; phylum Chordata; class Mammalia; order Primates; family Hominidae; genus Homo; species Homo sapiens. Next base: position 212,381,489 of record NC_000002.12, read on the forward strand.
TTACTTTTTCCATGTTTTCTCCTCTAACCTAAAACTTTCTTAACTCTCCAAGCAATTGCAGCCTGTCTTCAAATACCACCAAATCAACCATTTTGAGTTAAAATTGGGCTCTCTGCCAAGTAATTAGTCATGTCTCCAATTGCCTTATTAGATTTATTCATGACGGAATCATATTATGACCAGAAAAAAATCAGAGCCCCAATAAAAATCCAGTTGAGCTGTCTAGGCATCACTTAAAATTAATGTAACAAAAATAAATTTATTCATAAATGCATTATATACCCTCACAGATAACCAAGTCTTGAAAAAGTCAAAGCTCAGAATTGTAATTATTTTTTGATATTTCAACTACCCAGAACTAACCTACATTAAATCTGTTTTTATATATTATAACTTTATATGACATCATTCTTTTTTTCCCCTTAACATTAAAAACAGTTTCCCATATAACTCCAGTGCCTGTGTGATATTCTGTAGATCCTCACTACTCAAAGTGTTGTTTATGGAGCAGAAGCAACAGCATCACTTAGGAGTCTGTTAGAAATACAGAATTTTAGACACCTCCCCAGGCCTACTAAATCAGATTCTGCATTTCACTATAAATATATATTATTATACACATACACACACATACATATACACACATAAATGTATATTATACACATACAATATATATTATACACATGCACACATACATATAAACACATATAAATATATATTATACAAATATACACACATACATATATATACACATTATATATTTACTATATATTTATACTATACACATATATTCATACACATGTATACATATTCATATTATACACACATGTATATACACTATATAAAACACATATGTGCATATACACTTATTAAAGTTTGAGAAATATTTTTGTGAACTCTATGTAAAAATGTGTGTATTTTTTCCTGCAATAAAACAACTTTATAATATGACAATATGTAGTATACAACTGCATATATATTTATATAGTTCACATTGTCCTACTATAAGTTCAGGTTGTTTGTAAATGTATCTAGTATTAGGAACTGTTCAATGAATATTTTAATTTATATGTATATTTTCCCTGAATTTCTGAATCTTTCCTCAGGAATGATTCATGAAAATGAAAATACTTGAATAAAGAACTCTACATTGTAACAGTTGAGACAGACACTTCCAAAGTGTTTTCTAGATTACAAGAATAACAGCGGTATTTTTTCTGCACTAACACCTACATTATTACTTGTTTAATATAGATGTTTAATAGCAGGAAAAATAGTATCTCACATTAATTATAATTTGTAATTATTTTATTGCTAGAGAAGTTAAACAATTTATCATGTTTTTTCTTTTTGTACTCTTCTTTTGTGAATTTTTCTGTACATTTTATTTCCCAATACATTCAGGACTTGGTATCTTACTTACAATATTATAACCCTTTTAAATATTGAGGGTGTTATGTCTCTTTCTGTGAACAAGTGGCATTTTTTTTTCTACCTTACTGTTTTTTATATTGCGATATGGTGCTTTTGACTTTTATGTAGTTAATAAAAACTAACAACTTTTTCAATTGTTTTTAAGCTTAGAGAGTCTTTACCCATTCAGATACTCGAAATAATAAATCAAGTGTGTTTACCTTTTTCTATAGTTTGATATTTTCAATAGCCATGATTTTGCATTGAATTTATATTATTATATGCAATGTAATAAAGACCTAACGTATTTCTTTTTCCCAGATGACTTACCAGTTAACCATCAACTGGTCTACCTACCTACACCCTACAATTGGTTTATGAAGAAAATCTTGTATTTATTAAAAATATACTGATTAATTCTAAGAATATAGGCACATATTTACTTCTTTCCTATTTCTTAGAAGTTTCTACTTATTCATATTTCTTAGAAGTTTCCACTTATCCGAAAGAAAGAAGGAAAGAAACAAGAGTATCAAACTTTTCCCTAATTTGTGAAAAATATGACTGCATGTTTTAGTACAGTCTATTGACTAGTAAATCTTTTAAACAATTATTTTATGCTTGACACTTTAGTGGATATTGTGGTGGATACAAATATAACTTTAACATGCAATGTTTAACCTCAGGAAGCTAAAATTCACCTCAAGAGACAAAGCATACCAAACATTTAGATGTTAAATCTGCTAGCTTTCAGGAATTCAAGGAAGGGGAAAAAGAATGATGAGAACAAAACTGAAGAAAGCTTTGTGAAAGGTTAGAGCTTTTCTAGTAGTTGGGAAGCACAATTCAGGTTGAAGTCACAGCAAGTACAAAGTACCTTTAGTTATCTGTGTTATCGAAGACAATTATTCCTACATTTATTATGATTAATTAGGCACATGTCAGGCTTCCTAGTTCATCACAGATTAATTTTAAGGACCACAGTTTTACATTTCCAATGTCCTACAGAACTCTGAACACAGTGCATTACCCATTGTCATTGCTTGCTTGACATTTGTTCAATTAAATTGCTTTTGATCTTGTGCACGAATTTTTATAAATATTACTCCTGATGGGCTAGTATATATTTTACCAGTATCTCTGTGTTGTATTTTAGAATAAAGGTGTCCTAAAGGTTATGAGAGTACTGTTAATACATTCCAGACCCAGTGGCTACAAACTCTTAATAAGCACAGAAGCTGCTTTTCCTTCCTCCAAGCGAAACATCATAAAAAGTAAGTGACAGCAATTGTGACCCTATCTGTAGAAGTTTATGAGAACAATTTAAGGACAGATTGAGTTACAGTATTATTGTAACACCTCATCAAAATTCTTGTCCAGATTTTTAGCAGTGACTTAAGACAAGTAGACTGGCCTGTTACTGCTGGGATCACTTCCAGCATCTTACCCAGAGCACCAAATTACCCTTTTCAGTTAACCCCAGTTATTTTTCTCTCTCCTTCTTGTGACGGAGAGAGTATATAAGAAAAGGGGCTCTTTGGCTGTCTAGGGCAAGAGGCAAATTCTTTTCTACCATTCTGCTTCCAAAGAGACAAATTCCTGAAACTACTGTGACATTACATTAGCAGAGAAACTTATGAAAAGGTCATGTCTAAAGACTTCATTTGATTTCCTCTTATCAGCCTGAAGCCATTTAATAGCTACATTTTAGTTTTATAACTATTTCAAAGAGCAATATATGTACAAAAAATTAACCATGTTTAGCACAAAATGGCAATAATTTATGCTAGTGTAATGACATAATTACAGCATTCATTTTCACCATTCATTTCCACCTAAAGTTAGTTTTCTAAAGGTAATGGGAACCAATATGGATTTTCCTAAGAAAACATCTGGCAGTTAAATTTCAGGAGTGAATTTCTACATGAGGGAATGTTGTAAATGCAAAGGAAGAATAGAATTGTTGTTCTTAAATTCCATGTTTGTGGAATATATATATATATATATATATATATATATACACACACACACACACTCACACACACAAACACACACACATTATAACTACTACCCTACAAGGTGTTCCACAATATATTATTTTTAAAAGAGAGATAAAAAAGAATCGTTTGTGTAGCTGCAATCTTCATGTTTATGACAGAAAAATTCAACAGTGTTTGCAAACTAACTGGAAGATTACACTTTATTGCAAATAAACGGCTTAAGAAACCTAATTCAGCTGTGATGGATCTCAGGCTGACAAATTAAAAGACTGCAGGCAATGGCTGTAAAAATGCTTTTTCTGCAAGATTTACTTCAGCATGTTGAATAAATATATTATACCTGTTAGGCTTAATTCTATATTTAAAATAAATCCTGGATGGTGTGGGGTTTTGATAAAGGTATTCAAATATATGGAATATAGTGCTTTTAACAAAGGATTCCCAGGAGGAAATCAGTGGACAACAATGTTGAATGTACTCCTCACTCATCGACAAACCACATTTTCCTTTCTAAATAAGCTGTGAAAATCCTATCTGTCTATGTGAGTCAACATCCCATTCAAAGATTAAAACAAGCCCATACACGATCACCTTTATCTGTACAAATTAAGCAACTCTCTTCTTGATATAAACCAAAAGGAAACCTAGTTTATTTTCAAAATCAAGTTTATGCTCCTGAAATAATTTTGAGAACTGAAATTTTGATTATTCTTATTTACACCTTTCTGCTTGCTGTTAATAGTATAGATGCCAATCCCTCAATCACAAGAGAAAAAGTAGTTATGTGGGTCTTTTTTGTTTTGTTTTGCTTTTTTCAAAAAACCTATAATATTCATATAAACTTCAAGTGGAAAGAATGGGGAAAGCAGTAATCCTATACTTGAGGTAAAAGCAAATAACAACAGATAAAACCCAAACAGAATTTATATATTGAACATTTTTATTTTAAATTATTCCATATCCAAAATTTCACAGTCTTACATATAGGCAGACTATTGTTTTATCCACATTAAGAAACAACCTCTGAGTTACTAGTATTTCTTTTTATAAAAGTAGCTTTGTTTAATATCCCCATTTTCCATATTTGCCAAAAGGGTAAGACAATCAGTCTCTATCTTACCAGCGAAGACCAGTCACTCTCTCTGTGTCTTCCTCTCCCTAGGTCTTCCAAACCTGATCCTTAAGTTTATTTATGTGTCTGTCATCCTTTACCACTTGATAGCTTTTAAAATACAAAAAAAAAAAATACACTTTTTTGTATTTTTAGAACTGAGTGTTTTTTATCGACTCCCAAGGATTCACCTTCCAGGTAAACACTTATTGCCAAACTTCTATATTTGGCCCACACCTCTTTCCTAAATTCAGTTGCCATAAGATATTTGTATTATCTCTCCATGATGTCTCATAGGCACATCAAATACTAACTTATCACATACATCCTAGAATCTCTCATTCTTTCTCCAGGTTTGGGTGGGGAATGGCACAATCATCTACTTATGTCCTTAAGACAAACACCAGGAGTCAAGATACTCTGGTAATCAAAGCTGCCAAATAGATCTAAACTTATTTCCCTCTCTACATATGAACAATTAGAAAGCTACCTATTCATTCTCCACACTACCAAGAGAGTTCTATTTTGTAAAAGCAAATATACTACTTCCTTTCTTTCTTAAAAAAAAAAAAAAAAACCCATTAACTTTCATTACCTTCTCCTCTGGGACAAATTACCTAGCATAAAATGAACAGAACTAGGCCCCAACTACACTTTATCTTGTACCATTCATCCTAACTTGCCTTGTTATTGCATGCAACACTACTTCCTCTACCTGGAATAAGCTCACTACCCTCCTTGTTCTTTTAGAATTAAGTTACCACCCTTTATTCAAATGTGTTTCCTTGTTTCCATAATACTAACCATATATTTTAATATAGAGGTCATTAAATTGTCTTGAAATTATGGATCTCTCTGATTATCTTCTTACTGTTCCAATGATTTTGTCTTATTCATCTGTACATTTCTTACATAGTGGCATGGCTATAATAGGTTCTTAATAAATTTTGAATGAACCCTTAAGTAAATAGTAAATGACTGAATGAATGAAGCTGATCCCTCATTTTGGAAGAAAGTGGGGTATTTTAACCATACATAATCACCTTTTCTTTTCCTTCTAGTATTAAAAATCAAGCAAATAAAATAACCTGAATTCATCCAGTTTAGAAATACTTCTGAAGGTAGATATTATATGTATCTGTCTACAAAGGAGTACGGTTATTTGTATCTTTTTGGTTTGGTGTATGGAACATGATAATATCTTATTTTCTGGATACAAAGCGAACTATAAATAAACCCTTAGCCTTTTGCTGAATTTTAGCTAATATCAAGCATAGTTTTAAAGTGCCAAAAGCCACAAGAAGCAAAAAGCAAGAATGCATACAGCAGCGTTGAAGAATTTGGGCCTCATGTCTGGAATTCACCATAATAAGGCTTTGGTACTTTCTATCTCAACTGAAGTCTTACTTTGATACAATCTGCCTCTTGCAGTTAGAACACATTTTTTTTTTTTCTTTTTTTGAGACAAAGTCTCAGCTCACTGAAACCTCTGCCTCCTGGGCTCAAGCAATTCTCCTACCTCAGCCTCCCGAGTAGCTGGGATTACGGGCACACACCACCACGCCCAGCTAATTTTTGTATTTTTAGTAGAGACGGGGTTTTGTCATTTTGGTCAGGCTTGGTTCAAACTCCTGACCTCAGGTGATCCACCCACCTTGGCCTCCCAAAGTGCTGGGATTACAGGTGTGGGCCACCATGCCCTGCAAATTAGAACACATTTGAATCTTGAACATTTTGAATTCAGTTTATTCTGAAATTTCTGTGAGAGAATTAAGTGTTATATCCCTTTGTATATGCTTTGATTTTTCAAGAGTACACTTTTGGTTAATGTGAACAACTCAGCAACAAAGATGATTAACGGCAAAGATGGCTGCATACATACTATATTCAGAGCATTGTATAATTAACTAGGTGTGTATAGAAACCATGCTCAAGACAAGGTTTTCTGATCTCTTGAGGCTCACCACCTAGAAGTAATATCAGTATTAGAATTTTCTGAAATATTATAACATATTGCAAGCAAATACCTTCTTGAATATGCCGTTAGAGAGAATATAATGCTTCTATATAGATCCCTTGATATCTGAAATGGGTGTTAAATTCTCAGTTGAGGAGTAATCAGTAAGCTCATGACTAATCTGACTGTACTAACTAGAGTTTTATAAAAAGATACAGAGAATTTATTAAAATAGGAAGAAGTAAATGATTTTCTAGTTCAGTTGGAAGTAGCTGTTAACTCAGAAGTACTAATAGGTTGCTGCATGATTTGAAATAGATAAAATGGATATCAGAAAAGATTTTCTTCCTAAAGCATTTTATTTGAAGTGGTCAGAATAGGACAAAGCATATGCTTTCAAATAATTAGATTTGAAAGGGAAGAATTGCTAAATAGGAGGATCTTGAAGCCAGCATTAAACACATACAGGCTGAATGCCTCAAGAATGGTTCTATTCTTCTCAGAGTTCTTCGTGCTGTTATACCTGGAACTGGGCAGAGAGGAAATCTGAGCAGCCAGAGCACAAAGGGTAAACACTAGGGTTAAAGAAGTCACGAACATTTTCCTCCAGAGGGTTGTCACGGATGGACTGGAATGGACAAAGTCAGGCATCAAAAAAATGGACTGAACCTAGAAGCAGAAGAAATGCCATATTTCATGGGATATTTTTCTCCCTTCCTATCTTGAGAAATGTCGTCATTGTGGGCATACATGTACATATACTCTTAGGTATTATGAAACATTAAAACACAATGCCTAAGAATTAACAGACCGTTCTTAGGGCCAATCTTGAGAGCCTTGACTTACTTTGTACCACAAATTTGTTGATGAAAAGAATTTATTTTCTAATTTCAAAATATTAGATGGCTGCTGGATTTCTCTAACAAAGAAGAATCTGAACCAGAAATGGACCAACCTAAATAACTGAACAAGGCATCTCTAAATATAATTCAACTTATATATGCTGCAATTTGTACCTGCTTTACAAGTCAATAAGCAGCTTTTATGTGATCTGAGAAACTGGTGAAAAAGTGTATAGACTACAGGTTAGGCAGTTTGGTCAGAACCGCCTTTATGGGGCAAAATCTCAAAATTTCAGGTGGCAGTTTCACAAGCAAGTGCCTAAATCTGATGTTCCAGCATAACATTAGCAAACCCCTCTTACATTTTGGTAAATGTGATGTAGTTACATAATGATTATCCAATAAGCTAAAAGAGGAGACAAAAAGTATGATTTAAAAATAGATACATATATTGAAAATGAGTATTCACCAAAATATAATCCTACCTCTAAAACAAGTATAGACCATATACACATATAGGCATGTTGTGTCAGAAGTAGAGATCAGTGTTCAAAAGTTGCTGATTTTACTTAGAGTTCAAAGTATACATTAGTAAAGCCTGAAAATATGATATCAAAAGCAAAACTACATCTAATATTTTCCTTATTTTCTTGTTGTGCTTACAGTTACCATAAGAAAGCCTGAAAAATTCAACTCTGGTCAATCAGCACTCTATGGGATAAAAGAATTCACTCACTCACTCATTTCTTTATACAATACTTTAGCAAATATGGAACACTGTGTATTTGCTAAGCACTCTCCCAGGCACTGGAAATATAACAGTGAGTAAAACTTACAAGTCTCCACGGAATTTGTGTTCTAGTGCACAGTACATTAATATTACTAAAATTATTTTAGTAACCATTTGTTGAGCATATATTGTGTACTTGGCATTATATTAAAATTTAGCTCTCTTTTGTGTGTATAATTCTAAATTATATTCAGAGCTTCATGTGATTGCTAACTTTCAAAAACATACAACAAATAATTTTACATAAGACAGGTGAAATTCAGCTGATGTTATTAAAATGGTATAATAACTCATGTGCAGTTATAACTCAAACCCAGGTCTGTCTTATTAAAAAAAAAAACTCTGCTCTAGACTCTGCTGTGCTCTCTAGAATAAAAGAAATAGCCCTCATTCACCAATGAAAAATGAATGGTTCAGAGAGAGTAAATGATTTTCCTCCTTAGTAATATAATGGCCAAGTTGAAGAGGCTGGAAAGAGAAATGTGTTACTTTAAATGAGGAAAAGCTGAAATGCAAAATCTTAAATGACTTATGTAACTGTAAATTAAAATGTAACATCTCAGGAATTTTCATTTAAAACATATCTAAAATGTAGTCATACCACAAAAGAAATTTTCACTGTTAATTGAGTTTATTAAGGATTTGTACATTGTACCACTTCAGGGCAGGGACTTCATTTATTAGTATTTTAAGTATTATTAAAGAGTATGTAAATCAATTTAAGTAGACTAAGAAACATTCTAAATATCAAGTTTTATTTAATTTTGTTTTTCTTGTTATTGTTTTAAATAATGAAATCATTTTTCACCTGTTATCTCTGAGGGAATTTACACACATTAAAAAAATCATATATAAAGTCTTTCTCAGCTAACAATTCTGCCAAAACAATATGTTCAGAACATCTATTCTTTTTTCTTTTGCTTCATTTATATTGCTCAAATACCACTAGTGACCTAGATGCTAGAAAGGAAAGCTATGCTATGTCCTTCAATATATAATGAGGGATTACAAAATGTAATTCACTGAAACAGAAGATTATAATATCTAATACATATGCATTTTTCTTCAAATGGATTTATGAACACTTTCTCCAGGACACTCCTCAAAAGACATCATATTTCCTTAATTTCTTTATTGGTGCCGGATATCTTCCACAAGTCTTTTTATTTTTTCTTCTTTAAGCTTAATACTTTCAGACACAAGGAAGGTTAAAGTTCAAAAAAGGGACATTAATTGTTTTCATGGTCCACAGGTCTTACTTTATATATAGCACAGTTTTATTGTGAATATTCTATGCAGAATTGGTTAAATAAAAATAGTTATTTTCATGGTTTTAAAACAAATCTAAAAATGCACAATTCCTTTCATGTAGACACATTTAGCTCTCTGATGAAATTCCTAAAATATGTGAAAGTGAGATAGCATATAACCTCATCAGTTCACTTTCACTGCTGTGTTTACGTCTTAATAAATGACCACCATCCATGAACTAATATTTCCATTACTTTAACACAGACAACTTCAAATTCATCAAGATCTTATGCCTTATCAATAGAAAACAGATGTCCTAAAATACACCAATAAAATTGTTTCTTTTAGGCGTTCTACTTAAAACTCCAACTAAATTTAATGTGCAATAATTAGAACAATAATAAGTTTTATGAAATTCTCTGATTGTCTATATGATTAACAGAAGTATAAATCATTATCAATAGTAAACTATATCTTTAAAGGTAAGATTTATTTTGGTCACCTTTCTGTCAGCAGTGCCTAGTACAATGCTTCATTCACAGCTGATGTTTAATATATTTGCTTAATGAGCAGACTTTAATTAAAATAAATTATGTTCTCTCATCAAAGTAAAACCTTATCAGTTCCCAAATTGAATTTTAACCCCTAAACTAAAATATTTAGACCTTCTGCATTGTATGGCCTCATAGATATATCACCAACAGCACTGTCTATAAAATTATGGATTCTTCAAAGTCTCTCCTGTACAGCAATGTGAATATTATATGTCAATATATTATATTGACATATAATATTATATATTATATTATGTATTATATTTTATATATATTATATATATTATATTATATATTATATATATTGACATATATATTATATATATGACATATATATTATATATAATATTGACATATATTATATATATGTCAATATATTATATTGACATATAATATTATGTGGGATTATATATAAAAGAAGTTATATATGGTACATGTAAATTTAAAGTATCTACATATGATTGTCTTTGTTCTATTTCACAGTCAGAAACAAGACTCCCCAAAATTGACAAAATAAATAAAATAAGCAATGCGAAATTTTTAATTTAAAAGGATTATAGGTAAATGACCTACTTTTTAGCTATTTAGGATGACTGAATAGAACTTGAAATATTCACCATCTTTACAGTTTTTATTGGCACATTTTATTGGTTACTATAGACACGTAACCATCAAAATGAATATAAAAAGAAGGCTTTTAAGAGGGTCTGTAAAACATACATCAATGATAAAAAAGGAAAGGCATCTCTGTTTCTCCTAATCCATAAGACTACTCAGAGTGACTGTGAATCACTCAGACCAATGTCCTTAGTCCCTTCAGAGAAATCTAAGGCATTTAAATTATTGAGTCATGCCTCAATTACATGGTCAGTGACTCAAAAACATGTTTCTTATTACATAAAATAAATCTTTAAAAAAATGAGTCAGGAAAATGGCAAGAGGGAAATGTAACATGGAAAAGAAAAGAAGCCAAGATTCCTAAAATTAAAATTTAAGAAAAGGCATACAAGAAAGCAAGAGATAAATTTTCGAAATTACTTAGGAATTGTATGTCTTAACTCATTCAATAAACATTATTAAAATCTACCTCTCTGCTGAGACCTGTTTGGTAATAAATTCTGCTAGGTAACAAAGATATACAGAACTCAATACAGCAAACATGCATTATCTGGGCAAAGAGATATTTAATGCAAGCAAGTAAATTAAAATGTCATTCGATATTAAGCTAATCTAAAATAGCACAGAGAATGAGTTCCCGATCATCCTTTAAGACCCAGCTCAAATGCTTTCTTTATGAATCCCTCCTTTTTCTGTGCACATCTTTTTTGTGCAATAATCACATATTGCTTGCATTATAAGTGTTTTATATCATATTACATTACTGGTCAACAAACTATGAGCTGTGAGCAGAGATTATATTCTCTGCTAAGATGATATTCTCTAACTAAGACAGATTGATTTAGGATGGCATCAGAGATTTATTAGGTGGCTGCTCCCCTATCATTTTCTGCTTGTGCCACTTTTGTTCCCCGGCAATCACCCTACCTTTTATTTTCATGCTTTAAGGTCTTCTAGGACTGACAGAGAAAGCAGTAAGATAACCAGGGGAACTACAATAGCCACCAAAGCAAGCCCTGGGCAAATTGGCATGGCTCAAATCCCTTGCATTTTCTTTTTTCTACCATTAAATATGCCTCTCTGCTCTCTCCAAACCTGAACCTACTTGGGCCTGTTCAAATTATTCTGTCCCATGTGGCAGACCTTGCTTATCTACAAACTAAAGTGTCTTTGGGTCCCATTTTCTCAAGAATCTGTTTTATAAAAGTTCCAATCTTTAAACCAAAAATTATAGTGCCTATTTCAATAGGGAAGAATAAATTACCCTTATGAGCTATCACACATTCATTTTTAAGGGAGCTTTTTATAAAAGCTTTCTATCCATAAAGCAAACTCTACATATATGAATCAAAACCACTGAACAGGGAGCATTCTTTGCTGGCAAATAGGTGAGAGGATTAATTTACTTATGATATAATAATAACATATGAAATAATAATATATCATTACTTAACAATAATAAAACGTACCACCTTTGGCTACACACAATCAGACACTCTAGGCACCTTATTTACATTACTTCATTCTATTCACACAATAATCTTTGTGAGAATAGGGTATGTGGATGTTCTTGTCTCTATGATACATATGTATATATTATGACAAAGAGAAGGTAAATACTTTTTCCAGGATTACTCAGCTGGTACAAGAAAGATCAAGATTTGATCTTGGATCCACCAGACCCCGAAATAAAATCTCTTTTTCAAAAATTTCCCTAAAAATGTTGCTGTGGCAGATTCTGTTGGTCATATATTAAAAATAGTTCTTTTTGTCTACATTTCCTAGCTTCCTTTGCAGTAAGGTGTGAACATGTGCCTGAGTACTAGGCCAATGAAATAGTAAAAGAAGTCATTTGTTCCACTTCTAGGCCAGATGCAAAAATGCCTCCCATTTCCCCTCTGCCAGTTGGAGACTGTTAAGTAAGGCAACCTTGAAAGTCAAATGCTAAATATGGCAAAATTTCTATTAGTCTGAGTTGTTGAATGACTATGTGGTATAGAATCCACTTGCATACCCTTTACCTCTAATGCCACTGGATCTGCCTTAAACTAGTGAATGATTAAAATATTATTTTCTATTGTGCTTGAGTCCTTATACATTTTTAAATTCTATTTGTTACAGCATCTAGCCCACCCTAACTAAAATGGTCTCATGTACAAATGTAGTCTGAAAGGACTTCCCTGAGGAAATAAACTCTAGGCTAAATTATACTCATGACTATGTTTTCCAAAGTTTGGATAATTTAAAATAATAAAAGAAATTCATTTAATATTTTAAATGTGGCATCAAAAATATTAAATTTACAATGAGAAAATTATTTTGAGTTAATATTATAATGGTACTGTCGCTAATATAATGTTAATCTATTGCCTAGGAATTATTAACCATTTTGTCAACATGAAAATTCAAGTAAATAAGGCCTCAGATATAATAATAAAACTGGACCACCATCTTGACCATTTATATTTTCCTGTTATCATTCTATCAATATTCATTTTTAAAATGTGCATTTTAGAAACATAATTTAATTTATAGACCATTAATATTCATTTTGAATTAGAGATCAGAAAAGATGTTTACTACCCCTTCACTACTTATGTTAAATATTTTCTTCCACGTGCTTCCATGTGCTTATTTCATGTGTTTCCATAATTTTCTCTATACTTACCTTGTTTAGTGTCTCATTCAAGCACTAGAAAATTTATAAAATGAAGTATTTTGATTGTGAAAGCCCTGTAACATGAATGAAGACATAGAGAAAACTGAATTGAAAAAATATTCAAAGCAACTTTAGGAAATGACGCTGCATTTGGAAATACAGTTTAGTAACGTAATAATCATTGTCATAGTCATATTTTGACTTTGGGATACACTGACCTGAAGGAGAAGAATTGGATCAAATCTAAGTTAAGATCAAGTGGCCTTAAACGTCAACTTCCAGATCCAAGTAGTGATTATCAATAAGCATAATATGAATACATTAGTAAAACATAAAACTTTCACAGGTTTGCTGCCAAATTTTAAACAATATCTAAAAGTCACTATTCTTAACAACTGAGTATCCATACTGAAATGGCAGTGTCTGCTATATATATGTGTATATACATATTCTTGAGTTATCTAATGCAGTATAGAGTAGGATTCTTTGGTCTCCTCCTTAATTGATATGTTATCTACTAAAAAGTCAAGGTAGAATCCTCGCATTATTCTTAATTTTTTATCAGATTTTGAATAATACTTCAAATGGTGATTATCTTTGTGGAGGAGAGGAGAGAAAGGCAGGTGAAAGAATAGGGAGGAACATAAAGCTTTATATATTATAATAATATTTTACAATTGGCTGTGAGCTTATAAGCATTGATTATATTATCAAATAAATAAATAAATATAAAAGAAAATAGAGGTGTGTCACGTAAAGGATACTGATACTGAATCATGATGATGAATTCACCTGTTGACCTAATGTCCTAAAATAAAAAAGAATTAAGCCTATGCTAAGGAAAGAGCATACCTTTATGCTTACCGCTATGTGTTAGCATCTTTGGCTTGGGAGTATTAATGACAGGACAGAATAGCAAACAGTTACACTCTTTTTTTTTTTTTTTTTTTTTTTTGAGATGGAGTCTCGCTCTGTCACCAATCTGGAGTGCAGTGGCACAATCTCACCTCACTGCAACCTCTGCCTCCCAGGTTCAAGCAATTCTCCTGCCTCAGCATCCTGAGTAGCTGGGACTACAGACATGTGCCACCACATCCAGCTAATTTTTGTATTTTATTAGAGACGGGGTTTCACCATGTTGGCCAGGATGGTCTCGATCTCTTGACCTCGTGATCTGCCTGCCTCGGCCTCCCAAAGTGATGGGATTACAGGTGTGAGCGACCACGCCCAGCCAGCTATACTTTTTTACACAGCATGAAGATCAACCCAGTGGATAACTACTGAATCTTTTAGAGATACTACGAGAGTCTTATATAGGAGTGGTGATTGTGTGTTAATTATAACTGATGGTTTTATGTGCTTTAGGATGTTTTTAATACTTTTAAGATATTCTGCCAAAAATTCTGATTTTTAAGCGTGTGCTCAAATAGAAACAGTTGGGAAACTACTTGTCTGGAAAACATTGAAAAGAATGAAATATTTTAGCAATATTCTCCTTTAAAATGCTTTAATGAACTCCAGAGGAGTCCTTATAAGATCTGGGACAAAGGTATATTTTGCTGGAGTCTATTAGCACATTCCAGCCCAAAATTCAGAATGAATCCAGAGATGATCCTCTACAGTTACTTAAGCTTCTCAAAGCTTTTTAAAAGCCTAACTTAAGAAGCCATATAGTTCAGTGATTCTAATGCTAGATTGTCTGAATTCAAACCCAAGTTTAGCCACTCACTAACTCTCTGGCCAGAGCAAGATACCAACATTCTCTCTGGTTTGGTTTCCTCCTCTGAAAAAGGGGGATAATCAAGATACCTATGATATAGAATTACTGTGAGATTTAAGTTAATATAAAGTTCTTAGAATTTAATGCCCCAGATATAGTAAGAACCCCGAGATATTAGCTATTATTACCCTTACAGAAATTTCATGGCCTACAGAGATCTCCAAAAAAGGGGTTTCAATTATTTTAATGTGGCAGATATTTAGATGGGACTGGTTCACAATACCTACTTAAGCCATAGCAGACCCAAACCAATTATTCTAATATGTATTATATTTTTTACTTAATGACATGAGTAGTTTTTTTGAATTATTTCTTAAAAGAAGTTCTTTAAACATCTCTAATTGTGATTTTTACTCCTCAATCCACAGAGGAAGATAAAGTTTAAGAATTTCTTCAAAGTTTTCATCATAATAACCTCCTACATTTTAAACAAATAAGAATGTGTCTGTACATAAAAACAAAAAATAAAATCATTCTGATGTATAATCTGATTGTTTTCAAAGAACAATAAATGTATATTATTCCATTTTAATGACTGTATATTAATCAATTGGTATTGTATATTTATGTAACCATTTAATCCCATATTTTAGATATTTTAAATAATCTTTACCATACTTCTTCTATTGTTAAAAAACATATAAATGTCTTATTTTTCCAGATGTCAGAATATTGTCCTGTAATATAGTTATAAAATATCAGAATGGCCTTTTAAAATACATATTGCTAGGCAGGCCATGGTGGTTCATGCCTGTAATCTCAGCACTTTGAGAGACTGAGGCGGGAGGATCACTTGAGCCCAGGAGTTTGAGACCAGCCTGGGCAACATGGTGAAACCCACTCTCTACAAAAAATACAAAACAGCCAGGCATGGTGGCACGCTCCTGCAGTCCCAGCTACTCAAGAGGCTGAGGCGAGAGTATCAGTTGAGCCTTAGAGGTCAAGGCTACAGTGAGCCATGATCTTGACACTGCACTCAGCCTGGGTGACAGAGCAAGCCCCTGTCAAAAGACAGAAAAGAAAGAAAAAAAGGAAGGAAGGAAGGAAGGGGGGAAGGGGGGAAGGGAGGGAGGGAGGTTGCAACTTTGTCTTCCAAATCAATGGGATTTTACAAGGTTGCATTCATACCTTGTTATTACACTCCTCTCTTTCCTATATCTTAACAACATGATTTTTAAATTCTGCCAAGCTTATGGTCAAAGATTATAGAAAAGTGTTAATTCTATGTGGATATATTTGACTAAATATGAACATTTCTCACATTTTCAATTGTTTGTTGTTTTTATATTGTGTTCATTTTTCTATCAGGGCATCTATTTATCTTAGTTCCTGGAAAGGTTGTAATCTATTAAGGATATTGATCAATTGTCAAATGTATCAACTAATGTTTCCAGACTTATTTTAATATTGTTTATAATATCTATAGTGTTGTTTTAAAATGGGAGAAACTGATAACTCTTTACTTGCCAAAATTAGGAATATGAAACATCATACGGCCATTTCAAAAGTGTCATTTTTGAGAAATGTTACATGAAAAGGAAAAATGTGAATAGTGATAATATCTGAAAAGAATAATCAGGAAATAAACTCATATATATATAAATTAATGATCACTGAAATATAACCTGATACATATATATGTGTGTGTGTGTGTGTGTGTATATATATACACATATATATATACACACATATATATGTATTATAACCTCAAAGTTGGAAAAGAGAATGTATATTTAAGGCAGTAAAGCTATATAGTAAAATATTCATTATCTCTGGGTAATGGGGTTATGGGTGTTTGTTTTGTTGTCTTCTCTTTATTCTTTTCTCTGGAGCACATATATGTGGTTTTTAAAATCAGGAAAATGTATTAGTAAAACCAAACTTTATTCAGTGACAGCTTGAACCAAATATCCAACATAAGAAAAGCTGATGTCACTTAAAGATTTCCACACTTCTCTGAAAACATAATAAAATTTTATGGCTATACAAGATCAATAGTTCATCCTAACAAACACGCTCATCCAAAATGCCAACATGATCATTGTAATGTTAATTAAATTTTATTGTCACAATAAGTTAAGAATGGCAAGACTGCAGGCTGAGATGTTGACTTAAAGATGGAGCTAAATGTTTTATTGCTAGATTTGCTTATAGACAGAGCTAATTACTTAAATTACATTTACATGTTTTTGTTACTAAAACAATTGTATTTGTAAAAGACAGTGCATTTAAAAGAAGGATAATTTTACATGCCTCTACAATTTGATCAAGTTATGACAATAATTCATGAAAGCATTTAATGAGGAATCTCATCTTAAAAAAAAAGTGATTACACCAACTCATTGATTCTTATTCAAGATTTTTCAAGGCTTAAAAGACCAAAGCAGATAGCATATTAATTTATTAGTGTAAAAATATGTTTTCTGAAAACAACTTCTATTTCAAGATATGTCTGAAAATATATTGTTCATTCTATTTATTTTATTATTATTATTTTTGATACGGAGTCTCGCTCTGTTGCCCAGGTTGGAGTGCAGTGGCGTGATCTTGGCTGACTGCAACCTCTGCCTCCTGGGTTCAAGCGATTCTCTTACCTCAGCCTCCCAATTAGCTGGACTAAAGATGCCCACCACCACGCCTGACTAATTTTTGTATTTTTAGTAGAGACAGGGTTTCACCATGTTGGCCAGACTGATCTCAAACTTCTGACCTCAAATGATCTGCCCACCTTGGCCTCAGAAAGTGCTGGGATTATAGGTGCGAGCCACTGCACCTGGCCCATATTGTTCATTCTAAACATTCTATATTAAGATCTATATTATTTACCAATCCTACCTATAGAAAGAAATGATATGAGGCAAATATTTTCAGACATATCTTGAAATTAAAATGGTTTAATTATTATTGTTCTACAGTCCAACTGATACAAAAGTATTAAGGGGTTATTTACTTTAACATTTGTTTATGATGAAATGTGATTCTGCACAATGGTGATCACTCAGATTTTGTCAATCTATTCACCTTCAATCTAAGGGCTGCTATTAATAAGTCATGCCTCCCCTGATATATATTTTATATATACATATATATATATATATATATATATATATATATATATATATTGGGCGTGGTGTCTTATGCCTGTAATCCCAGCACTTTGGGAGGTCGAGGTGGGTGGATCACCTGAGGTCAGGAGTTCGAGTCCACCCTGGCCAACATTGTGAAACCCCGTCTCTACTAAAAATACAAAAAAAAAAAAAAAATTAGCCTGCTGGCATGGTGGCATGTGCCTGTAGTCCCAGCTGCTCAGGAGGCTGAGGCAGGAGAATTACTTCAATCCAGGAGGTGGAGGTTGCAGTGAGCCGAGATCGTGCCACTGCACTCCAGCCTGGTGACAGAGCAAGATTCTGTCTCAAAAACAAAAACAAAAACAAACAAACAAAAAACGAGCACAGTATAGTATATGAACATCATGACAAAAGTTCAGAGTGCTTTGAGAGTCTATGGGGGCGGAGAAAAACTTTAATGAAATCAAATGATATGTTAGGCAGGCTGAAAGGACTGTGAACCAGGAAGGGGAAGTGCCATGAGAAAACCTGGAAAAAGCGAAGCTAGAAGTTATAGTGAAGGAAAAGTGGCAAGATGTGTGGTTAGAAAGATGACAAAACCCTCAGTCTGTGCCAGAGTTTGGACTTTATACCAAGGACAATAGGAAACCTTTGAAAGATTGTAAGTAGAGAAGGGACATGATTACTTTTGCATTTCAAAACACTCTTGCTGGAGTGGGGAAGAGGATTTGGAAGGGAACAGGCCAAGAGGCTACTGCAGTTATGCTGTGGCCTAATGGGGAGGTGGTGAAGCACCTAGGGCCTAGCTGACCTGGGGAGACATTTAGTAAGAATCAATAGGACTTAGTGAATAACTGACCATGACAGTGAAAGACAGGAGGTGTCAAGATTGACAGACTGCCAGGCTTGGAGCCCCATATCTTTATTTTTATAGAATACAAATAACTTCAAATCAGTGATCACTAAAATTTAACCTGATACCTAAAAGAGTTCTCTTGATAAAATCTTATATAGTTCCCTTTTAGTCAGCAAAGACAAATAGTTTAGATAGATCATCAAAATTTTACATTGAATAGATTTTTCTTATTATGTATTTTAGTATACATTAACAAAACTATGGGATTTGGTCTCTGAAACTGAAGCTATTGAGGAGAGCAATATTGAGCAAAGAGAAATGAAATTTTATAAATCCACTTTTTCTGATTATCTGTGTAAGAACAAGATATTTTCAACTGACCATTATTTGAACAATAATTTACCCACTCTGTCTCTGAACTTTAATAAAAAGATATAACTCTTGAAAGATAAACTGGCTACTTGGGTCTGGGGCAACAATTTTTTGTTAAAACTCTTAGCAAACTCTTCTCAAAATTAATTAATATTTGCATGTATATAGTACAACCTAAAAGAGCACCTCTCATATTAGTAGCTCAATAAATGCTAGCTGAATCTGAAGTAAATTGCTAGAGAATGCTATGTTTTGGTTCATAACGATACAGCACTTAATGCCAATTTTAAGTTAGGTATAAAAGAGTGTTCATACGGTAAGCATTAGCCTTAAAAATTAATCATGGACTTTATTATTTACCCAATGTCTGTGTATTCATTTCTGCTTTCACTAGTCAGAACACATGGATCCAGCATTAGACATGGATCCCAGTCACAGTTTTACCATTAGGCCATTATTAGCTCTGCAGTCTTGAACGAGACTTAACTAGCAATGTAGTCAGAATTTCTTCATTTGTAAAATACCATGACTTCCTTACAGAGTTATTGTGAAGATCAAGTAAGATAATATATATGAAAAGATAAAACCCAATATAAATAGAAGATTAGCTTACTTCATGACTGGCCTCTAAATAAATGTTTTGATTAGATATGCCTTCTCTACAAAAGCTGGTTTGAAAGCTCATATTGATTTGAAATACAAGTGCTTTGAAAAAGTTTTTATATTTGTTAATATATTTACACTACTAAAACAGATCTGCACAATATGTGGTATAACAGTTTTTGCAAGTGTACCAAGAAATGACTGAACATACACCAAAATAAATAAATGAAATAAGCTTAGCTTATGAAGTATTTATAATAATAAATGTTCTCATTTCAGAGAAGAAATTAACCATTATGTTTATTAAACATGATGATAAAATTATAATCTTATTTTTGTACATGGATTGCGTTATTATATAATTTTTTTTATTCTCCTTGGCAATCTATTACTGTGGTTTAGAGTATAGAGTAAGGCTCTCAGTAAAACTAAAAGGCCACAAACATAATTATTGAAAACTCGGGATGCCATTACATACCTATCAGAATGGGTAAAATAAAACAACAGTGACACCAAATACTGACAGGGATGTAGAGTGACTGGAACAAACATATATTACTACTGGGAATATAAAATAGCATGGCTACTCTGGAAAATAGTTTGAGGTTTCTCATATTTTTATATACAATCTATTAATTGTATTCTCGGCCATTTATTCCTCAGTTATGAAAACTTACATTTACACAAAACCCTTTGTACTAAAGTTCACAGCAACTTTATTTGTAATAGTCAGAAACTGAAATCAGCCCCAATATTCTTTAACAGGTGAATGGTTTAATAAACAGTGGTGCATACACACTTCAGAAAACTCAGCATAAAAAAGGAATGTGTTGTTACACATATAACCTGGAATGAAACTCCAGAGGCTTTATGCTGAGTGAAAAAAAGTCAATCTCAAAGATTCCATACTTTATTATCTATTTATATAAAATGTTTTATATGATAAAATTTCAGAAATGGAGGACAGATTAGTGATTGCCACAGGTTAGGGATTGGGCGGGCTTTGGAGGAATGTGGATGTGGTTATAAAAGGTGAATAAATCGATCCTTTCAGTATCCTGACGGTGGTGGTGAACACAAGAGCCTACCCAGGTGATAAAACCATGTAGAACTTATACACACACGAGTTCAAAGAAAACTTGAGAAACCTGAATAAGACCAGTAGATGGTGTCAATGTCAACTTTTTGATTATAATATTATACTATAGTTTTGTAAAATGTGACTACTGTGTTAACTGAGCAAAATGTACAAGGGCTTCTGTGTATTATTTATTACAACTGCATGTGAATCTGCAATTATCTCTTAAAATGTTCAATTAAAAGTCAGTAATTTGCATAAGTGGTATTAAAAAAACAACTGCATGTGTATAAATACAGGGGTTTGTAAATTAATAAACTCTAAAGCCTTATTTTTGTTTTATTTTGTACAAAAAGAAATAAAAACATTTTTATATAGTTTTATCAATAAATATCATACCAAAAATAATTAATGAAACACAGCTCATTAGTTTTTCTTCATGATATATTTTGTTTCATTCAACTTTTACGTGATACCAGCATATGTACTTTGTTATAATTGTTTCCCATATGCAAATAAATGTCAGGGTTGGAAGACCTGTTGTTTATTCAGTTCAGAAATAAGACTAATTATATCTACTAATTAGTCATTTATTGGCTTTGTAAAACAATTATTTTATAAACAGTTATAATTAAATTATCTCAAGAAATTCAAATTTCAAAACAGAACATTGGTGAACTTGGTTTTTATTACTGTAGTTAGTAAAACAGATCAAATAGATTTTGCGAAGGCCTTAGAAAGTTCAAAAAAAATTGTTAAATGTACTTCTTTTCTCCTAGGTTTCATTTCTCTGGCTGCAAAAAGTAAATATTTTAATGAAAGTGTCCTGCTTGGATCCTCGGAAATTTTGGGAGATTTCTCGATTTAAAAGCAAATGCAGCTACTACGAAAAGCAGTATAAGGTTCTTCAAACAATTAAAAATAGAACTACATACCAGCAGTCTCACTGCTGCATATCAATCCAAAAGAATTATAATCAGAATCTCAGAGAGATATTTGTACTCCCATATTCATTGTAGCACTATTTACAATATCCAAGATATGAAAACAACCTAAATATACGTTGCCAAGTAAAATGTGTCATATACATAAACTGGAATATTATTCAACCTTAAAAAAGAAGTAAATCCTGCAATATGTGACAAGAATGAACATTGAGGACATTATACCAAGTTAAATAAGCCAGTCATAGAAAAACAAATACTGCGTGGGACAATTTATATGAGATACTAAAGTAATGAAATTCATAGAAGCACAGAGTAGAATGGTGACTGCCAGGGACTAGGGGCTTGGGGAAATGGGAAGTTGCTAATCGACAGGTACAAAGTTTCATTTATGGAAGATGAATAAATTCTAAAGTTAATAATAATGTATTATGCACTTAAAAACCTCTTGAGGATACATCTCATGTTGTGTTCTTACTACAATAAAATAAAATAAACCAAATTTTAACTTGAGTTCTCTCTCACATCTTCTTTAGGCAGGCCTGCTAGCCATAACTTCTCTGATACTTGCTCCTGACATCTTCCTGAAGTTTAAGAAGGCAGGTAAAGGCATTGTAGACTGAACGTTTCAGATGGCTTCAAACTACTTAATAAGAGCCATCATTTTTAAGTAACCCCCTAAATAACAGGTTTTAGAGTCTGATTAGTTGAGATGCAAAGTTTATTCACACGAGCCATGAGGGAAGAGAGAAAAGCAGAATCCTAAAGTGGAAGTGAAAACTATAATACACCCTCAGTTCCAGCAGAAGCTCAAAGATAGTAAATCTTGCCACAAGTCAATGGCCAAGTCAAGACTAGAATTACTTTCTCAAGTCATCCTTTTTCCTCCTCTTTCTTCAATACTCAATAAACTACTTATTTTTCAAAACTTAGATCAAATTCTGTTAATCCCACCTGGACCCCAGGCAGAAGTAATCACTCTTCCCGTTGTTCCCACAGTGTCCCTCATTATTGATTCACTCATTTATCCATCTGTTCTTTGATTCAACAAATATTTTTGAGCAATGACTATGTGCCCAACACCTAGTGCCAAGAAAAAAACCTCTGTCCTTATGACACTGGTAGTAGTAAAAGGGAAAACAGATAATAAGTTTTTAAAAAGTAAAATACAGAACATGTGAGTTATGGCATGTTAGAGGATGACAAGTAAAAGAAAATCAGCAGGGCAAACAGCTGGAAAGTGTGCATTTGTTGTAGGGGGATTTTTTTAACTTTTATTTTAGGTTCAGGGGTACATGTGAAGGTTTGTTACATAAGTCAACTCGTGTCACAGAGGTTTGCAGTACAGATTATTTCAGCACCCAGGTGTTAAGCCCAGTACCTAATAGTTATCTTTTCTACTCCTCTCCCTCCTCCCACTCTCCACTCTCAAGTAGTCCCCAGTATCTCTTGTTCCCCTTCTTTGTGCTCACGAGTTCTCATCATTTAGCTCCCACTTATAAGTGAAAACATGTGGTATTTGGCTTTCTGTTCCTACATTAGTTTGCTAAGTATAATAGCCTCCAGCTCCATCCATGTCCCCACAAAATACATGATCTCATTCTTTTTTATGGCTGCATAATATTCCTTGGTATATATGTACCACATTTTCTTTATCCAGTCTATCATTAATTGGCATTTAGGTTGATTCCATGTCTTTGCAAAGTATGCATCTGACAAAGGTTAAATATCCAGCATCCGTAAGGAACTTAAATTTACAAGGGAAAAACAAATCCATTAAAAATTGGGCAAAGGACATGAACAGACACTTTTCAAAAGAAGACATACATGCGGCCAACAAGCATATGAAAAAAAATTTGATATCACTTATTATCAGAGAAATGCAAATCAAACCACAATGAGATACCATCTCACACCAGTCAGAATGGCTGTTATTAAAAAGTAAAAATAACAGAGGCCGGTGAGGTTGCAGAGAAAAGGGAACACTTATATACCGTTAGCAGGTGTGTAAACTAGTTCAACTATGTGGAAAGCAGTACAGTGATTCCTCAGAGAACTAAAGGCAGAACTACCATTGGACTCAGCAATCCCATTACTGGGTATATACTCAGAGGAATTTAAATCATTCTACCATAAAGACACATGCACACGAATGTTCATGGCAGCTTTGTGCATTTGGAGATGAATACAGTTCTAAATAGGACAGCCTGGAAAGGCCTCAGTAGAAAGAATAACACTTCATAAAAGATCTGAAAGAGGTGAGGATATATTTTCACAATTAATCATGCACATCTGTTTCCCTTAGATCTTCAAAGTTACGAACATACTTCAATTATTTTTGTATGCTGGCTCCTAGGGAGCAGCCACACTTAGTAAGTACATAATGTTGGATGAAATATCTCAGGTTTCTGAACTTAAATTTCAGTTGTCTTTCAACTACACAAGGCTTTGTACTTCAGAAAATTGATGAATTTGAATACAACACTGATGTAAATCAACAGCACAACTAGAACTTCTACACTCTCGCTGCTCAACAACTTAATTTAATAGGGGTATGATTTTCTAAATGTTGTAGCCCAACACATGCAGGAAACATGAAGAAAACTGAATCCTAAGAATATCGAGGGACAAGCCCAAAACCATACACAGTGTGAACTAATAAACCTCCTAAACCTACATTTCACAACATGAAAAATAATGAAGTGCTAAGTAATACATTTGATCAATTTTTGTCTCTATTTCTGATTTTATTCCCATAGTATGGCCAATTTTATATTCAGCACTACTACCATCACCAATAGGAGCCTGAGAAGTTTCATGCACGTTGTACCTGTGTACCTGTGACTATAGGCTAAGTTTAAGACATGTGTGCCTCCAAATACCTGCCAGCAGTGATACCTTATGTCCTAGTACATCGAAATACAAAGAAGAACTCCTTGAGAGTCTAAAGGAGACTACAAAAATCGGTTCACTTTGGACAGATAATATGACCACAGATCTAGAACTAGTATGACCACTCAGTCTGGGATGATGAAATGGCCAATTTCTTGGTATAAAATGAGAACAGCACACATGGCTGAAAGCCATATTAGAGGCAAAATTACTACTACTTATGTGCTGTTACAAATTGCAGATAAAAGATGATTACACATATTATAGTTATCTAGTTTTCATTATAAGGACTAAATGATTTAAGATTACAGAAAAGCCAGACTGAATGAAGAGTAAAGGACGGGTACATTAATGAAACATTCGCCTTTGTTGCTCACTGTTAAAAACCTCTCAGAGACTCATCGTTGACTGGGAACTGACTCTGGTTGTCATTTGGGATAATGTATTTGTGAGTCAATAGATTAATGGTTCAAAAATACCAATACTTGCATTATGAGTCCTTCAGTGATTCTCCATTACCATCAAGAAAAAGCCCAAACCCCTTAGTACAAGATACAAATGTCTTCATGAGGTGACTCTCCTCTTCCTCTCCACACATTCCACACCCTTCCATTCTTAGGTCTCTGAACATGCCATGCTTTCAACACCTACTTCAGTCTCTTTGCACATACTCTTCTCTCTGCACAAATCCTTTCTCCCTCACCTCCCAACAGGGTGAATTCCCTTAAAATAGCTTAAGTGTTATCTTCATTTGGAAGCCTTTCCCGAACCCCACTGCCCATATTCCCTATGTTAGGTATCTCTTCCCCTTCTAAATATGACTGTTAAGCTTATCACACAATATTAAAAGATTATATACATAACATATATTATATATAAATATACATTATCTATATGATATAACACATATAAATACATATATGTATGTATGTTGCCTTCACTGGATCAAAACTTCTGAGCAAGTTTTATTCATGCTTTAATAAGCAATACTATAGAATTGAATACCTGAAAGTAAAAATAAAATAGTGGTAACTAATATTTATTGAGTGCTTAATAACTGTCAGACACCCTTCTGAGGCTTTAATTCATTTATTGTCATAACAATCTAATCAATACATAACTAACATTATTCCTATTTTACAGATAAAGAAACTGAGGCGGGGTACGTTTAGTAAACCGTCTAAGGTTACAAAGCTAGTAAATGACAAAGCCAGGGTTTGATCCCAAGCACTCTGACTTCAAAATGCATGTTCTTCACCACTGTACTACAGCTACTTCATATGTATATATATGTATTTAAGTGTTTTTAAGTAAATAAGTAGGCATATATATAAAATTCAAGAGTATGTGTAATATATATATGTATATATGCATTTACTTGGGTATATACATGAAAAACATTGGCTTTTAAGAATGAACTCTAAACAGCAGTACAAAGTTACTTCAATGAATTAGAAGTTTTGACAAAAGACCATCTGCTGTCCTAGAAATTGTCTTCTTTTCCACTGACATATTATACTATTCTAGTTAATAATTTATAAAACATAATATCAATGCACATAGACTTTAAATGCATTAAGTAGATATGCTTTGTATTGAGAATATGCACTTATTATGTACTACTAGGTAGCTTAGTAAAAATTTGAAAATTTAGGTATAAGGTAATCATTACAAGATTAGTTCTGCAAAGTACTTTCGCATGTATAGACAATTACTGAATAAGTGTTTTATTCAGGAGAATAAAAATCTATATTTATAAATATATTAAAATATTTGTTTCTCAGTAACATTTTATTTTTATTTATTTTTATTTATTTATTTTTAAGTTCTGAGGTACATGTGCAAGATGTGCAGGTTTGTTACATAGGTAAATGTGTGCCATGGTGGTTTGCTGCACCTATCAAACCATCACCTAGGTATTAAGCCCAGCATGCATTAGCTCTTTTCTCTAATGCTCTCCCCTATCCCCACCCTCCCCCAATAGGTCCCAGTGTGTGTTGTTCCCCTCCCTGTGTCCATGTGTTCTCATTGTTCAGCTCCCACTTATAAGCGAGAACATGCGGTGTTTGGTTTTCTGTTCCTACGTTAAGTTTCCTGAGGATAATGGCTATTATTTTATACTCCAAAATTTTAAATTCAACATTTGTAATACAATGGGTTCCCAAACATTGCCATATACTGGAATCACCTGAGGATCTTTTAAAAATCCTGATTCCTGAGGCCAGGCATGGGGCCACATGCCTGTAGTCGCAGCTACTTGGGAGGCTGAGTCAGGAGTATCCCTTGAGCCCAGGAGTTCAAAGCTGTAGTGAACTATGATCGCACCTGTGAATAGCCACTGCACTCTAGCCTGGACGATACAGTGAGACTTCATCTCTTACAAAAAAGAAAATACTGATGCTGACACCACCACCGCCCTCTTAACCAGACATTCTGATTTAATTAATGATGGGCTGAGTCATGAATATTAGGATTTTTTCAAAGCTTCCCAGATGATTCCAGTATGCAGCACAGATTGGGAACCAGAATTTTACTAAACTTTCCCTAAATTCACTCTGAAGTTTACAGGAATTTCTTCTATTATGACATTTAAAAGCAATCCTGACAAAAACATTATTTCAAGTGATCAGCAGCAGCAATGCCAGAAATCCACATGTAGTTTCTCATATCAGCTATATCACCTGGCTACTACATTCTTCAAATAGAATTCCTTTCCTCTTGGCTAATTCTCTTTACAGATAATACAAATCATTTCTTTACTAAATCATTTATTCAAGAACACAGACAAATTCACAACCTAATCACCAAACTTAATTAGGCAGAATTTTACTTCATTTTAATTAAGTATCCATTTTCATGTGCTTGAAACAGAAATGAATATAGCTTGGACAGGGAACAGGTTATTTATAAAAAGGGAGATTTAAATGAGGGTAAAAATACATGGAAAGACACACCTTGCACACCCTTCTCTACCTACTTGTCCATTTTAATCCCTGTTTATAATCTTAGGTATCGGCTCAATTTAAAAGCAGTAAATAAGTAATACTAATGTTTATGCTGATGTGGAGATATGGAGATGTGGAGATTTTATATGAGAAGTCTTCAATGTTTTAAAGTCCTTGAGATTTGTGGGTTATTTTTTATTGCAGTGTAATCTACCCAATCTTTAAATTCTATATGTAAGTATGATTGTATATGTAAATATAATATCTATTTCAGAAAAAATACATCACATGTGTAAGTGAATTTTTTAGATTAAGAATTGGCATGTCCTACTTTATTCAAAGTGCATGTTCTTTACAATGTTTGTAAAACTATATGCAAGGTAAAACAGTGATGTCTGGTCTATCTATAATGCATGATGATCAAAGAGTTTTGTTTATCACATACTCATGCTGAGAATTCATTAAGCACTTTCACTATTAAATTTGCAGAATGAGTTGTTGTCTCCACTTTACTGACACCATGAGTCACATTCATCAGTCTCCAACAGGATGATAAAAGACTGAATGATTCAATGAAAATGTTGATCATTATGGTTCAGTTATAACAAATGTGTGACTAAATCTGTACTCTCATAATACATCACATCAAACAGAAATTTTAGGGTGGAATGGTTCTTCAGGCTAAATAGTGAAGCACTTTGAAATCTAAATTCGTGTATTCTAGTTATTAACATAAACTCTGAAATAAATCCAGGCTTCATCTTCAGAAAACAATAAATCTAAAAAATAAACTCAAAGATTGTTAGATATTAAAGAAACTGCCTGGATTAAAAAAAATAGAAATAACAGTGTTTCTCTTTAATCATCTGTATTTTGAAGTATTTTAAAGATAGAAGTGACACATTTTATACAGCTATACAATGTAATCACCAAAAGACTATATTGGGATGACTTTTTATTAAGAAATGTATGATACCTGTTACTGTCATTTATGGTGACAACTCTGTAATGTATTTATTGCTATGTTTATTTGTGTTAGTGTGAGTTAGAGAGTAAAGAACAATAGTAAACATATTCTAGTGCACAAAATAATATAAGTGAAATTTCATTACGTACAAATCATCACAAATAAGTTGTTTTATTTTTGTAAAGAAACTATCATTCTGAAGACAAATTTAAGCTAAAATATATGGAACATATGTATGTATAAATATGGATTTCTTTTCAGGAAATCATACGTTTTAGTGTCTCATTTAAGTTTTCTGTGTAGTTTGGAAAATCCTGAACGGCATTAAATATTTGTTTTTAAATTATGCATAAGGTTTATCTACAGCATGAAATGCATGTGTGTTCTCACTGAATAATATTCTCCTCTCATTTTCTCATCTAAGTCTAAGACTAACTTAAGGCAACAATTTTGTGAATGTTTTTCAAATAATAAAACAGTGGTATATATTCGCTTAAAAACAAAAACATGAAATATAAATATGTATTATAAATAGTTATATTACTTCCCCCTTCATACTTGTTTCATTTAAGATTATTTAAAATGCTGGTGAATTAAACTGCTTTTGTATTGACTATTCACCATGTAAGACTCTAACATGTACACAAACACACACATCTATTTTTATGTACACATATTCAGATAGTTTCTCAAAGATTATTTACTGTTAATTTGTAGCCTCAAAATAATGAACTACAGCTACACTTTTTGATATATGACTTTTTAAAAACTAGGTAAGCAAAAGGTTTACAATTCTATTTACACAATTTATATTTAGATAAATTAAAACATTTCAGTCTTAAAGGTATAATGTTAAAAAATTAATTTTAAGTAAAATGGCTTAAACTATTTCATTGTAGTAAAATAAACACAGCTCAAGTTGAAGTAATACAATGTCTAAATAACTAGAAAACAAACAAAAATATCATTATTTATATTTTAAAAATAAATTAATTGATCAGATATGGAGAATTCTGCACTTATACCTACTCTGTTGGTTTCAAAGTTACATTTTTCAGTGCCATAACCACGAAACAGGCTACAAGCAGTCCTTAAATGCCTCTTATCAACTTCAGCTACATCATCTTAATAACTTTTTTCTACCCAGAGACCTCCTATAAGTTTTAGAAATTCCCATTATATTTGTAAAACCTAACCTAAAGTTAGAAAAAATATTTTAACATATAAGGAGACTACATCAAAATAATCAATACACGTAGATAAATATTTATGGTGATATCTATTCTGATGAACAAACACTGCTACCAGGAAGGGGATGTGACAGCTTTTCTCCCTCCCTAGAATATGCGTCTACCTCTTCTCCCTCAGCTTGCCAATGCCAATTTTTAAAATCCTCTGATTTTGGATCATAGAGGAATAGAAAAGTTACTTGATTGGTGAGGATCTCGTGTTGGAGCTCTCAGAACTAAACACTTGTTTAAAGTGATTCTTCTCCCCTAGGTAGTTTTGTGATCTCTGTGGGGAAGTCAACAGTCTCTCTCTCCCTTGCACCTTTGGTTGAGATATTTCTTCCTGAAGTTCCCCTGACAAGGGTGAATGCAGCAGTCTTACTTAGTCCCTAATTATAGTATCTGCTATACTATACTATACTATGCTATACTATATTATAAAGTCACTTAGACCCTCCAGACCATCCTCTTAGACAGGACCCAAGATAACACCATGCCAGTTCCTTCCTGTAGCCCACATCTGGTCTATGGGAAAGACTTCTTCTTCTTCTTAGATCAACTCTGGGAGTTCAACACAGTTTTTCTCCAAAATAAAGGCAATTAGTTAGCTTCTTTCTCACATATCAGTCCACCATATCCTGCAAACCCTCTCTTTAATTTTCTTAAAGACATACTCATGGAAAGAATCATGCCCACACCCATTCCCTTCTTGAGGGTGTGAGAATAGAAATCAAAGCTTACAAGAATCTCACTTCATAAATCTTAAATCTCCCCCTCCATTTTGGTAAAGTATTTACCAACTTTGGTAAACTATTTTGTTCTCTCTGTGATATGGTTTGGATCTGTGTCCCCACCAAATCTCATGTTGAAAGGTAATTTCCTGTGTTGGAGGTGGGGCCTGATGGCAGGTGTTTGGATAAGGACGGTGTTTCCCTCATGAATGGCTTAATGCCCTCCCTTTGGTAATGAGTGAGTTCTCTCAAGATCCTAAAGTATGTGGTACCTCCCCACGACTCCTTCTCTTTTGCTCCTGCTCTGGCCATATGACGTGCCTATTCCTGCTTCACCCTCCGCCATGAGTAAAAGCTCCCTGAGGCCTCTCCAGAAGCTGAGCAGATGCCAGTGCTATGCTTATACAGCCTGCAGAACTGTGAACCAATTAAACCTCTTTTCTTTATAAATTTCCCAGTCTCAGGTATTCCTTCACAGTAACTCAAGAACAGCCTAACACCAACATATCTTGGTTTGTTATTTCAAGTCAAGCATGATAGCCTTGTACCTTGGAATGAATTTCCTGTTGTCTTTAGATCTCAGCTGAGACTTCCATTCTAAATTACTCAATTATATATAAAATTTGAAGTGAGGACACTCTTGTCTCACAAAGTAGATTAAATGCATTTGTGTACAATGTTAGCATATTTAAAAACAAATTATAACATATTCATTCACTAATTACCCAAGTTTGCTAATCTACATCAGCCTGATGAACAGAATAATTCCCTCTGTATTGGTTTGTGATATGTAGAGTATTTTTTTTCTTTTTGTTTTTTTTGTTTGTTTGTTTTTTTGAGACAGAGTCTCGTTCTGTCACCCAGACTGGAGTGCAGTGGTGCGATCTCGGCTCACTGCAACCTCTGCCTCCTAGGATCACGCAATTCTCCTGCCTCAGCCTCCTGAGTAGCTGGGATTACAGGCACACACCACCATGCGTGGCTAATTTTTTTTTTTTTTTTTTTTTTTTTGTATTTTTCGTAGAGACGGGGTTTCACTATGTTGGCCAGACTGGTCTCGAACTCCTGACCTCGTGATCCGCCCGACTCGGCCTCCCAAAGTGCTGGGATTACAGGCACGAGCCACCCCGCCCAGCCTATGTAGAGTATTTTTACAGTGCTTTACTGTAGGCAAAGTCCTTGTACTTCTACTCTCTTATTTACTTGTGAGTGATTTCAAATCAGTGAAAAAGCTAAATAGCCACATATACACCTGGCTATATCATTAAAATAACACAGAATGTTAAAATTTCTCCTCTGTTATATTTCATTTATTTAATTGGATAAGCCATTTTTAACCAAGTTTAATTTAATTATGGTGATCATAATTAATAGTGATTGGAAGAATACAACTGTAAAACAGTTCTATGGTTTGTATACCTTATTTGTCTTATATGTGTTAATAGAAAACATCTCAGTAATTTCAAAACTAGTAATACGATATGGGAACAGTATGTTATAGCAGAAAGGGCCCTGGGCTTGAAATCATTATTCAGTTCATGTTTGTATTCCTACTTCTCTTATAATTTGGACTATTTAATAGGTATTATCAAAATTATTTTAAAAAGTATTTATTTTTATATGACATGTACACACACATGTGCATTATAAAAAGCCACACAATACTTCAATTATCTTCCACTGATGATATATTATCTATAGTGATTGTTACAGAAAAATAAATCTTCAAAATGATAAAACAAGAGTACAGCCTACTCAAGTCATAGCTATAGAAATCAGGTATATTTACTTAATCTTCAGATTCTCAGTTTTATTCATCTGTGAAATAGTGATAAAATGCTGGTTTACAACTTTCCAGAGTTATTGGGATCTCATGAGTTGACAGTAAATTGCCCCATTAAGTGGTACATATATAAAGTGGTTATACTGAACTCTTAAACATGCACACATGCACACAAACAAAAATATTCAAAAACAACTTTGCATATCTCATGGGAATTCATCTCTGAAAATACCTGACTGCTATTAAAAATCTTTTAAATTTCAATAGTTACATGCCTTACCACTAAATAGCACCACTTAGAGTACTTTATATAGAGGAATGTTTTGTAAAACTTCTCAATTGGCAGATTCATTGCTCTATTAGTGAAAGGCTACAAAATTTATGTTTTCATTCTATATTCTTTTAACTAAGGACTTTTAAAAATCAAAATGATTTAATATTTGCAATTTAGCAGCCTGAATGCCTTTAGTCGGAAGAGGTGTCTTGCGTACCAGAAGTTCATCTACAATTTGAAAGGT
Source organism: Homo sapiens (assembly GCF_000001405.40). Classification (NCBI taxonomy): domain Eukaryota; kingdom Metazoa; phylum Chordata; class Mammalia; order Primates; family Hominidae; genus Homo; species Homo sapiens. The sequence goes on from NC_000002.12 coordinate 212,414,450, forward strand.
GATCTTTCTCTAAGAATTCTGAAATGCTGTAATAACTTTATATGGCTCTGAACTGTTTCATTCTAAAATCTCAGGGCTTTTCTAATGTGACAGGCTTAACGAAATTCCAAGGCTCCAATCTTAGTATTTTAAGCTAAATTGATAAATTGGACCCTTAACTTTAAAATTTCTAATCCTAATAAAAATATGAGGTTTAGCAATTCCTTCCTGGTCCTGCAATATGCAGAAATTATAAATGAGTACAGACTTTCTTTATTTCCTAGCTTTCTTTCTGTTTCATATGAATCTAAACTAGAAAGCATATTGAATCGATTTAAACTGGAACCCACAGAAAGAAGCTGGCTAAAGACATGGAGGCTAACTCACAGTCTGTGACCAGACTGGTTTGTCTAATGATGTAGTTGTTGTCACAATAAATGGCTACACGCACAGATTTCTGTCTGGTTAGACATTTGGCTTGAAATAAACATTCAGAGAATTGAATCCAGACATCGACTTTAAGGCCAAAAGTTGCCTTAAACTCTGCCAACCTGATGCTAATTCAACTAGGAGTAACATGCTTTTTTGTTTGTAACAAATGAGTCCTTGAATCTATTAAACTGAAACTGATGATGATTTCAGAAACATGTTTGATGAGGTCATAATCTCATTGCAGTAGGTCTGGAACCTAATTTTCTTGTCAAACGTCACTTACGTACTTTGGTATCCTAGAAGTGAAAGGAATGATCCAAGAACTGGGAAAGGAAATACTTTGGGTCTGTAATTTGATTTATAAAAAAGGCCTGTTTAACCACTTACTTTGTGAATGCCTGTTTTACAAGTTTAGAGATTATTCCTTGTCTGAAATTAGCTCTACTCCACCATCCTAAAGCCTTAAGAAAAGCAGATACTATTAGATTAGATACTTAGAAAAGAAAATACTATTAATGAAAAATAGTAGTGTAACTAAAAATAATTTAAATAGGGCTCTGTTTGTGTGTGTCACTTATTTTGGCATGCTGTATACCTGTATTTGCAGATCTTTTATTCAATACAGTTAAAGGAAATAGCATTTAGAAATCATTGGAAAATATTAGTAAATAAAGAACGTGACACATAAAGTTCTTTGGATGGAAGAAAAATATGCTAAACAAGAGACTTTTCCAAATTACTTGAAGACTAAAAGGACATATATGTATAACCAAGAATAAATGTATTTATTTAGAAGACATTGATATACTATAATATTTTATGACAAAATAAAGAGAAAATACTGAGTTAAATATGAAAATGAGTGTCTAGTTAAATATCACCACAATATTTTCTTAACTGAGTTTCTAATGCTATTTATAATTCTCCTCTTTAAAATAATTTACAAAGTGCTAGTTTTCTGTGTTGATATCCAAATGTGGAATGACTTTTTATTTGGAACATCCAACGAATAGAAAGTTTTATTTTTCCATTCAAATTATGATATCATTCATGGGTCCAGGGCAAGCTACAAAATTTGTGGAACTGAGTGCAAAATAAAAACATGAAGCCCCTTATTTCTTGAACTAAGAATTTCAAGACAGCAGCAACAAAGCACGAATCTCTTCTTAACACAGGGGCCTGTGTAATTACATACCCACAAAGCTAGCCATGAATGGGACCATCAACAAAACTTTCTATTGACTCGCATTTGTATTGCTAGTGTGATTGAAGAGACATGAGAGGTAGTTACTAAAGCATCTTTCTGTACAAACTAAATCAACGGAAAGTTACCCTCCAAATGAGTCCACCCATACCTATTTATCTGCCATATCCAAATGAACAAGCTGTTGAAAACATGGCAGCAAGGGCAAAAAGTAGAGGAATTAAGATACACATCAAGCCCTGCAGCTTCCTGCCTTTGATAGAAATGTACAATAGTGTACTGTTTGCAACATCCTTTCATTCCTCTGCTAGAGAGTTCTGGCTCACACCCACTGGAGCCTTGTGAAAAGATGCAACCCGTACTTAGGAAAGGGGTCAGACATGTTTGTTCATTTTCAATATCTTTTCTTTTTATATTAAAAAAATAGAATAAAGATCTATAAACCTGAATTAAAACTCTTGAGTTTCAAACTGCCTCGTTCTTAAATCTTCAACCTCACATAATATATTCGTATAAAATACAAATAAAGCCCTTAAGACCATGACAAGATTAATTTAACTCATATATATTAATTTCATGAAACACCAAGTTCAACCCTTACATCATTATTAGCACTGCAGTACATTACTGACATATATATGTAGTCTGGGGTCACTTCAGAAATTGGCAAAGGAAATTACTCCCTTAATGCAGTCTACAGGCACACCTCAGTAACAATGACACCTTTATCTTTCACTTATTGGCAAGTTTTATTCAGTGTTTCAAAGCTTGACTAATCCACAAGATAACATCAGCATATTTAAATCCTTAATCTGATCAAATCCAACTTTATTTGGTAAATAAGGATGATTTTCACTTCCTTTCATCCAAACTCTCATGATAAGGGCTTTGATAAGATAGTATCATAAATTACTTTCCTACAGGGAATATGTTTCTAAGAAAAAGTATACTACCTAAAGGAGAGGGAAAATGGATTTATACTTTAAAAGAAATTTTGAAAAATTAGCGTTCAAGATAGAAAGATCAAGAGATGGGTTTTATCTTCCTAAGTTTTGAACTACATACTATCAGTCCAATTTGAAAGCTCATTTTAGTTTTACCTCGTACATCATCAGTTAAAGCAAATGGTAGATAAATATTTATTTTGTAATTTATTTTATACTTCTTAGTCATAAGTATTTGTGGCAGATGAAGCAATATCTATCAGTTTCTTAAAAGAAAAACAAGTCAAGATTGTCCACTTCTTCACTTATACTGTCTTAAATTAACAAGAACTAAATAGTGATCAGAAAGAGAAAAAGTAACTACACATTGAGTATTCCTAATCCAAAAATCTAAAATCTGAAATGTTACAACATCCAAATTTTTTTGAGCGCTGACATTACACTAATAACAAATGCCCATTAAAGCATTTCAGTCTTTGGACTTTCAGATTAGGTATGGCAAACCACTAAAATTGTCTACTGACTCATTTTTACCAAAAAATCCCAAATCTAAAACACATCTTGTCCCAAGCATTTTGGATAAGGGATATTCAACCTGTAATGTCAGTCTGAAGCATAACAATTAGCTTATGCAGCCAAGGCTAAGCTATATTAGAATCGTAATAGTTCTCAATGAAAACTATGAGCTCCTCAGTATCTTTGAAACCTGATAAACTACTTTATCAATTAGTACCTATGTACTATAACAGATCCTTCATAAGAAATAATTTGCTTTAATGACACAGAAATAAGTTACACTTTAAATCAGTATTCCTTTTCAGCTAACTATTAATATTTGTATTCTCTCAATATTCATATACTGAAGCTCTAACTCCCATGGGATAGTATTAAGAGATGGGGCCTTTTAGAAATAATTAGGTTTAGATGCAGTCATAAGGGTGAAGCTCTCATGATGAAATTAATGCCTTTATAAAAAGAGAAAGAGGCACCAGAGCTTCCCTGTAAGGATACAACAAAAAGGCAGCCATCAGCAAGTCAGGAAGAAGGCCCTTACAAATAACTGAATCTATTAACATCTTGGTCTTGGACTTTCCAGTCTTCTGAACTGTGAGAAATAACTGTATTGTTAGCCATTCGGTCTATGGTATTTTGATACAGCAGCCTGAGCAGACCAAGACAGTACTCCAGAGAAAATTTAGAAAGTATGCTGACAAATTCCCACCATATTAATACTAAGTAAAAATATCAATGGTATATGAAGAAATACTTATTAATATTGTAAAATCCAGTTCTTGGTAATTTCCAGTCTAATTCACTTAGTTAATAACATTTTCTAGTGTTTTCCATATTCAGCAAGTACAATATAATGCCTAAATATATCCTTTAGAGTAGTTTAAGGAGTATTGCTTAGAGTAATCCAAAATTGTGTGTTCTCCACCTGCTAAGAGTCTAAATTTTCACACTAGTTTTATTGTAATTTTCAATCAATAGAGTCTGCCTTGCTAAAATAAAATAAAATAAAATAAACATATATATATATATGTATATTTGAAGTCCATAAAATAAAATGCTTTAGTTCCCTTGAATCATAAGAACCATTATAAAAACAAAAAAAATTAAGGAAAGAAATTAAATACACTTTTTGAAAATGCTAATTTACTAACTTGAGAAATGCTTCTTAACAAAAGTAATTGTGCCTCCCTAGATTGTCAATTAAATAACTATAATTAGAAAAATTTTCCTCTTTAAAAGGCATAAATGATTTACCACAAAATCTTCATAATAACAAATTTTAAACACTAGATTTTAATGTAAGGCAAGATGTATCTGGAAAATAGGTGTTTCTGAAGTGTTTTAACCATTCATTAGATCCCATTGACATGGTCCTACAGAGTTCATTTTACTATAATTAAGTTTATTAAATACTGAATTTCAATGCAAACATGAAAGCTTCAAAGAAGCAGAGCATTTAAGCTTTCCTTAAAATGTATTTTCATACGTGTGAAAAGAGCCATACCCTATACTCTGCCTGTACTTTATTCATATTCGCACAGTATTTGCTAACTTCTTACTATGTATACAGTACTCTTCCTTCATTTTTTTTTTTTAACATTTCAGTTAAGGGCACATTCAAAATTCACTCTGTTTCTACCCCCAAATTGCTATAGAAAAACTGTTGAACTGAACGTTCAAAATTAGTGTTTTTCAGACCAGACAGATAATGTGGTTTTCAAGTCAATCTACGAATGACACTACATGCTGTAACATGTAATCACTAGATTTGGAAGTGGGAGGCAAAGAGTTGCCTGCATTTGAAAGTAGTGAAGACAAACATATTAAATAGGAAAATTTGCAGACATCCATTAAATTGTGTATGTATGTGGGTTCCAATAGACTGACATTTTCAGAATCATACTAAACATGGAAATAAGCCAAAACAAAAGAGAGGGATTTGACTTTGAATGATTCTTCATCCTAAATTAGACATACTACCTGTGTTAAGATACTATGTATGTGTGTGTTTGTATACATATACATATAAATGTATATGCATATATTTGCCTTTAATGCATATTATAATATGCCCTGTTTTCAAGAGTTCAATGTCATTAATGTAGTAATTTAATTGATTCACTTATTATTTTTACAATATTTCATTTAATAATCATTTTGAGGACCTACTGTTGTGAGGAATGAAATGTATTTCATTGGCTTTTATATATTTTATGTTTAAGACATCTGAATATATTAGGCAATCAATCCATACATAGAACTGAATTAACGTCCTATTCAATAGTTAATAGTATCCAAAATATTTTTTATGTCTGAGATTCTTTAAACCTTCTTGCATTGAAACACTGCTATCAGCTCTGGTAGATGATATTTTCTACTTTAAAATATAATCTCTACTTGTTTACACTATTTTCCTCAATGTATTTCTTAAATATCTTGTGCTATACTAAAATGAATTCATTCTAAGTGCAAAGTTATAAAAACTATGTTACTGCATACATTATGAAAACTGAAACATCTGCTAAGCTTTCATAAAAGGTGCTGAGAATATGACACATTCATGCCTTTCTTTAATACATAAATAGATCATTGTGATATGTATTTTCATTTTATAGCATTCATTCCTAAATCCAAATTTCAGCAATGTTATATACAATATTCACCAAAAGTACAGCCAATTATGTCTTCTTATACATTAATATATTTCTGAAAACTGTTCCAAGAAGTAAATTCAAGACTGCACGATTTATTTTCCATTTAGGAGACTAATGTTAGGCATATAAGAAATGATATGCTATAGCCAGCCCACAGTTATGCTCAGGAATGGCCCCGCCATACAAATAAAATTGAAATCTTAGGTCACATACATTTAAAAATGTTTTTCTGTAGGTCAGATTCATTTATTTGAATTATTTTGAAACCATAATGTCTGCCTTATTTGGTCAGTTATTATACTTACCTCTTCAAAGTCATGCATGTATTTTAATTATGAAAGAATGGGATCTGCCCAAGTTTTCCAAATCAAAAAATCAAAAGTTTGAATCATAAGCACACAGGCTTTTGTCTTTTCAGAAAAGGTTTTTGCTTGTTCGTTGTAACCATATCCTCTTATAGAAGTTTCTTTCTGCATCTGACTCAAAGGAACACTCTCACTATTCTGAGGTCCTGCTCTAGCCTTCCTAATAAACCATCCTCAGGCGTTATAAAGAATTTTGCAAGGTAACATTCAGACATCCTTCATGACATGCATCAAACTTATCATTTCTTGCTCAATGGCTGTCTTTCCAGACAAATGAAGAGCATTATGAGGACAGAGGATGTTTTATTCTCAGCACACATCACAGTGCTTGGGTCAATAAATGTTTACTGAAAGAATGGCTAGATGAAAGCAATAATTGTATTGATAATGTTTTTGTTTTTAGGAATCTTTTGGTTTCTGCAAACTTGGAGATTTTACTCTGGACTGACACTTGTTTTCTAGAAGTTATAAATATGCCATATAATTGGACACATTTGTCTCCAGTTTGTGGTGATGTTTTTTATTTCCTATAGTCAGAAATGAAAATTTTTTAAAGCCTAAACATAATTCATCAACCACATATCTTAAAAGATGATATATTTCAAAGAATTTCAGTGGAAATTATGGGTCAATATATTTTTAAGAAGGTCCTTACGAAGACAATATTGCCTTCCCTATGCCTGGTTATATTTGTTTAATTGGACATTCTACACTTTTCTAGAGATTTTGCTTACTTACAATCAGATGAATTGAAACTCATTGGTTTGTATTCCACATTGTTCCTTCTGGAAACCCTTTTTAGGGTCACATTGACAGCTGCCAGTTTTCAGACTAAAGGCTCTTCATGCTGATAAACTGCATACATATATTGAACCAACAATTCCACAATTTCAATTGACTTAACACTTTTCTTATGTCATCTAGTCTTGTTTTCTATATCTAGTGTCACAAGTAGTACAAAATGTTCAACATATTATAGTATATGAGAAACCACTTTCCTTGGGAGCTGTCATTTTGGGATATTGTCAGTAAGAATGAGGAATTCTCCATCATGCCTGGTTTCTTACACTGTTCAACTGAAAATTAGTGTTTTTCAAAAATGTCTTTAAGAACCACTAAGTGGAAGAAGATGGAAGATTGTCAAAACTATCCACATCACTACACTAGGAAAATTTGAAGACATGAAAAATGGTGTGGTTTTCTGTAGGGTTCTCTGTTTGAAAACACAGAATTCTGACCTGATTGCATAGCTCTGGATAATAATGTATTGGAGTCATCTGTGTAATCAAAAGAGATTAAAAATTCAACCACTAAAGTGAATCAATGTGTTTAGGAATACTGTTGAAAAAGTCTAAATAATTTCAAATGAAAAGTATATTATCTACACAACTCTAATTCAAAGTTTGCATTAAGAAGATATCTAACGAACAAACATGCAGAAAAGAGTTATTACTTCAGGGAAGGCAAATATGATGATGTGGTGTCATAAGGGAAACATGCAGTTTTAAAGATGTCCACAGTGATAATTCACCATTGAAAAGTATCCCAGATTTAGAATCTTGTAATATGACTAAATAGCAGATTTCTAATTGCTCAATGGGATAATACATCATCTGTCCTTAATATTTCCTGAATGCTGGTGAATTGTCACAAAAGCATTCATGATTAAGAAACAACAGGGAAGCCTGGGAGCAGTGGTTCATGCTTTAATCGCAGCACTTTGGGAGGCCAAGGCGGGTGGATAACTGGAGGTCAGTAGCTCGAGACCAGTCTGGCCAACATGCTGAAACCCTGTCTCTACTAAAAATACAAAAATTAGTGGTGGTACATGCCTGTAGTCCCAGCTACTCAGGAGGTTATGGCAGGAGAACTGCTTGAACCCGGGAGGCAGAGGTTGCAGCGAGCTGAGATCATGCCCCTGCACTCCAGGCTGGGCAACGGTGTGAGACTTGGACTCAAAACACACACACACACACACACACACACACGAAGCGGGAAAAATTCTGGTGCTTCGCAAAGTCATCACAATACAAATCAAAATAAATTTGTCTTAAGCCACTTAGACAATACTAACCAACTTTCACCAGGTGTAATCCATGCACAACCAAAACCTTTTACTGTGAGAGCGAAGCTCTTATGGAGTTCTACCTCATCAGTGATCTACCATTATAAGATATAAAAGACTAGTAGATTCTATTCATGAAACCATTTTTCTTGGCTTGGTATTAATTTTGGTAAGAGATGAGTTACCAAGTTAGAAATTAGTGTGGTCCCAAATTAAAACATTAAAAAGAACCACCTAAGGTAAATATAAATATGTGATATAAAATTGTCAAAATGAATCCTTTCAGACCTTACATCATTTTCAATGGGAAGTATATATCAGTCATTGCTAACAGCTGGTTAATATTATGTGAAATACCACAGAGTACAATAGCTTTAAAGAATTTTTTATTCTTAATATATGAATTCTATATTCCATATTTTTAGAAGAAACCAAAATAATAACTTGAGTAAGAGGATAAACGATGAAAAATGTAAAGTAATCTGTGTAAATAAATACTCTGAGTAAAGCTAGTAACATAACCATATCTATGACACTTAAGTATATAGGGTTTAGGTAAGTGAAGGGGGCAAAAAAAAATGCAATTATAAGCAAATTCAGAATGATCAGCATACATAGAGGAACAATTAGTCATATGGGCTGAAAACACGTTACAGTCACCAAACACAGCACAAAGAAAAGCTTTGTAACACAGCCACTATCTTTCTAAAAAGTGACAGCAGAAGATGCCAAAAGCTACAGTGATTATCTGAATCACAGAAAAAAGAGGTGTCACCTTTGAGCTGAAAGAAGACCATGTATAGAGGTTCAACTAGTAATGTCAAGAGTTGGTAACCATTGGCAAAATAACATGCATCTTCAGGGAGAAAATGCCATATTGATCATTTCAGTTCATACTATAAGTAGAAAAGCAGCAACTAAGTATGACACACATGTGCCTTATTTTTATCTACATATAAGTTGTCTGCTGTATAAAGCTTCTGGGTTAGTGTACAAACATATATATGAAAATGATTAAATGTTAATTGCTACCCATATAGCATAATCAAAATAAAAATAATTGTAATACTGCATGCATATCTATTTCTAAAATTCTTTAATTGAAGTCTGTGCATTTGATGCTGTCTCTTGATAGCTTTGTGTTTGTATATTCAAATTTAAGGAAGGTGATACACCATGCAAACAGAACCCTTCATTAAGGTATACTTTCACCTGATGAGAGTAGACACTCACTTGACTTTATGATTTGAATTACTGAACCAATGCTACAGGAGAGTGTGCCTATGGCCCAGATTTTGTACATGAGGTATTTTTTCCCAAATTCCCAAAAGTTTATTATTAAAACCTAAATAACTTTTTGGAATTTTATGTTTAATCATAAGCTTTTAAAAGTAATAAATTCTAAAATACAATCTACAATTATTAATTAATCATAATCATTGGCAATAATGGCTTAATATAAGCTATTTCTTATTAGATGTTGTTTAGCATTTTATCTTAGAATTCATTTTGGTGTCTGAGTCTCCTTGGGGCTAATACAAAGTTGATGTATAGGATACATCAAGTCATCCTATAATCAACTACCTACTTAGCTATTAGAACCTAAGAGACTATCTTTGTTTTACTTTCAAGACTTCAGACTGATGAGTCATTAAATAAATATGTACTGAATGCCTACCTACTCTGTGTCTGGTACTGTGTCTGGACCTTACAATGGTAGGACTTTCCCTGCCACTAGGGAGCCTACAGAATGAGTGAAATTCTGTGCCATTCCTGTTGACTCCCCTTCAAGCTATTCCCCATGCACATATATCCACATATATCCAAAAGAAACAGGTAAAGTCCATCTATGCACATAAAAGCCCACTTATTTTTTCTCCCAATTATAAGAGAACAACTTTTCAAGGCTATATAAAAAAGAGAGCCTTGCTATTTTCTAACACGTATTTTTACAGACAAGTAGTACATAGTATATATACTAAAACTTTGCTAAACAAATCAAGTTGATGTCTTACTGGAGCAATGAATTGACCTCTAATAACAGCTATAGCTCACCTATAGTAATCAGATAAAACTAGATTACCCTGGATTAACAAATTTTTTTTTGTTTTCTTTTTTTGTTTGTTTGTTTGTTTTTGGTGTAGAAGGGGAATGTTGTGAAAGAGAACAGTTGGAAAACCCAAAAATATACAAATCCACAAATACTTAGTTTATGTCTATAAACAAAGAAAAAGCCTTTTACTTATCTTCAGAAATGAAAGTATAAGCACAAAGACAATTGATCAAATTATTAATTGTGGTCTTCTACTGGAGACTATGACCCATGTCATTTTAGTTATACATAAAGAAAAATAATGGTGTAGGTGATACCTAATGTTATCCATGTATCCGTGAAGAAAAAGTACTGCACAGAAATATGAACACAACTAATCAGATTTATCTTTTATATATGACATTTTATAGATGCTAGCAGATTTTTCTAAGCTTTCTTAAAACTGTCATTATAAAATATTTGTAATACTAAAGTCAAGAATTTAATTTAGTATCATGGATCTAATTCATTAACTCTTTTGAAGTAAAAGTAAATCAAATTTTAATAAACTTTAGTCTGACAATATTTGCTCACATTAAAAAAATTATTTAGAACTTTAACATGTGTGATATATAATAAATAACAGATATATATTTTACATATAATATATAATATATATGTGTTGGATAAATATATAAGGATACATATATATGAACATATATGTATATGTATACATATATATGAACATATATGTATATGTATACATATATATGTATATACACACATATGTATCCTTATATATTTATACAATAATCAGTATATTATTACAAAGTAATTGTATATTTCTCCAAAAATAAGGAGGCAGTGGTTATTTAAAACAATAATATCAAAAAGTCTCCTCAAAATAAAACACATCCATATTTTAACATAATTGCAATTTGGTCATATTGGTTATAGTATAAACATAATATTGATTTAGAAGGACACATTTTTCAGATCTTAGGAAAATTACAGGTAACAAATTCATCATTCCTCCATCTCCCTCTTCCCTTCTTGGTTACACTGTATGTATCTTTATCACTTCACTATTTATAAAGTGATCTATCAATGAACAACATCTTTTAAATCACTGTCCTTGCTTCATTCTTTTTCCTAACATTTTCTTGCTAGTTGGTATCCATCATTCTTACCCACATTTGGGGAGATAGAAAAGTTTTTGTATTCCTCATTTTGTTGTACCTATCCACCTAATGCCTTAAAAATCAAATTATTAACATGCAGGATAAGTCACCTAATCATGAGAATTAGCAGCTTTTTGGTTTAATTATAATCATAAACTTTTCTTCTGAATCAATGTTCACGTATTCAATCATTTATCTTCAGAAATGTCTTCTTATATCAAAAATTCAAATCTGAGACTTTATCTCCTTTCACATTTTACAATGTCTGAACTTCTTTATAATCTATTTTAGACTCTAACAACTTTGTAAATATATTACTTGTCATTGTTCTCTACTTTTAAGTTTGAATGTGATATCACTCTTTATAGAAGGCTCCAAGCAAATCTGAGAATAAGTTTTGAATTGATTTAGTTACTTTTTACGTGCATTTATTTCCAAATGCACACTAAAATATTAGGTTGGTGCAAAAGTAATTACAGTTTTTGCCATTAAAAGTAATGATAAAAACTGCAATTATGTTCGCACCAACCTAATAGTTATTAGAAAGATGGTGGTTATACAAATTAGATCTCTTTCGTCACACATTTTCTTCTAAATGTATATTTTCAAGTGTCTTAGTAATTTCTTGCAGCTGAAATAGAGAAGCTGATATTTTTATTAAATAGTTTTCAGAAAACCTCAATCTCTTTATCTCTACCACTGCTCTTTGGCTTTCTCTAAACATACACCTGTATGCACCATAAATATATTTATTGTGAATATGAAAGTTCCTCAAGGTTCCTGCGTGTTTATATCTAACATCACTGATCTATAAGGCATATATTAAACTTTAGTGCTTCTTTAGTAATAATGATGCGCTTGTACCACCACCTATCCACACTCTCACACAATCACCCCTTTTGAAGTAAAGCCTATATTTTAAAAATAACCATTACAGATTGTGAGTGCAGTCTAGGATCACATAGCAGAACTAAAAGCTAACTGGCCCACCCACAAAGTAAATGTGAGACAGAGGGCTCGGGGTAGCCATACTCTAGCCAAGTAGTACTGACAGATACCAATAGATATAATCAAATGTTACACATTTGTGTTTGCAAACGGGATAAATATTTTCCTGACCAATCTATACTTTTGATGATTCAAGCTACAGGATAAGTTTTAAAAATGTCTTTTGCACTTATCTACATTACTTAATAGTATCTTCTTGTCATAGACAACTGTTTTACACCATTTTAGTAGGAAATCAATTTGTCATTCAATTCCATTTTCTAATGCAGTAGTCCAACCCAACCCAGAATGCATTATTGATATGGAAATGAGTGTAATTAGCAGCGTAAATGATCTGTTATTTATGATACAAGTCAGAGCAGTAAATCACCATTGGCTCACTATCATTACTATGCAAATAGAAGAAAGCAGTTAATGGTCCATGTGTTTAAAACAGGCCACTTGCTTGCTCATTTGCAAATGAAAGGCAAGGGTGAGAGTTTAAGGTAGAGATGACAGTTTATCATATTGTCAGTCCTGGTACTTGGACTTAAGAAAACCAAGACACACCAATCATTATGCTAGTTTTAAACGTTATCCCCTTTCTCTACTGTATATTCTGCCTCGAACCTATTCTTACAGCACCTTCAAACTTATTTTGGGTTCCCTGTGATTTGCACATTGGAAGTGGAAATAATTGTGAGAGTGCTTGTAAGTGTTTCGCACTGTATGAGATAGTTTTTATGCCATATGGGAAAAACACAATAAAAATTCACTATTATGAAATAAAATAGCATCACTGGTCATATAATTCACTTCCTTTTCCTACAAATAAATTTTATTTTCTTGTAAGGAGAGAAACTAGCAATAATTTGAGTAGTTAGAGAATAAAGGAAATATTTGTGAGCCTTACTGGAATTTATTCAGTATACCTGAAAGAAATTGGTCTGCCTGTCCTGGTTGCTCTCTTTTCGTTTAATATTCCAGGGAATGTGAGAGCTTGTGGGGAAACGTGAGTGCATTAGCAGCAGGCCAATGCTTGCTTAGTGAAATGGGAACAAAGGCAAGACACATGAAAAGCTAGAGGAAGAAGAGGGATTGAGGGCAAATGCAAATTCTGCAAGCTTCACTTGCATAGATCTGATCATTTTTTAAAGTATTTGACAGACTTTCAGAAATACAGAACTGAGAAAGAATAATAATGTCTTTATATTGAAGGTGTACATAGTAGAAAGGATCTCAATCTCACATAAATTATCTCCATTTTGCAAATATATAAATAAAACTGACAAATCACTTATGAAACCTTATTTTGGTTTGTTGTTATTTTTATTAAGCTATGGATTCAAGAATGACATACAAATTGGGCATGAATTTTATATACAGGAAATGATAATAATATTTAAACAGTAGAAAATACTTTTTCTTATACCAACATTTTTTCTTAAATTATATGTACAGAGTGGTTGGAACAATGCTTTAATTCATCTTTCTTATCAGCTTATGTTTTGTAAATATTATGTTTTTCTTTAATTCCAAGGAAATAGCTAGGCCATTATATTTCCTTGCCTCATTGGTTTTTCCAGAGATAATCTTCCTTCTTGGCTTTTGTTTTTGAAACCTAAACCAGGAAGAAAGATTATATGAGGAATCTGAAAAAGTCAAATTCATAGAACCAAAGGGTGAAATGATAGTTGTCCAGGACTGGAGAGGAGAAAATGGGAAATGGCTAATCAATGAGCATGAAGTTTCAGTAAAGAAAAATTAATAAGAAAGTCTACAGATCTGGTGCAAAACATTGTACCTATAGCTAATAATACCACATTGTATACTAAAAATGTAAGAAAATAGATTTCATGTTGTGTTCTTATCACAATAAAATAAAATTTAAATAAATAAAGTAAAATAAAACCTTAAGTCCAGTGAGAAGTTTAAGCTAGAGGAAAGGTAGATGGTTTTGGGTTGAGCCCATGCATTTGTTATCAAGAAGAGAAGAGACAAGTGCATACTCACTAAGTCTGGGAAAGGAAGGGACATCTGTAGGCATAACAGATAGAGGGATACAAGTGCACTCCCAGGCAGCACTCAGGAAATGAACTGACTTCAGGGGAGGGGTTATGTGGAACCCCAGTGTATCAGTCAGATTCCCAGCAACTACTTTATGAGACATTCAAATTAGGATAATTTAAAGAATGTTAATATAAAAGTTATTAATTTTAAGAGTTTGAGCAATGTAAAGGAATTACTAGGGACAGTGCAGGAATGAGAGCAGTTTATTTGAGCTGGCATTAGCCCCAGGCCCAGCAAGACTAAAGCAGGGAAGAGAGAGATTATAGAACAAAGAGAAACTTACAAATGCAGCTTCCTTCAGAGCAGCAATGACCTTCCCTTGAAAGACACAGATTAAGAAGATCTCACAGAGAGGGAACCAGGAGAACAAATACTTAGTTTCACTGTCCTTTCTCTCTCTCTGATTCCCTGCTGGGGCTTTCCAAATGGGTCATTGGACAATCCTAAACAAAACCCAGAAAGCACAGGAGTCTACTGATAATCATCCACACAGGCCAGCTTCCAACAATCAGAACACAAAGCCAGGATTTCTGAGGACACAGTGGAGCTTTCTGTCTTCAACGGATTATACAAGTGTGGATAGCTGAGTATATCAAAGGAGGAGGCTGTCATAAACCAAAAACTAAGAATCCCCCTCTAAAATTTCATATGACAGTTACCAAAATTTACTACATTTACTAAGTTCTTATGCCCACGGATTATGCTAAGCACTTTATATAAATTTTCTTCTCCCTTACAGTATTTTCAGGTAGGTCCTATTATTATTCTTTTTTGACAAAATAAGAAACTGAGGCACAGAGAGGTAATTATCTTCCTAAATAACACATGATGAACACATGATGAAACCATGGCAGTTAGATTCAAACCTGTCTAGGTCTGACCCCAGAGCCTGTTCACCTAATGACCTCATATAATGCTTCCCTATATTTGACATAAATATGCTGATAAGATTCCCAACTGTGGAAAGTAATTAAAATAAAATGCGAAAATACTTAAAACTATTCATAATTTGAATTAATAGGTTCTTTTAATTAATATCTGTTATAGTTTGCCTTCTACACTGAAACATTAAGTTGGAAGAGAGGCAGAAGTAATGGGATTCATACATATGCAGAATTGCACCATTACTTTAAAATGAAATGAAGATGAGAGAACCACTTAGACATTATAGTTGTTGGACAGATTAAATAATCCACTTTCCTAAAATGCAACTGGTAAAGAAAATAAATAATGCTTATGAAAGGAACTAGATTCAGGTCTATTATTTAGCTTGGCTTTGAATATTAATTGTTTTTCCTCTTATACTTGTGTTTTATATACATACATACGATGTGCTTTATTTAAGTAGAAACCACGTGTTAAAAATGTGTAAGTAAAATATAACTAGCAGTCATATTATTAAAATCTACACCATGTCTATATCAAACATCTTATTTAAGCCAGAAGAACATTTTTAAAACATAAAACCTGTTAATAAAGAGAAATTCCATAAAATGAAAAATTGCTTTCTATCTACAGTCAGTTATGTCTCTTTGCAGGTTGCAATTACTTCGCATGTTGGTTTTTTTTTTTTTCTTTTCTTTTAAATGAAGTCTCGCTTTGTTGCCCAGGCTGGAGTGCAGTGGCGCGATCTTGGCTCACTGCAGCCTCCACCTCCTGGGTTGAAGCGATTCTCCTGCCTCAGCCTCCCAAGTAGCTGGGATTACAGGTGCCTACCACCACACCTAGCTAATTTTTTGTATTTTTAGTAGAGATGGGGTTTCACCATGTTGGCCAGGCTGGTCTCAAACTGCATGCTGTTTTTATATTCGAAGAATATTATGTTGTATACATATTGAGATCCCATTACCAATCTTGTTTAGCATGAGACAGCTAAGTCATTGAGTACAGAGTTATTTTCCAAAAGTATTCAATCTCATGTTGAGAAAGCAAGAGGAAAGATGAGGTGGGAGATGGGGGATGGGGGAAGCAAGAGAGAGTGAGAGGGAGAGACAGAGACAGTGACACAAAGACAAGGAGAGACAGAGACAAAGATTGAGATTGTGGTGCTGAGTTTTAATGACCTTCTGACCCCAAACCTGGTCACATTGATGTAAATAATAAATACGCGGTTGCACTGCTTTTCCTTAGAAGGAAACATAGACTTACTCCTGTATCTCTTCTCATATCCTTGATGTTTTCTGAATTTTTTATTCAGACTGATTGACACTGATTCCCTCTTTGACAGACCTCTCTCCAGAACCTCACGCTCCTATATCCAGGAGGACGAATGCTACTCAGCCTCTCTGTTTGGATGGCAGGTGGCATAATAAGCATATGTCACATGAACTCCTGATCTCTTGGTCTATATTCTCATCTAAACAGCTCCTTTCATGGTCTTCTTCATCTCATCTCAGTTGATGGCAACTCCATCCTTCCAACTGCTCATATTAAAAAAAAAAAAAAAAAAAAAAAACCTTCGTAACTATTTTTATTCTTGTTTTCTTTGAAATTTCATATCATATCTCTCAGTAATTCCTGCAGGCTCCCTCTCCCTTTAAAACG
Source organism: Homo sapiens (assembly GCF_000001405.40). NCBI lineage: Eukaryota > Metazoa > Chordata > Mammalia > Primates > Hominidae > Homo > Homo sapiens. Next base: position 212,431,420 of record NC_000002.12, read on the forward strand.
TATACAGAATCTCATTGCTTCTCACCACCCCCACTGCTTCTACTCTGGATAAAGTCAACACAATCTCTTACTTGGAATATTGCATTTGCCTTTGACTCTGTTCAGAGTATTCTTAACCAAAGAGCAAGAGTAATCCTCATTGAATGTATATCAGATCAGGCCACTCCACTTCTTAGCATTCCTCAATGGCTTCTCCTATGTCTGAGAATAAAAGCCAAAGTCTACTACATACCTTTCCTTCCCCTATTATTCTATGATGACATCTCTCATGACCCTTGCATTTTCTTATCCCATCAACATATAGTGTTAACTGTTTCCTTGAACTGTCATCACAGGGCCTTCATACTTGCTGTTTGATTAGTCTGCACCATGCTTTCACCAGCATCTTCACTTCCCTCAGATCTTTACTCAAATGCCACTTCTTCAGTAAATCTCTCCATGGGGCACCCTACGTGAAACTATAATCTCCCAACATTCATTGTCCTCTTTCCTAATTTATTATTCTCCATAATACTTATAGTCTAGGCTTCCATATGTTTTACTTATTTTGTCAACTTTTAAGAAAATATAATCTCTACCAAATCAAGGATTTTTCACTACTTTGTCCATGATTGTTTTCCAATGATTAGAGCATGTATTGAAATCAATTAAAAGGCAAATGAAAAACAGGACCTCACTGTCATTTTGTAACCCAGGTTGTCTGTTCTTTGGTCTATCTCTGTTGCTATCACCTTGAGGGATGGCCTTTCCTGAAAGGAGGTGGAATCAAAATTTCAATGGTCATAATAAAATACTAATTTTTTTAGGCTTGTTAATAAAGATAAACAGAATTTTATAATTTACAAATGCCATTTTAGACAATAATTGTAAATGCCTTTTCTTCCAGAGTGTAATATTAAAAAACAGTCAGCAATTTTATGTTTCTGTGAAATATATTACTGGTTGCAATTTGCTTTTAAGTTACTTGTAATATGATTAAATAGTAAATAGTTAGGATCATGGTGTTATACAACTTTTCCAGCCAACTGTGAATCAGTTTATGTCTAAAACTTTAATGGGTGCTCTCTCTATATATAATGTGATCAGAGGTGCATTCTGCTAAGTGTTAAGTAACTTGACTTCTGTAAATATAGCCTTAAATTTTCTAATTTTAAGGCAAAATTAGATTTCAATATGTCTAAATATCACCAACAGCAGGAATTAGCAGTTATATTAGCTCACTGCAAATTAGTTGATAAGGATCAAATTAGATTTTTAAATCATCATTGCAAATTATGAAGCTCTATTTTCAAGAAACACATTTAACATCATTAATAACCCACAGAAGTTGTGAAAGGTGAAAACTCTTTTAAAGAACGACTTCTGAGAGACAATCCTTTAGTTTGCCCATTCACTGAAGAATCACTCATGTAATTAACTTGCCTCATCTCTTCCCTGAGTTATTCAGATGGTCGGTGAGGATAGTAATGGCAGCCACAAACTCTGGAATCATCTCGAAGTCTGATGATACAGTGTTACATGGTATTTTCTACCACATAACCAAAGCTCTGGAATATATGAAGGGGTATCTAGTGCTTACATTTGTAACATCGAAGGGTTATATGTACCCCTTCATATGTCCCAGAGCTTTGGTGTGGTAGAAAAGTTATTTATAACATACAAATCCGATACTACAGTATAGAGAGTTACATATTATGCATTCTTAAAGCACAATATTTTAGAAATTTTATACTGCATTTAGCTAAATACTTCATTTGTAGATAGAGTAGCCTTCATAGGATAATTAATATTTTCTAAAAACTTCCACTAACTGACATTTTTACAATGGATTTTGTTATTTAAGTTTCAGTTTACATCAATTATAAGTGTGAGAATTCACATGGAATCTGTATAAAAGAAGAGAAAATTTTCTTTTTACCTTCCTATTACATGTAGAACTTTTTCTTCTACTGAGACTAAAATATTCCTTTAATAAATTCAGAAATCATTGGTTAATTTCAAATTTCTCACCCCTGCAAAAATTATATATGATTTTGAAAAGGCCAACATATTCAATCACCTGTATTTTTATAGATCGAAAAATATTCACATTTAAAAATTGCCAAATTACAAAAAGTTGCAAATGGTGTTCCTTTAATACAACTTTCAGGCCTCATTTATTCCTTACTTGCATACCAGGTTCTCAACAAGAACAGCTGATCCAAGAAAAAAATAGGTCCTTCGCAAAAGTTCTTTCTTAGAAGAGCTATGACTATATACACATCGTTGGTAGTAAAATATATATATTAATATCTTGAAACATTAGAAAATATCATCTATCTTAATTCTATAGTAAATCAACAGAAAGACACAATAATCTTCAACATAACAAATCAAACACATTGAACTCTCTGTATGTTGAGGTGATGAATATATTCTACGCATGGCAGTGTGCATTCAAATTCAAAGCCTTGTTTACCAGTGATTTTTGTCATGCACTCTAATAGTGTCATTACATGGAAGAGGGATGCTCAAGGAGATACTTTAAGTTTGAGAATTATTTTCCTCTGTTCAGCTGTTAAACTACCTCTCAGGAAACCAATAATTCACAAAGGGAAATTAAGCAAGGTGACTCAATTATGTGACTTTATGTTCCAGTTCCTGTACATGCTTTTAAAAAGCATGTTTCAGATCATTTTACCCCTTAGGGGTCAGCAAGAGAATAACCAATCTAAAATAGAATTTAATAGTGCAAATTCACATCCATGTAATCTAAATTGTGTCCTCTGGAGTTTTAGAGACCACTAACAGTTAAAGCATAGTGGATATAGTAAATTCTGAAATCCCAAGAATGAATGAATACAAATATGATTTCATATGACTGGACACTGTTTGAATTACAGAGCTGCTAGAAAGCCAGAGATACAGTCAAGTGAAAATATTTTTCCCTAAAGTATCTAGATGGTGCTTATGGATACTACAAGTCTTCTACACCTTAAAACATTATGTAAAATTGCTAGAATTCCTATTTTCCCTATATAATTTGGAATATCGAAGAACTAAGTAACACATATTTTTCTCACATAGACTCTCAGGTGGTCTTTGGGGTAAGAGTAGGGGGAGTGTGGGGGGAAAAATAACTACACTGCTTTTTACCACGACTTGGAATCCACAGAGTCAAGAGATACCACCCATTTATATACACACAGAGAGACACGTTCATCTTAGTAAACTTCAAATTCTCAAAGGGAATCCTCTCTTGTGGCAGGCCTAGTTTTAAGAATCAGAACATGTTCCATTCTCCTTCAATGTTCCAGCAGACACTTCTTTTGTAATCTTATAATATGGAATCAGAACAACAAGGTTTCACATTCTTCTATTACGTAGATCATTCTTATTACATACAACTGAGAAGAGCAATGTAAATGTGCAGCTATTCTAACCTGCCTATTGGATAAAAATGTAAAATATCAACAAGTTTACTGCTCAACATTTTCCATCTTTTATTCATTTGCAGAAGAAGAAAAGAAAATTTTCAAGAAACAAATGATTTAAAGTCCAGATTTCTTTGATCTGAAGCTGAACTCAAGCTTTTTTCTACTTACAAGCATATTTAACAAATAACTGAAATAATTTTTTAGGCATTCATTCATATTTCTTACAGGAAAGAAACAATTTCATTTCTAAGTCTCATAGGAAATTGTTTTTAAAGCTATGAGTTTAGAAGAGAAGATCTGAAATCAAGACATGACCAGAGGAAATTACAAAAAAAGATGACGTTGATATTCCTTCTGGTGCCCTCCTGTTTTCAGTGCCCATCTCCTACCATACTACCTAATCCCCAGGAGAAACCTTCTCCAGGCCTATTACCACACACCTTGATTTCCAAGTATTTCTTTTCTAGCTAAGGGAATATCAACGGAGTTGTTGTCACTCTCTGAGTAGCCTCCAAGACTTACAAACCATAGACTTGATGTTAAATTTTGGACACCATAAATAATTCTGGGCAACACTTGTAGAGAGAAGAAGAATTCTACACAATGTGAACACCTATTTATTTTTATCACATAATATTGCCTTTCTCTGGAATTCTAAATGGTGATATCAAAAGACTCCTGTTTATAAGAAACTAACATACATTCTTGTTAATTTTTCTATCAGAGGAACATGGAATAAATGGCATAATTAGAAGAAATCTATAGTGCAAGAATAAAAACATTAATAAAGCCAATGATAAAAGCTAAACTTTATCATGCACACACGAAATCCCAGGTTCTAGATGAAGTCTTTTCCATGTATTTCCTAATTTACTCATATTTGCCCCAAGATATATGTTAATATTATTTAGATAAGAAAACATAGTCTTAAAATTATACATGGCTCAAGCTCCAGACCTAGGATTTGATCCCAGGGTTCTCTGACCCCAAAGCTCCAGCTTTTAAAAATTATATTTTAATACTATGTAAATTGACTTAGCACTTATAAATTTATATTTAAATATTTTGGTGAAAGAAAAAAAATAAATAATAATCCTTTGGTGTGTCCCAGAAAATTCCCAGATATGCCAGGGGTTAAAAATGATTCTCTATTCAGAATCACCCTCAATGAATAGAAAATTCAGTACATGGCCCAAGACAACAGAGTAATTATAACCATAAAAGCAGGAAAATGTGCCATCAAAATTTGTCAATCATTGTATATAACATAGAGAAAACGAGAAATTGATGAATAAATGAGTACATGTAATCTCTAGAATAAGTTTCTAGTCAACACTGTCAGCCATATAAACAGGACATGGTAAATAAAAAACCTCAGAAAAAGCAATCGGTAAGATCTTAAAACTGAACTGAATCAATTCATTTAGAAACCAAAAAGTTTATATCCGCTATAGATCACATATTAAAAGAAATAAATATGACATCATTCTACAAATGAAAAACAAAAAATTTAGAAAGGCACATTATCTCCAAGTAGGCATGACTGACATCCACCAAATATGATAAGAAAATATCTACAATAATTAAAAGACTTAGCCAGCTTACACTGGTAGGTGATTCAATTTCCAGGAGAAATGCACTGATATTTCCTCAAGAGGAAAAAGAATAAGATAAATATTTACTAAGTAGCTATGTGATCTTGTGTCAATCTCTCAGAGATTTCATTTCTCCTTTCTAAGTCTCAGCTTCTCTACATTCAAGTTTTAAATACAACAGTTTTATAGAATATTATTTGCCATTTTTGACACATGGGAAGAAAATATATAAATGAATTCTATATTTATTCAGCTCAAGTAACAAAAGTTAAGGTTGACAAAATAAAACTCAAACTATATTTGCCAGTAAACCTTCAAACAGTAATCCCATGAACATAACTAGAATGGCCGAACCTTTCTCAAACCAAAGAGACTTTTGCAGGTTAGACTTAAGTTAAATGCTTCATCATTAATTCCAGCAGGCAAAGAATGGAAGTGGGTAGAGCACACCAGAGACAAGAATAGGTTGGAGGCCAGGCAAACTAGAGGTTATAAATGGAAGCACTAGAGGCTAGAAAAGAGTGGGTTGGAGACTAGGTAAACCAGAGGATTTTAGTACAAGCAAGAGAGTAAGGCTAGAGATCCCAGGGCCATGTAAACGCCAAAGACTGGTTGTAAAGCAAACCGTATAATCTCAGGGCAAGGTAAATTATCTACAATAAGGACATTCACAAAACCTAGCAAAGACCAAATGTAAGGTAAAAGAACACTTGCATTGTGCCCATCCTTGGTGGTCTTTTTTCTGCATTCCCCCCATTAAGTACTGCTCCTAAATAAGTTTGGCTTAGAAAATACAGAGAGATTACTAAACAAAGCAGTCTGCTAGAACTTATTCCAGCTCTCTGGGATACAAGGATTTCCCTTACTCCTACCTGCTCTCAAACTAAAGGATTTCACATTAATGGTAAAGTTCTCAGCTGGAGAATGAACTTGGCAGTAAAATCAGATGGCTTATGTAGCAATTTTTGAGTTCTAAAGAGCTGTAATAACTAGAATTCTCCTTTCCTGTACAGGAAGTGATAAGCCTTTTAACCTATGCTACTTATATTCATGTTCTGATACAAAAAAAAAAAAAAAGGAAGATTGGTCAAAAGTAAATTTTTAGGATAAACTCATTTATCTGGCCCTGTCTGCCTAATTATGCCTCCCCTTCCCACTAAAAGCTCTTAAGTATTCTCTATTGTACATGCTACAGAATAATGTTCAAATGCCTTTGTAGGTCACAAAAGGAACTCCATAATTGGGTTAACATCTACCACCTAGGCCTGATTCTGTAGTGACTTTCTGCCTTGCTCTTTATGCCTTAGAAACACTGTACTGTCTATAGGGTAGTTTTTGTCCACACCATTCTGTTTCTTTCCTCCATGACTTTTATTCTATGACTTCCTCTAATTAGAATACCTCATCTTCCTTTTCATCTATCTTATTTATTCTTTATGACTTACCTTAAAAAAATCAACTCCTTAAGAAAGCCACCCTGATATTTCATCACAATCACTCTCTGGTTCCTCACAGTACCTACTCATTCTCTAGTTCTGCTTACATAGTATCCTGGGCATAAATTTAGCCCTATGTACCATGTTATCTCATGTGTATCTGTTCGCACATGTTTAGAGTGAGTTGTACATTTATGAGGCTAGCCCTATGGTGGCTGCTTTGTTTGTTTGTTTGTTTCTAGACTAGTGCTCATAATTCAGATAACATCTACCAGGTAAATTTAATACATTTTTATAACTGTGAGGACAGATGTGATATAACATTCTATAATGGAAAGAAAAAAAAAATGTGTTTTGGAGCCAGACTTAGATAGTACTCCTAGCTTTAATTATTGCTTACTATATAAATTCTAGTAAGTTATTATCCACTTTCAGTTGTCTTCACGTTTATAAATACCAGGAGAAAAATACCATTAAATGTTGGTTCTTATAAGATGTCTTATGAAAAGCTACTGGCAAAATTCCTGGTGAACAAATATCGATCATTTCCTTTAAACTATAAGCTCCTTGACGGTAAAGCATAATGCTGTGTGTGTTGTGTATGAATTTTAATATCTACAACAATTAGTAAGCACACAGTATGTGATATAATATGGGTACCCTATAAGTGTTTGTGAATGAGTAAATAATTATGAATAAACACATACATAAAACAATTACAAGTTAAATTCCTAATAATCCTAACTTTGGAAAATATAAATTGTATTGAATGAATGGAAGAACTGAGTAAATGCATATCAAACTGTTAATGATAATATAAACACTTTCCTTAGCTTCCCGTTAATCTGTATATTTAATATAATTTCAATCAAAATTACAATTTGGTAAGATGGTGGTTTTGGAGAAGGGATGAAATTTGAGGGATATTGTCATTAAACCAGAAGAATGAATGTATAGCAAGAGCCATTACATCTTTTAAAAGTTAAACATTATGATACTGGCTCAAAGACAGACAAATAGAATAAAGAAGCAAAACAGGGAATCCAGAAACAGATTTATGTATTTATGTGAATTAAACATGATAAAAGTAGCATACCAAACCAGTGAGACATGGTGCGTTTTACAATAAATTGTGTTAGAAAAACTGGATGCCCTTTCAATATTCAGACAGACCAAGTAACTCTCCAATAATCACACTGTTAGAAAGTAAGTAAGCACTAGCTTTGAAAGGAACACACTTTCAACAGTGTTTCACTACTTCTCAAGATTTGCCTTAGATAGTGTGTACAAGTCCTTGCTGAGATAGGCTCAAATTTACAGATGAGTAAAATGAGGCCAGAACACGTAAAAGACTGCTTCGAGATTATTCTGCTAGTGGTTATGTTGCAAGAAATACAGCTGGAATACCTAGCTCATCAGCATACAAAATTAAATATTCTGCCTCACTTCTACGTTTGCAATAAAATGTATCTCTAACTTTATCAGGTTTTCCATTAACTCAACCAAATTATGAAGACTTGATCTTTAATACACAAATTCAGCTATGACAAATGTACCGTCTCCAAACTTACTATCTAGAAGACATCCATTGGTTATGAATTAATGGATTCTAGGATATACCTTTCTCCCCATGAAAAAAAAATCTACACATTCAGGTTACTAAGGTATGAAATTCTGCTGCTATAGCTTTGGTATTTTAATTTAACACTGTTCTCTATTGTTGAAATGCATTATTTCTGTAGGTATGAAACTTACAAAATATTAGTCATGTATTATTATGAAGAAAACAATAATGCGATACAAAGTTTCTGGTGGGGTTAGGATAAGAAAGTTTTTGGTTTAATAAAAATAACCAGAAACAGCCTTCTGGAGGAGGTAACATTAGAATTTATTCTAAGAAGATGCAGGTTGTCATTCCAACACCTGAGGAAAGTATTTACGAATAAAAAAATATAAGAAGCCCTGTATAAATGGCCCTGAAATTTATTAAAAATGAGCTTATTTTACATTTGAAGGACAAAAACAAGGCTAGTATAGTAGCATGGTAAATCAGGGGTGGGGAGATGTACTTGAGTATACTACTACAGAGATATTCAACTATCGGAATTTGGTGCCCTATAGGATATAATAATGAGTTTGCAACTCAAAATCTGAAAGTTCAAAGGAGGATTTGTGTGCAACACATTTAGTAGAAAGATAGTAACAATACCATCACTAACTTATCCAAAGAAAAGTAGATGTCCTTAATTAGCCAGGTGTGATACTTAATACTGAGTGTCAACTTGATTGGATTGAAGGATATAAAGTATTGATCCTGGGTGTGTCTGTGAGGGTGTTGCCAAAAGAGGTTAACATTTGATTCAGTGGCCTGGGGAAGGCAGATCCACTCTTAATCTGGTGGGAACAATCTAATCAGCTGCCAGCAAATACAAAGCAGGCAGAAAAATGTGAAAAGGAGAGACTGGCCTAGCATCCCAGGCTACAACTTTCTCCCATGCTGGATGCTTCCTGCCCTCAAACATTGGACTCCAAGTTCTTCAATTTTGGTACTCGGACTGGCTGTCCTTGCTCCTCATCTTGCAGGCAGCCTGTTGTGGGACCTTGTGATTGTGTAAGTTAATACTTAATACATTCATATATATCCTATTAGTTCTATCCCTCTAGAGAACCCTGACTAATACAGATTTTGGTACCAGGAGTGGTTCTGGAGGAACAGAATATTAAGGATGGAGTTCTTTCATCAGTTTTGGGGTTTCTAGAGTTGGCTGCTTAATATGACTAGACCCCAAAATGCTATGGAATCTCCTTCTAATCATATGGAGAACACTGATAGTACTTGACATGAACTGTTTAGAGAGTTATGCAAAATAAATGCACTTAACACTCCTGATTCACCACTCGTGAGAGGCAAAGAGTTTAGTGACTCTATACATACATAACACCTTTGACCATATGTGGAGAACCAAGGAACGTAATGAAACTGGTTGCTTGCTCCTAAGTTTAGTGGACAAAGTGATGAAAGAAAATGATGAACTCAGGGATTCTGTCTCTGGGCTTTAGAAGCAGATACTGAGCCTCAGATCTCCTAAGATTGCCCTGAGGGAGAGTCTTATCTCCTCTAGAGAAAGAACTGAAATTGTGGAAAAATAGACATGCTATCATGTGAGTGGCTGATCTGCAACGAAAGATGCATGCACAGCCTCACCAAGTGTTTATTGTTAAAGTGAGGGCATTGATTGGAAAAGAATGAGACCCTGCATCTCGGAATGGGCACATGTGGGAGGATTCTGATGAAGCTGGGGATACTGAGTTTGTAAACTCTGATGAACCTTTTTTGTCAAAAGGAACAGCTTCCCCATCCCCAGTAGTGGCAACATCCCCTCCCAACCCATGCTGTCATCAGCTTTTCCATCTTTGTCTGAGGAGATAAACCCTGTGCTGCCTGAGGCAACAGTGATAGCCTTCCTGCTCTGCGGGAGGCAATGGTGATAGCCTCCCCTGAGGCAGTTGCCAGGCATGATAATGTTGATTCTCCTCAGGAGCCACCCCCATCACCTCTGTTTGCTTCTAGACCTATAACTAGACTAAGTTCTGGTAGGTCCCTAGAGTTTAGTTTGACAATGTGACTCATGAGGTGAGCTACACTCAAAAAGAACTGTTTGAGTTTTCTAATCTATATAAGTAGAAACCTGGAGAACAGGCATAGAAATGGATATTAAGGGAATGGGATAATGATGGAAGGAACATAGAGTTGGATCAGGCTGAATTTATTTATTTGAGCCCACTAAATAGGGGCTCTGCTTTTAATGTTGCAGCTTGGGGAGTTAAAAAAAAAAGGTTCTAATAGTTTATTTGCTTGGTTAGCTGAAATATGGATTAAAAGGTGGCCCACTGTGAGTGAGCTGGAAATGCCTGATCTCCCTTGGTTTAATGTAGAGAAAAGGATCCAAAGGCTTAGGGAGACTGGGATGGTGGCGTGGATTAATCACTTTAGACATACTCATCCCAGCTAGGAGGGTCCAGAAGATATATCCTTGACAAATGCCTTGTGAAACACATCGGTGAGGGCAGCACCTGCTCTTTGAAGAGCCTGTAATTGCTCTTCTCTGTATGTCAGATCTAAGAGTGGGAACCACAGTCACTCAACTACAAAATTTAAATGCATTAGAGATAATTGCACTCAACCATCAAAGGCAAGGTGGGCATGGCTACCATAATGGACAGCAGAGACAAAGCAGCAATAAGAATAGTCTGACTCGTGTAGAGCTCTGGCATTGGCTAATTAATCACCGTGTTCCTAGAAGTGAAATTGATAGGAAGCCTACTGCATTCCTACTTAATTTATATAAGGAGAAAACTTCTAGGTTGAATGAACAAAAGACTAATTTGAATTACAAAAAAAGGGAATCATGGCCCCTCAACAAATTTCCATACTTCAGTCACTTTACACTCCCAGAACCCCTTGAATGAAGGGGAGGCTGGGTCCCTTTGAGGAAGGACCCCACTACATTACTGACAATTTATGCAGTGCATCTTTCTCCCATCCTTCCCCAAGGAAACTTAAGGCCTTTTACCAGGGTAACTGTGCACAGGGGAAAGGGAAATGGTCAGATATTTTGGGGACTCCTGGGCACTGGCTCTGAACTGACGTTGATTCCAGGAGACCCAAAAGATCACTGTGGTCCTCCAGTTAAAGTAAGGTCTTATGGAGGTCAGGTAATTAATGGAATTTTAGCTTAGGTCCTACTTACAGTGGGTTCAGGGGGTCCCCAGACTCATCCTGCAGTCAATTTTCCCCAGTGCCAGAATGCATAATTGGCATAGACATACTTAGCAATTGGCAGAACCCCCACACTGACTCCCTGACTGGTAGGGTGAGGGCCATTATGGTGGGAAAGGCCAAATGGAACCCATTAGAGCTGCCTCTACCTAGAAAAATCATAAATCAAAGACAATATCACATCCCTGGAAGGACTGCAGAGATTAGCGCCACCATCAAGGACTTGAAGTTGCAGGGGTAGTGATTCCCACCACATCCATGTTCAGCTCTCCCATTTGACCAGTGCAGAAGACAGATGGATCTTGGAGAAGGACAATGGATTACTGTAAGCTTAACCAAATTGTGACTCCAATTGCAGCTCTTGTACCAGATGTGGTTTCATTGCTTGAGCAAATTAACACATCTCCTGGTACCTGGTATGCAGCCATTGACTTGGCAAATGCCTTTTTCTCCATTCCTGTCCGTAAGGCCCACCAGAAGCAATTTTCTTTCAGCTGGCAAGGCCAGCAATGTACCTTTACTGTCCTACCTCAGGGGTTTATCAATTCTCCCGCTTTGTGTCATAATCTTATTCTGACAGACCTTGATCACTTTTCATCTCCACAAGATATCATATTGGTCCATTACATTCATGACATTATGCTGATTAGATCCAGTGAGCAGAAAATAGCAAACACACTGAACTTATTGGTGAGATGTTTGCATACCAGAGGATGGGAAATAAATCCAACTAAAATTCAGGGACCTTCCAACTTCGTAAAATTTCCAGGAGCCCAGTAGTCTGGGAGTCCTGTTGAGACATTCCTACTAAGGTGAAGCATAAGTTGCTGCACTTGGCCCCTCCTACAACCCAGAAAGAGGCACAACACCTGGTAGGCCTATATGGATTTTGGAGGCAACACATTCCTCATTTGGGTGTGTTACTCCGGCCAATTTATTGAATGACCAAAAGGCTGCCAGTTTTGAGTGGGGTCCAGAACAGGAGAAGGCTCTGCAACAGGTCCAGGCTGCTGTGCAAACTGCTCTGCCACTTGGGCCCTGTGACCCAGCAGATCCAATGGTGCTTGAAGTATCAGTGGCAAATAGGGATGCTGTATGAAGCCTTTGGCAGGTCCCCATAGGTGAATCACAGCAGAGGCCTCTAGAATTTTGGAGCAAGGCCCTGCCATGTTCTGCAGATAAGTATTCTCCTTTTGAGAGACAGCTCTTGGACTATTACTGGGCTTTGGTGGAAACTGAACATTTGACCATAGGTCATCAAGTCACCATGTGACCTGAATTGCCTATCATGAACTGGGTGCTTTCTGACCCATCAAGCCATAAAGTGGGTCATAAAAATCAGCATTCCATCACCAAACGGAAGTGGTATATACGTGACTGGGCTCAAGCAGGTCCTGAAGGCACATGTAAGTTACATGAGGAAGTGGCTCAAATGCCCATGGTCTCCACTCCTGCTACCCTCCTCCTCTTCCCCAGCCTGCACCAATGGCTTCATGGTGAGTTCCCTATGATCAGTTGACAGAGGAAGAAAAGACTAGGGCTTGGTTCACAGATGGTTCTGCACAATATGCAAGCACTACCTGAAAGTGGACAGCTGTAGCACTACAGCTCCTTTCTAGGATAACCCTGAAGGACAGCAGTGAAGGAAAATTTTCCCAGTGGGCAGAACTTTGAGCAGTACACCTGGTTGTGCACCTTGCATGGGAGGAGAAATGGCCAGATGTGCGATTATATACTGTTCATGGGTCATAGCCAGTGGTTTGGCTGGATTGTCAGGGACTTAGACAAAGCATGATTAGAAAATTGGTGACAAAGAAATCTGGGGAAGAGGTATGTGGGTGGACCTCACTGAGTGGTCAAAAACTGTGAAGATATTTGTTTCCCATGTGAGTGCTCACCAATGGGTGACCTCAGCAGAGGAGGATTTTAATAATCAAGTGGATATGATGATCCATTCTATGGATACTCCTCAGCCTCTTTCCCCAGCCACCTCCGTCATTGCCCAATAGGCCCAGGAACAAAGTGGCCACGGTGGCAGGGATGGAGGTTATGCATGGGCTCAACAACATGGATTTCCACTCACCAAGGCTGACCTGGCTACAGCCACTGCTGAATGCCCAATTTGGCAGCAGCAGAAACCAATGCTGAGCCCTCTGTAAGGCACCATTCCTCAGGGTGATCAGCCAGCTACCTGGTGGCAGGTTGATTATATTGGACCTCTTCCATCATGGAAAGGGCAGAGGTTTGTCCTCACTGGAATAGACACTTACTCCAAATATGGGTTTGCCTATCTTGCATGCCATTCTTCTGCCAAAACTAATATCTGTGGACTCGCAGAATGCCTTATCCACCATCATGGTATTCCACAAAGCATTGTCTCTGACCAAGGCACTCACTTTATAGCTAAAGAACTGTGGCAGTGGGCTCATGCTCATGGAATTCACTGGTCTTACCATGTTCCCCAGCATCCTGAGGTAGTTGGATTGATAGAACAGTGGAATGGCCTTTTGAAGTCACAATTACAATGCTAACTAGGTGACAATATTTTGCAGGGCTGGGGCAATGTTCTCCAGAACGCCGTGTATGATCTGAATCAGCATCCAATATATGGTACTGTTTCTCCCATAGCCAGGATTCACGGGTCCAGGAATCAAGGGGTAGAAGTAAAAGTGGCAACACTCACCATTAACCCCAGTGATCCACTAGCAAAATTTTTGCTTCCTGTTCCTGCGGCATTACATTCTGCTGGCCTAGAGGTCTTCGATCCAGAGGGAGGAATGCTGCCACCAGGAGACACAACAATGATTCAATTAAACTGGAAGTTAAGATTGCCACCTAGACACTTTAGGATCCTCCTACCTTTAAGTCAACAGGCTAAGGAGGGAGTTACAGTGTTGGCTGGGGTGACTGACCCGGACTATCAAGATGAAATCAGACTACTACTCCATAATGGAGGTAAGGAAGCATATGCATGGAATACAGGAGATCCATTAGGGCATAGCTTAGTATTACCATGCCCTATGATTGGGGTCAATGGGAAATTACAACAGCCCAATCCAGGCAGGACTACAAATGGTCCAGACCCCGCAGGAATGAAGGTTTGGGTCACTCCACCAGGGGAAAAAACCCACAACCTGCTGAGGTACTTGCTGAAGTCAAAGAGAATACAGAATGGATAGTAGAAGAAGGTAGTCATCAACACCACCTACAACCACATGACCAGCTGCAGAAACGAGGACTGTAATTGTCATGATTATTTCCTCTTTCTTTTGCTGAAAACATGTTTGTGTATGTATACACTTGTACTAAGAAAATATCTTCATTTTATTTCCTTTTCCTTTATCATGTGACATAAGATTTATTGACTTCGTATCAGCATTTAAGTATTGTTAACTTTATGTAATAGTATTTGAGTTGGGGATTGGTGCTTTTCCAGTTGTATGAAGGATAGTTGTATTATGTTAGGCATAATTATGACCTTATTGTCTTTACTTGGATATCATGTGTGATCTCAGCAGATCTGTATGGGTTCAAGTTGACAACGGTTGGACTTGTGATGGTTAATACTGAGTGTCAACTTGATTGGATTGAAGGATACAAAGTGTTGATCTAGGGTGTGTCTGTAAGGGTGTTGCCAGAAGAGATTAACATTTGAGTCACTGGGCTGGGGAAGGCAGATCTACCCTTAATCTGGTGGGCACAATCTCATCAGCTGCCAGCAAATATAAAGCAGGCAGAAAAACGTGAAAAGGAGAGACTGGCCTAGACTCTCAGCCTGCATCTTTCTCCTGAGTTGGATGCTTTCTGCCCTCAGACATCGAACTCCACGTTCTTCAGTTTTGGGACTCAGAATGGCTCTCCTTGCACCTCAGCTTGCAGACAGCCTATTGTAGGACCTTGTGATCATGTAAGTTAATACTTAATAAACTCCCATATATATATATGTATATATATATATATATATATATATATATATATATATATATATATATCCTATTAGTTCTGTCCCTCTAGAGAACCCTGACTAATACACCAGGGTATGTGAAAACTTAGCATAGCCTTTATTATAAAGAAAAAGTAAAATTCAGCATATTTAGGCTCCATGTGCTTCACTAGTTTTTCTAAAATCTGGTAATTTTACCAATGGATGAAATGTAATTTAATTAGGTAAAGCTGAAGTTCAAATATAGAGTGGAACTGATAAGTAATAAGCCTAACCCATATGATTGTATTCAATATATTTGAAAAGTGTCATTGGAAGTTAATAGGAGGAAATAATATGATCAATTATTTTGTAAGGAAAGGAAGTCAATGGAAAGAAAAAAATACTAATTAATACCAAATTTTTCTTTTTTTTTTTTTTTTATTTTGACGGAGTCTCGCTGTGTCACCTAGGCTAGAGTGCAGTGGCGCAATCTCAGCTCACTGCAAGCTCCGCCTCCTAGGTTCACGCCATTCTCCTGCCTCAGCCTCCCAAGTAGCTGGGACTACAGGCACCCGCCACCATGCCCGGCTAATTTTTTGTATTTTTTAGTAGAGACGGGGTTTCATTGTGTTAGCCAGGATGGTATCGATCTCCTGACCTTGTGATTCGTGCACCTCGGTCTCCCAAAGTGCTGGGATTACAGGTGTGAGCCACTGCACCCAGCCAATACCAAATTTTTCAAAAGGTGAAAAAATACATTCCACTTAACATTTCCAGTCAACTTCTCCACTTTGTCCTACAAAAAGCTATTTTTTCTATTTTAAAAAAATGTGACTTATTAAACTAATGAGAACTAATAATTACTTTTTCCCAGAAAACAAAGTCAAGATTTCCACCCTCTCTTTTATTATGAGCTAGTATTTGTAGCATGGAACATGTTTTTCATAAACATTCTTAGGTATCCTTAAAAGTTAATAGTTAGTGTCCATCCTGAACATTTTACCTTTCATCTGTATTCAATTAATCCAGTTTTCAAATAAGTAATCAACATAATAAGCACTATGATAGAGGTTTAAGAATTACAGAAATTTTAAGTAAGTGTATGGATATTCTAATACACATTCCAGTATGGGCCAATATAAGTATAAAGCTAATTCTCTGTCACTTACATAGTACACTAAAATATAACTCTTCATAAAAGATTGTGTGTGTGTGTGTGTGTGTGTGTGTGTGTGTATTCAACATGGGCAACTAACATTTCTTTCTTCAACATTGGTCTTCAAACTGCCAAAACTCTTATACTGTGTTCTAATTATTCTCATATGCTTAGCTGAGACCTTTCACAAAAAAAGCTCTTCAAAAATTGTCATTATATGGAATTGAATCAAATCACACTATTACTTGTCATGAAGTAGAATTCAGTATCACATAGAATGTCATGTTAACCTGTCCTGTTTCAGACTCAAATCCAGTGATTTCAGCGGTATTCACAACTGACTTTTTCAAAATATTCCATAATGAGAAGGTACTTAATATGGTTTCTTTAACTGTAATCTCTAAGATAATATTATCATGACATGTCAGGGTACAGGCACTCTTTTAAGGTATACTTGCACACAAACAAACAGTAATGATTTTAATGCATGTGTCAAATCTAAATCTTTGTCCCTACTGTTTTGTGTACCCAACAGAGGTGATTTCAAAGGAAGAAGACTGGAAGAGATACACACATGAATTGCGTACATCAGAATGAAATGTCTATATAATTTTGAAAATCAAACTGTTTATACACTGTTTGAAAGATTCATTTCGGCCTTACATTTGCTAATCGCACAAGATGTTACAGAATACCACCATTTGTTATCTACAAATCCAAAGAACAAATGAATAAACTGTATTCAGCCATGTGTATAATCATCCCTCAGTTGATCCTCAGTGCATTTATAGCATAGTGGGAGTGTGGCTTTTTCTGCCTCTTCTCTGTAACATATAAAAGGTATTAACTTTCACTTAAAAAGGAAATAATGAAAGAAAGAAGCAGCAGCTTCTGTTGGTACATAAACATCAGGCATGGAGATTCTATACTGCATCCTAGGAGAAACCAGGGAACCAAAATAATGAGCTTAAAACCGCAGAAATCATTGTTTATGATTCAATTATTTGAAAGCAGTTACTAAAAAAAACTTACATGATACTAGTATATTTTCCTTTGTAATATATGCTACTTTGTTTATCCATCCCAGAAATTTGTCTTTATTTTAATTGCTGTTAAGCTCTTTGCTGGAGGTTTTAGTTTCATCCTCTCATACTCCCAGGTTTTCTATTTGGACTTTGTAGCTTGTGGTCACTGAGGTTACATTTGCTTTTCCTCTTTTATGTTTAGCTTCATTGCCTCAAACTTTTCTTTCCACTGAATGCATATGAGGTCATTTATCTCTTCATATTTCTATTCAGTCTAAGCACAGATTGTATGTGTGTGTGTTTTGTTGCTTGTTTCTTTTAATAGAAGTGTGGCTTCTATCATTCTTTCCTAACTCATTAAAATATCCAGATTTCTTTTACTAGTGCTTATTTCTTCTTTATCATGGAATAGCACAAAACATCACCACTATGTATTACTTTGAAATGGATTTAGCCATCAGTTTACTGTATCTTAGAAATGTATTTCCAGTTTGTTATAAAATCAAATGCACATTAATCAACTAAAATACATCAGCAGAATTATTTTATTGCCAACGATAAGTATCAGCAGACTTCTGAAATTTTATTGGTAGGAAGAGGTACAAAATTTACTAGACACTAGCTGCTTTTGGTAATTTGTGATTTTAAAAAGCAATTTATATAATAGCAAGTAAATTTTATTGAAAGAAAAAGCTAATTAAATCAAATGTGCATTTCTGTTAAAAGATTGCAGGCTGTATTTAATTACGTATAGCTTTCCCCAATAAGATGATAATGATAAATATTACTCTAAATTACAATTGCTACCATATTTTTTCCAATCTGGTTTGACTACATTTCACAATTTTTATTATTGCTTTTATTGTCATTATTTGTATTTACCTAAGCTTCTTTGTAGACTATATTAGCTATTCACATTGCATTAATTTTTGACCCACAAGGGCAAAAAGTATCAAATTCTGTTCACTGATCCATGAGCAGCATGAAAAATGACATTCATAGGTATAAAATATTCTTGGACAGGTACCAGGCTTGGATAAACACCCCCTACTATCACAAATTTTTAAATTATAATTTATAATTATAGCTACTGATATAGCTATAATATTAATACAGCCAAAATAGACACTTATTGTAGGTTTGAGATATATGTAATTTTTGTAAGCTTATTGTAATATCCATTCCTTTTTCTCCCATTCAAGGCATTAGCAGAAAGAGCATAAGTTATGGGAATGACCTTGCCTATACACTAACGTGTTTAAAAAGGAATGAATCATTTAAAAAGTCTGGTTACAAATTACTTGCTATGCACTTCAGAGGTGATGTTGACATGCTGGTGTGCCTCATGATCCTAAGAACCACTAAACCAGAATTTTATTTCAAACACAACAGAAGAAGAACAATGGCAATAATAACCTAAATAGCAACAGAATGGGGAGAAAAAGTATGACTATATCAATGTCCTTGTGATAGGCAGAATAATGGCTCTCCAAAATGGGCACACCTCAATCCTTGTAATATGTGACTATATTAACTTACATGGCAATAGGGATTTTACAGATACAATAAATGTAGGGTGCCTGAGATGGGAAATTGTCCTGGATTATCTAAGTGAGCCCAGTATAATCCTTTTCTGGGTCCTTTTTTGGGAAAGAAAAAGAAAGTTCAGAGTTAAGAGGAGATGTGAGGACAGAAGCATACTGGAGTGATGAGATTGCTGACTGGAGGCCATAAGCCAAGGAACACAGATAGATAGGCACCAGAAGCTGAAAAAGAAGAAACTGATTCTTTCCTAGAGGCTCAAAAAATACAGTTCTGCTGACTCCTTGATTTTAGTCTAATGAAACCCATTTTGGACTTCTGACTTCCAGATAACAACATGTGTGTTGTTTGAGCCACTATGTTCTTAGTAATTTGTTAAAGCAGCAATAAGAAACCTACACAGTCTTCAAACCAGTAAAAGCATATTACTATATACTGACTCTATCTTCTGAATGACCTACTGCCTAATAAGAATTTTGTCGATAATGACTCCATTACAGATTTAATGCAGGAAGATTTCAGCCGAGAAAAAAAAAAAAAAAAAAACAAGGCCAGGCATGGTGGCTCATGCCCATAATCACAGCACTTTGGGAGGCCAAGGCAGGAGGACCTCTTGAGCCTAGGAGTTTGAGACCAGCCTGGGCAACACAGCAAGATCCTACCTTTACGAAAAAATAAAATAAAAAATTAGCCAGGTGTAGTGTCACATCCGTGTAGTCCTGGCTAATTTTTTTATTTTTTTGTAAAGGTGATGACTATATACTAGGCTCCCTATTATGAAGTAGAAAGTAGAGAATGAAGAATATTTTAAGAAGAATCCGAGAAGGAGGCAGACTTTTTATCTCAGTCCAGTTGGGGAGAAGGCCGTGAAAATAAATGTATCTATAGAATTGTTGAGGATTATGACAAAGACTTGGTATATGAATAAACCAGAAATTTTCTGTGAAGCTGGAGAGTATTTCAAAGAAAAGTTCATATTTGCACTGTGTATACAAAATGAAAGTATGAGAAGAATTTATAGCCATGTATCATAATGTTGGAAAAATCATAAACTACTTGTTAAGACCATTTGATATTAGATAGAATTTACCGATTGAAAATATCCTCAAATAGAACTGACCAAATTGATACAATCATGTCTTTGACCTATGTAAGGGCCTCTTTATAATCAGCTATGACCACCTGTCCTCATATGTTTTGATGCAATAAAAATCAAATTATATAGTCATCAGTAAGTTGCTGTGGATTAAAAGAGTAGCTCTATTTTCATTAGTTATTAAATTTTAACTTAGTATTAAAATTGACACACACCTAGTTTATCTTTAATAGTGTTTTTTAATAACCTAACAGTGCTACACAAATAAATTATAGCAAAACTAGAAAACATATATTTTTAAAACTTCACCACTTCAAATATTATTAACTCTAGTATCTGAAGTAATGTTCCGATATTTTCCAACATTTAAGTATAGCCGAACATCAACCATGTAGTAAAATACTATACTGCAGACTTAAGCATACATTCCTTTCATTTCTGTCTAGTTGCTACAGGGCGCAGCTATTCATATCTACAAAGCCAGTTAGATTTACATGTGAGGGGCAACTGGGTTGAAATGAAGGTTGCATCACCAGAGAAAGCATGTAGCACAATAGAACAACAGAAGGATTGTCTCAGGCACCTCTTTCCTACATTGCATGGCTTGTGAGTGTGCAGGTTTTTTTTTTTTTTTTTCCAGATATTTATCAGAGGCAGTTACTATCATTCTTTTTGTTGTAGAAAATAAATGGATGGGTGGGAAAAATGTCATGAGTAGAGCAGAAAGTTATGTGTGGAATGAAGGGGGAGGATGAAGGGAGGGAATAACTTACCAAGGTTCTTTAAATCATGCCAGCCTAATGACCTTGCATATTTTATTAACACATACACTTTCCAACCCCCAGAGAAACTTAAAGCCTTGTGACAATGTCAGTCTTCTGAAAAGATTAAACTATAATTCTTTTAAACTTAACATTTTAAAATAAGTAAAAATAACATTTAACAGTTTTTTGACACCTTTGTATATGAAAACATTTGTGTCTACAATTTTGGTCAGTTTACAAATTACAAATGTTTTAAACTACTACACACACTCAAATGTGCAAGGGAATATGACCTAGAAACCAAAAACAAATTTAGCTTTCCTGGCCAATATATAAGTCAGTGAAATTTAATGGTAGCTCAGGACATTTTTATAGGAATGCGTGGGATGACATGAGTAGGAAAATTAGTATTTAATTGGAGAGAATAGAATCTGTTATCATTTTAATGCACTCAGACCTACATATTTAAAAATAATTTTAACATATATACACAAACAATATGTATAAAAATAGAGCTTAGAATCAGCATTTAAAACTGCATCTTACAATTTGCTTACTCTGTATAAGAATAGAAAAAACTGACTCTAAGTTTAAAATTCATTTGACCAATTAATTCCTCTCCACAGTGCTTATCTACATACTAGAAATATTAAAATAAGAGATAAAAAGTTAAAATTTGTTTTTAAAACATAAATATTTTAAGACATACTACAATTATTTCCATTCAAGGAAATGTAAAAGGTAGCATTACTAATATAGTTCTCAAAACTGTATAATTTCTAATAGAAAAATTTAGTTCTCTGTTAACATTTGTTAATTTATCTTACTGGAACAAATAGACCCTACAATGAGATAAAACATGTTCAAACTCTTGCTCTGACATTTTAAAGTTGTATAACTTGGGGCAAATCACTCGACTAGTCAAATACTTCTTTTCAACTAGAAAACAGGGATTATATCTACATACCCACAGGATTGTTATGAGGATTTTCTGACTATAAAAATGTTATATGATGATAATCAAGTATCAAGCATATAACTCTATAGGTGTTGCTTCTTATATCTTCCCCTTACCCCCTCCGCATATAGACTCTAACCCTTGCAAGTCTACTTTGTAAAGAAAGACCTACATTGATTTCCCATTTAAGGTCCATGGGACAAAAAGAGATGCTCAAAGGCAGACAGAAGTGATACAAACTCCTTCTGCCTTCAAAAATGGAGATATTCAAGAATGCACCCAAGCTATATCTAGCAATTGTACTCATTGATAGAACAAGTAAGAGAATTTCCAAAACAAATAACACATGATCAACATTGCACTTGTTAGGTTCAGTGTTTTGTTTTTTGTTTAAATAGGGTTCTTATTTAAATATATTGCATTGATATCTACCAAAATTTGATATTAGGTTAATTTCTTTTGTTTTTGTGAGATTTGTGTTAAGCAACTTGTCACCTCTTTGTATAGCAAACGAGGTATGCTTTTTAATGTTTCCATATGATTATTACACCAGGGTCTTTTGTTATTGTTGTTATTTTAAAATTTTAAAATCATTTTACCTAGTTACCATAGAAATGTTAGTTACACATTGCTAAAAGAAATCATGAAATGAGAATGTAGGACTACAGATTTTAATCATGTTTAACATATTTAAACGTAGTTTTATCAACCTGTCAGACATCTTTGACAAAGAGTACTAGAAAAAGTATTTTCTCTTTTCTTTCCAGAATCACTGGGTGCATGAATTGCAAATCTTCC
Organism: Homo sapiens; assembly: GCF_000001405.40. Classification (NCBI taxonomy): domain Eukaryota; kingdom Metazoa; phylum Chordata; class Mammalia; order Primates; family Hominidae; genus Homo; species Homo sapiens. The sequence continues at coordinate 212,453,911 of NC_000002.12, forward strand.
ATATATAAACAGAAACAATACTATATTCCTTAACTTTTTTTTTTTTTTTAGACAAAGTCTCACTCTATTGCCCAAGCTGGAATGCAGTGGTGCGATCTCAGCTCACTGCAACCTTCACCTCCCAGGTTCAAGCGATTCTCCTGCCTCAGCCTCCCCAGTAGCTGGGACTACAGGCATGCACCACCATGCCCAGCTAATTTTTGTATTTTTAGTAGAGATGGGGTTTCACTATGTTGGCCAGGCTGGTCTCAAACTCCTGACCTCATGGTCTACCCGCCTCGGCCTCCCAAAGTGTTGGAATTACAGGCATGAGCCACCATGCCTGGCTATATTCCTTAACTTCTATAACTTACTGTGGTGACGCACTAGGAAGTTGGCAATTTGTCTTCTTTTCCACTGAGAAGACAGACTAATTTAAGACAATTTCTCTTTCACACAACCCAAAACATGCTGTCATATTGAAAGACTCAATGAATGCTTAGCATGAAAATGCCAATTTTAAAAGCTAGCTATTATCTGTGGGTTTTCCCACCTCTGCACTTGATATATTTCAGAGGAGAGTATTTATGCATAAACCACAGACTTTGTTAGAATCTCTATAATAATATGAAAACTTTTGATTTGTGAGCTCCTGTGGAAAAATGAAAATTATTTCTGCAATAAATAATATTTTATCTGTTCTAAAATAGCTTAATGATTCCCATAAGTCTATTATGAGAACTCTTCATTAATCAAAATTTTCACTTCTAGTAGACATAATCACAATCTATTAAATTTATATTTCCTCCAGTGCTAGGAGTAAGAGCAGCAAATAGGACCAATGTAATCAAGTATTGTGGAGAGCACATCAACTGTATAGGTAGTTAAATCACTTTCACTCTAGGTCTGTTTCCACATCAACAAAGTGAAGCAGTTGGACTCAATTTTTGTGAAAACCAGCTTGATTCTACAGTTCCTTTAGGTTTTTTTTTTATTCTTCTTCTTTTAATAAAACTCAGGAGAAATGACCGCCACCTCACTTCATTTTAGGGAAAACAATGTGTGACACACATTATAAAACAGAATGCAAAGTGTCAATATTATTATGATATTAAGATGTAATATTCATTTAGCATGACGAATTTGATCCAAATCAAATAGGTCGTGAGAAATTCTCCATCTTCCCACCTTTGGGGGCTAAGTCATAACTTAATGGACCTTGCTGCTGTATTTGAATTGAGGACTTCATTACCTTTTTCCATTCAAGAAACAGTAGAGACTTTTGTTTACATGATGCTATTTTCTCATTTTTCTCCCACCTTTCCAACAACCTGATCACCTTCAAGGGGTTATTTTTAACACCTAGGTGCCTCCCAGGATGTAAGGCTTCAATCATTCAATCACCTATTATGCTTCTTTCCATTCTCTCATTAGGTGATCTCATGTATGAATATGCATCACCCTCCTAATCTTATCGTTTTCTCAGTGTCAGTAGCAGCCTCTAGCCCTGAGTTAGCCAGTAGAACTTTCTGCAATGATGAAAATATTCTCTCTGCATTGTCCAATATGGTAGCCACTAGCCACATGGCTGTTGAGCATGCAAAATGTGGCAAGTAAAAAACTGAATGAGAAACTGAATATTTTATTTTGACACTCTAAATTCCTTCACCTTAAAAAAAAAAGTTTTGCTGTGTACTCAGCTCCTGCTGCTTTCCATCACCAAAGATGGAAGAGAGAGAGATTTTGAATAAAACTTACTCTTACTAAAGTAAAGAAAGAAAATTCTAAACCTCAGATGCAAACTATTTTTTTTACTTTATTGGATAGAAAAATGAGTTTTTAAAGTGTTACTTTTTAAAATCTTAGTTACAAAGCAATAGGTAATACATTTCCATTTTATCCTGTAAGAATAAAATAAGTATGAAAAAATTTATTGTTAAAAGTATAACATTTATTCATTTATTTGTTTAAAAAATATTTATTGAGCACTTATTATGTTCAAGGGACCATGCTAGGTGCTGGGCATCCTGCAGAAAAATAAATGATCATCCCTGACCTCAACACCTTTAACGTAATGGCTTCTTCCCCCAGCTGTCTTTCTTTAATGGTTTAAAATTTCAGGTTTATTTCACCCTTGAAGGAGAATTGAAAACAAAATTAAGAAAAAAAAAGCATAAATATTTTTATCTTAAGGAAATAATGGTTTACCAAGTAAACTGTAGTACACACTTCCTCTAGAGCATTTTTAAAATTAAATCTGATTTTTATAGCAACATTTTGCAATGAAGAAAATGTAATTTCAAAAACAGCTTCAAAATAATTCTTCTAACTCCCTAACATAAAATAAAATTGGTATAAAGAATGACAACAATATGTAGATTAAGAAAAATCTGAATTGATGTATTTCACTTTTATCAAAATCACTACAACAAAACTGTATTTCAGTCATCAGAAAATATTGCATACACTAAATAAGTGTAAAATATTTTTGGAGCCCAAATCTGATGGGATAAATAGAGTACAAGATTAAGTGACAAGTAGAAGAAATAGAAATCTGTAAGAGATGATTAATTATTACAGAATTATATTCTCAACTGATTGTTCTTAAGTATAAAAAGACTGAGTCTGCTGTTTATAAATACCACAATGCTTCCTTCATTAGTTATCTTCCTCTCTTAAAAAAAAAAAGAATATGAGGTTGATTAATCGTGAAGGTTAGGAAACAAATATTCTTCTAGGAGTTTTTAAATGTAGAACTAACTCATGATTAAAATAACAGAAAAAGTATAGTGTCATTTATATTTAAGGGATACAATTTTTGCAGAGCTTTTAAGAGCAAGAAATGTTTTTTATCAATTTATATAAAAATATATAAAAACAACATATATCCATTCAGAAAATTAAAAAATAATTATTGGTGGTGTGTTCAACAATATGTTATCAAATAGTAATTGTAAGCTGTAATTTTCCCATTAAGTAGACAGACAAAATTGATTATAATGGCCTTTTTTCTCCCCTAAATATTCCATATTTTACATGTTCTATTATACTTAAGGTTTTCTTTATAACTTTGCCCCAAAGTCTGCACAGCTCATCTACCACAGTATTTACTCTACAGGTGCCCCAAAGGACTTTTTTCACAGAAATGTGTAATAACTTTCATTATGCCAACTTGAAATGGTAAAACGGCAGGGGTACCTAAAAGATATCCTAGTAATATTTAATGATACATCACAAAATAAATATTTTTAAATGTTTGTATAAATCATTCCTACACCTATGAACCATTTCAGGCTAATAGAGACAGGTGTTGTTTATATGTTTTTGCTCTAAATATATATATTTTTAAGCCCAAAGCCAGAAATAATATAAACAAAATATTTTAGGATTTTTGAGATTCCCAATCATAGCACATTTCTGTTCTCTTCCTTCCTACATGAATGTTTGCTGGTTTAATTTTCTTTATCCAACCATCTACACTATCTTTCAGATATTTCCAACCCCTTCTTTACAGACTGTTCCAAATTTTGTTATATATTACTTGCACTGTTATCACACAGAGTATCCTCTCAGAAATGGATAACCCCCAAGCTTTCTACGAAGGTGATAATAAGCTTCATTTCATGTTAATTGCTTTCTTGCTGATTGTCCTGTGATATCTCTAGAATTAATACCATTAAATCACTACCTATCACTCTATTGGCATAATTTGGCTTAATTACTTCTACATCTGTTATCTTTAATACTCACATTAAAATTTATTCAACATTGTTTAAGCAACTCAGACAAATTTCTCCATGAATTCCTTTCTCTTTGGCTAGAACCATTTGAAAGGATGATTGAGATAACTTCCTGGTAAAGAGTATTGACTAGAATTAGGCCTATATGTGAAATCCAAACACAATATTCTTTTTAATTTGCACTAACATCCTGGAATCAGAGTAAAGTCTTGATCTTAAAGATCATTTTTAAAAATAGGATACTGGCAATATCCGTAGGCACCCTAGTAATATTTACAAGGATTTTTCTTTGCTAAGGTAAATATTTATTATTTATTATTTTTTATTATTCAGATTTAATATTATTTATGATACACAAAGTATTCACCAAATAATGTTCTTCTATTGTATGTTCTAATTTAATAGGAAATAATCAGCTAGTGTTCTGCCTGTCTTGATTCCCTACTGTTTTTTAAAATAATTCATGTCAACAAATATTATTAGATACCTACTATGTGTCATATACTTTGCCATTTGCTGAGCATGTAAAAACAAAGCAGAAACATTGGAAAGCAAATGAGTGGAGCAGGAGAGAATGATTACGACAAAAAACTGTAATATCTTTTGAAAGGACCATGCAAAGGCAGCCAAGGGGAAAATTCCATTTTTTTTTAGGGGGTAGGGAATCAGGAAAAAAATGGTAAGAATTCTCTTTTTAGTTAGGCTCTGAAAGATATATAGAAATCTGTAAGGGACATATGGTGAGGAAAGGTGGATTACGGCATTCAAGTAGAGAAAGGTGCATGCATGAGAAAGTGTATCATTTGTTAAAGAAAACTGAGAAACCCAATTTTGCAATAAGGAATGAATCAGGCATATAGAGAGAGGAAGATGAGTCTTGAAAGGCAGAATGCCAAGAGGCTGTGAAAGACCTGTAGGTTGTGCCTAGAAATTTGGACTTGATTCTCTGGGCAGTGAAAGTTTTAGGTACAAGAGTCACACAATCAGGTCTCTACTGAAAAAAAAAAAATCATTCGAGCACAGTGTAAGACAGATTTAATGGGGAGATGCTGGAGGGACTGATTTGGAGACAATGGATTATAAGGGTTCCAGACAGAAACTACTGTGGGCAACAAATAAGGCAGTAGAAGTTAAGAAGGAGAGAAGGAGGTGAACAGATGAGGAAAATGTTTAGAAACAAAAATTAATAAACTTTGTAGATATATTTGGGTCGGAAAAGAAGAGAATAATTTCAGGAGTGTCCTAAGGAGAAGAACATATCTTGTTCATGTTTGGACCCATTGTGTAGCACAGGCATATTATAGGCATTCAAATAGCTGAGAATGAATGAATGAGTTACATTCATTCTTACCATTAGACATTTATTAAAAGCTCTATATTTTCATTCGCTAATTAGCTCCTTTGGATAACCAAAATAGAAAAGGGATTTAAGTATAATCAAATGTTTGACAAGTAAATTTGTACAGGGTGATTTCTGAGGCCATATATCTGAAGGCTTTTGGGTTTTATATATAAGAAAACTTTAGCCTTCATATATGAGGACATAATTAGTTTGTACTCTTTGAGTTGTTTTTTTTTATTTTATAGTATTAGATGTACACAGAATATTCCCATAATCTTATCAAGTTAATTATTTCCCCATACACAACTGTCAATTTATTAAGGAAAGTCAGGATGACAATCTTTGGTAATCAAAACTACACATAATTTACACTAGCCACACTAATGTAAAATACAAATAAAATATTAAAAGGAATAAATTTAAACAAGAAGGTGAAAGATCTCTAAAACTGTAAAGCACTGATGAAAAAAATTGAAGAGGACAAAAATAATGAAAAGACATACCATATTCATGAATTGAAAGTAATAATACTGTGAAAATGACCATACTACCAAAAGCAGTCTACATGTTCAATACACTCTCTCTCAAAATACCAATGACATTCTTCACAAAAATTTCTAAAAAATTTTGAATGGAACCACAAAAGACCTCAAATAGCCAAAGCTATCTTGACCAAAAAAAGAACAGTGCTGGAAGCATTATACTACCTTACTTCAATTTAATACAAAGCTGCAGTATCCAACATAGCATGGAAATGGCATAAAAACAGACACGTAACCCAATACAACAGAATAGAGAACACAGAAATAAATCCATATATTTACAGCCTACTAATGTTCAACAAAGGCACCAGAACATCCATGTGAGAAAGGACAATCTTTTCAAAAATTTTGCTGGAAAAACTGGATACCCATATGGAAAATAATAAAACTAGACCCCTACTGATATGATTTGGCTGTGTCCCCACCCAAATCTCATCTTGAATTCACATGTGTTGTGGGAGGAACCTGATGGGAAGTAACTGAATCATGAGGGTAAGTCTTTCTCATGCTGTTCTGATACTGAATAATTCTCACAAGATCTGATGGTTTTAAAAAGAGTAATTCCCCTGCACAAGCTCTCTCTCCTTGCCTGCTGCCATCCACATAAGACATGACTTGCTCTTCCTTGCCTTCCACCATGATTGTGAGGCTCCCCCAGCATGTGGAACTGTAAGTCCAATTAAACCTCTTTCTTTTGTAAATTGCCCAGTGTCAGGTATGTCTTTATTAGCAGCATGAAAATGGATGAATACAGCAAATTGGTACCAGTAGAGTGAGGCATTGCTGAAAAGATACCCCAAAATGTGGAAGCCAATTTGGAACTGAGTTACAGGCAGAGGTTGGAACAGTTTGGAGGGCTGATAGGAAAAATGTGGGAAAGTTTGGAACTTCGTAGAGACTTGTTGAATGGCTTTGACAAAAATGCTGATAGTGATACGAATAATAAGGTCCAGGCTGAGGTGGTCTCAGATGGAGATGAGGAACTTCTTGGGAACTGGAGCCAAGGTGACTCTTGTTATATTTTAGCAAAGAGGCTGGCATCATTTTGCCCCTGCCCTAGAGATTTGTGAAACTTTGAACTTGAGAGAGATGATTTAGGGTATCTGGTGGAAGACATTTCTAAGCAGCAAAGCCTTCGAGAAGTGACTTAGATGCTGTTAAAGCACTCAGTTTTGTAAATAGAGAAGAGCATACAATTTCAGAAAATTTCCAACTGGACAATGCCATAGAAAAGAAAGTCCCAATTTCTGAGGAGAAATTCCAGCTGGCTGCAGAAATTTCCATAAGTAATGAGGAGTCGAATGTTAATCACCAAGACAATGAGGAAAATGTCTCCAGGGAATGTCAGAGGTCTTCATGGCAGCCCCTGCTATCACAGGCCCAGAGGCCTAAGAGGAAAAAGTGGTTTCTTGGGCAGGAACCAGGGTCCCCATGCTGTTTGCAGCCTAGGGAGTTGGTGCCATGCATTTCAGCTGCTACAATCATGGCTGAAAGCTGCTAGATTTCAGAAGATGTATGGAAACTCCTGGATGTCGAGGTAGAAGTTTGCTGCAGGGGAAGGGCTCTCATAGACACCATCTGCTAGGGCAGTATGGAAGAGAAATGTGGGGTGGGAACCCCCCCTCCACAGAGTCCCTACTGGGGCACCACCTAGTGGAGCTGTGAGAAGAGGGCCACCATCCACCAGACCTTAGAATGGTAGACCCAGTGACGGCTTGCACCATGTGCCTGGAAAAGTAGCAGACACTCAAAGCCAGCCTGTGAAAGCAGCCAGGAAGGAGGCTGTACCCTGAGAAGCCACATGGACAGAGCTGCCCAAGACCATGGGAACCCACCTCTTGCATCCCACTGTGACTTGGATGTAAGAGAAGGGGTCATAAAAGATCATTTTGGAGCTTTGTCTGCCCCACTGGATTTCAGACATGCATGGGACCTGTAGCCCCTTTGTTTTGGCCAATTTCTCCATTTGGAATGACTGTATATACCCAATGTTTGTACCCCCACTCTATTTAGGAAGTAAGCTAACCTGCTTTTGGTTTCACATGCTCATAGGTGGAAGGGACTTGCCTTGTCTCAGATGAGACATTGGACTGTGGACTCTGAGTTAATGCTGAAATGAGTTAAGACTTTGGGGGACTGTTGGGGAGGCATAATTGGTTCCAAAATGTGAGGATGTGAGATTGGGGAGGGGTCAAGGGCAGAACGATATAGTTTGGCTCTGTGTCCCCACCCAAATCTCATCTTGAATTCCCACATGTTGTGGGAGGGACCTGGTGGGAGATAACTCAGTCATGGGGGCAAGTCTTCCCCATGTTGTTCTCATGATCGTGAATAAGTCTCATGAGATCTGATGGTTTTAAAAAGAGTAGTTCCTGTGCACAAGCTCTCTCTCTTTGCCTGCTGCCATCCATGTAAGACGTGACTTGCTCTTCCTTGCTTTCTGCCATGATTGTGAGGCTTCCCTAGCCACGTGGAACTGTAAGTGCAATTAAACTTCTTTCTTTTTCAAATTGCCCAGTGTCAGGTATGTCTTTATCAGCAGTGTGAAAATGGACTAATACATCTACCATATACAATATACAAAAACCAACTTTATCTGGAATAAAGACTTAAATGGAAGACCCAAAACAATGACACTACTAGAAGAAAACATTGGAGAAACAACACTTCAAGACATTGGTCTGGGCAAAGATTTTATAGTTAAGCTCTTAAAGCAGAGGCAACAAAAGCAAAAATAGACAAATGAAACTATATCAAACTAAAAAGTTTCTGCATAGTAAAAGAAACAACAAATTGAAGAGACAACTGGCAGAACGGGAGAGAATATTTGCAAACTATTCATCTGTCAGGGACTAATATGCAGAATATACAATGAGCTCAAACAACTCAACAGCAAAAAAATAAATAATCCAATTTCAAGATGGGTAAAGTATCTGAACAGATATTTCTCAAGAGATGACATACAAATGGCAAACAAGCATATAAATATGTTCAATATCACTACTTATTAGATAAATGGAAATCAAAACCCCAATGAGATATCATCACACCCCAGTTAGAATGGGTATTCTCAAAAAGATAAAAAATAAGAAATAATGACAGGGATGCCAAAAAAGGAGAATTCTTATACAGTGTGAGTGGAAATATAAATTAGTACAGGCATTATGGAACACAGTATGGATGCTCCTCAAAAAAGTAAAGATATAACTACCATATGATTCAGCAATTCCACTACTGGGTATATATCTAAAGGAAAGGAAATCAGTAAGCCAAAAACATATGTGCACTGCCATGTTTATTGCAGCATTATTCACAATTGCCAAGATGTGGAATCAAACTAAGTATCTATTAACAGATAAATAAATAAAGGGAATATGGTATTTATACACAATAGAATACTCTTCAGCCATAAAAAAGAATGAAATCTGTCATTTATGGCAACATGGATGAGCCAGGAAGAAATTATGTTAAATTAAATAAGCTAGGCACACACACAAAATAAATACTGCATGTTCTCATTCATGTCGAAATTGAAAAAGTTGATCTTATGTTAAGTATAGAGTAGAACAGTGGTTTGAAAGGCTGGAGAGGATCATGGAAGGAGGTATGGGTAGAGGTTGGTTAAGGGATGCAAAATCACAGCTAAATAGGAAACATAAGTTCTAGTGTTATATAGCACTGTAGGGTGACTATAGTTAACGACAATTATATATTTTCAAAGAGCTAAATGAGAGGATTTTGAATTTTCCCAACGCAAAGAAAGGGTAAATGTTTGAGGTGATGAATATGCTAATTATCCTGGTTTGATCACTACATATTGTGTAAGTGTAAAATAGCACAATGTACTCCAGAATATGAACATTTGTGTCAATTAAAAATAATAATTAAAAACACATATATGTATATATGCTTTAGATTAAGATATATCTATCTACCATCTCTATATCTCTATCTCACTGGGCCATATACTAATCTCATTATTGACATGTTTTTCTGATTATAAACATTAAAATTATTTCATCTACCATAAAATTTCCATATTATTTTTACATGTTAAACTTTATTTATACCTGAAAAGGCTTATTTGATAGTAAAAGAAAAAAAGCCTCAGAAGACTGAAATTATTATTCTGCATTAGTGTTCTTCTACGTGGTAAAATGATACGTTACAATGCCCCAATACTGACAATCTGAGAGGCACAAACTAATTATTTTGTGTGTAACCCCAGCCAGTTTCATTCGATTAGCTTCATGAATCAGTTCAAAAGGTGATTAATTGGCCCTGTTTCATATTGCAGAATTACCATCCTATTTAGGATACATGGAAAGACATTGAGAAACTTTAAATTTAAGTTTAATCACCTTGTCTAAATATTAAAGAGAAATAAAAGGAAGGGTAACTGACATGCAAACCTTCTCTTAGCTAGAACAATTTCCTACCTGCTCTTACCCAGTGATACATTCTGCACACAATATACAATATCAGCAGTCAACACCTCTGCAAGTGGAATACAGAAACTGCCACTTCTGCTTAACTAGTTGGAGTGATGTGACAAGGATTAGTTATGCGTGAGAGGGTATCAGTAGACCCATGTGGTCTCAAAATAATGACTTTCCTTCTTACCCTGAAATCAAATCATCTTAGCTGGGAATGATTAAAAATATTTAATTATTGCTTTGAAATCAAGTATGTTATTTGGTTCTACTTTTTTCACTATTGTGTCATATTTTTAACTATAATTTTAAGAACCTCACAAAAAATATTGGTATAATTCCATATATACTGTAAACAGATTTATTTCTGAGACCAGAAGCTCTCTTTTTTATGGGTAAGTAAATATTTGCAAGCATGGTTCCATTCCGGTAGAATCATTTTGCAGTCATTTGTTTTGTTTGTTGTTCATTATTTTTGTTTTATACATTTGTAAACAGGTAAGAACAGATTTTTTTCATAGCAATTATGAAATTAATACTTAGACATTTTAACATGGGAGTGCCAGTTTAGCTGCCTGAGAACCAATAAAGAATTTAATTTCCTATTCTCATTTTCACATTTCATGGATCGTAGTTTCAAAGGAGTTCTAATTATAAGAGTACCAATGTCTGTCAATTAGTAATTCAATTTGACATAGCTAGAAGTACATTATATATTTTAAGCAACTATGTCAGTTTTCTAGAGTGAAACTTCGAGCCTATTGACCCCAAATAAGTTTTGTTACCTACAAAGTTTAAACTGTTTCTTTCCCACAAAACAAATGGTGGTCAATTAATAATGACTTTTGAAAACAGCAACAATGATTTACATATAGTCGGCACTCAAAACTATTTGTTTTAATCAAAGATCATAAAGGTTTTGCAATCTATTTAGAAAGGGAAACATCACACACACACACACACACACACACACACACACACCCCTTAGAAACTAACACAGTACAAATTGACAGTCAAAGACAATCAGAAATATTATAATACAACGATAGTAAAACTCTGCTCTTGCCTAGTTCTGCCAACATCTACCTATGTGAGATTTTCCAAGCCACACACTTGAAATAAATGTAAAGTGAAGCGGACAGAATTACAATATTGAAGAATTAGCCCAGGAGGCTAGGAAATAAGATACCTTGGTTAGCAGTCCAGCATTTATATAATTCTCTCTAGACTTGTTTCCCGATTTTAAAAGGAGGGTTGAACAAAATGACCTCCTAGGTCTTTTCCATCTCAAGAATGATAAATTTTCATGAAGAGACCAAGACCAATGGCATAATCAAAATTGCTAAAGTTAAGCCCTGACAACTTCCTAAGTTTGATTTTACTTAAAATTTGCTGAAGAAGGCAAATATGAATAAATGAAAGGGAAAGCGAACAGTCATGGTCACAGCGCACCTCTTTGCTGAATGGATGAGGAAGCAGAATCAGAATGACAATGATAATCTATATTTTCATATCTCTGTATAATTTACAAAGTGTTTTCCTACAAAATATACACACACCTATTTTAGCCTAAAATAACTATTTAAAAAACTTAGTAAGCAAATTACCTAGGATCACTAAAGCATATGAAAATTGGAGCCAAATTTCAAAGCAAAGCGTTTATAGTCTAGCCTTGCTGTTAACCATAGTAGCTGTGACTCAAATCAGTACCTTTTTCTCCACTTCCTATTTTCTTGCTCCTCAAAGCTTCATTACCTCCCTAACCAATATATTTTTGTGCTTTCCACCATTTATACCTAAAGTAGTCATCCCCTGGCTATGTGTCTCAAATATTGACATACATCCATTTTATTGTCCTCTTTTCCCCATCCACAGTCTATTCTCTAACCTAGTTTGCTACAAACAAACTTCGAATGTTAAGTGGAATTTCAAATAGAAGAAATACTTGAAGTTCTTCTATTTGAAATTCTATTTAACATTCAAAAGTAACACAATAGCTAATAAGTTAAGCTCTGTGTTCTGACGGCAAATAATAAAAAACTTTAAGTGAGACTAGATATAAGAACCAGAGCCACCAATTTCTACACATCCTGAAAGCATCTTAAAATTTTGCAAGACACTTTACTGTTTTAAATCAATGTGTTTTACACCAATATTCAAGAAACTATTATTATTCAACTTTAAAAGCTTAAAATCATAATTATAATTCCAACAGTAGTGACTTTTGTTGTATTATTCCATCTTCATTAAACATAAAATTACTGTTGACCCTTGAACAACACAGGTTTGAACTGCATGGGTCCACTTATACGTGGATTCTCCTCAACCAAATGTGGATTGAAAATACTGTATTTGCAAGATTTGAAACCCAAATATATGAAGGACCAACTTTTGTATATACTTGGTGATATGGTTTGGCTCTGTGTCCCCACCCAAATATCTTCTTGTAGCTTCCAAAATTCCCATGTTGTGGAAGGGACCTGGTGGGAGATGACTGAATCACGGGAGTGGGTCTTTCCTGTGCTGTTCTTATGATAGTGAATGGGTCTCATGAGATCTGGTGGTTTTAAAAATGAGAGTTTCTCTGCACTAGCTCTCTTAGCCTGCTGCCATCCAAGTAAGATATGACTTGCTCCTACTTGCCTTCTGCCATGATTGTGAGGCCTCCACAGCCATGTGGAACTGTAAGTCCAATAAACCTCTTTCTTTTGTAAATTGCCCAGTCTCAGTTATGTCTTTATCAGCAGGTGAAAATGGACTAATGCAGTACATTGGTACCAGTAGAGTGGGGCACTGCAGAAAAGATACCCCAAAATGTGGAAGCCAATTTGGAACCAGGCAACAGGCAGAGGTTTGAACAGGTTAGAGGGCTGAAAAGACAGCAAAATGTGGGAAAGTTTGGAACTTCCTAGAGAATTGTTGAATGGCTTTGACAAAAATGCTGAGAGTGATATGAACAATAAAGTTCAGGCTGAGGTGGTTTCAGATGGAGATGAACTTGTTCAGAACTGTAGCAAAGGTGACTCTTGTTATGTTTTAGCAAAGAGACTGGCAGGATTTTGCCCCTGCCCTAGAGATTTGTGGAACTTTGAACTTGAGATAAATGATTTAGGGTATCTGGCGGAAGACATATCTAAGCAACAAAACATTCAAAATGTGACTTGGGTGTTGTCAAGGGCATTCAGTTTCAAAAGGAAAACAGAGTATAAAAGTTTGGAAAATTTGCAACCTGAAAATGCAGTAGAAAAGAAAATCCCATATTCTGAAGAGAAATTCAAGCTGGCTGCAGAAATTTGCATAAGTAATGAGGAGCCGAATGTTAATCACCAAGACAATGGGGAAAATGTCTCCAGTGCAAGTCAGAGACCTCTGCAGCAGCCCCTTCCATCACAGGCCCAGAGGCTTGAGAGGAAAAAGTGGTTTCATGGGCCAGGCCCAGAGTCCCTATGCTGTGTACAGCCTAGAGATTTGGTGCCCTGCATCCCAGGTTGGCCCCTTTCAGCTGTTCCAGATGTGGCTGAAGGGCCAACATAGAGCTCAGGCTGTGACTTCAGAGGGTGCAAGCCTTAGGCCTTGGCAGCTTCCATGTGATGTTGAGCCCGCCAGTGCACATAAGTCAAGAATTGAGATTGGGGAACCTCTGCCTAGATTTCAGAAGATGTATGGAAATGCCTGGATGCCCAGGCAGAAGTTTGCTGTAGAGGTGGGATGCTCATGGAGAACCTCTGCTAGGGCAATGCAGAAGGGAAATGTGGGGTGGAATCCTCCACACACAGTTCCTACTGGGGCACCACCTAGTGGAGCTGTGAGAAGAGGGCCACCGTCCTCCAGACCCCAGAATGGTAGATCTGCTGACAGCTTGCACTGTGCACCTGGAAAAACTGCAGATGCTCAACACCCGCCCATGAAAGCAGCTGGAAGGAGGCTGTATCCTGCAAAGCCATAAGGGCAGAGCTGTTCAAGACCATTGGAATCTACCTCTTGCATCAGCATGACCTGGATGTGAGACATGGAGTCAAAGGAGATCATTTTAAAGCTGTAAGATTTGACTGCCCTGCTGGATTCTGGATATGCCTGGGTCCTGTAGCCCCTTTGTTTTGGCCAATTTCTCCCATTTGGGATGGCTGTATTTACCCAATTCCTGTACCCCCATTGTATCTAGGAAGTGACTAACTTGCTTTTGATTTTACAGGCTCATAGGCAGAAGGTACTTGCCTTGTCTCAGGTGAGACGTTGGACTGTGAACTTTTGAGTTAAGGCTGAAACGAGTTAAGGCTTTGGGGGACTGTTGGGAAAACATGAATGGTTTTGAAATGTGAGGACATGAGATTTGGGAGGGGCCAGGGGTGGAATGATATGGTTTGGCTCTGTGTCCCCACCCAAATCTCATTTTGTACCTCCCATAATTCCCATGCACTGTGGGAGGGACCCGGTGGAAGATGATTGAATCATGGGGTGAGCTGTTCTTGTAACAGCAAATGGGTCTCACACAATCTGATGGTTTTAAAAATGGGAGTTTCTCTGCACAAGCTCTCTCTTAGCCTGCCGCCATCCACATAAAATATGACTTGCCCCTCCTTGCTTTCCACCATGATTGTGAGGCCTCCCCAGCCATGTGGAACTGTAAGTCCAATAAACTTCTTTATTTTGTAAATTGTCCCGTCTCAGGTATATCTTTATCAGCAGTGTGAAAACAGACTAATACACTCAGTTTCTCAAGGCTGACTTCAGGACCTGGTATATGCACATTTTGGTATTTCACGAGAGTGGTAGAACCAATGCTGGGAGTATATCCTAGGAGAACCGTACTTTTTTTGTGGGCAAGACTGAAAACTGTCAGTTCAAAGGAGAATTATAAACATCCAGCAGAATTCAAAATTCAACACAACCATTTGAACAGGACAGGATATATTTCCTTTATAAGTTATCTGCCACATTACCAATTTACAAATACAATTATTCAATGATTACAAATTGTTCCCTTATTAGGAAAAAAATTATCTTCTCTCTGTATCAGTAGGCCATTGTTGATTTGTAGACTGCTATGGGGATCAATCAAATCTTATTTTTCTAAAATGTTAACTGTGTTTCAATATTTAATATTTCAAAAGGTGAATCAAAAGAAATCAAATATCCAAGAAATAGATTTCTTTCTTTATATCATTTAACTCACTAAAAAGAAGTGATTTTCAAAATCTACATATAATACAGTGATGGTATTTTTCAACTACTAAACATCTGAATAATCTGATTGCTAAAAATAGTATCCTTTCAGTATTTATAGACATAACATAAAATAATCTTTTAAATGTTTAGGGCCAAAAATACTTCAAAGTTTTCTCACATAATGAAACCATTATGAAATTTCTACATTTGAATGTCTCTTTCAAAAACATAGTTTTATAAGATTAGGCACTTAGAACTACTTAGGACAAATTTAAATGGATTTATATTTCTACACTAACTGTAAACTTCCTTTTCAGTCTATGTCCTGATAATGATGCATCTGCTACATATATATTACTGGAACTCTTTGAATGTCATTGCTAGTTCAGAGAAATGTGATTGTCACTTTTTAGTGGCTGTTCTAAAAAGATATTATGTCTTGCGTTCCAACAGTATGCTTAGCACCATAAAAAGCTTTTTGAATTCTCTTATTTCCTCAATAACTGCACAGGTAAATCTCTTACAGCTATTCATGATATTACTGATATTACTGTTTTTTAATTTTTTGGAGAGTACTACCTCAAATTTGAGACCAAACAGTATATTTTTTTAACAATATGCACACATTCAGATTTTTCAATGCCTTCCAAAATTCTAGTGTGATCATGCATACTTAATCTTTTTTTCCACAACAATTTCCAACACTACAATGGACCAGTCTCATGGTTTTTGGCACATCCTGCACCTATTCCTGTTTCTAAAATATTCCCTATGCTCCTCTTTTCGGATGGAACATCAGTTATCTTTAGCTCTTTAGCTCTAATTATTAATACTGTATTATTCTAAGTTAAGTCAAACTGAACTTTTCAAAACCTTCAGAAGACTATAGCACATAGTAATCCTGAAATTCTCTGAAAATTCTATTGTACATACAGTCTTCAATATCACATAAGTTCACAATATATTTTTTTTAAATGTCCGGTTTGTCTGTTATACACCTACAAGTAGATTATAAATTTCTGGTGAATAAAGGCAAAGACTGCTAATTCATTATTTGTTGTCACCCATACCCAACCAAGATATAATTAGCTGTAAGCCCTCATACTGCTTCAAATAAAGTAAAGATTATGTTCTTACAACACATCTATCTGGAAAATAGTGCCAGCCTCTCTGTGCTTCTTCACCCAGTAACTGGCCTATCATCATTAGCTTTGAGGTGAAAAAAAAATACGTGCCTTATTTGAGGAACCTATTTTCTGCTTACTCCAACTACGTGATTAAAATAAGGATTGCCTATCATAGGACCAACTCCTCCCAGCCACACATACAGTTTTACAATGAGACCTGGGCCAATCAGAGACCTTCTCTGAGGTTTTCCAAATTGGAATTAAGGGAAGAAGAGAACCTTATTCTTTGAATGGCAAAGTTAAGAAGATATGAGACTGGAAGATGTTGGCAGCTATTGTCCAACTTTGTAGAGTTAATCTGTGAGAATAACACTAACACATGGTGAAAAGCATAGATAGATGAGAAGGAAGAAGAGTGGTTTCTGGATTTTCTAGTTCCTGTTTCAGTTATTTCTGAGGTCCCGAAATGTCTTTGCCCGTTATTAGCTGGGTAACTTCAACCCTTTGGGGGAATATACACTAAAGGGCTAACAATCTAAAAGAAGAGATTATGGATTATCTCAATGTATTTCTTTTTTATTGTGGTCTTTTCCTAAATTTAATTCAAGGAACATTTCTTTAAAAAGAAGCAGATACCAATAAAAGCTATCAATTAACATGTAAATTACATTACTATTTATAAGTAAAATAGTGTAATAGATCAAACTAATACTCTTTCCTACAACTAACCTAGATGCTTTATAAAGTATGGAAAGACAAGAAAATACTACACAGGACCTAGACAAGAATAACAACATTCATGTGAATCTTTGCTATGATTAACATAACTCAAACATGAGAGAGAATGAGGGCAACTACTTTGCCTTCAACCCAATGTTTTGGCTAGAGACATATTTCACAAAGAAAATATGATTGAAGTGGTGCCTTTGTCTGTAACAGTAACCTTCATTCTTGAATCAAAATTAATATCTTACAATCCATTTCATATTGGAGAAATGTTCTAACTGGTTTTTAGAAATATTTTATTACTTAAATAGTATTGTGCTCATTGTCTATGTTCATCAACAAACTTCTAAGAAAGAGACTCTTTGCAGAGTCTTTAGCCTTTAATCTTAAAATATCCCTGCCAACTAGACAAATAGAAATCCATTAATACAGAAATACAATAATCTACTATAATTAAGAAATTGTCCAAAATATTCTTGCAATTGCTATTACTATGATTACTACAACCAATAAATCGAGATCTCTGCAACATTGAAAATTAAGTATGATCTATCCAATGCCTTCAATTTTACTTTCTAGAGCAGTCCTTTCTTATCCATCTGTGCAAAGAAACAACCTAGCTTATTTTAGTGGATAAGACCAGATTGTTTTTAAAATCTGTTACTATAATATAAATGAAAACGCACAACTTTCTAAAAATAATCTATTCCTTTTTGCACTTATTGCTGTTGTTATTAGTTCTGGAACAAAAATCATAAAGAAGATTCAAAGTTACATTTTGCATATGTAAATTATTTTGCAGGTAATTTGTTAATGCTAATAACACTGCTATAGTATATTTAATAATAATTGTTTTCTGTTTTGATGACAGCCAAAAGCAAATCTAGATTATATTTACCAAATTATCCAGTCAGTTAACAAGAAAATGAAAGGTTTTAACACCTGTTGTTTGTCACCTCCTCTGACTCAAATTAGGGGCAATGTCACAAGTACTTGAAACTCTCTCATACTTAAGTAAGTAACATCTATTTTCTGTAATAAAAATTAGGAAATCCATTTGTAAATCAACTATCATTTTATAACTAGTTGTAACTTATTAAATATTTAATCATGCAAAATCCAACACGTCATCAATCAAATATGTTCAACATAAATTAATAGTGTTCATGCTTCTCAATTGTGGTTTGTTCAATAAATGAGTATAGTACATTATAAAATGTGTATCTATAAATATTCTTTATTATTCAACTTTCCTACTAAAAGGAAGAGACCCAGGAGAGAGAGGACGCTAAAATGCACTGAAACCTAAAATATATTGGCACAACAACCTTTTACCATAGACGTTATTATCTCCATTTACAATTAGGGAAATAGAGGCTCAAGAAATGTAAATAAATTGCCCCCAATTGCACAGCTAGAAAGTAATATAGCTTATTTGAATCCAGATGTACGTGGCTCTTAAGCCTTTCTTTTCTTTTTTGCTATTGCTTCCTGACTTCTCATACTCCTTACAAATAGACAGATAATAAAAAGTTATTAAGCAATTTGAGATGTTTTGAGTTCCATATTAAAAAAAAAACCTACCTTAAGTAATTCTTAATGAAGGCAAATGCAGAGAGGTAGAAAGTATATAATTGGAAAGAGCGGTACTTCTCAAACTATCTACACGTAAAGGAATAGTTTGTTTTAGTTTGAAACTGCTACTCTACAACACTTTTTAAATATAGTAAAAATAAATTACTAGAAAAAATGTCATGTGTTTGCATGTTATAACAATGTCAAACTTATATAAAATTTCCTAAATAGTCTCAATTTTAGTACTTATATCATAGAAGAGCAGCACCAATCTGTGGTCCATACTTTCAGTAATACTGAGCTATATGATGAATGAGAATAAGCCAATAATGTTAACGTATATTAACTTGTATATTAAAAGTATATTATGCATCTAGCTTTTATTGAAATAAAAAGTGATTCCTATCCCCCAAACAATTGTTGCAAATTCTTCTTACTTCATTAAGCTGCTGTTCATGCTAATTTAGTATGAAAAAACACAAAGGTCTGTTTAAGAAAGTTGAATATAGAATAAAATGTATACTGTCTTAATAAACCAGGTAGAGAGAAAAAATGGAGACCTGTCAATTCTGATGATGTTCATTTTTGTTTTGATTTTATATATATTATTGTTAATAAGCATTAACATTGCTAATTAATTTTGAATATGGTTTATTATTATTCTGTAGTTAAAATCATTTCATCTTTCTGACAGGCTCGGGGGTGTGAATTATTCTTACTGAATATATTGATAATCACTGCAATGGGAAAATAAGATGACTACTGTTGTCTTTATCCTTTCTGTCAAAGCTGGCACATAAAAAGAGGTTTCCACACTTGCCATTTTCCAAAACATGGCAGCAGTTCATAATACATCCCTAACTGCATTTTGACAAAGTGAAAATTTGTTTTACATCATAAGATCTGGGCAATGATTCTAGGAAAAAAGTGCCAATTAAATGAAGAAAACAGAAAAACATGAAATAGATTTTTCCCATAGCATAGTAAGTAGCTTTGTATATCATACTACATAACAACACTGTGATTCAATTTTTAATTTTCTTTTTCAAATGTTACTAACCATAGAGTATACTTTAACAACAATGCATATGGTAATGAGATCAGTATTTACTGGTTACCTTAAATAATTATCCATTTTTTATAACTTTGGAATAAAACTATCTTATTAATTTTGGTATATGGATAAAACTACAGCTTACTGATATTGGAATCTTCATTTATTTCATATTTTCTTTTTCTCAGAGTTCATAAGATATCTAATATGAGTTTATGGTAAAGTTTTGAATTAACCAAATAGCATCCATCAAAATCTATGCAGAGCTATATTATGAAAATAACCTTTCATGACAACATGAAATTTAACCATTATATGTTTTAATATCCATATTAATCCTGAATAGGAAAAAAGGTGGCTTTGACAAGTACTTCATAATAGCTAACAAAATTCAACCAATTGTAGAAAATTCCTTAAAATTATACTTTGATAGTGAAATACAATATTAAAGTTTGAAAATCATAAAATAGATAACGAACACTTTTTTCAGTTATTTTGTAGATGACACTATTTCCACTTGATTGTCCCAAATAAAGAAAATAGTAAATTTGAGATGATACAGAAGCCAATTAATGGACCAATATGACTCAAAAAATACAGGCAAAATAGTGATTTTTTTTTTTTTAGTATTTGCTCAGTGATGTCACAAATATGGTACTTTGCAAATAGGGGTCCAGTAAATGATTGTTTAATTGAAACATTTTAATATAGGAGGCATAAACGAGTAATAAGGTTCAAAGTAGCTATTTTCTGGTTACTGAAGTGACACTGACTGTGCCTGTCTCACACTGGTATTAACTTCATATTGTGTTGGCAGAGAAAAGCTTTAACTGATGTTAGTATTACTGAAATGGCCAGCATGGTATGGTATTAGTATGTCTCAGAAGCCAAAAAAATAACGTGGCACAGAAACAACTTGTCCCAAGCTTCAAGGGGGGCATGGGCTTTGGAGACCTGTATTCTGTATTAAAGGCTTCTATGAATAAACTTTCTGAGAGTCTTGAGGTTCCTGAAGGTTTTGTCCTTGTCTTGCTCCTCCTCTCCGTCTTTTTGACCCACTCATCTACTTTATAATTTCCACATCCACAAGACTCTCTAGCCTTAGTCTCTCCTAACACAGTCAAGTTCTTATGTTGGGTAGGCATTTCCAATAGAATACTCCAGAGATATCTTAAAATAAACTTGCCAAAACATAAACTAATCACCATTTCCTGACACCCGGCCATTCTTTTTTTTTTTTTTTTTTGTCAAGACAAGGTCTTGCTCTATTGTCCTTCAACCTCCTGATGGGCTCAAGGATTCCTAGCAGCTCAGCCTCCAGAGTAGCAGGGACCACTGGCTCACACCTCCATGCCCAGCTATTGGTCTCAAACTCCTGGCCTTAAAAGGTCCTCCCGCTTAGGCTTTCCCAAACTGCTGGAATCACAGGTTTGAGCCACCACAATGGGACCATTCTCCATCTTATAGCCTCTATTTCTGTTGGTTGCGTCAATATCACCTAAGCCCTCAAGTAGAAAGCTTACAAATCTCAATTCTTCTTTCTTCATAGTCTACATCTCCAACTTACTACTAGCACCTCTAGCTATGCCAGCTTTATAGACAGGCAACCTGTGCAGTCACACAGAGTCCCTTGCTTGGAAGGGTCCAGTGCTTCTCTGTGCTCTCAGTTGTTCTCTGCTCTGCAGTCATCATGAATCACTTCTTAACAAGAAGCTCTGCATTTTCTTGCACGAGGCCCTGCAAATTACAGAGCCAGTCCCGTCTCCCATGTCCTTCATCCTCTGTAAAATATGTGTTAGCCTCTAATCATGCCATTAAATTTCTCACTTCCCTATCTTTGTGTTCATTTTCCCTCTGCTGAGAATGTTCCATTTGCTGATCAAATCCTCAAATACACATTTCTGGTGCCACCTCCTCCAGCAAGCCTTCTCTGCATAATTAAGCTAGGTTAAGCACTCACATAATAATTCTATCATTTCAATTATAAGAATATGCTATTATTACCTACTCATGAATCTCTTTCATTCTATGAGGGGAAGAAGTAGGAATTATTTCACAACTAAGCTAGTGACATGCAAAAAACACACAATTATGTGTTATTGTATGAATGAATAACATGATGAAAAAATAATATAACTCTGCTATTAAGTCTTATGAATTAGAACAAAAGTTATTGGGGTTTTATTTTTTATTTAAAAGAAAATAATAATAATAATTGTATTACCAATTCTATATCCTAAACAGTTTTGGTATCTATCCACTTCTCCCTAGTCCCTTCTTTACCCTTACTCAGTCCAATCACTTTCATCTCTGAACTATATTATTGTAATGGACTCTCTTGCCTTCCCCCAGTCCTTTCCCCACAATACAGCAAGAGGGATCTTTTGAAATACAAATCAGACTGTGTACCCATAGCAATTATTCTTTGCCTATATCCTCCATATTTCAGCTTAAATATTACTTCCTCAGTGATGCCTGGAAAAGTTACTTAGCCCCATAAATTAAAACATGCCACATCCCCACCAAACACACATACATACTCTCTCTCTCTCTCTCTGTCACACACACACACACACACACACACCTTTAATGACTTTCATTGCATTTTCTCTTTTTAACATTTAGCTGACTTTGTAATTTATAAATTTAATAACTTAATAAAGTTTGTCTCCCTCACTAGAGCAAAAACTTTAAGTTAGGAATTATGTCTACTTGGCTTGCTATTCTATCACTAGTATACCTAGCAGATAGTAGGTGTCAAAAAACATTTTGTCAAATTAATGTGCATAGCAGTATTAGGTAAACACACGGCATAGAAATTTTAAAAAACTCAAAAATGTACATATCCTGATGTCAAAATATTATTCTCTCTACCCTCTTCAATATAATGGTTTATGTTGGTTATACTGATTCATGGTACTTCATATTGCATTGAATGAAACTGCAACTATTTTAGGTATTTCTGAAGATTTCTAAAAATTATTAGGTAGTGTCTTTGTTTAGATTGTATGTCTCAGTTTTTCCCTGAAGACGCTATTGAGCAGATGAGAATTTAAGGGAACTAATGCCAAAGGTACCAAACAAAACTTTATGAAGAGTAAATACTACTTTCCTCATATATACATTAACACAAATTAAAAAGTTTTATAACTATGCAACTGGGATCCATAAAAATATTTTCCTATATCAAACTGGGCTTCAAACATTATTTTTAAGTATATACCCTCAAGACAGCCACTTGAGCATACAATAACTCTTGCATCATCACGAAGCAAAACCAAAAGACAATACCACTCTAGCAGTCTATATAGAATTATGAAGATCTTATTAACTATTTTTAGCTTCTGTTCTTTTCATAATGGCCTTTGGAACATTGATTCTTCCACATTCTAACTGCCTAAGCGTCAGTTTCCTCATCTATAAAATGGTATAGTAATGGTACCCACATCATAGTGTAATTAAAAAGATTAAATGAAATGATCTATGTGAAACACTTAGCATAATGTTTGCCAACTTGTGAGTATCCAATAAATCTGAACAATAATAACTACTCAAAACTTCATTAGGGTCTAGAAATCACAGAAATAGAAATAAAAATGACAAAGTAGTACAAAGGTCTAGCTGGAAGGCAAAACTCAAAGATTAAAGAGTGTCTGTGTCTGTCAGGCAGTTTTACTGGTTCTCATTAGCTACTTTCTGGCACGTTTTTCTTCCTATACTTCTGCCACTTTGATAGCCAGGCAAAATTACACCTCCAATGTAATCAGATAAGGAATGCGAAAGGAACCGTTACAATTAATCTGACTGAAAAGTAGACATGGACGATAAATGTGCAGTACACCCTCAGGACCACAAACACTTTACATTTATCTGTATTTATCCACATGTCAATTAAGGAACCAACTTGCTGTAAGTCTTTTAATAAGAAGTATTCATTTCCAACTAAAGTTGCCAAATTCCTATAATTCAAATCTGTATTTGCTGGTGACTTTTAAATGATAAGAAAACATGTTTTTAAAAGCAATGTTCCCTTCTTGAATATTTCCACTTTATTGCTTTTGAATCGCTCAAGTTGAAATGAGACAATTAAATGCTGTGTCTTTTTTTGTTCAGAGGCGAGATGAAGGTAATTTGCTGCTTCATGCATCTGTTTCCTCATCAGCACAGTGAGGACTAGGCTAATTAGGGGATGAAAACAATATGGTCATATGGATAGGCCAGATTGCTTGTCACTCAGTTATTCAATATGTGGGCTCTGTTTTGAGGACAGGAAACAGATAATGATTCTCTGGCATCTCTCTTGCAATGTGTGAAAAGAAAGAACAGGGAAGTGTTCAGATGTTTACCTGCTTATTTTTAGCCTTCATCCTAGAAATAATCTTATTGGGCTGTGTCATTCATTTTGTCTTTACAAGAATAATCTTTATTAGAAAGCTTTGACCATGGCCAGTAACATCCAAAGAGAATGCAAGAACCCAATCAACTAACTTGAGTTCTGTTCAACTCATTCAAGTTCATTATTCTGTAATATTCTATGGGCCAGAAAAATTTTGTCCAAACACAAGTAAATGTGCCCCAATTTCAGAAAGTCTAATTTACCTAAATAGATTTAGCAAGAAAAAAATTAACATTTGAAAGTATGAGATTAATTACAGAGCTTGTACCAGGCATGTTTTCTGGTACCAGTCTGTCCTCAGTCATTTATAACGGGGAGAATTCAGACTCAAGGACAGCCTTTCCCAGGCCTGGCTTGGAAAGGTGAATTAGTACAACTAGATTCTCTTTCAGCTATTTGAACTACGAAATCCCAAAGAAAGTTGAAAATATGCATTGAGAGTTTCATAGGTAAGCACAAGCAAAAGTTATGAATAAATATAAAATATAAGTGAGCGAGAGTATTCAGTGATAGAAGTCTAGAACAGATGCACAGAAATAAGCAGAAACATTCTGAGACAGAGAGAGAGATGAGGAAAGGGAAAGAACAATTCCTATTTCTGAAAGCTTTAGGTTCCCATTGTCCTGAAAGTTCCAGGTCCCTGATGCCAGGAAGCCTATAAATATCAGTTCCAATGGGCCTGACCATTCTGGATGCCCTATCTTTGAATTTTCCAGAGACCACTGTCTCTCTTATTAATAATATCATAACCTAAATGCCACCAAGACCTCCAACTGGATAAGGTCACCAGTTTCTCAAAAGATAAGTAAAAACTGGCTGACATACCTTCATCTCAAATATTGTCAGAGACTCTGCATCTCTCCCCAAATCTCCAAAGATGAGTTTGTGGGCAGGAATGATGATTTAGCTTGTCTTCTTCAGCTCTGGCTTTGGGTTCCCACTTTTCCTACATTCTCTAACTGCACCCTAAATTTCACTTACAGCATTGCTATGCTTTTGTTGTATCATTATTGCCCCACTGGGCACTATGCCAAGCCCTTCATTCCACAAAGTGTCATATATTTAGGGATGTTTGTATGGCTGACTCTATTAAAATCTGGAACCAGAATGATTGTTACATTACAGCCAATAACTTCAATGCCAGGCATCCCTATTCTTAAAATTTCTCAGTCATTCTTATCATAAAGGAACTTCTATTCATTATCTTCTCTACTTAAGCCCCATCTTCCTGCCATGTTGACAGACTCCCTTTATCTCCCCTGATTGCCTCTTTAAAGCCCCCAATTCCTTATAGATCTCTTAGAGCTACCTCTTTCTCTCTCTTTCTCTTTCTCTTTCTCATAGCCACCCAGGCTATGACCAGGGCATCCTATACTTGTAAACCATGAAGGATACCAATTAAACCATGCTCTGAAACATAGTACCTTGTACCCCCAAGAGGACTTCTTAATTTGCAATTTAAGAAAAGCAACTTTTTATAAACACAAGAGCACCCAATATTGAGTACTTACTGTGCGCCGAGCACTACGCTTGAAAGTCATTAACTCATTAAATTCCTCTCTCTCTCTTAGTATGAAGGTTCTATTAACATCCCTACTTTAATGATTAAAATTTGTGTGCAGCTCACAATATTAGGAAGTAACAGCATCTGAACTAGAACCAAAATATCCACTCACAATCACCGTAATTCTGCCTGTCTGGTTGCCCTACATGTAACATTACAACAAAGCTGTGTGCTGATGATAGAAAATGCATTTAAAATTTATCTGAGATATATGTTTGGTGGAAACCATTAGCTCTAAAACTGGCAAGAGACTAGAATTGAAAGAGGTAGCACACAGAGAGGTTCTGATGAAAGTGAATGTCATTTTAACAGAGGACTTCATGATGATTGCTGCCTAATGGTAGGTCATGGCCTCACAAAGAAAATCTCCAATGTACATTCCTGCATTTATGATAATTCTACTTTTTTC
Organism: Homo sapiens; assembly: GCF_000001405.40. Classification (NCBI taxonomy): domain Eukaryota; kingdom Metazoa; phylum Chordata; class Mammalia; order Primates; family Hominidae; genus Homo; species Homo sapiens. The sequence goes on from NC_000002.12 coordinate 212,479,964, forward strand.
TGTTATGTTGACAAACAAAAAAAAGTCCTATACGTATTTCTTCATATTTGAACTTCTCAATTAAAGCACCATTAAATTCTCACTTTTAACTCTTGTGGGAATTAATTATTACTTAGATGAAGAACTTATTTTCAACTCTGTCTCTAGGCAAGTGAACAACCTCAAAGGAAGATGGTACTTAAAATACCTGATAACAATTTATAAAAAATATTTTATCTATTCAATAAAATATGACATTTCATTGAACATCTATGTAAAACAAAGACTCCTGTTACTTGTGAAATTGGACCTTATTAATATATGTATACTATCAAGTACACTTTACTGGAAAGAAACAGTATGTAAAAAGCTTGGCACATTGAAAAAACCAAAAAGAGGCCAGTGTGGCTGTAGCACAGGAAAGAGGAGCAAAAGAAAGATAAGAAGGCACCAGATTATGGATGCAAGGCTTTCTCGGCCACGATGGAGATTTTGGATACTGTTTAAAGAAACAAATATAAAACTTCTAAGGATAGCTTGATAGTATTTTCCTTGAGTCTTGAAATAAGAACTAAAGAGCTACTCTATTCTTATCCCAGCCATTCAAAGATAGTGCCTCCTTATATAATGTGTGCCATGCAGCATGTAAGTATCATGTCTGTGAATTGAATTGTAGTGTGCTGTTGCTTGTGCCAATAGCAGGGAGACACCGCAGCAAGGCAAACAAGCAAGCCATATGTGCTGTTGGCAACATTGACACACTGTACAGTTATGGCATATGCCTTGAGTATCTCAAAATTATGTTGTTGGTAGTTTCATTGCTATATTTGATTATGTATTTAAGTTTATTTGAAGGCTTTTAAAAGGAAATGATTTCACACTACTAATCTTATGATTATGCACTTAGCAGCTAATAACAATGTGCTATTTGCTGGAAGGAATATATGTTTGTAGACAAGTTTCCTGAATTAGCTTTTTAATTTACATAAACATAATTGCCCTCTCAATTTTAAAGCCTTTAAAATTTTGTCATTTTGAACAAAATTTAGTATGCTGATGTAAAGTCACTTTAAACATCTATTCTAAAACCTTGACTAATGTTGGATTAAGTGTACATGTGTGCATACAACACATATATACATATAAATACACATGTGAGTTATAGGTATTGTATTATATATCTCTTTATATCACATTTATGTTATAGAATATATCTGTAAATTACATACAACAAATTATATCATATATGTTATATATGTAAGTTATATATACATCTTTAAGTTATAGATATATATCTCATACACACACATACATGACTTTGTATACCCATATATATGAATGCTTTTTGAAAGCAGCTTTTAATGCATTAGTATGTTAAACATCTTCCAAAGGTACAATTTGCTCATTATTTTATTTAAAAAATCACTCTATGCAAATTTTATACCAAAGGATAAATTCTAAACAGAAAGCACAAAGAGGGGTACTTTTTAATCCTAGCATAAAGAGATTCTAGTAGAACATTTCTTTCTTTCTCTGCCAAATAAAACAAATGAGAAGCTCTAAAAGAAGTCACTGACCCTTGAATCAAATTCCAATTTCTCTAATACCAAGTATGTGACCAATGGGAAATGTACCCCTTGAGCTCCAATCTTTTCAACGCTAAAACAACAATATATTTGCAAAGCTGCAGTAAGATTAAAGGAGATAATGCCTGACACCCAGAAGAAGCACAACAAATACTAATTTTCTTCTCATCTAGTTTGGAAAATGTCTTCAGCAGCATTCCACAAAAAAGTATTCATAGCAATGTTTCTCAAAGATGAAGTACCCACAAACAATACCTGCAAACCGTTGCAGAGCTGTAAAGTATTTAAAGAAAGCTGAAAAAATTACATTTTCATCCATATATTTCCAGATTGACATATTGCATGTTTAAAAGAGTTCAGCACCAGCAAATTACACTTAGCTATTTAGAGAGTTATTGCTTTTAAGTCTTCTCTATACAGCAGGCCTGGTAATGGTAGCAGCAATTGAGTCTTGTGCACCCAAAATGTAAACCTAAGTTAATAAGGCAATGGCACACATCCCACTTCTCTATAAACAGTCTGGAGATTTACTCTTCAGTTTAGGTACATTTCTTTGAACATTTAGAGTAAATTTCAAACTGTGTTGACACTGACCACACTACAGACTTTCAATTCATAAGCATGTTGGTAAATAAGATGTGCTTCACTTGCAAATGATCGAATGCTGGCTGAGCTAAATTTAAAAACCCAAATCAAAAACAAACCAACAAAAACTCCCACCATGCCGCTGATTGAATGTGTTAAAGTCTGCAGAAATAAATCCACAACTGAGTTTTCTTAGGAAATAGAATACTTCTTCAGCTACTGAGAGAATATGAATAAGGGTTTGAAATAAGAGGAAATGTGGTATATCAATCAGCCATAACTTCCACAATTTGGATAGTATTTTAGAATTATTTTAAAATCTTTAATCTCATTTGATTCTTGCCAACATCCTGAGATGAATTTTATTATTTTACAAATGAAAACCTGAGACTCCAAAAGGTTTAGTAACACTTTGGGGATTATGCAAGGTAAATAAACCTTAGGAGAAATTTAACAAGATACTTGTAGTTAGAAGGAAGTAAAATATTTAACTCAACTTCTTTGTTTGTTTGTTTGTTTTCTGAGACGAAGACTTGCTCTGTTGCCAGGCTGGAGTGCAGTGGTGCTATCTCAGCTCACTGCAACCTCTATCTCCTGGGTTCAAGGGATTCCCCTGCCTCAGCCTCTTGAGTAGCTGGGACTATAGGCATGGGTCACCATGCCCGGCAAATTTTTCTTTTTTTGTATTTTAATAGAAATAGGGTTTCACCATGTTGGCCAGGATGGCCTCGATCTCCTGACCTAGTGATCTGCCCGCCTCAGCCTCCCAAAGTGCTGGGACTACAGGCGTGAACCACTGTGCCCACTCCCTTGTTATTTTTTGACAACTTAAAAATTTGATTAGGATTAGATAGGTACTAGAATAAGCACCTTCTGTTTCCCAGCCTAGCATTCTTGCCACCATATAGTTCTGCCTTGTGAGCAGATAGATAGAACAGGATGAATGGCCAGAGAGGCCAATCATTTCCCTACTCTCAGTGAGCTTAAAACAAAAAGACAGGTACCCACAGAGTGACCACTTAACCCACTCAACTCTCAAAGCAAAGGTCGTACCATCTGCTGAGCTTCTATCCCTGTCTTCCTGTGAAATTCACTGGAACAGATGACTGACGTGATGCTCTCAGTGCTCATAATTTTTGCAGGAGGAAAATTAAACAGATAATTAAGTAAAGAGCATTCAGGATTCATAAGTATTGTTGATTACATTTTAGAGGTGAATCCACATCAATCAGAGGTAATTCTCACTGAATTTCCCTTTTTACAATACTTCTTTTTATCTAAAGAAAAGTTATCTGGAGTGTCTTTTCCTAATGTTAGACTTTTTTGACATTAAGTTTTTAAAAACCTCATAAGTGCTAAGGACGCTTTCTAAATTTCTTACGTATTTGTACCTAGTAAATGAAGTTCTTAACTAAAATATTTCAGACCCAATAGCCAATGCTCCACATTTCTCCATAGAAAGTATCTATATAGTTCAGAAACTAAATGTTTTCTCTTCTCTTTGTCTAAAGAGAATATCTTGATTTAGGCCTTTAACTCCTTCTGGAACTCTTTCAAGAAGCCTCACCCATTGACTCTTTCTAAATCTGCTATTAATTTCAAAAGCATAGAATCTAATCTTGTCATCATGGTCTTTTTTTTGAGACTGAGTCTTGCTCTATTGCCCAGGCTGGAGTGCAGTGGCGCGATCTCAGCTCACTGCAAGCTCCGCCTTCAGGGTTCACGCCATTCTCCTGCCTCAGCCTCCCGAGTAGCTGGGACTACAAGCGCCTGCAACCACGCCCCTCTAATTTTTTTAATTTTTAATAGAGACGGAGTTTCACCGTGTTAGCCAGCATGGTCTCCATCTCCTGACCTCGTGATCCGCCCACCTCGGCCTCCCAAAGTGTTAGGATTACAGGCATGAGCCACCGCGCCTGACCTGTCATCATGTTCTTTAAACACTTTTCAGTTGCTTCTGGAGAGGTATTAATGTTCTTTTACATTTTTCTATACATATGCTGTATTTCAATGAAAAAAAAGCTAAAAATAAAAACTCAGTGTTCTAAATCCCAGTTGTGACTTCTGGACCATCACTTGAAACCTTCTATAAAATACTTGTTTCATTTAACTAAGTGAAGGGACAATAATAGAACGTAATCTAAAGTTCAGTCTTCCCTAAACTCAAAGTAAGATTTGCTTGTGGATAGTAGTTACTTCCTCTCCTTGCATGAACCAAGTTGCTTGTATTTTCTCTAATCTTTTTATGAGTTACCCGTTCACATATATAATAGAATCTAGAAAAAATAGAACATTTATTGTAAGGTGAACATATAAGATTGTCAGAAAGCATCAATATTTTGAGGTTACTCTTTAAATGAAAGGAATGCATCTTTTGTTGCTATCTTAATTTTTCAAATCAGCTACTCAAATTCTCTTTTCTGATTCCACAGAGAAAATCATTTTTAATAAGGTAAAAAGGTTTTTAAAATAGTGTTGTACATAATAAAAGTTATTTGACTAAAACAAACAAACAAAAACCTCAGTGTCTCCTTTGACTGGAAAATAAAAGAAAACTGCCTTGGCATTGCTTCAAAGGCTTTTTAAGGTTAGGCCTACCTCACCCTTTCCATCTTTATCTCTGTCTCCTTCCTACTCACACGACCCACACGCCTCAAGTATTCTGGTAACACTAAACCATTTACTGTTTCTAAAACTTCATTTTCACCCCTCCTGGACTTCATTTCTTTCACATGCTGCCCCTGCTGCCTGGAATGTTGTGGTGGCCCCTGCCTTTTCCCAGGGCTCCTTCCACCCACAACTCTTAGAACATGACTCGTTGGACCAAATAACCACATAGTGCTCCCTTTCTCTGGCCACAGTGACAATTCCAGAGATGTGCACATCATCAAAGTACAGCCTTCTGAGGTCCTGCTCCAATATTTTATCCTAGAGGGAACAGGAAAGCTATAAGATTACGATTTCATTAACAGTAAAACCAGAGAATAAAGATGAGCCAGAAAGCAGCAGAGAAAGAAACAGCGACCATTTTAGTAGCAGCAAGACTCTGATTCCAGTCACCGGAGTTCCAGGAAATACCCTATTTTCTATAGTTTTTTTTCTTCAATTCTATTAGCTCCACATCACCTGCCCTGGGAAGCCCTCTCTGACCATCTTTATTTCCAGTTCTTTACAAAGGTAGAGTCAGTCCCTGCTCTGTATCACTATGCCTCTCTCATAAATAACACAAAACTGAAGTTATTTGTTTTACTTTTCTACATTCTCAACTAGAAATATAAACTCTTGGAAGGCATGCATTAATGTCAGGCCTAATGTATCCTTTGTTCTTAGCACACAAGAGAAGGCTGAACAGCTACGGAATGAATTGTCAAAATGAACTAACCAGAAAGAGAATATAGAAACTGGATGACAGCAGCAGTAAGTGAAGACAGCAGGGGAATTTCAAGTACTCCAAGATGAATATGTCAGTAATAACATGGTGCTGTTAAAAAATTTATTATAAAAACTACAATAGTTTTCATTTAACCAGCACATTATCTTAGCCCACTCAGGCTGCTATAACAAAAAATACCATAAACTGGGTGGTTTACAAACAAATAAGTTTATTATTATTTCTCAGAGCTGTGTATGCCGGGAAGTTCAAGGTCAAGGTACCTGCAGATTTAGGGTCCAGTAAGGGCTTTCTCATAGGTGGCACCTTCTCACTGTGTCCTCACATGCTGAAAGGTGCAAGGTACCTCTCTGGGGCCTCTTTTATAAAGGCACTAATCCTATTCATGAGGACTCCATGCTCATGACCAAACCACCTCTCAAAAGGCCCCATCTCCTAATACCACTGCCTCAGTAATTAGGTTTTCAACATATATATTGGGGTGGGAGACCTCAACATTAAGGCCACAGCATACGTGATGAGAAAGAACATGCCAGTAATCACACTACTACTCAAGAAACATTGGCCCTTAAAATTGCACAACAGTTTGGCAGTTTGGAAACTTTATGGGGATGGTGGAAAAACAAAAGCAAATATTAAGAAAAAACATGCAAACAAAATAAGGGAGGTATAATAATAATAAAGAGATAAAAACAAAACTTTTAGGACATTAAAGTAACTGGGGGTGTATAACTTGGTAAAATGAGGGGAGAAGGAGAGATTACAAAAAACATAAAACACATGAAGCTAAAATATCTACAGTAAAAAGGCAGATAATGCAAGATTTTTATTAGAACTAAAGTAAAATCTTTAGGTCATAATGCACGGAAAATCAATATTTCTCAAATAAGGCGGGGGAGGTGGCATCTATGAGCTTTCAATATAAATAATGTTGTATTTGTTTTCATGTTCAGGGTAATCTGAATAATCAATAAGAGCATCATTACTCTAAGTTTTAATTAAGTTTGCCCCACACTTCAGGGACTGAATTTGCAGCTCCCATTGCCTCTAGGTAGTACCTTTTTTACTGTAATGTATTAATGATAAAAGAAAAGTAGGAGTTCTAAGACACAGATAAATTTGAACCAAGTAAAATGGGGATGAAAAGCACATTATAAAAAACGTGTAGTATTCTGGATGGAGAAAGTGGTGGGAAAACAAATCATCTCAGGGCAGACAGAAATATAAACACAACAGAGTGAAATCCAAAGACTCTGGGTCTATGGCAGTCAGGACCACAGTTACCTTGTAAGCAGCAATTTGGTTTCAGAAAAATAACACTACTGCTTTAAAGTACAGATGTTCTTTTGTATTCTGTTGGTTTTATTATTTTATTTGAAAGCTATAATACATTTATAATTAGCTTTTTAAGTTATACTACTACATTAAAAATAACATTTTAAAACACAAGATCTTAAAACAATAGTACAGAGAAGAAATAACTCCCCACTTTGGTTTTGCACATTTTCCTTCTGAAGTTTTTACTGTTACTCATGTTTGTGAAAAATATCTCTTAAGCATTTTTTTAAAATACCATGGGACTAGAGGCAACTACTAAATTAGATAATCCCTTGATATTTCTTTTAATTCTCTGATTCTACAAAGACAGTACTGTGCCAGAAATGCTTGGTTTGCTTTGACTGGGGAGAGGGAGGCAAGGGATTGTAACAGCATTAAATATTCTGTTTAAAGCTGTAATTCAGTAATATAAAACATGTCCTAATTATATATTGTAATATTTTATATACCAAATAATTTTTCCATTTCTATTTCCCTGAAGTTTAGAATAAATAAAAAATAACTTTTATGTCTTATCTCATGGAAAAACACTATAAAATCCTTATCAGAATATAAAATTCACTTTAGCAAACTTTTTTTTATAGGAAGGAAACTTAAAATGGGGAGGTGCGACAAATAAAAAATTAAGTTTTAAAAGTTCTGTACAGACAGAGCTGAAACACCATAGAGAAGAAGAAATTAACATTTACTACACTCCCACCAGGTTAGGCATGTATTTTTTTTTTTTCAAAAATTCAGCAAATATGTGTTGAGAACCTATATGTGGCTGCAATATTCCAAGAACTAGGAATGCAACTGTGAATATAATCCATATTACATGCCATCAAAGAAATGAGAGGCTAAAGGAAGAACGAGAGAAATAACAAATGTCTATTTGCTATAATAGCATAAAAGAGGAGCACCAAAAAGTGCAGTCTAAAATATCAAGCATTGAGCTTAGCCTACCTTATTCTCTACCCTCACAAACACCTTGTGATGTGGATACTGTTATTCCAGTTTTACTGATGAGAAAATTATGATGTATTTGTCTTAAATCATGACTTTGCTCCACTTACTTTCTAGCTTCCTCAAATTTTTCATACTTTGTGTCTCTAATTAGTGGCTTCTATATTTTTCACTTTGCTCAATAACACGTGCTCTCTTCTCAGCCAAGTTCATTGGAAAAGAAACCTGCATTTTGTCAAGTTGCTCACCTCCAAATCAGTCCTCTGAAATGTGGCTTCTAACCCTACCATTTCACCTGAATTGCTCCCAGTTCACTGATAACCTCCAAACCTCCAAACTCTATGGATGATATCTAATTTTAATTCTTCTTGCCCTCTCTGTGCTATTTGACCCTTTGAATCACTCCTTTTATCCCTTTGAATGTGTGACCCTTGGAATCACCATTTGCAACTCCTCTCTTGGCTTCTTGAATACCACTCTGCTTTGCTTTTTTTCCTACCTATTTTCACTTTTTTCTAAGTTTCCTCGCTCCTCTCTCTCTCTCTCTCTCTCTCTCCTCTCTCTCACAATATGCTAAAAATAACATTGGCCTTTTAATTATAGTCATCCCTCTAGTTTTAACCTCTATAGTCTGTCATCCATATTGTTGTAAAAATGATTTTCTAAATCACAAATCTCATCAGGTCACTTCTTCACTAATGCCTGGGAATAGTTTGTGATCTAACAGAAATAATTTGTAGACACTATACTTCAAGGCACCCTAGCAAATTGCAGTCAAGATTTGGGTTACAAAGGATAGAGACTGACTCTGGTTAACTAGAGCAGACAAAAAATTTATTAGAATGTTACCAGGTATCTCACCAAATGAACAGTAAGTTTGGACAACCAAGCTCCAACAAGAATCAAAGGAGGCAAGGCCAAAATTCCTACCACAGAAATACTCTCTGCTTATAATTACCCCATTGTTACAATGGTCACTGGACACCGATGACCTCATGAACAGCTGTTCACTACCTTGTCTCTAAACTCTTGAGTTCATTGCAAATATATTGAAAAATCTCTACTGAACCTTCCCACTTGTGGTCACTCCCTCAAACTGTAAGTCTCAGCAGGAGGATCTAACTGGTCAGCAAGAGAGAGAGGGAATAACTTCCCACTTCGCCATTCATACTAGATGGCCAGAACCTGCCACCTACCTTTTTTAGGATACCCCCCAAAGAAGAATTGCATTTGTATGGTAGGCAATTGATAAAAGTTAATTGCACATTCCCATATGGCTCAACCAAATTAAGTACTCTAAAGCTAAAGAAAAAAGAAAAGGCATTCAGAAGTTTAAAGAAATAATAGTTAAGTATAAAATAAGACAGAATTGGCACAAATGACCTTTTCCCCTTATATCCCACACGTAGATCTGACGCCCATGAAGATATTTTCTTAAGAGTAGATGGAACTTGTGAGAGATATCGTATTACCAACCCAACATGACTTGCTTTTCCCTGTCAGCTCATTCTTAGTTGTTTTCTTGTCCTCATAGGTAACAAGGCTTGAGGCTCAATTAAGACTGAAAACCTCACTAAATAAGAAGGATACTTACCAAGAGAACCCTACTAACCAAGACTCAAGTCCTTATAGTACTTTTTCTATTGCTCACTCCCCCAAACTCTGAGCCATAAAATTAAAATCAACATTCCATGGGATATTCTTCCTCAAGTCCATTAAATCAGAAATGAAGTATTAAGTAGAGGATGTTTGTATTTCTTTGGGTCATCAGATTCACCAATGTAAGAAATATAAATATTTATCTTGCTAGCTCCTGATAGCCAATAAAAAT